>NC_000004.12:158921381-168921381 GCF_000001405.40 Homo sapiens
CAGTGAGCTGAGATCACACCACTGCAATCCAGCCTGGGTGACAGAATGAGATTCCATCTCAAAATTTAAAAAAAAAAGGAAAAAGAAAAAGAAAAAAAGAAAGTGTATAGCACCTCCCACTTCGCTCTTTCTCCCTCCTATTGGCCATAGGAAGATGTGCCTGCTTCTGCTTTCCCTTCATCTTCTGTCATTATTGTAAGTTTTCTGAGCCCTCCCCAGAAGCAGAAGCCTGTACAGCCTGCAGAACTGTAAGCCAATTAAACCTCTTTTCTTTATAAATTACCCAGTCTCAGATATATCTTTATAGCAGTGCGAGAAAACATTAATACAGAACTCTAGTTCCTTTTCATGGAGAATGGTATTTAAAAACCCAAGATCACAGTGTTAAACATTCTTATTGCTATAGGGGTGACAGTGTTCCTGAGCTACAGTTTTCTCCCTTGCCATATTTGTAAACTTCTTCTACTACAGTGATAAACCTGGCTCCCATTCCTTCTACATACTTTTTTTTTTTTTTTTTTTTTGAGACAGAGTCTTGCTCTGTCACCCTGGCTGGAGTGCAGTGGTGCAATCTTGGCTCACTGCAAGTTCCACCTCCTGGGTTCATGCCAGTCTCCTGCCTCAGCCTCCCAAGTAGCTGGGACTACAGGCGCCTGCCACCACACCCAGTTAATTTTTTTGTATTTTTAGTAGAGATGGGGTTTCACTGTGTTAGCCAGGATGGTCTCAATCTCCTGACCTCGTGATCTGCCCGCCTCGGCCTCCCAAAGTGCTGGGATTACAGGCGTGAGCCACCGCGCCCAGCCTTACATATTTACTTTTTTGATCTGCCTCCTTGTCTATAACCAATCTCCCAATGCTACTGCCACCCCCCTCTGCCTTGTGTATGGCCTCCTCACACCACTTGGAACCCAACATCCCAACCCAGGATGCTCTCCCCAACAGACCCCTTCTCACTCTGCTCTGGACCACCACAGTCCCCCAACTTGCCACTCTGGGGCAGAAAATCTTTTTGCCAGGCTGCACCTAGTGGCTCTGAGACTGTATTGTGGAGGAAGGGAAGAGGAACATGGTCAGATATCTCTGAGACATCCCCAAATGTCTAGAAGAAGATACTGTATATATCTGCTGATTAAATAAATTGATTTTATATCACTAGATCCAGATTGTTAGATCATATCATTCAATCATGTTTTAGGTCACTTTTAAATTGAGATATAATTCATATACTATTGAATCCACAGATATTTAAGTGAACAATTCAGTAGGGTTTTATTATATTCAAAAGATTATGCAATCACCACCACTTAATAATTTCAGACATTTTCACCAACCCCAAAAAGATACTTTATAGTAACACTCAGTCCCCATTCTCCCCTTCCTCCAGCCCCTAGCAATTTCTATCTGTATGCATTTGCCTATTGGGAATATTTTATATAAATGGAATCATACAAAATGTGGCCTTTTGTCTTCTTTCAGTTAGAATAATGATTTCAAGAATTGTCCATGTTGTAGAATGTACTTCATTCCTTTTTATGACCAAATAATATTTCATGGTATGGATATATAATAGTTTGTTTATACATATTCATCACTTGGTGGATATTCAGTCATCCCAGCACCATTGTCAAAAAGACTATTTTAACATATTGAATTGTCTCAGCATCCTTGTTAAAGTTAGTTGACCATAAATGTAAGAGTTTATTTCTGGACTCTAAAATTTATTCCTTTGATCTATATATCTATCTTTATGCCAGTACCATACTGTCTTGATTACTGTAGCTTTATAGCAAGTTTTGAAATGGAAAAGTGTGAGTTCTCCAACTTTGTTCTAGGATTGTTTCGACTATTCTGGATCCCTTATATTTCCATTTGAATTTTAGGATACACTTGTCAATTTCTACAAAGAAGCCAGTTGAGATTTTGATAGGGACTGCATTGAATCTGTAGATCTATTTAGGGAAGACTATATTAAGTCTTCTAGTTAATGCATATGTATTTCTATTTATTTGGGTCTTCTTTACTTCCTTTCAATGATGTTTTGTTTTCAGTGTGCACATTTTGTGCTTGTTAAATTTACTTCTAAATATCTTATTCTTTTGATATTATAAATGAAATTGTTTTAATTTCATTTTAGAGTATTCATTGCTAATGTAAAAAAATACAATTGATTTTGTATCTTGATCTTACACTGTGATCTATTGAACTTATTAGTTGTAATAGATTTTATGTAGATTCCTTAGGATTTTTTACATATAAGATCATGTTATCAGCAACTAGAGATAGTATTACTTCTTCTTCTCCAATATGATGCCTTTTATTTTGTCTTCTATCTAAGTGCCCTGGCTAGAATACCTATCACAAGGTTGAATAGACATAGTGAGAACTGACATCCTTGTCTTGTTTTTGATCATAGAATAAACACATGCAGTTTTTTACCATTAAATATTATATTCTCTGTGGTTTTTTTTTATAGATTCACTTTATCAATGTTATAGGCTGGTTTTCTCCCCAAGTTTATATGTTGAGGTTCTAACCCCCAAGGTGATCCTATTTGCTGATAGGACCTATAAGGAGATAATAAAGGTTAGGTGAGGTCATAAGGGTGGGGCCTTTATCCAATAGGACAGGTGTCCTTATAAGAAGAGAAAGAGACACCAGAGAGCTGTCACTCTGCATATGCACATAGAAAAACCATGTAAGGACACAGAAAATAGCCATCTCCAAGCCAAGAAGAGTGGCCTTACCAGGAACCAACCCTAACAGTACCTTGATCTTGAATTTCTAGCTCCAGAACTGTGAGAAAATTAATCTCTGTTGTTGAGCCACCCAGTCTGTGGTACTTTGTTACAGCAGTGCAAGCAAACTAATACAGTCAGGTTGAGAACATCCCCTTCTATTCCTAGTTTGTTGAGTGTTTTTCATCATGAAAAAGGGTTAGAGTTTTTGTCAAATGCTTTTTCTGCATTTATTGCGAGGATCATATGGATGGTTTTTGTTTGTTTTTTGTTTTTTGAGACAAAGTTTTGCTCTTGTTGCACAGACTGGAGTGCAATGGTGCAATCTCTGCTTACTGCAACCTCTGCCTCCTGGGTTCAAGTGATTCTCCTGCCTCAGCCTCCCAAGTAGCTGGGATTACAGGTGCCCACCACCATGCCTGGCTAATTTTTTTGTATTTTTAGTAGAGACATGGTTTCACCATGTTGGTTAGGCTGGTCTCAAACTCCTGACCTCAGGTGATCAAACTGCCTTGGCCTCCTGAAGCACTGGGATTACACGAGTCAGCCACTGCACCTGGCCTATTTGTTTTTTCAAACAGGGTCTTACTACATTGCCCAGGTTATACTTGAACTTCTAGGCCCAAGGGATCCTCTCACCTCAGCTTCCCAAGTCGCTGAGACTCCAGGCATGTACCACCATGCCTGGCTTGACCATGTGGTTTTTATCCTTCATTCTGTTGACATGGTATATTACATTGATTGATTTCCATACATTAAATCAACCACGCATTCCTGGGATAGATTCCACTTGGTCATGATGTATAATCCTTTTTATGTTGCTAGATTTGGTTTACTAGTATTTTGTTGAATATATTTTGTATCTATATTCATAGCAGGTATTAGTCTGCAGTTTTCTTGTTATATCTTTGTCTGCTTTGGTAACAGAGTAATAAATGAATTGGAAGTGTTTCCTCCTCGTTTATTTTTCTGGAAACAGTTTGTGAAGAATTTCTGTTAATTATTCTATAAATGTTTGCTAGAATTTACCAGTGAAGTTATTCAGGCTTCACCTTTTCTTTGTGGGAAGTTTGTTGATTAATGATTTAATTTTTTAACTTGTTATAGGTCTATTCAAATTTTCTCTTTATTCTTGAATCAATTTTGGTAGTTTGTATCTTTCTACGGATTTATCAATTTTATTGAATTGATCTAATTTGTTGGAATTGTTCGCAGTACTCCCTTATAATAATTCTTATTTCTATAAGATCAGTAGTGATGTCCTTATTTTATTCCTGATTTTAGTAGTTTAAATGTTTTCTCATATTTCTTAGTCGGTATCTTAGTTCAGCAGTCCCCAACCTTTTTGGCACCAGGGACCAGTTTCATGGAAGACAATTTTTCCATGGACGAAGAGGGGGTTGAATGGGATGGTTTCAGGATGAAACTGTCACCTCAGATCCTCAGGCATTACTTAGATTCATAAGAAGCACACAACCTAGATCCCTCACATGCGCAGTTCACAAAAGGGTTCACAGTCTTATGAGAATCTAATGCTGCCACTGATCTGACAGGAGGAAGAGCTCAGGCAGTAATGCTCTCTGGCCTGCTGCTCACCTCCTCCTGTGTAGCTCAGTTCCTAACGGGTTACACGTCTACAGCCCAGGGGATGGGGACACCTGTCTTAGTTCATCTGGACTGCAGTAACAAAATACCATACACTGAGTGGCTTATAAGTAACAGAAATTTGGAGGATGGGAAGTTCAGGATCAAGGCACCAGCAGATTTAGTGTCTAGTAAAGACTTGCTTCCACCTAGACAGCCATCTTCTTCCTGTGTCCTCACAGGGTGGAAGGGTCTCTCTCAAGCCTCTTTTATAAAGGCACTCATCCCACCTTCATGATCTAGTCACCTTCCAAAGGCCCCACCTTCTAATGCCATCATCTTGTGGTTGAGGACTTTAACATATGAATATTGAGGGGACATAAACATTCAGACCGTAGCAATCAGTCTCACTAATGTTTTGTCAATTATATCATTTAAGAATCAACTTTTAAAAAAATTTTCCTGATTGCTTTTCTATTCTTTATCTATTTTTATTAGTTATTATTTCCTTACTTCCACTTGCTTTGAATTTAGTTTGTACGTCACTTTCCAGTTTTTTTTTTAAGGTGTAAGGTTAGGTTCTTGGTTTTATATCTTCCCTTTTTATTGTAGGTATTGATAGCTATACATTTCTCTCTAAGCATTACCTTCGCTGCATCCCTAAAGTTTTCATGTGTTGTGTGTTTGTTTATCTCAAAATATTTTCTAATTCCCTTGTGATTTCTTTTTTGACCTATTGGTTATTTAAGTTTATTGTTTAATATTTACAAATTTTTAATTATTGATTTTAAATTTAATTTTTATTATGGCTGAAGATGTCATCATAGTTCCGTGATTTCATGCCTCTTAAATGTACCGAGACTTATTTTATGGCCCAATATATGGTCTATCTTGAAGAAAGTTCCATGAGCACTTGAAAAGAATGTATTTTCTGTTGTCATAAGGTAAAGTATCCTATAGATCTCTGTTAGATCTAGTTGGTTTATTGTGTTGTTCAAGTCTTTTAATTTCTTGTTGATTTTCTGCCTAGTTGTTCTATCTGTAATTGAAAGTGGAGCACTTAACCACATATTCTCACTTATAGGTGAGAGCTAAACAATGAATACACATGGACATAAAGATGAAAATAATAGACACTGGGAAATCCAAAAAAGGAAATGGAGGGCACTGAGGTTGAAAAATTACCCACTGGATACAATGTTCACCATTTGGTAATGAGTACACTAGAAGCCCAAACCCCACAATTACACAGTATACCCATATAACAAACCTACACAGGTACCCCTGAATCTAAAATAAAATTAAATTTACAAAAAATGTGAGTGGGGTATTTAATTGTCCAACTATTATTGTTGAATTGTCTATTTCCTCCTTTAGTTCTGTCAGTTTTTGCTTCATGTGTTTGTGGGCTCTGTTGTTAGGTACACATTTATTTATAATTGCTGTCTTCCTGATAGACTGACCATTTTATCATTATAAAATGCCCTCTTTTTTAAAAAATATATTTTCCAGCTGGATCTGGAGACTCTTAAAAATGCTCTTCTTTATCTCTGTAACAACTTTTGTCTTGGAGACTAAATTATCTGACATTAGAGAAACCATTCTAACTCTTTGATTACTACTGTCTGAGGTATTTTTTACTTTCACTTTATGTGTCTTTGAATCTAGAGTATATCTCTTATACACAACGTATACTTGAATTATGTTTTCTTCCTTTTTCTTTTTTTGGCCAATCTCTTACTTTTAAAAATTTTATACTTATTTATTTTTAGAAACAGGGTCTCACTCTGTCACCCAGGCTGCAGTGCAGTGGTATTGAGAGGTGACAGCGTGCTGGCAGTCCTCACAGCCCTCCCTCGCTCTCGGCGCCTCCTCTGCCTGGGCTCCCACTTTGGCGGCACTTGAGGAGCCCTTCAGCCCACCGCTGCACTGTGGGAGCCCCTTTCTGGGCTGGCCAAGGCCAGAGCCGGCTCCCTCAGCTTGCAGGGAGGTGTGGAGGGAGAGGCGCCAGTGGGAACCCGGGCTGCGCAAGGTGCTTGCAGGCCAGCTGGAGTTCCCGGTTAGACTGGGCTTGGTGGGCCCCGCACTCGGAGCAGCCGGCGGGCCCTGCTGGCCCCGGGCAATGAGGGGCTTAGCACCCGGGCCAGCAGCTACGGCGGGTGTACTGGGTCCCCCAGCAGTCCCAGCCCACCTGCGCTGCACTCGATTTCTCGGCGGGCCTTAGCTGCCTTCCTGTGGGGCAGGGCTCAGGACCTGCAGCCCGCCATGCCTGAGCTTCCCACCCCCTCTGTGGGCTCCTGTGCAGCCTGAACCTCCTCAATGAGCGCCGCCCCCTGCTCCACGGTGCCCAGTCCCATCGACCACCCAAGGGCTGAGGAGTGCAGGCGCAAGGCACGGGACTGGCAGGCAGCTCCACCTGCAGCACAGGTGTGGGATCCACTGGATGAAGCCAGCTGGGCTCCTGAGTCTGGTGGGGATGTGGAGAACCTTTATGTCTAGCTCAGGGATTGTAAATACACCAGTCAGCACACTGTGTCTAGCTCAGGGTTTGTGAATGCACCAGTCGACACTCTGTATCTAGCTACTCTGGTGGGGCCTTGGAGAACCTTTATGTCTAGCTCAGGGATTGTAAATACACCAATCGGCACTCTGTATCTAGCTCAAGGTTTGTAAATACACCAATCAGCACCCTGTGTCTAGCTCAGGGTTTGTGAATGCACCAATCGACACTCTGTATCTAGCTACTCTGGTGGGGCCTTGGAGAACCTTTGTGTCCACACTCTGTATCTAGCTAATCTGGTGGGGAGGTGGAGAACCTTTATGTCTAGCTCAGGGATTGTAAACGCACCAATCAGCGCCCTGTCAAAACAGACCACTCAGCTCTACCAAGCAGCAGGATGTGGGTGGGGCCAGATAAGAAAATAAATGCAGGCTGCCAGAGCCAGCAGTGGCAACCCGCTCGGGTACCCTTCCACACAGTGGAAGCTTTGTTCTTTTGCTTTTTGCAATAAATCTTGCTACTGCTCAGTCTTTGGGTCCACGCTGCTTTTATGAGCTGTAACACCGCTAAGGTCTGCGGCTTCACTCCTGAAGCCAGCGAGACCACGAGCCCACCGGGAGGAACAAACAACACCAGACGTGCTGCTTTAAGAGCTGTTAACAGTCACCGCGAAGGGCTGCAGCTTCACTCCTGAGCCAGCGAGACCACGATCCCACCGGAAGGAAGAAACTCTGAACGCATCAGAACATCAGAAGGAACAAACTCCAGACGCGCCACCTTAAGAGCTGTAACACTCACTGCGAGCGTCCGAGCGTCCGTGGCTTCATTCTTGAAGTCAGTGAGACAAAGAACCCACCAATTCCGGACACAGTATGATCTTGGCTAACTGCAGCCTCAACTTCCTGGGCTCAAGTGATCCTCCCACCTCAACCTCCTGAGTAGTTAGGACTACAGGTGCATGTCATCATGCGTGGTTACTTAAAAAAATTCTTTTTGTAGAGATGGGGCCTTGCTCTATTGCCCAGGCTGGTCCCACGCTCCTGGCCCCAAGCAGTCTTCCTGCCTTGGCCTCTCAAAGTGTTGGGATTACAGGCATAAGCCAACATACCCAGCACAATCTCTGGCATTTGATTGGATTGTTTAGTCCATTTACATTTAATGTGGTCATAGTCATTGATTTGGTAGGATTTATGTCTGTTATTTTGCTATTTGTTTTCTATAAGTCTTAAATATTTTTTGTTTCTCTATTTCTTCATGCTTGCTTTTGTGGTAGATATTTTCTATCATTTTAGCCTTGCATTTCATTTAAATAGTACACTATTTTAATTCCCTTGTTGTATCTTTTAGTATGCATTTTTGAGTTACTTTCTTAGTGGCTGGTCTGGGGATTATCATTAATATCTTATTTCAAAATAATCTAGTTAGGATTAATACCAACTTAATTTCCATCATATGAAAAACTTTGCTTCAGTATAACTCCATTTCCTCCTTCCTCCTTTGTGCTATTAGTTTTAGACAAATTACATTTTTCTAAATTATATGCCTATCAATATAATTCTATAATTATTGTTTTATGCAGTTATCTTTTAAATCACATAGGAGAAAAGAGAAGTTACAAATCAAAAATATATTAATACTGACTTTATAATATACCTATGTAGTTACCAGTGCCCTTTATTTCTTCATGTGGATTTGAGTTCATGTGTATGGTCCTTTCATTTTAGCCTGAAATATTCTCTTTAGCATTTCTTGCAGGGCAGGTCTGCTAGTGAAAAAAATTCTCAATTTTTGTATATCTGAGAATATCTTACTTTCTCTTTCATTTTCGAGGCATAAAAGCATAGTATTCCTGCATACTACAAATTTCTGCATACATAGAATTCTTGGCTGACAGTCTGTCTTTTAGCACTTTGAATATGTCATCCTCCTGCCTTCTGGCTTCCATGGTTTCTGCTGATAATTCATGTTAATCTTATTGAGGATCTCAGTCTCTCTCTCTCTCTCTCTCTCTCTCACTCGCTCTGAGTTGAAAGAGTCTTGCTCTATCACCTAGGCTGGAGTGCAGTGGTACAATCACAGCTCAGTGAAGCCTCGACTTTCCAAGCTCAAGCAATCCTCCCCACCACAGCCTCCCAAGTTGCTGGGACTACAGGTGCACACGACTTTGCCTATTTTTTGTATTTCTTATAGAGACAGGATTTCATCATGTTGCCAGGCTGGTCTCAAACTCCTGGGCTCAAGGGATCCACCCATATCAGCCTCCCAAAGTGCTGCGATTACAGGCATGAGCCTGTAATGCCTGGCTTTTTTTTTTTTTTAAGAGATTCTGTCACCCAGGAGTGTAGTGGTGGGATCAGAGCTCACTGCAGCTTTGAACTCCTGGACTCCAGTGATCCTTCTGTCTCAGCCTCCTGAGAATTTAGGACTACAGGCATGCACTACCATGCCCAGCTAAATTTTTTATTTTTATTTGGATAGAGATGAGATCTGACTACATTGCCCAGGCTGTTCTCAAACTCCTGGCCAGGCCTGGCCTCAAGCAATCTTTCTGTGTTGGCCTCCCAAAACACTGGGATTAGAGTCATGAGTCACTGTGCCCAGCCTTTACTAAGGATCTGTTGTATATGATAGTCATTTTTCATTTTCTACTCTCCAGATTCTCTGTCTTTACCTTTTAACAGTTTGACTGTGATGAATCTTTGAGCTTATCTTACTCAGAGTTTGTTAAACCTCTTGAATATATAGATTACTGTTTTTCATCAAATGTGGGAAGTTTTGGCTATTATTTCTTCATATATTCTTTCTTCCCTTGTCTCTCTCATTTACTTCTGGGATTACCATTTTGCTATGTTGGCACACTTGATGGTGTCCCACAGTCTCAGAGGCTCTGTTCATTTTTCTTCATTTTTTTTTTCTTTTCTGTCAGAGTGGATAATCTCAATTGATCTATATTCAAGTTCACTGATTACTTTTTGACAGCACAAATCTACTCTTGAGCTCCTCTAGTAAATTTTAGTAAATTCTTTATTTTTTATTATACTTCTCAACTCCAGAATTTTATTTTTAGATGTGGTCTCATTCTGTCACCCAGGCTGGAATGCAGTGGCATGATCTCGGCTCACTGCAACCTCTGCCTCCTGGGTTCAAGCAATTCTTGTGCCTCAGCCTCCCAAGCAGCTGGGACTAGAGGCACTGTCACTATGCCCAGCTAATTTTTGTAATTTTGTAATTTTAGTAGAGACGCGGTTTCATGATGTTGGCCAGGCTGGTCTTGAACTCTTGACCTCAGGTGATCCACCTGCCTCGGTCTCCCAAAGTACTGGGATAATAGGCATGAGCCACCATGCCCAGCCCAGAAATTATCATCATCATTATTATTATTGAGACAGGGTCTGGCTCTTTTGCCCAGGCTGGAGAGCTGTGGTACAATCTCACCACAACCTCCACCTCCCAGACTCAGGTGATTCTTGTACCTCAGTCTCCCAAGTAGCTGAGACTACAGGTGCATGCCAGCACACCCAGCTAACATTTGTATTTTCAGTAGGGATGGGGTTTCACCATGTTGGCCAGGCTGGTCTCAAACTCTTGACCTCAAGTGATCTGCCCACCTTGGCCTCCCAAAGTGCTGGTATTACAGGTGTGAGCCACTGCATCCAGCAACTCCAGAATTTTTAAAATAATTGCTATCTTTTTATTGATACCCTCTGCTTGATAAAACATTATTCTCATACTTTAACTCTTTAGATACAATTTCCTTTAGTGCTTTGAACATATTTATAACAGCTGATTTAAAGTCTTTGTCTGAGCCGAGCATGGTGGCTCACACCTGTAATTCCAGCACTTTGGGAGGCTGAGGTGGGTGGATAGATTGAGGCCAGGAGTTCAAGACCAGCCTGGCTTCAGGTAGAAATACCGGGTACAATTTGTTTTTCTTTGCGTAAATAAATAATACATCTGTTTATGCAGTGTTCTTTTAAGGAAGACAATTAAAATTCTTAACACTAAACAATTTCAAGAATTGTATGTCAAAGCCGGGTGGATCACTTGAGGTCAGAAATTAGACACCAGCCTGACCAACATGGCAAAACCCCATCTCTATGAAAAATACAAAAGTTAGCCAGGCATAGAGGTGGGAACCTGTAATCCCAGCTACTTAGGGATCAGCTGAGGCAGGAGAATTGCTTGAACCCAGGAGGCAGAGGTTGCAGTGAGCCAAGATCGTACCACTGCTCTTCAGCCTGGGTGACAGAGTGAGACTCTGTGTCAAAACATACATACATACATACATACAGAATAAATAAAAATATAGTTTTTGTCTGGTAAATCCAATGTTTCAGTTTCCTTGGAGATAGTTTCTATCGACTGTTTTTTTCACCTTGTGTATGGGCCATTTCTCATTTCTTTGGGTGTCTTAATTTTTTGCTTTTGGCAAATGTCCATGGGGTAGAGCACACAGAGAGTCAGGTCAAACAAAAACAAGCCCTGAGAATGAAGCTTTTCAGGGGATTTCAAGACAAGTCAAAAATGACATTTCTTTGGGTACAGGGCTTCTCAAAGAGCTTCAAATCTGTGTTCAACTTCCAGTGACTGGTAAGCTGCTGATGTTCATAGTTTCCATGGATGTGAGGCTGTTGGTTTTCAAGGCTGCCATGGAGCTAGGAAGAGAGGAATGGGAATAGTACAATTTCAAATGGCACAAAAATCATTGTTATTACAAAGATTCAGCCATGTTTCTCAAATGAATGCTCCAAGAATTGCTGCAAGCATTTGGTTTATTCCCAGTGGTTTCTTGTTTATACTTTATTTATTTATTTGTTAATTACAGAGTCTCGCTCTGTCACCCAGTCTGGAGTGCAATGGCGCAATCTCGGCTCACTGCAACCTCCATCTTCTGGGTTCAAGCGATTCTCCTGCCTCAGCCTCCCAAGTAGCTGGGATTACAGGCACACACTACCACGCCCTGCTAATTTTTGTATTTTTAGTAGAGACAGTGTTTCACCATGTTGGTCTTAAACTCCTGACCTCAAGTGATCCGCCTGCCTTGGCCTCCCAAAGTGCTGGGATTGCAAATGTGAAAACGTGCCTCCAGTGTTTTCAAAAAGGTGATTTTGATGATTTTTGCCAGTGTTCTTGTTTCTTTTTTAGAGGAGCATATTTTTGGAGGTCCTTAGTTCACCATTCCTGAAGTGCTTTCCAAACTGTATCATTGTGAAATGAAACAGAGACTCACTATTTAAAGGAAAAATTGCCTTTTCCTTTTGTTTCCACTTCTTCATTTGCCCCTCCTCCATATGCTGAAGTTGTGCCTTGGGTTGCCATTACTTCATTGTAATGGTTCTTACCCCAGCCAACAGCAAGCTCTTTTCTGTCAGATAAAATCATCTCTTTTCAGACTTTCATATATGGCTTCTCAGAAGCATCTGTGATTGTTGACATTGCCTTCTTAGAAACCCTTTCCTCTTGGACTTGCAAAACTTTTTTATGTCTCTCCTTCTACCTCTAATATTATTTCATCTATATTTCTTTTGGAAGAATCTTTTATTCTTTCTGTTCCTTTACCATTGGTATTTTCTAGAATTCTACCCTCAATTCTTATCTCTTTGTACACTGCCACTCACCTCCAGGCCAGGGAATAGTATTTATATCCAAGAATCAAACCAACATCAACATATTGATGTTTAAATTTTTTACTTTCAGTTCTTACAATCTAGACACAAATGCCTGACTTTTTACTGGACATCTCATAGCTGGTAATACTTTCTAGTACGTATTGAGACATATGAGGTTACAGACACTATGCCAGTTGGTTTATATGTATTATCTCTCATCTTTCTAATAATTTCTTATAATAGGTATTATTACCCATTTTTTACATACTCAAGATCAGACTGCTAAAAAGCAGAAAAGCTAGGACTTGAACTCAGAGTTGTTGCCTTCCAAACCTATGCAATTATCTCATCTATAAAATAGGAACAGGTCAGGTGTGGTGGCTCACACCCGTAATCCCAGCACTTTGGGAGGCCTAGACAGGTGGATCACTTGAGGTCAGAAGTTTGAGACAAGCCTGGCCAAACAGGTGAAACCCCATCTCTACTAAAAATACAAAAGGTTAGCTGGGCGTGGTGGTGGATGCCTATAACCCCAGCTACTCGGGAGGCTGAGGCATAAGAATTGCTTGAACCCAGGAGGTGGAGGTTGCAGTGAGCCAAGATCGTGCCACTGCACTCCAGCGTGGGTGACAGAGCCAGACTCAGTCTCAAAAATAAAATAAAATAAAATAGGAACAATAATGTAATACTACTTATGAGGGTTAAATGAGTTAATACTTATAAAGCATTTAAAATGGTATCTGACCCATAGTAAAAATTTATACGTGTTAGCCGTATTATTATTATTATAGAATGCTGCCTCTCAACTTATCTTCCCATCTCTCTGCTTTCCCTACCCACCTGTCACCCCTCAAAATACTCTCTCCTTCTTGTGTTCCCTATTTTGGTCAATGATATAACCATATACTCTGCCACCCAAGAGAGACATATCAGAATTAGCTTTCATTTTTACTTCTCCTCCATCCCTCCACATTTAGTTGGTTGCCAAGTCTCATTGTGTCTTTCTTTAAGCTATCTCACCACCCCCAGCTCTCTAATTCAGGCTCCCATCATCAGGATTATTGCAATATCACGTAACTTGTCTCCCTCGGTCTCTCCTTCCTCAGCTCCATTCATTCAGCAAACAGTTTTCTATACCTATTATATATCAGGTATTCTTTCTAACACATGGATTTGATTATATCACTTCCTTAAAGAATTTAAAAGAACAGGTCATTGCCTATTAGAATTAAGCACAAAATCTTTAGTGTGGAGTTTAAAACACTATGCAATCTTTTTCCCTATACTGCAATTCCATCTTTGCTTCCCACCAAACTTTTAAAACAATACCCTGTGTTTTCGCCATACCAGACAACCAGTCATTCCCTTAAGACATCATGATGGTTCACCCTTCCATGCTTTGGCTTATGCAATCCCATATGGCTGGAATTCCTTTCCTGCCTCCACCTCCACACTCTTCTTTTAATTTCCCACACAGCCTTGAAAATGCAGCTCAAGTGTTACCTCTCCTACAAAGCATGCCTCAGTGTCTACCCACCTGCAACACTGGGACACAATGATTCCCTCCTGTCTTCCCCACAGACCATTGTTCATACCCACGACACTTGGGGTAGTCATGTTGACTCCTTCCCTCAGTAAATCTGTGATAAAGGGAAGGATTCATTCCTTACGTCTTTGTGTCTTCAGCATCTAGCCGAATTCCTGACATAGATCACATTTTCAGTCAATTGTGCTTGTTTCTCTAATGATACAAAAAAAAAGTGTCTGTCTCTGGTGACGGAAATTGTGACTGCACAACGATAAAGGGTTTGGAGTGTGGTAGAACTGATTTTAAATAACAAAACATATTTAAATTTTCCTTAAACATTGTTGGTTATTTGAGAAATGACCAAGATTCTCCTAGCGGCCTGAACGTCTGGGAAATGGGGTAAGAAGATAAAATAGGCTTCAGCCTTCAGTGAGGAAAGGACTGGCTGTGCCTTACTTATATAATGTCTAAAACCAATAGGACAAACTCCACTTTAATTTTGACACTTTAGCCAGAGAAAACACTCCAGAGGGCTGAAGAAGGGACCCGCCGGGGCTGCTGCTGAGCTGGGTCTTTGGTCTTCCACCTTTTTGTGACTTGAGCTGGGCCCACAGTAGCATCCATGTCAGCCATTTTGATTCACGACCAAACAATTCAATGAACTCTCAGTATTTTGGCAAAATAAGGAGCTTGAATAAACATGTTGACTTAAATGGATCAAAACAGATGGTTATTCTGGATAACTGACCACCCAGCTTCAGTCTTGCCCAGAAACAAACCTTATATTCTTCTCTTTGGCATTCTGACCCACACCTTCTGGAGATTCTCTGGTTGACTAAAAATAATTCTAATAAGTGGCAAAATTAATGTCTTTTTGGATTCCAAAATTAAAGAAAGAAAATCACTGTTTGTTTGAGTTCCAGGGAGTCAGTCTAGTTGCCTAATATAAACCGCAGAAACAGTCATTCACTTGAGTTTCACATAGAGAAATAATGTGGAAACTTCCCTTTAGGACTTCAACATTTTCCTTGCAGCATCAGAACGTGATGTAACTCTGTGTATTCATGTATTTCAAACTTGTGAAGAGGACCGGTGCCATATCTGTGCCGTGACTTAAAAGCACGACCTGTTTCCTCAACAAGCTGGTTTCCTTCAATGTTTGCTTTCTCACAGTGGTACCGATTTCTGCTCTTTCCATTTCCAAAAGTACTAAAAAGCCATTGATGGCACATGGAAATTTTTGAGAAACACATTTAGAAACCATTTGGCAGGATCTGTGCTTTCTGGGAGAACAAGCCTTCTTTCCCTGTTATTTTCCCTTTGGAAGATTCACAGGAAAACAAGACCTCTGCTCTTTAAAGATCTTTTTTGTGTGTGATGGTGTAGTCCACACCTACAGAATCTTCCAAGGAATCACAATTAGGGCTTTAAAGATGTATTTAATCATATTTTCCTCGCTACATTGGCTTTCCACATAGGTGGGGTGGGTGTTACTGCTGACACAGACATATGTGGTATTTCAGTGACACTGGCTGCCTGAGAAAACACTCCCTTTTGTCCTTCTCTGCTCCTTTTTATTCCAAAACTGGAGGTTAGGCTAACAGTGCACACAGCTAGGAGAGGTACTATAAGGCATGATCACCCACCCCTTCTCGAGAGAGCATATCTTGAAGGGGTAATACCACAAAGGAGGAACGGGGGAAACCAATGCTACAGGTCCGTTTTAGACGTATCATCATTGAGCTGATCCAACCTTATTTCTCAGACATTAATCTTCCTTTTCTCCCTGCCGCCATAGAATCATTCATGATAATGTTGTATCTTGTTTGCAAAACATTTCATCTTAATCCTCTGGGAGAACACTTATTTGATACTGGATCAACAGTTGTCATGGAGATGATTCAAAACAGGAAGTTATCTTTATATTTTGTATTTGGATGAACGAATGACTAGACAACCATATTTAGCAATTATTAATAGAGAAAAATTTAAACGTTAATGGAGTTTACCCAAGGATAATTGTTGCCTGGGAGGTTCTTGGTAAGTGCAACCGAAAGGGGTTTATAAAAAGAAGCAAAATTTTAGCGATCAAAATCCACAGGAGCTTATAGAGATTTATCTAGAAGGCATGGGTCATGCTTACTTGTTTTATGTGCAGTCTTCAGGATGCTGGGAAAATCGAGGTTCTACTTCTGAGTGGTGGCATCCTGTTTAAAATAAAGGTCCAAAGTAACATCCAACTGTTTAATCAAGACAATTTGAGGCACTTAGCAGCCTTAAGGATCCAGAATCTTTCCATCTGTTTCTTCTGTCTTTAGACATTGTCTTGGGCAGAGTTTACTGAGCACACACTGACTATGTGTTCAGCCATGTATGAGGTCCTCTGGGAACCCACAAAGAAAGTGAACAGTCTATGTAATATAGACTCATGGCAAAAGGCACAAACATTAGTATATGCATAAACAATAACTGATTTACGGCTATACCTGTGCATGAGTGAAATGGGTACTAAGAGGTTATTTGATGACAATAAATTCCAAGGATAATCAGTTGTTCATGATGAAATATGAAAGATAATTTTTTATACCAGCTTAAATCTTTTATTCTTGCTTAGGAGTTTCCTCCCTCCCAAGACAGCAAAAATGTTTATGATCTGTTTTACATCATTAACAATTCAAACATGAATTTATGAAATGGGTCTGCGTATCTATGGACAAAACTATTTTGCAAAAATGGTAAGAATTATTTAAATTTCTAAACAAAATTGGATGATCCCACATTAGTATGATACCCATGCTGTCTGGGGATCAAAATGAAATCGCTCCCCGAAGAAGTATTTAAGAAAGCACAAGAGACGTCATCCCAAATTGCCAGTGTACCTATTTCAGACAGATGAATATTGCTTAAATGCCATTTTTAAAAGGCAGAAAGAGGTAACAAAGTGTAAACATATTTATTTTTCCTTTAAGAAGGAAAAGCCCACTCTCTAGGGCTCTCCTCTATAAGGGAAGCATCAAAAAGATTATGCAGTTCAGCCAAATTACATGCACCATATGCTTCGAACCTCAGGTTGTGACTGTTTTGGTTTGATTTATTGCTTTGATTTCATAGGAATACAACCACTCTACTTGAAGGGCTTGTTAAATATTCTACCACTATTCTAAAGAATTAATTGAAACAAGAAAGGTCTCACATTATGCTAAGTGAACACTTACTCGCTAATTTGCCAGATTGCCTTCCCCAAGCTCCAGAATGTGAAAAATGCCATCCTTGCCATAGTGACGTCACCAGGACATTGCTGGTTGCCCTTATGGGCTCCAGCTGGGCTTCTAGTTACACCAGTCATGCACTCTAAATCAAGCATGTTGTCTTCCTGGGCAGAACAACATACTGCAAAAGGTTACTGTTGCCAAGAGTTTGTCCATGATGTAAAAATACACAGTGTTTATTGATTTTCATTCAGTATTTTTAAATGATTTATATGGAGTAATGAGCACATCAGGTTTTCTCCTGCACACAGCCTCAGAGGCAGCTGTCCAAAATCTTACCAGAAATGTGGCCTATTAGATCATCTAGGGTCATCTATTAGAAGTGTTGAATATAATTCCCGGTGTTCCCAGAGAGGTGGGAGATTTTATAAGACATTCAGGAAGGTCTTCCAATTCCAACAGTTTGGGGCTTCTGAAACTAAACCAAGTCCAGTTTCTCTTCACGCTGGTGCTTCCTCAGCATCACTTGCTAATTTATACATCAGAGGGCAACACAGGGAAGGAAGGAGGACAGTGTTTCTGTGAGCTGATCGGTAGCAATTGGAGTGAAGGTTCTTTGGGAGACTATAGCAGTATTGACTCAGTTTAGTTTTGGATAAGTTTATCTATCCAGATGGTAAATCTTGACATGTATTAACTAAGAATAAAGTTGATCCAACTTATTTTAGTTACTTTGCAAATTTTAAATATACACAAAAAAGACAAAATAGTATAAAGATCCATAGAACTAATCATTCAACTTCAAAAAATATCAATTTATAGACAATCTTATTTCATCTCTATCCTACTTACTAATCTCCACACCACCCCATAATATCTTTTGATATGACTCTCGAAAATATGAAAATTCTTTCTTAACATACATTTCTCCTAAAAATTTAAAAATTTTGACCAAATATTCAGTATTCAAAAGTCTGATTTGTGTCATGTTAGGAATTTTTAACAGTTTGTCTGTTAGGACAATCCAAGTAAGTCCCACACCTTGCAATTGGTTAACTTTCTTTTAATTCATAGGTTCTCTCTCATCTCTTTGCTTCTCTTCTCTTTCTTCTCCCTCTTCTCCTCTTATTTGTTGAAAAAAACTGGGGCCGGGTGTGGTGGCTCACACCTGTAATCCCAGAACTTTCGGAGGCCGAGATGAGTGGATCACCTGAGGTCAGGAGTTCGAGACGTGAGCCAAGATTGTGCCACTGCACTCCAGCCTGGGTGACAGAGCAAGACTCTGTCTCAAAAACAAAAAAACAAAAGGATCCTTTATTCTATAAAATTTTTCACAGTACACTTTTCTGATAACATCTCCACGATGTCATTTAGCATGTTCCGAGGTCATCTTATTTCCTATACATTGTCAGTTGGCTTTAGAGGATTGATCTGCATCAGGTTGGGTTTTCAGGGGGCAAGACTACTGTATTAGTTTGTTAGGGCTGCCATAACCAAGTATCACAGACAGGGTGGCTTAAACAACAGAAATGAATTTTCTTACAATTCTTGAGGCTAGAAGTCCCAGATCAAGGAGTCTGCAGTGTTGATTTCTCCTGACGGCTCTCTCTTTGGCTTGTAGATGGCCATCTTCTCCCTGTGTCTTTACATGGTTCTCCCTCTGTACTTGTCCAAATTTCCTTTTCTTATGATCCCACAATTAGGAGGGATTAGGGCCCACCACAATGACCTCATTTTAACTTAATTACCTCTTTAAAGGCCCTATCTCCATATACAGTCACATTCTGAGGTAGTGGGAGTTCGAAATTCACCATATGAACTTGGAGAAGGAAACAATTCAACCCAAGGAAACAATTCATCTTGGGTGGTGGTGTGTTTTTCCACCAAGATGCACTAAATATCTCAGCGTCACTCTTTTTGTGGTTTTGGCAGCCCTGGATTTTCAGTCCCTAGATTCATTGATTCATCAGGGTTTCCAAAGTGGTGATGTCCTAATTCTGTTGTTCCTTCTTTTTTTTTTTTTTTTAGCTGAATAACCTTGATTCTTTTTGAAGTCATTTTATTTTCTATTTGGTTATGCACTAACATATTGCAAAGGTGGAATTAATGTTTCTTTCCTCTTATTTACCGTTTTCAAAATAATGAGTTGGTTTTAAAATAATGTAACCAGTTTGTTGTGTTTTTCCTAAAGTGACAGTATGGACTTGTGAATGTTCATGGATACATATGTGGATATGTATGTATGATGTATATTGATCCATTGCAGCTATTGCCCTTATTGTTCAAGTTGTCCAGTTTTTTTGGCCAGCAAAAATCTCTCCAAGTTTGGCTCCTAAGTCCCTTAGACAGGACTGCAGTAGTCTCTGATGGCTTTCTTGCTACCTGATATGGCAAGATGTTCTAGGTTCATCTTTTTCATTTCCTTCTCCAGATCCAGAATCAGCCATTTCTTCAAGAAGCACCAATTTCTTTTAGGAGGAAAGGTATTTGAAGAATCTAAGTACTAGGAGACATCACAGCTACTGAGTTGATCTCTATGTCTAGGCCTTTACAGAGAATAGCGCCAGAAAAAAAAATGCAAATGCACACGTACAGATAGACAAATAGACATATATAATCTTCCAGTCAAATTCAGGGTTTGTTTTTCAGGTATTTTATGTTAACATCTGTGTTTTCTCTCTCCCACTCCAAGAATGCTGGTACTCAATCAAACCAGGAATGATTGAATAAGAACATTATATGATTGATCATTTATCCCACAATATACCCACAACAGAATCTGAGTAACACTATGAATGCCTCAACCAAGCTTTCTGCTGTTCTTTTTGTTCTCTGGATATACCACATTAGAGATTTATACTCACTGGGTGGTTGAGGTAGGAGGATTGCTTGAGGCCAGGAGTTCCAGACAAGCCTGGGAAACATAAAGAGACTCTGTATCTACAAAAAAATTTTAAAAATTAGCTGGCTGTGGTGGTACCTCCCTGTAATCTCAGCTACTTGGGAGGCTGTGGCAAGAGGATTGTTTGAGCCCAGGAGTTCAAGGCTGCTGTGAGCTATGATCACATCACTGTACTCTAGGCTGGGTGACAGAGGAAGATCCTGTCTCAGAAAACAGAAAGGAGATTTCTGCTCAAATTATTGTGCTTTAAATCTCTTGGAATAACTCTACTCTGTGAATTAAACTATCAACTAGAAACATGTGGCTTTTTAAAGAAAGTAATATTTAAATTAATTTATAACTAGGTAAGAAATGTACCTGGTTCCAAAGAAAAATCAAGGGTGGAACCAGCATTGCTCTATTTTTTTTTTCTTGTTGCTGTCATTACCATATGGTTCTAATGCAGATTAAGAGATGGTGGTGTTCTGGTAGATTTGGAGGAGGTGATACTTGAATCATGTCTTACCGAACAGCTGCAAAGAGTGACTTTGGTTCTGGTAGAAACTGTCTTGAAGATCCTAGCTCTGCTCAGTGAAGAAAACATTTGTTCTGCCACCCACCATGTAATTCATCCTTGAATTTTAATGAGTTAGCCTTTAGGCTGCTAGACAGAAACAAGCCACAGCATACTGCATAAACCCTGCCATCTTTACATATTGCTGTAGAAGCTAGAAATGAAAAGTTTTTATTGTCAAATGTGTGGTAATTGTGCTCCAAGGTAATTCATCTGAATGTGTGACGTTCCATTTCTAAAATAGCAGCATCTTGGAATCTAAGTCCAGCACTTCTAGAAGCTAACTCCTACCAACACTTCAAGCTCAGGTGAACTTATTGAGCCTTCCTGATCCCTGTTCGAAGTTAGGCTTCCGGATATGTGTTTCCACTGCACCCTCTAAAATCCTCCCTGATGTTAACAGGCTTTGCACTCAGTTGTTAAACTGTGTTAAGTATCCAAACCCAGCATCGAGCATTGTATCAGCACAAATAGGTAATCCTGGCTGGACACTGTGGCTCACACCTGTAATCCCAGCACTTTGGGAGGCCAAGGCAGGCGGATCACTTGAGGGTCAGGAGTTCGAAACCAGCCTGGCTAACATGATGAAACCCCATCTCTACTAAAAATTCAAAAATTAGCCAGGCATGGTGGTGGTGGGGAGGTGCCTGTAATCCCAGCTACTTGAGAAGCTGAGGCACGAGAGTCACTTGAACCCGGGAGGTGGAGGTTGCAGTGAGCCAAGATTGCACCACTGCACTCCAGCCTGGACCACAGAGCAAGACTCTGTCTCAAAAAACAAAGAAACAAAACAAAACAAAAAACAAATAGGTAATCCCTAAATGTTGGTTAACTCAAAATTTCTATCACTGCATCCTAATATACTCAGGTAAAATTACCTATTTATGTATTCTCCCCACCAACCAGATGATAAGCTCTTTTAGGGCAGGAATTACGTTTTATTTTCTTGGTACTATACTTGTCCATAGTTTGATGGAATAAAAAACATTAGTGATGCTGTTTGAAAATTGAATTAGAATTACAAAGAATAAACATGAGCTGCTCTTAAGAAACATAAGTTTGAGTCAACATTTAAATATAAAGTGATAACATACAAAACATCAACTTAATGCTTACCGCTGCAGTCTGCCTTTTGTACCCTCAGACTCTATAAACATAATATAAATGTTTCTGTATATTTTATTCTGTGTTTTAATATCAGGCCTTTAAAGCAGTTAATTGCTTAGTTCATCTGGAATTAATTTTATTACATGCTATGAGGTATAGCTATAATTTTACTTTTTCCAAAAGGTTAGCCAGTTGCCCCAATTCCAATTTTTCTTGGATCCTATATCATGGTGGCTTAACTCTTTTACAGAACAATTGGATAACCTTGCTGATACAAACACCTGGCCTCTAACTTCAAGTGGGCCTTCTTTGTTTCCTCAAGACCCCTGCTCACTTCTCATTCCCATCACTCTCATCAGTTCTCTATAGGACAGAATTTTTTTACAAGACTTCATAGACCACTGAATTATACAATTAAAATGATTAAAACAGTAAAATTTGTTATATATCTTTTACCACCATTTTTTTTAATAGCCAAAAAAGAAGACTCCATGGAGAACAAGGCCTTCAGGTTTAAACTTCATCAACTACCACCATAACCCCATACCCCACACTTACATGTATAAGTGCATTCCTACCTACATATGCAAGCCAATCCTGTCTCCTTTTTAGTCTCTGGGAATGAATCACTGCTGACCCCAGAACAGTGCTCCACGCAGTAAGCCCTTCTCTAGATCAAGCTTCTTGAATCCTAAAAAAATCCTACACTTGGCCCTTCATCTGCCTCTAGTTACTATTGACATTTTCTTTTTTTTTTTTTTTTTTGAGACAGTCTCGCTCTGTCGCCAGGCTGGAGTGCAGTGGTGTGATCTCGGCTCACCGCAACCTCCACCTCCTGGGTTCAAGTGATTGTTCTGCCTCAGCCTCCCAAGTAGCTGGGACTACAGGCGCCCGCCACCATGCCTGGCTAATTTTTGTATTTTTAGTAGAGACAGGGTTTCACCATGTTGGCCAGGATGGTCTCAATCCCCTGACCTTGTGATGCAACCACCTTGGCCTCCCAAAGTGCTGGGATTACAGGTGTGAGCCAACGCACCTGGCCACATTTTCTTCCTTATCCAAATTTTTCAAAAACCATGGCATGTTTTGGTTTATTCCACTTCACCTCCCATTCATACCTCCCACCCATCCCTCTTTGCCTTCCCCTCCCTCTTCCCCTAAATTGTTCTAGTTGTTCTCTTCTCACCAAGTCTCTGTCTTGGTGAGACAGACTGGCTGTCTACTGAAGAAAGTAGACATCTTATTTCTTATTTGACGTCTTATTTCACGGTGAACCTCAGCCCCCCAGGGTCTCCTCTGCTTCTGCTGTATCTTCTTTCATGGCTCTTCTTTTTACAATCAGAGTTTGAATTTCCTACAATTCTGCCCTTATTCCTGTGGTCTTTTCCCTTCTCATCCACTCACACATTTTCAAATACAACCTAAAAATGATGGCAGAAAGAGCTCTTCAGCACAGTATTTCCATCCAGCTTCATACATCTACCTCTACTTGTCACTGGTGATCCCACAGAAACCTGGAATCCACCTGAACTCATCATCTTCCCCATTAAGGGAGCTGCTTCTTCCATGCTGTGTCTGAGTTGATCTGCTTCTACTTATTCACTCAAACTAGAAAATTTGGAGTCATCACTGCCTCCATGACTACTTTCATCCCTTCTGGTAAGTCCTGATAATTTTTCTCCTTAATAATTCTGGAATCTGTTCCTCCTCTCCACTTTGACTCCACTCCTCTAGGCCACTATCATTCTCCTGGGCTGCCTGACAGATTCATACCTGGTCATGCCCTGCTCACATCTATCTTCCATCCAAAATGTAAACCTGCCCTTGTCGCTTTGGGTACTATGTAAAGGGATGGGTGGACAAAATTTAAATTCCTTCCTGGCTTTCCTCCTCCTCTAAAGGTCAGAACTCAAGAATTAACTTGCCCCTGACTATGTCACTGTCTTCATCGGTCTCTGTACTGTTCATGATTACACTTTGGGATCTGGCAGCACGCTATGACACTCATTTGCATCAGTCCACAATATTTCTCACTTTTGAACATTTGTTACTGAGGTCCGCTCTTCTTGAACCACTCCCCCACATCACTGCCCTTCCTTTCCCACCTAACTTCACTTTTCAGATTCCTCCACAGACAGCCTCTGTGCCTTCCCTCCTCATCCGTGTTCTGGGTGACATGCATAATACCCTGGCGTGGCTGCATCACTGCTCTGGCCGTGGGTTTCAGAATTACCTATGTGCCCACTCTCCCCCTACACGAGGAGCAGTTTGATGGAAAGGACCATGCTGCAAAATTATTGATTTACTGACTGAATAAATGAATGGTCTGATTGAAAACTTTAACCCAAAGTAGTCAGAAAAGGGCATTTCCTTTTCATCGAACATGGAAGAGACCATTTGGAATACAGTGAGTTCCAAGAAAAAGACAAATACTGAACAACTACTCTCTTTCTATTAATAATTTTAAAGCACCCTTGCAAGGACTCTTGATGGTTTATAGTCATCAAATATCACATAGAGCCGCATGGCTGTCCCTCATCGCTGGGCGGATGAACAGTTGGGAAACCACACCAGCCACAGACATAATGACACCAATGAGAAGCTATATGCCGCAGATAAGACCTTCCCCACAACTGAAAGCTGAAATTTTACCAAATTCAAAATCTTTGAACTAGTGTGACCCCTACCAGGAAGATGGACATAAGACTCATAACATAACTTGTCTGTTATTTTTTTTTCTGTAGTCTTCTGTTCAGTACATGAACTTTGCCTGGACCTAAAATCTTAGCTCATCTGTTTACTTGTAATTTGCAGTCCATGCTTTGATTTCATCACCACAAATCATTTTGTTAGGTCCAGGAGCTGTTCCCTCGGTAAACCTGGTCTCCTGAAACATGCTGTAAGAGATACAGGTCTCTCCAAAATGCTAAGAAATTATAGATGACAGACCAGTGAATTGATAGTGCCTCTTTCTCACACACTTTAGATGTGTGTGAGATATTTGAGATGTATCTTTCATAATTTATGTGAAGAATTTACTGTAAAAGGTCATATTCTGAAATGAACTGATTTTTCCCCCAACTTGGCATCAAGTAATAGATTAGTAAGTTCTCTTCTTAAAAATCACAGTACAGTCTCTTGAGCTAGCTTTTCTTTCAAAAACAGTAGCTTTTCAAAGACCAATGACATCTCGTCTGTTTGCTCTCAGTGCTGCATTCTGAGATGAAGAATATTCATTTGATAAAGTTTGGCTCTGTGTCCCCACCCAAATCGAATCCCAAATTGTAATCCCCACATTTCAGGGGGGGGGACCCGGTGGGAGGTGATTGGATCATGGGGGCGGTTTCCCCCATGCTATTCTTGTGATAGTGAGTTTTCATGAGATCTGATGGTTTAAAAGTTTGGCACCTCCCCCCTGCCCCTTCTGCCACCATGTAAGGTATGCCTTGCTTCTCTTTCGCCTTCTGCCACAATTGTAAGTTTCCTGAGGCCTCCCCAGCCATGCAGAACTGTGCACCAATTAAACCTCTTTCTTTATAAATTACCCCATCTCAGGTCATTCTTTATAGCCATGTGAAAATGAACTAACACATCATTCATTTACCAAAGACTGACAGATATGCATCTTGCATTTCTCCCTTGTGGCACCTACTATGATTGCAATTAAATGATCAATCATGTATTAGGCTGTTTCTATCCCATCTCCCCAATAGAAGGTAAAGAAAGCAGGAACTGTGTCTGTCTTGTTCACTTCTGAATCCCAGGCCTAGCACAGTGCCTGGTACATAGTTGGCACTTGGTTATTTATTGAATGAATCTATCAGCACCAACTATCTTTGTGGCTACAGGGGTAACAACTACAGGAGCTCTGTACTGTCCTGACTACGGCAGCAGCTTCCTGAGAACCCTACTCCCCCACTGCTCAGCTGAAGGAGAGCTGAGGGAGGGAGGAATAGGCTTGGGAAAGGAAGTGGGAAGACAGTTTTTACTGAACAGACCTAAGGGGCCAAAGTAAGAATGGGCACTAATTATCTCAAAAAAATCGCAGAACTTTGCTACTTAATGCTTATGGAAATCCCTCCAACGTGCCAGGCACTGACAGTCTTAAAAACAGAAAACTGTCCAGATTTATGGATGTTTTGAGGAAAACAACTCCAAGAAAAAAAAAGCATGCATTTATGTACCAATATGGTTTAAAATAGTGGCTGACCTTAAGTCTGTGCTAGTTTAACAACTGGTTTTGGCAGTATTTCTTATGAAATAAAACAGGCAATTTTCTACACACCACCCAACTAACACAAAATACAGGCACACCTTACACCTTTCTGAATAAACAAAAAGCCCTGTTTATTCAGGTCAGTGAATATTTCTTTGGCATGGAAAGTCCTAGCTTTATATTGCAATTTGTTTTTCAATTTAGGAGCCCTAACTACTAACATTCCTGTTGACTATTGCCATTTCTCCCATAGTAAGTTGATAGTGCCACTGAAATAATGAAGCAAATATATCTATTAAAATTCATATTGTTAGCTAAAAATGATCAGTATAAAGATTCAGTAAAGAAATTTTATACTATATTGATGAGTTAATCCTTCAAAAGTAGAACAAAAAGTCCGAGAGATGGAAAAGACGAAAGAAATAAGAAAATAAGAGATTAAAATGTGTAATATCTAACTAATAAAATATCCAGAAAGAGGTCAAACAAGGAAATCAATTTTTTCATCATTATTTAAGAAAAAATAATTTTCATTTTTACCAAATAGAACACTTTTACATATACATAATAGAGTGCTTTTTCTCCATTTTAATGAAATAATTTAGATACATGTAGATAATACATGTAAATAACACTAAAATGCTTATTAAAATGTTAATCCCCTTCTCTCCCTGCTCCAATGTTCTCTTCCCCCAAAGCAACCACTTTTAGCCCATATGGTTCTAGTACTCTATTTAACCCAATACTTATACTCGATAAAGCTCCTTCTGGAGCCCCCACTTTGCTTGTTCCTGTCTGAATTGAAAGTTCCCTAGGCTCCTGCATAGCCAAATTCCTAGTCCTTTAACACTGTCTTAGGAATTCCCTTTGCCCGTCACCCTTGTTGGGTACCTTGGTTCCTGGACTGGACTCCTTTTTCTTTGTTTTACCTGCTTGTCCTGCTAGATAACATTCTTCAGCTGCCTCTTGGGGGGAAAAAAAGCTTGGAGGTACATTTTTTGAGTACATAGATGCCTGAAATTTTCTTTTTTTCTACCTTCCTACTTGCTCATTGGTTGGGTATAAAATTCTAGGTTAAAAGTCATCTTCTATCAACTGTGGAAGTCATTGGCCCAGTGTCTTCTAGAGTCCAGCATTGTGTCAAGAAGTGTGATACCATATTGATTACTGATCCTCTGTAAATATCCTAATTTTCTTCTTGAAGGCTTTAGAGTTGTCTTTTCATTCTGATATTGTGAAGTTTCACATGCCTGTATGTGGTTTGTTTTTTTTTTTTTTCAATTCACATTTGATGAGACTTTTTTTAAGACAGAGTCTTGCTCTGTCACCCAGGCTGGAGGGCAGTGGGATGTTTGACTCATGGCAGCTTCGATCTCCCAAACTGAAGTGATCCTCCCACCTCAAGTAGCTGGGACTACAGTTATGCGCCACCATGCCCAGCTAATTTTTGTATTTTTTGTAGAGATGGATCTCACCATGTTTCCCAGGCTGGTGTTGAACTCCTGGGCTCAAGTAATTCAACTGCCATGGCTTCCCAAAGTTCTAGAATTACAGGCAAGAGCCACCGTGCCCCACCATTAATGGAAACTTTCATTCTGGAAATTTATTATTCTCTTCTGATAAATTTTCTTGTATTATTTCCTTCTGTTTTCTCTGACCTTTTTCTGAATCCTTTGTTAGATATTATACATTTTAACTGATCTCTTATTTTTTCTCTTCTTTTTCATCTCAGACTTTTTGTTCTACTTTTGAAGGATTAACTCACCTATATAGTATACAATTTCTAGACCATACTGAATCTTTATCCTGATCATTTTTAGCTAATATGAATTTTAATAGATATATTTGCTTCATTATTTCAGTGTGCTGTACTTGTTTCATACATAGTATTTATTAATAGACTGGCCTGCTTTGTTCAGGATAGTTTCAGTTTATCCTATTGTCCTGGTGACTCATTGATTAGCTTTCTCTTTCACTTTCAAAAGTGTCCTGTCTTGGGTGATAAATTATATGGTCATACTATTTATTAAGTCCTTCCTATGTACCAAATGCTGTTCTAAGTCTGTATATTTAACAACACTATCTATACAACAATCCAGTGGAGTAGATTCTGTTATTTTACAGATTAGAAAACTGAGGCATAGTTTAAATAACTTGTCCAAGGTATCATAGCTAAGAGGTGGTGAAGCTGGGACTTGAATTCAGGAAGTCTGTCTTTAAAGCCATTGTACTTCATGTGCTTCATGACTGATTAGAATTCCCTATTTGCGGGATATTAAGTGATTTCTGACTTTTTATTCCTGCTCACATATTGTTAGGCTTCCTTCCAGCAAAACTTTGTACATCTCCTTTATTACTTACTTGGGAAGGATAAATTCCTAGTGAACCCAATTTTCTTGATTCTCAATTCTGTGCTCTTTCAACTCAGCCATGCTGCATGCCTGTTGAATGTGGCTGCTAATTAATGAAGTCTAAGATTATGAGCAGACAGACCACAAGAAAGCGGATCAGTTATATATGATCTTGCTTCTATTACAAAGCAAAAGAAAAGACTAGGAGAGGCAATATTGAAAAGAGCTGTGTTTCTGTGATTTTCAAGCAAATGAAAAACTGGGGAAGGTTGTAGTTAATTCTGGTCCTTTAAAACCCATGTTTCTCTGGTCATGGCTGACAACCACTTTGGCTGTCCTTACCTTGGGATTTGCAGCCTCTTGACCCCGAACCCCATCTACCAACAATGACAGTCCACAGGAACTTGCAGTGTTCCGTAAGTGTTCCTTAAGACAAATCTATAAATCAGCAAGTAAGTGGCAAATTTATCAGGCACCCCCAGTTTGTGAAGAGGCATCTTTATTGTGACATTAGATCAGAGGCATGTCATCATTTCTTTCTAGAATGGTGTTTGACTGTAATTCCACTGATTTAATAATCTCAAGTCTTTCATTTGCACATATTGAAAAATTCACCCATGGAGGCAGCTAGAGGTTTCCTTAAAATGTTCCTTCTATACCTGGCTTAAATTTCCTCTAAGGAAGTCCTCATCACTTGAACTCATTCAGCTTCTCAAGCCTAAACCACAGCCATTTGAGCTGTTAGGCATACAATATAGACCAGGACTTGTCTTTTATACACAATTCAGCAAATTGTATCAAGTGCCCATTTATGCCAAGCACCATGTTCAATGCAAGGGAAAGGGAAAGCAAAAGCAAAACACTGCCTGCTGCACAATTTTGGGGGGAAGACCAATCGGCAATGGAATTGAGTCGGTCTTCAAAATGGAGACTGAGGCTAGGAGTGGTAGCTCACACCTGTAATCCCAGCACTTTGGGAGACCGAGGCAGGTGGATCACCTGAGGTCAGGAGCTCAAGACCAGCCTGGCCAACATGGTGAAATTCCATCTCTACTAAAAACACAAAAATTAGCCGGTCGTGGTGGCAGGTGTCTGTAATCCCAGCTACTCAGGAGGCTGAGGCAGAATTGCTTGAACCTTGGAGGCAGAGGTTTCAGTGAGCCAAGATTGCACCATTGCACTCCAGCCTGGGCAACAGAGAGAGACTCCATCTCAAAAACAAGCAGGCAAAATGGAGGCTGAAGGGAGGGTCTGTGGGAATGTTAAAGGGTTCACAAAGGAGAAAACATGTTCAAGCTTATGTTTTGGGGGCTTCCAGTGAGCTAGAGATGTTTCCTACTGTGAGCAGCCACAGCACACTGCTTCCCATTCTACCGTATCCTGTCAGGTTAAACTGCCAGTTTTATATCTTATTTTTATTTTCCCTGTTATAAGCTTCTTGATGGTAGGTGCCAGACTTTTATTTATCTTTGTTTCCTAAATGCTTTGCTGTAGTGCCTACCACCTAGTACGTGAGTACTAAATGTAGTCACACATCACTTAACGGGACATGTCCTGAGAAACGTGCCAGTAGGCAATTTCATCACTGTGTGCACATCATAGAGTGTACTTACACAAACCTGGATGGCATAGCCCACGACACACCTAGGCTATTTGGTATAACCTATTGCTCCTAAGCTACACACCTGTACAGCATGTTACTGTACTGAATATTGTAGACAATTGTAACACAATGGTAAGTATTTGTGTATCTAGACATACCCAAACATAGAAAAGGTAAACAATATAGTATTGTAACCTTATGGGACCACCTTTCTATATGCAGCTCCTCATTAAGCAGTACACAGATTGATCGAATGAAGAATGAATGTTAAATTCCCCCATTTTACGACTAAGTCAAAGAAATAGATGCAGGAGAGTGCTTTGTGAGAAAATTTAAGTTATCCCAAGTAGAACAAAGAGGACACACACACGCACACACAAATGCATACAGAAAAGAATAGGAAAGTTTTGAGGAGCTAAACCTGCAGAGAATGTCAGATTAGTGGCAAATGGTGTTGAGGAGCCAAGTTCCCATGTGTGAGTTCCTATTGCTGTGAAATGCTTTCCCTAACTAGGTGACTAGCTGAAATATGTCAGGGATGGATGAAAGTTCAGATTGCTCAGTGATTTCAGAACCTTGAGTAGTTTTCCATACATTCTCACTACAGATGTGAGGTGAAGAAAAAGGGGAAAAGGCTTAGGCTAGACTTTCCAAAATCACTTTGTCTAAATTCCTCTTTCTGGCTTGTAAAATGACAGGGAAATCCAGAATCTATTTACTTTGTACAGCACACAAACACATTATTTGTATTTCTGGGGTAATCTGGGATTGCTGGTTGGTATTTTAACTTTAAGGATTTGTATTTAGGTATTTCATGTTTGCTGATCCACTGTCTCTGAGGTAAGGAAAATTAACACACTGTGAAAGGAAGTAAAATTTACCAATGAATCAGTACTCCTTGCTTGTTATTTGAAAAGAACATGACTTGAAAAAAATTCTGTGAAATCATGAGTAGAAAGATGATATGGTTTGGCTGTGTCCCCACCCAAATCTCATTTTGAATTGTACTCCCATAATTCCCACATGTTGTGGGAAGGACCAGTGGGAGATTATTTGAATCATGGGGGTGGTTTTCCCCATATTGTCCTTGTGGTAGTCAAGTCTCACAAGATATGGTTTTATTGGGGGTTTCCACTTCTGCATCTTCCTCATTTTCTCTTGCCACCACCATATAAGGAGACTTCCCCAGCCATGTGGAACTAAGTCCAATTAAACCTCTTTTTCTTCCCAGTCTCAAGTGTGTCTTTATCAGCAGCATGAAAATGGACTAATACAGTCAATTGGTACCAGGAGTGGGGTGTTACTGAAAAGATACCCTAAAATGTGGAAGCAACTTCGAAACTGGGTAACAGGCAGAGGTTGGAACAGTTTGGAGGCCTCAGAAGAAGACAGGAAAATGTGAGAAAGTTTGGAACTTCCTAGAGACTTGTCGAATGGCTTTGACCAGAAACCTGATAGCAACATGGACAATAAGGTCCAGGCTGAGGTGGTCTCAGATGGATATGAGGAACTTGTTGGGAACTGGAGCAAAGATGACTCTTGTTAGGTTTTAGCAAAGAGACTGGTGGCATTTTGCCCCTGCCCTAGAGATTTGTGGATCTTTGAACTTGAGAGAGATGATTTAGCGTATCTGGTGGAAGAAATTTCTAAGCATCTTGGGTGAAATTTAGCAGCATCTTGGGTGCTGCTAAAGGTATTCAGTTTTATAAGGGAAACTGAGCATAAAAGTTCAGAAAATTTGCAGCCTGACAATGTGATAGAAAAGAAAAACCCATTTTCTGACATGAAATTCAAGCTGGCAGCAGAAATTTGCATAAGTAATGAGGAACAGAATGTTAATCCCCAAAACAACAGGGAAAATGTCTCCAGGGCATATCAGAGGTCTTCATGACAGCCCCTCCCATCACAGGCCCAGAGACTTAGGAGAAAATGGTTTAATGGGCTGGGCCCAGGGTCCCTGTGCTGTGTGCAGCCTAGGGACTTGATGCTCTGTGTCCCAGCTGTTCCAGCCATGGCTGAAAGGGGCCAACATAGAGCTTGGGCCATGGCTTCAGAAGGTGCAAGCCCCAAGCCTTGGCAGCTTCCACGTGGTGTTGAGCCTGCGAGTACACATAAGTCAAGAATTAGGGTTTGAGAACCTCTGCCTAGGTTTCAGAAGATACATGGAAACTCCCAGGCAGAAGTTTTCTGCAGGGGTGGGGTGCTCATGGAGAAACTCTATTGGAGCAGTGTGAAAGGGAAATGTGGGGCCAGAGCCCCCACAGAGTCCCTACTGGGGCACTGCCTAGTGGAGCTGTGAGGAGAGGGCAACTGTCCTCCAGACCCCAGAATGGTAAATCCACTGACAGCTTGCACCATTTGCCTGGAAAAGCCACAGACACTCAATGCCAGCCTGGAAAGCAGCTGGGAGGGAGACTGTACCCTGCAAAGCCACAGGGGTGGAGCTACCCAAGACCATGGGAACCTACCTCCTACATCATCAGCATGACCTGGATGTAAGACCTGGAGTCAAAGGAGATCAAATTTGGAGCTTTATAATTTGACCGCTCCACTGGATTTTGGACTTGCATGGGCCCTGTAACCTCTTCGTTTTGGCCAATTTCTCCCATTTGAACAGCTGTATTTACCCATTACCTGTACTCACATTGTATTGAGGAAGTAACTAGCTTGCTTTTGATTTTACAGGCTCATAGGCAGAAGGGACTTGCCTTGTCGCAGAGGAAACTTTGGACTATGGACTTTTGGGTAATGATGAAATGAGTTAAGACTTTGGGGAACTGTTAGGAAGGCATGATTGGTTTTGAAATGTGAAGACATGAGATTTGGAGGGGCCAGGGGCAGAATGATATGGTTTGGCTCTGTGTCCCCACCCAAATCTCATCTTGAATTGTACTCCCATAATTCCCATGTGTTGTGGGTGGGGCCTGGTGGGAGATCATTTGAATCATGGGGGCAGTTTCCCCTATACTGTTCTCGTGGTAGTGAATAAGTCTTACAAGATCTGATGGTTTTATCAGGGGTTTCCACTTTTTCATCTTCCTCATTTTCTCTTGCTGGTACCAGGTAAGAAGTGCCTTCTCCTCCTCCCACCATGATTCTGAGGCCTCCCCAGTCATGTGGAACTGTAAGTCCAATTAAACATCTTTTTCTTCCCAGCCTCAAGTATGTCTTTATCAGCAGTGTGAAAACGGACTAATACAAAGGAACTACAAGAACACTGTCCCTTTCCAAACTTGTTTGCCTTTAAATCAATGTAGCTTTAGAGAAACCCACTGACTTTGAGATCAATCTCATGCCCAGCTGTTTAATAACACAATAATTACAACTACCAAAATAAGAAGTTGTATTCCAAAGAGCTAAAGAAGTCCTATCCCTGGAAATAGTTTTTCTCGAGTTCAATGACTCAGAAACATCTAGAACAAAAGATTATCACAGAAAGTTAGCTCTCATTAGAAAATAAAAACAGGCATTTCTGAAGTTAGCCTTCATATTATTTATTAAAGGCCTAGAAGATAGGGTGGGCTCTTCAGTAATGGTGAGTAGCTCCTGCAGAATCCATTCACCTCTTAGAGAAAAAACAAAAGCCCTGCCAATTCGTTGTTTGCTAATACATTCTCTTACGACCTCTCTTAATTGGACTGTAAACCATTCCTCTATTTCCTATCTATGCTTTTTATTCTGCTTGTTGAAATTAGAAATACTGTAGGTATACATAAGGAAACACCCAATTGCAAACAGAAGAGATCATATGAAAACAAATCATCAGGTCACATATCTAGAGAAACTTGAGATACTTAAAACAAGAGTACATTTCCTTTAATTTATACATTTTTAAAAAATCAAAATAGATTAAAGATTTAAAATACACACACACACACTCACACAACAAAAATGAGTTAACCTACACCCAATAACTGCACTGTCTCTCCATCAGTGAATCTTGTGCTGAAATCATCTGTTACATCTATCTGCCTTGAAAATTCTGTGAGCAACCTAAGAGTAAGGACTCTGTGTACAAATTTTTAGATTCTGAGCGCTTAGCACATAGCAAGTCATCAATTTGCTAACCTACATCTTTATCAGTCTTTAAGATACAATTAATTGTATAACACACCATTAATTTTTTTTGTTTTGTTTTTTTGAGACAGAGTCTCACTCTGTCACCCAGGCTGGAGTGCAGTTCCATGATCTCAGCTCACTGCAACCTCCACCTCCGGGGTTCAAGTGATTCTTCTGCCTCAGCCTCCTGGAGTACCTGGGATCGCAGGCATGCACAAAGACGCCTGGCTAATTTTTGTGTTTTTATTAGAGATGGGATTTCACTACTTTGGCCAGGCTAGTCTCAAACTCCTGACCTCAGGTGATCTGCCTGCCTTGGCCTCCCAAAATGCTGGGATTACAGGTGTGAGCCACTATGCCTGGCCTGAGCCACTGCATGCGGCCATTAGTTTAATAGTTTTACACTGGAGGCCAAAAAAAAGGCACTGCATTTGAACATGGTATTTATAAACAACTATATAAAATGCATCCTGATTTCAAGAATATTAAAATGTAAAAAATATGCCTTCGAATGGAAGAAGTCCGGTAATTGTGCTCTAACTGAATTTCTCATGTCATAGAGTGGACTCTTGCCTGCATTATGTCAGTAGACAAACATTTCTCAGCACTAGTGACACTGACTCAAAGCATCCTACTTTTCCTATACTGCTTTTTCTGAGGCCACTGATCACCTCTAAACATTTGTCTGCTGTGTTTTCCTTGATTTCTTTGTTTCCTTGCATTAAACTCTTCCTCTCAAAATTCTTCACCGGCTGCTATAGCCTTCTATAGGAATTGACCTCTAAGGCTCCTTTTCTTCTTCAGTGGCTCCCATTTATCTTGCCCTCAATGTGGGCATCCCACAAGGCTCAGTCCCTTTCATTTCTCAGTTGTCACTAGCGGCTCTCAGCCCTGGCGATACATCACAATCATTTGTAGGGCCCTTTTAAAATGTCCAAGCCCTAGCTGGGTGCGGTGGCTCACGCCTGTAATCCCAGCACTTTGGGAGGCCGCGTGGGTGGATCACGAGGCCAGGAGTTTGAGACCAGCCTGGCCAATATGGTGAAACCCTGTCTCTACTGAAAATACAAAAATTAGCTGGGCATGATGGTGCATGCCTGTAGTCCCAGCTACTTGGGAGGTTGAGGCAGGAGAATGGCTTGAATCTGGGAGGCAGAGGCTGCAGCGAGCGGAGATCGCGCCGTTGCACTCCAGCCTCGGCAACAGAGCAAAACTCTGTCTCAAAAAAGATAAATAAATAAAATATCCAAGTCCAGATCCAAACCCCGATCAATAGGATGTGAGCTCTGTGACCCTGGTCATGTGACAATCTCTGACATTCGATCTCTTCACCTAAAATTAAGATATTGTTAAATCTGCTTCATCAGATTGCTGTATACACATGCTTTACTTCCCCATCATTATAACAAATATGGTCTCTTCTTTTCTCCATTTACTTAAAGCCCACCTTTCTTTAAAAGCTCAACTGAACCTTTCCCCTGGCCCCAGCTCTCCATAATTACATTTGTTTTGGCTTGTTTGCAAAGCCCACTGAAAACTCAAGATGGGCCTGTAAAAATGAAATCGTCTCCTGGCTGATGTTTCTTTTTTATTTATTTATTTTTTTCTTGAGATGGAGTCTCGCTCTATTGCCCAGGCTGGAGTACAGTGGTGTGATCTCGGCTCACTGCAACCTCCACCTCCCGGGTTCAAGTGATTCTCCTGCCTCAGTCTCCCCAGTAACTGAGATTACAGGTGTGAGCCACCAAGCCTGGCCCTGGCTGATCTTTCTATAGCTGTTCTTGTCACCTTCCAATCCCTTCTCCATATAACATTCCAACATTCCAGAATGATCTTAACAAAACAGGTTAAGATCAGATTGCTTTCTATTTTAAATCTTCTAATGAATTTTCTTTGTTCTTATATTTATTAAAATCCAAATTCTCTAACCCAGGTCACAAGTTTCTACAAAATCTGATCCTCATCTCACTACTCTCCCCATTGCTTTCTATACAGTCTGGCAGCACAGGTTGTAATTTGATGTACTCTTTCCCACCTCAGGGCCTGGCTCATGCTTTTCTCTCTGCCAGGAATGATCTTGTACTCACCTACCTTTTTTCTTTTTTTGAGACACAGTTTCTCTGTCGCCCAGGCTGGAGTACAGTGATACCATCTCAGCTCACTGCAACCTCCATCTCCTGGGTTCAAGTGATTCTCTTGCCTCAGCCTCCCAAGTAGCTGGGATTACAGGCACCCACTACTACGCCTGGCTAGTTTTTGTATTATTAGTACAGACAGGGTTTCACCATGTTGCCAGGCTGGTCTTGAACTCTTGACCTCAAGTGATCACCCACCTTGGCCTCCCAAAATTCTGGGATTACAGGCGTGAGCCACTGTGCCCGTCCTCACCTATCTTGTCAACATCAGCTTAATAATCACTTCTCTCAGTAAACACTTATCTGACCCTCAGTCCAGGTGGGTGCCCTGGGAAAACCTTCTCTTTACATCCCATAAATATTCTTTTATAATGAACTATTTTATCAGAAACCGGATGGATTCGGGTCAGATGTTAACTTTTTCTCAATATACCTCTATGTTGTTTGATTTGTTGCCATAAGCATGAATTATATTTGTAATTTAAAACATTTGCTTTTGAGAAACAGTATGGTCTGTTGTTATTTATTTTTTATTTTTGGAGAAGGGGCTCTGTTGCTGAGGCTGGAGTGTACTGGCATGATCAAGGCTCACTGCAGCCTCGACCTCCCGGGCTCAAGTGTTCCTCCCCCACCTCACCTCAGCCCCCTCAGTAGCTGGGACCACATGTGTGTACCACCACTCCTGACTAATTTTTAAAATTTTTCTTGTAGAGATGGGGATTCTATGTTGCCCAGGCTGGCCTTGAACTCCTGGGCTTAAGCCATCCTCCCACCTCAGGCTCCTGAATAGCGGAGACAGGCACAGCCACCATGTCCTGTTAGTTTTTTATTATTTGTAGAGATGGGGTTTCGTCATGTTGCAAAGGCTAGACTCAAACTCCTGACCTCAATTGATCCTCCTGCCTTGCTGGGCCTCCCAAAGTGCTGGGATTACAGGCATGAGCCACTGTGTCCAGCCAATACATTATTTTTTAAAAGCCATGTTGTTGCTTCAATGTCTGCCTCCTCCCCTAGAATACAAGTTCCAAGAAGGGCATATACTGAGGCTGGCTGGTTCACCATGATGGCCACAGAATCTAACAGTGCTTTGAACCCAGGAGATGCTGAACATATTGAGTGAATGCTATTGACTGAAAAGAACAGAACATGAAAACTGGTTGGGAGACTCAGCACTAACCTTTGCCCAGGAAAAAGATGGCTCTCAGGCCACCTTAGAGAATGCAAAGGGGTGGGGCACACCTGAAACTGAGTCAGGGCCCTATTCAAAAGTACCCTGCTAACAAGGGCTTTGAAACAGGGTAGGTGCTTATAGTCTCACAAAGGAAAGAGTATTCAGGTTATTGGTGTCTGACTAGTTAAATAGGACCCAAGCCAGGAGTTATAGATGAGTCCAGGAGGTTGTCAATACATTTAATTAAACAAAAATTCTAGCTATAATTTTCTAAATATTATCTTCATTATTAATTTGGCTCTCAGTGTTTGCAAAGTAATTTTGTTATTTTTCTTCACATATACACCCAGTTTCCTAGTTGAATCTGCAATCTCCTAAATACAAGGTCTCTTTCATAACTATTCTACATCCTCATGACTCAGTTCAACCCACAGCATATTCCCTAGAAATGAATATAGCCAACATTCTTTCATTCAAAGAACATGCCCAGGGCTTCAGTGTTTCTCAGATACCCTCCAACAAGTTTTTAATGTTTAAATAAATGCAGCACATTTTCATGCTTTTACCACCAATGCTTGTTGAAGTTTTATTGATTTTCAGTGGTCTTTAATGTTTTTCTTTGCTTGGAAATATTTGATAAAGTAATTGCAGTGGATGCCTGCAATGCTATCTAAACAAATGAAGTAGAATATTTTAATGAGAATATGTGTTATTCATGCTTTAAAGTATATCTGTTTCTTTGTGGCTTTAAATATGGTACGTGTTTAATAAGTTATAGGAATTGCCCACTAAGGTATTTTTTTTGTTCTGAAATAATAGGCTTTTGACATGGGGTTTGAAGTCTTTTCTCTATTTGATGCAGTTTATGTTGGTATAGTATAGCCACCTCAGGGCTAATAAAATCCAGTGATTTTGCATATGCTAATAGCTAAATCCTTCAACAATTAAAAGTGAAGTAAAATAAGCCCCAGAAATCCTCACCTTCAAAAACCTATGATAACAAAGACAGTATTCAATCTGGAGTCTTGTAAGAGCAATGCTGATTGATCTTTTCCCTCTTAGGAATCTGAATCATATGTTATACCTAGATGACAAGTCAGCTTTTGCTTGTTTCCTGTAATTTAACATGCTGTGAGCTACCCATGTTTCATTTGGGTCAGAAGCTGCCATAAGATAATTTGAATTGAAGCCATTATGTGACTTTAGTAAGATTATGTTTATTAACCAAGATTACCCATTATGATGGTTTCCAGGCCAACAGCATGAAATGAGTTTTTTAATCTGAAAAAAATTAATATTGTTTCTTCCACAGAGATAATTATTTATAAAGTTAAAGCTAATCTACTAATCCAGTTGCCATTCTTCATAGCTTCAGGCTTGCTTCTCCTTTTCTTTACTATAGTCTAACAGTTTCTCATTCTAACTATGTTGCGTTATTCCTTTTCTCCCCTTAATTAAAATTTAGCAGATAGTGCATATTTACTGTGTTTATTAGAAATAAAAATTCGTAAATTTATCAAAAACCTACATGAAATAAAAAGAAAGTGTTAATATACTTAAAAGTTTACAAAAATGAATCCTGTTACCAATTTAGGAAAGAAACACAGTAATTAATAAAAATATATTCATATTTGCTTACCATGGGTTTTGATATCTGTGGGTTATTGAATCAAGAGAAGCTTGACTTAGTTCTTCATACTGTAAAAGGAAGAAAATTAATGTACCATAATTCCAAAGTAAAGAGGTGGCCGGTCTAAGTATCCATATTTCTAGTCAAAAAAGGAAGTCAGGTTGGGAAATGAAATAGAAAATGCTAAATTCAGTTAAAAGAAGATCAGAGAAGAAGACAGGCTTTTGATTCCTGAACAGAGAGGAAAAAAGTACAAGAAGTAAAATAAACAAGACCCTATGCGCTTTACTTTCCCTCTTTGAAAGGAGGGTGCTGGGTAGGAAGAAGAGTGTGATGCGTCATCACTAAGTTGCTTTCCAGCTTTATGATTCTATGTCTAAATAAGCGAGCATTCTAAACTACTGTCATTAGACTCAAACAGGTTACCTCTTTTCACTTTACTTTCTCCTTACAGAATCAAAAAAATGTGGTCGTAATAACGTAGGAAAGAGCTGGATTATAGACAGACTGTGGTAAAGTGTAGATTTGAAAACTCCTTTCAGAAGGCATAATTCAGAGTATTGATAACATATTTGGTGGCTTTGAGTGGTTCTTAGATTAAAAAGTAATTCCCACCCACCCCCTCCCATGTGCATTGAAATGATCTGTTATTACTGAATGAATGACTGCTATATACTGACTCCTCTTCTCTAGGAACTGTCAGATGGATGGCACATCTTGTAAATAAGCATGGGGAATAAAAGTGTCAAATTTATATTGAAAAGCGTATTGGTCTATAACCATTTCTCAAATTTCTATACTAGGATTGAGAAGCCATGACATAAATTATCAAAAAGTATTTCACTTCATTTGTGGATGCATTTTTTACTTACATTAGTATGGGATGCGCTATTCATAACATCTCAAAAAGTGGCAAAATCCTATTATAAAAATTTCAACATTAAAGGAATGATGTTACTTAGTACTTTTTAAATTCTCTTCTCTCCTCTTCCTTTTCCCTGAAGCTTCAGTTCAGAATGACTTTCCTTATTGACTACCATAGAGTTCTTTGTGCTTGAGAAGGCAAATTCATTTATTTGTGTCATCTTCTCAGGGATAAAGACCTGAAACCTTAATCTCTTCAATGTTCACACATAAATTGAACAAAGGCAGGCACAAAATAAACAAGGTCACTATTCCATAGAAACTTTGAACATAATCTGCATATAATAGAAAGATCATGGGACAGCTTTTTTTCTCAATTGATTCTGACATGATCCCCTGAAAATTGAATTTGAATTCCATTGAATTTTATTATCAGCTTATCCATTGAATTTTATTATCAGCTTCTGGACAAATTTTGCAGGACTTGGATGATCTTTAGTTTTATGCTATTCTTATCTTTAATAATCCAAAATTGCATCTTCTTAATTGGGGAAGACCTTTCTCAGAAACATAATAACACATCTTTTTTCCATTCCTCCTATAGATATCAGTCCCTATAAACAATTTGTTATCTAAAATAAGCTGGTCCTTCTCTATCTTAATTTATTAATGAAATGCATCATGATTTATTTGGACATCTATGTTTACTGTAGTGTTAAACCTAATAAAATTCAGACTCAGATAAATTATTTTTTTTTTACTGGCCAATCATTCCTAAGAGTAAAGATTGATTTCAAAACCAATATCTTCATTGAAATGGGTAACAATTATATTTTCTATCTTAAATCAGTGAGAACCTTTTACACTTATTTTAAATGTTTTCAACAAAAATAATTACAACTCCAATTTGGATATTTCCTACAGATCAATCTTCAAATAAGTCTGTTTATTAACAAAAGGGAAATACCTGCTAACTACATTCACATATCGTGAGTTACACAATTTCTAAAATGAGTAAAAACTGTTAAATTTGAGTTAAATTAATTGCAGACATTTGGGGCACATTCTAGTTAAAAATTAAAATCATTGCTTAAGACTTTCACTTTTAATCTCTAGTCTAGTCCTGACACATTTAGGAAGTCTTTTGGGGACTGTTCCTGAGGAATCCTCTTGCTTTCTTGCAATAATCCAAGATGGTTTTCTTAGTATATCCAATTTTTACTTTTCTTACTTCTAGAAAGAACAATTTTCCATCTCTATAACTATGAGTCTTTCTCACCCATAGAACGAATACAATGGCAATGTAATTTGAGAATGCATAGACACTAAGGGTTTTCTTCTATAGCCTCCTCCTTGGTAACATAGGGCTCTTAGTATCAAACATTTGAGTGGAAAATTCCCTACGGCTATCTTTTCTTATGCTAATGTATTTTTTCCTTCACTTGCCTCAATTTGCAAAATATTACTGTTAACCCCTTAGGTGTCTTTCTTCCCACAGCCTGTGAGAAGCATTTCCATTGTTGCAGCAGGGTCACCAAATTGCATAATGTTGCCTATTCTAGATTGGAACTATTACAGGGAGAAAGGGGACATAAAGGCCTTTGCATGAATGGAGCATTTGAAGTATTCATTTTACATTCAGAGCATGAGTAGAAACAAAACAATTCTTTCTGAAAAATGTTGGTGTTTAAGGCATGGATTCAGTGATGCATTTCTCTTGTTAAAGGAAAAAAAAAGTTCAGTGCAGAGACCCATACGTACTTCATTTTATGCCACATTATAGATGGGTTTAGAGTACCAACATTAGTGATATCCTGGTCTCTTTTAACTATAGTTTTTAAATAATCTGAATTAATTCATCAACTTTCAGCAAATAGTCTAAACATTGGGTTCTGTGAGTTTGTTCACTGTGGCCCTAGTATCTCTGCTTTCTGGGGAGTATCTAAATAATGAGCAACATAGTCTCTCATGTTTCTAGTGTGCTTGTAACACTATAATTTAAAAATCCATGCAGGCAGGAAAATATAGTAGAGAGAGACATTAATACTAGATCCCATTTGTTGAGCATGCTAAGTGCTTTACACATGTCTCTATCCATTTAATAATACGCTAAGGTATTACTGTTATCCTGTAGTAGGTAGTTTTGTTTTTTTTTTGTTTGTTTGTTTTGTTTGTTTTTGAGACAGGGTCTCGCTCTGTCACCCAGGCTAGAGTGCAGTGGCACAATCTCAGCTCACTGCAACCTCTGCCTCCTAAGTTCAAGGAATTCTCCCACCTCAGCCTTCTCAGTAGCTGGGACCACAGGTGCACACCACCATGCCCAGCTAGTAGAGAGAGGGTCTTGCCATGTTGCCCAGGCTGGTCTCAAATTCCTGAGCTCAAGCTATTCATCTGCCTCAGCCTCCCAAAGTGCTGGGATTACAGGTGTGAATTACTGTGCCCAGCCAGTAGGCAGAATTCTAGGAGAGCACCCAAGATTCTCACCCCCTGGTATACACGTGTTCTCAGATATTCAACTGAATACAAATCTAGGTGCTACTGTGAAGGGATTTTGCAGATGTAATTAAAGTCCCAAATCAGCTGACTTGAAGAAAGGGAGATTATTCTCAGTGGGCCTAAGCTAATCAGGAGAGCTCTTAAAAAGATCTAGGCTCTCCTTGGCAAAGTGGATTTGAAGCATGAGAGGGATTTGACAGGAGGGAGACTCTCCACAGCTGGCTTTAAAGATGTAGAGGGGTCAGCCGAGTACGGTGGCTCACGCCTGTAATCCCAGCACTCTGGGAGGCGGGCAGATCATGAGGTCAGGAGATCAAGACCATCCTGGCTGATACGGTGAAACCCCAGCTCTACTAAAAATACAAAAAATTAGCCAGGCATGGTGGCGGGTGCCTGTAGTCCCAGCTACTCGAGAGGCTGGGGCAGGAGAATGGCCTGAACCCGGGAGGCGGAGCTTGCAGTGAGCCGAGATTGAGCCACTGCACTCCAGCCTGGGCAACAGAGTGAGACTATCTCAAAACAAAACAAAACAAAACAAAACAAAACAAAACAAAAAACATGTGGAGGGATCATGGAGTGAGGTGCCTGGGTGGCCTCTGAATGTTGAGAATGGCCCCTGGCTGACAACCAGCAAAGAAACAGAAGTACAAGTTCAGCTCTACAACCATGAGGAACTGAAATCTTCCACAACCATATGAACTTGGAAGACAGCCCCAGCCTCAGATGACTTCACAGCCGTAGTTAACACCTTCATCTTTGGGAGATCTGAGTGGAGAGCCCAGTCATGCCATCCCTGGATTTCTGACCTATAGAACTGTAAGCCAATAAATGAGTATTGATTTAAGCTGCTAAATTTGTGGTAATTTGTTACGCAACAGAAAACCAATATATACCCATTTCATAGATCGGAAAACTGAGGCATTATAAAAAATGGCATTCGGACTAGCATGCAAGGGGAGAAAAGGAATATAAAAAATTCTTTGACTGGCTATTTTAGCTTAAAAGCCACATTCCATTTTCATTACAGTCATGTATTAGTCCGTGTTCACACTGCTGTGAAAATACTACCTAAGACTGGGTAATTTGTAAAGGAAAGAGGTTTAATTGACTCACAGTTCCACATGACTGGGGAGGCCTCAGGAAACTTACAATCATGGCAGAAAAGGAAGCAGGCATGTCTTACATGGTGGCAGGTGAGAGAGAGCAAAGAAGGAACCCCCTTATCAAACCATCAGATCTCACGAGAACTCACCAACAGGAGAACATCACAGGAGAAACCACCCCCACAATCCAACTACCTCCCACCAGGTCCTTTCCTTGACTGATGGGGATTATAGAAATTACAATTCTACATGAGATTTGGATGGGGACAATAAGCCAAACCCTATCAGGCCACAAACATAGATTTGCCCTGAGAAGCAATATGAATGCTAATTGCCTCATTAATTCTCAGAGAAAAGGCATGTTTTTCAATGCAGTGGGTGGAAACAAAAAACGAAACAAAACAAAACAAGAACAAAACAACAAAGGTAAATTTTTTAATTTTCTCCCAGTATCCTTCCAAGGAGATAAATATTTTCCTTATTTCATTCTATAATTCAAAATACACCAGGATTTTTTTTTTTTTTAAAGAAAGACTGGAATTAATTTTCTTGGGAATTGTTATGATTTGTGATGGATGACCAGCCATTCTGATTCAGTCCTTTACCCAGAGCTGGTTGATGATTCCTAGCAGGGTCTGAAATCTGAGTGGACTATTCAAGCAACAGAAAGCTATACAAGTGCTTCCAAGTCACTATGTGTGCTCAGTGCAGAGTTTCTGAAATAACCATCAAGGGCCTATTTTGCAACTGTACTCACCCTTGGAGTTTTCTAATGTGTTTGCCACTGTTGTTAATTCTAAGGTTAGGAAGTATGCTCCCCCCAAGTTAATTGTCCAATTAGCTCTACAACTATGGCTTGTAAAACAAGCACTGTGAACATGAGATTTGATATGAAGGAGACTGTGCCCAGTTTCCTTAAGTTTCTATTTAAAAAAAAAAAAAAAGGTACATAGTTTTGAATGATTTTATTGAATAAGCTGGGAGTGGACAAATTGCCAACCTAATACACACTTAAAAATTCATTACTCTTTATCTACAATTTGGTCTCTCAACAAAGACACTGCATGAGAATAGAATAGATTCCAGTCTCCATTTCTCATCATTTACTGATCATCATTTACCACATGCTAAGCACTAGGAGATGGTGGGTGGGGGCTGGTATTGATGTTGTATTGATGTTGTCAGTACAAAGACACATACAACAGATCTCAGACCTCAAATTGCTTAAAGCCATTGGAATGTGGCTAGAACTGTGTAGTGCAATTACTGACAATAATCACACTAAACTTCCACAAAGAAACTTTCCTGTGAATTCTTCCCGAGTAGGTGGTCATAGTGGATTCCTATAGCATATATTTTCAGTGCCATTTCTTCTTGCCCAAACACAGAGCTGAGACCATGTAGTGGGGGACCCCTATATTTAATGAACTATTCCTAAACTTCCCCAATTTAAGTTCCTTGGTTTCCTAGATTTAATCCTGGGAAAAGAAATCTCCAGGTTTCTGGTCTCATTTGCTATGCATGCTATGCATTTTTGTCAACATAGCTGAGATACCCTGGGAGTGTTGTATATGAATAATAGGGAAAAACTACAGTCATAAATTTACAATGATTTAAGAATTTCCTCCAGTGATCTTAAAAAGACAGGATTAACGCCAGATTTAGAAAACAGATGTCCTGGTATTTGATCCACCTGTGCTTGGGATATTGGCTCACACAGAAGTTTCAGAATTCTTTGACAATATACTTAACAGCCTAGCTATGGAGTCATACTACACTTTTACTAGCACCTACCTATTCTAAGTTATAGCATCTCTTCTTAGCCTTGTATGTCACTATCATCAAATAACATTTGTTGAAAAATCTGTGACATATCCTTAATTACTAACTTTAAGAAGCTAAATTTTTTTAAAAGGTGATATTTACATTTAGACACATACTCCAGATATTGTGTCAAGCCTTAACAAGAGTTCATAACTACCACAATGTATTTTTAGCCTGCCTAAATTAAGGGATAAAATAATCTACCAAGCTTTACATTACTTTGGGTCCTTTTTTTTCTTTCCTTTTTTCCCCTAAATTTTCACATCCTAACAAATGATGTGACAATTAGGACTTTTGTTTTCCAATTTGCCAATAATCTTCTAGAAAGTCACCTCTAAAAGAGAGAGAAAGCCCTGTGCTTAGTTGAGAGGCCAGGTAATTGGGGGCGGGGATGCCCACTTGAATGTGGCAGCATCGCTGGCTACCAACAGGCTTCCCATTCCAAACGCATTACTCTTTGTGCAACTGCTTTGAACACGGTACAGAGGGTACACATCAGTGATACACGCCTCCCTTGATGTTTCCATGGTCTGTTAGGAAAAGGAAGCATCAAACATAAAATTTATTTTCTGGAAATTTAGATATAAGTAAAATTTTATAAGGAAATTGTTTCCTTCAATGTATTTGAGAATCCTATAAAGCTAAGCTTTGTAAAATGGAGAAAATGTAACATCTGTATATAAGGAGGTTAATATATTATTTTCAAGAAAAAGGAGGGTGATTTGGTCTCCCTAGACAATATTTCTCCCGCCTCACAGATGGTCAGCATGTGGTACTCTCGCACTAAAGCCTTCTGGTGGTATCATAAGACATATAACTTTATACCAGCCCTTAAGGATGAAAGGTGCTAATGTAATTATTTTTATGTTAAACCACAAACTGTTAGGATGCAAATAACTATAAGTAAAAAGTGAGAACTAAACACGCACTCATCTGGGAAAGAACAGCAGCCCTCCAAAGACATGCCTAATTTTAGAAAAGCTATTTTCTATTTTGCTTTTATAAGTTAGTTGAAAAAGGAAGCTTTATTATGTTTCTAAAATTGTCTATACTGATAACATCTGGAGATTAGGAATTTTAATGAGACTCAAAACTGGTGGCTATTTTTATGATTGCTCTAGATGAACCCCAAGGTAAATGAGAATTTGGGGATAAAAAATGCAGAAATTCTGAAATATGTATTTTGGTGGTCTACAGACTTATCAACTCCATGCTGGCAATACATTTTTCCCAGATGAATCTGAAAACACAGGACACTGTTGTATAGGAGTTTAGAAGAACGCATAGAGTTAGTGCAAGGAAAGAGGGTTTGGCTTGGTGAGAACTCACTCTCTTACTTTTTTCCCCATAATGCCAATGATTATATTTTATATGTTTTGAAAGGCAATAAAGTGCTTACAAAATACAAATTCAAAAACTACTATCAAGCGATTTCTTATGTCAAATATGTGGGTAGTATCATCTCTACTATTATTTATTTATTTTTGAGAAGGTCTCACTCTGTCACCCAGGCTGGAACGCAGTGGCGCGATCTTAGCTCACTGCAACCTCCACTTCCCGGGTTCAAGCAGTTCTCCTGTCTCAGCCTCCTGAGTAGCTGCAATTACAGGCGCCCATCACCACGTCCAGCTAATTTTTGAATTTTAATAGAGACAGGGTTTCACCATGGTGGCCAGGCTGGTCTTGAACTCTTCTCCTCAAATAATCCATCCTCCTCAGCCTCCCAAAGTGCTGGGATTACAGGCATGAGCCACCATGTCCGGCCTCAACTATTTATTTTGATATTATAAATGAATTATATTGCGTGCAAATGATGCAAAGTGGGATGCTAGGAGACAATTGATGGAACCATGAAGAAAGGGATGCATACCTTATAAGATAAAGCAAGTAGGTTTGACCCCAGCCTGACCCTGCCTTAGAGAAAAATGATAACGCAACTGTGTACATTATAAAGTGGCTCCAATCTAATGTTCTGATCTCATTGTCTATCATTGCATTTCATACATCCTGTATTCCTCCGAGTCCTTGATTTCACACGGCCTGGGATGAAATCTTGGCTCTACTATTTACTAGCTGTGTGGCCTCAGGCAAGGAACCTCACCTGTTGATACCTCAGTTTCCTCAGCTGTAAAATCATCACAGTACCATTCTTATTAATAACAATCAATTGTAGCTCTTTTTGTGTTTACCTTCTCTAAATAAATTCATAGTGAGCAAAATGTCTAATAAGCCAATCTTATATCAGTTTATTCCATAGCCATCAAGAAATTCAAGATTTCATCAGAAGGCTGTTCAAATGTCCATAAAACCGTCACAAAGAAGCTCTATTTCATGACAGCGGAACTTGTGACAGTTAAAAATGAGGCAGAGATTTCAAAGCCTCAAAATTTTGGTTTTTATTACCTCATATTACATATAAATATGTTGATGAGTTCCCACGATTCTCCTTATTACCTCATATAGTTTTTAAAATATATAATATATTGGTTATAATATGATTAATTGATTTAATATTTTCTTTGGGGTCACACCCATGAAAAGTGAGTCATCATGTCCAGTGTAACATTGTTTCTGTGAGAAAACCAAATGACTTAAATCATTTTGTCACGAGGTCAGAGCACAGGTGCAGCAAATGGACATTAGGAAGCCAGGAGTCCCCATTGAGGTTGGGGTTAAAGAAAGGCCAGTGGAGAGGAGATACAACCAGCTAAGCAGCAGTTAGAAAAGTTCCTTAGTTTAGCACGGGATTGAAACTAAAGAAACTGTTTCAATTGTCTCCATATATTCTTGCAGAAACAACATATATAGTTTGATAAAGACCAAATCCATTTTTTTTTAAAGAATGTGCTGCTCTTAAATCCGAGATGATGAAAGTAATGGTCTGTCCTTGTTTATACATACATTTATTATTATTGCATTGTAACCCATGTAAGAGTCAGTAGGAAATAGCTAAACATTAAAAAATCTGGAAGAGGAACTCGATCTTGTGATTTTTACTGACCTCCGCAACGTGGGGGAAGATTTTCAGGTGTCACTCAGCATGGAAGTTATTATCTTCCTGCAAAAAGCCAGATGATCTGCAGAACCCCTCCTAGTGCCCCAAATAGGAGAAACCATTCCCAGGTAGGAGGCAGCTGCTCCAGGCATTTTACCAAGACTCTATTGGAGGTGCCTGAGCATCCTTAACCGCCAGTCTTATATAAACCTGGAGCAGTAAATTAGGCAGAACAGCTGTTAGAGCTATAAAAATCCAGGAGATGAAAGTTTTGCTTAAAATCCAAGCTCTGAGCAATTGCCATGTGAGACACTGAGGAGTCTCTGCAGTTAGACTAAAACAAGAAGTGACCATTTTGATTTGGATTATTATGGGACAAGGAAGAGCAAGGGATATGGAAAGGGTCTATAGACAGATAAGAAACTGGAGAACGAACAGGAAGTGGATTGAGACATTTCTCAAAGTGACACCACACTGAGAAGTTTACCAGTTCCCTTGTGAGGGCGGCCCTGGGTTAATGCCACCACTCTTGTATAGTCTTTGTAATTAGGAGCATGTTTGAATGCATGGAGTGTATGTGTATGTATCGGCTCAAGTGTCAATTCACGCACCAAGTCTGATTTTTTAGAAGTAGCTGCCTGAAGCACAGGGTTGATAAGGAATCAAAAGTCTGAGTCTACACTCCAAAAATGACACTGTGAGCTGGGCACGGTGGCTCACACCTGTAATCCCAGCACATTGGGAGGCCGAGGTGGGAGGATCACTTGAGCTCAGGAGTTTGAGACCAGCCTGGGCAACATAGACCTTGTCTCTACTAAAAAATTTTTTTAAATTATCTAGGTGTGGTGGCATGTGCCTGTAGTCTCAGCTACTCAGAAGGCCGAGGTAGGAGGATTGCTTGAGCCCAGGAGATGGAGGCTGCAGTGAGCTATGAGCATGCCACTGTACTCCAGCCTGGGGGACACAGTGAGACCTTGTCTCAAAAAAGAAAAACAAAAAAAAAAGATTTTGATCTGCCTTAGATGGAAAGAGAGAGCAGTATGCCTTAGATGTAGAGGGAGAGATGAGTAGACCCAGTGACAAAACCTAGATCTTAACTGTTAAGGAAATTATAGATGCTTCAGTGCTGGTATGTGTGGTCATTCTCAGTGAATCTTTTTTTTTTCCTATTCTAAAGCTCTAAGTCCAAGGAGCTTTAAGGTATTGTTCAAGATTGTTATCTGAGACAGCTAGACCCTTGAAAACAATTACTGTTAAAATACTGGGGCCAAGAAAGTGCACAGATGAGAAGCAACATTTCTTATAGTATATTCCAAGCAGTTTCTGAGCGTGCCACAGCTGGGGAAGAAAATCACTGTGTGATTGGTTCACTGTGAGATTGGTTCACAATCTCAGAGACAAAGAGGACCCCGTTACTCAGCAGTGCAGTGATTAAAAGCAATCCATGAAATACTAACTAGAGATACAGAATAAATACATTCCTGGAAGGCTAACTCACAGCTATCATCTCTTTTGGATTCCCAGCTTGCTTTGAAGACCAAGGAATGCTTGATTGCACTTCATTTGAGCAGAAAAATAGGTTAAGTTAAAGATAAAGAGGGAGAGAGGCTATACACACTCAAGATGGTCTGACAGATTGAGGGCTGTGTCCGAGAGCAGGACATCATCACCCAAGGAGAAACACCAAGACAACAAAAGTTCTGGACTTTATTCAACCCAGCCGCCTTGCTTTGGGGCTGGACTTTTCTTGCTGGTGGTTAGTTTGATATTTGATCAAATCTTGGATTTTCATTTTTATTGCCTAAGTGGAATAGGACACAGTTTAAGAACCTAAGCATTCATTATACTCAGCTTGTCACTCAGAAACTGGTCTTCTTTGGAATATGCTGTAAGAGACGTTGCTTATCATCAGTGCCTTTTCTTGGCCCTGGCATTTAAACATATTACAATACATTAAATATAATATCATACTAAATTTAATGAGTTACATGAAATACAACCACAACAGTACTAATAGCTAAAATCTGGATGTCAGCCTGGTGCCAGGATCGCGCTCAGTGCATTCCTTGGGTTCTCATATATAGTCCTCACAACATAACAATATGAAACGCATATAGGGCTTGATACATGCTAGTTACTGCTTCTAGTGCTTTACTAATATTAACTTATGCACTGTTTACAACAGCCTGTTACCTGAGCAAAGACAATGCAAAGGCCTGCCTAGAAAAAATATCCTAGAACTAAGATTTCATAATGAAGACACTGACGCACAGAGGCAAATGAACTTAACCAAGGCCATACACAGCTAGTAGGTGGCAGAACTAGGATAGAAATTTAGATGATCCTGTGAAGTGGGCCTCTGAATACTGCCATGTAGAAGAGGCGCAAACAAAGATGCAGAGAGGTGAACTGATTTGCCCAAGGTCACAGAGCTAGACCTAAATCAGAGTGTAACCTCAAAGACTGTGCTCCCATCCACCCTCCTGGACTGCCATAGTTTGGGCCAGAAAAAGGTTTTTCTGGCCGGGTGTGGTGGCTCACGCCTATAACCCCAGCACTTTGGGAGGCCGACGCAGGTGGATTACCTGAGGTCAGGAGTTCAAGACCAGCCTGGCCAGCATGGCGAAACCCCATCTCTACTAAAAATACAAAAATTAGCCGGGCCTGATGGCATGTGCCTGTAGTCCCAGCTACTTGGGAGGCTGAGGCAGGAGAATCGCTTGAACCCAGGAGGCCGAGGTTACAGCGAGTCAAGATCGTGCCACTGCACTCCAGCCTGGGCGGCAGAGTGAGACCCTGTCTCTAAATAAATAAATAATGGTTTTTCCTTTTGTTAACCTTTACCAGATGAAACTTAAGAATTTGAGGAAATTCAGTTATTGCATGATTGATACATTTAATTTTCAGACAATGCACAGGCCTGTCTGGAAAAAAATATCCAAATTCTCAGATTTTACTTCTAAAATCCCTTGTGCACTCTTCTGTTTCAGGGGAGACACCAGGATCTCATGCCTATGTCTACATCACCAAAAGGAAATAAGACAAGGTTTCTAAAACCCTCTGACAACATACCCTGAATTATTAATACTTGATACGAAGGCATTATCAGTACAGTGAATCTTAAAGATCTGAGATGCACGTGTTAGGTTTGTGGATTATGGGATGCCCAGCACAGGCTTCTTTCTTTCCATCGTCCACGCATGAAGCAGTGCTAGGATGGGGGAAGAGTGTGTGCAAGTGCCTCAGCCTGAATGTGAATCAGAATACATTCCAAAGACAAACACAAACGCTTTTGGATTATCCATGGCTTTGTTTTCCTCATACCCTTCCCTTGATGTATTAAAGGGCTCCAGGAGTGGAGCACATGCATTTATTCACACATGTGTCTTTCTGCAAAACTCAAACCTCATTATGTCTCAATGAGAAATCAAGCACCCGACATTTCCTTTGGAAGCAAATTCATAAAGAATTCAAGTTAGAAAACAGTATACTATGAAAAGCATAAATTTAAGAGCAATACCTTGATATGAAAGCCACTCCCCAGTCTTGATTTGTTGATAAAATTATACTGTGGTATTCTCCAACCAATTTCACTGACGTACTCATGTTTATATTTTGCTGGCAAGCTTCTATTTGAGGCAGGCCTCCATAAATATCTGAGATCTCCAGTTTTTTCTAACGCCAGATGCTGTTCTCCTACATAGGAGGTGTGCTGATGAATTTTGGGTAAATAATCCTTTATGTAGTCTGGACCTTTAAAAGACAAAATGTACTTAAAACTTCTCCACACTTTATTCTAAGATACTTTTGTTATTTTAACCGTTGAAATACTAATAGCCAATAATTATATGGTACTTACTACGTTCTAGGTTCTATTATAAGCCTTTTAGACATGTTAATTCTTATTAATACTTATTTATAATTAATAATTCTTATTAATGCTTATCTGTTAATTAATGTTTATTAATAACCAAATGAGACGGGTAGAATTTTTTTCCCCAGTTTATGTATGGGGAAAATGAAAGATTGGTTACTTGTCCAGAATTATAGCTAACAAGCTCTTTGTACCCAGACAGGCTGATGCGAAGGTTGGGCTCTTAATTGACCCATTAAACTGCTTTGTATATAATCAACTTAATACAGACATGGGCTGGATGTGGTGGTTTATGCCTGTAATCCCAGCACTTTGGGAGGCCAAGGTGGGTGCATCGCTTGAACTCAGGAATCTGAGACCAGCCTGGATAACTTCTGAGACCCTGTCTCTACAAAAAATAAAAATTAGCCAGGCATGGTGGCACACACCTGTGGTCCCAGCTATTTGGGAGATGGAGGTAAGAGGATTGCTTAAGCCCAGGAGGTGGAGGCTGCAGTGAGCTATGACTGTGCCACTGCACTCCAGCTTGGGCAATAGAGCAAGGCCACCTCAAAAAAAAAAAAAAAAAAAAAAAGACATGATATATACTAAAATTTATCCCATGCTACATTTGCAGGATGTAGGCCTTCAGATATTGAGGTGTTTTATCTAGGTAGATAAAAATCTGAAATGTGTATTAGAATACTCCGAAAATGTATTAGCAAAAATTGAAAAATGGAGAAAATTGTTAGATGAGGGTAGCTTATAACAGATTACCAAAGGCAGAAGTATTTGTATTTTAAAAGTAAAACAATGAACAAAAAAAAAAATCAATGAATTATAGAAATAGGTGAAAAAAGCAGAAACAAGAGAAGGTCTGGGTAAAGATCACTTAAATGAATTTTTTATTATGATACTTTAAGTTCTGGGATACATGTGCAGAACGTGCAGATTTGTTACATAGGTATACATGTGCCATGATGGTTTGCTGCACCCATCAACCCGTCATCTACATTAGGTATTTCTCCCAATGCTATCCATCCCCTTGCCCCCCACCCGCAACAGGCCCCCTTGTGTAATATTCCCCTCCCTGTGCCCATATGTTCTCATTGTTTAACTCCCACTTATGAGGGAGGACATGCAGTGTTTGGCTTTCTGTTCCTGAGTTACTTTGCTGAGAATGACTGTTTCCAGCTTCATTCATGTCCCTCCAAAGGATATGAACTCATTCTTTTTTATGGCTGCATAGTTATTGCATGGTATATATGTGCCACAATTTGTTTATTCAGTAAAACATTGATGGGCATTTGGGTTGGTTCCAAGTCTTTGCTACTGTGAATAGTGCTGCAAAAAACATACGTGTGCATGTGTCTTTATAGTAGAATGATTTATAATTCTTTGGGTATATACCCAGTAATGGAATTGCTGGGTCAAATGGTATTTCCAGTTCTAGATCCTTGAGGAATCGCCACACTGTCTTCCACAATACTTGAGCTAATTTACACTCCCATCAACAGTATAAAAGCATTCCTATTTCTCAACATCCTCTCCAGCATGTTGTTTACTGACTTTTTAATAATCGCCATTCTAACTGGTGTGATATGGTATCTTACTGTGGTTTTGATTTTCATTTCTCTAATGACCAGTGATGATGAGCTTTTATTCATATGTTTGTTGGTCACATATATGTCTTCTTTTGAAAAGTATCTGTTCATATCCTTCGCCCACTTTTTGATGGGGTTGTTTTTTTCTTGTGACTTTAAGTTCCTTGCAGCATCTTGATATTAGCACTTTCAGATGGATAGATTGCAAAAATTTTCTCCCGTTCTGTAGGTTGCCTGTTCACTCTGATGATAGTTTTTTTTTGCTGTATAGAAACTGTTTAGTTTAATTAGATCCCATTTGTGAATTGTGGCTTTTGTTACCATTGCTTTTGGTGTTTTAGTCATGAAATATTTGCCCATGCCTATGTCCTGAATGGTATTGCCTAGGTTTTCTTCTAGGGTTTTTATGGTTTTAGGTCTTACATTTAAGTCTTTAATCCATCTTGAGTTAATTTTTGTAAAAGGTGTAAGGAAGGGGTCCAGTTTCAGTTTTCTGCATATGGCTAGCCAGTTTTCCTAACACCATTTATTAAATAGGGAATCCTTTCCCCATTGCTTGTTTTTGTCAGGTCTGTCAAAGATCAGATGGTTGTAGATGTGTGGTGTTATTTCTGAGGCCTCTGTTCTGTACCATTGGTCTACATATCTATTTTGATACCAGTACCATACTATTTTGGTTATGTAGCCTTGTACTATAGTTTGAAGTCAGGTAGTGTAATGTCTCCAGCTTTGTTCTTTTTGCTTAGGATGGTCTTGGCTATGTGGGCTCTGTTTTGGTTCCAAATGAAATTTAAAGTAGTTTTTTTCTAGTTCTGTTAAGAAAGTCAATGGTAGCTTGATGGGGATAGTATTGAATGTATAAATTACTTTGGGCAGTACGGCCATTTTCATGATATTGATTCTTGTTATCCATGAGCACGGAATGTTTTTCCATTTGCTTGTGTCCTCTCTTATTTCCTCGAACAGTGGTTTGTAGTTCTCCTTGAGGAGGTCCTTCACAGCTCTTGTAAGCTGTATTCCTATGTATTTTATTCTCTTTGTAGCAATTGTGACTGGGAGTTCACTCATGATTTGGCTATTATTGGTTTATAGAAATACTTGTGATTTTTGCACACTGATTTTATATCCTGAGACTTTGCCAAAGTTGCTTATCAGCTTAAGGAGATTTTGGGCTGAGACAATGGGGTTTTCTAATTATATAATCATGTCATCTGCAAAGAGAGATAATTTGACTTCCTCTCTTCCTATTTGAATACATTTATTTCTTTCTCTTGCCTGATTGACCTGGCCAGAACTTCCAATACTATGTTGAACAGGAGTGGTGAGAGAGGGCATCCTTGTCTTGTGCCGGTTTTCAAAGGGAATCATTCCAGCATTTGGCCATTCATTATGATATTGGCTGTGGGTTTTTCATAAATAGCTCTTATTATTTTGAATACGTTTCATCAATACCTAGTCTACTGAGTGGTTTTAGCATGAAGGGGGGTTGAATTTTATGGAAGGCCTTTTCTGCATCTATTGAGATAATCATGTTGTTTTTGTCATTGGTTCTGTTTATGTGATGGATTACGTTTATTGATTTGCATATGTTGAATCACCCTTGCATTCCAGGGATGAAGCCAACTGGATCAGGATGGATAAGCATTTTTTTTTTTTTTTTTTTTTTTTGAGACAGAGTCTCGCTCTGTCACCAGGCTGGAGTGCAGTGGCATCTCAGCTCAATGTAACCTCCATTTCCCAGGTTCAAGCAATTCTCCCATCTCAGCTTCTCAAGTAGCTGGGACTACAGGCACACACCACCACGCCCAGCTAATTTTTCTATTTTTAGTAGAGACGGGGTTTCACCATGTTGGCCACGATGGTCTCAATCTCTTGACCTTGTGATCCACCTGCCTCAGCCTCCCAAAGTGCTGGGATTACAGGCATGAGCCACCGCACCTAGCCAGATAAGCTTTTTAATGTGCTGCTGGATTCAGTTTGCCAGTATTTTATTGAAGATTTTTGCACTGATGTTCATCAGGGATATTGGCCTGAAATTTTCTTTTTTTGTTGTGTCTCTGCCAGGTTTTGGTATCAGAATGATGCTGGCCTCATAAAATGAGTTAAGGAGGAGTCCCTCTTTTTCTATTGTTTGGAATAGTTTCAGAAGGAATGGTACCAGCTCCACTTTGCACCCCCCTGGTAGAATTCGGCTGTGAATCTGTCTGGTCCTGGACTTTTGGTTGGTAGGCTATTAATTACTACCTCAATTTCAGAACTTGTTATTGGTCTGTTCAGGGATTCAACTTCTTCCTGGTTTAGTTTGGGAGGGGGTATGTGTCCAGGAATTTATGCATTTCTTCTGGATTTTCTACTTTATTTGCATAGAGGTGTTTACAGTATTCTCTGATAGTAGTTTGTATTTCTGTGGGATCAGTGGTGATCTCCCCTTTATCATTTTCTGTTGCATCTATTTGAATATTCTCTCCTTTCTTCTTTATTAGTCTGGCTAGAGGTCTATCTACTGTGTTGATATTTTCAAAAAATCAGCTCCTGGATTCATTGATTTTTTGAAGGGTTTTTTGTGTCTCTATCTCCTTCAGTTCTTTTTTTTTTTTTTTTTTTTTTTTTTCTCTTTGAGACGGAGTCTCGCTCTGTCAGCCAGGCTGGAGAGCAGTGGCACAATCTCGGCTCACTGCAAGCTCTGCCTCCCGGGTTCACGCCATTCTCCTGCCTCAGCCTCCGGAGTAGCTGGGACCACAGGCGCCCGCCACCACGCCCAGCTAATTTTTTGTATTTTTAGTAGAGACGGGGTTTCACTGTGTTAGCCAGGATGGTCTCGATCTCCTGACCTCGTGATCTGCGCACCTCTGCCTCCCAGTGCTGGGATTACAGGTGTGAGCCACAGCACCCAGCCTATCTCCTTCAATTTTACTCTGATCTTAGTTATTTCTTGTCTTCTGCTAGCTTTTGAATTTGTTTGCTCTTGTTTCTCTAGCTCTTTTAATTGTGATGTTAGGGTGTTGTTTTAGAATTTTCTCACTTTCTCCTGTGGGCATTTACTGCTATAAGTTTCCCTCTAAACACTGCTTTACCTGTGTCCCAGAGATTCTGGGAAGTTGTGTCTTTGTTTTCATTGGTTTCAAAGAACTTATTTATTTCTGCCTTCATTTCGTTATTTACCCAGTAGTCATTCAGGAGCAGGTTGTTCAGTTTCCAGGTAGTTGTGCGGTTTTGAGTGAGTTTCTTAATCCTGAGTTCTAAGCTGATTGCACTGTGGTCTGAGAGACTGTTATGATTTCTGATCTTTTGCATTTGCTGAGGAGTGTTTTACTTCCAATTATGTGATCAATTTTAGAAATAGTGCTATGTGGTGCTGAGAAGAATGTACATTCTATTAATTTGGGGTGGAGAGTTCTGTAGATGTCTATTAGGTCTGCTTCATCCAGAGCTGAATTCAAGTCCTGCATATCCTTGTTAATTTTCTGTCTTGTTGATTTGTCTAATATTAACGGTGGGGTGTTAGACTCTAACACAATAATAGTGGAAGACTTTACATCTCTTTGTAAGGTGTCTAAGAACTTGCTTTATGAATCTGGGTGCTCCTGTACTGAGTGCATATATATTTAAGATATTTAGCTCTTTTTATTGCATTGATCCCTTTACCACTTTGTAATGCCCTTCTTTGTCTTTTTTGATCCTTGTTGGTTTAAAGTCTGTTTTATCAGAGAGTAGGATTGCAAACCCTGCTTTTTTTTTGCTTTCCACTTACTTTGTAAATATTCCTCCATCCCTTTATTTTGAGCCTATGTGTGTCTTTGCACATGAGATGGGCCTCTTGAATACAGCACACCGATGAGTCTTGACTCTTCATCCAATTTTGCCACTCTGTACTGAGTGCTGTGCTGGGAGATCCATTGCTCTCTTCAGAGCCAACAGGCAGGAATGTTTAAGTCTGCTGAAGCTGTGCCCACAGCCGCCCCTTCCCCCAGGTGCTCTGTCCCAGGGAGATAGGAGTTTTATCTATAAGCCCCTGACTGGGGGTGCTGCCTTTCTTTTAGAGGCACCCTGCCCAGAGAAGAGGAATCTAGAGAGGCAGTCTGGCTAAAGTGGCTTTGCCGAGCTGAGGTGGGCTCCGGAGACTTTGTTCACACTGTGAGGGGAAAACCACCTACTCACGCCTCAGTAATGGCAGACACCCCTACCCCGCCACCAAGCTTGAGCCTCCCAGGTCGGTTTCAGACTGCAGTGCTGGCAGCGAGAATTTCAAGCCAGTGGATCTTAGCTTGCTGGGCTCCATGGGGGTGGGATCCGATGAGCCAGACCACTTGGCTCCCTGGCTTCAGCCTCCTCTCCAGGGGAGTGAATGGTTCTCTCATGGGCATTCCAGGCACCACTGGGGTACGAAAAACAAAAAGAAACTCCTGAGGAAGGCTGGCAAGATGGCTGAGTAGAAACAGCTCTGGTCTGAAGCTCCCAGCAAGATCAACACAGAAGGTGGGTGATTTCTGCATTTCCAACTGAGGTACCCGGCTCATCTCACTGGAACTGGTTAGATAGTGGGTGCATCCCACAGAGGGCAATGGGTCAGGGAACTCCCTTCCCTAGCCAAGGGAAGCCACGTGGGACTGTGCCATGAGGAACAGTGACCACTGGCCCATATACTATGATTTTCCCAAGGTCTTCACAACCCACAGATCAGGAGATTCCCTCAGGTGCCTACACCACCAGGGCCCTGTGTTTCAAGCACAAAACTGGGTGGCTGTTTGGGAAGCCACTGAGCTAGTTGCAAGAGTTTTTTTTTTTTTTTTTTTTTTTTTCATACCCCAGTGGCACCTGGAATGCCAGTGAGACAGAACTGTTCACTCCTCTGGAAAGGGGGCTGAAGCCAGGGAACCAAGTGATCTAGCTCAGCGGATCCCCTCCCCACAGAACCCAGCAAGCTAAGATCCACTGGTTTGAAATTCTTGCTGTCGGCACGGCAGTCTGAAACCGACCTGGGACGCTCAAGCTTGGTTTGGTGGGGAGGGGTATCCACCATTGCTGAGTCTTGAGTAGGTGGTTTTCCCCTCACAGTGTAAACAAAGCTTCTGGGAATTTCGAACTGAGCAGCACCCTCCACAGCTCAGCAAAGCCACTGTGGCCAGACTGCCTCTCTAGATTCCTCTTCTCTGGGCAAGGCATCTCTGAACAAAAGGCAGCAGCCCCAGTCAGGGGGTTATAGATAAATTCTCCTCTCCCTGGGACAGAGCATATGGGGGAAGGGGCAGCTGTGGGTGCAACTTCAGCAGACTTAAACATCCCTGCCTGCCGGCTCTGAAGAGAGCAGTGGATCTCCCAGCACAGCATTCGAGCTCTGCTAAAGGTCAAACTGCCTCCTCAACTGGGTCCCTGACCCCCATGTCTCCTGACTGGGAGATACCTCCCAACAGGTGTTGACAGACACCTTGTAGAGGAGAGCCCTGGCTGGCATCTGGCGGGTGCCCCTCTGGGACAAAGCTTACAGAGGAAGGAACAGGCAGCAATCTTTGCTGTTCTGCAGCCTTCGCTGGTGATATCCAGGCAAACAGGGTCTGGAGTGGACCTCCAACAAATTAGCAGACCCGCAGCAGAGAGGCCTGACTGTTACAAGCAAAACTAACAAACAGAAATAGCATCAACATCAACACATCAACAAAAAGGACATCCACTCAGAAGCCCCATTTGAAGGTCACCAACATCAAAGAACAAAGGTAAATAAATCCACATAGATGAGGAGAAACCACCGCAAAAAGACTGAAAATTCCAAAAACCAGAATGCCTCTTCTCTTTCAAAGGATCACAACTCCTTGCCAGCGAGGGAACAAAACTGGACGGAGAATGAGTTTGATGAACTGACAAAAGTAGGCCTCAAAGGGTGAGTAATAACAAACTCCTCCTAGCTAAAGGAGCATGTTCTAACAGAATGCAAGGAAGAACCTTGAAAAAAGGTTAGAGGAATTGCTAACTAGAATAACCAGTTTAGAGAAGAACATAGATGACCTGATGGAGCTGAAAAACATAGCATGAGAACTCTGTGAAGCATACACAAGTATCAATAGCCGAATCGATAAAGCAGAAGAAAGGATATCAGAGATTGAAGATCAACTGAATGAAATAAAGCATGAAGACAAGATTAGAGAAAAAAGAATGAAAAGGAAGGAACAAAGCCTCCAAGAAATATGAGACTATGTGAAAAGACCAAACCTATGTTTGCTTGGTGTACCTGAAAGTGACAGGGAGAATGGAACCAAGTTGGAAAACACTCTTCAGGATATTACCCAAACGAACTTCCCCAAACTAGCAAGACAGGCCAACATTCAAATTCAGGAAATACAGAGAACACCATAAAGATACTCCTTGAGAAGAGCAACCCCAAGACACATAATCATCAGAGTCACCAAAGTTGAAATGAAGGAAAAAATGTTAAGGGCAGCCAGAGAGAAAGGTTGGGTTGGCCACAAAGGGATGCCCATCAGACTCACAGTGGATCTCTCTGCAGAAACCCTACAAACCAGAAGAGAATAGGGGCCAATATTCAACATTCTTAAAGAAAAGAATTTTCAACCCAGAATTTCATATCTAGCCAAACTAAGCTTTGTAAGTGAAGGAGAAATAAAATCCTTTGCAGACAAGCAAATGCTGAGGGATTTTGTCACCACCAGGCCTGCCTTACAAGAGCTCCTGAAGGAAGCACTAAACATGGAGGGGAACAACTGGTATCAGCCACTGCAAAAACATACCAAATTGTAAAGACCATCAACACTATGAAGAAACTGCATCAACTAATGGGCAAAAAAAAAAAAAAAAAAAAAAAAAAAGAGCTAGCATAATAGAGACAGGATCAAATTCACACATAACAATATTAACCTTAAATGTAAATGGGTTAAATGCCCCAATTAAAAGACACAAGACTGGAAAGCTGGATAAAGAGTCAAGACTCATCAGTGTGCTGTATTCAGGAGACCCACCACATGTGCAAAGACACAAATAGGCTCAAAATAAAGGGATGGAGGAATATTTACAAAGTGGAAACCAAAAAAAAGCAGGGGTTGCAATCCTACTCTCTGATAAAGCAGACTTTAAACCAACAAAGATCAAAAAAGACAAAGAAGAGCATTACAAAATGGTAAAGGGATCAATGCAATAAGAAGAGCTAAATATCTTAAATATATATGCACTCAATACAGGAGCACCCAGATTCATAAAGCAAGTTCTTAGACACCTTACAAAGAGATGTAAAGTCTCCCACTATTATTGTGTTAGAGTCTAACACCCCACCATTAATATTAGACAGATCAACAGGACAGAAAATTAACAAGGATATTCAGGACTTGAACTCGGCTCTGGACGAAGCAGACCTAACAGACATCCACAGAACTCTCCACCCCAAATCAATAGAATATACATTCTTCTCAGCACCACATAGCACTATTTCTAAAATTGATCACATAATTGGAAGTAAAACACTCCTCAGCAAATGCAAAAGAACAGAAACATAACAAACAGTCTCTCAGACCACAGTGCAATCAACTTAGAACTCAGGATTAAGAAACTCACTCAAAACCGCACAACTACCTGGAAACTGAACAATCTGCTCCTGAATGACTACTGGGTAAATAACGAAATGAAGGCAGAAATAAACAAGTTCTTTGAAACCAATGAGAACAAAGACACAACTTCCCAGAATCTCTGGGACACAGGTAAAGCAGTGTTTAGAGGGAAATTTATAGAGTAAATGTCCACAGGAGAAAGCAGGAGAGATCCAAATTGACACCCTAGAACAAAGCTGGACGGAGAATGACTTTGACAAGTTGAGAGAAGAAGGCTTCAGACGATCAAACTATTCCGAGCTACAGGAGGAAATTCAAACCAAAGGCAAAGAAGTTAAAAACCTTGAAAAAAATTTAGATGAATGTATAACTAAAATAACCAATACAGAGAAGTGCTTAAAGGAGCTGACGGAGCTGAAAGCCAAGGCTCGAGAACTATGTGAAGAATGCAGAAGCCTCAGGAGCCGATGCGATCAACTGGAAGAAAGGGTATCAGTGATGGAAGATGAAATGAATGAAATGAAGCGAGAAGGGAAGTTTAGAGAGAAAAGAATAAAAGGAGACGAACAAAGCCTCCAAGAAATATGGGACTATGTGAAAAGACCAAATCTATGTCTGATTGGTGTACCTGAAAATGACAGGGAGAATGGAACCAAGTTGGAAAACACTCTGCAGGATATTATCCAGGAGAACTTCCCCAATCTAGCAAGGCAGGCCAACATTCAGATTCAGGAAATACAGAGAACGCCACAGAGATACTCCTTGAGAAGAGCAACTCCAAGACACATAATTGTCAGATTCACCAAAGTTGAAATGAAGGAAAAAATGTTAAGGGCAGCCAGAGAGAAAGGTCGGGTTACCCACAAAGGGAAGCCCATCAGGCTAACAGCGGATCTCTCGGCAGAAACTCTGCAAGCCAGAAGAGACTGGGGGCCAATATTCAATATTCTTAAAGAATTTTCAACCCAGAATTTCATATCCAGCCAAACTAAGCTTCATAAGTGAAGGAGAAATAAAATCCTTTACAGACAAGCAAATGCTGAGCACCAGGCCTGCCCTAAAAGAGCTCCTGAAGAAAGCACTAAACATGGAAATGAACAACTGGTACCAGCCACTGCAAAATCATGCCAAAATGTAAAGACCATCGAGACTAGGAAGAAACTGCATCAACTAACGAGCAAAATAACCAGCTAACATCATAATGACAGGACCAAACACACACATAACAATATTAACTTTAAATGTAAATGGACTAAATGCTCCAATTAAAAGACACAGACTGGCAAATTGGATAAAGAGTCAAGACCCATCAGTGTGCTGTATTCAGGAAACCCATCTCACATGCAGAGACACATATAGGCTCAAAATAAAAGGATGGAGGAAGATCTACCAAGCAAATGGAAAACAAAAAAAGGCAGGGGTTGCAATCCTAGTCTCTGATAAAACAGACTTTAAACCAACAAAGATCAAAAGAGACAAAGAAGGCCATTACATAATGGTAAAGGGATCAATTCAACAAGAAGAGCTATCTATCCTAAATATATATGCACCCAATACAGGAGCACCCAGATTCATAAAGCAAGTCCTGAGTGACCTACAAAGAGACTTAGACTCCCACACAATAATAATGGGAGACTTTAACACCCCACTGTCAACATTAGACAGAAAGTTAACAAGGATACCCAGGAATTGAACTCAGCTCTGCACCAAGCGGACCTAATAGACATCTACAGAACTCTCCACCCCAAATCCACAGAATATACATTTTTTTCAGCACCACACCTCACCTATTCCAAAATTGACCACATACTTGGGAGTAAAGCTCTCCTCTGCGAATGTAAAAGAACAGAAATTATAACAAACTGTCTCTCAGATCACAGTGCAATCAAACTAGAACTCAGGATTAAGAAACTCAGTGAAAACCGCTCAACTACATGGAAACTGAACAACCTGCTCCTGAATGACTACTGGGTACATAACGAAACCAAGGCAGAAATAAAGATGTTCTTTGAAACCAACGAGAACAAAGACACAACATACCAGAATCTCTGGGACACATTCAAAGCAGTGTGTAGAGGGAAATTTATAGCACTAAATGCCCACAAGAGAAAGCAGGAAAGATCCAAAATTGACATCCTAACATAACAATTAAAAGAACTAGAAAAGAAAGAGCAAACACATTCAAAAGCTAGCAGAAGGCAAGAAATAACTAAAATCAGAGCAGAACTGAAGGAAACAGAGACACAAAAAACCCTTCAAAAAATTAATGAATCCAGAAGCTGGTTTTTTGAAAGGATCAACAAAACTGATACACCGCTAGCAAGACTAATAAATAAAAAAAGAGAGAAGAATCAAATAGACGCAATAAAAAATGATAAAGGGGATATCACCACCGATCCCATAGAAATACAAACTACCATCAGAGAATACTACAAACACCTCTACACAAATAAACTAGAAAATCTAGAAGAAATGGATAAATTCCTCGACACATACACCCTCCCAAGACTAAACCAGGAAGAAGTTGAATCTCTGAATAGACCAATAACAGGCTCTGAAATTGTGGCAATAATCAATAGCTTACCAACCAAAAAGAGTCCAGGACCAGATGGATTCACAGCCGAATTCTACCAGAGGTACAAGGAGGAACTGGTACCATTCCTTCTGATACTATTCCAATCAATAGAAAAAGAGGGAATCCTCCCTCACTCATTTTATGAGGTCAGCATCATCCTGATACCAAAGCTGGGCAGAGACACAACCAAAAAAGAGAATTTTAGACCAATATCCTTGATGAACATTGATGCAAAAATCCTCAATAAAATACTGGCAAACCGAATCCAGCAGCACATCAAAAAGCTTATCCACCATGATCAAGTGGGCTTCATCCCTGGGATGCAAGGCTGGTTCAATATACACAAATCAATCAGTGTAATCCAGCATATAAACAGAACCAAAGACAAAAACCAGATGATTATCTCAATAGATGCAGAAAAGGCCTTTGAAAAAATTCAACAATGCTTCATGCTAAAAACTCTCAATAAATTAGGTATTGATGAGACGTATCTCAAAATAATAAGAGCTATCTATGACAAACCCACAGCCAATATCATACTGAATGGGCAAAAGCTGGAAGCATTCCCTTTGAAAACTGGCACAAGACAGGGATGCCCTCTCTCACCACTCCTATTCAACATACTGTTGGAAGTTCTGGCCAGGGCAATTAGGCAGGAGAAAGAAATAAAGGGTATTCAATTAGGAAAAGAGGAAGTCAAATTGTCCCTGTTTGCAGATGACTTGATTGTATATCTAGAAAACCCCATTGTCTCAGCCCAAAATCTCCTTAAGCTGATAAGCAACTTCAGAAAAGTCTCAGGATACAAAATCAATGTACAAAAATCACAAGCATTCTTATACACCAACAACAGACAAACAGAGAGCCAAATCATGAGTGAATTCCCATTCACAATTGCTTCAAAGAAAATAAAATACCTAGGAATCCAACTTACAAGGGATGTGAAGGACCTCTTCAAGCAGAACTACAAACCACTGTTCAAGGAAATAAAAGAGGATACAAACAAATGGAAGAACATTCCATGCTCATGGGTAGGAAGAATCAATATCGTGAAAATGGCCATACTGCCCAAGGTAATTTATAGATTCAGTGCCATCCCCATCAAGCTACCAATGACTTTCTTCACAGAATTGGAAAAAACTACTTTAAAGTTCATATGGAACCAAAAAAGAGCCCGCATTGCCAAGTCAATCCTAAGACAAAAGAACAAAGCTGGAGGCATCACGCTACCTGACTTCAAACTATACTACAAGGCTACAGTAACCAAAACACCATGGTACTGGTATCAAAACAGAGATATAGATCAATGGAACAGAACAAAGCCCTCAGAAATAACACCGCATATCTACAGCTATCTGATCTTTGACAAACTTGAGAAAAGCAATGGAGAAAGGATTCCCTATTTAATAAATGGTGCTGGGAAAACTAGCTAGCCATATGTAGAAAGCTGAAACTGGATCCCTTCCTTACACCTTATACAAAAATTAATTCAAGATGGATTAAAGTCTTAAATATTAGACCTAAAACCATAAAAACCCTAGAAGAAAACCTAGGCATTACCATTCAGGACATAGGCATGGGCAAGGACTTCATGTCTAAAATGCCAAAAGCAATGGCAACAGAAGCCAAAATTGACAAATGGGATCTAATCAAACTAAAGAGCTTCTGCACAGCAAAAGAAACTACCATCAGAGCGAACAGGCAACCTACAAAATGGGAGAAAATTTTTGCAACCTACTCATCTGACAAAGGGCTAATATCCAGAATCTACAATGAACTCAAACAAATTTACAAGAAAAAAACAAACAACCCCATCAAAAAGTGGGCGAAGGACATGAACAGACACTTCTCAAAAGAAGACATTTATGCAGCCAAAAAACACATGAAAAAATGTTCATCATCACTGGCCATCAGAGAAATGCAAATCAAAACCACAGTGAGATACCATCTCACACCAGTTAGAATAGCAATCATTAAAAAGTCAGGAAACAACAGATGCTGGAGAGGATGTGGAGAAATAGGAACACTTTTACACTGTTGGTGGGACTGTAATCTAGTTCAACCATTGTGGAAGTCAGTGTGGCAATTCCTCAGGGATCTAGAACTAGAAATAGCATTTGACCCAGCCATCCCATTACTGGGTATATACCCAAAGGATTATAAACCATGCTGCTATAAAGACACATGCACACATATGTTTATTGTGGCACTATTCACAATAGCAAAGACTTGGAACCAACCCAAATGTCCAACAATGATAGACTGGATTAAGAATATGTGGCACATATACACCATGGAATACTATGCAGCCATAAAAAATGATGAGTTCATGTCCTTTGTAGGGACATGGATGAAATTGGAAATCATCATTTTCAGTCAACTATCGCAAGGACAAACCAAACACCGCATGTTCTCACTCATAGGTGGGAATTGAACAATGAGAACACATGGACACAGAAAGGGGAACAACACACTCTGGGGACTGTTGTGGGGTAGGGGGAGTGGGGAGGGATAGCATTAGGAGCTATACCTAATGCTAAATGACGAGTTAATGGGTGCAGCACACCAGCATGGCACATGTATACTTATGTAACTAACCTGCACATTGTGCACATGTACCCTAAAACTTAAAGTATAATAATAATAAAATAAAAATAAAATAAAAATTGACACCCTAACATCACAATTAAAAGAATTAGAGAAGCAAGAGCAAACAAATTCAAAAGCTAGCAGAAGACAAAAAATAACTAAGATCAGAGCAGAACTGAAGGAGATAGAGACACAAAAAACCCTTCAAAAAATCAATGAATCCAGGAGCTGGTTTTTTGAAAAGATCAACAAAATATACTGCTAGCCAGGCTAATAAAGAAGAAAGGAGAGAATATTCAAATAGATGCAATAAAAAATGATAAAGGGGAGATCACCACTGATCCTGCAGAAATACAAACTACCATCAGAGAATACTATAAACAGCTGTACGCAAATAAACTAGAAAATCTAGAAGAAATGGATAAATTCCTGGGCACATACACCCTCCCAAGTCTAAAGTAGGAAGCAGTCAAATGCCTGAATAGACCAATAACAAGTTCTGAAATTGAGGCAGTAATTAATAGCCTGCCAACCAAAAAATGTCCAGGACCAGACAGATTCACAGCCAAATTCTACCAGAGGTACAAAGAGGAGCTGGTACCATTCCTTCTCAAACTATTCCAAATAATAGAAAAAGAGGGACTTCTGCCTAACTCATTTTATGAGGCCAGCATCATCCTGATACCAAAACCTGGCAGAGATGCAACAAAAAAAGAAAAAGGCCAATATCCCTGATGAACATCAGCACAAAAATCCTCAATAAAATATTGGCAAACTCAATCCAGCAGCACATCAAAAATCTCATCCACCATGATCAAGTTGGCTTCATCTCTGGGATGCAAGGCTGGTTCAACCTACACAAATCAATAAAAGTAATCCATCACATAAACACAACCAATGACAAAAACTATGTGATTATCTCAATAGATGCAGAAAAGGCCTTCAACAAAATTCAACAGCCCTTTATGCTATAAACTCTCAATAAACTAGGTATTGATGGAGTGTATCTCAAAATGAGAGCTATTTATGACAAACCCACAGCCAATATCATACTGAATGGCCAAAAACTGGAAGCACTCCCTTTGAAAACCAGCACAAGAATAGGATGACCTCTCTCACCACTCCTATTCAATGTAGTATTGGAAGTTCTGGCCAGGTCAATCAGGCAAGAGAAAGAAATAAAGGGTATTCACATAGGAAGAGAGCAACTCAAATTGTCTGTTTGCAGATGACATAATTATATCTTTACAAAACCCCACAGTCTCAGCCCAAAATCTCCTTAAGCTGATAAGCAACTTTGGCAAAGTCTCAGGATACAAAATCAGTGGGCAAAAATCACAAGCATTCCTGTACACCAATAACAGACAAACAGACAGCCAAATCATGAGTGAACTCCCAGTCACAATTGCTACAAAGAGAATAAAACACATAGGAATACAACTTACAAGAGATGTGAAGGATCTCCTCAAGAAGAACTACAAACTACTGCTCAAGGAAATGCGAGAGGACACAAGCAAATGGAAAACATTCCGTGCTCATGGATAACAAGAATCAATATCATGAAAATGGCCATACTGCCCAAAGTAATTTATACATTCAACACTATCCCCATCAAGCTACCATTGACTTTAACAGAATTAGAAAAAACTACTTTAAATTTCATATGAAACCAAAAAAGAGCCCACATAGCCAAGAAAATCTTGAGCAAAAAGAATAAAGCTGGAGGCATCATGCTACCTGATGTCAAACTATACTACAAGGCTACAGTAACCAAAACAGCATGGTACTGGAACCAAAACAGATATATAGACCGATGGAACAGAACAGAGGCCTCAGAAATAACACCATACACCTACAACCATCTGATCTTTGACAAACCTGACAAAAACAAGCAATGGGGAAAGGATTCCCTATTTAATAAATGGTGTTGGGAAAACTGGCTAGCCATATGCAGAAAACTGAAACTGGATCCCTTCCTTACACCTTTTACAAAAATTAACTCAAGATGGACTAAAGACTTAAATGTAAGACCTAAAACCATAAAATCCCTAGAAGAAAACCTAGGCAATACCATTCAGGACATAGGTATGGGCAAAGACTTCATGACTAAAACACCAAAAAGCAACGGCAACAAAAGCCAAAATTGACAAATGGGATCTAATTAAACTAAAGAGCTTCTGCACAGCAAAAGAAACTATTATCAGAGTGAACAGGCAACCTACAGAATGGGAGAAAATTTTGCAATCTATCCATATGACAAAGGGCTAATATCCAGAATCTCCAAAGAACTTAAATAAATTTACAAGGAAAAAAATACCTTATCAAAAAGCGGGTGAAGGATATGAACGGGTACTTCTTAAAGAAGACATTTATGCAACCAATAAACATATGAAAAAAAGCTCATCATCACTGGTCATTAGAGAAATGCAAATCAAAACCTCAATTAGATTCCATCTCACACCAGTTTGAATGGCAATCATTAAAAAGTCAGGAAACAACAGATGCTGGAGAGAATGTGTAGAAATAGGAATGCTTTTACACTGTTGGTGGGAGTGTAAATTAGTTCAACTATTGTGGAAGACAGTGTGGCAATTCTTCAAGGATCTAGAACCAGAAATATCATTTGACTCAGCAATCCCATCACTGGGTATATCCCCAAAGGATTATAAATCATTCTATTATAAAGACACATGCACACGTATGGTTATTGCAGCACTGTTCACAATAGTGAACAGTGAATACTGACTTGGAACCAACCCAAATGCCCATCAATGAAAGACTGGATAAAGAAAATGTGCCACATATACACCATGGAATACCATGCAGCCATAAAGATGAGGTCATGTTCTTTGCAGGGACATGGATGAAGCTGGAAACCATCATCCTCAGCAAACTAACACAAGAACAGAAAACCAAACACCGCCATGTTCTCACTCATAAGTGGGAGTTGAACAATGAGAACACATGGACACAGGCAGGGAAACATCACACATTGGGTCCCATTGAGGGGTGAGGGGCTAGGAGAGGGATAGCATTAGGAGAAATACCTAATGTAGATGATGGGCTGGTGGGTGCAGCAAACCACCATGTCATGTGTAAGCAAACCTGCACATTCTGCACATGTACTCCAGAACTTAAAATATAATAAAAAACGTTTGCAGATAGCTCAAATAAATTCATTTTTTAAAAAGAGATAGGGTCTTGCTATGTTGCCCAGGCTGAAGTGCAGTTGCTATTCACAGGTACAATAATAGTGCTCTAAAGACTTGGACTTCTGGGTTCAAATGATTCTCCTGTCTCAACCTCCCAAGTAGCTGGGACTACAGGCACATGCCACCAAGCTCTGCTAAAATTGGTAAAGTTGATTATGTGAATGTGAAAGATCTAAGACTTTCTGTAAGAAATGGTACTTACTGATGAAAAACAGACAATGGAGCTACTGGCCCAGGAAGAAGTTCAAAGCCCCAGAACCAAAATGAGTGTAGACGTGTATGGGCAGACTGGGGACAGAAAGAAGGAATTTCATTTCTTTTCCAAAAGTTAACCAAAGACCTTGGAGACAGAATCTGTGTTGTGGTGACAACATTGCCTCAGTCCTTTCTGGCTCCTGTGGCTCCCTTCATCTTGTTCTTAAATCAGGGAGCTCAGTATTTGCAAAAAGTGCAAGGTGGGCAAGGGCTTTGATCCACTGCCCCTGACATGTGGACCAGGTACTCTTGATAGGATGGTCAACGTGTAACAAGACTGTGCTCAGAAAACGAATCTCAGCTTTCCAAGGAAGCTGAAAATGTGAGGGTTTTTCAGAAACAATTTTAGCAGGTGTTTTCACAGCTTCCTAATCACCATCACTCCCCGTGAAAATTGAGTATTCACTGAGTGGCTAATTTCCCCTGATGAAAACATCGTGGCTTCAATTTTATTTGCTTCAGGTTTTCACTTAGAACTACTTTGATAAAGCATAGAATTGTCAGAGCATGAAAACCTGTTTTCTCTTTCCATATGACAGGTGTTGAGGTCTCATTTACAAAACTCTCTCATAAGGAACTTTTTGCAATCTCTTCTAAACAGTGAAATATGGAAGAACTGTATTAGTCTTTTTGGAATTGCAGTGTATGTTTAAGCCAGTTTTTTTTTAATTTTATTTTACTCTGAGGTGTACCCTTCAGAAAATACTTTTTTTCCTTTTTAGAAACAGGACCTTGCTTCACCCAGGCTGAAGTGATGCAATCCTAGCTCACTGCAGCCTTGACCACCTGGGCTCCAGGGATCCTCCTGACTCAGCCTCTCGAGTAGCTAGGATTACAGGTGCAGGCCATCACATTTGGCTAATTATTATTATTATTTGTAGACATGGAGTCTTATTGCCCAGGCTGGTCTCAAACTCCTGGCCTCAAGTGAACCTCCTGCCTCGGCCTTCCGAAGTGCTGAGATTACAGACATGAGCCACTGTGTCCAGACTCAGACCAGTGTTTTCCCAAATACTTCATCAAATGCTGCTCGTATGAGTGCACCATGAAGGTGGTGGTGTGTGCGGGAGGGATCTCTGTAGTCAAATGCATTTGGGAACACTGCTGGCTACATTTGCCTTGCAGATATTCACAGCATATGAAAGTATATTAAGAGTTCTGATAAGACTTATGGTAAATAAACTATTTACAATTACATAGCTCAGTGTTCCTCAAAATGATTTAAACATAGATGGTTTTTCCCTACTGGGTCACTTATATGCATCCTACTGTAAATGTGAGAGTAGATATTTATCTGTCATTAGTTCCTAAGTTGTTCTGTGGACTGCAGTAAGCTTTTGAAAAAAGCCATTACTTGCCAGCTGTCTTGGTTTGTGCTGCTATAACAAAATACCCGAGACTAAGTAACTTGTAAAGAACAGAAATTTGTTTTCATACAGTTATGAAGGCTGGGAGTCCAAGATCAAGGTGCTGGCAGGTTGTGTGATGAAGGCCGCTCTCTGCTTCTAAGATGGTGCCTTGTTGCTGCATCTTCTGGAGGGGAGGAACACCAGGTCCCAACAGGGCAGCAGGTGGAAGGACAAGCAAGCTGGAGGTGCTGTGAAGCCTTCTTTATAAAGGCTTTAATCTCATTCATGAGGGAGGAGCCCTCATGGCCTAATCATCTCTTAAAGGCCCCGCCTCTTACTCCTAGCACATTGGCCGTTAAATTTCAACACCTGAATTTGGGGAGGTGGGCACACTTAAACCATAGCACAAGCTGAGTCAAAAGCTCTTAGTTTTAGAAGGTGTGATGAAAAGTGCACATGCTTTGCAACCCAAGTATGTGTGTTTCTGTGTGTGTGTGTGTCCAGTCAGTCCAACAAACTTCATCTTCTGCCAACACTTGAAAAAAGGGCTGGGCATGGTGTGTCAGGCACCATGGAAGGCTAAGAAGGGAGGATCACTGGAGTGTAGGAGTCTGAGACCAGCCTCGGCAACATAGTAAGACCCTGTCTCTACAAAAAAAAAATTTTTTTAATTAGCCAGCCGCCCATGGCATGCCCGGGTAGTCCCAGCTCCTCAGGAGGCTGAGGCAGGAGGCTCATTTGAGCCCAGAAGTTTGAGGTAGCAGTGAGCTATGATCATGCCACTGCACTCCAGCCTGGGCAACAGAGTGAGATCCTGTCTCTAAAAAAAAGAAGAAAAAAAAGAAAAAAAAGAACCCAACTACAATGTGTGTTAATAGAGAAAGGGAAAATTCCATCCCTGAAGCAAATGTGTCTTTCTGACCTCTTCTGTGCAGTTTTTTTTTAAATTTCTATTTTCATGCTATTACTGGGATTCTCTGCAGTTTCATTGTCTCATTTAGTTCGTTCATTTATTCTTTCACTGATTTATTCATTTATTCAACACGTACTTATGAACAGCTACTACATGTCAGGCACTCTTCTGAGTGCTTGGAATATAGCAGTGAAAAAAACAAAGGCCGCTGCCTTTATGAAACTGGCATTCTTTGAGAGGCAGGTGCTAGAAATAAACAATTCTTCATCATCTGGATTATCACCACAGCCTCCTTAACTAGTCTTGGCTCTAGTTTCTCTCCTTTCTAATCCATCTTCTACACAGCTGCCAAGAGTGATTTAAAACTCAGACAACATTAAACACTTCCTTTCCTTAAAAACATGAAATAACATGAAATAATTTTCTCCAGCACTTGGGAATTTGTGTCCATTCAGATTTCTCAGGATTGAAGAATAATGTCTTCCTAATCTGACCATAATACCTTCCTTAACCTTTTCTCATTGTTAAACCGAACACTATGAGGCTTATTGTAAATGCTTCCTTCTATGGAGAACCTATCTAATCCCTTCAAGTCAAAATTAAACACTCAGCACGATGTAGATGGTAGCTTCATTGAATTTCACTTCTTCTTTTCTATATCAAATTTACTGGATCTTCCTCATTTGTAAGCTCTTGGAGAAGAGTTGTATCTTATTTATCTCTGTTAATTCTTAATGGCCAGCACTGTGCTTTGAATGTGGGAGATCCACAGAAGAAATGGATGTTGAATAAGTAAGTGAATTGTTGATTGAATACATGAATTAAAGAGTTCCATTAAAAGACTGAAGATATATAAAGTCATATTGGGTGAGAGGCAAGCACTTCTTTAAATTTCCAACTAGCAACTTAATTTCCAGAACTGCCTTAAAACCCTCCTATTCTGGAATTTATGTTAAGATACTTAAGTGTAAGGTCAGAGGAAGAATTGCTTTTCACTACATTTATTTTTAATACTTAGAGGTAGAAGGATGAGAGCTCACAGTTACATTATTTCATTTTATAATATTGCCTCATGAGGTCAATCCTCTATTTCAGTGACCAGATGGAAACCCACCAAATAAATAAATCAAAAGGAATCAAGTAGACCTTGGAAATGAGTGTTTCAATAGGTATATTTGATAATCTGTTGACACTAGAGTCATAATTTGCCCCTTGAAGATGTGCAGTGCAGAACAGCTGGGCTTGTCAGGGGAATCAAGCCAAGGTAAAGGTCAGAGAGCGATGGTGGGATTCGAACCTATGAAATGAACTCTAATGGGCACGTCTGACATGTGCACATAGGGGGAAGAAAAAAGGAGATACTGCTAGAGATTAATTACTACAACTGCTAATGTGAATAAGGCTCTCCAATTCTGACATTTACCACAGAATGAACTCATGGCCCGGAAAATTTTTAAATGCTGCATTTCAATTCAGTTGGTACAATTATGCAATGGGCCTAACCACTGAAAGAACTGAAAGGCTAGGTTTGTCAAATTTCTGAATGAGCCAAATAAACAGCAGGCTAAAGCATCCTTGCTACATACCTTAGTTCTATTCTTAAATGATAAACTTTCTCATTTTTTTCATTTTTCTTTTTAATAAAGACAAAGTCTTGCTGTGTTGCCCAGACTGATCTTGAATTCCTGGCCCCAAGTGATCCTCCTACTCTGGACACCCAAAGTGCTGGGATTACAGGCATGAGTCCCGTGCCTGGACTTTGTTATTATTCTTTTTGTTTTTTTGTAGTCAAACTTTCCTGTGGACAACCTGAAAGCAGGGGCAGTGGTTACTAATTAAACTGCTTCCAATAATAAACTCGTGGGATTATTGTGTCAACTAGGTAACTGATATAATTATGCCTCAAATTATAAATTGGAATTCAGTCACAAAGAATTAGAGAATTCACCTGACACTTATGCACAGCTTAACTGATGGCTTAAATAATATATTTGGCACCTTACCACATGCCCAATACTGGCTCAGTGTGAACAAAGGTCATTATGACATGGCCTCTGTTTTTCTGGCCTCCCATACAATCTAAAGACCATGCTCACCTCCTTTAGAAAATATTTTCTGAGCTGGACATGGTGGCTCAGGCCTGTAATTCCAGCACTTTGGGAGGCCGAGGCAGGTGGATCACAAGGTCAACAGATCAAGACCATCCTGGCCAACATAGTGAAACCCTGTCTCTACTAAAAATACAAAAATTAGCTGGGCGTGGTGGCGTGTGCCTGTAGTCCCAGCTACTCAGGAGGCTGAGGCAGGAGAATCGCTTGAACCCGGGAGACGGAGGTTGCAGTGAGCTGAGATTGCACCACCGCACTCCAGCCTGGCAACAGAGTGAGACTCCATCTCAAAAAAAAAAAAAAAAAAAAAAAGAGAAAACATTTTCTGTTCTTCATGGCAGACATTATTATTCACTGAAACTTTAAAGTACAATTTGATCTGTTTCATTTGTGTGCTGAGGTTTCCTAGCCGTTTCGTGACTATGTGTCTTGTCTCTTTGCTTGACAGTTAACCCGTTTTTCGTCCCTATTAGAGACTCGCACGACGTCTCGTTTGCTTTGGAACCTCTTTAGCATTCTGGACAGTGCAATGCACCAAGCAAATGCATAGTAATATTTGCTGAAAGAAGACTGCTTGCTCATTAAATTTGCTGATGTAATCAAAAATATAAAATTCTGTAGTTTTCCTGTCAAGTAGAGAAAGAAGGCAGAATCAAAAATTTTGTAAACATCCTTGGACTTTTAGTTGAAAAGTAAAACTGACCCATCTTGACAAAATTTTGCAACCAGGTGAATCCACATATTCATCTCTCCTGAAAGGAAAATCTAAGTAGATAACAAATAAATTACATTTTCTTTATTTTGGCTTGCAATTTTCCTAGCATAAATGTGCATGGTATAGTCAGTTTTATTATAAGAAATGCTCACCATTCACATAGATAGTCTCTAGATATTTCATGAAAAAAATTAGTAAGATTTGTGTATATAGAACTAATAAAAATCCATTTGAGTGCTGCAAGTAATAGGAAATCCATTGCAAAATTGATTAAACAATTAAGGAAAATTATGTCCCATAATAAGATCTTCTGAGGCAGGAGGAATCCAGGGTTGCTTTCTTCAGTAGCTCAATGATGTCTTCGGAATCACAGGCTTTTCCATCTGTGTGCACTGCATCCTCTCCTTACCCCTGGCCAGTTCCCCTTGAGGTCCCAAGGAGGCTGTCACGGTTTCAGTTATCATAGGCAGATACAATGATGTTCAAGAGGGTGTGTGTATGTTTAATCAGCAGGGAAGCCCTTCCTAGAAAACCTCAGATAAATTCCTCTCTCATTTTATTCACCAGGATTGAGTCATTCGTCTCTTCCTAAAACCAAGAGCTGGCAAGGGAACTGGAATTTCGATGACTGGCTTGGATGATTCAGAATTTAATCCTGAGTCATGTGAGGTCAGGGTAGACACCCAAATAAAATGGAAGCTCTCTGGAAAGGGAGAAGAGTGTGCTGGCCTCTGGGTAGTCAGCTACAAAGCAAAAAGGAAAACATTCCTCAGAGAAAACACACACACACAAACACACAGCTACAATGCAACTTTTTACTGCTGCTGTGCAATTTACTTTTAAGACCACATGAAATTATTTGAAGTTACTTCTTTTCTCCTCTTTGGTCTCTGTTGCTAGCTAAATCATAATTAGTTTGGTGTTCGTACTATCATACTTGTGAATATGGCTTTTTTTTTTTTTTTTGAGATGAAGCTTCGCTCTTGTTGCCCAGGCTGGAGTACAATGGCACAATCTTAGCTCACTGCAACCTCTGCCTCCTGGGTTCCAGCGATTCTCCTGCCTCAGCCTCTGAAGTAGCTGGGATTACAGGCATGCGCCACCACACCCAGCTAATTTTGTAATTTTAATAGAGACAGGGTTTCACTGTGTTGGTCAGGCTGGTCTCAAACTCCTGACCTCAGGTGATCTGCCCACCTCAAAAGTGGTGGGATTACAGGTGTAAGCCACCGGACCCAGCCAAGGATATGGGTTTATACTAAAGCAATGCAAAGAAATGAAGGCAAGCCAGGGGCTCATTCAGAAACTATCCTCACAAAAGGCAAGGGAGAGGGCAATTATTGGTATTCCTCCATATTCAAGCTCTTTAGTTGTTGTTGTTATTGTTTAGAGACAGGGTCTCACTCTGTTGCCCTGGCTGGAGTGCAGTGGCACAATCCTGACTCACTGCAGCCTTGAACTCCTGGGCCCAAATAATTCCCCCACCTCAGCCTCCTAAGTAGCTGTGATTACACGCATGGGCCTCCACACTCGGCTAATTTTTAAAATTTTTTTGGTAGATATGAGGGTCTTACTATGTTGCCCAGGCTGGTGTCAAACCCCTGGCCTCAAGTGATCCTCCCACATCGGCCTCCCAAAGTGCTGGGATTACTGACATGAGCCACTGTGCCTGGCCTCCATAATCAAACTCTTTGATCTAGAGCAGAGGTCAGCACATTTTTTTTTAAAGGTCAGATAGTAAATGTTTTAGGCTTGCAGGTCATACATACAATCTCTATCACAACTCCTCAACCCTGTCACTGCAGTGGACAATACGTAAACCAGTAAGTGTGGCTGTGTTCTAATAAAACAGAATTTATGGGCACTGAAATTAGAATTTTATATAGTTTTTATGGGTTGGTAAATATTTTTCTTTTAACTTTTTTCAACCACTTACAAAGTGAAAGCCCACTTTTAGCTGTATAAAAAAAGGTGGCAAGCCAGATTTGGCACATGAGCCATGGTTTACTAAATCCTGTTCTACAGCAGTTTTCATATTTGTCTTTTATCTTACATCTCCTTCTTGCATATTTTAGATATGAATGAAGCTTCTCTATTTATTAGACTTAATTAATTGATTACATAACTGCAAAAATAAGTATTTCATTTAAGTGGACTATTTTGTAGATTCATAAAAGAACGTACTTTTTATTTGTACAATAACAGGTCCCAGTGGAGAGTCTTGCTTGACTCTACATTGCCAGTGTCAATTTGGCCCCATATCATTTCTGCCTTTGTGTTAATTGGTTTTCTTATTATTAGAGTTGTATAAATGACCAGTGAGAAGATGTGAATATAAAACAGATTTGCCAGCACAATAAAAAATAGAAAAGTGGGGAAGACACTAAATTATACAGATAGATTGGAAATAACATTAGGTAAGAATCGCGCCGGTTTTACCCACACTGGAAAGAGCTGAGAGGTATGCATAGCTCTTTTATTGCTCTGAGTAATGATGGTAATTATGATGTAATCCACAGAGCACAACCGACACTGGACTGGGTGGAAATAGTGCTCTCAATCCTCCACTCTATAACAATATGGCTTGTAAAACGTATGTACCATTGAGGCCAGGCGTGGTGGCTCATGACTACTTTGGAAGGCCAAGACAGGAGGATCACTTGAGTCCAGGAGTTCAAGACCAGCCTGAGAAACATAGTGAGCCCCTGTCTCTACAAAAAAAATTTTTTTTAATTAACTGGGCATGGTGGCACACACCTGTGGTCCCAGCTACTTGAGAGGTTGAGGCTGGAGGATTGCTTGAGCCCAGGAGGTCAGGAGGTTGAGGCTGCAGTGAGCCAAGATCGTGCCACTGCACTCTAGCTGGGAGACAGAGTGAGACCCTGCCTCAAAAAAAAAAACAACAAAAAAAAACCCAAAAAAACCCATTGACTTAATAGTAGTTTTGCTTCAAAAAGAGAAAAGAAATTTACCACTTTAAATGTAGGCATTGATAGCAAAGAGTATCACAATTATAGACAAGTTAAATGTAATTTATGAAAATGACACTTTTAGCCTGGATGAAATGTGGCAATTCCCTAGATAAACAGTACATTAGGAAGGGCTTGTCTATTTCTAGATGGCAGTAAGTGACTTCAATTTAGGCCAGGGTAATTTAGACCAGTAAGTGGTATTTCTCAACCTTGTAAATATATAATAAAGGGAAAATAGCTCAAAGTATGCTGTAAGAAAAACATGTAAACCTGCTATCTGGATTATTGAGAAATATTTAATGGTGTAAAGCAAGTAAGCTGTAATCAACAGAATCTTTACATTTTTTGGTATCTCTTTGTAAAACCTTTGCCCTTCTCTACTTAAGACACCCAGGGAACTGGCTGTGCTTCCTGATCATTAAGAAGACTGAAATAAAGTGACTCCTTATTCATTCCAGAAATGGATTTCACTATGCTGCAGCACTTAGCTTGTAAAATGGATTTATAAACAGGTGAAATATTAGGTGGGTAAAGCCACATGACAGTAAAGATTTACAAATTAAATTTCTTTATCTGAATATTCTTACTTTAAGGATTTATTTTCCCATCTCTGTAAATAAACATTTTTTTTTAAGAACCTACTTGGTATAATAGAAAGAGCACTTGAACAGGGAAAAATGGCAATTAAGATTTTGGTTTTGACCTTGCTGCCACTGGCATAGAGAACTTGGGAAAGTCATTTCATCTTCCTTGGTTAACTTCAATTTCTTTCTTTTTTTTTTAAACCAGCTTTATTGAGATGTAATTGACATACAATAAATTGCACATATTTGAAGCATACATCTGTACATTTTTACATATATGTACACACATGAACAGGGTTGTCAGATTTAAAGTACAGAATGCCCAGTTAAATTCGGATTTCAGATAAACAATGAAACATTTTTAGTATAAGTATGTCCCAAACATTTGCATGGTACATATTCATACTAAAAAAATTTATTCATCTGAAATTCAAATTTAACTGGCCACTCTATGTTTTTATTTGCGAAATCAAACAGCTCTATCCATGGATTCTCACTGTAGTTAAGATCAAGAACTTATCTGTCATTTTTCCCATACCCAGGCAATCACTTTTCTGCTTTCTGTTACTATAGATTAGTTTGCGGTTCCCAGAATTTGATCTAAATGGCATCGAATCATACAGTATGCACTCTCTTTTGTCTGGCTTCTTCTTCTTCTTTTTTTTTTTTTTTTTTGAGAGGGAGTCTTGCTCTGTTGCCCAGGCTGGAGTGCACTGGTGCAATCTCCGCTCACTGCAACCTCTGCCTCCTGGATTCAAGTATTCTCCTGCCTCAGCCTCCCTAGTATCTGAGATTACAGGCACACGCCACCACGCCCGGCTAGTTTTTGTATTTTTAGTAGAGATGGGGCCTCACCATATTGGCCAAGCTGGTCTCAAACTCCTGACCTCAAGTGATCCACCCAACCCAAAGTGCTGGGATTACAGGTGTGAGCCACCGGTGCCTGGCTTGTCTGGCTCCCTACACTAAGCATAATTATTTTGAGATCATCCAAATTGTAACATGTAGCAATAGTTTATTCCTTTTTATTGCTGAGTAATATTCTATTGTACAGATATGTAACATTTACCTATTGATGGACTTTGGGGTTCTTTTCAATTTGGGGCTGTATAAAGCTGCTATGAACATTTGTGTATTAATCTTTTTATGGACATTTGTTTTCATTTATCTTGGGTAAATAACTAGAAGTGGAATGGCTGGATCATATGGTAGATGTATTAATTTGTAAAGGAACTTCCAAATTGCTTCAACAGTAGTTGTGTCATTTTTGCATTCCCACTAGCAGTATATGAGAGTTCTATTTTCTCCACATCTTTGCCAACACTTGGTCTTCTTAATTGGTGCATTCTAATAGGTATGTAGTGATACCTCATTGCAGTTTTAATTTGCAATCTCTAATGACTAATCATGTAGAGGACCTTTTGCTTATTTGCTATCCATATATTTTCTTTAGTAAAGTGTTCAAATCTTTTGCCCATTTCTTAATTGCCTCGTCTTCTTATTGAGAGAGTTGAGCTTTTTAAAAAACTTTTATTTTAGGTTTGGGGGTACATGTGCAAGTTTGTTATATAGGTAAACTCATGTCATGGGGGTTTGTTGTACAGATTGTCACCCAGGTACTAAGCCTAGTACCCAATAGTTACTTTTTCTGCTCCTCTCCCTCCTCCCATCCTCTACCCTCAAGTAGGCTATTGTTCTCTTCTTTGTGTCTGTGAGTTCTCATCATTTAGCTCCCACTTATAAGTGAGAACATGCAGTATTTGGTTTTCTATTCCTGCATTAGTTTGCTAAGGCTAATGGCCTCCAGTTCTATCCATGTTCCCACAAAAGACAGGATCTCACTCTTTCTTATGGCTGCATAGTATTCCATGTCGTATATGTACCATGTTTTCTTTATTCAATCTATCATTAATGGGCATTTAGTTTGATTCAATGTCTTTGCTATTGTGAGTAGTGCTGCAATGAACATTTGTGTGCACGTGTCTTTATGATACACTAATTTACATTCCACTGGTTTTATACCCAGTAATGGGATTGCTGCATTAAATGGCAGTTCTGTTTTTAGCTCTTTGAGGAAGCGCCACCCTGCTTTCCACAATGGTTGAACTAATTTACACTCCAACAAGTGTTCCCTTTGCTCTGCATCCTCGCCAGCATCTGTTATTTTTTGACTTTTTAATAATAGCCATCCTGACTGGTGTTTTTGTGGTTTTGATTTGCATTTCTCTAATGATCAGTGATATTGAGCTTTTTTTTTCATATGCTTCTTGGCCACATGTATGTCTTCTTTAGAAAAGTATCCTTATCACTTGCCCACTTTTTAATGGGGTTGTTTGTTATTTTCCTGTAAATTTGTTTCTGTTCCTTATGGATGCTGGATATTAGACCAAGAGTATTTTATATGCTCTGAATACAAGTCCTTTATCAGATATGTACCTTGCAAATATTTTCTTCTAATCTGTGCTTGTAGTTTCATTTTTTAAAGTGTCTTGTGAAGAGCAGAAGTTTTTAATTTTGATAAAGTTTACTTTATTAATTTATTCTTTAATGGATCATACCATAGGTGTTACACCTAAAAATTATTTTGTTAAAAAAATTATTTTTTGTAGAGATGGGATCTCATTATGTTGCCCAGGTTGGTCTCAACTCCTGGCCTCAAGCATGAGCTACTGTGCCCAGCCTAAATAATCTTTGTCTAATCTAAGATCACAAAGTTTTTCTCCTATGTTTTCTTTTAGAAGTTTTATAGTTTTAGGTTTATACATATAGGTCCATGACCCATTTCAAGTCCATTTTTGTATATAAGAAGAGATATGAAGTTCAATTGTTTTTGTATATGGATATCCAGTTATTTTGGCACCATTTGTAAAAGACTATCACTTTTCACTAAATTGCTTTTGCATCTTTGTTTTAATGATACATATCACTGCACACACACACACACACACACACACACACGCAGTGTTGTTAACTGGGTCCCTATGTGAAATGTATTTCTTACTGTGGACTGCAGTCAGAAAAGTTTGAAAGGCAGTGCTATGATGGCTACCTGAATTACTTTTTTCTCTCTCTCTGGTCTCCTAATCATTCTTGTCTATCACTTCCATATATTCAGTCCTTCCTGCTTCTTCAATTTCCACTGTTCCTCTAAAACGTCATTTTCTATGAAAGCACATTTATGATCACCTCAGGAAAGCATTGTTTTTGCTATTCCTTTCATTTTTTCCTCCCCTCTCTGCTATACAGGGAAATGATAAAACATTTTATATCTCCCTGCCAAGTTTATACCACTCTCTGTGTAATTCGCCCTGTGACCTTTCATTCAGTGTTTCTTGTGGTTCGCAATTGGTTTACAGCACATCATTTCCTTTTTCATTTGTTTTGCTTTATTGGGAGACAGCATGATGTGTAGAAAAGAGAATGGGCCATACTCCAGCTGAACCCTATTTCATAATAGGCTCATAACCTTCTTCAAAATACCATCTCTCAGGCTCAGTTTCTTTATCTGAAAAATAAAACCACATCTAACAACCTCATATATTTGTTGTAAGAATTAAGTAAGGTATTGTATGTAGCATATGTGAGGCATGTCTAGTCCTATACCGGACACATAATAGATGCCTGATGATAGCTATTATCACCATACTATGTACCTTCTAACCACTTCTGTTATTTCCATCACCTTCCCTCATGTCTGTATCTTCTACTATGCTAATGCTATTGTAGGCTGTACAGTACGGCGCCTCAGATAATTAAATTCAATGACCTCAACTACCCTTGTGAGAATGATTTTACACAGGAAGTGTCATGGTGCCAAAGAGATGAAAGAGATCAGATTTCATTTCACTCTAAAAAAGAAAGACATTTTTTCTTCCACAAAAGAGAGCTTTAAACCTCCTTCCCATTATCAAGGTAGACAGAAAAATACTCCTCTTTAAAGAGAACACAGCTACTAGAAATGCTAACCATTCAGCTAACAGGGTCAGAATGGTAGCTCAAACTACCATTCCCCAGGACTTAAAAGGCAAAAATAAGAATGCTCTGTGAATGCTGATAGGGACAAGAACATTCTAACCTCGACCAGATAAGAAAATGTTGGACACAGAAAAGGAACTTAGACTGATTCACAGACTTTTGACGAGTCATCACCAGCTGAGTCCATTTTGGGTTTTTTTTGTTGTTGTTTTGTTTTATTTTTTGAGTTGGGGTCTCACTGTTACCCAGGCTGGAGCACAGTGGCGCAATCCTGGATTACTGCAACCTCTACCTCCCGGGTTCAAGTGATCCTTCCACCTCTGCCTCCCAAGTAGCTGGGACCACAGGTGTGTGCCAACACACCTGGCTAATTTTTTGTTGTATTTTTGGTAGAGACAGGGTTTTGCCATGTTGCCCAGGCCAAGCTGAGTCCATTTTGAAGAGGAATTAGAGATTGTCTGAAGCTACTCTGTGCTCTTTTTTTTTTTTTTTTTTTGAGATGGATTCTCACTCTTTTGCCCAGGCTGGAGTGCAGTGGTGCGATCTCAGCTCACTGCAACCTCCACCTCCCAGGTTCAAGCAATTCTCCTGTGTCAGCCTCCTGAGTAGCTGTGATTACAGGCCCATGACACCACGCCCTACTAATTTTTGTATTTTTAGTAGAGACGGGGTTTTGCCATGTTGGCCAGGCTTGTCTCGAACTCTTGACTTCAGGTAATCTGCCTGCCTTGACCTCCCAAAGTGCTGGGATTACAGACATGATGTATTCATTAGTTTTTTGTTAAATGTTAAAATAATCAAGAGCCATTCTATGAGTTCCTAGATTCCTAGCCTGGGTAGACTTTACCTGATTATAAATAATAATGGGAATTCTGGCACCTAACATGGTTGTTCTATTTTTGCACTGGGTCACAATTTCAATACATTTACTCACTTTGATTAATACACAGTAAGTGTCAAGCTGTTTTTTTTACCATAATTAATTCATTATTATTCATCCTATTAGTTATATGACCTGGTATTAAAGCTACCAGGTCAAGAGTGGTTTTGTTTGTTTGTTTGAGATGGAGTTTTGCTCTTGTTGCCCAGGCTGTTTAATTAATACCTTCTTCCAGAAACTTAGTTTTAAAAAACCATCGGCCAGACACGGTGGCTCACACCTGTAATCCCAGCACTTTGGGAGGTCGAGGCAAGCGGATCATGAGGTCAGGAGTTCGACATCAGCCTGACCAACATGGTGAAACCCCATCTCTACTAAAAATACAAAAATTAGCTGGGCATGGTAGCGCAAGCCTGTAATCCCAGCTGCTCAAGAGGCTGAGGCAGAAGAATCCCTTGAACCCAGGTTGCAGTGAGCCGAGATCGCGCCATTGCACTCCAGCCTGGGTGACAGAGTGAGACTCCGCCTCAAAAAAAAAAAAAAAAAAAATCAACCAGCCTGGCCAACATGGTGAAACCCCATCTCTACTAAAAATACAAAAATTAGCCGGGCATGGTGGTGAGTGTCTGTAATCCCAGCTACTCAGTAGGCTGGGGCAGGATAATTGCTTAAACCTGGGAGGCAGAAGTTGCAGTGAGCCGAGATCACGCCATTGCACCGCAGCCTGGGCAGCAAGAGCGAAACTCCATCTCAAAACAAAACAATAATAACAACAACAAAAAACCATCAACTAGGGTGTTTGGATATATGGATGCTCCCAGATAACATTAATCTGAGTTCTAACAAGTCTCCAGCTGTACTTTCCGATGGAGCAGCCACTAGCCACATGTGTTATTGTGGCTAGCCCAAACTGAGAAGTGCTATAAGTCAAAAGTACACACCCAGAGTTCACATACTTAGTACAAAAGAAAAAATGTAAACATTTTGTTAATAACTTTCAATATTGATTTCATATTGAAATAACTTTGGATTTATTGGATTAAACAAAGTATATTATTAAAGTTATTTGTACCTGTTTTAATTTTTTTTTAAGAGGGAGTTTCACTCTGTTGCCCAGGCTGGAGGGCAGTGGTGCAATCTCGGCTCACTGTAACCTCCATTTCCCAGGTTCGAGTGATTCTCTTGCCTTAGCCTCCTGAGTAGCTGGGTCTATGGGTGTGTGCCACCACGCCCAGCTAATCTTTGTATTTTTAGTAGAGACAGAGTTTCGCCATGTTGGCCAGGCTGGTCTTGAACTTCTCACTTCAAGTGATCCACCTGCCTTGGCCTCCCAAAGGCTGGGGTTACAGGCGTGAGCCACCGCGCCTGACCCTCTTTTAATTTTTTAATGTGGCTGCCAGAAAATGTTCAATTATGTATGTGGCTCGAATTATGTTTCCGTTGAACAGTGTTGGTCTGAAGTTTACAAACTTGTGAAATTCTACAATACTTAAAGCTGGTGGATAATTATAACTGTGGCTCATTAAGATTTGGAAAACTTGTTGCAATATTTGTTAGAGAGGGAGAGGTTTTTAGTGTACATAACTGGCTGAAGAGTCAGACAGAAGCAGTATAGAAGGGTCATTCAGAAGTCCAAAGTGAAACCATCTTAAGCAACCATGTTTACGCGAGATGAAAAGCTAGTGGCTTTAACCTGTGGGAAAATGTACCACACCCTGCCAATGCAATGCAAAGTTCATCTTGTTACTCATCCCTGAAACCTGCCCCCCAGCTTTCTATAGCTAATTGCTCACAGTTGGATCCCTTTTAAAGTGAGATTACACTCCCTACAGGATATGTTGTACATGCTGACAGCCAAGTTTCCAAGGTTTTCATTCAACCTAATACTCATTTTTGGTCATATTACGGCTTTGAGCAAAATGCTGAACATGAAGAAGCTGAATTGAAGATGATACTAAGTGGTGACAGATAGTAATCCCCAGGATGCATCTTGGTTGTATCAAAGAGATACAAAAGAAACTTAAAGACAGAGGTTTTAAAGTCAGAGCAATCATAGATTGCCAATAACTTACTAATAATATGTAAATTTAAAACATGTCAAACACAGGTAGGACAACCTCAGGGAAGCATAGAAATCAGGGAGTCAAAGTGGCAAGCATTGATAATGTTCACCCACCACAAACGAGGGCTGAGGGTCCTCCCTTTGAGAGGCAAAGCTCAAAAGAGAAGGGTTAGGATTGGTCAAGTTATTACAGTTTATGGCCATTAAGCCAATGTTTAACATTGTTTTCCCTAGAATGCCAGTGTTGTTCTAATATTGTCCTGTGAAAGTTTTGATGCCGGCAGTATTTTCTTCTAAAATGTATTTAAAATATATTGAAGCATACGGTAATTAGGAGGCCAGAGATCTAGCAACTGAAGCAGCATATGGCCAAGCCGTGTGGGGTGCGCCTGAGACGGGAGGCCTGTAAACAGGTGGAGATCTTCAGGCAGAATCTTTTCCAGGAGGCTGAGGAATTCCTCTACAGATTCTTGCCACAGAAAATCATATACTTGAATCAGCTCTTGCAAGGTACTGCCTCAATGTGGCTGACCTGACTTCCCTCCGGGCCCCACTGGACATCTCATCCCAGGCCCTCCACCCAAGGATGATGAGATGGAAACAGATAAGCAGGAGATGAAAGAAGTCCCTAAGAGTGGATTTCTCCCTAGGAATGAGAAGGTCCTGTTCCTGCTTGCCCTGGTTAAGCCAGGAGTCTGTAGTCTCAAAGAGAAATGCATTCTAGTGATCACAGGGATCCAGCACCTGATCCTCAAGATTGAAGATGGATGATTTTGGGGTAGCAATCCAGGAGAAGGTGCTGGAGAGGGTGAATGCCGTCAAAAGCAAAGTGGAAGCTTTCCAGACAACCATTTCCAAGTACTTCTCAGAACGTCGGGATGCTGTGGCCAAGGCCTCCAAGGAGACTCATGTAATGGACTACTGGGTCTTGGTGCACCAGCGAGATGAGGCAGCCTATGGGGAGCTCAGGGCCATGGTGCTGGACTTCGGGGCCTTCTACGCTGAGGTTTAACATATCAGCAGCAGCAACCTGGAGAAAATTGTCAACCCGAAGGGTGAAGAGAAGCCATCTATGCACTGAATCCAGGACTAGAAGGAAAATAAATGACCTATATGTTGTGTGTGGGAAAAAAAAGAATATGGTAATTACATAATAACAATGTAGTTATCAGTAAAATGTCTTTAAGAAATGGTATATTTCACCTGGCACAGTGGCATGCGCCTGTAGTCCCAGCTACTTGGGAGGCTGGGGTGGGAGGATTTCTTGAGCCTAGGAGCTCAAGTCCAGCCTGGGCAACATACTGAGAACTCTCTCTAAAATAAATAAGTAGATACAGTACAAAATTTTTAAAAAGAAATGCTACATGTGAGGTTTCTAGGACATTACCTATGAGATCATCTGATACATGCCAGCCTCTTTCATATACATATTGATACCTCAGTTTCATATACCTGTTATTGTGACTTCAGATTTTATCTGTAAGGTGGAGGATAACATATCTACATCACAGAGTTTTGTAAGAATTGAGATAATTCGGTCGGGCATGGTGGCTCATGCCTGTAATCCCAGCACTTTAGGAGGCCAAGGCGGGTGGATCACCTGAGGTCAGGGGTTCGAGACCAGCCTGACCAACATGGTGAAACCCCATCTCTACTAAAAATGCAAAAATTAGGTGTGGTGGCACACGCCTATAATCCCAGCAACTCAGGAGGCTAAGGCAGGAGAATCACTTGAACCCGGGAGGCGGAGGTTGCAGTGAACCAAGATCGTGCCACTGCACTCCAGCCTGGGCAACAGAATAAGACTCTGTCTCAAAAGAAAAAAAAATTGAGATAATTCATGTAAAGAATTATGACAGCGCCCATTTTAAGCAGCTGGTAAATGTTAGATGATGATGAACTAGTATTGTACATATATTTAATGATCACTATGTTCATTTTCATGTTATAATTTTAATACACATTTATAAAGTGGATCAGATGTTGACTATTCTTAAATAATTAGTAAATAAAACAATATTGCATTGTCTTTTAAATCCAAGAATACACTTCATTTCATGAATTCCATTCCTGTTAAGCCCTTTTAACACATTATAATTGAAAAAATATTGCTGTGGTTATGTAGCCAGGACTCAAGCAGCATTAAGTAAAACCATGAATGAAGTGAATTTGAGAAACATTGTATTAGACATTCGATCATCCAATATTTTCATTCTGCTTTGAGTCTATAGCAGTGGTTTATTGGGCTCTCAAGAGAAAAAGCTATGGTTTTAGCATTTACCAGTTTCTGTGGTATAAACATTTCCAACATGGTCAATGTCAAACTATTGTGTGATGTCACTGAATGCAAAGTTGGAAAGAGATGCTAATAATTGGTTCTCTCAAGAAGGTACAAACAGGCTCCCAAACACCACTCAAATAAATACTTTGCATGATTATAGCATGGCTTCTCATACAGTGTTCATTCATTCATTATACCAATGGTTCTGCAAATGTGATCCCCTGACCGACAGCATAAGCATCATTGGGGAACTTATTAAAAATGCAAAATCTCAGGGCCCACCTTATATCTCCTAAAACAGAAACCATGAAAATGAGGCTTAGCAATCTGTCTTAACAATCCCTCCAAGTGATTCTGATGCATCATGTTTGAGGACCCCTGCCCTATGCTCTTGCTGTTGTTTCTGAAGGGGAAGAAGTGCCAAGTAACTTCTAACATTTATTAATTAATGTACCAAGACTAGCAATGTTGGCATTCTCATTCTTCAAAGCATCTAATTATGGACTCTGAAATTGCAATTTATATATTCCTAGAATCAACAAAGGACACCAAGCTGCTGCTCTTTTGCATGGAAAGGTAATCTTATCTTCAAATGTCCCCATGTTTCCGTTGCTATTGAGAGGCTCTCATAAGGGTTAGTTAAGAGTTCTACTGGCTTGGCTTAGTGACTCATGCCTGTAATCCTAGCACTTAGGGAGGCCATGGTGGGCAGATCCCTTGGGCCCAGGGGTTTGAGACTAGCCTGGACAATATGGCAAAACCTTATCTCTGTTAATAAAAAAAAATGCAAAATTACAAAAATTAGCCCGACACAGTGGTGTACGCCTATAGTCCCAGCTACTTGGGAGGCTGAGGTGGGCGGATCACTTGAGTCCAGGAGGTTGGGAGGTCGAAGCTGCAGTGAGTTTTGATTGCGCCATTGTGCTCCAGCCTGGATGACAGAGGAGACTTTGTCACAAAAAAACAAAAACAAAAACAAAAAACAAAAACTACTCCTTGTGATTTCTGGTTGCTTCTGCAGCAGAGACCATGGGCAAAATCCCGGTGCTGAAATAAACATATGCCCTGATGTATTAGTGGACACGTTGTTAATCTACTTTGTATGGCTGGTTGGTTGTTTGAAAATCACATAAATACAGCCCTAAATTCAGTTATACTGTACACAGTATTGGCAGAGATACATGGTTTCCAGGATGTTCTAAGGGAGCTTTGGATAGGTGCAGCCTTCAGAGGTCAGCAGGTATGACCTTGCACTCTATGTGGGCTCCCCTTCACAGCACGTGTTCATCCAACTGACAAAATATTTCCAGTAACAAAAGCACATTCTATTTTTGGACAGGTCTAATTATTCTTCCATACATTGAACTAAAATCTGCCTTCCTGTAACAGTCACACAGTAGTCTGAATTCTGAATTCTGGTAAAGAATCCCCGTCTCATTGAAATAGCCCATGAGATCCCAGGAAAGGGTCACTTTAGGCTCTTTTGCAAATTAGGCTTCCCCACTTCTTTCAGGCGTTCATGTAACAACATTCCCAGGCTCTGCACCACTCTGCCTCTTGATGCTCTTCAATTTATTAACATCTGGCTTAAAATGTGGCATGCATAACCAAAAATAATGCTACCATGTGGCCCAATCGGGGCAGCGTTTGTTTCTGGAACACAGCTCTCTGTTAATGCAGCCTGTTATTGTGTCAGCTTTGTTGGCAACTGAGCTAACCTCCGGGCACATCTCCAGTCTGCAGTCAGCTCCACGCTCCACACCAACCTATTGCATAATGTCTTACCTATCCTCTACTTGGATTGTTGATTTTTAAACTCTAAGTGCAAGCTTCATATTTAGTCCTATTAAATTATAACTTTGTGAGTTTCAGACCCAATTCTAAAATAGTAACATCTTTTACAGTCCAAATTGTCATCGAATTTTACTCTCTCTTCTTCCTAGGTTTATATGTTCAGCAAACATAACCACATGATGTCTCTCTTTGTATAAAATCCTGAGGAAACTGTTGAACAAAACAGAGCTGATTCCTGTTCCCCTCCCTCACTCAATTATTTACCTCAAAGCTTGAAACTAGAATAAAATGTCCAAGTGAAGTACCAGTTAAATATTGACTTTCACTTGCCAATTTTACTTCAATCTGTCTTTCAACTGAAGTAGCCTGAAAAATGAAAATGTAATCATTCTAAATAATTCTTAGGGAACATATAGAATGCCTAATGGGTATTAAATATTTGAAATATAAATCCCCATTCTTTGATGTGTGCAAAAGGAGGTAGTTAAAGAATAGTATAGAGTAATTAAAAGCTTTTATCATGATCTGGGATTAATTGAAGTATTTAGAGAGTGGTGATGCCATACTGAAAACAACTATTACAACATTTAGGGTTTTGTAATTTTCTCTGGGTTAATTAATGCTTATAAAAATTATTCTGGCTGGACGCGGTGGCTCACGCCTGTAATCCCAGCACTTTGGGAGGCCAAGGTGGGGTGGTTCACCTGAGGTCGGGAGTTCAAGACCATCCTGACTAACATGGAGAAACCCTGTCTCTACTGAAAATACAAAAATACATGCCGGGCATGGTGGCACATGCCTGTTATCCCAGCTACAGGGGAGGCTGAGGCAGGAGAATCGCTTGAACCTGGGAGGCGGAGGTTGTGTTGAGCCAAGATTGCACCATTGCACTCCAGCCCGGGCAACAAGATCGAAACTCCATCCCAAAAAAAAAAAAAAAATTATTCTGAGCAGGCTTGGTGGCTCATGCCTGTAATCCCAGCACTTTGGGAGGCCAGGGTGGGTGGATTACCTGAGGTAAGGAGTTTGAGACCAGCCTGGCCAACATGGTGAAACCCCGTCTCTACTAAAAAAAATACAAAAATTAGCTGGGCGTGGTGGTGTGCACCTGTAATACTTAGGAGGCTGAGGCAGGAGAATCACTTGAACCCAGAAGGCAGAGGTTGCAGTGAGCCAAGATCACACGATTATACTCCAGCCTGGGTGACAGAGCAAGACTCTGTCTCAAAAAAAAAAAAAAAAATTATTCCTCAAATGGCTTCTTAAATCTATAAAAATTGAAAATAATTATAAAGAAAAAATTTAAAGCCAAGAACAGTAGTTCCATGACTTGGAAGGCTGAGGTAGGAGGATCACTTGAGCCCAGGAGTTCAAGACCAACCAGGGCAACATAGTGAGACCCTAGCTCTATTAAAACAAAATTTTAAGATATCTTACTTAGCACAGAGTATTGGCACTTAGAGATCATGGGCTATGTGAAGAAATATATTCCTAAACTTGATGTATGAGCTACATGATTACGTGTAATGTGGAGTTGAAAACAAATAACATCATGATCGAAAATACCATAATTCAATTCAGAGGATGTGGGCTGAGATGATACCTGATCTGATACCTTCACAGCACCCAGAGAGGAAAGATCAGAAAATGTGTTTTCAATAGACATGGTGAGAACACTGCTAGGGAAGGAGTGGCAGCATTTTTAACATGAATAACCTTAGCTAACCTATCACCACAGTATGTTGAAATAATTTTTTTTTTTTAGAGGATCTCACTCTGTCATCCACACTGGAGTGCAGTGGTGCCATCACGACTCACTGCAGCCTCAATCTCGTGGGCTCAAATGATCCTCCCACCTCAGCTTCCCGAGTAGCTGGGACTACAGGCCCTCAACACCATGCCCAGCTAAATTTTTTTTATTTTTGTAGAGATGAGGTTTCACTATGTTCCTCAGGGTGGTCTCGAACTCCTGGGCTCAAGTGATCCTCCCACCTCGGCCTCCCAAATTGCAGGGATTATAGGCATGAGCCACTGCACCTGGCCAATTTTTGATCAAGTTATGCTGATACAAAATAGCACTGAGGATCCTGCTTAATTAGATTTCCACTTCAAAAGCAATGTTGTGTATTTGTTACATCACTGCTTACAGGAAAGCAAATTAACTTTACATGTTTGAATATGTTGTCAACAGTCCCACGTCTACGATCATTCCCCAGTGGCCACAGGTTCTTCACAGTAACCAAAGTATATTTAAATGCTTTAAAAATGAGAAATAAAGTGAAATGGGAACCCTGTATGTTGCTGGTGAAAATGTAAAATGGTGCAGCTGCTGCAGGAAAAGGTATGGTGATTCCTCAAAAACTTAAACAGAGAAATGCCATGAGATCCAGCCATCCCAGTTCTGGGTATATACCCAAAAGAAGTGAAAGCAGGGACTCAGGTATTTGTACACACATGTTAATAGCAGCATTATTCACAATAGCCAAGAGGTACAGAGGCAACTCAAGTGTGGTGTATACATATGTATCAGTTCCCTAGGGCTGCCATAAGAAAATACCACAGACTGGGTGGCTTAAACAACAGAAATTTATCTTCTCACAGTTACGGAGCCTGAAATCTAAAATCAAGTTGCTGTTAGGGTTGGTGACTGGTGAGCCCCTCTTCCTGTCTGGTAGGAGCCCACCTTCCTGTCATGTCCTCAAATGGCTTTTCCTCTGTACAGGTGAAGACAGAGAGAGGAAGGCCTGATGCCCCTTCCTCTTCTTATAAGGATACCAGTTTCATGAGATTATTTCAGCACCTCATTTAACCTCAGTTACCTTCTAAAGGGCTGGCCTCCAAGTACGGTCACACTGAGGGGTTGGGGCTTCAACATATGAATTGGGGGGTGGGGATAAAAATTCAGATCATAACAACATACAATGCAATATTATTTAGTCTTAAAAGGGAAGGAAATTGAGACACATGCTGTGATATAAATGAAGCTTGAGGACATAATACTAAGTCCAATAAGCCAGTCACAAAAAGACAAATACTGCATGATTTCACTTAATGAGGTCCTGAGTAAATTTACTGGGACAGAGAGTAGAGTAGTGGTTGCCAGAGGCTAGGGGAAGGGGAGAATGGAGAGTGAGTGTTTAATAGGTACAGAGGTTCTGTTTTACAGGATGACAAAATTCTGGAGATGGAAGAGGTGATAGTTGCAAGCAATGTGAATATACTTAATGCCACAGGATTGTCCACTTTAAAATAGTTAAAAGGTAAATTCTGTTATGTTTATAAAAGAAAAGAATGAGAAAAGCACTCCAACATTAAACCATTCATGTTTTAATATGCAGCCCAGGGCCAGGTGCGGTGTCTCACGCCTGTAATCTCAGCACTTTGGGAGGCCGAAGTGGGCGGATCACAAGGTCAGGAAATGGAGACCAGCCTGGCCAACATGGTCAAACTCCGTCTCTACTAAAAATACAAAAATTAGCTGGATGTGGTGGCTGGCGCCTATAGTCTCAGCTACTCAGGAGGCTGAGGCAGGAGAATCGCTTGAACCCAGGAGGCAGAGGTTGCAGTGAGCTGAGGTCGCACCACCGCACTCCAGGCTGGGCGAAAGGGCAAGACTCTGTCTCAAAAAAAATTGCAGCCCCAAATGCTACTCACTGTAAGTGGATGTATCCCTTCTGAAACAAATTTTTTTTTTATTATACTTTAAGTTTTAGGGTACATGTGCACATTGTGCAGGTTAGTTACATATGTATACAAATTTAAACACACACACCATGCTGCCATGATGTGCTGTCAGTCTCTCAGCCACTAGCCTAAAAGTCTGCATTTTATGCTTTTTCTCCATATTGGCTTTTCCAATGTGTCAGATGGGTATTTCGTCATTTATGTCAGGGGTTCCAATTTTTTGGCTTCCCTGGGTTACATTGGAAGAAGAATTATCTCAGGCCACACATAAAATACACTAACACTAACCATAGCTGACGAGCTAAAAAAAAAAAAATTCAAAAACATTTCATGTTTTAAGAAAGCTTACAAATTTGTGTTGGGTCACATTCGAAGCCATTCTAGGCTGCATGCAGCCCGTGGGCCACTGGTTGGACAAGCTTGATTTACATGTACCTTTCCATAACTCTTAAATTTTCATTATGCATTGCAACTTAATTTTTTCCATGTGTTATAACTACAGTGATGGTAATAAAATTACATTTTTACTGAATTACAGGAAAATCAGCTTTGGGGTTTCGTAAGTCCTGCAAGACTGTAAATAATTTAACAATATCGTCAGATGTTGACTGACTCTAAACTAGCAGAATTGGAAACTCCCAGATTTATTTTGCCTCTGTCTCTTTCCCTTCCTTGGCTAATATACAAATGCAAGGAATGCCTGTGTCCTAACACACAGTAAATATTTGTGAATAAATGAATATATGTGTGTATTTGCATGTTATGAAAACAATTCCTTTACTGAAGGAAAGGAAAAATGCAGTGCCTCATGCAAACCAGTCATGTGCAGACCTCTAAGCAACATATTTTAGGATAGCATTACATTATTGTAGGAATAGTTCAGTTTTTAAAATACAGATAATAAGTTTATATTTGGAAAGAATTATTTTCAGGTGCAGCAAACCATTTAGAAATAAAATTTAATTCAATATAACTTCCTCCCTTTTGAAAAGCAAAAACAAGAAATGCTGGTGCAACTTTCTGAGCATCTGTCCTAATGCCTTTGCACATGTCATATAAAAGTTTCAAGATTTACTAGATCAAGGCAAGAGAAACAGTCTATTCTATTAGAAAAAAGAGAGTTGGAACAAAGAAATTTAGCTTTTACAATGCTTTGTAATTTGTATATAAATATGAATAATATCACTTCTCGGCCTTTTGGCTAAGATAAAGTATAAATATGAATAATATATATTCAAATGCTGACAAAAGATTAAAAACCTAGAATTTTGTGCAATTAGAATGAGTAATGATTATAGCTGTTTAAAATTTATAGTAAGTGCTTAGTATATGTGTGATATTGTGTTGATGGATCAGGAGGTGGCAGAAGGAGAGAAAGCTTGGCCCAGTCCTCAGAAAGCTTATAATGTAGCTAAGAAAAGAGTCTTATGCACTGAATAACTACAGCAAAGCTGGGTGATGCCGCCTTTCACTGAAAAAGAAATTCAGAGAAGGGTGTGGTCAGTCTGTAGTAGTCATGGAAAATGTGGTCCTGAGCAGGACTTACGACAGACTGATGACGTCAACACACAAGTTTTAAAAGTTAGAATTCGTAATTTTAAAAAATACCAGTATACAATCAAATACTTGTGAAACACGGGGATGGGAATCTGTTAAATTTTCCTGTTCTCTGTGTAAGAGACATGAAATGTAAAGCAGATTTCCAAAATCACTGCCAATCTCTATTAATCAGACCATTATGACATCCTATTGATCCATATTAAAAACTTCATAGTTTTCCACGCACTTCAAAAGCTGATTTCTCCTGACAATAGATGAAGAAATTAAAGCTATAACCATGAGCCAATTAGCTGAACTCCCTTTAGCCCACTTATTATACTACTGTTCACAAATGAAAACATAACACTACTTTTGCTCCATCAGGTGTTACTTTTTCATGTTAATTATTACTGGGGAAAATCCAGCAATTTAAAAATTACAGATCATTTTCTAGCTCCCAATTTTCTAGTTAACAAAAATAAAAGGGGATTAAGTTGGTTATTTATTTATTTTTCCTTCTCTCTTAGGGAGGCTTTCTAGATGGCCATCTTTTCTATTTTATTTTTCAACCTTTTCTTTGGTAACCCCTTGTGGTTGCAGCCTAGCTGCTTCAAGCGTGCTTGCCAGCTAAAAAAGGCTAAAGTGGGAGTCTAACTGGGCTTTCAATTTCGCTTTTTTGACAGCAGCCTGCCCCCCACAGGGAGACACTAGGTGAGCCGCAGCTGGGCCACTGGAGAAGGGGGATAAATGCATTCCGTTTCAGTTGTGTGATTCCCTCCCGTTGCTTCCCACAATGCATCTGTAACACTTTTACTTTTCCATTTCTGCTAGAAAGCAAATCTCTGTCTCTTCCAAAGGACAGTGAACATAAGTAACTACCACCCTGGAAAGCTCTGTGGGGAGCGATGAGACGGGAGGGGCCCGGGTGATTAGAGTATGGATTGGAGGGAGCAGGTGGGAGCTGTTTCTCTGAAATCTGCTTCTAGATGTTGCCCTCAGCAGCCCTTTATTAGTGAACAAATAGTATAAATCATTGAGAAAGTAGTAGTAGAGAAATGTTAGATGGGAAAGGAAAAAGGACTCCTTCCCTTTCCGTCAACATACCCTATTCCAGGCAAAGAAAAAGTGAGCAAAAACAGTGTACAATGATAGGTTCCTTCTGCACTGCCTTTTTGTGCTGAGATTATTATTGGCCCAGGTTAAGGATAAACAGTTATCCCGAATGACTCCCTGGATGGAACAGTCAATCAAACTTGTAAGTTAGTGCCTATGAACAGTAAGACAAAACACAAACACAAACACATACACACACACACACACACACACACAGACCTTAGACTGCAAACTTCTCAAGCCCCTGCAAATCAGTTCATTCATTTACTCCTTCCTCCAACAATTTTTTTTTTAAGAGACAGAGTCTCACTTCATTGCCCAAGCTAGAGTGCAGTGGTGCAATCATAGCTCACTACAGCCTTGAACTCCTGGGCTCAAGTGATTCCTCCCACCCCACCTAACACGATCTTTTTAGTGTACTCTGTATTGGGCTGTTTTGGTGTGTCCTGCATGTCCTATCTCCCTATCATTTAAAGCTGGAGCCAAAAAGAGAGTTCCAGAAGTCCTGGTTCCCCAGCTGGAGTTGCCCAAATAGGCCGCTTCACAAGATAGTTTCTGCCTGTGATATACCTAAGTGGATAGGCCACCAACACCAGTGCAGGAAAGTGATTCAGATGCTGGAGAACAAGCAAGAGCTCAGAGCCAAGGAGTCAAGCCAATGTGGGTTTGAGAATGGTAAAGAGGAAGTCTTGGGGCAGCTTATAAGATATACAGGGAGGCAACACAAAGCGAGATGTGGGCTAGAATAAGAATGCATCACACAAATCTAGGACTACTGTGGCTGCTTCAGGAGTGGATTGGGATGCTCCAGACACAGTCAGCGGGCTTTAAACTTGTCCGCCAAGCTGGAACCCATGAGGATTAGTGGAACCCAAGGAGGTCTCTTATCACCCACAAGCCTCCAACACTGATGAAGTGGGTGGTTTGCACTGAAACTGGTGCCTTTCAACATGGGGCTAAACATCACCTGGCCCAGAAGCCAGTGACACTGAAGGAGGAGGCAGGGAAGGAGCTGGAGTTCACTTTGGACGTGGCAGCTGCCTCACTGCAACAGAGGCAGCATATCAGTAACAGCCCACGTGGCTGCAGCAGCCCCTGGGGACTGCTGTTGTATTGAAATGATACGTCTGCTGCTTCACTTCTGCTTTCCAAATTTCCCACAAAATGTCTCTTGTGGCCCAGACAAACCCAAAACTATGTAGGGAAGGGAATCTAGGACATGTAGTCCAATGGGCTCAGCTGACACAGTACGAACCTGCCACAGGCTGTGGCAAGCTCAGTCCAGCTAAGGCACTATGTTGTTTTCTAGTTTGCACTTTACATAATTTCTTTGACTCTAGTGATAGGCAATATGTACTGATTAATGATATAAAACTGGACAAATACCTGGACAGCTTATCACTGAACAAGGCAAAAAAATGTCCAAACTATAAAAAGTGAAAGGAGATTGTATTAATTTTTTTGTCCCTAGGCAAGTATGATGGTTCAGAATGCTGGTCTTGTCCCCCTGGCAAAATTTGAGGTCATCTCTGAATTACTGCAATCAATTTGGGATAAATTCACAGTCTTCTCCTTGGGTTTATAATGAAGTCAACAGGTGGTTTTGATAAAAGTCATCTTTAGTCAAGAAGAATAGCAAATTAGGCTGGGCACAGTGGCTCACGCCTGTAATCCCAGCACTTTGGGAGGCTGTGGCAGGCGGATCACGAGGTCAGGAGATCGTGACCATCCTGGCTAATATGGTGAAACCCCATCTGTACTAAAAATACAAAAAATTAGCTGGGCATGGTGGCGGGCGCCTGTAGTCCCAGCTACTCAGGAGGCTGAGGCAGGAGAATGGCGTGAACCCAGGAGGCGGAGCTTGCGGTGAGCCGAGATCGCGCCACTGGACTCCAGCCTGGGCAAAAGGAGGTCCTGCATGTCCTATCTCCCTATCCTTTAAAGCTGGAGCCAAAAAGAGTGTTCTAGAAGTCCTGGTTCCCCAGCTGGAGTTGCCCAAATAGACCGCTTCACAAGAAAGTTTCTGCCTGTGATATACCCAAGTGGATAGTCCTCCAACACCAGTGCAGGAAAGTGATTCAGATGCTGGAGAACAAGCAAGAGCTCAGAGCTCTTTTTGAGACTCCGTCTCAAAAAAAAAAAAAAAAAAGCAAACCATAGCTGGATAAATACACCAGTGAATGTCACCTCTCATAATTGCACAAGATTTCCTCGGAGTAGAGGTGGGTATCTACTTGGTGATATCTGTGGAATGGCCTGCATCTTTTCGTCTTTCTCTGATTGCAAGGAAGGAAGTCAGTAATGGCTTATAGATGCGGGAACTTTGCCCAGTACCCTGACATCATGAGTGCCTCCCCTTCTGTTTGGTGCTTATCTGAATTCTCTTTGCACGTGGAAGTGGATGTCATGGCACTGGAGAGGCTGCCTGGCCAGGGCAGCAAGTAAGGGTTAGAATTCAGGAAACCAGCTCAACCCAGTTTTAGCACTGAAAGTTCAGTGTCCTGGGAATCCCTTCATCGTGAATACACTGGGACAATTGGTCAACTTAGGCCAGAGTGTGGCTGTGGCAGGAACAAGGTTTTGCTGACCTGGACAACAGGAGAAACTAAAATCAGAAGAAAAGGCAAAGGAAATGTACAATGAGAGGGATGCCAGCCATCTGGCCTGCTGGGTTTGCTGACTGGAGAGAGGGGGACAGTAAATCAGTTCTGGGGGACAATAAATTAGAGTTGATTTGTAAATCTTTCACCTAGATTCCCTAAATGGGCCGGGCACGGTGGCTCACACCTGTATTAAAACTACAAAAATTGCTGGCATGGTGGCACATGCCTGTAACCCCAGCTACTCAGGAGGCTGAGGCAGGAAAATTGCTTGAACCTGGGAGTCGGAGGTTGCAGTGAGCCGAGATTGTGCCACTGCACTCCAGCCTGGGCAACAGAGCCAGACTCCATCTTTAAAAAAAAAAAAAAGATTCCCTAAATGTCCTTTGGTAGCAATTTTTAATAATGTAACTAGAGACTAAGGTTTGTGATTTTCTATATGTGCAGGTTTTCCCTTTTCATTCTTCTTCCATCTCTGTGCAATTGTAGAAGAGAAAGAAGCTATGGAGAGATGGGTAGGGGGTGGGATGGTGAGTAGAACAGAGGGTAAGGGTATATCAGTCATTTGGTGAGGGTAGGAGATAGCAGAGGATCAAAATATTTGTCATCCCTTTTAATGAACAGACTACAGGGATGACGGTTATGGTAGAAGTTGTCTTTGAAGCTGCCTTATGTTAGAGTCACTTGCTCAAAATTTTATCTACTCAGTTGTGTCCAGTGGAGATGTGACAAAGTGAGTGCCCCACATTGAAGTATCCCTGCCCTTGGACCTTCTGCCCCTGGGCCGGTTAGAGGTAAGGGAGTCTTTTCCTTTCCAGTTATCTGCGAGGCTACCCTATGCCACCTTCTGGGAAGTCTGAACTCTGCTTTAACAGATGGTCCTTAATTTTCATACAATACATAATTTTCTTAAGGCCACAATCACAGCCCCAAATGTATGCTTCAACTTCCAAACGTTTAAGCTAAGGCACTCTGACGTTCTTTTTTGTCGTTGTTGTTGTTGTTTTTGTTGTTGAGACGGTGTCTCACTCTGTTGCCCAGGCTGGAGTGCAGTGGCGCTATCTCGGCTCACTGCAAGCTCCGCCTCCCGGGTTCACGCCATTCTCCTGCCTCAGCCTCCCGAGTAGCTGGGACTACAGGCGCCCACCACCACGCCCGGCTAATTTTTTGTATTTTTAGTGGAGACGGGGTTTCACCGTATTAGCCAGGATGGTCTCGATCTCCTGACCTCGTGATCCACCCGCCTCAGCCGCCCAAAGTCCTAGGATTACAGGCGTGAGCCACCGCACCCGGCCTCTGCCGTTCTCTTAGGAGGTCCACAGTGGTGCAGCAATGGTTTACACATATAGTTTCTGTCTGTGGTTCTGTCACTTCATCACACAGAAATGACTAGACAAACTCCCATCCAAATTTGGAGATAATCTGACTTAATTAAAAGCTAGATGTTATGAATAAATCTCACAATCTTCTAGAGTCATCCTCCAAAGCCATTCAAACACAGGCACAATAAGAGGCAGCCATAATGGCCAATTGGAGAAAGCCATTCACATTAAGATGCTGTGGACCAGGACAACTGTGAGCCTTCATCACAAAATCACAGAGGCAGAGGTTTTCAGTGTCCCGCATTGATTTGTGAATGAGCAGCTTCTCCATGCTGGTGCTCATGCCTCAGAGTGCTCCTGGGTGAGCAGCAGCTGGGAAATTGCTTATTTAACCATGATTAATGGGATTCTTGACCAATATATAGAATAAGATAAATAACTTTGTACTTTATGGTCTTCACACAAACAATCCATACATGTGGACAATAATTCCACAGCATCTTCCTTCCTTCAGAAGCAGAAGTAGAATCAATACAATGTTATAGGATTTACTGCAAATCCTGATTTCTATCTCTATCTTCTGAGTAGTTTTATGCCTGGGTCAATGCTATTATTTATTTTTAGCTCACTTACAAGGGAGTCTAAGATACTCAGTTTGAGAAAAGAAAGAAATCCCCAAGATCTGGAATGGATTGTTTTGTATCCATGCAGACAAAAGAAGCTGGCATTCCTCAGGACATTTCCATATCTCCAAGGGTGTGCATATCCTGGTGAGGGGTGGTGATCAGGAAGGTGAGTTTGGTTCAGTGGTGGATCTTGCGTTCTAAGTGACTATAGAATCCTCCGAAAAGGAAATAAATGAAATCTACGATGTCAGTTCCTTGGTATGATCTGGAATCATAGATCATTTTATTTTTTTAACTTCTTTATTCAGCCCACATGATGAGCATGCCTACTTTGCTCTGTTTCCGTTTTATGAAAAGAGGGTGGTGATAGCTACTTAGCTTGTAAATGGAACTTTGAAAGAGTCTGGAAATCCCTAAAAGAAAGAGATGTGGGAGGTATTATTTCCTTGCAATGAACACAGAATTTATGTAACCCAAATGCTACCAGCATTTATTCACTAATCTTCCCTTAACTTCAGATTTGTTTGCATAACTTTTGACGACTTACATTCCTAATTATCCTGTCACCAGTGCCGTCATTCACTGGGCAGAAAACATATTCCATTTTTATATTATCATTTACAGAATGGTATTATACATGCTAATTTCAATAATTAAGTTAAATAATAAAATTAAAAGTATGTTCCCATCTTCTGATCTTCCTACTAAAATTAGATCGTAAAGAGCAGTGGAATTGGAGCACATGTGAGCTTCAAGGTGCAGAACATACACAGCTCCTACTGCTCTGGGCCTACTGTGTCTCCCACATGTGTCACTGGACTGCCTGCATCACAGTCTCCTGGTGTGCTTCTTTAACATGCAGGCTCCTAGGCCCCAAAAAACAATTTGGGGTATAGGGCCTGAGGCTCTGCATTCTTAAGTGTCTCCATAAGTGGTTCTTATGCATATTACATCTTGGCCTGCAATGCCCTAGATACGGATTGTGGTTAGCTCAGAGTCCCCTTCAGGAAGACTGTGATGGTTAATATCGTGTGTTGGCCGGGCGCGGTGGCTCACGCCTGTAATCCCAGCACTTTGGGAGGCTGAGGCTGGTGGATCACGAGGTTAGGAGATCGAGACCATCCTGGCCAACATGTTGAAACCCCGTCTCTACTAAAAATACAAAAATTAGCTGGGCATGGTGGCACCTGCCTGTAATCCCAGCTACTCAGGAGGCTGAGGCAGGAGAATTGCTTGAACCAGAAATTCGGAGGTTGCAGTGAGCCGAGATCATGCCACAACACTCCAGCTTGGCGACAGAGCGAGACTCCATCTCAATAAAATAAAATAAAATAAAATAAAATAAAATAAAATAAAATAAAATAAAATAAAAATATATGTATATAGTGTGTGTGTCAACTTGACTGGGCTAAAGGATGCTCAGAGATCTTGTTAAATATTTTTTCTGGGTGTGTCTGTGAGGGTGTTTCCAGAAGATATTAACATTTGAATTGGTAAACTGAGGACAGAAGACCGTCTCACCCATGTGAGTGAGCATCATCCAATTCCTGGAGGGCAAGAATAGAGCCAAAAAGTGGAAAAATGGCAAATTTGTGCTCCACTTGGACCCTCAGACATCAGTGTTCCTGGTTCTCAGGCCTCAGGTTTGGAGTGGAACTGTACCACCGGCATTCCTGGTTCTGTAGCTTACACACAGCAGATCATAGGATTTCTCCCTCATAATCACATGAGCCAATCCCTCATTTGCTATATCCTGTTGGTTCTGCTTCTCTAGAGGACCCTGTAGTTACGTCACTTCATCACACAAAAATGACCAGACAAACTCCCATCCAAATTTGGAGATAATCTGGCTTAAATAAAAGTAGATGTTATGAATAAATCTCACAATCTTCTAGAGTCATCCTCTAAAGCCACCAACAGAATGGCTGTATCACAGACAGAATGTTCACAAAGAACCCCAAAACAGGATTAGGCTCACATGTTATGGCACACTGTATCTCTTTTTTCCTCAGTAACCACCCTTGCCCCCAATTATGCATTTGTGAGTTTTGATCATTGTTTAATAAACTTAGAAGCTGCTGTACTTGTTCTAGCCACCTCAAATTCCTGGCTCTGCCCTCAGGTCTCCGCTCCTCCAGCCAGAGAAGGTCACCTGACTGCCAAGAATAAAGCTTAGAAATAAAGCAGATCTCTCCTCTCCTCCACGAGGTTTCCCAGGGCTGTTGTAGGTCCTTTTCAGAGCTACAGTTAGGTATCATCCTGACTAGGAACTCAGTTCTGCTCAGACTCAGCTTGGAAACGAAGTAGCTGGATGCCTTGTGATGTTTGTCTGGTTCAACCCTTACTACAGAGCAGGGGCAATCCATCTGTGTTCATTTCTTCCTCTCAAATGACCACCTCTCCTGCAATCCTGTCCTTTCCAGAAATTATCTCCTTATTTTAGAAAGTGCTGCCTCAAATAAATGATTTGACCAACTAAATGATTTGACCAACTAAATGATTTGATGTCTCTGTCAGTGCCATTATTCTTGAAGACATGGATAATCTTCTATCCACTGCAGACTTTTCCCTGAGGTATATTTTTCTAAAAGGTGATATCTTTGGTCAAAGGGGGCTTTTAATAGGCACGGTGAAAGGTTCTACCTTTTCTGAGATAATTACTGGCAACTGGGGTTAGCAAGACAGTGAGGCACTTTATCCTTTATCACTTGCTGTGAATGAAATTGACTAGGATCATACACAGCAGGGGTCAAGGGTAAAGTGCTTCCTTGCTGGCGTTCAACTTGTGCTACCTCTCCTCTTGCAAGAAAGGGAAGAAAGGAAAGGGAAACGGACTCAAGGGAAACGGACTCAAGGTAAACAGACAAAATGACGCCTGTAGTTAAAAGCTTTCCACCAGAGGCCCCTAATGAGATCTTTCTATTCTTTCTGAATGACATAGAGTTTTCATCAACCAAGATTATGTAAACTAATGAAGTTTATAGGCAGAATTCCAAACTTGGCCATTCTACTATAAAATATTTTTAATGGAACTTGTTTTTCTTTAATGTTATTTAGATCAGGTTTACAAGAAAATCCAAAAAGCCAATGTTTGTCAGGATAATGATTAGCATCACAAATAACTTCATCTTCTAGGCCCAGTAGCCATTAGTTTACTTATATTGCTTGTGACCTACCTCAGGTGACGATATGCATATACATATATAACACATGTGAAGCCTACCACATGCCAGACACTAAGTACTCTGTACATATTACCCCATTAAATACCCTATGAAGTAGATATTATTATGGCCATTTTACAGATGGTGTAACTGAGACACAGAAGGGTAAGTATCTTGTCCAAGGTCACAACAATAAGTAAGTGGTGGAGCCAGAATAGTTTAGATCCTTGCTACTCAAAATGTGGTCTGGGAACCAGCAGGGTGGGCATCACCTGGGATCTTGATGGAAATGCCGACTCTCAAGCCCACCCCAGTCTTGCTCTGTCGCACAGGCTGGAGTGCAGTGGCATGATCTTGGCTCACTGCAACCTCTATCCCCTGGGTTCAAGCAATTCTCCTGCTTCAGCCTTCCAAGTAGCTGGGATTACAGACGTGAACCACCACACCTGGCTAATTTTTATATTTTTAGCAGAGACGAGGTTTCACCATGTTAGCCAGGCTGGTCTCGAGCTACTGAGCTCAAGTGATCCCCCCACCTCGGCCTCCCAAACTGCTGGGATTACAGGAGTGAGCCAGCACACCCACCCCAAAATCTGCATTTTAACAAGCCTCTCCAGGAGAATAATTTCCACATTAAAGTTTTAAAACCATTTGCTTAAATAATCTTAGATTATTTCTTCCTGTATTTTAAAAACCTGCTTATGGCTTCAGACTTTGGGAAATAAGGTGTACTTGGTTGGCTTATTAAGAAAAAAAAAGAATTTTAAGATGGTTTTGTGTCCTTTCCCCAGCACCAATCTCCCCCAGATAATCAACTTCTCAAGAGAAAAAAACAGTTTAAAAAAATTATTAAATTCATATTATTTACAGGTGCTTTCATTTCATTAAACCATGATAGAAAACCTTATAAAAACCTTATATCCCCCAAATTACAGATTTTTTAAAAACTGAGTTCAAAAGAGTTAAGGGGAAAGCCGACATTGGTGTCTAAGTTTACAGTTTTTGCTTCTTGAAGCAGGATCTTCATGCTTACACCTATTTCCTAGTAGGTAGCACAGGGCCTGGCACACAGTAAACAATCAACTCATCTTGCATTTAATAATTTTTTCACATCCTGTTTCAACAACAGAAACTTCTTTTTGCTTAATCAAGAGCATTTCATCCTGATTTAAAGAAGTGATATTCACAGTGCGCTGCCCATGCCGACCTTGCTAAGCTTGCTCCACACACCCTCCTATGCCCACCATGACCACTGTTCAGCAGATGGAAGATGATGCCTAGTGGACAGCAAAGGCCTTGATGAATACGTGAAGGAACTAGGAGTGGGAATAGCTTTGTGAAAAATGGGCACAATGGCCAAGCCAGAGTGTATCATCATTTGTGATGACAAAAACCTCACCATAAAAACTCAGAGCACTTAGAAAACAGCACAGTTTTCTCGTACCCTGGGAGAGAAGTTTGAAGAAACTACAGCTCATAGCAAAAAAACTCAGACTCTCTACAACTTTACAGATGGATCATTGGTTCAGCATCAGGAGTGGGATGGGAAGAAAAGCACAATAACAAGAAAATTGAAAGATGGGAAATTCATGGTAGACTGTGTCATGAACAATGTCACCTGTTCTCAGATCTATAAAAAAGTAGAATAAAAATTTCATCATCACTTTGGACAGGAAATAGCTATGAAAATCAACAAGCTCAGTTCAATGGGCAAATCTCCATACTGCTTCTTTTTTTTCATTACTGTGTTCAATTATCTTTATCACAAACATTTTACATGCAGCTGTTTCAGTATCAGATTAATTAGGATCATCCCTTTGGTTAATAAATAAATGTGTTTGTGCTAAAAAATAAAAAATAAAAAAATTAAGAAGTGATATTAACATAACCTACAAAGGATCAACTTTGGAAAATTAAATAAAGCCATGGAAAGGCAAATAAATCCTCCTCCCTTCCATCTTAGCTTATGCAGTAATTATTTATATACATATATTTATATTTATATATTTATATTTATGCATATATAAAACAAAACCAAAAAACTTGAAGTTAAGACAAAGCTTTTCCTTAGAAGTCCTCTTCTAAGGGGTTGGTTCAGGTGCTTTTCAAAGGGATAGCAGCAACTGATTTTTTTTTTTCTGCAAATTACACTGTGTTGAGTTAGGTGACCAACAATTTAAGGTAGGATTGATTTGGAGTTGCTGTCACCTATAGATAAGGCTTTCATGTAACACTTATAGTTTTGTAAATGTAATAATATGTCTTATGAAAAGAACAGTGTTTGATGGAGGACAATGAATAAGGTCTCCCACTTTTGCTATTATGATAGCAACGCCTAATATCTAATGTCCTTATCAAATAAATCACTGCAACTGGATATAATTAAGCTAACTAGATGTTTGGCAATTTTGTTTTCAATAAATGGCCCATTATATTCTATCAGAAGATCATTTCCAACTATCTTAGCTTTTAATTTATTATTTTTGAGTAGACTGAAGAATCATGGTAAGGACATATGTATATTGTCTACAATATATCTTAAAGTAATAGAACAAATTTTGATTCAGGGCAAACTGCATGCTATGACAACAGAATAAAAGGCAGGTAAAAATAAAAATAGACAAATAAAATGCAGTTTAGTCAACCCAATGTTTCAGTACCATTAAAATGTGTAAGCTTTTGTCATGAATTAGTTTTTAAAAATCTAAAAGAGTTGTCTTGTGGATTATAGTGCTGGGACTTAAACTGCATTTGCAGTAGGACTATTTTATTATTTCTTCAAACAGGAAACCACTGGCAATTCAGTGTGAAGTCATTTTCTATTTTTAAAATAATTGAATCTGAGACATAACTATTAGTATGACAGTTTCACAGAGCAAAAAATAAGATGAATAAGTGGGTCTGAAATGCTGGCTAATGGAGCAATACATTTCAAAATTACATATACATTTATGTGCTTCTCCGACCACTTACAGTTTCATTCATCATATCGTTTTTTGGCCATTTCCTAGAGAGTATTTCCAATTCTAATGTATTTCTAACAGAAATTTCATGCTGTGATCACTCCTTTGTAAGGTAGAGTTCTGTAATATTTCTGGTTTACATGAGCAGACTTTCTAGTAGGTATATGATGGCTGACTAAATATATTAATACTTTTATTTAGTCAGTAATCTGGATGTAAGGCACATAAATACCCCATATAAACAGGGAGCAGGCAGAAGCTTCCATCCTTCTTACAAGGCTGTGTGGCCTTCAGCAAGTCACTTAACTTACCTGAACCCTGAGTATTCCCATCTGAAAAAATAGGTTAAATTAGATTATCTGTTATAGTGCCTTTTTAATTTTATGTCTTATATTAACTATTTCTTAACTATATTTAATTTGAGCCAAGTAGGAATTAATGAAGAAAAATCTGAATTAAAGAATGTATTTTTAAAGAAATGTAATTTTTAAGTATTTTTTTTTCCTTCGAGATAGGGCCTTGCTCTGTTGGCCAGGCTGGAGTGCAGTAGTGTGATCACAGCTCACTGCAGCCTCGACCTCCCAGGCCCAAGCTATCCTCTGGCTTAGCCTTCTAAGTAGCTAGGATCACAGGTGTGCACCACCACACTCGGCTGATTTTTAGAATTTTTTGTAGAGATGAACTCTCTCTGTGTTGCCCAGGCTGGTCTCAAACTCCTGGGCTCAAGCAATCCTCCCACCTCTTCCTTCCAAAATGCTAGGATTATAGGTGTGTGCCACCGCATTCAGCCCAAGTTTTAAACTTTAAAATTGCATAGGACCTGGAACTGGGTAAACAAATTAATGTCATTTGTATGTAAACAGATGTTTTAAAAATATATAACCATGCTCTAAAGTAGTTTTAAATTTTCTTCCTAATTTTGTTTATAAGGTTTTTATAGTAAAATCTTTGTAATACAAAAATAACATTTTCTAGGCAGGTGCGGTGGCTCACACCTGTAACCCAGCACTTTGGGAGGTGAAGGCTGGTGGATCACTTGAGCTCAGGAGTTCGAGACCAGCCTGGCCAACATGGCAAAACCCCATCTCTACTAAAAATACAAAAATAAGCTGGGCGTGGTGGCGCACACCTGAAATCTCAGCTACTCGAGAGGCTAAGGCAGGAGAATCGCTTGAATCCAGGAGGCAGAGACTGCAGTGAGCTGAGATCGTGCCACTGCACTCCAGCCTGGGCAACAGAGCAAGACTCTGTCTCAAAAAAACAAACAAACATTATTTATAAAATCTCCTCACTATGTCATTACAGAACTTAGCAAATTGGTAGTAAAACTTCTGTGGAAGAATAGCCAGCAGATAAATGTTTTAAAAGTACAGATGGTTAGCTTGCCCTATTAGATTAAAACTCACAGTTATCGAAAACATGAATTATAGAAATCAGAACAGCATCTGATTGTGGGAGGATTGACTGGGAAAGGACATACAGGAACTTTTTAGAGTGATAAAAATATTCAGTATCTTAATCTAAAAGTGCATACATAAAGGTGCTCACTTTGTAAAATGTTATCAAGCTAAAGACAAATTAATGTACTTAATAGAGTATGTTATATATCAACTTTTTAAAAAGGTTTTAAAAGTTGGATCCACCGATAGTTTTTTCAAAAAGAATTTCAATTCCTTTATTAATTGAAAGCTAAATAAATTCCAAGATCCATCTGCAATGTAGGAAGTAACTTATGCTCTAACTATGATACTCAAAAAGAAGAGAAATGAGTGGGAAAACAAAACAAAACATATGGCTGAGTTTTGTGTAGTGTTATGTGAGGTAATTTCCTGTTATTTCTCAGGGTTTTTGGAATTGGATTTGTGTTTCCTTTGGATGCCACACTATGCTGTGATGGATATTCAGACTGAGCAAATCAACCCTATTATGTTCTGGTTATCCAATAGATTATAAGCTTCTAGAAAAGAGAACATTTTTTTCATGTATATTTTTGTATCCTCCAATGCTAATGGACAAGTTTTTAGTACTTAATTGGCACTCAATTTGTTAAATTGGATTTCAAATATGTAGGATAAAAAATTAGCATCAAAAATGTATTTTAAAAGGAAATATATCAAAATTTGATAGAAAAATAAGACTTGATGAGTGATCACATTAGTTAAGTGGTCGAGTATACCAGCTAGATATATACTGTGAATCATCACATAGAATAATGAAGCATCAGTGGAAATTTTTTAAAATGAAAATTAAAATAACTGTAGTTATAAATGACAAATAAAAGAATAGTGTTGGCTGGGTGCGGTGGCTCATGCCTGCAATCCCAGCACTTTGGGAGGCCGAAGTGGGCAGATCTCTTGAGCCCAGGAGTTCAAGACCAGCCTGGGCAATATGGTGAAACCTCATCTCTACAAAAATACAAAAATTAACCAGGAGTGATGGTACACACCTATAGTCCCAGCCACTTGGGAGGCTGAGGTGGGAGGATCACCTGAGCCCAGGGAGGTCAAGGCTGCAGTAAGCCATAATCGTGCCACTGCACTCTAGCCTGGGTGACAGAGTGAGACCCTCCCTCAAAAGAAAAAAAAAAGAGTAGTGTTATGCCTATGCCAAGAGAAAGCAAAATTTTATTTATTTATTTATTTATTTATTTATTTATTTATTTATTTATTTATTTGAGACAGAGTATCACTCTGTTGCCCAGGCTGGAGTGCCATGGTGCAATCTTGGCTCACTGCAACCTCTGCCTTCTGAGTTCAAGCAATTCTCATGCCTCAGCCTCTTGAGTAGCTGGGATTACACGGGTATGCCACCACTCCCAGCTAATTTTTGTATTTTTAGTAGAGATGGGGCTTCACCATGTTGGTCAGGCTGGTCTCAAACCCCTGACCTTAAGTGATCCACCTGCCTCGGCCTCCCAGGTGCTGGGATCACAGGGTGTGAGCCACCACGTCCAGCCAAAATTTCACTTTAAAATTAAATTAGAAATCAATAAAAATCCTATGAAACTCTTAAAAGTGCTCTAAAGTAACTCTCAGAATTGCTGCGAAATTCCTCAGTATTTTCTCATCCTCTACATGGTTTTTTTTACATTATTGACATCCAAAATAATTTCTAAATGATTTCTCATGATATTTTGTTGTCATATTAATTATTAATAGTGACAAGATATTTTTCTTGTTTTTATCACAATTACACAATATTTGCATGGATTAAATCAATCTTTTGTTTGCCTAGCCTGGGTACTTCACTTAAACTAATGTTTTTATGAAAACACGGACTTTATATTAAAAACAGTTCCAAACATGGAGGAAAGAGCTCCAAGCTCCAATAGGTTAGAAAGGTGGTAAGTGATGGGCCTTATAGGAGTTAAAATTATTATTCTTGAACAGCTCAAAAGTTTGATTTCTGTGAACTGACTGCAGTACCATCTAAGACATAAGCATCCCTAAAGAGTTGAACTTGGCTATAATCAAGCCTCTAGAGCCAAATTCAGTTTACAGAGAATAAAGGAACAAGTTAAATGATATGAGAAGGAAGTAATTGACAAATTCGGAACGTTGGACATTTCTGCTGCATAACTGATCCAGTTTCTGCAACAAGTAAATGGCAGGGAAAAAAGAAGGGAAGACTGCACCAGTTTAAAATAGACAAAAAGAGAAAACACAACTGAATGCAATGTGTGTTGGATCCTTATTCTCAAAATCAACTGTAAAAATACATTTTAGAGACAATCAGGAAAATTTTGTTATGGAGTTGTTAATTACATGATGCCAAATGATAGTTATTAATTTTGTTAGGTGCAGTCACGGCAATGTGACTATGTAAGAATATGTTCATATTTTTTCAGATGCACAATAAAATATGTAAGTGAAATAATATGATATCTGGGCTTAAAATATTTTTACAAGAAAAATACGAGAGATGTGAGTCAAATGTGGCAAAATTTTGATAAATGTTGAATATGGGTGACAGGTAAGTGGGAGTTCATTGGCGTGTGTTTTAAAATAGTCACAATAAAATTTGTAAAAGGCAAAAGCAAAAAAGGATTCATATCTACTTCTTTGAAGTAATAAAAATGATTTTAAAAAATATTGATGGGGGCCGGTTGTGGTGGCTCATGCCTGTAATCCCAGCACTTTGGGAGGCTGAGGCGGGCAGATCACCGGAGGTCAGGAGTTTGAGACCAGCCTGGCCAACATGGTGAAACCCCATCTCTACTAAAAATACAAAAAATTAGTGGGCATGGTGGCTCACGTCTGTAATTCCAGCTACTTAGGAGGCTGAGGCACGAGAATCACTTGAACCCTGGAGGGAGAGACTGCAGTGAGCTGAGATCATACCACTGCACTCCAGCCTGAGCAACAGAGGGAGACTGTCTCAAAAAAAAAAATTGTTGGGCTTTAAATACGTATACATTGTTCATAGTATATACAATTCTCTAAAGCTTGTGGCATTAATAAGTTATATATCTGTTTGTATCTTTCACCTGCTAATTCTGCTCTCTCTATATATACCACATGAAAATAAGAGAACAAGAAAAATAATTTATGCAAAGTATTCATACAAATTTGTAACAGTAAAAATTAGGAAATTATAAAATACAGGAGGCTGTGAAGCTAAGTATTATATGTCAGTATAATGAAAGGCAGAAATCTATCAAAGGTGACAACAATTTGAACTATGTAAATACATAAAACTAAGTATATACACTGGTGTAAGTTAGAAGAAATTTTAAGTGTTAATTAAGACTCTTGCACAGTTCCAAATGACAGAAAACCCAACCCAAACTGGCTAAGGAAAAGAGGAGATTTATTGGCTGATGAAAATTAAAACTTTAAAAGGCACAAAAATCTCTTCAAAATAGATTATAGACCTAAATGAAAACGTAACATTGTAAAATGTCTAAAAGAAAACACAGGATAAAAATCTAAATGACCTTTCTTTTTTTTTTTTTTTGGTAAAAAAGTCAAAAACAGACAATACCAAAGGCTGACAAGGACACAAAGCAACAAGGACTCTCATTCATTGCTGATGGACATGCAAAATAGTATAGCTAGTTTAGAAGACAGTTTGGCTTAACACAGGATCCAGCAATTACTCTCCTAGGTATTTACCAAATTGATTTGAAAACATATCCATGCAAAAGGCTGCACATAAATGTACATAGAAGCATTTCTCACAATTGCCAAAAACTGGAAGCCACCAAGATGTCTTTCGATAGGGGAAGGGATGAACAAATTGTGACACATCCACACAGTGAAATATTATTCAGTGGTAAAAAGAAATAAGCTATCAAACCATGAAAAGATGTGGAGAAGCCTTAAAATGATATTGATGAGGAAATGAAGCCAATCTGAAAAGACTACATACTGTATAACTCCAGCTCTGTGACATTCAAGAAAAGGCAAAACTGTGGAGACAGTGAAAAGATCAGTGGTTGCCAGGAGCTAGGGGGAAAGGGGGAGGGGGGAATGAATAGGTGAAGCACAAGAGATTTTTTAAGTGGTGAAACCATAACGTATGGTACTATAATGGTGAATACATGGTCCTATTAATTTGTCAAGACCCCCATATATTTAATAGCATAAAAAGCAAACCTTAATGGATGCAAATTAAAAAAAATTATTTACGAGATTGTAGGATTTCAGGAAGGAATTCAGACTGTGACAAGAAAATCTAACTGTATTACAAGTGCATAAAACAACCTTACTGAAGAGGCTAGAAAGAAAATGTGCAGACTTAAGTAACTTTGGAAATGAATAGAGTTTATAAGAATAAAGGCAAAAGGAATTGCAGATAAGCAGTGTACTCTTGTTGACAAAGTCCTTCTCACAGGAGTAAAAAAGAGGTAAGAGTGAGGAAAGAGATGTTTTTCCCAAAGCCAAGTGAGTCACAAGAAGGGGAGTGGATGAGATGGATGATGAGCAACACAAATCATAAATGCCCACCATAAATATGCATTTGATTATTTTTCTGTAACATTGTAAAATATGCTCACACTTTGGAAAAAAAGAAAAAAAGGCCAGGTTCACGCCTGGAATCCCGACACAGGTGGGTGGATCACTTGAGGTCAGGAGTTCGAGACCAGCCTAGCCAACATGGTGAAACCCCATTTCTACTAAAAGTACAAAATAAATAAATAAATAAACAACCACATGTGGTGGCATGTGCCTATAGTCCTAGCTACTCGGGAGACTGAGGCAGGAGAAACACTTGAACCTGGGAGGTGGAGGGTGCAGAGAGCCCAGATCGTGCCATTGCACCCTAGTCTGGGCAACAGGGCGAGACTCTGTCTCAAAAAATAAATAATTTGGAAAAAAAGGAAATAAAATGAAGTTTAGTTTATGCCTTATAGACTTACCACAACTAGTCATCTTCTATTTTTTAGATATTATTATAATTTCACACACACTGCCCAAATCATTTAAAGTAAGCTGAATGAACAAAACTCAAACCAATCACTTTACTAGGTTTAATGCATATCCTGCTCAAATTTTTATCAAGCAAATATGTCAAGTTTATAATGTTATGAGAAGCTTAAATCAGTGTTAATAAAAATTCGATGAAAAGTATGTTTTTTATTACATCAAAGAAGTTTCTCTTGCACAAACCATAAAAGCTATGCTAATTCAAATATTCCTTTGTGAAAGTTACCTCAGATATAGTGACAACTGCTGTGTTAAAGACATGTTTATGGCAACAAGATGATGATGATCAGACTGAGTGGGCATAATGAGATAGCAGTATCATGTAAATTAAATGTAGGTGGGTTGGGCATGGTGGCTGATGCCTGTAATCCCAGCACTTTGGGAGGCCTATGCAGGCAGATCACCTGAGGTCAGGAGTTCAAGGCCAGCCTGGCCAACATGGTGAAACCCTCATCTTTACAAAAATACAAAAATTAGCTGGGCATGATGGCAGATGCCTGTAATCCCAGCTACTCAGGAAGCTGAGGCTGGAGAATCTCTTGAACCCAGGTGGCGGAGGTTGCAGTGAGCCGAGATCGCGCCATTGTACTCTAGCCTGGGCGACAGAGCGAGACTCTGTCTCAAAAAAAAAAACCCAAAAAACAAACAAAAACAAAAAACATATGTGATCATTGCATTGTTATATCCATTATATAAAAATCATATATGTGAGAGAAAAAGCAAATTTAGATCTCCTTGTGAAAGCAAACACAAAAACTATTTACCTGTAAAAATCATTTGTTTTCCCACAGTAGTAGATGTTGGCTTTTGGTATGATACAGATGCCATGGCTAAAGTCTTAACCGTGCTACTGGATTTTCTTCTTCGGCTTCTTCAAATCAGTTAAGCTGCACCAGAAAGAACGAAAGACTCTGCAGTCTTTCCTCTCCCTGCTTGTGACCTGCACCAGGTGGTTGCTAATGACTCTTTATGACAGGGAGATAGAATGTTCCTCCTTGCAGAGTTCTGCATTCCAATCTCCAAGAGCAGAGACAGATACTGCTATAGTCTTCCCAGAACTTGCATCCAGTAATAACTTTTCCTTATTTGTCAATATCAAGTCAGAATACACTTGTTCACAGGTACTAGATCCAGTTCCAGCTTATGTCCCAGATAATCTGGCAGGCTCAGTCACCACTGTCTTTCAACATTTCAAAAAGAATGTCTTGCAGAAATATGTTACAGCAAAAAACAAAAAGCCCCCACAAACCATGGTTAAATATATTTGACAAACACTGGCAAGATAAAATACAGTAAAAAATAACATTAATAAATTAATGAGATAATTACACACACACAAATATATATAGATATATTTCCAGTCTCATATTCCAATCCCTCCTTAAATAGTGCTTGTGCTTTGGTCATGTCAATTTACCTGTGGTTCTCAATCTGTGCAATGCTTTCTCATTGTTCTGAGCCTTTACACATACAATTTGCTCTTCCTGTAATGTTGCTATGCAAATATTTCTTGTCCTTTGACAGCCAAGGCCCACATCTGCTCTTCCAGGAGGATGTCTGCAGACACAGCTAAGTGCTTTCTTCTTCATGTCCCTTTAACCTCTATAGCACTGTGTTTAGATGTATCTTTTTAACTCACCACTTCAATTATTTGTCTATTTTATCGACCTCCCCACTAGAATCTGACTTCTAGGAGTTTATGATAAAAGTATACTTATTTATATTTCAATTTCCAGAGACTTGTATGCAATAAATAGTTAATAGATGTTTGTGGGATGAATAATTGTATGAACAGTAATTCTAGCTTGCACAGAAATATATCGGCTACCTGATAATCCATTGAAGATAAATTCTAACAGTAATTTTGTATTCAACATTAAATATATGGAGTTGTCTACTGTAAATGTAATATCTTTTATATTTTGAGAATTATAAGAAAAACACTATATTAACTCTGGAAAGGCTTACAGTAGGCTTATGGTAGGCAAAGAGATGTGCTACTCAGGTAGGTTCCCTTTCAAGGAAGGCTTGTAGCCCAGCTGGAGGAAGGACTGTCAGCAGACAGTGTCCAGCTGTCAGCACCTTCGGGGTCTGCCTTGGCTGCAGAGAGCTGCCTCCTCTGTCTGAGGTCAAGCCTTTTCCAGGGGAGCCTATGTCAGGTACTGAATGAGGTAGAGGTATAAAGACCAGTCATTTCTCACCAGGTTGGTCAAGGCTGTGTTGAGCCCTTACAGTTCTTCTTCTTCCTCTGATCAGTCCTGCTTCCTCACCTTTCCTTTCACAGGTATTGAACCCAAATAACCACCTTGCCCCCCACTTTCAGAGAACCCGACCTGAGATAACTAGACAGCATAAGCACATATGCACAAATGTATTATACAAGAGTGCTTCTCATTTTAACCACTCAGCCCTCCTAACCAGAAACTGAATATATTTCCCCAATGTGGGCAACTAGAGTCAGTCGCTGTTGTGTTACTGATCTTTGGTGTCATTTTCTTTGGTTCTGACCTGCATTATGCTCTTCTTTACCTTCCTATGGCCTGCTACAGTTTCAGAAGCTTTCCTACTCTTTCTGTTGTTAATTAATTCTGGTTCCTATAGTCAAGGGCTCTCTATCTCTAGCTGAAAGTATCTTTCTTTGAAAAGCTCCTAGTTGTGTCTTTGAAACTACCATTTTCCAAGGCGCCCAACTTTGAACATTCCTAGAAGAGAGAAGCCTGCTCACTCACCTGTGGTTTTAAGGATGCTGAGAAGAGAAAGGAAGAAGGAACCTAAATGAAGAAAGTAATTCTTTAGTAAACAAGGCAGAAAATAAATGAGATCTTGGCTTTTGTTGGAGGACTTCCCATTAACACTTCAGGGGAAATGCGGGCTTCTGCTTTGCCTTTGAGACTGTTACAAACTTTAATCTGTTGTAGGCTTAGGGTCAGACATTCTGATGGCAAAGGCTGGAGGGAAGGGAAAATATGGGAGAAGAACCAGGTTAGCTCTTCTCCATAAAATTATTCCACTAATTGAAGACATATTTAGGTTCATTTGTTTTGTGTTGTTTCAGTTTTTAGAAATTTAAAAATTTATTTCACAAGTAACATATTTACATAGTTTCAAAGTAAAATCCTTAATGGATATTCAGAGAAGTCCAGCTTTTATCCTTGTTACCTCCTGCTGTTCCTTCCTTTTTTTTTTTTTCTTTTCTTGCAGGAAACATTTTTAAAAATATAACTACAAGGCCTGGCATAGTGGCTTACACCTGTAATCCCAGCACTTTGGGAGGTCGAGATGGGTGAATTCCTTGAGCCCAGGAGTTTGAAACTAGTCTGGGCAACATGGCAAGACCCCCATCTCTACAAAAATTAGCTGGGCACAGTGGTCTGTGTCTATGGTCCCAGCTACTCGGGAGGCTTAGGTGGGAGGATTACTTGAGAGCCCAGGAGTTTGAGACTACAGTGAGCTGTGATCATACCACTGCACTCCAGCCTGGGTGACAGAGTGAGACCTTGTCTCAAAAACAATATATACACACACACACACACACACACACACACACACACACACACACATATATATATGTATGTATTTATGATTATATCCTCACCTTTCCTAAAGAAATGGCAGCATACTGAACATACTATCTTTTACCTTGCTTTTTTCTCTTAATCCATCTGGAGATCACTCAATAGCATTACGTAAAGATATTTCTCTCTCTCTCTCTTTCTCTCTCTCTCTCTCTCTCAATACAGCTGCAAAATGCATTTACCAGTTTATTCAACCAGTCCACTATTAGTGGTCATTTGGGCTGTTTCCAATTTTTTTGCTATTACAAAGATTGCTACAAAGTGTAGTTTTCTGCATACATCTTATATTTTTTGCAGACATCTTTGGGATAGATTACTAGAAGGGATAGTCCTGGGTCAAAGGAAAACACATATGTAATTTTGCTCAATGTTGCTAACCCTGCCACCATCATGGTTATGCCATTTTGTATTCTCATCCACAATACCTGAGAATGCCGATTTTTATACAGCCTCACCCACAGACTATGTGGTCAAACTTTCTAATTTTTTTCAATATGACAGGTAAGAAATGGTAACATAGTAATTTACACTTCTGTTCTTGTTAGTGTGATTGAACATGCTTTCATGTGCGTCAGGGCCATGTACATTATATGCTATGAACTATCTAGTCTTACCTCTTTTTCTATCAAGTTGTTGACTTTTTTCCATCCTACATTTTTTTAAAAATGAGCTAACATTCTAAAGAAACACATAAACAGAGAATGAAAATACAATGTAGTAAGAGTAATGATAAATGTAGTAATACATTTAGTAAATACCTGATTTCCCAGAGTCATGGGAACAGAGAGGAAGATCACTTGGCCGGGGCTGGGACGGAAGCTGAGGGCTGATGATGTGGTGAGGCAGGGTTTCCTTGAGGCAGCGATGTTTGAACTGTGTTGTAGAGAATGACTAGGATCTAGACAAGGGACAAGGAGCTGGAGGTTGGGGTGGGTGGTGAGGGCATTTTGTGCAAAGGGCATAGCTTGAACAAAAGGCTAGGAGGGGAGAAACAGCCAATAGCACTGTGCCTAGCAAAAATACAAGTTCCTCATTGCTAGAGAGTCATCACTAGGAGGGTGAGCTGGGAGGTGAGGCTGGAGCTTTGCTCTGTAGGTAATGAGGACCCCTGATGGTTTTATAGTCTTATTTATTTATTTTATTTTACTCTTTTGAGGCAGAGTCTCACTGTGTCACCCAGGCTGGAGTGCAGGGGCTCAATCATGGCTCACTACAACCTTGACTGCCCTGGGCTCAGGTGATCCTCCCACTTCAGCCTCCAGAGTAACTGAGACTACAGGAGATGGTGTCTCACCATGTTGGCCAGGCTGGTCTGGAACTCCTGGGCTCAAGCAATCCTCCTGACTCAGGCTCCCAAAATACTGGAATTACAGGCGTGAGCCACCACACCTGGCCCTCTGAAAGGTTTTAAACGAGCAGACACTGGTTGGTGTTGGGTTTAAATAGAAGACACCTGACTGTGTGGAGAATGGGCTTAAGAAAAGCGAGGAGTCTGGGGCCCAGCAGGAAACTGTTGAAGTGGCCCAGGGGAGTGGAGATGGGGCCTGAACTAAGCCAGGCACAGAGGAGACACATTTGGAGTGTGTATCGAAGAGTAAGAATGACCCCCAGTTTTCTAGTTTGGCTGACTAGTGAGTAGTGGTACCCCAAAATAACACAGAGAAAACAAAAGAAAGAAAACGGGGGCCAATGAATAAATTGATGGCATTGACTAGATGTGGATTTGTACATGCTGCACAACAGGCTAACAGAGCAGTTAAAATTAAGCCCAAATTGTCATAAAGTATTGTGACAGCGACTGAACTCATTACTGGGACTAAAAGTGGTCTCCATGAGCCACCAGATGCCTTTTGTTACGGAAAATCCCTATTGTTTATGAATCAATAGTTGCTCTTCTGATGAAACTCAGGGTTTGCTGCTCAGCACAGATGAGATGTTGGCTATTGTCTCGCTTCGATAATTGAATAGCTAATTCAGAGTTGATAACCACTTTACCAGTTACAACTTGGAGGCCAATGCAGTGGCCCTGTAAAAGTATCTTGTTTTAACATTTGCGAAAGAATCAAGTTATATATCTTAATGATATAAAAGTGATACAAATTAGAAGCTTTTATTATATAGCAGAGATATATCTCTAGATGAACACAGGTCAGAATGTACTACAATTACATAATAACATTCAAATATCCTATTATGAAGCACACTTGGTAAACTGGAAAGCTTTGCCACCGTTTAGCAGTGAACCTTATACTTTTAAGCACTATATGTATAGTACTTAAATATATATATGGTACTTAAATATGTGTGTGTGTGTGTGTGTATATATGTATGTATTTTTTCTTTTTTGGGACGGAGTCTCGCTCTGTTGCCCAGGCTGGAGTGCAGTGGTGTGCTCTTGGCTCACTGCAACCTCTGCCTCCCAGGTTCAAGCAATTCTCCTGCCTCAGCCTCCCGAGTAGCTGGGATTACAGGCACGTGCCACCATACCTGGCTAATTTTTTGCATTTTTAGTACAGATGGGGTTTCACCGTGTTAGCCAGGATGGTCTTGATCTCCTGACCTCGTGATCCGCCCACCTCGGCCTCCCAAAGTGCTGGGATTACAGGTGTGAGCCACTGCGCCCGGTCTGTATTTTTTCTTTTGAGACAGAGTCTCACTGTTGTCCAGGCTGGAGTGCAGTGGTGGGACCATAGCTCACTATAGCCTCAAACTCCTGGGGTTAGGAGATCCTCCTGCCTCAGCCTCCCAAGTAGCTGAGATTAGAGGTGTGTACCACCACACTTGGCTAAATTTTGTACATTTTGTAGAAAAAAGGTCTCACTGTGTTTCCCAGGCTGGTCTTGAACTCCTGGCCTCAAGATATCCTCCTACCTCAGCCTCCCAAAGTTGTGAGCCACTGCACCCAGCCTAGTACCACATATTTTTATGTCTTTTCCATGTATTCTATATTCAGGAAATAATCTGGAAAACACACTGAATAGAGCCACAGACTTGGCTTCAAATCCCAACAACTCGTCTGAGTAACATTGGCAGGTTGCTTTTCTATGAAATGAGAATCATTGTGCCTACCTATAAGTCAATTGGGATAATGGATGTAAAGTGCTTGCCACAGTGCCTGCTACATGGTATGTATTCAATAAATATCAGCTGCAATATTGGTCTCATCATGCTTCCCCTAAATCCTTGCCACCCACCCCATTCTTCCCTGAAAAAACATAGATGATTAATACAAATTTAAACAGCGACCATCATAACTTTACTTTTTGTATTTGAATTTGCAACACCAGCTCACAAAAGAGTCTGTAGTCTTCCTCTGGCTCATTTAACTCTAATTTGGGTAAGATGACGCTGAGAGTATAGTGGTGCTATTCCCTGCCGGGCCAATCAACCCAACTTCCCCCAGTTGTAGTTAACTTAATTGGGGATGATGCAACACTTAGGCTTTTTCTATGGACACACAGTTTTTAAAAATAAATACACAAAACATTATAATTTCTATCCTGTAATTGCTATACTACACATTTAAAAAACAACAGATAATTTAAAGCCAGTGTTATAGAAGCAATAATGGTCATATCTTATAAATGCATGAGTTGTCATCATTAAAAGCAACCCTACCTATTACTAAGACTGAACCCCTTATTTTTCCCATGAGCTGTCTGACACTGGAAGAGGTTAGTTGAGGAGTTAACCAAAGGTACCAGGGTAGTTGAAAATAGAACCACCACCACAACCAAAAAACCCCAACACTCCTGATTCTCAGTTCGGAATGTTTTTCTCTCTATTCTGCCTTGTAAAAGAAACTGTCATCTCATTCATGGTGTTGTGGATGTCAAAAGCCCTTGGAGATTGCTTTAGTGTTTTATGTGGTCTTTCTCCTCCCACCAGTTTAATTTTCTGGTGAAGCCTTTTTCACTGATCAATGAACAAATATAATTGGACACTTACTATGTGCCAGACACTGTGCTAAACACTTTCCCCAAACTTTTCTTGTTATCTGCACAATAGTGTTATGACACAGAATTATTACCCTGATTCACGAAGAGGTGAGTTCTACAGTTTAGTGTCAAAGTTTTGCCTTATTGTACATCCACGACAGAGAATGTTGATTCCCAAATCTGGCTAATTATTTTGGGTTCTTAATAACTGAAATCTAAATTTGATCTTCAACAAACATGTTTTTCAAAATGTTATTTTTACACGATTGAAATTCTCCCATATGAAAAACTGATCATAGTTAGAAACTATTCCCTCTGTGGGCTATTGTAACTTCCCAGCCTGTGAGTGCAAATGAACTGATTGTATCATTCAATCCTAATATTTTCCTAGTTTAGTATCTTTCCCACCCCTGTAACTATAAAAAATCAACCTCCTTTCAAATGTCTCCTCTCCTCCGTCCACCAGCTCAAGTCTCTGGAGGTCCCAGATGCCCACGCTTCCCTCTTTGCTCTCTTCGAGGCTGCTGCTCTGTAAGTTTTGACTTGGCTGCTGCTCAAACCTGTTTTATCAAGCCAGTGGAGCACTTCTCTACATTGGCCGTTGGCCAAAGTGAAGTTCTGCTAATCTCTGATCCCCAGATCACTCAACTGCCACTAGGCTTCTGGCTACTGTTCCATTCTGTGTATTGCCATTCTGACTTGGACTCCTTGGCTCAACGAGAAGGGAAACAAGTCCCTTCCACTATGAGATGCTTTCTTAGAGGGTCCCCAGAAGGTTTTCTTGGGCCCCCACAAAACAACACAATTTTGGGTGACAACTCTTTTAATTATTTAGCAAGCACACTACTGACTGGCTAGGGACTCACTAGGTACTTTTTTTATTTTGTTTTTGTTTTTTTGAGACAGAGTCTCGCTCTGTTACCCAGGCTGGAGTGCAGTGGTACAATCTCTGCTCACTACAACCTCTGCCTTCTGGGTTCAAGTGATTCTTGTTCCTCAGCCTCCCGAGTAGCTGGGACTACAGGCATGCACCACCACACCTGGCTAATTTTTGCATTTTTAGTAGAGACAGAGTTTTGCCATGTTGCTCAGGCTGGTCTCCAACTCCTGGGCTCAAGTGACCCACTTGCCTTGGCCTCCCCAAGTGCTGGGATTACAGGCTGTCATCTACCGCGCCTAGCCTAGGTACTTTTGATTTTAAAACTCCTCTACTCTGACCCCCAGGTCTTCTATTGAATCCAGGGCACCATGCCATTCTTATTCTTTGCTCCTCGTGAATTCTTTCTACCACTTAGCAAAATGTACCTGTGGAAATTTTCTTTCATCAGCACCCTTCTCCCTCACTAACTCCCTATTTTCTATCCCCTATCCAGTTTACCAAACATGTTTCGAGTTATTTTCCCTAGAAACTTCCAACTCCCTTTGAAAACACTGGATACAGTTAGCTGCCAAGAGGGAAGCAGAGAGGGAATGTTTCCCCAGTGCACAGCCAGAAACCAACCCTTCTTATCTTCCTGGGTAAATGCATTTTCATAGTGGAATAGAAATATTTACATTTATTTTTTATTTTATTTTATTTTTTTGAGACGGAGTCTCACTCTGTCGCCCAGGCTGGAGTGCAGTGGCGCGATCTCGGCTCACTGCAAACTCTGCCTCCCAGGGTTCACGCCATTCTCCTGCCTCAGCCTCCCGAGTAGCTGGGACTACCAGCACCCACCACCTTGCCTGGCTAATTTTTTGTATTTTTAGTAGAGACGGGGTTTCACTGTGTTAGCCAGGATGGTCTCAATCTCCTGACCTCATGATCCGCCCGCCTCGGCCTCCCAAAGTGCTGGGATTACGGGCGTGAGCCACTGCACCCCACCTTTACATTTATTTTTTAAAAATACAATTGAATGTCATCTAGAATTACTATGTAGTCTTCCATAAGCTCTTCTACAGTTCCTCCTTAGAACCAATGTCTGAAGTTGAGTGTCTCCTCTTCACCCAGCTTCCTGAGACTAAGCACAATTTACAGCAGGCTACAATCCAGGATTAGTTTCAGTGTCATACTTTTGATGTTAAAAGAGAAGACATAAGCTCTTAATATTTGCCATTCATTTGCCATGCCATAAAATGAACATTCAAATACGTGACTATTGATCCCCAAAGAGAGTCTTATAATTATAACATAAAAACAGCTCTTACCTTTTACCTGAAATGGATTATAACCAGGCTTATGAGCATTTGGGCCAGGATTAAGAAAATACTCCACTTTGAAAATTTTCGTTTTTTAGCAAATTCAGCAGTATTTCAATGAGAAAATTACTTTTCTTGTTGTATATTTTATCAAGATTTTTAAACTTAATCATTTTATTTAAACTCTAGTATAACATTTTTAAAATGTTATTTTCAGTGGCAAGGAAGTTTGAGCTGAAGGGGAGGACAACATCTGGGAAAGAAAACACAGCTGGGCACGGTGCCTGTAGTCCCACCTACTCGGGAGGCTGAGGCAGGAGAATTGCTTGAACCCAGGAAGTGGAGGTTGCAGTGAGCCAAGACCGAGCCATTGCACTCCAGCCTGGGTGACAGATTGAGACTCCATCTCAAAAAAAAAAAAAAAAAAAAAGAGAGAAAGAAAAAGAAAACACAAATGGGTCTGGGACCTCCTTTGTGTTGTAACCAGAGGCCCCTCCCCTCCCTACTATCACACAACCTAGATGGGAGAAGTTAAAAAAAAATCAAGTCAAAAGGCCCTGTATTAAGGAGAAATAATGTCGTGGTGGAGAATGAATTTGGGAGCTTTGGAACTGGGGGAAAAACAGCAAGATAGACAAGAAGAGTGTGGGAAAAATGGGGGTAGGTGGAGAGGGACACACAGCCCTTGGAAGGGGAGTTCGTGAGGGTTTTTCTGTGCTCCAGTCATCCAGGAGGAAAAGCCTAATTTTAATTTTATTTGTTACCTCCAATATAACATTTTTCAAGGTGACGAATGGGACAAGGGTGGCACAAGGCATTTTCTTTAGTGTGTTAAAGTCATAGCTGAGCTGGCTGGGCACGATGGCTCACGCCTATGATCCCAGCACTTTGGGAGGCCAAGGTGGACGGATCACCTGAGGTCAGGAGTTTGAGACCAGCCTAGCCAACATGGTGAAACCCCATCTCTACTAGAAATACAAAAATTGGTCAGTGTGATGGCAGCTGCCTGTAGTCCCAGCTACTCAGGAGGCTGAGGCAGGAGAATCACTTGAACCCAGGAGGTGGCAGTCGCAGTGAGCCGAGATTATACCACTGCACTCTAGCCTGGGCAACAGAGTGAGACTCTGTCTCAAAAAAGAAAAAAAAAAAAAGAAGTTATAGCTGAGCCCAGAAGTCTGGAAAGTTGAGGATTTCAGATGTAGATACATCTCATACAAAAACATATTGTAATAATCCAAATAAAATGGTAGGCCAAAGATAAAAATATTCCAGATAAAATATTTGAAAATAATTTGTCTAATTACTATAAAAAGTTTAATTACTCAAGGATTTGATTATTTAATCAAGATTTTTAATCTCAACTTTATAAAATGTATAAAAGCTAAGGTATTTTTGAGATACATTATTTATTTTGGATAACTCACTTTCTTAATATAAGTTGAAAAAATTGTTCTCATAACAGCTAACACTAAAGTTTCACTTAGGTTGAAACCTTTCTTTATTATTTTTAGGCCATTGAAAGTGAAGGAGAAGAAACCCATAGGGCATAGCCTAAAAGGGCCAGCCTAAAGGAGACAGTTTTAAACTTCTGCACAAAAGAAGTAAAAGGAATGTGGGGGTGGGAATAGCTATGAGAGAGAAAGGGTGAGAGAAGGCAGCCTGAAGAAGCTGGAAGGCTGAAACTGAACAACACTGGGGTGTTCATTATCTGTTGCTACATAACAAATTACTCTAAAATTTAGTGGCTTAAAACAACAAATATTTACCATTTCACAGTTTTTGTGGGTCAGGAATCTGGGCACTGCTTAGCGAGGTGCCTCTGGCTCAAGATCTCTCGTAAGATTGCAGGCAAGCCGTCAGTTGGGGCTGAGGTTTTATGTGAAGACTCAAGAGGGAAGATCTGATTCCAGGCTCTCTCACATGGTTGTTGGCAGGATTTGGTTCCTTGGAGGGGTATTGGAGTGCACTGTGTGCCTCTCCATAGAGCAGTTCAAAACATGGCAGCTGAGGCCGGGCACGGTGGCTCCTGCCTGTAATCCCAGCCCTTTGGAAAGCCGAGGCGGGCAAATCACTTGAGCTCAGAAGTTCGAGACCAGCCTTGGCAACATGGCGAAACTCTGTCTGCAAAAATTAGCCAGGTGTCATGGTGTGTGCCAGCTACTTGGGAGGCTGAGGCAGGATGATCACTTGAACTCAGGAAGTCGAGGCTGCAATGAGAGTGACTGAGCCACTGCACTCCAGCCTGGGTGACAGAGTGAGACCCTGTCTCAAGAAAAAAAAAAAAAGGGCAGCCGGCTTCCTTCAGATGGAGAAAATGAGAGAGGGCACCTGAGACAGAAGCCACGGTTATTTTGTAACCTAATCTTACAGGTGCCATTTCATCACCTCTGCCCCATCGTGTTTGCTAGAAACAAGTTCACAAAACCCAGCTCACATTGAAGGGGAGGGCATTACAAAGGGCATGAACAACAGGAGGTAGGGATACAGGTTACAGGTAGCCAATGAGAAGTCCTCAGCAGCACTGGGAGTATTTTAAGAGCAAGAATGTTAAATATTGAACTTTCAGTTTTGGTGTTTTTTTGTTTGTTCATTTCTTGTTTTGTTTTTTGTTTGTTTGTTTGTTTTTTTACTGAGACAGAGTCTTGCTCTGTTGCCCAAGCTGGAGTGCAGTGGCACAATCTTGGCTCACCGCAACCTCCACCTCCCTGGTTCCAGCGATTCTCCTGCCTCAGCCTCCCAAGAAGCTGGGACTACATGTGCATGTCACCACACTCAGCTAATTATTCTATTTTTAGAAGAGACGGGCTTTCACCATGTTGGCCAGCCTGGCCTCGAACTCTTGACCTTAAGTGATCCACCCACCTTGGCCTCCCAAAGTGCTGGGATTACAGGCGTGAGCAACTACGCCCAGCCCTTCAGCTGTTTATAGTGCTGCTTCAGCCTGTTAAGCATCAAAGCTGACTCTATACAACCCATCACATGGTGGAAGAATGATCGATCCATAAGAGGTGTGGTAAGGCGGGGTTGATGGACAGAGAGTTGGAAGTTATCCAGACTTTGACCTTTGGTTGCCTCATTCTTTCATTCCTGTATTCTTTGAGGCCTTTTAGAGCACTCCACTTCAGTGACCATGACTTGATCAGTTTTGTTAGACCACTTATGCTCTGGAACCTAGCATTTAGAAAAGTTAAAAATATTATTTGTGTTTTTCAAAAAAATCTAATCTTGTGCATTTTATAGTTTTTAAAAAAATTATAAAAAGTAGATTTTTATACACAAACTGAATAATCAACTTCTAAATAAATTTGCTCCAAAAAGTTACTTAATCCTAACAGAAAAGGAAAACCCCATACATATATACATTTATTTGTGTCTGAAACCATATACTCATCTATTTAAGCAAGACTTTTCTTGATTAATTTTGTATTTAAAAAATTTCCTGATTCTTTATATTTTCTCTGATTTTAAGGGCAAAATTTATGCTAGATTTTAAATTAGAAACATTCTTCTCATTCCTGCCTTGTTCCATTGATTGATTAAATTTTTTTTTATCTCCTAGTGCTTATCATACATGCTTAGAAAACACAGGGTTTCCATCAGTCATCTATCTTGGTTGCTTTATCTGTTGAGTCATAGTCACATTGCCACAGATTCTTGGTAATCTGAAAAATACCAAGATGCTCTTAGATAACTGAAAACCCCAGCGAAGTAGTATTTCCTGCGCTGTACCAAACAAGCTCTGCAGAAAAGTAACTAGGCTGGAGCCAGTAGTTGACAGTGAGGTTGCCCAATCCCAGTTCTATGGAGAGCCCTGCCTCTGGGTCTACACAGCACAATGGAAGAAAGACAAAGAGAATGGCCTGCCCCACTACCTGCTCCTCAGTGGCCTGAGATTCTGTATAATCTGAAATAAATCTAAATGAATAAGAAGACGGGGTTTCAAATATGTGAACCATGATATGATAGCATGTAACAGAATGGCATGTAATAGAGAAAGCACAAAGAGGGAAAATAAAAGAGCTCCTGCTCCCAGTCTTTAGAGATGAGGATGCTTACCGCGTGCTGGTGTGCTTACCTTCCTTCAGAGATGATTGTTCATGCTTTTAGCGATGTTTTGCAGTCTGTAAAGGTACTGTTTTGCCTTTTTGCCTTTCTCTAGGCCACCTGAACTCGCTTAAGTAATCATACCTCCTCCAAAGCATGGTATTTGAGAACAGACCTGGCCTCTGTTTCAGAAGGACATAATTGACCGTTTTGTGTAAGCACAAAAGGGGGTGGGGTAGGAGAGCTTTCCCGAGCCTGTGCTATCTCCTGTTGAAGCCCATTTGTTAGCCTCGTAGGCAGGGCGCGCTGGAATGCCTGGCAAGTGCAAGTACAGTGAAATGCCGTCATTGTGCTGCTCTCACGGCGCATGTTTTCCCACGTACAACATTCAAAATGTTCAGTTCCCTGGAAAATGTTCTAAAGAAGTTGCACTGTATTAGGCTTTGTCTTCTCGTCTTTCACAAAGGCAGACAGCCCTCTGTTGAGAACAGCCTTTCCATAGGCATTTCTCTTGGCTCAGAGCCACATGGACGTAACCTAGAGCCACCGAGCCACAAGAAAATCTTGGACCAGAAGCAGGGGGAGGGGACGCTTTGCACGGTTTTTCCTCCCACATTCAATATACACAAGGATCCCGAATTGAAAATGCCTATCAGTTTGCAAAGGATGATATTGTCAAAGAAATTTGTTTACAATGATAACTAATAATTTTTTCTCTCCCCTTCCACTTTTTTTTTTTTTTTTTTTTTTTGAGAGAGTGTCCCTATGTTGCCCAGGTTGGACTCTAACTTCTAGGCTCAAGTGATCCTCCTGCCTCAGCCTCCAGACTTAGCTGGCATTACAGATATGCGACACCATCCTAGGCTTAATAATTATTATTTTTTAAAACCTGAGATAATTTACTAAATGATATAAAGTTAAAATTTTTTTTGAATCGGAGTATAAAACGTGGGCTTTTAGTTGACATAATGTAATTTGAATGACTTAAAATATAGATGTCAAATGTTAAGGTTATGTCAGGTGCATTTATTATATTTATTAAATATTACCAATTCTGATTTTCATAGAAAGAAAATAAAAGAATTCTCTATTGTAAATTGACAAAAAGATGGCAGGGATTTCTGAGAAAACACTGTCGAGAAAGATAAAGCAACGTCAGTTTGTGACATTTCAGTGGATTCTATCTTCAACACAGATTAGCTTATTATTTTTATTTAAGTAAACAAGAAGGTCCAGCTGGACCAAGTAAGCTCTCGTATTTTTCTGTTCTTTCGCTGCACACAAGTCTAAGAATTGTTAAGAATTGTTTTACTGGTTTCCTAAAAGCACCACAATAGCTTTGAAAATGGTTGAGAAGATGTAAGAAAATAGTCTGAAACATATAGATGAGATCAAGATTCGCAAAGATTGATTAAGGGATAGAATGCAAACCAAGTGATTTTTTTAAAAAATTCTTATTGATACATAATAGTAGTATATATTTTTGGGGTGCTTCTTTTGATATACGCAGACAACGTGTAATGATCAAATCAGGGCATTTAGGATATCCCTCACCTCAAACACTTGTCATTTCTTGGAAATATTCCAAAGCTTCTCTTCTAGCTATTTTGGCAAATCAAGTGATTTTAAATACAATCACTTGTTTGATTTCAGCTTAGGATTTTCCATCAACTTTTCTTAAAGGTATTTATTCTTTAGAATGTTCTGAATTTTTATGATTCGTTAAGAATATTGATCACCTGTTCTCAATTTTTTTATACAAGGTTAGAATCCACTTAAAATGAATTAAAACCCATATGATTTTTGTGTCTGTCTGGAAAATAGGGTTTGACTTCCACAGATGTCATAGAGAGCTCAAATATATACTGCATTACATCACTGATATTGTAGCTGTCACAGAAGAGAGAAAAAAATTTGGTACTGGAGATGTCTTGGTAGAAAATGAGCCTTAAAGCTTCTTGATAGATATAAGGCAATCTCTTGATAACATGTCAAGTAACTTAGACGTTACTTTTAAAAATGTGCATTGCTAAAAGGTGCCCGTTAGTGTCAACACATATTCTCTGGCCCTGGGCTGCTCTTTTTGACCCTGCAGGGGAAGCCATGAAAATAAAGTGAATGCTGGCATTAATCAAACCAGTCTTTATTTTGACAGCATTTGGAATTCATTCTTCTCACTGGGTGGTACTGCCACCACTGTATTTTTTTTTTTTTTTTTTTGAAATGTGCTTCCTGATAACTACTGTCAGGCTTGAGAAGTGGACAGGTGTGACTCCCTAACTTGAGGACAGGCCTGCTGTATTGAAAGGGAAAAGAATGGAAAGGGAGGTGTGATAGCATTTTTAATAAATATGTCTGCAATTCATGATAGTGTGAGTATAATATAAAAAGAAGGGAGGGGGAAGAAAGGGGGATGGGTTAGGAGTAAGGATCACCATATCCAGTAACAGCCCAGACTCAGAGAGCCTTAAGATTGGATAAATGTAAACAGCATTTTATTGTTTAAAATGTTAAGATAGCCAGGCATGATGGCTCACACGTGTAATCCCAGCACTTTATGAGGCTGAAGCAGGAGGATTGCTTGAACCCAGGAGTTCGAGACCAGCCTGGGCAACATGGCTAAACCCCATCTCTACAAAACATAAAAAATTAGCCATGGTGTGTGCCTGTAGTCACAAGCTACCCAGGAGGCTGAGGTGAGTGGATCACTTGAACCCAGGAGTTCAAGGCTGCAGTGAGTTATGATTATAACACTACATGCTAACTTGGGTGACAGAGCAAGAACTCATCCGTTAAAAAAAAAAAGCTATAAAAAAAAATCTTGGCCAGGCGCCGTGGTTCACGCCTGTAATCCTAGCATTTTGGGAGGCTGAGCCAGGTGGATCATCAGGTCAGGAAATCGAGACCATCCTGGCCAACATGGTGAAACCCCATCTCTACTAAAAATACAAAAATTAGCCAGACATGGTGGCGGGTGCCTGTAGTCTCAGCTACTCAGGAGGCTGAGGCAGGAGAATCACCTGAACCCAGGAGGCAGAGGTTGCAGTGAGCCAAGATCGCGCCACTGCACTCCAGCCTGGGGGACAGAGGGAAAGACTCCGTCTCAGAAAAAAAAAAAAAAAATCTTAAAGATGTTTCCAAAAAAGTGCTATTCTTTGCATTTTCTTACAGAAACATAAAAGCAAAGTGGCTGTATAACAGAGTAACCAGAGTTTTGGTAAATGTGGTTTGAATTATGTTCAGATGAATGCAAAGTGATATGTTTTCTGGAAAAGGTATCTAGCACATAGCTTTTTTATTGCTTGAAACTGCTTAAGATTTCACATGGACTTTTGGGGGGAGCTTCGTCCTTCTTGAAAATCTAATACCACCAGACTGTAAACTGCTCAGAAGAAAGGATTACACCCACCATTTCCCATGCCTCTCCCCACAGTGCCTGGTACTTCGTACACAATAGAAACTAAGAAATATTGTGTCTGAATTACTAAAGCGTCACATTCAAAGCACTTTCATTACCAAATGCAAAGCAGAGACCATTTATACTATGGTTATTTCCAAAATCTCTTGCTGCTAATTAATGAACTCTTATCTGTCATGAGATGTAACATCTATTTAGAATGATGGAAATAGAATTTCTCTCTTTCATTCTTTTGTCATTCTCATTCTACCATTCATTTATTTCTTCAATAGCAAACACATTTGCTTTTTATTTATTACTCAGGTTTTTGCTCCTAGCATAGTGAAACTGTCTGCAATGTCAGAAGAGATGTGTTAAGCTCTGGTACCCAGCTGCGTGCTGAAATATAGTAAACGACTGGCATTCTTATCGCAGTTTCTGTGGCCTATTACTCTTTGTTTCATTACTGTTTAATATTTACTAAGAGTGCTGTCAGCTCCTGCGCTTTCATTTCCTCTCCTTCACAGGCATCTCCCCCTCCTTCCTTGCTCTTCCTTGCCCTGCCCCCACACCCTCCAGCTACCTACTATCAAGCTCACTGGAATTCTGGATGCTAAAAAAAAAACAAAAACAAAAACCAAATTTCCCTTGCCATCTTTCATTTGCAAGATTCCCCCCAGAAAGTGCAAATGATTCGGATGGAGGGAAGCAGACAAAAGAGATGAGTTCTCCAGGCCAAGTACATAGAGCTAAAGCAGACGTCTCACACTGACGGCCAGTGTACCTAGTTCGCACAATGTTTTGATTTCTTTTTTTTCCAGATGAACCAATATCAAAATATCAGGCCTTGTGTGCTAATAGAAATGTCCAAATTCTCTTAAAAAATTGGAAGACCTGGACCTACATTCCTGCATGGTAACAATCAGCTACAGCAGAGTGTCCCATGCTCCATGAGTTAAGTAGACCCTGAAAACAACAACAACAACAACAACAACCAGCAACCAACAACCAACACAACCCCTGCACACGGTAAAAAAGATTTATCTGCTCAGATGCCACAAACTCTGCAACTAGCCAGTTGTGCAGGGTAAAGCCGACTGAAACAGTGAGAAGTTTTGTGGTTGGAACTTGATTCCCCTGAGGCTCCATCTTCTCTTCCGTAGATGGGGTAGTGATGCTGCTATCTGTCCCCATGGGATTATCTCAAGACTATTATTATTATTATTATTATTTTATTATTATTATTATTTGAGGCGGAGTTTTGCTCTTGTTGCCTAGGCTGGAGTGCAATGGTGCGATCTCGGCTCACTGCAACCTCTGCCTTCCAGGTTCAAGCCATTCTCCTGCCTCAGCCTCCTGAGTAGCTGGAATTACAGGCGCCTGCCACCACGCCTGGCTAATTTTTTGTATTTTTAGTAGAGACGGGGGTTTCTCCATGTTGGCCAGGCTGGTCTTGAACTCCTGACCTTAGGTGATCTGCCTACCTCAGCCACCCAAAGTGCTGGGATTACAGATGTGAGCCACTACGCCTGGTCGACTATTATTATTATTATTATTTTTTTTTTTTTTTTTTTGAGACGGAGTCTCGCTCTGTCGCCCAGGCTGGAGTGCAGTGGCGGGATCTCGGCTCACTGCAAGCTCCGCCTCCCGGGTTCACGCCATTCTCCTGCCTCAGCCTCCCAAGTAGCTGGGACTACAGGCGCCCGCCACTACGCCCGGCTAATTTTTTGTATTTTTAGTAGAGACGGGGTTTCACCGTTTTAGCCGGGATGGTCTCGATCTCCTGACCTCGTGATCCGCCCGCCTCGGCCTCCCAAAGTGCTGGGATTACAGGCGTGAGCCACCGCGCCCGGCCGACTATTATTTTTTAAAATATGATTTGAGTGACAGTATCGACTACATGGCTGCTAGTTTTTCTGGGTTCATTCTTTTGGGTTAAATGGTATCTACTTGATGCTCCCCCTTTTAAAATACAAGCATACACGGATGGGTAATATATTGAGTTACAAATGCACCTAGGTTGAGTTACACCTAGGAGAATACAAGGATGGCTGTGGGCCGGTAGGGTCCCCTAGCCATGAACCCCACACCTCACATTCTTAGTTTCCCCTAGCCCGTGCCTTCCTATTTTAGGTCTCTTCCAGGATCTTTTGGTGCCTTCTGAAAACTCAATGTGTGTTTTGTTTCTGAGTTCCCTTCTACCACCCCATCATTTTAAGTCATTCCTGGGAGATATGGACCTTACTAGTCCATTCTGTAGGAGCCATTCTAAGCAGACTGAATCCATGGGTGGTATAAGGTTGGCAGAGATTTCCCTTCCTTCTTTTCTTCCTCCCTCCCTCCTTCCTTCCTCTTCTTTCTTTCCTCTTCTTTTTCTTTCTTTCCTTCAATTAGAAACAAATCCAAGACTGAGCACAGTGGTTCATACCTGTAATCTCAGCACTTTGGGAGGCTGAGGTGGGAGGATTGCTTGAACCCAAGAATAAACCAGGCTGGGCAACATAGTGAAACTTGTCTCAAAAAAAAAAAAAGAGAGAAAGAGAAAGAAAAGAAAATAAACAAATCCAGATTTCAGCAATTCATTTTTTAAAGAGATGGAATCTTGTTTTTTTGCCCAGGCTGGAGTATAGTGGTGCAATCGTCACTCACTGCAGTCTCCTAATGCCTGGACTCAAGCAGTCTTCCTGCTTCACCTCCTCAGCCTCTGAATAGCTGGGACTACAGGTGCATGCCATTACACCTGGTTAATTTTTTTTTATTTTTGTAGAGACAGGGTCTCACTATGTTGCCCAGACTGTTCTTGAACTCCTGTCCTCAGGTGAACCTCCCGCCTTGACCTCCCAAAGTGTTGGGATTACAAAGTGTTGGGTGGTTGTGAACCACGGTGCCCAGACTATTTCAGCAATTTTTTTCCAATTAGTTTATCATTATTCCAGCTCAAGTCTTTCCTTAAAAATCATATCATAATGACCTCCCCTCCTCCATCTTGCATGGATGCAGGAAATGTAGCCCTAACTCCTAGGATTTCTGAGAAGCCAGGGATCATGTTGACAAGTTCCACAAGCCCATTTTGGCTGCCACTGTCCCCTCTCACTCCCCACCACACTGGAAGCCTTTTCCTCCATCACCTCTCGTGCTCACACCTCTCCCCAGTCCACTTTCCTCCAGAGCACAGACACGTGCTTCCCTCCTATCCCTCAGTGCACTGCTAACAGAAAGCCATTGTCTTTAACATTCTTCACTGGATGGTGGGCGCTACACACAAAATGGAAAACAACTTGAGACTTCAGTTTTTAAAACTTTGCTCCTGAGGACAGTGGCCATCCCCTTTCCAGACCTTCTCCTGCTTGCCTCTGTCCTCCACCAGCTCAGCTGCTCAATGCACTATCTTTCATGGTCTTCCTCCCCAACCCCTCCCACCCTGCCCCTTGCCACTCACATAGAAAATGCTTCAAACCATAATAATCTCTGCAGCATGTGCTCTGCTCCCACTGGAGTCAGCATTTTTAATCATTAAAGACAATATCGAGCACCCCAGGCTGAAGCAGCTGTATTTAACTTATTCCCCCCATCTGAGGCTTCTGCAAGGAAGTCTGCATGACTTATAACTAGAAAGCCTTATCAAGGCCCCCTGCCTGTCCTAAAGACGTCCTTTAAAGCCATCAGAAATATTGGAGGCTGGTGTCAAAGCTTTTGGATGCTTTTCTATTTCTGGAGAGATCTCAAGGCTTCCTTAGACCTCCTTAATAAGAGCAGGTTATAAGGAACTACCTGAAGAATTCAGTGACAGGAAAAGCATGTATTGAACCTCTACTGTCTATGTATCTGTGGCGCTGCCTGGAGAGACATAGGGTGCTCTATAAGTGTTTGAGGACACCACCTGACTCTTTTCTTTTCTTCTGTGTTTTGAGAATTTACAAATGTCATGGGAAACTGAACCATATGAGCAAAACTCAGCATGCAGAAGCTTTAGCATTTGTAGTCTCTGTTGCCACAAGAACTTTTAAAAAATGAAAAACAGGCCGGGTGCAGTGGCTCACCCCTGTATTCCCAGCACTTTGGGAGGCCAAGGCAAAGCAGGCAGATTGCTTGAGTTCAAGAGTTTGAGACCAGCCTGGGCAACCGGGCAAAACCGCATCTCTCCAAAAAAAATACGAAAATTAGCTGGGCGTGGTGGTGTGTGCCTGTAGTCCCAGCTAATTGAGGAGCTGAGGCTGGAGGATCACTTGAGCCCAGGAAGTTGAAGCTGCAGTGAGACAAGATTATGCCACTGCACTCCAGCCTGGGTGACAGAGTAAGACCCTGTCTCAAAAATAAATAAATAAATAAATAAACAAATATAAAAAACGAAAAACAAAAACACGAAGAGTGAGGCTGATGTGGTGAACACTGATAGCAATTATGTTCTGATAGGGTTTTGAATTTCAGGGTGGATACTAGGGAAATAGGGGGTCCTTCTTCCCTGAGGAGTGTGCGTTTTTAAAGCAAAGGATAAAGAAAGCTTTTACTGCAAAGCTTGGCCTCCAGCTCACAAATGTAAATGTATGCCACAGATACTGAACAATAAGTTATTCACACCTGTGTCAAGAGAGGAGGAGCCGCTTGTCTTAGCTTCAGACCTTACCATGCTCAAAATGATAACCAATGTTCCAACACCTCCCCCTCCTCCCAGTTCCTCATTTCCTTTTTCACTCCCAAAGGTATGTTGTATTTCATTTGAAAGTGCTTAGAGACTATAGCAATATGCACTATATAAATAATAGATGGAATGCAATAGAATGGAAATAGTCTTGGACCCCTGACTTTGGCTTACATCCCAAAACAGACAGATTTAGACATGCAAACACTGTTTCTTTGACAGATTTGTTCTCTTCCCCGCTTTCCTTAAAGCTATCATTTCATTTACTTATTCAAATTTTTGTATGCCTGTTTGGAGGGTAGGGGAAGTTCACAGTCTTCCACCTCTATTGTTCACGGTGGATGTGCTGAGTGTGGAATGTCAGTGCATATAAAATATAAAAAAATAAAGGCAGAGGAGGGAGAGCAGTAGAAAAAAGCATAAAGTATAAGACAGAATTAAATAAAACCAACAATAAACAGTTGCTTATTTTTTGCCAGGTATTACATCAGAGTGATGTAGGGATACAAAGAACATCGAGGCATGGACTTCATTTCCAAAGGACGTGACTCTTGCATGCAGCAAACTAAGATAAATGCTAGAAGGAGATGGTAGTGCATGAGGAGTTTGTTTTAGTAGGAGAGATCAAGCTGGAAAGGCTTCCTATGTAGATCTTCTATAGGATTTTGAAGATGTGAAGAACAAGAATTTGATAGGGAAAATAGAATGAGCAGAGGTACAGAAACAGAAAAGCAACAAGTGGGGTGGGGATCCATGGGCTGGAGTAACAAAGGCTGAACCCAGATTAAGGAGGAAAGAAAGAAAGGAATTCACATGAAGTAGGCCGTTCATTCTATGCTGAGCTTCTTCAAATGAATTCTCATGTAATCTTCTAAACAGCTTTGTAAAATAGATACTATTCTTCTCCTTGCACAGATAAGCAAAGTGAAAGGTTAAATATTAGCACACGGATGGGACTTGAACCCAGGTCCTCTGACTGCCCACCTTGTCCCCCTGTCAGGGTACAAATGTTCTGTGCATTTTTTCTATTGCCTTAGACCCCGGATTTAGGATTTGGAATTTATCTATGGACAATGGGAGCCACTGAAACTCTTTTCAGCAAGGGAGATACACAATTAAATCAGAAAAGAGAGAACTATCATTAAAATGATCAGTTTTTATCAAAGGGCCTCTTTAGAGGGCAAGGGGCCCAGATGGGACAGTTAGCAGGCAAGGAACAGTAGCTCTCATTTCGTGACTGCCCTTTTAATATATCTGGCAACTGATCATCTGATATAACACTTTAGATCATTGTCTAATAGTCTGAAATTAATCTGAGTTTTTTTATAATCTAATGTGTGCAGCAGCTACAGTACATTTTTTCTCCCTTTATTTGGTTCCCAAAAGATTAATTACATCAAGGACACCTATTCCAAATTTAGTACAAATTAAAATCACTGAAACATACAGTGCTAGAGCACTCATGCATGGCTGATGGTAGAGAAATCAGAAGAATCACTTGGAAAGTAATTTGAAACTGTAGATCAAGTCTCAAAAATGTTCATTTTTGAAAATTTTTATAAAGAGAGATTTCAATTGGAGAAAATGTGTGACCAAATATGTTTATTGCCTCATTATATAATAATAGAAAATAAATGGCATGTTTACCAAATAAAATATTATAAATGTATTAAAATGAAAAACATCAGCAACGTGTCAGAATATAGAAATATTTATAAAGTAATGTTATACAAAAAATTTTGAGTACATGATTATAATTTTTAAAATCATCACATGTATTAGTAGCTACAGGAGAGTAAAGTAGAAAATGGCAATTGTAAGTTGGTTGTTTGTTTGTTTGTTTGAGACAGGGGCTCACTCTGTAGCCCAGGCTGGAGTGCAGTGGTGGGATCTCGGCTCACCGCAGCCTCAACCTCCCAGGCTCAATCAATCCTCCCACCTCAGCCTCCCAAGTAGCTGGGATCCGAGCTGCATGCCACCATGCCTGGCTAATTTTTGTAATTTTTGTAGAGCTTTCACCATGTTGCCCAGGCTGGTCTTGAACTCTTGGGCTGAAGTGATCCACCGTGTAGATCTCCTAAAATGCTGGGATTATCAGGCGTGAGCCGCTGCACTAGGCCAGAAAATGGCAATTGTATTTGCTGGGCTTTTTTTTTTTTTCTTTAAAATTCTTGTTACGGTTGTTTTGAACATTTTTTAATAGTATTATTTTCTAAATGTCATGTCTGCAGGCAGAAGCAACTAGGGTGAAAGGGGACAGGAAATCCATCACCAAGAACAGCAATATCAAATCACAATGTGCAATTTTTATGCCAAGTACTAGCAAAAGAAATAGTTTTTGGTTATATATTGTTTTGTGTTGCCCTTGATTACTGAGTGTTTATATTGTTAAGCCAGAAGTATTTGACATTGAATGAAAGGAAGATATGGGACTTCTTTTCTTATAAAAATGTATGTCATTTTTATAATTGGTAAAACATTCACATTATACTTTTTCAATTGTGTACATCTTCATCTGTCTGAATAGGTTTAAGGGCAACTCTACCTAAAGGCAAATAAATAGATAAGAGCTCTGAAGTCTCTTTTAAAAGGTGTATGGTTCTATGACTATCAATCTAGAAATTCACAGCTATTACAGGAAAAGAAAGAACATAAATAGCTACAAAAGAAATAATGGAAGCATGGGTAAAAGTGGCTTATTTCTATTTAAAAGCATAATTATAATATTGAGAATAAGATACCTTTTTTATTTTAACTGGCACATTTATGAAAATGAAATAATACAAGAATAACTGTAATAATAATATTTTACAAAGCACTTTCATACCCATTATCTTTACAGTTTTACATAAAGTAAAATACTGATCCACAAATGGCATGTAATTCCTACTTTAATTTTAGGATAACTATTATAATGAAAATACAGTAGGTAAAAAAATCTGAGTGCAAATGTCGTTGTGATAGGTACTTGATAAAATAATTCACCTTGAACATAGACACAATCTGTGAGAGCTTAAATTCTAAAATGTACAGCAGGAATGCAGACATATCATAGGATGGCTTAGTAAAATGAACAAAAACAGAAAAGACAATAGCACAAGTTGAAGCATGCTGGTGGTTAGATCCATAGGAGCTGCAAAGTATGAGATGACATTTCCCTGTGCCATGGGACTCTATACGAGGCTGGGGGTTGAAGTCTATTTTTGTCCCAGACCCCAGAAAGCAAGTTTTTCTAAGGTTCTGTATCCTAAAATATGAATGTGAATTTAAGAGTGATAAAATATGGAATCAAATATTTTTAATGTACTATAGAGCAGATAGAGTTTATTTTATTTAATTTATTCATTTATTTTTTGAGACAGTCTCACTCTCACCCAGGCTGAAGTGCAATGGCACAAATGTGCCTCACTGCAGCCTCCATCTCCTGGGCTCAAGCTGTCCTATGGCCTCAGCCTCCCAAGTAACTGGGGTTACAGGTGTGCACCACCAAACTCAGATAATTTTTTAATTTTTTGTAGAGACAGGGTCTTGCTATGTTGCCCAGGCTGGTCTCAAGCTCCTGAACTCAAGGGATCCACCAGCCTCAGCCTCCCAAAGTGCTAGGATTACAGGTGTGAGCCACCACACTCAGGCTGAGTTAATTTTAAAATGCAGGTGAGTTTTGTGAAGTGATCCCTGGGGTATTGGAAAGGAGATAATGTCTGAACAGGGAAAGAAGAGCATCAAAGGATTAATTGATGAGACATGGCAGGCTGACTCCTAAAAAATGAGGCAAAGGCCTGGAGCATGCTGTCCTTCCCCATGAGAGGGATGTGGATGCTCAGGGGACTGTGCTTGGCTATAGGGGCTGACCTCACGATTCTTTGGGGTGAGAGAAAGCACAGGGGCCAAACACAAGAATGCTTTCCAGTCATGGGGAGGCATATGCAGCTCTAAGGCAAAGCAGCAGAAGTCCCACCAGGCACTCAGGGCACAGAATGGTGAGTCCTACCGTGGATGGGGTTTCCAGGACTCCTGGCATACCTGACTGTTGTGTGCAGTGCACCAGCCATTGAGTGGGCCGAGTGAATTTCCAGTAGAATTCTAATATATCCTGAGGTTTCCAGAATAGGAACCAAGACAGATTTCCAGTTTTACCAGCTGGGTCAGATAAGAAAATTGACTCAAGAATTGGAACTTTAGTGAGGAGTTCAATTACCAGGATTGGACAAAGAGGGACACGGATTCAGAGGCCTAGTGGGGAGGGGAGCAGCACTGCTTCCCTGCCAGTCCAATAATACTAAGTTCCAAATGAGGTCATTGTACTTGCTGCCAACATCAGGAACTAAAGTGGCGCCCAGCCTAGAGTGGCAGCCCTGGACCTGGCTGTTAAGGCAGATGTAATCTACTGTCAGTGGAGTCAGAAAACAGAAGTTTAGTGTTTAGAGCTGGTGACTACACAGGAAAAATGATTGTTTCCCAGACACTGGAAGAGTGTTAGTAACGATGGTGGCCTGAACACAGAATAGTAGGTAAGGATGGTGTACGCCAGGAAGATAAAGCATTTTCTGATAGTTGTAGGTTGAAGGAGCTATGGTTAACACTTAAAAATCTGAGAGGCTTTGAGGTGGCCAGAGAGATGGAGACCACAGTGTCATCCTGGTGTTTAATCCTGTACAGAGCAAACTAAATGCCATAAACCCTATTTGTGAAATAGCTTAACCTTATGTAAATTCTAATTTTAAATTACCATTCATAGAGTAGTATTAAGTATATATAGCATAGGCTGGGTGCCGTGGCTCCCGCCTATAGTGCCAGCACTTTGGGAGGCCGAGGCAGGCAGATCACTTGAGCCCAGAAGTTCAAGACCAGTCTAGGCAACATGGCAAAATCCTATATTAAGAAAAAATATATAAATTAGCTGGCTGTGGTTGCATGCACCTATAGTTCCAGCTACTTGGGAGGCTGAGGTGGGAGGATCACCTGAGTTCAGGAGGTCAAGGCTGCAGTGAGCTAAGACTGCACCACTGCACTCTAGCCTGGGCAACAGAGTGAGACCCTATCTCAAAAAAAAAAATATATATATATATACATATATATATATATGTAACATAGCTGAATACTGACTATGGTAAACAAATTGGAGGGAAAGGAATATAGCCAGAAAACAGCAGAAAAAAACCTGGAACCCTGAAGTTTGGCCTCTATTGGAAAAACCTCACCACCCTCACCTCACACACCTTCAACTGTGAGAGCTGGCCCCAGTCCTGTATTTTTGTTCCCTGTCCCCTCATCACCTTCAGACCCAATGCCTACAGTCCTCAGCCCACCTTTCAGAAAACACATGTACTTGCCTTACCCCGAGACCAGGAACACTGTTGGCCCTTCACTGTATCCTGGGACACTGGTTCATGGTGGGTGGGAGACACATGGCATGGGCGCCTCCATTTATCCTTTGAGCCAAAATGATGGTTTGTAAAGAAGTGAACACTTAAAAGATAGAGATGGGCTGGGCATAGTGGCTCACACCTGTAATCCCAGCACTTTGGGAGGCCGAGGCAGGCGTATCACCTGAGGTCAGGAGTTCAAGAACAGCCTGGCCAACATGGTGAAACCCCATCTGTACTAAAAATACAAAAAAAATTAGCTGGGGGTGGTGGCACATGCCTGTAGTCCCAGCTGCTTGAGACACTAAGACATGAGAATTGCTTGAACCTGGGTGGCAGAGGTTGCAGTGAGCTGAGATTGCACCACTGCACTCCAGCCTGGGCGACAGAGCGAGACTCAGTCTCAATTAAAAAAAAAAAAAAAAGATAGAGCTGAAACAGCAGGAGCACCATGGAAACTGGAGGCTTCCCTCTGGGAAAACTGCGAATGTCTTATCCCTGCTGGGGAGAGCATGGCAGTACTGAGTGATAGCGTGAGCACCAGCAGCCATCCATAGTGATGGTATAAAGGTTGGCAGTGACCAGAGAAACCAGCAGCAGTGGGAACAGTACAGCCTTGTTTGCAGGAGCAATGAGTGACTGTACAAATGCCACGTGTGTGTCGGGAGCTAGACCTCAGCAGAACCTAACTGGCTGCCAAAAAGAGACAGGACTACCATGGGACCCTACCAGGGGTTAGAAGGAGGGGATGTCTTATCCCCGATTCCACTGTGAGCAGCTAAAAAGCAGAGACTATTTTCATTATTTTTGTAGTAGTTACCTCTTGATTGTTCCCTGGCAGGCTGCCTAGAAAGCAAGGGTTACATAGATTTGAAACTAAGGTAATTGGCTTTAGTTTTTATGTTAATTGCTTTAATATTTTTCCTTTATTACTACTATGGGCCACTATTTTAAAACACCTATCATATGCTAGCCATTATGATGGAATGGGTATTTACATATATGTAAAAGATTTAACTATGCCCCCTTTTCAGGTAAGATAATTGACTCTCAGGAAGATTAACTGAGACTTGAACTCAGGTTGTGGTGCCTAGTTTCAAAACCCAAAGCTTCCCCACATTCCATTCACTCTTTCTTTTAACTCTTACTGTGTAAAGTGAGGTTTCAAAACCCTTTATCACCTCACCTGACTCTTGACTAGTCTTGAAAGCTTCTTGTGATTTCCTGTCTACAATGTTGATCTGTTTGCCCCAAGTTCATTCAGGCTGATTGCATTTTTTTTTGAAACAGGGTCTCTCTCTCTCTCTCTCTCTCTCTCTGTCACCCAGGCTGGAGTGCAGTGGCACGATCTCAACTCACTACAACCTCCGCCTTCCAGGCTTAAGCAATCCTCCCATCTCAGCCTCCCAAGTAGCTAAGACTACAGGTGTGCACCACCAGGCCTGGCTAATTTTTTTTTTTTTTTTTGTAGAGGCAGGGTTTTTGCCATGTTGCTCAGGTTGGTCTCAAACTCCTGGGCTCAACGGATACACCCATCTCAGCCTTCCAAAGAGCCGGGATTACAGGCATGAGCCCAGCAGGAGTCTGATTGCATTTTTAAATGGTCTCTATCTCAAATAAGTTAATAAGACAGACTGTATAAAGACACTATCATTTGGTGTAAGTTTAGTTCTATTTACTCAACCTCACAATGATAATTACAGAATAAGATGTTAGGGTGGCTTCACAATACAGTTTCAATGCTTTCATTTTAAAGACCAACAAAAGAGAAGACACTAAGCAAAAATAGGAGAGGCTTACAAAATTAATAAAACCTCCACTGACTCAGTAGGTTATTTAGCTCACTGTGTTCTAAAAACAAACTTATCTTGGGCCGGGCATGGTGGCTCACGCCTGTAATCCCAGCACTTTGGGAGACCGAGACAGGAGGATCACTTGAGCTCAGGAGTTCGAGACCAGCATGGCCAACATGGTGAAACGCCTTCTCTATAAAAATTAGCCAGGTGTGGTGGCACATGCCTGTGGTCCCAGCTACCCAGGAGGCTAAGGCAGGAGGATCACTTGAACCCGGGAAGCAGAATTTGCAGTGAGCTGAAATCGTGCCACTGCACTCCAGACTGGGCAACAGAGCAAAATCCTGTCTCAAAATAAATAAATAAATAAATAAATAAATAAAAATAAAACAATCTTTAAGAGACTGGTATTTTCCTTGGCTCTTTTCATTGAGAGTTCATTCCTAAAGCTTTAGTTTTTATTTGTTTATTTAAGTACTTACAAGGATAATATCAAAAGACGGCCGAAAGCGTGTTAACTTTGGTATTTGTAATTTATCACTATATATTATTAATGAGTTGATGAATAAATAATGAATAGTAAGACGAACAGAGAATATTTTTTGAATCAACAAAATTGGTTTGAGCAATGGTTACAATGGAGTGATTAATGTTCAGTGGCTCATGGGTTTGCATTCTTCATATTTACCAGGGTAAAAGGATCATGTGGAGCCAGAAAAACGTATGAGGAAATTTTAAGATACTTCAAAGGAATTGTTTCTAAAATCTTTCTAAAAAAGACATGTAGGGAAACAAAAACAATTTATTAGTAGCTTTATTGCTGTTCTCTCTCAATGCTCATTTTAATGTTCAAAACAAATCTCTTGGCTGGGCGTGGTAGCTCATGCCTGTAATCGCAGCTACTCAGGAGGCTGAGGCAGGAGAATCACTTGAAGCCAGGAGGTGGAGTTTGCAGTGAGCTGAGATGGCGCCACTGCACTCCAGCCTGGGTGACAGAGTGAGACTCCATCTCAAAACAAAACAAAACAAAATAAAATAAATGTCTCCATTTCTTCCACATCTTCCATTTTATTTTTATTTATTATTATTATTATTTTTTTAAGACTAGTCAAGTGCAGTAGTGAGAAGAGGAGAAAGAGTAGAACAAGGAGTTTGACTATGAACAATCAGTTGACATAACTCATCACCTTCAGACTAGCCAACATCTTCCATTTTAATGTGAAAAATAGCAAGCCAAGTAGGCTAGAAAAGGATTACTAAGTAAAATCACATTTCCGATGTCAGTAATATTCTTGAAATTCTTCACTGTTTCTTGTTTGAAAGAAATGCAGATGATTCGTATTTTTCCTCTTACTCAAAAATGGTCAACAAGATTGCTTGAAAAAGCATCACCGTATTTCATGTTAACTTTTCCCCTAACACTTACAATGTCTATGGTTTCCTCTCCCAAATTCTATTTTAATGTCTGAAAAATATTAAATACCCCAAATTTTGTGAAAACTACATTAATTATTAAAAGTTTTATACATATAAACTTTATATATGCATATATTTATATGTTTTTAAATCGTTTTCATTAAAAGGCCTTAGTCTAATTCCATTGAGACTACTGTCTGTCTTTCACCTGTGAAGTTGTATAGATTTTTTAAATCAATTTCCACATATGGAAAGAATACACATGTGTATTGAGGGAATAAAAGGAAGCATTGATTATCTCTCAACTCATATTAATGTAACCCAACATTGAGTTTTCTATTTGGTTCCATAGCTTTGCATTAGTAATGCATGCAGTTATTTGCAAACAGAATTCCACATTCCCTGGGCAGAATGGTGACGGGGAAGATGCATTTGGTCAGGGGACCTTTTAGAGAATTTCACATTATACCTGTTCACATAAACTTACTCACATACATTTGCACTTTTATTTTGAAAGACCCTTGAGCAAAGATGTCTTGCTAGTTCCTCTCTATGCAGATTTTCTTTTAGAACTCTAGCTGCTTTTGAGTATTTGACAATGAATAGAGACCAAATGGCAGCACCTATTTTGAAGGAAGAGATGGGGTAGAATCTATTCTCCATCTTCTAAGTAAATGTTCTAAATAGCTAGACAAGTTCACCATAAACTAAGTTTCATACCATAAGGAAGAGTACCTTTTCATCAGCCTTTCATATTAAATAAAATTGAGACTTTTGAAATATTTATTCATTTAGGCAGTTCTTTAAAAACTATTTTTCTTGGCTGGGTGTGTTGGCTCACACCTGTAATCCCAGCACTTTGGGAGGCCAAGGCTGGCAAATCACTTGCAGTCAGGAGTTTGAGACCAGCCTGGGCAGCATGGCGAAACCCTCTCTCTACAAAAAATACAAAAATTAGCCAGGCGTGGTGGCATGCATCTGTTGTCCCATCTACTTGGGAGGCTGAGGTGGGAGGATCTCCTAAGTCTCTCTTCTCAGAATAAGGTAGTTGCCATGGAAACAATGACAATGACTAAATTCAACTAGAAACATTGCCTGTTAAATATGCCACATACATACAGTTCTTTCCTTCCTTCAAAGTAGAGAGAAGTCATCTGGAGAGTGGGTAACAATCTTAAGACATTGTAATACACTCACATTGATTCCAAGAGTCATTGAGATTTTGCTATATGTCAGACCTATTATCCCCATTTTATAGATAAGAAAGTTAAGGTTATGAGAAGTTAAATAACTTTTCCAAGGGTCACATAGCTAGGATTCAGAATGAGACATGTCTGATATCAGAGTCCTCTCTGCTATGTGGCTGCCAATCATTTGTGGCTATGTATGTGTCTTTACTTCCCTCATTGTTCACTTCTTTCTCAAGCCTCCTAAATAGCTTCCACTTTTATAATTCCACAGATATTGTCTAATTCAAAATTCTAAAATTGTTTGGGCAAAATGTTGCAGTCCTCCAAGATTCCATTTACCTTTTACGCAAATTTCAATTCCCAGAAATATGACATATTACATAACTTGAGAAACATTTTGCCATAAAACACTATGAATGCTGGAAAATAACTAATGCATACCTGACTTGTAAGTGATATCTGCAGGGGACAAAAATGAAGAGTGGTGAGTATTGGAGTTATGGATGCTGCAATCCTATGGAAGATGTGCTGGTGCCACAGGGAAATATGCTTTGTTAGATCTAGGGGTGTGGATTTCAATGCCCTCAGGATATACGACTGAGTCCTGGGCTCACGCAAGACAGAGAGCTAAAACCAACACCTCTGCATGAATTCAGAACCTTCAAAAAGCTATGTCCTTAGTGAATGTGTGGAATGTATGTATGTGTGTGTGTATATATGTATGTATGTATACATGTATTACATATATCCTATATATGTATGGGATGACATACGTGTGTGTATTTTATATATATATATATATATATATATATATATAGTATTAAAGGGTTGAGTAATATATATCTCAACCCTTCTCATTAACACTTGAAGTCAACAAAGAAACTTGTCAGTTTGGACCCTCTGTGGAAGAAAACAGTCTCTCTTGGGAATTTGTAACCTTATATCTGCTCTTATCCTGGCTTAGGATTTGAATTTATACCAGGGGTTGGCAAATATTTTCTGTAAAGGGCCAGAGAATAACTATTATCAGCTTTGTACACGTAGGCTCTGTTATAGCTATTCAGCGCTGCCTTTGCAGAGGGAAGGTGCTGTAGGCAATGTGTAAACAAACGGGCATGTTTGTGTATCAATAGAACTTTTATAAAAGCAGGTGGTGGTTTGTTGATTTACACTATCTGCATGGGCCAGGAACCTGTAAGTCAAAAAACTGATCCCAATAAAAATTGGTCTTTCACATATTTCTGAATATAAAGCATACAAGAAAGCAGTACAGCATACCTGAGAGCCAGCAGACATGGGAGGAATGGGTTCCCCAGGACATTCAGATAACAGAACGACTGGATAGGAACTATAAAATAAACATAAATGTGATTAAGAACATAGAAAGACTCTAAAGTGTGAGAACAGAATGAGAATCTATTTAAAAAAAAACCAACATATAGGTTTGAAAGGAATAATTAAATAGAACTTTTGATTTTTTTTGAGATGGAGTCTCACTCTGTCACCCAGGCTGGAGTGCAATGTCCGCCTCCTGGGTTCAAGCGATTCTGCCTCAGCCTCCCAAGTAGATGGGACGCCACCATGCCCGGCTAATTTTTGTATTTTTAGTAGAGGTGGGGGTTTGACATTTTGGCCAGGCTGGTCTCAAACTCCTCACCTCAGGTGATCCACCCGCCTTGGCCTCCCAAAGTACTGGGATTACAGGCGTGAGCCACCATGCCCAGCCAATCAAATGAACTTCTATAAATGACAAACAAAAGTAATTGAAATTAAGTATCAATAGAAAATTAGAAAAAGAAGACTTCATGTCTAAAACACCAAAAGCAATGGCAACAAAAGCCAAAATTGACAAATGGGATCTAATTAAACTAAAGAGCTTCTGCACAGCAAAAGAAAATACCATCAGAGTGAACAGGCAACCTACAGAATGGGAGAAAATTTTTGCAACCTACTCATCTGACAAAGGGCTAATATCCAGAATCTATAATGAACTCAAACAAATGTACAAGAAAAAAACAAACAACCCCATCAAAAAGTGGGCAAAGGATATGAACAGACACTTCTCAAAAGAAGACATTTATGCAGCCAAAAAACACATGAAAAAAATGCTCACCATCACTGGCCATCAGAGAAATGCAAATCAAAACCACAATGAGATATCATCTCACACCAGTTAGAATGGCGATCATTAAAAAGTCAGGAAACAACAGTTGCTGGAGAGGATGTGGAGAAATAGGACACTTTTCCACTGTTGGTGGGACTGTAAACTAGTTCAACCATTGTGGAAGTCAGTGTGGCGATTCCTCAGGGATCTAGAACTAGAAATAGCATTTGACCCAGCCATCCCATTACTGGGTATATACCCAAAGGATTATAAATCATGCTGCTATAAAGACACATGCACACATATGTTTATTGAGGCACTATTCACAATAGCAAAGACTTGGAATCAACCTAAATGTCCAACAACGATAGACTGGATTCAGAAAATGTGGCACATATACACCATGGAATACTATGCAGCCGTAAAAAATGATGAGTTCATGTCCTTTGTGGGGTCACGGATGAAACTGGAAACCATCATTCTCAGCAAACTATCACAAGGACAAAAAACCAAACACCCCATGTTCTCACTCAGGGGTGGGAATTGAACAATGAGAACACATGGACACAGGAAGGGGAACATCACACACCGGGGACTGTTGTGGGGTCGGGGGAGGGAGGAGGGATAGCATTTGGAGATATACCTAATGCTAAATGACGAGTTAATGGGTGCAGCACACCAACATGGCACATGCATACATATGTAACAAACCTGCACGTTGTGCACATGTACTCTAAAACTTAAAGTATAATTAAAAAATAAATAAATAAATAAATAAAAAATAAAAAAATAAAAAAAAGAAAAAGAGCAGAAGTGAGACTCAATGAGCCAAAACTGACAAAACTACCCATAACTTGGAGAAAGGAAGAAATGGAAAATAGAAAAGGTAAATTGGGATGGAGAAGAAACCAAAAAGACATATTATTTACAAAGCAATGATAATTAGAATTGTAGTCTAACTTGGTGAATCTTCCACTTGAAGTAAAGTAGATCCTTTTGGGAGCTACCTCTTTAGGGCTAATAATGCAACATCTCTGAGCACATCTTTCATCTCCTAGATTACCTCTTATGTTGGTTCCTCCTAGAATTTCTTTTCTTCTAAGAAACAATTAGGCTGGGTGCCGTGGCTCACACCTATAATCCCAGCACTTTGGGAGGCTGAGGTGGGTGGATCACCTGAGGTCAGGAGTTCGAGACTAGCCTGGCCAATGTTGTGAAACCCCATCTCTACTAAAAATACAAAAATTAGCCAGGCGTGGTGGTGGGTGCCTGTAGTCTCAGCTACTCGGGAGGCTGAGGCAGTAGAATCTCTTGAACCTGGGAGGCGAAGGTTACAGTGGGCCAAGATCGTGCCACTGCACTCCAGCCTGGGTGACAGAGTGAGACTCCGTCTCAAAAACAAACAAACAAGAAACAATTAAATCCTACTTCAGATCCTTTTCACTTTCTCTTAAAAATGCTTCTGAAATTAAATAATGCTAGAAGTCTTTAGGAAGTATGAATTTAGGTTTTTAACTTGTTTTCTTTTTTCTTTTTTTTTTAAGAGACAAGGCCTCACTCCGACACCCAGGCTGGAGTGCAGTGGTGTGATCATGGCTCACTGCAGCCTCAACCTCCCCAGGCTCAAGAAATCCTCCTACCTCAGCCTCCCAAATATTTGGGACCACAGGCAAGTGCCACCACACCTGGCTAATTAAAAAAAAAAAAATCTTTTGTAGATATGAGGTCTCCCTATGTTGCCCAGCCTGGTACTTATTTTCTGTAAATCATGAACATACCTTGATGCAATATTAACATTTTTCTCATACCCTTTAGAAACTCCTTTGTACATGATACATATTTTTTTTTCTTCAGTTCTTTTTTATTCCTAATGAAGCAAACATCTGGGATATTTAATACAAAGTGGAGCATTCTTGACTAACCATTTAAATATTGTCTCTATTTTGTTAGACTCTGACATTAACAAGAATGGCTTCCACCTGTCTCTCGAAGTCTACTGGAAGGCTTTGGAATCCTAATAGCAGAGATTGCATATTTAGTGCCACAGAGAACTAAGCATGTAATATTTTAAGCACGTTATTGTAAAAGAAGGGAATGACTAGTAACCTCTCGCAAAGTACAAGAAGGAGGTGGTACACTTTTTTTTTTTTTGTAACAACAATTACTCATGACAGAAGGACTCAGATGGGGAAAAGGACAGATGGTTCTTATTACACCCTGCCCCTAACTTGAATTACCATTCCCTACCATAAACAGAATGTGCCAAAACTGTAAGAGAAAAAATCATGAGATAAAAATCTGCAATATTTTGTGCCATCGAGTTGTTTAAAACCACAATGTAATGACAAGTACATTTAGTGAATACAGTGAAGTCAGAAAATCTTTTGCCATAATAAACATCAACAGTCATCAAGTATTTAATTGATTCAAGGGTAATATATACACTGGCAAGTGATTGAATGTAAATACGTTTTAAAGTGAATTTTTAAGTTTCCATCATATTGTCTAGTATAATCTTTACAACTCCACTGTAAGCTTTTGTTGCTTTAATAGTTCACTAAGCTTTGACCTACACAAACTAAACTTTTCTGAGTGGTGATTAAGTTTTAATGCCAGATGATGCCTAGACATTTTCAAATGTAAAGATACACATATGGTTTGGAAGAGCCTTAAATTATTAATATCAACCAAGTGGTAGATAAGGAGAATATTTTGCTAACTTTGGAGGTATTTCTTACCTCCTTCACACATAAGTCTTATTAGATTGTCCTCAATATGGCAATCTGTAATGTAATACTTATTAGAGAAGAGTGCTGTGAAATGGAGACATGCTTTTTATCACTTAAATGTATGCAGACCCATATACTCAGAATTTTCAGGATTCTGAAAGATATGAGTGAAAACTTGTGTCAGAGAATATATGTTTATGTGGCACTTATTTGGTTTTATGAATGTTTTAGAGGGAAAGTTGCCAGGCGAGAACTCATCCTCTAAGGACGCTTGATAGCATGCTGGAACCATTCGTTCTGGATCTGCGCCAAGCCTCAGTGGTCAGCAATGATGATGAGCACTATTGGCAACATGATTTTCAGAAAGAACAATCAAAACAGATTCTGTTTGTTGCCCTGTGGATTGGTTCCAAGAAACATCTTTGTCTCTGGATGATCAAAGCATGGTCTGATAGGCTAAGAATGCAGTAATTGTTATAATTAGCTAATAATTTTGGAGCAAAAAAAATTATTAGTGGCTGCTAACTCGTTTGCATGCTAATGTTTTTGGAGGGAGGGGAAAATCTTTTGAGGCTTGACATTTAAAAAATGGATCTGAGTTAACTTTTGGCAGTAGTTGTTGTTAGAATAATATACAGGAGATTGTATTTAGGTGATGCCTTCAGAGAATCCTAAAAGGTGGCTGGTAGAACCTGTGTGTGGTTTCTGGTATCTCAGGTAAAGTTGTCCAGAGTGAGCTTCCTCTTGAGGACAAAGGACAAGAGGAAGAACAGGAGGAGCCTTGGATTTACAGATTCTACCATTTACTCACAAGAATAATAAAAATTCAAAACACCTGCTGTCTCTCAGGATCAAAAAGCAACACAGCGATTTCTTTTAAACAAAAGCAAACACAGGGCAGCAATGAGAAATTCATTATGAAAGAAAATGAAGCAAGTATCTGGACTTGGGCCCTTCCCAAGCCCTGAAAACTAAAGTCTGAACATCCTGATAGATGAGTCACTGCCTCCTTCCTGCTAATGTTTGTACCTGAGAATTCTTTTTTTTCTTTTGTCACCATGAGGGAAAGAATTCTTTTTTCCTGTTGGCTCAGTAGAAGAGACTGGAGGATTCTACTCCAGTTTCTCAAGCTGTGGAGTTGTGGTGGATGATGATGTCAGAAAAGAGAGAGAGATTCCAAAATCCTGGGTTGCAGGTTGGAATTTGACTGCTTTCCCACAAAAACAACAGGGAGCTAGAGTTCTTTGGTTCAGCTGCCTGGGGGTTAGTAGACCTGCAAGGTCCTGCTAGGAACCTAACTACCATTTTTAGCATTGTTTCCATAGGAATTTTTTCTTCTAAGTTCCAAATGAATTCACAAATACCTGTTTTAGAAGTAACAATAGCAGTTAGAGCCAGACATCTGTGGCTCACCCCTGTAGTCCCAGCACTTTGGTAGGCCAAGGTGGGTGGATCACTTGGGCCCAAGGAGTTTGAGACCAGCCTGGGCAACATGGCAAAGCCCCCGCTATACAAAAAATACAGAAATTAGCTAGGTGTTGTGGCGCATGCCTGTAGTCATAGCCACTCAGGAATCTGAGGTCAGAGGATCACCTAAGGCTGGGAAGTAAAGGCTGCAGTGAGCTGTGATTGCACCACTCACTCCAGCCTGAGTGATAAAGTGAGACCCTGTCTCAAAAAAAGAATAAAAGAAAAATATTAATAGAAGTTTGTAGATTGAGGACAACTTGGATTTGAATGTCTCCTTTGTGTTTATTTCTTGATCTTTTCTGTTATAGTGTTTTAATGATGCTCATTGTTAATCTTATGAATTCTTTTTTTTTTTTTTTTTTTTTTGGAGATAGGGTCTCACTTTGTCACCCAGGCTGGAGTGTGGAGTGTAGTGGTACTAACATGACTCACTGCAGTCTTAACCTCCTGGACTAAGCAATTCTCCTGCCTCAGCTCCCCGAGCAGCTCAGATTACAGACACGCACCACCATGCCTATATAATTTTTGTGTTTTTTGTAGAGATGGGGTTTCGCCATATTGCCTAGGCTGGTCTCAAACTCCTGGGCTCATGTGATCTACCTGGCTCGGCCTCCCAAAGTGCTGGGATTATGTTAATCTTATGAATTCTTTTTTCAGTGTCCCAAATTCTTCAGAGAAACTACTTCGCCAGTAATAATATAATTGCTCTAAAACTAGATTTAGAATATTAATGAAAAGATGTGCTTTGATAAGTATAACAAAACATGGTGAATTATGCTGGCTTCCTATTTTTTAATTGTAGGAAGGTAAACTATTATTAATATTTATGGACTATTTCCTATCTTTTCAAAGGTTTTGTTAGTCTCACAATGCTGCAGCCAGAGAAGTAGGTGACATGTATTGTTAATGCATATGCAAATTATTCTAATGGAGTGTAATCCCATTTGTCTTTTGTGCTGTGTTTGTGCTTTTTTGAATCCACACAATGTCACACCTATGGAGGGAAGCTGTTCGGTTTAGGAAGAATACATTTTCTTTTTCTTTTTCTTTTTGTTTTTGTTTTGGAGACAGGGTCTCACTTTGTCACCCAGGCTGGAGTGCAGTGGCGCAAACACGGCTCACTGCAGCCTCGACCTCCCAGGCTCAAGTGATGCTTCCACCTCAGCTCCCCAAGAAGCTGGGGCCACAGGCGCACGCCACCATGCCCGGCTAAAACTTGTATATTTTGTAGGAATGGGGTTTCACCATGTTGCCCAAGCTGTTCTCAAACTCCTGGGCTCAAGCGATCTGCCCAACTCAGCCTCCCAAAGTGCTGGGATTACAGGTGTGAGCCACCGCACCTGGCTGGAAGAATACATTTTCTTCTATTATTCTACCTACTCTTCATTCAGGCTCTCTTTGACCAAAAAAATAAATAAGTAAAATTCCACAACAAATAATAAAACCAAAATACCTAACCATGCTTGTACTTTAAAAATAAGAAGAAATGGAAGCTCTCCTCTCTGTCCACCCTGCTGCCATCCTCCCTCTCCTAATCCAGTCATTTTTCCCTTCAGGAAATAATCTGGACTAGAAATATGTCCAAAATACGTCCTAAGAAAAACTGAATTCTGGCCGGACATGGTGGCTCATGCCTGTAATCCCAGCACTTTGGGAGGCTAGGGCGGGAGGATCACCTGAGGTCGGGAGTTCAAGACCAGCCTGGCCAAAATGGTGAAACACTATCTCTACTAAAAATACAAAAAAATTAGCTGGGCATCATGGCAGGCATCTGTAATCCCAGCTACTCGGGGGGCTAAGGCAGGAGAACCACCTTGAACCCAGGAGGTGGAGGTTGCAGTGAGCCAAGATCACATCACTGCACTCCAGCCTGGGTGACAGAGTGAGACTCTGTCTCAAAAAACAAAAACGAAAAACTTAATTCCAGTGGAGGCTTTCTGAAGACTCTTGGTGATAAAGGGTCCTGTTGACTCTGGTGAAAATGCAGGTCAAGACTTTTCTAGTGCATTTCTTGCCAGCATCACTGAATTATTCAAAACAATTGGGATTCAAATATTACAAACATATCAATTTATACTTTTTACCATTATTTCAATAGCACTTTTTTTTAGTTGCATGTGACAGAAACTTCAACTAGTTCAAGCACAGAGGGCATATACTATAGATGCTGTATGCTCATATAGCAGTGAAGGCAGGCGTAGAAGAGAGCTGCAGGAACAAGGAGCTCAGGGAATGAAATGGGCACAATGACTTCAGGACCCTCTCCTTGGCACCATCTTTCTCTTATTCCTAGTTGTCTGCTGAGTTCCATTCTATAGAAGGCTCTACTTGAGAAGATGAGGTATGGCCACAGAGAGCCCCAAGGTTACATTTATCAGTTATTCATTCAAGAAGAGGACAAGCCACTTCCCTCCAATTTGGGAAGTTCTGGGTACAGAATTCTTATTAGTCTGGCTTAGAGTGCAGCTTCACCTTGTGAAGTTATCCTTATTCTAAGGGATAGTAGGAATATAAGTGACCCACCATGATCCTGGGGTGGTTTTTGCAGTGAGTGGGGCAATGTGTAATGGAGCACATGTTTTACAATCTCAACAGAAGCAGGAGGTTGACCAGAAGAAGGAGGATATTGAATCTGGGAGGCAGATGAAAATATTAACTATACAGTCCATTATATTATTCATGTTAAGAATTTGTATCAACCAGAGACCCTCATAACATGAGGTAAGATGGGACACTCACATTAGGGATTTTCAAGAGAGCTTAATAAAGAGACTATTTACAAGGATGCAAGGGGGATGTGGGGAAACCACAGTGATGCAATTTCTTGGGGCTGGTAAGAGCAAGGGCCTTACCAATCTGAAGTCTGGTCAAGGATGGAGCCCTTGCCCTCTCACAGTGACCACCTTAGGGAGGGACATGGGGAATAAATACTTCAAACTCTTGCTGTCCTTCTCTCCCATCTCCTGCTGATGTACTCTATTAGTTGAACCTGCCTAGAAGCAAGCAAACAACAGAGTCCATTGATGTAGTCCTTATAGGTCAGCCTACCAGTGCAGGGACGAGAGTGGAAATGGGTGGTGATCTGGAGGGTCAAACAGAAAATTTGCAGCATGGCCTTATTTACCTACAGACAGATACACATGCATATACATGTACATTTCATGTGACAGAAACAACCATGTAACCGAATATTCAATTTAGTCATATACATAAATATGTCAATGAGATATTATCCGTGATATTCAAAGATTAACTTGTCATCAAGTATTGTGTAAACAAAATCTAAAGGTTATTATTTTCCTTTAACATTTTTTTCTAACCATACTTTAAAATACCACTGCATTGTATTGGATCATTTTGTAATTGTGTTTCTATAATGATGAGAGATTTCTAGTAGATGAGTGGCCTGGAAAAAATTCAAAGAGACAGCGTGGCATAATGAAAGCTTTTAGAGGTGGGCCAACTTGGATTTGAATCCTGTGTGATAATCTTGGTCACTTTAACTTCATCTGTGCCAACAGCGTGTAGGACAAAGCAATCATATCTGGTGACAGGATGTGTCATAGACCAATACTCAGGGACTTCCACTATGCATAAATCACCAACATTCACATTTTTAGATCCAATTAAAATAGTGATGCCATGACTATCAAGCATCAAGCAGAACATAATTTGACTCATCTTTTTTTTTTTTTTAAATTCTGAAAGCTCTTCAGTATTTTGTAATGAGGGCTCACAGTTTACAGTGATGAACATCCATGAGCGTTGGATAATGCTAAAACTTTTGCTTCACCATTTACAGCAGAAAAAAAACCCTGGCTGGTGGCACTAATTTTTTTTCCATGTAATCAAGAAGATTTTGCCACTAACTAGGCCTTTAAACCAATAGTTGGCTTTTAGTTTCTCTAATGATGGGGACGGTGGTGATGATGAGGATGATGCTGACATTTATAGGGTACTGTGTACTATGTGCTTCACACATGTTAATTCTCCCAACAACTGTGAGTCAGACACTATTGTCCCGATTTTACAGGTGAAGAACTTGCAGCTCAGAGGGTTATTAAAACAAGATCACACTTCCAATAAGCATTAAAACTTATCCTCAAACCTTGGTCTGTGTCATTCTAACACTTTCACTGATGGCTAAAGATTACCAACTCCCAAAAGATTGCTCTTTTGACCTATAGTTTTAATTCTGGGTGATAAGTTTACTCTGTTATTATTATACAGCATACAGCAAGCTATAATTAATTTCATGGTTACTTCTATTTTTGTAACTGCTGTTTTGATTTCTATTAGTTGAAATATCTATCTATGTAATGTCTTGTTACTAGAATAGTAATGGGACAACCAGCATATCATGAAAAAACCCAGCATATTATGAAAAGCATTTTATTTTAAATGCCTAATAAAAGCATGTTATTTTCATTTACAGTTTGAATACATGTTCACAATTTAAAATATAGGAAAAGTAGGGGTAAAGTCCTGATGTCCATTTTTTAATGGTAATAAACAGTAATAAATACTTTAAAACATACTTAAACAATTTTTTCCTTCTTTTCTTTCTTTTTTTCTTTAGAGATAGAGTCTTGCTCTGTTGCCCAGGTTGGAGTATAGTAATACAATCATAGCTCACTGCAGCCTCAAACTCCTGGGCTCAAAGGATTCTCCCACCTCAGCCTCCAGAGTCGCTGGGATTACAGACATGCATCACCATTCCTGGCACTAAACAGATTTTTTTTTTTTTTGAGATGGAGTCTCGCTCTTGCCCAGGCTGGAGTGTAATGGTGCCGTCTCGGCTCACTGCAGCCTCCACCTCCTAGGTTAGACCGATTCTCCTGCCTCAGCCTCCCGAATATCTGGGATTACAGGCACCTGCCACCATGCCTGGGTAATTTTTGTATTTTTAGCAGAGACAGGATTTTGCCATGTTGGCCAGGATGGTTTCGAACTCCTGACCTCAGGTGATCTGCCCACCTTGGCCTCCCAAAGTGCTAGGATTACAGGCGCGAGCCACTGCGCCTGGCCTAAACAGATTTTCTTTTTTTTTGAGACAGAGTTTCGCTCTTGTTGCGCAGGCTGGAGTACAATGGTGCGGTCTCGGCTCACCACAACCACAATCTCCGCCTCCCAGGTTCAAGTGATTCTCGTGCCTCAGCCTCCCAAGTAGCTGGGATTACAGGTGCCTGCCACCACGCCTGGCTAATTTTTGCATTATTAGTAGAGATGGGGTTTCTCCATGTTGGTCAGGCTGGTCTCAAACTCCTGACCTCAGGTGATCTGCCGCCTCGGCCTCCCAAAGTGCTGGGATTACAAGTGTGAGCCATCACACCTGGCCCAGATTTTCTTTTAATGTGTTTTTCTTAGGAGGGTTTTTCTTGGGAGGGAAGGTTAGCTTCTTTGGTTTCTAACCCAACGTTTGAGGTTAGTAATACTTTCTTATAAATTACTCTCATTATTTAATAAGATGGCATGCTTTATAAACCCAGCTGTATTAGAAATGTATAATCAAATTTTTCTTTTACACTTTTAAAATTTATTGAAAAATTTCTTTCCTTAAAGCAGATGTTACCAAACTCAGGAGACCAAAGTCCCATTGGTTAATTCATTTCGAACTCAGTGTTAAAGCATGATACAAAGAGATCTTTAATTACCTAGAAAGAAACTCTTAGGTAACAGAGTGATGATGACTAATATACTGGAAACAAAATGAAAACAGAAGCTTTCAATTTAATGGAACAAAGTAATATCCTGTCAAATAAAGTACTGAAACTGAGATATGTAAACCAATGCTATTACGGTAGCAAACAGGTGGCACTTTCATTTTCTTTTCCAATTACCAAAGAGGGGATGTAATCAAGAGTCTCAAGTTTATATATAAATAACATAGAAAAAAAGGCAAGCTACCTCTAAAAATCATATTTTTAAATGTGAAAAAAAGCAGAGGACTGGGGAGACAGATATTTGAAAGTTAAATCTAAACTTTGATTTTATTTTTTTGATTTTGCTTCAAAAATTAAATGGAAAGTAAAGGGGGAAAATCGGAAAGAACAGCATACAAATAATGTTTGTTAAAGAAAGTTTTCAGTGTATTATGTATTTTACGTCATGATTCCTGTGCAGTCATGAGCACCAAAGCTTGCTCTGAGATCCAGAACAGTGCCTGGCTTTGTAGTACATCTCCAATAAATATCCCTTAAATAAATAAATAAATCCCCAAGCAATTGGCAGGAATCCAGACTAGAACTTGATAGCACTAGTTCTACACCAAGTTTCTGAATTTCGAAAAGATGAGAGTGCGGAGTTCCTACTGGCATGGAAATGGCTCTGTCCTAAGGGCAAATAGTGCCCCAGTGGAGAAACACTGAGGGCTTCAAGACTTCCTCTACTCAAATGCCAATATTTTTCATATAAGCACTTCACTAAGTTGGTCAGCACTTTTTATCTTAGGCTGAATAAATTTGAGAGAACCTTCCAAAGCCTGGGTATTTAATGGAGAATGGCTGAGGGTTAGAAGGTGAAGAAAGCTTGATGACTGCATGGGTGGATTGTAAGGAAAGACATGGGATTGTGTGGGTGGATTGTAAGGAAAAGCAGGAAGTAAAAAGACAAATTTCTCACTTGACATTGGAGATAGAGGTGGTCCTACACAACTTGAACATTACCTAGTTTCCTAGATCAATATGATCCAGTGGACAAACTAATTTGTCATGTAAAAACCAACTGGAGGCCAGGCATGGTGGCTCATGCCTGTAATCCCAGCACTTTGGGAGGCTGAGGCGGGTGAATCACTTGAGGTCAGGAGTTTGAGACCAGCTTGGCCAACACAGTGAAACCCCATCTCTACTAAAAATACAGAAATTAGCTGGGTGTGGTGGTGCAAGCCTGTAATCCCAGCTACTCAGGAAGCTGAGACAGGAGAATCACTTGAACCTGGGAGGTGGAGGTCGCAGTGAGCTGAGATCATGCCATAGCACTCCAACCTGGGTGACAGAGTGAGATCCCATCTCAAAAATAAATAAATAAATAATAATAATAATAACTGGAAACTTTAAAACACTGTCATGGTGTGTTTGTGTCCCTCCCAAAATTCATGTGTTGACATCCTAACCTCCAAAGTGATGTTTTTTAGAGGTGTGGCCTTTAGGGAGGCAATTAGGTCATGAGGGCTCCACCCACATGAATGGAATTAGTGGCCAAAAAAAGAGACTCCAGAGAGCTTCCTTGCCCCTTCCACCATGTGAGGACACAGCAAGAAGCTGCCTTCTAAGAAATCAGGAAACTGATCCTCACCAGACACCGAATCTGCTGGTGCACACCCTGTTCTCAGGCTTTCTAGCTTCCAGAACTGCGAGAAATAAATTTCTGTTTTTTATAAGCTACCCAGTTCCAGGTATTTTGTTATAGCAGCCTGAGCAGGCTAAGACAAATATACTGATTTCTGTTCAAGAAGTCTTCTAGTCAAGAAGACTTGGGGTTTTTGTATTGGCTGTTTTCATGGCAAATTGTTTGGTTTTACCAAGCCAGAGATCAACCATATATTTAAAGCACAAAAATTTGGAATCCTGAATTTCATTTGGTTTCTGCTTTAATTTGGTGTTCTATGTGAGTTCTATATTTGGCACATGAAAATTGTCACAGGATATTACTTTTTACTTTTAATCACCTTTTGGTTTTGATTGTTCTTTCCTGCTTTTAATTAGATTTTTAGTAATAGGAAAAATGGGTTTGAGGAGAGTGTTTTTAAAAAACACTAATGCATTCTCAAGCTGAAAAAAAAGTAAAAATAGTAAAGCATTTTAATTTTAATTGTATTATTTATGTTACCTATGAAGCACTTCTCTAGCATTTAAATCCCACCTACAGTCTCAAAATGATCTTTTGCTTTATTCCATCATCTCCCATTATTATCAAATAATCAAATAATAATAAAAAGTGTCAAATAATAATAATGGGAAATGGGAATAATAGTGAGAATCCCAGTTGTCTTTTGGCATGTCTTGATGTACAAAGTGACTGTACAGACTTTTTCTCTCGCCTCTAGAAGCTTACAATCTAGAAAAGATATATGCGTTCTGATACATGCACAACAAAGACTTTATTTATTTATTTATTTATTTATTTATTTTAAGATGGTCTCACTCCATTGCTCATGCTGGAATGCAATGGCACAATCACGGCTCACTGCCACCTCGAACTCCTGGGTTCACGTGATCCTCCCACCTCCACCTCCCAAGTAACCAGGACTATGGGCACAGGTTACCACACCAGGCTAATTAAAAAATTTTTTTTGTAGAGACAGGGGTCTCCCTATGCTGCCCAGGCTGGTCTTGAACTCCTGAGCTCAAGCAGTCCTCCTGCCTCGGGTCTCAAAGTGCTGACATTACAGGCATGAGCCCCTCATTGAGCCCCTTAATTGATTCTTGAGCTAATTCATAAATGGGCAGTAACTTATTGTGACATATAGATTAAAGCAGCGATTCCCCATTATTAACACTTTTGGTATCTCCTCATATGAGTGCCCCCCACCATCTATTTCTATTTCTATATGTATATATAGCTATACCTCTTTTTAAAAAACAACAAAATTGGGCTATCATGGTAAATTCAGGTGTGAAGTGTAATTTGTTTGTTTGTTTGTTTGTTTGAGACAGAGCCCAGGCTGGAGTGCAGTGGCACGATCTCGGCTCACTGCAAGCTCCACCTCCCAGGTTCACGCCGTTCTCCTGCCTCAGCCTCCTGAGTAGCTGGGACTACAGGCGCCCACCACCATGCCCGGCTAATTTTTTGTATTTTTAGTAGAGACGGGTTTTCACCGTGTTAGCCAGGATAGTCTCGATCTCCTAACCTTGTGATCCGCCTGCCTTGGCCTCCCAAAGTTCTGGGATTACAGGCACGAATGACTGTGCCCGGACTCTTTGTTTCTTTCTCTTTTTTTTTTTTTTTTTGAGACGGAGTCTCACTCTGTCACCCAGGCTGGAGTGCAGTGGCATGATCTTGGCTCACTGCAACCTCCACCTCCCGGGTTCAAGTGATTCTCCTGTCTCAGCCTCCCAAGTAGCTGGGATTACAGGTGCGCACCACTGCACCTGGCTAATTTTTTGTATTTTTAGTAGAGACGAGGTTTTGCCATGTTGGCCAGATTGGTCTTGAACTCCTGACCTCAGGTGCTTCAACCGCCTCAGCCACCCAAAGTGCAGGGATTACAGGCATGAGCCACCATGGCCAGCCGATTTTTTTCTTACTAAGCATATTGTGAGCAATACTCATGTTATTAAATAATTTTGAGAATGTAATTTTAGGCTGGTCATGGTGGCTCATGCCTGGAGTCCCAGCACTTTGGGACTGCAGGCAGGAGGATTGCTTAGGCTCAGGAGTTCAAGACCAGCCTAGGCAGCATTGGGAGACCCTTGTCTCTACAAAAAATATAAAAATTAGCTTGGTGTGGTGGCGCACTCCTGCAGTCCTAGCTACTTCGGAGGCTGAGATGAGATCACATGAGCCTAGGAGGTGGAGGTTGCAGTGAGCCATGTTTGCTCTGCACTCCACTGCACTCCAGCCTGGGTGACAGAGTGAGACTCTGTCTCCAAAAAGAGAGAGAGAGAAAAAAACAAAAAGAAAATGTGATTTTAAAGCTGTATTTTATTCTATTGCTTTAACATAATTTATTTAATAAGCCCTTTCTTGTTGAATATTAAGATTGTAACCACCTTTGCATTATTATAAACAGTGGTACAGTTAACTCTTATTTACTTATAACTAAATTTTAGAAGTGATATAATGAGTCAAGGAGGGCCTGGAATTCTGTGTACAGATTATTGGATTCTTGATTTTCTCATATTTTCCCATCCAGACTCTGCTGAAACTCAACACTTACTCATTTAATGAACCTGGTTTACATGAGAGTTCTTTAAAAGTTGTGCTTCTAGGCTGGACGTGGTGGCTCATGCCTGTAATCCCAACACTTTGGGAGGAGAAGGCGAGCAGATCACTTGAGGTCAGGAATTTGAGACCAGCCCGGCCAATATGGCAAAACCCTATCTCTGCTAAGAATGCAAAAAAAAAAAAAAAAAAAATTAGGTGGGCGTGGTGGCAGGCACCTGTAATCCCAGCTACTCTGGAAGCTGAGGCAGGAGAATCACTTGAACCTGGGAGGCAGAGGTTGCAGTGAGCTGAGATTGCACCATTGCACTCCAGCCTGGGTGACAGAGTGAGATTCCATCTCAAATAAATAAATAAATAAATAAATAAATGTTGTGCTTCTACTATGAGGAGATAAACCATAAAGAAGAAAATCAAGCAGAAAAATGAATAATCTAAATCTAACAATTCCACTTTTCTCTGTGTGTGTGTGTGTGTGTGTGTGTGTGTGTGTGTGTGTGTGTGTTTTGAACCTGAAAGGCAGAAGGATTTATCAAATATGAACCTGGAAAAAATGAATGGACTGAAGACTGAGAATAGGAGGTTAAGAAAGGCATTTGATGACAAGCTGGGAGTGCTGAAATATTATCTTCAAATAAATATTAAGCAATTTTAGAAAAAAAGATGCTCAATTACTTTTTCACTAATGTAATTAATCTGATCATAATTAGAAACTACATTGCAAAAACCATTCTGGTTATATATTGGCAGGTAAATAATCAATTCAATTCAACTACTTACCTATTTCCTATGTTTGAAATTAAACTATTTGGGCCAGGTACATTGGCTCATGTCTATAATCCCAGCACTTTGGGAGGCTGAGGCAGGAAGATGGCTTGAGCCCAGACTGGTCTCAAATTCCACAGTGAGATGCCATCTCTACAAAAAATACACACATACAAAAAGAAATTTAAGTTTTGGATTTCTCCAGTCTCCTTGGTTTGTCTTAGTGCCTGACAGCATAATCAGAGCTGAGTTTATTGGCTCCTAGTATTTTATTAGATTTCTATTTAAATGTAGGTTTTGGTGTTTATTAATCATTTGGGAGATAGATTCACAATGCTGCAATTTTCTCATTTAAAATGTGTGCTTGGCAGGGTGCGCTGGCTCATGCCTGTACTCTCAGCACTTTGGGAGGCCGATGCGAGTGGATCACCTGAGGTCGGGAATTCAAGACCAGCCTGATCAACATGGAGAAACCCTCCGTCTCTACTAAAAATACAAAATTAGCCGGGCGTAGTGGCACATGCCTGTAATCCCAGATACTTGGGAGGCTGAGGCAGGAGAATCGCTTGAACCCGGGAGGCAGAGGTTGCAGTGAGACGAGATCACGCCATTGCACATTGCACTCCAGCCTGGGGAACAAGAGAGAAACTCCATCTCAAAAGAAAAAGTATGCTTAATTCTTGTCAATGTTAATACATGTTAGGTGTGCACATCAAAGTAAAACTATGAATAGGCCATGCCTTGGGAGATTAAATGCTGCCGATTTCTCACTGTCAGAAATTGCCTTATTTCTTTCACATTTCACTAATTCAGTTGAGTCCCTTGTGTATCCTAGTCATACATTATGATGTAATTTTTCAGGTAAAAATGCTCTGTTCTTCCAGAAATCATCTTTTCTGAAGATTCTTTCAACTTTGTTTAAAACCATAGCCTTGAGGAGCAGTCACATTTTGAAAATATGTCAGTTTTGCCATACCCATCATCCTTTTCATTTCTGGGGAAACTATGAAAACTAGGAAGCTATGAAAACTAGGACAAGTTGATTTTAATTAATATTCTCATAATTCTCTCTAGAGTGAATTGTAATTTCCATTACTTTAAAAGTGCTTCTGGGACCCCAAGAGACAACATTCCCCAGCTTAACTACAGAGTTACAAGTAAGTATAGTAAATATTAGTATGGTATTGTGATTTAAGAAAATTGTTGGCCAGGCAGGGTGGCTCATGCCTGTAATCCCAACACTTTGGGAAGCCAAGGCGGGCGGATCACTTGAGCTCAGGACTTCAAGACCAGCCGCACGAACATGGCAAAACCATGTCTCTACTAAAAATCCACACACAAAAAAAATTAGCTGGGCATCATGGTGCATGGCTGTAATCCCAGCTATTCAGGAGGCTGAGGCAGGAGAATCGCTTGAACCAGAAAGTTGGAGGTTGCAGTGAGCCGAGATCGTGCCACCGCACTCCAGCCTGGCGACAGAGCAAGACTCTGTCTGAAAACAAAAACAAAACCTAAGGATTAGGCCCTGTTACATGTTGTGTTTTATGAATTTGTTAGCAATCTATAAATTTAATAATATGAATGCGGATGAGTTATCCGTTATCCTTTTGTATGAGATAAGGAAGTGTATTTAGAGGACAGGTACAGTTACAAAAGTTACAGACTACCTCTGTAGAGCATAGAGCAATCGTTTAATTTGGTTATATGTAGGGCGAAGCTATCACATGTATTTGTGTTAAAAAAAAAAATAAAATGAAAAACTTCCTGCAATCATGGAAAACAGAATAGGGCTTGATACTTGAGTGTTAAACAGGTTTGCAATCACCCTGAGTAATCTAGCAGACAATCCACCACCCACCCTATTATATAAGGAATCATATTTAGTTTTTTTTAAAAGCATATGTTTAAATTTAGACACTTTTTTGGCTGATGCACTCTTGCAAAGTTGTCCTTGAATAGGAAAAGGTAACTTACCACAGTCACAGCACACAGCCATTGTTCCTGGTTGCACACCTTGTTCCTGGTTGGGGCAGGTGCCCCCAAATCATGCTGGATTGTCTTTCCATGGTACCCTCATGGCTGACCAGGCCTGGATACAGACTCTTAGAAATCTTAATGCTGACAAAATTATGGTGCACCACCCCCCCCATATTCAATTCTCAATAAAACAATGCTATTTTTTTTTTTTTTTTTGAGACAGAGTCTCGCTCTGTCGTGCAGTGGTGTGACCTCAGTTCACCGCAACCTCTGCCTCCCATCTGCAACCAATCAAGTGATTTTCCTGCCTCAGCCTCCCGAGTAGCTGGGATTACAGGCATGCACCACCACGTCTGGCTAATTTTTGTATTTTTAGTAGAGATGGGATTTCACTATGTTGCCCAGCTGGTCTCAAACTCCTGACCTCAGGTGATTCACTCACCTTGGCCTCCCAAAGTGCTGGGATTACAGGTGTGAGCCACTGTGTCCAGTCAAGTAATGCTAATTTGTATGGTAGAGTCCAACAACTTCTGATTTTTCTTTTAATGATATTTAATTATTTCATTGAATTTCTTACGAATTGTACTGTTAATGTGATTAGATAAAAAATGTTTTCATCAGTAGGAAGTACGTGCTGAAATATTTTGAAGTTTAGTGTCGTGATGTTTGGAACTTGCAAATTCTTTAGTAAAAAAGACCCTATGTGTATACACACACACACACACACACACACACACAGAGAGAGAGAGGCAGAGACAGAGAGAGAGACAGACCAACAGACAGAAAGACAAAGAGAGACAGAGATGGGCACAGACAGAGACAGAGAGATGGACCGAAATGTGGTAAAATATGTATGATTTTTTTCAAATTTTCTGTAGGGGGGAAAAACACATAATCACTAAAATTAGAATGCCAAGTATCAAAAGAAGCATAGTTGATAAGTATTTTGTGTAAACTTATTTATTTATTTTTTTGAGGCAGGGTCTCCCCTCTGTTGCCCAGACTGGAGTGCAGTGATGTGACCACTGCATGCTGCTCACCATAGCCTCAACCTCCCAGACTCAGGCAATCCTCCCACCTAAGTCCCCCAAGTATCTGGGACTACAGACATGCACCACTATGCCTGGCTAATTTTTTTTTTTTTGTAGAGTTGGGGGTGGTCTCATTATATTGCCCAGGCTGGTCTCAAACTCCTGGGCTCAAGCAATCCTCCTGCCTTGGCTTCCCAAAGTGTTAGGATTAGAGGCGTGAGCCACTGCGCCTGGCCAAGTCACTCATTTTAGATAAACGGATTTACAAAAGCACACAGACATAAATTCAATCAACCTCAGAAGTCACTGGACAAAACGCCAAGCCAATTACTTTCTAAAGAAGTCCAGCCTTTAAAAACAAACTATCTAGTTTCTTTTGATGAATTTTTTCTTCTACAACTTTAGCTTTCTACCAACTCAGAACCTAAGAATCAATAAAGCAATATTTCTTACACTGCCTTAATCAAAAATAGGTGTTTTCTTCTTTTTTTCATCCAATTAGTACAACTTAGTGACTGTTCTATGCCAGGGCTAGTGTTGGGCTCTGAATATGCAAAAATAAAAAGACAAGGGCCCCGTCCTCAAGTTCACAGTCAATTGGTGAGGCAGATTTTTGACACATAATTACAGTATGATGTAAAAAGCATTATAATAATGGTATGTATAAGCTGCTATGGGATCATGGTTTAAGAAGCCTTAATTTATCTGATGAGAAAGGAAGGAGGTGATAAATCAGGTTATAATGATACAATAATAAGTAATAATGGCAACAACAACAATAATAATAGTGGTCATACACCGGGCAAGTCCTAAATACAACAGTTATAGAGGGGTAGGTAAGGGTTGACAGTTGGCATAAGCCAATACAAATTACCAGGTAGGGAACAGGCCCAGGATATGGCAATACAAATCTTGGGTAAAAAATGCTAGCAAGTCTACCTGGCTAGAACATTTTTGCCATTGCCACAAACTCCCTTCGCACATATTTCTCATATGTCATCTAGCTAATATTGCCTCCACCCGAAAGAGGCCTTGAGGCTCACAGGAGGTAGGTATGCATTTTGCCTCTGGAAAAACAGCTGGTGTGTGGCAACATAGAATCTAGGTTAGAACTCAGGTGTCTCAGACACTTGCTCCATTTAGTATGTAATGCCACCTGCCCACAGACCTTTGCTTAGGAGAGTCTTTAATAAAAGAGGAGTGGGAAGTTCAGCATCAGGGCTTGTACCTGTAATTGCAGCTACTTGAGAGACAGAGGCAGGAGGGTCTTTTGAGCTCAGAAGTTTGAGGCCAACCTGGGTAGCATAGCAAGACCGTCTCAAAAAAAAAATAAATAAATAAATAAATAAAGGTGGAATTGGGAGTAGGAATTTCACAGGTGAACCAAGGAGAAAAGAGAATTGTAGTCAGGAGGTGCATATGCAAAGCATTAAGGAATTAGAGAGTTTGGCAAATTCTCCTAGACGCAATTAATTATTAGGCATAATTGGAGTAGAAGGTATTAGAAGAAAAAACTAAATAGTCCTACCTGCCAGAACACAGGGCTCTTGAATATTATGCAAAGGGAATTGTACTTTATGGAGTAAGCATTGGAAAGCCACTGAAAGACCTTAAGCTTTGGAATTCCATGATCAGATTTGGTTTTTAGAAAGATGACTGTGCAAAGGCCAGACAGACTCTAACAAGAAGGGAGTCAGCCAAGGGCAAGCACCAAGCAGGGGTTGAGTCTGCACTGTGACTGGAGGCACCTGGCAGGATAAAAAGGTCTTACCCTTTGCCTGTATTCTCTACATAATTTACAGTCCTTCTTTCAACATGACGAAATGTATCATTTTTCCAAAATAATCATAAAAACCATCATGCCAACATGTTATTTTAAAACTGTGGTGGCACATGCCTGTAGTCCCAGCTACTCAGGAGGCTGAGGTGGGAGGATTGCTTGAGTCCAGGAGGTTGAGACTGCAGTGAACTGTGATCACATCACTGCACTCCAGCCTGGGCAAAAGAGCTAGACCCTGTGTCCAAAAAATAAAATAAAATAAAATAATAAAATAACATAACATATTTAAAAGGTATCATTTTTGCAAATGGTGCCCAGGGAAGCAATGGTTTCCTCTACTACTTCCAGCAATGCTTCTCCTTAAATGGCATTTTGGAGGGATTAAAGACAGAAAATAAGGTTTAGGAGAAAGAATGCCTGAACTAGGTCAAAGACAGTAGGAATGGTGGTGGGGAGGATTGGCCTTGTGATTCAACATAACTTGATAACTGATTGACTATGGGGCCAAAAATGAGAAAGTGTATCAAAGATGACCCCTTGTTTTGCCTGAGCAGCTGGGTAGATGGTGGTGTGAGATATGGGAATATTTGGAGAGAAGATTTTGGAAGACAGATGCTAAGTTTAAATTTGAACATGTTAATTTTGCATTTGGATGCCAAAATTGTTTCAGCACCACTTATCAAAAGATTGTCCTTTCTCTACTGCACCTTTCTAAGAAATCAGTTGACCATATTTTTGTGGGTCTATTTCTGGCCTTTCTATTCTGTTTCATTGGTCTATGAGTCTATTATTTTGCTAATAACGCACTGTCTTGATGAGTGTAGCTTTATAGTAAACCTAGAAGTGGGGTGATGTGGATCCTTCAACTTCATTCTTTTTTATCAAAAGTGTTTTGCTGGGGGAAGGAAAGGAGCAGGGAAGGGTTGAAAAACTAACTGTTGGGCACTAAGCTCAGCACTTGGTGATGGGATCATTCATACCCCAAACTTCAGCATCATGCAGGTAACAAACTGGCACATGTACCCCCTGAATCTAAAATAAAAGTTGAAAAAGAGAGAAAAGTGTTTTGCCCTTCTATATGAATTTTACTGTTGGCTTGTTAATATCTATAAAGAAACTTGCTAGAAGTTTGATTGAGATTGCATTGATTTGATAAATCAAATGGCAGAAAACTGACATCTTAATAATATTGAGTCTTCTAACCCATAAACATGGTATATTTTTCCATTTACTTAGACATTTTAAATTTCTTTATAAGGGTTTTATAGTCTTCTGAATACAGATCATGCATTTATTTTGTTATATTTATCCCTAAGTACTTCATTTCTTTTTGCTGGACTTTTTGATTTTGAGGTGTCTGTATAAGTCTATTTGCAGATGTGGGAAAATAAATATAGAAGTCTGGAGGTCTAGGGTGTCATTTAGGATAAAATTCAAGTTTAGTGTAGTCACATTTCTCAGAACGTGTCAGATTTTTCATGGACAAAAAACAGAGAAGAAAATAGGGCTGAGGACTAAGTCACCTTAATCACCAAATCACCAACAAATGGTTAATTATGGCACTTGATGTTCTAAGTTTAAGAAATGAGTCAAGGAAGACCCAAGAACCCCCAAAATCAGATGGTACCAAAGAGTATGTGTCTAGATGCTGACTCTGGGAACATGCTAAGTCTCTGTTCTCATATTTGTAAACAGGTATAGTAATAGTGCCCATTTCATAGGGTTATTGGAAGATCAAATAAGACAATCACATGGAGGACACGGAAGAATGCTTGGCATATAGTGAGCACTCAACATCTGTCAGCCATTCTTACCAGTTGTGTAAATTACTTTCTAGGAGCTTACTGTGGGAATGTCTTGGAAAAAACGTCATGGCTTTTAAAATTCCTGGTATTTTCTGGCAATGACTATTGATTTTCACAAGAAAAATTGGGATTCACTACTAAAATAAGTTTTCTTACATGAAATATGCCCAGGTCTGGGTACAAAGGTAAACTGTACATAATAAAAAATTTGTGGCTGGGTGCAGCGGCGCATGCCTTTAATCCCAGCACTTTGGGAGGCCAAGGCAGGAGGCTCACTGGAGCCCAGGAATTCGACACAAGCCTGGGCAACATAGTGAGACCTCATGTCTACCAAAATAAAATAAAAATAAAAAATTAGCCACACATGGTGCTGCATGCCTGCAGTCCCAGCTACTTGGGAGGCTGAGGCAGGAGGATTGCTTAAGCCCAGGCGGTCGAGGCTGTGGTAAGCCATGATCACACCACTGCATTCCAGCCTGGGCCACAGAGTGAGACCCTGTCACAAAATAAATAAACAAATTGTAACATCTGGAATTCTCTGCTAAAAGCTCTTCATTTAGAAACCATGCCTGCTTGCATTTTTAAAAAAATTAATACATAATTATTGTATATATATGGGATACATGTGATATTTTGATACATCCATTCAATGAATAACAATAAATCAGAGTAGGATATTCATCACCTCAAACATTCATTGTTTCTTTGTGTCAGGAATATTTCAAATCTTCTAGATATTTTGAAATATATAATAAATTGTTGTTAACTGTAGTCAACTTACCATGCCATCAAACACTAGAACTTATTTCTTCTAACTGTATGTTATTTATTTGTTTTGAAACAGGGTCTCTCTATGTCTAACATTTGTTATTTATTTGTTTTGAAACAGAGTCTCTCTCTGTCACACAGGCTGGAGAGCAGTGGAGTGCAGTGATGCCATCTCAGCCCACTGCAACCTCCACCTTCTGGGCTCAGGTGACCCTCCCATGCCAGCCTACCGAGTAGCTGGGACTGTAGATCCACACCACCAGACCTTTAAAAAATTGTTGTTAATAAAATTACTTTAATTATGCTAATTAAATGCATATTTGAATTAATAAAATAATTAATTTAATTAAGTACATAAATTAATTGTTATGTTAATTAAATACAAAAATTTGGTTAATTTTTATATTTTTTGATACAGATGGGGTTTCACCATGTTGGCCAGGCCGGTCTCAGACTCCTGCATTCAAGCCATCCACTTGCTTCAGCCTCCCAAAGTGTTGGGATTACAGGCATGAGCCACCGCGCCTGTCCCTAACTGTATGTTTATAACCATTAACCAACCTCTCTCTTTATCTCCTACACCCCCTGCTTGCTATTTTTGATATGTGTTTCAAACATCTCCCAAATGAAGTATGAGAAACGTAATTAGGTATTACCATGGACTCAGAATTCATATTTTTCCTTCCTATCCCTCATCTTCCCCAATGATTGCCTAGCTTTGCTCACAGATTTTATCCCCATGGTTTAGTCTGTCTCCAGCTCTGCATGAGACCAGAGTTCTTCAAAATAATCTCACTTTAGGGAAAGGACAGAAATTGGACAATGACAGCTCTATGGTCTGGACATTGTTTGGCACTTTGTTGGGGAAAAGGGGAGAATTGAAACTCTTTACTAAAGTTATTATTTCTCCAATTTCATTCTCACTGTGTTTACAAGAAAAGCCAAAGGAATGACTTCCTCAGAAAGGGGACCACTCTCTAATATTGGCAGGTACCAGGATAGAGGCCCACAGCTAACTGTGCTACTGAGATAGTAACGGAAAGTATAGATTCTCTAATCAGGCAAAAGTGCCTGTACTCCTTCAAGATCTCTTGTAGCACATTGTCAGGAAAAAGCCAATCGGTCTGAGACTCAGTGCCAAGACTCCTGCTACCATTCCTCCCAGAAATTCTTAGGTGGCTTTGTCTTCACAAGTTTCCATAGTTCTTGATGGAAGTTGTGTTAGACTACATAAAATGTGTCTTGCAAGTATTTTAAAAATGACCATCAAGATAAATCAGTAGACACTGACATTCTTCACAGAATTAGAAAAAACTTTAAAATTCATATGGGACCAAGAAAGAGTCCATACAGCCAAAACAATCCTAAGCAAAAAGAACAAAGCTGGAGGCATCATGCTACCTGACTTCAAACTATACTACAAGGCTACAGTAACCAAAACAGCATGGTACTGGTACAAAAACAGACACATAGACCAATGGAACAGGATAGAGATCTCAGAAATAAGACCACACATCTACAACCATCTGATCTTCATCAAACCTGACAAAAACAAGCAACCAGGAGAGGATTCCCTATTTAATAAATGGTGCTGGGGAAACTGGCTAGCGATATGCAAAAAATTGAAGCTGCACCCCTTCCTTATACCTTATACAAAAATTAACTCACGATGGATTAAAGACTTAAGTGTAAAACCTAAAACCATAAAAACCCTAGAAGAAAACCTACGCAATACCATTCAGGACATAGGCATGGGCAAAGACTTCATGACTAAAACCCCAAAAGCAACTGCAACAAAAGCAACAATTCACAAATGGAATCTAATTAAAGTAAAGAGCTTCTGCACAGCAAGAGACTATCATCAGAGTGAGCAGACAACCTACAGAATGGGAGAAAACAGATTTTGCCATCTATCCATCTGACAAAGGCCTAATATCCAGAATCTACAAGGAACTTAAACAAATGTACAAGAAAAAAAAAAAACATCAAAAAGTGGGCAAAGAACAGGTGAACAGACACTTCTCAAAAGAAGACATTTATGCGGCCAGCAAACATATTTTAAAAAGGCTCGACATCACTGATGATTAGAGAAATGTAAATCAAAACCACAATGAGATACTAGCTACACCAATCAGAATGGTGATGATTAAAAAGTCAAGAAACAACAGATGCAGGCAAGGCTGTGGAGAAATAGGAATGCTTTTACTCTGTTGGCGGGAATGTTAATTAGTTCAATCATTGTGGAAGATGTTGTGGTGATTCCTCAAAGATCTAGAACCAGAAATAGCATTTGACCCAGCAATCCCATTATTGGGTATATACCTAAAGAAATATAAAGAATTCTATTATAAAGACACATGCATGCATATGTTCACTCCAGCACTATTCACAATAGCAAAGACACGGAATCAACTCAAATGCCCATCAATGATAGACTGGATAAAGAAAACGTGGTAAACATATACCATGGAATACTATGGAGCCATAAAAAGGAAGGAGATCATGTCCTTTGCAGGGAGATGGATGGAGCTGGAAGCCATTATCCTCAGCAAACTAATACAGGAACAGAAAACCAAATGCCACATATTCTCACTCATAAGTGGGAGGTGAACAATGAGAACACATGGACACAGGGAGGGGAACAACACATACCAGGGCCTGGCAGGGAATAGGAGGGAAGGGAGAGCATCAGGATAAATAGCTAACGTATGTGGGGCTTAACACCTAGGTGATGGGTTGATAGGTATAGCAAACTATCATGGCACACGTTTACCTATGTAACAAACCTGCATGTCCTTCACATGTATCCCAGAAGTTTAAATAAAATAAAATAAAAAGGTAAATTGGTAGAAGAAATGCCTCAGGTCATTTTGCAGATTCCTCTTGGTTTATCAGACTGTAATGCTATAGCTAATGTTGGACAGAGTAATGAGAAGCTTCTGAAGCATCATTCTTTGTCCTGTGGTGGGCCAGGGTATGGCACAGATTGATTTGATTTTAAAATCTTTTGAAAACCTGGGAATTGCAAATGTTACAAGCAGCATCGTGACTATTACTTTTGAATATAATTAAATTGGATCTCTCTAATTCGACTTTATTATACACTTCTTAGAGTTAGCCTTTTGAGTGCTATATTTACATTTGTACATATCAATATTTGAAATAAATAATTTAAAAAATGGGACAATAACACAAATTAATAGATGACAACTACCTCATGCTTTATAAAATGGACATAAACCTGGTAACAGATTAAATATTTGTAAGAGTAAATTCTAATTTTCATTTATTCAATAAAGGCAGAGATGCCTCCAGAGCCCCGGTTTGACATGTCTGCAACACAGCTCCTGGTCTGTCTTGTGGGATACTAGAAGATTTCTGGGGACTGCCAGCTCTGTCTACCTGTGCCAGTACTCTTAGCATTGCAAAGATGCTGATCACCTGCGTCTAGGAATCACTGATCTGGCTGCCTTGGCCTCCCAAAGTGCTGGGATTACAGGCGTGAGCCACCCACCTGACCACAAGGAAGATATTTCTAACCACATTTTACAAGGGTGGAAATTTAGGCTCAGAGAAGTTAATGGAAATTATTTATATTTGAGGCTCTGGGTTGTTTACAACAAATCAATTAAAGCTTATTTTAGTTTTCTAAGTTCAAAATTCTGTAAAGTTTATTAGACAAGTTGATAAATTTTTAGCCTAAGTTCTTTGATAGAAACTGGAAGGGCCATATAAATAGTCTAGAACTAATGCAATTTCTTTTTGGGAGAAGGGTTAGAGGAAAAAGATTTTTTATTTTTTATTAATTTAATTTTATTTTTTTGAGACTGAGTTTCGATCTTGTCGCCCAGGCTGGAGTGCAGTGGCGCAATCTTGGCTCACTGCAATCTCTGCCTCCTGGGTTCAAGTGATTCTCCTGCCTCAGCCCCCTGAGTAGCTGGGATTACAGGCGCCTGCAACCACGCCCAGCTAATTATTGTACTTTTAGTAGAGACGGGGTTTCACCATGTTGGCCAGGCTGGTCTTCAACTCTTGACCTCAAGTGATTCACCCACCTTGGCCTCCCAAAGGGCTGGGACTACAGGCGTGAGCCACAATGACCAGCCATAATTTTTTTTATTAATCCTGCTTTGAATCATTGTCATATCAATCTATCAAGGAAAATATTTCTTTTTGTTGTTGTTGAGACAGAGTATGTCTCTGTCACCCAGGCTGAAGGGCAGTGGCATGATGTGGGCTCACTGCAACATTTGCCTCCGGGTTCACGTGATTCTCCCACCTCAGCTGGGAGTACAGGTGTGTGCCACCACGCCCAGCTAATTTTTGCATTTTTTTTCTTTTTTTTTTTTTTTTTTTTTTTTTTTGGAGACGGAGTCTCGCTCTGTCGCCCAGGCCGGACTGCGGACTGCAGTGGCGCAATCTCGGCTCACTGCAAGCTCCGCTTCCCGGGTTCACGCCATTCTCCTGCCTCAGCCTCCCGAGTAGCTGGGACTATAGGCGCCCGCCACCGCGCCCGGCTAATTTTTTGTATTTTTAGTAGAGACGGGGTTTCACCTTGTTAGCCAGGATGGTCTCGATCTCCTGACCTCAAGATCCACCCGCCTTGGCCTCCCAAAGTGCTGGGATTACAGGCGTGAGCCACCGCGCCCGGCCTGCATTTTTTTTTCTAGAGACGAGGTTTCACCGTGTTGGCCAGGCTGGTCTCAAACCCTTGAGTTCAAGTGATCTGGCTGCCTTGGCCTCCCAAAGTGCTGGGATTACAGGCGTGAGCCACCGCGCCCGGCCTGCATTTTTTTTTCTAGAGACGAGGTTTCACCGTGTTGGCCAGGCTGGTCTCAAACCCTTGAGTTCAAGTGATCTGGCTGCCTTGGCCTCCCAAAGTGCTGGGATTACAGGCGTGAGCCACCCACCTGACTGCAAGGAAGATATTTCTAATCACATTTTACAAGGGTGGAAATTTAGGCTCAGAGAAGTTAAATTCTTTACTCAAGGGCACAGAGCTAATGTATATCACAATAACCTTTCAAATTCAGGGCTATCTTATATCAGTCCTAAGGTTTTTCCATTATATCACTTACTTCATATATTCTATTATAACCTTATAAAGCTGCATTTATTGACTCCATTGATAACGCAGATCACATTTCCCTCCCTGTAGCAATATGATAAAATTCTGTTACTTCAATCACTTCTATGCTATTTCTTTTGTGTCAATAGACCCATCTATGAGGCACCTGGCCAGGTTGGTGTGGAGTATTATGGGCTTTTATTGGTTTGTGACTTGGTTTAATTATCACTGGATTCTTACAGAAAGGCTATGATGACACAAACTCATTCCTTTTAGGTGAGATAAGCATAAGGTGAAACTGAACTCTGTTTTAAATGCCATACCAGAACTTATCACTGGTTCTATTTATGTTATGTGATAAGTAAAACACAGGCCGGGCCTGGTGGCTCACGCCTGTAATCCCAGCACTTTGGGAGGCCGAGGCGGGCAGATCTCGATATCAGGAGATCGAGACCATCCTGGCTAACATGGTGAAACCCCATCTCTACTAAAAATACAAAAAATACCTGGGCATGGTGGCAGGTGCCTGTAGTCCCAGCTAGTCGGGAGGCTGAGGCAGGAGAATGGCGTGAACCGGGGAGGCGGAGCTTGCAGTGAGCTGAGATAGCGCCACTGCACTCCAGCCTGGGTGACAGAGCGAGACTCCGTCTCAAAAAAAGAAAAGAAGAAAAACACAGAAGATGGCCAGGACCAATTGTGATATGTCTCTCAAGGGCTTGGACAGTTCTGTCTTCTGAGCCATGTCTCATACATTATCTTCACTTAGTCCCTGTATTGTATTCCATCCAATGCTGACAGTTTCTCTTTTTGCCATTTACTTGTGCTTTCTTCCTTCAGGTCTCTAACTTGATACATGTCACCATTTCATATTTAAGCCTTCCTCTTTAAACTCCCAAAAAGACAATATGCTTTTCTCCTTTGATTTTCCTCCTTAATTTTTTTTTTTTTTGCAAGATAACGGACTTTCTGATAGCTAAAACAAAAATAACAATCTGGCTGGGCGCGGTGGCTCATGCCTGTAATCCTAGTACTTTGGGAGGCTGAGGCAGGCGGATCATGAAGTCAAGAGATCGAGACCATCCTGGCCAACATGGTGAAGCCCTGTCTCTACTAAAAATACAAAAATTAGCTGGGCGTGGTGGTGTGCGCCTGTAGTCCCAGCTACTCAGGAGGCTGAGGCAGGAAAATCACTTGAACCCAGGAGCCAGAGGTTGCAGTGAGCCGAGATCGCGCCACTGCACTCCAGCCTGGCGACAGAGCGAGACTCCATCTCAAAAAATAACAATAATAATAATAATAAAATAACAATTAAAAAAAAGCCTCATTTTCTAAACAGGTCCTCAGTGTGTGTTTCCCATGCCCTTGTTTGCCCTTCACTTCCTTTGCCTAATTTAGATTTGTAAGCTCAACACATAAGCACTTTGTCTTTGTTTATGTACATATGGTGCCTAGCACTAGTCTTGGGTTTACCAAATATTAAATAATCATGACTTCAGAATGATTATTAGTATTGGCATTTAAAAAATCATAGCTGGCCAAGAATACTGTTTTGTTTTGTTTTCTCAAATGACCTTTTCTGATTTTGACACTGCTATGGTCGACAGCTGTACTATAGCACACTTACATTTACCCTTGAATACTACCTGGAGAACAGAGTTGGCACCAAGTGTAGCTGTTTTACTTTTTTGGAACACTTTTACAGATTCTGCACTGCACACCGGTTTGCTTATGGATGTAATTTCAGTTGTGTATAATCACCTTAACAGAACGGGAAAAACCCAGATACCATCTTGTACAATGCTCTATTATGACAGAATTATCTCAATGGGTTAACTTTGCATGTTGGAAATGGGAGGTTTTTTTCTCTTTGATTTACTAACTTGAGCATTCATGATATCTAGTGTAAGCTCTAAAAAAATCTATGCATTAAATACTCTTGGATTATGTAGTGCATTTATATTGTTAGAGTTTAAAATAAAGTTCTTAATTTTACCTGCTTTTAGGCTTAAAAAAAAACAAAAAACTTAATCTGTATCTCTTACCTAAACTCCTTTACTCCCCTTAAAGCTGGCCAAATGATTCTGGACCATCATCCCATGGGCCAATTTATAAAAATAAATGCCAAATACTACATAACAATAGAAGGAATTGATGGTAGATTAGAAGTTTAACAATGCATTTCCTTTTAGAAATGTCAGCATCAGCTTTCTCACAATAAGGGAAATACAAAGGTTGTTCTCTGCCACTGGCCCTATATTTCAAGTGCAAACAAATCAATGAAAGAAAGTAGTTATGTCAGTGTGAGGGATACAATAGTGTAACTGAATAGAACAGTTTCGTTAGTGTGTATATTTTTTATTTTTATTTAATATTATGTCCAGACAGAACCTAGGTAATAATATTGATAAATCAGGGGGAGATGGTTTCCTTTTTCTGAATCAGTTCCAAAATATCTAAACATCTACCTGACCTCTATGTTAGTGTAGTTCTGCGGCAGCATCCTCAACTCTGAATGTTATGATTCCTGTACAATCAAAATGAATAGTCTGATACTCTACCTGTGCTTCTGATACATTTCATCATGAGATCCATCCTATAAACTCACTGTATCTCTCCCTGAATGTCTGTAATTGTACTCCCCATCAGGGACTCTCTGGAATGCTACTTGTAGGTGAACACAATATTTCCTAGTGGAGTGTGCTCACTGAGAATGACACAATGTGTAAACAACACCCTTCCACCCTCCTGAGATTCTTACTGACTTGACTACAAGGGTAAAAGTAATTGCAAACCAACGCTTAAAAAAATGTTTCTAGGGAAAGGGGAGTGGTGTGAGGAATGTCTTTAACAGAATCCAACTTCTCTCAGCTGGAAATCTTGCCTTGAGAGGGTTGTAACCACTGGAGAAAGCAGTAAGGAGAGGAAGCTCTTAGCAGAGGAGGGCAGTTTCCTGGATCCTTTCTATTATCCTTACCCTCCTTATAGGAGAGGTGAGTAAATTAAACCAATGCTTGGCACATGGAACAAGCTCCCAGGAGGCCAGGGAAGGAGCCATATTTGTCTTATTCATTACTGGTATTCCAGGCATGGAGATCAGTACCTGGCACACAGCAAAGCACACAATAAATATTTATTGATGGAGCAGTAAGGGCTTGACGTGTTTTTAAAACAAAATGACTATGTATGTAAAATCTCCCTAATCTTGGGTATAGCTGGACTCACGGGAATTTAAAACAAATATTTTAATTCACTTTTAAAGATGACCCTAAATGCCTAACCCACACGATATATTTAGGGATCTATTAGATTTTACAGTTGGAAAGATCAAAGCTTTTTAAGTTACAAGTAGAATGGTATTAAGGCCAGAACTTGAAAAGTATTTCTGAACTTAAAACCCAGTGCTCTGTCTCTCTTCCCATCCCCCAGTGATTTTCTAGATAATATGATGGTAGTAGAAACAGAACAAAGAAACTCTCATTTTTACACTTGCCTTTATGAGGCAGCATAATAGATAGCTTACTTTGATTATGGTTTGCTGACACAGTTTGGTTTAGACTAATTGGCAGAGTGGCAGATCTTTGTCTAATTCTGTCTTCCAGGTTGTGCCTAGCACATTACTGGTGCTCAAATGTTAATAAAACAGCAATGCATGCCAAGTATCTGATGTCCTAGATGCTGAGTGGTGATATGCATTATTGACATATGTAGATAAGTAGGTTATACATAGTGTGAAAATTAGCTTTAATTGAAGTTAAATGATAGCTTAGAAGTTGACAGTGAGTTAGTCATTTTGTTGGTGGATAAGACATACTATTATGTCTTACCTGAGGTGATTGATGTAATTCAGTGTTACAGTAGAGCACACAGAGAAAAAAGACTTGGGTGTGCAACTGGAATTCCTAACTCTTGCTGTGAGATCTGGCAGAGAGGCATTCCTGTCTGGTGTAGAAGGTCCCCTCTAGCATCCCCCCTCCCCATGGGGCAAGGAGTTCCATACTCTCTGAGCACCTGGAACCCTGGTCCTGACTGCCTTGCCACTTCCAGACCTCATCTTCCAAGGCTGGCCCCTGGCCCGAGGAATCACCAAGGGGTGGCTTTTTTGAGGGGTGTGATATCACTTAGATGTGTAGGCTGGGTTGTCCTTGTCCTTTTTTTTTTTTTTTTGAGATGGAGTCTCACTCTGTCACCCAGGCTGGAGTGCAGTGGCTTGATCTCAGCTAACTGCAAGCAACCTCCACCTCCCAGGTAAAAGCAAATTTTCTGCCTCAGCCTCCTGAATAACTGGGACTATAGGCACACGCCACCACGCCAGGCTAATTCTTGTATTTTTAGTGGAGACAGGGTTTCACCATATTGGTCAGGCTGGTCTGGAACTCCTGACCTCGCGATCTGCCCACCTCGGCCTCCCAAAGTACTGGAATTAGTACAGGCATGAGCCACCGCACTAGCTGGGTTGTCCTCTTATGTGTGAGCCTTTCCATGGGATAGGATGAAGCTGAGATGGAAAGAAAAGGGGATTCCAGTTGCAGACCAGATACCAGTACTCCCTGCAGTAGTACTCAGTACTCCCCCAGTTAATTTGTAGCTTTTAGTATTTATGATAGAGTATATGGATCCCCATTTGTTAGCTGGCTCCAGAACTTTCTAAAGTTAAAGGCAGTCCGGGAACTAGGACAAGTCATGTAGCCTATTTTAGTGTCAGTTCTTCATCTGTAAATAAGATAACACTGTCCCACTAGCCTCAGAGAGTTGCAATGATGAGAATAATCTTAAATATAACTACCATTTATTGAGTATATACTGTTGTTAAACCACTATGCAAGGCACTTTGCATGTATTATCTTGGATCGTCACAAATCTTCAGGGTATGCAACTTTTTCTTTTTTTGTGACAGGGTCTTGCTCTGTTACCCAGGCTGGAGTGCCATGGTGTGATCATAGCTCACTGCAACCTTGAACTCCGGGGCTCAAGATAACCTCCCACCTCAGCCTCCTGAGTAGCTAGGACTGCAAGTGCACCCCACCATGCCCCGCTCCTTTTTTTTTTTTAAGTTTTTGTGCAGCCAGTGGTCTTGCTATGTTGACCAGGCTGGTCTTGAACTCCTGGCCTCAAGCTATCCTCCTGGTTCAGCCTCCCAAAGTGCTGGGATTACAGGTGTAAGCCACTTTGCCTGGCCAGACTATTCAATTTGTACTCTCTTTTTATAAAACAGAAAACAGGCTCAGAGAGGTTAAGTTTCCTCTCCCAGTTTTCTCCCCGCAACCAGGGACACAAGTGAGATAATGTATGTAAAAATCTCATACAAATACAAGGTAACATGAACTACTTCATGTATCCATTTAATACCTATTTGTTGGCTGCCTGTCTTGTGTTGAGGATATAGCAGTAAATAAAAGGGACAAACATCCCTGACTTAGAAGCTTACATTACAGTGGAGGGATAAAACAATAAATAAAATAAATAAGTATAGATGGTTCTCAATTTACGATGGTCAATAAATTGACTTTCGATTTTTCCACTTTATAATGGGTTTATCAGGGTATTAAATGCATTTCTGACTTACAATATTTGCGACTTACAATGGTTTCTCAGGATGTAACCCCATCCTAAGTGGGCAAGCACCTGTACAATATACAGTATGTTAGGTGGTAAGTAAAGCGACGAAGATAACCAGAGTGTATGGAGTTACAGGGAAGGTGACATTCAAATGAAGATATGATGACAATGAGGAACAACATTCTATATTTTGGTTGTTGTGTGTGTGCATTTTTCTTTTTGTTTTTTGTTTTTGTGGGTGCAAGTGGGGTGGGGAGAGGGGGAGAGATAATCCAGGCAGTAGAGGGAACAGCAGATGGAAAGGTCATGAGACTGGAATTTGCTGTTTCAGAAACAACATGGAGGCTAATGTGCTTGGGAACAGAATAGTAGAAGAGGTCAGAGAGATAAAGGTCCATAGGATATTCAGGCCATGGTAAGACTTTGGCTTTTACCTTGAGTGGTATGAGGAGCTAAGCAGAGGAATGATTTGAGAAGGAGTGAAAAGAATTCACACTTTGGCTGCTGTGTTGGAAATGAACTGTATGGCAAGCAAGGTTAGAAAGAGGGGGACCAGGTGGGTGGTTATGACAAAGTGCTGGCCAGACATGATGCTGGATTGCACCAGGGTCATGGCAGTAGAAGTGGTAGATAAAGGTTAGAGTTCAGATATGGCATTCTGGAGGTTGAGCTGACGATTTTTACTGACACTTTTGAGGTATAACAGAAAGAAAGGAGTCAAGGAAGTCAACGTTTTCACCCAGGAAGTGAGAATGGTGTAGATGTGATTAACAGAGGATGGGGAAGGCTGTGGGTGTCTGAGACAGGAGATCTGGAGCCTGGTTTGCACATGTGAATTCTGAGATGTCTATTAGACACCAGGTGGAGATGTCAGTTATATTTTTTCACTTCATTGGGTTTGAATTCTTTTATCTGCCTCTCTCCTTTTTTCAGAGCTGTATTGGCACTTATTCATGTTCCTTTGCTTTCAAGGTAGTGGCCTATGTCATAGAGAATTTGATGTTGGCGCTCAACTAAGAGGTGAAAGAGAAATATAGAGAAGCAGTTCCAGCAAGAGTAATATAAAAAGGTCTACAGATACAATTTGTAACTCAGATTCCCTTTCACAAGGTTGGGCAGGGACAGTCCCTTTGCTAGGAAGTCACACAAGCTGTTTAGTGCACACAGGTGACTTAAGGAACCCCAAAATGTTAGCTGACAATCTATTCCAAGTGTTTAAACTAGATGTTGAAAATCATGTTTGAAAAGTTCAACGCAGTAGCTCATACATAAAACTCATTGTGTCTATAGATATCAAAATAAGAACTTGTGGGGGGTGGGGGCAAACAAAAATAAATCCCTGGGACCAGAACAGCAGAGTGGTCCCCGATGCTTGGGCTGACCTTAACACACCTCTACGTGGCCGGGGCAAGGAGTGGGGGGGAGCTGAGGGAATCAGCAGGAGCGGTGACATCTTGAAGGACGAGGTATTGTTTCTGCACCATGTGGGTCCGGTTTGGAAATTTGAGCATCTAGAGGAGGAGGCTTGTTCTGTCCAAGGCAAAGCCAGACCTACCAATAAATGTTTCTGATTATGTCACAGAACTTGCCATCCTGGTCTGTCGCTAAGGAGTGATCAACTTTAAATCTGGAGTGTTTGTTGGTCTAGGGGTGGTAGTGGGTCTGGTGTTGAAACCTCTCTGCCTAATTTCGTGGTCATTTTACTGTCTGAGGTGCCAGAGTGGGCTTGGAAAGCAGGGGAGGGTGCAGCAAATTACAAATAAGCAAAATAAATCCTAAGAGGATTTATCGCCACAGAAGCAACTCGGACGCAACTCTTGGGCTCAAAAAGAATGCCCAGTACAGCCCGGGCTGGTGGGCCGGTCTTTTGCCCAAGGTTAGCTTTCAGCCCCTGGGCGGCGGCGTGGCGCCAGGAGCGGGCGGGGAGCAGCGACCCGACGCGGCTGGGTCTCCTAGTAGGGCGCGTCGGGTGTGGGGAGGGGGCGCGGCGTGAGACAGTGGGGGACACTGCGTGAGGAAAGCCCTGCGCTTCTCTCCGGGGCACCAGGACTTGCGCCCCCTCTTCGGGTCCAGGCCGCGCGCGGGACCCGACAGCCCGGCCGAGGGCTCCGCGACCCACTTGCGGCCAGAGCGCTGCTCACCTGGGCGCCGCCGAAGGTGCCGCTCAGACGCGAGGGCGCGGCCGCTGGCGGGCGGGGAGCGGGGAGGCGGGACCCGGCGCGACGGGGCTGCCCCGCCCCCCGATGATGCGGCGGCCGCCGACTCGCCCCCACGCTGTCACTCATTCCTCACCATGGTTGCAGCACAAAGCAACAAGCCCCAGAGGCCGCTTCCTCCCTGAGGAGCGGCTCCGGCGGCCGGAGAAGGCGCAGGAGGAGGAAGAGGCGGAGGAAGAGGAGGGGAATCGCCGCTTCCCAAACACTCTCTCCGAGGGGGCTGTGCGCGGCTCTCGGCTTTCGGCCCTCGGACGCCCGCGCCGGGAGTCCGAACCCGGGCTGTCCGCGGCCCCCTCTTCCCCCTCCTCCGCCCCGCGCAGACGAGGAACAAAGTTGCCGAGAGCGACTGGGCCGGAGGGCTGCAGCCCGGGCCGGGTGCTCTGGCCGCGGCGGCGCCGGCGCCGGGGCAGCTCCGCTCCGGGCGCGCTGATGGGGGGAGGCGGCGGCGGCGGAGCCCACAGCGGCGGCCCGAGCAGCAGAGGCGGCGGCGGCGGCGGCTGGGCGGCCCGAGGGGATGCAGCAGCAGTCGGGAGGGACGGCCGAGCCCAGTAGACAGAGACCAGGAGCGGCGGCCGAGGCGATCGGGCTTCGCAGCGCCCGGACCTGAGCCAGACCCACCTGGTCCGTCCTCCCGACCGGCGGCCGAGGCGCCCGAGGACTGGGGACGCGGAAGATCCAAGTGATTCTCGGAGACCCCTGGGCGGCGGCTGCGCAAGCCCCTGAGAGGAGGGGGCGACCCTCAGCGCCGTGGGGGAGGAGGCTCCGCCTGCCCACAGCCCTCCCCACTGCCACTCGTACCTCCCTAAAAATAACTCGGGCCCGCTGGGGCCAGGAGGAGCCGCCACTGTCCCCCGAGTGGAGCCGGGGAGGCGTGTCGAGCCAGGGCCGGAGGAAGCCGGCGGAGCGGCGAGGAAGAGGAGGAGGAGGAGGAAGGGGAGTTCCGCCTGCGGGCCGCATCGCACGGCAGCCTAGGGGCGCCGCGACCCTCCCGGCTGCGTCCAGCCCCTCGCGCCTGTACCGCGCTCTCGGCCGCCGGGCCCAGCCGAGCCGCCCCCCCGCGGGCCCCGCGCCGCCGCCGCCGCGGTTTGGCTGATTAGTCGCGGGCGGGCGGGCGGGCGCAGCGCGCAGGGCGGAGGCAGCAGCGGCGCTGGGCCGGGAGGAGGCCGGCCAGGGTGCGGAGCGGCCCCGGCCCGCTCCCAGAGGGGAGATGGCGTCCTACGTAGATAACAGCTTCCGCCAGGCGGTGATGAAGAATCCCCCCGAAAGGACCCCCCAGGTGAGAACGCGGCGGCCGCCTGCCCTTGGCCGGATTTCTGCCTCGCAGGCTGCGTCTTCCCCTGTCCCCCCACCTCCTTCCTGACACAGTTCGCCCCGAGCACCCCACTTCTTGCATCAGGACCCCCAACTTCCAAAGGCATCCCACCTCCGAGTCTTTTACTCCGCCTATCCTGGTTTTATTTTTCCCTCTCCTTGACATTCTGCTCCTTAACTCTTCCCTCCCCATGACTGACCTTTCCCACTATGTTGCCCAGCCGAGAGAGAGAGAGAGAGAGAGAGAGAGAGAGAGAGAGGGAGAGACAGAGAGAGAGAGAGAGAGAGTGTGTGTGTGTGTGTGTATGTGTGTGAATGTGTGAATTCTCTAGCTTTCCCTCTCCCCAGCCGCCCTCCGTGGCCTCTGAATCTCAGGGGATGGAGTCTCATCTCCCCTCGGGCAGCGACTCTTGCTCCCTCTGACTCCAGATCCGTTCCTCCCCTTGCAAGTGACCCTTGGAGTTCAGTGGTGTTTGAAAGGTATAGGAGGAAACCTGTACGGTTGTGCTAAAGACAAATCCATGCTGACCTTCAGTAAAACATTGAGGTGTTTGTATGTTTACTGTTTTGCTTTTATTTTTTAAAGGATACTGCTTTCAATTGAAGGGAAAAAAAGTTGAATAGCTAAGTTAGTGCTTTTAGTTTAAATTGCAGACATAGCTGCAGAGCAGGCATGTTCCAGTACACCCTCGGGAAGGGCACCCTGCGGATTCTTTTGGTGTTGCACAACCTTGTCAAAATTAGATAAGTTTGTTAACCTTTATACATTTGTTTACCTGCAGGCTTACTCTTCTCTTACTTATAGCGGCTGATAGGGTTGGATTTGGTTGTCTCAAGTTTTACTGGAGAGGGGGAAATTTTATAAAAATGTGGTAGCTTAATTTTCTCCGCCTTTAGTTGCTGACTGGATAATGACGCATATTCCTAAGCGTTGGGATGGTGACTATAGGAGATCCTGCCTGCCAACCCTCTTAAGACAAATAAGCCCTCCTGATCCTTGGGACCATCAGACATTTAGGATCTAATGCTTGAAAGTGTTGCTTCGCTTGTTAGATGTTGGATGCCATCTGTTCAAATCCAAATGCTCTCCTTCTCTGATGTTGATTATTATTTACTGTGGGGAGAGCATAATAAAATAGACTCTTCCCCTGGCTGCCTTTGGACAAGCCCCAAGAGTGGCACCTGGTACCGTTTTTGATTTTTCATTTTCCTTGATGGAGCTGTCACATCTGGGAGATCATGGATAGATTGCACATATTTATCAAACGTGTGGAAGATGGCTGTAATTTTACAAGAAAATTTATCTGTCTCCAGAAAGTTCCCATTCTAAAAGACTATTTTTATCCCAACAAGGAATGTCCTGCATTGATCTTGTTCTTCTCTTGGTGTTGCACACGCTGCCTTTCCTATGCCTTTCTCATCTATTTGTTTTAAAATGGTCAGTTGGATCAGTCTTCTGCATCTGAAAATGCACATTCCCTGTCTCAGTGTGAAGGAAAAGCAGATTTCAGTGAGATATTTCATTTCCTTTCAAGAATATTGTTTTAAGTGCCAAGTGAAATTACGCATGCTGAGAATATTAGAACCTAGCAAGGCTGGTCAGAAAATGATGTCAGAGGCCTTTGGTGGAAATTAGAGAAGGGGGAAGTGGTGCATTTGGTTGATTAGTTAGAAGAATAACAATGACTAAAACCTACTATCAGGTTGGGGGGCGGGTCACCAAACAAGACTAGAAGAGACAAAACCTCCACTGTGACTGTGGGCCCACTGTGCCAAATAAATGAACTGTTAAACTTTCCTGTTCCCCTGCCAGTTGTGTAGAATAGAGTAAAAACTGACCCAACACAGAACTTGGCCTGGGCCAGCTACTACTAACCCACGACATGAAAGCTTTATTGACAGTCGGAAGGCAGCCCATTTGCCCTACCAAACCTTCATAGAAAAAGTAAACATAAGGAAACCTACCAAACATTTCAAACATTCCTAAGTGTCAGCCCTATTAACTTTGATGTTCGTTTGGTTATTACTACAAATCCCCACGTTTATTTCTTTTCAAGAGAAAGTTGTTCGAAATGTGAACGTTTTCCATCTTTACCTGACTGGCCAGGAGTAATCTTATAAAAATTTGAAATTTACTCAAAAATTATAAAAAAAAAAGTTTTTGTAGAAGGTACTTTTTATGTTAAGAATGCTTTGTTAATGGAACGCTGGAAGATTTTCCATACAGCCTTGTCTTATAAATGTTTGTGAGTTCGAATTTTATAATATTAGAAAAGCAACCATGTTAAATAAGCTTGATATCATGAACAGAAGGACAGGAATTAGGAAAGTTTTGCTGTTTTGCTTCCTTCTGTTTCTGAGGATAGACTCGATAAAGGAGTTTGCATGATTCTCGTTATAGGCAAAAGGAAAAGAATTGGGGAACATATGTAATTTTTTTTCCTGCTGTTCATTTCTGTTTGTTTTTTAAAGGCTTGCTGGCCTCATTCATTTCCCAAGCTCCGTGAAAACATAGTTTTGTATTTAGGTCAATCAATTGCCTAGAAGTAATCCTGATGTCATTGGTGTAACCTAAGAAGTTGGCTAGAAGAGAATCTAGGGGTGGGAAGAGTACCAGGAACTTTCATAAATTGGGAGCTTTTCATGTCCACCTGCACAATGGAAACGCATTTCAGTTATATCTTTAGAGAGGGGGAATAGTAAGGAGAAATACCAAAAAAATTATCATCTAAGTTTTAGCCAGGTTATACATACTCAGTTTCAAGAGACTATCACTATTTCACCTGATATTGTGAGAGGAGGAGGAAAACTCTAATCCAATGTGTGTCCCATATTGTGTGTCTGGAAACCTGGCTGAGTTCTAGTCAATGGGGCATTGTATTCTAAATAACAAACTTCCTTGAAAATAATGAGCCCTGAAAACATTCTACTGATATTTTTCAGTGCACCTCTGTTGAAAAACAGGACTCTTAAGTAATTGCTTTATTTAACCATTTGGGTTTATGTCTTTAATCACTTAAATGAGAAGCTTGGTCACCAAGGCAATTTGGTGAAGTAAAAGATGTAAATAAATTACAAACAGCTTTTATCCCCCAAGGCTTATACAATAAAATGGTTTTTCTAAACCATTTTGTTAACTTGTTGAGTTCAGGCCCTTTGAAATTGCTTCTGTAGAGTGTCTAAATGCATACCATTTTCAGTTTTTCAGGTGAAACATCTATTGCAAAACTGTTTCTTCTCTTTAAAGACCTAATGTAATGCATTTTTAGCTAGTTGTAAAAGTTACTGTTAAAAATGTTATGTGTAAAATAACCCCCACCCCATCTCCTCCTATTTAATAATCTTACTTTTTTTTGGGCTATTACAACTTTTGATATAAGTACTAACTCATTGATGTGTTATAAAGAATACAGGACTTAATTCATTGCTAAGTACTTGGTAGAATTCATCGTGAGTCATAATGAGAGGGCTGAAAAAAGTAACTTTAGCTCAGAGAACTGTAAATTATGAGAAACGGCATGAAAGAATATCTCTGACAAATATTTAACTTTCAAATCTAATGGAAGAATTGTGTCTGTTATAGTTAAATTTTCCATTTGAGTTTCTTTTTACCATTGCTTATAAGCAGACTCATATTTGTCAGCTTATACTCTCATTATATTTTAGCCCATTTTGGGGCTCTAGTAATATTTGTTTCTTAAATAGTTTTTGTTCATAGAATACAACTAAACTATCTGTATGCCATTTAAAAAGCATGTCTCATAAAGAAATGATTGGCCACAAGCAGTTAGATTTCATAACAATGACATTTGAATTTCTTGGTACAGAAATACATTTATAACTGAAATATTAGCTTCAAACTCTATTGGTATGTGACTTTGAACAAATGAGGAATTAAATTTATGATAAAAATATTAACATTCCTTGCAATATTGATAGAACCTTAGTCGCCTTCAAATAACCCTTTAAACATTTAGTAATTAACAGTTCCATAATTAGCTTTGCATATCTTGGCTAAGGTTCAAAATGAAAATCTCTCCAACTGCAGTGCTTTATGCAGATACTCGTTTAATGCAGTCGCAGTCATTCCCAAATGCTGGAATTTCACAGAACTTTCTTTTTTTTTTTTTTTTTTTTTTTAAGGAGAAGATGACCACCTTGGTTTTTCTCTCAAGAAGGAACATAAAATAAAAACAAAACTAGTTATAACTTCTTATCACTATCATTTAATCTCACTGTTTTTAAGAAAGGAAGGATGCAGTGTTATTCTAAAGCTCAGTTTTGAAAGAAAATATTGTTTGCGTCATAAGAAAATTCACTGCATTTTTTCATTTAAATTTTACTTTGGACCTGAAAAAAACTTATTTGGGTAGATTTTGGATGATTTAAAGAATCACAATAAGGTCTTTCTTTGGTGATATTTGATGAGATGGGGTGCTTTCAGGATGGTATGGCGATAGACAATGTTTGGTAAGAGAGCGAGATATATATATTTGGAATAGGGTCTTGCTTTGTTGCCCGGGCTCACTGCAGCCTCTATCTCCCAGACTCAAATGATCCTCCTGCGTCAGCCTCGAGTAACTGGGTCTACAGGCTTATGTCACTGTGCCTGGCTAATTTAAAAAATTTTTTGTAGAGATGAGGGTCTCGCTTTGTTGCCTAGACTGGTCATGAAGTCCTGGGCAGAAGTGATCCTCCTGCTTCAGCCTCCCAAAGTGCTGGGATTACAGGTGTGAACCACTGCACCTGGTCCATTGGTGATAATTTGAAATTCAAGTTGCATAAAATTATAATGGGATGCGCCTCAGATATAAATGGACTATCCGAAATAATGATATGATAACCTTCTAGAAATAAAAACTCTGATTTTGCTTGATTCATATGAAAACTTAATGAGAAAAAAAGTATTCCTTCTTTGTAAATTTTATATGGAAGTAACTTTGGCCAGGAGTGGTGACACATACCTGTAATCCCAGCACTTTGGGAGGCTGAGGTGGGAGGATCTCTTGAAGCCCAGGTGTTCAAGACCAGCCTGGGCATCATAGCAAGGCCCCGTTTCTATTTAAAAGAAAGGTAAATTTGATTTAGACTTAGGAGATATGGAAACCACTGAAAATCGTTGGTCCTTGATAATCCGTATTTTATGGGGTATTCCTTCTCTTCACTCCATTTTTGGTAACAATTTCCTCGTCGGTAAAATGGATAATAGCTGTCTGAGGTTTTGTGGATTAAGTGAAAGTACATTATTTAGTGTAATGCCTAATGTTAGTCCTCTTTATAGCATATTTTATACAATTTCTATTATTTAACAGGCCTTGGGAATTCAAAGATGAAATGTGTGTCCCTCAAGTAACTCACTAATCTATTGTTATAAGTAGATTGTAATTCATGAGTGCTGTAACAGCTATCCTATGACAGCACTGAAGAGGATGTGGACTTCCTAGATGAATATGTATTGAGTTGTAGGGGAGTAAGAATTCACCTACCAGTGAACTAGTGGACCTGAAGTGGTATTCCAGATTGACCTACTGTCATATGAGTAGCACACCTGGTAAGACAACATGTGCAGCTCTTTGTTCAGTGTGCTGGGAACCAGGGGACTGAGGAGGGGGTAAGGAATGATTACTGGCATTTAGAAGCTCATGGTTTGTGAGGGTAGTGAGGAGACCAAGAGTTCTGTTAAAGACTGATGTTCATTTTCCTGGCTTGAGATGGCTGGGAAGCTGAATTACACAGTGGTGATGGATTAGAAATATTGCAGGAGTAGAATCTGCTGGACAGGCTGGCTGAATGTGTGCACGTTTTATATCTCATTATAGTAAAACTGTGTTTGAATCATACCAGTGCAGCCTAATTATGGCACAGGATGATCATGGATATTTCATAGTTCATAGGAAAAAATCCAAGTTGTTGAATATAGTTTTCTTGATTTTTAAGGTTTCTCACACTATTTTTTTCCCTTAAACATTAATGTCTTCTACTACATGTACATTCTGGGAATCTAGTTTGAAATATCTGGTTAATCATATAGTTAAACTAGGCCAGGTGCTGTGGCTCATGCCTCTAATCCTAGCACTTTAGGAGGCTGAGGCGGGTGGATCACTTGAGGTCAGGAGTTCAACACCAGCCTGGCCAACATAGTGAAACCCTATCTCTACTAAAAATACAAAAAATTAGCCAGGTGCCTGTATTCCCAGCTACTCGGGGAGACTGAGACAGGAGAATCACTTGAACCCTGGAGGCAGAGGTTGCAGTGAGCCGAGATTGTGCCATTGCACTCCAGCCTGGGTAACAAGAGCGAAACCCCATCTCAAAAAAACAAAACCCAAAACACCATCATGTAGTTGTACTAAATATATTTCTTAATCTGTAATGATAATGTGATTTCCAAGCATTTCATCATTTGGAAGAGTTGGAGAACTTCTGAATTTAAGCAGGCAAAAATGAACTTATTTATATAAAAACTCAAAATTGACTTGTGACGACACAATGTAATGATGGCATTGAGTCTTTGAGAACAGTTTTTTACTCCTTTATACCATTTTTTGTTTAGATAAATTAATTGATGTTGGTAAATTAGGAGAAGCAATCTGTAGTACATATAATTGATCTTGTAACTTTATCAGAGCTAGAATATATATTTATGTATTTATATAGTTAAAACTATGTTCAAGTGATTATGTCAGTCATTGTAGGAAGAAAAATAAGTTTATTGCCGCATTATTTTGACTTCTAGAATTTTTATCTTTTCAGGAAAAAAAAAAACCACCCTTGTTTTCACATGCAAAATCGCCACTACCTACTGAATTTTAAGAAGCGTGTGTTTCTTGCTGTATTCAGCTGTTTCCTTTTTCCCTCCAGTCTGTGAAAGAATTTACCCTTGGTGCGGTGGTGGTGGGTTTATTGGTTTTTGTGGAGGAAACAACTTGGTCCTTGGATTTTAAGTTGTCCTGGCTCCACCTCTTCTGTGCTTTCATATCCATTATGTATAAGAAGTGTTTTGGGAGAGTTAGTGTCAGTGACTTGAAGAGGAACTTTGTTTTGTCATTGGAACTAAACTTGTCTTCCGCTGGCTGTTGTTTCTCATTGCTTGCCTTCCACAGGTTGAAAATAATGGACTGTGGAGCTTTAGAATTAAAATAAGTGAATAAAAATGTACATTTCGCTGCCATTTGCAGTTTAGTTGACAAACCGACACAGTGTAATATCTGCCCCTTGGCACCTTTCTGTTCTTCTCTAGCTCATGGTATTTGTTTTCACCCAACATAAAAACGGAGAAGAAAGGTAGAGAACACTGAACGAGAATTAATCATTAGGTCATTCTGGGGAGGTCTGATAGTAACTTTCTTAGAAGCCAACAATCAGTGGATCTGAGAGGTTTATGGTACTATGGTGATTATCTGATTTCTCCTGAAAATTCATTCTAGAGTTAAGACTCATTATCTTTTAAAATGTATTTTATTTTTTAATGACCAGTCTTCAGTGGAATCATTATCTTTCTTAAACTTTTTAGCTTAAGATAAATGTAGATTCACATACAATTGTAGGAAATAATGGGGAGAGATCCTGTGTGTACCCTTTAACCGGTTTCTCCCATTAGTAATAGCTTATAAAACTGTAGTGTAATATCACAATCAGGATATTGACATCAGTGCAATCAAGAAACAAAGCAATTCCAGCACCACAAATGGTTCTTGTTGGACTTTTATAGCCACAGTCACTCCCCCACCCCACCTCTGGGGATCACTAATCTGTTCCATTTCTATAACTTTGTCATTTCAAAAATGTTATTAATTGGAATCGTACAGTATATGGCCTTTGGAGATTGACTCCCCTCCCCCTGCGCAGCATCATTAAGGCTTATTACCTTTTGGTTAAAATGAATTTCTGTTGTTAGTGAATAGTTTGGCCTTGTGCTTCTAAAATACCAATAATGTCTGAGGATTGGGGGGTTGGTGGTAAAAGGTGAGATGGGTTTAATAGTGACAATGAAGAGAAAGTTCTGTGATAATGCGTATAAATATAGAGCAAAGAGCATAAGGTCTTGGATGAGCAAGAGTTGTGATAGCATACCACATTTGGGAGATTTTGATATATGTATTTCCTTTTCATATTTTTTTTTTGTCATAATGGAAGTAGTAAGGTTAGCCTTAGCCTTCATATTCTCCAACTGAAATTTAAAAAATAAAATCAGAAGGAAGTCTAATGACTGTATATACAAAAGGGAGTCCCAATGGCCAAATTTGGGACAGTTTGAGAAGCAAATCATGACAGTAACGGACTATAACCCCTAGGGAAGAAAGTATCCATGAGCCCATACTGATATAAGTAAGTAGTTGAATAAATAAATAAAAGCAGGAGAAGAGACACCTCTTTGTTATAGAATTCTAATTAGAAAATGAAGGAATGATGGAAATAGAAAATCACCAGCAGGTAAACACCATAGTAGCAATTGTTACAGGCAGGAATCATCAATGGATGCCAAAATTAGTGGGTGAAGGTATGATGAAAAATATCATCATAGATCAGTATCATCAGGATATTTGCATAGTCTCAAAATATCTCCCCCACAAAATTAATTAACTATAAAGGAAAAAATCAATACTTAATAGTGAAGAAAACTGGTAATATCAAATTAACCAGATCATCAAAGTTAATATCATTAGTAATAAGACATGTCAACATCATGTGTCTGCTGATATAATGTATTGAGAAAGAGATATCTCTGGTATTCTTAACTAAAAATCAACCTAAGTGGAGCAAATATCAGATAGACTCAAATTTAAGGACATTTTACAAAATAACTGGCCAGTATTCCCTGAAAGTATTGAGGGTGTGGAAGATGAAGAAATGCCCAAGAACTGCCACACATTGGAAGAAACTAAGGACATGTGATAACCAAATGTAATGTAGGATTCTGGAATTGATCCTGGACAAGAACAACAACAAAAAAACATTATTAGGATGACTGATGAAATTTGAATATTTAGATAACTTTACCACAATTATTGTAGATGCTAAATTACGGGAAGCTGGGTAAACAGGGGATCTTTGACCCGTTTTTTAAATAACCTTTTTTACTCTAAAATTATTTAAAAATTCAAAGTTAAAAAAAGGAAGCATAGCTTTTGAAGTTTTTTTTGTGAACCTGAAAAGGGGATACCAAATTATTACTTTTTAAGACATCTTTTAGGCTGGGCATGGTGGCTCACTCCTGTAATCCCTGCACTTTGGAAGACTGAGGCGGGTGGATCACCTGAAGTCGGGAATTCGAGTTGAGCCTGGCCAACATGGCGAAACCCCTTCTCTACTACATATACAAAAAATTAGCCAGGAGTGGTGGCGCATGCTTGTAATTCCAGCTACTTGGGAGGCTGAGGCAAGAGAATCACTTGAACCCAGGAGGTGGAGGTTGCAGTGAGCCGAGATTGCACCATTGCCCTCTAGCCTGGGTGACGGATGAGACTCTGTCTCAAAAAAAAAAAAAAAAAAAAAGTATCTTTTTTTCCAGTTTAATAATTTACTCTTAATGAAGAGCCTAGTACCTTTTAAGTGAATATTTTGTATGTATTGAACCACTAGTAAAATGGTTGAGGCAGTATATTTATTAGTTGGGGAAACTTGAAAGCACACACACACATAATAGCTAATAAATAAATGGATGAGAAGAGATAAAATAGTAACGTTTATTTTATTTTATTTATTTTTGCAACAGGATCTCACTGTGTCACCCAGGCTGGAGTGCAGTGACATGATCATGGCTCACTGCAGCCTCGTCCTGGGCTCAAGGATCCTCGCACCTTAGGCTCCTGAGTAGCTGGGACCGCAGGCATGCACCATCATACCTGGCTAATTTTTTTTTTTTTTTTTTCTTTGAGATGGAGAATGCAGTGGCACGATCTCAGCCATTCCCAGCAACCTCCGCCTGCTGGGTTCAAGTGATTCTCCTGCCTCAGCCTCCTAAGTAGCTGGGATTACAGGTGCACACCACCATGCCCAGCTAATTTTTGTATTTTTAGTAGAGACAGGGTTTCACCATGTTGGTCAGGCTGGTCTCGAACTCCTGACCTCGTGATCCGCCCACTGCAGCCTCCCAAAGTGCTGGGATTACAGGCGTGAGCCACTGCGCCCGGCCCTAATTTTTGCATTTTTTTAGATCTGTGTCTTGCTATTTAGCCCAGGCTGGTCTTGAACTCCTGGGCTCAAGCGATCTTCTCCTCTCGGCCTCCCAAAGTGCTGGGATTATAGGTGTGAGCCACCTTGCTTGGCCAGAATTTTAACAATTTATTCACCTTTATTCCTACCTGAATTTTGTTGATATTCCCAAGATGGAGTGTATTTTATCAGTGTTTAATGTTTCGTGATTCTGAATTTAAGTAGATCACAATATTTGTTATAAGAAAAATTGTAGGAAATAGAATATTCCATGTATGTTAAGCAAAATAGAAAAATTGTGGTAGTAGCTTAAGGAAGTCAATCCCAATGAAATTTAAATTGTAGATTCTCTCTTCCCCACTTTTTTCTTTCCTGTGACCTTAAAAATTCTTTAAATGGTTACTTTTGGTAGGAGTGAGGGGGTGGAAGGGGAGGGAAGGGAATGAATGGCAAGGGTGTGTTTAAAAAGTCTAGTCAGAGGCACTGTTACAGCTATGGATAATAGTGTTATCTAAGCTGAGTGTATTGAATACTTTCATCTAGATGTCTTAAAAGGACTTTAGTAGGATATAAAAAGAAAATAAAAAGGAATTTTAAAAATCAAATTAAGGCAAACAATCTCTACACATTTTCCCCCTTGTATCTATGCCTTTACATTTAGGTTATAAAGTCAGCCCCCCTCCCCAGTCCCACGGATTAGCCAACTATCTTTCCGTTTTTGATTTTTTGGTAGTGAGTACTGGAGAATGAATGCTGTTTTTAATATTATGTATTTTTTTCATAACTGAAATTGGCGTTAGAAGATTGGATTAAAAAACATGAGACCTAACATTTTAGATAATTGTAAATATAGTGTAAGCAGGAAGATATTTACTATTTTCAATAATAAAGACATAAATCACTTGTTTTCTGTATTTTAAGAAACTTTTGCTGGTATTTGATATTTTAAATAATAAGTTGCATTTGAGGGCACAAATGAAAAAGAAAAGAGCAGGCCAGGTTTTGAAGTAACTAATTGTATAAAATAAAATGAAAAATGTGTAAACATACAGGTGTGGACTAAACCTATTTGACATTCTTCCATGTATTCATATAGAAACTATTTGAATTCTGCAAAGCAATAAGTTTCTGATTTTTTTTTTTTCCTCTAAGCTACTTCATGCATTCTTACAAACTCCATTTCCTTTTAAACACAGTCAAATTTATTAGGGAATATTTGGTCAAATTGTTAAAAGTATTTCTCTGCTACCTGAGTTCAAACTATACTACAAGGCTACAGTAACCAAAACAGCATGGTACTGGTACAAAAACAGACACATAGACCAATGGAACAGAATAGTGATCTCAGAAATAAGACCACACACCTACAACCATCTGATCTTTGACAAACCTGACACAAAAACAAGCAATGGGGAGAGGATTCTCTATTTAATAAATGGTGCTGGGAAAACTGGCTAGCCATATGCAGAAAATTGAAACTGGGCACCTTCCTTACACCTCATACAAAAATTAACTCAAGATGGATTAAAGACTTAAATGTAAAACCCACAACTATAAAAACCCTAGAAGAAAATCTAGGCAATACCATTCAGGACATAGGCACGGGCAAAGATTTTATGATGAAAACGTCAAAAGCAATTGCAGCAAAAGCAACAATTGACAAATAGGATCTAATTAAACTAAAGAGCCTCTGCACAGCAAAAAAAACTATCATCAGAGTGAGCAGACAACCTATAGAATGGAGAAAATTTTTGCAATCTAGCCATCTGACAAAGGCCTAATATCCACAATCTACAAGGAACATAAACAAATTTAGAAGAAAAAAACAATCCCTTCAAAAAGTGGGCAAAGGACATGAACAGACAATTCTCAAAAGAAGACATTCATTGCAGCCAACAAACATGGAAAAAAAGCTCAACATCACTGATGATTAGAGAAATGCAAATCAAAACCACAGTGATATACCATCTCACGCCAGTCAGATGGCAGTTATTAAAAAGTCAGGAAACAACAGATGCTGGTGAGGCTGTGGAGAAATAGGAATGCATTTGTGGAAGTATTTTGTGGAAGACGGTGTGGTGATTCCTCAAAGACCTAGAACCAGAAATATCATTTGACCCAGCAATCCCATTACTGGGTATATACCCAAAGGAATATAAATAATTCTGTTATAAAGATACATGGAAGCATATGTTCATTGCAGCACTATTCACAATAGCAAAGACATGGAATCAATCCAAATGTCAATCGCTGATAGACTGGATAAAGAAAATGTGATACATGTACACCATGGAATACTCTGTAGGCTGTGAGATCATGTCCTTTGCAGGGAGATGGATGGAGCTGGAAGCCATTATCCTCAGTAAACTAACACAAGAACAGAAAACCAAACACTGCATGTTCTCACTTACAAGTGGGAAGCTGAACAATGAGAACACATGGACACTGGGGCCTGTCAGTGTTGGGGGAGGGAGAGCATCAGGAAAAACAGCTAATGCATGCTGGGCTTAATAACTAGGTGATGGTTTGATGGGTGCAGCAAACCACCATGGCACACTGTTACCTATAACAAGCCTGCACATTCTGCACATGTATCCTGGAACTTAAAAATAACAAAAGTATTTATCTAAGTTGTATCTTATAGTTATTGTATTGAAAAATGGCTTCATCAAATTTATACATTTCTAAATGACTAGAAATGAGTTTTAAAAACTTGTGAGTTTAAAAAACTTGAAACATAGTATCATAAAATGCCAAGAGTTGAAATAAGGAGGAATTTGATAGCATTTCAATGTTTCTAATCTTCATTCATATCTGATCCCCATCCTGTTTTTGTGTAGCTGTGAGAAATTGAAGAGCAAGCTTTAGGGCAAACATTTTCTGTGTATCTGTTGCTTGGATTTGGGATACCACAAGCTTCATTTAGAGTCAGTGTGCTTAGAGCCCCAAAAGTTCTTTATTCCCATATGTGGACCTCCTAACATAATCGTCATCTGAGACTTAAGTTGGAATGGGTGAGAATTCCTATCTTGATTCTATTTTCTCTGGTGTGGTTTAAATCTACATCCCATAGTTAGAGAAAACTCTGTGGGAGGCAACATGCTAAAATCATTTCATTTTAAAAGTCCTTGTTCCTACTTTATATATTCTGCGATGGTTGGGTTTTTTTTTTTTCGTAGTTACAAATTCATATCTTTAATTTTAATTGTATGCATAGAATACTTGTTTTGAGTTTAGTGTATTTCCTTCATATAACCCAGTGGTTTTAATCTTGGTCTCTGTTGTCAAACAAACTGCTTTGTGGCCTTGGGCAGGTTACTTCACCTTAGTTTCAGGCTTTTTGATTTCACAGGCTTAAAATTTCACAACACTGGGCATTGACATTTGTTCATCACCTATTTACTATACCAAGTAAGCATGTTTAATACAACATAAACTTGCTATCCACAAGCCTCATTTAAGAAAGGATATTTTACTGTCATAAAAATAGGAAGGTCATAGTTTCAGAATAAACAAATACAGCTTTGTTTTGCTATATTATGTTTTTTTTTTCAAGGATTGATGAAATTTTCACCATGGGTGGGTATTGTAATATTACCAATCTCCTATAATTGTGAAGATTAAATACATTAATGCAGGAGTACCCAACCCCTGGGCCACAGACTGGTAGCAGTCCATGGCCTGTTAGGAACCAGGCCATACAGCAGGAAGTGAGTGGTAGGTGAGAGAGTGAAGCTTCATCTTTGTTTACAGCCACTCCCCATCACTGGCGTTACTGCCTGAGCTCCGCCTCCTGTCAGATTAGCAGCAGCATTAGATTCTCATAGGAGCACAAACCCTATTGTGAACTGCATATGCAAGGGATCTAGGTTGTGTACTCCTCATGAGAATCTAATGCTTGATGATCTGTCACTGTTTCCCATCATCCCCTAGTTGCAGGAAAACAAGCTCAGGGCTCGTGCTGATTCTACATTACGGTGAGTTGTATAATTATTTCATTATATATTACAATGTAATACAGAAATGAAGTACACAATAAATGTAATATGCTTGAATCATCCTGCACCCCCCCGCCCAACCCTGTGGAAAAAGGTTGTCTTCCATGAAACTGGTCCCTGGTGCCAGAAGGGTTGGGGACCTCTGCATTAATGTATATTAAAGTATTATTATTATTTTTTTTTGAGACAAAGTTTTGCTCTTGTTGCCCAGGCTGGAGTGCAATGGTGCGATCTCAGCTCACCGCAACCTCCGCCTCCCGGGTTCAAGCGATTCTCCTGCCTCAGCCTCCCAAGTCGCTGGGATTACAGGCGCCCGCCTCCTTGCCTGCAAATTTTGGTATATGTAGTAGAGATGGGGTTTCACCATGTTGACCAGACTGGTCTTGGATTTCTGACCTCAGGTGATCCACCCACCTCGGCCTCCCAAAGTGCTGGTATTACAGGCATGAGCCACCGCGCCCGGCCCTATTAAAGTTCTTAACACAGTCTCTGGCATTGAAGATTTAATAAATATTTACTCTTCTTATTACTGTTTTTCAGTAGTTGATATTCATTACTCTTTTACTTTTTCCCATAGATTAACTTTTCATCGTTGGTTTAATGACTGATTCACTAAAGTGATTTTAATATGTTGATTTGATAGACTTGATTTATAGTACAGATTGTGTTAGGTTTGCAGGTTGCCAAGAACTGCAGATATAGGGGTTAACTCCAGGCTTATTTTTTTTATATACAAGAAAAATCTAAAGGTAGACAGTGCAGGGTTGGGTTGGTGCAGACGCTCAAGGATGTCATTTAAAGAAACTGGCTGAGTCTTCTATTTAGCAAGCAATGTTAGTCTTCAAAGCCACAAAATGGTAGTTGCCTCAATAATCAGGAAAGGAGAGGGGTGGGTGTTAAATCCTTTTCTTGGTGTTTTGTCTTTTTATTTTGAAGGAAAGCCCTCTCTAGATACTTATTGGCTAAGGCTGTGTCACATGGCTACTCTTGGCTGCAAAAGAGGCTGGAAATTTGAGTATTTTGCTTTTAAGCCTCGATAGTACAGAAAGATGAAGATTAATGGGTGCTGTGAGCTGATGTATTTCTCCAATTTACTTTGCATAGGAGATAGATGATTGTAATAAGCTTATGCAGTGATTCTCAGGAGACCTCTTTGAAAGTCTTATTGAATTATAGAGTTATATTACTGTAGCTACGGTTATGGAATGCAGGTATATTCAACTTCTTGGTTCGCTTATTAGGTGTATGATTATTAATTTTTTGAACCTCAGTCTCATTTACAAATAGGGATAAAAATACTAGTGGGTGAGCATTACGTGTAAATATTATAAAACACTGTCTGTAATGTAAATATTATCATTTCTATGGTAGATGAGTTCTAAACATCCCATCTATTGATTTAAGGATATTGGCATATGATATTTTCTAAATTGGTTCCTTTTGTTTCAGATTTACTCTATTTAAAAAATTCCAGAAATGTATTTCATTTTTTTGGGTGCTCCAATTGTATGTACTGATATGTCTACTTGTAGTAATACTTTGTCATTTTTTTAGGACTTCAGTGTTTCATTTGTCATCACTCCCCAAAGCTGAATCATCATTTCTTTTTTGTTTGTTTTTTTGAGTCAGAGTCTCTGTTGTCCAGACTGGAGTGCAGTGGTGCAGTCTCAGCTCACTTCAGCCTCTGCCTCCTGGGTTCAGGCAATTCTCGTGTCTCAGCCTCCTGAGTAGCTGGGATTACAGGTGTATGCCACCACACCTGGCTAATTTTTGTATTTTTAGTAGAGACAGGGTTTCGCCATGTTGGCCAGGCTGGTCTTGAACTCCTGGCCTCACGTGATCTACATGCCTTGGCCTCCCAAAGTTCTAGGATTACAGGCGTGAGCCATTGCACCCAGCCAAATCATCACTTCTTATAAGTATATATTTTTATGTAAAATATACATAAAAGCTAGTTAAATAGGTTTTTGCACTTTGTCGAATTTATACTTACATCATAACTTTATGTCTTTAAGAAAAATAGTTTCATATTGGTTGTTATACAAGATTAGCTTTGATACTAAAACTTCTAAGAATGCATTGTGTCCTATCTTAGGACATGATGTGTTACAGGCTTTTTCTGATAGCATTCAAGATTTATATACATAAACTGCTCTTAATGTTTTGTAGTGGGATCAGTTAAACAATTTCCTATCAGAAGCTAATGTCTAGAAATTTTACTGATAAGAGTCTAGCATTTATCATCTTTAAATAAGCTATGTTTCCATAAATTATTTCTTTTGGTGGGACTACAACATATGCCTGAATTTGCAGTCTAAGTTAGGACTCGGTTTTTCTTTAAAATTGATTAACTTGAACTATGTCTATCAGTCCCACTAAGCTAAGAGTTTATTGGGCTGAGACTTACTGTCCATCTTTTTTTTTTAATTTTTAAATTATTTTATTTTATTTTTGAGAGGGAGTCTTGCCCTGTTGCCCAGGCTATAGTGCAGTGGCGCAATCTTGGCTCACTGCAACCTCTGCCTCCTGGGTTCGAGCGATTCTCCATCCTCTGCCTCCCTACTAGCTGGGACTATCGGCACCCACCACCACGCCCAGCTAATTTTTGTATTTTTAGTAGAGACAGAGTTTCACCGTGTTGGCCAGGTTGATCTTGAACTCCATCTCAAGCTATCTGCCTGCCTTGGCCTCCTAAAGTGCTGGAATTACAGGCGTGAGCTTCTGCACCCGGCCGATCTTTGAAGCTCATGCTCAACCTTTTAGCACAGAATTGGAGCTGATAAATGTTTAATGACTTGATCTTGATTTCCTGAGAGTTTTAGACTTGGTGGTACAGGGAAAAATGTACAGTTGAACCTTGGAACAACATGGTTTTGAACTCTGTGGATCTACTCATACATGGACCTCTCCCCTCCCCTCCCCTCCCCTTCCTCTTCTTTTCTCTTTTTTCCTTTCCTTTCTGAGATAGGGTCTTCCTCTGTCTGTTGCCCAGGCTGGAGTACAGTGGTGTGATCACAGCTCATTGCAGCCTCAATCTCTTGGACTCAAGCTCTCCTCCCACCTCAGCCTCTGAATAGCTGGTACTACAGGTGTGTGCTACCATGCCTGTAGCTAATTTTTAATTTTTTTTGTGGAGATGGGATCTCACTGTGTTGTCCAGTCTGGTCTCAAACTGCTGGGCTCAAGCTGTGCTCCTGCCTTGGCCTCCCAAAGTGTTGGGATTATAAATGTTGGGATTTCAATAAATATATTAAAAAAATTTTTGGAGAATTGCCACAATTTGAAAAAACTTGCAAATGGGCTACATAGCCTAGAAATGTAGGTTATGGAGCCGGGCTCGGTGGCTCATGCCTGTAATCGCAGCACTTTGGGAGGCCGAGGCGGGCGGATCACAAGGTCAGGAGTTCGAGACCACCCTGGTTAACATGGTGAAACCCCATCTCTACTAAAAATACAAAAAAAAAAAAATTAGCCGGGCATAGGTGGTGCATGCCTGTACTCCCAGCTACTCGGGAGGCTGAGGCAGGAGAATGGCGTAAAACCCGGGAGGCAGAGGTTGCAGTGAGGTGAGATCGCACCACTGCACTCCAGCCTGGGAGACAGAGCAAGACTCCATCTCAAAAAAAAAAAAAAAAAAAAAAAATACAGGTTATGGAAAAATTATGAAATATTATGAAAAAGTAGGTATGTCATGAATGCACAAAATATATTTAGATAACTAGTCTATTTTATATATGACAATAAGATGTAAAGAAATCTATGATAAAATGTTAAAATTTGGCTGGGCGTGGTGGCTCACACCTGTAATCCCAGCACTTTGGGAAGCTGAGGCAGGCGGATCATGAGGTCAGGAGTTTGAGACCAGCCTGACCAACATGGTGAAACCCCATCTCCACTAAAAATACAAAAATTAGTAGGGCATGGTGGCGCACGCCTATAATCCTAGCTACTTAGGAGGCTGAGGCAGGAGAACTGCTTGAACTCAGGAGGCAGAGATTGCAGTGAGCCGAGACTGCACCACAGCACTCCAGCCTGGGCGACAGAGCAAGACTTTGTCTCAAAAAAAAAAAAAGTTAAAATTTATCAAAACTTATGGACCCTTACAGATTGTACATAGTTCCATCTGAAGTCTAGAGAAATGTAAACAAATCTAAAGATGCAGCATTAAATCATAACTGCATAAGATTATTGTGCATACGGTACTACTGTAATAATTTTGTAGCCACCTCCTGTTGCTTTCGTGTCATGAGTATGGTTACTCATCTCTCAATGAGGAGTTTGTCCATCAGTAAACTGCATATTGCAGTAAAAGTGATCTTTTGTGGATCTATATTTTTCATCTTTTTAGTGCAATACTGTAAACCTTGAATAATATTATGGGACCCATACAAAGTGCCACTGGTGATGCTGGAAGTGTTCCCAAGAAGCAAAGAAAATTCATGACATTATAAGAAAAAGTTGAATTGCTTGCTGTGTACTGTAGATTAAGATCTGCAACTGCAGTTACCCAAAATTTCAGATAGGCAGTTCATCTAGCAAAGGTTATTTTTATTATTTATTAAACAAATTTAAGATACTGATACAGTACTGTAAATGTATTTTCTCTTCCTTATGATTTTAATGACATTTTCCTTTCTTTAGCTTATTTGTTGTAAGAAAATAGTATACAATACAACATATGTGTTAATCGAGTGTTTATCAGTAAGGCTTCTGGTCAACAGTAGGCTATTAGTAGCTAAGTTTTTGGGAGTCAAAAGTTAATGCAGATTTTCAACTTTGTTAGGGGTTGGCGCCTCTAATATCCGAGTTGTTCATAGGTCAGAAGTTACCTACTTCATGGATTAAATTTACTCACTGAGTGTTAGCAAGATGGTTTTTGGCTTTTGTGATGGAACACTTAATTTGATATTTCTCTTTTGTTATGCTGAAAGTGTTAATTCCCTCATAGTTTGCATATATTCTATAAAAAGGATCTTGTTGCCTGCCTTGGTGGTTACAAAAATTTGTGTTTCACTGGCTTCTGGTTGGTTTACCAGCTTGTAAAAGTTATTCGTGCCAGGTTAAGTATTTTCTTTGAGTTTAAACTGTGTGTGTCTGTGGGTGGGATATGGATTTTTATCTTTTTTTTTTTTTTTTTGAGATGGAGTCTTGTTCTGTCGCCCAGGCTGGAGTGCAGTGGCTCGATCTCAGCTGGGTTCACGCCATTCTCCTACCTCAGCCTCCCGAGTAGCTGGGACTACAGGCGCCCACCACCGCGCCCGGCTAATTTTTTGTGTTTTTAGTAGAGACAGGGTTTCACCGTGTTAGCCAGGATGGTCTCGATCTCCTGACCTCGTGATCTACCTGCCTCGACCTCCCAAAGTGCTGGGATTACAGGTGTGAGCCACCTCGCCTGGCTGGATTTTTATCGTTTTACTTTTGTTGTTGTTATTGTTGTATTGTTTTGTTTTCTTCAGACATGGTTTCACTCTTCTTGCCCAGGCTGGAGTGCAGTGGCGTGTTCTCGTCTCACCGCAAACTCTGCCTCCCGGGTTCAAGCAATTCTTATGTCCCAGCCTCCCAGGTTGCTGGAATTACAGGCGCGTGCCACCACACCCGGCTAATTTTTGTATTTTTAGTAGAGATGGCGTTTCGCCATGTTGGCCAGGCTGTTCTCAACTCCTGACCTCAGGTGATCTGCCTGCCTCCATCTCCCAAAGTGCTGGGATTACGGGCGTGAGCCACTGCACCCGGCCTTTGTTGTTGTTGTTAGATGTGCTAAGTTTTTCTTTCTCAATTGTCTGTTGGACTCTCGATGAGAACTTTCAACTGATTTCAGGGCACAATATCTAGTAAGTCGGCCAGGTGTGGTGGCTCATGCCTGTAATACCAGCACTTTGGGAGACTGAGGCGGGCGGATCACCTGAGGTCAGGAGTTCAGGACCAGCCTGGCCAACATGTGAAACCCCGTCTCTACCAAAAATACAAAAATTAGCTGAGCATGGTGGCACGCGCCTGTAGTCCCAGCTACTCGGGAAGCTGAGGCAGGAGAATTGCTTGAACCTGGGAGGCAGAGGTTGCAGTGAGCCAAGAGCACACCACTGCACTCCAGCCTGGGTGACAGAGCTAGATACCGTCTAAAAGAGAAAAAAAATTTAATAAGTCTTCTGTAATTACAAGCCTGTAATCTTTTTGCTGAAGATATATCTTTACGCAAAGAAGAATGAAGAGGAAGAGACTTATCCAGCCTAGTTTCCCTGTTATTTAAAAACAGCTAAGACAAAGCTCTTTTGTCTGTTTTGGTTATTTTTTCTTCCTAAATATAGCCAAGCAAGGACTAGGACTTGTAGTAACTCTAAGAAAGTATCTGTTGATGATCTTTACAAATATACTCTGAGGGGAAAAAAGAAATTTTATTCTACAAATACTGTTATTAACATAACTTTGCAAAACTTTTTAAAGATACTAGGTATAATAGATACTATTTATTATTGTTCATCTGTTAATGTTCATCCAGAATGGTTTTTCCAGATCATACACTTTTGCTTATGGAAGGACATATTTTTGTCTAGGTTGCCTTCAGTTTTCTAGCCTAACTTTCTTGAAACTGTCTGTAGTCTTTGCCTAGGTTTTTCTATTTTTTTTTTTTAGAAATAAAAGTTAGATGAGAGGTTTTAATACAGTTTTCTTCCTGCATTAGGCTTTTGTTATTAAGCCACACGCAAACAGCTATGAGATTTTAAAGCCCATCAGAGATACCACACCCCAATACCTGGCATATGTTAGGTGCTTTGCTCAATAAATCTGCACAATCAATGAATCAATGAATCGATTTAGTTTACAATCAAGAAATATTTACTACTGTTTTACCTTATTTAAAATGATTGTAGGTATATCAACCTTGAAATTGGAGTCAGAGATGAGACTGTTTACTCTTTATTGTTTACATTTCCTTATCTTGTGTCAAAACAGAAACTTACCAGAGTTTGTATTCCGTTTTCTTTGTAATGTGCTATGGAGTTTTTTTGAGTAGCTGCTACTTCTTGGAAACCACAAAGATAAATAATTAGCTGTTATGGGCTGGGCGCGGTGGCTCACACCTGTAATCGTAGCACTTTGAGAGGCTGGGGTGGGCGGAACATGAGGTCAGGAGATTGAGACCATCCTGGCTAACACGGTGAAACCCCATCTCTACTAAAAATACAAAAATTTAGCCGGGCATGGTGGCGAGCACCTGTAGTCCCAGCTGCTCAGGAGGCTGAGGCAGGAGAATGGCGTGAACATGGGTGGCAGAGCTTGCAGTGAGCTGAGATTGCGGCACTGCACTCCAGCCTGGGCGACAGAGTGAGAATCTGTCTCGAAAAAAAAAAAAAATAATAATTCGCTGTTATAGTCTGTGCATCTATGACAATTTTATCAATATGTGTTAAGAAAAGAGGCTGTTCCAATTGGATTTTGGTTGTTAGATGTGAAATTACTTAGTTGAGAGCATTTGCTTTCATCATGGTTCAGGAGAGACACTGACCACTCAGAATTTGGCAACAGTATCTTGCCAGTGATGTTAAGTATAACTTTGTAGAAAAATGCTAATGAAAAACTTACTACAATGTGTCTGCTATCAGAACTCAGCACTTCCCAATAGCAATGTTGCTAGTGTTTATTCTCCTTTAACTACTTGGTCAAAAATAACTGGGTGATATTTGAAAGTATAAAAATTGATTATCCTCAATTTTTATGTTTTTTATGAAAACAATATTTTTTTGGAAAGGATTGAATACTATTTAAGCCTTCCTTCAAACTTACTGTGTAGCATTTTATACATTTCTAGTTGTGATTTTTATTTTTTAAAGGACGAGAGTTAAACACAATTTTCAGGAAAACACCTATCTCCAAATTGGTTGAAACAAAATACAAAATAGCATAGGAGAGAGCAATTCTAGAAACCTTTGAAAGCCCAGTGTAAAGCAATTCATCATTCTTACCAAGCTGGGTGAAATTTTTAAAAATAAGAAAGTCTCACCAACACAACTTAAAATCTGGCTTTTTGCATATTTTTAGTTTTCTTTATATATGAAATAAGTGAAGTAATTTTGATTGTAAAATGTCATTTATTCTATCTCCTGTCCAGGTTTTAAAAAAAAAAAAAAGCCTGATGCCTCCCTGTCATCTCTCAGAAGATTTTAAGACTTTCTCAGAATTTTCTTTTTAACTTACTGGATAAACACTCCTCTTTGCTGATTGTGAAAATGACCATCTTAAAAGTGTTTACAGGAACCCACACTTATCCTTTTCCCCCTCTGCTTTTAGGCTAGGTCATAATTTCAGTTTCCCTTCATTTTTATTTTTCTCAGTTGATTATAAGATCAGAGCTACAAGAGGAAAAATGCTGTTATAGACCTGTTTATTTAGGATGGTCTTTTAGAGGAAAAAACCCGAGTCCTCATTTCTCATTGTCAAGTAGAACCCCATTCATGTGCATGGTAATTGTCAAGAATCATATTTGTAACCACAAAGAACAATAATCTCACACTATCTTCTGGGTAAACTGCTCCTACGTTTGAATTGATTTTGTAAAGAGGTAACTGTGGTTTGTGGATGAAAACATTTGTTTATTTGCATTTTTTGTTGTTGTTGTTTGTTTTCTTGAGACGGAGTTTTGCTCTTGTCGCCCAGGCTGGAGTGCAGTGGTGCTATCTTGGCTCACTACAACCTCCGCCTCCTGGGTTCAAGCGATTCTCCTGCCTCAGCCTCCTGAGTAGCTGGGATTACAGGCACACGCCACCACACCAGGGTAATTTTTGTATTGTTGGTAGAGATGGAGTTTCACCACATTGGCCAGGCTGGTTTTGAATTCCTGACCTCAGGTGATCCGCCTGCCTTGGCCTCCCAAAGTGCTGGGATTACAGGTGTGAACCACCGCACCTGGCCTATTTATTTGTGTTTTATGATACTATTTACCTTCTCACTGCCACCATTCTCAGGGCTTTATCAGTACCCCACAAAAAACACACCTTTTGATTTCCTCCCTTTTTACCTGTGGTAGTAACTCATTTAATGCCATGTTCCCCCCTTCATGAAGCATCTTCTAGTTGCTTAGTCTAGAGGTTGAATTTTTCTTTATGCTGTCACTGTTTTTAGCTTGCGTTTCTTCTGGGCATTCCTTGGCAATGCATAATTTCGTAATTATTAAGTGTACATATCTCATTTTTAAACTGCAGAATTCCTCAAAGGTTAAACTACCTTTATGACCTTTATGTCTCCATGGCGTTTTATAATACCTTAGCATTCCTTAAATATTCAAATGTATAATATGAAGTGTGTTTGACATTCTCATAGTAATAGAATAAGAATACTAATGGGGTATATAGCTCAGTTTGGTGCAGTTTTTAAAATTTAATTCATAGGCAGTTATTTTTATTATTTGAATACAACATTGTTCAGGCTTGTAAATTATTTTAAGACAGTCAAAATTGATTCTTAGAAAATTGCCTGGTTAGGTGATAGCAATTCAAATTTTACTTAGTCACCATGATTTGTGTAAGTTACAGAAGCAAGTCAGAAGCAAAGTCCTGAATTCTAGGCATGGTGTTATGAATCTCTATGCCCTGGACTGCAGTTTATTGCCTTGGATTATATTTAGGTATGTATATATATGTTTGCTTTCCTTGAATTTTGAACTCCCTGTTTTATACATGTACCTTATAACCTTTCTTTTGTTAGGAGATACTTTAAATTGTACGTTCTATTTCATCTAGTAAAATCCAAGAAGAAAAAATACTGAGACTAATAATGTCTTAACTTTTACATTACTGTCAATCTAATAGTACATTTTGGGGCCTAATTCTACTGAGGAAGACTAGCTGGAAGAGAGGGACTGATGTTGTATCCAGTTACTCTCCACGTGACCCTGGAAATTTTCATTGGATCTTAGTTTTCTCACCTGTAAAATGGAACACAATGCTTTCCATACCTATTTTCAGGGTTACGTAAGTTTAATATATGAGAAAGTACTTCGCAATGGAAAAGTCTACATGAATGTAAAGTATTACTATTGCTGACATAATAAAAATATTAGTGTCAGTAGAAATTGTGAGTCATTTATAAAGATAATAGGCTAAGATCTTCTTAATATTCTTAACATTTGGCTAGTAGTTTATTCACCCCTCTTTTTGGTGAATACAAAGCAGTAAAACCATGTTTTCAAATTATTATTTGGTTATGCAGGTTAATACTTATATGGATTATTTTAGAAGTACAGGCTTCATGTTGAGTTTTGTAAAGAGCTTTCTCTTTGCCAAAACATTTTCAGACTTCAAAGAACCATTGTGTAAAAACTCTTTTACACCAATGTATCTTAAATAGTTTTGATCATTTTATTTAAATAAAGAAGCTGAACCAAAAGTTCTTCACTTTAAAGAGTGGCAAAGTCTTTCCATATGTGTAACAGACATACATACATACATATGGAAAGACTTTGCCACTCTTGAAAGTGAAGAGTGTGTGTATATATATACATATGGGGGGTGTGTGTGTGTGTGTGTGTGTGTATATATATATATATATAAATCTATTTTAAGTATATTTTTTGGAATACATATTTGTAGAAGAAAAGATTTGTAATTGTATGATATGAATGGATGCAGTCTTTTGATTATTGAAATCTGTCATCATTCTGTATTTAAATTTGAATGCTGCTATGTGATCTTAGACATGGAGGCAGAAACTTGCATAGAAATGTAATAAGAATAAGAATCTTGAATAGAAATCTTATCGCTTTCTTTTTGAAGAATTTGAAAAGCAATTAGAATTGCTTTCATATTATAAATGCTCACCATTGAAAGGTGCAATATTAATGAATCTTTATATTATGCCTCTAGTTATCTCTTAAGAGTTACTTTGATAATATAGACCTTTTGAAAGTGCCACACTGATGGTTTCAGGTTGCCTGTCAGTGTAATAATACATAATGCTTACAGTTATGGTGTCAGTTCTTTATTTTATGTTTAGGGAGCACATATCTCAGAACAGTTCAGGAAAGACATAGAAAAGCAGTTGTCATTTATAAAGTGTGTGTTATGTGCCAGAAAGTCACCTAGATGTTTTCTTATGGTTTATTCAGTTCTAACATCAACCTTATAAAGCATGAGGTACTATTATCAATTTACCAATGAAGAAACTGAGATGCAGGGATTAAGTAATTTGCTTAAGAACAAATAACTGATTTCAAAGTCCCTATTCTATCCACTCTACTCCCCCTATAATAAGAGCAGGTGTAAATGTCTATGTTGTTGTTAATAAAGACTTTTACAAAATGAAGTTCTAATTTAGTTAGGATGTTTTTCTCTTTTTCGAGACAGTGTTACTGGAAAGGGGTCCCAATCCGGACCCTGAAAAGAGGGTTCTTGGATCTTGGGCAAGAAAGAATTTGGGGTGAGTTCATAGAATAAAGTGAAAGCAAGTTTATTAAGAAAGTATGGGAATAAAAGAACGGCTACTCCATAGAGCAGCCCTGAGGACTGGTGGCTGGCTGTTTTTATGGTTATTTCTTGATTATATACTAAACAAGGGGTGAATTATTTATGAGTTTTCCTGGAAAGGGGTGGGGATTTTCCCCAGAACTGAGGTGTTCCTCCCTATTTTAGACCATACAGGGAAACTTCCAGACATTGCCATGGCATTTGTAAACTGTCATGGCGCTAGTGGGAGTGTCTTTTAGCAATCTAATGCATTATAATTAATGAATAATGAACAGTGAGCACTACCAGAGGTCACTTTTGTTGTCATCTTGGTTTTGGTGGGTTTTGTCTGCTTCTTTACCTTGTCTTATCAGCAGGGTCTTTTTGACCTGTATCTTGTGGTGACCTCTTATCTCATCCTGTGACCAAGAATGTCTAACCTCCTGGGAATGCAGTCCAGTAGGTCTCAGCCTTATTTTACCCAGCCCCTATTTAAGATGGAGTTGGCTCTGGTTCAAATGCCTCTGACAACAGGGTCTTGCCCTGTCACCTAGGTGGAATTGCAGTGGTGTGATTATAGCTCACTGCAGTGTTAAATTCTTGAGCTCAAGTGATCCTCCCACCTCAGCCCCCCAAGTAGCTAGAACTACAGGCATGCACATTTTTCTTTATTCAAATTTCTCTGCTAGGTCATTTTTATTTTAGAGATGAATTTCGGATCTAAAGTCTAATTTTATTAAAATTAAAAATTTTTAAACAATTAGAGTTAGTAGAGTAGGACTGGAAGGGCTTCTTTTAATTTAGACCCAGGCTTAGCGAATAAATTACTCTAAATAAAAGTTATCTATTATTGTTTTATTTTATTTTATTTTTTGGGACAGGATGTTGCTCTGTTGCCTAGGCTGGAGTGCAGTGGCACAATCTCGGCTCACTGCACCCTCCGCCTCTCAGGCTCAGGTGTCCTCCCACCACAGCCTCCCAAGTAGCTGGGACCATAGGCGGGCACCACCACGTCTGGCTAATTTTTGTATTTTTTGTAGAGACGGGGTTTCACCATGTTGCCCAGGCTGGTCTCAAGCTTTCGGGCTCAAGCAATCTGCCCAAAGTGCTGGGATTACAGGCGCAGCCACACCCAGCCAGCTATTATTATTTTAACTTTACCTTTTTAAATAGCATGTTTTACTCTCCAGGTTTATTTGAAAATAATACAGAGTTTCGCGTGTTGTTTTGTGTGTGTGTGTGTGAGAGAGAGAGAGAGAGAGAGAGAGAGAGAGAGACAGAATTTCGCCCTTGTTGCCCAGGCTGAAGTGCAATGGCACGATCTCGGCTCACCGCAACCTCCGCCTCCTAGGTTCAAGCGATTCTGCTGCCTCATCTTCCTGAATAGCTGGGATTACAGGCATATGCCACCACACCCAGCTAATTGTGTATTTTTAGTAGAGACAGGGTTTCTCCATGTTGGTCAGGCTGGTCTCGAACTCCCAACCTCAGGTGATCCGCCTATCTTGGCCTCCCAAAGTGCTGGGATTACAGGCATGAGCCACCGCGCCCAGCCTCGCATGGTTTTAATAACGTTTAAGATTGATTGATTGCTGATTTTGTCAGCAGATACTATGTTAAAGACTTAAATGTATTATCTTGATATCTTTGTCTGATTAATTGCTATTTTTTTTTTTTTTTTTTTTTTTTTTTAGCTTTTGCTGTTGTTGTTTTTGTTCAGTCAGCTATACTATTTGGAGTTTTTACTAGTTGAAGAGAAATATAAGTGCTAAGTGCAGTTAAAGTTCTTTGGGCTTTGGGAACCTTGGGCTAGAGAACTTTGGGCTTGATTAACGTCTTTCGCGTTGTTGTGTACTTGGGAAAGTTATCGGGTTTTCTCAGCAGTCCTACAGCCCGGCATCTCCTTGTTTGTCAGAAACAAAGACTTGGCATACTCGATATTTCCATTCCTTAAGAAGTTTTAACATAGAATTACTTTGTTAATACTTAGCCTTTCTTTGTAGGGCCATAGGTGGGAACTTTGGTTCTCTATGCTAACTGAAAAAGCCAGAGGAAATGTGTGGGAAGTTACAGTCTCCTTACCAAGAGGATCCAGATTCAAATCTGGATACTTGCAACAAAAGTCCAGATTTTAATGGGTATATTGTTTGAAACTATCAAGTTGGAGAGTAAAATATTCCCGGTGTTTTTGCTTATCTAACTGTTGCCATTAGGATAATGTCTTAGCTTGAGGGTGAACTTTGTTATTGGACCACACTATTTAGAGAGGGGCTAGTTGGTCTAGAATTTATCAAGAATTGAGAAACATTTATTCAGATATATTCATAAGCCTGTGTCTTGCACAGAAGTACGTTATCTTCAGGTTATCTAGCTCTAACACCATTTTATGATCGTACTTCACAGTCTCAACTGCAGAATGAAAGAGTTACTTTGCTAGATTTTGGAATGTGGGCTCTCAAGGAGACTTAAGTTCTTCCGAAATTCTAAAATAATCCATCCAGATCCTATGGTTGTGATGGGTGTGTGTATCTGTGTTTAAATGATGTTTTTGAGTCCTTTGGTTGTAGAGGACAGTGTCTCCTTGTGTCTGTGGCAAGGAGTCTTGTTTGTTTCTCTTTGGTCCTTACAAGACATAGAAAGGGCTGTCTCTCCTTTAGGGATAGATGAGCACCGTACTCCAGGACAGAAAGAGGTAGATGGTTTTTAAAGGCGTGGCAAGTTGTTGGCTTTTTAAAATCTGACTTTTCTCATTTATGCCTCCTTTTTCTAAATTATAGCTTTTTCTTCCAAACCATTCTTTGTTGTCTATTTCTCACACTCCTTATTTTCTTCATTTTTGTGGGTGGTGGGTCAGAAAGAAAGGTTAAATACAGTCTTTTACGTTGATTGCTCATTTTCTTTTGGTAGTTGAAAGTTATGTGCGTTTTAAGTGTATATGATAATGTTTTTTCTTTCTGGAATGTTTTTAGTGTTCTAGAAATGTTTATAACTTGTACCTAAATTAATATTTTAAATATTATATACTTAGTTTTTTTTTTTTTGCATAGTTCACATGTCAAAAAGTATAAAAAGTTATACAGTGCAGTCTTACTTTCCTCTCCCACACCTGCCTAACTCCCAGTTCCCTTCTGGTAGTGAGTGATTTTCATTGCTTGTTTATTCTTCCCAAAAATTAAAAAAATTCATACACAGATCCATAAAAACATATTTTTCTTCTTCTCAAGTTATATCTACATACATATCTGCCCTTTTATTTATTTAATGTAAAGTATAGTTTGGAAAGATGTATACTGATCTTTCCATATCAGTACATGAAGAGCTCCTGTGTGTGTGATTAACCATTACAGAATATCACAGGGCTGCAATGAATACCCCTCACATACCTGACCTGCAAAATTTCTGCTGGGCCAAAGTGTGCTTGCATTTCTAATTTTGCTTGTTGTTGTAGAAGTGGCTTACAGGACTACTAGCATTGTATTAGTGCATTTCTTTTCCTTTATTTTTAAAATATAAACTTGTAATATATATGGTAAGATTAACCTTTTTAAGTGTAAAGTTGTATGAATTTTTTTTTTTTTTCAGAGTTTTGCTCTTGTTCCCAGGCTGGAGTGTAGTGGTGCGATCTCAGCTCACTGCACCCTCCACCTCCCAGGTTCAAGCAGTTCTCCTGCCTCAGCCTCCCGAGTAGCTGGGATTACGGGCGCCTGCCACCACGCGTGGCTACTTTTTTGTATATTATTTATTTATTTTTCGGAGTCTGGCTCTGTCACCCATGCTGGAGTGCAGTGGCATGATCTCGGCTCACTGCAAGCTCCACCTCCCGGGTTCATGCCATTCTCCTGCCTCAGCCTCCCGAGTAGCTGGGACTACAGGTGCCTGCCACCACGCCCAGCTAATTTTTTGTATTTTTAGTAGAGACGGGGTTTCACCGTGTTAGCCAGGATGGTCTCGATCTCCTGACCTTGTGATCCGCCCGCCTCGGCCTCCCAAAGTCCTGGGATTACAGGCGTGAGCCACCGCGCCTGGCCAATTTTTTGTATTTTTAATAGTGATGGGGTTTCACCATGTTGGCCAGGCTGGTCTTGAACTCCTGACCTCAAGTGATCCACCCGCCTGGACCTCCCAAAGTGCCAGGATTACAGGTGTGAGCCACCACGCCTGGCAATTCTGTGAGTTTTAATTTGTATACAGTCATGTCACCACTGCAACTGCAATCAAAATTAAGACATTTTCATTGCCCAGAAAAGGTCCCTTGTGCCTTTGTGCCTTTTTGTAGGCAGTCCTCTCCGTCTAGCCTGTCTCTGGCAACCAGTGATCTGATTTCTATCCTTATAGTTTTGCCTTTTTAAGAATGTCTTGTACTGTACATGGAGTCATATAGTGTACAGTCTTTTTTGCATGACTTTTTTCACTAAGCACAAGCTTTTGAGATTCAGCCATAGTGTTGTATGTATCAATGGTTTGCTTCTTTTTATTGCTGAATAGTATTTCATTGTATGGATGTACTGAAATTTGTTTATTCTTTCTCCAAGTGATGAATATTTAGGTTGCCTCTAGTTTTTGGCAGTGATGAATGAAGCTGCTATAAATGTTCACATATTAATATGGACACATGTTTTCCCCTTCTTGATAGATACTTAAATGTGAGATTGTTAGGATATATGATAAGTGTATGTTTAACTTTTTGAAAAACTAACAAACTCCTTCCCAAAGCAGCTATATTGTATTTTATTTCTGCCAGCAATGTACAAAAGTTTCAGTTCTGCATCCTCGTCAGCACTTACACGTGTCAGTTTTATTTTGTAAGTCATCTTATGGGCATGTGATGGTATTTAATTCTGTAATTTAGAAACAACTTTATTGAGATATAATTCACATACCATACAATTCACCCATTTAAAGTATATAATCAGTGGTTTTTAGTAAATTCCTAGATATATGCAGCCATCACCAGAGTCAACTTTAGGACATTTTATCAACCTCAAAAAGAAAATTCCTGTACCCTCATCCTCTATCCCTTCTGTCCTAAGCAACTACCAGTTTACTGTCTGTCTATGTGTTTTCCTATTCTGGACATTTCATGTAAATAGTTTATATGTGGTCTTTGGGACTGGCTTCTTTCATTTAGCATAATGTTTTCAAGATTCATCCATGTTGTAGCATGTATCAGCAGTTCATTTCTTTAATTTTTTTTCCTTTTGTTTTTGAGACAGGAGTCTCACTCCGTTGCCCAGGCTGGAGTGCAGTGGTGTGATTATGGCTCACTGCAGCCTTGATCTTCCAGGCTCAAGTGATTCTCCTGTTTCAGCCTCCTGAGTAGCTGGTACTATAGGTGTGTGCCACCATGCCCAGCTAATTTTTATATTTTTTTTGTAGAGATGGTGTTTCACCATGTTGCCCAAGCTCGTCTCGAACTTCTGGGCTCAAGCAGTCCGCCCACCTCAGCCTCCCAAAGTGCTGGGATTACAGGCGTAAGTCATTGCGCCTGGCCCAGTTCATTTCTTTTTATGGCCAAGTAATATTCCATTATATAGATAATACTATGTTTTGTGTATTCATTCATCAGTTGATGAACATTTGGATTGTTTCTACCTTTTGGCTCTTATGAATGATGCTGTTATAAACATTCATGTACAAGATTGCATTTCCTTTAATCATTAACAGTGAAAACCTTTCATATATTTACTTACTATCCATATATCTTTGGTGAAGATCTTTTCAAATATTTTGTCCCCATTTTAATTTCTTTCTTTTCTTTTTTTGAGACGGAGTTTTGCTCTTTTCACCCAGGCTAGAGTGCAATGGCATGATCTCGGCTCACTGCAACCTCTGCCTCCCGGGTTCAAGCGATTTTCCAGCCTCAGCCTCCTGAGTAGCTGGGATTACAGGTGCCCACCACTATGCCTGGCCAATTTTTGTATTTTTAGAGAGATGGGGTTTCACCATGTTGGCTAGGCTGATCTCAAACTCTCGACCTCAGGTAATCTGCCCGCCTCGGCCTCCCAAAGTGCTGGGATTACAGGCGTGAGCCACTGTGCCTGGCCTTAATTCCTTGTTTTGAAATAAATTTAGATTTACAGAAAAATTGCCAAAATAGTACAGAGAGTTTCCATATGTATACCTGACACTCAGATTCTCCTGCTGTTAATAATTTAAGTACATTTGTCAAAAGTAAGACATTAATATTGAATCAATACCATTAACTGCAGATTTTATTTGGATTTTGCCAGATTTTCCACTAATGTTTTCTTTTTCTCCAGGATCCAGTCCAGGTGTACGATATTGCATTTAGCATTTTAAAAAATATGGTTGTTTTTCCTTGAGTTGTGAGAGTTTCATTATATGTTATGGATACAAGTTACTTTATTAAACGCCACTTTTTCACTTGGCACAGTTCTCCAAATTAATTGTATTAGTAGCAGAGTCATTATTCGTATTAGATTTGGGTGTGAAAGAAAGAGGACTTAAGGATGACTTGAAAGTTTCTGGATGGCTGGGGATGTTAATTATTGGAGAAAAGGACTTCAGGAAGACCAGGTTTGATTAAGAGGGTGAACAGTGGGTGTTGCTGGTGGTGGTAGTGATTAGGAGTTTAGCTTTAGAACAAGGAGAGTTTGGGATGCTTATTTGTAATACAAAGAGGAGATGTCCAGTAAGTACTGTAGTTTGGACTTCACTGGGTAGGGATTTCAGGCTACTATGCTTTTTAACTCATATTTGACATCTATGTATAGGTAAATGTCTTTATTTTCTCTAAACAATGTGAATGCCTAGCACACTGCTTGACATGCTAGAAGTGTTTAATGTTGAATATGTTGAATTGAATTGAAATGTAAATTTCAGTTCTGTTTTCTATAATTATATATTTTACTCTAATAATAGTTTCTGGTGTTTGAAGTATACATTATTTTCTTTCAACTGAACTTGAATATAATATAATTTTATGAAGTCATGAGAAAGTTTGGTAACCTTCCTTAAGGAATAATTTTTGGAAATGTATAGACATTAAAAAAATAGAGCCTGCACCTGAACTGGCTACTGTTCCCTGAAGCCTGTATTCCTGACCACTGTGAAAAGTGCCATCCTTGATCCTAGGCTTCCTGTCCTTAATGGCCATTGGTTGCTAGTGCTAAAACTGTGTAAGAAGGTAAATTTATAATCATCATAGGTTATTTGTAAACAGAAAAGGTGGGGGGGTTGGTAGTAACTGTATTTTGGCTCTGTTCAGTGGGCCTATAAATTCATTTGATTACATTTAAAGTTCTTTTGAAACTTACCTTGGTTTAAGAAGTTTACTGTATTAGTCCATTTGGGCTGCCATAACCAAATACCATAGACAGGGTGGCTTAAACAACATAAATTTATTTTCTCACAGTCCTGGAGGCCAGAAGTCCAAGATTAAGGTTCTGGCCTGTATCATTTTCTGGTGAAGGCCTACTCCTGGCCTGCAGACTGCTTTCCTGCTGTGTCCTCACACAGCCTTTCCTCAGCTCATAGGAGGGGAAATGTAGGAGGAGCAGAGGGAGAGGGAGAGCAGGTGCTCTGTGTCTCTCCTCTTGTATAAGAACACCAGTCCAACTGGACCAGGGCCCCTCCCTTATGATCTCATCCAACCTTGATTACCTCCCAGAGGCCTCCATCTCCAAGTACTATCACATGAGATTAGGGCTTCAGTATATGAATTTTAGGGGAATACAGTTTAATCCATAACATGTAACCATAGTAGCATCTTTAATACTGGGGTTATTTTGCACTTCTTTTGTATGTGAGAGAGAATAAAGAACACACCTTTTTAGGTATTTATACCTGAGGTATCATTCTAGGAAATGAGAATGAGTTTGTGAAAAATAAATGCAAAAAAAAAAAAAAAAACCTGCAAAGATTTAAACTTACTGGGAAGGGAGGTTAAATTTCTGAAATGCTTACATGGTAGAGTGTTTTAAAAATTAAAAATACATGCAACTAATTACCTATAAGCACAAAGAGTAACTGTAATTCTTTAAAAACATTTCTTTATCCTGTTTGAATTGATTTAATGAGTTAAAAAATTAGTGATTTGTAATTAGCTTTCAACTAATGTGCTAGCTAGGGTTTTTAAATTCTTTTCTTGAGTGGGAGAAATGTGTCCACATAAGATTTTATTGCATTATTAATTTTCATGGTATAATTGACTTTCGCACAGACTGAATTACTAATTAGTATAATGTTAATGAATATGGTTTAATTTTACCACATCATGTGGCCTGAGACACAAGCTTTCTCTAAGAAAGTATTGGGATGAGAGGTATCTCCATAGAGATTTTACATTGGTACCAGTTTTATACCACCCCTACGTTGCTGAAAGGAGCTCTGATTTGAAATGGATGGAGACACACAAACACACACACATATGCATATAAGATGGGTATCTATACCTAAAACATCTAAAAGCACTGATATAGACTATTTTTCCTTTTTGATAGAAAGTAGAAAAGTATAAAGCTCATATTTTAGTGTTTCCAAGTTATCCAGCTAAAGTTACTAATACTGATGCATTTGGTTTGGTAATAGTTTTCACTGCCACATTGAATAAAGCCTTATCTCTTTCAGCTTTTGAAATTTAAGCAGGTGTAGGGAGAGGTAAGAGTAATTTCAGACCTTAGGATGTAGGCCAAATTTTAAGAGAATTCTACTGTGTTCATATCTCTTTGGCTTGAGTAAATAGATGGTACTAAATAAGTGAAATGATCTCTTGTGGTAGGTTAATTGACTCATTTGGGAAGTACAAAGATCCATGTGAAAGAATATGATTTCTACATTGGGGAATGTTTTTTAAAAAAATGATGTAGACAAGATAATTTTGAAATTATATATTGAGTTTGGGTGATTGAAAGAATTAGGAAATGTGTAATAATCTTAAAGCATATTTTTGTCTACTTGTTTACCTCACTGGAGCATAAAACTCTTCTCTGACACCATTTGAACCAAAAATTACAGAGCAAGGATACCAATCATGTACTCCTAAATTATAGTTTATAGGCACTGAAAGGATACCCAACTTAACTACCACGTGAAGGAAATTTCTGGGGACAGTAACGAATTGAAATAGGTAAAGCAGAAGGATGATGTAAATTTTCCATGAAATAGAGTCTCAGGCAACTTGGTGCATCTGACTAGGTAACATTTTCAGTGAATGGGTGAATATGGCATAAGTCATAATGGTGTAAAGCTCTAGGAAGGGCACATTTGCACACTTGAGGCCCTTGGTCACATGCCAGATATTTTTGAGCACACCTACCGTGTGTGTATGGCACTGTGTTGCCAAGTACTTTGGGATGCAGAGATTGGTAAGGCATAGTGCAGGGAACTCACAGTCCAGTGAAAGCAGTACCCATAGGTGAAGAATTCATACAATAGCATGGAAGTGCAATGAGGAAGCAGTGTGGAAAAGGGTGAAAGAAACTTGGTATGCACGAGTCAAATGACAGACTCCATTAAGTGTTTCCATTAAAAGGATTGTTGCTTCCCCAGTAGCCTCTTCTATACAGTTTCTTCAATCTCATTTCAGATCATATTTCTGTAATAATTAAGGCTTTGAGAAGGACATCCTATATAATGTAAGACACACATTTAAAGCATAGAATGAAAAAATGAAAACCTTAGGCATTTTGAGCAATATTTCCTTTACCTGTCATATATACAGCATGTTCTGAAATACATGGAGTGTGATACTGGTGAAATTAAAAAAAAAAATGTAGCACTTTAAATTTTTTTCCTTAAAGGTTGTTTTGGTAATTTTAAATCCTGAAATATAATTATTACGGGGATATTAAGCTCAAAATTATTCTAAAGTTATCTTTTGTTAAATGTGGTTTGTTAAGAGATTTCCCATTGTTCAGTGTTAGTAAGTGGACAGTGAACAAAGAGGACAGATTTTTGTCAAGCATAAACAACTTTTGCATCCTGTTTATTAAATGGAAAATACCTCAATGAATGTCTGTGCTAAAAGTAGATTCCTTCAGGTTTTTAGTTTTGTCCTATTAGGGGTGGAGTCATGGAACAGGAAGAAAGACATCCAGTAAACAGGAATTGTGTGCTAAGAGATACATTTTGAAAGGGAAATGGAGGCTCATGCTTAGAATTTGAGTTATACCATTTCACCATTATGAGTACCTTTTCAAGAATGTTAGATTTAATGGAGTGCTAAATGGTCTTTTTCATTACTGCTATGAGTGATAAATTGTCTTGACCAAGATAGCATGTTGCAGAATAAAGTTTTGAAAGTTGACAGAGGTATTTTCTCAGATTCATTCATTATCATGTTTAGCTTGATGTTCTCAACGTTTTATACTATTAGGAGATAATTTTCCATTTTGGGTAGAAATAGTTTTAGTGTAGTTAAATATGGTTAGTATAGATTCAGTAATTTAGTATAGCCATTTGTTTTTACATTTACATATATTTATTCAAGAAAGTTTGAAAATGGGAGGTATAATATTAAAAAATTACTCTTCCCCTCCTGGGAATCAAGCAAATAAACAGCAAATGAACCTGAACTTACCTTTCTCTTTTAAAAGCAATTGTTATTGGAAGGTATATATTAATTCCAATGATATTACTGTTTCTTAAAAGATATTTTTTGGGATGTCTCTTTGTAATTGCCAAATGTTAGGTTGCATGTGACAGCTTTAAATGTTACAAGTATCAGAGAATTCAGGATTTGCCATGGGCTGCGAAAATAGAGAAGTGGATAACCAAGGTAATGTAGAAGACTGTTCTAATTACCGGGGGATCAAGATGAGGAAAGGTTCTCAGTGACAACTCTCTAGTAGACAAAGAAATAGGAAATGAAATTAACAAGACCAGCCTGTTATTTAGCAGATAGGGCCTGGGAGGACAGAATTTAACATTGATAACACCAATTTAATGTTTCATGAAAGATCGTATAAGCAATGATGTTGAATCTTGGTAAGCCAAAAATTTTTTTCTGGAAAAAAAAAAAAATTTTTTTTTTTTGAGACGGAGTCTCACTCTGTCGCCCAGGCTGGAGTGTAGTGGCGCGATCTCAGCTCACTGCAACCTCTGCCTCCTTGGTTCAAGTGATTCTCCTGCCTCGGCCTTCTGAAGAGCTGGGACTGGAGGCGCCTGCCACCACGGCTGGCTAATTTTTGTATTTTCAGTAGAGACGGGGTTGAGTTCAAGTGATCCACCCACCTCAGCCTCCCAAAGTGCTGGTATTATAGGCATGAGATGCTGCGCCTGGCCTAAAAGTACTTTTTTAAAATAAAAAATACAAACGCTTTGCAACCCAATCTAAAACAACATAAGAGAAAGTCTTCCTCCTGTATACCACTGTTCCAAATTTCCTAATTCCTTTTTATATACTTGAATAAAAATTTTTATAATCCTATCGGGATATTTAGATATATTTTGTAAGTTAAACAAATGCCCAGACTGGGCAGTCGTTTCATACACATAGTTCTTGCCTTTCCTTTTAAATATTTCCACGAGATGATTCAAAGGTCAGCCTCATTCTGTCCAGCAGCACAGTATTCCCCTGGATACCTCATTATTTATCTTAGCAGTCCCGAAGGATGAACATTTAGCTTGTTTCTGGATTCCATGTCCCCTTACACATAGTGCTGTGGTGAATATCATTGTGTGTATGTGTATGTGTGTTTGTAGATGCTTTTTGTGAGTAGATGCATAGCTTAGGTCCCTGGTAGTGGAATTATGGAGACTAAGTGTGTATATATATATATTTATATATATTTTTTAACATTTTGGTAGATATTGCCAAATGGCTCATTGAGAAGCCTGTACCAGTTTATATTTCCACCAACAGTGTATAAAAAGTCCATGCCAGCGATGGATTTTCATTAAACTTTACCACTTTTGCCAATCTGAGAAGTGAAAAATTTTATCAGTCTTTAGATAACATTTCTTTGATTCTGAGTGAGGCTGAACATATTTTTATGTGGTTAGTGGCCATTATTAAAGATAATTTTAACCAGTTTTACATTTACTTCAGTTATAAATAATTTATATTAAGTGGAGAGACAGGCTCAACAAACAAATGGGATCCAGAAAACCTCACCCATCTGTAACATAAGAGAAGTATCTCAGTGTATCACTGTTGTTGGGGGCATATGTGCAGAATGAAAGACAAAGCAAATTCCCCTGTACCTTCTGAGTGTGTGTGACCAAATGTCTTTTCTACGTTGTGTACATCTAAGATTGTAGGAATAGCAATTTTATCTTTATTTAAATAATGTTATCTAGAACAATTGAAAAAATGATTTAATTTGGGTATTTATTTATTTTTGACTTTGAAAGTAAGAAGTACCCTAATGTCACTCAGAACATTAAAAATGTTGAAAATGTCTTTATTCTTTCTTCCCTTTTTGTTGTCGTCAGAAGTTAATGGATTTATAGCTTTGTCAAAATGAGGAACATTTTTCTTGTGTATGTTAAACCTCGGTTGATTTCTGACAAAACCAATAAGCAATTTATTTGGAGTATTTGAAAATAAATTATAAGATGAAAGAATCCTACTAGTACATTGGCAAGTGGATGGGACCAGATGATCAAATATTTCATTTCTATGTCTACATTTCATGAGTCAGTTTCACACAACAGCTGCTGTGGGGGAAGGGTTGACTTACCAGAATACTTCATGGTTTTTTTTTTTTTATATGAAATTTTTCAAAAATTGGGTATGAATGGGTAAACCAAGAACGTTTATTGCTAATATATAAAAATAAAAATACATAAACAAAATAAATGTAAATGTCAAAGAAATAAAAATATATGTTTTAACATATAATTCTAAAAAAGCCTTTAAAAATTTTCTTTTCAGTTTAAATTATAGAATGCAATGGTTTTTTAAAAAATCTTCTCTCTTATAAATAGTATGAGTAACAAATATTTATTGGATAGTTTCTGTGTGCCAGGCCCTGCGTTAAACATTTCACCTGTATTATGTGTTGGACACATTATTTCCATTTTTCAGAAGAGGCTTTGAAAGTGCGGTGATTTGTCAGGGCTGACACAGATGGTATGTGGAAGAACTAGTGGGGTAATCCAGGGACTCTGGTTCTAAAACTTGTGCTCCTAAGCATTGTGTTAGAATGGCTCCAAGTATTCAAGAAAAACAAATATAATTTGTGAATTGAGCTTATCTCACTAAAAACCTTCATATTTTTAAACATTAATAAACTTCCTTGAGTAATTTTAAGGATTAAGAAGAAATTTGTTGCTGGGCTTGGTGGCATGCACCTGTAGTCTCAATTACTTGGGAGACTGAAAATCACTTGAGCTCAGGAGTTCCAGGCTGTATCATATGATGATCGCTCCTCTGCATAGCTACTGCACTCCAGACTGGGCAATACAGTGAGACCACGTCTCTTTAACAACCACCACTACCACCACCAAAAAAAACCAAAAAAACGAAAAAAACTTTGTTTTTTTCTTTTCTGCAATAAATTTCCTCTAATTTTGTTTTTGGTTTAGGTCTTAGTCTTCCCTAATTTGGGTTCCAAAGGTCTGTGGAAACTCACACAATAGATGGAAACTCATAAAAGTGAGAAGCACATAAAAATCTTTATTTGGAATGTTTATTTTATCAATCTTATGATATATTCAAGGAGAATATATTTTCTCACAGCAAATATTCCACCGGGCCCATAACTGGTCAATTAATAAAAGGAGGATTTGTAATACCATGTGATATAATGTAGTTTATTTTGACTGAGAACTTGGGTCAAATGTAATTTTTTCTTTTTTTTTAACAGCTGCAGGGATATACACTTAAGGCTCTGGGTAAGAGCTGGATCAAATGTTACATGGTTGCTTTAAAGTTGATACTTACTGGGGAGCTGGATGGAATAGGTGTTTCTGGCGTTTTTTGAATGGGCAGTGTGCTTTTGAGGAAAAATGTTTTCTCTGACTCTGAGCAAATGCCTGCCTTTTTGACAGATCATATTGCCATGGAGAAGTGTAGAGTCTATAAATTGTAACTTGCAGTAACAGGCAAGAATATGGCATTGGGTTGTCATGTGGGGCTGTGAGAACAGAGTGACTCCAGATGTGTATAGTCAGTTTGTTCAGAGACGTTATTTTACAGTAGCCAGGTGCCCACTGGTCTTTTTATAATCTCTTTTTCTCATATTCTTTTTTCCTGTCTATGTGTATATGTCTGACATAGGAACAGTGAAACCGTGTAAAGAACTCTTTTCCTTCTTTAGTCTCAGAGTCCTCCCTTTAACCTGGAGCAAATCACTATTGAAAATTTGGTGGTGTCCTTCCAATCCATGTTTTTAATTCCTTTACTCTCTGTATAGCTGCATAAACAGTTTTGTGTTATTAAAGTTCATCCGAATACTGTCATCCTTCACATATCATTCTGCAACTTACCTTAGTCTTACTGTATTTTTTGAGGTCTCTTCATATTGACATTAATCTGGTTCATTTATCTTAGTTGGTGGATAGTATTCCATTGTACTGCATTTGATCTAGTCCCTTAGTAACAGACGTTTAGATGTGCTCTTCTTGTATTTCTGTGTAATTCTTCAGTTCCATTTGTTCCTGTCCTTTCTGTGGTATTGCGTGTAGGAACTCAGTACAAACTTACTTGACTTTATTTTGATTTGACTAAAGCTAGGTTATGAGCTATGAAGCTATCCTTCATCTGTTTCAGTTCTTTCAAATGGTCTCAGTTCAGTTTATTTATTTTTAATCATTTTAGGTACTTTGCAGTCATTCGTTCTCATCACATGTTTACTCTGTTGAACTGTGATATGTATTACCCATGTACTTGTAGCCTGGCTAGGTTTTGGGATGTTATTATCTTTTCAAGATAATGGATTTTTTCCAGAAATTATAAGTAACAGCATTGCTGTTGCAAGAAGCTGCCTTGTAACATCTTTGATGGGTCTAGGAATTATAGAGAAAGCATAGCTCTAACCTTTTAAGTACTTTTGATCATACTCCATTGATGTTTTTGCTTATTAAACAACTTGCTTCTTAATTTTTTTCTTTCTTCCTGTTTTTTTTTTTTTTTTTTTTTTTTTTGAGACAGTGTGTCATCCCCTTGCCCAGGCTGGAGTGAAGAGGTATGATCATGGCTCACTGCAGCCTCTACCTCCCTAGGCTCAGGTGATTCTCCCACCTCAGCCTCCCAAGAAGCTGGAACTGCAGGCATGCACCAGTACACCTGGGTAGTTTTTGGTATAGACAGGATTTCACCATGTTGCCCAGGCTGGTCTCGAACTCCTAGGCTCAAGTGATCTGCCCGCCTCAGCTTCCCAAAATGCTGGGATTACAGCCGTGAGCCACTGCATCTGGCCTGTTTTTTTTTCCCGCTTTATTGTAGTAATACTATTCAGAAAGTAGTGCTGAGGACTCAGTTTGCCTAATACAGTTGTCAAAATACAAGTTATATCAGTGCTTGCTGTCGGATAGAACATAATGCAAGCCACCTGTGTAATTTTTAATTTTCTAGGAGCCACACTATAAAAGGTAAAATGAAATGGATAAAATAAATGTTATTTAACCAGTACACCCCAAAACATTGCCATTTGCCAAAAACATTGCCAAAACATGTGATCTATATAACAGCGTATTGAGATAATTTACCAAAAACATTGCCAAAACATTGCCAAAAACATTGCCAAAAACATTACCAAAAACATTTGCCAAAAACATTGCCAAAACATGTGATCTATATAACAGCCTATTGAGATAATTTACGTTCCTCTTTTCTTACCAGCTCTTCAAAATCCTGACGTATGTTCACCAGGACCAGTGGCATGTCAAGCATTCCATAGCCAATGTGTTTAGTGGCTACCATGTTAGATAGTGCAGGTATAGAAAATATATGTTTAAGAGGTATTAGTAAGGATCACAGTGATTGGGCCTGAGGGGAGGTTTCAGGGAGGAGCTGGAGGTACCAAGGGCTGAGCAGATCTAAGCCATCAGGTGCCATGTGGATTGGTTGGAAGAAACCCCAGGTGCATGGCTTGAGCAAAGATGATGTGTAGTGGGAGCAACTCTGGCTTATCCCAGAAACAAGTAGCTGGCTTGTCATAGAGGGCTAGGTTTCAGAAAAGTGGGAAAGGAAGCGTTGATAGGTAAACTGTCACCACTTGATAAGGAGTTGTTGGTGTCGGAGTCTTATGCTGTCTGTATGTAACAGTATCTTTTTTTTTTCTGGCAAAAGATCATAGAAGAAAGCTTGTCAGGTTTATGAAACTATTCCTTCCATATTTCATGGTTGTCCTTGCAGAGTGAATTATGATTCTGATAAACTATGAGGTCATTGTTATATAATTCTATGAAATTATATATAAGTTGGATGTTTATCACTGTAAGGAGAATGACTAAGAGGGATGAGAATGGGTTTACAAAAGCAACAAAAAGTGGAATGTTAGTTGGATGTGTATATTTAATACTTTTGGTTTAATAAATTATGCCATAAAAAATCAGAAGTTTTAACTTTAAAACTTTAAAAAGCATGTAAGCTTTTTTCTTTTTTTTTTTTTCTTTTGGTGCATTGTAGGGATTATTAGGATAGTTCCTGGTAAGTTATAAAGCCTAAATGTTTAAATCTTTGAAGAACTCAGTTAACTAGAGATAAAAGTCATTTGATGACTGCTTGTTCTGTGTCAATATTTGTAATTACATTTATTAATTTAATCCTCAGAAGAACCTAATGAGGTAGATGCTACTACTGTTATTGCTATTATCATGTTACAGATGAGGAAACTGTAATATGATGCTGTCTGTATATGTAATAATAGTAGCATGGAGAGGTGACCTAACTTGTTCAAGGAGGAAGAACTGGGATTTGAATCCAGGTTACCTGGCACCAGAACTAAAGCTATTACCTGTGATGCTTCACTGCCTATTGTGGGGCTGACTTAGGTTTCTTCCCTCCCAGCTTTTCTTTGGTATCTAGTCATTTCTCCCCAGCTTTCATAATTTTTAATGTGAAAACATTGGTACAACCTGATTCAAGGAAGGAAAGACCTCATACTGTCTGTAATATCTTTGCAGCCTTTCTGTACTTCCAAAATAAAGGTTTAAAAAAAGAGTCACCATTGACAACATTAACCTATACATTCTCTTTTGCTCTTATTTTTTGTAGAGATGGATTGGTTTCACTTTGTTGCCCTGGCTGGTTTTGAGCTCCTGGCATCAAGCGTTTCCTCCCCACTGGCCTCCCAAAGTTCTGGGATTACAGGCATGGGCCACAGCACCAGGCCTCTTTTTTATTTTCCACTTTACCGTTCTATTAACCAGTCTTTTCTTTTTATCTGAAACTAAACATTAATGACTAAACATTATTGGATAAAATTATTTGCAGCATAAATGGTACTATCTTTAAAAAACACAAAGAATTTTTACAACTCAAAAAAGCAAACATGTTAATATAATGAATAAAGGGACAGGAATATACGAAAAGAAAAAGAAATGGTTTGAAGTGTATGAAAAATGATTTTCACTAGAAACTAAACATGCAGTTTTGCACAAAAATACCTTTTTTTTTTTGGTTTATTAAACTGGAAAAGTTCGTAGAAAAAAGAGAGTAATACCCAGTTTTCCTAGGGCTTTGAGGAGACAGGTTAGCTGACTACCCAAGGTCATACAATATCAAGTGGCAGAGGTATATTGCAGCATTGCTTAAAGTTGTAGAAAAAATAGCAAGATATTAAATATTTATAATGAATAGCTTGATAGAGCAAATCAAGAATTTGGAATAAAAGATTATTTTTTAGTTGCTCCTGAAGATATTTATGGTTAGATGTCAGTGATGAAAGCTGATTACAAAACAGAATGCATACTGTAGTTGAATATTCATTAAAAATTACACTCATGCATTCATATACATGTGAGTAGAAATCATCTCCACAGAAAGATTCCAATTGTTGCTTTCTCCTTACTAGGTGTGTGACTTTAGTCAAGATACCTAATCTCTCAGTGCCTTAAGTTTTCTTTGAAGAGATTCCTTTACAGATTTACAGGTAGTTGAAAGGATTAAATCGGATGAAAAGCAAAGAAAGAGTTTTTGGCAATGCCTGGCACATGTGCCTAATAAATGGCCCTCACAAATGTTTTAAAAAATCTTATTTCTGGCTGAAGAGATTGCAGATAATCTAAAATTTCTTATTTTGTCCTATTCATATTTAAAATTTTCAACAATAGACATATTTTATGAACTTTTTTAAAGCTAAGAACTGTTTTGTTTTTAGGTTAAAGAGAGCAAAGATAGATTTGATGTTATATTAACATCTAGTATATTAGATCTATATCAAAAATTATTACTGTTGCTTACTGAATTGCAAAGTCTAGAGAATCACTCATCTGATGTTGAAAAACAGCCCTTCAACCACATTTACAGTTAATAGTATTCATAAAGAAATAGTAAGTTTTATTGACCCTGAGTGCCAGTCTTTATCTTTAAAGTATAGACAGTTAGGCAAGGTTTCAATAACTAGAGAGTAGATGTTGAAAATTGTAAATGCCAGTTTCTTATATTTGTTTTTAGGAAAGTTTTAAAAATTATTTCTTATATTTTGAATCAGAAAGTGTTATGATTCCTTAATAAAGAGAAAGTCAAACTATCAGATTATTTACTAATTTGGGGAGTTGAATATAATGTTTCCAATAATTTTTCCTGATTTTATTTCCGTTTTGCCTTTAAATCCTTTGAAGCATCTTAACACATATGGTGGTCCATGTTTAACTACTCCTATTGAATGCCAACTCTTCTATTTAAAATGGATTTTCACTGTGTTTTTTTTCATGGCTTTCTTGGAAACCACTCTTGGGATTGAGTGTACTTAAGCATTGAGTTTGCAAGTGAATCCAGATTTCATATTACATTTTCTGAATAGTACAGTGTACGTTTATCTGCTTATTGGTTGCATTCTGGTGCAACTGTCAAGAACAGGTCTAGAAGAAACAAAACTAAACCTAGTTCTTATGAACATATTTGTTTTATGTAATTTCTTTTTGTAGTCTATTTTCTTAAATTTTGATATTTTATAAATGTTAGTTACTTTGTTTATTGGAAAAAGGATGTTGTGAACAAATTATTTTTGGGGTCCAAATTAAACTTGGATTAAACAAGTTTATTGTTTACTGCAAGCATTTTTTGAGCCCTTGATTTTCTAATCTGCATCTTGCCTCTCTAAGGCTGGAAGAGGGTAGGATATATGTTTCCCAAAATCAATTGACTTGACTAAGCCACCCTTTTGCATAGCTGTCATGAAACACATTCTGGGAAATACTGTTCTAAATAAAAATACAGAAAGAGGGCAGAAGATAAAGCTGAAATATTTATTCATTGAATAAACAATAAAACTGGCACTTAAAACTATTGCTTTTTGTGGACACAGATTTAAAGTTTTAGTTTTTTTGTTTATTTGTTTGTTTGCTTTTTTGAGAGAGAGTCTTGCCCTCTTGCCCAGGCTGGAGTGCAGTGGCGTGATCTTGGCTCATTGCAACCTCTGCCTCTGGCTTCAAGCAATTCTCTGCCTCAGCCACCCAAGTAGCTGGGATTACAGGTGCCTGCCACCACACCCGGCTAATTTTTGTATTTTTAGTGGAGACAGGGTTTCAGCATCTTGGCCAGGCTGGTCTTGAACTCCTGACCTCGTGATCCACCCAATTTGACCTCCCAAAGTGCTGGGATTACAGGTGTGAGCCACCGCGCCTGGCCTAAAGTTTTAGTTTTTCTTCTTCCTCTTCATCTCCTCTCCCTCATCCTCCTCACTCCCTTTTTTAAAATAAGAGACTGTTCTTTTGTAAACAATGAAAAAGAACCAGAGAATTATTTTGAGTATGTATTTCCCTAAATAGGTTATTTCTGTGTGTATAGTACTGTGAGTGCTCAAAAACTGCATTAAGTAATTGAGACTGTCCAGTCTGGTAAGCATCTTATAGAGTGAAATTGCTTGGTATTGGGTAGTTTTACCCATTGTTTGTTTTAGTGCAGCTATAATCAGAAGTTCTTAGGAGACAAAATTGCTATCATAAACAGATGTGATGTTGAAAATGTAATTTCAAAACTTTATAAAATGTTGTGGCACTAACACTGGTCTAAAAACAGGCACAGGTGGAGGTTGGATCTAGAAAATTAGCCCTGTAATCTAAGTTGTTTTACTTAGAATGTTCTGTTTTTCTTGCTCTAGACTTCGCAAATCCCAGTAGAAGGTTCACCAAGTAGTAGTAATTTATATTGTTATTAGCAGTATCAATTAATTTTGTTATTTGTGGTAGTTATATACTATAATATATAACAGTATATAACAGTATATAAACAAAATAGTTAATTTTGTTATTTGTGGTAGTTATATACTATAAAGTCACCATGACCACTGAATTAGCGAATAATGAACCATTGCTTCTAGGAAATACGGGGTTAAGTTCCTGCAAACTTCTGGTCACATTTTCATCAGCTAATTAATACATAACCCCATATTATGTGTGCTTTTGTTTAAAAATAGCTTATTGAATATATACGGTTGATTCATCAACATTAAACTCCTGGCCAGGAGCACTATAACTCATGCTTGAACGAAGTGTATCGAACACACATATTTTCTCTGTAAGGCACATCACAGGCTTCTTGTGCTTAGGGAACACAAGACAGCACTTCAGCATTTTGTTTGGAGGCCATTTTAAACAGTGGAATCACCAGAGAACACACAAGAATGGGAAAAACCTGAGACCTAATGTACCATGAAGAGAAACTTGTTTACTGTATAAGAATTGAAACAGGAAGGCAGAGGGCCACTTGCTCAGCCCCAGCTGGAAATGTGTTTGTTGGACAAACATTTTTTGGTGCTCTGTGCATGTCCCTTGAATGACCATGGAAGTCCAGGAGTATTGACTGTTCGAGTTACAAATAAATTTTAGCAAGTAGGCAAATTCACGAATACGGAATCCTTGAATAATGAGGATCCAGCAGTATTTGGATTGTTTTGGAATCAGGTGATGACCTAGAAGCTGAGGTTTCAGGTAACTCAGCTCGTGTTCCCCTGACTGCCCTCCTTCTCTGCTTTGCTGCTGTTCTCTCTCCAGCTTCAGTGTGAAGTATGTGTAGGTTGCTGCTGATCCAGCAAGCGAGAGAATAGAGGGTGACCAAGTAATGGGATTGGAGGAGTGAGTAGAGCTAGGGCTTGGCTATAGAAATTTTGCTGATTGTGCCCAAAATTCTTGGACAAATCGGAGACTTATATTGTACTTTCCTATTTCCTATACTTCAAGTATTAGTGTAATTTATGATAGAGAGTGTAAATGTTGGTTTCAAAGTTAGATTTTACCATATGCAACAAGTCAGTGTAGATGCAGGTTCAACTGTTTAAAGTACTTTAAGTTATACCATACAGCTGTTTGGCTTTTTTGTTCCCATGTGGGCTCATAGTTGCTCACAGCTGCAGTCAATGATAAACGCTTATCTCAGGAGTCCAGGTCAGTTTGGTGCAGGTCAGCTGAGTTGGTATGAAACTGAAAACATGAATTGAATGCAGTCAAATGACCCAATTTTGAGCAGTGCTTGTTAGCTGATTATTAAATAGGTTGTTTATTTGTTTGTTTTTGAGATTGTCAAGTTGATTTTATGTGGAAACTTGGGTTCTTGAGAAAATTTTTAAAAATACCGTATTAAGGGCCTGTTCTGCATAAAGTCCTGTGCTGGTCTGTGGACAATGAATCGGAATAAATAAAATGTGCTATTCCTTGGCTTTTAGAAGATGACAGTCTGATACAGGATGCAAAATATTAAAAAACAAAAAGCAAAGTTGTGGTGGGCTTCAGGAAATAAATTTGTTAGAGAGTAGGGTGCTTGGGGAAGGTGTAGTGAGAGGTATGTAAAGGCCAGTATCAGTGATTACTTTGTGGCTTTTTGTGTAAGTGTGTGTTTGTGTGTATTTGTGTTGGGGGGTGTCTGTTTAAAGTAGGGTGTAAACTTTAAAGCTTTGCATCTTAGGAATAAACAGTTGGGCGACATTGATGGAATGAGAAAAGGGCATTGGTAGGAGACAGGTACTTCTTCATCTAGAGGGACAAGGGCCTTTAACCAGATGCTTGATTGGCAGTGGGAAGGAGCTGTTGAGGAGCAAGAATAAGTGTGTCTTGATCACTGAATATGGACAAGGAGAAAGTAGAAAGTAAGGTTTTGTACTATTTAAATAATAAATGGGCCAGATGTGATGGTTCACACCTATAATTCTGGCCTTTGGTGAGGCTGAGGCAGGCATACTGCTTGAGCTCAGGAGTTCGAGACCAGCCTGGGCAACATGGCAAAACCTCGTCTCTACAAAAAATACAAAATTTAGCCAGGCATAGTGTTGCACGCCTGTAGTCCTGCTGTTTGGAGGCTGGGGTGGGAGAATCACCTGTGTGTGGGAGGCAGAGTCTGCAAGTGAGCCAGGATCACACCACTGCACTCTAGGATGGGTGACAGAGCGAGACTCTGTCTAAAAAAAAATAAGAAAGAAAGAAAAGAATGAATGTTTCTTCTCTAGTCTGTAAATCATTCTAAAACTTAAATCTGGACTCAGAGGCAGAATGCCCATTCCTGAATCTATGAAATTCTTTTGCATTGTTTTATTTTTAGCTGTGAGAAAATATTTTTAAAATTGGTATGTCCATGTGGCTATGGTTTTTTCAAGAATACTTTATTGTGGAATAATTTTAGATTACAGAAAAATTGCGGAGATGGTCTAGAAAGTTCTTGTAATATCCCCTACTGAGTTTCCCCTGTTAAAAACTTTTTTTTGTTTTTTTGGTTTTTTTAGATGGAATCTCGCTCTGTCACCCAGGCTGGGGTGCAGAGGCACAATCTCGGCTCACTGCAAGCTCTGCCACCCAGGTTCACGCCATTCTCCTGCCTCAGCCTCCTGAGTAGCTGGGAGTACAGGTGCCCACCACCACGCCTGGCTAATTTTTTTTGTATTTTTAGTAGAGACGGGGTTTCACCGTGTTAGCCAGGATGGTCTCGATCTCCTGACCTCATGATCCGCCCTCGGCCTCCCAAAGTGCTGGGATTACAGGCGTGAGCCACCGTGCCTGGCCTAAGTGTTATATATTTTAAAAGTGTTCTTAGCTGAAATGGTCTTCTATTTTAGCTAATGGTTTTAGGTGTTGCTGTCTTATATCTAGTTAGTAAGTGTTTAAATACTTGCTATATGACTTTCACTTGGATTGTTTATACACTTTTTTATATTGGTCAGTTACTATATTATTTCAATAATCTTTTATTTGCCTTTATCAAACAACTTCATTACACTAGTAGCCTTCACTAGCATGAAAATTCTCTGGTGCAGTGGACTTGAGTTGATTTTGATGTAGAATTTTGGAACTGGATTAGATGCAAGAGATTGCCTGATTTAGTGGTTCCCTTGACTGTACATTGAAACATCTGGGGAACTTTAAAAAGAAATCTTGCTGGGGTTCACCACCCACCCCCCACCTGAGAGGGATTCTGATTTAATCGATTTGGAGTGTGGCCTGGGCACCAGACTTTTAAAAAAGCTTCCACAGGAGATTGTAAAGTACAGTGAAGTGTGAGAACCACTGTTACAGTTCCTCACTCTGTGGAAAAGAAAAATGAGACTCAGACTTATTAATCAAATTAATGTCTACTTTGGGGATCCAAAATCATTATTAAAATTGGTGAATTTAGAATGACTTTTAGAGGTCCGTCTTGGTAGTTTTAATAATTTGGAAATAAAACTGAACACTGTGAGAGTCTCTTATCCTAATCCTTTTAACTGACCTATCACTGACTTTCTAAGGTCTAATACAGGAGTGATTAGATTTTCCCAGGTATATGTAGTGTCTCCTTCTTGCTTCCTCCAGTTGCCCCCCAACATTTTCCTGAAATTGAATCTTTGCTGTTTCTTTGAGAAAATATCCCCTCCTTGAAAGTTATTTGTAGAATTCTTGTAGGCTGTTCAGAGACGGGTACTCTGCAAATTTGCAAGTACAGGATGTTTTAAATAAAACAGAATTAGCTAACCTTGCATTAAAAGGACATATACAAGCCTCATTGCTTAGCATGGTATACAGTCGATGTTCAATTAGTACTTGAGTAAACAAAAGAAGGGCCCGTGTTTTAATTTTTAAACATTTCTATCTCTCAGTCCATCTTTGCAATGATAAACTGAGTGGTTAGATACGGAATCTGACATTTTGCAAGTTGATTAACTTCTTTAGGCTTTGGTTTCCTTATAAAATTAGGGTTGAATAGATGCTTTCTAAGGTCTTTTCTAGCTCTAGCATTTTATGATTCTATAACCATTAATATTTGGCAATGTAATTTTAAGTAAATGATACATTATCACCTAGCAGTCCAAAGGAAAGAATTTTCTTAGCTAACTAGAAGGTTGTTCAACTAGAGAAGCAAGTAGAATTCAGTATGTTGGTGAAATGGCAAGAAAACTTACTAGGTCGATCAGATGTAGAAAGGACAGTAATAGTGGATCCTTCTTTCTCAGCACATATTATTTATTGCCTATCTCTTACTGGTTGTGTTTACATCTATTGAAATCCCTTCACTCATAAAGTCTTTGTGTACTATATTTGGAGAATGCATACTCGGTATTACTGAACTCAGATTACAAACACATTCTTATGTTTTTCTCTCCTTCCACTCACATCACCTTTTTTTTTTTTTTAAAAAAAACAACCACCAAAAAACAAATTGAGATTACATCCAGAAACCAGTGACTATATTTAGCATTTAAGATCAAATGGTTAGTGATTGATGTTTAGCTATGTTATTGTGCTGATAATTTGTAAAATAATCTGCTTCTGGGGATAGGTAGCAGGCTGAATTTGTGATTGACTATGGAGATTTTAGAATCAAGAGATCTCTTGAATCAGAGACATAGAGGGAATTGGTGACTTGCTCAGGTTCTCAGATAGGATTTGATTCTGGATCTCAGTCAGATCCCTTCCCGTGTTACTATACTGCTTCTTATGAATTCTATATTAGGCCAAGTGGGCGAAGACAAATATTCTCTTTTGTTAGAAATGGGTATGAGGATAATCCGTGTACCATAGATATGATTGTTTGCTTAGAGAGCCAATCAGTTGTATAACCTATTATAAGTATATAGTATGAACCACTTTTTAAGTAGCTTACATGTTTATTAAAGTGATGATTTTCAGATGTGAAGCAGTATTATAAAAATTTGATATTTCGAATTCAGAACATCCTATAACTTCCATAATATATTCCAAAATATAGTGTAAATCTCCCCAGAGATTAACACAGTGAAACTGTCAGCTAGTATGTTTCCTGTGATTCTCAAATTAGGGACAAGGAACAACCTTAAACTATAGTGAGGAGACAATGAGATTTTTTTGAATTTTGAAAGGATACGTAGGTGAGAAAAAGTTGGCAAACACAGCATTTAAAGCCAATATGAAATTCCCGCTGAGTGGTTTTAATTTTCCGTTTTGATTGACAGCCACCTTTTGCACATTTCCTCGTCCTTGTTTTGACAAGATTTCAGAGGATTAGAAAATTGATTCTTCAGGCATTTCTCCTTCCCTTTGGCCTTAAACAAAGGTGGGAATGTTCAGTAATAGAATTCTGTCTTGAGAAGAAATACAGTTAATGGAAAGGAGATGATGAGTTTCTTTGTAAGAAGTTTCCAGGTAGGGGAACATGTAAGATGTTATCAGATGTTTCTCTAGTGGGACCAGTACTGAGCATTATTTTATTGTTCCACACCTGAATTGACTCTGTATTTAGGAGAGTAGAAATTCCTGGAATTTAGTTTGAGCAGTATTACAGAAGACGTGGTAATTCTTAAGTGTGACTTTGGTCTTTCTCAAGGAATAAAACAGCACTTTTGTCTATTGGCAGACCTCTGCCATTTAATTAGTAAATGCATCCCTTATGCCTCACAATGCACTCTTTTTTTTTTTTTAAACATTTATTTTTAATATAACACTTATAGCTATAAAATTTCCTCTCGGTACTATTTTAATTACATCTCACAAATTTTGATATGTTTTAGTTAGTGTTGAGTTCTAAATATTTGCTTATTTCTATTATAACTTTTACTTTGATTCATAGGTTATCAAAAACTTATTGCCAAGTTTCCAAATATTTGAAGATTTTTCTAGATATATGAGCTACTTATTCCCTTATAAAAGTTACTGTAAAACTTAGGCTTAAAACACTGTGTACTTGTTATGTCTCAATTTCTGTAGGTCAGGGAACTAAGGATGGCTTAGCAGATTCCAGTGCTTCAGGTTCTTTTACAAATCTGTAATCATCCTCTGGCTGGGGCTACAGTTTTATATGAAGGCTTGATTGAGGAAGGATCCACTTCCAAGCTGGCTGTTGGCAGGACTCAGTTTCTCAATAGAAATGAAAAATCTTTTGAAAGTGTCATTCTACTTAACATCCCACAGCACTTGAAATTGTTTTATATATTTTACTGCTGCGTGTTGTTAACTTCTGAATATATTGTTACTAATTTTCTTTGAACAATTTTTATAACACAACTAAAAAAAGAAAAGAATCTCTGTTTAATCCCTATGTGTTATATCTACTTTCTGAATTCTTTTCTATAAATTATGATTTGTATGTAATTTTTTTTTTAGCCTGAGGAACTTTTTTTTTGCATTTAAAAAAAATTATACTTTAAGTTCTAGGGTACATGTGCACAATGTGCAGGTTTGATACATAGGTATACATGTGCCCATTTTGGTTTGCTGCACTGATCAACTCATCATTTACATTAGGTATTTCTCCTAATGCTATCCCTCCCCCAGCTCCCAACCACCCACATGGACAGGCCCCAGTGTGTGATGTTCCCCGCCCTGTATCCAAGTGATCTCATTGTTCAATTCCCACCTATGAGTGAGAACCTGCGGTGTTTGGTTTTCTGTCCTTGTGATAGTTGTTGCAGTTGGTCTCGATATCTGCAGGTGCAGCGTCCAACTAACGATGGATGGGAAATATTAAGAAAAACCCCCAAACCCAAAAATAACAATGCAACAATAAACAATACAAACAAGAAATATAGTATAACAACCATTTGCAGAGTGTTTATATTGTATTGTTTAAAATAACCTAGACATTTACCCAGTACAGTATCTACCCAATTTACAGCTAAAGAGGGGCTCAGGAATATGTATTATTTAAGAAGCTCAGTGACTCCAGTGCTCAATTTAGGAACCATTTTCTCCCACTTAGCTGGTTCATTGGCCTTTCACTTTATTTGGCTGGTCAGGATTCTTGCATTGTCTGTCCATTCAAGCTGAAGAAAAGATACTGCCCAATTGCACCTTCTTCACATAACACTTCATGACCTATAAATGTCAATAAACATATGCCAGACTCCATTAACCATGAAGTTAGGACTGCAGCTTTGCCCCTTGAAAGGATCTTAGGTGGTTATAGCTGAGTATGTCTGAATGAAACTGCTGTGTGATAGCAGTAAAAATGCTGGCCTAGGGTGTACCGTTCAGTGGTGATTGAAAAAAAAGAAAAAAAGCCAACTAACAGGGCTACTGCTAAGCAAGTGGGAGAGGAGGGGCATTACTGTTTTTATCTATTATTGCTAATACTCCCAAATTATGTGCTTATTGTGTTCTTTATAGTTTGGGAATCATAAACCCATACTCTTTTAAAGTGGTTTCTAGGGTTTCGGAGTCAGACCTTTGACTTAACTGACTATGTCTGTTAGCCAAAATGGATAAGAATGGCTTTTTAAAAGAACATGTTTTACAGGACCAGAAGTTTTGTTGCACTTGGTATCTGTAATCTTCGTATCTGTCTAAAGGAATTCTTCACCAAGTCCGTTCTTCAGGGGGAAGGGGAAACCTTATGAGACAACAGCTTTCTATTGCCATGGTTTTCCTTGTTAATCATAATGTCCGTTTTCTCATTTGGACCTTGAAAAACACTCCCAACATATCTCTGCTGCTAGAATGTCATGGTTTAAGAAAGGAATGGTCCTTCTTTTAGGACAGTTCTTTGAGTATTTGAAGTTATTCCACTCATTTTCCTTTCTTCCTATGGCAGTGGCAGTGGCATGAAGGTTGAGGTAGGGAAGCTGGGTTTTGAGGAATTGGGGTAGGGACCGAGACAGGCAGCAGCCAGGTGTAGTAAATGTCTATGGTGGGGCTAGCAGATGGTGCCTGGGGGTGTACTTCTAATTTTGGTTGTTTAAAATACTTGTTTTATTTGACATTTCAGAGTTATAGTAGAAGTTTATAATATTTTCTTCTTAAAGGAGATAAATATTAACTAGAAGGTTTTAATGATTTTTATTCTTAAGAGGGCCTGCATTGTATTTTTGCCAAAAGTAAAAAGAGGCAATAGTCCTCTTAATTTCCTTCAACTTCACTCCCCAACCAGCAATAAATTCCAGGAACTGCATGCAGATCAGTGATCCTTTATCTTTCATTGTTCTCCTTATGTGGGAAAGCATTATTACTTAGGTGTAAATGTAGATTGTAGTTGAACAAAAAGCAAAGGAAGACATATCCCTTTCCTTTGGCTCTCCTTTTTGTGTCTTGAGTCTAAAAGGACTTTAAGATTATCTAGTTAATCTCCAGTCTCCCAACAGGCAGTACCTAAACCATCTTTGTTGAGAGCACTTGTAAGGTTATCAGAGGTCATTAAAAAATTTCCTACCCAAATCTCTCTGCTTTTAAATAGCTAACACCTTTCCTTTACAGAGTTCCTTTATTGAACATTTTGTGTAAATATTCTCTTTGTGGGCAGGGAGAAGTAGGTAATTACCAGTAGCAACCCTTGGTGGTCGCAAACAAAAAAAAAGTTCAGAGATGACTATAGTCACCTATTCAGGAGAGCATCCAGAGTATGTTGGCACACAAAACCAAGTCTTTTTAATTTATGCAATTTGCTCAATATTAATTGAATCAACTGAGAAGGGTGAAATTTTACTAGCGTTATTTGCCAGGTTGGACCTTGGAACCTGAAGGAACCAGAAATTATCATTGACAACCTCGCTAGAGGCCCTTACTCAAGTTTCACTCTTATTTGGGTTTTTTGGAGACTGGCTAATCCCCCTTTTCTTTAAAATTGAAACAATAGCCGTAGCTGTATAAGGGCTAGCGTTTAAGTGTTTTATAATCTCACTTTATTTGGTCTTAACGGCAACACTATAAAGTGTAGGTATGATCCTTAATTTTTATATGGTGAAATGAAAGCTTAGAGATATTTAAGTAACTGTCCCAGAATCTTACAGCAATAAGTAGCAAAGTTAGGATTTCGACTGGGTCTGATGCCAAAATACTTCCCTCAGTTGTTTTCCTCTGCCACCTCTGTGGTTTGCAGCGCCCGTCCACAGTGTCTCCCTCAGCCCCTTTCCTGGATCACGCAGCTGTTTATTTTGCATCACCCTCCTTCCATTTTACAAACAACAAGTTGTACCCTCAGATTCCACTGTTAGGCAAATATGGTTGGACATCACTATTCTCTTAGGAAAAATGTGTTGCTTCAATCTGTATGGAGAAAATTCTTTTATTTTGATTTAAGTACATATAGTGGGATCAACCTATAGATGTTTTCAAGAAAACTGAGTGTAGTGTTGTTCCAAGAAAATTCTTTTATTTTGATTTAAGTACATATAGTGGGATCAACCTATAGATGTTTTCAAGAAAACTGAGTGTAGTGTTGTTCCAAGAAAATTCTTTTATTTTGATTTAAGTACATATAGTGGGATCAACCTATAGATGTTTTCAAGAAAACTGAGTGTAGTGTTGTTCCAAGAGGTCTCTTAAAAAGAGTATTTCAGAATCGTCTGACCACTGAAAAATTATTCATACACATATTACAGCAAATTAAATTTTAGTGACTTTTTCTCAGCATTCAAGATTATAATAACAATTCTACAACTTGACCTCTTCATTAGAAATGTGGAAGTGATTTAAACTGACAGTGTGAACAATAGTGTTCTCAACTCGTATAGCAGCATCCTATTTATAGATGGAAGCAGCTGCATCCTTTTTCTTTATTTAGGAGGAATACTATTGTTCTCAGATCATCAGGTGGATGATCCTGTGGGGAAAATGTGATTGAGCCAATTATAACACAGGTATTATTGATCTCCCTCCAATCAAGCTTTTATTCATCTATATGGAAAAAAACCCACATTTAAACTCTAATAGCTAAGTATGAAATGTGATGCTGAATTCATATTAATTGGACACTTACATAGTTGTTTTAGTCTAATGAGATTATTTCATCAAGAAGCTATCTTTGTTCAACATTTCTAGTTGTGCAAAGGCTTTAGTCTGTTACGTATACTATAGACACATGTCTATTCACATTTAAAATTGTAGTTATTTTATGAAATGTACCTTTTACTGATTCCCATTCTTTCCTATCAACAACTGATAGTTGTGCTTTTATATAAAATGTTAATAATATCTGATACTTACAGAAAGCCAGGCACTGTGCTTTATATTTTGCCTGTTTTATCTTACTTAATTCTCTCCCAACCCAGTGAAGAACATGTTTTCTCACATTATACAGATGAGGACAGTTGATATACTTTGCCTAAGGTCATACATTACACAGTAAATGCTAGAACTGAAGCTTCAAACCCATCTGTTTCTGATTTTAAATCCTCACTCATGTAACATGGATATTGTTGGCAGTGTTGGGACTATGGCTAGAAAGTGTTTGTTTCACTTATTTCAATAGCAAACTTCAGTAGCAATTTGAAGAAAGTCAACTTCAAACTAACTGCATTGCCTGCGCACAGAGCTTAGACCAGAGTTAGGTATGTATCTTTAACATGATATTCAGTATATCTTTTTCTGTATGTAGCAAACTATATGGATGAAGATCTGTTACTTTGTGCCTTAAAATAACGACTCCAAAAGGAAGTGGATTTGATTTAAGTGAATTTGTAGTGCATGCTCTATTCACCTATTCCTGTACATCATTTTTTTTTCTCTTCCACAATGAAATTTTTTGAGTACGATGTAGGAAATCATCTTAAAGTGGAGTGTACTTACCCACATCAGGGTTTAAAAGGTAAAATTTCTTCTATAGCTTTGTCTATATTACATTTTTACCCTTCCATTTGAAACTAATTAGAAATATTAGTGATCAAGTATCCGAACCTAATTAGAAATTAAAGTTTTTTTTAATCATAGGTTTTGAATTCATAGCTTAAAAAAATGCTTCTGATTGAAGATAAGATGGGAATTTACATGGGATAAAAGAAAAAAGTACCTTAAATGAGGACATTCCCATGTATGATTAAAAAAACATTCTGGATGTAAACATTAAAAACGGATTTCTGTGTGTCATCCTAAAGATTTTGAGATTCATGTATTAATTTGTTTTCAGAAATTAAAGGGATTACAATTGTTAGTAAAATTGAACTTCGTAATAATATTTTCTCTGGTATTAGTTTCAGAAAGCCAGTGATTAGAAGAGATGTTAACTGTGTTTGGAGGTAGTTTCTTTATGAATAGTTAAAATTGTATTTTCAAAAATTTGTATCATAAACAATATGTAGTTTCCCTGTAGGTTTTCTTTTTGCGAAGTGTTACTTAATTGAAGAAATAATTTAGGCTGGGCACCGTGGTTTATGCCTGTAATCCCAGCACTTTGGGAGGCCAAGGCAGGTGGATTGCCGAGCCCAGGAGTTTGAGACTAGCCTGAGCAACATGGTGAAACCCTGTTTCTACCAAAAATACAAAAATTAGCCAGGTGTGGTGACACTTGCCTGTAGTCCCAGCTACTCAGGGGGCTGAGGCAGGAGGATCGATTGAGCCTGTGAGCCCAAGAGGTCAAGGCTGCAATGAGCCATGATCACGCCACTGCACTCCAGCCTGGGTGACAGAGCAAGGTCCTGTCTCAAAAATAAAAATAAAAAAAATTTAGATTGTGATGGCAGTTATGATAGTTAATCACAGCCAAACATAATTGCTTATCTTCATACATATTAAATTTGATTCCTTGTGTGATCAGGTTTGATGCATAAACCAAGGATGGTGATACCTTTCAAGAATCTAACTGGTGCTTAATAGAGGAAGTTAAGACTTTTAAAAAGTGAGCTATAGTAATTTAGATTATCTTCCAAATCTATTCTAAACTTTTATAGTCTTTTAAAGCATGCATCATAACGTTCTGGAGAGAAAAATCTGCAGAATGCAGCATGCAAACAGCTGTAAAGTAAACCGTAAATTTTGTTCATTTATATGTTGTCTCTAACATATTTTTAAGTGTTTGTTAAAAATCTGGAATCTTTGCTGGGTGTGGTAGGTCGTGCTTGTAATCCCAGCACTTTGGGAGGCTGAGGTGGGATGATTGCTTAAAGCCAAGAGTTTAATACTCGCCTGAGCAATATAGTGAGACTGTGTTTCTTCAAAAAAAAAAAAAAAAAAAATAGCTGGATGTGGTAGCGTGTACTTGTAGTCCCAAGTAGCTGGGACTACAAGTACAAGGCAAGAGGATTGTTTGAGCCCAGGAGTTTGGGGGTTACAGTGAGCTATGATAACACTGCACTCCAGCCTGGATGACAGAGTGAGATACTGTCTCTTAAAAAAAAAAAAAAAGGTCTGGGAATCTTTATATTGAAAAAATTAATTATTATAATTGTTCTTAGAAAATAATTTTCAACCACCTGGGAAGCATATTCGTAAATCTTTACACTTAAAATTCAGGTTTGTTGTATATATTAATGAACCTGGATTGTAGAACCTACTTAAATCCTGCCTACATCTGCACAGTGTCTGCCAGCTATCAAAATAGAACCTAAGGGTTTTGCTGGTGTTCTCTCATTTAATGAGGTACCAGGTAACAAAAAGAAGATTCTAGATTATAGCCCTCAGCCACCCTGTGCATTGAGTTTTCAAATGGAATTGATTCTCAGGTTATAAGTAACTTGTCCACAGTTAAAAACCATGCAAGTTGCAGAGGTGTAGATTTTATCTCAGCCTGGCTCCAGAGATCAGTCTGTTACCCACAGTGCCAGCATGCAAGGTATATTAAAGTACACATTTTAAGTTGTCTCTTTTATTGTTCCTTGTAATTTTTTTTTCCGTAAGATTACCCAGGGAGGAAGAAATAGATGAAATACCAGAGAGGTTAGGCAGTGGACTATAATCTAGAATCTTCTTTTTGTTACCTGGTACCTCCTCACTCCGAAACACCTGTTCCAAAAAGGAGTTAGTTATTTCTGATGATGACTGTGCACCACTTGCTGAGCTTTGTAAAGGGCTTAATTTTGTTTCTTTTTGTATCATACTATTCCAGAAAAGGTAGCTAGTAGGTATTTATCCTTACCAAAAGATGGGCATGCTTGAAGTAAATGGTTCAATTATAAGAGTGGGGTGGTTTTTCTTATTCCAATAATTTTATACATTATTATTTTACCTATTTTACAGATTTGTAAAATGTGGCAATTGTGACAGAATTTTTTCCCTCCAGAACCCCCAATAATATCCTGTTAGTGCCTCACATAATGAGAGATGATCATGGAGACATTTTATTGTGAGGTATAAATGTTGAGTGTTGAATAAGCACTTTGTCTTGATGGAGAATTACTTTGCTTTTCTGGGGTGGTAAAAATGGTTGTTTATACTGATAGAATAAAGCAAATAAGAAAGTTTATAAAAGCTCAGTGAAAATTCAAGAGCACTCTAAATATAAGCTTATATTTCTCGTATCATGTGTTGTACAAAATTTAGGCTTATGTGCAAAAATAAAAGATCTGATTAAAATGTTTACTTAAATGCATAAATGAATACAGTGGAACTGTCTAAGACATGTCAAGAAAATTTGGTGTTAATCTATTTAAATTTTTTGGTAAGCATAAAAATCACTTTTTCTAGTGTACTGGAAGAAAAGTTATTTACTGACTCAGCACATTTTAATTGAGTCCTTACTGTGTGCTAGAGACTGTATAGTTTTAAAAAATGCCAAGAAGGGGTTACTGAAAGATGAAAGGATCTGAAAAACAAAGGGATTATTACATCAGTAAAAATCACATCAGGGGTCTGTCTAGATGAGTGTGAAGAAATTATAGTACATGGATAAAATGAGCAAACTTAGGTTGTATCTCACATATCAGGGCTACTTGTGAGGTTTCATAAAATATGACTTCAAAGTTTGTTGGGTAGATAATGATAACATGTATCAGTAGTACTGGTAGTTTTTTTTTTTTTTGAGACGGAGTCTCGCCGTGTCCCCCAGGCTGGAGTGCAGTGGCGCAATCTCAGCTCACTGCAAGCTCCACCTCCTGGGTTCACGCCATTCTCCTGCCTCAGCCTCCTGAGTAGCTGGGACTACAGGCGCCCACCACCACACCCAGCTAATTTTTTGTATTTTTAGTAGAGGCGGGGTTTCACCGTGTTAGCCAGGATGGTCTCGATGTCCTGACCTTGTGATCCGCCCGCCTCAGCCTCCCAAAGTGCTGGGATTACAGGCGTGAGCCACTGCACCCGGCTGTTTTTTTTTTTTTTTCCTTCTTCTTCTTTATTAAACGGGAGAGACAGGAAGGAGAAGGGGAGAGAATATAAGAACAAATTTGAATGAATGAGAGGAGTGAAAACGAAAATATCTGTATTTTGGATTTGAAAATTCTACTGTAGCAGATAATAATAACCTGGCTTATTATGGAGTTAGTGTATGTGTGTAGCAGTTTGAAAACTGTCTTTGATATCTTTCCTTTTGGTGATTATTAGATATAAATTATCTACATGTGAAATTTCATGGAAATTAGAGATAATATAGAATATTCAGCACAGTGTCTGGCATATAATAGGTAGTTATTGTTGATAAATCATTTATATGAATACATTCATATAATGTGGGTGGTACAGTACAATGCAATGGTTTAAATAATGGCTTGAAACAGTAAGCTTGAAACTGATATTTTGGTTTGATAGTTTATATTACTAAGCTGTTGAGATGTGACGTCGCTACAAAAATAATAAATTTAGCCCAATATCAAAATAGTAAAACTGACTGCTAGGATCATAAAAATTTAGCTTTCCAGCGTATTTTGTGACTTAGTTCAGTTTGCTATTTTTGTTTTAAGAAAAATGAAGTTCAAAATATTGCAAGCACACAGGATGGTATAAAATACAGCAGTGTATTCCTGCTGAAAATCTTTAACATACTGTTGAAAATCTTTAGTAGAGGAATATATTCTGCACATTTAAAAAAATCTCACACAAAGAGCCTTCTATGTTTCTTAAAGAATTTTTTTTTTCTTTTTTGGGGAAGGGGAAAAGGTCTGTAGGATAAGCTTATTTAATATGACATCAGTTGAATAAAGCCAGCTGTGAGTAATTATCTCCGATATTTGATTTCCAGCTGTTTTGTTGAACTGTTATGGGCTCTCAAGGTATTTGGATATTAATTAAATGATGACTCATTACAAAGGAGTCTTGTTTTAAATACTACTTTATAAAATAGAACATTAAAATAGACCAACTGGTACAAAGTTTTAATCTTTTCTGGAGTAACTATTTTTTCCTACCTGGTTCATTTTCATGTTTATTTTAAAGTCAATACATTTTTAACTTGGAGGAAATCATTCAGATCGGATATGTTTTGGTAATTATTTTATATAATTGTATGTATATCTATATATCTCTATCTGTATACATAAATATAATTAAATGTGTCTTCTCTTTGCCTAAAGGTTTTTGAAGTCAGGTTATCATTAGTGAATAATTCATATCAGGTTGAATATAAGAGCAGGTATTTTCATTTTAGCATGTTGGATACTGGACATCAGATTGTGTAAACAATGGATTTTTGTTTGTTTTTTTGAGAGAGGGTCTCAATCCGTTGACCAGGCCGGAGTGCAGTGGCAGGATCACAGTTCACTGCAGTCTTGACTTCAGCCTCTTGAGTAGGGAAAGACTACAGGCGCCTACCCCAATGCCCAGCTAATTTGTTTAGTTTTTGTAGGGTTGGGGTCTCGCTATGTTGCCCAGGCTGGTCTCGAATTTATGGGCTCAGGCAGTCCTCCAGCCTCTGCCTCCCAAAGTGCTGCGATTACAGGCATGAACCACTGTGCCTAGCTAACAATGGACATTTTGGAAAATGTGAAAAGAAATCACAGAGGTTACAAGAAAGATTTTTTTAAAAAGTCATTGAACAATGAAATAAGAAATTAGGAAGTAGGACTAGTCAAAAGTGGATTAGTGCTCCAAAGATGTAAGGAAAAGGGGCCGGGAGCATTGGCTCACACCTGTAATCCCAGCACTTTGGGAGGTGGGTGGATCACAAGGTTGGGAGTTTGAAACCAGCCTGGCCAACATGACAAAACCCCATCTCTACTAAAAATACACAAAATTAGCTGGGCGTGGTGGCGGGCACCTGTAGTCCCAGCTACTTGGGAGGCTGAGGCAGGAGAATTGCTTGAACCCAGGAGGCGGAGGTTGCAGTGAGCCGAGATCATGCCACTGCACTCTAGCCTGGGCAACAGAGCAAGACTCCATCTCAAAAAAAAAATGTAAGGAAAAGGGCAGAGGCATAAATCAAAACTGAGCAAACCCTCAGGGCTCTGGCAATGAGACTGGGTGTGGCAGAGGCCTGTGGGGTGAGGGGTGAGTGCGTCTAGAGGAAATGTACTGTTTTGCAGATAATAAGTATTGATCAGACATGCATTTTTACCTCTGCTGTGGGATTTTAGTCTCATTACTTTGTTGATCTACTTTGTAGTTAACCTAGAGAAGTTAACACAGCCATTGCTACAGAGCTTTCTGCCACTTGAGTTCCAGAATTCCAGAATCCAGTTTCCTAGGGATTGTGGGGAGTAAAAAGAGGTATAGGGTATGGTCCCTGTATGGGAGCAATACAGTCTTTATTGAGTAGTGTCTATATTGTCTTGTTTACTCAGGTATTTCATATATACATTAAAAAAACCGACAATAAAAATGAACATATGAAAACTTCCTTATTTGTGATACATGAGTAAATGTTGATGAGATTAGAGAAGGGGTCCAAAAAGGTTTCTCTGAGGATATGAGTTGAGTTGCCCATCAGGATGGATTGGGTAGTGGATGCTGATGTGGGCAAACACTGGAATAGACCTCAGATGCTGCATGATGTGCCTGTGTAACACAGTTGAAATTTGGTGATCAAGGGACATATTACAGCAGGGTAGGGCAACCGCCTAAAAAATGACTTGGGGTCCTTTAATTGGTTTATGTTGTACATGGTGAAAGAAGAGAAGGCCCCGAAATGACCATGGCATAGAAAATAGAAATCAAAAAGAAAAGTATGACAGGAGACTTTACAGGATTAAAAAAAACCACGACTCATTAAATGTGTGAAAAAAGAGAAAATAGTTGCTACTAAGTTGAAAACTCCTACGTGGTTTTCACTGGAATAGCTGGGACACTGGTGCAGGCACCAGAAGTAGAGAAATCTAAACATGTGGCCAGTTTTTTGGGGGAAATTTAGTGTGAAGTTTAGTTACCATTTGAAATGACGCTTCAGCAGCTTCAAATGGTAACTAATCAGCTGGGAATTGTGGTGGTTTGTAAAAAAAAGTCAGAGTCCAGGAGTCAGTTGTAAAGATAGGCTGAGAATAGATGCGATATCTTAGGGAAGGATCCTTATGAAGAAGAATGACGGTTCAAAGCCCAGCCCTGGGAGTACCTAACATGGAGAGACTGCAGAGCCCATGTTGGGCCGGGAAAGACCCAAGGGGAAGGACTGGCCACACAGCACTGGGTGCCTTCCCGAAGTTTCATACCCTTTCCTTTTGTGATTTTTTTTCTTCTTGTGTGTCACTGTCAAATTTTAAAAAATGTTCTATTTAATATTGTTTGTCTTACTAGAAAGGACAATGATTTTCTCTGTTTTGTATGCTAGTGTGTTCCTGGCATCTAGAATAGAGCTTGACACTATTCTTGGCACAAGAAGAAAAAAGGATTTGCTTTAAAGAGATCACTGGTGATCTTGGAGAAACAAATTTCAGTAAATTTAGGGGCAAAGATCAGATTCCCAAAAGTTATACAATAACTGGATAGTTGAGAAAATGGACCAAAGGAATGTACCTGTTTAATGTAGTGGTAGATTTACTTCCACAAGTATTGTTGTCTTTGATTTACTAACATTTTTCTATTACAGTAAAAATTAGGATCAACTATGATGAAATGAAATTTAAAAATAAGGTGGTGAGGCTCATATGTGTAAATATGTATGATCTTGAAATTTTGTCATGTTGTCCAGTGACGCAGTTTTTATAAAAACCTTGGTGCCATTACTCAAAACAGGTTTAGAATTTATGTTGGGGTTATTGCCAGAGTTGTTTAGTGAATTCTACAAGGAAGTTACCTCTTTACTTTCATACAACAGTATGTTGTTTTTGAGCCTGATTGAACTTAAATATATTCAACCCCTTTACCAGGCTTAAGTCTGGGTGAGTATGTTGAATGTTTTCACAAGCCAAATCTCCCCAGAAAGGCTGAGGAATTACTACTAATTACAATATTCAAAGGAATGTATTTCCAGGTATTCTTGAAGCACACATACCTATGCGTGCATTTGATAGCCAGAACATTACAGTGAATGACCAGTGAACAGTCAGGAAACAAATCCATCCTTGGCCTCCCCTTTTTATTTTTATTTTCCCTCCCCAGTTCATTGCAAAGGAGGCAGACTAGATGCCGGGCAGCCAGGCCCCACACATGGTTCAGCACAGCTGGTGGTTCTGCCAAGTTGGGTTTCATCCCCAAGAGCATGCAGATTTATTAGTACATTTTGGCAGAAGACATCACTTTATATTAAATTATTATTGAACTGTCATAAATTTAAATAGTAAAAGGGTATACTTTGAAAACGACACCTCTTTTCTAATGATAAAAGGACCTGATGATACATGTAGGATACGGTCACGTTTCATTATGCGTAGGAGGTACTCAGTAACAGTTTTCCAATGGAAAGAATGAGAAGTTATGGGTATTTATTATTTTTCATATAATTGCTTTGTAGGTAGCTTGAGGATCAAAGGCTAGAAGAGAAGAATATATGTGATAGGATATAGAAGTTTTGATATCAGCTGGCAGCAGTGGTAGAGTGGAAGAAAGCATTTGTGAATTTGGGAGTAAGAAAACTTGTCTTCTGACAACCGTTATTCATAATTGAATTTCTATCTTGCATTGTGGCCATTTGTGAGAATCTTTTATCTATTCTAGCAAACTGAGTTTCTTTGAGGACCAGAGTATATTGTACCAACCTTTGTATCCCCAAGGCAACATCCCAGCACAGTGCTTTGCACAGAGCAAGTATTCAATACTTTGAATTGACCAGTGAACTGCAAATGAAGGGAAAGGATAACATCTGAACAGATTTTGGAACCCCCCTCAACTCCCAATCTATGTGGAAATTTGAGACTAAATAAAAGTTGTCATTTGTATTAGGAAAAAAAATGTGTGTTTAATTAAATACTCAATTACACGTCAAATTCTGCTGTTCTCTTGTTTTTAAAAGTTTATTTTTAAAATTGATACATAAAAATTATAGGTATTTATGGTGTACAACGTGATTTGAAATATGCATACATTGTGGAATAGCCAAATTGAGCCAATTAACATACATATTACCTCAACTTATTTTTTGTGGTTAGAACACTTAAAATTTACTTAGTGATTTAAGAATACAATATATTGTTGTTAACTGTAGTTACCATGTTGTACATTAGAGCTCTTGAACTTACTCCTCCTAGCTAATTTTGTGTCATTTGATCAACATCTCCCCAACAGCCCCCCCTCCCCAGCCCCTTGTGACCACTGTGGGAACTCTCTACTCCTGTGAATTCAACTTCTCTAGATTCTACATATAGATGAAATCACACAGTATTTGCCTTTGTACGCCTGGCTTATCTCACTTAACATATCCTCCAGGTTCATTTATATTGTCATAAATAATAGGATTTCATTTTTTTTAAGGCTAATATTCTGTTATACCTATATACCGCACTTTCTTCATCCATCCATTGAGGGACGTTTAGGTTGATTCCGTATCTCAGCTGTTGTGAATAATGGTGCAGTGAACATGGGAGTGCAGGCATCTCTTCAACATAGTGATTTCATTTCCTTGAATATATAGCCAGTAGTGGGACCGCTTGATCATATGGTAGTCCTATTTTTAATTTTTTTGCAGGAACCTCCATACTGTTTTCCATAATGAATATACTAATTTACATTCTCATCAACAGTGAGAATTTCTCTTTTCTTCACATCCTCTTCAATGCTCATCTCTTTTTTTTTTTTTAAACAGCCATTCTTACATGTATGAGGTTTTGTTGTGGTTTTAATTTGCATTTCTTGGATGATTAGTGATCTTGAACATTTTTTCATATACCTGTTGGCTATTTGTAGTCTTTTGAGAAATGTCTATTCAGGTCCTTTTCCTATTTTGAAATTGGGTTACTTGTGTTTTTTTGCTATTGAGTTGTTTTTCTTATATATTTTGTATATTAACCCCCTATCAGGTGTATGGTTTGCAAATACAGTCAGCCCTCCATACACTCAGGTTGCACCTGCAGATTCAACCAACCATGGATCGAAGATATTTTAAAAAACCAATAAACAAACAATACAACAGTAAAAACTAATACAGTAAAAAAGACAATACAGTATAACACCAACTATTCACATAGTATTTACATGGCATTAGATACGATAAGTAATCTAGAGATAATATATGGAAGGATGTGCATAGGCTACACGCAAACCCTATGCCATTTTATATAAGGAAAATCCTCGGGGGCGGGTTCTGGAAGCAACCCATCATGGATACTAAGGGTCAGCTTTATTTCCTCCCATTCTGTAGGTTGTCTCTTTAGCCCAACTGTTTTCTTGGCTATACAGAAACTTTTTAGTTTGATGTGATCCCATTCATCTATTTTTGATTTTGTTGCCTTTACTTTTGGGGTCATTTCCAGAAAATTATTGCCTGTACCAATGTCATGGAACTTTTCAGATGTTTTCTACTATTAGTTTTACGGTTCCAGGTCTTACGTTTAAGTCTTTATTTTGAGTTTATTTTGTGTATGGTATTAATAAGGGTCTAATTTTATTCTTCTGCATGTGTAGATACCCAGTTTTCTCAACATCATTTATTGAAGAGACTCTTCTTTCCCCCATTGTGTGCTCTTGGTACCTTTTTTGAGAATCAGTTGACTGTAAATGGTGGATTTATTTCTGATCTCTCTGTTCTGTTACCCTGTCTACTTCTTAAGTGGTCTACTATTAGAGTGTTGCAACATTGTTATTTTACTTTAAGACCAGACATTATCTAAGAAAACAAAAAAGATAAACTAAAATGCTGTTTTGAGTATGTTGTAGGAAATCTCTGCAGCCTGACATATTTTGGCAGAAGCCAAAGAGTTACTGATAACCTCCTTCACCCTGAGGCACTCCTCTCCGTTTGATTTTCATAATTACCTTTAACTTGAACAACAATAATGTTCCACATGCCAGTGTTCATAAAAGAAAGTGCCTACTACACGTCAAGGCACTGATGATTCGCTTAGAAAATCTTAGATACTCTTATTATTCCTATTTTACGGGTGGAGAGACTGAGCCACAGAGAGGTTGAGTGACTTGTTCAGGGATGCCAAGCTGGTAAATGGCAGTCAGATACTGAACTCAGTCAGTGTTGCTCAAGTGACTCATCTGCCTAGTGGCCTGGCAAGCAGAGAGTATGCAGGGGAATTGCCTGGAAAGGTGCACTGTGATTACCTGTTCTGTCCACAACATCTTCCTACATCATTTTGCAAATTTTTCGTTCTATACCAAGGCCCAGAGTTCCACTAGTAGTTCTAGAGATATCTTTCATGTAAAAGGAGTGTCTCTTAAATTTTTTTTTTTAAGAATCTTTCATGGGATAGGGTCAAAATACCTAGAATACTTTTTTCTGGAAAGTTTTCATAGAGAATAAGAGCCGGAAGTAAAAGGTAAATAATTCTGCAACTTTGCAGTCACCTCACTCACTCAGTAAGATTGCTTTAGGTAGGTGTCAGAGACAAGTGTCCCAAGTTTTTGGATTTTCATCAAGCCAAGACCATTGCCCTTCATACTACCGTTCAAGAGTTACAGCACCAAAATAGGGTAGGCAACTTAAAACATTTCTTCTGTTAAGGATATTAGATAAAACAGTGAACTACTATCTAGTATCAATATAATTTCAAGTAATGACATTATAAAAAAAAGGGAAGGTTACAGTCCCACAATAAAGGAGAACTCTTTAAATGGAATACATTAAGCTTATCAAGGATCTCAACTCATTGTCCTTAATCTCTCATTTTGCCACACACTAGTGAGAATTCTCTGGTGGACCTACATTTGGAACCTTTTCACTAGCCTTCTTTGAAATCTTTTACCAAGAAAATATTTTATAGCTTCCTTTTCCTTCTTCCTGTATGGGTCCTGTAGTTCTCGGATGCAGTAGCTGATAGACCCAACCACCCTTTATAACACTGGCCCTGAGGCAACACACATTTTAAGTTATGCACAAGTATTTTAGGAAATGTGAAGTTGGGAACCGTTCTCCTACCTTCCCTATTCATGTTCCTTTCTGATTGTGATGGCTGCTCTGCAGTAATTGACTTCATAGGATATTCACTCTTACCACCCCAAGGGCTCTTTGCTTCCTTCTGATTTCTGGAGAATCTTGGTAATGATGATCTGAGGGCTTTAAATGTTGGGGGTGGGATGTCAGAGTATCAATGTTGTGAAGGTAAAGGTCTACTTATTTATGAATGTGATGGAGTCTGTCATATAAATCAAATGTACACATGTACAATTTTAAGTTGTAATGCACGCATGCTACTTCCTCTGTAAGTGGGGGAGGTAGAACAGTTATCAGTAGGATAAGTAAAGTGAGATTCTTAGCTTCAAAGGAGAATTCAAAACATGTATTGAAAGGTGAGATACTTCAGAAACTATAACTTGCTGTCCCTTCTAGTGGAGCACTTGATTAGAAAATACATATTTTTACATATTTTTAAGTCTCTGATTCTTCTTTGAAATTCAGTAATACCCAGCATTTTCTGTAACTGCCCTCCTCTGCACCCTTTCCCTAAATAGTTTATCTGATTGGATAAACTATTCCTCTTCTCTGCTCCTTCACCTTTCATGGATAGGTCTAAAAGAGATCAATTTTGAACAGACCTAAAATTTCTTTAGCATTTTAGCTCATTTTCTGACCAATAGTGGAAGGCTTTAATTACATATGTCGAATATTCTCATTTGCTTCTCCTGTCCTCTTGAGAAATAGAAAATTTGAGAATAAGTAGTACTATTGGTGGTTGACTCCTTGGTAAAACATTCAAGATGGGAAAAACAGATGTCAAATTATTTTTGTCTTTTGTCCTAGAAAAATGGCTACAATGAAATTTTCTATATTTAAAACCTTCCATTCAAAGAGTACTTCTTTTTTGCTAAGAGGCAATAAAGAACTGGTGTCCTCAGTGACCTATTCCGCTTTGCTTTTATTAAGACTATCTAAACTCTACCGTGGTAGGACTATTGAGATTTGTACAGTGAATGTTCAAAATGAGTGCTGTTGATAGTGCCTCTGGAATTAGGTTGGTATTAGAAACTTGAGGTTTCCTGAGGGTGATTTGTGCAGACTCTATGGCCCTTTGTTGCGGAGATAGGAGTTCAGTGGAATGATGTATAGCAGCCCCTGTCTGTCCACCCCCAGCTCAACAAGGTTTCTAGGAGGTTTAACTGGAGCCAGACTGTATTTGGGAAATGAATTGAACACCAAGCTGAAGGTTTTAACTCTACTGATAGAGGAGAATTTGTGGGGAAGGTGTTTGGTTGATGTTATTTTTTAATTGAAATTGAAGATAGTTCAGGAATCATTTTATTAGAGAGAGAGTGTATGTCTGTGCCTCTGTTCTCTGTGTGTATACGCAGCTGATTTCTGTTTTTGGTTGTTTTACTTAAATGTTAAATGTAATCATTCACAGCCTGCTAACTTTTGATGGAAAAAACCAGTGCAAATATAGTATGTTAATCTACACATGTAAATTAAAATTTGACTACAAATATTGCAGTCTGAGAGTCTATTAAAATAAGATACTTTTAAAATGAAGATATCTTTTGTTAAATGTATTTTTGCTGCCTAAGAGATGGCAATTCTGGGAAGCTGTAGGCTTGGTGGTGTAATACATTGTTCTGAAGGGGAAATATTTATACTGACTCTTGAAAACAGGAATTGCGAACTGATTTTGGACACTTTCTCTTTTCTTATTTGTTAACAAAATGAGTTTTTGGTGAAAACTAAATTGTTGCTTCTTCTAATGAAAAATCGTAACTTAACAAGTGAAACTTGCTTACGGGATCATTTTTCCCAGGGACGTGACAATTAACATGGTGCATAGTATGCATTTTAGGTTGCTAAACATAACACCCAGTTGGTAATCATAAAAACTGCCTGTGACTTCTGTTGTGACTATATCATTTAACCCTTGTGTTTTCTTCAATGAGAGATAAACTCTTTGAGAATGCAGATTATAGATGATACTTCATCTGTCCCTTAAAATTTATGAAGTACTTGGTACCTTCTTCAGCTCTTGTCCCTTGACACTTGACTGCTCTGGGGCTCCCTGACACCAACTTGAATTAGAAGACGAATGGGATAAAAGAGTGTTTTGTTGTAATTTACAAGTCTGTTTTGTAATTTTTATGGCTAATTAATGAGGTAATTACTAATCACCTTTGTCTCAAGTTTAGGAATTGTTCAAAAACTCAGTCTAAAAAAGCATGCCTTTTTCAGTGGAAAACACTTGAGGAAGTTTTTTGATTGATTTGTTTATTTTTTTCCTCTGGAAAAGAAACCTGAAGAAGTTTTAGACAAACAGGGAATGACTTGAGTCTTTATAATTTACTTCTAGCATTCTTCATACATGTCTTTTCTTTCTTTCTTTTTTTTTTTTTTGAGATAGGGTCTTGCTCTGTTGCCCAGAATGGAGTGCATTGGCACAGTGACAGCACACTGTAGCCTTAACTTCCCGGGCTCAAGTGATTCTCCTACCTCAGCTTCTCCAGTAACTGGGACCACAGGTGCTCGTCACCACACCTGGCTAATTTTGTTTTCTTTTTTCTCTATAGAGATGGGTCTCACTGTGTTTCCCATGTTGGTTTCAAACTTGGACTCAAGCCATTTGTGGGGATTACATATATGGCTGCACTCAGCCATACATATGTCTTAATAAAGTTTAAGCCATACATGTGTCTTATAATGTTTAGGAATCCGAGGCTGAAGAAATATACGAGGGCCTTATCAGCAATGACCAGTAATGTCATTATCAGGTTTTCCTGGGCTTTGATGTGAATTTGAATGAAATCACAATCCTAGGAGATTGTTTTTCTTTTGGGTGTAAATTAGTAAGTTCAGAAACAGTATTTTGCCTTCATATGATTTAGGGTTAAAGTAATTATTGTAACTCTAAAATAATAATTTTTTTTTTGAAAACCATACACTCTGCTATGGATTTTTTTTCTTACATTGTTCAAAAGTATGTGATGATGTAACTCTGGGGTATGAGTCACTCGGATGCACAAAGCACCTCAGCAGGCTGGTGATATGACATTTTTGTTTTATTTGCTCTGGTGCTTTACAAAGATCTGGGGAGGCTGTTTTAAAATAAACATTTCCCTGCTAAGGATGATAGAAGTTAAACAGTTTTAATAGGAGTGCTGATGGACTTGTTCCCGACTTCCTGCCCCTTTTCGTCAGGGACATAAAGAGAAAGGAATCATCATATTCTTTAAGATGATCTTCAGGAATGCTTTAAACCCCCATCTCTGTGTTGACTCACTTGCGAGACCGGCGACTGCTTTTGGGTTCTAGGAAGGACGGTTGGTCCAGTCTGCCACCTTGTGGTTATTTACAGAATTATTTCAGCCTGTATAGGTGTGAGTTTTCTGAAGCCGTAACACACAGATTGAAAACACATTTCCTGCATTTCTTTCTCTCCCTGTTCTCAGGGAGTGCTTAAGATCATGCATACCACCACCCCTGCAGGAATGTTGCCCTTTTCTTTCTTTGCACCCAGCACATCCACCGTTCGTTGCTAGATGCAGAGCTGAGAAAGAGATGTAAGAGAAGACGAGTGTCTTTGTTCAAGGTGCTTCTCTGATCGAGGACATAAAATACAAACCTATTAAAGTGCCCACATAGAGCACATGTGAAGGCCCTAATGTGAATGGTCAAGGTGGTAAGAACTTTAGAGGCTCAGAAAGGAAGTGTTCACTGCCAGTGTTAAATGGGGTCTTGGAGCAGAGGAGGATGGAAGAGTGTTTGGAGGGACTTTGTGTTAGGCTGTACCCAAAGACTGCTGGTCATCATGTGGAAAGGGTACAAGAGGTTGTTGGTGTTTGGGTTTCATTCCAGTGTGGGGAGCCTTGGAACGAGGTGGTTTGAACATGGTGTGCTTGACACAGTGTTAGCAGATACGTGCTCTGGAGGTAACAGGCACCCTCCGCCCCCACCTCAAAGACAGCATTAGCCTTGTTTGGGAAATTCGTGGGTAAAGTTATTAGTCCCTCTCCTGCATGAACTTTAATGTAGTTTGTGAACCTGGCAGAAATATATGCTATACAATGTTGTATAGGACAAGGTACTGTGGGGCATATTTTGGGAAATACTGCAAAAAAATGTTAAAAAGGTTTAACCTGACAATATGCTACTGATGTGTTATATTGAATTACTTCAATATAACAGGTTTTTTTCAAATAATACTTCAGTTGTGTGGATATATTTTGGAAGAAAATATATACAAAATTTTAATTTGTTTTCTAATACCATCCACAGATGAAAAAATATCCAAGAACGGTGCTAAATTAAATTAGGTCTTCAAAGTCAGTTTCAGTAACTCCAATGTGACCTGAAACTTGTGGGAAACCTCTTGTAATTTTAAACAATGTTAAGAGTGAAGTGTAAATATTATAAGGAATGTTTTAAAGGTAGAAAGTCTGTAGGTCCAAATGTTAATGGAATGCATGCAGAATTTTTTTTAACGACTTCATTTTAAGTGTTGTAAAACAGTCTTGAGCTATGGAAGGTAAACTTACATTAGAGAGGAAAATACTTACAGTTTGTTGTCCAGCTCTGCCAGTCTTAAATATGTTCCTAGCCAATCTTTCTTGGAGGAAAAATTAAGTGGCTGTTTTCAAATTGGAAAATTTCCCCATTCTCCTCTTTCTCAATCTTAAGGATATGAGATTTCTTACCAATGTCATTTGGAAAGTATATTTATAACAGATGTGATAAAATATATGTCAGGTACACTTCTCTTTAAACCTAATATAAAAATCTGGATTTATAAAACAGACAATTTAGGGACCCTTATAAGTATTATAAGAATTCATTCAACTTTTTTTTTTTTTTTTGGCATACAGACACATCATAAAAGGATACATTAATTTGTAAAAATTCTGATATATATAGTGTCTCAGGAATATTTTAAATTTTATATTCTTAGGATTACTTGTGCTTTTATTCAGATCTCATTGGCAGTGAACTCAATCACCTTTTTTTCCAGGATCTGATTTTGCCATGAAACTATCAGTACTGAAACTATGTGTAATTTCAGCCACACAGCCTAGTTGCATAGATATTATTCACCGTCTTTTGCAAATATGGTCTCACTAACAAACCCAGGGTCACACAGCTAGGGAGTGGTGGGGATCAGGATTTGAACTCTGCCCATCTGACTCCAAAGCTTGTATTCCTTTTATTACATCTCTCTCCTTCTTAGGATAGCTCTTTTGTATGTTTTAGTGTAGAAGTATTTGAGATCTCCTAAATAAAACACTGCAGCTTAACCATAGCATATCCACTTAACCATACCGTATCAATAAACATAATGAAACTTGCAGAACTTCCCCTTTTCTGCCCCTTCACCATTTGGGTATAGATGTGAATTTGAGCATTGGATAATCTAGCTTTTAACCCCGTTATTAATAATGTTCAAGACGTAACTCTCTAATTCATTGCTAGTGATCTTTTGCCCAAAAGGATAAATTTCATTTTTATCTTTCCAAGTTCCTCTCTCTGATGGATCAACAAGGAAGAATATGTTGGCATCAGGACAGTTCTGGTCCTGTGACCAGTGTCGCTTTAAGCAAGATGCTCCTTTCTCTTCCTCCTTATGTTTAAGTCCATAGACATTTACCACTTAGGCCTCAACCTCCATAGGCCTGCTAATTATGACACAGTCTTGGCCTCAGTTTCCTTGACCATTAAGAAAGACTTTTTAAAGGAATCAATCCACTTCCAAATACAGTTAAATATGTAGGTTCATATATGAAACAAAACCCCTTTTAAAGGAAAAAGATATGTCTTTTTTCTCATGCTGCAGTGGAACATAATCCCCCCACCCCATTATTTTTTGTTGTGTACAAGCAGCAAAGAGTCTATACAGGATAGGAGGGATTGCACCAGCATATGGTATGGGCAGGCAGTCAGGAGAGGAGGTGGAGAAATATTAATCTGCTCTCAGTTCTCCAAAGATCATATTACGACATACTGTACATTGTTAGTGAGATCTTGATGCTGCAAACAAATGAAACTAAAAGCTAGTTGTAAGTGAATTGTAAGTTTGCTATGAAGCCCGTTATATATTCTGAATGAGTCTCTAAGGAGAAATTAGAGAGCCCAGGATGTGGGGTACTCTCCCTCTGACTTCTTTCCCATTAGCATGTATTATGCTTTTTTTTTTTTTTTTTTTTTTTTGAGACGGAGTCTCGCTCTGTCACCCAGGCTTGAGTGCTGCCGCGCGATTTTAGCTCACTGCAACCTCCACCTCCCGGGTTCAAGCGATTCTCCTGCCTCAGCCCCCCAAGTAGCTGGGCTTACAGGTGCACACTACCACGCCCGGCTAGTTTTTGTATTTTTAGTAGAGACGGGGGTTTCTCCATGTTAGCCAGGCTGGTCTTGAGCTCCTGACCTCAGGCAATTCACCCGCCTCGGCTTCCCAAAGTGCTGGGATTACAGGCGTGAGCCACCACGCCTGACCTAGCATGTATTATGTTAACAGACTTTGAGCAAGAGGATTGACTTGGATAGGTTGTGAACAATCACCCCCCTAAAGTACTTAAAGGATGCTTTTGGGTTTTGAATCTGGTTTACATTTGGGACAAAAAAAGGGAAAGCTTTATTGGTTTATCAATATCTTTGTCCAATGTGCTACCATGGTTTTATAACTTCAGTCTACTTTCAAGTAGCATCTATTTTGAAAAAAGGATGTCCTTCCTAGGGTAAAACGAAAGACTTATTGTTCTAAAAAATGCTGCTTCCTGGTTAAAGCAACATGTTCCTGTTTGTGCTCAATGACTAGAGAATTTGGGGGAAAAAATAGCTTACTTTTTTTTCAGAGTCCTTTAAAATAGTAGTAGTCATGTGAATTTCATTTGTCTTGGGAAGTGCAGTTGGGAAGGTTAGAAATTTTTCAGTTTGTGTGTCATAGTTTTTTGACCAAAATGGAAATTGAGACACTCTAGGTAATTTAACTCTCCAGCATTATTTTTCTATAGTTGTTGGTTGAAATTTCCTTCTATGAATGTTTCTTGTTTGCATAGAGAAAAAAAGAATCTAAAAGTGTAACTCCCTGAAGGCCATACATTTCTTTGTGCATCTTAAGAGAAAAGTCTTGCTCTGTGATGCTACATATTTAGTTTTCACTAATGGTTGCACATTTCAGGTTGGTTTGAGGAGCGGGACTTCTCAGCACCCCATTCTTACTCACTTGCCTTTCTGTTTTTTTGCTGGTAGAGGCAATTCCATGCCAACTAATTATTTTAAGAAAAGCCAACAACTAAGGGGAAATGAAGGTTGAAACTTCTGTGTGAGAAGTGAAGGAGGAGAAATAGGAGTGACCACTATGGGCAGGAAAGGAGTGGGGGTAGCTCCTGGGCAGGGCAGAGCTGGATTGTTTTGCAGTGGCCTTTCATGCCCTAAATCTCCTCCCTTACAACTCCTGGTAGATTTCATTTCTCTTGGTTGTGCTGCCTGAAATCTCATACCACTTAGAGGTTTGTTTGGACTATGGAAGTACAAATGCCGACAGACAGTTCATGTGCAAGTTTTAAGGGTTCCTATTGAATGTGTTCAGATTGCCTGCCTTTAATTCTTAGACCAGGGCATAGTGAGCCGATATGGGGCTTGGGTAATGTGAGGTCTCGACACCTGGTGAGAAGGTAGAAAAAATTGATAGGAAGATTAGAAATGAAAGGCAATGTGTGCCTATTTCAAGACATTGCTTAGTCCCGCTTGCTTTTAGGAAAGGATAAGAAAACTTGTCTTCCGTTTTCCTTTTTGTTGTTTATGCGATCTGTGGTAACTAATATTTGGCTGCTGACCTCCTGATTGAAGAAAAGCTTAAACACAGATTGCTTCTTCCTTTAATTTGCATGTCTTTTGCTTATCTCTAGTAAACTTTCTTTCATTTTTCGGGGTCTGAGAGCAGAGATTTCTTGATGTCTTTGCCATAGTTTCTCTTTTTTTTCCTACATACCCAAATCCACGTTGGTCAAGTTCATATTACGTAGTGAAACATTACTTATGTGTTGCCTGCCACTCCTGTTAATACAACTAAGAAGTCTCAAGTTTACATGGAGTCTATCTGTAAAGCCACCTAACTGCATCTATAATAGCAGAATAATGTAGTCTTTTCCCCTAGTTTATAGGCTCCTTGTGGCACAGACCGTTTAAAACAAGTTTCATGTGGGATGATGTACTGTAAGAGCAATAGAAGAAACCCTGAATGTAATTGAATTTATTTAAGAAGTTTATAGTCTGGTTTGATATATAAAATACAAAATGAAGCAGTTACTACACAGGGTTTTCTGGTTGTATACTGCTTGAATAATGACACGTTTGAAAGTACCCCCTAAAAATCATGATTATATGGATATGAATGTTTTATTTATGCAGGTACATATAGAAAGAAAAACTGCTTTTTAAGTTTGTTCATGCAGTAAGGTGTAATGTCTATTTCCCAGTTTTATGATACAGGCTCAGTAACAATTTCCTGATTGATTTACTTATGTCAGTGAATTATAGGTGATAATATTCCATTCTTTACATTTTTATTAACTAATCAACAATCTTATTTAATTTGTATGTTATAATTAAGATAAAGAAATAATGGTTATTATTCAAAGTATACATTCATATTCAAAATTGTTAAATCCATGTATATCATACTAACACACATAATGTGTATGACGTAATTTGTATAAGAGCGTGGCCCTTATACAACTGTGAAACACCGTAATGTTGAAAAGCAACAGATTAATAAAGTGCCACTTGATCAGTGAGCTAGCTTTTTATCTTTGATTTTTCTTGGGTTAGTTGAAGGCGTAGAAACTTGATTATTTCAAGGCCTTTTGTTCTATTTTAAGGCCTTAAGGCCGTTCTTTGATTCTGTCTTGAGGCTTCCAAATTCTTGCTTCTACTGTGTCTCTTAGACTTCTCCATCCTTTCCTGACATAGCTTTTAAAAATTTTATTTATTTTTTTCTAATACTTTTCCAGATACACTTTTCTGGTCAGTGTGAATTTATTTGCTTGATGGTTAAATGAATGCAAATAGTCTTTTTGCTTAGATAAAATCAGTTTTAGGCCTTGGGCAGATTATGACAGGTTGACAGGTAATTTAGTGAAAACAATGTAAGACTTTAATATTAGCCTTACATTGTCAGAATATAAGCTCCTCAGAAATGGGAAGACAGTCTTTTTTTTTTTTTTTTTTTTTGAGATGGGGTCTCGCTCTGTTGCCAGGCTGGAGTGCAGTGGCACAATCTCAGCCTCAGCCTCCTGAGTAGCTGGAACTACAGGCATGCATCACCACGCCTGGCTAATTTTTTGTATTTTTAGTAGAGACGGGGTTTCACCATGTTGGCCAGGGTGGTCTCGATCTCCTGACCTCAGGTCATCCACCCGCCTCGGCCTCCCAGAGTGCTGGGATTACAGGTGTGTGAGCCACCATGCCTGGCCGGGAATACAGTCATTCTGTACTATTTAACAACTTCAAGTAACATACAAATTCATATTTAAACAAGAATGGTGAACTTTAGGATTATCCAGAAGGATCTTTTATTATAAATGTTTCATTGGGACATTTTTATTGGCTTTCCTTGAATGCAAATAGAACATTATGATTGGAGCCTGATTGCTTTTCTAAAGGAGGGGTTTATTAGATTTAGGAATGTACACTTTGTTAACTGGATAGGGGAAACAATTTTGTTTTAATTTTCTTATTGGTATTGAACTTATGGGACCTGTTTTTACATTTCCATCTTTAAATAGCTTTTAAAAGGCTTCTTGGAAATATCGGAGTACAGATGGATAAAATGAGAGGCAATCAGTTTATTTGAAAGTTGTCTATATGACGGTGACATTTTAAGTCCCTAATACTGATAAATTTTAAATTGGAATGACTTAAAATTATAAATCATGTCTTAACATACCATAACATTGTTTTAAGGAGTAAAATAGTCTAAAATATTTTAGACTGAAAAGCTTCCTAGTATTTTCTTTTCTTCTTTTTTTTTTTTTTTTTTTTTTTTTTTGATACAGAGTCTCACTCTGTTGCCCAGGCAGGAGTGCAGTGGTACAATCTCGGCTCACTGCAACCTCCTTCTCCTGGGTTCAAGCGATTCTTCTGCCTTAGCCTCCCAAGTAGCTGGGATTACAGGCATATGCCACAACACCCAGCAAATTTTTGTATTTTCAGCAGAGATGGGGTTTCACCATCTTGGCCAGGCTGGTCTCGAACTCCTAACCTCAAATGGTCTGTCTACCTCGGCTTCCCAAAATGCTGGGATTACAGGCGTGAGCCACTGTGCCCAGCCTTAGTACTTTCTTTAAAAGGTTTCTAATTCCTTATCTAGTTATTCTGTGAATTATTGTCATCTGTGTCCTTATATAAGATTTAGTTGCACACACAGTTGTAATTGTTCATAAGTGTTCTCAGGCTACAAAAAGTTTTTTTTCTTAATTAAAAGGATTAAAATTTAACCAAGAGAGTATGGTCTGTACACTGAAAAGACAAAAACAATGTTAAAAGAAATCACAGAAGACCTAAATAAATGTATAGACATCACATGTTATGGATCAGGAGACTTAATATTTTTAAGATGGCAATACTACTCGGATTGGTCTGCAGATTCAATGCAACCCTACTAAAATCCCAACTGGCTTATTTGCATATACCGACAAGCTAATCAAAAAAATTAAGATTGAAAATGCAAGGCACCTAAAAGAGCCAGAAAAATCTCTTGTGAAAGGTAGAACAAGGCTGGAACACTCACAATTCACAGTTTCAAAACTTAACTACCAAAGCTGCCTACTCAAGACAGCGTGATACAGGCATAAGGATAGACAAACCAGTGGAATAGAGTTGAGAGTCCAGAAAGAAACCCTTTTATATGGTCAATTGATTTTTCAGTGAGCATACCATTACAGTTCAATGTGGTAAAGAATAGTCTTTCCAACAGAGGGTTCCAGGACAACTGATATGCACATGTGAAAATAATGTTGGACCCCTACTTCACACTGTATACAAAAATTAAAATGGATCACAGACCTCAATGTAAGAGCTAAAACCATACAACTTTTAGAAGAAAATATAGTAGTAAATCATTGGGATCTTGGATTAGGTAATGGTTTCTTAAATATTACTCTAAAAGCTCATGCAACAAAAGAAAATAAATTGGACTTCAAAATTAATATTTTGTGCTTCAAAGGACACCATCAAGGAAGTAAAAAAGATGGTCCATGGAATGGGAGAAGATATTTACAAATTACACATCTGAATAAGGACCTTCTATCCAGAATGTATAAAGGACGGTTACAATTTAATGATAAAAAGACAGATAAACCAATTAAAATATGAACAAAGAATTTTTTTTATTATACTTTAAGTTCTAGGGTACATGTGCACAACATGCAGGTTTGTTACATGTGTATACATGTGCCATGTTGGTGTGCTGCACCCATTAACTCGTCATTTACATTAGGTATATCTCCTAATGCTATCCCTCCCCCCTCCTCTCACCCCATGACAGGCTCTGGTGTGTGATGTTCCCCACCCTGTGTCCAAGTGTTCTCATTGTTCAGTTCCCACCTGTGAGTGAGAACGTGTGGTGTTTGGTTTTCTGTCCTTGTGATAGTTTGCTGAGAATGATGGTTTCCAGCTTCATCTGTGTCCCTACAAAGGACATGAACTCATCCTTTTTTATGGCTGCATATTATTCCATGGTGTGTATGTGCCACATTTTCTTAATCCAGTCTATCATTGATGGACATCTGGGTTGGTTCCAAGTCTTTGCTATTGTGAATAGTGCCGCAATAAACATATGTGTGCATGTGTCTTTATAGCAGCATGATTTATAATCCTTTGGGTATATACCCAGTAATGGAGTGGCTGGGTCAAATGGTATTTCTAGTTATAGATCCTTGAGGAATCGCCACACTGTCTTCCACAATCGTTGAACTAGTTTAGAGTCCCACCAACAGTGTAAAAGTGTTCCTGTTTCTCCACATCCTCTCCAGCACCTGTTGTTTCCTGACTTTTTAATGATCACCATTCTAACTGGTGTGAGATGGTATCTCATTGTGGTTTTGATTTGCATTTCTCTGATGGCCAGTGATGATGAGCATTTTTTCATTTGTCTGTTGGCTGCCTAAATGTCTTCTTTTGAGAAGTGTCTGTTCATATCCTTTGCCCACTTTTAATGGGGTTATTTGATTTTTTTCTTGTAAATTTGTTTAAGTTCTTTGTAGATTCTGGATATTAGCCCTTTGTCGGATGAGTAGGTTGCAAAAATTTTCTCCCGTTCTGTAGGTTGCCTATTTACTCTGATGGTAGTTTCTTTTGCTGTGCAGAAGCTCTTTAGTTTAATTAGATCCCATTTGTCAATTCTGGCTTTTGTTGCCATTGCTTTTGGTGTTTTAGTCATGAAGTCCTTGCCCATGCCTATGTCCTGAATGGTATTGCCTAGGTTTTCTTCTAGGGTTTTTATGGTTTTAGGTCTAACATTTAAGTCTTTAATCCATCTTGAATTAAATTTTGTATAAGGAAGGGATCCAGTTTTACCTTTCTACATATGGCTAGCCAGTTTCCCCAGCACCATTTATTAAATAGGGAATCCTTTCCCCATTTCTTCGAACAAAGGATTTGAATAGACACTTATCCAAGAAGTTATATAAGTGGACAAAAAAGCACATGAAAAGACGCTCAACATCCTTAATCATTGGGGAAATGCAAGTCAATACTATTACACACTTAGTAAGATGATTAAAATAAAAAGAGAGACAGTAACAAGCTTTGGTAAGGATATAGAGAGCTTGGAATCCTCATACATTACCTGTGGGATTATAAAATGGTTGCAGTGACTTAGGAAAGCAGTTTGGCAGGTCCTTAAAGAGTCAAACATAGAGTTACCACGTGAACCAGCAGCTTCACTTCTAGGTGTATACCCGTGAGAATTCAAAATGGTGTTCAAACAAGAACTTACGCATGAGTTTGTAGCAGCATTATTCATAATAGCCAAAAAGAGGGAAGATCCTAAATGTCCATCAATTGATAAATGGGCAAATGAAATGTAGTATATATCTACAATGAAATAATATTTGGCAATAAAAAGGAAAGTACTGATACATGCTAAAACATGGATAAACCTTGAAAACATTGTGCTAAGTGAAGGAAGTTGTCCCCAAAGATCATATATTCCACTGTGGGATTTCATTTACACGAAATGTCCAGAATAGGCAAACTCATAGAAACAGAAAGTAGTTTAGTGGTTGTCAGGAGCTTAGAGTAAGGGGGAATGGAGAATGACTGCTAATGAGTATGGAGTTGTTTTTTTGGGTTGGTGAAAATGTTCTGAAATTAGTGAGATAGATTGTACAACAAAACCACTGAATTGTTCACTTTAAAGGGATACATTTTATAGTATGTGAATCATCAGTAAATAAAGCTGTTAACACTTTGAAAAGGAGAGGATTATTTTACAAATTTCTTAAAATAGATCTGTTGTAGATTTTGACTAAGGTTTAAGAGAGGAGTAAATATCCCTCATATTCTTGATGTCAGAAACTATGTGTAATCCTAGACTCCTAGATATTAGAGTCTTAAAATACTAAATCCTTTCTGGCTTGTCACAAATGAATATAAACAGGACTTTGAATTTTTACTTCTTCTGAACTTTCATAAATAACTTTGAGTCTTTTTTTTTCTATTTACTGCAATGTGATCTGGTAAAACAAGGCACGTTTTCTTTTTTAAAAGAAAATATTTAAACTTAAGTATTTCTATATAAGAAAATATTTCTATATAAGATGTAATTTTGGTAAGAATTGAAAAAAATTGAATTTATATCCATTTTTAAGTGTAGCCAGGAAATAACAAGCATTCATTTTATATTGACTAAGAAAATAATTTGATTTAACTATGGTATTGACAAATATACTGTGAAATTAAAACTTTGTACTTGCTATTTTGATGTAAAAGGCAGAAACAGGTGATAAAGAACGATTTATGAGGAATTTATTTTTATAAGTTAATCATTTTATTTTATATTTTAGTAGGTTTAGTGCATATCCCAGAAGCAGTTGTAATGGATGACATTTGTACAACTGAGCTTTTAATAATGTTTATTTTTACTGTCTTAAGAAAACATGTATTTTTAAAAAAGCTATCCATAGTTTAATTTGGTTTGTAGATACAGTGTGACTTATTTTAGAAACCCCTTTTCCTGACAGGTCTAATAATTTCTATTCTTTTCTTTGAAACAGGATCTGGAAATAGTATATTCCTATTTACATGGTATGGAAGCCTTATCAAACTTGAGGGAGCATCAACTTAGGTATGTCATTTTAATATTCAGTTAATCATAGAATGGTAAAAATTTGAAGCATGTAACAATTTAACATTTTAATTTTTTACTTTTATTCTTACTTGACATAATAATTGTACATATTCGTGGGGTACATTCTGATATTTTAATACATGTATACAATGTATTGTGATCAAATGGGGATTATTAGCATGTCCATCACTTCAAACGTTTATCATTTCTTTGTGTTATAGCATTTGAAATCCACTCTTTGAGCTATTTGAAAATACACCACAAATTGTTGTTAATGATATTACCCTATAGTGCTATAGAACACCAGGACTTATTTCTCCTACCTAGAATGCTAGAATTTTATAGATCACTTACTGTAGTCAACAAGTAGGCTTAAAGGAATCTTATTCATGAAAAGTCTGCTTCATCTAGGTCCTATACTAAGGAGCTTAAACTTACACTAATAATATATACTTAATTAAGTTTTACTTTTACAAAGTTGAATTCAATTGTATCCAGTAAGAGAATAATATTTTGACATTTCTGTCATAGTTATATTCTTCCATTTCCACCCCAGGGTCTGTCTCTGTCTCTTTCTTCTTCCTCCTCCCCTTTTTTTTCTCTGTCTCTCCCCATCCCCCTCCACTTCCCTCCCTTCCTCTCTCACTTCTCACCAAAAGTAGTAAATGCCACTTGGTGAATATATCAATAGGGGCAATATTTGCCATCTTGGCAAATAAAAACCTACTACTTAGCATTCAGATATATTAGAAACCAGAACCTTTTAAATTAATCATTTAAAGAATTACTAGGTCCATTATTTTAGTATGTTGTATATCTTTGTTTGAATATTTTATTGCATTAAGTAGACTACCTTTTTCAGAGAAACACAGTTTATACTATATTTGTTTTTATGAGATCTGCCCATATAGAAATCTCATCACTTCTGTTGTACAGTAATACAGCAACTATATTTATGTTTATCTGGGCTTCATATTAAAGAACAAAAATGATTTTACCTTAAGTGGGATATAAAATAAAGGACCTTAGGAAGATGGATAATATATAAACACCAACTAGGACATAATGGGAAAGTCTTGTTTTTTCCAGGTCTAGCTATTTTTGATGCCAGCGGGTTTTAATTATGAAAGGAATGCTTTTTCCATATATTTCCCCTTTACTCTTTCAACACTAATTAATTTGTGAGCATGTCAATTCCATATTTAGTTAATTGAAAAGAATATCAAGAGGATTGAGTACTTCTAAAATTAAATTTTTAATGAAAGTCATTTAAATTAAAGTAGATTGTAGATTAAGTGTTTAAAAATTAAGTCAAGTTTTATTAGAAAGGGCAAAACCACTGGGATTTTAGAAGATGGCTCAAATTAGAGCAAGAATAATTTTTAAAGTGTGTAACTTTCATTTTATATTTTGTGACGACAACTTTGCTAAGAAAAAATTGTACTAACAATTATTTAATTGCGTGCGGTTAATTCATAAATGGAAATGCAACTAATTAATATGTAAATACAAATGTCACATTCCCACTGTGCACATAAAACCACACATGTAATATTTAGATATATTGATTATATAATGCATTTTATTTAGATAATAGGAATTCTATGCAATAGAAAAAGGATTTTTTATACTTACAGAAATTTTCTGGATGACAAAAGTATAAATAGGCTGGGCGTGGTGGCTCATGCCTGTAATCCCAGCTCTTTGGGTGGCCGAGGTGGGTGGATCACTTGAGGTCAGGAGTTCAACACTAGCCTGGCCAACGTGGTGAAACCCCATCTCTACTAAAAATACAAAAATTAGCGGGGCGTGTTGGCAAACGCTTATAATCCCAGCTGCTGTGGAAGCTGAGGTAGGAGAGTCGCTTGAACCTGGGAGGCAGAGGTTGCAGTGAGCAGAAATCGCACCACCGCACTCCAGCCTGGGCAACAGAATGAGACTACATCTCAAAAAAAAAAAAAAAGAAAAGAAAAAAAAGAAAAGGTATAAAAATACTAATGAAGTTCCATACACCCATCAGCCAGTTTCAGAACTGTCAACTTTCTGCAGCTGCAGAAGTAATTTTGGTTATAAATAATAAGTTCAAGGGTATAGTTGAGTCTATTTACACCTTAGAATGTCTATTTTGGAGCCTACACAGATGTGTTTGTTGGCATGAACCTACAGGGCGGAGCCTGTGAGATGTTTATCTTATGCTTGTGTTGAAGTCATATTAATGGAAAACATCACCTTAAACTAATTTAAGTTCTTTTTTAGAACAAGATCAGGATACCACATACATAATAACAAAAATAGAGGTACAGATAAACCCAACAACTTAAACTGCTTTATAATACTACAATTTCTGGGAAAAATATATCTCCTTTAGATAAATTATTTTCCTTTAATTTTATACCCTGGGAATAATAGAGAGCAGTCAGTTAAGACTTCCACATGACACAGTTTTACAATTTTAGGAAATAAGTGCTCATAATCAAGATTTTCAGTCTGTTAAGTATTGGGCAGTAGAGCAGCAACATTCGTGTTCTCCTGTGGGGGAGTGGAAGTGGCTTTTATTTATTTGAAAGCTTCCCTGCATTGTTACAGAGCAGTTAAAGTAGACATTACTGTGTTGCTGTAAGATCACACACTGTGCAATGTAAAGGTTTTTCAGATCTTCACTAAAAACTATGTTTCTTCATCATTTTAACTATTTTTCTAATGTTTTATCCGTTTAGTTTATATAGGCAAGAAGCAGCATATTTGCCAGCGGGGAAGAGTATGCTGTAATTGGGAGCAGAGACCAAAAATCTGTTTAAAAAAGTAGAGTAATTGGGGCTATTCAGTTTTGGAAACAAGAGCCTGCTGAAATAAAATAATACATATTTTCTGCAGCATCATGGATGAGTGTAATTGTTACTATATAGGCGCCTTTAGATCTTTGAGTAGTAACCGAATTATGGTTATTATTCTCATAGGAACTCAGGGAAGGTCAATATGCTTCAGCTAAAACATTGTCTAACAATGTTTAAAGACAAAAAGCATTTTGGTACTTGATTCCTCCATTTATGACATTTTCATATAAGAGATTTTATCATGACTTTCTGATAGCACTGTTTAAATTTATTTTATAAACAGTTATCAATTGATTGTATACTTACTGTGTACTTGATATTGATGTAGGCTCTGGAGATACTGCATTGAAGTAAATCAAACCCCTGACATCACGGAACTGAGGTTCCTAGTGGAGCAGAAAAGATTGATATTTGGATCAATGTTACTTTATTTAGTATGCTGGACATGATGAGGATGGGTGCTAGACAGCTCTGGCTTTGGAGTCAAAAGGAGGGGTGACATTAGAGTCAGGACAGCCTGCAAAGATTTCTTCAGTGTAGAGGTGCCCCAGATGCTCTGTCATGGGCACAGGCTTGGTGCAGGGAAAGGCAGGGTCCACGGTATAGTAAGGCACAGTAAGTAAGTAAAATATAACAGTGTAGAAGTATAGCAAATAGCATAGGAGTTTGGATTTTCTTTTAGAGGTTGTGGAGATTAGAGTGGAGCTGTGAGATCATCTGACTTAGTGGTTGGAAAGATCTCTGGAAGCTTTGTGGGGCCTTGTGGGGAATGGACAATAGGCATGTAAAGGTGGAAGCAGAAGTCTCTGTACTTGTGGTCTTGGTAAGGGATAATGGTGGGATAATGATAGCTCATGCTAGATTTAACAGGAGAGATGGTGAATTTGGTCAGTTCTGGAGGATGTATTTTGGAAACAGGTGATGGCGGAAAGATGTATGTGAAGAAAAGAGAGAAGTCAGGAATGATGACTCTAAGGTTGTTACTGTATTAGTCTGTTCTCACTATAAGGCCATACCCGAGACTGGGTAATTTATAAAGGAAAGAAGTTTAATTGACTCATAGTTCCGCATGGCTGGGGAGGCCTCAGAAAACTTACAATCATGGCAGAAGGGGAAGCAAACACATCTTTTTTCACAAGTGGCAGGAGAGAGAAGAATGAGTGCCCAGCGAAGGGGGAAGCCCCTTATAAAACCATCAGATCATTTAAGAACTCACTAACACCAGAACAGGACTGGGGGAACCAGCCCCATAATTCAGTTATCACCACTGATCCCTCTCATGACATGTGGGGATTATGGGAACTGCAATTCAAGATAAGATTTGGGTGGAGATACAGCCAAACCATATCAGGGTACTAATTCTGGGAAAGCATATTTTGGGGGAGAAATTCATATTCTGTCTTAGATATTGTAAGCATGAGGTGGCTGTTACATATTCAAGTGGCAGCACTGAGTAGGCATTTAAATGAGTGGCTGCCGTGATGAGAGATCAGGTCTGGGGCATTGCTTTGGAAGTCATCAGTGTATAGATTAAAATCATGAACTGGGTGAGATTACTGGAGCATAGAGAAGAGGGCTAAGGACAGGACCCTGGAGATGATAACATTTAGAAGTCAGGTAGAGGATGAAGTTGGGGAGCATCCAAAAGAGACAGAAAAAAAAAATGACTAGTAAGTTAAGCTGGAAAAGCAGAAGACCAAGGACAGGTTGCTGAAAGGAAATAATGCTGTGAGGAAAAAGGAGTAATCAAATACTGCAGAGTAGTGGAATTGCTAAGGACAGGTAGGATTCTGATAACAAGTTGGATGCTGATTATTTTTAGAGCTTTTTCTTTGGAGTTTTAGGGACCAAATGATGGAGGAGTGGGGAAAGGGGTGAGAAAATAGAGATAGAATATATAGACAACTCAGGCCGGGCGCGATGGCTAATGCCTGTAATCCCAGCACTGTGGGAGGCCAAGGTGGACGGATCACGAGGTCACAAGATCGAGACCATACTGGCCAACATGAGGAAACCCTGTCTCTACTAAAAATACAAAAATTAGCTGGGCGTGGTGGCGCGCAACGATAGTCCCAGCCACTTGGGAGGCTGAGGCAGGAGAATTGCTTGAACCCGGGAGGTGGAGGTTGCAGTGAGCTGAGATCGCGCCATGGCACTCCAGCCTGGTGACAGAGTGAGACTCCATCTCAAAATAATAATAATGATAATAATAATACTATATAGACAACTCTAAAAGATTTTCTGTGATGGGAAAAAAGCAAAATATAGATAATAGCTGGAAGGAGATGTGAGGTCAAGAGAGGAGTTCCGCCCACACGATAGGTGATATCTTGAGTTATGTTACATATTAGAGGACGTGATTCAGTAGAGAGGAACATGGAGAAGGAGGTAAGCTTGCAGGAGCACGGGGTCTTACACAGGAGTGCAGGGTCTTCCGTGGAAGCAGGAATGAGATTTGGGGTGGAAGTAAAGAGGCCGAGGCAAGAACCCTTCTATTCCAACAGGAAACAAGGCAGAGCCCATTATCTAGTTTAAGACCAGATATTTTTAGACTTAATGCTTTTGGCTACCATCTTTTCCTATGAAAAATTGTTATTCAACTTGGCAACTCATTGAAGAGGAATGTATGCTTAGTAAGATGTATTCAAGACTCACTGCTGCCTCCTGGAGTTAAGTGAGAATCAGCTGCAATGTTTCCAGGAAGGGATTGAGGTTAAGGACCTCTAAAGTACGGTGGTGGGAACGCGAAGAACAAGGAAAAAAAGTACCAAAGAGAGCTGTTTCTTTGATTTAGCAAACCGAGGAAAGAAAGATGGATGTGGGGTGATTCTAGTGTTTCACAGGTTGGAGAATGGTAGCCCGAATGACCAAAATGGAGGTGCTGTTGAAATAAACACTTTTAATAGCCAGCTTTTTCTATTTCTAGTTCCTTCATAAGATGGAATAGTAATTCTCTGATTTGCATTTCTGTATTTTGGGAAAAATGTAATTGACTTAATATAATAGGATGCTTCTTGAAGATGCTATTCTCAGGGTAATTTTGAATATTTAAAAATTATTCATGTTTTTCATAATTTTTATAATTTCGTAATTTTTTCAAAAACTCTGGGATGAATCAGCTGAAGTAACAAATCTTTAAAGTTCTAAAGCCTCCAGTTAGTCAGTGGTCATAAAAATATCAAGTTAATTAGAGCCTTAGAGCCTACTTTTATCTGAAATTCCATAATGTGGAGTAACATTCTTGTTGAGCCGTGAATGAGTGAATGATGTTATCACTTTTAAAATCAATAGGTTTTCCTTTTAAACTTTTAGGTTCCTTCTCAGTTTTTATTTATCTTGGGGAACATTAATTTGTCCACATGCCATTTACAAAATAGAAAATACACACAATGTTCTTCCCCATAAAATAAACATGGTGAAGTTGACATCTTACTAGATATTTTCTTTTCTAGCATACTTTTACCAGATTTAATGTAATGTAATTTTATTAACCCAGGTATTAAAAATATTCATCTTGAGGCTAATAAATGATTGTGACAAACCATATAAAATAATCAATTTTCTAGACTGTATGTGTCATTTAAGGGTTTAAAATACCAGTCTGTTTTTTAGTGACAGATGTTGAACTCATGTTTTTATCTCTTTTACAGGTTAATGTGTGAAACTGTGAGATATGAGAGACACGAAGCAAATGAAGTTTTATACTAGTAGGTGTTTCCTTTTTGTTTGTACAATGTATCTAATCCAGTGACTAAATTTTCTTAAAGTATCAAAGGAGTATTAGTAACAGCTGGCTAAGTCAGCACTAACTTATTTTTCTTAGTTGAGAAATGGGAAACATTTTATCTGTTTCCTGTCATAAAATAAAAGTTTACAGTTCTTTCCTGATAAGTTCACATTTGTGTCTATATTTGTATCTCTCACATGTGGGTCAAAGATACTATTTCATATTGTAGAGTATTTTGACATTTTTATTATGAAATAAGAAATAATATACAGTTTTTCTAATGGAACAAAACATATATTCCCACAGCCACACCAGATGAAATGTGAAGATAGCATAAAGGCCATATTTTAGTTTATAGTTCTTTCAGAAACAGGAAAATAAGCTGCCCCCATGTCTTTGGGTATAATTGCATCTTTCGATAATATTAATATTCTTTTCAAGATGTGCAACATATTCCTTAAGAAAAGACAGCGTATTCTTAAAGAATATATAGTAGATAAATATTGGCATATTAACATAAATTATGATTTATTAGACATTTTGTTTCAATAATGTTTGCCATGACTGTTGTTTTGTTGACTGGTTTTCAAAGCACTTACTTTCTACCTTCTAGACTTATTATAGGGAATATTTATTCAAATAAATAAGTCCCAGCTTCTGCCTTTAAGGAGTTCATAATCTGTTGAGGAAGGTAGAAATAGAATACAAGGAAAACAACAACAACAGAAACAAACAAAGCAAAATAATTGTGAGAATGTGGCTATGTTCCAAGGGTGGAAGAAGCACAAGGGAGCGTGTGAAGGAAATGAGGAGAGCCTCAGCAAAGGGGCTGTGGAACCAGGTCTCAAAGATGTGTCCCGGAGGCTGCAGACACTTTTTAGGCAGAAGGAACAGTATGTGCTGGGACGCAGAGAGGTGACGGGGCCTGGCCTGATGTTTTGAACATCATAGCAAGTTTAGTGTGACTGGCCTGTGGTGTGGGTCAGGGTGGTAAGTCAGGAGAAGACGCAGTCTACAGTCATACTTGGTCAAGAACGTGTTGTTCAGAAAACGACTTGGATCCTTCAGGCAGATCAGGTCCTGGGTTCTTCAGGAGATTTTTTTCCCTCCTAAATAACATGTTATGGAAAATTTCAGACACAATATTTGACACAGTGGTATCACAGACCCCCAAATACTCATTGTCCAACATGGCAAACCCATGGCCAATTGTGTTTTCATTTCTTACTCTCCCCTCCCAGCTCCAACTGGATGATTTTGAAGTAAATCCCAGACAGCACAGTTCATCCATAATTATTATGATATGTATCTCTAAAAGATAGTGACTTTAACAAACCTTAAACACAAGATTATCAAGTCTTTAAAAATAACTCTTTAATATCATGAAAATATTCAAAGTTTTTGTCCTTTTTTTTTAACAGCTTATTTATTTGAATCAAAATCTAAAGTTTATTCATTGTGATTGTTGATTTTCTTTAAGCCTCTTTTAATAGTAGCTTGGAGGCTGGTTTTCATGCAGCAAAATGATGTGATCACATGTCTCCCAACCCTCCCTATCTACCTGTTCCCTCAAAGGTAATACCTGTGGTTGTATGAAAATATGAAGGGTGAGTTAGATAGATTGAGTGTCTGGACAAAGAGATCAGTAAGGAGACAGTTACAGCCATCTGAGGTGGTAAGTGCTTGAACTGAGGCAAAGACTGAGGGAATGGAGGAGTCAGGGATGTTGGATTTTAGAAGAAGATACAGGTAGATAGAATCTAGGATGATTCTGAGGTTGCAACATGTGAAACTATGACGTCTGGGACCTGTTCAGCAGGCAATAATAAATATCCATCTCAAGCTTAAAAGAACCTACACCAAATATAGAGTCGTAAATAATCAAGAAGTATTTGATAATGAGAAAATTAACAAGAGGCAAGTGCTCTTAACATACTTATTCCCAGAAGAAATGAAGATGTTAATAAAGTGTTATTTTGGGAGCAATAAAAAGTTATCAGTGGAATGAGTATACAAATAACAGGGATAGAGACATTTGAATTCTATTACTGGCATTTATCAAAGCAGTCTAGTAGCAGTAAGCATCAACTTTCTAGTATTTTGTCTTCCTCTGAAACGTGGTTTGGATAGTATTGATGATGATGAGGTGATAGCCGACATTTAACACGCACTTCCTATGTCCCATGTCCTCTAATAAGTGATTTATATGCATTCATTTACTTATTCTTCGTGGATATCTTGTGAAGTACTTGTTATCATTATCCCAGCTGGACAAACTGAAGCTTTGAGACGATAAAGAACTGCCAAGCTCCCACTGCCTAATGTGGGACAAAGATTTGAGCCCAGACATTGTGATTCTGCAGCCATAGCTCTTATCCTAGTCACCAGCATTTTCTGACCCTTTTCATGCCTTGTCACCATAAAATAATGCTTGTGTACATGCTGGGGTAAACACACACTCTCTCCCTGCCCCAACCTGTTCTCCTAAAGTGGCAACTGAAACCCGCCAGCAGCTCATGCTACATTATGACTGCCTAACAATTATTATTGATTACTTATTTAAATCGAAGGTAGATTACAGTGTCTTCAAACATACCTGTTTTTTTTTTTTTTTTTTTTTTTTTTTTTCCCCAAGTAGGCTTAGAGGTTTAGACAGTGCATGTGAGCTATGCTGATAATGCCAAGCCATATTTTAGGTAATCTTAAATTTGAATGCATTCCACTCTGTAGAGTTGATTGTAGCACCTGCCCGTATTTGACTAGTTAGAAGTAGGTGACAGTGTTAGTAAGTGATGAAAAGTCTTTGGATATTCCACAAATTATGATTTCATAAGGCCCAAAATTCAGAGACTAATTGTAAATTCACATAATCAGATTTCTAGCGTTTGGCCAATCTTGTGATGAAATGTAGTTGAATTGTTTTCTTCCATGATCCTTAGACATGTTTCTGCTCTTACCAATTTGTGTGAGTTCGGTTTTGAAAATTAAAAATTATTGTATTTGTGTTATATATATAAATTTGTGATAATAATAGTACTCCTCTTTTTCGGACCTGTTATTATTACCTTTTGGGGAAATGACTTGTTTGTTCTTGTTCTTCCTTGAGTTTGAAGAACACAGTGTAGTCAGAAATATCAAAGGCTTTCACACTTTGGTTTTATGACCAAGAAATGAGTAGAGTAGTCATTTTATTATGTTTATGTGCTGGTGCCTTCTAAGTCTATGGTTTCAATAATTTTGCCAGGTAAATATAATACTCTTTTGATCCACCCCTGTACCTCGTTTTTCTCACCTATAATGTGGAACCGATAATAATAGTTCCTACCCGTCAGGGTTGGCATGAGGATGAGATACAGTAACCTGTACAGAGTGTTTAGAGCAGCATGTTCAGAATAAGTACATAAGCACGTTAGTGCCAGCATCATTGTCATTCTCATCACTGTTTGATAATTTACATTTTGGTCTTCCAATATTTTAGTTGCTTTAAATGTTTGTCAGGAAGGAATTATGATAGTGATGCTCTAGCTCTGATGGTGTTATTGTTTTAACATGAACGACCAAGATGACAAAAACGCCATTTTAGATTGTATTGAGTTGGGGGGAACATTGTGATTCTGATAAGATTGCATTTTTAAAATTTAGAGTTGCCCATTTGGAATCAAATTGTGTTGGTTTGCATTAGAAAGTTAGAGAAAATTAGCTCAACTTTACAGAATGGAAAAGCCTATCAGGTAATTTCTGCCTTCCTTGCCTTTATTATCTACTCTGTTAGGTATTGTGCTGTTTTGTGGGAATACTGAGGCGGATAATATGAATTCCTCACCAGAGGGACCTTAACTTATATTTGTTTTTATTTAACAATTTAATCTTAAATGAGAAACATATATGTAAAAACACTGGATAAATCGTAGTAAAAGTTGCAGCATACTGCCAATAAGAAGTTGGGAATTTGTTCTCTGGAAAAATTCTTTGAACCTGGGGCTGTCTCATAGTACACCATGGAAACTGATCTGCTTTAGTTGTTTCTTAATGGCCAGCTATCTTCACAAATAGTGAAGTGAAACGGAAATACTGTTTAATATATAATTACATTTAACGTGCTCAAAACCTTTGGATCAGAAATTCAACCATTGCAAAAGTTTAAGTGTCCACACACACACACGCCCACACTATAAATAAGTGTAACTGTGCACCTCATTGCCTGTTTTCCACATACATGTGAATGACTGCTTTGGTTTCCAAAAGAGTTTTCATAGCACTTTGTAAGGGGTTTCTCTCTCTCTATTCCAGGAGAGGAAATTGTTCTCCATAAAAGAGCTACATTGAGGCCTGTTGGGTCTTTTAAAGCATTTTCATTTAAATCTGTAAATGTGCAATTTAGAACTGCAAGCCTCAGCTGAGCTCTTGTTGCTTTTAGCAGTCTTTGCAGTTGCTGACTTGGCTTTCTGTTTTCACAGCAGCTATTCCCACTGCTCTGTGAGGCTGCTCAACCATCGCTGTCCCCTTTCCTTTCTCCCACACCTCCTCTAGGCAACTCTGCCTCAAGTTTGCTTTCTGGTCTCAAACACCCTAATTTATCTGTATCTGCATTTACCTCTTGTCCCACTCCTGTCTCTAGGAGGAAGGGATGTCATTTTGCCTGTATGATGGAGTTATTTCTGTTCTCATTTGTATCTTCAGCCTCTTCTTCCTGCCGCGTTTCTGAGACCGTAAGCCTGACCCTAAGCGTGCCACGATGCCTTCCATCCTGAAGTTTCTCCTTTGCCTCTCTTACTCATATCCAATTATTACACTATTTTTTCCTTCTTGATGTGACCAAGATTTTATTTTACTTTACATCACAGTAAATTGTTTGAAAATTATTACAAAAGCACTAATCTACTACTTAGATCATTTTTATAGCCCCCCACCCCTACCCCAGGAAGCAAAATACTGCGATTCTTTCTTTTATTTTCTTTTCTTTCTTTCTTCCTTTCTTTCTTTCTCTTTCTTTCCTTCTTTCTTTCTTTCTTTCTTTCTTTCTTTCTTTCTTTCTTTCTTTCTTTCTTTCTTTCTTTCTTTTTCTTTCTCTCTCTTTCCTTCCTTCCTTTTTTTCTTTCTTTCCTTCCTTCCTTCCTTCCTCTCTCTTCCTCTCTTCCTCTCTCTCTCTCTCTCTCTTTCTTTCTTTCTTCTTACTGTTTTTTTCTTGAGGCAGAGTCTAGCTCTGTTACCCAGGCTGGAGTGCAGTGGCACGATCTGAGCTCACTGCAACCTCCACCTCGCTGGTTTAAGCCATTCTCGTGCCTCAGCCTCCCAAGTAGCTGGGATTACAGGCATGTGCCACCACGCCTGGCTAATTTTTGTAGTTTTAGTAGTGCTGGGGTTTCGCCATATTGGCCAGGCTGGTCTCAAACTCCTGACCTCAAGTGATCCACCCACCTTGGCCTCCCAAAGTGCTGGGATTACAGGCGTGAGCCACTGCGCCTGGCCTCTTCTGTTTTTACCCAGCAAGATGTAACCACCGTTTTGAAGTATTTTTCTGTCCTAATTTTATTATGCTTATGTGTGTACATAAAGAAAATGGTGGCTCGAGGTGGGCGGATCAGTTGAGGCCAGGAGTTCGAGACCAGCCTGGGCAACATGGCGAAACCCCATCTCTACTAAAAATACAAAAATTAGGCGTGGTGGCATGAGCCTGTAATTCCAGCTACTTGGGAGGCTGAGCCACGAGAATTGCCTGAGCCCCAGCAGCAGGGTTTGCAGTGAGCTGAGATCACACCTGGGCAACTGAGACCCTGTCTCAAAAAAAAAAAAAAAAAAAAAGTGAAACCAAAGGTTTTAATTTATTTGAAAAAATGGCATCTTTAAAGACTTAGCCTTTGCATGGAATTGTAGGACACGGGTGCTCAACCACCTCGCCTGTATGTAAGTATGAGAATTCAAGCACATGCACACCCATGCCCACACAGATACTTACGAAGGACTGTTTTATGTACATACGGAGATCCTTTAAGGCTTCTTGACAATGATATTTTTATATTACTATTTTAAAATGAAAATGTTTTATTTTTATGTTGAGCAGAAGAGTATTTAAATAAAAACGTTGTTAAAAATACAATTAATCCATAATCTTCATGAGGGTAGGGACTATGTTTGTTTCAGGTTTGCCTTCTCATGCCTACCATGGAAATTTGCATTTAGTCTGTTCCCGATGGTTTTTTTTTTTCAATTCTCTATTCAAAAGAAGGAACTCCTTTGATCTGTAGATAAAGACCTTCATTATGGTCTCACTTCCTAATAAAATGGCTGGTTACACATCATCAGGTGTTGGATTCTTCGTATCAATTTTCTGTGAAACTGCTTAGTGAATAAAAACCTGTTTAGGGTAAGGTATAGGAGAAAAATACAGCTTGCTTTTTATATCCTTTCTGATGTGAGGGGTAGTGGTGCTGTCAGGTGTTTTGCAGTATTGTTGCAGTTTCTTGCTGTTGGGACTCCTATAGTGAAGTTAGGCAGATTTAGCTTTGAATTTGACTCTGTCTCTGGGTGTGTATAAGTTACCTTTCATTTTTCTGAGACCCAGGTGACTCCAGGTGAGAAACAGGTTTCTTGTGAAGATAAAATTGCAGCATATGAATCTAAAAGAGACATTTGTAAATTAATTTCATAACCCATTAGTAGTTTCCAAAAGAGTCAAAATTTCAGATTCTTTTAAATGTGATAAATTGTTCCTTGAGCCCTTGGATCTATTTCTTTACCCTCAGTTTAGCTGACTCATCGATTTGATGTAATCTCTCTCTCTCTCTATATATATATATAGTTTGTATTGGTGTTTTTCCTTTCATTTATCATTTATTGAATAGCTTCATAACTCCCAGTGTTTCACTCCTTCCTTTCATGTTAAAAATGAATTTCATAAATTTAAGATTGTGCCAGGCACAGTGGCTCATGCCTGTAATCCCAGCACCTTGGGAGGCTGAGGTGGGTGGATCGCTTGAGCCCAGGAGTTCGAGACCAGCCTGGACAAAATGGCACGACCCTATCTCTAAAAAAATACAAAAATTAGCCAGTGTGGTGGCGCACCTCTGTGGTCCCAGCACTGCTCAGGAGGCTGAGGTGGGAAGGTCACTTGAGCCTGGGAGGCGGAGGTTGCAGTGAGCCAAGAGTGCACCACCGCACTCTGGCCTGGGTGACAGTGAGACTTTGTCTCAAAAACAATAATAAAAATAATAAATAATGAAAAAAATGATAACATTAATGAGCCTATAGAATATCTGGCTTTACTGGTTCTTTAGTAGTTTACATTGTTTGCTAGTTAAAAAAAAAGGATGTCTGCTGTGTCCCCTGTATTTTCAGTATAAAGATGAAATGTCTTCAATATTTTCATCAGCTTTCAGAGTTCTTATTGATCTTACTGACTTTTCCTGTTTTGTTGGTTGCAATTCCTTGTAAATGAATTGCTATTGTTTGGAAAATAAGGATTTTTTTTGAAAATCTTAAAATGGTGTTTTCTTTCTTCAGAGTTTTTAATTATAAATGAAGTAATTTCCTTACAATTTAGAACTTTTAAGAAATAGAATAAAAATTACCCTCTACTTTAAAAATGTCATTTGTTTTCTTATTGTGGGAATTTATATATAATTGATATATTTACATATAACTCAGTATTATGAATAATATCATTTTATAATAAAATATCAGTATTCCAACAGTGGAAATTGTAAATACCAAAGCCCTTAACTCTTGTTAGTCCTCCTTCTAAAATTTGGCGTATACTTCATGTTTTAGTACATGCACTTTATATTTCTTTTGGCTTGATATCATTGTTGGGGTTGCTTACTGTGCTGTGTTGCATTAACTTATCTAGTGAGCTTGCTTTGTGCCATTTGACTATACAAAAATAAATAATGAAAACTTTGTCTATCAGCTTATAGCTCAGCGCTCCATCAGAGGAGTAAAAATATACAAATTTTTAAACTGTAATAAATCCAGTAACAGAAATGATGTAATGTATTTGTGAAAAAGATTAAAATTATTGTGTATCTGGAAAGCCATCTGTCTATTGGAAGGTGGCCATTGTTAGAACTTATTTTTTTGAAGCCGTGGAACACTTTGTTCATAGAAAATCCTGTTCAGCCCAACAATAGTAGCTATTATGGTTGAAAGAGGTTTGGACGCCTTGAAATCCCAAGGGCTCTTGACATTGAAAACCTCTGATCTCAACTGTCTGCGGGACGCCTATAAAAGGATAGAGGATAATTTGTTGTAAATAAGTAATTTTCACTGTGGTTTTTTGGCATAATCGTATATTTGAGAGCACAAGTCTAAGCTGGCCAGAAGTCTGTAATAACAGCAGTGTAGGTGAGCAAAAATGGGACCCTGAACTGTAGCAAAGGGTTTCGATAGAGACTTGGGAGGGGAACCCGCAGAATGTGATGATAGGCTGTGAAGAGGGAGAAGCTTCGGAAGTTGTCCCTTTATCTTTTGGTTGGAGGGTGTTGGTGAGACCGCAGATACAGGAAAATAAAGGTGTTTTTCTATTTTTTGGTCATGGGTGGCTGGCCCTCTGGAGTTCCTTGTGGTCCCCATGTAGTTATTGGAACCTTTGTTAGTCTTCATTTTATTTCACTTTCTTGTTTTATAGGCATGTGATCAATAGCCCTCGATGATGATTCCTGTCTCCTTTTCTCCAGATGCCAACAGCTTTGTCTTTTGAATGTGATACTGTGCGGTATTACATCCTGGATAGTATAAAGTGACCTTTCTAAAATAGCACCAAAATTGGTATTTGATGCTATATGTGGTTCTCAGTTGTGCCGAACCTGTCTCAGATAGCTGTGTCGTGTGCTCGGCTCAGCCACTGTTTCTGGACATTTTGCCTATTCTTTCTCACAAAGCAATCGCCATCTTTTTGCTTCTCTGTTTTAATGACCTTGTTAATGCTGTCCATGTGAAGCATTTAGAGGAGCTTCCTCACTCCCCTGGGCCGCTTCAGGCTTGGCCATATTGCACTTGCTCTGCTAGAGTGGGAGGAGTCTCTTCTTGTACCCCATACACCCTCCTTGTTTCATATTTTGTCAGGATCATCTGGGAAAGCACTAACTTCTAGTTCCAGTTTGCTTAGATTTTGCATGGGCACCATTCTTTCTGTTTCTGTTTATTGCTTCTCCACTCCCGAAAACCCCCCAAAACTTAGATGGCCATGTTTGTGGCTGTTGGGAGTCTTGTTTTGAGCTGATGGTCTTCTAGGATCAGCATCCTTTACCCACAGCCACTTCCGCAACGCCTGCCGCTCTGTTTTCTTTCAACTCTCTTTTCTCTCCTTGTCAGTCCCCCTTGGCTTTTCTTTCTTTCTTCGTTTTTTTGGCGGAGTTTTGCTCTTGTTGCCCAGGCTGGAGTGCAGTGGCATGATCTTGGCCCACTGCAACCTCCGCCTCCTGGGTTCAAGCGATTCTCTTGCCTCAGCCTCCCGAATAGTTGGGACTATAGGCACCCACCACCATGCCTGGCTAATTTTTGTATTTTTAGTAGAGACGGGGTTTCACCATGTTGGCCAGGTAGATCTCAAACTCCTGACCTCAGGTGATCCACCTGCCTCTGCCTCCTAAAGTGCTGGGATTACAGGCGTGAGCCACTGTGCCTGGCCTCCATGAGCAACCTTTTTGGCTGACTGGGCCTCACTTAAGTTTTCACATTGTATTAACAGCTGAATGAAGTAGCATTTTCACAGTTATTTTCTTGCCCTCTAATAATTGTCTTTGCTGATTTAATCAGTTTTCTTTGGACTTAGTAGTTTTTTGTTCTTTCAGTTCCCTTGTCAACTTCAACTTGATCGCTTGCATTTACTGGCCACCTCCTTAAATGAGAATGTGGAGCGGCACACACAGCTCTTTCCCATGGAGAGAGTGCCACCTTGTGGATCTCTAGGATATTGCCGAGGAGGCTCTTAGATCCTGGCTCCATTTTTCCATTTACTGGTAAACTGAAGTTCACATCTTTGACTTTCAAGCACTTTAATACCTTACCTGGGTTCCTGTCTATTCAGTTCATTAATTTACTTATTAAGAAAATATTTGAGTGCCAATCAAGCATTATGTAGTGTATATATTGGGGGTACTTAAGAGTTAGAGGAGTTTAAAAACTATTGAGGAGAAACTCCCAATGTGAATAATTATGACGTTCTGGCACCTGCGTCACGTGAGCATGTACACAGGGCACTGGGAAGCTGGAAGAAAGCGACTCACTTTCCTTGGAATATACCAAAACACTTCTCAGAGGAGGTGATAGTTAACCTGGAACTAGAAGGATGAGTAATAAATTTACAAGAGAAAATATACTATTTAGAAGCTAGACTGCAGGTTTGTTCAAAACCTTTGTGGCATAGGTGGAAAAAAAAATGTGTGGCCTGGCCGAACAGGATGAAGTTTGCAGCATAAGGAATGTTGGGGTTGGGAGCAGAAAGCAAAGCTGTAGGTTGGTCCTTTCAGAGACGATCGTAAGAGAGGAAAGGAGATGAGGAAGATGAAGAGAACTAGTATTTTTTGTTACCATCATGCAAGGTACTGCATATATATTGTTTCATTAAATAAAAGGAGCTCTGTGAAGAAGGCATCAATGTCTTCCATTTTGCAGTTGAGGAACTAGAATCTCAGAATTTGACTTTACCACGATCACGTGGCTAGCGTGGAAGAAGGAATCTGTGCTCCAGAACCTGCGCTCTTTGCACAGCATTTCCTGCTTCCTTCATGGGCTCTGCCAGGGGGTTTGGACCTTCTCCTGTGAAGGACCATGGGGTTCATCAGAAGGATGTCATCTGATCCGATTTACCTGAGCAAATGATCACTGAAATGTTTCCCAGCTTCTACTAGGCATGATGCGCAGTTCCTGCCTTGAAAGGAAGTTCATTGTAGTTGGAAGAAGATGCTCAGGAATAAGAAATCATTACAGAAAAACATAAAACAATGAAATTAGATGGGCTAAGTATTTTAGAGTTTGGAAAACAGTGAGTGAGAAGATTTTCTTAAAGTAGTAGTTTTTGAGCCATCTCTTAAGGTACAGTGGGATGTAGAGGGTAGATGGAGAGAGGTAAACATCTTGAACAGCATGGCAGAGTTGGAATGAACAGAAGGAAAGCAGCCTGTCAGGAGCAGCAGGTTATGTTGAGGGGTAGTAGGAAGGAAGGTGGGAGAGGTGAGGGGGTCAGATCAAGTATTTCCCTCATGCCCATTATTCTTTGTTTAGACTTGGGATAATGCTCAGCGGGGATCATACAGTTCTGATTGCCCCAGAGGCTTTCTATCTGTTTACATTGGAAGGTGAACTGATCATTTTATAATGGTCTGTATTTGGTTTTGTTTGGCCTCGTTAATTTCCTTCCTGTTGATGAAAAACAGAAACAGGAGCCTTTTAGAGTTTCTCGTTATAAACCAGGGCTTTTGTGACTTCCGTTTTGTCCATTGTGGGATGAGATGTATTGAAATGAAATCAGTTGTCCATTGTGGTTCCTAGCTCAAGATCCTGTGGTCAAATTCTGAGATTCTAAGAAGGATTTGGTCTTCTGTAAGCGTGAATTCCCCTGATTAGAGAGACTCGCAAGTACTGCTTTCCTATACGAACCTCTTTAGTCTTCAGATTTCTGTTTTTTGCCCAGTACTGGTAGTGTCAGGTTATTTGGAAATCCTCAGTCAGGGTTCTTTCAGGATTAAGCTTTGGCATTTCAGCAACACTTGAAGGGGCTCCTTTGCTCATAATTTTAAAAAAAAATTATTTGAGGAAAAATTAAAATAGCACTGATTAATACAATGTATGTACCTAGTTGCATGGATATTAATAGAGTTGTACTTTTTTTCCTGCCATTTGTTCCTCTTGGGAGTTCATATTGAGACCATTTTTTCTGAAAGTTTTTCAGAGTTGGCCAGCCCCATGTGTAAGAAACATCCAGGATATTTGTTTAAAAGTCACTTTGATGGATCTCCTATCTAATGATCAGAAACTGGGGAATTGGGTGGGATAGATGCATTTTAAATTAACATCTTAGGTGATTCATTTGCACATCAGGGCCTGAGAACTACTAGATAGAATAGAATCTCAGTGTTAGTCTTAGATATTTATTATTATTACTACCACTACACTTACTTCTTGTCTTACAATGTGGTTACATCCCAATAAACCCACTATATGTTGAAAACATCCTAAGTCAAAATGCAGTTAACGTACCTAGCCTACTGAACATCATTGCTTAGCCTAATGATATGGTTAGGCTCTGTGTCCCCACCCAAATCTCATGTCAAATTGTTGTGCCATTGGGGGAGGGACCTAGTGGGAGGTGATTGGATCATGGGGGCAGATTTCCCCTATGCTGTTCTCATGATAGTGGATGAGTGTTCATGAGATCTGGTGGTTTAAACATGTGTAGCACTTCCCTCTTTGCTTTCTTTTCTGCTCCACCATGGTAAAACATGCTTGCTTCCCCTTCGCCTTCCCCCATGATTGTAAGTTTCCTGAGGTGTCCCCAGTCATGCTTCCTGTACAGCCTGCGGAACTGTGAGCCAGTTAAACCTCTTTTCAAGTTACCCAGTCCCAGGTAGTTCTTTATAGCAGTGTGAGAACCGACACATACACTTAGGCTACTGTAAACATGCTCAGAACACTTACATTAGCCTACAGTTGGGCAGGATCTTTTTTTTTTTTTGAGACAGAGTGTCGCCCTGTCACCCAGGCTGGAGTGCAGTGGTGCAATCTTGGCCTCACTGCAAGCTCCGCCTCCCGGGTTCACGCCATTCTCCTGCCTCAGCCTCCCGAGTAGCTGGGACTACTGGCACCGCCACCATGCCCGGCTAATTTTTTTTGCATTTTTAGTAAAGACGGGGTTTCACCGTGTTAGCCAGGATGGTCTCGATCTCCTGACCTCGTGATCCACCCACCTCTGCCTTCCGAAGTGCTGGGATGACAGGCATGAGCCACCGCGCCCAGCCGCGCAGGATCTTTTAACACAAAGCCTATATTATAACAAACTGTTGAGTACCTCATGTAATTTATTGGATATTCTATTGAAAATGAAAAGCAGAATCGTTGTGGTGCTGGAAGTTGAGTGTGTCGTAAAGACAAAAAAGCTTGTCAGACCATTGGAAGTTGGGCACCGTCTGTACTATTATTATTATTGTCAGTCTTCTCTTAACCAGCTTCATTGCCTGGAAGTGAGGTCTCAATTTGCATATCCTTTAAGTACTGAACAATTTGCTGCTGCTACTACTAAGTACTATTTTCATAATTTCAGTTTCATTTTTCTTAAAAAAACCATCACTTTCCCATTTTTACATACACATGTAAAAACCCTCCAGTGACAGCTAGCTGCACTGTGGAAAGGAAGTGTTTGCAGACCTTGAAGGGAAGCACGTTGTACCCCACACGGAAACTCTGCCTGCCTGAGGCATGATTGTAAGTGAAAAGAGTAAGCGTGGTTAGTTCAGTGCTTTCTAATAAAGTAAGGGGAATTTTCTAGACTAGTAAGACTAAATAAAACATATTTCGATGCTGACACCTCAGCAAGGAATTTTCATAACAGGAACTAAACATGAATTCTATGGGGGATGGATAGGAGGAGAGGAGAGGGGTTTTTCTAGCTTACAACTATTTCCAGAACATCTGTAAAATAAGAGTCACTGTTTTTTGTATTCTTACATTTCTTAACTATGTATTCTTACTTTTAATTAACTTACTTTTCCAAAATCTGAATCCTTAGAAGGGATAGCTCAAAGAAATTTTGCTTATCATATGTGGCCTGGCATGTGGTAAATGCTCACTGAATTTAATAAATGTTGATTGAATGGTCATTCTCTGCAAATGCCTACTAAAGCAAATATAACTCTTGCAAGTTAGCTTTGGATTCTTTGGGGAATGTAGAGAAACAGCCTATCTATCAGATAAACAAAATTGTAATAAGTGGTAGAGATTACCACTTACCTTCACATCCTCAAATCTTTCCCATGGATTTCCTGATATAAAGAGTCAACCCTAAATATAGGCTAATCGACGGGTGGTAAGGATGCTAGAGCATTCACTGCCACAGTATTTTACCGACTTTGAACACTGGTTGCCTTTCACTTCAAGTGTGTTTTATTATCAGTGCCAGGAGAGCTGAGTTTGTAAGCCTTGTGCTTAATTTGTCGATATTATTTTTGCCTTCAGAGTTGACAGACATGAAATAATTGAAAAGCCAGCTAATGTTTGTTATTTCTCTCTGTCACAGATAATCTAGATCATGGTGCCATTTATTGTACTTTCTAACATGTTAACTCTATTAGTTGTCACTGAATAATTATTTGCATTTAATGATCACGAACTGTTCATTTAATCCTTGCAGCAGCCTAGTAACTTGCCCCAGGCCACATAGTTAGGAAGTGGCAATCTACCTTAATTTCCTATTTTTCTAGATTTTATTTCCTTGGGCTAACGTTTTTTGTGATAAATGGAACACTGTAAAAACAGATTTTAAAAAGTTTACAGAGTATTTTTTTTCCCGCTTTCTGTTTTAGTGTTTCACCATTTGTTATTTAAAAATTATTAAACTAGTTTTGGGTCTGGAATAACAGTTTTACTTGGCATAATTCAGAATTTGAGAATAATGCTGTCATATTAATAAAGACAAATAAGTTTTTTTCACAAACCAAACGAATGATTGCTGGTTGCAAGAGCTAATGATTAAAAACTGAGGAGACAAAAATATGAATTACTCTTTGAAGTACTTTGCATTTTCACTTTAGAAATCTTTTTATTTTTATGGTTCTGCATTCAAACTGAACTCTTTGACAGTGCTTTTCCGTTATGTTTTCTTGAGGCATTGCTGTTGAGCTAAGTAGTCATGAATTTGGTGAAGAATGGACTTGGGGGGAAAGATGTTCCACTGCTGATTCACTTTGGAAGTAGATAGCACAGTGAAAATGATTAGGTGATAGTGATTGACATTATTAAGTAATGTAATTATTCAGAGTTGTAAATAGAATTTAGTGTCTTCTAAAAAACTTTTTAATGTCACAATACAGAAACCAAACAAAACAAGGACTTGGCAGAAATTGCTGAAGACTCCCTTGCAACGTGCATATGGTTCATGGGGATCTGAGAGGAGCATAGTATGCAGCGTCTATGATGTACTCTTGAAAGAAATGGGGTGTGCTCTGTGCTTCCTTTCTACTCCTCCCACTGGCTGGAGTGTGGATGTGGTGGATGAGATTTGGACCTGTCACCCTAGAATATGAGATGGAAGCCATGGGTTGAGGATGGCTGAACCATAAAATAGAGTGTGGCTTCCCAATATCGTGGAAACATCTTACCAGTCTTGGACTTCCAGTGTTCAGACTATTTTGTGTGTGAGAAAGAAATGAACTTTGGTTCATTTGGTTATGTTATGCCATTGCTATGTTTAGATTTTTGTTTTAATAGTAGCTGAGTTTATGTCCTAACTAATAAATTTGATGCAATTGACTATGTGTGATAAAATAACTTATTCATGGCAGAGAGCACCATAAACCAAGTCCAAGGGTAAGCAGCAAACTGGGAGAAAAGATATTCACAGCTCATGTTTTCAGAAGGCCAATTTTTATAAAGTACCCCTAGGAAAAAAAAAGAAATCTCACAATTTTTTTTTTTGTTTTTGAGACAGAGTCTCTCGCCATGGCACCCAGGCTGGAGTGCAGTAGCACAATCTCAGCTCACTACAACCTCCGCCTCCCGGGTTCAAGCGATTCTCCTGCCTCAGCCTCCCAAGTAGCCGGGATTATAGGCGTGAGCCACCACACTGGCTAATTTTTTTGTATTTTTAGTAGAGACGGGGTTTCACCACGTTGGCCAGGCTGGTCTTGAACTCCTGACCTCAGGTGATCCGCCTGCCTGAGCCTCCCAAAGTGCTGAGATTATAGGTGTGAGCCACCATGCCCAGCCAAAAAAAAAAAAAAAAAAACCCTCACAATTAATTGGAGACTTAGAGTAATTAGAGACTTAGTTAAAAGTTATGAAGTGATTTTACAAAAAAAAAATAGAAATGACTCATGAACTTAAAAAAGATGGTCTTATATGAAAAACAAACTGAGATATCATTTTCACCAAGCCGATTGGCAAAACATCCAAAAGCACTAAAGTCACCCTGACCTTGCGAGGCAGTGGCAGCCCATGGCCTTTGCACTCACACTCCTGATCCTCCCTGCCTGTTGCCTGGAATGCTGCTCCCTTCAGGATCCACGTGGCTAACTCACCTCCTTTGCTCAAATGTCTTCTCTATGAGACTTGAATGTAATCTCCGTGAGGGCAGGGATCTTTTTGTTGTTGTTCCCTGACATATCCTAAACATCCAGAAAAGCCTTCCACATAAAATTTGTCAATATTTGTTAAATTATAACAAACTATATTAGTAAGGTTGTGGGGAAGTAGGTAGGCATATAAATTGCTAACTACCTGTGGAGGACAGTTTGACAATACCTAAGAAGATTACTATGTATGTGCTCCTAGACCCAACAGTTGCCTTTCTTCCAGCTACTACTGTATGTGCAAAATTACTATTGCAGTTTTTATTTGTTTTTATATAATTGTATAATATTGAAAACAATGGGAAATGACTATCAGTAGGGGGTTGCTTAAGTCAAATATGGCACATCCATACATGCTTTACAGCAGTAAAAAGAATACTCAAGAAAGCTATCTTTTGATGAAAAGATCTCTGAGTTATTGCAAAAGAAAAGAACTGTGTAGAGTGTGCTGTCTTTTCTGTAACAAAGAAGAAAGATGATGGGAGGGATAAGAATATATGTCCATTATTGTGTGCATATACATAAAGAAATTCTAAAAGAATACCGAAGAAATAGTGGAGAAATGTGAGAACTTGCTGGACAGGGAAAATGATTAGAAATAGTAAGTTTCACTGATAGCTCTGGGTATTTTTTCATTTTATGAAGCAAGTGAAAGTATTTCATGTTCAAAAAAAGTAAAAAAACTTAGAATGGTAGATGCTATAGGTCTAAGGAACATTTGAAACATTTAAATGTACTGATAAATATATTTGGTGTATTTCAGGGATACAAAGTAATTTGTAAAAATGATTTCAGTAGTTGAATAATGGTATTTTTATGAATGTGTTGTATGCTATTCTTTATTATTTTAAAAGTAATATGGGTGCTGCACTTTGTGCTATATGTTTTAATTTTTTGTTGTTGTTGTTATAGGTAACAATCTGATTCTGTTACCTTTTCTTTTCAGCCCTGATGATATTGGGACCTGCTGGTATATCCTTCTTTCTGGTTCCGTGTTCATCAAGGAATCCATGTTTCTTCCAAGAAGCAGGTATTGTATAGACATTCTGTAATAGATTATCCATGAAGCTTGAAATTCTTTTGCAGAATTCAGTTCTAAAATTCTTTTCTCTTCCTGTGTTCTCTTCTGCTGATACAAAGCAAGACAGTACTTTGGGGTGTTGATGCATGAATCTTTAAGAAATAACTTTGTTTTGTATATACTTTTCCAATCTCTTTAACAAAGGGCAAGAACAGAAAACATGCTGATGACATGTGCATTTGTTACATGATCATGTCAGCTGTGTTGAGGGCACATTTGCTCCTAGGGAATAAAATCAGCTCAAGATAGCTTAGATAAAGGGGGACGAACTTAAAGAGTATAGCAGGCAGTCTCATAAACATCTAAAGAGAGGCAAAGAAAGTTCATTAAGACCACATGGGACTAGAAATGGAAAGCCAGGGACTTTCATTGACATTTTTTGCTTCTCAAGACCATATGGCCTTTCATTTTTGCATTTGTCTGTGGATTGGCTACCTGCTCTGTAAGGCTGTTAATTCCTTTCTCCCTGTGTCTTTGGCTTGTATGTGCTGACTACTCACTTATGGCCTTATGTCCCTAATGTTTACATTGTTTTGACTGCAGTGCTGGTATTGTCTTTAGATTCCTCAGGATACAATCTGACTGGCCTGGGTTGGGGCGGATGTATTCCTCTGTTCCAACCAGCTGTGGCCAGAAAGGGTTAGGGCTCATCTGTTACATACATGATTGCCTAGATTCAGGTTCCCCAAGGGTGTCAGCTACTGAGTTTCAGTAGTTACGTTTCTGTGTGCTTTTCGCAAGTAAATAATTTTTACTAAAGGTTTTAAAATTTTAAGTATTTTTATTTTAAATTACTAAATAAATATTTTATTTGAATCGACTAAAGTACAGGGATTGCCCCTTTCTGTCACTTAGCTCTTCTATAAAAATATTGTAATGTCTTGTTGATAAATATTCTGACTGGGTCAGGGTCATATTAAGAATCTATTTGAAAGATGTGAACAGATTTTTATAAAAGGTCAGAGTCTGAAACAAGGAGAGGTAATTTTGCACTGTAGAGAAAGATCAGCCTGGGTGTGGTAGCTGACGTGAGTAGAATGGGCTTTTGGTGGCCAGAATGCTAGTGAAGGAGTGCCAGAGGCACGTTGCATTTAATTAAAAATAATCTTGGGTGCGATTCTCATGCCTCTTTGCCCTTCTACTTCTTTGAGGTCAAATTGGCAAACATAGTCTCTTTGGAAAATGGTCACATGAGGGAGGGACACTCTATTGCCTGCTTGTTTCTGTAGTAGCAATAGTCTTAGAAATGATGCTAGCATTGGTGGTGGTGGTAGTAGTAGTAGTAAAGATAGTAATAATTGTAGTAGTAAAAATAATAGTAATAAAAGAATGACGACAAAATAGCTAAGCTTTTACAGTACTTTCCATTTACCAGGCACCATTTTAAATGTTTTGTATATGTTAAATGATTTCATAACTCTCCTTTGAAGTGGGTACAGTTATTACCTGTATTTTATGAATGAGGAAACGATGGTAATACAGGATGGAGCGTAGTTGTACCTCCTGGAAATCTGCCTAGAAAGCCTAGAGTGACCCTGTGAACCAGCTTCGATAATTCTAGGAATTCTGTTTTCGGCAGGAATGTCTCCATTGGAATCGTAAAGCTCTTCCACTCCTTCAGACTCAGGACCTATTATTTGGTCCCTTTTTGGAGGTTATGTCTGACTCTATTTCTGAACTTAAAAGAAGGTGCTGGCAAATGGTATTTAAGCATTGGCATATTTTAAAAATTACATATAATTTAATATAAAAGTAGTAATTACTACATACATTTTCAAAAATAAAGAGAAGAAACATTATCAGCTAAAATCCTGTCATCGGAGATAATCATTCTTTAATAGTATTTTTTTCTCTACACTTATATGCTTGTATTTAAGATCATGCTTTAAATACAATTTAATGTCTTCCTTATTCTGGTTAAAGAATATATGTGTTGCCTTATAATATTAAAAATTCTTCAAAAAAGATTTACTCTTTATAACTTTTAGTGCCTATTTAACATTCAGCTATTTGAACTTTCCACAATTTAGTTAATAATTTTAAAGAATACATTTTATTATAAATAATGCTGTAGCAAATGTAATTTGAAATTTATGTCTTAAAAAGAGCACTGATTGTGACTTTATCATCATCTTAATACAGGGTCTGTTGTACAAACTAAATCCATAAGACTGAAACCCTAGAACAGTGAAGAAGCCAGTAGTGGTCGTCCTTGACTACCAGCCATTATCAAGTAGTCAAGTAACAGCTTGTTCTAACTTCTGGAAAGGGAACTTAATGTTCAGAAGACTGCTATTCTAGAAAAAAGAGTTCTTGCAGTTCAGACTTATTTCTTGAGCACATTGGACTCTACGTCTAATTATTTTAAAAGATGACATAAGTTATTCTTTTTCTGGCTGGATGTCAAGTGCTTGCCAGTTAGTACTTTAATAGGGTGAAAGAGGGAATGGCGGTTCCGACGGAATGACAAGCCAGTACTATATATAGGTTATTCCTTCATGTTGCACCTGCTGACAGTTTGCACCGTCCAAGTTGCTTGTTTCCTTTGGGGATGTTGCCTTAGGAATAGGACTGAGATTGTTTTAATGAGAAAGAGTTTAATGGTGTTATGTTGAAGATTGGCGTTAGTGATTCAATATATATTTCTCTTCCCAGAAAATATTGAGGTTCTATATGGATTAGGTATTACTGACAGTCCAGTTTATAAAACAACTAGTTTACAGATTATTCTTCACCCCAAGTTTTTATCATGTAAGCCTGGAAATTGGTTATCAGTATATAATAAGTCAACCAAGCATTCTCTTGAAAGTGCCAACTCGTTTTGACGGGTAATTCACCTTGAAAGTACCAAAGTAGCTTGAACAACATTTTTATATTTTTGATGAATTCTTATGAAATTGTTTTGACACATGATTTCATCCGGTGAAAAGGATGATATATATGGCAGAAAATCTGTCATTTGGCTTCCAGATTTAATTAGCCTTATTGAAATCCTCAGTTGACGTTTAAGTCAGCATTTTATGTTTTTCTAATTTTTTTTCTTTTGTTTTTGTTATCTTCCTAGATAGATGAGGGTGGTTTGGGTATGTATTTTTACTTTGGTTGTTTGAACATGAGTATTGTTCCTTGTTAAGATTTGTAGAGCTTATGAATTCCTATGTGACTGTCAGTGACAGCTTGCTCACTCTTCTCCACTTCAAGCAGTTTCAGTGATTATGAATGTTGTTTTTGTGAGTTTTATTTTTAATCTACTAGAAATTTGTCAAGTTTTGAAACATTGATATTTATACAAGTGCCTGTAATGCCATGTATTTTATGTTGTTACATATATTGTTGCCTTCAGATAGAGCTGAACTCTTATTTGATTTACAGTTTGTATTGAAGCAAGGTACAATTTATAGTTATTGTTTTCTTAAAAGTCTTATTTAAAATGAATTCAGTTTCTTTGTATCAATGGAAGATTGCTATCAAAGGTAATTTAAGAATGGAGTGTATGGGGTGAGAGAGAATATTTGCCATAGGTGAATATAGAAACAGAGCAAACTGTGATGTGTTTTTTCAGATCTATGAGTGAAGCAATTGTGGACACTGTTGTAAGGTTGTGTGCTGCATAACTTTATGAGGTGCTGATTACACCCATAGTCATTGTAGGTTGATTTATTAAAATAATTGACAGGCAGAGGGTAGTAAGAAGAAGGAGTTTTTCCTACATAATATTTTCAAAGGCATCATTTGCAACAGCTGTGGGGCTAGACAGCAGTAGATGAAGATTATCTTATGAGGTTGCAGATTTAGAAATGGTTTTCTAATGTACCTTTGCTTTATGCTATTGTACCTAATGGATAGGAAAACATTGACAATTTTCATTGCCCCTAATTACCCTAAATCAGTATATTTAAAAAATTGTAATAGAAATTGTGGAATTTAAAATTTTGTCTAAAATTACCCCATTCTATGAATGATGAAGCTTATTTCCTAATAAAGTCACAATATGATAATGAACCAACATATTATTTTTTGCCTGCTGACTTCCAGAAGGCTAGGAATTTATTAAAGATAGGTTCAGGCTGTATTTCTAAATGTGTATCTAGCTCTTTAGATTATTTGTTAAAGAAGGAGATAGTTTACCTAGGTTTTATGTTAACTCATTGAGTTAGAGTCTTTTTCTACTAATTTATCAGTCATTAAAAAACCTATTTGCAAAAGGAGAAAAAACAGTATACAATTTTTATTTTGTGGGGAGGGAGTTGTGGAGTCTTACTCTGTTGTCCAGGCTGGAGTGTAGTGGCACAATCTCAGCTCACTGCAGCCTCCGCCTTCCACGTTCAAGCAATTATTGTGCCTCGGCCTCCCAAGTAGTTGGTATTACAGGTGCCTACCACCACATCCTGCAAAGTTTTGTAGTTTTAGTGGAGATGAGGTTTCACCTTGTTGGCCAGGCTGCTCTCGAACTCCTGACCTCAAGTGATCCTCCCACCTTGGCCTCCCAAAATGCTGGGATTACAGGTGTGAGCCACTGCCAGTTTTTTGTTGTTGTTGTTTGTTTGGTTTTTAAAGAGACAGGGTCTCAGTCTGTCATCTGGGCTTGAGTGCAGTGGCGCAATCTTAGCTCACTGTGGCCTCAACCTCCTAGGCTTAACCCATCCTGTCTCCTCAGCCTCCCAAGTGACTGGAACTACAGGCACACACCAGCATTCCCTGCTGATCTGAAAAATATTTTGGGGGAAAGATGGGGTTCTTGCTGTGTTGCACAGGCTGGTCTCAAACTCCTGACCTCAAGTGATCCTCCCACCTTGACCTCCCAAAGTTCTGGGATTACAGGCATGAGCCACTGCACCTGGCCTGTGCTAGATATTTAAGACATGAACCATTGTTATACAGAGAAACTCTTTTTATGTTGGTCACAGTCTTAAAAAATCACTGCTATTGAAATGTTTAGTCTGATTTTCTTAATAAAATCAATTTTATCATAGAAGTCTCAAAGGAAGGGCCTTTTAATAGAAATAGTCATGTGTACCATATTTAATCATAAACAACATCTTTATTGCTCTGATAGTTTAAAACTTTTTATATCTTTTATATAGAGCATTTGGAGAGGAATCTCTTCACTTTCTTTTATGTGGTGACCAGGTAGGGACTGTAAGGTTGAAGGGAAATTAATCCCAGGGTAGCTATTAGTCTAGGAATTTCCAAGATGCCAATAGGAGGTTGGTAATTAAGGCTGGAAACCGGAGAGATTAGGACAAAGACTATACAGAGAGTGGAGGCTTCTCATGCATGGACTCTAGGGTCTGAAATACCAGGTTATTTGGGCATCAGACTTAGTAGGCAAAATAATCTATACTACAAGTGTGTTAAGAAATTTTATCTGTCACTGAAAATGTACTGGCAGTGGGAACTGCTGTACTGTGAAGTGCCATCAAAATTGAGGTTTGCTTCAAGGGCCCTTTCCATGCTTATCTATGGATTATCCTGCTCATTTTAAAACATTAATTGAAACATGCATTGACCACACTCCTACTGTGTGGTCTCTACACTGAGTCCTGGAATATTCAAAGGAAGCAAGATGATCTACCCCTGCCATCATGTAACTTAGTATCTGCTTGGGGCGATGAGGCGGTTGCATAGGAAATAGAAAAAATTCCCTGAGTGTCATTGAACAAGTAAGTTGTACGGTGTAAATTGACATGGCAAAGACCATACAGAATGCAAAATCATTTCAAAGATGGGTATTTTAATGTATGTGGAAGGTCATCAAGGGTGGCTTTTAAGGGGGTATTTTCTGAGTTGGGTTTATAGTTTAGATTGTTGGAAAGTGGTCAGAAAGAAAATGTGGACATGATAAAGAACATGAGTGATGGCACAGAGATAGGATTCAGCGAGGACAATTCAAACATAACCAACAGCTTGAGTGAGGGTAAAAGAATGAGATCAATTTATCTAGAATGCAAGTGTAGTTTAGGGAGTGAAATAGTTACAGAAGCATTGGTAATAGTGGCATTGATGAGAGCTCTACTTTACAAAGCTGTATAACTTGGTTGGAAAGCTGGGACTGTTGGTAAATTAGGTCTCAGGTAACACTGGCAGAAGGTTGAAAGAAATGTGCATATCATGTATTTGCACCACGTTGACTGTGTCCATTTACAATTAGTGCTTCTCCTTCATTGATACCAACTGTATCCATAATTTAAAAATTAAAATTGTGCTGTGGTACTCTTAATAATCACATTTTAAATTACAGCTGGCAGTTATAATGAGAATAAGTGGAGAAACAGGACATTTAACTAATCAGTTTGGAGAGGCTGAAATACTATTCTCATTATGATTCTCGTGACAAACAATGAGCTACTTGAGTTTAAAAATCGCAGGCCTACTTTCTGCTTGCCGGTGCTGCGTGATAAGTTAAGTGATTGCTCTGAGAGCTTGCAAGGTTTTTTTTAGTAGTGAAAGGAGGTAAAACAATGGATGAGTGGTTCTATGTGGCAGAGACTGAAGACAAATTTACTTGTTTGTTTTCAAGTGGGATTATTTATTTTAATTTTGATTTTGATTTTAGATTTAGGGGGTACACGTGCAGGTTTGTTACAAGGGTATATTGCTTGATGCTGAGATTTGGGTTTGATTGAACCCATCACCCAGATAGTGAGCAAAGTATACAATAGGTAGCTTTTCAATTCTTGCCCGCTTCCTTCCTCCTCACTCTTGTAGTCCCCAGTGTTTGTTGTTGCCATGTTTATGTCCATGAGTACCTAACGTTTAGCTCCCACTTATAAGTGAGAACATGTGATACTTGGTTTTCGGTTTCTGTGTTGCGGCCTCCAGCTCCATCCATGTTGCTGCATAGGACATGATTCCATTCTTTTTTAAGGCTAGTAGCATTCCATGGTGTATATGTACCACATTGGCTTTATCCAGTCCACCACAGATGGGCACCTGGGTTGATTCCATGTCTTTGCTATGGTGAATAGTGCTGAGATGAATGTGCAAGTGCAGTTTTCTTTTTGGTAGAATGATTTCTTTTCCTTTGGTTATATACCCAGTAATGGGATGGCTGGGTCAAATGGCAGTTCTATTTTTATTTCTTTGAGAAATGTCCAACCTGTTCTCCACAATGTCTGAACTAATTTACATTCCCACCAATAGTGTATAAGCGTTTGCTTTTCTCCACAGCCTGTCCAGCATCTGTTGTTTTTTGACGTTTTAATATAGCCATTCTGACTGGTGTGAGATGGTATCTCACTGTGGCTTTGATTTGCATTTCTCATAATTATTGATGTTGAGCATTTTTTCGTATGTTTATTGGCCACTTGTATGTGAAGACAAATTTAAGTGTTTCTTATTTCATGTAAAGAGCTATATAGGATTAGAAAATCGTATTCTTGAAAGAGTACACATTTGTTATAAGTCATACAATGACTTACTGGAGATGCCTTAAGGAGTATGGCATTTTAAAAATAACTCACTAGTGAATTCTGTTACAGAAGGGTAACTTTATTGGACATTAAACATATCCAAAAGGCATAAAGATAAGTGAGGGATGGAGTTCTGGAAGTTGTGTATTCACGTAAGATTTACTTTCAGGTATTGGCAAAAATCACAGCTGGAGTGCAGATTAAGCATGGTAGGAGGGTGGTGATTGGAGAAGGAATGGAGGGGAAAAAGGAAAAACTACAAATCATGTTAAAACTGTCCTCATTGAGTTTTACAAGTAATATACTGGTCTTATATACCCTTTCCTCCTACCGTGGGAAAATATCACTAACTTGTAATAGGATTAAATGAGGCAATACGTAAGCTTTTTAGACATTTTCTTTATAGAGAACATTATTAGAAGTTGTTGGCCTGGCGCAGTGGCTCGTGCCTGTAATCCCAGCACTTTGGGAGGCTGAGGCAGGCAGATCACCTGAGGTCAGGAGTTCAAGAACAGCCTGGCCAACATGGTGAAACCCCTTCTTTACTAAAAACACAAAAAAATTAGTCGGGCTTGGTGGCACAAGCCTGTAGTCCCAGCTACTCGGGAGGATGAGGCATGAGAATCGCTTGAACCCAGGTGGCAGAGGTTGCAGTGAGCCAAGATCACGCCACTGCACTCCAGCCTGGGCAACAGAGCGAGACTCCATCTAAAAAAAAAAAAGTCGTTTTCTTGAAAACCATAAGACTTTATTTAATTCATATTTGGAATGGCCTAAAGTTAGATGATGGCAGAATTAGTAAGGGCTACTAAGTGTGTAAGAACTGCTTACCTTAGGATTTGTCTTGTGCAACTCATTATCATGTTATTTTTGCAGAAGCAGGTGATTGGGCCCTCTAATTGGCCAGTTAATGAAAGTACTAGGTTAGGCAGGGAGCCATCTGTTTTAACCTAAAAATGTTCAGTTTGATCTATGCATATATGTATAACTGAATCTACAACTGAGTTAAAATATACACATGTGCATAAATATATATTTGTTTGTGTGTATGTGTATCAGTTCATCCTCTAGGACTTGACTCTGTTCCCTAAGTCTTCTGCACTTATTTACCCTGCACCTAATCCAGCAACAGGTATAAAAAACTGACATACCCGTATTAGTTTTACAAAGCATTAACCTATGAAGTAATTATTAAGTTAAGTAGATAGTTTATCAAGAATGGGCGGTATATGTATTGTTCTTTTTAAGATATTAATGTGTAAAACCTAATCACTACAAGGGATAGTGTCCCAACTGTATCCTTTTTTTTTTTTTTTTTTTTTTTTTTGAGACGGAGTCTTGCTCTGTTGCTCAGGCTGGAGTGCAGTGGTGCGATCTGGGCTCACTGCAAGCCCCGCCTCCCGGGTTCACGCCATTCTCCTGCCTCAGCCTCCCGAGTAGCTGGGACTACAGGCACCCGCCACCACGTCCGGATAATTTTTTGTATTTTTAGTAGAGACGGGGTTTCACCGTGTTAGCCAGGATGGTCTTGATCGCCTGACCTCATGATCTGCCTGCCTCAGCCTCCCAAAGTGCTGGGATTACAGGCGTGAGCCACCACGCGCAGCCATAACTTTATCTTTGAAGAATTGTTTACCAAAAGGATTATTAAAAGTTATGAGCAAAAATGACCAGAACTGATTTCTAAAATCAGACATTACTCCAGGTTATTAGTCATGTCTTTTCAAGAGATTCCTTACCTTAGTGCTTAGTCCGTACTAATGAGCTCTTTTATCCTGACTTCTGTCCTAAACTGCTCACCTGCAATGTTTGATATGCGTATACTTCTATCTTATTTGTCCTACAAATATTATTGATTGCTTCTTATATGCTTGCTTAGAATGTGGTGCTGAACTAAAAGAGAGATCCTCCTCATGTGCTATCAAAGCCAAGAGATAAAAAGTGTTTTGAGAAGGTTCACTTTGTCTAGTGCTGCAGGGACATTCAGTAATGAGAGACATAACCTTTGGATTTAGCAACTTGGGAGTCCTATGTGACCTAACAGGACTAGTGTTAGTGGAGTGGCAGAGCTGGTTGAGGAGACAATGGGGAAAGAAGAATTGGTGAAACAGAAAATTTCATCATATCAAAAAATTTCATTGTGAAGTAGAGCAGGGTGGTGGCTAGGACTTGTAAAGTCAAGAGGGGTTTGTTTCTTCAAAGTTAGGAGACACTAGCACGTGTTTGTGTGTTGATGGAAATGATCCAGTTGAGAGAGGTACAAAGGTGATACAGGACAGAGGGGAGGTACTTGCAGAAGTGGATGAAATTCCCACAGTGGGGTGGGATGGGGTGGGGGAGGTGTTAGCTTTTGAGAGAGCAAAAGCACTTCATGCTCTTTTATAAACTTAGGATGAGAGATGTAGGTCAGTTGGTAGATTTGGGAATTCCGTGATTTCCTGCTGCCAAACATAAATCCACACTCCTTGGCGAGACATACAGGACAGCTCAAAGTGCTTCCAGCTTGCGTTGCTTCCAACACGCTCTACAGTTACTGATCGCTGTGGTCTGGACATACTTTTGTCTAAGCTGTTCTGTCTGTCTGGGATATCCACCACATTGTTATCACCTTCCCCCTACTCTGTGAATTTCTTTGGGAAGTCTACCCTTGTATTCCTGTCAGGATTAATCATTCCATATCCATACCAAGCTGTGAGATTTTCAAAGGTGTGGGCTCTATTATTCATCTTTGCTTCCCCAGTGCCTAGGACACAGCAGGCATTTAATAAATGTTTGCTAAATTCTGTTGGGTCAGAATTATATTTTTAACTTGACCTTTAAAAAAATCACTTTAAAAAGTTTGACAATATTATGATAACATATTCCCTTTTAGAAATAACTTTTCAGTAACCTACAATTTATTTAATGTCAGGTTGATATAGAGGAGAAAACCAGGGAAAAGAATGAGGTTGGAAGGTAATGGAAGGAGGAGTCTGGGGAAAGCGTATGAGAAATTGATATTGTTCGACCCTTGCAGGGATGTAGAAGAGGAAAAAAGGCAAATGGTGTTGGCTGGATATTGGTTTTCTTACTATGTTAGTTGTAATCAGTTTTGGTTGCAAAAACCAATTGCAACAACACAGTAGGACCCAATTTTTCTCTCACAGAAAAGGACCCTGGGAGTGGATGGTTCAGGATGGTTTGGTGGTGGCTGCAAAGGTGAAAGGTTACAGGCTTCCACCCTTCTTCTCCGCTTGTGCTAGCATGTGGCTTGCATTTTCAGGGTCAGTTCGTAGCACAGATGGCTGCCAAACCCCAGCCATCATGTCTGCATTGAAAGCTAGAAGCAGGAGGAAAGGCAATAGAGCAAAGTTACCTTTTCCATTCAAGACAGATTGCTTGAAGTGTCATTTCTATTTGTATCTCATTGTACAGAATGTGGACAGTAGTAGTCATGTGGCTACTTCAGGCCACCCAGGATCCTGGGACATGTAGTCTTTTACTCTGCAACGTGATGTGCCCTGCTAAAAATAATAATATAAAAACTATCCTTCTAAGGAGAAAGAGGAAAATGGATATTGGGGCAGGGAACCCACGGTCTCTGTTACACCTGCTGTTCAGTTTTCCCCCTCACTCTCAGAGTGCATTAATTGCCTATGCTTACATTCTACATTGGCTTAGCCACGCTCCTTTAGCTCTTATATCATCTGTAATTCCTATTTGTCCTACTGAAAGTTGACTCAAGTCCTGGTATTCCTGTGACATATATAAGGCAAAGGCTTAAAGATCTTAAGGAAGTGCTGGGAGAGAATTCCAAATAAGGCAAAGAAAATGATGAAACAAATATCAACTTGGTTCAACTAGAGTTGATGATATTGAAGGGAAACTTTAGCTACACTAGTTTTAAGTATATTCTACTTTAAATGTAAAATAAGGTAGGTCTCTAAAGAAGTAAAGTGAAATATGTAAATAGTCACAGTGGTATATATTAAAATATTCCCCCTTCGGATATTAGTCATAATTTCTGCTTCAGTATGAAATACCTTCATCCTGGAACACTAACATGATTTTTAGCATCATTTAGAACCCTCTTTCCTCTTGTACATCATATTCCGATGTGATACCTGATGCACAGAGCAAAGCTGTTCTCTAGAGAGAGAGAGGGTTCAATTGCTGGATCAAGTTGGGAATTTGGTTGCTATAACTACAACATCGCAGATGTGCTGTACATATAAATGCAGGCTTCTGTGGCCTTTGGAACACTGGGATTGGTAGTGTCTTAACACAGTAAGTAGCCGTAAAGAGAAGGACTCATATTTTTTGTGTGTATAGTTGATGGAGTTCCACAGGTCACCTGGTGCTTCACGTGTTCAGTTAGGGCATTGTTTGTGATCCTTGCTATAAATGAGTGTGTGATAGTTCATCCCAGAAGTCCTGGTTGCAGTGATGTTTATATTTCTCTTGAAGAAATAAATAATGCTATATTTCATAAAGATTTTAGAGTCTGATGTTTGTGTCAATGAAACACAGTATTGTTTTTCTCTGGAAAATGTTTCAGTTGGTTACCCACTGCTAAGTGCTAAGGAACTCATAACTCTTGTCTGTGCCCCGGTTGTTTTTGGAGAAGGGATAGAGGGATGTGTGAGTTACTGTTTCACTTGTATGAATTCAGGGTGTATCTTAAAATAACATAGCAGCTAAATTTGTTTTTGTTTAAGAAAGTGTACTCTCTGTATTGGGGTCGCTAACAGAAAATAACAAGAGTAAGAATATGGTTAAAAGAAGGATTGATATGTGAAGGAAATTATACTCTGGGAAATTGGAATGTCATTATTAAGATAAAAATGTCCAATTAATCATAGTTCAGGGACACTTTTATTATGAGTTGAATTATATATATATATATATATTTGAAGACAAGAAAATCATATTTTGAAATGTTGAAGGTGACTTTATTCTGTATTATGTACCCACTTAATTTTTTCCATGTATTGTAAGCTGTTTGACAGTACTCGTTGAAATAATAGTGAAGGAATAGCTTAGATATTTATATTATTGCTTTTTTAAGTGTAAGAATTTAAATGTCATGTGGTTTTTAAAAGGATCTGCAGTTATTTTTTATTACCAATTAGTATTTTGAATTGTGAGTCCAAAATATTTAAAATACTGTCTTAGATGTTTCTTACGGCGTTATAGGGGTTACATATTTTTGCTATTAAATAGAAAATAGAATTTCTGCTATCTAGTGTTCGTGTATTTAGAGAGCTACACGAACATTAAATCACTGTTTTCTTAGTTATACTTCTATCTACTTTATTGAGTCAGATATTTCAAGATAATCTTATCTTTTCTTGATGGCTTACCTTTTCATGTTTTACAACTAGAAATTGCTTAGAATGTAAGTGTAATTTCCTTAAGATAACTTTGCTATTAATTAAACATTTTCAGATAGTTTTAAAAATGAGGGCAATGGTTAAAATTTGTCAAACACATTGTTGTGTTTTATTATTATTTTATGGTTCATTAGGGTAAATTTAGAAAACAGTCATTAGGCAGACTTAATTCAGTTTTACACACAGAAAAACCTCAAGTTAAGAAATTCCATTTCATTAGGCTAAATCAGATACATTTTAGGATGAACGTGTATATACTCTAGCGTATACGTATCAGAGACATATATGTTTGCCTCTCTTCTTGCCATGATGGATATAGTCCAAGATAATAATTTAGTTATTACTCAGAATCGTGAGACCATTTCTGTTTACCTCTTTTCATCTTATCTTGAATTTTAACTTACATAATTTTGGGAACACAACTAAAGAGTTGGCTTTGAATAAGATATTCCAGATTTTATAGCCATTATCCCATTTAAGTGAACTTTTTTTTTTTTTGAGACAGAGTCTCGCTCTGCCACCCAGCCTGGAGTGCAGTGGTGTGATCTTGTCTCACTGCAACCTCCACCTCTCAGGCTCAAGTGATTCTTGTGCCTCGGCCTCCTGAGTAGCTGGAATTACGGTCATGTGCCACCACTCCCGACTAATTTTTGTATTTTTTGTAAAGATGGGGTTTTGCCATGTTGGCCAGGCTGGTCTTGAACTCCTAGCCTGAAGTGGTCCGCCTGCCTTGGCCTCCCAAAGTGCTGGGATTACAGGCATGAACTACCACGCCTGACCCCATTTAAGTGAACTTCTAAAATCCCTTATGTATAGGAAATTTTGTGTTTGAAAGCATCATTGTGGCTGAAACAGATTTTTTTCATTGATTATCTATGTCAGAACATAAAGTAATTTTAGTCTTTCAAATATAGTAGAGAAGAGCTGCTTGATTACCACTCAAGCCCAAGAAGCATGAATTTTAATTTTTCTAAGAACGTGCTTGTGGGACAGTATATAGAAAAGACTTTAGAGTCTTTGTGTTAGGCAATAAAGATGGTTTGAAGATGACATGGGGCAAGACTTTCAAAGTAATTGCCCAAGGTAGAGATTTTCAAACCAGGCAGTTATTAGATTTGCCTGGCTTAGGATGGGCAAAGTACTGAGTCCCACGCCCTAGAGATTTTGGTTTGCCACATCTGAGTTGGACCTTAGACTCTCTTGTTTTAAAAGCATACCAGCAGGTGGTTAATCAGATTCGAACAGAGAGGCTGTAGGTGAATGACTTTAAAATCGATGTGTAACTGTTTTAAAGGTAGAGCAATAGAAGAAGAGAATCCCTGGAAGATCTGGTAAAGTTGAAACCAGAGACAGGAACCTTATCTTAATGGTCTCTGTGTGCCAAAGCTAAGGGCCTGACTAGTATTTCCATGGAAAAAGAAGTTGATGGAGCATAATTTAAAAGGGCTAATTGGTGGAATTTAGTGACTGAAGGTTCAGACAAGGGAAGAAAAAAAGTAAAAGATGGCTTCAGATCTTTGAATTTGGATGTCTACAGAGCAGTTACTTTGACAGCTATAACCAAATCTGGAGGGAATGAGGTAGGTGGGTATCAGAGTTGAAATGAAGATACTTGATTTTAGGCATGTTTAATTAATGCATTAACAAATAGGTGGGAGCTACAGGGGATATAAAGAGATAACCTGGGTCACCTGAGAAAGGTTGTAGATACAGGGTAGGGTAGGTGGAGAGTTGGGTAAATAGAAAGAATACCAGAGGAAAAGAGGAGTACTTATAGCCATGTCAGAAAGTAACAAACAGGGACAGAATTTGAAAACTTTAAAATTTTGCTGTACCGCCCAACCCAGTGCAGAGTTGTCTCATGGTCTATTTTAGCAAGCCATACAATATGTTGTCAATCCTTATATAAAGTGGATGCCAGATTTATAAAATTACTGAATTTTGTAAATGAGGCAGTATTAATCTTTCACAAAACATTAATTTGAAAATGATTGAGTTGCTTTCATATTTTGGCTTCTACGAATATTCACGAATGTCTGTTTGTGTGGGTGTATGCTTTCCTTAATGTCTTGGAAAGGTACCTAGGGGTGAAATTGATGGATAGCATGGTAAATGTATGTTTAACTGTATAAGGAACTCCCACACTGTTTTCCACAGTGGCTATAACATTTTTTATTCACACTAGCAGTTTATGAGACTTGTTTGCCTCACATCCTTGTCAACACTTGGTGTTGTCAGTCTTTTTCATCTTAGCTCTTCTAGTAGATACGTGGCAGTATTCTTACTGTGGTTTTTATTTTGCATTTCTCTGAAGATTAATGTTGAGAATTTTTTCATGTGTTTGTTGGCCATTTCTATATCTTGACAAAGTGTCAGTTCACCTCTTCTGCCTGTTTTAAAAAATTGGATTATTTGTCTTATTTTTGAGTTGTGTAAGCATTCTTTATGTGTTTTGGATACAATTATTTTGTTGGCTATGTTTTGCAGAAATTTCCTCCTAATCTAACATGTGCCTTAAAAAAAATAAAAACTTTGTCTTTTTGAAAGTTAAGTCTTTTAATCTTGATGAAGTCCATGTTGTCAACCTCCTTTTTTATAATTTGTACTTTTAGTGTCCTTGTTAAGAAATCTTTCTTTAACCTGATGTCATAAAGGTTTCCTCATGTTTTTCTTCTAGAAAGGTAATAGTTTTACTTCCTCCATTTAGGTCTGACATCTATTTTGATTTAATTTTTGTGTGTGGTATGAGGTAAAGGGTTGAGGTTTACATTTCTTCCTACAGATATTCAGTTGTTCTAGAAGAGTTTATTGAAAAAAGTATCTTCAATCCATCAAATTGCCTTGGCATGTTTGTTTAAAATCAATTAATTGTAAAAATAAATTAACTATAAAATATTTGTTTAGATCTGTCTCTGGAATCTGTCTTGTGTTCCTTTGCTTTACATGTCAGTTCTTCCACCAATACCACATTTGTGTAACTTTATAGTCACTTTTGAAGTCATGTAGCATAAATCCCTACTTTGTTCTTGATTGTTTTTATTCTGTCCTTGCCTTTTTATATAAATTTTAAACCAGGTTATCAGTGCCAAAAAAATGTTTGTTAGGATTTGGTTGGAATTGCACTGAGTCTATATATCAACTTGGGAAAGATTACTATCTTAACAATATTGAGCTTTCCAAACCGCGAACTCTTTCTCCATTTAAGTTTTCTAGAATTTCCCTTTGCAAGGTTAAGTTCCCTTTGGTAGTTTTTAGTGTACAGATCATACACATTCTTCATTGTATTTATTCCTCAGTATTTTATGTTTTGATTATAAGTAATAGGTTTTTACCACTTCAGTCTATAAGGGAGAGTCTCTGAAACAGAGGTTAAGCAATATTGCCAGTGTTAGTTATTGGTAGCATTAGAAACAGTCTTTCACTTACAGAACAAGTATGGGCTCATGAGAAAAGTCCACATTTAATTCAGATGAATTAAATCAATTGCCATTTTATTACTTGATATCTTTGTAAAAGATTATATATGTGTACGAGTTTATGCTTTTCCTTTCTTGCACATGTGTTCTTTTAACTTCTAAGAATTATGAATACAGTATTTTTCAAGTGACCTGAATTTTTGTTGAGGTTCAGTCTTACAAAGAAATACTTACCATTTCAACTTCTCTTGTGGTATGTGCCAAATTTTGGGCAGGTTAGTGGCTAGGTTTTGATGCCATTAACATAGAGCTTTAAAGAATATCAGATGTTTAGTTCTGATTCTTGAAATCTTGTTTGATTCTTGAGATCAGTTCAGGTTCTTACTTGCTTAGGGCCAATCTGAATCATTCATTATATTCATCTGCCATTTTTCTCATTAATATGTTACATAGATCTGTTTGGTTATTTCTTAATGTAATTGTTTATTTTGCTTCTTGAATGAATTTTATAAAAAATAAGGTCATTTGAAGATAAGATATTAGAGCTAAGCTTCCTTGTCTATACAACTCATACACGGCCAGCTTTGCACAATGAAATGGTGAACGTTTAACAAAAGTATATTGGATGGGCATGTGTCTACATGCTGAAAAGAAAAGCTGTTATGGACCATAACTTTTATACAAACTGATCAGCTGCCATCTGTGTACAAAGCACTGTGATCAGCAGAGACCTGTTTGTGCCACTGTGTAGACTGATAGCAGCAGATTAATTTAGCTGAGCTGTTCTCTAGCAGTTTGGTCACGAGGACATAGACACTACCAAAGTGTAGTCATCACACCACTGATCTTTGCTGGTTTAGATTGTGGCAAGAGAGAAAAACTGCTTGCTCTCTTCACCCCAATACAGCTGAGGTAAGAGCCACCTTTTTTTTCTCTTGAAGGGAAAAATGACAGCAAAAGCAGCCTCTTTTACCTTTTCCCATGCTGTTTTGATTTAAATTTATTCTAGTATTTTCCATGGTAATCCCTCAGGCCAGGTATACAGTTCAGCATCTCTTTGGCGGAGAGCAACTAGTTTGTAGTACAGCTTGGGTAAATTTTAATAACAAAATTGTATTGCCAGCACAAAGCATTTGACCTTGAAGACTCAGAGGAGAGCAGACATTGCAGATTTCCCTACTTGCCCTCGACTTACAAGAGAGTAGATAATGAATTAATAGAAATTGATAAAGAGTGTCTGTCAGGCAGCCGCTGAGGTCATGAGGCTGGTATGCGAAAAGAGTGCCCATACAACATGCGAAACACATAGCTGCAGCCAGGAGAGGTGGGTGGGTCATTGAAGCAGGAAATTAGCCGTCAGATGGAATGTTGGCCTCTGTACAAGCTACGCCGCGCGCGTGGACTCACTGGGAGAAAACACGGGGAAATGGGGAGTGCTCAGTGCTGCAGAGAAAAGAGCTCCTATAGAAGGTGACAGCACTGTTGGTGTTAGTGGTTCTTCAAAGATACTGAAGACAGTGCAGGTTAGAATTTTTTTTAAAGGAATTAAAATGTTAGTAGCTTAAGTATCGAATGTTTAGTGCTTGTTAAATAGACAACAAACTACTGAGGAATGAACGGGGGAATAGCACAGCTATAAGGCCTTCGTATTGTATAATAATTTTTATCTTGTACTCTATTTTTATAAGCAGAGATGAAATGTTGAGATTCACTGTGCAGAGGAGCAAACTTCTGTTAATTTTATGTGGGGTGATGATTGTTAGAATGTTTGTAAGTGAGCCTTGAAGGAAATTTAGAGATATATAGTGTGTATTCAGTTTTCCCAATACTTCTGAAATAGAAGCCGGTTAAAGTCCATGCTTTAGAAGCAGTTCGCAATTTACACACACACATGTAAATTATATATGTACTTGGTGTATGTGTGTGTGTGATTTTTAACATAGCTGTTACTTTTTTGCTTCTTAAACTAATGAGTCAACTTATTAAGAAAAGATTACATGTATTTTATGGAAAGTCAATCCACTTTCCTTTTATACTTATATTAAAATTTATTCTTATATATGTTACTAATTTTTGAGAATGGAATTGATGGCATCAGCAGTTACTTGTTAGCTTTTCCTCCCTAATTTAATTGCCACTCTGCTGTCTGAAGACAATGTTATGTGATTGTTTTTTTGTAAGTCCTAAACAAATCAATTGGTTTTGATTTAGGAACATCAGTCCAGTCAGTTACTTAGATTTTTTTAAGGAAGAAAATAAAATGTAGTAACTGCCTATCATTTTCTGGAAACAGGGGTGTGAAAAAATTGATGTATTGGAGTATTATGTTTTTAATCATTTTGTAAATTAGGATTGCCCACCAGTATATCTGCTTGACTCCTGTGTATTCCCTTGCTGGGTGTAGGCTGACTTGAATAAGTTTACATTCCGATACTGAGAATTGCATTCCACTGGGTAGTTCTGACGTACAAGAAGAATGTGGAGGCCCATACAAAGGGCAAGATTAGGGACACTGATAGAAGAGGCTTCTATGCTCTGTGACTGCCTTTCGTGGAAAGCTCACACTGGCAGAAAGTGCTCTTGACCCAACTTGGGAGAGGAGAATGTGGTCACAGAAACTTCGGACAATTTGGCCTTACAACACCTGCAGCACCCTGTCTGGTGTTTCATTGCCTATGGGTATTTACGAAAACTAGGTAAGACTTCACATTCCCAAACTTTCATGCGGTGTGGGAGTCTTGAAGGAAAGTTTTGTTTTCTCTATATTATATGGAAGACTACTTAGTAATTGTTTGTCTTCATATTTTTGGTATTACAGAGTCATACCATTTGCACCTGTAGAAATATTTAACTTAGTTTCAATTTTGCTAACAATTTTAATTCTTAATTTTTAAATTGTTTTGTATAAAAACTTCAGCAAAAAATTTAATGAGAATGAAAGTCTGAATTGTTATACTGTTTTTAGAGCAGTTGTTCCTTAGTCATACTGAGGGAGTACTAGCATTTAGGAGTAATCTGTTTCATATGCTGCAAGTGGTCTTTTCAATAATCATTTACTGGTGGGCTTAATTTTTTTTCTTTTTTGATATGGCAGAGAACTCAAAGATTGACCAGAAGTGAACCTGCATCACTTCTAGTTGTCATCTTGTGGTTGTTTAATATCAGATTTTAAGGACATGCTGAAATTACGTTGAGATTGAATTGTTGAAAGGCAAGGTGTACAGCGTATTTATACAGAACAATTTAGAAGGGTTTAAATTAGACCATAGTGATCACATTTTCATTCTGTGTAGAAGGAGAAGACTATCAGCATTCTTAAAACACATATACCATACTTCTCCCTTCCACCACCACCTTTTCCTACTTTATGGCCTCTAACTAGACACCTCTTATCAAACGCTGGTGTCTGTTTAGAAAGAACTAACAGGTTTTTAAAATATTCAGGCTAACTCTCATTGATAACTGTTAACCTACATCTTTCTTGTTTCTGAAAGACAGCTATTCATATGTGTGTGTTAATATGTATATGTTAATAGCATGTCTTATATACAAATACACATATACACACAAAGACTGAAACTACTAGAAGACCAGAAGTAACTTTTGAAAGATATATAATTCAAAGTAGAAAAGGTAAGCTATATATCTTTAAAAATTAAGGAGTCTGAATTTTAAAATACTTGTTTATCTTGGTAAGTGGTATTATGAGTGCCATTTCAAAGAAGCAGATGTCCTACTAGTTGAAGTTCTGGCAGTAGCTCCCTGAAGAGATTTGGTCTTTATAGGTTTGACATTCAGATCTTTGCGGGGGTAACCCTAAAGCTCTTTATGGTCATTTGTAATTTTGCTGAATTTGAATTGCCTTCTGAATTAGAAATGCTGATTTGTGTTTTTCACTCAACTAGCTAGTGAGTGAGCCTGGTCATTGAGAATTCACCTCTCAATGAAACTCACTTCTCAACTTGTCATTGGGTTATAGCTGTTTGTGTACTTGTCATCCATGGAATATAAACTACTTAAGAAGAGGGACTATATTTAGTGAGTTTTTCTGTAAACGCTGTATTGATTACTGAGTTTATATTGGTAATATTGATTCTGTTATGTGTTCAGTGAACATTTGGAAGAGGAATAAATAGCACAATAATATATATGTCAGAAATAATATTATGTAGTCATGCACTGTGTAATAATGTTTTAATCAGTAATGGACCACATATACAGTGGTCATCCCAGAAGATTATAATGTGGTATTTTTACTGTAACTTTTCTATGTTTAGATGTTTAGATACACATATACCATTGTGTTATAATTGCCTACAATATTCAGTACGGTAACATTCTTTATGGGTTTGTAGCCTAGGAGCAATAGGCTGTATCATCTAGCCTAGGTTTATAGTAGGCTATACCATCTTGGTTTGTGTAAGTATATTCTGTGATGGTCACACAACAGTAAAATCGCCAAACAACATATTTCCCAGAACATATCTCCATTCTTAAGCAATGCATGACTGTATGTTAATATATATTATTACTCACACATATTATTTTGTTATGTGTTATATGTTATGTATATAATATATTCTCACAAATACATTATATGTCAAATTTAAACAAAAGTTTCTCACATGAATCATATATCCGTGTGAGAAATAATATATGTTTTGTAGAGAGAGAAAAAAGAAAGAACCTCAAATATATGACCATGGATAAAGAAAAAATGAGATTAATGTTAGGGGAAAGAAAAATGTTCATATAATTGACTCTTCTAAACTTTGATTTAAAATAAATATTAAGTTGTATCCTTAATCCAAAAATTTCAAATACAGAATGCTCCAAAACTTGAAATTTTTTGAGCACTGACATGGTGCTCAAAGGAAATGCTCATTGGAGCATTTTGGATTTCATATTTCCAGAGTAGGGATGCTCCACATATATGTGCAAATATTCCCAAATCCAAAATAATCCAAAATCAAAGCACTTCTGATGCTAAGCATTTTGGATAATGGATACTCGACCTGTCTTTCAGTCATATTTGTTTACCTTCTGCCCATCTCTAACTAGGTCTTTCACCCAATGTCTATCACTTCATTGTTAAGTTATCATATAAAAGAGATGGGTTCCCAGTTTGTCTGTCATTAAACATAACTCTTCCTTGGTTCCTAAGATTTGCTGTTTGTTAAAATAGAGATTCTACTTTTTCTTATTCAAGTCCCAGATTTTTGCCAGTAAACCCAGATATCCTGTCTATAGTTTCTTTTCTAAGCTTTTTTTAATTGTAGTAAAAATTATGTAAAATATGTCATTTTAACTAGTTTTAAATGTATGGTTACATTTAAGTGTGTGTTACAGTGGCATTAATTACATTCACACTGTTGTGCCACTAGTGGCGCTACCTCTTTCTAAAGCTTTTCTGTAACTCCAGATGGAAACCCCGAAACCATTACGCTTTCCAAACTGCTTTCTCCAACTCTTGGCAACCTTGAATCGACTTTCTGTCTCTATGAATTTGCCTATTCTAGATATTTCATGTAAGTGGAATCATATGATATTTGTACTTTTGTGGCTGGTTTGTTGTCTTTAGTGGATGTTTTCAAGGTTCATCCATGTTGTAGCAGGTATCAGAACTTCATTCCTTTATATGGCTGAATAATATTCCTTTGTGTGTGTATGCCACAGCTTGTTTATCCATTCTTCCGTTGTTGGACACTTGGGTTGTTTCCATATTTTGGCTACTGTGAATAATGTTGCAGTGAACATTGGTGTACAAATATCTGTTTGAGTCCCTGCTCTCAGTTCTTTTTGGTATTTATCTAGGGCTAGAATTGCTGTGTCATATGTTAATTCTATGTTTAGATTTTTGAGAAATTGCCAAACTGTCTTCCACAGTGGCTGTATCATTTTACATGCCCACCAGCAATGCACAGGGTTCCAAGTCCTCCACATTATTTTTTTTCTTTCTTTTTGCTTTCTTGAAAAAGGGAAATAATAAAAAATTGTAGCCATCCTGGTATCTCATTTGCATGTGGCTTCAGGTGTGAAATGGTATCTTATTGTGGTTTTGATTTGCTTTTCTCTAATGACTCAAGATGCTGAGAATCTTTTCATGTGCATATTGGCTCTTTGTGTATCTTCTCTGGAGAAATGCCTATGTAAATCCTTTGTCAAGTTTACATTGGGTTATCTTTTTGTTGTTTAAGACTTTTTTATATATTTTGAATATTGAATCTTTATCAGATATGTGATTTACAAATACTTTCTCTTATTCTGCAGGTTGCCTTTTCAGTTAATTGATAAGGCCCTTCGATGCAGAGTTTTTAATTTTGATGAAATTTAGTTTATCTATGTTTATTCTCCTGCTCCTCATGCTTTTATTTTCCAGAGCTAAAAATCTATTGCCAACTCCAAGGTCATGAGGATTTATTCCTGTGCTTTTACTAATAGTTTACTTTTGGCTCTTACATTTAGCTTGTTGATTCATTTTGAGTTAATTTTTGTGTATCTTGTGCGGTAGGGGTCCAATTTCATTCTTTTTCATGTGAAATCCAGTAATCCCACCACCATTTGTTGAAGACTCTGTTCTTCTCTCATTGAACAGATATGGCATACTTGTCAAAAATCAACTGGTCAATCATTTGCAGCAACCTGGATGAGACTGGAGACTATTATTTTAAGTGAAGTATCTCAGGAATGGAAAACCAAACATCGTATGTTCTCACTCATAAGTGGGAGCTAATCTGTGAGGATACAGAGGCATAATAATGACACAATGGACTTTGGGGACTCGGGGGAAGTGTGAGAAGGGGGTGAGGGATAAAAGACTACAAATTGTGTGCAGCGTATACTGCTTGGATGATGGGGGCACCAAAATCTCACAAATCACTAAAGAACTTATGTAACCAAGTGCCACCTATTCCCCAATAACCTATGGAAATAAAAAATTTAAAAATATATATATAAGGAAAAAAAGTCCTTTTAATTTAACACACACAAAAAATCAATTGACCATTGATGTATGAGTTTATTCCTGGACTCCCAATTCTATCCTTTTGGCCTGAGTACCACACTATTTTGATTACTGTAGCTTTGTAGTAAGTTTTGAAATTGGGAAGCGTGAGTCCTCATTGTTCTTTTTCAAGATTGTCTTGGCAAATTAGGGCCCCCTGAATTTCCATATGAATTTTAGGACCAGCTTTTTCATTTCTGTAAAAAAGACTGGTCTAATTTTGATAGAGGGTATGTTGAATCTGTAGATCACCTTATGTAGTTTATTATAAGACTTACTAAAAAAAAAAACTGCTGTATTTGATAGTGTTGAGTCCATTTCTGACAGTGGCACCAAGGAACAGGATGTAATCACATTTGGATCAGAATGCAGTCACATGGTTTAGAACAATCCTTACCTACTTCTGATTTTTTGATGAAGGATCATAGGTGTACATTTAAGTTACCCAAGTTCTTCCTTAATTGTATTATTTCTAAGTTTTTTAAAAATGATTATTTTAGAAACTTAAGGGATACTGGCTTTCAGCTGGTGTAATAGGACTTAATGAAATATTATTATTTTTTGAGACGGAATCTTGCTCTGTCACCCAGGCTGGAGTGTAGTGGAACGATCTCGTCTCACCGCAACCTCTGCCTTCCGGGTTCAGGTGATTATTCTGCCTCAGCCTCTCGAGTAGCTGGGACCTCAGGCACATGCCACCATGCCCGGCTAATTTTTTTTTTTTTTTTTTTTTTTTGAGACAGAGTCTCGCTCTGTCGCCCAGGCTGGAATGCAGTGGTGTGATCTCGGCTCACTGCAAGCTCCACCTCCCAGGTTCATGCCGTTTATTGGCCAGTCTGGTCTCAAACTCCTGACCTCAGGTGATCTGCCTGCCTCTGCCTCCCAAAGTGGGGGGATTATAGGCATGAGCCACTGCTCCCAGCCTATTATTATTATTTTTGAGACTGAGTCTTGCTCTGTTACCCAGGCTGGAGTGCAGTGGTGCAATCTCGACTCACTGTGACCTCCGTCTCCTGAGTTCAAGCGATTCTCCTACCTCAGCCTCCTGAGTAGTTAGGATTACAGGTGCCTGCCATCATGCCTGGCTAACTTTTGTATTTTTAGTAGAGACAGGCTTTCACCATGTTGGCTAGGCTGGTCTCGAACTCCTAACCTCAAGTGTTCTGCCCACCTCGGCCTTCCAAAGTGCTGGAATTACAGACATGAGCCACCGTGCCCAGCCTATGAAAAATTATCTTAATCTATACATCTGGTCTTTTGGAAAGCCCTTTGGATTCCCTGAATTTTTTGTGAGAAACTTTTCAGTTCTGTGTTTTTCCCCTTAGAAACTCTTCCAGGGTAATACCCTTTTATAGATTTGATTTTCTATAAGGGCATGCATTGTAATTATTGTTTTTGATTCTTTCCTTGTGTGTCCATCATTTCAAAGTTTGTCTTTGTTTATAATTTTACTTGTTGTGTAAGCATCTTGCTGTGCTAATGCATTCAAAGACTTCGTTTTTATTAATAACTTTTAACTGAAAGCTGAGAACCTGTTGTTGAGTATAATGTTAAATGCTCTGTGCATTTGATCACTTTTTCAGTGTAGAGCATTTCATTGTGCACACTGGATCCTCTACGGCTTGCCTGCACTCACACTCTTTATAAAATGTCTTGTACTTTGTTCTTACTGTTCTGGTTTTCTGTTTCACTCTCTCAAAGTGTATTTGTTATTTGCAATCCTGAAGATTTTGCACCATTTTTTTCCACTAAGTAATCTAAAATATTTAAAAGGATTGTTCTTTATATTGTCTGTGAGGTACTTTATCTCCTATACATCTTTATCTGTTGCCTTTAAGTCTGTCCTTATTTTCCAGAGCTGAATTTTTTCAGTTTATTTGTGTAGAACTTCGCCAAAGATTTTTGAAAATGTAGTAAATAATCATATTTACTTGCTTTTGTTTATGTATTTACTGTTTCAAAGAATCAGAGAGCAGAAGCAAAAGTAACTTGTGGACTTAATTTCTAGCTAACATTTTTTTTTCCATTGCTTTGTCTGTTTCTTCCAACCTTATAGCTTCTGGTTTGTGAGCTAAGAGCACATCATCTCTGTGAGAGAGCTCAGAGGCTTTGTCACTGATCAGGCCTAGCGTGTGCACTCATGACCTACTCTTTGGCTCCTTTGAGGCTGCTCTTCCTTTCTGCATTCCTGGCTGTGTTTGAAAAAATAGATTGTTGAGTAAATGAAGTAACATATTCTCCCTTGCTAATGTGTGTTCTGTGCACATTGCTTTTTCCATTCAGCTTATTCAATAAATATATCTGATGGAGAGTCTGCAGTTTCTCCTGTTCACATCTTTGTGACGGTTTATGGAACTCGAGTCTTTTTATGGTTGAAAAAGTTTCATCAGGCTGTAGTGCAACTGACTCTCTGAAAAACACTTATGGAAATGTTTTTGTGTAGCACATTTTAGGAAATGTAAACTTTTCATCCCCAAAGTAATAGTGTGCTAGTGCAACTTGAAGTGTGACTTCCTAGCCATGAAGTTCTGTTGAACGAATGACTAATTGGTAAGAGGATTTACGCCTTAAATCCTGGAGTGGTGAAGATGGTACTAGATTTATATATAAAATAAATAACAGTTATATAGTTTATTTATGTGAACATTAACATCTTTTGCTGCTAAAATTTGTAAACAATTCTAGCATATGTTTTTGTATCAAGTATTATATGAACAGTGTATACATTACAAACATTTATGATTTTTTACTATGTTACATTTAAAAACGCATAAACATTAGACCACTATATTTATAAACTTGTCCAAGTCTGTAACCTGCCACATATTTTACTAACACATTGAGATTATTTATTTGCAGTGTATAATTATAAGCTTCATTTTAAAAAATTAAATTGCAAATAGGTAGATTCAGAAACTCAAACTTTTGTGTATATTGAAGAGTTATGGAATTTCAGTTGTATTTAACTGTAAGCTAAAAGAAATGTGTAAAAATTCAGGTCATTTAAATTGCATGAGAAGTAACATGAAGATAGATTTATTATGTTGTTCCTGGCAAATGTTTTCACTTAAAAGTACTCTAATGTGTATGTTTGTGTGGGCATATATGTGTGAATGTATATATGAATATCAAAAAATTTTTTTTCAAATATGTTAAATATGATGCTGGTTTTGATTTTCATGGAAACTTTTTCTTCTTTTCAAGACAGGGTTTTACTCTGTTGCCCAGGCTAGAGTGCAGTGGCACATTCTTGGCTCACTGCAACCTCTGCCTCCCATGCTCAAGTGATCCTCCCATCTCAACTTCCTGAGTAGCTGGGACTACAGGCTTGTACCACCATGCCTGGCTAATTTTTGTATTTTTAGTAGAGACGGGGTTTCACCATGTTGCCCAAGCTGGTCTCGAACTCCTGGGCTCAAGTGATCAGCCCTCCTCAGGCTTCCAAAATGCTGGGATTACAAGCAGGTGCCATCGCGCGTGGCCGGAAATGATTTTGGAAAAGGACTTAATTATCTTTAACAATCAGATAATTATTATTAAGGAAAAGGACTTAAGTGATGGCCTAGTCTAACCTGATAACCTGTAAACAAATAAAATTTATCATATGATGTGGTCAAGATAGTTTGCTAGAGATTGCAGATGATAGAAGGAGAATGTTGGCTTTTCTGTTTTCTTCCTCTTACGTGACTTGGCTCCTAATACTTGAAATATGTGTATTACTATGACATAAAGAGGATTATAAATAGAACAAGAATTTCCATAGGAGTCCCTCACAGTGCCTAATTAACTTGGAAAAAAATTGTTCAATGAAATAGTTTTTTGGTAGAATTTTAAAGCATTTTTTTCTTAAAGATAAGTTTATTAAATATGATTACCAAAAATTTTAATATTAGGCTCACATCTGTAATCCCAGAACTTTGGGAGGCAGAGGAGGGAAGATTGATTGTGGCCCTAAGTTCAAGACCAACCTGGGCAACATAGCTAGACTTTGTCTCTACAAAAATTAAAAAAAAAAAAAAAAAAAAAAAAAAAAAGCCAGGTATGGTGGTACGCACCTGTAGTCCCAGCTACTTGGGAGTCTGAGGCAGGAGGGTTGCTTGAGTTCAGGAGTTCAAGGCTGCAGTGAGCTGTGATTGTGCCACTGTACTGTGGCTTGGGTGACAGAGTGAGACCTTGTCTCTTAAAAAAAAAAAAATTAACTGGAAGGAAAGATTTTTGTGAATGAGTGAGGTGTTATATTAACAAAAAGAGCTTCACCCAAATTCTCTGTTCTTAATTCTAGTTTGCATATCCCTATGTCAGAAACAATACATCTTCACCATTCTTAACGTGGGAATTCACCACAGATAAGGCAAAGGTGCTATGTCTGTGTTCACTCGTGCAGAGTTCTCAGGAGGAATGAGCTTTTAGTAGTACATCAACTGAAATAACTTTACCATAGAAATAAAGTCTTAAGTTGAGTATCTTTTTCTTAAAACATTTAGAATAAGTTGATTTGAAAATTTAGGAAAATAAACACACTTTTTAGGTGAAAAAAAAGTTTAACCTAAGCAAGTTAAGTTATGAAGAGAATTACATGTACATGCATTTTATACTTCTTTGGGACATTTCTATAGTTTGCCACTGAGACATTTCCCATCCCTACTGGAATATTCTCAAAGTTCACCTGAGGATGATTTAAAATAACCTAACAGAAAACTCACTCATGCTAATAATTCTCCTTTACTTACATTATTAATTTGAAAATATTATGTTAGAATTTTCCAGAAAAATCTATGACTGAAACTTAAGAATTTGAATGCTTTCTTGTCATTCTGTGTAAATTATTAAAGATAATTCACTTTCTCCAATGTGTACTTTTTGTAATTGTTTTTAATTTTTATTTATCAGGAAGTTTGGCTTATGTTCACAAATCATACTACTTAAATCTCTGAGGTTCTCCTCATTGATTTTTTTTTTCTTTCTTTCTAGTTTTGGCAAGCGTTCTGCAGGAAGTTTTAGGCGTGGCTGTGAATGCATTGTTTTAGAGCCTTCTGAAATGATTGTGGTAAGAGTATTTCTGTGAGGACTATTTTTCCCCTAAAAAATTGTATGAAATAAAGGCATTTTTATAAACTGCTTATAATATTAGATTTTTGTTGAATAGAAAATATTGTATATTTTCTATAACAGATATATTTATTTCACAACTTTTTATTAATATGAATTTGAGTTCATAATCATATTTTATTATTTACAGGATTCAATTAAATGCCAAAAAAATTTAAAAAGTACAAGTAGCTAAGTGTTTGGTTTTTGTACTTTGTAATTCAATCTATAATAATGCCATTTAATTGAAATTTGGGGAGAATCTCTTGATTGCAGGATTTTAGCTCTCCAAGTGTTGATTGGAATGAGTGACTTACTTTAAATCAATCACTAGGTTTGCTGGTGTGAGAACAATTTTGGAATCTAAACATGCCTCCATTGTGAGCAATCGTGAGGAATAACCAAATGGAACTTGTGTTCACTGTTAATTCATTCATTAGAGTTTCTAAGATGTTTTAAATGAGGAATTATTTTTTAAACAACACTATTTTAAAAAACACAAGAAAATCACTTGAATTTTTTCAAGTTATTAAAAGGAAATTTGGGGATTATTATGCTGGTTAAACACTCTGTTGACATCTTTTCCCTCTTTTTAATGTAATTTTGTGACAAAAATTTATAAACAGAGATTATACATAGAACATATTGTTAAAATAGATATTAGCAACATACTTTGAAGCTTAAAAACCAAACCTGTCATACTTTTTACTTACTGTATAAGAATGATTTTAAGATAGGATAATATGTACCCTTTAAAAAATTTAGTAACAAAAATAAGATGAGGTGGAAGGGGAGTTTCCCAGCCTAGACATTCAGTTGATATTCTTACTGTCTCCATCCAGCACCCTAGCTGGGAAGGAAGATCTTGTAAAGTAAATGATGTCTAAATAAAGATGATGATGGAAACTTTTATTCACATTTAGTAAAGTATTTAGTAAACAATTCTAGGTCTCTTTTCAGAGAAGATGTAGGGTTTTTCCCTATGATGTAGGAGAGGAATTCTGTCAGAAATGAGAACTTCCTCATCAAAGCTAGCGAACTTTTTGTAAAATTTACTAAAATATTTGGTAAAGTTTTACAAAACGTACTCAAGTGAGAAAGTAGCATAGTAATGGTAAGGATTTAGGATTGGGAAGAATGTAGGCAGATATATAGCACTTTCCAACAGTAGATAGTCTTAGATATTTCCTTGAGATTTTGCCCTCTGTTAATGCTACTTTTAGATTTCTCTGGAGGATTTTTAGTCTTTAAAACTGAGTATTTTATACTTGCTGATACTACACAAACTACTAGGTTTGCTGGTGTGAGAACAGTTTTGTAACCTAGACATGCCTCCATTATGAGAAGTCACATGAGGAATAACCTAATGTAACTTTTATTCCCTGTTCATTCATCAGCATTTCTACTTTTTTTTTTTTTTTTTTTGGAGACGGAGTCTTGTCGTGTTGTCTAGCTTGAAGTGCAGTGGCGCGATCTCAGCTCACTGCAACCTCCACCTCCTGGGTTCAAGCAATTCTCCTGCCTCAGCCTCCCGGGTAGCTGGGATTACAGGCACGTGCCACCACACCCAGCTACTTTTTTGTATCTTTAGCAGAGATGGGGTTTCACCATGTTGGCCAGGCTGGTCTTGAACTCCTGACCTCGTGATCCACCCGCCTCGGCCTCCCAAAGTGCTGGGATTACAGGCGTGAGCAACTGTGCCTGGCCTAAAATTTTTTTAAATGAGGAATTACTTTTAAACAACACTATTTATAAAAAAAGAAACCGAAGTCATGGAATGAAAGTAGAAGGAGAAACCCTTGCGTAACCTACCAAAGCCATTCTGTTAGCACTGTTTTTGAGTCATTCAGGATTTGGAAGTTTTTACAGATTTCCATCAGGGTTTTTTTTTTTTTTTTTTTCTTTTTTCTACGTTGCTTAAGACAGTGTGGCAGTTGCTTTCATAATGTGTGGTAATGTATCCTGTGAGATCTTTCACTAATAAATCAGTACAAAGACTGCTGAAAATATCCTTCCCTTTGAAACTACAGGAAATTCAAGAGTTACCCATATTGTCCTAAGTGGAACTGAAAATGCCTCCTCATAAAAGAAATGTTACTCAAAACCAGTTAGTTCCAGAGAAGTTCAGAGACACTTGAAGTTTGTCTAGATAGTTTTCTACAGATGTCTTTGCAAGATGATTGAATATGGGTTATCTGTAAGTTTCTTTCTGTATCTAATATTAATAGGAAATGTTGTGTTTGGAGAAATGAAATTTTGGGGGGTTTTATTTCAGGTGGACTATATGGATGAAAATGAAGAATATTTTCAGCGGCAAGCTTCCCATAGACAGTCTCGAAGGAGATTTAGAAAAATCAACCAGAAAGGTGAAAGACAAACAATTATTGACACTGTGGATCCTTATCCCATGGGCAAACCTCCTTTGCCTAGAGGCTATCACACGGTAAGTTATACAAGTATAATATTTTTATTTATTTCTAGTTTTTTGTTGGGGTTTTGTGAAAAGATGTTTAAGTTTTCCATTTTTGACAAATCTTTTCAATTATATATATATACACACACATTAAGTATACTTAAATATTTATTTTTATTTGTTATATTAATAAATATAAAAATAAATATATAATATGTATATATTATTTAAACATTTATTATAGAAAGAGTAGATTTTTCTGGGAAACATGATATGATTAGTTTTTAAAAGACATTGAAATAACATGTCAACAGACTTTGCTAGCTCCTTTATTTCTTAAGTTGTTCTCTGAAGATCAGCTTTGTGATAAGCACATGTAATTGTAATTGGAATATTTTAAGTTGTTTTACCTTAATCTAACATTTTAGCGCCCTCCTGTGCACTCCACCCTTCACTCCCAACCCAAATGACTGCTGTCATCCCTGTTTTTTATTTTAAAAGTAGATATGTAAAAATTACATTATTTTTCATAGCTTTTTATACCTTTATGAGAATATCTCTGAGATTTATTTTTTAATGCAGTGAAGGAGGAATAATTTGAAATAATGCTTTTTAAAATCTCAATGTAAAGATGCTTAGAAATATTTCTAATAGGTTCAAAGATCCTCTTAAAGGCAGGCAGACATAACCCAGTTCATTGTCATTTATTTCATAAATATTGATAAATAAACTGCTTTTTATGTTTGAGGAAACCAAGACATAGATAATGAGTGCTTTGTTCAAGATCTCAATAAAGTCACTTTAAAGCCTTTTTTTTCTTATTCCTTTGTTTTTTCAAGAGCAAAGTCGCTTAGATTCCTGGATATGTCATAATAATGTGAAAGATCATTTATGCATATAATACCATTAAATGAGTGGTTATTTTATGTATAATTAATTTAAAATAAAAATATAAAAAATAAAAATAGATAATTAACAACTATTTTACATTCCCCAGTTGTTTTCCTTTACCTTTTTTTTCTTTCTTCCTGCAAATAAGTATAAATACAAAATGCATGGGAAAAATGTACACAGACTTAAAATTATTTACTCAATTTTTAGTAAGTTTAAGTGATATATCTTATACCCACACTTCATATATTCTATTTCTCAGAGAGCCCTTTTTATTTAAATATTTAATGTGGTTTTGACCACTAGCAACCTGACTACTCCTCTTGCTACCCATGAAGTATTTTAGTTTAACATGGATTTCATAGTTGAATCATTTTATTGAGCTCATTTGGAAAGGACTGCTTTTTCCTCATCACAAAGACATCTTTGTCTGTTGGAGAGACTAGTATTAAAAAAACCATGAAAGGTTTTTTTGTTACCATTGTCCATAAAAAAGGTAATGTTTTTAGGGTTGATGTAGCATTATGGAAGAAGGAAATATGTATTAAAAATAGTTATACATATTAATAGTACAACACAGATAATATTTTAGCCTAGCATAAATATTGCTAATTTTTTTCTGCTTTGGAATTGTTTTTCCAGATTAGTTTTCAGACTAAAATAGTCAGTGGGAGTATGGATTATTTAAAATGTAGCGTTAAAGTTGGTTTGTTTGTTCTTATAGTCATATTTGTCACACTTTAGTTGGGTGGGCCATTTAATAACTGTTCTCTCCCCTCACCCCCAGCGTGATTCCCCCTTTATGGAAAGCTTCATTCAGTTTCCTTACACGGCTCCCTTTTCATTATTTGTTTTAAAATATGTATTTCTTTTATTGTTACAAGTTTTTTTTTTTTAAGTGGATTTTTAAGAGTGTCTTACCTAGCCAGCAGATACTTTTAGGGAAAATTCAATAGTAGGATGAAAAAATTGGCTTGATTACTAATGGATCATATACTGGTTTACTAATGTGTGACATGTGGTATTAATTTTACTAAATGAGTTAAGATTGGCAACAACATGGTCATAAGGATTGCATCCTTTTTTGGGGTGTAAAAATAACATTATAATTTATTATTTATTTTACATAAATACATAATTTTAATGTAGGAAGATTGCAAAATTTTGTTTTGTGTGTATGATACCACATAGTAAAAAGAATTAAATAGAAATTATTCTTTATTACCCCTACGCCATATTTACTTATTCTTAACAGAAATAGTTCTCTTTGAAAGAAATTGGCTAATAGTGAAGGACTGAGGGTGAAAAGTTTATTTAAAAGAATTGCATGATCAACTTCACAGGTGATTTAAAGTCATTGCAAGAGCATTTCAAGTGCATGGCTAAATAACATGGGAAGCATTATACATATAGCTGATTCTATATGATCATTCTTAACTTAATTTTAACATTATCTTCATTTTGGCAGATGTAATATAGCATGTCTGATAATGTTCATCTTTTCCTTTCCTCCTTTATGGCACTCATTTCATTTTGGCTCAAAGGAATGCACTAAATCTCAGGTATTGTAATTTGTGTGTGGTCTTCTGACACTAACCTAAGTTTACGTGTGAATTTGCACTGTTACTAATGAATTTATAATATTCATATGTTTTGCTTCGTCTTGTCCTTCTGTATTTTGCCCTAATTTACTTTGAAATTATCAGTGGTTTGGGTGGTAGAATAGGCTGCTTGATCTGTACAGACCTGGGGATGGATTGTCCATGTTGAAGAAAGAACTCAAGTGCAAGCTACTTATTTTTAAAAATGAATGGAGCACTTAAAAAAATGAATGGAACACTGTCCTTCACTAACCTGCTTTGCAAATAAAAAAATGAAGAGAGAAAGGCAGGCAGACATAAAGGATTTTTTTTCCTTTTTATGTGAAAGCTTATGGGAAATTCATTAGAAATTTACATTTTAAATACTACAGATGAAAACTTTAAAGTTCAGGAATCTCAATGGGAGAACATTTTGGGAGGCCACTGGTAAAATTTCAGTCAGATTTTTTTTTAAAAGGTTGGTCAAAAAGGAAACAAAGTTTAAAATCTCTTGTATTTTCTTATTTGCACTTTATTTTTAACAAGGTTTCTTGCTTTTATTTCATTCTACATTTTAATTGAGGTCTGTAATAATCTCCTTGCTCACTTCTTTGATGCCAGTACATGACTAAGTACTATACTAAGTACTAAAGTACATTACTAAAGTACTGTACTAAGTACTAAAATCTATGATTTTCATTATGAGTTCTTTGAAGATCTAGATTACATTTGGGGTTATCCGGGAATTTTGAGTCAAGGAAGAAAAACTGATTTATCCTTGAAAACTAATTGGTTAAGTAACTAGTAGCATTTTATGCTTGTGTTTTATTGTTGTACAGGGAAAAGATCATGAATAATTTATTCACATTGGGGAAATCTATCATTGATATATCTTTGGCTATTAGAGTAACTTTGCCTAAAAGTATGAATTTTATGTATAATTTTTCGAATTAAAATGAGACAGTTCCTTTATGTTCTATACAAGAGAGTACGTATTAGAATGCCACAGGTGTCATGATTGCTATATTGGTTTTTGGAAGCACTACTAATTTTTAAATGATGTGGTAAATCTAAAACATTTTTATGTAATTTTAAAATTTTAAGTTCACTAAAATAATTTTAAAATTGTACAGAGTTTTATGTACCTCAGTGTTTTGAGCTTTTCTCTGAAAAGAGTACACTTAAAATATATATAACATGATATTTTAAAAGATAAATCAATATGTAATTGATCTTCGTCTTTTTTTAGCATAAATTACCAGTCTAATTCCAACTTAGAACTTGGAATTGAATTTAAAATGCGCACTGAGTTATGATGTATACTTTAATGTACACTTTTTAAAATTAGATGCATTGCAGTAGTTTAAAGTGGATTATAATGATTTTCTTTAGAAACATGAATACTCATAGTCCATGTACTGTGTTTTCAGGACATTTTTCAAGGCAAGTGTATGAGGTTTGCAGAGAGAATAGCATTTTAAAATGCAGTGAGAAAGGAAGATTGGAGATGGCTTTCATTAGCATTTTCTTACATTTTGATGAGTAGAGATTGAGGCCGTATTTCAAATTGCTAAAAAATAAGATTTAGCATGAATTTTCAGTCTTAGAGTGAGTAGATTATAGAGACAGGTAATAAGGTTCCTGGCAGAGGCTGGAAGATTTGGGGTCTGTCACTAAAGAACTATCTTGGGACTTTGGATGGTAATAGTTTACCTTGTCTCCAGGTTCAGAATAGGGCAGGTGAAGAAAAGCTATGTTTATTTTACCCATAGTTTCAAGCCTTCTCTGTATTGATCAGTAATTTATTCTAGAAGTTTGTGTGGGTAGGAAAATCTGAATTCCATATTAAAAATGGAGAGGAGAGGAAGGACCATTTTAACTTTTACCTTATTGGAGTGACGTGGGAAGCTGGCACATTCCTCTTCCATCATCTTCTATTCCTCCCCTGATTTTAATGAGGAAAAAACCCAGCTCTTCCATTTTCCTAGTTTGGAAAGAGGAAAACTGTACAGAGAAATATTAGACTAAAGATTGAAGAAAACTTGGCCAAATTGTAGAGGTTATGTGTCCCAACTGACATTTCATAATTTCCATCCTTCCTAGGCTGGTGGCAATGTTAAAATGCTCTCCATGCTTTAAAATTCTGGTTGACCCCACACCCCCACTCCTACTTACCCAAAAATATGGCTCCACTTTATACAAATCTGAATCAGGAGACTTTGAACACAGTGTAAATAAAACATACTTATAAAGTTTCAGTCAGTACAAAAATTTTAAAATGATGAAAACTTATTGGTCGTGTAAAAGGATATCTCCCACACATTTTATTAGTAGTCCTTTTCTACAGTGTGAATATACACTGCAGAGTACTGTTTCATAAAGATACATTGAATTTTCCAGTAGATGAGGCTTAATGTTCTTAGAGATAACATGCAAAAGTAATGGAAAATACTACATAAGATTAAATTAATATAATGTAAATTGAATGCCATATAATATTAAACTTTATGGAAATAATTTCTGTTGTAGTCAGTGATAATACAATATTTTTAAAATGTGGCAGCAATGTAATAAGATTGATTCATGTATGAGGCTTATGAAAATCAGTCCCATTTTAAAACTAAGGTTATTATTCTGTATAATAATATAAGGCAAATTCTATTTCTTACAATGGGTGTATAAGATATAACCATTCCTAGGATATACCTTAAATATCTCTGAAGTCAGTATTTCTCCTGAGATAGAGTTAAGTTGGTTTCTCCTTCAGTTAAAGACTCCTTGGTAGTTTTGGTTAGTTTCAAAAGTCATTCAGCTATTGAAACAATGAAAACATTACAGCATTTAGTTTCCGTGATTGTGCACATTTATTTGACATTTAGGCTTTCTGACTTGAGTTATGTTCTTAAATAAGAAGTAGGCAATATTTTTACTCATATCATGTCTTTGCTTTATCATTTATTATTTATTCAGTTTTTTACTGAGGTTTCTTTAGGTTTGACTCAGTATTTGCTACTTAAGAGGGTATGTTTTGGGTAATACATCAATAACTTGTATAGCTAGTAAATTTCCTAGAATATTTAAGGACTTCAAATTTTACCTTCAGTTTATGTGATATCACACCTGGCTATAATTTATATGATATTTAAAAATCTGTTTATGTATATATATGAGAAATTATTCAAATACAGGGGAAATTTCTTAGTTATCTTAACATTTTTTATCCTTTTAAAACTTAAATTTATCAAACATTTGTTTGCTTAATTGTACCTGAAGGCTTGTCTTCAATATTACTATCAGTGTCTCTCTGTGAATTATAATGGGATGGAGTTTCAGGAAATTTGTGTATTTTATTTCTTGTATCATAGAAAAGCTCAATATTTTCATTTATATATTTTTGGTCATTTAACAAATATTCATTGAGTGCCCACCATGTTTCAGGTCTGTCCCAGGCTCTAGAGATATAAAAGTCAACAACACAGGAGAATCTGCCTCCTTTGCCCTTACAATCTCACAGGGAATACAGATAAATAAATGGTACACACCCAGGGCCCCTACAGGAGTCGGGGATGGTTTCATGAACCACCTGAATATCTTGGCTCAAAGAAAGATATTTTGTACAGAAAGAATCTTATTTGTTCAAAGACTTAGAGGTTGAGTGGTTATAGGGTTTTTGAAAGCCATGTTGAAAGTTGAACTTTTTCATGACTGTAAGGAACAACAAAGAGACTGAAGCAGAGGTGTGACATACTGAGATTTACATTTAAATAAACTACTCTGGCTCCAAGATGGAATAAATTTTGGGGATAGGGATGGTAAAGTGGGACCACAAGACCTGGTTAAGTAATGGAAATGGAAGTGGTGGCTAGAACATGGCAACTGGAGTAAGAATGAAAGGTGAGGGATTTAGGTGGTATTCAGGGAGAAGAAAGTAGAAATAATTTGTTTCTTTTTTTTTTTTTTTTTTTTTTTTTGAGGCAGAATTTCACTCTTGTTGCACAGGCTGGAGTGCAATGGTGCAATCTGGCTCACCGCAACTTCTGCCTCCTGGGTTCCAGCGATTCTCCTGCCTCAGCCTCCCGAGTAGCTGGGATTACAGGTGTGCACCACCAGGCCTGGCTAATTTTGTATTTTTAGTAGAGACAAGGTTTCTCCATATCCGTCAGGCTGGTCGCGAACTCCCAACCTCAATTGATCCACCCGCCTTGGCCTCCTAAAGTGCTGGGATTACAGGCGTGAGCCACTGCGCCCGGCCGAAATAATTTATGTTTCAAAATAAAACTTTAAATAGCTCTAATTCATTAATTTCTGATGATTTGCTTTGTGGGCAGTACTTTCTATTCCAATAGTGTTTAATGACCATATTGTATATGAATATAAATACATGACTGAGAGTTTGAGGTAGATTAGTTTCAAGCAGATTATTCTTTAATCCAGGAAAGCTAAATAGAAATGTGAAAACTGGATTAGGTAATAAAGAATGGAAAAGAGGATGAAGAGAGAGTGTTAGAGAGTGATATACATACAAATAAAACCTGCCACAAATTTTACTAAAATTTATTGTTTGGATGCCTGATGCTTTATGTTTTCATCAGAAGAGTCTTAGGAGAGTGGTGTCAAAAGTATCCTTTGCTTTTCACGCCCATTATCGGCAGGTTTACTAGTTCCTCTTTACCCTAAATTATGTTGCATTTTAACATCCTGCAGAAAGCTCCCTGTGGAAAAGTCTCTGAACAATGGGTGGATGTAACAATACTGTGCTGTGTGTGCTGCAATTTCTGGCAAAATGCAGCATGTTAAAGCTGCTATAGTGGTCTCAACCTCCTTGCTTTAGGGGGACTAACTCTCTTTCTTGCAGTTACAATCAGGTATTTACGTTGATTTAATTTATACGGATTGGGAAATTGCACTATAGCATATGTACAGAAATTGAAATGTAAATCAAGAAATAGTTTAGAAAATAAAATGATTTCTCATGCTATTAACAGCATGCATTGTAAATTCATGCAAGGCAGTTAAGAATGGTATGCAGTGTGCTGTTTACCCAAGTTTCAGCTTCTGTTGAAGGATGTCTATTTTTATATATTACATCATCTCTGCTACAGAACTCCGGTGTCCACTGGGATTTACTGTTCTTTCATTCCATTTTGAAAGAAAGCTTGTATTGATGTCATAATTGGACCCATCTTTTGGTTGCACTTGGAAATTGAAAGTAATAAGGGTGTTGTGTAGCAAGTCATGCAATATTTCAAGCGATTTATTTGTCGAAAAGATCACTGTCACTTTGTCTTGCCTCTCCTTGTGAATACTGGTGGCTCTCTGTGCTTGTACATGTTTTAAATATACTTGGCTAAAATTTAGCTTTTAATTGCAACAGCGAAGATGCTTTTCATCTTCGACTGTTTCATTTCTTATCATGTGATTTTTTTTTTTGTCATGAGATTTTGCAGAGCTACATGCTGATTTTAAAAAAAGTCTCTTTTTTTTTTTTTTTTTGAAAAATCTACTTTGATATTCAGACCTATTTCCTGCCAGTGCTGAATTGATCTTTTTTACAGTTATCTGTTGTAAGTTGTCTGTTTTCACTGTTTGAAATATCAGGTGATTGGAAATACTCTCTTTTGGTTTTGAATGCAGTTTTAAAACATTATTAACCTGAAATGCCTCTCTGTTAGCTGGAAGATATTGCTGACTTCTGGACAAAACTCTAGCATTTTATGGAATATATAGATGCTAGGTTTTAAATCACTTGTGAAAGAAAATATTTTAATTATTTATATTAAGATAATTAAAAATACCTAATAATGCTATACGTATTTATCTATATAAAATTTCCCCCTTATTTTCTCTGAAAAATTTAGTCAGTATTATCTGTACTATTTTAATAGTAAACTTTTTTTTTAAAAACTGATCAGGGAAAAACCTCCACTTCTTTTTCCCAGTAACAGCTTATTTGAGATATAATTCACATGCCATACAATTCACCTATTTAAAATACATAAGTTAATTGTTTTTCTTTTTTGGTTAAAGAAACCCAGATACCATTAATGTTACCATCTTAACATTTTTATGATACAGCTCAGTAGGGTTAAGTATATTAGTAGTAAACTGGACTGACTGAGCATATCCATTTCACAGATGTACTGCCTAGCATCCTTTGTGGTAATTAAAATTACTCGTATTGGGAAATATCAAGGCAAAAAAGTAAAATAAAATTACACATAGGCTAAAAAATACCTTTAAAGATATTTTGGGAAAAAGTAATTGTAGAATCTATTTTTAAAACCTTACTAAATAATTTTATTATAGCAGTTTCTTATGGACTCAGTAAATGATCAGATATCCTCCCCCACCCCCTTAAATCTTCCTTTCTTTTAAGTAGAAGACAGAAGACAACATATATGGTGCAGTGTGTACTGCTCGGGAGATGGGTGCACCAGGATCTCACAAATCACCACTAAAGAACTTACTTATGTAACCAAATACCACCTGTACCCCAATAACTTATGGAAAAATAAAAATAATAATAATTAAGTGGAAGACAGGTGGTAGTTGGATGCAATATGACATTTGAAATAGCTGGCCTAGGGGAGAAATGGTATGGCAGCAGAGTGGACCAAATCTGTAATATGAATTGCTGATTTGGATAAATAGTGGAGTAATTACAAAGGGAAATATTTGAGGATGAAAAAGAAAATACTCAGGCTGTCTTGATTTTTACTCAGATGTCTATGAGAATAGCAATGGTAATCTGCCATTTGTGGTTTCAATACAATGCAGAAGACATTTGAGGGTATTAGAAAATAAAACCTCAAAATAAGTTGTGACATTTCCCTTTCACCAATTATTAGCACTCTTCTTTTTTTTTTTTTTTTTTTTTGGGACAGGGTCTCTTGCTCTGTCACCCAAGCTGGAGTGCAGTGGCGTCATCTTGGCTCACTGCAACTGAGAGGTGACAACGTGCTAGCAGCCCTCGCTTGCTCTCGGCGCCTCGGCCTCGGCATCCACTCTGGCCATCCTGGAGGAGCCCTTCAGACCGCCACTGCGCTATGGGGGCCCCTCTCTGGGCTGGGCGTGGCCGGAGCCGGCTCCCTCTGCTTGCCGGGAGGTGTGGAGGGAGATGCGCAGGTGGGAACCTGGGCTGTGCGCCACGCTCATGGGCCAGCACGAGTTCCCAGTGGGCACAGGCTTAGCAGGCCCTGCACTCAGAGTGGCCCGCCGGTGCTGCTGGCCAGGGCAGTGAGGGGCTTAGCACCTGGGTGAGCAGCTGTGGAGGGTGCGCCGGGTTCGCCAGCACTGCCAGCTGGCCCGCCTGCCTGCCCGCCCTGCACTTGAATTCTCGCCAGGCCTCAGCCACCTCCCCATGGGGCAGGGCTCGGGACCTGCAGCCCGCCATGTCCGAGCCCCCCACCCTCCGTGGGCTCCCGTGCTGCCTGAGCCTTCCCGACGGGCGCCGTCCCTTGCTCTGCAGCGCCTGGTCCCATCGACTGCCCAAGGGCTGAGGAGTGCAGTGTGGGACTGGTGGGGAGCTCTGCCCGCGTCCCAGGCGTGGGATCCACTAGGCAAAGCCAGCTGGGCTCCTGAGTAGAGTGGGGACTTGGAGAACTTTTGTGTCTAGCTGGAGGATTGTATATGTACCAATCAGCACTCTGTGTCTAGCTCAGGGTTTGTGGATGTACCAGTCAGCACTCTGTATCCAGCTAATCTGGTAGGGACTTGGAGAACTTTTATGTCTAGCGAGAGGATTGTAAATGCACCAATCAGCACTCTGTCTAGCTAAAGATTTGTAAACGCACCAATCAGTGCTCTGTGTCTAGCAAGTCTCGTGGGGACTTTGAGAACTTTTATGTCTAGCTAGAGGGTTGTAAATGCACCAATCAGCACTCTGTGTCTAGCTCAGGGATTATAAATGCACCAATCAGCACCCTGTCAAAACGGGCCAATCAGCTGTCTGTAAAATGGACCAATCAGCTCTCTGTAAAATGGACCAATCAGCAGGATGTGGGTGGGGTCAGATAAGGGAATAAACAGGCTGCCCAGTTTGCCGCCGCGATCTGCTTGGGTTCGTTTCCACAGCGTGGAGTAAATTTTGCTGCGGCTCACGCTTTGGGTCTGCCACGTCTTTAAGAGCGGTAACACTCACCGCGGAGGTCTGCAGCTTCCCTCCTGAAGTCAGAGACCACGAACCCACCAGAAGGAACAAAGACACATCTGAACATCTGAAGGAACAAACTCTGGACACACCATTTTTAAGAACTGTAACATTCACCGTGAGGGTCTGTGGTTTCATTCTTGAAGTCAGCCAGACCAAGAACCCACCAATTCCGGAGACACAACTCCACTTTTCAGGCTTAAGAGATCCTCCCACCTCAGCCTCTTTAGTAGCTGAGACTACAGGCGTGAGCCAGCACACTCGTGTTTTTTGTAGGGACAGGGTTTCGCCATATTGCCCAGGCTGAGTTTGAACTCCTGAGCTCAAGCGATTTGCCTGCCTTGGCCTCCCAAAGTACTGGGATTATAGGCGCCTGGCCCTGTATTTCTTTATACAAAAATTTAAACTGAACCTTTAAAAAAAATGTTTCAATCATCAGGACTTTTGGAACACTTAAGAAAGTTTTTAGAAAGGGATCATTTTGCCATTTGTTAATTTATGAAATAAGCATATCCCTAACCAACTGGGATGTAGAGAATACTTGAGCATCGTTGATATTCTTGATGTCATTTACAGTGGGCATTTTTGAGGAATACTGACGGCTCAGTTTAAAAATTACTCTGTAGTATAAACTTTTGCCTAAATTTTAGTATTAACTTTGGTTAGACTGAAAGAGCAGCCAGCTATTCTGCAAGCGGATTAAGTTGTCAGAGGGTTCTGCTGAAGTGGGTGTAAACAGGAAATCTAAGGACAGTTGATAACTGCATTCTTTCACATCAGCTAAGAGAGGCCGATTGTTTTCTAGTTGCAGCAGTTTTCAAACAGTTTCATCTCTGGACTCCTTTAAACTTCTAAAAAAAATTTTTGGCTCTAATGAGCTTTTGTTTATTATTTACCATATTAAAAATTGAAACAAAAAGTTTTAAATATGTATCCATTGATTAACTTAAAAATAGTGATACACCCATTACACATTAACATGAGGGTTTTTAAGGGGAAATATAAAACAAATTTATAAGAAGAATGATAGTGTTTGATACTTTAGCAAATATGTTTAATATTGGTCTAATAGACAGTTGGGTTCTCACATCTGTATTCAATCTGTTGTGATATGCTGTTCTGGTTGAAGTATGTAAAGTATATGAAGAAAATCTGGCCTCACATGCATAGGTAGTTGGAAAAGGGAAGAGTATTTTAACAGCTTTCAAAAATAAATGTGGGTGTTCTTTCAAAGACTGCACCAAAATTTGACCAGTAGTGGTTTCTTAAAGATCAGTTGCAATGAGGAATTTAAAACCATGTTAGTGTAACTTGCCTTACTCTCTTTTATTAAAACCCATTGGTCTTAATTGCACAATGAAAGGATCTTTTTACTTATGCATACTTTTGTAACATCATGCATTGGTCACTGGGTTAAACAGTCTTCTGAATTTTGGCGCATTATACAATATAAAGAAAAGTCACATTTGTTAATACCACCACAGATCTCATAAAGAAAGGGCCTTAATTATTAAGAAGCTGTCAGACTTACTGTGTTAGATATGTTTTTCAAAATTCTTTTAGTTGAAACTTCAAATTTTATCATTAGCAAATTATTATCATCTGTTTTTCTTCAAATGACAAGCTCATTTTGTTCGTTTTTAGAAAATACCTGCCAGATACCCAATTCCGAATAACCATAGTTTTTTTTTTTATTATTTGTTCTTTCAAATGAAAATGTTTTTCTGTGGCCAGGCGCGGTGGCTCATGCCTGCAATCCCAGCACTTTGGGAGGCCGAGGCGGGCGGATCACGAGGTCAGGAGATCGAGACCATCCTGGCTAATACGGTGAAACCCCGTCTCTGCTAAAAATACCAAAAATGAGCTGGGTGTGGTGGTGGGCGCCTGTAGTCCCAGCTACTCGGGAGGCTGAGGCAGGAGAATGGCGTGAACCCAGGAGGCGGAGCTGGCAGTGAGCCTGGGGAACAGAGCGAGACTCCGTCTCAAAAAAAAAGAAAATGTTTTTCTGTGAAAAAAAGGTGCCAGTTCACTTACGACTGGAATAATTGCACGTCTTTTCCTTGAGACAACCATTGTACATTGTAACAAAAGTGCTTTATGCAAACTTCTCGCTTCATCATACAGAATATTAAAAGGACGTATACTAATGGGTGGAGATATAATGTAATTAATTATTACTGCTTTATCAAGGACACTTTAATACTGGCATTTTCTTTTTTTGCCACTGTGAGTGGTGGTAAAGAATACAAGGACAATATTGGTAATAACAGTAGTTACATAGTAGTAGTGATGCCAGTGTCTTGATATATCCTAAGACATCAGTTAGGTTTTACCCATTTTTGCTTTTGCACTTGAGCGCAGTGAAAAAAGCAAGTAACATTTTAATGTCATAATGAAAACATAGTTTGACTTTATGAACTCTTAAGAGTCTTGGGGACCCTCAGGGGTCCTGAGACCATACTTTGTGAACTAGTCTCTTACAGATTTGATTCACTGGTTTTTCAGATTTTATTTGCATAATATAATAGAGTTCTGCAAATAAACAGAACCAGTGGAGCGTTAAGGGAAGGAGATATTCAGGAATTGGCGTATGCTATTGTGGATGCTGACAAGTCCAAAATCTGTACCTAATACAGCATGACTTTTTTTTTTTTTTTTTTTTTTAAATGAGACAGAGTCTTGCTCTGTCACCCAGGCGGGAGTGAGGTGGCACAATCTCCGCTCACTGCAACCCCTGTCTTCTGGGTTCAAATGATTTTCCCATCTCAGCGTCCCAAGTAGCTGGAACTACAGGCGTGTGCCACCACGCCTGGCTAATTTTTAGTAGAAACAGGGTTTGACCATATTGGCCAGGCTGGTCTCGAACTCTTAACCTCAGGTGATCCGCCTGCCTCGGCCTCCCAAAGTGCTGGGATCACAGGCGTGAGCCACCATGCCCCACCAGCATGAGACTTTAAATAGTCCTGTGGTGCATAATGACATTTTTGTCAGTGAACGACCACATACACAACAGTGGTCCTGTAAGATGAAGTACAGTATTTTTACTGTAGCTTTTCCGTGTTTAGGTATGTTTACATATACAAATACTATTGTATTACAGTTGTCTGCAGGATTCAGTACAGTGACATGCTGTACAGATTTGTCACCTAGGAGCAATAGGCTATCCCAAAGAGCCTAGCTAGGTGTGTAGTAGGCAACATTATCTAGGTTTGTGCAAGTACACTCCCATGATGTTTGTACAAAGACAAAGTTGCCCAATGACGCCGTTCTCGGAATGTATTCCCCGTCATTCTGTCGTTATGATGTGTGGCCATTTTTAAAACTTCTTTCTTCTCAAAACTCCCCTTACCTTATTTCTAGAATTCTTCTCTTTCTTTTGCTCTATTTTGAATATATAGTTTTTTTTTTTTTAACTGGTGCCTTTGTGCTGCCTTCAGTCTTTTTCTGTCTCCTTGTTCTTATATTAAGACATAAGTGACCAGTTTCCCTTGTTACCACAAAGTGTGATTGGCAACTCATGACTGTGCTCTGACATTCAAAATTCTTTCGGTAATCAGCTACTATAAAGCAAAATAATTGTCTGAGGGGATAGAGCTGCCTTTGGAAAGGCACCAGAAATGTTGTCTCAACTCCTCAAATCTGAAATGGTGGGTCTCCCTTGGTGAAAACTGAAATGGCCAGATGAATATTCTACGTGATAAGGGGTCACCATAGGTTCTTGCATTGTTTTTGGGTAGAGATTTTTTTTTAAATAGTCTCATTTTCTTCCATACTGTGTTTTTACTTTTATTGTAAATACCATGTTTTGTAGTAGTTGATTGGATTATTAATATCTTGTTAATTTTGTTTTTAATCTTAAAACTTCACTGAGTTTAGTGATATATACTTTTAAATTTTTGTCGAACAGATTTTAAGTTTGCTTTATGTCTTGGAAAAAATATTTACTTCCTATAAAATATAACCCATCCAGAAAACAGGTTTTTTTATACACTTGCTCTAAGACAATCTTTTAGTAAGCATTTCATAGATGATCAGTACATTTTGTTTATGTCTAGCATGCTGTTGAACTGACCAACATGATTTCTGAAATTCATCTCTGATCTCTTTTTTTAGTTTAATTTTATTTAAAGTTCCAGGATACATGTGCAGGATATACAGCTTTGTTACATAGGTAAACGTGTGCCATGGTGGTTTGCCGTACCTGTCAACCCATCACCTAGGTATTAAGCCCATGTATTAGCTTTATGTATCCTGATGTTCTTCCCAGTATGGCCCCCTGCAGGCCACAGTGTCTGTTGTTCCCCTCCCTGTGTTCCCTCTTAAAAGTGAGAACATGCAGTGTTTAGTTTTCTGTTCCTTGTTAGTTTGCTGAGGATAATAGCTTCTAGCTCCATCCATGTCTCTGCAAAGGACATGATCTTGTTCCTTTTTATGGCTGCAGAGTATGCCATGGTGTATATGTATCAAGTTTTCTTTATCCAGTCTATCATTGATGGGTATTTGGGTTGATTCCATGTCTTTGCTATTGTGAGTAGTGCTGTGATGAACATATGTGTGTGAGTATCTTTGTAATAGGATGATTTCTATTCTTTGGGTATATACCCAGTAATGGGATTGCTGGGTCAAATGCTATTTCTGCCTCTAGGTCTTTGAAGAATCGCCACACTGTCTTCCACAATTATTGAACTAATTTATACTCCCACCAACAATGTAAGTGTTTCTTTTTCTCTGCAACCTCACAGGCATCTGTTGTTACTTGACTTTTTAATAACAGCTATTCTGATTGGTGTGAGATGGTATCTCATTGTGGTTTTGATTTGAATTTCTCTAATGATCAGTGATGTTTGAGTTTTTTTCATGTTTGTTGGCTGCATGAGTGTCTTTTGAGAAGTGTCTGTTCATGTCCTTTGCCCACTTTTTAATGGAGTTGTCTGTTTTTTTCTTGTAAATTTTTTTTGTTTCTCGTAGACTCTGGATATTAGACCTTTGTCAGGTGGATAGATTGTAAAAATTCTCTCCCATTCTGTAGGTTGTCTATTCACTCTGATGATAGTCTCTTTTGCTGTGCAGAGGCTCTTTAGTTTAATTAGATCCCATTTTGTCAATTTTTGATTTTGTTGCAATGCTTTCGGTGTTTTTGTTTTGTTTTGTTTTGTTTTTTGTGAAACCTTTGCTCATGCCTGTGTCCTGAATGGCATTGTCTAGATTTTCTTCTAGGATTGTTAATAGTTTTGGGTTTTACATTTGTATTAGTCAGTTTCACACTGCTGATAAAGGCATACCTGACACTGGGCAATTTACAAAAGAAAGATATTTAATTGGACTCACAGTGCCACCTGGCTGGGGAAACCTCACAATCATGGCAGAAGGCAGGGAGGAGCAAGTCACATCTTACGTGGATAGCAGCAGGCAAAGAGAGGGCTTGTGCAGAGAAATTCCCGTCTTTAAAACCATCAAATCTCATGAGACCCATTCACTATCATGAGAACAGCACAGGAAAGACCCGCCCCATGATTTAATCGTCTCCTACCAAGTCCCTCTCACAACACTTGGGAATTACGGGAGCTGTAAAATGAGATTTGGTTGGGGATGCAGAGCCAAATCATATCAACATTTAAGTCTTTAATCTATCTTGAGTTAATTTTTGTAAAAGGTGTAAGAAAGGAGCAATTTCAGTTTTCTGCATGTGGCTAGCCAGTTCTCCCAGCACCATTTATTAAATAGGAAATGTTTTCCTCATTGCTTATGTCAGGTTTGTTGAAGATGAGATGGTTGTAGATGTGCAGTCTTATTTCTGAGTTCTCTATTCTGTGTCATTGGTCTGTGTGTCTGTTTTTGTAACAGTACCATGCTGTTTTGGTTACTGTAGACTTGTATAATTTGAAGTCAGGGTAGCATGATGCCTCCAGCTTTGTTCTTTTTGCTTAGTATTGTCTTGGCTATATGGGCTCTTTCATCCCTGATTTCTCGTTTCTTGTCCTATCCCATTTAAAGTCTTAGGGGTCAGTTGTAGAATTAATGAGTGAATGCCTTCCTGTATTAATAATATGAAATGCTACTTTATGACACACCTAGGTAATGTAATCTTCCATGAACATGAACTATCTGGCCAGTTGTTAGCAATTCTAATAATGATAACCTGATATTTACAATTAAATATTCTAGTATTATCTTTGGTTTGTAAATATCAAAATGGTAGTAACTGACAATTTCAAAGTGTAACTAAAATATGAATAGTAAAATACTCTCCATGCCTTTTTAGAGCTGCTAAAGAGAGGGAGAAATTAGGTGTGTGTTTTGTTTGTTTATTCATTTATTTATAAAAAGGAATATTGAATGCTGTTATCTTAAACTCATGTGGCTGTATTGGTAGGCTGACTTTTTTCTCAAGAAAATATTTTAGAAATTTTTGTGTCATTTAAAATATTTTCTATATTGAGATGGTCTTCTATATTTATTTATTTTTCAGGCAAGTTTATTTGGAAGCATTTCCCGTCTGGAATGTATTTGATTACAACAAAAGGGCAGGCACAATTCTATTTCTGGTAGTAAAGTCTGTTGGTTAATGCGTCCATTTATAATTACTGTCACTTTCTTTTTTTTAGAAAGACTATTAAACCATTTTGAAAACTTACATAGTTTGATATTTATTTCCAGACACTAGATTTTTTAAAAATAAAAATGTATTTGTTAAATATTAAATTTCTGAAGACTCAATAGGTCTATGAAAGCAGATAGTATCTTTATGCCATTGTGTATATCCTTTGCACAACAGATAATACAGGTCTCAGCAATACCCTGGTTGTATCATGTTGATATCTTTGGATCAAACTTGCAAAATTAGCATTATTTAGTATTTCTAGGAGTGGCATTATAGATCTTCCTGCTTTAACAGGTCTATACAAGGATATCAGCACAAAGAACTTAGTCCCAGACAACTGTACATTAATTAATGGGTTGGCCGAGGCTTGAATGCAGCTGACTTTTTAGAATATTTTAGAGAGAATAAAACTGACACTTATTGAAGGTTTATGATACACCAGTCTGCTAGATGTTTACTGATGTGTTTTGTCAATGAAACTAGCCCACAGTTCAGTATTTCCCCGTCAGTAGATAAGCATGCACTGGCCAAAGAGGTTAAGTAACATGTTCAATATTCATGGTCACTCAGGTAGTAAATGTTAGAAAGCCAAACATAGGTCTTTCCCATTCCCAATCTATGAAATTACTCATTTTTAAAAATGAATTTAACATGTATTGCTTTTTATGTTATTTAAACTTAAAATGTGGCCCAAAGGAGATATATATCAAATAATTTAACCGCTTTAGAAGTATACCATTTAAGTGCCTTTTGAAGAAAGAGACTGGGGCATAGAATGTCCAATGTCCAATATCCAGAAATGATGACTGAGCTATATTTGCAGCAGTTATGGACTTTGGTTGATGAATCAATCTTTTCGTTAGAAGTTAAGTGTTTTTCCTTTTCTGACCATGTATTTCTCATTAATAAAGCACAGCTATCTTTTTTTCTTTTTAACCTTTCTAGCTTCATTCCAATAGGATAAGTTTTTACTAGTAAGTAGCACCATTTCATAACAAAGGGATGACCGTGTAACTAGTGTATTTTAAAAGTTAGGCCCACTAATATTATAATAAGGAAAGCCAAAATCTTGCAGAAAGATCTTTTGTAGGTATGACTGTTTAATGAACTGAAATCACTTACTTACAGTTGTCTAAAATTATTCATAGTTTTTAGAGGTGAAAAAAATACCACTCATAAAATTTCATCTTGTGTACCAGAAAATGTTGGAAGTGTTTTGGTAATATTTAAGAATATTGAAAAATATAAGTAAATCAAAGAGTTTTAAAAATACTTCTATAAAACTATCTAGTTATATATAATCTGAATAATTCAGATTATTGTTTAAAATCATCTTTAATCCATTTCTAAGTTTGGCAACTTTTAATTTTTAAGGATGTTAAGAAGAAAACTTCTATTGTCCTATTATCACTGTAGTTTGTTTTTATTATTATTTATTTATTTATTTTACTTTTTTGAGACAGGGTCTCACTCAGTTGCCCAGGCTAGAGTGCAGTGGTGCAGTCACGGGTCAATGCAGCCTTGACCTCCCAGGCTCAAGTGATTCACCTCACAAGTAGCTGGTATTACAGGTGTGCACCACAACGACTGGCTAATTTTTTATAGAGACGAGGTTTTGCCATGTTGCCCACACTAGTCTTGAACTCCTAAGCTCAAGCAATTTGCCTGCTTCAGCCTCCCAGAGTGCTGGGATTACATGTGTGAGCCACTGCACCCAGCCTAATTTTTTTTTTTTTTTAAAGTAAGGGACATTTTAATATTCTCCCTCGCACTGCCAAAACAGAAAGACAAAAATCTTGGAATGAAGGAGTTATTACGAGGAAATCTTATCCCCAAACAGTTTTGTTTCCGTTAATGTAGTGTTTTTTTTCCTATGATTCTATATTATATCAGCCTTTCTACTCGCATTTTCCCGCCAGCTGATGTTTGGTAACTGCCATGTTAGATAAGACCACCTTAAGAGTGTGAAAGGATTTAAGAATCTTCTGGCTGAACTACTTAATGCAGTTTAGTTCTTTTCTATAACCACTAACATTCAGCCTCTACTTTTAAGATTTTTAAATTACAATTAGCACAGGTATTTGACACTCATCCTTTACAGAATGAGTGTCAAATTTGTATCCCAGTGCCTGGTACAAAGTAAGAACTTAGTAAATCCTAACAGTTATTATTTATTAGAGGAAAAGGTTAATTATTATTATTTTTTGAGACGGAGTTTCACTCTTGTTGCCCAGGCTGGAGTGCAATGGCGCGATCTCGGCTCACCACAACCTCCGCCTCCCAGGTTCAAGTGATTCTCCTTCCTCAGCCTCCCAAGTAGCCGGGATTACAGGCATGCGCCACCATGCCCGGCTAATTTTTTGTATTTTTAGTAGAGACAGGGTTTGTCCATATTGGTCAGGCTGGTCTCGAACTCCTGACCTCAGGTGATTCTTCCGCCTCGCCTTGGCCTCCCAAAGTGTTGGGATTACAGGCGTGAGCCACTGTGCCCCACCAGGAAAAGGTTAATTTTTTTTTTTTTTAGACGGAGTCACTCTGTCACCCAGGCTGGAAGTGCAGTGGTGCAATCTTGGCTCACTGCAAGCTCTCCCTCCCAGGTTCACGCCATTCTCCTGCCTCAGCTTCCCAAATAGCTGGGACTACAGGCACTGCCACCAAGACTGGCTAATTTTTTTTGTATTTTTAGTAGAGATGGGGTTTCACTGTGTTAGCCAGGATGGTCTCCATCTCCTGACCTTGTGATTCGCCCACCTTGACCTCCCAAAGTGCTGGGATTACGGGCGTGAGCCACCGCATCCAGCTGAAAAAGGTTAATTATTAAGAAATTCTTGAACTTAGTAAATCCTAACAGTTATTATTTATTATAGGAAAGGGCTAATTATTAGGAAACTATTATGGTTAGCTGTAATCTGCCTCTCCATAATTTTAGTTCATGTTTCTAGGTCTCTTAAAGCAACACAAGTGAATATTAATATTCCATTTTTATATAACTGTGTTTGAGATGTTTACAAAGATCCACCCTTTAATCCTCTTCTTCTGTATTAAATATTACCAGCTTTTTGTAGCTTTCCTAAACCAGTTACTGCTTGCTGTTGTTTGCATAGGTCCTGTAATACCCTACAGTGCAGATTACAGTAGAATTTTCTGTCTTCTTTGCTCTGGACATCATAGGTCTGATCATGTAACCTGAGATTATATTAAGATTTTGGGGATTGTACATTGGCTCAGAGAGAGCTTTTGGCTTGCTCTGTTTTATAGATAACCCCTTCTACCTCCCACTCACCTATGAATTGTTCCTTAAGCCTGATTCTCCCCATCCTGTTCTTGTACAAGTGACATTTTGATAATATTCATGTAGGTCTTTATATTTATTCCTGTAAAATTTAAATTTACTGGTTTTAGCCTACTCTTTTTGCCTATCAAATTATTTAAAACTCTGGATTTTGTCAGTAAAGAAATTAGGCATCTTTTATAATTACTCACCCATCCTGTGTCTGGTTCCCCATCTTAAACAGTGTGGAATTTAACAGGTTAGTTTTGAAGTTTATGTGGAATCACTTATGCATTCATTCTTTGAACAACCACTATGTGTCAAGTACTAGGGATAAAGCACAGTCTGTTGTTGACAATATCAGATAAGTTTTGTGTGGTTCCCCTCATCTAACTTATAATTCCAGTTTGTGATGCAGTATTTCCTGTTTTTCTTAAATAAAAACAGAGGGATAATTAACAGATCATTGTGCTCATGCAACATATTAATCCCAAGGGAATATATTACAGTCAAATTAGTAATAAAGATAATATTCTTTTACATATGCGGTGTTAATGTGTGAAATATTAGTGGGGGGGCCTTGTTCTACAGCCTCGCCCCTAGAAAAAGCATGGAAATAATTCACAACCACTGTTCAAGGACTCCACCTCTGAAACCTTGAGCAGAGGTTTGTAAGTGAAGTCTGGCCTTTTTAAAAGATAGATTCTAGGGAATGAAGTAAGCTTTGTTAAATCTGCTGCTAAAGTCTGCCCGTTTTTCAAGTAAGTGCATTTTTAAAAGCCCCACATGGGAATTTCTCATGGACTTACAGGCTTCTTTGTTTTTCTGCATGTCTCCATCTCATGTCATCTTTTAATCTTTCCCTTCTAACATGCTCCATGTGAATGTTTCTTATAGATAGTTGCCACATAATTTTCGTATATTTCTTATAGATAGTTGCCACATAATTTTTCAATTACAAATCAGATGCCACATAAACAGTTTGCCGTCAGAAACTTTTTTTTTTTAACATTTCCTTGGAACGTATCTGTGGAGTAAATCATGGTGATCTTTTTGAACTCCCAGTTAGGTTTTTCTGATACTGAACATGAACTCAACAGATTCTTTGTGTTTCTAAAGACTGTATTTAGATTCACTTAGATGTTTAGTTAGCATTTCCTATGTGTCAGCCATTGCATTGGTTTCTTTCACATTTTATTTCATAATTAAATTATTCTTAATAATGAACCAGAAGTGCCATTTCACTTTATGAAAGTAGAAAAATGAAATTTTAGCCCAGATTTCCTCTGTGACTGCTTTGGGTGGGGTGTGTCAAGGACTTGTGTGAGGTATACCCAAAGATGAAATAGATGACGTGAAAATGTAAGATTGAGTTAAAATATAAAGTTTATCAGATAATCAACTTTTCTTTTAAAAGAAAATGCACTATTAATGGGGGATGTATTGGCTTTAGGAAAAGAGAAGTAAAACTTCTGACCATATCTACCATCTTTTATTTTGCATTGGCTTAGTGCTTAATTAGTTTGATGTACTCATATAGAAAATAGCATTTTAAAATGACATTTTTGGGGGGAACAGTGAAACACTAAAAATCCAGTTTGTAAAATTTGTTGTTTTCTCGTATCAAAGAATGACTTCTTTCTGCTATACCCACAAGTTTTCCCCAGCCTCTATGGTTTTTCCTCTGTGGTAGTGGGGAGAGGGAATATTTAACTATTAAGTGAAGTAAGTGGTATTAAGAAACTTAGAATTCTATTTTGCATTCTTCTATACTACTAACTCTATAATCTTATACACTTTATTTTTCTATTAAAGATAAGTACATTATTCTCTTGATTCCCTTGCGTTTTGATGAAGTTTAATTAAATGTTTGTAAAGCACATTGAGATCTATGGTTAAACACTGTATATGTTCTAAGTGTGATTAATCATTACTGAGAACAGACCATTTTTCTCAATTTCATAGTAATTAGAAAGTGAATACTTTAGGTGGAAAAAAAAAGAATATAATGATATTAAATATAGCCTGGAAAGCCTTTGCATTAAGTAGTTTCCTGAACTATATAATCTCCATTTTTTTGGAGTGTTGTTACTGATAATTTGGAAGTCATTGGATGTTATTGACAGGGTAGAAAGTTCTTACATGGTTCTTTTTCTTAACAAGATCTAGTTAATGCTACTTGGTAATGGTTAAGGAATGGGGTAAATATAACCCAAATTAGAGTGAACTTCAAGGTAAGTGTGATTTTTTCTTATTTGTATAAAATCTATAATATGGGTTTCTCCTAAATCCTTTGTTTATATTTCTTTAGCAGTGTTTGGCGTATTATAACCTGCCATAATTGTGTTTCAACATACAAGATAGTGTGGATAACGAAATTTCTGTATTACAATTATGAGTTTTAAGATGTGTAGGTTGTAGGCATGGAGCCAGGCTGAGAGAGAGATCATGCCAAGTCTTAGCACAGAAAAGCATCAGTGCCTAAGGATGTGTGATTTTACTTCATCTATAAGGTTTCCCGGTTAGGTTAGTTTCCTTCTTGAGATAAGTCACACATTTTCCAGAGAGAGGCAAGCAATTGGTAACCTACATATATAAAGTCAGATACCATCAGCATGGGGGTAATTTGACTTAACCTTGAGAGGAGTGTTTTGGCACATGGATATGTGTTTTGTGGGACACGGGCCAGATGGAAGGTGTAGAACTTGATTGTTTAATCCCTGAGTTGCCATTTACTTTTTTTAAATTGTGATAAAATATAAGTAACATTAAAATTTACAATTTTACACATTATTAAGTGTAAAAGGCCAGTGGGATTAAATACATTCCCATTGTTTTTGCAACCATTACCGCCATCCATCTCCAGAACTTTTTTGATCTTCCCAAGTTAAAACTCTGTGCCATCAAACAATAACTCCCCAATCCCTCCTTCCCCCAGCACCTGTCACCCTCCATTCTACTTTGTGCCTACGTGAATTTGACTATTTGACTACTCTGGTATCTAGAGTAGAGCATTATATATTATTTGTCCTTTTGTGACTGTCTTATTTCTAGCTTGATGTTTTCAAGTTTTATCCATGGTGTAGCATGTAATAGAAATTCATTCCTTTTTAAGGCTGAATAATGCATATACCACACTTGTATGAATATCATTCATACATTTTTATCTGTCGATGAACACTTGGGTTGCTTCTACCGTTTGGCAACAGTTTACTTTTAAGTCGTTAGTTATATCTATTACAGAAAAATATTTGGACTTTTGACAGAAACTAGTCTAGAGGATTAAATGGGGTCTTTCTAGTGCCCTTTCCCAGTCAGTGGAAGGTTCACTCACTCAACAAGAACGTGAGTGCCTACAGTGCTTGGTGCGGTGAACACAGGAGTACACACAGACAGATATGGCACCAGCCATCATGGAGGTGAGAGTGTAGTGGAGGAAGCAGACAGTAACTGCTTAAATACTCTTGGGACTACATGCAAAATTACAACGGTAGTAAATGAGTGCTTCAGTGAAGGGATAAACACTAACATGAGATTTCTGAGGGTATTTCACCAGTTTGTTTTTGGGAGTGGAGGTGGCATCAGTCAGGAAAGGAAGGAAGAAGGAAAGTTTCAGGCAGAGGAAATAACATGTGCAAAGGCCCTTTTGTCTATGAAGGAGGCAAGAGCAGCCCCTGCAACTTGGGAGTGCAGAGAGTGACCATGAGCATGGTGTAAGTCTGGAAAATGTATAAATCTTGCAGATCATGATAAGAGTTTTGGTCTTTATGCCAGGAGCAGTGGGAAGCCATGGAAGTGTTTTGTTTTCATTTGTAAAAGGAGCTTAGTGGATGAGGGCAAAATGATCAGGCTTTAGTTTTTATAAGATATCAGGAGGTGGTATGGTAAATAGGTTGGGTGGATGGAGTTAGAATCCAGACAGTTCCTTAAGGAGACTTTTGCAGTTCTCAAGGCAAAAAATAATGATTGGAGTGGGATGATAACAGCAAAGACAAAGAGAAATCTAAATTTGAGAAAAATTAGAGAATGTAATAAACAGATGTTGTGATGGATTGATCATGGACAGAGATGTTAAGGAAACTCTTAGATGTAGAAATGGCATAACAGGATCACTATGGTTCATCATGTAAGTATTCCATGGGATGAGGAATGGTGAAAACCAAAACAGATTGTTGAGAGATTTGGTTGGGAAGTGGAGGAAGAGGAAAATACCTGGTCTGGAGAATGATTCTGTTTTTGTTTTGTTTTTGAGATAGGAGAGACCTGCACATTTAAAAGCTGGTGGGGAGGACTCCGGTTGTGGGGCAGAGGTTAAGCATATGTGGCAAAAGAAGGATAATGGGTAATGTAAGAAAAGGGGTTGGGGGGATGGGGAGAAGGATCCAAAAGAGTGATGTGGTGGGAATGGTTGCCTTTAGATATGAGGAGAAAGAAGGAAAGAGAATAGGGTGGGTACAGTCTTTGGCAGTAGTCAAGAAACACAAGTCAGCAAGCACTGACAGTTCCAAAGTCAATTATTAAAAATGCTACATTTTCTGTGTCTATTTTCTATTACATGTGCCATTGATAGATAAACCTGATTGTGAAAAGCTGACAGTGTTTCAGAATTAAAATGTCCTTATTCTTTGTCAAGTATAATGCAGTCTTTCAAATACCTACATATGTACATGAAATTAAGAGTTTATAATAGAATAATGTATCCGCATTTTATTTCAACTCTCTACCTCTGAAGTTTGGTTTGGTTTTTTAAAAAAAAAACCTGGGTAGGTTAATTTTTTATATTATTTGCAAGGCAATATGTGCATCTGTGTGTGTGTATGTGTGTGTATGGGTGTTTGTGAAAATCACATCATCTAAATGTATACAAAGCTTGTCAAGTATGCATTTTATAAATTTTTGATAGATACTTGTTTACTATAGCACAGCAATATTTGAGGATGGGATAGAGGTCACATTGATTCCTTTATCTTCACCTTGGTGAAAAAAATCATATTTTAGTTCAAAGCTGTTCAAGTAAGTCCTTGCTCCGTTTTCCCACCCTGTCTTCAGTGATATTATTTGGAGTCAGCAATCAATGGATTCCATCCCTCTGAGACTTGCTTAACCTACAGCTGCTGATAGAATACAGGCAAGAGCTTGTTACTTTATCTGAATTGTCCATTGCTACCTTAATGAGTGAAATGGTTAAGTAGAGGAGGGGGCGAGTCTTAAGGAATGTGTGTACCATTTGAGCTGAATATTTCAGTGTGTATAGGGAGAGGGAGGGTGAGAGAGAAATCCACTTACATCACTAGAACTGCATTGAGTGTGAGCCTTGCAGGTTAAGAGACAGACTACAGTGTCTTGCTTTCTGCAGGAAGCAGCAATGCCGTTTGTTTCCTAAGAGGAATTTTTTATTTAGAAAAGGAAGCTTTCTATCCAGGAAATGGCTTTCCTTGTGCGTTGCTATGCCAACTGCCTGCAGCCATGGTCCTCCAAAGTAAGCACAATAATGTAATTATATTGGTGTATTGCATTCAGACTCATGATTTTTGAGATTGTGTGTGTGCATGTGCTGTGTTTCTGTTAGTGGCTCTCTTGCTAGCAGGCATGCTTGTGTTGAGTGTGAGGGACAGACATCATTAAATTAAATGTCCATCAGTGTCATGCTGCCAAGATTAATTGTGCAAACTTGGTTAGTGGAGTGGGACAGAGATCACTGGTCACCACTCTGTCAGCATCATTAGCAGCTAGGGAGGAGTTCCCGATTCACACGCTCTGCCCTGATTTTTTTCTTTCTTTCATTTTCTTTTTTTCTCTTGGTTGGAGGGTTCTGTATGTGTGATTGCAGATGAAACAAGGGTATTAACAATGCTTGGCTGAATGCTAGAGCCTGGTTCTTATACCACCCTGACTAATATAATTCTGTGTTAAGCCTTTTTGAGGGGAGTCTGTGTGCAGTCAGCCATTTTAGCTTTTTTCTTTTTTTTTTTTTTTTCCTCTCCTTTTCTTTTGCCTCTTGTTCTTCAATCTCAGAAATGATCTTGTTCTCTTGGAAGACTGAGAGCTGTGTGAGGTTTTCTCAGTCTTGTCATAGCCTAGGATGGTTAGAGTTTCAATGTTATAAAAATGGAGACGAACACTGTTGTTCGGATTCCTTTTCTGGTCTACAAGTGTGAAGGGTTTTTAAGCTTACCAGTAGTGACACTTTAAGCTGCAGCTTGGTTTTCCCTCCTCCCTTTTTTTTTTTCCTTTTTCTTTTAATTTAATGCTGTAGAGGGTGACTTGCCATCGTGAGAGATTGGTACATGATGTGTAAATTCAGTTCAGCATATGTTTCTTCATTATGAAACCACTAGCAATCCCAGCTAACCATGGAGTTATGGGCCAGCAGGAGAAACACTCAGTAAGTATCGCAAATGCTGCTTGTGCTTTGATAGCACGTCATAGAGAACTGCTTTAAAATGGGAATTGTTGCTCTTTCTCTTCAGGGAAAACAGTTTTTGTAGAAGGTATAGTAGTCTGCTTGGAGAGGAGGGGAGGGTGCATTAAAGCTGGCTTGTTCTTCCAATGTTGTAATTTTTAAAAATTTGAAGCAAGACCAGCAATTTATTTAAAGCAAAATCACTAATACTGAGAAATATTGGGCAGCTAATTTTTATATTTAGAAACTAAAGCTTGACAGTTCAGCTTCGACTTAGTACTTGAATAGTTTTCAAAAAAATGTTTTTGTAGTTGAATTTAATGAGAAATCATCAGAAAGGTTATTGAGAACGGGAATCTATAGTGAGGAATTCGCATGTAGGTTTGAGTGTAGGAGGGAGAGCTTTGGTTATTGATTTGGTAATAAAGCGATCAGTGGGACTCATCTGATTTCTTAACATGTATTCATCACTTATGGAAACACAGCTTTTTTTAATGCCACAAAAAATTATTGCTTCTTTATAATTGATCCCATGAGTCAGCTATGTGTTTGTCATGCTGAAATCCCATGGGCAGCTACCGAGAAAGACTTTTCTATGCCTAACACCAAGTCAGAGCCTCCTGTTTCAGGAATGTGAGTTCTCATGGTGCTACTTTTATATCACCATGTTGGGAGTTTTCTGGCATCACACAAATTCACATGATTGATACATACATAAATATATTCAATCGTGAAAATGCAAACGCATAAATTTAGACAGCCTGTATAGTAGTCTAGGTATTTTTGAAATGCCTACTTCTACATCCTAGCATCTAGCAGGTTATTAAAGTATAGGAATTGTCTTTCATGTATTCTAAAGAAGATAAGATGGTAAACTTTAAAAGTGGAAATAAGTCGCTGAGGCTTTGTAAGTTTATAGATAGAAGGCCATGAATGTAGAATATTTAGATGCTGAGGTTCATGAGTACAATTTGGTTTTGTTCATTGTTAGGAACAAAATTACTAACTAAATCCAAGAGATGTTCTTAGACTAAGTGATTCTTTGCGCACTGTCTCACCTCAGGAATGAGCCATGCGAGCTGCGCTTAAGGCAGCGGCTGTGTTGGAAGCATGTTATGACGCTGCACCGAGAGCCCAGCCCGTTACCATGAGGTCCTCGTGGTACTTCACTAATTAACTCTCTTTGGATCAGATCCAGAAAAAGACCAGCCCTAAACTTAATTTCACTAGTAGGAAAGGTTGTTGTAAAGAAGTTCCATTGTAGTTTGATTTTCTTAACGGGGCCTTTGAAATTAAACTCTTCTGTAGTCATGATTTTCCAGGTAAAAGTAAGAGTGTTAGTTCAGCTATGCTTGAGGAACCTTAGAAACAAAAATTAAACCCCAGGCTTTTTACTTACCTTTTTCATATGTCTTTTCTTAAAGTGTGTGTATGTTTGTGTGTGGGGGTGTTTAAATGAATAATAATATAAATTTAATGAACAAAGAAAATTGATGGCTGGGTGTGGTGGCTCACGCCTATAATCCGAGCACTTTGAGAGGCAGAGGTGGAAGGATTGCTTAAGGCCAGAAGTTTGCTACTATGGGCAACATAGTGAAATCCATCTCTATTTAAAAAAAGAAAAGAAAATTGTTAAAACCGTTCACTGCCAGGAGGAGGAAAACACATTACTACATTTATGTAAAGGCCAGTTGGGACAGATATTACCCAATAGTGCCTAAACTAGAGTCCCTGATCTTATTCTGTAAGCCTGTTTGTTTCCTGACAAGTGCCTATATTTTGCTACAATTTAGAGTGATATTAGACTAAAGTAACACTAGTGATAAAATAACTTTGGATCAAGCAATTTATAGAAATCTGTGAGTGGTATTGCCCATGACACTTTGGTTAGAACTTGAAATACTAGAATTTGCCATCTCAAGATGTCACATGCAGCAGAGTTGGCAGCTTACAACATCAAGGTCTGGCTGTATAATTGTTGACTAGTCCTTTGGTTCTATTGAGTTTGCTGTGTAATAATCAGACCTTTAAAATTTTAATTGTATGTGAGGAGTTGAATAAGAAAATAGTTACTCAGGCTCTCAATAAGTGACTCAATATAGTTGTTGGGTAAAAATGAGTGAGAAGGCCCCTCTTTCATCCTATGAGGCTTTATAGTGTCAGAGCTAATTTCAAATGAATAGAATTTATTAAATTCACAAATACTTCTGTTTTGCTTATTCAAAAAGTTTGTGGGCTTTTAAGTGGCTTTGCTTCTTTGACTGCAGCAGGTAGTGCAGTACTAGAAAACAAAAACCATTAAATTTGGGGTGGGGGCATTTTTTTTAGCTATGATTAGGCACAAATAGTAAGCTCAGTTTTTCTACTTTATCAGAACCTTTCAGATCTCATGGGCTTTATTCTTTATTTGTTGTCTGTCTCATTCAGTGCATACCTCAGTTGCCGGCACATAATAGACGTACGATAAATACCATTGAATTTCTCTTTAAATTTTTGGATTAATAAAGTCTCAACTTTTTTAACTAGTAATTTTTACATATTTTATTACACCTCCCCCTATTTCCATTTTATGTGGTTGATTGATAATACTAAGATGAATACCCATGTGTCACCAGAAATGCACCCAGCACTGGGCTGTGTTTTTATAGTCATGTGGTGCTTTTCAGTTAGTCTTCGGAGGAATCTCATGGTTTTGTGAATATAAAAATGTAAAAATCTTGTGATTTCTTTTTAAAATAAGAGGAGGTTGCTAACATTTCAGAAATGTATTATGAGACTGCATTTTTCAAAAGACTCCTGTAGACCATTAGTTGAATAGACTGTTAATAGATGGTAGATGAAAAAAGTTTTATAGGCTCATTAAGTTAGGGAAATTGTTAGCATTAAAAGTCTCTTTACTCAATTTACCAACTGTTGTGTTTTTTTAAAGTGGAGCTCTTCTCTCCCCATCTTGCCCAGCTCAGATGCCTTTGAAAATTTCCCAATATAGGATGGATTTGAAACTTTGTAAATTAAAAAAAGTTTTAAAATAAATTGATTTGGTGCTATCAAACTGATAACATGGTTTTAAATTTTACATTTTTGTAGAAATTGATTTATGTAGTGTGCTATACTTAAATCACAGCCCAAGTCATGATTAAATAATAATAAAAATGGTAGTACACATAAGAAAGTGCCCTACTTAAATATAGGGAATAAATTGCAGTAGCTGTAACTTATTGAGTAATGTATTGCATAGCAGACACTATATTACATATTATCTCAATTCTTAAGAAACAGTATTACCTTTTTACATATGAGAAAACTGAGATTAAAAAGAATTTTTTTCAGGGACATATTACTAGTAAGTGGTAGAGCCATCATTGGTACCCCAGTTTGTCTGATTTTATAGCCATTGCCTTAACCACAGACTTGTACTACCTACCCCTATGTGACCAAATTTAGTCTACTTCAGGTGTGTAGACTGCATAATTATCAGAGTTAGTATTAACTAGTGGAATACACAACTTGAAAAAGTGCTTTTTTCCTGCAGCTATCTTTTTCCTGGCATATGTGACATTCCAAGCAGCAAGAATATCATGATCAAAATCATTTTATAAAACTTTCATTGCTTGGCTGAGTCAATAATACATCTATCCATTTTGAAATCATGTTGAGACTTGAGTTGAGATGGTCAGGAATAGTTGCCATTTAGCCCATTTCCTTTCTTCCTTCTGCTTTTCTGTGTTTGGTCTTACCATGTACATTTCCTTTTTGCTGCTTAACTCTTTAAACATACGCTCCATGTCTCAACTTCCTCTGCCTATTCCCTTTGTAACCTCTGAGTGCCTGACCGTGGCCATTTGTGTTCTACCAGAAGTCCTGAACCTTGCCATTTTGTCTCGCCTGTTTCTGCCCCAGTGAACCCTGCATATACAGTGCAGCCTGACTTCAATCATGATCACCTCCCTTAAGTCCATACAGGCCACGATTCATTTGTTAGCCATAAGTATCATTTTCATCATACATAAGCCCCTTAACCAAGAAGGATATAATGTAACTTAACCATATTTTCTAAATTGCTATTGGTCACTTAAGGCCCTCTATAATCTACATTCTTTCCCTTATAAACATACAAGATTGTGCTCTTTTATTTTAGGACAAGCTGGCTTGATTATAAACACTTCAGGCTCATTTTCTTTTCTCATTTCTCAGCTTGCTGTGTTCTTGGCTTGACTTTGACTTGGTCCTTATCTCTTCATATTTATCTCTATCTTAATGAATCAGGATCACTTAATATGCAGTGCTTAATTTTATTAATTCTTCTAATTGGTGCTTATAAATTTGTTTGGTCTTTGCAGTTAGATGACAGATTACATCTGGAATGAATTCCATGTGTTCAAAGGGTATGGTTGGAATTTAAAACTGTTTATCAGCTGTTAAGAGTACAGTATAGAGAAGGATTTTCTAGGCTGGAAGAATAACATGTGAGGGCCCAAGGCAGGAAACTATAGAAGAATATGAGGGTTTGAGGAAAAACAATGAAATCATCACTGTTAGAGTAGACTGTGTTAGAGAGAAGTAGGTCAGTACAGGTGATGGAGTGGAGGATGTTAGAATACCAGATAAATTAATGACTATTTTGAAGATGCAGCAAAGGAGTGTAACCTCTTTCTTCACCTCTCCTTCCTATCTTTCAACTGGAACAGATTTAAGAAAACTCAATTAACAAAAAATGTGTTATATTACCATGACAGTTTGACCTTGTCTGTAAACATTGGGTAGAGTGTCTCTTTAGTATATTTTGATTGATGGATTTTCCTTAGCAATGTAGAAAAAAAGCACCAGGACTAATTGTAGAGGCTAGGTTATGCCTCTTTTGGGTAAGACTCCACCTCTTCATTATCTGATCTTTATTTTGTCTGTTATAACAGATATATTTCCTGAGATGAAATAAACTTATCTCTTGGCATGATTTTCCACTGTGCTTGCTAGCAGAGGGGACTGAGAGGAAGCATATCCTGTTGTTTTATTCAAGGACAAGGTCATCTTGCCTTGGATTTGGGCCAAGAAACCCTGGCAACAAATAATAGATCTTTTTACCCCCATTAGAAGTGAAGAAATGTATTTAGAAACTTGCCAAGACATTGCATACTCTGCTTATATGTGCTTTTTGTGTCACAGGACATAGTAAAGTAAGATCTTTGCTTTTAGTCAAAATAAGTATACCTCATATCTTTGCCTTTAAATATTTTTAGTAATGATCCATTAAAAAATCTGTTGGAAAATAAAATCAATTTAGATTACTGAAAAAAAGAATGATTAACTTAAGAAAAAGCAAATGCTCAAAATGTGTCATTAGGAATTCAGTTATTCTCCTTTAACCATTTAGCCCTAGTAAGATCAGTAATCAGTTTCTTTCTTTCTTTCTTTCTTTCTTTCTTTCTTTCTTTCTTTCTTTCTTTCTTTCTTTCTTTCTTTCTTTCTTTCTCAATTTAAATATTATATAAAATGCATCAAAGTAAATGCTCTGTAAGTTTGGTCTCATAGGTATAAGTATTCCTTAAACATAACCTGACATTTCTTTCTCTTTTTTTCGAGATGGAGTCTCGCTCTGTCGCCTGGGCTGGAGTGCAGTGGCGCAGTCTTGGCTCACTGCTACCTCCATCTCCCGGGTTCAAGCAGTCTTCCCCCTCAGTCTCCCAAGTAGCTGGGATTACAGGTGCGTGCCACCACGCCCAGCTAATTTTTGTATTTTTAGTACAGGTGGGGTTTCGCCATGTTGGCCTGGCCGGTCTTGAGCTCCTGACCTCAGGTGACCTGCCTGCCTTGGCCTCCCGAAGTGCTAGGATTACAGGCTGAGCCACCACGCCCGGCCCTAACATTTCTTTAATCTGCCTCCAGAGGTTTGACCAAACTCTTAATTTATTCAGGTAATCTATTAAGAATTCCTCCAGAGTAATGCTTAAGTTTTCTTCATTTTCTTTTGTTTAACAATAAAGGTAAAATCCTTTCACAGTTACTTTAAATCCTTAATGAAGTACTTTTTAATGCTTACTTTATATCCCTGATTTTTAAAAAAGTAACATTACTGTCATGTCTGTAGTGATCTTTATAAACTTTTGAAAGCCTTTTCAATTTAGATCAAATAACTTTAATCATTATATATTTTATTTGAATATGGTTTGCTTATAAGCTTTTTTGAAAAATATTTTAAAAATAAAACGAATGTCTAAATATATCTACATAGAGATATAACCATGTGAGCATGTATAAAAATATATACGTGTGCGTGTATAAGTGTGTTTGTAATTTAAATGAAAGTTTGTAAATGTGTCCTTAAGGTCTCTATTTAAATTTCCTTGTTCTGAGATCTTTGTTCTCTCTGACCTACTTTTTCTTCATCCTTAACGAGTGGTCTTTATCTTTATAGACATGACACATGCTTGTGATATTTCCATATAGTATTAAGATGCCAGTGCTATTAGTATTGTCTTAGGTATTACACAGAATGGGCTAAATGGAACAGTGTCTGATTTTTGGAACATAAATTAAGAAACTAATAGAAAAAATATATTAGGGAATGTAGATATAAATTTGCTACTTTAAAGCTACTTTAAAGACATGATATAACAGAGCACACTTTAAAAATGCAACAAATTGCATCATACAAGAAGTTCCCTTAAGCTCACCAATGGTCCCTGCCACTCACTGTCTTTCCTATTGGTGCAGAAACACCCATGTCATAAAGAATTAATCACTTGTCACTCTCTGCCATTTCTTCTTCTTAACTGAACCCCTAACATAGGCCTTATATGTAGTTATGTTTTTCTCTGTCTCTCGTGTGTGTGTGTGTGTGTGTGTGTGTGTGTGTGTGTGTGTGTATGATATATGAGAATCTTATAATTGCACAGTCTGTGATACATCATATCTTTATAACTTATCAATCATCCACTGTCTATATTTCTTTTGTACTCTGAAGTCACTATATAAATATGCCCCATATGCTTCAGATCTCTTCATTCTACATCAATAGACCAAATTCTCTTTTACAACTTACACTGGATATTCATCATAAAGGCTGTTTTCAGAGACATCTTAGGCATGAGTTAGCCTTAGATTTATTAACAAAGTGACAGCCTGAAAAATTTCTTTACAATTATCAAAGTTACATTCTTCTTTAATGAACTCTAGAGAAATACATTATTGGTTTGTAATATTGACTTGGTTTGATTATTAAATGAAACATACCCTCCTTTCCCCTTTATCGATACATCTGTATACATGTACTTATTTCATATGTATGTGTATGTGTAAATATAATTAATCCATACTTTAATTTTTAATTTTAGTATGTAGAAAAAAACTAGAATTAAGATTTGCTTACTTTATTAGTAAAAATTGAGTTTTGAGAATATACGCTCTATCTCTTGTCATAGATGTTTTATTTTCTTACTCTTCTATAATAGAGTTGAAAATACAGATTACAATGGAGTCATCTTATTATAGGGTATTTTCAGTGGGCAAAAATTTACTAAAAGTGGCAGAAAAGAACATCACACTTTTCATGATAAAGGAAGACAATAAAACATGAATGTGAAAAAGCTGAAGAGTTGTAATTTTTTCATTCCCTCTCTTTTCTTAGGGAAAAAAAAACGGGTAACCCAGACACTTTTACTCTGTGAAGTATTTTTATTAAGTGGAAGCACTCTTGTTTATTTTTCTCAGTAATTAAGAAATATTTGGAGTTAAATGGGAGTATTCTGCCATATAATTTTTATGGGTACTATGGAACTGAGAAGGACTAATAAAGGTACTATAGTAATTTTAATACTTAAACCTTAGGTACTTAGTATCCCAGTATCTTTAATTGTAGTGAAAAAGGAGATTGCCTTGAGTTCCTTGTCAGTAAAGATTTAGAATGATTCTATAGTCACTGGGCCTATAGTGGCTGGGTTGGTGGGGTTTGGGGGAAGTTCAGCAAAATTGAGCAATGAGTAAATTTATGCCCCAGGTTTCCAGTGATTGAGAATGTGAAGGATGAAATTAGCTTTTTCTTTATGACTAATTGATTTTACACTTACTTGTTTTCTTAAAAGTATACTTTTGTTCATTTTAAATGGCAACTTAAAGATATGGATGCATAGGACTTCCTATTTCCTGTTGAAATTAATATCATTTGTTGAAATAGTCAAATGTCAAAATCATAGTATTTTAGGGATAACATTTACCTAAATATAAAAATAACTTAAAACAATTTTATATAGAAGAGGGTACACTTTGAATAGCTAAACTAATTTTCACTGCTTTGTTTTTGTTACGGTTATTTGAGCAGCAGGTTGGTCTGTGTCTTATTTGTTATAACAAATAAAATTTGAAATAGCTTAGCTAAAGAAAATATAAACACAGGTGACAACATTTCTTCTCCCTTTGCACTGTATATAGTGAACCTTTTATCACTAAAATCTTTTAATGTGTTCATTTTAGTTGGGCATATTCCCAGATTTCTTTACCGTTCATTGTCCTTATTTCCCCTCTGAAAAAAATGAGCAACCTGATGTAAATGAGAATTAAAGCATGTCTGTTGAACATCCTCACAAAAGTTCATTAGTAGTGATATTAAGAAGTTTTTTCAAAAAAAAAAGGAAATATGGATAACTTTAAAATGTCTTCTAGCTGTTTCTCAGAGCAAGACTAGTTAGGGACTATCTTTTTTTAATTATTATTATACTTTAAGTTGTAGTGTACATGTGCACAACGTGCAGGTTTGTTACATATGTATACATGTGTCATATTGGTGTGCTGCACCCATTAACTCATCATTTACATTAGGTATATCTCCTAATGCTATCCCTCCCCCCTCCCCCTACCCCACTACAGGCCCAGTTGTGTGATGTTCCCTATCCTGTGTCCAAGTGTTCTCATTGTTCAATTCCCACCTATGAGTGAGAACATGCAGTGTTTGGTTTTCTGTCCTTGTGATAGTTTGCTGAGAATGATGGTTTCCAGCTTCATCCATGTCCCTACAAAGGACATGAACTCATCATTTTTTATGGCTACATAGTATTCCATGGTGTATATGTGCCACATTTTCTTAATCCAGTCTATCATTGATGGACATTTGGGTTGGTTCCAAGTCTTTGCTATTGTGAGTAGTGCCACAATTAACATACGTGTGCATGTGTCTTTATAGCAGCATATGATTTATAATCCTTTGGGTATATACCCAGTAATGGGATTGCTGGCTCAAATGGTATTTCTAGTTCTGGATCCCTGAGGAATCGCCACACTGACTTCCACAATGGTTGAACTAGTTTACAGTCCCACCAACAGTGTAAAAGTGTTCCTGTTTCTCCACATCCTCTCCAGCACCTGTTGTTTCCTGACTTTTTAATGATTGCCATTCTAACTGGCGTAAGATGGTATCTCATTGTGGTTTTGATTTGTGTTTCTCTGATGGCCAGTGATGGTGAGCATTTTTTCACATATCTGTTGGCTGCATAAATGTCTTCTTTTGTGAAGTGTCTGTTCATATCCTTTGCCCGCTTTTTTATGGGGTTGTTTGATTTTTTCTTGTAAATTTGTTTAGTTCTTTGTAGATTCTGGATATTAGCCCTTTGTCAGATGGATAGATTGCAAAAATTTTCTCCCGTTCTGTAGGTTGCCTGTTCACTCTGATGGTAGTTTCTTTTGCTGTGCAGAAGCTCGTTAGTTTAATTAGATCCCATTTGTTTAATTAGATCCCATTTGTCAATTTTTGCTTTTGTTGCCATTGCTTTTGGTGTTTTAGTCATGAAGTCCTTGCCGATGCCTATGTCCTGAATGGTATTGCCTAGGTTTTCTTCTAGGGTTTTTATAGTTTTAGGTCTAACATTTAAGTCTTTAATCCATCTCCAATTAATTTTTGTATAAGGTGTAAGGAAGGGATCCAGTTTCAGTTTTCTACATATGGTTAGCCAGTTTTCCCAGTACCATCTGTTAAATAGGGAATTCTTTCTCCATTTCTTGTTTTTGTCAGGTTTGTCAAAGATTAGATGGTTGTAGATGTGTGGTATTATTTCTGAGGGCACATCAGAGTCATCTGGAAGTCCTAGAACACAGGGTTTGAAGAAACCCAGGATAGAATGGGGTTGAAGATGACCTGCTCCCACATTGGTTTAAATACTCTACTCTTATAATTTATATGATTTTATCATTCCTACCCCTAAGGAACCTGAGTACTGAAATATATTGAAATAACTACTCAGGGTTCCACAGGAGCTCTCGAAATTTAGCAGTGGGTGGAAGGCGGGAATCTGACTTAGAAGTGAAACTGCTGCTAGTAACCCATCTATAAAAATAACCCAAGTTAGGAAATAGTTAGTACATGTGATTATGAAAACTATAATCTGGCCAGTTGTGACCTTTGTGAAGAAAGTTACGTAAAGAGAAGGGATTAGTAAGAGCTGTAGCATTGTGGTCAGAAAACTCCAGAACCAGTAACTTGGATTTACAATCTGGCTTCATCACTCATTCGCTGTGTGACCCTGGCTGTGTGGTCTTTTAACATGGAATCTTCATTTGTAAAATGGAGGTAATACGGTTGTGTGAAGATTAAATGAGGTAAAACCTATAAAGTACTTAGAATAATACACAACCCATAAATACAATTCTTATATTTTTGTAGGAAGTTTTTATCCACACTATCCAGGAGGTAAGGAAAATTAAACCTGTTACACACGTGAGGCAGAGACAGTACACTTGAGTACACTTGATGTTTCCCTTTCCTTTAGGTGACTGTCCTTAAGTTGGTTTGCCTTTTCCATCCCCTACGGTTCCATACTCAGCAGCAACCTTCTTTTTACTAGTTCATTATTAGAGTGAAAAAACAACAGTAATGATATCATTAGTTAAAATGGAAGGCTCCCTTTGTTCCAGGCAGTGTTCGAAACTCTTCATTTATGATCTCATTGAATCCTCACAATAATGTAAGAGTGCTGCCTCCACATACTAAAGAAATCAGGACATAGAGAGGTAAAGTAACTTTCTCACAGTCACAAGCTAACGCCTGGTGGAGCCATTGGCAGGTTTTTCTTGTACGTGCAGATGCATGCGCACGCACAGGTCTATTTGGGGAAGCTGCATGAAACACCTTCCTTTGTACATAGGTTAAAGGATGGACAATTCCTTTTGTTTTCAGTGTGTCCTGTGGATTATAATTCTAATCAGAAAGTCCTCGAACAGTTTATTCCTCCCTCAACATTTAGAAGTGATTTTCTTTCAAGTAAGTTTCAAAGGGCTTTCATAAGTGCCATGTCGTAACTGCTACCATCCCTGACATAAAATGTAGAGTAACTTTACCTTGATCTCAATGGAAATAAAAGCAGTATATTTTATTGTTCCTCAGTCTTAGCCAGAATTGCAAGAATACAATTTTGTTTTGAAGAACTACTCTTTAACTCTTTATATCCACATCCACATTTTCTTTTCTTTTTCCTTTTTTTTTTGAGACAGGGTCTTACTCTCACCCAGGCTGGAGTGCAGTGGTGTGATCTCAGCTCACTGCAACCTCCACCTCCTGGGTTCCTGTGATTCTTCCACCTCAGCCTCCCGAGTAGCTGGGACTACAGGTGCGTATCACCACACCCAGCTAATTTTTGTGGATTTTTTTTGGTAGAGATGGGGTTTCACCATGTTGGCCAGGCTGCTCTCTTAACTCCTGAGCTCAAGTAATCTGCCCGCCTCGGCCTCCCAAAGTGCTGGGATTACAGGTGTGAGCCACTGTGCCCGGCCTATATGCACATTTTCTCTTGTTAATTTAACCTTTTAGGAGCAGGTCACCATGCTTATCTGAAATTTCCCATCCATATGGTTCGCCAGAGGTCTTTCATGTTATCCTTTTTTTAGACTTGGATTTAGAAAATAATCCTGCTTTGACTTACTATTTGGGTGATATGATTGCTCTCTTAATTTGTTTCTAGTTAGATAAGTAATTTATAGGGAGCTAATTTTAGTATATAGCCGGATGAAGGAGTTTTCTCAGCCAGACTGACTTAGCAACATTGTCTTAGCCATTTAAAATACATATAAATAAATAATAATTAGGTTTGTCTTTATTACGGTTTTGACTGTGAAATAATAATTAGACCTTTTAGAAAGCTGTATTAAGATATATTTTAACCTAGCCACAACGGAGCACCCTGAAATCCACTGATGATGGATTCTTCTTTCTTGGCACTGCTAGTGGCACTATATTCGGTCTCTACTCTCTGAAAAGAGTGTATGTCTGATCATGATGGCTGTGGTGTTAGAGTAGGTAGGACAAGAGCACTTCCCTGAAGGAGTTCGTGTCAAGTGCTGGCTTTATTAGTCACAGGTATATACATTACTCCTTTCTCTGTATTGTTCCCTCCTTTAAGTGTCATCCAAAGCTGCTATGGAAAAAGATATTGTCGTCAAGTTTGTTTATAATAAAGTTAATGAGTGACTTTGAATTGTGAACCCTGAGCCTGAGAACAAACTGGATCTATATTGAAGTGTCATACATAGTGTAGCAAAACTTATTAACAATACTCATTGTATATTATCTTCAAGCATTTTAATAAGCATATTTAAAACAAAATCTTGATTTTTTTCAACTGTGGACCTCTACACAGCAATAGGAAAGAACTATTCCAACTAGGTTTTTTGTGTAGTAAAACAATAAAGTACTTTATTTACCAAGGACCTTGATTTGAGTTCTTGTTCTGATGTTAGCTAGCTGTACAATGCGTAGACAAGTAATTTAACTACTTCTTTTTTTTTTTTTTTCCTGAGACGGAGTCTCGGTCTGTCTCCAGGCTAGAGTGCGGTGGCTCCATCTCAGCTCACTGCAACCTCTACTTCCGCCTCCCGGGTTCAAGCGATTCTCCTGCCTCAGTCTCCCGAGTAGCTGGGACTACAGGCACGCACTACCACGTGCAGCTAATTTTTGTATTTTTAGTAGAGATGGGGTTTCACCATGTTGGCCAAGATGGTCTCGCTCTTTTGACCTCATGATCTGCCCGCCTTGGCCTCCCAAAATGCTGGGATTACAGGTGTGAGCCACCGCACCTGGCCATCATTTAACTTCTTAAAGTTATTGATTTCTCCCTTCAAAATGGAGATCATGATTGTAATACTGGTCTTACCTCACAATATTGTTTTGAAAATTATTGGCTGGGCATGGTGGCTCATGCCTGTAATCCCAGCACTTTGGGAGGCTGAGGCAGGTGGATCACCTGAAGATCAGGAGTTCAAGACCAGCCTGGCCAACATGGTGAAACCCCTTCTCTACTTAAAATATTAAAAATTAGCCAGGTGTGGTGGTGGGTGCCTGTAACCCCAGCTACTCGGGAGGCTGAGGCAGGAGAATCGCTTGAACCCAGGAGGCGGAGGTTGCAATGAGCTGAGATCATGCCATTGCACTCTAGCCTGGGCAACAAGAGTGCAACTTGATTTCAAAAAAAAAAAAAAAAAAAGAAAAGGAAAAGGAAAATTGTTAATAGTTACAGTAATAATTAAAATTATTTTATTAAGTGCTCTGTGTGTGTTTGTGTGTGTGATTTTCTTTAGTCATCTTACAATATTAGGAGCAAAATGGGGTTCTGCTCCTCATTCTATAGATGAAAACTTGAGGTTTAAATGAGAAAACTGGAGTTCATGTCATCAGAATCTTTTTGCAAACTGTAAAGCTTATGTGAATGCCAGTTATTGTTGTTAGATTGTAATGCTCGAGTCATTCCTATGTGGGTTGGAACCCAACTCTTCTCTGTAGCTGTGTGACAGTAGGCAGATTGCTTCAATGTTCAGAACCATTTTTCCTGATCTGTCAAATACTGTTAATGATGCATACTTCATAGGTTTTTGCAGGAATTACATATCTGGCACATGGCCTGACACACGGTGGCATCCATGAATTTGACTCCTGCTTTTTCAGCTAGGATATTTTCATTTTCTTGATTTTTAAATAGAATGTTGATGGTGATTCAGAGATTTATTTTTCTTTATTTGATTTTAACTTCATAGAACATGATTTTCTGTTGGACATCTTAGCTTAATTACGATTTAAGATCCTTTATTAACTACTCTTTACACATTGATGCTGGTTTGCAAAATAGCTCATAAAAGATCATAATTGATATGAAAAATTTCTATTATTTTTTCCCTAAGTACTTCAATTTTTTCCCACTTATTAAGTGATTTTGTGCAAGTCGAGCTGCTTAGTAAGACCTGTCTTTGTAGTCATTTCGTGTGTGTGTGTTTGCAAGGAGGTATTTTTAGATAGTTTAGCTGAACAGCAATCTGACGTCTTTAGAGGAGACATCAGTTCATTATGTGGATACAAATTCTATGCTTTCGGCTTTTATACACCAAGTCTTAATTTAAATCTGTTTTTCTTGCCTTTTCTAACGAAAGAGACTACATCATGGTATGTATTCTATTTCTTCCTAAGGCTTGCCTTTCTGGTTAACCTTTGCTTAAGAAATGATCAAGGTAGAAATGTCTTTATTTGCTCACAACTTAATATAGATTATAGAAGCATGGGATTTGGGGCTGTATTTAAATATGCCATTATACATTATGCTATACAGTGTTTTTCTATTGCAATGTGATTCAAGGATTTAAAATAGTCATTATGGGGCTCATAAATGCTGCGTTCTTTTAAGAAGAAGAATGTAAAGGCCAGGATGTGGGAGTTCTATACTTCCTATAACTGCACATACTGCTGTATCTGTTAAAAAAAATGCCTTTTTCTTTGTGAAAGATAATTTAATGTTGAGTATGTAAGAGGAGCATGGTTATTTGCTTTCTTACTGCTCTAAATACAGTGTTTATAGGAAGTTATAATATCTTCTTTTATCTGGTTCTCCTCACCCTTTTCAAAATACTGGGAAAACAAGCTCTTAAGGCTTAAGCAAATTCATGTTAGTTGTTTGTGACCCTGATCTCAAAAGAGATAATACCTTTGGTTAATGATATACATAGTACCTTTGGTTAATGATAAACGTCGAATTTTTTTTTCTAATTTTACTACAGCTAATGTTGAGAAACTATTCATATAGAACTTTAAAAGATTTTTAAAAAATAATTTTCCAATGTGTTCTTTATTTCTTTTCCAAAATTTAAGTTATATCTACTACATGTCGAAATGTCAAAGCTTGAGTGAAAACTTTTGTTATTGGTTCAGATGTGTTATCTGCATGGTGTGAAGCATCCAGGATTTAAAGCATGGTTTTTAGTTTTCAGTTTAGTTATTTGATAATGTGTGAATTCACTAGAATTTTAGAGATATTTTAATTATTACAATGGAATTTCTCATATTTTATCTTATATCATAAACATGAATCATTATCAGAGAGAAATGAATTATCTAATGCCAAAGAAAGATGCATCTTAGAGTGTCAGGTTAATAATGGGCATCTGTATGAAGATGTGGAGATCTTTTATTCTTCAAGAAGAAAGCAAATAAGTTTTTTAATATATTGAAGGATCAAACAAGATATTTTTATAGTATGAAAAACAGAAAGAGGAAATCCTAAAGCCAGGACATTTTTTTAAAAAAACCCTTTCTTGTTCTTAAAAATTAGTGGTGTTATGTAACCATTTAAGTATTTAGCTGAAGCCTGATATTAAGTGACTCAGATTCCTAGCTTCTTAATGATGCGTCTTTACAGTGAAATTCAAGCAGTTGCCAGATTCTTAAGCCATGAGTTCATTCTCCACCCCCCTCCCCAAATTTGCATGCAGTAAAAACTGAGAATCTGTGCCAAAAGAGGTGTTAGCACTGAAATTCTTACATGCTAAATGTAACATTTGATTTTAGGCTGTTTCACAGTGAAATTGTATTTTAATTTAAGAAAAATGACCAATGTCAGGCTGAAGTTTCTTTATTGAAAAGTAACATAAAAGCTCTGAAATCTGTCTTCATTGGCTCCTTTTAACTTCCCAATACACCCCACCAGAATAACAGTTGTTTTTTTAGAGTTTTCCCCAATCAATGGAGAAAAGCACCTACCTTCGCCTAACGTAGTAACACAGTAATGTACTAACTCTATCAACTCTACTCTCGTGTAAGCCAAGTATTTTCTTGCCTCAGCCTTGATTTGGAGGGAGAAGCTTATGTAAGCCTTTTCTTGTACACATAACTCCAAGGAATCCTTCAGGAATTGTGAAATTGAGCACCTTAAGAATTTTTCCTAAGGGATCATGGAGAAGTCAGGTTGGAAATATTAAGAATATAGTTAATGCCTACCTCCCACCGCCATGGAGACACACACACACACACACACACACACACACACACACACACACACACACACACACGAATTGTAAATGAAACAGTGCCCTGGTGGGGGATACGCAGTGCCTGACTCCTCTGGATTTCATTCCAATAGACACTTTATCCCTTTTTTCCTGAATTAAGGTGATAAATCTTCATTTTTGGTTCAGTTCACTTCAAAATATCTCATAGATTTGAACCATCATTAACTGGAATATATGAAATATATAAAATTCTTGAAAATTGTTTAAAGACATCTTTCCTTAACTTACTCTTCTACCTGGGTGCGGTGGCTTCACGCCTGTAATCGCAACCCTTTGGGAGGCCAAGGCGGGAGATCACTTGAGCCCAAGAGTTGGAGACCAGCCTGGGCAACATAGGGAGACTTTGTCTCTACAAAAAAACTGAAAAATTAGCGGGGCGTGGTGGAGCATGCCTGTGGTTCCAGCTACTTGAGAGACTGAAGTAGGAGGATCACTTGAGCCCAGGAGGTTGAGACTGCAATGAGCCATGTTCCATTCTGGGTGACAGAGGGAGACCCTGTCTCAAAAAAAGAAAAGAAAAGAAACATACTCTTCTTGTGTTGACTGGAGATTTTTTCCACCTCTATTACTTTTTTTATGTTCCAGTTTTCCATAGTTGGTAGAATACATTAGAATAAGCCCTATTTAGTCATATATGAAGGTATGTATATATCTAGTTTACATGAAGCTATCTAGTTTATAAGCACCAGAGAATCACAGATATCAGATGTTGGCCTTCAAGTGAAGAGGACACATAACAAATATCAAAGTTTATGTCTGATTTATTTGGTGTGTTTTGTTATTGATGTTTTGGTTACTATTTTCTTTTATTGATTTTAATCTGAATTCTATGAATTACAGTCTAAAGGGAGGATTCCATCTCAGGAGGTTTGCTAATCCTGTTGATAAAATTGAAAGCATTAAAGAACAGAATTTATTTACAAAGCTACATTAATTCAAATGACAAATATCTATCCAAGTTCATATTTCACTTGAACTTTTATTAGGTTTCTATGTTTGGAGGAAGCACTAGGTGTTTCTCAAGTTCCTTAAGAGATTTATAAGCAAAAGTGTAGACGTTTAAGCAAACTTAACTTTAAAATATAAATGAATTCCTATTTTACATTCCTGTGGGGCTACATGTATGTAACTATTTTAAGTAAGGCTTAGCTCAAAAGGAAGAGAAATCTTGAGACCTTTTATCTACTTACCCCATGTGTTTATTGATTTCAAGAATCACTGTCTCATCACAGTACGGATCAGAATATTCCCTCCCTCATCATCATTGTCATCTTGATCATCATTGTTGTACTTGTATGTGTTAACTTGTAAGCACTCAATGAGCAGGTGAAAAGTTTTGCAAAGTTTTGCCCACAAAATGAGACATCAATTGGTTGATTATAATTTTAAAAATTAAGACTCTATATTTAATTGCCCACTGGATATTTTGATGTGGATGTTGTCACAGATTTGACATGGCTAAAATACAACTCTTAACACTTAACTGTTCCCCCCAACCACCACCACCACCACCACCACCACCACCACCACCACCACCACCACCACCAAATACTAACCCAAACCAACCAACCAACCATGCAGTCAACAAACTATTAGAGTCCCTAGTTTTCCTCATCTCAAATCACTGGGGTTGCCATCTATGCACATATTGAAACCCCAAACCTATGGATTATCTTTGGTTCCTCAGGTTGCTCAAACCTCTGTATCCTTCAGCAAGTCTTATTTCTTCTACCTGCCTCACCATGAATTGATGTTCTTCTCTCCATCTCCATTATTACCACCCTGGTCCAAGCTACCATCGTCTCACTTGTACCATTCCTAATGTTGTACTGTTCCAAATACCTAATAGTACTTGTACTATTCCTAGAGTTCCCCTTATTTCTCATCTGCCCTTCTTCTGCATGCTATTCTTCACATTTATAAAATATAAATCAGACTTATAAAATGTAGATCAAACTGTTATTTCTGTGATTTTAAAACTCCTCAGTAGCTCTCTATTGCACTTGGACTAGAATGAATCTCCACTCCCTGGAGAACTATGCATGAACTAGCCCCACTTGTTCTTCTTACCTCTCATTGGACTTTTCTCCATCTTACCCACTCTGCTTCCATTGCTTTGATCCTCCCTTTGTACATTTAACAGACCAAGCCATGGAGCCTTTTCCGTAGTTGTTTCTTTTGCTCAGAATTTTATCTGTGATGCTTACCTGGCTGGCTTCATGACTCTCAGATCTCAGCTATAGGAGGTTTTCCTCGGGCATTTCTGTTACACCATATTATTCTAATTCTCTGCCAAACATTGATTATTATATTTTGGGTTTTTGTTTGTTGTTGTTCATGTTATTACTGCTTGATTATTATGTCTTTCCCCACTGGAATGCAAGCTTCGTGAGAGTATGTACCTCATCTATTCAGTTCATCACTCTGTCTGTAATGTCTAGGATGTGTTTAATATAAAAAAGCCATTTGATAAGTAATTATGGAATGTGTAAGAGGAAAATTAATAAGAAGTACAAAAATGCAGGTATAGGCAACATGTCAGTAAGCTTAGAATTAGTAGATAATTGTTTCATCTTGAGAGGATTTTTTTTTTCTCTTTTGACTAGATTAAACTTAGATAAAATCAAATTTGGGTATAAAGACTGGAGGCAATAAGTAGCCAGTAAACATCAATCACTGAATATCCACATTAGCAATCTTAATGATAAGTTAAGATTAACACTGTTAACTATTGCTATTGTTATGTCATGTGATTCTTTAATATTTAACATTTTAATAAAATATGGAAATAAATATTGTTTACCTAAGCAGCAAAAAAATTTTGATATAAGCTTCTTAGGAATTTTAGATGATACGGAATTTTAGAAATACAGACATTCTATTTAGGAAGAATATTAATATGGATTATTTTGAAGATCAAACTGTCTTTGAAGGCCTTCAGTGTAATTCAGTGCCAAAAATCACGTAAAGCTACTTGGATGTCTCCTTGAGTGATAGGACTTGACTATAAAGCATTATGAAAGTTATATGCTTCTCTAAGAGCAATTATATTTAATGTATGTATATCATGGAATTGAAGTAAAAATATGTTAATTTTTGTTTACATGCATAATAAATTGTTAATAAAGAATTCCAAGTTACTTTTCCTTCTTAGGATTTATGGGGGTTTGTGGAATACTTGTCTTTAAAATTAATAATAGTTTACATTGTAGAAAATTTGGAAACTACTCAAATTAATATTTTTCTGTGATATAAAAGCAAAATCTAAATTCTACTTTAAGCAGTGGCATAGCTAATTCACCTCTCTTGATATCGGTTCCTACAGCTGTGAAATGTGAAGATTATACTAAATGAATCCTCAAGCTCTTCCAGGTCTATGATTGTGCTTTATACAAAAACTTGTATTTGCATAATGCTTTATATTACCAGAATTCTTTCACATCTGTTTTCCATTTGTTCTCACAACTGTCTTGTTAGGTAGGCAGTACAGACCTTGTTATGTCTGTTCCACACTTGTGAGTAAACTGAACTACTAAGAATTTAAAATTATTTTCTTGAGTTAAACAGCCATCTTGGAACTAGCCATGTATTCTCTCTATAATTTCATATCATAATCTTTGACCTCCTGATGCTAATTCCTGGTGATGTTAAGTACTTAGTCAAAGTAAGTATCCATATTTCATAAGTTACCACTGCAGTAACTTGAGAATTTTAAAAATCTGACCTTGGAAATTTGGTTATCCACTCACATAATCTGTAGGAAGCCAGTACTAAAGTATTGTAGCGATTTGTGATATATACCTAATCACCTTTATGGTGCTTCCAGCATATCAAATTTTTACTTTTTTAAAAAGTTGAATAGCTGAATACAGAGGCTTCTCTAAAGTACCTTCAGGTTAGGTTTTGAAAGGCGATTTTTAAGTTTGTTGTCCAGATGGCATACCTCACTCCATTCTAACTTGTCTTCCTACTTCCATTCTAACCCCTTACAAGCCATTTTCCCCACCCCCTGCCAGAATGATCTTATAAAACAAAACTGGGTCTTGTTAACTTCCTGTTTAAAAAACCCAGTGACTTCTCATTGCACTTACAGAGCCTACTTTTTGGTAGGCTTAATCCCTACTGCCTGACCCCATTTGTACCACTCAGCCTTTCTCACGCCTTACCTTCCAGTGCATGAACTCCTCAGAACCGTCAGATTCTGAGTGCATGTTTTCTCCCTCAACATTCTCACTCTTTACCTTCCAGTCACCTTGAAATTGTTTCTCGACCATTCCTAGGTTTATCCCACCTGAAGGTCTTTACTCTGGATATTCCTTCTGTCTGTAAAGCTTTCCTTCCACATCTTTGGCTGGATCCTTTGTATTTATTCACCTCTCACTTCAGATGTAATTTTCTCAGAGCAGCCTTCTCAGATCACCCAGTCTTAAATAGTATCCTCTCCATTCCCAGCCATCACCATCTATTACATGCTCTTCTTGTGGTATTGTCTCTACAGTACTTACTGATAGCTGAAATCTTTTTTTAAAATTTTTTATTGTTACATATTCCTCCTTTCCCCTTCTCCCCTCAAGCCCCTCCTCTCTTTAAGGGTGTAAGTTTCAGGGAGCAGGGATTTTGCTAATCCTAGTCATTGCCATATCACTAGTTCCTATAACAGTGACCGGCTTGTTACAGGATGTCAGTAAATACTTGTTGGATAATTAAGTAGATGAATGAATCTTATGGTTCTGAGTAACTTTATATATCTTCATCTGACAGGCTTCTTGTTGAGATCTATGATAGGAAGTTAAAAATATGTTGAGTTCAGAAGTTTTGTCATTAATTTTTTTGATGCTGGCTTCCAGGAAGGCTAAACTAAATTTATTGCATAACTACAGTTGCTGTTCATTGTGTTTTAGTTTTATTCTGGTGATCTTACCTATAATTGCTGATGGAAGGGGGTGACTATAGAGCTGGTAAGGAAAAGAACATTGGGATCAAACAGTCCCTGTTCAATTTCTCTCAGCCTCAATATCTTCTACTTTAAACTAGGTAGGGTTACCAGTTCAATGATCTGCTCATTAAATACTTACTATACCTTAGGTACTATATGAGAAGCTAGGAAAAGAGTGATGAAAAAGACACACCTAGAGAGGGCATTGGATTATTAAATCAGCAGCTACTGTAAAGGTATTTAAGTTCTGTGACAGGCAGCATTCTGGGTATCACAGGAACATCTTACAAGAATTTCTAACTTCAGGAGGAGGGTTCAGAGAATTAGCCAGGCCAGGGGTGAGAGTGTTCTTCCCGGAAGAGGGAACAATGAAGACCCAGGAGGAGATACAGAGTATCTCGCTGTATTTAAAATAACCAGAAATAGATTTATATATTTAGTACAGAGGCTGAGGGGAAGAGAAGTGAGTGTGAGAAGATCAAAAGGAGAAGACAGTGGGGTGCAGTGGTTAGGAATATAACTTTTTCCAAAGGGAAAGAGAAGCCACTAAAACATTTTAGGCAGGGGAGTGACAGGATCAGGTGTGTATTTTCCTATCGTGTTTTAAAAGTTTACTTCTGGCTGCGACATGAAGAAGAGGGTGTTACAAGAAGCAAGATAGGACAGTGGTAGTACAGTGGCACCACAGTGAAGTGGGTTCATATTTGTAAATCCCCTCTCAGAGTGCTGTCACACATAGTGGGAGCTTGGTCAATTTTTTAAGTTCTGGGTTTTCCTAAGGTGAATTGAGGCTGTGTAACTTCAAGGTTATGGAAGTTAAACTTTTTGTATCTAAAGGCATTTTCAAAGTATTCCTGCTTTTGTGTATGTGCATGCATGTGCACTGACACCACAGATTTTATTTAACCAGTCATCAGGTTCTCTGAATGGATTTTAATGAAAGCTACTCTGTTTCCCTGATTTCAACCTAGGATGATACATCAGTATGCATACACATACACACTTAACAGAAACATTTAGAGAAAGTAGCTGAAGTTGAGGAAGGTAAACCACAGCTTAATACAGCAATAGAATATTAAAAGTTTGTATTAATTTGGGAAGAATGTACTTTCTAAGAGAGTTACTCAACTGGTGATGTAAATCAATCATGGCAGGTGACTGAGAAAGTCATGAAAAGTGCTGGAGCATTGGCAGAAGTGAGGGGGTCTCTTTTAGGTAATGTGTGCTTGACGATGTCATAGTCATTCAGACTATTCATTTAATGGCATGTGTCTAAGGTTTACAAAAAAAAAAAAGATGAAGGAAAAGAGAAAAATCTATTAGACTTCTTGCAGTTTATGAGTATATATTCCTGCTGGCCCTAGACAGTGAGTAATGCACCACAAATGTTCAGTCAGTTCTTGTATAGTGCCCTCCCGACAGCCAAAGCAATGAGATTACCTGGCATGCCAGGGTTGACACATGAAGCCTTTGAAAATAAATGTGAAATTAAATTCTTATCATTGAAATCCTTAGAAATAAATCCTAACATGGATATCTTTGTCACAGAAGTAAAAGGAAAAATTGATAGACACATAACATGAATACCCAGTGTTTTTGTTAGCAACTTAAGAAGGGTAACATAATTATTTTTTGTCTTAAAGATTATTGTCTAGCTCAGTTGTAATACCCGTCACTAGAAAAGGAGTACCTGTGGTGGTGGTTGTTGCATAAAATCTAGAAGCAAATTTTTAGAGGTAGGATCTGAGATGTCATTTAAAATCAAGGTAGTTTCCTGTGTATGTGTGAATATATACATCTGTGTGTGTGAGGATTGGGTGGAGATTAGTAATTATTTTTATCATTTTTTGAGACAAGGTTTCACTCTGCCATCCAGGCTGGAGTGCAGTGGCGCAATCACAGTTCACTTGACTTCCTAGGCTCAAGCAATCCTCCCACCTCAGCCTCCTTAGTAGCTGGGACTACAGACGTGTGTCATCACACCCGGCTAATTTTTGTATTTCTTGTAGAGACAGGGTTTTGCCATGTTGCCCAGGCTGGTCCCAAACCCCTGGACTCAAGCTATCCTCCCACCTCAACCTTCCAAAGTGCTGGGATTACAGGCATGAGCCACCATGCCTGACCAGACAATTTGCTTATTAAATACTTACTGTACCTTAGGCAGTATTTGAGAAGCCACACAGTACATAAAGTTTCTCAGTTGATAAAGTTATATAACCAGTGTATCCACAAATGATAACTTAGAATAGATGGAGTTTCACAGTTTTGAGTCACTATCCATTGTATATATATCAAGACAAGCTTTAGTGCTGTTGTTTTTTTTTTTATGTCCTCTTGATGTAAGTTGTAATGAATATCTTTTTCTGTTAAAGTTATGTGGAATTACTGTTAATGTTTTATTTTTCTTATCTCAAAAGTAATTCATATTTATATTTAAAATTTTAGAAAATGTAGATAAGCAGAAACAAATTTTAATTGTCCATAATCCTACCATGTAATTATAGCTATTGTTAACATTTTCTTTATACCCTTCCATAGTCTTTATTTTGTATATGTGTGTAGAATTGGTTCACGTTAAAATGAGGAAAATCTTTTGTGCAACATTACCACCGTTGCTGATATTTAAAATGTGTTGAATTATTGACTCGTACATTTTGAGCTCCCAAAACCCTTCAGTGGCTTCCCATCTCATTCAGGGTAAAATCCAAACTCTTTACCATAGCTCCCCACGTGATTTCACCCCTGAATATCTCTCTGCCCCAATCCCTCTCCTTGTCAGAGCTTGTACTGACCTAGCTATTCCTAAAACATGCGAACGCCACCCTACCTTGGGCTTTTGCTCTTAGTGTGTTTGTTGCTGAAATGCCTGCTACTCCCATGTGCTTCTGCAGGGGTCAGGCCTTCATTCCATTCATATCTTGTACTCAGATGTTACCTAAGCAGGGAAACCTTTCACACCCTATATCCTGGATACTTAATTAATTTTTAAATTACCACTAAGTGATGTTCTTATTTTTTTGATGGGCTTCCCCCAACTTCCTACCCACTCCCCAACACAGACACACAAATACTAGGATATAAAGTCTATGGAGTCAGAGTTTTGAGTACATCCACCCTTCTTCCTAATGAAATAAGTTTACTTCTATTTTTTTAAAAGACTATAGCATAAATTTCAAGAGAAGTATTTATTCTCAAGTGGTCAGCCTATTCAATAAATTTTATGAGTCATCAAAATCAAACAATCAAGTAGGTGGCTTCTAGACCTAATTTTTCATGTAACCTATGAAGCAGCACTTTTAAAAACAAGTAATTTTCCGGAAACCTTATAGTTTCATCATAGAATATTTGTGTCTTGATATTTGAGTAGATATTAGTGCTCTCCAAATTAGAGGGCACTGAACAACTCCATATATTTCATTACTGTCTTTGGTTCATAAGATAATCTAATACTTTGTTGATTTTGTTCTCAAGTTACATACACAGCACAATAATTTTTCATAATATATTTAATGATTATATTCCTTTGGCCTAGTGATATGCTAGATTTATCTCAACTTTACACAAAGACAAATATGAAGTATACTTAGCAATGTATTATATATTAATATATGAAAATGTTATATACAAAATTTGTGTGCTTATATATTTTGTATACATGTCTATATATGTATTTTATGAAGATGATATAATTAAAATTATTCCTTTGGGAAATAAGTGAGAGCATAAAAAAATGAAAACAATTTTCTCGTCTTAATATCACATCTTAGGTCATCCCTTTCTGTCTAGTCACTGTTTATCACATCGGTTTCTTTTCATCTTTGCTGGATGCAGTACTTATCACAACTTGACAGTTTCTTGTTTATTATTTAATTATTTGTCCCCACCCACTAGTTGTAAGATGCATGACAGCATGGGCTTTATTTTACTCATTGCTGTATTTAGCAAACTCAGAATAGTGTCTGGCCTACTGGTTTTCAATAAATGTCGTTTGACTAGTTAATTGAAGAGTAAATGAACTGTCGTGTTTATTTTATCCAAACTGCACACAGTCCCATGAAATAGGATGTTATCAGTGTCCTGCCTACTTCTTCATAAGGAATTTAGAATTTCACTGTGGAAGAATTTTCAGTTATAGGTCGTAAAAATGATCCTAGTATTTGTTTAGGATAATGCTAGCTATTGTACCAAACAAAACAAAATATAATGGTTCAAACACAGTAGACTTTCTTTTAAGTCTCCTTTTCATAAATCTGATGGTGTTCTTGATCAATGGACAAATTCCTTCTAGATAGTGGTTCAGGGTTGCAGCCCCTCTCCATTTTTTGGCTCAGTTGTGTTTAACCTTCAATGCAAAGCTTGCGTTTTCTTCCAACAGAGACTCTCTTTAATGGAAAGGGAAAGATCATGGAGGGTCTCATGTGTAAGGTTGTTATGAGTAAGATATAGAAGTGGCGTACTCACTTCTAACTGTTCATACTCCAGTGGTTTGAACTCAATTGGCACTTACGTAACCGGAAGGGACGTTGGGAAATGTAATCTAGCGATGCACCCAGCAAGAGAGCACTGGTGAATAGCTAGCCAGTCTCAGCCATGCTACTGTATGTAGATCTAAGTTCATTTGCATTTAGGTGTAAGATAGCTTTATAACTTTTAAAGAGTTAAAAATTAATTATGGGTTAATGTTTTTAATTCTGTGTAAGGCCTCCTTCCCAAACCCAACCTTTTTTGTTCACAAAGAAGGCAGCTTAGAATCCTCCATGGATCCCATAGGAATCTTTTTTCTTTGACTTTAAACACTCATTTCCCGAGCTCCATACTCCATTGAGCATTTCTTCAGTTGGGATAACTAAGTGCAGTCCCTTTGGAGCTCATCAAAGTTGTTGTCTAATTGGTTATAGAAGCCATCTTCTGATCGTACCAGCAGCTGCCTCCCTCTCCAGGGATTGCCGCTTCCATAGCATCAGTCCCACTAGGTTCTGGAAAACAAGAGGCTGAGAACTCAAGTTTTAGTAATTGTAGAATATTACCAGTATTTCTATATTAATTAGTATTACAGTCTAAATGGTATGATTGCATGATTTGCTTATAGTTCATAAACATAGATTTTGGAGCCTGTTACTGAGGGTTTTGGACAAGCCACTTGAGCTCTTTGAGCTTCCATTTCTTCCTTCCTTCCTTCCTTCCTTCCTTCCTTCCTTCCTTCCTTCCTTCCTTCCTTCTTTCCGTCCGTCTGTCCGTCCTTCCATCCTTTCCTCTCACTCTGTCACCCAGGCTGGAGTGCATTGGCATGGTCTTGGCCCAGTGCAAACTCTGCCTCCCAGGTGCAAGCTATTCTCGTGCCTCAGCCTCCCAAGTAGCTGGGAGGTGCATGCCACCACGCCTGGCTAATTTTTATATTTTTAGTAGAGACAGGGTTTCACCGTGTTCGTCAGGCTGGTCTCAAATGCCTAACCTCAGGTGATCTACCTGCCTCGGCCTCCCAAAGTGCTGGGATTACTGGCGTGAGCCATCGCACCTGGCCCGAGCTTTCATTTCTTCAGCAATGAAGTGCAACATCTGGGCTCTTCATAGATATTAGAACAAAGAGACAAAGTATGAAACGTTCAGCGTATTGCCCATTATACAATACAGGCCCCCTCGCCCCAAAGCTATCGCAGTAATTATTATTAACATTAAGAGAAAATATACAGAGGAGTTTGGAATTTAAAATAGATGAAATACTACCCAGAGCATGACTTTTAAATCACCCAACTCAGTACCAACAGTTGGTGTGTTTTTCATTGAAAGTTCTTGGACTGAATGACCTAGAGAATTTTTTGGAATCTCCCAAAGGGATTTATGCATTTCAAATGAGTGGTTGTTGATGGTTGAAAATGAATTGAAAAGGAAAAGGAATTATATGCAGAGTGCATGCCTGTGTGTATGCATTTGTGTGTGTGTGTGTATGTATGTGTATTTGAAATGAGAATGGTCTGGCTGTCACTTGAAATCCATCATAAAACTGTTTATTAACAGGCAACAGGACATTTCATTTGGCCATATATACATTAATCAACTACCTCCGTGTTTCTATGGAAACTTGTATAAACAGTTCGATTGTACCATTTGAGGTCTCAGATAAACATTTTCAATGACACTTTCAATGGTTCTAATAATAATTCTACTATTGTTCTTGATGCCAGATATCTCAGATATCTTTCTTAAAGTGATAGAATTAGTTGACTAGCATAAGAGAGAGAGAGTGTGTGAGTGTGTGTGTGTGTGTGTGTGTGTGTGTGTGTGTGCGCGCGCGCGCGCGCGCGCATGCACATAATGTTTTTTCTGACCTTCAGATGTTGGGGAAATTATATAAAAGACAAGGTTTTGTTTCCACCAAAATCAACTATCAGAAAATAAGCCACCTTAATCTTTTATATAATGAAGTTCTCTCTCAATTTAGTTTATTGTTTTTAAAGAAGGATGTATTTTTCCATAAGGAAAATTAATCAGAAATGACCCCAAGCGATCTTAGCTTGGAATGTTTATAATTCACATGATGGAATTGGTATAAGGGAGTTAAAGAAGTTTTACATAGATTTAATAACGAGGCCTGAATATGTGATCTCAGAATTGCAATTACTGGATATTACCATAAACCTTGTAAAGATTAATTTATAAAGCAAAAAGTAAATGATGGTTGTTGTAAAGAACTTGCAAGAAAAATGAAAAATCAGCTTCCTGAATGTTATACAGCACTGTGTCATTTATAGACACATCACTACCTTAAACAAATTAGAAGGAATGTAAACTCAATTGGATGACTCAAAAAGTGAGTCAGCTTTGCAAATGTCAAAGTCATTGATGTTGGAGATGCAGATTAAAGTTTCATGAGTGAGAAATTATTTACAATTAATATTTTTCATGTGATTTTGAAATTTGTATTTCACTAGTAATTTGATCTAAATAGCCATTTGATTGTTCCATCAATATCCATGAGAATTTTCAGGTCAATTAGTAAATTAATAAATATATTTAAGTTTAATGCTTAAGTGTGTGCTCCCTAGCCGTTCATCTGGGGCTGGAATCTGTTTCCATCACCTTTTCGCTGTGTGATCTTGATGCAAATCACTTTTCTGCATCTGAGGTTTCCTCCTACATAAAATAGTCCTACTAATACCTATTTTTTAAGAGTGTTGTAAAAATTAAGTAAGCTAATGTATGCAAGTACTTAGAGTAGGGCCTGTCACATAGTAACTGGTGTACAGGTGATCTAATTTTGTTATCTTTGGAAAAATGGGGCAAAGCCTCACATTTTGAAATACATGGTACTTAGATCATGCAGTTTCTCATCACATTGACGTATTCCTCTCTTCCATTTTCAAGTGAAGTTCATGTAGGTTTCCTTTCTACTCAATGCTTTCTTTGAACATTCAATGGAAAAACCCTCCTAAAAGTATTTGCTTTGAAACATTAGTCACCTTGTGACAGACAGCCAGTTTTCAACCAGTTCACTAATATTGATTATTTATTTTCCTCATCGGGGTCCCAAGTGTATTTAAATTGTCCCCATTTCATACACGCAAGAATTAATTCCTTTCTGCCTTGGGAGAGGGCTAGGGTACCATATTTCAGTAGCTAATTCCACCACATAAAGATATATATTTGGACAGCAAGCCATGTGAAATACTCATTATATAAGCCACATCTTATCAAGCCCTCTCTGTTACAACTCTAAAACATTATCATAATATAGGAAAGTAGCAAGGAACGTTTGAAATGCATCCCTTCCCCCAACCCCCAAAAAAACACACAACACAGTGGTGTTTCTGTTCAGACTGTCCTCTGAGAGGCAGTGTGCTCCGTATGGCAGGAGCAAAGCTTTGTGGTTTTACCATACTTAGTTTGTAGCATATGTCTGTGCCAAATGCATATTATTTTCGAGGCTTTTGCAGTCAAATATAATAAGGCAATACACATAAATGCACAAAACTACGCAAGTTGTTATCACTTTGAGAGAATTCTAAACTACAGAAATTTGAATATTTTATTATAAAAGAGAGTAATTGAACTATAAGCATATCATGAAAATGAAGTTATTTAGTTTGCAAAATGTATTATGGTATTCTAAGCAGTGAGTTCCTCTCCATATAAATACATGATTTATTTAAAAGGTAATATGTAGACTTTTGGGGAAATATATAGTAAGTGAACTACCATAATGGTAGTTTTAGGTATGACAGTGTCAAAACAAGTTGTTTCTTTGGTTGGCTTCTTCGTTTCCACCGAATTTGAAAAATATCTGGCCTAAGGTGGTGGAGGATGTTGTCTGGAAAAATGACAGAAGAAATGAGAAGGAATAGAGAGGCATATGTAAGGTAGATTATTTGGACCACAGTGATTATTTCATTTGATCACTCTATTATGTTATAGCCATTTCATAGAAGAAACTGAGGTACACAGAAGTTAACTAACTTGCCCAGGTTCACTTGACTTAGGAGGTAGTTGAACAGAAGATTAATCCGTATATGGCTAACATGAGGCTTCTGTCTTCTGAGCCTGGTAAGAAGCTGGAAGAATGTTAAGTAATTACAAATTGTTAATTTTGGCAGTTTTCTCCAGTAGATAAAAGCAAATAAATTTTTGCAGACCTATTCTTATAAAGCATAGTTACATCAACACCTTAAAAAGTCTACCTGTAGTTTAATCAGAAAAACATTAGGCCTTATCTTATCAGTTTATTAAGTTATTAACTCATGACACATTTAGAAAACTTTTGTTTCCTGACATTATATATATTTATTAGCAAAATAAATTTTATATTTTACAAAAATCTTTCTCTTTGCTTTGTGGAATACTGATCTGATATATGAAGACTTCAAGGATGGGTGTTGTATCTAGGGTATATATAAAGGGGTTATGAAAGGAGCCAAAATTACTGTGGTGAATAATATTTAAAAGTCCAAATGTTTACTTTTTCTTGTGTTCTTACAGAGATAGGATTTAAAGAAATAAAAGATGATCAGATTATAAACTGGTCTTTAAAATGAGCTACTAAAAAATTTCCTGCCTCATCAAGCTGCATGTAGAAACAAGTCAGAGTGTCAGAACTAGTAGTACCTGAAATGATTAATAGCAGAAAGGAAAGAAAAAGGAAGACAGTGTGGGTGTGTATGTATGTGCATGCCTAGAGAAAGAGAAACAATATGAATGGCTTTTAAAATAACTTGAGTTCCAGAGGGAGTGAAAGATCGTGTCTATAGCTGGGTGAGTTTGGCCACGAAAGCCCTTTCTGGGAATAGCTCAATAATCCATTGGCATCTAGGCTTAGATTCCAGCTACAGGAATCATGAAGCTGGAAGGGACCTGCGCCTTGCAGAGTCTGGTCCGTGATGATCTGTACTTAACACTTTAGTCATTTCTGTGTGCCAGGCACTTCTCTAAGTCCTTCACACCCATTTATTTATTCAGTCCTCACAACACAGGCTTTCAATAAATGATGGATGAATGCTGAATGAAAATATAGTATCCTTTATTTTTTACAAATACCTCAGAGAAAAATAGAAAATATGTCTAGGAATATACTTACTCCACCTTGTAGAGATTAAAAACGTGAACATAAAGACTCAAAACCCTGACAATGATATGGGGAAAGCAGTGTTCATTTGGGTAAATTCTGAGTGATGCATCTTAATATGAAGTTAGTTTTAGTCACTAAGTGTGATATTTATTTTACTTTAAGTAGATTTATTCAAGGTAAGATGCCTGGGAAAATTGACTAGATTCCAGTGATCATCACCCCAAACCTTGTGCATTCTGTTATAACTGTTACTTAAAGTGGTTCCAAGATTAGTTTGGGAAATTATCAGTTAAATACATTTCAGTCAATAGACAGTATTTTTTTGTTTTTAACTATTGGATTTCTCAGCAGTCCTAAGATGATGATGATATGTATCTTGGACCATGAAACTCTCTTTTACATTAAAAAAAAAAAAAAGACAGAGAGAATAAGCCTCTGTTGATAATAAAATTCCACAAAACTCATCCCTAAAACTTGGGGATCTGGTACCACAGATGCTGCGCTATATCAATAATTAGTAATTCAGGACGGAAAGGAAGAAGAAGGGCAGCCACCCTTGTTTGTACTGCACTGTCACCAATTTTAGGTATTTTACCAATTTAACTTTTTTTTTAACTTATTATTACTTATTTACTTATGAGTATTTACTTATTGGTATCAGAGACTTCAAGGCATCCATACTCATCTTTATGTTCAAGATCGAGTTCATTTATTAGCTAGTAATTTTATAAATGCCAACCATTAGATTAATCAGTGATTATCAAATTCCTATTTATATATTATAGAGACTTAAATAATGTGTAGAATTTACTTTTACAAAGCTAATTATGGTAGCATCTGTTTGTCCTACATAATAAAAAAAAAAGCTATTATACAAATGATACCAAGGTTTTATGAAACTACAATTAGTTTTAGGTTTATGCTTATATAAAGTATTACTTCCTGTGTGCCAGGCACTTCTCTAAGTCCTTCACACCCATTTATTTATTCAGTCCACACAACACAGGCTTTCAATAAATGATGGATGAATGCTGAATGAAAATATAGTATCCTTTATTAATATTATAAAGTATTAAAAGTGTAAAGTAATACTTATAAAGTATTACTTTATATACTTTAATACTAATATACTTTATGTAAGTATTACTTTATATATGCATAAACCTAAAATTAATATAATCTGATTTAAACAATATATAATTAATATAATCTGATTTAAGTCTGATTTAAGAATCTGATTTAAATATTACCCTTGTTTCTTATATATTTAGCAGTGTTTGTGGTTAAACTATGATTCAACCATTTGCCTAAGAGTAGTTTATTAAAATTGTCATTCACAGGTGGTGTTTTTTAGGACTATAGGTTGCTTGCTCCAGGAACAAAAAATTGAGCAGTAATATATTTATATAATCGAATATTAAAATAAATATTTAAGTGATAAAAATGAAAAATATAGGTGAAAAGATTCCTTGGAATTGTGTTCTTAATGAATTGTTGGGAAATACATTGGTATTAAAAATACATAAAATGTGTTACTTTTTCATTTAATTAACTTAATTATTGATTTTATTCAGGTAATTACTGTATATTTCTAGCTTTATAAATTTTATTTTTTGAACAGAATTTCTGTTATAAATGGTGGCTACAGTCGCAAGATAATTCACAACCTCAATTTAATCTGTAATTTAATTAAATAGCGTACTATACATAGTAATTTAAATTGGGACTGGGTCAAGCTTAGAAAAAAGTTTAGAGTAAGGGATGCTTGCTGTCACGTTGTGCCTTGTATATATTTCTCAGATCTGTGTTTCCCTGATGGCCTTGGGTTTAAATGTGGGCATCTGCCCCTGTGTCTGCCTCCTGACTCTCAACCCCTACATGGTTTGTTTGCCTCCTAGAAACTCCATTTTTCCTAGGCATGGGCTCAGGCCTCTATTTCATTAGAGTGTCATGGCAGAGTCAAATCAATGCATTTCAGTTTCTTTCCTTATGGGAACACCTTTTATAACATCTCCCATTCCATAACTTGACTGATGTGTATTGTCAATAAAATTTAATAATAATGCCAGATGTGGTGGCTCATGCCTGTAATCCCAGCACTTTAGGAGGCCAAGGCGGGTGGATCACTTGAGGCCAGCAGTTTGAGACCAGCTTGGCCAACATGGTGAAAGCCTGTATCTGCTTAAAAAAGAAAAATTAGCCGGGGTCGTGGGCGCCTGTAATCCCAGCTCTTTGGGAGGCTGAGGCAGGAGAATCGCTTAAATCCGGAAGGGTGGAAGTTGCAGTGAGCTGAGATTGTGCCACCCACACCCCACCCGGGGCGAGGTGACAGAGCAAGATTCTGTCTCCAAAAAGAAAAAATTAATAATAGTATTGTTATCCTAATTGGTGGGAAAAGATTTTAAGGTTTTTTTGAACATGGCATCTATTCTTACATATCTCATATTAAAAGGCATTTAATCAATGCTAATTTATATATGCATTTACTTTAATATATCATTATTTCATGCCATTCTGCAAAGAACACAGATAGTGCGGAGAAAGGGATAAAAACAGTGTTTGCAGTGGCTCACACTTGTAATCCCAGCACTCTGAGGAGGGAGGATTACTTAAGGCCAGAAGTTTGAGACCAACCTGGGCAACATAGAGAGACCCTTTTATTATCTACAAAAAATTTTAAAATTAGCTAGACATGGTGGCATGTGCCTGTGGTTCCAACTACTCAGGAGGCTGAGGTGGAAGGATCACTTCAGCCCAGGAGTTTAAGGCTACAGTGAGCTATGATTGTGTCTCTACACTCTAGCCTGGGCAGTTAAGGAAGACCCTGTCTTTAAAATAAAAAATAAAAAAAAATCTTGTATTTTCTATTGTTTGTAACACCTATCACAGTGAATTTGGAGGTAGTAGAGGTTTGGAGTTAGGAATGTCTTACTTATCTTGATACTCTCTGCCACTAGCAGAGTGTATGACATGGCAGATACTCAATAAGTATTTATTAAATATAATTGAATTTTTAAAAGCAACGATATTTCTTTCTCTTTTGACAGTCTTTATGGTTCTGAGCCTAACATTTCCATGTAATTCTGATATTTGGCTGTAAGTAGGCACAGATGAATAGATTGTGGTATCTAAAAGCTGGATGAATGTCTCTTATGTTAGGCTTGGAGCTCTTACAACTCCTAGTGCTCTCCATACAGTGAATTCTTAGTCAGGGAAGATGATGGATTCTGAAGAGAAGAGAGTTCTGTGAGACCTGAATAAATAAAATATAAAAATTCATTAGATAGTTTTATCTTCATTTGACACGTTAATTTTTTTAAAAAATCACACTATGTTGCATGTCAACCTGAGTCATGTCTGTAAAAGATAATCAATAGAAATCAGTTTATTGTTCTCTAATTACATGTATTGATTGATGCCTTTTAACATCTCTAAGCCATAGAGTAATGTTTCCCCAGTTGCCTTCTGCAGTGACTTAATTAAATGGAAGTGTAGCTAAGACGATGAAGGGTATCTATCCTGCCTATTATTTATTTTCATATCTGATCACCATTTAGCTATGTGTAAAATTATAGTCATTAATACATATCTGCAAACTTCTATCTTTGAATTGTTCCTGAAGAAGTCCTGCAAATATTTCACTATTCTACATTATGAATGAAACATAAATTCTGAATTTAGAGGTATTTGCCTATCCCTTACAGATAAGTTGTTATTCTCCTAAATATTACATATTTTTTTATTTTTTTTACTTTTTATTTTTTATTTTTTTTATTATTATACTGTAAGTTTTAGGGTACATGTGCACATTATGCAGGTTAGTTACGTATGTATTTTACAACATCTTCAATTACCAGTTTCTTTAAAAACACTGTTGGTAAGATAGGTTTGCGATTATTTCACTTCTCCAAGCTCCCTCAACAAATGAATTTTTCTCCATTTATTTGGCATCTAATTATATGCCCCTATTAAGTTTATGTTTAAATCTCCCCTTTGTATGCCTTGTATCCAATAAAGTTATTATTTCTAAACAGATTGTATGTAAATATTGTTAAATATAATTCACTTAAGGTAGAGAGGGGTGTAATCTATTCAGACAGTAGGTCTGAATTATTAAGGGATATAAATACATTTTGCCTACTTGGAGCTCCGAAGTATCAAAATCCATTGATCATTGTCGTAAATCCAAACTGTCTCCCTTGTGAGGCTTACTCTAAACTATGCAGTAACATTTTGGAGGGGGAGGGAATGAGCCTCAAAAGGTGGACGGGAATACTACTAAGGTTAACGTTTATTTAAGTTTTAACAATTAGTCCTTATATTTATAACTATTTGCCAGCTAAATAGGATCAATATGCAGGAAAAAGGGAGTGTTATCAGTATTTCATGATGCTAGTTAACATGTATTTTGAAATGCTGTTTCATTATTAGCTCAATAGTATAATGTGTGATATTATAGACAAATATAATGTCTTTTTTTATTCAAAAGAATTGGTAATAACTGATAAGAGTCTAAGATTCTTAAGAACCTTACATCTGTTTTCTTAGATTCTCACTTGACGAGGGCATAATAAGAGAAAAGGGGCTCGGTAAATATTTGTCAAATAAGCGGTTTTTTTTTTTCTAATGCATTTTCTCTGGTATATAAGGGGTGGCAGAACACGTAAGGGATACTTAGTGAATGTGTTTATTTTAATAGAGACTATTTTTATTTAAACATGAACATGTAGAAAGTTGATATTTATGTATATGAGGATAGGTAAGTGTTGTCCATAACTTTCTCAATTCTAAGATCTTTGATGGCATTCTTTTCTCTTTCTTTGTAGAGCCTAGTACAGTTGCTTATATGGCAATATACTTCATCAATTCTAAGATGCTCTCTTTTTTAACCTTTAAACATTATTTGGGTATAAACGTAGCTTAAATGTGTTTTCTTGTTTAAACTGCTTTTTGCCACAAAGTTACATTTGTGATGGCTAATAAATAGTACTGTAGCCTAATTTGCTCATTGACGTGTGATTGGAAAATTTTAGCTTACTAAATTAAATACCCAAGTTTATCTTAATAACCAAACCCACCTATTTAAGACATTGAATTTAGTGTTATTTAAGGCTCATGTGTGCTCATACACTTTAAAAATTATTATATGTGATTTTGGGTAAATAAGACAATATTTAGTAATTTGTGAATGTGGAAAATGAATACCATTTTTAGTTCAATGGTATAGAATAAAATATGATATTTTAATTTTAAAATGTCTTCTTGGAGTTCTTGATTCAGATTGTAATCCTAGTTTTTCCTGCTCCTTCCATAGCTTCCTGCAGATTTCACAAAACTGCATCTTACTGACAGTCTCCACCCACAGGTGACCCACGTTTCTTCTAGCCATTCAGGATGTAGTATCACTAGTGATTCTGGGAGCAGCAGTCTTTCTGATATCTACCAGGTAAGAGGATGTTTTCCTTGTCATTTGCTTCATTTTCATTTATTCCAAGAAATTTTAAGGTTCTCAGCTGATAGAATCTATAAAATAAATATATGTGTATATTACATGTGCATGTAAGTACATAAAATATTAATGTTTATTTCGTATATGTTATTTTTAGGGTGTAGAACTGCTGTCTGATTATACTGCCTCTGCTATGACGAGTTATCAAAGTGTTCCTTTTTTTATTTGTATAAATTTGTGGGGTAAAAGTGTAATTTTGTTGCATGGATAGATTGCATAGTGGTGAAGTCAGGGCTTTCAGGTTATACATCACCCCAATAACCTACATGGTGCCCGTTAAGTAATTTCTCATTATGCACCCCCTACTCCCGCATGTGCTGAGTCTCCACTGCTTATCATTCCACACTCTGCATCCATGTGTAAACATTATTTAGCTCCCACTTGTGACTGAAAACGTGGTATTTGTCTGTCTGTGTCTGAATTATTTCAATCAAGATAGTGGCCTCCACTTCCATCCATATTGCTGCAAAAGACATGATTTCATTTTTTATGGCTGAATAGTATTTCATTGCATATATGTACTGTACTTTATTCTGTCATCCATTGATGAACACTTTGGTTGATTCTATATCTTTGCTATTGTGAATAGTGCTGCAATAAACATACAGGTGCAGGTATCTTTTTGATACAATGATTTATTTTCCTTTGGGTAGATACTCAGTCATGAGATTGGTAGATTGAATCGTAGTTCTATTTTTAGTTCTTGGAGAAATCTCCATACTGTTTTTCATCAAGAGATTGTACTAGTTTACATTCCCACCAGCTGCATATAAGTGTTCTCTTATCTCCACATCCTCACCATCTGTTACTATTTTTGTCTTTTTCATGACAGCCATTCTGACTGGTGAAAGATAGTATCTCATTGTGGTTTTAATTGGCGTTTCTCTGATGATCAGTGATATTAAGCATTTTTTCATATGTCTGTTGGCTATTTGTATGTTTTCTTTTGAAAATGTCTATTCATGTCCTTTCCCCACTTTTTAATGGGATTAAATTTTTTGCTGTTGTTGTTATTCAGTTGTTTGAGCTTCTGGATATGAGTCCCCAGTAGGATGCATAGTTAGCAAATATTTCTCCCATTATACCGATTATGTGTTCACTCTGTTGATTATTTCTTCTACTGTGCAGAAGGTTTTTAGTTTTATTAAGTCCCATTTGTCTGTTTTTGTTGCCTGTGCTTTTGAGGTCTTACTCCTGAATTATTTGCGTAGACCAGTGTCCAAAAGAATTTTCCCTAGATTGTCTTCTAATATTTTTATAGCTTTGGGTCTTAAGTCTTCAATCTGTTTTGAGTCGATTTTTATTTATGCTGAAAGATAGGGGTCCAGTTTCATTATATGGTAATCCAATTTTCCCAGCACCATTTATCGAAAAGGGTGGCTTTTCCCCAGTATATGTTCTTCTTGGCTTTGTCAAAGATCGGTTGGCTGTAAATACGTGACTTTATTTCTGGGTTCTTTATTTTGTTCCATTGATCTATGTACCTATTTTAATACCAGTATCATGCTGTTTTAGTTATTATAACCTTGTAGTATAATTTGTTCTTTCTGCTCAAGATTGCTTTCACTATTCAGGCTCTTTTGTGATTACGTATGAACTTTAGGATTTTTTTTTTCTAATTCTGTGAAAAATGATGCTGGGATTTTGATAGGAATTACATTCAATCTGTATATTGCTTTAGGCAGTATGGTCATTTTAATGATATTAATTCTTTCAATCCATGAGCATGGGATGTTTTCTCATTGTTTGTGTCATCTACAATTTCTTTCATCAGTGTTTATTATAGTTTTCCTTGTAAAGCTCTTTCACCTCCTTGGTCGAATATATTCTAGGTATTTTGTTTTTTCTGTAGCTATTGCAAATGAGATTGCTTTCTTGATTTTGTTCTCAGCTAGATTGTTATTGTTGTATAGAAATGCTACTGATTTGTGCATATTGATTTTGCATTCTGAAACTTCCCTGAATTCTTTTATCAAATCTAACAATTTTTTGATGGAGTCTTTAGGGGTTTCTATATATAATGAGATCATTCCATCAGTGAACAGGGATAATTTCACTTCCACTTTTCCAGTTTGGGTGCCTTTTATTTCATTCTCTTGCCTAATTGCTCTGGCTAGGACTTAGAATACTATTTTGAATAGGAGTGGGAAAGTGGGCATCCTTGTTACAGTTCTTATGGGGAATGCTTTCAACTTTTCCCTGTTCAGTAAGCTGTAGGTTTGTCTTATATTACAAGTTTTTCTTATTAAAGTCCATACTGAGTGTGACAAAAGGAAGGGCCTAATAAGACTGGATCATTGAATTAGCTTCCTTGTGTTTTTAAAAAATTATTAGATTTAGTATCTGCTTAAAATAAATTTTTATGATACTGAAGGATAGAAAATAAGCCAGAGCTATGGGATTCAAAACTGTTTTTAAAATAAAATAATTCTAATTGTTAAGAAACATTTTATTAGCTTTGAATGTGCAAATTTAGGAAAAGAGACTGAAATATACACAAATATCCTTATTTGGCCTTCAAATACATTATGTTACTATTGGATTGTATATGGTTTCAAGCAAAATAACATTATTCTTACTTTACAAAGAATAACTCTTGGCTTATTAGGAACTGTGGCATGAAATAACCGTAAAAATAACTTTCTTTAGAGACAATATAGTTATGAAGGATCATTGTTGTATTTAGTCAGTGCTGTTTTTATTTTTTTAATTATTGAAAGTTAGTGAACAATTAAGAATACCATCAATACAAGACATATTCATTTAGGTCCTAAATTTAGTAGATCTTGAAAAATAATTTTCTTTTAAAGAGATAGTATACTAGTTATATACTTTTCTCAGTTTACCTCCTCATCACATACACACAAACACACCATTTATTCTGAAAGTTGATTTTTCTAAACATTTATCGAAGAGTTCCCTTGTGTAAAACAATGAACAGTATACATAAAAGTTGTATTTTAGTTTATATTAATTGAAATATTATGGCAGAGCCTTCATCCTCTAAACTTTGAGATTATTATTATACATCTTGAAAATCTATAGTGAGAATACAGCTTGAGGTTACAATTATCACTGTTCTCATCAAATAAATACAAACTTGGATGAAACTCCTAAAAGGTAAATCTATTAAGATAATGAAGTAACTTGTTTGACCAGGTGCAGTGGCTCATGCCTGTAATCCCAGCATTTTGGGGGGCCAAGGCAGGCAGATCACTTGAGGCCAGGAATCTAAGACCAGCCTGGCCAACATGGTGAAACCCCATCTCTACTAAAATACAAAAATTAGCCAGGTGTAGTGGTGCATGCCTATAGTCCCAGCTACTCGGGAGGCTGAGGCACGAGAATCTCTTGAGCCCCAGAAGTTGTCAGAGCAGTGATCCAAGATCTCCCCACTGCACTCCAGCCTATGGGGCAGAGCAAGACTCCGTCTCAAAAAACAAAAAAGTAACTTGTTTGTATAATCGATTGAGGCATATTCTGAGGGGAATTCTAGTCATATGTGCTTTTACCTTGAATAGGCTAGATAAGTACATGAGGAAATGCAGATGGTACTTCTGCCCCTGGTTATCATCTGATTGTCTGTGAAACCAGAGTGTGGATGAGAGTTCCTAATTGCTCTAACATAGTTGGAGCTTACAGCCTGCTATCTGGCTTTATCTTTGGGTGTAGATGAAGAAGAGGATCCCTGTGCATCATTTCAGTTGCTTAAGTGTCAAAGCTATTTGTTTCAAATTTGATGACAGGCAGATAGCCTGTAAGTATATATCCATCATAAGGAAAAATCCATAGATGTATCTAAGGATCTAGTTATTGGCTGTGCAAAACTTAACATTTAGTAGAGATTTTCAGTAGACCACTTCTGTTGTCTTTGAATCTGAACTTAAAATGAGAAGTCTGACATGCATCTGGTTCAACTTCCAAATTTGCATTTGAATCCTCTGCTTCTCTCCTGTGAATCAAGCATCCAGTTTATTCTTGAACAATTCCAAGGGTGAGCAACTTTCTCCCCTAGAAGCCTATTTGATCTTCATACAGTTCTGATTTCAGAGGTCTCCTGTCACATTGAAGTGAGAATAAATGCTCACAAGATGGACACAGAGAGATTGAATTTAGATGCTGTACACCAGGGAGATATGGATAGAATAATGTTGCTGAGATGGTGGGAAGAGAGGAATTCATGAGTGAATTCTTAGTCATTCTTAATTACTAACCTTAAGAGAAGAAACATTCTTCTGTTTTAACAGGAACACATCCTGGGGAGTTTGGGAGTTGTGGGAGTTCCTGTCTTAGACTTCTGTTTTCTCTCGGAAGAGTTGAGTTCATTTGTTGAGAGTGAGAGGGTTGGCAGGTAGAGAGTTTTAAGGAGAGAGAAGTTTTGAAATAATAGTTGCAGAGAGTAGGAGAACAAATTGACCAGAGAAATGGAGATTCAATTGAGTTAGTGCCCTCAAATATAAAGTGATTTCCCTCTGCTCTGTTAAGTAGCTTTCTCCACAGTAAGCACAAAGAAAGCAAGGATTTGACTTCACCCAGGACTGAAGTTTGTTAAGTGAGTGTAATACAAAGACAGGTCGAGCAACAAGGCAAGCGTTTTCTAACTGCAGATCATAGCTTTTGTATGCCTTCTGCCTGGAATGTTTTCTCCTAGCTTGATCCTTTTCAGCCTTTGTTTTCAAGTGTCATCTCCTCAGAGTTGTTCCTTTATAATCCTCTGTAAAGGAAGTCCTCCATTTTGATTCCTTTCCTGCCTAATCTTTTTATTTCCTTCCTAGACGCCAATTGAACCAATTATTAATTTTTATGTTATCTCTCTGCCTAGAAGAATGACACCTTCAAGAAGGCAGGGAACTTGTCTCTCTTGTCTCTATTTTTTCCCCTAGAGCCTAGCACAGTGCCAGGAAATTTTAGGCATTCAGTAAAGATGTGTTGAATGAATGTAATTGAAATAATAGACTAGGGAATATAAGCTGGATATGAAAGGAAGACAGGTGTGAACACTAGACACAGAAGGTAGTAGAGTCTTGAGTGAAGATCCTTCTTAAGTTGAAAAAGGGTTACCTTAGAAGCAGATGGGGGCAGGTTGAAAGAATAGAAGGTTGTTGGTGATTGAAAGCTTTAATGCCTAAGTTAGTAATACGAGACAATGCCATTTCCAGCCATGATAAGGTCCTGGTTAAATGGTATGGCCATCAGGATCAGAGCGAGTGGCTTAGGCAAACCGGAAATAGTTGTACAAAATAGATAGATCAATAGAACAGAGAGTTCAAGCAAAATTGAACTCATGTGTAAGGATGTAATATGTAATAGAGGAAACTTCACAAATCAATAAAGAAAGTGATGGATCATTCAATAAATGGTCTTTGGGGTTGGGGAATCATTTTGTATTCTTATTTTGTATCATAATTAAAATAAATTCCTGATAAACTAAAGAGTTAGCAAACAATGTTTTAATAAAGGATCAAAACATTTTGTAATTAGAACATCAATTGATAAGAAGATTTAAAGTCAGAATATAACTGATTTACACAAATAAGAAAAATACTCAGCTCACAATGTTAAAATGTTCAAAGGACAGTAGTTGGTAACTTACAGAAACGAAAATGCAAATGTCTACACCTTAAGTATTTGAAACATAATAGTAATTGAGCATATAAGGACTTAAATATGAAATTATTCTGCCTATCAAATTAGCACAGATTTTCTTACTTAAAATAAGCATTTATAGACATTTTTATATACTCCTCGTAGGATTGTAATTTTGGGGAAGCAACCTAACGATTTACATTAAGAGCTTTAAAAAATTGTTCTTCTCTTTTAGGCATATATATGCTTTTAATAAGCAAAACTTTTTTGGCAAGTGATTTTAAAGTGCTTACTGATAAAACATGCAGTATTTGATTTTTATTTTAGTTAAATTAATACTTCAGTAGAGCTTTATGGCATAAAAATTTTTTTGTTTGTGAATTTTCTTGATTTTTTTTAAAAAATGTAAAATAAATTGGTTTTAAGAACTGTGTTCACAATAGCAGAATGTATTTAGTCCCTTTTGATTTAAATAGTGGAGCTTTCAGCATTGATCTGAGAATATTGTTTTTAAAAGAATATCACTATTTAAATATTAATGGACAACAAAATCTATGTTAGTCAGTACCTGTATAAGATAAATTAATTTAAGACAGGAGTTATTTGGCTAACATAACTATGTAAACCTTTCTCCTTGTTCCTGAAACAAATATATCCAGATAAGCTTTTAAATATAAAGCGTCTGTTTTAGTGTCTTTATTTAGAAAAAAAGGGTTTAAAGACATGCGTGAGTCTTAGTAGTGTTGTTATTTGGAGGAAGCTAGAAAACAATAAGTGTTATGTTCATAGGCAAATATGTATTTAAACTTTTTATCTTTTATGACTTAGCAAAGTGGAAAACATTTTATTACTGTATTATATTTCAATTTTTTTTTATAAGACTATTGAGAATGTCGAGCAAAGTGCAGAGTACTTAGTATTTCTTGGTTGGTCACACCTGATTTTGAGTCCTAGCACAGTTACTGTGTTTTGTTTTGCTTACATTGAACAACTTATTTAATGTCCTTGACATTTTCTCCTCTGTAAACTAGGGTTAGTAATACTAACTTGCTGAATTGATATGAAGATTATTATGTTTTAAAACATCAACTTTAGTGCTAGACACATATGATAGTCATTCAATATAGGATCACTATTTTTATAATTGGTGTATGAACCAGTTGACCAGAATGTATTTGTGCAGTTAGTCTAAGATACTATTTTACAAATATATAAGGAGAGTGTGGTGTTTAACAGAATTTTGTGGGGTTTTTTGGTCAAATTCCACAAATATAAATTGCGTGCAGCGTTCATTGCTGCTATGGGGAGAGGTAGAAGGTGTACAAGTTCTAAGATGAAGAAAGTATCCCCTTGAGGAAGGGACTTTTGATCTAGCTTGAGACTGGCTTGCTTTCTCCCTTATTTGATCCAAAAGCAGTCCTATGAATAGTAAGAAGTTGTATCTACAGTTTACATCGATGATAAGATGGGCTTGTGGAGGTTAAGTGACTTTGCTAAAATCACATCATGAATAGTAGAGGTGAGATTTGGAGCCACAAAACTGAGTTTGTTCACACAGTAAATACTACATTCTAGGTACTCTTCTTAAGTTTAGTACTCCTCCTGGAGACCAGTTTGTGTTCCTTAAACTTTTAACTCCACTTAATCTCTAAACATCTTGTCCACAAGGCAGTGGTATTATGAAATTAGTAGGTCCCTGAAAAGTTGTTTATCACGTTCTTTTAAAGAGTATGATTTAGAGAATCTGTAGTATTTTAAGGTAAAATGGTTATTTATTCTAAATAATAATCTCTAAATTTTTGGTTTAGTAAATGTTATTTTATGAATAGTTTGTTTCTTAAAGCATGGAATGCACATAGAGATAGCAAGCAACTGTGATCTTTTAAATAAAGTGGAAGGTTCAGTTTGGGAGAGATAAATCCAGTTGACAGTTGAAAGTCTTTATGTTCTGCTTAAGCCTTAAATATAAATAATTTAAACGATAATTATTTCTTTGGGATGGTATAAAATATATTCCATCTTTTTGCATACATTAGATGTTTTAAAATTAAAGAAAAACCATTAGCTATATAAATTATTGAAAATATTTTTAAAATTTCTGTCTTTGGTAGTGTCCTTTCTTCACTCTATGCTAATATTAAAGAATGTTTATATAGAGAACTGATAATATTTTTGAAAATATAAGGTGATGAGTAATAAATAGTCTTCAATGTGAAGATGAAACTGAGGTAAAAATGTGATCATAGCAAGCATTAGCAAATTGTATTTCTAGACTTCAGGGTCAGGTGCTGATAACAATGTTGACCTATTTTCTCTAACCACAACCTTGGCATACTATATCACATCAAGTTCTACTTCAGTTTCCTTCTTAAATCTAGCAATGATTCAGTTAATTTTGAGTTTAAATTATGAGATGTGTTTCTGAGTGTGTCACAGTTCTGTCTGTATGGGCTGCAGTGGCTTATTACTCTCCTGCCTGCAGTATCTCTGCTTATAATGACCAGGCCATTGAACTTTCATAAACATTAGGTTTTCTGTCTTCAATTATTTTCCCCTTAAGTTTCTTTTTTAAATAATATATGCATTTTAGTTCAGGAAATTGTACCTAAAGAGCAGAAAATGTGATAAAACTCATTGTTAACACATGCTTGTATTATTTCAAAATGTAGGATTAAATCTTATGTTCTGTGATATGAACCGGGACTTTACAAAGCTGAAACTTTGTTTATAAGAAAATAGCACAGGCTGGGCGTGGTGGCTCATGCCTGTAATCACAGCACTTTGGTAGGCTGAGGTGGGCAGATCACTTGAGGCCAGGAGTTCAAGACTGGCCAAGCCAACATGATGAAATCCCGTCTCTACTAAGAGTACAAAAATTAGCTGGGTGTGGTGGTGCACACCTGTAGTCCCAGCTACTCGGGAGGCTGAGGCATGAGAATCGCATGAACCTGGGAGGCAGAGGTTGCAGTGAGCCGAGATCGTGCCATTGCACTCCAGCCTGGGCAACAGAGCAAGACTCTGTCTCAAAAAAAACAAAAAGAAAGAAAGAAAAAGAAAATAGCACAATTTATTCTGTAAATATTAAATTATAGGAAAAGGATAGATCCTTATATAAGCCACATTCATATTCAGTGAATGTTTAAAAAGAGACAGATTAGATTGCGATTAAGACTCTGAAGCCAGAATTCCTGGGTTGTAGTCTTGATTCCACAGTTTATCAGCAGCATGACCTTGGAAAAATTATTTCTCTTCACCTAAGTGTTAAGAGAATAATAAAAGTTAATAATGGCTTTTACTTTATAGGGTTGTTTTAAGGATTAGATGAGTTAATAAATACATAGCAATTAGAGCAGTACCTGACACATTGTAAGTATTTAGTGTTACCTTATTATTATTATCAAAGTCAGTATTTTATATTTTTATCTTTCTTTTAAAAAATATTTTTTTCTTAAAAAAGGTATTTATTATCTTTGAGAATCGTATGGGCTATGATTTGAAGTTGAACTTTGTAATATACGTTTTCTACAAAATTAATAATTGTATAAGATGTTTTCAAGATTTTAATATTTCATTTGGAAAAACACTTCTGTTCAAGATTGATGTAGTTAATATTTAATTGAATTCATTTTTACTATGCTTAAGTGATAATTGAAGTCTAGGTATATAATGTCAAATAAGATCTGTATGATATATACATACATATTGCTGAGATGATAGTCACAAAAGGCTACATGGTGACCTAGAAAGGATAACTGTTCTAGGATTGAGCTAGTTCAACAAAAGAGGCCATCTTGAAATGTGTGACTCCAGTGACTTAGAAAATTTGCAGGTATCTTGATAACTTGAAGTTTAGTGATGTGATTACCTGTGTTGATGAATGGGAAGAAAGAGTATGTTGCCTTTACGCGTATGGTCTCCTATAGTGTTTCTCGATTTATAGTTTAACAGTGGTCATTGGGATAATCCAACTAATTGTTAATGTTTCGTTTGCATATTTATCAAGTTACCTTTGATTTGTGGCTCATTTTTCCATAAGGACTGTCTAATTGGGGTAAAATGGTCCAGGCTTCTTGGCATTAATAAATTCACACCTATTCTGCAAAAGGAATTGCTCAGAATTGTCACCCTTAAGCTGTTAGCCTAAGCCATTCTCTTTGAAGAATGGAGTGAAAACAAATACTTTTTCTTCTTTATTCTACTATGTTTCAAATGCCATATGACAGCTAGGATAAGAAATCAAAATTACTGAGATAAAGTCGTTATTCCTGACCAAAAATTTAATAGGAGGTGGAATCACTCATATTTTGTTAAAGTAATTGTTACATGTAGTTTCTGGTGCATACATAGTTGTTGGATGGAAAAATAAATATAACAAGCATTATTTTGAATGAGGCTTGCTCTTGTTTCTTTGGGCCCCAAAGATTTATTTACTTAAAATAGTTTTTAATTTTTGTGTGTGTGTCTTAAGGCCACAGAAAGCGAGGCTGGTGATATGGACCTGAGTGGGTTGCCAGAAACAGCAGTGGATTCCGAAGACGACGACGATGAAGAAGACATTGAGAGAGCATCAGATCCTCTGATGAGCAGGGACATTGTGAGAGACTGCCTAGAGAAGGACCCAATTGACCGGACAGATGATGACATTGGTAAGCTTGAACAGGAAAATGAATCTACGAGCAATTAAAAAGATTTAGTGGCAAAATTGTCTGATGAAATAGAGCCCAAGACTAGTAGGCTTTAAAAACTCATTAATTTATTAATTTCCTTTGTATAAACAGTAGTATTTGTTGGACAAAAATTGGAAAAAATCAGGTTTACTCAGTCTTACCTTCAGGAGTCTACAAATAATAATGTGAATGAAACTTCTTAGTAAACCCTTTCCACATAAACCCTTTCTTAAGCTTAGTTTATGACAAAAAAAAAAAAAGTTAAAATGAGCCTTTCAAGCAGTATTACTTCTATTAATTTTCTCGTGAGCACTGTTTTTATTAAGCTCATGTTTTCTGTATGTAAACATAAAGGCAGTTGGTAAAATTGTCACAGTGATTTGCTTCTACTCTGGTTTTGTGTGAAGACGCAAGTGGGTGGAAGGAGACAGCAAAATGTCAGGTTAGTGGCATATAGGCTGTGTGATGGTTGAGACTTTTTTTCTGTCTTTCTTTTGCTGTTTTTGTCCTTTTTTTTTTTTAATTTTTATTTTATGTTCAGGAGTACAAGTGCAGGTCTGTTACATAGGAAAACCTGTGTCATGGGGGTTTGTTGTATAGATTATTTCATCACCCAGGTTTTAAGCCTAGTACCCTGTAGGGACCAGCCCCACAGGGTCGGTGGGTCTCTCCCCATGTGCAGAGACGAGAGAGTGTAGAAATAAAGACACAAGACAAAGAGATAAAAGAAAAGGCATTTAGGCCCGGGGACCACTACCACCAAGTTGCGGAAACCGGTAGTGGCCCCGAATGCCAGGCTGCACTGGTATTTATTGGATACAAAACAAAGGGGCAGGATAAGGAGTGTGAGTCATCTCCAATGATAGGTAAGGCCACTTGGGTCACGTGTCCACTGGACAGGGGGCCCTTCCCTGCCTAGCAGCCGAGGCAGAGAGAGAGAGGAGACAAAGAGAAAGACAGCTAATGCCATTATTTCTGCATATCAGAGACTTTTAGTACTTTCACTAATTTACTGCTGCGATCTAGAAGGCAGAGCCAGGTGTACAGGATGGAACATGAAGACGGACTAGGAGCGTGACCACTGAAGCACAGGATCACAGGGAGATGGTTAGGCCTCCGGATAACTGCGGGCGAGCCTGACTAATGTCAGGCCCTCCACAAGAGGTGGAGGAGCAGAGTCTTCTCTAAACTCCCCCTGGGGAAGGGAGACTCCCTTTCCCGGTCTGCTAAGTAGCCGGTGTTTTTCCATGACACTGAGGCTACCGCTAGACCATGGTCCGCCTGGCAACGGGCATCTTCCCAGATGCTGACGTTACTGCTAGACCAAGGAGCCCTCTGGTGGCCCTGTCTGGGCGTAACAGAAGGCTCGCACTCTTGTCTTCTGGTCACTCCTCACTATGTCCCCTCAGCTCCTATCTCTGTATGGCCTGGTTTTTCCTAGGTTATGATTATAGAACGAGGATTATTATAATATTGGAATAAAGAGTAAGTACTACTAACTAATGATTAATGATTTTATATATAATCATGTCTATAACCTAGATCTAGTATAACTATTCTTGTTTTATATTTTATTATACTGGAACAGCTCATGTCCTCGGTCTCTTGCCTCGGCACCTGGGTGGCTTGCTGCCCACAGTACCCATTGGTAATTTTTCCTGAACTTCCACCTCCTCCCACCCTCTAACCTTCCGAAAGGCCCCAGTGTGTGTTGTTCCCCTCTGTGTGTTCATGTGTTCTCATCATTTAGCTCCCACTTACAGGTAAAAACATGTAGTATTTGGTTTTCTGTTCCTCTGTTAGTTTGCTAAGGATAATGGCCTCCAACTCCATCCATGTCCCTGCAAAGGACATGATCTTGTTCTTTTTATGGCTGTATTGTATTCCATGGTGTATATTTACCACATTTTCTTTATCCATTCTATCATTGATGGGAATTTAGGTTGATTCCATGTCTTTGCTGTTATGAATTGTGCTGCAATGACTTTAAGTGTACCCAGAGGTTAAAAATTTAAGTAGCTTTATATCCACCTTTCCATCATAGCAAGAGTTGGTTGTGTAGTAATTGTTTTGGATTTGAGTATGCCTCCCAGACTCTGCCTTGTTTCTTCGAACACTGGAAATGAGAGCAACTTCCGTTGAGAGTCATCCTTCCACGAGATTTCCAGGGTCCATAGCCACCCTTGCCTGAGCCTTGCTTGTCTGTTGTACCACTCCCCCAACTCTTGGGCCAATACATATTTGAAGGGCAATTAAATGAACTGAATCTGTTGGAATTGATAAAGGATGGTGTGGAGTGGCTTGTTACATGAGTTTGAGTGACACAAACATGTATGAGGAAAAACTTTCACCATTTCAGCTATATACATATTCTAGGAAATTAAAGGCAAAAAAAAACCAAAACCTTAGATTAGACATTCAACATTTAATTGAAGTAATTTATGGGAATTGCTAACTCTTTATAGATGAATATTGTATGGTAATTATTATTTATTCATTCAGCTAATGTGGGTGAGCACCTTCTATGTACCAAGCAGTTTTCTAAGTCCTGGCAACTCACTCAGTGCTGAACAAGGGCAAAAGTCCTTGTTCTGTTGCAGTCTATTAGGGGAGACGCGTGATCAGCAAGTGAACAAATAAACCTATTGCAGGCAGTGAGTGCAGTGAAGAAGAGTAAAGTAGAGGCTGGGCTGATGGAAGCAGGGGAGTGGCCTGAGTGGAATGGTTCTGTTTCACCCCCTGAAGACTTAGGTTTGTACTTTTCCTGTTTCTGATATCGCGTGTTGATCTGATTTACAATTTCTAAAAACGGGTTTCACTCTCCAATTCCCTGTTCACTTTCTTGGGTCCAATACCACATGTTCAGCTGATTTCCAGTGTCCAAAATTGCATTTCACGTTCTCATTCTTTGCCCTTGCCAATTTCTTTCTTTTTAATCCCCTGTAGTTTTAAAGAAGTAAATTGGAAGTGTGTTCAGTTTACCATTTCAATTCAGAATCTTTACTCATAGGTGCTTTAAAAAAAAAAATTGGTGAAACGTTGCCTATGAATAGATTGATTTGGAAGTTACCATTTTGTAATCTAATATATCTTTTTTGAATCTGTTCATTTTAAAATAGTTGTGAAGAAAATGCTGATTATTAAAATACATGTCTGTCATTCTTGGAAATTTAAGACTTTCAGTTGATAGCTGAGAAACCCTCTTTCCCAGAATCTCTAGAAAGCAGCAGCCATAATGATTCCTACAAATAAATAAAAAGCCATCTTTAAAAAAAAAAAAGTGCTTGTCAATATAATTGCTACAGGGAGTAGCATTTATTTGAATACCAGTTTACTTGCAAGCAATGACAATTATCATGTTTGCAGCTATCAAAGATACATTTATTTAAAGCAATAAATCACTAACATTAAACAAGTCCTAAAGGGTGTTGTTTGTTCTATGTAAGACCTTGAAAGATTTTGTATTCTATTTCCCTGAAAATAAAATATGTGTGAGAACTGTTTAGCTCTTGTTAAATGCAACTCATCCTCCAGGATTTAGTTAAAATAGACAACCTTTATATAAAATACAAACATCTGTATGATTGATGTTTTCTCTAGATGCCTCTTTTCCTACCCAACGTCCTCTTCCCCTGCAAAAAAGGGACAGATTATGTCCACGTGCATGCATGTGAGTGTGTGCATGAGTGTTTAAGGTGAATCAAATGAAATTGCTAATATTTGAACATATTTTTGCGAGCTGCAGGAAGAAAAAAATTCCCTTTGGGTTCTGATAGATTTCTTGGGTATAGTTTTGTTTCAGTACTTTGAAGGAAGGGACTTTATCATATTAATTTTTACCCTGGAACTCATAACTTTGTAGGTACTCCATTATTGAATAGTTTTAAAAAATTTTTTTTGTTTTGAGAGTTTGACACAGTAAAGTAGAAGACTACTTTGATCTCTTTTAACAAGCCCCGGGTTTTTAAAAAAAATTAATAAAACATTTCTTATATAAAATTGTATCAAGCAAACCAGGATAAGCTAATTTTCTGAATTGGCTTCGGCTTCTGGTATCTATAAGTTAATTATTTGGGTTTTTTTATAATGGTACATTGTAAATAAAATGTTTTTAAAGCTTAATATTTTTCCATAAACGTTAGATAGGTCATAATAGTGTATCATTCTAATAGGTAAGTGTATAATTCTATAGATTGTTCTAAGAAATACAAAAGAAAATTGTCCTGTTTCTCCCATCCGTGGCTTCTTTTCCTTTGTCCTGAGGATTTTCCTAGTATCCATCCCAGGCTCTGAATTCTTGGCTATCCTAAGCCCTTTTAAGTCTGTATGATACCTATGGCATTGTCAGAGTTTTGAGCCCCCTGTAGCAGGAGTCTCCACCCCTGGGCCACAGACTGGTACTGGTCCCTGACCTGTTAGGAACTAGGCCGCACAGCAGGAGGCGAGTGAAAGGTGAGGGAGCATTACCACCTGAGCTCCACCTCCTGTCAAATCAGTGGCAGCATTAGTTTCATAAGAGTGCAAACCCTACTGTGAACTGCATATGCAAGGGTTCTAAGTTGTGCACTCCCTATGAGACTGTAATGCTTGATGATCTGAGGCAGAACAGTTTCATCCCAAAACTATCCCCCCGCACCCACCAAGAGTGGAAAAATTGTCTTTCACGAAACCTGCCCCTGGTGCCAAAAAGGTTGGAGACTGCTGCCATATATATATATGATTGGTTATAAAATAGTTCTTTATTTTTAAAAATTGCTCCAATCATCTAGTATAATATAGCATAGAAATTATCTAAAAACCAGTGATACCATTATTGAATCCTTGAAATCTTAAAATGAAATCTTAGATGCCATCTGGTTTAGCATTTATGTATTTCTGGTTTTTCAGCTGAGCCTGGATAATTATGTACATCTACTATTTGATCTTTCTGTCTCCTTTATTCTTACAATATATGATATGCAGGTATCTTCTATCCTGTGGTTTTTTTTTTAATGCTAGCCGCTACTTATATATCACAAATTAAACTCATGACCCACTAATAGATTAAGAGTCTGCCAAAAAGCACGCAATATGTCTACACGAAGCACTTTAAAATTATTACAACAAATACTTGTGAAGGTACTTTGTATTTTCTTCCCACTTTTTATTCTCTGATCATGTATGTGGTAATTATTTGACTTCTATTATTGTCTAAACAGATACTAAATTCAAAACATTTCTGACAATTTCTGGCCCACATTTTTCTTAAACCCATGAATCTTTGCTTGTCCAAAGAAATTTAGCAACTACAAGGGGTGGAAAAAAGTAAAATGCATGGTCTATAGGTAATAGTATCATAGTTTATGGTGAGGCGTGAGGGATGATGGCTAAAGAAAACAGAGGCTGGAAGCTGCAGAATTAACTGGGATGTGCTTCAGAGGACCATGACTTGTTCATTTGCCTTTATAATGCAAATCAAAAGGTCAATGCATTGGTAAAACAATGATTCCTGCCTCCCATATATGATAGATATGGGTCATCTCTTGCAATGGTGTTCAGAATTGCTTTACTGCTTCTCCAGGAATAAATACATTTTATGGTACAGCACAGACACTCCTACTCATTCCAGAAATAAAAGTTTCATGAAACAGAACGTATTCTTTCTATAACTGATGTGCTTTGATAGTTTAACTTATTTTTTAAAAAATACTGGTAGCAAAAGTAAAGTGATTTCCTGACACATAAATCTGAGTCAGTTTGTGCAACACTGTCCTATTGGACAGAATCTTTGGGTACACCTATCATTATCATTTTCCTTATTGCCAGAGCCCCCCTGTGTAATGAAAAGTCTTATATAGGAGGGATGACATAGAGTCCAATCAGAACATGCCATTGCCCAACTGGGCCAGAGAAAACCACTCCGTCTGTCCTTCCAGAAATGTTGTATCTGGGAAAATATATTCACAGAATATATTTTTCTGTTGTGCTTTGTTTTAGCAGTTAATAAACTATATCCAAGAACATAAAATTTGTCACTAAATCTTAACAGATAAAAGGAATGTATATAGGGAATGTTTGATTATGTACAAGAAACATCTAGTATGATTTTTATTTAGCCAAAAGTTTGAATGATGTCATGACTATTATAATAATGACAATAATAGCAGTTCTCATTTATTGAGTATTTACTCTGTGCCACGGACTTTTATCATCTTTATTGCATTTTATTCTCACAGCTATCCAGTAAAGCAGATATTGTATTTTTCTTTTTAAGTGAGAAAACTATGACTTAGGGAAGTTAATCACCTTGCCCAAAGTAATACAGCTAGTAAGCATTTAAACATCTGATGTACATACACCCTGTGCTCTTTACCACTCCCTTTAAAGTCCAGCATGATCTTTGGAAGCAGATGGTCTTGAATCATGTCACTGCCACTTTTTTTTTTTTTTTTTTAAGAGACAGAGTCTCACTCTTTCACCCATTATGGAGTACATTGTCACAATCACAGTTCATTATAACCTCAAACTCTTGGGCTCAAGCAATCCTCCCACCTCAGCCTCCTGAGTAGCTAGGACTATAGGTACGCACCACCACAGATGGCTAATTTTTAAAATATTTTGTAGAGATAGGGTCTTGCCACATTGCTCAGGCTGATCTTAAACTCCTGGCCTCAAGCAATCCTCCTGCCTCAGCCTTCCAAAATGTTAGGATTACAGGCACGAGCCACTGCGCCTGGTCTTGCCATCTCTTAATTATATGATGCTGATGCTGAGCCTTGGTTTCCTCCCTATGAAATGAAAAAGAAAACGCACTTCACAGAGCCATGGTGAGGAGTAAGGAAAGAACTTAGTGTGTAATTAGTAAAGCTACTGAATGATAAGAAAACACAGGACTTTTAAAAATAGAAAACCCAGTACTTGAAGAGACTGTGACATCAACAGCTAGAACCCTACCAAAGTGTAAGCTGTTTCTCCAAAGCATTCCCATAGGAAAGAAGAGTGAACAAACTTCCTTTTTTGCCAACTTGTGGGCTAAAAAATGGTGTTATCAGTTTTCATTTTCATTTATCATATCATGTCGTTAATTTTTTAATTGATCTTTTTTATGGATTTGATACATGGAAAATATTCCTTAGAATGTTTGAATTAAATATAGTTATTTCTGCTGACTATTTTAGGCATTCACCTGCCCAAAAGGCACAGGAATGAACCAACTGACTTGTTGGAGAATTCTCAGAGCTACCTTTCATTTCCACTCTCATAATAATAAGCCTTATATCTCATTTACAATAGAAATTTCCCATTTGAAGTTTAGTAATGTCTTTAGTGGTATTAGAACTGGAGTTACAATAAAAACTGTTGCCTCTAATTCAACAAGTAAGAGTCATCATTTCCACAGTGACAGAATTCTTTGTGTACCTGCAAGAAATTCAGCTGGTGCTAAAGATACTTGATATGTATTTTTCAATAAGCAAAATTGTAGGGCATTTAAAAAGAAAGGACCCTAAAACATTCTTTTTGAATACTTGTTTTTAATAAAAGTAGTAGTTTTTACAAAGTATGTCTTTTGCTTTTCAGAACAACTCTTGGAATTTATGCACCAGTTGCCTGCTTTTGCCAATATGACAATGTCAGTGAGGCGAGAACTCTGTGCTGTGATGGTGTTCGCAGTGGTGGAAAGAGCAGGGACCATAGTGTTAAATGATGGTGAAGAGGTGAGTAACTATTCCTACCACTTAAAAAGTTTCTTCTTAAAGATATCTCAATACAGCAATTGAACAAAACCCCAATTCTTACTTTTTCCTTTTTAATACCCAACAACAGTAAGTTTGAATAATTCAAGAATTATGGTACACCTGTTATGTCACTGTATTAGTCCATTTTCACACTGCTGATAAAGAAATACCTGAGACTGGGAAGAAAAAGAGGTTTAATTGGACTTACAGTTCCACGTGGCTGGGGAGGCCTCAGAATCATGGCAGGCGGTGAAAGGCACTTCTTACATGGCAGTGGCAAGAGGAAAAATGAGGAAGATACAAAAGCAGAGACCCCTGATAAAACCATCAGATCTTGTGAGACTTATTCACTACCAAGAGAACAGTATAGGGGAAACCACCCTCATGATTCAAATTATCTGCCACCAGATCCTTCCCACAACACATGGGAATTATGGGAGTATAACTCGAGATTTGGGTGGGGACACAGAGCCACACCATATGAGTCACTATATTCCAAATCCATTATATTTCCCATTATTTACAGAATTTCATATGAAAATAGAAAGTTTTTGATATATTAACTTTTCAGTTTTTGCATCTTAAATATTCATAAATTTAATGCATTTTGTCAGACAAAATGATATTCTCATTGAGGCAATGATGATCATTTTGTCTACATGAGCTTTGGGGGGACAGAGAAATTTTTTTCCTTGTGTCATTTTAGAGAAGAATATCCAAAGTCAAATTAAAAGGGCATTATGATATACATTCTGTGCTAGGCATATGGAAATATGTAGATATGTGGCTGTGTTTTATTCCTTATTCTGTGAACTTGTTAAACAGTAAACTTGAGTTACTTGTTTTATCTCCAAAATGGAAGATCTGCTAATTCATTTTTAGGGACCATACTGGCACTTACAGCTGTATGATCATGATGTTACTTTCTGCTTTGTCTTTATTTTTTTGGATTAGCTGGACTCCTGGTCAGTGATTCTCAATGGATCTGTGGAAGTGACTTATCCAGATGGAAAAGCAGAAATACTGTGCATGGGAAATAGTTTTGGTGTCTCTCCTACCATGGACAAAGAATACATGAAAGGAGTGATGAGAACAAAGGTGGATGACTGCCAGGTATAAAATATATCATTAAAAATATATATTTTATTCTTAATAAAGAACACTTATATGCCATTGTGATGAGATTTTTCTCCCTATATAAATATCTTACAAATAATTTTTTTTTTTTTTTTGAGACAGAGTATTGTTCTGTCAGCCAGGCTGGAGTGCAGCGGCACAAGCTCGGCTCACTGCAACATCTGCCTCCTGAGTTCTAGTGATTCCCCTGCCTCAGCCTCCCAAGTAGCTGGGATTACAGGCAATCGCCACCACACCCACCTAATTTTTGGGTTTTTTGGAGGGCTTTTTTTTTTTTGAGACAGAGTCTCTGTCTCCCAGGCTGGAGTGCAGTGGCGCGATCTCAGCTAACTGCAACCTCCACCTCCTGGGTTCAAGCGATTCTCCTGCCTCAGCCTCCCGAGCAGCTGGGACTACAGGCGTGCACCACCATGCCCACCTAATTTTTGTATTTGTAGTAGAGATGGGGTTTCACCATATTGGCCATGCTGGTCTCAAACTCCTGACCTCGTGATCCACCTGCCTCAGCCTCCCAAAGTGCTGGGATTACAGGTGTGAGCCACTGCGCCTGGCCTTTTTGTATTTTTAGTAGAGACGGGGTCTTGCCGTGTTGGCCAGGCTGGTCTCAAACTCCTGACCTCAAGTGATCCCCCCACCTCAGCCTCCCAAAGTGCTGGGATTACAGGCGTGAGCCACCATGCCTGGCACCAATAGGATTTTAATGTGGAACTATTACTTTTAGTCTTATAACACCCCAGAAAAGTAAAAATTAATTTCCATTTTACTTGAACTGCACGTAACTATGTGTTCGACTAAAAAAAAGTGTTATGTAAGGATGGTATTTTTAAATTGCCAACAGTAATTAATAATCTCATCAAAATATGGAAGTAAAATGCACATTATGAAGTAAATACATTAATAAAAGTGATATGAAATAGTTATGCAGTGTTTTTATTTAAATACATATAAGAAATTGATTTTAGAAGAGTCATGGAAATTAATCATAGTGTGAATCAGTAGAATGACTTGCTAGTTAAATAATAGCTAATAAAAAGAAAATACTTGATATCAAAAGAGAAATAGTATCAGTATTGATATTTTATTGATATTCATATTTAAAAGCATCTAATAATTGACTAGAGAAAATACTAAGGCCAAATGTGAAACTAGATTGATTTAACTGGCAACCACTATATTACAGAGAAATACATTTAAGATACTTTTGGTATTATTAGGTGTTTATAATTTATGACGTCTTCTAAAAGAATTTGTCTCTGAAACAAAATTAAATGTAAACAACCAAATGATGTGACTTAAACTAATTGTCAGTTGTATTTATTAGTCTGCAGTTTGAAAAACATCTGAATATAGTTTATTTTAAAGTAACATAATTGAATTTTTACAGTGTCCGGTCAATGTAAAATGGTATCACTCATTTAAATATTCATTTTAAGCATTTTACTTACTAAAAAGAAAAATGACCATGGCTATACATAAAATTATCTTATCTATAGAATCTAAATAATTCCACCAGCTAATTCCGTCCATGAGCACCATAGAGGAAAAAAAAAATAAGGCTATGACTTCAGTGTTTTAAATATGTAATGCCAGAAACGCATTCTAAATATATTTACTTCCCAATTATTTTGTATAATAGAGGAAAACAAAATGGTATAAGAGAGGAAAACAAAATGGTTAATTCTCAGTTATGTGGTATAATAGAGGAAAACAAATGGTAAATATTGAAGTCTTTATTTAGCGGGAATGGGCATTTAAAGGGAATTATATATGCTGTTTCAGCTCTGTAATTGTACTCTTAAAAAAAAACTAATCTAAACTGAGTCAAAACAAGCTAGCAAATTGTTAAAGCCTTTTCCTGTCTCCTATTTTCTCAGTTCTTCCCTGAACCCTTCTACATAGTGGAATTACAATAGTGTTTGAGTTAGAGTGTGTGTCCTTGACGAGCAAGTAAAAGTTTGTTTGTTTTTTTTTGAGAATTCAGCCATTGCATTAATACCCCTTAATTAGCCAGACCCTTTTGTTAGAAATTTTGTAAGTATGAGACTGAAATGATATGCGGCATAGAATTGTTTCAGGATAATTGATTGAAATATTATATGACTGAATATTACAGAGTGCTTAAGTCATGTCAAATGCACCAGGTAACATTATTTATCTGGGAGTTCTGGAAAAGGAAGAGGAAGTAGGGGTTATGTTAGGGAAGAGAATCTAATTTATTTACAAAGTGAGGGATTAGTAGGAAACCCAGATAGTCAACAGGGAAGAGTCCAATTCAAAAGAAAACTCTGATTAAGATATATAGACTCCTATATAGCTCCTAGTGTGAAGTTAATTATGAAGAGGGTCAAGGGTGAGGTACCTGCTAAAGAAAGTCCCTATCTTCCTTTCTGCTACACTCCACACCACTGTAAAAGGAATATGTTAAATCAGGGATTTCGTTCTTGTACTTCCATTGACTCATCTGCTTAGGCCTAGCATTTTATCCCTAAGGAATTCCTTAAACAGGGATGGAGAATGAATTTTGGCATTTTAATGTAAGTACTTGCTTGGGATACCATTTTAAGGTATTTCTGTTAAAATGTCATATAACTGTCAGAAAATACAAATGTTAGCTCATCTCCTTGTTGGGAGAAGTAAAAGAAACAGTGAGAACCATATTTTTATTCATGCATAAAATAGCCTCCATGAGTTTCTATCATTTTACTGACCATATTTTAGGGAAGCAAGTTATTGAGTGAAATGAACAAAAATGATGCTATCTTTACCAAGAAAAAACAACTTTGCATAGGCTTTGCCATCATTATCTTATATTTCAGGGAGTTCCAAAATGAATATTGGTTTCTGTAGTAAGATGGTTGAGCTCATGTTAAGCCTAAGAACACAATGATGAATGGATTAAATTTAAGATTTATTTGTTTGGATCCCATGATATGGTCAAGCTCTTGTTTTGCTCTGGGTCCCTTCCTTATATTCTCTTCCAGTTCTCCCACTTCAGTGTCTATTCTTACTCCCTGTCTGGTGTGAAAGGACAAAGTTCAGAGCTTGATATACACACCCTATGATACCAGGCAATTGGTAATGGTTTTCCATTACCCACATGTACCTCTTTCTTTTCTTTTTCCCTTCTCCTGTTGCCCTTTCTTTATTTCCTCTTTTACCCTCTTACTCCCTTTATTCTTTTCCCTTGTTTTCTTCTCCACTGCCTGTGTCTTAGGCCTGCCAGTGACACCCAGGCATTGCTTAGCCCTGCCCTCCACCCTTCAAGTGGGGAATGAACACTTGGATACCCATGTGCACAATTAGGTATGAATTTCCCTCACAGACTGCAAAGTGCCAGTTTAAATAGATCTCACCTGTTAAAGCAAATCTATGTTAGACTCACCTCTTCCTGGAATCATAGGCTCTAATAGCACTTAGAATGTAAGAAACAGTTTTGGATGAGAATACAGTTTGCTGTGGATAAATTGAAAATTGATTACACTATATGTGGTTTGAAGTTTAATTTTATTTCATTCATCATCTGTAATGTTTTACTTAAATACAAATTATAATGTCATGCCCAAAGGAAAATAATCCTATGATATAAACTGTCATTGACTTTTATAAGTGAATTCTTACTTGAATTTTTATTTTATACTAGGGTACTGAGATCATATAGTACTTTCATGGGCTTACAGCAATTTGAAACCCATGAGATTTACAGAAACTTAAAACCTCAGTAAAGCAATTCAGAGATTTTCTGAACAGGTACGGTGGCTCATGCCTGTAATCCCAGCACTTGGGAGGCCGAGGCAGGCGGATCATGAGGTCAGGAGTTCGAGACCAGCCTGGTGAAATCCCGTCTGTACTAAAAATACAAAAAAATTACCTGGGCATGGTGGTGCGCACCTGTACAATCCCAGCTACTCGGGAGGCTGAAGCAGGAGAATCATTTGAACCCAGGAGCCAGAGGTTGCAGTGAGCCAAGATCACGCCACTGCCCTCCAGCCTGGGCGATAGAGTGAGATTCTCTCAAAAAAAAAAAAAACTCAAAGATTTTCAACTGACTTCATCATATTAGTTAAAATTAAATGTTACCTGTGGATTTCATATTAGATCTATAAATTTGTTATAGCAAAAATAAGTTGCTTATTTAAAAAAGATAAATATTTTCAAGTAAAATGTATTTCTTTTAAGGTACCAGTTCTATATGACCATATTAGAAATTCAGTTTGGGATTTTTTTTTTTTTCCTTTTTGGATGGTGTTCCAGCTTGCTATAGAATAAATGCCAAAATGTCTGTCTAGACACTAAGAATTTCAAATCAAATGTATTCTAATTTAAAAAAGTCTGTAGTCAAGATTAATTTTAGTACATTTCTCTTCATAAAGCATTTTTCCCTTATATCTACTTATTCAGTTGAATTCAGGGATGTATTTCTTTTTTAGAAGATAAATGAGAAAATGAGTATTTAATTATGTTCTCTAAAACTGAGCACAAGAAAGAACACCTAGAATTATTTGGAAATAAAACCATTCTAAATCTCTTATATGTATTTGGGAATAATTTTGCTGCTGTGTACAAAGAAATAAAATATTTTTTAGATAAGAAACTAAGGATCATGTATTTTGAAACATTACACACCTGTGGTCAGTGTTAAGGAAATTGCTCAGAAATAATGTTAACAGTTTATTTATAAAATTAATGTGATACTATAAGCAATATTTTTAAAAATGTAATATCAGAGCTCTAAAGGTATTTTTAATATAATTAAAGTATGCATAATTACTAGTACAAAAAAAGCCTATATCTTTTGATTTTTAACTTTTTGCTTCAAAATGCTGAATAGAAAAACTAGTGAGATTAGCCAACTCTGGGAGAAATATGATACTGCAATATGCTGTTCCTCTTATGAACTGCTGCTTCTACTTAAAATCTATTGATTATGCGGAAAGCATGAAAAATATAGAAAGATACTAAAATGAAAGTCGCTCATAATTTGCATTGCTCAGAAATAATATTAACAGTTTATTTCCCTCCAAGATTTTGATGTGCATGTATAATTTATTTTAAAATGGCCAGCATGTAGTTATGAGACATCAGGCTGTTTACTCATCTGTACAGTGGGGATAATAGCACCTTCCTCATGGTTTGATTAGGAGGATGAATTGAAAAAGTTCCATAAGGCTGCCACAGTGTGATGGTGATGGTGGTGATGATGATGTTGTCATTATGATTATCGTAATATTTAGTATAGTATCTTTTTTAAAAAATTAATATGAGCAATATAAAAAGAATAATGTATTATCAGAGCTCTAAATGCCCTATGAAATCATGATTTCAGGTGGTTGCATCATATTTTATCTTATTTACAATATAATTTAACCACCTCCTTTTTCATCTTCTTCACATTAAAGGAGGAAAAGAAATACCATGCTTCTTTCCATTTCCGAATGATCTCTTGTCTCCTCACTGACCTCTAGTTAATTTCTATAATAAGTGATTTCTATCATTCATTCTTAACTTTCTTTAAAACTTCTAAGAAATGTAATTTCTTAAGTGGTTTGCCCTAAGCTCTGAAATTTTTTATATTTGGGGTCAGGGAGAGTAATGACTTCATATGCAGATTTTTAGCTTTTTCTTTAAGAGCAAGGATTACCCTTAATACCAGTTATAAGGATAATGTTTTGAGCTATAACACATATGTGGTTTGTGTTTTGACCTTCTTTGAACAAGCTTTCTAAAATGGTGTTTCATCAATATAATTAGCAAATTAATATATCTACTCCATAGGTATCTTTGAGTGTCTGTATCTTTCATTAAAATCATTCTCATTCAAAAATTGTTGCTTCTTCAAATTCTTTTAATTCACTAGATGATAATTAAGTTTTTACATCTATTCTCCTACAATTCCACTCCCCCTACTGCAGTGTTTTTTAATTGTGAAAGAAGCATGAAAAAGCTATCTTCTAATTATGTCTTTTGATTTTTAAAATTATTAGGATTTTGAATGTAAAATACATATAAGTATTCTAAAAATGAAACTTTTCTTGACCAAGGAAGAAATACATTAAAAGTAGAGAAGTCTGATTAAGGTTCATTACAGCATTAATTTAGAAAGTATGGGAAAGACAGGGAAAAATGTCAGTTTTAAATAATTAAAACACTGAATTATTAGTACTGCTAGGTCTTTTGCAAGCACTTTATCATTAACATGTGACTTATGTTTTATTCCAGTTTGTCTGCATAGCCCAGCAAGATTACTGCCGTATTCTCAATCAAGTAGAAAAGAACATGCAAAAAGTTGAAGAGGAAGGAGAGATTGTTATGGTGAAAGAACACCGAGAACTTGATCGAACTGGAACAAGAAAGGGACACATTGTCATCAAGGTAGGACACAGGACCACTCCTTCCCAAGGAAAGGAATTTTTTTTGGTAGTATTGGTTGTGGCAGTTTAGGATTTTTTTTCATTTTTAGGCCTATCTCTTAAAGGTTATCAGTTGTGAAAAATCTTTATGTATGATCTCCTAGTGAATAGCAGTTTCATTAATTGTTAACTGTGTTACTATCCAATTCATTTTATGTTGAATGTTTGAAATCCCAGTACCATATAAATGTCATATATGTGTGTGTGTATATGTATATGTGTGTGTGTGTGTGTGTGTGTGTGTGTGTATATATATGTAGTAATTAAACCTTTTCTTTGTTACAGGGTACCTCAGAAAGGTTAACAATGCATTTGGTGGAAGAGCATTCAGTAGTAGATCCAACATTCATAGAAGACTTTCTGTTGACCTATAGGACTTTTCTTTCTAGCCCAATGGAAGTGGGCAAAAAGTTATTGGAGTGGTTTAATGACCCGAGCCTCAGGGATAAGGTTGGAAATATATTCTATTTTGTCTCTTAAATATGAAATGTAAACCTAAAGATACTTTAATGTGTATATTTGTCACAGCAATTATGTCCAGATTAATGTAATGAAATAGGAGAATGTAATTCTGAAGCAAAAAAAAACAAAAAAACAAAAAAAAAGGTGATACAAAATATTAGTTCAGCCTTAGAAATATGAACAAAATATTAGTTCAGCCTTCTTTAAACACAAAGGCCAATAAATTGGCCACCAAATGTTTAAACATTTTTTTAAGTTCTGTTGGGAGTGTGTTAAAACATAAACATCTGGATTCCATAGGAATCTACATTTTCTAGTTTGGTAGTAAGTGTACACCAGATAAAAGTTACAGTTTTTAAATTGGCACCAGAGCAGCATTTCATGACAGTCATCACTCTCTGTAGGCCCCAGGATTATAATTCTAAGGAGACCATCTAGAGCTCTTGAGAGCTCTAAGGCCAGATTGGATGACAAACTACATTGTCTTATCTCCTTCCTTTTATATTCTGCACCCTTACAGAGCTTTCTAGGCTTAATAGCATTGATTCTCTTTGTCCAGTCTGTTCTTCTACCTTGACTTTCTAGTTTCTGTCTTTTGTATTAGCTGATTTTTGTTTTATTACACCTTTGCTTTTATTTTGATCTGTTTCAAATGCATTTTGAAAGTTAGACAAGTTTTAAGTTAAATACCTTCACAGACTCAGAACCTTTCCTGGCAAAGCAACATGAAGTCTATATTCAAAGTAAAAATACTCATTTTCAGAAGGTCATCCTCATTTAAGATTTTATTATTGTTAATTTATTTTCCTGTTTATTATTATTAGGTAAATTATTTGAAAGTTGGATATCTTTTCTGGAATGATTTTAATCACATTTTTGGCACTAAAAAGGAAACTTATTGAAAATAATTGACTTTTCAGGTTACACGGGTAGTATTATTGTGGGTAAATAATCACTTCAATGACTTTGAAGGAGATCCTGCAATGACTCGATTTTTAGAAGAATTTGAAAACAATCTGGAAAGAGAGGTAATATTTGTGGTTTTTTTTAAGATCAGCTTAAAGTTCATTTTATTCAGCCTGTTCTTGAGTTGACACTACTGTTTCTGAACTCTTAAAGAAAATGGGTGGACACCTAAGGCTGTTGAATATCGCGTGTGCTGCTAAAGCAAAAAGAAGATTGATGACGTTAACAAAACCATCCCGAGAAGCTCCTTTGCCTTTTATCTTACTTGGAGGCTCTGAGAAGGGATTTGGAATCTTTGTTGACAGTGTAGATTCAGGTAGCAAAGCAACTGAAGCAGGCTTGAAACGGGGGGATCAGGTATGCCATTTCTAAACTCATTTAAGGGTGAATTTTGGTGTCTGGTTTTTTTTTTCAGTCAATTTTGATACATTTTATAATTTCATTTTTAGATATTAGAAGTAAATGGCCAAAACTTTGAAAACATTCAGCTGTCAAAAGCTATGGAAATTCTTAGAAATAACACACATTTATCTATCACTGTGAAAACCAATTTATTTGGTAAGTATTTTGCATACTTTTCATTTTTCTCCTTTTGGCCTTGTTTTTTAGTATTTCAAACATCATAAGAAAGCATATATGGTAAAAGCATAGATTAGATCTAAATAAAAACTACTGACTTGACCATAAAAAATATTTTTAATCTGTCTTTATTGATAACTGAAATCTTTTATTGATAAATACTAAAATAACCGTAAAGAGTATACTACTCTTTTTAAACTTATTTTGATAGAGCAACATACCAAGCAGATTTGGCGTGATTCGTTTACTGTGTGATACTGTTTTTCTGCAGGTTTGCAGTTTTGATAACTGAAGTCTGTACTTCTCATATATTTCCAAGTTCCACAATTGCCTTAGAATTGTTCAGATATCTTATAATTGCCATTACGTGGTGTTTCTGTTTTCATTTATTTTAGTATTTAAAGAACTTCTAACAAGATTGTCAGAAGAGAAAAGAAATGGTGCCCCCCACCTTCCTAAAATTGGTGACATTAAAAAGGCCAGTCGCTACTCCATTCCAGATCTTGCTGTAGATGTAGAACAGGTGATAGGACTTGAAAAAGTGAACAAAAAAAGTAAAGCCAACACTGTGGGAGGAAGGAACAAGCTGAAAAAGATACTCGACAAGACTCGGATCAGTATCTTGCCACAGAAACCATACAAGTAAGCATCTGCATATGTCTTCTGTGCATTATTTTATTTTGTTAAAATGATATGCAAAGATAGTGATGTAATTAATGTTTGCATGAGTCTGAAAACTGTTCTAGGTTTTTATGACTGAGCTATTTTGGAAGCAGTATTAAACAATCAAATTTGTTTTAATCTCGTTTTTGCCACTTATTTGGCTACTCCCAATCTTCTTTAAAGATAGTTTAGCATTTCCTCATTTGAACTATTTTTTGGGGGTTTGGACTTTTTAGTTTATTTTTTAATTTTTATTTATTTATTTATTTATTTATTTTGAGAAAGAGTCTCACTCTTATTGCCCAGGCTGGAGTGCAGTGGCGCGATCTCGGCTCACTGCAACCTGTGCCGCCCAGGTTCAAGTGATTCTCCTGCTTCAGTCTCCCGAGTAGCTGGGATTACAGATGCCTGCCACTGCACCCGGCTAATTTTTGTATTTTTAGTAGAGACGGGGTTTCACCATCTTGGCCAGGCTGGTCTTGAACTCCTGACCTCGTGATCCACCCGCCTCGGCCTCCCAAAGTGCTGGGATTGCAGGTGTGAGCCACTGCACCCAGCCGCAGGTTTGGACTTTTTAAAAGCGTGTGTTTGCCTCCTGTCTCCTCCATCATGATTTAGAGTTGCTTTTTCTACTGTATTTTGTTTCTGGGTATCTTCTTTACCAACAGCATGTGCTCTTTACCAGTCAAATCATTGCTTTATCCAGTTGCCATTATTCATCCCTATCATTCTCTGTTTTCCCCTCTCTCTTCTATTTTCAGTTATTTAATTACTGTCAAGGCATCAACAGCCAAGCACAGAACTCCTTTCATTTTTCCCAGTCAACTTAGTAGTCAGAATGTCAGGTGTATTCTTGAATTTCTTCTTGGTTATTTATTTATGCCAGGAGCTCAGCCAGGCTAGACAAAATTGCAGGTATTTCTGATGCTTTTTAAGCTTGCTTCTTTGCTTGCTTGCTTCTTCATTTTAGTTCCTTCTTGAGTCTAGGAATGTTTTATAAAACTTGATTACTGTCAGCCATTTCTCACTGTGCCACATTTAGTTATATAGTCCCCAAACTACAATGTTAGATAATAACTTTAAAACATATAATTTCGTGCTTTGATAATTTAATGGGTCTAAAGACATGCAGTAGATATGCAGGACTATATCAAACACTTCTTTTTCTTTTTTAAAAAAATTCCGTTTCAGATCTTTTTTAAGAAAACTCCATTTCAGATAAAATTTTCATCCACAGATTAGAGAAATGTGATTTAAAATATACTATTGATTGGTTGAGTTGTCCCAATTAAACTATAGAGTAATGATTGGTGGTTTTGTATCAGCAGTCTTCTATAGCAGAGTCCTAAGGATAAGCAGTGAGTAGTATTTATAGGCTCAAGAGGATATATTGAGTAAGTTTCTAAGAGACAATGGATTAGGGCACCTGGCATTTACAGAAAATACGAATCAATTTTTAAAATAACCTTCGTTGATGAAAACCTTATTTTTAAATGGATGAAAAAATAAATTACCTAAATGCAGATTTTTTAAATTAATTTATTTTTTTGAGACAGAGGCTCGCTCTGTCAGCCAGGCTGGAGTGCAATTGCTGTGATCTGCTCACTGCAACCTTCACCTCCTGAGCTCAAGCAATTCTCATTCCTTAGCCTCCTGAGTAGCTGGGATTACAGGTGTGCACCACCATGCTCGGCTAATTTTTTTTATTTTTAGTAGAGACAAGATTTTGCTGTTTGGCCAGGCTGGTCTCGATCTCCTGTCCTCAAATGATCCACCCACCTGGGCTTCTCAAAGTGCTGGGATTACAGGCATGAGCCACCACACCCAGTCCTAAATGCAGAATTATTAACAGCACAATAACAAAAAAAGATCTTAGAGTCATATTTGACCATGAGTTAAATAAGAACCTTTAAAAAAAAGTTCATATGACCTTGGCAAGTATAAATAGAAATGTGACATGTAAGAACTGGGAGATAATCCATCAGCAATACTGGATGTTGGAAAGGAACACAATATGAGAATACCATGTCTAATTTTGTTCTATGTGTATTTAGAAATACTCAAAAGCTAGACAAGGGAAAAGAAAAAGAATGATTAGATGTGTTGATTTTAAAACACTGAGGAAACATCTTAAATAATTTGTATTTAGGAAAATATATGGCTCATTTAAAGATTTATCATGAAAATTATTTGAAATCATATGTGTAATGCAATTGAAAAGAAAAAATAATTAAAGGAAGTTTCACAAAGCTGTAGGATCTATCATATTGGTAACAGACTTGATTTATACTATACTAGCTATTAAATTTTTCTATAAATTATCATTTGTGTATGAAGATTTTTTTTTTGACAAAGCTACTAAACTAGCAATTAGAGAAGTCTAGATAGAGTATACTGTTGAGTTTTTTCCTCAAACTTTATCAGCCTTAGAGAAGCTAAGATGCTAGATAATGGTAAATTGGCAAGGTAGGCACAATCGGGTGATGTGCATAGAGAGGAAGGAGAAGATGGGGCATGAGCTCCCAGAATTCAGATTTGGTTGCCAAGTAAGTAGAAAAAGACTAATGAACCCAGAGACAAGAAGGAGTAAGTCAGCACACTATAAAACCAGTGCAGATCGAAAGACAATTTCAGTAACAAGGAAAGTGTTGGAGAGGTAGAATCCTAAGAGGATGTGCCCAGAGAGGGACATTTCTGAATTAGGTCTTGGATATAAAATAGTTTCAATCCAAGAGTGGCCGCATGTCTGGATGACAGAGATGTAGGTGAGTAATGAGGAAACTGAGAGTAGAAAGGCAGTTCATCATGTAAGGTGTTAAAGTGTTGCGGAGAAACGGTTCTTAAAGGTTGAGTGCGCGGTGGCTCACGCTTGTAATCCCAGCACTTTGGGAGGCCGAGGCGGTCGGATCACGAGGTCAGGAGATCGAGACCACGGTGAAACCCCGTCTCTACTAAAAATACAAAACATTAGCCGGGCATGGTGGCGGACGTCTGTAGTCCCAGCTACTCGGAGAGGCTGAGGCAGGAGAATGGCGTGAACCCGGGAGGCGGAGCTTGCAGTGAGCCGAGATTGTGCCACTGCATTACAGCCTGGGTGACAGAGGGAGACTCCGTCTCAAAAAAAAAAAAAAAAAAAAAAAAGGTTGAGTGTGCCTGCAAGATGCTAATATTTGTAGCCTTTTGTGCCGGAGTGGCCAAGCCAGCTATGCTTTGTCCTGAGCCCATAGTAATGATCTCGTGTCATGTATTACATAGCAGGTTTTTGGCAGAGACTGCTTTATATGGTTGAAAAATAAAATTCCACTAACGTAAAAGTTTTCATCTTTTACAGAATATTAACACTTTTAGTCTTTATGCCGGTTATATGATTAAATAGAAATTTAATTTTGTCCCGGACTGACCTATGAATTTGAAATAATTCACACTGAAATTGTCTTTATTTTTTTTTTTTAATTTTTATTTCAGTAGCTTTTGGGGTACACGTGGTTTTTTGTTACATGGGTGAATTATATAGTGGTGGTGAATTCTGGGATTTTAGTGCACCCATCACCCAAGTAGTATACATTGTACCTAATGTGTAACTTTGTTTAATCCCTGGCCCTAACCTCACCCTTCCCCTTCTGAGTCTCCAAAGTCCATTGTATCACTCAGTATGCCTTTGCCTACTCATAGCTTAGCTCCCACTTATAAGTGAGAACATAGGGATTTTGGTTTTCCACCATTATATCACTTAGAATAATGACCAACAGCTCCATCCAAGTTGCTGCAAAAGACATTATTTTGTTCCTTTTTATGGCTGAGTAATATTCTGTGGTGTAGCTATAAACACATTTTCTTTATCCACTCATTAGTCGATGTGCACTTAGGTTGCTTCCATGTTTTTGCAGTTGTGAATTGTGCTGCTCTAAACAAAACGTGTGCAAGTGTCTTTTTCGTATAATGTGAAATTGTCTCTAGTTTTAATTTTTGTCTTTAAAAAATGTTTTTGCCCTTATTTACCTTTATAATTTCCATTTTCAAAAAAAAAAGTAAAGGGAAGAAATGTTGCTATTTTTTAGCATAGTCATTAAAAATAGTAGTTATTATGATCAAGCCCCAATGTGTGAAAAGACTAATAAATGCTAAATTTCTTCATTTTATTTATGACACCTTAGTTTATATTCCAACTTTAATATAATTTTCCTCTTATTTCAAGGTGTGTATAGAAACTAGTCTGAGCTATAACCATTTTCTTGCGACCCCAGTTATTTCTGTGTGTGTTTGCTTATTGCTTTATTTGAGTTTTTGTTTTGGAAACAGTTGACCCTTCAAATCTAGAAATAGTTTTTACATATTATTAAATCATGTTTCAAGAGTTCACAGTAACAGGCTTTTTATAAATGGAAATGAGTTTGTCACTGTCGATAATAACCAGTATTTCTCTGGATACTTAAATGTGTAGCTAGAAATTTTGATCAGAGAATTAAAAGTGAGTCATTGGATTTCTGTTGGCTTTTCTTTGATGCTAGGAAATGTCACCATGCACCACTGTTTTTTTATGCTCTGTATAATCAAGAAATAATGTCTGTGTCAGTCTCCTTACATTTGACTCCATAGTGATCTCATTTTTTCTCTAAAACATCGAGAATAAAATTAGGACACTTTGGATTTTTTTCCTCCTGTTTTCATTTTACCCAATTTCTTCAACTATTGAAGGTCAGATTATAAAATAATTTATCATTCTGATGCAGAACTATCAGTTGAGTGAGTTAAATGTATTCTTTTTAATGTGCTTTTTTTAAAATCCATTTCCATCAGAAACTAGAGCTTATTTTTTTTTAAATATATTTCTGTGCTGAGAAACTACTAATATTTTTTATGGCTTATCTACTTAGAAAAACCATAGGTTTGGCCGGGCGTGGTGGCTCACGCCTGTAATCCTAGCACTTTGGGAGGCCAAGACAGGCGGATCACAAGGTCAGGAGATCGAGACCATCCTGGCTAACATGGTGAAACCCCATCTCTACTCAAAATACAAAAAAATTAGCCGGGCATGGTGGCGGACGCCTGTAGTCCCAGCTACTCAGGAGGCTGAGGCAGGAGAATGGCATGAACCTGGGAGATGGAGCTTGCAGTGAGCCGAGATCACACCACTGCACTCCAGCCTGGGTGACAGAGTGAGACTCCATCTCAAAAAAAAAAAAAAAAAAAAAAAAGAAAGAAAAACCATAGGTTTTAGAGAAACATACTATACACTTAAGAAACAGCAAAATGAGGCTGGGTGCTGTGACTCATGCCTGTAATCCTAGCACTTTGGGAGGCCACAGCAGGAGGATCACTTGAGGCCAAGAGTTTCAAGCCCAGCTTGAGCAACAAAGCAAGATGCTATATCTAAAAACAAACAAACAAAAACAAAAAACAAAAACAGGAAAATGAGTTGGATACACTTAAGCAGTAGTTGCTTTTGCAGTTTTCAACCAAATTTATTAATGGTGTTTTTACATGAGCTGCAAAAAAAAAATGGAATATGGTTTTTGGTCTGTGTTTATTATATAGTGATGATGTACAACTTTTTAACTTGTTGATAATTTTCTAATTTTCCTCTTTGTTCAGTGATATTGGGATTGGTCAGTCTCAAGATGACAGCATAGTAGGATTAAGGCAGACAAAGCACATCCCAACTGCATTGCCTGTCAGTGGAACCTTATCATCCAGTAATCCTGATTTATTGCAGTCACATCATCGCATTTTAGACTTCAGTGCTACTCCTGGTGAGTATCACCAACACTTCTTTTGTTTTCTTATAGTTATCTTTTTATTTCTAACATAATGGTCATATTATATGTATCTCTCTTCATTTGGCATGGATTATATCAGATGCTGAGTAAGGATGAAACTTAAACTTTAAGATTTTTGAAATCAGGTGTTGGAACCAGTTCTCTTTACATTCAGCAGAGTATTTTTATATGGCCATAGGCAAATTATCTGTCTGAACTTGTTTCTTCTTTCATAAAATGAAGATAACACATCCCATGCCATGATTACTAAATCATATCAAATAGATAGAGTAAGAGGCATATTTTAGGTCTAATTAATGGACTTTTCAATACAGTAAAGATTAACTCTGGATTTAAATTTTATTTCTTTGATGCCAGCATGACAGTCTTGAGTGCTACTGTTGTGTACTGATGTGCTTGCAGCTGTCTGTAGTTCAATCTGTTATCTTTTAGGGAAAGGTATGTTCTTGCAGCAAAACAGCATGTAGATTGATTCTTTGAGGAAGACCTAGAGTAAGGGAGAGGTAAAAGTTCAGCATTGCTTTTTCTTAAGGAGCTTTTTTCTGATTACTTTGCTTAATTGCATTGCCATATATTAAAATTCTTTCTACTTATGTGTGTGATTTTTCTTTCCCCCAGACTTGCCAGATCAAGTGCTAAGGGTTTTTAAGGCTGATCAGCAAAGCCGCTACATCATGATCAGTAAGGACACTACAGCAAAGGAAGTGGTCATTCAGGCTATCAGGGAGTTTGCTGTTACTGCCACCCCGGATCAATATTCACTATGTGAGGTCTCTGTCACACCTGAGGGAGTAATCAAACAAAGAAGACTTCCAGATCAGCTTTCCAAACTTGCAGACAGAATACAACTGAGTGGAAGGTATATATTATCTACCTTACTGGATTTCTTTGTCCCCTCTTCGAACCCACATCAAAGTCTAAGAGATGAGCAATTTTCAAAGTGTTTTTTAAATGAGTAAGTGTCCCTGCGATTAAAAAGTATTGTTGTTGTTTTTTTTTTCCTTTCACCAAGAATTACTGTATGAAAGCAAATGCACACAGTCGACTACTGACCCTAACAAGGATCTCTTAGGAACTTGTTCAAGGCCACTGTGACCTGAAGGTTGTTACTGACTTCCAAAATGCGTGCTGTAACTTCTCATGCTTGCCTTGGGGTCCTGGTTTGGAAGGGTAGAGTATGCTTGATGTAAAGTCACGGGGTTAAACCCTGGTGCTGTCTTCCCTTTGTATATGTACGTTCACAAACACATTTTCTAATCATATTCTAGTGTCATTTGCTCCTGCATACCCAACTTTTCTAGGAGCTTCCTTAGTTTAGGCAGAGACATCTGTGACAATGTGGTTGGCCACTTCTGCCTGTTATTGTACATTATGCTATGAAATACACTTCTTAACGCTGAAACCAGACTTTACTTGCTACAGAGCTTAGTCCTTTGCTGCAGAAGTGCTTATATCACACGTTACTTGCAAGAAAATGTTGTGTCTGATTTTATCATTCTCTTCAATGATATTTTCACTGTTAGGTATATGTAACTTTATCTTCAAGTCACAATAAGTAAGTGCAAGTTGAAAAAGAAAATAGTTGCTTTGGTTCTCATAGTGGCTGGTTGCTACACTCAAAATTAAGTAGTTCCATAAATCATATTTTTTCTATTTTTAACTTACGGAGTGTTTCACTGTATTTGACTTTTTCATGTTATAGATTTAAACCAGGATATAATTCATTGAAACCTTTGATTTTCTTGCCATCAACTATAACTTTCTTATTCCTCTTCACTTTTGTTTTCAAACACTAGCAAATAGTTTTGTTTTAGTAGCTCTGTTTTTTCCACTTATCATTTCAATGCACATTGATATATCTGGAACCACGATAGAGTTTTACAGAGCTCCACTGAGCTATAGATTCATGATTCACATTCATTATTGAAGAAAATTATAGATGGGTATGTCATGGGCTTCATGAGTAATCAAAATGGAGAATGTTAAATCTGTGAAAGTCAAGGGCGCAAAGTATATATTTTCTGTTATATGTGTTTGCCTTGGTGAAATACACAAAAAAAATTTTAGTAGGGCCCCTACTATGCTCATTCTGTTTTGTCATTTATGGAATTTTCACAGAGAAAGCATGTGTCTAAAAAACAAAAACAAAACAAAAAATACCACCACCATCACCACACACACACACACACACACACACACACACACACACACATTTATGGAATTTTCACAGAGAAAGCATGTGTCTAAAAAACAAAAACAAAACAAAAAATACCACCACCATCACCACACACACACACACACACACACACACACACACACGTGTGCGTGCAACAAACATCTTAATGCTATTTTCAACAAATTGCCTAAAAGGAAAAGGGGCTCCAGCCCTGTGTTCCCATTTTGGCACCGGCATTAACTAGTCAACCTTTAGGAGCCTGTTTCCTATTCTGACAAATAAGTATAATACCTACTATCCACTTACCTGTAGAGTTTTTATGAAAATCCAGATTTTTTAAAGTTAACCTGTTGGAGGATTGTTCTATTCATAGGATCAAATAGAGGGAAGTAGCTTAGGGTTTCTTAGGTATTTGAATAAATAAGTCAACCTGGATTGTTACAATTTGGGCCCATCAATAATCACAGATTATTGATAAGAAAATAAGAAAATAAGGAAAATAAGAGTGATGACGTACTTGGGTCTAATCTTTCCTGCTTCCTGCCTTAGGGCCTAGTCCCTTTTTAAACTAAAAATGTGGATATTTTCTGTTATTTTTAACAAAAAGGGTAAAATACTTCAGAAATCAGGAAAAGAAAGGATAGAAAGTGCAACTAGTGCGAGTGAAATTCCATGTGATTTGTTTGTTTCTACCACCTACTTCTGGATAGACAGTTCTATGACCAGGTAACTGAGATAGCAGCTGTGCTGTCTGTCTTGGTTAAAAAGAAATCTTCCATAATTCAAATCAGTGCTCTCTCAAACTTTCCATAAAAAGTAGCATTATTCTTTCAAGGAATATCATGAGATTGCTGCTTAGGCTTTGACTCTGATATGTTTCTGTTTTTCATAGGTATTATCTGAAAAACAACATGGAAACAGAAACTCTTTGTTCAGATGAAGATGCTCAGGAGTTGTTGAGAGAGAGTCAAATTTCCCTCCTTCAGCTCAGCACTGTGGAAGTTGCAACACAGCTCTCTATGCGAAATTTTGAACTCTTTCGCAACATTGAACCTACTGAATATATAGATGATTTATTTAAACTCAGATCAAAAACCAGCTGTGCCAACCTGAAGAGATTTGAAGAAGTCATTAACCAGGAAACATTTTGGGTAGCATCTGAAATTCTCAGAGAAACAAACCAGCTGAAGAGGATGAAGATCATTAAGCATTTCATCAAGATAGCACTGCACTGTAGGGAATGCAAGAATTTTAACTCAATGTTTGCAATCATCAGGTAAGAGAGCACATTTTTTCTTAAGATTCAGTTCAGTTCACAGATTTAAAATATGTATCAGTCCAGGAACATCATATAATTAGTATAAATGCTATAGGTTTTAATTGACTCATAAGAGACAATTCTTTTTCTCTGAATCCTAACCTTAATCCTTAATTTAAAATCTCTCGTATCAAAAAAACAGCTGTGCCAACCTGAAGAGATTTGAAGAAGCCATTAAGCAGGAAACATTTTGGTAGCATCTGAAGTTCTGATTTGGAGCTCAGAAAATCTATATCCCCCACTTTTTTTTTAAGTTTGTTTCAACTTTTCTCAATATCAGTTTATTTTTCTGTGGAAATAACAATACCGCAAAGAGTTATCAACAAGATTAATGATGTAATGTGTGTGGAGTTCCATCAAATAGCACAAAGCAGATGGCCGGGAAATGTTAATTTTCTTCCCTTTTTTTAAGAGCTTAGATTGAGGTTAGAAGAAAAAAAAATGGCAACAATTAGTTATATTGATGTTGAGGGTGATTATTAAATTAGTCATTTTCTCTGTCTGGGAGTTTAGTCATACTCTCATTACTATCATAGCTTTTATTTTATTTTATTTTATTTTATATTATTTTATTTTATTTTATTTTATTTTATTTTATTTTATTTTATTTTATTTTATTTTATTTTATTACTAGAGGATATTTGCTCAGTCGGTTTTATCAAATGGCCGCTATGGGCTAAGCACTGCTATGTGTACATACTGCTGTGTATGGAAACAAAGCATCAATACTTACATTCAGGTGGTTTTACTGATAGTAAACAGATGAGGTAGGTCTATACGGAAGAGAAGAGTAAAACGCCTTGGCTTGACCCTGACCCTACTTCCCTGTGCCATCTCATTCCCCAGAATTATCATGAACAGTTTCTTATGCAGCCTTCTGTAAATTGTTATGCATATAAAGCATAAACATAGAGATGTTATATGTCAATAAATAATCTGTACACTATTTTACTTTAGTTGTTATACCATGTTTCTTTTTCTCCTCTCAGTGGCCTAAACCTGGCACCAGTGGCAAGACTGCGAACGACCTGGGAGAAACTTCCCAATAAATACGAAAAACTATTTCAAGATCTCCAAGACCTGTTTGATCCTTCCAGAAACATGGCAAAATATCGTAATGTTCTCAATAGTCAAAATCTACAACCTCCCATAATCCCTCTATTCCCAGTTATCAAAAAGGATCTCACCTTCCTTCACGAAGGTAAACATAAGGCAGAGGGTTTCCATCTTTGCTTGAAGAAGCACAGAATAAATGCCATGTGATTTCCTTTTCCTCCTCTGTCAATTTCAGGAAATGACTCAAAAGTAGACGGGCTGGTCAATTTTGAGAAGCTAAGGATGATTGCAAAAGAAATTCGTCACGTTGGCCGAATGGCTTCAGTGAACATGGACCCTGCCCTCATGTTCAGGACTCGGTGAGTATGTCATCTTCAGTGGCACGTGTGAGAGTAGAGAAGGTTAAATTTAGAGCTTCCCAATAAATGATTTTTTTAAAGTTTGAGTATTTATATTTGTAGTACGGCAGAAATTATAGTAGGATGTGCTGAGAATCACCTGTGAGCTCTAATTTGGAATAAATGTCTTATTCTGTATAAAGTGTTCTTTCGGCTGTCAGTAAAAACAGTTTGTCTTTCAGACATTTTCAATGTAATAGACACAATTATGTGTTTCTTATTTCTCAGAACACTGACTTGTAGAGCTAAAACTCATAGCTAGTAGTATGCACTAAAATATGTAAATACCCCAAATAGTCTTGTCTCAATATCCACACAACAAATTTAGCTAGCAGTGTAGTAAAAAGTGATTAATTCAGTGAAAGAGAGAAAAGTCAGTCTTAATTCTAGAACAAAAAATTTAAATGTATGTGTCTTTTAAGCCAGAAAAATATTTCTAGTAAAGTTGCGTGTGTGAGGTGATTATGCAGTTTAATGTTTGTGGGCTTCTAGAACTGCTTATCCAGAAGTCTAGTCCTTTCTTTCTGAGCTTGTGATCTTTCTGTCTCTCTTTCTACACCCATGCTTCAATCTCCATGGCTCTCACTTACAGGAAGAAGAAATGGCGGAGTTTGGGGTAAGTGGTGGAGACCTTGCATACCCACACACAGTTCTTATTCTGCTCATTGCATTGTTTTCTTACCTGCTGTATTTTCTGATGCTTTGCATTTTTGCATTTTTTTCCTTAACCCTCGTGCTGTAGCAGAATTTCAGATGGCAAATTGACTTCAAGTTTAATCTGTTGGGGCTTTTGCTTTTGAAGTCATGATCCATGAGAGCTGTGAAATGATTGATGATTGTTCTGGGGAACTACAGGCCAGTTTTTCTGAGCTCTTAGAAAAATTTTATTTTCATATAATTGGTGTGTCTCGAAATGCAGAAAGCTCAAAGTAGGGGGAGGGGAGGAAGGATATTAGAAGGGAAAAGTTGTGCAATTAAAATATTTCACAGATATGTGAGAAATAAATATATTTAATATAAAATAGGTGCCCCCAGGTGTTAAACCCAAATTTTTTACAGCTCAACTAACTACTATTTTCATTCTGTATAAACCAATCCTTTTTAAAAATAATTCTTAACAATTCATGTGCTCAATGGTTTCCATACATATATGTTTACATTTGCATGATTGTTTTATTAACAGATTGACCGTATTACTTTAAAAACTCACCACATTCAACTCAAGGCATAAGAAGACAATTTTGAACATTGTAGCTAATTTTATTTAAATTTATGTATAATATCCTCTTTAGGAGAAGTAATTTTAATGTTGCAAATCTTAATGATTATAGCTGTGTATTCTTGCATGAGCTTTTACATGTAATTATTGTTTTCTGGCACCTGTGAGAGAACTGCCTTAAATGCTCTATAGAGTGAAAAGTAGAATTTCCTAGTTGGAACTGAACAGGTGCCAAACATAAATTTTTATATGTATATTATGTGTAATTTTCTTTAAATTTTTAAAATCTGTATTATTCTATATTCCTGTGTAACAGTTTACTCACTGGAATGAGGCATGTGACCTTTTGAACATAGACTATTAATATCAGTCTTGGCACATTTTAAATAGATAAAGTACTCCCATGCTAGAGTGAGCTGCATATGTACCTTTTCATCTTCCAGGTCTCTCAGCCAGGGTAGTACAAATGCAACAGTGCTAGATGTTGCTCAGACAGGTGGTCATAAAAAGCGGGTACGTCGTAGTTCCTTTCTCAATGCCAAAAAGCTTTATGAAGATGCCCAAATGGCTCGAAAAGTGAAGCAGTACCTTTCCAATTTGGAGCTAGAAATGGACGAGGAGAGTCTTCAGACATTATCTCTGCAGTGTGAGCCAGCAACCAACACATGTGAGTTTTTCCTTAAAGTGGCTGCAGACTTTGGCTAGGATGCAGATTTGTTTCCTGTGCAGTGGTATGGGCAGTGACAAAATAAGGCTTAGTGCAGAGGGGGAGCTAGCAATCCTGAGATATACTAGTCTTTTCCTTGAATGCTAATATTTAATACTGGGTAGCACTGTGCACGGCCAGGCCGTCATGTCAACTGGGTTAGTATGTGGAAGATGACACTGTCCACATCTAAGGCAACCCATTACTTTAGTTTCACCTGGACACAACCAGTACACATGCAACAGACGCATATATAGATATGGCTCCCATTTACATGTCTTACGTTCTCACAAAGCTACCCCCAAAGTATGGGCAACCTGAGGGGAGTCAGGGCATAAAATTGGGTGTGCTGGCTGCCTTTTAACCACTAGCCCAGACAACACCGAACAACAAATTCAGCTACCAGTTAGTTAGAGCAATGATTCTGCTCCACAGTGAACCACAATAGCCTTTAAAAATCTGGTTAATCTATAAATGGGGCAGTTTTTTTTTTTTTCTAAATCTGCATCTTGACTTAAAAGACAAAGGCATTTTCCATTCAGTACACACCTGTGTCTTTTATGGGCAGGTTTGAAGATGTCTTCTGTAGGATTTAATTTAGATAGGTGATTTGAGAAGATTTGGATTATTAGATTTACCCAGGATGCTGTAGAAGCACTGTGTCATGGTGAAGAGCTTGTCCTCTGGAGTCAGAGTGGTCTGAGTTCAAATCCTGTTTGTCTCCTCTTACTAGCTGCAGCCTTAGGCAACTTACTTGACCTCCCTAATCCTTAGTTTCCAGGCGTGTAAAAGGGAGGAAGCATACATATGTCATTGAGTTTTTAATATTAAAATGCTACATATACAACATTTTATTGTCCTAAATTGCTTTGCCATTTATCTACCACAAAATATATACTCAGTATGATACTGAAGCATTATTGGCTACTGTTTGCTTGCATAGATAATTCTACCTCCTAGGAATATGGTAGTAAATAGATTGCAGTTGACAGCATTTATTAAATAAAAACTTAGCACATACATGTCAAACAATTTGGGACACCGTTTTAGAAAAATAGTGCCTGATGACTTTTCTGTTGTAGCTTTTATCACGTATTTGTTTCTTTCATATACATGGATATAACATATTGAACTACCCACATTTTTCTATATTTTTAATGGGGTGTTTAATAGTACAATCATCTTTTGAGATTGCTGACTTCATAAAGTAGATACCTTTGTCCTGCCACATATCTAATATTTTCTGTAACTAGGGTCCCCCATCCATTTTCTGTGCTTCATAAAGGCAACAGGAAGAAAGGTGTGCATTAATTTAGTATTCTAACTGCAGAAAATGCTCACACAGTTCTAGAATTATCTTCTACATACCTACTAGCATCTAAAATTCTTTGTTCTATTTTCAAACCCAAACAATTATCAGTGCCTAAGAATCCTGGTGACAAAAAGCCTGTCAAATCCGAGACCTCTCCAGTAGCTCCAAGGGCAGGGTCACAACAGAAAGCTCAGTCCCTGCCACAGCCCCAGCAGCAGCCACCACCAGCACATAAAATCAACCAGGGACTACAGGTTCCCGCCGTGTCCCTTTATCCTTCACGGAAGAAAGTGCCCGTAAAGGATCTCCCACCTTTTGGTAAGTGATTACATTCATTTCTTTTTTTGGTGCCATTCACTGTCATGGTTTGCAAATTAGGAAAAAAATATTTGTCTTGGATAACTTTGTCTAATATATTTGAGTTTCTCTGTAATTATTAGCTCCTAATAAAACATGAACACTCAGCAAGTTAAACCTGACTTTGCCAATGGAAGGGGTTGTTTTTATAAGTAATATCTCGTTTAGTCATGCTAATTTGCTACGACAGGGTGTTAATAGAGAAGTTATGTGTCTATTAATTTAATTTTTGCTAAGCGCAGAAGATGCTTTGTTCATTTACATTATTTAAACTGGTTTTGCTTTACAACCAACAAACTGCTGGGATTTAAGCAGAATATTTTTAAGTTAAATGAATTGTCTGAAGGTAAATTCTTATTTGTTGACTCACTGATTCTATAACTTAGAGGGAAAAATAAAACAACTAACTCCTGAATATGAAGGAGCTAAATTACACTTCATCTTTCCTACTAAAAGAAAAACATCAGCCAGGCACGGTGGCTCACGCCTGTAATCCCAGCACTTTGGGAGGCTGAGGCGGGCAGATCACGAGGTCAGGAGATCCAGACCATCCTGGCTAACACGGTGAAACCCTGTCTCTACTAAAAATAGAAAAAATTAGCCGGGCGTGGTGGCGGGCGCCTGTAGTCCCAGCTACTCGGGAGGCCGAGGCAGGAGAATGGCGTGAACCCGGGAGGGGGAGCTTGCAGTGAGCCTAGATCGCACCGCTGCACTCCTCCAGCCTGGGCGAAAGAGCGAGACTGTCTCAAAAAGAAAAAGAAGAACATCTAGTAGTTTAGCCCCTTTGTGGAAGTGGTACAACACAATAATTTTTCATAAAATGTACACCTTCTTTTTTTTCTACGTATATGTGAATGAAACAGTTAATAAAAAACAAATTATTAAAAATAAAGGGATAGTAGGCTGGGTGCAGTGTCTCATGCCTGTAATCCCAGCACTTCAGGAGGCTGAGACGGGTGAATCACTCGAGGCCAGGAGTTGGAGACCAGCTTGCCCAACATGGGGAAACCCCATCTTTACGAAAAATACAAAACTTAGCCTGGCGTGATGGCGCATGCCTGCAGTCCTAGCTACCTGGGAAGCTGAGGCACAAGAATCGCTTCAACCTGGGGGGTGGAAATTGTAATAAGCCGGGATTGCATCACTGCACTCCAGCCTGGGCGACAGAGCAAGACTCTGTCGATAGATAGATAGATAGATAGATAGATGGATGGATGGATGGATGGATGGATGGATGGATGGATGGATAGATAGATAAAGATATAGAGAGATAGATAGCAAAGAGTTTACTTAGATAAAATTGGGTGTTGATAACTAAGTCCCTGCACAGTTACAGCCCATCTGTATGGCTTGGGTGAGAGTCATTTCGTAGACCCCTCACGTACTCTGTATCCTCACCTCATTCCATCTGATCAGCAAGTGTCCTCTTTATTGATATGGGGAGAGAATAAGAAAAGAACACCTTTCCTAGGTACATTTCTCCTTTCAAATATTTGTGTTGATCCTCTCATCACAAACACATTGAATTATGTGTTTCTTTATATATTACGTTTTGAATATGCATGCATTCCTGAATCCCCTGCAGTCTGTATCGTCTTTATGCAGAACTTCTCATATGGAAGATTATCAGTCTTCACTTTAGCTAAAAATGCCTATTAGCCATATTTAATATAATGTAGATGTCTCTGAGTATAAAGCTCTATCCCCCATGTTTCTGAAGCCATAGCTCTCAAAATGTCTTTAGTTCCATTTATGAACTTTAGAAATGTGGATGAAATATTATATGTTGTCTTATATTTATTTAGTTTAACATACACATTTAAAGTCACAGTATATAAAATACTAATTTAGAGACACTACAGGTGTTCCCCCCACTCCAGTCCATAAAATAGTTTTGTTCTATATACTTTCTACATCTTTAACATTGGTGTCTTTGTCATCACTAGCACCACTTTTGAAGTATCTCACACAGCTTTCTCAGGCATAATATCTTCACATCCATCCAACATGGTTTGAAAGGTAGTACTTTTTAAATCTGTGTATGATGCTGGCCTTGGAAATTTTTTCCAGATCAAAACTACCCATTCAATTAGCTTTATTTCCTGTGTATATGATTTCTACATGTAATCAAACTATTGCTTTAAAAGGTTTTTTTAAAAAAGATTGTATTAAAACAATATCAGACTGCTTACATGAAGTGAAATGAAGGATTAAATCTTTGTTAAATTTTACTAACACTAATTTGAGGTAGTTTCAGGCTGTAGTGCCTTCCCAAATATCTCTTTGTTGTTCAAAATAAAATTGAGAGTGCCTCATAATAATATGAGAGGCTTTGTAAAATATTTCAGTGTAACTTCCTCATTTATGAAAAATAATTTTGAGGAGGGAAATCATCTTACATTGACATGTAGAATAATTTTTCCTCCACTCTCATCCTGTTGGATCCTGCACGTGGTGCTGGCTCACTTCCTTCTTCTGAAACCTTCCTCCAAGGTTTTGTGACACAGCACTTTCATGGTCTCTTCCGCCCTTCTCTTTCATCTGTTTACTTGATCAAGTATTAACTGCATGGAATTCCTTAGAGCGCTTTCATTCACTTTCCTAGTTAGCTCCTCTTAGCTCTTGACTCTGTACTCTTCTCCCTTTATTCTCACTTCCCTTGAGCTACCCCTTTCCAAGGATACAAAACAGTTTCCAACTCAAATTTGGTTTCTAATAATAAACATGTCTAGCTGTGCCACTTCCATCCTAAATTCAGTGTTTCCAAATTGTCCATTTTTTCTTCATTGTTGCCTAACATATTGTTGAATAAAGATGGTGACTACTTCAAAGTTTAGAATCTAACGTAAAATATCAAAAGCAATATATTTCTGGTACTGTGGCAGATATCAGTCTGAAACCAAACTACGGGTATCTCATGACTTCTGTAGGCACTTACTGTGTGGACCTTGAAGAGTACAAAGAACATTTAGATTGTAAATAGGTTGAACCTCAGTGTAATGATATTAAATCTTAACACAAAAAAGTTTTTTATTCATAAATGGTGTTTATTTTCAGACTTGAAAATACATATTTAAGGTTTTTTTTTTTCCATTATAGGCATAAACTCTCCACAAGCTTTAAAAAAAATTCTTTCTTTGTCTGAAGAAGGAAGTTTGGAACGTCACAAGAAACAGGCTGAAGATACAATATCAAATGCATCTTCGCAGCTTTCTTCTCCTCCTACTTCTCCACAGAGTTCTCCAAGGAAAGGTAGAATTAAATTACTTTTTGTTTTCTTGTATTGAAACCTATACATTTTGGCTATAATAAATTCCAGAGTAATGTATTACATAATTCCTAACATTATAGTCATTTAAGATGAGCTCATTTGCAATGCCCAATGGATTTTTTTTCCCTCAGTTTATAAATTTGGAAGAATGGTGGTTTTAAAAAATGTTATACTTACAATAAATAGTATTAAATTTATAACTATAAGAAGCCTTTTAAAAATACATTTACTTTTAATTCAGATAAATATACAAAGAATTTTTTATATTACAATTTGTTCTAACTAAATTTGGTTATATGACATTAGTACAGAGAAGAGGGCTTTGAAAACATGAAAAACTAATATCTTCCTGATTTATTTTTTCATTGTATTAACACAGGTCTTGATTACCTTTTTGGTTGCTACCTTGTTTTATTTTTAGAGACTATATTTTAGGTACTCAGTCGCCTCCTTATGTTGATACATTCTCATATTAAAAGAGTAGGTAATTTTCTGCTGCATAACTCTTCAGGCTACTTCCTCCTCCTACCCTTTTAACTAAATGAGTGTAAGCCAATAATAAATGGCTAGGACGTAGTTTTCCCTAAAGGAAAGCCAAAAGGGCTTAATACATTGTTAAATTTCACTGACTCAACAGGTATTGCTTTACTTGGTAGATATTTCAGACATCTGTGCATTTTGTATGGGTATCAGTCTCTCCTGTCCTTGTTACATGGATGCATCTCAATTCTTTTCTCATCCTGTTGTTAGGTGGCAGTGGCAATCAGCTGAGATCTTTTGGCTCCGGGCAGTTGGACTTAACCAGTTCCTCCTCTTCTCTTGGAAGTGAGAACAGTAACAAGAATAACAATGCACCACGGACCTATGGGATAGGTGGGGTTTATAGAACCAAAAATGGGGTGGGAAAGAGAGGAATCATCTCATTAGTTAATGAAAATGGGAGAATTCCTCCAAATGTCAAGTGCTCCATCTGAGTGATTTATTTTTCTGAAACTTTTTTTTTTTTAAGCAGACTGTTCAGGGAGGGCTTTAAATCTTATCTGTCAGAACTTGCAGTGTGGTTTTATAAAAAGACATTTTATAAATGAACACATTAAATCTTATCAAGACCTGTGCAGCCTTTAAAAAATAAATCAGGAATTACCAATATGCTGAAAGAACATACTTAAACTGGCAACATTTAGATGCTCTAGATTTTAATTTTTCTTAGGTAAGTGGCATTGAAGAAATTTGCATTGCATATAAGATAAAGTCAATATTTAAGTAACATGAGATCCCTAGTAATGTAGACAAGAAAAAATGAATATTGAGAAAGAAGATTTGGATTTTTTTCATTAAAAATACCAAGATAGGGCCGGGTGCAGTGGCTTACGCCTGTAATCCCAGCACTTTGGGAGGCCAAGACAGGCTGATTACCTGAGGCCAGGAGTTCGAGACTAGCTTGGCCAACATGGTGAAACCCCTGTCTCTAGTAAAAATACAAAAAAAAAAAATTAGCCAGACATGGTGGCACATGCCTGTAATCCCAGCCACTCGGGAGGCTGAGGCAGGAGAATCGCTTGAAGCCAGGAGGTGGAGTTTTCAGTGAGCCAAGATCCCGCCACTGCACTCCAGCTTGGGTGACAGAGGGAGACTCCGTCTCAAAAACAAAAAAATCAAGATAGGCCCCTGCCATTGTGTCTTTCAAAATTATTTTTAGTAGCAAAAGAGAGTTAAGGGTCCTTTCAGGCCAAGAAGTGGACATCTGTTTAGATATTCTATAGTAATGATCTTGTGAAAAGTGCCCTTTAACTCCTTCAAAACGATTGGCTTTTATGTGGTTCAACCAATATTAATATTGAAAAACCAAATGGCAAAAATTCAAAGACATCTTCAGGTCTTATTTCTTATTCTTTTTGTTTATATGTTTACTTAAAATTGTAGGTAGGATACAGGTATTTCCAGTTGAATTAGTCTATGCCATACAAGTTCTAAAAATTGAAAACTGTTGAAAACAAGATCAGTGGCTTTGCATTTTGAAAAAAACATACTTTAAAATCTGATCCGTTATTCTTCATGGTTTCTTTTCTGTAGACTAATAGTGTAATTATATAGGTAAGGGAGCTAAGAATAGTTGAGTGGTGCCTTTTCTGCATCTTTTCCTAGCTTGTAGGATACTTTCTTTTTTCCTCTCTAAACTTCGATTAAACAACTTAAGCTTCATTAGAATAAAACATTTGTCTCTTAGTCATGTGGTCTCTACAAGTGAAATGGGGTTTTTCTCCCCACTTAAGAGATATCTATGCCTGCATTTTATTTTTGCTTCTATTTGGTAGACTTCCCTTTGATGTTATAAACCTAGAGAGTCTAATTAATACGGTTGTATTTCTCATGCAGGCTATACTTTGGCTCCCAGTGGTACTGTGGATAATTTTTCAGATTCTGGTCACAGTGAAATTTCTTCACGATCCAGTATTGTTAGCAATTCGTCTTTTGACTCAGTGCCAGTCTCACTGCACGATGAGAGGCGCCAGAGGCATTCTGTCAGCATCGTGGAAACAAACCTAGGGATGGGCAGGATGGAGAGGCGGACCATGATTGAACCTGATCAGTATAGCTTGGGGTAGGTGGCTCTTTTTAATATTCTTCTGAATTTATCCTTCCATCTCTGTTTTAATAATGAGTCTTTTCTTCCAGTGTTTGTTTTTATTTATTTTACATAATGCCTAAGAATTTTTCTGCCATCCCAGTTCTGATTTTCACAATTTCTACACTAAGTATCATGTTATTTTTGTTAAGCAGACTGCTTTTTTAGTTAAGTTTATTCTTCATTGGAACACAGTTGTTCTGTGCTGAAGGCAGAGGGTGACTGTAGGATCCATCCCAGTTGTTTCGTATGAGCTGCCTTCCTGAAATAATCAAATTATATTGAGCCACCCTTAATGTTGTCGGGGAATTTTTTTTTTTTTAATGGCACGTTGCGTTCTTTTCCCGCATGCCTGTTTTATAGTAATGATAAAGTCAGAAGGCTAGACATGGCAGAACTGGCCAATATAAGGCAATTCAGTGCTACTTTTATCCTGTTTCTGGGATGAAAGCAAGCTACCTTTCTAGGAAAAAGGGTATTTTGGTTTTATCATAGGTGAATTAGTTATCAATCTTGTTTTTTTTTTCTTTTCCATTTCTTTTAACCACTTAGGTCCTATGCACCAATGTCCGAGGGCCGAGGCTTATATGCTACAGCTACAGTAATTTCTTCTCCAAGCACAGAGGAACTTTCCCAGGATCAGGGGGATCGCGCGTCACTTGATGCTGCTGACAGTGGCCGTGGGAGCTGGACGTCATGCTCAAGTGGCTCCCATGATAATATACAGACGATCCAGCACCAGAGAAGCTGGGAGACTCTTCCATTCGGGCATACTCACTTTGATTATTCAGGGGATCCTGCAGGTTTATGGGCATCAAGCAGCCATATGGACCAAATTATGTTTTCTGATCATAGCACAAAGTATAACAGGCAAAATCAAAGTAGAGAGAGCCTTGAACAAGCCCAGTCCCGAGCAAGCTGGGCGTCTTCCACAGGTTACTGGGGAGAAGACTCAGAAGGTGACACAGGCACAATAAAGCGGAGGGGTGGAAAGGATGTTTCCATTGAAGCCGAAAGCAGTAGCCTAACGTCTGTGACTACGGAAGAAACCAAGCCTGTCCCCATGCCTGCCCACATAGCTGTGGCATCAAGTACTACAAAGGGGCTCATTGGTAAGTTTTAAAATTGGGGGACTTTGTCATGTCTGGATCATGTCTTTAATGTAACTTATTACAATAGTAAAATTATGTGTTTGTTGGTTCTTTTCCTCATTTTCTCCATTGCTATGTAGGACTTCCAAATTAGTGGTGTGTTAAGGTCTTTGAAATCAATAGTGGTTAAGAGCCCAGGTTTTGTGGTCAGGTACCTACAGATCTGTTCCTATATAACAAAACATTCAATAAATCTTAGCTATCAGGATGAGTAGATTGTCATTGTGAATATTATCTAGTCTAATTTTTTTCTCTTAACCTGAAAATCAGGATGGATTCCTATTATTCATAGAGGAGAAATTTTTCTTTAATTGAAACTCTTTTATATCTTTGATTCTTCTATTTTGTTCTCTTGATTGTATTTAGAACTATACGCTTTGTATACTTAAAAGTCTTCCATTGATTTTTATTCTGCACGCACATTGTTGATAAGCAATTCTTTGTGCACGCTGTAGAAGGAGGGAGAGGTGCTAATAGTGTAATGACTAAGAGCACGGGTTTAGGAGTCAGGCGGACTGGGGATTGAATCCCTGTTTTGCCACTTTATTAGTTTTGTGACATTGGGTAAAATACAAAACAGTGCCTGTTTCCTCATCTGTAAAATGAGCTTCATAATTTCTACTTAATGGAGTTAGTGTGAGGATTCAAGGAAATTTATGCAAAGTATTTAGAACAGTGCCCAGATAGTAGATTCACTAAGTACATGAAAGCTATTGCTGCTGCTGTTCCTGTTAGAAGAGGCTCTCATGCGCCCTCAGTCCTGTTGAGATGTGTTTTCTATGGCACAATTAACATCTATATAGACGAAGTGTAGGAACAGATGATAGGTTGTAGAGTGAGAAATTCTGGAGTATAATCATTACGGACATTACTTTTATTAGTAGGAAAATTGTAGTTATTTAGCCATGTAAATAGTCATGGGTAGATTTCAAGTTTAATATCCTTTTACAATGAATAAGGAGAAAACAGTTAATAAATATTCTTAGGTTGGACTTTTTCAAGTGCTTACAACTAATACTCAGAATTTTTATTGCAAAGGAAGGAAGAATGATTTTTAGTTCCTAACAATTGAGTTTTAAAAGTTCAAGAAAATGAAACTTTAGTTTTACTGGCCTATACAGGTTTCATATTCTAGGTCATGAGCATCAATAAAGGGATTTTAAGAAAAATAGACACCTTATAGTAATAGTTTTAGAATTTTTAAATTGGTATCCTTTGTGCGACTTTTCCAAATTTATTTTAATTCACTGTTTCTGTAAGTGAAGTCTTGAGACCCGAGAGTGATGTAGAATTGCTTCTCTGCCTGGTAAAGATAAATGCCCAGAAAGAGGGCAGATCCGGCAGGCAGAGAGGAAAAAGGGAACTTGTACCAAGCACAAACAGGTTCTAGGCATAGTGCTGTGTACTTAGGTTCTTCCTGTGCTTCAGTCTTTCCAATAAATCCAGGGGTTAGGTTTTAATCTTACTATTTTATAGTTACAGACCATTTTAAATGGACAAGCAGCCCATTTAAAGATAAAAGTACTTAGATGGACTAGCAGCTTCTCTCACCAATTATTTCACCACACAAAGATAACATCATTGTGAAATTTGGTTTAGTTAACATGCATTCCCTGGCCTGCCTCACACCGCACCTCTAACCGATACCATGCAAATGCACATCTGCTGCTACACTGTGGATGCTGTTTTAGTAATTATTTTTATATTTTTAATAAACTTTTGTGGCATGAACTAGTTTTTAATGCTGGTGCATTGTTTCTACTCTAGCACGAAAGGAGGGCAGGTATCGAGAGCCCCCGCCCACCCCTCCCGGCTACATTGGAATTCCCATTACTGACTTTCCAGAAGGGCACTCCCATCCAGCCAGGAAACCGCCGGACTACAACGTGGCCCTTCAGAGATCGCGGATGGTCGCACGATCCTCCGACACAGCTGGGCCTTCATCCGTACAGCAGCCACATGGGCATCCCACCAGCAGCAGGCCTGTGAACAAACCTCAGTGGCATAAACCGAACGAGTCTGACCCGCGCCTCGCCCCCTATCAGTCCCAAGGGTTTTCCACCGAGGAGGATGGTATATGCACATAAATATTCCTAAAACCTCCAAGTTAGATGTGTTCACTTGTGCTGCTTCCCAAGGCATTTCTGTTCTCTTAACACTGCAGTCAGCTATGTCTAACCATATACTACACAAAGTACACTACATTCAGAGTTCCAAATTTAGGGTTACAGCTGTTGACTGCTTTCTTTTGTGTGTGTGTGTGTGTTTCCTTAAATGGCTTTAAAAATGCCAAAGATTATGGAGGGAGTCACTTAAAATACAGTGTGTATATAACTGGTTTTCTTCTCCAATTCTCACTAAAATTTGATTGCTTTCTGTGTGTCTGTGTATGTGTGTTTCCCTAAATGGCTTAAAAAATCCCAAAGATTATGGAGGGAGTCACTTAAAATACAGTGTTTATATGACTTGATTTCTTTTCTAATTCTCGTTAAAATTGAAGTACTTCTGTGACCCTATTTTAAGAAAAAGAATAGGCCAGGTGCGATGGCTTACACCTGTAATCCCAGCACTTTGGGAGGCTGAGGAGGGCAGATTACTTGAGCTCAGGAGTTTGAGACCAGCCTGGCCAAAGTAGTGAAACCCTGTCTCTACTAAAAATACAAAAATTAGCCGGGTATGGTGGCAGGCACCTGTAATCCCAGCTGCTCGGGAGGCTGAGGCAGGAGAACCACTTGAGCCCGGAAGGCAGAGGTTGCAGTGAGCCAACAACATGTCACTGCACTCCAGCCTGGGTGACAGAGTGAGACTCTGTCTCAAAAAAAGGAAAAGAAAATGAAAATTTCACAAGTTTGTGCTGTTGTCAAGAATTTTAGAAGCATGTAGGATTCTCAAAGGTGGATGGTTAAAGTTTTCTGTGGAAACATTATATTTGCGCTTTTAATGAATTGGGACTCATTTGGAAATGAAAGTCTGATAAAGAAAGATACATTATCAGCCAGCCTGATGGCTCATGCCTGTAATCCCAGCACTTTGGGAGGCTGAGGTGGGAGGATTGCTTGAGGCCAGGAGTTCGAGACAAGCCTGGGCAACATAGTGAGACCTGTCTCCATAAAAATATTTTTCAAATGACCCAGGCGTGGTGGCGTGTGCCAATAGTCCTAGCTACTATGGAGGCTGAAGTGGAAGGATCACTTGAGCCCAGGAGTTCAGGGCTGTGGTGACCCATGATTGTGCCACTGCACCGTAGCCTAGGTAGCAGAGCAAGACCCGGTCTCTAAAAGAAAGAGAGAGAGAAGGGGAGGGAGAAAGGGAAGGAAGGAAGGAACCCACATTCTTTATAACTCTTTGTGCGTTCTTTCTACAAATCTATCTGACCATGCTGAATTGAGAATGAGGAAGGAGAACATGGCCTCCCATCTTCTTTAAAGTTTTCAGTTTAACATGTTTGATTACACAATCATAGAAAAAAGCAACACGTGACTGGGAGATTGGGAGGCCGAGGCAGGAGAATCGCTTGAGCCCGGGAGGCGGAGGTTGCAGTGAGCCGAGAACACTGCACTGTGGATGGCAAACCCACACCCTGTCTCAAAAAAGTTAAATTAAATTAAATAAATAGAAAAACATTACAAATGAAAATTACTTAAAATCCTGTCACTTGCAGATAGCCACTATTAAAATGTTGTTATATATTCTAGACTTTTTATGTGTATCTGATCGTATATTTTTTTTAAATGGCACATGCTATTTTACAACTTTTTAAAATGAATTTAACAACTTTCTGAACAAAAATATATAATGCATATCTTTTTAATATTGTGTGTATATATGTAAAGATATGTATTGCATACATTTTAACCTTTTTGTTGTTCGTCATTGTTTAGGAAAAAAAGACAAGGATTCTAAGTGAGCTATACTAAAAAGAATAACTATGATAGTTTTATTTAGCACATCAGTGAATATATTCTCTATAGCACAAGAAATTACTTGCTTGCTCATTGATTTCTTTTTCTTCCCTGCTGTATTTGCAGAAGATGAACAAGTTTCTGCTGTTTGAGGCACAGACTTTTCTGGAAGCAGAGCGAGCCACCTGAAAGGAGAGCACAAGAAGACGTCCTGAGCATTGGAGCCTTGGAACTCACATTCTGAGGACGGTGGACCAGTTTGCCTCCTTCCCTGCCTTAAAAGCAGCATGGGGCTTCTTCTCCCCTTCTTCCTTTCCCCTTTGCATGTGAAATACTGTGAAGAAATTGCCCTGGCACTTTTCAGACTTTGTTGCTTGAAATGCACAGTGCAGCAATCTTCGAGCTCCCACTGTTGCTGCCTGCCACATCACACAGTATCATTCCAAATTCCAAGATCATCACAACAAGATGATTCACTCTGGCTGCACTTCTCAATGCCTGGAAGGATTTTTTTTAATCTTCCTTTTAGATTTCAATCCAGTCCTAGCACTTGATCTCATTGGGATAATGAGAAAAGCTAGCCATTGAACTACTTGGGGCCTTTAACCCACCAAGGAAGACAAAGAAAAACAATGAAATCCTTTGAGTACAGTGCTTGTCCACTTGTTTACAATGTCCTCCTTTTAAAAAAAAAAAATGAGTTTAAAGATTTTGTTCAGAGAGTAAATATATATCCATTTAATGATTACAGTATTATTTTAAACCTTAAGTAGGGTTGCCAGCCTGGTTTCTGAAAAACCAAATATGCCGGACAGGGTGTGGCCACACCAAGAAGACGGGAAGACCTGGCTTGTGACCCTGGCTTCCCATGTCCTTCTGGTCTCACCCGCGAAGTGCCCTATCCTGGAAGTATGAAATGTTAGCCAATTAATACCAAGACACCTCATCTGCTCCTTCCCCAGTGGATGGGGTTCTTCTGTAAAACTGTTTGCACATGGCCAGGGGAGGGAACTAGGACCCTTGTGTCCTGTCTGAGCCTTATGGAGGCAGGACGGTGTCATTGGCGGATGTGTCCTGCTCCATTGAGATGGATGGCAAACCCCATTTTTAAGTTATATTTCTTTGATTTTTGTTAATTTAGAGGTGTAGGTTTTGTTTTTTGTTTTTTTGTTTTTTTTTAAGAGAAACATTTATAACTGGATAGCATTGCAGTGAAAGCAGCTTGGGATGTTGGAGCTAATGCCAGCTGTTTATACTGCTCTTTCAAGACAGCCTCCCTTTATTGAATTGGCATTAGGGAATAAACAAGCCTTTAAACGTGATAAAAGATCAAAAACCTGGTTAGACATGCCAGCCTTTGCAAGGCAGGTTAGTCACCAAAGACTAACCTCCAAGTGGCTTTATGGACGCTGCATATAGAGAAGGCCTAAGTGTAGCAACCATCTGCTCACAGCTGCTATTAACCCTATAATGACTGAAATGACCCCTCCACTCTATTTTTGTGTTGTTTTGCACAGACTCCGGAAAAGTGAAGGCTGCCAATCTGAGTAGTACTCAAATGTGAGGAACTGCTGGTCTTGGATTTTTTTTCCATTAAATTCAGCTGATCATATTGATCAGTAGATAAACGTAAATAGCTTCAAATTTTAAAAGTGGAATTGCAGTGTTTTTTCACTGTATCAAACAATGTCAGTGCTTTATTTAATAATTCTCTTCTGTATCATGGCATTTGTCTACTTGCTTATTACATTGTCAATTATGCATTTGTAATTTTACATGTAATATGCATTATTTGCCAGTTTTATTATATAGGCTATGGACCTCATGTGCATATAGAAAGACAGAAATCTAGCTCTACCACAAGTTGCACAAATGTTATCTAAGCATTAAGTAATTGTAGAACATAGGACTGCTAATCTCAGTTCGCTCTGTGATGTCAAGTGCAGAATGTACAATTAACTGGTGATTTCCTCATACTTTTGATACTACTTGTACCTGTATGTCTTTTAGAAAGACATTGGTGGAGTCTGTATCCCTTTTGTATTTTTAATACAATAATTGTACATATTGGTTATATTTTTGTTGAAGATGGTAGAAATGTACTATGTTTATGCTTCTACATCCAGTTTGTACAAGCTGGAAAATAAATAAATATAACATAAAGCCTTGCCTATATTCTTAATGAATCATGCATGCTTTTTATTATTAAATTGGAATAGAAGCCTTTCGTCTCCTGCAGAAGCAAGTCCTTCGGCTGGAGAGATTTAGCCTCATGGTTATTGGAAACTGCCCAATAGCCTATTTATTTTAGGCAGATCTCTGTTGATCCAAAGCAATTAATATCATTAACGTTAGCACCAGCCAAACCATGTTCAGAATTCAGTGTTTCTTGAAAATGAAGATGCTGTCACAATATATTTGCATAACATTTGTCTCTTCTCAACCGTTTCCAACAATAATCTTTATGGTACGTAATATTTTGGTTCCCAGTATACATACTGAGAGACAGGACCTCAGAGAAACTGACATTCAAGGTCATGATTATTAAGTGGAGAGTACAATTTAGCTAGTGATTCTGGACTTCTAACTAGTACACAATATGAGTGCTGATGTGTGGTAAGTCTGAATAATACTTTAGTCTATCAGAAGGGCACTTAATTTTAAAAGGTAAAAACCAGTAAGTAGCAGCCTGCTTACGCACATGTTTAAATGAGTGACTCATTTCTTTTCCTCAAGCAAGCATAACTAAAAGTATTAGCCATCAGCCACTGAGAAGTCTCAGAAGTCAGAGTGGAAGCAACTGGAAGCAGAGGCACCAAACACTGGAACATGTGAGGGAGCCTGAAGAGGAGCGGGAGGAAGGTCCCTCCAGAAGCTAACAGGAAAATGGCCAGGGCTAGGCTTCAAGATCTTTCCAAGGTATTCGTGCCAGCTATTTTGCTGAGAAATTTTGAAAACCTGGACACCAAAATAGTCGGGAAAATTATTTATTTATTTATTTATTTATTTATTTTTTAACCATTCTAGTAGCTTCAACCACACCTTTTAAAAAATGAAGAACCTGCGTGTTTGTGTATGTTGTTACATGCTCATCTCTGTTGTCTTTTCACTTTAAAACCCATTCCTCAGGGACTTTCCTAGACTGTCACTCAGCTTAATTTTCTCAAACTTTTTTTGAAAAAATACTAAGAATCTGATGTTTTGGAGAATAACCTCTTTATCATTACTGTGTGTGTTCTGCTAAAAATATGAGACAGTGACAAATAGGGCATGGTTCGTTTTCCTTTTAGGTTTTATTAGACTTTTATGTTTTAGGATACTTCCTCCGTGTAGCACAAGACTGGTCTCCACTTAAGGGTTTCCAGAAATAAGTATTTGCCAAGTGTAACAGTTTGCAGGGACAGAGTTTATGTTATGTTAATAATAGAACTTTGCCAAGTTTTAGGGATATTGTAGAAGGTTTTGGTGAAGGTCTGATGCTCTCCACCCTAATCAAAGAGGCCACACAGACCGGGGTCTGTGTTTTCATACATACAGGTTGAAGTCCTCAGAATGTTTTTCTCAGCCTCAATCCATTTCTCTGCTTTTGGGAGGTATAGATTTTATGCTCATCTATGATTTAATATGTTTTACCTTTAGTTCACTGATAATATCCCAAAATGAATAATGCAAGCTTCTGAGGATGCATGTATCAACACACCTTTTGGTCTCTGCCTCTCAACGCCAGTGCACTACATTCATGCCAAAGAAAAATAGGAAACTCTCTTGAGCGCTTTATCCCATGATACCAGCATTCTTTAAAAAAAAAAAAAAAAAAGGCTTACCTAGAGAATAAACGTAATGCAGCAACTGAGGAGTCAAGTTGTTGATTGCAGAGGTAAATTATTTTGTGAAGATTCACTAAGGGTATAATATCAGCAGAGGTTGTTGAAAGGGGCAATAAGACGGAAATGTGTAAGGCAAACTGCAGCTGAGGCCAACATGACACTTTCAAGAAAGATTTTAAAGTGAGAATTTACCTATTTGAGAGTGAGACGAAAATACTGACTGGAACTGAAAAATAATTTATGAATTGCCTTTTTTTTTGAGACAGAGTCTCACTCTGTTATCCAGGCTGGAGTGCAGTGGCGCAATCTCAGCTCCACCTCCTGGGTTCAAGCGATTCTCCTGCCTCAGCCTCCTAAGTAGCTGGGACTACAGACGTGCACCACCACACCCGGCTAATTTTTGTGTTTTTAGTAGAGACGGGGTTTCACCATGTTGGCCAGGCTGGTCTTAAACTCCTGACCTCAAGTGATCCACCCGCCTTGGCCTCCCAAAGTGCTGAGATTACAAGCGTGAGCCACTGTGCCCGGCCTGAGTTGCATTTTTTAAAAGATTCACATTTTAGCCAAGTACAAGGCAAGCTAGTTGTTACTATGCCATAGCCATATACCAGAAAATTTTATAGAGGCAATCACGACATTCCATGCAAGGTTAAGAAATGCCAGAAAAGACTTTATTTCATGGGCAATCAAGATGGTAACAATTCTTATGGGAAAAATGTCTAAGCCTAGAATAAAATATCTGAAATAAATTGAGTCAAATGACCAGCTTTATAAAGACTGAAAGTGAAATCAACTTAATTCAGAGTGTTCAACACCTCAAAAATAGAAGTAAGTTTAATACAATTTAAGAAACTTTTGGCCAGGAACAGTGGGTCATACCTGTAATCTCAGCATTATGGGAGGCTGAGGCAAGAGGGATTGCTTGGTGCCAGGAATTCAAGAACCAGCCCAGGCAACAAAGCAAGACCCTATCTCTACAAAAAATAAAAAATACAGCCAGTTGTAAGGGTGTGCACCTGTAGTCCTAGCTTCTCAGGAGGCTAAAGTAGGAGGATCACTTAAGCCCAGGAGTTCAAGGCTGCAGTGATCTATGATGATGCCACTGCACTCCAGCCTGGGCAACAGGACAAGACTCTGTCTCAGAAAAGAAACATTTTAATAATATTGTATGACCTTGCCAAATGCACTGTGGTCAAATGGGGACCAATGAAGTAATAGTATCTCAACATACGTGAGGTTTTCTTTAATTTATATAGATTGAAACCTTTTTCCCCAAATAGGACTACAAAATTGGTTTTAGGATCAGGTGAGTGTCACATTTGGTATTAAGATGAAAATATGTATATGTACAATGCTTCTAGATACAGTTTAGTGAGCTAATTTACTGTGGTCCAAGCACTTTTCTAGATGCTAGATATTTACAGATTTTACTAAAGTGAACCGAGGCACCTTCGAGTTATACTTTCTTACTTTAGAGAAGTGTCTCAGGCCCTACATGGAAAAACCTACGGAGTGATCCCACCATCTTGATCACAGCTGGATTGAAGGAGGTGTCTGATCCAAGAGTTGCCAATGTGGGCTCACCAGCAGTCTGTAAGAGGGCCCTGGAATGAGTGCCGTGACCAGCCAGTAAGAAGGAAAGCAACAACTAACAACCTTAGCACATTCTCTTTGGGGAATTTCTATGAAAAGGCAAAAAAAAAGGACGCACCAAAGAAGTGAGTATTCAGAAGCCGTGACTAACAGAAGCAATGAGGATGCAGAAATCATGAGCAAGAAGGGGCCCATGAGGTCAAGAAAGCAATTCATCAAAGGCAGGAATCCTGTTAAAAACTTAAGACACTTCTTAGGGAACAATAAAATGATCTGTCATCATCACACCTGAATACAATGTCCAGTCTTAGAACAACTCCCTGAAGCTTGGCTCTGAAATGTTCTTGTTCTTCATGAGACCAGCATGGAGAGCTGTTTTTTGTGTATCCTCTCTGAATAACCATTCTGTTCTCAGCATCTAGAAACAGTGCCTGGGATAATGCCAAAGTGTTTAATAAATGAATATCATATCAAGCAACCTAAAGGACCTCAATTACACAGGTAAATTGGAGACTCAAAAATCAGACAAAATGCATGTGTGAAGGGGCATCTATAACTGCTCAGACTGGTGAATATTCAGAAGTGAAATAAATGACTCGTAACAAGGCTAGCAAGGGTTTCAGATTAATCAAAAGGAGCAAAGGATAAAAGACTGTTTAAAGAGTTCAGTTTTGTGTGACTACAGAAGTTCAGTGGAGTGAAAGGTCAATGAAGACTGAAGTGTCCATAAGAAGAGACGAGACTTCAGCTATAGCTTCAAGTATCATCTGAAGACAAGAATGAAGGCAAGAGGCAGGGCTATTGGCATGGCTGTGGGACACAGGAGTCATGCCTCATTAGATGGGACATTATGAATAGAAGATGCAGAGAAATTGGTTGGGATAAGTAGGGAGTGAGATCAGGACAAAAAATGTTTAGAGATTGTTCATTTTAGGGGATCAGTAAATGCTTATAAAAAGAAACAAGGAAGGAAAGGAGAAAGAACTGACAGAATCTTTTGATGAGACAATGGTAGGAAAGGATGACTTGATTAGTCAGGACCAGGCAGGATGGAGGGTGAGGCAGGGAAGGTAGCTAGCTGGGAAACCTGCTATCATCCAGGCCTGAGCCAGCAAAGCCCTGGAAAGTATGGTTTCAAAGGCAATTCAAAGGAAAAAAATCAATAGAATTTGGTGTCTAATAGCATATAAGAGACTTACTTAAAAGTTAAGCCAAAATTTGTAAAATGTTCAAGATTCTTATTCTGAATGCTTAAGATAAAGAGAATAGGCTGGGTACAGTGGCTCATACCTGTAATCCCAACACTGGGAAGCCAAGGTGGGAGGATCGCTTGAGCCCAGGAATTCAAGACCAGCCTGGGCAACACAGGGAGACCCTGTCTTAAAAAAAAAAAAATTATTCAAGCTTGGTAGCATGTGCCAATATGTCCCAGCAACTTGGGAGGCTGAGGTAGTAGGATCACCTGAGCCCAGCAGTTCCAGGCTGCAAGTGAGCTATGATCGTACCACTGCACTTTAGCCTGGGTAAGAGAGTAAGAACTCATCTCAGGGGAAAAAAAAAAAAAATTAACATTGACAAAGATAAGGAAGTTGCAGAAAATGTTAATTTTTAAAACTGAGTCAAAAAAATTCTTGTCCACGGGATTCAAAGTTCCACACTGTTTCCGTTGTACCTTCTGTTAATACATCCATAAGGTAAGGCTCTGGATGTGGTTGAGGAAGGGGGCATTCTACCCTCTTCAGGTACAATTACAGTACTGGTGAGTCCACACAGTTTATTCACTGCATTTTCCAAAACATCTGATTTTTTTTTTTTTTTTTTGAGACCGAGTATTGCTCTGTCGCCCAGGCTGGAGTGTGATCTTGGCTCACTGCAACCTCTGCCTCCCGGGTTCAAGTGATTCTCCTGCCTCAGCCTCCTGAGCAGCTGGGACTACAGGCACGTGCCACCACGCCCAGCTAATTTTTGTATTTTTAGTAGAGACGCGGTTTCCCCAGGCTGACCAAGATGGTCTCGATCTCTTGACTTCGTGATCCGCCCGCCTCAGCCTTCCAAAGTGCTGGGATTACAGGCGTGAGCCGCCGCGCCCGGCCATCTGATTCATTCTTTTGTGTCATTGTAAAGGTTGTGAATCATTGAGCGCAGGCACTACGTCTAACCAAGCTATTTCTAGCACCCCTGCAAAATTAAAATTATTTGCTCACATGCAAAACTAGGCCCAGAGAAGGACACTGACAATGTGGAATACATAATTTCAAAAATTCACCTCAAAAAGCTGGAGGACCAGTAGAATGAAAACCACCAGCCTACTCATGGGCGAACTGTGGTACTTGTGTCCTTTCTTCCATTTACTTTCCTGAGGAGAGGAGAGACTGCTCACCTGGTATTCCACTGTGCCCCTCCCCGGCAGACCCCTCACTGACCCGTGAGGCAGGAGCAGAAGTTGTTCACTATAGATTATTGCTCCATCATAATATAACCAAGGAGGCTGGGCACAGTGGTTCATGCCTCTAATCCCAGCACTTTGGGAGGCTGAGGCAGGAGGATCACTTGAGGTCAGGAATTCCAGACCAGCCTGGCCAACCTAGTGAAACCCCATCTCTACTAAAAATAACAAAAATTAGCCATGCGTGGTGGCGTGCACCTGTAATCCCAGCTACTTGGGAGGCTGAGGCACAAGAATCATTTAAACCCGGGAGGTGGAGGTTGTAGTGAGCCAAGATCGCACCACTGCACTCCAGCCTGGGCAACAGAGCAAGACTCTGTCTCTAAATAAATAAATAAATAAATAATGAAAAATAACCAAATATAGATAGGGGAAGAAACAGGAAAATAATAGTGGTAAAGGAGGTGGAATAATAGCAAGGAAAAGGAGGGAAGGGAAAGGATGAGAAGAAAACAATTAAATGGTGAAATAAATTAATAAGCAAATATTCAAAAGCAAAAAAAAAGCAACACAATAGTTCATATCTGTGGTTTGGAGCAGACCCCTCCTGAGGCAGGAAAACTCTCCTCTTTGGGAAGTGAATTTCCCATTAATAATAGTTAATGTCACTCATAAATTGGAGGCTTCTGATAACAGCAAAAGATTGTATCCTTTCATTCTCAGATTGGGGTAGGTACCAGATGCTCTTACTTAATTACTTAAAGATTTAACTACATAATCTTGCCCGTGATTGCTGCACTGAGTTTACCTGGTTTGAGCTCAGAGTGGTTTACCTCATTGATTTCAAGCGTCCTTTAAGGTCAGTCATATACGATTGCACCTAAGATATTTAAATAGCTGTTTCTTTTTACTCTCATAGAGTGTGCGATCATCAGACTTCCCCCAAACCAGAGAATCTCTACTTAGCGAGTGCAATGGCTGAACTTGAACCTATATTTGAAATTTCATTTTACCCAGTCAATTCATGAGGACGCAATTTATCTGTGGATTTATATAAATACCACTATTAGAGACAAACTACTTATAAATGCTTTAAATTCATTTCTCCTTCTCCAGACCCAGAAAGGAAACCCAAATGTATCCACTTTACGCATTCAAAGCCTTGACTTTCTGAGCTAATCTTTCATAAATGGCTCTTAAGGGAGGGTCTCCTTCCTTCCTTGGGTCTCACCCAGAGGTTGCCCCTTTGCAATCCACATTGATGAAGGACATCTTCCCTGCTGGAGGACACGTTCCTGCAGGAGATTCTTTGAAGAGCAAACACCACCCTCCAGCCTTGAAATGCTGGCGCGGCTTCACTGTGTCTCTAAATCAAGCTTTGTCCACCCAGACAGGAAGACTCCACCCTGTTGTGACAGGCACAATGTGGAATTTGTGCTTCAGTGAGCTTCAGATGATTTTCAACCCCACACCTTGGATGTGTTTTTGAAACAATGTGGGATATAAATAAATAAAACATATTAACCATTGTGGTGCTTTATTCGCTCTTCAATATTTGTAAGTTGATTTCTACCATAAAAGAGTTTTTTTCTCTCCTCCCTTCCTTCTTTCCCTGCTCTCCCACCGCCCTCACCATCACCACCCACCCTGCCCTAAAAAAACAGTTCCGTTTTTGGTATTCTTCTGTGACGTTCCACACTTCATGGAAGGGTGGTTCTGCTAGTTGAAATTTTAAAATGCATCCATTCCCATTCTCCGGCTTATTCAGAATCCTCTATTGCCAAATCTTTAGGCTTTTTTCAACCCCCATTTACAACTTATGACAAGCTCATGAGTGTCTTTTCTTGCTCAAGTTCTCATCCTATCACTCTCTGCACAAAAGCCTTGGAGAATGTTCATTTCCATCCCAAGAACAAAATAAGCTTTTGCCCTTCCCCGCTTTAAAACAATTGCTCAAGGTAATGGCCACCACCATCTTACAAAATTAATTGATTAACTTTTTAGGTCAGACTGGGGTTTGTCTACTGAGAAGTTCTTGGCAGTGCAGAAAGAGCAGTCAGTCTGTTTGATGTGACACAGAAGTGTGAAGAAGACGATGTGCCTGTTTCTGTCCCAGGCGAGGAAGTTTGTATGTAAATATAGTGGGGAGAGGGTAAGAAGACAAAGATTCAAAGCAAAAAAGGGAACAGTAAATGCACACAGTGAGTGCAGTTTTACAACTAAAAAAAATATTTAAACATTTCTGATGTCAAGAAATCAGAAGGCATTTGGAAAATATTCTAACCCTTTTAAAGATATTCCAAACCATTTTCCCTGGCTTATTTCTACATAGCAACAAACTTTTATCTCTGAAAATAAACTGTCCATCTCCTGAGAAGAGATTATTTCTCTTCTGAGAACTCTTTCAGATATAAGAATGTGAAGGATTCCAGTTGTTTGGTCCTGCTTACCTTTCCTGTGACATGTGTGTATATGAAGCTGTATGGGAATCCCCATCCAGAAGTTCTCAAGAGAGGAGATGGGCTTCCATGCTTTTTTAAAAAATGTGACAGAAAGTCTGCATGAGTTTTGACCTTTTTTTTTTTTTTCCTGGTGAGGATAAAGCCAGTTTTCAACTGTGAGAAAAGTGCTCTGAGGCAAACTCGCTTTCACCACAGCTTAGCCCTGTGGCATCTCCTGCTGTGGCCATGCACCCAATAAATTCCCCTAGATGAGCAATTCCTGTAGCCTGGTCCTGGTCAGGCTGGCATGCAGGAGGGCTTCCTTCTATTACTAAAGTGGAGTCTCCAAATCACCTCTTTGGAATGTGTGAACCCTAGGGCAGGGTCCCCAACCCCTGGGCCACAGACTGGTACGGGGCCACAGGCAGGGGCTGAAGGGTGGGTAAGCAAGGGAAGCTCATCTGTATTTACAGCTGATCCCCATCGCTGGCATTACCGCTCAAGCTCCGTCTCCTGTCAGACCAGCAGCGGCATTAGATTCTCATAGAAGCACGAACCCTATTGTGAACGGTGCATGGGAGGGATCTAGGTTGCGTGCTCCTCATGAGAATCTAATGCCTGATGATCGGTCACTGCCTCCAATCACCCCCAGATGGGACCGTCTAGTTGCAGGAAAACAGCCTCAGGGCTCCCACTGAGTCTACGTTATGGTGAGTTGTATGATTATTTCATTATATATTACAATGTAATAACAGAAATAAAGTGCACAATAAATGTAATGTTCTTGAATTATTCCAGAATCATCCCCCTGCCTGGTCCATGGAAAAATTGGCTTCCACGAAACCAGTAGCTGGTGCCAAAAAGGCTGGGAACCGCTGCCCTAGAGGAAGAATTTCAATACAAATGTAGCAAACTCCAGTTCCTTATTTTGTTCTGTAAAAGCATTATTGATTGTGACAACCCAAAGCATCATCAGGAAAACAGGGAACACACTGCATGGCCATCTGCCATGAGGGGGGTGTTAGTGGCCATTGGCTAGAGAGATCTGTGAAGGAGCAGGGAGAGAGCCAGGAGTCCAGTGGGCACCCCCAGGAGACATAACCGCTGTGTACTGGTGTGCACGCTGGACCGCTAGTGACCTGGAGGCCGGCAGTGGGAGGGGACAGGCAGTGTTAGGGATTAGAAAACAAAGACTCCGTGAGTTTATTTTGGATTGTTCTCTTTCTTTTATATTCCTTGTATTAGTTTGCTAGAGTGGCCACAGCTTGGGAGCTTGGGTGTTTTAAACAATAGAAATGTTGTTCCCACGGTTCTGGAGGCAGGGGTCCAAGACGAAGGTGCTGGCATATTTGTTCTTTCCTGAGGTCTCCCTCCCAGATTTGTTCTCCCTGACTCGCTGATGGCTTCCTGCTCACTGTGCCCTCACAGGGTCTTTCCTCTGAATGTGCATCCATGGTGTCTTCCACTTCTTATAAGGACACCGGTCCTGTTGGTTGAAGCCTCCGCCCTGTGACCTCGCTTAACCTTAGTTACCTCTTTGAAGGCCCTGTCTCCAAATGCAGTCACATTGGGAGTTAGGACTTCAACACATGGATTTTGGGAGACTACAATTGAGTTCATAACAGGTCATTACCGAGCCACCAGGTTGCTAAAAGCAAAACCTCAGGTTTATGAGTGCAGCCGTGCCCAGATGCAGCGCCAAGGGATACCCATGAAAAACTCTTTTTTAATGTACTTATCGGAATGGCTAAAATTAAAAATGCCAAATGCTGGAGAGGGTGTGGGGAAATAGGATCACTCATATTGCTGGTGGGAATGTAAAATGGTAGAGCTGCTTTGGAAAGCAGTTTGGCAAATTCCTATAAAATTCAACAGTACTATAAAGTTATAAATGTACTGTACTATATTTATATTAATATAAACTCAAGTATCACTATAAAATTAAAATTACTACACAACCCAGCAGTTGAACTCTTGGGCATTTATCCTCAGCATATCCAGGATAATGTAGGCTTTTCCTTGATTGCATTGTAAGTTTAACATGTCCATGGTTTATGGTTCATAATGTCTACCTATGTTTTAATATCATCTGCCAATTTATTGACACCTTTTCCATTTAAAAATGAGAGAGAAAGAAAAACTCTTCTAGATAACAATCCTCCCTATTGTTTCCCTAGCAAGTCATGGGTGAGATCATTGGAAGCTGACCTATGGTGCTTTAGGTTCTTATAAGACTCTCAGCATTTCTTCCTCCTCAGGAAATGCCCTGCTGAGTTCACAATCTCAAATCAAATCTGCTTTACATGTAGGAGAATGAAACTGAATACTCATCTCTCACCTTACACAAAAATCAACTCAAGATGGATTGAGGACTTAAATCTAAGACCTGAAACTATAAAAATTCTAGAAGATAACATCAGAAAAAACCCTCGTACACATTGGCTTAGGCAGGGATTTCATGATCAAGAACTCAAAAGCAAATGCAACAAAAACAAAGATACATTGCTGGGACCTAATTAAACTAAAAAGCTTTTGCTGTGCAAAAGGAACAGTCAGCAGAGTACACAGACAACCCACAGAGTAGGAGAAAATCTTCACAATCTATACATCTGACAAAGGACTAATATCCAGAATCTACAACGAACTCAAACAAATTAGCAAGAAAAAACAAACAATCCCATCAAAAAGTGGGCTAAGGACATGAATAGACAATTCTCAAAAGAAGATATACAAATGGCCAACAAACATGTGAAAAAATGCCCAACATCACTGATGATCAGGGAAATGCAAATCAAAACCACAATGCAGTACCACCTTACTCCTTTAAGAATGGCCATAATAAAAAAATAATAGATGTTGACATGGATACGGTGAACAGGTAACACTTCTACACTGCTGTTGGGAATGTAAACTAGTACAACCACTATGGAAAACAGTGTGGAGATTCCTTAAAAAACTAAAAGTAGGCTGGGCACGGTGGCTCACGCCTGTAATCCCAGCACTTTGGGAGACCGAGGCAGGCGGATCATGAAGTCAGGAGATCGAGACCATCCTAGCTAACACGGTGAAACCCCGTCTCTACTAAAAATACAAAAAAATTAGCTGGGCATGGTGGCGGGCACCTATAGTCCCAGCTACTTGGGAGGCTGAGGCAGGAGAATGGCATGAACCCGGGAGGCAGAGCTTGCAGTGAGCCGAGATTGCGCCACTGGACTCCAGCCTGGGTGACACAGCAAGACTCTGTCTCAAAAAAAAAAAAAAAAAAAAAAAAAAAAACTAAACTAAAAGTAGAACCACCATTTGACCCAGCAATCCCACTACTGGGTATCTCCCCAGAGGAAAATAAGTCATTATATGAAAAAGATACTTGTACACGCATGTTTATAGCAGCACAATTCGCAAGTGCAAAAATGTGGAACCAGCTCAAATGCCCATCAATCAACGAGTGAATAAGGAAACTGTGATATATATATATATATATATATATATAAAACCATGGAATACTACTCATCCATAAAAATGAGTTAATTAATGGCATTCGCAGCAACCTGGATGGAATTGGAGACTATTATTCTAAGTGAAGTAACTCAGGAATGGAAAGCCAAACATTGTATGTATTCACTCATAAGTGGGAGCTAAACTATGAGGCTGCAAAGGCATAAGAATGACACAATAGACTTTGAGGACTCAGGAGGGAAGGCAGGAAGGGGCTGAGGGATAAAAGACTACTAATCAGTTTCGGTGTATACTGCTTGGGTGGTAGGTGCACCAAAATCTCACAAATCGACCCTAAAGAACTTACTCGTGTAACCAAATAGCACCTGTTCCCCAAAAACCTATGGAAATAAAAAAATAAAAAAAAAATTAATCTGCTTTATAGTTGGTTTTTAGTATACAATAACTTTTCTTAAGAATCAAACTGTTGCATATTTTTCTAATGAAACATGTTTTTCTAACACATGCATGGCGAGATGCATATAGTATACAAACACATTGTAACAGCATAAATCTGTAAGAGATAGCAAAGTAGGATGGGTTACAATTTCTCAGGCAGCAGATCATCTCATGGGCTAGGACTAGCGGTATGGTGGCTGTGTTCAAGCCATGATTGAATGCACCTCCTCTGCCATGGGAGATGCTGACAATGCAGGGCACACCCCTTGTGAAGGTCTAGGGTAGACTAGAGGAAAAGCAGGTGCTTCCACCATTCCCTGACCCATGGACTGAGCATGCAGAGAACTGGCATGGTCTGCTTAGCAGCTGCCTGGGATGTGGCTGGGGTAAGTATCAGGAAAGGGGGTGGAAAATGTGAGCCCAGGGCAGGAAATCAGAGCACAGGATTAAGAAAAATGTCTCAAAGGTCCTTAAAAAGTACCTGAACAGGCACAGTGGCTAATAAAATCCTGGAGCTTTGGGAGGCTGAGGTGGGTCCAGCAGTTCAAGATCAGCCTGGGCAACATAGTGAGACCCTGTCTCTATGAAAATATTTTAAAAATTAGCCAGCCATGGTGGTGTGCACCTGTAGTCCCAGCTATTCTGGACGCCAAGGTGGGAGGATCCCTTGAGCCCAGGAATTTGAGGCTGCAGTGAGCTATGATCACACCACTGTACTCCAGGCTAGGCAACAGAGTGAGACCCTGTCTCAAAAACAAAAAAAAAGTCAAGTGAAAGTTTAAAAATAATCAAAAGGGCCAGGCGCAGTGGCTCACGCCTATAATCCCAACACTTTGGAAAGCCGAGGCGGGCGGATCATGAGGTCAGGAGTTTGAGACCAGCCTGGGCAACTTAGTGAGACCTTGTATCTACTAACATAAATAAATAAATAAATAATACTCAAAAAACTTAGCTGGGCATGGTGGTGCACACCTGCTACCCAGGAGGCTGAGGTGGGAGAATTGCTTGATACCAGGAGGAGGAGGCTGCAGTGAAGCAAGATCACGCCACTGCACTCCAACCTGGGTGACAGAGTGAGATCTTGTCTGTAAATTAAAAAAAAAAAAAGGTTTACCAAATATCCAAATCTGAAAAACTAGTCATCCTTCTGGAAAATATTATGTTCCATGAAAAAAGGAACTAGTTCAGTTTACACTAAAACAAAAAAAAATGCTTTTTCTTGAGACAATTATTCTCTTTTGATATGCTGCAGAAGTGCTTTATTTCTATTTTCCATTTCTTAACCTAGAATATTAATTAGACACCACTCAAGGGACAAGATTTCACAAAAATTTTAACCACTGTATCCAACCAACTTGCTTTTTTTAATAACAAAAGTGAGTCCACCACTTCAGAGAAAACAACTGATTGACTACTGTCAATAATAAAATTCAAGCTTTCAAGTGAAAATTAGAATTTTGAAAAACTTGTATTTGCCACTATAAACTTGACAGCTCCCCAACAGTTAAAGACTTTTCTGTTGAGATTGCTGGAATAGCTTTAGGAATGTGGGGTTTTTTTTTCATATTATATAATGAAATCTATCCACATAAAATTTGAGAATTTCTGTCTTAAGGTTTAGGATGGGTTCCTCTTATCCAGACCGTTTTGATTCTTTCTTACTAAAAACAAATAGGTGTAAATCACATGCATGAAAAATTTGAGTTTCTCTACTTGAAAGCGACCAGCAGCTAAGCTGCAGGTTGCACACTGAAGTTGTTTGTGGACATCCAGAATCACTTGAAAGGTAAGACCCACTCACCTGTTAAAAGTATAGATATGTGACTCTTAGAAAAATTAGTTCTATTTTTCTTGTAGCTTAATTATAAGAAAAAGATCTAGATCTAAAAAGATCATAATCCACATTCCATCTTGGTTTGAATAAATTAAAAAGACAACAGTTTCTGGAGTCAGATAGGTCTCGGTTTGAACTCGGATGTCCCCCCTCTCCATTGCAGGACTTTGAGATATTTACATCTCCGACCTCCAAAATAGCCTTCAGTGGTGCCTGTTTCCTGGTTTGATACCCTTCTGACCTTTCTCATGATGGGTGGTGGTCTGTTGGACAAATAGGATATGTCAGAAGTGATAGTACGTAACTTCTTTTTTATTTTTATTTTTTGAGACGGAGTCTCGCTCTAGTCATCCAGGCTGGAGTGCAGTGGTGTGCTCTCGGCTCACTGCAACCTCCACCTCCCGGGTTCAAGCGATTCTCCTGCCTCAGCCTCCTGAGTAGCTGGGATTACAGGCGCGGGCCACCACGCCCGACTAATTTTTGTATTTTTAGTAAAGATGGGGTTTCACCATGTTGGTCAGGCTGGTCTCGAACTCCTGACCTCATGATCCACCTGCCTCGGACTCCCAAAGTGCTGGGATTACAGGCATGAGCCACCGTGCCCGGCCGATAGTACGTAACTTCTAAGATTATGTTACAAAAATATTTCAAGCATAAACTCGTGCTAACTCAAAATCAAATGTCAATCTGTGTTTCTTTTCGTTTTAAGCACAGTTGATTCTCGAACAACACAGGTTTGAACTGTACTGGTCCATTTATATGCATTTTTTTCAATAAAAACTTCTATCTTGAACTCTTGCTTTTCTTTTGGATCATAGCTCTGGGGGAAAGCAGCAGCCACACCAGGAGGCCCTGCAGGCCACTCAGGCTGTATGTGGAGAGGCCCATACGGTGAAGAACTGAGGCTGCCAACAACCATGTGGGTGAACTTGGTAAGAGGGGTTTCAGCCCCAGTCAAGCCTTGAGATGACTTGTGGCCCGGATGACAGCTTGTCTGCAGCATCATGAGAGACTCTGAGCTGGAACCACCCAGATAAGCTGCTCCCAGATTACTGAGCACAGAAACTATTTGTTATTTTAAGTTACTATGTTTTGGGGGTAATTTATTAGATAGCAATAGATATTACAGGTAAGTAAAATGTTGTTTTCATACTTTAACACATGTCCTGAATCTTCCAGGAATGTCTTTCTGTAGAAAACTGTTGAGGGTTGGCTCAGCTGTCTGCATCTAAAATAGAAATATCAGATCCACAAAAGCTGGCAATTCTTTGCTTGAAATAAGACAGAAGTTTGTGGCTTGGTGCAAAATTGTAGAGATTTCCTGGAATGTAGGGGCCAGGCTTACAACCTTAGCTATATTTCACCATCCTTACATCACTATTTCTCTGGTTGTTCTGGTTGTCTGGAGTTAGTTCTCTCATAGATTAGTTAGGAAAGATTTATGGGAATGCTCTTGCACTGGAAATTCAGTTTTGACGTAAAAACCCTCAGCTCACCTTTTCTTTTCTTGAGTGTAGTAAAAATGACACTTCATTGTCTTCTTGCATAAAGTAGTGCTAACTCAAAATTGATTGTCAATTTGTACGTCTTTTCCTTTGAAGCATAGTTGATCCTTGAACAACATGGGTTTGAACTACGTTGGTTCATTTACAGGCATTTTTTTTTTTTTTTTTTTTTTTGAGACGTGGTTTCACTCTCATTGCCCAGGCTGGAGTGCAGTGGCATGATCTCAGCTCACTGCAACCTCTGCCTCCCGGGTTCAAGCGATTCTCCTGCCTCAGCCTCCCTAGTGGCTGGGATTACAGGCGCCTGCCACCACGCCCAGCTAATTTTTGTATTTTTAGTAGAGATGGGGTTTCACCATGTTGGTCAGGCTGGTCTCAAACTCCTGACCTCAGGTGATCCACCCGCCTCGGCCTCCCAAAGTGCTGGGATTACAGGTGTGAGCCACTGCACCGGGCCTACAGGTTTGTTTTTTTTTTTATATCCAGTGTGCTTGCTCTCCTACATCCTCTTTCGTCTCTTCCACCTCTTCTGCCTCTGCCACCCCTGAGACAGCAAGACCAAATCCTCCTTCTCCTCCTCCTCAGCCTTCTCAACGTGAAGACAGTGAAGATTAAGGCCTTTATAATGATCCACTTCCACTTAATGAATAGTAAATACATTTTCTTTTCCTCATGATTTTCTTAAGAACATTTTCTTTCCTCTAGCTTACTTTATTGTAACAATATAGTATATAATACATAAAACAGGCCAGGCATTGTGGTTCACGCCTGTAGCCCCAGCACTTTGGGAGGCTGAGGCAGGCAGATCACTTGAGCCCAGGACCAGCCTGAGCAACATAGTGAAACTCTGTCTCTACAAAAAATACAAAAAAATTAGCTGGGTGTGGTGGCACACGCCTGTTGTCCCAGCAACTGGAGAAGCTGGGGCTGGGGGAGGATCACTTGAGCCCAGGAGGTTGAGGCCACCATAAGCCATGATTGCATCCCTCTACTCTAGCCTGGGTGACAGAGTGCGACCTTGTCTTAAAAAAAAAAAAAAAAAAAAAAAAAAGACAAGCAAGCTAGCGCTAAAGCTTCCAGTCAACAGTAAGCTATTTATAGTTAATTTTCCAGGGAGTCAAAAGTTATCACAGATTTTTGACTGCATGGGGCATCAGCGCCCCAACCCCATGTTGTTCAAGGCTCAACCGTAGTATGGTATTTTTATGAAGTCTAAAGGACTTTTTCTTTTCTTTTCTTTTCTTAAAGCTATAGTTTTGGCCAGGCGTGGTCAAAACGTGCTCACGCCTGTAATCCTAGCACTTTTGGAGGCTGAGGCGGGAGGATTGCCTGAGCTCAGGAGTTCAAGACCAGCCTGGGCAACATGGTGAAACCCCATTTCTACTACAAAATACAAAAAAAATTACTCGGGCATGGCAGCCCATGTCTGTAATCTCAGCTACTCGGGAGGCTGAGGCAGAAGAATTGCTTGGACCTGGGAGGCAGAGGTTGCAATGAGCTTAGATCGCATCACTGCACTCCAGCCTGGTCGAAAGAGCAAGACTCTATCTCAAAAAAAAAAAAAAAAAAAAAAAAGCTATAGTTTTATTAGACTAAGTCTTGGCATTGTAAGTTCTGGGCTATTACTTCATACAAGCAGAGGTCCATCCAACAAGTAGTTTCAAATTCTCCCTAAGGAAAGTTTTATTGCATTTTAAATTTTAGTGTTTGTTCTTTTCAATTATTTTGGTTTTCCTCTTCAGAGATCTCCCTATCAAACATGCTAGAACTTCTTTTACTGTCTTCTATAGCTTTCACTTTCTATCAAATCCTTTTTATATTTTTTCATTTCCCTTGTTATTTAAAAGTTTCCTCCTTTCCATCTTCCACTTCCCTTAAGCATTTTGTGTTGTATTTATTGTCATATCTCATTTGGTTTATCTTAATTTCTCTCTCTCTCTCTTTCTTTTTTTTTTTTTTGTGAGGCAGAGTCTTTCTCTGTCTCCCAGGCTGGCATGCAATGGCATGATCTTGGCTCACTGCAACCTCTGCCTCCCAGGCTCAGGTGATTCTCTCGTCTCAGCCTCCCACGTAGCAGGGACTACAGGCAGGCGCCACCACACCCAGTTAATTTTTGTATTTTTTTGGTAGAGACAGAGTTGGGCAGGCTAATCTCAAACTCCTGACCTCAAGTGATCAGCCCGCCTTGGCTTCCCAAAGTGCTGGGATTACAGGTGTGAGCCACCGCACCCAGCCCCTTTATTTCTTATATTTTTTTTCCCTAAACCTTTTCTGAGTTTTTCAATATCTCATTTAAATTTTTCTTTGCTCTATTTATTTTTTAAAATTCTGATTTTTATGTTTTATCAATGCATATAATAGTTTTCCTTATGTTTGTTGAGCATATTTTGAAATATTAAGTTAAAGTTTTCATCGTTGTGTGAGCTTGAATTTCTGGTGTTATTTCATAGTATGTAAGTGAGAGGTAACAACGTGCTAGCAGCCCTCGCTGGCTCTCAGCACCTCCTTGGCCTTGGCGTCCGCTCTGGCCACACTTGAGGAGCCCTTCACCCGCCGCTGCACTGTGGCAGCCCCTCTCTGGGCTGGCTGAGGCCAGAGCCGGCTCCCTCTGCTTGTGGGGAGGTGTGGAGTGAGAGGTGTGGGCGGGAACCAGGGCTGCATACGGCGCTTGCCGGCCAGGGTGAGTTCCGGGTGGTTGCAGGCTTGGCAGGCCCCACACTTGGAGCCGCTGGCCAGCACCGCCCGCCCCAAACAGTGAGGGGCTTAGCACCCAGGCCAGCAGCTGTGGAGGGTGCGCCAGGTCCCCCAGCACTGCCGGCCCACCCACGCCACGCTCGAATTCTCACTGGGCCTCAGCCGCCTCTCCGCAGGGCAGGGCTCAGGACCTGCAGCCTGCCATGCCCAAGCCCCCCGTGGTGGGCTCCCACGCAGCCCGAGCCTCCCTGACAGGCACCACCCCCTGCTCCACAGCGCCTGGTCCCATCGACCGCCCAAGGGCTGAGGAGTGCAGGCGCGTGGTGTGGGACTGGCGGGCAGCTCCGCCTGTGGCCCCAGCACGGTATCCAGTAGGCGAAACCAGCTGGGCTCCTGAGTGAGTGGGGACTTGGAGAACTTTTATGTCTAGCTGGAGGATTGTATATGCACCAATCAGTACTCTGGGTCTAGCTTGGGGTTTGTGGATGCACCAATCAGCACTCTGTATCCAGCTAATCTGGTGGGGACTTGGAGAACTTTTATGTCTAGCTAGAGGATTGTAAATGCACCAATCAGCACTCTGTGTCAAGCTCAAGGTTTGTAAACACACCAATCAGTGCTCTGTGTCTAGCTAATCTAGTGGGGACTTGGAGAACTTTTGTGTCTAACTAAACGATTGTAAATGCACCAATCAGCACTCTGCGTCTAGCTCAGAGTGTAAACACACCAATCAGCACCCTGTCAAAACGGACCAATCAGCTCTCTGTAAAATGGGCCAATTGGCTCTCTGTAAAATGGACCAATCAGCAGGATATGGGTGGGGCCAGATAAGGGAATAAAGGCAGGCTGCCTGAACCAGCAGTGGCAACCTGCTTGGGCCTGCTTCCACAGTGTGGAAGGTTTGTTCTTTTGCTCTTTGCAATAAATCTTACTGCTGCTCACTCTTTGGGTCCGCACTGCTTTTATGAGCTGTAACACTCACTGTGAAGATCTGCAGCTTCACTCCTGAGGCCAGTGAGACCACAAACCCACTGGGAGGAATGAACAACTCCAGACGTACCGCCTCAAGAGCTGTAACACTAACCGCGAAGGTGTGCAGCTTCACTCCTGAAGCCAGTAAGACCATAAACCCACCAGAAGAAAGAAACTCTGAACAAGTCTGAACATCAGAATGAACGAACTCATGACATGCCACCGTTAAGGACTGTCACACTCATCGTGAGGGTCCGCAGCTTCATTCTTGAAGTCAGTGAGACCAAGAACCCACCAATTCCGGACACATAAGGATTTAATTTCCTCCTATTTCTCTTTTTCTGTTTTTTGTTCGTTTGTTTTTGGGAGACGGAGTCTCATTCTGTTGCCCAGGCTGGAGTGCAGTGGCATGATCTGGGCTCACTGCAAGCTCTGCCTCCCGAGTTCATGCCATTCTCCTGCCTCAGCCTCCCGAGTAGCTGGGACTACAGGCACCCACCACCACACCTGGCTAATTTTTTGTATTTTTAGTAGAGACGGGGTTTCACTGTGCTAGCCAGGATGGTCTCAATCTCCTTACCTTGTGATTCACCCTCCTCGGCCTCCCAAAGTGCTGGGATTACAGGCGTGAGCCACCGCACCCGGCCCTATTTCTCTTTTTCTAATAATACTTTGTTTGAGATTTGATACAGTCCTTTTCTGTGGCTCATTTTTAATTCAAATGACTATTTTTGCATATTTAAGACGGATGAAGAAGCCAGAATAACATTTCTAACCTCATGACTGTAGAACTCTTCCTTTTGTTGTTTTCACAAAGAGACTGAAAACATGGCAGTGAACTGCCTGAGGTTTTCATTCTCTGTTCATCTCTAATTTTATCTGGACTCTATTGTCCCTGCCCTAGTCAACTGGGAATCTATTCTCAACATTTGCTCCTCAATGTAGGGCTTTGTCATGGAAAGTCAGTTTGGTTTGTTACTTTCAAGAATTCATAGGCACCAGGCAGATCCGGCATCCTTAGATCTTCCAGCAACCCCAGTGCAGTTATCTGGACAATATAACCTGCACAACACTCTTCAAGTTTCTGCAGTTATTCTCAGAATACTCTACCATGCTTTCCAGTGAATAACCGATAGTAATTTAGGAGTTCTCTGTCTTTGGTTTTGCTCTCCTCGTTGCTCTGATGTTTTTTTTTACAGGGGCATTCAGAAGGTAAAAAACTACACTGCCACTGCCACCTCATTCCCAGAATGGTATTCTGTTACTTTTTCTTTTGAACAGAATTTCCTTGGAAATGGTTTTTAGAAACTTGTGCACCTATTTAATTTGCCCTTCTATTCGTTTTTAAAACATTTTTACTATGTAAATTTCAAAACCTAGATAAAGGTAGAGATGACAGTATATTGCTGTCACCCCATGCACCCATTTTCAACAACGATTCACATATGACTACTCTTACTTCATTTTGGCACTATGTATGTTTCTGTCTTGCAACCCACTGGATTATTTTGAAGAAAATTCAAGACATCATGTCATGCCAGCATAAAATGCTTCTACTTTTAAATTATTTTCGAATGCCAAATGCACACACATACAGATGACCCTTGAACAATGCGGGAGTTAGGGGCACCAACCCATCACAGAGTCAAAAATCTATAATTTTTGAGTTCCCCAAAACTTATACAAATCAATAAACACACGTTGTATGCTATATGTATATAGTATGTCTAGTTTACTGTATTCTTACAATAAAGTAAACTAGAGAAAAGAAAATGTTATTAAGAAAAGTATGGCTGACTGTGCGCAATGGCTTATACCTGTAATCTTAGCACTTTGGGAGGCTGAGTTGGGCAGATTGTTTGAACCCAGGAGTTCAAGACCAGCCTGGGCAACATGGCAAAACCTCATCTCTATTAAAGAAAAAAGAAAGAAAGAAGTAAAGAAATGAAAATAAGCAAGCAAGCAAGCAAGAAAGAAACGTATGGCCGAGTCTGGTAGCTCATGCCTATAATCCCAATGCTTTCGGAGGCTGAGGAAGGAGGATCACTTGAGACCAGGAATTTGAGACCAGGCTGGTCAATATAGTGATGCTCCATCTGTATTAGTCCATTCTCACACTCCTATAGAGAACTGCCCAAGACTGGGTAATTTATAAAGGAAAGAGGTTTAATTGACTCACATTTCTGCATGGCTGGGGAGACCTCAGGAAACTTACAATCATGGCAGAAGGTAATTCTTCACAGGGTGGCAGGGAAAAGATTGAGTGCCAAGCAAAGGGGGAAGCCCCTTATTAAACCATCACATCTCATTAGAACTTACCACTATCACGGGAACAAAAGCATGGGGGTAACCACCCCCATGATTTAATTACCTCTCACTAGGTCCCTCCCACGGCATGCGGGGATTATGGGAACTACAATTCAAGATAAGATTTGAGTGGGTACACAACAAAACCATGTCACTGTCTATACAAAAAATTTAAAAATTATCCAGGTGCAATAGCATATGCCTATAGTCTTCCTAGCTATTCAGGAGGCTGAGGTGGGAGGACTGCCTGAGCCCAGGAGTTTGAGGCTGCAGTGAGCTATGATTGCATCCCTGCACTCCAACCCAGTGAACAGAGTGAGACCCTGTCTCAAAAAATAAATAAATACATACATACATAATAAATAAAATTTTAAAAAGAAAATAATAGAAAGAAAAAATATATTTATTATTCATTAAGTGGAAGTGGCCTCTCAAAAAGGCCTTCATCCTTATCATCCTCATGTTGAGAAGGCTGAGGAGGAGGAGGATGAGGCAGGTTGGTCTTGCTATCTTGAGGGTGGCAGAAGCAGAAGAAAATCCAGGTATAAGTGGACTAGCATACTTTAAACTCATGTTGTTCAAGGGTCAACTGTATAGACATATATATAAAACATCAGGCTGTGATGGTTCACAACTTCACACAAATGACAAGTACACAGTCGTGCGTTGGCTTCACACATCTTAGGAAAATTGTATCTATGAATGGACCACTGAAATAAAAATTAGATATGTTCTTAGAGATTTATGAAAAGACAATATTAAAACAAAAACAAAACAAAGCACCAAACTTCTATCCAATTCTCAACATCATAAGATCTGAAAGTTATCTTAATTCACCGTTTCTCTTTCCCCAGCACAACCACCATTAATTCAAAGTCCTCAGCCGGGCGCGGTGGCTCACATCTGTAATACCAGCACTTTGGGAGGCCGAGGTGGGCGGATCACGAGGTCAGGAAATCGAGACCATCCTGGCTAACACGGTGAAACCCCATCTCTACTAAAAATACAAAAAATTAGCCGGGCGTGGTGGCGGACGCCGGTAGTCCCAGCTACTCAGAGGCTGAGGCAGGAGAATGGCGTGAACCCAGGAGGCGGAGCTTGCAGTGAGCCGAGATTGCGCCACTGCATTCCAGCCTGGACGACAGAGCCAGACTACGTCTCAAAAAAAACAAAAAAAACACAAAAAACCAAAAAACCAAAAAACCAAATTTATCTCCATTCAACATCTTCCAGATCTCTATTACGACTGGCTCTGCCTTAGTTTAGGATTTCATCATTTCTTTTCTACGCTCTGGCTTCTGATTTATCTCTTGACCTCTAGATCACCTGCCTTCAGTTGATCCTCCAGAAACCACTTAAGAACTTTCTTTAATGTTAATCTATTCATTTAACTCTCTAGAAGCACTTAGTAGGCTCCTATCGCTTAAGGATAAAGGAAATTTTCTTACAAATAAAGGCGGCTGCTCATGATCAAGATCCTGTTTATTTTCAATCTCTCCTCTTACTCTGTCTATACAAACACCGCTTGTGCTTCCTTCCTGCTCTGCTATTTGAGTCTACTCTGCTTTCCTATATGTTGTTCTGTTTTTCTCCAAAACCTCCCCCGACATCCTGCCAGTAAACTGTGACTTACATCAAGCCTCAGTTACACGTCTCTTCTGGCTTTGAAAAAAACATGGCACATGAAGTAAAAGGAGACTTAAATATTATCTTGGACTTTCAATGTCCTGCTCACATCTAGCTCATTCATTCCTCAAAAGCCTTCCTGAATCATGTAAGGCGGGTATTGTTTCTATGGATAAGTAAACTGAGTAGAGGCAGCAGTTAGTAAATGGCAGAATTAGAAGGCCCTGGAAAACCCCAGCAGGCATCATTCCTATTTTAGTCTATAGGAACATGCCCCTGAGTGCGTAGCAAGCAAGTTTGCCCTTGTTACATATATCCCTTTCAGAGTTCACAGCAGGGTATAGCTTCCATTATGCAGATTGTTGATCCTTTTTCCTTTTTTTTAAGCTCTCGTGACCACTAAATCTGCATAATAAGCAACTAAAATGATTTCTGTTGGAAGAAAGTTTTTTTTTTTTTTTTCCTTACTGTCTTCACTCCCAAATGCACCCAGGTCAAAATTTAGCAACGCTTGGCTTGAAATGGCATCCATGTTTTGTTATGGTAATTTTTTATTTTTAAATGCAGAAGTGATTTAGTAGTAAAATCCTGCTTGCTGGTTAGAGGTCGTGGGAATGCCTCTCCATCTGAATGGAAAGAAATTGGTTTTAAATTATTAGATGGCCAAAGGCTTATAGAGAGTGGAGTTAGAGAAGCAGCTTATGACCTTCACCTACACTTGAACTGGAATGGTAATCTACATTTCCAAAGGCACTAAGCGTTCCAATTTAAATTTCTGTGGTGACACTTGAAAAGATTGATCATTCTATCCTGAGAGGAGATGAAGGAATGAGGGTGAGGGGTTATGAGCAGGCAACACTGCCTGCTCAGTAGGAGCTGACAATCAACTAGGATAGCCCCAATTTCCTGTTGCAATATTTAACTCACTTTTGTGTTTACATTTGATAAACACAAGTTTAGAGATTCAAGAATTAGAACATCTCTTGTCTCACTCCAGCTACAAATATTGATTAAAATGGGAAAGATTGTTTATTGTAAATTGCATTTATCTTCATGATGTGGGAACAATGTAGGTTTTCAATGAATGCTTCTTTGTGTGTGAAAGATATGTGAATAAACCAATTTCAATTTTTTTTTAATTTTTAATTATTAATTTTAAATTGACAATAATAATTGCATAATATTTATGTGGTACAATGATGTCTTAATGTATGTGTGCATTGTGGAATGAGCAGACCAGGCTAATTAACATATTCATCACCTCACAAGCTTATCATTTCTCTGCAGGGCAAACATTTATAAACTACTCTTTTGGCAATTTTAAAATATACAATACATTATTGTTAACTGTAGCCACTTTGATATGCAATAGATCACTAGAACTTATTCTTCCTAACTAAAACGGCCTAATTTCGAAATTCTGAAATCTTACTTTACATTTTACTTTGTATTTTTAGAATGTAATATCTTTGAAGGCAGTGATATGTTTCCTTCAAAGACTTTAATGAATGCAGTGTGTCAAAAATACACTGATTAATGTGGATACATAATAATGATGTCACAGTTTTGTCAGGCTCATAGTCTCCCCTATTGAATAACATAAACCTGAGAAAATGATGAGATAAAGCTGATTTTTTTCAAGATGAGAAGGAAGAAAATTTGGATATTTAAGAATTTAAAATAAAATGACAAATTAATCCTTCAGAATTATGTTTGAGAATGCTAAAAATTAGCCTTTCTTGAGTAAAAAACAAAAGTGTATGTCAGAAGAGACCTCTTGTGTGTATAATAGCTTACTGCAGTTTCTTTAAAAAAAAAAAATCCACTTCTGGAAGATAGAATGAATATACTATTCCCAAAGCCCAACCCTTAAGGAGGCCAATGCCTTATCCATTGAATGAATGTACTATTCCCTATTGCTTTCACAAAGTACAACTACAAACCCTAGACTTTACATATTAAACAAGCATATGATGACTCTGAAAGGTGGAGAAGGCTGACTGGCTGGAGACCACAGGACCAGAGGCAGTGTGTTCCCTGGGTTTTCTTTTTAACTCACATATCCCAGACTCATAGATAAAGAAACTCGTAACCCCGAAATACCAATGAATGCACGCCAAACAAAACAAAACAAAACAAAAATTACCAAAAGCCTGCCCTCTCCAGCTGAAAGAACAAGAGATGGGTAGCTAATGAGACAGATAATGATTAGACAGGCTGGGCGCAGTGGCTCACGCTTGTAATCCCAGAACTTTGGGAGGCCAAGGTGGGTGGATAGCTCGAGCTCAGGAGTTCAAGACCAGCCTGCTGGGCAACATAGCAAGACACCATCTCTATTTAAAAAAAATATATGTACACACACACACACACACACACACACACACACACACACATAAAAATACATATATGAGACAAAGATTGGACAATAACTGCTCCACTCCAGCCAAACACCACAGAAAAAATGTTAGCCCCACTCCCAGTGAAAGCTCAAGAGGAAGCAGACTTGCACTGTCCCCAGGATGTAATGGCAGTAGCACCAGCCTCCACCTCCCACTCTCTCACTGGACAAGTGTCAGAGAAAACTGAGTAGGGAGATGGAACTTTCATCCCTCTCATGCAGTGTCAGTGGATACCACATGGATTTCCACACCTATCCAGTGGTAATGAGATGCCTTTGCCCCTTCCTTCTAGGGTGGCCTCAAAGGAGACCTACTGGAGACAAAGCTTTCACCTAAGCCACTTCTCCAACATAATGTCAGGCCAAGAGGGGAGCAGTAATAAGGTTCTTCTACCCCTCCCAGCCAGGAGTAGAGGCTGAATGCGAAGCAGGACTTCCACTCTCACCTAACAGTCATGAGTAGCCCCTCCCCTCAGGTCTCAGTGGGAGCCAGGTGGGAACCTGAAACTTGACCTCATCTGGCAGTAATCAGGCAGCTCACTCCCCACTCCCATTTTCCTTTGCAAGAAATTTAAATAAGATCCCAAACCTCAATATAATACACAAATATCTAGGTTTTAATAGAAAAATCACTCATACCAAGAATAAAGAAGACCTCAAACTGAATGAAAAAAAGATAATAAATAGATCCTAACACTGAAACGACAGCAATGTTAGAATTATCTGATAAAGGTCTCAAGGAAATCATCATATGTTTCAGTAAGCATTATAAACATGCTTGAAACAAATAAAAAATAGACAGTATTATATCAGCAAAGAAATAAAAGATATACAAAAAGATAAATGAAAAGTTTAGAACTGAAAAATATAATAGCTAAAATTCAGTGAATGGACTCAAAACAGTATAGAGGGGACAGAGGAAAGAAATAATGAACTTGAAGATAGGACAATAGAAATTACCCAATCTGAAGAACAGAGAGAAAAAGATTGAAAAACAAACAAACAAAAAAAAAGAACAAACCTCAGGGAATTATGGGACTATAAAGATTTAACATTCTTGGTATCAGAGTTCTAAAAGGAGAAGAGTAAGAGGATGGAGCTCAAAAAATATTGAAGAAATAATGGCTGAAAACTACCCAGACCTACAGATTGAAGATACTGAGCAAACCACAAACAAGATAAATCCAAATAAATTTACATTAAGACACATCCCAGTCAAACTTATGAAACTTTTGAAAACTAAAAGACAAAGAGAAAAACCTTGAAAGCACTGAGACAAAAAAGATACGTTAGTTATACTGGAAAAACAATTTGAATGACAACAGATTTATAAGGAGAAACTATGGAGGCCAGAGGAAGTGACACTATATGTGGAAGTGCTGAAAGAAATGAAGTGTCAACACAAAATTCTATATCCAGCTAAATATCATTTAAGAATGAAGGGGAAATGAAGGCAATATCAGATAAAGTGAAACTAAAAAGATTTCTCACCAGTAAACTTATTCTAAAAGAATAACTAGAAACTGTTCCCAGGACAGAAAAGATAATTAGAAGGAATTTTGCAACATCATAAAGGAAAAAATAATCATGGAAAGACTAAATATATGGATAAATACAAAACATTTTCCTTCTCTTGAGTTTCCTAAATTAGTTTGGCAGTTGAAGCAAAAACTATGACACTGTCTGATATGGTTCTTAACATATGTAGAAAAAATACTTAAGCTAATTATATCATAAATGAGGACGGATAAAGGGATATAAGAAAGATAAGATTTCTATACTTCACTCAAACTGGTAAAATGTGACATAGTGTCTATGTAATAAATATTTAGCAATCAATAAAAAACTATACAAAAGGATAAACTCAAAAACACTATAGATAAAATAGAATACTAAATTATATTTAATCAACCTATAAGAAGGCAGATAAAAAGAAAACAAATGAAAATCAGAGAGAACAAACAGAAAACAAATAGCAGACTTAAGTCCTAACATATCAATAATTACACTAAATGTAAATAACCTAAATACAACAATTAGAAGACAGTTTGAAGGCTGGGCATGGTGGCTCATGCCTGTAATCCCAGCACTTTGGGAGGCTGAGGTGGGCAGATTGCCTGAGGTCAGGAGTTCAAGACCAGCCTGGCCAACATGATGAAACCCCATCTCTGCTTAAAAATACAAAAATTAGCCAGATGTGGTGGCCCACACCTGTAATCCCAGCTACTTTGGAGGCTGAGGCAGGAGAATCCCTTGAACTCTGGAGGTGGAGGTTGCAGTGAGTTGAGATTGCGCCACTGCACTCCAGCCTGGGCGACAGAGTAAGACTCCATCTTAAAAAAAAAAAAAAAAAAAGAAAGACAATTTGAGTGGATTAAAAGACCTGACCCACCTATATGGTGTCTACAAGAAACTTACTTCAAATATAACAACATAGGCATATTGAAAGAAAAAGGATGAAACAAGGTATATCATGCAAACCTTACTAGAAAGAAAGCAGAAGTAGCTATATTAATACCAGATAAAGTAGTATTCAGAGCAAAGACTATTACCAGATAAAGAGAGGAATATCATATAATGATAAAAGGGGTCAATGCACCAAGAAGATACAGGAATCCTGTATGGGTATCCACCACACAACAGACTTTCAAAATACATGAAATGAAAACTGAGGGAACTGAAAGGAAAAATAGACAAATCCACAATTATAGTTGGAGATTTCAATACCCCTGTTTAACAGCTGATAGAAAAATTAGGCTAAAAATCAGCAAGGATATAAAAGAATGTGATATCCTCAACCAACAAGATGTAATCAACATTTATAGAACAGTCTACCCAACAACAGAATAAGCATTCTTTTCATGCATGCATGGAACATATACCATGATAAACCATAGCTTTGGCCATAAAGTAAGACTCAATCTACCATGCTCATAGGAAAACTACGTGCTCATATCAAGTAATGCAGAAAAGACATTTGACAAAATTCAATTCATGATTTAAAAAAAAAACAACACACAATTCTCAGAAAAATAGAAATGGGAAATTCCTCACCTTGACAAAGAGCAGGAGACACATATGCTTTCAGAGCTGGATCAAACCTTGGATGAGCAAATTGTGACTTAAAAGTGTGGACTGACCTACCCATCCTTAACTAGCAATAGAGCTGGCACCTATGGAAGACTCCTACATTAACCATTTCTCATAATTTTTCCATTGAAATTAAGAACGCTAAATCCTGGCCAGGTGCAGTGGCTCATACCTGTAATCCCAGCCCTTTGGGAGGTTCAAGACTGGTGAATCACCTGAGGTCAGCAATTTGAGACCAGCCTGGCCAACATGGCGAAACCCCGTCTCTACTAAAAATAGAAAAATTAGCTGGGCGTGGTGGTGGGTGCCTGTAATCCCATCTACTTGGGAGGCTGAAGCAGGAGGATTGCTTGAACTCCAGAGGTGGAGGTTGCAGTGAGCCAATATCATGCCACTGCACTCCAGCCTGGGCAACACAGTGAGACTCCATCTGGAAAAAAAGAAGAAAGAATGCTAAATCCCCACACTACCTGTTACTTTCTATTGGAGATAAGAACTATGAGGCTGCAAACTGGGACAGAAATCTTGGAGCAGAGGGGAGGTGCTAAATCCAAATGTGGGACAGAAAACAAGGGATGAGACTAAGGATGCTTCTAAGAGCAATAAAAGCATTAAAGTTCAATAATACAGCTACCTCAGAACCAGTAAATTTGGAGTAAACCAAATTGATCTAAAGTTGTTGCAAAAACCGAATGAGGTTCTAAGCCTGGTAATGTCAAGTCATCTCGAGAGACAACCTGAGCCAGCATGACCACGGAAACTTTGATTTGTGATTCATTATCTCTGCAGTGATCCAGGGCAGGCTGGAATGTAAGGACAAAATCCCATTTGCCCAGAACCCAGAACGATAACAGCTTTGGGTTTGGGAATAGAAGATCACTGGCCAAGTATGTCTGTCAAATGGTAAATTCAATCAAAACATTCACACTGAGATATATGTGTGATGTATCACATACAACATCTAGGGACATCGGCCTTTCTCTGCTGAGAGGTGTGTTTTTTTGTTTTGTTTTGTTTCTTTGCTTGTGAGAGACTTTGAGAGTTACTATGGTTTTCTAGTTTAACTAAATAACAGTTTTTGTGAGCCCAGAATTGCACAGAACTATGGGTATCTCAGACTATAGAAATACAACCTATTTCCGCCGGGCGCGGTGGCTCACGCCTGTAATCCCAGCACTTTTGGAGGCCGAGGTGGGCGGATCAGAAGGTCAGGAGATCAAGACCATCCTGATGAGAGGTGACAGCGTGCTGGCGGCCCTCGCTTGCTCTCAGCGCCTCCTCGGCCTCAGTGCCCACTGTGGCTGCACTTGAGGAGCCCTTCAGCCTGCCACTGCCCTGTGGGAGCCCGTCTCTGTGCTGGCGGAGGCCGGAGCCAGCTCCCTCTGCTTGCGGGAAGGTGTGGAGAGAGAAGTGTGGGCGGGAACCGGGGCTGCGTGTGGTGCTTGCAGGCCAGTGCGAGTTCCAGGTGGGCACGGGCTCAGCGGGCCCCACACTCGGAGCAGCCGGCTGGTGCCACCCGGCCCTGGGCAGTGAGGGGCTTAGCACCCGGGCCAGCAGCTGCGGAGGGTGGGCCGGGTCCCCCAGCACTGCCGGCCCACCCGTGCTGCACTTGAATTTTCACCAGGCCTCAGCCACCTCCCCACGGGGCAGAGCTCGTGACCTGCAGCCTGCCATGCCCGAGCCATACCCGAGCCCTGCCCCCCCGCCCCCCCACCCCCCACCCCGTGGCCACCCCCTGCTCCAATGGCGCCTGGTCCCGTCGACCACCCAAGGGCTGAGGAGTGCGGGCACACGGCACAGGACTGGCGGGCAGCTCCGCCCATGGCCCAGGCACGGGATCCACTAGGCAAAGCCAGCTGGGCTCCTGAGTCCAGTGGGGACTTGGAGAACTTTTATGTCTAGCTGGAGGATTGTAAATGCACCAATCAGCACTCTGTGTCTAGCTAAAGGTTTGTAAACGCACCAATCAGTGCTCTGTGTCTAGCTAATCTAGTGGGGACTTGGAGAACTTTTGTGTCTAGCTAAAGGATTGTAAATGCACCAATCAGCACTCTGTGTCTAGCTCAAGGTTTGTAAACACACCAATCAGCACCCTGTCAAAACGGACCAATCAGCTCTCTGTAAAATGGGCCAATCAGCAAGATATAGGTAGGGTCAGATAAGGGAATAAAATAAGGCTGCCTGAGCCAGCAGGACAACCCGGGTCCTCTTCCACAATGTGGAAGTTTTGTTCTTTCTCTCTTAGCAATAAATCTTGCTGCTACTCACTCTTTGGGTTGGTGCCAGCTTTTATGAGTTGTAACACTCACTGCGAAGGTATGCAGCTTCCTTCCTGAGGCCAGCCAGACCACGAACCCACCGGGAGGAATGAACAATTCTGGACGGGAGGAACGAACAACTCCAGACACGTCGCCTTAAGAGCTGTAGCACTCACCGCAAAGGTCTGCAGCTTCACTCCTGAAGCCAGCGAGACCACGAACCCTCCAGAAGGAAGAAACTCCGAACACGTCCGAACATCAGAGGAACAAACTCCGGACACACCACCTTTAAGAACTGTAACACTCACTGCAAGGGTCCGCAGCTTCATTCTTGAAGTCATTGAGACCAAGAACCCACCAATTCCACACACACTGGTTAACATGGTGAAACCCAGTCTCTACTAAAAAATACAAAAACTTCGCCGGGCATGGTGACGGGCGCCTGTAGTCCCAGCTACTCAGGAGGCTGAGGCAGGAAAATGGCGTGAACCCGGGAGGCGGAGCTTGCAGTGAGCCCAGATCGCGCCGCTGCACTCCAGCCTGGGCAACAGAGTGAGACTCCATCTCAAAAAAAAAAAAAAAATACAGCCTATTTCTACACCATGAATATTCTGAGTACTTTAGTAGGTGATATGCTGACATCCCAAATCAATGTAAAATCGCAAGTCTATGTAAAATATCCCAAATCTATGTAAAATCCCAACTCTATGTAGCCTCCATAAATATGGACATGAACAGTAACAACTCATATATGTTGAGGCTTTTCTCAAGTGTGTCAGGCACCGTTCTAAGCATGTTACATGTGGCAACAGGCTGATTTCTCACAGCCTGTAAGGTAGATATTTTTCTCTCCATTTTTCACGAGAAAACGGAGGCACCAGGTGGGGTAAGCAATTTGCCAAGGGTGCAGTTAGAAAGTGGTGGAGGCAGAATGAGAACCCAGCCCGGCTAGCTTCAGAGCCTGTACTCCTAATGACTGTTTTGTGAATGATTTAAGTTTGAACTACTAGGCCCAGAAAGGTTGCATAGTTTTCCTTGAAGTTGCTCTGGCACCCATGATTTCTGGGCAATAGGGGAAACTCTCTAATTCAGATTCAGTTTGGAGGCTTGCTTGCTTGCTTTCTTCCTTTCCTCCTTTCTTTCTTTTTCTTTTCTTTCTCTTTCTTTCCCTCTTTTCTTTTCTTTCTTTTCTGTCTCTTGCTTTCTTTCTCTTTCTTTCTGTCTGTCTGTCTTTCTGTTTTGCTCTTGTTGCCCAGGCTGGAGTGCAAGGGTGCTATTTCGGCTCACTGCAACCTTTGCCTCCTGGGTTCAAGCGATTCTCCTGCCTCAGCCTCCTGAGTAGCTGGGATTACAGGCACGCATCACCATGCCCGGCTAATTTTGTACTTTTAGTAGAGACGGGGTTTCTCCATGTTGGTCAGGCTGGTCTCAAACTTCTGACCTCAGGTGATCTGCCCGCCTTGGCCTCCTAAAATGCTGGGATCACAGGTGTGAGCCACTGCGCCTGGCCTGGAAGTTATTTTTCTTTATAAAGCAGATGACTTGTGGTCCTAGAACTTTGGGAGGCCGAGGCAGGCGGATCACAAGGTCAGCAGATCGAGACCATCCTGACTAACACGGTGAAACCCCGTCTCTACTAAAGATACAAAAAATTAGCCGGGCATGGTGGTGGGCGCCTGTGGTCCAGGCTACTCGGGAGGCTGAGGCAGGAGAATGGCGTGAACCCGGGAGGCGGAGCTTGCAGTGAGCGGAGATCGCGCCACTACACAACAGCCTGGGCGACAGAGCGAGACTCCGTCTCAAAAAAAAAAAAAAAAAAAAAAAAAGCAGATGACTGCACAAGCTCTTTTAAGGCTGTCTTATGTTTTCAAAGAACTTTTTAAGAGATAGGGGGTCTTGCCATGTTTCCCAGGTTGGTCTCGAATTCCTGGACTCAAGCAATCCTCTTGCCTCAGTCTCCCAAGTAGGGGGATTATATAGGCACGAGCCACTGTGCCCAGCTTAACCCTGTCTTATTTTACATGAACCACAAAGGTTTGAACAAGAAGTAACAGCCCGAGGGTGGTGAAAGTTGTAAAAACACAAGGAACGAGTTCAGTACTATGTATTCCTGAGCTCTTTTCATTCACCTGTGTCTGACTTTGGAAAATTTTTTCTTTGCAGAGAATCTACTTTTCTATCCTCTTTTTGGAAATATAGTTTTAACTTGCCTGGTTGAGTTTCCTAGTCTTTAAGTGTTGCTGTCAGTGGAATTGGATTGCGGAGCAGTAGAGGAGAAAAGGCTAACAACTTTTACAAGGAGTCCACATCGTTACCCACAATACAGAGGCTGGGGAGAGAGAAATGTCTAGAGAGAAAGAGAAGAGGCTGCGGCTCAAGTGAGAACATTAGGTTTAGCACATGAGAGGATCTTGAATAGTTGCAAGGAGAGAGAGAAATGGGGAATTAAGGGAGACGGGGAGACATTTGAGAAGGACGAGAAGATTGGAATCCGTTTGAAAAATGACTTTGCTTCCTGGATGGGGCATCTCTGAATGCACCATTGAGCAGAAACCTGGCTACAAGAGGCCCCTCAACACTCTTTTTTTTTTTTTTTTTTTTTTTTTTTTTGAGACGGAGTCTCACTCTGTCGCCCAGGCTGGAGTGCAGTGGCACAATCTCGGCTCACTGTAAGCTCCGCCTTCTGGGTTCATGCCATTCTCCTGCCTCAGCCTCCCGAGTAGCTGGGACTACAGGTGCCCACCACCACACCCGGCTAATTTTTTTTTTGTATTTTTAGTAGAGACGGGGTTTCACCGTGTTGGCCAGGATGGTCTCGATCTCCTGACCTCGTGATCCGCACACCTCAGACTTCCAAAGTGCTGGGATTACAGGCGTGAGCCACCGCACCTGGCCAACATGCTTTGATAGAGAAGGACTATTCCCAGAGGCCTACAGTTAGCTGTAGGAATTTAAAAGTGTTTAAAAGGAAAAAAAAAACTTTAAAAATAATTTAGATGATAAAGAATAAAGACCCTATATTTAAAATTCCAACTTGATTCAACTGTAGGCTGAAAAATGAAGACTTCTAAAATTAGAAAGAGCCAGGAAAACTTAAAAACAAAGAAGAAGAGAATCAGAAAAGAGTAAAATACTGTTAATTGTGTCATGGATTCCTAAGAGGAGCTGGAATCTCAAAATCTCAGTCTATTTCTTATCGTTCGTCCTATGTGACTAAGTTAATTACAATAATGTGCATAATTCTCATTTTGTGCTATAAGTTTAATTATTTTGGATAACCTTTTAGTTGTTCACATAATGTCCTGATTTAAACAACGCCTTTGGTTATTTCCACAGTTATGTGGGCAAAGTGGATCCCTGCTAACAATTGAAATAAAATTTTGTCACCCAAAACAGAAAAATCAGGTAAGTAGCCTCGATCTTAATTCAGCATACACCTGGCTGATTATACTGTCATAATCATTAAACAAAGTAACTTTAGAAACTAAGATTATACTTTTATAATACAAATGATAAATATCTACATAGAAAATGTAAATTCTGTGATTTTGCAGATTCCTTTATCATGTGATTATTTTTTTCCTTAATTCTCTAAGTCATTTTTTCCAAATAAGAGGAAAATTAAAATCAGACTAAGAATATACATCTACTCTTGGATGAAGAGTGAACACTCTACCTAAAAATAGATTTTTGACGTCAAGAATCCAAGAGCTGGTTTGTGAAAACAAGCTTTAAAAGCCATGAAATTGAAAGCTTTATTGGTCCATTTTTACTTGATTTAGTCAAGAGATTTTTGAAAATCAAGAACCTTTGGATCAGTTACTCCTGTCATTCTGTGCCTTACAGGAAATGAGAGAGAGTAGAGTACGCTAAACATCATGCTTTCATTGTTGTCATTTAAGCTTTTGGACAACTGAATTACTTGCTTTCTTTTAAATTTTCCCAGGGTTAACAGATCTGACAATAGGTTGAGATTTTTGTGATGTGGTTTTGTAAACCTAGAGTATTTGGTCCTTTCAATAATTCAGCCCTGGGCATGAGAAAAGATCATTTTTCACCTGACTCCAGTGTTGTCTGAACATCCACAAACAGCCGATTAACACGATATAGCTCAAGGATAGATGTGAGAATCTAACTTTAAGAAACCAATGATAATTTTACCTTCAGAAACTGTGTCTAGATATACTATTAGATGCTCCATGGAAAAGGCTCCACTTGGTGAAAAGAAAAAAAAAGGTTCCACTTGGGTCTTATCCTGGTGTAGTGGACGTATTAATTTTGTTTGACCATCATCCATTTCTCCTTCTTCTATGAATTTAACCTTTATCTTGGGCTGGGCGTGGTGGCTCATGCCTGTAATCCCAGCACTTCGGGAGGCCGAGACGGGCGGATCACAAGGTCAGGAGATCGAGACCATCCTGGCTGACAAGGTGAAACCCCGTCTCTACTAAAAATACAAAAAAAAATTAGCCGGGCAGGCACCTGTAGTCCCAGCTACTCGGGAGGCTGAGGCGGGAGAATGGCTTGAACCCAGAAGGCGCAGCTTGCAGTGAGCAGAGATCGCACCACTGCACTCCAGCCTGGGCGACAGAGCAAGACTCCATCTCAAAAACAAACAAACAAACAAACAAACAAAAAAACCTTTATTTTGGGGAGAGTGACCACCCCTCTTTATCATGTGGCATAGGTCAAATGCTCACTGTTTATCATGTGGCATAGGTCAAATGCTCATGCTAAGTTTAAAAGAAATTTTTTTACAGGGTTTCTCTCTGTTGCTTAGGCTGGAGTGCAGTGGCGCAATCATGGCTCATTGAAGCCTCAAACTCCTGGGCCCAAGTGATCCTCGCACCGCAGAATCCTGAGTAGCTGGGACTGCAGGCATGTGCCACCAAGCCTGGCTAATTTTTGTATTTTTTGTAGAGGTGGGTGTCTCCCTATGTTGTCCAGCCTTGTCTTGAACACCTGGCCTCAAGTGATCCTCCCACCTCAGCCTCCTGAAGTGCTGGGATTACAGGCATGAGCCACTGCACCCGGCCTCATCCTAGTCTTAAGGAAAGCACATGACTCAGGCCTGGCCAGTCACAGTATCAGAGCTTGTTAGTTACAATGACTGGGTGAGTATTGTACTCATGACCTCAGCTAGGTTGGGAAGAATCCTTTTTGGGATTTTTGCTGGAACTTTTGTGAAAGAGGCATTGTCTCCTGTTGGGGTTGCCACATGGATCAATTAGAAGATGACCTTTTCTCGTAGCTATTTTTTGCAAATACTTAGGAACATTAGCCTTTGTCTGGAAAAAAAAAAAAGCAACACAGACGAAAGCAAGTCAAAAAGATGGAGTAAGTAAAAAAATTCCTAAAGATGTAATTGAGTACTTGCTTCCCTCTGTGCCCAAGTCTATCTGTACCCCTGCACTTTTCAATTTTGTGAGCCTACACGTTTTTAAAAAATTTAAGCCAGATTAAGCTAGGCTACTCTGGCAACCAAAAGTGTCCTGATTAATACAGTTAGCTTTGTGTGAATTGGAACAATTGGCCAGGGCAAAGAATGAAATACTGTTAGCAGGTCTTGTGGTCCTGGTTGAGAGAGACTGAGGAAAATTAGATTAGAGGACACAGTTTTGGCCGGGTATGGTGACTCATGCCTGGAATCCAACATTTTGGGAGGCTGAGATGGGTGGATCACATGAGGCCAGGAGTTCGAGACCAGCCTGGCCAACACAGTGAAACCCCATCTCTACTAAAAAATATACAAAAAAGTAGCCAGTTGTGATGGTTAATACTGAGTGTCAACTTGTTTGGATTGAAGGATGCGAAGTATTGATCTTGGGTGTGTCTGTGAGGGTGTTGCCAAAGGAGATTAACATTTGAGTCAGTGGACTGGGAAAGGCAGACCCACTCTTAATCTGGGTCAACACCATCTAATCAGCTGCCAGCGTGGCTAGAATATAAAGCAGGCAGAAAAATGTGAAAAGACTAGCTTGGCCTAGCCTCCCAGCCTACATCTTTCTCCTGTGCTGGATGCTTCCTGCCCTCAAACATCAGACTCCAAGTTCTTCAGTTTTGGGACTCGGACTGGCTCTCCTTGCACCTCAGCTTGCAGACAGCCTATTGTGGGACCTTGTGATCATTTGAGTTAATACTTAATAAACTCCCCTTTATATATATATATATGATATGTAATAGGATATATATATAAGATAGGATATCCTATTACATATCATATATATCCTATTAGTTCTGTCACTCTAGAGAACCCTGACTAATACACCAGGCATGGTAATGTGCGCCTATAATCCCAGCTACTCAGGAGGCTGAGACAGGAGTACTGCTTGAACCCAGGAGCTGGAGGTTGCAGTGAGCTGAGTTTGAGCCACTGCACTCCAACCTGGGGGACAGAGTGAGAATCCATCTAATAAATAAATAAATAAATAAATAAAACAAAAGGAAAGCATTTTAAATTAGCAATTTAAAATAGTGCAGACCACCAGACAAAAACCTAGTTTTGTCAATTGACCTGTATTGTAATGCATAAAACCAAAAATTATTTAAAAACATAGTGCAGGGTGATCCACATTATTCAAAATGAATTAAAAGCCATACGTATTAGCCAAAATAATAGCTCCCTCCCTCAAAGAGAAGGTGATGTGAAGACAGAAAAAGTATAGAGCGAGGCCAAGGTGGGTGGATCACTTGAGGTCAGGAGTTCAAGACCAGCCTGGCTAAGATGGTGAAACCCCATCTCTACTAAAAATACAAAAATTACCCAGGTGTGATGGCACACACCTGTAATCCCAGCTACTCGAGAGGCTAAGGCACAAGAATGCTTGAACCTAGGAGGCAGAGGTTGCAGTGAGCCGAGATTGTGCCACTGCACTCCATCCTGGGCAACAAAGCAAGACTCTGTCTCAAAAAAAAAAAAAAAAAAAGAAGTATAGAGCGACGTGAGTTAGAACCAAGAAATGCCAAGGCACCTCCAGAAGCTGGAAAAAACAAGGAACAAATTCTCCTCTGGACACTCCAGAAGAGACCAGCCCTGGCAATGTAAAACAAATTTTAGATTTCTGACCCCCCAGAACTGTAAAAGAATACATTTGTGTTGTTTAAGTCACTATATTTGTGGTAATTTAATACGGCAGCAAAGAAAACTAATAAGTACACCCTGTTAAATGAGGTGGGTAGTTTTGAGATGGACCACCTAATATTGGAAAGATATTTTGCGTCTTAAACTTCTAGCAGCTGTAAGAGGGAAAAACATCTCCAAATATGCCTGGGCTTTATTTCCTAAGTGAATTAAAAGAACATTGCTAATTAAGGGTAAAGATGGAGATTTTCTAGTGATTCTTTGAAAGGATCACCAGGTTCAGATTGTGTCATGGTGCTCATGACTTGATCACCTAGTTACTGCAGAGACAGAGAGTATTAGGAGGCTTTCAAGGAAGGTGGGCCGATTCTCTAGCCAACGTGAAATGTTGGTAGACAAGAAGCTAAACTTCCCCCCAAGAGACAGTATGTCAGTCAGGAAACTATTTCCTGTCCGTTGAAATATCTTTTTATAGCTGGGAAAAACTTTGGGAAAACCAAGTGGTGAGCCATGGAAAAGGGTTTCTTTGTTTATTTACTTTGGCTTTTCGAAATGTTCTTGGACTTGAGTGGACGTCTGACTCTGGGGAAAACAGACATAAGGACAATTAAAGATGTCCCAAATTGACTCTGCTGGGAGGAACATTGCTCGTTGCTGCCCTCCAGAGAAGTTCAGAGAGGGAACAATGAAAAGCAGAAGGCTGATGAAGAAAGGTCAGGCTGTATGCCAACAAAGGTCAGCCCGTATGCGTGTCTGTTGCACCTTGCGTAGCCTGTGAGTTTGCCTGAAACCTTTCCATAGAGATAGCAAAATATGCTTTCAGCTCAACTTTAATTTAGAAGCCATATCCTATCTTGGTTGAGTGCCACCTTGTTTAAAGTAACATATTCTGGATCTGTGTAGCTGGGGACACAGAAGGGGCCCACCATGAGATTTTAGGCTTGTGAGCATTCTTTATGCAGGCTTCTCTTTGCGTTAAGCTCTTCTGGAGAGACAGTGACCGGCCGGTTGCCAGAATTGGCCTTAGCACAAAATTCTTGGACAAATTTGGGGCAAGATCTCTTCAAAAGTCCAAGCTGTGGGTCATCAGGGGCAGACCCTCACCCTAAGAGGAGACGTTGAAGTCAGCCAATATTGTCCAGAAATTAAACGCTGGAGGGGGCCAGTGATTAATGGCTCACGCCTGTAATCCCAGCACTTTGGGAGGCTAAGGCAGGAAGATTGCTTGAGGCCAGGAGGAGTTCGCGACTGGCCTAGGCAACATAGTGAGACCTCCATGTCTACAAAAAAAAAATTAAAAAATTAAAAATGTAGCCAAGTGGGCCGGGCGCAGTGGCTCACACCTATAATCCCAGCACTTTGGGAGGCCAAGGCGGGCAGATTGCCTGAGCTCAGGAGTTAAAAAATTAGCTGGGTGTGGTGGCATGTGCCTGTAGTCCCAGCTACTTGGGAGGCAGAGGCAGGAGAATTGCTTGAACCCAGGAGGCAGAGGTTGAAGTGAGCCAAGAACACACCTTCACTCCAGCCTGGGCAACAGAGCAAGACTCTGTCTCAAAAAAAAAAAAAAAGTAGCCAGGTGTAGTGGTGTGCACCTGTAGTCCCAGCTGCTTGGGAGGCTGAAGTGGGAGGATCATTTGAGCCCAGGAAGTTGAGGCTATAGTGAGTCATGATTGCACCGTCTCAAAAAAAAAAAAAAATTAACCAGGTATGTTGGTGTGTGTGCCTGTGGTCCCAGCTACTTGGGAAGCTGAAATTGAGAGGATGCTTGAGCCCAGGTATTAGTTTGAGGTTAAAGTGAGCCATATGAAGACACTGCATTCTAGCCAGGGCCACAGAGTGACACCCTCTATGAAAACAAAACAAAACAAAACAAACCAACAAAAAAACAACCCACCATAGAGAGGGAAGGTATAATGGTTTTAGGCATTTAATTTTTTGGTGTCACTGAAGGATTTTGTTTTTAATTTAGATTCTTCGCAGGAAGAGTTGGTGATGGTGGTGATGGTGGTTGTAGCTGTAGAAGTGAGGAATGCATTTGTTTGGGGAGGTTAAAGGGGACCATTTTACACTGAAAGATGAACGTAGATGTAAAACTAGTAGCTACAAGAAATTAACCAAGAATAGAGTGAGGCCAGAATTAGACCCTCAAAGAACAGCAGATAACAAAGATATCCCCTAAAAGCAGCGAATATTTACCAGGTGTTTACTCTGCAAGAGAGATGGTCTTTTTTTATGTCCTTTACCTATTTAAGCCCACACAGTACCCCTATCATGAAAGTGCTATTGTCAGGATTCCCATTTGACAGATGGGAAATGGGGGCCTGGGAAGTCCAAAACCACCCAGCCAGTAAACAGAGGAACCAGGCTTGCACTCAGTCAATCTCTGTCTAGAGCCACCGAAGAAAAATGGGAGAAAAAATTTGATGCTGCAAAAGACGCCCCTCAAAGATAGATAATGATGCCTCCAAGCCAAAGGGAATCTGCCTGCTGAGAGGGGGTCACTTCTAAAGGCACTCCTTCCTTAAATGGAAGGCGGAGGGAGGCAGGGCAAGGTGACTACCCCTGCCTTCAGCATGGTCCTGGCAGCCCCCTCTGTGCATTGAATGGGGTGTGTCAGGCCAGAGTGGGCTGGGGCTTGAGTGTGGTTGGGGGGGAGTCCTGAGGCGAGGATAGTAAAGATGGGACATGACCCTGAGGGCTCAAGCTCAGGACAGGCTCAAACATCCCTTTCTTCCTGAGATGGGGTTGTCTGACTCCCTGGGGGAATGTGATTCTGTTTGCAGTTAAACCAATTTGAATTAATCTAGCAAGTGTCAATTCTTTCCCTCGGAACTGTGTAGAATGCTATTCCAAAATTAGACTAACTAGTGAAACCTTCTCACAGGCTTCTTTTTTACAGACTGAGATAATGTTTCGCTCAAAGATGCTGCTGGATGAGGCAGACCATTTTAATCACAGTGAAGCTTCCCCCCCAGGCTTTCGCTGCCTCTCCCACCTTGTGGGGACCTGCCTGGGAGAAGTTTCACACGCGCCCCCGCTCCACCTCCCACCCTGCAGAACTGCTGCTGGCTGGACGCTGGCTGCACCTTCTCGTTGAGAACAGCTGCTGGCTATTTCCTCATTTCTAAACTTCCGAGGACAAGCTTGGAGTGCAGCTAAGCCTTTGGAGATGCTGCAGCTACTGTTCTGATCCTGGGAGGTGCATTTCTGAGGCGGACAGTCAGCACTGACAAGACAAGTTGGAGGGAACGAGCTGGCTGAGGGCTGGGGAGCAGCCCCTCTCCTTGGAAGAACTCTGATGGGAAACAGATGCTAAGAAGGGATTTATGGTTTATTCCAAGGACAGATGAGATAAGTTGTGGATGCACATGATTTTGTGGGGGAAGCAGGGGAGACCCAAGCGGGACACAGCCAGCCTAGCCCGTCAGCAATGAGAAAGTGTCCTTGGGTCTAGATGGGTGTGCCTGGGAGCAGGGCTTGGATCTTAGGCATTGACGGTCACCATCTGCAGGACAGGGGCCACCAGTCCATGGATATCTGATCTTCTTAGGGTCCCTGGAAACAAGGGGGACAAAATGCCTGAAGGCTTCCTGCTGCTCACTCCTCCCCTCTGAGTCCCTCTTCCTGACCTGCTCCACACCCTCTGTTCTTCCTCTCCCGCCTGCTTCTCTTTTCTTGCCTTCTCTCCACCCCTTCTTGAGTCTGCTCTGTTTATTTCATTTCCTTTTTAAAATGTTGTCAGCATCCTTTAGCTAAGGACAGCCATCAGTATCACTATTCTGTGTTATTTTTCTCAGGTAAAATGCTATTTTGTTTAGTAACCAACCCTGCCCAGCCCCCCACTCCCCGTCATGCTTCCTCTATTTTTACCCCGCACAGCCAGCAGCAAGACTGGGGCAGGAATACAGAGAGCACTCTGGGTTCTCCCCCAGCCTGAGGCCCTCCCTCGGCAGGACCCAAGGAGCACTACACAGCCCAAGGGCTCTGATAATCCACCAGGCCCCATCCCTCCATTCTCTCTTTGTCTCCGATACAAATTGCCTGGCACCAGTGCCCTAGAGCAGGCTATAATGAGAGGTGATTATCCCATCCCTGCAGGAGAGCCCTGGGACAAATCCTCCAGCACTTATGGACCTGTTTACTTCAGTTACTACTGAAAGTCCAAGTCCAAGCCTTCAAGGTCAACCTTCATTACTCCTACCGTTTTTCCCATGGGGTTCAGAACATTCTCTCATCCGACTCATGCTCCCACACCTCTGTGACCCTCAGTCATTCCTCTGAGCCTCTGGAATTCAGAGTGTGTCATCAGTACAATTTCCTGTCTTCGTTCTCATCTGGGAACATTTCCTTCACCTTCTTGTTTAACTCTGAGCTTTCCCATGCAGCCACTATTACCCATATGTGGCTGTTGAACACTTGAAATGTGACTAGTCCAGATTGAGATGCGGTATCAGCATAAACACATACTGGATTTTGAAGACTTCATATGAAAAAAGGAACTTAAACTATCTTGAAGGATACTTAGGTGGGTATAAGATTCTGTGCTGACGGGGCGCGGTGGCTCATGCCTGTAATCCCAGCACTTCGGGAGGCTGAGGTGGGCGGATCACCTGAGGTCAGGAGTTTGAGACCAGCCTGGCCAACATGGCGAAACCCCATCTCTACTAAAAATACAAAAAATAGCCGGGCTTGGTGGTAGGCACTTGTAATCCCAGCTATTCAGGAGGCTGAGGCAGGAGAATCACTTGAACCCAGGAGGCGGAGGTTCCAGTGAGCTGAGATTAGTAATTAACTAGGCCCAATGCACCACTGCACTCCAGCCTGGGCAACAAGAGAGAAACTCCGTCTCAAAAAAAAAAAAAAAAAAAAAAAAAAAATTCTATGCTGTCAGTTCTTTTCTTGTAGCCCTTCAAAAATGTGGTTGTCACTTCCTTTTGGTCTCCATGGTTTCTCATGACAATATGTTGTCTATATTGTATTAAGTAAAATATGTTATTAAATTGTTTACCTATTTCTGTTTGATTTAAAGAAATGTGGCTAGTAGAAAATTTAAAATTATGTATGTGGTTCACATTATATTGCTATCAGATAGTGCTGCTTTGGCCAGGTGTGATGGCTCATGACTGTAATCTCAGCACTTTGGGAGGTTGAGGCAGGAGGATTGCTTGAGGCTAGGAGTTCGAGACCAGCCGGAGCAACAAAGTGAGACTGTCTCTACAAAAAAATAGCCCATGCCATTCTGTAGTCCTAGCTACTTGGGAGGCTGAGATGGGAGGATTGCTTGAGCCCAGGAGATTGTGGCTGCAATGAGCTATTATTGTGCCACTGCACTCCAGCCTGGGTGACAACAGAGCAAGACCCTGTCTCAACAACAACAACAACAACATAGTGCTGCTCTGACTGAGGTCTGGCTGCCCTTGAAAGCTTAGCTTCTTCAGAAGCCCTCTCACACATGGCTGGTCCTTTCCTCATGCTCTCTGTTCAGACAAGGCCTAGAGGTGGGGCAGGTAGCTCCTGGCTCCCCATTGCTCTTTCCAAGCCATTGGTCATAGTATTTCCTAAAACAGTTTTGATCTTCTGAAACTCATGCCATCAAACTAGACCTGCCTTTACCTCTTCACATTGCAATTCTCTACCATTCTCCTGGTTACTCCTTCCCCTCTTATTGACGATCTTCGTGTCCGGTTCACTGTTGTTCCTACCATCTTGACTCTGGGCATCATTCTTGTCATTGGCATGCCCCTAGATAGTCCATCAACACCCTGGCCTCTCTGTTCACTGTTTTCCTCACTTATAATGATATGTCCTCCATCATTATATCCTCAGCCACCTACTTTAATGGTCGTATCTTTGTCATCGCCTATGGTTTCACAACCTCCAAAATCTTAATTTCAAGCGTCCCAGTCTTTGAATTCTATCTCTTATGTTTATGGCTTATTTCCTCTAGGCTCCCCATTTCAACACTTTTTTTGTTGTTGTCGAGGTATTGCTATGTTGCTTAGGCTGGAGTGCAGTAGTGTGATCAGAGCTCACTGCAGCCTTGAACTCCTGGGCTCAAGCAATTCCCCCATCTCAGGTTCCTGAGTAGCCAGGATTACAGGCATGTGCCACCATGCCCAACTCATCAATTTATTGATTCCATTGGTACTTCCAATTAATTGATTCTATCAGCTTTTCACTTATGTATCTTAGAGTCTGTGGTTCATCATTGCAATTACTCCTTGCATATATCTTTAAGACCCTTTTATCCCCGCCTCTTTCCTTAGACCTTCTGGCAAACCCCTGAACCTGATTGAATTCAATTTTCCCTAACATCTATAACCAAGCAGCTACCATGGCCAGAAAATGACGACAACAACAACAACAACAACTGAACTAGTCTCAGTCTAAATTTGTAACATCAAACCTTGAGTGCTCCTTAGCATGGCCTATTAGTTTTGCGAGGTATCCCCTTACACTCTCATTTTTCTCCTCCTTCATGGCCACCAATATTAAATTTCAGCCGAGACCTTCCTTTCTATCGAACTGCAAAAGTATAATTAATCAGAAGAAAACATCTACTCCTTCCATTCACTGAGTCAGTCCACTTTATACGCAACTGTGGATATTCTCCGTTTTCCTTTCACATATAATGGGTGAATTGACCCTACTCTTACCTAAAGCCAATTTCTCTACTGTGCACCATATTTTATTCTTTCTCAATTCCTACAATTCTTCTTTCTCTGTCATTTATTATCTTTCCTCTAGCCTACTGGATTGTTCTCATTAGCATGCAAGTATGATACAGTCTTTGCCTTCTAATTACTGCTTGGATCTTCCGCTCCCCTTTGTAGCAGAACTCCTGGGAAGACTTGCTATGCTCTCTGCCTTCACTTCACTGCATCATCTCTCCAGAACCCTTTCTATCAGATATTCAAGCCCATCAGTCCAGAGCTATTGTCAATGTCAGTAACAACGTCTACATGGCCTCTTCTTCTTTTTTTGTTGTTTTTGAGATGGAGTTTTTCTCTTGTTGCCCAGGCTGGAGTGCAATGGCACGATCTCGGCTCACTGCAACCTCTACCTCTCAGGTTGAAGCGATTCTCCTGCCTCAGCCTCCCAAGTAGCTGGGATTACAGGCATGCACCACCATGGCTGGCTAATTTTGTATTTTTTGTAGAGATGGGATTGCTCCATGTTGGTCGGGCTGGTCTTGAATTCCCGACCTCGTGATTCGCTTGCCTCAGCCTCCCAAAGTGCTGGAATTACAGGCGTGAGCCACCGCGCTTGGCCTACATAGATTCTTCTAATGTTCATTTCTCAGTCATCTTCACTGAACTTTTAGCAGCATTTGATCCAGCTGCTTATTCCCTTTTGGAACACTGTGTTCCCTTGGCTTCCAGGGCTCCATTTTCCCGCTTTTCTTTTTCCTTCCCTAGTTGCTCCTTCTCAGCCTCTTTTGCTGACTCCTCCTCCTCTTTCTCACTTTCAAATGCTGGAATGCCCACAGGCTCAGTCTTTAGACTCTTGTTTTCTTTTCTACACTTATTTTCTCCTAGATGATCTCATACAGTTTTATGGTTGAAAAGATCTATATATATGCTGAAAATTCTCAGATTTACTTCCCCAACCTAGGACACTCTGAAATTCTAAATGCATAAATCAACTGTTCTTTCTACATATCGACTTGATTTCTAATGGGAACCCCCAGCTTTATTAAGAAATAATTGACAAATAAAGCTATATACATATATATATATAGTGTACAACATAATATTTTGATATATATGTACATTGTGATATGATTAAATCAATCTAATTAACTCAAATGGGGATCTTGATTATTAAATATCCAACGCCAAACTCTTCATTATACTGCTCAAATCTCTTCCCCCTACAGTGGCTCATGTATTAGTACACGGCATCGCTATTCACCATGTTAGTTCTACAATTTCAACAACCTGGAATGAACTATCTTCTTTTCTCTCATGATCCACATGCAACCCGTCATCACCTCTTATAGACTCTACCTTCAGAATATGTCCTTTCTGCTGGGCACAGTGGCTCACACCTGTAATCCCAGCACAAGCTGGAAAACAGCATGGGCCATGTAGCAAGACCCTATCTCTACAAAATATTTAAAAATTAGCCAGGCATGGTGACACATGCCTGTAGTCCTATCTACTTGGGAGGCTGATGTGGAAGAATTGCTTGAGCCCAGGAGTTCAAGGCTACAATGAACTAGGATTGCACCACTGCACTACAACCTAGGTGACAGAGTAAGGCCCCATCTCTAAAATAAAAGAAAAAGACAAAACTTTCTTTTCACCTCCCCCGCCAGAACCTATCCCAAGTCATCATCTGTTTCCTGCAATAGTCTCTTGAGTTTTATTCTTACTCCCCTCTATTCTATTCTCTACACAACTGCCAGGTTGATCTACTGACATGTAATCAGATCATGTCATGACCTACTCAGAATCCCATGGTGACTTATCTCTAGTTTATTGTGGTGGCGATGTCTATTTGGGAAAACAGCATTGCACATAGCATTGCTTCCAATCAAGGAACTCACTTCACAGCAGATGAAGTGTGGCAATGGGCCCATGCTCATGGAATTCACTGGTTTTACCACATCTCCCACCATCTGAGGCAGCTGGCTTGATAGAACGGTGAAATGGCCTTATGCAGACTCAGCTGACACAGTTTCAGGACCCGCTAGGTGACAATACCTTGCGGGGCTGGGCAAAGTGCCCTCCAGAAGGCTGTATGTGCTCTGAATCAGCATCCAATATATGTTGCTGTTTCTCCCATGGGCAGAATTTACGGGTTCAGAAATCAAGGGGTGGAAATGGGAGTGGTACCATTCACTATTACTCTCAGTAACCGACTAGCAAGATTTTTGCTTCCTATTCCTGAGAACTTATGGTCTACTGGCCTAGAGGTCTTAGTTTCAAAGGGAGAAATGCTTCCACCAGGAGATATATTGATTCCATTGAACTGGGAGTTAAGATAGCTGCCTGGCTACTTTGGGTTTCTCATGCCTCTGAGTCGACAGGCAAAGAAGGGAGTTATGATATTGACTAGGGTGATTCCTGATTACCAAGAGAAAATCTGACTGCTACTCCACAGTGGAGGTAAGGAAGAATATGCCTGGAATACAGGTGGTCCCTTAGGGCATCTCTTACTATTACCATATCCTATGATTAAGGTCAATGGAAATCCATGACAACCCCTGCAAGGCAGGCCTCATAGACTATACCCTTCTGAAATGAAGGTTTGGGTCTCCCCACCATGTAAAGGACTACAACTAGCTAAGGTGCTTACTGAAGGTAAAGGGAATATAGAATGGTTAGTGGAAGAAGATAGTTATAAAACCATGACCATATAACCAGTTACAGAAATAGAGACTGTAATTGTCATGAGTATTTCTGCCTTATATTTGTGTGTGTGTATGTGTGTGTATTAAGCAAATAACTTGTTTTATTCCCTTACCATGTAACATAGGATGTATTGACTTTATCTCATAATATTTAAGTATTGCTGATTCTAAATCCTAGTATTTAAGTTACAGGATATCAAGGAAAAGAGTAAACACCGCACAAGGACTTTACCTCATGTTCTGGAGAAGAGGTTCGTGTGTTTTGGTTGGATGTAGGATAGTTATACCATGTTAGGAAAAATTATGGCCTTGTTATTGCCCTTACTTGACGATTAAGTATTGTTTGAGGAGATGATTATGGGTTCAAATTGACAAAGGGTGATTTGTGATGATTATTTTTAAATGTCAACTTGACTAGGCCATGGGGTGTGTAAGCATTTGGTCAGACAAATGTTTGTGCCTGTGAGGGTATTTCTGGACAAGGTTAGCATTTAAACTGATAGACTGAGTAAAGCAGATTGTCCTCCATAATGTATATGGGTCCCTGCAAACAGCTGAAGGCCTGAATAAAACAAAACGGCTGACCCTCCTGTGAGTAGGAGGAGATTCCTCCTGCCTGACTACCTTTGAGCTAGGACATTGATATTTTTTCTCCTTTGAACTGAAACACCAGCTCTTCCTGGATCTTGAGGCTATGGCCATCAGACTGGAACCACACCATGGGTCTTCTGCGTCTGCAGCTTACAGAGTGTAGGTCTTGGAACTTGTCAGCCCCTTAATCACATGAACCAATTCCTATGTGTGTGTGTGTGTGTGTGTGTGTGTGTGTGTACATATCCTGTTGATTCTGTGTCTCTGCAGAACCCTGATGCACTTACAATGAAATATTCCACCCATGGACTAAAAGGCTGTCATGACCAGGCTTCTGCATGCTTCTCCAATGTCTAACGTCTTCTCCTTGTTCACTCTGTCCTGCCACACAGGCCTTCTTCTTTCTTAAACAGGTCATTGACTTTCCCATCTTGGGGCCTTGACATCTGCTCTTCCCTCAACCTAGAAGGCACTTCCTCCATATCTTTTTAGTGCTTTGTTTTTCATCTTCTTGTGGTCTTTATTAAAGAGTCCCTTCCTCAGAGAAATTTCCTAACCACCCTATCCCAAATAGTACCCTGTGCCATTCTATCCCCTCTCTGTGTTGTTTCTTCTCCTTAGCTCTTACCACTTCCTTACATGATATTATGTTTGTTGAAATATTTGTTTATTTGTTCATTTTTTATTATACTAGCATGTAATTCCCATGGAGTAAAGACTTCGTCTCTCTGTTTTCCTTGGCTAAAGTGACCCCTTTCAGGGAGGCTCTGAGATATTTACTCCCTTCTTATTTCTTGACATCTGTTGGTCATGAAGGTTACAACATTTTTGTATCAAATGATAACTTTTATAGCCAATCCAATTCAAGTGTTTAAACACAATCATTGCCTCCTAGCAATACATTTTTTAAAAGCCAATTAAACACTGTTATAGATGATGTAATTCCCTGGCTCTCCTTCCCCCACCTGCTCTCCCATTTAAGTCATTAAACTGACTATGTTAAACTTTTGAACAATTTCCCTAATACAGAATTAATCAATTGCTCCCAAGCAAGTTATTTACAATACCAAGTCAACCGCCAAAGAAGCATGCAAAAAGATACCAAGCCTAGAAGATAACTGCATTCAAAGAGACTTCCCAGTGTTTTCTTGTGACAACTTATTCATTTATTTTTACTTTAAAATTTGTATCAACCACTTTGTGTTGCCAAAAAATAACCCATGGGCTCTGCTATTAGTGATGTGAACCTGAGTCCAGATCTGCAATTTAAATGTCACATGACCTTGGCCAGTTTTAAACATCTCTGATATTCAATTCCTCGTTTCTAGAAATGGAATACAATACTATCTACTTACAAAGATGTTTGGATGACTGTCTGGCATCATTTGTACGGAAAACTGTTTGAGAAACTTTAGAGCAGAGTAGAAATATTTGCTGTTAACTAATATGTGTCTGGGACATAGTAGGAGCTCAAAATATTTTCTGAAGATGAATGAACGAAGTCATGTTGGTTATGTTCCTCTTGATGACACGTGGGTGATGGCAGTACTGATTTAAGGTGGGATTAACCAAAGATAGATGAGGGGCTATTTTACTGAAGGCCTCTTATTCTTTGTTTGCTTTCATTGCTGTTCAATCCCACTGCCATTTTAAATCATCCAGAGCTAAACTTGTGGTGAGGGGAAATATTTATTTGCAGTAGACCTGTCAATTCTCTAGGTAGCAAAGAAAGGGCAAAATGAGCTATCACACACACACACGCACGCACACACACACACACACACACACTTGCATATTATTCAATTATCTCACATTTCATTGATTTATAAGAATAGATATGCATATAAAATCTACCTCCTCTATCTATCATCTATCAATCTATCTGAAACCCAAAGATAGTTGACCAAAGAAAATAATTCAAAAAACAAAATTCAAAAAAGAACAAGAGTTCATCATGTGTTTGTGCCAGGATTTCAATTCAATAAGGGGGCTGAAGAAATGGATTACATCATTGTCTATATTTGATTTTCTTTTGCTGTCAGTGAGGGTCCCGTGCTTCATCCTGATTTTCCTCCACCCTTCATTGTTGATGTTATAGCTCTGTTTTCTGCTTTGCTGTTGTTTTGTAAGCTTGCTGTTGTTTTGTAAGCTTGCTATTTTCTATCACTCTGACTGAGAGCATGAGCCACCATTTTTCAAGAAATCTACTCAAGTTATTTTGTCAAATGTCAATCCCATCCCCTTGAACTTTCTTAAAACACACATACACACACACACACACACACCTCTCCAAAGAACCTTAAATATATATTTAGTTCAGAGTAGCGGGGATCCCAAATCACTAAATCATAGTCCTTGGTGACTCACTATGACAAAGATGTAAAACTATTTTTAAATTTTACCTGCAGGTCAGGGAAGTTTTCAGCATGACACATACACACACACAAAAAAACCCCAAGAATCTGAAAGTGGACAGCCACAGGATAGAGACACAAACTATCTGAAGAACCGAGAGTCCTGCACAGCCTCCACACAAACAACACTGAATGGCAAAGCAGGGCCTGCTTGGTGATGCACTAAGTGATGCTTGGTGATGAGGGTCTTTCCAGCCATTTGTAGATAGACATGGTGGAATACAGAAATCACGTTTCATCTCCAGTCTTGACACTCACTTGAAAAATGAAATCCTTTGCAAGACAATGGGGAGTTGGAACTGACCAGTAATAGAGTTGGAAATGGCTCTTCCAAAACAACTTTATCACTTTAACAGATAAGATATGCTGCTACTGAGGAGCCTGGCATGCATGCACTGGAAACCCTCAGCTTCATTTCACTCACTTCTTTTTGCAGCTGGCCATATTTATACTTTTTATCAAGGGGGACAAGTACGGTCTAGCTCTGTTATTTGAGTTATAACTAAAAAGGCAGGCTATGAAGCTTTCTTTTCTTGGTGGAATAGGGATGCCCTAGAGTACTACAGGTCAGCACTGAGAGCTCTCTGGGAACATCTTAAAACACCACTGGAAAGCTTGGTGAATTTTATCTGCCTCAAATGTTCCCCAATTATATAAATGTTCATCTCATGGGCCATATTTAGAGTGTGCATGCTCCAAAAAATATAAAATAAATGGAGGGCCCTCATTTCAGAATTTTGAAGAACTCATATTAAATGCTGCCAGTTTCACATTCTGTCACACCGTCCTCCTTGGGATGGGAGTGTTATAGAGGAGGTAGCCATCTGGTCCCTGTGATCATGACAGATGAAAACTGAGTATGTTGTATTTCTAAACCTCAAAAGGAAGAACTTGGTCTTTCTGCTATTTGATTAGAATGTTAAGATCTGGACTTTGATTGACGTGACGGCAAAAGCTCTGAATATACAAGGGCTGATATTTTAAGACATTATATATTCATCGAATCCATAAATATTCCCTGGATGTCTTCCTCGTGCCATGGCAGTAGACTTGGGGGACAAACAGTCACGTTTCTTGCTTTCATAAATCTTACAAAATATTACTTTCAAATCAAAGACATCAAAGGTGACATTCCTGCTTCTGTACTATTGTGGTCTTTCAAACATAGTATGTACAAATATAGAGATTATAATGATGGGCTGCCAATTAGTTTTATTTCTAAATCTTAATAACATCTAGCTGATTGTTGGAACTTGGATATAAACAGTTAATTAGAAAGCAACTGCTAACCAATTCACCAATTACCTGCAATTACTAATGGGGTAGGAGTCCATGGCTGTTGGTTTTTTAAAAAAAGCATTATTTTAGTGAACCATTGTTATGGAGTATATAGCTATTAATATAATTTATTAATTACCCTTAAACTGAAACTTAGAATGTTTAATTTCTTTGCAGGAAATTCGCTTTTGGTTCAAAATCTTTTAAAAAATGACATGCAGTACAACTTAATAGAGAATAACATGAATACATCTGCCCCTTCTGGTCCATTTCTCCCACTTTGTAGTCTGCTGATTTTCTAGATTTTTAATGTGATTTGTCTCACTCATTCTTTAAAACAAAATTTTGTAATTGTTGTGCCAATTGCATATTCATCTCCCATCTTCTAAGCTATCGTTAGTCTTCTTTCATTTACTCAGTTTCCAGAACTGAATTTGTGTAGATGGTCTGGAAGCAGTAGCTCAGGTGGCTCATAGAATTTGATGCAAAGGAGATTATGGGTGTCTGACATCTGCATTGGCCAGAAGATTTGCAAAGGGACATAATCAGTGATCATTAGTTTGGACGAAATTAAGAAAACAGATTCAGAATCTAAAATAAGACTTTGTCACTTACAAAGAATTGCAGGGAGGAAAGAAAGGAGTGCTTACTAGCCAGTAAGTTGGAAACATCACATCCCAGGTCCTCCTCGGATCAAAATGGCAGGCTCTCCTTTAGGTATGAGTCAAATCTAAGCCCCTTTCTGAGAATTGCCTTGTCCCCAGCAGGGGAGAAAGGGCCTCCTCATAACCCACAGGTAGAAGAAGAAACCTTGTAATACTCAGCAGGGGAAAGGGAACTGATTTAAGTTAGCCTACTTCAGAAAGCCTATTTGGAAGGGAATATTGCTTATTTGAAAAAAATTACTATTTTTTTTAAATAGCAAAATTATAATGACATATCATTGTGCTGAGATTTCAACTTTAACTCCTGCACGTAGTGTTTTGTTATTATGAAGGGCTTCATTTCACCACTAGGATTTTGGGGAAAAAATTATCTAGTGGTATCTGATATTTTGTGTAATGCAAATGTCAGTCTCCCATGTATCTCATGCCCTCCAAGCTTCTGTGAATTGACTTTCCTTTAGTGCTTAAATGAGAAGGTGTTGAGCCTTTCTTTAGAGGCCACGTCCACACTGGAGCTATAGAGGGTATAAATAGCCAAGAGCAGACCCACTTCAGCTGGTGGAGCCATATGCACTGGCCAAGACTCAAGGAAACAGGAGCAGTAGTAGGTATGCATGTCCTTCATTGAATGTTGTAATCTAGGAAACTGCAAAGAAATCTAGCAAGATGGGATGGGAGAGGGACCTCAGCTGCTGGACTGAGGCTTATTAAACTGCATAGTTGGGGAAGCACTAGTCCTTTCCCTGTTGTGGTCAGGGAAATCATATAATAACAATACAATGAGGCAGAGTCTTGAGTCCAGCCTTATCCTGAGAGTTCAGTGTTTACAACTGGAGAAGCATTAGCCTTTTCTTTGCTATGGTCAGGGTCCTGGTGTTCAAGCCTTGTGATTACAGTCATGCACCACATAATGATGTTTCTGTCAACTACAGACCACATATATGATGGTGGTCCCATAAGATTATAATAGCATATTTGTACTATACCTTTTCTACAGTTAGATACACAAATATTTACCATTGTTTCTCAATTGCCTACAATATTTGGTACAGTAACCTGCTGTGTGAGTTTGTAACCTAGGAGCAATGGGCTATACCATGTAACCTAGGTGTGTAGTAGGCTGTAGCATCTAGGTTTGTGTAAGTACACTCTATGATGTTTGCATAATGATGAAATCACCTAATGATGCATTTCGCAGAATGTATTCGTCATTAAGGGATGCATGACTGTCCAGCTGTATAATGTGGCAAGATAGCAGTGGGATTTGCTACATCATCTTTTTATGGCTAGGGAAACATCTGCTCTTTGCTGGCATCGTTGTGGGGCTGGGGTCCAAGCTTGTTGATGAGAATTGATTGCTTTCAGCACAGGGCCATAGCTGGATTCCATGGAGATTTGCAGAAAGCCAGCTCTCGCTCTGAGAGGCCAGCTGCAGTAATCAATTTGGACAACTCTTACCTTACAAGTAGAAGTTGGTCAGCAGCTTAGGGAAAAATAATATGCAGGAAATGAGAATTTCCCCTTTGTTTGTACCTCTTGCTCCACCCACATATGACAGAAAACTCTTGTAATGTGATTAAAGTTTTGCCAATTGGAATATGAGTAGAAGCGGCGTTTGACACTTGTTATGGGTCTCAGGACTGGAGGAAACCAGAATGTTTTACTGCAAAATATCCTTCTTTGGCATACTTTGAGATGATCATTCAAAAAAAAACTGCAGGCAGAAATAGCTCTGAAAAGCTGTCTTTTTGTAGGGGTGGGATTTAATTCTATAGAATTCTATAGAGAAATCCCACATTGGTGAGGTAAACAATGAAGTGAGTAGCAGAAGCAAACAGGTTTTCTCTGAGACCCCCTCACCTGGGTCTAGGAAAGATGAACTCACATAAAAAGGGGACTAAAGGTCTGGCTTTTTTTTTTTTTTTCTCGACGGATTCTTGCTCTTGTCACCCAGGACGGAGTGCAATGGCACGATCTTGGTTCACTGCAACCTCCGCCTCCTAGGTTCAAGCGATTCTTCTGCCTCATCCTCCTGAGTAGCTGGGACTACAGGCACGTGCCACCACACCCGGCTAATTTTTGTATTTGTAGTAGAGACGGGGTCTTGCCAATTACAGCCTGTCCAGGTCTGGTATTTTTAAAGGTCTGACAGAGAAACCTTTACCATAGGCTATCGTGTATTCTTTCTGAGGGCTGCTGCCTGTGAGGCTTCATCTGCATAAGAAGACGACCTTTCCTCACCATGCTTTTCCTTCTTCCACCCACATCCTGTCTTGCAGGCTCCACACCCCTATTCCTTTCTGGACAGTGTAGAACTTTCAGTCAGCTGGCCACTACTTTGAGTTTCGTACTTGGTATATTTGTGGTGTTATGACGTCTATTGGCTTTTGTCCACAGTTCCTTTCTTGTAGCTCCCATAGCCCTTGTTACAGTCTTTTGTTATTATGTTGGGTGTGTTAGGCCTCAGGGACAGGCCTCTGACCTTCTACTGCACTCCCTACCTTGCTCAAGGAAGGACTCTAAGGTTCTCCCGCCTTTCTGATTGTGGGTCTGAAGACCCTACCATAGAGGGTCCACCGTATACCCTGTGGGGAAGGAATACTGACCACATGAAGCTTCCACGAAAACCCAAGAGGACGGGGTTCAGTGAGCTTCTGGAGAGCTGAATACATGGAGGTTTCTGGAAGGCAGCACTCTGGGGAGGGCATGGAAGCTCTATACCCTTTCCCTATACCTCACCCTATCCATCAATTCATCTGTATCCTTTGTGACATTCTTTATAATAAATTGATACACATAAATAAGTGTTTCCCTGACTTCTGTAAGCCGCTCCAGCAAGTTAATCAAACCCAAAGAATCCCAACTGGAAGCCTTTTGGTCAGAAGTTCTGGAGGCCTGGATTTGCAATTGGCGTGGCATATACAGCCGTTCTGGGGACCAAGCCTTTGAATTGTGGGATCTGACACTATCTCCAGGTCGATGGTGTCAGGACTGAATTAGAGGACACCCCGCTGGTGTCCGCTGCTTGGAGTCTGGAGAAGAAAACCACCACACATTTGGTCACAGAAGTCTTCTGGGCTGAAGATTGTTGTGTTGTTGAGAGGTGAAGCCAGCTGGACTTCCTGGGTCGAGTGGGGACTTGAAGAACTTTTCTGTCTAGCTAAGGGATTGTAAACACACCAATCAGTGCTCTGTGTCTAGCTAAAGGTGTGTAAATGCACCAATCAGCACTCTGTAAAAATGCACCAATCAGTGCTCTGTGTCTAGCTAAAGGTTTGTAAACGCACCAATCAGAACTCTGTAAAATGGACCAATTAGTGCTCTGTAAAATGGGCCAATCAACAGGACGTGGGTGGGGCCAAATAAGGGAATAAAAGCTGGCCACCCGAGCCAGCAGCGGCAACCTGCTTCGGTCCCCTTCCATGCTGTGGAAGCTTTGTTCTTTTGCTCTTCACAATAAATCTTGCTGCTGCTCACTCTTTGGGTTCGCACTACCTTTATGAAGCCGCGAGGGTCTGCGGCTTCAGTCCTGAAGTCAGCGAGACCATGAACCCACCGGGAGAAACAAACAACTCTGGATGTGCCACCTTTAAGAGCTGTGACACTCACTGTGAAGGTCTGTAGCTTCACTCCTGAAGTCAGCAAGACCACAAACCCACTGGAAGGAAGGAACTCTGGACACATCTGAACATCTGAAGGAACAAACTCCAGATACACCATCTTTAAGAGCTGTAACACTCACTGCGAACATCTGCAGCTTCATTCTTGAAGTCAGCGAGACCAAGAATCCACCGGAAGGAATAAATTCTGGACACATTGTGAGAGTAGAGGAGAATACAGTTAGAGTTTTCCCTACACAGCATTGCTCCCAGGTCCATATGCATGTGAATAAATTTGTATATCTTTTTCCTGTTATTCTGCCTTTTATTTGAGAGGTGTCCCAGGTAGAAATTTGAGGGTTGAAAAAAGAAATGTATTTTTTCTCCTCTTCAGGACATTGGGCTACCTCATTCCCCTTCCCACTAGATTATGGAACCAGGTTATGGTCATGACTCAGCTTTGATCAAACAGATGACAAAGGCTCTAGAGAGAACAAGATTAAAGGAACCAGGGCCCATGAATAGCTGTGCAGAGGAGGATGTCCTGCTGTAAACCAAAAATAAAATTCGAAGTCCCCCAACCAACTGAATAGACCTCACGTCTCAGCCAAGAGCATTCTAGAGTAAACCTGAGCACTAGTTCAGGGCATGATGGGAATGGATGGTCAGGCATGCCTCATTATACCTTCCTCTCACTGGAATCCAGGCACAGCTGAGCAGCATTAACATTAAAACAGAGATCTGGCCGGGCAAGGTGGCTCACACCTGTAATCTCAGCACTTTGGGAGGCTGAGACAGGCATATCACTTAAGTCCAGGAGTTCAAGACCAGCCTGGGTAACATGGTGAAACCCTGTCTCAACAAAAAATACAAAAATTAGCCAGGTATGGTGGCACCTGCCTGCAGTCCCAGCTACTCAGGAGGCTGAGATAGGAGAATCTCTTGAACCTGGGAGGTGGAGGTTGTAGTGAGCCAAGATTGTGTCACTGCACTCCAGCCTGGGTGGCAGAGTGAGACAAAAACACACAAAAAAAACCAGAGACCTTATGAGTGACAAAACAGACTATTTGTAGCAATGAGAAACCAACATGACAGATATTAGGCCCTGAAATAAATCGAAGTATTTTATCCCAAAATATATTTCTTTGACATATTTTGAAATGGCCTTGCAAAGTTGTATTTTGTGAGGAAAATCTGCATTCTATAGGAAATGCCTTCTCTTTCTAGGTCTTTTTCCTGACTGAGGAGAGAATGAACTGAGTCTGTGGCACCTTTGAAACTCTGTTTCCAAAAAAAAAGAAAGAAAGAAAGAAAGGGGATACTTTCCAAGGTTTGTTTTATAGACTGTTCAGGTGTTATCTCTGCAAAGATAAGGATCTGGAATTCTCTGGGTGACTAACTTCTGTCTTCCCTGGTAGAGAGGGAAGAGAGACACCGTTACAAATTTACGTCTCGCTTTTAGGAACAAAGGGTCAGGGAAGAAAGCTTATATCCTTGTATCTGCTTCTTTTCAGTTTTGGGTTTTCAGCTCAAAACAGTCCTTATGCTAAAGTGGAATATTTTGTGGTGGCATATTCTGCTGCCCCTCATTAACCACAGTGAAACTAGTGAGAAATCTGATAATGCAGGCTAGAAACTGGTGTTATTTATGTATATCAAGGCAAAGTATTTACTAAAACTTTTATTATACTTGGAGGACACACTGTTTTAAGGAAAGAGGTTGGAAATAACAGAATATGAGTGGGTTTGGGGTACTCTTTGAAGACTTTAGCAAGAAATTCAATAATGAGTCAAGCTCAAGCAAGAATTAGCCAGTTTGTAATCAGAGATGAAAGGGAATGGAAAGAGCTGAGAGATTTGGAGGCTCATAAGGTTAGAAAAGCCAAATCCTTTTGGACCCAAGTTTTTCTTAAAGACCTATTGAGATTTTTTTTTTTTCCCAAAAACAAAGGGAGGTGTCTTTGCCAGGCCAGTGGCAAAGACCAGATTAAGGGTGTGGCTTTCCTACTCAAACCTATTGTTTCAGATGGTCTCAAGGTAACATTCATACAAATGAAGAAAAGAAGCCAGGGTTGAGCTCAGATGTCAAGAAATAAAGCAGGTTGAGTAAATATGGCTGGAAAAGAATGTTGGGTGTGCATACTGGCACATGAAACAGACTATAGGAAATACAACAGGGTCAGGCAAGTGACTCATGCCTGTAATCCCAGCACTTTGGGAGGTCTTGGGGAGGTTGGATCATTTGTGGCCAGGAGTTTAAGACTAGCCTGGCCAACATGGCAAAACCCAATGTTTACTAAAAATAGAAAAAAATGTGCTGGGCAGAGTGGCACATTCCTGCAATCCCAGCTACTTGGGAGGCTGAGGCAGGAGAATTGCTTGAACCTGGGAGTCAGAGGTTGCAGTGAGCTTAGATCGCACCACTGCACTCCAGCCTGAGTGACAGAGTGAGACTCTGTCTCAAAAAACAAAACACAAAAAAACAAAAAACAAACCAACAACAACAACAAAAAAAACTAGAAGCCTACTAAGATTTCAAGGGAATTGTATTGCCAAAGAAATAACAAGCTTAGCTTGTAAAAGCTTGTTATTGCTGAATCCCAAACCAGTTCCAAAGTATGGCATACTGCCCAATCTACTTTAAATTTGGCCTTGGTAGTAACGGTTGAGAAAGTACCTTTTATTATGCACATCTGGGTCCCCAGAGGACATGAGAGTTATTTCCAGGTAGCAAACTGGGCTAAGCAGACTATTTCACTGCTACAGTAAATTCTTTGATTTTTCTGTCTAGCAGGATTTGATCACTCCTGTGCACCAGAGACCTCTCTGTATTTCCTACCTTTCCCTTATTGAATTGTTAAACAAAATGATAGGAAGCCATTGTTCTGAACTGACTTCTTGCACTAGGCGCTGACAGACCAAAACAAAATGAAACCATTCATGCTAAATGTTATGTGATCAAACTGAAACTTTTAAAAAGCAGATAAATCCCAAAATGGACCAGGTTTTTTTTTTTCTGTCTTCTTAAAACAGGAGATTCCAGCATAATAAGGAGGGCCCCTCTGCTCTATTCCTTACAAAAAGTAGTCTGAAACAACCATTTTTTCCCTATTGTTCTTTGTCCTTGTTCCCAGCTTACAAAACCCACTGTTCTATTTCCCAGTGGGATTTGAGACCAAATAAATGGATTTATAATGGTGAAAGAGTGAAGTCAATGCTTAAAGTTTTGGTCAATCTCTCAAAATTGCCTACAGCTACCTCCTTACATATTTTAAGTTCAGCCTAAATTTTCTCCATATATAGTGAACTATAATCCAGCTGAATGCATGAACAGACTGTAATCTACTCTTTTTTTTTTTTTGAGATGGAGTCTTGCTCTGTTGCCCAGGCTGGAGTGTAGTGGCGCGATCTTGGCTCACTGCAAGCTCCGCCTCCCAGGTTCATGCCATTCTCCTGCCTCAGCCTCCCAAGTAGCTGGGACCACAGACACCCGCCACCACACCCGGCTAATTTTTTTTTTTTGTATGTTTAGTAGAGACGGGGTTTCACCATGTTAGCCAGGATGGTCTGGATCTCCTGACCTCGTGATCCGCCCGCCTCGGCCTCCCAGAGTGCTGGGATTACAGGTGTGAGCCACCGTGCCTGGCCTGTAATCTACTCTTACACCAATCTCAGTTTTGGCCAGTCACAGGTGGTCAGCTGTTTAAACCATGTTCAAATAAAGCAAATGCCAGGCTGTAACCAATCTAACTGTTTCTGTACCTTGCCTTCTTTTTTCTGTCCTTAAGTATTATCTGACCATGTGGCATCCCCAGAGTTGTGCTGAACCTATTCTGAATTATTCTTTGCTCAGTTAAACTCTGTTAAATTTAATTATTTGCCTTAAGTTTTCCTTTTAACAAAAGTGGGAGTTTTATCATGGTTATCTTGTTTCTGCTCCATCCTTGGATATTGGATGTGGTGTGGAGTAGGGCAGGAAAATTGGGCAGATTAAAAATGTCTTTGGCCAAGCATGGTGACTCACACCTGTAAACTCAGCACTTTGGGATGCTGAGGTAGTAGGCTGTCTTGAATCCAGGAGTTCAAGACCAGCTTGGGCAACATAGTGAGGCCCCATCTCCATAAAAAATTTTTAAAAATTAGCCTGGTGTGATGGTGCACACTGGTAGTCCCAGCTACTCAGGAGGCTGTGGTGGGAGTATTGCTTGAGCCCAGGAGGTCGAGGCTGCAGTGAGCCATGATTGTGCCACTGCACTCCAGCCTGAGTGACACAGCGAGGGAGGAGGAAAGGAAAATAGTTTGGCAGACAGCTAAAGTTGGTCTTTGGTAAAATTCTTTTAAACAGAAAGACATCCTGAAGAATCAACCTACAGGCACGCATAAAGCCACCTGGGGAAATCTCAGGCTGTAGCTGCACAGATAAGAAAGCAAGGCCTAACATAGAAGCCTTCATTCTTAGTGTAATTGTGGGCTCCCAGGAAAAAGTTTCCTCCCCTTTTCAGGTATGTACACAGTGGGCTCTGGGGGAACTTGCATGGGGAGCAGGGGTTCTTACTCAAAACATACACACCATTGCACAAACAAGAGAAACTGCACTTTGTGCCTGCCTAAAGACGTGCTTTCAGCTGTACAGATAAGGGGAGTTACACAGACAGCTTCACAGATAAGGGAAGTTACACAAACAGCTGCAGAAATGAGGGGAGTTTCTTACAAAAGCTTTTGGATTCAGCTATAAAAATGGCAACCCACTTTTGGGCCCCCTCTCCGCTGCAGAGAGCGTTCTTTTGTTTATTAAACTTTCGTTCCAACTTCATCCTTGTGTCTATGCACCTTAATTTTCTTGGCCGTGAGACAAAGAACTCCAGGTACTACCTCAGACAACAAGACCGTAACATTGTAGTGCATTGGCAAGACCGCAACAACAGCAATGAGGGCTGACAACGTGCTAGCAGCCCTCGCTCGCTCTCAGCACCTCCTTGGCCTCGGTGTCCACTCTGGCCCCACTTGAGGAGCCCTTCAGCCCCCCACTGCGCTGTGGGGGCCCCTCTCTGGGGCTGACCGAGGGTGGAGCCAGCTCCCTCTGCTTGTGGGGAGGCGTGGAGAGAGAGGTACGGGTGGGAGCTGGGGCTGCGCGCAGCCCTCGTGGGCCAGTGTGGGTTCCAGGTGGGCACGGGCTCTGTGGGCTGCGCACTCGGCGCAGCTGGCCGGCACCTGCTGGACTTGATCGGGGGATGAGCTCCCTCTGGGGTGCCAGAGTGCCCGGGCTAGATGCTGCAAAGTCCTGCAGTGAGTGCCAGTGAGAGGGGAAGCTGGCTGGGCTACTGGGATGGGTGGGGACTTGGAGAACTTTTCTGTCTAGTTAAAGGATTGTAAACGCACCAATCAGCACTCTGTGTCCAGCTAAAGGTTTGTTAAGTGCACCAATCAGCACTCTGTCAAAATGGACCAATCAGCTCTCTGTAAAATGGACCAATCAGCTCTCTGTAAAATGGACCAATCAGCAGGATGTGGATGGGGCCAGATAAAGGAATAAAAGCAGGCCACCCAAGCCAGTAGCGGCAACCCGGTGGGGTCCCCTTAAATGCTGTGGAAGCATTGTTCTTTTGCTCTTCGCAATACATCTGCTGCTGTTCACTCTCTGGGTCCGTGCTGCCTTTATGAGCTGTAACACTCACCACGAGGGTCTGCAGCTTCACTCCTGAAGCCAGAGACCATGAACCCACCAGAAGGAACAAACAACTCCAGATGCACCGCCTTTATGAGCTGTAACACTCACTTGCAAAGGTCTGCAGCTTCACTCCTGAAGTCAGTGAGACCACGAACCCGCCAGAGGGGGAAGAAACTCCGGACACATCTGAACATCTGAAGGAACAAGCTCCGGACACACTGTATTTAACAGCTGTAACACTCACTGCTAGGGTCCGCGGCTTCATTCTTAAAGTCAGTGAGACCAATAACCCACCAATTTTGGACACAGCAAGACCCTGTCTCAAAGGAAAAAAAAAATCTTTTAGTTTATAGGTACCAAAACTACAAAGGTCCCCCAAAAATATGTTATCTGTAGTTTCTGGACGTTGAACTGGTTTCAGTAATGGAATGGGACTTCGGGTTTCTCTTTTGGAGAAAAATTGTATTCCACTTGAGGGAGGTGTTAAATCAGTTTGGCCTAAAGCTGCCTCCTTACATATTTTGGGTTCAGCCTAAAGGGTATTTCTCTGTACATCATGAACTCTCACAAGTGGAGGTGTAAACAGACGGTAGCCTACACTTGGGCCAATCACTGTATTTTAGCCAGTGAAATGTAGCCAACTGTTTGAACCATTTTCAAATAAAGCAAACACCTAGCTGTAACCAATCCGACTGTTTCTGGACCTCACTTTCATTTTTTGTACTTCACTTTTCTGTTTCTGTTCCTAAATCTTCTACCACGTGGCTGCGCTCGTGTCTCTGAGCCTACTCTGGCTCTGAACACTGCCGGATTCACAAATCATTCATTGCTCAATTAAACTGCTTTAAATTTAATTTGGCTGAAGTTTTTGTTTTAACAGAAGTAAGATGCACACGGGTATGTAGATTTCCAGGATGTGAGCGCTGGCTGAGATTACCAGTGGTCTGTCAATAACCACACAGGTTCTTTGATGAAGGAAATAAAAACAAATGGCTGTATTTTTTAGGGGGAGGGGTAAGCTGTTGTTACAAAGAATCCAGTGTCATACATTGGTTTAAAGAACAACTAAGTTTATAGTGTTCTCATATAATAGCCTCAAGGTGAGCAGTTCTGTTTGGGGACTCATTCAGGGACTTGGTTTCTTCAGTTTTGCAGCTCTGTCATACCTTAGGCCATTGTCACTATCTGCAGAGTCAAAGCTTAATCAACTTTCAGACTAGATTCCAGCAAATGAGAAGGGGAGACAGATCCTGGAAGAGACCTTGACCAAAAATGGCTCACATTCCCATGGCTAGAACAGTTACACTGGCTTTATTAACTGTAAGGGAAGGCTGGGGATGTGGTTGAACAGGCCAGCCATGAGCTAGTCATACCTGTTTACTATGTTTTTATTTCCTTCATCTGCCACTCATACAAGGAAACTGTGTTTATTATATTAGTCTTTTGCTGAAGAAAATAGGAGAGTGATGGCCAGCTTTCACTTTATCAAAAAGGATTAGCAGGCCAGGTGCGGTGGCTCATGCCTGTAGTCCCAGCACTTTGGGAGGCCAAGGTGGGTGGATCACGAGGTCAGGAGTTCGAGACCAACCTGACCAATATAGTGAAACTCTGTCTCTACTAAAAATACAAAAATTAGCTGGGTGTGGTGGGGGGCACCTGTAGTCCCAGCTACTCAGGAGGCTGAGGCAGGAGAATCGCTTGAACCTGGGAGGCAGAGGTTGCAGTGAGCCGAGATTGTGCCACTGCACTCCAGCCTGGCAACAGAGTGAGACTCTGTCTTAAAAAAAAAAAAAAAAAAAAAAAAAAATGAGCACGGCATACAGATTTGAACAAAACGTTAGTTAGTTTGTTTGTTTTGCCAATGTCCCTTTCCCAGAACTCCTTTGGGGGACTTCTCATTGATAGTCTTTTTTTAGTTCTAGTCTCCTATAATCAACAATAACCTCCTAATTTCCAAATCCACTACCTCAGCAATCATATTCTGTGCTTCTTCATGGTGTTTGACACTCCTGACCACCCTTTCCTTTCAAAAAAAATGTTCACTCCCCTCTGGTATTATTTTGCCCTGGTAACTCCGTAGTCTCTTTGCTAGCCTCTCCATCCACCCTTTCCGTGGCAATCTTTCAGGGTCACTTCTCGACTCTCTTTTATTCTTATTCCACACTCTCCTTCGTGGGTCAAATTCATTTCCCTTTCCTCAGATATCAATTTTATGAAGATGATCCCTGAATTGATTTCTCTGGCTTGGGTTTCTCTCTCTTGCATTTCAAATTGCCTGTTATATATTGCCATATAAGTGTTTTGCCAGAAGATCAAATATACATATTTATACATTTGATAAGTGTATACATTATAGGCATCTATTAAATATTGGGCACTGTGCTAGGCCTTAGGAGTACCATGAAAAATAAAATGGATATGGTCCTTGTCTATTACAGCCTATCTTCTATGAAGTAGAATTTAACTGGATGTGTAGGTTTTCAGGGGGCGTTGGAGTGTTCTAGGCAGAGAGTATAACCTGCATACAGGCCCTGGAGCACAAAGTTCAAGGAACTAAAGATCAGGGTGACTCTAGCAGAAGGGAAAGTAACATAATGTTTAAGAAGCAGGCACAGGATAGACTGTGTAGGACTTGTAAACCATGTTAAGATTTCACTCTTTATACTAAAAACTACAGAAAGCCATTAGCAATATTTTAAGCAGATCTGATCATATTTGCATTGGAAAGATCACTCTAGCTCTGGGGAATGAATTAGGGTTTTGGAGAGAATCAGTGGCAGATTAAAAAATAGGCTATGAGGGATATTTTGTTGGTACAGTAGACAGGATTTGGTGAGAAATTTAATAGGCAGAGGAGGAAGAGAGGTATAGTGGTTAATTGCTGGGTTTTGGGACTTGAATAATTGCATGGATGGTGGTACCATTCACTGAGACAGGGAGTGTTGGAAGACTACCAGATTTGAGGGAAGATAGATGTTAAACAGGCAGTTGGACATTATTATATATATACACATATTATATATATACATATTATAGATATACAATTATATATATATTTATATATACATATATACATATTATATACACATATATACATATTATATATATTATATATATACATATTATATGTGTGTGTGTATATATATATATATTTTTTTTGAGATGGAGTTTCACTCTTGTTACGCAGGTTGGAGCACAATGGTGTGATCTCGGCTCACTGCAACCTCTGCCTCCCGGGTTCAAGCGATTCTCCTGCCTCAGCCTCCTGAGTAGCTGGGATTACAGGCATGCGCCACCACGCTCGGCTAACTTTGTATTTTTGGTAGAGACGGGGTTTCACCATGTTGGTCAGGCTGGTCTTGAACTCCCGACCTCAGGTGATCCACCCGCCTCGGCCTCTGAAAGTGGTGGGATTACAGGCGTGAGCCACTGCACCTGGCCAGTTGGACATATTGACTTATACCTTACAGTAGAGATCTGGGCCAGAGATGTAAATTTATGATTTTATATGGTAATTAAACCAAGGATATGAATGAGATTTCCTAGGAAAAAAAGTATATAGTGAGAAGGAGAGAGGCCAAGAGAGGAACTCTGGAATTTAATTGTTTAGTAGAAAGTATGACTGAGAAGGAGCAGCCGGAGGAGTAGGAGGAAAACCCAGAGCAGGAGACAGTGGGAATGCCCGACAGTGTTGGATGCACTGAAGATATCAAGCAAGGGGTTTAAAATACTGAAAGCATTTGGTGAAGTGGAGGTCTTGTGTGACATTAGTGAGAGTTATTTATATGAAATGATGGGTGGAAACCAGATAAGAGATACCTGAAAAGTGAGTGAGAGAGGATGAAAGGGGAATGGTTGGAATATATAGCTCTGTGAAGGAAGAAGAGGTAGGCCAGAAGCTAGAAGGGAGATGTGAGGTCTTTCATGTACGTCCGTGTGAAGAGACTACCAAACAGGCTTTGTGTGAGCAACATGGCTGTTTATTTCACCTGGGTGCAGGCAGGCTGAGTCTGAAAAGAGAGTCAGCAAAGGGAGATAGGGGTGGGGCCGTTTTATAAGATTTAGGTAGGTAAAGGAAAATTACAGTCAAAGGGGGTTTGTTCTCTGGCGGGCAGGAGTGGGGGTTGCAAGGTGCTCAGTGGGGGAGCTTTTTGAGCCAGGATGAGCCAGGAAAAGGACTTTCACAAGGTAATGTCATCACTTAAAGCAAGGAATGGCCATTTTCACTTCTTTTGCGGTGGAATGTTATCAGTTAAGGCGGGGCAGGTCATTTTCACTTCTTTTGTGATTCTTCAGTTACTTCAGGCCATCTGGACATATACATGAAAGTCACAGGGGATGCGATGGCTTGGCTTGGGCTCAGAGGCCTGACAAGGTCCATAGTGGTTTGTTTATTCATTTTTTTCTTTGCATATGTTTAAATGTGAATGGGAAGGAACCAGTCAGGAGGGAAATGTTGACTTCATGATACAGCAAGTTTTCTGAGAGGGGAGTGCTTTGAATCCCTATCGCTCTACCCTCCCACAGGCCTCTCAGATTACTTTAGGAAGGAGATTTCTGTTATAATAGGAAAAGTACGGCTACAGCTGCAGGTAATGTTATATGTTTGGTAGAAGTAGATGGGAGGCTTCTAATTTGCTTCTTTTATATTTACCTAAAGTAGAAAATAAAGCTATTTCCTGAGAATGAGAAAAGTTCTGTGAGGGGTTGGGGGGGAGGTGTAGGAGTGTTAGTAGGAGGATTCAAGAGACTAGGGAAACATAGAGAAGTATTCCAGTTATCTATGGCTGCCTAACCAACCATCTCAAAGTTTAGCGGCATGATTATTTCATTGTGCTCATAGACTTTGTGAACCAGGAATTTGGACAAAGCACAGTGAGGACAGCTTCTGTATTGCATGGTAGAGGCTCTATTGCCACTGCACCCGGGCTCCTAACTGTTTTTCAAACTTATATTGAACTACTCGGTTCACCTTCTGGGGTGGCTGTCTTTGATGATACTGTCTCTATGGCGGCAGGTATCATAAAGTCACACTGACATGCTCATTCACAGAAATCATATCGAGCACTTAAGACTGACGTATTTGCTTTTCTTCTTTTAACCTCATTCTTTTTTTTCTAAAGATTTTTATTTTATTAATGTTTTATTTATTTTTTGTTATAGGGACAGAGCTATAAACATACATTTTCCATTCATTCTAGAATTGCCTTTTCTCTCTCCAACCTGGTTAGAAGGCTTTCAAATCACCAGCTTAAACACCATCACTTCTTTGAAGCCTTAACTGATTTCCTTATTTTGTTGGTGGTCCCAAAGCATTTGGTTTGAGTTCTTAAGTACCATACCTAGAACAGTTGTTCCCAAATTTGTCAGTGCAGTATCATCACCTGCAAATCATTTAAGAAAGGCAGATTTCAGGGTCACACCCCAAACCTACTGAGTCATTCCTTTTGGGCACACAGTGATCAACAATTATGTAATTGTTAGTTGATTGATAGACATTTGCATAAGACACCTGTAGGCCCATTAGACTCTTTTTTTTTTTTTTTGAGGTGGAAACTTGCTCTGTCTCCCAGGCTGGAGTGCAGTGGCATGATCTCAACTCACTGCATCCTCTAACTCTCAGGTTCAAACAATTCTCCTGGCTCAGCCTCCTGAATAGCTGGGACTATAGGCATGCACTACCACACTTGGCTAATTTTTTATTTTTTTTAATTTTTATTTTTTTAGTAGAGATGATGCAGATAGGCGACAGGGAAATACTGGGTGGAAGAGGGTGGTTCTGTGGCAAAGGCCCCACCATCACACCTGAAGACCCCCAGCTCTAAATGAGGACAGGCATTCCTGTTTTTCACACCCAAAAAGTTGCCCTGTGGCTCACCACATCCTCTATCCTCCACCCATATAAATCCTGAACCCCAGGTTCCAGAAGCAGACAAGCAAGCCAGCAGACCAGCAGACGAATGGTAGAACAGCATGGCAGAGAAAGAGAGAAGAGGAGAAACAGCTGAACACCTAGAGGAGTTCAGATAGAGGTGGTTGGAGAGGAGTCCGGCTGCTGGGCAGCCTGACTCCAGGGGAAGATCACCTTCCTACTCCACCCCCACCTTCGGGGTCCCCATGCACCCTGCTGAAAGTGACCTTCACCTCACATTCATCCTTCAAGCCCTTGTGTGACCTGATTTTTTGGGAATGCTGGGCAAGAACTTGGGATACAGAAAGCTGTCACACTGGACTTCTACCCTTGTGAAAAGGCAGAGGGTGCATTGAGCTGATTAACACTCAAGCCGTCTGTGGATGGCAAAGCTGAAAGAGCTTTGTGTTACTAAGATTGCAGGCACCCATCCCTAGACACTGCCAGAGCCCAAAGTGCTCACCCTGGCCTCTGCACCTGCTCATCTGCATGCTCTCCCTCTTGCTAGGGGTTTGAGTAGCAGGGCAATTGAACAGGCAAGCCATACTGCTGTTGCATGTCCTGTGAGGGGGATCAGGGAACTCTCCCATTTCAGAGACGGGGTTTTGCCATGTTGGCCAGGCTGGTCTCGAATTGCTGACCTCAAGTGATCTGCCTGCCTTGGCCTCCCAAAGTGCTGGGATTACAGGCAAGAGCCACCACGCCCAGCCCCATTAGACTCTTAAATCCTCAAGATCAGAGGCTATGTTTTATTTCAGATCCCTCTGTAGTGCTTTGCCCATGGGAGATGTTCAATACATTTTGTGGAGTTTGTCTTTGTCTGTGTCTCTTGGGATTAGTCATTTGCAGAGACTTTTCTATATGCTGTTCTTTTTCTCTTGGATTTCCATCAGATGTCACCCGATTCTGTTCTCTTTTTTACTTAGCCATCTGGGGCCCGATCACCACAAACAATAATAACAGCAACAACAACAACAAACACAGTATGTAGGTGGGAAGTACATTCAAGTTAATAAAACCGTGAATGAGGTTGGCATTTTGCTTGCGTTTGTGTGAACTCTTTTTCTAGTCAGGGGATCAAAGGTATTTCATATTTTTATTTATTTATTTATTTATTTATTTATTTATTTATTTATTATATACCGACAGGGGCCTCACCATGTTACCCAGGCTGGTCTCAAACTCCTAGGCTCCAGCGATCCTCTTTCCTTGGCCTCCCAAAGTGTTGGGATTACAGGAGTGAGCCACTGTTCCTGGCTGGATTTTATACTTTTAAAATGTTAAAGGCAGTATTTTTGACTGTCTTCAAGGTGAGCATGGTACATACCAGGGGAACAAATGGAATTCCCAATGATCACGTTGGTATAGGTTTTCTTTTATTTTTATGGTAGGGTGGGAAAGGGAACAGAAGGGTCTTGCAATCTCGCCAGGTGAGCCTAAGCATCTAGTTCCCTGAGATTTTGCTCAACATGCTTTGTTGAAGCAGCTTAAATCTGGCTATAGCAGCAGTAAGGGGTGAAAAATGGACAGGAGAGAATTAAAATTTTGTTTTTATTTTCAATCCTGGCTAATCACAAAACAAATGAATCATGATCTCAGTGCAGTGATTAAAAAAGGTTGATTTAATTTGGCAATAGTTAGTGGATTCTGCTGCTAATTAAGCATGTGTGTTGTACGTGGGAAGGTATATTTGGGAAGCAGTTATTTCTCACTGCATACCTGTCTAATATAGCTGACAGTTATAGCCACAGTCCCTTTCTCCCCCCTTAGGATTTTGTTTGCAGCTCCTTTAAATGCCAAACATTTCTGCTAAAAATAGCTGTTCCATTTTCTCGTGACTCCACCCAGGTCAGTCTGCCTGCCTCCCTGGCTTCCCAGGTGGGCATATCCACATTGCAGTTTTGTTAGCTAGTCTTTGTATGATTTCTTCTCCCCTCCAACTACAGATGTCCCACATTGCACTTCCGTGACAGGGCTGCAGTGTAGTCGCTATGCAGGGTTCCTAAATAGCGTTGAGTAGAATGGATGCCAACAGCTGCATTCAGCTGCAGTGGAGGGACTTTAAGGGAGTGGGCACCAGAGTAAACATTTCAAGTGGAAAAATGTCACTGCTGAGGGAAGTAGTCTCTTTTAATCATTTAAAAACATTTCAAGACCTTGCTAGACAGATCAGTGTGCAGCATCGGGTGAAAGGGAAGTGGAAACAATGAGAGGTCACCAGACAAAGAAACTGGAAGAAGCTTGGAGGGAATGTATGATCCTGATTCTAAGATGCACATTTTTATTTCATATATCAATACTTCAGATGTTGAGATGTATCTTACAACTGCTAGGTGCGTTTAATAATTTCCCCTGCTTATCCTTCCAGCACCCCATGCCACTCCATAAAATAAAACCATTATTTAAATGAAGTTGTGACGCTTGCACTGAGTGATGTCTAGATTTGAGGAAACACCACGTTCACCAAGGGAAACCCATTACAGTCTAGAGTTTACCCCTCAGCCATGTGAGCTAAGAATCCTAATTTGTGAGTACACAGAAGGACTTTTTGTTTTTACACCTTTATTGAGGTATAGTTTATATACAAAAACTACACATATTTAATGTATACAACTTGTGGAGCTGGGGCATATGAATACAACTGTGATACCATCACTACAGTCAAGGAAATAAACGTATGCATCTCCTCCGAAAGTTTCCTTGTGTCCTTTTGCTTTTGTGTGTGTGCTAAGAACACTTACTATGAGAGCTGCCCTGTTGAAAAATTTTTAAGTATACAATACCATATTGTGCACTATTGGCACCGTGTTGTACAGCAGATCTTTAGCATGTATTCATCTTGTATAATAATAACTTTATACCCACTGAACTCAATTTCTCCCTTTCCCTATCCCCTGGCAACCACCACTCTATTTTCTGCTTCTATATATTTGACTTTTTTTTTTTTTTTTTTTTTTTTTTTTAAGACGAAGTCTCGCTCTGTCGCGAGGCTGGAGCGTAATGGCGTGATCTCGGCTCGTTGCAACCTCAGTCTCCCGGGTTCAAGCGACTCTCCTGCCTCAGCCTCCCGAGTAGCTGGGACTACAGGCGTATTTTTGACTATTTTAGGTACCCCATATAAGCGGAATCATGCAGCATTCAGAAGCACATTTTCTTTTCTTTTCTTTTTTCTTTTTTGAGACGAAGTTTCCCTCTTGTTGCCCAGGCTGGAGTGCAATGTTGCGATCTTGGCTCACCGCAATCTCCGCCTTCTGGGTTCAAGCGATTCTCCTGGCTCAGTCTCCCGAGTAGCTGGGATTACAGGCACGCACCACCAAGCCCGGCTAATCTTGTATTTTTAGTAGAGACGGGGTTTCTCCACATTGGTCAGGCTGGTCTCAAACTCCCGACCTCAGGTGATCAGCCCGTCTCGGCCTCCCAAAGTGTTGGGATTACAGGCGTGAGCCATCGCGCCCGACCCAGAGTACATTTTCTAAGGAAAAATCTCATATTTACTTGGCTTACAAAGACTTACACATAAATTCAGACTGTTAATTGAAATAACAGACAGAGGAGAGGAATGGAGGAATGCCCGTGTCAGAATTACCAACCAATTCCCCTCCTAGAGATGGACTTTTACTTGGAAACCATATTTTAATCAGAAGACAGCTTGGAAGGTCTCCAGGTAGGGTGAGGAGTCCACCTTAGGTGATCCACCCGCCTTGTCCTCCCTAAGTGCTGGGGATTACAGACACTCCTTCCTTCCTTCCTTCCTCCCTCCCTCCTTTCCTTCCTTCCTTCCTTCCTTCCTTCCTTCCTTCCTTCCTTCCTTCCTTCCTTCCTTCCTTCCTTCCTTCCTTCCTTTCTCTCTCTCTCTTTCGGAGTCTCACTCTGTTGTGAAGCTGGAGTGCAGTGGCGGATCTCGGCTCACTACAACCTTGCCGCAAGGTTCAAGTGATTCTCCTGCCTCAGTCTCCCGAGTAGCTGGGACAGCTGGGACTACAGGCACCTGCCACCACACCCAGCTAATTTTTGTATTTTTAGTAGAGATGGGGGTTTCACCATGTTGGCCAGGATGGTCTCGATCTCCTGATCTTGTGATCCACGCGCCTCGGCCTCCCAAAGTGCTGGGATTACAGGCATGAGCCACCGCGTCCAGCACTCTGTTTATGGCATCCATTATGTTACATTATTGATTCTCAACCTTAGATGTACATTCAAATGACCTGTCTCTCCCTCCACCTTTTTTTAGGGGAAGAATTATGCTTGTACATTACACCACAGGGACTGTACATACATAAACTTCTTTTAAACATAGAGGTGGGGTCTTACTATGTTACCCAGTCTGTTCTTGAACTCCTGGCCTCAAGCAATCGTCCTGGCTCAGCCTCCCAAAGTATTGGGAGTACAGGCATGAGCAACTGCACCCAGGCTATATATACTCTTGTATGCCTAGTTTCTCTCACCCAATATAATGTTTGTAAGATTCATCAGTGTTGTTGCATGTGGTTGTAGATTGTCAAATCCCAATGCTGTACAGAAATCCATTGTATAACTTTATTACATTTTACTTATCCATTCTAAATAGGATAATAAAAATTCGGGTAATTTCTAGTTTTTGGTTATTTTGAATGCTGTTATGAACATTCTAGTACGCGCCTTTTGGAAAACATATATGTATACATTTCTATTATATACCTAGGAGACACATTGGTGGGTTATAAGATATGCCTATATTATTAAGCCAGGTGCAGTGGCTCACGCCTGTAATCCCAGCACTTTGGGAGGCTGAGGTGGGCAGATTGCTTTGAGACTAGCCTGGGCAACACAGTGCAACTGGTCGCTACAAAAAATACAAAAATTAGCCTCGTGTGGTGGCGCATGCCTGTGATTCCAGCCATTCAGGAGACTTAGGTGGGAGAATTCCTGGGGGCCGGAAAGTTGAGGTTGCAGTGAGCTGTGATCGCCCACTGCACTCCAGCCTGGGTGACAGAGCAAGACCCTGTCTCAGAAAAAAAGAAGAAAAAAAAAAAAAGAAAAAGCTATGCCTAAAGGCTAAGTGTATATAGAATATTTTCTTTAAATGAACATCAAACCACATGACTGACCTGCTAAAATCGTCACTGGCTTTCTTCTATAGTCTGAGTAAACCATATTCCACACTACAAGGCCCACAGGACCAGCCCCTATTTAATTCTCTGGCTTCATCCCATATCACTCTTTTGACTCAGCCGTGTTTGCTCCCATTGAGTAGTCTTCCTGCATGTGGGTCTCCTGCTTTTTCCTTTGTTTGCAATATGCTTATTGCCAGTCCTTCTCCCTAGGCAAGCCCACACTGCTCAGTTCCTAACAGGAAGCTTCTATTCATCTTTCAAATGTCACTTTCATGGAGCTTTCCCTGATCGTGGTTATCTAAGTATCTCCATTTTATTTTCTCTAATTCTATCAAATTTCTTCATAGCACTTATGACAAATTTGACAGTATATACTGATTTTTGTTTCTGGTTATATACTATTTTTTTTCTTTTTGAGACGGAGTTTCACTCTTGTTGCCCAGGCTGGAGTGCAGTGGCATGATCTCTGCTCACTGCAACCTCTGCCTCCTGGGTTCAAGTGATTCTCTTGCCTCAGCCTCCCAAGTAGCTGGGATTACATTCAGCCTCCCAGGTAACTGGGATTACAGGCATGCACCACCACACCCAGCTAATTTTGTATTTTTAGTAGAGATGGGGTTTCACCATGTTGGTCAGGCTGGTCTCGAACTCCTGACCTCAGGTGATCCATCCGCCTCGGCCTTCCAAAGTGCTAGGATTACAGGCATGAGCCACCATGCCCGGACTGTTTCTGGTTATATACTATTAATAATTTTTGTTTCTTGTTTTTCTGTCTCTTATTCTAGCCTTGCAGTACTTTAAAAAACAGCCGTGTGAATATTCCACTCCCAGACATCTTGATATAATTATTTTGGAGGAGATCCTAGCCTTGGTATTTTTTAAAAGCCTCTCAAGCTCATGATTGTGTTATAGCATTTGTAATATGTTATTAATAGTACATGCCCATCATCATAAATAAGTATTGGAGACCACTGGACCAGTCCATATGATACCTCATTTTACATACTAGGGAACTATGTTGCTTAATATATAATCTGAACTATGTTCACTGTTACACAACTGGTTACTGCTATGACTGGGACAGCTTCGCTTTCTAATTTCATTGCTCTTCCAGTGCAAGGCAAACTCTGGGGTTGCATATTCTAATTATTCGTGCATGTCTGTCTCCCTCACTGAATTGTAAGTTCGTGAGCAATTGGGACTGTGTTTATCTTTTTATTCTTCATAGCACCTGTATAATTCCTTGGTCATAGCAGACTGTCAATAAGTGTGTTGAGAACAAATAATATAACCATTTCGATCACTTATCTGACACCTATATAATATGCTTCACTGAGCTGTTTCTGTTTTGTACCTTAAGCACTGACATTTCATTATTTCAGAATCTTTTTCTTTATACATTAAAAGGCTGAATCAATTTCAGAGCCTTGAAGCCAAAGAGGTTTGAGGACCCTTGAAAGTACAGTACCTTTTCTGGAGTATTAAGTATCAATAACAACAGGGATTTTCTTCATCTACGGTTGGATATATTATTCACCAGTGTCAGAAAATAGAGTCTCCTCAATCAGGAAGAGTTTCTGGTTATTTCAAGAATTATAGATTACTATGTACTTACAGGCATCACTTTACCCACAGTATCTGACTCAAATTCAAATGAAAAAATTCACTGTACAGTGAATTCACTTCTGATGATTTGTGTTTTATAAAAAAGGGAAAAATAATAAATTCAAACATCCAGAACTCTGTCATAAATTACTAAGGTAGTTCTGGCTCTAGGAATTTTTGGTTTGGGCACTTTCCAAAGTAAGTGAAAATATAATTATCAATAAAATCCAAGAAATTTGTGGTTGGAACATAAGAGAAGCTACCTACTCTTATCGGGAGGTTGTGTTTCTAGCAAGTAGAGTGTCTGGCAAATTTTCATCTGGCAAGATTAAGGTCTATTAGGAAATAGAGAATATGGTAGAAACAACTAAAATAACATAAAATAATAGGCTTTAAAAATTCACAATAAATGAAAAGTCAAGAAAGAACCCATTTTATTAATATAGCAGTCTGCTCCAGAATCATCCTCTTTAATTGATCAAGAAACATTGATATTGGCTTAATGATCTGCTGAGGCCGTAGGTTTTGTTTCATATGAAATGCGCTTCCTTTACAGTGTTCTGGGCCAGTCCCTGCTAGCTTAAAATGTAATGACTCGTGCTCTTGCATTCTTGTTTTGTTCTTGCAAGTCTTGCAAAATGCTAAACTCACAAATGATTGTGGTGCTCAAGGGCATGTTTTCTAGTGGTATATTGAGAGAGTTAAATGTAATCAGGTCTTCCTGCACTCCTTCTCAGACCTGCCCCCCTGTTCCACAGGAGAAGCAGGGAGGGGAAGTTAGGAAACAGTGTATACTGAGGAGGAGCTTTAAAAATGTAGAGTGATGATATGGTTTGGCTGTGTCTCCACCCAAATTTCACCTTGAATTGTAATAATCTCCACATGTGAAGGGCAGGGCCAGGTGTAGGTAATTGAATCATGGAGGCGGTTTCCCCCATACTGTTCTTGTGGTAGTGATTAAGTCTCACGAGAGCTGATGGCTTTATATATGGGAGTTTGCCTGCACAAGCTCTTTTGCCTGCGGCCACCTAAGACGTAACTTTGCTCCTTATTCGCTTTCCGCCATGATTGTGAGGCCTCCCCCACCATGTGGAACTGTGAGTCTATTAAACCTCTTTCCTTTACCCTTTACAAATTACCCAGTCTTTCGTATGTCTTAAGCAGCGTGAGAACAGACTAATACAAGTGACAACGTAAAACCAATGACCTCAAAACCATTGCTAGAAAGAGATTTACAATATTTACAAGTCTCTCTTTCTACTCTTCAAAAGAATCATGAATGTGACATTTGCGGTTTATTATATAGTAATAGCCCCTTACTTGTCTATTACCCCTTTTCAAGTAACCTTTTTTTTTTCCGTAATTTTTACAATCTTCTTAGGGATAAAATCAGAAAGTTAATTTATTTGTGTTTCCCATAGTTAGTTGGAATTTATGCAGTGGAAGAAATTTACCCAGTGAATGAAATTCAGAACAAGTCTCATGACTTCTCTGCTTACATGGAGGTAATAAAAGTTTTTTGTGGTCAGTAATTAAAATGCTCAGTGCCACAAATAGTCAAAACTCCAATTCTGATTTACATTGAACAAGTTCTTCCTGCTGGGGAAAGGGGATGTGGTCAGGTGAGAGGGAGAGAGGAAGGTCTAGATTCTGATCTAGTGTTGGTTTCCGCTGGTTTTGGCCCATGTTAAAGCTGATTTTTTTTTCTCATAGTTTCTTTCTTGGGACCTTCAGAGGCCCTCCCCAACTGCATCCCTTGGGAATCTCACCAGCAATTTCAGTGACCCAGACTAATGGCTCTTTGTGGCAGCCAGTCACTTCCTGGTAAATATTTTCATTTTCTTTGCTCAGTGTCTTTTTTGGAGGGCGTGCCATGCGATACTGCCTCTCCTTCACTTGAGCAATTTCTGTATTTTCCAAGTCAGATATTGAATCACCCAGTATTCTAAATGACACCAATTTGCTTTTAAATCCCTCTCTACCTGAGGTGAAAGTGGGCATTCTTAGGGTAACCAGCCAGTCTGGTTTGCCTAGGATTGTTCTGTTTTTTTATTTTAAATTTTTTTTATTTTTACACCCCTCTCAGCTCATACCTAATGCCTGCGATTTTTCTAGTTACAGTACTGAAACCCCTGCGTCCCTGGAAACTTCTCCCTGGGATGCAAAAAATCCTTTCCCCCCCACCCCAGCAGATATGGAAGGTTGGGAGAAAAGCATATGACTTCTATGGCAGCCCCCAAATAGGGATGAAAAACAACATTGTTTTCAGTGTTAAGTATATGTGGCATAAATTGTCCATCCTCCATAGTTGCTGTTGTAAGGGACCACTCGATAGTACTTAGGATGAGCAGTGCTTCAACAGGGTCACCATGACACAGCCATGCTAGACAAAACAACACAAAAAATCACGCACATATAATTATATAATATATAATAAATAGTTCTACACAGGTGTATTATTACTCTAAATAAAAATATGAAATTATTTTACATTTCATATTTATGGTATTTTTGAAATTATGTATTATTTACTTCCCAGTTACATAAATGCTATTATTGATAGAAAACAATAGGACTAGTTCGTAGTGGCAATTAGTAGACATTAATGGTAGGACTAATTAAATCAATACTATGTATGAGAATATCATAATTTATGTTTCTCTGTCTTTGGTTACAGCAAAATGTGTGTGTATACATGTATACATATATATGTGTATATATACTTACTATCCCTCTGTTGAAAACAGCAATATAAATGTGTGTGTATACATATATATGTATTGTATATATGTATATATTTACTATATCTCCTATGTTGAAAACAGCAATATATTTAAACTATGTATTAAATCTTTTTTTGGATAAATTATTGCTTACCAACATCTCTTTCTCTTTCTCTCAAAACAAAACAAAACTCTTCTCTAACCTCCCACCTCCCACCCTGATTTGAGTGAGTCCTAAAACAGGTGGTGAAAATTAGATAATCCTGCATGAGGTCTTGCTCTTTGCCTTGGAATGTGCCACTTTGGAGCCTCACGCTCAGTTTTCTGCATTTAGCAAATATCTTTTCATTTACTTTTTCAAATTTCTGGTGAGCTCTTTTTTACCCCTTGCTGCCCTATGAATAGTCCCTTCTCTGAAAACCAACTTGATGATGCTTTATGAATTCTCTATTTTTTTTTTTTTTTTTTTTTCCAGTCTTGCTCTGTTGCCCAGGCTGGAGTGCAGTGACGAGGTCTCGGCTCACTGCAAGCTCCGCCTCCCGGGTTCACGACATTCTCCTGCCTCAGCCTCCTGAGTAGCTGGGACTACAGGGGCCCGTCACCACGCCTGGCTAATTTTTTTGTATTTTTAGTAGAGACAGGGTTTCACTGTCCTAGCCAGGATGATCTCGATCTCCTGACCTCGTGATCTGCCCGCCTCGGACTCTCAAAGTGCTAGGATTACAGGTGTGAGCCACCGTGCCCAGCCGAATTCTCTATTCTTGTATGATCAGGAACAAATACACTTGCACCTTGCCTTGGGGCACAGGATTGATCAGGGTTGTGGATGCTTCTTTTCAGCAGAAAAATGCTCCAGGATATGTTTGTTTACTTCAACAGATGTAGTGAAGTTTTAATTATTCACTATGACTGGTAGTTGAAAAACTGCCCGATTCCTTGTCCATTTTAATGTATAAACTTCCTTATGGTTTTAAAATATTTAATATTTAGAAGAAAACAGTGGATTCATTAGTAGAGGCTTTAGCATTAGTTAACTATTTGTAGACTGTATTCCCTTGGGGATGTCTTGCCTCTCTCTTTTTTTTTTTTTTTTTGAGATGGGGTCTTACTATGTCATTTAGGCTGGAGTGCAGTGGCGCGATCTCGGCTCACTGCAAGCTCTGCCTCCCGGGTTCACGCCATTCTCCTGCCTCAGCCTCCTGAGTACTGGGACTACAGGCGTCCGCCATCACGCCCGGCTAATTTTTTGTATTTTTAGCAGAGATGGGGTTTCACCGTGTTAGCCAGGATGGTCTCCATCTCCTGACCTAGTGATCTGCCCACCTCCGCCTCCCAAAGTGCTGGGATTACAGGCGTGAGCCACTGCGCCCGGCCTGTCTTGCCTCTTTTTAAGTGAGGTTGAATATTTTATTAGCTTTCTATTTTTGTATAACAAATTACCACAAATTTAGTGATTTTAACAGCACACACACATTTGTTATCTCGGTTTCTGTGAATCACAAGTACAGGCACAAGTTAACTGAGTTCTCTGTAGAGTCTCACCAGGCTGAGTGGAGATGCCTGTTGGGCTGTGTTCTTATCTAGAGGTGAGACTGAAAAAGATCTTCTAGGTTTATTCAGGTTGGTATTAGGATTCAGTTCCTTAAAGTTGTAGGACTGAGGTCACCATTTTCTTGCTGGCTGTCAGCTGGGGTCCCTCTCAACTCAGAAGGTGCTGCCATTCCTTGCCATGTGGTACACACATGGCAGCCTACTTACTCAAAGGCAGTAGGAGACTCTCACTTCAATCCGATAAAAGAGAATCCTGCATGACATAATATAGTCAATGGAGTTGATTGCATTATCCTACTCCATCATCTTTTGCCTTAAATTTTAATCTAATTAAGAGACTGGCTATTCCATCAAATTCACAGTTCTCACTCACACCCGGGGAGGCAATAATTAAGGTTGAATAGACAAGAAGGCAGGGATCTGGGGAATTCTTAGAAGTCAATGTATCACATGGATTTTTTATGTTTAAAAGCCCTTTGTATTTTCTTTCTGTAAACTGTCTTTCTATTTTATTTTATTTTATTTTTTGAGACAGGGTCTTACTCTGTCACCAGGTTGGATAAACTGTCTTTTGATATTCTTTGGCTGCTTTTTTCACATATTCCAAAAAATACCAACATTGTATAAATGAGTACAGGATGAGTGAAGTAAAAGGGCAAATCCATTGGGCAAGCTTTGCCCCAAACAGAAAGTCAAGGTGGGTGGTAAAAAATTTACTTCCCTGAGAACCTGCTTTGGAGGAGCACTGTTATATGAAAACTGAGTTAATCCTCTCTCTTTGAATCCTTCCTGAGGATTGGTGCTTTGACTCCCAGTTCCTGCTTCTCCCAATCAAGTTTTTTTTTTTTTTTTTTAATTAAACTTTAAGTTCTGGGATACATGTGCAGAACATGCAGGTTTGTTACATAGGTATACATGTGCCATGGTGGTTTGCTGCACCCATCAACCCATCATCTACATTAGATATTTTTCCTAATGCTCTCCCTCCGCTTACCCCCCGTCCCCCAACAGGCCCCAGTGTGTGATGTTCCCCCCTCTGTGTCCATATGTTCTCATTGTTCAACCAATCAAGATCTTAATGGGAGGAGGGTTAAGCAGATCCATTTCTTCTTCTTTTTTTATTCTTTTTTTTTCAGAGGTGGAGTCTTGCTGTGTCACCCAGGCTGGAGTGCAGTGGCGTGATCTCGGCTCACTGCAACCTCCGCCACCTCCTGGGTTCCAGCAGTTCTCCTGTTTTAGCCTCCTGGGTAGCTGGGATTACAGGTGCTCACCACCACACCCAGCTAATTTTTTTGTACTTTTAGTAGAGGCAGGGTTTCACCATGTTGGCCAGGCTGGTCTAGAACTCTTATCTCAGGTGATCCACCCACCTTGGCCTCCCAAAGTGCTGGGATTACAGGCGTGAGCCACCGCACCTGGCCAAGCAGATCCATTTTAACACCAAGAAACTTAACTTCAAAATCTTATTGCTCATCTGAAACAAACCTTACGTCTTAATTCTTACAGGACTGAGTTCTGTAACATTGTGATTAGGCCCATCTTGACAATCCAAGACAATTTTCCTATTTTTAGGTCAGCTGGGTAGCAACCTTAATTCTATCTGTTCCCTTAATTCTCCTTTGCCATGTAATACAAGTTCCTGGGATTAAGATGTATATATCTTTTGTAGAAAACATTATTCTGCTTAACACAGGGTCCTATAATTAGCTTAGTCTGGTATACATGGCCACTGCTATGATTGGTGGGAGTAGGGATATGACTGCAACCCCACCAGCATTCCTATAGTTTAATAAGATGAACAGTTCCCTAAAATAAGTCAAACACCATTCTGGACAGAGAAAATATTTTTCTCCCATAACCCCATCTGCATGCAAATTCTTACTAATTATTCTTTGATATATATACAATTTTGCATATTATTGTATTCAAGTGGTAACCGGTGATACATGTTACCTCATTACATTGCATTTTCAAAATTCAGTAACATATATTTATCGCACTGTTAATTTTGATAGCAGCTGTCTTTGCTGGTTATGCTTCTCAGATGGTCAACAGATCATGGATTATTTGGTAAATGAGTTATGTTGACATGGCCTACTTCTGGATTTTGCTCATCAAAGAGTTTGGACATAATTTCTTTATGAATTTCTGTGTATCTCATGCTTCTTATCCTAACTTTCAACTTTAAGAAATTTTAAAATTATGCTTTCGAATGAGAACGTTGATAATGCTTTTACTCCTCTCACGGTGTGTATTAGTTTGTTAGGGCTATATGTCAAGGGTTCCCTAGAGAAACAGAATGCATATGTTATAAGGAATAGGCTCATGTGATTGTGGGGGCTGACCAGCCTCAAGATCTGCAGGGTGAGTAGGTGATATGGTTTGGATATTTGTCCCCTCCAAAGCTCATGTTGAAATGTGATCCCCAGTGTTGGAGGTGGGGCCTGATGGGAGTTGTTTGGGTCATGGGGGCAGGTCCCTCATGAATGGCTTGGTGTCCTCCCCACAGTAATGAGTGAGTTCTTGCGTTGTTAGTTCATGAGAGAGCTGGTTGTTTAGAAGTGTGTGGCATCTCTCTTGCTCCCTTTTCTTGCTATGTGAAACGTCTGTTCCCTTCTACCTTCTGCCATGAGTTAAAGCTTCCTAAGGCCTCACCAGAAGCCAAGCAGATGCTAGTGCCATGCTTGTACAGCCTGCAGAAATGTGAGCCAAATAAACCTATTTTCTTTATAAAATACTCATTCTCAGGTATTCCTTTACAGCAACACAAAACAGACTAACGTGGTAGGCAAGTTGGAGATCCAGGAAGAGCCAACGGGCAGTTTAAGTTTGAAGGCAGGAAATAGTCAATGCCCCAGGTGGAAGGCAGCCAGGCAGAAAGAGTTCTCTCTTACTCAATGGAGAGTCAGCCTTTTGTTCTATTCAGGCCTTTGACTGATCTGATGAGGCTCACCCACGTTAAGGAGGGCAATCTGCTTTATTCAGTCTAGGGATTTAAATGTTAATCTCATTTAAAAACATCCTCACAGAAACACCCAGAATAATGTTTGACCAAATTGGGCCACAGGTGGGCACTCTGTGGCCCAGTCAAATTGACACGTAAAGTTAACCATCACAGGCTGCCATACCAAAGTACCAAAGACTGTTGTTTAAGTGTCTTAAACAACATAACTGTATTTTCTCACAATTCTGGAGGCTAGAATTCCAAGATCAAGATGTTGGTAGAGTTAGTTTATTCTGAGGCCTCTCTTCTTGGCTTGTAGATGGCCATCTTCTCCCTTTGCCTTCACATCGTCTTCCCTCTGTGTGTGCTTGTATTCTAATTGTCTCTTCTTATAAGGGCACCAGTCATGTTGGACTAGGGCCTACCCATGTGAACTCATTAATTACTTCCGTAAACACCCCATCCTCACATATAGTCACATTCTGAGGTACTGGGACTTAGGACTTTGCTATATGAATGGTGAAGGAGTGAGGAGATGCAATTCATCCCATAACACAGCGGAAGTGCCTTTTTTTTTTTTTTTGAGATGGAGTCTTACTTTGTCCAGGCTGGAGTGTGAGGGCATGATCTTGGTTCACTGCAACCTCTGCCTCCCAGGTTCAAGCAATTCTCCTGCCTCAGCCTCACGAGTAGCTGGGATTACAGGCACTTGCCACCATGCTCTGCCAATTTTTGTACTTTTAGTGGAGACTGGGTTTCACCATGTTGGCCAGACTGGTCTCAAACTCCTGACCTCAAGTGATCTGCCCGCCTCAGCCTCCCAAAGTGCTGGGATTACAGGCATGAGCCACCACGCCTGGCCAGAAGTGCCATATTCGTTAATAAAGGTGTGTAAGATCTGAAAGTAGAAACAGAGTTTAGGATGTAGATTGTACTGGGAAGGCACAGGAATGGAACTAGACAGATAGGCACATGTACAGCTTGATTGGTCAAGCACGGTATCATATAGAATCTATAATAAATATTTAGTCCAGGGGCCCAGCTATCATCATTAAGTCCAAAAGAGAATGTAGGTACTTCCTAGGGGTATAACATAATGTCCTTCAAGAATATAGAACTAAGGACAATAAGACTACTCTGAAAGAATTAAATACATAACTATTCAAGAATCATCAGCATAAATATACATAATATAATCTTATAGTCCAGATCAAGTCTTGACTAAAATTATTGGCATATTTCTTTTCTTTCCCCTACAAAATACTATGTTAATTAATGAAGTGGGAGAAATTGGTCATCCATAGAAACATCAAAAACAAAAACAGATCAGCCTGTTTTAGGGGCAAATGTTGGCAACGACCACATAGGTGCACTCTGGGTAGAGAACATCTTGACCCAATGACTTGTCAGTTCTTTGAGCAGATAATATACCTTTTCTTGAGAGGATTGCATCATGTTTTGAGAGCCTGATAGTTTAACATTTAGATCTGTTAACTAACTCACATGTAAACCAGTGAGACCTGGTAACCTGAGAAGTTTGGCTATAGGAACAAAATATGCTGGCTAGATAATATGAAGTGCTAAACCCCTAACTAAATATATTTCTTGCTGAAAGTTTATAAATTGACACGCTGGCTTACACATGAGGATTTTGAAAGCTTTGTTACTATCAGTTGGTATCTTTGAACTTGGCCAATCATGAGACTTGGGAAAGTCAAACTTGTAGGTCTTTGTAAGAGTGAACTCTGTATTTTTGTTAATGTACTAAGGTACTGTCGCTCTTTGTGGCTTTGTGTCAGAAGCCTGAGGATAGTTTTGGCATTACTCCAACCTCATCATACCATTTGTGGTTGAATTTCTGCAATAATAATGGGGTATCTTAGTGTTAGTATAGACTATTACAACTGGGAACCATCAGCAGATCAGGGGCTCAGACACTGGGACCGTGTGTGTGTGTGTGTGTGTGTGTGTGTGTGTGTGTGTGTTTAGGATGCAGGAGAGGAGAATTTGGATGAGAATATGAGGTGAGCCCACAGGCAGAAGGGAATAAAGAAAGGCACTACTAGCTAATTTTTATATGCTATTTACTATGTGCCAGGTATTTTCCCAAGCTCTTTTATGTTTATTAACTCACTTAATTTTTATAAAACTCCATGGGGTAAGTACAATTGACTTCTTTATTTTAAATATAAAATTGAGACACTTAGAGGTTAAGTAAACTACCCAAGGTAGAGTAGGATTTGAACTCAGGATGTCTGGTTCTACAGTCTGTGCTTTTGACCATTAAACAACCATCATCATAGGATCATGTAAGAATTCCAGTGACTAGGAAAAGATCTCAGAGCTGGCATCTGGAATTACTTATCCCTGAGTGCTAGAGGCGGTGACTTTGTACCCCTCCTCCCTTGGGAAACTGCAGGTAACATCTTTAGTGTTTATTGAGTGACACTCTATGCTCGGTGTTAAGCTAGGCATTTTATACTATCTCCTAATAATTTAGGGTTAGTTCTAGAAGGTTCATAATGGAACCAAATGCCAGATGATGATGATAATAGTACTAATAAAAATATTGTGATACTCTATAGCAAAAACAATGATAATGAAAATAGCAGCTAATATTTGTTAAGGGCCTTCATTGTGCCAGGCATTGTGCTAAGCACCTTTTATACACTATCTCATTTATAACTTCCCCAAAGCCTGAGGTGAGGACTATCATTTGGTAGAATTGTTGCATTTTCCAGTTTTTTTTTCATTTAAGCCACAGAGAGGATAAATAGTTCACGAATGGCTCTGGTTGAGGGTAGAAGAGAACTGTAAGGAGGGAGAATCAGAATGGTTTTGAAAGTTGTGGAGATTAAATGTGTAAATATTTAGACAAGTGGTTTATATTATAAACAGCTATACGAATGAAAGATTGCTTATACTATCCACCCTGATTTTGCTGTATACTGAAAGCACTCAGAAACCAGCCGGCAGGGAACACAGTCTGCCCCATCCCACTGGAGGATGCTGGCAGCAAAAGCTTCCACCATCTGGCTTGGCAGTGCCAGGCTCTTACCTTGCCCAGGTGCCTGTGTGGATAAGATGGTGGGAGGGAAGGCAGAACCTCCGAATCCATAACTCCCAAATCCTCAAGGGAGACCAAAATATTATTCTGTTGCTTTCTGGAGTTCTCTCAATTTGAATTAAACTTTCCAGTTAAGTCCCATCCATTGGCCAAGTTAGTTTTTGGCCAACCCAATCTTACTATCTTCCATGGGTCCTGCTTGATGCTGCCTCTTCTGGAAGTGAGAATGGGCATTCATCCCTACCATGCCAATTTCTCAAGGGATAAAAAGGAAACTTCCACAAATATTTCACTTCAGTAGATGATGAAGATTCTATAAAGAGATCATACAACTAGGGAAATCTTCCCTTTTGATCATGTCACTTTCCTTTTCAAAAATCTCTGTAATTCTTCAGTGCTTGCAGAATCAATCCCCAAATCCACCAGCCATCATTCAAGGCCCATTAAAACCACACTAACTAACCATCCTTGTCCAGTCACTTCTGCCTCCTAGAGGTGCATGTGCAAGTGGGAAGTGATGGTGAAATTAACATCCTGGTGGTGAACCTCTGACTAATGGGAAACCAGACACCCTTTCCAATCCTACCAAGATGCATTTTATGTAACGTCTCAGGGGTGCAGTTCTACAGATCCAGCAATGAGTTGCATTTAGCTGTGGCCAGATCAAAAATGCATTCTTGTACTGGTTCTCCCTCCCTCCTTGCTTCCCTTCTCTTGTCACTCACTTCTGCTCCCTAATAAAGTAATAAATTATGTGCAAGGTCTCTTCTGCCTCAGGTTTTGCATTTTGGAGAAGCCAGTAAAAACAGTTAAGAACATAGTTTTTGAGATCCTTGTTCTCACTTGTCAAAAATATTATCATTAATCATAATATTATTTGTTTAAGAGCATGTAAGATTATTGAATAAGAGAAGGGCTCAGACTCCACATTGTGTGGTTTTGAATCCTGGCTTCACCACTTAAAGACTGCAACTGGGCTGTATGTGGTGGCTCACACCTATAATCCCGGCACTTTGGGAGGCTGAGGCTGGCAGATCACGAGGTCAAGAGATCGAGACCATTATGGCCAACATGGTGAAACCCTGTCTACTAAAAATACAAAAATTAGCTGGGCATGGTGGCGGGCACCTGTAATCCCAGCTACTCAGGAGGCTGAGGCAGGAGAATCACTTGAACCCGGGAGGCGGAGGTTGCTGTGAGCTGAGATCATGCCATTGCACTCTAGCCTGGGAGACAGCAAGACTTTGTCTCAAAAAAAAAAAGTGCAACTTTGCTGTGGTAAATATTATGGAACAACTTACTCAAACCTCATTTCACTCTCCTTCTAGATGGATATTGAAAGGTTAAAATCTATATTCTCCACACTCTAATGCAGCTAGCATTCTGGATGTGAGTTCATGTACTTGTGTGATATTTGAAAGGCAGAACTGAATCAGAGACCATTCTCCTCTTTCTTCTTGGCTTCTCTTACTGGCGAGCAAGGCTGCGAACAATTCCCACAGAGTCACCCTCCATTATCCTGGGTGTTGACAGACAGTTACAATGATAGAATGATCTAAATGTTTCCTCTCCTGATCCTTGGCCAGAATAAAATGAACAAGAAAATACACTCAATTGGCAACAGACCATGAGTTAAATAATTAGTGAATCTGAAAGTGGGACTTTCAGAATAATAGCTTTCAAGGAATAACAGCAGAATTGGCCTGAAGACTGGAGTAATTGAAAAAGTAGATATGAGCGGCAACTTACCTCTTTTGAAATAGTGTTTCTCCTGACTGGAGGACTTACTTGGAGTTTAATCTTTACCTGCTCTTACCATGTGATGATAGATAAAACACTCAGACTCTCTGAGGGTTCAGTTCCCCATCTATAATATGTAAATGATGAGCCCAACCTGGTGTGAGGGTCACGGGTGTGAAAGTGACTGTAGAGGGTGTCTACCTCTGTCTTTGCCGGTGTGTATGTCTGTACATCTGTGTGAGTGCATGTGTGTGTGTAAATGCATCTGTGTAGGTCTTTGTGCCTTTATCTGAATGTATGTTTCATGTTTCTAGTTTGTATGTCTTTGAGTTTTTACGGGCATGTTACTGTGTGCATGGGTGTGTGTGTGTGTGTGCACATGTGCTAGTTTATATATACATATCTATTTTGTGAAGGTGTGTTATGTACGTGATGTTGGACGGATGTCTCTCCATGTAACTGAAAACATGTATGTACATGGGTAAGTTTTTGCCTATGCTTCTCTATTTGTGTGATTTCAGTAACACTCTAGTGTACAGGCTCAGAACCTCCTATAGAAATGTACAGAGCACCCTCTAGTGTTCAACAGGAGACAGTGCCTTGCCCACAACAGAGAGCAGGGCCTAAATTGCCTTCCATAAAGCAATGGTCCGCACATGCCCATGGCTGGCTTTCTGGGACTGTCCTTAAGAGGCAGAGGTGGATGGTCTGGAGTGGGGTGCCCCTGTGACAGAGAACTCTGTACAGAATGTGACTCACAGGAAGGTGCTTGATGATGTGAGGTGAAAAGCAGCATCTGCTGCCTGTGGGGACAGGATCACCAGGGAGCAAGTAGGGCATAGGGATAAGAGTTTATTATGCTTCATTTTCATTTGGCGAGTCAGTGGGAAGGTGGTTGGTATATAATCAGATTGCAGTGGCAAGGAAACTTACCTCTGTTCTGTACATCTGAGGATCCGCACTCGAGAAGCTGATCCCAGAATACGCTATATTCCTATATGGCTCTGTATAGAGAATGTTGGGGCGGACAGCATCTGAAGTACATAGGTGCTGCCTATGGAATGTTTACTCTGTGCCAGGCACTGGACTAAATCCTTTAAGTATTATGTTATTTGATTCTGTAAACAACTACACAAAGTGAATACTATTAATATGTCCATTTCAAAGATGAGAAAATTGAGGTCTAGCAAAACTAAATAATTTGTCCAAGGACACACAGTTGAGAGGTAATAAAACCCGATTTTGAATCCAAATCATCTAAAATAAAAACACTGCTCTTAATCATTACAGGGCATTCCATGGTCCAAACCACCATTTTATAAAAGACAACATGAAAACCAGAAGCAGGGCACTGGCTGCCAATTTGACGTAAGATAACTGGAAGGAAAATGCTGATGACTTAAAGTATGTGAAATTTTGGCAAGGCTGCCAAGACCATTCAACAAAAAGGACAATCGTTTCAGTAAATGATGTTGGAAAAATACCCACGTACAAAAAAATAAAGTTGGAGCCTTGCTTTATACCATGCACAAAATTAACTCAAAATGAATCAAAGACCTAAACATAATACTTAAAATTATAAAACTCTCAGAAGAAAACACAGGGAAAAAGTTTCATGATATTGGATTTGGCAATGACTTTGTGAATATGATACTAAAAACACAGATATCAGAAGAAATAGATAAATTAGACTTGATCAAAATTAAAAACTTTTAGGAATCAATGGACACTCAATAGAATAAAAAGACAACACGTGGAACTGGGGGAAATATTTACAAATCTACATTTGATCAGGAGTTGATATACAGATTATATAAAGAACTTTTATAACTCAGCAACAAAGAACCAATTTAATTAAGAAATGAGGAGAAACAGGACAAAAATGTCCATTCTCATAACTTCTTCTCAACATAGTACTTGAAATCATGGCCAGAGCAGTTAGGCAAGGGAAAGAATCAGAAGGTATCCAAATTGGAAAAGAGGAAGTTAAATTGTCCCTGTTTGCAGATGATATGACTTTATATATAGAAAACTCTAAAAATTCCACCAATAAAACTCTCAGAACTGATAAACAAATTCAATGAAGTTGTAGGATACAAAATCAACATACAAAAATCAGTAGTATTTCTATGCTAGGCTTGATGGCTCATGCCTGTAATCCCAGCACTTTGGGAGGCTGAGGTGGGTGGATCACATGAGGTCAGGAGTTTGAGACTAGCCTGGCCAACATGGCCAAACCCCATCTCTACTAAAAATACAAAAATTAGCCCGGCATGGTGGTGCGTGTCTGTAATCCCAGCTACTCAGGAAGCTGAAGCATGAGAATCACTTGAACCCAGTATGTGGAGGCTGAAGTGAGCTGAGAGCGCACCAGTGCTCTCCAGCCTGGGTGACAGAGCAAGACTGTCTCAAAAAAAAAAAAAGGCTGGGAAAATTGGATATTCACATGCAGAAGAATGAAACTGAACCCCTATCTTTCACCATATATAAAAATCAACTAAAAATGATTTAAAGACTTCAGTATAAGACCTGAAACTATAAAGCTACCAGAAGAAAACAGGGAAGACACTTCATCAGCCTGGGCAATATGGCAAACCCCATCTCTACAAAAAATACAAAAATTAGCCATGTGGGGTGGTGCATGCCTGTCATCCTAGCTACTTAGGGAGTTGCGGTGGGAAGATCTCTTGAGTCCAGAAGGCAGAGGTTGCAGTGAGCCAAGATCACGGCATTGCACTCCAGCCTGGGTGACAAAGGGAGACCCTGTCTCAAAAGAACAAAAGCAAAACAAAACAAAACAGAAACACTTCATGACATGAGATTAGGCAAGAATCTTTTGAATAGGACCTTAAAACATAAACAACAAATACAAAGATAAAGACATGGGGTTACATCAAATTACAAAGGTTCTGCCTGGTGAAGGAAACAACAGAGTGAAAAGACAACCTGTAGAATGGGAGAAAATATTTGCAAACTATGCATCTGACATGGGGTTAATATCCAGAATATATAAGGAACTCAAGCAACTCAGCAGCAAAAAACAAACAATTCAACTACAAAATGGGCAAAAGACCATGTTGATTCAGCATTATTTACAGTAGCCCAGATATGGGCTTAACTTAGGTGTCTAACAATGGATGAATGGATAAAATGATAAATTGATAAAATAAATGTATAGTTATGCACTGCATTACAGCATTTCAGTTAATGACTGACCAGAAATGTGACGGTGGTCCAAAAAGATTACAAGGCAGCTGAAAAATTCCTATCACAGTGACATTGTAGCTGTCATAACAGTGTAACACAATTACTTTATTTTTATTTTTTTTATTATACTTTAAGTTTTAGGGTACATGTGCACAACGTGCAGGTTTGTTACATATGTATACATGTGCCATGTTGGTGTGCTGCACCCATTAACTGATCATTTACATTAGGTATATCTCCTAATGCTATCCCTCCCCCCTCCCCCCACCCCACAACAGGTCCTGGTGTGTGACGTTCCCCTTCCTGTGTCCAAGTGTTCTCATTGTTCAGTACCCACCTATGAGTGAGAACATGTGGTGTTTGGTTTTTTTTGTCCTTGCGATAGTTTGCTGAGAATGATGGTTTCCAGCTTCATCCGTGTCCCTACAAAGACATGAACTCATCATTTTTTATGGCTGCATAGTATTCCATGGTGTATATGTGCCACATTTTCTTAATCCAGTCTATCGTTGTTGGACATTTGGTTTGTTCCAAGTCTTTGCTATTGTGAATAGTGCCGCAATAAACATACGTGTGCATGTGTCTTTATAGCAGCATGATTTATAATCCTTTGGGTATATACCCAGTAATAGGATGGCTGGGTCAAATGGTATTTCTAGTTCTAGATCCCTGAGGAATCGCCACACTGACTTCCACAATGGTTGAACTAGTTTACAGTCCCACCAACAGTGTAAAAGTGTTCCTGTTTCTCCACATCCTCTCCAGCACCTGTTGTTTCCTGACTTCTTAATGATCACCATTCTAACTGGTGTGAGATGGTATCTCATTGTGGTTTTGCTTTGCATTTGTCTGATGGCCAGTGATGATGAGCATTTTTTCACATGTCTGTTGGCTGCATAAATGTCTTCTTTTGAGAAGTGTCTGTTCATATCCTTTGCCCACTTGTTGATGGGTTTGTTTTTTTCTTGTAAATTTAAGTTCTTTGTAGATTCTGGATATTAGCCCTTTGTCAGATGAGTAGATTGCAAAAATTTTCTCCCATTCTGTAGGTTGCCTCTTCACTCTGATGGTAGTTTCTTTTGCTGTGCAGGAGCTCTTTAGTTTAATTAGATCCCATTTATCAATTTTTGCTTTTGTTGCCATTGCTTTTGGTGTTTTAGACATGAAGTCCTTGCCCATGCCTATGTCCTGAATGGTATTGCCTAGGTTTTCTTCTAGGGTTTTTATGGTTTTAGGTCTAACATTTAAGTCTTTAATCCATCTTGAATTAATTTTTGTATAAGGTGTAAGGAAGTGATCCAGTTTCAGCTTTCTCCATATGGCTAGCCAGTTTTGCCAGCACCATTTATTAAATAGGGAATCCTTTCCCCATTTCTTGTTTTTGTCAGGTTTGTCAAAGATCAGATGGTTGTAGATGTGTGGTATTATTTCTGAGGCCTCTGTTCTGTTCCATTGGTTTATATCTCTGTTTTGGTACCAGTACCATGCTGTTTTGGTTACTGTAGCCTTGTATAGTTTGAAGTCAGGTAGCATGAAGCCTCCAGCTTTGTTCTTTTGGCTTAGGATTGACTTGGCAATGCAGGCTCTTTTTTGGTTCCATTTGAACTTTAAAGTAGTTTTTTCCAATTCTGTGAAGAAAGTCCTTGGTAGCTTGATGGGGATAGCATTGAATCTATAAATTACCTTGGGCAGTATGGCCATTTTCATGATATTAATTCTTCCTAGCCATGAGCATGGAATGTTCTTCCATTTGTTTGTATCCTCTTTTATTTCATTGAGCACACAATTACTTTTAAAAAATAAATTTAGCCTAAGTGTACAGTGTTTATAATAAAGTCTACAGTAATATACGGTCATGTCCTAGATATTCACATTCACTCACCACTAACTCACTGACTCACCCAGAGAAACTTTCAGTCCTACACATGCCATTCATGGTACTTGACTATACAGGTAACTGTTTAAAAAATCTTTTGTTTTTCAAGATGGGGTCTTGCTATGTTGCCCAGGCTGGAGTATAGTAACTATAGGCATAATCATAGCACATTGCAGCCTCAAACTACTGGCCTCAAGCGATCCCACCATATCAGTCTTCCAAATAGCTGGGACTACAGGCGTGCATCACTGTGTCTGGCTGATTTTAAGAATCTTTTATACCATACCATATTTCTATCATGCTTTTTTCAAATTTTTTATTTGAAGTTCAGGGGTACATGTGTAGGATGTGCAGGTTTGTTACACAGGTAAATGTATGCCATTGTGGTTTACTGCACGGATCATCCCATCACCTAGGTATTAAGCCCAGCATCCATTAGCTGTTCTTTCTGATGCTCTTCCCTCCTCCCACTCCCCACCCTCTGACAGGCCCCAGTGTGTGTTGCTCCCCCTTTGTGTGTCCATGTGTTCTCGTCATTTAGCTCCCACTTACAAGTGAGAACGTGAGGTATTTGATTTTCTGTTCGTGCATTAGTTTGCTGAGCATAATGACCTCCAGCCCCGTCCATGTCCCTGCAAAGGACATGATCTTGTTCCTTTCTGTGACTGCATAGTATTCCATGCTGTATATTATCATACCTTTTCTATATTTGGATATGTTTAGATACACAAATGCTTGCCATTGTGTTCTAATTGCCTACAGTATTTAATACAGTAACATGCTGTACATGTTTATAACCTAGGAGTATTGCTCCTAGGCACACCAATGGCTATATCACGTAGCCTAGGTGTGTAGTAGACTATACCATCTAGGTTTGCCTGAGTACCTGCGGTTAGGTTCACACAATGACAAAATTGCCTAACAACTCATTTCTCAGAATGTGTCCCTGTCATTAAGTGATGCATGACTGTATATATACACAACAGAATACTATTTAGGCATTAAAAAAATAATATTGTGTCATTTAGGGCAATATAAATGAACCTGGAGGACATGATGTAAAGTGAAATAAGCAGGCATAGAAAGAGAAATACTGCACGGTCTCACTCACATGTGAAATCTAAAGAAGTTGATCTCATAGATGTAGGAAGTGTAATAGTGCTTACCAGAGGCTTGGTGCTGGTGGTGGTGTCGTTTGGGGGGTGGGGGCATGCGGGGAGGGAAGATAGGGAGAGATTGGTCAAGAGGTACCAAATTACAATTAGATAGAATGAATAATCTGTGGTGTTCTATTGCTTGGTAGGGGGACTATGATTAACAATATTGTATTGTATTTATCAAATTAAAGAAAAGAATTCCCTTAGGGGCTTCTAGTTCTATGAAGCAGCGGCCCATCACATCTGCTGAGGTTGTGGGAGACAGCAGTCTGAAGAAAGTGGAGAAAATTGGTAATAGTTTTGAGGAGGATGTGCAGGAGTGTTGGCTAAGGACATAATGATGTAAGCGCCACATAGTAGGCACTGAGTAAAAACACATGAAGTATGAGTGCATAAGAATGATAGTTGACCATTAATGGGATACCATGAGTTTATGGCGGCACCAATATTCTTTTTTTTTTTTTTGAGGTGGAGTTTCGTTCTTGTTGCCCAGGCTGGAGTGTAATGGCATGATCTCGGCTCACTGCAACCTCCGCCCTCCGGTTTCAAGCAATTCTCCTGCCTCAGCCCCCTGAGTAGGTGGGATTATAGGCATGCACCACCACACCCGGCTAATTTTGTATTTTTAGTAGAGATGGAGTTTCTCCATGTTGGTCAGGCTGGTGTCGAACTCCTGACCTCAGGTGATCTGCTCACCTCGGCCTCCCAAAGTGCTGGGATTACAGGTGTGAGCCACTGCGTCCGGCGGTGGTACCAATGTTCCTATGTGAATGATCTTACTTGAGGATAGCTTGGAAAAGGCAGAGAATTTGGATTTTGGTAGGTTGGAGTGAAGGAAGGAGAATGGCTATTTGGGTTGTTTAAGTGATGGATCATAAAATCTATAATGGTAAGGTAAAAACTAAAGACGAAGTTGCTGACAGAAAGTGGTAGAATTGCTGTATAGAAGGTACTGACAAGGGGAATTAGTATGTGGACATAAGTTGGAAGGACTGAAGGCTGTTTGGAGGGTGAGAAATTCCACTTGTATTATTTCTGAAGAATGAGCTGTTCCTGGTGAGTAAGGTCTAGGTTGTAGCCATTACTGTACTGGAATGGGGGCAAAGAACTCTGAGATGAAACAGTCTAAATCTGGGAATTGAGGTGCCAGTTTATTTGATGTTCCATCACAGGGATGTATAGGTCTCTCATATATCTCCCCACTCTTTGAAATCCCTGCCCTCCACCCCTTCCTGCCTCTTCTTCAACCTTCCAGGGTCTCTATAACTATCTGCACTCAGAATTGACAGCAAGTGTCAGGAGCTGAAGGGAAATCATGAATAGCTAATAAACATAAACCATTATTCTTTTTTAAAAACTTATAGTTTCAAGAGTACATGTGCTGGTTTGTTATAAAATAATTTGCATGATATGGCATTATTCTTTTTTTTTTTTTTTTGAGATGGAGTGTCTCTCTGTCGCCAGGCTGGAGTGAAATGGCATGATCTCCACTCACTGCAGCCTCTGTCTCCTAGGTTCAAGTGATTCTCCTGCCTCAGTCTCCTGAGTAGCTGGGATTACAGGTGTCCACCACCACCCCTGGCTAATTTTTGTATTTTTAGTAGAGATGGGTTTTCGCCATGTTGGCCAGGCTGGTCTTGAACTCCTGACCTTGTGATCTGCCTGCCTCAGCCTCCCAAAGTGCTGGGATTACAGGCATGAGCCACTGCACCAGGCCTGATATGGCATTATTCTTAACTTTACTAGTAGTGATGAAAATGAGAATGAAAGCCAAAATGAAAAACCATTTCACACCCATTATACTGGCAAAAATTAAAAACATCTGAGAGCCAGGTTCAGTGGCATGAGTCTGTAATCCCATCTTTTTGGGGGTGCTGAGGCAGGAGGATGGCTTGAGCACAGGAGTTGGAGACTAGCCTGGGCAATGTAGTGAGACCCCATCTTAAAAGAAAAAAAAATCTGAGAATATCAAGTATTGTGAGCTTGTGGAACAGTATCTCTTCTATTCTGCTGTGGGAGTTCACATTAGCATCATCGATCACTCCTAAGTATATATCCTAGCGAAACCCTTACATGTTTCTCTAAACATCTAATGGGATGTTTAGGATTGTTTTTTGTGGCATTATTTGCACTAGGAATAAAATGGTAATATCCTAAATATCATTTCAAGTGTACTTGCTGCCATCTTTCTATTGGGGTCAAAAAAAATCTTTTTCTTATTGAAAAATTTAGAAGCACTTTATTCTGGATACAAATAATTACAGGTGTAGTATAATTTTAGTCCATACAGTATGGAATTAAAGGAATGCTATAAATTCATCGAAAAAGAATTAACTAAAACTACCTGTATCAATATGAATAAATTTCACAAAAAAGACACAACAAGGTACAGAGGAATACGTTCAGTATGATACCATATGAAGTTTAAAAACTTGCAAAACAGAGCCGGGCATAGTTGCTCACGCCTGTAATCCCAGCACTTTGGAAGGCCGAGTCGGGCGGATCACAAGGTCAGGAGATCGAGACCATCCTGGCTAACACGGTGAAACCCCGTCTCTACTAAAAATACAAAAAATTAGCCGGGCATGGTGGTGGGCGCCTGTAGTCCAGCTACTCGGGAGGCTGAGGCAGGAGAATGGCGTGAACCTGGGAGGCGGAGCTTGCAGTGAGCTGAGATTGCTCCACTGCACTCCAGCCTGGGCGACAAAGTGAAACTGTCTCAAAACAACAACAACAACAAAAACAAAACAAGCAAAACAGGCCGGGCACGGTAGCTTACACCTGTAATCTCAGCACTCTGGGAGGCCGAGGCGGGCGGATCACTTGAGGTCAGGAGTTTGAGGCCAGCTTGGCCAACGTGGCGAAAGCCCGTCTCTGGTAAATAAAATAAAATAAAATAAAATAAAATAAGCCAGTGTGGTGGGCGCCTGTAATCCCAGCTATTTGGGAGGCTGAGGCAGGAGAATCGCTTGAACCTGGGAGGCAGAGGTTGCAGTGAGCCGAGATTGCTCCACTGCACTCCAGCCTGGGTGACAGAGTGAGACCCCGTCTCAACAGCAGCAGTGGCAACACCACCACTCATGCAAAACAATAACATTTTAAAGGCATTTATACCTTTATAATAAAAAGTATTAAAAAGGCATGGAGATGAGAAATACTGATGTTGGTGTTTATCTGTGAGGTGGAGGAAGGCTGATGTGTTGGAAAGGACACCCAGGAGGTTTATGCTGTGCTGTTGGTCATGTCTTACTTCTTAAGCTAGGTGAGGATATATCGGTGTTTCCTTTCATTCTTTCTACTTTATTTGTATCTATTACATGTTGATTTAAAAATAAAATATTTGTATCTCAAACATATATAAATAAGGTAAACATTATTTCTCTTTCCAATTGCTCCTTTAGTAATTATGTCTCCCCCCCTCCCCCCGCCCCCCAGCTTTTCTCATTCCTATGGCTCACACTCTCCCTCTACTGGTAGCTCCTGCAACCACAGATTACTTCCTTCCTTGTTTTAACATGTCCTTGTTTTTAATTGAAGTGATGAACAGAAAGACTTTACCTTTGTCCCTGTGTTGTTTGTCATCTAGACTTTTCATTCAAAGACCAGTTTTCAAAGTAAAGTGCTAAATATATTATAAAAACCATTGAAGGGGTTCCATCTCCCTTATGAACGAAACAATTTAAAACTGGCTTTGCTTGGTTACTGTAATAACCAGGGAGACTCTGGGTGGGGGCGTGGGCTGCAGTGGAGTTTAGTTTCATTTTGGAAAATGGATATTTAAGAGGAGGGTACTTTGGAGAAATATTTGAGAAAGGATATAAGACATTGTGCATTTATATGCTTATTTGTATTAAAATGAATTTGACAATAATCAATTTACTTTGCTTGAGTCCTTAACCTAATTTTTTTCTAATGATATTTAAGCCTGTTCTTTGGCCTCATTTTTCCTGTCATTGTAGACAATAAATGTCCATCAATATTTGCATATTGTTCTTTTACATGGTGAAATTATTTTTTAGTTTCCTATTTCTTGCTTCTCTGAGCGAAGTTCCTATCAACTATGTTGATCATCATTTCTATTTCCAGTGCTTATACATTATTATATATTATTTATTGCACTTGCCTTAACTGTTTTCCAGGTGAGTTAGCTTTTTTTTAATGAAGCAAAGCAAATACACAGCTATTTATTTCACTAAGATATTTTTAATTTATCTTTCTTTTCCCAAGTACCACAATATAGCTCGTTACATTTTAAAACTGAAGCTCTAATATTCTGAATATGATTTATGCTATAAATATTTAAAAATGTATACTAAGCAAAGTTTATCCCAGAAGAAACCAATCTGTTCCAGATGTCCGATTGCTGGTCTCCCTTGCTGCTTGCCAGTTATCTTGCTGTTTGCTTCTGTGGGTCTTCCTCTGTCACTTCAGAATCTGTTGAGAGTTTTTATTCATTCTAGAGCCCTTGAGAGGAAAGCACTGGGTTGACAGCAGAACATTTTTTTCCTTCAATTGCGGTGACTTTTTCTCTTCTCCTGAAAATGAGTAATATTATATATATCTTGGGAATATATATATATATATATGGAATTTTGACATTTGATATGTGATGTGAAAAGTTGTTTATAAAAACAAGTCAAGTTTGAGAAAACAGGAAAAATTGAGAAGGAAATGCCCAATGAGTTAACTGGAATAAGAAGTTTGTGGAAACAGGAATGAATATCAGAGAGAGGGCTGTGAAAGAGGGAGGCTTCCAGTGTCTACATTATGTCATATTTAAGCAACTGATGTAAAAATATTTTGGGTAATTTTTCTTTTGGCAATTTTTCTTTTTTAATCATTTGCAAAATGACATTTAAGAAAAGAAATAAACAGGCCGGGCATGGTGGCTCACGCCTGTAATCCCAGCACTTTGGGAGGGCTGAGGCGGGCGGATCATGAGGTCAGGAGTTCGAGACCAGCCTGGCCAATATGGTGAAACCCCGTCTCTACTGAAAAATACATATTAGCCAGGTGTGGTGGCACACGCCTGTAGTCCCAGCTATTTGGTAGGCTGAGGCAGGAGAATTGCTTGAACCCGGGAGGTGGAGGTTGCATTGAGCGAGGGCGCCACTGTACTCCAGCCTGGGTGACAGAGTGAGACTCCATCTCAAAAAAATAAAAAATAAAAATAAAAAAGGAAAAAAGAATAAACAGAGAGAAAAAATAAACAAAAGCAATATTCCAAGGTCCAGGTACGTTTCCTGTTAATATTGGAGGGAAGAAGTAAAACAAGAGGCAATGAAGACCATCAGATCTAGGAGATGAGCATGGGATGTGAACACCTGGAGCCAAGTGTGTTGGTGATGTTGATGGATCAGAGACCTTGTCCTCTCTACTGACCCTTCTGCAGAAATTGGGGCAACTGGACAACGTGTCACCTTTCCCATTCAACCATGATCTGCCGCTACCCTTCACCTAAAAGTGGTCTTTTAGTCTTCACAATACTCTTACAGAAAAACAAAATGATCCCTCCCCTTACCTCAGGTATTTTCCTTATTTCTGACCTACCTAACTTCTCATCCTTCAGCTCTCACCTTCAACATCTCTCTCACAGAAGACTCATCAATTCTTCTTACACCCCAATCTAGATCAGGCCCATAGGCCAGAATGGCTCAGCATCTTCGGTATTTTTCCTGATAGTGCTACTGGCTGTTTGAATCTGCATGTTTATTGATTGTAAGCTCCACAGAGGAAAAGCCCATGTCAGCGTGGCTTCCTGCTGTATTCCTCACCTAGTACTATACCTGGAGCATTGCAGTGGTCAATAATATGTTGAATAAATGAAGAGTAGCTGCATCCATGAGTGTCGAACAGTTCATACGTGTGTTAGTTACATATTTCACCACTTCAAGTGCCCCATTTAAAATTCTCATCTGAAACCATTCTGCAATTATATCAATTTCTTCTTTTTTTTTTCTTTTTTTCTTTTTTTTCTTGAGACAGAGTCTCACTCTGTTGCCCAGGCTGGAGTGCAATGACGTGATCTCAGCTCACTGCAACCTCTGCTTCCTGGGTTCAAGCGATTCTCCTGCCTCAGCCTCCTGTGTAGCTGGGACTACAGGTGTGTGTCACTACACCCGGCTAATTTTTTGTATTTTTAGTAGAGATGGTGTTTCACCACGTTGGTCAGGCTGGTCTCGATCTCCTGACCTTGTGATCCGCCCGCCTCGGCCTCCCAAAGTGCTGGGATTACAGGTGTGAGCCACTGCGCCTGACCCATTATGCTTTCTAAAAGAGAAACATACTGCCTGTCCTCAGTCAATGATGTATGCTTCATGGTTGGTGTATATCAAAGGCTTTCCTAGGAATCTAAAATACGACATTGGGATAGAAGGCATTGTGCTGAGAGTGTTATCAATACAGTAATTCCTGCAATAGATACTTGCTGACAGGCCCATCTTTTAAAACCATCCCTTTCATTCTATTGTTTCTCTACTGAGGAACATACAATGGTTTCCTCATGGGCAACCATATTAAATCATACGATTGCAAAGTGGGAGCCTGGATGAACTTCCCAGTTGCCTTACTTCTTTCTTTTAATAAATAAAGGGTTCCATACCCAAAGAGGTCCAGTCATTATAAACTTCTTAAAGCAGAGTTGTGGCCATGTCATTTCCTTACTGGAGGCTTCAGCCATGCATGCTCAGTTTTTTATGATCTGCCTTTATGACTTTTCTCTTATTTTATTCCCTTTACTACACTCTTTGCTCTAGCCTTGTGATATGGTTTTGATGTTTGTCCCCTCCAAGTCTCATGTTGCAATGTGATTCCCAGTGTTGGCTGTGGGGCTGGTGGGAGGTGTATGGATCACAGGGGTGGATCCCTCATGAATGGCTTAGTGCCACCCCCTTGGTGATGAGTGAGTTCTTGCTCTGAGTTCACACAAGCTTTGGTTGTTTTGAAAGTGGGTGGCACCTCCCCCTTGCTCTCTTGCCCCTGCTCTTGCTATGTGACGTGCCTGTTCCCATTTTGCCTCCGCTATGATTGGAAGCTTCCCAAGACCCTCACCAGAAGCATAGGACAAGTTACTAAACCTCTCCAATTCTGTAAAGTAATGCCTATTTACAACAATCTCACTGAGTTTCACCTATGAATAGCAAATGTGAAAATGTCTTGGAAATCCTGTGTGAGGTGTAAGTTCTACACAATTATCAGTTTTTATTATTAGGAGGGAGTGAATACCCTCAAATATTTGTGTCATTCTCAGGCTAGCCCATGGTAGCTTTAATGGTTGTAATCTGATCAAGGCTGGCTTTGGAATGGGAGGTAGAAAGAGAAGTGAGTGAAGTTCGTGTCCCCACTCACCTACTTTATAATATTAGGTTGGTGCAAAAGTAATTGCCATTACTTTTAATGGCAAAGCTGCAATTACTTTTGCACCAACCTAATAGAAATGTGCCTTTATTTTTGTATCTTATCACTATTGGAACAAATCTCTTGTGTGCTATTAAATCTATCAAGTAACCCACCTTATAAAATAAAATACTTAAGTGTTTTTGCAAATTTAACACATAGGAGCTTTCTCCCATAAGCAACTCTTTGCTGTGTAATGATACTCGATTTTATCCTGAAGCAGTAATTCTTAATCTTCACTGAATATTAGAGTCACTTGGGGAGCTTTAAAAAATCCCAGTGCCCAGACTGTACCCCAGGCCAGTTTAATTAGAATCTCTAGTAATTCCAGTGAGCGTCTAATATTAAGCATCAATACACTAAAAGACTTATCCTGGTCATTACATTTTTGGTCTCTGTCCCCCCTAAGGAGTCTTTTTTGGGGGGTGGCTATTTACTTTAAATACATACTTTGGTCTTTTTGCTTCATGTGTTATTGAAAATAACGTCAGGATCTTACCTAACATTTTGTCCCAAGAATCATACTGTCCAAGGCTTTTACAAGACTGATCTGTGAGTATAGTATATTCTTTCAGAAATGCCCTACTTTGAAGATGACACTTTGATTCAAAGTGTTTGCCCTGACTCTTCTTGACATTTTTCTTTCAGTTCGGCATTGCACTTCTCCTTCCTTTAACTGCAAGATCAGTCCTTTTTGGAAATTGGCTGCCTGGGTGACATTAGTTTTCTTTACTTTTCAAGAATCTTGTGTTTATTTTGTTTCCTCTGAACAGTGTTCAGAGGCCTCCAGTCCTCTTGGATGAAATCCAAACCTATATTCTTATATAGCACTAGCTCCCATAGCCAGTCCTCCAGTCCATAACTCTCCTCTTGAGAGCCAAGTCCTGAGAATAGCATCTTTTCTCTGAAGCATGTGAGTCATAGTTTTTCACTGGGATCAATAACTCCTCTCTGTCTTCTGGAAATTGTGACTTCATTCAAGTCCCTAAATTGTGGTAGTCATCACAATTAGATATTTATCCAGTACCAGAATCTCCAGAATGTTTTTCTTAGAGTTACTGTTTCTGTCATGGATTCCACTGAGAGTCTCTATGAGGCTAAGCCCCATTTTGAAATGAAATGAATCTTGTGGCTGTTGATATCTTTCTCCTTTCTAGATAGTTTCTGATTTCCTCATTGCATCCATATTACGTGTATAAGCCATGCTAGGATTTTCAGGCAATAATTGACATGAGTTTTTTGTTTTTTTATTCTCCAGCATCTCTTTCCCTTTCCACTAGCACTCCAGGAAATTACATTTGTCCCATGGGACTCGAAAAGGTGGGTTTATAATCAAGTGCCTGTCCTCCCATAACAAAGGGGCAGGGATATGACCCAAGCTGGGCACATTAGATGCTCCTGAGCTTAATCTTGGACAGAAGATAAGAGTGTAAAACCAGGTGGAATTTATTTATCCCAATGCTGCTGTCTGCCCAGGCTATGATAAAATTATATTATGCTTGCTTCCTTAATTCTGGGGACACCATGGTTCCTACCAAACTGGAGCCTAGTTCTCAGTCTTCTTGTTAATGTTAATGTTATTATTATTTTATTATTACCAATTTTTTTTGAGACAGAGTTTCCCTCTGTTATCCAGGCTGGAGTGCAGTGGCACTATCTCAGCTCACTGTAACCTCCGCCTCCCTGGTTCAAGCAATTCTCCTGCCTCAGCCTCCCAAGTAGCTGGGATTTCAAGCACCCACCACCATGACCAGCTAATTTTTTTGTATTTTTAGTAGAGATGGGATTTCACCATGTTGGCCAGGCTGGTCTCGAACTCCTGACCTCAGGTGATTCACCCGCCTTGGCCTCCCAAAGTGCTGTGATTACAGGCATGAGCCACCATGCCTGGCCAGTCTTCTTGTTAATTCTGAAAGTTGCCAGATATCTTTCTGACTACCTTTTTTTTTTTTTTTTTGCCTTCGACTACCCAGAATTAATTTTTCTTGGTTGCAACCCAAGATGAGAGCTAGAATAGATGCAGATTCTGATGCACACCCCTATGGGCCTCAGGAACATGCTTTTCCCTCATTCTCCTTACTGAGAATCATCTCTCAACAGCCAAAATCAGCAGGATAGACTGGGTAACCTTGTTTACACTATTTCCCTGCACTATCTGTCATGGAGTAACAAGGAGAACCAAAGCTACTCATCTTTAACCTAAGTACTGAAGGAGTCAGATACATCATTAGGTAGACAAGCTAGCAAGGAGAATAAGAGCATGTGTACATGGTGAGAGACTGGGTTTGGGTCCTGGCCTCACATTTGCTAGGTGAGCGATGTTGGACACTCCATTTCTTTGTACAAGAGGACAACAAAACTCTTCTCATGGAATTGTTATCTAAATTAAATGACGGGATTGTAAGATGCTTGGGACTGGCCTGGCGTGTAGTAAGTGCTGTGTAATAATAGCTATTATTATTATTAGAATTCTAGAAATAATGGTAATGTCCATCTTTTTCATAGAAAAATTACTCTATTATCTATGACAGTAGAAAGGAGGAAAAAGAGCAATTAGTTGGGCCAAAGGGTGGTTCATTTGGCCTTATAAGGTTTTCTTCCAATAGAGCACATGGGAAGCCTCATAATTCCCAGCCTTGATCTTGATCTTCTGTTAGAACTTGGAAAATGAATTCAACAGTGATTTTTCCTGGCAAGCAGTGACACTTCTATGGATTTGCTATGATAATATGGTGAATCTCAGGTGTAGAGTTCTAGTGCTCCTGGAAAACTGGCTTGTGGTGCTTAAGAGATTGGTTGTGAGGCTGTTATCTGACTGGGTGGATTTCTCCATAGCTGGTCCACTGCCTTCTGTCATTCTGATGGATTCCTATCAAAACAATCCCTGGAACTTCATAGCTTACAATGAACCACCATCATGTCCTCTTGGTCAAAAGGTCACCTAGTCACTTTAGTCAGCCTAAAGAGTCACTGATGCTTGTTATATTCCTTCCCATACTACCTGAGGTATGTGATTCAAGCAAATGACCATACTTATTAATAATAATAATTGCAATAGCATGTGCCAGGGTAGCTTCTAACATTTATTCAGTACTTACCATGTGTCAGGCTCTGAGCAATATTGCTTTCAATCATTATGGATTCCTATAAATGGGTATTATTAATGTCCTTAGTCCTCAAATGAGAAAACAGTGGAGCAGAGAAATGAACTTTCTAAGGTAATACAATATGTCTGAGCACAGCTGGGATTTGGACCATAGCCTTCTGGACTCAGAAACCTGTGTCCTTAGCCAATCTGAAGGTTTGCTGGAAGGAGTGGGGGCATAGTCTTTCTAATCATGTCAGGGAGGTGGAGTCTAGGTTTACCACCTTTCAGGAAACTTTGTGAAGCTGTTATTTCTGACCTTTCATAATAAAAGTGTTGCAAGGATTTGGAAAGGCCCTTATGTTCTTTGGGAAGTGCTTGTTTAATTTTTATGATGAAAATTTTTGCTTTCCTTTTTCATCTGCTCCATAGCCTCTCTGCTAAACATAGTACCAATTATTGCTCTTTCTAGATTTAGAAATAGATTGTTTGAAGCTGGGCTTTGTGTCAAGTGTTCCCCAGTAAAATTATAATTTACCTCAGAAACCTTATCTCATTGCTATGTGACTGTTTTCCTTAAGGTGGGAAGTACTGACACAGTAGAACACTAGGGGTCAGAGCGTCTCAGACCAAGTCAGTGCTTGCTTACAAACCAGGGGCGACCTGGGGAAATCTCTTCTAGCTTTAGTTTTCTCATTTGTAAAATTAAATTATTTCTAAGATCTCATGTTCAAATGCTTGTGTCATTAATTTCCAAGTCCAAGTGGGGGACAAATGATAGGATCTAGAACAATGTAATAAATAGTTAAGAGCCTAAGGTATAGAGTCTATCTGCCAGGGTTTGAACCTTGGCTCTACCAATTACTGACCTCTAACTTTTAGTCAGCTACTGTTGTAAAATGGATTTTCCAGAAGCAGACACTGAGTAGTTTGGTGCAGGATAGTTAGGGATAAATACAAATAAAAGGAAGGAGAAGGAAGCAAGATTGTAAAGAGAGTGAAACTGAACTGTGATGTAGGCCTGACAAAGCCTTGGCCAATCCTATGGAGAACTCTGGAGCTTATGCACCTGTCAGATCTGTCCCATGGTTTAGGCCTTTAAACCCTTTTGTGATTCATTACTTTATCAAGTAATAAAGCTTCACATCAAGCCTTATTACTTGATAAAGGCTTCCCTGGAAAGGCTATACCCTTGAGCAAGGTGGTTCTCTGCAGCCAAGGAAAGAGCTGGAAGAACAAGTCATTTCTTGAAGGAGAATTTGGTGGTGCATTTCCACTACAGCTACATGACCCTTTCATGTCTCAGTTTCCTTGTTAACCAAGATGTCATAACAATAGAGTTTACATCTAAGGGTATTGTGACAACTAAATGGATTATTATATAGAAAGTGCCTTGAACAGCAGAGAGGGATACAGAAAGCTCTTGATATCTATTACTGATGATGATGATAATAATTATAATGCTGTAGAATTTTAAAGCTGTCAGGGGAGTTAGAGATAATGTCATTCAGTGGTTCTCAAATTTCAGCATGTATCAGAATCACTTGGAGGGCTTGTTAAAACACAGGTTGCTAGACTGTATCCCTAGAGTTTTTGACTCAGTAGGTTTTGGATGGAGCTTGAGAAGTTTTACTTCTAGTTCATAGAGTCTTTCTTCTGCTTGATCAAGTCTTCTACTGATGCTTTCTATTGCATTTTTCATTTCATTTGTTGCATTTTTCAACTCTGAGATTTCTGTTTGATTTTGATTTTTATTACTTCAATCTTTGTTAAATTTCTCTGATAAATTTCTAAGTTGTTTCTCTGTGTTTCCTTATAGTTCATTGAGTTTCCTTAAATATAGCTATTTTAATTTTCTTGTCTGACAGATCACACACCTCCATTCCTTTAGGGTTAGTCATTGTTACCTTATTTTTCCCCTTTGGTAAGGTCATATTTTCCTGCTTATTTTTGATTCTCGTTGACATGTGCTGATGTCTATGCATTGAATAATTAGTATTTATTCCAGTCTTCACAGTCTGGCTTTGTTTGTGCCTGTCCTTCTTCAGTAGGCCTGCCCAGAAGTTCTAAGCAGGCTGATTTGTGTTCCCTAAGCTCATTACTGCTACAGCTATTTCAGCCTTAGTGAGCACCAGAAGACCAGGTTTGCTGTGAGTCTCACAAGGGCTTCAAGGTTGGAGTGGTGACCCAGTCCAGAAGACTTGTGGAAGACCCAAGTAGGGTACCTAGGCTGTGTGGGAAAGCTGGCCAAGCTTGGAAACTCCCGACTGTCCCGAAGGCCCAGATAGGTGCACTGCCAGCAGTTCCCTGAACAGGTAGGACAATCTTCAGCCTGCAAGAGGGGTTCAAGCTGAGACTTGGCTCCTTCAGAATCTGCTGTGGGATGGAAGATGGTGACCCTTCCTCAGTGGCTCAGACAGGCTCACATCTACCAGCAGTTCCCTGCCTAGGTGGGATAGTCCCTTGACTGCAGCAAGAGGGGGCAAAACTGAGACTGGTCCCCTTCAGGATCTGCTGTGGGATGGAGGCTGGCAAGCCTGTCAGGGAGTCTCAGTCAGGTGAGTAACTCCCAGGCTGTGACATATGGGCAAGTCTTCCTCTAGGTTCTTGTGTGAGCAGTACTAATCTGGGACTACAGCTGAGAAGGGCTAGAAGCTGAACCACAGGGCAACTTTCAGGTCCATTGCCAAGATCAATGTCAGTGAGCAGATGAGCCTCTCTGCCAAGATACTAACATGGGATTGTTCACAGACTCCTTGGCAGATGGTTTTGGTAAAGCTGAAGGCCAGGTGGGGCTACAGCCAAACACTTTGGGTAACAGGGGTTTCTGGGCTTGAACCCGGGAGCATAACCAGCAGGTCTGCCACCTGAGTGTGAGTTTGCGTTCTCAAAACACCCTCCCAGGTCTTAGGCTTCAGTGGGGTTCCACAGCCTCCTATCTGAACCCCAAGGCTCCCACAAAGAAACTTTTGTCTATGGATGGATGCAGAATTCTTGTCCTGAAGGGATACAAGCAGGTGACCTCCTATTCTGCCATCTTGCTGGCCTTACTCTCTAATTTATCTAATCCTTCTTTCCTTCCTTCCTTCCTTCCTTCCTTCCTTCCTTCCTTCCTTCCTTCCTTCCTTCCTTCCTTCCTTCCTCCCTCCCTCCCTCCCTCCCTCCTTCCCTTCCTTCCTTTTCTTTTTTTTGAGACGGAGTCTTGCTCTGTCACCCAGGCTGGAGTGCAGTGGTGTGATCTCGGCTCACTGCAGGCTCCACCTCCCAGGTTCACACCATTCTCCTGCCTCAGCCTCCCGAGTAGCTGGGACTACAGGCGCCTGCCACTGCGCCCAGCTAATTTTTTGTATTTTTAGTAGAGACAGGGTTTCACCGTGTTAGCCAGGATGGTCTCGATCTCCTGACCTCGTGATCTGCCCACCTCAGCCTCCCAAAGTGCTGAGATTACAGGCGTGAGCCACCGCGCCTGGCCACCTTCCTTCCTTTCCCCCTTCCTTTTCCCTTTCCCTTTCCCCTTCCCTTCCCTTCCCTTTTTCCTTCCTTGCTTTCTTTCTTTCCTTCTTTCCTTCCTTCCTTTCTTTCTTTTCCCTCCCCTTTCCCTTTCCTTTCCTTGAGATAGTCTCACTCTATCACCCAGGCTGGAGTGCAGTGGCATGATCTCAACTAACTGCAACCTCTGTCTCCTGGGTTCAGGTGATTCTCCTGCCTCAGGCTCCCAAGTAGCTGGGACTACAGGTGCCCCTGGCTAATTTTTTGTATTTTTAGTAGAGATGGGGTTTTGCCATGTTGGCCAGGTTGGTCTCAAACTCCTGAGCTCAAGTAATCCACCCGCCTCGGCCTTTCAGAGTGCTGGGATTACAGACATGAGCCACCGTGCCTGGCCTCTAATTAGCATTTCTAATAGGTTTCCAAGTGATGCTGATATTGCTGGTTTTGGTATCATACTTTGAGAACCACTGATCTATGCATTTCCTTTTCTGATAGAGGAATTGAATATGGGTAATGATTGGCCACTGTCCTGTAGTTAGGTTGTAGCAGAAGTAGAATTAGATCCAGAATTGATATTCTCAGTCTGCCACTCTTTCCACTGTTGTAGCACCTACATTTGTTACTTCAGCACTGAAATGACTTCTTCAGAGCTGACACTAACCACAGAGGATAAAAATATTTTGTTTATACCAAGATTTTTCAAACGTGACTAATAGTATATGTAACACCTGAATCAGTACATTTACTTCATGAGTTCCTTCAGGTAGTTACTTTTATGGAATAATTCCTGGTGGTACATTTCCCTTTTCCAGCACTCCTGGGGATATCTGAAATAAAAGACAAGTGTTTTTGCCATAAAGTTTAATTAAGAAGGCTAATTAAGAGAATATACCATATAACATGTATCAAACTAACTTTATCCTCCAGGGCAGATGTGAATTTCATCTCCCCTCACCAACCTCCATACCTACCCAACACACACACTGAATACTCTTCTCAGGAATCAATAGCTCTCTCTCTTTTCTACCCTAGGCTCACTCTTGCTTGTGGCAAGTGCTGAGTCTTAGAAAAACCAGAACTGCACTTGCTAAATTGCTATGTCTTTTCTCTGCTGACAAAAGACAAACCTCTTATTTGTTAAGGCTGCAGTCTTGAGTGTGTTCTTTTTTTTGTTTTGTTTTTTTGAGACAGAATCTCGTTCTGTCGTCCAGGCGGGAGTGCAGTGGCGCAATCTCGGCTCACTGCAACCTCCATCTCCCAGGTTCAAGCGATTCTCCTTCCTCAGCCTCCTGAGTAGCTGGGATTACAGGCATGCACCACCACGCCCGGCTCATTTTTATATTTTTAGTAGAGACAGGGTTTCTGCATGTTGGCCAGGCTGGTCTCAAACTCCTGACCTCAGGTGAACTGCCAGTCGTTGCCTCCCAAAGTGCTGGGATTACACACGTGAGCCACCATGCCCTGCCAGTTGTGGCTGTCTTCTGAGACACCGTGTGGGTCTTGCAGTCTTGTACCCCTTTGTCATGATTCTGTATCGTGGAACTCTGGGCTGATTCTGCCCAGACTAGGGGAACTTGACAATTTTCTGGGGGATGTCATCCTATTACTGATTTTACTTCTTCATGAGTGTTTAAGGTTTCTTTTAATTTCTTCCAGAGTCACTTTCACTGCTTTAGAATTACTCTTCCTCAGCCTCTCTCAAAGTTATGCGGTAGCAGATTCCTCACCCGTAGCTTTATTCTATATGATGGATCTTTCCAGTGAGCATGAAAAAAGGTATGAGTATATGTTTTATGATTGTTTAGCTTCTTATTTGAAATCAGAGAAGACAGTAATTGAGGAGTCAGGGCATACTTTTAAAACCTGCTGAATGGCCGGGTGCAGTGGCTCACGCCTGTAATCCCAGCACTTTGGGAGGCCGAGGCGGGTGGATCACAAGATCAGGAGATCAAGACCATCCTGGCTAACACGGTGAAACCCCGTCTCTACTAAAAACACAAAAAATTAGCCGGGCGTGGTGGCAGGCGCCTGTAGTTCCAGCTACTCGGGAGGCTGAGGCAGGAGAATGGCGTGAACCCGGGAGGCGGAGCTTGCAGTGAGCCGAGATCACACCACTGCACTCCAGCCTGGGCGACAGAGCGAGACTGCGTCTCAAAAAACAAAAAACAAAAAACAAACAAAAAACTTGCTGAATGGCTTAGGCTGGTGAAGATGGCTGGGAATGAAGAGAGAAATCTTATGGAGCCCCCAGAGCCGTACTTGACCCTCAGCCACTTCAACTTCAACTGGCTTCTCATTTTCCTTTTTCCTGCTTCATGACGTTTGTAAAGAGAAAGGAGTTGACAATAGACTGACTGCAGAATCTGTGGGACCCCGTGCAAAATGCAAATGCAGAGCCCTTATTAAAAAATATGCAGAATTTAAGACAGCAACAGCATAACATTAAACCAAGTTGTGGGGGCATTTCTGAGCACAGGGTCTTGTGTGACCATTGATGAAGCCAGCCCTGGGTAAAAAACATAACCTGTGACCATATGTACCATTGACTTCTGGACCAAAGACTTAGGGTAAACTTCCTTTTACTAATTTGTGTGTGACAGTCAACCAGACCTTTTTGCTGCTCCGTTTCACTTGCCTTAACCTTGGTAAACTAGGAGAATTTGCTGCTGTTTTGGTTACTGCCCTTAAAATGCAGCATAAATTTTTTTTTTGACAAGGTCATGCTCTGTCACACATGCTGGAGTGCAGTGGTGTGATCAAGGCTACTGCTGCCTCAACCTCCTGGGCTCAGTCTAAAGGGTCTTTAGGGAAGAATATCCATCTGTAGAATCATAACTAGTCTCCAAACCAACACTGTCAGCTGGAAGCAGTTCCTCAGGAACTAACAATGCAAAAGATACAACAGTTTTAAGACAAAGATCTGCTCACTCTTATCTAAGTAAAGGAATGTAAAGGGATTTTAAGTTTACTTTTGAGCTGAGTTCACCAGGGAGCAAATCAAGACCAGGATTGAATAACTGATTTTATAAATGCAGCCTGTGAGCTAGATATGCCTCTGAGCTGTGTCCTGGGGGCAGTGTACAATGTGCTGTACGAATCCACACAGCTGGAGCAGGATTCTTATCTTAAAATTCTAAAGCAATTAATGCATAGGCTTAATGTCCTTCCTCTAACAAAGCATCTAAGAAATGCCACAAGTCAAGGGAAGAGGGAGGAACCATCAAGGTGATATGAATGGCGAATGGTGAGTATTCCCTTGCTCTCAGTGTCCAGGACAGAGGCTGCACCCGGTCTTTTTCAGACAGTTTCCTGAAGTTGAATAGTAAAAACGCAAATACAAAACTGCTGAAACACAGGCTGACTCAATTGTTAACAGCTCTAGGAATTTCAGGAGGTGCAGGTGGGAAGCAATGTCTTATTGTGTTTTACAAATGATAAAATTAATTCCAAAGGGTGCCTGTGATAGTACAACTTGATTCTGTTATCACACTCACAAGTGAGGTTTGTTGTAACTTATTTTTAAAAGCAGTCCACATAAAATATGTATGTTCTTTATCTTTCTAATTTCAAAATAATTTCGGAAAAATCTTTTTAAATTTTTATTTGAAGTTCTGGGGCACATGTGTGGGATGTGCAGGTTTGTTACCTAGGTAAATGTGTGCCATGGTGGTTTGCTGCACAGATCAGCCCATCCCCTAGGTATTAAGCCCAGCAGCATTCGCTATTTTTCCCGATGCTCTCCCTTGCCTGCCCCACAGGCCCTAGTTGTGTCGTTCTCCCTCTGTGTCCATGTGTTCTCATTGTTCACCTCCCACTTATAAGTGAGAACATGTGGTGTTTGGTTTTCTGTTCCTGTGTTAATTTGCTGAGGATAACAGCTTCTAGCTCCACCCATGTCCCTGCAAAGGACATAATCTTGTTCCTTTTTATGGCTGCGTAGTATTCCATGATGTATATGTACCACACTTTCTTTATCCAGCTTATCAGTTGGTGGGAATGTAAATTCGTTCAGTCATTGTGGAGGCAGTGTGGCAATTCCTCAAAGAGTTAGAACTAGAAATACCATTTGTCACAGCAATCACATTGCTGGGAATATACCAAAAGGAATAAAAATCATTCTGTTATAAAGAGACATGCATGCATATGTTCACTGTAGCACTATTCACAATAGCAGAAATATGAAATCAACCCAAATGCCCATCAATGATAGACTGAATAAAGAAACAGTCTTATAGAAAGAAAAGATATATGGAGCTGGGTCTACCTTTTTGTGAGTTACTGAAATAGAACTTTGATTTTATTTTTGTCGTTGCACAAATTGGAAGGATAAAAAGAATGGCATAATATTAAGTTTGGTTGGGAGAAGAAAGACCAGGGGCCCATCTGAAATATTCTTTTGATTACGTTGCATTATTCCATATTCCAGAATGAGAAATGTGGAAAGGAAGACCAAAGACATTCATCAAGGAGTTGGGTGGAGGGGCTCAGAATTGAGAATTCTCAACAAGCAAAGGCAGTTCTCAGAAATGAAGCTTCTTCTAAGTACAAAAATGCCTCCACTCTTTTTGTCTTTACCTCTAATGCGGTTTCTTTCCTTGGTGGAGCCTCACCAGTATTACTGGTTACATGAAAAAAATGAACTTTTGCAGTGTTTTAACTGACTAACAATATATTGTGGCTCCAGATACTCCAATAGCTAAAATATGTAGCAGTCCCCCTGTTAATGAGGATGGTAAGGCTGAAGCCACTCTGGCCAACGTTGGCAGTTTCTTTGCAGTTTCAATTCATACGTTATGTTTTAATCTCTGGAGTTTAGAGACAGTCCCTATTATTTCAGCAAATAAAGTCTGCAATCATTGGTAACCAGTAAGAACCTTGCTGAGACAGCAGAGGGAACATTCTAGGAAGAAGAGGGATGTAAAATACTGGAATATTTCTTAAAAATGGTGTGAGGCATTATTATTACCCATTTTAGTCTTGAAAATGTGCTATGGATTGTGCTAGATGATAGTAGTTATTTTATTCTATTATGTCTGCGGTGTTATTCTCTGGATTTAAATCTAGATCTAAATGAAATTTTGCTTTAAAGAGTGAAGTAGAGATCAAGCATTATTTCATAGTAGTTAGTTTTTGTGCTAGCAGCAGCTGCTTTGTTCAGTTCTGCAGGGTTAAATTGTTATGGCCTTCAGGTTTCAACTTTTGTTATTAATTCATGGGTCCACTAGATCTCCTGGTTTAGTTGTTTTAACTGCAATAATTGTCAGTGAATCAAGGGAGAGCTTTCTTGTTCCCAAAACCCAGTACTTTTAAAGGTTTTTATTTTCTCATAAATTTTATCCTCTGTCTTTCTTTTTTCTTTTTTGAGATAGATCTCACTCTGTTGCCCAGGCTGGAGTGCAGTGGCACGATCTTGGCCCACTGCAACCTCTACCTCCCAGGTTCAAGCAATTCTCCTGCCTCAGCCTCCTGAGTAGCTGGGACTACAGGTGCCCACCACCACGCCCGGCTAATTTTTGTATTTTTTTTAGTAGAGATGGGGTTTCACCATGTTGGCCAGGCTGGTCTCAAACTCCTGACCTCAGGTGATCCTCCTGCCTTGGCCTCCCAAAGCACTGGGATTTCAGACGCGAGTCACCATGCCCGGCCAATTTTATCCTCTTTCTAATCAGCAAAACTACTGTGGTGGGTAAACCCCAAAACATTGGCTTCCTCCTGGAAGGGGGATTGACACAAAAGAGCATGATAAAACTTTCTGGGGTAATGATAATATTCTATATCTTTACAGGGGTTTTGGTTACACAGGCCTATACAAGGGTAGGCCTTTATATTTACCTAGAGAGTTGCCATCTCTGATGTCCTGTCATCTTTCCTGAAGATCCAGGTTTTAGTCTGGTATCATTTGCCCTTGGGCTGAATAAAATTTTGAAGAATTTCTTGTAGAGTGGCTCTACTGGTGATAAATTCTCTTAGTACTTTTTTAACAGATGAAAATGTCCTTATGTTGTCTTCATATGTGAAGAATATTTTTACTTAACATACAGTTCTTACTGGAGAGAGTTTTTCTGTCAGTATTTAAAATATAATGTTCCTTATCCTATTCAATGTAGTACTGGAAGACCTAGCCAGAGCAATCAGGCAAGAGAAAGAAATAAAGGCACCCAAACAGGAAAAGAGGGAGTCAAATTATCTCTCTTCACTGACGATATGATGCTATACCTAGAAAACCCTAAAGATTCTGCCTAAATCTCCTAGACCTAATACACAACTTCAGCAAAGTCTCAGGATACAAAATCAATGTACAAAAATCAGTAGCATTTTTATACACCAACAATGTTCAAGCTAAGAAACAAATCAAGAATTCAATCCCAGTTGAGCATGGTGGCTGCTGCCTGTAATTCCAGGACTCTGGGAAGTTGAGGTAGTAGGAGCGCTTGAGGCTAGGAGTTTGAGACCAGCTTGGGCAACATAGGGAGACCTTGTCTCTATGAAAAATAAAAATTATTAGCCTGGCATGGTTGTACATGCCTGTTGTCCCAGCTATTTGGGAGTCTGAGGTAGGAGGATTGCTTGGGTCCAGGATTTCAGGTTATGGTGAGCTATGATTGCACCATTGAGCTCTAGCCTGGGCCACAGAGTGAAACCCTGTCTCAGAAACAAACAAACAAAAAAGAATTCAATCCCATTTACAGTAGTCACCACAACAAAATATTTTATTACATGAAAGATCTCTACAAGAAGAACTATAAAACACTGTTGAAAGAAATCACAGACAACACGAATGAAAAAGCATTCAGTGCTCATAAACTGGAAGAATCAATAACGTGAAAATGTTCATAGTGCCCAAAGCAATCTACAGATTCAATGCTATTCCTATTAAATTACCACTGTCATTTTTGTTTCTTTCTTTTTTTTTTTTTTTTTTTTTTTGAGACAGAGACTCGCTCTGTTGCCCAGGTTGGAGTGCAATGGCACAATCTCAGCTCACTGCAACCTCCGCTTCCCAGGTTTAAGCGATTCTCCTGTCTCAGCCTCCCAAGTAGCTGGAATTACAGGCACATGCCGCCACGCCTGGCTACCTTTTTGTATTTTTAGTAGAGACGGGGTTTCACCATGTTCCTCAGGCTGGTCTCAAACTCCTGAGCTCAGGCAATCCACCCGCCTTAGCCTCCCAAAGTGCTAAGATTACAGGCGTGAGCCACCGCGCCCAGCCTGTTGTTGTTTGAGGCAGAGTCTCACTCTGTCACCCAGGCTGGAAAGCAGTGGTGTGACCTTGGCTTACTGCAACCTCCACCTCCAGGGTTCAAGCGATTCTCTTGCCTCAGCCTCCTGAGTAGCTGGCATTACATGCACACACCACGATGTCCAGCTAATTTTTGTATTTTTAGTAGAGATGGGTTTTCATCATGTTGGCCAAGCTGGTCTTGAACTCTTGACCTCAAGTGATCTGCCTGCCTCAGCCTCCCAAAGTGCTGGGATTACAAGAGTGAGCCACTGCACCTGGCATCACTGTCATTTTTCACAGAATTAAAAAAAAATTCTAAAATTCATATGGAACCAGAAAAGAGCGCACATAGCGAAGTCAATCCTAAGCAAAAAGAATAAAGCCAGAGGCATCACATTATTCAACTTCAAACTATATCACAAGGCTACAGTAACCAAAACATCATGGCACTGGTTCAAAAATAGACACATAGAACAATGAGACAGAATAAAACCCCTGAAATAAAGATATACACCTAAAACCAACCAGTCTTCTACAAAGTTGACAAAAATAAACTATGGTGAAAAAATACCCTATTCAATAAATGTTGTAGGGAAAACTGGCTAGCCATATGCAGAAGAATGAAACTGAACCCCCACCTTTTGCCACATACAAAAATTAACTCAAGATGGATTAAAGACTTAAGTGTAAGATCTCAAACTATAAAAGTCCTAGAAGTAAACCTGGGAAAATACTTTTCTGGACACTGGCCTAGGCAAAGAAATTATGACTAACCCTCAAAAGCAAATGCAGTAAAAACAAAAATTGACAATTGGGACCAAATGAAACTACAACGCTGCTGCATATCAAAAGGAACTATTAACAGTGTAAATAGACAACCTATAGAATGGAAAAAAAATGTTTGCGAACTATGCATCCAACAACTAATATTCAGAATCTATAAGAAACTTAACAAGAAAACACAAATGACCTCATTAAAAAGTCGGCAAAGGACATGAATAAACGCTTCTCAAAAGAAGACATACAAGTGGCCAAAAACATATGTAAAATGTTCAACATACTAATCATCAGAGAAATGCAAATCAAAACCACAAAGAGATATACCCCCTTATACCAGGCAGAATGGCTATTATTAAAAAGTTAGGAAATAACAGATGTTGGCAAGATTGATGAGAAAACGGAATGCTTATACACTGTTGGTGGGAATGCAAATTAGTTCAGCCACTGTGGAAAGCAGTTTGAAAATAGCTGAAAGAATTAAATATGGAATTATCATTTGACGGGCAATCCTATTACTTGGTATATTCCCAAAGGAAAACATATTGTTCTACCAAAAAGATACCTGTACTTGTATGTTTATTGCAGCACTATTCATAATAGCAAAGACATGGAATCAACCCAGGTGCCCATCAGTGATGGATTGGTTAAAGAACATGTGGTACTTATATACCATGGAATGCTACACAGCCATAAAGAAGAATGAAATCATGTCCTTTGCAGCAACATGGATGCAGCTAGAGGCCATTATCCCAAGTGAATTAACACAGAAACAGAAAACCAAATACTACTGCATGTTCTCATTTATAAATGGGAGCTAAACATTGGGTACATATGGACACTGGAGAACAATAAACACTGGGGATTTCAATATTGGGGAAGCAGTGGAGGACAGATTGAAAAACTGCCTGTTGGGTACAATGTTCACTCTTCGGTCGATGGGATCATTTGAAGCCCCAACCTCAGCATCATGAGATACACCCATGTAACAAACCTGCACACGTACCCCAAGAATCTAATCTAAAATTTAAAAAAGGAATTATATTTAACATGTGTATTTAGAACCCTAACATATAATATACATAAAAGTGGTACTTTGTAGTTTAAATGTATTTTATCATTTTAATTGTGAAAGATTTTTCTGTTATAAATGGGATCAGTGGAAATAATAAAGCTCTTCTGATAAGGTGAAAATTTGCAACCAAAAAAAGAGATAAAAGATAATGTTTCTTGTATTGTTACAATTTCTGCTGATAAATTTTGAATCTGTGTTTTCCTGTATGTGACATGTCATTTTCTTTTGACTGCTTTCAAGAATTTCCTTTAACTCTAGTTATTAGTAGTTTGACTATGATGGGCCTAGGTATGGTTTCTTTGCCCATATCCTGCTTGGCTTTTACTGAGCTTCCTGAATATGAAAATTTATGGTTTTAAAATCTAATTTAAGCAGTCTTGGGGCACTGTTGCTTCAATAAGTTGTATACCTCATCCTGACTTACCACTCTTTCTTGAATTGTATTCATGTCTGTCGGACATTTAATATTGCCCTCAGGTCCTTGAACTGTTCACTTTAAAAAATCTTTTTTTCTCATGTTCTATATAGATTTGTCTTCAAGTTGCTGACTCTTTTCTCCATCACTTCCACTCTGTTATTAAACCAATACAATAAACTTTTTTTTTTTTTTTGAGACTGGGTTTTACTCTGTTGTCCAGGCTGGAGTGTAGTAGCAGGATCGAAGCTCACTGTAGCCTGTACCTTCTGGGCTCAAGGGATCCTCATGCCTCAGCCTCCATAGTAGCTGGGACTACAGGTACATGCCACCATGCCTGGCTAATGTTTTAACATTTTTTGTAGAGATGAGGTCTCACCATCTTGCATAGGTTGGTCTCAAACTCCTGGACTCAAGAGATCCTCCCTTCTTGGAAAGTGCTGGGATTATAGGCATGAGCCACCTTGCCTGGCCCAATTAAGTTATTTATTTATTTTTTGAGATGGGAGTCTTGTTTTGTCATCCAGGCTGGAATGCAGTGGTGTGATCTTGGCTCACTGCGACCTCTGCCTCCCAGGTTCAAGCAATTCTCCTGCCTCGGCCTCCAGAGTAGCTGGGACTACAGGTGTCTGCCACCATGCCCAGCTAATTTTGTATTTTTAGTAGAGATGGGGTTTTGCCATGTTGGACAGGCTGGTCTCTAACCCCTGACCTCAAGTGATCCACCTGCTTTGGCCTCGCAAAGTACTGGGATTACAGGGGTCAACCACCATATCCCACCCCAATAAACTTTTGATTCCAGAAATTGTGTTTTGGTTTTAGAATTTCCATTTGGTATTTTTTATTATTTATATTTCTCTGTTGAAATTTTCTATAATTTTGAGCATGTATTCCTTTGCTTTCTTGAGCATAATTATAACAGCTGTTTTAAAATTCTTGTCTGCTAATTACAACATTCAGATCGTCTCACCAATGGTCTTGGTTGGTTGTATTGTAAGAATGAGTTATGTATTTCTTCTTGTATGTTGATTAATTCTAGATTTTCTTCTAGGTATTGGGAAAATTATTTTGTAGAAACTCTCAAGTCTGCTATATTTCTATTAGGAGAGTTTTATAAGACAATTTACTTGCTTGGACTCAAAACTCTTTTTTTGGTAGTAGTTCAAATCATATTTCAATTGTTTTAGTGTAGTTGCCCTGCTGTGAATCTGTTTCCTGCCTGCATTCATCAGGCAGCTGAGATTTTGCAGAGACTCAGTATATAACATGGTGCTCTCACTCTCTCATTCTCTTCCTGAGATGTGACCCCTCTCTTTGTAGTACCTATGATTGTTATGAATTCTGTATTGTTTTTTGTCTGGCCAGAAATATGTCAGAAATGTGTGTCTTTTTATGTCAAAGTTTAGTCACTTCACCTGGCATCACCTTTATGCTGGTCTCATTAAAAGTCATAAAAATTGTAAACACGTCCTGTCTGGTGCTGGTTTTTTCTTCCAATTTTTTGTCTTCCCTCCAGAATTTGCCTGCTTGTTTACACTCTCCAGTGCCTTCAGGTCTTTATTTTGCTCACAGTTAATAGCTGATATCTGCAGGAAGATCAGGCTTCATAGAGGGGGGTGGAGTTGGCGGGACTTCCTGGGACGGTTCAGGGACTTTTGCAAAAGACCCCTGTGACTCAGGGTTTTGAGTTCTTAACCAACTGAGTGAAGGATTCAAAATTAACCACGCCAAGGGAGGATTGAAAAAAGAACCACTCTCAGTGGACAAAAAGAAAGAAAGGGGAGGGGGTAACACAGGGATATAAGCCCTAGCCACTCGAGCCAGCAACAGTAACCCTTCCGGGTCCCCTTCCACCACGTGGAAGCTTTCCTTTCGCTTTGTTCAATAAACTGTGAGGCTGCTCACTCCTCACTTTCCTGGTCCGTGGACTCTGTCGTCCAGGCTGGAATGCAGTGGCGCAATCTCGGCTCACTGCAAGCTCCGCCTCTCGGGTTCACGCCATTCTCCTGCCTCAGCCTCCCGAGTAGCTGGGACTACAGGTGCCCACCACCACGCCTGGCTAATTTTTGTGTGTGTGTTTTTTTTAGTAGAGACAGGGTTTCACCGTGTTAACCAGGATGGTCTCGATCTTCTGACCTTGTGATCCATGGACTCTTTTTGAGCTGTAACACGCCCCGTGAAGGTCCCCAGATTCATTCTTCGAAGTTAGGGAGACCATCAACCTAAAGGCAGGAAACAGTCCTGACTCAATAGGAGCTTACTTAGCTGTATTGGGTATGAGTACTAGTTTTATTTTGATAAAAGTATGGTAATCATGATCCTTTCAGAGTTTAGGGCATTTAAAATCTTAATCTAGCTGTGGGTACACTGCAGGTATACAATAAATGTTTATTGAATGGGTAAATGAATTAAGCAACTTGTCTAATTACTTTTTCACAGAAATAGAAGGTGGTTTGACCTAATTAGATGAATTGACTGACTTTTGCTATCCTGGTGACTCAGTTTACAGGCTTGCAGAGGGCAAATGGTGATTTCTATGTTTGCCTGCATAGTTTTTGCTTGGTAGACTCTTGCCTCACTTAAACTATTTCTTGTGAATGCCGGACATGGTTTCTTAGCAGCAGAAATCAATAAACTAGAAAGAAATATACCCTGAGTTTTGGAACAATAAGATAAACACTCTTTGTTTGTCACTGTTCCAAAGAAACAGACTTCAATTATGAAGCAGGTCACTTGGGTAAATAAGATTGCTTTAGCTTCTAGTAAAATAATCGAACAAGTGCTTTGTAGAAAAAAAAAACCCACTCTCATTTAAGTGTTGTAACGGACATGAAATATGAACAACAAACTGTCTATAATTATGAGAAACTAATTTGATGGTTTTTTCCAAAAATAATTCAATTACTGAAGTCATAGTGAAAAGAAATAGAACAGATGTTTGATCCAATGTCTCATAAAATATTTTACTTAGCTACATACAAATGAATTAAAATTGATTTTATGGATGCCAATTCAGGAGCAGAAATGCTATACAATAGAACCTCAAATTACTCAGGAGATTTATTTTGGAACAATACTGTGTAATTTGGAATGGAGAAAGTTTATGGAAAATTGGAGAAAGGGATTAGTGACAAAGAATTGAAAACCATATGTTGCTTATGGGGATATTTAAAATTTAGGAATTTAATGTTTTAAAAATATTTACTCAATAGAGTATTTACTCAGTATGGTATATGACTTAATGAACATGGGTAGAGACAGAGACCAAAGAAGAGGTATGGGAGCTATAGTGGTTTAAAAATATATCCAAAAATTATGTGATAGTCTTGCTTATCAAAAGATAAAGTCTGCTAGGCTGGAGAGCAGTGGTGCAATTTCGGCTCACTGCAGCCTCTGCCTCCCAGGTTCAAGTGATTTTCCCACCTCAGCCTCCCGAGTAGTTGGGACTACAGGTGTGCACCACCACGGCCAGCTAATTTTTTTGTATTTGTAGTAGAGGCAGGGTTTCCAACTCCTGACCTCAGATGATCCGCCTGCCTTGGCTTCCCAAAGTGCTGGGATTACAGGCGTGAGCCACCTCACCCAGCCTCAAAAGATAACACCTGCCTCCCTGAATGTGAATGGACTTTGTGACTCACTTCTAAATAAGAAAATGTGGCAGAAATCACAAGCCATTTGTGAGTCCAGGTCCTAAGAGACATTGCTGCCTCTGCCTGCTCTTGCTTGGATTCCCTCCCCTGAGGGAAGCTGGCCGCTATGACATCAGGACACTGAAGAAACCCTACAGGGAGGTCGGTGAGTGAGGAGGTGAAGCCTCCTGTGACAGCTGGCTCCAACCGACTAGCCATGTGAATGGGCCTGCGTCAATTCACATCTTCAGAGGACTTTGGATGACTGCGGTCCTGGCTGGTGACCTGACTAAAGCCTCAGGAGAGACCTTGGGCTAGAACCACCCAGCTCAGATACTCTCAAATTCCTGACCCACAAAAACTGTGAGATTATAAAGGCATATTACTGTTTTCAACAACCAAGTTTTGAGGTAATTTTGTGTGTGCGTGCGTGTGTGTGTGTGTGTGTGTGTGTGTGTGTGTGTGTTTTTGAGACAGGATCCTGCTCTGTCACCCAGGCTGGAGTGCAGTGACCTGATCTTGGCTCACTGCAGCCTGCCCCTCCTGAGCTCAAGTGATCCTCCCACCTCACCTCCTGAGTAGCTGGGACTACAGACATACGCCACCACATCCGACTAATTTTTAAAATTTCCTTATAGTGTCTTTTTGTAGTGATGTGGGTCTCCTTATGTTGCCCAGGCTGGTCTTGAACTCCTGGGTGCAAGCTATCCTCCTGCCTTAGCCTCCCAGAGGTTGGGATTACAGGTGTGAGCCACCACACCCAGCCCAAGGTAACTTCTTATGTAATAACAGGAGGTCACAAAATTCTAGTTATGCTGAATTTGAATTTTTACTTAGAAGTGACATGGGAGCTTACCTAACATTAGTTATGTTTAATTAGGTTTTTTGGCGACCTGTTTTTAGGGTTGGAGACCAGTTTCATCAAATCAGGGTAGAGATTCTCCTGGTAGCGCTCTGGCACAGAGATTTGTGTGAGTGTATGAGTGCCAGTGGAGTTGGGGGCAGTGCTGGTAAACTTGGGAGAACTGAAGTGAGGCAGAAATCAGGTATGATTTTGAAGGTTTTTATCTAAAATATTCCTATCAATTTGAAATTTTCTGACTTGAGTTGTCATTAAAAAAGCAAATACATTTGGGAGGGTAAAATTCATCAGTCATTTGCACCTCACTGCAGATAATTTGAACAGATAATGACTTTGCCCAACATGTGGCTAAAATATGGTGGAATGGGACTCCTGGGGAAGACAGGCTCGGAACAGGCAAGGGGGGATGGGTGCCTGGGAAGGGCCTTGCAGTTGATTCGGGGACCCAGACAGCAAGTTGAACATGAAGGGAACTGAGAACTCAGGGACTTTATTCCAAAAGACATGTAAAAAGAGAATAGGAGAAGAGAACAGATTTAAAAAAAATGCAACCATTGAAGTACAGGGGAGAAAAGAAAGAAAAAATGTTTGAAGCTAAAGATCATCATCTCCTATTCTGAAATTTGTAATGGGGCCCTGTCATGGTTATATTTAGAATGCTGCTGAGATTCTTCTTGGTGCCCTTTTTGGCATATTCTCAAATGTGTCAACTCTGATGCTTGCCTTACCATGTGTGTATGAGGAAGAGTTCACTTCAGCTGTGATACCTGGGGCACAGTATGTGAAGTGTGTCCACACGTTGGAGTTGTCACTCTGATGCAGTGAAAGTCCTGGCTGAACCTTGTGTCCTTATGTGCCTCCTCATCTTAGCAATGTATCATATTCTGTCTGGCATGGTAATCATTACTCTATGTTCCTTCTTCCTCCCAGATTGTAGGCAAACTAGTGGTTGGGGCCCTGTCTCATCCAGTTTGGTGCTTCCTGGTGAACGTATGGGTATCATCTTGATATAAATATTTGCAGAATTGTGTTGACTATGGAAAACCACATTTAGTATTTTGTTGTAGCATTGAGCCAATATGGCTTTCTTGAAAGAGCCAGGTTTTAGAACTATCCAGTATTTGTCTAAGGTATACATTTATTAATTTTAATCCTTAATGGGCATGCTTGCCTGAAGTGTACATGAGGTGAGGATGAAGTATTGACTTTGTGGGGCCTAGTTAGGAAAATGAGATAAAATTGGAAGAAGAAAAAGAGGATGGAATAGCCCTTACCATGACATCGCCCCTAGAAAGTAGAATTAGAATAGGTATAAAAGAGAGGAGAGAGAAAGGATATGTGAGAGACAGAGGAGGAAAGTGGAGAAAAAGATGTAGATAAGGAGTGGAAAGTGATAGAAGATGAAATATGTAAATGAAGGACAGGGTAGAGATGTTATCGGGACAGTCAGAATATAAAATCCAGGACTGTCCCAATTAATGGATATGCCATTGATTTTATTTAATGTTGTGTTCCTTTGCTTTTGGTTATAGGGAGTGGAAATGTAAACTACATTTAAAAAATCTTATTTTAAGGATATACACGTACTGAACAAAGAGAGTAAAGTCAAGGAACCAGGTCACTCCAGTGGCCATCACTGGCCAGACCACTCAGATTCCCCAGTCCAAAATCTGAAGGGAGCCAGTCTGACTGGCTTTGCTAATCACGACCCTCTGATTGGACAGAGTTTTGTGGGCTGGGCCAGCTGGTCCTTGCTTGTGTCAATCCCCCATTTGGTGTTCATCCCTGTGCGAAGAAGAGCCTGGGGCGGCTTTCTTGAGTAAGCAAGGGATCATTGTACACGTGAACAGTGCTGTGGCTGAAATGACCAATTTAAACATGAATGATAAGCCGGGGTGTAGGCTCATGCCTGTACTCGTAGCTACTCAGGAGGCTGAGGCAAGAGGATTGCTTGAGCCTAGGAGTTTGAGACAAGCCTGGGCAATATGGTGAGACCTCATTAAAAAAAAAAAAAAACATAAAAAGGAAAAAATATGAATAATAATTTAAAAGGAAAAGAAAATAAAACCCTGAATCATATCTACAGACAACCCACAGGCTTTAAGGAAGATCCAAACCTGTAATATAACAAGGAAGGCATTTGATATACTTGATAAAAAATGTTTTACTCTTTTTGCTTCTCTGTGAGACTCCTTGTATTACTCAATTTGGGCTTCGCTAATGAAATACTGCAGACTAGGGGGCATATGAACAACGTAAATTCATTTTTCACTCTTTTGGATGCTGAGTCTAAGAGCAAGATGCTGGCCGATTTGGTGTCTAGTGAGGCCCCCTTCCTGGTTCATAGATGGTGCCTTCTCACTGTAACCCCACAAGGGGGTGGGGTGAGGGAGCTCTCAGAGGTCTTTTCAGTCATGAGGGCACAGTCTAATTGCTACCAAAGGCCCCACCTCCTATTACAGTATCCCTTACCCAAATGCTTGGGACCAGAAATGTTTCTGATTTTGGAATATTTGCATTATACATATTTACCCATTGAGTACCCCAAATTTGAAAATCAGAAATCTTGAAATGCTCCAATGAGCATTTCCTTTGGGCATCATGTTAGCACTCAAAAATTGCAGATTTTGGAGCATTTCAGATTTCAGATTTTCAGATTTGGGTGGCTTGGCCTGTTCTACCACATTGGGGGGTTAGAATTTCAACCTGTGAATTTTGGGGGAGGCATGCAAACCTTCTGTCTATAGCACCTTTACATTATTTTATAAATTCACCTTTAACTTGTTTCAGATTTTTCTCAGTACTTTAAATCTTACGCCATATGCGCTGGGTGATTTTTCAACTTTTAAATGGGCCCTGTTCTCTTGAAAATAAATGGGAAATAGATTCTTGGAAATAAAACATCAGTCTTTTCTGACTTCTTGGGTGGGTGAGCAGAAACAGACGATTCCATACCTGACATCTGCTTCCTTTAATACCCTCCAGGGTGTTTGCCCTATGTCTCTCAAAACTCAAACCACGTCAAAATCACCTCAAACCACATCAGACTTTTCAGGGCTGGTAAATGCTCCCACAGCATAAATAGTTGTTCCTGTCAAATCGGTTGGACTGTGTCTTAGGGGAAGACAATATTAATGTCTTTTTCTTTACACCTTTACAAGCAAAAATTCACTAAGGCAAGAGGCAAGTCATAGAAACATATTTCTCCGGTGTGCTTTTGTTGTCATGTTACTGGAAATAAATATCTCTGATGCTGTAGTTGCTGGTATAATGAAAATCTAAGTAGATGATGGTGTTTATATTGCAGGTGCTAAGGGCCTCTCACACTGGCACTGGCACTGTGAACTCATTGAGTTTTCTTGTGTTCTTACTAGCTGATAATAGGGTCATTCTTCTCAGGGTCCCAGTGGCTGTAGAGAGCTGTTTGTGGGAAGCCATTATGTGACAGGTTTGAGAAGATCTAGGCAAGGGCAGGCCCCAAAAGATAGAGGACTACAATTTACATTTATTGCCTGCCTTGCCTCAGCTGCCTGGCATGATGTCTCAATCCCAGAAGCTCTTGAAAAGTAAAAGGCAGCCACAGGCAAACAGGGGAAACAGAAACAATCTGTTAAACGCAAAGGTGTTTACTTAGCATCCCAGCCTCAGAAATGCTCACATCCCACTAGGGGGACAGAAGGGAGCTTATGGAAACATATTGTGAGTGGAGCAGACAGAGTGTCATGATTTTCAAAAATCTGCTGTAACCTTCTGGTTCAGTTTTTGTTTCCCTGAGGGCAACGGAGTGAGATTTTGTATTTTTCCTTATTTAGAAATTCACATCCAGATAAAGCATCCCTTGACTCTATGAGTGAATATCTGGAGAGAATGCTTATGTGTCCAGTGTGAGAATGACTTTGGAATCCAAGATATGTTGATTGATGATGGAGAGTATGCTTAGCCAGTATTGAGGCAGTTTATCCAGCTGTTAGAACAGGATTATTTTTTTGATGACATGTGACTCATCCTTTGACATCCGTGAAAGAGAGCGCATAGTGGTTAAAAGCACCGACTTGGGAGCCAGGCTGCCTGGCTTCAATCCCTGCTCTGCCACCTACAAGGTATGTGATCCTGGGCAAGTTATTTAATCTCTTTGTGTCTCAGTTTCCTCATCTTGACAAAAGTCAAGGTTTGTAAATGGCTCAGACTGGCTCTGGTGTCTGGTAAGTGCTGTATAAGCATGTGTTACACACAGACATATGCATATACGCAAATACTTGATGCTATTCTGGCTATGTCATCAGCCAACTTCTGTAGCTACATGCTCAGTCTTTCATCTGTAAAGTAAAGGGGGTGGACTAAACTCCATTCTAGTTGTATGGTCTATGATTCTAGGTCATGGTGTTTGGAATTGGTGGTAAAATTACAAAGAATATTATGGAAATGACAATCAGCAACCATAATGAATCATCTTTAGGAATAGGTGTTGATGATTCAAATATATTTCCATTCTCCCAGTATTTGAAAGTATGGGATGGTATGTGGGTAATCTTGGATTCAGGAGTTTATATCTACATAGGTATCTGCTAGATAAAAAGGAACAGATAAGCTCTCATCAACTATGAGATATTTTTCCATCACAAATGAAAACTTTATGACCCAGACTGTGTAAAGCCTGGCTAACGTTAAGATTAGGAAATATCTATACTTTAATCAGAAGAAAGAAAAAGCCAAAGATTTAAAAATAGCAGGGCGGCTTAGCAACTCTCCAGGCTAAGCTGAGTGTGTAGTTGAGATACAGGTTGTTAAGCAAACTTTCACTGATACCCTCAGGGAAGAAATTGTGAAATAAGGCAACTGAGCAGGGATTTTTCAAAAAGAGTAAGATAAATTTCACAATATCTGGAGAATTTAGTTCTCATAAAATTGAAAAAAATTTAAAATCTCAAGTTGAATGGAAAAAGAGATACAGCTCAAAGGACAAGACTATTTCACTGAAAAAAGAATGATGTACCTTGTAACATAACTTAAATAAATTCTGAGTATCTTTAGGACTCTTAAAATATTTTTTCATTTTCTTTTCCTTTTATTCTTCAGTTGTTATAAGATGTGTGTTTTAAGTATGACCTTAGCTTTGTTAGTTGCTTTGAGCTCTTTACAAAGAAAAGAACATTGCTGAAAAGAGCCATGAATAAATAAGAAGTCAGTATAGATTTGCAAATATTTTCTAAAGGTCTAAGGGTCACTGAAGTATTGGAAAATGGGAAAAGGGAGCAGATTAAAAAAAAAGCATCAACAAAAAGTGAAAACTTTAAGAGAGGATACACAGAGAAGCAGAAAACTTAATTAAATTAAAGTTTACTGAAAGGGTCAAGATGTTATAAGAACCGCATCAACTAGAAAGACCTTTGAGAGAGAAAGAGGCATACCAATAAATAAAAAGCAGAGTTGTGATAAGACTTTAAATGGATAAGGCTGTGAACTTACTGTTCTCTGAACAGGCTGACTTTCAAAGCCTAGGCAAGGTCTTTACTATTACAAAGTCATGAGGACCTTCTTAAAAAGCCTTGAATATTGTATTCAGTTTGAGGCATTTCACTGCCAGGAAAATGAAGGCAAACAGAGATGGGAATTCAGAGTTTAAAACACACACACACACACACACACACACACACACACACACACACACACACCAAAAATATTTCAGGGTCTATGGAGAATTGACTTTTCAAGAGAAAGTATGAATAAAAAGAATAAATAATAGCTTCACTTGCAAAGTCTAAAGAGAGGAAGGTTATCACCTTCCTGTTGTATGCGCCTAAAATTTGACAGTGTGAAATTACGAGGTAACAGATATTCTCATTTAAATCCTGTGAACTTATTTAGTCAATGGTTTGACTCTACCTTTCACTTTAGGTTACAGACATTTATTTATCAATATTTGTTTTTTACATAGGACATTTATAAACCCATACACATGTACATATACACATCCATATAGCCAATAAGTGTCCAATCTTCCTTCCCTTTCCCTGCATTTTCTTTTATTGATGACCTCTGAGTCTACTGTACATTTGTAGCTTCCCTATAAATTTCTCTAAAGAGATGTAAGGACCACACATTTGATTGGCTGAACTTGAGCTTGCCCATCTCAGCTCCAGCTAAAGTGAGCTGTTGTTATTATTCATAGGGGTGTCCAATACAATTGCTTTAAAGGTTCACTTTTGCTCACAGGGGATTATTGAGTGGGGCAGGGTGGGGAGTGAGATATTGCTAGTCATTACAATACTAAGGGAATTCTATATATGCTATCATTTTACTTTAGCTGTGAGAAAGATGAGAAAGTAAAAGAAACTTGAGATCCACTGAAATAAATTATTTAACACAAATGAACAGGTAAGAGGCTCAAAAGATGTGGATTAAATATCGTTGCTGCAGAAATATTACTGTTTTCTCCCATTTCTACCTATTACTTTGTCATTCTCTTCCCTACACGAAATCCAAGTCTTTTACATCATAGGTGCACCAAATAAAAAGGTATTCAATAGACAAATGCTAGTGGTTTTACAGATAGAGTGGTCTAGGGAGGATAGGGTGTTGAGTTTTGAAATGGGAGGATGTTTTTAACCTTATTTAAAATCCTTTCTGGCTGTGTAAGCCATAGATCATGGTGTGCTATGCTTGGGTATCTATGTATGTTCCATCAATGAGAGCGCTGGGCTGAGAAGTTAAGCAAATGTTGTTTTGTGCTGCCAGCTGGGCTTCAAAATATGGCAGTCCCTGTGTTTATTGCCGACTAGTATTTTTCAAGAAAATATAAAAATTGTCATCTTCTCTGTCAGCATGAGACCTCTGAATCATTAAGACTCACCAGCACAGACTGTAACAAAAAGATGTTTTCCTTTGCTATGGATTTAACCATTTTATGGGTAGGTGTTTTCAAAAAACTCTGCATTTAATGCAATAAAGATGACATTTAATGCACAACAGGTATTAGTGGAAGTTATCACAACTAAATCAAGGTGAGATGAATCGTGGAAAGTGGCAGTCACAGTTTGATAACTGGAATTAAACGCAGAAATCCAAGTTAGAGAAGGCAGTAACAGCTCCTACTGACCAGCAGGGGTCACCCAATAACCAGAAAACAGATATGAGGCTTGTCGGTTCTCAGCACTGAAACGCAGGGGAAACACTCCGGTGCGAGGTCTCAGGCTGCCCTGCGGAGACACACACAGAACTCACTCATAATCCTAACTCAAAACCAAAACACAGCAATTCACTTCCCAGAAATGATGTTCTTCACTGGGTAAAGGGAGAAAACCTCAGGGCCAACTCTGGAGCTCTGCTACATGTATGGGAGTGAAGAATAATGGACTCAGTTGGGAGTGGAGGTTGTACCCGATGACATAAATAGAGGAAAGTGGAAGATACCTAAGGGGGAGAAACTCCCTGTTGAGTTCAGATGCTCTTGATCTAACTTCAGAGACCCAGAACAGAGAGGCCAGCCTCCAGTCAGGCTTCCTTTGCCGTCTTCAAGTACAGAACATTAAAACCTGTTCCTGGCCCCTTATATTTCAAACATTTTTGTAAAATGCATTTTTAAAACATCAGAAAAGTTCAGATTACCAGGTTTTCCCCACAATGATTCTTCCATTCTTCTTACAGCTACTCTGTGCTTCCTTTTCTCTTCAATGTCTGCTATAAAGAAACGTGTGCCCTATCGATTCTTTGTCTTTGGATTCCTGAATACATTCCCTGAAAGGACCTTCAGAGGGAAGGATCAGTAATAAAAGTAGCAGCTAACATTCTTGAGAGAGGATGGTGTCATGCTCTGCCCTAAGCTATCAGTGAACACGTGTATGTCTGATAACTTTCAAAAGGGCCTTATGATGTCGACACCTTTTTTTTTTGAGACGGAGTTTTGCTCTCGTTGCCCAGGCTGGAGTGCAGTGGTGAGAACTTGGCTCACTGCAACCTCCACCTCCCGGGTTCAAGCAATTCTCCTGCCTCAGCCTCCTAAGTAGCTGGGATTACAGGCGCCCGCCACCACGCCTGGCTAATTTTTTGTATTTTTAGTAGAGACAGGGTTTCACCGTGTTGGCCAGGAAGGTCTCGAATTCCTGACCTCAGGTGATCCACCTGCCTTGGCCTCCCAAAGTGCTAGGATTCAGGTGTGAGCCACAGTGCTTGGCCGACGTTGACACCATTTCAAGGATGGCGAAATGGAGGTTCACAGGCTGATGCAAATTCCTAATTCCCCTGCTGTTTGACTGTAAATCTCAGGTCAAAGAGGACAAAGAAACATTAAAATTCAACCATTTCGACTACCTGCCTGATGCTCGAATACTTTCTATGGCATCTCTGTTAGCTGGTCATATGTTGTTATAGTTATACATTGCTGAGATGGGGACTCATAAGTCTTCTTCATTTGAACAGCTCTGGCTGTAAGAGGGCTCTGCCTTATAGTCAGATGGAAGAAAGCATCTAATAACTAGTCTTTTTACTGACTGGAGCATATTCTCCTCCTACTGGGTCAATGCAAGAAGACTGATTTCCCTTCAGGGTAGTCCTTCATACATTTGAAGGGAGTTACTCTGAATCTCTCAGGTTTTCTCTTTATTAAATGCACTAAGATCCCCCAGAGATCTTTATTATATTGTTTAAGTATGATATCATTTTCAATCTTTCCTACATCTGAATGAATTACATTGGTTCATGTTCTTCTGAACATGTGGTTCCCAGAGCAGGGTGAGGCTAGTGTGCCGAGGGGTCTGTCATCTCTTTTTTTCAAGATATTATGCTTTGATTGATGCCTGTTTTCTAAGAAACACACAAATTTCTTATTTTGTTTCTACTTGTGTATTTTCTTCTCATTTCCCAGAAATGATATTTTTTTTTGCTGGGTTCTTAGATAAAAAATGCACAACTATATAATGAAAATTAATTTAGTGACAGCTAACAAAAGGCAAAGACATTTTTGTAAACATTAGTTTCAGTGGTAGATAATGGCAGGATTCAACCTCTCAAAACATTAATTGACTTTCCTTATAACATCATGTGCCAATGGTGCTTTACAAATCATGGTGAACACATTTTGCTGGGTTGAAATGATAGTCATTTTTGTGTTCATCCCTAGTTTAGGATTTTAGCACTAAATTCCTAGCCAGTTATCACTGTACTTTTATGAAAACTCTTGTTTAAATAACTTTAGATGTATCGATTGTAGAAATAATATGCTACAACCATTGCCTTCTTATGAACAGTTAACAAGTATAATTTAAAAAACTACTCAGCTCTCCCAGGAGAGTGTTTTGAACAAGTTGGAAAACAGAATTAAACAGGATATCATGCAAAGTGGGTGGCTTAGTTAATGTTTCTATTTTCTTTCTATGGGACTCTTAGAATATTATATGCAAACAATCTGAGCTAAGGTTGCATAAGATGTCAAATCAAAGTTATTCAAGTTATTTTATAGACATTAAAAAGCACCTTGCATTATCATTCTCAAATTTCGTAAATGGACAAAAATCTATTTGCACATAGTTGCACCCAGATGACATAAATTTTTAATGTGGTTAAACTCCATTTGAATATATGCCAAGATAGAAGCAATGATTAGCTTATTTTGAAAATTACCACTTTAATCTTTCCCATTACTGGATAGCCTCTAACAAAGAGACAGCCTTTCTGACCTCTTAAATAGTCATAAAATTGAAGATCTCAGCTTGACTTTTAGACCTTCTGCTGACCCAAGGCAAATTAGACCTGCTTCAGGACTTGACTTGAAAGATACTGAGCAAATACTTAGAGGAGTGATTATAGAGTTTAAGCCCCAGAGTAGAAGAAAATAGAGAACATGAGTTAAGAAACATTTTTCTGCCCATAAAGGGAGAGGAGCCATAAGAATGTAAAAAAGAAAGATTAAGAGGGATGGAAGTTGGCATTAGGTGGTGCCTGCATATCTCAAAAGGGATTTGGTGCCATAGCTCTTTGGGTCTCAAATGAGACTGGCTATGAAAAGGCTAACACTTCAGATAAATTGAAAGGGCATCCAAACAAAATAGATACCTGTACTCACCTGAAATCCAAAGAATAGGCACTCTTACTGCTATAGTTTTAATGTGTCCCCCCGAAAGCATGTGCTAGGAACTTAATCCTAAATGCAAAAGTATTGGGAGGTGGGGTCTAATAGGAAGTGTTTAGGGCATGAGGGCCCCACCCTCACGAATAAATTAATGCAGACTATAAAAGAACTTGAGGCACTGGTTTGATCTCTTGTTTTATGTCATTGTCCTTTCTTTGCCCTTTTGCTATGAGATGATGCAGCAAGAAGGCCCTCACAAGATGCCAGCCCTTCTATCTTGGACTTCTCAGTCTCCAGAACCATGATCCAATAAACTTCTGTTCATTGTAAATTACCCAGTTTGTGGTATCCTGTTATAGCAGCACAAGACCAATTAAGATAAAAAATTGGTACCAAAAAGTGGAGCTGTTGCTATGACAAATGCCTGAAAATGTGAAAATGTGGAAGCAGTTTTGAAATTGGGTTATGGAGAAAAGCTGGAAGAGTTGGAGAAGTAGGCTAGAATAAGCCTTTGTTTCCATACCTGGTGTGTTAAGGGTGTTTGAGGGCTTGGAAGAAGAGAAGAACTGTAGGAAAAGTGTGAAACTTCTTCAAGGTTACTTAAGTGGTCATGATCAGAATGTTGGTAGAAACATGGATAGTAAAGGCCATTCTAATGAGATCTCTGATGGAAATGTGTAATGCCTTATTTGAAAGTGGAGAAATGACCTTTTCTATTACAAGTGGCAAGTAAATTGGCTGAAATGTGTCTGTGTTAGCCTGTTTTTTTTTTTGTTTTTTTTTTTTTTTACACTGCTATAAAGAAATACTTGAAAATGTGGAAGTGGCTTTGAATCAGATAATGGGCAGAGCTTGGAAGAGTCTGGAAGCCTCAGAAGAAGACAGGAAAAAAAGGTAAAGTTTGGAACTTCTTAGAGACTTGTGAAGTGGTTGTGACCAAAATGCTGGTAGAAATATGAACAGTGAAGGCCAAACTGATGAGGTCTCACATGGAACTGAGAAACTTATTGGGAACTGGAGCAAAGTTCACCCTTGTTATGCCTTAGCCAAGAGCTTGATTGCATTGTGTCTATGCCCTAGGGATCTTTGGAAATTTGAATTTAAGAGTGATGACTTAGGGTACATGGTGGAAAAAATTTCTAAGCAGCAAAACATTTAAGGTGTGGCCTGGATGCTCCTTAGAGCCTACAATCAGATGTAGGAGCAAATAAATGTCTTAAAGTGTAAAAGGCAAGCAGAGTGTAAAATTTTGGAAAATTTGCAGGCTAGCCATGTGTCAGAGAAATAAAAAGCATCTTCAGGAGAGGACTACAAGCAGGCTGTGGAGTAACTACTTGCTAGAGAGATTAGCATGACTCAGAGGAAGCCAAGTGCTAATATCCAAGACAATGGGAAAAAGTCCTAAAAGGCATTTCAGATATCTTTGAGGCAGCCCCTCCCATCAGAGGACAAGAGGCCTAGGAGGAAAGAATGGTTTCATGGGTCAGGCCCAGGATGCTGCTGCCCTGTTCAGCCTTGGGACAATGATCTCCACATCCTGGCTGCTCAGGCTCCAGCCTTAGCCCAAAGAGCTCCAGATCCTGCTTAAGCCACCACTTTTGAGAGTGCAAACTGCAGTAAGTCTTTGTGGCTTCCACATGGTGTTAAGTGTATGGGTGTGTGGGATGCAAGAGTGAAGAAGGCTGGCAGCTTCCACCTAGATTTTCAAAGCCCGAGTGTCAAGACAGAAGCCTGTCATGGGGCAAAACCCCCACACAGAACCTCTACTAGGACACTGCTAAGGGAAAATGTGGTACTGGAGCTCCCAACTGGTCACACCTCCAACACTGGTGATTACATTTAGATATAAAATTTGGATGGGACAAACATCCAAACTATCAGTGTCCATGCCCAAAGACTTTATGAAAGGCAGAGTTTAAAAGTGATGAACTAGGATATCTGATGGAAGGAGTTTCTAAGCAGAATATTGAAGGGATGGTGTAGCTACTTTTGACTGCATACAGTAAAATGAGAGGAGAGAAATAATTTACTAACAGAATGTATAATTAAAAGGAAAGCAGAACATAACAGTTTGGAAAATTGGCAGCCTGGCCATGTAAAAAATGAAAAAGCATGTAGGAGGTGACAAGTGACCTTTTGATAAAGGAATTAGCATAGCTAGAAGGAGGCCCACTGTTATTCATCAAGACAATTGGAGAATGACCTCTAAAACATTTCAGTATCCTCAAGCCTGCCCTTCCCATCCCAGGTCCAGAGCTCTTGGAAAGCAGAATGGTGCTGGGGACCCAGGGTCCCTCCACAGGCCCTTTTCAGGACTGCCTCAGGACTCTGTTCCTTGCATTCCAGTGCAGTGGTATTCAGCTGCCCAAGCTGTGGCTCAAGCAGTTCCAGGTGCAGCTTGGGGTGCTGCTCTGGAGAGTACAAGTGATAAGCCTTTGTGGCATCCACTTGGTGCTAATTCTGCAGGTATGAAGAATGCAAGAGTTGTGGGGCATGCCTTCCTCCACTTAGATTTCAAAGGGTTTTGTGCAACCTGGGGTCTACACATAGACTTGTCACAGGGTTGGAGCCATAGCAGTAGGTCCCCACTAGGATAATACCTAGTGGAGTTGTAGGAGTGAGGCCACTGCAGAAAATCCCAAGCAGATGAGTGCCTGGTGGAGCTATGGGGGTGGGGCCACCCAAAGACTCTAGAACTGTAGAGCTTCCAGTGTGCAACACCAGCCTTGGGGAGCTGCAGACACATAACTCCAACTTGTGAGAGCTGCTGTATGGGCTGAGACCAGCAAAGCCATAGGGGTGGGGTTGCCTGAGGCCTTGGAGACCCACTTCCCACCCCTGGAAGGCAGGGCATGGAGTCAGGGAAGATTATTCTGGAGCCTTAAGATTTAATGTTTTTCGTCCTGTTGGGTTCTAGACTTACTTGGGATGAGTTACACCTTTCTTCTTGTTGATTTCTCCCTTTTGTAATGGAAACATTGTATCCTTTGCCTAACCTACCATTGTATTTTGGAAGAAGAGAACTTGTTTGATTTCATGGGCTCATATCTGGAGAGGAGTTTGCCTGAAGATGAACAGTACCTTGAGTCTCACCCATATCTCATTTAGATGAGACCGTGAACTTTGGGCTTTTAAGTTGATGCTGGAACAAATTAAGACTTTTGAGGCTACTGGGATGAGTGAATGTCTTTTTTGTGTGAGAAGGATATAAATTTGGGGGACCAGGGTGGGTCCTAATGGGTGTTGTTTAGGTCATGAGAGCTGTGTGAATGGATTTCTGCTGATTATAAAAGGTCTTGAGGCTACTAGTTTGATTTCTTGCTCTCTCTTCCCTTCTCTTTGCCTTTCCATCATGGGATGATACAGCAGGCAGGCCCTTGCCAAATGCCAGCCCCTCAATTTTTGGACTTCCCAGCCTCCAGACTCATAAGCCAATAAGTTTTTCTTCATTATAAATTACCCAGTCTGTGCTACAAGAAGTCCTCACTTAGGGTCATTGACAGGCTCTTAGAAATTGTGACTTTCAGCTAAATGATGTACAACAAAACCAATTTATAACTCATCATTGTTATAATAAAACAATTTTGAACAAGATGATGTTATTTGAGGACCTGTTGTACATAGTCTCACTTAAAGTTGCAGTTTCCAAGAACCTATAGATGATGTTAAATGAGGACTTACCATATTCTGTTATAGCAGCAAAAACAGGCTAAGACACTTACCAAATGCCTCATATTAACATGAATAGTTTTAGAAGAGAAAAAAATGAAGATATACTGTGCTTGGGCAGTGATGGAATGCAGTGCTCACAGAATTGCGTACTTCCTAGGATGGCAAGGGAAGGTCATTCTTGTTATTGATAAACCTGAGTGGTGGGGGCAGCTATGCAGGGAAAAGGGAATAAGTCCAAAGTCCAGGCCAATGGGATATTATCAAATACTATCTAATTAGAGACTCTCATATTGGAGTAGATCAGAAGTCACAAATTCAAATACGAGGGCTGAGTATGTAACATGAATGAGCAATGGGCTTGTCTTCTCTTTTTCTTTTTGGAACACTGAGATTATTATGTGAAGAAGCCTGGGCAAGCCTACTGGAGGATGAGAGATTGCATGGAACAGAGGCAAATTCTCCAGCTGAGACTTAGACCAAACAGCCTGCTCACACAAGGCATAAGAGTGAGGCCATCATGATCCAGGCACAGTGGTCCATACCTTTAGTCCCAGCTACTTTGGAGGCTGAGGCAGGAGGGTCACTTGTGTTTAGAAGTTTGAGTCCAGCCTGGACAATGGTGTGATACCTTGTCTCTTTAAAAAAAAAAAAAAAAGTGAGAAGACTGAGCCTACCTTGGAGCATCCAGCCTCAGCCTCAGCCTCAGCATCAGTTGACCACAGAAATTATCTGTGCTGATTCATACTAAAACTGTCCAGCTAACCCAGAGAATGGTGAGAAAAAATAAAGGTTACTTTTTAAAAGACAAAACTTGTTTTTTTTCACTATTTTTAAATTTTATAACTGGAAAATATCTATTTATACATTGTTTTAATGTAACACTACCCTGATGATATTAATTTTTAATATGGTTAAATGCCATTTAAATTAGTGTCAAGATGAAAGCAAAGATTAGTTGATTCTGAGAAATTACCATTTTAATCTTTCACTATTATTGGCCAGCTTCAAACCTTGTGCTATAAGATCAACAAGAGATCTAATCATATATCTTAATAGACTGATGAAGTATTTATTTGCTGAAATTTGAAGACAATGCTGACTAACCTGTTGGTACACACCTGTGCTCTGCTCTGGAGCCCAGAATTCCACAATTTTACGGATTAATTACTGTGAAAGTTAAGGCATCTTAGATTTTTCCCTCTGTAAAAGGCCAGAAGAAGCCTCAGAGGTTGTTTAATCAGAAGGCCAAATTTGGCCAGGAGATGTGTTTTATTTGGCGTACCCAGTGCTGGCTCAAAAATTTAAAAAGTTTCCATTAGTTATGGTGCCATTATTTGGTATTGGACAATTACATTGAAAACCCTATTTCAAAATTATCTTTAAAAATTTGGAAGATCTGGCAACATTGAGCCTGCATGATAGCAGTTTGATATTGAAGCTGAATACCCTTTAGATGGGGCAGGAGCTCTCTAAGTCACTCAGAAGGCCTCCCCTCTTTACTATCTTACACCTCAGTTTGCTTCACTCATCCTTGTTATACACTCAGCCTCTGTTAAGTATGTGAATTTCTGACCTCCAATCTATGCCAATTGACTTAATTTTTGCAGGTAAGCAAACAGAGGCTCAGATAAAAGTGACTAAAATAAAAAGTGACTCAGAGAAAAGTCCAAAACATTATCAGCTATGGAATTGGTGCTAGATCTCCTTCCCACCTGGCAAAGGGCTAGGGAAGTGACAGCTTTTGATGGTGTGTGAGTAGAACAGAAAAGACTGGAATTTTTCAAGACAGGAAGGCTGGAGAGTAGCTTGTGGAAGCCAGGACTCAGTGTCAGGGCCCTAAGTGGCTGGAGGGTGGGAAGCCCCAGAAGGGAGAGGAGAAACTAAAAGAGGACAGAGAAGGCCAGGAAAGCAACATCCTTTGGGTCACTATTTTCTTCTTCATCTGGCATATTGGCCTGGAAGTCTTTGCTGGGAAAACATCGTACTACTGATAGTGTTGACAGCCTGTGAAATGCATTAAATTCTTTCAAAAACCACAAAATAGATGATGAGATTCCAGCTATATTGATGGCCAAGTCTTAGAGTCTTTATTTAATAATACACTTCTTAGATTCTTCCCCTTCATCCGGTCATTAGCCAAGACCTATCTTGTAATTATTTCTTGAATTGCTTTCTCCAGTCTTATTCTGTCACTACCTGAGTTGAGATCACCCTCATTTTGCCAGCCTCTGAACCGAGCTCCATATTTGTGGTGGGCTCTCATCAGGCCTGTCCTGCTCAATCCCTCCCATGCCTTGTAAAGCAGGAGATGAACTATTGAACATGCCCACAGATTGGTCATAACTTCAGAGCTGCAAAAAGATTACACCTGTGTGATGCCTGATTGTAATGATGTAATCTGTGGATAATCTGTCAGGATGTGCTGGTGGCTTTTTCAGAAATGATACTGGGAACCCAAAGTATCCAGATAACAGAGTTTGCCAATGGTGGTTTTTGCCAGCATAAAAGTTAACTATGCTAAAGTGTAACATTGTTGCAATTGAGAAATATGAAGTTTGGTAACCTCCTACTTCATATACCCAAAGTCTGGCAGGACCTTACTGTGCACAGGTAGACAATAACCATTGCCATCAACCAGGAGCATTTCTAGTGAAGAAATGGGACACTCATTGAACAGCCCACAGTCTAATGTCCTCAGATGACCTTGGTTGAAGATAGATCCTTTGAGCTTAGAATAAAGAGTAATCTGTATGTGTTAGAGTCCTCAGTTTCAGAAGTTCTCAAACTTAGTCCTTGTGTGTGCCAATTCACTCCTTTCAATTTGCTTCCATCCAACTCCTTTTCCACAAAGCTAACAGAAAAATGTTTTAACCACCAAAATCTAATTATGTTAGCCAGGCATGGTGGTGTGTACCTGTAGTCCCAGCTGCTTGGGAGGCTGAGGTGGGAGGATCACTTGAGTCCCAGAGGTTGAAGCTGCAGTGGGCTGAGATTGCACCACTGCACTCCAGCCTGGGCAACAGAGGAAGACCCTTTCTCAAAACAAAAACAAAAACAAAACAAAACAAAAAATCTATTTGTGGAGTTTCTCTATTTTAAAAATGGAGATCTTTGATCTCAGCATAAATTCTAGTCTCCTTATCCCCTTTTTACTGATGAAACTTCTTTCCCAATTCTCCTTCATACATTAAAATTCAGCCACATAAAATTGGTTTTTTCTGCAATGAGCCTTGAGCTCTCCATTCTCCTGATTTTTGCTAATTTTGTTTCTTCCTGCCTGAAATATGTATTTCCCAACCATGTCTATTTGGCAAATTTCTGTCCAGCCCTCAGGTCTTTTCTAATAGGCTGTTTCCCTGAGTCTTGGTTGGTTGCTCTTCCCAAGTGTCTCCATAATACTTTGTACTTCACTTTTCATGTGGTTTCATATGGTTATTGTGCTGTATCATAAAATCTTACTTTCTGTGTCTTCTACTTGACTATAAGCTCTGTGAGGAAAGGGATTGTGCCCAGCTTATTCACAGATTTATCTTTTAGAAGGGGGGTTAATAAATATTAATACATTAATAAATATTGGCTGATGAATGAATAAATTAGGCAGTAAGAAGAAGCAAAAGTATTTAAGAAATCAGTCAAGCAAACAAAAACAATAAAATAAATGTTCTTTACTTATGATGTTCTTTATCTCATAGGCAGCTGCATGCTTACATCTTTAAAGACAACATTTATGTGGCCATGGGGAGATAAAGTAATTGGCTGGTGAATTTGTCATGACCAGTCTGATTTATATAAATTTCTTATCTTCTGCAGCCTTTAAAATTCCATAGTTTAAAAATTCAGTGATTGAAATACTTTAATAGACAGTGTCTTCCAATGACTGTATTTTTACATACATTAGCCACTTACCGTTTGCAAGCTTGGGGATTTTTTGGGCCGGTATGTGATTATATTAACCCAAACTATAATCATTTTTTTTTGGCATAAATAAAGTCAAGCAGTTAGTAGAGGCCAAAGGCCCTAGCAGTCGTTTTAGTACATTTTGGATGGATGCAGATGAAATTACAGAGTCACATTTTATTTGTTGGCTGCTGTCCCAATTATGAGCTTAGCCACATTGGAGAGTTCAGAGAGATCAGAAAAGGAGGTAGGGAGAGGATACACAGTTCTAAGGAATTAATCCATGGTGCTATGGGCTTGCTTTTGCTCTGACCAGCAAAGAGATTAGCTCTGGGCCTCTGACCATATGAGCCTATGTGGATTAAAAAATTCTCCAATGTTTCCAAAACATTAATTATATTCTCTTTACAAAGTTTTACACTTATGCAGCTGGTAGATGGGGCAGGGGAGGTAGGGAGTGGGGAGAAGTGGGGGAGGGGGAGTGGCTGAATCAGATGCCATAATTATTTCAGGACTGGAAACAGAATTGAAATGACCCAGATGGTTACCCTAATGAAGCTGATCCAAAATGTGTGCCAAGAGGCATCAGAGCATGCCTTTCTCTCTGTGTGTGTGTGTGTGTGTGTGTGTTTAGGTGTACAAGTGCAAGTAGGCATGCATGATTGATTTTTGGCTGAAGTGGGCTTGGGGTTATAGCAATGCAAGTGTGGCAGGCCAAGATGGATGTGCATAGGAAAGCAATCACAATGCAGAGCCTCTTCCTGCTATGGCCTCGGGCTAGGCCTGACTCCTCTCAATTGCACCAGCATGGAAAATCCGCTTTCCTTTGGCTTTTAACATAGACCATATTTCCTGGGAATGTCTGGTGCCTTTTGGATAAGGTGCTTGAGGCAGATCAAGCAGGGCTAGGGACATTTAGGCTGCTGACTTGTGCCAGGGCATTTGTCCAAAACTCTGTCTCTAGCAGAAAAACACATATTGTGCTGCATGCTGGGGCGACTGTGACAACCACCTTGTTTATGGACTTTGTTTTACCAACATGAAGCAACATAGCTGCTGCAATGCCACGAGACAAAGGGCAAGGACAGGGCTCAAGACTGATACCATATCTACTCTGGTTTTAAAACAATAGAAAGATTTTTTTTCTTTTCGTGAAAGGACTTGATATATGTAAATCTTCAGCACCATGCTAGGTACATAGTATATACTAATTATAAGTTAGCTATTATTATTTTATTATTCATTTAACATCTTAGCCGTGGATCTAACTGTGCTTATAATTCAGAGGTATTTCTTTAATAAAGAGCCATGAACTTTGTTGGATATGAAGGGAGACTGATTTGAGAATTGATTATAGCAACTTTGCCACCTTGGATAATTGGGACTAAGCCTTCATTTTCTAACTGTAAAACAAAATTAGGATGGGCAGAGTATTCCTATAATTCTTCCCTTGGTAGGGGAAAAAGTTTCTTGCCTACTATGTGTTATGACTGCGTGTGATATTTTATACTTATGACCTCATTTAATCTTCACAATGAATTTGGCTTTATTAAGAGACTGAAATTCACAGAACCCAAGAAATTTGTTAAAAACAGCAATTACTTTCATTTATTGAGCACCTCACATTTGTCAAGCTCTCTACATACCATTCATTATTATTTCCTTAAGGTCACAATGCAAGGCATATTGTTATCATCCAGATCTATAAATGAGGCAACTGTGGCTCAAAGATTCAGCAATTCATCAAGATCCCACAACCAGTTAGTACTGGGGCAACGATTTGAACTCATATCTCTTCAACTCCTAAATCCATCATCTTTCTATTAAAAGAGGGTTGCATTGTGAGATTGCCTTCCCCTAAAGTAGGGGAGATCGCCTTCCCCTACTCCTACTTGAATGAGTCCAAGATGCACTTGTTTGATAATAAATTCTATTGACATTATTCAAGAGCTTAGAGAATAAAAAGTGTCCCAGGGAAAAGTATGCTTCAAAAAACATGGCTTGCCATATGTGCAGAGGAGGAAAAATTAAGTGAGAAGAACCTAAATTGATGAGAGCTTCCAAAGACATAGGGATATAAACAGTCTCTAAATTGGAAATGTGATGTAGTATTGGCCACAGAGCATGCATGTGTGTTTGTGTGCTGGGAGAAGGAGGGAGAGTAAGTAACACAGGCTCTTGATAGATAAGAGAAAAAAGCAGGTACTGCTGCCCTTGTGGGCTTTCTCTCTGATGTATAGGGGGTAGCGCTGAGAATGGGCAGTGGGAACGGGGAGGGTGACCATCCCACATACCTCCTGCTGCTTGGTGGGCACTGCCAAGTGCATTCTCTCCCTGGGCTTGTATTTGGGAAGAGATTACCTTGGGAAATATACTGCGAACAGGAGGGTGGCAGGATTCTTACTTTTGGTTTGGGTTTGGACTCCCTGACTCCCACTCAGCTGCTGGGGCTCCCTCTGATGAATTGCTTGTAATGAAAGTCTGTCTCCTGGGCTAAACAGCACATGGGAGCTCTGATTTTGCCTCTTATTGTGTAACCCCAAGCAAGTTGTTCTACTTCACTGAACTCTGAAGATAACAGTGATCACCTACCTCCCAGGGACCCTATGAGGAATGGCCAGTAAACATGAATATAAGTGCCACATAAACGCTAAGTAAATGACATTAATCCTCCCGTGTACAGTGGTGTGCCTATCCAGGCTGCTAAATCTCTCTTCAGTGACACAAACCCAGGGCCTCAGGATAGGATGTTCTTGCAGAAACACAATTTAAGCCACAAACCAGATCACGTTAGGGGGTGTAACTCCAAGAAGGGCAGACAAATTGAAAGAGATAAGGCTGAAAATCTATCACTAACTCACTCTCTTGGGCTATGGAGTCTAGCACGTATTACGTGATGCCTCAGTGCCTTTCTGTTTGAAAGTCACTTCAGATTGCAAATCCTCACTTGCCTTTGTCTTTCCAAACAAAACTTGATTCTGAACTTTAGAATATAAGTTTTGCATATTTCCAAAAGAAAATTGTGCTGGAAGTGCAGAATAAAGATAGTGGATGCTTTTGCCCAATCTTCCTCTGTGCTTGGTTGAAACAGAATTGTTCAGCTGTTGGCAGTGATCTGTGATGCTGCCGGCTACCCTGGGCTCCTAAATGGTTTTGAAAGCTGCTGGAAATTGTTGTAATAGGCAGCAGAAGGGAAACAGCCATGTTTGCTGCAGGGGAATTTGGGGTTCACGTTGCTGGCTCTTCCTCACACTAGTCATACCTCACAATGGCTTTGGGCAACAAGGTTTGCACTTCTGAATTTTTAGTGAAAATGTCTACTCTAATGGGATTCTGTTACATCAATCTTTAATACACAAATAGTAATCTGGTTATAAGCAAAATGTTCCTTCCTTTCTCTCTTCCTGCCTACCTTCATTTGACATGCATAGTTATCTTTTAAGATAGGGTTAACCATTGCATTTACCTATAAGATGCATAGTTTTACTCTTTCAAACTTAGGATGGGGAGAGATATTGTTTTTGCTTTAAAGATGGGACCCCTCGGTCTGATCTCCAAAGCCGGGTGTTGCTGCTTGTGAAAACTGTCTTGTGCTGGGTTCCATGACACCACACTCTCCTGGTCTTTTGTCAACTTCCTATTTCTTGTCAGTTTCTTTTTGCAGGCTTCTCTGCTGGACCTCCAAATTTTGGATTGATCCATTCAGTGCCTGGTCCTTGACCATCTAATCTTTTTGAATGTGCTTCCATTAAATATGGGAAGATCATTAAATATTGATAACTCTATATTTATATTTTGACCACTGACCTCTGCTTTGATTTTTTTCAGATTTATGTATGCAACTATCTACCTGATTCTCTACTTGGATATTAAATCAAAACTTTCAAATTAACATATCCTGAAATGAACTTTTTATTTCTCCTTGCCCAAAGCCCCTTCTTTCCCAGTCTCTCTTCTCTTCATCTTCCATTTTAATTATTTATTTATTCACTTGGTTTTTGGCTCCTTTTTCTGAGGCAAGATATTTCCTTTTTTAAAATAGAATTTTTCTATATTGCCCAGGCTGAAGTGCAGGGGCTAGTCACAGGTGCAATCATCATGCGCTACAGCCCTGAAATCCTGGCCTCCAGCAATCCTCCCACCTCAGCCCCCAGAATAGCTGGGACTACAGGTGTGTACCACCACACCTGGCTCTCCTATTTTCCTGACAACAATACCATCCATCTGGCTGTTCCTGCCAAACACAAGGATAATCCTGGATTGTTCTCTTTCCTTTTATCTTCATTGTTTAATTCATCGACAAGTCCTCCAAAATACATTCTGAATCTCAACATTTTTCACCATCTAAACTGCCACCAGCATGGTTCAAACCACGAATATGTCTCATTTGGACTATACTGCAATAGCCTTCTAAATGATATTCCTGCACCAATCTTGCCTCCTACAGTTTATTCTCTGCATAACACTAAATGGAATTTATGATGTTTATTATTTATTTGTGCTTCCTAGATGATGAAACTTGGAAGGAAGTGAGTGAATTGTTTCAGAACACACAGGAGCAATGAAGGAAGAAAGACCTGAAGTCAATTCTTCATAGTTCTGAAATTAGTTAACTTTTGAAGGGTTTCAATCCCATTTGTTACCTGATCATTTAAATTAGGGTTTAATATAAAATTCTACTAATAATGGGTATTAATTATAGAGCACTTACTGTGTGCTGGGCATGATTCCAAGGACTTTACATAATTTAGACTCTTTAATCTTACAATAACCCAATGAGCTATATAGTATTGTTATTGCTTTTTAAATATGAGGAAACTGAGGTACATAGCTGTTAACTGTCTTGTCCAAGGTTACAGAGCCAGTGGGCGGCAGAGGCAGGATTCAAGCCCAGGGATTGGTCTCTGGACTTTGCTGTGTTATGCTGATCCTCCATCAAAGCCACGAGTTTGTTCCAACATGATCTATTAGTTCTTTTGGGGGCATTTCTTTTTCTTTTTGTACATTGGTTATTTTATCTGTTGAATGAATTTATTATGAGAACAAAAATTATCCATTACAGTACCAATAGTGTCTTAGGTACAGCTAAGAGGAGAATTGTCATAGCTTTAGATTTCTTCTACATACACGGTAGTTTGAGCCCACAGTTTTGAGTTTTAAGTGATATTTACTCAAGGGGCAGGCTAAAAATCAACTCCCAAATTGCCTCAAATATTTTCTATTAGGTAACATTTCCCCAAAAGATGCTGCCCTGAAAGCTTCTATGTGAAACAGCAAATCCTCTCAGGTCCCAAAGGGGCTACTTACAGTTTAAAAAATAGTCGGCCTCTCTCTCTTGCACCTGTGCTGTGCTTAGTAGATTTATTCAGTCAGAGAAAACTTCAAAAAGGATTGGCGATTTGAACTGAGCCTTCACGAACTGAAAGAATTTTGAATATCGAAAAGAGAAGGTTGCACTTATGCCAGCTCGGCACCATGGAATGCATAGAAACAACAAGCCTGTTTGCCGCTTAATTGAACAATTGTGATGCTAATCTGTTTATCCCTTTGTGTCTCAAAGGTAACACTATACACTTAGCCTGGGTAATGTGTAACGTAACATCACCCAGAAACAGAATGTTGCTTCCTTTCACTGGTGGCTGCCTTTCTGTCCCCTCCATCTTTGTGAATAATTCTTTGTTGATACGGGACTCATTATCATTATTGATTAAACTTTGCCATCTCAGTTTGATGTCGGCGAATACCTTGCTCATTTTAATCTGTCTCAGGGCCAAGTTTTATGCTTACCATGTTTTAATTTGTCCCAGGATTGTGTTTGCCTGATGCTAATATAAAGATTGAGGACTCTCCTGGGGCATTTTGTGACTGACACAAAAAAGCGTTTGGAAATCTATAAATACTCCTTTAGGATAAGCCTTGAGACTCACGAACAGAACTCGGTGGCAGCCTCCCTGTGGCTGTTGCCTTGAAACCAGACTCATAAACTAAAGCCGGGAATAAATGTCTATAGTAAAACTGTTTATCAGTTTACATGTTTTAACTCAGGGGTGATTTTTTTTCCCCCTTACTTCAATCCTGAATATTTTTCTCTTCCTGAGACACTCTATTGTTCAATTGACCTCTACAGATATTGACTTTATTAGATTTTTGGTCAGCACAGAGTCGTATTATATGCTATGAATATGGTACTAGTTTTATAATATTTTATTTTGAAATAATCTCACACTTACAGAGAATTTACATCAATAGAACAACAAGCTCCCCCACGGGAGGAGATTCATCCCGATTTCCCAATTGTTATCCTTTTAATTTGCTTTACCTGATGCTAATTGAAATGACCATTTCTCATTCTCCGAATTCTTGCTAGTTCACTACCTGTTTAGAGCATATAAATCAAAACAGGGAAGACCTGTTTGGATGCTTATGAGGGGAGGATGGAGGAAAAGATGGGATTATGATTAAAGGGAGAGGAGGAAGAGAGGGGATTACTATTAGAGGAAACACAGGAAGCTTTGTAGCAGCACTGTCGCAGGCACACTATATTTCTCCAACAGGGACTCCAGAAACAGTGCTCCAGTGACATTAGTTTTTTCTGAGGTGCTCTGAAGGCCTTACTTTCCAAATAAGCTCATATATCCATTTTCTCTTATAGACTGGTGATAAATAACAGTATTTCTATTTAGGTGGCTAATAGTGATGCAGAAAATAAAGTCAAGTGCAAAAGTTGCCCCTTTGGGACATTACATGGAAATGTGTAGTGCTTCTCCTGATATTGCCAATTGAAGACCCCTCTGAGCAGGTTTCCGAGGTCTCCCCATCAACCCTTGGGTCACGCAGACAGGGAGATTGCCAGTGAAGTGGCAAATTGCCCAACCTCTCAGCAGTGTGTACAGATCCTGAAGAGTGCAGCCCGGAGTGTCCTGACTGACCTGGGAGGGAAATGAGTAATGTGATTTGAATTGGCAAAAAAACATGATTTTCACTTTTAAAGCGATCTTTTATTCTTGAGCTGAAGCCAGTTGAAATGCCCCCAGCCTGGGCCTTTTTATTCAGACAAGAACAATGAGATCAATTTCAGCAGAAAATGAGGGAGCAGGAGAGAGATGGCAGCTGAGGTAATCGGCTGTAAAGGACAAAGTTTGAAATTAAATATTATGGCTTAAATAGTCCTTTAATTCAAGCCTCCCTTCTTTCCCTTCTCCAATCTTGCATCAGAGAAATAAAACAAAAAGCTCCTTACTGCAAAATGGAAGACAATCTTTTTCTAATAGAAGAAAATTCTCTCTGCAACATAAATTTGAACTATAGCGATTTGATTTCTATGGAGATAAAGAGGCAGAGGAGTTAGTGCTGTTTGGAAGGGAATGTAAATGTGGTGTTAAGGAGCAAGGAAGAAAACTTCACGTATGCTGGCTTATTAGAATTTGCTGTATTTTATCCTGTTTTTGTTGAGCAGCAGAAGGGATGCAGGAAGCTTTTTATTTAATTTTTAGGGCAATTAGGGAGAGGAAATCCAGGCTGAGTGACTTTAGACTGCTCATTACCTTCTGGCGGGCAGAAGGAGAGTGCATATTTTAAATGTTAAGATCAGATTATTTATAAGTTTCTCTTTGAGATTCAAGGGCATGGAAGGAACGATAAGTCGATTAACAGAGAAAACAGCCTTATATACACAGCTGGTTTAATCTTTGTAATAGGTCACAGACTGAAGAGCAGCATTTCAGTCTCTTCCTGGAAATGACAGATTCTAGGGAACTACTAAGATTTTAAAAAAGAAAACTTTTAGACAATCCCCCACCCCGACTCCAAATCTCTTAAGGAATCTTGTGGTGGGGGATAGGCATTCCTAGGTCTTGTTTCGCTGTGCTGTCATGACAATTTTCATTCCACACCTTCTGTGGAATGAATTACTGACTCCTCTAGAAGTAAGTGAAAGCCTCTGAATTTGGTCATTTCACTGTTATATGTAACAAGGTGTCTTGGGTTGTTTTGTAAAATGAATGCATCTAGCTATAAGAGAATTCATGGTCATTTCATTTTCTGGCAATAACGGCTGACTACCTCCTTGATCAGATGACACAGGCTAACCTGAATGTTCTAAAAAAATTTTGCTGACACTCTTTCCCTGAGAGCTTGTATGGTTTTCTTTGTGGGGTTGTCTGAAGGTCTCTATTCTTCAAAGTTCTTTTCGGGAAAAGTAATAAAACTACCTAGTTGAAGCAGTGAAGGCACTTTGGAGTATCCCCTGGGTGCTGAAAAGAGCAGGTCAACGTCACCCTGAGGAGGACAGGAGCCAGGACCCTCAGGAGCTTGGCAGTGGGAGTGGGCTGCCCTTCTCTCTGAGTGCTGTCCTTAATGTGACTTTGTCTCTGATTTCAGGTCCCGGTGTTTAATTCCTGATACCAATTCCTGGGAGAGAAAATTGGGTTCCTCCAGCTTCGATTAGGTGTTCTCTTGAGGACCTATGAGCAGTTGGCGGGGTCGGGGGAGAATCACATGGCTGCCCAGTGCTCCCAGGTGTACAGAAATTCCTAGCAGGGTGGAAGCCTGGTGACAGGGGAACCCCTTAAGAGTTGTCTGTTGTACTCAGCTAATCTTTGTGTGCAGGAAAAACAATTTGCTATTTGAAATCACAGCAGCCTGTAGCCACTTCTGAATCCTAAGGAAGTCTCAGAATTCCTCTTTGGAATAGATGAGTTTTTTGACTGTGAATGAAAGACAAACACCAGGGAAAGACTTGGAAAGTGTAGGAATGAGAAAAAAAAATCTAAACTGACTTTATCAATAAAACAAGAATTTGGAGGTTGCCGGGGACTGGACTGGGTAAAGAAGCTCAGCTGTAGCGAGAAAGCCAAGAATGTACATGGCGAGTGCAGTGAGCTGAGGAAGTGGGCATAGTGAGGGGTATTTACAGTACGAGCATCTTTAAAAACATTCAAACTCTTTTTTTTTTCAATGTTAAAACGGGAACCACTCAGACTGTGTCCTCTCCCTCTTACTTTGCCGGAGGAAGAGAAAAACAATCCTCAATGCCAAATGGCACCTGCAGCGAAGCAACACTAAGAGCTGGCCTGGCTCTCAGGGGAGAACCCTGTGCCTCCTCCTCGCTCCTCCTCCTGGTTTCCGGTGCTCTTCAGCAGTCCCCAACCTTTTTGGCACCAGGGACTATTTTTGTGGAAGACAATTTTTCTACAGGTTGGGTTGGGGGGCTGGTTTCAGGATGAAACTGTTCCACCTCAGATCATGAGGCATTCGATTCTCATAAGGAACGTGCAACCTAGATCCCTGGCATGCACCATTCACAATACACTTCACGCCCTTCTGAGAATCTAATGGTACAGCTGATCTGACAGGAGGCAGAGCTCAGGCGGTAATGCTGGCTCACCTGCTGTTCACCTCGTGCTGTGTGGCCCGATTCCTAACAAGCCACGGACCTGTACTGGTCAGCTGCCCAGGGACTGGGGACTGCTGCTCTACACTTTCAGAGAAACTTCTCTAGGGATGGACTATAGAAGTGATCCCTGAAAGTAGAGTCTTGGTATAGGCATCTTATATCCAGTTTTTAATTTAGCCTCCTGGACACTGCAACATAGTCCTGTCCCTTCCCACAATGTAGTAAAAGTCTGACCTATACCCAGTCTTCAGTTTGTTGGTATTTCATGTAGGGAAGGAAGTGGTGGTTGGACTCATGTGAAGTACACAACGAAAGGATCTCTCAACCCAGCTAATGGAGATCAAAATAACTTGAAGCCAGAACCAAGTAAGAGTATATAATATTTGTAAATAGAAGTGCTCTTCTCCCTCCTTCTAAAGAATTTCAAGTGAAATTGAGAGGGCAGAAAATTTTCTCTGGGAGTAGGGAAGGGAATGGTGTAGGAGTTTAGACTACACTTGTTTGAATTTTAAAAGAGAGGCAACTCCAGCTGAGTTTTGGGATAGAAGAATAAGAACCATATATATGTTGAAACAGTATTAAATGTGGTAACATGGAGAAATTTTTAGATTGTCCTTTAAAGGTTTCACCTTGAACCTAAAGTCATTGTAGCTGCAGTGGCATGCACCCTGTATGTATCATCAGAATGGGGCCGGGAGCTGGTAAAGCTTAAAAATGTGCACTTGTACCAGGAAAATGGTTCATTGTGAAAAATCTCAGCTCTTGGATTTCTAGAATTGCTCTGTTTCTACACTGCCACTGTCTTGGCAGCAGGAGGGACAGAGGTGGGATTCTCACTGGTCCTTGGGCTGCCATCCTTATATGTCTGATATAAACTCAGAGAAGAAGCAAAATAGCCCTGTAGAAAATTGAAGTTAGTAAGTGGTCTGAAAAAAATGTGTCTCGTCAGCTTTCAATTTTTCATTCTAAGGAAGACATTGATGAAATTCTAGGTGCCATTTCTGAAGTGCCAAGAGGACCAGGGTAGTTCCTCCAGGGTAATGAGCTCTTTTTATTGATGTCTTCATTTATTCACTCATTCTTTTATCGGGGTATATTTAATACATAAAATGCTTTAGAAAGATGCTGGGTACTGAGTGCATAAAAAGGCAGACATTTAAATAAGGTATTAAAATATTGAGGTAAATGCCAGTAGAAGGCTGTATAAAGTGCTCAAGGGAATGCCAAGAACAGTCAAATAAAATAGTTATGCCTAAAATTGGGGACAGAATGAGATGGGAGAGAAGAAGATAATTTTGCCTATACTACACCCCACCTTTCTTTCTTACAACTCAGAAAATGTGTCTGTTTCTTGCTGCTTCCAGGCCCTTCCATCATTCCCTTTAAGACACTTTTTGTTACAAGAATTTCATTGTAGATGGTAGTTTATTGTTTTGTAATTCTTTTTTAGTATTAGGCTTTAGTGAACTGGCCTCAGGGCCCTGATCACTAGCCATAGCATTGCCTCTGTAGAGTTTTGAGTTTCAAATGAAACTTTGAAATAGAATTTGCTTTAAGTTGGAATTGTCTGTATGAAAACATTTTAAGTATGAATTCCTAGCCGCTAGGATAAATTTCAAGAACAGGCCTATAGAAACAAGTGTAACTGTAGTTATAAAAATAATACTGTTTCTACCACTAACTCAAAAAGCTCACAATACCAAATTCAGGCTATCTTACTACTGCTTTAATTCTCTGTATGTACCTTACGCTAGAGAAATTCAACATTGTTGAGTGATTCATTAAACACTGATTTCAAAGTCTACTCCTTTTCCCTCTGAACTGGCGAACTTTTGTTTGGGCGTAATCACGAGTCTGTTGTTTTTTTGATGCACATCTCAAATGCAAACAGTAAATTCTACATTGTGGTTTTAGGCTAGTTTTGTAGCAAGAAAGTAGTCTGACTCAAGCTACTTGTGGTGGATACTGGGATGTGCCACACACATCCCCCGTGTTGGACTGAGAGTCATGTTCCCCTAGCTGCTGGGAGTGTTGGCTGCCCATGATTCAAGCTGAGTCCCTCCACAGGAACTGCCCTCAGCAGAAGGGAGCTGCATCATTCAAGATTGCATCTCCTCCCTTTATCTCTTAGCTGTTTGATATGGAGGTAAAAATATCTGGCTACTTTGCCTCTATCCAGGACAACTCTGAGGGGATATCTGTAGCAGAGAACCATGTATTATTCCATAATAACTCCTGGCATTCTACTGGGCCTTGGTAGAGATGGAGTTTCTGAACCTGTGTCAGGGCCACCCATTATGGGCTGGGTTTGGTCACCAAGTCATTGATGGACAAGATCAACAACAATTTGTCAAAAGATGGAAGCAGTACATTTTAGATATGTCATGAGCTGGTCCAGAAGGCACAGGTAAACCTAGAGCCCTATGTCAGCATCACCACTCTTGCACTGGCATGAATTCCTCTGCTCACTCTTCTGGCCTGTGGAGGATCTTTTATGACCAACTAATTGAAGAAGAAAAAGTCCTAAATTAGTTTATGGATAAACTGGCTTAGTACATGGATGCAAGCTGAGAGTAGCCTGCTGCTTTACTACCACACCACTCAGGTAAGGCTCCCACAATAGCAATAAAAGTTAATGTCCACAGTGGTCAACACTTGTGTGACACCTCCAGTAAAGATATATCTAGATTCCTGGGTAGTGGTGAATGGCGTGTGATTTAAGCAGGTGCTGCAAAGAAGAAAATCAGGAACAAAGGAGATCTGAGCATGTGGACGCAGGCACAAAGTATAAAGATCTTTGTGTCTCTGTTAATGTCCACTAGAGAACATCCACTATGAGAGACAGTAACAACCAAGTAGAGAGAATGGCCTGCCAGTCGATATCAGCTAGCCTCTGTCATTCTTTACTCCACAGAAGGCACAATAGAATAGCCATTGTTACAGGGGTGAAGGCTATGCTTGGGCCCCAAAGCATGGGCTGCCACTCACAGAGGTGGATCTAGCTACTGTTGCTGCTCAATGTCCAATATGTCAGCCACAGAAATAAACACTGGGCCCCTAGTATAGCTCTCTCTCTCTGTCTCTCTCTCTCTCTCTTTTTTTTTTTTTTTTTTTTTTTTTGTTGAGATGGAGTTTTACTCCTGTTCCCCAGGCTGCAGTGCAATGGCGTGATCTCAGTTCACTGCAACCTCTGCCTCCAGGGTTCAAGCGATTCTCCTGCCTCAGCCTCCCGAGTATCTGGGATTACAGGCACATGCCACCACACCCAGCTAATTTTTGTGTTTTTAGTAGAGACGGGGTTTCACCATGTTGGCCAGGCTGCTCTCAAACTGCTGACCTCAAGTGATCTGCCCGCCTCGGCCTCCCAAAGTGCTGGGATTACAGGTGTGAGCCATTGTGCCCAGCCACCTCTCTTTAGGAGAACAATAAACCACTCGTTGGCAGCTCGATTACATCGAACTCTTTCCAACATGTAAGAGACAACTGATCATCTTAACTGGAACTTATGAGATGACACATGTTCTTTTTTAAATTTTTTTTTGAGATGACACATATTCTAAATATGGATTTGCTTTTTTCCTTTTCTTGTTTGCAGGGCCTCACTGCCTGAGAGCTTATACAATGTTTGATCTACCAACATGGTGCTCTGTATCATATCACTTGAGACCTAAGGACCCACTTTATGGTAAAGAAGGAAGACAGTGGGCACATGACCACAGGACACAATTGTCCTTTAACATACCATGCCACATAGAATATCCTGCCCAATAGAGTGATGGAATGGACTTTGAAGCTCATCTCAGGTGCCAGCTTGAAGATGAAACCCTTTGAGGAGAAGGCCCAGTACATATTATATACCATAAGACAGTGAGTGATTTGTGAAGTAGAAATGGCCCTGTTTGTAATAACTTTCAGTGATCCTCTTGAATAGTTTGTACTTCCTGTTCCTGCAATTTTAGGTACTGAACATTTCCATCAGGAAATACAGAAAGAACTCCTTTAAACTTTCAGCTGTGGATACCACCTAGTCACTTTGGATTTCCTGGAGGCCTCCCTCCATTCCTTATCATGCAAGTCTCTCCATAAGGCAGCTTACGACATAGCACTGGTTTTTCTCAGAATGAGCAACAGTGAGAGCAAGAGAGAGCAGAAAAGTTGAAGCCCCAGTTCTCAATCTTTTTCTTTTTCTTTTCTTTTTTTTTTTTTGAGACAGAGTTTCACTCTTGTTGCCCAGGCTGGAGCACAGTGGTGTGATCTCAGTTCAGTGCAACCTCTGCCTCCCAGGTTCAAGCAATTCTTCTGCCTCAGCCTCCTGAGTAGCTGGCATTACAGGCATGCACCACCAAGCCCACCTAATTTTTTTTTTATTATTGTAGAGATGGGGTTTCACCATATTGGCCAGTCTGGTCTCGAACTCCTGACCTCAGGTGATCTGCTGGCCTTGGCCTCCCAAAGTGTTGGGATTGCAGGCATGAGCCACTGTGCCTGGCCGTCTTCAGTCTTTTTCTAACCTAATATTGTTCCATACCATCTGCCATATTCTGTCACAGTCAGTAAGTCCATCCCACACTCAAATCAAGAGGATTAAACAAGGGCTTGAATTCCAGAAGGCGGACATTATCGGGAGCAATCTTAGAAGCTGCCTTCCATAGTTCATCCTCTGGATCCCAGTAATTCATGTCCATCCCACATGCAAATACATCCATTCTCAACCAATATCTCCCAAAGTTTCATCTCATAGCATCAGCTCAAATTCCAGAGTCTTAAGTCAGGTCCAAGTGTGGATGGGATTCACCAGGTACCATTCCTTAAGTACAGCCCATATCCTTTCAATTTGTAGACCTGTGAAAGAGGCAAATTTCCTCTAGTTTCCACACCCCTTGTAAAATGGTGGAACAGATGTAGGCTGGCTACCTGTTACAAACATTTCTTTTGAAAAAAAGGGAAAATCGGGAACATAAGACAGTCATTGCTTGTTGGGAATTGTAAACTCCAGCAAAACAAATGTTTAAAGATTAATTAGATCTCGAGGCCTGAACTATTATTCATAACATTTGGTCCTGCTCTCTGGGCTCTTGGTTTCACCTCTTTGTCTCCTTTCTTTTTCATAAAAGATACCATGTGTTTACATTTGAGTAGTTTTCTCTTCCTATCTGGGATTTTGACTGTGTTCCAAATACTGTCTGTTTTGTAGATTCTTCCTTTATCTCCTTATTCCTTGTGTCACCAGTTTCCTATTCAAAGTCTAAGCTAATGGGTCTGTTTGATAAAGCCCAGGCTTCATTGACCTACCTACCAGGGAAGCTGGGGAAGTACTTAAATCTTTACTTTCTTGAGTAGGATTCTGAGTTTTCTAAGACCTAAAAGATTGAGAATTTCCCCACACAGGGGTGGGATTTAGATATTGGTCAGTCAAAAGAATGAGAAATGTTCCTTATAGTCATCTTTTGAGGTTAAAAATGCATTTTCTTATATGTATGTATCTTTGATGTGTACTATCTTTATACTCATACCTTGTAATTATTTTTATTTAATTTATTTTTCAGCTTATTTTAAGTTCGGGGGTACACGTGCAGGATGTGTGGGTTTGTTACCCAAATACTGTCTGTTAGGTAAACGTGTGTCATGGTGATTTGCTGCACGGATCAACCTATCACCTAGGTATTAAGCCCAGCATCCATTAGCTATTCTTCTTGATGCTCTTCCTCCCTCTGCCATTCCTGACAGGCCCCAGTGTGTGTTGTTACCCCAATGTGTCCATGTGTTCTTATCATTCAGCTCCCAGTTATAAGTGAGAACATGTGGTGTTTTGTTTTCTGTTCCTGCATTAGTTTGCTGGGATTAATGGCTTCTAGCTTCATCCATGTCCCTGAAAAGGACATGATCTCATTCCTTTTTATGACTGCATAGTATTCCATGGTGTATATGTACCACATTTTCTTTATCCAGTCTGTCACTGATGGGCATTTGGATTGGTTCCATGTCTTTGCTATTGTGAATAGTGCTGCAGTGAACATACACATGCATGTATTTTTATAACACAATGATTTATATTCCTTTGGGTATATAGCTGGTAATGAGATTGCTGGGTCAAATGGTATTTCTGCTTCTAGATCTTTGAGGAATCGCACACTGTCTTCCACAATGGTTGAACTAATTTACGCTCTCACCAACCATGTAAAAGCATTCCTTTTTTTGTACAACCTTGCCAGCATCTGTGGTTTCTTGACTTTTTAAGAATAGCCATTCTGACTGGTGTGAGACGGTGTATTAGTCAGGGTTCTCTAGAGGGACAGGACTAATAGGATAGATGTATATATGAAAGGGGATTTATTAAGGAGTACTGACTAATGCTATCACAAGGTGAAGTCCCACAATAGGCTGTCTGCAAGCTGAAGAGCAAGAAAGCCAGTCTGAGCCCCAAAACCTCAAAAGTAGGGAAGCCAGCAGTATAGCCTTCAGTCTCTGGTGTAAGTCCAAGAGTCCAAAATCTGAAGAAACGGAGTCCAATGTTTGAGGGCAGGAAGCATTCATCATGGGAGAAAGATGAAGGCTGGAGGACTCAGCCAGCCTGGTCCTTCCACGTTCCTCTACCTGTTTTATCCTAGCCACTCCAGCAGCTGATTAGATGGTATCCACCCAGACTGAGGGTGGGTCTGCCTCTCCCAGTCTACTGACTCAATTGTTAATCTCCTTTGGCAACACCCTTACAGACACACCCAGGAACAATATTTTCCATCCTTCAATCAATTAAGTTGACACTCAATATTAACTATCAGAGATGGTTTCTCATTGTGGTTTTGAGTTGCATTTCTCTAATGATCAGTGATGTTTAGCTTTTTTTCATGTTTGTTGGCTGCATGAATGTCTTCTTTTGAGAAGTGTCTGTTCATTTTCTTTGCCCACTTTTTTTTTTTTTTTTTGAGATGAAGTCTCACACTGTCGCCCAGGCTGGAGTGCAGTGGCATGATCTCGGCTCACTGTAAGCTCCGCCTCCCAGGTTCATGCTGTTCTCTTACCTCAGCCTCCCGAGAAGCTGGGACTATAGGCGCCCACCACCACATCCGGCTAAGTTTTTGTATTTTTAGTAGAGATGGGGTTTCACCGTGTTAGCCAGGATGGTCTCGATCTCCTGACCTTGTGATCCACCCGCCTTGGCCTCCTAAAGTGCTGGGATTACAGGCTTGAGCCACTGCGCCTGGCCTGCCCACTTTTTAATGTTTTTTTTTTTTTTTTCCTTTTAAATTTGTTTAAGTTTCTTGTAGACTCTGGATATTAGACCTTTGTCAGATGGGAAGATTGCAAAATTTTTCTCCCATTCTGTAGGTTGTCTGTTCACTTTGATGATAGTTTCTTTTGCTGTGTAGAAGTTCTTTAGTTTAATTAGATCCCATTTGTCAATTTTTGCTTTTGTTGCAGTTGCTTTTGATGTTTTTGTCGTTTATTTTATTTTAAATTCAAAGAGATGAAACTCAGAACAAAGTGCCACAGTCAAGCAAAAAAAAAAAAAAAAAAAGGATTAACTGGAAATGTATGTACTTATGAATTAAATTAAAAAACTAATATTTGTGTTTAGTGTCTTTCTCCAAGAAGCTCTAACTAGTCAGAGTGCAGGGGAAGATTTTGGGATTTTGTCAGTATGTACTCACTTGGGGATCAATTTTGAGATACCATTTACAGCTCAATACCCAACATTGCTATTTCTTGCATGACATATGATTGACCTTTGGGAAGAGAAGTCTGATCTTACATTTTAGATTAAGGGCAGTTGTATGTATTGCCTAATGCTCGTCAAGCATTAAATTAGAGGTAGACTCAATTTCTCAATGTTCTATTAGTGGGAGATTGAAAATTCAACTTTCTGAGGAGTTTCTACTAAAAAAAAACTTTTGGATGTTTAGGAGTCAGATAAAACCAGTGCGACCTTTTTCATTCATTGCTATATTTCCAAACTTTGATGGGGAAATACAGATTCCAGATTGTTTAATTATAAAAGACCTTTGATTTATACATTTTATACTTTTTATTATACTTTTTGGAATATACTTCCTTGATTTTCCTGGTATTTTTGACAAATGAAACATGCTTTCTTGAATATAAGGACAGAAAATATTTTCTCTGCAACATCACAGGAGGCTTTTTTTTTCCATTTTAAAAATTGTGATAAAATACACATAACATAAAAATTACCATCGTAAGCATTTTTAAGTGTAAAGTTCAGGGGTATTAAGTACATTTACATTGTTGTACAGCTATCACAACATCCATCTTCAGAACTCTTTTCATCTTGCAAAATTGAAACTTTCTACCCATGAAACAATAACCTGCAATTTCCTCTTCCTCCAGCCTCTGGCAACAAACATTCTACTTTTCATCTTTATGATTTTGGACTATTTAAGTACCTCCTATCTGTGAAATCATATATTGTGCTTTTCAACTGGCTTATTTCACTTGGCATAATGTCCTCAAGGGTTCATCCATGTTGTCACATATGTCAGAATTTCCTTCCTTTTTAAGGCTGACTAATATTCCATTGTATGTAGATACTACATTTTGCGTATCCATTCATCTGTTGATGGCCATTTGGATTGCTTTCACATTTCAGCTATTGTGAATAATGCTGCTATGAACATGGGTATACAAATAGCTCTTTGAGAAACAGGCAGCTTTTGCTTCATTACTTTAGGTTGATTGCTTGGAAATAGCTGCTACTGGAACAACACTTGTAATTTACAAAATAACCAAGAAAGCTGATTATATTAGCTAGGGTTTCAGTAGAAAGCAAAATTCAACTCAAGTGATGCAAGATATTTTGATCAAGAGAATAATACACAGGTATGTGTTTTAGGGTGTACTGGGGGTTAAGGAAATTAATAAGGAGTGTTGAGATACCCAGACATTAGCAACAGCAGGAAGCAGTTAGCATCTTTAGTTGTCAGTGGGCAAGGGGAGGAAATAGTGTTAACAGAACCTACTGAGAGCTGCAGCTACAGAGAAGGAACCATGGACAGTAGCTGAACCCATGAAAAGATGCAGCTACTGCCATAAAAGTGGCCCAGAGTGGGCAGGCATGGGAACAAAATACCGCAACCTCTTTTTCCTCCTGCCCTCCAATCTTTTGCTAATAAATCCCATTGGTTGAGTCTAATCAGAAGCCAGCTAGCCAGAGCTAGCTGTCCAGGGTGACATATTGGTCAGTCCTATATTGATCAGTCTCATGGGAAGGAGGAAGGTGGAAAAGGACAAAAGAATGGATGAGGAAGGGTTCTTCCATAGATAAACATTTTCAACTTTCAGAATTTGTGCTTAGGGATAGCTGGCTTGTTCTTCTCTTACAACTGAAAAAGTTTTATTCAATCTTTTTTTCTCTCTGCTGAGACACAAGGAAATGAGGCACACATTATTTATGAGCTTACTTTGTTTTTCATGGCAATGTGCCTTTAGAGACTGAATCACTGAATCAGAAAGTAGAATGACCAGAAATGGATCATTTCATACTGTGTACTAAAAGACACAAGCATTTAAAATTTGCTTATATCAAGCCCACTCCCAAGAAAGAATAGGAGGCTGTAGTCACAGCTCCTGTGCCTGGCCAGTGTTCATGCATGGGTGAGGAGAAATGCTGACTGAAGAAACTGAGCTGAAACCAAAGAGAATCTGTCAAAGTGATGAAAAATGAACTGTATAGGCTTCAGACACACTGCATGACCAGATGGGTAAATTAGGAATTGTTTGAAGAAGCTTCTGTAAGGGAGATGTGACTGAAGACAATTATTTTATGATGTGCAAAATGCAAAAGGTGGTGTATATATGTGTGTGTCTGGGGGAAGAGTGAAAAGCAAATGGGGATTAGTAATACTGAAGGCAACACAAAAACAGAGTGTAAGAATACTAACAGTTTCCCATTATTTAGGGGGATTGTGACACTCTTTAAAAACAAATGGTGAGAGAATTTCTATATTCATAGAACTTTTACCACTTTTTTTTTTTTTTTTTTTTTTTTTTTTTTACTGTTTCTTTCATTGCGTAGAACTTCCATCAATATCTCATCAATTCCCCAATTCTCCAGAAAGGCAATGGCAGAGTATAGGCAATTACAGGGCTGCATTTGCACATAACAGAGTCAGAGATAGACTCAGATTCTGATCCAAATTTATATTTCAACAAAACTTCCTGCTTCTGAGTTCATTGCTGAATAAGTAGATCTTGCTGCCTTTCATTGCATTATACTACATCTGCCCTTTTGATGTAAACACACATGTCTATCATATCTTTCCAATGCAATTTGCAATGAGTGACCCCATTTCAAAGCAATATTTGTTTAGCAAAGACAGTTTGCCTTGGCAAAGTTTTCTAAATAATTCATAGATGATTTCTACTGAGAAAGAAATATTGGTCTCAGTGCATAAAAAGTAAGTAGCCAATGTCTATCTTAAACTAGACAAAAAGAGTATTCATTAAGGGTTGCAGTCTCTAATCAAAATTTGGAAATAAATTAGTGCAATTCTCAAAATGCCATTAGCTGTCACATAAGGTGACAAATAATTTAAAAAGGCTTTCCTAATGGGAATTCTTTTACAACTTGGAATTCTAAGCCTACTGGTGATGGGGTATTGAGAATTTGGGACCATCTATACTTATACGTTCAATGAACATTATAGCAATATGTAAACCTGTCTTTCAGCTAATATGCTATCAAATTACCCCTGGGTATTTACGAATTTAAAATAAAAATAAAAAGTGAAGTCCGGATGTGGTGGCTCACACCGGTAATCCCAGCAATTTTGGGGGCCGAGGCAGGTGGATCACCTGAGGTCATGAGTTTGAGACCAGCCTGACCAACATGGTGAAACCCTGTCTCTACTAAAAATACAAAAATTAGCCAGGCCTGGTTGTGTGCACCTGTAATCCCAGCTACTCAGGAGGCTGAGGCAGGAGAATCACTTGAACCCAGAAGGCAGAGGTTGCAGTGAGCCAAGATCACAACACAGCACTCCAGCCTGGGCAACAGAGCGAATATCTGTCTCAAAAAAAAAAAAAAAAAAAAAAGTAAATGAGAAAGATGCAAGAAATGCTGGAAATCAGGAGTTGCTAGTTGACCTCGGCCACCAGCAAACCGTGTGGCTCTTCAGAACTGTTCTGATTTCAAAAATTTTGTCATGTAATTCTGTGACAAAAATTAAACGGAATTTTAGCTCCCAACATTTGTCTTAATGAAATTGGTTATTTGATGTCCCTAAGTAAACTAATAACTAACTTAGAACTCTTTATTTACCAGGACTTTGAAAAAACTGATTGTAGAAAAAAGTCAATCCCCAAACAAATCAAATTTTATGTGAATATTATGCATTTTATGGATATCCCCTAATGTGAATACATTTAGTCCTCTCATCCACTTGAAGTTCTCAAAAACTTCATGCTGTCTTTGCTTTTGGGCCTTCAGTTATGCTTTTTGCTCTCCCTATTTCCTATCTTTACCTGGATAAATCATACTCATCCTGAATCCCTTCCAAAACTGGATTGACCATGAATGAACCCTCATAATATGTAGGTAGCATATCTTTGTCAAGATAGGCTAGTTTTCTATTAGTAATAAATAATCACAAATTCTCAGTAGATTTAACGTAACAAATCTTTAATTTCAGCCTGTTCTACATATCCAGTGTTGGTTTGCTGGAGGTTTCTGCTCATTGTAGTTACTCAGGAACCCTGGCAATGGCAGCTTTACTTGAGATACACTTCCATGATCACCTCGGTGGTGAATTGTGTCCTGACTCCTAAAGTATTCATTGTAAATTACACATCACTGCTATTCATGTATCATTGGCCAGAGAAAGTCATGTGGCCAATCTCCTTAACTTTAATATTTGTTGAGCAGCACTGGTGACTCCAAAATAGCACAGTGGTAAAGAGCAGCACTTTGGCATTCAATAAATTGAGCTCAAATTCTGTCTCTCACCCTTGCTGGATGTAACTTCCGGGAAGTTATTTAATCTTTCTTTTGTCTATTTCTCAGCTGTAAAATGGTTCTTATAATAGTATATACTTATTAGGTTTTGAAAGTTAAACCTGTTAATACAGGCAAAACACTGTATTAACAAAATATTATACAGTGCTTGACATTACATTGAATCAATATTAGCTATCATTTTACCTCATATTTAGTTTTTACTGCCTTAAAATTTTTGTTTCTAGGACAGTCCCCTCTACAGGAGTGTAAGCTCTGTGTTAGTGGAATTTTCCTTGTTGAGTGTTGCGCCCTTAGTGTTCATAGAGGAGGAACGCAACGGGTATTTTATTCCCTTTGAGTTTCAGAAGTCTGTACAGCTATTTCAGGTCATTACGGTATTACTTATGGAACTTCTGCCTCATTGAAGCAAATTGCACATGGTCACATGAAAAAATTAATTTCACCTTCTCACACACTCAACCAACTGCAGCGTGCCTTATCCACCGAGATAATTTGGTTTAGTTAGTAAACAAAATTTGATTTAGTTGTTTATTAAAATAAGTAAATGACTGCTTTCTACTTGTTTATATTTTATTTTTAGAACTTTTATTTCTAAGACAGTTGAGGAGAATTGTGAAAGAAGAGTAGACTCTTCACACTCTTGGTTTCATTAAAAATAAAATAGTTCCATAGTTCTAAAAATGGAAAATATTTCTCCAAATATTTTCAATAAAGATTCATACACAATATATGAATCACACAGAGTAGAGTTTAAATGACATGTGGGTAACAGGAACATATCAAACTTCAATACAATTACACTCACAATTTGATTCAGCAAGGCGAGAAAAATAGGTTACTTAAAAACTGTCAGAATTGCAGTACAGGGTTGTTGACAGCTGTGAAGAAAAGTTGAATAACACTGAGCTGAAAAGGTCAACGTTTCTTGTTGATATTGGTTGGTGGGATGGGAAGGGCCTTTGGGATTGTCAAAGGCCACCCTCCAGGGATATATATTGCAGTGGAAGTTTTAGAGGTCAGACTTCCTGAGATAAGGAGCGGAACTGGTTTCCTCACAATAGTTCTGAACTCGGAGGTCATTCATATACTCCTTTGAATCACTTTTCCCCTAAAGGCTCAAATAGAGAATATAGGTTAATAAAACTGAGTAATGGTAAGGTTTGCAGGAGACATGGGAATCTTTATTCTGTTCCTTTTAACTGAGTTTAATACCTTGTTTGGAGAGAAAGTAAAAATACAGGAAAACTAGTAAAGGAACTTATGGCCAAAAAATAAATAAACTCATCAGGGTTCAGTATTTTTTTTTCATTACAAACTCTATCACTGTGACTCACCTTTAAAGGCCTTGTGATTTTTGAAGGTGAATCTATATTCCAAATAAAATAGTTGGTTATTGTCAAATAATTTTAGCATTTGATGCAAAAATTAAATAATTCTAATATTAAGATGAAAACCGGTTAATAAGGAAATGTATCTTTTTGGCCAATAATTCTGACATGTGCCATTCCACATTGCTTTGCATCCCAGGAGTTTAGAATACTTTGTGGAATGCATCACTATCCCTAGTAGTTAAGTTTTAATCCACATACTGCTTTTTCTTAATTTGATGGATATAGATATTTACACTGTAAAGCTACATAATGATAAGCATTGGGGTAAATAAAAATGTATCTACATTTCCCATTAAAAAACAGACCTAGAGATTGTAAGATTGGTGGTTTAAATCAATTTTTAAAAAAATCTTTCATCCAGATATTAGCATTGTGCAAACTTGGGTTAGAAAATAATTTCCACATTTTAGGCCAGTGGCAGACCCAGGGCTACTCGGATCCTCTAAAACTAAGTTTAATATGGTGGCAGTAGTTAGATTAACCAGCAATGTGAGTTACCAGATCTCATGCCAGTTGTGCTTCCACCTTTCCTGACGTTCTTGAGCCACATGGGTTGATTGCAGGCTGGGGTGAGTTGGAACTGCTGAATCCTTAAGCGGTCCAATTTTGTTACAGTAATAAATGATATTAGCCAACCATTATTAATCACTTGGTATGTTCTTGGCTCTTTTCTAATAATTTTGCATGCGTTAACTCATTGACCACTCACACTTCAGTCATTATTATGAGGCACTTTTATCTCTGTTTTGCAGATGAGTTAGCAGAGATAGAGAGAGGTTTTTCCTAAACTTGCCCAAATCACTATGCTGGTAAGCGGTGGAGCCGGATAAAAATTCAAGTGGTCTTGTTCCAAAGTCATTGGTCCTTAAGTTTTAAATTATGTTGTCGGCTTAGCTTCTTGATTCTCAACCATGTGGATGTATTACTGCGAAATATCCTCTGAGTTTAAAATTGTGTGTATTTACAACATTTATTAATATTAGTAACTAACTAAACATATATTTAAATGAGAAGGCTCACTAATTTGAAAAATAGTACTATAGCAGGAATGTAATACAGTTTTATTTATTTTATTGTTTTACCTATTTATTTATTTATTTTTTATTTTTTAGACACAGGGTCACACTGTCACCCAGGTTGGAGTGTAGTGATGTGATCATAGCTCACTGCAGCCTTGAACTCCTGGGCTCAAGTGAGCCTCCTGCCTCAGCCTCCAGAGTAGCTGGGACTACAGACATGCACCACTATGCCTGGCTAATTTTTAAATTTTTAAATGTTTAGCAGAGACAAACTCTTGCTCTTTTGTCCTGGCCTGAAGCTCTCCTTCTGCCTTGACCTCCCAAGTTACTGGGATTACAGGCGTGAGCCGTCACACCTGGCTGCAATTTTAATCTGTTGGAAAAAAATATCTGCTATTTTAGCCTACCCTTCCCCAGCCCACATTGAGTCTGTTTCTTGTAAAATTTTTTTGATGTATTAAATATTTTTATTTGGTGTTTTGTGAAAAGTTTAAAGCAAATATGAAAAAATTTTAATTCTTAGCATTTAAATAATGACAGTTGAAGTTTATCTGTATGTACATCAAGTAACTTGTTATTTCAATAATTTCTTCTTAGAGACTAGATAGAAATATACTATCAGTTGTTTTTCACTTTTTTATGAAATGAGAATGGGGATGAAGGTCAGGAGTAAGAAAGTGGGATTTAAGTTTCACGGTGGCTCATGCCTGTAATCCCAGCACTTTGGGAGGCCAAGGCGGGTGGATCACCTGAGGTCAGGAGTTCGAGAGCAGCCTGGCCAACATGGAAAAACCCCGTCTCTATTAAAAATACAAAAACTAGCTGGGCATGGTGGCGGTTACCCGTAATCCCAACTACTCAGGAGGCTGAGGCGGGAGAATTACTTGAACCCAGGAGGTGGAGGTTGCAGTGAGCCGAGATCACTCCAGCCTGGCTGACGAGCGAAACTCCATCTCAAAAAAAAAAAAAAAAAAATACTAGTGACCTCGTATCACATTTGCAATATGAAAATGCAAGGGGCCTCCGGAGGTGCCGGGATTGCAGACAGTGTCTGGTTCACTCAGTGCTCAATGGTGCCCAAGATGGAGTGCAGTGGCGTGATCTCGGCTTGCTACAACTTCCACCTCCCAGCCGCCTGCCTTGGCCTCCCAAAGTGCAGCCTCTGCCCGGCCGCCACCCCGTCTAGGAAGTGAGGAGCGTCTCTGCCTGGCCGCCCATCATCTGGGATGTTAGGAGCCCCTCTGCCTGGCTGCCCAGTCTGGAAAGTGAGGAGCGTCTCTGCCCGGCCGCCATCCCATCTAGGAAGTGAGGAGCGCCTCTTCCCGGCCGCCATCCCATCTAGGAAGTGAGGAGCGTCTCTGCCCAGCCGCCCATCGTCTGAGATGTGGGGAGTGCCTTTGCGCCACCGCCCCGTCTGGGATGTGAGGAGCGCCTCTGCCCAGCCGCCCCATCTGAGAAGGGAGGAGACCCTCCGCCTGGCAACCACCCCGTCTGAGAAGTGAGGAGACCCTCCGCCCGGCAGCCGCCCCATCTGAGAAGTGAGGAGCCCCTGCGCCCGGCAGCCACCCCATCTGGGAAGTGAGGAGCGTCTCCGCCCGGCAGCCGCCCTGTCCAGGAGGGAGGTGGGGGTCAGCCCCCGCCAGGCCAGCCACCCCGTCTGCCGTCTGGGAGGGAGGTGTGGGGTCAGCCCCCCACCCGGCCAGCCGCCCCGTCCGGGAGGGAGGTGGGGGGGTCAGCCCCCCGCCCGGCCAGTGAGGGGCGCCTCTGCCCAGCTGCCCCTACTGGGAAGTGAGGAGCCCCTCTGCCCGGCCAGCCACCCTGTCCGGGAGGGAGGTGGGGGGGTCAGCCCCCCGCCCGGCCAGCCGCCCCATCCGGGAGGGAGGTGGGGGGTCAGCCCCCCGCCCGGCCAGCCGCCCCGTCCGGGAGGTGAGGGGCGCCTCTGCCCGGCCGCCCCTACTGGGAAGTGAGGAGCCCCTCTGCCCGGCCAGCCGCCCCTTCCGGGAGGGAGGTTGGGGGGTCAGCCCCCCGCCTGGCCAGTCGCCCAGTCCGGGAGGGAGGTGGGGAGGTCAGCCCCCCGCCCAGCCAGCCGCCCCGTCCGGGAGGGAGGTGGGGGGGCCCGCCCCCCCCCCGGCCAGCCGCCTCGTCCGGGAGGTGAGGGGCGCCTCTGCTCAGCTGCCCCTACTGGGAAGTGAGGAGCCCCTCTGCCCGGCCAGCCGCCCCGTCCGGGAGGGAGGTGGGGGGGTCAGCCCCCCGCCTGGCCAGCCGCCCCATCCGGGAGGGAGGTGGGGGGTCAGCCCCCCGCCCAGCCAGCCGCCCCGTCCGGGAGGTGAGGGGCGCCTCTGCCCGGCCACCCCTACTGGGAAGTGAGGAGCCCCTCTGCCCGGCCAGCCGCCCCTTCCGGGAGGGAGGTTGGGGGGTCAGCCCCCCGCCTGGCCAGTCGCCCAGTCCGGGAGGGAGGTGGGGGGGTCAGCCCCCCGCCCGGCCAGCCGCCCCGTCCGGGAGGGAGGTGGGGGGTCAGCCCCCCGCCCGGCCAGCCGCCCCGTCCGGGAGGGAGGTGGGGGGTCAGCCCCCCGCCCGGCCAGCCGCCCCGTCCGGGAGGGAGGTGGGGGGGTCAGCCCCCCGCCCGGCCAGCTGTCTCGCCCGGGAGGTGAGGGGCGCCTCTGCCCGGCTGCCTGTACTGGGAAGTGAGGAGCCCCTCTGCCCGGCCAGCCGCCCCGTCCGGGAGGGAGGTGGGGGGTCAGGCCCCCGCCCGGCCAGCCGCCCCGTCCGGGAGGTGAGGGGCGCCTCTGCCCGGCCACCCCTACTGGGAAGTGAGGAGCCCCTCTGCCCGGCCAGCCGCCCCTTCCGGGAGGGAGGTTGGGGGGTCAGCCCCCCGCCTGGCCAGCCGCCCCGTCCGGGAGGGAGGTGGGGGGTCAGCCCCCCACCCGGTCAGCCGCCCCGTCCGGGAGGGAGGTGGGGGGGTCAGCCCCCTGCCCGGCCAGCCGCCTCGTCCGGGAGGTGAGGGGCGCCTCTGCCCGGCCGCCCCTACTGGGAAGTGAGGAGCCCCTCTGCCCGGCCACCACCCCGTCTGGGAGGTGTGACCAACAGCCCATTGAGAACGGGCCATGATGACAATGGTGGTTTTGTGGAATAGAAAGCGGGGAAAGGTGGGAAAAAGATTGAGAAATCGGATGGTTGCCGTGTCTGTGTGGAAAGAAGTAGACATGGGAGACTTTTCATTTTTTTCTGTACTAAGAAAGATTCTGCCTTGGGATCCTGTTGATCTGTGACCTTAACCCCCAACCCTGTGCTCTCTGAAACATGTGCTGTGTCCACTCAGGGTTAAATGGATTAAGGGCGGTGCAAGATGTGCTTTGTTAAACAGATGCTTGAAGGCATCATGCTCGTTAAGAGTCATCACCACTCCCTAATCTCAAGTACCCAGGGACACAAACACTGCGGAAGGCCGCAGGGTCCTCTGCCTAGGAAAACCAGAGACCTTTGTTCACTTGTTTATCTGCTGACCTTCCCTCCACTATTGTCCTATGACCCTGCCAAATCCCTCTCTGTGAGAAACACCCAAGAATGATCAATAAAAATAAAATTAAAAAAAAAAAAACAAAAAAAAAACCAAACAAACAAAAAAAAGAAAATGCAAGATGACTTGTACAATTTTTTTGTTATCAAATAAAATATTCAACAGATAAGAAAAATAAACGTATATATTAATTGAAAGAATTATGTGTCTAATTTATTTTGCTAGTTGTGAGTTAATAGAATACATGATGTTGGATTCTCTGTATTTCTAAAACAGAAGATGATTATCGCAGACCTGGGTGAAACAAATGGGAACCTGGGTAAAGAGGCTAAACAATTATTTTTCTCAAAATAGGAATACAAAACCCCTACAAGTAAACATGTACATTTTTTCAGTATTCACTTAGTGTAGCCAAATGTCTAATTGCATGTCTGCCTTTTCCATTTGTAATATTCCAGGATTCCAGGCAGGTGGCATGCTAGATGATGTTTATCATAATTATGCTGCATCTTACCATCTGAATAGGAAAACTATTGAATATTGCACATAAATCTTTCAATGTAATAAAATTGCATATCAGGACATACATAGAAAGGTAAAGAAGATGTGAGCATAGCATTAGATAGATTACTAATAGTGACAATATAATTTCTTGAAATATTAACAGTGTTGTTCCTTTTCGTCTACCCTTAGACTCCGAACAAGAGTAGAGTAGATGTTCAGAGCCGGGCGCAGTGGCTCACACCTGTAATTCCAGCACTTGGGGAGGCCGAGGCAGGCGGATCACGAGGACAGGAGATCAAGACTATCCCCACTAACACGGTGAAACCCTGTCTCTACTAAAAATACAAAAAAATTAGCTGGGTGTGGTAGCAGGTGCCTGTAATCCCAGCTTCTCGGGAGGCTGAGGCAGGAGAATCACTTGAACCCGGGAGGCAGAGGTTACAGTGAGCCGAGATGGTGCCACTGTACTTCAGCCTGGGCGACTGAGTGAGACTCTGTCTCAAAATAAATGAATGAATGAATGACTTGTGATCAACAGGAAGCATAATACACCGAGTATGTGGGCTCGTCTGTCCACCTCAGACTCCGTGGGAGGTGGTGGATTTAATGAAATGCTGTTTCCTGTTATGCAAGAGTATTTGGTAATTTAATATTGACTCTATTGGTACAGAAAGTGCTGTGAGGTCTGACACTGGTGATCGCAGAACTGTATTCACCTGAACCAGTTCCCATATTTTACAAGTGAGAAAATGGAGGCGCAGAGAAAATGATTTGCCCAAATAAGACAGCCAGTTAGTAGAAGAGTCAGGAACAGAATCCAGGTCTTCTGACTCTCAATCTTGTATTCTTTCTACTTTATTATAGTGAAATGGATTTTTTCTCTTTTGTACTTTTTCTTTCCCTTTGTGCAGGTCATTATATGCTGATGTTTCAAGCAGAGGAATTGAATTTTTCATTATAATTTTAATAAGGTGCCACGAAACTGAAATTCACATTTGAATTCCAATTTCCTTTCTTAAACCATAAAATGTGCTGAATAGTAAAGACAAATCTAACCACATAAGTTACCGTTGTGTCTGGGCTTCCCAATTTTAATGGTCATGTACATGTTACTATAAATCAAAACACCTCTCTTACTGTACTCTTTTAAGGTTTATGATTCTATATACAGCTAATTATCAGCCCTGCCAATATTTTGACTAATTTTGTTTTCTTCTGGTTTCAATACTTCTAGTTGAGGCCTTGAAAATCTCTCTGGATTCCTTGAAGATGAGCAAAACATTTGTCAGGAAGACTGAATATGTTGAGAGAGAGAGAGAGAGAGAGAGAGTGTGTGTGTGTGTGTGTGTGTGTATCTTTAAAATTTTTTTAAATTTTATTTTTAATTGACACATAATTGTTATTTATGGAGGTACAATATGATGTTTTGATCTATGAATACGTTACAGAAAGATTCAGTCAAGTTAATTAACATATCCATCAGCTCACCAATTTACCCTTTTTTGTGGTGGGAACATTAAAAATTCTTTTAGCAGTTTTATAATATATGATACATTATTATTAACTGTGGTCACCATGCAGTTCAATAGATCATTAAAACTTATTTCTCCAGTCTAACTAAAGCTTTGTACCCTTTGATCAACATTTTCCCTTTCCCTATCCTTTTCCTCTTCCTAGTGTCTGGTAACCACCTTTCTAATCTCTGTTTCTATGAGATCAACTTTTTTAGATTCCACATTAAGAGTGGGATCATAATATTTGTCTTTCTATGTCTGACTTACATCACTTAGCATAATGTTCTCCAGTTCCATCTATGTTGTTGTGAGTGACAGAATCTCCTTTTTTAAAGGCTGAATAGTATTCCATTGTGTATATATGTACCACATTTTCTTTATCCATTCATCTGTTGATGAGCAATTAGGTTGCTTCCATATTTTGCCTATTGTGAATGATGCTAAAATAAACCAGGGAGTGCAGATATCTCTTTGACATATTGATTTCAATTCCTTTAAATATATACCCAGAAGTGTGTATATATTTTTAGTTTTTTGAGGAACCTCTATACTATTTTCCAAAAAGGCTGTACTAATTTACACTTCCACCAATAGTTAATAAGGATTCCCTTTTATCCATATCCTTGCCAACATTTGCTATTATTCTTTGATAATAGTAATTCTAACAGGTGTGAGATTATATCTCATTGTGGTTTTAATTAACATTTCTCTGATGTTTAGAAATGTTGGGTTTTTTTCATATATATCTGTTGGCCATTAGTATTTCTTAAGAAATGTCTATTTAGATCCTTTGCCCAGTTTTTTTTATTATACTTTAAGTTCTAGGGTACATGTGCACAACGTGCAGGTTTGTTACATATGTATACATGTGCCTTGTTGGTGTGCTGCACCCATTAACTCATCCTTTACATTAGGCATTTCTCCTAATGCTATCCCTCCCCCCTCCCCCCACCCCACAACAGGCCCCGGTGTGTGATGTTCCCCAACCTATGTCCACATGTTCTCATTGTTCACTTCTCACCTATGGGTGAGAACATGCAGTGTTTGGTTTTCTGTCCTCGCGATAGTTTGCTCAGAATGATGGTTTCCAGCTTCATCCATGTCCCTACAAAGGACATGAACTCATTTTTTATGGCTGCATAGTATTCCGTGGTGTATATGTGCCACATTTTCTTAATCCAGTCTATCACTGATGGACATTTGGGTTTGTTCCAAGTCTTTGCTATTGTGAATAGTGCCACAATAAACATACGTGTGCATGTGTCTTTATAGCAGCATGATTTATAATCCTTTGGGTATATACCCAGTAATGGGATGGCTGGGTCAAATGGTATTTCTAGTTCTAGATCCTTGAGGAATTGCCACCCTGTCTTCCACAATGGTTGAACTAGTTTACAGTCCCACCAACAGCATAAAAGTGTTCCTATTTCTCCACATCCTCTCCAGCACCTGTTGTTTCCTGACTTTTCAATGATCACCATTCTAACTGGTGTGAGATGGTATCTCATTGTGGTTTTGATTTGCATTTGTTTGATGGCCGGTGATGATGAGCATTTTTTCATGTGTCTTTTGGCTGCATAAATGTCTTCTTTTGAGAAGTGTCTGTTCATATCCTTTGCCCACTTTTTGATGGGGTTGTTCGATTTTTTCTTGTAAATTTGTTTAAGTTCTTTGTAGATTCTGGATATTAGCCTTATGTCAGATGGGTAGATTGCAAAAATTTTCTCCCATTCTGTAGGATGCCTGTTCACTCTGACGGTAGTTTCTTTTGATGTGCAGAAGCTTTTTAGTTTAATTAGATCCCATTTGTCAATTGTGGCTTTTGTTGCCATTGCTTTTGGTGTTTTAGTCATGAAGTCCTTGCACATGCTTATGTCCTGAATGGTATTGCCTAGGTTTTCTTCTAGGGTTTTTATGGTTTTAGGCCTACCATTTAAGTCTTTAATCCATCTTGAATTAATTTTTGTATAAGGTGTAAGGAAGGGATCCAGTTTCAGCTTTCTACATATGGCTAGCCAGTTTTGCCAGCACCATTTATTAAATAGGGAATCCTTTCCCCATTTCTTGTTTTTGTCAGGTTTGTCAAAGATCAGATGGTTGTAGATGTGTGGTATTATTTCTGAGGCCTCTGGTCTGTTCCATTGGTCTATATCTCTGTTTTGGTACCAATACCATGCTGTTTTGGTTATTACATCCTTGTAGTATAGTTTGAAGTCAGGTAGCATGATGCCTCCAGCTTTGTTCTTTTTGCTTAGGATTGTCTTGGCAATACAGGCTCTTTTTTGGTTCCATATGAACTTTAAAGTAGTTTTTTCCAATTCTGTGAAGAAAGTCCTTGGCAGCTTGATGGGGATGGCATTGAATCTATTAATTACCTTGGGCAGTATGGCCATTTTCATGATATTGATTCTTCCTACCCATGAGCATGGAATGTTCTTCCATTTGTTTGTGTCCTCTTTTATTTTGTTGAGCAGTGGTTTGTATTTCTCCTTGAAGAGGGCCTTCCCATCCCTTGTAAGTTGGATTCCTAGGTATTTTATTCTCTTTGAAGCAATTGTGAATGGGAGTTCACTCACGATTTGGCTCTCTGTTTGTCTGTTATTGTTGTATAGAAATGCTTGTGATTTTTGCACATTAATTTTGTATCCTGAGACTTTTCTGAAGTTGCTTATCAGCTTAAGGAGATTTTGGGCTGAGACAATGGGGTTTTCTAGATATATAATCATGTCATCTGCAAACAGGGACAATTTGACTTCCTCTTTTCCTAATTGAATACCCTTTATTTCCTTCTCCTGCCTAATTGCCCTGGCCAGAACTTCCAACACTATATTGAGTAGGAGTGGTGAGAGAGGGCATCCCTGTCTTGTGCCAGTTTTCAAAGGGAATGCTTCCAGTTTTTGCCCATTCAGCATGATACTGACAGTGGGTTTTTCATAAATAGTTTTTATTATTTTGAGATACATCCCATCAATACCTAGTTTATTGAGAGTTTTTAGCATGAAGTGTTGTTGAATTTGTCAAAGGCCTTTTCTGCATCTATTGAGATAATCATGTGGTTTTTGTCTTTGGTTCTGTTTATATGATGGATTACGTTTATTGATTTGTGTATGTTGAACCAGCCTTGCATCCCAGGGATGAAGCCCAGTTGATCATGTTGGATAAGCTTTTTGATGTGCTGCTGGATTCGGTTTGTCAGTATTTTATTGAGGATTTTTGCATCGATGTTCATCAGGGATATTGGTCTAAAATTCTCTTTTTTGTGTGTGTGTCTCTGCCAGGCTTTGGTATAAGGATGATGCTGGCCTCATAAAATGAGTTAGGGAGGATTCCCTATTTTTCTATTGATTGCCATAGTTTCAAAAGGAATGGTACCATCTCTTCTTTGTACCTCTGGTAGAATTCGACTGTGAATCTGTCTGGTCCTGGACTTTTCTTGCTTGGTAGGCTATTAATTATTGCCTCAATTTCAGAGCCTGTTATTGGTCTATTCAGGGATTCAACTTCTTCCTGGTTTAGTCTTGGGAGGGTGCATGTGTTCAGGAATTTATCCATTTCTTCTAGATTTTCTAGTTTATTTGAGTAGAGGTGTTTATAGTATTCTCTGATGGTAGTTTGTATTTCTGCGGGATCGGTGGTGATATCCCCTTTATCATTTTTTATTGTGTCTATTTGATTCTTCTGTCTTTTCTTCTTTATTAGTCTTGCTAGCGGTCTATCAATTTTGTTGATCTTTTCAAAAAAAAAAAAAAAACAAGCTCCTGGATTCATTGATTTTTTTCCTGAAGGGTTTTTTGTGTCTCTATTTCCTTTAGTTCTGCTCTGATCTTAGTTATTTCTTGACTTCTGCTAGCTTTTGAATGCATTTGCTCTTGCTTCTCTAGTTCTTTTAATTGTGATGTTAGGGTGTCGAATTTAGATCTTTCCTGCTTTCTTTGGTGGGCATTTAGTGCGATAAATTTCCCTCTACCCACTGCTTTAAATGTGTCTCAGAGATTCTGGTACGTTGTGCCTTTGTTCTCATTGGTTTCAAAGAACATCTTTATTTCTGCCTTCATTTCGCTATTTACCCAGTAGTCATTCAGGAGCGGATTGTTCAGTTTCCATGTAGTTGTGTGATTTTGAGTGAGTTTCTTAATCCTGAGATCTAATTTGATTGCACTGTGATCTGAGAGACTGTTATATTTTCTGTTCTTTTACATTTGCTGTGGAGCGCTTTACTTCCAACTATGTGGTCAGTTATGGAATAAGTGTGATGTGATGTTGAGACGAATGTATATTCTGTTGATTTGGGGTGGAGAGTTCTGTAGATGTCTATTAGGTCTGCTTGGTGCAGAGCTGAGTTCAAGTCCTGGATATCCTTGTTAACCATCTGTCTCATTGATCTGTCTAATGTTGACAGTGGGGTGTTAAAGTCTCCCATTATTATTGTGTGGGAGTCTAAGTCTCTTTGCAGGTCTCTAAGGACTTGCTTTATGAATCTGGCTGCTTCTGTATTGGGTGCATATATATTTAGGATAGTTAGCTCTTCTTGTTGAATTGATCCCTTTTCCATTATGTAATGGCCTTCTTTGTCTCTTTTGATCTTTGTTGATTTAAAGTCTGTTTTATCAGAGACTAGGACTGCAACCCCTGCTTTTTTTTGTTTTTCCATTTGCTTGGTATATCTTCCTCCATCCCTTTATTTTGAGCCTATGTGTATCTCTGCATGTGAGATGGGTCTCCTGAATACAGCACACTGATGGGTCTTGACTCTTTAGCCAATTTGCCAGTCTGTGTCTTTTAACTGGGGCATTTAGACCATTTACATTTAAGGTTAGTATTGTTATGTGTGAATTCGATCCTGTCATTGTGATGTTAGCTGGTTATTTTGCTCATTAGTTGATGCAGTTTCTTCCTAGCCTTGATGGTCTTTACAGTTTGGCAGGTTTTTGCAGTGGCTGGTACCGGTTGTTCCTTTCCATGTTTAGTGCTTCCTTTAGGAGCTCTAGTAAGGCAGGCCTGGTGGTGACAAAATCTCTCAACATTTGCTTGTCTGTAAAGGATTTTATTTCTCCTTCACTTATAAAGCTTAGTTTGGCTGGATAGGAAATTCTGGGTTAACAATTCTTTTCTTTAAGAATGTTGAATGTTAGCCCCCACTCTCTTCTGGCTTGTAGAGTTTCTGCTGAGAGATTTGCTGTTAGTCTGATGGGCTTCCCTTTGTGGGTAACCCGACCTTTCTCTCTGGCTGCCCTTAACATTTTTTCTTTCATTTCAACCTTCGTATATCTGACAATTATGTGTCTTGGGGTTGCTTTTCTTGAGGAGTATCTTTGTGGCATTCTCTGTATTTCCTGAATTTGAATGTTGGCCTGCCTTGCTAGGTTGAGGACGTTCTCCTTGATAATATCCTTAAGAGTGTTTTCCAAGTTGGTTCCATTCTCCCTGTCACTTTCAGGTGCACCAATCAGATGTAGATTTGGTCTTTTAACATAGTCCCATATTTCTTGGAGGCTTTGTTCGTTTCTTTTTACTCTTTTTTCTCTAAACTTCTCTTCTCGCTTCATTTCATTCATTTGATCTTCAATCACTGATACCCTTTCTTCCATTTGATCGAATCGGCTACTGAAGCTTGTGCATGCGTCACGTAATTCTTGTGCCATGGTTTTCAGCTCCATCAAGTCACTTAAGGTGTTCTCTATGCTGTTTATTCTAGTTAGCCATTCGTCTAATTTTTTTCAACGTTTTTAGCTTCTTTGCGATGGGTTCGAACATCCTCCTTTAGCTCAGAGAAGTGAGTTATTACTGTTCTTCTGAAGCCTACTTCTGTCAGCTTGTCAAAGTCATTCTCCATCCAGCTTTGTTCTGTTGCTGGCGAGGAGCTGCGTTCCTTTGGAGGAGAAGAGGCGCTTTGATTTTTAGAATTTTCTACTTTTCTGCTCGGTTTCTCCCCATCTTTGTGGTTTTATCTACCTTTGGGCTTTGATGATGGTGACCTACAGATGGGCTTTTGGTGTGGATGTCTTTTTGTTGATGTTGATGCTATTCCTTTCTGTTTATTAGTTTTCCTTCTAACATTCAGGACCCTCAGCTGCAGGTCTGCTGGAGTTTGCTGGAGGTCCACTCCAGACCCTGTTTGCCTGGGTATCACCCGCAGAGGCTGCAGAACAGCAAATATTGCAGAACAGCAAATGTTGTTGCCTGATCCTTCCTCTGGAAGCTTCGTCTCAGAGGGGCACCTGGCTGTATGAGGTGTCAGTCAGCCCCTACTGTGAGATGTCTCCCAGTTAGGCTACTTGGGAGTCAGGGACCCACTTGAGGAGGCAGTCTGTCTGTTCTCAGATCTCAAACTCTGTGCTGGGAGAACCACTACTCTCTTCAAAGTTGTCAGACAGAGATGTTTAAGTTCCTGCTTCCTTTTGTTCAGCTATGCCCTGCGCCCCAGAGGTGGAGTCTACAGAGGCAGGCAGGCCTCCTTGAGCTGTGGTGGGCTCCGTCCAGTTCGAGCTTCCCGGCCACTTTGTTTACCTACTCAAGCCTCAGCAATGGCAGATGCCCCTTCCCCAGCCTTGCTGCCACCTTGCAGTTTGATCTGGGACTGCTGTGCTAGCAGTGAGCAAGGTTCCATGGGCATGGAACCCTCCGAGCCAGGCATGGGATATGATCTCCTGGTGTGCTGTTTGCTAAGACCATTGGAAAAGCACAGTATTAGGGTGGAAGTATCCCAATTTTCCAGGTACCACCTGCCACGGCTTCCCTTGGCTAGGAAAGGGAATTCCCCAACCTCTTGCACTTCCCAGGTGAGGCGATGCCCCACCCTGCTTTGGCTCACACTCCGTGGGCTGCACCCACTCTCCCACAAGTCCCAGTGAGGTGAATCTGTTACCTCAGTTGGAAATGCAGAAATCACCTGTCTTCTGTATCGCTCATGCTGGGAGCCGTAGACTGGATTTGTTCCTATCCTATGCCTATTTTTAAATTTGGTTATTTGTTTTATTGCTATTGAGTTGTTTGAGTTCCTTATATATTTTGAATATTAGCCCCTTATCAGATGTATGGTTTACAAATATTTTCCCCAACCCATGAATTGCCTCTCCATTCTGTTAATTGTTTCCTTTGTTGTGCAGAAGCTTTTTAGTTTGATATAGTCCCATGTGTCTATTTCTGCTTTTGTTGCCTGTGCTTTTAGAGTCCTATCCAAGTAATTATTGCCCAGTCTTACAACATGGAGATGTTGTCGTATGTTTTCTTCCAGGAAACTTTACAGTTTCAGATCTTACATTTAAGTATTTTGTTCATTTTGAGCTGATTTTGTATATGTTATGAGGGTTCAATTTCATTCTTCTTCATGTGGATATTCAGTGTTTCTAATACTATTTATTAGAGACTTTTTCCTTTCCTCATTGTGTGATCTTGATACCTTTGCCAAAATTTGACTGACCATAAATATATGGATTTTTTTTGGGCTGTCTTTCTGTTTCATTCTTCTTAAATTTGTTGAGACTTGTTTTGTGGACTAACATATTATCTATTCTGGAGAATGTTTTCTGTGGACTTGAGAGGAATGTGTATTTGGCTGCCGTTGGATGAAATGTTCTGTAAATATCTGTTAGGTTCATTTGGTCTAAAGTGTTGTTGAAATACAGTGTTTCCTTATTGATTTTCTGTCTGGATGCTCTGTCCATTGTTGAAAGTGGGGTATTGAAGTCTCCTCCTATTATTGATTGCAGTCTTTCTCTCCTTTCATATCTATTAATATTTGCTTTATATATTTAGGTGTTCCAATGTTAGTGAATGTATGCTTACAATTCTTATGTCTGCTTGGTATATTGACCCCTTTATCATTATATAATGACCTTTTTGTCTCTTTTTATAGCTTTCAACTTCAAGTCTATCTTTTCTAAGTATAGCTCTCCTCATTCTCTTTTAGTTTCCATTTGCAAAGAATATCTTTGTTCTTCCTTTCATTTTTAGTCTATGTGTGTGCTTAGAGGTGAACCGAGTCTCTCATAGGCAGTATATAGTTAGGATATATTTAGGTTTTGTTCCATTTAGCCACTTGCTGTCTTTGGATTGAAAAATTTAATCCATCCAGTAATTATTGATAACTTAGATCTTACTATTGCCATTTTGTTAATTGTCTTCTGGTTAGTTTGTAGACCCTTTGTTCATCTCTTCCTCTCTTGCTGTCTTCTATTGTGATTTGATGATTTTCTGTGGTAGTATGCCTTGAATCCTTTCTTTCAATCTTTTGTGTATCCACTAAGAATTTTTGCTTTTTAAGCTGATAATGACTTAACTTTATCACTTATGCAAATGCTACAATTTTACTTGCCTTCAGTTTGTTTCTGTTGACACTTTAAAAAAATCTTTTATAGTTTTTATCCCTGAAATTTTTGTAGCTATAGTTGTTTTTAAGTTTTTTTCTTTTTACCTTCCTACTAGAAGTATATAATTGATTTTTATACCACCATTACAGTAAATGAGTATTCTGAGTTTGACTATATTCTTACTTTTACCAGTGAGTTTTATATTTTCACATATTTTTATGTTGCTATTTAGTTTGATGGACTCCTTTTATCATTTGTTGTAAGAGCAGTCTAGTGGTGATAAATTCCCTCAGCTTTAGTTTAAGAAAGTTTTGCTCTTCTCTTCGTTTTTTAAGGACAGGATTGAGGGGTATAGTATTCTTGGCTGGAAGTTTTTCTTCCTTGGCTGGAAGTTTTTCTTCCAGCCTTTTGAATATATCACCCTATTCCTTCTGTCCTGCAGGGTTTCTGCTGGAATACCCACTGATGATTTATAGGAGTCCCCTTGTATGTAACAAGTTGCTTTTCCCTTGAAGCTTTCCAATATTCTTTCTTTGTATTTAACTTTTGACAATTTGATTATACCACATTTCAGTATGGGTATGTTTGTATTTATCTGATTAGATGGCTGTTGAGCTTCCTGGATCTGGATTTTTGTTTTTTTTTTCCCAGACTTGGGAAGTTTTCTGCCATTATTTCTTTGAATATATTTTTATGTCCCTTTCTCTCTTCTTCTTCTGGTACACCAATAATGCATATGTTATTCCACTTAATAGTGTCACATAGGTCCCTTAGGTTATTGCCACTCAATTTTTTGTTCTTTTTCTTCTTACTCCTCAGATTGGATAATTTTTAATGACCTATCTTCAAGTTTACTAATTCCTTCTTCTACTTGATCTAGTATGCTATTGACTCTCTCTATTGAATTCTTGAGGTTAATTATTAGGTTATTCCGCTTGATGTTTGGTACTTTAAAATATTTTTTAATCTCTTTGTTGATGTGCTTAATTTGTTTATGCATTGCTTTCCTTACCTGAGTATCTTTATAAATGTCCTTTTGAATTCTCTGTCAAGTAACTAACATATCTTCATTTCTTTAGAGCTGGCTTCTGGAGATATATTTTGTTCTTTTATTTGGAACATATGTCTCTGTTTTCTTGTTTTGCTTGACTCTTCATGATGGTTTCTGTACATTGGATAAAAGAACCACCTTTACCATTCTTCTTAGACTGGTCTCATTTAGGAGACATTACTCTTCAATCAGCCTAACCAGGGATTCTAGATGCCTCTAAACTCTTTGTACTTGCCCTACCTGCTGTCTTTGTTCATAGTGGCCTCTAGGAAATTAAAGAGTGTCAAGCTGTTCTATTGTCTTTAGAGAGATGGAATAGAAACCAGTCCTTTGGGATGCAGATGGAGACATTTGGAATGTTAGATATGTGTTCTAGTTCCCTCTTTCTTTGCAGAGAAGCTGAGTGCCAGAGTTTATCTCCTACTTGTTCTGCCCTACACAAAGAAGTTCTGAGGTACATACCTATGCTCTTGATCAGACTACTCATTTTGGACCTGCGGAGATAGCTATTAAATATTTGCAAGTTTAAAAGTCACCTTTTTGTTCTCTGTGGCCTAAGAGACTCAGGAGTGCAGAACTCTGTCAACAACTACAGCTAGGTGATTTAGGAGCTAGTCCTTTGGATGAAAGCTGTAAGAGTTGAGCATGCAGAAACTATTTCCAAGGAGAGTCTTTGGATCTGGATGTATCACCAGAACAAGCCAGGGAAGAGGGTACAGGAAGTCCCACTCTCCTGTTTGAGAAAGCAAAGTCTCATAATCTTCCAGCAGGGGGAATCTTCTGGTCTGGAGTTAACACTGAAGCAAGTCAGGGAGAAAGGCACAAGGAGTGCCCACTTTCTCTTTCAGGCATGGAGTAGTCCTCCTGTCTCCCTCTAATGAGAGATTCAGGAATTTATCTCTGGAGTAAGCCAGGAAAGAAGGTACAGGGCCAGTGGAAGTGGGGAGGGGAATGTGCTTTCTCTTTCATACTTGCTGGAAGAGGCCTCCAACCTCTTTCCACAGAGAGAATGTAGGGCTGGAATTATTGCTGGAGCAAGCCCAGAAGAAGGTGTAGGGAGCTCATATATTTATTGCAGCACTATTCTTAATAGCAAATTCATGGAATCAACTTAAGTATTCATCATTGGTTGATTGGAGAAAGAAAACGTGGTACATATACACCATGGAATACTATGCAGCTATGAAAAATGAAATCATGTCCTTTGCAGCAACATGGATGCAGCTTGGAGGCCATTATCCTAAGTGAAATAACTCAGAAACAGAAAATCAAATCAATTATTACTTACTCATGTTCTCATTTAATAAATGGGAGCTAAATAATGAATACACATAGACATAAAGATGGAAATAACAGACACTGGGGACTCCAAAAGAAGGGAGGCTGGGAAGGAGTGAGGGTTGAAAAATTACTTATTGGATACAATGTTCACTATTTGGGTGACATGTTCACTAAAAGCCCAAACCTCATTGTTACACGACACATCCATGTGTAAACCTGCACATGTACTCTCTGAATCTAAAATAAAATAACAAAAAGTGAAGATGTAGGGAGTGTTCCCTTTCCCTTTAAGGAATGGAGATGTTCCCTATCCTCTCTCTAGTGAAAGATGGCAGAAATTTATTCTAGGAGAAAGCCAGGGAAGAAGTCATGGGGAGTATCTTCAAGTAAGCAGGAGTTTCACACCCTCTTTGCAGGAAGAGCCTTCTGATCTGGAGTTACCCCTAAATCAAGCCAAGGAAAGAGAGTGCTCCCTTTCTTTTGCAGGAGCAAGAAGGTTCCCAGGCCTCCTCTAATAAGAGACTGCAAAAATCTATCTCTGGAGCAAGCCAGGGAAGAAGGTCTAGGGGTGCTCACTCTTTTGTTCAAGCAAGAGGAATTTTTACATCTTCCATGCAGGGTGAGGCTTCTGGTCTGCTGTTATCACTGAAGCAAGTCAAGGAAGAAGGCACAGGGAGTGTCCTTTTTGTCTTTCAGGGACAAGGAAGATCCCCGGTCTCTCTCTAACGAGAGATTGCAAGAATTTCTCTCATAAGCAAGCCAGGGGAGAGGGTGTGTGTGTGTGTGTGCGTGCGTGTGTGTGCGCGTGTGTGTGTATCTTTCCCTTCAAAAAAACCCAAGGAATTTATTTTTTCTCCACAAAACTTCCAAAGTATTACTACTTTCTAAGTGCTGATTCTCCTGTGCTTAACTTGCTGGTTTCTCACACATAAAAGGCTGGGTAGAGTTGTCTTTGGCAGCTGCTGATATGGTTGGCATTCACTGGGATTAAGTGAAAAATCCATTGCCTACGAGATGACATTTTAAAAAAGGATATCCTAAACCAAATAAGGAACCACATGAAATCGATTTATTCTTTCTTAAAATTAGCTAGAGTCCCTGTAAGTTGCACTTTAATCTCAAAAAACACACTTGTAATGTTATCCATGAAGCGAATTTTAACATCTATATGGTATTTTAGATTTCTGAGAAAGTGATTTTTATCTGATTTGAATTTACTACATTGAGTGAAATACTGCTGTTTGGACAGTGTGCCAGTTTTCACATTTTCATATAAATTTTGCACTGAAACGGCAGCTCCTGTGCCTTCCTGCTGGCTGCCATCCTCTCACTTCTTACTGTCAGCTGTGTAAACCACTTTCTGCCTACATCCCCTGCTTTGTACAATCCTCTTACTAACCCAGGCGCAGCTCTGTTTCTTTCTTTTATTTATGACCAGCCACCTTTTCCAGGTTACTTAGAGAACCATTATATTATTACTGAAATAAACTATTACAACTGAAAGGGTCCTGGACAGTCACTCAGCCTAGTTCTTTTGTGTGATAAATAGGGACCAAAGTGTTAAAGTGACATGCCTGAGTTCAGATTTCTTAGTGCCATCGGTGGAAACAGAACCCATGTCTCCTAACATTAACTTTCTTTTACCTCTGCTTTTCCTATTTGTTGTTCTTTGGATAGGCTATAAAAATTTCTGATAGATTTTGTCTGATAAAACCCTTGATAGATCTAATTGGTGATTACAAAGCACTAAGCCTTTATATCCTCAAATAACTCCCTAAGTACCCAGAGTCGGCAAACTTTAAACCCTGTTTTGAATTTGTATTGCATCTTTTTGTCTTAATAGATTTGGTGGCCCACACAATACCTCAGTCATGTTTCACTGAGGCCCCAGCTTGAATCTGACCTGCATACGTTACTGGGGGTACCTGGAGGTCTGGTGAAGGAAACTGCCAGGAGAACATTTAAGCAAAAGCATCTGGAACATTTTGGAAATGAAAAGAGTCTCTGTTAGTGAACAAAGAGGGAGTAAAACACAGAAGCTGGCCCAATAAGAATATCTCAATAGGGAAGGACTAGAAAGTGATGAGAATAGCCTGGGTGCTTTCACTGATACTTATTCTCTAGCCATGCCACAGGAGCCAGTGACAAAATACAAGGGAGACAGGGGTTAAATAAAAGTTAAACAAAAGCAATCAAGTCAGAAAAAGCTATTTTAAGTAAAATCTCTCTAAGACATTTGGTGAGCAAAACAGCATGTTTTTGGTACTTAAGACTGGAACACAAAAGCACAGGAGTGTCAGTCTTTCAGTTTCAACATGAAATTCAGCATTGCTGAAATCTATGGTGACCTTCAGATAACTCAGTGCTCTGATATCAGTGTGACTTATTACTTGGCATTCTTCCTGGATCAGCCCCCAAACTCTTAACCAAGTTTTTACTTGAGCAAGATTACAGACAGCTTGGAGACTACAGGGTCTGTTTGAATAAGAGACTGAAGAACTTTTGGGGACAGGACTTTTCCATAAGGTCAGTGAAGAAATAGTTCTACTTTGACATCTGTCTCAGTGACTATACCACAAAACAAGGTTGAAGATCTTCTTCACCACTGACCGCCACTTAAGTTTTGTCTTTGGGAAGCTTATGCTCTAGGTGGTGGTGATGCCCAGCATGACCTACTGAGAAATGGCAGCTATGCCTGGCAGACAGATCAGAAATTGCAGGGCAGACTAGCAAGGAAAGAGGTGTCATTTAAAAACTATTCACAGTGGTAGCAGCATCAAGCCCAGTGGGAGTGGGGCGTCAAGCAGATGTAGCATTGTTACGCAGGAGCGCTCATCAGATTCTCTGCAAACACTCCTGAAACCCTCTTGGGGCCTGGCAAGGATACTTGGGGAAAGAACTCAGAGATTGTTGATGTTCTATGTGAGCAGGTGGTGGAAGGCCTGGGGAAATGAGTTATATTTGCTCTCTATTTCTCAAGTCTTTTAAAAACGTTTTGAATTCAGGGAGTTCATGTGCAAGTTTGTAACATGGGTTTATTGCATAATGCTTTAATTCTCAGGTCTTTTAATCCTACTTGAATCACCGTATTGCTGATTGGAAGCAAATCAGTTTACTTGAATATAAAATTTATAAATGAAAGAACACTTGTAGGAATACCAGCATTCTTACAAATGATTTTAGTATATTATGATTATTTTCTTAATTCTCCTAAGATAATAACATCCTCTGAATGCACAAACTTCAGCTAACTGCTCCATATTTTGTGTTAGAATATTATAGACTTTCTTTATTTTGACTCTTGAAACTTTGCAGAGCTAGAATTTTTTTAAAATCAGTTTTCAAGTGTTTTGTTGTCTCTTTGCTCTAGTGATAAACAGCATAAGAGTAATGAGAGAAGTAGGACTTCATCAGCAACCTTTTCAGTGTCGGTATCTAAGTTTCCTTAAGATCTCGTGTCCTTGGTCAAACCAAGTCTCCAGATGGCAGTGTTGTCAGAAAGATCTAGGAAAATAGATGACCCAAATATATTTTTATATCTGTGTTTCAGTTTGTAAATCACTAGTCTTGTTTCTGAAATGGTTTTCAGGTCAAAGCAGTTTTAAGATCCCTCTTCAGCAGTTACTTGTCATTCTCATCCCATTCTTTCCATTTTCTGTGTATTATATACTTTTCCAGCCTGGAATTTATAGTTCCCAGTGCAATACCAAGCACAGAGTTTGTTGAGAATCCACTTTTATTCCCTGGTAAAGTTGCTTTTAGCAGTAACAATAGTACTTACTATTTTGTTTTTATAGAATTTCTAATCAACATAAATCACCATTACATCAACACAACAACATACATTGTGGACCCACAATACCGTGTCCTTTTAGAAAATATTGTGTCAGAACACTTAACATGAGATTTACCCTTTTAACAAAATTTTAAGTGTACAATACAGTATTATTCACTATAGAAACAATCTTTCACAGTGGATCTCTAGGATTTAATATAGTGGATACTTTTGCATTTAAAGATGGTTCTGAACTCTTCTCCAGGATCCTCCTTATTATGACATATTTATTTTTGTAACAACTTCTGCATACATCAAATATAAAGCTTGTAAGCAGAAGTGTGCACTTCTCTAAAAGTTAACCAAACATGGTGTGCTTTCTTTCCATGCAAATGTTTGCATACCTCTGTCCTTGGAATTACTTCTCTGGGTCAGAGTGAGCTTTTGTGCACTTAAGGACAAGAGGGCAAATGTTTTCAGCTTTACATTATTTTGCAGAATTTATTCATTACTGTTTCTTACAAATAGGATCTCCTTTAGCATGATAAATGAAAAGCCAAATAGCGTATTATTTGTTAAATAAGTGATTCAGACAGTTGTATTCATAAATTTCCTTAGGGAGACTACAAGGTCCTCCTTCCGAACTACCTGCCCTGGGTCTAAACTCATCCTGCTTTATCTTGGCATCCTCTTTTTTAACAATAACTTTTGTGTTAAAGCATTGGTGCAAGGTCTCCTGGAGGCTCTTGTTGAAGTGTGCATGCTGCCTTGGAGGGACAGGAGGGCCGTTTCATTATCACAGGCTGGCAAACTGCCACCTTCAGTCATTTAACATCTAGTAACTGATCTCCTTTTATGTGCAAGGCAGTGTAGTCAGATGAGGAGAAAGGTGGTTCCCAGAGGACTTGAAGGATTGTTAATATTTGATGGCTATGAAGGCAGAAAAAATGTTGAAGCATGAGGAAAATGGAAGATTTGAGGATGAAGGGACATCTAGGATGAGTTGCTGCCACTGGGATCACTTATAAAGCAGTGGGAATAATTTGGAAGTGGAGGATATGTTTCAATAATGTTGAAATGAAAGCCAATGGTATTTTTCTAGAGATTTTAAAAATTCATCCAACAAATAATTATTGAATGACTACAATGTATCTGGCATCAAGGACTTAGAGATACAGAAGTAAACAAAACGTATCAAGTCTCTGCCCTAAAGGAACTTACAGGGTAGTGGGACAAATGGTAAACGAATAAAGTAAATATCTAATGGCAGATAGTGATAAAGGTTATAGAGAAAAAGAAAGGTGAGGGAAATAGGGAGGGCTGGGTGAAAAACTCGGGGGTACTGACTAGGAGGGTGTTGCTATTTTGTCTAGGGAGGGCAGGAAAGACATGAGGAAGTCAGAAATTGAATTGAGCCCTACAGCTACGGGAGGGAGTGGGTAGAGCATGCCTGGAGAGGAACAGCAAGGTCAGTGGCTCAGAGGCAGGTAGAGCTTGGTGTATTTAAGGAACAGTAAGGAGGGCAATGTGGCTTAGGGAAGGTGAGAGAAGAGGAGAGTATGGGAGAGAAAGATACATTGAGGACTGAGAGAAAGGGGATGGGAAGCAGGTGGTGTAGAGCTTTGAAACCATTGTTTGTACTTTGGATTTTACTCTAAAGGAGCTGATAATCAATTGGGTGATTTTCAGCTGAGGAAATGACATCATCAGACATATTTTACAAGGACACACTGGTGCTGTGTTGAGATTAGACTATATGTGTCAAGGGCAGAAACATGGAGATAGAACATATTACCAAAATCCAGGAGAGAAATGATGGTAACTTTTATCCGAATTGTGTTGGTGAAGGAAGCAATTAGAGGTCAAATTCTGGATTTCTATTTGAAGGTAGAACTGACAAGATTTGCTGTTCTTTAACTTGGACAATATACGTTAGTGCTCTTTTTTCCTTGAGGATGAGCTGTTTGTGAAGCAGGATATCTCCCTGACCCCTTCACGGGTGGGAACTGGAGTGCCAAGGTGCTAGAACTAGCCGACTGCTTTGGCACTGGCAGGGGGTGAATTCCACTCGCTCGGACCTGCAGCACTTCATCCCTCATGGGATGGGGAGCATGTAGGTGAGGGGGTGCAGGAGCTGGGGCTAGTGCTTTTGGCCGCTGGCAGGAGCAAAACTGCATGCGGACCCCATGACAGCATCTGGGGGGACGCCCGTGACCCCTGAAGCCTCAGGAGTGTTACAGTGCTCTTTTAGCTTTGCTGCCACAGATGGCTTAAGTGTTAACAGCTCAGTGGAGGGTCAGTGTGACAGCCTTTTGTATCCGCACTCATGGCACCTGAGTTCTTGTCCAGCAGCCAGGAGGAATGAGGCCATATGAACAAATTGAAGGTGGTAAATGTGGGGGATTTTATTGCTGATAAAAGCGGCTCTCAGCAGGAGGGGGAGCCGAAAAGGGGACAGAACAGGAAGGTAATTTTCTCCTGAAGTCTGGCTATCCCTGGCTGTATTCCTCTTTGAAGCTACATTGTCAAGCCATCCCTCTGAAGTCAAGCCACCTCTCTCTACCACATCCAGCTGCTTCTCTTCTCTCTGCCAGCTGAGCCTGGGGTTTTTCTGGGTGCAGTATGGGGGCTTGGGAGGGCCATGGGTGGTTTTGGAAAAGGCAACATTTGAGTGGGAAAACAGGAATGAAAGTTTTCATTTTGGGCTGTGGTTCCAGGTTTGAGGGTGGGTTCCTTGCTGGGGACCCACCCTCTTCTGCCCAGAATTTCCCTGCATCCTGTCTCCTGTCATTTACACAGAGAGCAGTCTTGAGCTTCTCTAGCCAATACTTGGGAATCTAAAGCAGCAAAACTTACAGTTATGTGACCCTAGGACCAAGTGTGAAACAGTAACTGAAATTACCTTTTATGATTACAGCCTATCCTGTGGAGTTCAGGATACCAGGATATGTTGAGAAGACATGAATAGTTCTAAAGAGCCACCTGTTAACAATTGCAAGAGCCAGGCTTGTTTCAAGAGTCAATGTTCGGGATAGTACAAGCTAACATTTTCTAGTTCCGGTGTGGTTTAGAAGTTCAGATTCCTCTTGTAAGTCTTATGGAGGATCCTTTAAGCTACAAGAGGTTTCTAGTTGAAGGTATAATCATTTGCAAATAAAGTTGGATTCTGAGATAAATTTTAAAGAAAGTGAGAAGTGCCTTTGATCTACTTTCACATTCAGGGAATTCTTGTCTCTCTGGATGCTTTTTTTCAAGCATATGCTCTATCATATGCACATTAATCTTGGCCCTACCTAGCTGCAGTTCCCAGCTCAACTACTTCCTCATAATTTACTGTATTTAATAGAGTACCGCAATGACTGAAATCGTATTTGACCTGCAAAAAAGCTACCAGAAGTAAATGTTTGTGTTGATGGTGACATAGTAGTTTATTATTTTTTGGCGGATAACCCTAGTGCCCAGAAATCACACCTTTTGTGAAACCATTCATTGCAAGTGGATGCATGGTTCTGTTGAGCACAGTTGCTACATCTAAATGACCATGTATTTATCAACAAATGTTTACTGAGTGTTCATCATGTTCCAGGCCTGTGCTGGAATGGGGCCACAGCTATAACGAGGCAGTAAAAAAAAAGATTAATATGAAGTGATTAATTAGGGAGTATTCCTGGGAATACTCATAAGGGACAGGGAATGTTGGATGAGGAGGAGAAGGACCAGCAAGTAGATAGCATCAATCAAAGTCTCACAGAGGATAACTTTGGATCAATTCCCTAGGGGAGCTCTGGGAACTCCAGAGAGCTTCCCAATAGGGGTCACACCTGGAAATTGTCTTGACGTTGGAGCAACAGACCTGTTCCTGGAAGAATGTGAATTCCATGGCACTTCCAGCTCTCTCATTCAGGCAGGCAGAGTGGGTTCCAGAAGCCTAAAAAGGCCGAGGTGCTTGATGTTGGGAATAAAAGCACACCTGGAAGCCTGTGAGCATGAACATGGTAAAGTGATGAAAAACAGATATGAGTAGAGTACTGACAGTGTCCTCTTCAGACTACTCAATATACCACTCAGAGCCATTCATACCACACATCAGATTGACTCCTCATGGGCTGGGCAGGCAAATTCACACATAGAATGTGTTCCTTTCAGAATGAATTGCTGCCTTTCTCAGTGTGGAAGGAGTCTGATGTAAAAAACCTGACACCAAGTGGCTGATTGGTCTCTGTGAGAGATGATACCATAGTGAAAGCTCAGCTTCTGTCTCTGCTGCCAACTGGTTGGATGTTCAACAGTATCGGTAGTTATATCAGCCTTGTTGAGAGAGAGCTCATGCTGTTGGGCCCATGAATAGCCTCCATCTCTGCTGCAATGGCACGTGGATCTACTGTGCTAGTACTGGGGTGGTCAAGGACAGAGTCTGCCTGACATCTACAGGATAAGACATCCTGTCCACAGGCTGTCCATCACATGTCTGCACGGATGCTGTCTAGCAGACATTAACCTGCAGTGCCAATGTTCACAGACTGTGTGTCCATGCTCACACATCTATCTACATGCTTCTTCCCTAACTTCCTTAATCGTATGCACATTCACCTTGGCCCTACCTAGCTGCAGTTCCTAGCTCAACTACTTCCTCATAATTTACTGTATTTAATAGAGATAGAGTATCACAAAGACCAAAATCGTATTTTGTGTCACTTGTGTCTTTTGTAGTGTCTTTTGTGTCACTACAAAGAAATATCTGAGGTTGGGTAGTGTATAAATAGATTTATTTGGCTCGTGGTTCTGGAGGCTGTACAAGAAACATGGCACGGGCATCTGCATCTGGCAAGGACCTCAGGCTTCTTCCACTTCTAATGCAAGGCAATTGGGAATTGATGCCATTGTGTCACATGGCAAGAAAGGGAGCAAGATAGTGAAGAGGGAGGTTTCCAGATTTTTTTAAACAATCAGTTCGAGAACTCACTCATTACTGTGAGGACAACACCAAACCATTCATGACAGCAGCCCCCATGATCTAAACATCTCGCACTAGGGATCAAATTTAATTTTGTTTGGTGGGTCCAAACAAACCCTATCCAAACCATAGCACTCCCTAATATTTTTCACTAGTTTTCCAGTCTTGCTGCTTCCAAGTCTCTGACCAATTAGCCAAGCTTTTGACACTACACAGGCATTCATACAGATCCTTACTAGTCTGGTCCCTGAGTAATACAATTAGTTATGGCAGATGACTACAACTAAGTTGTAGTTCTAATTGCATTAGCTATACCAGTAATGGTGTTTTCTCCAAGACAAATGAATTTTTTCAGCAATCATCAATAAGAAGGATCAGAAGGTTTCATTCAATTGGATGGATAGAAGTACACACAGAAGTCTGCTGTCTAGCAATATAATCCAGAGGGTATAATGATTACTGCCTCTGCATACTCTAAGTCTTTGAGTGAATTGCTTATTTCTACCATTCCAACGGGACTGTGGTGGCATTTCTGATTTATTGTTGTTGGACACAGTTACAAGGTCTTGCACTTGATTTTTTCTACTATGAATGTCATTACCATAGGTCAAAGAATCAGTTAAGGGTTCTGTCAGCTGCTTTATATACTTATCCTGTGTATGTATACAAGGAACATGGAAATGTGATTGGCTGGATCTGGAGGGCTATGGACACACTGTGAGATAGACTCGAGTCAGGACTCCATTTATTATCTGGTCTCCTTAGGCCTCCACCGTTTTAAGGGTAAGATGGTGATACTTTGTAAACTCCTGGTATCAGTGTTAGCTTGAACTTCTACACTAAAAGTATAGGAAAAATGTGGGTTTCCCCTGTTTCTCAGTGTAAAGTTACTTGGGTAAATGTCCATAGATTTATTTGAGGAAGACCAGGAGAGTTAATATTGTATATCCTTTCTGTGACACTATAGGATCCTTTCCCAGGTAGATTTGGCTTTTCTTTAAACAATGGTCACTATACCTGAGAAATGGCTCAAGCTTGGAAATTAGGGAATGGAAAGTGATTTATCCATTAGTACAGCTGACATCAGTCTTCTGTGCATCTGCTTTTCATTTAAAAAAATGCAATTATCTATATCAGGCAATGCCCTTGTTGTCTGCCTATGTGCCTTGTTTTAGAAACACCATGGTTTATTAGATATCACCATAGATAACTGCAACTTTGATGCCTGCAAGTAACTCTGTCTACCTTCTCCCTGTGATTAAATGCTGCCATCTGGCCTCTGCTATTTCAGATCCTTCCCCGCTGATACAAGAAAGTCAGTTCCATTACAGCATCTCCTACTATCAATCCCAGCCTACTAGAAACAGTAACAAATGAGCTTTTTGATGATGCCAGTGTCCTCCTCACTAATGCATTCCCTAACAGTTAGTGAAAGGAGTGTCTTCCAGGACTATGCAGGGAACATGGTTATTTGGTGGATTCTTAGGTCTTATGTAACTATCTTGCTCACCTCTCTGAGCCTGCTAATCTCTTTCTCAATACTCTGCCCAGGAATTTTAACCTCAATTAATATGACTCATTGTTTTTTTCCAAGTTTCTGGGGATAAACCAAGCAAAATTTATTAGGATTGACTGTGGATTTCCCTGCTAGGGTGTTGGGTTATGGGAGCATGCCCCCAGATTAAAAAATTCTCCCTTATCCAGCTTATAGTCCACCTTTGCCAGTTCAGCACCTTCAGGATCCACTTCTAGGCATGTTCTTTCAGTTCTTGCCAGCACCTATGAGACAGATCCTGGATCTCCCTCAATGAATAATTCCTTTTCTCCTTTAGCAGATGGAGTACTCTCCCAATCAGATCATGCAAGAATAATAGGAAGGGAGGTGTGGAACCATCTTAAAAGGTGAGTGTAATCTTGCAGAGCATTGATCACAGTTGAGGTTTCTGCACAGTGTTTAGGCAAGAGGAAGCTGATGTTCTGCAGGTAGAACTGGGGTACTTTTTCAGGCTCAGGAGTTTAGGGGCATTGGGAGTTTAATAATTTTGTGTGTATTCCAGGAATTTCCATTCCATCTCAGGATCCCACTCCTTCTCTATCAGGATCCTACCTTTAGCATAAGAAACTTGCCAAAATATTAATCAGCCTTCTTTGCAGGTTTGCTACTCTCACTCTTAAGTTTTGGTTCTGGTCTTCAGGACCACCTTATATGCAGCTACAGATGAAGATATTCTCTTTAAATCCTGCCATGGAGAACTTACAGCTTTCACATTATGTTCGGAATTGGTAATTTGCTGACGTAAACTTGGAATTTTATTTCTTCAGTCCATTGATGGCACTTAATAATGACCACAAATCCCACAGATCTTATAGCTACCATAATCACCATATATCTCAAATACTAGATATTAAACAATCTAGTATGTCTTTTTCCTCTTGTGTTCCATCCCAATTCACCACGCATGAAAGTTTAAGCAATGGTCCTGGGGTTTTGTCACTTTACTTACCACCAACAATGAGGTTCCTGTTGCCTTCTAGCCAGTGAGTCATCCAAACACTGAATCCTATACTGAGTATCAGCTTTCAGCATCATTTCTGCTACTAAGTTTCTTAGGTTGCGTTCTCCAGTAGCAAATTCTGAGTTAAGGGTTTGTGTAAAAGTGATTAATGGAGTATTCTCAAGAAGACCGTAAGGGAGTGGAAAAGTGAGGCAAGAAATAAAAGAAGCCAAGCAAGGGTGAGTCCTGTGATGAAGAACTTTGACTCATTCCTGCAAGGAAGATCAAGAGACAGTGTAGCCACACCTCATAGCTGTCATGATCATGGGCAGTAAGTTGGAGTGTTTATACAACTCAAATGGAGTCATTGATGACAACAGTTGTCACTGCTGGGAAATAATTTCCCAGGCCACTCCTTGTGTGCCGAGGCAAAGAGTATTGGGATCCTGAGGTTAGTCCTCTGACAAAGATATATGGTTAGTGGCTGGTGAAAGTGAAAACATGCTGGTGGACATAGCCAGTGTGAATGAAAATGTAAGGAGGTATACAGGACTGGGGAGGAGAACCAAATGTGTCTTCTAGAGAGATGATAATGGCAGACAATCAATAATTAGAGGTAATGATATTTTTTGATAATGTTGGATAACATATATAATACCATTACCCTACTGCCTCCAAGAGATTAGTCTCCAGAGAAAATTTTTAGTTGTCCTAAAATTACCAGATGATTTGTCTCACTGTTTAAGTCTCACAGCTACTATTTTTTCTTTGTGACAAGATCTCAAACATTCTCACTATTACTTAAACTCTTTTCTTCTTCTTTTTTTGTCCTCCTCCTCCTTTTTTTTTTTTTTTCTTTTTTTCTTTTGAGACAGAGTCTCGCTCTGTTGCCCAGGCTGGATAGAGTGCAGTGGCACAATCTCGGCTCACTGCAAGCTCCGCCTCCCGGGTTCACGCCATTCTCCCACCTCAGCCTCCCAAGTAGTTGGGACTACAGGTGCCTGCCACCACACCTGGCTAATTTTGTTTTTGTATTTTTAGTAGAGACGGGGTTTCACCGTGTTAGCCAGGATGGTCTCGATCTCTTGGCCTTGTGATCTGCCCTCCTTGGCCTGCCAAAGTGTTGGTATTACAGGCGTGAGCCACCGTGCCCGGCCCTCTTCCTTTGTTTTTATTTAATGTATCCATTAAAGAAATTTCGGAAATGACCAATCACTGATCATATTGTGGACATTTTGGTGTTTTTCCTCTGTCTTAGCCCATTTTGTGTTGCTATAACAGAATACCGCAGACTGGGAAGTTTATAAAGAAAAGACATTTATTTTTTACAGTTCTAGAGGCTATGAAGTCCAAGGTTGAGGGGCTCACATCTGGTGAGGGTCTCCTGCTGCTTCATCCCAAGGAAGAAAGTGAAAGGGCAAGAAAATGTGAAAGAGCAAGAGAGCAAGAGAGGGCCAAACTCACTTTTATAACAAGCCCACTCTGTGATAACTAACACACTCCTGAAATAATGATATTCATCCATTCATGAAGGCAGAGCCCTTATGACTTAACCATCTCTTAAAGGTTGGACCTCTCAACACTGTTGCATTGGGGATTAAGTTTCCAACACATGAACTTTGGGGGAAATATTAACATGATAGCAGCCTCCTAATTTTTTTTTGCAGATAAATTTTAAATAATTTTATTTTAAAAAGTATTTTCAAATGGTTATTGTTCTTCCAAAGAAACTTTACTACTATGAATCAATCATTCAACAAAAATATAGTGAGCCCTTTATATGTATTTGACAATGTCCTAGCCACTGTGAGGTTATAGTATTGAACAAGGCAAAAACACTTGACCTCTGCTTGGGGAAGAAAGATAATAAACTAATATATAATGTGTTAAATGGAGATAAATGTGTTAAGCGGAGAAAAATAGACATGCAGGGTGAGGAGAAAAGGAGTACTTTGTGCCTATGTCTCTGTGTGTGTTGTTTTCAGAGAGTGGTCTGGGAAGGCCTCATGATCAGGAGGTAGTGAGAAGAGGTCTGAGGGGAATGTACTATGTGGAGGGAATAGCAAACACTTTGAGATAGGAATATGTTTGATGGGTTCAAAGAACAGCTAGAAATTGGTGTAGGAATTGAAAGTGTTGGCTCAAATGGAGTGAGCCAGGAGGAGAGTTGAAATTACAGCAGTTGTGACCAAAGTGGAGTGTGGGTAGCTGAATAACCAGGGTCTTGGGAGCCATTTTAAAGACTTTGGTTTTTATTCTTGAGATGAAGGTCGTGGGCAAATTTGAAGAAGGGGAGAGTCATGATCTGACTCACATTTTAAAAGACTCAATCTTATTGCTTCATGAAAAAGAGACTCTAGGGAGCAGAGGCAGAAATACAAAGACTAGTCAGGAAGCTGTTGCAATAATCACAAGACCAGGATACTATCAGTGGAATAGTGAAAACAGGTCAGACTCTGGAAAGAAAATATGCACATATTTGCCAGAAATCCTAGTAGGATTTACTAATAAGTGGTATGGATTAGATATGGAGTTTATAATTTGACTGGGAGGAATATTTTATATTTTTATTCATCTCTAATTCATGTTCCCTCTGATGTATCATTTTAACTTTAGGAAAAAATTTCCTTTATAGATAATTCAATTACCGTGAGGAATGCTTAAACTACAGACATTTCCATGGGTTACTGATAGTCATAGTGACAGATTACCATGCAACATAGTTTTAGTCACAGTGAGGGCTACACAAAAAAGTAAGACTTATCCCTGGCTTTGATGAACTATTGGCCCTTTGACAATAAAAAATAGATAAGGCTAAGGTATGTGGTATATGTCATAATATATTTGAAGACATGTCCATATGTAAAACATTTATGGAAAACTCTCTCTCTCTCTGATTTCCCCAGACTCTAAGTACAATACCAATTCAGAAATAAAGAAAAAAATCAATCTGGGTTAATGCCTAGTCACTGAAAGACTTACCAAGGAAGTACTTTAGCTTACAAGGAAACGTAGCATATGAATGGGGAGAGAGATCAGCAAAAGAAGTTAGAAGTAGAAATGGGTAGAGCTTATAATGGGATAGAGATTGGCCTGATGTGAATGAATGAATGAACAATAATCGAATAAGTATGAGTGTGTTTTCTTGAGATAAACATTTGTGTAAATAACACTAGTTTTACAGATATTTCCCCCCGGACTTTCTAAATAACTCAGTGATTCCTAGTAATGTTTTGGTTTGCAGACACTTTGAAAATTTCATAAGTGGTAGAAAATGCACATTTGGGCAAAATTTTATGTATAGTTTAAGGAATTCATGAATATTCTGAAGCTGGGGGTCCATGGAACCCAGACTGTGAACTGTTGAGAGTGTTTCAAAGCACTTTGGTTTTGCCATCAAGCAACAACTATGCTTTAAGATCCCTTTTCTCCTGAAACATTTCAACCAACTTTGCCAGAAACATTACCAAAATTAGAACGTCACAGATCTAGCTGCAAGTCGGAAAATAGATCAACCCTGTGACCTGAGAATAATATCTAGATCTCTAAGTTTTTCCTTTTTTTGTGCAGTAAAGAGAGGAAAAGATGCTTTGGTATTCCTAAACACTTGACTGGATTTCCTGTATAGACTGAGTGTGAATTTAGGAGGTGTTGAGTGCATTGTTATCCATGCATAGATGCAGTTTCCCAGTGAAATATGCTTACCTTAGAGTGGAGATGAGCAAGGACATTTGAGGTAAGATGTGGAAAGAGCCATCAATTAACAGTTTTAAGGAATAAGCTTAAAAATAAAATTCAGCTTTTCTGCGCCATAGAATTCTGCAAGTAATCACCAGAGGCATGAGGGTGTGGACTGTGAGGGCAACAAGTCATGGTTGTTTTTTCTCTATTACATTACATATTACCTATGAGCTATTTGTTTATTTATTTATCTCTTCCAGGGTGATTAAAATGCACCCTTTGTAGAGCTCTCTGGGCACAGGCACAGAATAATAATGGCTTGGTAAGCTGTGTGCTCTGGAAACCCTGCAAGCAAGCAGAGTCAGGTGGAATTGACACAGCTGAACTGGTAGCTGTCACTGAAATGTGGGTTGACCTCCAAGGGTGTAAGTGTCACTGTAGCAAAGCACTTTGTGAGCAGAGTGAGATGAACAGCAATGATCTCTTTCAGAATAGCAATCTTGGGGACAGTCATTTTCTCTCTCTGATTTCTGGGTTGAAAACTGCACTGCGCACTTTAGAGAGATGCCTTGAGTTTTATGTAGTGCATTATATTTTTTCACGGCACCCTGTGTAGGTGTCCAGATGGCAACCAGGTGAAATTGGTCTGAGCCAACACAAAGCAGCAGACTGCATTGATTTGCCTAACATCTTAAAATCAGAATAAAAAGGTATTGCGGCTATGCCTACACGATTTACACTGTCACATGCATAAAATGGTTAAAAAGCTGTGGTCTTGGGAATCAGGCAGGTGTATATTCTGTTCTGGGCTTTGCCACCCACTAGTTACTTACTAGTATTGGCTTCTTGAGTATTGACTTCTTTATCTCAAAAATGGATATAAGAATATTCTATTCCTGAGGTTGTTTTGAGGATAAAACAGATAATTTCTATCTGAAGCTCTTAGCAGAATGCCTAATATGTAAGTAAACTCTCAATATGTGTGACTTTTCTTGTCAGTCTGATCTTGAACTTAACCTCACTACTCTGCTTACTGCAAATGCTCTTCCCCCAGGTTTTCTACCTTTCTAGATACCGCTAAGACTGCACAGGACTCTCTTCTCTGTTCTCTGGGCAGTTCTTGCAGCAGCAGCAATTTCATTCCTGCTGCTGTGACTTGTACACAGGTGAGACAAGAAAACCCCTTGTAACTCACTACCAGGGCTTCATGGAGGCAAGTGAATTTCTAGTCTATTCTCTCAAGCTGCAGCTTGGATCAATTTTCCCTGTGAAAATGGCACTGCTAACGTTTTGGCACAAACTTTTTCTATGTATGACTACATTTAGAAAATCACAGTCATGTTGTCTACACTGGCTAGGAACCTGCTTTTTCTAATTTAAAAATTGTGAGCATTTTCCAACGTCATGAAATATTCTTTAAATGTAATTTAAAATGAGTTGCCCTGTTACATTTTTCTAAAAGTGGAGACATCTTTATTTTAAAGTAATATGTGACAAACAGTCCCTCATTTCACTCCTCAAAAATAATTGCTGTTAGGAATTTCATTTGATATCTTTCAAGACATTTCTGCAAGTATAAACCTATAATGAATGCATTCTACATAAACGTAGCTATACCACATATTGTATTCCATAATCTGCTTTATTAACTCAACAAAATATTGTGGGTATCTTTAAAAGCTAAATAGTATTTCGTTATATGGATACATCGTTATTCACTCAATCTCTTATTAGACATTCTCATTTTCAATATTTATTATGCAACATTCGACAAATGTATTTATGTATCATATTTGTTTACTCACACTCTTATTTCTTTCTTTCCTTTTTTTTGTTTTTTTTGAGACAGAGTCTCACTCTGTCGCCCAGGCTGGAGTGCAGTGGCTTGATCTGGGCTCACTGCAAGCTCTGCCTCCTGGGTTCACGCCATTCTCCTGCCTCAGCCTTCCGAGTAGCTGGGACTACAGGCACCTGCCACCACGCCTGGCTAATTTTTTATATTTTTAGTAGAGATGGGGTTTCACCGTGTTGGCCAATATGGTCTTGATCTCCTGACCTCGTGATCCATCCGCCTTGGCTTCCCAAAGGGCTGGGATTACAGGTGTGAGCCACCGTGCCCGGCCACACTCTTATTTCTTTAAGATAAATGATGAGAAATGGAACTGTGGGATCAAATGGTATGCACATTTTAAATGTTGGTACAAATATCCCTCCAGAAATGTTGAATATTTTATATTCCCTTTTAAAATGCATGAGATGTTCCATTTCCCCATACCTTTACCAGAATGTGACTAGTGTGTTTTTTTTTTAATTTCTTGTTAAACTTAAGATATCTGTGTAAGCTGTCTTAAATCCTTATTGGAATTTAACAGTGTATATATCAGAGCCAAATATTTGACAAAATAATACAACAGGTTATGTTGATATTCTTTTAACATAATTTAAAATGAGTTGTCCTGTTATATTTTTCTAAAAGTGGAGACATCTTTATTTTAAGGTAATATTCTTTATGGTCTCCTCTTTCTACAACATCCATGGGAAAATACTTTCTAAGCTCCAGACCACTGACAAAAATATCAAAGTTGTAAACTTTGCTGAAACAATGGCTGAATTTCTCAGTAAATATTTATTCTATTCCTGTCATAGGCAAAAGTTCCATACCAGACAACTTATGAACCTAGCTTCCATGAAAGCATTGTGACTCATTTTAACATTTTGGGCTAAGTGAGAAATTATCTCCATGGGTTAACTTTCAAGGACTTTACTGAAGACACTTGGAAAATTCAAGGGCTCAGTTATTTCTTCCAGACATGCTATGTAAGATGCATTTATTTTGTCTGCTACTATACTTACCTAGAGACCTCATTATCTGGGAATATGCCATGGCTCTGTGGCTTGAAGTCCTGAGGGAAATATTTTCACCCACCATCATATCAGCCTTTCAGTTTTGAAAGCGGAATGTGAATCAGAAATTTATACTCTAGTCTTCAATTTGTAAAAAGATAGTGCATAGATAAAATGAAAAAAGTAAATGTATGAAAAAGCCCTTGCCCTTATCTCCAGCATGCTAAGTGATATGTGAGCCTTTAGCCACTGCTGTAAGGAGTTGACATGTTCAAATTACAGAGAAGTCTGCTCAGTAAAAAGACTATTTTAATAATTCTGGCCATCAGATGAGTACAGGAAGTATATGAAAATGCTCTAAAGGTGCCTGCAGAAGATGTCATTTGATGACATATAAGTGTCAGCACTCAATTAAAGGGTTACCCCAGTCATTACAGAATGTAAGCCAATTGTGACACATGACAGATCCCTGGGGACATGGTAGTTAGAAGTGTTTCCTCCCTTCCTTCCTTCCTCCCTTCTTTCCTTCCTTCTTTCCTTCCTCCATACCTCCCTTTCTTCCTTCCTTCTTTCCCTCCTTCATTCCTTCTTTCCCCCTTCCTTCCTTCCTCCCTTCCTCCTTTTGAGTAAATTCATGTTTGTCAGTTAGGGATATTAAAACATTGTTTTTATCTTTTCACATTTTAAAAGAGCTGTAAAAAGGTTTTCTTTTCAGAACTGAGATTTGCTGAGTCTTTAGTATAATAGCCAAGAAATTTAAAAAGGAGAAAAGAGCCCATTTTGACAATTGTATCAGCATGTTTATATTGTGATTCCGAAGTATAACGTTCATGGCACAGAATGGCATTTATCACATCATGCTTTCCACTGGGTTGTCTTCTTTGGGCAGGAACATTATTTCATTCCTGTGTTTATCTTTCAAGAGCACCTTGCATAGACTAAAACATCAATAAATTATTTTAAGACATATGTCTAATGGTTGAGTGATTTATGGTTTAAAAATAATGTAGCAACTAGAAGACTGTTCTTAGAGAAAGGAGAGGGAAGATGTTTAATGAGAAGAGCTCCTTTAGAGAAAAAGAATCTTGATAGGCATAAGAAGAATGAATAGGGAAATTAAGAAAATATTGAGTGGAAGAGTTAACTGAAAGAAGTTGCAGTAAAAGAGATTAAACTTGATGGTTCTTAGAAGCTTTTTAGGACTTCCAGAGTGAAATTGGAAAAAAAAAAATTTAGTGAGAGTAGAGATTAATGATGATCCTTAGAAGACTAGTGTCTTTTTTTTAATGTAATAGTAGAGATAGTTGATCTCTCACTCATTCCCTTACCTTCAGGGACATTCCAGTATCCAAAGATCTCTCTCGGTGATCTCGGTTCTCCTGAGAGACAGAACTAGGTATAGGTATGTAGATACATAAGAGGAGATTTACTAGGGTAATTAGCTCATGTGATTATGGAAGCTGAGATGTTCCATAACAGTTTGTCTATAAGCTGGAGACCCTGAGATACCAGTAGTATGTCCCAGTCCAAATCCAAAAGCCTCAGAATAAAGGAAACTGATAGTGTAATTCTCAATCCGAGGCTGAAAGCCTGAGACCCGGGGCCTCTGGTTTAAGTCCTGGAGTCCAAAGGCTGGAGTTTCTGAGTTCTAACATCTAAGATGAAGGCTTACATCTTAGATGTAAGATGAAGGAGAAGAAGGGTGTTCTATCTGCAGGAAAGAAGGAAAAGCAAATTTGCCTTTCCTCTGCCTTTGTTCTATTTGTGCCTGCAGCTGATTGGTTGGTGCCCACACATGTTGAGGGTGTTTTTTTTTTTTTTTCCTCAGTCTACCAATTCACATGCCAATCTCCTCTGGAAACACCCTCACAGACATACCCAGAAATGATGCTTTACCAGTTCTCCACATCATTCTTAATCCGGTCAAATTTACACCTAAAATTAACCATTATAATTCCACTCCTTGTCCCTGAGTCCCTGAGAACTTGTGCCTAAGGTGGTTGGGTTACAGCTTGATTTTATACATTTTAGGGAGACAGAAGTTACAGGTAAAACATAAATCAATAAATGTAAGATTTACTTTGGTGGCCTGGAAAGGTGGGACATCTTGAAAGGGGTTACAGGTGGACTCAAAGATTTCCTGATTGGCAGTTGGTTGAAAGAGTTAGATTTTGCCTAAAAACTTGAAGTCAGCAAAAAGAAATGCTTGGGGTTAAGATAAGGGGGTTTGTGAAAGCCAAGGTTCTTGTTAGGAAGATGAAGCCTCCAGGTAGCAGTCTTCAGAGAGAAAAGATGACAAATATCTCTTATAAGACCTTAAAAAGTGCCAGACTCTTAGTTAAATCTCTCCTGCATCAGGTAAATACTTGGAAAGGAGTGGGGATTCTTTACAGAATGTAGATTTTCCCCACAAGAGACAGCTTTGGAGGACCATTTCAAAATATGTCAAAGAAATATATTTTTGGGTAAAATACTTTGGTTTCTTGTAGGGCCTGCTGTTTATCATGTGATGCCATACAAGAGTCAGGTTGGAATTTGGTATCTTATTGCTCCAGATAGTCTGTTTTGTCAGTTTTAAGATCTCTGTTTTTATGTTAATGCTGGTCAATTGTACATGAATTCCAAAGGGAGGAGGGCAGAATGAGGCATGTCTGAACGCCTCTTCCCATCATGCTCTGAACTAGTTTTATCAGGTTTCTTTGAAATCCCCTTGGCTGAGAGGAGAGGTCCATCCAGTCAGTTGAGGGGCTTAGAGTTTTATTTTTGGTTTATAGTAACTACCTTCTTCTCCCCATTCTGTATTTTTTTTTTGCCTTCAGAAAGCACCTCAGCTTGTAGTGATTCTTTACCTGGTGGAGTGTCCCAAACCTTCATTCCTGAAGGGTCTGGGCAATTGGTAGTCCTGCCTGGATTAAGTTGTTGTAATTTCTCTTTGACCCTCATCACAGGGCATGATAATACTGAGAGATGTCCTAAGGGATCTCCTGCATTCCAAACCTACTATTTTTTTTACATTCATTGTGGAGTAGTAGTCCAATTTCCCCCCAGTCTCCTGGCTCAATCACCCTGACCAACAATGTAACTCTTTCTTAGCTTGTTGACTTAGGGAATGAGGATCCCAGGGTGGCTGGGTGGCAGTCTTAACTTCCTGTTCAATGGAATTATTTTTGTGTCTGTCTGGAACTAAGACCCCTAGGGAAGTAGTGCATAAAGTCATGGGAACAGGGAAGGAAACATTTTGCTACTGGGTTCCAATTGGAAATTGTGAATGATGCCACTCCCAAGTAGTGGCATCTCCCAAGTAGTGGCCACTCCCAAGTAGATGCCAATCTACTTGTTGATTCCTGGACCTGTGAATCCTGGGTATAGGAAAAACAGCACCATATTTTGTATGCTAATTCATAGCATATACAGCTTACTGGAGAACTTTGCTCCAGTCCTGCAAAGTATTGTCACCTAGCTAGCATTGTAACTGTGTCTTTAAAAGGACATTTCACCATTATGTCAAGCCAACTGCTTCCAGATAATGGAAAAGATGAAAAGATTAGTGAATTCCATGAGTATGAGCCCATTGTTAAACTTTTTTGGCTGTGAAGTGAGTTCTTGGTCAGAAGCAATGCTGTGTGGAGTACCATGATGGCAGTTAAGGAATTCTGTCAGTCTATAGATGGTAGTTTTGGCAGAAGCATTTCCTGCAGGGAGACAAATTCATACCTGGAGTAAATATTGATCCTGATGGGGACAAAATCCTGCCCATTCTATGATGGGTGGGGAAAATGTAATTAACCGGTGGCCAGGTAGCTGGCTGATTACCTTGTGGAACGGTACCATGTAGGGGGCTTAGAGTTAGTCTCTGCTGCTGGCAGACTGGGGACTCAGCTGTGGTTGTAACCAAGTCAGCCTTGGTAAGTGGAAGTCCATGTTTCTGAGCCAATGTCTGACCTCCATCCCTGCTACCATGGCCCCTTTTTTCATGAGCTCATTGGATGATGGCAAGGGTGGCTGGGGAAAAAGACTGACTGATATCCACAGAAGGGGGTCATCCTATTCACTTGAGTATTAAAGTATTCCTTTTATGAAGTTACCCTTTGGGGAGCATTCACATGGAACATAAATATCTTCATAGCATTTGCACTTCAGAGGGGTCTATCCACATACCTTTTACCCAAATTTCTTTGCTTCCAATTTTCCAATCATGTTTTTTTAAAGATTGTAACTGCCCAATAAGTTCACCTTGCCAGATGCCTAGACAGAGCCGATTTACCAAGACAGGGGAATTGCAATAGGGAAAGAGTAATTCATGCTGAGCTGGCTGTGTGGGAGACCAGAGTTTATAATTATTCAAATCAATCTCCCTGAGCATCGAGGATCAGAGTTTTTAAGAATAATTTGGTTGATGGGGGTGCCAGTGAGTCAGGAGTGCTGATTGGTTGGGCCAGAGATGAAATCATGGGGAGTCAAAGATGTCCTTTTGTGCTGAGTCAGTTGCTGGGTGGGGGCTACAAGATCAGATGAGCCAGTTTATTGATCTGGGTGGTGCCAGCTGATCCATCAAGTGCAGAGTCTGCAAAATATCTCAAGCACTGATCTTAGCTTTTACAATGGTAATGTTATCCCCAAGAGCAATGTGGGGAGGTTTAGAATCCTGCAGTCCCCAGCTACATGACTCGTAAGCCATAATTTCTAATCCTTGGCTAATTTGTTAGTCCTGCAAAAGCAGTCTAGTCCCCAGGTAGGAAGGGGTTTGTTTTGGGAAAGGGCTGTTAATTGTCTTTGTTTCAAAGCTAACTTATAAACTAAGTTTCTCCCAAAGTTAGTTCAGCCTACCCACAGGAATGAACAAAGATAGCTTAGAGGTTAGAAGCAATAAGGAGTTGGTTTGGTCTCCAAATTGATCTCTTTCACCATCTCAGTTATAATTTTGTAATGGCAGTTTCATGATCCTGACCATCCGACCAAACCTTTGGTTACAATCCATGAAAGAGTATGGAATCTCATGTCTGGCCACTTTTTCTTCCAAAAAAAGTGCACAAACTGGTACGTTGCCTTAAGTTCTGCCTACTGAAAAGATTCACTTCACCACTGTCCTTCAGGGATGTCCCAGAAAGGGGCTGCAGTGCTGCAGCTGTCCTCTTTGGGATGATGTCTTTATCTCATACAGAACCATCTGCAAACCAGGGACCTAGTCTTCTCTTCTTCTGTCAGCTAATCATAAATACTCCCCATGAGGCCATAGGTCCATCCTGAGAGACAGAAGGTAGTGTAGCAGGAGGAGAAACCATGAGCATTTGGGCCACTTCTTCATATAACTTATTTGTGCCTTCATGAGCTGCTTGGGCCTGATCATGTGTATAACACTTCCATTTGATAATGCATTGCTGCTGTGCATTGCAACTTGGTGACCCATGGTCAAGCATTTAGTTTCTACCAATAAAATATATATATTTTATATATATATATAATTATATATATTATTTTTATATATTTATATATATTTGGAATATATATTTGGAGAAATAAGGAAAATATATCAGGATAATTGGCTCATGTGAGTATGGAGGCTGAGAAGTCCCATGACAGGCCATCTATAAGTTGGAGACTGATATGGTTAGGCTTTGTGTCCCTACCCAAATCTCATCTTGAATTGTAGTTCCCATAATCCCCACATGTCTTGGGAGGGTCATGGTGGGACGTAATCAAATCATAGGGGTGGGTTTTTCTTATGCTGTTTTTGTGATAGTGAATAGGTCTCATGAGATATAATGGTTTTATAAAGGGCAGTTTCCCTGGACACGTTCTCTTGCCTGCCACCATGTAAGATGTGCCTTTGTTCCTGTTTTGCCTTCTGCCATGATTGTGAGGCCTTACTAGCAGGGAGGAGCTGTGAGTCCATTAAACCTTTTTCTTTATAAATTACCCAGTCTTGGGTATTTCTTCATAGCAGTATAAAAATGAGCTAATACAGAGACCCTAAGATATTGGTAGCATGACTCAGTTGAAGTCAAAAAGCCTCAGGATGATAGAAGCTGATGGTGTAACTTTGAGACTGAGGCTGAAGGCCTGAGAAACCGAGGACCTCTGGTTTAAGTCTCAGAATCTAAAGGCTGGAAAGCCTAGAGTTCTGATGTCCCAGGGCAAAAGAAGAGTGTCCCAGTTCCAGCAGCAAGGACAAGATAAAAAAATTGTCTTTCCTCTGCCTTTTTTTTCTATTTGGGGCCACAGACAATTGGATGGTGCCTGCCCTCATTGACAAAGGATCTTCTCCATTGACACACATGCCAGTTTCTTCTAAAGATACCCCTACAGAGACACCCAGAAATAATGCTTTACCAGTTCTCTGACCAGTCCACTGACACACATGCCAATTTCCTCTAAAGATACCCTTATACCAGTTCTCTAGGTATCCTTTATTCCAGTCAAGTTGATACCTAAAATTAACTATCGCATTTGGTATGGAGATCTTCATTTTGTGCACACTAATGAGCAGTAGACCACCAGGCTATTCATGTAAAAGTGTCCACTAATTTAACACTTTTTTTACCTTGAAAATGAACCTGTATTCATTGTCTTAGTTTGTTGGAGTTGCCATAACAAACTGTCATAGTCCAGGTGTCTTACCAACAACAGAATTGCAATGAATTGCATAGGGGAGGGGACACAAACATTCCATCCATAGCACTACTAAATCAAACAAATACAAATTTACCAAGTCTAACTCAAGAACATCCATTGAATCCAGCAAATAAGCACTAAGTAGTTTATACAAGAGTTGTTTTCTGACCTACATCACCCAAACCCTCTGCTTTTCTTAGGAGGTGACAACTAATTCAATTCTGCCTGACAGAGCACTGTAAGCTGTGGGGCTTTTTGAACAGCTGTGGAAAATGGCTAAGACACTGATTCTTAAAATCTGTTTTGGGAGATTAAATAGGGATTTCATGCAGTATTTCAAGCATTTGTAAGCAATTTCTGTTTGGATGCTTTTCAACCTTCCTTTCTTGCTTATGACAATTCAGCTATAGAATATCATCGCTACAGGAAAAAAATAAAGTTTCTGGGACAGAATCTTAAATCTGAACTAAAAATGTGTTTCAAAACTGTTTCTTATTTTGAAGATAACAACTCATACCTGCATCTTTTCTCTTTCCACCTCACTGTAATTCAGAGACATCTTGCCTGAAGAAATACTTTATCACTTCTTTCATTTGGAATTCTAGTGTTTGGAATATTTGGGAAGAGGATGTGCAGAGGGGGAATAATGGCTGACAATGTCTTCCATGAGAAGGACAAAGTTAAAACTCTTTACTTAAAACTATAGGATTATAGTTTGAGATATATTTTTACATCAGTTGTCAATTAGAATTGCTTTTTCTTTCTAATTTGTATTGACTCTGAGATAGCTCAGGTAGGGTACAGATCAGCAGACAATTTTTGACCTCACTTCAGAATAAATGTTTTTATTCATGATTCCACTGCTTTTCTTGCAAATTATTGAGTAGATGTGTTATGCAGACATTTTAATGCTGCCCCTCCTTAAAAATATCTCTATAGCTACAGCCATGTAGGTCAAGCCTGACTATAATAATTTGCCTATTTCTGCCTGGGAGTAGTATGTATTGGGTGCTCTTGGAATTATAGAGACTCTATCTAATAATTGTAATATTGGGTTTATTCCATGTGCCAGGTCTTTTTTTCTAGTTCATCTTCATACAAACAAATTGAGGGGAAACTGCAGTTTTAATCCCTTTACAGAAAAGAAATTGAAGTTAGAGAGGTTCAAAGTGTGTGAGGTGTCAGGCTTGGCAGGTCAAGAATCATGCTCAGGTATGACTGTGTCTAAACTTCCTGGTTTGTCACCATGATTACAGTTTCTTTATATGGTTTCAGAACAAGATATCTTTATGTTCATAGAAGAACGAATTGCTTATCATGGCAATCAAGTGTCAGTAAATTTTGGTCAGAACATATTATTTCAACTTTCCCAGGGCAAGCCTGAACTCTAGCCTCAGGAGTTTAGGTCATAGAGTAGAAAGCAAGGCAGCCAAAAGATAATACAGTGAAATGTCTTAATGTTTGGCTGAAAGGAAGTCACTAAATAAATATATATGGGGATTATGAGTATCTCTAGGCACTCTTTTTTTGATATTGATAATTCGTTGCTCCATGAAATGATTTATTGTTTTTTCACAAATAGTAAAACAGTTTTATTAATTTTACATATTTATTACCTAGCTGCACAGATTTACTCATCATCTTTTGAACATACTGTGCACATTCCTGACTGTTGTTTTTGTGAAGGCTATTTATTTATTTATTTATTATTTTTTTTGAAATGGAGCCTCGCTGTCTCACCAGGCTGGAGTGCAGCGGCGTGATCTCAGCTCATTGCAACCTCTGCCTCCTGGGTGCAAGCCCTTCCCCTGCCTCAGCCTCCTGAGTAGCTGGGACTACACTGGGACTACAGGCACACGCCACCACATCCAGCTAATTTTTTGTATTTTTAGTAGAGACGGGGTTTCACCATGTTGGCCAAGATGGTCTTGATCTCCTGACCTCATGATCCGCCTGCCTCGGCCTCCCAAAGTGCTGGGATTATAGGTGTGAGCCACTGCGCCCATCCTGTGAAGGCTATTTTCTTCATGTTTATGTCCCCTGCTCCTCTTTGCTTCCCTGAGAATTTTCAAAATTTTATAGCTCATCTCATGTCTCAGATCCTATATTGTACCCACCCTACTGTCCTTAGTTCTCTGACATCTAACAGAATTTCTATGCCACTTACTTGGTATTTATATTATATTGTTTTATATACGCACATATCTTTTTTTATTTTGAAATGACATTAAAAATTCAGAAAAGTTATGAGAATAGTGTGAACTCTTGTATATTCTTTACCCAGAATTACCAACTGTTAATATCATCAACCACAAAGAAGCAAAAGACCAGACTATAATACAGTAAGACAAAGCATTAATTGGGGTCTTGGAATTTGCAGTTTGGAAGACACAGATTAAGGTAGAGATAAATTGAGTTTCAAACAGAGGGAGGAGAATAACAGTTTTTAAGAGAAAATCAAAAGGAAACTAAGGGCGATTACAGAAGTTGTCTTGAAAGGATTACCGTTGGTGAAGGTGGCTGGCTTAGTACACGAGTCCAAAGTTCATTGATTATTGCAGTTCAGGAGCTGCAGCGCTGGGAAAATTCAGCTGCTTTCCAGGATGTTGTGATCATTGTAGTTGGGCCCAGTTCAAGGGTTCAAGGCAAGTTTTGTTGTCGTTGTTGCTTTTTTTGTAAGTTGGCAGGACATTCATGCAGTCCTTCTTAGAATGGCTTCCTGACTCCATTTTAGGACTCAGAACCAGAACAACACCATTTTGTGTATTATATTTCACATTTCTCCCTTTTGATCAAGAGCTAACATAAAGAAGCATTACTGATCAATTATTGGTTGGTCAGCCACAAATTTGTTGTTTCCCTTGGAGCTAGAAGCACCTGTTTCTAGACTGTCATGTTCCAAGAAGGAGGGCTGCTGAAAGTCAGTGTGTATCCAGGCTTTAGATATTGGCCAAATTTAAGTAACAAGGGGGCCATGCTAACAAGGAGAGACACATCAAGCCATGGTGATTGATGTTATAGCAGAAGAGGCGCACATTTTAGCAACCATGTCTAAACATTGTAATATCATAATCTGAAAATCTTGGGTAGCTTGGCAGCAATGAGAAATATAGACACTAGAAGTCTTGAAAAGGATGAAAATAAGAATTAGAAGAGAGATAACAATTATTATTATATAGCTGTATTCTGGTCCTGAGGATGTTGCCAACACCTATACGAAGCCAATTAAAAATATCAGAAAAATTCAGATTAAACTATGAGGAAATCCCTGTGAAGGTATTCCTTTAAAAGATTTGGCTAATTTTAGAAATTTCTAATTCAACCTGATGGGAAGTGTTTATCCAAGTGTAGCAAGAGTTATTTGCCGGTGCACTGACTGATCCTTAAGCGCCCAGTAAATAGTCTAAAGCAATACAGTTGTCAAGAATTACATGGGCAAGAGAGTGTATAAAGAGGTGGGTTATTTTTTCATTTTTTTATTTTTTGGCTCTAACGGCTCTAGCAGTGGATCATGCAATTTGGCTCACAGTACAGGAGTGGCTTCACATCATATAGTCATGCCAGGAGGTTCTTATACCCAGGAAAAAGATCCAAAAAATGTCACTAGACATGCACCCTCACTGGGATTAAGATCACCAAGAAGGACACAGCTTTGTGAAGGCCTGCAGCTATTGTCTTCATATTTGGAGGGATCTCCATTGGGCTAATCATCAATTATTGAGAGGACACTTTCAGTTTTGTGAGAGTTTGGAGTTAATTCAGTGGTTATTGCTTTAGTACTACTATAAGTGAGGTAAGATAGCCCAGAAGGCAAGTGCTGCCCATCCTCCAGCTATCCACACATTTCTGAGCCCATGGGAAGCCACTGTGTTCACAAAGAGATAACCAGGAAAGCACAAAAATTCCAGATCAATTTTGTGGGTTAATGGATTTGTTGGTGGGCAGAAAGGATAACATGGGACAAACAAAGTGTCAAATGAGGCAGTGTCTAGCTGTCAGGGACAGAGGTGTTAATGGCACAGATGATCATAGGGAAAGGGGTCCCCAACCTTGTTTAAAAGCTTAATATAATGACACCTTATAAATGAGGGAGGACTGATTTAATTGGCTGTGATTAAGGTAGTCATAAGCCATGAACATTAAAACTGTAAGCAGAATAGTACATTTGGTGCATGAGATTTCTGTGAATGGGTGGAGTTAGGAAGAAACAAGGAGTGATAGGAAAGAGTTGAGCACAATAGGTAGGGCAAGTAAGGTTAGATTCATACTGAACAGCAAAATTTTTTATAGAGGAAAAATTGGTTATAGGTGTGACCACAGAGTTATTATTATCTGAGAAGTTTCTAGTGGGGGAAAAGTGGTAAATCCAACATTCGAAGAGCTTTCCAGAAGTGGCTAAAGATTGTGAATACTGGATGATGGCATTATTTTTTAAGGGTGTGGTATAGCAAATAATGAGGGAAAAGTGGGGCAGGAGGTAATTAGACCTCATTATAGGTAAGGGTTGGGAAAATGCCATGTGTCTTCAGGGATATCTTGAAAAGATTAGTTAATCTGGTACATAGCCTTGGAGTAACTTGAATATTTGGCTAGTATGTTACTTATAACAAAAATTAGGAGTAATGTCATCATAGAGAACTTAATTGCAACCACCAGAAATTTTCAAGTAGTTACATATTGGAATGAAGAATTTAAGCAAAATTCCTAATAAGGTAATGAGCAAGATTAAGAGTTTGAAGATTTGGGCTGTGTGATTCATATGAAAAGAAGTATGATGACAATTATAAGGCTGATAATGATATACAGGCCTGGTCCACGTACTTGGGATAGCTGTTAACCTATGATATCTTCTGCTTCTTATTCCAAGACTGAACAGAGTGGTTCCTGTTTAGTTTAATTTGCAGATTTCCATCTGGTTGTGAGGTCCCCTTGGGAGGGATATCTTTTTTAAAAATAAGACACAGGTATCTACACATCAATGCTTTTAAGCTTAGCGGTACAAGGATTGGTTAATAGTATCTGGTAAGGCTCTTTCCACTTGATTATAAGCCAACCCCAGGTGGGTGTCATTTTTTTTTTTTTTCTTTAACTTTTAAGTTCAGAGGTACATGTGCAGGATGTGCAAGTTTGTTACATCGGTAAACGTGTGCCATGCTGGTTTGCTGAACAGATTATCCCAGCACCTAGGAATGAAGCCCAGCATCCATTAGCTATTATTCCTAAGGCTCTCCCTCTCCCTGCCTCTCACAGGCCTCAGTGTGTGTTGTTCCCCTCCCTGTGTCCATTTGTTCTCATCATTCAAATCCCACTTATAAGTGAGAACATGTGATGTTTGGTTTTCTGTTCCTGCATTAGTTTGTTGAGGATGATGGCTTCCAGTTCCATCCCAGTCCCTGCAAAGGACATGGTCTCATTCCTTTTTATGGCTGTATAGTATTCCATGGCATATATATCCCACACTTTCTTTATCTAGTCTATCAGTAATGGGCATTTTGGTTGATTCCATATCTTTGCTATTGTGAATAGTGCTGCGATGAACATACGTGTGCACGTATCTTTATAATGGAATGATTTATATTCCTTTGGGTATATACCCAGTAATGGGGTTGCTGGGTCAAATGGTATTTCTAGCCCTAGATCTTTGAGAAATCGTCACACTGTCTTCCACAATGATTGAACTTATTTATACTCCCACTGGCAGTGCAAAAGTGTTACTTTTTCTCTGCAACTTTGCCAGCATCTGTTGTTTTTTGACTTTTTAATAACAGCCATCCTGAGTGGCCTGAGATGGCGTCTCATTGTGGTTTTGATTTGCCTTTCTCTAGTGATGAGTGATGTTGAGCTTTTCTTCATATGTTTTTTGGCCACAAGAATGTCTTTTTTTTTGAGAAGTGTCTGTTCATGTCCTTTGCCCACTTTTTAATGGGGTTGTTAGTTTTCTTTTCCTGTAAATTTGTTTAAGTTTCTTGTAGACTCAGGATGTTAGACCTTTGTCAGGTGGATAGATTGTAAAAATTTTCTCCCATTCTGTAGGTTGCGTGTTCACTCTGATAACAGTTTCTTTTGCTGTGCAGTAGCTCTTTAGTTTAATTAGATCCCATTTATCAATTTTTGCTTTTGTTGCAATTGCTTTTGGTGTTTTCGTCATGAAATATTTGCCCATGCCTATGTCCTGAATGGTATTGCTTAGATTTTCTTCAAGGGTTTTTATAGTTTTGGGTTTTACATTTCAGTCTTTAGTTCTTCTTGAGTTAATTTGTGTGTATGGTTTAAGGAAGATGTTCAGTTTCAATTTTCTGCATATGGCTAGCTAGTTCTCCCAGCACCATTTATTGAATAGGGAATCCTTTCTCCATTGCTTGTTTTTGTCAGGTTTGTTGAAGATCAGATTGTTGTAGGTGTGCAGTCTTATTTCTGAATTCTCTATTCTGTTCCATTGATCTGTATGTCTGTTCTTGTACCAGTACCATGCTGTGTTGGTTACTGTAGCATTGTAGTATAGTTTGAAGTCAGATAGCACAGTGCCTCCAGCTTTGTTCTTTTTGCTTAGGACTGTCTTGGCTATTCAGGCTCTTTCTTGGTTCCATATGAATTTTAAAATAGTTTTGTGTAATTCTGTGAAGAATGCCAGAGGTAGTTTAGTGGGAATAGCACTGAATCTATAAATTACTTTGAGCAGTATGGCCATTTTCATGATATTGATTCTTCCTATCAATGAGCATGAAATGTTTTTCCATTTGTTTGTGTCCTCTCTGATTTCTTTGAGCAGTGGTTTGTAGTTCTTCATGAAGAGGTCCTTTTCTTCCCTTGTTAGCTGTTACTCCTAGGTATTTTTTTCTTTTTGTAGCAATTGCGAATGGGAGTTCATGCATGATTTGGCTCTTGGCTTGCCTGTTGTTGATATATAGGAATGCTAGTGATTTTTGCACATTGATTTTGTATCCTGAGACTTTGCGGAAGTTGTTTATCAGCTTAAGAAGTTTTTGGGCTAAGATGATGAGATTCAAGACTTAGGTTCATGTCGTCTGTGAACAAAGATAATTTGATGTTCTCTCTTCCTATTTGGACACTATTTATTTCTTTCTCTTGCCTGATTGCCCTGGCCAGAACTTCCAATACTATGTTGACCTGGAGTGGTGAGAGAGGGCATCCTTGTCTTGTGCTAGTTTTCAAGGGGAATGCTTCCAGCTATTTTCCATTCAGTATGATATCAGCTGTGGGTTTTTCATATATGGCTCTTATTATTTTGAAGTATGTTCCTTCAATACCTAGTTTATTGAGAGTTTTTAAGATGAAGGGATGTTGAATTTTATCGAAGGCCTTTTCTGCATCTATTGAGATAATCATGTGGTTTTTGTCTTTAGTTCTGCTTATGTAATGAATTGCATTTATTAATTTGCATATGTTGAACCAACCTTGCATCCCATGGATGAAGTTAGTTTGATTGTGGTGGACAAGCTTTTTGACGTGCTGCTGGATTCAGTTTGCCAGTATTTTATTGATTTTTACATTAATGTTCATCAGGGATATTGGCCTGAAGTTTTTTTTTTTTTTTTCTGTTGTATACTCTGCCAGGCTTTGATATCAAGATGATGCTGGCCTCATAGAATGAGTTAGGGAGGAGACCCTACTTTTCAAGTTTTTCAAATATTTTCAATAGAAATGGTACCAGCTCTTCTTTGTACCTTGGTAGAATTTAACTGTGAATCCATTTGGTCCTGGGCTTTTTTTGGTTGGTAGGCTATTTATTACTGCCCCAATTTCAGAGATTTTGTTGGTCTATTTGGGGATTCAGTTTCTTCCTGTTCAGTCTTGGGAGGGTGTATGTGTCCAGGGATTCATCAATTTCTTCTAGATTTTCTAGTTTATGTGCATAGAGGTGTTTATGCTATTCTGTGATGGTTGTTTGTATTTTTGTGGGGTCAGTGGCGATATCCCCCCTTATCATTTCTGATTGTCTCTATTCGCTTCTTCTATCTTTTCTTTATTAGTCTAGCTAGTGGTCTATCTCTTTTATTAGTGTTTTCAAAAAAAGCTCCTGGATTCATTGATTTTCGAAAAGGCTTTTTGTGTCTCTATCTCCAGTTCAACTTTGAACTTGGTTATTTCTTGTCTTCTACTAGCTTTGGGGTTTGTTTGTTCTTGGTTCTCTAGTTCCTGTAGTTGTGATGTTATGTTGCTAACTTGAGATCTTTCTAGCTTTTTGATGTGGACATTTAGTGCTATAAATTTCCCTCTTAACACTGCTTTGGCTGCATCCCAGAGATTCTGGTACATTGTATCTTTGTTTTAATAAGTTTCAAAGAACTTCTTAATTTCTGCCTTAGTTTAATTATTTATCCAAAAACCATTCAGGAGCAAGTTGTTCAATTTCCATGTAGTTGTGTGGTTTTGAGTGAGTTTCTTAATCTTGAGTTCTAATTTGATTGTGTGATCAGATTGTGATCTGAGAGGCTGTTATTTCAGGTGTTTTGTATTTGCTGAGGAGTATTTTACTTCTGATAGTGTGATCAATTTTAGAGTAAGTGCCATGTGGCACTGAGAATAATGTATTTTATGTTGTTTTGGGGTGAAGAGTTCTGTAGATATCTATCAGATCCACTTGATCCAGAGCCAAATTCAGGTCTTGAATATCTTTGATTTTTTTTTTTAATCAATGATCTGTCTAGTATTGTCAGTGGGGTGTTAAAGTCTCCAACTATTATTGTGTGGGAGTCTAAGTCTCTTTGTAGATCTCCAAGAACTTGATTTCTGAATCTGGGTGCTACTGTATTGTGTGCATATATGTTTAGTATAGTTAGCTTTGCTTGTTGAATTGAACCTGTTACTATTATGTGATGTGCTTCTTTGTCTTTTTTGATCTTTGTTGGTTTAAAGTCTGTTTTATCAGAAACTAGGATTGCCACCCATTTTTTTTCCCATTTTCCATTTGCTTGATAAACTTTTCCTTTATTTTGAGCCTATTTGTGTCTTTGCATGTGAAATGGGTCTCTTGATGACAGTCTATCTATGGGTCTTGGCTCTTTATCCAGCTTGCCTTTCTGTGTCTGTTAATTGGGGAATTTAGCCCATTTACAATTAAAGTTAGTATTGTTATGTTTAAATTTGATTCTGTAATGGTGATGCTAGCTGGTTATTTTGCAGACAGGTATATGTGGTTGCTTCATAGTGTCAGTGGTCTGTGTACTTCAGTGTGTTTTTGTAGTGGCTGGTAATGGTTTTTAGTGTTTCCTTCAGCAGCTCTTGCAAGGCAGGCCTGGTGTTGATGAATTCCCTTGGCATTTGCTTGTTTGAAAAGGATCTTATTTCTCCTTTGCTTTTGAAGCTTAGTTTGGCTGGATATGAAATTTTGGGTTGGAAATTCTTTTCTTTAAGAATGTTGCATATTGGCCACCACTCTCTTCTGACTTGTAGAGTTTCCACTGAGAGATCCACTGTTAGCCTGATGGGCTTCCCTTTTTAGGTGACCTTGCCTTTCTCTCTAGCTGCTCTTAACATTTTTTCTTTCATTTTGACCTTGGAGAATCTGATGATTATGTGTCTTGGGGCTGATCTTCTAGTGGAATATTTTACTGGGGTTCTCTACATTTCTTGAATATGAATGTTGGCCTGTCTTGATAGACTGGGGAAGTTCTCCTGGATGATATGTCATTTTCAATATCCAAAATCTCCAGGTTGTAGATTGCATTGATGTTGACCTTTATTTCCTGGAAGTGTACTGCAGAAAGATTACTCTACCTTTTTTTTTGTTGTTAATACCTGGATCCATTCCTTACAATAGGTCAGTGTGTCACCTTTGATTAGCTTTGATTCATAAAGTATTTTGTCTAAGTCCATGGGTCTTTCAGTAATTATCTTAAGTGGAAATAAGCTATGTTTTCGACAGGGGTAGATCTAAGATTAAGCAGCACTAAGGGCAGAGCTTTTGGCCAGGGTTGATTGAGATATTAAATTCATTTTGCCATTGGATCTTAATTGTTCCATTAGTATGTTCCACTAACCCAGGGAACTGTGAGTAGTAGACACAGTAGTAGTAGGAAATGTTGTAGAATAGGTCAAAGCTTACATATTGATTGTATAATCTGCCTGGTAAAAATGAGTGCCTTGGTCACTGTGCAGTTCCAAGGGTATTCCCCGTGTGGAGATTATTTTTTCTAATAGGATTTTACTTACTGCTGAGGCTGTTGCTTCAACCCAGTGGGCAAACATAAAAATCATAACCAAGACACATTTATATCCTTAGAATGTTGGTATCTGGATAAAGTCCATCTGCCATATCTCAAAAGATACTGAAGGCAAAGGAAAATGTCTTATAGAACTATGAATAGGTTTTCACGGGTTGTATTTGGGACAGACTTGATATATGTGATACATTTGAGAAGTGACTTTTGTGGAAGGATTCCTATGATATTATTCCCCATAGAGTCATTTTTTCATTTTCCCCAATGGTTTATATGATGAATTAATTTAATATAAAATTTGATCTTGGAGGTCATCTGTTAAGACAGGTCTCTTTTTAGGCCCATATCACAGGCTAGTTTTAGAATCATAAAAACAACCTCAAGTTTTCCATTTGTTTTTTCAATTCAAAGGGCTATCTGTTATGTATGGGGGATAAAGTTTTCGATTGTATCAAACTGGCCATTAGAGGTTTTAAGGGGATATTGAGCTATGGGCAGTTGGTTCTTGGAAGCTGTGGCTTTTCCAGTTGTGTCAGGCGTGTAATTTCCTTTATCTTCTTTACTATCAGTTTTTGAGTTTCCTGGGATTTTAATTATTGCTAAAGACAAATTTTTGGATAGCTTGGAGTAATTCTGGATTACAATCACTGTTGCTTTTAATTTTGGTCAATAAGGTTAGAAAACCCGCTTCCAGAGCATATGAAAATCATATGCTGCCCCCAAAGCATAGTGGCTATCGGTAGAGATATTTGCAATGTTATTAATTGCTAGCATACATGTTAGCAGACAGCAAAAAGTTCTGCCTATTGGGCAGAAATGGCCTTGGGTGAGGGACCACTTTCAATGATTTCAGACAGTGAGACAACAGTATAGAAATCTTGATGTTTCCCTGAATTATTTCAAAGGTAAGATTCATCAGTAAATCAGACTAGCTTAGCACTTGGAATGGGGGTTTCCTGTAGGTCGTGCCCGGGGGTTAGTAAGGTTTCAGTTAGAGTTATAAAATCATGTGGTGTCTTGCTAGAAGAAAGTGGATAAGAGTTGGCACGACTTAAAGAGTTGCAGGGAGCAATAGTTACATTAGAGGTTGATAATAATAGGTTCTCATAAGAAGTGGGTCTGCTCGAAGAGAGATGGTGGCCATGATGAGAGATCAGTAAGGCCTCGATAGAGTGAGGGACATAAACCATTAATGGAGAGCCCATAATTAACTCCTAATTGCCTTTAATAAATTTGCAGTGGATGTGATGGCCTGCATACAGGGTGGGAGTTATTTAGACACAGGGTCTAACTGTTGGCTGTAATATCTGAGGGGTCTCTGATAGTCACCATGCTTTTGTCTAAGAACTTCTAAGGCATTTCCATTTTGTTCACGAACAAAAAGGGAAAAGAGAAGGTTATAATTAGGATGTCTTAATATAGGGGGCTAACGAAGACTCTCTTTATTGTTATCAAAAGAGGAGATGGCATCCTCTAGCCATTGTAGAGGTTTGGGATGGGTCAGACTTTAAAAAAGAATACAGAGCCTGAGCCATGGCAGAGAGACTTGGAATCCATTGTCTGTAGTATCCTACTAATCCCAGGATCCCACAGAGTTGTCTTTCTTTTTTGGTGGGGCCAAGAAAATCCAAGATTGTTTTTATTCTTTGGGGAATCAAGCAAAAAATCCTGTCTTGAAATTAGACATCCTAAATATTTTACATGTGTGGAAGAGAGTTATAGCTTCCCTTCTGAAACTTTATGGCTTTTGGTGGCTAATTTCTTTAGTAGGTAAAGGCTGTCCTCTATGGAGCCTTTAGGATAGAGGTGCAAAGTAATAAGTTATCCACACACTAGGTGAGAACAGAATGCAAAGGAAATTCCAAGTTTGCTAAGTTTGCTTTGAAGACTTGGGAGAAGTACCTAAATCTTTCAGTATACCACTGGAACATTACTGTAAAGGTGTATTGTCCATCTCACATGAAAGCAAAAAGATTGGCTATCCGGATCAACTAGAATGCTAAAGAAAACACTGCAGATGTCAATCACAGTGAAAACCTATCTAGTGATTTGGCTAATGTATGTGGGTTTGGTACAACATGATGATGGGGTATAACAATGCCACGATGGCTCTTTAGTCTTGGGCAAATGTCGCTCCCCAGTTATTAGAGTTTTATAACACTAGGATCGGGGTATTAAATGGGTTAGTACGTGGAATGATTATCCCCTGTTTGAAGTAATCCTGCATAATTGATTTGATTTCCTGAATAGCTTCCTGGCATAAAGGGTATTGTTTAATATTTGAAAGTATTTTTGTTTCATTATTTGTATTTTAATTGGTGGTGCTTAATGAGTATGGCTAATGTCAGTGGCATATTTAAACCATAAGTGTTTAGGGATAGAGATTAGTAGGTCTTGAAATATTTCATTGGGAAGTATTTTCTCCTTGTTTTAAAGAACTGAAAATATAGGTACTGAGAATTCTGTGGGTTCTTTGAGGGTTCCCTCTTCAGTAGTTTTTTTCTATGTTAATTGTATTTCCTTTTTTTTTTGAGAGAAAGAAATGTAAGTTTTGTGTGCTTTCAGAAAATCTCAGCCAATAAGGACTAACAGAAATTGATGAGAGTCCTAGAGTTTTGCAAGTTAAAAGTCTGTAGGGAGAGACTGGTAAACTGCCATTGGTTTATCTGAACCCCCCAACCATTTGTATATTTGTTGTTACCCTGAGGAAGGGAAACAGGAAGTGTGGTTGGGTTTATTACTGAAAATGTGACCCCCATGTCAATGAGGTTCTAGTTGCTCCATTTTAAGTGATTATTCTAATTTCACCTAAAGTGTAGACTAAAAGAAAAGGGCAATTTCCCTTTGTTCCTCAGAGAATACCTAGCATTTTGTCTTAGAAGAGAAAGAAAAAGGTTCTTTCTCAGGTTTCATCCAAAATATCATGCTTTTCTATGATTTCATTTTAAGTCTTTGTAGTCTGTGGCATTCGTTTTTCCAAAGACCTGCTTCCTTGTAATAATGACAAGGGCTTTATGGTGTTTTTTGGGATTTGTTTAATTCTAGTTGCTGCATTTGGTAGTTCATAACTTTTGCAGTTTGAATCTGAAAATCTATGACTCTAGCAGCTTTTTGTTTAGCTGATTTCTTTTTGATTTTGGAAACTTGTTCAGCCAAATTAAGTAGGTTGGGGGTTTCTGCAGTGGCCCAATTTAATTGCTTATGTTTCATTAGGGTGCTAAGTTCTTCCTCTAACCCATTAACAAAAGTAGAATCAAACAGAGAGGAAGTTTGATAGTAAACTTTATCTAAACCTGGATATTATAAATAGACTGTGTCTAATCTGTCACAGTATTTATAGATTCGTTACTCAGGTTCTTGAGTACACTGTTGAATCTTTTCCCAGTCTATAGTTTTTGGAAATACTTCAGAAATCTAAGTATATAATCCATTGGCTAGTTTTTGAGTATTTGGGAAATCTCCAGGTTTTCTTTTATTTAGGTGATCTAAAGCATGGTGCCAGTGTACTTTACTTAACCATGTTTGAGCATGGCTTTCACCTACTAACATGTGGATCAATTCATACATAAAGATCAGAGTAACCTGGTTGGTAGGCTTAGTAAGGAGGTCAAATTCTTTGGAAAATCTGACAGGCTCAACTAAGGGATCAGGGAAATCTTTGGTCATCACCCTGAGTTCAGGGAGTATAATAAGCAACAGAATTTCCAGAGCCTCCTTCATTTGATTCAACTTTAAAAGAGGCTTGGGTGACAGGAGGAGATTCAACAAGGGGTTTGTATTAGTCAAGATTCTCTAGAGAGACAGAACTAATAGGATAGATGTATATATAAAGGGGAATTTATTACGGAGTAGTAACTCACATGATCACAAAGTCCCACAATACGCTGTCTGAAAGCTGAGGAGCAAGAAAGCCAGTCCGAGTCCCAAAGCTGAAGAACTTGAAGTCTGATGTTTGAGGGCAGGAAGCATCCAGCATGGGAGAAAGATATAGGCAGGGAGGCTAAGCCAGTCTAGTCTTTTCACATTTTTCTGCCTGCTTTTTATTCTGGCAGCTGATTCGATTGTGCCCACCCAGATTAAGGGTGGGTCTGCCTTTCCCAGTCCACTGACTCAAATGTTAATCTCTGTTGGCAATACCCTCTCAGACACATGCGGGAACAGTACTATGCATCTTTCAATCCAATCAAGTTGACACTCAATATTAACCACCACAGGGTTCATCAAAAAAGGGAAGTTCAGTTAGGGAAGGGTAGACAGGCAGTAAGCAAGAGGGTGCATAGGACAGCAGTGGGTTGGGAAGGGGTACAGCTAGAAGGGGAAAGCAACACAGGACAAGGTCAAAGAGATAGAGGTACACTTGTTTTTTGACTTACCTTTAGAAGTTTCTGAGTTCTTTTGTAATTTAGAAAGTCTTTGAGCTTATTTGTCATTATTATCTCTTAGGGATATTAGGTTTGATTTCTGGAGTCTCTTGAATGCCTCAAGATACGAGCAGACTTCCCACTCAGGCTATTTAGTCTTTTCTTTTTTTTTTTTTTTTTTGAGATAGAGTCTCGCTCTGTTGCCCAGGCTGGAGTGCAGTGGTGCGATCTTAGCTCACTGCAACTTCCGCCTCGTGCATTCAAGCGATTCTCATCCCTCAGTCTCCCGAGTAGCTGGGATTAAAAGTGCATGACCATGCTCAGCTAATTTTTGTATTTTTAATAGAGACAGGGTTTCACCATGTTGGCCAGGCTGGTCTCACACTCCTGACCTGGAGTGTGATCTGCTGCCTCAGTCTCCCAAAGTGCTGGGATTACAGGTGTGAGCAACTGCGCCCTGACAGGCTATTTAATCTTTTCTTCTAGCCGTTATAATTGTCCACAGAGGAAAACAAGTTTTGGCAAATCAAATGATCCTCAGGTTGGCCATTGTGGTTTCAAATCACTTTTAGTGATGTTGTTCCATTGAGAAAGACTGTAACTTTTGTACATAAAAGCAGCAGGGTTTCCAGAAAGGAGTGACTTGGCACCTATACCCTTAGAAGTCCCCATGAGTACTCACTGAAAAGGAAAAAATTCCTTTGTTGACAGTTGGCAACAAAGAACACCCGATGAAAGCCTAAACCTCAACCAAGGCAGGAGGTTTGGAGAAATAAGAGGACTTACTAACAAGGTCAGGGCCACTGGGGAGGTGATGGAACACAAGCTGTGATATTGTGTATTCATCTGTCTCAATTTTCAGTATGATGGCTTGCCCTAAGGCCTTAATTCTTTGATGGGTCTAAGAAGAGTTGTAAATTTTTTATTTTTTCAGCTTTTTTCTTGTTGTGAGGATGGGAGTAATGATATCCAGGCTCTTTACATGTCAGACCCAAACTCCTATCTAATACATATCGAAATTTTATCAGCTGTCTCAATGATGTTCTTTTTTGATTTGTTTTATTGATACATAACAGTTGTACATATTTATGGGGGTACATACGGTATTTTGATACATGCATACAATGTGTAATGATCACCTTATTGTGCTATTGAAAATTGGAACTTATTTCTTCTACCTAAGTGTATTTTTATACCCATTGACCAACCTCTTTTCATCTCTTTTTTTTCTTACCCTTTCCAGGCTCTGGTAAATACAATTCCACTCACTATCTCCATTAGATCATTATTTTAAAATTTATTTTTATTTCTAAGCTACCGCATATGGGTAAGAACATGTGATATTTATCTTTTTTTTTGGCATGACTTATTTCACTTAACATAATGCCCTCCAGTCCTGTCTATGTTGCTACTAATGGCAGGATTTTATTCTTTTTATAGCTGAATAATATTCCATCATATATATCCATATATATATATCACATTTTCTTTATTCATCTGTTGATTGTCACTTAGGTTGATTTTGTATCTTGGCTATTGTGAATAGTGCTGAGATATACATGGGAGTACAGATATTTCTTCAATATACTGATTTCCATTCTTTTGGATCTATAATCTAGCAGTGAGATTGTTGGATCTTATATTAGTTATATTTTTTTGTTTTTGAGAAAACTCCATACTATTTTTCATAGTTGCTATGATAATTTACATTTCCAGCAACAGTGTATGAGTGTTCCCCTTTCTTGTCATCCTTATTTTCTGTCTTATTGATAATAGTCATTTTAATGGGGATGAGATGATATCTCACTGTGGTTTTGATTTTATTTCCCTGATTAGTGACATTCAGCATTTTTCATATACCTGTTGGCCATTTATATATCTTCTTTTGAGAAATATCTCTTCAGATTTTTTTTTTTTGAGACAGTGTCTCACTCTGTCACCCAGGCTGCAATGCCATGGCACGATGGTACTCTCTCGGTTCCCTGAAACCTCTGCCTCCTGGGTTCAAGTGATTCTCCCACCTCAGCCTCTTGAGTAGCTGGTATTACAGGCTTGCACTGACACACCTGGCTAATTTTTGTATTTTGAGTAGAGATGGGGTTTCACCATGTTAGCCAGGCTGGTCTTGAACTCCTCAGCTCAAGTGATCTGCCCATCTCAGCCTCCCAAAGTGCTAGGATTACAGGCATGAGCCACCTTGCCTGGCCTCTTCAGATCTTTTGCCCCTTCCTTTTTTTAGGGACAGTGTCTCACTCTGTCACTTAGACTGGAGTGCATGGTGTGATCATTGCTCACTGCAGCCTAAAACTCCCAGGCTCAAACAATCCTCCTGCCTCAGCCTCCTGAGTACTTAGGGCTATAGGTATGTGCCACCATTCCCAGCAATTAATTTTTATATGTGTGTGTGTGTGTGTGTGTGTGTGTGTGTGGAGGCAGGGTCTTGCTAAGTTACCCATGCTGGTCTTGAACTCCTGACCTCCAGTGATCTGTCTGCTTTGGCCTCCCAAAGTGCTGGGATTACAGGCAGGAACCACTATACCTGGCCTGCTTATTTTTTCATTGAATTGTTTCTTGCTATTGAGTTGTGTGAGTTTCTTATACAGTCTAGTAATTAATCCCTTCTCAGATGAATAGTTTGCAAATATTTTCTCCCATTCTGTGGGTTGTCTCTTCAGTCTGTTAATGTTGCTGTGCAGAAGCATTTTAGTTTGATGTAATTCCATTTTTCTATTTTTGCTTTTGTTGTCTGTGCTTTTGAGGTTTTACTAAAAAAAAAAAAAAATCTTTGCCCAGGTCAATATCCTGAAGTATTTCTCCAATGTTTTATTCTAGTAGTTTTATAATTGCATGTCTTACATTTAAGTCTTTAATCTATTTTGATTTGATTTTTGTATGAGAGAGATAGGAATCTAGTTTTATTCTTCTGCATATGGATATGCAATTTTTCCAGCACCATTTATTGAAGAGGTATCCTTTCTCCAATGTATTATATATTTTTGGTGCCATTGTTGAAAGTGAGTTGGCTTTCAATTTGTGGATTTACTTTTGGATTTTCTATTCTGTTCCATTGGTCTGTGTATCTGTTTTTAAGCCAGTACCATGCCGTTTTGTTTCCTATAGCTTTCTAGTATATTTTGAAGTTAGATAGTGTGATATCTCTAGCTTTGTAAGGATTGCTTTTGCTATTAGGGGTCTTTTGTGGTTCCATATGAATTTGAGGAATTTTTTTCTATTTCTGTGAAGAATGTTATTGGTATTTTGATAGGGATTGCATTGAATCTCTAGATCACTTTGGGTAGAATGCAGATTTTAACAATATTATTATTCCAATTCACAAATATGGAATATCTTTCAATTATTTTGTGTCTTCTTCAATTTCTTGTATTAATGTTTTGTAGTTTTCAATGAAGTTTTTTCACTTCTTTGTTTAAATTTATTCCTAATTATTTATTTTTTAGCAATTGTAAATGGCATTGCTTTCTAGATTACTTTTTCAGATTGATTGCTGTTGTCATAGAGAAATACTACTAAATTCTGTCTGCTGATGTTGTATTTTGCAACTTTATCAAATTCATTTATCAGTCCTAACAGTTTTTTGGTGTAGTCTTTAGGTTTTTTAAAAATATAGAATCACATTATCTCCAAAAAAGGACTTTCTGAAATTTTCCTTTCCAATTTGTTTAATTTTTATTTCCTTCTCTTGTCTAATTGCTTTAGATAAAATTTCCAGTACTATATTGAATAGAATTGGTGAAAGCAGACAACCTTGTCTTGTTCCAGATCTTAGAAGAAAGGCTTTCAATTTTTCCCTGGTCAGTATGATATTAGTTGTGAGTTCTCATATATGGCCCCAATTATGTTCTTTATAACATTTTTTTTCTGGACACAGGATTTAATAGAATATCATGCTTTGCATTTTTGGTTTTTATGTTTCTTTAGTTTCCTTTAATCTGGAATAGTTTATCAGCATTTATTGCTGCTGTTTGCTTTGTTTTGTTTTTGTCTTTAATTACACTGATTTTTGCAAATAATTTTTGTTTTGTAGAATGCTTGAGTTTGTCTTTTTTTTTTTTTTTTTTGTGAGATGGAGTTTTGCTCTGTCACCCAGGCTGGAGTGCAATGGCTAAATCTCGGTTCACTGAAACCTCTGCCTCCTGGGTTCAAGATATTTGCCTGTCTCAGCCTCCTGAGTAGCTAGGATTACAGGTTCCCACCAGCCCATCTGGCTAATTTTTTTGTATTTGTAGTAGAGATGGGGTTTCACCATGTTGGCCAGGCTGGTCTCAAACTCCTGACCTTAGGCGATCTGCCCACCTCAGCCTCCCAAAGTGCTGGGATTACAGGCATGAGCCACCACGCCCGGCCGAGTTTGTCATTTCTTAATGATAAAATTCAGAGTATTTTCTGGCAGAAATATTACTTAAGTGATTTTGCATCCTTCTCTGTCTATCATAACAGGAGGTACATGATACCAATCTATCTCGCAATTGGTGATAATAACTTTGATTAATTAGTAAGGTGATGCCCACCAGATTTCTCAATATAATGCTGCTTATTTTTCTGTGTGGAAAAACTTTGTGCTTATGTAAATATCCTTTTTCCTCATTAAACATTGACTTAATAGCTTTTTAGCATCCATTTATGATTCTTCCCTGTGGTGATTGAAAATGGTGTATTTTTATGTCTATTATTCATTTTACACTTATTGGTTGATATTCTACAGTAAGGAAGAGCTTTCCTGCTATCTTTGTTTATGTATTTATTTATTAGTATGAAATCAAAGTTTCTTAAAATCTATTATTGCTATTACCGTTAATGTTTATTTTGATATTACAATTTTTCCATGCTTAGTAAGTGGGAACTACTTCAAACTGGCTTTTTTACCCTTTTGATATGTCTTAATATTTTTTTGAGTAGTTTCTTTCTGATTCACCAAAATGACCCAGGCTTGTCTCAAGCTTTCTTACCGTAGCCTTGGAATCAGCCATTTTCCCAAGAAGCTCTTGTTCCTTTTAGTGTGGAAAAATGCTTAGAAAGTAAGATCAGGACATGCTTTGTATTTTTAGTTATGTTCATATGTATGAACATATATATATATATACACACACACACACACACACACATATATGTATTTGTCCTGATTTTACAATTGTATTTTAAGCTTTCTGATGGATTTTGCCCAATGTCTGATTATATATATTCCACAGGATTTAGTATAGCAACTGTCTTTCACATATTAGGATTTTAGAATGGAAAGTGGCCTTAGATATTCCTTGCCCACTGTTACATCTTACGCATGAGAAAAGTAAGGGCCAGAACAATTAAATGGCTTGACTAAGACTGTTTGATCATGACAGATTTGATATTAGAATGTAACTATTTTGGCTTTCAGTTTACTTCTCTTTCTATCATATGACACACATGCTCAGTAAGAAAAGTTTGCTAGTTGCCAAAAGTAAATTTCCCACATTTGGTAGATTAAAAATGGTTTTTTTTTTTTTTCTTGCTACTCCTCCCACCGAGGGATAGTTTCTTTTTCCAGAAACTTTGCTTCTGATGGTGAAAGTCTTGACCTTCAAGACTACTGTCTCTCCTATTTTATTCTATGAAATTAAAGAGTGTATTTTGGGATTTAAAACTAAAAATTCAATTCTTACTGGCTAAGCTAGCTGTCTTCTGAGAAAAAGAACAAAAAGATAAGAAAGCCTAAAGAAAAGCAGTCTCAGTTAGTATTTTAAACATTATCTAGTTACATGGAAAGAAATACAAGATATAAGGTAAAATCTGGTTTCAAGGCTAAAAAACAACAACAACCAAAAAAAGCCCTAAAAAAGTTATGGAAGAATTTGTTTTAGCTGATCATGAAGACATACTGTTATTTGCTGAATAATAGAGGAGGGTGATCCAGGAGAATGTTACTAACCCAAGCAGGTTTTTAACAAATATTCTTCTGTTTAGTTTGGAAGAAGATGGCTTTTCTAACTTGTATTTTTGTTGGGTTTAAAATAGCTGTAATATAATTTGTTTTTTTCCTTTTTTTTCATGAAATATTGATTTTTCCAAGAGTATTGTTAATACCTGGGCTTTTCAGTAGCATGACCTTGGAATTGGGCTAGGGATTAAAGTGTTTGATTACAGGTCTGTCTCAATCAGTAGATTATGTTTCTCTGGGGCAGAATCCTTTTGCATCCTGTTCATCCCCAAATCCAGTCTGTAGCTCAGTGCCTGCTGTAAAAATTGAATACAAATGTTTTATGAGTGAATACTAAGCCTTTAAATGGTTTGGTCTTATAGAATGATGTAGGAGTGTGTGTGTTTGTGTGTATGAGACATACACATGTGTATGTAAAAGAATTAGAGTCTGCCTCTTTCAGGTTGACAGTTCTAACCAGAAAGACCTTAGCTTTCCACTCAAATCTTGTTGTAGTCTGAAGACAAAAGTAGAATTTATGAGCTCTTGGAGATAAAGAGATTTTTTCCACCCAATTATACAGAGTTGAGTTTCAGCAGGTTTGCCTTTGTAAGGAGTCAGAAAGAAAGCCATCTTACCAACATATATTGGCTTTAAATAGTTTAACATCTATTTTCATACTTCTTACGCTGTTTTAAAAACTTCTATTAATAGTGCACTTAAAATTTCATTTTAATTCAACGTTTTCAAAAGACAGTTTGGTTCATAGTTACAAGTTTTCTACCTCTTCTTTTAAAAAAATCTCTATGTGTACATGCATGTGGTTATATTACCATCTAAAGAAAATCACTTATCTACAAAGATCACTTCTGTAAAGACATCCCTGAACACTTCAAGTTATATTCATGATGGTTGTTCAAAGTGACACAAGGCTGCACTTCTTTGAAGTACAGTATTACACTCAGCTGCCTTCATGCAGTGCAATCCAAAATAATTACTGTCAATGTCCAACTTCTACATTTAAGGCCCAGAGGGTAGCTGAGAATTCATGAGGGACATAAATTAAATATGTAACCTTGTTCAAAGCCTCTCTTCCTCTCTTCTATCTAAAGTGCTAGTATAAAAACTTCACTAAACAACTATTATTTATATATAAAAGAAGGCTATGGCATCTTATCTCAGACTTGCCCCTATAAAATATTCTGAGATTGAAATGTATTTGAAGACAACATCCAGAGTTTTCATAGTCATTCAGAATTATTTGACATTATTTTCTGCCTCTCACACACATATTTTGGATACATTTGCTTACATGATTTAATATAAAAAAAGAATTGAGTTTTTGAAACTACATGGCCATGAATTATAATAATATATCTGCCTTCACTGTATGGATATGTAAAGTTGATGGCTTGGTGTTGGGGATTCATACATGGATTGCTAATTTTCCAGTTTGCTACGTGAAAAAGAAGCTATAATATATGTTACTAATATTTGAAACTTCTCATGGCTTTCTAAAGTGTAAACATTGTTTTGCAAAAAATGTAAGTTAATCTTGACCCTCCGATGACATTGTAGATCCTTAAAATACACATGGGATATTCTTTTTTTTTTTTTTTGAGGTGGAGTTTTGCTCTTGTTGCCCAGGCTAGAGTACAGTGGTGCGATCTCGGCTCACTGCAACCTCCGCCTCCTGGATTCAAGCAATTCTTCTACCTTAGCCTCCCGAATAGCTGGGATTACAGGCATGCGCCACCACACCCGGCTAATTTTGTAGTTTTAGTAGAGATAGGGTTTCTCCATGTGGTCAGGCTGGTCTCGAACTCTCTACCTCAGGTGATCTGCCTGCCTCGGCCTCCCAAAGTGCTGGGATTACAGGTGTGAGCCACTGCGCCTGGCACACATGGGATATTCTAATTAGAAATATTGAAAACTTTAACTTTTGAATCTCTTGGCTGCAAACTTCTCAATTATTAAATACTTCTAAATAGGAATCTTTGAAACACATTAGTTAAACTAAAATTTATTTTGAATAGATGGAAAACAGTATTACTTCTCTAAAGAAGAGTTTTTGAGAGTAATTATCAATATATTCTAAAAATCAGTATTTAGACTTTTAAAATTTAGATTTGTTATAAGAACATAACTTGGTCTGAAGATTATCCTATTATGAGGGAAGCAGGAAGTGGGGTATGGTTGAAAGGAAGAAAATAGGCCGGGTGCAGTGGCTCACGCCTGTAATCCCAGTGCTTTGGGAGGCTAAGGCAGGTGGATCACCTGAGGTCAGGAGTTTGAGACCAGCCTGGCCAACATGGAGAAACCCCATCTCTACTAAAAATACAAAATTAGCCAGGTGTGGTGGCACATGCCTATAATCCCAGCTACTCAGGAGGCTGAGACAGGAGAATCGCTTGCACTAGGAGGCAGAGTTTGCAGTGAGCTGAGATTGTGCCATTGCACTCCAGCCTGGGCAACAAGAGTGAAAACTCTGTCTCAAAAAAAAAAAAAAAAAAGAAGAAGAAAGGAAGGAAGAAAATAAGCAACTGCATGCAGTAAATCAAAATGCAACAAAATCTTTACCTTTTTGGTGGAAATTATTAAGTATTTTTGACTATTTTAGAAATACTGATACACAAACAACATACTTGAATTTAAACATGGGCAACCTACACTTTGAGAAGCTGATTAAAATCATTTTTCACCAATAATATGACATAGGAGAGAATGCAATTAATCTAATTTTGAACCTGAGAAACAAAAACTAAAAAAAAAAAAAAGATTCAAATTATCAGTAATTGTGGAATAACCCTCCTCCCCTTTTGAATTAAGAAGAGGTTTTTTCTTTTTTTTTTTTTTAATTTTAAATAGTGAATTTTTTCTTGTCCTTGACAGAGACTGTGGCAGCCAGCCATGGGGCCATGCTCTGATGCCCCTGGTGGTAGTTCCCACTGCTTCCCAAATTCTGTCCCAGCCCCAAGGGTGAGCTCCTGTAGGATGGCAAGAAGGAGAGGGGCTGAGGCTGTATGAAAGAGGTGTACTCCTCCTCCCTCCCCCTGGAAGAAAGGAAGGACGAAAGGATGGAGATTGTTAGACCCTGTGTATGGAGGGACAAACTCACCTTTTTTAAGACATGAAAAAAATATTGGCCTGTAAGCATATTGAGATACATTGCTAACACCTTTTCATTTTTCTTCTGGGCATATTTACATTTATTATTGTATTAGTCCATTCTTGCACTGCTATAAGTAAATGCTTGAAACTGGGTAATTTATAAAGAAAGATGTTTAATTGGCTCATGGTTCCACAGGCCGTACATGAAGCATAGCTGAGGAGGCCTCAGGAAACTTTCAATCATGGTAGAAAGGAAGCAGGCACATTTTGCCCAGCCAGAGCAGGAGGAAGGGAGCACAGAGGGAGGTGCTACACACTTAAATAATCAAATCTCATGAGAACTCACTATCACAGGAACAGCAGGAGGGAAATGCATCTCATGATCCAATCACCTCCTACCAGGCTCCTCCTCCCACACTGAGGATTACAATTTGACATGAGATTTGGGTGGGAACACAAATCTAAACCATATCATTCCACCTCTGGCACCTCCCAAATCTCATGTCCTTCTCACATTGCAAAATACAATCATCCCTCCTTAACAGTCGCCCAAGTCTTGACACATTTCAGCATTAACTCTGAAGTCCACTTTCCAAAGTCTCATCTAAGACAAGGCAAGTCCGTTCTCCCTGTGAGCCAGTAAAATAAAAAACAAGTTAGTTACTTCCAAGATACAATGACGGTACAGGCATTTGGTAAACACACCCATTCCAAAAGGGATAAATCATCCTAAAGAGAGGGACTACAGGCCCTGTGCAAGTCTGAATCCTAGCAGGAGAGTCATTACATCTTAAAGCTCCAAAATAATCTCCTTTGACTTCATGTCTCACATCTAGGCCACGCTGATACAAGGGGTGGGGTCCCAAGGCATTTCCCCTCCGCACTGCCCTAGTAGAGGTTCTCCATGAGGGCTCCACTCCTTCAGTAGACTTCTGTCTGGACATCCAGACATTTCCATACCATACCTCCTCTAAAATCTAGGCAGAGGCTCCCAAGCCTCAACTCTTGCCCTCTGCATACTCACAGGCTTAACAGCAAATGGAAGCTGCCAGGGCTTATGGCTTATACTGTCTAGAGCAACTGCCTGAGATATATCTGGGGCCGTTTTAGCTACAGCCACAGCTGGAGCTGGAGTGGCTGGGAGTCAAGGATCTGTGTCCTGAGGGTGCGCAGGGAAATGAGGCCCTGGGCCTGGCCCATGAAACCATTCTTTCCTCCTGGGCCTCTGGGTCTGAGATGGGAGGGGCTGCCATGAGGTCTCTGAAATGCCTTTGAGGCATTTTACTCATTGTCTTGGCTATTAATATTTGTCTCCTCTTTACTTATGCAATTGTCTATAGCCAGCTTGAGTTCCTCCCCTGAAAATGGTTTTTCCTTTTCTACCACATGGTCAGGATGCAAATTTTTCAAACTTTTACACTCTGCTTCCCCTTTGAATATAAGTTCCAGTTTTCAATCATTTCTTATTCACGAATATGAGAATAGGCTGCTAGAAGCAGCCAGGCTATGTCTGGAATCCTTTGCTGCTTAGAAATTTCTTCTGCCAGATACCCTAAATCATTACTCCCAAGTTCAAAGTTCCACAGATCCCTAGGGCAGGGGCACAATGCCTCCAACCTCTTTGTGAACTCATAACAAAAGTGACCTTTGTTCCAGTTCCCAATAAGTTCCTCATCTCCATCTGAAACCTCCTCAGCCTGAACTTTGTCAGTATCAATATCAGCATTTGGTCACAACAATTTAACAAGTACCTAGGAGGTTCCAAACTTTCCCTCATCTTCCTTTCTTCTTCTGAGCCCTCCAAACTGTTCCAACCTTTGCCTATTACCCAGTTCCAAAGCTGTTTCCACATTTTCAGGTATCTTTATAGCAATGCCCTACTCCTGGTACCAATTTTTTGTATTAGTCTGCTCTCATACTGCTAAAAAGAAATACCTGAAGCTGGGTAATTTATAAAGAAAAGACGTTTAATTGGCTCATGATTCCATAGGCTGATCAGGAAGCATGGCTGAGGAGGCCTCAGGGAACTTTCAATCATAGTGGAAGGGAAGCAGGCACATCTTACATGGCTAGAATAGGAGGAAGAGAGTGAAGGGGGAGGTGTTACACACTTTTAAACAACCAGATCTCATGAGAACTCACTATTGTGAGAAGAGCAAGAGGGAAATCTGTCCTCATGATCCAGTTACCTCCCACCACACCCCTCCTCCAACACTGGTGATTGCAATTTGACATGAGATTTGAGTGGGGACACAAATCCAAACCATATCAATAATATATATACAGAGATAAACATATTTTAAGTATTACAGGAATTATTTATGCAGTTTTGAATCACAAATATGATTAAACTTTCTTTAAAAATATTATTTTTAATGGCTGCATAATATTCCCTAGTATCTTTTATAATGTATCTACTTTCCTGATGTTGAGTATTTAGTATATTTCAGACTTTTGTTATTTCAAACTCATGTTGATTTGAACAATTTTATCAATAAATCTTGGTCTGTATCTCAGATGATTTCAGTAGGAGAGATTCCTAGAAATGGATTTACTGGTCTAAGAAAGTTAACATTATAAAGCTCTTATCGCATATTACAAAAACCTTCTAAGGAAGCTTGTATCATTCTACTTTCAGCTGGCAGTATATGGGTCTGCCAATTTCACCAAACTACCTCAACAATTGAATATTATTATTTAAAAATTACTGTTAATTTGAAAGGCAATGATAACTATTTTAATTTGGCTTTTTTGGTTACCTATGAAGTTGAGTATCTCAATATATCAATTGATAGTCATAATTCAAGGACATTTAAACTATGCATAAAATATATGGGATGGTTAAAAGTCAGCAATAATGTAGTTTTCCCTTATCTGCAGGGAGTATGTCCCAAGACACCCAGTGGATGCCTGAAACTGCAGATAGTAGCAAACCCTATGTACACTAAGCTTTTTCCTATACATACATACCTATGATAAAGCTTAATTTATAAATTATGCACAGTAAGAGATTAACAATAATAATAAAATAGAACAATTATAACAACATACTGTAATAAAAATTATGAGATATTTTCCCACTCTGAAAATACCCTTCTTGTCATGATGTGAGATGATAAAATGCCTGTGTTATGAGGTGAAGTGAGGTGAATGATACAGACATTGCAATGTAGCATAAAGCTACTATTGACCTTCCTATGTCAGAAGGAGGATTATCTACTTCGAGTGATGCTTGGATCATCAAGCCATGATGATGTTGATGGCTGGATATTAGGAGTAGATGATGGATGTTGTTGATTAGTAGGCAGGTCATGTATAACAGATGGATATGCTAAACAAAGGGAATAATCTTTGCACAGCAAAGATGGGCAAAGGCAGGCTGGAGTGGATGTTGTGAGATTTCATCATGCTACTCAAAACAGCACACGGCAGGGCCGGGCATTGGTGGCTCATGCCTGTAATTCCAGCACTTTGGGAGGCCGAGGCAGGCAGATCACGAGGTCAAGGAGTTCTAGACCAGCCTGACCAACATGGTGAAACCCCATCTCTATTAAAAAATACAAAATTAGCCAGGCGTGGTGGCGCATGCCTGTAATCCCAGCTACTCAGGAAACTGAGGTAGGAGAATTGCTTAATCTCAGGAGGCAGAGGTTGCAGTGAGCCAAGATCACGCCACTGCACTACACCCTGGGTGACAGAGCGAGACTCCGTCTAAAAAAAATGAAAAACAAAAAACCAACCAAACAAAAACAAAAACAGCATATGGTTTAAAACTTACGAACTGTTTATTTCTGGAAGTTTCCATTTAATAGTTTTGGAAAGAGGTTGGCTATAGGTAACTGAAACCACTTAAAGTGAAACTGTGGCTAAGGGAGAGGTTATGATACAAGCTTAATGACCTTTTATAAGTAATTTCTTCTCTTTCTATAGTTTGGACGTCTGTCAAGAAGAAGGAAGAATTGCTTTTCTAGTTGTTTTGTAAGAATGTAGGAATGGTCAACTTAAATAATGAATATGTTATACTACAGTGGCTCACTGCATGCATGTGAGTTTGAAATGTATCTCTAATACCTAATATATTTGTAATACTCTTAGCCTTGGTTTTCTCATGCTTAAAATCAGGTTAATAATAGAGCCTATCTAGAAAGGTTGTTTTAAGAATTAAGTGAAGTAGTACATATAGTGTTTAGTAGAGGGCTTTGTGCATATCAACACCCAATAAATGCGTTATTAGTAGTGTTATGTGAAAATAATATAAAACATTTCATAAATGTAAGATTTTATTTATAATTCAGATAATACGTCAATTATCCAATTTGTTTAGGGGCTTTGTTTTTTCCCTGGCATTGGTTTATGTGGAAATATTTGCAAAATTTTTAATGATAAAATGTTCTGAAAATAGTCATGAATACTGTAGGGGATGAAAAGATTTTCCTCAACTCTTTTAGGGTTCTTGGCTGGATCTGAACAGAAAATTGACAGACAGATTAATAGCAGAAGAGTATGCTCTGTGGCTCAAGCTGGAGTGTGGAGTGCAGTGGCACAATTGCGGCTCAGGGCAGCCCTGAACTACAGGGCTCAAGTGATCCTCCCACCTCAGCCTTCTGAGTAGTTAGGAATACAGGTGCAAGCCACCATGTCCAGTGATTTAAATTAAGTTTTATATGACACAAGAGCCTTTATAAAAAAATAGAAATCCAAAGAATCAGTTTTAATTTTTTTGACTCATTTATCTTTTAGCCAGTCTGAATATAACTTCAAGAAATTTTATAAATTAATTTGGTAATACCATCCAGAGGAAGAGAAACATCCCATATATTTAACATACATACATAGGGACATACATAATCATGCAGAAAAATGCAGAACAAGCCATGTAGCTTTCATTTTAAAGTTTTAGTCATGTGTCAGGTACAATAATACAGAACTCACTCGTTTATAAAAGAATAGCTAGATCCAAATTGTGTTTCTGGTTGATGGAACAAGTTAAAGTTACCTGCCTAGATGACTAAAACTTTACTATTTGTAGAAAAGACTTTTAAGATTTTTCATCTGCCCAATTTGCTTCCAAATAACTCCTTTCCCCCAGCCTCAAGTCCAGGGGAAGATTATTTACATTTCAAAGGCATGGAGTAAGAATTTTTTCCAAGAGGGAGTTTTGGGTCATATTTTCCGATAATCAGAGCTCTAGTATAATTACTCTTTAGAAAAATTTCCCTCTTTTTCTTAAGTGTAGGACAGGTCCATTTTCCATGATCTGACCTTTTACAATATCTGCAAGCATCTTGAGATAAATAGGTGAGGTTTGGGTATTGTTAAAGAGGATTGGTGGACTTTAAATTGCCTCTGCAGTTCCATTTCTGTTTTTGTAAAGACTCAATTTATTAGGTCAGGATAGTGACTTAATTCCTCCAAGCACTGGGTCATAGCCTAAATGATATTAAGGGGCTGACTCATTTATCCTCTGCATTATCTTCCATTTCTTCCTTTATATCAGGGAGCAGATTACCAACTAAGAAATCAAAAGAGTCTTATGTTCTAGATTTAGAGCGGTGTGTCTTTGTTTTAATAAATTCTTCCACAAAATCTTCAGACTTTTTTTCCTCTCTGAATATATAGTTCTATCTTAGCTTAGAAGGCCTTAAAAATGGTCCTCAGGCTCTTAATGTCAGCCTTCAATTTGACCAACTTCTGACAGTTAAAACTAATGTTATCAGGTATCAGCCAGAAAAAAATAATAAACATTCCTGGCAGCATGGAACTCCTCTCTTTCTCTCTCTTAGACCAAAGGTATCTATCAAGTGACTCAACACCAGAATGAATCAACCTTTTATGACTTAGCCATGGATGCGAAAGGTGTCCTCAAAAGAGGGTGCAAAAAGATGCAGCCCTCTCAAGATCCAAAACCACTCCTAAGAGCCAAAAGAAATACAGGTAACTTGCGCCTGGAGAGCTGGCAACAGTTGGTATATTAGAATTGTGAACTCATATTTTTATCTTGCTATGTATTTGGGTCCCTACAACCTTTCATTTGGGCACCTGTATATGCAGACCCCATAACCTACGTGCCCCAACAAGTGGAAAGTCAAGCCAAGCAATCGAGACACAAGATGAGACAACTGGAAAGCAATAGCTGTCCTTGGGAGGGAAAGGATCAATAACTAATGGGTAACCCAACTTAACCAAATTTTTAACTAGAGTCACAATATAAAAGAACTAACTTTTAAAAGTGTTGTTTACTGCTAATCTGGATTTGGAAAGAAAAAGATTCTTACCACTTTTGCTCCACCAGGCCCTGAAGGCAGAGACTCAACACTGATGTAAGAATTTTTACCTTCTGCTGGCTTTTGTCAGATGGGAAGTCCAGGATCTTTGAACAGCAGCTTCTGGACTGAGCAAGGTGTCCCCAGCTGATGTGGCCCTTCATTGGGTACCAGAAGCTCTAGGGGAGGAAGAGATTTTCCTTCACTGTCTTAGGGTTCCTGGCTGGGTTTGAAAGAAAAACTGACAGATTAACAGGAGAAACCATACCGATTTATTTAACATGTTGTATGTAACATAATAGCCTTCACAGGGAAGCAAAGACCCAAAGAAATAGTTGACTATATGTATTTTTATGCTAGGTTTGATGAAGAGTAGACAGTTTAGGAGAAAAATGTTTGGAAAGGGGTATAATCTAACAGTAGTAAACCAGGGGAAACTTAGCAAGGTTCAGATTGTTCTCTGTGTCTCTGTATCTTCAGAGAGAAGGATGTTCCTTTCCTCTGTGTATAGGGTGGGCACTTCCCACATGAGGGTCTCATGACTGGCTTCAGGAAAAGGTCGTAAAATCCTTCCTAGGTATTATGATCTGCTTCAGGGAAAAAGGATGAGAGAAGGTTAGAGAGAGCTTCCTGCTTCTGATATTTCTCAAATGCCAATGGATCATGTTGTGGGGTAGTTTTCTAAACCCCATTAATATAAAAATCACAGGATCCAAAAATACATTTGCTTGCAATGCATGTTACCATCAGGGATAATATGTTATATTGAACATTCCTGATGGTATTTTCCTTATCTTTTCTAAAAATATGCAGTTAAAGAGTGAGTTCAAAATCATGAACAATGTTAACTAGGCACAAAAAACTGGACTCAAATAAATTAGCATTGCAAGTAATTCACAGAAATTAGTGCATTGAATAACATTAGGAGAAATTCACATTTTATTTATGGGTTGGGTAGTGGTTCTTTCCAAGGAAAATTTGTAACAGTGACTCTGATTGATCTTTGGTCCTGAATTTCTAAATGCAGGAACACAAAAGGTTGCTATTAACATAGCCTTGGGGAAGAAGGAAGAAAGAAACTAACAGAGTTTCCGATATTGCTCTGTCTGCACTGATATTCTGGAAAGCAAGGAAAAAATGGAGGGGAAGGTACAAATCTGCATTTTTTTTCCCCCAACAGAATGCCTCTCCTGCTATTTTCATTTAGCCCCAAGGTTTTAGAGAGATCAATACGGATACTTTCCAGGGAAGGAAATAAGACAGGAACATGTGCCCTAGTGGAACTGCTTAGAATACTGAATAGTTTTTGACATAGCTTGATGCAGAGGCAAGGTAATACTCTCCAAGGAGAGAATTGCTACTATAGTCTGAAGCTCATGGGGGAAAAAAGAAAAACTAAATAAAAGCTGGAGGGAAAATCAGTGGAAGTTTTTACTCCTCCCTGCCTCTCAAGTTCAAAAATAGGATGGTGAGTTGAGAATACAGGAGCTCAGAAAGAGCACTTGACTCATGAAAACTGTTTTCCACCGCATCATCACTACAGCAGAGGGCAGTGAAAATGCCTCTGCCTCTATTGAAAATCAAAATTCATTCTTTAGGGTAATATTTGCTTTCTTTCCTGTTTCATTTGATGGTTGCACTGCTGACATGGATTCATGATGGTTACTAAAATATTCACTGCAAATAGCTGGGGTGAAACAGTCTCATACGCTGCTATTCTTTTACTCCTCTGGATTAACCTTTCTCAGGCAACCACAGCATTGTAAACACCCCTCAGCATTAAATAAAAAACAGCAGTGTGCAGGTTGAAATGATTGCTTTAGCTTTTTTTCTGGACCAACGTGTGACTTGTTTTATTTGGCATTCCCCAACTGTTTAACAATCATGCACAGCTGAAAACTTTGCTTTTACTGTCTTTCCCACGTTTAATGAGGTCCAGGGAAAAATACTCATGCCTCTCTCTTTTTTTCACTTTAAAGGTCAAGATTTGAATCAGAATCAAATTTGGAAGGTCGATGTTCAAAGGTTACTGCTTTAACCTATAAAGTGTCAAGAAAACCTGGACAATTGCATAGAGGGGCAAAAATTAAGTCAAGATTGGTTTAAAAACTTGCATGTATAATGTGACATTGTGGCTGAGAATTTAAACTCATAAAAATCAGGAAAGTCAAAATTATGATCCTCCCAGCTATCATTATTTGTTCCTTTCACACATGATAGTATTTTATGTCCTATATTTACTGTTATATTTATGTCCTTGTATAGAATATGCCAAGTTATAGTTACTAGGGGAAGCATAACTTTCCATTTCTAACTTTCCTGCATTTTAATTCTTCAGCACAGTTAGCACTAGATTTCCTTCCTTTTCTCCTCCTTTGATTTCTTAAAGAAAAGAAAATGTTTATCATCATTAGATAATTACTCTGTGGACATATTAGTTTTATTAGCAACAATGAAGTCTTCTCTATATTTTATTGCCATATTGACTTCTTTTCAGAAGCAAAAATATGCTTCTTGGATTTGCTTTTTTTTGTTAAATATTTCTTCTGTTTATTGGCAATTTTATTTGTGCTAATGAGGTGACCATGCATCTCCCTATTTTAACTGTTCACTGATGTTGGGACTTAGGTATTTGTGGGTCAGGCTGCAAGGAACATAGCATGTTTCCTTTGTTGGGGAGAAGAGCTTTCTGCAGCTTACAGATGGGGTCTGCAAAATCCAGCAATCCTTTGTGGAGGAGGCAGACAGTAGCTTGGTGACTCTCTGAAGGGTGCTGACACCCTATTCCAGCACTGTTCATAGCTTCCTATACATTGTTTTATGATTATTTCAGCAGACACTGTAAGATTTGAAAAATGAAAATAGTAAATACACATCGGCGTGCAATTTCACAAGAGTAAAAAATGTAAGAGAAAATAACTGTCAGGCCTCTGAGCCCAAGCTAAGCCATCATATCCCCTGTGACCTGCACGTATACACCCAGATGGCCTGAAGTAACTGAAGAATCACAAAAGAAGTGAAAATGGCCTGTTCCTGCCTTAACTGATGACATTCTACCATTGTGATTTGTTCCTGCCCCACCTTAACTGAGTGATTAACCTTGTGAAATTCCTTCTCCTGGCTCAGAAGCTCCCCCACTGAGCACCTTGTGACCCCTGCCCCTGCCCGCAAGAGAACAACACCCTTTGACTGTAATTTTCCACTACCCACCCAAATCCTATAAAAAAAATGGCCCCACCCCTATCTCCCTTTGCTGACTCTTTTCTGACTCCGCCTGCCTGCACCCAGGTGAAATAAACAGCCTTGTTGCTCACACAAAGCCTGTTTTTTGGTCTCTTCACACGGACGTGTGTGACAATAACTAATTTTCAGTAGATTGGATATTGTTCTAGTTTCACAAAAGAAAGTGCTGCAGATTTGTGGTACAGATCATCTGAGTAAACTACCTTCACCAAACTGGGCAATAGGAATGTGTTTAGAGACAAAAAATGTCTTCAGAGTCACTTGCAGGCCCTATTTATTTAGAATGATGTAATATATAGTGGAAGGAATTTTGGAATCAGATGGATCTGTATTCAAATTTTGACTCTTAATACAAAGAAATTACTTTGGATAAGTGACTTAACCTCTCTGAATCCTGATCACCTAACTTACCAAAATGGTAATAATTGTACCTTCTCATAGAGTGTATAAAGATTGAGTAATATATATAAATCAGCTATCACACAGCAGGTTCTCATAAATGTACAGCAGTGTGATGAGATGCAAGACTGCCTGGGTTTGAATTCAGGCTGTGCCCCTCAGTAGCTGTGTGATCATGGGCTAGTTGGTCAATCTCTTGTTTCACTTTTCTTATCTGTAAAATAGGGATAACCATAGTCCTTATATCATGGACTTCTTGTGAAGACTAGTTGATGATTATACCAGTTTAGGTAAATCACTTAGAACAGCGCCTGGCATATCTTAAGCACTATATTGATGTTAGCTAATAACGCCATTGCTCCTTTCTAGATATAAAAACTGATCTGAGAAATTTCTTTCTTATTAGACTTTCTGAAAAATTTCCAAATTACCTAATTTGCTTTCCAGCATTTGGAATTTTCCCCCATGAAAAATAATTCACTTTTAACTTATCTCCAATATCTGGTAAAATCGATGGGTATTTGAGTCTAGAGTTACAAACAAAGGCAAAGCTTTGCCCAGCTTTGTTATGATGACACTAATTGCCATCATGGCACCTTATAAAACCATTTTTTCTTAATATACCTTTCAGAAATCTTATTAATTAGTCAGATTTTGATTTACCTTATTTAAATCATGACTTTGCACAAATTACCATAAAAATAAATGCCCCCAAATTTAATATAAATTGTTGATCTTTAATTATATTGTTACCTTCCTTAGAAACAATATATATACTTATTCTTGATCACATAAATGTTATCTTATAAATAGCTCTTCTTTCTTTGCTTTTGGCATTTCTTCAACCCTTACTTAGTCTTTAAGTACAATTTCTTTGCTTTTCAGATTTAACTCTCCTAATACTTGCCTTCCTTTAAGCCTCAAGCATGTAACTCACTCATTTCTTCATATTCATGAAACACTTTGATTTCTTTGGCAAAAATCTACTTGATAGCTAAGAAATTGTTTATTCACTTTTATTGTTGCTTTATTTAATGAATATTTATTGAGCACCAGGGACTAGGGGTATTTATGTTATGCCAGGGACTAGGCGTATTTAGAACATGCGCTAGGCTTGGATATAGTGGTATTCCTAACCTTTCCATGGTGCTTTTACAAATTCCATATCAGTGCTGTCCAGGAGAAGTATAACGCAAGCCAAATGTGCAATTTTAAATTTTCTTTTAGCCATATTTAAAAAGTGAAAAGGAAACAGGTGACATTAATTTTAATAATACATTTAACCTCATATATCCAAAGTTTTATTTCGCCATAAGAATTATTTAAAAACTGATGAGATATTTTCCATTCTTTTGCGTACTAAGTCTTTAAAATCTGATGTGTATTTTACATCTACAGCACATTTAAATTCTGACTAGCCATATTTCTATTGCTCAATAGATGCATAGAGCTGTTAGCTACCAAACTGAACAGCACAGGATCCTTTAAGACAGGAAACTATAGTCAAACACTGCAGCGTAATGTGGGATGAAATAGCATCAAAGCAATATAAGGAGCATATTTTCCTCAGCCCTCAGTAAAATGTCCTTTTATATTTTCTTCTAAATCAATACATGCCGACATTCCTAAGTTAGAAATTAGCATTGAAAATAAATTGTTTAAATCAATGATTTTTCATGAGACTGTTATAATTAATAGGAAAGCCATTTATAGTTGAGACAGTCTTGGGGATTGAACCGTTATTACCTCTGATGAATTAAAAAACTTCTGGATTTAAAAAAATGGCTGGAGTTTAGGTTTTGGGTTAGCATAAATTGAACTGGGAATAAATTCCTGGAGTCTAAGGTGAGATGAAACTTTTTTTTTTGGCTTTGAAGAAAGTAACATTGAAACACACAGGATCAAAGATAAAGTATATACCAGCAGGACACACTGGCGATGAAGGATATTTCATCTTCAAGACACTCACATTTTCAACGAATCCAAGGGAGCTCTGAAATTCACTTATAAAAGCCTGACAGTAATGGCTTGAGCAGGGCTACCCACCAGCCCTGGAGGTGTTTCAGTACACTGGTTAGAATATTATCTTATATTTCAAGGTGAATCCTGGTTTCCATGGAAATCTACAAGTGTGTACTACAAGTCAGGCATTTAGAAACCTTAAAAAGGGCCCCCCCCAAAAAAAAGGAAAAAGGAAGGTGCAAATAAAAAACGTGTGATCCCCACCCCGCCCCCCCGCCAAGGGAGGCCAAAATAACATGCATTGAAACAAAACACACAAAAAGTTTTATTAGTTTATTTTCTGCTTGGAGTAGTTACCCACTATTTCCTTTGCTGCTGCTTTTATGCGGAGAATATGGATTAAAACACACAACTTAAATTTAGTGAAATTGAAGTTACTTAGCCTGTCCCCTCTTTGATAAAATCTTTTTCTTCACATGAAAAGAATGAATGTTCTTTCACTTCCCTGAATCTACTCATGTCATTGTGTATTTACCGTGATTACAGTCTTGGTGGTAGTTGACTATTGTATGCGCATGTCAGCCTATTTTGGGAGCAGTAGAATGAAATGAGTAGTAAGCTTGTGAGTTCCTTCTCGGGACATCAACTGCCCTGTTTTCATCATTGATTGCTGTAGCAGTTCCACATTTTGGTATAAGGGAAGAACTTGGCCCTAAAGAGTGTGAGAGGATATCTATACAGGTTTATGATATTCTTTTATTGTTGAGTGGAGGGGAGCTATACAAAAATTTCTCTGAGCAAAAGTGTGCTATAAATCCATGGTGGAAAAGGTAGGGGTCTGAGGGAGAAAAGCTCCTATACCATCATTTTCACTATGGCCATTACCCATAAGAAATGTGAAATAAAAAGAAGAGTAAGCCGAGTGAAAATTAACTTTAAGTCATAGAAACTGACAAGCGGTTTCTGTGATTTAGAGTAGAGTCATGTCAAGTTCCAGTGTTGAAATAAGAAACATAGAGGACAGGCATTTTTATGTTGTCTGTAATTGGACAAGTGAAGAAAATGATTTGTTGAAGGTGATGCTAATGACATCAAACCAATGTCAAACTGTGTGCTGGGAGCAAAAAAAAAAAAAAGAATGGAGAAGGAACATATTGTGCCCAGCTTGAGTTTATGAGGAAAAGGATTTTGTGCCAGAGAACTTTTTGTGACCACAAAAATGTAAATGTGGAGAATTATCTCTCTGGCTTACTTTTTAAAATTTTTATCAGCATCACCTCTCTTGTGCAGGCTACATGTGTTCTGTTTTGCAGAACGCACTCCCAGCTTGTCTTGCATTGTTATTGCAGGTGGTATTTAAAAATTACCAATTTCCAATTATGATAACATATACCTTGCAGTCCTGTTGGACTGAAGATAACTTTATGTTTCAAAATAGTCAAGCAATTTTAGTGATAATTTTTTAGTAATCATTAGGGTTACATTTTATTTCCCACCCTCCCAGACAGCTTTCATCTCTGGACCATACTCAGTATGAAAATAATCATTCATCTGCTTCACTCACTTTTGCTGCCTCTTTCTGCCCATCCCATTTTCCCCATGGCTTAACCTTGGGGAAGAGTCTATTGCTTTTTCTTTCTGTTAGGACTGAACATTCTTCTCCAGCCAATAACAAAGGAGCTTCTGTATTTTTAAAGAAATCTCATGAAATCAAACATAAACAGAATAGAAAAAAACTGAATATTTAATTTCATATCAAACCTCTAACCTGAGATTAAAAAATTCTCATATGTGCCCAATTTCCTAAGAAGCCCCATTTAAAATATTCTGACCTAATGTCAGACCATATGTTAGGCAAGGTCTCCCTATTTGAGAAGTGCAATAATTATATCCTCAGAAGGTCTGTGGCTTGATATTGAGCAGGCCTGCACTAATTCCATATAGACTGTGGGCAAGGGTTGCAAATCCTTACCTATATTTTCTAGAGAAATTATCCAACCATGTTTTATTCTTTGAGAAGATCAGAGGCATGGAGTGCGGTAAGACCTGAGAAAATATTTAGAATTCTATAGGAAGGACAATTGCCATGAGCAACTCTAACAGTTGTTCTCAGATGGGCATTCCTAATATTTTTATTCAAAAAATAATTTGGATGATCTCTGTTCCATTGTGCTAGAAGTTAAAGGAAGCTTTAGTAAGTGAAATTCATAGAAAATCTGTCTTATTTTAGCCAACACCTTTATCTGTTGCTTCCTTTTTAATTACTAAAACTATTTACATTCTGTATAGGCAGTAAATTATATGGTTCAAAATTCAAAAGTACAAAGGCTATTTATTACAGATTTCCCTTCTTACCTCTGCCCCTCAGCTGCATAATTCTTCTCAGTGCAGTTAACTAATGTTATCAGTTTCTTGTGTATCCTTTATTTCTTCTTGAGCATCTTAGTCACTTTGAGTTGCTGTAACAAATTACCATAGACTAGATGGCTTATAAACAACAGAAATGTATTTCTCACAGTTCTGGAAGCTAGAAGTTAAAGATCAGGGTGCCAGCATGGTTGGTTCAGGTTGAAGACTGCCAGCTTCTCATTGTGTCCTTACAGCGTGGAAGGAAAGCAAGCAAGCTCTCTGGCTTCTGCTTTATGAGAGCACTAATCCTGTTCTCAAGGGCTCCCTCTCATGATCGATTAATAATTACCTCTCCAAAGCCCCATCTTTAAATACCATCACATTGGGGTTTAAATTTTAACATATGGCTTAAGGGGAGACACATTCAGTCCCTAACATTGGATAACTTTGTTATCAAATGTATATTTTCTCTATTTTTTAACACAAATATTTTCGTATTATCATTACACACATTGCTTCATACTACTCTTTTTTTTTTTTTTTTTTTTTTTGAGACGGAGTTTCACTCTGTTGCCCAGGCTGGAGTGCAATGGCACCATCTCGGCTCACCACAATCTCCAGCTCCCGGGTTCAAGTGATTCTCCTGCCTCAGCCTCCTGAGTAGCTGGGATTACAGGCATGCACCACCATGCCTGGCTAATTTTGTATTTTTAGTAGAGACAGGGTTTCTCCATTTTCGTCAGGCTGGTCTCGAACTCCCGACCTCAGGTGACCTGCCTGTCTCAGCCTCCCAAAGTGCTGGGATTACAGGTGTGAGCCACCATGCCTGGCCCATACTACTCTTTTTTTTAACCCAACAGTATACATTAAAGATCAATTCATTTTAATGTAGAAAAAGCTTTTTAATAATTTTTAAAATGACTAGTGTATTATTCTAATATATGTATATATTCTATATACATAGAATAATTACTATGTACAGTATATTATATACTATTATACTATGTATTATATACTATTATACTATGTATATACTATTATACTATGACTATATAGTATATTATTCTCTTATAAGCATATTCCTTAATTTATGTACTCAGTCCACTGTAATGTGAATATTTAGGTTGTTTACTCATTTTTGCTCTTATAAAAATGTTTTAATGCATCTTTTTTCTTTCTTTATTGTGTGAGTAAACCTATATGATATAGTCTTAGAAGTAGAAATTCTTGGTGTGTGTGTGTGTATATATATATATATATTTCTTTTTTATAATTTTGCCGAATACTGGAAACTATCTTCCACACAACTTTTGACATGTTATACCCATCAGCACTGCATGAGAGTGGCTGTTGCTGTACAATATCACCTATGGTATCTTATTAAAACTTTGGATCTTTACCAGTCTAGTAATGAATAATAGTTATCTTGGTATCCTTGTCTTTGTATTATTATGAGTGAACGTGGACATTGTTTCATTCATTTAAGAGACATATTTATTTCTCTAATGTAAATTAAGTGCTTATATATTTTTGTCAATTGCATAATGTGTTATTAGACTTTTGAAACTGATTTGTAGATACTCTTTATGTTTGAAATGGGAGATAAACTCTTTATGACATGGTTGTGTTTTTCTTCCAGTTTGTCATATATTTTGACTTTGCTTGGTGAATTTTGCCCAGGCAGAAATGTTTGATGTGTGTGCTGTTACATTTATCTATTTTTTAATTTTATGACTTCTGAGTTTTTTAATCATAGAAAGGCCTTTCTCTTTTGAGATTAGGATAAATTTTCCAAAGATGTCTTCTAGTACTTTTATAAAAATTTCCTCCTTTTAGAAACATGTGCAAAAACAAACCCCTAATTATCCTAAAGGTGGCCAAGGTAAAAATATCAAAAGGATGAGGCCCATTTGGCTTAGAAACAATTAAAAACCAACACTCATGAGTGGCTCTAAGAGGTTTCTCCTTGATTCTGCTTTCAGAGGTTATCTGCTGTGAACTGGGTCTTGTCTCACCCCTACTTTCCTCATCCACTGCTCTTGAAATGGAAGGCATCTGAAGTTGACAAAGATGTTATACAGGATAATTGAGGATAATGTCTCCCTCTTGCCCATGAATATAACTAAAATGAGAACTTAATATTAGTTTGTGCAGTGCTGTAGAAAGCAATTGGAGGCACATACACTGTGGAATAGATCTGATATCATTAATTTTAAAGTTAAATGCCTTCTCAGTGAGCTACCTGTGCAAGTAAATTAAATCAAACATTTAATGTTAGCTGTGCAGGTTACTTCATTTATGAAGGTTAAATAGCTGAATTTCAATGTAATTTTTTAGCCTTGCAATGGTGGAGATCTGGAAAACAATTTCTGATGTATGGACCCTTCTAAATTGCTTAAGGAAATTGTCAATGCATAGTAATTACTTATTTTCTCACCTTTTCAATGTCATAATAAAATAACTGCAGGTGGCAAGTAGCATAAATTAACTGCTTATTTGATTAGTTAAAAAACAAAAAATAATAATCCTTCTTTGTAACTATGAGAACAACATAGCTGATAAAAGAAATTCTAAATACTGGTTGCCTAAAGAATATAAAAAGATTATTTTTTTCCCTAAAATATAAAGATTTTTCATAGTTAAGAATATTTTTATTTTAATCAGCATCAAACATTTATATTGTTTAAGATTGTATAGCCATTATTAAATGTAGAATACACTGCAAGACTGTAGGCTTGCTATTTTAATTACAGCAGACTTATACCTTTCTAACACTTTCACACTCAATAAAATGTAGAGATCCTTTTCTGGCAAAGATTTTCTGGCTCAATACGAAAAATAAAATGTCATTACAGTCTGCCAGAGCAGCCCACCTGTATGGTCTGTCTCAGTGAAATGCCAATGGATTAATAAGGATGCTTGTATAGTAAGGGTAATTTAGGTGATACTTACCTGACAAGGGACCTCTCTTTACCATAGGACACTTGTTGGACTCTTCCAGATGGAAAGGAACAAAGATATGCATTATTCTTAGTTACTATTTTTTAAAGTCAATATTGACTGTTCTAGGAGTAAGGGAATGGAAAATAATGTCCACAGCTCCAGAGAGATGGGACTATTTTCCAGGGATTAGCAGATCAAAAAGTGTATAGCATCATTCCAGCCTCCGGTTAGAGAAACGAGGAGAGCAAGGAGACCTGTGAAGAGGCCATAGTTCTGGAGGGTGGGGCAATAGGGGATTGGACTAAGGTGGTGACACTGGGGAGAGAGAAGAGGGCAGAGTAAAGATCTGTCTTTTAGGCATAAGGGTTATGAGGGTTATGAGGCTGTGGTCACATTAAGTTTTCTCAATTAGAGGAGAAGGAACTGGAATGTGACATTTATGGCTTATTCAACATACTAACATAATCTCAGTGTCTAATAATTGGTAAACAATAACTTCAACTCCCAGTGAGCATTGTAGTTAGGTCAGAAAATCTCAGTACAGAATTTGTTATTTATTAACCATAGGAATTATCTTTATAGTGTGAAGTTCCTGCGCTATGATTTTCACCCACAGCCATGGGGTGGACCTTTTGGAGTTATTAATAAGTGCAATGGATTTCAAAGCCCAAGTTCCACTTGGAGATGTATAGAAGAAGATTGGAGAGATGTAGAAGGTAGGGCAGGAGTAATTGGGCAATATTTCCCACTGTGGAAATATCACAGAATCAATGTTCATTTTACTTAATATTGTATAGATTCTATTGTGCTCTGCAAAACTGAAAGCAACCTGTAAAAAAACTCTGGTATTATCTATAAAACAGATGTAGTCCCATTCCCTGCATCACTCATGCACAGCTTTCAGCCACAGATCTTGAATTTCCTGGTACTTCAGTGAGTATCTTTCTTTTATTGCCTAGCTACATACAAGTGAGTAAAGCATTTAATTCCTTTGCTTTGACCTCCTCAAAGGAAAAGTCCCTTAAAATACAAAGTTGTAATTCTTACAAGGTTCAACTCAATTGTCTTTAAAAATAATAGCCAAGAGCAAGAATTTATTGTTAGAAAAGAAGTAATGAAACTGAGTGAAGTCTCTACATTTACTGCATTAAAATGAAATCTATCTTTGATGGCTCTCTTTTTAAATTTAATTGTTAATCAACTATTAACATTTTCTAGTTATTTTATATCACACGTGGAACTTTACTGCCACATGTAAAATAAGCATATAAATAACATCTAATGTGAGCAAAAACCTTTTTATTAGATTAGCTGATGACAGCAACAAGTTTTCTCAAAAGGGCAAATAAGTTGTATGAGAGTTTTACGTGACTTAATCAGCCAGATTTCTAAGCGTGATTTTAAGATGTATTATTGTTATTCCAGCAGAATTTGATTTCTAATTCCCCTCTTGCATCTTGAAGACTAATAGCAACATGTCTATTACAACGTGGAAGGAGAACACTATTCTTGGCATTCCCAGTTACCTTCCTTGAAATTTAAGGCTCATCAATGGCAAAATCAGTACTAGACATTTTTCTAGTATGGGTGAAGGGAAAACATTTAAAAGTAGAATAAAAAGGTATTAGTTGGTCATTTGCCACTGGTTTGGTTTCTGATACACCTGAACTTTCATGACTTAATGCTAAATCTGCTAAGGTTGAATGCCACATTTTGCTGGAATTTAGTCCTAGGCAGAGTGATGTGTATATGCAGGTGAACAGCTTGTTTTGATGACCTAGACAAAGAAAACTCATTTTCAGAGAACTAATCTCCACCTTCCTGGCCATTGGTATAGGCCCCAACACCCATCTTGATATTATGTTGTTACTGTGAAATTAAATAATTCAAATTTAAAGCTGCAGGAACTTTAAATTATTCTGAGCCTTGAGAGGAATGTGGCTATGTGGCCTGAGTCATGTGGCAAGCGACTGCGACTTCTGCCCTGTAAATAATTAGGAAGATCAAGAGGTGCCAGAGATAAGACCTCCCCAACCAAGACCTCTACCCCTCCTCACAGGGTAATAAACTAAGCTTCCTTGGAATTTAGCAATTTGTAACCAATCTAATCACTGTAAAGGATGCACTGGTTTTGTTTGGAAAATGTAATCTTACAATACTTCTCTTCCTCTACCCACATAAATGGAAACGTAACTTCTGAGCTTTGAAACACTGACCCCATTTGTTTGAAGTCCATGTTTCCCAGATGGCTATCCTCAAGCTTTGTGCTTGAACAGACTCTATACTTAATCATACTTTCTAAATCTCATTATTTAAGATTGACATTACTTTCATTGGCAAAAGCAACTAGGATCAGTAGTGCACAGCAGACCAAAGTGGTCCTGTCAGATTCACTTTTAGAAAAACAATTAGCCCGTTAAAAAAAAGAGAAGTAGGGTGGTAGGGGAAGGTGGTGAAGATATATATATATACACACACACATATATATATATATATATATATATACACATATATATATGTATATATATGTGTGTGTGTGATGTGTGTGTGTGTGTATATACATATGTATATATATATGTGTGTGTATATATATATGTATATATATAGTGAGAGTTATGCTTTGGTTTCTGATTCTTTTTCAGGCTTTTAATCTAGTTCTTCATAAGGCTTGATTACACTAAGTCCTCTTATAAAAAGTTTCTTCTTTGTGATTGAACTAATTTGAGTGGATTTCTGTTTCTCACAACCAAAGGAAACTTGACTAAGACAAAGGGAATGATGGCAGAGTGGTTAGCATCTCTTTTCTTGACATCTCTCACTTCTTATTAAGTCAAGGCAAGCACAAAAGGGGAAGAGAATAGGACTGATTGTTGTATCATTTCAAGCTGATATGAAGGAGTTTTAATATTCCCAGGTGAAATCTGTCTATATCAATTCTCCTGATGAAGACAGCCTTATAAAAAAGGAAGGTTCCAGCAAATCCCTGAAAAGAATGCTTGACTCTTATGGGGTTCAGGACATGCTACCCCAAAATATGGCACCTTGGCATGTGAGAAAACAGCAGAAGCGGGAAGGCCACTCTCAGCTTCCTCTCACTCTTCTCCCCTGAAGCAGACCGTAAAATAATTCTCTAAACTTCTAAAAATGTAAGTCATAAGGCCGGGCGCAGTGGCTCATGCCTGTAATCCCAGCACTTTGGGAGGCCGAGGCGGGCGGATCACGAGGTCAGGAGATCACGACCATCCTGGCTTAACACGGTGGAACACCGTCTCTACTAAAAATACAAAAAAAATTAGCCTGGCGTGGTGGCAGGCGCCTGTAGTCCCACCTACTCTGGAGGTTGTGGCAGGAGAATGGCAGAAACCCTGGAGGCAGAGCTTGCAGTGAGCCGAGATAGCGCCACTGCACTCCAGCCTGCGTGACAGAAAGAGACTCCGTTTTTTTTTTTTTTTTTTTTTTTAAAAAGGTAAGTCATAAAACCTTCATTCTAGAGGTACTCTCCTTATACCAAGAGGAAAGGAATATCCTTATTTTCAAAGACACAGAGACACCAACAAAAATCTAAACAGCCTTGCTAATGTCCCCCAGACCTCCCAGTTTATTACCATTAGATTATATTCCCTTTGAACAATGGTATGTCTGCACAACTGTCCACTCTTCATCCAACTTAGCATAAAAACACACAGATTTCCCTGTTTTTTGGGTCGTTCTTTCCTTATGAAGGCTCTTCTGTCAGGTAAAACCTACATTAAACAAATTAGTATAATTTTATCTGTCTTTTGATATGGGAGTTTCAGCCATGAACCCAGTGATGAGTGAGAAAAGACTTTTTTTTTTTTTTAAGTCCCCTACAATGCTTTGCGGCAGGAAATGTGATCTGGGACACCAAAGTAGATGCCCTTTTACAGCTAAGATAGGCCCTAAGGTTAATAAAACAAAGTTACCCTTTGGTTGAGGGCTCAGGGCCTGGTTACCACAGCAAATTTCTAAATACCTACTATAAGAAAAACCACACACTTGTGAAACTCCTAACAACAGGAGTCATCAGGCTGAATTACAACCTAGACCACTACTACTGTGGCTGGACAGAGGGCCAACATTGCAAACATTCTTTTCTGAGAAGGTACTACAGACCTTAGGGCAGTTTCAGCCAGCTTATAGAGGTTAAGCACTAATCATCTTTGTGTCCTGTAGTTCATCTTTTGACATAAAGAGCCAAATTCTACCTCATTTGAATGCTAAAACCCCACCCCAAAGTGAGCATGGGATGTATGTTACGTACGTGTTTACCCAATCCACATCCACTTGGCTCCCCTCATAAATATGTATAGTTTTCCACCCAAACCGGCTGAATATGTGTGATACTGGCACTGTGAGGCATAAAACCCAACCTGTTCTTCCTCTCTTTGAAGAGAAGTCCATGCTGGATACTTTCTCTTCCTGGCTTGCAAACCAGTATCACCAATAAAGTTTTCCTTTCTACTCTCTAGCCGTCCTGGTGGTCTGACTTCCATTTTCATTTAGCATGGTGTGAAAAGTTGAGACAAATGTAGTCTTGAACAGCTGGTGAGGTAGCTAGGCAGAAAATGAATGCAGTAGGAATTAATGGTAAACGTTAGAAACTTTATCATCACAATCTGATAGAAAACTTGGTGACCTCCAAATTCATTTTCGAATGAAATTAGAATACATCAGAATGCCAAGTGAACATTTACCACATTGTATCACTAAATGTTTTCTGTGGCTTTATTTTTCTAAGTAATCCAAACCAGGATCTGGCTAGACTATGACATGTGTCAGAAAATTCTGTAAGTGATGTAGTTATCTTCTCATTTAGGCTGTGGTATTAGAATCCAAAACATGGCTTGGATGGTATTTTGTGCCTATTATTTCCTCAAATGATGCTAAAGTGAATTCATTAATTTTTAATCTGAAAACACTTTAATTAATTCAGAATGTGAAAGGTTAGTTTGAAAATAAGGTATGATACAAAGGGGATGGCAGGCACCCTGGTGCGCAGCAGATTGGCTCTGATCTTTTGCAATCCAAGTGAGAGGTTGTTGTTCTGTTATGGATGAAAAGGCTCATTATCTCAAAGATAATTGCCCAGATGCCATACCAGTGAGGTCACACTAAACAGGGCTGTGGTTTCTGAACCAAATATTTGAGCTAATTAACAGTTAAAGGTGTAGGGAACTATTTTTAATGTACTATAGAGAACAACTAATAAATACTTCCTTCATGCAAAATATTTAACCACTTACGGAGGCTAAATGGAGCTACTGAGTGAAATTGCAAAAATTAGAAAAGTAACATTTTTAAAATTCAGTCTATTATATAGTTATATACTTTCTGTATTGCTTGGGTTTTGACATCTCTCCAAGTGTGTAAATAATTCTGTTAACTTTTTTAAAAAAGTCATGCAGCGTTAAGAGGATAAGTAGTAAAATATTTTAATACCTTTATATTCTAGTTGACATTTTAAAGCTAAGCCTTTAGATTTCAAGGTTTGTGAATAGAGTTGAATTGTTGAAGCCCTAGACATTGCGATTTTGTGGAAAATATACTTACAGAAAACTACAGTACAGTGTGTAAAAGTAGGGCAGGAGAATATCATAACCAGTGAGAATCTGACCTCTTGTTTCTGTCTCCTACTCTCCAAAGTAAATCCTATGCTTGCTTGGTTTTCCGAATTGCAACATCACATAATGACTCTGCAGGTGGTGCTGTCTGAGTAGAAATGGAATTTTATAGTTAGCCACAAGGTCTTTCTCTATTAGAATAACTATTAACACTTTAAATCAAAACCAGAAGTGGATGGTATGATTTGTGACAAAGATCGAGGCTGACGGTTTCAGTGATTTTAAGTATACTTTTGTACTGTTTCATCTTTTCCTAAATTTCTGAAGTAGCCGATTAGGAATAGCAATAGCCAGAGTAAAAAAAAATGAGTGTGAAATTTTGAGCATTGGTAGACAGACACAGGGAGGTAAAATTTAAATAAGGCACAGTGTGGGGTATTGAATAAACTGGAACACAGAATGTTAGCATCCTAGGATCAATACAGAGAAGAATGGTTTCCAAATAGGTGTGAGAAATCTTTTCTTCACGCTGCAACTGACTTGAAGCTTTATCAAGTCTTCCTTTCTGAGTTGGTTAGAACTTCAGTAGTTGGAATCCTAGAGTATTTTTGTTGTTTAAATCCATTAGTTGTGATTTAAAAAACACAGCGTGAATTTAGTTATTATTGTAAGAGTTAAAGGAAGAGGAAAGAAACATGAAAAGCAGCTCAAGAGTAAAAGACTGTTTTATTTTGGAGAATAAACCTGAGAGGGGCTTCTGGCCGATTTCAGTCAAGAGTGCTCTCTCCTACAGACTAAGAGTATTTATTGGTTTTAGGGTGAGAGGGTTTATCACAGGCTTGGAATATTTCTGTGTGGTGGAGAAGCTTATTTTTATTTTATTTTTTATTATACTTTAAGTTCTAGGGTACATGTGCACAATGTGCAGGTTTGTTACATATGTATACATGTGCCATGTTGGTGTGCTGCACCCATTAACTCGTCCTTTACATTAGGTATATCTCCTAATGCTATCCCTCCCCCCTCCCCCCACCCCATGACAGACCCCGGTGTGTGATGTTCCCCTTCCTGTGTCCAAGTGTTATCATTGTTCAATTCCCACCTATGAGTGAGAACATGTGGTGTTTGGTTTTTTGTCCTTGCGATAGTTTGCTGAGAATGATGGTTTCCAGCTTCATCCATGTCCCTACAAAGGACATGAACTCATCATTTTTTATGTCTGCATAGTATTCCATGGTGTATATGTGCCACATTTTCTTAATCCAGTCTATCATTGTTGGACATTTGGGTTGGTTCCAAGTCTTTGCTATTGTGAATAATGCCACAACAAACATACGTGTGCATGTGTCTTTATAGCAGCATGATTTATAATCCTTTGGGTATATATACCCAGTAATGGGATGGCTGGGTCAAATGGTATTTCTAGTTCTAGATCCTTAAGGAATCGCCACACTGTCTTCCACAATGGTTGAACTAGTTTACAGTCCCACCAGCAGTATAAAAGTGTTCCTATTTTTCCACATCCTCTCCAGCACCTGTTGTTTCCTGACTTTTTAATGATTGCCATTCTAACTGGTGTGAGATGGTATCTCATTGTGGTTTTGATTTGCATTTCTCTGATGGCCAGTGATGATGAGCATTTTTTCATGTGTCTGTTGGCTGCTTAAATGTCTTCTTTTGAGAAGTGTCTGTTCATCTGCTTTGCCCACTTTTTGATGGGGTTGTTTGATTTTTTTCTTGTAAATTTGTTTGAGTTCTTTGTAGATGCTGGATATTAGCCCTTTGTCAGATGGGTAGATTGCAAAAATTTTTTCCCATTCTGTAGGTTGCCTGTTCACTCCGATGGTAGTTTCTTTTGCTGTGCAGAAGCTCTTTAGTTTAATTAGATCCCATTTGTCAATTTTGGCTTTTGTTACCATTGCTTTTGGTGTTTTAGACATGAAGTCCTTGCACATGCCTATGTCCTGAATGGTATTGCCTAGGTTTTCTTCCAGGGTTTTTATGGTTTTAGGTCTAACATTTAAGTCTTTAATCCATCTTGAATTAATTTTTGTATAAGGTGTAAGGAAGGGATCCAGTTTCAGCTTTCTACATATGGGTAGCCAGTTTTCCCAGCACCATTTATTAAATAGGGAATCCTTTCCCCATTTCTTGTTTTTTCAGGTTTCTCAAGGATCAGATAGTTGTAGATGTGTGGTATTATTTCTGAGGCCTCTGTTCTGTTCCATTGGTTTATATGTCTGTTTTGGTACCAGTACCATGGCATTTTGGTTACTGTAGGCTTGTAGTATAGTTTGAAGTCAGGTAGCATGATGCCTCCAGCTTTGTTCTTTTGGCTTAGGATTGACTTGGCAATGCGGACTCTTTTTTGGTTCCATATGAAATTTAAAGTAGTTTTTTCCAATTCTGTGAAGAAAGTCATTGGTAGCTTGATGGGGATGGCATTGCATCTAGAAATTACCTTTGGCAGTATGGCAATTTTCATGATATTGATTCTTCCCATCCATGAGCATGGAATGTTCTTCCATTTGTTTGTGTCCTCTTTTATTTTGTTGAGCAGTGGTTTGTAGTTCTCCTTGAAGAGGCCCTTCACATCCCTTGTAAGTTGGATTCCTAGGTATTTTATTCTCTTTGAAGCAATTGTGAATGGGAGTTCACTCATGATTTGGCTCTTTGTTTGTCTGTTATTGGTGTCTAAGAATGCTTGTGATTTTTGTGCGTTGATTTTGTATCCTGAGACTTTGCTGAAGTTGCTTATCAGGTTAAGGAGATTTTGGGCTGAGACGATGGGGTTTTCTAAATATACAATCATGTTATCTGCAAACAGGGACAATTTGACTTCCTCTTTTCCTAATTGAATACCCTTTTTTTCTATCTCCTGCCTGATTGCCCTAGCCAGAACTTCTAATACTATGTTGAATAAGAGTGGTGAGAGAGGACATCTCTGTCTCGTGCCCGTTTTCAAAGGGAATGCTTCCAGTTTTTGCCCATTCAGTATGATATTGGCTGTGGGTTTATCATAAATAGCTTTTATTATTTTGAGATACGTCCCATCAATACCTAATTTATTGAGAGTTTTTAGCATGAAGGGCTGTTGAATTTTGTCAAAGGCCTTTTCTGCATCTATTGAGATAATCATGTGGTTTTTGTCTTTGGTTCTGTTTATATGCTGGATTACATTTATTGATTTGTGTATGTTGAACCAGCCTTGCATCCCAGGGATGAAGCCCACTTGATCATGTTGGATAAGCTTTTTGATGTGCTGCTGGATTTGGTTTGCCAGTATTTTTTTGAGGATTTTTGCATCAATGTTCATCAGGGATATTGGTCTAAAATTCTCTTTTTTTTGTGTGTGTGTCTCTGCCAGGCTTTGGTATCAGGATGATGCTGGCCTCATAAAATGAGTGAGGGAGGATTCCCTCTTTTTCTGTTGATTGCAATAGTTTCAGAAGGAATGGTACCAGTTCCTCCTTGTACCTCTGGTAGAATCGGCTGTGAATCTGTCTGGTCCTGGACATTTTTTGGTTGGTAGGCTATTAATTATTGTCTCAATTTCAGAGCCTGTTATTGGTCTATTCAGGGATTGAAGTTCTTCCTGGTTTAGTCTTGGAAGGGTGTATGTGTCCAGGAATTTATCCATTTCTTCTAGATTTTCTAGTTTATTTGCATAGAGGTATTTATAGTATTCTCTGATGGTAGTTTGTATTTCTGTGGGATCGGTGATGATATCCCCTTTATCATTTTTTATCACGTTTATTTGATTCTTCTCTCTTTTCTTCTTTATTAGTCTTGTTAGTAGTCTATCAATTTTGTTGATCTTTTCAAAAAACCAGCTCCTGGATTAGTTGATTTTTTGAAGGGTTTTTTGTGTCTCTATCTCCCTCAGTTCTTCTCTGATCTTAGTTATTTCTTGCCTTCTGCTAGCTGTTGAATGTGTTTGCTCTTGCTTCTCTAGTTCTTTTAATTGTGATGTTAGGGTGTCAATTTTAGATCTTTTCCTGCTTTCTCTTGTGGGCATTTAGTGCTATCAATATCCCTCTATAGACTGCTTTAAATGTGTCCCAGAGATTCTGGTATGTTGTGTGTTTGTTCTCATTGGCGTCAAAGAACATCTTTATTTCTTCCTTCATTTCGTTATGTACCCAGTAGTCATTCAGGAGCAAGTTGTTCAGTTTCCATGTAGTTGAGCGGTGTTGAGTGTTTCTTAATCCTGAGTTCTAGTTTAATTTCACTGTGGTCTGAGAGAGAGTTTGTTATAATTTCTGTTCTTTTCCATTTGCTGAAGAGTGCTTTACTTCCAACTATGTGGTCAGTTTTGGAATAAGTGCGATGTGTTGCTGCGAAGAATGTATATTTTGTTGATTTTAAGTGGAGAGTTCTGTAGATGTCTATTAGGTCCGCTTGGTGCAGAGCTAAATTCAATTCCTGGATATCCTTTTTAACTTTCTGTCTCATCCATCTGTCTCATGTTGACAGTGGGGTGTTAAAGTCTCCCATTATTATTGTGTGGGAGTCTAAGTCTCTTTGTAGGTCTCTAAGGACTTGCTTTATGAATCTGGGTGCTCCTGTATTGGGTGCATATATATTTAGGATAGTTAGCTCTTGTTGTTGAATTGATCCCTTTACCATTATGTAATGGCCTTCTTTGTCTCTTTTGATCTTTGTTGGTTTAAAGTCTGTTTTATCAGAGACTAGGATTGCAACCCCTGCCTTTTTTTGTTTTCCATTTGCTTGGTAGATCTTCCTTCATCCCTTCATTTGAGCCTATATGTGTCTCTACACATGAGATGGGTCTCCTGAACACAGTGCACTAATGGGTCTTGACTCTTTATCCAACTTACCAGTCTGTGTCTTTTATTTGGAGCATTTAGCCCATTTACATTTAAGGTTAATATTGTTTGTGTGAATTTGATCCTGTCATTATGATGTTAGCTGGTTATTTTGCTCATTAGTTGATGCAGTTTCTTCCTAGTCTCGATGGTCTTTACAATTTGGCATGTTTTTGCAGTGGCTGGTACTGGTTGTTCCTTTCCATGTTTAGTGCTTCCTTCAAGAGCTCTTGTAGGGCAGGTCTGGTGGTGACAAAATCTCTCAGCATTTGCTTGTCTATGAGGGATTTTATTTGTCCTTCACTTATGAAGCTTAGTTTGGCTGGATATGAAATTCTGGATTGAAAATGCTTTTCTTTAAGAATGTTGAATATTGGCCCCCACTCTCTTCTGGCTTGTAGAGTTTCTGCTGAGAGATCCACTGTTAGTCTGATGGGCTTCCCTTTGTGGGTAACCCGACCTTTCTCTCTGGCTGCCCTTAACATTTTTTCCTTCATTTCAACTTTGATGAATCTGACAATTATGTGTCTTGGAGTTGCTCTTCTCGAGGAGTATCTTTGTGGCATTCTCTGTATTTCCTGAATTTGAATGTTGGCCTGCCTTGCTAGGTTGGGGAAGTTCTGGGTAATATCCTGCAGAGTGTTTTCCAACTTGGTTCCATTCTCCCATTACTTTCAGGTACACCAATCAGACATAGATTTGGTGTTTTCACATAGTCCCATATTTCTGGGAGGCTTTATTCATTTCTTTTTACTCTTTTTTCTCTAAACTTCTCGCTTCATTTCATTCATTTGATCTTCAATCACTGATACCCTTTCTTCCACTTGATCGAATCGGCTACTGAAGCTTGTGCATTCGTCACGTAGTTCTCATGCCATGGTTTTCAGCTCCATCAGGTCCTTTAAGGACTTTAAGGACTACACTGGTTATTCTAGTTAGCCATTCATCTAATCTTTTTTCATGGTTTTCAGCTTCTTCTAGATGGGATCGAACTTCCTCCTTTCGCTCAGAGAGGTTTGATTGTCTGAAGCCTTCTTCTCTCAACTTGTCAAAGTCATTCTCCATCTAGGTTTGTCCGTTGCTGGTGAGTAGCTGCGTTCCTTTGGAGGGGGAGAGGCACTCTGAGTTTTAGAATTTTCAGCTTTTCTGCTCTGTTTTTTCCCCATCTTTGTGGTTTTGTCTACCTTTGGTCTTTGATGTTGGTGACCTACAAATTGGGTTTTGGTATGGATGTCCTTTCTGTTTGTTAGTTTTCCTTCTAACAGTCAGGACCCTCAGCTGCAGGTCTGTTGAAGTTTGCTGGAGGTCCACTCCAGACCCTGTTTACCTGGGTATCAGCAGCGGAGGCCGCAGAACAGTGAATATTGCTGAACAGCGAATGTTGCTGCCTGATTGTTCCTCTGGAAGCTTCATCTCAGAGGGGTACTGGGCCATGTGCGGTGTCAGTCTGCCCCTACTTGGGGGTGCCTCTCAGTTAGGCTACTCGGGGGTCAGGGACCCACCTGAGGAGGCAGTCTGTCCGTCCTCAGATCTCAAACTCCGTGCTGGGAGAGCTACTACTCTCTTCAAAGCTGTCAGACAGGGACATTTAAGTCTGCAGAGGTTTCTGCTGCCTTTTGTTCGGCTATGCCTGCCCCCAGAGGTGGAGTCTACAGAGGCAGGCAGGCCTCCTTGAGCAGTGGTGGGCTCCACCCAGTTCGAGCTTCCTGGCGGCTTTGTTTACCTACTCAAGCCTCAGCAATGGTGGGCGCCCCTCCTCCAGCCTCATTGCTGCCTTGCAGTTCGTTCTCAGACTGCTGTGCTGGCAATGAGCGAGGCTCCCTGGGCGTGGGACCCTCCAAGCCAGGTGCAGGATATAATCTCCTGGTGTGCCGTGTGCTAAGACCGTTGGAAAAACACAGTATTAGGGTGGGAGTGACCCGACTTTCCAGTTGCCATCTGTCACAGCTTCCCTTGGCTAGGAAAGGGAATTCCCTGACCCCTTGTGCTTCCCTGTTGAGGCGATGCCTCGCCGTGCTTCGGCTCATGCTTGGTGGGCTGCACCCACTGTCCTGCACACATTGTCCAACAAGCCCCAGTGAGATCAACCCAGTACCTCAGTTGGAAATGCAGAAATCACCCATCTTCTGCATCGCTCACACTGGGAGCTGTTGACTGGAGCTCTTCCTATTCGGCCATCTTGAAACTGCCGTGCTGGTGGAGAAGCTTATTGCAGGGTTGGAATGTCTCTGGTTGGAGGGGAGGTTGTGTCGGGGCTGGCATATCTCTGGTTGGGGAAGGGTTTAGGAGTGGTTTATGGTCATGCTGACCTTAGCCATTAGGCTGATACACTTTGGATTTAGGCAGTGTTTGATCAAGGGGAACTTTAGAATGGCGGTGCTTGTCCAAGATGGTGATGCTCCTGCTCTGTCAAGTATCAGCCACAGTTGCACTGCTTTTTGAAGAGCTTGAGTATGGTGACTGTTGTCTTTGCCTGGCCTCCTTTTCTTTTGGATGACAGACTACACCTGCACAATACAGTATGTTGGTAACAGTGCTCCATTCTCCTGGCCACAGTGTTTGATTCAGGGATGTGCCAAACTGAGATGATTTTATTCTATTTTGGATGGAAGTGGTATGGAATTATCTATTTTCTCTGTTTGTGAGATTGCAAATTTTGCCTGCAGAACTGCCTACAGCAATGTGATACTTCACAAAAGCCCGAGAGAGAGTGAAGCTGATGCCCAGGGGGCAGGCAAGCCTGAGAGAGTCCTGATACTTTTAAAATTTCTCCCTCTAGTCCCTTAGGTCCTCAGGGCTGTCCTGGTTCCTGCAGCCCTTCTCATTCTGTTGCTACTACAGGAGTTTGCAGTACACCCCCCTTCCTTTTTTTTTTTTTTTTTTTAAATAGGTTAGTTTTGACCTTCTGTCCGTGGCAATATACTAAGGCATAGCACTCAGTGTCTTACTCACTAAAGAGACAGAACATATGTGAAAGGGGACCCCACAACTTGTTGCAGTTCAGCTGCACTGGGAAACATCCTTACTTTATTTTCTTGAGGCAGATGAGGAAAGCGTCCCTTCTCAAATCTGGTGGCCACTTTCCTGTCCTAAGACCTTTGCATACTTTTCCCTTCTGCTTAGGAAGCTTGTACTCCACTCATCCCTCCCCTTCATTCTTTTTTTTTTTTTTTTTTTTTTTTTTTTTGAGACAGAGTCTTGCTCTGTTGCCCACGCTGGAGTGCAGTGGTGCGATCTGGGCTCACTGCACCCTCCGACTCCTGGGTTCAAGTGATTCTCTTGCCTCAGCCTCCTGAGTACCTGGGAATACAGGCGTGTGCCACCATGCCCAGCTAATTTTCCCCTTCTTTCTTTAGGTTGAATGTCGGCTCCTCAGAGAAGCCTCATCACAGAAGATAACTGCTTCCTTCCCATCTCATCCTCTTACTACATGTAGTTTCCTTTTTCATAGCCCTTACCTCAAATATGATTATGTTTTCATTTGTTAGCTCACCTTTTTTGTTTGTCTCCCCCACTACAGTGTGAACTCCATGACAGCAAGGATCATGCGTTTATTTATCAGTTATTCTGACACCTAGCTCTTTTATAAACTACAGGCTCCTTGGTTCCCCATGTAATGGCAATTAGCATGGAGCCAAGCAGATTTCCCAGACTAGGATTTATTTCAGAGCTTGTGGTCCAGTGCAAGGGAGACAGTGGAGGCACGGCACAAGGATCTTACAGCAGGCTCCTTGAGAAAGCCGATAGGGATTTTTTTATGAGGCCGAGCATGGAATTGACCCTAGGGGTAAGGTATACAGGCTGGGCTGGGTAAAACATGTGAGAAGTAGTGTATGCAAGTCAGCACATCTAGTTATCTCTAGTAACTGGCCTTCTGGTGGTCTGATGAGTGGTAACGCTGTAAATCAACTGTTCAACATTTTTTCCCAAGGTGGGACACTCTGCAGCCTTAGTTCTATGTTTAGATCTCCTAAGGCCAGTTTCTGGAATTATTTAAGTAAAAGGCATTGTTAAACATTATGAGAGCACAAAAGAATGGCTATTATCTTTGTGTGACTAAAGCCTTGGGGTTAGCAGATATAGTCAGTAAAGCAGTGGTGTGTGTTTTGTGAAAAGAAGGAGAAAAAAGAAAAAAATATGTGAGGGAGGAGCCTCATCCCACTCCTATCTCAGCCCTTTTTATAATGCATTGAATAAATTAAAGAATAAAAAATTATTTTATACTCTTACTAAAAATAAGTACCTAATCAGGGTTCAGCTCTACCTAACAATTATAATCTTAAATCTATATCTTAAAATAGGCAAATCAGAGAAAAAAATACTCACTGCACTGATACATTTGGTTGACTACCAAATTCCCATTTTTCTCATCTTCTAGCAAACAGACCCATAATATCTTTTGCTTGTGGGAGGCAAAAGGGTCACCTTCAGTACCAGGCAACATCCTGATCAAAAAAAGGCAACTTTGGCTGATACATCTCCTCTCCAGCAGTTTGTTTAGGAATGGGCACAACTGGGGAGCAGCTGCTAGTGTATTCTGAAAAAGTGTTTTCTTCTCTCAACAAAAGGGGCCCAAGGAAGGCTGTTTTCTGGACTTTATTGACTGAAGATATGATGTCTAGAGTGTCTAAAGTCATCTGGAGCATTGAGATGTTGATGAAAAGAGTCAAACTCTGTAAAATATTTGAAGACATTTATTCTGAGCCAAATATGAGTGACCATGGCCACAGGCCCCAGGAGGTCCTGAACACATGTGCTCGAGGTGGTTAGGGTGCAGCTTGGTTTTATACATTTTAGGGAGACATGAGACTTCAATCAAATACATTTAATAAATACATTGGTTTCGTCCTGAAAGGAAGGACAACTTGAATCAGGTGGCAGGGGTGGGGGTAGGGGGCTTCTAATTTCTAGGTAGATTTAAATTTTTTTTGGTTGGCAATTGGTTGAGTTTATCTAAAGATCTGGGATCAATAGAAAGGAAATGTGTGGGTCGTGATAAGAGGTTATGGAGACTGCAGTTTTATCATGCAGATGAAGCCTCGGGGCAATAGGCTTCGGAGAGAATAGATTGTAAATCTTTCTTATCAGACTTCAGGTCTATGTTGATGTTAATGCTGGAGAGGTATAAAGAAGCATGTCTGACTCCCACTTCCTATCATGGCATGAACCAGTCTCTCAGGTTAAAACTTAAGAATGCCCTGGCCGAGGAAGTTCATTCAGATGGTTGGGGGCCTTAGAATTTTATTTTTGGTTTACAGAGATGAGTAGCCACCATGGGGAGGGTAGCAGAAGGGAAGAACGAAAAGAATCACAGAATCATCTAGCCTCGAAAATACTCCTCTTCCCATTTCTTGTTAAGTGAAGTAATAAAAATATATTTATAAGATTAATTTTAATAGGTCTTTTGTTACTTGTAATCCAAACTGCTATTCTTAAGAATAATTTCTTAATAAGGGGTGCAATAAGGGAGTGATATATATATATATATATATATATATATACACACACAGTGATCGAATTATAAATTTATATTTTGTTAGAGAAAGACAGTAGTAAGTAAAGCCTTCATCAATAATCAGATATTACTGAGATATTTAATTACTTTTGATTGGATTGAGAAAAATATCTGTAGATTCTGGTAGGGCATGGAGAAGTTCTGATCACTATTATGGAGAAGATTTATTAGGAAGGAGTCCAGTGAGGCAATACCATTTAAGATAATGCTTCCCCCATTTCATTTAGTAATACAAAATGAATGCCTATTTCAAGAACACTGGAGAATTGAAATGACTGCTGTGATAGTTCTAAAACTAAAATATACTCAAGAAAGAAATGTTTTTTTAAACAATGTTGTCTAATTATACTTAGGAAATAAAGAGGTCCTTAGTATTTATGAATCAGTAAGTGTTCTTTTGGTTTTCCAACTGTGTTTTCTCTGTCAGAGATCTGTTAAATAGAACAAGAAACCTATTTACTATTGAATTTAAAATATTTTTTGTTTTTAACTAAGAAAGCTTTCATGTTATGAAAGAAAAAACAACCTTGCAAACAATAGCAAAATCCAAACAGTGGAAAAACTATGCACAGAAAGAGTAAGTTTTTCCCAACTTAGAACAATGGTTCAGTCCCCATTGGCAATGATTAATGTTAATTTTTCCATCTCAAATCTTTTATGAATAACTTGAATGGGTGAAGGAGCAGATTAAACCATATATTGAACAAATATTGATTGAGTGCTTCCTATCTATCAGGCATCATGCTTGGTGCTGGAAATGTAGCATGAAAAAGGTCACCAGTGAATCTGCCCTCAATGAGTTTGGGAAAATGAGTAGGGAAAGAGCCATAGCAATTAAAAGCATTTTCCTAAAGGTGGGATGTATCAGGGTAGTGAAGGACAGGTACTGGTAATAATCAGTGGAGGTACTTAGCTTCATCTATAGTGTCGCAAAAGACCTGCCTGAGGAAGTGATGTGTATACTAAGACCTGGGGAAGGCAGGCAATGTCTTTAACACATTTTTTCATCTATTTTAGGGTATAAGAGGCAGAAAGAATGCTATACTGTCATATGCAATTTAAGTAGCTCTTGTGTTTTAGCACTTATTTCTGTCAGCTATAAGCCCATTAGCATTATTAAGCTTTGAAGTGAATTGGTATTTTTTTTAAAGGATTAAGCTTTCAGAAGTAAAAATTCTTAATTTGGGGTTAAAAATAAATTGCTGCAAAAAACCTAAAATCCAAGTAGATAAATATATGCATGTCTTCTAAAATATAGCAAGTAACACAAAAGAAGGCCAAATGAACTTTAACTACAATATGAAGGATTTAGTTTGAACATTGTTGAGAACTTTCAGGAAGAAGTTCTTAAATCACATCATTCATTTAACCAGTGTTAATTCTTTGCTTGACCAAACTTTAGTCAAGCTCCTGAAACTTCTCCTAGGCTTATCTGTGCATTTCTTTGTAAAATCCAGAAAAGAACACTGCTAAGTCAGTTTAGCAAGACTCCTCCCCGCTTGATATCTGATCACTCCCAATATCTGAAGAGGTTCCTCATCCTCCACCATCCCCCAGGTGATGTTTGATCACCTTGAACTGTCTTCAACAAGAATCCTATTTGATAATAAAGCGGCCTCATTGTCTGGGGTGACACCAGAAATTCTTTGTCTCACAGCTGAGGAAATCAAAGACATGGACACACCAAGGGTGAGGTTGGAGCAGAAGTTTAATAGGTGAAAGAAAGAGAACAGCTCTCTGCTGCAGAGAGGGGTCCTGAAAAGGGTTGCTGTTCCACAGTGAAAGGCAAGGGTTTTTATAAATGAGCTAGTGGGGAGAGGGTATCTTATCTACACAGGGTGTGAAAATCCAGTTAGTACCAGGTGTGTCATTTGCATAGAGCATGATCTCTAGCAGCCCCCACCCAACCTTTTATTATACAAGCAGGTTCTTAGCCTAAGCTACTCCATGTTGCTTATCTTTTTCCTACTGTGCATGTCCTAAAAAGTGGGGTGGAAGGCCCTGGCCCAAGGTAGTCCTTTGGTTTTTTCTTTTTCTTTTTCTTTTTTTTAATTCTGAAATGGAGTCTCGCTCTGTCGCCGGGCTGGAGTGCAGCAGCACAATCTTGGCTCACTGCAACCTCTGCCTCCCAGGTTCAAGCAATTCTTCTGCCTCAGCCTCCCGAGTAGCTGGGACTACAGGCGCATGCCACCATGCCCAGCTAATTTTTGTATTTTTAGTTGAGAAGGGGTTTCACCATGTTGGCCAGGATGGTCTCGATCTGTTGACCTAGTGATCCACCCACCTCGGCCTCCCAATGCGCTTGGATTACAGGTGTGAGCCACTGCTCGCTCCCGGCCCAAGGTAGTCCTTTCTACCAGTGCAGCTGCAGGCATCCCCCAAGCAAGCTTCCAGCTTCCTTATCTGACTATGTCCAAAAAAAGGAAAGGAACGTGCTTACTAAGGCCCACTGTATGTATGTGAAGCTTGCTAATTACCCAGAAGCTCCCCACGCTGTGCCAGAGCTTGTTTCCTTATCAATGTTTTGCAGCCCAATCTTCCCGGCCTCTCCTTGTTAGGAGAGAAGTTATTTCTTGGGCTTCTTTGTGTTAGAAGGGAAGTTTGCCAAGGATTCTTTGCCCTAACTATCTGCCTAGCCAGTTTCTTCCTCTTCTCTCAATAGCTTGAACCAGGATCCCCCTTACCCCTGATACTTCCCCTTAGTAATTTTCTATCCACCGATCCCCAGATCCCCACCCTGCTTATTGGCTATAAATTCCCACTTTCCCATAGTGTTTTCAGAGTTGAGTCTAGCCTCTCTCTTCCGTTGCAAAATCCTATTGCTGTTCTTCCTATACCTACCATGATGGTCCTGAATGAAGTCTGCCATACTCTGCTTTATCAAATATCATTGAATATAATTTCTTTAATATAAGTTGGGGGAATTTAGAGTTTGTTGCTGATTTCTCACTATTATTTGAAAAATCCTAAATCTCACCCACTGTTAAATTAACACCTCTGGTGAAAGGCTGGTTTGATGGGATTTTAGAGAGTAAGGTCCAGGCTTTTTGTCATGAAGTCCAAGGACAATCACAGAAGTGCTGCATGTTCAGCTCAAGAACAGGATATTTATGAGAGTGCATAAGTACTTTGTTTTAATGGTGAGGTGTACTGGGTTGTAAATTTTAGAAAATAACTCGGGTAAGGAACATCTGTTTATTCACAGAGAACTTCTCACTTTCACTGCCACTGTCTTTGTTCAGGCACTTACCATTTCTTGCCTGTATTGTTACAGTAAATGCCTAACTAGTTTTCTTTCCTATTATCTTGTGCCCTTCCAATATGAATTCCACTCTGTTGCCCAAGAGAGCTTTTAAAAGGGCAAACTTGACCATGTCACTCCACTCTCCTGCTTAAAAACCCTTCCGCAATATCCCAATGCCTTGAGGATTGCAATCAATCAGCTTCACAAAGTGTATCATCATTTCACTCTTGCCTCTTTTTAAAGTTCCTATCTTGTTAGTGCTTTATACTTAACTTTTTACTTAGGCAGATGAATTACTAGCAGTTTCACAAAAAGCATATGGCTTCATAGGATTGTCTTTTTGTTTTTCTCTCTGCCGACATAGCCTCCATATTGTCTAGTACCCCATTAAGAGTTAATTACAGTGTTACCTTCCCAGGCTGAGGTAGGTTACATATTTCTATTCTATTCAGTTCTCCATAACGCCTTGTTTACAGGTCTAATAGAGTTCTAGCTTTATTGGGTTGAAATTGTTGAATCTCTTTTTTCTCTCTCTCTCGTAATACATCATGAATTCTTTTAGGTTAGGGGTTGTGTCTTGCTTGTCTTTATATACACAGACCTTAACATAATTTCTGGAAAATGGAAGGCAAATAATAGATGTGGCTTATCAGAAATAAGTTTTGTTTTTTGGCACTGCTCATCTGGTTAATATACTGAGAAAACATGCTTTCTAGCATTTATTTACTTCTATTTGAAAGTGTACTTTACTTTGTTACCAAAGGTCTGGGGTCTGTTCTTAATGATTATGGTTCAAGGATTAGGAAGAATACTAATGGTACAGTTAATTGGTTCAGAAAAGGGTCACTGGAGTCAGTGTGTTTGCGTTTGAATCTTGGGTCTTTAACTTATTAGCTGTGTGATTTTGAACAGATTACTACACTTCCCTAATACTTCAGCTTTTCCATCTGTGAAATAACACAGGGTTATTGGAGGATGAATTGAGACAATCCTTGTTAAACATTTAGGGTATCTGAAAGGAAGCAAGCATTTCATGAATGCCAGATATTATTATTTTAAGGATTTCTGCTTTTATTTCGTCCAGGGATCTGCTGGCATTCTTTGGAACCAGGCAAAAGCATAAAACGTGGTGCTAAGTACCGAGAATAGGGAGATTGAAATTGATGAAGGCATAGCACTTTCTCACCAAATTTCAAAATGAAAAATAGAGATTCCCATAAGAGAGGAAAAAAGTACTTTAACTCAAAGAATTTAGAAGAATGGGAGATTATTTTCGCCTGGGCTAGGGTTCTCAGCCTCTGCACTACTGACATATTGAGACAGATTATTCTTTGTTGGGTAGGACTATCTTGTGCATTGTAGGGTGTTTAGCAACATTTCTGGCCTCTGCCCACTAGATGCCAGGATAATGTTCCCAGGTGTGAAAACCAAAAATGTTTCCAGGCATTGCCAAATATTCGATGGGGGATAGGCTGGGTGTGGGGTAAATTTGCTCCCAGTTGAGAACCACTAAGCTAGGGAAATTTGAGAAAATGTGGCCTAGATATTCGGGGAGTTGTGGGGTAAAGTTGGGCCAACTGTGGAGATAATTTTTTAAAAAATTATTATCATACTTTAAGTTCTGCGGTACATGTGCAGAACGTGCAGGTTTGTTACATAGGTATACACATGCCATGGTGGTTTGCTGCACCCATCAACCTGTCACCTACATTAGGTATTTCTCCTGATGTTATCCCTCCCCTACCCCCCTACCCCCTGACAGGCCCCAGTGTATGATGTTCCCCTCCCTGTGTCCATGTGTTCTCATTGTTCAGCTCCCACTTATGAGTGAGAAGATGCAGTGTTTGGTTTTCTGTTCCTGTGTGTTAGTTTGCTGAGGAGGATAGTTTCCAGCTTCATCCATGTCCCTGCAAAGGACATGAACTTATCCTTTTTTATGTCTGCATAGTATTCCATGGTGTATATGTTCCACATTTTCTTTAACCAGTCTATCATTGATGGGCATTTGGGTTGGTTCCAAGTCTTTGCTATTGTGACTAGTGCCACAATAAACATACGTGTGCATGTGTCTTTATAGTAGAATGATTTATAATCCTTTAGGTATATACCCAGTAATGTGATTGCTGGGTCAGATAGTATTTGTGGTTCTAGATCCTTGAGGAATTACCATACTGTCTTCCACAATGGTTGAACTAATTTACACTCCCACCAACAGTGTAAAAGCATTCCTATTTCTCCACATCCTCTCCAGCATCTGTTGTTTCCTGACTTTTTAATGATCGCCATTCTAACTGGTGTGAGATGGTATCTTATTGTGGTTTTGATTTGCATTTCTCTAATGACCAGTGATGATGAGCTTTTGTTTTCATGTGCTTTTGGCCGCATAAATGTCTTCTTTTGGAATTGTCTGTTCATATCCTTCACCCACTTTTTAATGGGTTGTTTTTTTCTTGTAAATTTATTTAAGTTCTTTGTAGATTGTGGATATTAGCCCTTTGTCAGGATAGATAGCAAGAATTTTCTCCCATTCTGTATTTTGCCTGTTCACTCTGATGATAGTTTCTTTTTCTGTGTGGAAATTAGATCCCATTTGTCAATTATGGCTTTTGCTGCCATTGCTTTTGGTGTTTTAGCTGTGAAGTCTTCACCTATGCCTATGTCCTGAATGATATTGCCTAGGTTTACTTTTATGGTTTTTATGGTTGTAGGTCTTACGTTTAAGTCTTTAATTCATCTTGAGTTAATTTTTGTATAAGGTGTAAGGAAGGGGTCCAGTTTCAGTTTTCTGCATAAGGCTAGCCAGTTTTCCCAACACCATTTATTAAATAGGGAATCCTTTCCTCACTGCTTGTTTTTGTCAGGTTTGTCAAAGATCAGATGGATGTAGATGTGTGGTGTTATTTCTGAGGCCTCTGTTCTGTTCCATTGGTCTAAATATCTGTTTTGGTACCAATACCATGCTGTTTGGGTTACTGTAGCCTTGTAGTGTAATTTGAAGTCAGGTAGCATGATGCCGCCAGCTTTGTTGTTTTTGCCTAGGATTGTCTTGGCTATACGGGCTCTTTTTTGGTTCCCTGTGAAATTTAAAATAGTTTTTTCTAATTCTGTGAAGAAAGTCAGTGGTAGCTTGATGGGGACAGCATTGAATCTATAAATTACTTTGGGCAGTATGGCCATTTTCACGATATTGATTGTTTCTCTCCATGAGCATGGAATGTTTTTCCATTTGCTTGTGTTTTCTCTTATTTCATTGAGCAGTGGTTTGTAGTTCTCCTTGAAGAGGTCTTTCACATCCCTTGTAAGTTGGATTCCTAGGTATTTTATTCTCTTTGGAACAATTGTGAATGGGAGTTCACTCATGATTTGGCTCTCTGTTTCTCTATTATTGGTGTATAGGAATGCTTGTGATTTTTGCACATTGATTTTGTATCCTGAGACTTTGCTGAAGTTGCTTATCAGCTTAAGGAGGTTTTGGGCTGAGATGATGGGGTTTTCTAAATATACAATCATGTCATCTGCAAACAGAGATATTTTGACTTCCTCTCTTCCTATCTGAATACACTTTGTTTCTTCATCTTGCCTGATTGCCTTGGCTAGAACTTCTAATACTATGTTGAATAGGAGCGGTGAGAGAGGGCATCCTTGTCTTGTGACTGTTTTCAAAGGGAATGCTTCCAGTTTTTGCCCATTCAGTATGATACTGGCTGTGGGATTGTCATAAATAGCTCTTATTATTTTAAGATATGTTCCATAAACATCTAGCTTATTGAGAGTTTTTAGCATGAAGGGGTGTTGAATTTTATCAAAGGCCTTTTCTGCATCTATTGAGATAATCATGTGGTTTTTGTCATTGGCTCTGTTTTTGTGATGGATTACATTTACTGATTTGCATATGTTGAACCAGCCTTGTATCCCAGGGATGAAGCCAACTTGATTGTGGATAAGTTTTTCAAAGTGCTGCTGGATTCGGTTTGCTAATTTTTATTGAGGATTTTGCATTGATGTTCATCAGGGGTATTGGCCTGAAATTTTCTTTTTTTGTTGTTTCTCTGCCAGGTTTTGGTGTTAGGACGATGTTGGCCTCATAAAATGAGTTAGGGAGGATTCCCTCTTTTTCTATTGTTTGGGATAGTTTTAGAAGGGATGGTACCAGCTCCTCTTTGTAACTCTGGTAGAATTCGCCTGTCCATCTGTCTGATCCTGGGTTTTTTTTGGTTGGTAGGCTATTATTTACTGACTCAATTTCAGAACTTGTTATTTGTCTATTCAGGCATTTGACTTCTTTCTGGTTTATTCTTGGGAGGGTTTAATGTGTCCAGGAATTTATCAATTTCTTCTAGATTTTCTGGTTTATTTGTGTAGAGGTGTTTATAGTATTCTCTGATGGTAGTTTGTATTTCTGTGAGATCAGTGGTGATATCCCCTTTATCATTTTTTACTGTATCTATTCTTCTCTCTTTTCTTCTTTATTAGTCTGGCTTGTGGTCTATCTATTTTGTTAATCTTTTCAAAAAACCAGCTCTTTGATTCATTGATTTTTTTGAAGGGTTTTTTTGTGTCTCTGTCTCCTTCAGTTCTTCTCTGATGTTAGTTATATCTTGTCTTCTGTTAGCTTTTGAATTTGTTTGCTCTCGCTGCTTTAGTTCTTTTAATTGTGATGTTAGTTCTTTTAATTGTGATGTTAGGGTGTCTATTTGAGGTCTTTCCCGCTTTCTTCTGTGGGCATTTAGTGCTATAAATTTCCCTCTAAACAATGTTTTGGCTGTGTCCCAGAGATTCTGGTACATTGTTTTTTTGTTCTCATTGGTTTCAAAGAACTTATTTATTTCTGCCTTCATTTCATTATTTACCCAGTAGTCATTCAGGAGCAGGTTGTTCAGTTTCCATGTAGTTGTGTGGTTTTAATTGAGTTTCTTAATCCTGAATTCTAATATGATTACACTGTGGTCTGAGATACTGTTTTTTTTTTTTTTTTATGATTTCCATTCTTTTGCATTTGCTGAGGATGTTTTACTTCCAATTATGTGGTCAATTTTAGAATAAATGTGATGTGGTGCTGAGAAGAATGTATATTCTGTTGATGTGGAGTGGAGAGTTCTGTAGATGTCTGTTAGGTATGCTTGGTCCAGAGCTGAGTTTAAGTCTTGAATATCCTTGTTAATTTTCTGTCTTGTTGATCTGTCTAATATTGACAGTGAGGTGTTAAAGTCTTCCACTATTATTATGTGGGAGTCTAAGTCTCTTTGTAGGCCTGTAAGAACTTGCTTTATGAATCTGGGTGCTCCTGTATTATGTGCATATATATTTAGGATAGTTAGCTCTTCTTGTTGCATTGATCCCTTTACCATTAAGTAGTGGCCTTCTTTGTCTTTTTTGATCTTTGTTTGGTTAAAGTCTGTTTTATCAGAGACTAGGATTGCAACCCCTGCTTTTTTTTGCTTTCCATTTGCTTGGTAAATATTTCTTCATCCCTTTATTTTGGGCCTATGTGTGTCTTTGCATGTGAGATGGGTCTCCTGAATACAGCACACTGTTGGGTCTTGACTCTTTATCCAATTTGCCAGTCTGTGTCTTTTAATTGGGTCATTTAGCCTGTCTACACTTAAGGTTAATATTGTTATGTGTGAATTTGATCCTGTCATTATGATGCTTGCTGGTTATTTTGTCCATTAGTTGATGCAGTTTCTTCACAGTGCTGATGGTCTTTACAATTTGGTATGTTTTTCCAGTGCCTGGCACTGTTTTTTCTTTCCATATTTAGTGCTTCCTTCAGGAGCTCTTGTAACACAGGCTTGGTGTTGACAAAAATCACTCAGCATTTGCTTGTCTATAAAGGATTTTATTTCTCCTTCACTTATGAGGCTTAGTTTGGCTGGATATGAAATTCTGGGTTAAAAATTCTTTTCTTTAAGAATTGTGACTATTGGCCCCCACTCTTTTCTGGCTGATAGGGTTTCTGCAAAGAGATTCACTGTTAGTGAGGTGGGCATCCCTTTGTGGGTAACCCGACCTTCTCTGGCTCCCCTGAACATGTTTTCCTTCATTTCAACCCTGGTGAATCTGACAGTTATGTGTCTTGGGGTTGCTCTTCTTGAGGTCTATATTTGTGGTGTTCTCTGAATTTCGTGAATTTGAATGTTGGCCTATCTTGCTAGGTTGGGGAAATTCTCCTGGATAATATCCTGAAGAGTGTTTTGCAACTTGGTTCCATTCTCCTTGTCACTTTCAGGTACACAAATCAAATGTAGGTTTGGTTTTTTCACATAGTCCCATATTCTTGGAGGCTTTGTTCATTCCTTTTCATTCTTTTTTCTGTAATCTTGTCTTCACACTTTATTTCATTAAGTTGATCTTCAATCTCTGATAGCCTTTCTTCCACTCGATCGATTGGGCTATTGATACTTGTGTATGCTTCACAAAATTCTTGTGCTGTGTTTTTCAACTCCATCAGTTCATTTATGTTCTTCTCTAAACTGGTTATTCTAGTTAGGAATTCATCTAACCTCTTTGGAAGGTTCTTAACTCTCTTGCATTGGGTTAGAACATGCTCCTTTAGCTCAGAGGAGTTTGTTATTATCCACCTTCTGAAGCCTCCTTCTGTCAATTCATCAAACTCATTCTTTGTCCAGTTTTGTTCCCTTGCCGGTGAGGAGTTGTGATCCTTTGGAGGAGAAAAGGCGTTCTGGCTTTTGGAATTTTCAGCCTTTTTGTGCTGGATTTTCCTCATCTTCATGGATTTATCTCCATTTGGTCTTTGATGTTGGTGACCTTTGGATGGGGTTCCTGTGTGGACATCCTTTTTGTTGATGTTGATGCTCTTTATTTCTGTTTGTTAGTTTTCTTTCTGACAGGCCCCTCTGCTGCAGGTCTGCTGGAATTTGCTGGAGGTCCACTCCAGACCCTCTTTGCCAGGGTATCACCAGCAGAGGCTGCAAAACAGCACAGATTGCTGCTTGTTCCTTCCTCTGGAAGCTTCATCCCAGAGGGGCACCCACCAGATTCCAGCCAGAGCTCCTGTGTGAGGTGTCTGTCCACCCCTGCTGGGAGGTGTCCCCCAGTGAGGAGGCATGGGTGTCAGGGGCCCACTTGAGGAGGCAGTCTGTCCCTTAGCAGAGCTTGAGTGCTGTACTGGGAGATCTGCTGCTCTCTTCAGAGCCATCGGGCAGTCTGCTGAAGCTGCGCCCACAGCCGCCGCTTCCCCCAGGTGCTCTGTCCCAGGGAGATGGGAGTTTTATCTATAAGCCCCTGACTGGGGCTGCTTCCTTTCTTTCAGAGATTAGGAATCTAGAGAGACAGTCTAGAGAGGAAGAATCTAGAGAGACAGTCTGGCTACAGCGGCTTTGCAGATCTGCGGTAGGCTCTGCCCAGTTCAAACTTCCTGGTGGCTTTGTTTACACTGTGAGGGGAAAATCGCCTCCTCAAGCCTCAGTAATGGCAGACGCCCCTCTCCCCACCAAGCTCGAGCGTCCCAGTTTGACTTCAGACTGCTGTGCTGGCAGTGAGAATTTCAAGCCAGTGGCTCTTAGCTTGCTGGGCTCTGTGGGGCTGGGATCTGCTGAGTTAGACCCCTTGGCTCCCTGGCTTCAGCCCCTTTTCTAGTGGTTCTGTCTTGCTGGTATTCCAGGCACTACTGGGTTATGAAGGAAAACTCCTGCAGCTAGCTCAGTGTCTGCCCAAACAGCCACCCAGTTTTGTGGTTGAAACCCAGAGCCCTGGTTGTATGGGCACCCGAGGGATTCTCCTGGTCTGTGGGTTGTGAAGACCGTGGGAAAAGTGTAATGTCTGGGCCGGTGTGCAGCGTTCCTCACAGCACACTCCCTCATGGCTTCCCTTGGCCAAGGGAGGGATTTCCCTGATCCCTTGCGCTTCCCGGGTGAGGCAATGCCCCACCCTGCTTCTGCTTGCCCTCTGTGGGCTGCATCCACTCTCTAACCAGTCCCATTAAGGTGAGCCAGGTACCTCAGTTGTAAATGTAGAAATCACCCGCCTTCTGCTTTGATATCACTGGGAATTGCAGACTGGAGCTGTTCCTATTTGGCCATCTTGTTTGCAACTCTAGAGATAATTTTCAAATGAATCACATAGTTCAGAAGAGGCTTTATAAATTCATCTTGGGCTGGGCATGGGGCTCATGCCTGTAATCCCAGCAATTTGAGAGGCCGAGGCAGGTGGCTCACCTAATGTCGGGAGTTCAAGACCAGCCTGGCCAACATGGTGAAACCCTGTCTGTACTAAAAATAAAAAAATTAGCCAGGCATGGTGGTGGGCACCTGTAATACCAGCTACTCAGGAAGCTGAGGCAGGAGAATCACTTGAACCTGGGAGGTGGAGGTTGCAGTGAGGTGAGATCATGCTATTGCACTCCAGCCTGGGCAAAAAGAGTGAAATTTCTTCTCAATTAAAAAAAAAAAAAAGAAAAGAAAATTTATTCTTTGGGAAATCTTTAAAAATTGGATTTATTTTTATCTGTCTGAAATAAATTAGGTGTTGAGTTGGAGGGAGGAAGGGATTATCTGGATTTATTATTAACATTTGCAACTCCCAGAAGCTGATGATCATCTGGTGTATTCTCAGTGCATCAAAAGGCTAAAGACCAAAGGTAGGTGCAAAGATGCAAAGCATGGCTTCTGACCCAAAGGAGCTTGTCCATTGTAAACTCTTTAAAGGCAGAGGGCTATATGTTATGAGGTAAGTTTATGAGATACATTAAAAAGTGCTAGTTAGATATATCTCTATTTAAACAATAACTTAAGACAATAAGAAAGGCACTTTCACAAGATTACTAACACAAAATTTTCTAGGAGTTTAGGGGAGGAAGAAAGCTTTTCAGGCTCAGTAATAGAGGAAGGCTTTACCCAGACTGATATATAAACAAAGCCTTGAAAATGAGTCGTGCGCAGTGGCTCACGCCTGTAATTTCAGCACTTTGGGAGGCCAAGGTGGGTGGATCACCTGAGGTCAGGAGTTTGAGAACAGCCTGGCCAACATGGTGAAACTCTGTCTCTACTAAAAAGACAAAAATTAGCCGAGTGTGGTGGCAGGTGCCTGTAATCCCAGCTACTCGGGAGGCTGAGGCACGAGAATTGCTTGAACCCCGGAGGCAGAGGTTGTAGTGAGCCGAGATCCTGCCACTGCACTGTAGCCTGGGCAGCAGAGCGAGACTCTGTCAAAAAAAAAAAAAAAAGTGCGATTTAGATGAGATAGGCTAGTGAAAAATCCTAAACAAAGAGATAGAGGTAGGAATGCATGGGAGAGGTTTACAGCAGAGGATTGATTACCTAGGCCAGAGTTGAGGGTTTGGTGGATCATAACAGATGGGGTTAAAGAAATATTTGCATTTTGTTTGTTGAAGGCCAAATAGTTCCATTTATGCAAACTCTAGTAAAATGCTCTCTGGGGTCTTTGTGAAAAGCTAGCTCAGGGGCTTCGGACAGGATTTAAAGGGACAGAACAAATGCTGCTCTGTTTAGACTCACGTGGTTTTCTCTGTGGTGCGCTCGTCATTTGTCAGGGCAGTGTACTTGTTCTGGTCCTGTTTCCTCTTCTCTGAAATTGGTTTTCAGAGAATCATGCACCCTTTGCTTGTGGCAGAAGTTTGAACTTCCAAAGCTGTCTCCTTTCTCTTTTTTCTCGGACTCCTTATGCTCTGGTTATATGGGTTATGGTAAAGATTGTCTTATTTTCTCAACAGCTTCCAAGCATTCTGGGCCATTTTTTGGGTGCCAGTAATAAACAGAGCTATTTAAATATGACATCACACCTAGGTAAGTGCCATGTGTATTATCATATCCTGTTTCTTACAGTGTGTAAATGGAGGTGCACCAGAGGTAGCAACTACCAGCAAATGAAGTCAACAAATAAAGGAATAACACTAAAATTTAACAGCCTCATCTATTGGCAGCCAAAAATCTTTCTATTTTTTTAGGTTTAAGTCAAGGTTATTCTCTTTCTCTTTGAAAAGATGAAAACAGTGCCAAATAAAAAAATATGAAAACACATCTAAAGGAATATATTTTTTAAAATATTGGCCAGGCCAATATTTTTAGGCAGCCACCTGCTTCCCCTAGGCCACTGACTCTTATTCACTGTGGACTAGATCGGACACTGCTGCTTCCTGCCTCTGAACAATCAACTCCTGCCATTCTTCTCCCTCTGGCAAGTAGAGAACACCTACTGCCTTTCATAACCAGCTCTTAGAGAAAGTGTTGCCCTTATATAGCTTTAGGGCCCCTCAAGAGCTGTTGTACCAAGAGAGTGGTCCCACATATTGAACTCAGGTCCTATTGCTTGTTCTTGATTATTAATTTTCCTTAGGAAACAAACATCATTTTCCCTTTCAGAGCTCATTTTACCTTGATAATCCTCAGTCTGTCAAACACATTAGAATAGATCGAAACTCCCACTCATTTAATTCCTACCTTCTATCCTTTATCTCTTACCATATCTAATTAGGGGTGTGATGAAGATCAGTTTTCGATGTGAATATTTTTAATAGCTTTTCTTCCCCAGTTTTATAACCCAGAAATAGTTCCTCAAGGACTTTTTGAAATGTAGGCACCATTGAAGATAGTGTCCCTATCTCATAGTTTCTTGGGTTGGTAGATGCCTTGCTCCAATTTGCATAACTACCTCCTCTTATAAAGATATGAGAAGCTTATCCTTATTTGGATAAAGCCAGTCAGTAAACCCAGATAGCCTATGATTTCCTTCTAACATCCTCCAGTACTTTTCTACTAGATCATCCCAGTACTTAATAACCCTCTCACCCCTCGCTTCAGCAGAGTTGAGTTCAGGCCTCTGTTTCCCATTGCAATAGCCTCCAATAAAGTCTTCTTTACTTCTTTAATTATTTTATCCAGTGCGATTTTTGCTTTGATGATGATGATAGTTTTTATAGGTTTGAAGATTTGGAGACTAGGAAAATGGGGGTAGTAATGGAAATAGGAGAAAGTGAAGGGATATTCTTTTAGTGAGGGATTGTTGAGTTTGAACATTTGGGATTTAAGATGGTGATTGACATTCAAATGATGAAATGGCTCGGGAGCTTTGATAATACTCAGACTTGAGAGTCAGTCAACATAGTGGTGATGTTTAAAGTTCTGATAAAGTGTTATTTCTGTACAGAATCAGGAAGATCAGAAGATCAGATGAGAGACGATCGGGGGCTAAGATAGAAACTTTGTTAAGGGTTGAAGAAAAGGACTAAGCACTGTCAGGAAAGAAGCTAGAAGGGTCCCAAGTAAACAACAGAAATAAAAATGAAGAAGAGAGTTTGGGTTCTGCTAAAAGTAAATTCTTAAAAGAACACTATGTAGAAGAGTGACAGAGGAAATTTTAAAGGGGGATTGTGTGCTAAGAACATGATCAGAAATACACAAATCATTTGAGAATTTGGTTAAGAAAAAAAGAGAAGTAGGAGGTTGTAATAAAATTCGTTTTCCCAGAATAGATAGTACTAAAATATTTATTTAAGTTAGACTAAAAAAAACAAAGAACAAAAAAAGATTGGTATTCAAAATACTAGAGTTTGGGCAGGTAGGAATGTTAACTTTCAAATGAAGGATTTGAGCATATGTGTATGTGTGTCTGTGTGTTTAAGGGATAATGTTGTTAGTATTATTTTCTTTATATAAAAATTAATTTTGGTATTTGAAAAGAAATCTTGTAGCGTTAGTCCCTTATTTTTTTAAGCAGTAAATTGAAAAAATTAAACTGAAGTAAATTTTTATAACATAACTTTTTTAAAGGAAAAATTAATTACCTATGCTAGAGGGCAAGACTTCTTTGAAGTCAATGGGTACAAAGGTATTTCAAGGACAAACGCCTGTTAGAGAAAACTAATGGAGGAAATTTTGTTTTAGTAAGGAAGTGCATCATGTAGGTTGGAAAATGAGAGAATGATGGTAAATCACATTTTCCCTCAATTTTTGACTTGTAAAAGGATAGTAGGAGTAAAGATAATGTTACTCTGGACTATTTGAAAGCCGTTTTTACTTATACTAAATAAGCATATTAGTGTATACTTACATAGTGTCTACCAAGTGTTTGGCACATTTAAATTCACTAAATCCTTTCACCAAATCTCTTCCAAAAGTACCATTACTATCCCCGGTTTCCTAATGAGGACGTTGACAGGTTAAGTAACTTTCCCAGAGTTAGTTACTCACTTAAGAAATAGGGTCAGGATTAGAATCCAGGTAATCTAAGACCAAAGTCTGTGTACACTATACTCTACTTATTAATTAAGTAATTTATGATTATAGGGTTTGTATGTGGGGGGGGGCTCTCAAGACTGATCATTTACATCACACCTTTGTGGGAATTAGAGGCTCCCTCTGCATGAATGGATTAGAAAAACACATTTTGCCAAGCAATAAAAGCCTTGTGGTCCTGTACACTCGAAATGCATATGTCTGAGTTCAAATCCTAGCTCTGCCTCACCCTGTGGAATGGCTTTGGTAAATAACTAGCCTCTCAGTACTTCCATTTCCTCATCTATGTATTGGGGACATTTAGCGCTCTCTCCAAAATTAATTGTGTGGTTGAATTGAGGTGTTAGGAAGAAGATATGGCTGGCCCTTAGCACACATTCCATATATATCATCTATTCGTTCTTAAAAATAAAATATGGCATTAATTTAGAAATAACACTTTTTTTCACTAGCCTTTTATGCAAAAAAGTTATTGAGACATTTCCCCTCATCTTTAATATCTGTCTTTATCATCAATAGACACACTTTTGAATCACTTAAAACAGTTTTCCAGAGCCCAACATCTTGAATTCCAAGTTAAGAATCAATACTATGTTTTTGTATTTGGCAGTTGTATTAGTCTGTTTTTATGCTGCTGATAAAGACATACCTGAGACTGGGTAATTTATAAAGAAAAAGAGGTTTAATGGACTCACAGCTCCACATGGCTGGGGAGGCCTCACAATCATGGCAGAAGGCAAAAGGCATGTCTTACATGGTGGCAGTAAGAGAGGATGAGAGCCAAGCAAAAGGGGAAACTCCTATAAAATCATCAGATCTCATGAGACTTATTCACTACCACAAGAACAGTATGGGGGAAACCACCCCCATGATTCAGTTATCTCCAACCAGGTCCCTCCTACAACGTGTGGGAATTATGGGAGCTACAATTCAAGATGAGATTTGGGTGAGGACACAGCCAAACCATATCGATCAGTGCTGTCATAAAAAATTGTATCCCAAGCCAGCACTACTCCTCACAGAGTATTAGGACAGATTTTTTGGTTCTACTCTGTTGAGTGTAGGTGATCTCTAAAATGTAAATTATTTTATGTATTACTTTCTAAAGAAATCTTTTCTTTTTTTATTATTTTGAGACAGAGTCTGACTCTATCACTCAAGGTGGCACGATCTCGGCGCACTGCAACCTGCGCCTCTTGGGTTCCAAGTGATTCTTGTGCCTCAGCCTTCTTAGTAGCTGGGATTACAAGCATGAGCCACCACACCCAACTAATGTTTGTATTTTTAGTAGAGATGGGGTTTTGCCATGTTGGCCAGGCTTTTCTCAAAATCCTGGCTTCAAGTAATTTGCCTGCCTCGGCCTCCCAAAGTGCTGAGATTATAGGTGTGAGCGACGTGCCCTCTGAGCCACTGTGCTTAGCCAGAAATCTTTAAAAAGTTAGTGTATAGCAGCATCCAATAATTCTTACTGTGAATTTATACTCAAAGAATAATTATTAAATCTGTGAAATTTTTCTTTTTATCAAAAAGAATTTCTTCCTCTTTTTATGTCAGATGACTTGGTAAGAATTATAAACTAGCATTGATTGGGGTCATTTCTGGTTAATATATCTTCCTCAAACAGTACTTTATGGTTCAAAATAAAGAAATTTAGAGAGCCCTTCATATTTGATTATAAGGTAAATTCTTTTTTCTAAATGTGAATTTGGGGAAAATTTTTTTAGCTATATTTTACATTGATAAGATGCTTAGGGCATATAGGGAAACTAAAAGGCATGCTCAGAAAAATAGATGATTTTAAACTTGCCTCTTAGAGGCAGGGGTATTGTTGCTTGAGAGATGACTGCAGTTTGTACCTTTTAGAGCAGAACACAATGTTTCAAAGTGTAATCACAGATTTTAGTACATTTAGTTTCACCACATTGAGGCACAACTTAGATATGGAGCCCAGGAATCTACATTTTAAACAAGGTCTTTCCTACTCCAAATATTTTTTATGCACACTACAGTTTGAGTAATTGTATTTCGTATAATAGAGGATATGTGTGGCAGAAAGGAGTGGAGTGAACAGCCAGAGAAGAGGGAGGGCAAGAATAGACCAAGTGATTAAGATAGGCAGGTGGGATTGGGAAAGAGACTTACTATAAGGCATTGGGGCTCACTTGATTATGAAGGCTTAGAAGTCTGGGAGCTGAAGGGGGTGAACTGGGGACCCAGAAGAGCTGATGGTGTAGTTTTAGGCAGAATCTGAAGGTCTGAAAACCAGGAGGACTGATAGTGTAGTTCCAGTCTGAGTCCATGTCCAAGGGCAGGAAAAGACCAATGTCTCAGCTTGAAGATGGTCAGGCAGAGAGAAAATTACCCAGTCTCAGCCATTCTGTTATGACAACAGAAAATGAAATAAGACAGTGTGTTTAAATATATGAAAACAGTAATAAGCCTGTAATCTCTCTTTTTTTTTTTTTCTTGAAATGACGTCTCGCTTTGTCGCCCAGGCTGGAGTGCAGTGATATGATCTTGGCCCACTGCAACCTCTGCCTGCTGGGTTCAAGCAATCTCCTGCCTCAACCTCATGAGTAGCTGGGATTACAGGCATGTGCCACTGTGCCCAGCTAATTTTTGTATTTTTAGTAGAGATGGGGTTTTACCATATTGGTCAGGCTGGTCTCAAACTCCTGACCTCGTGATCCGCCCACCTCAGCCTCCCAAAGGCCTGTAATCTCATAGGAGAGAGACATCTTTTACTAGAAAGGTACTGTGTCCAGAGTTAAAAGTAAAGATAAAATAAATGCTATTCACTATGCTTGGGAAAGATGAGAGGCCAAAGAGGTGAAAAGAGAAAGAAGGAAGTTATCAATGACAAAGTTATAAATATTGATGAGTGAGCAATCTGAACAAAGGTCATATCATTTATTAGATGACATTGAAAGGTTATTTTTACTACTTCAGTGATTTTGTTGCATATTCCTATAAAAGAGGGATATATGTAAAATGAACAATGTTCCTGATAAAGTATGCACAATAAAGATATTTCTATGATATGGATCACCCTTGACAACATTGTAAAGGGCTAGTTGTGTTTCACCCTTCCTGCTGGTCCCCATTTTCCTCATAACAGACTCTCTCCTCTACTTTGACGGGTCTAGTGTCCCAATTCTTGCCGCTTTTCCCATGCTTTCTCAGTTTTAAGAACTTTGAGTGTGATGGTTGATGAATTATACTTTACTATATGTAAATTTCAATTACTTCTTTCATTTATATTTGAAACTATTTGACCAGGCACCAGTGACCAGGGTAGGAGAGACTTGGGATGACAAGGAGACGTTGAGGGGTGCCTTTGTCCCTCTTTCTCTCCCCTTTTACGCCAGTCAGATACTTTCCAAATAGAGTATTGGTTTTACCCTGGCAAATGTAAAAGAAAACTTACACCAGACAGAGTTAAACAGAGAAAAAGGACTTTTTTCAAGACTATTGAAGTAGGTGTCAAGACTATTGCAATGCAGGAGAGATTGAATTCAACTCTGAATAGAAGGACACCTGGGGATTTATAGCAAATGGACAGAGTGAGGGAATCATTAAATGGAAATTACTAGGAGGAGCTTAGTTACAAAGGGTAGGGAATCAGAAACTTTATTGGATATCAAGGGTTAGAGATATTTTTGCTAAACTGGCTTTAGGAGGATTCTTGTTAAAACTAGGATAACTGAATTCTTTGTTAAAACTACGCTTAACAAACCAAGGACAAATTTTAGTCAAGAAAAGGGCTCACAGGCCTGGCACAGTGGCTCATGCCTGTAATCCCAGCAATTTGGGGGACCGAGGCAGGTGGATCACTTGAGGTCAGGAGTTTGAGACCAGCCTGGGCAACATGGCAAAACCCGTCTCTACTAAAAATACAGAAATTAGCTGGGCATGATGGTGTGTGCCTGTAATCCCAGCTACTCGGGAGGCTGAGGCAGGAGAATTGCTTGAACCCGGGAGGTGGAAGTTGCAGTGAGCTGAGATTGCACCACTGCCCTCCAGACTGGGTGACAGAGTGAGACTCTGTCTCAGGGAAAAAACAAAAAACAAACAAAAAAGCTCAGAGTGAGGAGCCTGTTTAAAACTTGCTCAAGGACAGATTCTTTGTCAACAATGAGAGGTTTGTTAAGCGTCCAGCTGAAAGGTGAATGATATAATTTCTAACATTGTTCAGCCAAAACTTTGGTGTTTGAAATCCTCCCATTCCTTCTCTTTAATGGCAGTAGTCACAATAACTATCACTTCCATAGTTCCAGGTATGCCACTTACTACTTTTCATGTGCCAGTGCATTTTTTTCCTCACAACAGCCCTGTTAGATAGGTCCTTTGACTATCCCTTTGTCACAAGAGAAAATTAAAGCATAGTGAGGTCAGGTCACACACTGAGTAGTGACATCAGACACCAGAGGCCATGTTCTTCACCGTATGCTATACTGTCCTGTTGTGAGGGGCTCCCTCAAGCAAAAGTGGATGCCTTCACTAGTTCTCTCCCTTCCCTAGTTCTCTCCCTTCCCTGTCTTCCTTGTGAAAAATACTCCAAGACTTCAGAATCTATTCTCCCATTTATATTTGGGTCTCCACCATTCTCTGTCTTCTGAAACATGGCAATTCTGCTTCAGTTACTGGACAGGCTCTCCACACAGCCTCATGGACCAATTCGAACTCTTTACCTAATTGTAAATGCCATGCAAGTGTCCAAAAGGAAAGCATGGTGTATAGAAAGCATCTCTTTGAAGTAGGAAACATGGAGGTATGGTAATTGCATCTTTGGCTTTTGAGCGATTACCTATTATTGTGTGTGCCAATGTATATATGCATCTTACACTTTATGGAAATAGGAAACTAGGTCAACATCGAGGGAGATTAAGAATACTAATCAATAACTTAAAAAGAGAAAAAGGTCATTAACATTTGAAATGTCATAGGAAAGTAAATCCAAATCCCAAATTGGGTACTATGTAGGCTGTCATTTACACTTAAAGAATCATAATCTTCAAAAAAGAGGGACCCTGCAATCTGCTTTGTAAATAACTATTTGGGTGATTCTCATGTTCATTCAAATGAGAAAGTCATTGCCCTGGGAGTTGTGAAGGCATTTAAAAAAATTTAATGACGACATACTTTAATTTCCCAGTAATTTAATAAAAATGTCTTGAACTGCTAAAAAATAAATTGGATAAACTAAGAAACAAAAACATGTACTCTCAGTTTTAGCTTTATTTGAAAGAGTCTTAGAGAAATAAAATTAAATCCCATTTGAGTCATTTGGAAGTGTTTCTTTCTGTCCTTTTCTTTCTCTGTTCTTTTATTCCTGAAGAATAGCCGTAAAATGGCTTACATGTTCCCACCAGGAAAGCTGGGTTACAACTTGGAGACGAACAATTTTGCTGAAATCACTATTTGCAGAGATATATAGCTCCTTAGCCAGCTGAAAATGTTCTTGTCTTGAACATAGGCAGGTGTGTTGCTGCTGGACCGTGAGGGTTGCCCTGGTCACGGCAAAAGCCTTCAGATAGCTCACTTGCTTGAGAGTTGGCCTGCCACCATCAATGTGATGCCTGATTTTCCATAGCCAAGAGAGAACACATTCCTTAGGGAAGCTGGAGTGCTTGCCATGGTGAGGGACATTCACTTTTTCACTGATTCATTTGATTTGACAAAATAATCCTGGAACATTCAATTTTACCCTCGTGTTCTGTAGTCAAAGCAACTAACATGGATCAAGAATACTTAGGGTTTGTGGTTTTTGAATATGTTAGTCATTCTCACTTGTTTCTTCAGAGGATGTTACCTGGTGATTAGGATTGGGTTCTGGAGTCAGATTGCCAAGATTTCAACACAGGCTGTAGTATTTTTTACCTTGTCTGATTCTGAGCAGGCTATTTCACTTCTTGGTGCCTCATTTTCACCTCTGTAAAGTGGGGGATGATTATAATACCTCCCTCTTGGAGGGTTTTCATAAGGATTAAATGAGATAATGCAGGTGAAACATTAGGAACTGTGCCTGGCACACATGTGGTATTCAGTAAATATTAGGTAATAATTTCTAAAATGAGCAACAAATTGACTATTCACATTCGAGTAAAGGGCTTTAAAAAATGTTTAATTCATAAGTTTTAGAGATTTTAAAATATATTAGTATGTTTGTATATGTGTACATGTATTGGAGGCTGGGAGAGGGACACAATGTAAATCTAGGCATTGATTGTTTACCTCATAGTATTAAGGAAATACCACCGTATTAAAGCCACAGCTAGGGAATACAAGGTTTCTAAGTCGGTAAGTTATAATTCCAGAGTTGGAGTTTTCCTCTGTTACAGTCTACTGCAGGAAGGAGACAAGACGAGGCTGCCCTGTGGGAAGGCACAATTTTGGTGCCATATTTACGCCCCTATAAAAAGTTTAGTTTCTTTACCCATATCGGGATTAGGATGAGCAGAGAAAGAACCATAAAGGGCAGACACAACACAGCTTATTAAGATACGCATGTTGACCTGTCGTACCAGAGAAGAATAAGGGCCTCTCCAAACTTTTGTGGTAGGACTTGGGGGTTAAGGGCAGGAGCATTCACTAACAATTCTTTTTTTCTCGAGAGAGACTAGACCTACCAAGCCAAGGACTTTTTCCTTATCCTTCAAATTGTGTTTCAGCTGAATAGCAATGATTACGGTGTGTTAGTAGGCTTAAAGTGGTACACTAAATGCTCTTTCCAATGAGTCAAGCATAAACCTGGGGGAACAGATATATAAGGTGATTTTTCTTTCAGATCAGAAAATATTGCTCTTGTTAACCCATGTTCTCTTCTTGCCATCTGATCTGCCTAATCCTCAGTGAGTCATCTGTTTCATCTCCTGCTCACTTTAGGATGGTGTTGGAAGAGTAAGATGGGCTTATGTTGGCCCATGTTATGTAGTTATGCATCACTGTCACTAAGCTTCTTAAACTTACCAAAGCACAAGCTTAAACCTGTGTATAAGACACAGCTTATGGCCGGGCGCGGTGGCTCACGCCTGTAATCCCAGCACTTTGGGAGGCCAAGGTGGGCAGTCAGGAGATAGAGACCATCCTGGCTAACACAGTGAAACCCCATTTCTACTAAAAATACAAAATATTAGCCAGGCATTGTGGTGGGCGCCTGTAGTCCCAGCTACTCAGGAGGCTGAGGCAGGAGAATGGCGTGAACCCGGGAGGCGGAGCTTGCATTGAGCCGAGATCGTGCCACTGAGCTCCAGCCGGACAGAGCAAGACTCTGTCTCAAAAAAAAAAAAAAAAAAAAAAAGAAAAAGAAAAAGAAAAAAAAAAACACGGCTGATACAACATCAGAAGTTTTCTGCATAGAATTATACAAAGTGATTTAAAATATTTGGATAGTTAAAAACTTAATTTCCCATTGCTCTCAGAGACTTCTTCATGTCCTAGAAGTCATGATGTCAAAATATCAATGAAGGTGAATTAGTGATTAAAAAAAAAAAGATTGTGAAATTCTTATGCTTAGTTCTGCACTTTTCTTCTGTTTCTACTCTTAATTTGAACTTCATCCATACTTCACACAATTTTATTCCTCTGATCTGTCTCATTTTCCTTTAATTTGTTCCACTATTCTCCTATTTCCAAGCAGACAGCACCTACCTACTTTACCAATTCTGGGCTTCCTCTTCCTTTTGGTTATTTCTAAGATACAGTTGTTGTATTAGTCCATTCTCACATTGCTATAAAGAAATACTGAGACTGGGTAATTTATAAAGGAAAGAGGTTTAATTGGCACACAGTTCTACCTGCTCTACAGGAAGCATAGTGGTTTCTGCTTCTGGGGAGACCTCAGGAAACTTACAATCATGGCAGAAGGCCAAGGGGAAGCTGGCATGTCCTATTGGAGTTAGAATAAGACAGGGTGGTGGGGAGGTGCCACACATTTGTAAACAACCAGATCTTGTGAGAACTCTATCATGAGAATGACATCAAAGAGAAAAATCTACCCCCATGATCCAATCACCTCCCACCAGGCCCCATCTCCAACACTGGGATTACAACTGGACATGAGATTTGGGGTGGGGGGGGACACAAATCCAAACCATATCAGTTATCTTGTGCGCTTACTTTTGGTCTCTCTCTCTCTCTCTCTCTCTCTGTCTGTCTCTCTCACACTCTCGTTGTGTATGTGTATGTGTGTCTGTAAGCTGGGAATTTGTTACTTCTTAGATACCTAGCCTTGCCTTATTCAGGGAATACTGGAATATAAACATCTTTTTTACTTTCTCATTTGCATTTTTTTGTTTTCCAAGCTTTTCTGGCTTCATGGTGGGGAAGAGGTATGTTGTAATCTATTTTAGCTTTCTTAAAGAGGAAAGAACATTAACTGAAGACATAGAGGCACAAAGCACAACATAGTTATATGCCAAGTAAAAATGATCAGGTCTGAGGATTAAGAAAAATATTCATAACTTCAAGTATTTATTTTCTAATTTTATAGTTGACAAAAGCAGTTACCAGTAGCACATTATTTGTCTCAAATATTCAAAGATCAATGGGAATATGTAAACATTAAGAAAAAAATTTAGAGCTGTCAGGCTGTCTTATTTTCTTGAGACAGGGTCTTTCTCCGTCTCTCAGGCTAGAGGGCAGTGATGCGATCACAGTTTACTGCAGCCTTGATCCCCTAAGCTCAGGTGATCATTCCACCTCAGCCTCCTGAGTACCTGAGACTACAGGTATTCACCACCATGTCCAGCTAATTTTTAGTTTTTATTTTTGGAGAGATAGGTTCTTGCTATGTTGTCCAGTCTGGTCTTAAACTCCTGTGCTCAAGCAATCCTCCTGCCCTGGCCTTCCAAAGTGCTGAGATTACAGGTGTGTGTCACTACACCCAGCACTGGCCATTTTAGGTTTAAATGTGATTGTTAATCATTATGATCTAAAATGTTCACATGATTTAAATGTGTCTTGCAGATTGAAATGTGTAGGGAGAAGTGTTATATTTTGTTTTTAAAATGGATGCAGTAATTGTACGTATTTATGAGAAACAGTGTGATCCTTTGATACATGCATGCAAAGTAGCATGCTCTATCTCATAAATACGTACAATTACTATGTACGTATTAGATATGCATCACCTTAAACATTTATCTTTTTTGTTAGAACATTCAAAATCTTATTTTCTAGATATTTAAAATATACAATGCATTATTGTTAGCTATAGTCACCTTACTGTGCAACAGAACACCAGAACTTACTCCTCCTATCTAACAATATCATTCTATCCATTGGCCAACCTCTTTCCATCTCCCTTTCCTTGCTATTTTTTTCAGACTCTGTTAGCTACTATTCTACCTTACAGCTTCTTTAAGATCAACTTTTAAAAATTTCACATATGAGTGTGATCATGTAATATTGATTTTCTGTGCCTGGCTCATTTCATTTAAAATAATTGTCTTTGGACATATCTATATTGTTGCAAGGGACAAGGTTTTGTCCTTTTTATGGCAGAATAGTATTCCATTGTGTATATAAACATATTTTCTTTATCCATTCCTCCACTGATGTTCATTTAGGTTGATTCCATGTCTTGGCTTGCATGGAAGTGCAAATTTTTTTTATATACTTATTTTAAATCATTTGGATATATAAATAGTAGAGACACTGCTAGATTGTATTATAGGTCTATTTTTAATTTTTCAAGGAAGCATCATACTATTTTTCATAATGGTTGTACTAATTTACATTCCCACCAGCAGTGTATAAGAGTTGCCATTTCTCTATATTCTCACCAGTGTTTGTTAGTTTTTTTTTTTTTTTTTTTTTTTTTTTGGTAATAGCCATTCTAACTGGAATAAAGTGATATCTCATTGTGGTTTTAATTTGCATATCCCTGATGGTTAGTGATGTTGAGCATTTTTTCATATACTTGCTGGTCACTTGTATGTCTTCTTTGAGAAATATTTATTCATGTATTTTGCCCATTTTAAAATGTTGTTATTAACATTATATGCAACTGAATTGTTTGAATACCTTATACATCCTGGATATTAATCCCTTGTCAGATGTGTAATTTGAAAATACTTCTAATTTTTTCCCTTCTTTTCACAGGTGTTGAATTTCCTTCTATTTTGTAGGTTACCTCTTTATTTATTGCTTGCTGTACAGATGTTTTTTAGTTTGATATAGTCCCATTTGTTTATTTTTGCTTTTGTTGCTTATGCTTTTAAGATTTTGTTTAAAATACCCAAACTGATGTGATATAGCATTTCCCCTATGTTTTCTTCTAGTAATTTCATAGTTTTTGGCCTTATATTTAAGTCTTTAATTCATTTTTAGGTTGATTTTTGTATGTGGTGAGAAATAGGGTCAAGTTTCCTTTTATTTTTTGCGTATGGATATCCAGTTTTCCCAGCACCATTTATTGAAAAGTCTGTCTTTTACCCATCATGTATTCTTGGCACCTTTGTCAAAAATCAGTTGGCTGCAAGTGCATGGATTTATTTCTGTGCTCTCTATTCTGTTCCATTGGTCTATGCGTCTATATTTATGCCAATACCATGATGTTTTGGCTACTATAGTTTTGTAGCATATTTTGAAATCAGGTAATGTGATGCCTCCTGCTTTGTTCTTTTTGATCAAAATTGCTTGGCCATTCAGGCTCTCTTGTAGTTCCATATGAATTTTAGGATTTTTTTTTTCTATTTCTGTGAAGAATGGTATTAGAATTTTGATGGAATTGCATTGAATCTGTAGATCACTTTGGGTAGTCTGGACATTTTAACAATATTAATTGTTTCAATCCATGAACATGGGATATTTTTTCATTTATTTGCATCCTCTTCAACTTCCTTCATTGATGTTTTATAGTTTTCATTGTAAAGAGTTTTTACTTCCTTGGATAAATTTATTCCTAGGTATTTTATTTTATTTTTGTAGCTAATAGAATTGGTTGTTTTGAGTTCTTTCCCAGATTTTTACTCTTTGTGTACAGAAGCACTATTTTTATATGTTGATCTTATATCCTGCAACTTTACTGTATTTTTTTTTAGTTTTTTGATGCAGTCTTTAAGGTTTTCTGTATGTAATATCATCCATCTGTAAACAGGGACAATTTGAGTTCTCCATTCCAATTTGGATGCTTTTTATTTCTTTCTCTTTCCTGATTGCTCTGGCTAGAACTTCTAGTATTGTTTTGAATAGTAGTGGTGAATGTAGGCATCTTTTTCTGGTTCTAGGTCTTAGGGGAAGAGCTTTCAACTTCTCCTCATTCAGTATAATGTTAGCTATGGGTTTTATCATATATGGCCTTTATTATATGGAGATATGTTTCTTCTAAACCTCACTTATTGAGAGTTTTTATCATGATAGGCTGTTGAATTTTGCCAAAGGCATTTTCTGCATCTATTGAGATAATTATATATTTTCAATCTTTTATTTTGTGAATGTGATATATCAAATTTATTGATTTGCAGATGTTAAACTGTCATTGTATCCCTAGGATGAACCCCATTTGATCATCTTTTAAATTTGCTGTTGAGTTTTAATTGCTAGTATTTTGTTGAGGATTTTTGCTGCTATGTTCATCAGAAATATTGACCTATTTTTTTTTTTTCTTTTTCTTTGTTGTGTCATTATCTGGTTTTGGGATTAGAGTAGTTCTGGCCTCATAAAATGAGTCTAGAAGAGTTCCCTCCTTTTCAATTTGTTAAATATTGGTGTTAATACTTCCTTAAATGTTTTATAGAATTCAGCAGTGAAGCCATCAAGTTTTGGACTTTTCTTTCACGGAAGACTTCTTGTTACTGCTTCAATATCATTACTTGTTAGTCATCTCTTCAGATTTTGTATTTCTTCTTTAGTCAGTCTTGGTAGGTTTTGTGTGTTCAGCAATTTATCAATTTCTTGTGGGTTTTGCAATTTGTTGGCATATAATAGTGCATAGCATATTTCTGTTGTAATGACTCTTTTGTCTCTGTTTCATTTATTTGAATCTTCTTTCTCTGTCTCTGTTTTATTTATTTATTATGTTTTTATTTTGATACAGGGTCTCATTCTGTCACCTAGGCTGGAGTGCAGTGGTGTGTGATCATAGCTCACTGCAGATTCGACCTCCTGGGCTCAGGTGATCCTCCTACTTCAACCTCCCAAGTAGCTGGGAGCACAGGCATGCACCACCCTGCCTGGCTAATTTTTTTATTTTTTGTAGAGATGGGGTTTCACCATGTTGCCCAGGCTGGCCTTAAACTCCTGGGCTCAAGCAATCGGCCCGCCAAAGCCTCCCAAAGTACTGGGATTACAGTGTGAGCTATTGTGCCCAGCATTTCCTTTCTTCTTAGATTGACTAATGTTTTACTAGCTTTATTTAAAAAAAAAAAACAATTCTTTATTTCATTGATCTTTTGTATTTTTTGTCTTTATTTATTCATTCTGTAATTATTATTACTGTTCTTTTACTAATTTTGGATTTAGTTTGTTCTTATCTTTCTAGTTTATTGAGATATATCATTAGGTTGTCTATTTCAGGTCTTTCTTTTTTGATATAAGTGTTTATTGCTATAAAGTTCCCTCTAAAGACTGCTTTAGCTGTATCCCATAAATTTTAGTATGTTGTGTTTTCATTTTCATTTCTGTCAAGAATTGTAAAAATTTCTCTTTTAAAATCTTTATTGACCCATTTGTTGTTTAGGAGCATGTGGTTTAATTTCTATGTACTTGTATAGTTTCTAAAGTTTCTCCTGTTGTTGATTCATGGTTTTATTGCACTATGGTCAGAACAGATACTTGATATAATTTTCACTTTTAAAAATTTATTAAGACTTGTTTTGTGGCCTAACATGATCCATTCTGGAGGATGTTTCATGTGCATTTGAGAACATTGTGAATTTTGCAGATGTTGGATTGAATGTTCTGTAAATGTCTGTAAGGTTCATTTGCTCTAGAGTGAAGTTTAAATCTAATTTTTTGTGGTGTTGGCTTTATGTCTGGAAAATCTCTTCATTGCTGAAAGTGGGGTGTCGAAGTTTCCTACTGTTAGTGTATTGGAGTCTATTCTTCCCTTTAGATATATTAATATTTGCTTCATACATTTAAGTGTGAGGTGCATATATATTTACAATTGTCATATTCTCTTATACTGACCCCTTTATCATTACATAACAGCCTTGTTTGTCTTTTTTTTTAGTTTGTCTTTAGTTTTTGATTTAAAGTATATTTTATATCTTTTTCCATCCATTCACTTTTCATCTATGCATGTCCTTTGGGTGAAGAGAATCTCTTGTGGACAATATATAGTTTTTTAAAAAATCTATTCAGCCACTTTATGTCTTTTAATAAGAGAATTTAATCTATTGATATTGAAGGTAATTATTCAATATCAATAATTGTTGTGTCATAATAGGTAAGATCTTGGTGCTACTATACTATAAATTGTTTTCTGATTGTTTTATAGAAACTTTGTTCCTTTCTCCTCCTACTGTTTTATTTTGTGGTTAAGTGGCATTTTCTATCAGTATGTTTGATTTGTTGCTTTTTGTTTTTAGTGTATCTATGAAAAGCTTTTGCTTTGTGGTTCCCACAAGGCTTACAAAGAACACGTTATAGGTATAACAGGTTATTCTGAACTGATAACAACTTAATTTTGACTGCAAAAATAGGAAAACAACTTTAGTCTTTAACCCCGATTACTCCTCTACATTTTGCATTTTTGATGCCATAGTTTACATTATTAATTAATTAATTATTATTTTAGACAGGGTCTCTGTCACCCAGGCTGGAGTGCAGTGGCACAACCTTGGCTTACCGCAACCTCTGCCTCCCAGCTCAAGTCGTCCTCCCACCGCAGCCTCCCGAGTAGCTGAAACTATAGGTGAGCACCACCATGCCTGGCTAATTTTTTATATTTTTGGTAGAAATGGGGTTTCACCATGTTGCCCAGGTTGGTCTCAAGCTCCTGAGCTCCCACAATCTGCCTGCCTTGGCCTTCCAAAGTGCTAGGATCGTGGGCATTAGGCACAGCGCCTGGCCAATTTATATCTTTTTAAACAGCTTATCCCTTAACTAATTGTTGTAGGTCTTATTACTTTTATTTTGGTTGACCTTCCTGTTTAGCAGTGTAAGTGGTTTATGTCCCACAATTACTGTGTTAGAGTATTCTGAATTTGTCTGAACACTTACTTTTACCTGTGGATTTTATACCTTTAGATGCTTTCATGTTACACATTAGAATTCTTTTCTTTCACTTTGAAGAATGACCTTTAGTGTTTCTTGTAAAGCAGGCCTAGTTAAAATTAATTCACTCAGCTTTTGTTTATCTGGAAATGTCTTTATTTCTCCTTCATTTCTGAATGATTGCTTTGCTGATAAAGTATATTTTGTTGGCAGCTTCTTTTTCCTTCAGCACTTTGAATATATTATCCCACTCTCTCCTGGTCTGTAGGGTGTCTGTTGCCAGATGTACTGGAATTCTCTTATGTGTTATTTAATTCTTTTCTCTTGCTGCTTTCAGTCTTATCTCTTTGTCTTTGACCTTTGAAATTTGATTATAATATGATTTGGAGGTGTCTTATTTGGGTTGAATCTGATTGATGATTTTTGATCTTTCTGTCTCTGAATATTTGTACCTTTCTCATAGTTTGGAAAGTTTTTGTTATTTCTTTGAATAAGCTTTTTACTCATTTTTTATTCTCTAGTCCCTTTTTAATGCCGTTGCTATGTAAATTTTCTCTATTGATGAAATCTCATAGGTCTCATCAGTTCTTTTTGTTCTTTCTCCTTCTTTTTTCCTCCCTTGATAGTGTATTTTTGAATAGCTTGTCTTCAAACTCACTGTCTGTCTCTTCTGTTTTGAGCAATTCTGCTATTGATGCCCTTTATTGCATTTAAAAATTCATCTATTATACTATTCAGCTCCAGGATTCTGTTGACTTTTTACAGAGTTTTTCAATTTCTCTATTGAAGTTCTCTGTCAAACTTTTGAGTTATTTCTCTGTCCTTTCTTGAAGGTTGTTGAGTTTTCTTAAAACAGCTATTTGAAATTCTTTGTCTGCCATATTATTCATCTGCATGTCTGGAGTTGCTGGCACATCTTTGTGTTTATTTGCTGAGGTCAGCTTTTCTAGGATATTCTAATTCCTTGTAGATATGCATCTTTGTCCTCATATTTATGAATCAGGTATTTATTCCTATGAATAAGAATGCATACAGAGATCTACAAATCAGGTAGTGATTCCTAAGTGTTCACCACCTGGGCTTGTTTCTGACCTTTCTATTTTAGAAATAGGGTTTGGTTTTTAGAAATTCTGAGCATACTGTTGTATTCCATTTGAGCACTACAGGGTGCCCTAAGCCCAGGTTAGGTATGATTCTCAAGATGGTTCCACTGTTAATGCAATGTCTGAATAGATGTGCCTGTAGCAGATACACAAAGGGTCCCTGGGCCATGTTGGAGAGCCAGTCAGGCTCTTAAGTTCAGAGGATCCATGGAACATTGTTTCTGCCATGTGGTGCAGTCTTTCTGGTGCAGTAGCTGCTCTGGAAGGCGTGATGAGTTCCACACACTAGCTGCTGCTAGTCCCAGTCCCTCTCACTGTCCCTAAATAACTAAAGGTGGATCAGGCCCATAGGTACTTGCAGCACTCTCCATGGGTCAATTTAAGAGCAAGTCTCTTGCAGAGGGACCGAGGTTGGTTAGGAAGCCAAATGTCTGCCTCCAGCCCACTTTTCCAGTGTAGAAACTGTGAGTCCAGGGAGATGTTCCACATGAGATAACATAATGGCTTGGGCGCAGGGTGTCATTGTCATAGAGGACTGGTTCCCTTACCATCCAACTGAGGTTTTATTCATCTTTGCAGTCCAACGGGGCTTCACAGTCTCACTCACGTGTTCAGGTTCGCTTAGCTCCTGTGAAGGTACTTTTGTGCATGGATAGTTGTTCAAATTGATATTCTTGTGGGGATAAGATCACTGGAGAGATCTACTCCACCATCTTTCCCTGCCCTTTGTTAAGAACAGTTTTAGTCTTACATTAAGATTCCACCATTAACTATTTATACTATGCATCGTAGGCATAACATTATATTCTCAGCCAGAAATTTAAAAAAACCATTTAAATAAATTTATTGAGGGATAATTGACAAACAATAAAGTGTTCATTATTGAAAAGTATAAAATTTGTTGAATTTGGACACCTGTGAAATTATTACTGCAACCAAGAGAATATACCTGTCATCCTCTCAAATTTTCCTTGTGCTTCTTTGTAATTTCTTCCTTTTTTCCAACACTCTTTTATCACTAATGCAACCGCTGGTCTGCTTATACTGTTTAGATGTTTGTCTCCTCTAAATCTCATGTTGAAATCTGATTCCTGTTGTTGGAGGTGGGACCTGATAGGAGGTGACTGGATCATGGGGTCAGATCTCTCATGAATAGTTTAGCACCATCTCCTTCGTAATAAGCAAGTTCTCATTCAGTTAGTTCACATGAGATCTGGTTGTTTAACAGTGTGTGGCACCTCCCCTGCTTGCTGTGTTGCTCTTGCTTTTACCATGTGATGCACCTGTTTCCTCTTTGCCTTCTGCCATGACTGTAAGATTTCTGAGGCCCTCAGCAGAAGCAGATACTGGTGTCATGCTTCTTGTACAGCCCACAGAACCACAAGCCAATTAAACCTCTTTTCTTCATAAATTACCCAACCTCAATTATTCCTTTACAGTCATGCCAATAGACTAATACATCTGGTTTCCGTCAGCATGGTTAGCATTTTTTGAGTTTTATATAAATGGAGTCAAACAGTATATACTCTAATTTGTCTTCCTCTTCCACTCAGAAAAATTATTTTGACATTTATAGACATTGTCTGTAACAACAGTTAATTTCTTTTTATTGCAGAAGAGTATTTCATTGTACGCATATATATAATCTATGTATTTACCTGTAGGTGGACTTATGGATTGTTTCTGGGTTTTTTCTAATGCAAATAAAATTCTAAGATCATTCATACACAAGTGGACATATGTTTTCATTTACTTTTAAAAAAACTTAGGAGCAGAATGGCTGGATCAAATGGTAGATTTATATTGAACTTTTAAAGAACCTGTCCATAGGTTTTCAAAGTGGCCAAATCATTTTGCTTTCTCAAAACATGTATGAGAGTCTCAGTTTTCCACATCTTTTGCCAAAACTTGCTATGGTCACTTTTTAACATTTTAGCCTTCTAGTGGGTGGTGGTAGTGATATTTCACTGTGATTTTAGTGTGTTTTTTTTCTAATGACTAAAGATGCTGAGCACTTTTTTCATGTGTAGATAAATATCTGTATCTCTTTTTTCATCAAGTATTTGTTCAAATCATTTGCTTATTTTTTAATGGTTGTTTGTTGTCTTATTGAGCTGTAAGAACTTACATACTCTATATACAAGTTCTTCACTGGATAGAGGTTTTTGCAAATATTGTCTCTCAGTCTGTAGTTTGCCCTGTCATTTTCCTAATAGTATTTTATAAAGAGCAAAAGTCTTTAGTGTTATGTGATACTAATTTGTTAGTTATTTTCTTTAATATAAACTATTTAAAACATTGTTGTCAAATGCAAAGTGACTAAGATTTTTCTCCTATCATTTCTTCTAAAAATTTAGTAGTTTCAGCTTCTATATTTTAGTCTGATTTATTTTTAGTTTTTTTAAAAATAAAGTTATCCAATTGTTCTAGCTTAACTTATTAAAAAGATGATCATTTCTTCATTGAATTCTCTTGGCACTTTCGTTGAAATCAACTGGCCATATATGTGTGGATCTATTTCTGGACTATTTGGTTGCATTACATTGTATGTCTCTCTTTATGTCAATATTATACTTTCTTGATTAATGTAGTTTTATAATATATCTTGAAATCACATACTATAAGTCCTCTAACTTTGTTCTGTCTTTTAAAATTGTTTCAGCTTTCCTATGTCTTATGCATTTATATTAATATATAAATTTGAGTCAGATGGTCGATTTCTATCAAAAGCCTGCTAGAATTATGATTGAGATTGCTGTGAATTTACACATCAATTTAGAAAGAACAGAATCTTTACAATAATGATTTGACCTATGAATATGGTATGTCTCATCTTATTTTTATACCTTTAACATTTCTTTTGGCAATGTTTTATAATTTTCAGTGTACAGATCTTACACATATTTTGCCAAATTTACTTGTAACTCTACTTGAAAATTTTGATGGAATTGTAAATGGTATAGTTCTCAATTTTAATTTCTGATTTATTGCTACTTCATAGAAATATAATTAATTTCTGTATATTGACTTTGTAAACCTTGCTCAACTCTATTATTAGTTGTAGTAGATTTTCCCAGAGCTGTTAAGATTTTCCACAAAGATGATTATGACATCTGTGAATAAAGACAATTTTATTTCTTTTATTTTCCAATATGAGTGCCATTTATTATCTTCTTTCTTTAATGCACTGATGAGGTCCTCCAGTCAAATGTTGACTGGTGTTGGCAAGATGATTTTGGGACTTTTATGTTGTTTGATTCTGGAATTTTTGTATTCTTTTTCATATTTTTTTGAGATTTGCTCTGTGATTAATTTGCCTTTTGGAAACACTAGACTATCCTTTAGTCTGGAGCTGATTTGGTTCCACTATTGAGAGAATACTTTTCTGAGTATATAATGTGATCCCTCATGCATTGAGAGATTTCTGTCCTCTTGCTGTTGGGAGCATAAATTATTCCCAGGTGAGTACAATCTCTGGAATTGCTTCAACACTCTCTGGTAATTACCTCACATCCATGTGTGAAAAAGTACTCAGCCTCGAAGCTAGGGAAACCCCTTGCATATTTTCAGAATTCTCTTTCTCAGTGCAGCACTCTCCTATTACTCCACCCTATGAATTCTGGCTACTTTGGACTTTCCATATTCCCAACCCTGTCACTTCAATTCAGAAGGCCTTCGAGTATCTTTTTGGTGCCCACTATTTTGCACTGAGACCTGGAAACTCGGCAGGCAGAAGGCATGGGCAACTTTACACCTCACCTCCCTTGTTTCCCTTTTCTCAGGGATTGCTGTCTTGGGATGACTGTTGTTCAATCTCTGAAAATGGTTGTTCTGTATACTTTTTGTTCATTTTTGTTTGTTTATAATTAGAGAGGGTACAACTGATTTCTATTACTCCATCACGGCCAGAAACAAAAGTCTTGTGTGTATTTTTAATTCATAAACATTGTCAAATTTATTAGGACTCATACAGTTGACCCATTTAGAAACAAAAACCAACTCAACTTCCTGAAATAGCTGAAAATTCTTCCTGAAAGAGTTCAGCGAAGTGGGAAGTCCAAGGTAGATAATAAAATTAAGAGGTTTAATCAACATAATGAAAACACATTCTTTTTCCATCTCATATTTGCTTACTTTCTTGTATCTGTTTAGCTTTATTTTCAGAACATTACTCTCCACAGAGTGGAAAGATGACTTGGCAGCTTTAGGCTTATGTGGAACTTAGAAGCTTATTTCAGAGGAAGGGTGAGCATCTTTCCGATAACCCTGGTGACATTTCTTGGGGAGGATTCTGACTGGCCAGTTTAACTTACATATGCAACTCTAAAGCAGTAACTCTGGTAAGGGTATGGCATACTTTGATTTGGTGGACTGGTTCTGGACCTCCTTGCCAAGGAGAGTGTAAAAGTCAGCTATACCAGGAATGTAATGGGTTGAACAGACTTATTTAGAGTGAGGAAGGACTAATTTCACAAAGCAAGCAATATTGGGGCAATACAAAATGCGTGTCAACTATATTACTAATGATATTGTTTAGTTATTGTTATTATTATTATTTTATTATACTTTAAGTTCTGGGGTACATGTGCAAAATGTGCAGTTTTGTTACATAGGTATATAGTGCCATGCAGGTTTTCTGCACTCATCAACCCGTCATCTACATTAGGTATTTCTCTTAGTGCTATACCTCCCCTAACCCCCCAACCCCTGACAGGCCCCAGTGTGTGATGTTCCCTGCCCTGCGTCCAAGTGTTCTCATTGTTCAATTCCCACTTATGAGTGAGAACATATGGTGTTTGGTTTTCTGTTCCTGTGTTACTTTGCTGGGAATGATGGTTCCCAGCTTCATCCATGTCCCTGCAAAGGACATGAACTCATCCTTTTTTTACGGCTGCATAGTATTCCATGGTGTATATGTGCCACATTTTCTTTATCCAGTCTATCATTGATGGACATTTGGGTTGGTTCCATGTCTTTGCTATTGTGAATAGTGCCACAATAAACATACATGTGCACATGTCTTTATAGTAGAATGATTTATAATCCTTTGGGTGTATACCCAGTAATGGGATTGCTGGGTCAAATGGTATTTCTAGTTCTAGATCCTTGAGGAATCACCACATTGTCTTCCACAATGGCTGAAGTAATTTACCCTTCCGCCAACAGTGTAAAAGCATTCCTATTTCTCCACATCCTCTCCAGCAACTGTTGTTTCCTGACTTTTTAATGATCGCCATTCTAACTGGTGTGAGATGGTATCTCATTGTGGCCATCATATCTGATGGCCAGTAATGATGAGCTTTTTTTCATGTTTATTGGCCACATAAATGTCTTCTTTTGAGAAGTGTCTGTTCATATCCTTCACCCACTTTTTGATAGGGTTGTTTGATTTTTTCTTGTAAATTTATTTAAGTTTTTTTGTAGACTGTGGATATTAGCCCTTTGTCAGAGGATAGATTGCAAAAATTTTCTCCCGTTGTGTAGGTTGCCTGTTATTATGATTTTTTTGAGATGGAGTCTCACTCTGTCACCCAGACTGGAGTGCAGTGGCGTGATCTTAGCTCACTGCAACCTCCACCTCCTGAGCTCAAGTGATTTTCCCACCTCAGCCCCCCGAGTAGCTGGTACTACAGGTACATGCCACCAAGCAGGGCTAATTTTTGTATTTTTAGTAGAGATGGGGTTTCCCCATGTTGCCCAGGCTAGTCTCAGACTCCTGGGTTCAAGTGATCCACCTACCTTGGCCTCCCAAAGTACTGGGATGACAGGCATGAACCACTGAGCCCGGCCAATATTGTTTAGTTATTTATTACTGCATAACCGATTACCCAAAACCTAGCATTTTAAAATAATGAATAGGTATTATTTCACCTTTCCTGTGAGTTAGGCATTTCAAAGCACATTAGTTGGATGGTTCTGGCTTAGGGTCTCTCTTGAGTTTTCACTCAGCTATTGGTCAGGGCTGCAGTCATCTGAAAGCTTGACTGGGGACAAGGAAGGTAAGGATCTACTTTTAAGTTCACTCACTTGGTTGTTGTCACGCTTCAGTTATTTGCCAGTTGTTGGCTGGAAACCTCAGTTTCTCATCACATGGAGCTCTCTGTAGGCTGCCTGAGTGTTCTTACAACATGGAAGTTGAATTCTTCAAGAGTGAGTGATCTAAGATAATTTTCTTTTTGCACATTAGTTGAAAACCACAGCCTTTTAATCAGAAATGATATCACATAACTTCTGCCTTGTTCATTTTGTTAGACATGAGTCACTTGATCCAGGTTACACTCAAGAGGAAAGGAATAGTGTTCCATCTCTTGAAGGCAGAAATACTAAAAACTATGTGCACATATTTTTGAAATCACCATAGGATGTTTATAACTAGAACCTATAATTTATAATAATCACAAGAACTTGGATTTTTTTTTCCAGTTCTTCAGATACAATTTAACTAATTTGTGCTCTAAAAAACAAAGGCTACATTATATTACCTTTTCAGAAGGAAAATCATACTGAAATGCAGAAATTTTCTTGATGCATTTTGTAATGATAATAAATAGTTGAATTTCTGGAATGTTTTAGGAATGGAAATAGGTGTAAAGGTATGCTGATAAACTATATTTAAAATGTTTTGAGGTAGTTTATACAAATTCAGAAAAACTTATAGATTGAAAAAATATAATAACTGCAACTTTTGCCTTCAGAGTCTTAATATAATCTCATCTTTGTAAGTTTTGAATGAAATTACTGTCAAGTTCAGTATAATGTGAAGGAGATGAATTACGTATATGATACCTTGTATTTCATTTAAAGTTGTGGCCTATAGACAGCCATTCTGATACATTTTGCAAAAATCTACCTTGTGTAGACATTTCTAAAAACATCATATGGAGATATCTTTAGAAAGGTAATAGCATGACAATGAACTAAAATCATCATGTGTTACTTTATTTGTTTAAAGTTACTATCATTGAAATACGTATCTTAGCTATAACTTGTAGCCTTTTCTCAAACCTAATGTTTGCTCTAAGAAAGAGGCATAAAATATTTCAAAATATGTTCTTTTCCATTTGCCTTAATCCAATTTTCCTTCATTTTAACATGGAAATTCAATGAAAAAAATATCTACATGAACAGTAGCTTTGGACAGTTCAGCTTTAAGCTTGAAGGTGTTTTTATTTTGAAAAATCTACTCTTTTGTCAAAGATGTTCACTGAAAATGAATTCAAATGATACACAGATGCAGTAGTTTATATTATTAAATCTCTTTTCCATCCTGGGCTCCTAAGTGCCTCTGTTCTGATGGCCAGAAAGAAAAACTCTTACAGATTTGTATGTACTTGATGAGGATAGTCTATGCACTATGTGTATGTGTGTAGGCATGCTTGTTTGCAATGTTTTCCTTTTTTATACCAGTATTTCTCTAATTTTAGCATGCTTCACAATTACCTGGAAAGACTGTTAAAACACAAATTGTTAGGCTCCCAACCACAGAGTTTCCAGTTTAGTAAGTGGGGTTGAGAATTGAGAATTTACCTTTCTAACAAGTTCCTAGGGGAAGCTGAAGATGCTGGATGGGGAATCACACTTTTATGATCACTGAATTATACAAATGACAGTAACTTGCTTTTTTCTTTATCTACTAAAGATTTGTTCCTGTCCATTTATTTGAAACTGCATCATTTTTTTTTGAGACTTGAGTTAAATGGATCAATCATAATGTAGTTAATGTGCCTCTATTGATGGATGCTTAGGTTGTTTCTAATATTTGAAGCTTTGATGGAAGCAGGTAAATTGCCCAATATTTAATTTTCCAAAATGGACACTTTGCCTAATATACGGCTCACAAATCGATTCACAAGAGGTGAAATCAGGGAATGTTCAATTTGTAGAATATCTAATTTAAAGATTTACTAATTGTAGTCCTCTCGAATGTTTTGATGGCTTTTACAGAAATGGTGCAACAGCCTTATACAAATGCTTAATTTTGGTTACTGGTGATAAAATATACTTTTCTTAAAACAACTAAAGTAAGGTTGATATGTTACTGATTATATTGTCCAGAGAATCATAAAATTACTTATAGATTAGTGAACAAGCAATCAGTATAAATTTAAAATTTCCTTTAATTCATGCTATTTTTCTAACCAAAATTCTGCCATTTGGTACATAATTATAATATTTAAACTGCTAGTGATTTGATTTATATGCCTTTTTGAAATTTATTTATTTCGAGACGGAGTTTTGCTCTTGTTTCTCAGGTTGGAGTGCAGTGGCGCCAGGCACATCTCGGCTCACTGCAACCTCCGCCTCCCAGATACAAGCGATTCTTCTGCCTCAGCATCCTGAAGAGCTGAGATTACAGGCATGCGCCACCACGCCCGGCTAATTTTGTGTTTTTGGTAGAGATGGGGTTTCTCCATGTTGGTCAGCCGGTCTCAAACTCCTGACCTTAAGCGATCCGCCCGCCTCGGCCTCCCGAAGTGCTGGGATTACAGGCGTGAGCCACTGCGCCTGGCCTCTATATGTCTTTAAATATAATTTTTTAGCTTTTAAAATGGGAACATATTGATTATTGCTTTGCAAATACCTCAAATGATGGTGTAGTTTTAATTTTATATGACCGAGACCACAGAGAAACACTGAAACTCTCCCACTTTTTTGGGTAGTAAGCACTACCACTGGTATACGGAAAATACAGTAGAAAAAGAGCCCCGTGTGGGGCAGATGCACAGGGAAGACTAAATGTTGAGAAGATAGCGTAAATATTAAACACATGAAACAAAACAAAAACCCACTGGAAATACTGGTCCATCCCCAATCTCAAACATATGCTAGAGGAAGTTGAAGCTAGAAGTACAGTGGAGGTTATCATAGCAATAGTAAAACTTAAACTTAGCTCAACTCCTAGCTAGATTGACTTACCTCCCAACTTTCACACTAATATCCTGGCAGAAGCGGCATGTACATTTCCAGGCATAAATTCTATGCTATTTATCTCATAAATACTATGCTATTTACCCCAGTTGCTACTAGTCTGAACAATATGCACGGCATTCAGTGAAAATTATAAGATGTACAACAACACCCAGGGTATGGTATATCTTTATATAAATTACACAGATGGCTGCAAAAAATGAGCATTCTGTTGTTGGGTGGAGTGTTGTATAATGTCTATTAGATCTTGTTGATTGATGGTGTTGTTGAGTATTTACATTCTTGATTTTCTGTCTACATGGCTGTGATGGTTAATTTTAGGCATAAAATTGATTGGATTAGGAAACAGAGAACTGGTAAAGCATTATTTCTGGGTGTGTCTGGGACAGTGTTTCCAGAGGAGATTGGCATGTGGGTCAGTGAACTGAGGGAGGGAGCACTACCCTCAATGTGGGCAGGCACTGTCCAATCGGTTAGAGACCCAAATAGAACAAACACAGAGGAAAGGTGAATTTTTTTCTCTCTCTCCTGGAGTTGGGATACCTGTCTCCTGCCCTAGGACATCAAAACTTCATGTTATCGGGTGTTTGGACTCTGGTACTTAGCTAGCTTTTCCTCCTCACCCAGCCCCTTGCCCTCAGGATCTCAGGCCTTTGGCCTCAGACTAAGAGTTACACCAGCAGCTTCCCTGGTTCTGAGGCTTTAGGATGTGGAATGAGCCCTGCTATTGGCATCCCAGGGTCTCCAGCTTGCCATGGCCTGCCATGGGACTTCTCAGCCTCCATAACTGCTTGGGCCAATTCCCCTAATAAATTTCATCTCACATGTCTATGTATATTTATATCTTATTTGTTCTGTCTTGCTGGAGAAGCCTGACTAATACAGTGGGTGTTGAAGTCTCTGATTATAATTGTAGATTTGTATGCTTCTTTTTTTAGCTCTAACAGTTTTTGCTTCACATATATATTTTAAAAATTCTTTTATTTGAAAAATGAAAAATGTGTCTATTTGTGGTATACAACATGGTGTTTTGAAATATGAAAATTCAACATTGTTGAATGGCCAAATCATGCTAATGCAATTAACGTGTATTAGCTCAGTTTTTTGTGGTGAGAACATTTAAATCTACTCTTCTAGCTATTTTTGAGTATACAGTATATTAACTATAGTCATCATGTTATACACTAGATCTCTTGAACTTATTCCTGCTGTCAATGAAAGTTTGTATCCTTTGACCAATATCTTCCTAGTCCTACCCACCTCCCCAGTACCTAGTAACTACCATCTACCCTCTGCTATGAGTTTGCCATTTTTAGGTTCCACATATAAGTGAGATTATGTGGTATTTGTTTTTCTGTGCCTGGCTTTTTTCATTGAATGTAATATCCTCCAGGTTCATCAATGTTGTGGAAAATAACAAGATTTCCTTCTTTTTAAAGGCTAGTGTTCCATTGTATATTTATACCGTGTTTTTTCATCCATTCATTGATGGATATTTAGTTTAATTCTGTGTCTTGGCTATTGTAAAGAATGCTGTAATGAGCATGGGAGTGCAGATATCTGTTTGACACAATAATTAGTATTTTCTTGGGATATATACTTAGGCATGGGACTGTTGGATAGTATGGTAGTTCTATTATTTTTTGAGTAACCTCCACACTATTTTCCATAATGGCTATACTAATTCACATATATTTCATTTATTTTATTTTGTGCATATGCATTTAGGATTGCTGTGTCTTCCTGGAGAATTAACTCCTGTATCATTATATGGTGTCCCTTTGTCCCTGCTTTTTTTTCTTTGAAGTTGATTTTAGATATTAGTATTGTCATTCATACTCTCATTTGACTAAAATATTTGCATGGTATATAATTTTCCATTCCTTTTAATCTACCTATATAATTTTATTTAAAGTGAGTTTTAAAATATCTTTTATTAAAATTATCCACATATTTTATTTATTTATTTAAAAATATTTTGATGTTTAGGTTTAGGAGAACATGTGCAGGTTTGTAGTATAGGTAAACTTGTGATTTGGGGGTTTGGTGTACAGATTATTTTGTCACACAGGTACTAAGCATAGTACCTGACAGTTTTTTTTTTTTTCCTGAACCTCTTTCTCCTCTTACTTTCCACCCTCAAGTAAGCCCCAGTGTCCGCTGTTCCCCTCTTTCTGTCCACGTGTTCTCATTATTTAACTCCCACTTATGAGTGAGAATGTGCGGCATTTGTTTTTCTGTTCCTTCATTAGTTTGCTGAGGATAATGGCCTCCAGCTCCTTCTATGTTCCTGCAAAGGTCATGGTCTCATTCTTTCATATGGCTATGTAGTATTTGATGGTGTATATGTTCCACATTTTCTTTATCCAGTATACAATTGATGGGCATTTAGGTTGATACCATATCTTTGTTATTGGGAATAGTACCTCAATGAACATTCATGTCCATGTTTCTTTATGGTAGAATGATTTATATTCATTTGGGTATATACCCAGTAGTGGGATTGTTGTGTTGAATGGTAGGTCTGTTTTAAGTTCTTTGAGGAATTGCCACACTGCTTTCCACAAGAGTTGAACTAATTTGAAGTGAGGTTTTTGGAGACAGCATTTGGCTAGGTTATATTTAAAACCCACTCTGCTAATCTATTTTAATGTGTGTATTTAGACTATTTACATTTAATAAAATTAATGATAGGTTAAGGCTTTGATATGGTCTGGCTGTGTCCCTGCCTGTATTAGTCCATTTTCACACTGCTGATAAAGACATACCTGATACTGGGCAATTTATTAAAGAAAGACGTTTGTTGGACTCACAGGTCCATGTGTCTGGGGAGGCCTCGCAATCATGGTAGAAGATGAAAGGCATGTCTCACATGGTGGCAGACAAGAGAAAAGAGCTTGTGCAGGGAAACTCCACTTTTAAAACCATCACTTCTCATGATACTTAGTCACTATCATGAAAACAGCATGGGAAAGACTCACCCTCATGATTCACTAACCCCCCCAGGCCCCTCCCACAACACGTGGGAATTATGGGAGCTACATGATGAGATTTGGGTGGGGACACAGAGCCAAACCATATCCCCAGCAAATCTCATCTTGAACTGTAGTTCCCATAATCTTCATGTGATCTGGGAGGGACCACGTGGAAATAATTGGACTCATGAGGATGGTTCCCCCATCTTCTTCTCATAATAGTGAGTTCTCACGAGATCTGATCTGATGGTTTTATAGAGGGCTTCCCCTTTGCTGGACACTCATTCTTCTCCTTCCTGATGCTATGTGAAGAAGGATGTGTTTGCTTCCCCTTCTGTCATAATTGTAAGTTTCCTGAGGCCTCCGCAGCCGTGCTGAACTGTGAATCACTTAAAACTCTTTTCTTTATAAATTAGCGAGTCTTGGGTATGTCTTTATTGGCAGCAAGAGAATAGACTAATACAGGCTTAAACATACCATTTTATTATTTTTTTCTGTTTCCTACTCTGTGTTTTTTTCCCTCTTATTTTATTTTCCATGCCTTCTGATGAGTCACTTGAACAGTTTTAAAGTTCATTTCAATTTATCTATAGTGTTTTTATATAGCTTTTTTAGTGATTGCTTTAGAAATTACATTATAAATACATAACTTATCACAGTCTCCTCATGTTAATATTTTACTAGTTTGAGTAAAGTCTAAAAACTTTATCATCCTTAACATTCCTTTACCCTCCACATTCAAAACAGAATTATTTTAAATATTTTTTCTATATATTTAGAAGAATATGAGAAGTGTTATAATTTTTGCCTTAACTGTTAAACGTAAGTCAGAATACTCAAGAGGAGAAAATAGTCTATTGTATTTATTAATAATTTAGCTTACAGAGTTCCTTTTTCCTTCCTAATATCCCAAAGTTCCTTGTTTTATTATTTTCTTTTTCCTTAGAGAACTTCATTTAGCCATTTTTTAAGGATAGGTCTGCTAGTAATAAGTCATTTTAGTTTTCTTTCTTCTGAAAATGTTTTAAAAGATTTCTCCTTCATAGATAAAGGATATTTTTGTGGTTATAAGATTCTGAGTTGACAGTTATTTTCTTTTGACACTTGAAAAATATTGTGCTACTTCCTTCTGGCCTCTCTGGTTTCTCATGTAAATCCGCCAACATTCAAATTGTTTTTATCATATAATTAAATTGTCATTTCTTCTTGTACGTGTTTGTTTTCACACCGCTATAAAGAACTACCTGAGACTGGGTAATTTATAAAGGAAAGAGGTTTAATTGATTCACAGTTTCACATGGCTTGGAAGACCTCAGGAAACTTACAATCATGGCAGAAAGCGAAAGAGAAGCAAGGTTCATCTTACATGGCAGCAGGAGAGAGGGAGAATGAGGTGGGGAGAACTGTCAAACACTTTTAAACTATCAGATCTTGTGAGAACTAAATCATTATCATGAGAACCGCATGGGAGATACTGCTCTCATGATCCAATTACCTCCCACCAAGTCCCTCCCTTGACATATGGGAATTACTATTTGAGATGAGATTTGGGTGGGGACACAGAACCAAACCATATCATTCCACGCCTGGCCCTTCCCAAATATCATGTCCTTCTCACATTTCAAAACACAGTCATGCCTTCTCAACCATCTCCCAAAATCTTAACTCATTTTCCAGCATTAACTCAAAAGTCCATGTCCAAAATTTTATCTGAGACAAGGCAAGTTCCTTTCGCCTAAGAAGGATTTGTAAAATCAAAAACAAGTTACTTACTTCCAATATAGAATGGGGGTGCAGGAATTGGGTAAATGATCCCATTAAAAAAAATTGGCCAAAACAAAGGGGCTACAGGCCCTATGCAAGTCTGAAACCCAGAGGGGCAGTCATTAAATCTTAAAGCTCTGAAATAAACACCTTTGGCTCCATGTCTCACATCCAGGGCACACTGATGCAAGAGTTGGGCTACCAAGGCCTTGGGCAACCTCATCCCTGTGACTCTGCAGGTACAGTGCCTGTAGCTGCTTTCGTGGACTGGCATTGACTACCTGTGGCTTTTCCAGGTGCATGGTGCAAAATGTCAATGTATCTACCATTTTGGGGTCTGGAAGACGGTGGCCTTCCTCTCACTGCTCCACTAGACAGTACCCCAGTGGGGACTCTGTACTGGGACTCCAACCCCACATTTCCCTTTTGCAATGCCCTAGTAGAGGGTCTCCACTGGGGCTTTACCCCTGCAGCAGACTTCTGCTTGGATATCCAGGCATTTCTATACATCCTCTGAAATCTAGGTGGAGGTTCCTAATCCTCACTCTTGGCTTCTGTGCATCTGCAAGCCCAACATGACATGGTAGCCACCAAGGCTTGAGACTTGCACCCTCTGGAACAATGGCCCAAGCTATACTTTGGCACCTGCCCCCCCTTTTCTTTTTTTTCCTTTTTTGAGATGGAGTCTTGCTTTGTTGCCCAGGCTGGAGTGCAGTGGCGCAATCTTGGCTCACTGCACCCTCCGCCTCTCAGATTCAAGTGATTTTCCTGCCTCAGCCTCCCAAGTAGCTGGGATTACAGATCTGTGCCCCCATGCCCAGCTAATTTTTGTATTTTTAGTAGAAATGGGGTTTCACCATTTTTGGCCAGGCTGATCTTGAACTCCTGACCTCGTGATCTGCCTGCTTTGGCCCCCTAAAGTGCTGGGATTACGGGCATGAGCCACCGTGCCTGGTTTACCTTGGCCCCTTTTAACCACAACTGGAGCTGGAGCAGCTGGGACACAGGGTGACACTTTCTGAGACTGCACTGTGCAGCAGGGCCCTCAGCCAGGCCCACAAAACCATTTTTCCCTTTTAGGCCTTCAGGTCTGTGATAGGAGGGGCTGCTATGAAAATCTGTCTTTCTCTAGGACATTTTCCCCATTGTCTTGGCTATTAACATTTTACTCCTCATTATTTATGCAAATTTCTACAGCCAGCTTGAATTTGTTACCAGAAAATGGGATTTTATTTTCTACTGCATGGCCAGGCTGTAAATTTTCCAAAATTTTACACTCTGCTTCTCATTTAAACATAAGTTCCAATTTCAGATCATCTCTTTGTGAATGCATTTGACTGTATGCTTCAGAAAAAGTCAAATCATATCTTGAATGCTTTGGTGCTTAGAAATTTCTTTTACCAGATACCCTAAATAATTTCTCTCAAGTTCAACATTCCACAGATCCCCAGGGCAGGAGCACAATGCTGCCAGTCTCTTTGCTAAAGCATAGCAAGAGTGATCTTTACTCCAGTTCCCAGTAAGTTCCTGATCTCCATCTGAGACCACCTCAGCCTGGACTTCAGTGTCCATATCACTATCAGCATTTTGGTCAAAACCAGTCAACAAGTCTCTAGGAAGTTTCAAACTTTCCCACACCTTCCTGTCTTCTTCTGAGCCCTCCAAACTGTTCTAGCCTCTGCCTGTTTGCCAGTTCCAAAGTAGCTTCCACATTTTCAGGTTAACTTTATAACAGTGCCCCACTACCGGTACCAATTTTCTGTATTAGTCTGTTTTCACACTGCTATACAGAACTTCCTGAGACTGGGTAATTTATAAAGGAAAGAGGGTTAATTGACTCACAGTTCCACATGTCTAGGAAGGCCTCAAGAAACTTACAATCATGGTGGAAGGTGAAGGGGAAGTAAGACATGTCTTACGTGGCAGCAAGAGAGAGGGAAAGTGAGGTGGTGGGTGGGGAGGGGGAGCTGCCAAACACTTTTAAACCATCAAATCTCATGAGAACTCACTATCATGAGAACAGCATGGGGGAAACGACTCCCATAATCCAATCACCTCCTACCAGGTCCCTCCCTTGACATATAGGGATTACAATTCAAGATGAGATTGGGTGGGATCACAGAGCGAAACCATATCATTCCCTAAGGGCCTTTAAGAGTTTTTTTTTCCTTGTTTAGTTTTCAAAAGTTCCATTTTGATGTGTTTTGGGATTAATTTCTTTGGGCTTATCTTGTATGAAGTTTTCAGATTCTTGAATCTGTAGTTTTATGGGGTTTTTGTGTCAAATTTGGAAAGTTTCCAGCCAGTTTTATTTTAGTATACTTATAGTCCTACCCGCTTTTCTCTCTCCTTCTCAGACCCTGGTGGTAACTGAGTCAGGTTTTTTGTTATATTCCCTAAAGTCCCTGAGGTTCTGTTCATTTCATGTTTCTAGTTTATTGTATCTCTATGTTTAGATTGTGTAATGTATTTTGTTTTATTTTTCAATTCACTTATATTTTTCCCCCTTTGCTTCCATCTTTCTGTTGATCTCATCTACTGAGCATTTTATTGAGGTGATATTTTTTAGTTCTGAAATTTCCATTTTTTAATATATTATGTTTTTTGCTGAGATTTGATTTTTTTTGCTGAAGTTTTCTTTTGCTTCATTTGTTTCAAGCTTTTTTTGGTAATTGTTGAAGCATTTTTATCATGGCAACTTTAAATCTTTGTCAGGTAATTCTAACAAATCTGTCACCTTGGTAATGACATTTTTGAATTCCTTTTTAAAATTCAGTTTGAGATCTTGGTTCGTGGTATGACAAGTATTTTTTAACTGATATCTGGACAGTTTTGTATCATGAGACTCTGTGTGTTCTTTAAACCTGTTTTAGCTGGATTTATGTGACAACACCTCAGCAGGGAAAGATCTCCCTTGTTACCGCTGGATAGAAGAAGTGGTACGGGGTCCTCACAACAGTGTGCTCTGTTGACATATGGTGCGGGAAAGCTCTTCATTACTGCTTGGTGGGATTGGGAGCTTAAGAGTTCCAGTTCCCCATGTGTCTCTACTGACACTGCAAGGTGTAGGCTTGTTATTGGATGGTAGAGATGAAAGACATGGTTTTCTACTTGGCCTCCTCTGAAATAATTCTGGTAGGTAGGAGCTTCAGGTTCTATATTAGAGGTGGTCAAGGTTTCTTACTGGGCCTTTGTTATCATCGTTGGGTGGAGCCAGTGTTGTGTTTTTTTTTTTTCCCAGATTGAATATAGCAGAAGAGTTATTTTCCAAAAGTTTTCTGCCTTGCTAGTCTACTCCTTTCTTGTTCTATTGGCTACAGAGGCTTTTGTTAGGGTTTTATATGCGTCTGTTGACATTTCAATTTGCCAGCTTCTTCACCTTCAAACCTGGAATATATGAGGCAAAATGAACAAACAAATAAATAAACAAAAATCCCAACAAATCAAATAATGCATCACTATGTCATTCCTTGGGCCCTGTGGTCCCTAGACAGTCTTCCTTCTTTTTTCTGCCTTCAGATTCTACTTACATTTGATATGTAATACCCAGAATTCTTAGTTGGACTTAGTGGGAGGAATAAGGAAAAGTATGTCTACTCCATGTTGCTGGAAGTGGATGTCTCCTTTATTTTTTTATTTTTATCTTTTTTTAACTAATGCTTTGTCTTTACTAGTTTTTCACTTTCTAAATTGGCATAACAGTTTTACTGGTAGACTCTCAAGCATAAAATATATTCCATTTGGACAGAATTATGTAAGAGAAATGAAATAGGGATATAAGTTCAAGAAGAAAAAAGATACCAAATTTCTGACTGTTGAAGAAGATTGCTTAGATACATTTATTTTTAAAAGGTTTTATTTTTTAATTATAATGGATACATAATAGTTGTGCATATTTATGGGGTACATGTGAAATTTTGTTACAGGATTACAATGTGTAATAATCAAGTCAGGGTAACTGGGATATCCATTACTTCAAGCATTTCTTATTTCTTTGTGCTAAGAAAATTACAATTCCACTCTTCATTATTCTGAAACATACAATAATTGATAGCTACAGTTGCCCTATTGTGCTACTGAACACTATATCTTACTTCTGTCTAATTGTATTTTTGTACCCATTAACCTTCTCTCTACTGCATTTCCCAGCCTCTGGTAACCATCATTCTACTCTTTGTCACCATGAGTTCATTTTTTTTTTTTTTAAGCTCCCACATATAAGTGCAAACATGCATTATTTGTCTTTCTGCACTTGGTTTATTTCACTTAACGTAATGACCTCTGGTTCCCTTTATGTTGGTGCAAATGACAGGATTTCATTCTTTTTATGGCTGAATAATATTTTGTTGTGTATATATAACATATTTTCTTTATCCATACATCCATTAATGGCCTCTTAGGTTGCTTCCATATCTTGGCTATTGTGAATAGTGCTGCAATAAACACGGGAATGCAGATATCTCTTCAATACACTACTTGTTTTCTTTTGGATATAGTCCTAGCAGTGGGATTGTTGGGTCATATGGTGATTCTATTTTTAGGTTTTTGAGAAACCTACATACTGTTTTCCATAGTTGTTGTACATTCCCACCAATAGTATACAACTGTTCTGCTTTCTTGGTATCCTTGCCAGCATCTGTTATTTTCTGTTTTTTTGATAATAGCCACTTTAATGTGGGTGAGATGATATTGATTTTTCAGCTCCAGAATTTTTGCTTGATGTTTTAAATTATTTCAGTCTCTTAAATTTTCTTCGCAGAATTCTGACTTCCTTCTCTGTGTTACCTTGAAGTTTGTTGAGCTTCCTCAAAACAGCTATTTTAAATTCCCTGTTTGAAAGGTTACATATTTCTGTCACCTCAAGATTGATCACTGATATCTTACTCAGTTTGTTTGTTGCAGTCATGTTTTCCTGAATGTTTCTGATGTTTGTGGACATTCATGGATGTCTGGCATTGAAGATTTAGGTACTTATTTCAATCTTCTCTGTCTGGGCTTCTTTGTACTCATCCTTCTTGAGTGGGCTCTCCAAGAATTCAGAGGGGATTGAGTGCCCTTATCTAGGCCTGTGGTCACTGAAGCCATTTTAGCACTGGGAGGAGCCCGAAGCCCAGGAACATTGTGACATTTGTAGACTCCTAGATACATAGCCTTGGTTAACTTGGGGAAGATAATGGGGAATTTGTTGGGATACTAGTTACCAGGCAAAATCTCCTACTCTCTTTCCTTTCTTTTTAAATCAGAAGGCATCTCTGTACTGCGCTGCCTGGAATCAGGGAAGGGGTAATGTGGGTGCTTCTCTGGCCATCACAGCTGGTACCATACTGGGTCATACATGAAGCCCATGGGCTTCCAGACCAAGTCAGTACTGGGACTCACTAAGGCCCATAGTCACTACTGCCTGGTTGCCTTTAGTCAGAGGGTACTGAATATTGCCAGGACTGGGTCCATCCCACCAGGGCAGCAGATTCCCTTCTGACCCAGAGTGGGTCTAGAAATGTTCAGAAGCAAAGGCTTGGAACTGGGGACTTCGGGAATATGCCTGGTGCTTTATTTTACTGTGGTTGTGCTGGTACCCAAGTTTCAAGACAAAGTCTTCTGTATTCTTCCCTCTCCTCCTTCAAGTTGGAATAATTTTCTCCCTGTGCTGCACTGCCTAAAGGCGGGGCAGGGGAGGGGTAACAGAGGCACTCACACAGCCACTGCAGCTGATGTTACAGAGGGTTGCATCCCTGGTCTACTGCCTCTGAGACCAGGCAGCACCAGGATTGCCCAAAGACTGTAGTCCTTGTTGCCTGATTGCCACTCAGATTTATTCAAGGACCCAGGCCACTTTAGTGAGCCAGTGATAAAGTGGGCTGGGAGTCAGGCTCCACAGGCTGGGAAAAGATTCCCGTTGGGCCCAGAGCTGGCATAAATTCTCCCTCTGTGGGCACCAGCCGACTTCTGTCCTGTGTTGTGTTCCACTATGACAGCGTAGCATTGAGTTACAATGCAAAGTCCCACACTCACTTTTCTCTCCCTCCCCAAAAACATAGATTCTCTCTCTACACTGAGCCACCTGGGGTTGGGGGAAGGGTGGTGTAGGCAATGCAAAGCTGTCCTTCCTACCGTCTTCAATGCCTCTTTCCTTATTATGATGTGAAAACCAGATACTGTGATTGCTCACCTGATTTTTTGGTTCTTATAAAGGTACTTTGTTGCATGGCTAGTTGTTCAATTTGGTTTTCCTGTGGGGGTTTGATCATTGGAGAATTCTATTTGACCATATTCTCTGCTCTTTAGACACATTTCAAAAGAGAGATTTAACAGTTTTATTTTAAAATGTTATATTTACATTAAACTGGGAATTACATCCTTTGGAAACTGATTAACAATGGCAATCCATTTAAAAATGGGCAACATGTTATAAAGTTTCAAAAAAGTATTTAGGAAATATGTCAGGAAAAACGTTTGAATCCATGGCTCTGGGGTATGTGCTTGAGTTTGAGATTGCTTGACTCTGTATATGAATAGCTTGAGAGAATGTGAAATCATTTTCCAAAGTGTTTTTGTCTGTTTACACTCCCATCAGCCATGCATGACAGTTCCCAGGGTTCCATGTCCCTGCCAGCACTGATATTATCAGATTTAAAAGTTTTGCTACTGTGGTCAGAGTAAAATGTTGACTAATTATCATTTAAATTAGCATTTTCCTAATTGTTGATGCAGTTAAACACCTTTCAATGGTCTATTTTCACATTTATTTTCCCTTCATTTAAGTAGCTGGCATTGCCAATACTTATATTTGCCCCCAAATTTTCAACTGGATTAATTATAATTTTCATATTGACCTGGAGGCATTCTTTATATCTTTACTAATGTTTTGTCAGTTACTGTGTTGATACAACTTTTCATAGCTTGGGTTATATATTCACTCTCATTATGGTGTTTTTGATGAATGTAATAATTGGAATTTTAATGAAGCGCTGTGTATCAATCTTTTTTTTTAAGTTTGCTTTTTGTGTCTTACTTGAAAAATTTCTTACTTACCCTCCAGTCATAGAAATAGTTGATTTTTTTTCTGAAAGTTTTTGTAACCATGCTTACATGTAAATCTCTAATTCACCTGATATTAATTTTAGTATAACAGATGACATAGGATTTTATTTACATTTTTTCCTATTGTTTGTATACAACTTATTGAGCATTTTTCTCTTTGTCTCAGATATTGACAATGCCATTTCTGTCACAAGTTGTTTTCAAATGTTCATGGAACTGAACTTAGATTCAGTCTGTTTCTCTCTCTTCCTCTTTGAGTGACTATCATACAGTTTTAATTACTTTAGCTTTAAAAGAAATATTGATTTAATAAATAAATTTTGCAGTTTCTTTGATCTTATTCCTGTCAAAAATTCTTAAATGATTATTCTTGAAGTCATTTTATTTATCTCTATTGCTGGCTATTATTCTTATTTAATTGTTACTAATTTTTTAATGACTGAAGTTGTTTCAGGGCCAGATATTGCAAAATAAATAGTATGGAGAAGGGGCCAACAGGTGGTCTGGGCTAGCAGGAAATCTTCCTGGCTCTCAGTAGAGTTTTATAGGATAAAATGTGTGTGTGTGTGGGTGGGTGGGTGTGGGTGTGTGTGCATTTATAGTTTAGCCTTGTCTCATTTTTAGTTGATAAAGATGGGGGCAGTCCTTGTACTTTTCTATTCATGATTTCTTCTCTACATTGCTATGGTAATTACAAAGAATGCCTGTATATTTCTTCAGTTATCTTTGTCTCCTCTGCAACTTTGTATATTCAAACAAGGTAGTAGAAAGTTCTTGTACCTGGCCCCATACACTCTGTTATAAATGTTCCAAACAGGTGGTTGTTGGTTTTGATCTTCCTGTCTCTACCTGAGATCTCTACTGGCAAGCGGCTTCACTTTTTTCCTCTTTACCTTGATCCTATTTGTACTTCATTTAGTAATCCTTTCTTATTTATTTTGAAGTTGGTATCAAGGGTATTTATTAGTATTAATGAGGACAGAATTTCCATTTTATTTTCTTGGTCTTGTAGGAAAGTTTAAACTTTCCCTCTGAAGGTTCAATAATTGAGTCTACTGAAATAAGCTGACAAAAGATAGATGAAGAGGAGAAAAGGCACATAAATTTATACCGTGCAAATACACAGAAGTGGCACAACGTATGAAACTCAAGGAAGGGCCAGATGATTGAAGCTTAAATACCCTCTTCATAGGTGAACGGAGAGTGGGAGATTTAGGCAATTTTGGAGGAAAAGTCAATAATTTATAGGGGAAAAGAATGGGCCTAAAGAACAGATAATAATCTAGACAAAGTTCTCCTGAGCTCTGGGGAGGCTGGCAACAAGTTAAGGGAACATTGACGGGCAGAACTACATTAGGAAAAAAAGTTGTCTTATAAAGTCCCTTAGGTAACAGACCTTGGAAGAATAGATGAAATGTCTCTCTGGGCAAGTGTGGTGACAACTTTTAGTTTCTTCTTTGGTTGTCAGTCTTCCCTGGTTAATGAGATTTCAGATAGGAGATTGGAGAAAATTGTATTTTTTTTTTAATAAGAACTACCCTTGGTCACATAACGGTACCTTAGAGATAGCCCCTCCCTTCATCTTGAAGGAGAAACTAGGTAAAGTCAAAGAAATCTTTATTTGGAGGAAGCTTCTAAGGCCTTCCAATTTTCTTTAATTCAAAGTGCGCAGCATGCCAAAGCACCATACTTTGGGGTATTGTTTTCTGAGCCTACTGCTTTCAACACTCTCCTTGCTTTCAGTTGATTTTAGAAAAAAAAGTCATGAAAAGGTTTTAACATATTCAACCTAAAAATCTTAGCTTGATGTTTGAAGTCATTAAAATAATTTCTATAGTTTTTTATAGAAATTATAAAATTTTATGTAAAATTTCTATAGTTTTATGTTTGGTATGAAATTCTGGAGATTGTGTACTTCCATTGGAAAAAAAATTTTAGTAAGTATCACATAGACCATGGAAAAGTTATAATAGATTACATAATGCAATCAAGAGTACAAGGTGAAGAAGTATGTTTGCAGATTTCAGTTGTACTATACAAGGTGTTTTTGGCAAAGAGATAGTAGAATATTATATTTTTGAAATTCATGAATATGTCCCTTGATAAATTTGTATTTGCTTTTTGTCTTTGGTTTCTGGCATACAACTCTTAAAACTCTTTGAATGTCCAGAGTGGTAAGAGTCTCTTTTATATGCTAATTAGATGACTGCTGGATGGGGGCCACTAGATTGCCTTAGGATGGGTGCTGGCTGCCAGAAAGAGTAACTCATGTTTAGAGAGTTAGAAGTTGCAACCCCATCCTCTGATCTCCAGGGGAGGGAGGCTGGAGAGTGAGTCTGATTATCAGTGGTCAATGATTTAATCAATCATGCCTATGTAATGGAGCCACCATAAAAACGCCTAAATAATGTGGTTTGGAGAGCTTTTGGGTTGGTGAACACAGGAAGGTGATGGGAAGGTGGTATGCCTGAGAAAACTTGGAAGCTTCTTGTACCCTGCCACCTCCCCATACCTTGCCCTATGCATTTCTTCCATTTGGTTATTCCTGAGTTGTATTCTTCATAGTAAACTGGTAGTATTAAGTGGGTAACAACCTGGTGGAAGAGGAGACACTTTCATGTGGGCATAATAGAGGACTTACGTGGGACTAGAACTAAGCCTCTCAATTATACCAAGCTATCCATGATAGACCAGGGATTTGATGAGAATCCCACTGCCTTCCTGGAAAGGCTAAGAGAGGCCTTGGTGAAAGACACCTTTCTATCTCCTGATTCAGTCAAAGGACAACCAATTCTAAAGGATAAATTTATTACTCAGGCAGCCCCTGAGATCAGGAGGAAGCTGCAGAAACAGGCCCTGGGAACAGATAGTACTTTAGAGAATCTCCTGAAAGTGGCCACCTTAGTCTTTCACAATAACTCACTGGAAAGCTGATGGAATTACCTCCATAAACCCAGGAAAGCACCCAAAGTACCAATGTGAAGAGATTGGAGACCTCAAGCTAAAAATCACAAAAGATAAGTGTTAATAATTAACCTTCCATGGATGTCCTCCTTGTAGTCTTGCCTATGCTTGCTGTTCTTACCTTCATTCTGTTCTATACCATTGGGTAGAATGTTGTTTTCACAATGATTAATGTATTTCACTTCTTCTTTCTGTAATCTTCAGCACTAGATTGTCTGCTTTTAAACTCCTCTTTGTATGATACACATATTTGATCCATGCACACTTAGCTTTGTAAAACTTGTTTTTTCTCGCCTAGAGGCCATCAAACTCCAAACAGCCAGGGAACCGGACTCTCAGATGATGGCTTCCTTTTGCAGGGTAACCTTAGGTAGACCTCTGGGAGGAATCTGACTGCCATTCTCCCCAAAACAACTCCCCCTGTTAGCAGGAGGTGGTTAAAACCAGTCATTGTCTGTATTCTAATGGCAGTTAGATGTGCCTTTACAGAGGGGGGAATGTTAGGGACAGGAAGCAGAGAAATTCTGGGCAGAAGAGGGTGGGGTCTCTGATGAGGGTCCCACCCTCAAGCCAAAAAGCCTAATACTGCAGCCCAAAGTGAGAACTTTACATCTCCATTTTCCTGCTGGAATGTTGCCTTTTCCAAAACCACCCATGGCCTGCTCCACCCCCATCCTATGCCCATAAACCCCCAGGACCTGCCAGCAGGGAGAGGAGAAGCGGCTGGATGTCAGAGACTATGGTTGGATGTCGGAGAGAAGCAGGACAACTTGACAGCATAGCTTCGAAAAGGAGTCCAGCCATTCATGGAAGATTACCTTCCTGCACTGTCCCCTTTTCAGCTCTCATTCCCACTGACAGGCACTTTCATCAGCAATAAAATCCCCCACATTTATCACCTCAATTCATTCATGCAACCTCATTCCTCCTGGATGCTGAACAAGAACTAAGGTGTGGGTGCAAAAGGCTGTCCCTGACCCTCCACTGACCTTCCACTGAGCTGTTAACATTTAAGCCTTCTGCAATGGCATGGTGGCAAAGTTAAAAGAGCACTGACTGTAACACTCCTACTGGGGCTTCAGGGTCACAGGTACTCCCCGCTAGACGTTGCCACAGGGCCGGCATGGAGTTTTGCCTTTGTTGGCAGCCAAAACCGCTTGCTCCGGCTTCTGCACCTGCTCACCTGCATGCTCCCCTCCTGCAAGGGGTGAAGTGCAGAAGGTCTGAGGGAGTGGAATTCGCCCCTGCCAGTGCTGATGTGGCTGGCTAGTTCCGGTGCTCCTGCACCTCAGTTCCCACCCATGAAAGGGTCAGGGAAATATCCTGCTTCACTAGGACTTATAACAGCCAGCCGAAGTGAAGGCAGTATGTGGGACTGAGCCCTTAACTTGTGGAGTGTTATGCTAACTCCAGGTAGATAGTGTCAGAACTGAATTGAATTGTGGGACATTCAGCTGTTGGAGAGTTGGAGATGTGGTGTTGAAAGAGACACCACACATTCAGTGTCAGAGGTGTTGTGAGTAAAAGTAGATTCCTAATTTATTAAAATATGCATCTGAAGAAAATCTAATGTAATTGGCTATATCTTTTTTTATTTTTGATAACATGAGATAAACAGAAAGTATTCATTAAGCTTATACAATATATCTAGTACTGAACATATAACTTGATAGATATGAGAACTGACTTTCTAGTACTAAGAAGGAGAATTATTAACTGTGGCTAGCACATAATCCAAAAAGAACTATAGAGATTACTTTTTATTTTGAAATATCTAACTTGATAGTAATCGTGTAGATGAAACAGTAGATATAGGATAATTCATGAATTTGCTATCTCATTGCCGATTTATTATTTAAAATGCTCTTCATTTTAAGGTGATGTAATTCTAGGTAAAAGAAGGTGTTTGGGGGTAAGTTCTGTCCTCACTAGAGTTGTCTACTCTTACTGGGTCCTAGATTAAAAACTAGTCCTCAGTATCTTTGTCAACTCTTCAGTATTGACAAATACTCCTAGAACAAAATTCTTTATGAATATGGGGTTCATATCTCTGGATTTCTGTATTCTCATTTATCTTGGTTCAGTTATTCCTCATTCTATTTTTAGTTCTTTAATGCTTTTTTTTTTTTTCAAATTTTCTCTGGATATTTAACTTGTCATTTATGGAGACTAGGAGGTTAATCTGAATTATCTTGCTTTCCGATACTGGATACGATAGTCCTGATATATTTTGTAAGCTTCACAATTTAAATGGTTTTCCTAATGACACTAATGTCCTAATGGCTGTCCTAATGACACAAAGGAGATTGAGATTCCAATTATGTGTTATAAAACATTGCATGACATCCTTATTCTTTGCTAAAGTTGCAATGGCCAAAAAAAAAAAAGCGTTCAGAAGCATTTTTAAAGGTATATTACATATTAGTATTAAACTCTGATATTTGTGAATAAAGTTACATTTGTTTTATGAATATTTCATTATTGGGTCATGAAATTTAGCTACAATTAATTAAAGATTCTTTTTTATTTTTTAAATAAGCCTTTCATTATTAAATGAGTGGTGTTCATTCTTATTGCTGGTGCCTTAGAATAGCAAAGATACTGTATGGTATATATCTGGCTGTAGCATTTGTCCTTTCTGTACTGCATTCAATATTTACTGTGGCATCTAGATAAGTTATTGATTATTGGTATCAGAGATCTATTGTTTTTCATGCTATTTGTGTAATGGGTCCTTGCAATTAAATTATTCCTAGTGATGAAGTCTCCTGAAAATACTTGAACTAATCTTTTTAGTCAGTAGTAATTTCTTCCAAAATAATGTAGCTTACAACATTATAAAGTCATATCTCTAAAAGTTATAATTTTTTCATAAGGACAATATCTAATTTTGATATAACAAATATCAAGTAACTATTATTAGAGTGTTTGATAATGGGATTTAATGGTAAATAATACAAATCTTGCCTCAGCTTTCATAAGGTTTAGAGTCTATTATAATTTCAAAGTCCCTAATGAACTTTTATTAACTTTTAACAAGCCCAGTTAATTAACAAAATTCTGGATTTCTTATACAGCTATATTTTTTAGACTTAAAGTATCTGAGAGCCTAATCTGTTTATGAGAAGTTGTTGGCTTTATCACTGAAGAATTGTACAACATAATTTGGTGTAAAGTTGCATGCTTTAGGTTCTGAAACTCACAATATTATAGTAGTTATATTTTTGCTTTTGATTATTTTAAGGCTATTTTTACCTTTGTGCAGCTACCAGGAAACACGGTTTTTTTTTGTTGTTGTTGTTGTTTTTGAGACGCAGTCTCGCTCTGTCGCCCAGGCTGGAGTGCAGTGGCGCGATCTCAGCTCACTGCAAGCTCCGCCTCCTGGGTTCACGCCATTCTCCTGCCTCAGCCTCCCAAGTAGCTGGGACCACAGGCGCCCGCCACCACGCCCGGCTAATTTTTTTGTATTTTTAGTAGAGACGGGGTTTCACCATGTTATCCAGGATGGTCTCGATCTCCTGACCTCGTGATCCGCCCATCTCGGCCTCCCAAAGTGCTGGGATTACAGGCGTGAGCCACCGCACCCGGCCGGAAACACGATCTTAATAGTTCTCGTCTTAGGGAGCTGGGAAGGATACAGGGTGAAGGGTAAAATATGCTGGAGTCAGACAAGGATTGGAATCCTTGCCCTGCTACTTAGTGTATGACCTTGAACAACTTATTTAATCTCTCTGAGCCTCAGTTTATTTTTCTATAAGCTAAGTATTATAATAGCTACTTTGGTGGGTTTCGAGAGCACTCACCAGGGAGATGCTTCTCGACTTACAATGGGGTTACATCCTGACAAATCCATCAAAAGTTAAAAATATCATTAAGACAAAAATGCATTTAGTATCCCAATAAACCCATCATAAAAGTTGAAAAATTGTAAATCATACTGTCATAAGTCCACATGCTCCTTGAGTTACGATGTGGTTATGTCCCAGTAAGCCCATAGAAAAGTCTACGAATTATAAGTCGAACCATTGTAAGTCAGAGACCGTCTGCATAACATACATGATTATGTAGCCCAGGGCAGCTGTTGTGAATATAGTAACAGACATAGATAATAACAGCTACCACTTTCTTTTTTCCCTATCCCCAAGCAGTGCCAAATCACAGGTTCCAGACCAAACAAGGAGGAAAGTTGCTTTTTCTTCCCTATCATTCTAAGATCTTTTTCTTGGGCTTTACATTAAGGCGACTGATAAAGACTTTGTTGCATCCTCCATCAAGTAAAAGCATTAAAGTCATCTAATTGTAAATTAAATGATAAACCTGCTTCACTGTGGGATATGAAACTTGTGAATATGAGGTCAAATTTCTCTTGCTGGGAAAAGAATAATAATAGCTCCTGGCTGTTTAAGCTGAGAGGATATGTTTCCTGTGACATTTAATCTGATAATAAAAGGCTGTGGGTAACTCTTATGGGAATCAGGCAAATGATACGTACCAGGAAATGCTCTGCTCTGGCTGTAGAAGTTGAAGGTTGAGTAACTTCATACTAATGTAGCAAGAGCTAGTTTATCACAATTCAGCTAAACAAATAAGAAGCCTTTGAATACAAAATGAATTTGATGCAATTGGGGATTTTACACTCAAATATATAATACAGATTGGAAAGAGATTGATATTATATCATATTTTGTTTTGGGAAAACTGAGTTTGAACAAGTTGGTCTCAATTTGAGCCTTGCATGTCACGCTGGCTTATCCAATTTCAGAAGAAATTACTGACACAAATTCTTTGGAGGAAATTATTTTCTGCACCATGAAATCTTTTCAGACAATTGTTCAAATGAACTCCAACATGGTAAATCTTTTTCAGAATAACTGAACAGAGCACTGGAGAGCAAATTAATCCTTTTTTAGTTAGTTTGTTTGTTTTTTAGGTTTTCTAAGTGAAAACATTTATATAGTTATTGATTTACTTTTTCTGATTTAATTTAAAAAATAAATTGATTATACTTATAAATGACAGTCCAGTAAAAGAGTTTAACTTAGATCTTATGAGAGTTGCTTGATGGATGTTAAAAAGCCATTAGGTATTTTTGACAAGTGTTTGCAGTGAAAATTTGTATGAAATTCTTACTGTCTTTTTCTACTCTTGGTCTGATTCTGTTGAACACCTTCCTTATGACTTTAAGCAAACTGTTGGAGTAGAGTCTTGCCATCACATGCTCTCATATTCAAAATCAGTAAACCTGGTATAGATAAAAAATTTTAAAACCTGATAGCTTTAACTTTGAAATTGGGTTCCATCATTTACTAGTTGTATTATCTAAAGTTTCTTTAACTTCTCTAAATCAATAAAAAGAGTTTCACAATACTGCCTTAAAGCTACTTTGTTTTAAGGATTAAATGATTTGTGCAAAGGCGTAGTGCATTGCTCTGGCATCAACCTGCCAGCTCATCTGGGTTAGACATCACATGGCCCTCACAGTGGCTACCTACTGCATTTTATTTCTAAACATTTTTCTGCAGTTTAGTCTTATCCTTCTATTCAAATTGCTTTCTTACTATAAGAAACTTCAGATATAAATAAAATGGCCATGAATCTCATCTTCTTGAATGATATGTGTGGCTAGCTATATTTTGGGAGGTGAAGAGAATAACCAAAGAAGCTACAAGAGGAATATTGGAATACAGTCTACCTTGGAACAGTGCCTATCTCATGTGGGAACATCTTTTGGTACTTTTGTTCATATTGCTATTCTCTTATATGTAGGAAGAGAATAAGTAATGTTGTGACTGATGAATATTTCTAGCTTTTCTCATATCTGTGGCTGTCTTTCAATTAGTGAAAGGCAGTAGAGTGTGAAGAGCACAGGTAGGTAATTTTTTTTTTCTATGCATACAACGGCAGGCTAACATTGGATACTTTTTGCAAAAGTATTTTCATCTTCATGTTCAAAATTTACTACAGTGCTCACTTGAAAGACTTCAGTTTTCTAATAATTTCTGTATAGTTTATTGGCAAATCTTGGACCAATTTCATGGTTTGACTAGTTTTAGAAAAATAGACTTCTGGTTTCCAGCTTGACATGTAAAACTCTTGAAAGTCATTATTCCTGTCTTTACAACAAGAAAAAAGCTGAACAAACTCCAAATCAACAACTTTTCATGTAATCTTCAGATAATTAAGGCCACAAGGTAGACTGCTGCTCTGAAACTGGAGAGATAGATAGGGTAATACAGAGACCTCCCCTAAGAGAAGATGCCCAGAGCAGAAGCCAGCAGCTAAAGTCAGTATCAGTAAGATTACATTAAAGTGTAGTTGACAAATTGTTCCAGTCACAGTGTGGCTTAGAAATTAAAATCTCATAAGAGGTCCTTAGGGATGCCCTCACACATTGTGTTTTACCTTCAGGAGCCCTATCAGATTCTCAATGAGAAGATCAGAGAAGACTCCTCTGTGCTTCCAGCAGGAGGAGGAAAAATGTAAGCATTTTGAAAAACACCCAGAGATCTATGTTCTCCTTAACAAGGCCTGTACTCATGAAAATCTGTTTTATCAGAGCCTATCCACTTGTGTTCTACCAAAGCCTAATTGACCTGGGTGAAGAGAAATACCCAACTCCATTAGAGGTATAATATGCTGAGAGAAAAAAAGTGAGAAATACCCAACTCCAGCTCCCTCTAGACTTCAACATTGCGGAACAGGAATATCCAACTCAGTCTCGCTAAAAGACTGAGACCTAATCATATGGTATAGAGTGCGTCCCTTCCCCCTAGACCTTACCACTACGGCTTCTGTAAAATAACAGATTACAGCTAAAAGAACTGAAAGCCATGGGACATACTTAAGAAATATTAGCAAAACCAGAAGACAACAAGGGAGGCAAACATAAATGCAAAAGCAAAACCAAAACAAACAAACAAACAAAAGAAGAGTGGAAACTTTAGCCTCTTACCCCACAGCTACAGAAAGCAGTAAACATAGACTTACTCCTAGCCAGATAAACAAAACCTTGTACTAAAGGCTTATTAGCCCCAGTTTCTTTTATCTGATACATCATTTCCAGTTATCAATAAAAAATTATAAGGCATGCTAACAAGCAAAAACACAGGATAAAGAGGCAGAGCAAGCATTAGAACCAGATTCAGATATGGCAGGGATATTGGAATTATTAGACCAGGACTTAAAATTACTATGATTAATCAATCTATTATAGACTGAATGCTTGTGTCACTCCAACATTTACATTTTGAAGCCCCAATACCTCATATGATGGTATTTGGAGGTGGGGCCTTTGGAAGGTAATTAGGTTTAGTTGAAGTCATGGGGGTGAGATCTCTATGATGGGATTAGTGTCCTTACAAGAAAAGGAAGAGAATGGAGCTTGTTTTCTCTTTGCCATGTGACAATACAGTGCAAAGGTGGCCATCTGTCAACTAGCAAAAGGGATCTCTCTAGGAACTGAGTCTGTACATTGATTGTCTGCTTCCCAGACTTCAAAACTGCAAGAAATAAATGTCTGTTTAAGGCACCAAGTCCATGGTGTTTGGTTATGGCAGCCTGAGCTGACTAAGACATGCTGGGAGCTCTAATGGAACAGGTGACCAACAGGAAAGAGCAAATGAGATATGTCACCAGAGAGATGAAAACTCTAGGTAAGATTTTTTTTAATGCTAAAATAAATAACACAGTAATGGAAGTAAAGGATGCTTCCAATTGGTTCATTAGTAGACAGGACGTTGTCAAGAAAAGAATAAGGGACCTTGAAAATATGTCAATAGAAACTTCCAAAACTGAAATGTCAAGAGGAAAAAGAATGAAACAGAATATTCCAAGAACTGTGTGACAACTAAAGGTATAAATATGCATAAAGAAAATGCCAGAAGGAGGAAACAGTAAGAAACAGAAGAAATATTTGAATTAATAATGGCTGACAATTTTCCAGAATTACTGCCAGGTGCCAAACTAAAGATCCAGGATGGCTAAAGAACACCAAGTAGGTCAAATACCTAAAAATCAATACTTATGCACATCATATTTAAGCTGCAGAAAAGCAAAGACAAAGTGAAAAATCTTGAAAGAAGCCACAGGGATAAAAAAAATCTTAACTACAGAGGAGGAAGAGTAAGAATTACATGAAACTTCTCAGAAACCACAGAGGTAGAAAGAGAATACAGTGGTATATTTAAGGTATTGGAAGAAAAAAAGCCACCAAACTAGAATTCCATATTCAGTGAAATTATTTTTCAAAAATGCCAGATAAATAAAGACCTTCTCAGACAAACATTGAAGGGATTTATTGATAGTAGACCTGCCTTGCAAGAAATGTTTAAACCTATAGCTCACATTACACCCAATGATAAGAAACTAGATGCATTACCCCTAAGTTTGAAAGCAGGACAAAATGTCTCCTCTCAACTTAAATGCTTCGTTGTATGGAAGTCCTAATTAATGCAATAAGACAATAGAATAAAATGTATACAGATTGGAAGAAATAAAACTTCACAAATGACATGATCTATGTAAAAAAAATCAGAGAATTGATTAAAAAAACAACTTCTAGAACTAATAAGTAATTACAGCAAGGTCAGTGGATACAAGGTTAATATAGAAAGTCAGTTGCTTTCCTATGCACAGGCAATAGGCAATTGCAATTTAAAATTAACACACAAAAAGAGAAATACTTAGGTTTAACTCTAACAAAATGTATACAAGTTCTATATGGGGACAACTATCAAACTTTGATTAATAAAACTCAATAAATTTGGAGATATTCTTTGTTCATGAATAGAAAATTCAATATTGTTAAGATGTCAGTTCTTCCCAACTTAGTCTATAGATTCAATGCAATCGCAATCAAAATGTCAATAAGTTACTTTATGAATATCAAAAAACCAATTCTAAAGTTTACATGGGCAGGCAAAAGACCAAGAATAACCAACACGATATTGAAGAACAGAAAGTTGGAGAGCCAACACTGCATAACTTACTACAAATAATATAAGATTTACTTTAAAGCTATAATAATCAAGACTGTGGTATTTGCAAAAGAATAGACAAATAAGTAAATGGAACAAAATAAAGTCCAGAAACAGACCCACACAAATACAGTCAACAGATCTTTGATAATGGTATAAATGTGATTCAATGGAGAAAGGGTAGTGTTTTCAACAAATGATATTGTAACAACTGGACATCCACATGTTTAAGAAAATAAGTGTAGACACTGACCATAACTTTCACAAAACTAACTCAAAATGGATCATACACTTAAATGTGAGTTTTAAAACTATAAAACTCCTAGAAGATAACATGGAAGAAAATATTAATAGCCATTAGTTTGACACTGAGTTTTTAGGTGAAACATCATAAGCACTATCTATCAAAGAAAATATCGATAAGCTAGACTTTATTAAAATTAAAAAATTCTCTGCAAAAGACACTCTTACGAGAATGAAAAGACAAGCTTATACTGAGGGAAAATATTTGCAAAACACCTATCAGATAAATGACTTGTGTTCAAAATAAATAACTTTTTAAAAGAAAACCAATAACTCTTAAAACTCAGCAAAAGAAAACAACCCAATTAAAAAAGGAGCAAAGGATCTGAACAGACGATGCACTGATGAAGGTATACAGATGGCAAATATACACATGAAGAAATTCTCAAAATTATATCCTTAGGAACAGAATGTTAAAGCAACAATGAGGCATCACTACACACTTATTACAGTCATGGCTAACACGCAAGACATTGACAACACCCGCCACGAGCTGATGAAGATGTGGAGCAAAAGGAACCCTCATTTATTGCTGGTGAAGATGAAAAATGGTACAACCATTTTGGAACACAGTTTGACAATTTATTTCAAGGCTAAACAGTAGTCCATGAGTCATGCTCCTAGGTATTTACCCAAATGAGTTGAAAATGCATGTCTACATAAACAACTACACACAAATGTTTATAGAAGCTTTGATTCATAATTGCAAACATTAGGAGCAGCTAAGACATCCACTAATAGATGAATAAACTATGGAACATCCATACGATGGAATATTATTCAGTGATAAAGATAAATAAACTATTAAGTCATGGAAAACTTTGGAGGAATCTTAAGTGCATATTAAGTAAAAGAAGGCAGCCTGGAAAGGCTACATACTGGATGATTCCAAATACATGACATTTGGGAAAAGGCAAAAGTATAGAGACTGTAAAAAGATCAGCAGTGCCAGAGGTTCAGGCTGGGGTGGGGGCGATAGGGAGGGATGAATAGGTGGAGCACAGGGCATTTTTAGGGCAGTGAAACTATTCTGCATGATGCTCTAATGGTGGATAAATGACATTATACATTTGGAAAAAGTCAAACTGTACAACACAAAGAATGAACACTAAAATCATGGATTTCAGTTAATAATAATATATTAATATTGGTCCATTAATTGTAATAAATGCATCACACCAATGCAAGATGTTAACAGTGTGGGAAATTGTGGGCTGGAGAAGGCAGAAGGAATATGTTTTCTGTTCATTTTTTTTCTGTAAACCTAAAGCTTCTCTAAGAAATAAAGTATATCAATTAAAATATATCTGAATTAAAATAAAAAATTAATACATAAACATGAACAAAGTGAATAATTAAAACATATAGGTTACTATGCAAAATTGTTCAGATATTTGCTCTTAATTTCTACTTTTCAAACTAAATTTTGAGACTTTAGCTATTTTGATCTAAAAATGCACAAATTCTCATAAGTTTAGATATCTATACACATACAAATATGAATGTAGCATATATGTGTATGTCACAAAATGCTCCTGATTTTAACTGGTTAATTTTTACTTCATCATTTTTAGAAAACACTGCTTTGAACATTTACCCCCTTACCTAGTGTTCTTTGAAATTTTTCATCACTTATGATGATGTTTAAATATCTTTCTTTGTGGTAAAGCATGCCACAACATGTCTTTAAGCTATCATCCAGTTAATACTCTTGAAACTTGCATTTCAGCCAGTCTGGCAATCCAATAAGCTCTGAACATGCCATGTATGCCCTCATTTCCACCCTCCTTTACTTACCTAAAATGCTTGTTCCGCTCATTTTCTTTTACTGAGCTCTTTCCCAAATTATATTGACCTTATTATTTATATCACTCATCTATTTCCCAGTACTATGGATGGTGTGTTTTTGTGTAGGTCTTATGTCCCCAGTTAGATTATAGACTCTTTTATGGCAAAGCTTACATCATATAAATTTGAATCTCCAGTTCTTAACACATTCCTTACAATCAGTATGGGTTGAAAAGGATTTGATGACAATGACTTTGTCAGATTTTTTTTTTTTTTTTTAATGATTGGATAGATGCCATCCTGGAGTTTAACTTGATAATATCTCTAACTGTGTATTTGTTGAATAGGTAGTATCAAAAAATTTTGTAAGCTCCCTTAAGCACCTGAGTAGTCAATATTTACATTTTAGACAACTGATGTGCTTGTGGGAAATCATATCTCTTCAATAAAACCAGGAATTTCATTAGGCAATCTTCTATTAGTTTAGTTCTAGTCACGTTATTACTTGCAAATAACAGAGCAGGCATTTCTTTAGATACAGCCTGCCAATATTAAATATGTTACTAATTCAGAATGGTTTCTCTCAGGCCATATTAATGAGTTTTGTTGAAAAATCAAAATGTATATGATACTCATAGAACTGCTGCTACAAGCACATTTAATTTATTTTTATCCATTTGGAGGTCATTACCAGGCTTTAGACATTTTACAGGTTGAATTCTTTGTTTTGAATGTTAAAAACAATGAGATGCCTTGACATCCATAGCTATAATGAATGAAACGAGGCAAATACATTGTGACTTGTCTTATTCAATGAAATATTTATGCCCTTTGGAAGTCTCAATTACAATGCTGCTTTCCGCCCCACCCCTTTACTGTTTCAGAAAATAAAAAAGAAAGAAAGAAAAAATGCAGAATAGGGTTATTAGAAGATTTTATAGCGTAGAAAAAGAAGCCAAAGGCCCTTCTGAAGGCACTTGTATGTCTGATGATGATATTTCCTGCCTCAAAGGGATCCTGTTGCCTTTACAGGCAGAGCTGGCTGTGGCAGATGCCCCTCTGTTAGCAAAGGCTGTCTTCAATGAAGGAAGAAATTTAGAGGGGATGATTTCCCAGTTACAGTGCTGCCAACAGAGAGTTTATAACAAAAGGGTAGTGCTGTCATGCATGGTTGGGGACATGACAATGGCAATTGTTCTTATGATGATTATAAACTATTCTTGCTGGATCTGAATGGCCTAGCCGACTGGGGGAAGTTTTTCAGACTTGGACTCTGTCCACTTCCCTGCTGTGTGGGAATGCAGTTGTTCATTTTCTTGTTCTCTTTCTGTTGTCTCCTGGCAGCCTATAAAATTGGAGTTATTAAGCCTCACAGTTTAGTTAATGCTTCCAGTCGAGTCTGGGGAAGAAACCAGGAAGCAGGTAACTGACTTTCTAAACAGTTTTGGCAAGGGGGAGGCAGTACCCTTAACAGATGGCAGTTTGACTCATGGAAAAGTCAATTGCTTCCTTTTATTTCCAGCAGGTATTGAGAAGAGCTGGATGAACAGTTCACAGAGCAGTGTGGAAAAAATGTAACTGAGTATGTAGAAAGAGAAAACAAGGAACTTCTGAGCCAAGGCAGATCAAAGAATGTTTGAGGATAGTTTAGCATTTGGAACACTTCAAAAGTGTGACAGGGGCTATTCTTTTTACCTCCCGCCTCAAATGCTTATCCAACATTCTTGGGTAAGCTTTCATATGTAAAGTGAAAATGAGAACTGGCTCTCTTATGAAATGTCCTGTTATTTGTTATCTTTCATTAAGCTGGGACCTGAGAGTACAGAAAAGGGAAAAACGTAATGATGAAGTTAGGCTGATCTTTTATGGAGTTGAAGCTCTTGTTAAACTTCTGACACTTACTTTTGACAGTTATCCATAACAGTGGTGACTGTTTAAAACTATTTCAAATGGTAGTATTGCTTTTCCCTATTGAATTACTTTGCTGATTATTTCCCTCTGGTTTGGAATTTTTTGAATGAATGAATGAATAAATGATAAAAAAAGAATGAATGGAAATGTACATGAATACAATGCCCTTGCCATTGCCTTAATGCTAGGAGCTTGCAATACCACATTAAATAGCAAAGGAGGGAGAAGAATGCTTGTTTCTATTTGGTGACCTTTGGAAGCTCGCTGGTGTATAATATGTTTTCATCACATTGAAAACTTCTGACAATAGAAACGTGATATGCAGTTTCTTTCTCTAACTGAATGGCTGAGGTATAGCATTCTGCTCCATGTCCTGACCTTGAATAGAATATACTTGGTATTTTTTAAAACCTAGAACAGATGGAAGGGCTTCAGTTAAACTGAGTAAAACTGAAGAAGTTTGTTTGGTCTCCTGATTAAACCTATTCACTGTAAGATGGAAAAAGACAACTCTGAAAATAAATAAAAAATACATTACTTTCAATAAATTACAGATGATTAAATAGAGCAGCAACTGTAATATTATAGTCAAATTCCTTGCTAAAAATAGTGATTGAGGATAGGACAAATACAGAATTAGTTGCATTAGGTTTAGAGATTTATGTTCATTCTGAGCCATTGACAAACTCATTCATAATGCATTTTCACTGAACAGCAGGCCAACTCAACGTTTCTGACGGACTCATCCATAGTTTTGATGGTAAAGGAGCATAGGTGAAGTACATTTTTAGATCTCATATATCTTGTTCTTCTTGAGGCACCAAAGGTTAAGTACATGGTCCGTCCCATGGAGCAACCTGCTGAGATACTCCACTGTGGTGTTTAAGGTTAGGGATTTTAAAGATTTGTGTGTGTGTGTGTGTGTGTGTGTTAGATGATGCAGCCTGATACCTTGAGGTAAACTTAATTTTAAACATCTTTGGTAACTTCTGATTAGATTTCCCACCTGGAAAAAGTCAAGCATGAAAGGTTATTTAACCAAGAGCTTTTCCAGATTATGATAGACCCAGGTGCTATAATCTATCCCTTACTTTTAATATCTTATAAAATATTTATACAAATGCTTCATTAAAGTCCATTTACATTTTCTTTTTCTTTCGTTTATTTATTTTTTTTAGAGAAAAGGTCTCAGTCTGTCACCCAGACTGGAGGTCAGTGGCATGATCCCAGCTTTGAACTCCTGAGCTCAAGCTGTCTTCCTGCCTCAGCCTCTTGAGTAGCTGAGAATACAAAGAACAGAGATATTGGTAGATCAATAAGCCATGAGCGCAGGCACCTGCCACTCATGCCTGGCTAAGTTTTTAATTTTTTGTAGAGACACGGTCTTGCTATGTTGCCCAGGTTGGTCTTGAACTCTTGGCCTCAAGTGCTCCTTCCGCCTTGACCTCCCAAAGTGCCGGGATTATAGGCATAAGCCACCATGCTTGGCCTGTCCATTTACGTTTTCAAAAACCCAGTTCCTGTTAAACAGCTCCTTTTAACTGATGATAAAAGGGTTTTAATTCTATAATGTAACATATGTCTGGATTTTGAGTTAAGCATGTTCTGTCTTTGGTGAAAAACATGAAAACTTGGAACTTTAGTGCCAAAGAGAAGAGAAATGCATACAGGTCTTAAGTAATGAATAAAACTCTAAAATGGGATGAAAATGACTTTTGCTTATAAATATTGATGTAACTGGCTTATCAGCCTATCAATATCTTTGTAAGTGTCAAATGGAAGATTGATATCTTTTACTGGGGAAATGATCAATGGTATCACATATCTAGATTGTTTATCAGATTTCCTTCTCTGAGTCTTCATTTTTTCATCTATAAAGTGGGGATAATAATAGTAAAACCTAAAGAAGATTCTGGGAAGATGGCAGAATAGGAAGTACAAGAAATCTGTTTCCTCACTCAGACAGCAATTACACTGAGAGAATCTGTGTGATGTAACTATTTTGGAACTAGAGTTTTTTGAAGGCTTGCAACATCCAGTAGAAGAGTTGGACAGTAAATTGTGGTTAACTTTAGGAAACTTTATCTCTTAGCTCATCAGTAGCTACCTTTACCCATCTCCCACCCGCCTGTTGCTTACCTATGCCTATGTTCCTGGAGCAACTTCCAGGAAGCCAGGGTGGCTAATAAGGACCCTGTCTTTCAAATATTGGGGATCTGCAAGCTAATTCCTGATGTGGCTTCTGATTATGAGGGCTTAGACACAGAGGTGGCAGCCATTGTTGTTGCACCTTCCTCCATTGTTGCAAGTCCCCCTCCGTTTGGCTGAAGTTACTTCCAGGAAACTTAAAAGACCAGTGCCTTTTTTCATTGCCCTTTATTTTTCTCCTTTCCCCTCTTTGGGAGCCAGATATTAAAGACTGGTATAATCAAAAGCAGCTGCATATATGAGGGAAGTTAGAAAGTAACCTCAAATGCCCAGCAAAAGCACAGGCTCAGAAAAGACTTCAAAAGGCATTACATTTATACCTTAAGCTTATTCACAATGCATGCAACAATGAAACAAACAAACAACAACAAAAAAAAACAAAACAGCATCAAACCCTGTGGAAGACGAGATTCTGATTTTCAGTTACCACATTATTAGATTCAAATGCTCAGTTTTTAACAAAAAAAATTACAAGGCATTTATAGAAACAGGAAATTATATTCCATTCAAATAAAAAAAAGACCTATTGGAAACTATTTGTGAGAAGGACCCGATGGCAAATATACCAGGAAATTACTTTAAAATAACTGTCCTAAAGATGCTCAAAGAAAGAAAGAAAGACATGGAGAAAGTTAATAAAATGATAAGTGAACAAAGTGAAAATATTAATAAAGAAGAAACTTAAAAAGAAATGAAAAACTCTGGAGCAGAAAAGTACAATAAGAAACGAAAATTCACTATAGAGTTTCAAAGGCAGATTTGATCAGATAGAATAAAGAATCAGCAAATGTGAAGATAGGACAATGGAAGTTATCTAGTCTGAGAAACAGAAAAAAGATTGAAAAAAACTGGACAAACCTTAAAGAACATTGTACAACATCAAGCAGCCCAACATATAAATTAGGGAAGTCCCAGAAAGATGAGAAAGAGAGAACCAGAAAAAAAATTTGAAGAAATAATGACAGAAATTACCCAAATTTGATGAAAGACATAAATATAAACATCTAAGAAGCTCAATAAACTACCAGTAGAATGAACTCAAACAGACCCATGCTGAGATACATTATAATCAAACTGTTGAAAGCCAAGGCAGTGAATACTGAAAGCAGTGAGAAGAAGACACTGCAAACAAGAAATCCTCAATAAGATTATTAGCAGGTTTGTCATCAGAAACTTTGGAGGCCAGATGGCAGTGGGCTGATAAAGTGCTAAAAGGAAAGAAATCTGTCAATCAAATATCTTATATGTGGCCAAGTGTTCTTCACAAATGAGGAAGTTAAGAAGTCCATAGATAAACAAAAGCTGAGGTAATTTATTACCATTAGACTTGCCCTGCAAGAAATGTTAAAGGAAGTTTTATAGGTTGAAATGAAAGGACCCTAGAGAGTAATTTGAAGTGTGTAAAGAAATGAAGATGGCAGTAAAGGTAAATACATGGGCAATTGTAAAAGCTAGTATTGTAATTATCCTTTGTAACTCCATATTTTGATTTCTACATAATTTAAGAGATGAATGCATTAATAACAATGATTATTAGTTTATGTTTTGGACACACAATGTATAAAAATATAAATTTGTGACATCAACAACTAAAAGCAATGAGGTCAGAGCTATAAAAGAGCAGAGTCTTTTGTATGTTATTGAAGTTAAGATGGTATACATTCAAATTAGAGTATTATAAATGTAGGTGTTAAATATAATCTTCATAGTAACCATAAACATACAAAGAAAAGGGATGTGACTTAAAATACTTCACGACAAAATGTCAGTGAAGCACAGAAGATGACAGTAATACAGAAAATGAGAGATAAAAGCTATAAGACATATAGAAAACAAAGAAAAATTAAAAATGTTTCTCCTTATTTATAATTATTTTAAATGTAAATAAACTCAAATCAAAAGACGAAGACTGGCAAAATGGATTTAAAAGAGAAAACATGATTCGACTACATAACAAGAGAGTCACTTCAGATCTAAAAAACCAAAAAGGTTAAAAGTGAAAAGATGGAAAAATATATTCCATACAAATTTTAACCAAAATGCACCAGACGTGGCTATTTTAATATCACACAAAATATACTTTAAATCAGAATATTTTAAAAGTGATAAAGACATATACTAATAAAAGTTTCAATACATCCAGAAGATATAAAAATTATAAATACTTACTTAATAACAGACCATCAATATATATGAAGCAAAATTTGACAGAATTGAAGGCAAAAATAAACAGTTCTACAATAATAGCTTGAAACTTCAATACCCCTACCTCAATAATGGATAGAACAACCAGATGGAGGATAAGTAAGGAAATAGAGGACTTGAACAATATGATAAAGCAACTAAACTGACAGACATATACAGAACAGTCTACTCAACAGCAACAAAATATACATTCTTCTCAAGTACATATAGGCTATTTTCCAGGATAGACAATATTTTGGGCCAAAGATTAAGTCTCAGTAAATTTAAAAAGACAGATATTATGCCAGGTATCTTTTCTAACGACAATGGAATAAAGTTAGCCATCAATAACAGAAGGAAAACTGAAGGATTCACAAATTCGTGAAAATTAAACAACACATCTTAAAATAATGAGTGTATTAAAGAAAAAATTGCAAGAGAAATTAAAAAATACTTAGAGATGAATAAAAGTGAAAACCCCACATTATGGAACATGTGAAAGCAGTACCAAGGGAGAAATTTATAGCTAAAAACACATAAAAAGAAGAAAATCTCAAATCAACAACTTAATTTTTATAACTTTATAAGCTAGAAAATGAAGAATGAACTAGAGTGAAAAAAAAATAGAGATTAGAGCAGAGATAAATAAAATAGAAAATTAAAAAATGATAGAGAAAATAAAAATATCCAAACGTCTTTTCTTTGAAATCAACAAAACTGATAACCTTTTAGCTAGGTTAACTAAGAAAAAAAGAAAAAAGACTCAAATTACTAAAAGTTGAAACATTACTATTCTATAGAAATAAATAGGATTATAAGAGAGTCCTAGGAACACTTACATGTCAAAATTTGGATAATCTAGATGAAAGGGACAAATTTCTAGAAACACAACACCAACCAAGACAAAATCAGGAGAAAAATAGAAAAATCTGTAGCTTCACTAGTGAATTCTATCAAATATTTAAAGGAGAACTAGCACTAAATTTTCTCTAACTTTTCAAAAAATTTGAAGAGAAGGGAACTCTTCCTAACTCATCCTATAAGGCTGATGTTAACCTGCTATGAATGTCAGATAGATACTACAGACCAATATTCATTATAAACATGATATAAAATTTCTCAACAAAATACAAGGAAACTGAATTCTTCAGCATCCAAGGATATAAACCATGACAAAGTGGGATTTTTTTTCATGGAATGCAAGGATGGTTCAACTTATGAAAATGGATTAATGTAATACAGTACATTAACAACATGTAGAAAAATCCACATAATCATCTCTATTGATGCAGAAAAGTAGTTGACAGAATTCAACAGTCTGTCTTGATAAAAACACTCAACAAACTAGCAATAAAAAGAAACTAGCTCAACATCATAAAGGCCATGTGTGGGAAACCCTCAGGGAACATCAAACTCAATGATGAAAGACTGGGATGGTTAATATTAAGTATCAACTTGATTGGATTGAATGATGCAAAGTATTGTTTCTCAGTGTGTCTGTGAGGGTGTTGCCAGAGGAGATTAACATTTGAGTCAGTGGATTGGGAGAAGCAGATGCACTCTCAATCAGCCAGTGTGGCTAGAAAAAGCAGGTGGAAGTAGGTGGAATGTACCAACTTACTGAGTCTTCCAGCCTTCATCTTTCTTTTGTGCTGGATGCTTCCCGTGCTCAAACATCAGACTCAGTGACTGAGTTCTCACAAAATCTAATAGTTTTATAAGGGGCTTTTCCCTCTTTTGCTCAGCAGTTCTCCTTCCTGCCATCATGTGAAGAAGGTCGTGTTTGCTTCCCTTCTACGATGATTGTAAGATTCCTTAGGTTTCCCTAGCCTTGCAGAACTGTGAGTCAATTAATTCTTTCTTCTATAAATTACCCAGTCTCGGGTATGTCCTTATATCAGCATGAGAATGGACTAACACAGTAAATTGGTGCTGCAGAGAGTGGGGTGCTGCTACAAGCATACCCGAAAATGTGGAAGTGACTTTGGAACTCGCTAAGAGACAGAGGTTGGAACATCTTGGAGGGCTCAGAAGAAGACAGGAAAATGTGGGAAACTTTGGAACTTCCTAGAGACTTGGGGAGCTCAGAAGACAGGAATATGTGGCAAAGTTTGGAACTTCCTAGAGACTTGTTGAATGGCTTTGACCAATATACTGATAGTGATAGGGACAATAAGGTCCAGGCTGAGGTGGTGTCAGATGGAGATGAGGAACTTTTTGGGAACTGGAATAAAGGTGATTCTTGCCATGTTTTAGCAAAGAGACTGGTGCCATTTTGCCCCTGCCCTAGAGATCTGTGGAACATTGAACTTGAGAGAGATGATTTAGGGTATCTGGCAAATAAATTTCTAAGCAGCAAAGTGTTTAAGACATGCCTTGGGTGCTGTTAAAAGCATTCAGTTTTATGTATTCACAAAGATATGGTTTGAAATATGAACTTATGTTCAAAAGGGAAACAGAGAATAAAAGTTCAAAAAACTTGCAGCCTGATGATGTCATAGAAGAGAAGAACCCATTTTCTGAGAAGAAATTCAAGTGTTGTTTAGTAAAAAATTAGATATCAGAAAAATTATGGGTCTGGGCAAAAGAAGAGGTTATATTCATGTAGAAACAAGGAAAGGGTCTGAGTGGAAAGAGGAATAAAAAATAAGACAGCATATATTTAGAACAGAAAAATTAGAGGGTTGATCAATATTTTACAATTAAAACATCACATTTAAACCCAATAAAAAGAGAAATCATTATTTGTACTTAATCACTTTAACTTTGGATTTGATATTTTAACATAAAATAGTTCAAAGGTCTAAATGTAAGACATAAAACTATAAAATCTTAGAAAAAATAAGGAAAATGCTTCATGACATTGGATTTGGTGATATTTCTTGTATATGATACCAAATATTTCGTTTTCTTCTGGGCAACTAAAGAAAAAGTAGAAATTAAATTTTCTGAAAATTTAAAAAATTATTTATCAAATGGCACTATTAACGTGAAAAAGGTAGCCATCAAAGCGAGGATATATTTCCAAATCACATGTTTGATGAGGTATTAATATCCAGAATATATAGAAAACTCGTAAAACTTAACAGCGAAAGAAGAAACAACCTCATTCAAAAATGAACAAAGATCTTGAACAGACATTCCTCTACAGAAGACATGTAAGTGGCCAATAAGCATATAAAGAAGATGCTCAACATCATTAATTATTAAGAAAAAGTCAAAACAACAATAAGATACCATGTCACACCTGTTAGTTTTGTTACTATCAAAAAAACAGAAAATAACAAGTATTGATGAGGATGTGGAAAAATTAAGACTCTTGTGCACTGTTGGTGGAAATGTAAAATGGTACAGTCAGTATACAGAGGAGTATGGTGACTTCTCAAAATATTAAAAATAGCATTACCATATGATATAGCAATCCTGCTTCTGGGTATATATCCAGTAGATTTAAAAGTAGGGACCTGAACAGATGTTTATAGCAGCATAGCATCATTCACAATAGCTATATGTGAGATCAACAAAAGTTTCCATTGGCAGATGAATGGATAAACAAATTGTGATATATACATATGGTGGAATATTATTCATCTTTTAAAAGTATGGAAATTCTGAAATGGATGAACATTGTGTTAAGTGAAGTAAGCCAATTGCAAAAAGACAAATTCTACTTATATGGGGTATTAAGTAAGAGTGATTAGAATCATAGAGACAGTAAGTAGAATAGTGATTTCCAAAGGCTCAGGGGATTGAGAAGTGGGGTTAATACTCAATTTCTATGCCCATTTTAAAATGGTATAGAATTTCAGTTTTGCAAAATGAAAGGAGTTCTGGAGATGGATGGTCGTGATTGTTGTTCAGCAATATGAATATACTTGATACTACTGCACTGTATCCTTAAAAATGGCTAAGATAATAAATTTAACATTGTATTTTACTGCAATGAAAAATTGAAAAATAACCCTGATGGAATATTGTGAGAGTCGAATACTCTATCTAAAGCAATTATCCCAGTGTCTGAGAAAAAGCACATATACTTTTGTTTTTATTCTATTTTAGCTTTAACATCCTCATGGCAACAAAGGACAGTTTTAATAATGGTGCTATTTTATTTTTATGTTGAAGAAAGCCGTATGTGCAATGATTTGTTCTTCAGAGTAAAAATATTCATTCAAAGGTATTGTTTCATGTGATGACTGTTTTAGAGTATGCAGAGGGATGCATAAAGGCAAGTGTTTCTAAATAAGAACAAGTAGAGAATATCCCATGTAGGAGAAAATGATCAGCTGAATTCTGGTAGACCAGTAGGAACTAGAGGAAGTTAGATGAATGAATAGGAAAGATAGTCTAAAGCAGATGGAACATGTGGGCAGGCAAAGACTTATGAACTAGAGTTAAGGAGTGGAGTTGTTAAGTAATTTCCAGTGATAGAAAAGAGGGAAGGATGTCTGGCAGAAGATCTCATACATGTATGCATGAACTACAAGATTAGAAAGAATTTAGGTGCAAATACAAGCCACGAAGAGCTCTTGAAGCATTTTCAAAATGTGACCAGATAGTGCAATCATGTTTGTGATTTAGAGTGGCAGTTAGTTAGACAAGGGTGAGGCAATCAGAATCAGGGAAATCTGTAAACACTTACTGTAGAGGTTTATGTAAAAAGTGTTGCTGTTTAGTAAAAAATTAGATCTCAGAAAAATTGTGGGTCTGTGCAAAAGAGGTTATATTTATGTAGAAACAAGGACAGGGTCTGAGTGGAAAGAGGAATAAGAAATAAGACAGCATATATTTAGACCAGAAAAATTAGAGAGTTGATCAATATTTTACAATTAAAACATCACATTTAAAGCCAATAAAAAGAGAAATCATTATTTGTACTTAATTACTTTAACTTTGGATTTGATATTTTAGACATAATGAGACAAGTATATTTATTATAATGGTTTTTAAGTGAGTGTATATTATTTTACTGCATTATGTTCAGATTTTACTGAGATTCTCAGTGGAAGCTGGGACAAGTTTGAGAATCTCCAGGTTGATCAAGGAAGAGCTAGGTTGAGAGTCATAAACACATGAAACATATTGAGGCTGGAAAAGGTTGCACGACAGGGGAAGTCCCTCTCAGCAAGAGACCTGCCAGAGACCACAGGACAGAGCCACCACCAGAAGGAGAATAAGGTAATGAAATTCCAGGGGGAAGAAGGGAGAGAGGAGAAATTGTAGAGGCAGCTTATGCATGTAGCTGATGTTCCTCAGAAGCAAGGTGGGAAGACTGGGTCACAGAAATCTGAATATCTTGTGTGTGTGTTTTTAAAAAATTTGTTGTATTGTTGTTTTATAGGCCCTGTGAGATTTATGCTTTAAGGATGTTCTGTTTTGATGTATTTTGAGAATTTGTTTCAAGATTTAGAGCTCCTTTTCGCAGTTCTTGTAGTGCTTGCTTGGTAGTGGCATGTTCTCTCAGCAGTTATTTGTCTGAAAAAAACTTCAACTTTTTTTTTTCCATTTATGAAGCTTAGTTTCACTGGATACAAAGTTCTTGGCTGATAAATATTTTGTTTAAGGAGGCTAAAAATAGGACTCCAATCCCTTCTAGATTGTAGGGTTTCTGCTGATAAATCTGCTGTTAACAGATTTTCCTTTATAGGTTACCTGATGCTTCTGCCTCACAGCTCTTAAGATTCTTTCCTTTGCCTTGACTTTAGATAACCTGATAACTACATGTCTAGGTGTTGATCTTTTGCTGATGAATTTCCCAGGTGTTCTTTGAGCTTCTTGTATTTGGATGTCTAGCTGTCTAGCAAGGATGGGGAAGTCTTCCTTGATTATTTTGTCAAATAAGTTTTCCAAACTTTTAGATTTATCTTCTTCCTCAGGAACACCAATTATTCTTAGGTCTGGTCATTTACATAATCTTAAACTTCATGAAAGCTTTGTTCATTTTAAAAAATTATTTTGTCTTTGTCTTTGTCAGACTGGGTTAATTCAAAAGCCTTGTCTTTGAGCTCTGAAATTCTTTCTTCTATTTGTTCAATTCTATTGTTGAAAATTTCCAGTGTGTTTTGCATTATTCTAAGTGTGTCTTTCATTTCCAGAAGTTGTGATTGTTTTTTATTTATGATATCTATTTCTCTGGGGATATTTAAAATCCATATCCTGTTTTTTTTCCTTTTAATTTCTTTGAGTTGGTTTTCACCTTTCTCTGGTGCCTCCTTGAGTAGCTTGACTGTTGACCTTCTGAATTTCTTTTTCTGCAATTCGGAGATTTCTTGGTTTGGTTTCATTGCTGGTTAGCTAATGTGGTCTTTTAGAAGTGTTATAGAATCTTGTTTTGTGATATTACCAGAATTGTTTTTCTGGTTCCTTCTCATTCGTGTAGACTATGTAAGAGGAAAGATTTGGGACTCAAAAACTGCTGATTAGATTCTTTTGTCCCATGGGATGACCTCTTGATGTGGTGCTCTCCTGCTTCTCCTAGGGATGGGGCTTCCTGAGAGCTGAACCGTAGTAATTGTTATTGCTCTTCTGGGTCTAGCTACCCAGTGGAGCTACTGGGCTCTGGCCTGGCACTTCGGAATGTCTGCAAAGTGATGTGATCCTTCTTCAGGTCTCTCAGCCATGGATACAAAAACCTGCTCCAGTGGAGGTAACAGGGGGAGTGAAGTGGACTCTGTGAGAGTCCTTGGTTGCAGTGTTGTTTAGTGTGCTGGTTTTCTTGAATGCTGGTTATCCTAGCAGTAAAGTTGTCATGTGGACAGACTCAGGGCCTCTTGTCAGCCAGGATATTATAGGCGGTGGAATTTGCTGTTGTTTTCTCCTTCCTTGGAGCAGGGTTGTTCTGTTACGTGTTGCCGTAATGACTTGAGTTGGTTGGCCTCTAGCCAGGAGGTGTCACTTTCAAGAGAGTATTAGCTGTGGTTGTATAGAGGGTGTACGAGCTTGCCCTAAGGTTGCCTGAATAAGTATTCATCTTTCTCAGGTGATGGGTAGGGCCACAGAGCTCCCACAAGTTTATGTCCTTTGTTTTTGGCTGCCAGGGTGGGTAGGAAAAGACCATTAGGTGGGGTGGAGGCGGTTAGGTGTGTCTGAGCTCAGACTCCTTGGGTGGCCTTGTTGTGGTCACTGTGGGGCATGGGGTGGTTCTCATACCAACGGAGTTGTGTTCCAAGGGGGATTATAGCTTCCTCTGCTGCTTCATACAGGTCATCAGGGAAGGTGGGGGAAAGCAGGCAGTAACAGGCCTCTCTCAGCTCCTACACAGCCAGTAAGGCCAGTCTCACTTCTGCCATGCTCCCCTAATAGCTAACAGAGCTAAATTTATATCCAGGCCTCCAGTGCACAGGGCTGAGATCTTGTCCCAGGCTATAAGCCTCCCTGTTGAGAAAGCAAGCAGGGTTTTGAGGCCTTGCTCCTCTCTGCCTGCCATGGCTTCTGTGTTCATATTTGCACTTCCTGTTTGTGCCCTGACCCCTGGCTTCTGCCCTAGAAAATTCATGCTAGGTCAAAATTATTATAAAGTTTAGCTGGAAGTCTTCTTCTCCCTGTGGACCTTCTTTAATTCCATTGGCTGCCCTCCCCAAGGACTCCTGTGAGATGAAGTCAGAAATGGCTTCCTGGGGAACAGGAGTGCCTACAGGGTTCTTCCTCCTGCTTCTTCTACTTTTATATTTCACTTGGCTCTCTAAATTTGTTTCAGCTCTAGGTAAGTTTAATTCTTTCTCCTGTGATCTGGATTTTCAGGTTCCCCTGTGAGGATGCGTGTTCGAAGGTGAACTGTCCCCTTCTCACACTTTCGGCAGTCACAGTTTTTTTTTTTCCAGCTGTTTCACAGAGTTTGCAGTGGCAAGCCACTTCTTTCAATGGGTCTGTGAATTCTTTTGGTTTTCCTAGTACATTCCTGTGGTGATTCTTGGAGCATAAATTTATGATGTGAGTCTCTACACACTGTTCTGTCTATCTGAGTGGGAGCTGCAAGTTAGTCTTGCCTCCTATTTGCTATTTTTTTTTCCAATCCTCAATACCATTTCTTGAAGAGATTGTTCTTTTCCCATTGTGTTCTTTGCAGCATTGTTGAAAATCAATTAGCTATAAGTGCATGGGTTTATTTCTGGGCTTTCTAACCTGTTTTATTGGTTGATGTGTCTGTTTTTATACACATAGCATTCTGGTTTGACTATAATTGCTTTGTAGTATATTTTGAAATTAGAATGTGATGCCTCCAGCTTTTTTTTCTCAAGATTATTTTGGCTATTTGTAATCTTCTGTGGTTTCATGTGAACTTAAAAATGTTTTCTATTTCTGTGAAAAATGACATCAGAATTTTGATAAGCATTGCACTGAATATGTAGATATTGGTGGGAAGTATGGAAATTTTAACCATATTTATTCTTCCAATCCATAAACACAGATAGTTTTCCATTTTTCTGTGTTTTCTTTTTTTATCAGGTTTTATAATTTTTATTATACAGGTTTTTCACTTCCTTGATTAAATTTACATATAAATATTTTATATTTTTATTGCTATTATAAATTGAATTGTTTTTTAAATTTTCTTTTTCACATTGTTTATTATTAGCATATGGAAATGCTACTGATTTTCATATGTTGATTTCGTATTCTGCAACTTTACTGAATTCATTTCTCAGTTCTAACAGTATTTTGGTGGAGTCTTTAGGGGTTTCTATATAGAAAATCATGTGATCAGCAAATAGAAACAATTTCACTTCTTTTTTCCTATTAGGATGCTTTTTATTTCTTTTACTTTCCTAATTGCTCTGGCTAGGACTTTCAGTACTATGTTGAAAAGAAGTAAGAGCGGGCATCATTGTCTTGTCCTAATCTTAGAGGAAAGGTTTTCAACTTTTCATCATGGAATATGATGTTAGCTATAGGTTTGGCATATATAACCTTTTTTTGTACTTCTTCTATACCTAATCTGTTGAGCAGTTTTGTCATGAAAGTATGTTGCATTTTTTCAAATTTTTTTTTTTGCATTCATTGAGATGATCATATGGTTTTTAGCCTTCATTTTGTTAATGTGGTATATTACAAAGATTGATATGCATATGTTGAAACATCCTTGTATCATACAGATAAATTCCACTTGATCATGGTGAATAACTATTTTAATGTGCTATTATATTTGGTTTGCTAATATTTGTTTATCTTGTTGAGGATTTTTGCATTTATGTTCATCAGAATATCGGTTTGTAGTTTTCCTTTATTGTAGTGTCCTTGTCTGGCTTTGCTTATCAGGGTAACGTTGGCCTCCTAAAATGAGTTTGGAAGCATTCCTTCTACTTTGATTTTTTGGAAACGTTTAAGAAGAATTGCAATTAGTTCTTTTTTAAATAATTGGTAGAATTTAGCAGCGAAACCATACAGTCCAGGGATTTCCTTTGATGATAGGCTTTTTATTACTGATTCAATCTTCTCACTTCTTATTGGTCCATTCAGATTTTCTATTTCTTTATGATTCAGGCTTGGTATTTTGTATGTGCCTAGGATTTATCTGGTTCTTGTAGATTATCCAATTTGTTGGCAAATAATTTTTTATAGTATTTTCTTATGATTCTTAGTATTTCTGTGGTATCAGTTGTGATATTTCCTTTTTCATTATAGATTTTATTTATTTGAGTATTCTCTTTTTTCCTACTTAGTCTAGCTAAGGATCTGTCAGTTTTGTTTATCTTTTAAAAAACCAACTCTTAGTTTTGTTGATTTTTTTTTCCTATTGTTTTTCTAGTCTCTGTTTCTTCCTCTTGGATCTTTGTTTTTCTTTCCTTCTGCCAACTTTGGGTTTCATTTATTCTTCTTTTTCTTAGCTCTTTAAGGTGTAATTTAGAGTCTATTTTGTCCGATATAAGTATAGCTATCCTTGCTCTCTTCTGGTTCCAATTTTTGTGGAATATCTTTTTCTATCCCTTCATTTTCAGTCTATGTTTGTACTTACTTGTACAATGAGACTCTTGTAGGTAGAGTATGGTTGGATCTTGCTTTTTAAGTTCATTCAGACACTCTTTCTTTTTTTTGGAGAATTTAACCCATTTACATTCAAGATAATTATTTATAGGTAATGGTTTGGTACTGTCATTTTGTAATTTGTTCATTGGTGGTTTTGTAGATCCTTTGTTTCTTTCTTTTTCTCTTGCTGTCTTTCTTTGTGTTTTGATAGTTTTCTATGGTAGTATGCTTTGCATCTTTTTTTTAATTTTGTGCTGCTACTATAACTTTTTGTTTTGTGGTTACTACAGTGCTTATATAAAATATCTTATCCTTATAATAGGCTATTTTAAGCTGATAGCAACTTAATTACATAGAAGAATTCTATATTCACTACCTCTTCACCACCTTTTATAATTTTGATGTCAATATTTACATTTATAATTTGTATCTCTTAAGAATTTATTGCTGCTATAGTTCTTTTATAGTTTCTTCTTTTAACATTTATAGTAGAGATGAAGCAGATTTTTCAGTAGAAACACTGCACGACCCTTCCAGTATTAGAGAATTCTCCATATGACTATGTATTACTTATACCATTGACATTGAGTTTTTAATTTTTACATGTTTTGTGTAATTAATTATCAGCCTTTCATTTCAGCTTGAAGTACTCCTTTTAGCAATTCCTATAAATCAAGTCTAGTAGTGATGAAATCACTTAGCTTTTGCTTGTCTGGAGAAGTTTCTATTTCTTATTCATTTCTGAACAGCTTTGCCCGGTAAGTATTCTAGGTTGACAGATTTTTTTCTTCAGCATCTTGAATATATTTTTCTACTCTCCCCTGGCCTGCAGAGTTTCTACTGAAAAATCTGCTGAAGCCATTTTAGATTCTCCTGATTTTGATATGTTTCTCATCTCTCCTTGCTTTCAGTATTCTTTCTTTGTCTTTGATTTTTGATTTCATTATGATGTGTCTGGTTAATATTTTTGGGGTTAAATTTTAGTGGAACCTCTGAGATTCCTTTATCTGAATGTTTTTGTTTTTTCCCAGATTTGTAAAACTGTCAGCTATTATTTTCTTTAATAGGCTTTCTGGGCCCTTTTTCTGTCTGTTCTCTTGGAACTACTATTATGCCAAGGTTCAATATCTTGATGATGTCCCATAATTCCCATAGACCTTTTCAATTGTTTTCATTCCTTTGCTTGGATAATTTAATATGTCTTATTGTTGAGCTCACTGATTCTTTCTTCTACTTGATCAAGTCTGCTATTGAAGCTTTATATTGACTTTCTCGGTTTAGTTATTGTATTCATTATTGCTACAATTTTTTCTTACAGTTTCTATTTCTTTGTCAAAGTTCTCAGTTTGTTTGTGAACTGTTTTCCACATTTTAATTTTCTATCCATCTTTTTTATCCATATTATAGTTCCCTGAACTTCTTTAAGAGGATTAGCTTGAATTCTTTGTCAGTCATTTCTTATATCTTCATCTTTTGAGGGTCCATTATTGGAGCTTAATTTCTTTGGGTGGTGTCATATTTCTCTGATTTTTCATAATATGTCTCTGCATTGGTGCCTGCACGTTGAGGAAATGACCATGTCTTCCAGCCTTTGCAGGTATTCTTTGGTGGTGATCAACTTTCAGAATTTTGTCTAGTCTGGGATTCTGGGCCTAGCTGTTGTGACCTAGAACAGGCAGATTTTGATGTTGGGTCCTTTAGCTGGGCTGGGCTGCTCCCTGTGCTCAGAGGTCAAATGGGTGTGCCGGGAGTGCCTTGTGGTCCAGTGAGACAACTGGCTGAACTCTGTGGTTAGGTGGAGTTGCTGGCTAGGTCTGCAGTTACCTCTGATCAGGCAGGGTTGAAGGCTGTCTTCCCTGACTGGGCAGTACTATTGTTTGGAATCTGTAGTTTGACAGGGTTGTGTGCTGGGGTCTGAGGTTGAGTGAGGTCTCTGGATTCTCCGCTCTGCCATTTGGGGTGAGCAGGGTCAGACACTGTGCTCCATAGATAGGCATGGACTTGAGCTTGCCTCCTGGTTTAGGGTAGCCTTAAGCAGAACACAACAGCTTTTTTGGGTCACTGTCTGGCTGCTGGGGTTAAGCAGGGCCATATTCTCCCTCTGTGGATAATCTCTGATCTACTTTTGCCTCCTCTCTGAGGAGGCTCAAGGAGAACACCAAGGCTTGGTTGGATCACCGCTCAGCACTGGAACTGGGTGGGACAGGATGCTTCTCCATGGATTATCACCAATGTGCATTTGTCTTCCAGACTGAAAATGCTTAAAGAGAGCACTAGGTCTGGGTTGGGAAGCTGCCTAAGGAATCAAGCCTGGCACAACATATGCAGCATACTTTAACATATTTATATTAAAATACAATTACATGTTTGATTTTTCTACAGACCTTTAGGTAGAGATATTTTCTCATTTCCCACATTTCAGAGTGCATTACAATCCACTAGAACTCAGGGTTGAATAGGGAAGGCACTTTGTCCTTTTTCCCCGGAGCATGTATGTTTTTAGTAACTATGGTGCAATGAATCAATGTATGAATGAATAAATTCCTGAGGCTAAACAGTCAATGAATACCCAAACTGGAAGTTAAACCTAGATCTGATTTCAGAGCCTGTGAACTTCAATTATATCATGCTACTCTCTTAAATTAAAAAAAAAACTGTAGAAAGTATATTTAAGAAACACATTATCATGATGAAGAGATAAAAATATTCCAAGCAGAAAGATAATTTAGTTTATATCACATTGATTATGGAGCATATTCTCAGGTAGCACTGTTAGTAGGTAAGCATACATTTAATGTAAAAGAAAATAATTTTACAATGGATTGCACTGGATGATCCATAGGTCTCTCCTATTCTTGTCTTTGGTGCTGAGATTGATGCATTCTTGGTTTCTTTTGTTAGCTTTTTATAGCTCTGGAATTTGTTGAATTCAAATGAGTTTTGATTTCTAAAACCTTTTTAACTGTTTGGAAAAAATGGCACTGTACAAAAGTTTATACACTGTGTTGGACTGGAAAAAAATTGAGGCCAGCATTTGAAGATCTAGTCATATAGAATAAAAGTATCATAAACTAGTTATCAATTTGCCATTTGATATAACATAGACTTTTAAAGCTATTTCACAGTAAGATGAGAATAGAGCCTGATTAAGATAGAATGGTTAACATATGCTTATGAAAGATTTCCTAGTCCTCACAATAGTAACCTTCACTAATGACATTACTTGTACTAATTAATATGTCTGTAAGTCTGGTTTAACTTAGATGAAGGCACTGGGATAAACTTACACCTTCAAACTCCACACTGAATAATTGACTACATGGTCAAAATAAAACAAGACAAAAATTCTAATAAGAGCAACACATGCCTCCAGAAAATAAAAACAAGAAACAGCACTTTTTTGAAGCTTTTGTATATCTCTCATAAAGCGTCTGATATACAGAAAATAATTATTGATGGAATGAAACATAATTAACACAGTTTTTGGGAAACATCTGAAAACCACTTGAATACATGATTTTTTTTTAACAGTTTATGAAGAATAAATTACATTGATTATTATGTGTACATGGAGGTAATTGTCTTTAAATCATGTATAACATGGTACATTTTATTACTACCAATTTGCATTTATGATATAATTGATTTGTTAACTTGCAAAATTTTTATTCAGTAAAATTTTTATTCTAAATACTTATAGAAGTTTTGAACATTATATGTTAAGAAATATTGGAAGCTAAATATATCTGTGCATGCTAATAAAAATCACATTTTACAAAGGTTATTAAAACTCATGAAAATTTTAAAAATTGATATTGGTGTTTATTTAAATCAATAAACTACATTCAATCTGGTCTTGAACTATTATAACACTTTTCTGTCATAAAATTGCTCATTAATTTCTTCTGTCAGAAATCAGTAATTTTGAGTAGTAATGTTTCTTGTAAGTTTTTCATTTTTTCTTTATGTAAATAATTAGCAGAAATTTCAACTTTAAATTATCTTGGATTTTAATATTCTTATAGACACTGCTACTTTAGGCTAAGATTTTCCTTGTCAAGGTACAATTATTCTACAACTCAACAGGGATATTCTAGTGATAAGTCACCATCCAGTATGTAAATGTGTTTTAGTGCTTAAATAGGAGGCAGCTGTTTGAATTATCTTCCACTAAATGTCTGATTTCTCTTCAAAGATAAGTGCCAGGGAACACACATCACCACTACTAAGTGAGGTGCGGTATGTGCTCCATGTATCCAGGACAGAAACACTCTTTCTCTCATTTCTTATAATCACAATTTTTGCCATAGTAATTGATACTGAATATCCTAAAGGATTCTGGCAGAGGACTAAGATAACCTTCAATAGAACATCTGGTACATGTGGATTGTGTTTGCTAATATAGATTTTATTATCATTGATACATCAAACATTAGCCGAAGTAGGACTTACGCCAGTATCAGAACATTAATATAAGACCTGTTTTACTGTTATGTTTCAGTCTCTTTCGATTTAAATATATATTGAATTTATATAAATTGGTTTTATGACAGTTAATCTAAATATTAGAAACAAGGTTTCCCGAGACTAAGGAAATATCATTAAAAACACATTAAGCATTCTTTGAGGACCTGAATTGAAAAGTTCCATTTAGGAATATGCTCTAAAGTGGAGAATAATGGGGCAGGCTTAACCCTAAATGAGAGGGGTAAGTTTAAATGTAAATTTATTAATGCTTCTGTCTTTAGGTAAACTATGAAAATAAAAAGCAATATGAGGACTCTTTTTTTTTTTTTTTTTTCAGATGAGGGAGATCTAAGGGAAGAGGGATTTTTTTGTTCTTTAGACCCTCTCCTGGGAAATCCAACTAATTCAATTTGAAGGCTGCTAAAGCACACATGCTGATTAGTATAAGAGATTTAGAAGTCCAGATGATTAACAGTCCTTTTTTATTGAAAGACATTCAAAGGAAAACTTCTTGGCAGTCTTTTACAACCTAGGGGAACAATATAGGGGAGAGGTGACAGCTACTGAAACTTTGCTTCAAAAGGCTGGCACTTGGATTCCTTTGCTTGACATTGTTAAAACATGACACTGCCATTTAATTTGTTTTTTTCTTAAATTATAATCCATTTAGTTTTTATTTCTTAATTAAAAATAACCATTCTCTTTTAAGCTTTTTAAAAACCTATTTATCATTTCTGCTTTTATTCTTTTGAACAAAGTTCACTCTTCCTCTCCTGGTCCCCTCCCCAGTTATCAAAGTACTATCCTCAGGGTTGAATATCAGAGAGAAAAAAAAGAAAATAATGTTGACCTATTAATATTTCTATCTCCAGAGAATATGATTGGCTGTTCACAAGTTAGTATATGCCTTTTAAAAGAAAATCTATCCTACAGATAGATTTTTTTAATCATATTTTTTTATCATAACATTATACCAAAAATCTTCTCATGGTATTTTCAACACACCAGACATTATATGTCTATATATTTATATTTTTATTTCTATAATATTCTAAACTGTGGATGTGCCTTTACATTAGGCTACTTAAGTTTGCTTTATGATTTTGGTATTTAGTCATTGTTTTCTTTTGTATGTAGTAAATTGGGTGCTCTTATTTTATTGCAATTTTATGTTATTTTCAAAAACATTTAAAAATTGTCAAAGAAAATTTTAAACCATCCATGTGGTTCATTTTGAGGCCTCAATTTTGAAAACTATAATTTTAGGTGAGCAAATATTGTACACATGGCTCTCCTTTAATAACCTTATTAATCATGTGTTCTCTCTAAGATTACCCATTGAAACCTCTTTTGTATGGAGTTAGACTTTTGGCTGTCATGTCAATATATTTTTACTCTCCGTAAGAACAGTCAGCCTACAGATTATGCCATGGAAACAGATTGATTGGCTATAATATATCTTATTCAGTTGTTGAAGAAAGATTTAGAATTATGACTGGTCTTCCAAAAATGTTTCAGGGTCATAACTGATCCTTATGAAATGCATGAGACTAGGTATTGACTAGTCAACCGACAAGCTATTTGAAAAAGCTACTTGTTAATTTTAATCAAACTAGTAAGCCAGAAAAAAATATTTTCTTTCTTTAATCAGAAAAATGATTTATACTACAAAAATACTTCACTAATTCAAGTGCATTGATATGTGACATTGTGAAATATCAAGTTGCTTGTCTAAGCCTATGCATGGCCTGTACCAAAGGCAGAACCCTGCCTGCAGGCTTAACCTGATGATTGATGCACACTCCTGCAGGAACAGCAGTAAAGCCTTTGCTCACAGCAGCCAGTGGGAACTGATCATGTGCAGTGCAGCAACCCAGTTTAAATTGGCCTACTTCACACTGATAGTGTCACTATGGGAACTATCCTCACAGACCCACTAGAGACCTGGGGTCACTATGGGAACTATCCTCACAGACCCACTAGAGATCTGGGGGCTTTTCTTCTAGTGACTAATATCCCTCATCTGATATTTTGCTAGATGGAATTCTAAATAGGGAACTTCTTTACATCAGGCTAAGCAGGTCCAATGTCTAAGGCAGAAACTAGAACACATAATATGTCCCAAATATTTACGGAACAAACACTGATCTATCAAAGTGCTTTCAGAATTTCAAAATACATGGATTTTAGAAAATAATTTTTTTATTGTTAAAGATTTATGTTCCTGTCCACTTAAGACATATTGTTAAAAAATTAGTAAGAGGTAAGTATGCATTGCCAAGTTAATCTTTGGTAATGTTAGGGAGATAGGTTTTAAGCATTTGAACACACAAAATTTGTTTCTATGTTTTTTTCATTTTGTTCCACAAGGAGTTAATGATGGTAGGCTGGGAGGCTTGTGTCTTCCTTTTAGTGGCGCACAGATTACGTAGAAATGTGCTATTCAAAGTATAACCTGTGGACCCACATTTGCATCTCCACAAATGGCTTGTTACAGTCTGCAGAAATATAAGTAGAGAGACTTATAAGAACCAGTGAATAGAAACATTTTATAGCAATTTGATATTGTCAAAACACCCTACTATTCTTGTAGACCCATTTTTATGAACGTGATATAGACCAACAATATCAATCAATATAAAAATGAATTGGAAATAAAAAAACAAAACTGGTTATTCACCACAAGATGGTTTGAGAAGCAATTACATAGTGCATAGATTCTAGATATTTGACTTCAGTGTGATGGCCTTCTCTACTTTGTATCGTCTCTGTGCCTGATATTTTGATTGATTATTTCTGGAGACCTGAATGAAAGAGTTGCTAATGACACTAGTCAAGGTTTACTCATAAATCATATATATTGGAAAGATTTTCCTCCTCCTCTATGAGTCCATCTTTTAATAATCATGGCCAACTCCAAGAAGAAAGTACCTGACCACATTCATTCAAATATGTAATATGAAGTCAAGTGAATCTTTCAGCTAGTTCATTGAAAAGTTTGCACATGACTGCTTGATGCTGATCTATGTTCAACCCTAAGGTATATGCTTCTTTTTTTTTGCTAACTTATTTGTGCGTGAGTGGTATATTTGTCTGGGTTTGTTGGCGTATGTTTGTTTGGGTGAGTTTTGATGGCAGTGGGTTTAGAGGGATTTGTTAATAGCATGAGCATTTCTCATGACAAACTACCTGATTATATTACTTTCCTCATTGTGATATTGGAAGTCAGACTATGGTCTCGATTAATTAACAATAACAAAAACTATGGAGGCAAAGTATCACAATATTATGGTTACATAAATATAGTAGATGCTTATAATCTGAGGGGTGGGATGGAGTTGGCGTCTTTTGGAGTACCCTGTAAGCAAAGGGAGAAATATGCTTGTGTTCACTTAGAGGCTCAGTTGTGTTCTAGTGAGAAGGGGTTTCTGATGTGCCACCTGCCCTGGGAGTTGGTTACTCTTCAGTTCCCTTATTCTACATATTTGGCAGTACTGGGTCTTTATTTTGGCCTGGAGAGAAAACTGTTGGTATTAGTGCTTAGAAATTCAGTCTTAATAAGTATGCAACAGAATGACAAGCATGTTGTGTACCATTCACATTACAGGCATCTACCAGCAACCAAGGTGAGAAAATCCATTCACATCTGCTCCTCTGGAGAAGCAAAGTTGTCCAGACCAGAATTTTTGCATCCCTGAGCAGATTCTTTGTTTAACTCATGTTCTCTTAAGCACCATATGCTTCTCTCCCTTATACCCAGGGGAAAATTTATCAAAAGCTAAAAACTCCATACTTCAGTGACAGCTTAAATAAATATCATCCTTTAAGAATATCTAAATGTAATGACTTTATGAAAACATTCCATAAAGAACTCAAATCTCTCACTTGCGATAAACAATTCATGCAAAATAGTATTTAAAGGAAACCCAAATACTCCACCCCATTTTAATAACCTTTCATAGAATACCGTTTTCTGTGATCTCATATACATTAACTAATTAGATTTGCCTCTACTTATTTTTCCAGTGTAATCAGGATTCTATTTCAGAAGAGTCATAAGATGGATCCCTTAGGAGGCAGACTCAGAGATGGAGATTAGCGTGTAGGAAATGCATTAGGGAGTACTCTTGAAATCCAAACAATGGAAGGGAAGGAAGTAGGAATAGGCAGAGGGAGAGATTGATACGTGATGTAGTTGCAACAGGAGCCTCAGCCGACATCATAGGATGGGCTTTCAGATTCCTCCTAGGTTAAGGCGAGGGGGTGGGCCTTTGCAGCGCTGTGTTGATCAGTTTTTGGATATGAACTACCCTGAGAAGAGGACATGACCTTGGGGAAGGAGACATTTTGGGCAGGGCACTTCGTAAAAAGGGCTGATAGCTGAAGGCTGTGTCCTGGCAGCACTTCTAGCACTTGGGAGAATAATTTCTTTTTCTTTTTATTTTTTTATTTTTTATTTATTTATTTATTTATTTATTATACTTTAAGTTTTAGGGTACATGTGCACATTGTGCAGGTTAGTTACATACGTATACATGTGCCATGCTGGTGTGCTGCACCCACTAACTCGTCATCTAGCATTAGGTATATCTCCCAATGCTATCCCTCCCCCCTCCCCCCACCCCACAACAGTCCCCAGAGTGTGATGTTCCCCTTCCTGTGTCCATGTGATCTCATTGTTCAATTCCCACCTATGAGTGAGAATATGTGGAGTTTGGTTTTTTGTTCTTGCGATAGTTTACTGAGAATGATGATTTCCAATTTCATCCATGTCCCTACAGAGGACATGAACTCATCATTTCTTATGGCTGCATAGTATTCCATGGTGTATATGTGCCACATTTTCTTAATCCAGTCTATCATTGTTGGACATTTGGGTTGGTTCCAAGTCTTTGCTATTGTGAATAATGCCGCAATAAACATACATGTGCATGTGTCTTTATAGCAGCATGATTTATAGTCCTTTGGGTATATACCCAGTAATGGGATGGCTGGGTCAAATGGTATTTCTAGTTCTAGATCGCTGAGGAATGGCCACACTGACTTCCACAATGGTTGAACTAGTTTACAGTCCCACCAACAGTGTAAAAGTGTTCCTATTTCTCCACATCCTCTCCAGCACCTGTTGTTTCCTGACTTTTTAATGATTGCCATTCTAACTGGTGTGACATGGTATCTCATTGTGGTTTTGATTTGCATTTCTCTGATGGCCAGTGATGGTGAGCATTTTTTCATGTGTTTTTTGGCTGCATAAATGTCTTCTTTTGAGAGGTGTCAGTTCATGTCCTTTGCCCACTTTTTGATGGGGTTGTTTGTTTTTTTCTTGTAAATTTGTTTGAGTTCATTGTAGATTCTGGATATTAGCCCTTTGTCCAATGAGTAGGTTGCAAAAATTTTCCCCCATTCTGTAGGTTGCCTGTTCACTCTGATGGTGGTTTCTTTTGCTGTGCAGAAGCTCTTTAGTTTAATTAGATCCCATTAGTCAATTTTGTCTTTTGTTGCCATTGCTTTTGGTGTTTTAGACATGAAGTCCTTGCCCGTGCCTATGTCCTGAATGGTAATGCCTAGGTTTTCTTCTAGGGTTTTTATGGTTTTAGGTCTAACGTTTAAGTCTTTCATCCATCTTGAATTGATTTTTGTATAAGGTGTAAGGAAGGGATCCAGTTTCAGCTTTCTACATATGGCTAGCCAGTTTTCCCAGCACCATTTATTAAATAGGGAATCCTTTCCCCATTGCTTGTTTTTTTCAGGTTTGTCAAAGATCAGATAGTTGTAGATATGCGGCGTTTTTTCTGAGGGCTCTGTTCTGTTCCATTGATCTATATCTCTGTTTTGGTACCAGTGCCATGCTGTTTTGGTTACTGTAGCCTTGTAGAATAGTTTGAAGTCAGGTAGTGTGATGCCTCCAGCTTTGTTCTTTTGGCTTAGGATTGACTTGGCGATGCGGGCTCTTTTCTGGTTCCATATGAACTTTAAAGTAGTTTTTTCCAATTCTGTGAAGAAAGGCATTGGTAGCTTGATGGGGATGGCATTGAATCTATAAATTACCTTGGGCAGTATGGCCATTTTCACAATATTGATTCTTTCTACCCATGAGCATGGAATGTTCTTCCATTTGTTTGTATCCTCTTTTATTTCCTTGAGCAGTGGTTTGTAGTTCTCCTTGAAGAGGTCCTTCACATCCCTTGTAAGTTGGATTCCTAGGTATTTTATTCTCTTTGAAGCAATTGTGAATGGGAGTTCACTCATGATTTGGCTCTCTGTTTGTTGTTGGTGTATAGGAATGCTTGTGATTTTTGCACATTGATTTTGTATCCTGAGACTTTGCTGAAGTTGCTTATCAGCTTAAGGAGATTTTGGGCTGAGACAATGGGGTTTTCTAGATACACAATCATGTCATCTGCAAACAGGGACAATTTGACTTCCTCTTTTCCTAATTGAATACCCTTTATTTCCTTCTCCTGCCTAATTGCCCTGGCCAGAACTTCCAACACTATGTTGAATAGGAGTGGTGAGAGAGGGCATCCCTGTCTTGTGCCAGTTTTTAAAGGGAATGCTTCCAGTTTTTGCCCATTCAGCATGATATTGGCTGTGGGTTTGTCATAGATAGCTCTTATTATTTTGAAATATGTCCCATCAATACCTAATTTATTGAGAGTTTTTAGCATGAAGGGTTGTTGAATTTTGTCAAAGGCCTTTTCTGCATCTATTGAGATAATCATGTGGTTTTTGTCTTTGGCTCTGTTTATATGCTGGATTACATTTATTGATTTGCGTATATTGAACCAGCCTTGCATCCCAGGGATGAAGCCCATTTGATCATGGTGGATAAGCTTTTTGATGTGCTGCTGGATTTGGTTTGCCAGTATTTTATTGAGGAATTTTGCATCAATGTTCATCAAGGATATTGGTCTAAAATTCTCTTTTTTGGTTGTGTCTATGCCAGGCTTTGGTATCAGGATGATGCCGGCCTCATAAAATGAGTTAGGGAGGATTCCCTCTTTTTCTATTGATTGGAATAATTTCAGAGGGAATGGTACCAGCTCCTCCTTGTACCTCTGGTAGAATTCGGCTGTGAATCCATCTGGTCCTGGACTTTTTTTGGTTGGTAAGCTATTGATTATTGCCACAATTTCAGATCCTGTTATTGGTCTATTCAGAGATTCAACTTCTTCCTGATTTAGTCTTGGGTGGGTGTATGTATCAAGGAATTTATCCATTTCTTCTAGATTTTCTAGTTTATTTGCATAGAGGTGTTTGTAGTATTCTCTGATGGTAGTTTGTATTTCTGTGGGATCGGTGGTGATATCCCCTTTATCATTTTTTATTGCGTCTATTTGATTCTTCTCTCTTTTTTTCTTTATTAGTCTTGCTAGCAGTCTATCTATTTTGTTGATCCTTTCAAAAAACCAGCTCCTGGATTCATTAATTTTTTGAAGGGTTTTTGTGTCTCTATTTCCTTCAGTTCTGCTCTGATTTTAGTTATTTCTTGCCTTCTGCTAGCTTTTGAATGTGTTTGCTCTTGCTTTTCTAGTTCTTTTAATTGTGATGTTAGGGTGTCAATTTTGGATCTTTCCTGCTTTCTCTGGTGGGCATTTAGTGCTATAAATTTCCCTCTACACACTGCTTTGAATGTGTCCCAGAGATTCTGGTATGTTGTGTCTTTGTTCTCATTGGTTTCAAAGAACATCTTTATTTCTGCCTTCATTTTGTAATGTACCCAGTAGTCATTCAGGAGCAGGTTGTTCAGTTTCCATGTAGTTGAGCGGTTTTGACTGAGTTTCTTAATCCTGAGTTCTAGTTTGATTGCACTGTGGTCTGAGAGACAGTTTGTTATAATTTCTGTTCTTTCACATTTGCTGAGGAGAGCTTTACTTCCAAGTATGTGGTCAATTTTGGAATAGGTGTGGTGTGGTGCTGAAAAAAATGTATATTCTGTTGATTTGGGGTGGAGAGTTCTGTAGATGTCTGTTAGGTCCGCTTGGTGCAGAGCTGAGTTCAATTCCTGGGTATCCTTGTGGACTTTCTGTCTCGTTGATCTGTCTAATGTTGACAGTGGGGTGTTAAATTCTCCCATTATTATTGTGTGGGAGTCTAAGTGTCTTTGTAGGTCACTCAGGACTTGCTTTATGAATCTGGGTGCTCCTGTATTGGGTGCATATATATTTAGGATAGTTAGCTCTTCTTGTTGAATTGATCCCTTTACCATTATGTAATGGCCTTCTTTGTCTCTTTTGATCTTTGTTGGTTTAAAGTCTGTTTTGTCAGAGACTAGGCTTGCAACCCCTGCCTTTTTTTGTTTTCCATTTGCTTGGTAGATCTTCCTCCATCCTTTTATTTCGAGCCTATGTGTGTCTCTGCATGTGAGATGGGTTTCCTGAATACAGCACACTGATGGGTCTTGACTCTTTATCCAATTTGCCAGTCTGTGTCTTTTAATTGGAGCATTTAGTCCATTTACATTTAAAGTTAATAGTGTTATGTGTGAATTTTATCCTGTCATTATGATGTTAGCTGGTGATTTTGCTCGTTAGTTGATGCAGTTTCTTCCTAGTCTCGATGGTCTTTACATTTCGGCATGATTTTGCAGTGGCTGGTACCGGTTGTTCCTTTCCATGTTTAGCACTTCCTTCAGGAGCTCTTTTAGGGCAGGCCTGGTGGTGACAAAATCGCTCAGCATTTGCTTGTCTGTAAAGTATTTTATTTCTCCTTCACTTATGAAGCTTAGTTTGGCTGGATATGAAGTTCTGGGTTGAAAATTCTTTTCTTTAAGAATGTTGAATATCGGCCCCCACTCTCTTCTGGCTTGTAGGGTTTCTGCCGAGAGATCCATTGTTAGTCCGATGGGCTTCCCTTTGTGGGTAACCTGACCTTTCTCTCTGGCTGCCCTTAACATTTTTTCCTGCATTTCAACTTTGGTGAATCTGACAATTATGTGTCTTGGAGTTGCTCTTCTCGAGGAGTATCTTTGTGGCATTCTCTGTATTTCCTGAATCTGAACGTTGGCCTGCCTTGCTAGATTGGGGAAATTCTCCTGGATAATATCCTGCAGAGTGTTTTCCAACTTCGTTCCATTCTCCCCATCACTTTCAGGTACACCAATCAGACGTAGATTTGGTTTTTTCACATAGTCCCATATTTCTTGGAGGCTTTGCTCGTTTCTTTTTATTCTTTTTTCTCTAAACTTCCCTTCTCGCTTCATTTCATTCATTTCATCTTCCATCGCTGATACCCGTTCTTCCAGTTGATTGCATCGGCTCCTGAGGCTTCTGCATTCTTCATGTAGTTCTCGAGCCTTGGCTTTCAGCTCCATCAGCTCCTTTAAGCACTTCTCTGCATTGGTTATTCTAGTTATACATCCTTCTAAATTTTTTTCAAAGTTTTCAACTTCTTTGCCTTTGGTTTGAATGTCCTCCCGTAGCTCAGAGTAATTTGATCATCTGAAGCCTTCTTCTCTCAGCTCGTCAAAGTCATTCTCCATCCAGCTTTGTTCCGTTGCTGGTGAGGAGCTGCATTCCTTTGGAGGAGGAGAGGCGCTCTGATTTTTAGAGTTTCCAGTTTTTCTGTTCTGTTTTTTCCCCATCTTTGTGGTTTTATCTACTTTTGATCTTTGATGATGGTGATGTACAGATGGATTTTTGGTGTGGATGCCCTTTCTGTTTGTTAGTTTTCCTTCTAACAGACAGGACCCTCAGCTGCAGGTCTGTTGGAGTACCCTGCAGTGTGAGGTGTCAGTGTGCCCCTGCTGGAGGGTGCCTCCCAGTTAGGCTGCTCGGGGGTCAGGGGTCAGGGACCCACTTGAGGGGGCAGTCTGCCTGTTCTCAGATCTCCAGCTGTGTACTGGGAGAACCACTGCTCTCTTCAAAGCTGTCAGACAGGGACATTTAAGTCTGCAGAGGTTACTGCTGTCTTTTTGTTTGTCTGTGCCCTGCCCCCAGAGGTGGAGCCTACAGAGGCAGGCAGGCCTCCTTGAGCTGTGGTGGGCTCCACCCAGTTTGAGCTTCCCTGCTGCTTTGTTTACCTAAGCAAGCCTGGGCAATGGCGGGCGCCCCTCCCCCAGCCTCGCTGCTGCCTTGCAGTTTGATCTCAGACTGCCGTGCTAGCAATCAGTGAGACTCCGTGGGCGTAGGACCCTCTGAGCCAGGTGCGGGATATAATCTCGTGGTGCGCCGTTTTTTAAGCCCGTCGGAAAAGTGCCGTATTTGGGTGGGAGTGACCCGATTCTCCAGGTGCTGTCCGTCACCCCTTTCTTTGATTAGGAAAGGGAACTCCCTGACCCGTTGCACTTCCCGAGTGAGGCAATGCCTGGCCCTGCTCCGGCTCGCGCATGGTGCGCGCACCCACTGACCTACGCCCACTGTCTGGCACTCCCTAGTGAGATGAACCCTGTACCGCAGATGGAAATGCAGAAATCACCCGTCTTCTGCGTCGCTCAGGCTGGGAGCTGTAGACCGGAGCTGTTCCTATTCGGCCATCTTGGCTTCTCCAGAATAATTTCTTTTAGTCTTAATGGGGGGTCTGGGCCATGGATCGCAGTGTTATGGGCTGAATTGTGTTTGCCCAAAATTCATATGTTCAAGTCCTCATCCCCAGTTTTTTAGAATGTAACTGTATTTGTAGGTAAGGTCTTTAAAGGGGTTAGTTAGGTTAAAATGAGATCCTTAGGGTGGGCCCTATCCAATATGACTCGTGTCCTTATAAAAAGAAGAAATTTGGACATATAGAGAGCCATTAGAAGAATGTGTATACAGAGAGATGACCACGTAAAGACACAGTAAAAAAGCACCCATTGGCTGGGCAAGGTGGCTCACGCCTGTAATCCCAGCACTTTGGGATGATGAGGTGGGCAGATTGCCTGAGCTCAGGAGCTCAAGATTGGCCTGGGCAACACAGTGAAACCCTGTCTCTACTAAAATACAAAAAATTAGCTGGGCATGGCAGCGTGTGCCTGTAGTCCTAGCTACTTGGGAGGCTGAGGCAGAATTGCTTGAACCTAGGAGGCAGAGGTTGCAGTGAGAATTGCTTGAACCTGGAGTGCAGAGATTGCGCCACTGCACTCCAGCCTGGGCGACAGAGTGAGACTCCGCCTCAAAAAAAAAAAGAAAAAGAAAGCAGCCATCTGCAAATCCGGTAGCGAGGCCTCAGAAGGAACCAAACCTGCACATGCATGATGTTGGACCCTGACCTCCAGAACTGTGAGAAAATAAATTTCTGTTGTCTAAGCTACGCAGTCTGTGGTCTTTTGTTGTGGTAGCTCTAGCAGCGTGCACTAGATGCAGCTACCTAGGAAACATTCATCTTTTACAATAAACTTGGTTTTGTCATTATGCGTTCTGAGATTCACACTCTCCTTTTGTGGCTTGTTCTAAGTATCAGGAGAAACCTAGCTAGCAGTATGCTCTCTTATCTTTATAGTAGTTAGGTTTGTTCTATGGTGGCTTTCTATATCTGACTCAAATTGTGTCATCATCCAATCATTTATTCAACTCTTGAAGTATAAGATCAGCATTTAATTTGGAATCAAAAATCTGAATTTATCACTTAAAAAAAAGAGCTATGTTTGTTAGGCACACTATCTCCAAACAAAGAAGAGTGTTGATCTTACATAGGGCTGTTGGGAGGCATGGCGTTCAGGTATTGATGAAGATTCACTGGCAGGAATGGGTTAACTCAGCTGGAGATGCTTGGTCACTGGGGTGGGGATATTTTTGAGGGGCTGAATTTCAGAGGCATGTTTGCTGAAATGAGGCTGTGGTTGATTGGCTGGCTTTATAAAGAAGAGGGATGCCACTGATGGGCTGGCTTTTGGAAGCATGTTCATTGACGTGAGTAGTATTTGATGGAACAAAATAAATTCTAGTTCTGGTAGTTACTTTTTACCATGACTATGAAACAATCAGTTTTTTGCTAGGACTATGGAAATAGTGACTTGCAAATAGTAGGTGTCAATAAATATTTGCTGAATTAATTGAAAAGTGAAAGATACTAAATAGGCTATTAAATATATGAGTCTAGATTTTACTGAGGAGTCTGGGTCTTCAGGAGTCACCACCATCGAGTTGGGATTTAAAGCCTGATTCTGGACAAGATCACCTTGGGTGTGCGAATAGAAGAAAGAAGTCTGAGAACTAATCCTTGGGGTTTTGCAAAGTTTGCAAACTTTGTATGCGTTGACATCGTAGTTTACTATCAAATAGTCTAAAAATAAAAAAATTAAGGTATAAAATGAATCAGCATGTAAACTAATTGCTTCTGTCAAATTGTTATGTTTGGGTTGAGTTCCTCTTGACCATCCTCCATCTCAAATTGCTAAGCACAAAGAACTGAGAAAACTGATGGCTGGATTCAGTGACCTCTTTTGAGCCATGAGATAAAACAGAGTGAATAAGAAAAATCAGCAAGTTTGTTTCTACCATCTTTTCCCCATATTGGAAAATCAATGTAAAGTTGTTTTAAAGAAAGTATTCTTGAGAATGATGATTTCCAATTTCATCCACGTCCCTACAAAGGACAGGAAATCATCATTCTCAGTAAACTATCGCAAGAACAAAAAACCAAACACCGCATGTTCTCACTCATAGGTGGGAATTGAAAAATGAGAACACATGGACACAGGAAGGGGAACATCACACTATGGGGACTGTTGTGGGGTGGGGGGAAGGGGGAGGGATAGCATTAGGAGATATACCTAATGCTAAATGACGAGTTAATGGGTGCAGCACACCAGCATGGCACATGTATACATATGTAACTAACCTGCACATTGTGCACATGTACCCTAAAACTTAAAGTATAATAATAATAATAATAAAAAAAGAAAGTATTCTTTCCAGAGAGCAGAGATTTCAGAAGAATAGTGTTAGCACAATATCCTTTCCCTCCGTGAATATGAGGGGCAACTTTCAACTCTTTCTGTTCCAAAGAAATGCACGAAGATAATCTCTCTTCTTAGACTAGGGGTCTTGCAAAGGCAGGTGCTCACTGTGTAGGCCTTCCTCATTGATCCTTTCAGAACTGTAGCATGGCACAGTTTGGAGAATGTGCCTAGAAATAGCCTGAGTCCACACCAACAGGTAGAGCAAGGATAGATAAGTTTTCCCTGGAGTCCAGAGTGAGCCATGGAAGTAGAAGAGGCAGGGCATATTGTCATCCCAGCAGACTAAGAGAATGAAAAAAAAAAAAATCACTCTTTATGGCATACCTGGTGACCAATAGCTAGACTGAAAGGAAGGAAGTGGCACTGCCTCAATTGTGTGACCCATCCCAGGATGCTGTGCAATTGAGTATCACACTAGAAAGTCAAGAATAGGCCGCCAGCACCAGACAACAAACCGGATAAGTATACTAGTGGCCACAGGCAGCAAAGAAGTGAAGGCAGCACAAAGCAAGCACATAATAACTCCATTACCAAGGTGCAGGGGGTCACAAGGAAGATGCTTTACTCTCTTGCTGGTAGTGCCAGTAAATACATGAAGGCAAGCAGCCCCCTAGTAGTTTAGGGTTAGATAGGAGAAAGGAGGAAGCACAAGATCCAGAGTTTGTTAGGCCTTGGGATGTAAAGCAAAGATAAGATGAAATGATCTTGACAGAGACACAAAATTGACCAGGGTGAAGAATGTTATGAGACAATGCTTAGAATGATTAGGCTTTGCTCTTTTCTTTTTGACATTAAAACAGTGCTTGACATATAGTAAGCGCTCAATACATATTTTCACATTTGTAAATAGCTGTTTAAGACATCCAGAGGCATCAGAATTGATCTGAGAATCAGAAACAATGTTCAGGTTGTTTTTTAGGCTTTTCAAGCCCACTCCAGAAACAACACATTTGAAAAGGAAACTGTGATTAGCAAGACATGGGTTCTGTTAAGAGAAGAAAGATTCTTAAGAACCAAAGGAGGCCCTGGTGGAAGCAGGGCCCTGAATTCATGTCATTGCATGAGCTTTAAGAGAGAATAGGGGCAAGGTCAAAGTCACTTCTGCTGGAAGCAGGGTTCAGAGGAAATGGGCTATGATGCTGGAGAGCTCAATGGTATCTGGTATAAGGCATGTGACTTTAGGGGAGTGGTTCCTGATTGGAGAAACTGCCGAATATTATAGGTTACCAGCACCAGGGGAGCAAACAAATGTCTGTCTGATTTCATATTAGTGAACACTGCATGCTGCAACTGCTGAGCAGTCCCTTCAGCTGACTTACCCATTGAAGTGTGTTGCCTTGGCTCTCAGGTGAAGCTTTTATGTTGTCCATGAATTATCTAATAGAGGGGATGCATTTGCTCTATCCACACTCCCCATGCTATCTTCCTTTTTCCAATGACCAACCCACACTGCAAAATAGAAAGTAAGGACTAAGAGATGCAGACTGGATATGGTCTTGTGGAAGGAAAGTTCTCAGCACCAGCTCTTTTGTGGGACTGGAGTGGGGATACCCATCTCCACTACGTATTATTAATTTCTATTTTATCTAGAGATGCTGTTTCTTATCTGCCACCACTTCCCATCTCCACTATCAAAATCTTGCCAGTCTTTCAAATCATCATAAAGTCATCTCTTCTGTGAAAACCCAATTATCTGCTTTTCTTTCATCCCATTCCTTTTGTGAATTCCTGCACTGGTACTAGTTTAAGCAAAGAATGGAATTTGTTGGCTCCATATCCAAGCCAGCAGATGCACAGGAATAGAGACAGATTTTTGGAATGACTGCAACCCACAGTACTAATGCTGCCATAAGCTTTATTCTGCATTTATTATTATTACTGCTTTTCATTGTGAGTAGTATCAATTCTTCCATGCCAGTTCTTTTTGTGAGGAAGAAATTGAAGCTAACAAAAGACACTTGGCTTTATTTTTTCAGCTTCACCATCAGAGAAAAACTGACTCTCTTTCCTTGATTCCAGGAAGGACTTGGTATACTGGTTTGGGTTGTTTGTGAGCCGTGTGGCTACGGAGTGAGGATGGTGATTGGCAGTCTCAAACATAAAACAGGAAAGAACACCTAAGGAATCTTGATGTTTTTCCTAAAAAAGATAGGCCTACTATACACATCAAACCTAGCTAAATTAACTACAGGGGGTAAATTGAGTAGTAATGTAGTGACTAGAAAATTTTATCATATTTCACGTCACCCTATTATAATAACACTTGCATATCTGATTGTTTGTGTTATGTTACAAACATAAGGAGAGTGTATTAGATTAAGAATAGAAAGAGATATCAGAACTTCTGTAATTTAGCAATTTATCCTTGTATCTCAAGCCCCAGCACCAAACATGATAAGACAACCTATATTTTCTATTTAACAAGTTAACATACCTATTACATATCTAGACATTTAAATTATTTATGCATCACATAGTGAATAAAATGAGCCACCTGATTTCACCAGAAATTAGTTAATTCAATCGTGCATCACAAACAATGGGGATATGTTCTGAAAAATGCATCTTTAGGCGATTTCATCATTGTTTGAACATCACAGAAGGTACTTACACAAACATAGATGGTATAGCCTGTGATACGGTTTGGCTGTGTCCCCACCCAAATCTCATGTTGAATTGTAGCTCCCATAATTCCCACGTGTCAAGGGAGGGACCCAGTGGGATGTAATTGAATCATGGAGGAGGGTCTTTCCTGTGCTGTTCTCATGATAGTGAATAAGTCTCATGAGATCTGATGGTTTTATAAAGGGGAGTTCCCCTACACAAGCTCTCTTGCCTGCCACCATGTAAGATGTGACTTTGCTCCTCATTTGCCTTCATCGATGATTATGAGGCCTCCCCAGCCATGTGGAACTGTGAGTCCATTAAACCTCTTTCCTTTATAAATTACCCAGTCTCAGGTATGTTTTTATTAGCAGCATGAGAACAGACTAATACAGCCTACTATACACTTAGGCTAAATGGTATAGTTAGCCTATTGCTCCTAGGCTATAAAGCTATATAGCATGTCACTGTACTGAACACTGTGGGCAATTATAACACAATGGGAAGTATTTGTGTACCTAAACATATAAAAAGCACAGTAAAAATAAAAAATGGTACCCCCATATAGGGCACTTACCATGAGTGGAAGCTGCAGGATTGGAAGTTGCTCTGGATGAATCAGTGAGTGAGCAGTGAGTGAATGTGAAGGCCTAGGACATGACTGTACATTATTATAGACTTTATAAACACTGTACACTTAGGCTGCAGTAAATCTGTGAAAAAATGTTTTTCTTCAATAATATATTAATCTTAGGTGTCTGTAACATTTTTACTGAACTATATTTATTTATTTTGAGACAAGGTCTGGCTCTATTTCCGAGGCTGAAGTGCAGTGGCATGGTCTTGGCTCACTGCAACCTCTGCCTCCTGGGTTCAAGCCATCTTTCCTCAGCCTCCTGAGTAGCTGGGACTATAGCTGCACGCCAGCACACCTGGTAATTTTTGTATTTTTTTGTAGAGACAGGGTTTCACCATGTTGCCCAGGCTGGTCTTGAACTTGTGAGCCTAAGTGATCTGCCCACCTTGTCCTCCCAAAGTGCGGAATTACAGGCATGAGCCACCATGCCTGGCCAATAAACTAGTTTTTAAAAACCTTTTGACTCTTTGGTAATAACAATTACCTTAAAACACAAATACATTGTACAGCTGTACAAAAATATTTTCTTTATAGCCTTTCCTATAAGCTTTTTTCTATTTTTATTTATTTTATTTTTTTACTTTTTAAATTTCTTTGTTAAAAACTCAGACATAGACACACACATTAGCGCTTAAGCCTACACAGGGTCAGGATCATCAATATCACTGTCTTCCACTTCTACATCTTGTCCCACTGGAAGTTCTTCCGGGGTAATAATAGCGTGAAGCTATCCTTTCTTATGATAACAATGCCTTCTTCTGGAAAAGCTCCTGAAGAACTTGTCTGAGGCTGTTTTACAGTTACATTTTTTTTTTAAATAAGTAGAAGTACACTCTAAAATAACGATAAGAAATGTCTCAGGATCCTTGGGGTGTTGCCTTTCCAGGCAGAAGCCTCTGTGGCCAGTGGCACCTTTGCCTGAGTTTTGCTTGAGCCCGCCGGGCTCGTTCTGCTCACTCGGCCTGGCAGGCAGTGCTGAGCTTGCACTATCAGCCCGGATTCCATGCCTGCCGAGGGAGAGTCAGGCACGGAGCAGCGAGAGGGTAGTGATGAGCAAATGTGGGGTCTGGCCACTGTGCACAGCCAGGCTGCTGCGGTGAGGCGGGCAGCTCCAGGCACCAGCACAGGCGCCTGCTCCGTGCAAGCCTGCGGCTGGAACAGATGCACTGCAAGTGGCTTCCACTGTGGGCACCGATGTCTGGATGAGGGGAATGCGGTGATGCCTGGAAGCTTGGAGATGTCAGAAACCGCAGAGCCCCAAAGAGGGTATCACAGCTCTGGCTCGGGGAGCACCTAGGTCTGGGCTCCCAGAAGGGCCACAGCTCTTCTCTCCTTCTCATCACCCGCAATGTGGTGAGCAGGGAGTTGAGTTTCAGCTCTGTTTGTGTTACAGCTCTTTCAGTCCCTCCATTCAATGGGTTTTGAGTTATTGTCCTGCATCCGGGAAGAAGGAGGTATGTGGACAACTGTAGGGTAAGCAAGGTGGAGAGGAGCTTTATTGAGTGACAGAATAGCTTTTGGGAGACCTGAAGTTGGTACCTCCTTTCTGTAGGTCATTCCAACGAGTGTCTGGCTCTCAGCAGAGAGGAGACCTGCAGTGGATAGCTCCTACCTGCAGGCAGGTCATCCTGACAAGTGTCCAGTTCTCAGCAGAGAGGAGACCCACAGTGTGTAGCTCCTTTCTGCAGGCAGATCATCCTGACAAATCGAGGAGACCTGAAGTAGGTAGCTCCTTCCTGCAGCTGGTAGTCCTGATGTCTGTGTGAGTCTGGCTGGGTCTGGGTTTTTATGGGCTCAGAAGGGAGTAAGTGCATGCTGATTGGTCCATGGGTGGCCATGAGTGGGCCTGGAAAAAGCACCATAAGTCCTCACTCTGGGCCACAGACTCCATCCAGAATGGACAACCTGGCCCCCAGGCTTCAGGCCGTCCCTGGCTTGAAGGTGGGGCTTCACCTGTCTTTTTCTGCCCAGGAGCCTGTCTGCCTCCTGCCACCATCAACATGTCATCCACAGTGCCCAGACTGTTCATGCCAAGGGGTGCCTGCAGGCCCATGCGGAGCCACCCTCAGACCTCCTTCAGCCTCCCTCCCATGCTCGTTGGCACCCCGAATTTGGAGAGGGCCAAGGAGGCAGGGGACTAGCATATCACACATGCGGTCAGGTCATGACAGCACCAGGCTTGGTTACAACATTGCTCCACCCCCAAGCAGGTGCTGGGAGTGGGGAGAGGCCAAGTAGCAGGAGCAGGCACTTTCAAGCGTGCTGGAGCAAGGGGTTTCCTGGGCCCTTGAGTGTGCAGGGATGCTGGGATCTGGAGCCCCAGCTGGGTGGCTGCAGCTGTGCCTGAACGCACGGGACTCCTGCCCTACTGACTTGGTAGGGGTCAGGGCTCCTGCCTATTCCTGGCCCCTGCTGGCTCCACGGAGTGCACGACCCCAGCGGTGCCTCCCCTGCTGCAGCCAGCATGTTTGCAGCAGCTGGTCCAGACGGGCCACTGCTGCCATCAGATGTATGATATAGTAAACACATACACCAGCAACCTAATTATTTATTATCATTATGAAGTATTATGTACTGTACATAATTGTATCTGCTAAACTTTTGTACAACTGGCAGCACAGGTTTGTTTACATTAGCATTACCACAAGTGCATGAGTAATGGATTGCACTATGACTTTACAATAGGTACAATGTCACAGCAATATGAATTTTTAAGCTCTATTATAATCTGATGGGGTCACTGATGTATATGCAGTCCATTGTTGACTAAAATGTCATTATGCAATGCATGACTGTATGTCCATAATGAAATCAATACATTAAGTGCTTTTGGGTATTACTGATACTGTTCTTAAAAAATTATATATGGGGCTTCCCTTGACACATAACACAATTTTAGATGAACCTCTTCTGTAATCAGTTAGTATGTGCACAAAGAATTCAATTACTTAACATGAGTTTACAAAAACTATTCAATATTTTTGTAACAACAACAAATCAGTTTAAGTTTATGTAGCAATAAGCCAAAGTTATAGAATGGCTCTTTCTGGTAATCTTTCAGGTTGTGTCAAATGTTTCTGTAAAACAAGGAGGCAGATGTTTGACTGATACATAAAACCAGTTATGTGACTTTGTAGACACCCTTCAGTGTTTTCTGTTATATTTCTTACTATCATGTCTGTGATGAGGGACCAATACTAAGAGTCTTATACTCAAAACTTGTAGGATTCACAATCAATTGTAAATTTAGAGCAGTGGTCAATGATCATTGCCACATATAAAGTTGTCATAATTTTAGTTGAATGCTTTGCTTGTTAAAGATGGTCACACTGATGGTAGCTCTTACTGCTAAATTTAATTTTACAGAGGCCATTAAGTGAACAAATGACTTATTAGCAAAGGACCAATTATAGCATTATTAAGGGAGAAATGAGAAATAGTATCTGAGTATTTTCTAAATTTGAATTTTAAATCTGAAGATCAAATGCAGTTCTTGTGTGTGTTTGGGTAAACAAGAGTTATTTCAAGGTAGTCTAGGAGAGTACCTTTTGTGATTTAGAAAAATAAGTCTGACCTTTATATTTCACTTTTTCCCATTAGCTAGACAATAATTCATGGTACCTAATCATTATATAAGATTCAGTAAAAAAAATTCCATTATAATATCAAAAAAGTAATCAGTAAGTTTTCCCACAAGTGGTTTTTTTTTACATCCTCTAACTCATGCATGTCATTTGCATGACAGCTGTGCATTTAGAATTGAGAAAACAGTAACAAAGCTTAATGAGATTTGTAAATTTTTATAATAAAAAACTCTTCAAGCAGCCAAACTCATTTTTGCAGTCATTTAAAACTCTGTTGCAGAAGGGACTTGATTTTGAATAAGTAACATTTTTCTTTCTCTTAATCAGACAGGAAATTTAGCAGATTTTTCTCTATACGGATTGTTAAACATTTCTTATAGTTGAGTGTGGTAGGCTGAATAACAATCCCTCAGAGATGTTCACGTCCTAATCCCTGGAATCTGTGACTATGTTATTTTACATGGAAAAAGGAGCTTCACAAATGTGATTAAGTTAAGGGTCTTCCATGGAGATATTATCCTGGATTATCTAGGTGGGTCCTATGTAGTTTTAAGGGTCTTTATAAGACGGATGCAGGAATATCAAGGTAAATAGTAGGAGATGTTACAAAGGAATACAGGTGGCTTCTAGAAGCTGGAAAAGCCAAGGAAATGGATTCAACCCCAGAGACTTCAGAAGGATCTAGCTCTGCAGGCACCTTGATTAAAGCCACATAAGACTCATTCTGGATTTCTGCTCTCTGGAACTGAAAGCAGATAAATTGTGTTGTTTCAAGCCACTAAGTTTATGGTAATTTATTACAGCAGCAATAGGAACTAATATGCTGCATCAGAGCTATGGTATATATGTGGAAATTATTGTACCATTTGGTGTGCATGTGTGAAAAACTGAGAGTAAGGCCAGTTAATTTTATAATTATTTGTTTATGTTATCAATCACCTTAAGAGTAGAGCTTCTTTCCTGAGAGCTGAAATGATGCCAACTTGATTGTTTAACTAACTCATGCATTCAAAAAAATTTTTTTTCTGCTTGGTAAACAAAACAGATATGACTCATACTTTTATACAAAATAGTGGAGAAAATGATAGGCATTAAGAGGATAATTTCACATTAATTTATTATATTTTTAGATTGTATAAGATGCTATAAGTATTCAACATGGGAAATTGATTTAGCCAGCGATACCAGAAAATGCTTTCTTGAAGAAATGTTGTTTAGCCAGGACATATAAAATCAGTAGGAGCCAGCAGAGCTTTTTGGCCATCTAAAATTTTTAAACAACTTTAAGAGATTTGAGAAGGGATTCATGGCTTTTAAAAAATATCTGGGGCACATGTAATCCCAGCACTTTGGGAGGCCAAGGCGGGCAGATCACTTGAGGTCAGGAGTTCAAGACCAGCCTGGCCAACATGGTGAATCCCTGTCTCTACTAAAAATACAAAAATTAGCTGGGCATGGTAGTGCAAGCCTGTAATCCTAGGCACATATAATCCCATCACTTGGGAGGCAGAGGCAGGAGAATTGCTTGAACCTGGGAGGCAGAGGTTGCAGTGAGCCATAATTGCACCACTGCACTCCAGCCTGGGCAACAGAGTGAGACTCTGTCTCAAAAATAAGTAAGTAAGTAAGTAAATAAATAAATAAATATCTGGGGCAATGTGAGAATGGATTGGAAGGAAAAAGATCTATAGAACATCAGTTGTGAGTGGCTAAATCAGTCTAAGAACATGATAATATGTTTTGACTAAGACAGTATGAATGGGAATAGAAGATTGAAGGGAAATTTAAGAAATAGAATTGACAGAAAGGGGAAGAGGGTGGAATGTGAAGAACATGCAACACATACAGCCCTAAGTTAAGCAGTAAAGAAAGGTGTTAACATCTCACTTATTCTGTCACATTTCATCTGTTATGCATAAATACAAATGCAAAGTTTTAAACAGAGTATAAATAAAAAGAGCCAGTACCTGGAAAATTCAAGTTTCTTATTGCCGAAGTGTAAGAAGGAGTTGTAGAATTGGAGATGGGGCAGAAGCCACTTCATGAGAGACCTTGTTTGCCATGACAAAGAGCTTGGACCTGATCCTGCAGCATGGCACACCACACAGTGGTTTGTAAGCAGGAAATATTTGTGCTTTAGAAGAACTCTCAAGGCAATGAAAAAAGACTAGAGGCCTTACTGTAAACAGGAAAGGAGGAGATGCAGAGGCACTGTGTATGAGTGAGAAGTACTGTAGGCTTGTGCCTTCAGGGAGTTCAGCAGGGATGGCTGAGGTCTTTCCAAAAGCTCAGGGTATGGGGTGAGGCCAGAAAACCTGAAGCATTCAAGAGATATCTAACAAGAGAGATGGTGGTGGTGCGATAAGATGAAAATGAAGGAAAAACCTACAGTTGGTTAGATAGGACCTTCCAAATGCCCATCTTGAGTATGGACATTTTGGGTCCATTTTGTCCAACTTGGATCAGGAGAGTGGCACCATCAACTAAGGTAGATAATATAGGAAAATTGGATGGTGTAGAAAGGAGATCAAGAGTGAGAATAATACGATAGCTATTATACAACACCCTTTTATTTAGTTTCATAAAGAAAATACGTCATCAGCGATGTCTATTGGTAGCATATCTCAGAGTGAAGATGTAAAACTATAGCTTTGAAAATGAAGCATGATTTCAATGTAGATTTCTACCGTATAATGTCTTTAATGTTTCATCATGAATTCATAGATGTATTTCCCATAGAATTTGTATAATTTCTCAGTGGTTATAAGGAGCTTGGATCCTATTTGAAAACTTATTTTATGAGTTACTCATTAATACCTGGAACCAGTGGTATTTTGGAACTGATTGATGCCAACCCATACCAGATGATTGTTAAACATTCAGAAAGTTTATTAATAACACAGTCAGTAAATATTAAATTACATAAACTTATAGCTAAATTAATTATATTAAAAACAAGATAACAAATATTCAAAACATCACTTCCTAATTATTTTACTACATTTTATGATAGCTGAGCTCTTGAGGTTATTTGCATTTATTGTATCTACATGGTGGAAATATTACATAGTGATGTGCTATTGAATATCTCTTCCCAACTCCATTTTCAACGATACCACTTTGATAGCTTGAAATCAGTCATGGTAGGAGTACTTCAATCATGGTAATGGTATCAAAGGATACCACGTTGATAGCTTGAAATCAGTCATGGTAGGAGTATTTGTAGCAAATGCTACAAATGAGGACTTGACTTATTGTTTTATTCATTGTGTAAAATTAAGAGAAGGATAGAGAAAAGATAAATAGGGCATATTAAATTAAAAAACATGTATGTCCTTAGCCATTACATTGCAAATGGCAAAAGAACGGGTGACCTTCTGCCAATACTTGAAAATTATTATCTGATTTGACAAATGATTTGCACATGTTGCTGTTGAATAAGCAAAGCTTCAACATATATCTTTGTCTCACTTTCATCATAAATATTAATGTAAATCTTTTCATAAAGATCAACCAGCTTTCATGCCAGAACTATACTCATTCATCACTTGCAACCAAAGTTTGGCTACTGATATAAGAGTTTGGCAAAAATCAATGAAAATGTTCTGGAGAATCAATTGCCTTTATGTGTGTACCTATAAAAATTGTAGGTACATTTTATTATTTGTAAGTTGTGTGATATACATCCTTATACCAGTACAATTTATAATGAACTATATATGATATATATGTGTGTGTCTGTGTGTATTTGTGTATGTACACACAGACACACACAGACTTTTCTTTCTTTTTTTCCCCAGAGAGCTTATTAAACATTTACCAGCAAACCACTCTGCCTGGAAGTCTATCTACAAAAGATATTTAAAGTGCCATTACACAGTTTTAAAAAAATTCCAGGAGTCCTAATTCTCACTTCTATTGATTCTAAGCCTTATATTAATGGTTTTAGGTTCTCCAGGAAAGACATGATCTAGATTCACCTATCCTGGACACTCTCTCAAGAGGAAAGAAAGTTTCCTCCTAGATAGCCCTAATCTTAACCTCTCCCTAGATCTACTGTGAGAAACAGAGGAAGAGGTATGAACAGATGTATTATAATCACCAAGACTCATGCCCCCTGTTGCTGGGGCCCCTAGGAATTATAGGTAATGTAAAATATGGCAGAGACTGAAGGCATCTAGAAGACCCATAATAAAGAGCTTGGACCTGATGCTACAGCATGGCACACCACACAATGGTTTGTAAGCAGGAAAGATTTGTGCCTTACAAGAACTCTCATGGCAATGAAGCATGAGCAGCTGGCATGGGGTTTTCCTCAAGTCAGACTGAGGAGGCAATTCGGCCTTGTCGGAGGCTCCAGAAATTCCATAGTTAATTAGGAAATTTTGCTATTTTTTCCTTTAACTTTCTTAGAAATTTAAGCCTTGAGATTGACATTGGGATGAACAGCCTACCTTCTTTAAGAAGAGCTTAGGAAAGCCTGCCTCTTAGAGAAAGAATGCTAGCTTAGGTGGAGCTTGTATATGATCCTGCGTAATTCTGAGATTTCTCCTTCCTTCTCTTAGAAAACGTCCTAATAAGAAGATAAGGTGACCGAATAAGGGGATTACTTGGCAGAGATATGAGAGAACTGGGTTCTTGACCCCACTTTGCCATGAACTTGGGTAAGTTACTAAGTCTGTCAGTATCATGGTTCCTTGTCTGTATAACTAGCAACCTTTACAGAGAGCTTCTCTTCCAATGTTGATACTTTTTATTTCTAAGGATATATTTTTTAAACAATTTCTCTTACAGTTTTCTCAAAATTAAATAGTATTTTTTCAGTGATAAAGTGAGTATACTGAGAATTGAAGAGATGGAAAATACAGTTATGTCTCCCATAATAAATGGGTAAAAATGCCCAAGCATCAAAACCGTGGGCTGCTCTAACCTGGAGAGATGTCTGATGGTGACATGAAAAGATGCACTTTTTAGGAAAAATCTCAGCCTGAAATTTATTCTCTTGCCAAAATTCAGAGCAACTATGTTGTTTAACACATAATTACAGAGTAATTTCTTTTTATGTCATTTTGACTATTTCATTTTATTTTTGGACGGGCTGCCCAGTTGGAGTGGAGCACAGTTGTCCATGCATGATTACTAATAACATCATTATCCTGCTATGTAATATGGTTTGTTTACTTATATCTAAGATCTGAAGTTTATTTATAAAATGTTTTATTGTTAAAAGTGGTTTTTGCTTCTTATCATGAGTATAAAACTGTATACATTTTTATAACACAAATCTCATAATTTTAGACAGACATAATAGTAACTACAATTTGTTAAGCATATTTATACAACAGAATGTGTACTAGGTATTTTATATATTTATTTCATTTAAGTTTTACAATAAGCTGGGTAGGTATTATCAGCAGTTTGCTGAAAAAGTATCTGAATTCCAGGACATAGGTAACTCACTTAAGGTTGCACATCTAGTATATGGCAGGGTGAGAGGCCCACAAATATCAAGTTCAACATAACTATTCAGTGCTTAAAATTCTCTGTATTATATGAATCTCTATCTTCATTTTAATATCTGCCAGTATATCATTGTAAAGATATAATTAATTTTATTTTAATATTTTTATTATACAAAATTTATTTAATCATTTCACCTTTTTCTAATTTTTGTTAGTGTCAACAGTGTTGCAATTAATATATTTGTATACTTGCTTATATTTACTTTTTCCGATGAAAATGTAAAAGTGAATTCAATTTATCAATAAATATACTTATTAAAAGTTTGAAATACACATTTAATTGCCCTGCAGAACATTTCTACTGGGAATATGCAAGGGTACCTATTTTCTTACACCCATGTCAACACTGAATAGCAGAAACTGTTAAAATTTTTCTAATCTGATACATCAAAATGTTTATCTTCATTGAATTTCAAACTTCTCATTACTAACAGGGGGACTTCTAAGAATTCCTTCTTTAGATTTCATCTTTAATAAATTTTTAATACATTTAGTCCATTTTTCTAATAACTTGTTTTTTTATTCATAAAATGTCTTTATTAAATAAATCTCTTGCCTATCATGTAGAATGTAAATACTTTTTACATCTTCTCATTTAAATATCAAATGTGTTTGTACTTTTCTGTGTAGAAATGTTACATATTTGTGAATTTTATAAATCAGTCTTTTACTTTATAGATTCTGACTCTGGGATCATGATTAAAAATATCTTTCCTATTCCAACAGTGTAAAATTCTTCAACTATATTTTCTCTTAGAACTTTGTATTACTTTTCTTGTTGCCATAACAAATTACCACACGTTTAGTGGCTTTAAACAATATCCACTTAGGGCTGGGCACGGTGGCTCACGCCTGTGATCCCAGCACTTTGGGAGGCCCAGGCGGGTGGATCACCTGACGTCGGGAGTTAGAGACCAGCCTGGACAACATGGTGAAACCCCATCTCTACTAAAAATACAACAATTAGCCAGGTGTGGTGGCGGGCTCCTGTAATCCCAGCTACTCCGGAGGCTGAGGCGGGAGAATGGCTTGAACCCAGGAAGCAGGGGTTGCAGTGAGCCGAGATTGAGCGAAACTCCGTCTCAACAACAAACAAACAAACAAACAAACAAACAAACAAAAAACAGTATCCACTTATCTTCTCACCTCCTTTAAGTCAGAGATCTGGATACAGTGTGGCTCAGCCGGGTCCTCTGCTTAGGATCCCACAAGGCTGAAATCAAGGTGTGGAAAGCTACATTTCTTTTTGGAGGCTCTGGGAAGGAATCAGTCTCCAAGCTCTTTCAGGTTGCGGGCTAATTCAGTTTCTTGTTCTCGTAGTGTTAAGGCTCCTTTGCTGGAAGTTGGAAGGTCCTGGTTTGGCTCCTACTGGAGCCTGTAGTCTTCTTTCATGCTTTCCAGTTGACCTCCCTCAGGCAGCAGCAGTTCTAGTTCCTCTCATGCTTTATGTGCTGCTGATTTATGTATACTATCTAATTTAATATTTACAGCAACTTTATGGGCTGATTATTATCCTCATCTCATGGACGAGAAAACTGTGAGGTTAAATAACTTGTCCAGGGTCTTATAGCCAGTAAGGGAAGATATAAGACTTGACAGCTCACATCTCTTATTTTACTTCTTCATAAGATATAAACAAAAACTGCCAGGGCCGTCTATTAATTACATAATTAAGGGTAGTCAGGTCTACTCAGATAAGTATCATCTAATATTTGTGAGGAGTCTACATTTAAAACCATCATTTAAAAAATGGTTATGGAACTTTCCTTTTACCCATTCGTGTCTCATTTTTTTTTGGTAGCAGAGAAGTGCTCATATAGTAAACAACTATTACTTCACTGGTATGTGTCCTCACCCTACCCCTTTTGTAAGGTAAGATATTCATGATAATAAACACGAGTTTATGATTCTCATAATATACTAGAATAAACTGAGAGTTCAATCAGTGTTCAACAATAAAAAATGACTTTTTTTTTAAACCCTGGTGACAATAAAGTGCCTCAAAAGTGATTAGTTTTTGTGGAAGAAAAGCATGGCAGAAAGTGATAGTCTCAGGCAGAGCTTTCGCTTTACTTCGGGAATAGGTACATCACATCAGAGGTGGCATAATTTACCTCCTTGGAGTGGGTGAACATAAGCATCTGTTATATATGGTATTCTAAGAAGATACTAAATTCCCTTTTGATAGCTCTCTCTGTTTCTTTCAATGCAAATACCTAACATATTTAAATGATACAAGAGTCTTTTAAATCCTTTTTAAGCTCATTGCCTATTGATTCCATCATAAGGGTCACTAATATATGATGCCATTCCTGGAACTGTAAATGGCAGGAACTCAATGAAATTAATTTTAGAAGTTAATGTAAAAAAATTTATTAAAAGACTAGAATGCTTTTTTTCTATCAAATAATAATAAAACACACAATTGATTCTATTACCATTTCTGCTTTGTTTTCAGGGAAAGGTCAGAATTAAACGTGATGCTAAGTCATGGTTACTGCATTCGATTTGATGGTTATCATGTTACTTTCTAACTATGTTTAAGGGCCTGGAGTTTTATATGTATGCTTTTTAACAGCCTTATACTAAATAAATCTTTTTTTGGTAAGCCAACTGAAATCCAGTTTGACAATCAGGAAGAAAGATGTAAGTTAAATATTGTAAAATATCTTCTTCCTCCATCGTTGGGATTTCCTCGACTACCAAAGGCCAGCATTTTCATATTTAGATTTCTAATTTTTTTGGAATTAAACAGAATGAAAAACTCTCATGATGGGTGCCATAAAATTCAATTGCCTAACAAGAGTTTCAACAGGATATGAAAGCAGCTCAGACTGTTCAAATTTCTTGGTGGAGTATAACTATCTGCATGTTTATATTAGAGAATGAATCTTTAGCAGAGTTTAAATAAAAAACCTTCCTTCTATACCATCTCACCCCTACCAAACAGATTCAAGAAACAACTAAAACACAAATAAGCGAGCAAGCAACATATGCAGCATCCAGAATTCCATCTTTCTCATTGTGTCCTTGCTATGGTTGACAGCAGAGATGAACAGGCCTTCCTCTAGACTTCTTTAATTACTGCAATGATTCCAGCCACATGTCCCTAATTACATGCCTAAGTCACTGAAACAGGTCACTCTGGGGACTCAAAAATCCCCTACACATAAGAACACTGATTCCCTACCAGGCATTCATAATTCTGACTTAGCAGAACAGGAGAAACTATCACCTAAATGATCATTAAACTTTTGTCTTGAAAGTAAATTCAGTCGGCCGGGCACAGTGGCTCACGCCTGTAATCCCAGCACTTTGGGAGGCTGAGGTGGGTGGATAACGAGGTCGGGAGATCGAGACCATCCTGGCTAACATGGTGAAATCCTGTCTCTACTAAAATACAAAAAATTAGCCAGGCGTGGTGGCGGGCGCCTGTAGTCCCAGCTACTCAGGAGGCTGAGGCAGGAGAATGGCCTGAACCCGGGAGGCGGAGCTTGCAGTGAGCCGAGATCGTGCCACTGCACTCTAGCCTGGGTGACAGAGCCAGACTCAGTCTCAAAAAAAGAAAGTAAATCCAGTACATCAGAAACTTGTAGCATACTATAAACTATTGAAATACATGTATGTAGAAAGACTTGACATACACAAGTATAATAACTTCCAGTTTTTTATGGATTTTTAACAACAAATGTGGCTCAAATATTTTATAATTGGTCCCTCAGATTGAGATTTATCATCTTGGTGTAGAATTGTGTATCTTTGCTCAGAGCAAACAGTAAACATTTATTTATGGATCTGTAAGTATCATAAAGGCCATTGTCTTTTTGGTCTTTAAATAGACATATTATGAGCTTCAAAGCATCTCTTTAAATAACCGAGATTGTGAGATTTTACCTGGACTTTTTGACAGACTTGACACACCTTTTCCAGAAACAAGTCATACCTACTTGGTGTTCAGTTTGGTTAGAGCTCTTACAGTCTGTCAGCTACCTTTGTGGAAAAGGAGGCTATATTTGGAAAGGAGTCGGTAAGCCTCAGCTCTTAATTGTTTTACTTGCCAAAAAAGCAGAATTCTGTTGAAGTTTTGACAGCTGTGCCTTGTCATGGAGAAAAATCTTCTATAAGAAAACAAAGGAGCATTTATCTCTACCATACATTATGCTCTAATAATGTGCATAATCCGTCTATCATTTTAAAAACAGTGTACATAGTTTTAAATAACTCTACCAAGAAACACCATATCAAGGAGCTTTTTCTCCTTATTTTGGCTTTTTAAAAATCATGAAAATATTTTTGCTTAGGGGAAAAGAGAAGATAATTATAGATGGATCAATTTCAAGTATGTTGGGGCAGATTTACAAAGAATACTTTTCTCAGTTTTTGCAGAAGCTTGTTTCTATAGCTGACACAGCTGGAATTTAGGCATTTGTATCATTTCTATAGTCATTTAACATAAAAACTCTACTCTGTTATGTAATTATAGCTTCAGATTAAAGTCCAGATTTCCTTGTACAAGTGTTCATGACTCTTAACTTCAAAACCAATAATTTTGTGTTTTGACAAGATGACTTTCTGAAAAGACTGACCACAACTCAAACTCTGTCTCTTCTCTTGGTATAGTATTAGGGAGAATAAACAGGAGCCTTTTGGAAAATTAGTACAGCAGGGATGCATTCTTCTCCAGAAACTCAGCTATGCCAGTCATATTACATGATGATCTTCTAAAACTAAATTAAATCTAACTTCAAATGGCAAGAAATGCAAACTCAGTTATTATCAGGTCTTCTTTTTCCCCATCCTGTGACAATTTACCAGAGTTCTTAGAGTTTCACAATGCAAGAGGACCCTCTGTGCTTCAGACTGTGAACCCAGAAAATCGGAGGCAGGTCTCAGTTAATTTAGAAAGTTTATTTTGCTAAGGTTGAGGATGCACCTGTGACACAGCCTCGGGAAGTCGTGAGGACATGTGCCCAGGTGGTTGGGGCACAGCTTGGTTTTATACATTTTAGGGAGACATGAGACATCAGCCAGTATAAGTTAGAAGTACATTGGTTCCATCTGGAAAGGCGGGACAACTTGAAGCAAAGTCAGGAAGGCTCAAAACCGGAAGGGAGCTTCAGGTCACAGATAGTTGAGACACAAAGGGTTGCATTCTTCTGAGTTTCTGATTAGCCTTTCCAAAGGAGGCAATCAGATATGCATCTATCTCAGTGAGCAGAGGGGTGACTTTGAATAGAATGGAAGGCAGGTTTGCCCTAAGCAGTTTCCAGCTTGAGTTTTCCTTAGTGAATTTGGGGGCCCAAGATATTTTCCTTTCAGAAGACTATATATGTCACTACTGATTGTCCAAGTTATGATTCCTTGATAGTGAGAGGCTCTGATGTGCTAAGGAATGGGTAGGTATGTTTTTTAGGGCTGAGCATCCCAGGGCCTCCTCCTAGCCATCACTGTAGTACCTCAGTGATACGCAGCAATTTCTTTCCCTCTGAGTGCTTGTCATCCAAGGACCCCAAGTGGGAATGAGATGACGGCTTTCTCATCTCAGGGAACCCACAATTCTCTATCACTTTCCTAATTGTGGGAAAGCTCACTAGCTCTCATTACTTCCTGTCTTTCTCCTTTTTACTACCTCAGAAAGTACTTAGCAGGATGTCCTTATTAGGCTTACCTTTTGAAACAAAGAACTCCACCCCTCCCCGCACTGGTCTGGGCTATTCTGCTTTTCCACCTGTAACATGAGCTAGTAGGGAAGGCTACATTAAGGAAGAACTCATTTCTTAGGGAAAATGAGAAGGGAAAGACATAAAACTCAGGAAGGAAAAACACACAAGAGAAAAACACAATACCTCGAAAAGTCCTCTCTCTGTGAATTTGGGCAAGGTTTTTAAGCTCTGTATACTTTGTTTTTTTATCTATAAAATAGAATAATCATTGTACTCACTATTAAGATTAATGTATGTAACACATTCACATAGCGATGATTAATATTCTCACTCTTATCTTTGAGAGAGTAGAGCATCGTGTAGAGGAGCATCACCTCTTAAACCAGACTCTTTGAGTTCATATCCCTGAGCTAGTTGATTTTGGTAGAATTTACTGGTTGCAGTTTAAGTTTCCTTGTCTGTGTAATGGGGATAAAAAAATGAACAATCCGATATGGCTTGGCTCTGTATCCCCACCCAAATCTCATTTTGAATTGTTATAATCCTCACATGTCAAAAGCAGGACCAGGTGGAGATAATTTAATCATTAGGGGCGGTTTCCCCCATGCTGTTCTCATAATTGAATCATTAGGGGCGGTTTCACCCATGCTGTTCTCGTGATAGTGAGTTAGTTCTCATGAGAGCTGATGGTTTTATGAGAGGCTTCCCCCTTCGCTCAGCACTCATTCTCTCTCCTGCCATCCTGTGAAGAGGTGCCTTTCGCCATGATTGTAATTTTCCTGGGGCCTCCCCAGCCATGCGAAACTGTGAGTCAATTAAACTTCTTTTTGTTATAAATGACCCAGTCTTGGCTGTTTCTTCATAGCAGCATGAGAACGGACTAATACACAATATCATAGATTTTTGTGGTGTAAAGTGCTTTGGAGAGTACCTTGTGCAAAGGAAGAGCTTCATAAATGATATTAACTTTTTAAATCATCTTGCTGCACTAGTGCTAATGATTTTAAGCCATGTGTGGTGCTTCTCAAACCAGCCCTGTGCAGATTAGTCTGTCAAGATTAAGCTCTGGGCAATTTTGTGACGATTTTATATCTCTTTTTAATGTTTTCAAATTTCTCATGGAAATTCATCTTTTAATTAGAAGTCTGCAAACTACATGTTTACATTGTTTGAATCTGTTTAACTCTAAGCTAAATAATATTGTGCACACAGAGGTTGCTGAATTCTGAAAATACTGATGACTATTACTGTGTATATACCCAAAGGAATATAAATCATTCTATCATAAAGACACATGCATGTGTATGTGCATTGCAGCACTATTCACAATAGCAAAGACATGGAATCAAACTAAATGCCCGTCAGTGCTAAACTGGATAAAGAAAATGTGGTACATATACATCGTGGAATACTATGCAGATAAAATAAGGATTGAGATCATGTTCTTTGTGGAACATTGATGGAGCTGGAGGCCATTATCTTTAGCAAACTAAGGCAGGAACAGAAAACCAAATACTGCATGTTTTCACTTATAAGTGGAAGCTAAATGGACACATAGAGGGGAACACATACGCTGGGGCCTGTCGGTTGGAGGGAGAGGATCAGGAACAATAACTAATTGGTACTAGGCTTAATACCTGAGTGATGAAATAATCTGTACAATGAACCCCCATGACACATGTTTACTTATGTAGCAAACCTGCACATGTACCCCTGAACTTAAAAGTTAAAAAAAAATCAGAAGACAATACTACAAATACAGAATATATGCCTGTGAACTATAAAAATAAAAATATTTTCTGAATAAATAAATTCAATGATTTTGAGACAGTAGAGAAAAAACTAATGACTAATGTGGAAAGTAGAAGTAGAGAATTACCATAGCAAATAAAGGCAGCATAGAAAATCAAAGAAAAGTGATTTCAGAAAGTCAAATCTAGAAAATCTAATTTTTTTTTAAGGATTAGAAAATTCTTATAACATCAACAGATTATTAGGATCTACAATAATGATCAAGACATTTTAAATTATTTTAATCTTTGCTACCATGGCTCATATTATCAAGTTCAGAAGACATCTAAAACAAATTGGATTATTGTTCTTTGTCCATCTAATAGGTATACAATAAAAACGTGTTAAGATATATATATAAAATATTGAAATATGTCTATATCTCCTTGATATGAGATCAGTGGGTAGATTCTAAAAATCTCTTGATAAATCCACCTTCTGACCTTACAACAAATATATAACTTGATATATTTGATAGATGACCAGTATGCAGTTAAGCCCTCAATTAACATTGCTGATAGCTTCTTGGGAATTGTGACTTTAAGTGAAAAAAACTTACAACCAATTTTACCACAGGCTAACTGATATAAGCAAAAGTTCAGTTCCTATGACATATTTCTGGTCACAAAAACATCATCAAACTTCAAAACAAAGACCCAAAACACTTCTAATATTAAGCATTGAAATACATGTGAGCTTTACATACATTGAAAGACAGTTAGTAAAAACAAGTAACATGATCATTTTCCCAATTTTTCATGAGTCAGCGAGTGGGAGTGATTGTAGTGGTGGATTAAATCAGGAAATAAATGCTTGAAAAGTGAAAATTATAGGGAGCACTTCCTCCCACCTTGAAGTTCAAAAACAATCACAAATATGGTAGGCTCTCTGAGCACTTTCCTACCACATCGTTTTAGTGTCATGCATTTGTATGAATATTGTATCCTTTACAGATTTTTATTTTACAATGATTTGAACTCATTCATTTTCCAACCTGCTTATTCCAGTTCAAGGTTACCGGTGGCTGGAGCCTATCCCATGGGCTCAGGGTGGAAGGTGGGAACCCGCCCTGGACACAATGCCATCTCATCACAGGGTGCACTCACACACACACCCACATTCACTCATTCTGGGCCAGTTTACCCAATGTGCACATCTTTGGGCCGTGGGAGGAAACTGGAGCATTCAGAGAAAACCTACACAGACATGGTGAAGATGTGCAAACCACACAGGCAGTGGTTCTTCTGACAGGGAAGCAATTATTGTTTTTCATCAATGTTATAAACAACATTGAAGGAAATGTTGTTATTAGAGAATCTGCTATATATCTATCTATATCTATAGTAGTCTATATCTATAATCTTTATCCATATCTAGCTATATCTATATATCTCAATAAAATACATTTTTATTGTTATACATATTTGATTAACAAAGAATCATGAATCAATTTGTTTTAGAAGTCTTCTGAACTTGAGAATACGTATCACAGTAACAAAGATTAAAATAATTTGAATTGTCCTGAGTTTTTGCCCTCTCTTATTGATTAAAAACTTCACCCTACCAGCACTTCCAACAACAGCAGCAACAAATGTAAGTGTTGGGTAAGTCAGGGTCATGGATACAGTTGAATAAATTCTGGAGATGATTTACTAAATTTAATGAAGGATATGTCTAAGTGACAGCAGACTTTGAGTTTTATATATATATGTTTTTGTTGATATGTAATAATTGCACATATTTATGGTATACATGTGGCATACGATACATGCATATTCAGTGTGTAGTGATCTAATCAGGGTAATTAAGATATTCATCACCTCAAACATTTATCATTTATTTGTGTGAGGAACATTCCAAATCTCTTCTGGCTATTTTGAAATATACAACAAATTCTTGTTAACTGTAGTCACCCTACTATACTATTGAACACTAGAACTTATTCCTTCTATCTAACTGTATTTTTGCACCCATTAACTAACCTCTCTTCATTATTCTCTTCGTTCTATCTTTCCCAGTCTCTGGTAAGTGTCATTCTAGTCTCTACATCCATGAGATCCACTTATTTTTTAAGCTCCCACATAAGTAAGAACATGCAATATTTGTCTTTCTGAGCCTGGTTTATTTCACTTATGACCTTATTTCACAATGACCTCGATTTCCATCCATGTTACTGCAAATGACAAAATTTTATTTTATGGCTGAATAATAGTCCATTGTGTGTGTGTGTGTGTGTGTTTGTGTGTGTGTGCATACATATATACACCACATTTTCTTTATCCATTCATTCATTTATGGGCATTTAGGTTGATTCCATATTTTGGCTATTGTAAATAGTGCTTCAATAAAGATGATAATGAGTTATAGTTTTTCCAAAACAAATACTAGATTTGTAACATTTAAAATGCTAATTTTTAAAGAATTTTATTATTTACTTATTTTTAACATTTCAATAGATTTAGGAGAACAGGTGGTATTTGGTTACATGTATAAGTTCTTTGGTGGTGATTTCTCAGGTTTTGGTGCACCCATCACCCAAGCAGTGTACACTGCATCCAATGTGTAGTTTTTCATTCCTCACCCACTTCCCACCCTTTCCCCTGAATCCCTGAAGTCCATTGTATCATTCTTATGACTGTGTCCTTGTAGCTTAGCTCCCGCTTATAAGTGAAAACCTACGATGTTTGGTTTTCCATTCCTGAGTTACTTTACTTAGAATAATGGTCTCTAACTCCATCCATGTTTCAGTGAATGCCATTATTTCATTCCTTTTTATGTGTGAATAGTATTCCGTAGTATATATGTACCACATTTTCTTTATGCACTCATTGATGGGGATTGGGGCTGATTTCATGTTTTTTGTGAAATTGTGAATTGTGCTGCTATAACATGCATATGCAAGTATCTTTTTCGTATAATAACTTCTTTTCCTCTAGGTACATACCCAGTAGTGGGATTGCTGGATCAAATGGTAGGTCTACTTTTAGTTCTTTAAGGAATCTCCACACTGTTTTCCATAGTGGTTGTACTAGTTTACATTCCCACCAGCAGTGTAGAAGTGTTCCCTTTTCATCGCATCCCTGACAACATCTATTATTTTTTGGTTTTTTGATTATAGTCATTCTTGCAGGAGTAAGGTAGTATTGCATTGTGATTTTCATTTGCATTTCCCTGATAATTCGTTATTTTGAGCATCTTTTCATATGTTTGTTAGCTATTTGTATATCTTCTTTTGAGAACTGTCTATTCATGTCCTTAGCCCACTTTTTGATGGGATTGGTTTTTTCTTGCTGATTTGTTTGACTTCCTTGTAGATTCTGGATATTAGTCCTTTGTTGAATGTATAGATTGTAAAGATTTTCTGCCACTCTGTGGGTTGTCTGTATACTCTGCTGATTATTTCTTTTGCTATGCAGAAGCCTTTTAGTTAAATTAAGTCCCATCTATTTATCTTTGTTTTGGTTGCATTTGCTTTTGGGTTCTTGGTCATGAAGTCTTTGCCTAAGTCAATATCTAGAAGAGTTTTCCCAATGTTATCTTCTAGAATTTTTATGGTTTCAGGTCTTAGATTTAAGTCTTTGATCTATCTTGAATTGATTTTTGTATAAGATGAGAGATGAGGATTCAGTTTCATTCATCTTCATGTGGCTTGCCAATTATCCCAGCACCATTTGTTGAATAGGGTGTCCTTTCCCTACTTTATGTTTTTCTTTGCTTCGTTGAAGTTCAGTTGGCTGTAAGTATTTGCCTTTATTTCTGGGTTCTCTATTCTGTTCCATTGGTCTACATGCCTATTTTTTATACAAGTACCATGCTGTTTTGGTAACTATCGTCTTGTAGTATACTTTGAAATCAGATAATGTGATGCCTCCATATTTGTTCTTTTCGCTTAGTCTTGTTTTGGCTATGCAGGCTGTTTTTTGGTTCCATATGAATTTTGGGATTTTTTTTCTAGTTCTGTGAAGTATTTTGATGGGAATTGCATTGAATTTGTAGATTGCTTTTGGCAGTATGGTCATTTTCAAAATACTGATTCTACCCATCCATGAGCATGGGATGGTGTTTCCCTTTGTTTTTGTCATCTATGATTTCCCTCAGCAGTGTTTTGTAGTTTTCCTTGTAGAGGTCTTTCACCTCCTTGGTTAGGTATATTCCTAAGTACTTTGTGTGTGTGTGTGTGTGTGTGTGTGTGTGTGTGTGTGTGTGTAGCTATTGTAAAATTGATTGAGTTCTTGATTTGATTCTCAGCTTGGTCACTGTTGGTGTATAGCAGAGCTACTGATTTGTGTACATTAATTTTGTATCCTGAAACTTTGCTGAATTCATTTATCAGTTCTAGGAGCTTTTTGGATTAGTCTTAGGCTTTTCTAGGTATATGATCATATCATTGGTGAACAGTGACAGTTTGACTTACTCTTTACAGATTTGGATGCTCTTCATTTCTTTCTCTTGTCTGATTGCTCTGGCTAGGACTTCAGGTACTATTTTGAATGTAAGTGGTAAAAGTGGACATCCTTGTCTTGTTCCAGTTCTTGGGGAATGCTTTCAACATTTTCCTGTTCAGTATAATGTTGGCTGTGGGATTTTCATGGATTGCTTTTCTTACCTTAAGCTTGTCCCTTCTATACTGATTTTGCTAAGGGTTTTAATCACAAAGGGATGCTGGATTTTGTCAAATGCTTTTTCTGCATCTATTGAGATGATGTGATTTTTTTTGTTTGTTTTTAATTCTGTTTATATGGTGTATCACATTTATTGACTTGTGGGTGTTAAACCATCCCTGCATCCCTGGTATGAAACTCACTTGATCACGGTGGATTATCTTTTTGATATGCTGTTGGATTTGGCTAGACAGTATTTTGTTGAGAATTTTTGCATCTATGTTCATCAGGGATATTGGTCTGTAGTTTTCGTTTTTTGTTATGTTCATTTCTGGTTTTGGTATTAGGGTGATACTGGCTCCATAGAATGATTTAGGGAGGAATCTCTATCTTGTAGCCTAGTGTCAATAGGATTAGTACCGATTCTTCTTTGAATGCCTGATATAATTCAGCTGTGAATCTGTCTGGTCCTGGACATTATTTGTTGGCAATTTTTTTATTACTATTTCGATGTTGCCACTTGTTATTGGTCTGTTCAGAGTTTTTATTTCTTCCTGGTTTAAACTAGGAGGGTTGTATTCTTCCAGGAATTTATCCATCTCCTCCAGGATTTTTAGTTTGTGTGCATAAAGGTGTTCATAGTAGCCTTGAATGATCTTTTGTATTTCTGTGGTATTGGTTGTAAGGCTCCTGTTTTGTTTCTAATTGAACCTATTTGGGTCTTTTCTCTTCTTGCTTGTTAATCTCACTAAGGGTTTGTCAATTTCATTTATCTTTTCAAAGAACAAGCCTTTTATTTTGTTTCATTTCATTTTTATTTAGTTTTGCTCTGATCTTGGTTATTTCTTTTTTTCCACTGGGTTTGGGTTTAGTTTGTTCTTTTTTCTTTAGTTCCTTGAGGTGTGACCTTAGATTGTCTATTTGTACTCTTTCAGACTTCTTGATAAGGCTATGAACTTTCCTCTTAGCACTTACTTTTGCTGTATCCCAGAGGTTTTGATAGTTTCTGTCACTATTATTGTTTAGTTTAAATAATTTTTTAATTTCCATTTTGATTTCATTTTTGACCCAAAGATCATTCAGGAGCAGGTTGTTTAATTTTCATGTATTTGCATGGTTTTAAGAGTTCCTTTGGAGTTGATTTTCAATTTTATTCCACTGTGGTCTGAGAGAGTAATTGATATCATTTCAGTTTTCTTAAATGTATTGAGACTTGTTTTGTGGCCTATCATATGTTCTATCTTGGAGTATGTTCCATGTGCTAATTAATAGGATGTATATTCTGCAGTTGTTGGGTAGAATCCTCTGTAAATATCTGTTAAGTCCATTTGTTGTAGGGTGTAATTTGAGTGCATTGTTTCTTTGTTGACTTTCTGTCTTGATGACCTGTCCAGTGTTGTCAGTGGAATATTGAAACCCCCCACTATTATTGTGTTGCTGTCTATCTCTTAAAATGCTAACTTTTATTTTAGCTATAAAATATATTTTAGAATATTCACACAATAGGGATTAAAAAAATTTAAAGCCTGATTCTTGCTCCTGTCACATTTCCTTACAAATATAATTCCTATTAAAAATAACAAAACAATGGGATCTGTAAAATAATTTCATAGTCTCTAGATTTTACACAAATCTTTATAAAACAATTAAGCTGCCTGAACATTTGCCATGGTTTCAAATACATCAGGAATAATGTAAAAATACAGAAAAAAATAAAGTATCTGAAATGTCTACTGTTACTCTAGTTGTTATCAGTATCCCATATGGTCACATCAAGTGCCTTTCACAAAGTATCTGAGCCGTCAGAGCCAATTTGGCTCATTTGGTGGATAGAATAGATTCAGTCATATTTTTAGCCGCTAAAGCAGATATGGAGAAAAGAAGAAAAATGTTGTCCTAGTGGCAGTTACAGTTACAGAAACTTGATTGCTTTCATGATTTCCAGGGAATAATTCAATTGTTTAGGACATGTTTTATGTAAAAATAGGTTGTCTACACATGAGTAAGATTAATATACTGCATTAAATAGGAATAATATATGCACAAGAGAAAACCTGAAATTTTACCCCCCTAACCATTTAAGGACTCTGTGTGTGTGTGTGTGTGTGTGTGTGTGTGGGTGTGTATGTGTATATGTGTATATGTAAATGAATTTTTGCTAACTTAGCAGTTCAAGGTACTTAATTTTAATACTGTTTGCAGTATACTGTATTTGACATAAGTTTTCAGTTCAGCGTTTCATATATTATGAGCAATCATGAACTACTTAATGGGCTTTCAGCTCATATAGGAAACAACAAGGTGAATTAAAAAATTTTAACACAATTTAAAAGCAATAAAATCAGGCAAGTTAAAAATATTGTTGATAATAATAGTTTTATGTCAGTTAAAAAGGTTATGCTGTTTTTAATCAAGCAAAATGTCTACTGCTTGATGAGCCATAGCCAGAATTTAAAGCTATTCCAGTTGAAAATTTTCATTAGTGAAGTCTCTCCTCAATAATGGTGCATAGCAATCAGATCATCTCAGTGTGATACCAAAGTAAGCCTTTCTTTTGCTCACAAGTTTGTGCATCTGCATCTGCTTCAGGTGCTAGTCTTCCTGTGAGCTGAGATTGCTCTTCTGATGTGTCCCTCATTTTTTGATCAGCACTTTAGTGTGACATTTTTCTCCTTGTGAAGATGGCAGAGATGCAAAGAAGACAGTCTGACCCAGGCAAGCACATATCACACTCTTACTTGTGTCATGCCTGCTGATATCTCACTGACCAAAACAAATCACATAGTCAAGCCCCAAACTAAGGGCTAAGAATATATTATCCAGCCTCCTCCCCCAGTTATGATGTCACGGCAAGGGTGTTGGATGTGAGAGAAGTGAAGTATTGTGGCCAATAAATCAATGTACCAGGCACAGTTTTTCTTACTCCATATTACTAGAAAATTAGAAAAATTAACTTAGAAGGACACCATTTATGGCAGAAATTGACTGTCAAGTTGTTTTCTATACCTGAATGGAAACTTTCAGTTCTATGCTAAGTGACTAGACAATGAGTATATCACTCACACCTGAACTCTGTTCTTTTTTTTTTTTTTTTAAATTTACAGGATAATAGTAAAGTGCTTCCTAACCCAGAGCTGAATGTATTTGACTCTGGAAAGCATTTTATAATGTTTTTAGAAGCATTTTGAAGGCATTTTAAAAATATGCACAATAACATGTCATTTGTTATTTTTTCTGATGAATAAATACTTTTCTTTTTAGTCTAGCCTTCTTATCATATCTTAGCCTCAATATTATTATTTTTTCTACTCAGAGGTTATAAATTTTAGGCTCTTCAAAATACGGAATTCATTACTGATATATGTACCCTGGTGTTAATGGCTGGTGGAGAACTGTTTGATTCTCTTATTGCCCAACCTGTGTGCACACCTTTTCTCTCAATGACCAGCAGGACCTGGCAGAAGAAAGCAGGATTGCACATTACTATTTTTTTAATTTTTTATTAGGCAGCCTTAAAATACTTATGCTTAGGGGCACAATATAACTGCATTCACTTTTTCACCATTTCTTTCAATGTTGAATCAAGATTAGGAGGCAAAATCAACTGTTGTCTATGATTAATGGAGTGTAGTAATTGGCATTAAGAAGCAAGCTTTTTAATTTGATTAGCTACACTGTTTATTGCTGCATTCATATATGCTACTCTGTTAGTAGCAATCACGACATATTTTATCTTTTTCTATTTTATTTTAATATGCAAAGTAATCATTAACCAATGTAAAAAGTATTTCGTCTACTGTATCATGAGTTTTCAGCAACAAAAAAACCCCCACAGTTTTCTCATAAATGCCTACTGCATATGTGAAGAAATGGTTTAAGCTTTGCTTATGTGAATGGCTTTATCCAGCTCTAAAGTGAAATGTCTTCTAGCATGCATGTGGGGTGTACTTTCCATTAAGTGTTATTCCATATTGCCATTCAGCAAGGGAATTTTGCCAGTAATTGTGTTTTCTTTCTGACCAGATTCATCATGTAATTGGTATCATATAGTACTTGTCCTTCTGTGTCTGGTTCCTTTTGCTTAGCATAATGTCCACCAGATTATTCTAAGTTGCCACAAATGGCAGGATTTTCTTCCTTTTTAAAGGCTGAATAATATCCCATTATATGAACATACAACATTTTATTTATCCGTTCATCTGTTGGTGGGAATTTAGGTTGCTTCCATATCTTGGCTATTGTGAATAGTGCTGCAGTGAACATGGGAGTGTGGCTATCTCTTTGAAATCCTGATTTCAATTCCTTTGAAAATATATCCAGAAGTAGGATTGCTGGATCATATATTTCTATTTTGAATTTTTTGAGGGACCTTTACAGTATTTTTCTGTAGAAACAATTTATACCTCCACTAACAGTGTAAAAACGTTCTTTGTATCGTCTGCCTCTTGCCAACATTTATATATTGTTGGTAGGATAGCTATTTTAAAAAAAATTATATATATGTGTATATTATATATACATATATTATTATTATATGTATATTATATATTATATGTGTATACACGTGTATACATATATATGTGTATACATGTGTACACGTGTATACATACATGCATACACGCGTGTATACGTACATGCATACACGCATGTATATATGTATACACACATGTGTATATATGTATACGTATATACACATATATACATGTATACACATGTATATATACATATACATGTATTATATATGTATATATACATATATACATATGTATATATTATATGTATACATATATATGTATATATACATATAAATTATATATGTATATATGTGTATATATATATATAATTTTTTTTTGAAAATAGCTATCCTACCAGGTGTGAAGTAGTATCTCATTGTGGCTTCTATTTGCATTTCTCCAATGACTAGTGATATTAAGCAGTTTTTCATTACCTATTGGCCCCATTACCTATTGGCCATAGACTAAATGTCTATTTAAGTTCTTAGTCTATTTTTAAAATTGGGTTTTCTGGCCAGATGTGGGGGCTCATGCCTGTAACCCCACCACTTTGGGAGGCCAAGGCAGGTGGATCACTTGAGGTCAGGAGTTCGAGGCCAGCCTGGCCAACATGGTGAAACCCCATCTCTACTAAAAATAAAAAAATTAGCCAGATGTGGTGGCACATGCCTGTAGTCCCAGCTACTCAGGAGGCTGAGGCAGGAGAATTGTTTGAACCCAGGAGTTGGAGGTTGCAGTGAGCTGAGATTGTGGCATTGCATTCCAGCCTGGGTAACGGACTGAGACTCTGTCTCAAAAAAATAAAAATAAAATAAAGTAAAATAAAAAATTGGGTTTTCTGTTTTTTTTGCTATTGAGTTGTTTGAGCTTCTTATATATTTTCAGTATTAACTCTTTGTCAGATATATGGTTTGCAAATATTTTCTCTAATTCCATAGGTTGCCTTTTCTTGAATTTTTTGTCAGTTTGTACATCTCCATCTCTTTAGGGTTAGTCCCTGGTACTTTAGTTTGTCCCTTTGATAATGTCATGTTTCCCTGAATATTCTTTATCTTTGCTGTATGTCTTGGTGTCTGTGTATCTGAAGAAACAGGTATTTATTCCAGTCTTCACAGACTGGCTTTGTCTGGGGAAGTTCAACAGTTAGCCTGTCCAGGGATTCTGGGCAGACTGTCTCTTGTGGACCATGGGCAGGCTTGCTGCTGGAGCCCTTGGGCTAGCTGGTCAGCCGCCGTCTGGGTCAGCAGGTGAGTGGGCTCAAAGCATAGGACTCCTGGGGCTGAGCTGGCAGTGGAGCAAGCCTTAAGTCTGGGTCTGCTGGAGCCAGGCTGATGGTGAGGTGGGCTTGAAGCTTGGGGCCATTGGGCCTAAGATGGCAGTGGGGTAGACCCAAAACCTGCTTCTGCTGAGACTGCCGTGGAGCTGAGGCAGGCCCAGCAGTGATGTGGCCTGGAGACTGAGTCTGCCACACAGGCCTGAAACCTGGGCTGTAGGGTCTGGCCTGGTATGAGGGAAGATTTGGAGGCTGAGTCTGCAGGTATCAGCCTGGAGTCTGGGGCTGTGAAAGCTTTCCTGATGCTGGGTTTTTCTGTGGCAGGCCTAGATTTGGGGTCCGAGGCAAACTCCTCTGCTCACTTCCCTGTTTTTCCCCTGAGTGGAGGTTTTTTTCTCTACATGCTCTGCTGCCTGGGATTGAGGGAGAGGTGACATCGGTAATGTAAAGCTGTCTTTCCCACCCTCTTCAGTGCATCTTTTCTCATTTCTATGCTATACCCAGTACTGTGATCTCTTACCTGGTTTGCTTAGCTATTGTAAAAGATTTTCATGCATGGATAGCTGTTTAAATTGATGTTTTGGCAGAGGAATGATCATTAAGAAGTCCTATTGTACCATCTTGCTCTGCCTCTTTCATGTTGCCTTTTCATATTATTGATTAGTTCCTTTGCTGTACAGAAGCTTTTTAGTTTGATGTAATACCTTGTGTATTTTTGTTTTCATTCCTTGTTCTTTTGGTGTCATGTCTAAGAAATCATTGCCAGGGCCAATATCCAGAAGGTTTTTCTCTGTTTTCTGCCTCCCTCCCTCCCTGCCTCTTTTCTCTTTTTTCTTTTCCCTTCCCTTCCCTTCCCCTTTCCCTTTCCTTTTCCCTTTCCTTTTCCCTTTCCCTTCCCTTTGCCTTTCCCTTCCCTTTTCCCTTCCCTTTCTCCTTTCCTCTTCCCTTTTTCCTTTCTTCTTCCCTTTTTCCTTTCCTCTTCCCTTTTTCCTTTCCTCTTCCCTTTTTCCTTTCCTCTTCCCTTTTTCCTTTCTTCTTCCCTTTTTCCTTTCCTCTTCCCTTTTTCCTTTCCTCTTCCCTTTTTCCTTTCTCCTTTCCTCTTCCCTTTTTCTCTTCCCTTCCTCCCTTCCCTTCCCTTCCCTCCTTTCCTTTCTTCCTTTCCTTTCCTTCCCTTCCCTTCCCTTTCCCTTTCCCTTCCCTTCCCTTTCCTACTTTTTCTTTCCTTCCTTATTCCTTCTTTGAGATGGGGTCTTGCTATGTTGCCCAGACTACTCTTGACCTCTTGGACACCAGTGAACTTCCTGCCTCACCCTCCCAAGTAGCTTGGATTACAGGCACATACCATTGCATCCTATGTTTTATTTGAGAAGTTTTATAATTTCAGGATTTATGTTTAAATCTTTAATCAGTTTTGAGTTGATTTTGTATATGGTGCAAAATAAGAGACCAATTTTATTCTTTTGCATGTATATGTCTAATTTACCCAACCTCATTTATTAAAGAGACTTTTTTTTCTCATTGTGTATTCTTGGCACTCTTTTTGAAGATCAGTTCACTGTACATGTGTGAGTTTATTTTTGGGCTTTCTATTCTGTTCCATTGGTCGATCTGTCTGTTTTTATGACAGTACCATGCTGTTTTGATTATTATAGCTTTGTAGTAGACTTTAAGACCAAGGAGCATGATGGTTCCAATTATATTCTGGTTCAAAATTGCTTTGGCTGGTTAGGATCTTTTCTGTTTTTTTTTTCTTTTTTTTTTAATGAATTTTAGCATTATTTTTCTTATTATGTAAAAATTCTATTGGGATTTTAATAGGAATGCATTGAATCTGTAGATAACAGAATCTACAGGGTAGTGGATAGTGTGGACATTTTAACAATATCAATCCTTTCAATGAACATAGGAATGTCCTTCAATTTAATTACATCTGCTTTAATTTCTTTTTTCAATGTTTTGTAGTTTTCAGTAGAGATTTTTTACTTCCTTGGTTGAGTTTGCTTCTAAGTATTTTAAAAATTTTGTAAATGGAATTGTTTTCTTAATTTCCTTTTTGGATAGTTCATTGTCAGTGTATAGAAATGCAACTGATTTTTGTATGTTGATTTTGTATCTTGCAACTTTCCTGAAAATTCATATTAGTTTTAACAGTTTTTTTTTTGTGGGGTCTTCTGGGTTTTCTACATGTAAAACATGTCATCTGCAAACAGATAATTTTATTTCTTCCATTTGATTTGCATGCCTTTTATTTCTTTTCCTACCTAATTGGTCTGGCTAAAATTTTTAGGGCTATGTTGAATAGAAATGGCAATAGTGGGCATCCTTGCCTTGATCCAGATTTTAGAAGAAAAGTTTTCAGTTTTTCACCATTGAGTATGACGTAGCTGGGGCTTTCATATATAGTCTTTATTCTGTTGAGGTATGTTCCTTTTTTAAAAATTTTTTTGAAGCAGGGTCTTGCTGTCACCTAGGCTGGAGCACAGTGGTGCGATCATAGCTCACTACAACCTCAAACTCCTAGGCTCAAGTGATCTTCCTGCCTCAGCTTCCTGAGTATCTAGGACTACACCATGCCCAGCTTATTTTATTTTATTTTGTTTTTTTTTGTGGAGATGGAGTCTTGCTATGTTACACAGGTTGGTCTCAAACTCCTGGTCTCAAGTCATTTTCCTGCCTTGGCCTCCCAAAGTGCTGGGATTACAGGCATGAGCCACCACACTCAGCTATAAGTTTTTATACCAAATATATTAAGTGTTTTTTATGATAAAATGGTATAAAATTTTTGCCAAATGCTTTTTCTGCATCTATTGTAATGATTGTGCCATTTTTTTCCCTTCATTTTGGTAATGTCATTTATCACATTAATTGATTTCAATGTGTTGACCATGCATCCCAAGGATAAATCTTACTTGATCATGGTGTATAATTATTTTAATATGCTGTTAAATGTGGTTTGCTAATATTTTTTGAGGAATTTTCCAGTCATGTTCAGCAAAGATATTGGCCTGTAGTTTTCTTTGTTTGTGATATCTTTGTCTGGCTTTGGTGCTGGCCTCATAAACCAAGTTTGGAAGTACTCTTTCTTCTCCATTTTTCGAAAAGTTTAAGAAGGATTTCATTGATTCTTCTTTAGATGTTTAGTAGGATTCACCAGTGAAACTTTCTTGTCCTAGGCTTTTCTTTCTTGAGAAATTTTTGAATACTGATCTTTTTTGTTATATTTTATTTTTCCTTTTTTTTATTGGTCTGCTCAGGCTTTCTATTTCTTATTGATTCATTCTTGGTAGGTTGTTTCTAGAAATTTGTTTCTTCTTGGTTGATAAGCTTGTTGGTGTATAATTGATTATAACAATCCCTTACTATCCTTTTATTTTGGTAGCATTGATTATGGACTTACTTATTTGAGCCTTCTTCCTTTTTCTTAGTCTAGCTAAGGTTTTATTTATTATATTTGTCTTTTCAAAAGACAAACAATTATGCTGTTCCTTGTGTTGTTTTTCCATTCTCTATTTCATTTATTTCTGCTTTACTCTTTATTATATTCTTCCTTCTGCTACCCTTGGGCATAGTTTCTTCTTATTTTTCTCATTCCTTGAGGTGTAATGTTAGGGTATTTATTTGAGATTTCTTCTTTTTTAATGCAGGCATTTATTGTTATAAACTTCCCTCTCAGTACTGCTTTTGCTAGATCCCATTAGTTTTATTATGCTACATTTCATTTTTATGTGTCTTGAAATATTTTCTAATTTCTCTTTTCATATATTCTTTGACCCAGTTGTTTTTGTGAATTTTTCTGTTTTCCTTTTGTTATTGGTTTCTAGTTTTATTCCACTGGGTTCAGAAAAGTTATTTGGATAAATTCAATCTTAAGTATGTAAGATAGGTTTGTTACCACCTAGCATGTGATCTGTCCTGGTGAATGTTCCATGTGTGCTTGAGAAGAATGTGTATTTTGTTGCTGTTGGTGGAATGTTCTGTTTGTTATGTCCATTTGGTCTATAGTGTTATTCAAGTTTGCTGTTTCCTTTGTCAACTGAACAATGACAAGGTTCAGAAATTTCAAAAGGAGAGCTTTATTTCTCATAAAGGGCTACAGCCTGCAGGGTGGCCATTCTTACAGGCTAGGAAGCATAGCCTCTAGTCAGAAGCCAGAAACAGATCCTTCAAAGGTAGAAAGAGTAACACAGGGCTTTATGCTGAATGTGGTAGCCAAATATACATATTTAATAAGCTATAGGAGTAGTCATGAGTATTTATGAAAGGAGAAATATGCATGTACAGTTGAGCTTCAGGCCCCTCCCTGGGACCCATGTTCAAAAAGTAGCAGTGTTAGCATGATGCAAGCATGAAAATTTTGGCCCTCTGATGCCAAAAGGTAAAGCAGAAGACATGAAAACCTTCACTGTGCAATGTGCATAGACTGGCCAGAATCACTCTGTGGTCAGTGGTCTTTTAGCAGGAACAAGTGCTGGTTAAAACTTCAAAAGAGAGGAGCGGCGTCAGGCAGCCCTTGATACCGGGGTAGAGTGAGTTCTTTCAAAAAGCTGGTTGCTGTTTAGCCCTTAGGAAAGAGAGCCTAATGGTGTTCAGAGAGGGAGAGGGTAGAATGAGGCATGTCCCATCTCCTATTCTCTCATGTTAAGAATTCAGTTTTCATGATTTATATTAGGACTCCTTAGTTAAGTGGGGGTCCATTCAGTTGGTTGGGGGCTTAGGATTTTATTTTTATTTCTCATCTTGATATTTTTGTCTGGATTATCTGTCCATTATTGTAAATGGGTGTTGCAGTCTCCTATTATTGTATTATCTATATCCTTTAGCTCTCCCAATGTTTGCTTTATATTTTAGGTGCTCTAATATTGGGTCCACATATATTGTAATTGTTATAGCTTCCTGTTGAATTGACACTTTTATCTTTATGTAATGACCTTCATTTCTCTTGCAGCAGTTTTTGATCTAAAGTCTATTTTGTCTCATATAAATATAGCCTCCCTTGCTCTCTTTGGTTTCCATTTACACGGAATATCATTTCCAATTTCTTTATTTTCAGCCTATTTGTGCTCTTAAATTTGAATGTCTTGTAGACATTATATAGCTCAATATATATGTTTAAATCCATTCAGCTACTCTATATATTTTGATTAGAGAACTTAATCCATTGCATTTCAAATAATTATTGATAGGTAAGGATTTACTATTGCCATTTTGCTAATTGTTTTCTGTTTCTTATTTCTTTTGTTCTTTTTCTCTTTTGCTGTTTTTATGTTTTGATTTTTTTTGTAGTGATATACTTTGATTATTTTGTCTTTATCTTTTTTGTATTTGCTATAGGTTTTTTTCTTTGTGGTTACCATGATGTTAGCATAACATTTCTTGTAGTTCTAATAGCCTATTTGAGCTGATAGCCTCAATTGCATAAAGAAAACCCTCTATACTTTTACTTCCTTCTCAACACTATATTATTGATGTCAGAACTTGCTTCTTTTACACTATGTATCTATTAACCAATTTTTGTGGTTATAGTTATCTTTTATACTTTTATCTTTTAGCCTTTGTACTAGGGCTACCCTACAGTATTACATTACTCTGCATTTGTCCATATATTTATCTTTACCAGTGAGATTTATGCTTTGATGTGCTTGCGTGTTGCTGTTTAGCATCCCGTCATTTCAACTTGAAGAACTCCCCTTATAAGAACTCTCCAGTCTTATAAGACTGGTCTAGAGATGAGGAACTCCCTGTTTTTATTTTGTTGGTCTGTGATATAATTTGGCTCTATGTCCCTACCCAAATCTCATGTTGAATGATAATCCCCACGTATTGAAGGAGGGGCCTGGTGGGAGGTGATTAAATCATGGGGGTAGATTTCCCCCTTGCAGTTCTCATGATAGAGTTCTCACAAGATCTGGTTGTTTGAAAGTGTGCAGCACATTCCCCTTCTCTCTCTCTCTCTCTCTCTCTCTCCTGCTTTGGCCATATGAACACTGTGCCTGCTTCTCGTTTGCCTTGCACCACGATTGTAAGCTTCCTGAGGCCTCCCCAGCCTTGCCTCCTTTACAGCCTCCAGAACTGTGAGTCAGTTGAACCTTTTTTATTCATAAATTACCCAGTCCCAGGTAGTTCTTTATAGCAGTGTGAGAAGGGACTAATATAGAAAATTGGTACCAGAGAGTGGGGCATTGCTCTAAAGATACCTGAAAATGTGGAAATAACTTTGGAACTGGGTAATGAGCAGAGGCTGGAACAGTTTGGAGAGCTCAGAAGAAGAAAGAAAGATGAAAGAAAGTTTGGAACTTCCTAAAGACGTGCTAAATTATTGTGACCAAAATGCTGATAGTGATATAGAAAATGAAGTCCAGACTAGCATAGTCTCAGATGGAGATGAGGAACTTAATGGGAACTGGAGTAAATGTCACTCTTGCTATGCTTTAGCAAAGAGACTGGTGGCATTGTGCCCCCTCCCTAGAGATCTGTAGAACTTTGAACTTGAGAGAGATGATTTAGGGTATCTGTTGGAGGAAATTTTCGAAGCAGCAAAGCATTCAAAAGGTGGCCTGGCTGCTTCTAATACTGTAAGCTTATATGCATTTGCAAAGAGATGGTCTGAAATTGGAACTTTTATTAAAAGGGAAGCAGAGCATAAAAGTTTCAAAAATTTGTAGCTTGACCATGTGGTAGAAAAGCAAACCCATTTTCTGGGAAGGAATTCAAGCTGGGTTTAAAATTTGCACAAGTAAAGTGGAGTCAAATGTTAACAGGCAAGACATGAGGAAATGCCTCCAAGACATTTCAGAGACCTTCCAGGCAGCTTCTCCCATCACAGGCCTGGAGGTCTAGGAAGGAAAAATGGTTTAGTAGGCCAAGCCGAGGGCCCCACTGCTCTGCACAGCCTCAGAACATGGTGCCCTGTATCCCAGCTGCTCTAGCTCCAGCTGTGGCTAAAAGGGGCCAAGGTACAGCTTAGGCCATTGCTTCAGAGGTTGGAATCCCCAAGCCTTGGCAGCTGCCACATGGTGTTGGGCCTGTGAGTGCACAGAAGGCAAGAGCTGAGGTTTGGGAGCCTCTGCTAGATTTCAGTGGATGTCTGGAAACACCAAGATGTGCAGGCAGATGCCTCCTTTGGGGGTGGAGCTTTTATGGAGAACCTCTACTAGGGCAGTTGAGAGGGGAAATATGGCTTTGGAGCCCCAACACAGAGTCCCCACTGAAGCACTGCCTAGTAGAGCTGTGAGAAGAGGTCCACCATCCTCCAGACCCCAGAATGATAGATCCACCGACAGCTGGCAGTGTGCATCTGGAAGCCACAGGTACTCAACACCAGCCCATGAAAGCAGCCACAAAAGTTGTACCCTGCAGAGCCATAGGGGTGGAGCTGCCCAAGGCCTTGGGAGTCCACCTCTTGCATTGGTGTGGTCTGGATGTGAGACATGGAGCCAAAGGAGATCATTTTAGAGCTTTACGATTTAATGACTGCTCTGCTGGGTTTCAGACTTGCATGGGGCCTGTAGCCCCTTTGTTTTGGCCAATTTCTTCCTTTTGAAATGGGAGCATTTACCCAATGCCTATGCCCCTATTGTATCTTGGAAGTAACTAACTTGTTTTTGATTTTTCAGGCTCATAGATAGAAGTGACTTGCCTTGTCTCAGATGAGACTGAACTTTGACTTTTGAGTTGACGCTGAAATGAGTTAAGACCTGGGGGACTGTTGAGAAGGCATGGTTTTGTTTTGAAATGTGAGATGCACATGAGATTTGGGAGGGGCCAGGAGTGGAATCATATGGTTTGGCTCTGTGTCCCCACCCAAATCTCATGTCAATTTGTAATTCCCATGTGTGGGAGGTGATTGAATCATGAGGGTGAACTTCCGCTTTACTGTTCTCATGACAGAGTTCTCACGAGATCCGGTTGTTTGGAAGTGTGTAGCACTTTTCCCTTTGCTCTGTCTCTTTCTCCTCCTCTGGCCCTGTGAAGACCATGCCTGCTTCCCCTTCACATTCCATCGCGAATGTAAGTTTCCTGAGGCCTTCCCAGCCATGGCTTCTGTATAGCCTGTGGAAATGTTAGTCGATTAAACCTCTTTTATTCATAAATTACCCAGTAGTTCTCTATAGCAGTGTGAGAGTGAACAAATACAGTCTGTGGAAACCTTTTTCCCTCCTGTATTTTTAAAAGATAATGTTGCCCTATATGACAAACCCATAGCTAATATCGTGAAATCATGTGAGACTTTATTTGGTAAAGTCAAAATCTATTTACATTTGTTGGTAGTAAACTTTAAAAGAAATTCAGCTTAAATATGTGGATCTGTGCTTCTTATAGTTAATAAGAAAGTAGGTAACCACAGTTTAAAAAGGCCACCTTGCAAATGAGGGTTTATAATAGCAGTTATATTTTCTTTAGTGCAAAGAACCCAGGAAGGCATGTTGCAAGTGACCCTTAAATATTTATAGTTTTTATATGTATCCTTAGCCACGTTTTATTTGTTTTTGGATAATTTCACTTGACAAACTAAAATGTTTGTGACTCTCCTTATTCAGTATTGCTTTTATGATCTATGTTTCAACATACATACCAATGAGATTTGACAGGATGCCCTTAAGCAGTCTACTAGCTATCATAATATGATATAATGCTTCAAATGAGCATAAATGTATAGTTCAAAATATGCATCTACAGCTCAAACTATGCATTTACCAACAGAATTAAATACAATACTCTAAAGATATAAGAATTTGTTGTTGGGTATGTGTATAGGTGCCCTGTGAACTCATTCTCACCATTTCAATGTTATTTCCTACACGTGTAGGAAAAGTAAGTGATAAATTAAAATTCTGTTAACACTTCTATTGGAAGTTTTGTATCTTTGGCTTTATATACTTTATTTTGACTAAAGCCATAAATGACTCAGAGAAAAGGAAAAAAAGGTACTTTTGACAATGCATATATTTATATTTCAGTTCAGGGAATCAAACTCAGGCAACCAAGTTTACACACCAAAGCATAAATTCTTTCTTGAGCTGAAGTAGTATTATTTCATTTTGTAAAGAATAAGTAAGCTAAAAAATAATTGGATTTTTATTTAATTTCAATGATAGCAAAGACCTCTTGTTTAGTACTGTATTCCCAGAGCTTTAAAGGATGCCTGGCACACAATAGATACTCTAAAAATGAATGAATGAATGAATTAATGAACACAAAGTTGGCAGGTTAGAGGGGATTTTTGACTTTAAAGGTGTGCTTTTTCATCACCAAAACTCTCTTTAAAGTTACCTTATTTAAAAAAAAAACACACACATTAAGAACTCCTGGGCTTTAACCTGTCACCTCGCAGAACAGTCTATTTTCAAGAAAATATAGCTCTTAGGGCAGAGGACTGCAGCAAACTCAAGGGGCTAAGTAGCTTTCCTGATCCCTTAAATCTCTTCTCAGATTTAGGTTTTGTTAAATTAGTTATTAGCCAAGTACAAGTAGAAGAGTTATCAGGAAGATGAAATTCCACAGTCAAGTACAGCATAAGAATAAATAGAAATAGAAATGTGTACTCTGTGGATTTCTCGAGGGGTTTGAAACTTGCCAGCTGGCTTGTTAAGGGGAACTCAGACAAAGCACTAAAAGCTCTGATTACTAAAGGATATTTTGTTTTAGGACGTTAATAAAAATGAAAGCAAATAAATTCTAAGGATGAATTTAGCAAAAAGTGTTGATTGAATGCATAGGCTTTTTAAAACCATGGTAAAAGATTTCTACCTCCAGGTCTTTGATTCTATAAAAATGCCTACGGACTATTCAATCTGTTGTAGACAGTTGATGGAATCTGGTAATCTATGTTATGGAGCAATTAATTGCCTTTTGGGCTCATCAAATTTGTTTATTTGGTCAAGGTGGAAGAATCTACAGCAATGCTTAGAAGATAATTAAGATTTCAGGACCCAAATCAATAAGGAAAGATAAAGAAAAGGAGATTAGTTCTTTCAGAAGATAAGTTTGAGAGGTGACTAGATGTCAATCTTTAAGTATATGGAGAAATTATCAAGCAGACCAATTTTCCTCTTTCTTTCTAGCATGGCACAGAAGGAAGTGGGTTTGGTCAATCTTTAATCAAATATTTATTGAGTGCTTGTGTTTTGCACAGTATTGTGAAAGATACTGTAGCCAACACAGGGAAATGTGGATCTCCTCGTGTGCAGTATGAAATGCAATTTTAAAAACTTGGTTATCTACTATGTATAAGTATATAAATATGTGTAGTTTCTCCATGGTTTATTTTTGGGGAGAGAATAGCAGCTACCTTAGTTCAGCATTTTGACAGGAACCAGAAAACCTTCTGATCTTTACTAGACATATGGCAACCCAGAACAAAAAGCACATTTTTAGCCTCTTTTGCAGCTAGGTGTGGTTATGTGCCTAAGTCCTGTTAATGAGATATGAACACAGGTAAAATATGTAACCTGTAGAAATTTCCCTTAAAGGGAGGAAGTGTACACTTTTCTCCCCTGTAGGCTGAGTTGTGGAGCTGGAATAAGTAGCACAAGGTGGGAGCTAAAAGAGGAGGGTGTGGAATAGAGAAATGTTTCTCCTCATTTAAGAAGTTCATATGCTTATAAATACTTCCATTTGTGTAGAATAGTTAATTAAAATATACAATGCCGGCCAGGCGCGGTGGCTCACGCCTGTAATCCCAGCACTTTGGGAGGCCGAGGCGGGCGGATCACGAGGTCAGGAGATCGAGACCATCCTGGCTAACACGGTGAAACCCCGTCTCTACTAAAAATGCAAAAAATTAGCCGGGCGTGGTGGCGGGCGCCTGTAGTCCCAGCTGCTCGGGAGGCTGAGGCAGGAGAATGGCGTGAACCCGGGAGGCGGAGCTTGCAGTGAGCCGAGATCGTGCCACTGCACTCCAGACTGGGCGACAGAGCGAGACTCCGTCTCAAAAAAAAAAACAACAAAAAAACAAAAAACAAAAACAAAACAAAATATACAATGCCTATGATATGAATGATACCCTTTAGACTTGTGCAGTGCAGAACCTATACAATCACATTAATATTTGGTAAGCCTGATAATCATGGAGCCACCATAACTAGTCTGAAACTGCAAACACATTTTACAATTTTTTTCAAACTTTTAGTGTTTTTGTTACTCAAGGCCATAACTAATCCTACACGCTCTCCTTAACAAGTAAGCTCTCCTGAAGCAGAGATATTCCCTTTCTGTGACATTCTCCAGTGCCTCGATAGAGCCTGCCATATAGAAGACACTAAAATATTTGTTGACTGACTTCTGAAAAAGAGAAAGGAAGAAAACAAACAAACAAAAAACAAACAAAAAACAAGATTGACAGTGTGGGCTGGAGAGGTAGGAATATTTTTTCCTTTGCTAAGAGTTTGTGGCTTTTTGAAATTTTACCATACGTAAAACTGTTTTCATTGGAATCATATGTAAAATAAAGTAAAAATTGGACCATTAATATTACCATATTTTGTGATTAAGAAAATTGCTTAATTCTTTAGAGTAATGTTTTTACAATATAAAACTAATAAGTTTAAAATAACTTAGGCAAGCTGGGCATGTGGTGGCATGTGCCTGTAGTCCCAGCTACTTGGAGGCTGAGGCAGGAGGATTGCTTGAGCCCAGGAGTTTGAGGCCATAGTGCACTGTGATTGTGCCTGTGAGTGGTCACTGCACTCCAGCCTGGGCAATATAATGAGACCCTACCTCTAAGAAAAACAAAATTAGAAAAGTCTTTTGGAAGCCAAGGCCTGGCTACATATTTATATTAAGAAGTCAGCCTATAACATTTTTTTTTCAACTTTTATTTTAAATTCAGAAGGTGCATGTATAGGCTTGTTACTTTGCTATCCCTCCCTTCCTCCCCCACTCCAGAAGTCCCCAGTTTCTGTTGTTGCCATCTTTATGCCCATGAGTACTTAATGTTTAGCTCCCACTAATAAGTAAGAACATGCATTAACCTGTAAAATTTAAATTGTGACCATTTCTGAAAGATTGACAAGGAATTTTTTTTTGGTCAATCATTTAGCATTTGCTAAATTTCTCCTGTGAGGGCAACACTGTGGTAGACACTGTGTAAATCACAGGTAGAGTCTCCATGTGATTGCTGACCACACCCATTCTTTACAGGTTCTGAAGTAAAGGAGAAATATATGAAAGAGCTAAATAGAGAACAAAATGCTTGTTTCATTGATGTTAAAGCTGGATGAGAGAAGTCAGCCTTATGAACTTACTTGCCATGGAAAAGCTACAGTAGAGAACAGAAAGCACATGATATGGACACTGTTGATCTCCAGGTAGATTGCCAGAAAACATCTCCATCAGCCCCTCTTCTCCCCTGCACTGGGATAGGAGGTTTCATGGTTGTTTCTTTTTCCCCATCAATCTCAACCAACCCATCTGATTCTGATCTGCTGATAACACCCACCCTTGTTTTTCCAACACTTTTGGATTTATTCTCAAATATATTTGTCATTTCCCCCGAGTTTTGGGATGCACATGAGGTAAATATATGGGCCAGTCTTTCTTTACATCACTCTATTTCAGGTCACCAGGATTTTGTGTATATATTTTTCCTATTTACTGTGCACTTATTTTAATTAAACAACCACAAATAAAAAATTCATTTGTTTCTGCAGTTCTAGATATATATTATTCTTTATTTTAAAAAATATATTTCTGATGGGGCACAGTTGTTCATGCCTGTAATTCCAGCACTTTGGGAAGATGAAGTGGGCGGATTGCTTGAACCCAGGGGTTCATGACCAGCCTGGGCAACATGGTAAAATCATGTCTAGACCAAAAAAAGAAAAAAGTTAGTGGGTGTGGTGGCATGTGCCTGTAGCCCTAGCTACCAGCTACTCGGGAGGCTGAGGTGGGAGGATCTAAAGTCCAGGAGGTTGAGGTTGCAGTGAGTGGTGACCATGCCACTGCATTCCAGCCTGGGTGACAGAGGAAGACCCTGTATCAAAAAAAAAATTCTGTGAAGTTTATGCTAATTGGAGATAAGAAAAATGATGGTCAAAGGTGCTTGAAAGAAAACTTTGATATGAATGAGAGATTGTGTTTATCCATGTGCTTAAATAATAAAGTAGCCTTCTTGTCTGTGAAGTTAAAAGTTGGCATAGCTACTTCAAAATTCATACAGAGGAGCTCCATTTAATCCCTAGCTCAGCCTTGATAGGATTTACACAAAGAGATTTTTAATGTTGATTTGAATCTTCCCAGTGATATAATCTCAGAATAGTAAGTTGGAAACTGGATGGGGTGGCCTGTTAGACTGAGAACTAGAGGTCATAAGGCAGAGTGCATTTCTTCCTTTTTATTCTTATTATCCAAATGGTTAAGGGGCCCCAACACTACCTTAGATTCCAAAATTTACTAGGACTAATAAGATTCAGCATAGAGCCATAGCCATGGTAAGATTTATTATAGTAAAATGATCCAAAGCAAAACCAGCAAAGGAAAAAGGTGCATGGAGAAAGTTCACAGAAAACCAGGCTCAAGCTTCCAAGGCTCCTCCCCAAAGGAGTCTCACAAGATGTGCTTAATTCATTCAGCAATCTGTTGCGAGAATATACATGAAATGTTGTCTACCCAAGAAGCTCATTAGAGACTCAGTTCCCAGGGCTTTTATTGGTGACTGGTCATCTAAATATCCTCTACTTACTACATACCCAAATTCTAGACTCCCAGAAGAAAAACAGGTGTTCAGTAGACATCACATTGTTTGTATGAATATTTTAGGTACAGTGTATCACCTTTATCTGTTAAAGAATGGTAGGAACACTCCAGAAATCCAATGGCCCACCTTGCAAATAGTCCTTTCTAAGGATAGATAGCTATCTCACTTCAGGCCTATTATTGAAGTGTCTACTACATACTGGATTTCTTCCTCCCTACTGTGTGAGTTATTAATATTTTGCCCAGTTTTAGTAATTCTTCTAACAACAAATATGGAAAAGTGAAGAAATTAGTCCATTTGCATTTTCATTAGTAAAACTTTTAAAGATTTAACAGAGAATAATGTTGAAAATATACAAACATATACATTTACCGTAGGTTACATGTAGTCTTGCTACATCCTTTTTCCACTGAACTGCATATTTAATGAGAAAATTAAGTTTGCTTCATATCTTATATATTCTGCACTTTATTGAACTTATTAGTTGCTTTTATTCTTTTTTCTTAAACTTTCAATTTTGAGATAACTGCGGATGCAAATGTATTAGTAAGAAATATACCCTCCACCCATTTTTCTCCAGTGGTAACATATTGCATAACTATACTACAATATCACAGCCAAGAAATTGACATTGGTAGATTTATTCAGACTTCACCAGTTTTACACATATTCATGTATATGTGCATATGTCTTTGGTTTTATCAAATTTTCTCACATGTGTAGATTCTCATAACTACCACTACAGTCAGGGTGGAGAACAGTTCTGTTGCCATAAGGATTCCTCGTGTTGGCCTTTCTATCCACACTCTCCCTCCGTCTCCACTCCACTCCCTAATCCCTCATAACTACTAATCTTTTTCTCTATGTCTATAATTTTATCATTGTAAGAATGTTGTATGAATGAAATCGTACAGTATATAACTTTTGGGACTGGGCTTTTTCATTCAGCATAATTCCCTTGAGATCCATCCAAGTTTCCTGCATCAATAGTTCATTCTTTTCTATTGCTGAGTAGTATTCCATTGTATGGATGTACCATGGTTTGTTTAACCATTCACCCATTGGCAGGCATTTGGGTAGTTTCCACTTTTTGGTTCTTACAAATAGAGCTGCTATAAATATTTACACATTTTGCCATGAAAATAAATTTTTAGTTTTCTCTGATAAGTGCCCCAGGGTGCAATTGCTGGGTTACATATAGTTGCATGTTTATTTTTATAAGAAGTGGCCAAATTATTATCTCATAAGAAAATCATAAGAGATAAAGTTTTCTGCATCCTTACAATCATTTATTGTTATTCCTGTTTTGCCATTCTGATAGACTGGTAATATCTCATTTTGGCTTTAATTTTAATTTCCCTAAAGTCTAATAATGTTGAACATATTTTCATGTGCTCTGTTGCTCTCTGTATATCGTCTTAGGTGAAATGTTTATTGCTCATTTTCTAATTAAATTTAAAAAATTGTTAAATTTTGAGAGTTCTTTACATACCCTAGATATTAGTTGTCACATATTTGTAAATATTTATTTCTAATCTCTAGCTTGTCTTTTCATCTTTTTAACAGGATTTTCACAGGGCAAAATTTTAAATTTTGATGTCCAATTTATTTTATGAATAAATTTATAAATTTATTTAAAAATTTAAAATTATTTAAAAAATTATTTTACGATTCATGAATCATTTATTTTATGAATCATACTTTCATATCAAGTCTAAGAGCTTTTCTTCTACCTACCCTTATGTCCTGATGATGTTTTCCTAGTTTTTTCTAAAAGTTTTATAGTTTTGTATGTTATATATTTAAAGTGACTGCCTACAGCAGCAATTTTCAGCAAAAAAACCACCTTAATGTTGCAAATGGTGAAACACTAGACGTGTTTTGCCACTGTATAATTGTCAGATTTGTGTGAATACATGTATTCTGTTGTAGAGTACAGATTGCTTGCTGCTAGTGGTGAGAAGTAGTAGACTGAGACAGAAATAACCTTTAAATATTTATTAAATTGTCATTCCTTGAATTAAATTTTATCGTGTGTCCATCTCAACTTATTTCTTTTATGTGACCTGAATAATTGAAACAATGAGAAACAAAAGGCACGAAAAGTTATAGTAAATAATGTGGTATTCCTTATTTATTTTTCTAGAAATATGAGATTAAAAATTTTTTTTAGTGCAGAAAGACCATTTTATCTTGTAGAATTACCTTTTAAAAGCATTTTGTAAGTGCTTATTCAGAGATGTCTCAGGAAAAAATTACCATTTCAGATTTTAAATGAAACTATATAACAATGTTTGGCCATTATGTAGTTCCTCTCCAAGCCACACTTGATCTCCAATCTTGTTCATCCTTAACAAGATCAAGCACATCTTCAAACTCAATTCCATGTAATGTCTGATTCTGGATGGTTTTTTTTTTTTTTTACCAAATTCTGCTTGACACAGAAAACCATTAAATTAGGCTTTTAGCTTGCAATGGCTTTCTTTCTATGCTTTCCACACACCAGAATACAGTTCACTTCCTGGCAGCTAAAAAGATTAGCTTTTTGAACCTTTCTCAGAAGGAAAAAAATCCCCCCTTTTAATGCAAAAGTTAAAATTGCTGGGAAGGTTTTCTGTGCCTGTGGATCTGGGGTCCAGAACAATGCAATTAAAATATATCACGCTGTTAAAAATGACTGAACTGCCCTCTAGGTGGCAGACTACCATTATTTTTTCCTTAGCTTTAGGCATGTTCTTGCTTATCAACAAGTCACCAAGTAGCGCAGACGCCTGTTCCCAGTTCCAAGAATCATCCAATTTTTAAACACTTTTTAATTGATTTCTCTGTCTTCTAAAGTTGTCTTGGACTTCTATTTTGTTTTGACTCACACTGATGTCATGTCTCACTGTTCAGACATTCTATGTCGATTATTTGAAAACATACTACTGTTTCCACCCTAATAAATTTCGTATACACTTACACACACTCTAAAATCATTCACTGGCATTTATACAGTGAATATGTCCAATAGCACTACTCATATAAATAAAACCCAAGAATGTTAATGTAAAACAAGTTTATTTCATACCATTTCTCAACTAAATGATGCTATATAAACAAAATGTATAAGCTACATTTTTATGGCGTATATAAAATTTTGCTTAAAGTTAGCATTTATGTGGTGAGGATATTGATTTGAGAGTCAAAAACAATCACAGGTCATTTCTAGTATGTCTGATAATCTCCTGATGCATAAATTGTCTATCAAAAATTAAAATGAAAGCTCTCTTTTAATTGTACTAAAAGGCATTTAATATTTGTTTTCTAGTCCTTTTAACAGTAAGTTTTGTTTCATGATTTTTGAAGAAAAATATTAATTTCAAATTATATTTTTTCTGTGTTACAGGATTTTGAGGTAAAATTTAAAATAAATTTATGAATTAGTATGCCATTTTGAAATAAAATTTTAGGGGTTGGAGAATTTCAGGTTGGCTTATTTTTAGTGACTGTAACAAAGTCAGAATACATTAGAACCAGTAATATTTTCATTGTGTCAGAAGAAAAATTTTGGAGATACTACTCTTTCTAGATTTAGAGTATTATACAAACCCAGAAGTAATGTAATTCTCATATATCGAATAAACACATTTCTATGAAAAAGAGCTACCTTCTGAGGTTATATGGAATATCAGTCACAGAAACTGGATGTAGAGACAAGTTTTCATAGCTGCTTGATGCTTTTAGTCATGGGGCCACAAAGAGATTAATCTTGAGAATGATGACAAAATATGATAGGAATTTCTTACTCTCAGATGCTCTTTATTATTTTTTCAAACCCTGAAATTCCTGTGTGTTCTCTGTATTTCTGACAAAAACTCATGAGTACTGATTGTCTCTCATGTTCCCTGGAAGAAATAATTTAATTGCATATCACATCTAACAGTCTCCCAATTTTCTTTTCTTTCTTTTCTTTTTTTTTTTTTTAAATTATGTGCTGGAGAAAATCTTGCTAGCCACATATCTGACCAAAAATATAAATATCTGTAATATCTTGTAGCTAGAATACACAAATAACTGAAAGCTCAACAATAATACAAATGACCCAGTCAGAAAATGAGTAGCAGACACTTCACTGAAGAGGGTATGCAGATGGCAAATAATCTCATGCAAAAATATTCAACACCATTAAACATTAGGGAAATAAAAATTAAAGCCATAATGAAATATAACTATGCCCATGTCAGAATGGCTAGAAGACAGTGATAGCCCCAGATGCTGATGAGGATTCTGAGAAACGGGATCACTCATATTTTGATGGTAGAAATGTAAAATGGTGCAGTCGCTATGGAAAATAGTTTGGCAGTTTCTTATAAAAATCAGCCTGTGTTAAAGAAAAAACTTTAGATAAACTTAGTTTAGCAAATGATCACGTAAACTCTGAGCAAAGAACAATTCATGAATTGGGTAGCACCCTGAGCCAGTAGAGATTTGGAGAACTCCATCCAACAATGTGGGCAGACATTATTTATAGACAGAAAGAGAAAGTAACATATAGAAACAGCTTGGTTGTTTACAGCTCAGCATTGGCCTTATGTTCACATGGTCTGATCAGTTGGCAGCCTGTGATTGGCTGCAGCTTGGCTGCTGGTGATTGGCTATGACTCTCGTTACGGTAGATTCTGATTACAGAAATATATTCTCGAGTTAGGTTTCAGTTTGTTTACATACTAAGTTTGCTTGCGGTTCCCTTAGTATGGCAGCCGATTTAGGCCAAATTTAATTTAGTTTAACACATGCGATTACCATGTGACCTATTGATTGTACTCTTGGACATTTAGCTCAGAGAAATGAAGACATATGTCTAAACAAAAACCTGTCCATGAATGTTTACAGCAATTTTATTGGTAATAGCCAAATGTCTGTTAATGAGTGAATGGTTAAAGTGTAGTACATTTGCACTGTGGGACACTACTCAGCAATTAAGAAGAAAAAACTACTGAAAATCACTAGAGAATAATGCCCAGTAAAATCATAAAAGGTTACATACTGCATGATTTCACTTACATAACACTCTTGAAATAACAAAACTACAGAGATAGAAAACAAATTGTTGCCACAAAAGGTTAGAAATGGGAGAGTGGATGTGGCTTTAAAGAACCACCACAAGGGAATCTTTAGATATAACTGTTCCATATCTTGATTGTGATGGTTGTTACCTGAATATATACATGTGATAATATTGCCTGCAAATATAAACACACGCACACAAATGCATGCACAACTGGCAAATTCTGAAACAACTCTGTGGGTTGTATCAGTTTCCTTGTGATCTTGTACTATAGTTATGCAAGATGTTAAAATTAAAGGATGCTGGATAAAAGGTGCATGAGACCTCTTCAACTTCTTTTTTAATCTTTCTATGAATATATAATTATTTCAAAATAAAAAACCAATATGCTTATTTTTTTCAAGAGATTATGCTATGCTAATTTCCCAGAGTAAACTAGTTACCATTTTTGTTATCCTTATGATTACGTAAGTTTAATTTTAAAAAGAGATACAATTTCTAGACACAAAAGTGTAAAATGCAAAAATGTTTTGTTTAAATTATTTTTTTTTCAGGAATCTGCACTCCTCTTAAGCCTTTCAATGTGTCATACATGTTCTAGGACTATTCTCACTTAGTAGTTTCTTAGCATTCTGCTTCTTTGCCATATGTGAGGTGCAGTCAGGAATTTATTTTCCTCCCCATTTGATCTAGATTAAGCTATTTGGCTCTTGCTCCTAAGAAATCCCAAAATACTATGAATCAAAATGAAGGCATGCATGTGATAACTCTCATGTAGACTTTTATGATTCTGGAAGAACTCTTAATGTTTCCTTAGTGAAAACATTAACTTTATGCTAAAGTAAATTTCTAATATAATACCATTGGTATTACTAGAAATTTTCTAAATGTTTCTGAGAAAACATAAGTGGGATACCTAAAAAGAAAAATCTAGTTCTCCAAGACCAACTAAAATCACAGTGTTATGGCAACAGCAAGACTGTGGCTTTGAAAAATGATCATTTATTTTTAGGAAGCATTAAACCTCAACATCTTGGTTCTTATATGTGATTCCAGAATGAATCTCCTTTGAGGCTGGCCTTCCTGAATTAAGGATATATTTTAGGGCCAAGTTCAACAGTTTTTAAGCAATTAAAAATCTTTGACCTGTTTACAGACCTCACCAGGTTTTCTCTGCTCTCAATTAATTCTTTTTTTCTTTTCTTCCTACCCTGAGAGGCTTTGGAGCTGAGCTTTTAAAACTTCTTGACAAACAACTTTTCTCTTAAGACACCAAATCTTCTCCTTACTGCTTGGAGTGTGAGATAGTGGTGTGTGTGACCCACAGGGCCAAGCAGTCAGAATTAGACCACAGTGGCATTTATTAAGCATTCTTCTGCAGTGTGTGTGTGAGTGGTGTGGGATGGCTGTTTGAGTAGGAAGAATAAAGTGGCCAAGACATGTACCAAAATGGACAGGATAGTTTTTTCAGTGTTGCATATTATGCCATGGATTAAGCCTGACATAAATTTCTCCATATTAATTTAAGAAAAATTTATAATTTAAAACCTCTACATGCTATGGTAAGAGTACCGTGTTTAGAATCAAGAGATCTGGGTTAGAGCTGTCTAACCCAGATTGACTTTCTAATTTTATGATCTTGTATGAAGTTAATTTTGTGTTCTTTAATACTCTTGTGTAAAGTGAGGCCTGTAATACTGTCTTAAAATAGCTTTCATGAAGATTAAATAGGTTAATGTACATGTAAAATAAAATTTCAATGCTTTAAATAAAATTTAAAACCTATTTAAATATAAGATGCTATTGCTCTTTAACAATCATTATGATTTAGTTAATATACTTAAATCTACATGTGTGATGTGTGAGTATATTATGTATGTGTATGTAAATATACTTCATGAAGTGTGAACATACACCTTTATATTTCTTTTTAAACCAGTACATGTCCAGTGCCTAGCATATGGAAGACACTTAATAAATATATGCTGAATGAATAGATGAATGAACTTAGAATTTTCAAATCTAAATAATTTATTCTAATTTAATCAGTATCAGGTAAATAATAAGCACAGAAACTGTTAGAACAAGAACTGAATTATAGCATCTCCTACATGAAATTAAATAATTTTAGAAATGGTGGTAAATGTTTAAGTTTTTTACTTGTATTAGCACAGATATAAGCATCAATCATGACATCTTTCTGCTCATAAACCTTAAGTAACTCCCATTGCTCCTATTGCTTAGAAAATAAAATCCAATTCTTTAGTGTGGGACTAACCTTTTCAAATTTATTTTCCATATTACAATCTTGCTTCTTTTGGATATTTCTTATGTATCACCCCACTTTCCCCTTTCCCCACTCTCTTGCCACCTTGCCTGTGTCCAGGCTTTATCCTCTTTGAAATGCCCTTCAACTTATTTCTGTAGAATTCAATCCCACCCATCTGTCAAGTTCTGTCCCTAATGCCACTGCCTGTATGGAGCCTATGCAGGTATCCTCAGATAGAGGTAACCTCTTTCTACCTAAGTATTCATTCCACTTTATGTTTGCCCCCTTGAGACCTTTTTCACTTCCTAATCTAGATTATAAACTTTTTTTTTGGTAGCAGATTCTATGTCTCATTTACTTTTATATTTACAAAATTTCCTGCATTGTAAATATACAACAGTTGCTTGTTTATTGAACAAACTGAATGCATATGAATTGTCATGCTTCTGCTTGTGAAAGACATGCATTTTTCAATAATTGTTATGCACAATAAGGAATATATAGGTGTCCATGATTTTGGCATACTTATCATCATTATGGCTAATTGATTTTGGCAAAAGTGCCAAGGTAATTGTATTGGGAAATGACTTTTTTTTCAACAAACAGTTCTGGAACATTTGGATAACTTATGCCAAAAGCAAAGCAAAATAAAACAAAAAAAGGAATTAAAACTCTTGCTTCACCAGTAACAAAAATTAACCCATAATGGATCATATTCTTAAATGTAAGCACTAAAAGTATAAAACTTCTAGAAGAAAACACAAAGAAAATCTTTGTGTTCTTGAGTTATGCCAAGAGGTCTTAGATTTGACATCAATAGCAAGATCCATAGAAGGAAAATGGTAAATTAGACTTTAAATTAAAAATTAAATGTTTATTCCTCAAAAGACACTAGTAAGAGAGAAGAAAAGACAACCCAGAGAATTTGAGAAAGTATATGTTAATCATATATCTGAGAAAGGACTTGTACCCAGAATATATGAATAAAGACAGAGAAAACCAAGTGCTGTCAAGAATATAGAGAAATGAGAATCCTGATACATTGTTCATGGAAATGGAATGTAACACAGCCACATTGGAAAGCAGTTTTATTATATCATTATAAAGTTAAACATACACTTGCCATGTGATGTAGAAATTTTACCTTTAGGTATTTACCCAATAGAAATGAAAACAAATCTTTCCACAGAGACTTCTATGTTAATGTGGATAGTAGCATTGTTCATAATAGCTCGAAACTGAAAGCAATCCAAATATATCCAACTGATGAATATGTGAACAAAATGAAGCATATCCTTACAATGGAATATTTTCTGGAAATGAAAAGGAACAAAACAGTGGTGCATGTAACATTTATGAACCTCAGAAACATCTTAAGTGAAAGAATACTTATGTATGTAATGATTCAACCTGTAAGTTTCTACATATGACAGAACTGTAGAGATAGAAAGCAGATCAGTGGTTGCCTGGTGCTGGGAGTGGAGACTGCCAACAAATCGTCATGCTGGAACTTTTTGGAAATGTTTTAAAATAGAATTGGAATGTTGTTTTTAAACATATATTAATTTAATAAAACCCACTGTTACACTGATAGTGGGTGTATTTCATGGTGTGTAAATTATACTTCAGTAAATCTGATGAAAGAGAGAGAGATTTTATTTAAATTTTGAGATCAGGAAAAGTCTAAGGAAATAAAATTTAAGCTTAGACCTAAAATATGAATAGGAATTAGGGAATAAAATTGCTGTTAAACAGAGACTGATCATATCAAACATGTAGAGAGGCACTAAACGTTTACTTGAATGAATGAATAAATAAAGGAAGTAAGGATTGGAAACTTCATTGGAAAGAACTTACAACCTCTCAAAACCATTATGATTTGAATTAGTTCCTTGTTAGAAATATTTGTTCTACCTTTTATTGATTCCAACTCTGCTTTCCTATAGATTATATTTATTGATCCTATCTCTCTAAATCTGGAGCTATGCGGATGTCTGTGCTTTCACAAGTTTATATAAGAGTAGCATGCTATTTTATAGTCTTCTCCAGGATACACTCCATAATTTCCTTAACCGTTTCTTACCTGACTTGTTTTATAGAACCTTTATTATTTGGATTGTTGGTAACTTTGCTGTGTCTTCTTTTTCTATTCAAATACGATTTTGAGAACTGAGTGCAATTTATGTACTGCATAGACTTGGAACCATTAGGGAGTAGCTTAGCTCAGTCTTTTGTCCCTAGTTACAGAGCAGACATTAATAGAGCCCAGGGTTGAGGAAGCTTTGGGGATTTTATTATAACATTGAATAAATGGTGTTCAGTGTCAAATAAAACCTTTTTTTCTTCTTTCTAACATATGCTTCAGCTCAATTGCCTTATCTCTCTCAAGTTACCATAAAATTAAATGTCAAAAATGTTATATTTATCACTTTTTTTTAAAATAAAGGTTAAGTTTATCCAGACTAAAATTGTTTTGGATTTTCATTCATTGACAAAATATTTATTGAGCATCTGCATTAGATACACATGGTAGACAAGAAAGTGAGGTGCTTGCTCTCAAGGAGTGCATATTCTAGTGACTTTATTTCACCCTAGAATATGAGCACATCGTTTTTTCTTTTCTGTCTTAATCCAAGCATTTAAAAGTAAAGAGTTCAAGGCTAAGAGTGGAGTAGTGTGGCACATTTCTGGAAACCTTTCACAAAACTCTCTCTAGTAGATTAATAAGTACTATGTCATTTAACCAGCACAATAATTATTCCTGAACTTTGCAATTCAACCTGAATTCCTGATATATTATGCCTTCCATCTTTCCCTGTGCCATCGCTCCAGTCTCTCTAAGAAGGAAATGAATTTAATGTATTGTTAGAGATAGAAGATCCTGGTTAGTCTTCCAAGGGCTACCATTATATTGCCCAGGATTAGGGTCCTTCTTGTTATAATGTTAAGTTCATTGGCTTGTAATAGAGATGGAAATAGTTGTAGTACAGGTAATAATAATAGCTTCACTCATCACTTACTAGCTTTAATACACAATATCAAGTGTTTAAATATTATTTTACTTTATCTTCACAATAGCTTCATGAAGTAGGTCCTATATTATCCCCATCTTATGTATGAGGAAAGAGAATCATAGAATATTAAGTAACTTGACAAAAAAATCACATAACTTATGAGGGCTGCAGTGACTCCCTGGTATCCTAACCATCATGTTATATTACCTCCATGAAAATCGGAACCCTTGCATCTCCTGTCTAATGCAATGCCTCAATGCCTGCCAGGAAGATAAACTTGTTAGTAAGGAAGACATGAACTTTTTGTCTCAACTTTTATTTCAGGATCAGTGGGTACATGTGCAGGTTTGTTACAAAGGTATATTATGCAATGCTGGGAAATGGTGTATGAATGAATTCCCCACCCAGCTAGTGAGCATAGTACCCAAAAGTTAGTTTTTCAACCCCTTTCCTGCTCCCTTCTCCTCCCTTTTGTAGTCCCCGGTGTCTATTGGTTCCATCTTTGTATCCATCTGTACCCAATGTTTAGCCCTCACTTAGAAGTGAGAGCATATGATATTTGGTTTTCTGTTCCTGCGGTAGTTTGCTTAGGATAAACGTTTCCAGATGTATCCACATTGTTGGAAATGTATTTTTTATGGCTGTATCGTATTCCATGGTGTATTTGTACTGCATTTTCTTTGTTTAATCCACCATTGATGGCCATCTAGGTTGATTCCATGTCTTTGCTAATGTGAATAGCATTGTGATGAACATATGGGTGCATGATGGAAGACATGAATTTTAGTAGATGTTCTGCATATAAGAAATTCAAATGGAATGTTAGACATGACTTGTCCTGAATTTCCATGAAACTAATAAAGCTGTGGCTTTAGGGGCCCTAATTTACATGTTTCCTCCAAAGATTTGTTCCCTAATTAGAGATTTAAAATTCTGGGTTTTTTTTTTTTAACAAGGACCACCAAAATTGTGTAAGTGTATCCCCAAAAAACTTCTATCTGCTCTTGTGCATCATTTTTTTTGTTAATTTTATTTACCTATTCTTCCATCAGGAAGTTTTATTGGCCTTAATTTCCAAACTTTTTCAATTTTTCATCCTCTCTAAGTTCTTTCTCCTGCTCCTCTTGTATTCCTTTTTCTCTCTGATTAAAAACCATCTCTTTGTCTTATTTGGATGAATTTATCTCTTTCCTCCCATGTTTTGGTCTTCAGATAGGTTTTCCCCAAAGTGGGACATTTTTCTCAAGGATAGATCCCACAAGAAAAGGAATTATTATGCCAACTTTTTTTTTTCTTCCTGAGAAGGAGTCTCGTTCTGTCGCCCAGGCTGGAGTGCAGTGGCACCATCTCGGCTCACTGCAACCTCCGCCCCCTGCGTTCAAGCAATTCTCCTGCCTTAGCCTCCTGAGTAGCTGGGATTACAGATGCGTGCCACCACGCCTGGCTAATTTTTATATTTTTAGTAGAGACGGGGTTTTGCCATGTTGGTCAGGCTGCTATCGAACTCCTGACCTCGTGATCCACCCGCCTTGGCCTCCTAAAGTGCTGGGATTACAGGCGTGAGCCACCGTGCCCGGCCCCACGCCAACTCTTAAGATAAAAATGTCTTCAACCTCTTTACATAGATTTTTACTTCCATTTGCTTTCAGCATTGAACACAGACTCTCCAACTTATTTCCATGAAAATATCAACAGGTCTGTTTTTTATGAAAATGGTATAATCGTCTATTGCTGTATTATAATTTTAACTCATATTTCTGCCTTAAGTCAAAACTATAATTTTGTATCATTCTCTTTTTTAAAATTCCAAATTCATATTGGTACTCGTGATACAGATGATTAGGGCTAAAAGTACTATTTCCATTTCCTCCCATAGTCTATTTACATATGAATCACTTCCTACAGTCTAAGCACTCAATCTGTTTTCTTCTAGTTTATGTTATAAAAGTAGACAAACAAGGAGGTCTTTATATATATTTGTATGTGTATTGATCATGAAGACTATTTTTAGAATGTGATGAAAGATGTGTACTATCTCCATAAATATACACATATATAACATATTACTTCTATACCATCAGGGGACTGACTTTTTGAAGCCCACCTATAATTTCCCAGGCCCACCAATACCAGACTAAGTATCTTCACAGTACAATTACTAAAATCTAGAATAGGTAACAATATGTGCTGAATTACTTTGAAAATTTATTTTTATTCTCCATAGTGTCGGTTTTTTGTTATGTTCTTTGAGAGCTGAGGAAATGTTCTGCATGTATGCAAATTTTTGGATCACTACGTTCTTGAATCATTACCATTTTGCTGAGGACACTAGTAATGTAGCTGATTTAAGTCTTTAAGTCTCCTAGTGAGGTTTATTATTTTTTTTCCAGAACAATGTGACTCTTCTCTTTTAAAACCCATTAAGGGATGAAAAAGTCATTAGGATGTGAATGTGGATATCTCAGGAATTGATGTACTACATTTGGAGCTGTTATATTAATGAAAGCGAGATTATCATAGAAATGAATCATATAGCCATAAACTTGTAACACACAGTGGGATCCATTAGTATGTCAGTGGAAATGATGTGATATTATCAAAGAATATGTGATTTGTCTTAATGGAGAGAAAGTGTGAGCAGAACATATAGATGAATTTTAGAAAATTCTTAAGAGGATTTAAAAACTAAAACTATTTCTATATCTTAAAAGTCTTTAAAATAGGTTCTATTGTTGAAGAAGATTACATGCATATAATGATGTTATTTATTATATCAACTAACAAAGGTTGAAATTAATTACTGTAAGATTGTTAATTTTTACCTATCTTTTAATATGTGCAGAATTTCTGCTGATGTATAGACATGTCTTCTTTGCTTGCATCTGTTTTGGCAGCTTAAGACTCTGATATAAATTTCTTTCTCTGAAAGCCCTTCAAATCTCCTGTTTTAAAAAGTAGCTTTGGTATAGAGGTTGGGGATAAAATAAAGATACTAAAAGTTCGTCTTTTACTTTCAGTGACTGCAATTAGTGTGGAATTGTAACTTCCCTTCTCCATTAAAAATGTGAGTAGAGTTTAAGATGAATATATAGCAATTACTTATTCTCTAAGCTGAAAAGTTGCTTGAGTGGTTTAGTCTGAGTGTTATGATGAAAATTAGGGGCTATTGACCCTGATAAAAGAAACCTGGATTGAAGGTCCACTTAATTTTTTATCCAGAGATCCCTGGGAAGTCTCACCTAGCAAATGATAATTTGGAGTTTATGATTTTACTTTACTGTTATCTTCCAAATGACTTAGATCTTGAACTGAAAAAAGTATCTCACATCACAACCTGGAAATAATATCTTCATATAACTTCCTATCTTTCTTTTTGTATTCTGGAAAACATAAAAGGCTATATACACAAAATATATTTTCAGTATTTAACCAATCATGTATGTGGGTTATTGAAAATTTGTTAACAAAAATAACATATATAATCTGCTAGTTCAAAAATTTGATAATTTGTAAACTAAGGCTAATAACTATAGGAGAAAATTTTCATGAATGCGTTAATGTTTTATAGATACAATGATGATTTCTAGATATAAAAGCAGAAGGCTTAATAAGTTGATCAATTCATATTTATGAAATTGGCACAATAATTAATAAGGCAAGGAAAGCATTCTCTGACTCCACACGACAAACAATTAGATATTTTAAATAAAGTGTGAAAAGTGCCTGGTGATAGGAAATACAAAAAATGACAGGGGTACTAATAACTCAGACAGGTAGTTTAGGAAATTCTGAAACCCTAACTGGCTGGTCCTCCAAGTATCTCCACTGGTACACATCACAATGCCATGCACATTTCAGATGTTTAACAAATATTTGTTAAATGAATACATGAAGGTATCATGCATACCCTTAAGTACCTAACTGCTAGGGAGACAGACATGGAAAGAAGTCTTAATTATATGCTAATAATAATAACCACTTAGTAAGCATTTCTTTTGTGGGAGACCAACTATGCAGGCATTTTATGTCTATTATGTATAATGTTTTAAACAATCCTTAAAGATAATAATGATGAATTAGTAGCTGATATTTACATAATGCTTACTGTGTGCTAGTTTTTCCTTTTTGTTTGGTTGAGAAGGGTAACTTAGGGAGAAGGGAGTAAGGTGTGAGACACTTTTTCAATCAAAGGGTACATCCTGAGCAAAGGCAGAGAAATAGAAGAAAGAACAGTTTGTTCAGGAATAGAAGTAGTTATTCAATGATCAAATAATTTGTAAAAGATGTTTGGAATTCAGTTTTACCCTGGACCTACTGCCCCTCTGAACTTTATGTGACATGAATCATTACTTTCCATGAAAGGTGAGTGTTTTAATGTTAGATTAAATCTTACTCTTTCTGTAGTATATTTTGTTATATACAATGATCTTGGCTTCATTATGGCTGGCGGAAAGAAGGTCATGATCCCCTTTCTGTCATGCCAGAGAAGTATGAGTGTGACATCAGTGAGAGTCACAGTATGAGGAGAAATTATACCATACAGAACCTTAAAATTCTTATAAAAAGTTCTTTTACACTGTTGAAGGCTTATTCTCATAAAACAAGTAAATGGGTGAAGAGCAGCTGAAATCACTCTCAGACTCTCTTTCCTGCTTTCTGCCACTGCTTTTATATTAGAATAATGCAAAGAAAGAAACACGCATGTGATCTCAGCTCCACTAAAAAAGCCACTTTTGGGTTCTCTGTTTTTGAAATACGGCAAAAGTGATTTAAGCAAAGTATTAGTCACATGAGTGCAAGGAGATGACAAATTATAGGTGAAAGTGAGAAACCCCTCTAGGAGAGGTTTATAATAAAATTGTCAACACTGTCTTTAAGAGACTCAGCTGGAAGCTGCTAAGTCTCTAAAATCACTAGCCTCAGATTATCTTTCTTCTCCTTTATTGAAGCACTAACATCAACCACAGGTGGTAAGTGGTAGCCAATTATGCTCCCACTTTCAAAATTAATAGCATCGTGCAGTCTGACAGTCTCGTATTCTTGGCCTATGTGTTAACTGTTAGGCCACTGTTACTTTTTCACCAGTGAATACATTAAATTCAGCAACCAGAGCTGACCAGTGGGGCCCATCTGTCTCTCCCTCTTTCTCCTAATGAGCTGCTAGTCTGGGAATGACCAGCATCACCTGTCCAAGCAGCCGTCTTCTTGCCAGAGCCAAGCCACACCAGCGAGGCCTGCTTCTTGCCCCCACCTCTGGCGTCCAGGCATAGACACAGGTGAAATCTAGTGAAAGTGGCAAAGGGGACATAGAGCTATCTTAGCTTCATGTGTTTCTTGCTTGAGATTTAAGAGACAGAAAATATAAATACAGCATTTAATTAGCTACATTATCCCATACTACCTGAAGTTCTTTTGATTAATAAGATTGAGAGGTTTATCTACAGGCAGAACTCAAATTTTACATTATAATTAGTCTTCATATTTATCTCATAGTGCTCTCACCTCTGTTTTCTCCAGCCTTTTCTTGTTGTTGTTGTTGTTAACTGTATATTTAGTCTTCATATTTATCTCATAGTGCTCTTACCGCTGTTTTCTCCAGCCTTTTCTTGTTGTTGTTGTTAACTGTGAGCACATACGCGCTTCATTTCAATCCATGTCTTCATCAGTGGAAGTTTGGACTCCTGCAATAATCCTCTTACTGTAGTGCTCCCAAGACACCCCTCCCTCCCACTCCCACTTCCTGTTATTCCATCCTGCATATTTGTATCAGATTAATCTTCGTGTTGTAGTTTCTTCTTAGGAACCTTAAACAACTTTTAATATTTCTACTATATGAAATCTAATGCAATTTAGGGAGTAGGTAGCAGTGTGCCAGGAGATAAAAATGGCTTCAATGACCTACTTATCCAGTTATTTTTCTGTTCTTTATCTTATTTAAAAAATATATTTATTCTACTGCCAGACTCAATTCTGTGTGTTTTTGTTTTGGTAAATAATTTGCAATTTTTCTGATAAACTACTCTTATTATTTGTGGACAATTATTTCATATTTCTAGATAATTTCAAAGAACACAATTGCATCTATCATTTGAAAAGTATTCCACACATTTACATTCTACTCCATAATACATTTGTGTTCACCTAAAAACATTTCAAGTCAATTGCCATTGAATAAAGTTATAGTTCTAGAATATGTACCATGTTTATTTTGTGGAATTTTGAGGACCCAAACATATCACCTAGTATTTCAAGTTATACAGTCTTCAGTTGAGGAAGCTAGTTTTTACACTGTTTGTTTCTTTGGTGTTAAGATTTTTGCTTATTTGACTCACAATCTCATCTCCCACTTCCTCTTTGAAGACTACTTGGTGTACTTGGCTTTATAGGTGTTCCTCTTTTTTTAACTCTTAAAATATGAAACATCTCCCCATAATTTATTGAATATCTTATTTGGAAAAGGAAAGTATCAATTGTTCAGTGTTTGCCACATTCCATCTGTTTTAATTGTTTTGACTTAGACTATAAATTCCTTAAAGGGTAGAGGGCATGGTGCAGTGAACGAAGATATCAAGAACGCTTAATACTCTTTCGAGTATGAAATGAAATAGTTACATGAGTGGTTGGTTGTAGAAGGTTTCTTAAATTACTGACAAGAGTTGAAAAGGTGAAAATGGTTGATGTTTTTGTTCTGATAGTTGGATTTTCTTTTTTCAAAATACATTACCATGATTACTAACGACAGATAACTCTTCAGAGTGACCTTCTAGTGAAAAGAGTAATAAAATGTGCTTTCATTTGCACTTTTTTCTTTTTCTTTCTTTCTTTCTTTTTTTTTTTTTTTTTGAGACAGTCTTGCTCTGTCACCCAGGCTGGAGTGCAGTGGTGTGATCGCAGCTCACTGCAAACTCTGCCTCCCTGGGTTCAAGTGATTCTCCTGCCACAGTCTCCCTAGTAGCTGGGATTACAGACACACATCACCACACCCAGCTAATTTTTTATTTTTAGTATAGACGGGGTTTCGTCATGTTGGCAAGGCTGCTCTCGAACTCCTGACCTCAGGTGATCCGCCCGCCTTGGCCTCCGAAAGTGCTGGGATTACATGAGTGAGCCACTGCGCCCAGCCCATTTGTAGTTTTCTAGTTAGTTTTATTTTATTTCTTTTTCCTTTGTCAAAAGCTCTTCCTGATGAAAGTCACTTAAATAAATCATTAAATTGAGAGACAATGCTTGGTGCAAGGATAATCTAATCCATTGTTACTGTGACTACTAATGATTAATCTTTTTTCTAAATTCTTGTTACATTTGTGGTCTGTGCCACGCTATTCAATAGTTAGTTGCATGCTATATTTTCCTCTAGTAATTTTTATACAGAATTAGTTGACCTCATAAGGGCAGAATCTGTTCTTGCAAATACTTGTGGAACCCACTGTGCTGGGCACCCTAAATACTTAGCTGATTAGCATTCAAACCTGTGCTTAGACACAACTGAAAAATGAACAATATACCTACAGAGGAAAGTGCCTGAAGCTTCTCTTATTTCATGCTCAACTTGCATTTCATAATAATATGATGACCTTGTATGTGTATATAAACATTTACCTTTTCAAATGGTTTCACATTATAATCTTATTTCATCCTTTTTGGTATTTTATCCTACTGGTTCCTAACCTTTTATGATAACAGTGCCTGTGGTTGATTTTATAAACCACACATGACACTTGGAATTCGGTTCTTGTTATCCTTCGTGTCAGAGCAGTTTTAAATAATCTTTTAGTAGAAGACTTTTGCTTTTGAAAATCAAACACTATTTCCCTCAATTTTATAGTTTAGAAAGTTTTCTGTAGTCTCCCAAAATATTTTTAGCGTTCTGTTAATTTTCTCAGCACATCCAATGATAAGTTGTAACCCTTAAGGTTATACTCAACTTGTACTAATACAAAAGGTCACATCTGAAAAAACCCATTTCCCTCCCTCCCTCCCTCCCCCCCTTCCTTCCCTCCTTCCTTCCTTCCTTCCTTCCTTCCTTCCTTCCTTCCTTCCTTCCTTCCTTCCTTCCTTCCTTCCTTCATTCCTTCCTATCCTGTGACTCCCAGGACCATGATTATCAGTGTCTCTTCCATCTCATTTTCTTCCTTTTTTATTCAAGAGTCCCAGCTCCTTAGAAGTATACACCACTCACTATCCACAACTTCTACTAAGCTTCTTATGATTCTCTCATTCACTGAAAAATTAGCTCCCAGCTTATTATTGTCTTTCTCTCTACGCTTACAGCAGTCATTATTTTTGGTCAATTCAACATTCACATGGATGACACACCCAACATTCTGACTTCTTAAATCGTGAATCTTCTCATTTTGAAAAATCTGTTCTCTACTACCATGGTCATATATATCCTAAACCTTGTCACTTTGGTAACTATATCAGCTCCTGTTTTTTCAGTTCATTTACTTTAGTATTTCCAAATTCCAAAAGTCCTTTTATCTAATCAAAACCTTATATCCATATTTACTTTCCATCATGCTTCTCTAATTTTTGCTTCCTTCATACCTATCAGAGAGTCCACAGTTCAGTTACATAGCTTCTGTAACAATCTCAACTTCCTTGCCTCTTTTTTCCCCTATTTATTCAACTGTCAAAATTCTAAACTTGATTTATACCAAATTGTTTTCCTTTTCTGTGACTATCCTAGAGAAGCTGGATATTTTTAAAAATAAGAATCACAGAACCATGTTAACTTCTTTTTCTTTAAGTTAGTTAACACACAAATTTAGTTAGCACTTAACTCCATCAGATAATTTTGCTACCTTTTCCTAGTGACTTTAGTTTTCCACTCTCTGTAAACTATTCTAGTTCCTTGTCTCTTCTTATCATATTCTCTCATCATGTCAGCTGATGAACTCACATCATACTTCCAGTTAACAAATCTGTTGTATGTGTACTCATAGTTTCTGCCTCACTACTTGCACAATAGTTGAAGTATCCCTCTTTCTATCAAAGGCCATCCTCCTATGTACCTATGAGTCTCATCCCTCCTTAACTTCCCCAAATTCATGTCTGTTGCTCTTTTTCCCCCTTTCTGCTTTATCACTGTGTTTCCCACCCTCTATGATCATTCAACAATGCATATAAACATGTTCTCCAATCAACCATTGAACGAAACCTCCCTCCTTCCCCCAGGTAAAGTCTGCGCTTCCCTAGTTTTCAGGGTTGTCTCCTTACAAGTCTAGATTCTACATACCACCTCCATCCTGGTCTCCACTTTTTTGAAACTGTTTTGGAAACCATTCTTGTCATCACTCTCAATGCTGCACGATAAGTAATTCTAATGTCTCATTGGCCTAAAACCCCATTTATCAATCTTTCATATTTTGTAAGGTTGGCCTTAGTAGGCTACGGAGGTTCTTCTGATACATCCTACTCATAGGCATTGTTTCTCTCATGCCTCTTCCCATTCTGGAACTTAGGCTGAAAAAGGAGCAGCTTTTTCGGCTTCCTGCTGGCAAAACCAGTGAAAGTTCCTGAGAGGCTCAATTAGCTATATGGTCATTACAATAAAGAGTATTTCACATTTGTTATTATATGTAAATTATGTACTATATCTTTGTATGAGAAAAATTTATAGTAAACCTTTGTTTGAAATTTATTTGTATATCTTTTTATTCCTGGAGAGTTTAACTAATGTTAAACATTTGCAAGCATACCACTGCTCATATGCTTCTTATACGCAGCACATCTGAAAAAAGAACTCTTGGTATTCTCTCTTCACAGCTCTCCCTCTCATGACCGTGTCACCCTCTCAGTCTTCTCTGTCCTGGTAAATGATATAATCATTCAATCTGTTGGAAAATCCTAAAACCTAGTAGTCATGCTTGGTTACTTCTTTTTGTCTTCTAAATCCAGACAATCAAGTCCTGTCATCTGTACTTAAAATATAAATTACTCTCCACTTTCACTGTCATCATCCTAATCCATTGTCACCATTATTCATTGCCTAGGCTATCGGCAATTTCTCTTAACCGGACTCCATTCTTCCTTGTCTTGTCTCCTTACATTCTCTCCTCGCTTAGTATAGTGATTTTTCAAAAATATAAATCAGGTCATGTCACTTCCCTGCTTAGAACACCTTGCTGACGGATGCCTTACTTAGCCAGGTATTCTTGGGCCACAAAAATTTTTCTTAATAGGCTTTATTTTTTAGAACGTTTTTAGTTCATAGCAAAATTGCACTGAAGATGCAGAGATCCCCCATATGCCCTCTATCCCCACACATGCACAGCTTCCCCTACTATCAACATCCCACACCACAATGGTACATTTGTTACAATTGATGAACTACATTGACAAATTATTATCCAGCGTCAATAGTTTACGTTAGGGTTCACTCTTAGGGTTGCACATTCTGTGGGTTTGGACCAACATATGATACCATGTATCCAACATTATAGTCTCATACAGAATATTTTCATGCTCTAAACATCCTTGGTGTTCCACCTATTTATCTATGGTGGAATGAATAAACCCCCTTAGTCCCTGGCAACCACAGATCTTGTTACCATCTCCTTAGTTTTGTCATTTCCAGAATGCCATATGGTTAGAATAATAGAGTATGTAGCCTTTTTAGATTGGCTTCTTTTACTTTGTAGTATGTATTTAAGCTTCCTTCATGTTTTTTTTTCATGACTTGATAGCTCATTTCTTTTTAGTGCTAAATAATAGTTTATTGTCTGGATGTACCACAGTTTATCTATTTACCTACTGAAAGACATCTTGGTTGCTTCTAAGGTTGAGCAATTATGAATAAAGCTGGGAAGGAGTTAAGAATATGCTGCACCAAAATTTTAACACAGTTATTGAGATTCTTATAAAACCACTAGAAAGGCCAACGTTGTGAACATCAACAAATGTTGTGTGACCTTTCAAGTATGGTCTAGAAAATCAGGAACTTTGTGCTGTTACCTCTTCAGGAATCACTGAGAAACTTTCTCAGATGACCATTGTTCCCCAGCCACATCCAGGTGGGGAGTATCAGATGGGAACTTAAAGAAGGAGACAGCTGGGGGCCACTGCAAGATCTCACATCTGTCAAAGCCACACATCCATTCACTACTGATCTGGAGGGTGAAAGCAATGAATTCTGCTTCTCTTGTACTTCTAAATCTTACACAAATTTATCTCCCTGGCAGAATGTAAATCATATCTAAGCCCTGGAAACAAGGAAGTCTGGAAAAGATATTTTTCAGGCTTCTGGCCCCTGACATTCAAGAAAGGACATGGATAGTTTTATGGATAAATCCTGGTTGCTAAAACAAGCAAAAAAAGAAACAAGCAAGCAATGTCCAAGACAAACTAAATACATATCCCCCCTCACCTCCAGATGGATGGTTAAGAACTGCAAAGCAGAGCAGATGCCCTGAGAATATAATTTTCTTTTCTAGGAAGTTCTTGATTAAAGGATTCTTGTCCCACTGAATGTCTGATTCAGACATGATTTCTCAAATCCATTCTCTCTGTTTTTCTCACATGTAGCAAAAATGATAAGAACATTATAAGAGAAAAGGTGAAAGGGCCGAATGAAATTTCCATTGATTCTGGGTGATGTCTGCCCTTTGAAGATTTAAGAAAGGAGAAAAATACTATTTTCTACATTACAGTACTTGAAGACCTAGCTGAGGAAACAAGATTAAAGCACATAGAACAAATTGGGAGCAAATATGCTGTATAATAATAATATGCTTGGTTTTGTAGCTTGTCTTACAAGGAAGAAAATATTGGTATGTATAGAGTAATCAAAGAAGGCATCTGTCTGAGCCTTAAAGATGGATAGTATTTGGAGCAGTGAGAGGAAGGGAGGAACATTCAAAGTGTATGTATGGAGGGGAGAATGATATAAGGAAGGGCTGGAATGAGCATGTCAGGGAATAGTGGGAAGTTTATCAACAACCTTCTAAAATAACTTTATCTCTAAATTTGCCCTGTCAGTTCATTTGCCATACCTATTACCAATAGTTCTTCGTTTCCCCCACCCCCTGCCTTGACACATGAAGACCCTCATTTTTATTACACACTCTCAAGGATTTACCCAGAGTTATTAAAATTTCATGTCATGGTTCTGTCCTTCTCTTTCTTTATTGGAAATACTTATCAATAAATAAGTGAAAAATAATGATGAATAATAGTGATGGCTTCTAACTTGAAAGTGGAAGAGCATATCATAAAATAAATAAATTATTGGTAATGCATTGAGAAGGTTGTTAATTTGCTCCTATATATATATTTTTAAATATGTTCACAAACTTTGTTAACTATATTAATAAATGTCAACATGTCTTTACATTTTGGGAAAACATCTGTGAGTTTTGATACCAGTATTGAGGATGGCTGTTTTGCCCAGACAATAGCTAGATACACACAAAATGCAAATCTGGTTTTATTACCTTTATAGAAATAATTCAGTGGCTCACTATTATATCTGCGCTTTTAATTTGTCATCCAAAGTCTTGTCCCCTGTCCACCTCTTTGCTGTCATCTCTCACCTTGCTAAGAGGTATACTTATGCTCAGTGATATTCTAGTAGTTGGCTGCAGGCATTATGCTGTTTCACATCACACTGTCTTTGCTAATGTTCTTTTTCCACTTAAAAGATTATCCTCAAACCTGTTTCAATGTTGTTAATTTTCCCCTGTCTTTAAAAATTTGGTTTAGGCATCAATTGCCACAAAACACCTTCCTTAACCTTGTGTGATGAGGCTTAATATCTCTGTGCTTTCATGCAAATGTGACTATACTTTTATCATTACACTTTCCATAGTATATTGAAATTATCTGTTTGGATTTCTGTCATCATCACTAAAATGTAAACTGTGCAATAATAGTAACCATGTAATATTGAATATTGATCATTGTATTCCCTGTACTTAGCAGAATGCCTAACACATAATAAGAGCTTCAATTGAAGAGAACTGGTAAGAGTAGAGGTTGCAAAATTGGGGACATTTTTTTAAAGGCCAGATAGCTTGCTTATCTGGCTGAGATATACCAAGCTCAAAAATTTAGGCTGTGTGTAATAGGAAGCCACTCCAAGTTTTGTGAACACCTAAGTTTTATTAGGCACTTAAAAATGCTTTATGACCTATAGGCCAGTTGAACAGAATAGAGAGCCTAGAAATAAACACATACCTATAGATAAACTGATTTTCAACCCAGGTGAAAAGAATACATAATGAGAAAAGGAGAGTTTCTTCAATAAATAGTGTTGAGTAAACTGGATATCTGTATGCAAAAGAATGAAATTGAACCCTTATGTCTTATTCAAAAATGAACTCAAAATTTATTAAAGACTTAAACATAAATGTTGAAACCATAAAACTCCTAGGAGAAAATATAGGAAAAGAAACTTCTTGGTATTGGCCTTGGTAATTGTTTCTTGAATGTGGCACTAAAAGCACAGGGGAAAACAGAAATAAACAGTGGAGTTACATTAAACTAACAGGCTTCTGCACAGCAAAGAAAGTAATCAATAAAATGAAAAGGCAACTTATAGACTAGGAGAAAATATTCACAAATCATACGTCTGCTGAAATGTTAATGTCCAAAACATATAAGCAAATTCTACAGTTTGATAGTAAACACAGCAAAAACAAAAACAAAATACAATAAAAAACCCCCAAACCAAACCAAACCAAAACCACAAATAGCCCCATTAAAAAATGGGCAAAGGACCTGAATAAATGTTTCTTTCAAAGAAACTTAGAAATGGCCAAGAGGTATATGAAAAGGTGTTCAATATCACCAATCATCAGGGAGATGCAAATCAAAACCATGATATCATTTTACATCTGTCAGGGTGGCTATAATCATAAAACCAAAAGGTACATGTTAAGGAGGATGTACAGATAAGGAAAACCTGTATACTTTTGGTAGAAATGTAAATTGGTGCCACCATTATGGAAAACTGTATATAAATTTCTCAAAAAATTTAAAATAGAACTACCATTTTGTGATAGTTAATACTGAGTGTCAACTTGATTGGGTTGAAGGATGCAAAGTATTGATCCTGGATGTGTCTGTGAGGGTGTTGCCAAAGGAGATTACCATTGGAGTCAGTGGGCTGGGAAAGGCAGACCCACCCTTAATCTGGGTGGGCAACATCTAATCAGCTGCCAGTGCAGCTAGAATATAAGGCAGGCAGAAAAACGTGAAAAGACTAGACTGGCCTAGCCTCCTAGCCTACATCTTTCTCCCTGTACTGGATGCTTCCTGCCCTCAGACATTGGACTCCAAGTTCTTCAGTTTTGGGACTTGGGCTGGCTCTCCTTGCTCCTCAGCTTGCAGACGGCCTATTGTAGGACCTTGTGATTATGTGAGTTAATACTTAATAAACTCCCCTTTTTCTATCTATCTATCTATCTATCTATCTATCTATCTATCTATCTATCTATCTATCTATCTCCTATTAGTTCTATCCCTCTGGAGAACCCTATTCTCCTATTGTAGGACCTTGTGATTATGTGAGTTAATACTTAATAAACTCGTATGTGTGTGTATGTATATATATATATATCTCCTATTAGTTCTGTCCCTCTGGAGAACCCTGACTAGTACACATGTATAATTCAGCAATCCCACTTCTGGGTATATATTCAAAAATATTGCAGTCATAATCTTGAAGAGATATCTGCACTCCCATGATCATTGAGACATTATTCACAATAGCTGAAACATAGAAGCAACATAAATGACCACCAATAGACAGATGGATGAAGAAAAGGTGGTACATTCATGTAACGGCATATTATTCAGCCTTAAATAGGAACTATGGCTATTTGGATGAACCTGGAGGACATTTTGCTAACTGAAATAAGATAGATATAGAAAGGCAAACACTAGATAACACTACATCTTTGATGGATCTAAAACAGTCAAACTCATAGAAGTAGAGAGTAGAATGGTGGTTGCCAGGGGCTGAGGGGAGGGAAGTATTAGTTAAAGGTCACAATGTTTCAGTTACATAGGATGAATAAGCCCTAGAGATGTACTGTACAGCATAGTGCCTATAGTTAATAATACTGTATTATATACTTAAAATTTTGTTAAGAGGATAGATCTCATGTTAAGTGTTGTTAATACACACACACACACACACACACACACACACACACACACACACACAAAGATGGTGGGAGGCAACTTTTAGAGGTGATGGATACATTTGCAGCATAGATTGTGGTGACAGTTCCACAGGTATATAATCTTCAAACTCATCAAAATAGTATATATTAAATATGTGCAGCTTTTGTATGCCAATCATACCTCAATAAAGTGGTTAAACATGCTATATAAATTAGGTATTATAAATACCTAATTTCTTCTGTCTTTGGGGGTAGGGATTATTGCCATTATATATATATATAATGTATATATATTATAAATAACTGATGCTCAGGGATGACAAATGGCCTTCTCGGTATCAAAAAGTTGGCACAAAATGGAGTGGGGCTTTAAACTACAATCTGTCTCTGAGGTCTTTCTACATTTTGTTAAGCAATATATCAGAAGTAATTGTTGTAAATGGTTATTTGAAGTAATCACTCTTTCACTGATTCCTTACTTGAAGGTTTAGGTCATATTTAAAGCTTACACACAATACCAGTGAACCCAGATTTTTTTCAGTTCCACAGTGGTTCTTTGGCCTGCTAGAATCATGTGTTTATGGAGAAAGCCAATATAGCACACAGCCTGTTACATTAGTTTGGATGCCATTCAAAGTGTGGCTGGCAAATACTTCTGCCAAAGGAAATTTCAGTATAAAAGTGCTGCTGCTGAAGGCTATTGAGCTACCTATTTGTAAAAGCTATCTGAGTCATTTTTCTTTTCATCCTCTATCACCAGTGGTGGGTAATTCTTTAGTTCCTGTATTACTTTTCTAGTCATTCTTTTAGAATGGCAATCTCACGCAATGGTTGCCTGGAATGTGCCAATTTCTTGTGGTTTCTCCTATGATTATGTTTGGAGATGTTGAGAGAGAGGGTGAAACATGTAAAACCAATCTACTAATATCAGCTAACTTAAGTAAAGTTTGTTTCAAATAAATTGCTCCGGAAGCCACCATGAATCATTACATAAGCCACATTTTTCTGAAATGTAGGTGAGCAAAACTAAGCTTAGTTTCTTTCTTTATACATTTATTTAACACCTAATACAGGTGTTCATAGCATTTATTACTCTTCTAATTTTTTTATTAATCTCTTTATCACCTTCTAGATTGTCATCTCTATTAGTACAAAAATCTTTGTTGCCTTTCTCAGCACTTTACTGCTAGCATCTTGTTGCCAGAAGTCAGGGACCCCAAATGGAGGGATTGGCTGAAGCCATGGCAGAAGAACGTGGATTGTGAAGATTTCATGGACATTTATTAGTTCCCCAAATTAATACTTTTATAATTTCTTATGCCTGTCTTTACTGCAATCTCTACACATAAATTGTGAAGATTTCGTGGACACTTATCACTTCCCCAATCAATACCCTTGTGATTTCCTATGCCTGTCTTTACTTTAATCTCTTAATCCTGTCATCTCATAAGATGAGGAGGATGTATGTCACCTCAGGACCCTGTGATGATTGCGTTAACTGCACAAATTGTAGAGCATGTGTGTTTGAACAATGTGAAATTTGGGCACCTTGAAATAAGAACAGGATAACAGCAATGTTCAGGGAATAAGAGAGATAACCTTAAACTCTGACCACTGGTGAGCCGGGAGGAACAGAGCCATATTTCTCTTCTTTCAAAAGCAAATGGGAGAAATATCACTGAATTCTTTTTCTCAGCAAGGAACATCCCTGAGAAAGAGAATGCGCCCCTGAGGGTAGGCCTCTAAAATGGCCCCCTTGGGTGTGGCCGTCTTCTGTGGTCGAAACTGTAGGGATGAAATAAGCCCCAGTCTCCCATAGTGCTCCCAGGCTTGTTAGGATGAGGAAATTCCCGCCTAATAAATTTTGGTCAGACCGGTTGCTCTCAAACCCTGTCTCCTGATAAGATGTTATCAATGACAATGGTGCCCAAAACTTCATTAGCAATTTTAATTTCACCCCAGTCCTGTGGTCCTGTGATCTCGCCCTGCCTCCATTTGCCTTATGATATTCTATTACCTTGTGAAGCATGTGATCTCTGTGACCCACACCCTATTCGTACACTCCCTCCCCTTTTGAAAATCACTAATAAAAACTTGCTGGTTTTATGGCTTGTGGGGCGTCACAGAACCACTGACATGTGATGTCTCCCCCAGACGCCCAGCTTTAAAATTTCTCTCTTTTGTACTCTGTCCTTTTATTTCTCGACCCGGCCGATGCTTAGGGAAAACAGAAAAGAAACTACGTGACTATCGGGGGCAGGTTCCCTGATAGCATCTCACATAGATCATGGCATGGAGTAAGCAGTTAAAAGGACAATTACTGGATGAATAAGTTAAAAACTTGCAATATTTTTGACTATTACAAAATTCTCCACTCTGGTACACAAAGGCAAATAATCACCTATATTCTTTAGAACAGTGCTTCTCAAACTTTCATATATCTGAATTACCTGAGGATCTTGTTAAAATGCAGTTGGCTGGCCAGGTGCGGTGGCTCACGCCTGTAATCCCAGCACTTTGGGAGACTGAGGTGGGCAGATAACGAGGTCAGGAGATCGAGACCATCCTGGCTAACATGGTGAAACCCCGTCTCTACTAAAAATACAAAAAAAAAAAATTAGCAGGATGTGGTGGCGGGTGCCTGTAATCCCAGCTACTCGGGAGGCTGAGGCAGGAGAATGGCATGAACCTGGGAGGCGGAGCTTGCAGTGAGCCGAGCTTCCAGCCTGGGCAACAGAGCGAGAAGCCATCTCAAAAACAAACGAACAAAAACAAAAAACAAATGCAGTTGGCTTTAGCAGAGATGGGACAGGGCCTGAAACTGCATTTCTAACAAACACCTGGATGATGCCACAGTTCTTGTCATCAGACATTTTGAGAAGCAGCTGTTGGAACACCTCAGCCATGAACTGCTGTGTTCATATTGCTACTTCTTCCTCCAATTTCATTTATTTGCTGGCTGGCCTAACTGGCTTTCCGTCAGAAATTCATTAACCTTCTTTAGATAGAAAAATCATTGTGGCTACTCAGCCTGGGACACACTAGATGGGTACTCTCTCTGAGAAGCAACTCAATTGCAAGTTACAGCCTTCAGTTGATAGGATCTGTCCTTGTGACTTTTGATTTTGGGTTCATATCTGAAGCTCCCATTTATTTTCTTTGTGTCACTCTCTTAATACAGGTAGTGCATCTCTCTGTCAGCAGATACTAATGGCTGGCCTTTCCCCTTATTGTCACAGGCTTTGAAGGACTGTCCAAGATAAAATGTATGTGTGCTTGACATTTCCCATGTTAAGTTGGATGATTCTTAAAATACCCTACTAAATATTGCAAAAATCTATCTATATTTTAGAGGGATATAAAAACCAAAAAACAGGATCAACACAAGTTTTATTATATTTATGGAGATTCTTTTTCTGTACATGGGGTTATTGAGAGGAATGAGTAAAACATCTAGCTCAGCTATGTGATAAGAACTTAATACAGGGATCTATTGTAATATTTTTATCGATTTCATTACCGTTGGCTTGAGGTGTGTCCAGTGCTACACAATATAGGCATTTTATGGATTCCAATGGGGTTATAATATGCCTTTTGTTATAAATTAGCTAGAAACTGAGAAGTTCTATCTGTGGCCCCAGCTCTGACTCAGGCTATTTACTGACCATCTTCTAGATTATTTTTAATAGAAGAGGAACAATTTTTCAAATCATTAAATTCCGTTTAGGCTTTTTTAACCTTAAATAGTATTTAAGTAATGACATTATTCATTTTCTTCTCCTAAATATTTCCTGAGCTCCATCAATTCCCTTTTCATGATGGTCTATTGTTTAGGCAAGTTTTTTCCTTATCTTTTTCATTTTTGATTTATTCTTTAATTTCATGACTTCTACCACTTTCTTATTTTATCTCATATTTAATATTAGGTTACAATTTTCTTCTACTTTGCAGCTATATTTTATTGCTATTCTTTCATTATCTGTTAGCACATTGATCAGGACTTTTTCCTTTAGTTCTTAGGATATAATTTCATGAGGTTGGATGGCTAGCCTTTTCTTCTTTTCATGGCTAATCAGATGGGTTTTCCTCTATTCTCAGAAGTAGGTTCCTGTGCAGGGGGTGGGGTAGGTCAAGGTAGCTTTCTCAGTTTTTTATTCACGGCCTTTCTCTTCTATGGTTACCACAAAGTATTAAAACTGTGGCCTCTTTGTGTAGAAATGTCCACAGATCTGATATCTGCCTTCTCAGCACGTTTTACATCCAGTAACTGGACCCCTGGCCTCCTGACCTGTTCAATTTGGATTCTGTTTCTGGAAGATTTTCTTCTCCCGCAGTGTGAGTTTTTGTGTTTATGAAAGGGAAACTGCTGAGTATTTCTGAAATGCTCAAGTATTTAAGCAGCCTCAGAAAATCCTACTTCTTCCAGAGACTCTTGCTGAGTCCGTGCCGTCTTTTCTCGTCATGCTAAGCTGTGATTGCTATTTATTCCGCCCCTAGTAGAATCCTCTCTTTTTGGGGGTATTTGTTAGAAATACATAAAATAAAGCTTGGAGGCACTCGAGATCATCAGAATTCCCTATATCTTCCCTTCATTATTTCTGCAAAGTGTTAAATCCATGCAGATTTGGGCCCTCTCACTCATATTCTGGAAGATGGCTGTGCTATCCTAGATGCTTTGTCAGTTATTAAGAGGATTTAAGGAGTGAGTGATTGTGTAGAATTACCTGGGAAGCTTTTGAAAAATACCAATACCTACCCCTTGCTTCCAAGATTCAGTCAGTCTGAAGCGGGGCCCAGGAATCAGCATTTTAAAATTGCTCCCGCCATGTTCTAGAACGCAACTATGGCAAGTAACTGCTGTTCTAGGTCGATTTTAAGTTTCATACTCAATTCAATTGGTGCATAGTTTGCCTAGCCTACACACAAGGCAGACTGGGACAACTAGAAGTCATTCTCTTTTCTTTCTTTTTTCTTTTTTTCTTTTTTTTGACATAGGGTCTCACTCTGTGATACAGGCTGGAATGCAGTGGCACGATATGGCTCACTGCAGCCTCGAGCTCCTGGGATTGAGTAATCCTCCCACCTCAGCCTCCCTAGTAGCTGGGATTACAGGCACAGGCATGCACTACCACACCCAGCTTTTTTTTTTTTTTTGTAGAGACATGGTCTCACTATGTTACCTAGGGCGGTCGTGAACCCCTGGGCTCAAACAATCCTCCCACCTCTGCCTTCCAAAGTGCTGGAGTTACAGACATAAGCCATCATGCACGGCCCCTAAAAGTCATTCTTTTAATACAAATGCAGCATTTTTTTTTCTCATAGAAATGTAAAATCAAATCCTTCCTCTAAAAATATCATTCTGCAGTATCTCCTCTGTTTTTTTTCCCTCTTGCCATCAGAAAATATTTTGAAAAGTTAAGGGCTTTTTATCTTTATGAAATGTGAGCACAGAAGAAGCAATTCTAGTCAAAATATAGTCCTGACTCGACTGTTTTTATTTTTAAATATTTTCTTATGCTTTTAATTGTATTCAAAGAATTACTAGGTTTCTAGTTTCTTGGTGCTGAGAAGAGATTTGCTAATTCAATATTGTCCTCAAAAAAACAAAGTGAATAGAATTTTACTACAGAAAGGGATGCCAATTATATATACACAATTTAAAATTTTTTCCTTTATATTGAATTTTCTTAAGGGACAAAGTAGTATTCATCTTCAGTCACTTTAGCACTTATAAAATATATGGCATAAATTAAAGTAAAAATTTGTTAAGCAAATAAAACGTTGTATGAAATGAATGACAAAAATGCCAGCATTCATTCCACAGGTTTTTTATACCAATCGTGCCAATAATTATTTAGTATATATGATGTTTAAGAGCTACATTAAATAATTTTTGTTAGATTCAGAGTATATGCATTTCTAGAGACAACACCATAGGGTACATGATTAGATTGCTTCAGTTTATAGAATAATGTCAAGAAAAAAATGGCGTGTCACAGAATAAATTTTAAGAAATTAAGAGAACAATCTTTAAAATTTAAGGATATATTTAGAGTGTCTTTAGGAAAGTCTGGCTTAATGTCCAACATTTAGTGCACTGATCATGTGGACATGAATCTTTGATCTTCATTTTCTTATAAACTTTTATTCCTTTGGTTGAATTTATTATATATACATATCTATGTATATTTATGTGTATATATCCACATATATATAATCATAAAATGTGTATTTTTATAAGAGATGTATTGTTTGTACAAGAAAGATTAGTACATTCTATTATACATTCCAGTGTCATCTTCAAGCTACTGCCAGGTAATAACTATGTATTCTTATATTTAGTCAAACATTTTCCCATTTCCTTAATGGGAAAGGCCAAATGAAGTCAAGACTAAATAAACTGATCAATCCAGCAAGGAAAAGTAAATTTAGAACTGAAGAAAGGCTTTGTTTGCTTTGAAATACGTCACAGCACCCTAGTTTGGCAGGGGCCTTTATTAATCCAGTTTATACCTCATATAAGGATACAGTTGACCTTTTTAAAAACTGTTCTTACAGTGTGAGGTAGATGAGTTCTTGATGATGAGAGCTGACATGAGTACTGTGTGGATTACATAGGAATGAGAATATATTATTTACCTTATGTATTATTTTTTCAAATCGTGAGCTTAAATAGTTTATTATTACTCGTATTTTTTTTTGTTTTTTTGACGGAGTCTCTCTCTCTTGCTAGGCTGGAGTGCAGTGGTGCGATCTCAGTTCACTGCAAGCTCCATCTCCCGGGTTCAAGCTATTCTCCTGCTTCAGCCTCCCTAGTAGCTGGGACTACAGGCGCCTGCCACCACGCCCAGCTAATTTTTGTATTTGTAGTAGAGACGGGGTTTCACCATGTTAGCCAGGATGGTCTCGATTTCTTGACCTCGTGATCTGCCCGCCTCAGCCTCCCAAAGTGCTGGGATTATAGCCCTGAGCCACCACGCCCGGCCACTTGTAGGTTTTGAATGCACATTTTAAAAATAAGTGACAGCGTTCATTTTATACTCTTCAGATTCCCCAAAGGAGATACTCTGCATAATTAGATTATTGTCTAATACAAATAGAAAAGGTGATACAGATGTGGCATGGTGCATTATTTTAAGAGGTGGCCTTTGGTAATGCTAGTAAATATTCCTCTTCTCCTAAAAAAAGAGCCACAGGGGTGAGTTTCCTTACTGGACAATGCTGTATGCAAGTACATGCCAGGAGTGATCTGGATTCAAAATTCAGCATAAAACACTGTATTAGAATTGATCACCCCAGAGGCTATAAATACAAAATGTCTGACAAAGGCCCTGACAAATAAGAAATGTATCAGAAAACAAGCCAATTGTGGATCACATATAAGAAGTCAGCAGCAAGCTTTGTTGGGCTGTCTTTTTCTGCTGAGTAGAGATAAGATTGATTGGCGCAACTTTAGGCAACCTCCCGTATGCAGCAATAAGAACACAAAAAGTAGAGGATGGAGGGGGGATAGCGCAGATATATAGTTGGGGAGTTTCACAAGGAAATGAGGAAAAAATCAGCAAGAAATCTCTAGGGAAAGAGAATTAGCAGATGGCATGCCAAGTAAATACGAACTCCTGTCACTTATCACATTGACTATGATTATCTCTGCCTTGCTTACCATAATTAGACATGGAAAATGTTTTTTTTTTTTTCGTCTGGAGAAAAGTTCCTGTTTTCCTAATATAGGGTATAAAAATAACTAGATTATATAGTTACTTGATTAACACTCTAAGCATTGTATTTCTAGCTCTTTTATGTGAGAATCTTCAGTGGGGTTGTATTTGTGAACTGATCACACACTATAAACCAGTAAAAAAACCCCTACTTATTTGATCAATATAGATAAAGCAGAATGATATATTGTGGCTTTCTGATTGATTGGTAATAAAAAATGTTTGAGAAACAAAAGGAGACAACTAGAAAATACTTTAAAAATATTGTTTTTTTAGGACTCTAAATATTCCAGAATATATTTTTATTTTTATTATTCAAATTATAAAAAGGAGCTGAACAGAATTTGTGTGTGGTTAGAGGTCTTTACCTGATTGCGTTCTCCCCTCTGGAGGAAGAATAATCTATGCATTCTAAAACTGTAATTCCATGAAGCAAGATGATCATCAAGGTGCGTGAGTTAAATCAATATTTTAATTTTCAAATACATTATAAATGTCTAGAAAATATATGTTTAGGGGAATTATTTTTAAGACATATTTGCAAGGCGGTTTCAAAGATATATATCAGCATTGTCACATAAATTGTTACATGAAAAATTGATGGTTGAAACTAGCCCAGACACTTCTTTCCATTAAATACAGTAGAAAAAAATGGCAGTTTTCTAAGTGTCTTGTGTTACTTGGTACAAATGCCAAGAAATACTGTGGTGTGGTGGATAACAGTGTGAAGCTGGGAATCTGATGGACCACAGGCCAAGTTACAGCTCAGCTGCTTAACAACCCTCTGACCTCGTGCATACTATTTATCTGCACAAGTAGCCTCCACATTTTCATCTGAAAAATGAGGCCAACTAATAGTCTCAGCATTGTGAAGATTAAATGGATTAAATCATGTAATATATTTAGCCCAATAGCTGGCACATGGTAGCTCTCAAATTGTAGTTATTATTTTACTATTAGTTAATTGAATCACAAGAATTACAACACTACTTGAAAGAGAAACTTGATTTTTTAAAAATAAAAAAGTTCAGCGTTTTCTAGGTTGTCATTAAATATGTCCAAATGAGAAGATTGCCATGCCAGGGACTCCACAATAGGCCTAGTATACCTCTCTGAACTTTTCTTCCATAGCTTACCTCCCTCCCACCATCCTGCAATTCTCTCTCCCAGCACAAATAACCCACTTTTGGTGAGCACACAGTCTTGTTTACTACCGTAGCATTGCTTTGCTCATGTTGTATTCTTTGCTGAGAGTGTCCTTTTCCAGGTTTTTGGAAGTTCATACCCTTACCAGTAAAATCTTGTACAAATCGAATTTTTAAATTCCTCATGGTGCCTCCTCCCTCACTTCTCCATCTGTCATGATGGGGAAAAGTACAAATCCTTCCTTCTTTGATCTGGAAAATTTAATCTATTTCATTCTCCTCTGAAACTTAATTATGTGCTTGTCTTCCTTCTCCTATTTGACTGGAAGGCAAGAGTATATGTCTTATCCATCTGTTTACTTCCTCTCCAGCACAGCATTTTGCACAGAGGAGATGCTCTGTGAATACTTATGGAATGAATGAATATTGCATTCGTGATGTATTTAAAACTAGCAGCTATTAGCCAACACAGATAACTACTCACGACATGTTCAAGTAGTTCTTAAGAATAAAGAAAAATTTATTTGAATAATTATTATTGTGAATTTTGTAAACATTCTAAATCTCATCAATATGATCTAACCTTATTTGGAAATAAAAATTAGGAAATAAAAACTTGGGTTTTATTTTTATATATAGATCTAAAATTTGAATATTTTTCTGTGCTGATTAAGTAGAATTTATCCTGGTCATTTAGATTCTGAACTTTTATTTTAATCAAAAATATTTGCTTGCCTGGATTATTGAGATAACTGCCATAATCCTCCATTTCTTGTGGTTTATTTCAATTACTGATCTTACTCAGTTTTCTGATTGTATTTGTCAGACAACAAATCCCCTCACCCAAAAGACTCATTTTAGTGACAGTAATCAGATTGTGATGTGGCCTGAAAACAACACTGTCCCTCCTTCATGAACCAATGGCCCTGTGGGAGATCGAGAGCAACTCTGGACCAACTTTGCTTGGTCGGTCTGGTTGCCATGTTTACTCAGTGCCCAGGAGCCTGGTCTCTTTTGATGCAAAATAATGATGATGATGAAAGTGTCTCATATAAATTCAGTACTTTTTTATTCCTTTAAAATACATTTTCATATTTGGTATAATAAATATAAAAAGTGACTGAGTTTTTTCTTCCTTTTTTAGTTTTTGATTTAACTATGAAGAATTTCTATCATTAGGAAATACAAAACACACGTAGAAATGTGAGGAAGAGACCACTTTTTGAGCCCATTTGCTGAGCAGTGTGCTAAATGTCAAGCTAATTTAGTTTAATTTATTTCTTATCTTTTTAGGATCTTTAATGACTTCATCTTTATGGTGTTCTTCCTCTTTCCTCCGTATATGTCAGGCATGAATATATACATTTATTCACTGAGTGTCTATTTTGTGCCATATATTATTTTAGATGCAAGTATTTTTATAAAGATTGCCTAAACAATCAGATTTATTAATTTTTTATTCGTGTTATTTTTTAATGTTAAACTACTATTTTTTAAAATTTGTTCAAGAATAAATTTTATTCATTCAAGAATCTCAAATGCCTTTTTCAACATTTTTGCTGCTGTGCTGTTACAATTGAAAAAGCTTAGTAAGGCAGAAGAAAATACAGTAGTATCAAATTACTTTAAAAAAAAAGTGAAAAAAAATCCACTCAAAGAAAATTCAAGGGAAAATCCCAGGAAAATTGACCTGAATGAAAACTATGAAAATAGCAGGATTATTAAAAAATGTAATTAGCCTAAATTACGTTAAATCACACATTTTTCTGGATTACCAAAAGACTCCTAATAATTAATAGATAGTTATTAACCATCTACTTGTACAAAGAGCTATTGACCTATTAAGAAATAAGGTGAAAAAAATGATGGATGTAGACAACTAATTTGGAATAGATTTGGAGCAATGAAAGGAAAGTGAGAGAATAGACAGTAGTTGGAGGGACAGAAAAGTCAAGGACTAGTTGTTAAGGGGAAGTCTTGCATACAATTGAAGTCAGAGGAAAGAGGAAGAACACCATAAAGTTGAAGACATTAAAGATCCTAAAAAGATAAGAATTAAATTACATTAAATTAGCTTCTACAAGTACGGGAAGAACATAGCGTAGATGGGGTTATATTTTTCCTTTCCAGGATAGAGTATTTATTTGACCTGAAAAATACGTGGGTTAAATGCTTTAGATAAACGAAAGGTACCAATGCTGTCAGCTTAGTATTTGGAAGGCATTACTCACATCTGAACTGGATAGGAAGTTCCAAGTAGCATACTTTTGTCCTAAGTGAACTATCGGATTTGTGGTTGTTGTTTAGAGAACCTGGCAACCCACGTAATTTGTTCATTTGGGACATGTGCCGGTGTTGTCTGGAATTCTAACTGAAAACACTTTTAGGACCTAAGAGAGAGAATGAAGGACAATGAAAATTGTGTGAAGGTTATGTCTTTTAAAAGTGGCCTAAAAGTCTTACTGACCTCCATCTAAACAATTTCAGGTGTCTAAATTCTTGAAGGAGTGCATTAACTTTAGGGCTATTCAGTGCAAAGGCTTACATAAGACTAAATTCCATTAAAATATTTTTTGAAAGCAAAATCAACATTGTTTACAGTGGATTTGCTGGGTGATGTATTCAAACGCAAGGCTCTGTCAAGTGTTTTTGCTACCATATGTACACCTATTAATGAACTCCTTGTAAATGTCTCCAGTATTCCCTTGGGTTTGCTAAAGTTTGCTGTTGAAGCATCACTTTTGTCACAAATCCTATTTCTCTCCATTTTTAATATGGAGGTTCTAGAGACCTAATAAATAGCCTCCCTTCTCTCTCATTCAAGTTTATAACCATTTCAGAGACAGATATGGGAATTAGGCAAATAGGAATGAATGTATCAATTTTATTACTGATGAAGCTGGTACAGAAGGTCATAGCTTCTTGTGAGAGCCAGATGGCACTTGCTAATAGTTCCTTTCCAGATTAGACCAAGTTATCCACCCAGTTCCAGGCAGTGCTGAACAATGATAGGCCTCTTCTCCATGAAGAAGCTGAGCCATAGATATGGATCATGAAGAAGAACAGAACATATACTCTCTTCAGGCAGGTAGACTTCAAGACAGAGAGGCAGGTCATGGGCTAAGCTTGCTCGGTTTCCTTTCTCAGACTCATCAACATAAATCATGTTGTCACCAAGGGAAGGGGTTAGTAAGGCCAGGAATGTTACTTTAATTGAATATTTTTCTCCTAAACCTGGCTGATGTGGGGAATATGCACTCACCCTGACATCACAGGTGTATACTGTAGTGTTTTATATTAAGAAGAAAACATTATTGAAACCAGTGCAACAACTTTGTAAAGATTCCTAGGGAACAAATCTGACTAGGGACCTAATAACTTAGCTTTGTTTTTGTTTTTTTTTCTTAAGACAGAACCTCACTCTGTTGCCCAGGCTGGAGTGCAGTGGCACAATCAACACTCACTGCAACCTCAAACTCCTGGGCTCAAGTGATTCTCCCGCCTCAGCCTCCTGAGTAGCTGGGATCGCAGGCACGTGCCGTCACACCTGACTAGTTTTTTAATTTTTTATAGATAGAGGATCTCACTATGATGCCTGGCCTGATCTTGAACTCCTGGCCTCAAGCACACTTCCTGCCTTGGCCTCCTAAAATGTTGGGATTACAGGCATGAGCCACTGTACCCAGTCAATTTCCATTTTTTTTTAAAAGCCATCTTCTTTCCATTACTTTCTGTTTCATGGAAAAGTGTTGAGGATTTCTACAAAGCAGTTAAGTGATATAAAGAAAACATCAAACACAATGGTTTAATATGTTGTTCCTAGCATTTTGACCAAGTTCCCTTCAATTTACCACAGTGACCGATTTTATATACCAAAAATACATTTGTCATAAGTCTAGGGATGCTAACCTTCTTCAGATCATGTCATACTTTCTATGGTTAGGATAAAACTTACAGCTGATAAACTTGTGTTTTGAAATCAACTAAAATTCAGCTGCCCTGCTGATGTTATGAAGAGAATTTATTGTCAATTTTGAGGCATAAAAGCATGATTTTTAAAAAATATCTCCACATTGTTCAAAGGTATTCACATACACATAAAATGTTCTTTTAAAACTACATCTTTTAAAACTTACAGCTGATAAACTTGTGTTTTGAAATCAACTAAAATTCAGCTGCCCTGCTGATGTTATGACCAGAATTTATTGTCAATTTTGAGGCATAAAAGCATGATATGTGTTTTTTTTTTAATATCTTCACATTGTTCAAAGGTATTTACACACACATAAATGTTCTTTTAAAACTACATCGGCAAGGGAGTGATAATTATGATTAGTATTGAAATAAATTTATTTTGTGTTTCCCACTGAAAAGACTTTATTCTGTTGGGGTGCCTCCCACTGGAGTTACACAGCACCTGCCTGCTGGACTTGCAGGCTGGAATAATACACTGTCCTTGACTGAGTACTATAATGCTGCAACGAATGGCATAGACATTGAAGCTGTAAGCTTGGGTCCAAACCCAACTTTGCTACTTATTTGCCATGCTTCCTTTGACCAGTTACCTAATTTCTCTTTGCTTCAATTTCTTTATTTGCGAAATGGAAATGTAATAGTATTACCTTTTAAGGTGGTATCTAATAACAGGGTGGTATCTAATAACAAGATTATTATTAGATATCTTGTTAGTATCAGAAAACCCACTTATCAAGCACATAATAAATATTAGCTATTAAAATTATTGTTGTCCCATTGATAGCCAGGTACATTTCTCTTCTTACAAGGCTACCAGTCCTATTAGATTAGGACATCATTTACCCCTAATTGTCTCCTAAAGGTCCTGTTTCCAAATACAGTCTCATTGTCAATATGTGAGTTTTGGGGGTACATAAACATTCAGTTCATGACACAGTCTAATAATGATCACAGTTCATAACAACATATCTAACAATAAGATATATTGTTAGTATCAAAAAACCCATAACAACATATCTAATTATTATAAAAAACCCATTTAGCAAGTGCATAATAAATATTAGCTATTATAGTTATTCTTGTTTATAATTATTGACAGGCAATTCCTAAGTCACTTTTACTTTTTTATACATATCTCGATCTTCTTCTGATTGGAACAGATACAGATGAAGGTCTTTTTAGCCATCTTGGCCTATTAGTTTTGTTTCTCCTTCATTTTCAATGGCTTTTTCTCATTTTCTATAAATGTAATTAAGGTCCTCCTATCCATTTCTAAAGCAAAGAAAGAAACCTTTCTTTGGTTCTTTTTTCTCTAAGTATGAATCTGTCCTCCTCTTTTCTGCCAGCTTCAGTATTTGGACATTCTCCATTTCCTCTTTTTTTTTTCTTCCTAATCATTCCTCAGTTTCTAATTAACTTTATTCTCATAAATACTCATTGAACATACACGTGTGCTGGGCACTGTGCTTGGAATGAGGATATGGTGGTGAATAAAATACATCCAGACTCTGCCTGCATAAAAATTCTTGTCCTTATTATTCCGCTGAAACTTCTCTCCATAAAAGTTATGAAAGATCTCCTAATTAAATAAGTTAATGACTTATTCTTTGTCTGTGTTTTATGTAACATCTCTAGGGCATTCAAGATGATAACATTCCTGAAACTGTGCTCCCACTGGCCTTCATTCTAGCTCTCTCTCTGGGTCTTTTTCTACCTCCCAGGACCTACAAGTTCGTTTTTTTAGGTTTCTGTTTCTAATCATATTTTAAGTATTCCCTAGAGTTTCATTTTAGGTTCTTGCTCCTAGGGATCTCAAGGTAGCATTTTCAGTTGTTTACAAAATATTCTAAACTATTAAATTCCAAAGATAGCTCAAAGTCATCATATTCAAACTTGCTCAGCCTCTCTCTCTCTCCCTCTCTCTCTCTCTCTCTCTCACACACACACATACACATACACTCTCTCTCTCTCTGTCACGCACACTCTCTCTCTCTGATCTGCTCCTTCCTGGCATTTGCTACTTCACTTAAAAGCATCACCCCTGATCCCTCCATTTCCCAAACTTGAAACCTGAGAACCAGCCTCAGTGTCTCTCTCTTTCTTACAAACTGTGTGCAATTGATCTAGTCCCACTGACTCTACTTCCTTAATAGCTCCTTAATATCCATATTCCCACCCTATATGTATGCCTCTAAGGGGACCTTCCTCTCCCTAAACCTTTTCAGCCATGTCAAATCTATCTAACTGATAAACCTAGCTAAATAAAAGTGGAATCTAAATCTTTCACTACCTCACCCCCAGTTTACTCTTATAGCATCTACTTCCTTTCTCCCACCCCAGCTGCTCTGAACTCATTTAGTACTCTTATGAACTGAAGGTTTATGGCACCACAAAACTCATTATGTTGACACCTTAACCCCCAGTGTGACTGTATTTGGAGACAGGACCTTTAGGAGATAATTAGGGGTAAGTGATGCCCTAATCTGATAGGACTGATCACCTTGTAAGAAGAGGAAAAGAGAGAGAAATCTTTTTCTCTGTCTTCTATATGAGGACACTACTGTTTACAAGACAGAAAGAGAGATCTCATCAAGAACCAAATCAGTTGGCACCTTGATTAGGGACTTCTAGCCTCCAGGACTGTAAGTTAATACATTTTTGTTATTTAAGTCAATCAGCCTATGGTATTTTGTTATGGCAGCCTGAGAAGACTAATACACGAGGTCCAAGTAAACTTCAGAGAAGTTCAAAGTTTCATTTCTGACCACTGGTTGTTATTTGACAATACCATGCCTCTGCAGTCTCTCTTTTCTTTTTCTAGAATTCTTTCTGCTTTCCTCATGTATAAAATTCTCCTTCTCTTCTAAGAGCAAGTTTAGTTATTTCCTCCTTCATCTTTTCTAAGTGTGTTCACTCATGGAAGCAGCATTAGTAACATTTACTTTTGGAACCTATGTATTTGTATTAAAGCAATGGCAACATTGCATTTTTATATTTCTCTGCCTTACAAGTAAGCTGATTAAGCCAAGGGGAATTTTATTCTTCTTCATACTTCCAGGGCTAAGCAGACCGTTTCGCTATTTAGTAAATACTGTTGAATGAACTAAAGGATTGATGAATGAATGAACAATATAAAGGCTGAATGCATTTCCCTAAAGCACTGATACTAAGTTGGAGAATGAACCAACATTCTTTAGAGCAGTGGTCCCCAACCTTTTTGGCACCAGGGAGGGGTTTTGTGGAAGACAATTTTTCTGCAACCTGTGGGGGGTTGCAGGGAGCGGAGTGGGATGAAACTGTTCCACCTCAGATCATCAGGCATTGGTTAGATTCTCATAAGGAGCGTGCAACCTGGATCCCTCCCGCAGGTGCAGTTCACAATAGGGTTTGCGCTCCTACGAGAATCTAATGCCACAGCTGCTCTGACAGGAGGCAGAGCTCAGGCAGTAATGTTCACTTGCCCACCACACCCCTTCTGCTGTGCAGCCAGTCTCCTAACAGTTCAAGGACCAGTACAGTCCACGTTGAACCTAGGGGTTGGGGACGCCTGCCTTAGAGTATATTCTCTTTCTGTGCTACCGATTTACTAATTTATTCAGTATTATTTATTAAATAGTTAATAGTTTGTACCATTAGCTTTATTCCACTCAGCAGGGAGAGGACTGGTGAGTTGAAAGAAAGGAAAAAAATTGGTTTCATAAATAGTTCAGTTTTTTTTGTTTTTTAAAAACATGTTTAGATCATGATGGAAGCAAAGTATAACTATTCATTCTAATAATAAGACCTTCCAATAAACACTGAATGTGTCACTTTTATAGGCTTCAGAGAATAACAATGGGTTTATATAAACAGCTGAAAATTTTCCTCTTTGGTAGGCAAGATCTTCTATTATCTTGTATAAAGAACTGTTTTAGCTATACAAATAAAATGAATTTAGAGTTTGAAAGGAAAATTTTTAGAGGCAACAATAGTCACCAGTAAGATTCTGAATAAATACAAAATATAGTCTTAATATTAACAGTGTTAGAATAATCCAGCCAATGTAATTTCATGTTTTTAATGGGCAATAAGGAAATAATAATATATCTTAGCATTGGTTCCAAAATTTTAACCTGATGTAATTTGCACTTTCATTTTTAATATAATGTTGTGAATAGTAACTTCCATTATGACTGCCTCCCTTTGTTCTAATGAAATTTGTGACCCAACAGTAGTACCTTAAAAATTAAACTTTTGGAGGGGAGGAGCCAAGATGGCCGAATAGGAACAGCTCCGGTCTACAGCTCCCAGCGTGAGCGACGCAGAAGACGGGTGATTTCTGCATTTCCATCTGAGGTACCCGGTTCATCTCACTAGGGAGTGCCAGACAGTGGGCACAGGTCAGTGGGTGCGCACACCGTGCGCGAGCCGAAGCAGGGCGAGGCATTGCCTCACTCGGGAAGTGCAAGGGGTCAGGGAGTTCCCTTTCTGAGTCAAAGAAAGGGGTCACAGACGGCACCTGGAAAATCGGGTCACTCCCACCCAAATACTGCACTTTCCCGACGGCCTTAAAAAACGGTGCACCAGGAGATTATATCCTGCACCTGGCTCGGAGGGTCCTATGCCCACGGAGTCTCGCTGATTGCTAGCACAGCAGTCTGAGATCAAACTGCAAGGCGGCAGCAAGGCTGGGGGAGGGGCGCCCGCATTGCCCAGGCTTGCTTAGGTAAACAAAGCAGCGGGGAAGCTCAAACTGGGTGGAGCCCACCACAGCTCAAGGAGGCCTGCCTGCCTCTGTAGGCTCCACCTCTGGGGGCAGGGCACAGACAAACAAAAAGACAGCAGTAACCTCTGCAGACTTAAATGTCCCTGTCTGACAGCTTTGAAGAGAGCAGTGGTTCTCCCAGCACGCAGCTGGAGATCTGAGAACGGGCAGACTGCCTCCTCAAGTGGGTCTCTGACCCCTGACCCCCGAGCAGCCTAACTGGGAGGCACCCCCCAGCAGGGGCAGACTGACACCTCACACAGCTGGGTACTCCTCTGAGACAAAACTTCCAGAGGAACGATCAGACAGCAGCATTCGCAGTTCACGAAAAACTGCTTTTCTGCAGACACCACTGCCGATACCCAGGCAAACAGGGTCTGGAGTGGACCTCTAGCAAACTCCAACAGACCTGCAGCTGAGGGTCCTGTCTGTTAGAAAGAAAATTAACGAACAGAAAGTACATCCACACCAAAAACCCGTCTGTACATCACCATCATCAAAGACCAAAAGCAGATAAAACCACAAAGATGATCAAACTACTCTGAGCTACAGGAGGAAATTCAAACCAAAGGCAAAGAAGTTGAAAACTTTGAAAAAAATTTAGAAGAATGTATAACTAGAATAACCAATACAGAGAAGTGCTTAAAGGAGCTGATGGAGCTGAAAGCCAAGGCTCGAGAACTACATGAAGAATGCAGAAGCCTCAGGAACCGACGTGATCAACTGGAAGAAAGGGTATCAGCGATGGAAGATGAAATGAATGAAATGAAGCGAGAAGGGAAGTTTAGAGAAAAAAGAATAAAAAGAAATGAACAAAGCCTCCAAGAAATATGGGACTATGTGAAAAGACCAAATCTACGTCTGATTGGTGTACCTGAAAGTGACGGGGGAGAATGGAACCAAGGTGGAAAACACTCTGCAGGATATTATCCAGGAGAACTTCCCCAATCTAGCAAGGCAGGCCAACATTCAGATTCAGGAAATACAGAGAACGCCACAAAGATACTCCTCGAGAAGAGCAACTCCAAGACACATAATTGTCAGATTCACCAAAGTTGAAATGAATGAAAAAATGTTAAGGGCAGCCAGAGAGAAAGGTCGGGTTACCCACAAAGGGAAGCCCATCAGACTAACAGCGGATCTCTCGGCAGAAACCCTACAAGCCAGAAGAGAGTGGGGGCCAATATTCAACATTCTTAAAGAAAAGAATTTTCAACCCAGAATTGCATATCCAGCCAAACTAAGCTTCATAAGTGAAGGAGAAATAAAATACTTTACAGACAAGCAAATGCTGAGCGATTTTGTCACCACCAGGCCTGCCCTAAAAGAGCTCCTGAAGGAAGCGCTAAACATGGAAAGGAACAACCGGTACCAGCCACTGCAAAATCATGCCAAAATGTAAAGACCATCGAGACTAGGAAGAAACTGCATCAACTAACGAGCAAAATAACCAGCTAACATCATAATGACAGGATCAAATTCACACATAACAATATTAACTTTAAATGTAAATGGACTAAATGCTCCAATTAAAAGACACAGACTGGCAAATTGGATAAAGAGTCAAGACCCATCAGTGTGCTGTATTCAGGAAACCCATCTCACATGCAGAGACACACATAGGCTCAAAATAAAAGGATGGAGGAAGATCTACCAAGCAAATGGAAAACAAAAAAAGGCAGGGGTTGCAATCCTAGTCTCTGATAAAACAGACTTTAAACCAACAAAGATCAAAAGAGACAAAGAAGGCCATTACATAATGGTAAAGGGATCAATTCAACAACAAGAGCTAACTATCCTAAATATAAATGCACCCAATACAGGAGCACCCAGATTCATAAAGCAAGTCCTGAGTGACCTACACAGAGACTTAGACTCCCACACAATAATAATGGGAGACTTTAACACCCCACTGTCAACATTAGAGAGATCAACGAGACAGAAAGTCAACAAGGATACCCAGGAATTGAATTCAGCTCTGCACCAAGCGGACCTAATAGACATCTACAGAACTCTCCACCCCAAATCAATAGAATATACATTTTTTTCAGCACCACACCACACCTATTCCAAAATTGAACACATACTTGGGAGTAAAGCTCTCCTCAGCAAAGGTAAAAGAACAGAAATTATAACAAACTGTCTCTCAGACCACAGTGCAATCAAACTAGAACTCAGGATTAAGAATCTCACTCAAAACTGCTCAACTACACAGAAACTGAACAACCTGCTCCTGAATGACTACTGGGTACATAATGAAATGAAGGCAGAAATAAAGATGTTCTTTGAAACCAATGAGAACAAAGACACAACATACCAGAATCTCTGGGACACATTCAAAGCAGTGTGTAGAGGGAAATTTATAGCACTAAATGCCCACAAGAGAAAGCAGGAAAGATCCAAAATTGACACCCTAACATCACAATTAAAAGAACTAGAAAAGCAAGAGCAAACACATTCAAAAGCTAGCAGAAGGTAAGAAATAGGTAAAACCAGAGCAGAACTGAAGGAAATAGAGACACAAAAAACCCTTAAAAAAAATTAATGAATCCAGGAGCTGGTTTTTTGAAACGATCAACAAAATTGATACACCGCTAGCAAGACTAATAAAGAAAAAAAGAGAGAAGAATCAAATAGACGCAATAAAAAATGATAAAGGGGATATCACCACCGATCCCACAGAAATACAAACTACCATCAGAGAATACTACAAACACCTCTATGCAAATAAACTAGAAAATCTAGAAGAAATGGATAAATTCCTGGACACATACACTCTCCCAAGACTAAACCAGGAAGAAGTTGAATCTCTGAATAGACCAATAACAGGAGCTGAAATTGTGGCAATAATCAATAGCTTACCAACCAAAAAGAGTCCAGGACCAGATGGACTCACAGCTGAATTCTACCAGAGGTACAAGAAGGAACTGGTACCATTCCTTCTGAAACTATTCCAATCAATAGAAAAAGAGGGAATCCTCCCTAACTCATTTTATGAGGCCGGCATCATCCTGATACCAAAGCCTGGCATAGACACAACCAAAAAAGAGAATTTTAGACCAATATCCTTGATGAACATTGATGCAAAATTCCTCAATAAAATACTGGCAAACCGAATCCAGCAGCACATCAAAAAGCTTATCCACCATGATCAAATGGGCTTCATCCCTGGGATGCAAGGCTGGTTCAATATACACAAATCAATAAATGTAATCCAGCGTATAAACAGAACCAAAGACAAAAACCACATGATTATCTCAATAGATGCAGAAAAGGCCTTTGACAAAATTCAACAACTCTTCATGCTAAAAACTCTCAATAAATTAGGTATTGATGGGACGTATCTCAAAATAATAAGAGCTATCTATGACAAACCCACAGCCAATATCATACTGAATGGGCAAAAACTGGAAGCATTCCCTTTGAAAACTGGCACAAGACAGGGATGCCCTCTCTCACCACTCCTATTCAACATAGTGTTGGAAGTTCTGGCCATGGCAATTAGGCAGGAGAAGGAAATAAAGGGTATTCAATTAGGAAAAGAGGAAGTCAAATTGTCCCTGTTTGCAGATGACATGATTGTATATCTAGAAAACCCCATTGTCTCAGCCCAAAATCTCCTTAAGCTGATAAGCAACTTCAGGAAAGTCTCAGGATACAAAATCAATGTACAAAAATCACAAGCATTCTTATACACCAATAACAGACAAACAGAGAGCCAAATCATGAGTGAATTCCCATTCACAATTGCTTCAAAGAGAAAAAATACCTAGCAATCCAACTTACAAGGGATGTGAAGGACCTCTTCAAGGAGAACTACAAACCACTGCTCAAGGAAATAAAAGAGGATACAAAGAAATGGAAGAACATTCCATGCTCATGGGTAGGAAGACTCAATATCATGAAAATGGCCATACTGCCCAAGGTAATTTACAGATTCAATGCCATCCCCATCAAGCTACCAATGACTTTCTTCACAGAATTGGAAAAAACTACTTTAAAGTTCATATGGAACCAAAAAAGAGCCCACATTGCCAAGTCAATCCTAAGCCAAAAGAACAAAGCTGGAGGCATCACGCTACCTGACTTCAAACTATACTACAAGCCTACAGTAACCAAAACAGCATGGTACTGGTACCAAAACAGAGATATAGATCAATGGAACAGAACAGAGCCCTCAGAAATAATGGCACATATCTACAACTATCTGATCTTTGACAAACCTGAGAAAAACAAGCAATGGGGAAAGGATTCCCTATTTAATAAATGGTGCTGGGAAAACTGGCTAGCCATATGTAGAAAGCTGAAACTGGATCCCTTCCTTACACCTTATACAAAAATCAATTCAAGATGGATTAAAGATAGACCTAAAACCATAAAAACCCTAGAAGAAAACCTAGGCATTACCATTCAGGACATAGGCATGGGCAAGGACTTCATGTCTAAAACACCAAAAGCAATTGCAACAAAAGCCAAAATTGACAAATGAGATCTAATTAAACTAAAGAGCTTCTGCACAGCAAAAGAAACTACCATCAGAGTGAACAGGCAACCTACAAAATGGGAGAAAATTTTCGTAACCTACTCATCTGACAAAGGGCTAATATCCAGAATCTACAATGAACTCAAACAAATTTACAAGAAAAAAACAAACAACCCCATCAACAAGTGGGCAAAGGACATGAACAGACACTTCTCAAAAGAAGACATTTATGCAGCCGACAAAGACATGAAAAAATGCTCACCATCACTGGCCATCAGAGAAATGCAAATCAAAACCACAATGAGATACCATCTCACACCAGTTAGAATGGCAATCATTAAAACGTCAGGAAACAACAGGGACTGGAGAGGATGTGGAGAAATAGGAACACTTTTACACTGTTGGTGGGACTGTAAACTAGTTCAACCATTGTGGAAGTCAGTGTGGCGATTCCTCAGGGATCTAGAACTAGAAATACCATTTGACCCAGCCATCCCATTACTGGGTATATACCCAAAGGATTATAAATCATGCTGCTATAAAGACACATGCACACGTATGTTTGTTGTGGCATTATTCACAATAGCAAAGACTTGGAACCAACCCAAATGTCCAACAATGATAGACTGGATTAAGAAAATGTGGCACATATACACCATGGAATACTATGCAGCCATAAAAAATGATGAGTTCATGTCCTTTGTAGGGAGATGGATGAAATTGGAAATCATCATTCTCAGTAAAGTATCGCAAGAACAAAAAACCAAACACCGCATATTCTCACTCATAAGTGGGAATTGAACAATGAGAACACATGGACACAGGAAGGGGAACATCACACTCTGGGGACTGTTGTGGGGTGGGTGGGGGGAGTGGGGAGGGATAGCATTGAGAGATATACCTAATGCTAGATGACAAGTTAGTGCGTGCAGTGCACCAGCATGGCACATGTATTCATACGTAACCTGCACATTGTGCACATGTACCCTAAAACTTAAAGTATAATAATAATAAATTTAAAAAAATTAAACTTTTTAGTGTTACTATTTGCATCAGTTTATCAAAGTTTGCTATTTAGTTGTTAGGGTTTTAAAAAGTAACATCTGAGGAAGCTTTAGCAATTTAGTGTAGACACTGTATTGCACAGAAGAAGGGCCTGTGTTCCCGGGAAATGTTTATGTACCTGAGGTTACATATGTCATTCACGATACAGAACATAGAAAGATCTTCAACCTTTCAGCACTATTGTGTAGGAAGGCTCTGCTAACACTCAATTAAAACAATTTTCATGGTGAATAAGAATCAAGGTATAATAATGAAAAGGATGCAGAATATGATTTTATCAGTCCTGGATTTGAGAGCAGCCTGTGTGCCTTCCTTGCAGACTCCAAGGCCTGAGTAAGTGACTCATTGTATCTTCTGCAGCATCACTTGTGAAGTAGTAACAGTAACTCCCATCTCACTGTAATATTTTGAGGTCAATAAGGGCATGCATTCTGTTCACCATTGTATTGCCAGAGCTTAGCACGGTGCCTGGCACACAGGACATCCCCCAAAACTATCAGTTGAGTGAATAAAGAATGAAAAAATGTGTGAATTAAGAAAAGAGTTTGGAGGTAGAGTGTTCAGGATCCACTTTATGTAGTTGTTTAAGCTGGAACAGGTGTTGATTTGAATCATTAATTTTATAATACATCTCATATTAATAATGTGTATTATTTATTATTTAGTCTGCTGTAACTGACTTATTAAAGCTATGGACTTGCCCAGTTGCAGTAGGAAGTCTCTTCAGCCTTTCTCACCATCCCTCGTTAACTCACTTTCTCAGTCAGGATATATTTTCCCACTTCTGGATTCATCCCTAGGCTGTCACTCTATAGTTTCCCACTGCTTTGTATTGGTAGTTATAGAAGTCTGACCAACTCTGGTATCACAGCTTGAATCTTCACCAAATTTAAAGCTCCTCCATCCCCTAGACCAGGTCTACTTCAGACGTGGCAAGCTGTAATGAGAAAGGATGCAGTGGTTGATGCCTCTGTTTTTCTCTCCACTTATTTAGTACTCTGCTACTTTCACTTTCACTGATCCCCAAGGTAGGTAACTTAGGGGAGGAAAGAGAGTTAAGAGGACAGAAAGATTTTCATTCAGCTTTTACAGTTATAATCTGGAATTGGTATTCCCTGAGTACGGCAGATGGTGAGCTTACATTTTCTCTTGTGGGATTCTTATATGGATTACTAGAAAATTCTGTGCTGCTGGAGTGCCACAAAGTCAATTTTCCTGATGCTCATAACTAACTTCCTGCTCCCCTCCCAGTCCTGCTGCTATGGTCCCATTATCTATCTAGAACGATCCTCTTGGGTGGAATCCCTGTTAAGACAAACCCCAAAGAGCTCACTTCCATGGAGCTTGCCTCTGGCCCATGAGTATATTAGTTTGTGAGGGCTGCCATGACAAAACATCACAGAATATAAATTTAACAACAGAAATCTATATCCTCACAGTTTTGGAGGCCAGAAGTGTGAGACTGAAGTGTCAGCAGGTTTTTTGTTTCTTTTTTTTTAATTTATTTTTTTCCTGAGTCCTCTGTCCTTGTCTTGTAAATGGCAGTGTTCTCTCACTGTCTTCACGTGATTTTCCCTGTGGGTGTGTCTGTGTTCAAATTTCCTCTTACAAGGACATCAGTCATATTGGGTTAGGATCTACCCTAATGACCTAACGTTATCTCTTTTAAGGTCCTATCTCCAAGTAGAGTAACATTCTCAGGTACTGGGGGTTAGGACGTCAACATATAAACTTTGAGGGGATGCAATTCAGAACATACAAGAAATACACATATTCAAGCCTGGCCAACCAAATTCTGCAAGTTCAGGCAATCACCAACAAAGCCTTTTCTCTTGTAGTTTGGCCACCAGTCAGCTCCATCTGATTGGACTCATCTGCAAGTCAGACACCAGTTCCTATGTCCTTCAAATTCCAGAGGACACATGCCAAGTTTTCCCAGTGGTTCTCTTGTTTTGAAGAGTGTGTAGAGGAATCTTCAACTCAGTCATTGAAAATTCCCTCTTCAAAGAAACCCCTTTATAGGCATCTTCCATCTCTTCTTTTACATGTCTGATGGCAAGGGTGGTGATTGATTAATGACAGCAGGATCACAAGGACATGGGTGGTCCAATGCTTTGACTCCTATCATATTGTTCCTGGTTTGGGGAGCTTTTCTGGAAGCTCTTCTGCTATTATAAGTAATACTTTAATGAGTGTACAGGTACTAAGATCACTGTATACATTCATGCTATTTACTTATTTACTAGATACATTTGTATAAGTCATTATTTATGGTGTCTTTTGATAAGTGAAATGTTTTATTTTTAATGTTAAAATTTTTGGTCTTTTTATTTATAGTTTGGGTTTTGATGTTTTATTTTAGAAAATTTTCTCTGATCAGAAATCATAAACATATTTATGTATATTTCCACATAGGAGGATTATGATTTCTGCTTTTAGGATTTTAAAGGACCTAGAATGAATTTTAAAATTTATGGTATGGGGTATGAATCTCATTTTTTCCATATGATAACATAATCATTGTCCCAAAAGCACTGTTTGAGGAGTTCATCCTTCCTCTATTGACTTTTAAGGCCACCAGTGTCATATATCAAGCGTCCATATATGTACAAGACTGTTTCTGTGTTCTGTATTCTGTTATGTTGATTTTTTTGTTGATTCCCATATCACTACAACACTATCATAATTACTACAGCTTTGTAAGTAGTCTTGACGTTTGGTGGGGCAAGTTTCCTAAAACTTCAAAATGAAATTGTCTTAGCTATTCTTCACCCTTGTGTATTTGATAATGAGTTTTAGAATAAGTTTCTCAGGTTCCACGAAAAACTTATAAGGACATTTTGTTTGAAAATAGATGAAATGTATAGATCCGTTAGAGAGAATTGGCATTTTAATAAAGTTCCGCCTGCATTAATGTATTTATCCATTTAAGTAATTCCTGTTTTGTGAGCTTCAATAATACAGAAAATTTTTTCTAAGCAATTTGAGTTGTCCTGTTAGATTTTTTCTTTAATGCCTTATAAGTTGCAGCCTCCTCAAATCATAGTATTCATATGAGAAAAAGCCAGCAGTGGAACACCAATTTCTTAGCCCCGTGCCAGTCCCCTTTCTAAAACTCAGTGCTCTTCACATTTAAGCTTTTAGGAGGGTATAGTTAAGTAGAAAGTACGGAGAAGTAGGCAGAGATGAGACAGAGGGTATTTAATTAATGTAAAATTGAAATCATCAATGACATTGGAAAAAATAAAGTGCTTTTCTTTGGACTATGTGTGCACAGGCTCCCAGAGACCAAATGAAAAATCCTTGTTCAGTTCTTTTCCACTTGGGGACTCTGCTATGTGATTTAACTTAGCAGTGACATCTACTCAAAGAATTAAAAACAGAAAATGGATGACAGTTCATAGACTGCTAATATCATTCTTTATTAAGCTAGTCTAGCGTTGAGAGGTGTTTCAATATGTAATTTGACATAGAGTTCACCTCAGAAAGGCAGAATAAGTTTTTTTGTTTTCTATTAAGTGGCTCCTTCAAAAAACATTGATTTACTGTTATAATCCAGGCACCATACCAGGTGCTGAGGAAGACAAAATGAGTATGACAGTCTTCAACCTCAAAGAACTTACAAGGAGATAAGACACCCAAGTGTGCAGTGAAGAGTTCCAGGGGATATGGCAATATATGTGCAGGGCACAGTGGGCATTCCCAGGAATGGATGATCATTTCTACCTTGGATTACCAGAACAGCTAAATTTCCCAGAAAGTTGGCTGTGGCTGGGATGCAATAGAGAGGGAGTAATTATATAGGCAAAAGATGTGACATAAACTTGGAGGCACGAAGCGTTCTGGTATGTTAAAGAAACTGGTAGTAGTTTTAAGTATGGAATATGATGTGAGAGGGCTTCGAGGAGAAGACAAAAGACCAGTAGAGACCAGACCACAGATGCTTCATAGTTTATTCCAGGGATGTAGACAGTGTAGGCAGTAAGAAAAACTGAAGGAGGGAATGGAATTAGAAAAATCTCACTCTAACTAAAATTAGGACAACAGCTCAGGAAGTGCAGAAACTGGAGACACGGAGACCAGACAATTGCAGTAGTGTGAGTGAGAGATGACGTGGGACTAAAATAAAGCAATCACAGTGGAAATAGAGAAAAATGGATGGGTGAAGATTTATTCAGGTGGTGGAATCAGTAGGACTTTGAAACAGTGTGTATGTGGAGAATAGGGATGTGGGTGCTCAGGAACAGCTATGATTATGAGAAGATTTCTGGATATCTGGCTTGGAAAATCAAGTGACTTCTAGCTGCCCTGGTTCTAGTCATATGATAGTACTGCTCATCCACCTAGGTAGATTTGCTTCTATGTGATTCATAGAAGTTTCATTATGTAGCAAGTGAACTGTAAATTGAATGTAGGTCTTGAGATGTACATTTTAATAGGTTATGGGAGATTAAATTTTAGAATTTCCACTTGAAAAAAGATTTCACAGAACACCTCTGAGTAACAATAAAGTACTACAATTAGTTTGCAACTGTTCTAAGGCATAGATGTAAGGTGTAGATCATTTTCAATAGCTTGTTGCCATATCTCAATCAGCTGACTCTTTAAACATTTGCATTTACCTTTGTAATCTAGATATAGACTACTCATCTTGATTTCTGAGGATGTTCAGGCCTGAATGAACAACTGATCTGATTCAAAATCACCTGAAGGAACATAAAAATGTAATCGTGTTTATATTTTTTCCCTATCAAAATAAGTTAATAGGCAGTAAGAAAAGACTTCTATGTTTACTTGTCAGTGTGAGAAAAATTGGCACTTTAGAGTTACAGGTCACCTGCATTCTTATGCAAAATTTGAATGCATATTCAACAAAAAAGAACAAGTATTACATTATATATAAATAACCAAGGTGACTCAAATAGTAAGCCGTTAGGAAAAAAAATCTCAAAAATCAACCTTTAAGAAACTTGACAGTCATTTCAATAAGCCATTAGGTATTCAGAAATGTTGATTATATGTTGATTAAAATTAGAAAAATAACTCAGAAAATTAGAATTTAAAGTGTATCCTTTTATTAAAAACGTTGATCTAATTCCTTTGTACTTCTTGCTCCCAAATATACGTGAATATTATTACTACTAACTAAAGAAGGGGTTGCTATAAATGAGTAGATGACTAATGTATTTCTGTTTAACTACTAATTAATTAATTTTGCTAAGGGTGAGTGGGGAAATGTATTTTGGATTTTCTATTTCATATACACTTTTATCAATGAGATAGTCAGATTATTTAATTCTCTTTGAGTTTTTCTTTTCTTGTAGTTTAATTAATGAGAAGATTTTAGTGTTTCATTATCTTGCAAAAGAGTTGTACTATAGAAATACAAACAATTGTCAGAGAATATTATAAACCCCTCTATGCAAATGAACTAGAAAGCCTAGAAGAAATGGATAAATTCCTGGGCACATACACCCTTCCAAGACTGAACCAGGAAGAAATTGAATCCCTGAACTGACCAATAATGAGTTCTGAAATAGAGGCAGTAATAAATAGCCTGCCAACTAAAAGGCCCAGCACCAGATGGATTCACAGTTGAATTCTACCAGATGTACAAAGAAGAGCTGGTATCATTCCTACTGAAACTATTCCGAAAAATTGAAAAGGAGGGACTTCTCCCTAACTCATTTTAGGAGACAGCATCATCCTGATACCAAACCTGGCAGAGATACAATAAAAAAAAGAAAACTTCAGGCCAATATTCTTGATGAACATCAATGCAAAAATCTTCAACAGAATACTGGCAAACTGAATCCAGCAGCACATCAAAAAGCTTATTCATGACAATCAAGTAGGCTTTATCCTAGGGATGCAAGGTTGGTTCAAAATATGCAAATCAATAAATGTGATTCATCACATAAACAGAACTAAAGACAAAAAGCACATGATTATCTCAATAAATGCCAAAAAGGCTTTTGATAAAATGCAGTATCCCTTCATGTTGAAAACTCTCAATAGACTAGATATTGAAGGAACATACCTCAAAATAATAAGAACCATCTATGACAAACCCATAGCCAACATCATACTGAATGGGCAAAATCTGGAAGCATTCCCATTGAAAACCAGCACAAGACAAATGTACCCTCTCTCAACACTCACATTCAACATAGTATTGGAATTTCTGGCCAGGGAAATCAAGGCAAGAGAAAGATATAAAGGCATTCAAATAGGAAGAGAGGAAGTCAAACTGTCCCCATTTACAGATGACATGATCGTATATATAGATCCTGTATCTAGAAAACCGCATCATCTCAGCCCAAAAGCTTCTTAAGCTAATAAACAATTTCAGCAAAGTCTCAGGATACAAAAATCAATGTGCAAAGAGTGCTAGCATTCCTATATACCAACAACAGTCAAGCCGAGAGCCAAATCATGAATGAACTCCCATTCACAATTGCCACAAAAAAGAATAAAATACCTAGGAATACAGCTAACCAGGGAGGTGAATTATCTTTACAAGGAGAACTACAAACCACTACTCAAAGAAATCATAGATGACACAAACAAATGGAAAATCATTCCATGCTCATGGATAGGAATAATCAATATATTGAAAATGACCACACTGCCTAAAGCAATTTATAGATTTAATGCTATTCCCATTAAACTACCACTGACATTCTTCACAGAACGAGAATAAGCTGTTTTAAAATTCATATGAAACCAAAAAAAGAGCCCAAATAGCCAAGGAAGTCCTAAGCAAAAAGAACAAAGCTGGAGGCATCACACTATCTGACTTCAGAGTATACTACAGAGCTACGGTAATGAAAACAGCATGGTCCTGGTACATCAGCAAGCACATAGACCAGTGGAACAGAATAGAACAAGACTGAAAACCTGTAACTATCTGATCTTCAACAAACCTGACAAAAACAAACAACAGGGAAGGGATTCCCTATTCAATAAATGGTGATGGGTTAACTGACTAGACATATGCAGAAGATTGAAACTGGACTCCTTCCTTATACCATATACAAAAATAAAGATGAATTACATACTTACATGTAAAATCCCAAACTATAAAAACCTGGGGTGACAACCTAGGCAATACCATTCAGGACATAGGCATGGGCAATGATTTTATGATGAAAACACCAAAAGCAATTGCAAAAAAAAGCCAATATTGACAAATGGGATCTAATTAAATTAAAGAGCTTCTGCACAGCAAAAGAAACTATCATCAGAGTGAACAGACAACCTACAGAATGGGAGAAAATTTTTAAAATCTATCTGGCCAAGGTCTAATATCCAGAGTCTACAAGAAACTTATATTTACAAGAAAAAACAACCCCATTAAAAAGTGGGCAAAGGACATGAACAGACACTTTTCAAAAGAATATATACATGTAGCCAACAATCATATGAAAAACTCAACATCACTGATCATTACAGGAGTGCAAATGTAAACCACAAATGAGATACCATCTCACATCTGTAAGAATAGCGATTATTAAAAAGTAAAAAAAAAAACAAAAAAAACAGATGGTAGGAAGGTTGTGAAAAAAAAGGAATGCTTATACACTGTTGATGGGAGTGTAAGTTAGTTCAGCCACTGTGGAAGACAGTGTGGTGATTCCTCCTCAAAGACCTAAGGACAGAAATACCATTTGACCCAGCAATTTCATTACTGGGTATATACCTAAAGGAATATAAATCATTCTATTATAAAGATACATGCATGTGTATGTTCATTGCAGCACTATTCACAACAGCAAAGACATGGAATCAACCTAAATGTCCATCAGTGATAGACTGGATAAAGAAAATGTGGTACATACAGAACATGGAATATCAAGCAGCCATAAAAAATGAGATCATGTCCTTTGCAGGGACATGGATGGAGGCCATCATCCTTAGCAAACTAACACAGGAACAGAAATCCAAATACTGCATGTTCTCACTTCTAAGTAGGAGCTAAATGTTGAGAACACACAAACACATAGAGGGGAGCAACACACACTGGGGCCTTTTGGAGGGTAGAGGGTAAGAAGAGGGAGAGGATCAGGAAAAACAACTAATGGGTACTAGCTTAATACCTGGGTGACAAAATAATCTGTACAACAGACTCCCATGACACAAGTTTACCTATATAACAAACCTGCGATTGGACTCCTAAACTTAAAATAAAAGTTAAAAAAAGATTAAATTTGAGAAGTTTTGAAGAGGTTATTTTTTCCTTATAATAGGTCTAAACTGTAAGAGTTCCATACATTATTAGCAGATGATCACTTGTGTAGTAAAAGCGTTCATTTTGATTAATTTTTAAAAATTCAATTTGTATAGCTTTTGAGGAAGAAGGATCAATGACATTTCTTATTTTTATGAATTGAAGAATAATTGTGACAGTGTTACTTAACTGTTTGACTCACTGCTGTTTTTTGTTGTTGTTCAGTTTTAAATTAGTCATGCAATTCCAAAGCAGTTTGTAAGGGTAACAATTGAACATATTGAATCTTGAGAATTTACATAAAATATAGCAGATTAAAGGGTTTTTCCCAATATCCTTAGACTGTGGGGATTATAAATTATATTTTCAGAATTGTATTTTACAGAGGCCATATTTGTATATTGGAGAAGAAATAAAATCATTGGAAACATTATTTTTATGTTTTACAAAATATACTTTTTACAAAACTGATGCTATAGGTTTTCCCCCACATTTCAGTAATTATTAGAAAATTCACTGGAAATGTAGATGGTGGCATTATTTCTGAGGCCTCTGTTCTGTTTAGTTGGTCTATATATCTGTTTTGGTACCAGCACCATGCTGTTTTGGTTACTGTAGCCTTGTAGTATAGTTTGAGGTCAGGTAGCATGATGCTTCCAGCTTTGTTCTTTTGGCTTAGGATTCTCTTGGCTATATGGGTTCTTTTTTGGTTCCATATGAAATTTAAAGTAGTTTTTTTTTAATTCTGTGAAGAAAGTCAATGGTAACTTGATGGGGATGGCAGTGAATCTATAAATTGCTTTAGAAAGTATGGTCATTTTCATGATATAGATTCTTCCTGTGCATGAGCATGGAATGCTTTTCCATTGGTTTGTGTCTTCTCTTATTTCCTTGAGCAGTGGTTTGTAGTTCTCCTTGAAGAGGTCCTTCATATCCCTTGTAAGTTGGATTCCTTGGTATTTTGTTCTCTTTGTAGCAATTGTGAATGGAAGTTCTACTCATGATTTGGCTCTCTGTTTGTCTATTATTGGTGTTTAGGAATGCTTGTGATTTTTGCACATTGATTTTGTATCCTGAGACTTTGCTGAAGTTGCTTATTAGCTTAAGGAGATTTTGGGCTGAGATGATGGGGTTTTCTAAATATACAATCATGTCATCTACAAACAGAGACAATTTGACTTTCTCTCTTCCTATTTGGATATCCTTTATTTCTTTCTCTTGCCTGATTGCCCTGGCCAGAATTTCCAATACTGTGTTGAATAGTAGTGGTGAGAAAGGGCATCCTTGTCTTGTGCCAATTTTCAAAGGGAATTCTTCCAGCTTTTGCCCATTCGGTATGATATTGGCTGTTTGGTTTATCATAAATAGCTCTTATTATTTTGAGATACATTCCATCAATACCTAGTTTATTGAGAGTTTTTAGCATGAAGGGGTATTGAATTTTATCAAAGGCTTTTCTGCATCTATTGGAATAATTATGTGGTTTTTGTCATTGGTTCTGTTTATGTCATAGATTACATTTATTGATTTGTGTATGTCGAACTAGCCTTTCATCCCAGGGATGAAGCTGTCTTGATCATGGTGCCTAAGCTTATTGAAATCCTTGACAAACCTGCCAAAACAAGCAATGGGGAAAGGATTATCTATTTAATTACTGGTGTTAGGAAAACTGGCTAGCCATATGCAGAAAACTGATATTGGACCCCTTCCTTATACCTTATACAAAAATTAACTCGAGATGGATTAAAGACTTAAATGTAAGACTTAAAACTATAAAAACCCTAGAAGAAAACCTGGGCAATACCATTCAGGACATAGGCATGGGCAAGGACTTCATGACTAAAACACCAAAAGCAATGGCAACAAAAGCCAAAATTGACAAATGGGATCGAATTAAACTAAAGAGCTTCTGCACAGCAAAAGAAACTATCATCAGAATGAACAGGCAACCTACAGAATGGGAGAAAATTTTTGCAATCTATTCATCTGACAAAGGGCTAATATCCAGAATCTACAAAGAAATTAAACAAATTTACAAGAAAAAAACAACCGCATCAAAAAGTGGCCGAAGGATATGAACAGACACTTCTGGAAAGAAGACATTTATATGGCCAAGAAACATATGAAAAAAAGCTCATAGTCACTGGTCATTAGAGAAATGCAAATCAAAACCACAATGAGATACCATCTCACACCAGTTAGAATGGTGATCGTTAAAAAGTCAGGAAACAACAGATGCTGGAGAGGATGTGGAGAAATAGGAATACTTTTACACTGTTGGTAAATTAGTTCAAGAATTGTGGAAGACAGGGTGCTGATTCCTCAAGGATCTAGAACCAGAAATATCATTTGACTCAGCCATCCCATTACTGGGTATACACCCAAAGTATTGTAAATCATTCTAGCATAAAGACACATGCACATGTATGTTTATTGCAGCACAGTTCACAATAGCAAAGACTTGGGACCAACCCAAGTACCCATCAATGATAGAATGGATAAAGAAAATGTGGCACATATACATCATGGAATACTATGCAGCCGTAAAAAAGCATGAGTTCATGTCCTTTGCAGGGACATGGATGAAGCTGGAAACCATCATTCTCAGCAAACTAACATAAGAACAGAAGACCAAACACTGCATGTTCTCACTCATAAGTGGTAGTAGAACAATGAGAACACATGGACACAGGGAGAGGAACATCACACACTGAGGCCTTTTGGGGTTTTTGGGGCTAGGTGATGGATAGCATTAGGAGAAATACCTAGTGTAGATGATGAGTTGATGGGTGCAGCAAACCACCATGGCACGTGTATACCTATGTAACAAACCTGCACATTCTGCACATGTATCCCAGAACTTATAATAAAAAAAAAAAGAAAGGATAAGACTTTTGAAATAGCCAAGGAAATCCAGTGTTATTCTAAGACATGGGCTTTTAAAGATCTGCATTTAGGGTGTGTTAATCTTCCATATTTTTTAAAAGCCCACAACATGCTTTCACCGATGAGTTTAAAAATATTCTCTTCTTTGTAGCAAACTTCTAAATTTTATTGCTTCTACTTTTTCAGTCCACTTCTCTACACCTTGCTTGATTGCTTTGTACCAGAAAGAGATTCATATAAGATGATAATATGCTCCTGGAAATATTTCACCAGACCATCACACCTCATTCTTTGTGGTAGAATAATTTTTAAGCCTTTTTGCGGTGATGTTAACTAAACTGTTATTAACTGTAAGTCCTAAATATTTCTATGCTTCAGATAAATCATCTGGTGATTATGAAGCTTGTATTTTAAAATTAGAATTTTATGCTATTTGTTGTACAAATGTTTAACAAATCATACAATTGGTGATACAGTCTTTCCTTTTGTATTCCCAGTGTCTCTTGAATTGTTCTGCTTATTTTACATTTAAAATATCTGTTCCTGGAGATTTTATATTAAACTATGTATATCTATGTCTCTATAGATGGATATATATATATAATAGGAATATATATGCCTATATTATATGCCCATATATAGTATATATTTTCACAGTGACATGTGGCTTTTTTTCTATTTTTTTAGTAGGAAAATGCAGTTTCCTATGTGAGTGCACTAAAGTGACTTTCAGCAGATTTTCAGAGTTGCTGGGCTGATGGAAAAATCACAAAATATATTACTAGGGGGAAGAGGAAAGGTGTTTTTTACTCTCTGCTTGAGAAGTGACAGAATAAAAGAATCCTTGAGAAATGTGTCAAATAGATCATTCCCCCCTTTGCAGAAAAAAGAGTCTGATGCTATAAAGAAAAGGCAGGCTTTGTGAGTCTTACGTGCAAACTGTGCCAGCCTACCTGAGCTTTTTGTTCATCTTTAACACATTGAACATCTTGAGGTATCTAAGAATATTGAGATAGAGAGTCACAGTATAATCTAAGGTGGAGTACTGTTCTAATGATCAGTTCTGAAGTGGAAGTTGAGTAGGATATTTTTTGGTACCCTAATAAGTGGTTCAAAGTTTGAAATACTTCCAGCATAAAAAGAAATCCCAAGTATATATGGATATGAAAATTGCATCAATCAGTCAGACTCCATGAATCCTGTCTTGTAGTTTCTTGGGCTGTGGCAACGCTGCTTTTATGTTAATTTCAAATAGTCATCCTCTGAAGCAATTCAAGCTGGCTATATTTTCTTTCTTATACTCAGAAAGAAATGTATAGTCTTTTGATAGATTTCTTCATGAATCTTTGTTCATTTCTATATTGGTTAGTGTGTTCTCTCTGAAACTCTAAGAAATTAGAAACATTTTATTGCATAAAACTTACCATTCCTATAGTCTAATTCAACATAACCTCAGTGTCCTATACAAAGTATATGATTAATAAATACTTGGGCCATGATGACAAATAATGTACATGGAAACACTACTGGTAGTGAGCTCTAACAAAGAGTAAGAATGTTACATATATTCTAATGAATGAATAATTTATAATGAACTATAAGGGTTACAAACTTATTTATAAACTGTAAACTGTAAGGGTTACAAGCTTATTTATAAAAAATAGTTCTATATTTTGTTTTCCTAATTCAGCCTAATTTTTACTCCATCTGCCCATTTTACTGCAGTGAGAAAAATTCATTCTTGATCATTGCCAGTGTCTTCTTCCCAGGATAAATATATAAATTCTGGGAATAAGGGTTATAGTGACTCAATAGAATTCAAGGAGATTGGAGAGTGAAAAACATATATTGCCTGTCTATGTGAAGATCTAGTGATATGTTGGTTGTCCCATTTGAACCTTGGTCTTTGATTTCTGAAGATCATGCTGAAATGTAGCTTGGCCCTGTCTGCCTGGACCCTTTATATCTTGGTGGCATCTTTGCTTCTTCTGGGACTTTGCTGGGGACATAAGAATCATTCCACTATTCTCGTGCCTTTTTAGTGACATAGAGCCTGGGCTAGCTCAGTCCATTATCCACCCGTGCCACTGAATCCGCCCCTATAAACTTTATAAAATTAACCAGAAAAAAGGGAAAGAGAGAAATGAAATAAACCCAGCTTGCAGCACACTGAGCATTAATTATTTGGTCAGCTTACTGCCTGACCCCTTCCTCATAGTTGATTGCCTCTTGCCTCAGAATCATGTAGACCCTGTTACAAGATTATACATCGCCTTAACTGCTCTACAGGTAACAACTTGAACATTATGAAACATTAAGTTTTCCCTCTGAGATATTTTTTCAGGTCCTTCCCACTAATGAAACTACTTACTCAGCTGGTCTGCAGGACCACAAGGAGCTGAATCATCAAAGAATGCAGTTCACACATACTGATGACTTCATCTTCCTTACCCAGACCCATCAATGACCCCAATTATTCAGCCCCTCACCCTTCAAGATCTCCATAAAAACTCCAGCCCAGAACTCCTCCAGGAGATGCATTTGTGCATCTCCTGTTATCTCCTTATTGGGTGCTCTGCGATCATTAAACTCTTTCTTTGCCATGAACCCTGGTGTCTCAGTGCAGGGGGTCTCTTATTGCTTAGTGGGCATAGGAACCTGTTGGCATGTAACACCACCTTGTGAGGACTCTTCCTAGGGAAGACATCTTCTTTGCTCTTGGTCTCACACATTTAGCACACACAGGGCTCTAACATACTTACCTCCAGTGCTGCTGACTCTCTGGAGAGGCAGGTTTCAGAATCTCTTTATCTGGGACATGTTTTTATCTATATTGTCATTAATTTCTGCTCTGTATTTATTTCCCTCCTTGTCTCCTACTAGCCCACAGCTGTAAATTTTTAAAAAAAATATGCCCCCCTCCAAAAAAAATTTGGTCTTTGTTTTCTTATTTCTCTAAGAAATTTGTCAGTTCAAACACAAAACTCAGAAAGATATTAATACATCCCCTTTCCTGGACTTCTGCTTCCTCACATTCTTCCTTGGAGGAAGGAAGAAGAAAATAGCCTGGCAGCTCTAATGGGGGACAGGGATGAAGATGGGAGTATAAGAAATGTAAACTGCACAGGTTAATCTTGGAAATATTATACTACTGTATTAAATGTAATAATCCTCAGTGAAACTAAGCATTTTGGTAAAGGGATGTCATAGGAAGAAAACATCTAAACTTCTATTTGACTGTGAAAGATGGGTTTTTGAACACATTTATTATCGAGAGATAATTATCAATAGAGATAATAAATCACATGAAAGTATGTTGTCAGGCTGGGCGTGGTGATGCACGCCTATAATCCCAGCACTCTGGGAGGCCAAGGTGGGTGGATCACCTGTGGTCAGGAGTTTGAGACCAGCCTGACTGACGTGAAACCCCATCTCTACTAAATTAAAAAAAAAAAATTAGCTGAGCATGGTGGCGCATGCCTGTAATCCCAGCTACTTGGGAAGCTGAGGCAGGAGAATTGCTTGAACCGGGGAGGCAGAGGTTGCAGTGAGCCGAGTTTGTGCCATTACACTCCAGCCTGGGCAATAAGAGCAAAACACCATCTCAAAAAAAAAAAAAAAGAAGTATGTTGTCTTATTCTGGTCATCTGCATTGATGATCACAACCGCAGAATCATCTGCCTTGATGATCACAACACTAGAATAAGACAACATACTTTTATGTGATCAGAATCTCTTCTCACGCAAATTTAGAATTCTTTTAAATATAATAAGTCATATGCTCCTCTTTAGTCTCATGTGATCCCATCTTTAATTCAACTGAATGAGCAGGGGTATTTTCAAAGGCAAACTAAAATGTTCTAGAAAAAAACATTGGTTCTCCTTGATTTTTATGTCAGCCTATCTTTTCCTATCTTAGTATTATAAAAAAAGGTTACAAGCAACATAGTGTACAAGGGTCACCGAGCTTGCTCCATAGGTTATAATACCCCCAGAGCCCTGGGAATGAAATGTCTGGAGGTTTACTGGGCTTTTGGTGCTTCTCTTTGAATAGTGGTTTCTTTAGCTACAAAAGGCTTTAGGAGCTCCTCTGGAAACAAGCCCCAAAGACAGAATCTTTAAAAATAAAGGTTCTCTTCTACCTTAAGGCTAACCTTTCTGTGAATACGCACTGTGGGTACACTGTAAAGAAAATTGGGGTTTTATTTCTAAGTCCTGATGCAGGTGAAATGAAGAAACTGAACTTGGATGAAGGTTGAGGTGCTGGTGACAGTATTTTGTCATTAAAGCAGTGATAATGGCTTAGAAAGCCTGGCTGTAAATTCACACTGCTATTCAGCATGTGTCACTTTGAAAGAGTCGGAAAATTATGTGTAAAACCAGCCGTGGATATTCAAATACGTTTTTATACAAGGCAGATCATTACTTGCGATTAATTACAAAGAAGTGTGGTCTGCGTCCCTGTGGGTATGAACCAGCACTGGCTCTTCTCTTTAGTGGCTGGCTGGGGGCAGCAGACAAGAAAGATAACTTTTACCACGCGCAAGTAAATTTACTGTCCTTTCCTAGTAGTGATGGCATTCAGACATAATTGGTGTAGAGACAGGTTACGGGTGCCTGAGGAAAATGTCAGGGGAAGCAGAACATGAAGGGCTTTGAATGCCATGCTCTCGACTTTCAGGTTTGTTTGAGCCGTCACTGGATGTGTATAAGCAGGTGAACGGCATGAGCATCTGTGAATCGTGCATGGTAACTTTTGCATTTTAGGGGAACCATTTTGAAAACAGTATGAACATTTGCCTACTCTGAAGAAGTCAAAGTAGTGAGTATTTCATGTTTATTCTTTCTAGGTCTTCTGTTTTGTGTTTTACCTGCTTAACTCCTTCAATAGCTATTACCCTAGGAGGAGGAAAATTAAATCACTTACTCAAGGTCATGCAAAGAGGAGGTGACACCTCATTTTATTCCTACAGTATTATGATGTGTCTTGCCGAAGTCTGGGGGACCAGTAAGGAGGATGCTTTAGTAATCCAAATAGAAATTCATGAAGTCTTGACAAAGACATAGAATTAAATATAGAGAGTTAAGAGATTGAATTAACTGGACTTGGTACATGACTTAAGGTAGTGAAGAAGAGTTTAGAATTATTCTTTGGTTTGTGAATGGGGGAAGTGGGTAGATATTGCTATTAGCATAGAAGATGAGAATTGTGAATCCTGAACAAGTGTTTTGTTTTATGTGTGGTGAGGGACTGGCATTCCTATGGGATCTATAGGGGAGGTATATAGTAGAATGTTGACAAAGTGGACCTGGAGACCAGGAGAATGTTTGGGGCTGGAGAGAGAGATTTGTACTTCATAAATATGTAAACCGTGGCTGGAAGAAAACATTGTGCATGCAATTGTCCAAGAACTGAGTAGAGAGAGATGAAACATGAGGAACAAGAATATTTAAGGCAGAGATTGTTTCCTGTGTGTAGAAATCCCACTTAGGTAGCATGGAAAATATCACTTGTCTATTTCCAGGGATGCTGATGAGCATCCACAGAATTCTCATGTTAGTGGATAACACTTGGGAAACATTCATTTACGGGATGAACAGTTGGAATCTGAGAGAAGGGTTACTAAAATGGTAGAAAAAGTAACAGAGTCTGGGCGCGGTGGCTCACACCTGTAATCCCAGCACTTTGGAAGGCCGAGGCGAGCGGATCACCTGAAGTCAGGAGTTTGAGACCAGCCTGGCCACCATGGCGAAACCACATCTCTACTAAAAATACAAAAATTAGCCCGGCGTGGTGGCGGGTGCCTGTAATCCCAGCTACTCAGGAGGCTGAAACAGGAGAATTGCTTGAACCCGGGAGGACGAGGTTGCAGTGAGTTGAGATCGCACCACTGCACTCCAACCTGGGTGACAGAGCAAGACTCTGTCTCAAAAAAAAAAAAAAAAAGAAAAAGTAACAGAGAATTGTCAGTCTCAGAAGTCAAGGGAGGAGAAGCTCTAAAGAAGCAAGGCATTATCATCAATGTTGAAAATTTCAGAGAGCGTATAACTTGGACTGAGGGGTAGCTTATTCCTGCTGGCTGTTGTGCTGCCCACCTGCATTGAGGCACAGCCGTATTTCCTTCCGGTGCTACCTGCTTTCCTAAATCCTTTAATGCAGTAAATACTCAAGGGCTTTCTTTCACTGGGAAATGCTGCTTTCGTTCTCTATTTCTGGACACTGACTTCCAAATGAGAAAACAATTGACTTTTAGCAATAATCAGATTGAATGTTGTCCCACACTAAAAAGACCCAAAAACAACAAACAAAAGGAGGACTCACCACTTGTATCACCACCGTCACATTTCACCCCTGAAATATAGGAGCATTTTCTCCAGAAGCAGGGTGCGGCAGGCATATTGGAAATGGCATACGTTTGTTCAGACAAAGTTGTACTCTCATATCAAATGTGCTACTCAAATCCAAGAGGTTACTTTATCCTCAAAATATTTTCTTTGGCTTCAAGAGTGAGGGTGCTGTGTTTTACTGCATGAAATCATTCACCAATCCACCTCCTTCCCATCTCCCACCATACCGCAGCCTTGTGGAAGACACCCATGGGGATCGGAACTGTGAAAGTGGTCAGTAAGTAAACAGTAAATGCTATTCATAAATCTCTAAGTCAAGCGTGAATCAAACTCACACAGAACACCAGAAAATGAATTTTATTTTAAATCGAAACAGGGATCAGGAGATATAGCTTGGGATTTGGAGATGATTAAATGTAGGATTCAGTTAAGAGGTTTCACCTCTCCAGAAAATATAAGGCAAACAGTCCCATGACTGACCTATAGATCTTTGCTGTATTTGGCATAATAAAATGACAGAGCTGATCGTGTGTTACTTTAACAGGCCTTAGTACGACTTGACTGAAATGTTGAATTCGGAACACAAGCAAGTCAATTTTCGGTTCAGTAGCTATGATCGTTTATTTTGAATTTAAAATTATTTTTGCATAAAATTGTTTGGTAGTTCTAATAAGTATTGCCTTTGAAACACCAGAATTGACAAGAACCTTGGGGTTTAGAATCCTTTTAATATGCTCCTACAACTTTTCCTAATGGAATATGAATGTTGATAAAAAAACAGCATATCCCAACACATCTAGATATATTTTGAAATTGTATTTCTACCATTTATTTTATAATAGTGTAATCACCTTGATGCAGAAAATTGATGGTGGCCAAACAATTTATTGTGGGCAATCTGTTAAAAATATCTTGAAGGGTAAAATTAGAAAACAAAAGGAAACCTGATCTATGCTTATGTGAGCACAGAGAATTCTTGGTGCACATCGAGGAATGCTTAGTGCTAGCCTCTCTGTCTTGATCATTACTTCCTCATGTCTCCTCCTCCAGCTTCCTCTAAAGCTTCATTAGGGCAAACCTGTATAAATTTCTCCTGCCATCCTTCTTGTCTTGTACACCATTTTTATGGTTAAAGCCTCTATTCTCCTACACTTTCAGGGACTGTATGTCTTTTCTAAATATCTATTTTTTGAATAAGAAATAGTATGTATCACTGAAATAACCCACATATAAAATTAAATATCTTTATGTTCCAATTAACAAGTGTTACATATCAGCATTATGCTTCTCATGTGCTAAGTAGAAAAAAGATCAAAACATATAGATCTCTAACAGCAGAGACAGCATAAATAGCTGAGCTCTGGCTTGCAAAATAGTGCAGTGACAGCTGGTTTGGACTCATAAATGAGATGTTTGAAAAGGGCATGAATAGGGCAATAGAAAAAAATACTTTGCTTAGCAACACACCTGTTTTCCTTCTCGATATTGATTCTTGTGAGATGGACTTCTTCAATTAGAACTCCTTTTGCCTTTTTTGTCCCCACCATTGAGCTTTCCAACACGAAACTAAACACAACATCAAAGGAATGTTTGGTATAAAGCAAACAATTGAGAACACCTCTGCTAAATGTGTAATTCTTATCTTGAGTAGACAAAGTAACAAAAAACACACATAGTGATTAGAGTGATATAGTTCATTTATTCTTAAAGTTAAATAGATTAAAAATATAAAATATGAAGCATAGTTACATATGCTTTCATGAAAGAAAATTTATACCTAATTTCCGTATGAAATTCATTGCATTTTCCTTTCCATATGCATCATTAGTGTTATGAGTTAGGTGAGAAAATTAACATACCAGCTTTGGAAGTCTTTTTTTGAGGGTTGAGAGCTAAACAGTTTGGTTTCAAGAGGTTTTAACTCCATTAAATCTCAGATTCTTGGAAGCGAAGGTCCCTTCCTTTGGTGTCTACTCAAGTTTGTTTGTTTTTAGATTTATCTTTTTTTTTTTTTTAAACATCTGAGGTAGGTAGCTACTGCTTCTCTGAATCTCAGAAAAATTGGCTGGCTAGACAAAATTTAGCCGGCAAACCTTATCCTAGGTAAGATGAAGTGGATTTAGTAGTCAGATAAAAAGATTTTGAGGCAGTGGCCAGGAAGACAAGATCACAGTGACTTAAAATGTCAAAGTGGCATGTATCCTTGAAGTGGTGTGCTCAAGGAACATTAAAAACCCACAGTGTCTGGAAAGGAAGCTTTATTATTTATACTCCATTCTCCACTTGACAAGGAGATCCTTTATTTATCTGTAGGAGAAAAACTTCTGACAATGTTATACGTAATTAGCTTGATTATTTTCATATGCTTGAAAGTAAAAAATTACACATTACTGAAAGCAGAAGGAAATGAAGGATGTTTTGTTATGTGTTTTTAGCAGGAATCTACGTATGGCATGACAATGGTAGTGCGAGGTATATTCCGTTCAAAAGCCAACATCTATCCTAGGCTTTTGGTGAGATCATATTAAACCTCAAGGATTGTTTTTCTGTTCATTTTTCTCCTCGATTGTTATGTGATCACTTATAACACCTTAAAAATTAAATTTCCAGGATGCACACAACAAGATTTTTAAAGCCATGCTTTCCAACCTTTGGGGATCCATATGTTTTCACAGTTATTGTTTTTGTGCCTTATATAGGGAATTTATTTAACAAGGCACAAGGCAATGTATCAGACACCCTTTTCATCAGGTGCGCACACAGGTCCTGTTACTTACCCTGAAGGGGCTTTTGGGTTAGTGGGAGAAACAGAAGTAAATAAGCAATTATGATTTTGTATGGTAAGTGATACAGTTGTGGAAAACATGGAGGATAGTGCTAATGTACAAAAGGCAGTGCAGAGGCCAGGTGTAGTCTTCAGCACAGGATTCCTAGGGAATAAGATTATTTGCCTGAAAGACGAATCCAGGTATTCAGGCAAAGAACTAAAAGATAGTCCAAGTCACAAGAATAGTGCATAAAAGGGTTAGAAGTAAGAACTCCTCTGGGGAGCTGTAATTAGGTTCACTGTAGAGGAACAGAAGGAGCTAGCGAGGAAGGGAGGGAGATGGGATGGAAGCATAAGCAGGGGCCAGACCCAGACAAGCCCTGAAGGGGCTTCTGAGAGTGGTAGGGCTCCACTTTTAAGTGGAGTGAGTAAATGACTTAGAGGTGGAAAGGTCTTAGATAGAGAAATCAAAGACATTTCAAATGCCGATGTTCTAACTGAACTCCCTGTCCTATCCCCAAACCTACTATCACAGTCTTCCACTTCTCGCTTGATGGCCATTCCACCCTTTCATTTGCCTGGTGTCATTTTTGACTCTTTCTTTCTCCCACAGCCTACATCCATATCAGGAGGTCTTGGCTCAGCCTTCAATATCGATTTCAGAATGCAGTGACCCCAGTACTTTGCTTCACCATCTCTCGCCTGGATATTGCAAAGGGTTCCAACACCCTTCTGTCCCCATCACTTCCCCTCCAACAACTACCCCTCTGAACTTGTTTTGCTCAACCCATCTCCATCTTTATTCCTTTTTTGTCTGATTATTCTATAAGTTCCTGAGAGAGGTTTGTTAAAAACTAGCGCTATAATTAGGGATCCACCTAGTTCTTTCTTTAGTTCTGTTTTGCCTTATAAATTTTGAGGACATGATATTAGGCACACATATATCTAGAATTGAAATATTTTCCGAGTATATTACCGTGATGAAATGTCTCTTTTTATTTCTAGTGGGGCTTTCCACTTCAGTGTACCTTCTCTGTTACAATTATAGCTTCACTAGCTTCCTTCGGCTAGTGTTTGCATGGTGTACCAGTTTTCCAGTCAGGAAGACAAAAATCACATTAGATATTTTAAGCAGTAGATTTAATTAAAAAAATTGGTTACACAGGTTTGGAGAGGTGAAGGTAATGACAAAGGATTACTGAAGTAACCCAGAGATAATAACCATAGAAAACAGCAAATCTCCTTAGCCTGGGAGAAAAAAAGAAAAATGTTGTGGTAAAAGGAAGAGCCCTGTGGAATTGGTGCTAAGACCTTTAAAAAGAGGGTGCCATTCAACACAGAGATGTGGCCTGTGGAGCTGTTCTCAGATCTCGGAGGAGCCGTCTCTACCCAGTGGCTACTTGAACCACTGAGGGGCCATGATGAGGCTGGCTCTGGGAGAGGCAATGGAAAGCGATGGGTTTGGCCTGCCACAGCTGGGGCCAGCTAACAGTAACGACTGTTAACAGAAACAAGAATATAGTAAGCGAGTCCCTTTTTCCTTCCTCCGGCCTTCCAAATTATCTCTAGTGACCCTTATTGGAAAAACTAACAGGATTTCCACGGGCAGCCTGGAAATGTGTGTGCGGTGTCCTGGTCCTGGCATCCTAGCCCTGGCATCACAGAGCAGAATATAGCAAGGAGTTTTTAGAACCGAGGGATGAGAGTTAAATAACCAGCAGATATGACATGTGTTTTTCTCCCTTTACTTTTTTTTTTTTTCTGATCAAACATGCATTTTAGTATGTTTACTTTTCTTCTGTTTCTTGGTGGGAGTGTAAATTATTTCAACCATTGTGGAAGACAGTGTGGCAATTCCTCAAGGATCTAGAACCAGATATATCATTTGACCCAGCAATCCCATTACTGGGTATATACCCAAAGGATTATAAATCATTCTACTATAAAGACACATGCACATGTATGTTTATTGCAGCACTATTTACAATAGCAAAGACTTGGAACCAACCCAAATGCCCATCAATGATAGACTGGCATATATACACCATAGAATACTATGAAGCCATAAAAAAGGATGAGTTCATGTCCTTTGCAGGTACATGGATGAAGCTGGAAACCATCATTCTCAGTAAACTAACATGAGAACAGAAAACCAAACACCACATGTTCTCACTCATAAGTGGGAGTTGAACAATGAGAACGCATGGACACAGGGAGGGGAACATCTCCCTTTACTTTCAACTTATATTCTTATATTTTACTTTTAATATTTTCTTATATTCTATATTCTAAAAGTATATCTATATTCTATATTCGTGTATTTATATTCTATATTATTCTATTCCATAATTATATATTTTTATATTATTAAAGTATCTATTTTAAGCAGTATATAGCTGCATTTAAAAAAATTAAGTCTGACAATTCTTTAAGTTAGAGAATTTATATTTCATCTGCATGATATATAATTACTATTACATTAATTACTAACACATTTGAATTAAGACTTACCATCTTGTTATTTGCTTTTTATTTATTCTGGTTAGTTTCTTCATCTCTCTTTTATGACTTATTTTGAATTAACTATTTTAAAGAAATTGTTACATTTTTCTCCTTCAATTGGCTTGGAAGATTCACATCATTTAACTATTATTTTCATGGCTATTCTATTATTTATAACATGAGTATTTTACATATGAAAGTCTATTACATATAAAATTAGACTTTCCCTCTTCCCATAGGTTGAGCATCAAGCAGCCCCCATCTTGTCACTGGTTCTAAATTCCATTTTTTGTCCGCTAGTCCTCTTGTATCTACTGAGAGCTCTGTCCAGCTCTCAGACTGCCCAGCTCTTAGCCTCCCAGAAATCTCTTCCTAAGTAAGACATAGGCCCCCTAAGAGAAAAGTAGTCTCCTATGCCAGGTTAATTTTCTAACTGCCTTCTACTCTCAATATGTCTCTATAATTTTCCAAGGCTTTTTGACTCTCCAGTATCTTCTGATGATTTTTTTAAAAATTCTGCTCCTCTAGTTCTCAGCTGGAGGATTGCTCTGAATTAGTCGATTACAACAGAATGTAGAACTTTTTAGAGTCTGTTCTCTCTAGAGAATAATACAAGTCAGATAATATCATTCCTCTGCTAAAAATCTTTCAATGGATCCTAAACTCATTTGGGGGACAAGCCAAAATTCTACTGGAGGTTTCACTCACCATTTTCTCTCTGACATCAGCTCCTCCTCGTCTCAGCACTTCTCTCAGCGGTGCTCATTTCCCTGTTGTTTCTGAAACTGAACTGACATGTCCGCACTCATATTCTTTGTGTTTGCCCTTCCTTTTGTCTAGGAGAGAATATTTTTTTTTCACTCATCTTTTTGGCTTGTCTCCTCCTCTTCTTCAAATAGCTCCTCAAATATTGTTTTCTCAGTGAGGTTTTATCTCATGATTCCAGTTAAAATTGAACTCTGTAGACACTACCCATCCTTTTTCATTTACCTTTCTCCTTAGACATTATTACCTTCTAATAGATTCTACAACTCATTTATTATTATTACTTTTGATCTGTTTTCTTTCATTCTATGTTCCAAAATGACAGAGAATTTTAAAAAATTCATCACATATCCCCAGAATGTAGAATAGTGTCTGGTACATAGTAGGTGCTCAATAAATATTGCTGGAATAAAGAAATGAGGAATGTAGTTACCAGTGGAACAAGAGTTCTAAATTTATATTTGACAGGTATTAAGTAAACAGAATTAGCTGTTCTATTGGTTAAATGGCAATGATAACGTTGGAGGAATCCAGGATGATAATCACATTTCTGTCCCAGGGACACTTTCTATTCCTCTGAATGGACACACTCATTTACTAAAAGACATTTGCTACCTTATTTCTTCGATGACTCCATTTCGGGTTGATGTCTCATCTCAGCACCCTGAACGCCATAATTACGTTAATGATGCTCTCCTAGTCAATGATGTCAAAGGCCAAAACATATCTTGAGGGCTATGTTCCCTGTATCTACTGAATTCAGGTAGAATTTCCTAAGTGCCAATTAATTGAAAGAAATAAGTGCCACTAATGTTGAAAGGAGAGAGGGATTCCAGTGGCTCGAGTGTCTGATAAAGTCTGTAGAAAAAGAAAGTGATCTTTCATATGCTCTCTAACATTTGGATACGATTTGACTATTTGAAAAGATTAGGCTTTCAGCTCAGACAGGGCATGAGAAAGAGCATAAATGTGAAGGTAGAGATGGGATAATGGAATGGATTTTGGAAGAATGTAGAACAGTTGGAATGGGCATGCAGGATGAGCATGTATATAGAAGCAAATATCTTTAAATTGCTTTTGAGAAAGATGAGTATCTTTCGTTTGAAAATGACATAATTTACAATTATTCAGAATTTTTATTTAAAAGAGGAATGGAGATGAAGCTGGAGAATATATGATGGAGAAACACAGGTTAATTCAGCCCATTTTAATAACCAGGCATTTTGGAAAAATATATGTTATTTGATAAAATGTTATTTATTTAATAGATTCAGCCAGCATCGTACTCTTCACATTAGATTAGTGTGTCATTTTTTAAAAGCAGCAAATGTGTTTTCTATTAGGATAAGGGGTCTATTTTTAGTTTTCTGGAGGCTTATTTCCTCTCTACATCCCTTACTACTGGAAGCTGTTCTTTAAGATTGGAAACCCAGTAGGGAATTCACATCTTTGAGAAATGTGGATGTGCAAGTCCTAGATCAGAAAAACAGTCCAGTTTATTAAAAAAAAATGGAGGGTGAAAAACACAAAGTAGACTATACATGGATGAAAGTAAATTTAAAATTAAAAATCTGATGTGAACTATTAAACATTTTTGGAGCATTAACAGGAATCATTTTGGCTTGCTGTGGAATCGTTTGTTAAACAGGTCAATAACATACGTTTAACTTGCTCTGGCCAGCTCCTCCCTTTTGGATGTCTGGAGTTTCGGTCACACCTTCTCCTCAGCTCTCTCAGGCAAGTTGATGTAGTAGAAGGAATCCTAGGACTAACTATGCCACTAAATAGCAACAATTTTGGGCAAGTCAGTTAACCTCTTTGAATCTCAGTTTCCTCATATGAAATATCTGAGTATTGAAGAAAATACTCAGGTCGAGCACAGTGGCTCATGCCTGTAATCCCAGCACTTTGGGAGGCTGAGGCGGGTGGATCACTTGAGGTCAGGAGTTCAAGACCAGCTTGACCAACATGGTGAAACCCCCTCTCTACTAATAATACAAAATTTGCCAGGTGTGGTGGCAGACAACTGTAGTTCCAGCTATTTGGGAAGCTGAGGCAGGAGAATTACTTGAACCCGGGAGGCGGAGGTTGCAGTGAGCGTAGATCGCACCATTGAACTGCAGCCTGGGCAGCAAGAGGGAAACTCCATCTCAAAAAAAAAAATACTCGCTATATCACTTTACAATCTAACACTCCATTCTTTGATAGGAGCCTTTCTCTAGGACCTGCACTTTGTCAGGGTCTTTGGTCAGCTGCATCAGAGGATGACTAGAATATGACCCAAGACTAACTCACCACTAGCACCATATTTGGAAAAGAGTTTACTTGCTAAAGCAAACAATTAAAATGGATGTATCCATGTTCACTGCAGAGGAAACAACTAAGCTAGAATCTTGATCTTATAAAAGACCAGCACAAGCCCTCTGAAACTGAGTGTTATCCCCAAGGAAATATGTATTATCGAAATGAGTTTTTTTCTATAGTATGTACTTCCAGGACATATGAAGGGATGAAGAGCTTAGCAGGTGCCTGTTTTAGAAGACAGAGGCTAGAGACGTGTCTGTCTTGTGGAAACTTGCACCTGCATTTAGCTCTTGCAGTAACCATGGGATCTGTAAATGTAGATCCTTTACCTTTAAGCTGTTGCAGATTCCACTGCTGTGTTATTTATGAGGTGTCAAAGACAGACTCAGCAACGTTCAGTAATTCACTTTTAGACAACTGGTTTGTATGAGGATCTATATTGTTTATCAATATAGAACGAGTAATTTACATTTATGGGTTTTGTTTGCATGCAGGAAGAAGCTCGGTGAAGTCTAAAGAGCACGGGCTTTTGAGACAGGAAGACTTGGGTTGAAATTCCAGTTCTACACTTTGCTAAATGTATAATCTGGAAATAGTTACATAACCACCCTGAGACTTAGTTTCCTATTTTAAAAATTTGTATAACGAAACCTAAATCATAGTTGTTCTGTAAACAAACAATATAAAGTAATTCAAGTTCATAGCATAGTTCCTGACATATACTAGATCCTAAAAAATAATTGTTAAATGAATGAAAATGAGTTTCCTTCCGCTTTTGTTCATTCCTCAACCTCTTTAGTTCCTGAAAGTTGTGGAAAATAAAATATGGCAGTAATAGCAGGTATCCATTTACCTGTTCTCTTCCATTCCCTCTTTTCTCAAACTCAATCTATTTTTCCTTCGAGAATTGTGTATTAGAGCTAGGCTGTAGCACTATGGCCAAATTTCATTCCAATTTAATTCAATACACACATTTCTGTTTACGCTGTGCTAGAAACCACATGAATGATCAAAACAAAATCCCTTCCCTCAAGTAACTCCCACTGGAGCCGAGTGAGATACAACAGAGGTGCTGTGTCCTTGTATAGAGGCCTTTTGTTCAGCAGTGTGCATGTACACTGCTGCATGTGTTTGCAGGATTAAACAGTCACACCAATGCAAATCTAAGAGTCTAAGATTGAGAATGAACAGGAAAAAAATTTTAATCCCAATTGTCTTGATCTAATATCAAAGGCAAAGTAGACGTGAGAAAATTTAGTCAATAACGTTGAACTACCAAGGAATTAAAATGTGAGGGATTTTTTTTAATAGGTCATGCATTTTGCAAAGACTTATCTATTTTAAGACACTTCTCAAGTTTGAAGTACTTTTTTTGTTATTCTTTATCTACCAAAAAAGAACCAGGTGAAGGAGTAGAACTTTATGCCATTAATACTGATGTGAATTGCTGTTATATTAAAGGAAAGTGGCAGACATCCTTGGATCAGAAAAGATGAATCACACATTATTGAGTGTGAAAGTGGGGAAAGAAAATGGAAAAAAAATGATAAAGGAAATAAAATAGCTAAAACTGAAATTACAAAAGAGTGGAAAATCTTTTTTCAGTAGAAGAAATATTAGGCTATATCTTTAAAAATAATAACAAGGGTTGTTAATTTTAATATAAAGACTTTATAATTAATTACCTAAATGATTGCCTTTTTTTTCTAGTCTTTCTCCTTGATAGCATCACCACTGCCTTCCTTAAATATATCCCACATCCACACAAAGAGTCTTCCCAGGCTGTCACAGCACAGATACAGTGGTTCATTGAATTGGGGCAAACATGGACCAAAACTGTAATGGTCAGAATTTAGGAAAGCAAATTGTCATCTGGTTTGGATGCTCTGGGGACCACCAATTGTCTGTTTGAGAAACTGGCTTGGTTGGGCTTATACTGAATAGACAGCCCTGAAGAGTAAAAACAAGCTAGCAAGCGAACAAAAAACAGAAACAGACTTTGAATTGAGACAGGCCTGGTTTAAAATTCTGGCTCTGCTCTTTTGTAGATTTGTGATCCTTGGCAAGTAATTGCTCATCTTTGAGGCTGTTTCATTTGCTGTCTGTGTCAAAATATGACGGTTAAATGGGATGGGAGAGAAGGCAACTGGGAACTATAAGGTGCTCCATCTATGAGGATTCTCTATTTTTCCCCCTAAGACGGGCACTGATGAGGTGCTTAGTAAATATTGAATATTACTAAATATTAAGTATATATTAGTAAAATTGAATATATAAGTCTTGTAATGGATATGTGGATATACTTAACAAATATACAACAACAGCAACAATGGCATCAATACAAAAGCTTGATGCATGAAATAGATCACAACAGCTGGCTCCTGTTTGTCCCCGTCTGTAAAAATAATGAGGTGGTTCTAGATGGCCTTCAAGATGTTTTTTAGCTTTTAAATTTCTACAGTTTAATAGATTCTGATTCTCTTTATAAGAAAGTGTAGCTTTGTGTGTACTTTCATGTAGACAAATACCCATTTTCAATAGAGCACTTTATCTGGCTGTACATCCAATGGGCACTCCGAATCCTTCATAAAAGCTGATTTTCTGTTTTTTTTTTTTTCCTTAAAAAAAGAAAAATCAACAAAAACCTTCCTTCCCTTATTATTCTGTGAAAGCAAGGAATCAGAAAAAGTTGAGAGAAAATGAACAGGTTGTGAACTCTAAGGACATTGAAACAGACAGAAAGAAGATTGAGTGATAATTACAATAATGGATGGATCTTAAGGACAAAATGTTAGTGAAATCACGTTTGAAGGCCGAAAGAAAGTGCCTGGATGTGAATGAATGTCTAGAAATAAGAGGGCAATAGATTACAGCCTGGTGGAGGAGAGGAAGAAATGGTCAAAGGAAGGCAGGAAAACATCTGAGTTGAGTTTTCTGACAAAAAGAAAAAATAAAAATAAAGTAAAAGAATGAAGGGCAGGTAGAGCAGGTACATATTTTTCTTAATTGGCTTGCAAGTGTTGAATTAGGTTCTATCTATTATTAACATGGTTTACCTATGAGATTTAGCCACCGATGACCTATTCTCTTCATGAAGCCATTACCAGTAAATTGGCTCACTTCTGACTTACCTCAAAACAGCTAATAAGAAACAGAAGCCATGAATATAGGCATCATGGGAGGAAATGTATAATTAGTAGAACTAAGAGGTGACAGTGAATATATATTTTTTTTTTGTGGGGGCCAAATTAAAGCACTGTGGAACAATGATGGCTTTTAGGAAAGAAAACACTAATTTGTTTGGTTTGGAATTTTAGAAGACAGCTCTTTCAGGGAACAGACAAGTAGCTTTCTCAGGATAGCAATGACACATTAAAATTTTATATCGCTTGGGAAAAGTCCAAATACCAGGAGTATGGTTGCCTAAAAGACAAACTTAAATTCAAAGCATATGTTAAATGATAAAATTAAAATCACATTTTTTACCCAGTTAGTTTTCTGTTTTTTACTGAGGAACTTTCTTTCTAAGATATATATTTACTAATAATATGGTACTCCTTTAAGTTTGGTGGAAAAAATTTGTTAAATTATCTGCACCCCCCTGGGTTAGAGATGTATCTCTTGTCCTTAGCATGATAAGACTTTTCTATTGCCTTCCAGGTTTCTCTCCCCAGAATTCACTCCAGTTTTTTCATAATCCAGTCACCAGGTTCTTCTTAATGTTCAATGCCCAGGACAGAATTCATCATTCTTGGTGGGAGCCTGGAGTGATAATGTAGAAGGTGTACTTTAAGAAGATTAATTTGGCAGCTGTGTGTAGATGGATTAGTGTCTGCACATTTTAACAACACTGTTAAAGCCTGTATAAGGTCAAATTTTCATTCCTGGAGTTTGACTTCTTATTTGGGGGGGGTGTTTATTTGGGCCTTGCTCCTTTTTACGCTTAAAAAATAACTCTGTACTTAACTTCAGGCCATCTTTATGCCCAAATTGTTGCTACAGTCCTTGGACAACTTGTGAGCTTCTCTCGAGGAGGGCATTACACAGCTTCCTATCAATGCCTGGTTGGCAGCAGCTGTTCTAACACTGATTATAGAAATCACTCGGTATTCTAGACAGTCAATGGCCTAAGCATGGGAGAGTAAGTCAGAGGGAAGAGAAGCAAATACATATAGGATGTATGTCAGAGAAAGGAAGAGAGGATCAGAGAAAGAAAAGAACATCAACTAAGGCCCAGTTATTAACTCTTGTTCATCCACCAATCCAAATGTTTCTATTACTATGTGATATTTTTGCCTGAAAATGATGGTGTCATCTATAAAAATTTTCATATCTTCTGTCTTTAAAAATTTTACTTTAAAATTAGCATCTTCCTATAGACTATATATTTTTGGAGAAATAATGTTATAGGTCATTTTTTCCCCTTGGCACACTGATCGTGTACTCTCTGAATGTGGAAAGGAGTAGACAGGCCAGTATTCATACCCGATAGTCTTTTCTCTACCCAAGTTCTTCATGCTACCCCAAGGTTAACTATTGTTCCATTATTGCTGTCCAACTACATAATAGGGTGCAAATACTTCAAACTCATATATATATATATATATGTGTGTGTGTGTGTGTGTGTGTGTGTGTGTATGTATGTATGTGTGTGTGTGTATATATATATATATATATATATATATTCAATGGGTTTTTGGGTACAAGTGGTTTGGTTACATGGATGAATTGTATGTTGGTGAATTCTGAAATTTTAGTGCACTTGTTACCTGAGTAGAGTACATTGTACCCAAATATGTAGCTTTTTAATTCCTCAACTCCCTCCCAACCTCCTCCTTTCTGAACCTCCAAAGTTCGTTACACCACTCTGTATGCCCTTACATAACCACAGCTTAGGTCTCACTTATAAGTGAGAACATATGGTATTTGGTTTTCTGTTCTTGAGTTACTTCACTTAGAATAATGACCTCCAGCTCCATCTAAGTTGCTGCAAATAATTTCATTCTGTTTAATGGCTGAGTAGTATTCCATGGTATATATATATATATATATACCACATGTTCTTTATCCATTCATTGGTTGAGGGACACTTAAGTTTATTTCATATCTTTGTGATTGTGAATTGTGTGCCGTGACAAACATATGCTTGTAGATGTCTTTTTGATACGGTGACTTACTTTTCTTTAGGTAATGACTTCTTTTCTTTTGGGTAGATACTGGTAGTGGGATTGTTGGGTCAAATGATATTTCTACTTTTAATTCTTTAAGAAATCTCTATACTGTTATCTACAGAGGTTATACTAGTTTACATTCCTACCAGCAGTGTCTAAGTGTTCCCTTTTCACCACATCCATGCCAGTATCTATTGTTTTTTTGACTTTTTAGTAATGGCCATTTTGGCTGGGGTAGGGTGGTATCTCATTGTGGTTTTAATTTGCATTTCCCTGATGATCAGTGAAATTGAACATTTTTTTCATATTTCTGTTGTCCATTTGTATATCTTATTTTGAGAAATGTCTACTCATGTCATTTGCCCACTTTTGATGGGATTATTTGTTTTTTTCTTGCTGATTTGTTTGAGCTCCTGGTAGATTCTGGATATTAGTCTTTTGTTAGATGTGGAGTTTGCAAATACTTTCTCCCAGACTAAAAAATTAATATTTTTAGTTTAATTATGTCCTATTTATTTTTATTTTTGTTACCTCTGCTTTTGGGGTCCTAATCATAAATTCTTTGCCTACGCTAATGTCGAGAAGAGTTTTTCTAGTTTTTCTTCCAGAACTTTAATGGTTACAGGTCTTAGATTTAAGTCATTGATCCACCTTCAGTTGATTTTTGTATATGGTGAGAAACAGAGATCAAATTTTATTCTTCTACATGTGGCTATCCAGTTTTCCAAGCACTATTTATTAAATAGGGTGTCCTTTCCCAAATATATGTTTTTGTATGCTTTATCAAAGATCAGTTAGTAGTAAATATTTGGGTTTCTTTCTGGGTTCTCTAGACTGTTCCATTTTTCTGTGTATCTATGTTTATACTAGTACCATACTGTTTTGTTAACTGTAGCCTCATAGGATAATTTGAAGTCAGATAATCAAACTAACCTAATCGTAAAACTAAAAAAAATCCACTAAGTGATCACTATATTTAAGGGATTTTCAGATGCTGCTCTAAGTCTTAAGAAAAGAAAAACAAGGAAAAAGAAAGTGAAGAAATTGACTAGGCTAATGACAGAGAAAAGAAAAAGAATGAAGGACATGTTTCCTTCTCCCAGGTGCCTAAAAAGCACCTGGGATATAGTGCTTTTCAATAATGGGTTTTCAATGTATATTCATTAAATTAGTGAAAAAACAAATGCTTTAGAAATTAACTCTGAGAAGTAGGAGTTAAGAAAATCTCCATGAAATATTCCAAGTGAAACCAAACTCCTATAACCTCTCATCATTGGTAAAATAAGTCAGAAAGTAAAAAGGTGCAAAAATGATACATATAGAAAGTTTAAAAAGTCACTTTTCTCCTCAAAACCACCTATTTGATTTCTACTTTTTTGATAGATTCGTTTTTTACAATTTTCTGGAGATAAAATTCATAAACAATTGACCCATTTAAAGTGTAGAATTCAGTGGGTTTTAGTATGGTCACAGAGTTGTGCAACCATCACTACAATCAATTTTGGAGCAATTTCGTCACACTTAAATAAAATTCCCTACCCATTAGCAATCACGTCTTATTTTCTCACCCCCACCCTCCCAGCCCCAGGCAACCACTAATCTACTTTCAGTCTCTATGTATTTGCCTGTTCTGGGAAGTTCATATAAATAGCATCATATACTATGTGGTCTTTTGTGACTGGGTACTTTCCCTTAGCAAAGTATTTTTGAGATTTATCCATGTTGAAGCATATATCAGTACTTTGTCCTCTTTTATTGCTAAGTGATAGGTATTTCAGTTACTGAATAATACATATTCTAGTGTATGGATATGCCACATTTTGTTTATTTGTCCTTCAGTTAATGTACATTTGGGTTTTTTTCCACTTCTTTGCTATTATGAACAGTGCTTCAGTAAACACTGCCTTACAAGTTTTTGTGAAAACATATGTTTACATGTTTCTTATGGATATGTACCTGGGAGTAAAATTGCTGAGACATATGATAATTTTGTGTTTAACTTTGTGAGGAACTGTCAGAGTGTTTTTCACAGTGGCCGCATTGTTCTACATTCCCAACTGTGATGTATGAAGGTTCTAATTTCTCCACATCCGTGTCAACACTTGTTATTATCTGACTTTTTGATTATAGCCATTCCTTTTTTTCTTTTCTTTTCTTTTTTTGAGACAGAGTCTTGCTCTGTTCCCCAGGCTGGAGTACAGTGGTGTGATCTCGGCTCACTGCAACCTCCGCCTCCTGGGTTCAAGCGATTCTTCTGCCTCAGCCTCCTGAGTAACTGGGACTATAGGCATGTGCCACCATGCCCAGCTCATTTTTGTATTTTTAGTAGAGATGGGGTTTCGCCATGTTGGTCAGGTTGGTCTCAAACTCCTGACTTCAGGTGATGCACCTGCCTTGGCCTCCCAAAGTGCTGGGATTACAGGTGTGAATGTATATGAATGATAGGTCATTATGATTTTGGTTTGCACTTCCCTGATGACTAATAGTGTTGGGTATCTTTTCATATGCTTATTAGTCATTTGTATGTGTTTAAAGAAATATCTATTGAGATATTTTGACCATTTTTTAGATTGGATTATTTGTCTGTTTTTGGGTTGTAAGAGTACTTTACATATTTTAGCTATGAGTCCCTTATCAGATACATGATTTTCAAATATTTTTTCCCATCCTGTGAATTGTCTTTTCAATTTCTTGATGGTGACTTTGAAGCAAAAAAGTCCTTAATTTTGATGATGGATTTCTATTTTGCTCGGGTAAAAGCTTGTCTTTATAATAGTTCTAAGGGACCCACCCTGTCTTTTCTCCCTGACCTCACTGACTCTTCCACCCCTGCTCACTCTGCTCCAGGTACACTGACTTCCTTGTTGATCAGCCTGCCCCAGGCTCCTGCTTTTCCTCCAAACAGCCTCATTGCTTTCCCTCTTACTTCTTTTAGATCTTTGCTCGATGTCACCATCTCAGTGAGGCTTTCTTGAACACCTTATTTAATATTCCATCCCTTTCCTCACTCTGGCACACCCTCTTCCCTTGGCTGCTTTATTTTCCTCTAGGGCACTTAACACCATGAAGTTATTTATTTACTTTTTATAGACACTGGCTTTAAAAAATAATTTAGGCAATTTTATGTATTCATCTATTTGTTGATTTAGTCTTTCATTTATTGTTCACTGAAGTGTGATTTAAATCCAATACAATTTACCCATTTTGGGGTATGTAGTTGATGAATTTTGAAAAAATGTACATATTTGTGTAGCTACCACCACAATAAAGATATAGAAAGTTTTTAATACCCAAAGCATTCCCTTTGCAGTCAATACCCTCTGCATTCCCAGCACATGGTAACCACTGATCAGCTTTCAGTCACTGTAGTTTTGCCTTTTCTGGAAGGGGGATTTTATATAAATAGAATAAAACATTTGTGTGTGTGTGTGTGTGTGTGTGTGTGTGTGTGTGTGTGTGTGTGGCTTCTTTTACTCAGCATAATGCTTTTGAGATTTCCCATGTTTTTGAGTGTATTAGCAGTTCTTTTCCTTGCTGTGTAGTTTTCCATTCTCTGGTTAATCTATAAGTTGTTTATTTATTTACCTGTTGGTAACATTCGTGCTGTTTCTAGTTTGGGCCATGGTGAATAAAGCTGCTTGAAAATTTGTGTACCAATCTTTGAAATCCTTCATTTCTCTTGGGTAAATATCAAGGCATGGGACTGCTGAGTGACATGGCAAGTGGTATGCTGATGTCACAAGAAACTACCGAAATGCATTCCATAACTGTATCATTTTGCATATGTTCCAGCTGTTCTGTGTCTTTGCCAGCGTTAGTATTATTGGTCTTCTAATTTTAATCACTCTTGCAGGTGTGTATTGCTATCTCATGGTGGTTTTCACTTGTATTTTCCTAATGACTAATGAAATTAAACATTTTTATGAGCTTATGTGCAATCTATTTATGTTCTTTGGTGAAGTGTATTTTAAACATTTTGTCCATTTTTAAATTAGTTTTATTTTCTAATTGTATTTTGATAGTTATTTTTCATTCTGGATACAAGTACTTTATTAATAAGTTGTCTGCAAATATTTTCTTCTTGTTTGCGATGTGCCTTTTTAGCAATATATGGCAATGTTCCTTGGTGTGGCTTTCTATATGTTTCTTCTGCTGGTTGTTTAAGTTTCTAGGGTCTCTGAGTTCATAATTTTTAACAATTTGTAAATGTTCAGGGATTATTTCTTCAAATATTTTTTCTGTCACCTCTCCATTTCTTTCCTCTCCTTCTGAATCTCCAGTTACACGTATATTAAACTGTTAGATACTGTTCCATAATTTTCTGAACATCTGTTTTTTTCTTCTTAATCCTTTTACCTATGATTTTTATCATATTGTGTTTTTAAGTTTCCACATCTTCTTCAATGTTTAATCTGCTAGGAATCCCATCTGACATATTGTTTATTTTAGATTTTGTAGTTTTTTTCCCCTATGAGTTTAATTAGGGTCTTTTAAATCTTCCATATATTTTCTTTTTGTGCTTATCTTCTCATTTACATTTTTGAGAATATTTGTAAGATTTACAGTAGCCATTTTATGCCCTCGTCTGATAATTCTATCATCTCTGTCATTTTAGGATCTGTTTTTACAGATTGATTTTTCTTTAGGTTATGGGTCATGTTTCCAACTTTTTCATGCTTAGTAATTTTGACCAGTCCATTGATCTTGTAAATTTCACATTATTGAATATTGGGTTTTCTTGTATTCATTTAAAGAGTTTGGACTTTGTTACTGCATAATGTAGGTGACAGATTTCAGGGTGGCCCCATACCCCTGTTTCTTGGTTTTCATGCTCTTGTATAATCCCCTCCCCATGAATACTTCTAATCAATAGCATGTGGTAAAGGTAATGTTATGTCACTTTCCTAATTGGTTATGTTTTATGGCAAAGGTGATGCAATGTCATTCCTCTTATATTATAAAACTCCATATTATCAGATTGGAACTGTAGGCTTTCCTTGCAGGCTTGTTGAAGAAAGTGGCCATATTGGTCAGCCTATTGGGCAGGGAACTGCAGGTGGTACCCAGGATCTGAGGATGGCTTCCAGATGACAGCAAGCAAAACCCAGGGCTCCCAGTCCTCTAACCACAACAGAATGGATTCTGCAAACAATTCGAGTGAGTTTGGAAGCAGATTCTTCCCCAGGTGAGGCCTCAGTTGATACAGTAGCTTGCCTGACATCTTGATTGCAACCAGAATTATGCTGATAAATTTGTGGCAACTTTTATATAGCAATGGAAAATGAATGCACACACGGTAAGTTACTTTTGATTTAGATGGATACTTGTGAGGCTTGCTTTGAAAGGTTTTATAAAGATCCTGGAACAGCATTTAGTCTAGGTATAATTATCTTCCATGAAGATATGACCCTCTTGAGGCCTTGGTTGAATGCACTGGGTAGTAAAAAGTCTCTTCATTCTCTCTGGTGGGAACACAAACGATTCCCTATGCAAGTTCTAGGAATTATGTGGCCTACCACTTTCACCTGCTTATTCCTCAGCTTCATGGAGCTTTACCCCACAATGTCACAGAATAATACTCTACCAAATAATGAGAAGATCCTTCTGTGATCCCAAGCTATTTCTTTGCACGGTCCCTCCCTGTGGCGTACTCTGCTCAACAAATTCTACCCATCTCCTGAATTCTCTCATCTGTCTTTTGAATTCAATGGATTGCTAAGCTCTGTTCACTGAATCGTGGAATTTGCCTTTTTAAAATTTTTTTTTATATTTTAAGTTCTAGGATACCTGTACAGAATATGCAGGTTTGTTACATAGGTATACACATGCCATGGTGGTTTGCTGCACCCATCAGCCCGTCATCTACATTAGGTATTTCTCCTAATGCTATTCCTCCCCTAGCCCCCAACCCCCGACAGGCCCCAGTGTGTGATGTTCCCCTCCCTGGGTCCATCATGTGTTCTCATAGTTCAACTCCCACTTGTGAGTGAGAATATACGGTGTTTGGTTTTCTGTTTCTGTGTTAATTTGCTGAGAATAATGGTTTCCAGCTTCATCCATGTCCCTGCAAAGGACATGAACTCATCCTTGTTTATGGATGCATTGTAGTCCATGGTGTATATGTGCCAGACTTTCTTTATCCAGTCTAACACTGATAGGTATTTGAGCTGGTTCCAAGTCTTTGCTATTGTGAACATTGCTGCAATAAACATACGTGTGCATGTGTCTTTATAGTAGAATGATTTATAATCCTTTGGGTATATACCCAGTAATGGGATTGCTGGGTCAAATGGTATTTCTGGTTCGAAATCCTTGAGGAATCAGCACCCTGTCTTCCACAATGCTTGAACTAATTTACACTCCCACCAACAGTGTAAAAGCATTCCGATTTCTCCAAATCCTCTCCAGCATCTGTTGTTTCCAGACTTTTTAATGATCACCATTCTAACTGGCATGAGATGGTATCTCATTGTGGTTTTGATTTGCATTTCTCTAATGACCAGTGATGATGAGCTTTTTTTCATATGTTTGTTGGCTGCATAAATATCTTCTTTTGAGAAGTGTCTGTTCATATCCTTCGCCCACTTTTTGATGTTTTTTTTTTTTGGTAAATTTATTTAAGCTCCTTGTAGATTCTGGATTATTAGCCCTTTGTCAGATGAATAGATGGCAGAATTTTTCTCCCATTCTGTAGGTTGCCTGTTCATTCTGATGATAGTTTCTTTTACTGTGCAGAAGCTCTTTAGTTTAATTCAATCCCATTTGTCAATTTTGGCTTTTGTTCCCATTGCTTTTGATGTTTTAGTCATGAAGTCTTTGCCCATGCCTATGTCCTGAATGGTATTGCCTAGGTTTTCTTCTAGGGTTTTTATGGTTTTAGGTTTTACATTTAAATCTTTAATCCATCTTGAGTTAATTTTTGTATAAGGTGTAAGGAAGGGGTCCAGTTTTAGCTTTCTGCATATGGCTAGCCAGTTTTCCCAACACCATTTATTAAATATGGAATCCTTTTCCCATTGCTTGTTTTTGTAAGGTTTGTCAAAGATCACATGGTTGTAGATGTGTGGTGTTATTTCTGAGGCCTCTTTTCTGTTCCATTTGTTTATATGTCTGTTTTGGTACAAGTGCCATGCTGTTTGGGTTACCGTAGCCTTATAGTATAGTTTGAAGTCAGGTAGCATGATACCTCCAGCTTTGATCTTTCTACTTAGGATTGTCTTCGCTATACGGGCTCTTTTTTTGTTCCTATGAAATTTAAAGTAGTTTTTTTTTCTAATTCTGTGAGGAAAGTCAATGGTAGCTTGATGGGGATAGCATTGAATCAGTAAACTGGAGTAATTTTTTGACTCATCTTTATCCTAGGCTGTCTGATATCCAATGTCTGAAAACAGTTATTTTATATATCTATATCTATATATATATATTTCTGTTTTGATTTTTGTTTTGGCAGATAGGTCATCCCTAGAGCAGTTGATCGTTCATGGGCTGAAGCAAAAGTCCTGTCATACTTTATTTTGTTATCTGTCATCATTCTGGAATGTATATGTCATGAGGGCTGATATTTGGCCTGCTTTTGTTCATTGCTGGACCTCTAGTGTCTGGAATATTGTATGTGCAGAGTATATGTATATGCACAATAAGTAATTTCATATGAATGAGTTTAGACATACCATTCTTAGTGTCTGTGGAGTGTATTTTTCATTTTCTGATATATATCACCAACTTGAGAGGTTATGTGAGTTTGGTTTTTCTTGTTTCACCTGGGGTATTTCACAGAACCTTTCTTATAACTTCCGCTTCTTAGAGTTAATTTCTAAGGCAATTTGTTCGTCCATTCATTTAGCTAATATACACTGAAAAATTATGATATCCCAGGTGGTCTTTTAGGCACTAGTTAGGAAAACATACTCTTAGGTCTTTCCTTTTTCTCTGTTGTAAGTGTAATCTCTTTCCTAACTTTCTTTTTTCTTCTCTCTTAAGTCTTATGATAGTATCTAAAAATTCCTTAAACATAGTGGTCAGTAAGTACATTATATTGGCTTTAATAATAGGTAAGTGGGTCTGAAGTACTTGTACCCTGTGTGTAGTGGACAGTAATGATGGAGCAATAGTTGATCTTAGGGAGATGCGAATAATCTGAGTAGAGCAAAGGCTATATACAGCATGAATAGTTGGAGAACCTTTCTCATTACCAAACTTGGACAGGACACTATCAGTGTGCTAAAGGGAAAAGAAAATGCCTGGAGCATTATTTCTCCAAAAATGAAGTATACTGAAAAATATTGTATTATAATAATCATAATAAGTGATTTTTGAAGTGTTCTAAATTTAAATCTTTTGAATCTAAAGTATGATTTTTTCTATGTAAGTATTGCTGTACATATGTTATACACAAGATTTGGGACAAGAAATTTGATGGTTTAATGTGTTATATAGTTTTCTAGGCATTCTTGTTTGGGAAGTACAGTAGTATCTTAAAAAATGAAGCAAAACTACCATCCTGGAAAGATAATCCCAGAAAGATAGAGCCTAGCTTCACTTACAATAAAATCATCCATCCTTCGATATTTCTGTGGGTACAACAAAGCTTGGTTTGCTAGAAATACTTTAATTAATATTTTAGAGTTTAAAATATTATTGCTGAAAATTTATTTGCATAATCTTGCTTTTTTAAAAAAATTATTTTTTCAATTTGCCAGACTGTTAGCTCCATTAGGACAAAAACCATATTTTTGATTTATTGATATAATCCCAGAATTTGCATATTCTAGGTGTTCAATAATTACGTGCTGTAAGAGTGAACAATTAATTATTAATGACGTTGAAAAAAGACATTAGTGATTATCTAGATTTTGCAAATTTACTGTATAAAAATAGTCCTTTATCAAATGGTTAAATTGTGAAGGCATATGCAATTTGAAAGGTAACTATAATTTAAAAGAACAGAACATTTACTTGTAGAAATTCCAACTGATCTGTTAAAAAAATTTCCATTGGCTTAAACCACATGAAAACCTATTAGAATATTAATCAAATAATAAAAGGGAACATAAATTATTAAAATGTGTGTTTAGCAGAAAATATGTCAAAATACACAATACAGTTCTTCATGTAAGCTAAAAGCAAAAGCCATCATGGTGAAATACAGGTCAAAATTATTTTAGCTTGTTTCTCTTGATTAGGAATAGAGAAATCTATGAATGAGGGAAGCTCTGGGCAAATTGTAGAGAGAATACACAGGCAGAGTTTCATTATCCTTCACATCCTTTTTTTGTGGGTTTTGTGGGTTGTGGAGGGTTGGTTGGGGAAGGAGGTATCTTTTTGGCTCTTCGAGACTAGACTACCTTGTCAACTCTCATGACCTATCAGAGCAAACATTGCCGTACTAGACAAAAAGCAAGCACCCCTCCTTCTCTCTCCAATTCACCACATGCTTTGTCTTGGCTTGCTAAAGACTCTTGGGGAGAATGCTTTTATTAGAGTCACTTCAAGAGGTGCATCTGACTTCTGTTTGGACACAGGCTACTTTGACTGATCTAAAGTATCATGAAAATGTTATGGTACAGCCAAAACATGCATATAGCTAGTTATCTCTTTTCAGGTTTTCAGGATGTTCATTGGCCTTTGATTTATTTCTCCTTCAACTAATTTCTTGAAGTGTTTTGAAGGTTTTTGTTGTTGTTACCTCCTTTTGGTAGAATTCGCCTGTAGATGTTGGCTACCGAATTTGACTACAGTGAGCCATGATGCCATCTTCCCTGGCAACCGTGCCTTCAGGTCTGGTTATGAGTACAGTGAGATATTGCACTTCCTTTCTGCCCTTAAGAGAAATAGGAAAGGAATAGATATTTTTCTCCTCTAAGGAAGATAGAGCTCAAAACTCACTTTCTTATAGCATTACCAAAGACAAAATCTAGAGAAAACAATATTAGGCCAAAATGAGGACTGTAATTAAATATATAGTCATGTTTTCACACTTTAGTTTTTAAACTCTTATTGACATCATAGGTTATGTTGCTCCCCCTTAAATAGCTTCCAAAAGTAAAAAATTGCTCATGTATCAAATGTGTAAAGGTTTATGATGATTTGATCATTTCTGGAGTGACCTTTCATACCTCTCATTTCTGCACTGTGTGAGTGCTCTTAAGAGCGACTGAAAACAAACTATTTTTTGCTATATATTTAAATGTTATCCAAGGTGCAAGAAACCACACTCATTCATACAGACACTATCACCTTCTTTTGAAGGAAATAAAATATATTAGTTTATTTATTGGTAAGCACAGTTCTGGTCTCTGAAATACGCCATAAAATTTTATAACTTATAAAAGAGTAATATTCACCAAGAGGCTAGTGGAGACTTTGGTTTTGAGGAGGAAAATAAAAAAATTAAATGAAAAAATAATTACATGCCTTTTAGATAAGATTTTGTGTAGTAAAAATAAGGTTATTTTATATAATGTCAATGTAATTTTTATATGAAGAGGTGAACAAAACAATTTTACTTATAGGCTTCAATAGAAAGTATACAAGATACTGACTAAAATATAATAAAAATTTTATGATTTTCTGGCTTATGGAATCAGTATTTTACTACTCATACGTTTACATTTGCTTTTTCTCAAAACTATATGCTATAAAAACTTTGATAAGGGAGTACATCTTATTAATGATTTCACAATGATGTCTAATATAGTTTAGTGTCTTGATAATTTAGGTAATGAATAAATATGTGATTTCTTTTCAACCGTGTGATCATTTGAATACAATTTTGCAGGCACACAATTAGTTTTACAACGCGCATATCTGAAATTATTTTCTTTTTGGTGCATGGGATTTTCAAGAATTGAACTTCCAAAGCTCCTAAAACCCTGTATAAAAACAGTTTGCTTTAAAGAACAGGGTGAAAGCCAATAATAGAGATCTGTGGGAGGAAGCTCTTATTGCAGAGGTGAGGGTGTGCTATCTGACTTGTTCATCAGGTGAACAAGTAGCATGATCAAGTCATCCTGGTTTTCCTGGGACTTTGCTGGTTTTAACACTGACAGTCTTGAATCCTGGGAACGTCCTTGGTCCATATAATCAATATACAAAACTTCAGTGGGTCAGGCGATATCTAACCTATGTCTATGTCTTTATCTATAAATGAATCTGTATCTGTATTTGTCTACATACTAGATATGTGATATGGGTATACACAGTGATTCAGGAAGGGGGAAAAGCACAAAGGGGTCTTATACGCTTGTATGTACTGATATAGTACTGTGTCTAATATCCACAGGTGCAGAGAGTTGTGTTAACTCTAGTATTAGTTTCATAACAATTGTCATGGCTGGTCCATTCCAGGTCTTCTCATTTTATTCATTTAATCTTTTTTCCTTTATCCCTTATTTCTACCATCCACTCTAGTAATATGTTCCATATATGTTCTCAACTATTTTTGAATTCTTGTAAAATAAGCAGTATTTGTTTGTGGACAGAGAGGTTTTAATTTTCACAAATGTTATGGTACTATAGGTTTTATTTTATTTGTTAAATTTATTTTTGTTTTTAAGGTTTATAATATTCTAAGAGAATAATCAGATTTATTGTTTCAAATTACTGCATGATAATATCCATCACATGCATCTACTACATTTTAACATTCATTCCTTTACTGATGAATACTTAAACTGTCCCCAACCCCTTGCTGCCATAATAATGCAGCACTGAACATTTTGGACTTATTCTGAGTGTTTATCTGGATTTCATACCTTAAAATCAGAGTTCTGTATGTCAGGAAATAGGCATCCTTAATTTCAATATGCTTTGCCAGATTGCATTCCAGTCAGAGTGTTTATACTTTCACTTGTATTAAGCAAGACTTCCCATCTCCTTGTTTTTGTTTCAAAGGTTGGCATTATCCATCTTCCTAATTGAGCACTTTGTGTTTGATGCTCATATTTTAGCAAATCATATTAACACACATTTTGGTTAGTCTTTAGTTTTCTGTTTCTTCTTATCCATCTTCATGTTTTATTTTTTATTATAATTAAAAGCATCACAAACTATAGGACACATGTGTAGAAGAATCAGCATTTCTTGGGTTCTAGATTCACTTTCTTTTTGACAACCAATATTGTTAAATGACTCCTAACTTGAAATTTTATGTACCTTTTTAAAGCATGAAGAACATTTGAAATACTGAGAGAAAAAAATTGCTCCAGATTTTATTTCAGCTAAATGTCTGGGTTTATCAATCCCATTACTGGGTATATACCCAAAGGAATATTAATCATTCTATTATAAAGATACATGCATGCATATGTTCATTGCAGCACTATTCACAATAGCAAAGACATGGAATCAACCTAAGTGCCCCTCAATGATAGAGTGGATAAAGAAAATGTGGTACATATACACCATGGAATACTATGCAACTGTAAAAAGGAATGAGATCATGTCCTTTGCAGGGACATGGATGCAGCTGGAGGCCATTATCCTCAGCAAACTAATGCAGGAACCCAAAACCAAATACCACATGTTTTCACTTTTAAGTGGAAGTTGAATGATGAGAACACATGGAGGGGGAACAACACACACTGGGGGCTGTCGGCAGGTCGGGGGTGGGGGAAAGGGCATTAGGAAGAATACCTAATGGATGCTGGGCTTCATACCTGGGTGATGGGATGATCTGTGCAGCAAACTGCCATGGCACGTGTTTACTGTACATCCTGCACATGTACCCCTGAACTTAAAATAAAAGTTGGAAAAAAGGTCAATGTCTGGGTTTATGAACAGCAAAAACTGATATATTTCATATAGTGGAGATATTTCTTTTGGAATATTCCATGATTAAGGCTTTTGTGGCATACACAACAATGTGATCAATGTCTTATATAACATCAACCTCCTCAGGCCTCACTATTCTGTGGTTCCTAGTTAGGTCATATTACCATCTTTGCTCACATTTCACTTGCTTGTAGATCCTGTAGCATCGTAGTTTTCTAATCAGCATCTCCTGTTCCTGTACTGGGAGTTGTTGGGGCCTTTTACATGTGTCTCTAGTCTCCTTTCCCTAAGGTCTTAAAGAGCCAGTGCAAGATGGAGCTTATTGTTCTGCTGCTACCCTCCTTGAAAACAGTGCTTCTCTCTGCTGATTTCTTTGCTGTCTCCTAGGCTGTATTTTTCTATAAAATGCTATATTTTATTTGTTACCTTATCCCCAGTGCTTGAGTTAGTACGTGCTACATAATAGCTGTTAAGTAACTACTTGTGGATTGTATGAATAAACGAATGAGTTCATTAATACGCACATATTTATTGAGTATAGGTAAAAATAGAAGGCTAGTACCTGAGGATACAATGATGGACTTTAGAGACATGAGTTCTTTCCACATGGAGGGCAGTTATCATTCACTGGAGAATACGGATCAGTGAACAGGCAGTCATCATGCAGCACAAGGCGCCAAATGTCATGTGAGGAGAGTGCAGGATGCTGGACCCACCAACGAAGGGCACCCAGGGACTCCATTTAGGATCCACCCAGGCCACCTTGGTCTATAGATAGCTGTTTGCGCTGGTCTGTTTTGTTGGGGATGGGCAGAGAAGTTCTTTACTTCTCTGGATGCAGGAATGCTCTTCCTACCACAACTCTCTCCAGAATTGAGGATCTCCACAAACTCTAGGTCATTTCTGGGTTTAAGGGCTTTAAAAAATACATATTTCCAAAGCAGAAAATTGCTTCCTTAATGCATTTCTGTTTCTAATTTACCACAAGAACATTTCTAAGGAGAATCTAAATTTATCTTTTTTTACTTTAAAAATGTAGTATACTAACTATAATGTCTGGAAAATAAGATGAAAACCTAAGACTAATTCACTGGGTTTTTTTTTTTCTTTTTTTGGGGGGTGGGGTGCGGGGTGGAACATGCAAGGGAAAGAGTAATGTATAATTCTTTGTAAGACATACATTTCAATGCTGGGTTTTGGTTGTTGTTTTTTTTTCTTATTTAATCATCACTAGCAGGTGTGCATGATGATGTTGGGGTTTCTTTTATTTCTGGCAAAGCATTTAGCATATAGTTTTATGTTCATGAAGTATATTTCAATGGGACCAATGTATTCATTGGAGCTCATTAAATATCACATAGTGGTAGACTAGGATAAGAAACTCTTTTAAATGTACTCCCCCCTCATTCACACGCTAATATTCTGTCAAGTTCAGTATGTGTCCTAGAGCTTTAGGAAGTGTTTTATCTTCAGATACTTCATTCATGCTCATCAAAACACAGTCAAATAAGAAAAATCTGTTTCACTTTCTAGTAATTTTCTGACTGATAACATACTGCAGTATTTTTATGAATGTAGCATACTTTTAAAATGTTATATTAACTTTCTCTTTGATTTTGTATAGGAAACATATCAGCTCTGTTTGATTTAAATGAAGAGAAAATGTATAACTAAACACCCAGGCTTTGGTTAGCAAGGCTGCTGTTACCTTATCCCCAGTGCTTGGGTTACTTGAGGAGACCACCTGGGGGCTTCCACGGCCCTGAGCCTTACCAGGCTGCCCAGGGCTGAGAGGATTAATATCTCAGCACATCTGTGCCCCACTGGTAGCACACTGCTTGGAAAGATTTATACTCATGTGCAAAGGACAGCCATGGCAAAATTGTGAAGTATATTACTGTATACACAAACTTTGACCTTTTTCCTCTTCTTTCTTTTCTTCTTCTTTCCCCTCATCTTTTAATATAATATTCATGGGGTGTTTTTGTGAATTTAACGAAAATGTTTTGATAATAAAAAATAGATAATGTAAAATTACTTGTATAATTACAACATTCCAAAATAACTGTGGTTATATAGGATATGTGTAAATTGTGATCATAAGTCTTACAGACTACAGACCTGATGGTCTGTATACATTTCCCCATAAAATCAAACATGATTTTAATTCCTGTGAGATAATCCATTAAAAGAATGTTCTGTTGCTAATTTTAAAAAATTTTTAGGTAATTCTAATGTTTCTTTATATTATAGTGTATAAATATGTATCCTTAAATATAATTTGGATTAATTATAGAAGTAAAAATAAAGATCTATTTTAGCTGCACTAGCTGCTATAACAATTAAACCCGAAAGTTCTAGTGTTTAGCCAGGTATGCTTTTTGTTCACAGAAAGATCAATCACGGTGAAGTGTGGTTTTGGGGGGTAGCACAGAAGGAATGCCATTCTTCACATTCCAGGATCATGGTGACAGGTTTTACCCTTGTCAACACATGCCTTCAGTGGTCACCTTGGGAGATGACATACAGCCAACAGATTGGGGAAGGGAAGCAGAATGTTGTATTTCGTGGAAGCTTTATATGGGCCCCACCAGGAAGTGGCCTCGAATCTACTCATGCTCCATTGCGGGAATGTGGTCACAGCCAAACTATACCAAATTGATAGCTGGGGAAGGTAGTTTAACTGTGTGCCCAGATGTCTGGTCATCATTTCAAGGTCATAATTTTAACCATATTTAGATTTCTTCTCAATTATCCTAGAAATATTTCACTCAATTTATACTCACAATAGCAGTGTAGAAAAAAATGCTTATTTTAACGCAACAGTAATGGGTACTTTAAAAAGAAAAGGTTTCTGATTTTAAAATAATAAAAGGCTTCTCATTATTGCTTTAAAAGGCAATTCTTTGTGTACAAGTGAGGTTGAACATTTTTGACATGCACATGGGCCTTTTTTCATTCTTTCTGAATTCTGAATTTATGAATTTAACCATTTTTTTCCTTCTAAGATGCATTTTTTTTCTTAAGGATTAAAAAAACTTCCTTAATGAAGATGTGGAGAAAGCAGTATTGATTTTTGTTTAGCCACTTTAGGTTTGTGTTTTAACTCTGTTCTGACATATATTTTTCATAAAGTAGCCTTTAATTTTAATGTGATCAAATAAACTGTTGTTGTTTTTTAATGTTTTTTTTTTTTCTCTTTTTTTATATACCTAGCTTTTCTGGCACATTTAATCCTCTTTTTGTCCCCTCCTTAGTTCCTTAATGTCCTCTTAAACCTCTGTGTGTTAAATCCTCTTTCTTTTTTGTCCCCTCCTTGGTTCCTTAATGTCCTCTTACACCTCTGTCTGTTAAGTCTTCTTTCTTTTTTGTCCCCTCCTTAGTTCCTTAATGTCCTCTTACACCTCTGTCTGTTCTGTTTCGGGTTTTTCCACTCTGATCATTGCCTGTCTCCCAGGGAAGCCTTGTTTGCCAGGGCTTGTGAATTCTCCTTTTCACTCTACCCTTGTCTCTATTAAGATTGATTGGCACAGAGAATCGTTCTGGAGAAAGAAGCTCTTAACTACATCTCTCATTAATACACTTATTAAAATTCTTAATATGTGCCCGGTGCTCTTGAGTGCTTTAAATGCAGTGTTTCATTTCATCTTAATATCATTTGGGTTAAAGAAGTTACCACTTGCCCAAGGTCACGGAACAAGTGAATAGAAGAGAATGGATTTGCATTGCTGCATCTTGAAATATGAGAATCATGCTTCTGGGAGATAATTTGGGTGAGGGCCTTTTAGTTGCTCAGGTTTAACCCTTGATTCGGTGATGCCCACATCATTAAGAACATTCTTGACTCCTACAGTTTGAGTTTCCACTTAAAGTCTCTGCAAATCTTTTCTCTGAATAGTTCAGCCATAAAGGTATCCATTTCTTTCTATTTGTCTTTGATACAAATGAGCAGAATCAAGTTTTATTCAAATAGAAAACTGTACTTCCCATCAAATAAAATGCTCCGCTCTTGAAACTTCCGTTTTAGCTTACATCAGGAGTTACCGGCACTGATTAATAAATTGTAGATGACTATATATCCTCCCAGGCCTGGTGCCCTAAAGCTCTTTAGTAGCCTAACCATCTTCTATCCACGGTTTTATTATCTCCTTTCTCCTAGGATGGTAAGGGACTTGTGTTATCCCTTATTTGATTCAAATTCCTGATTTGTTCAAATCCTGTAGACCAAACAGGTGCTGTAAATATGTGAATCTCATCACTATATTATTTTCTGTCATGAAACAATGGACTCTGAACAAATGGGATAATAAATCTCAGCATGCTGCTTATACATGCCATGTGGATTTGGGTATTTATGTTTCAAATTGAGAGTATTAATGTCCTTTCTACTCACTTCATTTTTATGCTTTATAGCATCATTCACATGGTCAACTCTGAGAATGGTTACCTTCCCTCTAAACAGATACACTCCTTATTAAGTCTCTTATGTGTGTATTTTTTTTTTTTTTTGCAGATGATAACAATATGTGGGGTTGATCTCATGCCATATATATAATTCTGAGAAGAAAACAAAGAAAACCTGAGCCAGGCAACTGTTCCTTGAGGAGATTTCAGTGTCTATCAGTAGATAGCTTTCTAAAGAGAAACATCCATAATAACTGGATTATCATTTTCTGATTTACAGTGGGATAGTAGCTCTAACAGAACCATGAAAGATCATCTAGAATTATTTGTGACTATAAAATAATAACATAGTTTGGGGCAATTGGCTATGGGGTTTTCTCATCATTTTAGAGCTGGATCTAGTAATTTCCTTGTCTATTGACAAGGCCATTTGTACACAGTCACAAACAAAGAAAAATAAGATTTTTAGAAGTTTTCAGAGCAAAAAATCACTACCTCCCTTTATAAATACTTTTTATATCAAAGAAAGCAGTATCAGAAAGTGTTTCTTTGCATTTAATCTAAATTAGAAGAAGCAGCAATATGCGCAATTCTCAGCAGAGCTGTAGGCATTCTTGATACATCTTTAACTCATTTAATCTTTCTTGATATTTTCTCTAAAGATAAGAAAATAAAGACTTGAGAAGATATAAAACTTAACTCCTTTGTACAATCATTCTAAAATTATAAAACAAAAACTATTTCAATTAGGGGGTCAAGTGAAGAGATCTAAATATATTCCTTTTGTCGAATGTGCTACTCTTATTAAAGGCTGAAATTCCCTGAGAAGCCATTATTCCTGTTGCAAAAACAAAATTAAACTCAATTCAGTCAGTAGCTATTAAATCCAGGTGCATTACCTTAAGTCAGAGGAACTTAATCCTCTTCTTTTACTATTTTGGCCTACTTACAAGTTTACTAATACAATACTTTAGATATGCATAACTTTTTCTTGTCTGTGGAATAGTGAAAACTATAAGTACTAAGTTCAATATTTGCACCTGATTATCATTTTATAAGAGGAAATATTGGTCTTCATCGTTGTCATATTAAACATCATTTTCTGAATAAGTTTCAGCTCATCTTTTTGTAAATATTTTTTTTCCCACGGTTAAGCCATGTAGATTTACTTTCTTTTTTATGTTTACTTTTTAGAATACATTGGTTAGAGTGGTATGAGTGTAAGGTAGCTGGAATGGGATGGAAATCTTGAGATGTATGTATTTTTCCATATAAATTACTCTATAAATCTGTAAGAAATGCTTGGGGTGTGTTTGTGAATAATGTATTGTGCTTCAAGTGTGACACATTTGTTCCTGTGCATATGCATTTTACAGAGTTCAGACTGGGTCTACTAGATTGCATTTGAAAATATGTCAACTTTTAAAATAGGCTCCTGGATAGACCCATATGATCTATTCAGACTTAGTTAGTAATATATTCCAGTCATTTTGTGGAAGGCCGAAATGCTCGTATTTTACTGTAGTAGTTACCATCCATCGAACCATAGGAAAATTCCTGGATCAAAAATGATGTTTTCAGTTTCTGAAGCTTTTATAATACATATATAACTCTGAACACGAATATTTCAAACTTTTAAAGTTTTGATAATATGGGAAATGGATTTTTATAACCTATTCCAGGCAGCATTGTATATTCAAGAAGTCTTGTGAAGGTGCTTCTGTCCAATCCCTGGAATCTCGAGAAGGTAGTGTATCTTTTTATTCTTATGTCCTCAAGGTAGCCTGTTTTTACATTGTTGAAAGTTGTTAGAAACGTGATTGTGACAAATCTTCTTAAAAAAGTGAAGAATATTTATACAGAACTTTCTTCAAATTCTTATTCAAAAAGTTTTGACTGCAAAACCACATTTAAACTAAACCACGTTGTGGAGTGGGATGGAAATGAAATCTTTAAAATAATGATTAGCCTTTTTACAACTTTTTTGAACCCCATTAACTTTTGGGAACTAAAAATTAAAACCACAAACCTTTTTTATGTTCACTGATAACTTATTTGAGAAATAAGTACCCCATGGCATGTATTAAATATAAATTAGATTGATTTGAAATTTTAAGGATGAGTTATTTAACTTTCCACACGACACAAACCAATAATCTTGCTAAATTGTAGCAAACAAGAAGCAATAGCAATTGAGGTCTTATATTTTAATGGTGAATACAGTGGCAGCTGTATAAAGTGATGCCTAGAAGGTCACATATGTTAGCTCTGCGGGGAGCCACATCCTTCACTTTGTAAGGAATTAGTAAACAGGGTTTCTCCCTAGATGAATGTGAGAAACCAGATGGTTCTATCTTCCATAATGTATCAATTTACACTTAGAAAATATACTAAACATATAACCTGTCATGCTGAGGAAATTTTAGGTAAATTATAATCAAGATTCCTGAAAAAATACAATCAGAACTGTGGGTGGGTTTGATTGTTGTTGTTTCCTTGTTTGGTGTTGTTCAATTGGAGTCTGGGTTTGAATCACTTTGCGTCAGAGCTTGGCTCTGGACTGAAGTGAACTCTGAGTTTCATAATAGTTGTATAACCTCTGGGCAAGTTGCGTGACCTTTACTAAGTTTTAGTTTCAGCACTTTGTGATAAGTAATAATATAACATCACATATGTCAAAGGGCTGTCTGGTGTTCCCGGCAACATATTAAAAATTCTTAATTTTACTATTTGCTCTCCTTGGGCAGTCTCTTCAGTTCTCATGGATTTTAAACCATTTTCATGGTAATGAAGTCTCTAGTCCAGGCCTCTTCTGTGTGCTTTAGACTTGCCTACCTTTTAAGTGATTCATCTCCACTTGGATTTCTCAAAGATATCTAAATAAAGTTTATCAAACTTCAAATTACTCTTTTCTCTGCAAAGAAATTATCCTTGATTCCTTCCCCCTTCATACCCCAACATTTAATTCATGAATAGACCTGCCAATTGGATTTCCAAAATCTAACTTCATCCTCTTCCGTCTCCTTCATCAAATGGTGGTACCACCTCCTTCGTCAAATGCCAGTTATCTCCTGCCTAGATTGCTCCCAGAGCATATCATCTATGACTTTTTCCATCCTGTGTCCCTCCTGCCCAATCTCCACAGTGCCGCAACTGTGACCTCCTCAGCACCTACTTTGGATTGCCTCATTCTTTTGTTTTATGTTCTGTAGGGGTTTCCTACTGAACTTAAAATATAATACATATTTCTTTCCATGGCTCACAAAACTCTTCATGGTTGCTTGGTGCATATCTTGCCAAATAGGTCTTTTGCTGCACTCCTTCTAGTTTCTCACACTCAAGCCAAACTATTTTTCCTTCAGTTCTGCATGACCCCAAGCTCTTCCCGGCCTTGGGTGTTTGGCATAAGGCATGCCCTTTTCTTGGCATGCTCTGCTCACTCCTCACCCTATACTTCACTCAAACTTATTACATTGTTTTGTCACTTTGGGCCTCAGGTTAAAGATGTTTTCCTTGGAGGTCTTCCGTGACTGCCCAAACTAAAGAAGATTCTTTTATGTGATTTATCTCCTGTGTGTTTGTATGTTAATACTACAAAGTGAAGTTATTTTATTATTTATCAGTTTGCTTTCTTTTGTGTCTGCATTCTCCATGAAAAGTTAAGCTGAATGACGACAGAGATAGTATCTGTCTGGATACTGTCTAGTCTAGGACATGATTCTTTATCTAGTAACTAGCACAGTTCCTGGCATGTAGTTGACAGTGAGCAAAAAATATATGTTGAGTGAATATATTTAATAACAAGATGCATTGGAAAGCAGAATACACAGAGGGCCCTATTAATATCAAGTGCTTAATAAATGTTGCCTATAACAGCAACTTGAGTTTATGCCTCAAATCCTGTTTGAGGTTGAAGGAAAAGAAAATATAAAGTATCTTCGTAAAACAACATAGCTGATTCTGATGGCTTTTTTGGGACTTTCCATTTTATAGTTCTTTGGTAAAGTTAATTTTTCCCCTTATATATTTTGCTGGCAAGAACATTTGAATGATGATTACAAAATAGTTGTATAATGACAGGCATATTAGCGGTCTTCAAATATGTGAGTTGGCCATAGCCTTTTGATTTAGTAGACCAATTTTGAACTAATTACAAAAATAATTGCCTGGGCACAGTGGCTCACGCCTGTAATCCCAGCACTTTGGGAGGCCGAAGTGTGTGGATCACCTGAGGTCAGGAGTTCGAGACGAGTCTGATCAACATGCTGAAACCCCATCTCTACTAAGCCAGGCATGGTGGCAGGCGCCTGTAATCCCAGCTATTTGAGGGGCCTAAGGTAGGAGAATCGTTTGAACTCAGGAGGCAGAGATCACAGTGAGCCAAGATCGCGCCACTGCACTCCAGCCTGGGTGACAGAAAGAGACTCCATCTAAAATAATAATAATAATTATCTAGTTTCACTGTAATTATTAGAAGCTTTGTGTATGTATACTCAGAAAGAAATTCGAGAAATAAAAGAATCGTGGAGAAATAGTGTTTTACACCCATTTTTTTTTTCAACTCCAAATAGGAGGTATTTTGTGATCCCAAATAATGATGACTAGATAATCTCTGGGGAGAGGTTGTGGCTTATGTGTCCTAATGGCAGGGTTGGGGGTGGCCTGCTGTTTCTGTCTCATAGGCCAAATTCACTCAGTTGCTGCTTGTCATATAGGGATTAGCATTCAGTTCTGAGGACAGTGTAACTTGTAATGTTGTCACTTTCTGTTTGGGTAAAGCTCAATCGCACCTCAACCTTGGATCTCTTTGACTTTTTGCTGTTATTTAGATTCATTCAAAGCCTGAGTGGGCATAGAGTTTTCTCTTACGCAGGTCTTGCTATAACGCACTCTGTTTTTCTAAATAGATTCCTTAGCTGCCTCCTCAAGCTGACACTTACAGAGTTCATCCACATCAAAGAGGAATCAAAGAGCTGTCACTTGGGTTGGTTTAGAGCGGTTTGAAAGAAGGACTTTTCACATTCTTAGATGGAAAGTCAGGATTGGTGGCAATACATGAATACCCAACAAACTGTGGAACGCATTTTCTGTTCACTGAAATGAAACTCCAGGGAAAGACATCGGATGTAGATATTTGACCGTTTGTTTCTCCACTCATCTTCTTTTTTTTCTTTTCCTCATAATTTCCTTGGACAAAAGAAGACTTATTTTAGTTACCCTGTTTTGTAAAGTAACGATTATTATGGCCTCATTTTCTCAATAATAAAGGGTGCTTTCTCTCTTTTAAGAGACTACTGAATTATCTGAGTCTTCAAGGCTTAGTCTTTGCTATACTTCTGTAAAAGCATCTGAGAAGTCCTTTCTCAAAACAACTGGTTTGTAAGGAATTTTCTTCCTGCAAAATTCGATTTTACTTAACAGGCCAAATATTAATAGGCTTACATTATTTCTTTAAAAGTTCTAATATTAACCCACAGGTCTTTGAATAAGGTAAAAATCAGATATTCATAAAGGTAATCATAAAGACAAAAGAGATAATTGCATTCATATTTGTCTAAATTATGGCATTCATACGAAACAAAAAATTACAAGGAATAGGGAAATCAATTTGGTACAAATATTAAGTTACTCTCAAGACTAAGGAAAAGATATGAGAAAAATAAACAGAGATCTTGAAAGATATTTCAATGTGCCTTAACATTTTTGTATTTACACTATAAATACAGTTTACCATACATGAATTATGCTGGGTTTGCATATAACTTTAATTTCTGAAGTTCAGGAGGCTTAATATGAATCTGCCATGAGTACATCGTATAGCCTGTTTTGGTTGACAACATTTAAATCCAAAAGTTCTTGTCTGTTTATTCTTCTCAACCTCGAATTGTCCACTGCACACCTGGTACACAATCTATCCCTTGCCCCTGCTTTTGTCTAATTTAGTGAGGAGCAAGGTCCATGTAAAAAATGTTGCACAGTCAGCACTTAGAGAAGGAAGCAAAATTTGTATCATTGGCTCTGCTGGTAGATAAGCTGTAAGAAAAGATTGCGGTTATTAAAATAAGATAGTGAGTGTTAGATGCCTTTGCCAAGAGGTTTATTATAATGGGATATGGATCTTGTTAATTAACTCAGTAAAAATACTAAATCTAGAAGGTCCTCTCTGGAAAGTATAGAAGAGACAATTTATGTGCTCTAAAAAGTGTTACAAAATCAGCAGCTTTTTCCTCAAAAATGCAAAGTGCCTACTATGTGCCATGCACTCTACTTGTAGGCGGAATAAATTGGATGTTTGCTTGACAGATGTTCAGTGATTCCCAAGAAGTTGAATATTACCACTGGCTCACATTCTGTTATCAGAAATCCTTGGGCCAGATGGACATCTGGAATCAGAACTTTTAAGATTTCAGATAGGCAATAAGTTTCTTATATCAGATTCTACATACCAGTGCCAGTAGGATCTGTGACAACCTTGTAATCAAATGTGTTTTTATTTATGTGATATAACATGCAAATAGTCAAGCTAAGTAGGATTAAATAAAGACTATAAAGCCTTATATCATATCAGCATGGGTTTTGTTACCAGATTTGGTTAGGTTAGGTTTTGTTGCTGATAGATGAGTTGCAAAAACACTATTAGATTTCAGAACTTTTAGATCTTGGAATTGCACATAAGAAATTGTGAATCTTATAATCCTAATCAGGCTGTACTAAAGTGAACAATACTGATAGAAAGTTTTCATTTATGCCGAAGTTGTGCAAGCATATTTGGAGCAATTCAACTCAACAAAGGGGAGATTTAGTAATATCATGAACTAACCAGATTGTCTTTGTGCTGCTACAACATGTATACAAAACAGAAAGTTATTTTCTCACAGTTCTGGACAGTAGGAAGTCCAAGATCAAGGTGCTGGCATCTGGTGAGGTCCAGTCTCTGCTTTCAAGGTGGTGCTTTGCAAGCTGCGTCTTCTGGAGGGAGGAAGGCTGTGTAAAGGCTCTTTTATAAAGACCTCTGAAAAGTCCCATTTCTTAATACTGTCACATTGATAACACCCAAATTTTGAAGGGGACACATTTAAAATATAGCATAATTATATCAGAATTTTTGGCCTCAGTTTTATCTGTGTAGCTTTGTATATCATGATAATATATACTTATAATCTTAGCAAGTTGTCAGATAAACTATTTACTCTTGATCTTCCCTCAAAACCGTTGTTATTATCTAACATTCCCATTGCTGTTCATAGCACCTTCACCCAGCTATTCCTTAATCAGGAAATAAAACATTGATATTCGGTTTTCCCTCATTGTGTGTCAATTTTGAATTCATTATCCATTTTTTATTTTGATCCCAAAGTAGATCTCAAATACACTTCACACAGAAGTGTTTCTTTACAAGCACTGTTCATATTATGTCAGTCCATTGCTTCATACACATCAATGGCTCTCCACTGTACATAGAATAAAAACCAAAATTCTTCACAAGAATAAAATTTTCTGGGTGATTTGGCCCCTTCCTGTCTCTCTGACACTATTTTACACCATTCTCTTCTATCTGCTATTTATTACTGGAAAACTGAAAATTATTCCTTTTTTTGGCATTTATATATATTGTGTCCTAAGCCTGGAGTGCTTTTCATCCCCAGCTCCTTGTCTATTTCCTGCTCATCTTTCTTTATATGGTACTGACATTTCCTGGATCTAAGGCAGGTCTCCACTCTTATTATTTTTCATAGTACCCTGGTCTTTCCCTTCAACTGATCACAATTTGATTATATACTTATTTCTGTGTTTTTGGTTAATGCCTATCTCCTCTATTAGACATTAAGGTCTACACTGGCGTGGTAATAAGTATAAAAATTTTGGACCAATTTTTTATACTTAGTGTTTGGCAGAGAACCTGACATAGGATAGAAGCTCGAAACTGCTAGATAAATGAATGCATGAGAAAGTGAACAACTTAATCGGTAGTGACTAATAGCTAACAAAGCAGTCTCACATTCATTATCACATTTAATCTCAAATCAACCATGTGAGGTGAGCAGGACAGGTATTATTAGCGCAAGGCTATCAATAAATAGTACGAGCTTAAAAAATAAAATGACTTGATGAGAATCACGTAAGAGTAAGAATAATGTCTTGGATTTTTGATTCTTAGCACATCCTTTTAAAATTTATTTTCCTCAAACTACTGTATACTATTTCATTATCAGTCTTTGAAAATGAAAGTAGATTTGGAAATCATGCTTATAGATTTCAATAGCAAAAATTTGTGTGACAGACTTGTAGGTTGTGGAATAAATTCCTGGCATGAATATTGCTCCTGATGGTTTCCTTTACGAATTGGATTTCACATTTCAGGATAAGGAGATACAACAAGGGTAACTTATCTGGTGACTCAGAAACACATTTATAAAATGGTGAAAGAGTACACTAAGATAAACCTAACTTTGCATTCAAAGATATGCCAAAGGAAACCAAGTTAAGGGAATAAACATCTGCCTATCATTAACAAAGGGAAGAGTATCTGATACTAGACAGAGAAATAAAAGCATTTTCTCATGATTTGCATAAGAAATCTTATTGAAGCCTTTTTTTGTTGATTAAGAAGAATTCTTTAGGTCTCATGTATACTATCATAAGTCCTTGTAGATGCAAATAAAGGCCATTCAATTGTTCAAAAATCATTTTGAATGAGGACATAAACAAAGTGGTAATTTCAATGAAGAAGGCTGTTTGAGGAGACTGATCCCTTCTTGACCTTGTCTCTTATCTATAAAATGAAAGGGCTTTGCTAGATGTTTCATAATGTAATTTCAATCCCTAATATTATTTGATATGGATTCTAAAATCGGGAAGGAGGTGCTCTAATTGTGAAGTCCTTCATATAAAATGTGTAAAGCAGAGTGATCTATTTCTCAACTGCATATTCTGTTTTAAAAAATAGTATCTAACAGATATGTTAAGTGAAGATAAAGTTTCCTTAAAGATTTTGACAATTCTGGAAACCGGGTCAGGCCACCTCCACACTGTTGTGTCACCAAACAACATGTCTCAGAGTTTCTAGTCAAATCCACTGTGTACCAGAAGTGGATTGATTATAAGAGATTCATGGTCAAAGGCAAGGCAGGGCAGCTATTACCAAGAAAAGCTGTTACAGTACATTTCCATATATATACAGTCCCATTTAGGAAATATGGAAATTAGTCTTCCAGGAATATGTCTATGAACTCCTACATGGAAGTCAAGCCTGATTATAGAATGACTCTAGGCACATGTAGCAGATTGTGAAATCTATTTGTTCATCATTCCCACAGGAGAGGACTATGGCATAATGGTTTAGCCCATTAAGAGCCTCTGTGCTGAAACCGCAGAGCCTGGGTGTGAATCCTGGCTTTGGCACTTGTTTGTGACCTTGGGAAGGCACTATCCTGTCTATGCTACAGTCTATAAAGTTATAGAAGTATTTCTTTCTATAAATTACACAATGAATGTAAATGCTTATACTCCAAAATATTACCTTTTGCCACATAGGTTAATTCTTATTTAAGAAAATTATTTATATTTCCATACAAACTACGCACACTCCCAAGTTGTGTCCGGAATTGGTGCGTTCTTGGCCTCACTGACTTCAAGAATGAAGCCGCGGACCCTCGCGGTGAGTGTTACAGCTCTTAAGGTAGGGCGTCTGGAGTTTGTTCCTTCTGATGTTCGGATGTGTTGGGAGTTTCTTCCTTCTGGTGGGTTCGCGGTCTCGCTGGCTCAGGAGTGAAGCTGCAGACCTTCACGGTGAGTGTTACAGCTCTTAAGGCAGCGCGTCTGGAGTTGTTTATGCCTCCCAGTGGGCTCGTGGTCTCACTGGCTTCAGGAGTGAAGCTGCAGACCTTCGCGGTGAGTGTTACAGCTCATAAAAGCAGCATGGACCCAAAGAGTGAGCAGTAGCAGGATTTATTGCAAAGAGCGAAAGAACAAAGCTTCCACAGTGTCGAAGGGGACCCGAGCGGGTTGCCACTGCTGGCTCGGGCAGCTGCTTTTATTCTCTTATCCGGCCCCACCCCAGTCCTGCTGATTGGTAGAGCCGAGTGGTCTGTTTTGACAGGGCGCTGATTGGTGCGTTTACAATCCCTGAGCTAGACACAAAGGTTCTCCAGGTCCCCACCACATTAGTTAGATACAAAGTATAGACACAAAGGTTCTCCAAGGCCCCACCAGAGTAGCTAGATACAGAGCATGGATTGGTGCACTCACAAACCCTGAGCTAGACACAGGGTGCTGATTGGTTTGTTTACAAATCTTGAGCTAGAGAGAGAGTGCCGATTGGTATATTTACAATCCCTGAGCTAGACATAAAGGTTCTCCAAGGCCCCACCAGACTCAGGAGCCCAGCTGGCTTCACCCAGTGGATCCCGCACCGGGGCTGCAGGTGGAGCTGCCTGCCAGTCCGGCACCGTGCACCTGCACTCCTCAGCCCTTGGGTGGTCGATGGGACTGGGCTCCGTGGAGCAGGGGGTGGCGCTCGTCAAGGAGGCTCGGGCTGCACAGGGGCCCACGGAGAGGGTGGGAAGCTCAGGCATGGCGGGCTGCAGGTCCCGGAGCCCTGCCCCACGGGAAGGCAGCTAAGGCCTCGTGAGAAATCGAGCGCAGCGCCCGTGGGCTGGCACTGCTGGGGGACCCAGTACACCCTCCGCAGCTGCTGGCCCAGGTGCTAAGCCCCTCATTGCCCGGGGCCGGCAGGGCCAGCCGGCTGCTCCCGAGGGCAGGGCCCGCCAAGCCCACGCCCACCCAGAACTCCAGCTGGCCCGCAAGCGCCGCACGCAGCCCCAGTTCCTGCTCGCGCCTCTCCCTCCACACCTCCCTGCAAGCTGAGGGAGTGGGCTCCGGCCTTGGCCAGCCCACAAAGGGGCTCCCACAGTGCAGCGGTGGGCTGAAGGGCTCCTCTAAGTGCCACCAAAGTGGGAGCCCAGGCAGAGGAGGTGCCGAGAGCGAGTGAGGGCTGTGAGGACTGCCAGCACGCTGTCACCTCTCAAAGTGACAGATAACATAAAAAAGCAAATTTATATTTATTATTAACACTGTTACTAAGAAATACTTAATTTAAGCATTATTTTAAATTGACCTCATTAGTAATGGATAACACATTTATTTTGAAATAATAAAGAACTACCTTAATTGCATAACAACCTCCTTCTCTCCTTTTTTTTTTTTTTTTTTTTTTTTTTGTCATTTTGGTTGCTTCAGTTTCATTCTTATACATCATATAAAGAGTTTCTTTCACCTGTGCCCAGGCTTTTTGGGGGCTGCTCTTTATGATCACATGATTATCCCTGGCTGCAAAGCTCCCAGATTGCAGAGCAACAAACAGTGCGGTGATTGTTCATAATTGTAAATCCACCCACACTTCTACCATTTTTGTTCATTGTTAAGTATTCATATTTTTGTACTCGGCTGGAGAGCATCATGTACATTAATTGTCACTGAGGTTGCTACTGGCTACCACTTTTATTTTGGAAAAGTATTTAAGGCAAAAACATATAAATTCTAATGCAAGCATTTCAGTTATTTGAATTCTTTATATGCAGTCCTTTTAGAGAAAGTTAGAGAAAGCGTGCACAGGCATTGGTCTTGATTATCTGGATATAATTAGAAGCTTATTGCAGAGGAGATAATATGAGAATTAGCATCTTACATCAGGCACAGAGTGGGGTGTTTTGTGAAGAAATGAAGAGAGAGAAAAACAGGTATAAACATTTTTAAAAGATGTTCCAAATTTAAGTAATTTGCAATGAAAAACAAAGGAATGCAGCCTGTTTAGTGCTCTTTGGGAATTATTAATTTTATGATCAATAATTTGACTTGATATGTTAGAAAACATTGATGTGGATATTTGTGTCTTGCAACCTATAAATTGGATAACTAATTTTGGGAATGACCTAGAAGTATGCAAAGACATCTAACAGAAGGACCAGACCCTGCATCACATTCTTACCATTTATGCTTCTTGGGGTATTAGCGTTTCCCTAGGATGTATCAGAGAACCCAGGATCTGGAAATCGCTCAAATCATCCAATTGGTTTCTTAAGATTCCTTCTTGGATACTCACAATGTATATAAACATATTTAAGAATTGGGAGAATTACTACAGTAAAAATTCCTTTTCAATTGTATTTAACCTATTATTTCCCAAATTTGTATGGTTATAGAACCTTACTTTTTGGATTTATAATACCTATGAAAATTGAGGACACAAATATAAGAAACACTAGGTTAAGTATGGACTACAGAAGGGAGCTATTCAGTTGCAAATCTTAATGTGGTAGTTAACTCTCAAGACCAATCAAGTTTATAATATTAACACTTAACCTGTCATTGTGAATTCATTTTCAGGTTATAGGGCCTCTCAGTTGCCAGAGGTCAGTATCCTAATGGAATGGGGATAATAACGATTATACTAATAGCTATTATATTGAAAAGTTACTATATGTCTGGCAATATGCAAGCTATTAAGTATGTTTAATTGTATTTAAAGATCATAAAACAACTATAAGGGATACAGATATAATTATCTCTGTCTTAAAATAAGAAGAGATTTAAAAATGTTAAGCAATTTGAAAAAGCCATACAATTAATTAAAGCAGATCTGAGATTCTGATCCATATTTTCTGCTTCTTAATTATCTAGGAGAGGGTATGGAGAGCAGGAGGTGAGGAGTTTCTGTGCAGTTAAGTAATGTGGTCATAGTGGAAGATCACTGGATTCCTAGGAAGTGTGGTCAACCAAGGCCTGAAAGTGGGGGAGGGCACGTATATTTGGCTTGATTCATAGTTTGTTCATCCTAATACCAATTAGCAAACTACAGAATCATGGAGTTCAAATAATTTTCTAAACTTATTGATATTTTTTGATAAATTGACTTGTAAATCCATTACATGGATAGATTTTTCTGAGGGACCCCTCCAAACACATACTTTTTCAATAATTCAACAGATGATACTATACATTAATCTTGTGACTAAATAATGAATTTTGCCTCAATGATAATTGGTTTATAATCAAGAAAACAATTTTCCCAGTAGAAAAAGTGCAGTTGTTATTCTTATTTATGTGCATCTCTAAATCTCTTTTAAAAATTACTGAGCTTGCTGGGTGCTGTGGCTCATGTCTGTAATCCCAGCACTTTGGAAGGCCAAGGTGGGGGAATTGCTTGAGCCCAGGAGTGTGAGACCAGCCTGGGCAATATAACAAGACCTGTCTCTACAAAATTTTTTTTTTTTTATGTTTGAGATGGAGTCTTGCTCTGTAGCCCAGGCTGGAGTGCAGTGACGCCATCTTGGCTCACTGGAAGCTCTGCCTCCTGGGCTCACACCATTCTCCTGCCTCAGCCTCCCGAGTAGCTGGTACTACAGGCGTCTGCCACCACACCTGGCTATTTTTTTGTATTTTTAGTAGAGATGGGGTTTCATCGTGTTAGCCAGGATAGTCTCGATCTCCTGACCTCGTGATCCGTCTGCCTCGGCCTCCCAAAGTGCTGGGATTACAGGCGTGAGCCACTGCGCCCGGCCTACAAAAAAATTTTTAAAAATTAGCTGGATGTGGTGACATGTACATCTAGTCCCAGCTTCTCATGAGGCTGAGGCAGGAGGATCACTTGAACCAGGGAAGTTGACACTGCAGTGAGCTGTGATTGTACCACTACATTCCAGCCTTGGCAGCAGAGCAAGACTCTGTCTCAAAAAAAAAAAAAAAAAAAAAAGAAATTAAAAAAATTTACTGAGCTAAGCTTGTAATAATAGTTACTAATGAGTTAATGAAATAAATGAGAGCTGACTTTTTCTTTTTTTTTTTTTTTAATTTTAAGTTCTGGGAAACAGATGCAGAATGTGCAGGTTTGTTGCATAGGTATACATGTGCCATGGTGGTTTGCTGCACCTGTCAACCCGTCATCTAGGTTTTAAGCCCTGCACGCATTAGATATTTGTCCAAATGCTCTCCCTCCCCTTGCCCTCAACCCCCCGACAGGCCCTGGTGTGTGACATTCCCCTCCCTGTGTTCTCATTGTTCAACTCTGACTTATGAGTGAGAACATGCGGTGTTTGGTTTTCTGTTCCTGTCTTAGTTTGCTGAGAATGATGGTTTCCAGCTTCATCCATGTCCCTGCAAAAGACATTAACTCATTTTTTTTATGGCTGCATAGTATTCCATGGTGTATATGTACCACATTTTCTTTATCCAGTTTATCATTGATGAGCATTTGGGTTGGTTCCAAGTCTTTGCTGTTGTGAACAGTGCTGCAGTAAACATATGTGTGCATGTGTCTTTATAGTAGAATGATTTATAATCCTTTGGGTACATACCCGGTAATGGGATTGCTGGGTCAAATGGTATTTCTGGTTCTAGATCCTTGAGGAATCGGCACACTGTCTTCCACAATGTTTGAACTAATTTACACTCCCACCAACAGTGTAAAAGTGTTCCTATTTCTCTACAGTCTTGCCAGCATCTATTGTTTCCTGACTTTTTAATGATTGCCATTCTAACTGGCGTGAGATGATATCTCATTATGGTTTTGATATGCATTTCTCTAATGACCAGTGATGATGAGCTTTTTTTCATACATTCGTTGACCACATAAATGTCTTCTTTTGAGAAGTGTCTGTTCATATCCTTCACCCACTTTTTGATGGGGTTGTTTTTTTCTTGTAAATTTGTTTAAGTTCTTTGTAGACTCTGGATATTAGACCTTTGTCAGAAGGATACATTGCAAAAGTTTTCTCCCATTCTGTAGGTTGCTTGTTCATCCTGATGATAGTTTCTTTTGCTGCCCAGAAGCTCTTTAGTTTAATTAGATCCCATTTGTCAGTTTTGGCTTTTGTTGCCATTGCTTTTGGTGTTTTAGTCATAAAGACTTTGCCCACGCCTATGTCTTGAATGGTATTGCCTAGGTTTTCTTCTAGCGTTTTTATGGTTTTAGATTTTACGTTTAAGTCTTTAATCCATCTTGAATTATTTTTTGTATAAGGTATAAGGAAGGGGCCCAGTTTCTGTTTTCTGCATATGGCTAGCTAGTTTTCTCAGCACCATTTATTAAATAGGAAATCCATTCCCGATTGCTTTTGTCCAAGTTTTTCAAAGATCAGATGGGTGTAGATGTGTGGTGTTATTGCTGAGTCCTCTGTTCTGTTTCATTGGTCTATATGTCTGTTTTGGTACAAGTACCATGCTGTTTTGGTTACTGTAGCCTTGTATTATAGTTTGAAGTCAGTCAGCATGATGCCTTCAGCTTTGTTCTTTTTGCTTTGGATTATCTTGGCTATACAGGCTCTTTTTTGGTTCTATATGAAGTTTAAAATAGTATTTTCTAATTGTGTGAAGAAAGTCAATGGTAGTTTAATGGGAGTAGCATTGAATCTATAAATTAGTTTGGGCAGTATGGGCATTTTTACAATATTGATTTGTCCTATCCATGAGCATGGAATTTTTTTCCTTTTGTTTGTGTCCTTCCTTATTTCCTTGAGCAGTGGTTTGTAGTTCTCCTTGAAGAGGTCCTTCACGTCCCTTGTTAGTTGTATTCCTATGTATGTTATTCTCTTTTTAGCAGTTGTGAATAGGAGTTCACTCAAGACTTGGTGCTCTGTTTGTCCATTATTTGTGTATAAGAATGCTTGTGAATTTTGCACATTGATTTTGTATCCTGAGACTTTGCTGAAGTTGCTTATCAGCTTAATGAGTTTTGGGGCTGAGATGATGCAGTTTTCTAAATATACAATCATGTCATCTGCAAACAGAGACAATTTGACTTCCTCTCTTCCTATTTGAATACCCTTTATTTCTTTCTCTTGCCTGATTGCCCTGGTCAGAATTTCCAATACTATGTTGAATAGGATTGAGGAGATAGGGCATCCTTGTTTTGTGCCGGTTTTCAAAGGGAATGCTTCCAGCTTTTTCCCATTCAGTATGATATTGGCTATGGGATTGTCATAAATACCTCTTATTATTTTGAGATATGTTCCATCAATACCTAGGTTATTGAGAGTTTTTAGCATGAAGAGGTGTTAAATTTTATCAAAGGCCTTTTCTGCAACTATTGAGATAATCAAGTGGTTTTTGTCATTGGTTCTGTTTATGTGAAGAATTACGTTTATTGATTTGTGTATGTTGAACCAGCCTTGCATCCCAGGGATGAAGCCAACTTGATTGTGGTGGATAACCTTTTTAATGTGCTGCTGGATTTGGTTTGCCAGTAGTTTATTGAGGATTTTCGCATTGATGTTCATCAGGGATATTGGCCTGAAATTTTCTATTTTTCTTGTGTCTCTGGTATGTTTTGGTATCAGCATGATGCTGGCCTCCTAAAATGAGTTAGGGAAGAGTCTTTCTTTTTAATTTTTTGGAATACTTTCAGAAGGAATGGTACCCGCTCCTCATTGTACCTCTGGTAGAATTCGGCTGTGAATCCATCTGGTCCTGGGCTTTTTTTGGTTCGTTGACTATTAATTACTGCCTCAATTTCAGAACTTGTTATTGGTCTGTTCAGGAATTCAAATTCTTCCTGTTGTAGTCTTGGGAGAGTGTATGTGTCCAGGAATTCATCCATTTCTTCTAGATTTTCTAGTTTATTTGTGTAGAGGTGTTTATAGTATTCTCTGTTGGTAGTTTTTATTGTGCCTATTTGATTCTTCTCTCTTTTCTTCTTTATTAGCTGGCTAGCGGTCTATGTATTTTGTTCATCTTTTCAAAAAACCAGCTCCTGGATTCATTGATATTTTGAAGGGTTTTTTGTGTCTCTAACTCCTTCAATTCTGCTCTGATTATAGTTATTTCTTGCCTTCTAGCTTTTTAATTTGTTTGCTCTTGCTTCTCTAGCTATTTTAATTGTGATTTTAGAGTGTCAATTTCATATCTTTCATATTTGTTTAATATTGACAGTGGGTTGTTAAAGTCTCCCACTATAATTGTGTGGGAGTCTAAGTCTCTTTTTAGGTCTCTAAGAACTTGCTTTATGAATCTGGGTGCTCCTGTATTGGGTGCATATATATTTACCATAGTTAGGTCTTCTTGGTTCATTGATCCCTTTACCATTGTGTAATGCCCTTCTTTGTCTTTTTTGATCTCTGTTGGTTTAAAGTCTGTTTTATCAGAGACTAGGATTGCAACCTGCTTTCCATGTGCTTGGTAAACATTCCTCCATCCCTTTATTTTGAGCCTATGTGTGTCTTTCCACATGAGATGGGTCTCCTGAATACAGCACACCAATGCGTCTTGACTCTTTATCTAATTTGCCAGTCTGTGTCTTTTAATTGGGGCATTTAGCCCATTTACATTTAAGGTTAATATTGTTATGTGTCAATCTGATCTTGTTATCACGATGCTAGCTGGTTATTTTGCATATTAGTTAATGCAGTTTCTCCACAGTGTCATTGGTCTTTATATTTTGGCACGTTTTTGCAGTGGCTGGTACCAGTTTTTCCTTTCCATATTTAGTGCTTCCTTCAGGAGCTCTTGTAAGGCAGGCCTGGTGGTGACAAAATCCCTCAGTATTTGCTTGTCTGTAAAGGATTTTAATTCTTCTCCACTTATGAAGCTGAGTTTGTCTGGATATGAAATTCTGGGTTGAAAATTCTTTTCTTTAAGAATGTTGAATATTGGTCCCAATTCTCTTCTGCTTGTAGAGTTTCTGCAGAGAGAGCCACTGCTAGTCTGATAGGCTTCCCTTTGTAGGTATCCTTACCTTTCTCTCTGGGTGCCCTTAACATTTTGTCCTTTTTTTCAGCCTTGGGGAATCTGATGATTATGTATCTTGGGGTTGCTCTTCTTGAGGAGTATCTTTGTGGTGTTCTCTGTATTTCCTGAATTTGAATGTTGGCCTGTCTTTCTAGGTTGGGGAAGTTCTCCTAGATAATATACTGAAGTGTGTTTTCCAACTTGGTTTCATTCTCTTTGTCACTTTCAGGTACACCAGTTAGTCATAGGTTTGGTCTTTTCACATAGTCCCATATTTCTTGGAGGCTTTGTTTGTTCCTTTTCATTCTCTTTTCTTTGATCTTGTCTTCATGCCTTATATCATTAAGCTGATCTTCAGTCTCTGATATCCTTTCTTCTGCTTGATCGATTTGGCTACTGATACTTGTCTATGCTTCATGAACTTCTCGTGCTGTGTTTTTCAGCTGCATCAGTTCATTTATGTTTCCCTCTAAACTGGTTATTCTGGTTAGCAGTTCCTGTAACTTTTTATCAAGGTTCTTAGCTTCCTTGCATTTGGTTAGAATGTGTTCCTTTAGCTCAGAGGAGTTTGTTATTACCCACTGTCTGAAGCCTACTTCTGTCAATTCATCAAACTCATTCTCCATCAAGTTTCGTGCCCTTGCTGGAGAGGGGTTGCGATCATTTGGAGAAGAGGCATTCTGTTTTTTAGAGTCTTTAGCATTTTTTCACTGATTTTTCCTCACCTTTGTGGATTTATCTATCTTTGATCTTTCAGGCTGATGACCTTTGGATGGGGTTTTATGAGGGGATTTTTTTTTGTTAATGTTGATGTTATTGCTTTCTATTTGTTAGTGTTTGTTCTAACAGTCAGGCCCCTGTTCTGCAGTTCTGCTGCAGTTTGTTGGAGTTTCACTCCAGACCGTGTTTGCCTGGGTATCACCAGTGGAGGCTGCAGAACAGTAAAGACTGCTGCCTGCTCCTTCCTCTGGAAGCTTCGTCCCAGAAGGGCACCAGCCTGATGCCAGCTGGAGCTCTCCTGTATGAAATTTCTTTCGACCCCTGCTGAGAGGTCTCTTCTAGTCAGGAGTCATGGGGTCAAGGACCCACTAGAGGACACAGTCTGTCCCTTTAGCAGAGCTTGAGCACTGTGCTGGGAGAATCCTCCTTGTCAGGATCCACTGCTCTCTTCAGAGCCGGCAGGTAGGAACGTTTAAGTCTGCTGAAGCTGTACCCACAGCTGTCCCTTCCCCCAGGTGTTCTGTCCCAGGGAGATGGAAGTTTTATTTATAAGCCTCTGACTGAGGCTGCTGCCTTTCTTTCAGAGACTCCCTGCCCAGTGAGGAGGAATCTAGATAGGCAGTCTGGCCGCAGCTGCTTTGCCGTGCTCTGCTGCATTCAGTCCAGTCTGAACTTCCTGGCCTCCTTAGCACTGTCAGGGGAAAACCACCTACTCAAGCCTCAGTAATGGTGGAGGCCTATTCCCCAACCAAGCTCTATTGTTCCAGGTTGACTTCAGACTGCTGTGCTGGCAGAGAGAATTTCAAGCCAGTGGTTCTTAGCTTGCTGGGCTCCCTGGGATTGGGACCCACTAAGCGAGACCACTTGGCTCCCTGGCTTCAGCCCCATTTCCAGGGGAGTGAATGGTCTTGTCTCGCTGGGGTTCCAAGCACCACTGTGGTAAAGAAAAAACAAAACAAAACAAAACAAAACAAAAAAACCAAACTCCTGCAGCTAGCTCAGAGTCTGCCCAAACCAGCCGCCCAGTTTTCTGCTTGAAACCCAGTGCCCCGGTGTTGCAGGCACACAAGGGAGTCTCCTGGTCTGCAGATTGCAAAAACTGTGGGGAAAGTGTAGTACCTAGGCTGGAAAGCACAGTCCCTCACAGCTTCCCTTGGCTGAGGGAAGGAGGCCCCTGGCTCCTTGCACTTCCTGGGTGAGTCGATGCCCCACCCTGCTTCTGCTCACCCTCCATGGGCTGCACCCACTGCCTATCCAGTCCCATTGAGATGAACTGGGTACCTCAGTTGGAAATGCAGAAATCACCCACCTGCGTTGGTCTCTCTGGGAGCTGCAGACCGAAGCTGTTCCTATTTTGCCATCTTGCCAGATCTCCTGACCCTCTTGCCAGGTCTCTGCTTTTTTCTATACATGAGTTGTTGCAAGATGACAGGAATTAAATGATATAGGTAGGTTAAAAAAATTCCAAACCCAGAAATCTCACCTATAGGGTGTGGAGTGAGAATAGAGAAAAAACAAACTTTAAGGTAAATCTTTGACTCCTTTACAACATTTGCTTATTTTTCACTACCAATCGATGATTAAAACCTGTTGTTTCTGCTTTTGAAGAAACTCTCCCTGTATCACTTCTTTTCAATCTTGATGCTCTCATACATGAACTGGTCATTTCTTGACCTGGGCTGTCACTGCCTTTGAGATCACTGCTGGTTTTGCTTCAACCCCAATACAACTTCTGGAATGCTACTAGAATAACCTCTGAGAAATAGCTTTGAATCCCTCTCTTAAATATTTTTACGTCATAATGTCCCATACCATCATCATTTACTTGTGGGCCTCGACCTTACCTTTTTGGACTTATGTTAAATTATCTTCTACCTCACAGATATATCTCCAGCTCACAAAACACTTCCATTTCTCAAGCACAGCAAGGAGTTTCAATTATTCTGCTGAAAACTCTCCCTCAATCCTCTCCTTCACCTGGGTAGATACTAATTTCAAAATTCAGCTCAGATTGCAGCCACTTTCCCTAGGAAACAAACATTTTTTGAGCTGAGTAAAGTGCTCTAATAGTATATTATGCTGTTGGATGTAAATGTGTTTTTGCCTCTTTCCTCACTAGGATGATAGGAGGGACTCTGTTTTTTTGTCTCTGAAGCCCCATTAGTTAAATCAGTAAACACCCAGTAAGTTTCTAAGTACAGCCAGTGCTGGACTCTGGAAATGAAGATTCAGTTCCTAAACTTAAAGAAGTTATAATCTAGTTGGGAAACAGACAAATAAGGACAATTACATACCACAAAGTAAGCATGTGGTAGGTAATCCAAGGAGGCCATAAAAGCACAGTAGAGGACATCCAAATGCAGTACGGAAAAGTGGGAGTCATTCCGTGACTACCACCACCCAATTCTGAAAGACTAAGGCTGTTGAATAATTATGTCACCCGTTACTTTTTGTGTACATGCATTGCTCAAGGCTTAGATAAATAACACCTCTGTAGACATTACAGATAATGCATAAAAGGTTAATTCATTGGGACAAAATCTATGTAGGTCCACAAAATTAAATATCTTTGACATATTTCTTCAAGAATGAATCTAGGGCCTCCTTTATAATTCTTCTATCTAGAAAATATATTTGATGCTAATTCAAAAATTATTGTAGCTTTAAGGGATTTTAGAAGAGGTTAAATTGATTATGCAAATAGAAATTAATTACATGTTGCTTCTTGGAGGATGATGTTGACAGCGATGCTGAGATTGTGTCTTGGTTCCATTGTCGATGGTGCTATAATTGGTTGCTGATGTCTGTCAGGAAGTGGATAATAGCATTACAAGTGCCAACTCACCTTTAAATGTTGTTCATTGAGTTCAAAACAGCATTTTACGCATGAAAAGGACTGAGACATAGAGAGTTGAAGTGACTTTATCACACAATGAGTATGTCTCAGAAATAGAGATAGACACTACATCTTTTGTTTCCAAGACCAATGAAGTTTCTCTTGAACAGAATTGCTATTCTGATTTTTTTTTGGTGTAAATAAACAAAAGTTTCAGAGTCCTTTTCTCAAAGAGTGAAAGTAAAACAATAAAAAATTTCATTAAGATGCAAGAAATAATTAATGATAGTTTTCATATAATTATCAATTTTGGGTTCTTCATTCATATCAGAAATAACAAAGGAATAACAAATGACACTTATTCTATCCCAGAATGGTCGTTTGTCCTGGATAAGCTGGTATTATTTTGAAAGCTTAGGAAGCCCAAGCTACCAAAGAAGGTATTGTGATATCACTTAACCAAACAAAAGGAAAATAAAGTCCAGTTCTTGTATTTTGGAGTCTGCTTGATATTGTTATTCATTTTTCTCTCCAAACAAAGTTATTTATAATAAGTAACATATTATGAGTTTTTATTAATATATAAAATTAGGTAGTTCCTCCATTTTACAAAGAAATGTTAGGAAAATACTTAGAAATATACTAAAATTATTACTCTTAGTTATTTGAAGATTTATAGTTCACCATCTATTACTTTGTTCTACCTGCCATCCTCCTCTTTAATTCATTTTGATGGAAGATTTTTTCTAACTGTGGATTGTTAAAATATATGTCGTTATATTACTGTAACATGACTTCAGAGTTCTTTTTTGCACAACACAGTTCACTGGAACTTTCTGCAATGATGGAAATCATCTGTGCTGCCTAATATGGTGACCACTAAGTGTATGTGTCCACTGAGCTCTTGAAATGCAGCTGGTGTAACTGAGGAACTGAATTTTTAATTTTACTTAATTTCAATTAAAATTAAGATTTAAACAGCCATACGTGGCTAATGGGTACTGTATTAGATAGCACATGCCTAGCAGGTACTTTTACTGTCACCAATACTTTATTCACATTATGAGACATCTATTTCTTCAAGTTCCTGTCCACTTTTTAGCTGTTGAAACTATTCTTTAAGAGATACTCCCTAGACAGCAGCAAAATCCTTCAGACTCCCCTCTGAACCAAACCTCATATTACAACTGTCTGTGGATCTGCCCATTTGACTGGTATGGTATTAATTTATATTATTAAAGCAAGATACAACTTATCTTTTATTTCTTGTTGCTGAGCACCGTCTTTACAATAAAGGACATAAAGGTTAGAAAGGCTATTTAACTTAGGGGACCATGCTAATAATGACGATACTATAATGGGTGACAAAAACTTTCTTATCATTCATAAAAAGTATGCCCTTAATAACATTTTTGTACATAAAATTGGACAAATTATGAGTTGCCTTGCAATAACCCGGGTTTGTCACAAATTGTATAGAAATGCATCTACTGAATGATAAAAGAAAACCAGGACAGTCTGTAAACGTCAGTCCATTGCTCCAGGGCACTGGGCTGTGCCTTGTTAAATTTTAGTAAATTTTATTTTCTGATTACAATTATTAGCATCCTTTTCTGGGCTTGTAAAATAGTTGAATCATAGGGATAGATAAAAACACACAGAAACACTCTCAGAGTTGAAATATGGATGATAAAAAAATGAAAAAAGAGAGAGAAACAGGTGATAGAAAGTAAAAGAATTGTAAATGCAGATAAAATCGCTGAAAAGGCATTCGGTAGCGGGTTTGGTTAAATAGCCTTTATGACCTGATAGTGATAACAAAGAAAATAATGAGCTTCAGCTACCTACCACTGTTTCCCAATATAGAAAATATATAGTGTATGTTTCCTAGGTTTAGTTGTGGTTTATGTTTTAACTTGTTACATGCTATTAAAAGTCATCAGATCATACATCTACACAGTGGGTTTATCATTTGCTATTGCATCAAATTCCAAAATATAGATAACAAATTTTTTAAAGTAAAAAATAGGGAATGATTTAATGAGAAAAATACTGCTAATTTTATATATCTGTGTTTTGTACACCAAAGGTACTTTGTCAGCTTCTTGTCACTGTCACTCTTCTAATAATTGGATGGTATCTTTCAGGGTATCAGTCTTAGAGAAGAGTGTGACATTTATTTATTCATTTGTAAAATAAAAATATATCAAGACCCAGTGTATGTCAGTTCTGTGCTGATTGTCTGAAATACGGAGAGTAAGTCATGGCACCTGCCATCAATATGCTCACAGTCTGCTTGAAGATTCTTGATATAGGCCAACAGGGTGCCCATAAGATTATGAAAAAGGTGCCATGCAGCAGTAGAGGAGAGGCAAAGTTTGGGGAATTTGGGAAAGTTTACCATATGAAATTACCCTTGAGATAAGCCATGAATGAGGTAAAAGGCGAAGGAGCATTTTAGATAGAACACATAAAAAGGCATAACCTTGAAAAAGTTCAGCATTGATAGAATTAATGGTTTCCGTGGAGAGCAATGAGTTTAGAGCATCCAGATCTTGATAAATCTTGTATACCATGTTAAAAAGATTTGATTTTTTTTTTCTGGAGAAGTAGAGTTTTAAAATTTTATTCTTGAATTGGTTTGTCAAAAGAGGTCTTTTAAAGTACAGTTGATGCTTGAACAACATGGGAGTTGCCCAAGTAACTTTTGACTCTTTCAAAAATTAACTACGTATAGCCTACTGTTGATCAGAAGCCTTATCAATAATATAAACAGTTGATTAACACACATTTTGTATGCTTTATGGATTATATACTGTGCTCTTAAAGTAAGCTAGAGAAAAAATGTTACTAAAATGATAAAGAAGATAAAATAATTACTTTTAAGTAGATGTGGATCATCATAAGGGTCTTTGTTACCTTCACATTGAGTAGGCCGAAAAGGAGGGAGAGGAAGGGTTGGTCTTGCTGTCCCAGGGGTGCCAGAGTCAGGAGAGCTACACAGGTCCATGTATAAGTGGATCTGTGTCGTTCAAACTCATGTTGTTCAAGGTTGAAATATAATTTATATATAAATAATTTATCACTTTATTTTTTTTTTCAGACCAATGACTGTAGAAATCAAGCATGGTAGACATTAATGTATTCACTCCATAAATGTTCAAACAAGCTTAAGATGAGAAATGTTTTGCCCAATATCAGCTTGTAGGGCCAGAGCTGAAACACAAACCAGGTTTCCAGACTTCAAGTTCAGTGCTTTAAGCTACTGCTGCCTCTTAAACAACACAGGTTTGAACTGTGTGGGTCCACTTACACATGGATTTTCTTCTGCCTTTGCTGCCTCTGAGATAGCAAGACCAACTTCTCCTCTTTCTCATCCTCCTCAGCCTACTCAATGTGAAGATGACAAAAATGAAGACATTTATTATGATCCAATTCCACTTAATGAATAGTAAATATATGTTTTTCTTACTTTATTGTAAAAATAGAGTATATAATACAAATAACACATAAAATATGTGTAATCAGCTGTTTATGTTATTGCTAAGGCTTCCAGTAAACAGCAGGCTATTAGTAGTTAAATTTTGAGGGAGTAAAATGTTATACATAGATTTCTGACTACGTGGAAGTACTGACGACCCCAACCCCCATGTTGTTCAACTGTCAACTGTATTTGGTTTAGAAAATAATATATCTGGTCTCTAAATTAAAGCAATTTTAGCTTTTGGTAGCTTATCATTATTGTGGTCAATAGAGACCATGTTCCAAGTAATGAATAATCATAAAACCCACTCTTCTTTCTCTGTTATGAGGTCAAGATACAAAAAGAATTAAGGTTTTTATTTCTCAAGAAATAAATAATGGACTAATTTTGTTTTCTTGAACATTAATCAGATCTGCTTCAAATATTTTTAGTTTTTTAGAGCTGCTATGACAAAAATACCATAAACTGGATGTTTTATGAATAACCAACATTTATTTCTCACAGTTCTGGAGGCTAGGAAGTCCAAGATCAAGGTGCTGGCAGATTCAGTTTTAATGAGGGCCCATTCCCATTCCTCATAAATGGTACCTTCTTTCCATGTTCTCTTGTGGTGGAGAGAGCAAGGTATTTATCAGGGCTCTCTTTTATAAGGGCACTAAGCCCGCTCATGAGGGTTCTGCTCTTATGCTCTAATCACCTCCCCAGGGCCCCGCCTTTTATTATCAACACCTTGAGTGTTAGTATTTAAATACATGAATTTTAGGGTGACACAAACATTCAGATCACAGCACAGTCAAATTTCTCTTTAAGTTTTTCATTGTATGGATTTAGACACCCCCCATCCTGCCATCCCCAGTTAGATTCTATACATTTAAGTTTCTACTGCTACCTTTCTAACCCAAGAAAAACTTAATGTTTGGATGTAGTTCAATTGATCCTAAGTCTTCAAAGAAATACAGAGGTGTTTCTTTCAGAGAAATGAAACTAAACAGCTTAACTATTAAGATATATATAACCACACAAATAATCTTTGCTTTCCCACTCCATTTCCTAATAAGTCATGCAGATAATCAAAACAGAGTGGAGGAAGTCTTGGATCAATTAACATGGTACAGTTGAATACACTTACACAGGGAAAACACAGATGTTTTTCTGTGACTTAGCCTTCATGTTTTTCTTAACTAATTTTAGAGGGAAAGAATGTAATATCTTAAATGTTAAAAAATAGGCAACATAAAATTTTTAAAAATGAGAATGTATTTGAAAATCATTATTTTGAAAACTTTTATGGAAGAATCATTTCCTCAGTTTGATCTTTAAATATGCAATTTAAATTAACTTCTCAGTGTTTTCTCACAGTTATTTATTAATGAATTTAGCAATTTCTTCTATTATACATAGGCTTTTTATGTAATGCAATGAAAACAAACCACTAGTGAGAAAAACATTTTTCTCTTTTAATGTGTAACGTTGGACAGTTCAGAAAATGAACAATTATGAAACATACATTTGAACTGCCGGTCGTGTTTACACAAATAATATTTAATTTTAGATTATGAAAATGTCATATAGACTCAACTATAGTAAATTATAAAACATATACATTTATAACTTAAAAGCGTATATTATTTTATTGGGGACAATAAAATAAGCATTTTAAGGGAATATACTGGGAAGATGCAGAGATGAAGGCTTGGCAGTGACAAGCATTAAAGAATTCCAAATGTGTTTTAGAAATATTAATAGGAGTTCCATGGGTTATTGCTCCATCACAGTCAGGTAACCAATCCCAAATTTCCCTTGTGTCCCTGAGGACCCTTTGCTGCCACGTATTACTCATAAAGCTGCATTGATTTGCCTACCTAAGCAAAATAACGTTTATTAAAAGGATATTAGTGAGTCATAGAATTGGGTGATGGCTGAACATTTATTGGGAAAATAAGCAAGAGATATGAAAGTTTGGGAAGGCCACCCTGCAGAATCCACAAAGTCACCCCGTGGAAAGATTGTAATCCAAATGCATGTACTGCGATGAATATGACCTCCAGCCTCTATATATCACTGTGATAATTCAAGACTCAAAGACTATAAAGAAAATATCTGATAAGCCTGTTCAGTGACTGTTCAATGATTGTGCCAGAGCAGGGAGAGACTGTTGCTTTGGCTTTCCTAGCGGGTGCCATCTTGAAAGATGATACACAAATGATTCTCCATAAGAGAGAGAATAGCACTATGGGTGGGATATTTGAAGCTGAGCAGTAAATAAACAACAAATTTTTACTACAAAGATGTGTCTTCTTGTTTCTCAGATGCATGCAACTGGCATGGAATTTAAAACATTTTTTAAATGATGCAAATAATAGCTATGCTGTCTATGTAAATCTCATAATAAAGGTTACTTGAGGAGTATGCTGGCCCTAAACCAAAATACCTAATGGAAGAAAACATATTTCAGTTATTAATCTTCCAATGTATTTTTCTTCTGATATATTTTTTCATATCTTCATTCTTTCATTTTTCCCTTTAGATCATCTCCATTTATAAATTCACCTTCTGCTTGTTTTCCCCTTTGTCATTTCCCTTGGTCATCGCCTAAAATTTACTTGCATGTGGGCATTTAAACTGATATAACTGTCTTAGTTTGGTCTATCCAAGAAATATATCCTTATGCAAGGATTTGGCTGAAAGCATTTTATTTGGAAGGTAATATAGTTTGAATATTTGTCCCTTCCCAAATCTCATGTTGAAATACATTCCCCAGTGTTGGATGTGAGGTATCTTGTCTCTCTTTCAAAAGCAATTTCAAGAGTAGTTAATTCATGTACCCAGGAGCAGCCCATGTTCAACCACTTGCTGATACAGGGTTACAAATGCCCTGCTTCCTTAACCTCATTTTGGGGCATCTTTGAAGGAACAGGCTTGCTTCAGAGCTCCTTGTCAGATTGGCTGAGGCCACCATTGAAACTGCATCACTTTTCGAGGAGTATCTTTGGAATACTATACAGCCATAAAAAAGGATGAGTTCATGTCCTTTGCAGGGACATGGATGAAGCTGGAAACCATCATTCTCAGCAAACTAACGCAGGAACAGGAAACCAAACACTGCATGTTCTCACTCATAAGTGGGAGTTGAACAATGAGAACACATGGACACAGGGAGGGGAACATCACACACTGGGGCCTGTCAGATGGTGGGGGGCTAGGGGAGAGAGAGCATTAGGAGAAATACCTAATGTAGATGATGGGTTGATGGGTGCAGCAAACCATCACGACGTGTGTATACCTGTGTAACAAACCTGCACGTTCTGCACATGTATCCCAGAACTTGAAATATAGTTAAAAAAAAGAACAACAGAAAAATAATAAAGTAAATTATATATATATATATGTATAAACTGCATCACAGCTCAGTGTCTCCATCTGTCCAATCCTGTTTGCCTCACTGCCTCATAAGCTTGTTTTTATTTTTCCCCTATGAGTGAGCATACCTGGTAAACTTCCTATAAGCAAATTTCCTTCTGAAAATATTTCCTGGGAGACACAACTAAGACAGAAACAAGTGAGGAGTAGACTATTGACAAAGGTGGAAATAATGACTCCTACCTTTCTATACAAGTGTGGTAGATGGTCATTGTTGTTACTTGTATTTATTTATTCTAAGCATATGCAGAAATGAATTCTCATGCTTAGCCTTAGTCCATATAGGCTGCAGTTGTTAGTGTTTACTGGTGCATATTGTATCAGTATTCTAATATTGAACACTTGTAGCTTAATTTGAATTCTATTGTATACAAATACAGTATCAAGTAAATGTTGACCCATGAAGCATACAAAAGAGAAATTGTTTTATGGACTGTCATGAATATAAGCAATTCAGAAAAGATTTGGATCGTCATCTAGGGAGCTTAGAGTTGTTGAGTGTATCCTTCATTTGTCAAGTCTTATTTTGTTAGTGTCAATCTTATTTTTTCTCAGAAATATTGAGAGGGAAATGCTAAGCAGGTTATTACAATTAGTTTTCTGTAAAAATATTGACTTGCATTACTAGCAATCTTAATGTTACCTTGTGATTTATCTTCCATAGTTTCTGGCAGCACAGGCAATCCAAGCCTGTGCTGGACTTTGCAGACATTTATTTTATTCTGAAGTTTTCCACCCCCTCCTCATCTTGAATAAAAAGAGGATTTTTACTTTGCAGTGATTCTGCCTCACCAAAGCTGTGAAATCACTTTTCTACTATATGAACTCAAATAACTTGCTGAAAAGGCTCCCTCTTTTTCTCACAGTTAAAAACTCATTTCTTTCCTATTTATCTTAATATATCTTATAGTTCCTTAGAACGGGAAATAGGCATGGCTGCGAGGGAAAGTACTGCTATTCTCAAGGCCTTCTTCTCTGAGGACTGGAAAATTAGGCTTGACCTTTTCCCAGCATAGTACCACGGAATAGCTAGAGCATGCTATGGATTTGAAAAATAAAAGGAAGACTGAGACCAAAGAAAGGCCGTTAATACACTCTACAAAAAGAAAAAAAAAAAAGCTTCCTATTCTCAGCTATATTAACTTTAGATAAAAGGTTTAATTAGAGTAGAATCTTTAATATGCTTGTCTGATATGTATTTTTACTTTTTGTCAAGAAAGTAAATGAGAGAAGCTTTAGAATTTCACCAAAGTGATCTCATGGATATAATGAGGTTAACAAGCTGAAATTAGGCTCTTGGGCTTAGAAAAAAAAATAATTCACGTATGAAAAAAATGTTTAATTAAATGGAAGTGCCTGCATCCAAATAGCACAATTTGCTAGTCAGAGATAAGAAGCTGTGATAGACCTGAGGAGAGAAGATAATAACAATGTAAAGCTGTATGAGGTTTAAGAATCAAAGTGTTCATTTTAGTATTCTTGTATCCCTCAGCCTCCTGGTACTGCTAGAGAAAAAAGAAACATAACACGTAGAATTAGCTTTGAGAAAGACAAAACCACACTTTATACCCAGTATGGAGCCCACCCTGTAAATCTGCTTGTATTTGTTTTCCAGAAATGCCATAAAAAATCACGATGAAGTGGCTTAAAACAACAGACATGTATTTTTTCACAGTTCTGGAAGCTAGAAGCCTGAAATTGAGGTGTTGGCAGGGCCATGTTAATTTCTGAAGACTCTAGGGGGAGGATCCCTCTTCGCTTCTTCCTCGATTTCAGTGGTTGTAGATTGCTGTTCCTTGATCTGTAGCCCAAGCTCTGCCTCCAATGTCAAATGGTGTTTTCTCTCTCTCTGTGTCTCTGTCTTTCTGTGTGTATGTGTCTATATGTTTTCCCTTCAAGGACATCAGTCATTGGATTACAGCACACCCTAATCTGATATGATCTCACCTTAATTCAACTAATTATAACTTCAAAGACTGTTTCCAAATAAGATCACATTCTGAGGTTGCTAGTAAGCTTGACTTTTAGGGGGCATTATTGAACCATAGTACATTGTGTAAAAAATATCCCTGAGAGAACTTTTCAAATCAGGACATTTCTTCACATTAAATTACGAGATTTGACTTCCTACCCTTTCCTTCTTGGTCAGGCCTATTACAAAAATTTAACAAGAATACCAAATCTATAACAATGTATGCATATTTGAGTTTTCTAATTAAAACTACAGAGACTTCTAAAGTGAATCTCTTTAAACCTCTTTTCTAAGTTATTGTGTTTAATAATTAGCTTGGAAATGAAAATGAGAATGATTAGTTCCCAGAAAATTGAAGATATGTTCTGTTGAGTTTGATTTTGTGCTTAACTTCTGAGTATAACCAGTGGGCAATGTATTTTTTAATAAAAATCTTTTAATTTAGAAAGTTTTTATATTTATTAAGAAATTTCAAAGTACAGGGTTCTTATACCTCATACTCAGTTTCTCTCATTGTTAACATCTTATGTTAGTGTGAAATAATTGTCATAATTAATGAAACAATATTAATGTATTATTAACCTAAGATCATATTTCATTCAAATTTATTTTTTTTCTTTTACGGTCCCAAGATTCAATCCAGGACACCACGTTAACATTTAGTAGTCATGTCTTTGTGGGACGTTTTAAACTACGGCAGTTTCTTAGACTTTCCTTATTTTCAGTGACTTTGATAATTTTGAGGTGTACTGGTCAGATATTTCTAATCAATTTGGGTTTGTCTAACATTTTCTGTTTTCATGAATAGACTGGCATTATGCATTTTTTTTGTAGGGGGGAAAGGCCACAGTGATAAAGTGCCACTTTTATTAAATTATACCAAGGATGGATACTTTCAACATGACTTACCACTGTTGGTGTTAACCTTGATCACCTGGCTGAGGTTGTGTTTGTCAGGTTTTTCCATGTTAGTCACTTTTTTGCCCCCTTTCCTTATCGTACTGTTTCGAAGAAAATTATTGTGTACAGTCCACACTTCAGGATTGAGGACTTATCCTCCATCTCCACAATGAAGCAGTATCTAGATCCATTATTTGGAATTCTTCTATATTGGACATTTGTCTATTCCTACTCATTTATTTGATCACTTATTTAGATCAGTCTAAACTCATGGTATTTCTTTTAGGTTTTATGTAATAATTCAATAATATGTCATTTGTTTTGATGCTTGATTTGTTTCCGCTTTAGCCATTGGGAACTTTTCACTTGGCTTCCATTCCCACTTTGACATGTCCCCATCATTTGTGTGTCTGTGTGTGTATGTATGTAATATAATATTAGTTTTTAGCATCAAATGATATTCCAGACTCATCTGGTATATTCCATTCCCCAGGCCTAGGATCAGCCATTTCCCCGAGGAGCCCTGGTTTCTTTTATTGGAAAATTGTATTAGAAAGGAAGATCTGGGTGTTGGGCATGCTCATTGTATCAAAGCCCCCTCAACCAACAGAGTTTGAAAACATATTTGCACATATTAACCTGTGTCTGCACACAAATTTATAAATATTTCCATATCTCTCCATCTGTATTTATATTAAGTTAAACATGAGTTCATACTGATGTCACCAGCTCGAATCCATTACCACATGGATCCTCCTAGCCTTCTCTCTTTGTTTATCTGCAAACTCCCACTCCAACAGTGAGAAACCTGGTTCTACAATCTGCCACTTATTTACTTCGTTGTTCAATCACAGTACATATCTATGATCATTTCAAAGTTGTCAACCTGGACTCCTGTAAGAACCAACCTTACCAATGAATTAGGTAGTTTTTTTTTTTCCTGTAGGCTTACAGTCTCTGCATTTCTAAGGTGACTTACATCAGAAGCTTTTTCTCCCATCCTCTTCACTGAAGTTACATGTTTGTAATACAGTTAGATCCTTTTGTCACAGTCTATTTTCCATCCTGGGACCACAGACTTCCTTGATTTTTGTTTGTTTGTTTGCATACATTAAGTTTTACTTCTTGTGGTGGAAAATTCTCTGGGTTGTGACAAATGCATTGTGTCATGTGTCTACTATTATATATATTATAGAAAATAGCTATACTACTGAAAAAAATACTTTAAGCTTCACTAAATTAACACTTCTCATATCCCAAAGCCTAGATAACCACTAATCTGTTTTCCTTCTCTATGGTTTTGCCTTTTCTAAAATGTCATATAAATGGAATCACATAGTATGTTGCCTTTCAGACCGGTGTCTTTTAACTTAGCAATATACATTTAAAATTCATCCATGTTGTTTCAGGCATTAATTGTTCATCCATTTGTAGCACTAAATGGTATTCCATTATGTGTGTATACCACAATTTTTGTTAATCTGTTTACCCATTCAAATATATTTTTGTTGCTTCCAGTTTTTGATTATTATGAATAAAGCTGATACAAACATTCAAGTGCATGTTTTCGTGTGAACTTATGTTTTTAAAACAGTTAAATGAAACTGGAGTGTGATAACGGGTAAAATTATGTTTAGCTTTAAAAGAAACTGTCAAATGCCTTCCAAAGTGGCTGTGACATTTTGCATTCCCACTAGCAATAAATGAAAATTCCTGTTGCTCCACATAAAGGAACTAACACTATCAGATTTTGGATTTCAACCATTCCAGTGGTTGTGTAGTGGAATGTCATTGTTATTTAATTTGCACTTTCCTAATGGCAAATGATGTAGAGGATGTTTTCATGTGCTATTTGTCATCTGTGTATCTTCTTTGGTGAGTTGTTCAGATCCTTTGCCCATTTTTAAACTGGGTTGTTTCCTTATGTTTAGTTTCAAGAGGTTTTTATTATTATTATTTTGCATATTTTGGATACATGTCCTTTATCTGATTAGGATTTGTAAATATCTTTTCAAGCCTGTGACTTCATTTTTTAAAAAATAATACATTTCAAATTATAACATTATTCTTTCATGGATTGTGCTTTTCATGTTGAATAGTATCTGAAAATTCATCACCAACCCATAGGTGTCATTTTCTAGAAGTTTTATAATTTTGCATTTTACATTGAAATCTATGGTACATTTTAAGGTCGTATTTGTGTAAAGCATGAAGTTTTTGTCTTTCTTTCCTTCCTCCCCTCCCCTTCCCTTCCGTTTCTTTTCTTTCTTTTTCTTTCTTCCCTTCCCTTCCCTTCTCCTACCTTCCTTCCTCCCTCCCTCCCTCCTTCCCCCCTTCCCTTGCTCCTTTCTTCCTTCCCTCCTTCCTTCCTTTCTCTTTCCTTCTTTCTTTTGTCATCTAATTATTCTAGCACTATTTGTTGAAAAGACTATGCTTTCTCAATTGTATTGTCCTTTTGCCCTTGTTAAATGTCAGTCAACTTTATCTCTGTGGGTATATTTCTGGCCTTTCTACTCTGTTTCATTGATCTATGTGTCCATTCTTTTACCAATATCATGCTTTCTCGATTATTGTATCATTATAGTAAATCTTGAAATTGCGTAGTGTGAGTCCTCCAAGTTTTTTCTACTTTCTCAATATTGTGTTTGATCTTCTATCATATAAATGTTAGAATCAGTTTGTCACTATCTCCAAATAAGCTTGCCAGTAATTTGGTTGAAGTTATATTAAATCTGTATATCAATTTGGGAAGAACTGACATCTTTACTATGTTGAGTTTTCCAGCCCAAACACAAAACCTCTCTCCATTTATTAGATGTTTTTTGATTTCTTTCATCAGTGTATTTACTTTCCTGTATAGAGTTCATATATATAATTAGATTTCTACCTAAGGATGTCTATGCTTTTGGTGTTATTATAAAAGGTATTTAAAAATGCAATATTCTCATTTTTCTTTTCTGATATATAGAAAAGCAATAGACTTCTGAATATTGACCTTATGTCCAGTGACCTTGCTATATCTACTAATTGCTTCAGTAGGTTTTTGTTGATTTTTCGGGTTATCTACATAGAGAATCATGTCATCTTTGAATAAAAACAGTTTTATTTCTTCCTTTACATTCTGTTTGCTTTTATTTTCCCTTCCCTTGTCTTATTGGACTAAGCTAGGACTTCCAGTACAATGTTGGATAGAATGAAAAAAAGGAAGATGTCTTTGCCTTATTTTCAACATAAGGTGGAAAACATTTAGTCTCTCCCCATTAAGTATAATGATAGCCATATGATACCCACTGCTTAGTGCAAGTACGTATTAGGTGAAGGAAGTTTCCTTATATTCTTAATTTTGTAAAATGTTTTTATTATAAGTAGGTGGTTAATTTTTGTCAAATGGTTTTCTGCAATTATTGATATGATCATGTGTTTACTTTTATTCAGTCTATAATGGGATGTGTTATATTGATTTATTTATAAATATTGAATCAGCATTATATTCCTGATCATGACATATTACATTTTTATATACTGCTAGATTTTATTTGCTAATACCTTATTAAGTATTTTTCTGTATATGTTCATGAGAGATATCGGCCTCTTGTAATATCTTTATCTGGTTTTGGTATCCGTATTACGGTAATGTGGGGCTCATAAAATGTGTTGTTAAGTTTTCTTTATTCTTCTATTTTCTGGAAGAGGTTGTAAAAAATTGGTGCTATTTCTTCCTAAGATGTTTGGTAGAGTTAATCCTAGTGATATCATCCAGACTTACTGATTTTTAAAATAAGATTTAAAAATTCTAATTCAATTTTAAAAACAGATATAGAGATATTCAGGTTAATTATCCCTGAATGTGTGTTAGTAGTTTGTATTTGAAAGAATTTATCCATTTTATCTGAGTTCTCAAACTCATGGCCATAGAGTTGTTTGCAGGATTCCCTTATTAGCCTTTTGATGTCCATGAGGTTAGTAGTGAGGATCTTCATCTTTCATTGATGATATTGGTAATTTGTGTCTTCTCTTTTTCCTTGTTTAGTTTACCTAGAGGCTTACCATTTTTATTAACCATTCCAAAAAACAGGCTTTGATTTCGTTGATTTTCCTCTTTTTTTTTTTTTATACTGTTTTCAATTCCATTGATTTCTGTTCTGGTTTTTAATTATTTTATGCCTTCTGCTTATTTTAGGTTGAATTTGCCCTCTGTTCTCTGGTTTACTACAGTGGGTGCTTAGGTAATTGCGGGCACTGTAATTTGTGCAATACTTGCTATGCAATGGGGTTGTTCTGAAACATACCTGGAAGTTGACTTTTGTTCCGGTGAGGTTGGAGGGCAAAAGGAAATTGCAGTCCTCAGCTGCCTTTGATATCACAGTTTTGGGAAGTAGGCCAAACACGATCATATTGGTGGTGAAGATAGATGAGGAAAACAGAGGGCTAAGAACACAGTAAAGATCCCTATAGTTAGATATGAGGTCAATATGTTTTGAAAGTCACATTCAATTTCTTGTCCGCTTGAGAGAGGATGGATTCTGCTTATGATCTCCACACATTCCTGCTGATCTGACAACCCCAGCATGGTATCAGGGTTGAATAACCATCTAGTTGAATTCAGCATTTTAAACCACCAACTTGACACTGATTAGAATCCCCGGTGTGCCACAAAACGTACTTGCAACCATCCAAACTGAACATAAAAAGATCCTGCAACCGAAACTCTGCTGTTCATCACTCAATCAGAGTCATGTGTTTGCTATCTAAAGCCAACTTACTGGAGCATGTGGGAATTTTACACATTTAAGTAGATGCAGAACATAATTAAATTTTAAAACTCTGGTTAAGACAATTGTTTTGATGTCTCCTGAGAGGAATTTTTGCCAAGGTTTTCCTAATACTGGCTTCTCACTTTTTGTTCTCACTCCTAATAGTCTACATTCTAAAAAAAGGAGACTTTTTTTTTTTTGAGATTGAGTCTTGCTCTGTTGTCCAGGCTGGAGTACAGTAGTGCAACCTCGACTCACTGCAACCTCCGCCCCGCCGGGTTCAAATGATTCCCCTGCCTCAGCCTCCTGAGTAGCTGGGACTAGAGGTGCACACCACCAGACCTGGCTAATAAAAAGGAGACATTTTTTAAAAAAACAAATAAATAAATATACAATATGAACAATATGAAATACATATTATGATTGTATCTGGAGATTAATGCTAAGAAGATGTAAGCAGACAAAGATGACAGAGATTGACAGGTGTGTGTGTGTGTGTGTGTGTGTGTGTGTTTGTGTTTTGGGCAAGGTGTTTACTCCAAACCAAAATTTAGGAAAATTACGTTTAATCAAAAACTTGGATTAAGTGAAGGAAAGAACATTGCAAAAGTTAAAAATATAAGAGATTCTAGGCAGTGGGATTAGCAAATGCAAAATCCTAAATAAAAATAAGTGTGGCATCCTAAAGGAGCTGCTACAGTGAGCCTAGAGCAGAGTAAGGTGGGCAAAAATTGGTAGGAGCACTAGTAGGAGAGGAAGACAGGGATCAGTGCATATAGTGTGTTACAGGCTACGTGGAGTTTGGATTCAATCTGGTGGGCGTGTTTTTAACAGGACAGTGAAAGGTCTGATTTATGTTTTTAAAACATTAGTCTGGCAGCTATGAGGAGAATCACTATTGACAAATTTGCTCAGCTTTGGGGTAAACAAGACACTGATACGTAGCATTTTACTTGGAGTTCAGAATGGCTTGAACAAATCTGTGCTAAAAATGACAGTGGAGAAGTCCTGATATCCTTTAGTAGTATGTTTTTAACAATTTTCCGGGGGCTGAGCCTCAATCCTCCTCATTAAAATGATCAGAAAAGCAGAGAGGGTTATTGGAGAAAAGGACTAACGATTTTAGTTTTGTTTCAGTTGTTCGGAGGCAATATTATAAAGGCTAATGAACTGGATTCAAAATCAGCTGGTATGAAAAGTAACTGTGCCCGCGTGCCTGGAGAGAGTTAATGTATCTCCAAGAACATTTACTGACAAGTAGTAATTTGGGAACAAGAAAAATGGAGTCTCCCAAGTCCTATTTCAGAGACTGAGTGAGGCAAGCTTCTTGGATCTCTACCTTGGATATCTCCTTTATTCTTCAGTCTTGCAATCCATATTGCCTCAGCAATATGGAAACATTAATGTTGTCCATTCTTGGAAAGATAAATTAATATCATTGTTAATTATAGGGTATTGTATAAATATTTGGATTTTTATAACTTTGTTAAAGTAGGGAGTCAAAGGTTGTTTCTCACTAAAGTGGATGATAATAGACTGTTACTGGGCACCTACATTGAATAACTCAAGGAGAACAATCATATCATCCACATGGACAAATCCTTTGTGTCTAAAATACATCAAATTCAATCCTCACTATTAGTATAACAGCAGGAGAAACTAAAAGTATGACACGTGGACTTGAACCTGTGCTGTTTTCAAGCATGCAATTTGACTTACTTCTTCCTTAATGTATAAATTAGATGAAGGTTCAGACCATGCTTTGTTTTGTTTATAATCTCTGAATATTTCTACCTTCTCTGCCATGGTGTTTGTTTGCTTTGTGTCTACAGTGTAGGTATTTGTTAAATTGTGACTCTCTAGAACAGCTGAACACTGATGTCACATGAAAATCTCAAAAGAATATTTGCTTTATTTAATATCCATATTAGAGAAACAACCCATTAAGGAAAGTGTAGAAGCTCATTAATTTATGTATTATTTTTATCTATTTATTTATTCATTCACATTACATTTGATGAACATCTAATATGGATCTAGAGCAGTACTAAGGGACAAATTTATAAAAGATAAATAAGATATAGGTTGTCTTAGATGGGCTGACGTTCTAGTGGGGTAATTATAACATAATTTAATAAGTACTTTGTGGCATAGAACAAAATGCTAATGTCGCATGCAAGAGGGAAATATTTCTTTTGCTAGAAAGGATAAGGGGAATCTTTTAATAAAGGGTGATATTTGAGAGAGGTTTTCAAAGAACAGTAGGATTTTCTCATGTGAAGAATAATGATGACCCCCAAAAGTACAGAGTCATAGAAGCATAAGGCATAATCAGGACAAAGCAAGTAGTCTAGTGGAATTAAATATGGGATATATAGGGAAACAGATGGGAAATGGGATTGAAACATTGAATGGGGCCACCTGTAAAGAACAGTTACGTCATGCTAAGGAATTGTATTTTATAAATGACAGATAGTCAATAAAGGTATTTGACTATTATAATGAACTGAATTCTGTGCCCGCACCCCCCAAATTTGTATGTTGGAGTACTAAGCCTGCAATGTGACAGTTTTTGGAGATAGGCCCTTTAAAGAGGTAATAAAGGTTAAATGAAATCATAAGAGTGGGGCTTTATGCAACATAACTGGTGTCCTTATACAAAGTGGAAGAAATACCAGGGATGTGTGCACACAGAGAAAAGGCCATGTGAGGATACAGTGAGACAGCGGCCATCCAAAAGCCAAGGAGAAAGGCCTCAGGAGAAACCAAACCTGCTGACACATTGACCTTGGATTTCCAGCCTTCAGAAATATGAGAAATTGAAGTTCTGTTGTTTGAGCCACCTAGACTGTGGTATTTTCTTATGGCAGCCTGATATGGTTTGTTTGTGTCCCCACCCAATCTCATTTTGAATTTTAGTTCCCATAATCCCCACATGTCATGGAAGGGACCTGGTGGGAGGTTATTGAATCATGGGGGCAGTTACCCCCATGCTGCTGTTCTCGTGATAGTGAGTGACTTCTCACGAGATCTGTTGCTTTTATAAGGGGCTTTTCCCTCTTTGCTCAGCACTTCTCCTTCCTGCCATCATGTGAAGAAGGACTTGTTTGCTTCCCCTTCCACCATGACTGTAAGTATCCTGAGACCTCCCCAGCCATGAGGAACTGTGAGCCAATTAAAACTCTTTCCTTTATAAATTACCTAGTCTCAGGTAATTGTTTATGAGAGTTCTTTAACTAGTCTCAGGTAGTTCATCATGAGAATGGACTAATACACAGCCCTACCAGACTAAGACAACTGCTAAATTATTTTGTAGAATTTTTCCTCTTTGATTTCTGAATTATTGCTGTCTCTGGTTATGTTCCTGTCCCATTCATTATTACTTTTCTGCATTCTTTTTGTCTCATGCCTATTTTTAGTCTCCTTTAATGCTGATTTCTTGCATGTTGTTCTCCAGATTTTTGTTGGTGGTGGTGTTTTATCCTTAGCTTGTTGTTTACTTCTCAGTTTATATATTCTTCTTAGTCAAATTTATCCAATTCTATAATGTAAATATTGCCTGAATGCTAGTGACTTCAAATCCCTGTAAGCACAGACTTTCCTTCTGAGCTCTTGATTGATACATACTGTACATACTGATGCTTATTCCACATGTTCACACCCCCCTGTCACACAGGTAGCTCAAAAACAGCATGTTCCAAAATGAATTCTTATGTTTGGTCCTGAATCTATTTGTGTAATCTAATTCAGAAAATATTTTCACCATCTACTCAGTTACCTAAATTGGAATTATGAGAATCATTCTACACTTATCCTCCTGTTTACAAGTCCAATTAATCCCCAATATCCAAAAATCATCCCTCTGTAGCATTTCTATTATTGGACTTTCCTGTCAATTCCTTTGGCACTGCTTTGGGTCAGGCACGAACTGTTTCTTAGATACACTAGCCTCCTAATTGGCGGGGTTTGGGTTTGTACCACTTCCTTTCTATGAAAGCTAGTTATTTCTGCATACCTTATAATTTTAAGATGATAACTTCGTGGAATATGTCTGTGATTGGACAGTTAAAATTCCATCTAGCTTTGGATGTTTCATTTAATGTAGAGTTTCCTACACAAGATGAATGAGCACTGTAACATTGACACATAATGCCTTTAGGGTTATTTCAGCCTAAACAAATTAGAATTCTTAATGTGATATTTAGCAATTAAGGATCATTAAGATGAGTCAGCTTCCTAGAATAAGAGACTTTTTTGTCTTTATGTAAATCATGATCTTTGTCTAAATATTTACTTGTGTAGCTGAGACTAAAATTTAAATACAGTCTTTTTGAAATTCTTAGTGCACCCCCATTTTCCTTGAGCAATAATCTATAACAGCTGGTCAGCCTGAGCTGAACGAATACATTCATTCCCTTAACTCTTTTGGTAACCATTGCCCAGGATAAATGTTTAACTTCTAGAATCTTCTAACTTTTTTGGTTCATTCCTTTTTCCTCAAAGATAGATTCAAATCTGCTTTATAGTTCCATTCATTTCCTCATACAGCTCTATTTTTTGCTTTTCAAGGTCATAAATCCAGTAAAAATTTCAAATGCCTTGGCCTTCACAATTCGTGAGTGGTGGTAGTTCAGATTTTTTAGCCTGGGATATAGTAGTGTGTCAACTGAATTTGAAAAGAAAATCATAAACTGTCGAACTAGAAGCTAAATGCACACAAAGTAAAAATGCTCTTATTTCTTCTGTAGTTTCATCTCTTACCAAGAAGTTTCTTATATCATTTCCATGAATTTTGTTATGCTTGCACAACATACCGTGAAACATTCTGTTGGAAAATGTGACAGAAAAGCCACTGAGAAAATGCAGAATTCAGTAGGTATCATATTTTTATTAATGATTTTTATTCATAGCTGACTTTTAATTTCTATCATCTTTTTAAATTGAATATGCATGCTTTTTTATTGCTGTTGTTTTTATAGCTGGGAAAAATCAATGAATTAATTGGTTGGGTAAATCAATGAGATAGTACAGATTGCCTGTCTCTGAAAGAAAGGAAAGCTACCTGATTCTGAAAGCACAGCATTTCTGTTACCTATAAAGAAGAATTACTGGTATACAAATGACAAAAAGCCTAATTAGAATTGTTTGCCTTATGCTTGATGTTGCAGTGGAAAGTGGCAAAAAGAGGCGGGGACAGTTTTCCCCACTACATTACCCTTCCTCAACTAAAGCTAATTTGGAACTCAAGAACAAGCCCGTGGGGTTTTCAGTCTTATCAGTCTTGACGTAATGAAACTAGACAGCCCCTCTGTTTCCCACTGTCACTTAGCCAGATGAGGAGAAAACAAAAATAAAAATGAGTGACTTCTCAGATTGGTGCTGGTTCTTAAGGCTGTGGTAGCTTTAGGGTACCACAAGATGCCAGTGTTTTAGAGCTTTGTTACTCACGAATAGAGGGCTGGCTGGTTATCGTTGTCCAGTTACTGAAAAAAAAGACAACTGTGCTGGGTAAAAGCATACTGCTCTTATGTTTTTCTTTTTCCTCATAATAAATGTATGCCATACAATGCTATTTGAAGAAATCATGGATTATTGATAGTAAAACCTTTTAAAATGAAGAAAAAAGGTAGAGGCATCATCCTTTAAGCAAAAGAAGATCTAAAGTTATCTTCACTAAGTTACTTTCTGCTATCCCATGATATGAACATGCTGTGGGATAAAGTATATTAATATAAAGTATGGGATAAAATATATATATATATATTTTTTTTTTTAGCCTGGGAGATATATATGGAGAGAGAGAGACAGAGAGAGGGAGAGAGAGAGAGAGAGAGAGACAGAGAGAGAGAGAGAGAGAGAGAAAGCGCTAAAATTTTGGTCTTTGGGTTAACACTTGGTTTTAAATCTTTTTCTTTTCTCTTTCTTTCTTCCTTTTTTTTTTTTTTTTTTTTGGAGATGGAGTATTGCTCTGTTGCCCAGGCTGTGCCGCCGCCTTCCAGGTTCAAGTAATTCTCCTACCTCAGCCTCCCAAGTAGCTGGGATTACAGGCATGTGCCACCACACCCAGCTAAATTTTGTATTTTTAGTAGAGATGGGGTTTTGCCATGTTGGCCAGGCTGGTCTTGAACTCCTGACCTCAGGTGATCCATCTGCCTTGGCCTCCCACAGTGCTGGGATTACAGGTGTGAGCCACTGCGGCCAGCTTAAATCTTTTTCTTAATGATTTTGTATTCCTGAGTAAGTTAGTTAACTTTCATAAGCTTAAATATCATATGTAAAATGAATAAAAATACCTAGTTGATTAGTGTTTTGTGAAGATTAAAGGAAATGATATATATTATTGCTTAGGCTAGCTTCTGGCCTTGCTCAGCATTCAGTAGAGGGCACTGTTGAAGAAGAAAAAAATGAAGATGATCAACAAAAAGATGTTTTTCTTTATAAAAAGTTTGTTATTCCTACTCATAAAATGAAACAAAGAAGTCCTGATTAGATGCATTTACCCCTACAGTTATACAGTCTTTAACTACATCTTAAATGTTCACTACTCTAATTTTTATTTTCTTAGAGTTGCAGTCATATCTGAGCTAGAGGTTATTTAAAACAGATTCATTAAATATTATCATCAGAGCTATAATTTATTGTTTATTATGTCCCATACTTTGCTATGCTCTTTACAGGCAAGCTAAAAAAATTGACTGAAGTTACACAGCTAAGAAACTACAATGTTAGTATTCAAATCCATGTCTTATTTCAAAATTTATGCTCTTATCCAGTTTTGTTAAATTTTCCTCTAAGTTGCAGATTTATATCCAGAATTGGTGGCAGCAGAAATGCAGATGTATCTGATATCTGGGATAAGACTGAGTACATGAAGTTGTTGGATAAAATTGGAAAGACTTTATGGGAAACACAAACAGCTTTGTATTCCTAAATTATTCTTATTTTCTAGAATAATTCAAATTATCTAAACTACTATAAAAGTCAATGAATTCTGGCTACTCTGTAATAGTAGTTTGGGAATTCCCTGTGAAAACCAGCTTCTCTTCTGATTTTGTGTAACTTATGCAGTAGGGACATTCAACTCAATTTTCCCCGAACTGTTCGTTGTCTAGGGCCAATTCAAACAAAGGACACATTCTCAATGGCTTTCTGGAATGCTAAGCGTGATGATGGGCCACCTTACTGCCAACCTGTGCTTTTTGGATGTATCCAACTTATGTACTGATTATATGAAATCTGGACTATCTGCCTTGCCTGCTGTCTTCCTAATAGACAGTGCTACAAAGAATACAGCTGCTCAGTCCACATGAACCCATCATCAACCATAAATGCCAAAGTGCCCTCCTATAAAAGCAAAGTCTTTATGACTCCACATATGCAAGACATTTTCATGACTGGTAATAGAAGCTGAAATATGAGTTGTTAATACCATATACATTTTGTTCTGAAAAAGTAAAATGTGGTGTTATGCCCTGGGCACTTCTGAAAACTCAAAATTCCTAGGTATTTAGAAGTTTCAACAACCCCATACATAGCCTTTTCCTAGTTCTCTATTGATGATTCAGTGGGCCTTGAACTTCTGTGAAAAGCTGCAATCTCTTTAAAGCAGAAAAACAGATAAGAAGAAAAACTAGCCTTTTACAATGGAAGGAAAATAGGGTCCCGGGAATGGCCATGAAACAAGGAAACAGATCAAGTATGTCCTATGGTTATGTATTATTAACATGACAGATGAAGATAAGATTATGAATTGAATCTCTGCCAATGCAAAGATTGAGGAAATGAAGCAAAGGACATAAACTGTGTAGGATGGTAAAGTGTTATAATTGGTGTTACTTGCTTTTGTTGTGAAGAAAGTGGGATCTGACTATGTCTGTGAGGAAGGATATGTAAATTTGTATGTATATATAATGAATATATACTATATATACACACACTATATATGTACATACTATAATATATACGTATAGACATTCACATATATGAATATACATGCATATATATAAAACCAGATGGATGGTTATATATCTTCTTCCCTAGTTTGTTCTTACTACATTTGATGTAGATTTGTTCTAATTGGTGCCTTAAATAATTTGGCCTAGACCATAATAAAAACACCCAGTTCTAAGGAGTTTGGTTCTACAATTTTAAAATTTATTTATACACTAAGGTTGGTTATGGGCAGGGCGGTGAAATCATTTGAGTTGTAAAATTGGGTAAGAGAAAAGTTTTACTGATTTGATAAAAACCCATCTGAGTGCTTGCTACGTTCAGCATTTATGTGAGACTCTGTCAGGTAGAAATATGTCACTGAAAGGCATCAGTTCTTTTGCAATCTGGTCTGAAATATCTGATGGGAAATGAAAAGCCATTATGGCTACCTGGTAGCAAGTCCAATTACAAATGACTCCAGAGCCCTCTGCAATGTGACCTGACTCTAAATCGTCCTTTAGGATTGTCATCCAGTCTGCTGGCCCTCTGCTTTCTGCCTACTCACATGTAATTGGGAAATGGAAGGTACTTATCTATCTTGTTGATGGCACTGTGCTCATTTGATAACAGTTGCTCCACAAGAGCACAAGAAGGAAAGTGCATTTGCTGTAGCTATAAGTTTACTCACTGAAGTGAGTAAATCATGGATATTGCAATTGGACAAATAGACATTGGGAAGAGGGGGTGGGGTAATTGGACTTTTTCTTTTAAAAAGGAACAATAAAATAAACCTTGTTCTTCACCCTCTTTACTTGACTTCTATTATCTTATTTATGAAAAATACACACAAAAGAAGAAAGAAATATGAAACTAGTATCGAAGGAGTTAGAAAGAGACAGTCATTTGTATTCTTGGCAGAAGAAGAATCTAAACTAAATATTAGGAGTAACTTTCACTCTCTTGATACAGACATCCTTCAAGAATTCTCCTTTCGTAGGAGGAAGCTGTCTTTCTTTTCTTGTCCCAATACTACACTGAAAATGCTATCTTTTTTTCTTTGCTCTGGAGTCAGCCTAGTTAGGGAGTCAAGGCTTGTTTTGCAGTAGAATACTGCACCAGGCTCGTTTCATGTTGATCTTGCAAAATTCGGAGTTGTGAATATTCACTGCAGGTGTCCTGCTAAGGGAGTAAATTTTCACAGACTAAACAGGCACTAAAGAAGTCCATTCAGATGTAAGAATTGAATGTAGGGGTTTTATGTTTTTATACATTTTTTATGAATTATAAAAAATAAATGAACAAAAACCATATCTGCAAATAATCAGAGGGATCTAAAACCATGTTTAGAGATTTGCAGATAAAAATTTTCACCTCAGCAAGCATTGAGGAATGTTTTGTTAAAGTGCTGTCACAGTCATAAAAGCAATGATTTTACATCTTTTATTAGCGCTTCTGATTTAGAAAGCTGAAAAGCACATTGATTCATATGTGAAAATGAAAATACCCAAACCAAAACCTTTTTCTTTTTGATAATAAATTTTTGTTTACTTCTGAGGATGGTCTTACGTTCTTTTCTGGTATATTAGTAGCAAAACTGTTTCTTACAACCTGAAGCAAATAACTTTATTTGGGGCTTTATAAGGATGATCGATTTCTTAAGAAAAAGAGGAGTAGGATTAGGTAATCCACAGGAGTTGTTGTTTTAATAACTTAAAATTATTTGAAGTATTCAAATCTAGCATGGAAATACTAAAATTTAGTGATGCTGATATAGTTTTAAACCATCATCATACTACTAATCAAATTGATCATTCAAATTATATAACCTTGATAAATTCTTTCCAATTTAATATTACAAAACACGTGGATTTCTTTAAGACACTGTTAACATGGGCATTCTGAGTTTCCTTTTACATCTGAAGTTTTATAAGATGAAGGCTCTTGCCCAAAGCCACACGCAGAGCTGGGATTAAAATGATTGAGTCCTTTCTCCTGGTCCTGCCTTTCTCTTCACTTGACAATACATCACCCAGCAAAGGAGCAAATCAATAATAATGAAAACTTCCTCTTTCTCCCTGGAGTGTTAAAGAGAACGGGTTCACAGAGCAATATCTACAGCAGCACCGGCTGCTTGTTGGCCAAGACCTTAGCCATTTTGGTGCGGGGCAGTGGGGCTACTTGGGATGGGTAGCCTGGGGATGAAAATGCAGTAAATGATGAGAATGGCAGAGACTAGAGCCCTATGGGCTAAACATAGGCCATCTCAACCCCGACACTGATCGGCTTTGTGACTTTGAGCTAATCACATAATTCCTCTGTGCTTTACTTTGGCCACCAGCAAAATGGGACATGGAGGCAGGATAAACTTGCTCTCCACAGTCATGATATTAAATCAATTGCTGGGGACTATTTCAAAACACAGGTGCCAGAGGTGGGTGGTGTTTTCTGTATTGATCTTCATTCTAAATCAAGTTGGCATTCTAAAAATCTTTATTAGGGGATGTATTCATGTGTAACTTTGTTGGGACAAAGTATGATGGGTTTGAACAATAACAAGTGGAACTGAGACCAATATGTAGTGTGTTAAAATGACTTAAAAGATTTTTAAATTCTAAAAGGATTATTGATTTTTTTTTTCTAGAATAGCAGCAGTTTAGATGACTTTTCAGCTTAACACAATTTCCCTGAATCAGGCCCCTGCATACTCTTCCAGGATCCGTAGCTCCCTGCAGTATACCCTCATCCCAGCACTCCTATTAGTCATCATGGGGTCTGTGGCTTTTGATTAGTTTTGCTAAACTAATCCCTGATTCTGGTACTCTGCCTGCTGGTAGACCACTGACACTCCCACCCAGCAGCTGCCATGGCCATCTTTTGGGGATGACTTTCCCAGGATGCTCTTTCCCAGTGGTCCCTGGTGTTGAACTGATCCCAAGGCTAAAATTATTTCAGATGTTTCAAAACGTAGTTATTTTCCTTTTAGCATCCACAAAGTCCCATAGGAAGCAGATCCCTTAGTCTCTACCTCAAATTCATTAGTTTATTGGGACTTAGAAACCAAACTATGTGAGGGTAGAGGTAGAGTCTGAAATCTTTCATTCTTATGATCTCCCTTCTGGTTCTTTTGCATAACATTCCTCTATGTTTCTTTATTTAAAATGCAAACCCTCTCATGCTTCTCTACTAGAAACTCCAAAGGAAGTACAGGACTCTGCCCCAGAAGTTCCACAAACAGCTAAATTTTTGAGTCCAAGTTTGGGCTTAAAGGGGATTCACTTCAGTTATATAAAAGCAACAAAACAATTTTTAAAACTCAATCTAAAATATTAATGTTTTCTTTTAAATTAGCTTATATTTCTTTCTTCATTCTATCCAGGATTTACTAATATTTACTAATAATTATATATGCCTATAATAGTTGCTTAGAAAAGGAAGCAATAATGTCTGCTAGGTTGATCTATATGAACTTTACACATTTTAAATGTTTTTGATCTACAGAAATCATAGTTTAATATGCTGTAGCCTAAGTCCTTCCATTCTTCCTGAAAAACATGCTTCATTTCTGAGGTTGTCAATTAAAAAAATTATCTGTGGTTAAAAAATACCTTATCTGGGCTAGGTGGACTGAACCAATCAGCAGTCTGTGATCTCATTACTTAGCATATTTGATTAAAGTTTTTGGCCAAGAGGCACATATTTACTAATCACCAAACTTAGACTCTGTCAAGTCTTGCCTGTGCATAAATATTTTGAAATATCACATTGAAATTAGAAAGTATATTTTTCTCATTCCCAGTTTTATGTAGCATCTCTGATCTGAACAGGACATACCAAAACATGTAGCTCAAATATCTCACTTTTCAAAGGAGAAAATTCTAATACCAAATGAAGAACTGCCTGGCTCAAAATAACTCAGCTCTAATAGTGGGATGAGTCAGGGTGAGGGGTGGGAAAGGATGAAGTTAAAGGATTATCAGTCATTAGTCAGTGGAAAAGGAGAGGATCTTACCAGTATTGCTTGAAAATGGCAGACATTGATATACATGAAATTGTCCTTATAAATTCCCACCATCACTGAGCTCTAACTGAGAATGGTGTACTCACCCTCTCTACTTTGGAAACACATGCACACACACCTTCAGATTTTACATTGCTGTATGTCTTCTTACACCCTTCAATATTTCATTGGATATTCATTTTATTATTACTTAGGCTGTATAAAAGTGTCATAGTTGTCAAATGATCAGTAGAGAGAGACTCCTGTGAGACTGAGTGGTGGAAAACTGCATCAGCTGTAGTCAGAACTAATGAATAAGTCATGTGACAGGACAACAATAGTTTGACATCTGACCTTCTATCTACTTGGTATTAAATGTTGGTGGCTAAGGTCTCACTGCTGTGCACACAGAAGTAAACTGTAATGAGGTGCAGAGTGAGAGCACAGTGACTGTAGGTGCACTTCAGACATGAGCAAGCCAGAAGAAGCAAGAGAGAAAACTGTGGCAGTGATTGATTTCTTTTGAGTACTAGTCAGTTTATAGTGGCTTCCAAAATAAAATGCTCAGAAAGATTCTGAGGCTCTCTTAACTGACCCAAAATATAATATTATTTTCTGGCCAGGTGCGGTGGCTCATGCCTGTAATCCCAGCACTTTGGGAGGCCGAGGCGGGTGGATCGCCTGAGGTCAGGAGTTTGAGACCAGCCTGGCCAACATGGTGAAACCCCATCTCTACTAAAAATACAAAAATTAGCCGGGTGTGGTGGCATACACCTGTGGTTCCATCTACTTGGGAGGCTGAGGCAGGAGAACTGTTTGAACCCGGGAGGTGGAGGTTGCAGTGAGCCAAGATTGTGCTACTGCACTCCAGCCTGGGCAACAGAGCGAGACTCCATCTCAAAAAAAAAAATTATCTTCTTTGTTCCTCTGACAGACACCTTTAAGAAGGTCATTATATGGCTTTCTTAAAGGAAAATATTAACTTTCTCATCTGTCTGCTTTTGGTTTAAATTTTGGTAAAACTTTAGATCAATCACAGTCATATTTTTGTTGTTGTTGTTGTTGTTGTTGTTGAGACAGGGCCTGGAGTGCAGTGGCATGATCTTGGCTCACTGCAACCTAGGCTTTCCAGACTCAAGTGATTCTCCAGCCTCAGCCTCCCAAGTAGCTGAGACTACAGGCATGAACCACCATGCCTGACTAATTTTTCTTTAATTTTTTTTTGTAGAAACAGGGTTTCTCCATGTTGCCCAGACTGGTCTCAAACTCCTGAGCTCAAAGCCATCTGCCTGCCTTGCCTCCCAAAGTGCTAGGATTACAGGTGTTAGCCACCACGCCTGGCCACACAGTCATATCTTAAAAGAGTTCCCTTTCTACTTATTTCTTTCAATAGAATATTGTCTGTAGGAGAGTGATGTCAGCAAGATGGTGAACTAGGAGGCCCAACACTCATCTCCTCCACAACAAAAAAAAGAATAAAAACTACATACTGACAAAAAAAAAAAAATAGCTCAGACTGCAAAGAAGAAGTGGAAGAAACTCTGTGGAACACAAAAACTGAAGATGCTTGCATGAAAAACTTAGAAAGCATTTTTTAAGCCAGTGTCACTCCATCCCTCAGTCTGTAGCAGTTTGGTGCCAAGAGGGACCCCTCAAAGGCATTTCCCTTGAGAGGCAAAGGACATCAAGAGGACCTCAGCAATTCTTGTCATCCCTGGGAACACTTGCAGTCCTCCTTACTGAGGACATTTGTAGTCTTTGTTGATGCTGAGCCCAGATGCCAGAGCTGTCTGGAGTCCACACTACAGTGCTTACCCCAAAGGAGCTGCTGCTGCATCTCCTTCCAAGGCTGGAGCTGTGGCTATGCTGAGCCTTGCTCTCAGGGGCCTGAGTTGCTGCTGTGCCCAAGCCTCTGATATCAAGACACCACTGTGCCTCACTGTGTATGGGACCAGAGCTGCTGCTGTGGTGTGCACTCACCCCTGGGGCCTGAGTCGCAGCTATGACCTACCATCAATGGGACTGTATTTTTGCTGCACTGCACCGACCCCCTGGAACATTAGTCATGGTGCCATTGTTCTGTGCCTCCCTCATCAGAGCCTCATCTGCAGCTGTGACACCATCTCTGCGGGTGCGCTGCTGCTATGTCTGACTCTAGGATGCCTGTCACTGCTATCATTTTTGGACTCATGCTTCTGCTGCATCCCACTTCACCAGAGCCAGAGTAACCATAGCATGCCATAGGGATCCAGATCCTGGCCCCATGGCTATCTGCATAATGCCCATGTCTCAGTTACTGGTACTACAACCACAGCAAATGTGCCCATGCCCCAGGTTCCATGAAATGTGATAGTTCCTGCATGACCCTGAGCCCAGGAAACTGGCTCCAGTGCTGCTCTGAGTGCCTATACCACTGCTGTGAGCCTCAGTTTTAGTGCTACCATGACTTCATCCATGTCAGTGCATGACCAGGTGTCAAGAGGGATCTTCTCAGGTAGAACTTCCCTGGATAGAGGAGGAGGAGAATAGAGGCACCCAGCAGCCTTAGCAACCAAAGACCTCAATAGTGTAGCTGTCACTGCCACTGCAGATACCCATAACCTTGGCCACCAAAGACCTCTGCAGTATTTTCCAACATCGACCTCAGCTAACAGAGCTGCACAGAGACTATACTGCTGCTTCTACCCTGAATGGGAGACATTTTACCCCACCCAACTGGCACCCTTAAATCCACCTGCAGCTGAAATTCTCTCCCCACTGAAGTCCATCTCAAAAGGCTGAAAGAGTTAACTGCGCCTTCAAATGTACAGACATCAACATGAGACCACTAGAAACAAGAAATAGCAAGGAAACATGATACTACAAAAAGAACACAAAAATATATCAGTAACTGATCTCAAAGAAATGGACAAAATAATTACCTGAAAAAGAATTCAAAATAAATATGTTAAAGAGGAAAACAGATGACTCAATTAAAAAATGGGCAAAAGACCTCAATTCGACATTTTCCCCAAGAAGATATACAAATGGCCAATAGATATATGAAGAGGTGCTCAACATCTCTAATCATCAGATAAAGGCAAATGAAAACCTCAATGAGATACCACTTCACACGTGTTAGAATGGCTATTATCAAAAAGTGGCGAGATAACAAATGTTGCTGAGGATGTGGAGAAAAGGGAACCCTTGTATACTGTGGGTGGGAATGTAAATTGGTATAGTCATTACGGAAAGCGGTATGGAGGTTCCTCAAAACATTGAAAATAGAACTACCACATGCTTCAGCGTCCCATTTTTGGGCATATATATAAGACATATCTGTACACCCATGTTTATTGCAGCATTACTTACATTAGCAAAGCTATGTGTCCATCAGCAGATGAGTGGATAAAGAAAATGTGGTGTATGTATACAATGGAATATTATTCAAGCTTTAAAAAGAAGGAAATCCTGCCATTTGCAAAAATGTGAATGAATTCAGAAGACATTATGCTAAGTGAAATAAGCCAGAAACAGAAAGATCAATATTGCATATCACTTATTTGTGGAATCTAAAATAAGTTGTATTTAGAGCAGAATTGTGATTCTCAGGAGCTAGGGACAGGGTTGAGAAAATTGGATACATTGGTGAAAGTGTACAAACTTTTAGTTATAAGATTAATAAGTTCTAGAGATCTAATGTACAGCATGATAATTATGGTTATAACAATGTACAAATGCTCCTCAACTTACAACAGGCCCTCCTTGACCAATATACCCATTGCAAGTTGAAAAATCGTAAATTGAAAATGCATTTAATACACCTAACCTACCAAACATCATAGCTTAGTCCAGCCTGCTTAAACATGCTTGGAACACTGATATTAGTCTATATTTGGCAAAAGTATCTGCCACGAAGCCTATTTTATAATAAGTGTTGAATATCTCATGTAATTTATTGAATGCTGAAAGACTATTTCTACTGAATGTGTATTAGTTTTGCACCATTGTAGGGTCTAAAAATCATAAGCTGAACCATTGTAAGCCAAGGACAGTTTGTATTGTATACTTGAAATTTGCTAAGAAAGTAGATCTTAAGTGTTCTCTTTATAAACACACACACGGTAACTCTGTGACGTGATGGATATTTTAATTAGCTTGATGGTGAGAATCATTACACAAGGTCTAATTAAAACATTAGGGTGTACACTTTAAATATATAGAATTGTTAACGTTTTAATTAAACCTCAATAAAGCTGGAAAAAATATTGCCTCCAATCCTCATTTAATGAGTAGGATTTTCCATGTTTTTATGAAGTCCTTTTTCAGTCATCGTTGTGTCTTCCATTCTCTCCTCCCTTTCTGTAGTTGTTTGCTACTTGCCTAAGATGTACATAAAGTTAAACCTGCTAAAGGTGGGAGCTGTGGACCTTATAAGCTGGAGCTGTCAGTTGGTGTGGATTCTGGGATGATTCCAGAAGCGTGTCTGCTCATTTTCAAAAGAAAACACATTATCAGCAGAGTTGAAGCTGGTCTCCTTAGAAAAATAAACAAATCCCTGACTGCTCTTATAAAACTCACAGATCTTGTCAGAATAAGTTCAATGTTGCTGACAGATCATCAATTGAATGGTGCCTGTGTGAAAACAAATGTGGGAAGTGAGTGGTGTGTGGCTTTTTGTAGGGTGACAGTGACTCTTACCAGATTGGGAGATGAGCGGAAATCCATTTTGTACTCAACTTTGGCTCAAAAGCAGTAGTGCTGGATTTCAAAGAGTAATTAATTTACTAAGGCTATCGACTCTTCCCTCCAACCCATAGCTATAGATCTTGTCCTTACTTAAGTGTATTATTATTTCGTCCCATGATTTTTTTCGTTCTGCTAGAACACCAGGGCATGATTTCAAGTACTATGCTATTTTGACATTAACTATGGCTAGTACCAGTTGAGGCGTTGATTCACCAGGGGTGTGCTTTAGGGTTTATTGGTGATCACTTGACTTATTTCTTTTTTATGTATTTAATAATGACAAAGAAAATCTTTTTGTTCGATCTACATCAGAGCACTACTATGTAGAATTTATGCCAATCCCATGAAATGCATTGGAAGGGCAGGCTATGGAGCAAGGGTGACTTGTGTTATGCTGCCTAGACACTGTGTGATTTGGGCAACTTATTTATCCTCTTTGAAGTTTGGTTTCAACATTCGTGAAGTGGAGATAATAATGCCTACTTTGCAGTGTAGGATTGGCAAGGTCCTGTGATTAAAACAAAGGTACAAACAACTTCTTTAGTGTTTGACACGCAAAAGGTACTTAATGGTTATTACTTTATATAACAATAACAATGATAACAACAACAGAAGAACCGTTTATTAAGAAAGCAGGCACTGGAATTCAGTGATGAAAGACACCGCACTCAAGAGTCTCGGAGTGTACAGCTTTGTAGCCCAGATATCTCTTGAATGATTTCCATGTGTTAAGTTACTGAAAGTACCACAAGGAGTCCCCATAATTCCTCTATGACATAATCCAGAGGCAGGGACCTCAAGAATTTAATCATAAAGCCGTAGATAGAGGCATCAATAAAAAAAATCTGCCAAAAGGTCTTTGGCTCTAGTAAATGAAAGTATGTTTAGAAAGACTCACTTATAGATGTTTTTGCCTCGGTTTTAACAGAATATTAGTTTTAGAATGACCATAGTTCTACTTTCTAAAAAAGAAATTGAGGTACAGAGTTTCAAAATTGTGTCAGCAAAAACAATTCAAGCTTTGTAATCTCCAGATCTTCAGCCATCCATTATGGCTCCTGCTTTTCTTAGTTTCTTCTCAGTAGAAAGAGGAATGTTTCAAACCATGTACAAGATGTTATAAAGTTACTTATCAGAACCTTTGTAAAGCTGCTTTTAGATATCCATCAGAGATTTATGATTTTAACTGCCTTGTACATTTAGTGATTTTTTTAAAAAAACAAGATAAAATAGAATATTTGGTGATACACTTTTCTATTATAGTGATAACATCTGTTAGAAGAAAATAAGCCCAATGGATGCATTAGAAATTGAGAAATGTTATTAAATTATAGTCTTACTTTGTTCATTTTTAATAAATGAATTTAATTTAGTTAAACATTTTTCTTTAAGACCAGGGAAAATGTAATTTATCCAGAATAGAACTATATTAAGAAGGCCTATATAATTGCTTAACTTTAATATTGGTGGTTTTGAAAACAGTTTTAAAATGTGTGTATACAGCCAATAAGTCACATTATTAAAACCACTTTAACTTGAATATATGCAGAGTCTTTATAGGACATTTCTAAGGAATACATTTTAATAACTTCCATCAGTGTTACTGAAAAGGTAAAAAATAAGACAGTTGTTCTGCAGGGTTTAATTAAACCCATCGCATGGGTAATTGAATATGTAAATATTTCATTGAGTGATAAACTTCACACAAGGAATTCTTCTAACACTTGGTGATATTGAACTTGGTGATGCTGCAGGTTCATCAGAGAGCTAGCTAATCTATGTGAATGATGGTATGTCTAAGAAAGAACAATGAGCTTAAATTAGAAATAAAAGTGATCTGAAAGCTTGCTTAGAGCTTGAATTGTTTTTTTTCTCTTAAACTGTGTCTGATTTACACCTATTTCTTTTTAACAGTGTAATTGTAATTGTTAACATCTCTGCATTTAAAAGTACAAGTTAAAAAAAATCCAGAATACTATTGGAGACTAAAATCCCCTTTTATAATGGAAAATCTCTTGGCATTATTGAATTACGGACTAGTTTACAGGACTTTCAGCTTCATACTTGGATATGTGGTATCTGTTTCCAGACAAGTAACTGACAAATACAAAGATATCTTTGCTTTCTGTCAACCTAGATCTACATCCTATAACTAACATCCACATGCCTAGTTGAGTTTAATAAAGAACATTCTTTGGATCATTGAACAGAAATCAACATTAGATTTACCTTATTTTAATAATTCATTTTAGCATTATTATCTACCATGTCTTTATTTTTTTGGCCTTTTAAAATTAAATTTTTTGGTACATAATATTTTATGTATATATGGGATAATGTGATATTTTATTATGTGCACAGTATATATAATTATCAAGTCAGGGTATTTAAAGTGTTGGGAACAATTCAAGTTCACTATCTCATCTATTTTGAAATATACAATTCATTGCTGTTAATTATAGTCACTCTGCTGTCAAACAATAGCATTTATACCTTTTTTCTAACTGTATATTTGTACCTGTTAAGGGACAAATTTGTACCTCTTCATTCCCCTCCCACCCACTCATTCTTCCCAGCCTCTGGTTATCTATCATTCTGCTTTCTACCTTTTTGAGATCAACTTTAGTGCATCTTATCACTCAAATCTTGATGACTGAGTGGTGTTCATAATCCAGAAACCCATTACATGGTGTAAACTTCAGAAATTGGTTTAGCTCTTTCCTGTACAGAGACTCACATATCTGTCTAATGTGCTCTGTAGGGGAAAGAGAGCTGAAGAAAGTGAGCGCTGGCAAGAGGAGATGTCAGTTTCCAGCTTCAGAGTGTGTTAGATGCTGCAGACTTTCAGGTCCTTTCAGCCTCCTGTGGTTATATTAAAGGCTGATGGGAACTCTTTTTGTCTGCTAATGATCCTCTTACTGTGTCTACTTGTATTTTGAAAGTGACATCATATATGATTTTGCGATTTAAGATTTCATATGTAATTCAACAGATGGATATAGTAGCACCAATCTTATTTCAAAACTGATGTTATTTAGGGTTTATTCCACGTAATGACTAAAACCACTGTTTGCAACACACATTGTTTTTGGTAGCTTTGCCTTGTGGACAGCATGGTGTCTGTTGAAAAATCATCCCCTTTCAGATAATATATTTTGTTGCCTTCTACAGCTCGGTTCAATGTCAAGGATGGGAAGGTAAGAGAGATAAAAAGTAGGTATCGTGCAAATTCTAAATTGGTTTCCATACGTTTTGGGAGACTTGACTCGCCATTAATAGGGAGATACAAATATGGAGGATAGTCATGCTTGGGGGAAAAAAATCACTTAATCATTAAGTCCTGATTGCTTGTCTGTAAAATAGTATCCATCATGTAGAATTAGTAGGATTGTTAAATAATTAGATGATTAATTTAAAGTACTTAGCCAGTTTCTTGCATATATAAATTAATTAATATATTTTTTATTAATATATTTTGAGTTTTCTGAAAATATAAATTCCAGCTTTTTTTGAGTTAGCAGAACATGAGTTTTTAAACCTTTTTTCCCATTCTTTCTAGAAGTTAGCCCCTCTTGTATTTCTTTCTAGACTTGGAAGCTGGAATTCACTTCCCACTTAGAATGCTTGATGAGCTAGGAAATATTAATATAGCTGCTTCTTATTCACCTACTCAACGTCAAAATGTAACAGACTGATTAAAGAGAAAGAAGACATGAGTAAAATGACAGAATACACATTAAATTTTAATCACTACAAGTTCAGCTAAGACATGTAGCTGGCATGCTGAAAAGGATTATATTTAAGTCAGGGAGATGGCAGTGTTGTTTCAGAAGCTAGTTGAATTCCCCTAGTCAGGGGAAAGGTAATGGGGGGATTAGGGCAGAAAGAAAGCAAATATGTTTGTGCTTTCTAACGCAACCATTTAGACATTTTTAAAAAGTCCCAAACAAAGCTGGATGGTGTTTTTGATGTTAATGCATTTGGAATAAAAATGTATGTTAAAGAAACCTTACTGCAGTAGAACCCTCTGGCAGCCTTCAAATTTCACTGAAGAAAGGCTCCTGCAAAGTCTGTGGGGAAAGAGATACCTGAAATAGCCCCTATCTGTCAGATGCATGCAGAAAGATGAATTTCAAATGACAAAATGTTTATTATAAAATGTTAGGCTATCGATTAGTGTGAAATTGTACATTTTTTTTAGCATGTCATTTCCTTTATTCCTTCAAAGAAACTGACATGTTTGTCAGAATGAGGCATAAAGCTATTTTAACCACCTATCTAAAAGTGTGCAAATTCCTTAGCATAACATTTCATGGAATCCACAATCTGAACCCAACCTGTCTTATCTGCTACTTCTCTTGTTTACAAATTCACTGATTCAGTTACCCATCAGAATGCTCACTGTTGTCAAATAGACCCCTCCGGTAAGGGAAGGGAGGGAGGGACAGGAGCGTGCTAGAAAAAACCACCACTGCACCACCAAAGTCTATTTATCACTCAAGGATTAACTCAAATATTATCTCAAATATTTTTTGTCTTCTTACCCTCTTATCCTCAAAGAAAAGAGTAGGTAGTATTTCTTTTCTCTTCATGCTTGTGACAATTTAGCTACACCTAGGCCTTTGCAATATATTACTTTCCATTGTTTATAATTATTTGTGTCTATTTCTTACAAATCCCTAAAATAGTATAAAATAGTAAGCTTTTAAAGAGCAAGAGAACTTGTCTTTTTATTATTCTATATATCATGGAACCCTGCACACCACCTTGCTAACAGTCATCTATTTACGTATCCATGTACTAACTCATTACTATACAAACTATTTATGTTCTATGAATGTTTCAAGACACTATGTATACTAAGTTGAGAGAGAAACAGAAACAGAGGAGAGAGCGAGAGAGAGGGTGAGAGAGACTTCTTGCCAGAAAGGACTAATGCTCTAGTGAGAAACTATACATGTTGCCATGCAAAGCTTTAGTTACAATGATATTTAAGATAAGCAATGGTTCAGTATGGAGGATATTTATTAGAAATAATGGGAGAGGAGGTTGAAGGGTTAGAGATGTGGCATGAAGTTCTTGTATACTGTGCAATTTGGATTTTATGCTAAAGGCGATGGGCATTTGCTGAAGAACGTTAAGTAACAAAGTTATACTCTCAAATTTTACGTGAAATTTGGATCTTAGAGTCTGATCATTGAGGTAGTGAGCTCACTCTGAATGATGTTGAGGTTGAAAATGAAAAAAGCCCCACAAATAATAAATAATAAAGTTGAAACTAAGGCAGTAGCAAAGGTGAGAGAAAGGCAAGGATAGATTTAAGAGGTAATTTTAATGAAACCAAATCACCTCAAGAATTTAAAGTATGTCCCTCCCCACTTCCCACTATTCATTCTCTACTAAAATTAACCATAACATCTGGTGGTATACAAAACTTTCTCTGGCTAATATTTCCCACCTAGTTAAAGAAACTGGTCGTTTTGAAGTTTTACACATTTAAATCTCATGACTTGATCAGCCTAAAATCGTAAGTCAAAATGGTCTCCAAACATCAAAACTTTAAACTGGGTATAATATAACTAAACACAAATAAAACAAATTATGTAGGCAGAAGATACAATGAAAAATGGGAAAAAAAGAAAAGGAACAAATGCCTATTCAACCTTTTCCACTTTGAGCTTCCCACAAAATATCACCTTTCTGTTAGAGTTAGTGTCTGCACCAGTGGGGAAGTAGGCTATTGAAGGTTTTCATAGCTTGATGATTATGGGTTTCAATAGTTTCTGGGTATTTCTTTTTTCTATTTCTAAGTCTTTCTCAGGTATGTTCCCTCGGACGGAATAGTGCATGTTCCTTAAAGAGGTTCTTAAGTTGTAACTGATTGTGCCTGCTCTGCAGAAGTGATTTTTTTCTTCTGAATTCTCACAGCTGGTATTCTGCTCTGCTCTTACATATTGTTTTGGCAGTGACTGTCACTTGCTTTGCTGTTGCTGTTTTTAATCTCTGCTGCTATCTCTGCTTCCTGACATGTCTGCCTTTTGTTGTTATTTTTCTTCTGCTCTCTACACACCTGTTGTTACCTATTTCTTCCCATCATAACAAACATCTCTTATTTCATCCAAAGTTCTTTGGTTTATGGGTTAACCTTAAAATCTCTGCTTCTTATTCACTCAGTTCATAATTCAACCACTGAATTCTACCTCCCTCCCCTCACTGCTCTCCTCTGGGTACTCAATGTCATTTAAGTTGCCAAATACAGTGGATTTTTTCCATCCTATCTTCCCAGGTCACTCTGCTACATTATGATTCTCCTTCCATCTTTTAAATATTGGTATTTTCTCGATTATTACTATTTCTTACTGCTTTTCTTTTCTTCCTCAGTTCTATTCCCCCGAAGGATATCATGAATTCTTAGGGTTTCACAGTCCATGTCTGTGAGTGATCGTTCCCCAATTGGTATCTTCGCACTAAAATGTCTCTCCTCAGTCTCCATACTCATATGCCTGATTCTCTGCTGGACATTCATGTCACAGGTTGGGATCTTCAGATACAGATGCAGAAACAGAGTTAGGTGTGCAAAATGATTATCAAGCATCAACACCATGAAAGGAAGGAAGAAAAAGGCTTGACCGGAGAGAAATGTCAGATCATGGGGCAGGCCTGACAAAGACTCAGCAAATCCTATGGCATACTCCAGAGCAATTATTGCCCATAGAGTTCTGCACTGGCTCAAAATTCCTAGGTTTTTAGATTCCCACTTTGCTCATTCATTGAATGTAAGGCAGCCCAGGAAGAGTATGATATATATTTCTACAGCTTAGGCAGGAGTTGAAGGAACCAATGGTTGGAGGCTATTTGTTGACAACATTCCCTGCAGCTGGGCAAGTCCTTTCCCCAAAGGAAGATCTGGTGGCACATCTTCATGTCAGCCACAGTGTCTGAGTGTTTCCTTAACTCAAATTCACACATTCCTGCTGTCATTTGAGGTTCTCACTTTCTCTTGGTTGAAATTAACTGAAATATTTGTAGTTAATAATTGAAGTAGAATTTACTGAATACCTAACAAATTCTAGACCCTGTTCTAGACACTAGGGATTCATCAGTTAACATACAAATAATTAAATATGTAATGTTTCAGAAAGTACTAACTTTCTTGCCCCTGGCCTTGTATTTCCATGAATAAACTTGAGCTGGTACAACTCTCCGGGCCTCTCTCTCCACAATGGAGATTTGCTCCCCCCAATATGTAGATTTGGAGAAGATTATAGGAGTAGCGACTGTTAGTAAGATTTTTGAGTAGGAGCCCTAAAGCCACATTCCATAACTGGCTTAATCAGCAAAAAGAAAGTCGACATTAAAAAAAATTGTATGTCTTGGCCAGGCGCGGTTGCTCATGCCTGTAATCCCAGCAGTTTGGGAGGCCGAGGCAGGTGGATCACCTGAGGTCAGGAGTTGAAGACCAGCCTGGTCAACATGGTGAAACTTTGTCTCTACTAAAAAATACAAAAAATTAGCCAGGCTTGGGGGCAGGCGCCTGTAATCCCAGCTACTCGGGAGGCTGAGGCAGGAGAATCACTTGAACCTGGGAGACAGAGGTTGCAGTGAGCCAAGATCGTGCCGTTGCACTCCAGTGTGGGCTACAAGAGCAAAACTCTGTCTCAAATAAATAAATAAACAAATAAATAAATAAAATTATATGGCTCTTCCCTGTGTTTTAGTTCTCAATTGGTCTAAATGAAGGAGAATAAGAAAAGGGTATTATATTTTAAACTCTTAAATTTCATCACATAATATATCACATGCGGGAAAGTGCATTGAAGAATAACAATGGTCTAAGAGAATAGAGATTGAGTAGAATAAGTGGTGGGTATTTTATAGAGTTATTGGGAGATATCTCTTTAAGGAGATCACATTTTGAGCAGAAACCTGCTTGAGGCAACCCAAATTCACTGACCTGAGGAAGTTCACACTCCAATCTCTAGATGTTGTCTTCCTAGCCTTCTCTGTCTTTTGGGTCTTGACTTCTACAAGTCTGGCTCATTTTCACACTCAGATCCTTCTTTAGTTTTGCAGTTATAAAATTCACCCCAGGCCAGGCACAGTGGCTCACGCCTGTAATCCCAGCACTTTGAGAGGCCGAGGTGGGCAGATCACGAGGTCAGGAGATCGAGACCATCCTGGCTAACACGGTGAGACCCCGTCTCTACTAAAAATACAAAAAATTAGCCGGGCGTGGTGGCAGGTGCCTGTAGTCGCAGCTACTCAGGAGGCTGAGGCAGGAGAATGGTGTGAACCCGGGAGGCAGAGCTTGCAGTGAGCCCAGATCGCACCACTGCACTCTAGCCTGGGTGACAGAGTGAGACTCCATCTCAAAAAAAAAAAAAAAAAAATTCGCCCCAAACATTGATACAATTCTGTTGACTTTACTGAAAGTAGGTGAGTGCGTATCTAATGGGGTCAAATCATATAGTTTTACAACTTTCAGCTGGCTGGCTGTTCCCCTCGCCATTTCTATTCTACTTCCAATTCTTTTTCCTCTATAAAGTGTAGTATTTTTCCCTCATCTAAAGCTAGAAGCTGACTGCTAGACCCTAAAATGTTATGTTACAGAATGCGGAAAGGCTTACCTTCTATCGATCCCTAAAACAAAATTATTGCAGCATTTTTTTTCTCATAATAAGACAGCTCTTTCTGTACAGATAATTCTAGTAATAGTTATTCAGCTATTACTGTTTTTTTCACATCATTTCATAGTCCATGCTCTCTCTCTTTCTCTCTCTCTCTCTATGTATATGTGTATGTATATATGTACATATATAAAACTTGTGTATATGTGTGTGATGTGTGTACATATATATGTATGCACACACACACACACACACACGGATATTTACATCCTCTTTCAAAGTTATTCCACAAGTAAACCTCTTCAGTCGTATTTGAGGGGCCTTAAGGGGAACAAAATTAAATTATGTAACTTACTTGCTCCTACTCCCATAGGATAACCAGCCATCCTGGGACAGAAGGGTTTCCTGAGACACATGGATATCAGGGCTAAAACTGGAGAGTCCCAGACAAACTAACATATTCTAGGTCTCCTTTGACTTAGTTGCCAAATCCCCTCCTCCTTTGAAGGCTGAGGAGAGATTCCTTGAGATTTTAGAGTATAATTTCTTTTTTTTACATTATACTTTAAGTTCTAGGTTATTTATGTGCACAACGTGCAGTTTTGTTACATATGTATACATGTGCCATGTTGGTTTCCTGCAAGCGTGAACTATATATAATTTCTTAGCTCTGTCCTAAGGCTCGGTCATGGAATGAGTTGCTTGCCCTCCAGGGGTGAATTCATTTCCTCAGGCTATCTTTACTCGAGGCACATCAGTTAGAGGTCCTTTTGTTTCTGCAGAAATCTCTTAACATGCCTGTCCTGGCTGAGATACATAGTTCTCTTTAAGAGAATTTAAAGACGACCTGAAAGTAGCAAGAAGCAGAACTATGTCTTCTCCTGTACTCAGAACAGCTTCCAATTGTTATTGAGCTTCCAACACTAATATATATATATATTAGTTTTGGAATATATAATATATATATCTCTCTCCATGAGTTCTTGGTTAACAAGAATTTGACCTCAAAAGTTCTAGTCCATACCAATTTCCGTTCTTTTCTATGACTCTTGAGAAATTTTAACTTTCTAGAAATATTTTGTTGTATTTTGCTTTCAGATCACTGGCTCCGCTGAAACCGGATTGTCTAACCACATTATATAGGACCTTACCTTAGTGATCTTCTCAAAATATTCCTATGCTTAAAATTTTTGCAGAAGTCTTTCTTCCTTCCCCTTGGAAAACAGTAAAAGTTTTTTTGTAGGAGTTCTAGACAACTCTCAACATAATAGGATCCAAACGATACAACAATGATAATTATAACAGTATCTACATTTAAACTTTTAAAAAATGCCTTTTTTATCTTTGTTATATGAGGTCAGTGAAATTGTGATATTATAGAATCTATCGTGTAAATGTAATAATGCTGAGCAATTTCCTACTATTTTAAAAAAGAACCATTAGCTTTGAATATCTGTCATTGTTTAAAACTAAATCCCAATGTTGCATTATTATAACTGGAATTTTAGAATAATTAAAAGTTTCCAAACACACATATCTATGTATGCATACGCACACCTACATAAACACACATTCATGCACTAATACAAATAATTATTAGCTGAATTTATTCATGAAGAGCTGTTCTTTTAGCTATACTCAATTCGGTTCCAGGGACATCTCTTGGCATTTCAGAATTTCTCCATTAAATATCATTTCTTTTATTTTTATTTTTTTCTTTTTGAGACAGACTCTCACTCTGTTGCCCAGGCTGGAGTGCAGTGGCATGATCTCGGCTCACTGCAACCTCCACCTCCTGAGTTCAAGTGATATTCCTGCCTCAGCCTCCTGCGTAGCTGGGATTACAGGGTGTGCACCACCATGCCCAGCTAATTTTTTGTATTTTTAATAGAGATGAGGTTTCACCATGTTGGCCAGGCTGATCTTGAACTCCTGACCTCAGGTGATCTCCCCACTTTGGCCTCCCAAAGTGCTGGGATTACAGGCGTGAACCATCACGCCCAGCCAAATATCAATTCTTAATTGAAGTAATGGGCCCGAGTTTTTGTAATCAGGTAATTATATTTGTGTCATGCTGAAGAAGTGTTCTTAGAAGCAGTGTTATTATCTTATTTTACAAACATATAACTGTGAATGGTTATATGTACATACTTATAAATCAAATATGATTCACACTTCCTTTTAAGTATTAGAAACAGGATTTATAAGTTCAGATAGGCATTTTCTCTTTATAAACTGAATTTTCTTTTCAATATTTTAGAATGAATGTAATGTGTCTTCAACCAATTTGAATCCATTCTGTCTTTTGTCAGATTACATGATATTTGTCATTAATTTTCAGTATTAGCTAATAGACCTTGTCCACAGATAGTAGCTGAGGCAGACCTTTGCCATTTACATTTTTCCTATGACTTAGTCAAAAATTGCTTTCGGATTTGTTGAATAAAAACTACCTCTTATGCAAAATTTATAAATTAAAACTTATAAAGAAAAAAATTAAATTATAAAACCATAGTCTGTCAGAATGGAATTAAACAAACATAAGTCTTTTTGGCTCCAAAGTACTTAAATTTCTGGATTTAAGAAATAATAGCTATAAGTGGATGTGAAACCACCAGATGTTCTCTAAAGCAAACATCGTATTATATTGCATAATATAGGAAAATGGAAAGGAAATGGAATTATAGGGAGTCCTGTTGCTCTGGGAATTATGTGTCTAATAGACTGATTATCAGTCTCACATTTGCTTAACTCTTGCTTGTGTATCATACAGTTTAGTACTTGTTTTTTTAATCTCTTGCTTCTTCTCTGTTAGGTTATAAGCTCCTAGAAGGCAGAGATGATATTTTAAACTTTTTTTTTTCTCTCTTAGAATTGCTTTTCACAGAGATTAGGATGTAAAATTATTGGTTAACTGTTCATTCTTTTTTCAAATGAATGGTTTCCTCACCTGCAACCCCTAATAGATTGTTTGAAATCCACTTGGCAGCAAGGGTGCTTGAGACACTCATCCAAGAAAGGAAAGCTTGGGAAGTTGAGGCTGAGTCATTCATCATGGCAGAGCTTAGAATCGGTTTCTCATAGTAGGCTAAGAATGTTGGCCATAGTATATCCAAAGTGGATGACTAGCATACCAAATGATAAATAGGGTGATTGTACTATTATATGAGAAACTTTGATCTGGAACGTATTACCCAAAGTCTTTTATTTACTTCATCCACCCAGGAAAATTGTTCAAAAATCATATCAGGTAATGGCCTCCGGTGAGAAGTTGATAGTTACGTATTTTGCACGATAATAAGCCCTTTGTGACTCATGGCTTTCTGAGTAGTCTTATGATGCTTTGTCTTTCCATGTCAGGCTGTTCTAAGTGTCTGCCAACCCAAGCTGATATTCCAAAACAGAGTTTAAACCAATTGAATGCTCAGAAAGATTGGTATCAAGAGATATAACAGGGGGCTGAATACCATGACCTGTGTTTGTATAGGATTTTCACAGTGTTGGCAACCTGTCAATTTTATTTTATGGTTAACTACCATGAAATGCTATAGGAAGAAAAGTTTCATTTTCTCTTCCATGGTTAAGCTAAGCCTATAATGCCACATATCCAAATCTCATGAACTCTCTCTTTTCCTCGCTGTTTAAATATGTATACATAAGTTTCTAAGGTAAATTAAACATTGATATGCTCAAAAGTTGAGAATCTATTTTCTAGGAGCATTAATGAATGTGAAGGTAAAAGAAAAATTTAAACATCTCTTGGTAGGGAAACTACTTATATCATTTTGCTTTGTTCAAGCAGAATCAATTTAAGTTTGTTACAGTTTTAATGCCTGAAATATAAGAATGAAATTCATTTTAGAAATGGGAAGCAACAGTCTAACACATATTGCCTTACTTTCTTAGTTTATCTCAACTTTATTCACTCTTAAAAATATAATGGCTGGCCGGGTGCAGTGGCTCATGCCTGTAATCCCAGCACTTTGGGAGGCTGAGGTGGGCAGATCACGAGGTCAAGAGTTTGAGACCAGCCTGACCAATGTGGTGAAACCCCGTCTCTACTAAAAATACAAAAATCAGCTGGGCGTGGTGATGCACTTCTGTAATCCCAGCTATTCATGAGGCTAAGGCAGGAGAATCACTTGAACCTAGGAGGTGGAGGTTACAGTGAGCCAAGATCCAGCCACTGCACTCTAGCCTGGGCAGCACCCCCCGCCCCCAAAATATATATATATATATATATATATATATATATATATATATATGCCATATTTTTCATTGTACCCATTTTTAAAAAAGTAGAGCAATATTTCAAAGCATCTATTATTTTATTTGGTACCACTTTTCAGATATAATCTGTATCTTGTTTCTCCATTTTAATTTTAGAATGAAGGACTAATTTTTGGATTTTATCCTCCAGAAGCATGAACAAATTGCCAAATGCAAGAGGAGAATAATGAAATTTATTTTAACAAAATAATTCAACTTTTAAGTTAAGATCTAAAACTTGTGGTGCATTTTCAGTATGTTGTTCCTCTATTCATTTATTCACAAATGTTTATTGACCTAGCTTATGGAAATACAAAGTAAATAAGGCAGGATCCCTACCCTCAGGTAGCTCATAGCACTAAGTACAAGGTAAGTGCTAGTATATGTAAGTTCAAAGGTGGACAAGATTAACACTGGCACTAGAGGCAAGCACAGTTTATTGAATAACTGATGACTTAGAGGAAAAATAGTCTGGGCGTGTTGACTCACGCCTGTAATCCCAGCACTTTGGGAGGCCGAGGTGGGCAGATCACGAGGTCAGGAGATTGAGAGCATCCTGGCTAACATGGTGAAACCTCATCTCTACTAAAAATACAAAAAATTACCTGGGTGTGGTGGTGGGTGCCTGTAATCCCGGCTCTTCAGGAGGCTGAGGCAGGAGAATCGCTTGAACCCAGGAGATGGAGCTTGCAGTGAGCCAAGATCACACCACTGCACTCCAGCCTGGGTGACAGAGCAAGACTCCATCTCAAACAAATAAAATAAAATAAAAAATAAAATAAAGAAAGAGGAAAACTAAACAAATTAGAATAGGTACTTTTAAGACTTAAAATGTTATAACAGTTAAAAAAGAAAACACTGATGATTTTGAGCAAAGAAGGAAAGAAAACCTTGGAATTAAGGAAGGCTACCTAAGCCCAGAATGTGGTCACCCAAGTAAGTCATCTCTAGTTGCTCAGTGTTGGCTAATTCTAGGAAGTAAAGTTATATATTCAGGAAAAATAATCTAGAATGTCAGCAAATTATTTAAACAGTTCTTTCTGCTCCTTATTTCTGTTTCATTACTTTATAGACATGCTATCAAAATGATTCATAGTTTTTTCAAGAGTCATTTTTATATTCAGGTGGTCATTCAATTTAAAGTTATGAAGATAGCAAAAATGAGGAATTATAAAATTATTCATAAAACTCATGCTATAAATCATATTTGTCTAAGTATTAAGAATGAATGATATACATTTATTCTTTACTCAGTTATGTGGATAATTGGCATAACTAGTGAACATCTATCTGCTGATTTGCAGACCAATTTATAGTTTCCAACTCTCATGTGAACTCTAGGTCTTATGTCAGGATATTTTGGGTGTCAAAATAATTAGAAATCATTAGACTTACCTCCACCCCAGCATACATTTCTCCCTCAACTTCTTTTTCTTATATTTCCCACCTTCACCAAAGATACCAAGTGCCCTATCTCTTAAGCTAAAATAATTGCTATTGCTAATTATTCCTTAACTCCTTTATCTTACATATTCAATTGTTTAACAATTTTAATTAAATCTGTCCCTGGGTTGTTTCCCTAAATACTTCTCTTCATTCTTCTGCTACAATCATGGTTCAGAATTACATTTGTTTGGATTATTGCAAAGTTCTCTCTTCAGCTAATTGTTTTTCTCCGCTTCATCCAATGCTCCATTCATCTGAGAAAACAGACACAAAGCAACCCATGACGTTTTCCATCCTAAAAACCATCTTTAGTTTCCTATTACCTATAAGATAAAAAGTTTGACTTCTTAGGAAACCATACTGAAGAGTCTGACTCCAAGCCAAAACCAATCTGTATATATTTATGTTTTCAGGCCTGACCATAGGCAATTGCAAAGGCTTTTTTACATGACAGGTCTCACAGTGGAAAGCTCCCCTCTTCACACCAGACTTGGTGCACAGTCAGTGTACTGCAGTCTCTGAAGTGTTGCAGGAATGAAGGAGGACTGGAGAGACCATGAGGTGAGACAGAAGAATTTTACTGAGTGTACTCAGACCCAGTGGATTAACATCCAAAAACTGGGCCTAGAACAAAGACAGTGCTTGACTTTTATACATGCTTCTAAAAAGGTGTGGGCTAGCTTGAAACAAGGTTACAGTGGCGCGAAGTGCAGTGGCATGAAAGCAAGGATACAGAGGCGGAACAAAGGCACTTAATTAAATTGTGACAGGTGCATAACCCAGAATTACATATGACCTTTGCTGTGCAGCTCAGATGGCTGTTATCTAGGCTTTGCTCTAGTGCCTTGCACGGGCTTATCTCGTAACCTTTGCTATGGCGCCCAGACGGCCGCAGCCTAGGCCTGCTCAGGCATGTCTTATAACCTTCACTGTGCTTCTCAGATAAAAACAGAATACTTGAAGTTACTAGTTACAGAAAACAGGAATCTATAAACTCATAAAACTTGCAGAGCCAGGTACAATCACACAGATAGGGGTGGGTTTCAAGGGGGAACTTTACTTTTTCTTATCCTTATGTTGAGGGAGTGCTGGGAGAGTCTCCAGAACACATTCTTTTGAGCCTTAGCTTCTTTGAGAATGTTATTGAGACTCCGCCTGGGTCCGGGCTTTGCCTGTTACTGCCTTTGGGATGAGTCAGCCTAATATAGAAAGTTTGTTTTTCTCTTTTTAATTTTATTTTTCTTTACTTTCCTGCCTCAGAAGGGAGTTGCAATCAAGGACTCAGAGCCCCCTGACTGGCCATGTTCTTATGCACATCTGCTTTCCTCTTTCAGATGCTTGCATTTGGAGGTCTCCTTACTGGGGAACCTTGAACACATTTTCCCCACTCTGACTCAATATTCAGTACTTTTCTACTCCTAGCCATTCCTCCTCACCTCCTCCTGCCTCTGGGTTTATAAAGCTGCAGGAGCCTTTTGTTCTGGACTCATGCAATAGTGAGATAACCCCCACATCTGTGTTGATCCACTTGAGCCTTGACTAAGGTGCTCTTTCATGTGGGAAAATGAAACAGGAGGGGAGTTGGTGCTTTCTCTGGTTTTAGCCTCTTACTTACATGATCATAGTAAGTGATAAAAAGCTTTATTGTTACTTCTGTTTGGGCTCATTGTTTTGAATCTGCTAGTCTGCCACCTGATGACTCAGCTCTCTCCAGCTCACCAGATATTCTGACAAACTGGCACCATGAGGATAGCTGACTAAGCATAATGCCATTCTGGAGGAGTATAAAACATGAAAATCCCATGGGGTACTTTGGGAGGTGCTAGTGGAGTCCAAAGGCACTCGAGAGGGATGTTAGTGGATTGATTGCAAGAGTTTGATGATTCTGTGGGGTGTTTTGCCAGTGGGTCTTGAAAAGTGCTAGTGGACACTGTGGCACATTCTTAGAGGATGCTATCAGACTGTTTATATAAGTTTATTGGTTCAAAAAGGGAGCTTTGGTCCTTCTCTTTAGCCCCTAACTCTGTGGATATGCTCACGCAGTAGGCCAGATTAGAGATATAACAAATGGGGTTTGGAAAAAACTAAGCCCAGAACTAGGCTTAGTTCCCCACTGTTTAAGGTTTTCTACCAATGGGATGAGAGAAGGTCAGTGGGCTCCCATGAGCTAAGTAACTCTATGCAGGTCCCTGGCACTGATGAACACCCTACAGTGCAGCAAGTTGTTGAAATTTCAGAGGAAAAAATAAGGGTAAAGAGCCCTTCATGAATGATTTCCCAGTGGTTCTGAAGAGAACATAGAGACTTAATTAGATCTCCTCTGCATGTAAGCTTGCTAATGTTTGTAAAGGAGAGTGACATGACATGGGATGAATTACCACAAACTGTCTCTCTTTAAAGTGCCCTGACAGCGGTCGCTGCCAGGATAACACAGTACAAGCATTAGCCACAGCAGCAGCAGCCACAGCCTCTGGGCACTACCCCTTTCTAGGAGAGCCCGGGCTCCTCTTAGACCAACTTTCCTTGTAACATCATCAGACAGAAGGAGCTGTCTGCCTCCTGGCCTGTTGCCTGACCCAGCTCCCTCCCCTGCAAAATGTGTGGCCAAATCCTGACAGGTGCGTCCTGTAACTGACATGGGTGGTCTCTCTGCCTTTCCCTGCGGGCTTGTGTGAAGAGACCTGAGAGCCCTGCTTGCTTTTCTCCAGACCTCTTGACTTTTGAAAATAAACAAGATTAGAAATTAACCTGAAAAGTCTCAATCCTCAGGAGCGATCAGAGGCCCCATGCCAAGACTAGACTTCAGTGGGGAGGAGGAAAATGGCACCTCTTAGACCTTCTAAATTCCGGTGCATAAGTGACTGTTGTCCCTGCAATCTCTGGCACTAAGATGAGGGGAAAATAGAGAATGTTCTCTGGTTTAGAATCTGAGACAATAACCACTGGGACCCTTGACCAAGTATCGATGTGTCCCTTGGGACCTTATGAACCTCCATTGTTATGGCCCCTACTACTGAATGTATTATTGGTATTGATGTATTATCTATGTACACCCCTGTTAGCCTTTGCCTCCAATCTCTGACAGGAATTGCTGCAGTTATGGCCATTGGATGGGGCATATGGAAGACTAACCTCCTAGACTCAGGGGCTATAGTTAATGGCCTAGCCATTTGACTGGGCCATTGGCAAGCCTCATATTGACATATAAAACAAGCCTGTGGGAGATGTGACATTTGGATAAAAATCAGTTATGCTCATCTGTATCTCTATCTATATGTATGAGCAGAACTGATTTTTATCCAAATGTCTCATTTCCCACAGGCGATTTTATATATATATCTCCCTTGTGGATGTTCAGCAGAGGCCCCTATGCTAACCAACAGAATATAATAAATTCTCTTTGATTTTAACTTTTATTTTAGATACAGGGCATACATGTGTAGGTTCGTTACGTGGGGATATTGCATGACATTGAGGTTTGGGGTATGGATTCTGTCACCCAGGTGATGAGCATAGTACCCAATAGGTAGTCTTTGAACCCATGCCCCCTATCTCCCTCTCCCCTCTAGTAGTCCACAGTGTCTGTTGTTCCTCTGTTATGATCATGTGTGCCCAGTGTTTAGCTCCCACATATAAGTAAGAACATATAGTATTTGGTGTTTTTTGTTTGTTTGTTTTTTGTTTTTTTAAAATATTTTTTAAAATTATACTTTAAGTTCTAGAGTACATGTGCACAACGTGCAGGTTTGTTACATATGTATACATGTGCCATGTTGGTGTGCTGCACCCATTAACTCATCATTTAACATTAGGTATATCTCCTAATGCTATCCCTCCCTCATCCCCCCACCCCACAACAGGTCCCGGTGTGTGATGTTCCCCATCCTGTGTCCAAGTGTTCTCATTGTTCAATTCCCACCTATGAGTGAGAACATGTGGTGTCTGGTTTTTTGTCCTTGCGATAGTTTGCTGAGAATGATGGTTTCCAGCTTCATCCATGTCCCTACAAAGGACATGAACTCATCATTTTTTATGGCTGCATAGTATTCCATGGTGTATATTTGCCACATTTTCTTAATCCAGTCTATCATTGTTGGACATTTAGGTTGGTTCCAAGTCTTTGCTATTGTGAATAGTGCTGCAATAAACATACGTGTGCATGTGTATTTATAGCAGCATGACTTATAATCCTTTGGGTATACACCCAGTAATGGGATGGCTGGGTCAAATGGTATTTCTAGTTCTAGATCCCTGAGGAATCGCCACACTGACTTCCACAATGGTTGAACTAGTTTGCAGTCCCACCAACAGTGTAAAAGTGTTCCTATTTCTCCACATCCTCTCCAGCATCTGTTGTTTCCTGACTTTTTAATGATCATCATTCTAACTGGTGTGAGATGGTATCTCACTGTGGTTTTGATTTGCATTTCTCTGGTGGCCAGTGATGATGAGCATTTTTTAATGTGTCTTTTGGCTGCATAAATGTCTTCTTTTGAGAAGTATCTGTTCATATCCTTCACCCACTTTTTGATGGGGTTGTTTGTTTTTTTCTTGTAAATTTGTTCAAGTTCTTTGTAGATTCTGGATATTAGCCCTTTGTCAGATGAGTAGATTGCAAAAATTTTCTCCCATTCTCTAGGTTGCCTGTTGACTCTGATGGCAGTTTCTTTTGCTGTGCAGAAGCTCTTTAGTTTAATTCGATCCCATTCGTCAATTTTGGCTTTTGTTGCCATTGCTTTTTGTGTTTTAGACATGAAGTCCTTGCCCATGCCTATGTCCTGAATGGTATTGCCTAGGTTTTCTTCTAGGGTTTTTATGGTTTGAGGTCTAACATTTAAGTCTTTAATCCATCTTGAATTAATTTTTGTATAAGGTGTAAGGAAGGGATCCAGTTACAGCTTTCTACATATGGCTAGCCAGTTTTCCCAGCACCATTTGTTAAATAGGGAATTGTTTCCCCATTTCTTGTTTTTGTCAGGTTTGTCAAAGATCAGATAGTTGTAGATGTGTGGTATTATTTCTGAGGCCTCTGTTCTGTTCCGTTGGTCTATATCTCTGTTTTGGTACCAGTACCATGCTGTTTTGGTTACTGTAGGCTTGTAGTATAGTTTGAAGTCAGGTAGCATGATGCATCCAGCTTTGTTCTTTTGGCTTAGGATTGACTTAGAAATGCGGGCTCTTTTTTGGTTCCATATGAACTTTAAAGTAGTTTTTTCCAATTCTGTGAAGAAAGTCACTGGTAGCTTGATGGGGATGGCGTTGAATCTGTAAATTAACTTGGGCAGTATGGCCATTTTCACGATATTGATTCTTCCTATCCATGACCAAGGAATGTTCTTCCTTTTTTTTGTATCCTCTTTTACTTTGTTGAGCAGTGGTGTGTAGTTCTCCTTGAAGAGGTCCTTCACATCCCTTGTAAGTTGGATTCCTAGGTATTTTATTCTCTTTGAAGCAATTGTGAATGGGAGTTCACTCACGATTTGGCTCTCTGTTTGTCTGTTATTGTTGTATAAGAATGCTTGTGATTTTTGCATGTTGATTTTGTATCCTGAGACTTTGCTGAAGTTGCTTATCAGCTTAAGGAGATTATGGGCTGAGACGATGGGGTTTTCTAAATATACAATCATGTCATCTGCAAACAGGGACAATTTGACTTCCTCTTTTCCTAATTGAATACCCTTTATTTCTTTCTCCTGCCTGATTGCCCTGGCCAGAACTTCCAACACTATGTTGAATAGGAGTGGTGAGAGAGGGCATCCCTGTCTTGTGCCAGTTTTCAAAGGGAATGCTTCCAGTTTTTGCCCATTCAGTATGATATTGGCTGTGGGTTTGTCATAAATAGCTCTTATTATTTTGAGATACATCCCATCACTACCTAATTTACTGAGAGTTTTTAGCATGAAGGGTTGTTGAATTTTGTCAAAGGCCTTTTCTGCATCTGTTGAGATAATCATGTGGTTTTTGTCCCTGGTTCTGTTTATATGCTGGATTACGTTTATTGTTTTGCATGTGTTGAACCAGCCTTGCATCCTGGGGATGAAGCCCACTTGATCGTGGTGGACAAGTTTTGGGCATGCTGCTGGATTCGTTTTGCCAGTATTTTATTGAGGATTTTTGCATCGATGTTCATCAGGGATGTTGGTCTAAAATTCTCTTTTTTTGTTGTGTCGCTGCCCAGCTTTGGTATCAGGATGATGCTGGCCTCATAAAATGAGTTAGGGAGGATTCCCTCTTTTTCTATTGATTGGAATAGTTTCAGAAGGAATGGTACCAGCTCTTCTTTGTACCTCTGGTAGAATTCGGCTGTGAATCTGTCTGGTCCTGGACTTTTTTTCCTCGGTAAGCTATTAGTTATTGCCTCAATTTCAGAGCCTGTTATTGGTCTATTCAGAGATTCAACTTCTTCCTGGTTTAGTCTTGGGAGGGTGTATGTGTCGAGGAATTTATCCATTTCTTCTAGATTTTCTAGTTTATTTGAGTAGAGGTGTTTATAGCATTCTCTGGTGGTAGTTTGTATTTCTGTGGGATCGGTGGTGATATCGCCTTTATCATTTTTTATTGCATCTATTTGATTCTTCTCTCCTTTCTTCTTTATTAGTCTTGCTAGCAGTCTATCAATTTTGTTGATCTTTTCAAAAAACCGGCTCCTGGATTCATTGATTTTTTGAAGGGTTTTTTGTGTCTCTATTTCCTTCAGTTCTGCTCTGGTTTTAGTTATTTCTTGCCTTCTGCTAGCTTTTGAATGTGTTTGTTCTTGCTTCTCTAGTTCTTTTAATTGTGATGTTAGGGTGTCAATTCTAGATCTTTCCTGTTTTCTCTTGTGGGGATTTAGTGCTATAAATTTCCCTCTACAGACTGCTTTAAATGTGTCCCAGAGATTCTGGTATATTGTGTCTTTGTTCTTGTTGGTTTCAAAGAACATCTTTATTTCTGCCTTCATTTCGTTATGTACCCAGTAGTCATTCAGGAGCAGGTTGTTCAGTTTCCATGTAGTTGAGCAGTTTTCAGTGAGTTTCTTAATCCTGAGTTCTAGTTTGATTGCACCGTGGTCTGAGAAACAGTTTGTTATAATTTCTGTTCATTTACATTTGCTGAGAAGTGCTTTACTTCCAGCTATGTGGTCAATTTTGGAATAAGTTCAATGTGTTGCTGAGAAGAATGTATATTCTGTTGATTTGGGGTGGAGAGTTCTGTAGATGTCTATTAGGTTGGCTTGGTGCAGAGCTGAGTTCAATTCCTGGATATCCTTGTTAACTTTCTGTCTCGTTGATCTGTCTAATGTTGACAGTGGGATGTTAAAGTCTCCCATTATTATTGTGTGGGAATCTTAAGTCTCTTTGTAGGTCTCTAAGGACTTGTTTTATGAATCTGGTTTCTCCTGTATTGGGTGCATATATATTTAGGATAGTTAGCTCTTCTTGTTGAATTGATCCCTTTACCATTATGTAATGGCCTTCTTTGTCTCTTTTGATCTTTGTTGGTTTAAAGTCTGTTTTATCAGAGACTAGGATTACCACCCCTGCCTTTTTTTGTTTTCCATTTGCTTGGTAGATCTTCCTCCATCCCTTTATTTTGAGCCTATGTGTGTCTCTGCATGTGAGATGGGTTTCCTGAATACAGCACACTGATGGGTCTTGACTCTTTATCCAATTTGCCAGTCTGTGTCTTTTAATTGGAGCATTTAGCCCATTTACATTTAAGGTTAATATTGTTATGTGTGAATCTGATCCTGTCATGATGATGTTAGCTGGTTATTTTGCTCATTAGTTGATGCAGTTTCTTCCTAGCATCGATGGTCTTTACAATTTGTCATGTTTTTGCAGTGGCTTGTACCGGACGTTCGTTTCTATGTTTAGTGCTTCCTTTAGGAGCTCTTGTAGTGCAGGCCTGGTGGTGACAAAATCTCTCAGCATTTGCTTGTCTATAAAGTATTTTATTTCTCCTTCACTTATGAAGCTTAGTTTGGCTGGATATGAAATTCTGGGTTGAAAATTCTTTTCTTTAAGAATGTTGAATATTGGTCCCCACTCTCTTCTGGCTTGTAGAATTTCTACAGAGAGATCAGCTGTTAGTCTGATGGGCTTCCCTTCGTGGGTAACCCAACCTTTCTCTCTGGCTGCCCTTAAAATTTTTTTTCTCATTTCAACTTTGGGGAATCTGACAATTATGTGTCTTGGAGTTGCTCTTCTTCAGGAGTATCTTTGTGGCATTCTCTGTATTTCCTGAATTTGAATGTTGGCCTGCCTTACTTGGTTGGGGAAGTTCTCCTTGTTAATAACCTGCAGAGTGTTTTCCAACTTGGTTCCATTCTCCCCGTCACTTTCAGGTGCAGCAATCACACATAGTTTTGGTCTTTTCACATAGTCCCATATTTCTTGGAGGCTTTGTCCGTTTCTTTTTATTCTTTTTTCTCTAAAGTTCTCTTCTCGCTTCATTTCATTCATTTGATCTTCAATCATTGATACCCTTTCTTCCACTTGATCGAATTGGCTACTGAAGCTTGTGCATTCGTCACATAGTTCTCATGCCATGGTTTTCAGCTCCATCAGGTCATTTAAGGACTTCTCTACATTTGTTATTCTAGTTAGCCATTCATCTAATCTTTTTTAAAGGTTTCTAACTTTTTTGCGATGGGTTCGAACTTCCTCCTTTAGCTTGGAGAAGTTTGATTGTCTGAAGCCTTCTTCTCTCAATTCATCAAAGCCATTCTCCGTCCAGCTTTGTTCCATTGCTGGTGAGGAGCTGCATTCCTTTGGAGGTGGAGAGGTGCTCTGATTTTTAGAATTTTCAGTTTTTCTGCTCTGTTTTTTCCCCATCTTTGTGGCTTTATCTACCTTTGGTCTCTGATGATGGTGACATACAGATGGGGTTTTGGTGTGGATATCCTTTCTGTTGGTTAGTTTTCCTTCTAACAGTCAGGACCCTCAGCTGTAGTCTGTTGGAGTTTGCTGGAGGTCCACTCTGGAGCCTGTTTGCCTGGGTATTAGCAGCGGAGGCTACAGAACAGTAAATATTGCTGAACAGCAAATGTTGCTACCTGATCGTTCCTCTGGAAGTTTCATCTCAGAGGGGTACCTGGCCGTGTGAGGTGTCAGTCTGCCCCTACTGGGGGGTGCCTCCCTGTTAGGCTACTCGGGGGTTGGGGACCCACTTGAGGAGGCAGTCTGTCCATTCTCAGATCTCAAGCTCTGTGCTGGGAGAACCGCTACTCTCTTCACAGCTGTCCAACAGGGACATTTAAGTTTGCAGAGGTTTCTGCTGCCTTTTGTTTGGCTATGCCCTGCCCCCAGAGGTGGAGTCTATAGAGGCAGGCAGGCCTCCTTGAGCGGCAGTGGGCTCCACCCAGTTTGAGCTTCCGGGCCGCTTTGTTTACCTACTGAAGCCTCAGCAATGGCGGGCACCCCTCCCCCAGCCTTGTTGCCTCCTTGCAGTTCAATCTCAGACTCCTTGCTAGCAATGAGCGAGGCTCTGTGGGCATGGGACCCTCCGATCCAGGTGCGGGATATAATCTCCTGGTGTGGTGTTTGCTAAGAGCCTTGGAAAAGTGCAGTATTAGGGTGGGAGTGATCCGATTTTCCAGGTGCTGTCTGTCACAGCTTTGCTTGGCTAGGAAAGGGAATTCCCTGACCCTTTGTGCTTCCTGGGCGAGGTGATGCCTTGCTCTGCTTTGGCTCATGCTTGGTGTGCTGTGCCCAGTGTCCTGTACCCACTGCCCGATAAGCCTCAGTGAGATGAACCCGGTACCTCAGTTGGAAATGCAGAAATCACCCGTCTTCTGCGTCACTCATGCTGGGAGCTGTAGACTGGAGCTGTTCTTATTCAGCCATCTTAGAACCGCCTGTATTTGTTGTTTTGTTTCTGCTTAGGATAATGGCCTCCAGCTGCATCCATGTTGTTGGAAAGGAAATGACTTCTTTCTTTTTTATGGCTGCATAGTATTCCCTGGTGTATATGTACCACATTTTATTTATCCAATCCATCATTGATGGGTACCTAGGTTGATTCCTAGGTCTTTGCTATTATGAAGAGTGCTGTGATGAACTTATAAGTGCAAGTATCCTTTTGGTAGAACTATTTATTTTCCTTTGGGTGTGCACACAGTAATGGGATTGCTGGGTGAAATGGGAGCTGTTTTAAGTTCCTTGAGAAATTTCAAACTGCTTTCCACAGTGGCTGAATTAATTTACATTCCCACCAACAGTGTGTAAGAATTACCTTTCTCTCCACAGTCTAGCAAGTGTCTGTTGTTTTTTGACTTTGTAGTAATAGCCATTCTGACTGGTGTGAGATGGTGTCTCATTGCAGTTTTCATTTGCATTTCTCTGATGATTATGATGCTTGGCATTTTTTCATGTTTTTTGACTACTTGTATGTCTTCTTTTGAGAAGTACCTTTTCATGTCCTTTCCTAACTTTTCAATGGGGTTGTTTGTTTTTCTGCTTGTTGATTTGTTTAAGTTCCTTATAGATTTTGGATATTAGAACTTTGTCAGATGCATACTTTGTGAACATTTTCTTCCATTGTGTAGGCTATCTGTTCCCAATTATATGATTTACTATACGATCTACTTTCTAAAAGAATATTATTCCTTTCTCTTCCCTTTAAAGTTCCTCCTTTTTCTCCTTTGACCCTGAACTGTAGGCTCAACAGGTTTTTTTTGTTACCCAGGCTGGAGTGCAATGGTAGAATCACAGCTCACTGCAGCCTTGGCCTCCTGGACTCAAGTGATGTTTCTCAGGCCATTTTTTATTTAGTGTCATTGTACAAGCTCTTTCTTCTATCTTTAATGCTCTTTCTTCCTTAGTGAACTACTTTGCCTACCAAAAACAGTTAAAATATTATTCTTATTGCTAATGCTTCCTTGTACTCCTCACTTAGGACTTCAACTCTGATGAATCTTTTGTTTCTAGAGCAAGAATACCAAATAACATTTTAAATAGAGAAAGAGGGATTTTTACCTACAATAAGTTGCCTCCTAATAAGGCTGTGTGTTTCTTTAGAAGAGGCATGATGTTTTAGTCATCATTGTGCTTCTTTTAGGTTTTCAATAACATTTGTTGACTAAATATATAAAGAATGTTATAACAAAGTCCTGAGCGACTGATATTAGTTCTCAATGTATCTCATACAGAACATGGCATAAATGATATAGTTTAAATATTTGGACTTGCTTAGTGTTCTCTATAATAGGTATTGCTGCAACTGTACAAACCAGTTTTCTGTAGAAAATAGACTATTAGAGATGCAAAGAACAGATATAACCTTGTACAGCTTTTTAATCTGAATCACAAAGAAACCGACTTCCGTGACTTTGTGATTGGTGACAGTATTTGTAATGCCTGTTAATCATCACACACATTTAAATTGTGCTAGAGTTGATGTTTTGCTGTGTATAGCAAAGAACTGACTTTTTTATTCTACCTCTCATCTGAGCCCCATCAGAGAAACTAGATTTATGTTTCTTAATAAACCCTGCATAATATCCTACACAATAATAGTTATTTTCTTTGCTTTTTCTTTTATCTAATAAAATGTTGTGGTAACACTGTTTTATCAGTTCAGAATCTATGAAGCAGAATTTAATTAACCAATAATGATCTGTAGTTTAGCTTATTTTACCAGCTTGTTCTACACTTAATACATACCTGGAAATATTTCTCTATCTTGTAGCGTATTTTAAAGTTATAACAGTTGTATTTCTATAAAACTAGGGCAAATTAGATTTTTTTTGTGAGTGGCTTTTGTAAGTAGTGATTTAAAAATGTGCATTTCTAATTGGTTTTTATCTTGATATTCTTTATCTAAATTCAATAAATTTGCTTAATTATTACTTATGCAACAATAATACCTATATTTATTATTTCAAGGTGTACACTTGAGTAGAGTTTTAATGCTAGCCTTTCAAAATCCTATTCGTTTATAAAAGTAAGGAAATTTACTCATTCCAGGTAAAATGTAGTTACCAAAGCAGTTTGAGAGGCAGACTTATTACCATTCAATCTGGGGTCTATTGGGCTCTGGCACAGAAGAACAAGAAAGGCAATGGTGCAAAGAAAGCCTGGGTTCTCATCCAGCCTTCATCTTTAAAAAGCTCTGAGATCTTGGATAGTTCACTTAATTTGTCTGTTTTCAGTGATCTCATCTATTAAATGGACTTACTATCATTACAAGGTAAAATTTAAAAAATCAATGTTACCCTAAATTAGTTGTCATCTTTATCTTTCTCCCTAAGATAGTGTAGTATCCTGTTTAACTGCCTTGGAGCCACGCTGCCTGGGTTTGTCATTTATGAGCCATTACCTCAAGCAAGTTACTTAAATTCCTTGTGCCTGTGTTCTCTCCTTTAAAAAATAGGGGTAACAATAGTATCTATCTCATAGGGTTGTCATGAGGATTATGTGAGTCATTACATGAAAAGCACTTAGAACAGTACTAGCATGTGGTAATACCTCTTCCTCTTTTGTAACGACCTGCCTATTACCTATTGCTATAATGACATAGATTTACTAAGAAGCAGCCAATTCACAAGTTTTGTATTACAGCTGGAAATAACTTTGAGAGAGGGAGAGAGAGAAAAAAAAGAGAATCTCAGGGGGAGAGGACTCAATACGTATACAATTTTTTCCCACTGTCAGAAATGGAGTTTCTGCTGAGGATTAAGTACGCGATGTGGGTTCTTAAGAAGGCAGCTTTGATGCTGTAATGAACAATCACAGACATCAATACACCTGAAGAAGGTAATCCTGACCTCCGCTTTACCCTCTCTTGATACTCTAAGCTTTTATCCCAAATCTCAAATATTGCCTTCTCTTTTTTTTTCTCTTTTAAGGTCAATAAAAACTTCAAAGATCTTTTAGAGCTATAGATTTAGGCTGTAAATCATTCATTTTAATTTCTATGTTTCAAAATTTTAAAAGATTACTTATAGCAGTATAGTCATTATATATTAGATTTTAACACTATCCTTAAAGATTTTTTTTTTTAAAGTTTAATTTATTTTTTTATTGATAATTCTTGGGTGTTTCTCACAGAGGGGGATTTGGCAGGGTCATGGGACAATAGTGGAGGGAAGGTCAGCAGATAAACAAGTGAACAAAGGTCTCTGGTTTTCCTAGGCAGAGGACCCTGCGGCCTTCCGCAGTGTTTGTGTCCCTGATTACTTGAGATTAGGGAGTGGTGATGACTCTTAACGAGCATGCTGCCTTCAAGCATCTGTTTAACAAAGCACATCTTGCACCGCCCTTAATCCATTTAACCCTGAGTGGACACAGCACATGATTCAGAGAGCACAGGGTTGGGGGTAAGGTCACAGATCAACAGGATCCCAAGGCAGAATAATTTTTCTTAGTGCAGAACAAAATGAAAAGTCTCCCATGTCTACTTCTTTCTACACAGACACGGCAACCATCCGATTTCTCAATCTTTTCCCCACCTTTCCCCGCTTTCTATTCCACAAAACCACCATTGTCATCATGGCCCGTTCTCAATGAGCTGTTGGGCACACCTCCCAGACGGGGTGGTAGCCGGGCAGAGGGGCTCCTCACTTCCCAGTAGGGGCGGCTGGGCAGAGGCGCCCCTCACCTCCCGGACGGGGCGGCTGGCCGGGCAGGGGGCTGACCCTCCCACCTCCCTCCCGGACGGGGCGGCTGGCCGGGCAGAAGGGCTCTTCACTTCCCAGTAGGGGCCGCCGGGCAGAGGCGCCCCTCACCTCCGGGATGGGGCGGCTGGCCGGGCGGGGGGCTGACCCCCCCACCTCCCTCCCGGACGGGGCAGCTGGCCGGGCGGGGGGCTGACCCCCCCCACCTCCCTCCCGGACGGGGCGGCTGGCCGGGCGGGGGGCTGACCCCCCCACCTCCCTCCTGGACGGGGCGGCTGGCCGGGCAGAGGGGCTCCTCACTTCCCAGTAGGGGCGGCCGGGCAGAGGCGCCCCTCACCTCCCAGACGGGGTGGCTGGCCGGGCGGGGGGCTGACCCCCCCACCTCCCTCCCGGACGGGGCGGCTGGCCGGGCGGGGGGCTGAACCCCCACCTCCCTCCCGGACGGGGCGGCTGGCCGGGCAGAGGGGCTCCTCCCTTCCCAGTAGGGGCGGCCGGGCAGAGGTGCCCCTCACCTCCCAGACGGGGCGGCTGGCCGGGCGGGGGGCTGATCCCCCCACCTCCCTCCCGGACGGGGCGGCTGGCCGGGCGGGGGGCTGACCCCCCCACCTCCCTCCCGGACGGGGCGGCTGGCCGGGCGGGGGGCTGACCCCCCCACCTCCCTCCCGGACGGGGCGGCTGGCCGGGCAGAGGGGCTCCTCACTTCCCAGTAGGGGCGGCCGGGCAGAGGCGCCCCTCACCTCCCAGACGGGGCGGCTGGCCGTGCCGGGGGCTGACCCCCCCACCTCCCTCCCGGACGGGGCGGCTGGCTGGGCGGGGGGCTGACCCCCCCCACCTCCCTCCCGGACGGGGTGGCTGCAGGGCGGAGAGGCTCCTCACTTCTCAAACGGGGCAGCTGCCGGGCGGAGGGGCTCCTCACTTCTCAGAGGGGGTGGTTGCCAGGCAGAGGGTCTCCTCACTTCTCAGACAGGGCGGCCGGGCAGAGAAGCTCCTCACCTCCCAGACGGGGTCGCAGCCGGGCAGAGGCGCTCCTCACATCCCAGATGGGGTGGCAGGGCAGAGGCGCTCCCCACATCTCAGATGATGGGTGGCAGGGCAGAGACGCTCCTCACTTCCTAGATGTGATGGCGGCTGGGAAGAGGCGCTCCTCACTTCCTAGATGGGATGGCGGCCGGGCGGAGATGCTCCTCACTTTCCAGACTGGGCAGCCAGGCAGAGGGGCTCCTCACATCCCAGACGATGGGCGGCCAGGCAGAGACACTCCTCACTTCCCAGATGGGGTGGCGGCCGGGCAGAGGCTGCAATCTCGGCACTTTGGGAGGCCAAGGCAGGCGGCTGGGAGGTGTAGGTTGTAGCGAGCCGAGATCACGCCACTGCACTCCAGCCTGGGCACCATTGAGCACTGAGTGAACGAGACTCCGTCTGCAATCCCGGCACCTCGGGAAGCCGAGGCTGGTGGATCACTCGCGGTTAGGGGCTGGAGACCGGCCCGGCCAACACAGTGAAACCCCGTCTCCACCAAAACCAGTCAGGCGTGGCGGCGCGTGCCTGCAATCGCAGGCACTCGGCAGGCTGAGGCAGGAGAATCAGGCAGGGAGGTTGCAGTGAGCCGAGATGGCAGCAGTACAGTCCAGCTTCGGTTCCGCATGAGAGGGAGACCATGGAAAGAGAGGGAGACCGTGGGGAGAGGGAGAGGGAGAGGGAGAGGGACTAAAGATTTTAAAAAATATACATATATAGGTTCTTTCTCTAAGTAAAGTAGATAACTATAATAATAGTAACAAAAATAATTCACTATTTCTGAGGACTATCGAGTTACTGGTCTATATGCTAAAAGTTTTAAAAGCATCATCTACGTAAATGAACATACAACTCTTAGTGGTGGATCAATACATAAATGAACAGAGCATCCTTTTTGGTATTATTTGTATTTCTCAAATGATGAGATTGAAGTTCAGAGGTTTAAGTACCATGTCCAAGAATACAAAGCTATAAAGTCAGTAAATGGTGGAATCAGGATTCAAAACTTCATTAGTCTCACTTTAAAAATCTATGTTCCCAAACAATAGCCTATAGTGACTCCTGTCTCAAAAAAGAATAATATGCCTCACTCCATTCATTGATTCCAATTTAACAGATAAATCTAAATGGAGAATGGTCACAGCAGCTGCTGCTCTTTGTACCAGACAAATATAATAATTCTCTTATGAAATAGGTACACTGAGAAATAGCCTCCCAGTAGTTGTGAAGTTTACGGCTTCTCGTATACTGTGTGTAAACAGAGTATCAAGCAAGCTCAGGGGTGATTGGTCTGATTTTCCAAATAAAGTGTCCTGGGAGAATAGGTTACTAGGAACTAGGTGACCCGCTCAAAAGAAAGTGGCATTGTTCTTGTCAAAGTGGTCATTGATTTTCTCTCAGGTTTCTGTAGGGAGTTGCAGGATAAATTTCTATTTGCTACAAAGTGGAAAAAAAATGTTCTCAGATGGACTTCTGTGTTTTAAAAATATAATCTTGGAAGGGACAAGAAGTCTAACAGAGAATAATCAGAGTTCTTAAAGAACTCTTTTTGAGATTTGTCGAGAAAAAAAAAGCTTAAAAAAAAGGAACTAACCACATCCAAATTTCTTTTCGAGGGTCTAAAAAAGATTGGTAAAAGAAACTAAATTAGAAGAAAGTCATCTTTTTAGTTATACAAATGACTCTATTACAATGTAATTTGTTATATACTTGCATTTATTAATATATTGATAGAACGCTTTTCACATTTGATGGGCCAAATGAATTGTTAGATTTTTGAAATCATAGGGGAATAACATTTGTTTTATGCAGTAAGAATGTGCTTTCCATAGCCAAAGGGGGCATGATATCATGATATGACACATAAGCACAAAAGTACTTAATGATTAATTTTTCTTTCCTTCTAATACTTTTTTCCCTTTCAGTGACCTAAAGCATCAGTTAAATAACAAGCATTTTCCTATATGGATTCAATGTTGATAGAGGTATTCTCATCAACGCTACATGCATTTTATCTCAAGTACTTTAGGGATATAATTCATGAAAATCTTAAGCAGTGTGTGGCCATGTGTGGAAGTCGCAGACCAGGATAATTTTTGGGGAAGCCACCCATTTCATTTCCCAACTGAGGAGGACTTATACTGTCTATTGTCACAACTGCTTGAGCACCCTTATCATCTTTAGGTCAAAGATGCATTTTTAAAAAGAGCCAAAAGGCTTATTTACAGGACATAATAGACAGTAACAGCTGGGAAGACATTGTGAATGTCTACTGGGTAATTAAAATGAGTTCTCAAGATAGATAAGCACACAAACTGAAATACATATTTATTTGAGAAGTCACACTGGCTCCCAAAGAGCTCTTAAGGGCTGTCAAGTAAATAGCAGCTAACATAGAAATGAGGATCTAGTCGAGTATGTGAAAAGTAATGGAAATGTTGGTTGCTTTTTCTATGTCTGATATGCTCTCTGGTGACCCTCATGGTGTTAGCTACGCTTTGCTTCCTCTGCCTGTGCATTAACAAGTTCTCCCATTTTTGTCAGAATATTGTAACCTAGAAGATTAGGTAGTTTGTGCATGTTAGATTTTAACCCATTAAGGACAAGGAAAGAAGAACAGAATCTGTTAGGTGGGCACAGAATGATTTAGAAAATAAGCAGAATGGAGCATCCAGAAGGCTATGAAAGGGCAAGGGCAGAAATATAAAATTTACCATAGCAAGGAAGAAAAACAACGACGATAAACTCTTGAATATTTCTATAAACACAAAAGACATTCACTGAACTCATCAGATCAAACAGGGTTCTTAAGGAATACTGATTTTATGATTCAGTAACTTTATTGAAGAATAGAGCCTCTTCTAAGTGTTTATACTGACTGCAAAGCTTCTTGCCCCATCTCACCCAGAAAGATATTGGCCTCAATAAGAACATGATGATATTTTTTTAATGAGGTATTCAAGTTTCCCTTCTCTCTATCCACTTTTTCTTTTTCATAGTTTAAACTTTTGCCTTTGTGATGATGATACTCATTTACAGTTTTGGCTTTCATTTGCCTGCCAACATATCTCTGGTTCCATTTCTCTATTTCCTCCAAGAAGATCTCCAGGTGATAGAACACAAGTGAAAAGGTAGATACTGGGAGGCAAGATGATGTTTTAGCATGTGCCACATTTGAGTAACTTACATATCTAAGTATAAAAGTCTAATGGGGAATTAGATATATGGGTTAGAACCAGATGAAAAATCTGAGCTGGAATATAAGTTTATGAGTCACCTGGATACAGGTACTAGTTCACCTTAGTGGATTTAATGATATAGCCTGTGAAGACTGAGTAGCATGAATAAAAAAGAAAGTAGGGAGATGGGGGGCTATGATTCGCATTGTGGGGATTCCAACTTTAATATTTAAGATTTGGACAGAGGAAGGAGAGTCCAAGAGGAAAAATGAGAAGCACAGACCATAACAACAACAACAATGAGGGTATGAACTGGAGATTGTCTTAGAAACAAAAGGAGGAGAGTTTTGAGAAGGGGGAACTCAGATAATAAAGGAAGTCATATGAGACAAAGATTGAATGAGGTATGGACAATTGTGGTGAATTCATCAATAAATACCAGTGGTAATGAGTTAATGGTAAGTATGGAAGTGGAGAGAATGAGACTCTGAAGTAGGGTTGAAAGAAAGGAAAGATATAAAGAAGTAAATTGAACAGCGGGTGGGATTAAGGACTTTCTTTAAAATGAGAAAAATCTGATCATGTTTCTTTGCCAAGAGGAAAAGATCAAAGCAGTCACATACACAGAAGAAAGAGGGGACCAAGGGTGGTGTTTCCATCCTCAAGAGGCAGATGCAGATTGAATTGAGAACTGGGGTGGAGATATGTTCCTGGTATCATATTGCAGCAATTGAAGGAATAGTTTCCAGAATTGTTACAATTTGTCTTTGATTTTTAGCTGTGCAACCTTAAGTAATTTGTTAAATGAATGACACCTCTCTCAAGTAAGTTATCATACTTAAATAAAGTATTCCTTGTAATGTTCTCTGATATAGAAATTAAGTAATACAGTTTTGGTATATTTATAATATTAAATAAAACAGGAGGTAAGCATATAAGGATATAAGCATATAAGGACGGGTATGGCTAAAACTAATTTTTTATGGATGGATATTACTAAGTTTTGCACAATTTCACCAGAATTTTTTAACCTCTCTGTGTCATGGTAGACGTGGTCATTGGTTGGGAGTGACTGAGTGAGTGGGCGATTGGGGTGCTTGAGGATAATAGCAGAGATTTGAGAGAGTTTTGTAGAAAATGGAAGAGGGAACACTAAGGAAGGATGATGAATGATGGAGAAAATGTATGTGTACGAATTTTGAATTTGAAAGATTTTTCTTTTCTTTTTCTTTCCTCTTCTCCTCATCTTTTTTCTTTCCCTTCCCCTCCCTTCTGCCTCCTCTCCCTTCTCTCTTCCATCTCCTCCTCCTCTTCCTCCTACTTCTCCTCACTTCCCTCTTCATCTCCTTCATCTCTTTCTCCTCATTCTTCTTCTCAGTTTCCTCCTGCTTCTTTGGCAATTTTAAACAGTTCCGTTACAGGAGCAGAAAAGGCAGATTTGTTCTGGGTGAGGGATTTACTTGTCGAGTGTGACATAAATGCAAGTGGATTAAGGGTGTTGGCAAAAGATTAGCCTAAGCGGAAAGAAAGTGAGGACAGCAGGAATTTGTAGGTAATGAGAAAAAAAAGGCAAGTTTAAGGGCCCTTGAATAGCAAGACATTGTAGGAGATGGAGACTAGAAGAACTGGGATAATAGGCATTGTAGTAAGAGAGAAAGATAATATAGGGTAAGATTTCAGAGGCGGAGTAATTCTAAATGATGACAAACTTGGCATGGCAACTATAGATGTACAGAGGAGAAATTAAGTGAATGCCAATTAGAAGGAAATCAAGAACTGTGGGAAACAGACATTATATATGTAATTTACATGGACATCTGAACCATGTGCCAACATTCTAATTAAATTTTGGAAGATAACCAATTTGAAAGCCACAATGAGTGGTAGAGAATTATGAAACAGTTTTAAATAAAAGGAGGAGGTAGCAGTGATCTGGAGGAAGCAGTTGAGAGTAGAATGTAGACAAGGGTATTAAAGGATGGCTTGTCACTGGAGAGGCCCAGGTTTCAGCTAATGGCAAGGAGGTTGAAGGATAATTCTGAAGATAAGGTAGAAGAAAGGTATTGTGAGATTACATCAGTGTCACTTGGGGCAGGGGAGAGGAGGGAGCACTTTTCCAAACTTTATTCCCCAGTGAGTTCCCACTTAAGCCTTGAGAGTCAAGCCAGCCATGTGCCTCTCTTAGTACAACTCTTCCCCTTCCCCTGTGATTCCCAGGTCTAAGCTAAAGAAAGAGGAAAGTTCTGTTATGATTATGATTGACAGATATGGATATTTTGATTAGAGCATTATGACCTTCTTGTGACTGAAAATGATCAAAGGAATTTTTACTGTGGAAGAGAGACTAGAAATCATGAGATGAGCCCTGGTTTCACCCAGGGATGGAACTACCCATAGCAACAGTGCAGTTGAAAGAATCCAGATGTTTTCTACTTTTGACCTTTGGAATTCCACTTCTTAGTATAATGGGTATAGTCTCTTTTGATAGTCATAAATTCACATTTGTTTCTTGCTAACAAGAGATTCAAAAGTCTCAAACCATAGTTGATTAAAACTCATGGGAATATTCTTGGAAGATGCATAGAATCAAAATTAATAACGATTACCACTAGTGAATGTTAGGGGTTACTTTCTTTCCTTGAATTCTAAATAGACTAACCCATGAATATTTTAGCTGTCATTTTTTTGTTGTATTCTTAGATTTGGCAAATGATTATGATTTGAAGTGTGCATCATAAGACTCTTTTGCGTATTGAAATGTATATCTGCTTTGCATGGGCTAGAAACAATTATTGATTGAATTTTTGCATACCTACAATCTGGCTGGGTGCTTCAGCCTTGTTTAAGGGGTTCAATTAAGCATTAGGGCACATTTACTTCCTTTCCTGTTGGTCTTTACTTCTGTCTGCCTGACAGTTGCTCTTTGTACTTCTCATTGTCATCCATTTTCTAAACATGTCCAGCTCAGGAGGACTAAATCGCAGTGAACTCCTGTCAGTGCTGATGGACTGGCTGGCTTCCAGGTCCTTCTTGTTGGTGATCTTGTCAAACCATTACATGCTGATTATGGTTTATTGATGATGCCTGTGAAACTGCTTAAGAGGCCAGATGTAGCATCTCTGAGCAGTTGAAGCCTCGCAGCTGGTTAGTATGTTGCACACTACTTCTGCTTTCTACACTGCATGATACTGTATCAGTGACACCATACCTGATAACCCCTTGAAGGACATGCAGTGCTTCTTGGCTGATTACTTTCTGGTCTCTAGATGCTTTAGCTCACATTACTGCCTAAATAAAAACTTACGGTAACTTTCTGTACTCACTCATATTTTTTCTTTTAGTAAAACAATAGCATGTCTTAAAAATATTTTCTGACTATTAACAAGTTTTCAAAGAATATCTTCATTATAGAATATTGATACATGAGTAACTTAAAAATTGGAATCCTTGAATTTTTGAATATGTGATGAGGATGGGGATGAGTGGATCATGCTTGCCAATATGTTCGGTCTATTTTATTTTGGTCCCAAAATTCTTATTTTTAGGAAAAAAATTGACAGAAGGATTATAATCATGAATATTCCAATTTGATCAAGACCCAGAATTTGTTATAAGCATCCTTTGAAATTTTATTCCACTTTTAAGACTGAGGTAATACTAATATCTGAAATATCAAGAAGAACTGTGTATGTGATTCTGTTATCAAAATTTTTACCAAATGCCATTTGAATTTATGGTATTAATAGAAATAATTATGCAACAAAAAGTCAGGTCTAAAATAAAGTCAACAAAATAACTCCTAAATGAATTTAGTTCTGGAAATGAATGTTTCTATTATTTTAATATTTACCAAATGGACACATACTTGCCTAATATTTAACCGTTACTTAACATGACAAGTTTATCTTGTATTGTACTAGCTAGGAACACGATGATAACTATGATTGCTGAAATCCTGTGTGTCTTAAAAACAGAGGTGCTTAACTAGGTGATTCATGCAGTAAATTAGTTCCTGACCACTAGATGGAGCTATGCAACCTCTTGCATTATTAACAGATTTCTTACAAACTACTTGCTTTCCTTGATGGGAAAAAATTATCCTTGAAAATTTCTGAGGAGAATCTTTTCCCTCCCATTTTAACCCCATCTTCTATTGATGACTGAAAAATGCCCCATAGTCTCTGTATAATGACAAAGCAGCATTACGGTAATGACATGGTAATCATTATATTATGTTCTAGGAAGGAAGTAGATACATCGCCAAGGTCACCCTAGAGTTAATTCAGCCTCTCCACTAATAGTAACAGGTCAATCATGGTGACATGCTAATAATTCTTTCTTTTTCTATTCATTGGTTCAAGACACAACTCATTAACTTCATCTATTTGAATTGTAGACCACAGCTTGCTTCTAGGATTTAGGAGGCTATGGAACTGTGATTACATTTGGAGCGAGTGCATAAACCACTAACAATGTAACAAGTACAAATAATAGTTTTTCTTCTCATTTTATCAGTTACCATCGTGATTAACTTAGTAAATAATCTACAGGTCTTTTTGGCTCTGGAGGAATGAGGCTTACCCCTAAACAATGATTAGCATTGCGTATGCTAAATTAAATATAATCTTGTGCTACTTAATGTTTATCTTTCCTTGTAAAGAAAGACTTATTTTGTTTTGATTTATAAGCAATTATTTCACTATTTTGGCTTTCACCCTAAATTTAACCAGCAAAAATAAAAAAAATCGTTCTCCTCAAATATTTCATTGTTCTCCCTTGTGGAGAACTATAATACTATGCACAAAATAGCTATTTAATAAGTTCTTGTTAGATAAATGAAAGGTTCATGACACCATGATTATAATTTATATAATGGGGTCAGTGCAATTTCATTTTCTTCTCTTATTCTTGTCCAAATTTCAATTTATTTAATTATCATAAAACTTCAAGTAACAAATATGTTTTAAATATTTAGATGTGTTGTTCCATATATAAGACAGATTTTTGGATGGTGAAATAATAATCTGAAATCCTACACACCACTGTGTTCCCCATTGATTCAGGTATTTAAATAAGAGATTTCTGGACTGGAGTCATTTTAATCAAAGATATTTATTTTGAATCTAAGGTCATACAGAAATTGGTAAATGATCAGAAGCAGTTAATTGTCAGTCAAATGTTTTTGATAGAGAATATTTGTGAAGAAAGGCATAATCAGAACATTTTTAAGAAAGCCACCTGTTTTTGATGGAGCAGGGGCAGAAAATGGAAGGATGCTTCACACTGCTCTTTGCTTCTAAAATGAGGCAGTTCTGGAAAACCATAGATAAAGAACCATCCATTAATCTCTTTTGGCATTCAAGTCAACCTGATACAAATATAGAAACTAAAATGAGTTGATTTTACCTCTGGGAGTAAATACAACCTCAATTTCCCTTCAGCCTGTAAAAAGCTTCTAAGAAATATAATGATACCTGGGTTAACAGAAAGGAAACACATTCAAATTTATATGTTTCATTTGCAAAATGATATTCCTTTGATTTTAACAGCAAGACAAATTCACAACAGAAAATTCAGAAAATGCAAAAATTATAAATGAGAAAATAGGAGTGACCCATAATTCCATCACTCAAAGAAAACAACTTGCAGGGTTGTATATGTGAGTTCATATATGTATGGGCCTGTACTGACCATGTTTACCTAATTTGCTTTTGGTTTTCTTTCCTGTAATATACAGAAAATCTTTTTAAATATCTCTGATTTATCTTCTAAAACATGATTTTAGTAACTACCTATTATTCTAATATATAGATGTACAATAATAATTTTACCAGGAATGTATTTTGGACCTTTAGAGGATGTCTTAATCTTGATTATTGTAATCAATGTTGTAGTAATTTTTAATATGAGTTGATGTATGGTGAAAGTCTGTCTCAGAATAATTTTCTATATATTTGTTATCATATAATGCTTACATGGTAAATATTTATACATATTATAAACCCATTCATATATTTTTATTACTGATTTTTAGCATGTAGAAAGGGAAGGCTTGTACAGCAACTCAGCCTTTCTATTGACAAAGCATGAGGGAAATGATAGGGTGGGTGAAGAGTTTGTTTAGTTGTATTTTTGAAATAGTGGCAGGAATATATAAAGATTATATCTATCTATACTTTCCCAGGTACTTGAACTCCTGATTTCTGAGGAGAACCTAAATGCAAAATAATGTTCTCCAAAGCAATCACATTTGTAATCAACATCAAGGCAGGGTATATTACAGCAGTGAGTAAAAGAATTAATGTACAGGCACAGATGCCACTCCCAGCAGGCCTGCTGACAGTAAGCATTTTACTAATTTTCTCTATTTGGCCATAATTTCACTCAAGGTCCCATTTGTAGTAAAGCTCAAGTAAACTTAACAACTTACTCTAGAAATGCATGAAAATGATGACCAAGGTGCTATTGTGCTCACCAACATGGTGCTACCAAGCAGCTGTCACTCGCTGGTTTTCCATCACATAGAAACAATTTTGTCACTTTCTAAAGGAGAATTTTCATCTATACATTTTCATTTTCACTTTTTATTTTGAAACAATTTTAAACTTACAGAAAACTTGCAAGGATAGTATGAAGGATGAATACCTATAACCCAGATTCCACGACTGATGACATTTAACCATACATGTTTTATTGTATTTTCTCCTTCCCTCCCTCCCTTCCTTCCTACTTACCTATCTCTATGCATCTGGCAGGAATATAACTAAGAGATGCTACGTTCTTATTATACTTTATCCTATATTATCTTATAGGTTGTTATAATATCAATATTCTCATTTTATTACTGGTGATTTTTAACTCTGATTTCTTGATTAAAGTGATACCTCAAGGTAAAGTTACTATTTTTCTTTTGTAATGAATCATTACTTTGATAAAATGAATCATTTTATCAGAAGACACTTTGAAAGTATGTAAGTTTCACTTTCCTAATCAAACTTTTACCCACTAGTTGTGGCATCCACTGAGGATCCTTGACTGAAATTGCTGTTACTATGATTTTTGCCAAGTGGTGGTTTTTGAACTCCATTACTCTATACTTACATAAAACACTGACAATATCATTTTTTATTTTGCTGCTAAAATTGCTGCAAATCTGGCTAGTAAAGCCACTTCAGACTGGTTTCTGTGTCATTTTTTGACATTTCCCTTCATTCTGTGAGGATAAAATATCATTTTCCAGCCCATCAATATGTTCTATGTTTATTTGTATTTTTCTTGCACCAGTCTCTGCGTCAGCCATTTCTTTAAGGAGTCCTGGTTCTTGTTAGTGGAGAGTGGTCTTAGAAACCAAAATATTATAAGCTAGATGTGCTTATTGTCACTTGAGTTTACTGCTTCTAGTCCCACTGGTTGGGTTAATTGAAAAAAATAATATATATGTGGTGTGTGTCTGTGAACATATATGTACATACACATATATATACACACATTTACATCTATGCTTCTCTTTCACTCACACCTTAAATTCATACCAATGCCACAAGTTTACTTCAATACCTCCAGTTCTAATCCAAATTCGTAAAATTCACTCTGGCATCTTTTCCATACTTGTAGTTCCCTTTTCTGACAATGAGGAACTTGGCTTCCATTTGCTTATTTTCTCAACACCCACATTGTTAATCAATCTCAATGATCACCCAGAGCTGCTGCCAAAAACCCAGCATGGCTGTTGTTTTGCAAAGGTCCTCAATTTGCTCTCAGCTGCCTCCAACAATAGTACTGGGGGAGGCACAGGACAAAGAGATGAAGAATAGAAGTGAAAGATCCCTGATGGCTTTTTGACTATATTATTCAAAGAAGGAAGGAAGGAAGAAAGGAAAAGAGTCTAAATATTTTAATGTATAAATAATTTGATCAGAAAAAAGTCCTTTACTCTTAGCTTTCTTTGAGTAGTTTTAATTCAATCAAACAAGAAATATATATAACATTTGAAAAAAGTCATCTCAAAGAGCATGATTCAGGTCTTTGATAAATAATGAAGGCCAATGTCATGTGAAATGATCTGAGAATTCATGCAGTTTATCTCCAAATCATGATTTTTCCCTTTATGATTTGATCATGGCTGCATAAAACTCTAGGGGTAGATGGCTGGCATACATAGGTTTATTCTTAATTCATTTTGATGTGGTCAATTTTGTTTAAATGGTATTCAAGTATTAATGTTAAATATCCAGGATACAGACTTTTGATTTTTTGAGTTGTATTCACTCAGGAATATGAGGTTCTTTCATAGAACATCAAAGATAACCACAGCATTTTCATTTGATTCCCAGCTGAAAGAATATAATGAAATTAAAGTCATCTTCCCTATTCCTTAATAAATGCTATGAATTGAAATTGAGCGCTAATAACTGAAGTGCCTAACTTCTGAGCATTTAGCAGAGTTGCTCACAGAATTCTTCAGCGGCACAGAGGAACTGAATGCAAAGGAAGAGAAACTTAAACACAAAAACCATAGTGAAAATTGAATTTTCTTTTGTAAGAATATTGTACACAGGACTGAGTTATGTCAAGAAAAAATGTTTTGCAATCAAGTTATTGACATTATGTTAGAAGGCTACAATGAATGGGATGTAGACCTGCATACATTACATTTTCCAGTCTGATTACTTACAAAGTTTCAGTCACAAACAATCTGTCTTCTTGTATTATCAATGTTTCAAGCAAAGAAGATTAGATGTTATGCAGTGGCATTGTCATACAGTTGTGAAATGGAAGATTTGTGTATTTATTCAACAAATATTTATTGAATGCCTAGTATGTTTTAGGCATTATTCTACTTCCTTACAGTACAGTGATAAATAAGATACCAGTGACAAATAAGGTAAATGAGATGAGTGATATTTAATCCTTGCCCTCATAGCTCTTACATAAGGGGGGAAGCAGGCAATGAACATATTAAGTATAAATATACACACATAAAATATTTCAGATAATGTTAAGTTTCACTATGGAAAATAAAAGAGAGTAATGGGACAGAATCAAGGTAGGTGCTAGTCTATTTAGAAACACTAACCACGGCAGAGTAATTACAAAACTTTACTTGTTAGAACGGAAAAAACTTGAGACATTGTTTAGTCCCACTCCATCTTTTTGCAAATATTAAACCTGAATTCCACAGAACTGGCCACTTGCCGAAGGTCCCATGGCTTCTGATGTTCTTGCTGGGATTTGAGTTCTAGTGTCTAGTAGACCATTAGTCACAGTCACTATGCGATATCCTGGAAATTTACTAGAAATGTAGATGGAGCCACTCAGTTTCATGTAGCTCCTTGTGATCCAGACACAGTCCATATTTTTAAATTTAGCTCTCAATTTTTTTATCTTTATTAAATTACTACTTATAAATAGTGGTAAATGACAAATTCTTTATCATTATATAGTATTATATATTCTAATAATATTTTCAACTGAATAAAATAACAAAAATAGTAGTCTCTGTCCCCATCTCTTCCAATGCCTGATTCCTATTTCTAGAGGCAATCATTTTTTTTTTTTTCCCTAGGGTTTCTTCTAGAATGTACCTCCATATAGCTAAATAATATGCTCATATTTCTATTTCTTGGTTTTCCAGTTTTTGTACCTAATAGTTTCCTTCAACAGGCCCAATTCCTGTCATATGATGACAGCAAGAATGAAAACATCTCCTATAGTTTTCTTAAATTTACTTGGTGGAGCTAGTGTTTTCCTTGATCTTAGATAAAGTTTAGGATAATCGTTTGGTCAATTTTAGTTAAAAAAATAAACCGTACATTCAATAATTAATATGCCTATTCTAAACAGTGGTAAAATATTTAATGTCGAGGCATGCATGCTTTTCTCCTCCTGCCTACATTTGTGGTAGGCTGTCAGCTTGCACAGTTTTGCACAAAGGAGGAGAATTGGATTCTTGGATCTCCACTTCTACTTCTATGGGATTCTATCCTGCTTCTCCTTCATTTGCTAACCCTTGAAAGTCAAATCTTGGGGTGGAAATGAGAGGAGAGAGGAGTTTTCTAGGCTATTAATAATATGAGATGGCATACTTCCACTCTGGGAAAGGCATAAATTGACCTGTTCTCTTGTAAGATCATTTTGTGGATGCTTTTGACATCTGTCCTGATCGAAATTCCCTCACCACCGGTTCCTGGAAATTCAGAGTTACCTTTCTATTGGGGACTATTGTTTTTCAACTGATGCAACTGACTGGATCTAACATATCTACCCCTAATTATGGGCCACATCTGTCCTGCAGTAACCAGCCACGCATCGTGTATCCTGACAAACGCTGAGAGCGTAGGCAGTCTTCTGACTGAACGACTTGTCTTGCACAAAGGTTGGCTTTTTCTCCTCTATGCTAGTGGAAAGGGGCAACACTACTTCTCCCCTCACATAGGGAAGGTCATGGGACTCACAGTTATCATTAAACCTCTCCCCAAATCCTTGCCTCTCTTTTTCCCCCAACTCATTTCCTTGACTCTCCAACTGTATTTATGGACTGCAGTTAGATATTCAACTAAGTGTTGGCAACCTATTTTCAACCACATTTTGGAGTATTGGGCATATTATTTGGGGACCTCAGCCCAAATGAAGATTAAAAGTTTCATTTGTAACATTTGATTCCAATATTTCTACTGATTTCCTTCTATGAAAGATGAAAATATAGCTCCCGTCTTTGATCTGTTTTTTGTTACATTTTTCCCTTGCTTCCATCTTCCTAAAAGAATTTTATCATGTTTTGGGTTGAATCAATATTTGGTGTGCACATTATAGTGATTATAAATATTTACAGCTGAGTCACAACTTTTACAGCTTTTTTATCCCATGCAATTTTTCTTTGATTGGCTTTTTTTTCTTTTTAAAATTGTTTATGTACCTATCACTAATTAATTCTAAACCATTTCATCTAAGGTACAAATATTGCTTTAATATGTTAAAAATCAGGAAAGGATAATAATTTTAGTTGCAGAGAAAACCTTGATACTTTTAAAGCAATCTAAATATGACCTGAGAAAGACTCTGAACTTCTATATTTGAGTCCTTTTGTCTCTTATCTACCTATGACCTGGAACACGGTCCTCGCCCCCAACCCCACTTTGAGTTCACTCCCAGCTCCACTTTGAGTTGCCCCACCTTACAGGACTGAACTGAACTGATGTATATCTTATACATATTGATTGATGTCTAATGTCTCCCTAATATGTATGAAAGCAAGCTGTACCCTGACCACCTTGGGCTCATGTTGTCAGAACCTCCTGAGGTTGTATCATGGGTGCATCCTTAACCTTACAAAATAATCTTTCCAAATTGGTTGACACCTATCGCAGATATTTTGGGTTCACAGTCTTTATTCGATCTTCACATTTGATTGCTAGCATAATTGAAAGACTTTGCTCACTGCCTTCTGGTTGCAGTATACTATGAAGTAGTTTGATAACATCCTAATTCTTGATTTTTTTGTTCTTCCCTCTTCTCGCATTGATTGTGTTGGTCATTTTAATCTGGCAGTTCATATCTTCAGTTCTAGGAAATAACCTTAGAATTACTTGGATAATTCCCCATTCCCGCAATTCCTCTTCTCCTTTACTGTAACATCTAACTTCTTATTGAAACCTCCTTGACAGGTCTTCTAATTAAAAAAAAAAAAAATGTTCTCTCCAATTCCTTCCCCACATCTTTGTCTTGTTTCGATATCTGAGAAATTTCCTCAAATTTTAAGTGTTGTAACTTTTATTGAGTTTTTATTAATGCTATGAGACAAATGTTTTCTAAGAATTTTGGGGGGAAATATTCTCATTTAAAACAAAAACATAGCAATCGATGCTATCATATAAATATATATATATTACATATAAATATATATAACATCTGAAGATCTTACTTTTCTATCATTCCCTGAATAGTTTCTGTTTACTCTGGATTTTAAATTTTTTATATTATTTTGGTCTCTTTTTTTTTTACAATGGCAAAGGCTCTTTTCAAATCTGTGTCAATCCTTTTTTCTGTTTTTACTTAAGCCCAAGGCACTAAAATGCTGTTTGAAAATTCTGTTTATGCAGGTGATTGGTGGTCTCAGGCACTTTATAGTAGGGAACCTGCCAGTTTGATGGGGGGGATTTCTAAATGTGGTATCCATTGATCTTTTGTTTGAGGCTAGTCCATTTCCCTAGAAAGGATTCTTTAGATTTTCTGCCAGCGATGTTGTCAATGTGGCTCCCACCATTCTCGGAGTCAGTTTGTTAAGACAGGCTATTGTTTCACTGTGTAGTAGGTCAATTTCCACTTGATCCCACTTTTTTAAAGCACAGCATTCCACCTAACCCCAGCCCCTTCAGCTGTGCTTTTTGTCTCAAGAGTCAAGTCCGTCTACTTCAAGCTCTCTTGAGAGTAAACCTCTAGTCTTCTGTTGTGACGCACAGGGAGAACTGCCTGGCTGCATTGAACAGATGAGGGTTTCTTGGACATCTAACCACTACCTATAAAAACTTTCAAACCATTTTCTAGGATTTAGTAGCACTTAAAAGACTGCCTTCAGAGGTGATTAGGGCCTTCATCACTTCTGTATCCACATTTTAACTTTCAGTTTCTTGATATCACTTTTGTTTTTCTTTTATTTTTTTTGAGACGGAGTCTAGTGGCGGGATCTCGGCTCACTGCAACATCCACCTCTCGGGTTCAAGCGATTCTCCTCCCCCTACCCGGCTGCAGCTGGGCTACAGCGCCACCACCACGGCCAGCTAATTTTTGTATTTTTAGTAGAGATGGGGTTTCACCATACTGGCCAGGCTAGTCTCAAACTCCTGACCTCGTGATCCACCCGCCTTGGCCTCCCAAAGTGCTGAGATTACAGGCGTGAGCCACCGTGCCCAGCCGATATCACTTTTCTAGTGTCTTATCTTGCACTCTCTTCTTTGTTCTTGTAAATTTAGGACTTTTTAATTCCTTTACTCTGTTCTCAGTAAAGTTTTGAGATGGAGCAGAAATAAACATACCATGCAATCTATTATGTTTTCTGGAAGCTTTATATCTTCTTTTCCTGTTTATATTTTTTGCACATTTTAAAAGGTTCAACTTCAAATAAATTAGTATAATTTAATTTTTTAAATCATGAAAGATGTTAATTTACTTTAATAAACTAAAAATAATAAACATTTATTTAGAATTAATTATTCATGTGACTGGGGGAGGCACGTGATTCCACATGATTGGGGAAGTTAAAATGCAAGAATCATTTGAATGTCTCATTGTTCTAATAAATAGCCAAATCAATCTCTTCAGATGAACACAAACTGTGCTGGAATACAGATAGTATGTTATACAAAGTCCATGTTATTGGTGTTTTAAAAATGGTTAATATTTGCAGTTTGCATTGACATTGGATGTTTCAGAAATGAATTCACAAAAGATTTTTTGATGATAAGGTAGGTACAGAAATTCATAAAAATAATTTTAAGTGAATATTCAATCATGAAATATGTATCAGCAAAACAAATCTTATTATCTAGTATTCCTTATTGTTATGATGAACAAAGTTATTATATAATAATAGTATTAAATTCTAAGAGTATTCCTGTGGAAAGACGCAAGAAATTAAAAAGGTAGTTGTATTTCGCTTCTGATCTATACACAAACTCTGACATATTAACTTTTTGTGGGTCAGTTTTCTTTTTAAATTTATTCCTTTAAAAGTTGATGATCTATTAGTGAAAGGTCAGTCTTTTATCAAAAATTCACCTTTCTACCACTTCTGTTCTGTTCCCCACACTCTCCACACACACATACATCTTCAACAGCTTGCTCTTGTCATGTAGACGTTGGCTGTCTGGATTTTTCAACAGCTGAATTCAAACAATACAGCTTTCAATATTTTATTTTCATTCTTGGAGACATACTATGTAGTTCATTACACAGCCTAGAAATATTCTTACTTCTGTGAAATATTGATTAGTAAAAGACTGGGTTCAATGTTTTATAATTGAATAAATGTGTATACTTCTCGAAGTACTATTATTAATAACTAATCAGAGCTTTTTCTATCAGTAAAGAAATCTTTATAAATCAAGCCTTTAGGACCCTAAATTATGCACTTAATTACAGAAAGGTTAAATTGATAAATGCTTTATTCTATAACATATGATTTTTGTAAAGCATAAGCTTGGAAAATGAAAAAAATTAGAAAGGTGAATATTATAATACGCTAGTACTATAAAGCCTAAGTTACAAAGAAGAAAGTGAACATGAGAAAGAAAAGAAAGGAGAATTCACAGTGCAGATAAGAAAGAATGTTGAAAATTTAAGACAGTGCTTAATCATTAATAATCGTATTCCATGAAGTGCCCGACTGAGAGAATAAAAGTGAAAAGAGATTTAAAGATAGCTGTGGTGATGGGGGGCATGGTCATTGGGGCTAGCTCTTCACCAATAAGTTAAAAAATTATTTAGAAAAACTCAAAATAGTCCATTTAGCATTCAACAAAGCTCCATTGGTACTAAATCTTTTGTAGCTCTGTATAAGTCTGGTCTTCTAAATAGCCTGAAACATTTAAAATGTCATATAATACAGTTTTCAAGGCAAAGACTAAAAAGAACACACTTGGTCAAAAATAAAAAGGCTATAATAAAAAATCTAATATTTTTAGAGGAAAACAACTACCACTTAGCATGATCAAGGAGTTCATTTATAAAAGTTATTCATCAGAGACAAATAGGAAACCATTAAGCAGTACTCAGCTTCTACAAGATATATATCCCAATTGCTTATGAGGCTATTTGACATTGTTGAGCTCTTTGCTCTTTGTAATTGAAGGGCTTTATTAAATAACAAGAGGCTCTTCTTGTATGGACTATTGCCTTTAATTTGTGATATAAATTTCTGCAAAAGACAGCTCAAAGTCAAGCAGTTAACGCTATGGATGCTATACTGCCAATGTGAACAATTTTAAATGCTCCAGCTGATTTATATATTTTAATTTATAAACGCTGTGTTTCCTGTTAGTGTTTAATAGAAATTCAAAATATTATCATTATTATTAATTACAAGTTTTATTTGTGGTGTTCTTAAAAAGTTCAATAATCATAAGAGTAATTGTATTATTATTTTTACATTTTTTGGCTTAATCTCAGTATAACACTCAATTTAATGTAGTGATCTTCAGCATATTTTTAATATCTGGTAGGGTTAGTTCACCTCAAGATTAATTTTTCAAAATAACTTGACTATTTGTGGAGTTCTATTCTAATGTATAAAGTTGAATGTTTGCATAACTCTGCACTTTCTTTTGAATTTTGATGAAAAGGACAACAAATACATGTAGGTGGACACAATAAGCTATACATTTTCCTTCAGTTTACTTTTAGCTGCCTAACATAGGATGCAAATTTCTCATTTTCATTAGTTCTAAGTATTTTATAATTTTACTTAATGGTTTCATTTTAAACTATGGGTTATTTACTAGATATTTTAAGGTTACTACCTAGATTTTGATTTTTCCTTTTACTTCCCATTTGTTAATGTATATTATCATTGCATTATGGTTAAAGAACATTGCCATGGTTTGGAAATGGTTTGTCTTTCCCCACCAAAACTCATGTTAAAACTTGATTGATCCCTAATGTGGCTGTGTTGAAAGGTGGGGGCCAGTTGGAGGTGATTGAGTCATAGAAGCAGATCCCTCACGAACAACTTGGTACCATTCTCCAAAAAGTGAGTGAGTTATCCTATGAAACTGGATTAGTTCTACAGGAAATGGAATAGTTTCCACAAGAGTGGGTTGTTATAAAGTCAGGAGGCTTCTTGGGTTTCTCCCTTTTGCACTGTCCACTTCTCCTTTGGCCTTTCACCGTGTTGTGATGCAGCAGGAAAGCCCTTAGCAGAGGCTGAGCAGATGCTGGCACCAACATCATGCTTCTTGTACTTCCCAGCCTGCAGATCTGTGAGCTAAAGAAGCCTCTTCTTTATAAATTACCTAGCCTGAAGTCTTCTGGTGTAGCAACACAAACCAGACTAAGACAAACATGGGATGTTGGTTTTCTTGACCTTACCAAGCTATCCTTTGTCAACCACTTATAGTTGATTTTTTATAAATTTTCCTTATTTATACAAAAAAACCCCAGCATGTTTTTGCTGTAAGAACATAGCTGTCAAGTTAGTGAACATCAGTTATGCTTTTAAACACTGTATATCCTTACTTGGTCTATGTAGGCATCATGTGTCATTTTCCGAGTATAATGTTATCTTCTGTCACTAAATTTGTTATTTTCTCCAAGATTCTAAAAAAATGAAGCTTTGTGCATGTTAAATCTCTACTGTTAGCTGTGAGCATGTTTATAAGCATAATATCTTCTGGCTCAAGTGTTACTTTTATCAGGATATAATGCCTATATTTATCTTTTATTAAGTTTTTTACTAAGAATTTTCTTGAATCTAAAATTGCAACAAGATTTTTGTTGTGCTTTTGATAAATTAAATAGTAGAATTGAGATAGCCAAATAATGAACTAATAAACTAGAGCATCGTTAAACACTTTTGAAAGCATCATCAATGAAAAAGATCAGCTCTATTTCTAAATAACAATGATATAAAATATGGAATTAAACATGTCAGTATTAATATATGACTATGTAATCAAGAAAGAAATATAAATGGAAGAGAATTAAAAGATGGTAAAAAATTAAAGAAAAATGAATGTTCATAAAATAAAATAGTTCATAGATACTAAAAAGATTTTTTTTGTGCCTACACCTAAATAAAATTCATAAAGTTTAAGAAAAGACCATTGCTTTAGGTCAATTATATTTTTGAAAGTACAATTTGGCTTACATTTACTTATTTTTAATTTTTAATGTTTTTTTAGAAGCAGAGTGTCTGTCACCCACACTGTAATGCAGTGGTGTAATCATAGCTCACTGTAACTTCAAACTGCTGCAATCCTTCCACCTCAGCCTCCTGAGTAGCTAGGACTGCAGGTGTACCACATGACCAGCTAGTTTTTAAATTTTTTTTATAGAGATGGGATCTTGCCATGTCACCCAGGCTGGGTTCTCAAACTTCTAGCCTCAAGCAATCCTCCTGCATTGGCCCCCGTAAGTACTGGGACTGCAGGTATGAGCCATCATGCCCAGCCTGGGCTTACACTTAAATACTTGTATATTAGCAGCTAATCATTTCAAATGAAAATTTACAGTACCATCATCAAACATAAAATAGTTAGCAATACATTTAACAAATGTTGGGCAAATCTTCTACACTGAAAACTTTAAAACATATCTGAAATGAAATAAAGACCTAAATAAATGGGAAGAAATACCATATTCATAGATTAGCAAACTTAGTATCAATATTTTAAGATGTTAGTTCTTCTAAATTTGTCAAAGTATTCACTTTTGAAAAGAACATATTTTTAATTATTCTGCTTGAAGTTTGCTAAGCTTCTTGTATGTATAAGATGATAGTTTTAATCAAACCTGAAAAAATCCTCAGCCATTATTTCTTCAAAAATATTTTTTCCTAACAAAGTAGTTTTCTCCTGTTCTTCTGGAAATTCAGTTATACATGTATTATATACCTGATATTTCTCACATGTTACTAAGTCTCTGTTACCTTTCAGTTATTATATTCTCTCTGATTTTTAGATTGGCTAATTTCTAGTAATTTCTTTTCAAGTTTACCAGCCTTTTCTTCTGCATTTTCAATTTTATAGTGAGTGTTTTACTTTAACTAAGATACTTTTCAGTTTTATAATTTCTATTTGTTTTGTTTTTATAAATTACATTTCTCTTCAGAGATTTCTCTCTATTCAATCATTGTATTCATTTCTCTATATAATATATATATTTAATTCACACAAAATTTGTTCATAGTTTTGGAGTACAGTGTGATATTTTAATACATGCATACAAAATCAGGATAATTAGCATATCCATCACCTCAAACATTTATTATTTCTTTGTGTGGGTAATATTCAAAATCCTCTCTTGAAAAATTACAATAAATTATTGTTGAATATAGTTACCCTACAGGGCTATAGAACAGTAGAACATATTCCTCTTATCTAGCTGTAATTTTTTATGTGTTAATCAACTTCTTCCTATACTCTCCTCACACCTACTATTAACCTCTAGTATCCACTATTCTTCTCTTTACTTCTATATCAACACTTTTAGATCTCACATATGCATGAGACCATGTGGTATTTATTTTTGTGTGCCTGACTTGTTTCATTTAACATAGTGTCCTCCAGTCTCACGCACATTGCCATGAATGACAAGATTTCATTATTTTTTATGGTCGAATAGTATTCCATTGTGTATATATACCACATTTTCTTTATCATTTCATCTGCTGATAGACACTTAGGCTGATTTCTTATTTGGCTACTGTGAATATTACTGGAATAGACGATATGTGCAGTTATCCTTTCCTTTGGATACATATTTAATAGTGGGATTGCTGGATCACTTGGTAGTTCTATTTTTAGCTTTTTGAGGAGCCTCTGTACTGCTACCCATAATGGCTGACTAATTTACATTTCCAAGAATGCATATGACTTTTTTTAAATGTCTGCATCCTTGCCAGTATTTGTTATTTTTTGTCTTTTTGATAATAGCCATTATAACTGCGATGAGATGATATCTTATTTTGATTTTCATTTGCATTTCCCTAGTGATTAGTGGTGTTGAGCATTTACTTATGTTACAATTTGAATGTCATCTTCGGAGAAATGTCTATTTAGATCTTTTGCCTATGTTTAAGTTAAATCATTTGTCTTTTTGCTTTTGAGTTATTTGAATTACCTGTCTATTCTGGATGTTGATTTCTTATTGGATGAATAGTTTGAAAACATTTTCTCCCATTCTTCTGGTTGTCTCCTCACTCTGTTGATGGTGTCTTTTCTGTACAGAAGCTTTTTAGTTTGATATAATCTCATTTGTCTATTTTTCCTTTTGTTGCCTGTGCTGTTCAGGTATTAACCATAAAATCTTGATCCAAATCAACATCCTGAAGCATGTCCCCTATATTTTCATGTAGTACTTTCACAGTTTTGGATCTTACATTTAGGTCTTTTGTCCATTTTGAGGTGTTTTTGTGTGTGTATAGTGAGAGAGAGGGGTCTAGTTTCATCCTTCTGCATATGAATATCGAATTTTCCCAGCACCATTCATTGAAGAAACTGTCCTGTCCCTCATGTATGTTCTTGGCACCCTTGAAGAAAATCAGCTGGTTATAAATAAATTGGTTTATTTCTGGATTCTTTATTCTGTTTCATTGATCAATGTATTTTTTTAATGCCAGTATTATGATGCATTGGTTACTATAGCTTTGTAGTATATTTTGAAGTCAAGTAGTGTGATGCCTCCAGCTTTATTTTTTGGCTAAAGAACATTTTGATATTTGGGATCTTTTGTGACTCCATCCAAGTTTTAGAATTATTTATTCTATTTCTGTGAAGAATGCCATTGGAAGTTTTTTAGGGCTTGCACTGAATTTTTAGATCACTTTGGGTAGTATGGTCATTTTAACAATATTTATTCTTCAAATCTATGAATGTGGTATGTCTTTCCTTTTTCTGTTGGTATGTCTTCTTCAATTTTATTCATCAATGGTTTATAGTTTTCCTCATAGAGATCTTTTACCTCTTTGGTTAAATTAATTTCTACACTTTTTTTCTAGACTGTAAATAGGTTTGCTTTCTTAATTTATTTTTTAGCTAGTTTGTTACTGGTTTATAGAAACACTACTGACTTTTGTGTGTTGACTTTGTATTCTGCAACTTTACTAAATTTATCAGTTCTAAAAGTTTTTTGGGAAAATCTTTATGTTTTATGATATATAAGATTATGTCATCTGTAAACAGGGACAATTGCACGTACTCGTTTCCGATTTAGTTGCCTTTTCTTTCCTTCTCTTGCCTAACTGTATTAGCTAAGACTCTCCGTACTATGTTGACTAAGAGAGGTAAAGGTGGCCATTGTTTTCTTGCTTCAGTTCTCAGTGGGAAAACTTTCAATTTCTTTTAGCATGTATTTGGCTGTGGGTTTGTCATATATGGTCTTTATTGTTTTGAGGTACATTACTTCTATACCTAACTTGTTGAGGGTTTTTATTATGAATATGTTTGTTTTTATCAAATGCTTTGTTTGCATCAATTGCGATGATTATATAATGTTTCTCCTTCATTCTGTTGATGAGATGTATCATGTTTATTGATTTGCATTGTTGAATGAACCTTACATTCCTAAGACAAATCCCATTTGATCATGGGATATACTATTTTTGATGTGCTGTTGGATTCAGTTTGCTATTATTTGTTGATGATTTTTGAATCTATGTTTATCAGGGTTATTGGCCTGTAGTTTTCTTTCTGTGTTGTTTCCTTGTCTGGTTTTGATATTGGAGTAATGCCGGCCTAATAGAGTGAGTTTGGAATAATTTTCATACCTTTAATTTTTTGGAATAGTTTGAGAATTTGTGTTAGCTCTTTTTTAAATGTTTCGTAGAATTCATCAGTGATGTCATCAAATCCTGTTCTTCTTTGTTGGGAGACTTTTTATTACTGCTTCAATTTCAACTCTTATTATTGTTCTGTTCAGGTTTTCTAGTCTTCCTGTTTGAATCTTGGTAGGTTGTATGTTTCTAGGAATTTATCTACTTCCTCTAGGTTTTCTAATTTGTTGGTGTACAGTTGTCCATAGTAGTCTCAAATGATCCTGTGTATTTCTTTGGTATCAGTTGTAATGTCCCCTTTTTACTTATGATTTTATTTATTTGGGTTTTCTCTCTTTTTTTCTTAGCTAATTGTTTGTTGATTTTGCTTATCTCCTTTAAAAAACAACTTTTTGTTTAATTGTCTTTTATTTTTTAGTTAGTACTTTATTTCTGCTTCAATCTTTATTATTTATTTCCTTTTACTAATTTTGGATTTTCTTTGTTCTTGCTTTTCTAGTTCCCTGAAATGAATCATTAGATTATTTATTTGAAATCTTTCCACTTTTTGATGTTGGCGTTTATTGTTATTAAGTTTGCAGTTAGTACTGCTTTTGCTGTATCTCATAGGTTTTGTTATGCTTTTTCTTTTCTATTTTCATTTGCTTCAATAAATGTTTAAATTTTCTTCTTAATTTACATTTCAACCCATTGGTCATCCAGGCACAAATTGCTTAAAATCCAGGTATATGTACAGTTTCCAAAGTTCCTCTTGTTATTGATTTCTACCTTTATTCCATTGTAATCACAAAAAGATACTTCATATGATTTTGATTATTTTTAATTTGTGGAGACTTGTTTTGTGGTTAGAATATTGTTTGTTCTGGAGAATGTTCCATGTGCTGATGAGAAGAATGTCCATTCTGTCTTTGTTGGGTGAAAAGTTCTGTAAATACCTGTTGAGTTTATTTGGTCTATAATGCAGTTTAAGTCCAATATTTTCTTATTAATTTTCCCTTCAGATAATTTTTTTCCAGTATGATAAGTGGGATATTGAAGTCCCCACATATTAAAGCAGGATCTATCTCCCCCTTTAGACCTAATAACATTTGTTTTATACATCTGGGTGCTCCAACATCAGGTGCATATATATTTATAATTATTATACCTTATTGCTGAATTGATTCATTCATCATTATATAGGCCTTCTTTGTTTCATTACAGTTTTTGACAAAGTCTACTTTATCTGGTATAAGTATAGCCTCCTGCTCATTTTTGCTTTGCATTTGTGTGGAGTATCTTTTTCATCCCTTCACTTTCAATTTGTGTGTGTCTTCACAAGTGAATAATTTTCTTGTAGGTGGCATATAGCTGAGTTTTTTTTAATTCAGCCAATTTTGATCTTTAAATAGGAAATTTATTCTGTACATATTCAAGATTATTATTGATAAACGAGGATCTACTCCTGTAATTTTGTTATTTGTTTCCTAGTTGTTTTTTATAGTTTCTTATTGTTTATCTTTTTGATGTTTTGGTTTTCTGTAATGATAGAATTTTATTCTTTTCTCTTTTTCATTTGTATATCTGCTCTATTAGTGAGTTTTATGCTTTTGTACGTTTTTGTGACAGTAGTTATTGCCCTATTACTTCTGGATATAGGACTCTTTTTAGTATTCCCTGTAAAGCCAGTCTAGTGTAGACGAATTTTTAAGTTTTTGTTTGTCTGGGAAATAATGTCTTTCTTCTTCATTTCTGAAGGATGACTTTCTGAGTGTAGTATTTTTAGCTGACAGCTTTGTTTTTCTTTCAGCAATTTGAATATATCATCTCATTCTCTTCTGGCCTGTAATGTTTCTGCTGAGAAATCTGTTGTTAGTCTGATGAGGATTTTCTTATATGTGACTTGATGCTTTTCTCTTGCTGTTTTTAGAATACTTTCTTTGTCTTTTACTTTTACAGTTTGAGTATAACTTCCCCTATAGAGTACCTTTTTGAGTTGAAACTATTTAGGGAGTTTTGAGCTTCTTTAATCTGGATGTTCATATGCCTCCCAAGACTTGGGAAGTTTTCAGTTATTATTTTATTAAATAGGTTATTTCTGTGCCCTTCCCATTTCTTCTCCTGCATAATGCAATGTCCGTAACACAAATTCCATAATGCAAAAGTTTGATCACTTAATTTTGTCCCATAAGTCCTGTAGGAGTTATTCATTCATTTTTCTTTTCTTTTGTTTCACTGGGTTATTTCACAAGACCTCTTTTCAAGTTCAGAAATTCTTTCTCCTGTATCATATAGTTTGTTGATGAAGCTCTCAATTATATATTTTTTTATTTTATGCATTGACTTCTTCAGCTCCAATATTTCTCTTTGGTTCTTTTTAGTGATATCTATCTCTTTATTGAATTTCTATTAATATCATAAATTCTTTTCCTGATTTTGTTGAATTATTTATCTGCATTCTCTTGTTATCTAAGTTTCCTTAGGATGACTATTTTAAATTCATTTTCAAGCAGTTTGTAAATTTCAGTTTTTTTAGGTCAGTTACTGGAAAATTATTCTTCTTAGTGATGTCATATTTCTTTGCTTTTTCATGTTTCTTGTACTCGTGTGTTGATATTTGTGCATCTGATGGAACAGTACCCCAGTTTTGTAGACTGGCTTTTGTGGGAAAGGACTTTCATGGGTAGATTTGGCTGAGGGTGTCAGTTGGGTAGGGTGTGTTGGCTTTGTTCTTGTTGGTTGCAGCAGTATTGTCTGTGCAGTTTCTTTAGCTATTGATAACATCATGTAATGGCTATAAGTGCTTCAGTGGCTTAGTCTGCAGAGATTTTTGTTGCTGGTTTGTCTTTTGGGCTCTGCTACCCTGGGCACAGGTTGGTGAGCTGGTCCTTGCTCTGTGGAAGTGCAGAATTCATCAGCGAGTGGCTCAGATCAAGCACTACTTCCCTGGGGGCAGTGCAGAGCGGGGGAAGTGCAGGGAAGATCAACTGGTAGCTCAGCTTGGTTACTGCTCCCCTGAGGTTGGTGCACAGGCCTGGTCCACTTTTAGAGAAAGTGAGCAGCTTGTCAACCTGTAGCTGGATTTGAGCACTGCTTCCCTGGGTGAAGGGCACTGGGGGGTCTGTGTTCCGTTAAGCACAGAGCTGATCAGCCTGTGGTTTGGCTTAGGCAAGTGCTTCCCTGGGAAATGGTGCCAGTCCGGTCTGCATTCCAAGGAACTGAGGATCTGATCAGCTGGTGGCTTTGCTTGGACACTGCTCCCCTGGGGGTAGGGCACCGAGGCAACAGCTGTTCCATGAATCTAGTCTCTGAGTGGCCAGGATCATCGTGCTGTATCCCTTGGAATAGGAAATATAGAGCACCTCCTAGGTTTCTCTCAAGGGTTAGAGAGCTGTAGCAGCTGAGCTTGGGAATGCTGAGCTATCAGCTGTGAGCATGATGTAATGGGAGTAGAGCCTCAAGTTCAGAAAGATACAATTGCTACTGGTCTTCAGAGCAGGACACATTCTAGCTGTGGTTGCAGTTTTGAAATGGTGCCTTATGGCAGCTCTTTGGGTCATTGCAGGGCAGCAAGCACAATGTGGGCTCCTTCTCTAAAACAATGCAGCAAGGAGAGCTTCTTGCAGCAACCTAAAACAGGCTTAGGGCTATAAGAGATGCAGGATTCTCCAGCAGCAGAGATTGCAAGGATTCACAGCATTAATGGGGGATCCTGGGGGCTCCTGATTATCTTCTCCCCACACAGTGAAGTCCTTCCTGGCTCCAAGCTGACGGGAGAGATGAGGTGGGAGCAGGGTGGTGCTTTGCTCCTTTCTCTAAGCAGCCATCCTGAATCTTCATGTTCCACAATGTCTCTGCCATTCTCCTGCTGCACTCCAGCATTCTCCCTCAGATATTTTAATCAAGATATAGCTGTTTATTAGCTATTTTGGTACTATTTTGTTGGGAGAACACGTGCTAGGCACCTCTAGTCAGCCAACTTGCTGATGTTATCATCCTGTCTTTTAGTTTAAATTCTTTAACATGTTTCTAAAAGTTATTTTATAGTCCTTGTCTGCTGATTGCCATATCTGCGTCGTCTTTCTACTAATTGCCTGTTTTCTTGATTATGTGTCACATTGTCCTACTTCTTCATATAGCTAGTCATTTTAATTATATGATAAACATTTTAAATGGTTTATTGTAGGGGGTCTTGATTAATTGCCCTCTAAATGATATTTATTTGTTTGTTTTCCTGGAAACCAGATAAATTACTTGTGGGTCTTTCTAATCTTGTCAGGCTTGGCTTCTTTTCTTATTATTTGTGGTCTCTTTAAGTTTTGACCTTAGTCACAGGGTATGGCTCTAAGTTTAGGTCATAGTTGTTACTCTTAAGGCATGGCCTTTTTGAGGATCTCAATTGAGTACTCGGGCTTCACTGCAAAGTTTCCAAGCACTCTGAACTGCATAATCATTTTCATTGTATATATTGTTAGCTATCAGCTGTACAGTTCTATGATTAAGCCTTGTTATTCATATAATCTTGACAAAGAACTTGCACAGCCCAGTCCTTTGTAAAAAACTTGTGGGCCGGGTGCAGTGGCTCACGCCTGTAATCCTAGCACTTTGGGAGGCTGAGGCGGGGGGAATCATGAGGTCAGGAGTTCGAGACCAGCCTGGCCAACATGGTGAAACCCCGTCTCTACTAAAGATACAAAAAATTACCTGGGCGTGGTGGTGCATGCCTGTAATCCCAGCTATTCAGGAGGCTGAGGTGGGAGAATGGCTTCAACCTGGGAGGCGGAGTTTGCAGTGAGCCGAGATTATGCCATTGCACTCCAGCCTGGGAGACAGCAAGACTCTGTCTCAAAAAAAAAAAAAAAAAAAGAAAACAAGAACAACAAAAACAACTTGCGAGATACAGACTTCTAGTCACCCTCTTTTTGCTTCTACCTCTTGTTGACAATCTTCACCACAATTTTAAGCCTCCTAAGAAGGCTGTGCACCACTGTTTGCCTCCTCAGCTCAGCCTGTCTACTGTGCTTTGTTTGAGTTTCACTTCTTTGTGCTTTGATGCAGAAAGTCATCTGGCCAAAGAAAAAAAAAGTTTCCAAGGAAAACAGGAATCTGATCTATTAAATTTTCTAATTTTCTTTGTCTCAAGAATCACCTCCCCACCTTGCTTGTTTTCTTGTGCCTGGAAATGCTTGTCTCATGTATTTTGTCCAGTTTTATATTTGCTAGGGCAAGAGGGCAAGTTTAATTTCATTTCATTTTAAACTTCAATTTTGTAGCATTTTAATATATTGAAGTTCATTATATCTAATTGGAGCTCAAGAATTACTGACATTTTTGTTAATGCAGCATTTTATTAAATATTCTCTTGCTGTGTAGTTTGTTAATAGTATGTGGCATTATAACAGATAAACACAAAATTTAGCACTGGAAGATTTTTTTTCTTGGAATTATCTGTAAATTTATACTTTTTTCAAAGTTAATGTTCAGCCAAGGAGACCAAAGTCACTCTGTGTATTTAAGTATGAAGGAGAATATAAAATTATATGATTACATTATAATTGAAAGGGCTGGGGGTGTTAAGGTTGGACAAGTCTATCTTAGTCTGCCACACTGATGTCAGTGATTCTCAAGGAGCTCAACTGAGAGTTGCTTCAAATATCATGTCTTCCCATTCATCTGCCAGCAACTGTCCCTGAAAAATAATGACCTTTTCTGATTTTAGTTTTTGCAAATCTTATGTCTCTTGATAGGCTCTAACCTGGAACTATATGGAGACAGAAATTCTAGAGAATGTAGTTCTTAGCTTCCCCCTTAGGGTGCACAGAGAAAATCCTAGAAGAAGGTAGTTGTAATGCTGATTTGATTTCGACAATGCAGCAATGTATGCTTTGCCTCAACATCTCAAATACATGAACTTTTCTAAAATGTGAAAAAAATTGGAAATTACTTTGTGAGCAGAAAATTTTGAATGTATTTCAGTTATTTAAATATTTTATTTTATATTTTAGTTTTATTGAGGTATATTCCTAATAAACCTTCCCTAAGTGAACACTGGTGCACAAATATCATTTGAATAGGTTTAAAAATGTCTGAATCACTCTGAACGTAGAAAAAGAAATAATATTTTCAATTAATTATTAGAATAATTATGATAGTCTTAAGGTAAGGCACTTAAAATTTAAAATTAAACTCTCCATAAATCCATAGCTCTGAATACTAATCTAAAATGTTTCTAGCTTTACTTACATGTGTGAAGATGCCCTGTTTGTGTAGCACTCTCAATTAATTTTAAGGCATCAACTGAATAAAAAGTGAGTACATAAAAGGCAGAGAAAGATTTAAATATTGGTCTCTGATTTGCCATATATCTTCCTCTGAAGACACTAAAGATTCAATTATCATTAAAGTGTAAGTGTGTATCTCTGTCGCTTGACCAGGATTATCACCTCTGCCATTTGAACCTGGAGGACTTCATGTAAGGTCATCCTATCCTTCGTATATTTAATTGCCGTGGAGATGTATATCAATTATGCTCATTCCAAGCATATCAAAGGTAATCTTATGTGAAAATGCCCCTTTAATATTTTAAGTCCCTTGGTATTTGTTTGCTGTGGGTACTCCTGGAATACCATGGAGAAAAAGAACTTTAAAGTGCATTGGAAAGAAAGAGAGGGTAACTCATGCATAGGGAGTGATAAATCTGCCTATAATGGTCTGGGCTCTATGACCACACTGTTCATCATGTAATTTCTCTATCAACTGTTTTCTATTTATTACTCTGAACCCTGCAGTTTGATGTTGTAATTTCTGCTCCTCAATCTTATCTTAATATTTCCTTGATTTGGACATCCATCTATTCAACAAATATTTATTGACCGTCTACCATGAACCAGGGCTTGCTCTAGGTTGTGGTATATAGAACAGTGGACAAAATACTCAGAACTCTCTCACTTCACAGGGATTATATTGTGGTAACAAGACTCAGGAAATGAAAAAAATTTAACTGTGTTAGTAATAAACGATAGAGAATAAAATAATTCAGGGAAGAGGTATGAATAGTACTGGGGTGTGTGTGTGTGTGTGTGCATGTGCATGCATGCGTGCATGTTTTGGGGATGGTGATGTCAATATTAAATAGTGTAGAGAAGGCTTTAAATGAAATTGTTACATTTAAGAGACTCGTAGAAGTTGATCACTCTGACATTTCTCCAGGCCTTCTTCATTTCTTTTTTCTGTCTTCCATTCCTTTTTAAATCTATTTCTTCTTCATACATACCACTGTCTAGAATAATCTCTCTCATATATATGGGTGTTTGTGTGCATGTGCATTGCGTGTGTGTGTGCATGTGTGTGTATAATCTTGTTTTCTAATCCCATTAGAACATAACCTCCATGAAGAAAGAGATTTTTGAATGTTTTGTTCAGTGTTTTATCCCCAGATCCTAAAAAGTTCTTATGTCATAAAGAAGTGATAAATAAACATAATTAAATGAGAGATTGAATGAGTGGATGAAAAAGAACATTTAAGGGAGAGGAAACAGCACATGCAAAGGCCATGCTGTGAGAGTGTATCTGGTGAATAAAATGAGCAATCAAAAAGTCAGTGTAGCTGGAATGGAGTGAGATGGGAAACAACAGTAGAAGATGAAAGTAGAAAGGTAATGGAGTAGGGCACGGGTGACAACCAATATAGGGCCCTTAGGTCACTGTAATTACTTTGACTCCTACTTTGAGTGAGATGGAAAGCTAATTGGATGGGTCATATTAGTGGCAAGACCTCACTTTTGTTTTTACAGGGTCACTCTGACCATTGTGTTGAGAATTGATTGAAAAGCCAAGAATGGAAGCAGAGGGACCAGTTAGGAGTTTATTGTAAAAATGGCCTTCCCAGTATTTATTATTGTCCAATCTCTGTAAGTGTAACTGCCTTATTGTCTAGAGTGTTGTTTCTTCTCTTAAGTTCACAGCATGGAGAAATAAAAGCAAATATAAAGTGTCATTATAAATAAATTAAAGCAGAGAGAGAAAGATCCTGAAAATTATGTGAGTTGGCTTAAATCATGTACATGGAAGCAAACAGTGTATATCTACCCTTAATAAGCCAAGGTTTTACAATTTCAGTTAATGTAAATGAGAATAAAAGAAACACTTTAAATAATATAAAAATCTCCTGGCATAGAAGCTTTTAAATATATACCTTTGAATATAGGAAAAAAAGTTCATTCAATTATGTTTAAATGACAGTATAGTGTTTTCTAATCCTGACACAAAATAAATTCTCTGGACAGTTAAATTTAAAATGAGGCTCTAACATGTAGTCAAGACATTTCTTACTATAAATCAAATAATTTAGTCATAGAACTACACTAGAAAATTAGTTTACTCATAATTCTGGCACATAATTTTTTATCTTAAATCTCCATTTAAATGAAATAAATTACGAGTAGTCAAAAGCTTGACTGTGACTGCAATGAGGATGCCAACAATCAATTCTATGTCAATAGGTTTGAAGAGCCTTAACACTCTATGATAATAGGTTTGATAAAAGGGCTTTGGAAAAACTCTATGTCAGAGACATATTATTTCTTTCCCTGATACACACACAAACACACACACACACAGACTCACACTCACTTACCAATCCCCAAAGATCACTGACAAATATTCTAAAAGACATGAAATAGTGAACTCTATTCTTTCATCTTGTATTTATATATCTGTTTGTATTTATTTGAAGGTATTTTAATTGTGTACTTCTAAAATGTTTTGTATTAACATACAAAACTTAGTGGTATACCACATGTGTTTGGCTGTTCCCATATTGCTATAAAGAAATACCTGAGACTGTGCTGGGCAACAGGGACCTGGGCCTGGCCCATGAAACCATTCTTTCCTCCTAGGCCTTTGGCCTGTGATGGGAGGGGCTTCCCTGAAGATCTCTGAAATGTCTTCAAGGCCTTTTTCCCCATTGTCTTGGCTATTAGCACTTGGCTTTTTAGTTATGTAAATCTCTCTATCAAGTGGTTGCTCCTCAGCCCACTTGGATTCTTCCCCTGAAAAATGGGCTCTTCTTTTCTACCACGTGGCCATGTTACAAAGTATCAAAACTTTCACACTTTGCTTTTCCTTTAAATATAAATTCCAACTTTAAGTCATTTCTTTGCTCGTGCGTCTGAGTAAAAACTGTTGGAAGCAGCTATATCACTTCTTGAACATTTTGCCACTTAGAATTTCCTCTGCCAGACACATTAGGTTGTGAGTCAGAAGTTCAAACTTCCACAGATTCCCTAGGGTCTGGACCCAGTACAGCCAAGTTTTTTGCTAAGGCATAACAAGGATGACCTTTGCTCTAGTTTCCAAAAAATTTCTTATTTGCATTTGATACCTTGTCAGTCTGGACTTCACTGTCCATATCACTATCAGCATTTTGGTCACAATCATTTAGCCAGTATGTAAGAAATTCCAAACTTTCCCTCATCTTCCTGTCTTCTTCTGAGCCCTCAAAACTCTTCCAACCTCTGTCTGCTACCCAGTTCCAAAGTTGCTTTCACATTTTTAAGTGCCTTTATAGCAACACCCCACTCCTTGATATCAATTTTCTGTGTTATGCCATTCTTGCATTGCTAAATGCAATAGAAATACCTGAGACTGGGTAATTTATAAAGAAAAATGTTTTAGCTGGCTCATGATTCTGCAGGCAGTACAGAAAACATGGCACTGAGCATCTGTTTGGCTTCTTGTGAGACCTCAGGAAGCTTATAATTATGGCAGAAGGCAAAGGGGGAGCCAGCCTATCACATAGTAAGAGCAGGAATAATTTGATGTTGGAGGAGGTGCCACACAATTTTCAACAACTAGGCCTCATGAGAACTCGCTACTGCAAAGACAGGACCAAGGGAATGGTGCTAGACTATTCATGAGAAATCTGCCCCCGTGATCTAATCACCTCCCCCCAGACCCCACCTGCAACATTGGGGAGTACAATTCAAAATGCAATTTAGAGGGGACAACATCCATACTATACAACCATACCTACAGCTTCTGTCTCTTGGCTTGAACGTGAGACTTAATTAAGCAAGTTTTGTGAAATTAATTTGAATCTGCATTTGCAATGGACCATACACTAATAAACTTCTCATTTCTGGGCTTAATAATTTTTTTTTAAAAAACACATTTTTTTCACAAGAAAGAAGATGAAAATTGTTTGCTTTATAGCATATGTAAATTATCATAGTTTGAATTATTTCCATTCCTTAGCCATTGGTTTAGAAATAGTAACATCATTCTGGATTTAAATGAATGAAACTCCTGGGGTGAGATTTCATTATCATTAAATAGTTAAAGGAAGATTTTTAGGTGGAAGACTTTGTTAATTTGTTTATATTTTGATATACAATTTGCAAGGTCTGCTGTAATAAAGTACCACAAATTGGGTGACTTAAACTGTAAAATTTATTGTATCACAGTTCTGCAGGCTGGAAGTCTGAAATAAAGGTGTCAGTAGGGTTGGTTCCTTCTGAGAGCTGTGTGCAGTAATCTGTTCCAAGAATCTCTTTCTCACCACTACCCCAATTTATGGTGGTTTGCTGGCAATCTCTGGAATTATTTGGCTTGTAAAAGTACCCTAATCTCTGTACTCATCTTCACATGGCATTCTCCCTATAGCATGTCTGTCTCTGTGTCCAAATTACCCCTTTTTTTAAAGACACTAGTCATATTGGATTAGCACCCACCCTAATGAGCACTAAACATTTTCAGTAGAATTGTTTACTTAGCAAATTGTTTACTTACAGATGTTAAGTTCTCTCACGTTTCTTGTAAAATTCAATGCTTCTTTTGTGGCAGGTTGAATTTCAATTATGCATTCATCTCTTGAGTCAGTTCTAACACTTTAAATGCTTCAACGTTCCTTATATTCAGCAACTCATTTTTTAAGGGGGCATTGCTATGGTAGTTGGCTATCTTACTTGTATAAAAATATACAATAAATATATGTGTATATTTAATATTTGGAGGTACATCTAGGAATGGCTTGAGGTACATCACTGAACCCCTGCTATAGCATTCGTGGGTGAATGTATAGGTTTCAGAAAGATACCTGCAAATGCGTACGTCCAAGGTACAGAACCCCAAATGTAGGATTACTTCCTTCCTTCCCTCTTTTTTGAGTGGAGAATTAAAACTGACCCCACACTCCAAGGGAAAGACAGGCTCTTCTGGAGCCATGGTAACAAATAACTGCCAGAAACAGTTTAAATGCATTTAGTTAATCACTACCAATTCTTCTCAGTGAATATGCTTCTGAAAGTCAACAAATCATTGATAGTCCATGCTTTGGAAAGCCAGGCAATCAGAAACATACTTCCTTCAATAAACATGGCAGCCAATTAACAAGTATCTCAATCCGACAACCATGCTTCCATATAGGGTAAAAGCCCACTTAAGCCTTAGGAATTTTAAACATTAGTGCACTTTGTGTTTCCCAAAACCCTGAATAAGATCAGCAGTCTTCTCTGCTCAAAGAACATTGTGCCTGAGGGGTCTAGCTCTGTCTCAATATGCTAAGTAACTAATTGAGCTTTGTCTTTTGTTAAATATTAAGTAATATTTTCACCATTCTTTAACAGATTGAACTGAACTACTGTCAGTCAATAAGTGGTAGTTCATGTTATAATTGAGGTAATGCAAAGGATCAGATTGTCAAGCTGTACTCGACAGAAATCAAAGATATTACCCAATAGTAAATTTACTGACAATTGCAAGGATACAAGTAATCCCGAGGTACAGATAAAGAAGGGAGATATCCTGTCAATGCAGATTTCTAGTCCCTTTCTCTCCTTAGCTTAGCATGTGATGTCTCTAAGTAATACACATGGGATACAATATTTACACAGAAGAGAGCCTCTTCTGTCATGAAACATTTCCATTTTATATACAGATAGTTACTTTGCACATAAAATATTTTCCAGGAAACCATTATCCATACATGCTAGATTTGTTTACTATAAAGAATTCTAGAGAACTGAGCATTCACAGGTAAGAACCTTTCCTCGAGCAAGTAAAAATTACTTTGTGGGTGTGTCCTCCTACTACAATGTCACCAATCACCAGGAAAAACAAAAAGGATTGTAGACCTGCTGCTCAATCCTTTTCTTGAAAATTATTATTGAATATTAATAACATTTTAGAATAATAATAAAATGGTAAAATGAAACATTTTCTTTTAAAAGTAGAGTTTTTTTTTAGCCCTTGTTATTAAAATTAGTATTTAGAGATAACTTTCCTAAAATAAAAGCAAACATTATGGAATAATGGGACACTGAGACAACTTCTGATTCCCCTGACAGTATTTAAACCAAAATGGGAAATAGAGTCTGTTGATAATATTACAGCACTAAACACCCTAAAACTTAAGCTAAATAGTGAATATGACGCATGTTTTAAAAATGTTCTTCGATATACTATTTAGAAGAAAAATCAGTTAAACCTGATTCTTTATCCTTAATCAAAACTCGCCATTGCCCGATCTCATAAGAACACATTGCATTATGTCCTATACCTGATCATGGAGTTACTCAGATTTATCTGAATTAGGTCACCCAAGACCAGAGAATGAATAAAAATGGATTCCCACATCACAGATGCCAAGTGTGGTAGCTCATTTTCAAGATGGCTGCCAACAATTTCTTCTCTCTAAGTACATTCTGCTTCTTAAATCTGTAGGAGGCCTAATTTTCACTTCCTCTCATGAATCTGGGATGGGACTTCTGACACTAAGTCATAAGAAACCTTATTATAGTTTCTCCCTGATCCTCTTGGAATTTTTGCTTTTGAGTTGCTCCCTCTGGAAGCCCAGATATTGAAGGGGTGGCCTGCCCCTCCACACCTGTGGGTGTTTCTCGTCAGGTCAGACGAGAGACTGAGAAAAGAAAGAGACACAGAGACAAAGTATAGAGAAAGAAAAGTGGGCCCAGGGGACCCACGCTCAGCATATGGAAGACCCATGCAGGCACCGGTCTATGAGTTCCCTCAATATTTATTGATCATTATCTCTACCATCTCAGAGAGGGGGATGTGGCAGGACAATAGGGTAATAGTGGGGAGAGGGTCAGCAGGAAAACATGTGAACAAATGTCTCTGTGTCAAAAACAAGGTTAGAAAAGGTGCTGTGCTTTGATGTGTACACACATAAACATCTCTGGTGCATTAAAGAGCAGTATTGCCGCCAGCCTGTCTCACCTCCAGCCTTAAGGCGGTTTTCTCCTATCTTAGTAGATGGAACATACAATTGGGTTTTACACCGAGACATTCCATTGCCCAGGGATGAGCAAGAGACAGATGCCTTCCTCTTATCTCAACTGCAAAGAGGCCTTCCTCTTTTACTAATCCTCCTCTGCACAGACCCTTTAAGGGTGTCAGGCTGGGGGACCGTCAGGTCTTTCCCTTCCCACGAGGCCATATCTCAGACTATCACAGGGGGGAAGCCTTGGACAATACCTGGCTTTCCTAGGCAGAAGTCCCTGTGGCCTTCCGCAGTGTATTGTGTCCCTGGGTACTTGAGATTAGAGAGTGGTGATGACTTTTAACAAGCATACTGCCTTCAAGCATTTGTTTAACAAAGCACATCCTGCATGGCCCTAAATCCATTAAACCTTGAGTCAACACAGCACAAGTCTCTGCGAGCACAGGGTTGGGGGTAGGGTTACAGATTAACAGCATCTCAAGGCAGAATTTTTCTTAGTACAGAACAAAATGGAGTCTCTTATGTCTACTTCTTTCTACATAGACACAGTAACAGTCTGATCTCTCTTTCTTTTCCCCACAAGATATCATGGTGTGAGAAGTCCAAATTACACGGATAGTCCATGTACAGGTGCTCTAGGTGACAGCCTGTTATTAGTCTGCTCAGGATTGCATAACAAAATACCATAGACTAGTTGGCTTAAATAAAATAAATTTATTTTCTCATAGTTCTGGAGGCTGGAAATCTGAGATCAAGGTGCCTGTATGGTTGGGTTCTGTTGAAAGCTCTCTTCCTGGCTTGCAAAGGCCACCTCTCACTGTGTCTTCACCTTGCAGGGAGAGAGAGAGAGAGGAAAGAGAGAGAAAGAGAGGAAAGAGAGAGAGAGGAAAGAGAGAGAAAGAGAGGAAAGAGAGAGAGAGGAAAGAGAGAGAAAGAGAGGAAAGAGAGAGAGAGGAAAGAGAGAAAGGAGAGAGAGAGAGAGAGAAGAGAGAGGGAGAGGAAAGAGAGAGAGAGGAAAAAGAGAGGGAGAGTGTTAGATATGAGTTCTAAATTTCTTTTCAAAGAATCAATATGTCAGTATGTTCAATTCTTCGCCTTCTACTTTTAAACTTCCTCATAAAGCAACCTTTTTTGATTACCTGCTCCACCCTGACTCATTTCAATCATCTACTCCACCCTGACTCATTCCTGTTACCTTCTGCACCCTAACTCATTCCGATTATCTGCTATGTGCTCCACCCTGACTCATTCTCCACCCTGCATAAGCATTTTTCCCGCCAAACCACTCACCCCGTCACTCTCTTTAAATTAGCCAGTCGGAATTAGTTTAGCCTGTGTGGTCTAACGCTAGCCAATAGGGGAACGACACAGCAGCAGGGCCCACATGCGTCAGGGTAAGAACCTCTTTCCCTCCCTTGTCCAAGTGTGCGCTCACCATTGCTTCATCTGTAAGGGCACACACTTCTATAGAAGTACCTTGCCTTGCTGAGACTTGCAGCACTGAAACTTTATTTATAACAGAAAGAGAAAGAAAGAAAGCACTCAGGTGTCACTTCTGGGGGTAATGATCCCATACTACCCAGGGCCCTACCCTCATGAAATCATCTAAGTATAATGATCTCCCAAAGCATCCATCTCCAAATACCATCATGTTGGTGGTTAGGGCTTCCATACATATACTTTGGGGGACACAAACATTCAATCCATAACACAGGCCTCAATGAGTTTCCATCTCATAGATAGCATTAATTTCCATTATGGGAATAAGCAATCTTTAACATTCAGCCCAGTCAGATTTCAGATGACTGTAGCCCCAGCAAGCATTTAACCACAACTGCATAATAAATTCCAAGCTAGAACCACTCAACCAACTGGAGTCAATATACAGAACCAGGAGTAATAATAAATTGCTTTATGACACCAAGTCTTGAGCTGGTTTATTATGCAACAAAAGCTAATCTGAATAGAAATTAGCACCAGAAGTTGAAGTGTTACCATAACAAAAACTATAACGTGGCATTGTTTTGGGACCAGTAGGAGAGCAGTAGTTGAGAGTGTCTTAGGAGACTCAGTGAAGGCTGATGACGGCGAGATTTTGTAACTGAAGTCTGGAGAAAAGAGAGGATGCCCATTATGTAGTGGCCTGAAAGTCTGGCAAAACTATTGACTGCAGTAATGTTGCAAAAATAAAATTATGCCTAACAAAATGCCATAGTTGGTTAAGAAAATTGCTAAGCAGAAGGTTGAAAATGTCAATTTTTTTTAAAGCCACCTATGATAAGTTATGGATATAGAGAAATAATAAAAAAGGAACTACTCATCAATCAAGCAGAATTTAGAGAAATATAATAAAGTTGCTACTTCCTAGGTTCAAAAAAACCTATTATCCCCCAAATATCAAAAGAATATAATTAAAAAGACACAAACTGAGAAATGACTCTATTCTTTATTTCTCTTATCCTATATTATTTTCATGATTCATCTTTTCAATCCATGATTTCTAGTACTTTAAACTTCTAAGCACTTTTGTCAAGCAAAACTGGCTTTTTAAAAAAATCATCTCTGCCCTGTGTCATTTTTAATTAGAATGGAAGGTATATTTTGAAAACATTATTAGAAATGTAATGTACAAACTAATTAGGGGTAAGGATTAGTGAGCATGTCTGGATTGTACCAACCCTACACATTCCAAAGAAAGTTTTGGCCCTTGACCAGCTCCTGGGAAATAACTTCTAAGCCCTTGGAATATCTGGCTTGATGAGGATGTCTTTGTGCCTTGGTCCATCCTTGCACTGCTATAAAAAAATACCTGAGACTGGGTAATTTACAAAACAGAGATTTAATTAGCTCACGGTTCTGCAGGCTATATAGAAAGCATGGCTGGAGGGTCCTCAAGGAGCTTTTACTCATGTCAGAAGGCAAAGCCAGAGCAGGCATCTTCACATGGAGCAGGAGGAACAGAGAGAGGGGGATGTGCTACACACTTTTAAGTGATCAGATCTCTTGAGAACTCTATCACAACTATAGTACCAAAAGGGGGAAACTCATTTCCATGACTAAATCACCTCCTACCAGGCCCCATCTCCAACACTAGGGATTAAAATTCAACATAAGATTTGGGTGTGGATACAGACTCAAACCATATCAGTGTGTTACCTGGAGTCTTGGGCCATGCCAGATAGTTTATGCTAACAATGTGCTTTTTGGTAGGGAGTTTTTGGCCATATGGTATCAGTTTGACTTCTAGAGGAGCTGGAGACTGAATAAGGCCAGTCACAGATGACCTAAATTTGATGACCTCCTGGTGACCTAAAGTTGTTACTTTATAGTGGTTAAAAAGTCACCAAAATTTTCTGGCCTCGGTTTCATTATTTATACAATGGGATAATGATAGATCCTCTACCTAGGTCATAAAGTTGTCACAAAAGCCAAAATATAATATTGGTAAAAATACACTGCAAGTTATGTGGTTTCAAATTCTATAACCACTGCTACCACTACCTGCCTTACAACCAGTATATATTATTTCTGTACAACTGTATTATTACTGTAAAACTGTAAAACTGAGGTCGAAAAGGCCAAGGGATTGAGACAGTCTTGCTTTAGCTAAAATCACATTAAAAAGTAATCTTCAGGCTTTTTTCCTCAAAATGATGTTAGGAAAATAATATTAATTAAAGAAGCTATTAGCATTAGCCATATTCTTAAACAAAATATATAGCCACCATTTTTTCTTTTTTGAGAGGGAGAAATATCTTCTACTAGAAGGTGCTGAATATAGTTTGTTTGTTTGTTTTATATTAACCACAATACATAATGAAAATATGAATAAAATTCTCTCCTTAGGGCCAAATTCTTCTTTCTTGAGCAAGAGAGAAAACCTAAAGACAAGCTATTTTGTTGTAGATTGTCAAAAAAAAAAAAAAAAAGAGAGGCATTACAAACAACTGGAATTATTCAAGGAATCATGGAAAATAGGGACTGTCTAAATGAAAAAAAAAATCACCTCATTGCTCTTTACACTTCATTTGAGGATTTTATGCACTGTTAATTTATTCATTGAGTTCTGGTTCTAAATGCTCCAGTGGAATCAAGACTGCTTTTCTCAAGGGGCAGGGAAAATGCCATAGGGTTTTCAAATCAGAATTCGTGTTAATAATTCTAAAGCAAAGGCTTCTCTGCTGAAACAGAAAGATTAACTCTGCACGTATTCCTGTCCCTCACCTTTTAATTTTTTTTTTTTTTTTGGCATTAACACAAAATGTGTTTTGTTGACTCATGGTGTGCCATATTAGTTAAATTAAACATCAAACATCTGTCTAACTTTAAGATTCCAACATGAGTATGTTGGCAGTCTCAGTAAAACTGGGGCTGTTAAAGGCCTTCAATCAGTCAAAGGGATAGAGCTGCAGTAATGGCAAACTCAGCAAGCAATTACATCAAAGGATTTAAACTCTATTTCAGTAATGCCTTCTGGATAATGACATTGATCTCAGCACTCCCCTTGCAGATTTCCTGGTATTGCAAAGCAGGATTCTGCATAGTTTCGCATTTAGAAAAACACCATTCACCATTTCTTTTTATGTGAACATAGTTCAATTCTCTTGAATACACCTACACAGCTATTTCTATAAAGCTAATAGACTTTTATTCATAAAGCCAAAATTCATGCTATGTACACAATCCTTTCTTTGTTCTTTTCTGTCACACCAATTTTGCCAAAGTGGTAGAAGTAATGAGAAGATTATGCTACCTTTTACACTCATACTATTTTTACCTTAACACAAGCAGTATAAACAGATCAATCAATCAATCAATCAATCAATGTTTTGCTCTTTCTCTTTGTATTTTAACCTTCACTCAGTTTGCTTATCTTTAGGGGTTGATATGCATAAATGAAATTATTGTAGATGAGAATGTTTTACATTAAAAGGATTTTTGTAAACCTAAACCCTCCCTCCCTTCTTTCCTTCTTCTGTTTTTTTGCAGTCTCGGGGGTTGAGGTGTCGGGGGACATATTGGTTTAGGGAGATTTGTGAACTATCTGTAGATCACTTGAGTGGGTTTTAATGCTGGCTAAGTAGTTTTTAAGCAGTTGTTCTAGTGAAGGAATAGCTAGATGTAACTTCATCCTTAAACGTAGGTGCTATAAAGCAACTCTCCAGTTTATCAAAGTTATGTGTGGTTTCCTGCTTTAAAAGAAGTAAAAATTCAAATCTAATGCTACACAGAGACTACATTTTTTTAAATTTTTATATATTTAAGGGGTACAAGTGCATATTTCTTACATGCTCGTATTGTATAGTGGTGAAGTCTGGCCTTTTAGTGTACCCCTCAGCAGAACAGTGAACATTCTACCAAACAAGTAATTTTTCAACCTTCACCCTCCTCCCACCCTCCCACCTTTTGTAGCCTCTAATGTCTATTATTCCCCTCTGTAGGCACATGTGTACCAATTGTTTAGCTCTCACTTATAAGCAAGAATATGTGGTATTTGACTTTCTTTTTCTGAGTGATGGCACTTAGGATAATGGCCTCCAGTTTCATCCATGTTGCTGCAAAAGACATAAATTTATTCATTTTTATGGCTGAGTAGTATTACATACACATATACTATTACATGTGTATGTATATATACACCATTAAATGTGTGTATATATGTATATATATACCATTACATGTATATGTATGTGTGTGTATATATACATATATATATATATACACACACACACCATTACGTGTGTGTAAATATACATTTTCTTTTAAATTAATTTTTTTTTTCAGATGGCGTCTTGCTCTGGCACCCAGGCTGGAGTTCAGTATCACGTTCTTGGCTCACTGCAACTTCCGCCTTCCAGGTTCAAGCAATTCTCCTGCCTCAGCCTCCTCCAGAGAAGCTGGGATTACAGGTGCACGCCACCATGCCCAGCTAATTTTTGTGTTTTTAGTAGAGATGGGGTTTCACCATGTTGTCCAGGCTGGTCTCGAACTCTTGACCTCAAGTGATCTGCCCTCCTCGGCCCCCACAAAGTGTTGGGATTACATGCATGGGCCACAGTACCCAGCCTATATATACATTTTCTTTATTCAATTCTTTTTTGATGGACATTTAGGTTGATTCCATAACTAGCACTTGTGAATAGTGTTGTGATAAACACATGAGTGCAAGTATCTTTTTAAATAATGATTTCTTTACCTTTGATTTGATACCCAGTAGTGAGATTGCTGAATCAACTGGTAGTTATAATTTAATTCTCTGAGTAATCTCCATGCCATTTTCCATAGAAGTTGTACTAATTTACATTCCCACTAGCACTGTATAAGTGTTTCATATTCTCTTCATCTTCAACAACATCTGTTGTTTTTTGACTTTTTAATAATAGCCATTCTGACTGGTATACAATGGTATTTCATTGTGGTTTTAATTTGCATTTCTCTCACAATTACTCAGGTTGAACATTTTTTTCATATGTTTTTTGGTCACTTGTATGTCTTCTTTTGAAAACTGCCTGTTTGTGTCCTTTGCCCCCTTTTTCATGTTTTTGTTTTGTTTTGTTTTTCTTGTTGAGCTGTTTGAGTTCCTCACAGATTCTGGATATTAGCCATTTATTAGATACAGGGTATGCAAATTTTTTTTCCCATTCTGTAGGTTGTCTGTTTATTCTGGTGACTATTTCTTTTACTGTGCAGAAGCTTCTTAGTTTAATTAAGTTGCATTTGTCTGTTTTTGTTTTTGCTGCATTTGTTTTTGAGGTATTCATATATTCTCTGCCTAGGCCAATGTACAGAAGAGCTTTTCCTAGATTTTCTTCTAAGATTTTTATACTTGCGTGTCTTACATTTAGGTCATTAATCCATCTTGAGTTAATTTTCATATCTGGTGAGAGGTATGGGTCCAGTTTTATTGTTTTGCATGTGAAGATTCAATTTCCCCAGTACCAGGTATTGAAATAAGGTTTCCTTTCCTCAGTGTCTATTTTTGTGACTTTGTCAAAGATCAGTTGGTTGTAATATGTCACTTTATTTCTGGGTTCTTTATTTTATTCCACTGATCTATGTGAGACTACCTGTTTTTGATGTAACATAATAATAGATAATACATGTAATTTTATTATTTGTTATTTATTTGTCTAGTCTTTGAATCTATAACCTACTCTATGCCAGAATCTCTAGTGTATTACTACAAAGCTTGTATTGTTAAAGCTCTTTGTATCATCTTCTAAACTCCTAAAATCTTTTTTATCTTAAACCAAATAAACATTCTTTTGCAAGTATATCCCATAAGATGTTTACCCTATATTACTTTTACAGTGAAACAGTTTGAAATGGTTCTAAAAAAAGGTTTCCATTTGCCACCTCCAATTCATTCCTGTGCCTTGACCTTAGCTACTAGGAGAAAGATGATTAAAGGTGGCTCTGATTCCCCTATACCCAAGGGGAATAAAGTCCATATACAACTCTATGAGTATACTGGGGCAAAGTCACTATGCACCTATTCAAGTGTACTGAGATGTTACCGGGAAATGAGGATACTTAAACTTTTATTACTCTGTTATCTAGCACATTAATAACCAAGTTATATTCTATCTAGTTTAATAGGTGAAAGAGTGCCTAGATTCAACCAATAGGCTGTGGGGAAGGTTTAGAGTGGGAAAGAGAAGCTAGTGCGACCCTATGGGTGCAGCTCTTTGGGCTAAATCAGTGTACTGTTGTTGTTTACACCTCAGAATGTATAGTAGGAAATGAAGTGTTATATACTTATAGTTCCCTGTCCTGTAAGTGTCATAATAGATTATACCAATTTGGAAAACTGTATATAGAAAAGAGCTAATACCCTCAGGGATCTACAGCTCTAATGATGCTTTTGAGGCACAAGTTTCTGTGACTAATGATTTTGCTAGTTAGAGCCACTGGCAAAGGGAATAAATACCTTTCTGGAGGCTCCCTTTGGGGTTTGGAACTTCTTGCCTGCATGACAAAGCTTAGCTATTACCTTGCTATTAGGCTTTTGTCAAAACTGAATGTCTAATCCAGACCTACCTTATAACTCTCTGGTCTGATAATACGTTTTTGGGTGGTTAATTCAGTTGCCATGACTAACAAGGTGGGAAGGGTCTAATAAGTCTGTCTTCTAATGCAGTAACATATTAAAAAATGCAGCTGGCCTGGCCCTAGCAATGTCTCTCTTTTATATGAAAAAGTAGCAGCTATCTCTTCATGGGAACCTTATCCCCAACCTTGCTGTCTGAAGCAAAGCAAGCTGCTATCTCAGTGGGGCCGTTGAATCACAGAAGTTCCCCTAAATGCTAGGCCTAATTCACTGATGATTGAGCAAAGTTGGAAGCTGACAGTATCCTCTGGGTTGTGCAGATATTCAATGTTAACACTAACTATGCAGGATTAAAACCAGTCACGGGCATTTTACTTTGTAGGCAGTATAGAAAGTCATTCTCATAGATTTGGCCAATGCTCCCTTTGATAAACTTCAGTATATTTTTACTGAATCCAGCTCTTTAGTCTGCCACTTGGAAAACTATAAGCGATGAATAAAAAACACCCATTTTGAGGCCATGAACTGTGAAAACAAAGGTTGCTGATTAATTTTCTGGATTACTCATATAAATGCCCATGGTTAAGGCTTGTTTTCTAATGAGACTAACTGCAATCAATCTGTTGATTGATCCTGCGTCACCCAGATTCCCAATGTTGCTACAAAGATTCATCATTGTGCTGAACATGGCAACACTTCCACAATTAAAGTAGAATGGGCACATTACAGTCTGCATAGTTATGATGCAGAGGCTGCCACTGAACTCATACTTGTGACCCCTGATAAAGTTTGACCTAATTGTCTCTCACGGAGAGAGGCTGTATGGCACAGGGCATTGTCTGTGCCAACTTGTGACAGTTTGACTTCATGGATCTTTGACCCCATGCTGGTTATCAGTGATGTCTTGCTGCCATTTTTACTTTTTTTGCTTATTGCTTTGTCCTTGTAGTCTGACCCAAATGACTCTAGTCATACCATCATGGCCTTCGAAACTAACCTATGTTATATTTTCAGATTTCTGGATCATTTGCAATCCGACAATGGATAACTCAAGTAATTAGTGGACTTTCAATGCTCCTTATCATATGATATTGTTAATAGTTGAAATAGCCTCCTTAAAAACTGACTTAAAAAGTTTTCTAACTCTACCTTCTACTTAACAAGGCAGTTTGCTGACTCAATGTGACTATTCTCAGAAAGAAGTTATCTCCTCCTAGCCACTTCTGGATAATGATCAGAATGAAAGGGAAGGGGTTATGTAGATCTATGTTGAAACTTTGGGAATCCCCCCCTGATTATTCCTGGCCATGGTACTTATTTCATTTTCCTAACAGCAACCCCAGGCAACCTAGTTCCTCTGGGTGAAAGCCTGTCCACGAGGGTCTAAATAACTCACATTTGATTCTGGTTCAGACACTAAGATTCTCTTGTTAGATTGGCTTAGTCACAGACCATATGGGTATTGACTATTTGGTTGAATGTATTGCTCGTTGATTCCCCCTGTAGTGGAACATATGGGCCAAAGTGAGAGACATAATTGGTTTCTGCATACTTTCTTCATTAGGTTAAAGAAAGATCACTTTTAGGCTAGAAGATGATCTTCCTTGAACCTAAAGATGATCTTGCATTAAACTGAGATCTAATTAAATGGCTGGATTTGAATGAAAAATGATTGGGAAAAAGTTGTATCGAAAGCTAGGGACTAGGACAGCTGAATTTTGTCATGGCAGAAGGATAACAATCTTAGTGCTAGGAGACCCTTGAAAGCATAGGTAAAGAAAGGACTGTACTTACCTCTGTCTTTCAGAATCACCTCTGGAGCTTCCTCATGAAGGAAGACATCTTGAGGCCAAAACCTCAGTGTTTCTCTCCTTTAATGAGTCTACTGTGTGTGTAGGCAGGCATTCATGCGGGCTCATCTGTGTTGCCCTGTGAGGCTTGTGGGCTAGGATGCAAATATGCTGATGCTCATGTTGCTTACTGGCCATGATTAAGAAAATCCATTGTCTCTTGGCTCAGGCCTGTTTGCCAGCAAACATGAAATTGTGGCAGGCAACCACGTTAGCCTGCAAGAACGGTAAATCTCAGATCTTCTCAGTTTTTGACAGGAGGGATACTTATTTGGAGTTAAGTTCATTCCTTGAGTTTATTATTATTATTACTTTTAAAAAGAAGAAAAATGAAGATAACCAAAGATATACCTTGAGAGTTTTGTTTTAAAAGAATAATATTTTCAAAGAAATCATGAGCATGTAAAATACAAGGACTAAAAAGGATACTTGAATTATGAAGCAGAAGAAAGAATAAGTTTAATAAATAAACTCAAATCTAGTTGAAAGAAACCAACACTCTAGATAATATCTGAAAAGCTGTTATCTACAAGGGTAGAAGTAGGGGAATAATATTTCAAAGAATAAGGGGATCTAATAACTAGAAATTGGGTCTTGGTATAATCACAGGTAAGACTGATTAGATGAGAAATCATGAGGATTAGTCTAGGAATTCTTAAGTATGTTCTAACACAGACAAGATTTGTTGATCACTTGGGAAAGGGAAAGGGCTGACGTTTTGATAATGTCATGGGTTGAGTTCTCTCATATTCTGTGATGATTTAAAGATAGCATGTACTATATTTTAGGTAGACCACTACTTCTTTTTACTTTGTAGTGTGACACAAAAGGGTTCTATGTGCTAGGGAAAACTTTTATAATACTGTGATTTACATTTTATATGTATGAACAATTTCTGGGTACAAATATAAAGAGACTGGCCAAGGATGTCTATCTAAGGAAACACATATGCTTTGCATGATTTTTAGAAGTACTTCTGTATTTAATTTATGCAATTTATAAGGTAGGTGGCTAGATATCACAACGGAGAGTATTTAGTTGATGTAGTATTTACTATTTAGTTGAACTTTAATTCTTACAGCAATTATAAGAACACAAGAAAAAAAAAGATTTATGGAAGGCAAGTTTAGTCTAACCATATGTTGAGGTTTCTAGTGCATTCAAGGCCACTGAGAATGAAATAGTCTGTTATCAGAAAGTAAAAAGAAAATAATTTTAAAATTATGTAAAAAAGCTTCTTATCTTTCACTTCAACACAACTACAGACTAATATAATGATGTTAAATATTGGTAACAGAAAACAAATATCAAGCAAACACAATCTTCTTCCTTAGTCTGCCCTCTCAGTTCTGAGAATAGGAATAATAGCATTCATCTACCACACTGCGTATACAGTTAAAAACTCATAGGGAAAGTATTGATGCAAAAGGATTGAGACAGCTAAAATTAAAGCCCCTGAAAGTTAGACTGCTTCATAGAATGCTAACTGCTGACACAGTTTCAATTAGTGTATATTGTAGATTGAATAATGCTATTTCAAGCATGGACTATAAAAAATTAGCTGAAAATAATGAAAGATAATTTGAATAATGGTAACATCACTATTTCTCATCTAATATTTATATCATATTTATAATTTTATATTCACCCTCATTACCATCAAACAGCACCAGCAAGAATAGAAACTAGCTCCATTGTTTTCCTGTAACGTATCTTCACTGCCAGTTAGAAAAAGAAAGTTCTATTTCAGTAATAAAATTAGAACTCCAATCTTTTATTGGAGAGAGAATACTCATGCTACAAGTTAATAATTTTGTGACTCTCAAAAGTATAGCAGTTGAGTTTTCTTTCTACTATTAGTCTGAATTTTTCTTATAAATACAAGGGAGTTAGGAATGATATTCCCAAATACAGATAAGAGAAATCAAGCTACAAAGGGTCTGTTAACTTTGCATTACCTTTTGCTGGTAGTATGGCCAAATGATATTCATCTTTAGTTTGCGTTTTTTACTAAAATGTGTTGCCAATGAAAAAATTTAAGTTTGGGTTATTTGTGTATTACAGATACATTGTTGTGCAATACTAGCCATAAAATATTGTATTGTTGAAAGTATAGGCTGGGTGCGATGGCTCACGCCTGTAATCCCAGCACTTTGGGAAGCACAGGCAGGTGGATCACTTGAGGTCAGGAGTTTGAGACCAGCGTGGCCAGCATGGCAGAACCCCGTCTCTGCTAAAAATAAAAAAATTAGCCAGGTGTGAAGGTGCATACCTGTAATCCCAGCTAATCGGGAGGCTGAGGCAGGAGAATCGCTTGAACCTGGGAGGTGGAGGCTGCAGTGAATAGAGATCATGCTACTGCACTCCAGCCTGAGTAATAGAGGGAGACTCTTTTTTTTTTAGAGTATATTATTGAAAATATATATAGGAAAATATATTATTGAATATATATGCTTATAAAGCTATGGAATGTGGATGAAATATATATACTCATCAATAATTCTAGTTATTCTTCTCTTGTTTTTGCAAATAATTTGCACTGACAGTTTTTTTTTATTTTGTCATTATACTATATGTGCCCTTTTAGAATTTTCAGTAACACAATATTTTTTTATTTACTGTTATAGCCGTCAGAATCTGGCAAATATGTAATACATGACCAACACTAAAGAAATACAGAAATTAAAAAGAAAATTAAGTTATTACAGGACCCCAATATAGAGACCTAAATACGCACCTATGAAATAACTGCCTGAATATGCTTCTCATAGGGAAAGTGAGATTATGAATATTGTGTCTTAATGGTTCTGCCTCTACTATCTACAAACAGGCACTTCAAAAACATAGCAATATTTTCAAGTATAACAAAAGTCCAGTGTGACTGAGAATTTTGTTATTTATCAGAGGAAGTAATTTATCAGTATTTTCTGCTCTAATGTGTTACTCAGCTGCTCTAATGTGACACTCAACATTCATTTACATACTGTTTTATTATCTTTCTTCTGCATTTTGAGATTGATAAACTATCTTTAATTGCATTTCTTTAAAAAATTTTACTTTGAGCTAATTTAAACTTCAGAAAAATTACAAAAATGACAAAGATGGTAAACAGTGTTTTCAGATTCCCCTCATCCAGCTTCCCCTTAGGCTAACATCTTACATAACCATAGTACAACCATCAAGAACAGAAAATTAACATTGGCACAGTTTTATTAACCAAACTGTAGACATTCAAATTTCACCAAGTTTTCCATTAATGTCCTTTTATATGTTCCAATAGCCTATCCAGCATCCCACACTGTATTTAGTTGTGATTTATTCTTAATTTATTCTATTCTACGAAAGTTTCTCAGTCTTTCCTTCTCTTTTATGATCTTATCACCCTTGAAGAATACTGATTCATTAATTTTTAGATGATCCTTCAATTTGGGTTTGATGTTTACTTATGACTGGATTTCCTTTCTAGTGCATTGTATCAAGGGGTCCATATGTTGATATGTCTCATTACTGGCAATGTTAATCTTGATCATGTGGGTAAGGTGATGTCTGGCAAGGTTTTCTGCTGTAAAACCTACTTACCTTTATAGTCAGTATACATTTTGGAAGATATACTTTCATACTACACAAATCCTGTTTCTCCTCCGTCTTTCACACATTTTAGTACACATAACTGGATCTTCAATTATTACTGTGGTGTTTGCCTAACAGTAGTTTTCTATTTCCCTTTTCTTCTACATTTACTAATTGGAAGTCTACTATAGGGAAGAGCTCTATCAGTGTGGACAGATGGATATTTATTTTATTCCATGGGTTAAAATATAATATTATTAATTACTTTTTTGTTCAAATTATTTCATCTTTGAAGTAATTCCTTCAGGTTGGTCCCTCTGTTCTTTTGACAAGTTCCTATCCTACTTATGCATTTATTTGAGCACTTTCTTTCTTTCTGGTGTAAGAAGATGTTCCCAAGTACACTTAAATCCATGGTTAAAATCACACACTTCTCCAAGAAACTCTGATTCCTTTGATTAGAGAAAGGTAGTTAGAGACCAAGAACTGGGTACTAGTTGTGCTCATTGCTAGAGGGCTGTCAGTGTTTCTAAGTCTCCTCAGCAGAACAAACCATGTATATGTATGCATACTGGCTCATGCATATATATACAACTATATTTCTTTATTTATCTATATGATTACAAATATTTAATAACATAAGTTTATACTCATACCTCTGATTCCAGAACAGTACCACAGGGTTCATTTTAGCCTTTCACATTTCTTATTAGTAGTTTTTATTCTACAACTGTGTTGAAATTTAGTGATGATTTTCTTTTTACACAGTTATTTTGTAGGTTAGATATGTTCTTTCTTCATCTAATTTCATGGATGTGATTTTGTGTACAGTTTATGTTGTCACGAATCTATTTTAAATCATTTGGAGAGAGGAATTTGAGAGGTTGATTACTACAGTCTGAATTGTCTTCAGCCATCCATGAACTAACCCCTTTTTGTTTTATTAACTGAAACAAACATAGAATAGTGAAATCCTATGAAATCAGAAACACTAGGTTTCAGTCAGTCTCTACCGATACCTCTGTAACTCTAAACAACTTTATGTACAATGAAATTAACATCTGTGGGAATCAGTTATATCATCTGAAAATGGAGAACTTAGGCTAACTAATCTTTAAGATTTCTTCCACTGTCTTTTATAGTAACTCAAAAGATTATTGGAAACAATATTGTTAGATCAATTTTGTGCCAAAATCAAATAATGTGGTCTGAGTGGAACATATTGATTAAAAGTATTCTCTGAGTTAATTCTGGGTTCTAACACTTAATAGTTTTGTGATCTTATATTAGTTATATCTCAGTTTCAGTTCTGTCTTCTATATAAGAGGTTTTGTTGTTAAATTCTCTAAATTAAATTTTTTAGTATATGTGGAAAACTTTTAAATGACTAAATCTATCTCTCTAGTAGTTTTAGGTCTATTCATCCTTTCTCTTTTTTATTGTGTCAGTTTTTATAAGTTGTATTTTTCCAAGAATCTGCTGAATCCATTCAAATTTATTCACAGAGTTGTTTATTCTATCATCTTATGATCTTTTTAAGGTGGTAAGAACTTTAGAAAGATCTCTTTTCATTCCAGTATTAGGTGAGCTAAGTTTTCCTTCTCTTGCTTCATCAGTCTTGCTAGAGGTATATCAAATTTGTTAGTTATTTCTAAAAACTTACTTTTAATTTTACTGATCTTTTTATATATCTCTATATTTCATTCTTTCTACTTTTGTGTTTTTGTTGCTATTTCGATAAAAATTTAATATTTAATGATTACTTTTGAATAATTTATTATAATATATGCACCTACATCAATAAATATTCATTGAGGTACTACCTTATAAAGAGAGTACTTTTTTGAATTAAGGCCCACTATGTCTTTTGTTAATATAATATAACTATATGATTGAAGGATTAGTGATTGCATGGTATAGTATTTTCAACCCTTTTACTCTCAATTTACTTGTGTATTCTTATTTTTTATGTGTCTCTTATAAACAGCATATATTATTCTTCTTAAATCAGTCTGAAAATCACTACATTTAGTCCAGTTTATTCTAATGATTTAACTGATAGGTTTAGGTTGAAATTAACATCTTTTTATGAGCTTTCTCTTTTCCTGTATGTTCCATATATTTCTGTCTTTTCTTTTGAGTTGATTTTTAAATGTATTCCATTTATATCCCTTGTTTTTCTATTCCTATTTAGATATCCATAGAAATTGTTTATACATATTCTTGATTTATGAAAGCATTTTCTCTCTTCTTGGACAATGAATGAAATTTATGTCAGGATCTCCACTTAACTCCTGATATACATTTTATTCTGTAATTCTCTAAATATTTTACTATTATAAAATATAATTCTAAGACCATAACACAGTACTATTTTTGTTTTATACAGTCAATGTTTGATTAGGTTAAAGCATATATTTACCATTTTCTTTAAAAATTTATATTTTGTATTAGGTAATCCAGTACCAAATACTCTATTTTAGGGTTTCAAATAATGCTTTTTTTTGAAGTATGCTCAAATAACTTTATTTTACACACTTAATGCTCAGATTGTGAAGTGAAACATCTCTTTGAATAGAAAAAAAAAACAGAAAAGGCTGAAAAGATATAGTGGAACACACTCCAATGGTAGCCTTATAATGCCTAGGTCAAAATAAAATATCTCAGTTAAGACAGTGCATATCCCAACCCTCCCTCCTGCCTGAGTGGAGAGTTCCTTTCTCCTTTCTTTTTTGTTTTATTTTAAGTTCTGGGATACAAATGCAGAACGTGTAGGTTTGTTACATCGGTATACGTGTGCCATGGTGGTTTGCTGCACCTATCAACCAGTCAACTAGGTTTTAAATCCCATATCCATTAGGTATTTGTCCTAATGATCTCCCTCCCCTCTCCCTGCTACTCCCAACTGGCCCTGGTATGTGTTGTTCTCCTCACTGTGTCCATGTGTTCTCATTGTTCAGCTCCCACTAATGAGTGAGAACATGCGGTGTAACATGCAGTGTTTGGTTTTCTGTTCCTGTGTTAGTTTGATGAGGATAATGACTTTCAACTTCCTCTGTGTCCCTGCAAAGGACATAATCACATTCCTTTCTTTGGCTGCATAGTATTTCATGGTGTATATGTATCACATTTTCTTTATCCAGTCTATCATTGTTGGGCATTTGGGTTGCTTCTATGTCTTTGTTATTGTAAATAGTGCTGCAATAAATATATGTGTGCATGTGTCTTTTTAGTAGAATGATTTATGTTCCTTTTGGTATATACCCAGTAATAGAATCGCTGGGTCAAATGGTATTTCTGGTTCTAGATCCTTGAGGAATCACCACACTGTCTTCCACATTGATTGAACTAATTTACATTACCACCAACAGTGTAAAAGCATTCCTATGTCTCCACAGCCTTGCCAGCATCTATTGTTTCTTGACTTTTTATTAATGGCCACTGTGACTGGTGTGAGATGTTATGTCATTGTTGTTTTGATTTGCATTTCTCTGATATCACTGATGTTGAGCTTTTTTCATTGTTTGTTGGCCATATAAATGTTTTCTTTTGAAAACCGTCTGTTTATATCCTTTGCCCACTGTTTGATGGGCTTGCTTGTTTTTTTCTTTTAAATTTGTTTAAGTTCCTTATAGATTCTGAATATTAGACCTTTGTCAGAGGGGTAGATTGCAAAAATCTCCCATTCTGTAGGCTGCCTGATCACTCTGATGAGAGTTTCCTTTGCTGCACAGAAGTTCTTTAGTTTAATTAGATACTATTTGTCAATTTTGGCTTTTCTAGCAATTGCTTTTGGTGTTTTCATAATAAAGCCTTTGCCCATGCCTATGTCCTGAATGGTATTGCCTAGGTTTTCTTCTAGGGTTTTTATAGTTTTGGGTTTTACATTTAAGTCTTTAATCCATCTTTAGTTAATTTTTGTATAAGGTGTAAGGAAGGGGTCTAATTTCAGTTTTCTGCATATGGCTAGCCAGTCTTCCCAGCACCATTTATTAAATAGGAAATCTTTTCTCCATTGCTCGTTTTTGTCTGGTTTGTCAAAGATCAGATGTTTGTAAATGTGTGATGTTATTTCTGAGGTCTCTGTTCTGTTCCATTGTTCTATACGTATATTTTGGTACCAGTACCATGTTGGTTTGGTTGCTGTAGCCTTGTAGCATAGTTTGAAGTCAGGTAGCATGATGCTTGCAGCTTTGTTCTTTTTGGTTATGACTGTCTTGGCTATACATGCTCCTCTTTGGTTCCATATGAAATTTAAAGTAGATTTTTTTCTAATTCTGTGAAGAATGTCAGTGGCAGTTTTATGGGAATAGCATTGAATCTATAAATTACTTTGGGCTATATGGCCATTTTCATGATACTGGTTCTTCTTATCCATGAGGATTGAATGTTTTTCCATTTGTTTTTGTCCTCTCTATTTCCTTGCAGAGTGGTTTGTAGTTCTCCTTGAAGAGGTCCTTCATATCCCTTGTTAGCTGTATTCCTAGGTGTTTTATTCTCTTTATAGCAGTTGTGAATGGGAGTTCATTTATGATTTGGCTCTCTGCTTGTCTATTGTAGGTGTATAGGAATGCTTGTGAATTTTGCACATTGATTTTGTATCCTGAGACTTTGTTGAAGTTGCTTATCAGCTTAAGGAGTTTTTGGGCTGAGATGATGGGGTTTTCTAAATACAGACTTGTGTCTTTTGCAAATAGAGACTATTTGGCTTCCTCTCTTCCTATCTGAATAGGCTTTATTTCTTTCTCTTGCCTGATGGCCCTGGTGAGACCTTCCAATACTATGTTGAATAGGAGTGGTGAGAGAGGGCATCCTTGTCTTGTGCCAGTTTTCAAAGGAAATGCTTCCAGCTTTTGCCCATTCAGTATGATAATCAGCTGTGGATTTTGTCATAAATAGTTATTTTTATTTTGAGATATGTTCCATCAATGGGGTGTTAAACCTAAAACTAGGTAGTTTACTGAAAGTTTTTTACATGAAGAGATATTGAATTTTATCAAAGGCCTTTTTGCATCTATTGAGATAATCATGTGGTTTTTGTCATTGGTTCTATTTATGTTATGGATCGTGTTTATTGATTTGCGTATGTTGAACCAGCCTTGCATCCCACGAATGAAGCTGACTTGATTGTGGTGGATAAGCTTCTTGATGTGCTTCTGGATTCAGTTTGCCAGTATTTTATTGAGGATTTTCGCATCGATGTTCATCAGGGATATTGGCCTGAAGTTTTCCTTTTTTGTTGTGTCTCTCTGTCAGGTTTTGGTATCAGGATGATACTGGCAAATAGACTTTAAACCAACAAAGATCAAAAAAGACAAAGAAGGGCATTACATAATGCTAAATGGGTCAATTAAACAAGAAGAGTTAACTATGCTAAATGTATATGCACTGAATTCAGGAGCACCCAGATTCATAAAACAAGTTCTTAGAGACCTACAAGGAGACTTAGACTCCCACACAATAATAGTGGGAGACTTTAACACCCCACTGTGAATGTTAGACAGATCAACGAGACAGAAAATTAACAAGGATATTCAGGACTTGAACTCAGCTCTGGACCTAATAGACATCTATAGAACTCTCCACCCCAAATCAACAGAATATACATTCTTCTCAGTGCCACATGGCACTTATTCTAAAATCGACCACATAATTGGAAGTACAACACTCCTCAGCAAATGCAGAAGAATGGAAATCATAACAAACAGTCTCTCTCACCACAGTGTAATCAAATTAGAACTCAGGATTAAGAAACTCACTAAAAACTGCAAAACTACATGGAAACTGAACAACCTGCTCCTGAATGACTCCTGGGTAAACTATGAAATTAAGGCAGAAATCAAGAAGTTCTTTGAAACCAATGAGAACAAAGAGACAACATACTAGAATCTCGGGACACAGCTAAAGTAGTGTTAAGAGGGAAACTTAGTGCTAGCTAGATGAATAAAGAAGAAAAGAAAGAAGAATTAAATAGACACAATAAAAATGATAAAGGAGGCCGGGCGCGGTGGCTCACGCCTGTAATCCCAGCACTTTGGGAGGCCGAGGCGGGCGGATTACGAGGTCAGGAGATCGAGACTATCCTGGCTAACGTGGTGAAACCCGGTCTCTACTAAAAATACAAAAAATTAACTGGGCATGTCGGTAGGCGCCTGTGGTCCCAGCTACTCGGGAGGCTGAGGCAGGAGAATGGCGTGAACCTGGGAGGAGGAACTTGCAGTGAGCCGAGATCACACCACTGCACTCCAGCCTGGGCGACAGAGTGAGACTCCGTCAAAAAAAAAAAAAAAAAAAAAAAAAAGATAAAGGGGATATCACCACTGATCCCACAGAAATACAAACTACCATTAGAGAATACTATAAACAACTCTAGGCAAATAAACTAGAAAAACTAGAAGATATGGATAAATTCCTGGATGCGTACACCTTCCCAAGAATAAACCAGGAAACAATAGAATCCCTGAATAGACCGTTAACAAGTTCTGAAATTGAAGCAGTAATTAATAGCCTTCCAACCAAAAAAAGCCCAGGACCAGATGGATTCACAGCAGAATTCTACCAGAGATACAAAGAGAAGCTGGTGCCATTCCTTCTGAAACTATTCCAAATAATTGAAAAGGTTGGCCTCCTCCCTAACTCAAACAATGCTTTATTCATGATGATTATCTTACTGCTGTTAAAATTTTTGGATTGGCAATTGTTTCCTTTTTTAGCAATTTAATTGCATATTTTTTATGACTCTGACTCAGAATGTTGCTACTGAGATTTCACCTGTTTATATAATTGCTACTCTGTTAAGGATATTTTTATCTTTCTGGCTGATTTTAAGATTTATTTCCTTGTATTTTATTTTCTGAAATTTTACTGTTTATGTCTAGTTGTGAATTATTTTTTAATTTAGCTTGTGTTGACTATTTAGGAATTCTTGAATCAAATGATCACTTCTCTGAAATTTTAGCTATCATCACTAAAAATATTGCCCCACCTCTTCTTCAGTAAAATTGGCAAAATTTTAAGCAGATAAATAATAATACACTTCATTCAGCTTTATGATTTATTAGCATATAGTGAAAAAAGTATTCTAATATGTTTATATTTCTGAATTTTTTCCATTTCTAAATTTTTCATATGTTTTTCTTCATAGCTGTAGCTAATAATATATCTGTTTTACAGTTTTATTCCAAAGAATCAGTTTACTTCCCATTCCTCTGCCATAACAATAAACTTATTTTCTGATCCTGTCCTAAACATTACCATTTTTTAGCATCTCATATATACTCCAATAAGGCAAATTCTTATGTGCTTAAATACTAACTTGAAGAGAAGTTACACAAGGAATACATATTTCTTGTGGAAACATTTAAAAATACAGATAAACACAAAAAGGAAAATTAAAAGTCATCTGTAATTCTGTCCATAGAGAAAATCACGGCTATATATTTTATGTATCTTCTCATGCGTCATAAACATTTTTACTTTTATTTTATCGATCTATGTATCTATTATTCACTTATTTATAAAGTTTTTTTTTTCAACTTTTATTTTAGATTCAGTGGATACTGTGCAGGTTCGATATCTAGGTATATTGTGTGTTGCTAAGGTTTGAGGTATGAATGGTCCCATCAGCCAGTTACTAAGCATAGTACCCAACAGTTGTTTTTCAACTCTTGCCTGCCTCACTCTCCACTCTAGCAGTCCCTAGTGCCTATTGTTGCCATCTTTATGTCAATGAGTACCCAGTATTTAATTCTCACTTATTTTATTTATTCATATTTTTTTGAGATGGAGTCTCACTTTGTTGCCCAGGCTGGAGCGCAGTGGCGCGATCTCGGCTCACTGCCACCTTCACCTCCCAGGTTCAAGCAATTCTCCTGCCTCAGCCTCCCGAGTAGCTGGGATTACAGGCATGTGCCATCACGTCCTGCTAATTCTGTATTTTTAGTAGAGACAGGGTTTCACCATGTTGGCCTGGCTTGTCTCGAACTCCTGACCTCAAGTGATCTGCCTGCCTTGGCCTCCCAAAGTGCTGGGACTACAGGCGTGAGCCACCGTGCTGGCCTTAACTCCCACTTATAAGTGAGATATGTGATATTTGGTTTTTGTCTTCTTGTGTTAACTCACTTAGGATAATGGCCTCAAGCTTCATCCATGTTTCTGCAAATAACATAATTTTATTTTCCGTGGCTGTGTAGCATTCCATGGTATATATATATATATATATCACATAAAAATTAGTTTTTTAGTTTTTAATCTTTATTTGTTCTCTTGGGTATTGTTTATTATATATTTTTTTCAAACTTATTTAAAATATTTGCACTTTCTACATGTATCAGGTTATTATATTAGTCATATCTTTTATTTAGCAGTGAGAGCACTAACCTCATACTCATTTTGGTTTAAAAAATTAGCTGGCATTAGAATGGGGAGAGTAGAGAAATATCTATAATATGTATTAGCATATAAAATTAGAATAAATATTAAGTTCAGTGTACAGAAACATTATTTTTTAAATTCCTAAATTCAAACAGTGTTTTTAGTATTTAATTTCTCTCTTAATTTCTTGGCCGTGTTATTCAATGGGCTTCATTGTTTCACATCAAAATGGCCACTGACATGGTGTAACCAGACTGACATACTGACAGTGGGGAAATGCAGTCAAAAGGAAGTGTCTTCCCGTTTTGTATAAAAGGAGAGTCAAAGGATTGACCTGAATGGAATAGCTAAGACCTTGGCCCTATTCCCAGATTAATCAATGTTATCATAGAATGATATACTCTGAATGATCAGGCTTGAGTTATATTTAAAGTTCCACATTTTGATAATTTTACTGAGTAAAATAACAGAAGAATGGGGATTAGAAAATATTCTAGGGTTTATTTGCATTCATAATGGAATTACAGGGCCTGATTTTCATGTTCTTACATTTAACAAACAGAAGACCAGGCAACATATGTAAAACAATATTTTGTAGATATTCTACAACAAATAAAATGGTATTGTAATCCCCAGGGTAAGGAAAACAAATAGGGTGAGACATACAATTTTGCTAGCTTATTGCCCAGAGGTGGTGACCAATTTATAGCTTTAGGAAGGGACATCAGACAGAGGTCTGTGGTATCACTGAGTTGAGGGGATGGAAATCAATATTCAGGCCAAAGCAGCTAGAATTTGTAGGACAGTGTACTGGAGTGAAGGAAGCTGCACTGAAAGAGGGAGGGCTCAACTGATGTACAGAAGCTGTGAATGATGGCAAGTTCCTTGTCAGAATCTATGTAGCCAGAAGACAATGGATACTTTGAAGTACCAAACAAACAAACAAACAGAAAACTGACAACTTAGAATACTATATCAAGTGAAAATATTTTTCAAAAATGATGATGAAGTAAGGAAAATTCAGAGAAGCAAAAAAGGTAGGTGAATCTATTGTCAATAGAATTGAATTTCCATAAATGTTAAAGGAAGTCTTCAGTCAGAATGTAGGAGACACTAGAAAGAAAATTTGGATCTATGCCATGCAATCAAAGCTGGGAAATGGTAAATGTATGCATAAATATAGTTGCCTTTTTCATTTTTAAATTTCTTCAAAAGATAACTGATTAAAGCAAAATAAATAATAGTAATATATATTTTGTGCTTCATAGTATTATTAAGAATACAATAAGTAACAACAGAAATAAAGCAAGGTGAGAAATGGAAGTAATATTGTAAAATTCTTACATTATATGTGAAGAAATACATATAGTTGATGGCGGGTTGTAGTGAGTCAAAGGTGTATATTGTAAACCCACATATTCATAAAATGAAAACAAGGTATAATTAATTATAATTTAACATTGTTAGTCATTAGTTAATAAGCTAATAGTGAAATTACAATACCATAAAAATAGAATTAATCCAAAAAAAGGCAGGAAACATGGAAAACAAAGCAAAGAACAGATAGAACTGAAATGAGATGAACAGCAAAATAGACCCAAACATATCAGCAATTGCAGCAAATGTAAACTATGCAGTCTAATTAAAAGGCATTAATTGTTAGATTGTTTTAAAAACCAGGACCCAACTATATACTTTCTCAATGAATATAACATTAAATGAATACAGAGATAGCTTAAAAATAAAATGACAGAAAAATTTATGCCATATAAATGCTGATCAAAAGGAAGTTGTAGTAATTATATTAATATCAGATGAAGTATATTCAGAATGGGAATGTTATCTAGGATAAAGAGGGATATCTCATAATAATAAAGGATTCAATTTATCGAGAAAGCATAACAGTTCTTGTCTTGGTTCAAGGTGCTATAACAAGATACCGTAGACTGGGTGGCTTAAACAACAAATATTTATTTTTCACAGTTTTTAAAGCCTGGGGAGTCCAAGATCAAGGTTCTGGCAGATTGAGTGTCTGGTGAGGGTACACTTCCTAGTTTTCAAATTGCTGTCTTCTCATTATATCCTCACATGGTGGTTGGGGGTAGGAAGTGGGTGGGGAGAGAAAAAGAGAAATAACTCTGTCTTTTCTTTTAAAGGCACTACTCCCATCATGAGGACTATGCCCTCAAGACAGAATTACTTCCAAAAAGCCCACCTCCAAATACCATCACAATGGGGATTAGTGTTTCAGCATATACATTTTGAGGGTTGGGGGATTCAACACAACATTCAGTCCATAGCACTCCTGAATATATATGCTCATATAGCAGAATTATAAGATAGATGAAGCAAATATAGATAGGATTGTAAAGAGAAGTAGACAGCCTCACAATTATAAGAGAGCTAAACACTCCACTCTCTGTAATTGAGGTAATAAATAGAAAATCAGTAAGCATACAGAGATTTGAACAACACTGTCAACCAACTTGACCTAATTCTCAGTTATAGATCACTTCACCCAACAACAGAAGAATGCACATTTTTTTTGAGTGAACATGGAACATGCACCAAAATAAGCCATAATATGGGCCACAAAACAAGTCTCAATAAATTTCAAAGGCTTAAAATTATATGTAGAGGTGTCTGGCAAGACGGCTGAATAGGAACAGCTCTGGTCTGCAGTGCCCAGTGAGATCAATGCAGAAGGCGGGTGATTTCTGCATTTCCAGCTGAGGTACCCAGCTCATCTCATTGGGACTGGTTAGACAGTGAGTGCAGCCCGTGGAGGGTGAGCAGAAGTAGGGTGGGGAGTCGCCTCACCCGGGAAGTGCAAGGGATCAGGGAACTCCTTCTCCTAGCCAAGGGAAGCCGTGAGGGACTGTGCCGTGAGGAACAGTGCATTCCAGCCCAGATACTATGCTTTTCCCATGGTCTTCACAACCCACAGACTAGGATATTCCCTCTGATGCCCACAGCACCAGGGCCCTGGGTTTCAAGCGCAAAACTGGGCAGCTATTTGAGCAGACACCAAGCTAGCTGCTGGAGTTTTTTTTCATACCCCAGTGGTACCTGGAATGCCAGTGAGACAGAACCATTCACTCCCCTGGAAAGGAGGAATGAAGCCAGGGAGCAAGGTGGTCTATCTCAGCAGATCCCACCCCCACAGAGCCCAGCAAGCTGTGATCTACTGGCTTGAAATTCTTGCTGCCAGCACAGCAGTCTGAAGTTGACCTGGGACACTCGAGCTTGGTCAGGGAGGGGCATCTGCCATTACTGAGGCTTGAGTAGGCAGTTTTCCCTTCACAGTGTAAACAAAGCTGCAGGGAAGTTCAAACTGGGCAGAACCCACCATAGCTTGGCAAACCTCTGTAGCCAGACTGCCTCTCTAGCTTCCTCCTCTCTGAGCAAGGCATCTCTGAAAGAAAGGCGACAGCCCCAGTCAGGGGCTTAAAGGTAAAACTCCCGTCTCCCTGGTACAGAGCACCTGGGGGAAGGGGCGGCTGTAGGCACAGTTTCAGCAGAGTTAAACGTTCCTGCCTGCCGGCTCTGAAGAGAGCAGCCAATCTCCCAGCACAGCGCTTGAGCTCTGCTAAGGGACAGACTGCCTCCTCAGGTGGGTCCCTGAGCCCCATGCCTCCTGACTGGGAGACACCTCCTAGCAGGGGTCGATGGACATCTCATACAGGAGAGCTCCACCTCCGGCTGGCATCTGGCAAGTGCCCCTCTGGGATGAAGCTTCCATAGGAAGGAACAGGCAGCAATCTTTGCTGTTCTGCAGCCTCCACTGGTGATACGCAGGCAAACAGGGTCTGTAGTGGACCTCCAGCAAACTCCAGCAGACCTGCAGCAGAGGGGCCTGACTGTTAGAAGGAAAACTAACAAACAGGAATAGCATCAACATCAAAGAAAAAAAAGAACGTTCACACAGAAGCCCCATCTGAAGGTCACCAGCATCAAAGATCAAAGGTAGATAAATCCACGAAGATGAGGAAATACTAGCAAAAAAGGCTGAAAACTCCAAAAACCAGAATATCTCTTCTCCAAAGGATCACAACTCCTCACCAGCAAGGGAACAAAACTGGAGAGAAAGTGAGTTTGACAAATTGACAGAAGTAGGCTTCAGAAGGTGGGTAATAACAAACTCCTCCTAGCTAAAGGATCATGTTCTAATCCACTGCAAGGAAGCTAAGAAACTTGAAAAAAGGTTAGAGGAAGTGCTAACTGGAATAACCAGTTTAGAGAAGAACATAAGTGACCTGATGGAGCTGAAAAACACAGCATGAGAACTTCGTGAAGCATACACAATTATCAATAGCTGAATTGATCAAGCAGAAGAAAGGATATCAGAGATTAAAGATCAACTTAATGAAATAAAGTTTGAAGACAAGATTAGAGAAAAAAGAATGAAAAAGAATGAACAAAGCATCCAAGAAACATGGAACTATGTGAAAAGACCAAACCTACATTTGATTGGTGTACCTGAAAGTGCCGAGGAGAATGAAACCAAGTTGGAAAACACACTTCAGGATATTATCCAGGAAAACATCCCCAACCTAGCAAGACAGGCTAATATTCAAATTCAGGAAATACAGAGAATACTACAAAAATACTCCTTGAGAAGAGCAATCCCAAGATTCATAATCGTTAGATTCACCAAGGTGGAAATGAAGGAAAAAATATTAAGTGCAGCCAGAGAGAAAGGACAAATTACCCACAAAGGGATGCCCATCAAACTATCAGCAGATTTCTGCAGAAACCCTACAAGCGGGAAGAGAGTGGGGACCAATATTCAATATTCTTAAAGAAAATAATTTTCAACCCAGTATTTCATATCCAGCCAAACTAAGCTTCACAAGTGAAGGAGAAATGAAATCCTTTACAGACAAGCAAATGCTGAGGGTTTTTGTCACCACCAGGCCTGCCTTACAAGAGCTCCTGAAGGAAGCACTAAACATGGAAAGGAAAATCCAGTACCAGCCACTGCAAAAACAAACCAAAATGTAAAGATCAACACTGTGAAGAAACTGCATCAACTAGTGGCCAAAATAACCAGCTAACATCATAATGGCAGGATCAAATTCACACATAACATAATTAACCTTAAAGGTAAATGGGCTAAATGCCACAATTAAAAGACACAAACTGGCAAATTGGATAAAGAGTCAAGACCCATTGGGCTGCTGTATTCAGGAGACCCATCTCATGGGAAAAAACACACATAGGCTCAAAATAAAGGGATGGAGGAAGATTTACCAAGTAAATGGAAAGCAAAAAAAAAAAAAAAAGAAAAAGAAAAAGCAGGGGTTGCAATCCTAGACTCTGATAAAATAGACTTTAAACCAGCAAAGATCAAAAGAGACAAAGAAGGGCATTACATAATGGTAAAGGGATAAATGCAACAACAAGAGCTAACTATCCTAAATATATATGAACCCAATACAGGAGCACCCAGATTCACAAAGCAAGTTCTTAGAGACCTACAAAGAGACTGAGACTCCCAAACAATAATAGTGGGAGACTTTAACACACCACTGTCAATATTGGACAGATCAACGAGACAGAAAATTAACAAGGATATTCAGGAATTGAACTCAGCTCTGGACCAAGCGAACATAATGGACATCTACAGAACTTCCCACCCCAAATCAACAGAATATGCATTCTTCTCAGCACTACATAGCACTTATTTTAAAATTGACCATATAATTAGAAGTAAAACACACCTCAGCAAATGTAAAGGAATGGAAATCATATCAAACAGTCTCTTAGACACAGTGCAATCAAATTAGAATTCATGATTAAGAAACTCACTCAAAACTGCAAAACTATGTGGAAACTGAACAACCTGCTCCTGAATGACTACTGGGTAAATAATGAAATTAAGGCATAAATAAATAAATTCTTTGAAATCAATGAGAATAAAGACACAATGTAGCGGAATCTCTGGGACACAGCAAAAGCAGTTTAGAGGGAAATTTATAGCACTACCTGCCCACAGAAAAAAGCAGGAGAGATCGAAAATTGACACCCTAACATCACAATTAAAAGAACTATAGAAGCAAGAGCAAACAAATTCAAAAGCTAGCAAAAGACAAGAAATAACTAAGATCAGAGCAAAACTGAAGGAGACAGAAACATGAAAAACCCTTCAAAAAATCAATGCATCCAGGAGCTGGTTTTTTGAAAAGATTAGCAAAATAGATAGACCGCTAGCCAGACTAATAAAGGAGAAAAGAGAGAAGAATCAAATAGACACAATAAAAAACAATAAAGGGGAGATCACCAGTGATCCCACAGAAATACAAACTGCCATCAGAGAATACTATAAACACCTCTATGCAAATAAACTAGAAAATCTGGAAGAAATAGATAAATTCCTGGACACATACACCCTCCCAAGACTGAACCAGGAAGAAGTTGAATCCCTGAATAGACAAATAACAAGTTCTGAAATTGAGGCACTAATTAATAGCCTACCAACCAAAATAAAGTCCAGGACCAGATGAATTCACAGCTGAATTCTACCAGAGGTACAAAGAGGAGCTGGTACCATTCCTTCTGAAACTATTCAAAACAACTGAAAAAGAGGGACTCCTTCCTAATTCAGTTTATGAGGCCAGCATCATACTGATACCAAAACCTGGCAGAGACACAAGAAAAAAAAATTTTAGGCCAATATCCCTGATGAACATCGATGTGAAAATCCTCAATAAAATACTGGCAAACCGAATTTAGCAGCACATTAAAAAGACCAGGCATGATGGCTCACACCTGTAATCCCAGCACTTTGAGAGGCTGAGGTGGGTGAATCACAAGGTCAAGAGTTTGAGACCAGCCTGGACAACATGGTGAAACCCCGTCTCTACTAAAAATAAAAAAAAAAAATTAGCTGGGTGTGGTGGCGGTCGCCTGTAATCCCAACTACTCAGGAGGCTGAGGCAGGAGAATCGCTTGAATCTGGGAGGGGAAGGTTGCAGTGAGCCGAGATTGCACCACTACACTCCAGCCCAGGTGACAGAGTAAGACTCTGTCTTAAAAAAAAAAAAAAAAAAAATTAAAAAGCTTCTCCACCATGATCAAGTTGGCTTTATCCCTGAGATGTAAGGCTGGTTCAACATATGCAAATCAATAAACGTAAATCATCACATGAACAGAACCAATGACAAAAACCATATGATTATTGAAATAGATGCAGAAAAGGCCTTTGATAAAATTCAACACCCTTCAAACTAAAAACTCTCAATAAACTAGGTATTGATGGAAAGTATTTTAAAGTAATAAGAGCTATTTACGAAAAACCACAGCTAATATCATACTGAATGGGGCAAAAGCTGGAAACATTCCCTACGAAAACGGGCACAAGACAAGATGCCTTCTCTCAGCACTCCTATTCAACATAGTATTGGAAGTTCTGGCCAGGGCAATCAGGTAAGAGAAAGAAGTAAAGAGTACTCAAATAGGAAGAGAGAAATTCAAATTGTCTCTGTTTGCAGATGACATGATTGTATGTTTAGAAAACCCCATCGTCGCAGCCCAAAATTTTCTTAAGCTGATAAGCAACTTCAGCAAAGGCTCAGGATACAAAATCAATGTGCAAAAATTACAAGCATTCCTATACACCAATCATAGACAAACAGAGAGCCAAATCATGACTGAACTTTCATTCACAATTGCTGCAAAGAGAATAAAATACCTAGGAATACAATTTACACGGTATATGAAGGACCTCTTCAAGGAGAACTAGAAACCACTGCTCAAGGAAGTAAGAGAGGACACAAACAAATGGAAAAACATTCCATGTTCATGGATAGGAACAATCAATATCATGAAAATGGCCATACTGCCCAAAGTAATTTATCGTTGCAATACTTCCCCCATCAAGCTACCATTGACTTTCTTCACAGAATTAGAAAAAACTACTTTAAGTTTCATGTGGAACCAAAAAAGAGCCCGCATAGCCAAGACAATCCTAAGCAAAAAGAACAAAGCTGGAAGCAACATGCTACCTGACCTCAAACTATACCACAAGGCTACATTAACCAAAACAGCATAGTACTGGTAGCAAAACAGATATATAGACCAATGGAACAGAACAGAGGACTCAGAAGTAACGCCACACATCTACAACCATCTGATCTTTGACAAACCTGACAAAAACAAGCATTGAGGAAAGGATTCCCTATTTAATAAATAGGTGTTGGTAAAACTGGCTAGCCATATGTAGAAAACTGAAACTGGACCCCTTCCTTACACTTTATACAAAAATTAACTCAAGATGGATTAAAGACTTAAATGTAAAACCTAAAATGATTAAAACCCTAGAAGAAAACCTAGGCAATACCATTCAGGACATAGGCATGGGCAAAGACTTTATGACTAAAACACCAAAAGCTATGGCAACAAAAGCAAAAATTGATAAATGGGATCTAATTAAAGAGCTTCTGGACAGCAAAAGAAACTGTCATCAGAGTGAACAGGCAACCTACAGCATGGGAGAAAATTTTTGCTATCCATCCATCTGATAAATGGCTAATATCCAGAATCTACAAGGAACTTAAACAAATTTACAATAAAAAAAAATCCCCATCAAAAAGTGAGTGAAAGATATGAACAGACACTTCTCAAAAGAAAACATTTTTGCGGCCAACAGGCATATGAAAAAAAGCTCATCATCACTGATCATTAGAGAAATGCAAATCAAAACAACAATGAGATACCATCTCACGCCAGTTAGAATGGCGATCATTAAAAAGTCAGGAAACAGCAGATGCTGGAGAGCATGTGGAGAAACAGGAACGCTTTTACACTGTTGGTGGGAGTATAAATTAGTTCAACCATTGTGGAGGACAGTGTGGCAATTCCTCAAGGATCGAGAACCAGAAATATCATTTGGCCCAGCAATCCCATTACTGGGTATATACCCAAAGGATTATAAACCATTATACTGTAAAGACACATGCACACGTATGTTTATTGCAGCACTGTTCACAATAGCAAAGACGTGGAACCAACCCAAATGCTCATCAATGATAGACTGGATAAAGAAAATGTGGTACATATACACCATGGAATACTAAGCAGCCATAAAAAAGGATGAGTTCATGTCCTTTGGAGGGACAAGGATGAAGCTGGAAACCATCATTCTCAGCAAACTAACACAGGAACAGAAAACCAAACACTCCATGTTCTCATTCATAAGTGGGAGTTGAAGAATAAGAACACATGGACATAGGGAGGGGAACATCATACACTGGGGCCTGTTAGGGGTTGGCAGTGCTAGGGAAGGTAGAGTATTAAGAGAAATACCTAATGTAGATGACAGGTTGATGGCTGCAGGAAACTGCCATGGCACATGTATACCTATGTAACAAACCCGCACCTTCTGCACATGTATCCCAGAACTTAAAGTATAATGAAAAAATTATATGAAGTATGTTTCATTACCAAAATGGCATTAAGGTAGGAATTAATAGAAAATTAAAAATCCACAGATACTTGGAAATAAGGCAGTACACATATACATAAAATGTGGGTCCAGACGGGGTGCAGTGACTCATGCCTGCAATCTCAACTCTTTGGGAGGCTGAGGCAGGCAGACCACTTGCGCTCTGGAGTTCAAGACCAGTCTGGGCAATATGGTGAAACCACATCTCCACACACACAGAAAAAAGTACAAAAATTAGCCAGGCACAGTGGCCCACACCTCTACTCCCAACTACTAAGAAGGCTGAGGCATGAGATTCGCTTGGGCCTGGGAGTTGGAGGTTGCAGTGAGCTGAAATTGCACCACTGCACTACAGCCTGGGTGACAGAGTGAGACTCAAAACTGTCTCAAAACTAACTAAATAATTAATTAATTAAAATTTAAAAAAATGGGTCCAGAAAATTAAAAGGGATATTAGAAAATATTTTTCAATGAATGAAAATGATGATATTAAAAGTTGTAGGATGCTGCTTAAGTAGTGCTTAGAAATTTTATCATTAAACTTTATTAGATTAAATCTATGATCTAAGCTTCTATTTTCAAAACTAGAAAAAGAAGAACAAATGGAAGCCAAAGTAAAAAAAAAAAAAAAAAGAAAGGAAGTGATAAAGAACAGAATAGAATTCATTTAAATAGAAAACAGGAAGCCAATTGAGAAAATGAAAGAAACCAAAGCTAGTTGTGGTAGAAACATCTAAGATGTCTCCTAATGATCCCCCATCATTGCATCCATGTATGTGTATTTCCTTCCCTGGAGTGAGAACTAGATTTAGTGCCTTGTTTTTAATGAAAGACTTATAGCGAAAGTAATGGGAGGTCAGTTTTGGGATTAAATTATAATGCATTCTGGGCTCCCTACTGCTCACCGTCTCTTGCTCTATCATTGGTTAGTTCCGATGGAGGATGGCTGCCATGTTCTGAGCTGCCTCATTGGTTAGTTCTGATGGAGGATGGCTGCCATGTTCTGAGCTGCCTTATGGAGTTGCCGTCGCAGGAGGTCTCTGGCTAACAGGCACTGAGGAATACAATAACCTTCAAGGAACTGAATCTTGCCAATAACCACTTGAGGGAGCAGAAGCATATATTCCCCTAGAGCAGCCTTGAGGGGACTGTAGCCACTGCTGTCATCCTGACTGCAGCTTTGTGGGGACCCTGATCCAGAGGACCAGATAAACCTCACCTGGATTTCTGACCTGGCAAAAACTGTGTGAAAATAAATGTTTATTGTTTCAAGCTGCTAGTCCCTGGGGTAATTTCGTATAAGGCAATAGATAACTAATACATCATCATAAGAAGAGCAGACTTTATTTGGTAGACAGGAGAGTCACTGAAAGGTTTCAAGTATGTAAATGTCATGGCCTGTTATTTTAGGTAGATTGCTCTGATAGTAATGAAAACAAGGAATATAAATGAACGAAGCTGGATGGTTTGTGATTTGATAGGAGGTACTGCAGTTTAAGTGAAAGATGATGAGTCCCTGTGCAGAGACAGATTTGAGAAATATTATCAGGAAAAAAAAAATAAGCAAAGCTTGGTGACTAACTATGGGAAGGATGAGGGAGAGGCATAGAATGGCTCAATGTCTCTTACTTAGATAACTGAATTTGAATAACTGATAATGGGAATAAAGAGGAGGAACATTGTGTTCCTCATGATTGTCTTATTAGGTAAGCATGTTAAGCAGAACACTGTGCACCAATTATCACTCCCAGGGGAGGACTGTAAACACCTTGCCAATTTCTGCTTAGGTTCCTAGATTTGGCAGGGGGTTCTGCACAAACCCAGCTGCAAAAGTGTGAGCCCAGTGGGACAGAATACTCAGACATGTCATGCAAAACAACTTCATTACTCATAGATAGGCAGCAAGAACCAACAGAAGCCTAGGATCTATGGCAGGCCAGTCTCAAAGGATCGGGAAACTGCCCAGGGCAGATGGTATCTCCTCCACACATGCTCTACTTTGCACCTAAGCTAAAGGACCCCAAAGCATTCAACTCTGGGTTTTTGTTGTTTTTTTGTTTTTTACCCTAGGGGAAAATTCACCACTGAGCTCAAGCATTGTAAGACATCCTGTTCTAAGGAGGGATGAGGACAAATCCTCTACTGTTCCCAACAGTTGCACAGGGCACTGCATCTACAGTTACCCTGAGAACTACAAGCAGGAGGTGAAAGAGCTGAGTCAGCCAAGGTCATCTGGGGACCTATCCACTGGCAGGTATTAATATAACTCCCTTAATAGATATCTGGGACTTGGGTCAAATGACTTGCCCAAGGCCAGGCAGGCAGTACATGGTATAACCTCAAAAACAGTGGTCAATACTATTATAATTCATATTACCTTGTCAAGTTCTAGGAGAGGAAGAGGGTCACATGAAAAGCCCATGAGGACCTTTTGAGGCCATGATTATACCAGGGAACTGAGAGGCTCTGAGGGCCCCTCAGGGAGATGGACCCATAGAGGCTCCACCATGCTAGCGATGCTGGCCCTGTCTGTTGGAGTTAGAGATGTTGGAACTGCATCAAGCTGCCTCAGGCATTCAGATGAATGCCTCTGTGAAGTTACATCTCCATATTGGAAGCAGCAGAGTCAGAATTGAAGAGTCCTGAGCGAAGCCTGGGAGAATTGCCACTATGAAGCCTGAAGTGCGACCTCCCTGATGCCCCACCCCTGGAAGCAGCCCTGCCCCCAGAGTGCTGGGGTGAACCTGCCTCCCAGAGGTTCCTCCAATGCTTTCATTGCCACCAAAGTTTATTGAGCACCAACTATATGCTAAGCCCAGAAGCTGGGGATGGAGCAGGTGGTTGGATAGTTGTGATCTTTTTCCTCAGGGAAGATGATTGACTAAACTAAAAGTTAAAAATGAAATGTGCTGTGACAGGGGAAGTAAGGGTATCTATCCTCTTTTGGTAGGGTCGAAATAGACCCAAGGATTGGTGGGATGCAGTATTTGTTGATGAAAAGTTGCTTTCATCTGATGGCTTTAGGAGTACATACAGAATGATCAATGGAATAGAGTTCCTGACAAGATTGAAAACTGGCATGTTGAGGACAGAAGTTAGGAGGACTGGAGGTTGAGGTCAGGAGATGGGATATCAAACTGACTTATTCAGAAGACAGAGCTGCCCTGTGATAAGGTCTAGGTTGTGGCTATAGCCAGGAATGGAGATAAAGAACTCTGAGATAAGGAGACCTGGCAAAATGCTATCCAACAGAAATATAAAAAGCATAAAATATTTGCAAACGATCTATCTGAAAATACGTTAATAACCAGTATACATAAGGAGCTCAAACAACTCTATAATAAAAAAAATAATCCGGCTGGGCATGGTGGCTCATGCCTGTAATCCCAGCACTTTGGGAGGCCAAGGCAGGTGGATCACCCAAGGTCAGGAGTTCGAGACCAGCCTGGCCAACATGGTGAAACCTTGTCTCTACTAAAAATACAAAAATGAGCCAGGCGTGGTGGCAGTTGCCTGTAATCCCAGCTACTCGGGAGGCTGAGGCAGGAGAATCTCTTGAACCTGGGAGGTGGAGGTTGCAGTGAGCCGAGATCACACCATTGCACTCCAGCCTGGGGGACAAGACCGAGACTTTGTCTAGAAAAAGAAAAGAAGTAATCCAATTAAAATAACAAAAGATTTGAATAGACATTTCTCAAAAAAGACATACAAATGCCAAACAGGTATACAAAAAGGTGCTCAACATCATTCATTGATCATAAAAAAATGCAAATGTAAACTACAATGAGATATCATCTCACCCTAAATAAAATGGTTTTTATTCAAAAGTTGGGCAATCACAAATGCTGATGAGGATGTGGAGAAAAGGGAACCCTCTATACTGCTGGTGGGAATATAAATTAGCACAACCACTGTAGAGAATAGTTTGGAGAGTCCTCAAAAAACTAAAAATAGAACTACTATATGATCCAGCAATTCTACTGTTAGAGATATACCTACCCCAAAGAAGGGAAATCAGTATATCAAAGAGATACCTGTACCCCCATGTGAATTGCAGTGCTATTCACAATAGCCAAACTTTGGAAGCAACCTAAGTGTCCATCAACAGACAATGGATAAAGAAAATGTACATATATACACAATGGAGTATACTAAGAAAAAAGAATAATATCCTGTCATTTTCAACAACATGGATGGAACTGGAGGTCATTATGTTAAGTGAAATAAGCCAGGCACAGAAAGACAAACTGCATGTTCTCACTTATTTGTGAGACCTAAAGATTAAAATAATTGAACTCACGGAGATAGAGAATAGAATGGGAGTTACCAGAGACTGGGAAGAGTAGTGGGGTGGGGGAGTGGGGATGGATTTAGGGCACAAAAATCTTATTTATATAAGACCCGGTATTTGCTAGCACAGTAGAGTGACTACAGTCAGCAATAATTTATTAGACATTTAAGAATAACTAACAGTATAACTGGGATGTTTGTAACATGAAGAAATAAGTGTTTGAAATGATTAATACTCCATTTACCCTGATGTGATTGTTACACATTGTATGTCTATATCAAAATATCTGTATAAATATATACATAAATATATACACAGACTATGTACTCATAAAAATTAGAAATAAACAGATTAATATAACATAAACCACATAATTGGCTACATATATAATTTTTAATTTTCAAGTAGTAACACTTGAAAATATAAGAAACAAATAGGTAAAATTCATTTTTAATATTGCTTTCAACTGCATTTAATATATTGAAAATACGATTTCAAAATGTATTCAACATGAGAATATTAATGATATATTTAACATTACATTTTCATACTAAGTTTTCACTATCCAGTGTGTACTTTATAACACTTCAATCAGAATAGCCACAAATCAATTGCCATAGCTCCAATGAAATCACTTGGGGATGAAATTATGAGACTTTAGAAGCCAAGCTAATTGAGGCAGGCAAGGGGCACTGCAAGGGGTCTGTATCCTTCTTTCAAATTTGAGTTTTCGCTTACTATCAAGCCACTCTCTTGACCATGATTGGCCTTAATTTTGGGCAACCAACTCTCTTGGTTGTGAGAGGTATACCTCATCATGGTTGAAATCCCACTTTTGCTTTTGGGATTTTTCTCACCATAATGACTCTCATAAAGTCCCCAATTGTGGTTTGATGATCAGACCCTTTGGTATTGACCATCTCTTTGGGGTCTCTGGCTTTGTAGAATTTCTGAATTCATCTTCACGTTTCTTTTCCTAAAGTAGAAACTAAACTTAGACAATATCCCTTTTTCCAGTGTGCTCCTTCTCTCTGGGACATGTCTCCCCTCTGTTCTCTGATTCTGAGTGTTGCTCCTTTATTGGATACAAGAGTCTTTGGGCGGTTCCATTCTCAAACCTCTGCTCATTTCTGCATTGCTCAACTTGTAGTCACCTCTAAGCTGTCACCATTAGCTCCACATAAAGTTCCACTCCTCTAGATTTATTTTTCTATGATGCTGAAGGTGACAAGCTGAAAATTCTGTCTGCTCACCTCCCAGCTTGGGACCCTTTGTGAATCAATATCAGAGGGACACCTTCTCAAGATCCTCTGGCCTTCCTTACAACAGATGGGATAGGCAGAGGGTTATTGAGTGTGGAGCCTGATGTGTGTGTGTGTGTGTGTGTGTGTGTGTGTGTGTGTGTGTGTGTTGTTTCCCTGCTTGCCTAAGCATTTCCACCAAAAGCTTGGCAACCTCAGCTCTGGCATCAGCTCCCAAAACGAGGGAAGTTGAGCAGAAAAAGGCAGACTAAGGTGGAAGTCACAACTGTGCTTCTCATGCCTTAAGTACCTTCGTGGATTCAATAAATTTGAGGGGTGGTCCTTACCTTTTCCACACCCAAAACTAAATACTGTTAGTGTTTGGCACAGATTGATGATTTGGATCAAGGAAGGATATTCAGGTGGTGTTCCCAAACCAATAAGGGTGCTAGTTTCTGGTGTCTCAAAACACATAATATTATTCAGGAGGCAATGTTGGGAGCAAGCCATGTATATGGCATACTTGTAGGTATCTAATCCTGGCATATCTGTTTTAACTTCTCATCCAGTTATAACTTTATTGTATTGTTTTAATTGCTTCTGGTCTAGTTTTTCCCTTGAGCTCCCAAAAATGTCATTTCCAAGTCATTCTCTTAGTGATGTTCTGCTTGTCAGCAAGTAATGTTTGGGATTTAAGGAAAAATTTTATTTAGTAGCCTGACCTCAGCTGTTTTGGAACTGATTCCTCCTTGTTTTTCTTTCTCCACTCAAACCTGGAAATTCACTGTCTTTGTGATTATATCCCTAATGCACTTGGAAATCAGACAGCCCTCTGTTGGATGGAGGGTACAAAGCTCATGTTGAAAGTCACAGTAAGAGATGGTGGGAGAAAAAAGACCTTGGCAGACACCTGCCCTCCAGGAGAAGGCTGACATGCACAAGCATGAGCAGTCAACATCTGAGACTGTTGAAGCGGAAGAGGCAAATTAACAGGAGTTATCTAGACATGAACTCTTTGGGACAGTGTTTGGTAAAATTGGAATCAGGTCAGATGTAGTCAGAGTTAAAGGTGGAATCTGGTGTTGGTAGAGTAGAGATTTTTCCTGATGGGAGATTACTGGAAAGTGAGTGGGTGAGACATGTGGCATGTGTCAAAGTTACTGAGAGGATGATAACCTGAGACTGGGTGGAGTCACAGGAGCAGGTGGGGACCTGTGACAAAGTGAAGACTGTGGAGAAGGCATGCCACAGCATCAGAAAGATCCCTGGTGGCAAAGATGTGAAAGCTAGTGGCAGGCGTGAAAGAAAAATACTAAGAAATGCTAAGAGTCTCATTTGTGTATTCAAAGGGCTCAGACAGAGGTAAGTCACCGGACTCTGTAAAATCCAGTGAGGGGTTGAAGACAAGAAACAGTGAGGGCTCCAAGAGAGGGAGGGGCCGTTAACTGGCTTTCTAGGGTATTTGTTGAGAGGAACTGGCCAGAGTTAGAGATGAATTAGAGCTTCCATGTAAGCCAAAGGGAGCATAGAAGGAGGAGCATCTTCCACAGGATCCATAAGCAGCAGGAGGTCAGTTTCAGCAGACGTTACCATTTACCTCACATCAGAGATCTTGCTGCAGGAGTTGCAGAAAGTTGCCCTAATCAGGAAGCATGCCTACATGGCTGTAGGAGACAGGAGGAGCAAAATGCCATCAGGAGCAGAGCAGGGACAGAAGGGCCTGGAAGGATGAGAAGGCGTCAGATTCCCTCATCCCCCATACTTTACACCACTCCCTCCCTGAAGTAAACTTCAGACATTCATTATTCACAAGTATGAATTTTTATTTGGAAAATAAGGGAGTTCTGTGCTCCTTCATTTTAATAATTTTTAAAGAGGATAAAAATATCTATATTTTGCCTTCCTTAAAAAATTTAAATAAGTGTTTTCTGCATTTGATCCTCATTTTCTTCAGTCATTTGTCCTCTTCTGCAGACTTTTACCACTGCAGGTGCATACATGCTCCAATAGATAGGATTTGCTCCATGAGACAGGAGTTTGGGCTCTAGCATTTGGTCAGGGGCTTTCAAAGATTCAGCATTGCTCTCCAGATTAGACTTAATACAAAGGAAAGTCACATCACAGATGCACCTGTTGCAGGTGTCTGATCTCTTAATAATCCAATCCGTGGCCAGGCCACTGAAATGCTGGCCAACATATGTTTGTGGATCCAAAAACTTGAGGATTAGACCTTTACCATACTCCAAACTGAATAATGTTAGTGTTTAGCACAAGTTGATGAGCTGGATTGAGGAAGAATATGCAGGTGGTGTTCCCAAACCAAGAAGTGTGCTATGTTTCTGCTGTCTCCAAAACATATGGTTCGAAAGCAGTGTGCTGTGGGGAGCAAGCCATGTATGAGACACACTTTTAGGTATCCAATGCTGGCATATCTGCCTTAACTTGTGTGACTTAAGTTGTGTCCAACTACTGACACACTCTGAGATTTTGCTACCATGAGCTCTGTAACACTCAGATACATAGTCTGTGAGCTTCTGAGATAAACCATAGTTCCCACTCTACCATCTACCCTGCCCAAGTTGTTTCCCCAAGATGATGTTCTATTCTCTTCTGAGAGTTCCCATCTTCAGTACTGACTTCTGCCAATATGATTGAGTTACAAAAATGGGAAGAGCAACATTAATAAAACAAAGTCAATCTTTCTGAGTGTATTAATCAGGGCTCTTGAGATAGAACAAATACGATGTGTAGATGGATAGATAGGTAGATAGAGTTTTATTTTAAGGAATTGGCTCATGGAATTGTGGGCACTGGCCAGCCTGATATTTTCAAGGCACGCTGGCATTTCAGATACTGGAGACCCAGGGAAGAGTTACTATTGCAGTCTTGAGTCTAAAGGCAGCCTGGTGACAGATGTTTTTTCCCTTGGGACCTCAGTCTTCCATCCGCAGGCTTTTAATTGATTAGATGAGGACCACTCACATCATGGGGGGTGATCTACTTTACTCAAAATCTACTGATTTAGTTACATCTGAAAAATAGCTTCACAGAAACATCTAGACTGGTATTTGACCACAAACTGGATATTATGGCCTAGCCACGTTGACACAACTTTAATCATCACACTAGGGTTTTCTTACCTGATTTCTGTCTCTATTTTCCCCCAATATTGGTAAAGCTAAACTTTTCTGTAGATAGTAGAGTAAGAGAAAGAAGATCCCCCCTCTAAACAGGAAGCAAAAGTTAGAATCATTTTCTCATGAAGTGAAGCTAGACGTCAACCATAGTAGATTAAGTTTCTTCAGGAAAAAAGAGATAGTTCTCTATTATCTGAAGTGCACTGCTCCTTTTAACAACTGAAAATGCAAGCTCTGGACTGGAGTTCCAGGCCTCATCACAGAGTTACAGGACATTTACAAAGGGTTCTTGAAGTTCAGGGTGGGTATAAAAAGAGGCATAATCCCTTATGCCACCAGCCAGTTTAGCTGATCCTTCTACTACTTCTGAGCCTTCTAGATCCTTCCACCTTTCTATGGGCCTCCCTATTTTCCAGTTGCATTTTTTTCATTACATCATATAAAGGCCTTCTGTAATTTATTTTTTATTCAGCCCAATGCTAGGTATTTCTCAGTGTTTCTTCCTCTCCTCTAGCAGTAGGGCATATCGAGTGCCTAGGCCAGGGACAGTTTCTTACCCCTCTGCCAGGAGTAGGGTATGGCTCCCCTTTCCCAACAATAATGTGTGTCCATCTGTGCTGTAAGAGTGAAGGGTTTTGCTGTCATTCTACCAGTGAGTTAATGCTCTTAATCTTTAGGGGAAAATGGTCTAAGCAACCTGGAATGTCAGGGTAGTTTTCTTGAAGGAACTACTAATGCCTGAACTGGGTCTGGAAAGACAGTTAAGCAATATCCCAGAGGAAAAAAAAAAGTATAAAGGGAATTTCAGAGAGAGAAAAAGCATTATGAGCAAAGACATGAAAGCACTGAGTAGCATGAGAGATTCAGGAGTAATAACAAGCATTTCTCTATTTTGGAACAGAAAATACACAGCAGAGAGTAATTTCAGGAGAATGTTGAAGTAGAGAGAGAGATGAGAGATGACCTAGTGACAGGACTTTTATACTGTTAGAAAATATAGGCTTGATTTGGTTGGCAATAGACAGTCACTGAGGGTTTAAAAGAGGTAAGTGCCACGGTCATTTTTGTTTTAGGTAGATTTCTCCAATAGTAATAAATACAATTGAAGAGGGGCAAAATTGAAGTAACACATCAGTTAGCAGGTTACTGCATGGTTTTCGAAGAGAGACAATGCAGGCTTGAAATACTATGGTGGCAGTACAAATTGAAAGAAGAGACATATTTGGGAAGTATTTAGGAGGTAAAATTTTAAAAAGAAATCTTGGCAACGGACTCATTTTGGGAAAGTTGAAGAGATAGGAAGGGTGGCTTTTCTGTTTGTTGCTTGACTGAGTGCTACTAATTAAGAGCAAAGCCAGCTAGTGGCAGGGTGTTATATTTGGAAGTTGTTATGGTTGGAGTCCCTGTTGGAAATTGAAGTTGGAAATGTTCAGAAAGCAATTGGATTGATGAGTTTGGGCTTAAAAAAAAAAGCAGGCATTAAAGTAATTAACTCATCTAAAGTCACTTAAGAAGACTGTAGAAGGAACAGTGTAGTGGCTGAAGGGCAGAATTCTGGTGACTGGAGTTTCTATATAGTACAGTATCTGACATACAGTAGGCTCTCAATAAATCATGAATATGTCCATACTTGAGTTTGTGAAGGCAGTTGTCTGAGACTTTCTGCTCTATTTGCAGAAAAGCTTGCAGCCCAAACCTCAGGTGATTGGGCCTCTCAGGGGTGCTCACAAAGCAAGGTCACTCACCAATTCCAAGTAGCAATGGCATCAGGGCACCATGCAGTGTCTTTACCCCTTCTCCTGTACATAGCTCTTGTTCATGCCACTCCTTACAACAGCACTATTGGGTAGATATTAACACATTTTTTTTTTCTTGAGACAGAGTCTCACTCTGTCACCCAGGCTGGAGTGCAGTGGCGCGATCTCGGCTCACTGCAAGCTCTGCCTCCGGGGTTCATGCCATTCTCCTGCCTCAGCCTCCTGAGTAGCTGGGACTACAGGCGCCAGCCACCATGCCTGGCTAATTTTTTGTATTTTTAGTGGAGACGGGTTTTCACCGTGTTAGCCAGGATGGTCTCTATCTGCTGACCTCATGATCCGCCTGCCTCGGCCTCCAAAAGTGCTGGGATTACAGGTGTGAGCCACCGTGCCTGGCCCAACACATCTTTTTATAGCTGAGATCTGGGACTCAGATTCAGTGTCTCATCCAAGGCCTGACAGCCAGTGCCCTGTGCAGCTTCAATAAACAGAAATTATGATGGTGGTGACAGTGGTGATCTCCATTGACTCTAGACAGACAAGGTGGCTCCCATTTCCAGCAGGCTCAGCTTTGTGTGTTGCTTCTGAGGATCTTCAGTATCTGCAGCCAGACACCAGGCCTGGAGAATTCAAGGCATTTCTCCAGCTAGTAACTCTCAGAGACCTCAGCATGACCCCTGAATGTCTGACAGAAAGTCACTCAAAGCATCAACAATTTCTACCAGAACCTCCTCTGTGAGAATAAATCAATAACTTTTGTTTCGCAGTGGCAATAGAGATTACATTTGCCATCCTGAGGAGAAGCCTGGGTAACTAGTGGGGCAGCTCCTCAGCCTCACCCCTAGACACGGCCCTGCCCCTACAGAGCACTGGGTGGGTCCTCTCTACTAGGGATCTCTGCCACGGCTCATTCATTCTCACAAAGGATTTTGGAAGCCATAGATGTTGGAAAAAGAGCAGTAAGATGGATAGACCTGGTCCCTGTCTGAAAGGAAGAGACAGATAAGCCAAAATTACAACACTGTGAGAAAATTACTGTGATGGGGAAGTGAGAGACGTATCCTAGCTTGGGAGCATCCAGGGAGAGAGAGAGAGACAGAATGAGAAAGAGACAGAGAGAGAGAGAGAGAGAGAGAGAGAGACTGAGATTGCCATTTGAGGCTTCAGTTCTCCTGTGAAGTGGCAGTCAAGCACATCTGCTGAGTAGGTGTAGGCCAGAAGTTTAAGGAAAGTAAAGGAGGTTTGGAATAGCGTTGAGAAGGATGTGAGTGTTAATGTTGGCTAAGGAGACAATGATATCAACTCCACAGTGACTAGCACTTAGTAGTCACTCAATAAATGTACATATACACAAATATACATAGAATGAATGAATAAATACATTTCAAATGGTATTGCTGTGATTATTAGTTGTAGACTCATTTGTATGATTTTATCTGATAGGAGTGAACCACTTAATTAGAGGGAGTGTCTAAAAAAGGCAGAGAGTTGGGATTTTGCCAGGCAGGGATGATGAAAGAAAAGTAGGTGGGGATATTTAGGATGATACTTAAGTAATAGATTATGACGTTTACTGTGAAGAAGGAGGAAGTGAAAGCAAAAAGTTGTGAATGGAAAGGTCAATGGACTGGCAGTCCTGGGAATGTTAGTGAACTGGCATGTGAAGGCATAAGCTAGAAGGGTTGGAAGTTGAAGTCCATGATGCGATGTCAGACTGTTATTCAGAAGGAAGAATTATCCCTTGTCATAGGTCTAGGTTGTCTATTGGAATGGAGGTAAATGAATTTGAAATGAGAAAGCCTAAGAATTGAGAAGTCAGCTTCTTGGATAGTCCATCCATAGATCTAGGGGTATACCAGATATTTTTTCCTCTTTGAGATCCTTCCCCTGGGCCCTATCCCACCACTACCCTACCATCCAGACTCACTAAAAGTACCTGAATTCAGATGTGACAGCAAACTTAAGCACCTGAAGGGGCCATGGTATGGCTCAATGCCAGGTATTGAGCTATGAGACAGAGTTGTAGTGGACATTTTTGGTTTTATTTATTTTATCACCTGTCATTCATTCATTTTATGTTAACTGTACCTCTCTTGCCTTGTGGGGAAACCAATCCCATTTTTCAGTCTTGATCCATACATGCTCATGGAGTTGTCATCCCTCCATCTGGAATCTCCCTCTAGAAGTCTCCTGTGTCTGGGTCTAGCTAAAAGAAGATTTCACTCAACTTGTCACAATGACTATTTCATCATCCAATTGGTGGCACCTGCAGGGACTGTTGTGCGGAAGCACTACATTTTCTGAACACTGAATCCTGGCAGGATATGTCTTTCAATTTGCTATCAGTCATCCAGCCACTACCTAAGGACTAAGAATGAAGTCAGCACAGAAGAAAGAGCCAAAATGTGAAAATGAAACTAAATTTTGATGACATCTATTGAAGCCCTGCATCAACACTGCTGCTGGAAGCAAACTCTGCTCCTAGATATTTCCGTTATATGAGTCAATACTTTCCCTTATAATTGCCTACGATACAAGAATCTTCTCTATCACTGGCTCCATTGTCTGTGTTTATCCACTAAACATTTATTAGCTTTCCTGTACCTCAGTAGGTATAAATGGTACCTTTTTTGAAGAGTGGTAAAAATTAAATAAGATAATAAATGTAAAATCATAAATTTGCTCTACAGCAATGAAGTTCACAAAGAAGTCACCATTTACCAGGGTGGGAATAAAACCATTCAGTTATCATGGCAGCTCATTCTTCTATTTAGTGTAAAAAATTGTAAAACTTAACAAATTGCTTATAAAGGAGTCTTGGGTATTCAGTTCCTTATGGCTGTCTATAGGATGCCATGACTACATGGTCCACCCAAAGACAGGTGGCTCCACAGCCTCCATGCCATATATGGGCAGTGTCATCTTTTAATGAATCAAGACTTCGTGCTTGATTTAGCTCTCAGCAAATACATTCACTCATCAAATCAACTCCAACTCTCTTCACATATAAACGTGCCAGTAAGAAACCTGTCACAATATTCTGTTTTTCAAATCCCTGATACCACTAATACCCTTCGGCAAGTCCCCTTCTTTCAACCTACCATATCCCCCCACATCATCCCCATTTTATACATACTTAGGTAAATAGTCATCTCCCAGAAAAATCTGGATAGAGTTGTAGAACCGAGGCCTAACAAGTTCAGTTTAGGCTAGGACATAAGCAATTAATAACTTCTGAGAACAGAAGCACAGAGTTTTGTTGAAGAGAGGAGGGCAAAATTACCTTCATTCTTTTGGGAGTAGACTTTGGCAAGGAGTAGGAGATAGCAATTAATAGCTTGATAAATTTTCCTGCCATAAATGTAAATTACCTGGCACAGAGTGTATAGGTAGAGCAGGAATACCTCATCCACTTATAGTCAGCCCAACCTCTTTCCCGCAGCAAAGCATTGCTATGCCTCCTAAATTTGTGTGATAATCAACCTCTTCCTAGGGCCTCAGATCCTGAGTCCAGAGAAAGGAATGTGGAGGCAGCTACTTTAAGACCCTACACTGCCACTTGTCCTTTCTAGTGAAACTCAAACATGTTCTTGTTACCCTGGGAAATTTACAGCATAATTTGGGTTCTAGTTTTCAAGGGTATTGAAAAATCTAGATGAGAGATCAAGGAGTCCTTAACCTTGGACTCTGACCAAAATATTCAGATTCTGGCTAATTTCTCAATTCTAGGTCCTGCCATGGGGGCTGCCTCCAGGAATCTGAGCCTCTTAGACCTAACCAAGCTCCAGGGAGAATTTTTTTTATCCTGTTTCTGGCCTCTGGGATGCTTATGCCTTCTCCATCCCTGAGGGCCAGCCCATTTATGCCTTTTGGCTGCTCTGATATTAGGCATATGGTAGAGCATTTGATGTTTTATAGCTCCAAGTAACACAGTTTCCCTTGTATTCAATGTCAATAGCACCTCCAGGAACATACTTCTTAAAATGTAAATTATGTCCTCTGAAGTTGTGCAATGCCTGAGTCCTAGGTGTGGGCAAAAGCATTTGAGCACATTTTAAAGAGAAATAATTCCTCATCTGCATTACCATTATCCAGCTAATGATCTTTGCAGAGCTAGAGCAGGGATTCCTTTCTAAATTGTGCCGCCACCTCGTTTTGGGCAGGTCACTTACTAGCCCCTGTTGTGTCTGCAATCCTGTTTACTTACCTCTTGTGCTATGTGTCTTTGACTTGCTATGTAAACCCAGGACAGTTACTCAGCTCTTTTAAGTTACTATCTCTTCCTCTGTGAGAAGTCTTTGGGCCGTGCATACATGGAAAACCTCCCCTGACTAACACTTTTGTCTTAGTCTTTCTGTCTTTTGCATAACTAAGTCACACTAAATTCCCAGTTGTGAAGATTAGCTAAAATCATGAATGCAGTATATTATTAAGTACATTACTTAGAACAGAAATTAATATTATTCTTTGGGCTCTGTTTCTTGTATAAGCCTGGGCTCTTTGCAGAAGCTAAGGGTTGCTTCCCCATGACATTTTTCTAACAGGTAGGGCAAAGTGAAGAGATAAGTGTACAGCCAGGTTGAGCCACACTACCCTATCTTCTCCCATCTAGGCTTGAAGATTGGTAGTGGTACATCAAGTGGGTCCAGTGGCACCTGTTCATCCTGTTCATGTCATCTTTCTTTCTTTGGTGGCTTCAATTCCTTTAATTTTTTTTTTTTTTTTGCCGTCAGCTGCTCCATTTGACCCTTCAATAGCTTTGACTCAGACACATACATGTGAATGAGAATAAGAATACATTTGGTACATTTGACTGCTTTTGCTCTAATGGCCTAAGTACCGGTCCAGATGAACCCAAACAACTGTCCTGTTGCATAGGTACAGGGACCACCTTTGATGCATAAACTGAGAGTCCCTGGAAGAGATCCACAAGGTACACAAAGATCACAAGGCAGACCATCAAACTGATTTTAAAAAACTGCACTGAAGCCAAGATCCTGCACATTATCATCAAGCATGGCTCACAGAAAGAAGGAACAATGACCACATTCGCCAAAAGGGTATCTCCATAGACAAGCTCTGTGAACACATCTGCCACCAAAACATTCTACGTTGCTCTGATTAGCCTCAAGAAAGTGGGACCTAAGTGGGGTATGGTTTGCTCTTGCTTTTCTCGTTCTTTAAGATGCATCATTAGGTTGTTTATTTGAATTTTTTCTTCTTTTTTTGATGTAGGCACTCACGCCTGTAATCCCAGCACTTTGGGAGGCTGAGGCGGGCAGATCACCTAGGTCAGGAGTTTGAGACCAGCCTGGCCAACATGGTGAAACTCCATCTCTACTAAAAATACAAAAGTTAGCCAGGCATGGCGGTGCACGCTTGTAATCCCAGCTACTCTGGAGGCTGAGGCAGGAGAATTGCTTGAACCTGCGAGGGAGGCGGAGGTTGCAGTGAACCAAGATTGTTCCACTGCACTCCAGCCTGGGTGGCAAGCAAAACTCAGTCTCAAAGAAAAAAAAAAAGCTGTAAATTTCTCACTTAGTACTGCTTTTGCTATATCCCAAAGGTTTTGGTACATTACGTTTCCATTTTTATTTGTTTCAAGAATTTTTAAATTTCCTTTTTTTTTTTTTTTCATTGAGCCACTGGTCATTCAGAAACATACTGTTTCATTTCTGTGTGCTTATACAGTTTCCAGAATTCCTCATTATTGCTTTCCAGTTTTACTCCATTGTGGTCAGAGAAGATGTTTGATATTAAATTTTTTTGAATGTTCTAAGACTTGTTTTGTGACCTAACATATAGTCCATCCTTGAGAATAATCTATGTGCTGAGGAGAAGAATGTGTATTCTGCAGCAATTGAATGAAATGTTCTGTAAAGATCTATTAGGTCCATTTGTTCTATAGTAGATTAAGTCCAATGTTTCTCTGTTAATTTTCTGCCTGGGAGACCTGTCCAATGCTGAGGGTGGGGTGTCGAAGTCTCCAGCTATTATTGTATTGAGGTCTATCTCTCCCTTTAGCTCTAATAATATTTGCTTTATGTTTCTGGGTGATCCAGGGTTGGGTACATGCATATTTATAATCATTATATTCTCTTTCTGAATTCACCCCTTTATCATTATTTAATGACCTTCTTTGTCTCTTCTTAACAGTGTTTGTCTTGAAATCTATTTTGTCTGATGTAAGTATAGCTACTCTTTGTCTTTGATGGTTTCTAAGGTTATGGAATATCTTCTTTCATCCCTTTATTTTCAGTCTTTATAGGTGAAGTGAGCTTCTTGTAGGCAACAAACAATTGCATTGTGTTTTTTCATCCATTCATCTTTGCTATGTCTTTTTATTTGAGAATATAGTCAATTTACAATCAATGTTATTATTGATAAGTAGGGACTTATTTCTGCCATTTTGTTATTTGTTTTCTGTTTTTTTTTTTTTTGTGGTCATCTCATCATCTTTCTATTTGAGTCATTTACACACCACAATTCCACATTATAATCTTCTGTGTTTCTCTGTGTACTTACTATTACCAGTGAATTTTACATCTTCAGATGATTTCTTCTACTCATTAACATCGTTTTCTGTCAGATTGAAGAACTCTCTTTAGCATTTCTTGTAGGACAGGTCTGGTGTTGATGAAATCCCTAAGCTTTTGTTTGCCTGGGAAAGTCTTTATTTCTCCTTCATGTTTGAAGGATATTTTCACTGGATATACTATTCTAGGGTAAAAGTTCTTTTCCTTCAGTACTTTAAATATGTCATGCAACTGTCTCCTGGCCTGTAAGGTTTCCACCAAAAAGTCTGCTGCTAGATATATTTGAGTACCATTTTATGTTAGTTGTTTCTTTTCTCTTGCTGCTTTTAGGATCATTTCTTTATCATTGATTATTTCAAGTTTCATTGTGAAACGCTTCAAGGCATTTAATAATAAATCAGTCTTCCTTGGGTTAAATTTTCTTGGTGTACTATAACCTTCTTGTACTTGAATACTGATGTTTTTCTCCAGGTTTGGGACGTTCTCTGATACTATTCCTTTGAGTAAATTTTCAACCCCTATCTCTCTCTCTACCTCCACTTTAAGGCAAATACTCTCAGATTTGATTTTTTGAGGCTCTTTTCTTTTCTTTCGAGATAGGGTCTAGCTCTATTTATCAGGCTGGAGTGTAGTGGCAGGATCATGACTCACTGACTCACTGCAACCTCCGCCTCCCAGGCTCAAGACATTCTCCCATCTTAGTCTCCTGAGTAGCTTGGGTTACAGACATGCATCACCACACCTGGCTAATTTTTGTGTAAATTTGTGTAATTTTTTTGTGTATATATATATATACACACATACACACAAATTTATATTTATATATATATGTGTGTGTATATATATACATACACACACACACACACACACAGACACACATACAAAAATTAGCCAGGTGTGGTAATGCATGTCTGTAGAATATATATGTATATTCTATTTTTTTGGTAGAGATGGGGTTTTGTCATTTTGCCCAGTTGCCCAGGCTGGTCTTGAACTCCTGGGCTCAATAAATCTGTCCTCCTTGGCCTCCTAACATGCTAGGATTACAGGCAAAGATCTGTATTCAAGATTTAATTCTAGATTTTGTAGATATCCTTCATTATTTGTTTTTCTCTTTTGTCTCCTCTGAATATGTATTTTCCAATAGGCTTTCATCAAGTCCACTAGTTATTTCTTCTGCTTGCTCAATTCTGTTATTAATAGACTCTGATGCATTCTGTAGTATGCCAATTGCATTTTTCCACTCTAGAATTTCTGCTCAATTCTTTTTATTATCTCAATCTCTTTGTTAAATTTATCTGAAAGAATTCTGAATTCCTTTTTTGTGTTGTCTTGAATTTCTTTAAGTTTCCTCAAAATAGCTATTTTGAATTCTCTGTCTGAAAGATCACATATCTCTATTTTTCCAATATTGGTCTCTGATGTTTTATTTAGTTCATTTGATGGGGTCACATTTTCTGGATGGTCTTGATGTTGTGGATATTCACTGGTGCCTGGGTATTAAAGAGTTAGGTATTTATTTTAGTCTTCACAATCTGGGCTTGTTTATGCCCATCCTTCTTGGGAACATTTTCCAGGTATTCAAAGAGGCTTGGGCACCAAAGCCAATAACACTGGTTTTTTCAGATTCTTAGAGGTAGCACCTTGGTGATCTTGGATAAGATCTGGAAGAATTATCTGGATTGCCAGGCAGAAACTTTTTTTTTTCTCTTACTTTCTCCTAAACGAATGGAGTCTCTCTCTCTATGCTGAGTCACCTGGAACTGAGGGTGTGGTGATGCAAGCACCCCTGTAGCCACCAGCACTGGGAATGTGCTGAGTCAGACCTGAAGCCAGCACAGCACTGGGTCTCACCCATTGCCTGTTGTAACCACTCCAGCTACCATCTATTTTCACTCAAGGCCCTAGGCTCTACAATCAGCAGGTGGGGAAACCAGCCAGGTTTTTGTCTCCCATTTAGGGTGGCGAGTTCCCCCAAGCCCTGGGTGGGTCCAGGGATGCTGTCTGGGAGCCAGGGATTGGAGTAAAAAATCTTGGAAATTTACCGAATATTTTATTCTACTGCAACTAAGCTGGCACTGAAACAACAATATAAAGCTCTTCCCACTTTTTTCTCTCTTTTCCATAGGCAGAGGAGCCTTTCCCTGTGGCCACCACTGCCTTCAGCCCATAAGGGAGTTTTTCCAGGCTACCTCCGATGATCACTTAAAGCTCAACAGCTCTTCATTCAGCTTGTGGTGAGTGTGCCAGGCCTGGGACCCCCACTTTAGGGCAGTGGGGCTCCTCTCTGGTCCAGGACAGGTCTAGAAATTCTGTCCAAGAGCTTAGGCCTGGACTCAAAGACCCCAAGAGCCTGCTTGTTTCTCTGTCCCACCATGGCCAAGCTGGTACCTAAGATGCAAGACAAAGTTCCCTTTACTTTTTTCTCTGCTTTTCTCAAACAGAAGGCGTCTCTGCCTGTAGCCACCACAGCTGGGAATGTGCTGGGTCACACCTCAATGCAGCATGTCTAAGAGCCCAAGGCCCACAGTATACTACCTGGGTATTACTTCTGCTTATTCAGGGCCCAAGGGTTCTTTAGACAGCAGGTAGTGAACCCTGCCAGGACTGGGTCCTTCTCTTCAAGGCAGAAGGTTCCCCTTTGGCTCAGGGTGTGTCTGGAAATGTCATCCAGGAGCTAAGGCCTGGAACAGGTATCTCATGACGCCGCACAATACCCTATCCTACTGTGGCTGAGATGGTATCCAAGATGTAAGCCCTCTTTGCTCTTCATTCTCCTCACCTTAAGAAGCAAGCTGAGCTGCCTTGGACTCTGGGGAGTGATGGCACAAGCACTGCTTTATCTATTCCATCTGGTGTCTCCCTAGGTCATGTGCAATCCTAATACACTGACTCTGAGTCCAGTTCAGCACTAAGAGTTACCAAGAATTTCAGTCCTTGTGTCCTAGACTGCCTTTCAAGTTTACTTGGAACCCCAAAGCACTTCAGCCTGCTGTGGTGAGGCGTGCTGAGAAACTGAAGTTCAAGCTACTGGGCTGGGTGATTCTTTTCTGGCTAGGTGAGGTCCAAATGCTCCCTCTTGCATGGGGGCTGGCTGAGCCCAGCACGGCTTTGCTCTCTGCTGTGACAGGGCAGCACTGAATTCAATGTAAAGTCCTCCAGTTCTGTGCTCTCCCTCCCCAAGTGCACAGACTCTCTCCCAACAGCATGGCTGCTGCCAGGGGAAATATTAAGAATGGTGTAGGAGATTCAAGACTGTCTGTCTTACTTTCTTCAGTGACATGAAGTTAAAACCAGGTAGTCTCCTTTAGTGACATGAAGTTCAAACCAGCTGGTCTAATTGCTCACCTGATTTTTGATTCTTATGATGGTTCTTTTCTATGTGCAGATAGTTGTTAAAATTTGGTGTTATTGTCAGGATGAAGAGTGTAGACTTCTATTCCACAATCTTGCTCTACCCACTTCCTGCCCCCAGTTGAGATTCTTGCATTTTTGGGTTATAGTTGTATTAAATTTGAAAAAAATGTAGTTATTATTACATCAAATAATTTTGCTATCCTGTCTTCACCCTTCATGGGCTACAAGTTGAAGTATATTAGGTTGCTTGACATTTTCCCAGAGCTCACTTGTGCTCTGTTCATTGAAAATTGTTTCTAAAAATTGGAACCACTTAAAATTCTATCCAAACAATTCTGTAATCAAAGAGAAGATTAAAAAACAAATGGAAGGATGTCAAGAAAATAATAATAACTCAGTATGTATCAGTCTATGGTCAGTACAAATTTACTAAGAAGAAAATAGAATAAAAATAATGAGTTTTATTATATTGGGGTCAGAGAATGGCTTAGAGTTTTAAACTATTTGTATATTTTAGAACTTATTTAATTTTCTGGCCTACAATACATGGAAAATTTAAAAAACATGTATGTACCATAGAAACTTGAACAATAGATAATATTGTTTCTTACATTTTATACTTTTCTGTACTTAGAAACAGACTTACTTAATGTTCTTCTTTAGATTATCTGATTCCTCCCTATTAGTTTGTTTTCACACTGCTAATAAAGACATACCCGAGACTGTATAATTTACAAAGGAAAGAGGTTTAATGGACTCACAGTTCCACAGGACTTGGGAGGCCTTACATGGCTGCACGTCTTACATGGCAGCAGGCAAGTGTGCATGTGAGTGGGAACTTCGCTTTATAAAACCATCGGATCTCTTATTAACTATCATGAGAACAGCATGGGAAAAACCCACCCCCATCATTCAATTACCTCCCACCAGGTATCTCCCATGATATGTGGTGATTATGGGAGCTACAATTCAAGATGAAATTTGGGTGGGGACACAGCCAAACCACATCATACTTATTTTCCACAATATGGTGTGTCATAAATTTCAAATATTATGTTAAAGTCTACTATTACTACTTATTTCTGTGGGTTTTTTATGTCCTATAGTTTCTTTTAAGTGTTTGTTATTCTACTTGGCATAGAAACATTCATATGATTTGTCTCTGTTTATTGTATCTGTGTTTATTTAGAAGCTATTCACCTTTGTCCTTTTATGCCTTGATATCGTATACTAACATACCACTTATCTCTACATGATATTTATGATATTTTGAAATTTTGTCTTCTTTTTCAAGGCTGCATATCACAAATAAATGTTATTTAGACATTTATAGTTAACTGTATGCTTAGTTGGAATCAATGTCGACATCAGTTTTTATATGTTAAATCTTAAATTATGAGTTTCTCATTTTGATTCACATTTTATTTTGCTGTTTATCTTTCAAGATATATTTTTAAAAGATCTCACTAACACCATACTTTCTGCATTTGGAATATTTTATTGTTGCCTTTATACTTAAATGTTAGCCTGACTGAGTAAAGAATATTTGGGCCTCATCCTGTTTTCTTCACCACTTCATTCTTCATTATTCTATTGCAGGATTTATCAGTCTCAGAACTATTGGTATTTTGGTCTAGATAATTCTTTACTATGAGGGGCTATCCTGTGCATTACAAAATGTTTAGTAGCATCCCAGGCTTCTACCCATTAGATGTCAATGGCACCTAACCCCAGTTGTGACAACCAAAATGTCCTTAGATGTTGCCAGCGCTCCTGAGTGAAGTGTCCCTGGTTAAACCAAAGCTCTATTACATAATGAAATCACGTGTGACTGATGAGGAACCTGAGGTCAAGCTGCTTTCTAATTTTTCTGCATTGACTATGATGTACATCCTTTTAATCGGTGTGGTGAAATCTTTCTTCATTCTTAAATTCTACTAGTTTAGACAGTATATGTCTCAGACATGGTGGAATTTTCCTGATTTTTTCCCTTACCTATGTGCTTTTTTGTTTCACAGATTTATATCTTTCTTTGATTTTTTTTCTTCTAGTAAATATTTAGATTAGTATTTTTTTCCTTTATGTTTTTTTCTGTTTTTTTTTTTTTTTTTTTCTTGATAACATCAGTCATGCCTATGTTGGACTTAAAATTACCTGACTTTCATAACTATACTTTTACCTCTATTGAAATTCATCTTTTATCTTCTTTCCTTTGATGTGTATTCCTGTGATTTACAAAGCATATTCCTTGCTGAAATCCTAAGGTAGTCTGAACTCCTGGAATATAGTTACATATCTTAAATATCTAACTTTACAAGTATTACTTTAGTTAATTTAGTGGGGTGTGTGTGTGTGTGTGTGTGTGTGTGTGTTTAAAAAGTTTAACAACTATAAACTTGGTTTTAGGTTATTGTTTTACATCTTTTATCTGCTGTATTTCCTGTAGGATATTTTTGAAAGTTAAAACACACCAGTTGCAGTGGCTTGCATCTATAACCCCATCACTTTTGGAAACCAAGGTGGGAGGATTGCTTGAGCCCAGGAGTTCAAGACCAGCCCTGGAAACATAGCAATACCCCATCTCTACAATTTTTTTTAAAAATCTGCCAGACAGGGTGGTGCACACCTGTAGTCCCAGCTACTCCGGAGGCTAGGGTGGGAGGATCACTTGAATCTGGTAGTTCTAGGCTGCAGTGAGCTATACTCATCTCCCACTGCACTAAAGTCTGGGCAGTGGAGACTTTAGAGAGAGAAAGACTCTGTCTTAAAAAAAAAATGAAATCATCATTGAGAGAAGGAAAATTAGTATCTGTCCCAATCATCTTTCAACTTTTATCTCCTTGTGTGGGATATAGCAATTCCCCCAGGATTTTTGTTTTTAAGTATTAGAAACTAGGCCGGGCGCGGTGGCTCACGCCTGTAATCCCAGCACTTTGGGAGGCCGAGGCGGGTGGATCACGAGGTCAGGAGATCGAGACCATCCCGGCTAACACGGTGAAACCCTGTCTCTACTAAAAATACAAAAAATTAGCCGGGCGTAGTGGCGGGCGCCTGTAGTCCCAGCTACTTGGGAGGCTGAGGCAGGAGAATGGCGTGAACCCGGGAGGCGGAGCTTGCAGTGAGCCGAGATCCCGCCACTGCACTCCAGCCTGGGCGACAGAGCGAGACTCCGTCTCAAAAAAAAAAAAAAAAAAAAAAAGTATTAGAAACTAAAGAGTTGATATTAATAAACTATTGAAAAAATTTTGCAGTACTTTACTTGATTATTGAAATAATATTGTCAACTTTTACAATCATAGAAATAATTTTTTTAATTTTTTTTATTATTATACTTTAAGTTCTGGGATACATGTGCACAACATGCTGCAGGTTTGTTACACAGATATACATGTGCCATGTTGGTTTGCTGCACCCATCAACTCATCATTTACATTAGGTATTTCTCCTAAAGCTATCCCTCCCCCAGCCCCCCACTGCCCTACGGGTCTCGGTGTGTGAAAGTCCCCTCCCTGTGTCCATGTGTTCTCATTGTTCAGCTCCCACTTATGAGTGAGAACATGCGGTGTTTGGTTTTCTTTTCTTGTGTTACTTTGCTGAGAATGATGTTTTCCAGTTTCATCCATGTCCCTGCAAAGGACATGAACTCAAAAATAATTTTTTAAAATAACCATATGCATAGAACTTTCTCCTTGATTATTGTCCCACAACAACTTAGCAAGGTATTAAATTTTTTTTTGTTATATAGATAAGAAAATGAGGGCAAAGACTTCACAACACTAGTAAAGCAGAGAATTTCATTTTTCTGAATCTTTTTTTCCCTACAAGATTGAAATAATGAACAACTTTCTAAATATGATAACCATGCTGCTTGCAATTATATTATTTAAAATTTAAAATTAATGAAGTTAATAGCGACTATTTTAGGAGTCACAAATTTTTTTTTTTTTTTTTTTTTTTTTTTGAGACGGAGTCTCGCTCTGTTGCCCAGGCTGGAGTGCAGTGGTGCAATCTCGGGTCACTGCAAGCTCCGCCTCCCGGGTTCACGCCATTCTCCTGCCTCAGCCTCCCTAGTAGCTGGGACTACAGGCGCCCGCCACCGGGCCTGGCTAATTTTTTGTATTTTTAGTAGAGACGGGGTTTCACCGTGGTCTCAATCTCCTGAGGGAGTCACAAATTTTAAGGCAGGAATACTTTTGTCTGTAACAACCAGTGAATTTCAGTGGATTAAGAAAAATATAGAGAATGTATCCTTTTGAAAAAAAGAAAAGTCCTATGTATGTAATAAATTAATTCAATAAATTTATTTTTATAAACAGGTCATGTAAAATGTAATGAATAATAATAATGTACCTACATGTTCATTTCTCTTTCTTTATATCTATTTCTGTTTTTAACTTTATCTCAGTCTTTAATCTATATCCTTGTTGAAACCTACATTTTTTGGTTGTTCTTTATACACACATTTTCTTTGGTAATTCTGCTGGATGATTATACATCTCCCTCATTGTTCTACTTCTGTCCTTCAGATAATTCTCTAAACTGCCACAACAGAAAGATATTAAGAGAGATGTGTTTGATTCTGCTATAGTTCATCTATGAAAGCAGCCCATAAAAGGACTCAGAGAAAACCCCTGGGAAGCATTATTCTTATTTTTCTTAAATTTGTTTTCAATTTTTATGGATACATAATAGATGTACATAGTACTTTTCCAACTAAGTCTAAGATACTAAAATCTTTATAGAGCAACACTTATAATTACTTTTATACAAATCATCTCTTTTTTAGTTTATTAATTTTCCAGGCATTAATAAGCTTCATGATTTATAAATGAAATGCTGCTCTGTTCTTGAAAGAGATAGTATGGTGTGAAATATATGAAAAAAGTGAAATAAAAGTTACCTTGGTTTTAGTTCTAGCAGTCTTTGAATAGGTTTAGTGTTTTCAGTAGTATTCAGTTACTACAGTATAATCTTGTATATTTTAAAAAGTCTGTTTATTTTGGAAGTTTGTTATTTCTATTTTAGTGTAGGAGCTATGTGAACAGAAATGACCTTGTTCCCCCTGCCCGTTATTTTTTCCTGGTTTTGTTTCTTTTACTTCATTCATCTAATGATAGTGTCATTGCTCTAGAATGAATACAATAAATGACAAAAAATACTTACTAAATATTTATCGTGGATGTCCATAGTATTCATTTTTAATCACAAGTAGTAGATTTGTAAATCTAGACAATTAATTCATAAAAATATTTAGTTATTTCCCTTCCAATTTAGACAGGGAGCAACCAAGAGAACAAAGAATAATTTTACATAAAAATTAATGAGACACAAATAATCTATCATTCTTTTTGCTGCAAGGAAAAAATTTGCCATGGGATATTGAACAGAGCAGTTTGTAGGAATATATGAGGCCAATGTTTCTCTGTAGCATAAAATCTTTTACATTCAAAACTAGATTTTTATCCATAGTTCTCATTATACAGAACTACAAGTTAAAATCAAGCAGTGCAATTTTTGATGGTTTGATTCTTTGAATGGCAATATTTTGGATGTTTGGTGGTAATTAAATGGGAATTACTTAGAAATATTCTAATATTTATTCTATATTCTAATTAGCTACAGTTTAAAATTACTTAGAAAACCTGTAATAATCGGTTGACACAGGTCAGTGTTATTCTTATTTTACAGATTATAAACGGAACAATAGAAAAGTTAATAAGCATAGTCATAGTAGAGATTCAGCTGCAAAATTATCTGTCTTTTATTTATATAGACAATGAAGATAATGATAAATTAAAGACTATATGTGTTTATTACATATATACATATGCATACATATATAATATTTTTTTCCAAATTTCAAATCAAAATTTAGGTAATTATTGTCACTCTAATGAGCCACAGTTCATACATACATTGACTCAAAATAATTTTAATGACAAAATTAATATTGAGCAGCATGATTAATGAAACATTACAACATTGAACCTTTTCTTTCTAATCTCTTTTCTGTTGTTGTTTGGTTTGACTTCCATAGTAAACAGATTTCTTCAACAGGCAAACTTAAGAGTTTCTTAAGTGCAATTTTTATTATTGTTTTTGTACAATGTTGCCTGTTTATTCTGAAAAATATGAGAAAGAAATAAATGAGGATATATAGCTTTGGAATAACTGTGGGTCCTTATCCAATAAGTCACCACAGATGCCCTGACTCATTTTGATGACAGTTTCCTCTCTTATGTGATTATAAACACTTCAAGATACAAGTTGAGTAATATAACCATATTGAATATGAAAGCTTGAAAAAATGTGTAGTAGAGAGATGTTACAAATGTTACATAGCCTATTCACATATAAAGAAAGACAATGCAGATAATTTTCTTAATAAAGAATATGTGTGAGTACACTATATTCTACTGTATTGCATATTTTGGTTTGGTTTGTTTTTCTTTGTTTTAGTAAACTAAGAAAAACAATTTCAAGGTCATTGTCAATGAAGACAAACAGCTATTTCCTCCTATAATTTAAATGTAGGGTTATCAAGCAACGACACTGTATATTATATTAACCTGCCTTTTCAAATACACAATATATTCTGGTTGTTTGTAACAGTATGGGTTATGTTATTTTTCAACTTGAAACATCATCAAAAATCATATATATACATAAAGAACAAAATTAAGCAAGGAAATATTTCATATAAAACTACTGATGTAGGTTAAAGTGAGCATAGGAGCTAAATATAAAGAGAGAATACAAATAGAAACAGATACAAATATATAGTAATATTTGTAAGAGTTCTCTTCATGATAACATGACATCTTGAAAAATACTTCTTGAATTTGCTAATTTGAATTAAGTAATTACTTCTTTCATGGCAAATTAAATATAGTCACTAAAGAATGTTTATTTTATAAAGAGACATTGGGTCATTTGGAGTATTGGTATTGCTGGGATACCCCATAACCACCAAACCTCAGTCCCTAAAAATAATAAAAGCTTAATTTTTGCTTATGCTACGTGTCCAACATGGGTTAGATAGAAACATCTACTTATCACATTCTCATCTAAGAAGTCCAGGATGAGGGAGAGTCCATTTTGGTGCTTTCATGACTGCCAAGGCAGCAAAAATAAAATGTGAGAAATTTTTTACTGATTTGTAAGTCTTCCACTTCAAAGTGACATGTGTCACTTCTACTCACAATGTGTTGGTCAATAAAAGTCATGTGATCACTTTCAACTTCAAGTGGGCAGGTACATGAATCTGGGAGGAAGAAACAATTTATTTGTTGAACAACACTAATGACTCTTTTAGCCTATCCTCTAAGTGACAAGTAGTTCTCAATGAAAAATATATGCACTCCTTTCCATTGGAAACAACCCCATTCAATCATAACATGAGGCACAAATTCTAATTTTTTTGCACTTGTGAGGAACATTCTTTAGCAAATACTAATACATAGTAGACGCTACATCAGCTCATCTCTTGACAGATTTACTAATTAAAAAGGCAAGATATCTGTTCTCATTCCTCCAATATATGATGGGATAACAGGCATAGGATGGTCATACAAAAAATATCATACAGAAAATAATATATAATGCATGGTAGACATATTCACTAGTATACAACTTGATTATTGAAATAATATTGTCAACTTTTATAATCACAAAATAATTAAAAAAAAATTTTTTTTATTATGCCTTAAGTTCTGGGGTACATGTGCACAACGTGCAGGTTTGTTACATAGATATACATGTGCCATGTTGGTTTGCTGCACCCATCAACTCGGAAATCCTTGTGGGTAGATATTTTGAGAGCAATACCATGGGTGCTCACTAATGTTCCTTATTAGGACTTGGTTTTATTACCAGGCTGTAGATCTTTGTTTCATTGTTCTCTGTGGACTCAGTTCCTCCCTATAAGAGATTATCCTAGTTGACCTCTATGCTTTTCTTGGGGGTGCTGAGCATCTTTCTCCATCCACTACCTACCCATGGATGAGTCAGGAAACAAGGATTGTTTTCTTAAATCATCGTAGAATGTTTCGAACAAGGCTGGTGATTTTTTTTGCCATACAACTCCTGATTGATTTGATTGCAGTCACTTCCATATGACAACAGCCACTTACACAGTTAATTTTCTGGAATTATTTCTTAGATTTTATATAGTTCTATGTATTCCTCTCTCTCTCTTTCTTTTCTTTCCTTACTCATCTTTCTCTAATACCTCAATTATAAAAATCTTGGGCTTTTTGTAAATTTAGTCTTTTTTTCTTAATTGAAAGGTTCCTCAGCACCCCATAATTGGACTTTTACTCTGAGACACTTAATCAGTAAGGTAGAATAAATGGAATAATATCTATGATCATGGATTAGAAGATTTAATATTGTTAAGTTGTCTATACTATTAAAAGTGCTATACAGATTCGATGCAAGCTGTTATCAAAATCTCAATGACAGTTTTTACAGAAATAGAAGAAACAATTCTAAAATTTATATGGAACCACAAAGGACTTCAAATAGCCAAAGCCATCTGAAGCAAAAAGGACAAAGTGGGAGGCATTACACTTCCTGATTTCAAAATATATTACAAAGCTACAGAATTTAAAACAGCATGGTACTTGTATTAAGATAGATATATTGCCAATAGAGCAGAATAGAAAGCCCAGAAATAAACTCATGCATATATCATCAAGTGATCTTCAGCAAGGTCACCAAGAATACACAATGGAGAAAGGATAATCTCTTCAACAAATGGTGTTTTGGGGGAATTTGATATTCACATGCAAAAGAATGATATTAACTCAAAAATGGATTAAAGACTTAAACAAGGACCTGAAACTATAAAACTTTTAGAAGAAAACCTAAGAAATGCTTCATGACGTTGATCTTGGCAGTGATTTCTAGGCTATAACACCAAAAGCACAGGCAACAATAGCAAAAAATGTACAACTGGGACTTCATCAAACTAAGAAGCTTCTGTACAACAAAGGAAACTATTAACACAGTGAAAGACAGCCTATGGAATGGGAGAAAAATATTCACAATCCACATATCTGCTCTGGGACTAATATCCAAAATGTAGAAGAAACTCCCACAACTCAATAGCAAAAACTACCAAATAACCCAGTTTAAAAATGGGCAAAAGACTTGAATAGACATTCCTCCAAAAAAGACATACAAATTGCCAATAAGTATATGAAAAGATATTCAACATCACTAATCATGAGAAAAATGTCAATCAAAACCACAGCAAGTTATCATCTCACATCTGTTTTGATGTTCAGTATAAAAAATAGATAAGTGTTGATGAAAATGTGGAGAATATTCAATGCTAATACACTACTGGTGAGAATGTGAAATGGTGTAAGCCCTATGGAAAATGATATGGAATTTCCTCAAAAATTAAAATTACAGCATGCATTTCCACTTCTGGGAATTTATCCAAAAGAATTAAAATCAGGATGTCAAAGAGGTATATGTACCTTCATGTTTACTGTAACATTATTTACAATAGCCAAGATAAAGAAACAACCTAAATGTCCATTGATTTGTGAGTAGATAAAGAAAATATGGTATATACATACAATGAAATATTTCAGTGATTAAAAAAAGAAAATCCTGCCATACAAAACATGTATTAACTCTGAGATGATAATGCAAAATGAGATAAGGCAATCACAGAAGGACAAATATTGCATGATTCCACTTATATGAGGGTTCTAAAATATGGAAACTCATAGAAGCAGAAAGTGGAATGGTGGTTGCCAGGTGCTGAGGCTAGGGGGACATGAGGATTTGCTGTTCAATCAGTGTGAAGATTCAGTTATGCAAGATCAATAAGTTCTAGAAGTCAGCTGTAGTACATCATTGTGCTTATAGTTAACAATATTGTATTGTACACTAATTTTAAGAGGATATATCTCCTGTTATTTGTTCTTACCACAGTGAGAATACAAAGCAAAACAAAATTAAAAACTAGGGGCCAAGTTTTCCCTCTTAGCCTTGACATCTCTTACCCTGTTAATATCTGTTTTCTGCTAAACAAAAGGAAGAACTGTTTTTTTCTTTCTAGCTACTTATTCAGCTTTTTTTTACTTCAACATCACTTAAATATTTCTGTGTCTATTGAAAGACCAGTGCATACAATGAGTGTGCATATAATTTGACAGTGACCTCTTGCACTAGACTAATCAGTAAGACTGACTTTCCCTGATGTTGCTGTCAAGGAAGATGCTTCCTTGTTTACTCATTCATGGGCATTGCTCTTGAAAAATGTATAACCATGTGAGTCATTTCTATGCTTCAGTGTAAAACAAGAATTTCCCCCCAAATTTTAGAGATTAATTCCACTACGTACAATAAAAGTAACCTTCAATCTGTTCTTCTAGTCTAAACATGCAGCTACAATTAAAGTCAGAGCCTGACAGAATTGTAAGGATAGAGTGTTTGGACATTTTCCAAGTGCCTACTTACTTTCTGTTCTTGCTTTGATTTCGCCATTTATAGCTCATAAATAGGGTGAATCAAAACAAGGCTCTTAATTCCTCCTTCTCTAGAACAAGAATCAGCAAACTTTTTATTTAAAGGACCAAATAGTACATATTTTTGACTTTGTGGATCCTATAGTGTCAGTCCCAACTGCTCAGCACCAGTGTTGTGCGAAAGCAGCATAGGCAATATGTGAACAAATGACCATGGCTGTAAACAAAATAAAATAATACCTTATTTACAAAAATAGGTGGTGGGCCTGATTTGGCCCATGGGCAGTAGTTTGGCAACCCACACTCTAGACCTGTGCTGTTCAGTAAGTCAGCCTTTAGACACATGACTATTTGTATTTAAATTAAATATAATTAAAATAACATTAAACATTCTAGTTCTCAGTCATCCTTACCATATTTCAAGTGCTTAATAGTCACGTGTGGCTAGCCACTCTCTATTGGGTAGTGCCTTAGAATGTTTCCATCATCACAGAACTTTCTATTGGGCATCTCTGTGGTCTAGATCAACTTAGTTGAAATTCTTTAGCAAGCTCTATGCTATGCACTGAATTCCTGCAATAACCATGAGTTCACCAGAAGATATTACCTACAGCCTTGGTTGACCATATTGTTTGGACTTATATTAAAGTTGCTGTCATTGACTCTGTATTTAAGGAACCAGGAATAAATTCTAAATACATCAATTGCCTTGGAATAATTATCCTTTTACACTCCCTACTATATGCCTGAGTGTTTACCTTAGTTTCTTAGAAAAGAAAGTTCTAAATTCTTATGAAGTAAATATGAAAGTCTTAATGGCAATGAATTCTCTCCAGAGTGCTTGGTCAGACATTAATTTAAGCTCTTTCAATGCCTTTTTTTTTGAAGGCTAAACTATGCCATAGTTTTGGCTAGTGCCAAAGATTCTGATTCACAATATCTTCTTGAATTGAAATATGATTGCCTCCTGACCTTTCACTGTCATGGCTTATCCTCTCGAGTGGACTCCTTTTGCACGGATTTTTGTCAAAACCTTGTCAGGGTAATAAAACTTCAGCCTGGTTCCAGCAAACATGCCAGAATTTAGACCTCCAAATCAATGCTGTCCATGCCAAAAAAAGTTAGCTTGGAAGCTACGCATTTATTTCAGTGATGCTACCATTATTTTAAAGGTTTTAGAATTAGACTGTAAGAATTGCCTTCACAACATAAATAACTTATATTTTAGAAAGTACTCAATGCTCCTTAAAATATGATGTGGTTACATCCTTCTAAACTCTTCAAAATTTGAAAATATTGTAAATCAAAAATGAATTTAATACACCTAGACTACCAAACATCATAGCTTGGTCAAACCTACCTTGAACATGCTCAGTTATTTACATTAGCCTACAGTTGGGAAAAATAATCTAATGAAAAGCCTACTTTATAATAAAATATTGAATACCTTGTGTAACTTATTGAATATTGTACTGAGAATGCAAAACAAAATGATTATATGGGTACTCAAAGTATGTTTTCTATGGAATGTGTGTCTATTTTACTCCATCATAAAGTCAAAAAAATCATAATCATGGTAAGTCAAGGGCCCTCTCTATTTATTTAGCATTTGCTGACTGGTACATTATACTTATATAGTGCATAGGATGTTCAAACATGAGAAAGAAACAGTTTTTAATCCTTAAGGAGCTTGCACAATAGGACAAATAGACACGTACTACCAAAACTGCAATGAAAGCAATAAATTTAGGTAATAGTAAATAAAGTAACCCAAAGTTGTCCATTGAATGGGAAAATGGCAAAACTTAACATAAACTTTGGTATTGAAATATAAGATGTGACTACAGTATTAGTGCTTTGTCTCCGAAAATGATTCAAAACATTCAATAGTGTAATAGATGAGTAACATGAAATCCTTCTAAGTAATCACCTAGAAAAACATGTCTAATTTACAAGTTGCATAGCCTTTGCATATTTATACTAAGATGTGTCATTATAATTTTGAATATATTAAAGTGCCATCCTTGTCTGGGGTAAATACCTGAGATTCACTGTCTCACAGACATGGAAAACTAGGATGCGGACACACAAAAAGTGAGTTTCAGAGTGGAAGTTTAATGGGTGAAAGAAAGAGAAAAGCTCTCTTGCAGACAGAGGGGTCCTGAATGGGTTTCCACTTCTGCAGTGAAATGAGAAGGTTTTATAGTAACTTGAAGAGACAATGACTGATATGCATAGGGTTCCAAAGATCAGTCCAATCAGGTGTGCCATTTACACAGCATGTGAAAAGCTGGCCGCCCCACCCTAATCTTTTATTATGGAGATGGGTTCTCTACCTGGGTGGTGTCATGTTGCCTGGTTCGGTACTGTACACGTGAAGACAAAGAAAAGGAAAAATGGAGCCTCCTTGTTGAACATGCCTGGCCTCCAGGTAGCCCTTTTCTATTGGCAAGCTGCTGGTATTCACTCGTGCAAGCTTCCAGCTTGTTTATCTATGTCTGCAGCTCAAATTTTTAGGCTGCTCTTTGTTAGAAAAGAAATGATTTTGGAGCTGCTTTTTGTTAAAGGGAAGACTTGCTGAGGACTCCTTTACCCTCACTATCTGCCTAAATTGTTTTTTTCTAGTTCCTGTATCAATATGAGTATCTAATACATAAACAAACAAAAATTATCACATTATACCTTGAACATTTTCTGTATCAGACAACTGGAATTATTGCTTTTAAAATTAAAGGGTTAAATAGCTGCTGGAATGATTGATTGAACAGTACAAGGAAAGACAATATACATGCATACACACATGTACACACACACATTAGAAGAAACAGGATGAAAAGATGGCAGAAGGAGGAAGGACTAGCTTGAAGCTCCTGCTCGGACAGACAGAACAGTGTGTGGAGACTCACATCGTGAACATTTGCTCAAAGACCTACCATAGGCACATACCAGGAAAGTTGAGAGAATCCACAGACCCTTTGTAGGAAGTGGATTGTTGCTGCAGGCTCCCTGAGATGCCAAAAAACTGTGAGTCACCTTGCTTTCCCAGCTGGGAGGCTGGTGGTCTGGGATAAGTTTTCAGCCCTGATCACCAACTGCCTGGAAATAGATTCATTGATGTTGGGAGGGCAAAGAGGGAGTGAGACCACCCTTTAGGACTGTGGGCTGCATGGGAATGAGGTGAGGCCTGTGACTGCTGGCTTTGCCTTACTTCCCTGGTGTATTAGTTCATTTTCACACTGCTGATAATGACATACCTGAGACTGGGAAGAAAAAGAGGTTTTATTGGACTTACAGTTCCACATGGCTGGGGAGGCCTCAGAATCATGGCAGAAGGTGAAAGGCACTTCTTACATGGCAAAGATGAGAAAATAAGGAAGAAGCAAAAGCGGAAACCCTTGATAAACATGAGACTTATTCACTATCATGAGAATAGCATGGGAAAGACTGGCCTCCATGATTCAATGACCTCCCCCTGGGTTCCTCCCATAACATGTGGGAACTCTGGGAGATACAATTTGAGTTGAGATTTTGGTGGGGACACAGCCAAACCATATCATTCCCCTCCTGGCCCCTCCAAATCTCATGGCCTCACATTTCAAAACCATTCATGCCTTCCCAACAATCCCCCAAAGTCTTAACTCATTTCAGCATTAACCCAAAAGTTCACAGTACAGAGTTTCATCTGAAACAAGCCAAGTCCCTTCTGCCGATGAGCCTGTAAAATGAAAAGCAAGCTAGTTATCTTCCTACAAGCTAGATACAATAGGAGTACAGGTATTGGGTAAATACAGCCATTCCAAATGGGAGAAATTGGCCAAAACAAAGGGATTGCAGGGCCCACGCAAGTCCAAAATCCAGTGGGGCAGTCAAATTTTAAAGCTCCAAAATTATCTACTTTGACTCCACGTCTCACATTCAGGTCACGCTGATGCAAGAGATGGGTTCCCATGGTTTTGGGCAGCTCTACCCCTGTGGCTTTGCAGGGTACAGCCTCCTTCCCAGCTGCTTTCACAGGCTGGCATTGAGTGTCTGCAGCTTTTCCAGGCAAATGGTACAAGCGGCCGGTGGATCTACCATTCTGGGGTGTGGAGGATGGTGGCCCTTTTCTCACAGCTCCACTAGGTAGTGCCCTAGTAGGGACTCTGTGTGGGGGCTCCAATCCCACATTTCCCTTTCACACTGCCCTAGAAGAGGTTCTCCATGAGGGCCTTACCCCTGGAGCAAACTTTTGCCTGGGCATCCAGGCATTTCCATACATCTTCTGAAATCTAGGCAGAGGTTCCAAACCTCAGTTCTTGACTTCTGTGTACCTGCTAACTCAACACCACATTGAAGCTGCCAAGGCTTGAGGCTTCCACCCTCTGAAACCACATGAGCTGTACGTGGGCCCCTTTCAGCCATGGCTGGAGTGGCTGGAACACAGGGCACCAAGTCCCTAGGCTGCACACAGCATGGGGACCCTGGGCCCAGCCCACAAAACCACTTGTTACTCCTGGGCCTCCAGGCCTGTGATGGGAGGGGCTGCCTTGAAGGTCTCTGACATGGAGACATTTTCACCATGTTCTTGGGGATTAACATTAGGCTCCTTGCTACTTATGCAAATTTCTGCAGGCGGCTTGAATTTCTCCTCAAAAAATGGGTTTTTCTTTTCTACTGCATCGTCAGGCTGCAAATTTTCTGAGCTTTTATGCTCTGTTTCCCTTTTAAAATGGAACGCTTTTAACAGCACCCAAGTCACTTTTTGAATGCTTTGCTGCTTAGAAATTTCTTTTGCCAGATACCCTAAATCCCTCTCAATTCCAAAGTTCCACAGATCTCTAGGCCAGGGGCACAATGCCACCAGGCTCTTTAGTAAAACATAACAAGAGTCACCTTTGCTCCAGTTCTCAACAGTTCCTTATCTCCATCTGAGACCAATTCAGCCTGGAGTTTATTTTTCATATCACTATGAGCATTTTTGTCAAAGCCATTCAACAGCAATTTAGGAGGCTCCAAACTTCCCCACATTTTCTTGTCTTTTTCTGAGCCCTCCAAACTGTTCCAACCTCTGCCTGTTACCCAATTCCAAAGTCACTTCAACATTTTCAGGAATCTTTTCAGCAACACCCTACTATACTGGTACCAACTTACTGTATTAATTCATTTTCATGCTGCTGAAACAAACCTGAAACTGGGAAGAAAAAGAGATTTAATTGGACTTACAGTTGCACATGGCTGGGGAGGCCTCAGAATCATGGCTGAAGGTGAAAGACACTTCTTACTTGATGGCGGCAAGAGAAGAGTGAGGAAGAAGCAGAAGCGGAAACCCTGATAAACCCATCAGATCTCATGAGACTTATTCACTATCACAAGAATAGCATGGAAAAGACCATCACCCATTATTCAATTACCTCCCCCTGGTTCCCTCCACAACACATGGGAATTCTGGGAGATACAATTCAAGTTGAGGTTTCAGTGGGGACACAGCCAAACCATATCACCTGGTGACCTGTATGACTGAGCAGAGGCAGCCATAATCCCCCTGGGAACATAACTCCATTGGCCTGGGAACCACACCCCCCATCCCCTACAGCAGCCACAACAAGCCCTGCCCAAGGAGAATTCGAGCTCAGACACACCTATGCCTGCCCCCACCTGTTGTACTGGAGTGGAGTAGGGCTGAGACTGGGGTTGGGCCTTCTATGGCAGTTGGAAGTCAGAGGTGGAGGCCCTGGTGGTCTTTCTCTACCTGCCCTGGTTGCCAAAGACAAAGGACATAACTTCTTGGGAGCTCTATGCCCTGCACACCACCCAAGAAACCTGAATACTTAACCAGGTGGCCCTAGGACAAGTTTGCATCCTCCCTCTAGTACCACTGCTGATGTGCTCTTGAAAGCAACACCTCCTGGCTGGAGGCCAACCGAAACAAAACTACTGCACTAAACAAAAGTAAAACCAAGGACTCCCACAGAGTCCATTTTACTCCCCTGCTACCTCTACCAGAGCAGGTGCTGGTATCCACGGCTGAAAGACCTGAAAATGAATCACATAACAAGACTCTTTGCAGACACTCCCCAGTACCAGCTTGGAGCCCAGTAGCTCTCCTGGGTGGCTAGACCCAGAAGAACAAAAACAATCACTGCAATTCAACTCTCAGGAAGCCCCAACCCTAGGGGTAGGGGGAGAACAGCACATCAAGGGAGCACCCCATGGGACAAAAGAATATGAACAGCAGCGCTTGAGTCCCACATTTTCCTTCTGACGTAGTATACCCAAATGAGATGAAACCAAACAACCAATTCTGGTAATAGGACAAAACAAGATTCTTTAACACCCCTAAAAGATCACACCAACTCACCACCAATGGATTCAAACCAAGACAATATCTCTGAATTACCAGAAAAAGAATTCAGAAGCTCGATTATTAAGCTAATCAAGGTGGCACCAGAGAAAGTTGAAGTCCAACTTAAACAAAATCAAAAACATGATACTGGATATAAAAGGAAAAATCTTCAGTGAAATAGATAGCTTAAGTAAAAGACAATCACAACTTCTGGAAATCAAGGCACACTTAGAGAAATGAAAACCAGTCCAGAAAGTCCCAGCAATACAATCAAACAAGCTGAAGAAAGAATTTCAGAGCTCAAAGACAAGACTTTTGAATTAATCCAGTCCATCAAAGACAGAAAAAAATTAAAATAAAAAAGAGAACAAAGCCTCCAAGAAGTTGGGGACTATGTTAAGCATCCAAAAATAAAAATATTCAGTGTTCTCAAGGGAAAAGAGAAGTCTAAAAGTTGGGAAAACATATTTGAGGGAATAATTGAGGAAAATTTCCATAGCCTTGCTAGAGATCTAGACGTTCAAATATAAGAAGCACAAAGAACACCTGGGAAATTAATTGCAAAAAGATCATCATCTAGGCACATAGTCATCACGTTATTTAAAGTCAAGACAAGGGAAAAAATCTTAAGAGCTCTGAGGCAAAACCATTAGGTAACCTGTAAAGGAAAACCTATCAGAGTAACAGCAGATTTCTCAGCAGAAATGCAACAAGCTAGGAGGGATTTGGATCCTATTTTTAGCCTCCTTAAACAAAACAAGTATCAGCCAAGAATTTTGTATCCAAAGAAAGTAAACTTCATAAATGAAGAAAAGATAGTCTTTTTACAAACAAATGTTGAGAGAATTTGCCACTGCCAATCCAGCACTACAACTGCTAAAAGGAGCTCTAAATCTTGAAATAAATCCTGGAAATACACCAAAATAGAACCTCCTTGAAGCATAAATCTCACAGGACCTATATAATAATAACACAATAAAAAAAGTATTCAGGCAACAGATGGAATGATGAATAGAACAGTGCCTCACATCTTCATAATAATGTTGAAAGTAAATGGCCTAAATGCACCACTTAAATGATGAAGCAGAATGGCAGAATGAATAAGAATTCACCAACCAAGTATCTGCTGTCTTCAGGAGACTCACCTAACACATAAGGACTCTCATAAACTTAAGGTAAAGGGATGGAAAAAAATATTCCATGAAAATGGACACCAAAAGCAAGTAGGAGTAGCTATTCTTATATCAGACAAAACAAACTTTAAAACAATAGCAGTTAAAAAAGACAAAAAGGGACATTATATGATGATAAATGGACTAGTCCAACAGGAAAATATCACAATCTCAAATATATATGCACCTAAACTGGAGCCCCCAAATTTATGAAACAATTACTACCAGACCTAAGAAATGAGACAGATGGCAACACAGTAACAGTGGGGGACTTTGATCCTCCACTGACAGCACTAGATAGGTCACCAAGACAGAGTCAGCAAAGAACAATGGATTAAACTATACCTTATAACAAATAGACAATATATTTTCAGAACATTTTACACAACAACTGCAGAATATACATTCTATTCATCAGCATAGGGAACGGTCTCTGAGATAGACCATATGATAGGCCACAAAACAAGTCTCAGTAAATTTAAGAAAATAGAAATTATATTAAGTACTCTCTTAGACCACAGTGGAATAAAATTGGAAATTATCTCCAAAAGGAACCTTCAAAACCATGCAAATACATGGAAATTAAATAACCTGCTCTTGACTGATTGTTGAGTCAACAATGAAATCAAAAAGGAATTAAAAAAATTTTGAACAGAAGAATAACGGTGACACTACCTATCATAACCTCTGGGATACAGCAAAAGTGGTGCTAAGAGAAAAGTTCATAGCATTAAATGCCTACATCAAAAAGTCTGTCAACCTGACCAACATGGCGAAACACCATCTCTACTAAAAATACAAAAATTAGCTGGGCCTGGTGGCGGGTGCCTATAATCCCAGTTATTTCAGAGGCTGAGACATGAGAGTAGCTTGAACCCGGAAGGTGGAGGTTGAGTTGAGATTGTGCCATTGCACTCCAGCCTGGGAGACAGAATGAGACTTCGTCTAAAAAAAAAAAAAAAAAAAAAAAAATGGTCTGAAGGACACACCTCATGAAAGTGGAGAAATAAGAACAATCCAATCTCAAACCCACCAGAAGGAAAGAAATAATGAAGATCAGAGCAAAACTAAGTGAAATTGAAACAACAACAACAAAAACCAATATAAAAGATAAATGAAACAAAAATATTTGAAAAGATAAATAAAACTGATAGAACATTAGCAGGATTAACCAAGGAAGGAAGAGAGAAGATCCAAATAAGCTCAATTAGAAATAAAAAGGGAGATATTACTACTGACACCAGAGAAATGCAGAAGATTATTCAAGGCTACTATGAACAGCTTTATGTGTGTAAATTAGAAAACCTAGAGGAGATGGATAAATTCCTGGAAATATACAACCCTCCTAGATTAAACCAGGAAGACATAGAAACTCTGAACAGACAAATAACAAGCAGCAAGATTAAAATGGTAATAAAAAATTGTCAGCAAAAGTCCAGGACCAGACAGATTCAGAAATGAATTCTATCAGACTTCAAAGAATTAGTACCAATCCTATTTACACTATTCCATGGGATAGAGAAAGAGAGAACCCTCCCTAAATCATTCTACAAAGCCAGTATCATCCTAATACCAAAACCAGGGAAGAACATAACAACAACAACAACAACAACAACAAAAAACTACAGACCAATATCCCTAATAAACATAGATGCAAAAATTCTCAGTGAAATACTAGCTGACTGAATCCAATAGCATATCCAAAAGATAATTCACCATGATCAAATGGATTTCACACCAGTGATGCAGCAATGGTTTAACATATGCAAATCAGTAAAGGTGATACACAACATAAACAGAATTGAAAACAAAAATCATGTGATCATCTCGATGCAGAAAAAGCATTTGACAAAATCCAGTATCACTTAATGATTAAAACCCTCAGCAAAATTGGCATACAAGGGACATACCTTAAGGTAATAAAAGCCATCTATGACAAACCCACAGCCAACACTATACTGAATGAGGAAAAGTTGAAAGCATTTGCCCTGAGAACTGGAACAAGACAAGGATGCCCACTGTCACCACTTCTATTCCACGTAGTACTGGAAGTCAGAGCAATCAGACAAGAGATAGAAATCAAGGGCATCAAAATCAGTAAAGAGAAAGTCAAACTGTTGCTGTTTGCTGATGATATGATTGTATACCTAGAAAACCCTGAAGACTCATCCAAAAAAGCTATTAGAACTTGTAAATGAATTCAGCAAAGTTTCAGGATACAAAATTAATGTACACAAATCAGTAGCTCTGCTATACATGAACAGTGACCAAGCTGATAAATCAAGAACTCAACCCATTTCACAATAGGTGCAAAAAAAAAAAGAAAGAAATATACCTAATCAATGAGGTGAAAGTTTTCCTTTACAAGGAAAACTACAAAACACTGCTGAAAGAAGTCATAGATGACACAAACAAATGGAAGCACATCCCATGCTCATAAATGGGTAGAATCAATATGGAAAAATGACGATATGGCCAAAAGCAATCTACAAATTCAATGCAATTGCCATCAAAACACAACCATCACTCTTCACAGAACTAGGAAAAACAATCCTAAAATTCATATGGAACCAAAAAAGAGCCTGCATTGCCAAAGCAAGGCTAAGCAAAAAGAACAAAACTGAAGGCATCACATTACCCAACTTCAAGCTATAGTATAAGGCCATAGTCACCAAAACAGCATGGTACTGGTATAAAAATAGGCACATAGACCAATGGAACAGAAGAGAGAACCCAGAAATAAAGGCAAATACTTTCAGCCAATTGATCTGCGACAAGTCAAACAAAAACATAAAGTGGAGGAAGGACACCCTATTCAACAAATGGTACTGGGATCGCTGGCAAGTCACATGTGGAAGAATAAAACTGGATCCTCATCTCTCACCTTATACTAAAATTAACTCAAGATGGATCAAAGACTTAAATATAAGACCTGAAACTATAAAAATTCTAGAAGATAACATCAGAAAAACCCTTCTAGACATTGGCTTAGGCAAAGACTTCATGACCAAGAATCCAAAAGCAAATGCAACAAAAACAGTGATAAATAGATGGGACTTAATTAAACTAAAGAGCTTCTGTAAAGCAAAAGAAATAATCAACAGAGTAAATAGCCCACAGAGTGGGAGAAAATCTTCACAATCTATACATCTGACAAAGGACTAATATTCAGAATCTACAAAAAATTCAAATCAGCAAGAAAAATCAATCAATCCCATCAAAAAGTGGGTTAAGGACATGAATAGACAGTTCTCAAGATATACAAATGGCCAACAAGCATATGGAAAAATGCCCAACGTCACTAATTACCAGGGAAATACAAATCAAAACCACAATGTGAAACCACCTCACCCCTGTGAGAATGTCCATAATCAAAAAATTAAAAAATAACAAATGTTGGCCTGGATGTGTTGAAAAGGGGAACACTTTTACACTGTTGGTGGGAATGTAAACTAATACAACCACTATGAAAAACAGTGTGGTGATTCCTTAAATAACTAAAAGTAGAGCTATTATTTGATCCAGCAATCCCATTCCTGGGTATCTACCCAGCGAAAAATAAGTCATTATATGAAAAAAGATACTTGCACATGCATGTTTATAGAGGCACAAATTGCAATTGCAAAAATATGTAACCAGCCCAAATGGCCATCAATCAAGAAGTAGATAAAGAAAATGTGATTGATATATATATATATATCTCACATATATATATAATGGATATATATATATATCACATATATATAATGGATATATATATAAAATGGATATATATAATGGATATATATATAATGGATATATATATAATGGATATATATAATGGATATATATATAATGGATATATATAATGGATATATATATAATGGATATATATATAATGGATATATATAATGGATATATATATAACGGATATATATAATGGATATATATATATATATACACACACACACACACACACACACACACACACACACACATAATGGAATACTTTTCAGGAAAATTGATATTTGCAGGAAACTTGATGCAGCCATAAAAAGGAATGAATTAATGGCATTTGCAGCAACCTGGATGGAACTAGAGACTATTATTCTAAGTGAAGTAACTCAGAAATGGAAAGCCAAACATTATATGTTCTCACTCATAAGTGGGAGCTAAGCTAAATGGATGCAAAGGCATAAGATAATACAATGGACTTTAGGGACTCTGGGGAAAGAGTGGGAGGGGGTGAGGGATAAAAGACTGCACATTGGGTACAGTGAACACTGCTTGGATGATGGGTGCACAAAAATCTCAGAAATCATCACTAAAGATCTTATTCATGTGATCAAACACCACCTATTCCCCAAAACCTATTGAAATAAAAAAAATAAACAGGCAGAGAGATACCAAAGAAGTAAATGGCCTCAAGGGCTTCCCAAGTTACTCATTTATTTGCTAGGTTTCAGATAGATTAAAATTAATGATTTAAACATAACTATTTCTGGCCTCCATGTGTACAGTTAAGCAAAATGTGCTCATGCCTTCCAAAGGAGCCTACTTGGTGCAATAGAATTTCTAAACACGAATTTAAACATTACTCCAAAATAAAGCATAAGGAATGAGAAAAGCATATGCTGGGGTATAAAAAACAATGTCATGGTTTGTGGAAAAAAGAAAGCTGTGATGACATGTCCTGTCTGTCACGGACATCCATATTTTATGTAAGCTTTGTGTTTCTTTTTGACTATATTAGTAAGTATTAACATTTAAAACAGAAAATATTGAAATCATAAATTTCTGTTTAAGGCATAACATTCCTCAATATCCTTTGAAATATTTACAAGAAAAGGGCAAATAAAAGATTGACAAAGAGTGTGAATATGCATGTCAGAGAGAGAAACTTTAAATGGTTAATATAAACATGAAATACAGAGTCTTAAACTACTTATCACCAGGAGAGTGAAGTTGAATACATGAGACCACTATTTTTATTGTTGTTCATTACATGTCCAATAACACCCAATGTTAGAGGTGTGTGGTAAAACCATCACTCATATTCTAATGGCAGGAGGGTGAATTCTCATACAGATAATGCGCTACTAAACTTGCACTTGCTTCAAACTAAGAAAGGGGTAAATAATCATGTTTGTCTTTAGAATTCTCATCTACATTTCTCTTCTTTCAAGTATCCTATCTGGTAATAGCAGTATGCGAGTGGTAATGTGCCCCCCATCAACGTTTTACTTACATGATACTTTTCAGGAAAATTGATGCTTGCTTTTTGGAGTCTACAGAAGTCTCATTTACTTCATTACTTAAAATCCAATGATTTTAGTACCTGTGTTCATGCAGAATCTCAGATCCCTAGGCAATTTCCTCTTCTTTCAAAACAAAGTAATCTGGTAACATTTATTAGAATAAAAAATGCATATGTTTAGCTAGAAGTGAAATGACAGGGAGATCATTTGCTTTTCCTTCATATACCTCTTTACTATTTAAGTCATTAAAATGCTCATAAACAAGCCGTTATTAAAATAAAACTGAATGAACTGAGTCATAAAAAGTGATTAGTCTAATTCTACGAATCATAATTTAAATTAGCTACCTTCCTTGATTAAAATTGGTTATGATGCCAGATAGATAATGTTCCACTTTCTGTTATTATCACAGCAGCATAAAGGCAAGAGTAAGCATTTGTAACTTTTTGCTTTGAGCTTTAAAATTATGGTCAGTATTAGATGTGGGTAATCTTTTGATATTAATGTATGACAGTGATTCAGTTATGAAATGTTATTGCCAGAACTAGTAATTTGTAGTAAAGGTACAACATTTTATTTCACCACTTTCCGTTTTCTTGCAGAAAATAAATCTTAGAGATAATAAAAAATTGACCAATTAATAAAGCCTTGATTCTTGATACACAGTGCTTCAGATAATTGCCCACTCAACTCTCCAAAACCTTTCTTTTTTTAATTTTCTTTGAATTATTTTTATTAAATCTGGAAGAAAGCCTCAGTGGGTATATTCATGGCTCATAGCCCTGATTGCTAATAGCAGCTTGTTAAATCTGCTCAGTAACTGGATGCACCTAAAAGCCCAAACTCATGAATCCAAGTTCCTGAACCAGAATTCCTATAAAGGGTCATGAAAAATGTAGATCAAATAAAAAATGTGTACAGACACAATAAGTGCTTCTTAGTTGTGTTATTTGACTGTAAGTATTTGTTGTTAAGGGAAAAATGAAAGAAGAAAACATATTAGTTAAATATTTTCCAATTTGAAATATGAATTGACTTCTACTTCATTTTGCTTAGAGATATTCCTAATTTTAAGTAAAAATATTTTAAGATTTTTCAAAAATATGCAATAACCATCTAAACCTTATTGAATAATTCAGAGTGATCCACATGGCACACTATTTAGTTAAGAAGTATATTTCCATTCTCACAATATTTGGTGAAGTCAGTGTGTGCAGAGATCATATGGTGAGAGAGGAAGCAAGAGAGAGGGAAAGCATCAAGCTGTTTTTCACAACCAGCTCTGAAAAGAACTAATAAAGCAATAAGTCCCTATTAAGATGAGGACAGCAACAAGTCATTTATGAAGGATCTACCTTTATGAGCCAAACACCTTCTATTAGGCCGTGCCTCTAACATTGGGGATCTAATTTCAACATGAGGTTTGGGGAGACAAACATCAAATTATAGCAGGGAGCCTTTTTGCAATGATTACCATTGATGTAATTTACAATGTAGAATAATGTCTTCTTCAATAGAGATTCTTAGGTAAATTTTCGTATGGCTGTTGCTCAAACAGCTTTGATTCAAACCAGAAAAGGGTTATATAAATAATCATATTTATCTTTAGAATTTCCATTCTACATTCTTTCCTCCAACTAAGCATCCAATCTGATACCATGAACCATGTCAGTGGAAAAGGATCTCCACTCAAGTTTCTAGTTACGTGGTACTTTGAATCATAATTACATGGTTATTTTTTGAGGTGGAGGTGTCTTGGCAGTCCTGTTTACTTCACTATTTAAATTCCAGTCACTTTAGTGCTTCCAGAAGCTTATTCAGGATCTCAGACTCCCAGGAAGTCCCATCTACTCATTCCTAGTACTTCTGAGAATCTCTGGAGTCTCACAAAATTGTCAGCCAGGTCCCTGCCAAATATTATTTTGTCCTCTGGGCCTCCCATCTCTTCCGCAGAGCCACTGAGCCTGCATTGAGGTTCTTCAGAGCCATCTTTCGGCATTGTGAATCACACACTATAGGAGTTCTCACGGTGTCAGCATGGTGCTGTTTTCTGCTCCAAAATGGAGAAAATGCTTAGTAACCTCATACATGAGGATCATTTATGACATAGAAACCAACAGTGACTTTCTGGGTATCCCAGTAAAGGTGCTGAAAACCAAATATGCTGATGGCTGTATTTTTCTGCCTCTCTTACTCTATGTTTACCTTCCCTCCATGTGTTCTCAGTCCTCATCTTAAAAAAAAGATTCCAGCCAGATGCAGTGGCTCATGCCTGTAATCCCAGCACTTTGGGAGGACAAGGTGGGAGGATCACCAGAGGTCAGGAGTTCGAGACCAGCCTGGCCAACATGGTGAAACGCTGTCTGTGCTAAAAATACAAAAATTAGCTGGGCATGGTGGCGGGTGCCTGTAATCCCAGCTACTTGGGAGGGTGAGGCAGGAGAATTGCTTCAACCGGGGAGGCAGAGGTTGCAGTGAGCCGAGATCGCTCCACCGCACTCCAGACTGGGTGACGACAGAGCGAGACTCCATCTTAAAAAAAAAAAAAAAAAAAAAAGGCCGGGCGAGGTGGCTCACGCCTGTAATCCCAGCACTTTGGGAGGCCGAGGCGGGTGGATCATGAGGTCAGGAGATCGAGACCATCCTGGCTAACAAGGTGAAACCCCGTCTCTACTAAAAATACAAAAAAAATTAGCTGGGCGCGGTGGCGGGCGCCTGTAGTCCCAGCTACTCGGGAGGCTGAGGCAGGAGAATGGCGTGAACCCAGGAAGCGGAGCTTGTAGTGAGCCGAGATTGCGCCACTGCAGTCCGCAGTCCCGCCTGGGCGACAGACCGAGACTCCGTCTCAAAAAAAAAAAAAAAAAAAAAAAAAAAATTCCTTCTGCTGGACTCTTGTTCCCTAAAATCAATCAACTCATATGTATAGAATCCTGAAGGCATCAGAGATCCTCACATTTAGATTCAGAATGTATTAGAGTGATTTTATGGCATGCATATATCATATTTCCTGTTGAGCAAATGTAGTGAATTTTTCTTTCAAGAAAATAGCATCAGAAAACCTGGCTAGAGAACCTATCTGGAAGGCAAGCATCAACTCCAAAAAGATGTGATTTTCTAGCTTTGCTGTCAGACAGCATATTCTATGAATAGTTGTTAAATTATTTGATGCCAGTCTTTTTCAGCAAAAATCCACAAAAAAGTAAACTAATGGATACTAACGAATTTAAATTTGTTTACCCATAAACTCTCCTTTGTTTTGGCTCTTTTTCACCTATTTTGACATGTGTGGAATTAGAAATAAAAAACTATGTATTTAGTTATTTTCTGTTAAATACAGTGATACTTCAGACTGATGTATTCCAAAAAAATATACATTAATCCAGTTGTTCTGCCACCTGAATATATTTGAACTCCACATTACATTATTAACGTGCAACCATGGTATTCTTCTGAGAATATCCAGTGTGTTTTCTTTTACCATTAGTAGTAGAATAATATAGTTGACAAAATTCAGTAATCCTCAGTTATCTGAATTTTGGAAACACCACATATAATTCATTTCTGAATTAGTTTGCTCCAGAGATGGAGCTTGAAGAATTTTCATTCCTCAGAGGCTTGAATCTTAGTAAAAAATTGAATTTTTAATTACTTTTCCTGAGTTTATTGGACTATTATTTTCTTATCTTTTACCCTGTCACTAAAAAAAGAAAAAAAAAAAAAAAAAAAGCTTTGCATACATTTTTTGAAAGGGAAAATGTATCGGGGATCCTGCCCCGATATTCACGTAGGTTCTTTTCTATTTTCCTTAAGCATCAGCCAGCTTGAGAAATAAAGGGACAGGGTACAAAAGAGAGAAATTTTAAAGCTGGGCGTCCGGGGGAGACATCACATGTCAGTAGGTTCCGTGATGCCCCACAAGCTGCAAAAACCAGCAAGTTTTTATTAGGGAGTTTCAAAAGGGGAGGGAGTGTGTGAATAGGCGTGGGTCACAGACATCAAGTACTTTACAAGGTAATAGACTATTACAAGGCAAGTGGAGGCAGGGCGAGATCACAGGACCACAGGACCAAGGCAAAATTAAAATTGCTAATGAAGTTTTGGGCACCATTGTCATTGATAACATCTTATCAGGAGACAGGGTTTTTGAGATCAACCGGTCTGACCAAAATTTATTAGGTGGGAGTTTCCTCTTCCTAATAAGCCTGGGAGCGCTATGGGAGACTGGGGTCTATTTCACCCCTGCAGTCTTGACCATAAGAGACGGCTACGCCCAGGGGGGCCATTCATAGGCCTACCCCCAGGCGCGCATTCTCTTTCTCAGGGATGTTCCTTGCTGAGAAAAAGAATTCAGCGATATTTCTCCCATTTGCTTTTGAAAGAAGAGAAATATGGCTCTGTTCCGTCTGGCTCACCGGTGGTCAGAGTTTAAGGTTATCTCTCTTATTCCCTGAACAATTGCTGTTATCCTGTTCTTTTTTCAAGGTGCCCAGATTTCATATTGCTCAAACACACATGCTGTACAATTTGTGCAGTTAACGCAATTATCACATGGTCCTGAGGAGACATACATCCTCCTCAGCTGACAGGATTAAGAGATTAAAGAATGGCATAGGAAATCACAAGGGTATTGGGGAAGTGATAAGTGTCCATGAAATCTTTACAATTTATGTTTAGAGATTGCAGTAAAGACAGGCATAAGAAATTATAAAAGTATTAATTTGGGGAACTAATAAATGTCCATGAAATCTTCACAATCCATGTTCTTCTGCCATGGCTTCAGCCAGTCCCTCCGTTTGGGGTCCCTGACTTCCCGCAACAAAAAGGACTAGTTGTCACAGGGATCTGGGATCAATAAAACAAGATTATGATTACAGTAATCTTCCCTTATCCACAGTTTGGCTTTCTATATCTTCATTTATCCATGGTCAACCATGGTCCAAAAATATTAAGATATTTTGAGAGACAGAGAAAGGCAGACACACACACACACACACACACACACACACACACACACACACATACACACACGGAGAGAGAATATATTCACATAATTTTATTAAAGTGTATTGTTATAATTGCTCTATTTCATTATTAGTTATTGTTTCCCATCTTTTACTGTACCTAATTTTTAAATTAAACATTTCATAGGTATATATGTGGTTTGGTGCTATTTGCAATTTCAAGCATCCCCTGGGGGTATCGGAATATATTCCTCACAGATAAGGGGGGACTACTCTGTAAAATACAGTTAGAAATCATAATACTACTAGAATTGTTACTTCTCTACTGACTTTAAGTGTATTGAACTGACTAGTACTATAAACAGAACACTACTCATCAAGAGAACTTTTAACCTTTCCAATCAAAAAGGGCTTATTTTGGGTTTCATGTTGCATTTTCAAGGTTTAATTTTTTTCTGTCAATTTTTACTTTATTTATTTTATTATACTTTAAGTTCTAGGGTACATGTGCACAATGTGCAGTTTTCTTATATAGGTATTCATGTGCCAACATAATTTTTTTAAATGATAAAAACTTTATACAATCTCATAGGTTAAATGATTTGCCTAAGGATACACAGTCATTGTGCACTGAAACTGTCTTAAATCTAAGCCCTACGGTATGGAGGTCTGTGCTTATTCCATAAAGTGTAGCTGAAACATTTAATTGTGCTTGGAACTAATTGGAACTAATTAATTGGAACTAACTAATTAGTTCCAGTTAGTACTGGAATTAATAAAACTGGAATTAATTTGTCGCTGGTTTAAAAATATATGATTCAGAAGTCATTAATCTTGGATTGTTCTTATTTTTATTTGAAATTATTAGAAGAAAATAGTTATATAGTTTTAACTAATTTGATATAAAAGCATGTTTTACAGCTAGTACCTAGATGTTTCCCTTGAAATAGAGTTTATATTAGAAAACCTAACACAACATTTTCTGTACTGTATGGTACAACATTTTCAAATGTCACTATGTGGAGTTATAATAAATGATTGGTAATATGCTTACTAATGACTTGCAAAATTTCTTTTTGGTAGAGCAGAAATGGTGACTAATTTATTTAGCTTCTGCTACTATAGATTAGCCTATTAATTTATTCAGTTGTTAAGATATATTTTAATTGTTTTAGTTTCCTAAAACAATGACAACAACAACAACAAACATGTTCTATATGAAGGTTATAATGAACTTACTAATAGGTTATTGACTACTTATTCTTTTCATTCATCTTCTGCTGGGAAGGTATTGATTACTGTCCTTTGAATCATTCTCAAATTGCTCCACATCTACCTAAAATGGTTTTTATGATGACTTCATATTACTTTCATTTTCAATTGTCTATAACAGGACTCAGTAGAGAATAAAGAATGGTTCTATTTTTTTAAAAATAGAAAATGACAATATGCAAAGATGTTTAATATCTGTAAGAGATGATATTAATTTTAGGTTTGTTCAATAATTTCCATCATTAGAATATGTTCCTTGGAAATCACAGAATGAAGAATCTGATAGGAAATGTTAATAACATCAAATGGAATAAATTATTTTCTATGTTATAATAATCTGATTTAACTAATACTCTAAGAAGGTAAGTTTTCTTCTGCAATTGAGGGATTTAACTTTTTCAGACTGTGTTGTCCATCATATTGAGGGATGTATTGATTCCCATAGGTTTTTCTGGCCTTATGTATCAGAATGCTTTGCATCAAACATAACTATCTTGTTGTCTACCACAGTGAAGCTTCTGAAAAAATACAGTTTGTAAATTTTTTTGGTTATATGACATCATCATGGATTCTTAAAAAAAAAAAAGAAAGCCAATCCTCATTGACAGATTTTTAACTACTTATTGCTGGTAGTCTTGTGTTCTTGGATACAAGTGCAAGTATAAACATAATAACTACAATCAAAGTAATATAAAATCCTTTTAATTTTGGAAGTTAGTGGGTTTAAATACCATATTTTAAATTGAGAGGGAGGTCGATAGGTATCTGTAGCCTAAACAAAGCTTTAGTGTATGAGACAATTTTTAATTTTTTTGTTTATAATTTATTTGAGTACAGATTATGCTATATTCTATAAACATTCTATATTATATATTATATTATATTATTATTATATTATATATGCACCCGTTGCTGAAACTATGAAGAAAGTTTTTGTTTGCTTACCTTTTGAGGGATATTTTTTTGAAGTATTTTTATCACAATATTTTCTTTTTATCACCTATAAAACTTCTTAATTTCAAGGAATTTGAGAATAAGAGTAGAGGTCAAAATCTTCTCTTTGCATCTTACTGTTGAGTGAAGGAGATCATTGTGACTTTCTTTTGCAGAAATTCTCTTCTATAGAATTAATCTTTGCATATAAAATGGGAATGAGAGGCTATGCTACTGTCGCCACTCATGTTCTCATGATTAGAAGATGTTCTGGTTCTTTAAAATATAGTATATTTCAATGACTGTTTTGATTGGTAAAAATGAGTCTAATTTGAAAAGTATGTACTTGATTGATTTTACTATAAAAGACAATTTCTATAGAGGCAATAGCAAATAATATAATATATAATATACCTTTTGAATTTCTAATCCTAAGAAACATACCTTTGAGCTAAGAAGAAATGAGATCTAATAACTCTCTTAATGGAGATTATATATTTTATGATTTTAAACATTACCATCCAGAAGGTCTTGTTTATAACCAAACTTCAATATGAGATAATTTTCTTTCTGAGAAGAAATAAGAAATAGCAAAACAGGCTGGGTGTGGTGGCTCACACCTGTAATCCCAGCACTTTGGGAGGCCAAGGCGGGCAGATCACGAGGTCAGGAGATCTAGACCATCCTGGCTAACATGGTGAAACCCCGTCTCTACTAAAATTACAAAAAATTAGCCGGGGGTGGTGGTGGGTGCCTGTGGTCCCAGCTACTTGGAAGGCTGAGGCAGGAGAATGGCGTGAAACCAGGAGATGGAGATTGTGCCACTGCACTCCAGCCTGGGCGACGGAGCGAGACTTTGTCTCAAAAAAAAAAAAAAAAATAGCAAAACATTATTCAACATGTAGAATGTTTTATATTTTCAGTATGGCTAAGAAGTATTATACGTTGCTTAATTTCCAAATATTTGTGGACCTTCCAGTTTTCAATCTTTTTTAGTGTTTTATGGTGATCTGAGAACATAATGTATATGATTTCTATTCTGTTAATTTTGTTAAGATGTGTGCTGTGGCCCAGAATATGGTCTATATTGGTGAATGTTTTATGAGCTTGAAAAGAATGTGTATTTGGCTAGTACTGGATGAAATATTTGATAAATGTCAATTAGATCAAGTTTACTGATAGTGCTGTATAGGTCAGATATATCCTTACCAATTATCTGCCAGGTTATTGATTACTAATTAAGAGATGTTAAAGTCTGAACTGTAATTGTGTATTTCTCTCTTTTTTTCCTTTCATTTACATTGTTTTAGCCCCATGTATTTTGATTCTCTTCTTTTAGGTACATAAAGCTTTAGTATTGTAACATTTTGGAGAATTGGCCACTTTAACCTTATGTAATGCCCCCATTTTTCCTAATAATTCTTGCTCAGAAGTCTTCATTGCCTGATATTAATATAATAGCTTTCTTTTAATTAATATCAGCATGGTATATCTTTCTCTGACCTACAAAAGTCCTTATATTTAAAGCATTTTTCTTATAGACAAGATATTCTTGGATTTCTTAATCCACCCTTACAGTGATGTCTTTCAACTGGCATATTTAGATATTCAAATTTAAACTAATTATTGATATAGATCAATTAATATCTACTATTTTTATAACTGATTTTGTTTTTTTCATTTTTCTTTTTTGTTTTCTTCTCATTTTCTGCATTCTCTGGTTTTAATTGAACAATTGAACAAGACTCAATTTATTTCCTTTCTTAGCATATAAATTGTACTTCTTTAAATAATTAGTGGTTGATCTAAATGTACAATATACACTTTAACCTAAATCTACCTTCAAACCATAATACGCAAGTTCAAGAGGAGTACAGATGTTTTACAGCAAAATATTCTAAATTCCCTTTCCTTGTGATATTGCTGTCATTAATTTTATTTAATATATCACCCAATGCATTGTTACTATGAAAACTTTAAAAGTTATTTTAAAATCAATTAAGAATAAAAAATTAAAAAATTCTTTTGGCTTTCATTTATTCCTTCTCTTTTGGTCTTCTTTTTTTCTTTTTGTAAATCCAAATTTCTAACCTATACTATTTTTCTTCTGTCTGAATTAATCATTTAAACATTTTCTTCAATGCAAAAGTCCTGGCATTAAATTCACTCAGTCATTATTTGTCTGAGAAAGTCTTTATTTTTTATTTTGTTTTATTTTTGAAGGATAGTTCTGTAACAGCTCAAGGTTGTTGGAGTTTTTATTCTTTCAAATTTTTAAATATTTCACTTCAATCTTTTTTACTGTTTTATTTTTTTAAATTGTACTTTAAGTTCTGGGATACATGTACAGAACGTGCAGGTTTGTTACATAGGTATATATGTGCCATGGTGGTTTGCTGCACCCATCAACCCATCATCTACATTAGGTATTTCTCCTAATGCCATCCCTCCCCTAGCCACCCACCACCCCCTGACAGGCCCTGGTGTGTGATGTTCCCCCCTGTGTCCATGTGTTCTCATTATTCAACTCCCACTTATGAGTGAGAACATGCAGTGTTTGGTTTTCTATTCCTGCATTAATTTGCTGAGAATGATGGTTTCCAGCTTCATCCATGTTCCTGCAAAGGAAATGAACTCATTTTTTATGGCTGCATAGTATTCCATGGTGTATATGTGCCACATTTTCTTTATCCAGTCTATTATTGATGGGCATTTGGGTTGATTCCAAGTCTTTGCTATTGTGAATAGTGCTGCAATGAACATGCATTTGCATGTGTCTTGATAGTAGAATGATTTATAATCCTTTGGGTATATACCCAGTAATGGGATTGCTGGGTCAAATGGTATTTCTGGTTCTAAATCCTTGAGGAATCTCCACACTGTCTTTCACAATGGTTGAACTAATTTACACTCCCACCAATGGTGTAAAAGCATCTATTTGTCCACATCCTCTCCAGCATCTGTTGTTTGCTGACTTTTTAACCATCCCCATTCTAACTGGTATGAGATGGTATCTCATTGTGGCTTTGATTTGCTTTTCTCTAATGACCAGTGATGATGAGCTTTTTTTCACATGTTTGTTTGCCACATAAATGTCTTCTTTTGTGAAGTGTCTGTTTATATCCCTCACCCACTTTTTGATGGGATTGTTTGTTTGTTTGTAAATTTGTTTAAGTTCCTTATAGATTCTGGATATTAGCCCTTTGTCAGATGATAGATGAAAAAATTTTCTCCCATTTTGTAGGTTGCCTCTTCCCTCTGATGATAGTTTCTTTTGCTGTGCAGAAGCTGTTTAGTTTAATTAGATCCCATTTGTCAATTTTGGCTTTTGTTGCCGTTGCTCTTGGTGTTTTAGTCATGAAGTCTTTGCCTGAATGGTATGACCCAGGTTTTCTTCTGGAGTTTTTATGGTTTTAGGTCTTATGTTTAAGTCTTTAATCCATCTTGAGTTAATTTTCATATAAGGTGTAAAAAGTGGTCCAATTTTAGTAAAATAATTGATTTTCAGTTTGTTCTGATTTTCCATATCATAAGGATGAAAATGGAGACTTACTAACTCTTTATATGTTAAAGCTTAAATGAGAAGTTTCTTATTATACTTGCAAATTTGCATTTTCCTTGGTACAAATGGGATTGAGTGCCTTTCCCTATGTTTAAAAACATTTTTTTTTAAAGTTTTGTCAATTCCCTGTTTAAATGCTGTTTCTCTTCAAGTTCTCTATTGCTCCATAAAAATAACTCCCCAAGTTGGTGTTTAAAACTATAGTTTGTTATCTATTTTATTTTTCTGGGGTTGACTGGGCCCAATCCAGCAGCAGGTTGGTATTTTATGCAATTGTAGCCACATGGCAGCTCGGGAGCTAGGGCTAGAGTAATCTGAAAATTTATCTGGCATGGATGTCCAAAATAGTTTATTTACATCTGGTTGTTTGGTACTTGCATAAGTTTTGTATTGTTGCCATACCAAATTACCATTAACATAGTGGCTTAAACAACACACATTTGTTATCTTACAGTTTTGTAGGTCAAAAATCTGACATACCATTCACTGGGCTAAAACCAAATTGTTGATAGAGGCAATCAATAATTGTCTAGAGACTCCTTTAAATTATTAGTGCCTCCTTTCTGGAGGTGCTAGGCTGGGGTTTTGTCTATTTCCTGCTTACTTGGGCTATTGGCAGAATTCAGCTCTCAGTGACTCAGATTTTTACCTCAGCTATAGGTTGAGGTTTCTGTTTTCTTCTTGGCTGTCAGTTTAAGTGAGGACCCTTTGTAGCTCACTCTAGAAGCTGCCCATGTTCTTTGTCTCATGGCCCTCTTCTTCCATTTTCAAAGACAGCAATGTCAGCCTGAGTCTTATCTCTGTATCTTCCTTTAAGTCTATCCTCTTTTTACTTTTATTGCATCTCTCTGACTCAATGTTTGACCTTCCTCTTCCATTTGTAAAAGCCTAATAATCCAGAATAATATATCTATTTTAAGGTTTATATTCTTAGTCTCATATGCAAAGTTGCTTTTACCATGTAGGGTAACATAATCACATGTTCTGGGGATTAGAGCACAAACATTTTTGGGGACCATTATCTGCCCATGATGTATTCATTGCCACTCTTTGTCCACATGGCATCTTGTATTCCAAGACCATGCCACAAGGCTTGCCTCTCTTTTCTTTTTTTATTTTAAAATTTTGGAAAATTTTATATATTCAGTTGACACATGTGCAGGTTTCTTACATGGATATATTGTGTGATTTTAAAGTTTTGACTTGTACCAATCATCCAAACAGTGAACATTGTACTAAATAAGTAATTTTCAACCGCTATCTACCTCTTGATCCCCCTTCTTTGAGGTCTCCAGTGTCTAGTATTTCTCTCTGTATGTCCATGTGTGCCCATTGTTTAGTTCCCACTTATAAGTGAGGATATGTGTATTTGGTTTTCTGTTTTTCAGCCATTTCACTTAGGGCAGTGGCCTCCAGCTTTATCCAGGTTTCTGCAAAGGACATGATTTTATTCTCTTTTATGACTGCATAGTAACTCATAATGTGTATATGCCACATTTTCTTTATGCTATCATCTAAATGTCCTAAGTTGATGGACACTTAGGTTGATTCCATGACTTTGTTATTGTAAATAGAGTTGCAATAAACATACAAGTGCGGAGCCTTTTTGATATAATGATTTCTTTTTTTTTTTTTTTTTTGCAGAGATAGCCAGTCATGGGACTGCTGGATCAACTGGTAGGTACTATTTTTAGTTATTTGAGAAATCTCTTACTGTTTTCCATAGAGGTTGCACTGGTTTACATTCCCACCAATAGTGGATAACTGTTCCCTTTCCTCTGCATCCCTGCCAACATCTGTTGTTTTTTGACTTTTTTATGATAGCCATTTTGACTGGTGTGAGATGGTATCTCGTTGTGATTTTAATTTGAATTTCTCTGATAATGGGCAATTTTGAACATTTCTTCATGTATTTATTGGGCAATTGTATGTTTTCTTTTGAAAAATCTCTGTTCATGTCCTTTGCCCACTTTTTAATAGAGTTGTTTGTTTTTTCTTGCTGAGTTGAGTTCCTTGTAGATTACTGATATTAGTCCTTTGTCAGATGCATGGTTTGCAAATACTTTTTCCTATTCTGTGCATTGTCTCTTTACTCTGTTGCCTATATTTTTTGCTGTGCGGAGCTTTTTAGTTTAAGTCTCATTTGTCTGTTTTTGCTGCATTTAATTTCGAGTTATTAGTCATAAATTCTTTGCCTAGACCAATGTCCACAAGAGTTTTTCCTAGGTTTTCTTCTAGGATTTTGATAGTTTCAGATCTTACTTTTAAGTCTTAAATCCATTGTGAGTTAATTTTTGTGTATGGTGACAGATAGGGTTTCAGTCTCAGTCTTCTGCATATGGCAATCCAATTTTCCCAGCATCATTTATTGAAAAGGGGATCCCTTCCCCATTGAATGTTCTTGTTAACTTTGTTGAAGATCAGGTGGTCGTAGGTAGGTGGCTTTGTTCCTGGGTTCTCTATTCTGTTCCATTGATCTTTGTATCTATTTTTGTACCAATACCATGCTGTTTTGGTTACTATAGCTTATAGTATAATTTGAAATCAGGTAGGGAAATGCCTCCAGCTTCATTCTTTTTGTGCAAGACTGCTTTGACTATTTGTAGTATTTTTTAGTTGCATATAAATTTTAAGATTTTTTTCTGATTCTTTGAAATATGAGATTGATAATTTGACAGGAATTGTTACCTGTAGACTGTTTTGTACAGTATGGTCTTTTCAGCAATATTGATTCTTCCAATCCATGGGCATGGGAAGTTTCTTCATTTGTTTCTGTCACTTACGATATCTTTAATCAGTGTTTTGTAGTTCTCCTTGTATAGATCTTCCACTTCCTTGGGTTAAATGTATTTATTCCCAGGTATTTTGTGCATGTTGTGTATATTGTAAATGGAATTGAGTGCTTGATTTGGTTCTCAGCTTGAACATGGTGTATAGAATGGTACTGATTTTTGTACATTAATTTTGTATCCTGAAATTTTACTGGGGTAATTTTACAAGTCTAGGAGTCTTTTGGAGGAGTCTTTAAGGTTTTCTAGGTATAAGATCATGTCATCAGAGAACAGAGATAATTTGACTTCTTCTTGGAATTTTAATTCTTTTTCTTTATTCTTCTTGCCTGATTGCTTTGGCTAGGACTTCCAGTACAACGTTAAATAGAAGTGGTGAGAATGGGCATTCTTATCTTGTTCCATTTTTTAAGGAAGATGCTTTTGACTTTTTCCCATTCAGTATAATATTGGCTGTGGGTTTGTCATATATGTCTTTTAGTATTTTGAGATATCCTCCTTTGATGCCTAGATTATTAAGGGCTTTTTTAAATAATAAATGAATGCTACATTTAATTGAATGCTTTTTTCTGTATCTATTGAGATGATCATATGGTTTTTGTTTTTCATTCAGTTTATGTGGTGGATCATACTTATCGATATGCATATTTTGAACCATCCTTGCATCCTGAAATAAAACCCACTTAATCAGGATGTGTTATCTTTTGTTATATGCTTCTGGATTTGGTTTGTTAGTATTTTGCTGAGGATTTTTGCATCTATGTTTATCAGGGATATCGGCTTATGGTATTTTTGTTGTTGTTGTTGTTGTTGTGTCCTTGCCTGATTCTGGTATCAGGGTTATGCTGGTTCTGCAGAATGAGTTGGGGAGGAATCCCTTCTCCTCGATGGTTTGAAATAGTTTCCGTAAGATTGGTAGGAGCCCTTTGTATGTCAGGTAAAATTTGGCTGTGAATTCATCTGGTCCTAAGCTTGTTGTTGTTAGGATAATTTTTATTACTGCCTCAATTTTATTACTTGTTATTGGTCTGTTCAACGTTTATATTTCCTCCTGTTTCAATCTTGGGGGTTGTATATTTTCATGAATTTGTCCTTTTCCTTTAGGTTTTCTAGTTTGTGCATGTACAGACACTCACAGTAGTGTCTGATGATATTTTGTATTTCTGTGATATCTAATGTAAAGTCATCTTTATTTCTGATTGTGCTTGTTTGAATCTTCTGTGTTTTTCTTGGTTAACCTAGTTAGCAGTCTATTAATTTGGTTTCTCTTTTCAAAGAACCAACTTTTCATTTCATTGATCCTTTGTATCCTTATTTTGGTCTCAATTTTACTTAGTTCTGCTGTTGTCTTTGCCATTTCTTTTCTTCTGTTATTTTGAGGTTTGGTTTGTTATTGTTTTATTAGCTCTTTGAGGTGTGGCATTAGGTTGTTAATTTGAGATAATTGTTTCTTTTTGATGTTGCCAAGTAATGCTACAAACTTTCCTCTTAGCACTGTTTTTGCTGCATGTCAGAAGTTGTCATATGTTGTGTCTCTATTTTCATTCATTTCAAAATTTCTTTTATGATTTCTTGCTTTAATTTTATCATTCACCCAAAAATTGCTCATCAACATATAGTTTAGTTTTCATGTTTGTATAGTTGTGAGAGTTCCTCTTGGTATTGACTTCTAATTTTAATCCACCTACATCACTTGCCTTTCTAAGGGAATGGTTATACCAAAGTTATAACACTTTTTACCTGGTAGCTTGCTTCCAAGGAGGAACTCCCCTAGAACCCTGAAGAGTCAGACAGTAGAAGCTGCCAGATCATTTTGGCAGTATACCAAGAAATAGCACAGCATAACGTACCTTCTATAATCCTATATGGCCGAAACAGCCACATGACCTACCCAGATTTGAGAAAATGAAGACAACAGATCCACATCAACTCTCTTATTTGTGAAGTCAAATTGTGGGATGGAAATATGTAATAAGCTACAATTTTCATTTCCAATTGCTGTGTAAAAATCTACTCCCAAATTTAGTAACTCTAAAACCAGTCTTATGATTTTTATGGAAGCAGTCATAGTTAGATACTAGATGAGACTTCAATAATCTGAATTCTCATCTAGTCTAGATATCCAAGATGGTACACTCACATGGCTGCAGTTGATGTTGGGTTTTTGCTAGGAGCTCAGTGTGAGCTACTGCCTGGCGTGTCTACACTTGGCTGCTTTATGTGGTTTGAATTTGAGAATGAGTGTTTTAAGAGACCCAAGTAAAAACTGTAAGACATTATAACTCCACCTTGGATGCCTCAGAAGGTCATTTGATCTGCATTCTATTGGTAAGTCAAAGGATTTGGGTCAGCTTAGATTCGAGGTGAGGAGAAAAAGGCCTCTGGATGGGGTTGTGGAAAAGTCAGTGCAGAAGAGCATATGGAGTGGGAGCTACTCTTGTTACCCTCTTTGGAAAACATAATTTACCATATATTTTGCTCATTTTTGTGTTTGGTTATTGTATTTTTCTAACTTTTTATGGAGGCTCTTTTTGTATTGTTCTGGTTATCTATTGTGTCATAAACCACCTTGGAAGCTCAATGGCAGATCAACAATTTATAATTATCTTTTTTGGTTTTGAGGGTTGATGAACACAGCTGGGTGGTTTTTGTTGGATGTTTATCTTGTTATGGCAGTCAGATGACATCTGGGACTATAGTTATCTGAATACTTATTTATTTACATAAACAGCTAGGGGCTACTCAGGTATCTCTCTTCAAGCAGTTTCTCAGCATGGCCAGTTTAGGCTTCCTCACCGCCATGGGGGCCTCAGGGCTCCAACTGATCAGGGCAGAAAGTGCTGATCTTTTTAAAGGAAAGGCCTAAAACAGACATAGCATCACTTTTGCTTAACTATAGTTTTGAAATAATCATTTGTCAGTCCAAAGCCGAGGGGCGGGGAAATATACTGTCTCTAAAAGGAAAGAATGTTAACAAACTTAGAGCTATCTTCAATCTGTTACATACATAAAGAAAAACAGAAAATAGCTCCTTCCTTGTTATGTGAGTTGCAAGTGATTTTTCAAGTTTGTTTCCTGTCATGGTTTTTTTTGTACTCAGCAAACAAAAAAATAATAATTTGTGTTCACATCTACTTATATCTTTATAGTTCTTTGTTTTGTGTTTAGAAATACTTTTCTTATTCGTGACTTACTTTTAAAAAATTCTTACATTTTCTTCTAATGCTGTTACGGACTTCTTTTTCTGTGTTTAAACCTTTGAACCACATGTAATTTATTTTTCTTTATGTTTATTTTATAAATATACTTAAAAAGTCTTGGGACTACTCTGTGTTTTCAATATTACTTATTAAGCAGTATATCTTCATTCACCCCACTAGTTTTGTTCTCTTATAATCAAACATCTTTATGAGTCTAATCCATTTTGAACATTTTCATCTGTTCTTTTGATCTATCTATTCACGTACAAGAAAAATGGTTTTAAAAATTGTGGTTTTATATCACCTAGAAGGTATATATTTCTCAATATGATTCCTTGTCAGAATGTTCTTTGAAATTCTTGCTTATTTATTTTTCCATTAAAATATCAGAATTAGCGTCTCTGGTTCCAAAAAGTTCTAAAAATTAACATGTTCCTTTTTTAGAGAAAATATGTATTTTTTTATTTTTTATTTTTTTGAGATGGAGTCTCACTCTGTTGCCCAGGCTGGAGTGCAGTGGCGCAATCTCGGCTCACTGCAAGCTCTGCCTCCTGGGTTCATGCCATTCTCCTGCCTCAGCCTCCCGAGTAGCTGGGACTACAGGCACCTGCCACCACAGCCGGCTAATTTTTTTGTATTTTTAGTAGATACTGGGTTTCACTGTGTTAGCCACGATGATCTCCATCTCCTGACCTTGTGATCTGCCCACCTCAGCCTCCCAAAGTGCTGGGATTGCAGGTGTGAGCCACCGCGCCCGGCCAAAATGTGTATGTTTTTTAACATATAATGCACCTATCCAAGAAGGTAGTATGACTTTCCAATTATTTTTCTGATTTGTGATGTTTATTATTAAAAGGGAGAGGTGAAATTCATGATATTTTCTTCATCAGCCTCTTAAATTTTGTTTTACATAGATATTATACATGTTTTGTTTAAATTATTCCTGTAATTCTCTTTTTATCCTAGTTATCATTATTTTCTAATAAAACCATCGAGTATGTTATCATTTGTATATGCTTTTCTCAGACATACTTCTGATTTCTTTATTTATTATCTTTTTTTAGTTCCTTTTAGTTTTCTGAGTAAAAAATTATATTATCCCAAATAATAGTAATTTTTATCTCTAAAAGTATACGTTTAAAAAAATTGTAAATGACACAGTTTTCTCAAGTATATTTGTCTACTGGGGTAGAAGGACATATCTTCAAATGGAAATGTTTATATGTGCATATAATTAAATATCACATATTATTCATAACATGAATTTACCACTGGAGTTTCATGAATTTGTGTTTGGAAACATTTGATCCTGTCCAACTTCTGTGTTTTACGTATGAGAGAAGAAAGATTTAAGAATTTAAGTGACCCAGTGGAAACTTGCTACCTAGTTATGACTGAGAATTAGGGTGACTAAGTCATCTGGGTCAGAGGGAATTGACACAGCCTATCTCTACCTACTATTCCTTCCCTTAGTTATACTTTCTACCTCAATTAAATGAAACTGCTTTCAATCCCTTGCCCTGGCTCCATGCCTTTACCTGTGTTATTTTTCCTGCATATGGTGCCTCTCTCCCATATCCATAATTCTAGTCTCTCCCCAATCATTTTGAAAACTCACATCTTGTTTTTATCATCCTTCCATGATCCTCACTCTCCATAAAATACAACACTACCCTCGCAAACCAAGTATTGCTGTGTACCTTTCTCATGGCTCATATCGTTTTGTAACTTATGCTCACTTGTGTGCATGTATTACATTCCTTTCTAGGCCATATTTTACTTGTTGTGCTCAGTCTTGTCATACTTCCAATTTTTAGCACAGTGCATTGAACATAATTGAAAACTGAAGATGATTCTTGAGTTAACGACTAATAACATTCATATTTATTGAGCCATTATGTATACATGTCTAATCTATTTACAACAAAATTTATGTGCAAGTACACAGATTTATACACATACCTCCATACATATACATATGCAGATACAAGCTCTAGTGTTGATAATTTTCAATATATTTAAATCATCAATGAAGATGTTCTTATATTTCTGATAAGAAAATTATATTCAGTGTTTCGAAGGTCAGTATATTCTGACATTAGCATGTAAAATGGATATTAACATTATGTAGATAAATGTCTTTTGTAAATTTATTATAGTAAGGAGAAGCATTGCATGTTTCAATATTTGTAACTGATTATCAGAAAATGTAAAATTTTTAAAATAAAATGTTTCAAAAAACACATTTTATTTATAAATCTATACTTAGAGAAACACTGTATATGGGTGACGTATAACTGACTAGAGAATCATAATCACATTGTCATATTTTTTCAAGGCTTAGGTCATTGCTTACAATGGAAAGTTTCCTGCTATTAGTACAGTATAAGAACAGGAGGCAAATTCTGTTAATTAGAAACAAAAAATTCTATAAATGAGTGATAAATATGATGAGAACAAATTAAATGCAGACGGATTTGAGAAGTGCTAGCACTCATGATGAGAGTTTCAAGTCTGTTTTATCACAAAGGAATAGATTGGAAAAACCTGAATACATTACCTGTCCAGGTGGGCAATAAATAAGATTAACTTCTTATACAAAATGTATTTTCTATCAAAAAAGGTAGGTTTTTTTTACTTGACTTATTTACGTTCATTTTCTTTACGGAGTATGCCATCTGTTACTCTGACATGTTATATAGTAGAAGGGCATTCTGGATGCTGCTCTATGCCCCAATAAGCATTCTTTTCATTATTCACAAAGTCAAAATTGAGAATACATCACCTGTACTATCACATGCCTTTCTCAAAAGTCAACCATTTGAAGAGTAGCCCCAAATGAGAATTTTTTTTGATGTAAAATATCTGAAAAAGATTTTATTCTATTTATTTGAATATTTTTTATGACAGATATATTTCCTTCTTGGTACTTAACCAAGGGTTCAGAGGTAGATTAAGTTTTCTTCCCTATTTATTTTACAGGAGAGTTTATTTGTGCTTTATTTTTAAGGAAAAGTATTCGCTAACTATTAAGTAAATTTCTATTTGTCAAAAGCTGGTAGTAGTATCTGTTAAGGAAAACCATATACATAATCTAAGACCTAGAAATCCAATAGAAATGTGTACATATAATCACCAAAAGTTATGTAGTAGAATGTTCACAATAGCCACATTTGTATTAGTCTCAAATTGAACACTATCCCAAATACCTGCTAAGAGAGGAATGGGTAAATATATTATAGTGTCCTCACAAAATGCAATGCCATACAGCAATGAAAATGAACAAACTATACTATATGTAATAATCTGGAGGGATCACACACACATAAATGATGAGTGAAAGGACCCAGATACAAAAGCCTGCATATTAAATGGGTCTATGTAAATAAAAGTTCAAAACAGAGAAAAATAACCTGTGCTGTGAGAAGTGAATATAGTTGGGGCAGTGACTGGAGGAAGCATTTGAGGGACCTTTGATGCTGGTAACGTAGTAATGCCTGTTATGGGTGTTCATTAAATGAGTGTACTCTGTTAAAGAAAGTCATTAAGCTTTTGAACTTATGGTATGTGTGCTGTTCTGTATATATATTTTAATTTAGTAAAAACGTTAAAAGTACTGCCAATTAGCTGGAAAATCAGATTTCTATATTTACAATAAAGTTTTTACGGCCACTTACTGCAAATGGCATAATTTACTAGTCAACAAATTTAAAAAGTAACTTTGCCTTTGTCAAGAATGAAATTATAAATGCTATTTATATAGGAATAACATGATCTCCTGTAGAAATCTAGAGCAAAAAAAGTATAATGATATATATTTATGGTATTTTCAAATTTACAGGGCGGTTTCAAATACATTATTTAATTTTCTCCTCATTCCTATGTTTGTCAGGCAAAGGAGAGACTATTCCTATTTTTTGGGAAGAAAAGGACTTTGATTCTAGTAAGTTTATGGCACCTGCTTAAAAATAATGTTTGTTCGCAAAGCTGCTATAGTCACGGTATAACTTAATATTATAGAAAATTCTTTGGTGAAAAATAATTTGATAAAACTTACATAACATTGGCAAAGGTGTTGCTGCTCAAATTTATGTGAGCTCTCCAAGTTTTCCCTGTACAGTTACGAACATATTTTAAGGTGTTCTGGTTTGAGGCTAAAATAATTTTCTGTTATTTGTAGTTTTGCATTTAAGAAAGTTTTCTAGGCCCTAGATTGAATGAACAGAACATATTTGGAGAAATTATCTTAACTTTTATATTTTCCATATATGTGGATAATCATTAGCTTTAATTAGTTATTTCATAAATATTCTGGACAAACTCCTATCTCATTGAACTTTAATAGGCAACTCACCCTGATGATATAAAGGTGAATCATGTAGTTTCCATTATGAGATAGAAGCTTGAATTTCTGTGACTTAGGCCTGACACCTGTTACACGTTTGTCTTTCCTGCAGTTAAAATGGAAACATCTGTGGCTATAATCACAGAGACAACCAGACCTGGGCTTAAATGACATGCTTGGAATTATGGTTCCAGTTTTATTTCTCCTCAGTTGGATATTCTATTAGACCTTTTAATTATATGTCATCCCTCTCATAAAATTGAGAATCACCGACACTTTTTACAACCTCCTTGTTCTCATATGTAAAAATCTGTTGTTATGATTAAGATCACGCATGAAAAGTGTAACTGTACCTCATTTTTCCTACTTACTATCACACATTAAAATTATTATCCTCAGCCTGGTGCGGTGGCTCACGCCTGTAATCCCAGCACTTTGGGAGGCCAAGTCGGGCGGATCACGAGGTCAGGGATCGAGACCATCCTGGCTAACACAGTGTAACCCCGTCTCTACTAAAAATACAAAAAAAATTAGCTGGGCGTGGTGGCGGGCACCTGTAGTCCCAGCTACTCGGGAGGTTGAGGCAGGAGAATGGCGTGAACCCAGAAGGTGGAGGTCGCAGTGAGCAGAGATTGCGCCACTGCTCTCCAGCCTGGGCCACAAAGCGAGACTCCGTCTCAAAAAAAAAAAAAAAAAAATTATTATCCTCAGCATTGAAGATAGATATTAGGAGCTTAATAAATCCTTGGTGAATAAGTCATTAACAATTGTTCTAAAATATCCTCTAGTTTTATCCGTAAGAAACAGAGGATATGGCTGGTCTGGGAAAAGTATCCTAAATAATTCTATGGTGATTGCATCTACATAAAAAAGAGCTTTTACCCATTGTTCAAATACAGAACATTTCACAAGAGGTTTTTTAAACTAAGCATTTTATTTTATAACAGTTTTAGATTTACAAAACCTACAATTTTGTTACACATATTCCACAACCAGATTTCCCTATTGCCAACACCTTACATTGTTCCGATATATTCATCACGAGTAATGAACTAATATTAATAAATTATTATTTACTCAAACCCATACTTTATTCAGATTTTATTAGTTTTTCCTTAATGAGATTTTTCTGTTCTGAGGTACCATGTTATATTTAACCATCATATCTTGTAAGGCTTTTCTTGGTAAAGACAGTTTCTCAGACTTCCTGGTTTTGATGACCTTGATAGTTTAGAGGAGTAATTATCAGGTATTTTGTAGAAGGTCCCTCAAATTGGTTTTGTCTGATGTTAGTCTCTTGGTTAGACTGAGGTTATATGGTTTTGGAAAGAAAACCACAGAAGTAAAGTAGGATTTGCATCACGTTATCTTGAGATTACATTCTATCAATATGCATTACTACTGTTGATATTAACTTTGACACATGGTGGTGGTAATGTTTGCCGTGTTTCTTCATTGTAAAGTTATTACCCCCTTTCCATACTCTACTGTTTGGAAGCAAGTCACCGTGTGACCCACATTTAAGGAGCGCGGGGTTATGCCCCACCTCCTTGAAAGGGGATATACACATAAGCTGGAGTTTTTGTAACCATGAGATTTTTCTCTTTTCTTCCATGTATTCAAATTTTTATTTATATTAGTATGGATGTTTATTATGTATCTTTATAATTAAAAATATACTATAGGCTACAATATAGCAATACATTATTTTATTGCTCACATTGTTCTATCTTTGACTACTGGAAGCTCTTTCAGTTGGCTCCTGTGCCACTTTGATATACCTCCATGCTCTTAGTTTTGAGGACTGCTTTACTTTCTGGTGCTATGAGATGCTCAAGACTCATATTGTATATTTCCTCTCCCAGTCCTTGAATTAGCCATGTCTCTAAGGAGCACCGGTCCTTTTACTGGACAATAGTATCAGAAATCAAGATTTGAGCACTGGGTTCACATCACATTTATCGTTGAATGCTAGTCCTAGAATATCCATGAGAAAAGCTCTGTCAATTATTCCTAATAGTTTCACCAAAATTGTATCTATGTATATAATACATAGTCTCACCAAAATTATACCATAATGTATATTATACTCAAATTTTGGATAGATTATAAAAACAAGAGATCTTTTCTATGAAATGAAAATATTGTTCATTTTGAAGGATCATTAACACAACATAAATATACAAGGCCAATATTGATTGCTGCAGTTTAAATCCTTAGGAGAATCCACATTTTTGTGATGCATATCAATATTTTCTCAAAGATTGAAAAACTACTTTCAGCGATTTGTGCTATGATGACTAAAATTTTCCCTCTTAACACTAGAGAATGTACTTTTTTCTGAGATTTCATGGCAGTATTTTTGATTATATACACTACCACTAAGGTAAGGAGAAACAAATTGAAGATATAAAACAGACACGCTCAACATCACTAATGATCAGAGAAATGCAAATCAAAACCACAATGTGATACCACCTTGCTCCTGCAAGAATGGCCATAATCAAGAAATCAAAAAATAATAGGTGTTGATGTGCCTGTGGTGAAAAGGGAACACTTCTACACTGCTGGTGGGAATGCAAACTAGTGTAACCACTGTGGAAAACAGTGTGCAGACTCCTTAAAGAACTAAAAGTAGAACCACCATTTGATCAAGCAATCCCACTACTGGGTTTCTACCCAGAGGAAAATAAGTCACGAGATGAGATTGTCTTTTCTTTTTTTTTTTTTGAGATACGAGTTTCACTCTTGTTGCCCGGGCTGGAGTGCAAAGGCGCAATCTTGGCTCACCACAACTTCTGCCTCCTGGGTTCAAGTGATTCTCCTGCCTCAGCCTCCTGAGTAGCTGAGATTACAGGCATGTGCCACCACACCCGGCTAATTTTGTATTTTCAGTAGAGATGGGGTTTCTCCATGTTGGTCAGGCTGTTCTTGAACTCCTGACCTTATGTGATCAGCCTGCCTCAGCCTCCCAAAGTGCTGAAATTACAGGTGTGAGCCACCACGCTTGGCCAGAAGTCATGAGATTTATACAAAAAAAGATACTTGCACATGCATATTTATAGCAGCACAATTTGCAATTGCAAAAATATGGAAACAGCCCAAATGCCCATCAATCAACAAGTGGATAAAGAAATTGTGGTACACACACACACACACACACACACACACACACACACACAGAGGCTTGGAGCAAACACAGTTTGTGGGTAATTAACATTGTTGACTCCCCGGGTAGAGAGCAGTCCTGAGCACCTGAGCACGAATGATCAAAGGTTGGTTTCTGGATAAAGGAGTCAACAAAGGTATCTAGATAAGTTACTTTACATTCTCTTGTTATCTAACCTTTGCCCTCAGACTCCAGATAAGAGAATCAGCTGTCTTCAGCCATAGTTCTCTCTTGAAGCTTTTGCAAAACCTCCCGGCCTTCCAGGAAGGTTTGCATCTTTCCCTGTAACTTTTTCTTATAACTCTTCCCACCACCCTGACCAATCTCCTATATAGTTATATAAAAAATATAGAAAGCTTATTTATTTACTGCTGGTTTAGACTCTGTCATCAGTAAATGCCTTTTTCTTACCTTGCCTCTGTTTCCCATTATAAGAGAAGAGAAACAAGCATTACTTGCTTATTTGCTTTAGTGTCTTTCTTATTCAAAGTGTTTCTTAAGGTTCAATAGTTGTAACTTTTAAAGATGAATAAATGGATGTCTAGCACTGCCTTTGATGCCAAAAGAGCGTCATTTGAATTAAGATACCACTCGGTAAAAGTGTCTATTTTCTTTAATTTTATACTCAGAAAAATGGAAATATAAATTCAAATGTGTAACCCTGTCCTCTATAAAATGAAGATGAATTAATCATGAAATGATTTTTCAAGTCCCGTCTAGTTTTTAAAATTTAGTAAGTCTACAGAGACACTTAAATGTAATGGTTACATATTCTGTTAAGGATTCTGCAGTCATTATAAACGTGGATATTTTCAGAACAAATAAAGAAAAATTCAGTTTTTCACTTTATACGGGCCACAGTGACATGGGCTATGTCACTATCTCCTTTGCAAAGTTGAAATATGTTTCAAGAGTTTAATCTTACTAATTGATTTAGGAGTTTGAACTTACTGACTTATTTGTCGATTTACTGTTGATTGCTTTTGCTCTCTAGTGGCTGAAGATTTGAGAATCAGCAACATCTCAAGAAGGCAGAAAAAATACTATTATAATAAGATAGGGATATGATTACAACAGAAATAATTTCTCTCATTTCTTTTATTACCATTTCCCTACTGCCTCTTAGACCTATTATGAACTGTTTTAGAGTCTGTGTGTTGTATCCCAGCACTCATTTCTCATGATCTCTCCTGATTTCTTATGTGGTTTCCTAGTAGATATTCCAAACATAAATGTAGAAATCTGCACCAAAAACCAAAACGCAGCATTGTATATTGATTTGTGTTTTAAGAGAGACCTGAATTTACCCAATTCTGATGACCAATCATTATTTTACAGTAGAGAAAGGTATTCAGATATTCGTTTTTTGTATTCTGATGAAATGTTAGTTTATTGAGAGGCATAAGGAGAACTCAAGAGATGTCTATTTTAATTGAAGGGAAAAAACCTGAAAAGAATGAGGGTTGAAAGAAAGGCAATAATCATTATATGCTTAATCTCCCATCCAAAAGGGAAGAAATATATATGAGTTCTCATTTCAAGATGCATGTTGTGCGGAATCAAGACCATTTTTGGTTTTTAAGTTTCTGTGGATAAAGGCTGAGAAGAGAAAAGGAAAAAACAGATTTTTACAGTGCCTATGATATCCTTAGAAAATCGACTTGCTTTACAAAAAATAAAATTATAAACACAGCCTCTAAAATATATCAATTATATATATAATTAGAATTATTATTCAGTTTGCTAAAAAGGTGATTCTTTCATTTGCAACAACATGGATGAAACTGGAGGATGGCCAGGCAAGGTGGGCTCATGCCTGTAATTGCAGCAGTCAGATCACCTGAGGTCAGGAGTTCGAGACCAGCCTGGCCACCATGGCAAAACCCTGTTTCTACTAAAAATACACAAAAACATTAGCTGGACGTGGTGGCGGGTGCCTGTAATCCCAGCTACTCAGGAGGCTGAGGCAGGAGGATCGCTTGAACCTGGGAGGCAGAGGTTGTAGTGAGCCGAGATCATGAGATCATGCTACTGCACTCCAGCCTGAGCAACAGAGCCAAACTCCCTCTAAAAAAAAAAAAAAAAAAAAAAAGAATCTGGAGGACATTATGTTAAGTGAAATAAGCCAAATATGGGGGGAAAAAAACCATACTGCAAAACAACAACAAAAAAACGTTGAGTAGATCGAAACAGAGAACAGAATGGTGGGGGTGGGGTGGGAGTGGGAATGGGAAGATATAGGTCAAAGGGTACAAAGTAGCAGTAATGTAGAATGAACGAATGTAGAGAACTAAAGTACAGCATGATGTCTGTTGTTAATAATATTGTATTATATTGTATTGTATGTTGAAAATTTTTCAAGAGGTAAGTATTTGAGATAATATACATGTTACATTGTTTACCTCCAGTAATTATTTCACTGTGCGTATACACCAAAACATCATGTTGTTTACCTAAAATTTAAACAAACAATTTTTTATTATCTTATAATGGTACTATAGTGTATAGGTAATTATCATCTCCTTGATAGAAACTTTACAAGACTTTAATAATTTTCCTGTACATTTGTTTTACTTTGTTGCAGATAACTAGATGCTTGGGTTACGGTGACTATTTTTGACTATTTCTGTATTAAAATATTCAATATTTCTCTTGTTAACTGTGTCAACAAGTAAAATGAGAGTTTTAGTTGGAAAAATGATGGAGAGTAAACTCTCTATTTTACTCTTCATAGTTGTACTGGCATTTGTCTTTGATAAACGATGATAGCCTTCGTCTTGCTCATAATAAGCTATGCAAAAGTACCTATATCAAGCCGACTTGCATGCATTCTGATGGTCTCTTTCCCAATTTAAATGGGAAAGTAGGCCTAGGGGCATAAGTTCATTTTTCTTTCATTTCCTTTACCTGTCCCAATTTTTTCTAAAAATTTTTTACTCTAGATCTTCTTTTCTATTATTTTTTCTTTATATTCTTAGACTAGTCTTCCTGTTTTTTTTTTTTTTCAAATTATGCTCAACATGGCATTCAGTAGTCCATGCATATATGTTTGAATTTCAAGTAAAAAAATGGAAATAACTATATTTTCTTTTGCAAAAGCCAAAGGAATTCAAATGTATTGATTTTATACTTAGTATAATTCAGAAACTGATATTTTATGTTTGGTAAGCTTGGCATTAACAAGCCATAGGCTTTGCACCTATCAATTCTAATCACTGAGATTCTTTTTTAAACATTTTTATAATGTTTAAAAAACATACATTTTAAAATTGACATACAATATCTTACATATTTAAAAGCATGATATTTTGAAACACATATATAATGTGTAATGATCAAATCAGGGTAGTTAGCACATCTATCATCTCAAACCTTTACCATTTCTTTGTGATAACATTCAAAATTTTCTCTTTCGGCTATTAAAAAAATACAGCAAATTATTGTTTACTGTAGTTATCTCACAGTGCTATAGAGATCTACACCTTGTTCTCCCTGTTTAACTGTAATGTTGTGTGCTTTAACCAACCTCTCCCTCTTCCCTACCCTTTTCAGCCTCTAGTAACCACTCTTCTACTCTCTACTTCTTAATCACTGGAATTCTAATTTCTCAGAAGTAAAAGGAGTATTTGAGCCTGTGATTATGATCTTTTTTCAAATTTAATATTTAATACAGAAGAGAAAATAATATGAATTTAAATATAATTTTAGGAAATCTAATACAAACATATTATAGACAATTTAGAAGATAAACATTATTTACACTTGCCTCACTGTCATATAGCCATGGACAGAAATGTGGGAGTATCAATCAAATGCATATACAGATGATAAAAATCATGTGCTTATTCCTGTAATAGTTCCTGCATCAAATAGTACTTAATAAGTACTTTATTTCCTCTTTTCTTTCCATTTCATTATGACATATCCTTTTATTCTCTGATTATTTATTTAGCTACTCAGCCTTTCATGTATTTTTAAACTTACTGAGTTTAAATAATTTTCTTTTTCTTTTCTTTTCTTTTTTTTTTTTTTTGACGGAGTCTTGCTCTGTCGCCCAGGCTGGAGTGCAGTGGCATGATCTTGGCTCACCACGACCTCCACCTCCCAGGTTCAAGCGATTCTCCTGCCTCAGCTTCCCAAGTAGCTGGGATTATAGGCATGTGCCACCAAACCCGTCTAATTTTGTATTTTTAGCAGAGACGGGGTTTTGCCATGTTGGTCAGACTGGTCTTGAACTCCTGACCTCAGATTATCCGCCCGCCTCGGCCTCCCAAAGTGCTGGGATTACAGGCATGAGCCACCGTGCCCAGCCAATAATTTTCGTATCATTAGTTTCTTTTTCTAAAACTTTGAACAATAAAATTTGAATTAATTATATGTTTAAATAAATGGTATTGAGTTAGTATTCCTAGTTTTATTGCCTGGATATACATGATGTATTCTCACCTATTTTACCATATATTTTGACCTTCTTTTACCCTTTGTTTTGATTTCTTTATTTTTTATAATCATATTGAAGTGGATATACTTCTCTAAGCTATCACAAAATCTTTAAGATATGACAGAGTGTAAATAAATAACAGACACATATTCCCTTCATTCTAATACTTGATGAATTCTCCAATTTAATTCATATTTTTAGGTCACTATGAAAGTCTCTTTCTAACAAACACCTCAAATAACACCCACTTTTGCCATCATTAAAATCATTCTAATTGGTTATGCATTTATAAAAAATGGTGTCTGGAGGATCTGCTAACTGGTTCATATGACAGGACACCACAAGATTACTCTTTGAACAATGCCAATTTAATCAGGCCACTCTCATTCATAAATTCAATATTATCAACATAGTCAAGGTCAAAAGCTTTAATATGGCATAAATATTCCTTAGTGATTTGTTTCCTTAGCTTTTAGGAAGCTTATTTCCTGCCCTACCCTTCTGTCTACCTTATATTCCACTCACATAGATCAATCTACAATTTTCTCAGCAGTTATTGTGTTCCTGAATGCCTCCATATAGTCTCTAGGTATAAAGGCACCACATCCGAAACCGGGAAAGAAACCTATGAAATCTCTCTCTCTCTCGAAATTCAATTTGTATTAGTACATGTGTAGCTTTTCTTAATTCCTCAGGCAGAATTATTTAATTCTTTTGTGTTCACATAGTGCCTACTCATATCTTTCTTATGGCATCTATCAGCCTGCATTTTATTTATGTCTTACTTCTTCTCAATAAACTGTAAACTGAAGCTAAAGCCCTAAGTACGACTCCACAAATGTCAAAAGAATGAATGAATAAGCAAAAATAAAGAAATGAGAAAGAAAATATTTCATTTTAGGTATCAAGGTAAATGAGAACTTTTAATAGACTATAAACACAAATTAACTTTTTTCTTTCATCATAGAGAATGAAAGAAATCACAAATAGAAACTAGCACACCATGGACACACAAACCTGTGTTTAGAGAACTTGAAGAAAAATGGTTTCACTAGCATTCCATTAAAATAAATGATTTTATTTACTCTCAACTGACTTTTAATACACTATAATGGAAAAATATGAAAAAATATATTGTTTTCAGTTTATTACTCAGTTTCATAAACTTTTGACAGAATACAGTTTCAAAATTGAATAAAAGGGCCAGAACTGATACATCTTAGTTAGAAAATCAATGTTTAAATACCTAAAATATTTAAAACTGATAGTCCCTTGGCTACACACACATACACACACACACACACACACACACACACACACACACACACACACACAGAAAGAAAGAGAGAGAGAAGCATGGGAACAAATACAGATACACACACACACACACACACACACACACACACACACAAACATACATATGAGGCTTTTGAGTTTCCCTGCAGGATAAATGAATCTATTAGTAACTCATTTTGTTCTGTTACAGACAATTTAACATTTTTAACATTCAGTTGATATGCTGTGTTAGAATAAATCTAGCCGAATAAGTAGTGCAGATTGCTTCTTTATGACTTATTTGTTGCAGGTTTTATTGATCCTCTCTTCTTGACCTCAATGAAAACCAAAGAAAATATTAAGAAACAAGTCAAAAAGGAGATATAAAAGTCAAAAAGTAACATACTTATTGGCCTGGAGAATTATAGTTTCAATAGAAACTGGAGAGTAGGAGTCAGAGTCAAAATAATTAGATTGAAAGTGAAGGTTTTATTCTCATACCTTTGACACTAGAAAAGGCAGGATGGATAGAAAATAATTTGGACACTTCAGGAAATGAGAGGAAATTACTTTCACAACCTACATGTACCTGAGAGCCCACTTTTCACACTCTGCAGGAAGGAAAGTCAGACAAAAAAGCAACTGATTAGATTTCTTCTAGCTTAGTTATTTTGTATTTGCAATGTTTTCTTAACTGCTGTGACCTTAGGACTGCAACATTTTATACATTGTGTTTGCAAAGAGTGCAAAGAGAGCCTCTGCTACTAAGGGACTAATTTTAAGAATAGGAAGATGTACTTGATGAAAACCTTAACAATGAACTGGTAAACATTGGAGCAATATTATCTTTAGGTTATTTGAGAGCCTATGAAAAACTGGAATAAATTAATTTAAAGACTAGAAACCAGACATCCCTCTTGGGTATACATTTTGAAGACACTGAGCCATAAAAGGAAAGGTATTTACATCTTATTGTGCTGCTCCTTAGCCTTCATTTAGGTGATATATTGTAATGATACCCTGGTCTAAATGCAAAAGAAATGACTGATGATGCTTTTAACGCTCAAGAATGAAAAGTTAATCATGTCACAATAGTAATTCCATTTAAAATATGCCATGGACCTTTGATGACCACTTGAAATTTTTCTCAGGGAAAATATGCTTATATAACATCACAGTAAATAAGATTGGAAATATCATAACTGGTCATAACAATTGCTAATAAAATTATATGAAATACTACACATCCTTTGTGTTCAGAAACTATTAAGGTTAATGGGAATAACTTAGCAGGTAGAAATGGAAGCTAGAAGGCATTTGAACACTTTAGAAACATCATGGGCATAAGCAGAATCAATAGGACTTGAGCCATATGTTGTATGTGCATCTGTCCTTGTAAATGGCTATAATTTGACATAAAAATGGGTTTTTCTCTCATCCTAGCTACCGGTTTCTTTCTGGTTGTGAGTCACTATAGAAATAATAATATCAAAAACATTATGCCATTATTCTTTATGAAAATACTGTGACTACAAAATGCTATATTTTAAAAATCAATTTATCTTACAAAGTAGCTCTTAGAGACTTAAGATAGTGTCCAGAATGAGGAAATCATATTTTATTATTCTGACTCCATCATTGACTTGCCTTGAGATTCTGGATAAATTCTGTGTTTAGCCTTTCTATGCTTCAGCTTATGAAACTATAAAATTTATACAAAGCAATTATCATGCCCTATATTAACCTAATGGGGAAACGAATTTAAAATACAATCAGGTTAGCCAAATAGACTTTTTCAAAATAACAACTTTGCTAAAGATGTTTCTATTATATAGTTATAGGTTTGAACATGACCACTGAAGACCTTTTCAATGCTTGCAACTACCACGTGGCTTGGGGCCTCTTCACTGGGGCACAAAACTTCTTTTTTTATCCCTCCTTTTCCCTGCTACCACTCCTTTTATCTAGTATTCAGCCTGATAGTATTTTAACAGACTGAAAGATTTATAATTTATCTATTCAACAGCTGTTTACTAAATGACTTCTAAGTGCTAAGTGGATCTTTGTGCTGTAAATTCAATAGTAAACAACAACAAATAGCAATAACAAGAATCTCTGTTCTCAGTAAGGACAGTAAGTGGTCAGAGAAAATAAATGAGACCACTAAATTATATTTGAAAAATATTATTCGTAAAACAAGGAAGGGCAGGGCATGGTATACTGATGGGATGTGTTACAATTTTATGTAGAGTTGTCAGGGAAGGTTTGCAGAGACAGTGATGTTTTTGTAAAGACTCTCTAATAAGGTCAAGAAAAAATATGGGATATTTGAGGGAATGGAATTCAAGGCAGCAAGGTTTTGCAAAATGAGTGAGGGACAGGTAGTAGGAGATGTGGCCACAGAAGTGGCTGATGAAGGCTTTGGCATTTACTCTGAGTTAGGTGAGGAGCAAGGGGAAGATTTCAAGCTCAGAATAAAAGATTCTGAATTACATTTTAAGGTGATCACTCTGCCTATTTGAGAACAGATAATAGACAAAGATGAAAGTAAGAAGAACACTTTGCAGGCAGTTACAATTATCCACGGGAAAGATGATGGTGGCTCCCCTTCCTCAACCATATTGATGCATAATTCACAAATAAAAACTGTATGTATTGATAGTATACAATGTGATGTTTTGGTGTACATTGTCAAGTGATTACTACAATCAAGCTAGTTACCATATCTGTCACCTCACAGAGTTACCTTTTTTGCATATGAGGTAAGAACACTTAAGATCTACTTTCTTAGCAATTTTCAAGTATATAATAGAGGACTTATTAACTATAGGCAGTATAGTCACTGAATTAGTTAATTTGTGCTTCTATAACAAAACAGCACAGACTGGGTAATTTATAAATAACAGAAATTTACTTCTCACTTCCCAGGGACTGGGAAGTCGAAGATCAAGGCACCAGCAGATTTGGTGTCTGGTGAGGGCTGTTCTCTGCTTCCAAGATGACACCTTGTTGCTGCCTCCTCACATGGCAGAAGGAGGAAAGGCAAACAACCTAGCTAGTTATCTCCAGCTTTTTCAATAAAGGGATTCATATCATTCATGTGGGTAGAGCCCTCATCACCTAATCACCTAAAAGCTACAACTTTGAATATCACGACCTTGGTGATTAGATTTTAATATATAAATTTTGGAGAAACACATATTCAAACCATTGTAGTTGCCATGCCACAAACTAGATTTCCAAAATGTATTCATCCTGTATAATTGAAATGTTCTACCTATTGATCAAAAACTCCCCACTTTCTCCACCCTCTTGTCCTTGGCAATCACCATTACATTATTTGTCTCTGGGTTCATCCATGCTGTCACAAATGACAGAATTTCCTTCCATTTTAAGGATGAATAATATTCCATTGTGTGTGTGTGTGTGTGTGTGTGTGTGTGTGTGTATGTATACATCACATATTCTTTATCCATTCTTTCATCAATGGTTGCTTAGGTTGATTCCATATCTTGGTTATTATGAATAATGCTGCAGTGAACATGGGGTGCTCTTTGACATACTAGTTTTATTTCCTTTGGATTTATATGCAGTTACAGAATTGCTAGAGTATATAGTAGTTTTATTTCTGATTTTTTGAGAAACCTCCTGTATTAGTCCGTTTTCACTCTGCTGATAAAGGCATACCTGAGACTAGGCAATTTACAGAAGAAAAAGGATTAATGTTTAATGCCCTTACATTTCCACATGGCTGGGGAGGCCTCATAATCATGGCAGAAGGCAAGAAGGAGCAACTCACATGTGAAGGGTGGCAGGCAAAGAGAGAGCTTGTTCAGGGAAGCTCCTGTTTTTAAAACCATCAAATCGTGTGAGTCTCATTCACTATCACAGGAACAGCACAGGAAAGCCTCACTCCCATAATTCAATCACCTCCCACTAGGTTCCTCCCCGGACACGTGGAGATTTTGGGAGTTACAATTCAAGATGAGATTTGGGTGGGGAGACACAGCCAAACCATATCATTCCACCCCCGGCCACTCCCAAATCTCCTGTCCTCACATTTCAAATTCAAGGCTGTTGTTCAAGGCTGTTGCCTTCCCAACAGCCTCCCAAAGTTTTACCTCATTTCAGCATTAACTCAAATGTCCACAGTCCAACATCTCATCTGCCTAGGAGGAGATGAGACAACGCAAGTCTTTCCTGCCTAGGAGCCTGTTAAACCAAAAGCAAGTTAGTTACTTCCTAGACACAATGAGGGTACAGCCATTGGGTAAATACAGCCATTCCAAATGGGAGAAATTGGCTAAAACGAAGGGCCTACAGGCCCCATGCAAGTTTGAAATCCAGCAAGGCAGTCAAATCTTAAAGCTCCAAAATGATCTCCTTTGACTCCATGTCTCACATCCAGGTCACACTGATGCAAAGGATGGGTTCCCGTGGTCTTGGGCAGCTCTACCCCTTTGGCTTTGTAGGCTAGAGCCTCCCTCCCCATGCTTTCACGGGCTGATGTTGAATGTCTGCAGCTTTTTCATATGCATGTTGCAAACTGTCGGTGGATCTACAGTCCTGGGGTCTGGAGGACAATGGCCCTCTTTTCACAGCTCCACTAGGTGGTGCCCCAGTAGGGACTCTGTGTGTGGTCTCAGACCCCACATTTCCCTTCTGCACTGCCCTAGCAGAGGTTCTCCGTGACAGCCCTGCCCCTGCAGCAAACTTCTGCCTTGATACCCAGGCATTTCCATACATCCCCTGAAATCTAGGTGGAGGTTCCTTAACCTCAATTCTTGACTTCTGTGCACTTGCAGACTCAACACCATGTGGAAGCTGCCAGGACTTGAGGCTGGCACCCTCTGAAGCCATGTCCTGAGCTCTACATTGGATCCTTTCAGCCACAGCTGGAGCTACTGGGACACAAAGCACCAAGTCCCCGGGCTGCACATAACACAGGGACCCTGGCCCTGGCTCACAAAACCACTTCTCCCTCCTAGGCATCTGGGAGGGACTGCTGTGAAGACCTCTGACATGCCCTGGAGACATTTAACCCGTTGTCTTGGGGATCAACATTTGGGTCCTTGTTATATATGCAAATTTCTGCAGCTGGCTTGAATTTCTCCTTGGAAAATGGGATCTTCTTTTCTATCTCACTGTTAGGCTGCAAATTTCCTGAACTTTTATGCTTTCCTTCCCTTTTCAAATTGAGTGCCTTTAACAGCACCCAACTTACGTCTTGGATGCTTTGCTGCTTAGAAATTTCTTCTGCCAAATACCCTCAATCATTTCTCTCAAGTTCAAATTTCCATAAATCTCTAGGGCAGGGGCAAAATGCCACCACTCTCCTTGCTAAAACATAACAAAAGTCATTTTTGCTCCAGTTCCCAAAAAGTTTCTCATTTCCATTGGAGACCACCACAGCCTGGACTTTATTGTCCATATCCTTATCAGCATTTTGGGCAAAGCCATTCAACAAATATCTAGGAAGTTCCAAACTTTTCCACATTTTCCTGAATTCTTCTGAGCCCTCCAAACTATTCCAACCTCTGCCTGTTAACCAGTTCCAAGTCACTTCCACATTTTTGGGTATCTTTTCAGCAGTGCCCCACTCTCCTGGTACCAATTTACTGTATTAGTCCATTTTCATGCTACAGATAAAGACATACCCAAGACTAGGCAAGGTACAAAACAAAGAGGTTTAATGCACTTACTGTTCCACATGGCTGTGGAGGCCTCACAATCATGGTAGAAGGCAAGGAGGAGCAAGTCACATATTACATAAATGGCAGCAGGCAAAGAGAAAGAGCTTGTGCAGGGAAACTCCTGTTTTTAAAACCATCAGATCTTGTGTGACTCATTCACTATTACTAGAGCAGCACAAGAAAGACCCGCCTTCATAATTCAATCACTTCCCGCTGGGTTCCTCCAAGGACCCAGTGAGAATTGTGAGAGTTATAATTCAAGGTGAGATTTGGGTGGGGACACAGCAAAACCATATCACCTCCATACAGTTATTCATGACAAATGCACCAATTTTTATTCCGACTAACAATATACAAAGATTCCCTTTTCTCCACATTTTGCCAACACTTGTTATCTATCTTTTTGGTAATAGCTATTCTAACAGGGAAATTTGCATTTCTCTGATAATTAATGATGTTGAAATACATAGTTATATATTTTTCCTTATACTTCTTGGCCATATATATATGCCTTCTTTTGAGAAATGTCTATTTAGGTTCTTTACCAATTTTTAAATTGGTTTGTTTTCTTGCTGTTGAGTTGTTCGAATTCTTTATATGTTTTAGATATTAACTCTTTATCAGATGTATGATTTGCAAATATTTTTCCTATTCTGTTAAGTTGTGTCTTTGTTGTTTTCTTTGCTGTGAAGAAGCCTTTTAATTCCATGCAATTTTATTTGTCTGTTTTTTGCTTTTGTAGCTTTTGTTTTTGGGGTAATATTTTAAAAATCATTGGCCAGACCAAGGTCAAGAAGCTTCTTCATATGTTTTCATTCAGTAGTTTTAGAGTTTCAAGTTTTAGATTTAAGTCTTCAATCCATGTTGAGTTTATTACATATGGTGTGAGATAAGGGTCCAATTTTATTCTATATGTGAATATCCAGTTTTTGCAGTACTATTTATTCAAGCAACTGTCCATTCCCTATTGTGTGTTCTTGGCATCTTCATCAAAAATCAATTGAACAAAAATGTGTGGATTTATTTCTGTGCTCTCTATTCTGTTTCATTTGTCTATATATCTGTTTTTATGTGAATACCATGCTGTTTTGATTACTATGGCTTTTTAGTACATTTTGAAAGCTAGTAGTGTGACACCTCTCGCTTTGCTCTTTTTGTTCAAGATGCTTTTGCTATTCAGATAATTCCTTGTCTATCAATAATTACTTTAAATGTGGAAGGATTTAATTTGCCAATCAAAAGACATACAGTGGTTGAATGGATTTAAAAGAAAAAAAAAAAACAAGATCCAATATTTAGTGTCTATGAGAGACTCACGTTAGCGTTAAGGGCACACATACTCTTAAAGTGAAGGGATAGAAAAAAAATATTCTACCTAATGGTAAGCAAAAGAGACCATGAGACATATACAAAGCATTCCACCCAACAGTAGCAGAATACACATTTTTTATAAGCACTTACAGAACATTCTTCAGGATAAATCATATGTTAGGCAACAAAAAAAGTCTTATCAAATTTAAAATACTGAAATATATCAAGTATCTTTTCTGTCCACAAGTATACACAACTGGAAACCAGGGACAGAAAGAAAATTAGAAAATTCCCAAATATGTGAAAATTAAACGATGCAATTCTGGATAACCATTAAGTCAAATAAAAAATCAAAAGAGAAATAAAAATATACCTTGAAACAAATAAAAATGGAAAGAACATATTAAAACTTATGGGACGTTGCGGAAGGTCATGATGGCTTCCAACAGGGTGGTGGCAGAAAAGGTGCTGATAAATGGTCAGATTCTGGATGTATTTTGCCTATAGAGCCAAGAGGATTTGCTTTTAGAATTGAATTTTGGTGTGAAAGATAGGATGTCTCTGAGGTTTTTGTCCTAAGCACTCAGAATAATGGAGATGACATTAACTAAGATGAAAAGGATTGGGTATAGGGGAAACTGGTTTACTTTTAGATAAACTAGACATTTATTTATAACATATGTTGAGTTTGCAATATATATAATCATCAGAATAAAAATTGTGCGTAGACAGTTGTATGTTCTAACCTCTTGTTAGAGAACAGTCCAGTCTGGGGATATAGATTTAGGAATCATCAGCAGATGATGCTCTTTAAAGCCAAGAAACTGGATCAGGTCACCAATGGAGTAAATGTGGATGGAAAAGAAAATAGGATCAAGGCTGAAGTCCTGGAGCACTCCTATAGAAGGAGATCAGGCTGACAAGGAGGAGCCAACAAAAGTGTCTAACTGGTATGGTTTGGCTGTGTCCCCACCCAAATCTCATCTTGAATTGTAGCTCCCATAATTCTGATGTGTTGCAGGAGGGACCCAGTGGGAGATAATTGAATCATGGGGGCGGTTTCCTCCATACTGTACTTATGGTAGTGAGTAAGTCTCAGGAGATATGATGATTTGCTAAGGGGTTTCCCTTTTTGCTTGACTCTCATTCTGTCTATTGCCCATCACCATGTAATAAATCCCTTGCTCTTCCTTCATCTTCTGCTATGATTGTGAGGCCTCCCCAGCCACGTTGAACTATGAGTACATTCAATCTCTTTTTGTTTATAAATTACCCAGCCTCAGGTATGTCTTTATCAGCAGTGTGAAAACGGACTAATACAGTAACTATTAGCCCGTGAGGAAAAGTGAAATGGAAGAGAGGAGTTCCCAGGAGCCAAAAGAAGAACATGTTGGCTGGGTGCAGCGGCTTATGCCTGTGATCCCAGAACTGGGAGGCCAAGGTGGGCAGATCACTTGAGGCCAGGAGTTCAAGACCAACCTGGCCAACGTGGCAAAAGCCCGTCTCTACTAAAAATACAAAAAATAGCCGGGCATGGTGTGGCTGCCTGTAATCCCAGCTACTCAGGAGGCTTAGGCAGGAGAATGGCTTAAACCCAGGAGGCTGAGGTTGCAGTGAGCCGAGATCGCACCACTGCACTCCAGCCTAGGCAACAGAGTGAGACTGTCTTAGAAAAAAAAAAAAAAAAAAAAAGAACATGTTTTGGGGAGAAAGTAACTATTTGTTGTATCAGAAGTTGCTGACAGGCCAGGTAGGACGAAGACTGAAAACTGACTTTGGGTTTAGAAATGCAGCACTATCAGTGTCTGTGACAGTAGCAATTTTGGAATAGTGGTGGAGGAGAAAACTTGACAAGTGGATTCAAGAAAGAAAGACAGGAGAGGAATTGGTGACAATGAGTACAGGCACCTCCTTTGAGTTGTTTTTCCTCAGTTAAGAGGAGTGGAGAAATGGGGGAATAGCTATAAAGAGATCTGAGGTCAAGAGAAAGCTGTATTATAATGAGAAAGTTAACAGAATATTTCCTGATGCTCGAGCAATTGCTATTTTTCATTTTTTCTCACTGAAATAAGAAAGAAATCTATCATCAAAAAGTAACTACAAGGGAAGACATGTTGGAAGTTTGATGAGTGGAGAGTTAGAAAGTGAACACATACTAAAAAAATGCATGTATCATTTAAAATGATGTTGAGTATAACAGAAACTACCCTGTCACAGTTATGAGAGGATGTACATGTGTGATTGTGCGAGTCGGTAATCACTTCTAAATCTCCATGCACTTTTGCATTCAGTTTCTTTTTCCTTCCCTATTTTTTTGTTTCCTTTTTTCTTTTCCTGCCATTGCAGGGTCTTTTTGACATCTTTTTAGATCATTTCTGGCTAGCTTGAAAGATATAAGGGATGTTTCAGGTTATAAAATAACAGTATTTATTTAAGTAATATTCCAAGTGACTATACACTCTGACAGCCTTCTAAGTCTTAACAAAAATTCAATTCCCATTTCTGGGGATTGTTTTCCTCCTGTTGTTTGTGTTGCTGTGTGACATACACATGCTTTATTTGTTACTCTTTTGACAAGATCCTGCTGCCTTTTTCTAAGCCCAGGCTCATGACATCTGCTCCAGGTTGTACATTTAATATTCTGTTTTTAGGTGACTCTTTTTTCTGTATCCTCATTGCCTGAACCTGACTTACTTTGCCTGGCCCTCATTATCTTCCACCTAGACTATTGTATTTTCTTCCTGACAGTGCTCACAGCTTCTCATTTTCACATTCTGAGATTCAATACATATGCTATTTAAACAAAACTGATCATATTTCTTTCTGGATTAAAAAGATGCAATGGACTGTATTGTCATTATGATAAATTATAAATTTCATAATCTTGGCTAACCTTCCTGGTCTTTTTCTCACATACTTTCTTCCTGTATACAATGCTCATCACAAACCATTCACTCTTTTCCATATGCACCATGTTCTTCCAGCCTTCCATCCATGCATATATGAATCTGTGTGCCCTTTCCACTTACAGAACGACCATCCAATAGACCTAGGTCAAACATCTCTGCCAGAGGGAAGTCTCCGTTAAATTTTTTGTGTATAGTTACCAACTCCCTGATTTGTGCGTCCCTCTTCTTCCTAGAACATCAAGTCTTATAAGGGCAGGATTTGTGGTTTACTGCTGTATCTTTCAAGTCTAGACCTGTTCTTGGTTTAATGTAGATGAGCAATAACTGCTTGTCCAGTGAATAAAAAATTCCCTAACCCATGTGGCAGAATCTGGAACATAACAAATACTTTAAAATGCCTATTTAATGCTTCTCTCTACTTTGCTTCTAAATATTTTGCTAACTTTAGATGCCCCATTATAATTTCTCATATAATACTCTACAGACTTTCAGTTGTGGTGAGATAACTCGTGTAACCTTGAGAATCACAATATCTTGTTCATGGATATCCAAATAACTTCTTATTTGATAACCTAGACCCAGAGTTGGCCCTACTCATATTTTCCAGTCTGACAGGTATTTACTTAACTTTGAGCATGATCGAGGATTTATATGGAAATAAAGTAGCTACATTTTATTTAAAAGCCTTTATAAATAAATGAATTGAATAAAGATGGCCAAAGTACATTAAAACAATTTTTAAAAACACCTATACCATCCTTTCTATATGGCGTGTGTTTTTTGTGAATGCAAAATCAAGCATGTAAAAACACAGCACAACAAAAATAATAAAAGGTGATTTACTTCATTTTTTGGATGGAGTGCACAAAAAAGTGAAAGACACTATCCATCTGTGTTAGGTTGTTCTTCTGTTGCTATAAAGAAATAGCCAGCTGAGACTGGGTAATTTACAAAGAAAAGGTTTAATTGGCTCACAGTTCTGCAGCTTTATAGGAAACGAGGTGCTGGCAACTGATGGCTGAAGAGGCTTCAGGAAGCTTACAATCATGGAGGGAGGTGAAGAGGGAGCAGGCATGTCGCATGCAAAAGCAGAAGCAAAGGGGTGAGAGAGAGTCGGGGGGCAGTTTCACACACTTTTCAATAACCAGATCTCATGAGAACTCACTCACTATCACACCAAGCCATGAGGGGTCCTGCCCCATGACCCAAATACCTCTCACAAGGCACATCTAATATTGGGGATTACATTTCAACATAAGATTTAGGCGAAGACAAATATCCAAACTATATCGCCATCTCTTTAATGCTACACTTAAGATTATACATCAGGGCTGTCTAAAATGGTTTGCTTTTTCTCTCTCAGGTTGGCCATACATAGCAACAAAGTCAACAAAGTGGTTGAAAGTTAAGTCCCCTTTGATGACAGAACAAAAGGTTTTATTGGATAAATATTTTAGGCCTTCCTAAGTTCACCTCTCTTCTGATTGAATTTTAATTGAAAATCAATGACATTCTTTACTAATGAAGTATTATTCTTACAATGATAAGGCCGAAAAAGCATTGATAGGTATTAGTCATATCGAACACTTTTTCATATGCTTTTTGGCCATTTGTATACCTACTTTTGAGAAATGTCTATTCAGATCTTTTGTTCATTTTTTAATTGACTGTTTTCTTGCTATTGAGTTGTTTGAGTTCCTTGTATGTTTGGATATTAATCCCTTGTCAGGTGTATTGTTTGTTGTATGAACTTCGAAGTAATGAGATCTCACCCATTCACTGTTGTTATGAGCTGCCTTCCCAAAGCTGACAGCTTTGTCAAAATTGAATTTTTCTAGGTATAAAAATAGAATACCACATCTTTAATTCTAGATCTGTGCAAGATGCCAACATGGTTAGCTTGTCACTGTTCTTCTTCCTTTACTTTTAATGTGTTTATTTCTGTATGTTCTTACTTCAAGTAGTTGGGGCTCACTATTATCTGACAAAATATAATTATTATGATGCTGACCAAAATGGAAATATTGTAATGACTTTGATTTGTCTTTAATTAATAGACACTAATTTTTAGAGAAGTTTTATGCTTATGAAAATTGAGTGGAAATTAGAGTTCCCATCTACTCCTTCACCCCCCAACACAATTTTTTTCATTAACATATTGCATTACTGTGGTACAGTTGTGATAATTGATAAGCCACTATTGATACATCATTATTAATTAAGTCTATAGTTTACAGAAGGGTTAACTGTTGGTGTTATATGTTTTATGGCTTTTGATAAATGTTTAATGACATATTTCCTCCATTACAGCATCACATAGCATCATTTCACTGCCCTAATAATCCCATGTGCCCCACCTATCATCCCTCTCTATCTCCTCTACACTCCTGGCAACCATTGATTTTTTTACTGTTTTTATAGTTTTTTTCTTTTCCGGAATGACTTTAACTTTTACCAGTGAATGTGGGGGAGTTGCTCGCAAAGGAATCAAGATCATTCTTTGGTTGATAACAAGTTATTTTTATGACAATTAAAATCTCTTATTTAAAATAAATTGTTTAAAAGATTAATTTCTGATTGGGCTATTCTCAGGTGATGTGTGGGTTGCTGCTATCTATCAGAAGTCACCCAGTATCTTGATATTTTATTTTCAGTTATGACTTATACAGTGTTCTCCTGGCAAAATAGTTTGGGGTATTGACGTTGATAGAATTGGAAGCATACCAACCTTAGGTATTTAATTTTTTTGGTGAAACTAAGAGATATCTTAGAAAAAGTGAATGTAATATCTGTATGTGTAAATTTCACAAATATTTGGGAGATGCTGTAGGTTTTAAATTTGATCTGAAATGTAATGTAATTTTCTGCCAAATTGCCACAGCGTTACTTCCCTTCTTCCTCCCTCTCTTCTTCTCTCCCTCTCTCCTTTCCTTCTTTCCTTCTTCCTTCCCACATCATTTTTTGCTCCACAAATGTTTATTTAAAAATTAATGTCATTATTTGCTTCCCTGCCTCCTATCTTTCATCCTTGCTATTCTTTTAACGGATATTGATTTAACACTTATTAATACAAATAAGTAATACAAATATGATGATCTCTAAAATCTCTCCCAGCTCGGACTTTCTGATCCAACTACTTTTAGTAATTCCACTGCCACTGTGCTCATTCAAGCCACCATTGTCTCATGCTTATTTTACTGAAATAGACTTTAAACTGGTCTCTTTACACTCTTGCCACCTCTTCAGTCTTCTCAATGTCTTGCATCATTCTTTAGAAGTATTAATTGGATAGCAACACTTTGCATCCCTCAAAATCTTTCAATCACTCCCCATTCCAATTAGAATAAAATCTTAAAACAGGGTTCACAATTCTGTCTAACCTGACTCCCAGCCATTACTCCAGCCTCATCTGACCCCAGTTTTGTAGGTTTTGACTCTTCTTTCAGTTGTTAAATCATCATGCTCCTTTGCCACTCCACATCATTTTGTGTGCTGCTTCCTAAGTCTACAAAGCCCTTCCTTTCTTCCCATTCTCTAGCCAGATCCCCTCATCTGGATAACACCTACCAAGTTTTCAAATGTTAACTCAAAGTCACATCCTCAGAAAAAAATAACACTCTCCTGTCATATTATTTAATATGTTGTGATTTTATTTTATACATGTATCTTTTGTAATTATATATTTACTTTTATGATTATTTGGTTATATATTATATATAGTATATATACCTTTTAGTATACTATGTATACGATATGCTATTATAGGAAAAAGTATATGTATAGTATATATATAAAGTATATGTTATAAAATGGTTACAGAAAAAACTTAATCCAATAATCATAAATATATATGTGTATATATATGTGTGTGTGTGTGTGTGTGTGTGTGTGTGTATAAATTCCAGGCAGACTGGCCTACATTTGCTTCTGAAATTTGAATTTAACTTGAAGATCAAACTCAGCAGAGTGCTTATAATCAATATGACAACATAGGCAACATATCTTTATTGAGTGAAAGAATAAGTGGCTATTTCCTTCAAGAAATCTTTTTTATCAAATAATCAATTATTTCAGTTTTTTGCTAGTCAGGATAGTTTAGTAGTATTTATAATTAGTATTACTAAGTGGTAGGTCATGTTTAGTGAGTAACGAATTAACTTTCTTTTCTAGTAGGTAAGTGCAAATAAATGTTAGTAGGGGTGATTTCCTAGCCCATGGACTATTCCCATCTTAAAAAATGAAGTGTTTTTTTTTTTTTTTTGCTATTTATTTGTGCTGTATTATTACTTTTTCTCAATTTCTGAGATTCATAAGGAGTGTTGTTCTAATTTTTAAATGTCTTGGCTGTGCAGTTAAGAATATCTTTTAAGTATCAACACTGTCCAAATGAAATAAATCTAAAACATTATGAAAATAATGCTTATATTTTGAACCAAAAGCATATAAAAACATCTTCAGTTGAATGTGTGTTTTGCTGAACACTTTTATATCCTTCTCTACAGACTGCATGAGTCCACTGTTTTTCTGGTACTTGATTTCTTTTTTTTTTTATATGTTATAATAGTTACATTGCAAACTCTACTTTGGATAAAGGAGAAAGAATGAAAACACAGTTTAGTTCACTCATCTCTGTTCTCCTTCCTGCCTTCGCACCACTGTAATGTCCCCTGCGGCTCTTCTCCTCCCCTGCAGATCAATATTTCTTGTCTTAGTTTAATGAACACTCCTACATTGATCTCTCTCAGGTGCTGTGCTATTTTATGACAGGTTTCTTGGTTACAACTCCTTCTTAGCTAAGTCAGTGGAGCACCCTGCCATTCCCTACACAATACAGGCTGCAACAATAGGACCTTTATTCATCATAGGTTAATGTGTGATTTTTTTCCCTTTCTTTGAAAGGAATAAATATATACACTTTTTATTTAATTCTTTAACTTTGTTTTTTGGTTACCTTCTTTAAAGAATTATAAAAACAACTTAAGAATGGTATGCAAAAACAAGGATAAAGAAAGCCAGGAATCTTTAAAGTCTTCTGAAACACTTTCTTACAAACCAAAAGTTAGGATACCTTTGTTAGTTATTTTCATTCACTTTATGTCTTATTACCATGGTAGCAATTCATTGAATAATCCCTGTATCCAGAAAGATAAATCAGAGGTAACAGTATCTGACAAGTAAATCTCATGTCCAAAGACAATGCTCTTATCTTAGTTGTCCTGTGCTGGTGGCAAGAGAGAAATAGAGAATGGGTGCAGGGCACAATAAACCCAAGGACAGTGTCTCTTGATCTCCAAATTTAATAAGTTCTCATGCTTTTATGCCTTTTTTTCTCCTTTTGCACTGTGTATGATTGATTCACTAAGCAACTGCCTACTCCTAAGACATATTAAGTCAATTTTATCTTCTGTTTCATGTTTATCTGGTTTACCTATCCTTGCCTTGTGTACCTCCAGAAAATTTAATCAAATAATCACACAAATAAATATATAATTACAAAACAGTAAGTATAAAAAAGAAACAAAAGATATCATTAAATTCTGTAATATGAGAGTGTAATATATTCTGATACTTTGTCCTGAAGATGTGACTTTTGAGTTAATATTTCAAAAAATGATATGCCCTACTCAGATGAGGGGATCTGACTAAGGAAGGGGAAGAGAGGAGAAGAGCGGGGCAGAACTTTGTAGACCTAGGAAGCAGCGCACAAAATGATCCAGAGTGGCAAAGGAGCATGATGATTTCACAGCTGAAAGAAGGGCCAATGTCCACAAAAATGGGGCCAGATGAACCTGAAATAGTAGGTGGGAATCAGGTTAGACAAAATCATGAACTTTATGTCAAGATTTTATTCTAATTGCAATGGAGAGTGATTAAGAGATTGTGAAGGATATGAAGAGTGACTGTCCAATTAATATTTTTAAAGAATGCTGCAACATGTTAAAAAGACTGAAGAGGTGGCAAGAATGTTTGTAAAGAGACCAGTTTAAAGGTGATTTAAATTACGGTTGGAATCCCATGTAAAATTTTTCATGTACTATGAATCTGTCTTAAGCTAACTGATAACTCAGTTTACTTTTCTTTTCACTGTTGTTTTGTGCTCCTCCATCTTCTGCTATATTGTTGGTAATTACATTTTGTTGTTAATTTTCTTAAAAAAAAAAAACAAAAAAACAAACTGTAGTTGGGAATACCAGCAAGTATGACCCACTCAACAAAGAGAAGGCCAACTTCTCTGAATTTGCAGCAAAAATAAGGATCAATTCCAGGATTCTGATGAAATGTTGATCAGTACTAGAAAGCCACAAAAACTCGACATCAATATTGACTCCTCAATTTTTTTCCCAGCAAAATTAAAAAATCTATCAAAATCTTTCAAAACGTTCTCACAGCTTCCATTGCTTTCTATTCCATTTCCATCCTATTTCTATTCTATTTCCATTCCATTCTATCACCATTTTCTCACCTCTGGGATAGCACACAAGGGTCTTAATCTGATTTCACATTTACCTTTGAAAAGACTAATTTCTACACAGCAGCCAGGATGATCTCTTAAAACTGAAGTTGGATTGTATCACTTCTTTCTGCAGAGCAATCTATTGATTTCCAAGTCAACATCTATATAAGGGCCAATAAATTCCTACAGGGTCTGGACTATTCTTACCCCTCTGAGCTGATCTTGTCTTACTCCATCCTCAATTGTTATATCCAGATGCACTTTGTTTCCTTGCTCTGGCTCAAATACAGCCAACACAATTTCACTGTAGCATTTGCACTTACTGTTACCTCTGCCTGAAAAGCATTTCCAGTTGGTTTCCACAGGGCTCAATCCTTCCTTTCTCGCAGGTTTTTATTCAAAGGTCAGCTAATCACTGAGGCCTTTCCCATGAACCTATTCTAAGTTTCACTCGTCTTTAGCCCCATTTCATTCCTTTCCTATGCTATTTCTTTGACTTATTTTCTGTCTTCTCCAATTAGAATGTAAGCTCCTTGAAGGCAATGTTTTTTTCTATTTAGTTTATATATGCAGCATGCAGAACACAGCCTGCTACATGACACTTAATAAACTGTGTTGAATGAATAAAATGCCATGATTAATTGTATTTTTAATGGGACAATTCTCTTGGCACATCATAGAGATGGATCCCAACTCTATGACCTGCTGGGCAAGGGAAGTGTGGTTATGGCTTCTAAGAGCTCTCCTGAGAAAGTAGTACCCATATGTTGGGTGTTGTTAGTTCAGGTTTGTGAATTCTGTGTGTAGTTTGAGAGACAATAAGGGTAAGGATCTAAGGGTACTGGGATCTACCACTGATATCAATCCTTGGAACACTTCCAACCCAGATCAATTCTCTAGTCATTTCTTTTCTGTCAGTATTAATTGTTGGCTTGTTCTTTGTCTTTGCCCATTTTTTTTTCCTACAACACACATCTTTCCTCATTAGCCTACTGTGAAATAGAATGCTATTTCATAGCTGTTTTACTAAATGCTGAAATGAAGTTCAATATATTATTTCCATGGAGAAAGGTTAGAGGAGGTGAGAAGAAATATTTTTAATGAAAATGACAAGTAATCTCATCCTTCATTTTACCCTGACCTCCAATTAAAAAAAATTAAATTTTTAATAACATTTTTAGTACCTATCTCCCATTTAATTTGATATGTTGATGTCACCAAGGAAACTGACCTACTTGGAGATCTAGGGAATGTCTGCTCTAAAACATTTTCTTACATCTCTTGTCAATATGCAATGAATTTTGTAGCAATTTAATGAGAGAGAAGGAGAGGGAGAGAGAATAGAATTTGAAACCATACATACATAAAAAAGGATATGCCCATTTCTGCCATCTACAAGCCATATTGACTTTGGGAAGCTACCATATTTTTTTGAGCCTCAGGTTTCTCTTTTAAAGATGGGCATAATAATATCTACCTTGCAGGATTTGCATGAGGATTAATGTAAATGAGAAATGTAAGTGTAACTGGAAATATAAACGTCCTTAGCACATACCCTTGCTCTAGAAGTCTTAGTTTTTTAGAATTTTTAGTTGTTTCCTTTTCCTTTATTTAAGCACATAGTGAGCATTTGCTTGTTTTATGCCAGACATGTAAGCTGCAAAAATGCACGTACACAGCCTTGGATGTCATTACTCTACTCCTAGAAACTTCAGATTCAGTTCTAATTCTGCTTAGATCTGGAATTGCTCTCATCTCCTCTTTTTTTCGTTAGTGAATTGAAAATCTATTTTTTTCATGTTTTAATGAGTTCATCATACTGCATGCCTGTATTCAGACCCAATGTATGAGTCACTTTGAAAAATAGCTAATTTCTATAAAATAATTGATTATTAAAAAAACACTTTTGTATACTCAAAAATGTCCTTGCTTATTTCTTAGCTGAATTGAAATACATCTTCTTATAATTTAGTTTCTCCCTTCACTGATCATAAATGATTATACACATACTGGATATTTTTTTCTCTCCCTGACAATTCATTACATTGAATGGCACATGCAATATCCCACCTGTCTTTCTAAAGGGACATCAATATTGGCCTACTTTGATTGAACTAGCTAGATCAGCAATTCATTAACCTGTAACACACTAGGCCTGTTGTTTCATTACTGCTCCCTTAAAGCTTCTCTGTTAGTTAGAAACAACTAAAGTTTCTAGTTTTCTGCTTATATATTTAGCTTTATAAAATACAGTGATTTTCTCTCTTAAACAAGTGCTAGACTGTGGCCTCTTGATACAAGTCTATAAGAAAATCTGCCAGTTGATACATGATGCCGAATAAATAAGAAATGTCTTACAGTTTTTTTCTTTGTACCTTATTGCATTTCCCCTGTCTTCTTACATTTTACATTATTTTCCTTCTTTCTATCTCTCATATTTAATTAGCTTGTGGGTTGAAATGGAATGCAAGAGATTATTTTCCTCTTTGTCATCTTGATAAGAAATTGTCCCTTTTGGGTGTGGTTGAATGTGACAGTGGAATAAATCATCAGATACTCCTTGGTACTGGGAGTAGATATGTGAGTTATAACATCAGCTGATATTTGTAAATGCAATTGGGTATCTTCTACCACTTCATTCTTGCTGTATATCTTTTCTCTCTTCCTTGCTATATCAAAATTATTTTTCTTATAAATGTCTATTGAGAATCATACCATTGCTCCTTAATAGCCTTTAATTTTTTTTATAAAATCACATTTTTTAGTTTTGAGACAATTGTAGGTTCACATACCATTTTAAGAAATAATACAGAGAGATTTTGTACACCCTTTACCCAGTTTCCTCTCATGGTAACCTCTTGCAAAACTAGCATGATACTGCAACCAGGATATTGACTGATACAATCAAGATGCAGAACATTTGCATCACAAGGAGGATTCCTTATCTTGCTCTTTTACACTCACACCCACTACCTTCCAACTCCCACTCCCCATGTAACCACTGGCAATCCTGTTCTCCATCCTATAATTTTGCCATTTCAATCATTTTATATAAATGGAATCACAGAGCATGTAACCTTTTGTGATTGTCTTTTTTCCCTGAGCATTTTTCTCTGGAGATTAATTCAGGTTGCTGCAGGAGTCCATTCCTTTTTAGTGCTAAATAATTGTTCTCTGGAGATTAATTCAGGTTGCTGCAGTAGTCCATTCCTTTTTAGTGCTGAATAGTATCTCACAGTACAGGTGCACCACAGTTTCACCATTCACCTATTGAAGGACGTCTGGCTTGTTTCCAGTTTGTGGCTATATATATATATATCTATATACACACACACATATAAATATACACACACACACATATATATATATATACACACACATATATATAATAAAATATGAATTCATGTTCACACAAAATTATGTACATGAATTCTATAATAATTCCATGTAATAATGCTATTATAGACATTCATGTATATATTTTTGTGTGAACATGAACTCATATTTCTCTAGGGTAAATGTGAAAGAGTATAATTGCTGGTTGTATGATAGTTGTATGCTTAGTTTTCAAATAAACTTACATATTTTCTCCAGTAGTATATGAGAGATCGTTTCTCTGTATTCTTATTAACATATATATGTCTGCTTGCTTTACTTTACTTTTTTACATTATCGTTTTTATCTAAAATTACCACACATTATACAAGCTAGCTCTCATTTACTGAGTTGCCACTTAAAAGTAGCTTTTAAATTTTCATTCGGGAAAACTACGGTCTTGTCAGAATTTTGCCTTGGGATGCTAATATTTTGAAATGACATTAACCTTTACAAAAAGACCTTATACATTAAGGGAATGTAAACAAAACTTGAGGCAGGAACCTTTTATTTTCTTTAGTGCTAGAAAAAAAGCTCAAACATTTTAAAATATACTAATTTTTAAAAAGAATATACAGAATAAACTTGTTACAAGTAACTTTTATTGCAAATTTCTGCAAATAGCTTATCATCTACTTCTACTAAAACTTTCTCTAATACTTGTTCCCCTAACTGGATGTAATTTCTTCTTATGAACTGTCATACCATTTCTTCTTCTTTTCTTTTTTTAAAAATGGATTTTGACGTAGAAAAATCTGTACATAATGAAGGTATGCAACTTAAGCGCTTTGGAGATAAGTATAGACTCAATGAAATCATCACTACAATCTGTGTCATAAATCGATCCATCACCTCCAAAAGTTGCTCTTTGCCCTCTCATTTATAAATACTATTACCATGAACATTATTATTATAATTCTGTGATAAGAACACAACATAAGGCTACCCTTTTAGCAAATTTTAAAGCGTATAATATATATTGTTTACTATAGACACTATGTTGTACTGTAGATCTCTAGGACTTATTTATCTTGTATAACTGAAGCATTGCACTCTTTGACTAATACCTTTCCATTTCCCCCACCCCCTAGCCCCTGCCATTCACCATTCCACTCTCAGCTTCTCTGAGTTTGACTATTTTACACCCATCATATAAATGGTATCACGTAGTAGTTTTTGTTCTGTGTCTGGCTTATCGTACTTAAGTATATTATCCTCCATGTTCATCTATGTTGTCACAAATGGAAAGATTTCCTTATTTTTCAAGTCTGAATAATAATCCATTTATGTATTTACCACATTTAAAAAAATCTATTCATTGGTTGATAGACATTTAGGTAGCATCCCATGCTACAGTGAACATAGGGGAGAAGATATCTTTTCAGGATCATAATTTTATTCCCTTTGGATATATGTCCACATGTGAGATTGAGGGATCATATGGCAGACCTGAAACTATAAGACATCTAGAAGAAAACTTAAGGAAAAATATTCTGGACAATGGCCTTGGTAATTATCTCTTGGAAATGGCACCAAAATCACAAGCATAAAAAAGCAAAAATAGACAAGTGGGATTACATAAAACTAAAAAGCCTTGGCACATCAAAGAATATAATTAACCGAATGCAACCTACAGAATGGGAGAAAATATTTGCAAGCCATATATCTGATAAAGGGTTAATATTGAAAATATGTAAGGAACTCCTACAGCTCAAAAGCAATGATTGTCATAATCATAATCATAATATGCTGACTAAAAAATGGACAAGTGACTTGAAGAGATATTTATCCAAAGAAGATATATAGATGGTAAGAAAAGTTGCTCAACATCATTAACCATCAGGGAAATGCAAATCAAAACCACAATGCAATATCACTTCACACCGGTTATAATGGCTTTTATGAAACAAACAAACAAACAAACAAACAAAACAATAGATAACTAATGTTGGCAAAGGTGTGAAGAAAATGGAACCCTTCAACACTGTTGGTGGGAATGTAAATTGGTACAGCCACTGTGAAAACTATATGAAAATTTCTCAAGAAACTAAAACTAGAACTATCATGTAATAGTTGATATTGTAATTGGCGGGGGAGAGAATAAGGAGACAGATATATATCAAGTGATACATTTTATCTCTGGGTGAAAACTATGGAGACATCCTCAACTGAGTGACATGATGAGGAGTTTGAGCTGCCTGTTAGCTGTCCAAGACTAGAGAGTAATGTATACAGAGAGTTTGGGGGGAGATTTAGATACAGATGTAGATTTTAAATATATTAGCTTAATATTAGCTTGGTTGTGGCTGAAACTATGAGGCTTGCTTGTCATCCAAGGAATATATTTCTAGAAAGAAGAGAAAAGGTTCTAAGGCAGATTATGGAGGGGGGTACAAAATCGCATTTAAAGGAATGTGTATGAAGAACATCTACAAAATCCCCTGGGGAAGAGCAATCAGAAAGACAGGGAGACAGACAAATGATGTCTTAAAAAACAGGAGAATTTCAGAAAGGGACTGGTCAATGATGCTAAATATTTTGGGTCAAGTTACAAATCAAATGATTTCTTTTTGATCAATGAAGACAATCACTTCCCTTAAGAAAGGTAGATGTATTTTAAAAAGCAATATGACAATAACTTCATAAAATTTTATTTCTCTTCTTCAGAAGGAAGGTGAAAAAGTCTCCTATAAGTGAATGATGATTATCTGTGGAATACTCAATTATAGTCAGATGTAGTAACTGATATCTACCTAGAGTGAAGTAAAGATAACTTGCTAAGAAAATAGGGCAATTCATTGCAAATTGAAATGGCATAGACCCAAGTCTCAATTAGTAACTTACTTGAATGAAAACTGGAATCCTTTTAGCTAAATATATTTAGCCTAAATATGTTTAGAAAAGAAGAGGAAAATGATAAGCTTTAGTCATCTCAGGGAGAAGTTGTTTGTAATAGAAAATAGAAAAGAGGCAATGGCAGTAAATGATTCCATGGTTTATAGAGGTTAAACCAGGTTTTGGTTTCACCTGAAAATTTGAAGACTCTCCTGATCCTTGGCTGCATGCGACTCCAAATTCTCAGGTGAGGGATATCCATAGACTGTCATAATCCCTGCTGGCCTGATCTGAGTTATACACAGATATGATATGGCTTGGGAAAATCAATGGCATTTCAGAATACATCTCTGTATCTTCTATATTTTATTTCTTACTTCTGGTCTCCATTTCTGAATACAATTTTTAGGCAAGTGGTGATATGAAGATCATAAAGTCAAAGGACAGTTTTCTGGTCTCTTAATTTAGAAGAAACCCTTGAGAAAATTCCAAAGGTCTTGAACTGATAAAATGAATATATAACAAGGGAATCTGAGTGCGGTTTGGGCCATGATTTTCTCCATGAGCAGGTGGTTGAGTTAAGAAAAATCGTCATTCTTAGTCAATCCTGTGAAATCTTGAAGGATGCTGGCCCTTATGCTGGATACCCTTATGCTGGATACCCTTTTGCATAAGGTTTGCTAAAGCCACTCTCAGACATGACTTGGAATAACGTTTGGTTTTTAATATAAAGTATTTTTTCTCAATGCCTGTTAGTAGTTTAGGACAAGGGAACAAGTTAAATGCTGATATGACTGTAGTTGGAAAAGCTGTCATTAATATAATTATATGATATTTCTATCTCACACTCACAAAAATCTTACCCGCACATTACAGTGAGAGGTAGCAAGCCATAATAAAAAAGTTTGCAATTTGTAATTAAAACTGAATTCAAATATTGATTTTTGTTTACACTGTGGCTTAAACATAGTAGGTAAATTCTCTGAATTTAAAATATTTATAGTGTGAATGTGTCTATAGAGATCACGAGTACTAGATTGCATAAAATAATCTATTACAGTGATTGGCACACAGCAGGACTCTAATGAAGGCCATTTACTTTCTGATATCTCCTTTTTTAACTCATAATCTCTTCTTTTTGTTGTCTTGTTCTGTCTCTTCCTCATTCTTTCCCTCCCCGCCTCCTTTCTCTGTTTCTTTCACTTACTCCCTTCCTGTGCTCCTTCCTTCCTATTTATTATTCTTCCTTCCTCCCTTTCTTCTCTTTCTTTCTCTCTTTTTCTTCTAAATCATTATGCAATTCTTACTCTATGATCAAAGTCCTACACTGTCTTTTTCCAGACTTTCCAACCATATCACCCTCTTTTAATCAGCATGAACATTTCATTCCAGGAAAGACAATTTATTCACTGCTCTCAAGCGTGGTTTTCTCTTTTGTGACACTATATTTTTGCTCATGTAATTCTCCTTAATAGGAATATCTTCACCATCCAAATGCTGTAGTATAAACTAGAATTCCACTCTACCTATTCGTTTTTTGAGAAATCATTTCAAGGCAGTCTTGACAAAACAAACAACCAAACATACAAGCAAGTAAATTCTCTGCTCTTTTGGAACTCCTACAATTATATACCCTTCATCTCTAATTCAGTTTGATTTGCATCATTATTTGATTCATCAAATAAAATTTAAACATAAATTATCTGTATATTTTTCTTTCGTCCACTTATCCATGTATACATCAATGTCTTTATTCATTCAAGCTGCTAAAACAAAATACCTCAGATTGGGTAATTTATAAACAACAATAATTTATTGCACATAGATGTGGAGGATAGGAAATTCAAGATCAAGGCACCAGCAAATCGTTGTCTCTTGAGGGCTTGGTCTCTGCTATATACGCAGCACCCTCTTGTTGCATCTTTACCTGGTGGAAAGGACCAATGAGCTTCCTTGGGTCTCCTTTAGAAGGGCACAAATCCCACTTACGAATGTGAAGTCCTCACAACCTAATCAATTTACAAAGATCCCACCTCTTAATACTACTGCATTCAGTAGTAGATGTCAGTCTATAAATTGTGGGGGCTTGAGGGAAGGAGTAAACATTCAGACCATAACAATCAGAAGAAAGAAAATCATATTTTTCCAGAAGGAAAAATTACTGTGGATAACAGAAAGCAAGAGAACTACCATTGTAATACTTTCTGAATTTGCAGTCATGCTGACACAATAGTTAGGTGTGAAACTGATCACTATGGTTGTGGAGATACCTCTAGAACATGCCTTTAGATAATAGTAATAGGGCATCTGATTTCAGACCAGAAGCTGAGATATCTTATGGATATCCTCTTACTAAAAATCAATACCTAATTTTTTCCAAATCCTGACACATAAGTAGATTTGCACATATTCCTCTTTTATAAATTGGTGCTAGCTTCAATAATGCCGATTATAAATGATGTCTTTATATTTTCCTCTTAGGAATTGATATTTTGAGTTGATAATAATATTTACCAGAATTTTTTTTTTTGTTAAAGTAAAGATATCTTACTTTTTAGAGAATATAATTTTGTAGTGTATTGAGTTTCTCAGGGATGGATGATAAATAAACACTAAACACCACTATTCCCATTGTCTTCTTCTGTCTTTGTATAGACAGACACACATTCAAAGCTTATAATGGTATTTGATTTATAGTCAAATGAAGTGTTTTTCCTTCATGTAACCAAGGTATATTAAAGGTGCACACAAATCAAATTCGAATCAAGGTAAGATTAATCACATCTTATTTATATATGCCTGGCTTCAGTTCAGCTAGAATATAAAAGAATCTTATTTTATAAAACGTCATTTTCAGTTACTGTTTAAAGGTTGTTGCATAGCAACTAATTGTTCACGGAGCACTACCTAATAATATCTGACTCGTGTTGCAGTACATCTATTTTTTAAAATTTAAATTCTATTTCCTAAAGAATTAAGGTAAATAATTACAGTGACCTGAACATTTTAAAGATAAAGGTTCATACATGTAAATTAATATTGATGAAAGTTCTATTCACAACATTTATTTTTTCCTAGACATGCATGTCACCTTAAAAGTGTTTTAATTCATAATGACACTAAAACAATTTTTTTTAGCTGAGTTTTATAGGTCAACTTTAGGAGTAAGATTTGATTGATAGCTCACCAACTGACCAAGAATTTCTTAGCAAAATAATTCCTATAAAAATAGGTAATGGTTGACATTTCTATTTTAAGTTGCTAGTGTTTTAATGCTTTGAGAAACATTTGTTATTCTATTGCATATTTCTAATTTAAAACCTTGGAATTCTATTTGGGTTTAGTAACAAAACGTCTCAATTTTCTTGCTAGAAAAATCCGAATATTAATATGTTTGAAGTATTTTTATTCACAAGGTTATGATACAATGTTTTATAAAGGTAAAATATCAAGAGGGTTTGATTCACACCTCCAACATTTACTAGCTAGCAATGTTATTGTTAGGCAAATTGGTGTTTTAGCACAAGTTATGAATTCTATATATGAAGATAGCACCTACCAAACTGGGTGGAAGTTGTGGAGTTTAAGCATGATAATCCATGCTTCTTACAGTGCTTAACATATGGCATATGATTAAGTCATATTATACCTAAATTCTAAATTTCATTTCAGATATATCAGGTTATTTTTACTTACAGAACATTTTGCTATTACTATTATTTTCCATTTGGAGATTTGGTAAAGAGTGGTGACCTTGTATTTTTGATGTGATTCTGGATTCTTAGAATCCTAATGGAAAACAGCACTTCTTTATTTCTTCTTACTTTTTCCAATGCTGATAGGTTAAGGGGAGCTAGAACTCTCTCCTTTATGCTATAGTGGGAGGCAGGAGAGTGTAACAGCAGTTCACAGCTATGTCCTTCCTCAGAGGCAGAGACCAATCAATGCAGGTGGCAGATTATGTAAAATAAACATTGATTATGTCATGGTAGTTACATAATATAAGTGTACTAATCTGTTCTTGCACTGCTGTAAAGTAATACCTGAGACTGGGGTATTTATAAAAACATGAGAGGTTTAATTGGCTCATGGTTTTGCAGGCTGTACAGGAAGCATAGCAACTTCTGCCACTGGGAGGCCTCAGGAAAATTACAATTATGGAAGGCGGTGAAAGAGAAGCAGGCACATTTTACATGAACAGAGCAGAAGCAAGAGAGAGAATGGGGAGGTGCCACACGCTTTTAAACAACAAGATCTTGCAAGCACTCACTCAGTATCATGAAAGCAGCATCAAAGAGGAAGTTTGCCCTCATAATTCAATCACCTCTGATACCAGGCCCCACCTCCAGCATTAAGGAATACAATTCTACATGAGATTTGTCAGAGACACAGATGTAAACCTTATCATTCCACCCCAGCCTCTCCCAAATCTTATGTCTTTCTCATATAGCAAAATTCAATCATGCCTTCCCAATAAACCCCAAAGTCTTAACTCCTTTCAGCATTCTCCCCAAAGTCCAAAGTCTCATCTGAGAAAAGACAAGTCCTTTCCACCTATAAGCCTGTAAAATAAAAAACAAGTTAGTTACTCCTAAGATACAATGGGGGGTATAGGCATTGGGTAAATACTCCCATTCCAAAAGAGTGAAATTGGCTAAAAGAAAGGGGCTACAAGTCCCATGCAAGTCTGAAACCCAGCAGAGCAGTCATTAAACATTAAAGCTCCAAAATAATCTCCTTTGACTCCATGTCCAAAATCCAGGACAAACTGATATGAAAGGTGGGCTTCCCAGGCCTTGGGCAGCTCTATCCTTGTGGCTTTGCAGGGTTCCATCCCCATAACTGCTTTTACAGTCTGGTATTAAGTGCCTGTGACTTTTTCAGATGTGTAGTGCAAACTGTCAGTGGATCTACCATTCTGGGGTCTGGAGGATGGTGGCCCTCTTCTCACAGCTCCACTAAGCAGTGCCCCAGTGAGGCTGCTGTATGGGGGCTCCAACCCCACATTTTCCCCTCCACACTGTCCTAGTAGAGGTTGTCCAGGAGGCCTCTACCCCTGCAGCGGGCTTCTTCCTGGACATCCAGGCTTTTCCATACACCCTCTAAAGTCTGGGTGGAGGCTCCCAGGCCTCGACTCTTGCATTTTGTGCACCTGAAGGCTTAACACTACATGGAAGCCACCAAAGCTTATAGCTTGTACCCTCTGAAGCAGTGGCCTGAGCTGTATCTGGCCACAGCTGGAGCTGGAGCAGCAAGGATACAGGGAGTGGTGTCCCAAGGCTGTGCAAGGCAGTGGGGCCCTATGCCTTGCCCATAAAACCATTTGTCCCTCCTAGGCCTCTGGGCCTGTGATGGGAAAGGCTGCCACGAGGGTCTCTGAAATGTCTTCAAGGCCTTTTCCCCATTGTCTTGGATATTAGCACTTGGCTCTTTTTTAGTTATACAAATTTTGCAGCTGACTTTAATTCCTCCCCTGAAAATGGGCTTTTCTTTTCTACCACATGGATAGGCTGCAAATTTTTCAAACTTTTACACTCTGCTTTCCTTTTAAACATAAGTTCTAGTTTCAGATCATTTATTTGCTCATGTATATGAGAATAGGCTATCAGAAGCAGCCAGGTCACATCTTAAACCCTTTGCTGCTTATAAATGTCTTCCACCAGATACATTGAATTATCGCTCTCAAATTCAAATTTCCACAGATCCCTAGGACACAGTGCCACCAGTCTCTTTGCTAAAGTATAGTGAAAGTGGCATTTACTCCAGTTGCCAATAAGTTCCTTATTTCCATCTGAGACCTCCTCAGCCTGAACTTTATTGTCCATATCATTATCAGCATTTTGGTCACAACAACTTAACAACTTAAGTCTTTAGGAAGTTCCAAAGTTTCCCTCATTTTCCTGTCTTCTTCTGAGCTCTCTACACTCTTCCAACCTCTGCCTATTACCCAGTTCCAAAGTTGCCTCCACATTTTCAGGTATCCTTATAGCAATGCCCTACTCATCAGTACTGATTTTCTGTATTAGTCTGTTCTGGCACTGCTATAAAGAAATACCTGAGACTGGGTAATTTACAAATAAAAGAGATTTAATTGGGTTGTGATTCTGCAGGCTGTACAGGAAGCATATAGCAGCTTCTGCTTCTGGGGAGGCCTCAGGAAACTTATAATCATGGCACAAGGCGAAGGAGAAGCAGGCACATTTTACGTGGCTGGAGCAGGAGCAAGAAAGAGATGGAGAAGGTGCCATGTACTTTCTCACAAGCACTCACTACTGTCACAAGAGCAGCACTGAGAGGAAGATATGGCCCCATGATTCAATCACCTCCCACCACTACCCCCTCCAATACTGGGGATTCAATTCAGGATGAGATTTGCACAGGGACACAGATCCAAACCATATAATTGGGTTGGTGTACCAAATTTTCAGAAGGAACAAAAGTGATGAGGCTAGTAAATAAGGTAAAAAGTGAGCATTTAAAATGTATTAAAGTAACAGAGAAATAGAATGAATACATAATATAAAATTTAAACATAGCTAATGTAACTGGCTGTATGGAGTTCTTAAGAACTGCCTAAGTACCACATGGCTTAGAAGTAATATTAATGAAGATGACTTAGGAGTTGTGTCAGTTTCCAAACACTGCTATAATAAATTACTATACATTTAATGGCTTAAAAGAAGACAAATTTATTATGTTACAATTGTGGAAGTGAGAAACCCCCAAATGAGTCTTAATGAGAAAAAGATCAATGTGTCAGCAGCACTGTGTTCCTTCTGGAGGCTGAGAGGGAGAAATCCCTCTTTCCCTTTTGCAGCTTCTAGAGGCTGCCTGCATTCCTTGGCTGCTGGCATCCCTCCAGCAATATATCACTGGATATCAGCAGTATATCGCTCTGCTTTCTGCTTCCGTGATTCCTTCTCTGACTCTGATCCCACTGCTTCCTGCTAATGAAGACCTTTAAGATTACATTGGGCCCGCCAGATGACCCAGGGAATTTTTTCCCATCTCAAGCTATTTAATTTAATCACATCTGCAAAATCTGTTTGCCATGTAAGGTAACAATTGCAGATTCTGGGGAATAGGGTATGACATATTTGAGGAGGAGGCATTATTCTGTCGGCAATAGAAGCTTTAGGAGAAATAAGTGCAAGACAATGCAACATGTGGGTAAAATTAATGTGATATTATACTTCAGAGATAGAAAAGCAAAAGTTCCTAATGGAAGAAATAGTTCGGCTCAGCTCTGCTGATCACAAAGGTTAGACTACAGAAGATGGACTAGGATGGTAAGTGGAATTAAAAACATGTTCTGTTGTAGAAATCTGAAAATATTTGTGTATAAAAAGAAGATATAATGCCTTTGTTCAAATATTCATAAGATTGATAGGAAGGAGAAATTAGTAGCATTTTGTTAGGCTCAAAAGCTGGAATAGGACCATTAAGCTGAAGTTGTAGTATGGCAAATCTTTGAGTAAGCATAGAAAGAAAAACTGTTTCTCTTCCCTTTATGTCTTTGAGCTTGTAGTTTATCAAACCCTTTATGGGTATGTGGAAATGGAGATTAAAGCCTCAGATAAGAGGCTGGATTAAACTACATTATTTTGTGGTTACTTTAAAAACGTTGATTTTACTGTTCTTTGATTTTACTATCCTCTGGCTTACTCTTAGGAAAGAATCACTCTAGTGCTTACTATTGTTATTTTTTTTTCCATCTGTCAAATGAGATCTTGTTTGTATAAGCCAGTAAGTAAGAGATCTGTAATCAGGCATAAAGTGAATCAGAAGTAGAAGGATCTCTCTGAAAAGCTCATGCACTGTATCATGACTGAGAAATTTATATTTAAATGAGAAATCTTAGGATAAAAATTCACATTTTGAAAAGACAGTACAAAAAAGAATACAAAAGGAAAACTTTAATGTAGTGATAGCAACAAAAACAGTCAGAAGCAATTCATTTCCAATTACATAAAGAGGGCCACGCAGTAAATAAGAATTGTATCTGTTCATCTTTGTAAAATGATTGGAAAGGCCAGTTGCGGTGGCTCACGCCTGTAATCCCAGCACTTTGGAAGGCCGAGGTGGGTGGATCACTAGGTCAGAAGTTCGAGACTAGCTTGACCAACATGGTGAAACCCCGTCTATACTAAAAATACAAAAATTAGCCGGGCATGGTGGCACACACCTGTAATCCCAATTACTCAGGAGGCTGAGGCAGGAGACTCTGAACTCGGGAGGCAGAGGTTGCAGTGAGCTGAGATTATGCCACTGCACTACAGCCTGGGCAACAAAGTGAGACTCAATCTCAAAAAAAAATGATTGCAAATATTATGTATAAAATCTGTTATTAATTCACTGAGAGAAGGAAGCAGAGATGACATCTGTGGTGGTTAATAGTGAGTGTCAGCTTGATTGGATTAAAGGATGCAAAGTATTGATCCTGGGTGTGTCTGTGAGGGTGTTGCCAAAGGAGATTAACATTTGAGTCAGTGGGCTGGGAAAGCCAGACCCACCCTTAATCTGGGTGGGCACCATCTAATCAGCTACCAGCAAGGCCAGGATATAAAGCAGGCAGAAAATAATGAAAAGGCTAGACTGGCTTAGCCTCCCAGCCTACATCCTTCTCCCAAGCTGGATGCTTCATGCCCTCAAACATCAGACTCCAAGTACTTCAGCTTTGGGACTTGGACTGGATTCCTTGCTCCTCAGCTTGTAGATGGCCTATTGTGGGACCTTGTGAAAGTGTGAGTTAATACTCCTTAATAAAACCCCATACATGTGTGTGTGTATGTGTGTGTGTATATATATATATATATAAAAATATATATACACACACAAATATATATATATAAACATATACACAAAAAAATATACATTTGGGAGGCCGAGGCGGGCGGATCACAAGGTCAGGAGATCGAGACCATCCTGGCTAACACGGTGAAACCCCGTCTCTACTAAAAATACAAAAAATTAGCCGGGCGTGGTAGCGGGCGCCTGTAGTCCCAGCTACTCGGGAGGCTGAGGCAGGAGAATGGCGTGAACCCGGGAGGCGGAGCTTGCAGTGAGCCGAGATCGCGCCACTGCACTCCAGCCTGGGCGACAGAGCGAGACTCCGTCTCAAAAAAAAAAAAAAAAAAAAAAAAAAAATATATATATACATATATATATACATATTGCTAAGGGCTCTACTTCTAATAGTACGGAGAACACTGATAGTCCTTGGCATGAACGGTTTAGAGAGTTATGCAAAATCAATGCATTTGAAACTCCTGATTCACTGCTCACGAGTGGCAAAGAGTTTAGTGACTCTGTATATAATGCCTTTGACCCTATGTGGAGAAACAAGTCACATAATGAAGCTGATTGGTTGCTCATAAGTTCAGAGGACAAAGTGATGAAAGAAAATGATGAACTCAGGGATTTGAACTCCTGGCTTCAGAAGCAGATAATGAGCCTCAAATCTGCTAATATTGCCTTAAGTGAGAGTCTTATCTCCTGTAGAGAAAGAGCTGAAATTATGGAAAAACCAGACACCAAGTTCGTATCATGTGAGTGGCTGACATGCAACGGAAGATGCTTGCACAGCCTCGCCAGGTGTCTATTGTAAAAGTAAAGGCCTTGATTGGAAAATAATGGAATGCTGTAAATTGGAAAGATGTGTGGGAGGACCCTGATGAAGCTGGGGACACTGAGCTTGTAAACTCTGGATGAACACTTTTTGCCAGAAGAAACAGAAACAGCTTCCCCATCCGCAGTAATGGCAACATCCCCTCCCTGACCCATGCTGCCATCAGCATTTCCACCTTCGTTTGAGGGGACAAACCCTGTGTTGCCTGAGGCAACAGTGATGGCCTCCCCTGAGGCAGTTGCCAGGCAAGATAATGTTGATTCTCCTCGGGATCTACCCCCAACACGCCTATTTGTTTCTAGGCCTGTAACTGGACTAAAGTCCTGGCAAGCCCCTAGAGGTGAGGTTCAGAGTGTGACCCACAGGAAGATGTGCTACACTGGAAAATAACTGCTTGAGTTTTCTAATTTTTAAAAGCAGGAACCTGAAGAGCAGGCATGGGAATGGATATTAAGGGGGTGGGATGATGGTGGAAGGAACATAGAGTTGGATCTGGCTGAATTTATTGATTTTGGCCCACTAAATAGAGATTCCTCATTTAATGTTGCAGCTTGGGGAGTTAAAAAAGGTGCTAATAGTTTATTTGCTTTGTTAATTGAAATATGGATTAAAAGATGGCCCACTGCACGTGAGCTGGAAATGCCTGATCTCCCCTGGTTTAATGTAGAAGAAGGGATCCAAAGGCTTAGGGAGATTGGGATGGTGGAGTGGATTAGTTACTTTAGACCCACTCATCCTATCTGGGAAAGTCCAGAAGATATACCCTTGCCCAATGCCTTGTGAAATAGATTTGTGAGGGCAGCCCCTGCATCTTTGAAGAGCCCTGTAATTGTTTTCTCTGTATGTTAGATCTAACAGTGGAAACCACAGTCACTCAACTACAAAATTTAAATACGGTGGGGATAATTGGATCCCCAGGTGGCAGGGGTCAAGTGGTGGCACTCAACTTGCCTCAGACCAAGGCACTCACTTTACATCTAAAGAATGTGACAGTAGTCTCATGCTTATGGAATTCACTGGTCCTACCATGTTCCCCATCATCCTGAAGCAGCTGGATTGATAGAATGGTGGAATGGCCTTTTGAAGTCACAATTACAATTCCAACTATGTGACAATACTTTGCAGGGCTGGGGCAAAGTTCTTCAGAATGCTGTGTAGTCTCTGAGTCTACTTAATTTGCATAAGCAGAAAACTTCCAGGTTGAATGGACATAAGACTAAATTGAATTATGAAAACAGAATCACGGCCACTCAATCAATTTCCAGACTTGAGTCAATTTACAGACCCAGAACCGTTTGAAGGAAGGGGAGGCTGGGGTTCCCTTGAGGAAGGACCCCACCACACTACTGACAATTTATGCTGTTAATCTTTCTCCCATCCTTCCCCAAGGAGACCTCTGGCCTTTTACCAGGGTAACTGTGCACTGGGGAAAGGGAAATGATCAGACATTTTGGGAACACTGGCTCTGAGCTGATGTTGATTCCAGGTGACCCAAAATGTTACTGTGGTCCTCCAGTTAAAGTAGGGGCTTATGGAGGTCAGGTAGTTAATAAAGTTTTTGCTTAGGTCTGACTTACAATGGGTGCAGTGGGTCCCTGGACTCACCCTGTGGTCATTTCCCCAGTGCCAGAATGCACAATTGGCATAAACATACTTAGCAGCTGGCAGAACCCCCACATTGGCTCCCTCACTGGTAGGGTGAGGGCTGTCATGGTGGGGGAGGCCAAATGGAAGCCATTAGAGCTGCCTCTACCTAGAAAAATATTAAGTAAAAAACAATATCAGATCCCTGGAGGAATTGCAGAGAATTAGTGCCACCATCAAGGACTTGAAAGACGTAGGGGTGGTGATTTCCACCACATCCCTGTTCAACTCTCCTATTTGGCCTGTGCAGAAGACAGATGGATCTTGGAGAATGATAGTAGATTATCGTAAGCTTAACCAAGTGGTGACTCCAATTGCAGCTGCTGTACCAGATGTGGCATCATTGCTTGAGCAAATTAACAGATCTGCTGGTACCTGGTATGCAGCCATTGACTTGGCAAATGCCTTTTTCTCCATCCCTGTCCATAAAGCCCACCAGAAGCAATTTGCTTCAGCTGGCAAGGCCAGTGATATACCTTTACCATCCTACTTCAGGGGTATATCAACTCTCTGGCTTTGTGTCATAATCTTACTCGGAGAGACCTTGATTGCTTTTCCCTTCCACAAGATATCACACTGGCCCATTACATTGATGACATTATGCTGATTGAATCCAGTGAGCAAGAATTAGCAAACACACTGGACTTACTGGTGAAACATTCGTGTGCCAGAGGATGGGAAATAAATATGATTAAAATTAATGGATTTTCTACCTTAATAAAATTTCTAGGTTTCCAGTGTAGTGGGGCCTGTTAAGGTATTCCTTCTAAGGTGAAGGATAAGTTCTGTATTTGGCCCTTCCTACAACCAGGAAAGAGGCACAATGCCTAGTGGGCCTATTTGGATTTTGGAGGCAACACATTCCTTGTTTGGGTGTGTTACTCTGGCCCATTTGTCAAATGACCAAAAAGGCTGCCAGTTTTGAGTGGGGTCCAGAACAGGAGAAGGCTCTGCAACAGGTCCAGGCCGCTGTGCAAGCTGCTCTTCCACTTGGGCCATATAACTCAGCAGATCCAACGGTGCTTGAGGTGTCAGTGACAGATAGGTATGCTGTTTGGAGCCTTTGGCAGACCCCCATAGGTGAATCACAGTGGAGGCCTCTAAGATTTTGTAGCAAGGCCCTGCCATCTCTGCAGATAACCACTCTCCTTTTGAGAGAGAGCTCTTGGCCTGTTACTGGGCTTTGGTGGAAACTGAAAGTTTGACTATGGGTCATCAAGTCACCCTCCAACCTGAACTGCCTATCATGAACTGGGTGCTTTCTGACCCATCTAACCATAAAGTGGGCCGTGCACAGTAGCATTCCATCATCAAATGGAAGTGGTGTATACGTGATCAGGGTCAAGCAAGTCCCGAAGGTTCTAGTAAGTTACATGAGGAAGTGGCTCAAATGGCCATGGTCTCCACTCCTGCCTCTCTACCTTCTCTCCTCCAGCCTGCACTGATGGCCTCATGGGGAGTTGTCTATGATCAGTTGACAGAGGGAGAGAAGACTAGGTCCTGGTTCACAGATTGCTCTGCATGATATGCAAGCACCACCCAAAAGTAGACAGCTGCAGCACTACAGCCCCTTTCCAGGACATCCCTGAAGGACAGTGGTGAAGGGAAATCTTCCCAGTGGGCCAAACTTCGAGCGTTACACCTGGTTGTGCACTTTGCATGGAAAGAGAAATAGCCAGATGTGTGATTATATACTGATTCATGGGCTGTAGCCAATGGTTTGGCTGGATGGTCAAAGACTTGGAAGAAGCATGACTGGAAACTTGATGACAAAGAAATGTGGGGAAGAGGTTATGTGGGTGGACCTCTCTGAGTGGTCAAAAACTGTGAAGATATTTGTATCCCATGTGAGTGCTCACCAATGGGTGACCTCAGCAGAGGGGGAGTTTAATAATCAAGTGGAGAGGATGACCCATCCTGTGGACACCACTCAGTCTCTTTCCCCAGCCACCCCTGTCATCGTTGGCCAATGGGCCCATGAACAAGTGGCTGTGGTGGCAGGGATGGAGGTTATGCATGGGCTTAGCAACATGGACCTCCACTCACCAAGGCTGACCTGGCTATAGCCACTGTTGTGCGCCCAAGTTGCCAGCAGCAGAGACCAACACTGAGCCCTTGATATGGCACCATTTCTTGGAGTGTTCAGCCAGCTACCTGGTGGCAGGTTGATTGTATTGGACCTCTTCCATCATGGAAAGGGCAGAGGTTTGTCCTGACTGGAGTAGTCACTTACTCCAGATATATGTTTGCCTATCCTAAATGTAATGCTTATGCCAAGGCTAGCATCCATGGACTCATGAAATGCCTTATCCACAGTCATGGTATTCCACACAGCATTGCCTCAGACCAAGGAACTCACTTTATGGCTAAAGAATGTGGCAGTGGTCTCATGCTTATGGAATTCACTGGCCCTACCATGTTCCTCATCATCCTGAAGCAGCTGGACTGATAGAAGAGTGGAATGGCCTTTTGAAGTCACAATTACAATTCCAACTAGGTGACAATACTTTGCAGGACTGGGGCAAAGTTCTTCAGAATGCTGTGTTGTCTCTGAATCAGAGTCCAATATATGGTACTGTTTCTCCCATAGCCAGGATTCATAGGTCCAGGAATCAATGGGTGAAAGTAGAAGTGGCACCACTCACCATCACCCCTAGTGATCCACTAGCAAAATTTTTGCTTCCTGTTCCCATGACATTACGTTGGAGAAACACTGCCACCAGGAGACACAACAACCATTCCATTATCCTGGAAGTTAAGATTGCCACTTGGACACTTTGGGCTCCTCCTACCTTTATGTCAACAGGCTAAGAAGTGAGTTACAGTGTTGTCTGGGGGCAATTGACCTAGACTATGAAGATGAAATCAGTCTACCACTCCACAATGGAAGTAAGGAAGAGTATGCATGGAATACAGGAGCTTCCTTAGGGAATCTCTTGATATTACCATGCGCTATAATTAAGGTCAATAGGAAATTACAACAGCCCAATCCAGGCAGGACTACAAATGGCCCAGACCCTTCAGGATTGAAGGGTTGGGTCACCCCACAAGGTAAAAAACTATGACTTGTTGAGGTGCTTGCTGAAACCAAAAGGAATACAAAATGGGTAGCAGAAGAAGGTAGTGATCAATACCAGCTACAACCACATGACCAGTTACAGAAATGAGGACTGTAATTGTCGTATTTCCTTCTTCTTTTGTTAAAAACATGTTTGTGCATGGAGAAACAGTACCGTATAATGGACTCTGATTCAGAAAATGTATACGCTTGTACCAAGAAAATATCTTCATTTTATTTCCTTTTGCCTTTATAATGTAAAAGAAGATGTATTGAATTGATATCAGCATTTAAGTATTGTTAACTTTATGTAATAGCATTTTGGTTAGGGATTGGTGAGTTTCCGGTTGTACAAAGGATAGTTGTATTGTGTTATGCATAATTATGAACTTATTTTGTCTTTATTTGAAGATTATGTATGATCTCAGGAGATACGTATGGGTTCAAGTTGACAAGGGGTGGACTTGTGATGGTTAATATTGAGTGGCAACTTGGTTGGATTGAAGGATGCATAGTATTGATCTTGGGTGTCTCTTTGAGGTTGTTGCCAAAGGAGATTAACATTTGAGTAAGTGGGCTGAGAAAGCCAGACCCACCCTTAATCTGGGTGGGCACCATCTAATCAGCTGTCAGCATGGCCAGGATATAAAGCAGGCAGAAAAACAAGAAAAGGCTAGACTGGCTTAGCCTCCCAGCCTACTGTGCTGTATGCTTCCTGACCTCAAACATCAGACTCCAAGTACTTCAGCTTTGGGACTCGGACTGGCTTCCTTGCTCCTCAGCTTGTAGATGGCCTATTGTGGGACCTTGTGATCATGTGAGTTAATACTCCTCAATAAACCACCCTATTCCATTAGTTCTGTTTCTCTAGAGAACTCTGACAAATACAGGATAACCCAAATTTCTATATAAAATCGTGTATTTATGAATTATTTTCTTAGAGGTAAACAAATAAAATAATTGTCCTCCAAATGACATCATTAAATTTTGAGAAACAAGATTGATTCTCTTCTGAAACTATAGAATCTGAAATGTTGAGGAACCCTACATGTCATTTTATTTATCTAAATTCTTTTTTCTTTTTCTTTTTTTTTTTTTTGGAGATAGAGTCTCACTCTGTTGCCCAGGCTGGAGTGCAGTGGCATGGTCTAGCTTACTGCAACCTCCAACTCCTAGGTTCAAGGGATTCTCCAGCTTCAGCCTCCCAAGTAGCTGAGACTACAGGCATGTGCCACCATGCCCAGCTAATTTTTTGTATTTTTAGTAGAGATGGGTTTCACCATTTTAGCCAGGATGGTCTCAATCACCTGACCTTGTGATCTGCCTGCTTCGGCCTCCCAAAGTGCTGGGATTACAAGTGTGAGCCACTGTGCTTGGCCTATTTATCTTAATTCTTTAAAGCAGCATTTTAAAATTAACTGTAATCCCCAAAGCATTAATGGAATCACAAGAACAATGAAAAGGAAAGGAAAGCTATGTTTTTAGAGTTTTCTATACATGAATTACTTTGATGTGTACTAAGGAAAAAGTAATTAGGACGAAGATGAAAATTTAAGCATTAGATAACTGTCCTTAAGTAATTAGGATAAAGATGAGAAGTTTTGGTTACACTGAAAAATAAATTCCTTTTTTTTTTAGCTTTTAATTGGTTTTTATTTTTTATTTTTATTTTTTTATTATTATACTTTAAGTTTTAGGGTACATGTGCACAATGTGCAGGTTAGTTACATATGTATACATGTGCCATGCTGGTGCACTGCACCCACTAACTCATCATCTAGCATTAGGTATATCTCCCAATGCTATCCCTCCCCCCTCCCCTCACCCCACAACAGTCCCCAGAGTGTGATGTTCCCCTTCCTGTGTCCATGTGTTCTTATTGTTCAGTTCCCACCTATGAGTGAGAATATGCGGTGTTTGGTTTCTTGTTCTTGCGATAGTTTACTGAGAATGGTGATTTCCAATTTCATCCATGTCCCTGCAAAGGACATGAACTCATCATTTTTTATGGCTGCATAGTATTCCATGGTGTATATGTGCCACATTTTCTTAATCCAGTCTATCATTGTTGGACATTTGGGTTGGTTCCAAGTCTTTGTTATTGTGAATAATGCCGCAATAAACATACGTGTGCATGTGTCTTTATAGCAGCATGATTTATAGTCCTTTGGGTATATACCCAGTAACGGTATTGCTGGGTCAAATGGTATTTCTAGTTCTAGATCCCTGAGGAATCACCACACTGACTTCCACAATGGTTGAACTAGTCTACAGTCTCACCAACAGTGTAAAAGTGTTCCTATTTCTCCACATCCTCTCCAGCCCCTGTTGTTTCCTGACTTTTTAATGATTGCCATTCCAACTGGTGTGAGATGGTATCTCATTGTGGTTTTGATTTGCATTTCTCTGATGGCCAGTGATGGTGAGCATTTTTTCATGTGTTTTTTGGCTGCATAAATGTCTTCTTTTGAGAAGTGTCTGTTCATGTCCTTCGCCCACTTTTTGATGGGGTTGTTTATATTGTTCTTGTAAATTTGTTTGAGTTCTTTGTAGATTCTGGATATTAGCCCTTTGTCAGATGAGTAGGTTGCGAAAATTTTCTCCCATTTTGTAGGTTGCCTGTTCACTCTGATGGTAGTTTCTTTTGCTGTGCAGAAGCTCTTTAGTTTAATTGGATCCCATTTGTCCATTTTGGCTTTTGTTGCCATTGCTTTTGGTGTTTTAGACATGAAGTCCTTGCCCATGCCTATGTCCTGAATGGTAATGCCTAGGTTTTCTTCTAGGGTTTTTATGGTCTTAGGTATAACGTTTAAGTCTTTAATCCATCTTGAATTGATTTTTGTATGAGGTGTAAGGAAGGGATCCAGTTTCAGCTTTCTACATATGGCTAGCCAGTTTTCCCAGCACCATTTATTAAATAGGGAATCCTTTCCCCATTTCTTGTTTTTCTCAGGTTTGTCAAAGATCAGATAGTTGTAGATATGTGGCATTATTTCTGAGGGCTCTGTTCTGTTCCATTGATCTATATCTCTGTTTTGGTACCAGTACCGTGCTGTTTTGGTTACTGTAACCTTGTAGTATAGTTTGAAGTCAGGTAGTGTGATGCCTCCAGCTTTGTTCTTTTGGCTTAGGATTGACTTGGCAATGTGGGCTCTTTTTTGGTTCCATATGAACTTTAAAGTAGTTTTTTCCAATTCTGTGAAGAAAGTCACTGGTAGCTTGATGGGGATGGCATTGAATCTATAAATTACCTTGGGCAGTATGGCCATTTTCACGATATTGTTTCGTTCTACCCATGAGCATGGAATGTTCTTCCATTTGTTTGTATCCTCTTTTATTTCCTTGAGCAGTGGTTTGTAGTTCTCCTTGAAGAGGTCCTTCACATCCCTTGTAAGTTGGATTCCTAGGTATTTTATTCTCTTTGAAGCAATTGTGAATGGGAGTTCACTCATGATTTGGCTCTCTGTTTGTCTGTTGTTGTATAAGAATGCTTGTGATTTCTGTACATTGATTTTGTATCCTGAGACTTTGCTGAAGTTGCTTATCAGCTTAAGGAGATTTTGGGCTGAGACAATGGGGTTTTCTAGATATACAATCATGTCGTCTGCAAACAGGGACAATTTGACTTCCTCTTTTCCTAATTGAATACCCTTTATTTCCTTCTCCTGCCTAATTGCCCTGGCCAGAACTTCCAACACTATGTTGAATAGGAGTGGTGAGAGAGGGCATCCCTGTCTTGTGCCAGTTTTCGAAGGGAATGCTCCCAGTTTTGGCCCATTCAGTATGATATTGGCTGTGGGTTTGTCATAGATAGCTCTTATTATTTTGAAATACATCCCATCAATACCTAATTTATTGAGAGTTTTTAGCATGAAGGGTTGTTGAATTTTGTCAAAGGCCTTTTCTGCATCTATTGAGATAATCGTGGTTTTTGTCTTTGGTTCTGTTTATATGCTGGATTACATTTATTGATTTGCGTATATTGAACCAGCCTTGCATCCCAGGGATGAAGCCCACTTGATCATGGTGGTTAAGCTTTTTGATGTGCTGCTGGATTCGGTTTGCCAGTATTTTATTGAGGATTTTTGCACCGATGTTCATCAGGGATATTGGTCTAAAATTCTCTTTTTTGGTTGTGTCTCTGCCCAGCTTTGGTATCAGGATGACGCTGGCCTCATAAAATGAGTTAGGGAGGATTCCCTCTTTTTCTATTGATTGGAATTGTTTCAGAAGGAATAGTACCAGTTCCTCCTTGTACCTCTGGTAGAATTCAGCTGTGAATCCATCTGGTCCTGGACTCTTTTTGGTTGGTAAGGTATTGATTATTGCCACAATTTCAGATCCTGTTATTGGTCTATTCAGAGATTCGACTTCTTCCTGGTTTAGTCTTGGGAGGGTGTATGTGTCAAGGAATTTATCCATTTCTTCTAGATTTTCTAGTTTATTTGCATAGAGGTGTTTGTAGTATTCTCTGATGGTAGTTTGTATTTCTGTGGGATCAGTGGTGATATCCCCTTTATCATTTTTTATTGTGTCTATTTGATTCTTCTCTCTTTTTTTCTTTATTAGTCTTGCTAGCGGTTTATCAATTTTGTTGATCCTTTCAAAAAAACCAGCTCCTGGATTCATTAATTTTTTGAAGGGTTTTTTGCGTCTCTATTTCCTTCAGTTCTGCTCTGATTTTAGTTATTTCTTGCCTTCTGCTAGCTTTTGAATGTGTTTGCTCTTGCTTTTCTAGTTCTTTTAATTGTGATGTTAGGGTGTCAATTTTGGATCTTTCCTGCTTTCTCTTGTGGGCATTTAGTGCTATAGATTTCCCTCTACACACTGCTTTGAATGTGTCCCAGAGATTCTGGTATGTTGTGTCTTTGTTCTGGTTGGTTTCAAAGAACATCTTTATTTCTGCCTTCATTTCGTTATGTACCCAGTAGTCATTCAGGAGCAGGTTGTTCAGTTTCCATGTAGTTGAGCGGTTTTGAGTGAGACTCTTAATCCTGAGTTCTAGTTTGATTTCACTGTGGTCTGAGAGATAGTTTGTTATAATTTCTGTTCTTTTACATTTGCTGAGGAGAGCTTTACTTCCAAGTATGTGGTCAATTTTGGAATAGGTGTGGTATGGTGCTGAAAAAAATGTATATTCTGTTGATTTGGGGTGGAGAGTTCTGTAGATGTCTATTAGGTCCGCTTGGTGCAGAGCTGAGTTCAGTTCCTGGGTATCCTTGTTGACTTTCTGTCTCGTTGATCTGTTTAATATTGACAGTGGGGTGTTAAAGTCTCCCATTATTAATGTGTGGGAGTCTAAGTGTCTTTGTAGGTCACTCAGGACTTGCTTTATGAATCTGGGTGCTCCTGTATTGGGTGCATATATATTTAGGATAGTTAGTTCTTCTTGTTGAATTGATCCCTTTACTATTATGTAATGGCCTTCTTTGTCTCTTTTGATCTTTGTTGGTTTAAAGTCTGTTTTATCAGAGACTAGGATTGCAACCCCTTCCTTTTTTTGTTTTCCATTTGCTTGGTAGATCTTCCTCCATCCCTTTATTTTGAGCCTATGTGTGTCTCTGCATGTGAGATGGGTTTCCTGAATACAGCACACTGATGGGTCTTGACTCTTTATCCAATTTGCCAGTCTGTGTCTTTTAATTGGAGCATTTAGCCCATTTACATTTAAAGTTAATATTGTTATGTGTGAATTTGATCCTGTCATTATGATGTTAGCTGGTTATTTTGCTCGTTAGTTGATGCAGTTTCTTCCTAGTCTCTATGGTCTTTACATTTTGGCATGATTTTGCAGTGGCTGGTACCGGTTGTTCCTTTCCATGTTTAGTGCTTCCTTTAGGAGCTCTTTTAGGGCAAGCCTCGTGGTGACAAAATCTCTCAGCATTTGCTTGTCTGTAAAGTATTTTATTTCTCCTTCACTTATGAAGCTTAGTTTGGCTGGACATGAAATTCTGGGTTGAAAATTCTTTTCTTTAAGAATGTTGAATATTGGCCCCCACTCTCTTCTGGCTTGTAGAGTTTCTGCCGAAAGATCCGCTGTTAGCCTGATGGGCTTCCTTTGAGGTTAACCCAACCTTTCTCTCTGGCTGCCCTTAACATTTTTTCCTTCATTTCAACTGTGGTGAATCTGACAATTATGTGTCTTGGAGTTGCTCTTCTCGAGGAGTATCTTTGTGGTGTTCCCTGTATTTCCTGAATCTGAACGTTGGTGTGCCTTGCTAGATTGGGGAAGTTCTCCTGGATAATATCCTGCAGAGTGTTTTCCAACTTGGTTCCATTCTAGGTGCACCAATCAGACGTAGACTTGGTCTTTTCACATAGTCCCATATTTCTTGGAGGCTTTGCTCATTCCTTTTTGTTCTTTTTTCTCTAAACTTCTCTTCTTGCTTCATTTCATTCATTTCATCTTCCATCGCTGATACCATTTCTTCCAGTTGATCGCACCGGCTCTGGCTCCTGAGGCTTCTGCATTCTTCACGTAGTTCTCAAGCCTTGGTTTTCAGCTCCATCAGCTCCTTTAAGCACTTCTCTGTATTGGTTTTTCTAGTTATATATTCTTCTAAATTCTTTTCAAAGTTTTCAACTTCTTTGCCTTTGGTTTGAATGTCCTCCCATAGCTCGGAGTAATTTGATCGTCTGAAGCCTTCTTCTCTCAGCTCGTCAAAGTCGTTCTCCGTCCAGCTTTGTTCCATTGCTGGTGAGGAACTGCGTTCCTTTGGAGGAGGAGAGGCGCTCTGCTTTTTAGAGTTTCCAGTTTTTCTGCTGTGTTTTTTCCCCATCTTTTTGGTTTTATCTACTTTTGGTCTTTGATTATGGTGATGTACAGATGGGTTTTTGGTGTGGATGTCCTTTCTGTTTGTTAGTTTTCCTTCTAACAGACAGGACCCTCAGCTGCAGGTCTGTTGGAATACTGGGCCCTCTGAGGTGTCAGTGTGCCCCTGCTGGGGGGGTGCCTCCCAGTTAGGCTGCTCGGGGGTCAGGGGTCAGGGACCCACTTGAGGAGGCAGTCTGCCCGTTCTCAGATCTCCAGCTGCATGCTGGGAGAACCACTGCTTTCTTCAAAGCTGTCAGACAGGGACATTTAAGTCTACAGAGGTTACTGCTGTCTTTTTGTTTGTCTGTGCCCTGCCCCTAGAGGTGGAGCCTACAGAGGCAGGCAGGCCTCCTTGAGCTGTGGTGGGCTCCACCCAGTTCCTGCTTCCTGGCTGCTTTGTTTACCTAAGCAAGCCTGGGCAATGGCGGGCGCCCCTCCCCCAGGCTCGCTGCCACCTTGCAGTTTGATCTCAGACTGCTGTGCTAGCAATCAGCGAGACTCCCTGGGCATAGGACCTTCCGAGCCAGGTGCGGGATGTAATCTCCTGGTGCGCCATTTTTTAAGCCTGTCAGAAAAGCGCAGTATTCGGGCGGGAGTGACCCGATTTTCCAGGTGCCGTCTGTCACCCCTTTCTTTGACTAGGAAAGGGAACTCCCTGACCCCTTGCTCTTCCTGAGTGAGGCAATGCCTCGCCCTGCTTCGGCTCGCGCACGGTGCGCACACCCACTGACCCGCGCCCACTCTCTGGCACTCTCTAGTGAGATGAACCCGGTACCTCAGATGGAAATGCAGAAATCACTGGTATTCTGGGTCGCTCACGCTGGGATCTGTAGACCGGAGCTGTTCCTATTCCTGAAAAATAAATTCTTAAAATGATGAAAATCTTGCAGAATAAGACAAAATTAGTTTTAAAAAATAAAACTTTTTTTGTTGGTAATGTAGAATTAACTTATAATGTTTTAAGTACAAAGTTTGCAAGAATTAGGAATACATATAAGAATGAATGAATATATTTGAAAGATACAATTAAATAAAAAGAGAGGAAAATAGGAGAGTTCAAGTGGGTAAAATAGTTGAAGAAGTAAATGCCAAAGAGCATCATTTAAACTTCATATTTTATTTATATCTAAATGTCATGTTTATCTAAGCACACTCAAATTTCATTTCAGAGGTTGTTTAGAAAGAAGCAAAATTCACAGTGCTTTATAACAAATGACAAAGGCCTGGATGACACAGAGACAGTCAAGACAGCTTGGAGGCATAAACATGCCTATTTTCCAAAAACCTTACACAGAAGTTCAACATTGACATGGGGGGATGAATTATTCACAGAGGAAAAAGCTCCAGAAGATATTTCTAATGGATAATGACGAATTAACTAGATTTAAATCTACAAGACATTCATCCATGTTTCAAAAACATAAAATCTCTTATAAAGTTATGTTCTATCTCATCTCATTAAGTAAGACTCTAATCTACAAACCAAGAGAGAAGCCAGACACTGCCCAGGGCACATATTTATTGATCACATTTATTTTCTCCATGAGGTAGGAGATAAAGAATAAGACTATGGGGTGTTAATCTGATTTGCAATTGTTAAAGTTAAGAAACAATTGACTTCTGAATATACTGTAACAATGTTTTAACATTTTTCAATATAAAGTTTAAAATCAGATAAGTAAACAACAATAATTATGATAGTGATGTGCTAAAGTGTCCTGGAAATGATCAGTTTAGTTTAAAAAAGATCCATCATAAACTTTATCCAAAATAATTTATGCAAATCATTTTAAGCTATGAAATAAATATTGAAAATGTTGTATTGATAAGAATCTAAACAAGCTCATTGGAAGAATAGTATTTTATACCACTTAAAAAGATAAAACACAGACTTAATTTTAAAATTCTTCCAATGATGTAAATGGTATTTTTCAGTTTGATTACCTTTGTCATCAGTAATTCAGAAATCAGTTGTGCATATGCAAGCTGTTCAATAGGACACAATAAGTAAACAGAGAGGCTCAAAGTTACTACTGGAGTGATAAGGAAGGGAGTGAGAACTTGAGATTGCACAGGAAGGAGCATTACTTTCCTGGACAATGTGCAATCCATTTACCTTTCAAGCCAATCATGAGGCAATTATTTTTGCCAGGAATTGATACAACCAATCACTCCAACCTTCAAAACATACACAAAAAGATAAGGCCTGTAACAAAGGATTTAGAAATGAAACAGTACTTTCTTTTAATCACATAGGTAAAGACTGATTCACTCTTTGGGGAAAGAAACCAGAGGATTTGTGTCAGATATTATTGTATAACCTTGGGAAATAGCCTGTATAAAGTTCTAGTAATAACGTGGGTTGGTGTATTCAATCACTTGAGCAAATTTTACTTTTACGAAGTTTGAGTTTGAAACTCTTTCATTGCATACTGGCCTATGTATGAAAGCAAACAGAGCATATTTGGAACTTACTTAGGTTATTATTATCATGCCATTAAATAAATATGATAAAAGTGAATAAATATGCCCCTGAGTGGGCAAACCAGGAGGTAAACCCTTTGACAGGTAATACATCAATTGAAGGGTGAATAAAATCAACTTAGTTGTGTTTATGAAGGCTTCATATTCCAGGCCCATGCCTAGAAATTGACTATGATATGAGAAATATATCAAAATAATAGAATCTTAACCAGTCTTATTTCTCTTTGAAAGTTGTTATAAATCACACAAACTCAAGAATTATAGTTATTCATCCACAAGCAAAGGACTGACATGGATGCAAATATGTTGTAAAGTTATTTTACAGGAGGAAATTTGGAAACACGTGTGCATTTAACATGTGGTGCTAGCTGTTATATATTGCCCTCTAATAGACAGACTGTGGATATGTTATGAGAACAGATGGTTTTCCACCTAAAGACATTAATCTTAAGAAAAAACAACCATCCATCAGTTAAACAAGCAGGTGGTACTTTCCTGATCTCTCTGCCCCTGACTCTCTACCTTCAGAGGAAAGACCAGTATAATTTTTCTTAAAATGACCTTATGAAGGCAAAATAAAAACTGCTTAATAAAGAAGCTAACAAGAATGTAAATTCAATACACTGCCAATTTAGAAAATTAGGTTTGGGTAACCATCTTGTTTCCCAGCCTTAATTGGTTTATTTCAATCTTAACTTGCAGATGAACTCATAGCTCTTATGATTTTACAGATAAGGATGCTGATAACATGGGACAATTGTGAGTTAACTAAGGTCAAAAAGAAAGTTGATAAGGATATAAGATTTCTAATATTTAATCTTAGTTATTTAATTTTATTAGATGATTCTAATTATAAATGTCTTTTCCTATAAAAACTGTAGGTTCTACTCTTTTGGTGGTCCAAATCACACTGTTTGCCTAATCACTTCCTGCAGCAATTTAGTTATCAAGACAGAGTAGAAGGACCATTTGTCAAGAAGTAAGAAAACATTTAAGCTGTTGTTAACTAGTAGTTTACTATAGGTTAGTATGATGGCTATTTGCCTATTGAGTATCAGCTGGGACAGGATTCTGTATCCTAAATTTCAGACTTTTTTTGGCCAGAAAGCATGAGAAAGAAAAGCCTAAGGGAGACTTTGGGGGAAAATGGGAAGCTGGAAGGAAGGAAGACCTCTTAATTTCAGTTCTTAACAGTGTTGATCCAGCAAGGAAAGACAGTTGCAGTTCGATGTGCTACCTCCTTTTGAAGGACTAGCAGTACTATAGCTCTTAAGAGAAGACAACTAAACCTCCTTCAATGGTTCCAAGCTCCAGCTTCACATTATCATCCCCCTCCCACTACCGAGGTGTCCAAACACCAGCTAGGTAGAGAATATGTTTCTGACATCTTACTCTTTGTTTTACCAGTGCTAGAGGTGGGAATCACCACCCTGTATTAGCAATATATCTAGGTTACTTCATTTGCAGAAAGAATTAACTCAATAGTCCTGGGTTGCTCACATCCTGCAAATTCACACACACAAAAAAGGTCGGCTCCTGGGAAATAAATTATCAACTCTTGGAATTTTGTCTAACAAAAGTATTTTTTGTATGTTTAAGGCCTTGGGTTCTGAGGTATCTGTTTGATGAGATAGTTTATGCTAGCAACGTTATTTATGGTGAACACCTGTTTTTGTATGCTTGAGGCTTTGGGGCCTGAGGTGCTGGTTTAATTAGATGGTATATGCTAACAATGTTATTTAAGATGAATGTCTGTTTTTGCTGTGAGTAGCTGAGGTAATTCACTGCATACCTTCATGACTGACTCATCAGAAAACATTAGACTGTAAAGCTTGGGTAAGTTTTCCTGGTTGACTAAACTTTGCATATGTTGTCACACATTGTTGCTGGGAAAATTAAGTGTCTTCTTGTGACTAAACTGGGAGAGGACACCTGGAAACTTGCGCCTGATTTCTCCCACATTTCACCCACTATGCCTTTTTCCTTTGCTAATTTTAATTCTTTCACTATAATAAACTATAACCATGAGAAATAACAGCTTTTCTGAGTCCTGTGAGCCATTGAGCCTACGTGTGGTCTTGGGGTCACTCAGCACACCAGAGCTTTCCTTTTTTGCTCCATTAGCCTTTCTAACGGCTATATAACAGAACCCTGAATTACATGTCCTCTGTTTTTAAAATATATAGAATGTTTTCTGCTTTCCTGATTGAATGTTTACTGATATACAGTGCCAATTAACTACTTCAAGGCATACTTACTCCGTAGGTGTAATGAGTGATTCGTAAGAGATAATTTTTATGATTCTATGGTTCTTTCCCCAGAGTATTTTTGTGGCAAGGGCCATTCTGTCTCAAATAAATATGATATTAATATTTTGTTATTTTTAAGAGACTGGAGTATGTTATATCCTAGGTTGATATAACAGAGCCTAGTTCTTCACTCCAGAATTTCACAATTATTATTTCAGATAACTTCTCTTTTTGAAACTTCAGTAAAATAAAATCCAAGCATGGTTTTTGGAGTTAAATAGCTTTACCACTTAAATTACAAAATTAGAATACTTACTCTCTCTATACCCCATTTCCTTATCTTCAAAACTTTTAAATATCTTAAAGAGTTATTGATAGGGCTAGATGAGATAATATATGAGAAAAGCTCGTTATGGGAGAGTAACATCAGCAAGATAGCTGACTACAGTTATCTGGCACTCATCTCATTTTACTGTTTAAGTCAAAAGGTACCAAAACAATGAGTAAACAACTATATTTCAACTAGAGTGACTGAAGAAGTATGCTTATAAACACCAGAGAAATGGCAGTATCTTTTTGGAGCATGGAAGCTCAGGATAGCACCATAGAGAAAGAAGTGTGTCACTCTCCCTCTGCCATGCTCTCTCCCCAAATGGGATCAGCTCAGACTCAGGAGGAACTTCTTCCTACAGGGAAAAGGTAAGCTGGAGATCCATAGCAGCCCCCACTGCTGCCACAAATACCTGCAGTCCATGCTACAGGAGAGAAACCCAGCCTTTACTGGCCTTGAATCCAGTTTGGGGAGTATCTAGGAGTCCATGCATCAGTATTGCCTCATAGAAAGAGCCTACCTTGAACATTTTCTCACTCTTGCAACCTAGGCAGCTATGGCTGGGCATTGTTTGAAACTAGATATACTACTAGAGTGTGCCTTTCTATGGGGATCAGTAGCAACTGACTCTGTCTATCCCTGAGGCCCTGCCATCATTCCACCACATTCACATGGGTGCATATAGTACAACAACCCTGCTTGCCCAAGCATAGAACAGATAAAATAACTGAGACTCTGCTATCCAAACCCACATGGTATCCCACCCCCTAAGGTAATAGGCAGGCTTGCACAGAGGGAAAGCAGCTGAACAGCCTGACAACCACCATGTTTGCATATACCTGTGTCACAAAACCAGCTGCTCCTCACCACTAACACACAGGTGCTGCTTACTGGCTTGACAGCTGGTCCTGTGGCACCCCTACCCCAGGGCAGCCTTATAGTGCCAACCCGGTTCCTCTGCACTCACAGAGGGCAGTGAACCACCTCACAGCTAATCCTGCAGCAGCGCCACCTCCTCAGGCCTCTGCAGGGCTACTGGGCAAAACCATGCCTGTCCAAGTTCGGACACCTATTAATTGATAGAGCCACCTTGCCTCTCTCTACCCATGAGAACCCATGCCTGTCCTCTAATAGCCAGCCCAACAGCAGCCATAGCTTTCCCAGAGAGTTTGTTGACAGTTTGTGTCAGCTCTCATGACTGTACTTGTCTGGCACTGGACATCCAGCTCTGAACCCCTGCCTCCAGCAAAACCACACCAGTGGCATCACAAACACAGACAGCCTAGGCCACTGAGGCAATCACAGACATCACTGACAAGGATTACAGCTGAAGAAACTCCACAGAGACAGGACTACTGAGTCAGTACAGAACCAAAGCCAATGTCCCCTACACAACCAACCCCAATGACCCACTACAGGAAAAATTATCTCCTTACATAAGCTACTAATAAAATCAAAAAAGGCAACTAGTATACTAGATGTGCAGATATCAATGTATGGACACAAGAAACATTAAAAAGCAAGAAAACATGACACTGCCCCCCCAACAGAAAAAATGAGGACTCTCTGTATTATCTTTTTTGGGGGTCTTCAGTAACACACCAAAGAAAATAATATTTATGAAGACCCTGAAAAAGAATGGAAAATAATGATCTTAAGGAAACTCAGCAAGCTACAAGATAACAAACAATTCAATAAAATCAGAAAAGCAATTCATAATCTGAATTAGAAATTCAACAAAGAGATATCATAAAACAATCAAACAGAAATTTTAAAGCTAAAGAAATTGATGAATGAAATGAAAATATATAATTGAGACCTTCACAATAGACTAGATAAAGCAGAATAAAGAATTATAAAAAAGCATGCAGAAAGAATACAAACTTATGAGTCACATAGGCAAATAAATATTCACATTATAGATTTCACATAGGGAGAAAAGATGGAGAAAGGCACAGAAAACCTATATAATAAATAACACTAAAAACTTCCCAAACATTGGCAGATACATGAAATCCAGATTCAGGAAGTTTAATAATATCCAATCAGATTCAACCTCAAAAGTTTCTTTCTGAGGCACATTATAATCAAACTATCAAAAGTCAAAGACAAAAAGAGAATTCTGAAGGCTTCCAGAGAAATATGTGAAATTTACCAGACTATAAGCAAATTTCTTAGGATAATCCTTCTAGGATGGGAGAGAATGGGATGAGATACACACACACACACACAAATCTGTCAACTAAGAATACTATATCCAGCAAAGCTATCCTTTTGAAATGAAGGAGAAATAAAGACCTTCCTAGAGAAGCACAAACTGAGAAAATTCATCACCACTAGGCCAGCCTTACAAGAAACGTTTAAGGGAGTGTTACAGCTAGAAACAAAAGAACAATTACTACATGTAAATGCATGACAATATAAAACTCATAAAGAGAGGTAAATTCACAAATCAAACTTAGAAATGGTGCAACATAAATCTCGCTACCTTCTACTATAAAAGTTTAAAGTAAAAGTGATCAAAAATACAAACAGCTGCAATTAGAGGTAAGAAACACATAATAGATTTTAAAAAGGTAAATTAAGGCAAGAAAAAAATTTTTTTGGGGGGAGCCTCTAGAGTGTTTTTATATGGCCAATGTTAAGTTGCTATTAGTTTAAACGATTGTATCTACAACACTGATTACATTAGCCCCATGGTTACCACAAAGAAGGAAATTATAGCAGATACACTAAAAAGAAAGAGAAAGTAAACAAAATTTAGCAATATAAGAAACTACCAAACTACATGAGTAACAAAAAAGAAGAAAGGAATTAAGTATCCAATAATCCAAAAATAATTAACAATTAAATGGGAAAAGTAAGCCTCTATCAATAATAAACTTCTATGAAAAATGATTAAATTTTCCTATTACAAAATATAGAGTGAACAGATTTTTTTAAAAAATAAACCCAACTGTATGCTGCCTACAAGAGGCTACCTCACAATTAAAGAGATATCTGGATTAAGTGAAGGATTGTAAAAGGATATTCTATGAAAACAGAAAACAAAAGCAATCAGGAGTAGCTATACTTAAATAAGAAAGGGTTTTAATCAAAAACTGTAAAAAGAGACAAAGTCATTACATAATAAGAAAGGGATCAATTTAGCAAGAGAATGTAACAATTATATATGTACCTGACACCAGAGCACAAAAATTTATAAAGAAAATATTATTAGATCTAAAGGAAGAAATTGACTGCAATAATTGGGGACTCAATATCTCACTTTCAACAATGTACAAGTATCTAGACAGAAAAACATCAAAGAAACATCAGACTTATATTATACCACAGACCAAATGGAGACACAGCAAAAGTAGTTATGAGAGAAATTTATAGCAATAAATGCCAACATCAAAGGATGAAAAAAATGTATTCCTAATAAACAACCAAAGGAACTAGGTTGCATCTCAAGGAACTAGGAAAACAAGAACAAACTACCAAAAGTTGGTAGAAGGTAGAAAGTAAAGCTCAAAGCATAAATAAGTAAAATAATAACTTAAAAACAATTTTAAAGATTTATGAAAGAAAGAAATGGCTTTTTAAAAGACAGACAAAATTGACAAACATTTAGTTAGGCTAATCCAGAGGAAAAAAAAGACTCAAATAAATGAAATCCTGAATGAAAAAAGGCAGTATTACTGATATTACAGAAATACAAAGAATCATGTGAGACTATTGTGAGCTAGAATATGCCAACAAATTTGGGAACACAAAAGAAAAAGATAAATTCCTGGATAAATACAACATAACAAAATTAAATTGTGAAGAAATAGAAATTTGGACAGACCAATAAAGGGTGAGGACATTTAATAAATAATAGAAACATTTTCAATCAGAAAAAGAATCCCAGGACCTGATGGCTTCACTGCTGAGTTTCCCAAACATTTAAAAAAGAACTACTTCCAATTCTCCTCAAACTATTCCGGAAAATTGAGGAGGAAGAAATACTTTTAAATTCATTTTACAAGAACAGCATCACCCTGATTCCAAAATCAGGCAAAGATACATTCAAAAAAGAAAACTACAAACCAACATCCTTAATGAATATAGATGCAAAAATTTTGAAGATACTAGTAAGTCAAATTCAACAGTACATCCAAAAGATAATTTAATATGATCAAGTGGAATTTATCTCAGGGCGCATGGATGGTTCAACATAGGCAAATTAATTAAGTGATGCATCACATTTGCAAAACTAAAAATAGATCAGAGAAAACATTAGACAAAATTCATTTCAATAGATACAGAAAAAACATTAGACAAAATTCAACATCCCCTTATGATAAAAACACTCAACAAATTAGTAATGGAAGATATGTATTTCAAAACAGTAAGTGCCATCTATAACAAACCCACAGCCAACATCATAAAGAACAAGGAAAAGTTGAAAGATTTTCCTCAACGATCAGAAACAAGACAAGGATGCTTACTTTAACCACTTGTATTTAACATAATACTGGAAGTCATAATCAGAGCAATTAAGAGAGAGAAATAAAAAGCATCCAAATTGGCAAGAAGAAAGTCACTGTTCCTGTTTGCAGATGATACAATTTTATGTATAGAAAACTCTAAAGACTCAACCAGAAAAACTCTTAGAACTAATGAAATAAATTCAGTGAAGTTGCAAGATACAAAATCAACATACAAAAATCAGTAGCATTTCTATATGCTAATAGAAAACTATCTAAAAAAGAATCGATTCCATTTACAGTAGTAACAAAAAAAAAAAAAATAAAACCTAGAAGTAAACTTAACCAATGAGGTAAAAGATCCCAACCTTGAAAATTATAATATACTGATAAAAGAATTGAAGAAGACACAAATGAATAGAAGGATATTCTGTGCTCATGGATTGGAAGAATTAATATTGTCAAAATGGGATACTACCTAAATTGATCTACACATTTAATGCAATCCTGATCTAAATACCAATGTGATTATTCACAAAAATAGAAAAAACTATTCTAAAATTGGTATGGAACCACAAAGACCCCAAATAGCCAAAGCAATTCTGAGCAAAAGGAATAAAGCTAGAGGCATCACACTACCTGACTTCAAAACATACCTCAAGCTATACTATGTACTGACATAAAAATAGACACATAGACCAATGGAATAGAATAGAAATCCCAGAAATAAATTCACACATCTACAGCCAACTTATTTTTGACAAAGGTGCCAAGAACACACATTGGGAAAAAGATAGTCTCTTGAACAAATGGTGCTGGGAAATTTGGATATCCATAAAGAGAAAAATGATACTAGACCCCTTCCTCTCACTATATTAAAAAAAAAAAACCTCAAAATGAATTAAAGTCTTAAATGTAAAACCCAACTATGAAACTACTAGAAGAAAACATAGATCAAAATGCCTTACATCTTTGGGTTAGACAAAAAGTTTTTAAACAAGAACTCAAAAGCAACAAATGTAAAAACAGACAAATGAGATTACATCAAACTAAAAACCTTCTGCACATCAAAGAAGCAATTAACAGAGTAAAGAGACAACCTACAGAATGGAATGCAATAGTTGCAAACTATACATCTGACATGAATTCATGACAAGAATATATAGAAAATTTAAACAACTCAACAGTAACAAAAAACAAGCCAATAAAAAGTGAGTAAAAGACCTCAAAAGACATTTCTCAGAAGACGTTCAAATGACCAACAAGTACATACAAATGCTCAACTTCACTAATCATCAGAGAAATGCAGGTAAAAACCACAATGAGGTATGACCTCACTCCAGTTAGAATGTCTATAAACAAATATACAAAGGAAAACAAGTGGCGGCACAGATGTGGAGAAAAGGAAATATTTACACACTGTTGGTAGGATTGTAAATTAATACAACCACCATGAAAAACAGTATGAAGGTTAGTCACAAAACTTAAAAATAAAACTGTGATATGATCCAGCAGTCCCATCACTAAGTACTTATACAAAAGAAATGAAATCAAGATGTCAAAATGATATCTGCACTCCTATGTTTGTTGCAGCACTATTTACAATAGCTGAGATACAGAATCAATCTAAGTGTCCAAAAATGGATGAATGTCTGAAGAAAATGTGGTATATATACACAATTGAACACTATTCAGTTATAAAAAAGAATGAAATACTGTTATATGCAACAATGTGGATGGAACTGGAAGAAAACATGTTAAGTGAAATAAGCCAGAAATGGAACAACAAATACTGCATAATCTCACTCATATATGGAATTGAAAATTTAAATACAAATTTGGTATCATAGAAGCAGAGAAGGACAGCATTTACCAGAGACTGGGGAGGGGAAGATGAGAAGAGGCTGGTAAATGGGTGCAAGATTACAATTGGATAGGAGGAATAAGTTCTGGTGTTCTATTGTGCAAAAGCACCATGATGGCTAACAGTAAGATATGGTATACAGTTGATTCTTGAACAATGTGGGGGTTAGTGGCACTGAGTCCTTGTGCAGTTTGAAATCTATGTATAACTTTTGACTCCCCAAAAACATAACTACTAATAGCTTATTGTTGTCTGGGAGCCTTACTGATAACATAAGTCAATTAAACCATATTTTGCATGTTTTATGTATTCTTACAATAACGTTTGCATGTTTTCTGTATTCTTACTGTATTCTTACAATAACGTAAGCTAGAGAAAAAAGTTATTTAAGAAAATCATAAGAAAGAGAAAATACATTTACTAATCATTAAGTGGAAGTGAATCATTATAAAGGTCTTCATTCTTGTTGTCCATGTTGAGTAGGCTGAGAAGGTGGAGGAAGAGAAGGACTTGGTCTTGCTGTCTCAGGGGTGGCCAAGGTGGGAGAAAATCTGTGTATAAGTGGCCCTGCACAACTCAAACCCGTGTTGTTCAAGGGTCAACTGTATTGCAAAACAGCTTGAAGAGAGGCTTTTGAATGTTCTCTTCACAAAGAAATGATAAATGCATGAGGTGATGATCATGTCCAATATCCTGATTTGATTATTATACAATACAATACATATATGTATTGAAACACCAAATTGTATTCCATAAATATGTACAATTACAATGTGCCAATTAAAAAAAGGAAAGCTTATTATGAAATAAGTGTACACAAGTTTAGTTAGTATTATTATTTTTATAGTGAATATAGCAGATTTTTTAAGAATACTGGCTGTGAAGTTAAATATATGTGTGTTCCAATTCTGTGGTGAAAACTAGATGACATAATGGTAATAATTTGGCAACCATTAAGGCCTGGTACGGACTAGCTGTTCAATAAATGGTGAATTATCATTGTTATATTTCTTGTCAATTGTTTTGGGCTCTGTGCTTTCATATACAGAATTGTTGTTTCCTGTGTTCCCTTTACAAATGAAAATTTACTTCTTTATCTTTGTTACTATAGGATAATCCACCCACTTAAACTAATTAAGGATTACTTTCTTAAATCTAATACTAATATTTTTGGGTTTTGTAATGTTCACATTACTCAATCTGAAACATAAATTTTTATATTAAATATAAAACTTACTGATTTAAAATAATTTTTCCATGAAGTAAACTCCAAAATTCTTGATAATTTTGAGGAGATAATTTTTTTTCCTGACAGGGAAAATTTACAAGATGTATTTGAGCGCATTGGAAATGTTGATTTATCAAGTTTCCAGGTAAAGCGACAAGTAATAATTTTTATGGTTGGTTTCATTGATTTTCATGTAGTTCGAAAATTTTTTAATTTTTCAGATGGCACTTTTAATTCCTGATGAGCACAATTTGTCTATGATTTAGCAGCAGGTTTGTTCATAATCTGTGAAAAACAATGTTAGATATTTTCTAACATTACCTTTTGTCAGAAAGCAAATACAGCATAATCCATAGTGAGGCAGATGCTCAACATGTAATTTTAGCATTGTCAACATGTTTCTTTTAGTATTGGTGTGTTATTGTGAAACCAGTGATGTGTATAACTACTGTACTCTCTTGGTTCTTATTAAAAGAGGCAGTGGTCTATAAATATGAATGTGAGTGTTTGCAAAGAACTGAGGGCCCAAAGATGAAATCAATAAAAAAAATGGAAATATAAAAAAAAAATGAATAATTGGGTAGGAACAGCGTACTTACAATTTACCAGGCATGGTTTTGGATGTATAAGGTGGGGAAACTGCAATCATGTATGTATGTATGTATGTATAGACATGACTGGCTTAGACTACAGTAGTAGCATTAGCAGTTGTAAGATTCTGAATCTATTTTTAAAGTTGAAATTTGAATTGGATGTAGACTGTCAGAAAAAAAAAAGAGAAACAAACATACCAATTGGAATATGGCTCCAAGGTTTGTTTTGCATTACGAACCAGAAAGATTGTTTCCATTTGTCGAAGAGTAGAAGGCTGGGGAAAAATGTTTGATGATAGTGTGGAAATAAGAATTGCAATTTTAAAGATGTTGAATTTGAGATGCTTTTAGTTATTGAAGAAATTATCTGATAAACTATTAGATACTTGAATACAGAGTTAAGAGAAGAAAATAAGAAGGAAATACAAATTTGTGAGCTACCATATAGATTGCTTTTAAAGCTATGAAACAAAAAAGCGTATAGTTTGGGAATGAAAAAATAGGAAAAGAGAAGAGATCTAAGGACTAAACCTGAGTACCACTCTACACTCTAAGTCATATGAAAAGAACTCAAAAAGGATATCTGAAAGTATTTACATATTAAAGGAGTGCAGAAAATTCAGGAAATGGTAACATATAATAAACCTAAGAGACAATAGCCTTATTAAGATGGTAGTTTGTAAAGATTGCTATGCATATCATTTTCCTATGTTTATTGCCTAAAATTATTTACTTAATATTAAGGTGAGATATCTGATTATAACAATACTTGATTGAGTTCTTTAAATTTGGATCTTATAAATATGAATAAGTACAAACATTTGTATATTTGTTGAGAAAGACTGGATCTATGCCATATGTAATTATATACATTTTACTTAGTTGACCTCAGTAACTATAACTGGCAAAGTATACAACGGGCTCTGCATCAACATTCAGCTTCTTTTCTTAGTAATTAGTAAAGACTATTCTACATACTTCTTTGATTAGTTTGATTTTTTTCTCCCTTTTACCAGCCTCTTCCTCTCACTTAACATATGCATTTATTTACAGTCTCTTTTGAATTGTCTCTGTTAATTGATTATAGAATTCTCCCTTCAATGTGGTCTACTAGATACTGCTTGCTTAATTTATATTTTAACCAATCAAATTTTGATTTCTTGCTATTGCAGCATAACTGTATAACATTAGTTTTGTGTACCTGTTTCTGCATGCTGTTGGCCAGTGCCAAAGAAAGACATTTTAGCATTTTTTTAAATTAAAAAAATTTCTGATTGGAATGTGAGCTACGTTATGATTTAATTTATTGGGCAGAGAATTGCTAGTATAATTCCTATATTGCAATGTTAAATATACATACTGCTTGTTTATAAATTCAGTGAGTTTAGAATTTTAACCACATCAATGTTGACATCGTATGGAAAACACTAGCTTACTAAAGTGGCGAATGAAATATTATGTTTCAAGAAACGGCTTGTCTTATACCAAACTCCATATTCTTTCTACTGTCTCATCATGACTCTACTATGCATCTATCAGGCTTCCATACAGACAAGAAGGAAGTTGGGATTAAAATAAGAAGATCTTCTAAATATGCTCAGGTGTTGGTAATTTAAGTCAAAATTTATCAGCTTACTACTCTGTCACTCTTATAAAAGTATAGATGTTGAAAGATGATTTTTTTCTACTGCTCTGGTCATGAGTCTACGCTTGTTCTCTTATGCAATTCATATGGGAAAATACAGAATTGAATAATCTTACCATTGCCATTGTATTGCTAAACTAAGACAATGTGCTCCTTCCTCAAATCCTGCTAACCCTGCTTTTGAGATATATGGCACTAGTCAATCTCTAAAGGCTAATGATAATCATACAAGATAAAATAAGAGCACTTCTTTTCCAGGAGTAGGATATTATAAAATTACAGAAAAGCCAAAGATCACTTAATTTAATATGGGGCATATTAATTTAGCATCCAAGGAAATTGAAATAGAGTCAAATTACTCAGTAAACCTGGGCATCCTGTTCTTGTTTTTATTTTGCTACACTAAAGTTTATATCAAGAGGAGTGTTTTGAGTACTGTGACCAAAAAAAAAAAAAGTTTATTGAATTTTGCTTTTTATTGCTTCTGCTTGGGCACATGGAAAACCACACTTCCTAGCTTGTTAGGCAGATCATTTGACTATTTTTGATGAAAGATTTTGAGCATAAAGGACATTTGTCACTTCTGGCCTGAAGCAATAGAAACTCCCTATGTAATTTTTCAATTTTTCTTCTTTGAAGCAGATATCTTGATAAAGTCTTTTTGAGCTGGCAGAGCCACAAGATTGAAGTGAACTTTATTCCTCCTGCTTGAGGACAGCCTTCTTGGGCTTTTTTGAGTGAGAAATAAACTTTGCTTACATTAAGCCACTGAGATATGGGGTTGTTTGCTACCCAAGGAAAAGCCTATACTTTTCTGACTTATTCAAGTACTTAAAGATGCTAAGGGGGAGCCTTAACATCTTTGTGAATACTAGAGTTAAAAAAGAAACAAAAAACAAACCCACGGTTTTGTAAACTAGAAAACCACTGACTTAAAGTCAGATGCAAATAGACAAGCTTGAAAACTGGGGAACAATTATTATAAATTGAATGCATGCTATGTGGGACTGGTACCTCTGGTTTTATTTCCTTTTAGAATTTACTTCATCTTCCACTGCAACTACATTGCACATTTAGGAGAGGAGAAATGCATATTAGAAGCATAAAAATAGAATTCTTTCCTTGAGTAGACACCACCTGCTCTGTGCAGAGTTTTTTATTCTCTTTTTAATTTTAGCAAGGTGCATTTGACAAGATTTTTCTATCTGAGGAATACTGTCAATGAAGGAAGTGGATCTGCTTTATTCTGGAGAAATGCTATGAGTAATGATAGTCACAGATCAGCAGCACTGTAAGAAGGTATTGCAGCATAATCAAATGCTGCCTGTGGACTAGCAGAGTGATTAAACAATCAATCATTGGTTCTTGGAGAATTGTATCTGTCTGTTTAAAATAATTTAAACCTACTGATGTATAGATTCTTAATTTAAAATTTCTTACATGCCTAGCAGACTGAGCATCATTTTTTTAAAAAGTTAATAATTAAGGAGTAGTTTGGTAACAGTAGAAACAATTGGCATGTTGTGTACTTGGCCAAAAAAATATTGGCTGTATTTTGACTTGGCGGCAGGAACATAGACTGTTAAAGTGTTGCTTTCCTTGGTATGATGGCACTGGCAGAGGATGACTATCTACTACACAGTTAGAAAAACAAAATAACAAAGATTTGCATTTAAAAATGTTTTTAATAATTTAATAAGATTTATAGCTCAATATAACTGGCAACTATTTGTGGTATACTTGTTAAGCATATTTGTGGTATTTTTTCACTAGAAAAACAGACTGTAATTAAAAAGCAGTGGTATTTGTACTTAAAAAAGAGTAGGTGACTCGAGAATATATAATTTTAATTAGCAAATATATTTATTTGTGTATATTACCGCCATATTATGTGCACGTTGTGAGCTTATAGATGAATGAATAGACATTTGAACACTTTGTATGTACTTGTAACATTGATAGATGTTCTCTAAATTGAGGTGCATTTGTAAAAATAATATTTTACAAAACTTTGTGAATATCTTTCCTTCATAAAACAGGATCTAGATACGGGTATTAATGTGAATTAATCATCTTCCTTTTAATGTCTTAGAAGTTCCCATTTTAATCTTGGATCCATCTTGGGTTGATGAAACCTAAAAGGAACTTAAAACTAGACTTAGAATACTCTCCCCTGAAAAAGTGCTCATTTCTAAGATGGAACCATGGTTGTACATTGAATTAAGGCCCCCATTCTCTACTCTTCCCTATATCCACTTCCTTTGCTCTATGAATTTTCAGTTTTTCTCACAAACAGTGGATTATTTCACTACACTTTGAATTAGAATTCTGCCATATGACATGCTTTGGTTAATAATCTGTCTGCTAGTGGAGGGGACATGAGTTGAGACTTTAAATGTTTCATTATGATTGGGACTTCCTTTATGCCTCTGCAATTACTTGGAGAAGAACATGCTTTAGCTAGACTACTGGTCTAAGGAGGAAGAGAAACATGTAGATCAGATGAAAGCTCTTAGATCTGCAATGTGTGGTGTGTGGTCACCACAGGTCGACATGTAACCACCCCAATATACCCATGAGAATAGTGTTGCACCGTTTTAAACCACTGGGTGCTGGGATGCTTTCTCATGTCATGTTACTGCAATGACAGCTGATGAATAAACTAAAGAATTACATAGTTTTAAAAAATTAGAGCTGGATCATTTTTCTGGACTAAGGTGAAAATTTCTAAGATGTGAAAGAACTACTATCATCTAGTATTCTGTTTCTATTTATGAGCCCAGCAGGAAATATTAAAATGGGTCAGTACATTTTATTATTTTTGCTCATGGGTGCCAATATCTACTCCCCTTTTTTTTAAGATGTGGATTTTTTCTATCTTGACACTTGAGACCTTAAAATTCTCTGTAACTTTTTACCTGTATGGGATGTCTTTTAAAATTACCTAGATAATTCTGAAATTTCTCAGTTTCATTAACTTTCCTTTTATTTAAGATATCTACCTGATTCCTTTAGCCTTATATACTATATTCTGACTACACTTAAACTTACCTATCTGATTTCTTTAGTCTTGTATACTATATCCTAGCTAAAGTTACCTATTATTGTCCTGCTATGTCACCAGATAGACCTTAGTACTATATATGGCACAACAATTTCTTACTTTCCTTAAAATTTAAAAATATCAAATTGGTATGTAGACATCTAGCAACATGATTTTTAAAGATATATACTTATCTTGATTTTATCCAGCTCTCATTATATGAACAATAGCTGATAATCTGTTACTTATAAGGCATCTATGATCCAAGTCTTAGTCTATAATCTGAGACATTTTATTGTTAAAGTGTTTATAAATCCTGAGGCTGGATGTAAGAAGCTAAAATTAAAAGTGCTAGAAAAAAACCTAATACTTTTTTTCTTAACATTTGAAGAAGTATAGATAAAAGAGCTCCAAGCAGAGACAAAAGAAGAACTAAAGTGATCAAAGTCAGAAGAGCAATGTTTGCCATCTGCCTTCCAGATTTATTATGGGTGCGCCTTATGACTAACTCGTGGGTTTATGTGGGATGTTATTGTGAAAATCACTATAAGATATATAACATGAGCGAATGGAAAAGCAGAAGGCTATTCAAACACATTTGAGCTATAGTCCTTTAGTAACAGCTGGCTCATTTTACAATTTTTTTATTTCAGACAGGGTAATATCCTGGTGGCAAAAATCCAAAACCAGTATAAATTTCTTTCACTTTATAAAAAGCTTTTCTTTAACAACTATAATATGAAACAATAGGTTTTGATTTTGTGATGCAATATTAAATTGCCTCAATCAGATATAAGTATGTTTGGATAATTCTAGTATATAACTTTTGTGTGCTTGCACATTTTTTATCATCAGAGATATTTTCTAAAATTATTAAATATTACATTTAAAATAGTTAACTGATTATGTGCTACAACTTTCAGAATACACAGAAATATAAATAATTTTAGGACCAGGCCAGTTATTAAACTATTCATTAGTTTAAACTCTAACTAGACACAATTATGATTCTTCTTCTTTGGGATTTTTTTAACCGAGGAATTAATGTTTAATATTGTAGTGAATGTTCATAGGAAAGTAAGATATATTTATATAATCTTTAAGTGCAAGCTTTGATTGAAATATTTTATCTATGTATACATATGCACAAATTCCAAAGGTAAAGCTTCATACATTTTCGCAGCGTGAATGCACCTGTTTAACCTATACCCAGATATAGCAGTCTAGAAGTTCCTCTTACACACATTTGTTTTTTTTTTTTGTTTTTTTTTTTGTTTTTTTTTTTGAGATAGAGTCTTGCTCTGTTGCCCAGGCTGGAGTGTAGTGGTGTGATCTTGGCTCACTGCAACCCCTCTGCCTCTGGATTAAAGTGATTCTCCTGCCTCAGCCTCCTGAGTAGCTGGGATTACAGGCGTGCACCACCATGCCTGGCTAATTTTTGTATTTTTAGTAGAGACGGCGTTTCACCATATTGGACAGGCTTTTTAATAACTCAGTACCTTCACTTTCATCAAGAATAACCACTAACAATTGTATATTAAAAAATTATTTCAAAATCAAATTTTCTGGAGTTTCTTTTTCTAGTAAGCAAAGCATCTCTTTATCATATGAAAATGGACTGAGAGCATATGTTAGAGTTTGAAAGTAGTTTACCATATGCCGACTGTAGTGTTAAGTCATAAATGTCCTCAAATCCTTTGACACTCCTCCCATCAAAAGGTGAAATCTATGTTTCCTTCCCTTGAATCTGGATGGACTTTTGACTGTTTAGGAAGAAATGCTGAATGCCTTCAGAGGCTAAATCAGATAGAGCTTCTACCCGATGGTTTTTGAAAGTTCACACTAAAACACAGCCTTCAACCTCTGATAGCCTAGCAGCCATATGAATAGGCCATATAGAGATGCTCCAGCCAATAGCACTAGATGGGGTTCCAGATGATAGTCAGCATCACTTCAAGATAAGTGAAGGGAGAGAACTTTGTGGCGAAGCCAGCCCAGCGTCCACCTGACTATAAAACTTGTGAGATCCTGGGTGAGAATCACCTAGTTGAACCCACTCGACCCTTAGGAATATGAAAGGTTATAATAAAATGTATGTTACTACTTTTTTTGGGTGATCTGTTACTAAGCAATAGTAACTAAACCAATTTTTGTATTTGAAAGTGCTGTAACAAAAATGCACAACTCGTGTCATTGGCTTTGGAACAAGACAAGAATGAAAGGTATCCAGGAGTGTTTCGGGGAAAGTTTAGGGTTGTGAGGAGAGGGTAAGCAGAAGTCTAAAGGGCATCAGGAGTATATGGGGGCTTGAAGGAAGATAACAAAATATTCTGTAAAACTAGAAGAGGACCCTCATTTGGCAAAGAATTTGGTGACGCTGACATGTGTGGTAACATGAAAATAGGAAATGTAACTAAAGGACTTGAGAGCACAACTACGCTGATTTTCAGGCAGACTATTAAAGGTACCACTTGACTTTCTAGCTGACTATACTCAAATGTGAGAAGAGAGAGGAAAGTTAAAAAAAGGAACTCTGCAGTTTTCAAAAAATATTGAAAAGATTTGTATAAGAGATACAGTTTGCTCAATTAAAAACATTAAAGTGTTTCTCGTTGCTTTTTGGATGGTACATATGTTTCAAGTTAAAAAAATCATAATAAAACGCGTTCCATGCCACATCCAGAGCAGGACTGTTAGGTGCTTTGTGAGGACCTCAGAGAAATATAAGGTGGCACCTCATAGAAACTTTTAGAAAGATAAAAGGCCTTCTAAGGCTCTTAAGGGCATGTCTTGCAAATCCTCTTCATTAACATCAGAACCTCTAAGAATCTCGAGGACGTTGTCCTGCACGTTTTACTGGAGCCCCAGTGAAGAAGGGCATGTGTGGTATCAATTGATAGTTTTTTATTTTGCATAAAGAAGTGAACTCCAGTAAGATTGATAGAAAACACACAAAGTTTTTAAGATATTGTTTCTTTTGGAAACACTGCCAACATGGACTTAAAAGAAAATAGAGTGTACAGGTTTAAAATAAATTTTTGCACTTCCAACATTTCTGGACACTGAGTAAGCTGCGAAGAGTACCCAGCTGCAAGCTTGGTTTCCTTATGAAGAAAAGATAGTTGTTTCAAAGTGTTGGATCAACAGCTCAGAAATGAAGCCAAGAGCCATGAAGGATCATTCCCAGGGAACAGTACTAGGGCCCTATAAAAAAAATCTAGCAGAGGCCGGGCGGGGTGGCTCACGCCTGTAATCCCAGCACTTTGGGAGGCCGAGGCGGGTGGATCACGAGGTCAGGAGATCGAGACCATTCTGGCTAACACAGTGAAACCCCATCTCTACTAAAAATACAAAAAAAAAAAAAAATCTACCAATATGTGCCCAGCTAGGTCTCTGAATTGCTGCACGCCAGTAACTGCTGCACTCATTCTGGTTCCCACTTTTTGAATAGCAGTGTCTATTACTATAATGACACTATTGTATATGAAGTTTGCATAGGGCAGATAACTTGTCTTTTTTAGTTCATAGGCTGTTAAGTTGAGAGGAATATTGTCAGGGGAGTTGTTCTCAGCAAACCCAAACCATCAGCCTCATTTCATCTTGGATTTGATTTAAATGACAAGATCGTGGACCTCAAACTGTGTCTGGTGACAATGATAGGATGAGACTTTAGATGAGTCCTAGGTCTTAATTCCGTCTGTCACTATTTAATTGGCTAAAAGCTGCAGCTTTCTCAGGAGGTCAAAATCCTTGTTTGGAAGTAAAGATTATTAGGCATATGAATTGATTTTGCATTATGTAAGATGACAAGTAAATGTTACCTCATCTGGATTCCTGATTTTTTTAATATAGGAGGAATGTGAATAATTTGTTGATTTATTACATGTCCCTCAAATACATGTATTTGATGTTCCTCCCTTGAAGAGGTGGGGATTTTTGTTCTTTCCTCTTGAATCTTGGTGGGTTTGTGACTATGGAAGGAAAGATATTATATAATTTCTTTCTGGCTCTCTCGAAGCACATTGACCTTGCTATAAAGAAGCCAGGCAGCCACTTGAAGTAGCTGCAAGTAGAGGTCCTATTTGATGATTGTGGAAGACGTGCCAGCTGACAGCATCAACCACTAGGGAGGAAGCCTCTGTAGTTACATGAGCACCAGACATCATCTACTGTAGCTGCATGAAAATTCCTGAGTCAAGAACCACCTAGCTGAGCCGAGTCAAGCATTGGAACCATAAGAAACAATAAGAAAATAACTACTATTGTTTTAAGCCACTGTTTTGGGGTTATCTGTTGCAGAACAATAGTAGCTAGACACTAGATGATATATGAGAATTGAGCTCAATTTAAATAAGTATAAATAAGTTTAAAACAGCAAATGAGGCTAACTGCTGTTTACCAACAATTCAATATTTCTGATAGTACATTTGATCTTCTGGAGTATTATTCTCTTTTGTATCAGGGACTTTATGATTATCAGATAATTACAAAAGTTAATCAAAATGCTTTTGACATAGTTGTTGATCTTATTTAGAAATCCAGGTCAAATGGAACTTATTTTCCCATATATTTGAGAATTCTTCCTTCCTAAGCAAGTATTTTGGAAGATAAAGTCTTTATGAAAAGGGTATGTGTGGTGGGAGGGTGCTATAATGCTGTGGAACTATCCCAGAATCTTTAAATCTCCTTATGTACTTTGAATCTGTTTGGATCCTGAAACATATTGTTTTAAAATGTTGCTTAGTATCAGTATTTTAACCTGGGGTTCACTAAGAGATTATTTTTAAAAGTTGTTTAACTTGTCTCATGTTTCTAATATATAAGCTCTTTTTTTTCAGTGATAGTTTGATCTATGCAAATGAAGATACCAACTTCACTTTGCTAGTGTTTTAGAAGGTCACCAGTGCTTTGTGTTCAAATAGCTTATTATTCTGTATTCCCAGAAAATGCTTTCTTTCTTTTGTAAATTGACTGTTAACAAGGAGTTTATAAACCATTTTAATTAATAAATCAGTGTTTTCCTCTGTGAACTAAATGCACATTCATGTAGGTGGAGAGAATAGTAAGCTCTACTTCAAAGGCAGTCAGGATTTCACCTACAACAGTAATCTGGTCTTAAAACCTCATTTAAGCTTTATCTGGCATTACAAAAGCTCAAAATCTTATAGACTGCTTTCAAGTAGAAAGTAATGGGATTTCAATTTTGCTACCTAGATTTCTTAGTGATGCTTGAAGAGTTTGATTTAACCAGACCAATGAATTAAGGGGTTGAAAAAGTAAGCACAAGGAATGAATTCTGTATGTGTATTCTGGGATATTTTATAGAAAAAAATTAATAGTATTTATTGCTAATGAAAATAGAAGAATAATTTGATTTAAATCTTAACATGAGTCACTGGAGAAGATAATTTGCTGACAGGTTTAAATACCTTGGGAATAATTTCCTGAGGGGAGTTGTAAAACAGCTTTCCCCGGAAGTTAGCAGTTCTTATGAAATTACACAGGTAAAATACTAAATGCAAAGAAATGTCTATACTCAGAGCTCATTTAAGGTTTTGAATTGTGTTTATTCATATTGCATTTAATAAACTTTTGAAAATCCATGCTCCCTTTTACGTATTTGTAAGTTTCAACTGAAGTTTTTCATTGCGATTTTACATAGTTCTCATGCATGTAATTTTTGGCATGTTGTAAATGTTGACATTGAAAAGTAAAACTGTGACACCATTTTTAAAAATGCAGGCAATAGAATCTAAATTCCACATTGATTTGATATCTACCACAATTCAGGTTGAAAAAAAATATGTGACAGCTTTTTATTAACATTCAGAATTTTGCATTTTCATTTTGTCCTTGCAAGAAAGTCATGAAGCATTACATATATTTTGGGATTTAGATAACATAATTATAATGAATACACAATTAATCAAATACATTAAGTGTTTTGTAAAGTTTAATAAATAACCAAGGCAAAAAGTAAAATTATATTCGAACTGAATATTTTAATGAGACAAATCCTGATCAATATTTCTCATGTATTTGATAAAGGGGAAATTTAAAATTCATAAGCACAAATTAATCCACTGACTAGCCTGCAGTTTTACTTTTTGTTTATAGAAAGTATAAAATATTAAATAGTTTAAATTACAAAATAAGATTAGGAGGAACTGATTAGACTATTTTATGATATTATTTGTTAAAATAAATGTCAGCTATGTTCTTGAATAACATTAATTTGAAAAAAAAAGTTACACAAATGTTTTATCCTTGAGTTTTATTCAATCTACCTTAAAAAGTATTTTTTTCCAGTAATGCGTTTTTCTATTTAGAAGAAACAGTATCAATATTCTGTATGGTTTTAGCTGTTTGAAGGTGTATTGCTCCTCATATTTGTCCTAATAATGAGTAGTAAGAATAATTTAAAATAATTGGTAATCTGTTAAAATATGTATACACATGTGTGTGCTTAAATCCGATGCCCTCTGCTTTGCTCTCTCATGACTATCTCTAAAGAAGGAAACATTATTTTTAAAACAGTGGAAAATGAATAGGGAAAATTGCTAAATTAAAGTCGCTTTTATTTGTGTTACAGAACTTTGCCATATATCCCATTTTGAGGTAAACACTAACAGAAAGATGCATAAAAGAGACAAATAAATGCCCTATAGATTTATGGTGAGATGGTTATATATTAAAAGAAATTTCTTGGTTGGGCAATCTAAAAGTATTTCTATCTTGAGAAAATGAGCCATAATAAGATTTCAAATGGCCGAGGGGTATGTGTACGTATGAAAAGGGCTACTTTGAACTCAGCTCAGGGTTCAAGTGTGGGATACATATATTGCTGTCAGTTAGCTTTCTTTTGCAGACAAGGGCAAAGATGACAGAAATCTGAAAGAAGGGAGTGGTAGGAGTCCTTAAGTGGCAGGTTGAAAGAAGAATGAGTTAGGATGTAAATTCAGCAAGTTATGTGTGGGAGGTAGGGAGTGAGAAGTCATGCTTTCTTAGTGTCTCACTTGACAGACTGAAAAAGGGGTGGTCCCATAAATAGAGATTGAGAATTCTTGGCATAATAAATTTGGGGGACAGATGACTTCTGTTTTGAACACCAGGACCTCGAGTTAACTTTGAAATATCATGTTAATATAATCAGCATTTACTTGGTGTCTGAAATTTGGAGGAAATGTATCAACTGGAGACATGACTCTTAAATCTATGTCTCCAGCTCATACTCCTCCCCAGAATTTCAGACATATTGAAGGGGACACTGGAAGTGGGTGTGAAAGGGGTGCAATGCAGTGGAAGACAAATATCAACCCGTCTTCTTTGGAGATCTGGTTATATATCTCTAGTTTCTACCATAACTCTGCATTCAGATTCCCTGACCTTGACTTAAGTGTAAAAATCTTAAAATTGAATCTGTTATTCTTTCACCACTTCCTCTACTGTGTTCCTTTCATCAGTTATGCTTGTTCTTCCAGTTATCAAGGCTAAAATATCTTTGTTAATCCATTGCATTGCCTTCTGCCTCCTTCTGATATTAAATCAGACATTATGATTGAGCCTGTTTTACATTATCTTGCTTTTTCAGTAACTTCACGCCTCATTTCCCCCCTTTTTTTTCTAATGAACTGTCATTCATTCATTTTCCCTATTTACCACAAGAAACATTACCTCCATATTTGTTTTTCTAGGAAAACATTATAATCATGTCATTTTCTGATTTAAGAACATTTTAATGAGTCCATTTCCTTCTGGTGATTATTTAAAAACCTCTCCACCTACTAACTCAAAAATTACTGTGGATGAGTTAATTCTCAAAATATGTGCAAGTTCTCTTTTGTGTGAATGAAAACTTGAAAATATAAATATTTCAAATTTACTTGTCTTTATTTTTTTTTCTTTTTTTAAAATTTTATTATTATTATACTTTAAGTTTTAGGGTGCATGTGCACAACGTGCAGGTTTGTTACATATGTATACATGTGCCATGTTGGTGTGCTGCACCCATTAACTTGTCATTTAGCATTAGGTATATCTCCTAATGCTATCCCTCCCCCCTCCCCCCACCCCACAACAGTCCCCAGAGTGTGATGTTCCCCTTCCTGTGTCCATGTGTTCTCATTGTTCAATTCCCACCTATGAGTGAGAACATGTGGTGTTTGGTTTTTTGTCCTTGCGATAGTTTGCTGAGAATGATGGTTTCCAGTTTCATCCATGTCCCTACAAAGGACATGAACTCATCATTTTTTATGGCTGTATAGTATTCCATGGTGTATATGTGCCACATTTTTTTAATCCAGTCTATCGTTGTTGGACATTTGGGTTGGTTCCAAGTCTTTGCTATTGTGAATAGTGCCACAATAAACATACGTGTGCATGTGTCTTTATAGCAGCATGATTTATAATCCTTTGGGTATATATCCAGTAATGGGATGGCTGGGTCAAATGGTATTTCTAGTTCTAGATCCCTGAGGAATCGCCACACTGACTTCCACAATGGTTGAACTAGTTTACAGTCCCACCAACAGAGTAAAAGTGTTCCTATTTCTCCACATCCTCTCTAGCGCCTGTTGTTTCCTGACTTTTTAATGATCGCCATTCTAACTGGTGTGAGATGGTATCTCACTGTGGTTTTGATTTGCATTTCTCTGATGGTCAGTGATGATGAGCATTTTTTCATGTGTTTTTTGGCTGCATAAATGTCTTCTTTTGAGAAGTGTCTGTTCATATCCTTCACCCACTTTTTGATGGGGTTGTTTGTTTTTTTCTTGTAAATTTGTTTGAGTTCTTTGTAGATTCTGGATATTAGCCCTTTGTCAGATGAGTAGGTTGCGAAAATTTTCTCCCATTTGGTAGGTTGCCTGTTCACTCTGATGGTATACCGTATCTTTTGCTGTACAGAAACTCTTCAGTTTAATTAGATCCCATTTGTCAATTTTGGCTTTTGTTGCCATTGCTTTTGGTGTTTCAGACATGAAGTCCTAGCCCATGCCTATGTCCTGAATGGTATTGCCTAGGTTTTCTTCTAGGGTTTTTATGGTTTTAGGTCTAACATTTAAGTCTTTAATCCATCTTGAATTAATTTTTGTATAAGGTGTAAGGAAGGGATCCAGTTTCAGCTTTCTACATATGGCTAGCCAGTTTTCCCAGCACCATTTATTAAATAGGGAATCCTTTCCCCATTGCTTGTTTTTCTCGGGTTTGTCAAAGATCAGATGGTGGTAGATATGCGGAATTATTTCTGAGGGCTCTGTTCTGTTCCATTGATCTATATCTCTGTTTTGGTACCAGTGCCATGCTGTTTTGGTTACTGTAGCCTTGTAGTATAGTTTGAAGTCAGGTAGTGTGATGCCACCAGCTTTGTTCTTTTGGTTTAGGATTGACTTGGCGATGCAGGCTCTTTTTTGGTTCCATATGAACTTTAAAATAGTTTTTTCCAGTTCTGTGAAGAAAGTCATTGGTAGCTTGATGGGGATGGCATTGAATCTATAAATTACCTTGGGCAGTATGGCCATTTTCACGATATTGATTCTTCCTACCCATGAGCATGGAATGTTCTTCCATTTGTTTGTATCTTCTTTTATTTCCTTGAGCAGTGGTTTGTAGTTCTCCTTGAAGAGGTCCTTCACATCCCTTGTAAGTTGGATTCCTAGGTATTTTATTCTCTTTGAAGCAATTGTGAATGGGAGTTCACTCATGATTTGGCTCTCTGTTTGTCTGTTATTGGTATATAAGAATGCTTGTGATTTTTGCACATTGATTTTGTATCCTGAGACTTTGCTGAAGTTGCTTATCAGCTTAAGGAGATTTTGGGCTGAGATGATGGGGTTTTCTAGATATACAATCATGTCATCTGCAAACAGGGACAATTTGACTTCCTCTTTTCCTAATTGAATACCCTTTATTTCCTTCTCCTGCCTAATTGCCCTGGCCAGAACTTCCAACACTGTGTTGAATAGGAGTGGTGAGAGAGGGCATCCCTGTCTTGTGCCAGTTTTCAAAGGGAATGCTTCCATTTTTTGCCCATTCAGTATGATATTGGCTGTGGGTTTGTCATAGATAGCTCTTACTATTTTGACATATGTCCCATCAATACCTAATTTATTGAGAGTTTTTAGCATGAAGAGTTGTTGAATTTTGTCAAAGGCCTTTTCTGCATCTATTGAGATAATCATGTGGTTTTTGTGTTTGGTTCTGTTTATATGCTGGATTATGTTTATTGATTTGTGTATGTTGAACCAGCCTTGCATCCCAGGGATGAAGCCCACTTGATCATGGTGGATAAGCTTTTTGATGTGCTGCTGGATTCGGTTTGCCAGTATTTTATTGAGGATTTTTGCACTGATGTTCATCAGGGATATTGGTCTAAAATTCTCTTTTTTGTTGTGTCCCTGCCAGGCTTTGGTATCAGAATGATGCTGGCCTCATAAAATGAGTTAGGGAGGATTCCCTCTTTTTCTATTGATTGGAATAATTTCAGAGGGAATGGTACCAGCTCCTCCTTGTACCTCTGGTAGAATTCGGCTGTGAATCCATCTGGTCCTGGACTTTTTTTGGTTGGTAAGCTATTGATTATTGCCACAATTTCAGATCCTGTTATTGGTCTATTCAGAGATTCAACTTCTTCCTGATTTAGTCTTGGGTGGGTGTATGTATCAAGGAATTTATCCATTTCTTCTAGAATTTCTAGTTTATTTGCATAGAGGTGTTTGTAGTATTCTCTGATGGTAGTTTGTATTTCTGTGGGATCGGTGGTGATATCCCCTTTATCATTTTTTATTGCGTCTATTTGATTCTTCTCTCTTTTTTTCTTTATTAGTCTTGCTAGCAGTCTATCTATTTTGTTGATCCTTTCAAAAAACCAGCTCCTGGATTCATTAATTTTTTGAAGGGTTTTTTGTGTCTCTATTTCCTTCAGTTCTGCTCTGATTTTAGTTATTTCTTGCCTTCTGCTAGCTTTTGAATGTGTTTGCTCTTGCTTTTCTAGTTCTTTGAATTGTGATGTTAGGGTGTCAATTTTGGATCTTTCCTGCTTTCTCTGGTGGGCATTTAGTGCTATAAATTTCCCTCTACACACTGCTTTGAATGTGTCCCAGAGATTCTGGTATGTTGTGTCTTTGTTCTCATTGGTTTCAAAGAACATCTTTATTTCCGCCTTCATTTTGTAATGTACCCAGTAGTCATTCAGGAGCAGGTTGTTCAGTTTCCATGTAGTTGAGCGGTTTTGACTGAGTTTCTTAATCCTGAGTTCTAGTTTGATTGCACTGTGGTCTGAGAGACAGTTTGTTATAATTTCTGTTCTTTCACATTTGCTGAGGAGAGCTTTACTTCCAAGTATGTGGTCAATTTTGGAATGGGTGTGGTGTGGTGCTGAAAAAAATGTATATTCTGTTGATTTGGGGTGGAGAGTCCTGTAGATGTCTATTAGGTCCGCTTGGTGCAGAGCTGAGTTCAATTCCTGGGTATCCTTGTGGACTTTCTGTCTCGTTGATCTGTCTAATGTTGACAGTGGGGTGTTAAATTCTCCCATTATTATTGTGTGGGAGTCTAAGTGTCTTTGTAGGTCACTCAGGACTTGCTTTATGAATCTGGGTGCTCCTGTATTGGGTGCATATATATTTAGGACAGTTAGTTCTTCTTGTTGAATTGATCCCTTTACCATTATGTAATGGCCTTCTTTGTCTCTTTTGATCTTTGTTGGTTTAAAGTCTGTTTTATCAGAGACTAGGATTGCAACCCCTTCCTTTTTTTGTTTTCCATTTGCTTGGTAGATCTTCCTCCATCCCTTTATTTTGAGCCTATGTGTGTCTCTGCATGTGAGATGGGTTTCCTGAATACAGCACACTGATGGGTCTTGACTCTTTATCCAATTTGCCAGTCTGTGTCTTTTAATTGGAACATTTAGCCCATTTACATTTAAAGTTAATATTTTTATGTGTGAATTTGTTCCTGTCATTATGATGTTAGCTGGTTATTTTGCTCGTTAGTTGATGCAGTTTCTTTCTAGCCTCGATGGTCTTTACAATTTGGCATGATTTTGCAGTGGCTGGTACCGGTTGTTCCTTTCCATGTTTAGTGCTTCCTTCAGGAGCTCTTTTAGGGCAGGCCTGGTGGTGACAAAATCTCTCAGCATTTGCTTGTCTGTAAAGTATTTTATTTCTCCTTCACTTATGAAGCTTAGTTTGGCTGGATATGCAATTCTGGGTTGAAAAATCTTTTCTTTAAGAATGTTGAATATTGGCCCCCACTCTCTTCTGGCTTGTAGAGTTTCTGCCGAGAGATCCGCTGTTCCTCTGATGGGCTTCCCTTTTTGGGTAACCCGAGCTTTCTCTCTGGCTGCCCTTAACATTTTTTCCTTCATTTCAACTGTGGTGAATCTGACAATTATGTGTCTTGGAGTTGCTCTTGTCGAGGAGTATCTTTGTGGCATTCTCTGTATTTCCTGAATCTGAATGTTGGCCTGCCTTGCTAGATTGGGGAAGTTCTCCTGGATAATATCCTGCAGAGTGTTTTCCAACTTGGTTCCATTCTCCCCGTCACTTTCAGGTACACCAATCAGACATAGATTTGGTCTTTTCACATAGTCCCATATTTCTTGGAGGCTTTGTCTGTTTCTTTTTATTCTTTTTTCTCTAGAGTTCTCTTCTCGCTTCATTTCATCCATTTCGTCTTGCATCACGGATACCCTCTCTTCCAGTTGATCGCATCGGCTCCTGAGGCTTCTGCATTCTTCACGTAGTTCCCGAGCCTTGGCTTTCAGCTCCATCAGCTCCTTTAAGGACTTCTCTGCATTGGTTATTCTAGGTATCCATTCGCCTAATTTTTTTTCAAAGCTTTTAACTTCTTTGCCATTGGTTTGAATTTCCTCCTGTAGCTCAGAGTAGTTTGATCATCTGAAGCCTTCTTCTCTCAACTTGTCAAAGTCATTCTCCATCCAGCTTTGTTCCATTGCTGGTGAGGAGCTGCATTCGTTTGGAGGAGGAGAAGCACTCTGCTTTTTAGAGTTTCCAGTTTTTCTGCTGTGTTTTTTCCCCATCTTTGTGGTTTTATCTACTTTTGGTCTTTGATGATGGTGATGTACGGATGAGTTTTTGGTGTGGATGTCCTTTCTGTTTGTTAGTTTTCCTTCTAACAGACAGGACCCTCAGCTGCAGGTCTGTTGGAGTTTGCTAGAGGTCCATTCCAGATCCTGTTTGCCTGGGTATCAGCAGTGGTGGCTGCAGAACAGCAGAGGCTGTAGAACAGCGGATATTGGTGATCCACAAATGCTGCTGCCTGATCGTTCCTCTGTTAGTTTTGTCTCAGAGGAGTACCCGGGCCGTGTGAGGTGTCAGTTCTGCCCCTACTGGGGGGTGCCTCCCAGTTATGCTGCTCGGGGGTCAGGGACCCACTTGAGGAGGCAGTCTGCCCGTTCTCAGATCTCCAGCTGTGTGCTGGGAGAACCACTAGTCTCTTCAAAGCTGTCAGACAGGGACATTGAAGTCTGCAGAGGTTACTGCTGTCTTTTTGTTTGTCTGTGCCCTGCCCCCAGAGGTGGAGCCTACAGAGGCAGGCAGGCCTCCTTGAGCTGTGGTGGGCTCCACCCAGTTTGAGCTTCCGGCTTTGTTTACCTAATCAAGCCTGGGCAATGGCTGGCGCCCCTCCCCCAGCCTGGCTGCCGCGTTGCAGTTTGATCTCAGACTGCTGTGCTAGCAATCAGCTAGACTCCGTGGGCATAGGACCCTCCGAGTCAGGTGCAGGATATAATCTCCTGGTGTGCCGTTTTTTAAGCCCGTTGGAAAAGCTCAGTATTAGGGTGGTAGTGACCCGATTTTCCAGGTGCCGTCTGTCACCCCTTTCTCTGACTAGGAAAGGGAACTCCCTGATCCTTTGCACTTCCTGAGTGAGGCAATGCCTCGCCCTGCTTCGGCTCGTGCCCAGTGCACTGCACCCACTGTCCTGCACCCACTGTCTGGCACTCCCTAGTGAGATGAACCTGGTACCTCAGATGGAAATGCAGAAATCACCCATCTTCTGCGTCGCTCACACTGGGAGGTGTAGACTGGAGCTGTTCCTATTCAGCCATCTTGTTACTTGTCTTTAACGTAGGGAAAATATAGGACTCATCTTCAGACCAATATTTGTCATAAACATAGATGTAAAAATATTCAACAAAATATTAGCAAATTGAATTCAGCATTGTATAAAAAGGATTATACACCAGGATCAAGTGAGATTTATTCCAGGCATGAAATCTGGTTCAGTAACTTAAAATCAATTATTATAATTCATTATATAAACAATATAAAGAAGAAAAGTCATATGATCATATTAGTAAATACAGAAAAGCATTTGTCAAAATTTATCACCCATTCCTAATTTTGTAAAAAAGTCAGCAAACTAAGAATAGAAAAAGCATTCTAAAATTGATAAAGAAGATCTACAAAATATTGCAGTTAACATTATATTCATTAGTGAAAAACTAGGTGTTTTATGCTAAATCAGGTACCAGTCCAGGACGTCTCATTTCATGACTTCTATTCAACATTTTACTGGCAGTCCTAGTTGATACATTAACATAATAAAATAAAATAACATGCATATGTCTTAGAAAGGAAAAAATAAACATGTCTTTGTTCACAGATGGCACAACTGTACATGCCGAAAAATACAAAAAATCTACAAAAAATCCTCTTATAACAAATAAAAATTATAAGAAGGTGGCGAGATAGGTCAATATAAAAAATCAATTATTTTTGTCTATATCAATAATAAACAACTAGAATTTGAAGTTAAAAACACAAGATTATTTTAATTAGCATCTAAAAATATTTAGAAATAAATATGACAAAATATGTGCAAAATCTATGTAAGAAAAGATATCAACTCTGATGAAAGAAATCAAAGATCTAAATAAATGGTAATATATTCCTATTCATGGACAGGAGAATCAAATGTTAAGCTGTCAGTTTTTACCAGCCTGATCTATGGCTTGAATGCAATCCCAATAAAAATCCCAGTACGTTATTTTGTGGATATCAACAAATTGATTCTAAATTTTGTATGGAAAGACAAAAGACTTAGAATAGCCAACATAATATTAAAGTATAATAACATAGTTGGAGGACTGATACAAGCTGATGCCAAGACTACCATAAAGCTACTGTAATCAAGAAAATGTGTTGTTGACAAAATAATAGGCAAATAGATAATTAAAAGAGAAGAGAGAGCCCAGACATAGACCCACATAAATGTAGGGAACTCATCTTTGAAAATGGGTCAAGGACAATTCAATGAAGAAAGAATAATTTAAAAAAAATGTTATTTGCAGACCTTACCTTTTTCACAAAAAGCAACTCAAAATTTCTCATAGACCTAAATGTAAAGTGCAAAACTTTAAAACCTTCTGTAAGATAATGGTAAGAAATACACTTTACCTTAGTTATGGCAATGAGCTTTTAGATACAGCACCAAAAGCTTACTCCATAAAAGAAAAAAAAGAATAAATTTTGCATCATTAAAATTTTAAAAGTCTTTTCCTCAGAGTGAGACACTGTTAAGAGAATATAAAGACAGCCACAGACTAGGAAAAAAATTGCAACTCACATCTGTTAAGTAACTGATATCCAAAATATAGAGAGGTCTTAAAACTCAACAATAGGAAAACAACTCAATTATAAACTGGGAAAATATGTGCACAGATATCTCACTAAAGAAGATATACAGATAAAAAAATCATATGATAAAATGGTCAACATTATACATCATTAGGGAATTGCAAGTTAAGACAACAATTAGATACTACTACATGACTATGAGAATGGCTGAAATCCAAAACACTAAGAGCAGCAAATGCTAACAAAAATGTGTAGCAACAGCAAATTTTTTAGAGTCTAAATGATTATTTTTGTATTTTTTGTGTTTTTATTTTTTACCATAATGGGTACATAAAATTTGTATATATTTATGGGGTGTGTGAGATGTTTTCACACTGACATACAATGTGTAATGATCAATTCAGGGTAATCGGGATATCCATCACCTCAATCATTTATCTTTTCTTTGCCAAAAGGGTGACTATAGTTAAAGAAAGCTTTTAAAAATTGCAGTTGAAAATGAAAAATTGACACAGGATTTTTTCAGCACTACTTCACCATCCAGAAGTGGCAACTATGCTACTTCTGTAGAAGGCCAGTGGCACCTATACCCTTGCTTTGCTCGGACATGCGCGGCCTGGCAGGCTGTGCCTGGCTTGTGCTACTAGACCCTGTGGGTGAGCCAGGAACAGAGCGGCGAGGGGTGTGTGAGCGAGTGAGCACGGGCTCTGGCCACAGCACACAGTCAGGCACTTTGGCTGCTGTGATGCAGCGGGCAGCTCCAAGCGCCTGCACAGGCTCGGCTTGTTCCTCAGCCTAGATCCCACAACAACTGCAGCTGCATGCTCAGTGCGTGGAGGGACCAAGTGTGCCACGAGTGGCTTCCTGGCTGGGCACTGGCGTCCAGATGAGGGGAATGTGGTGGTACCTGAAAATTCAAGATGCCAGCAATCGCCGAGCCCCAACAGGGTGTCACAGCTTCTGCTTGAGGAGTCCCGAAGTCTGAGTCCCTCTCTCTCTCATTCCCATCATTCACAGCCCTGAGAACAGGTATGTGTTACAGCTCTGGCCTGGGGAGGCCCGAGGTCTAGGCCCCCGGAAGGATCGCCACTGTTCACTCCCGTAGTCCAGCCCTTTTTGCCCCTGCCATTCAGCGGGTTCCAGGTTCTTTTCCCATGTTCAAGAAGAATGAGGTATGCAGACGCCGGAGAATAAGTAAGGCAGAGAAGAATTTTATTAACAGAAAAGCTCTCAACAATGGGAGGGGACCTAAAGTGTGTAGCCCTCTGTGTGAGAGGGGGACTGAAATGGGTAGCCCAAAGTGTGGCTGAGTTCAGGGTTTTAATGGGCTCAGAATGGGAGAATGTGTGCTGATTCGTCCATGGGTAGTCCTGGAAAAAAGCACTATTTGATTGGTTGAAAGGCATCATAGAGGTTGTAACTCTGGTCAGGGATTCTCTCTGGAACTGGCAGCTTGGTTTTCAGGCTTCAGGCTGTCTTTGGTTTGAAGGTTGGGTTTTACCAGAGACCAACCCCTATCTGCCTAGGAATTTGTCTGTCTCCTGCCGCTGTCAAAATCATATAGCCACTTTGGCAGATAATTTGACTTTTCTTAGAAAACCAAACATACTCTTACCATATGATCCAGCAATCATGCTTTTCAGTATTTACCCATATGAGTTGTAAATGTATGCCTACAAGAACCCTGCACATGAATGTTATAGCAGCCTTATTCATAAATAAACAAACTGCAGTACTTCCATACAATGTAATATTATCCAGTGATCAAAAAAATGAGCTCCAAAGACATAGACGAACCCAACTGCATTTTGCTAAATGAGCAAAGCCAATCTAACAAGGCCTCATACCATATCATCCCAACTATATGACATTCTGGAAAAGGCACAGCTATGGAGACAGTTAAATGATCAGTGTTTGCCAGGGTTTTAAGGGTAGAGAGTAAAGGATAAACTAGTAGAACACAGGAGATTTTTATGGCAGTGAAATCATTCTACATAATACTATAATGGTGAATGCATGTCATTATACATTTGTCAAAATCTAGAGAATTTACAACATAAAGAATGAGATCTAATATGAACTATGAACTTTAGTTTCTAATAATGTATCAATAATGAATCATCAGTTACAGCAAATATATAACACTAATGCATGATGTTAATAGTAGGGGAAACTGTGAGGGGAGAATGGGTAGGTGGGAGCTCTGTATACTTTTCCTGTAATTATTTTTTATACCTAAAACAGCTCTAAAAATAGAGTCTATTGGTTTAGAATGATGCGATACAGATGCCCAGCTTGAAGTCTTGTTAGCAGGGATGACAGATTCCACTGCTTGTGTCCCATGACTTTACTATATCATGCATGGACATATTCTGAGTTTGTTTTTGGATATATTCCTAGATATCCATCTGTTCTGAGACTTTGTATCAAGATAATTAACTCTTATAAATATGAAGATGCATTGCTTTGAATATCATCTAGACCATGATTTTTATCTTGACAATATGAAATTTGTAGAATACTGAAGTATCTCAAATGCTCAAGCCCACTTTCCTACTGCTTCCTTTTTCTGTGAACATTTATAGACTGAGATTATATTTTTATTTCATGCTTTAGGAGTGAAAGTATGTATAGTCTGGGTTCTCTAGAGGGACAGGACTAATAGGATAGATGTATGTATAAAAGGGAATTTATTAAGTAGTGTTGACTCACACGATCACAAGGTGAAGTCTGCAAGCTGAGTAGCAAGGAAGCCAGTCCCAGTCCCAAAACCTCAAAAGTAGGGAAACTGACAGTGTAGCCTTCAGTCTGTGGCTGAACGCCTGGGAGCCCCTGGCAAATCACTGGTGTAGGTCCAAGAGTGCAAAAGCTGAAGAACTTGGAGTCTGATGTTTGAGGGCAGGAAACATCCTGCACAGGAGAAAGATGGAGGCCAGAAGACTTAGCCAGTCTAGTCCTTCCACATTCCTCTGTCTGCTTTTATCCTAGCTGTGCAGGCAGCTGATCAGATGGTGGCCACCCAGATTGAGGGCGGGTCTGTCTCTCCCAGTCCACTTCTCAAATGTTAATCTCCTTTGGCAACACCCTCACAGACACACCCAAGAACAATACTTTGCATCCTTCAATCAAATTGACACTCAGTATTAACCATCACAAAGCACAAATTGAAAGACTGTGTTAACAAGTCAGTGGAAAACATTACCAAATCTCTAGGCCAATTGTGATATGGGAAAATATGTACATTTTCTAGAAATTTTTATTATTTTCCCAAACCTTTCATTATAAAAAATGTCAAAAATACAGAAAAGTTTAAATGTTTGCACACAGAGCTCACATATACCTGTGATCTAACTTCTAGAATAAAAATTGTTGCTCTATTTGCTTCCTTATATATTCAGACATCTGTTTATCTTTTTTATCAGTCCATTAATTCATCTTATTTATTTGGTGGATTTCAGTGCATATTGTAGACATCAGTACACTTTATCCCTAACATCTTAGCCACAAAATTATGTACTTTGTTTTTGTTTTCCTTTTGTTTTCAAGAGAGAAAAATCACAATTCTACCATCTTATGCATTTTGACAAATAAAATACTCCTGCATTACCCAAACCCCATCAAGATTCAGAACACTGCTATCAACCCAGAAAGTTCTCTCTAGCCCTTGAGCAAAAGCAGCCACTCTTCTGATTTAAAAAAAAAATTAATATATCCTTTTTCTATACTCCATATAAGTGAAACCACACAGTATAAACAGTCTTATTCAAGGTATTTTTCACTCAGCAAAATATTGATCTATGTTTGTTTCTTTTTATCACTAAATAGCATACTACATGTGATTTCTCATTCTTCTGTTGGTGGAAATATGAACTACTTCCAGTTTGGAGCTATTATTTATAAACTGCTATGTACATTTTTGAAGAAGTGTCATGAATGAATAGACAAAGTCAATTGTCTACTTATGTATTTTTTTGAAATTTGAAACTAGAAAAACATCACTTTACAACAGCATGAAACTAAGTATAAATAATTAGGTATAAATCTAAAAAACTGTGCAGAATCTATATGTCAAGTTAATAAGACAGTGATGAGAGATCAAAATTCTGTAAGTAAAGAGATATTTGGGTTCATAGATCAGGAAACATAATATTATTAAAATGTCAATTATTCCGCATTTAATCTTTAGATTCAACACAATGACAATCAAAATTCCAAGTTGTTTTGTGTGTATCAGTAAACTGATTCTGAAGATAATGTAAAAATGTAAAAACCCCTCAACAGCCATCACAAGAGTGAAAAGTCAAAATCAGTTTTAATTTGACCTGACTTAAAAATTTACTAATATAGAGCAATAATTATCAAGACAGTGTGATACTACTAAAAGAATAGACAAATAGTTTACTGGAAAAGAATGGAAAGCATAGAAATAGACCAATACAAATATAATCAAACAATCTTTGACTAAGATGCAAATACAAATCAATGGATAAAGAATAGTCTTTTCAACAAATGATGTGGGAAAAACTAGATTTCCACATTAAAAAAAGTGCATCTGGACAGGATCTATCAGCTGCCACCAAAATTAACTCAAAACATGCTGTAGACCTACAGATGAACTATAAAACTATAAAACTTCTAGAAATAGAAGTAAAATAAATTCTTCATGACTTTGTGCTTGTCAGTAAATATTTAAATATAAAGAATCCAATGCATGAAATTTAAAAATGACAAACTGGATTTTATCAAAATTCCAAATTTTTCATTGTGAACAAATTTTTAAAGGAAATGATAAATGATTTCTGTATGTTAAAACAACCTTGCACCCCAGGGGTAAACCCCACTTGGTTAGGGTGTGTAATCATTTATTTGTACTGGAGAATTTGGTTTGCCATTGTTTTATTGAAGATTATTTTATTGAAGATTATGCTTATCAGAGACACTGGCTTGTAGTTCTCTTTTCCTGTGGTATCTTTGTCTGGCTTTTGTATCATGGTAATGTTGGCCTCATAAAATGAGTTTGGCAGTATTTTCTCTACTCCTACTTTATGAAAGAGTTTTAAAGGGGTTGGCATAAATTCTTCTTTGAATGTTTGGTAGAATTCAACCAAGAAGCCATCTAGTCCTGGTTTGATTGGTAGTTTTTTTATTACTACTCAAATTTATTTATTTGTTATGGGTATATTAGTTTATTCAAGTTTTCTATTTCTTGATTCAGACTTGGTAATTTGCATGTCTCTAGGAATTTATCTGTTTACTCTAGGCTATCTAATTTGTTGGCACATAATTGTTCATAATAGCCTCTTACAATCCTTTTTATTTCTGAGATACTTTTTATTTCTTGAGACATTGTAATTTCTTGTCTTTCATTTATGATTTTATTCAATTATTTTCTCTTTTTTCTTAGATAGTCTCCTTAAGAGTTCGTCAATTTTGTTGTATCTTTTTAAAAAACTTCTTAGTTTTGATAAATTTTTCTGTAGTTTTTCTATTCTCTATTTGATTTATTTTCTTGTGGTTCAATAAAAATGCATTATATTATCATTTAAAAGTATCCATAACATACTGGCTAAAAGACTTATATCAAGAATACACAAATAACTTTTAAAACTCAAATATAAACCATATAAAAAGGTATAAACAGCATTTGTCATTAGAGAAGTGCAAACTAAAATGAAAGGCACCACTACACAACTACTAGAACGGCTGAAATCCAAAAAGAACCTGACAATATCAGAAGTTGGTGAGGGCATGGAGGAACAGAAACTCTCACTCATTGGTCATGGAAATGTAAAATGGTACAGTGGAAATCAGTTTCATGGTTCTTCTAGATTTAAACATAGCCTTACCATATAATCCATCAATTATGTAAGTTATTTAGAAATTAATATCTCCACTAAAACCTGCATATAAACATTTATAACATCTTTACTGATAATTACTCCAAGCTGGAAGTAACCCAGATGAATTTCAGTATATTAATGGATAAATCGCGATACATCCATACAGTTGAAAACTATTAAACAAGAAAAAAGTAATGAACTACTAATCTATATATAACAATATGGTGAGTTTTACATAAATTTTTCAAGCAAGAATTTCACTTAGAAAGAATTCAGACTTTCACATATTGTATGATTCTATTTATATGATATTATGGAAAAGGGAGAAAACAGATCAGTGGTTGCCAGAGATTGTAGAGGGAAAAGAGTTTCAGGAGAAGAAGCATAAGAGATGTCTTAGAGTGATTGAATTAATTTGTATGATGAAACTTAGTAAAAATAATCAACCATGTGTTAATCAACCATGTGTTACACTGTGACAAAAGAGTGTAACAGTATTTCAATTGTGTACAAATGACTTAACTTCAGTGGTGAGAAAAGATGGTGCTGATCCAAATAATTTTGGAAAACTGTTTTGACTGGAAATGGTAGGACTAAAGATAAAAGTGGTTGTACATAAACATTGTGCTTTAGTTGACAAAATAATTACTAATTCCATTATGAGTTAACATTCTGAAGCTGTTGTAAATGTATGCTGGAATTAAACCAATGAATGAATGGATGACAGATAGCGGAAGCCAGGTATCTCATTCTTGAAATAGAAGGTAACAGATAAGAAAAAGGGGAAGACTAGAATCAACTATGTGGTACTGCATTAGAATGAAGATGTCAGTATTAACTCTTGACTTAATTAACGTAGACACAGAGGAATAGATACAAAAATACTTGTATTTATAGGTATAAATGGGTTAGTATTCATGCATATATTTCCTTCTTCTTTCCACTGACAGCAACTAGAAGCAACTATAACTTAGTGATAATAAGAATACCATGTATCTAGATCTTGGTTTCTAATTTATTCTCCAACATAAGAAAGCAGAACTCTTTGGAGAATAGTGATGCTAGCTCTGGGGTAAGAAATATACAAGATGAAACTGGAATATTTCATAGTGCCAAAAAACAAAAAGTATACCAAAAATGTGGACGTGTTAAAGGGACACAGAAGTCAACCTGAAAGAGTTCCCAATAGCCAAAGTTGGAACAATTAAAGCAACAATATAAATCATATAGAATTATAACTCCAAATAGAAAATAATATAAATATCCGATTGACTTAAACAAATGAGAGAGAAGAGACAAATTTTCTATATAAAAGAATTTCAAGTAATTTAGGTACATAGTCTCTCTTAAGGAGGTGGACCTCAAACACCCTTGCCCCTCTAATATGTGGGTTGCCCTTCCTTACTTGCTTCCACATAGTACAGTATGGAAAGGGGAAGAGGAGTAACTTTACAGTGAGTAAATCTGGAAAACACTTCCTTATCCAGGTGATCAAAGTTGACATTATCAATAATAAGTCATGTTGATAGCTTGTGCCCTTGATACTTCACCTCTGTGGTCTTCATCCCCAAAATACGTAATGTCAGTTAAGCCATGAGAAGAATATAAGATAAACCCAAATGGGAAAAATGTTCTACCAAATATTAATACTTGACCAATACTCCTCAAAACTGACAAGGCTATCAAAAATCAGAAAATCCTGAAAAACTGTCACAAACCAAAGGAAGATAAGACCATGTGACAATTAAATGTAATACGGTGGTCTGCTTGATTCTGGAATAAAAAAAGGACATGAGAGAAACACTAGTGAAATACAAATGAAGTACGAAGTTTTGCTAAAAAAAAAAAGAATACTGAGAGATCACAAATAATAATAATAAATTAGGTTTTTCAATTCAAGAGATGGGCTTAATCCAAACCTACAGATATTTTCATATTCATTAGCTTTATTTCTCATCTTTCACTTGTGAAATTGACATTTTTTTCTTCCTAGTTGTCTATATTATTTATTAAATATGTTATCAAAGCCATAGAATCATTTCTTCAACATCTCCCATTTTGTATCTTTTTCTATTCATATATACTGCATATTTCTACATGTACATACACAGACACACACACACACAGTTACAGTTCTTAAACTTTTTTCAGGCATTCATTTGGCTCAGAAACATGTATTATCTAGCCACATAGCCTATATTAGAACTGTATTTTTGTCAATAAAATAAATAGCCAAATCAACAACAGCTTAAACAAACTGAAAGTTTATTAGCCTGTTGTGTAAATCTAGTTTAACATTTCAAAGCAAAAGTGGCACCTCTCTGGTGTCAGGGACCACAAAACTCCTATTTTGTTGTTACACCATCAGAAGAGTATTCCTTTTCTCCATTATGTAAGATAATTTTTTTTTTTTTTTTTTTTTTGTACAGGGTAGGGAAGCAAATGGCTCATTGGTATTTACGTTTTTAGAACAACAATGGATTGAGTCCCCTAATTTTACTTACATGAGGTAGTAAATTCTTTATATATCAAGGGACAAATTCTCATGGTCCTCATTGTCTCTCTGGACCTGATTGGAGATTGGACAATTTATTAAATTCATTTTTTTTTAAATTACACTTTAAGTTCTGGGGTACATGTGCAGAACGTGCAGGTTTGTTACATAGGTATACACGTGCCATGGTGGTTTGCTGCACCCATCAACCCATCATCTACATTAGGTATTTCTCCTAATGCTATCCCTCCCCTAGCCTCCCACCCCCTGACAGGCTCCAGTGTGTGATGTTCCGCTCCCTGTGTCCACATGTTCTCCTTGTTCAGCTCCCACTTATGAGTGAGAACATGCGGTGTTTGGTTTTCTGTTCTTGTGTTGGTTTGCTGAGAATGACGGTTTCCAGCTTCATCCATGTCTCTGCAAAGGACATGAACTCATCCTTTTTCATGACTGCATAGTATTCCATGGGATATATGTGCCACATTTTCTTTATCCAGTCTATCACTGATGGGCATTTGGGTTGGTTCCGAGTTGTTGCTATTGTGAACAGTGCTGCAATAAACATACATGTGCATGTGCATGTGCATGTGCATGTGCATGTGTCTTTATAGTAGAATGGTTTATAATCTTTTGGGCATATACCCAGTAATGGGATTACTGGGTCAAATTGTATTTCTGGTTCTAGATCCTTGAGGAATCACCACACTGTCTTCCACAATGGTTGAACTAATTTACACTCCCACCAACGGCATGTAAAAATGTTCCTATTTCTTCACATCCTCTCCAGCATCTGTTGTTTCCTGACTTTTTAATGATTGCCATTCTAACTGGCCTGAGATGGTGTCTCATGGTTTTGATTTGCATTTCTCTAATGACGAGTGATGTTGAGCTTTTTTTCCTATGTTTGCTGGCTGCATAAATGTCTTCTTTTGAGAAGTGTCTGTTCATATCCTTCGCCCACTTTTTGATGGGTTGTTTGTTTTTTCCCTGTAAGTTTGTTTAAGTTCTTTGTAGATCCTGGATATTAGCCCTTTGTCAGGTGGATAGATTGCAAAATTTTTCTCCCATTCTTTAGGTTGCCTGTTCACACTGATGATCATTTATTTTGCTGTGCAGAAAGCTCTTTAGTTTAATCAGATCCCATTTGTCAATTTTGGCTTTTGTTGCCACTGCTTTTGGTGTTGTAGTCATGAAGTCTTTGCCCATGCCTATGTCCTGAATGGTATTGCCTAGGTTTTTCTTCTAGGTATTGCCTGGTTTTAGGTCTTATGTTTAAGTCTTTAATCCATCTTGAGTTAATTTTTGTATGAAGTATAAGGAAGGGGTCCAGTTTCAGTTTTCTGCATATGGTTAGCCAGTTTTCCCAAAACCATTTATTAAATAGGGAATCATTTCCCCATTGCTTGTTTTTGTCAGGTTTGCCAAAGATCAGATAGTTCAAAGATCAGATCCTGGGTTCAAGTGATTCTCTTGCCTCAGCATCCCTGGTAGCTGGGATTACAGCAACACAGCACCATGTCCAGCTAATTTTTGTATTTTTAGTACAGACGGGGTTTCACCGTGTTGGCTAGGCTGGTCTCCAACTCCTGATTTCAAGTGATCTGCCTGCCTCAGCCTCCCAAAGTGCTGGGATTACAGGCGTGAGCCACTGCGCCCAGCATTATTTTGTATTTCTGTTAAGAATTGATGGTTTTTGTTGAGAATGAAAAATGGATTATGTCAAATGTCAAATGTTTTTTCTACATCTATTGGAATAAGAATATACTTTTTATTTTTTAAACTCTATTAAGAGACCAACTATATTGATGATAAAATGCATTGATTGACTTTTTAATATCATATCAATCTTGTAATTCTGGAATATCGATACCTGATTTGTTGTCATGAAAAGTGGCCTCATATTATAAGTTGTGAAATAGTCTCTCTTCTTTAATTTCTTGAAGACTTATAACTTTTATCACTTTCTTCCTCAAAACTTTAGAGTAATTCATTAATATATGTATAGCAATTTGGGTCTAGTGTTATTGTAGGAAAGCTTTAAAAACTGATTTAATTTATTTAATAAAGGGCTACAGAGATTTTTCTTCTAGACTGAGATTTGGTAGTTTATGATTTTGAAGTAATATGTTAATTTTGTCTAATTTGTTTAATCTATTCACACATGGTTTTCATAATATCCCATTATTACTCTGTTGTCATACAGTATGCTAGGGCAATCATAGGCTTCTTTAGTTGTTTCTTGCTTCTCTGGAAGCAAGAAATAGTGCAGCCATTCCGATAAGTGGCTTGGCATTTCTTTAAAAAGTAGCTTACACCCCAGCAATTAATCAAATTGCTCTGTCTTTAAAAATATCCTTAAAGCGATAGAAAGTAAAGATAGAGGGTTATAGTTCACAATTAAGAAAATATTTGAAAGTACATTCTTGCCTTGGTATCCATGGGGGATTGATTCCAGAACCCCCTGCAGATACCAAAATTTATGGATGCTCAAGTCCCCTATATAAAATGGTGTAGTATTTGCATGTAACCTATACACTTCCCCCTGTATACTTTAGATTATCTCTAGATTACTTTTAATACCTGATACAATGCAAATGGTACACACACAGTTGTCATGCTGTATGTTTTCAGTTTGTATTATTTTACTGTTGTGTTGTTATATTTTATTGTTTTTTTCTTGAATAGTTTCAATCCACAGTGGTTGAATTCATAGATGGATGCAGAACCCATTGACAAGGAAGACCAACTATACTATTATAAATAGGATTTTAGAATCCAGGAAATGGAACACTGGAATATTTAAATATAATATACATTACATTCACAAACAATAAGGTAACCATTTTTCTTTATTCAATTACATTCAGCAAATATTTAATATTTTCAAAGGAAAATTAACGCTTAATTGCTCCAATGACAAACATACAAAAAATCTATAAGAAATTTAGAAAAAAAGTAAGCTATAGTATCTGTCCTCAGTGAACATATAATATAATTGGAGAGGAGCCTAATACATATAAAATAATTGCAAAAAGATTAATGCTAAATTCCAAATTGTGTGGTTTAAGAATTATATATGATACAAGGTAAGGTTTCATAGACTAAGGACTTAGATTTTCTTAGAAAAGAATAGTTAGAAAAGCATCTGTATGCCAAAAAAAAAAAAAAAATCACAGAAATGAATAAGGAAGTACTAAGAAGAAAATTCTCAATGTGGAATAAGAGCTAATGAGAACTTAGAATTCTATTCCACCAGTATACTGCAATTGTTACCAATCATTCTGATACCCATTATTCTTTCAGTTATCAATAAAATATAAATCTTAAGTTTTTTTTCCCTCATTCCTCTGAGCAGACTGACCTATTTGAAAAATGTTTTCTTAAAACCAAGGGCTAGAAAAATAGAAAACAAGAAAATACAACAATATATTTTAAAAGTAATGTACAAAGCAAATGTTTTACATGACTGGAAAGCATAGTGAGAAATGTAATAATTATCATAGCTTTTATGAAGTTCTGAATGCTAAAAAATCTAATTCATTTTCATCTTGTTTAATATCTCCAAATAACAGAAGATTATAAAAAGCTATGTGACTCTCTTTAGTAAAGACCAAGTATAATAATGTGAACCTTGAATAAACAGTGTAATTTTTTATTTTTTGGAGAGGTTCACAGAAAAATAACTATTAATTAGTGTCGAGCCTACACTTCCCAAGTTCTTACACAGGATTAACTCTTATTTTAACATTTAAAATTGGTTAGAAAACTGTAGGAATTTTTTTAAAGTTGCCATTCTTATGCACTCATTAATCTAAGTCAAGTACATCTAAACTGTGTTAAAAATATATAATTTTTAAATTACATGTTTTAAATATTTAAATCCTGTGAGGACTAGTGAACTACAAATTGTCCTCTTCATATAAATATCTCCCTAATGAAGCAACCTAAAAGTGTAAGGAATTTTTCAACTATCTATGTGCCAGGCACAAAAATTGGTATGGAAGATGAAAAAAATTAAAATAGATAATAAATGCCTTTATTGAATTTTAAATATACAGAGTCACACTGTCAATTTAGCTTAATATGACTCTGAACCAAAGGCAAACACTCTGAAAAATTTAATCTCTTTCTGGTTCAAAACCAATTACGAGATTACTGCATCCACTTAAGGAGTAACAGTGATCCTTCAACTGATAACAATTTAAGAATATGAACAAAATGCAGTATATAAAATCATGATTTATATTATATAAATAATAACCAGTGAAGGACTGGGAGGTGATTGGATCATGGGGACAGTTTCCCCCATTGTGTTCTTGTGATAGTGAGTGAGTTCTCACAAGATCTGACGGTTTTAATGTGTAGCACTTCTGGTCTCACCAATCAATGAGCACAAGAAAAATGACCCCAAAAAGTCCTAAAATAGGAAGTTCTTCACAAAAGAGGATAGCCAATTAAAATATAAAAATATGCTTAATAACACTGCTTTTAGGAAAATATAAATTAAATCAATAATTAGTCATATACACCCACCAGAATGGCGAACGTTATAAAAATCAACAATAATGAGGCCTGATGTGACTATACGGAAATTAGAACCCTCATACTATACCTGTGGGAGTGTAGTTTGGTTAAACCACTTTGGACAACTGGCAATATCTACTAATGCTAAATGCATAACTACCTTATAACTTGGCAGTCCAACTCCTAGATAAATGAATGCAGAATTCCAATATAAGGCAAGAACATTCATAGTAGTTTTACAGCAGCCTAGGACTGGAACTAGCCCAAATGGCCATCGGTGATAGAAAACATACACCTACTGCAGTATATTCATCCAGTGGAATAGTACACAGCAATGAAAAAGAACAAACTGCTGATATCACAACAATACACATAATTCTCACAGAACTTAAGAAAATCAGATGAGAATAACTACATATTGTGTTATTTTGTTTTGAAGAGATTAAGAAGCAACCCAACTGATGACAGTATAAGTGGTTACCTCTCTGTGTGTGTGCTATGAACTGAATTGTACCCCTTCAAAATTTACACGTTAAGCCCAGTCCTCCATGAACAGACACTTCCCAAAAGAAGACATTCATGCAGCCAAAAACATATGAAAAAAAGCTCTCAACATCACTGATTATAGAGAAATGCAAATGAAAACCACAATGAGATACCATCTCAGGCCAGTCACAATGGCCATTATTAAAAAGTCAAGAAACAACAGATCTGATGAGATTGTGGAGAAATAGGTTCGCTTTTACACTGTGGTGGGAATATAAATTAGTTCAACCATTGTGGAAGATGTTGTAGCAATTATTCAAAGGTCTAGAACCAGAAATACCATTTGACCCAGCAATCCCATTTCTGGTATATACCCAAAGGAATAAAAATCATTCTATTACAAAGATACATGCACATGTATGTTCATTGCAGTACTATTCACAATAGCAAGGATATGGAATCAACCCAAATCCCCATCAGTGATAGATCTGATAAAGAAAATATGGTACATATACACCATGGAATACTATACAGCTATGAAGAGGAATGAGATTATGTCCTTTGCAGGGACATGGATGAAGCTGGAAGCTATTACCCTCAACAAGCTAAGACAGGAACAGAAAACCAAACACCACATGTTCTCACTTATAAGTGGGAGCTGAACGATGAGAACACATGAACACAGGGAGGGGAACAACACACATTGGGGCCTGTTGGTGGGTGGGGTAGGGGAAGGGAGAGTATTAGGAAAAATAGTTAATGTATGCTGGGCTTAATACCGAGGTTATGGGTGTGTATAGGTGCAGCAAACCACCATGGCACATGTTTACCTATGTAACAAACCTGCACAGGTACTCCAGAACTAAAACTCAAATTAAAAATTAAGAAAAGCCTATGCCCTCAATGTGATGTTGTTTGGAGATAAAAATCTTTGGAGATAATTAGGTTTAGATGAGGTAATGAGGGTAGGACCCTCATGAAGAGATCAGTGTCTTCACAAGAAGAGAAATCAGACAGCTTGCTTTCTCTATCTGTCTTCCTGCCATGTGAGGACACAGTGAGAAGCCAGCTCTTCTGCAAGCCAGAAAGAGAGACATTGCAAGAAATGAAACATGATGACACCTTGGACTTCTAGCCTCCACAACTGTGAGAAAATACATTTCCTTGTTTAAACCACTTGGTTTATAGTATTTTGTTACGGTAGCCTGAGCTAAGGCTCTGTGTGTGTGTGTGTGTGTGTGTGTGTGTGTGTGTGTGTGTGTGTTTGTGTATGTGTGTTGGGGTTGACTGGAAAGGGGGTGGTGTGGATGATTCTTCTGGAGTGAGAGTTAAATAGGAGTATGTCTGTGTAAAATTCCATAGGCACTATATTTATAATGTGACTTTTATCTACCACCTTACTTTATAGATCACATACTTCAAACATTTTATATATATCATATATATATATTCTAAGATTTCTTATAATAATTTTGTGTACAATCATATGGTAGTGATTTAAATAAGAATGTTTTAATGCTAATTAATCATATTTAAGGTTTAAGATTGTCCACATAACACACTATACTTACTGAAGTATTTTGTTTTTAATTCCTCCAAGAACAATATAATGCAAGCTCGTAAATTCCCTATTTGCATCACTGTGGAGTGTAGTTAAATCTCTTGGCTATAGACAGCAGAGTTTTTTTTAATCAACTAAACTTTTTTTGGTAGAAGTTGCTTTTAATAGACATAGGTATAATTTTAAAGTCAAGTTATATCAGGGTTAAGAGCTGTTTTAGAGTTTTTTCAGTTACTTTATCTCTCTTATTTAGGGTCTTAAATATTTATTGCCCAATTCTATTTTTATAAAGATTACTGAAAATTGTTTTAAAATGCTTTTCAATATCTATTCTACCCTAACTGTACTGCATGTGTTTTTATGATTATATAAATTATACATGCTTTTCATAAACAATTCAAATAATACATCAGTAGTCAGCCTTAAGTAAAAAGCCAAATTTAGAAATAATGTGGAGTTAATGGTTCTATCTTAGACTGAACTACATGTATGGCATGTTTAAAATATATGTGGTCTGTAGAAATGAGCAGAAATAATATATTTTTCTCAAAGTGAATTAAACTTAGAACATTCTCATTCCATTCTTGAATAGATAACAAATGCTTAAAAATAAATAATCAAAAGAAATAATAGGTAGGAGCAAAGATGGCCAACTAGGTGCATCCTGGGGGAATATCTCACACTGAGAGACCAGTACATCAGGAAGACTGGCACACCGTGAGCAGATCTTTGGAGGGAAGGCATTTAGAGTGGACAGAGGAAGGACACAGATGCTAGGCTGAAGGCAGGAAGACAGGAACCCTCCTGCATGGAGCTACCAAGCGCTAGGACTCATTCCTGGCCCACAGGGACTCCTGGGGAAGGGGTGAGTTTAACAGGTAAACAGCAGCCTGTTCCTGCCATGGACCTCTGCTGTCTTAGCAGCAGGAGACCCCATGACTCCCATGGATTCTTGAGCTGGCACAGAGATCTGCTGAGAGAGATGGCAGAGGCAGGGCTCCAGCCTGTGTGCAGTCCAAAAGATTTGCTGTGGGAACAGCTGCAGTGGAGCATGGCTAGGGATACATATCACCCAAGGCTTTCCATGATCCTGATCCTCCAGGAGACATTAGTTTTAGGGTGACTGTTGGACCTGCACAGAGCAGGATGGTCCTGACCATAGGATGGTGCCAGTCTGGTCTGAGCACTCTCCTGTCTGCTGGCTTCTCCTGGGTCCCTGGCCTGGCTGCACCTGCTTGCAGTGAAGCTGGAGCCCTCATTATAGATCCTTTTCCAGCAGACCATGCATGACCTTTGGAGAGCTTTGGCCCTTGCTGACCTGCCCCAGTCCACCCACACCCACCCCCGACTCCAACCTCCTCCCACTGCTTTTCCGACATGCACTCACCCACGGCCTCCTCCACCGCTTTGCTGGTGCACATGTGTAGGTGGACCTTGCTTTCCCTGCTGGCATGCCTGTGTGCATGTGCTCCACCATGTCACCACTGCCAGCATGAGTACACCCCATTGCTGGCACAAGTATACTCCATCACATCACCATCACTGACACAAATATATCCGCAGATGTCGACAACCACACACCCACTGCACCAGTGCTACTGCTGCCGGTGCAAACACACACATGGATGCCAGCAACTCTGCTCCTGCCAGTTCTCCATCCCAGCCAATGTGTGTGCACTTCACTGCATTCCTTTGGCTGCGGGTATGTGTGAGTGATCATGGATCCCACTGCCACCATCTGGACAAAGTGTTCTGGCAACTTAAAAAGCTAGAGTGCCTTATATCCAAATGACCAAACTAGCTCTCCTATGTTGGCTCTTAACCAGGCTGAAATGGCTTCAAATGACAGAAATAGAATGCAGAACATAAATGGGAATGAAGATCATCGATATTCAGAAGAAAGTCAAAACCCAATTCAAGGAATATAAAAGGACACAGGAGCTGAAAGACAGAATGACCATTTTAAGAAAAAAGCAAACGGATACAATACAGCTAAGAAATTCACTTAAGTAATTTGATAATACAATCCCAAGTTAAGAACAGAATAGACCAGGCTGAGAAGAGAATCTCTAAACTTGAAGATCATTCCTCCAAAATAATTTAGTGAGACAAAAATAAAGAAAAAAAATAAATTAGAATAAACAAATACCCCTGAGAAATATGAGATTATGTAAAGAGACCATATCTATGACTCATTAACATTCCTGAAAGAGAGAGAGAGAGAGAAAACAAACAACTTGGAAAATATATCTGGGGACATTGTCCATGAAAATTTTACCAACCTCACTAGAGAGGTCAACATCAAATTCAGGAGATGTAGAGACCCTGTGAGATACTATACAAGATGATCATCCCAAACACTCAAGACACATTGTCATCAGATTCTCCAAGCTCAACATGAAAGAAAACATGTTAAAGGTAGCTAGGCAGAAGTGAAAGATACCTACAAAGGGAACCCATCAATCTAACAGTGGAACTTCAGTAGAAACCCTTTAAGCCAGAAGATATTGGAAGCCTATATTCAACATTCTTAAAGAAAATAAATTCTAAACAAGCATTGCATATCCAGCCAAACTAAGCTTCATAAGTGAAGGAAAAATAAGATCTTCTTCAGACAAGCAAATTCTGAGGGAATTTATTACTACCAGATCTGCCTTACAAGAGATCCTTAAAAGCATGCTAAATATGAGAAGAAAAGACTGTTACCAGCTTCCACAAAAACATACTTATGTACATAGACTATTGACATTATGAAACAACTACACAATCAAGTCTGCATAATAATCAGCAAACAACATGATGACAGGGTCAAATCTGCACATATCAATATTAACTTTGAGTGTAAACAGGCTAAATACCCCAATCAAAAGCCAGAGAGGGGCAAGTTAGATAATAAAGCAAGACGCAACTATATTCTGTTTTCAAGAGACTCATCTCACATGCAGTGACACTCATAAGCTCAAATAACAGGGTTGGAGAAAAATCTATCAAGCAAATGGAGAATAGGAAAAAGCAGGGGTTTCTAATCTAATTTTAGACAAAACAGACATTAAACCAAAAAATGATCAAAAAAGACAAAGAAGGGCATTATATAATGGTAAAGGGTTCAATTCAACAAGAAAACCTAACTATTCTAAATATATATAGGCCCTTGTCTTTTTTTAATCATTTTTTTGGTTTAAAGTCTGTTTATCTAAAATTAGAATAGCAACCCCCACTTTTTACATATATATGTAATGTATATATGTAATGTATATATATGTATATAATGTATATATATGTAATGTGTATATATATGTAAAAAGCGGGGGTTGCTATTCTAATTTTATATATATATACACGCACACATATATATCTAGACACACACATACACATATCTGTGCATGTGTGTGTGTGTGTGTATCCAACACAGGAGCATTAGGATTCATAATGCAAGTTCTTAGAGACTGACACAGATAATTAGATAACTACACAATAACAGTGGGAGACTTCAACACCCCACTGATAGTATTAGATAGATCTTTGAGGTAGAATACTAACAAGTATATTTGGGACCTGAAATGGGACACTTGACCCAATGGACCTAACAGAATGTAGGTCCATTCTCCACCCCAAACAATAGAATGTACTCTCCACCTCAAAACAACAGAATGTACGTTCTTCTCATCTGCACATGGCACATATTGTAAAATAAATCACACAATCTGCCATAAAACAATTCTTAGCAAATTAAAAAAAAACAAAAATCATACCAACCACATTCTTAGACCACAGTGCAATCAAAATATAAATCAGTACTAAGAAGATCACTCAAAACCATACAATTACATGGAATTTAGGCAACCTGCTCCTCAATGATGCTCGGGTAAACAATGAAATTAAGGTAAAAATAAAAAAAAATTCTTAGAAACTAAAGAGAACAGATATAACACACTAGAATCTCTAGGATACAGATGAAGCAGTGTTAAGAGTTAAGACTCTTAACTAGAATCTCTTAACTAGAGTCTTAACTCTTAACTAGAATCTCTAGGATACAGATGAAGCAGTGTTAAGAGTTTAGACTCTTAACTAGAATCTCTTAACTAGAGTCTTAACTCTTAACTAGAATCTCTAGGATACAGATGAAGCAGTGTTAAGAGTTAAGACTCTTAACTAGAATCTCTTAACTAGAGTCTTAACTCTTAACTAGAATCTCTAGGATACAGATGAAGGAGTGTTAAGAGTTAAGACTCTTAACTAGAATCTCTTAACTAGAGTCTTAACTCTTAACTAGAATCTCTAGGATACAGATGAAGCAGTGTTAAGAGTTAAGAGTTTAACTCCTCTTAACACTGCTTCATCTGTATCCTAGACATTCTAGTATGTTCTATCTGTTCTCTTTAGTTTCTGAGAATTTTGATGTGAACTAAATGGCCACATCAAAAAGTTAGAAAGGTCTGAAATTAATAACCTAATATGTACCTACATGAGTTAGAAAACAAAAGTAAACCAACCCCAAATATAGCAGAAGAGAACAAACAAAATAAGAGCTGAACTGAAGATGCAAACAACTATAAAAGAGATCAGTGAATCCAGGAGTTGGTTCCTTGAAAGAAGAAATAAAGTTGATGGACCACGAACTAGAACAAAAAAGAAGAAGAGAGAGAATATCCAAATAAACACCATCAGTACTAACAATGGGAACATTACCAAGAATCCCATAGAAATACAAAAAAATCCCCAGAGACTATGACAAATACCTCTTTTCACACAAACTAGAAAACCAAGAAGAAATCTATACATTCCTGGAATTATACAACCTCTCAAGATTGAACCAGGAAGAAATTGAAACCTTGAACAGACCAATAACATGTTCTGAAATTGAATCAGTAATTAAGTCTACCAACAAGAAAAAGTCCAGGACCAGAAAGATTCACAGCCAAGTTCTGCTAGATGAATAAGGTGAGGTGGTACCATTACTACTGAAACTATTCCAAAAATTGAGGAAGCAAGTGTCTTACCTGACTCATTTTATGAGGATAGCATCATTCTGATATTAAACTTGGAAGAGGCACAATAAAAAAAGAAAACTTCAGGTCAATATTTTTGATAAATATAAATGCAAAATTAACAAAATACTATCATACAAAATCCAGCAGCATATCAAAAAGCTTATCTACCACAGTCAAGTAGGTTTTGTCCCTGGGGTGCAAGGTTGATTTAACATACATAAATCAATAAATGCAATTCATCACGTGAACAGAACTAAAAACTAGAACCACATGATTATATCAATATATGCAGAAAAGGCTTTCAATAAAATTTAACATACCTTCCTAATAAAAAACCTCAATAACCTAGGCACCGAAGGAAGATAACTCTGAATAAGAAGAGCCATCCATGGCAAATCCAAAGCCAACATCGTACTGAACGGACAAAAGCTGGAAGCAACCAAAACAAGGATGTTCACTTTCACCACTCTTACTCAACATAATACTGGAAGTCCTAGCTACAGTAAGCAAGCAAGAGGAAAAAAAAATGAAAGTTATCCAAGTAGAAAGAGAGGAAGTCAAAATATCTCTGTTTGCAGAGGATTTCATTCTATACCTACAAAACCCCATACTCCATGTGCAAAAGCTCCTACATCTGATAAACTTCAGCAAAGTTTTAGGATGCAAAATCCACATACAAAAATTGGTAACATTTCTATACACCAGCAATGTGCAAGCTGAGAGCCAAATCAAGAGTGCAATCACTTTCACAATACCCACCAAAGACATAAAATATCTAGGAATACAGTTCACCAGGGAGGTGAAAGAATTAGAGACACTGCTGAAAAAATTGGAGGTGACACAAAATCAGTGGAAAAACATTCCGTGCTCATGGATGGGAAGAATCAATGGCCACACTGCCAAAACCAATTTATGTCCTTACATTTTTAAGTATGATAGTCATTTTAGGGAATGAAGTCAAGAAAATTCAGCTTATACTCTTTGTATATACACTTTATAACTTTGTGAGAGAGAAGTAAATCTAAGAAAAATGTCAAAGAATGAAAGTTAAGTGAGTTCTTAGGTAGAAATGAAGAGGCAGTTTCCGATATGGGGCCAGCAAAAACCAGGTTAAGAGATAGGACAGTGATCCATAAAAAGTGATCTTTACTGGCGAAGTGAGAGAACATGTTTATATTTACTTATATTAATGACTATCCTATATTTAAAGTGAAATTTTATACTTTCTTCATTGTCTTGTAATGTACATTTCATATGAAAATTTGATAAAAGTTAAGGATAGTACCCGATTAAAAAAATAACTGTTTCATTACTTGACTTTCATGACTTCTTTCATGACTTGCTGGTAGCAAAAGCGAGCTGAACTTAGAGGGAGATGAAGTAGTGGGACATGTGAGAATTCAGGGCAAAATCAGTCTGAAATCAAAGAGGGTAATAGTTGTTGGACTGGGTTGTTGGGAGACTAGTTGAGTGTAGTAGTTCTATTACTTCCTTCTCTACCTCCGTTCATGTGCTAATGCCTTGGTGACTGTTGAGGAACACTGAGAACTGCTGAGGTTTGGACTTAAGGAGAGCAGGTAGGTAAGCTAGACTCCAAGGAGGCAGCAGTTATGTAGCGTGTAGTCTGAGGTTAAAGGAGGGAAGCCTGATGACTAATGGCACTGAAAATGTGCTTAGAAGACTTTGCCACTACAGAAGATGGTTATTTTATGAGTTTAAAGCTCACTGGTCAGGAATGCAGTAGGAAATCCCAGGGGATGAAATAGTAATAGAAAAAGCTGGGATCAATTTCAGTTGAGGAAAACCACACAAAATTTATCCTAAGACTACCCAAGTCAGAAACATATATCACTTAGCAGGCCACCTTAAAAGTAAAATTTTCAAAATATAATATATTACATAGTTTTAAATAGATAGGAGGATATCAAATGTTCCCAACACAAGGAAATGGTAAATGTCTGAAATGATGGATATGCTAACTGCCCTCATCTGGTCATTATATGTTTGGCAACATCACTATGTACCCCATAAATATGTACAATTGTGATGTGTCCATTAAAATTTTAAAAAAATTAGAAAAAATTAGTTCAATTTATAAAGGACTGGCTTTCCTAGTACAGATACTTAATGATAATTAATTACAAATTTCCTCTGAATACTCATAAGAGGGAGGCTAACTACTTCACAGGAGACTTGACTAATTCTGAATGAAATAATTGTTTTAAAATAAACTGAAGCTAACTACTTAAAACAAAAAAAAATAAATATAAATATTTTAATCACTTGCTAAAATTTGAAGAAATGCTACAGTTTGGGAAAACAAGAGTTTTAATTAATTTTAATTATAATCTTGCCTCCATATTTGTTGAGATTTTAATGTTCTTTCATCTGGGCTTTTCTTGAATAGCTAGTCCTTTCTTGTGTTTGAAATTGCATTATTTCTTGTCATATTGAAACAATTGCAAAATTGAATTCTGCTATATTTTAAGTAGATTTTTACCTGAAGGAATAGTTTTTTTTTCTTCTGCCTATGTCAAACTTTATCATGCAAATCTCAATAATAAATACTGAGTTGTGATTCCATCTTTGAGGCAATCTGTCCGTCAGGTGGGCAGAGGAATCTTAATATTTTTTTTCAGGTCTGAAAGGATTGTCACCATAGCAGACTTAGACAATAATACAAAAGAGAGAGCAAGAAAAACAAAGCATACATTTTAACCTTTTCTTTCTGACTGATTCTTTATATTTTAATATATGGAATGTGAGATAGTTTTTGGGAACCTCTTTCATGATTAAGAATGAAGAAGAGTAAAAGATAAGGTGAGGTGTTTATATCCACTGCACAATGATCTCCATCTTCTGGAAAAGAAAACAACCACCATCACAAGTAATTTGGATAAATATGGTAGATCTCAAACTCTAGTTACTCAAGAATTCACACACTGAAGAGAGAGCTGAGAATACTATCATCACATAATTTAATAATACAAGGCATGGTGATTCTCTAATTAAGCTAATCAACTGTATGTGTGTTGCTAACTATTGATAAAGTTTAAGGCCAAGTTTGAAATGATTTGTCTGGGAAGGGTGTTGTAGTTTTTTTTTTAATCTTCCATGAGGGGAATAAATGTTTTAGTTGAAAAACTATTTTAATAGTCTTAATTTTAGATAACTTTAAAATTACTAGTAAAGACATTTTGAGAAGATAAGTTTTAATGACAATATTACAAAGGGTAGCTAATATTTAGGAAAAAAACTATGCAATCTAATGGCTATGTTTGATTCTAATTAGGTAATTTTAATATTTAATTAAAATCCAGAATTTTAGTTCAGTTTACAAAACAAGAGATATTGAGTATAGAAATATCAAGCAAATGTTGATACAGTATAAACATGTATGATGTAAATTAGATCATCATTTTAAGATAGAGGCTTGATGACAGCTCTAATCCATAATAACAACATAAAAATTCAAGACCAATGTATGATACAATAAGATTAGAACGTATTATAGAAAGTAGGATGTTTGGGGTATAAAGCCTATCATTTTTATTTTTTCTTGTATATTTGGTAGGTAATTCTCAAAGAGTAGAAAAATACATTACACTCTTTCACCCTTGAACTACTATTTCTCTTCTTGTAGCCATACTGGCATTTTTCCATTCCACTGTAGTCAGAAAGATCAGTTATAAATACAAATTCCCTTATTAAATTTCTGCTGAATTTCCCTGCCTCTTTCCACTTTTGCATCCCTTCCACAACTTTAAAATCCTCAAGCATTTTACATTGCTGTTAGGATAAATTTCAAAATACTTATCATGACCTACATGTCCTTGGATGATGAAATCTTTGCTTTCCATCTTCACTTCACCCTTCTCCTCCTTGTGTTTATATCCTCTAACCATTCCAAGGAACTTCTGATTGTCCTCAGAGGCTTTATATACTCTTCCCTTTATATGGAAGCATCTTTACCCTCCCGTCTGTTAACTTCTATTCATTCTCCTTGTCTGCCAAGGTCCGCTCAGTTTTCCTGTTAATGGAAGTACAAATTGCATTATTCTTTTTCCTTCTAGGCTTTAACATACTTTGAAATAATATTTTTATTTGTGTGATTATTTAATATCTCTCTCATCTCATTGGAATGTTAGTATGCAAGTGCTCAGTACACTATAATTAAGTGATTAATGACATATGATGTTAAACCTTGCATTTTAGATAGTTGAAGTGAATCTAATTAGTAGAAAATATTTTATAGACATGCTCATTAATTTCACTGCTCTTCTAAAAAATAGAAATGATTGGCAGGTTGATTTTTTCTTAGATATGCTTTGAAACAAAAAAGCTTTTTGAAAAGACCTATTTCAGATTATATCTCATGAAATTTGTCAAAAATCTATCGTCATCTACCATAGGCTCGGTAAGACTAAAAGATATTTTTACCCCTCAAGATAAAAATATTGTTGGGGATATAAATCTAATACTAAAAATATTATAAATTGTGCTCTCGCTTTTCTAGTTCTGGAAAGAATAAATAAATAGATATTTTACAGAATAATTATAGTAGAATATATTCTCTTTATTATTTGACCAAAATTTCAACAGTTAAAAATATTATATCTAAAAATTCCACCAAGCTAACACTTCACATTATTTTCTTTGGTGATTGGGTTCTTGTTTTATTTTTATTGTTATTATTAGCAAATTCAGAATCTTGTAAAAAAAAGTAGCAAGTTTTAGATATTCTTGCTAAGAAAACTGTTCTCAATCTGGAGATCATAGCCAATTTCTCTGCTGATATTGCTTATTAAAACTTCTGAAGTAGGAGCTACCTCCTCCAAACTCCAAGGCTGGAGTAGTCCTGCATAGACACTAGTCTAGATGCTAGGAACATTCTTATTTGAGCCAATTTACTACATTAATAATCTCAGAGCTCCATGACATGTAACACAACCATATGAAAGAGTAGAGTAGACTTAGTCATAAACAAGGTACTCATTTTTCTTTCTCATATTACAAGCTAACATAGATTGGTCAAAATACATTTCTGAACTTAAGGCTGAAAAACTATAAAGTTTTCTTTTTATCCAAAGGTCCCTGGAAATTCTGCTAAGAGCCTGTACACAAGGTATAGGGCCTATTCTTATACGCAAGTACTTATAAGCAAGGATTTGGGGGATGATATTTTAGAAGAATGTTTAAAATGAGTATTAGGTGGTCAAGTACATACTTAGTTTTTTATAATATTTGTTTCTACTGTTAACAAATTTTACAGAAATATTGCCAAAGTACCTATGCACTAACAATATCACATGGCAAACAAAGAAAGCTTTAACTTCTTCCTACTTCAAAAATTAGTTCTAAAGCCACTCTTTTTCTAATTGAGGATCTACCTTCAATTAGTCAAAATGCCAGTGATTGTCTTCTCACAGCCCAGCTCCTAATTTAAATTGATAAATGTACTTTTAAACCAATTTCTGGAGACATCTTCATCTCATCCAACCCTGAGTTTCACTATGGCTCCCCAAATTCCTGCCTTTTACTCTGTAATTGGCAATCCAGTGCTAGAAAATAGTATTGCTCATCTCTTTTCTATATGACCTTGGAGTCCAATTACATTTCAGGGAACATGCTAAGGATTTTCACCAGCATCTGTCTATTACTTAAAAACAAGAATGATTGGTCCTGAAAATTGGTCCTTCAGTTGAAAGGCTGCTTGGCTGAGCATGAACACGATTGAGCTGCTCTGACTTTGCTCCAACATCCATGAGGCCGATTTGCCCTTTATCTTGTTCTTGACTAAGTTTTTCATTTTATAAACTATAGTCAACTTTTTCTATTACACAGAGTATCTAAGATATCAATGATTTCATCTCACTCATATGAATAAATATGACAGAAAACATGTTTATAATTCTCTGCTGACAACTCTATGAATGCACATGGAATGTTTATAAATTTCACTTTGCTGAGCCTTTGCAAACTTAGATACAATAATAAGGATGCCAATGAGAATGCACCAGTTGTGTAGCTCAGATGCAGTTTAATGTTTCTGCATACAAAAGAGATACAAATAAAGGCCAAGATAAAATACTGGGGGAGTTTTCAAAAGGAACCTGGGAGTTTAGAGGCCAGCTACAAGAATGAAGCAACCTGGGTAGTAGCTGAGGAGAGAAATTAAGAAACATATGATGCTGATTTAATGTGAGGCTTTGCTTGATAAATCCCATTACCTCCAGCTCCCCTCTGTAATCTTCAGTAAGCATCTATTTCTCATTTTTTGTCTGATGAAATGAGTTTTCTTTGTTGGGGGAGGGACTGATGAGCTCCATAAATAGCTATGCTTTCAATGGACCAGATGCAGATGGATTTTTTTGTGCGCTTAGCAGCTCTCAACCACATGGTTGTTTATTGCTGAAATCTGCTGATCTAGAATATTCCAACCCCCACCCCCCCGCTTTTTTTTTTTTTTTTTGTAGAGATGGAGTCTTTGCTCTGTCACCCAGGCTGGAGTGCAGCGGCAACATCTCGGCTCACTGCAACCTCTGCCTCCTGGATTCAAGCAATTCTCCTGTGTCAGCCTCCCGAGTAGCTAGGACTACAGGTGCACACTGCCAAGCCTGGCTAATTTCTTTTGTATTTTAGTAGAGATGGGGTTTCACCATGTTGCCCAGGCTGGTCTCTAACTCCTGAGCTCAGGCAATCCACCTGCCTTGGCCTCCCAAGAGTATCCCCACTTTTTATATTTACCTAAGGTTCTCTCAACACCATTTTTTGAACATTGATCTGCAGAACAGGGCCAAGAGACCAGCATACATTCATCTGAAGTGCTTGTCAAAATCCAGCCTCCTGCTCATCTGTCTTCAGCATTCAAGGTTCAAAAGTTCTGGATTGGGGCAAGAAATCTTATTTTTATAAGTTCCCAAAAGATTGTGAATCTGACCCAGGGTAAAGAATTACTCCTTTATGATAATCTGGCCACAGGTTTGACCTGGATCACTGCAGTTTTGTTGCTGAGTTGAAATCCTTGTCCTCTACTTTAGCTGTGCTATCTGGGTGAATTACCAAGCAAAGGAGACATCCATGAAGCCACCAGCCATCAGAGAGTTGAGCCTATGACAAACTTAACCGCTTCTCTCTCTTTCTCTGTTTTTCTTAACTAGACAAAATTACAACCACTTTATCAGTTAAAGTAGTCTTTTTCTCATACAATGAAAGTATAAAATCTTTTTGCCACTTCATATAAACAAAATAGTCAATTCTCTTTTATGCAACTGCCTGAAGTGTAGAATATATATATATACACATATATATACATATATATATAGAATATATATATAGAATCTATATAGAATATATATATAGAATCTATATATAGAATATATATAGAATATATATATAGAATATATATATAGAATATATATAGAATATATATATAGAATATATATAGAATATATATATAGAATATATATATAGAATATATATATATAGAATATATATATAGAATATATATATATAGAATATATATATAGAATATATATATATAGAATATATATATAGAATATATATATATAGAATATATATATAGAATATATATAGAATATATATATAGAATATATATAGAATATATATATATAGAATATATATAGAATATATATATATAGAATATATATAGAATATATATATATAGAATATATATATATAGAATATATATACATATAACCCTACCACTGCCATTCCAAAACACTGGATACAAAACATAAACATGTAATCTGGATTCCATCTCCTCATTTTTTCTCAAGGCTTTCACTTCTGCATAGTCTCTCTGCTCTGTTAAAAATTTCCCCTTTGTATTCATTTATTTTGTCACCGGGGATAAGGGGGATGAAGTATATATCTCACATATTAAAATAAAAACAAACTACCTTCATTCTACAACCCTTCAGCTATTATCCTATCGGATTGATCTTTGAAACCAAATTTCTTTTTTGTTTTCATCTTCCTTGCCTCTCATTCATTCCTCATCACATTTCTATTAGGTCTTGTACTCCCAGAAATAATAGAAACTTCCAAGTCGCCATATCCAAAGGATACTTTCTACATTCTAATTTTACTTGCCCTCTCAGGAGTAATGAGTCCGATGCCCACTTCTTCATTGATGAAACTCTCTTCTCTCTGCTTTCATGACAACAGACTCTTCTTGTTTTCCTCCAATTATTCTGGTCACACTTTCTCAGCTCCCTTTGCTGGCTCTTCCTCATGTATATTACATCAAAAGTCTCCGACCTAGCTCCCCTTCTCTCTATTCCCTATTTTTCGGTGATCTCCTTGGGTTCAATGACTGAAAATAGTGACTACATGCTGGTCTCTAATTGAATTGTATTTGAAGATGTGACTCCTCTAAATTCCAGATCCCTATAGCCAACTCTTTGTTTTTCATCTCTATTTACATGACAATTGGACATCTCAACTTTATATATATATACCATTCTTAGTTTCACCTCTCTCCAAACATCTTTCTTTTTTATTCTATATATTATTAAGGGTTAGAACCAGTTGCTCAATGCCAAAAAAAAAATTCCTCTTTCCCCCAGTAAAACTATGAACCTCACTTAATGCTGTCTTGTTCAATCATCCCTTGTCCCACCTTCAATCATTCCTCTGCCCCCACGCTCCACAACAGTCAAGAAAACATATGATTTTAACTCTAAAATATATTTCAAATTTGTTTAATTGTGACCATCTCCTTCTACTTTAATTTAAACTACTACCATCTTTTTATCACTTGGACTTTTAAAATAGGCTTCTAATTTTTATTTCTCAGTTTCTCCAAAGCATTCTATACTTCAAAAGTAAAAATCATATCACTCTTCTAATTACTGCCCTTCTATGTCTTCCTGTTGTACTTAAAAGAAAATCAAACTCCTCAACGTGGTCCTCAAGACATTTTATGATCAAGGACCTTGGTTGTTCTGTTAGCTGCTTCTTTTTTGTTTGTTTGTTTGTTTTTTCTTTTTTTGAGACGGAGTGTCACTGTGTCACCCAGGCTGGAGTGCAGCGATGCCATCTCAGCTCACTGTAACCTCTACCTCCCGGGTTCAAGTGATTCTCCTGCCTCAGCCTCCTGAGTAGCTGGGATTACAGGCGCACACCACCATGCCTGGCTAATTTTTGTATTTTTAGTAAAGATGAGGTTTCACCATGTTGCTCCAGCTGGTCTCGAACTCCTGACCTCGTGATCCACCCACCTCAGCCTCCCAAAGTGCCGGGATTATAGGCGTGAGCCACTGCGCCCAGCCGAGGAGGTCTTTTTAAACTAGAGAACAACCCCACCACTGTGTGCCCATGTTGTTTATTTCCTTTCCTGCACTTAGTGCAGTTTGTAACTATCTTCCATATTCTCTATTAATCTACTTGCTTTTTCTGTCTTGTCATCTCCCCTTCCAAGGGAAGAGATCTAATCCTTGTGCTCACTGCTGAATCCCCAGAATGCTTCGTGCCACCTCACTGTTAGTAGAACTTAATACATACTTGTTGATAAAGAAAGGAATCGATGAATGAATGGACCAAGGACACCTTCTAATACTGAGTCTCTATAGCTTCTCATGAGTATGCCTGTAATTTTACAACCTAAAAATAAATCACTATAAGGTTTAAATATAGTCTAAGGATTTTATGTATTCTTTAGATATTTTATCATAATTCAAGAAACCAAGTTGTTAGAAATGGCCTTCTGACATATGTGTTTTAATCTTTATCAAATTTCTGTTAATATAGCCTAAGTGAAAGTCTATTTCTCTTTCTTTGTAGTTTATTTCCAAACAGATTTTAGATAAATAATATAAAAAAGTGCTATCTTACTAAACAGAAAGATAAGCATCTTTCTTTGGACTGATGATGTTGTCTTGCCATCCCATTCCCAAGAGTGTCCTAAAAACCAAGTGAAATTGCTTGCACTTTCTGTTAAGAAGAGTAGGTCAAACAAAGCCAAAATCATTGTCTTGAAAGATATGTTTTGGCACTCAAATGGATAATTGTGAAAATAGTGTGTTAACTAGGTTTACTCATTTATCTAGTTAGCATGATTGTTGCAACTAACTTAACCAAAATTCTGACTGGGTTAGAATTTGGTTTGTTTTTGTCGGTGGCATATGGGGGTTGGGAGGACAGTAGGAGATGTCCATTCTGGAAGGGAGGAATCGTTTAACACTGACATTATTTAAAATTCCTTCACATAGTAATAATAACAAGAAGGGTGAATTCTAGTCAGTTTTGCTGTTGCTTAAAATTCTTTACAAAAAGTACACTGCCTTATTTCACATACAAAAGGCAGACTGCTCTCAAGATACCTCCCTCCCCTTTCATTGCTAAGGCAGTTTTTTGAATAAGATATTTCTCTCTATATATATCAATGATACATAACATTTGACACACATAAAATGTATACATATATACATCTTATTAATTGGGTATCCATCAAGAAATTTTCATATAATGCAAGCAAGAACTAATATATCTGAAATAATTACCACAAATCATTAATGTTGCTATTCAGAGTTAATAAATCAAGACAGAGGCTTGCTTTCCTGACTATGAAGGACAGGTGTACTGAGTATGTGTGAATATATCATATATATTACATATCACACTTATAGTTTACATTTTATATAACATAGTATGTGTGAATATATCATATATATTACATATCACACTTATAGTTTACATTTTATATAATATAGTATGTGTGAATATATCATATATGTTACATATCACACTTATAGTTTACATTTTATATAATATAGTATGTGTGACTATATCATATATATTACATATCACACTTATAGTTTACATTTTATATAATATAGTATGTGTGAATATATCATATATAACATATCACACTTATAGTTTACATTTTATATAATATAGTAGGTCTGAATATATCATATATATTACATATCATAATTTCAGTTTACATTTTATATAACATAGTATGTCTGAATATATCATGTATATTATATATCACATAGTTTACATTTTATATAATATATATTTCATATATTCACACCATATTATATACACCGACAAACCCCTTACTTTTTAAATTTATGTATTTTAGTATATTTCTACAGTACATAGAGAGCTTCCTCATTTTTTGTTAGCTACATAGTATTCTATTTATGTTCTATAATTTAATTTATATAACTAATTTCCTATTGGTGAAATATGGATAATTTCCAGACTCTTTTTTTTTATTATACTTTAAGTTTTAGGGTACATGTGCACATTGTGCAGGTTAGTTACATATGTATACATGTGCCATGCTGGTGCGCTGCACCCACTAACTCGACATCTAGCATTAGGTATATCTCCCAATGCTATCCCTCCCCCCTCCCCCCACCCCACCACAGTCCCCAGAGTGTGATATTCCCCTTCCTGTGTCCATGTGATCTCATTGTTCAATTCCCACCTATGAGTGAGAATATGCGGTGTTTGGTTTCTTGTTCTTGCGATAGTTTACTGAGAATGATGGTTTCCAATTTCATCCATGTCCCTACAAAGGACATGAACTCATCATTTTTATGGCTGCATAGTATTCCATGGTGTATATGTGCCACATTTTCTTAATCCAGTCTATCATTTTTGGACATTTGGGTTGGTTCCAAGTCTTTGCTATTGTGAATAATGCCGCAATAAACATATGTGTGCATGTGTCTTTATAGCAGCATGATTTATAGTCCTTTGGGTATATACCCAGTAATGGGATGGCTGGGTCAAATGGTATTTCTAGTTCTAGATCCCTGAGGAATCACCACACCGACTTCCACAATGGTTGAACTAGTTTACAGTCCCACCAACAGTGTAAAAGTGTTCCTATTTCTCCACATCCTCTCCAGCACCTGTTGTTTCCTGACTTTTTAATGATTGCCATTCTAACTGGTGTGAGATGGTATCTCATAGTGGTTTTGATTTGCATTTCTCTGATGGCCAGTGATGATGAGCATTTTTTCATGCATTTTTTGGCTGCATAAATCAGACTCTTTAATTATAAAAATACTTCAATGAATAGTCATTTGTGCAAGTCATTTGTGCACATGTAATTCTAGGATGAATTCCCAGAAAATGGATTAGGTCTAAGGTTATATGTTCTTTTTAATATTGAAGATAAAAATCTAATTTTATAGTGCAAGTAGAAATTTCAGATTTTTGACCCTGAACTTTAACATCCCAATTTTTAAATATTTTATGACATGGGAATTCTAGAGATTTAGTATAATACATTAAATTGTTCATTTAACAAGCTCTGGAGGTATTTTTCAAATTTTCTGTTCTTTCTTGCATGTATTCCTAAGCCCTAATTGACATCGAGAGTATTTTTTTCTTTATCCCTTGTTTTTGTAGCAAGAATGCAAGCCAAGAACATACAGCAGATCCTTTAATTTAAAAATAAAATATATTTTTAGCAACAGACTTTGTATGAAAAGCAGTAGGTCTCAATTGTAGTCATATATTGTAATCACCTGTTGAGCTTTTAAAGAGTATTTTTTTTTTTAATTTCCACCCTTGGCGATTATCATATGGGCTTCATGCACTGTCTGCTTTTGTGTTCCAACGTTATTCTTACACATATTCTCATTCGGTAATGATTGATCTTAAATATATGAGAGTTTGAATAGTACTATTACAAAAAATCTGCATTTCAGTTCTTAGGCAATGATCACACTTTTAAATTGTCATCAGTGCTGCACAATCTTAACAAGATAATTGAAAATCTAGTTAAATAACTTAGAGGACACAATAACCATGTAATATATGTTCTAGTCCACTGTAACTCTACTTGACATTGTACATATTTACTGTTATCACATACAATGCGCAGGGTATTAAAGTTTGAATTTTAGAAGTAACATTAACATATTTTCTGACATGTAGTCTCACATATCTTACATTGTAACGCAGAGCCACGTTAGTTTGCTAGTAACTATAATTAAATAATGCTAATTCCTAAAATTCTATTTTATGCAGAATTAATAAGTCAAGACATGGACTCACCTTCCTCACTATGAAGGACAGATTAGAATAGAATATCATATGTAAAGGGGTTAAGGGATTCCTAAAATAGGTGTCAGTTTAGTTGATAATAGGCAATAAAGCCCAAGGGCAGAGACACAATAATAATTTCTAACAAAGATCAGCAGCAAACTGAAGTTAACCTTCAGTTTATAACACAATTTATAACACAAATATCTTTTTTAAAAAAGTCATTAAACGAAGAAAAATCAAGTCCTAAATTTTCAGCTAACCTAATTAAAACATTAAATAATGACTTGTCTCATGAGAATGTACTTTGACTTTTGAAAATAGACTTGTATTAAATGGTTACTTTATATCAACAATATATACTAAAAATAATTTCCAAAATAGATTTAACACTGATAAAATGTTTCCCATATAATGTAATAAAATGCTAACACTAGAAAACAGAGAGTGGCTTCTAAAGCTACTTTATCTTTTTCTGAAAAGAACCGCTCAATACCCTCCTCCTTAATCTCTAACTCACATTGCCAGAGGGATAGACATAATAGTTTGTTTTGAGTGGCACATCTTACAAGAAGTTAAGATACTTGAATCACTGTCAGTGCTTGTGGATAAGAACATCGACTATCTAGCCCCTAAGGTTAGGCACTTTATGCATGAAGTGATGGGGAGACACTCAAGATGCTTCCTCCAGATCTTTTCTTTATCTTATTCTCTGTTACACTCTTCATGATATCAACTTAAATGTTGTTAACACTGACAGAATATTCATTTTTGAGATTTAAACTTATGGATGGTATGTTAATAATATATTATTGGCCTTGAATAAGCCAACACATTTCTACAGGTCCAAAATATTATTTCAGCCTTGTTATGTTTCAGGTATCATTTTGCTTTACTTGAACTTTGCTGGGCACATGATCTGTCTATGTTTAAAAAAATGCAATGGAATATTTGAATATAAATTGGAGATATGTGAAACTAAGACAACTGTATTAATCAGATACCACTGAGCATACTGAAGTAACTTGGTTTGGGGAAGAAATTTTAAATCGTGATATGTCCAATTTTAATCTTTATATTTTCTTGCATGTTTTTACTTTAAGTCACGTTAGTGGGGTTTTCATCGATATTAGTACAATCACAAAACAAGAGCCAAGTGAGACCTTAGACTACATATACTGAAATATTCGGATTTGGTAGTCTTGGGAATTTGATATAAACTGGAATAAAATACTCCTGATTTTTCACAAAAATAACTTGGTTTTCTGTTCCTTGTCGTCCTTTATCTTTTTTCATCTTTGTTCTTTTAAGAAAGTAACTAGTTTCTACAAACACAACAATTAATTTTAAATGTTGATATGTTCAATAGCATGAAATTCATTTATTACATCCATGGCAATCATATAGATGTTTTAGAATAATTATGAATAAAAAGTACACACAAATGCTGTTTTTTTGTTTGTTTGTTTGTTTGTTTTAGATGGAGTCTTGCTCGGTTGCCCAGGCTGGAGTGTAGAGTGCAGTGGCACGATCTTCGCTCACTGCACCTTCTGCCTCCTGGGTTTAAGCAATTCTCCTGCCTCAGCCTCCCGAGTAGCTAGGACTACAGGTATGTGCAACCACACCCGGCTAGTTTTTGTATTTTTAGCATAGAGACAGGGTTTCACCATGTTGGCCGGGCTGGTCTTGAACTCCTGACCCCAAGTGATCCGCCCGCCTCAGCCTCCCAAAGTGCTGGGATTACAAGCGTGAGCCACTGTGCCTCGCCTAAATGCTGTGTATTTAGTGAATATTCTAAAATGCGTTTTGTGCCAAAATCCTTGGAAATATGTAACAAATAATATCCACTAGTGTTCACTTTTCAGGATAGTACAGTGTTAGAAAAAATAAGAATAATTATATTCAACATAGAATATCCAACAAATAGTTAGCTATTGAGTAGCTAAGCAAAACTCCTGTATGAGATAATAATTGATGGCAACAATATCAATAAGAAACCTATTAGTAAAGATAATAATCATAATAATAATTTTATAGTGTTTACAAATTTATAAAGTGCATTCACCTGTATTACTTATTTGAATTGTTACATGTCCTGAAAAATGCCTTTTTCTATTCCAGTTTGCCTCCAGTTTTGCTGGTGACAGGGAAGGAATCCGAATTAGGATTGGGAAGATTTCATTTCCCATCCTGGTTCTGCCACTTGGTGGTGGGATCAGGTAGAGTTTAACTTTTCTATGAGCCTCAATAATTTGACCCCTAAGATAAAGAACGAGATGACTTCCATTCTCCTTTCTTATTGTATAATGTCCTGATTTCTTAAAGACTAATTATACTGTTTTGCGATAAAAGGCTATTTATCTCCTGGTGGCATCCTTTAGTAATCCGTATTATTCATTAGAATCTTTACATCTTTTAGAGCAGGGATTGGCAAGCTTTCTGTAAAGGGCCAGATAGTAAATATTTTCTGCTTTGGGGGCCAAATAGAACCTGTCATAACTGCCAATTCTGCTGTTATACCAGGAAAGCAGCTGTAGATGGTAAATACATGAGTGTGGTTGTGTTTCAATAAAATGTTATTTACAAAACAAAATAAATGAAAAAACAAAAAACAAAAAACAGGCAGATAGTCCAAGGTCACCCTCCCTGTTTTGGAGGAAGAGAATAAGAACAATAGAAGATGACTTTTCAGAACATTCTTCAGAAGTGAAGTTTGGATGAAGGACAGGGAGGAGATAGTGATAAAGTCAAACTTTGGATAATACTACATATTCTAGTCACTGAATTTTGTGAAATTAGTTAACCTACTTACTAACATTTGCAAAGCTTAAAGAAAAATTATAGGTTTTCTATTCGAATATTATGACATAAGCTGTGTATGAATTTTACATAACATATGTTAATGTCGAGTTAGCAGATTTCAGGATAGCCACATTTTTTCCTTCCAAATATCTCTCTGTCTCTTTCTCTTTTTCTCAGTATATATACAGAAACATAGAGGGTTGGTCCCAAACATGTGGGTTGCTGTGTTGTGGTCTCCAGCTCTGTGGAGGTCGGCAAGTCCTAAAGGGGAGCGTGGGCAGGGGTGGCAGTTAGACTGGTTTTGGACAATGAGATTCTGACCTCACTGCATTCCTTTTACTTCCTTTTGCTTCCACCACCACCATTAGTCTCTTTGAAGTCTCGGAGTGGAAGCATCTTTGGGGATCATGACTGCTGTCCAGGATTTCAGTGTGGGAAGCAGAGGCAGCCTCAGCAGATGGGGCGGGCACCCATGGCCAGCAGGTGTTGACAAGATCTGTCACCTGTAACGTTTTTGGCACAATAACATTAAATGCCAGTTTCAAAATAATAATAATGAGGATACTAAGAATATATAAGATTACATATATATTATCTGCCTCTTTATTTTTTGAGACAGAGTCTCACTCTGTCGCCTAGGCTAGAGTGCAGTGGCGCTATCTAGGCTCACTGCAACCTCCGCCTCCCGAGTTCACGCCATTCTCCTACTTCAGCCTCCCGAGTAGCTGGGACTACAGGTGCCTGCCACCGCGCCCAGCTAATTTTTTGTATTTTAATAGAGACGGGGTTTTACCGTGTTAGTCAGGATGGTCTTGATCTCCTGATCTCATGATCCGCCCGCCTCGGCCTCCCAAAGTGCTGGGATTACAGGCATGAGCCACAGCGCCCAGCCTATTCTGCCTCTATGTGCATAGAAAGAGAAGAAGAGTCTAATATGAATAGTTTTGTGCTGACTTTTGACAATTAAAATGACAGTTTTTATAAGTACACATTTTTCAGAGCTGTTGCTGCTTGTTTAAACTTTTAAAAAATATATTCTATTTTTTATAGATGGGGTCTTGCTAAGTTTGTCAGGCTGGCTGCTGCCTAAGCTTCCCAAGAGGCTGGGATTACAGTGGCACGCCGCTGCACTTTTTTTTTCTTTGTAGTTCACTAATAGGTAAAATCCTGTCCATATATATAACTAAAATACTTGTGATTTTCTGAAGCAGATTAAAGTATAAATAGTTTAGGATTCAACTTATATTTATTTTTAGTCATTTGATTCACCTTAACATAAATGATCCAATAAGTTACTTTTTCTGAATTATAACGAATTTCATTTTTATGAATCGGCCTTCTTCAATGATTGATATTGTGCTTTTAATCTACGTGATCTTTTCAGAATTTACCAATCTCTGCAGGTTGCAACTAATAAAACCTTTACATTACTAGACTTATTGAGTCCATTAAAAAAAATGGTACTTGTAAAATTCTGGTAATAGTTTTGTAAGTGGTCCCTGCGTTTAAAGACAAAACAAGTGGGAAACCTCTTGTGGCGTTTGTTACATTTTCCCTGCTACAATGTATTGCTTATTTCCGTGGAAAGCTTGTCAGGAATATCTGGAAACAAATTAGAAAGTTGCTCACAAAATGAGGGAACTTATTTTAGGAGTCTTGATAAAATCACATTAAATATAAAAGTATCTTTTATTGAATTTTGTGTTTTGTTTTTACAGAGATTAAATAAAACCCTGGGCAGTGGCAAAGATTGTTGGGAAGGAGCTGTGTCATAGCCGTATATTTTTCAATGAATATGTTAAAATAATATTTCATGAAATGAACACAGGGGTGCAGAATTTTATGATTACCACATTGGTATTTTCTTTTGTTTTCTTTCTTTCTTTCTTTCCTTTTTTTTTTTTTTTGAGACAAAGTCTCTCTTTGTCGCCTAGGCTGGAGTGCAGTGGCACAACCTAGGCTCACTACAACCTCCGCCTCCCATGGTCAACTGATTCTCCTGCCTTAGCCTCCCCAGCAGCTGGGATTACAGGTGCCTGTCACCACACCCAGCTAATTTTTGTATTTTTAGTAGAGACAGGGTTACACCATGTTGGCCAGGCTGGTCTCGAACTCCTGAACTCAAGCAATCCACCTGCCTTGGCATCTCAAAGTGCTGGGATTACAGGTATGAGCCACTGCTCCTAGCCTGTTATTTTTAATAAAGCAATTGTCATAGCTTGAGTTTTTAAACAGCAAACTTTTCCCTTAAAAATATATTACTAGAATAACCATAAACTATAAGGACATTTAATCTGTACAATTTTCCCTCATTTTCCATACAGTTATTTCTATAAAGCATTTTCTAAATTTCTGACTTGAAAAGGTTTTTTTGTAAGAATTTTTTAAATATATAGGAAAATCTGTACTTAATACTCAGATCATTTTTTCTGCTGATCACAATTATTTCAAATATATTTTGACAGCTTTAGTTAATACAATGATATATTAAGACTTTTAATCAATATAGATCTTTTAAAATGTTTATTCTCATGAAGTACCATTAAGTGTAAATTGTCAGGGCATTTAAACATCAGTCATATAAATCACATTAAAGTTGCTACTTAGTCCCTGAATTATTTTGAACACCATTAAATCTTATTAACATTCCAGTTATATAGTTTTAATATTAATTATTATGGATATTTGTGAGATACCCTGTCAACATAAAGTCATTAGAGATGAATAGCACATGAATATGTTGTACCAAGTATTTATCTGATTGTGTGTGTTTAAAGTCTTGTATGAGAAAGATAAAATATAGAAATTGACATTCAACTTTCTAAAAATTAATGTAACATTTATTAGAAATAAACTTTTTATTTAGAATTTGGTATCCAAAGATAAGTATGATATGGCTTAAGTGGTAATTTGGAAAAAATGGGTCATGTAATTACAGGGTCATTTTCATTTTATCATTTTGAGGTTTACCTGTATTATTTATAGGATATATTTAACATGATTTATTACATGATTATACAGATTACATTTAACAAGGCAATAAAATCATACAATTCAACACTAAGGTGACCTTCACATGAACAGTGTTGCTGAACGAGTTGTTTTTAAAAAATGAGTGTTTTGGTTCTCTTATTTGTGCCATTAGAATTATTTATATTTTTGTAATAAATTTGATAATGAGACTCAAAACAGCATTTTTCTAATACAGTATATTTTGAAAGAATTGAAATAGTAAAAGTAGGCTTCCAACTACATTAATGCCAATGCTGTTCCTTGGAAGATTTCTTGATATTATTAAACTGCAATAAACTAAGAGGATTGTTTCTGAATATGCGACTAAAGCTTTTTCAATTTTCTTTCTTTCGATAACTGCTTTTTACCCAGTTTTCTTTTTATTTCTCTACATATGTGTATCAAAAGGAGGAAATGCAAATTGCTTTATTAAAACCCAAGTGAAAGCTCAATTATTGTCCCCATTTTATGCATTTTTTTCTTATGTTCCTTCTTTGTGGAATGTCTTCTCCACTGTCTTCCCAATTCTAATTCTCACCTCCTCCATACTTTGTTCTTTTAGGTTACTGCGTCATGCATGTGAATTGCTCTGAAATATCATTAACAATTTTTGTCTGCATTATTAATTTTGGCCTTACATTTTACAGTCTTTGACACATAATTGGCTTTTAATAGATATTTATTGAATCAATTGAACTATCTCTAGTGTACAGACTCCTGAATAGATTATAAGCTTTGTAAAGAAGGGGACAGGTTTAATTCTGTTTTTACATCTCTCATAATATTTCTAATTGTACATTTCAAACCTGCTTTTCAATTCTCATTTTGTTTACTTCTCTGCAGTGTTGGAGAATTTTAAAACATCCTATAGTTCATGGTATTCTTTGATCTCCTGGATTTGACCATATTGCTTTCTAGACTATTTTGTTCATGTTTTCCTGGAAGTACTTTAAGTTTTGGTATCCTCAGTGTTTCCAATTTCTAACTTATTCTGTTTTCTTTCTCTTCATTTTTTTCTGGCCAATCTTACCTCCTTTTATTACTTAAACCATCATTTTCCCCTGACAAGAATAATAATGAGTAACATTTTAAAAATGCTTTCATGGATCTAGGAAATTTATTTGCATTATTTCATCACATTCTTTCCAGACCTAATTTTATAGATTATCTTATTCTATCCATATCGCAAATTAAAAAAAAAAAAAAGAAGAGGTTGTGTTACTCACTCAGAGTCATACAGGTAATTGTGTTGAAGTCAGGTTACAAATACAGATTGCCAGATTATAGATGCTGAGCTTCTAGCCAGTACCCTAGTGTACACTCACACAAATCAAGCTCAACTCTTGAAAATAGATATGTTTACAGTTTCATTATGTTTCCTGGTCATTCAATGTTTGCATCATCCATTCAGTTATCCAGGCTAGAAACCACAGAGGAACCACTATGAAATTTTCTCACCCTCCATAAGCAAATGGTCTTTATGCCTTCTCAGGTTCTACTTCAGAAATATCACTGAGATGAATTCTCTTCCTATTCTGAGTCCAAACTGTCATTGTCTCTCTTAACTAACTATTGTAATTCAGGCATACTTCAGAGGTATTGCAGGTTCAGTCCCAGAACATGAAAATACAGCAAATCTGGAAATCAAGTGAGTCTCCCAAATTTTTGTGTTTCTCAGCGTATATAAAAGTTATGCTTACACTGTACTTTAGTCTATTAAGAGTGTAATAGCATTATGTCTTAAAAATACTAACTTTAATTGAAAATGCTTTATTACTAAAACATGTTAACAATCATACGAGCCTTTAGTGAGTTGTAATCTTTTTGCTAATGGAGGGTCTTGCCTTGATGATGATGACTGCTGACTGATCATGGTGGTGGTTGCGGAAGGTTAGAGTGGCCGTGGAAATTTCTTAAAATAAGACAACAATGAAGTTTTCTTTATTGGTTGACTCTTCCTTTCATTAAAGGTTTCTCTGTAGTGTGCGACACTGTGTGGTAGGATTTTACCCACAAAACTGCTTTCAAAATTGAAGTCAATCCTCTTAAACCCTGTAGCTGCTTTAATAACTAAGTTTATAACATGTTCCAAATTTTTGTTGTCATTTTGGCAGTGTTCAAAGCATCTTTACCATGAGTACATTCCACCTCAAGAAACCCCTTTATTTGCTCATCCATATGAAGCAAGTCCTCATTTTTCATTATATCATGAGATTGCAGCAGTTCAGTCACATCTTCAGGCTCTACTTCTAATTCTAGTTCTCCTGCTATTTTCACCATACCTGCAGTTCCCTCTGCCATTGAAGTCTTGAACCCCTCAAAGTCATCTATGAAGACTGGAATTAACTTTTTCCAACTATTGTTAATGTTGACATTTGACCTCCTCCTATGAATCATGAATGTTCTTAGTAACATCTAAAATGGTAACGTTTTTACTTTTTAAACTTACTTTGCCTAGATCCAGCAGAAAAATCACTATATATGGCAGCTATAGCCTTATGCAAAATGTGTTTCTTAAATATTAAGACTTGAAAGCCAAAATGACTTCTTAGTTCATGGGCTACAGAATGGATGCTGTATTAGCAGAAATGAAAAAGACATTCCTCTCCCTGTACATTTCCATCAGAGTTTTTGTACTCTGTTGTACAAAAGTAAATAATAATTTTTTGTACTCTGTTGTACCATCAGTAAATAATAATATTTTGAAAGAAGTATTTTCTTCTGAGCAGTAGGTCTCGACAGTAGACTTAAAATATTCAGTAAACTATGCTGTAAACAAATGTTCTGTCATGCAGGCTTTGTTCCATTTATAAAACACAAGCAGAGTAGATTTTGTAGAATTCTTAAGGACTGTAAGGTTTTTGAAATGGCAGATGAGCATTGGCTTCAACTTAAAGCTGCAAGCTGCATTAGCCCCTGACAAGAGAGTCAGTTTGTCCTTTCAAGATTTGAAGCCAGGCATTGACTTTTCCTAGCTATGAAAGTCCTAGATGGCATCTTCTCCAATATAAAGCTGTTTCATCCACATTAAAAAAAATCAGTCATTTAATAACTCCAGCTTCATGAATAAACTTAGTTAAATCTTCTGGATAACTTGCTGCAGCCTCTACATCAGCACTTGCCATTTTCCCTCATACTTTTGTGTTACGGATACATCTTCTTTCCTCAACCTCATGAACCAACATCTGCTAGCTTCAAAACTTCTTCCGTAGCTTCCTCACCTCTCTCAGCCTTCATAAAATTGAAGAGAGTTAGAACTTACTCTAGTTCAGCTTTGACTTAAGGGAATGGCTTGTATGATCTTCTACTCACACCATTAAAACTTTCTCCGGGTCAATAATAAAACTTTTTTCATACTCTTATCATTCATGTGTTCACTGGAGTAGCACTTTTAATTTCCTTAATTTCCTTCAAAACTTTTCCTTTTCATTCAGAACTTGGCTTTTTGCTTCAAGCAGTGTAGTTTTCCAGCTATCTCAGCTTCCAACATACCTTCCTCACTAGGCTTAATCATTTCTAGCTTTTCAAGTTAGAGAAGTCCACCTCTTTCTTTCACTTGAACATGTAGAGGCCATTGCAGAGATATTAGTTGGACTAATTTTAGTATTGTGGTGTCTAAGGGTATAGGGAGGCCCGAGGAAGAAGAGAGATGAGAGAATGGACAGTCTGTAGAGCAGTCAGAATACACATTTATCCATTAAGTTTGCTGTCTTATGTGGGTGTGATTTATGGCACCTCCCGAAAATTGCAATAGTAATATCAAAGATCACTGACCACAGATCAGCACAACAAATATTATAATAATTCTAAAGTTTGAAATATTGTGAGAACTGCAAAAATGATGTGACACAGAGCTAAAAAGTAAACACATGCTGTTAAAAAATGGCACCTTGGCTTGAGTTGCTCAACATAAGGTTGCCACAAATCTTCATTTTGTAAGAAAATGCAATAGCTGCAAAACATAATCAAGTGAAACACAGTAAAACAAGATATAACTGTAGTTTTTTTTTCTTGAAATTCACTCTTAATTATGGTATAAAAGCATTTTTGGAAATTATAGGTTTGAATTTATTTTTTATGTAAAAATGTCATTGATTTTCTCTTGTTTATTTAATAAAGCCCAAACATTTAAGAAAAATGTACAAAGCTTAAATCACTCCTACTGACTTCTCTCTTGTAACTTTCTTCCTCACTTCACTTTCAGGAACACTATATTCTTGACCCCAAGAATTTTAACACTGTAATGAGTATCCCATGCTTTCCTGTTCCTCTGGGCCTTTGTTCTTGTTGTTCTCACTGCCTAAAATTTTATTTCCTTCTTTCAACCCAGTGGAATTCACCTATCCTTCAAGGCATAACTTAAATTACATCTTCTCTCTGAGATCTTTATGTTACCAATTCCCACTCCTCCATCTTGGCAGAATCCATTACTCCTTCCTTAGGGCTCCAAAAAAGTCTTTGTATTAATCCTTACTGTAGAGCTTATTACAATATATTTCATTTTATTTTTGTGCTCTGAGGCATGGCTGTATTCTCCCTTGACATTTAAGAAGGTTTAGTATAATCAGTTTTCTGTTTTAACTTGAATATGAATACAAAAAAGTCAATATAAGGAAGGAACAAAAATGTTTTCCACATATTGCACAAAAAATGTATGAAATTTGTTTTCCTTTGTCTCTTTTTTTATGCTATGCTCAAGGTTAGCCAATTTGGGACTATGATTATAATGATAAAATATAATAGGCAATTAGAATGAAATAAGTACAAACATTCATCTAACTTTTTTTCTGAATGTTTCTATTTGGCCCCTTGTTAATAATAATTAAAGATGTAAATTCATTAGAATTTCCCAATTCTCTTCATACAAATAAAGGTAATTTTATTATTCCCATAGTGTCTATGATATAGACAATTTCACATCTGTTCTCCTTTGTAATTTTTATTGTGAGCTGTACATGTGTCAGCTTAGATTAATAATTGTCACTAAGAGCTTCTTTGCTTTATATTTCAAATTTATTTAATGACTATTATTCAGGGGTTTTTCAAGCACAACAGTTGAGAAGAAGTTTGAGATCGTTTAAAGAATAAGGAGTTTGAAATAAAACAGACCTAGGATCCAATTTGAGTTCTACTACTTAATTGATTAGAGGCATATACTAAATCTCTCTGAATTTCAGTTTTGGCTTCTCTAATATGGAGTAAGAATGACTATTTGGAAACTTGTTTTGAGCTTTAAAAGTTGTGTAACTAAAGGTCCTACCCTAAAGCAGTAGGCACTCCATAATTGGCAGTTATTATTGCTACTCATATTACTATAAGGAATAGATTGTTCCTGGAGTCTTTCTAAAATTTTTTTCATCATCTACAATGTCATCATGAATCATGCAGTGTCATGGTTACGGTAGGCTTGTCTTTAGTGTTTGACTGAATTATGTGTGCTGTGTCAGAATGGAAGTTACATGATGAATGTGCGAGTAGAAACCTCTCCTACACTGTTGATTTACTTGTGTTCTCTTTGAGTTGTGAAAGCAGCCTTACTAGCTGACCTAGAGTTTGAGTCACTTTCCCCTTCTGATTCTCAGTTGAAGAAAGATTGAATCTTGGAATGACAATACCTAATTATTTTTAAAAATTTATAGAATGTAGTAAGTTATTGCTTACTTCAAATCCTCTACATTAAGTGTTTGCTTTAAACTTGGCTTCAGAATATTCTTAAAACACGTTCTTGAACACTTTTATGCATCTGCATTTCATCTTGTTTGTTTTTTGAAAAACTGTCTGAAGTGGCTATTCTTTACATTCTAATGGCTGTGGAAAAGAATGCTTATAGTTCTTAATGTTTGTAGTAGTTACCTAATAATACAAGAGCAGGTATCCATAGATGATAACATACTCAAGCAAAAGAAAAACAGTTAAACTTCATATTTAAGTTGTTAAATTTACATATTAAGGAGTGAATGAAGAAACTAGAGGGAGCTATTTAAGATGGAGATTAGCACTGGAGCAAAGGCTCGGCACTGAGAATATGAGATGCAGTGGTGAGAATAATCTACTAGGTTTACTCACATCAGGTGTATGCTACGGTGGGAGTGAAAGAATGAGATTAAATTAAAATAGAAGATCATTGAAAGAGAGGGGATCCAGGTATTAACTGACAAGGGAGCGAAGAGATCATCTAGGAAGATACTAATATCATAAAAAACAATGCAAACATTAGTGTAGGAAAGAATTTCCTCGAGTAACTGAAATTATTGAGAAATGAGAGTGTTTGATTTAGATACTTGTAGATAACTGGGACAACAATGGGTTGACTAAATGAAATTCATATGAGATTCAAAGGTGGAGTTCTTAATTTCCTCCTTATCAGCAAATCATTTTATCCTGCGAAAATATAGTGCTTTGCTGCTTTCAAAGTATATCCTTTTACTCTATTGTTGTTGTTGTTTTTCTCATAGAAAATAGCTCTTTCTCATAGACGAGAGCTTTTCTAATGTTAATAATTTAGCTTTACTTCGCTCTCTGTTTTCAGGCTGCTCCCTGATGTTGCCACACAAACAGGATAAAAATTCTTATTGTTATTCCAGTCTTGCTTTAATCCTACTTTTGCTCCGTTTCTTTGCATCTACTGGAGAAATATCATTTTCAAAATATGGATAGTTTTAAAATTCAAACCTTATATAAAATAGACAAAATTGGGTTATATAATCAAATAAGTTTGGGGAAATGTGGGCTAAAAAAGATATAAACTTCTCAGAGTCTTTAATAAGCTGATGGCTTTGTGTAAGAGACGTGTATTAAACTTTGTTTCTCCAGTGCTTTTGTCATGTATCATCTTGAAGAATCAGTGTTCCTCAAGGTGAGTTTTGATATATTCCGAACTTAAGCTATGTAGACTTCATTTACTCTGTGTTTTGGCTTGTAAATAAATGAAAACTTACAATATCCAAAACTTACAAAGCACTTTTCTGGGGAGAGGGTGTAGACACTCTTTTATGTACTTTGGTATATATTAGCCTATTTAACCTTCATCACAATCCAATCCTATAATGTGGGTATTATTATTATTATTATTATGTTTATTTTTTTTTGAGACAGAGTCTCGCTCCGTCACCCAGGCTGGAGTGCAGTGGCGCGATCTCGGCTCACTGCAAGCTCCGCCTCCTAATGTGGGTATTATTAATGATTACTATTTTAGAGATGAACAAACTGAGGCACAGATAAATTAGGTAACTTACCCAAGGTTACATAGCTGGGAGGTGGTAGAACCAGACAGGATTCTGATCCTGGTAGTTTAGCTTCATGGTCTGTACTCAACCCAATAAGATTAAACGAAGATCTAGGGGTCCAACTATTGTGGAGTGAGGATAGAAAATGATGACCAGAAAACCATAAGATTAGTTACAGACAAAGAATATACCTGCTATATATTTCTGAAGATATTGTCAAACAACCATTACAGGACTACTTTCACAGCAACTTTTGTTGGGCTGAAAAAGTATGGACAAGACCACATAGTAATCCCTGCCTAACATGCAGGGATTATGCAGGGCTAAACATCCAAAGACCTGATTAAAAAATATTTCTATAGTGTTTCTATCTCATGTATGGGGAAATAGCCCAGAAATAGTAGAGATAATGCAGAGGAGTGTGTAGGCTTTTATGTGATGTGAGCAGTTGCACTCTCCATATTTAACACTAAAAATAGAACCTGTTTGTGCATCTGTATGCGTGCAAGTGTGTGTGCCTGTATTTGTGTGTGTGTGCATGTGTGTTTGTTATTTTGTTGTATTTTTAATGCCTAGTTGGCTTACTGTATATTTTTATGTTTGCTTTGTTTGAAAAAGCAGCCATATCGTTTAACCTTTTGTGAGCTGATGTCTTTAATTAAAATTGGTCTTAGGCAGATAAGCATAGATGTTTTGTTTTAAACAGGCTGACAGTAAGCCTAACCCTTAACTTAAAAGTCCATAGACGCTTCCACAAACAATGTAAGCTAAATGCAAATGTGTTTGTCTATTAAAAAATTTACTAAACTTTTTGTATATACAGGCATTATTCTAAGGGAGATACTATATTATTCATTAGATAACAGATCCTTTACTCCTGAGTCTTCCTAAGACAGTAAAATTTTTTCCAAAGTTATGCATTTGTCTCTCTCTCTCTCTCTCTCTCTCTCTCTGTGTGTGTGTGTAATATGTAGCTCTGATACATCAGGGCCGCTTAAGTTTTTGATATACAACATTATAGATGAGAGTAGACATTTTGATTGAGTGTCTTCTTGTCTTCTGAAACGTTCTGCTGTCTCCAATTCATTCTGCACTGTGTAATTTGAGACAGTTTGAAATTAACTTTGCTATGTAAATTACAGGCCATGGCGTTTTTGTTGAATTGGATCAAATAGAAATGCAGGAGAAATTGGTTACAGTTAGAAACTATTACTCAAAAACTTCTCATTTGGATCTTAACTATAAACTTTTTTTTTATTCATAAAAAAACTTTTTTTATTCATAATTAAATTAAATAGGGAGAAGAGGCTCTAAAATTAAAAGTGATTTGAAGAAGTTGAAGTCTTTTTAGGGAAAAACTCTGTAAAGGAAAAGATAAACATTTAATTTTATTTTTGAGACAGGACCTTGCTCTGTCACCCAGGCTGGAGTGCAGTGCTGCAATCACGGCTCATTGCAGCCTCTACATTCTGGGCTCCAGCAATCCTCCTGCCAAGCCTTCTGATTAGCTGGGACTATAGGTGTAAACCACCATGCCTGGCTAACTTTTAAAAAATTTTTGTAAAGACAGGGTTTCACTATGTTGCCGAGTTGGTGTGGAACTCCTGAGCTCAAATGATCCTCCTGCCTCAGCCTCTCAAAGTGTTGGAATTATAGGCATGAGCCATGATGCTTGGCCCTCATTTTATGTTTTGAATAAGAAATTATTTGGCTTCAAATTAAATTATAAAAGACAAGTACATGGAATTTTCATTTAATATTTAGGGCTCTCAAACAAGCGTTAGTGTCAACTACATATATATTCTAAACACCAGTAATTTTGTTGTTGTTGTTCAATATTTCCTTTGGAAAGTGCACTTAGTATCAACCATAACAATGAAATGCTATCATCAGAGGTTTTTCTATTGTTTTGAAAATAATTTCAATACCTTTGGGGATGTGAATAAAATAATGCTAAAACTATTAACAATTACTTTTTTCAGGTATATTAATTTCTGTCTATAATCATTTGGCAACTTATTTTGAAAGCATGTTGTCTAACGTGTTAAAGATTACAAAGTCTCAGTTCAGATCATGCTTCTCATTTGTTGCTCAATCCATTTTTTGTAAAATAAAAAATGTTTGCCCTATTTATAGGTTTTGTAATTAGTAGTGGTAAACCAATTCCACTGCTAGAATTTTTTAAATGAATTATTACACAAGGGCTATATTGACTAAATTCGCACCTGTGTTATAGTGGAATGTACTAAAAATATCACTTACTTGAATTTTTCAGTGCTTAGCAGCGCAAGTTTAGTAAGATTTATTTCATATTCTTTTTAAAAGCTTCATAAACCTCATCTGTTTGCGTATTCTATTTTCTTCCACTCTAAATCTGACCTGTTATTGACTTGTTTGTGTCGTTTGCTATATCCAGTTGTAGAAATTTAAGTCACCTTTATGCAATTCGCACCGTACTTATATAAGCAATTATTTCTTCATTTATGTGATAGCTTTGAAAAATATAACATTAAATATCATTTAATGTTACTGTTTATTTAAATTTTTTGGTTCCAGAGGTTTGGGGCATTATGACTCAACATCTGATCTGATTATTTTAAAATAGTAATAAAATTTAAATATTATAAAGAGCTCTACATAATTTGATTTAGAAAAGGTCTATTTTGGAGCATTGAATGTAATGTGGATTTATCTTGTATATGCACATATGTTGGAAAATATTTGGGAATACACATACATATATGTGTAACATAATCTACATTTTCAGAATAGAATTAGTATTAAAAATAAAAATTCCTATGTCCTTCTAAGTGAACAATATTACACGCTAAACACAATCAGTTGGCTAATGATACTGTATGAATTCAGGGTGGATTACAAGAAAAAGCAACAACAACTAAAGGGATGAATAACAGGACTTTTTTGACAATGTATATAGCTCAGGGGGGTCTTACCCTTTATTAATGGGTGTGGGAGTGTGTGGATTAAAGTGTATTTTGATATAATTGACTTCCTTTGTAATCATATTTATTTTTCTAAACATTATTATGAGAAACATTTCATTAGACCTCCAAAGGAGTCCATGGCACACAGAAGTTGAAAACTCCTGATTGGACACAATAAATATAGCTGTTATTTTATCGTTGTTTACAACGTACCAATCATTATCCTAAGATTTTAATTGTATTCATTTATGTCATTCTTCCACCAATTCTAGCAGGTAGCTGCCATCACTAGACTTCATTTTTCAGGTGAGGTAACTGGGGTCACAGGGAGATTAAGTAACTGGCTAAGGGTCACACAGCCATAGCTGGAATTCTGCTACAGAGATTGTCTTAATACTATATTGTATCTAGATATATTAGAAGCTTTTAAAATACAATAAACAGTTATAATGTGTTTTAAAAGACATCAGAAAAATTACCATAGATATTTATGTTATTCATATTTTAATAAAACTTCTTTAAATACATGTATTAAAATAACATTTTGCTTACTTATAGTCTACAAAGGAATTTATTTAAGTTTCCATTGAGGACTAATTAAATTTGTACAGCTATCTATTTTAATTTACACCTTTTAACTTGTCATGAATATTTTTACTCTCAGAAATCTGTATCGGTTGCAACTTTCAGATTTTCAATGAATTATGGAATGGAGAGAAGCACCAAAGCAAATATCAATTATAAATAAATGCATTGTTTGTTAGCATTATACCACAGGCCTTTACCTGATTACCATCTAGGAATCCTCATGAATTGGTTTGCAATACTTTAACCTAACGAGACTGACATAATAGTCTGAAAATTGTTGCAGTTTTATATGGCTCTTTTAGTTAATGAGGTATCATGGGGTTTCTAAATGAATGCATCAATAAAACAACTTCCATTCCCCTGCTTTGGCAGAGTAATATTCACCTACCTTAACTGCTGAATTTAAGGAATAAGTTCTAAATCACATAACTTCTAACCATGAGAGAAATCTAGTGCTTGCTGACATGATATATGTTTTATGTATAACACAGGTGGATACATCCATCTTTTGAAAAGTCTATTTTGCTAAAAGAATGGTAAACACTTGTATTTCTGCTTCTATTAGCTTTAAAAGGAATAAAGCAAAGGAGCACAATTGTTTCTTTTTTTCCCATTTAATTCAGTGTGGCTGTCATGGCTATCAACCAGCCATGCTACTGTTGCAGTTTTACTACGTAGACTATTTCTTGATTTATTAGCTTTCAGAATCAAGCTCTGCTGTGCTGTTACATTCTTTGGCTTACACAGCACCTGTGTAGACCTCTGGTGATATTGTTTTATTTATTATTCATGCAACATTAGAGGACAAAAGGGATTCAAGCTGGTTCAGAGGTCATCAGCACCCTTTAAGGTCAAGCTATTTGGCTTCTGAAGTCTCTTTCCTAATATTCTTTCTGATAGTCTCTTAAGCAGGGCAGTCCAATCTGCTAAAACGTCAGGTAAAATGTCATGGCCTTTGAAAAAAGGATAACCTAATGAAAAAAATACTTAAGATATGGCATTCTTGTCCATTTTAACTTACCTTAAGTGTTGTTATATCTTATGTAGGCAGGGTGTGCATATGGAGACTATTAAAAGTCATCCATCTCCAGAAAGAATACTCTAAAAAAGGGGATTTTGCCAAGCTGAATTTGACCATTTGTTATCATTAGAGAACTGTTTGCAAAAAACAGAATTTTCTTCTTAGCTGACAGTGCAGAAGCATCAAAAACCTAAATAATCAAGGCTCAGGAAAGAATTTTAGATTCATCCATCATTCTTGAACACAAAGCTCCCCTTCTAACTTCACAACACATGTGTTTTATATATTATAGCTTAATCATTCTCTGCACATCTAGAATCAGAGTGACTACAATTTGAATAGAAAGTGACTCTAGAAGCAATTCATCAGAATCTTTTCATTTTTAGAGATGAGATAATGCAATAACTACTGTGAGACAATAAATTATGTTATAATTTATGAAGAAATATACAACTAAAATCTCTTTAATTATTGAGTATACAAATTTTGTTCTTTAATATATGCATAGATGTCAGTAATGACATTTAGAGACTTTGTACAAATATTTAATTTACCTTTTAATTCAACAGGTATTTATTTGAACAAAGGTATTTATTTATTTTTGGCAGAATAGCTATTCCTCTGAAACTTTCATCTCTATAAATTGTACACCCATAAATCTGGTTGCTACAGTCAGAAACTTAATGTTCTTTCATGTCCCACTCTCTCCCTTTCTTCTCTCCACAGTCCTTTAGGTTCTAACTACAGACATGTGTCACTTATTTCTTCCTTTGGCATCACCAGTCTGGTGCAAGCCACCGTCTCCCCTTACATGCTTCCTCTTACAGTCCTAACTGGCCTCTCTAATTTTACCGTTGCCCCTATAAAGCCCATTCTCTACCAAGCAGCCAAAGGCATCATTTTAAACATCTAAATCACATTGTATCATTTCTGTGCTTAAAACAATTTTCTATCTCCTTTTTTAGTCACAGGTAATTCCAAACTTTCTTCTATTCCCTCTAAGGGTCTTCGTGATCTGGCCCTTGCTGACATCTTATTCTACAGATCCTGCCTCCCTTCCAAACTGGCTCATATTTGTATAATAAACAGTGTGACTCCAATTTTTAATGTTTGAATGCTGATAGATTGTAATTCTCACCTCTTCCTCTTCCCTCTTTGTCCTACATGTGAGCAACTGATTATCGTATCAGGATCCTGTTTCCTTTAGCACCAGATCTAACCACCATAAATGCCCTAGGCCAGTATCTTTTTCATTTTCTCTCGTTTCGGTGTTTGGACCCTTTTAGAAGCCACTTACTCGACCCATACAGCCTTATTATGTGAATAGGAAACTTTTTCATACACTTGTGAGGAAGTGTGTGGTGTCATCAGTCTCAACACAGGGTTCAACTCTTGGTGGGGAAAGCATTCATTTTGGTTCTGTGAGGCAGTAGAATAATTTGTTATGATACTTTGGAAAGATACTTCTGTCAGAAGATACATTCTTAAAAGACAAAACTAACGGGTACAGAAAAATAAAATTCTTTATTCTGTATCTTCAGGTATAATCTCATAACCATTAGGGTTAAATTTAGTTAATTATTGTCTTTAAATGTAACATATTTCTGTCTGTTGAAAAGCAAGTCTTAGTACAGCATTGTGTCACTATGTTTATAATTGTGTAATGATACCAATCAATAAACATTTATTTCATAGATGAATCATTTATTCTTTTATGGATGAGAAAGATCAGAACCTTCGTTCTGACTTTTCAAGCACTCTAATATGACTGTTCTCTCATTTTCCTATAATTATCCCAAAAACTCTTATTTTTTTGTTATTTTTCCCCCTGAATAACAATTGGTATAAACATAAGTACTTGCATTTTAAAGATAAGAAAATTCAAGCACTGATATTGCTGCCTGAATTATAGCTATGTGGTAGATGCATATTCTGTAGTTTTGATTCTATAGCCCTTTGTATTTGGTTATACCACACAAAATAACATTTTTTGAATCTAGCAGAAATAGTACTTTGAATCCTCAAGCAAATTTCAATGGAAAGGAACTTTGGAATGTTGCTGGGGGCTGGTAGAGTTTATTAAATGCAGCATTTAGTTAAATACTCTGAATGCTGATCAGATAGTTATTAGAAAATATGGTGGGTTTATAAAGCTAGAAGTAGTTTGAAGTTCAATTATTTAGGCATCAGATTTAGAAGGAAGTCTATTTCACAGACATCAAGAGGAGGGAAATTCTTATTTATTCTTCCTCCCTAGATTTGAAATTATCATGCTGATGCCATGTAGTAGGAGGCTATCAGGTTGTCTTGAATTTTAATCTGAACCATATGGGCCATTTGTATTAAAAAGATAAATTTCCTACTTTGATGTATAGAGACATGTGCAAGCTTAATTTGAAGCAAATCTTTTGCAGGAGATGAGGATATTTTAGGCTATCAAATTTCCAAAGTAATAATCTTCATGTCCAATTCTGTCTTTGAATTCAGGAAAGGAAAGAAATCATAGTGTAAGTCAGAATGAGCAGGGTTCATAGGTGAGAAGGAATAAGGATTAGTTGAATTTGGAGAAGGAGCAGGTAAAAGAAGATATGCTAACTTAGATATGTTACAACAATGAACTATAATGAGAGAAGGTAGAATATGTAGCTGACTATCCTTTGACTCCTCCTGAAATGTCTCCTCTTCCGAAGCATCTACAGATTGGTCACCTCTCTTTTGTTGAGCCCTGCATGCCATAAACCAATCTTTAAAAAAGATAATTCTGTCTTATTATTAGGACTCTAGTGTAAAACTGTCAAACTACCTGGCTCAAATCTGTCTCTACCACACCCTAGCTGTGGGAACATAGGCAAGCTCACTTATTTCACTTCTTTCTGGCTCGCTTTCCTCTTCTGCAAGAGAGAGATAATGATATCGCTTATCTCTGCAGCTGGTGAGAAGTTTAAATGAGTAAAACATTTAGAAAGGTTCTTGACATGTAGTAATCTCTTAATAAATGCTTAACTGCTTTTAAAAATAATCTTGGTTTTGCAATATTATTGGAGTTTGCATTTGCCCACGTTCTCTCTTCTATGAGATTTTAAACATCTTGACAAAATGTTTTATAAATAATTACATCCTCAGGTCCTATAAACTGGCCTGTGTGCAGTGAATGCTATTTATTATTATTGATTATATTCAACCCAAATATTTTTATCATATTTTTGACACTATTTTAAACATATAAAAATAATTAAGAATATATGTTTATCTAAGAGAATATCCTAAGATTTACTCACCTAAGAAACACCAATGTTACCTGTTAATCATGATACTAACAGGTGAATTTGGGGCCTAATATGAAGAGGCTAAGTAGGAGTTTCTTTCACTAACCAGCCTCTATTGAGACTACATCATACATCTAAATTCTCTCTGTAATAATTCCAGCAAATATGCTCCTCGTCTCCTTTTTGCTGTTTAAGACACTTTATATTTTCTTAACTTAGTTTACCTCCTGACTTAGTATTTCCCTCATGCTAACCAGTGAACATTGGAGAATGTTAGAAAATAATTTTCTCCTTCCACACTAGGTATAATGCTGGGTTAGAAACAGAATATATTAGCCACTGCCTATACTTCCGGTGGGCTTGTAGACAATCTAGTTTATGTTACAAGGCTGCCATTATGTTTATTTACTCAACAAATGACAAGCAAGCAACTTAGACATCGTATTTAACACTGAGGGTTATAAAAGCAATGTCTTCAAAAATAATAACCTGGAATATACTAAGTTCTTCCCAGGGAAAAGTTTTATCAGAAAAAGGCAACTTTGCTATGCTGCAATTTTCAAGAGAATAGATAACAGCCTGGTAACCAAACTACTTTAGGTGAACTTAAGAGAGATGGGCTTGTGCAGGGCACCTAGATGAAGCTTTCCAAGGGCATACAAAAATATACACCCCTGTTACTTTGCTTTTAGAAAGCACCACCAGCACCAACATCACTAGACTTGAAAATAGTTTTTCTGTGACTAGCAGAGCTCAGAATTGAGCTACTACTGTATATGGGTTGACTCAATTTGCAGGTCTGTAATTTGTTCTCAGGGAATTGAAAAGACAGATTGGATAGCAATGTAGTATTCTCCTAGAGGAGACATAGGAGGGTGATGTAAAGCCAGTCCTTCTGGACAAACACTGTAGAGAGGGATGTGTATCATAGATTGCTTTGCTGGGTGGATTGCAGCATAGAGAGCATAATCTTCGGGCAGGAGAGGCTCTTGCTTCAGATCATCACATTATTCATCCATGCAGCTCTGCAGGGAAACCAGAATACATCTATTTTCTGAAACTGGTAAATAGACCTACCACTGCACTGACACAGACACTGGAAAAACTACATACAATTTGAATTGTCTAAATACTTTTAAACTTGTTTCACCAATTCAATTGTAAACAGAGGAGAGAAAAAAATAATATAAAAAGCAAACGGTTTAGGAATGTCTTGACTCCTGTGGTCTACGGAGGTTTCCAGAAAACGGTATAACACAAAACATGAATGGTGATTAAATGACTAAATGGTTATACAAAGCAGGTATGCAATTCGTTCCTCAGAGATGATCACTGTTGCAAAACAACATAATCAAATTTTCCAGCTAGGGCTGATATTGTGGCGTAGAGTTAGTTGACAAGCCTGTTAGACACCACTTTCCTTTTTCATAGACATCTCATTATTTATCATCCCTTTAGTCTTTTTAATTGCTCTGGGCAAAGATTTCTTTATCCATTTAGCAATGGGGACTGAACCCATCAATACCCAATTTAAGCAAGGCGCTCATAAAGACAGCAGTGAAATTACTGCTCTGCTGCTTTTCTGAATATCAAGATCATTTCGCTTCTGAAATCAAGCCTTTTTTTGATTGCTGAGTAACTCTTCTGATACAATGTTTCTAATTAGCTAAATCAAAATCTGAAAAGGTACATTTTGCATTTGTTTTAATGTATTTGTTAAATTATTATTCTCTTTTATTCATGTTTACAACACAGACAATTTGGGTTCCTTGATTCACTGATAGTTATAAAAGCATGAACAATTGTATTGTTTACTAAATACTAAATTTACTTAAATTTTACATAAAATAAACACCAATTATGCATTTAGTGAAGTTAGATTTTAGAACAAAAAGCCATAGTTTCCTTATTATGTATGCTTATTAGATACCCAAAATGAAATCTAAATAATAATTTAAAATAGAATAATTCAATTTATAATTATAATATTAGATTTTTATTTTTATAAATATCGTAAGTATAATTTTTACATAACAGTTTGGGATAGTCAGCATTTCATATTTTAATTTTTATGAGTTATAATGCATAATTCCTTTTCAAAAATAATTTCAATCTTTATTTTAGATTCGGGGTACATGTGCAGGTTTGTTACCTAGGTATATTGCATGATGCTGAGGTTTGTTGTATGATTGATCGTATCACCCATGTACTGAGAATAGTATCTAATAGTTAGTATTTCAATACTTTCAGCCCTCCATCCTCTCCTCTAGTGGTCCCCAGTTTCTGTAGTTGCCATCTTTATGTCCGTGAGTACCCAGTGTTTAGTTCCCACGTATAAATGAGAACATGCAGCATTTGATGTTCTGTTTCTACATTAATTTGCTTTAGGATAATGGCTTCCAGCTCCATTCATGTTGATACAAAGGGCAAGGTTTCATTCTTTTTACGGCTGCATAGTATTCCATAGTGTCTCTGTGCCACATTTTCTTCATCCATTCCACTGTTGATGGACACCTAGGTTGATTCCACGTCTTTGCTCTTGGGAATAATGCTGCACTGAACCTGTGAGTGCATGTGCCTTTTTGGTAGAATAATTTTTTTTTCTGTTGGATATATAATCAGTAATGGGATTACTGAGTTAAATGGTAGCTTCATTGAACATTTTTAAAGAAATCTTCAAACTACTTTCCAGAATGGCTGAACTTCTTTACATTCCCACCATCATTGTATAAGCATTCCCCTCTCAGCACATGCAATATGACATCTGTTGTTTTTTGACCTTTTAATAATCGCCATTGTGACCGGTATGAGATAGCATTTCAGTGTGGTTTTGATTTGCATTTCCTGATGGTTAGTGATCATGAGTGTTTTTAAATATGTTAGTCTGCTACTTGTGTGTCTTTTTTTGAGAAGTGTTTGTTCATGTATTTTGCCCATTTTTTAATGGGGTTATTTGTTTTTTGCTTGCTCAATTATTTAAGTTCCCTATAGATTCTCGATATTAGACCTTTGTCTGATGCATAGTTTGCTAATAGTTTCTCCCATTCTGTGGGTTGTCTATTTGTTCTGTTAATAGTTTCTTTTGCTGGGAAGAAGCTCTTTAGTTCAGTTAGATTTCCCTTGTCAATTTTTGTTTTTGTTGTAATTGTTTTTTAGGACTTAGTTATAAATTCTTTTCCAAGGTTGATATCCAGAATTGTGTTACCATTCTGTCTTGTTCCAGTTCTCAAGGGGAATGTTTTCAACTTTTCGCCTGTTCAGCATAATATTGACTGTTGAAGAGGTACCGTATCTCATTCTTTTTTATGGCTGAATAGTTCTCAATTGTGTACCACATTTTCTTTATCCAATCATCTGTGTTGATGGACCTTTAGATTGCTTCCAAATCTTAGCTATTGTAAACAATGCTGCAACAAACATAGGAGTGCAGGTACCTCTTCAATATACTCATTTAAATCTTTAATTCATCTTAATTTTTGTATATGGTGAAAGGTAGGAGTCCAGTTTCATTCTTCTGCATGTGACTATTCAGCTTTCCCAACACCATTTATTGAATAGGGAGTCCTTTCTCAATTGGTTATTTTTGTGGACTTTCTGGCTTTATTTCTGAGTTCTCTGTTCTGTTCACTTGGTGTATATATTTGTTTTTGTACCAGTACCATGTTGTTTTAATTACTGTAGCCTTATAGTGTAGTTTGAAGTTTGGTAGTGTGATGATTCCAGCTTTGTCTTTTTTACTTAGAATTGCTTTGGCTATTTGGGCTCTTTTTTTATTCCATACAAATTTCAGAATTTTTTTTTCTATTTCTATAAAAATGACATTGGTAGCTTGATAGGAATAGTGTTGAACCTGTAGTTTACTTTGGAAAGTATGACCATTTTCACAATATTGATTCTTCTAATCCGTGAACATGGCCTGATTTTCCATTTGTTTGTGTCATCTATGATTTATTTCAGAAGTATTTTGTAGTTCTTATAGAGATCCTTTACTTCCATGGTTAGATGTACCCCTAGGTATTTTATTTTTTGTGTGTGGCTATTCTAAATGGAATTGCATTCTTGATTAGGCTCTTAGCTTGAATGTAATTGATGTATAGAAATGCTACTGATATTTTCATTCTATTATAAAGATACATGCACACATATGCTCAATGCAGCACTAGTCACAATAAAAAAGACATGGAATCAACTGAAATGCCCATCAGTGATAGACTGGATAAAGAAAATGTGGTACATATACACCATGGAATAGTATGCTGCCATAAAAACAATGAGATCCTGTCCTTTGCAGGGACAAGAATGATGCTGGAAGCCATTATCCTCAGCAAACTAATGCAGGAACAGAAAACCAAACACTACGTGTTCTCACTCATAAGTGGGAGTTGACCAATGAGAACACATGGACACAGGGAGGGGAACAACACTGTGACCTGTTGGGGCAGGGTGGGAGGGAGAGCGTTAGGAATTAGAGCTAATGTATGCTAGGCTTAATACCTAGGTGATGGGTTGATAGGTGCAGCAAACCACCATGGCACACGTTTAACTATGTAATAAACATGCATCCTGCACGTGTACCCTGGAACTTAAAAAATAAAATAAAATGAATAAATAAATAAATAAAAAGAAATGATTTTTGTACATTGACTTTGTTTCCTGAAACTTTACTAAAGACATTTATCAGTTCTAGGAGCTTTTTGACAGTGTTTTTAGAGTTTACTAGGTATAGAATCGTATCATCAGCAAAGAATGGTAGTTTCACTTCATTTTCTATTTGGATGTCTTTTATTTCTTTCTGTTGCCTGATTGCTCTGGCAAAGGCTCCAGTGCTATGTTGAATAAGAGTGATGAGAGTGGGCATCCCTTTCTTGTTCCATTTCTCAAGGGGAATGTTTCCAGCTTTTTGCTTGTTCAGCATAATATTGACTGTGGGTGTGTCATAGATGGCTCTTATTATTTGGATGTTTGTTCCTTCAATTCCTAGTTTCTTGAGGGTTTTGTCATGAAAGGATGTTGGATTTCATTAAAAGCTTTTTTTGTGTCTGTTGAGATGATTATATGGTTTTTGCTTTTAATTCTGTTTATGTGGTAAATCACCTTTATTGATTTCTGTATGTTGAACCAACCTTGCATCCCAGTGATGAAGCTCACTTGATTATGGTGAATTAACTTTTTGATGTGCTGTTGGATTCAGTTTGCTAGTATTTTGCTGAGGATTTTTGCATCTATATTCATCATGCATATTGACCTGTGTTTTATTTATTCATTGTATCTTTGCCAGGTTTCAGTATCAGGGCGATGCTGACTTCATAGAATGTGTTAGGGAGGAGTCTTCCTGCTTGATTTTTTAGAATTGTTTCAGCAGGATTTGTACCAACTCTTTTTGTACATCTGGTAGGATTCAGCTGTGACTTCATCTTGTCCAGGGCTTTTTTTGTTTGATAGGTTTTTGATTACTGATTCAATTTTGGAACTTGATATTGACCCATTAAAAATTTCATTTTCTTCCTGACTTAATCTCGGGAGATTGTGTTTTTCCAGGAATTTATTTGTTTTCTCTAGGTTTCATAGTTTGTGTACATAGAGGTGTTCCTAATAGTCTCTTAAGATCTTTTCTATTTCTCTGGTATAGGTTGTAATGTCAACTTTGTCATTTCTGAATGTGCTTATTTGGATCTTCTCTCTTTTTCTTTTGTTAATCTAACTAGTGGTCTATCAATCTTGTTTATCCTTTCAAAAGACAAAGTTTTTTTTATTATTTGTTTGGATTTGGGGGTTTAATTTCATTCAGTTTCACTCTGATTTTAGTTATTTATTTTCTTCTGCTAGTTCTTGAGTTTGTTTGTTCCTGTTTTTCTTGTTCCAATAAGTGTGATGTTAGATTGCCAATTTGAAATCTTTTTAACTTTTGAGGTAGGTATTTAGCACTATAAGCTTTCCTCGTAAACACAACTTTTTCTGCATTCCAGAGATTTTGATATTTTGTGTCTATTTTCATTTATTTCAAAAAGTTTTTTGATGTTTGCCTTAATTTCATTGTTTCCCCAAAAGTCATTCAGTAGCAGGTTTTTTAATCTCCAAGTAATTGTGTGACTTTGAGAGGTGTTCCTGGTGTGAATTTATATTTTTATCCCCCTGCGATCCAAGAGTGTTTTTGCCACATGTATTAGTCCATTCTCGCATTACTGGGTAATGTGATAATGACTCAGCCTTTTTCTTACAAATTACCCAGTCTCTGGTTTGGAGACTGAAAAATTTATTTTGTTTGAAAAAGGTTTAATTGGCTCATGATTCTGAAGGTTATACAGAAAGCATGGTAGCATCTACTTCTGAGGAAGTCTCGGGAAGTTTCCAATCATGTCAGAAAGCAAAGGGGGAGCAGGAACATCACATGGTGAAGCAGGAACAAGAGAGGGTGGGTAGGTGCTACACACTTTTAAATGACCAGATCGCATGAGAACTCACTCACTGTCAATAGTTTACCAAAGTGCTAAACTATTAATGAGAAATTTACCTGCATGACTCAATTACCTCCCACCAGGCCCCAACACCAACACTGCAGATTACATTTTAATATGAAGTTTGGGTGGAAACACACATCCTAACTATATGATTCCATCCCTGGATCCTACCAAATCTCATATCCTTCTCACATTGCAAAATACAATCATGCCTTCCCAATAATCCCCAAAGTCTTAACTCATTCCAGTATTAATTCAAAGGTCCAAAGTCCAAAGTCTCATCTGAGACAAGGCGAGTTTGTTCTACTTATGAGCCTGTAAAATCAAAAACAAGTTAGCTACTCCCAAGAAACAATGGGATTATAGACATTGGGTAAATAATTCCATTCCAAATGGGAGAAATCAGCCAAAGGAAAGGGGCTACAGGCTGCACACAAGTTTGAAACCCAGCAGGGCAGTCATTGAATCTTAAACCTCCAAAATAATCTCCTTTGACTCTATGTTCCAAATCCAGGACACATTGGTGTGAGGGGTGGGCTTCCAAGGCCTTGGGCAGCTCCACCCTGGTGGTTTTGCAGGGTTAAGTTCCCACAGCTGCTCTCATGGGTTGGCATTAAGTGCCTGTGGCTTTTTCAGATGCAGGGTGCAAACTGTCAGTGGATCTACCACTCCGGGGTTTGGAGGACAGTGGCCATCTTATCACAGCTCCACTAGGCAGTGCTTCATCAGGGACTCCGTGTAGGGGCTCAAATACCACATTTCCCTTCTGAACTTCACTAGTAGATTATCTCTGTGAGGGCTACTCCCCTGCAGCAAGCTTCTCTCTGGGCACCTAGGTTTTTCCATACATCCTCTGAAATCTAGGTGAACATTCCCAAGCCTCTTTCACTCTTGTATTCTGGAAACCTGCTAGCTTGAATCCACATGGAAGTCACCAGGCTTACACCTTGCTACCTCTGAAGCTGTGGTGTGAACTGTACCTGGGCCCCTTTGAACTACAGCTGTGGCTGGAGTGGCCAGGATGTAGGGAGCTATGTCCTGAGGCTGTGCAGGGCTGCATAGCCCTAGGCCTGGTCACAAAACCATTCTGTCATCTTAAACTTCAGGGCCTGTGATGGGAGGGGCTGCCTCTTAGATCCCTGAAATGCCTTTGAGGCCTTTTTCTCCATTGTCTAGGCTATTACTACCTGTCGTTTTTTTACTTATGTAAATTTTTCAGGCAAGTGGTTACTCAGCACCTGCCTGAAAATGGGCTTTTCTTTTTCTACCACATAGCCAGGCTGCAATTTTTCCAAATTTTTATGCTGTGTTTCCCTTTTAAATATGTTTCAGCTCTAAATCATTTCTTTGCTCCCACATGTGAGCATAGGATTTTAGAAGCAGCCAGGCCACATGTTGAATGTTTTGTTGCTTAGAAATTTCTTCCACCATATACCCTACATGATCACTCTCAAGTTCAAGGATCCACAGATCCCTAAGGCAGGGGCACAACGCAGCCTGTTCTTTGCTAAGGCATTTCAAAAGTGACATTTTCTCCAGTTCCCAATAAGTTTTCTATTTCCATTCAAGACATCTTCAGCCTGGACTTCATTGTCCATATCATTATCAGCATTTTCGTCACAAACATTTAACCATTTAATCTTTAGGAAGTTCCAAACTCTCCCTCACCTTTCTATCTTCTTCTGAGCCTTGCAAACTCTTTCAACCTCTGCCTGCTGCCTAATTCCAAAGTTGCTTCCACATTTTCAAGTATGTTTATAAAAATATCCCACTCTCAGTACCAATTTTCTGTATTATTCTATTCTCACATTGCTATGAAAATACTTGAAACTGGATACTTCATAAGAAAGGAGGTTTAATTGGCTCACAATTCTGCAGGCTGTACAGAAAGCATAGCCGCATTTGCTGCTGGGGAGGCCTCAGGAAGATTCTAATTGTGGCAGAAGCAGGCACATCACATGGTGAAAGCAGGAACAAGAGAGAGAGAGGGCAAGTGCTACACACTTTAAAAGAAAAGATGTCACAAGAACTCACTCACTCTCATGAGGATGGTACCAAGGTGTTAACCCATTGATGAAAAATCCACTCCATAATCCAGTCACCTCTCATTAGGCCCCACCACCAACATTGGGAGTAACATTTGAGATTTGGGCGGGAACACACATCCAAAGTATATGAGTAAAATTTCAATTTTTAAAAAAAATTTATTGAGACTGGCTTTATGGCCAGGCGTGTGACTGTTCTTGAAGTGTGTCCCATGTGATGATGAGAAGAATGCATATTTATGGTTGATGGGTGAAGTATTCTGTAGATGTCTATTAGGTCCAAATGATCAAGTGTTGAATTTAAGTCCAGAATTTCTTTGTTAGTTTTCTACCTCAATGATCTAATACTCTCAGTGGTGTGTTGAAGACCCCCACTATTATTGTGTGGCTGTCTAAGTATTTTTGTAGGTCTAGAAGTACTTTCCAAAAATAAATCTGGGTGCACCATTGTTGGGTACATATATATTTAGGATACTTAAGGTTTCCTGTTTAACTGAACCCTGTATTATTATGTAATGCCCTACTTTATCCTTTTTTTACTGTTGTTGGTTTAAAGTCTGTTTTATCTGATACAAGAAGAACAACGCTTGCTATTTTTTTTCCATTTCCAATTTGCATAATTGAATTCTCTAACCTTTTTCTTTGAGGTTGTCTAATGTGTGAGATGGAGCTCTTGAAGACAGCCGATGGATTGGTCTTATTTATTTATCCAAATTGCCACTCTGTGGCTTTTAATTGGGGTGTTTAGACCATTTATATTCAAGGTTAATATTGATATGTGAGGTTTTGATCCTATCATGAAGTTGTTCACTGGTTGCTTTGTAGTTTCCCTTGTGTGGTTGCTTTATAAGATCTGTGGGCTATGTACTTAAGTGTGATTCATCTCAGCAGGTATCATTCTTTCATTTCCATGTTTAGAACTCCCTTAAGGATCTCTTGTAAGATTGATCTAGTGGCAGTGAATGTCCTTAGCACTTATTTGTTTGGGAAAGATTTTATTTTTCCTTTGCTTATGGAGCTTAGTTTGTTGGGATGTGAAATTCTTGGTTGGAATTTATTTTCTGTAAGATTGCTGAAAATAGGTCCGCAACATCTCCTGTCTCATAAGGTTCCTGTTGTGGAGTCTGCTGTTAGCCTGATGTGATTCCTTTTGTATGTGATCTGACCTTTTTCTGTAGCCACCTTTAAGATATTTTCTTTCTCTCTCTCTTTTTTTTTTTTTTTTTTTGAGACAGAGTTTTGCTCTTGTTGCCCAGGCTGGATTGCAATGGCACAATCTTAGCTCATGGCAACCTCCGCCTCCTGGGTTCAAGCGATTCTCCTGCCTCAGCCTCCCAAGTAGCTAGGATTACAGGAGCCTGCCAGCATTCCCAGCTTTTTTTTTTGTATTTTTAGTAGAGATGGGGTTTCACCATGTTGGCCAGGTTGGTCTTGAACTCCTGACCTCAGGTGATCCACCTGCCTCAGCTTCCCAAAATGCTGGGATTACAGGCATGAGCCACTGTGCCTGGGCAAGATATTTTCTTTAGCTTTTACCTTGGGTAGTCTAGTGACTGTATGCCTAGGTGATGCTTGCTTTATACAGTATCTTGCAGGTGTTCTCTGGATTTCTTGTTTCTGAATGTCTACGTTTGTAGTGAGATAAGGAAAATTTTCTTGAATTATTTTTTCAAATTCATTTTCCAGGTTGTTTTATTTTTCTTTCTCAGGAATGCCAATAATTTGTAGGTTTGATCATTTTATATAATCTCATATTATGGACTTGGTTTATTCCTCTTAAGACTCTTTTGTTAATTTTGTCTAACTCAGTTAGTTTGAAAAACCAATCTTCAAGCTCTGGAATTATTTCTTCTGCTTGGTCCAGTCTATTCATAAAGCTTTGATTCCATTTTGAAATTCTTTAAGTGAGTTTCTAAATTCTAGAAGCTCTGATTGATTTTTAAATGTGTTTATCTCTTCCTTCATTTCCTGTACTGCTTTAGAAGTCTCTTTGTGTTGATTTTCATCATTGTCTTGGATCTCAGCGTCTCTTGCAATCCATGGTTTGAATTCTTTCTTTGTCATTTCCATTTTGGTTAAGGACAATTGATGGGGACCTAGTGTGATCCTTTGATGGTATCACTACAACCAGATTTTTCATTGTGCTAGAATTCTTGCTCCAACTTCTTCTCATCTGGAAATCCTGGCATTTCTAATTTTATAATTAATTTTATGTTGTTAGGGTGTTTTCCTTTTTTTTCTTTTTCTATGCTATTGTTTTTTTTCTTTTCCCTTCCCCTCTCCCCAGTGGTTGTAAATTTAGAGAATCCTGGGTAAAATTCTTTGCTACTATAGCCCTAAGCACTTTTGTCAGAAGGTTTTATGTTGGGCTGTGCAGTTTGACTTACAAGCCAGTAGATGATCCTCATGGGTAAGAGCTGGTTGCAGCCAATGTGGTGGAGCATATATTTGATCTTGAGATCAAGATCTGAGATCTATTTACTGAGAGAAGCTCTCTTTTGCCCCAGGCAATAGGGTGATTTGTGGAGCACAGAGCAGTCTGAGCTCTCTCTACAGCCCAGGGGGCCAGGGACAAGATGGGCAGGGCTGGACTGGGCAGGTGCACCTACAGGTCCCTCAATGGCAGGCACAAGCATCAGCACTGAGGAGGAATCTAGTGGATGGCCACCAAGTGCCCAGAGGTGTGCCTAGGCATGGAGCTGGGAAACCCCCTATATGTCAACTTCTCTTTATGGGGATGAGAGGTGGCCTAAACTTCTAATCCAGGAGAGTGGGTGCTCCAGATACCTGGAGATCTGCCTGGGTGTGGAGTGGAGAGGGTCTCCCTGTACCAGAATCTTTACACAGGAAGGGTGGAGTGAGTCAGGCTGCTAAACCAGGCAAGCAGGTGCTCTGAATGCCTGGAAATAAGCCTAGGTGTAAAGCAAAGAGGGAGCTCCTGTGTAGGAAATGTGGGGCAACTCAGTTTGCAAGTCCATGAGAGTGGCTGCTCCAAATGCTTAGAGATCTGCTTATACGTGGAGCAGAGAGGGCCCCATTACAACATGATCTATGCACAAGAAGGGTGGGGCAGATCAGGGTGCTGATCCAGGTGAGGGGTTACTCTGAATACCTGAAGATATGCCTGGGCATGCAACAGGGAGGGCCCTGTTGCACCATGATCTATGTCTACGAAGGGTGGTGGCTCAGGCTGCTGGTGTAGGCAAGCAGATGCTCCTGTATGCCTGCATTTCTGCCTGGGGGTGGAACAGAGAGGGTCCCACTGCACCGCAGTCTCTGGGGAGCAGGACCCAGAATGACACATGCAGGCTGGTTCCAGGTATCCTAACTGGCCCTGGCTGCAAGTCTTGTCATCCAGGAGAAACTGCAGCTGAAGCAGCTCTCTTCATGTCCCAAGCCTGCAACGGGGAAGGACACAGTTCCAGTGTCTACCTCTGAGATGCTTTCCATAGTTCTGGCTTTGGAAGCCCCTACCTCACTCCAGAGCAGGTGTTCCAATCTCGGACCCAAAACTAAAATCCCTGCATGGCGACACTGCTGGGCCTCAAAAGAATGGCTGACTTTGTATGTACCTGGATTAAAAATGGCGTTCTACTCTTGGTCTTGGGTCTGGATAAATGCCTGCAGATTTTCCTGAGGTCTTTCTCTCACAGCATCTTCATCTCTCTCCCCAAATTATCTCCAGGGTTTGGGAGAAGCAAAATGTTCTCCCTTGGCCTGAGTTGCTCAGATCCCCAGTGGAAAGGTGAGTCACAGAGGAGGCTCTCTGCCTTTCTCACATACTGGGGCTTCCCTCACTTTTATCAGCTGGATGCTGTCATGGGGGCTGTTTGCCCATGGTCTCCTCCCTGTGATCTTGGGTGTCCTTCATGATTCCAGTGGGTTTCCATTTTTCTTCCTGAATTAAAGCTCATAGAGTTTATCTTTATGCACTATCTTGCTATTTCCAAGTGGCTGAGGCACACTAAAAGCCTCTAATCTGCCACCTTAGAAAAAAAAATCATAATTTCTTAACCTATTTTGAAACTAGCCATTGATTCTGCAAAATCAAAATGGCGAGAAGTAAACTATAATTTTCCAAAATTCTTTGTACATTACTTATTATATGAAGTGAAGTCTTAACATATTTTTCAACTGTAATATTCAGTGTTAAAATATTTATTCTGTTTGGTCTCAAATATTTATAAACCATATTCTAACTTAAGTATCCTTGACTAAATTGGGATCATACAGTTGAAATATTAAACATAATCACATAAAGCTTAATAGCGGTAAGTTATTTCATTTGTGGTTGATAAAATTCCTGATGTATTTATTCTTTAATTCTCATTGTGGTATGGTAAAAAAAAAATAAAAGGGTGTGAAGAAAAACAAACTTTCTCAAAAATTTTCAATGGATTATATCTATGAAAAAAGATTAATTGGCTCTCTAGTAATGACAATTTGAAGAGAACCAGAAAAGACAATAGTGAGACCTAGATCCCTAGATCTTGCAGAAAAAGCAGCCGTAGGCTAGAAAGCGGGAATAAAAGCTGATGACAGAGGGTAGAATATTTACAGAACTACATCATGACCTCAGGGAAAATATAGATATAGGTTATATGGTTTCAATAGATAGAATAAAATGAGGATACAGACACAGCTGACTATACCAGTTTAATTATCAAATGCTGAGATATAGCTCTGTGAAGGTCCACTGGGTCTGTTTTTACATCATGCTCATCATGTTTAGCTATACCTAATTTTCACTGAATTTTAAAAATTCTGCTGGGCTTGATTTGTAACTGATTAATCCAGCTCATTAATATTTAAGAATCTAACATTAGTAATATAAATTTGGCATATTAAAAATGATACCAACTACCTTTTATTATGTGCTTAGACTGTTTCAGGCTCTGTGCTAAGAGATACTAGTCAGACATCACAAGAAACCTGAGATAGGTGTTGTGATGGTCACCACTGTTGAGTGGAAAGTACTAATAAGACTCAGACAGTGAAAGTGACTTGGCCAAGGACTGTCAGTAAGTAGGGAGTGAACAGGGGGCCAAACCCCAGATATCTGACTGGAATTGAAGCTTGTTTTTAAACTTCTAGATATAATATCTCATCCCATGCCTCATGGACAAAGTTCAGAAGGTGTAAGTGAGGACTACATTGCAAGTAAGGATCTGTGAGTGTGAGAGAATAGAGATGAGTTATAGGTAAACAGAAAAGAGTGATATGTTCATGTTGGATTAGTCCCAATGACATTTCTACTATCTACTTGTGAGTTATCTCTTCGTTGTTGGGAATACACAGGGGAAGGGTAGGATATAGATGGAGCAAAGGTATAGGACCCCTCAATCATATACTTTGGGATGAGGCTGAATTTTCATAGTGAAAGAACATTCCTTTTGTGTTGGGATCCAAGGGTTAGAACAGAAGGACTATTTTAGACAAATTCACCACTGGAGATTAACTGGCCACAGAAGACCTATCAATTAGCCCGTGTTCAAGTATCACGCTTGAAACACCAATAGCCTGGGCAGAGTGTCAACCTCAAGTCTAGTTACACTGACAATTCAAACATACCAACCAGCTCAGATATACCACCCAGAACAAATTATGTCCTATATACAGTGGCCATTCCACAGGAGGTACTAATTATTTACTGATTACCATGGGAGTTTCTTGTATACACCAAATTACTGTGTGTGTGTGTGTGTTTGTGTGTGCGTGTGTGTGTGTGGGGGGGTGGGGTGTGTGTGGGGGGGTGGGGTGTGTGTGTTTCAGGGGAGGGATATTGGCCTGATAGGTTTCAGCTTGCTACTTTCCATTATCTACCTTACTAAACACTTAATGTATGTTATCACAAGTATCTTCAGGACAGAATTTTTCACTTCATAGTCATCACATCAATTAATGCATGTGCCTGTTAACTTATAAATATTAATACTGACAAAATGATAGACAGTTCTACAAGAAACATATGCATGTTTAGAAGTTATTTGCTTTATTTATAAGAAATTGATCCCAGTATTTCTATAATATATATTTTTAAGCATACTATTTGTTTTAATCTTTATATAATGTACAAATGTAGTAAAAATAGCATTCATTTCCAAATGTATCACAGTGATAGACAAGATAATATATTTATAGACACTGAAAATAAACACATACAAAAAATAACAAATAACAAAAAGCTGAATGCTCCTTCCAGAGCTTAAACATTGGTCTCACTGTAAGTTGCACCTGAAAAGGATAAGTTGGCCAACTGTGGTTACAATAAAATTGATAAGTCGAAAAAGAAAGAAAAAGGAAAGAAGAAAGGAAGGGAGGATGAAACAAAGGGATAGATTGAAGAAGGAGAAGAAAAGAGGGGAAAAGAGGAAGAATATATATATATATATATTTTTTTTTTTTTTCAAAGTAGTGGTTTTTCTCTGTCACCCAGGCTAGAGTGCAGTGTCATGATCATAGTTCATGGAAGTCTGGAACTCCTGGGCTAAAGGGTTCTTCCACCTTAACCTCTTGAGTTGCTGGGATAACAGTCATGAGCCACAATGCTCGGCTAATGAATATATTTTGTAACATTTAAGATTTGCTTAGATTCTGCACATTATGTCAGAATGACATATTTTATGCTTATCCCTGTGCATGAAACACTAGGGAACCTTGTTAAGTTTGCATAATCAAGATTACTGGAAGTTTATATTAAACATGAGTAAAAGTGAAGATATGAAGAGACTACTAAAAAGGGATTTTTTTTTTCAGGAAGCAGAAAGCCTTAGAGAAACAACTTGAGTTTATACTGTGATTAGAATTGGAGAATATAACATTGGAAGTGGCAGGCTTAAGTGTCGAGTTTCAGATTTTCACTTAAATAAATATTTAGAATGTACTTGTGCTTTTGAATGAATTTTTTTTATCATCATGGAAACATTTTTTTTTTTAAGAAAAAAAGCATATCTTCTAATTTAGAAACAATGTTAATATGTAGTATAAATATGCAAGCTACATTTTTAATGATTTTAAAGTTCAAAATAGATAATCTAAACCACTCTCAGCAGGTGTGTGAAGAAAGTCTAACATTCTATAAATAAATTTCTATTGATCTGCTGATTTTCATAGAATTATCAGAATTACTCCACTGCTTGAAATTTAATATATTAGCAAGTTGTCTCTGTCACTGTCTTTATATTTGGCAACATTATTTTGAAACTATAGTAAGCTAAAAGTTATAGCATTGTTTTACATGTAGAATACTGCATTTTTCTCTTCCTCAGAGTTCAATAATTCATTAATGAAGCAATTGAATTTATGTGAGCATAAAAGCAATATTCCAAATACCTTACAATTTGAAGGTAAACTAAAAAATTTTTGAAATCTTTGCTTTTAGGAATCTTTATGAATAGGATAAACAAGTCTCTACCTTAATTCCTTTAGGGAGTTACATTCATTTGATAGGATTTACAACAGTTACAATAAGATTAACAACTCTCTTTTTGGTTAGAGTTGTTTATCCTATTGTAGCTGTTGTAAATCCTGTCAAATTTACCTTGATAAGTTTAAATCCATGGAAGTTAGATTTTGAAACCCTAAACTTTTCTCATTTCTATAATTTAATTGGCATCAGATGTATTTTAATGGAATTTTTAGTCCCTCCATTATTATATAGAAAAATATGTTATTCAAACTTGCCTTAACCATGCAATTTCACAGTAACAATGACGCAATTTACCCTTTCTTTTTCTCCTAAAGAGAAGGAGGAAAATAACCTCTCAGAAAGAAGAATATAATTAATATAATTCTATGTTGCTCAATGATTTGCAGAAGTGGTTGGAAACAGTATTCTGGAGTAATAACTTCTTTCCCCAAAATCTTTAGTTTGGCACAGCAGTGTCGATGCCTCAGGGCTTCTAAAAATATTCACTTGTGCAAATGATCCACCCAGGTTCTTTGGAGCTAAATAATTATCTCCAACTAGAGGTTATTGTTTCTTCAAACAAAATATTGAGACACAAATTAATAAAATCTTACATCCATCCTATAACAGACACAGAAGCAAATAGTAACAACAACAACAAACACCCATGGTTTCAGTTCTGTTCCTGTTGTGAAAGACACCATAACCCCCAAAGCCACAATTCATTTATCTGTTTACCTAATCATTAAAAAATGTTTATTAAATTTCTTACAATCATATAATATTGCTCTTGTCATTGTCAGGGGAAGGTGTTGAGAAGAAACCCAGCAATCCTCAATTTTGTGTTGTAATTTGGGAATGAAAATAAGGACACACACTTTTGGTTATTGTAAAAAAAAAAAAGTGAAAGATGAAAAGGACAATATATTCAACAAATACTTATTAAGAGCCTGCTACATGTCAGACAGTGTTTTAGGTACTCAAGATAGATCAGTTACTCAGACAAATCCCTGCCCTGTGGAATTTATATTCTAGGGAGGCAGGCAGAGCACATTACTATATTACTATATAATATTACTATAGCATATTAAAAGATAAGCCTTTCATGAAAACACATAAGCAAAGAAGTGGAACATAATAAAATATTGGGAGTGTTGGGAGAAAGACTGCACTTTAAATATAGTGATCAGGGTAGAGTGAAGTGCATTTGGAGGATGAAGTTCACCATGGACTTGAGCAGTAGCTTAGAGGAGGAGGTAGAGCCAAAGCTGGATAGGGATTTGATGTGTAGATAAAGGAGAGAGGGCTTTTTTTTTTTTTTTTTTTTTTTGATGGAGTCTCACTCTGTCACCCAGGCTGGAGTACAGTGGCACAATCTCGGCTCACTGCAACCTCCATCTCCTGGATTCAAGTGATTCTCCTGCCTCAGCCTCCCAAGTAGCTGGGATTACACGCATGTGCCACCATGCCCAACTAATTTTTGTATTTTTAATAGAGACAGAGTTTCACCATGTTGGCCAGCTGGTCTCGAACTCCTGACCTCAGGTGATCCACCCGCCTCAGCCTCTCAAAGTGTTGGGATTACAGGCATGAGCCACCGTGCCCAGCAGGAGAGAGGGCTCCTTTCTAGGATATGAACAGTAGAGAGTGTTGTAAATAAGAAGTATTTGAATTTTCCTATTGAAACTTTGATAAAGCAGTGATTGTCAAATAAATTTTTAAAAGTTCAGTTGCTTATAATAGGGCTCATGACTTACAAACAAGATAAAGTAGAAATGTATTAAGTTGAACACATGACTTAGACTCTGCCCAGATCAGTCTGATCCTAAGAAAGTTAGGGAGGCTCCTGCATTTCCAGGAAATTATCACAGTCATGCTAGTTTAGGAATATGGATGCTGAGTAACCAAGACTCAAGGGTGAAGCAGTACATTTATGACAACATAACTACCCACTGAGTCTTGTTGTTCAATGCATGTGCTTGCAATTACATATAATCTTAAAATGAGAGAATATGCAGATAATTTTGAGGTCTCTGGGCCTGATGTTTCTTTTAAGTTGTTCATCATTGGGTCTCCTCTTTTGACAAATAAGAACAGTATGGCTCAGATAAGTAACTTTGCCAAAACCAAAACTGCTAATGAATTTGGAATCAGAACTCACATTTATTTCATCCCATTTCAAGGCTCGTAAAGTACAACAGCCTCTTAATTTTTTATGTACTCAAAAATATTTATTGAGAGCCTGCCATATGTAAGACACTTTGGCAGGATCAGGCAAGTCACCTATAATTCAAGAACACAGTCCTTGCTGTCATAGATCATCATTCAAGTGGAGAAAGGGAGGAGATGCTGATGTTCTCTATGTAGGAAGGGAAGAGATAATGACTAACAAACTGCTAGATAATGATAAGTGCTAACCAACATGAGGAAACTGAGAGTGATGAGCAGGTGTATTTTTATTAAGCACTTATTTTGTGCCATGCATTGTTAAAATTGTTTTATATATACTATCTCATTTAACCATCAACTTTATGTTGAAGGGCTTGTTATAACATGTTATAATAATGTAAGGTGCAGGAAACCTAAGGTTATTTACATCATAGTCTTTAGAGCCAGAAGAGACACTGGAGCAAACAGGTTCCAAATCAAGCTTTTAAATTAACTTGCTATGCTGCTTTCAGAGAAGGCCACATATAAGCCAAGATTTGACCAAAGCAGGAGTCAGCCAACTATTGCCCATAGGCAAAAGTTTTTATCAATAAAGTTATACAGGAACACAGCCATACTTACTTATTCACATATTGTCGGTTGTTGCTTTGAGGCTGCAGTAGCAGAGCTGAGTAGTTGTGGCAAAGACCCTCTGGCTCACAGCTTTAAATATGTACTATCTGGCCTTTCACAGGAAACAAAAAAACACTTTTTACCAACTTCTGGATTAAAGTAAATGGTCAAGCCAGAAGACAAATAGATTTAAAAATAACAGGGGTGGAGAGGACAAGTGGAAAAGTCCTGAAATGGGACTGTGATGAACATACCCAAGGAGAAGCAATAGACCAGAGTGGCTGGAGCCAAATGAATGAGGTATTGTTGTAATGGTATCAAAGCAGTCAGGAGCTAGATCACCAAGGGACCTTGACAGCCCTGAAAAAGACATTGACCTTGATCCTGAGTAAGTTAGGAAGCCACTGAAAGATTGTCAGCACAGAAGTGACATGATTTGATGTGCTGGACACTGGGATGTGCCTTCCAGACCCTCTTTAGGAGTGACTGTGTTATTCCCTCAGGGAATGGGAATGCTAGCAGCAGAAAACCCTCAGCCATCAGTCCTCTCCTAGAATTGCCTTAACAAGAGAGTGACCTTGCCCAAGGCCGTGCCTCATTCCTGGGCCAGTCTGCAACAATGTCTGGTTGATATGCAGGTATGAAGCCTTAATCTTACTGCTCAAATTTGGAACAACTATGTAAGGCCACACCAATTTCAGAGCTCTCTGTGAGGTTGGTGGGGTCTTCACTGAGACTGCATTACAGCTCACCTTCTCCCTCTGCCCAATCTTGCTTCACTCTTGCATAGGTGATAATCCCCAGGGCACTGTATTTATCTCTCTCATACTCATCTTCCCTGGGAAGCTGACTAGCAACATCTAGTTGCTTATGAAAATTACTACTAAATGCAAAGGACATTATAGGTGGGCAAGTATGCAAGGAGCAAAGATGAATAAAAATATTACAGTAGTTTCAGACAAAATATGATGATAGGTAGATCAAAGTATGGGATGAGATACTCAGAATACTCAGAATGTGCTGCAACAGGATCTGTAGGTGAATTGGAGGTGGGTGTGTGAGAAAGAGAGTCCGAGATCACTACAAGGTTTTCAGCCTAAGCAACTAACAGATGATCCAAATATGTCTGTTTTTTTGGGGGGATAGAATGAGCAAGTCAGTTAATAATGTGTTTGCTTTTTGGACTGCATCAGAACCCGATGATTATCACTTTTAATGCAGTAACAAATTTCTCCACAATCTCATGACTTGTCACAATAAACATTTATTTCTTACTCACATATAATCTAATATAGATGTCCAAATTGGGCAATTATTCTAGGTACTTCTCCCTTAAGAGTTGATTGAGAGTTGAATTGCTTGTCTCCTGGTTCTGCCATCCTGTGGCTTCAAGATGATGCTGTTGCCCTCCACCAGTGGGCAAGAGCAGGACACCACACTTTATACCTACTCCCAGCCCATAAGGAAACTGCAGTGCCTTCATATTCATTCTATCACTCAGATGCAGTGACATGAGTCCACCTAGAAGGAAGTTTGGGGGAGGGTTAGAGGGAAAGGTAGTCCCTGTACAAGCACCTCATCCTCATCAGCTTTATATTTTAGGGAGAAAGCACAAATCTTTGCCTACCACCAAGTCATATCTGCTGCATCCATGTTAAGTCTGAGATTTCTATTAAATATTCGAGTGAAGATGTAAAAAACCAATGGGCTATGTCATCTGGGATTCAGGGGAGACGTCTGTGATGAAGAAATAACTTGGAGAGTCTTCCGTGAATATATGGCATTTAAAGCCATGAGATGGCGTCAGGTTTCCTAGGGGTCGTGTATAGGTTAAAAAGAGAACGTATCCAAATCCTAAGCCCTGGGTCATTTCAGTATTTACAGGCTGAGTGGATGAAGTCAAACAGCAAAGAATGCTGAAAGAAGTTGTCAGTGAGCAGGGAGGAGAACAAAGAGAGCATGGTTCTGTGAAGCTCAGTGAATCACATATTTTGAGGCTGAGGAAGTAATCAACTGTATCAGACATTACTGCTAAGCAGAGTAAGGTAAATTCAGAGAACTAATGATTAAATCTGCAACATGTCTATGGCCATACATAGCACCCCAAACATGCCCGATCTTGTCACACATCTGCAACATGACCTTAATAGGGATAGTTTTGCAGAGCAGTAAGTAAGATATTTGTTTAGAGTAAATTTAAGAGAGAATGGGCCGATATGAAATGGAAGCAGAAAATGTAGCCATTCCTTTGAGGAGTTGTATATAAAGTCATAGCAATCTTCTATAAGGCAAGCACTACAGTCAATGTATGCGGTGCTTAGAAAAAATACACATTGAAATACCTAACTTTTCTTTAATGAGCTAACTCATTAAGATATGGGTGGTGCATTATTTTACCAACATCATGATACTGGACTTTCAGAGGGAAAAAATAGATAAACATATGGAGGAATCAACATTATTATTTATTTTTACTACCCCACATCCTATTTCTGACTTTAGTATCATTCATTACCTTTTTGAGTTTGTGTGTATGTGTATGTGTGTGTGTGTGTGTGTGTGTGTGTGTGTGTGTTTAAGCAAGTTTTTTGAACATGGCTTCTCTGATGTCTTTACTTTTTAAATCACCTAGACTTGTGTAAAGAGCGGTCTCATTGCTACACAGTACAACTTTGAAATATTTTGACAGGAATTTTTACTACAATACAAAGAGAACAATAGAAAAATACAAAAATATATAGAAACAGCTCTATTTCTGGAGTTAAGATTTTACAGCTAAAATGGCAGTCCAATACTGATCTGTCAGGCATAGAGTTTAGTGGGAAAGTATTACTCCTCTCTTCTCAATCTGATGTAGTCTGAGCTCAGGGGAAAGTCAATTGACTGTTCACTCAAAATGCCCAGAATTGCTGTAATGGGAACTGGATGACCCACAGATTAAGAAAGAGACTCAAGAGAAACATTGGTAGACTGAGGAAAAATGCTGGTTTGTGTATTTATTTTTTAGAGACAGGGTCTTGCTGTGTTGCTCAGACTCAAGAGCAGTGGTGAGATCTTGGTTCACTGCAGCCTTGAACTCCTGGGCTCCAGCAATCCTCCCACCACAGCCTGCAGAACAGCTGAGACTACAGATGCATGCCACCACACCTGGCTAATTACAAATTTTTTCTTTTCTTTTCTTTCTTTTTCATAGAGACAGAGTCTCACTCTGTTGCCCAGGCTAGTCTTGAACTCCTGGGCTCAAGTTGTCTGCCTGCGTCAACCTCCCAAAATGCTGGGATTATAGGCATGAGCCACCACACCCAGCCCTGATCTGTTTATTTAGAAGTGGTAGTCTAACCACTGGCAAAAACAAAACAATACGAAAAAGAAAAAAAAACTTCCAAGAGTATGCATGCATGTTTGTGTGTGTAAGCAGTCTATACGAGTATGTTTGTATTTTCTTGGAAGGGCAGAGAGTGATGATGACACAACTTAATGATTCTCTCTTTGAATTTCTAACCTATCAACCATGAAAATGCCTTAAATAGAGAGCAACAGCATTCTTCATCTTAAAAGTAAGGCTTGGCTATCTACACTAGAATAATATCCAACTTCAGAGCTCTGAAGACGTTATAAAAAAAAATAAAGAATTTCAAGACAGTGATGATTCTAACAAAATCAGAGAAAAGAAAAAAGACAAAAGGAAGATACAGCCAGGGAAGTACCATTAATATGAAATAGATTTGCTCAGTTTCTCAGAAGCTTCTAGACAGTTGAAGCTTTTTTTTTTCTTACTAGAAATCTTTGTCTCCCTTTATCACAATATAATTTTCTTTCCTACCTAAGAAAGTTTCTGTAGTTTATTTTAAGATCAGGAATATACATGGCTGCCACTGGAGGATTATTTATAAAGGGTTTGGTCTAAATGAAAATAATCAGATTTTGAAAGGATAAAGAAAGACACAAATTGACAGTGAAGGGAACAGTTTTAGTCTTCCTTCATTTCATTGCAAGTCATGTAGACAATTGAAATAGAGTAGGGAAAAAGATATTTAGGAACAAATAACCCCCTACACTTGAAAACCGAAGCTTCTGAAAGAGGAAACTGCTTTTAGATTGAAAGTGCACCCGGCACTGTTTTTTTGATGGGCTGTGACAGTGTGAGCTCTGGGTAAAAATTATGGCAGAAAAATCTTGGCTCATTAGCACTCAGTCTAGATGAAGTGTCAATATGATGATTACTAGAGAATTTTCTGAAACAGGGCTTATTTGAACTAGATGAAGAAGGAATTACAACAAATTGAAAGTGGCATAGATTTTTATGTTGTAAATTCTTGTGCTTTTCAATTGTTAGAATGGAAGGATGATATTCTTGTGACACTTCTTTATTGCTCTTTATTCTTTCTTTTATTTGCTAACTTTTCAGGAAAGCTTCTCTGCATTCTGAGTGACTGCAATACAGATTTATGCTTACTTGCTTCATTTCTTCTTTCAGTACTGTTACAAGTGCTTACAGATAGAATTATTTACCTTAGGAGGTGGATATTGTGGTTAGATTTCCAAAAATGTGTGACCCTGTGTGTGTGTTGACTGCACCATCTGTCCTTTTGGCCAAAAAATGTTAAAAACTGGGTGATTTAAAAATTTCTCTCCTTGCACATGATTTTTATTTTGTTCCCTATTTGGATGACTCTCAACATCAAGAACAGTGGGAACTGGGTTTCAAAATGGCCTGGTAATTCAAAGCTGTAGAGTTGAATCAGGTTTTTTTGATTTTAAAATGAACTTATTGAGATTTCATAATTGAAAGCACATTCAGAAGGCAGCCCTGTGAATGGAAGGTAACTGGTAACAGCAAATGTTCTGCTCAAAATCCTCATTCACATGGCAGCATTCTGAAGAAAATGGAATTTGTAACTGCAGATTTTCTGAAATACAATCACATCCAAACAGCAGGATTTCTAAACAGAAGGTGCCTTATAACTATGTTCTAAAATTAAACCTCATTTAAACTACATTCATTCTAAATGGAAAATGTACTGTAGTTGTTTTCAACATTAAAGTCAAATTCAAATCATTGTTATCCTAAGAGCTAAGTAGCTTAAATAACTTCTGCCGTGTAATGAAGATTAGCGTGTATTTCATATTAGGTTTGCAGAGTAATTTGGGGGAAAATGTTTTCTTTTTGCACTTGTTTCCCATAGAATAGGAAAAAAAAATCATTATTTGAGGAAGATTGCTTATCCGTAAGATGTGATACTTGTATCAAGTTTCAATCTAGAAGAAGACTAAACAATATATGACATGTTATTGATCAAACTGCTTCTCAGAGAAAGGAACCATTTTGGGAACTGGCTATATTTAGGTTACATAGGGAGCTTATAATGTAAAAATCAATATTGAATATACACTTTTCTCTGTGGAAGGAATTAAAATCGTTTAGTGGAGACAAGGCTCTCTATGGTATGCTCCACAAAAATTATGGCTTATTAGTGAACTATTCAACAGAATTAGGAGTAAGAAGGAGTTAAAGCTACTTTATAATAATAGCTCTTCTTCTCAGGTATATGAAGCCAATTTTACAAAATTTACAGGCCCAACCCTTGTTGTGAACTCTAATATGTCCTTTTATGAGAAATCAAATACTAATAGGGCAAAAATGAAATCTTTTACTCACTTGTCTGCACTTGCAAACAATCAATCTGACCAATAACATATTTGAACAATAATATTAATATCTTATGTATATGCATATATACATGTGTATGTGTGTATACATGTTTATATGTATGCATAAATCTATCTTTATATGTATACACACAGAACACACACACACACATATGGGGAGAGACAGACAGAGGGAGAGAGAGAGCACAATTAGCTTTTCAACACTTTCACATTAGTGCAAATATCCAAGCAGGATGTCCTAATTATCAATTGCAAATTTCTCCCTTTCAGTATCTTTAATCTAGTTGTCTGGATAAAGAGGATAAAAAAAGATTTCTCAATGCCATGTTTCATATATTTTGTACTTTTTTATAAAGCGAATGCCGCTCAACATGCTCGTTATCTATCAGCACGATGTGTATTGAGGATTCGAACTGATGCCCAGTAACGCTTCTGCATTGTTCCTACCTAGAAATGCTGGCCTTTGACTTGTCACTGCAGCTCTGATGAGCAGTACCTGGTGTGCCTTCAGATGTGGCATTTTATTTCTATTCTGTCTAAAATCTAAATGGAAAAGAAAAACAAACAAACCAACAATTTTGTCTCCACGGAGTTCTCTTTATCAAGCTAGTGTGGACATTGGAATTAATAATCATAGAACTATAATTGAGCTTAAGTGTAAACTTCTGTAAAGGATGATTCTGACTCCTTATTTACAATCTTACCACTTAAATACACCTGAGAGGAATGGCTTAGGCATCTTACAGTACATTATTCAAGTGGAGTCTTTTTCACTGAAATTGAACAACATGTTGAAATGAGCATAGTTTTGATGCTGTTACATTAGTCCACCCTATCGCAATTTGGCTTTCTGTGATGTCAGTTACCCACAATACAATACAATAAGATATTTTGAGAGGAAGAGAAAAGGGCCACATTCCAGTTACTTTTATCACAATATATTGTTATAATGGTTCTATTTTATTATTACTTATTTTTGTTAATCTCTTACTGTGCCTAATTTATAAATTAAACTTTATCACAAGTATATATGCATAGAAAAAAACATAGTATATGTAGGGTTTGGTACAATCCATGGTTTCAGCCATCTACTAGGGGTTCTGGAACATATCCTTCATGGATATGTGGGGGCTACTCTAATGGTATTAAGATGTGTATTTTGCTTTTTCTAAAAAAAAATTAAGCACATATTACATTAAAATGCTATATTCTACTGAGGGGAGCTAAGGGGAAGGTGTTTGAAGCCCCCAAGTAATATATTTTAAAAGATGTGGTTAACATAGTGTATGAGTTTTTAGGAAATAAAGTAAAAATAAATAACAAATTATTTTCAATATCCAAAAGGAGAATATAAAATATTCACATTTACTGGGAAAAAATATTTTATAAAACCACATTAAAGGTGGCATATATCATGTGAATAGTAATATAAATGACATTATGTTGTAGACTGGATTTTGAGGAAGAGATGGAAACTGTATTTCATTGGACTGCATATTTAGCCACTATGCCCTTGGGCCATGTGGTTATAAGAAATCTCTCTAAAGTCAATTCTCCATTATATCTGCCCTATTTCAGTAAATTATTCTGCCATTTTCACTGTCCTCCAGCCTGATATTGTGCATTAGTTATTCCTTATCAAATTTATAATTTATATACAAGAAGATTCAAAGATTTTAAGTGTACAGTTCAATGAGTTTTATCTCATGTATATTCCAACATAACTATCACCGAAGAAAAGATATATTTCTAGCTCTCATTCAAGTTCGAAGTTAATTTTACTGCCACAGGAGAGAACCACTGATCCAGTTTCTGTTGCTATACCTTAGTTTTGCCTGTTTTGGAACTGTGTATAAATGGAATCTTACAGCATATGCTTTTTTTGTTTCTAGTTTCTTCCCACACTTCAATCACTCTACACCGTTTTGAGATTCATCCATGTTGTTGCATATATAAGTAGCTTGTACATTTTATTGCTGAGTCATGTTACATTATGCCAAGAAACTACAACTGATTTCATCACTTTTTTTTTATTTAATGAATATTTTTGCCTGATGCAGTTATTGGCTTTTCTGGATATACTTGTTGTGTGTAACCTTATTCAGGTATTTTTTCTTTCCCTGTGGACATGTTTTACTTCTCTTAAGCAAATACCTATGAGTGAAATTGCAGAATCACAATGTTATTTAATTTTTTAAAAGCCAAATTGTTTTTTATACAATTTTTATTTGTATTTTGTTGTATTGAAATCTTTTATCTTTTAAAATATTTTTTCTTCACTTTTTAAAAATAATTTCTTCTTCTTTTTGTAGGTTGAAACATATGTCATTGATTTTAATTTTAATAATTTCTTTTTTCTAACAGATGCACTTCAAGATATAAATTTACCATTAATCACCACTTTAGCTGACTCTCACACACCTTGATATGTTGTATTTTCACATTTAGATTGATTGTTTTCAAAATGTCCCATGTAATTTCTTTTTTGATACACAGATGATTTATAAATGTGTTGCTTCATTTCCAACTACAGTAAATTTTTCAGATAACTTATTATTTAATTAAAATTCATTGTGTTCAGAGAAACTGCTGCATATTATTTCAATCTTTCAAATATATTTGGACTTGTTTTCTGGTCCAAAATATGGCAAATGTTCCATTTGTTCTTGAGAAGAAGGCGTATTCTGTGTTTGTTTTGTATAGTATAAGAAGTGTCAATTATACCAGGTTAGTTGGTAGCACTGTTAAAGTCATCTACATCTTTACTTTCTTTTATCTTCTTATTCTCACTTACAGAAATGAGAATGTTAAAATTCTCCAACCAAGGCTACAGACTTACCTTTTATTTCCATTTCTGCCAATTTTTATTTTTGCATATTTAAGCTCTGTCACTTATCACATAATTGGAATTGTTGAGTCTTCCTGATGAATTAACCATTATCATTATAAAAAAGACACACCTTCTTCTGACAAAACTTTTTGTCTTGAATTCTATTTTGTAAAATGTTCACAGTGCTACCCCATAATTGTTATGCTTAATGCTTCTTTTATCCATCGTCTCACTTTCAATCTATTTGAGATATATTTAATAGATATTTCTTATAAACACCACGTAGTTAAGTCTTGCTTTATATATAGTCTGCCAATTTTTATTTTCCATTTTAACTTGAGCATTTTTCCTGTTCACACTTAATGTAATTATTAATATAGTTTACTCTCATTTGTTTTATATATCAGAATACAATTATATTTAGATCCATTTTACATTTTTGTGCTATAATTGTCATATATTTCACTTCAAATCGAACAAATACCCAACATATTGTTACTATTTTTTCTTCAAATATCAAATAGGTTCCATCTTCTTTACTCAAGGTGAGCTCTGCCTGAATCTTCCCTGTGCTATTTCCTGGAAACTTTCTCCAGTCGGTGAGATGGGGCAATCATGCTCATTTCAATTGTTTCATGTCTTTTGGGAATCATAGTCCTCCCCTTCCTGATATCCAATGTCTTGATACTCATTATGTCATATATTTCATTTATGAAACATATATTATATGCAGTATTTTAAATGTTTCGGTTAGGAGAAAAAATCTAATTCCTGATACTTCATCATCCTCAGACAGGAAGACTCCTCCCTTTCTCTTGAAAGCTATTTTTGCTGGATATAAAATTCCGGTTTGTCAGGTTTTTGTTTTATTATATTTTTCCTTTTACTACTTTAAAGATGTTCCATTTTCTTCTGAATCTCTTGCTTCTGACTTGAAATATGCAGTCTTGCTTATTGTTCAATTTAATGTACTGTTTTCATTTTTTATTTCTGCATTTCAAAATTTTTCTTTACCTTTGGTTTCAGCAGTTTGACTATGAATTGCTGAGGTATGATATTCTTTATATTTATTGTGCTAATAGTTTGTTAAGCTTGCCGAATTAATGGTTTGCTCTTATCTCATCAAATTTGAAACACATATTTATAATTTTATCAATCATTTTTCCTTCCTTATTCTATCTAAGTTATCCATTACTTACATGTTTGACTGTTGTGTTCTGTTTAACAAGTCACAAAGGCTCTGTTTATTTTATTTCAGACTTTTTTTCTGTTCTTCAGTTTAAATATTTTTATTAACTGACATTATATAATGTTTATTCTATTGTTACCTGTTGCTGTTCATTTTTAAATTCCAGATATTATATTTTTCAATTTTAGAATTTCAATTTGGTTCTCTTTATACAGTTTCCAGTTTTTTTTTGGAATTCACCTCCTATTATGTCTATTTTTTCTGCTCATTTTAAGATACTTTTAATAGATATAGATATATCAAAATTCTTTATTGATGATTGTATCTTTGGGGTTTTTCTATTATAGTGTCTAATTTTACATTTATGTGGAGTCACATTCTTCTGATTTTCTTTCCTTCGTTAAGCAACTTAAGAGCCAAGATAAAGGTATGGTCAATTGATCTAACCAGATAACTAGATGTTGAGATATATTGGCGTGGTCTTATGATTTTACTTCCTCTATGGATTTAGGCAAAAAGAGTCTAAGAAGATAGATCTCTCTTTGCTTTTAATCAAGTCTCAACTTTCTGTTACTGCCAAGGGGCATATAATTGTATGGCAGAAGTTTAATTGGGTAGCACTTTAGTTGCACCTTTGGTTAGACTCAGTTTACCTCTGTTTTAAAATACAATCAAGTGTCATTTAATGACAAAGATACACTCTGAGAAATGTGTCGTTAGTTGATTTCATTATTGTGTGAACATCATAGGGTGTACTTACACAAACCTCCATAGTACAAAGTACACACATACCTAGGCTACCTGGGTATATAACCTATTGCTCCTAGGCTACAAACATGTATAGCATGTTACTCTTCTGAACGCTGTAGGCAATTGTAACACAGTGGTAAGTATTTTTGTATATAAACATATAAAAACATAGAGTACAGTAAAAATATAGTATAAAATAAAAATAATTAGGTCTCATTTATTTATTTTTGTTTTGTTGCATTTGGGGATCTTAGTCATACATTCTTTGCCTAGGCTGATGTCTAGAGGAATTTTTCCAATGTTATCTTCTAGAACTTTTATGGTTTCAGGCCTTATAGTTAAGTCTTTATTCCATCTTGAATTGATTTTTGTGTATGGTGAGAAATAGGCATCCAGTTTCATTCTTCTACATGTGGCTTGCCAGTTTTCCCAGCAACATTTATTAAATAGGGTGTCCATTCTCCAATTTATGTTTTTGTGTGCATTGTTGAATATCAGTTGGCTGTACGTATGTGGCTTCATTTGTGAGTTATTTATCTGTTTCATTAGTCTACATGCCTACTTTTATACCAGTATCATGCTGTTTTGATAACTATGACCTTGTATAATTTGTCTGGCCTTGTGTAATAAGTCTGGTAATATGATGCATCCAGATTTGTTCTTTTTGCTTAGGACGGCTTTGGTTGTCTGGGCTTTTTTTATTCCATATGAATTTCAGGATTGTTTTTTTCTAATTCTGTGAAAAATGATGGTTGTATTTCGATGGGAATTGCATTGAGTCTGTAGGTTGCTTTGGGTAGTATGGGCATTTTCACAATTTTGATTCTTCCAATCCATGAGCATGGGATACATTTTCATTTGTTTGTGTCATCTGTGATTTCTTTCAGCAGTGTTTCATAGTTCTCCTTGTAGAGGTTTTTACCACCTTAGTTAGGTATATTCCTAGGTATTTTTTTATTTTATTTTGTTTTATTTTTTGCAGCTTTTGTAAAAGGGATTGAGTTTTTTTGTCTGATTCTTAGCTTGGTAGTTGTTGGCATATAGCAGTTATACTGATTTGTATACATTGATTTTGTAACCTGAATTTGTTTATAAAATCTACATTTTTTGGAGGAGTCTTTAGGATTTTCTAGGCATACAATCATATCATTTGCAAAGAGCAATTGTTTGAATTTCTCTTTTCCAACTTGGATGCCCTTTATTTTTTTCTATTGCCTAATTGCTATGGCTAAGACTTCCAGAACTTTGTTGAATAGGAGTTGATAGTGGACATCATTGTTTGTTCCTGTTCTCAGAGGCAATGCCTTCAACTTTTCCCCTATAATTATGGTGTTGGGTGTCAGTTTGTCTTATGTGACTTTTCTTATTTTGTGGTAGGTCCCTTCTGTGCCTCGTTTGTTGAGAGATTTTATCATAAAAAGGTGCTGGATTTTGTCAAATGCTTTTTCTGCATCTATTGAGATGATCACATAGTTTTGTTTGTCATTCTATTTATGTGATGTATCATATTTATTGACTTGCATATGTTTAACCATCCGTGCATCCTTGGTATGAAACCCACTTGATCATATATTATCTTTTTGAAGTGCTGTTGGATTTGGTTAGCTAATGTTTTGTTGAGGATATTTGCATCTATGTTTATCAGGAAAATTGGTCTCTAGTTTTCTTTTTTTGTTGTGTCCTTTCCTGGTTTTGGTGTCAGGGTGAAATTAGCTTCACAGAATGATTTAGGGAGGATTCATTCTTTCTCAATCTTTTGGGATAGTTTCAGTAGGATTGTAAGCAATTCTTCTTTGATGTCTGGTAGAATTCAGCTGTGAATCCATCTAGTCCTGGGCTTCTTATTGGTGGCAATTTTTAAATTGCTGATTCAATCTCACTGCTTGTTTTTGGTCTGTTCAAGGTTTCTATTTCTTTCTGATTTAATTTAGGAGGGCTGTATGTTTCCAGTAATTTGTCCATTTCCTTTAGGTTTTCTAGTCTGAGTACATAAAGATATTCGTAGGAGTCTCTAACGATCTTGTGTATTTCTGTGGTGTCAGTTTTAATGTCTCCAGTTTCATTTCTAATTGAGTTTGTTTGGTACTTCTCTCTTCTTTTCTTAATTTATCTAGCTAATGGTGTATCAATTTTATTTTTCTCAGAGAACCAGCTTTTTATTTCATTGAGATTTTGTGTTTTCTTTTGTTTGAATTTCATTTAGTTCTGCTCTTATCTTTGTTATTTAATTTCTTTTTCTAGCTTTAGTTTTAGTTCTTGTTTCTCCAGTTCCTTGAGGTATGACATTAGGTTATCAATGTGTGCTCTTTCAGACTTTCTGATGTAGGCATTTAGTACTATGAACTTTCCTATTAGCATTGCTTTTGTTGTAGCCCAGAGGTTTTGATAACTTGTCTCATTATTATCAGTCAGTTCAAATAATTTTGACATTTCCATCTTGATTTCATTGTTAACCCAGATATCATTCAAGAGCAGGTTATGTCATTCCATGTGTATGTTTTGAGGATTCCTTTTGGAGTTGATTTCTAGTTTTATTCTGATGTGGTCTGAGAAGATAATATGATTTTGATTTTTAAAAATACATCAAAACTTGTTTTGTGTCCTATCATATGGTCTATCTTGGAGAATGTTCCATCATGATGAGTAAAATGTATATTCTTCAGATCTTGAGTAGAATGTCCTGCAAATATCCATTCAATCCATTTTCTCTAGCATATCATTTAAGTCAGTTGCTTCTTTGTTGACTTTTTTGTCTTGAAAATCTTTCTAGTGCTGTGAGTGGTGTATTGAAGTCTCCCATGATTGTTTTGCTGTCATTCCATTGGTCTAGTAGCAATTGTTTTATGAATCTAGGAGCTCCACTGTTAGGTGAATATAAATTTAGATTTGTAATATCTTCTTGTTGAATTGGTCCTTTTATTATTACATTGTGATCATCTTTGTCTTTTTTTAATGTTGTTGTTTGAAGCCTATTGTCTGATATAAGATTAGCTACCCCTGCTAGCTTTTGGTTTCCATTTGCATGGAATACCTTTTTCTACCCTTTTACCTCGAGTTTGTATGAATCCTTCTGTGTTGAGTCTCTTGAAGACAGCAGATATTTGGATTGTGATTTTTTAAATCCATTTTGCCATTCTGTATCTTTTAAGTGAAGCATTTAGACCATTTACTTTCAATGTTAATATTGAGTTGTGAGGTACTATTCACTATTTTACTTTTTGTTAATTGTTACCTAGTATTTTGTTGTTGTTGGTAATTGTTACCTAGTGTTACCTGTTTTTTTTTTGTTGTTGTTGTTGTTGTTAATTGTTACCTGGTTTTTTTTCTCACATTGTGTTACGGTTTTGTAGGTCTTGTGAATTCTAAGCTTTCAAAAGGTTCTATTTTAGTGTATAATATATATAAATATATATACGTATATAATTTTTCATTCGTATGAACTCCTTTTTAAATTTCTTTATGATGGCTATCACCTTTCTCTGATATCTCCTTGAGTAGCTTAATATTTGATCTTCTGAATTCCTTATCTGGTGTTTCAAAGATCTCATCTTAGTTTAAGTTCATTGCTAGAGAGCTAGTGTGATCTTTGGGTGTTTTATAGCACCCTGTTTTGTTATATTACCAGAGTTACTCTTCTGGTTCCTTCTCATTTGGGCTGATTACTTCTATTCTTGAATTTATGTTTGATCTGACTTTTTTTTCTTTTTTCTCCTTAAGGATAAGACTTTAATGCTTATAGGTAGTTATAGCCCAATTCAGTTCTTGGTGCTTTCAGGGTAGAAGACTCTGTATGAGTTCCTTGGTTATAGACGGTCTTTTTATGATGGCTTTCTCATATGCTGATTGTAGTAGTAATGTGCTCTGTGTGTTAGCAAGTTTACTATCTCCTAAGGGGTTGGAATGTAAAGGTCTCTTAAAGGTTATTTAATTCCCACATCTCCTGCACTTTTTTATTTATTTATTTTCCCCTAGTATTTTATTACTGGTTTGATGGTTCAGGCTTCAGGCCAGTAGGGGAGGTGTCCCTGAGTAGATATAGGTTGTGGCTAAAGCAGGTGGGTAAATGAAGTCCCAGGCGTGACAGAGGTGGCTGGAGGAGCTCAGTGAATCAGTCTGAGGTCTTATCAGGGGAAAGGGTTGGAGCTACCTCAGCTCCCCTGCCAGGCCAGCAGAAAATTATCCACATCTCAGACACACTCCTGTTCCAGTGTTCCAGCTATTAAGATCAGACAAGCACCTCTTTTCAATGGTAGGAATGCTGATGTTTCAAATAGAGAGGAATTGTGACTCTGTCTCTTATGCAAGCCTGAACCTGGAGGATGCTCCTCCTGTGGGTATGAAGTCACCCTGCTGTGTTCCAGAAAGGCTGTCTATAGTTGCATGAATGCTAAGCTCCCATGGGAGAAGCCCCCAGCTATGCCTATGTTTGTGCACAGGGATGGAAAGACTTCCTCTCCTCCAAGACCCTTCCTGTGCACCAGGGCTGTCTGACTGTTGGGATACAGCTGAAGACTTTCCCTGCTGAGACCAGCTCTTCAACTGTGCCACTGCTGAAGGAAGCTTTCCACCAGTGGAAAGATCTGGTTCTCAAAGCTTGCCATCGAGATTCTTTTGTCTCACAGGGTTTTCCCTTGATGTGGTGCACTTCCACTTCCCCTAGGAGTGGGAGTCCATGAGGGCTAGACTACTGTGAATGTTGTTGCTCCTCTGGGTCTAGCTGCCCAGTGAGTTTGCCACACTCCAGGCTGGTGTTGGGGAATGTCTGCAACGGATCTGGTGATGTGACCTGTCCTGAAGTTTCCCAGCAGTGGGTAGCAGCACCAACTCTAATGGGGGTGTCAGGGGAGTGACAGAGATTCTGTGAAATTCCTTGGATTTTGATCACCTTATTGTGTTGGCTTTCTTGAATGACAGTGATAGTAGAAATAAATTGATCACGTGGATGGACTCAGGACCTCCTGGTTAGCCAGAGTGGTGCAGGCAGTAGTGATAAATGAGATGGTGCAGCCATTTTCTCTTTCCTGGGTGCAGTGTTATTCTACCAGGAGATGCTGTGGTGGACTGTGTTAATTTGTCTCCAGCCACGAGGTGGTGCTGGCAAAAGAGAACCAGCTATGGTAATAGCAATGGGATGTGTGTTTGCCTTATATTGTCAGGTATGGCAGGGAGGGGTGGGTATACTCTGGTTTCTCAGGCAATAGGTGGGGCCATAGAACTCCCATGAGATTCTGTCCTTTGTGTTAAGCTACTAGGGCAGGTGGCAGGGCAAAGCCAGGTAGGGGCTGGGTCAGGTGGGTTTGCATTCTGAGTCTCTGCATGCAGGACAAGCAGCAGCCTCTGTGTTGGAGGACAGGAGTGGGTCTCAGGCCACTGGCATGATGTTCCAGAGTGGAGCATTGCTGCCTGTGCTTCACAGAAGAGTTTGTGCAGGGAGTGGGGTATAGCAGGCAGTGGTGAGACCCACAGTTCCCACGCACCTGGCAAGGCAGATCCACTCCCACAGTGTTCCACTGGCAGCAGCAAGCTGAGTTCCAGTCAGCCTGTAATCAGAACTTGCCACTGCCTGGAGTCGTAAGCTTTTCCCTTGGAGATTTCAGCTGTGGCTTCCAGGGCATGCTATTCCCTGTGCACTGCAGAGCTGGCGCCTGGCTCCTGCACCCACTGGCTTCTGCACTGGCACGTCCTGCACTCATGACTCCTGCACTTGCACTCTCCCTCGCCCCGGCCCTGACCAAGGGGGTTCATCCCTACCCAAGTTTATATCATGAAACCCTGTTGGGAACTTCTTTCAACCTATGACCACCACCTGAAATTTTTGGCTGTCCTCTGCAGCATCCCCTGTGAGGAACTGTAAGGAATGGCTGTCCGCAGTCCATGCTGGGATCTGAGATCCATGCAAGTGTCTTTCTGCTGCTGTTTCTGCTTCTATACTCTATGACCCTGCACAAGTGGGTTCCTGCATTAGATGGGGTTAGGGCCTGGTCTTTCAGGGTCCCCAGTGGAAGTGTGTATCCTAAAGGCAAACTCTCCCTCTCTCATGATCTGGGCACTCACCGCTGTTCACCTGACTCAGTGTAGGCTGTAGCCTCCTGCTTCCTTCAAAGGGTCCATAGATTTCTTAGATTTTCCTGTATAGTTTCTGCATTGCTTCTTGAAAAACAGTTCACGACATGAATCTCAACACACAAGTTTTGTCCTTCCAAGTGGGAAAGAAATGTTAGCAATGCCTCAAATCCGCTGAAACAACAACAAGAACAACAAAACACAAAAAAACTATCCACAATTTTAAGTGGCTTTAAAATTAGTATAATAGTTTGACTTATCTGGTAATTTCTTATGTTCGCAGATAGAAAACTTTTTCATATCCCTCTATTTCCTAAGCAGAGGACTATTAGGTTAATTCATGGCTACTCCCTCTCCCTTGCTTCTATTCTCCTGGCAATACTTTTTCTCATAGTTTTTTTTTTTTTTTTGGTATGGTTATTTTCTATCCATTATTCTTGCCATAACCCCATTAAAGTCCTGACCCCATTCTTATTTACATATCCCTCATATCCAGGTTTATTTTCCTAAATTGGTAAATTCTCCATGTTTTAAATTCTCCATGTCATAAAAAGACTGATGCCACTTTTATATTTGTTTAAATGTCTACTTATTTCCTTTAAGAAGTCTTTGGATTGTTACTTAAGATTTTGTACACAATATGCCCAAACCTATCCATGTTGTGTTACATAAGATTTGATTTTGGAGACGAACCCACATCTGCAATTATAATAAGAAGCCTACCATCTACAGTGGTCTTTCTGATACAAGACTGTGATATGCTAACATATTTTTCAAAAAACATGTTATTACCTAATATGTTGCACTGATGATGAACTTATTCAACAAGAGGGCTTAACTGCCTGCCTACAACATTACTTCTTCTATGTTGATTATGCAAAGAATTAACTAAATAAAAAGCATATATAAAACTTTGTATATTTGGTTTATATTTTGAATCACTTCCAGTTCTAGTATGCCCATTATAGACCCATTTATAAATTAAAAAATGTGAACACACATATTTTAACTATTGTTGAAAAATATGAATGTTTCTGTTGTTTAACAAAGTTAAAATTTGGAAAGAAGGGAAGAAAACAGGAAGATAACAGATTTAAAATCCTAAGCCGTGTGTTGAGGATTAATTTACTGAGGAGTATTATTCTACCATTAAGTTTGCTTTGACATTAAATTATAAAGCAAACTATATTCTGCAAAAGAAATCCTATGACTGTGGCGACAAAATAATAAATAATTTATATTGACAACAAAAACTGTTTTCTTACAAAGCATCTGAAAGCTAAATGCATGAATAGTTCCCCTGATGCTGTCTCCTTGTGAGTGTGCACATGTGTTCTACTTCAGGGATATAGAAGTGGCTAAAAGTGATTTTTTTTTTAATATAACAACATCAAATAGTATGAGAGACTGAAAAGCCAATTGTTGTCAATGAACCAATAATAAAAAGACAATACATTTTACATATAAAGATTTCAATTTAGAGCAAAGATATGCTAGTTGATTTTAGAAAGTATCTTTGCTGCCTGGGCATGATAAAATTTTTAGGAACTTTCCCAAGTTAGAATATTTTTTCTGTCTTAGTAGATGTTCTGTTAGTAGGTCATTTTCCCACTAACTCTTTTTGAACAATTTAGGTTTATGCAACTGTTTGACTTTAATGCTACATTTTTCTGTGACCATTGTATATTTGTTTTTCAATTGCATAAAATTTGGTTTGATGACAGACCACGAGAAAGACTGATGTAATAGTAGATATATTGTCAGGAGGGCAAACCAAAAAATCGTGTAAATTCACCTGGCATAAAATTAAAATGTTATGAAAAATGTCAGGGAAAGTTTACTGACTGTACAAATTACTTGTAAAAAGAAATGGTACAAAAATGGTCTCGTGATTAGAATAATAGAAAATATTGCAGCAGAGGTTAATTTTATATTTGAACGTCATTGCATTAGTCCCATTGAAGTGACTTTTTTTAGTCAAAATTAGTCCCTGTGTGGCATGTATTAGCAGGGCTTATTAATCTAAATTAATGAAAATATGTTTGGGGATGTTGGTTTATTACCGAATTACATGAAATCAAATTTTTAATAAATTTAGAAAGCCATGTGTTTCTGAAAGTAGGGCTTATGAGATGCACAGGAAGTTCACTTTTGGAAACAAAAAATAGTCATCTTCGAAAGTCACTAATAAGTAATAACCATTTTTGTTACTCTAGATATGTTATAGTACTGATAGTATGTTGAAAAGAGTCCATGAGTGAGGAAAATAAACAATGGTTTCAACTTAAACCAAAATTAAAAAAAAATCATGGGGTCAAACATTCTGAATTACAGATATTTATCTAGGATCAAACTGTAGTTCTATGGGCAACTTTACAGAGGATGCTTTAGGGTGAGTAGCAATTAGTAGGTATATATTTAACATAGACTAATGAGTCTCTTAAACAACAAACAAGGCCAGCTAACGTTAAATCAAGGTGAAAAATTACATATTAACCAGAAGAAGGCATGTCTAATGGGTTAATGAATATAATCCAAACCCAAAACAAAAGACCTTAAACTTTTTGACTCTTCAGTAGACCTTTAAAAGGATGAGAAACTCTAAAGAGTGATGTTAGCAATAACAAAGAAGGATATTTTACTATGATGGCCACAGGACAGGCTTTGATATCTGGAGATATATCACTAAATTTCCACTGCATTTTGGGCCCATGACAAAAGCTTTAGTGAAACTTACAAGAAGTACAGTAGCCCGACAGCAGTTTTAGTACTTTGAAAAAGGGAAGCAGCATACACTAAACAGTAGCCTAAGTGAAATGTATTTTGTCCCCATTTCAAAGCAGAAAAAAAATATTTTCTGGGAGAAGATGAAGCATGTGAAGATGAACTGGGTAACAGGAAACCTTGTGAGCTAGTACCAGGTAAATGAGCCAAGTAGATGATGTATATATGAAGTCATAGCGTGAAGCCAGTCACTCTTCTCAATGATAAATTCTCACAACATTGTGCAGTTAACTGACTGCAACAGAAGCACAGTGGTTCGGTTTTGTTTAAATGCAGCCAGTCAATAAAATAAAAACACCTAAGAACATGAAATTGTCTGGCTTTATTAGAGGATGATCTGTACATGAAGCATTCTTAAGGAAGATGCAAACTTGCACTGAATATTTTCATGGACAAATATTTTGTCTTTTAAAGTCATTATTTCCTTTCTCTTCCTCTATTCAGCCACTTAATTAGCAATAATATTAAATGCCTTTGGCAGAAAACCCTGTAAAAATTTGTGTTAGATATCAAATAGAATTAAATTTGGAATACATAGTTAATTGCTAAGTGAAAATCTCCATATTATAGTTTAGCAGTGTTCTGATATTGAAAATATGGTCTCTGTCATAAAAAAGTTTATAGGTTAGGTGCAGTCTAAGTATATTTGTTTTTCGAATATGTAAATAACTTGGTACCAATTATGAAAAGAAATAAGATAAAAAGTCACAAAAACACCAAGGCTCGAATTTATTCCTGTATAAGTATTAATTACACATGGTGTCGTACTACTAAACTTTAAAATGAGATACTATTGTGTTGTTTTATTTCAAATACAGCTGTCACTATTTGTATTTTTATGTATCTCTGAAATGAAAACCTTGCCTATCTGTTATTCAATGTATAGGAGACAGATCTATACAACTACAAATACCTGGAATACGAAGGAAGATTTACTTAGTGTGGTAAGTAATTGACATAGTTTTTATCAAGCTCAGTGTTTTTTGTTTGTTTGTTTGCCATGGCTGAGAATGAAGAATAAAAGCAGGCTTTGTGCTATGCAAAAGGACACTGTACTCAAGCCTCTCATGTACTCCTTCTCTCTCTCTCTCTGCCTGCCGCCATCCCCCCTCCAACACACACATAAAAGAGCCTCAATAATGAAAGTTGTAATCTAATGAATTCTTTTCAGCTTTGCTTTAGTTCAACTTGTTGTGGTGGTATGTAGGAGCTGGCTTTTAGCCACTCAAAAAAGCTGATTGTTCAAATTGGAGGAATTTTGAGAGCCAACTGACATCATGTTTGAAACTGACCGTATTGGGAATATTTATAACACAGAAATCAGCAAATGCTACCAATCAGGGTTCTCCCCTCTTTTCCTAGCAACAGATACAAAGACATCACTGGCTATTTGTCACTGTGGATCATGATTTCTTCTTTGAACTCTTTGACTTCTATGAGAGACCTTTTTATTTTTTCAGGCTGTGATCTTCTGTCTAGGCTTGCTCTTTTGTGATTGCCTATAGGAAGTCCTGCTCTTCTACCTTCTTTAAGTGCATCTGTTCCTGAGGGGTTTGTCCTAAGGCTTTTCTATTCTCACTTTATGTTCTTTCCATGTGGGAACTTTGCCACTTCAGTGTCCTTAAATAGCCTGCAACACTTTCTGGAGCTCTAAGACTACTAATTCCATTGCCATCTAAGCAACTCCTCCTATAATTCCTATAGGGGACATCAGTCTCAACCTATACAGAACAGAACACTTCTAATATCCATGTGCTCACCTACGTTACTGATCATGGTGCTTCCTGTTTACAGTCCTCTCTCAGCTTCCCATTCATGAGTATAACCTGCAAACCCATTACCATGCTGTACCAGGCCACACATGGAGTGTCCCCTTTCCACATGTCTTTAGCTTCATTATTTATCATCTATACCTCTTTTCTTAAAACTTAAGTATACTAAGTTACTGAAAATCCTGCTTCTGTACTATAACACAGGGCCAGAGATATGTGCTGGTGCCTGGGAAACAGAGAAGAAGATGCATTGGAAGATGTTTGTCATCAGAGCAAGATATCTAACTTTTGCTGGATTATCTAGTAACTTATCTCATGAAGACCCTGCAAGGTGGGGTTGTTTCAAACCTAAGTCCCTGGAGCAATGTAAAAATACTAGTTACAAAGTTCCAGTACCTGATATGGCCTAGGAGCTACAGGCCTTTGATGGTCTTCAGCAAAGCTTCTTTTACCAGGTAAATAACTAGAGTCTGGGCATCTGTGGGGGTTATTATTCTGCCTACCATGTGTTCCAAAGATACAATTAGGTGGAAGAAAAAGGTACTAGCCTTTAAACTTCAGTTTACTCCTTTCTATTATTGCCAAAGACCTGTTTGGGGAATTTCTACAAAGTCTGTAGCTTCTCTCACCACTCTGTGGCTCCTACCACTAATGGTTTCACAACTTGGTCCTTTCCCCTCATTCCGCATCCTTGGAATAAAGGATACGGAAATTGACTACACTGTGACTGACTTAGACACCATCTCCTTAGATTGTTTGATCCCCAAAGATAGTTTCAGAGCATTATGCCTCCCCAACTCACAGTTAGTGAAGTGCCCTGAGATTTGTCAACTGGCACTTGTCTCCCAGACTTAAAATTCTGACAGACTGTGATTTAACCAACTTTCACTCACCCTATGTTCTCCCTTCTCTATATAACATTTCAGTATCTAGTTTTGTTTTTCCTTCCTTCCTTCCTCCCTCCCTCCCTCCCTCCTTTCCTTCTTTCCCTCCCTCCCTCATCTTTAAAATTAGAAATGATACAAAGTTAATTGGAACAAGACAAAGAAAACAAAATATTTATCCTAAATGAAGTGATAACTGCAATATATGACTACAGAACAGGAGCTAGCAACAGTTCTATAGAACTAGCTAAAGAAAGTAAAAGTCATCTAGACCAAATTCTTATTTGCTTTCAGATTATGCAAGTATAGCTTTTGTTTCTATATTCCTCTAAAAACATTGCACTTTGAAATACTACATAATAATATTTAAATCAATATTTTACTCCTTTACCCTTTAAAAATGATATCCATGTTTTTCTGAAACATCATCTGCTATTTGTCTTCTCCTCAAAAATATTTTCAGAATCAAATAATTTTCTCATCACTTTCATTGCTACTACCCACACATCCATCCTCTTTCCCTTGGGTCACTGGAATACTTCCTGACTGGTGTCTCTGCCTTATGCCTTGATTCCACTGCTCCCTGCCCATGCCCTCATATCAGGAAGTCAGATGATTGTTTTTCAAATCTAATCTGATTACAATCACATTACTCCTGCTTAAAATCTTTCAAAACTTCCTCTCTTTCTCAGAGAGAAGGCCACGACCCTTACCTCAAGGGCAGAGCTGTGTGATGTGCTGGCTATTAATTCTCCCTGCAGTCACTCTCATCCAGCCTTACATCCTCTTTGCTGTTCTTTGAATACTCCAAGTTTCCACCTGTCTCAAGTACCTTTGCTGCTTGCTGTCCCTGTGCCAGGAACTTGGTTCCCATTGTATCCATTTGGCCTTCTCCCTCATCACCATCAGGTTTCTGCTCAAATGTCAAACTCACTGAGGCTTTCCCAGTGTGCTCTATTTTAAACAAGCTCCCTCTCCTTGGCCCCACATTTTCTAGACTCACTTTCTCTTTCATTTGTTGTCTAGATCACTAATTGTTTCCTATTTTGCTTTACTTAGAGTACTATAAACTTTCCTTTTAAGATATAAAAAATAAACTTCATGATAGTATAATTTCTATTTGATTCATTATCCCTACATTCCATGAAAATGCCTCCCCATGATCGGTACACAATGAGTAGTTTTTAAATTAATAAATGAATGAATGGATGAAAAATTTTCTACCTGCTTGGTTATTTCTTCTAGGTATCATACACGCCCTCTCCCATCATGGCATCCTTCTGCTAATCTTTTTTTTTTTGCCATTCCCTGGGATTCTAAATCTTGGCCTTGTCTTCTCACTTCATACATGTCCCTTGGTTGTTTTCACCTATTCTCAGCTGCAAAAGCATCTTCACTGCTCTATTTTAGCTTCACGATCCTGCATTCCGTTTTCTATATCATGGATAGAATATTCTTTCTAAAACCCTAATATTTTCAGATTACTACTATTGTGCTTGAATGGCTGTCATTGATTTTTATACCCTATATGACAATGCAAACAACTTATTCTCTCATAAACTGTCCTTTACAGTTGGGTGCTTCCAAATTTTCCAAACTCCTTTAGCACTCCAATTTAATTAATAGTGTCCTTTATCATCATGGAATCTTGAATTCATATATTGATATAAATCACCTCAGCATCTCTACAGAATTTGCAATGTTAGAAAATAAACATTTTTGACTATGACAAAATTAGGTATTTTAGCAAAAAGAGAACCTTTAAAACTGAGTAAAGAAGATCAAGTTTTTCTCTGACCCTTGTTTAAACCATCGCACATGTTATCCTTCTCTTATACCTTGTGGCCATGGTAATGATAATGCTGTACTAAAGAGATAATTAAAAAGAAATTCAAACTGTGAATAAATTTTGATGAAGAACTCTTTCTGTGACACATTCTCAGTACTTATCATTGTGCCTTACATATAACAGTAACTCTGTGGATGATCAAGTGCTATGTCAAGGCCTGTCATATCATATCTTCTTTTGATATATTTAGAAGTAATCGAATTCATGAGCTCTTGATTAATTACATTATAACAATGTAGGATTGTTATATATTGTGGCACAATCTAATGTTTGCACACAATTATAGTATATTTCCTCTTTAGTACAACTTATGATCATAGATCTCATTTGATGAATTTTAGAATTGTTTTATAAGATTAGCAATTAAGTACTTTAAAGTACATGAATATTTTAATTGCATAAATAATAAATATTCACTTTGGAAAACGTTGAAGGTAGTGTCAAGGTGCCAAAAGGCAACTGTAATGTATCTGACTAATGTAGGATAGCAAATATTAGTTCCTGTATTGTATATTTTCCTGTCTCATATCTAAGCATACTTTTATTTTTCCTATCAAAACCATTATAAAGTAAATATGTTTGAATATTCTTTTAAAAGAAATATTTCAATTATCTGATGTGATGAAATCATCTTTTGTAAGAGATTTTTTAATGGCTATATAGAATATAATATCAATATTAAATACTTTAAGATCCATATATATTGCGGGATCTGGCCAGCAGCCCGCAATGCAACGGGGCTCTTTCTTTGTTCCCAGGCAGATCGGCAGGTCGAAAAATAATAGACACACACAAGATAGTGAAAGCTGGGTCCAGGGGGGTCACCACCTTCTGGTCCCGCGATGCTGCCAATGCACTGGATATACCAGCATTTATTATTAAGTTTAGTGAGGGCGGGGGTAGGTTAGTGAGGGATTTAGGGTCATTTGATTATGAGGTGAGATGGTCACATGGGGATGAAGTAATTCTTTAACATAACATCTGTATGCAGAAGTACAGTATACAGAGATAAGAATTTACAATATAGTGTGTGCATTAGTAATTTCTAACAGAGCCTTAAAACAGAAACACAGTCTTTCCAAAACCTATGATTAGCAAGATATTAATCAGCAGTAACAATTGCAGCAAAAGCTGATTACAAACAATCCATAGAAACAGGATGTGAAGCTAGACAACCAGTTAGACCAGAAATTCTCAGAAGGGAGTATGTCTTAACCCTGAAGAGGACTAGAAGAGCCATGGCAAGATGAGGGCGTTTATAGCCCTATCTTATCCATATGGACAGGCGCCCCTCATGCATCTGTTTATAGGCTCTCCACAAGGGTCGCATTCCATTCCCACAGCTATGAACATCTGCTTTTCTGGGATAGGAATCTTGGTGATGTGAAACCTCCCTGGCTGCACGTCCCTTCATAGGCTCTCTGCAGGGGGAAGCACATCACGTGCTGTTGGCTCATTCTGGCAGTCCAACCTGGCATTGTCTTTACACAATCCTGCATGCAATTTTGTATTTACAATAATCAGGAGCATTTCATCTTTTATTCCATAGCAATAGTTTTCAGGGGGTCTCCTTACATCTCCTCCATTTCTCTGATTTAAATGAACCGTAGCAATCATAGCTTGGTGCTGATCACGATTGGAATGAAGAAAAATTTTTCCAATTTTACACATGAATAATAAACCAATAGCACAAATTATACACAGAACAAAGTTAACAGTATTGGATCCTCCCAAATGTTTTACCCATTGAATGGGGTTGAGATTAGATAAACCCTCAGAGATACCACCTAAAACTTCAGCACTGGGTAAAGCAGTTAAGTGTGCTTGAGAGGCCTCAAAAATCTGTTCTTTTAGCTTGCTTATGTCTAAACTTAAATTATCTTCACTTCCTTATAAATGGCGTTTTACTTTTTCCCAATTGTGAACAGACTCATTATATTGGAATGGAGTTACACAAAAATCAGAAGTATTCCAATCACATTGCATTTGCAATCTATGTTCTAAACTCATAATACCATATGAGTTTATTGTATTATGAGACCCCTTTCACTCATAATACAATATCAATATTAAATACTTTTAAGAATTTTTATGGATGTATTTTTACTGGCTGCCTTTGAAATGTTGCAAGCGGTTTTTCTATTTTATTTCATGTTAGTTAACAATATTTGTGCAGTTGAAAAACATCTCCATTTTCAGTTTCCCAATCTCTCAGTTGTATGTATGTATGTATGTATTATTTTAAATTTTCATTTAATTCACTTACAAGGAATGAGATGAATCACCATGGTGTAAAACAAACAAAAAAAATTATATAGTCTCTAACTCATATGAGATTGTAATCATTTGGAAATATGAGCAAGAAATATTTACACTTTGAAAGAGCCACAGATGGTGATGTATCCAACGTATGAGACACACACCAAGTGCTATGAGTATTCAGGGTAGTGAGATATTACTGTGTACTAGAGCAGCAAAGACAGATTTGGGGAAGGACATAGACTTGAGATGAGTCTTAAAAATAATCTGTACCTGAATAGATGAAGAGGTGTGGAGAGAGCATGCCGAGTACAGCTGCTCAGCATTTTTGCATATAAGGTATGTTTGGTGAGTTTGGGGATATGTAAAGTTATTATCACCAAGCATAAATTGTATATAGTGTTTTGTTTTGTTTTAAATACCATACAGATTCTTATTCTTAAAAAGTCTGTTCAATTTAATTGGATGAACGTAAACTCATTAAGTGTGCTTTTACATCCTCATCTCACCTTTCTCTCCTCAATTTCTGTTTGCATAACCACTTTTTTATTTCTTCAGTTCTGGAGAGTTTTGCGTGTTCCTTACCTCTGTTAACTCTCCATCCCAGCCTTTGAACTGAGTCTTCCCTTCCTCAAGCATTCAGAAGTCCAATTTGTCTCTCTGTATTGTCAACTTATTCTCTCACACATATGTTTTTTTCAGGCATTACAGGTCTTTTTAACCTTGATAAATCCAAACTGAATTCAAGACATTGAATTGCTGCTTGCAACTCACCACTAGCCATTCACCTTGTATTACCTTAATATCTGGATTCTGTTCTCACCGTACTTAAGCAAAAGATGCTGTACTTTTAAGAAATATCATTGTATTGCCTGTATAAAAGATGTAACCCATTCCAACAACCTACCTTTAGAAATGGAAAAATTTGACAGTGGTGTATGTGGTGCTGCCTGTTGACAGTAGCAGATAATTTTATTACACCATTTGGGAGGGAGAGGGTAAGGAGAAATATCTGTTTTATACTGACACATAAGTTAGTTTCTTAGCTCCTTTTTATCAAGCACTCGGTTGGATATAATACTATTTGTATAATAACTTTCAGATTCCAGAGGCTTACTCTTGCACAGATTTTAAGTCATAAAATCAATGAACTCATCTTGGTCTTTAATCCCCTTGATATCTGCATTATTTTACCAGGAGTCTACTGCTGTCTTCTCAAATCTCTTTTATTTTTGGTTCCACAATACAGTAGCCTTTTGGCTTGCCTCTCGTGACTGACAACTTCTTTAATCCTTAAATGACTTTGTTGTTTTCATGCTGTGAAAGCAATTTTTCAACCTCCACTTTTTTCATCATTTCATTCAGTGAGTCTATTCCCAGGAACAAAGTTCCTCTCTGTATCAATACACCTCCAATCTTTCTTTCTAACCTTTATCTTTATTTTACTCATCTTTCTTATTATGTACTCTACAGTTTATTTTGGATATTATTCTATTAAGTATAATTAACATTTCCACGTAATTTATGACTTTTTTTTAATGCTGGATCTTGTTCTGTTGCCGAGGCTGAAGTGCAGTGGCTAGATCACAGCTTATTTCACATGGCAGCCTTGATCTCCCAGGCTCAAAGGGTCGTATGGCCTCAATTTCATGAGTAGATAGAGCTACAGGTGCCAACCACCATGCCCAGCCAATTTATTTATTTACTTATTTATTTATATTTTTATTTTTTGTAGAGATGAGGTTTCATCATGTTGTCCAGCCTGGTCTCCAACTCCCGGGCTTAAGTGATCAGCCCACCTCGGCCTCCCAATGCTGGGATTACAGATGTGAGCCACTGTACCTGGCTAAAACTGTGACCTTTTTGAGAATGAAATATTTTAATTGTCTTCTTAATAACTATACCCAGACAACAGATATAAACTGAGATTGACCCAGGAAAACTAGACATATGGTCATCCTATCTAAAATTTATCATTGTCCTCACCAAGAAGCCTGCCCTCTGAGTTCTACATTGTTCCTAATTACAACACAGTACTCCTAGTATCTGTGATATTTAATTTTCTAGGTACAATATTTTGTCTTTTGCTAGGTAAACAATTTTTTCTTTTTTCCTTTTTTCTTTCTTTCTTTTTTTTTTTGAGATGGAATCTTGCTCTCGCACCCAGGATGGGGTGCAGTGGCACTATCTCGGCTCATCGCAACCTCCGCCTCCTGGGTTCAAGCAATTCTCCTGCCTCAGGCTCAGCGTAGCTGGGATTACAGGCACCCGCCACCATACCTGGCTAATTTTTGTGTTTTTAGTGGAGGCAGGGTTTCACCATGTTGGTCAGGCTAGTCTTGCACGCCTGACCTCATGATCCAACCTCCTCCCCTCCCAAAGAGCTGAGATTACAGGCATGAGCCAACGCTCCTGGCCAATTTTTTCTTTTCCTAAATGTATTACCTTCACCCCATTAGTGATTTATACTTTAAATACAGAATATTATACTAGGCTCCTAACTGGCTTTGCAGCCTCTATTCTCTCCCTACCCCTAATGAATCATGGTTACATTGCCATATTATTTTTATTTATCATATTTTTGGGGGAAACTGAAAAACTTGCAAAAATTTATCACTGCCTACAGATTACATTTTAGATTTTCTTATTTTCATTGATTATTTGATAATCCAGCCCACATTCACCTTTTTGGCTTTATTTTTCATTACTTTATTTTTTTTAACTTTAAGTTCCAGGATACATGTGCAGAATGTGCAGGTTTGTTATATAGGTATATATGTGCCATGGTGGTTTGCTGCACCTGTCAACCCATCATCTAGGTTTTAAGCCCAGCATGTATTAGGTATTTGTCCTAATGTTCTCCTTCCCCTTGCCCCCAACTCCCTGATAGGCCCCAGTGTGTGTTGTTTCCCTCCCTGTGTCCATGTGTTCTCATTGTTTTACTACCACTTATGAGTGAGAGAGAACATGTGGTGTTTGATTTTCTGTTCCTGTGTTAGTTTGCTGAGACTGATGGCTTCCAGTTTCATCCATGACCCTGCAAAGGACATGAACTCATTTTTTTAATGGCTGCATAGTATTCCATGGTGCATATGTACCATCTTTTCTTTATCCAGTCTGTCTTTGATGGGCATTTGGGTTGGTTCCCAGTCTTTGCTATTGTAAATAGTGCTGCAATAAACATACATGTGCATATGTCTTTGTGGTAGAATGATTTATAATCCTTTGGGTATATACCCACTAATGGGATTGCTGGGTCATATGGTAATTCTGGATCTAGAATTGAAGAATTGCCACACTTTCTTCCACAATGGTTAAACTACTTTACATTTCCACCAACAGTGTAAAAGCGTTTCTATTTCTCCACAGCCTCACCAGCATCTATGGTTTCCTGATTTTTTAAAAATTGCCATTCTGACTGTTATGAGATGGTATCTCATTGTGGTTTTGGTTTGCATTTCTCTAATGATCAGTGATGATGAGCTTTTTTCATGTTTGTTGGCTGCATAAATGTCTTATTTTGAAAAGCGTCTGTTCAAACCCTTTGCCCACTTTTTGATGGAGTTGTTTGCTTTTTTTCTTGCAAATTCAAGTTCCTTGTAGATTCTGGGTATTAGACCTTTGTCAGATGGGTAGATTGCAAAATTTTTCTCTTATTCTGTAGGTTGCTTGTTCACTCTGAAGCTAGTTTCTTTTGCTGTGCAGAAACTCTTTAGTTTAATTAGATTCCATTTGTCAATTTTGGCTTTTGTTGCAATTGCTTTTGGTGTTTTAGTCATGAAGTCTTTGCCCATGCCTATGTCCTGAATGGTATTGCCTAGGTTTTCTTCTGGAGTTTTTATGGTTTCGGGTTTTACATTTAAGTTGCTAATACTACACCCTATTACGTTTGTTTTTTATTAGCTTTTTCTGCATTCTATGCATCTGGTCCTATTGTTGCCATGCAAACATAGCTTGACTAGTCCCAATTCTACAATTTTGTTTACACCATCTCAAATTCCTTATGAAAGTATTGAGGAATTGTCTCATTGTTTCAACTAGAAGTCATCTCTCTCTTTCCCCAAAATTACTATAGTGTATATTGCATATAACATGTCACACAAGTTACTTTTTATTAATTTTGTTACTTTTTAATAATGTGAAGCATCTGAGATCAGTAATAATTTTAATATATCTTTGTACTTTTATCTAGTGTTTATTGAATAATTATGCAGATAATAAAGTCAAGAGAAATTAAAGTGAACAAACAAAATAACTGTTTAATTAAATAGGAAATGAAAAAGCCAATTTGTACTCAGTATATTGCTTACTTGAGGATAGGATACACATCAGAGCTGTACTCCATGCAAATCCAAGCCTGACAATCAGAGTTGTACACAATAAAATGGCTTTTCTGCTATCATGAGTACTGAGATAAATAGTTAGGATTAACTCAGGAATTGTAGATGGGATAGTGTAAACTGAAGATCAGTAAAAAATGTTACTAGAAAAGCAATCACATATTCTGTCAAAAAAAGCCTTTTGAATATTTAACAATGCTGAAAACAATAATATTTCAAAATAAAGACAATTTTTTGGTAAAACAATTCCTAATCATTATGTGCTCATGTTAAGGTAATGTATTTTGGCAGCAAAGGATTGGTAATGGGGCACTGGCAGCTAAACTGAGAGAACCAAATCTAATTTTGGAGCTAGAGTTTCATTTGCCTATTAGCTCATGTACAGATGGGTTGATGTGTTGTAAGAAAAATCAATGATGCATTTGGAAACTGCATTTCAGCTGAAAAAAGAAGGTCAGAACCTGGAAGGTGAGATTTATAGTAATAAATATTCAGTATTAAGGTTAATTTTCAGTTTTCCCATTGGCTTAGTGGATAAGAATATTTAGAAGGTAGTAAAAATATTGTTTCTTGTAGGAATATTACATCTGATTTCATATGCTTCCATGAACAAATAAATCATGAGACGTAATGCTTCAGTTCATGCAAATTATGGTAGCTGCACATTCTTTTTCTCACTAAATCCTAAACATAAAAAAGTGAAACTCCTTTCCTAAAGGGAATTTTCTAGAATACTATCACCACACTGCTTTTAGCTACTCAGTCAGTATTGGTCAAAGGCTTTTCCAGTACTTTTATTTAGTGATAGTTTTAAGTAAGTGTGACTGTGACCCCTTTGATCTGACTCCTCACAATACTGTAGCCACTACAGCACAAGCAGAGTTATAGAAAAAGGAGGCAACAATTAGGAGTACTCCTGGATATCTTAGGAATTTACTATCAAAATATGATTTCAGAAACAGTTATTTTTTCCCCTTTTCACAGAAAAACCTCAAAATTTGAAAACACAGCTAGCATATATTATAATAAAGTATAAATATCTTTTCAGATTTTAACTCTAATAGATTATTCTAGGTAGTGATAATTATGTTCCTCCTAAGAGTAATTTTTCATTGTTTTGTAAAGCACTGTATAGTGGTGATTATCTAAAATTCTTCTATTTGTTCTCTAGCATTTTGAGTAGTACAGTTAACCCTTGAACAATGCAGGGGTTAGGGGTGCTGATGCAGTTGAAAATCCACATATAGCTTTTGACTTCCCCGAGACTTAACTATAATACTAATAGCTTATTGTTGACTGGGAGTCTTATTTATAACATAAACAGTGGATTTAAAAATATCTTGTCTATGGCTGGGTAGGGTGGCTCACGCCCATAATCTCAGCACTTTGGGAGGCCAAAGTGGGTGTATCACCTGAGGTCAGGAGTTCGAGAGCAGCCTGGCCAACATGGTGAAACCCCGTCTCTTCTAAAAATACAAAAATTAGCTGGGCGTGGTGGTGCATGCCTGTAGTCCTAGCTACTCAGGAGGCTGAGGCAGGAGAATCACTTGAACCTGGGAGCCGGAGGTTACAGTGAGCTGAGATTGTGTCACTGAACTCCAGCCTGGGTGACAGAGCAAGACATCATCTCTCTCTCTCTCTCTCTCTCTCTATATATATATATATATATATAGGATCTGAAATAGATATGTAATATATATATAGATCTCTCTCTCTCTCTATATATATATATCATGTTTTATGTATTACATACTATCTTCTCACAATAAAGAAATTTAGAGAAAAAATGTTATTAAGAAAATCATAAGGAAGAGAAAACATATTTGCTATTTATTAAGCGGAAATGGATCAACATAAAGTTCTTCATACTTGTCATCATGTTGAGAAGACTGAAGAGGAGTAGGGAGAGGAGGGGTAGGGGACCTGCACCGTTCAAACCTGTGCTGCTCAAGGGTCAACTGTATTTTAAAAAATTGACATAAAATTAATTAATTTAAAGTGCATAATTCAGTGGCATTTAGTAAATTCCCAATGTTGGGCAATGATCACCTCTGTCTCATTTCAAAATTTTATATAACTCTAAAAGAAAACTACATACCTATTAAATAGTCACTCCCCATCTTCCCTCTCTCTATCCCCTGGTAACCGTCAGTTTTCTTTCTGTCTCTATGAGCTTACCCATTCAGGGTATTTCATTCATATAAATTAAATCATATAATATGTAGCCTTTTGTGTGTAGCTTCATTCACTTAGTATGTTTTGAGATTCATCCATGTTGTAGCCTATATTAATATATCATTCCTTTTCATGGCTTAATAATATTTCATTTTGTGTATATACCACATATTAGTTTTCCCTTTATCCTTTAATATATGGTTTAGTTGTTTCTATTTTTCAGCTACTGTGATGAGTAAAATTATTTGCTTGAGTATCTGTTTTCAGTTCTCTTGGGTTGTACTCTGCTTTTGCCAGGCCAGGTTACGATGACCAGTCACCCTGGTTTTCCAAAACACAGACTTCTCAGCGCAAAAACCACAACAGTCCCTGGAAAAAACAGGGCACTTGAACTGGGGAAATCTTTTTGGTTATTTTTATGTGGAATTATTTATTAAACTGAGAAACAGCCCCATAATTCCTACTACTTATAGGCTGCATCACATCGCAACCTTGTCTTACACTATGGTCTGAGTTTCCATGTCCATTGCTTGTTTGAGACTCTAAAGCATCTATCACAGTGCTTGATGATCATCACTCAATAATATTTTGGGGGTTAAATTGCAGTCGATTTTAATGAAATTCTTAAAAAGTATTTGTTAAGAAATTTGTTGGTTAAAAACATGTACTTTAGAGCCATATTCATGGGTTCATATCCCAACTCTGTAAGACACTGACCCAGGGAAAGTGCACTGTTAATGTTTTGAATATTAAAGATTAGAATGCTTACATTAATGGAAAAGAGACAGCAAGAATAGGCAATCAGCTTTTCATATATAATTTAAATATATATATATATATATATATATATATATATATATATATATATATATATGTGCGTGTGTATGTGAGTTTACATACCTAATAAGTGAAACATTTTACTTCAAATAATTTTTTTCTGGTATCACATGGAGTGTGTTAAAAGTTGTAGTTTTTAGCAATCCATGCTTACTTACTTAATTCTTTTTTTTTTTAGAATACAAGCATGTATTATTTTCCAATGTAGAAAAAATTGACTGAAACAGTCAGCATTATGATTAAAACCAATAATATGATGGGCATTTAGAAGTCTAATTAAGTAAAATATATAAAATCCAGTAACCTAGATAAGAAAGGTATTTGATTTGTTTATTGTTTCTTTGTGATCACTCATCCTTATCAGATATATAGTCTTTAGTGAAGATCATTTACTCAACACTTAATTCAGCTTTGTTAGGCAGGTTTAAGTCCCAACAGAGTTAACGTGCATGTGAGGCAATAAGTTAAAAAAGAGTTAAGACAGCATCCTCAGCTGGAAGTATATTGCCCTGTTAGAAGATTGCACAATGTATTGGAATTAATGGAATGACTTGTGATAAAAATCCAAAAGGGTGATCATCCAACTTACAAGTGAGAGGCACTGTTGATGTTTCTTTATTTTTATTTTTAAAACAAAATAGAGTTTGTAAGCATATGATGATAGTCCAAACATTTCCATATGTCCATTCTTTTTCAGTGTCAAAACCTGTGAAAATGCTAGAGAACCCAAAACACTACTCACATGTGTATCGCCTGGCCCTACCTAAACCACTAAGTCAGATCCTCTTTTGCAGTGTGTGTGTGTGTGTGTGTGTGTGTGTGTGTGAGTGTGTGTGTAGACCTCAATGCTCTCAGTATAATAAAAACTAAATAACTTGAGGATCTGAAATAAAGATTATAAATTTGATTTGTATTTAGTATGTTGAGAATAGTTGCTGTCTCATCGCTAGTTGAAAGGCACTTGAGACCAATATTCAGTCTTTTTTGTTGTTTATATCCAAGAATAAAAAAAGGAAGTTCTTTGGCATCAGCCTTTATTTAATTTTTATCTTGCTGTTGCACAACATATTGCTGAACTATTAATCTTCAAAAGTACTGAGAACATGTTTTATTTGTGGATGACTAGAAGAGTCCTAGAAACTATATTTTAAAAAATGAAATGGCTTTACTGCCTTGCACTAATTCTTACAAAGAAGTATTCATCTCAGTTTACAGTTCAAGTGCCAGGTTTCAGAACATTACATTTTGAGCTGCTGATGTAGAAGTGCTCAAAAACTAGTGTTTTGAAGGGAAGCACAAAGACTTTAAACCACAGAGCCATGATGCATGAAGCTGTAATCAAGAAACAATTCTTGATATGCATTTTCAGTGAGATTCTTTTATATTATATGGTTCCCTAAGGAAGAGAGGAAAGATGTTTCTCATAGAGAAAACACCGCGGCTAGTGAAGAAAATGTGTTTTACATGATTTGTAATTGCTAATATGATTCAGGTACCTGCCCCAGATGAATTTATGAAATTAAACCAGTTTTCTACAACACATGGTTCGAATTCTGTAACAGATAAGCATGTGGCATTGGAAGGTTAGGTAAACTTTATATGATAATGACTATTTTATGTAAAAAACCCAGTTGATTATATTGATATTTTCTATTCATTTTTGTTTTAAATATCAAATAATATTTATAATACCGCAGAAATTTGTATTATGTGACTATGTGAGGCAAAAACAAGGGATTTTTATATGAATTATTTTGCCAATTTCTCCTGTTCTCATTTGGCCATAATATGGTATTTCAGCACCAGTTCTTAAAATCCTGAACTTAAAGTATACAAAGTATACTTCCAGGTATTTCTGCACAATAATTTTAAATGAATTGAGAAATATGTCTAGTTTATTTTGAAGGTTTTCATATCTGAATATTTTTAATATATTATTTCTCTCCCACTAGAATTTAATTTATAGATGGGCAATGCCATTGTCTCATCTCCTCTATTTGAATGCCTAGAATAAGTCTGTAACATCACAGGTCTTTATAACTACATAGAGAATAGTTGAATTAATCTTGATTTATCAAGTCTAAATCTGCTGATGCAAATATCACATCTTAAAGCATTTTCTACTAATATTTAAAAAAAACTATTTCATATGGTTACTCCACACTCAAACGATGACCCTCCTTCTCTCTAAACTCTCTGGCAATGACATTTTATCACATTTCATAAAGAAAATAACAACTATTAAAATAGATACGATTATCTTCCCTCTACCAAATAAATGAACCCCCTGCATCTAAACCCTTCTTCTCCTTATCCCTGGGTGTAATTTAAAGGGGGAGGGTCTTCTTCCTGCAATGTCAGCCCCTCTCTGTGTCCTCTGGACTCTCTTACAAATTGACTATTCAGAAATCTCAGTTTCATCAGAAATATTCTGTCTCTCTCCCAACCTTCAGCAACCTCATTATTAAGTTCCCCAATATCATTTTTAAGATATGTTCTTGTAATTCTTATAATAGGAAATAAAATTAAAACAAAAGAAAAACAAAACTAATCTCTTATAAGAAAATCTCTTTCATTAGCACCCTATCTTTTGACATAATTCTTCAACCATGGTCCAGATATCCAAAGAGATTGAAAACCAAAGGCTTATGTTTTCTTTTTATTTCATTTGGCTGGTTGAAACCTTACCCAATTTTGACTGACAAAAGCTCATTTATAATCTTATCTAACTTAGTGTAAATATTCATGTATTTTACTCCAGGGAACTTTATGTAATTTTTAATGTAATATTTGATTTGAGGTGCTATGAAGAAGTCACGAAGATGTCATGTATATAGATTAAACGTTTCTCCATCTTTCTGAAATACGAATATTTGAAATTCCAAAACATACTTGAGCTCCAAGTTTTCATATAAAGGACCGCGGACCTGTCCTTTCATGCTTAATCGAGGTTCTCAAGATGGTTCCCTTCACGTGCTATTTTCACTTTATTGCCTCCAATTCATCATTCAACTCACTCGAGCCTTGTCTATCAAAACAATTCTTGCTAAGGTACCATTTCCATGTCGACAATTCTTAAGCACATTTTCCATGTTTTCAAACACTAAACTGGGAAGCAACATTTGACTCAGCTGATCATCCCTGCACTCCTGCAATGTTCCTCTTTCCCTAGGAGTCCAGGCCACTCTAACTTGTTTTGCTCCTTTCAGGGATTTTATTTATTTTATTTTTATTTTTTTATTTTATTATTATTATACTTTAAGTTTTAGGGTACATGTGCACAACGTGCAGGTTTGTTACATATGTATACATGTGCCATGTTGGTGTGCTGCACCCATTAACTCGTCATTTAGCATTAGGTATATCTCCTAATGCGATCCCTCCCCCCTCCCCCCACCCCACAACAGTCTCTGGTGTGTGATGTTCCCCTTCCTGTGTCCATGTGTTCTCATTGTTCAATTCCCACCTATGAGTGAGAACATGCACTGTTTGGTTTTTTGTCCTTGCAATAGTTTGCTGAGAATGATGGTTTCCAGTTTCATCCATGTCCCTACAAAGGACATGAACTCATCATTTTTTATGGCTGTATAGTATTCCATGGTGTATATGTGCCACATTTTCTTAATCCAGTCTATCGTTGTTGGACATTTAGGTTGGTTCCAAGTCTTTGCTATTGTGAATAGTGCCGCAATAAACATACGTGTGCATGTGTCTTTATAGCAGCATGATTTATAATCCTTTGGGTATATACCCAGTAATGGGATTGCTGGGTCAAATGGTATTTCTAGTTCTAGATCCTTGAGGAATCACCACACTGACTTCCACAATGGTTGAACCAGTTTACAGTCCCACCAACAGTGTAAAAGTGTTCCTATTTCTCCACATCCTCTCCAGCACCTGTTGTTTCCTGACTTTTTAATGATTGCCATTCTAACTGGTGTGAGATGGTATCTCATTGTGGTTTTGATTTGCATTTCTCTGATGGCCAGTGATGATGAGCATTTTTTCATGTGTTTTTTTGGCTGCATAAATGTCTTCTTTTGAGAAGTGTCTGTTCATATCCTTCGCCCACTTTTTGATGGGGTTGTTTGTATTTTTCTTGTAAATTTCTTTGAGTTCTTTGTAGATTCTGGATATTAGCCCTCTGTCAGATGAGTAGGTTGCAAAAATTTTCTCCCATTCTGTAGGTTGTCTGTTCACTCTGATGGTAGTTTCTTTTGCTGTGCAGAAGCTCTTTAGTTTAATTAGATCCCATTTGTCAATTTTGGCTTTTGTTGCCATTGCTTTTGGTGTTTTAGACATGAAGTCCTTGCCCATGCCTATGTGCTGAATGGTATTGCCTAGGTTTTCTTCTAGGGTTTTTATGGTTTTAGGTCTAACGTTTAAGTCTTTAATCCATCTTGAATTAATTTTTGTATAAGGTGTAAGGAAGGGATCCAGTTTCAGCTTTCTACATATGGCTAGCCAGTTTTCCCAGCACCATTTATTAAATAGGGAATCCTTTCCCCATTGCTTGTTTCTGTCAGGTTTGTCAAAGATCAGATAGTTGTAGATATACGGCATTATTTCTGAGGGCTGTGTTCTGTTCCATTGGTCTATGTCTCTGTTTTGGTACCAGTACCGTGCTGTTTTGGTTACTGTAGCCTTGTAGTATAGTTTGAAGTCAGGTAGCGTGATGCCTCCAGCTTTGTTCTTTTGGCTTAGGATTGACTTGGTAATGCAGGCTCTTTTTTGGTTCCATATGAACTTTAAAGTAGTTTTTTCCAATTCTGTGAAGAAAGTCATTGGTAGCTTGATGGGGATGGCATTGAATCTATAAATTACCTTGGGCAGTACGGCCATTTTCATGATATTGATTCTTCCTACCCACGAGCATGGAATGTTCTTCCATTTGTTTTTATGCTGTTTTATTTCATTGAGCAGTGGTTTGTAGTTCTCCTTGAAGAGGTCCTTTACATCCCTTGTAAGTTGGATTCCTAGGTATTTTATTCTCTTTGAAGCAATTGTGAATGGGAGTTCACTCATGATTTGGCTCTCTGTTTGTCTGTTACTTGTGTATAAGAATGCTTGTGATTTTTGTACATTGATTTTGTATCCTGAGACTTTGCTGAAGTTGCTTATCAGGTTGAGGAGATTTGGGGCTGAGACGTTTAAACAAGCTTCTCTGCCCAGCCTCTGAGTATCAGTGTTTCTTACATTTTTCTGTACTGTTCTCTTACCATTCTGCATTCATGAACACTGTGCATTTCATCCTCACTCCTGGCCTGTCTGTGGAAGAAGGATTCCCGAATGTATATACAAACTCTACAGCTGCCATTGCTATAAGCCTGCATATCGAACGCAGTATGTGGAGCCTCCCTTGGATGTTTCATACACACCTCAAACTTTTTCTTGCTTCGAATGTAACTCATTATTTTCTTCCCTGTGCCCTCCTTCAACAGAATAACTAAACTAAAACTATTCTTTATCCATTGTTTTATTTGAAAATTTTAATTGAGTACTTACTGGAAAGTATTCTAGGTACTTGGGATAGATAAGTGGAAGAGATAATTATGGTCTCTCTGCATTGAGAAAACAGGATTGCTAAATCATCTATATATGTATATATGTAATCATCTATATATATGTATGTATGTAAAAATAAATTATGTACTCCTATCTCACAACTGTTTATAAGTGGAATGAAGTAAAGTAATGCACTGCTGTGGTCAAAACATCTCTCCTGATTTGGATCCTTTTATCAGGTTTCTGTAGATATAATTGACAAAATCATAAATATTTAAAGTGTATAACTTGATGTTTTAATATACATATACATTGTGAAATAATCACCAGTCATATTTATTAACATGCCCATTACCTCACACAGGTAGTGTGATGGTTAATACTGTGTCAACCTGATTGCATTGAAGGATGCAAAGTATTGATCCTGGGTGTGTCTGTGAGGGTGTTGCCAAAGGAGATTAATATTTGAGTCAGTGGGCTGGGAAAGACAGATCCACACTTATTCTGGATGGGCACCATCTAATGAGCTGCCAGAGCAGTCAGAATACAAAGCAGGCAGGAAAAGACTAGACTGCCTTAGCCTCCCAGCCTACATCTTTCTGCTGTGCTGGATGCTTCCTGCCGTCGAACATCAAACTCTAAGTTCTTCAGCTTTGGGACTCGGACTGGCTTTCTTGCTCCTCAGTCTGCAGATGCAGATGGCCTATTGTGGGACCTTGTGATCATGTGAGTTAATACTCCTTAATAAACTCCCCTTTACATATATATCCTATTATTTCTGTCCCTCTAGGGAACCCTCGCTAATCAGATTTTGGTACCGGGGTAGTTCTAGAGAAACAGAATATTAAGGATGGAGTTCTTTCATTGGTTTTGGGGCTTCTGGAGTTTGCTGCTTAATATGATTAGACCCCAAAATACTAAGGACTCTACTTCTAATAGTATGGAAAACACTGAGAGTCCTTGGCATGAACCGTTTAGAGAGTTATGCAAAATAAATGCATTTGACACTCCTGATTCACTGCTCCTGAGAGGCAAGGAGTTTAGTGACTCTATTACATAATACCTTTGACCATATGTGGGGAACCAAGAAACATAATGAAGCAGGTTGGTTGCTCCTGAGATCAGTGGACAAAGTGATAAAAGAAAATGTTGGACTCAGGGATTCAGACTCCCAGCCTCAGAAGCAGAGAGTGAATCTCAAATCTGCTAAGATTGCCTTGAGTGAGTGTCTTATCTCCTGGAGAGAAAGAGCTGAAATTGTAGAAAAACAGACAAAAGATCTTATCATGCAAGTGGCTGACTTGCAATGAAAGGTACGTGCACAGGCTCACCAGGTGTCTACTGCTAAAGTGAGGGCATTGATTGGAAAAGAATTAGGACCCTGCAACTTGGTATGCGGATGTATGGGAGGACCCTGATGAAGCTGAGGACACTGAGCTTGTAAACTCTGATGAAGCTTTTTTGCCAGAAGAAACAGCTTCCCCATTCCCAGTAGTGGCAACATCCCCTCCCTGACCCATGTTGCCATCAGCCTTTCCATCTTTGTCTGAGGAGATAAGCTCTGCAATGCCTGAGGCAGTTGCCAGGCAAGATAATGTTGATTCTCCTCAAGAGCCACCACCAACACTCCTGTTTGCTTCCAGACCTATAACAAGACTAAAATCCTGGCAGGGCCCTAGGGGTGAGGTTCAGAGTGTGACCTATGTGCAGGTGTGCTACACTCAAAAAGAACTGCTTGAGTTTTCTAATTCATATATGCATTAATCTGGAGAACAGTCATGGGAATAAACATTAAGGGTGTGGGATGATAATGGAGGAACATAAAGTTGAATCAGGCTGAATTCATTCATTTTGGCCCACTAAGTAGAGATTTTGCATTTAATGTTGCAGCCTGGGGAATTAAAAAAGGTTCTAATAGTTTATTTGCTTGGTTAGCTGAAATATGGATTAAAAGATGGCCCCCTGTGAATGAGCTGGAAATGCTTGATCTTCCTTGATTTAATGTAGAGGAAGGGATCCAAAGGCTTAGGGAGATTGGGATTGTGGAGTGGATTATTCACTTTAGATCTACTCATCCCAGCTGAGAGTGTCCAAAAGATATACCCTTGACCAATGCTTTGTGAAATAGATTTGTGAGGGCAGTACTTGCATCTTTGAAGAGCCCTGAAATTGCCCTTCTCTATATGTAAGATCTAACAGTGGGAACCACAGTCACTCAACTACAAACTATAAATACAATGAGAATAATTGGATCTCCAGGTGTCAGGGGCCAAGTGGCAGCACTCAGTCATCAAAGACAAGGTGAGTGTAACTACCATAATGGATAGAAGAGGCAAAGCAGTAGTCAGAATACTCTGACTCATGTAGAGCCCTGGCACTGGCTAATTAATCACAGTGTTCCTAGAAGTGAAATTGATAGGAAGCCTACTGCATTCCTACTTAGTTTATATAAGCAGAAAACTTCTAGGTCAAATGGACAAAAAACTAATTCAAATTATAAAAACAGAGAATCATTGCCCCTCAATCAATTTCCAGACCTGAGCCAGTTTACAGACCCAGAACCCCTTGAATAAAGGGGAGGCTGGATGCTCTTCAGATAGAACCCCACTACACTGCTGACAGTTTATGCTGTTAATCTTTCTCCCATCCTTCCCCAATAAGACCTCTGGCCTTTTACCAGGGTAACTGTGCATTAGGGAAAGGAAAATGATCAGACATTTCAGGGATTACTGGACACTAGCTCTGAGCTGAGGTTGATTCCAGTAGACCTAAAACATCATTGTTGTCCTCCTGTTAAAGTAGGGGCTTATGGAGCTCAGGTAATTAATGGAGTTTTATCTCGGGTCCAACTTACAAGTAGGTCCCTGGAATTATCCTGTGGTCATTTCCCCAGTGCCAGAATGCATAATTGGCATAGAAATACTTAGCAGCTGGCAGAACCCCCACATTGGTAGGGTGAAGGATACTATGGTGAGAAAAGCCAAATGGAAGCCATTAGAGCTTCCTCTATCTAGAAAAATAGTAAATAAAAAACAAGCTTGCATCCCTGGAGGGATTGCAGAGATTAGTGCCACCATCAAGGACTTGAAAGACACAGGGGTGGTGATTCCCACCACATCCCCGCTCAACTCTCCTATTTGGCCTGTGCAGAAGACAGATGGACCTTGGAGAGAGTGACAGTGGCTTATCATAAGCTTAATAAAGTGGTGACTCCAATTGCACCTGCTGTAACACGTGTGATTTCATTGCTTGAGCAAGTTAACGCATCTTCTGGTACCTGGTATGCAGCCATCAACTTGGCAAATGCCTTTTTCTCCATTCCTGTCCATAAGGCCTACCAGAAGCAATTTGTCTTCAGCTTTCAAGGCCAGCAATATACCTTTACTGTCCTACCTCAGGGATATATCCACTCTGGCTTTGTGTCATATTTATATTTGGAGAGAGCTTGATCACTTTTTGCTTCCACAAGGTATCACACCAGTCCATTACATTGATGACATTATGCTGATTGAATCCAGTGAGCAAGAAGTATCAAACACACTGGACTTGTTGGTGAGACATTTGCATACCAGAGGATGGGAAATAAATTGGATTAAAATTCAGGGACCCTCTACCTCAGTAAAATTCTTAGGGGTCCAGTGGTATGGGGCCTGTTGAGATATTCCTTCTCACGTGAAGAATAAGTTGCTGCATTTGGCCCCTACTACAGCAAGGAAAGAGACAAAATGCCTAGTGGGCCTATTTGGATTTTGGAGGCAATACGTTCCTCATTTGGGTGTGCTACTCTGGCCCATTTATGAAGTGACCAAAAAGGCTGCCAGTTATGAGTAGGGTCCAGAACAGGAGAAGGCTCTGCAATAGGTTCAGGCTGGTGTGCAAGCTGCTCTGCCACTTGGGCCATATGACCCAGTAGATCCAATGGTGCTTGAGTTGTCAGTGACAGATAGGTATGCTGTTTGGAGCCTTTGGCAGGCCCCCATAGGTGAATCACAGTGGAGGCCCCTAGGATTTTGGAGCAAGGGACTGCCATCTTCTGCAGATAACTACTTTCCTTTTGAGAGACAGCTCTTGGCCTGTTACTGGGCTTTGTTGGAAACTCAACGTTTGACTATGGGTCATCAAGTCACCATGCAACCTGAACCGCTTGCCATGAACTGGGTGCTTTCTGACCCATCTAGCCATAAAGAAGTGGGTCGTGCATAGCAGGATTCCATTGTCAAATGGAAGCGGTATATACGTGATCGGGCTTGAACAGGTCCTGAAGTACATTACATGAGGAAGTGGCTCAAATGCCCATGGTATATACTCCTCCTGCCCTGCTTTCTCTCCCCCAGCCTGCATCAACAGTCTCATGGGGAGTTCCCTATGATCAGTTGACAGAGGAAGAGATGACTAGGGCCTGGTTCACAGATGGGCTGCATGATATGCAGGCGCCACCAGAAAGTGGACAGTTGTAGTACTACAGCCCCTTTCTAGGACATCCCTGAAGGACAGTGGTGAAAGACAATCTTCCCAGTGGGCAGAACTTTGAGCAGTGCATGTGGTTGTGCAATTTGCATGGAAGGAGAAATGGTCAGATGTATGATTATATACTGATTCATGGGCTGTAGCCAATGGTTTGGCTGGATGGTCAGGGACTTGGGAAAAGCATGATTGGAAAACTGGTGATGAAGAAATTTGGGGGAAGAGATGTGTGGTATGTGGATGGACCTCTCTGAGTGGTCCAAAACTGTGAAGACATTTGTATCCCATGTGAGTGCTCACTAATGGGTGACCTCAGGAGAGAAGGAATTTAAAAATCAAGTGGAGAGGATGACCCATTCTGTGGATACCACTCAGCCTCTTTCCCCAGCCACCCCTGTCATCACCCAATGGGCCCATGAACAAAGTGGCCATGGTGGCAGGGATGGAGGTTATGCATGGGCTCGGCAAAATGGACTTCCACTCACCAAGACTGACCTGGCTATGGCCACTCCTGAGTTCCCAAGTTGCCAGCAGCAAAGACCAACACTGAGCCCTCCATATGGCACCATTCCTCAGAGTGATCAGCCAGCTACCTGGTGGCAGGTTGATTATATGGGAGCTCTTTCATCACGGAAAGGGCAGAGGTTTGTCTTCACTGGAATAGACACTTACTCCAGATATGGGTTTGCCTATCCAGCATGCAATGCTTCTGCCAAGGCTACCATCCATGGACTCATGAAATGCCTTATCCACCATCACGGTATTCCACATAGCATTGCTTCAGACCAAGGCACTCACTTTACGGCTAAAGAAGTGCAGCAGTGGGCTCATGCTCATGGAATTCACTGGTCTTACCATGTTCCCCATCATCCTGAAGCACCTGGATTGATAGAATGGTAGAATGGCCTTTTGAATTTTGAATTCACAATTACAATGCTAAGTAGTTGACAATACTTTGCAGGGCTGGGGCAAACTTCTCCGGAAGGCCATGTATGCCTTCCGGATATCCATATATTGGAAGTCCAATATATGGTACTGTTTCTCCCATAGCCAGGATTCATCAGTCCAGGCATCAAGGGGTAGAAGTGGAAATGGCACCACTCACCAACACCTCTAGTGATCCACTAGCAAAATTTTTGCTTTCTGTTCCCATGACATTAAGTTCTGCTGGCCTAGAGGTCTTAGTTCCAGAGGGAGGAATGCTGCCATCAGGAGAAACAACAACGATTCCATTAAACTGGAAGTTAAGATTGCCACCTGAACACTTTGGGCTCCTCCTACCTATAAGTCAACAGGCTAAGAAAGGAGTTACAGTGTTGGCTGGGGTGACTGACCTGGACTATCAAGATGAAATCAGTCTACTACTCCACAACAGTGGTAAGGAAGAGTATGCATGGAATACTGGAGATCCATTGGGGTGTCTGTTAGTATTACCATGCCCTGTGATTAATGTCAATGGGTAACTAAAACAGCCCAATCCAGACAGGACTGCAAATGGCCCAGAACCTTCAGAAATGAAGTTTTGGGTCACTCCACCAGGAAAAAACTATGACCTTGGAGGGGCCAAGATAGCCAAATAGAAACAGGTCCGGTCTGTAGCTCCCAGCGAGACCAACGTAGAAGGTGGGTGATTTCTGCATTTCCAACTGAGGTACCCAGTTCCTCTTACTGGGACTGGTTAGGCAATTGTTGCAACCCACAGAGAGTGAGCAGAAGCAGGGTGGGGTATTGCTTCACCTGGGAAGTGTACGGAGCCAGGGGACTTCCCTCCCCCAGCCAAGGGAAGCAGCGAGGGACTGTGCTGTCCATCCTGGGTACTATGCTTTGCTCATGGATTTTTGTAATCCATGGATCAGAAGATTCCCTCATAAGCCTATACCACCAGGGCCCTGGGTTTCAAGCACAAGACTGACAACTGTTTGGGTAACCACTGAGCTGCAAGAATGTTCTCATATTCCAGTGGCACCTGGAACTCCAATGAGACAGGAGAACCATTCACTCTCCTGAAAAGGGGCTAAAGCCAGGAAGCCAAGTGATCTCACTTAATGGGTCCCACTCCTAAGGAGCCCAGCAAGGTAAGAACCACAGGCTCGAAATGAAATTCTCACTGCCAGCACAGCAGCCTGGAGTCAGCCTGGGAAGATCCACTTTGATGTGGGGAGGGGTGGCTGCCATTTACTGTGTCTTCAGTAGGCAGTGTTCCCCTGACAGTGCTAAGGAGATTGGGAGGTTTGACTGGGCAGAATTCACCACAGCATGGCAAAGTGGCTGTGGCCAGACTGTTTCTCTAGATTCCTCCTCACTAGGTGCAGGGGTTCTCTGCAGGAAATCCAGCAGCTCCAGTCAGGGGCTTACAGACAAAACTCTCTTCAGAGCACATTTGGGGAGGGGCAGCTGCAGTCGCAGGTTCTGTGGACTTAATCTTTCCTGCCTGCCAGCTGTGAAGAGAGCAGCTGATCCTGGCAAGGGGGATTCTCTCAGCACAGCACAGCAGCTCTGCTAAAGGACAGACTGCCTCCCCCTCAAGTGGGTGTCCCTGACCCTGTGCCTCCTTACTGGGTGAGACCTCCCAACTGGGGTCAACAGATACCTCATACAGGAGAGCTCCGGCTGGCATCAGGCAGGTACCCCCCCTGGGATGAAGCTTCCAGAGGAAGGAGCAGGCAGCAATTTTTGCTTTTCTGCAGCCTGCACTGGTGATATTCAGGCAAACAGGGTTGAGAATAGACCTCCAGCAAATTGCAGAGACTTGCAGAAGAGAGGCCTGACAACAAGAAGAACAAACAGAAAGCAACAAAAACAACAACAACATCAACGAAAAGATGCCCCCCAAAAAACCCTATCCAAAGGTCGTCAGCCTAAAAGATCAAAGGTAGATAAATCCATTAAGATGACAAAAAAACCAGCACAAAAACCCTAAAAATTCCAAAAGCCAGAATGCCTCTTCTCTTCCAAATGATTGCAACACCTCTCCAGCAAGGGTGCAAAACTGGACAGAGAATGACATGGATAAATTGAAAGATGTAGGCTTCAGAAGGTGAGTAATAACAAACTCCACTAAGCTAAAGGAACATGTACCAACCCAATGCAAAGAAGCTAATAACGTTGATAAAAGGTCACAGGAGCTGCTAACTAGAATAACAAGTTTAGAGCGGAACATAAATAACCTGATGGAGCTGAAAAACACAGCAAGAGAACTTCGTGAAGCATCAGTAGCCAAATTAATCAAGCAGAAGAAAGGATATCAGAGTTTGAAGATCATCTTGTTGAAATAAGGCATGCTGACAAGGTTAGAGAAAAAATAATGAAAAGGAACAAACAAAACTTCCAAGAAATATGGGACTATGTAAAAAGACCAAAACTGTCATTGATTGGAGTACCTGAAAGAGATGGAGAGAATGGAACCAAGTTGGAAAACACACTTCAGATATTATCTAGGAAAACTTCCTCAACCTAGCAAGACAGGCCAACATTCAAACTCAAGAAATACAGAGAACACCACTAAGATACTCCACGAGAACATCAATCCAAAAACACATAATCATCAGATTATCCAAGGTCAAAATGAAGGAAAAAATGTGTGTGTGTGTGTGTGTGTGTGTGTGTGTATTATACTTTAAGTTCTAGGGTACATGTGCACAACATGCAAGTTTGTTACATATGTATACATGTGCCATGTTGGTGTGCTGCACCCATTAACTCATTATTTACATTAGGTATATCTCCTAATGCTATCTCTCTTCCCTCCTCCTACCCCACTACAGGCCCTGGTGTGTGATGTTCCCCTTCCTGTGTCCAAGTGTTCTCATTGTTCAATTCCCATCTATGAGTGAGAACATGTGGTGTTTGTTTTTTTGTCCTTGTGATAGTTTGCTGAAAATGATGGTTTCCAGCTTCATCCATGTCCCTACAAAGGACATGAACTCATCATTTTTTACGGCTGCATAGTATTCCATGGTGTATATGTGCCACATTTTCTTAATCCAGTCTATCGTTGATGGACATTTGGGTTGGTTCCAAGTCTTTGCTATTGTGAATAGTGCCACAATAAACATACGTGTGCATGTGTCTTTATAGCAGCATGATTTATAATCCTTTGGGTATATACCCAGTAATGGGATGGCTGGTTCAAATGGTATTTCTAGTTCTAGATCCCTGAGGAATCGCCACACTGACTTCCACAATGGTTGAACTAGTTTACAGTCCCACCAACAGTGTAAAAGTGTTCCTATTTCTCCACATCCTTTCTAGCACCTGTTGTTTCCTGACTTTTTAATGATTGCCATTCTAACTGGTGTGAGATGGTATCTCATTGTGGTTTTGATTTGCATTTCTCTGATGGCCAGGGATGATGAGCATTTTTTCATGTGTCTGTTGGCTGCATAAATGTCTTCTTTTGAGAAGTGTCTGTTCATATCCTTTGCCCACTTTTTGATGGGGTTGTTTGCTTTTTTCTTGTAAATTTGTTTGAGTTCTTTGTAGATTCTGGATATTAGCCCTTTGTCAGATGAGTAGATTGCAAAAATTTTCTCCCATCCTGTAGGCACTCTGATGGTAGTTTCTTTTGCTGTGCAGAAAATGTTAACAGCAGCCAGAGAGAAAGGTCAGGTCACCTCCAGAGGAAAGCCCATCAGACTAATAGCCAATCTCTCAGCAGAAACCCTACAAACCAGAAGACATTGGGAACCAATATTCAACATTCTTAAAGAAAAGAATTTTCAACCCAGAATTGCATATGCAGCCAAACTAAGCTTCATAAGCAAAGGAGAAATAAAATCCTTTCCATTCAACAAATGCTAAGGGATTTTGTCACCACCAGGCCTGCCTTGCAAGAGCTCCTGGAGGAAGAACTAAATATGGAAAGGAAAATCCAGTACCAGCCACTGCAAAAACACATCAAAATATAAAGACCAATGACACTATGAAGAAACCGCATCAACTAGTATGCAAAATAACAAGCTAACATCATGATGACAGGATTAAATTTACACATAACAATATTAACCTTAAATGTAAATGGGCTAAATGCCCCAATTAAAAGACACAGACTGGCAAATTGGATAAAGAGTCAAGACTCATTGGTGTGCTGTATTCAGGAGACCCATCTCATGTGCAAAGACACACATTGGCTCAAAATAAAGGGATAGAGGAAAATTTACCAATCAAATGGAAAGGAAAAAAAAAAAGAAAAAAAAAAAGCAGGGGTTGCAATCCTAGTCTCTGCTAAAACAGACTTTAAACCAACAAAGATCAAAAACAAACAAACAAACAAACAAACAAAGAAGGGCATTACATAATGGTAAAGGGATCAATGCAACAACAAAAGCTAACTATCCCAACTATATGTGCACCCAATACAGGAGCATTCAGATTAAGAAAATAAGCTTTCAGAGACCTACGAAGAGACTTAGATGCCCACACAATAATAGTGGGAAACTTTAACACCCCAATGTCAATATTAGATCAATGAGGCAGAAAATTAACAAGGATATTCAGGATTTGAACCCAGCTCTGGACCAAGCGGACCTAATAGACATCTACAGAACTCCCCACCCCAAATCAACAGAACATACATCTTCTCAGTACCACACAGCATTTATTCTAAAATTGACCACATAACTAGAAGTAAAACACTCCTCGGCAAATGCAAAAGAACTGAAATCACAACAGTCTCTCAGACCACAGTGCAATCAAATTAGAACTCGGGATTAAGAAACTCACTCAAAACCACATAACTACATGGTACTTGAACAACCTGCTCCTGAATGACTCCTGGGCAAATAACGAAATTAAGGCAGAAATAAATAAGTTCTTTGAAACCAACGAGAACAAAGAGACAATGTACCAGAATCTCTGGGGCACAGCTAAAGCAGTGTTGAGAGGGAAATTTATAGCACTAAATGCCCACATCAGAAAGTTGGAAAGATCTCACATCAACACCCTAACATCACAATTAAAAGAACTAAGGAAGCAAGAGCAAACAAATCCAAAAGGTAGCAGAAGACAAGAAATAACTAAGGACAGAGCAGAACTGAAGGAGATAGAGACACAACCCTTCAAAAAAGCAATGAATACAGAAGCTGTGTTTCTGAAAAAATTGACAAAATAGATAGACTGCTAGCTAGACTAACAAAGAAGAAAATGGAGAAGAATCAAATAGATGCAATAAAAAATGATAAAGGGGATATCACCACTGACCCCAGAGAAATACAAACTACCATCAGAGAATACTATAAACACCTCTATGCAAATAAACTAGAAAATCTAGAAGAAATGGATAAATTTCTGGACACATACACCCTCCAAAGACTAAACCAGGAAGAAGTTGAATTCCTGAATAGACCAATAACAAGTTCTGAATTTAAGGTAGTAATAAATAGCCTACCAATCAAAAAAAGCCAAGGACCAGATGGATTCACAGTGGAGTTTTTCTAGATGTACAAAGAGGAGCTGGTACCAGGCCTTCTGAAACTATTCCAAACAATTGAAAAGAAGGGGCTCCTGCTTAACTCATTTTATGAGGCCAATATCATCCTGATACCAAAACTTAGCAGCGATACAACCAAAAAGGAAAATTTCAGGCCAGTATCCCTGATGAACATTGATGTGACAATCCTCAATAAAATACTGGAAAGCCAAATCCAGCAACACATCAAAAAGCTTATCCACCATGATCAAGTCTGCTTCATCCCTGGGATGCAAGGCTGGTTCAGCATACGCAAATCAATAAATGCAATCCATCACATAAACAGAAACAAGGACAAAAACCACATGATTATCACAATAGATCCAGATAAGGCCTTCCATAAAATTCCGCATCCCTTCATGTTAAAAACTCTCAATAAACTAGGTGTTGATGAAACATCTCAACATAATAAGAGCTATTTATGACAAACTCATAGCCAATATCAAGCTGAATGGGCAAAGGCTGGAAGCATTCCCTTTGAAAACCAGCAAAAGACAAGGATGCCCTCCCTCGCCACTCCTATTCAACACAGTATTGGAAGTTCTGGCTAGGACAATTAGGCAAGAGAAAGAAATAAAGCACATTCAGTTAGGAAGAGAGGAAGTCACATTGTCCCTGTTTGCAGATGACATGATTATACATTTAGAAAATCCCCGCATCTCAGCCCAAAAACTCCTTTAGCTGATAAGCACCTTCAGAAAAGTCTCAGGATACAAAATCAATGTGCAAAAATCACAGGCATTCTTATAGACCAACTATAGACAAGCAAAGAGCCAAATCATGAATTAACTCCCATTCACAATTGCTACAAAGAGAATTTAATGCTTAGGAATACAGCTTACAAGCGGACGTGAAGGACGTCTTCAAGGAGAACTAGAAAACACTCCTTAAGGAAATAAGAGAGGACACAAACAAATGGAAAACATTCCATCCTCATGGATAGGAAAAATCAATATTGTGAAAATGGCCATACTGCCCAAAGTAATTTACAGATTCAATGCTATTACCATCGAACTACCATCGACATTCTTCACAAGATTAGAAAAAACTATCTTAAATTTCATATGGAACCAAAAAAGATTCCGTATAGCCAAGACAATCCTAAGCAAAAAGAACAAAGCTGGAGGCATCATGCTACCTGACTTCAAACTATACTACAAGCCTACAGTAACAAAAACAGCATGGTACTGGCACCAAAACAGGCACTGATTTTCATATGTTGATTTAGTATCCTGCAACTTTGCTGAATTTAAAAAAATTAGTTCTAACAGCTTTTTGCTGGACTTTTTAGGGTTTTTCACCTGTTCTATCAGGTCATCTACAAACAGATATCATTTTACTTTTTCCTTTCTGATATGAATGTCTCATTTGTTTTCTCTTGTCTAATTCCTCTCTCTGGAGCTTACTGTACTATGTTGAACAAAAGCGTGACAGTGGCCATCTTTTATTGTACCAAATAGTAAAAGAAAAGCTTCCATAATAATCACATTGATTTTTGTGTTAGCTGTTGGCTTTTCATGTATGACCTTTATTGTGATAAGTTCCTTCTATGCCTATTTTGTTTAGAGTTTTTATGTGAATGAGTGTTAAATTTTTGTCAAGTGCTTTTTTTGAGTATATTGTGATGATCTTATACTTTTTATCTTTCATTCTGTTAATGTGGTATATTATATTGTTTGATTTGCATATGTTGAACTATTCCTGCATCCCAAAGATAAATCCCACATGGTCATGTTGTGTAATCCTTTTAATATGATGTTTAATGTGCTCCAGGTTTGGGGGATGGACACTCAAGGGGGTTACCCAGGGTGAGGCTGGTGGGGTACCTTAGCAGCTAGGCTATGAGGGTCCTCCTGCTCTTCTTTTCCTCTGGGGACTGAGAAGTCACAGCTATGAAGATTCCTCTTTGTCCTGAGTTGTGACATCTTGGTGGATGAGGTGAGGCAGGTAATGCTTCTTATGTTTTTTGTGTGGCTACCTTCAGTTTCTATGCTCCACAGGGTTGCTGCAGTTTCTTAATTGTACTCCAGAGCTCCCCTAGAGCTGTTTTTGACCTTGAGTAGTTGTTACATCATTGATTTTGTGGAGATACTAGGGCTGATCTGGATCATGTCAGTCTGGTTCAGATACTTGTGATGGGGTGGCAGAGGAGAAGGCATCTGTGAAGAGGCAATTTTCACGCTAAACTCTGAAGAGTGAGGCAGGTCTGGTGAGAGTGATGGTGAGAGTCAAGATAAGCAAAAGTGATAAAAGCCCTCAGTGGGATTACAGAAAAGAGGACATTGAAATGAAAATGAGCCCTTATAAAGGTAATAAATGTAAGTAAAATTTTGTAGTTCTGCATAGTAATGGATTCCATGTTTTAAAATTATTTTACATCATGTGAGAGTTGCATTAAAAAAACTTTAACAATAGGTCAGCATTGAACTTTTTCAAAAAATATTTTGTAGGTGGCTCTCATTTGTTTCTTTACTAAATTATGTGATTTGTTATATTAGAATTTTTCTGTGAAAGAAGTCTCCCCAACATTTGAAAAGTCATTGAAATGAGTAACTAAAAACTTTTGAGAATAATGTATTTTATAGCACCTTCTTTAAAAAATGTTAAAGTATTGAGAGATCCTAATGATGGGTAGGATCTGGATGATTGCAGCATATAGAAAGTGCTAAAAATATCAGAAAATTTTACTTTTTTATATAACAATTTTAACTTCAATGTGCAATCATAGTAATTAATGACTTTCGATTTTTAATCTTTACCATGTGCCAGCAATGTACCAAATACATCAAATATGTAACATTACTTAACCCTGATAATCTTTTAAACCAAGTATTGTTACCTCCATTTTGCATATTTGCAAAGAGGCAGCAATGTTAAGTAGCTCACCTGAAGTTACAAATAGTAAATGGAAGAGCTAGAATTCAGAGCCCTGTCTGACTACAGGTCTCAAGTGTTGTTGTCCATCCCCTTTGCGTGTATATAATATTAAGAGAATAATGACCAAAATCAGGATATACATGACCATAACATAAGTACATGTTACGTTTGGGAGCATAGAACTGTGTTTCTCGCTGAAAAATATTTTATTTAAATTGAATGAGGTTTGAAACATTGTTTGTATGGTAAGAGAATACTGCAGAGGCACTGGTATCAGATCTTATTTTGGCTGATTACATAATAATCATACCACTCATCTTATATAACTGTATAATCCAAGAAAAAATAATTTAATTAAACGGTAGAAGAAACATGTTTTAAATTCTGAATCATATTCTTATCTGATTGTTAAAATAAAGAATATACTTTTTGCTTGCATAGAACGTGACTCCAATGTAAATGCAACAAAATATAAATTAGTGTGAATTACGGTTTTTTACAGAACATAAAATTTAGACTGTAATGTCTGATGTCACTTACCTGGTGTATTAATTTTAGAAGAGAGTCACTAATGACTTGAGATTCCAGAATGCATTCACCACTGCACCAGAGCAAAGAGAAGTACAACTAACATCAGCAGAAGTGTCAGGGATATTAATGTGGCTTTTTAAAACCTCTATAGTTGCTGACCTAGTTTTAATTGATGGTCTATGATGTTAAGAAGACAGGATTTGTGGCCTAGATAGTAGAAAATATTCTCTACAAAACTGTGAAGACAGAATCACTTACATCCAATGTTTCATTTTTGACTTGCTATGTAAGATAATAAAAAATATGAGTAAAGTGTAATGAAAAGCAATTTTGTATTGACCTTGTATAGTGTTCAGCACAGCAATGTGTAGTAGGTAATACATATTCTTTTGGATGACTGCTTTTGTATGGAAATGCTTTTCCACATCTTTGTATATGCCTAAGATCTTCTCAGCTTTAGAAATTAGCCTAAACATTACTTAAGAAAGGCATTTCTCTGCCCTCTTATCTAAAGTCAGTAAGTCAATTCCTGTAATTCTCTCCAATGACACCACGTTGTTGGTCACCCAGTATTTCTCAAGTTTTTGTGTTTTAACTTTTTATTCACTTGTTTCTTGTATTTTCCACTAGAATATCGGTTCTATTGCTAGTGTATAGGCATGCAATACATATTTGCCAAGTAAGTGCTATTGGATAATTATTTACTTACAATATATATAGGGCACATGTGCCCTCAGACCCTCAGTGTCTCATGAATGAGGACAAACTCTCTAATGTGAAGTCACAATTTTAAAGGGAGATTTTTCATTTGTTGTCTCTGATATGAATCTGGTATTTATAGATGGTTCTAGAGGATGCTAACATATGCTTCTTAATCACCCGAACAGTGAGTCATGTAAGCGCAGTCGCCATGGGACTTTCTGTTTCCTAACAAAAGTTTGATTGATTGATTTTATTAATGAGCTCACTCATGTTTCCGCTTTATTAACTGTCTCAATAAACACATTTAAAATTGATGTTCCAACAATGTATCTTACAATATTAATAAATACTAAGGATACTAATATTCCCAGTAAAATCCGCAGAGGACAAGAAAGAGTTCCACTTGGTTGAGATACTCCATAATCATTGTTAGTTTAGCATAAAACCACCAAACTTCAGTAATCTTAATTAAAAATATTTTCTCAATATTAACGTCAGGGTACATAGGTGAAATAGATTTTACCTATGACTCTTATCTATGATCTTTGATACACAAATATGTGGATAAAACATTTTACATTTTTTTGGAAGAGTGATTTTTTGGAAAAGTGATTTGTTTTGCCATGTTTGTCTTAAAAATAGTTGACTTACTTTGTTGCTCTTTACTGGAAAGAGCATTTTGTTACAGAATATTTTTGGTAGGAAAATGTGATGAATGCACTATTTGGCTTGTGTGGGCTTCTTCTCAATTATTTGGTGAAGTATTTCCTTTTCCAACCTTCCTGCAAAGTTGTTGAGAAAGCTTCTCTAAGTACTTTTCTCTATTTTTGTATTTTCTTAAAAAGATTGCCAAGTATTTGAAGAATGATCTATGTATCCAAGCTTAATTGCATTTACTGTTTTTAAATGCTAGAGCATACAAACCATTTACCAGCATTCTCCGATGTGATAGTAATACCAGTGCCATAGAAATTGCAAAATGAAAAAGAATGCTAAGTAAAATGGCTTTACTGTGCTATTACTTTGACTCAAAAGGTTCTTAAATCAAATGTAATTTGTCCAAGCATCTTTTAATTATTTGAAAGGATTTATTTGAAAGTGGGTAGTTGAAGAAGTGCTTTTAGACATAGAAAAAATATAGTGCACAAACTCAAAAGATTAATACTTTTCAACCTTTCGTAGAATTAATAGAATCTTCCAATTTTAAAATATTAACTGTCTTTAACTATTAGACCACTAGGAAAGTGAAATGTTACGTTGTTGTACTTAAAAACATACTGGATAGAATTGAAATAACAAGGTTTGTCAATTTATTATAGGTTCAAATGAAGACATCTATGATTTTCATTGCATAGTTCAAATGGAAAATTTAGAGTTTTAAAAGTATAGTAATTGTAATGATTCTAAAAAGATTGATCAGCTTTTAAATAGTGTTTGTTAATTATTTTTTAATTGACTAGAACTGTAGCTCTTCTGTGTTCAATATAGTTATAAGCATTGTCTGAGGGACATACATTGAAATTATGCTGCAAAAAATCTAGATTATTTAGGCAAAACCTCATTTAGGAATATAAATTAATTTTCTCTTCATTTGTTAACAGGATGGCACTGTTGGAAAATACCCAATTTTCATCTTCTGATATCTTACAACACAATAGGCATTAAAAAAATCCAAAATGCGGCCTTAAAAAATACATTAGCTTTGATTGTCTAGATTGCTAATAAATATGAATCTGGAGAACACATTTGTGATTACTTTTTATCTGATTAGACAATTTTGAGGAAATAAACTGAAAGGCTCCAAGGAGGGAAGTGATAATAAATATCTTGAAGTAGATTTATGTAGAATGGTAGTCTGCAGACAATTTTAAATCATTGGTAATTCTTGTGCCTTCATTTTCTTTGCTTGTAAATACAGTCTAATACATCTCCTTGAATGCCAGTGTGGCTATAGGGAAGACTGACAGAGAGGCTTTAATGTTTCTTTAAAGCAAGTATAGCATTTGTTCATAAGCCTGTTCCTGGAAACTTAAAATGTACATCAGTGGTTATCAACTTGAATTCAGAGCATTTATGAACATTATGATCTCATTTGCCAAATAGTACGATAAGAGTAAGAAATTTTTCTGGGGAAAGAATGGATATTGTTACCAGATCCAAAAATGGCATCCATGATTCTCCAAAAAGAGTTGAGAAATGCTGGGAACTATGAATAAACAATTTTAAAAATGAGAAAAAGACACATTTGTTTCATGAATTAAAAAACACCTTGTGTTTACGTTCTTACATTCTTAAAGTTTCCTTGTTCAAAGAATCACGGAGAATCATGAATCTGGTAGACATCAAGAAAAATGTTCAATAAAATATTCCCAAAAGTGAATTATAGATTTTTCCCTTCAAGCTCTGGAAATTAAATTTAATCATCTATCTTTGTAAATTCCTCCAGTATCTCTTGGAATCTCGGAATTTTCCTTTCCAGTGACAGGCATATACAGAATTTGTCATTTATTTTGAATAAAATTTAGCTCACATTTTCTGTGGCAAAGACTCATTTTTTTCTACTGGTAAGAATCATTTATTCCCTGTAGAAAGTAAATGTATGTATTTTACCATTCTTTATAACAGTTTCAACTTACCTTTAATGATCCATATTGCACTCCTTTGGCAGTCGTTAAAGTAGGAGATACTCTGGCTGTTAGGTTCATTTATTGAAAAGTAGTTTCTGTACACTCACTGCCAATTTTTAAAAAAGACAAATTTATTTTTAACTTTTTAATAACTTCAAATAATTAATAATAATATATTAATGAAGATATACTTTAAATATTTCTTTGAAGGATTCACAAAAATATACATTCACATTTCATACTCTAGAACTAAAATTATACAAAAGCATTTATGGTATTTTTGTCTTAACTGGTCTCATCCTTACCTTTTTGCTGACGGGATCCATTTTGTCTCATGCTTTATGAATCCTTTTGCTTAGCCAGCTACCATCATTTGCCTCCTTTTATAGTTCTGCTTAGTTCTGCCTTCTAGCTATCCCGAATTTATTATATCTCTAAGTTTCTTCTTTTGTTAATTGCAGCACGTCTAAATTTTATCATAATTAAATTCCTCAAAATCCATCTCTCTTTCATCATTTTAAATGATCCATTATTCTATCAATTTTTATCCATTATGTTGTCCCAGACTGTTTGTACATAGAATCACTAAATTTACAATGGCATGGTCACGTCAGGCTGGTAATATTTGCTAGTTAAAATACAGTTACATTACATTATCAGACAATATGGGTAGAGTCTTATTTGGGCATGTTGGCCTAAAAGTGGATAGGGCTTGAGATCTAGACTTGATGGTAACAACATATTTAATTTTAAAAGGTAAATGATAAACTATTATATTTCCTATCAAAGAGGAATAATCATCTTACAAAATGACTTTTTAATATATGATAGAACTTCCATGGAAAATAAATTGAGTATTATTAACAGGTTGTTTAAACAAAAATTTTCCTAATGGTCAGTCACATGTATACCAACATAGCTGTAGAATCTATAATTTTATTTTAGCACACATAGAATAATGTATTTTTAAAATTCTTTCCTCCCTTATCTTCTTCTTTGTATAGCACTGCCAACAGAGATACAGTACTGGAAATAGCCAGTTCATCCTTATTGTAGACCTGACATTAAAGAGTATAACTTGGTATTCCCAGCACTTTGGGAGGCTGAGGTGGGCGGATCACGAGGTCAGGAGATTGAGACCATCCTGGCTAACACGGTGAAACCCAGTGTCTATTAAAAATACAAAAAATTAGCCAGGCGTGGTGGCGGGCGCCTGTAGTCCCAGCTACTCGGGAGGCTGAGGCAGGAGAATGGCGTGAACCCGGGAAGCGGAGCTTGCAGTGAGCCGAGATTGCGCCACTGCAGTCCGCAGTCCGGCCTGGGCGACAGAGCGAGACTCCGTCTCAAAAAAAAAAAAAAAAAAAAAAAAAAGTATAACTTACTTTGGAAGGATTCATTATAATGGTCATTGAAAACTTGGCTAAGGAGATACGCTGAAAAATATGTAACTGCCACAGTCCCCAAATAAATAGATTATAATGAGTAGCACTAACATGAAGGAGTTTTATTAATTTGCAAGAGGTTTATTTACATTTGATAATAGTCATGCAAATAAAATATTTTTCATTTAGTTTAAAATGTAGAGGTACATATGCAAACAAAACAATAAAAGTTCATGAAATGGAATCATTATTAAAAATATCAAAGATGGTCATGAAAGCCATAAAATTCCTTTTATAGAAAGTGGGTTTTCCATTATCTCTGGCTTCACTGATCACTATACAGGTGAGGTTATTGCTTTTTCAGTTTTATTAATAAACCTATTAGTACACAAATAGTCTTCTAGCCCTTCCTAAACAAATGGAAAATGAAATAGTTTCATTACCCCCAGGGTTTCATGCACACCTGATAATAGAACTATCCCTGAAGAAATGGCTCTGTATACAGGAAAAAGTTGATCTTGAAGACTTTTCAAATTAAATTCTATTTTTTGTATTCTTTAGATTTTATAACCAGAAATGAAATATTATTTGAAGGCTGTTCTACTTTATGAAAAAATCTCTAAAAATATTACAATTTCAAAAAAGGATATAGCATGAGTCTTGTCAAATTGAAAAATAAAAAATAAAGAAATATGAGAATAGCCATTTTGGTGTCAAAGAAGGGTATTTTATTGTTATATAGTGATATTTCATGATAATGAAATGTTTTAATTTTCATATGCCCTTCGAAGTGAGAAAATAGGATAGCACCAACTGTATGCGAGGCCCAGTGATGTGCACTGGCAAGTGAAAATAATGCATATCCCAATCATTCATTCATTCATACCCTGATGAGCCTAACTCTTCCCCACCAAGAAGGGGTGCCTGCCACTTGCCCAAAACCCCAAAGAAATTCATTCAGCCTTGTATACAGAAGACAATTCTTTAGCATAACTGTGACCCTTACACATTCATTGATGCTGTGCCAAATTACTTTGGTTTACATCACTAGTCAGAAAGCTATCAAAGATGATTTCCAAAGTAGTAATTCTTATCTTTCTGCTTTGTGTCCCATAACTCATTAAAATATCAGGCTAGAGATAAATGAAAATCCATTTGTAATACTGACTTGCAGAAGATTCAAATAGCTAGCTGCAAGGAAGCAGGCAAGTGACAAAGCAGGGAGGTGAAAAAGCAGGGCCTAAAAGAAGTGGGTTGGTAGCTGATCTGCCACGAGTAAGAAAAGTTGACTATTAGTTGGTTAGATAACAAGATATGATGGAATTAGAAAACAGGACCATTGCTATTAAGTATTAAGTGTTTCTTCATTTAGAGCATTTCATGCTTTGGTATAGACAGTTTAAAATGATTAGAGACAAACTAATTTTGTGAATTCTTTGAGAGCAGTAGATAATCCTCATTTCTGCAACGCCAATGTTGATTTCAGTGCTTGACAGATGCAGGGCACTAAAACTTATGTTGACTGAAGGAATTAATGTATTAATAGAAATTAATAAAACCTAGTATATATATAAGAAGAGTCGGTAAAATTTGTCATTAAAATACAATTCAATTCCAACATATTTATTGAGCAATCTTCATATTTAGAATATTATATTTCTCTATGTATGTGATGTAAAACCAACCAAATGCCTGAAACAGTCATTTAAGATTTTTGTATACTGCTTGAAAAGCTAAAACCTAAGTTTCTTAGATCCTAAGTTACTTAAGATCTCATTCAATATATAATACGGAAATGGGAAGATGAAGAGTTAGAAGTAAAACATACCCAATGTGGCTTACCTAAGCATTCAGATGGATTTTGATAAACATATGTTTAAGGTTTTTTTAATAGTGTCAGAAATCACATAAATAACAATGTACACTGGGAAGAAATCACATAAATACAATTCTGTCTATGTAATTTCTACAAAACTGTAGGGAAGATGTCAAAGTTTTTCCTTAGAAAACTTAGGAGCTGTATGTCCCAAGGTGAAGTACTGAATTATTTAAAAATTATTCAAGAACAATGATAAGCATTTTATAAAAGTTAATGAAAAATTGGGATAATAAAAATGAACATACATGTCCATGAAAATTCATAAACCTTAAAAATAATTGCCTTTGGAAGTACGTAGTTATTAAAAAGCATATATACACTTGATAAGAAAAATAATACATTTTCAGCACATGAAAATTCAATTTTAATTGAAAATATTCTGAATATATTCTATTCACTTTCTGGGATATGGGGCTTTGGGATCTTTATTTATATTGGCATATATATTTACTTAAGGATCACAATGGGTTAGGCTCTTGGTTCTATTGACTACTTAGAACTACAGCATTGCATTTTTTTTAATTTCCACATTTTATCAAGGAAAGTGCTGAGTAAGTGCTAGGTTTTCTGATGCCTATGCCAGCCTAGTAGGAATTATACAGTTGGCTGTATTTGAAGAAAAATATTCTATTTTATTTCTAAATGTAAGCTCTTAGTATTAAATGTCAATGTTTTCTTAATTCAGTTTAGAATGCTTTCTTATCCATTTCCCAGTTTCTACAATTTCCTGAAAGGTGTTACCTACTGAATTTAGGAAGAACATAATTCATTGAAATGGTAATTTACCAAATGTTCAGTTATTCTATTTACTTATCAATATTCCTTTTAGGATGGCCCTAGAGATGCAGTGTCTAATTTTCTAGTCCTAAGGGACAGCAGGCAATTTATGCATAATAACTATCTGTTACATTTTCCTAACACATTCACTTTGTTTATAAATAATCATTGTGTTTTAGATGTGAGAATGTTTACCAGGAGACTAACAATTTGTAAAAACCCTGACATGGCTGATGTAAAATAATATAATTCAATTTTAAAAGCTATAATTTCAGGTGATACCATTTACACCACTCTTCTTAGTGAAGGTAGGATAAAGCAGCCTTCCTGTCAGGGATGATTGGATAATGTGATACATTACCTGATTACAAAATGATCCTGGGAAAACAACCCATTTCTCTATATTAATCTGACTTGTTTAATGTCCTCCCTCTCTCTGCATTCAGATGAGATGCTCTGCATCAACCTAATTCTTTTTTATGTGCATTGGCTGTTTTTTTTTAAACACAGTTTTCTCTAAACTGCTTAAATAATGACAGTTTTGCAAAGTTCTGAATAGTTTTTCAACTCTCTTGAATTTTAATTTGACGCATTTTCCTTCATGGCAGTATTATGTGTGGATTGTAACAATAAATTGAAAAACATGCAACTTGGTTGGTATCAATAATGTGTAAAAATGGTTTAATATAGTTAATATCACTTTTCATTTATGTGACACTCCCATGTAGTTTCAAAATATTTTATGGTTATTTTGTAATTATTATTTTTTGGAAAAGGAAATTAGAGAGATGCGTGAAATAGACAATTCAATTTTATACAAGTGAATAAATTCCTAATATTAAACAAATGTCTCTCTGAGATTTCTAAAGGTTTTATTGATTGAAAAAGGTAGAAATCATTTGTCCACTGTTGAATATTAGAACTTTCATATATTGTGCTAAAAATGTCCCAATCTCTAGGGATCCATACTTTATATTTTACAAGATATAAGAGATGGTCCTTTCATCCATTGCACAAGTTAAACCCACTCACCACTATTCTCTGTGCATTCAGTACCCGGTAATATATGCTTGCCAGTAGAATGCCAAATAAGGACTGTGATGTTCATTTTCCCTTATAGATTTTTGTTATCCGTTTAGTCATGATCCCAGCTGTTTGTTCTAAGGTTTGCTTAAATCGGTGAAAATCTGAATAGACTTTATTCACACCATACAACATAGGCAATTTTTTCTCAAAGGAAACTTTAATGACCATTTTATTTAACCCTCTCCGTTCATGAATGTGGAAACTGAGGCCTAAAGAGATTGAGGGACTGTATTAGTCCGTTTTCACCCTGCTGATAAAGACATACCTGAAACTGCGAACAAAAAAAATGTTTAATTGGACTTATAGTTCCACATGGCTGGGGAGACCTCAGAATCATGGCGGGTGGGCCAAAAGCTCTTCTTACAAGAGAATGAAGAAGCAGCAAAAGTGGAAACCCCTGATAAACCCATCAGATCTTGTGAGACTTACTCACTATCAGGAGAATAAGCATGGGAATGATCGGCCCCCACGATTCAACTACCTCCCCCTGGGTGTCTCCCACAACACATGGGAATTCTTGGAGATAAAATTCAAGTTGAGATTTCTGTGGGGACACGGCCAAGCCATATCAGAGACTTTTGCTAAATCAAAGGGAATTAATGGCAAGATTGTAAATTCAAAGAATAGATCTTATGTTCTCTTTCTAGAATAAAACTGTCTTAATTCTTTTTATTCTATGGCTATTTAATTAAACCTAGACCACTTACATCATACAACAAAAGAGCGTTTTTTATTTGTTTTTCAGCCAGAGATGGCATAGAGTATGCCTTATTTGCTTGTTATTTGATTGCCAAACTTGTGATTTTTTTCTTCCTTCTACATGGAAATTTAATTCGGTAGCTTGGTTTTCTAGTCTGCTATATTTTTCAAGCTCTACATCTTTGGACTCTCTTCTATGGCTTCCTTACCTTGGCATCTGTCTTGTTTTTTGTTTGTCTGTTTCTTTTTTTCTCAAGTTTCTCTACGCACAGGTCAGAATGGGTTTGAATACATTGGTTAGTTTTCTGGAACAACTGACCACACAACCAAAGGCTACTCATATGTGAACAAACACAAACAAGGAACCTCACACCTGTAACACTTGCTTCATTGAGCAGGCACAGGGGATTGCATGAAGAGGATGTTACAGTCTGCTGCCTGTGGATCTCTTCTGGAGATTCTTCTGTTTCTGGATGATTCATATCTCACTTTAACAGTCTGGATTTCCTATAAATGTCTTCTCTAGACACCTATTTCTTTGCTAGAATCTCCAATTAGTTATAAGAAGAACAAATGCTTATGCAACATTTATTATGTGTCAGGCAATTTTTGAGGCTGCTTACATGACGTGGCTTAAGCATCTGATTTAATAAATAGTAGAAATATTTTTAGACCCAAAGGCATAGGGTCTACCACTAGGTTATTCCTGTCTGCCCAATAGTCATGATGACCAAGATTTCCTATTCTTCCAGCCTGTAAACGAGATTCTTTGAACATATATAGACACTAAATTATGGTGGGGTCTTGGTTCTAGCACAGTCTAGGTGGTAATAGATGTTTGCTCCAAAATTACAGCCTTTATTTTCTCTATTGCAGCCACACACCAATCTCTAATTATGATCATATATTTTAATATTTTAGTCAAGATCTAAAGGTATTTCTTTATCAACCTTCATATTAAAATTATAGATCCCCCGTTTTTTTTTCTTTTCAGTGTTTACTATTATATCAACAGCCACACAAAATTTAAGGATCTGTGGCTACCCAAGTGGCTTTTCAGAATATTCTGTGCATAACAGGGGATTCCCATTGACCACAGGGCCCATTTCTGCATCTTATATACTGGGAAGGCCACAGAAGAGAATAGTGGGCTTAGTAATCAATGGGCACATTCAGATCAGGGAAATATCAAATTTCATAAATTTGGACTGCTCTGAGAAGAGAAGGAGGTGTTACGCGATTGAGTGGGATAACAGATATCCATGTGATCCTTGATATGTCTGTGTGCATAATTACATATTATCCCCAAAAATACACCAAAATACACACAAACACACACAAATCCACCAAATCTTATCCCAAAAGCCTGTGATCAGAATTATGTACATTTCTGAGGCTAAGATCTCTCAAAGGACATCTTTGTTGTGTTTTTATTTAGCATAAACAATCCAAGATGGCTAGGGAAGGTCTTCTTTTATCCTTTTTATAGTTAGGATTTTTTGTTACTTAACTTTCATCACTCTTCATTGGATAAATTGTCAGCATTCATTTTCAAACCTGGTAGTCACTTCCAGTAATCGCCCTGAGACTTTGTTTGCTACATAGCAATGTAACAGGTATAGACTTTTGTTTTAACAGTTGCCAATTACAATATGAAAAGATAATACACGTTGTTTGTAAAACAGTTGCTAAAATTAAAACAAGCTTATGAATAAAAGAAAAATCAACAGTTATATGACAGTCTAGATCTACAAATATTCCTGTTTTCAAAAACTGTCTTACAGAATTGGGCTTATATATGAAAAGGTGTATTTTTCTTTCCGGTTAAAGCATATCCCACGTTGTTATTTTGTTTCTAAAGGTATGATTTTAGAAACCTCAAAAGACTGGAAATCCAAGCCACAATCTGGAGAAAATGGCCAAAGGTTCCATTGTGAGAAGAATGTGGTGAACTGATACCCTTGTGTTGCTACAGGGACCCTTGCAGGGGTCTTGATGAGTTTTGTGACAGAGAACTGGCTCAGGTCTAGAAATTGGTCAAGGGATAAAAGTTTTCCATTGCAGTGACTGACATCAGCATTCAGCTTTTAATCCTCTTTGGTTGTATAAATCAAGTCATGTTTTTTGCCTATTCTCTGTTTCATCCTTAGGAATTCTGTGGTCTGTTTTCCACCACCATAGGTACTTACGGGTCGAGGATGATTTGTTATCCCTTCAATCTTGCTTCCCATTTAAATAATTATAAAAAAAACTGTTATGCAGGTTAATTACCACCATCTGGCCTCTCATATTCTATAGTCCTTTCATCCCATTAGTAGTAGGGAACCTTGTTTCAAGGCAGCATCTCTTATTATCAATCCTGGATTTCAAAGGAAGACCACCAGGAAACTTCTCATCATAGGATCTCTCACTAGTGATTTTCTTACAGTTTTAGCAAAGGGATTTTTTTTTTCTCAGCCCTCTTGGGGAACCTAATGAGCTAATGGACTTTGGTTTCCTCCAGTAAATCCTTTCTGAAATGCCCAAACCTATCAGCCTGACAATCCCTTCCACAATTTTGAAGGCAATTTTGGCATTTCTACAGCATTCAGTATAAGCTATTGTCATTATTAAGTGAAGGCAATTTTGCCATTTCTATAGCTATTGTCATTATTAAGTTTCAAGGAGCCATCTCAGCAAGAGGTCAGAATAAGGCCTGTGTCACGACATTGTATTATGAATCCTAGGAGGGTGTCATAATACCAATAAACTCTTCCCTATCCAGTCATTTAATACTATATCTCAATACTGGAGTCGACCACCCTCCTCTACTCCCAAACATATTCTCCAAATTGCTAAACCTGTTGTTTCTATTGTCCAGGACCTGCAGTTATTTTTGGTAAATAAGCCAGTTCCTTCTACAACAAGGACCATATTTCCCTGCATGGTCCATGCTGAGTCTTGGCCCTAATTACTGGTGAAGAGGAAATTGAGATAGGCAAGGACAGATTGTGAGGAGGGTAAGCATCATCACATGAGGCATGCAACTCAGGTGAAGCCTCTTCATATTCTCCAGCTAAACAGAGTTTTCTTCCAGCTGTTTTTTCAAGGTTCTCAAGATCATTAGCCCATATGCCCCCTCCTTCAAGTCTCAGTTTCCCATTTCTTCAGTATGTGAGACCTAATGTTAGCATGGAAGACCTGCTAGTCTTTGCATTCATTCTCTCTCGCAACTTGGTTATACTTATGATAAAACCCTGTGCCTGAATTTCTTCCCAGCAGATGATGTATTTAAATGCTGCTATGTAGGACACCTGGCTTTCACAACATTCCCTGAGTTGATAATTATGATCTGAGCCTTTCATTTTTCTTCAAAACCGCTAAGCTATCTCCACAATCTTTATAATTACTTTTTGCCCTTATATCTTTCCAGTCCTAGGGGTACTTCACAAGCCAGTGCTCCCCATTTCACCTGCATCTCATCTTATTTGCTAAGGATGAGAGTTTTGGTAATTACGATGCTATGTCATGACATAGGCTATCACCATCCCACTTATCATCAGCAATGGGTTGCTTGTTGCCATCTGACTAGTGACTAATCTAATTTCAGGATCCCATCTGGAGTGTCTGCTTTCAAGGATTACTTTTGAATTATACTAAATTGGGTTCATACAAAGCGGACCCTCAGAAAAAGCCTTAAACTCAGGTGGTTCATTTGGAAAATGATGCCAAGAAGCACAAATGAGGGATCTTGGAAATATCAAGGAAGGAGTAACACTATTAAAGAATGTGCAGAAGAATGAATTACTCTTCTGGGATCCTGGCTACCCAACTGGGATGTTCTGAGAAATGTGTTTTGGGAATTTGTGGCATCGATTTACCTACTGCCACCTCTGAGGGTTGTTCTTGAAAGAATTAATTCCACACAATTCTGGGTTATCCATAAAAGGGCCAAGGAAGCCCCTACCACTGGGGAAGAAAGCCCTCAGGCTGAGAAGAAGAAAGACATGCACTTCCGGTGCAAACCTGTAAATATGCAAGAAACTGTGGATCACAGCAACAAATCAACTCAGACAAAGACTGAGGAGGTAGAAATAATTGAAGATTATCTACAACTATCAACTTATGTCCAAATTTGTTTCTTTATAATTCTCATCTCTTTAACACCTCCATCCTTAGCAGGGTTATAATTTTATCTATAAATATGTAGAAACATATCTTTAAAAGGGAGCAGTTATTTAAAAATATAACCATGAGAATTTCACTTTACCTTAAAAAGGAGCAATTATTCCATAATATCACTCATTTATATCAAGTATGTCCAATTGTTAAATTTTTTAGTTTGAATAAAAATCTAAAGATGCTCTACACATTTAAATAAATTTTAAGTCTTCCCATCTATAGTCTCTTTCTCTTTCTCTTCTTCTCTCCTTCATTAAAAAATAGTTATGATCATGTTTCTGCATTTAGCTGTCTTTATCTCCATTATGCTAACATGTTTCTCTCTGACTTATATTTTTTGCAGAGTACCTGTTAGATCTAAAGTCTTGCTGCTATGTTAGCAAATTACCTAGATTCATGTTTTCTTTCCAAGGGTTTGAAAAAAATGTTGATTTTATAATTCTATTACTATTTATGCACTGGAATACTTCTATAAAAAATATATTCCCCCATCAACTGTAAAATTACTCTAAATGAAATATAAGGTTCACATAGGAAATCAAGTTCAAATGTGGTTTCTTTCCCTTCATCATTTTAACAATATTGAATTGTTTCTTTAGCAGTATTAGAAGGTCACTGATATTTTTTAATATCACTATAATTATGAACTTATAAATTTGAAAAGATTTGATGGGTTTCATTCAAGTCACTGCATTTTATTGTTTCCACGGACACACTAGCTCTCCTGACTTTAGCCAGTGGAGCCTCTTAGCATTTTGGTATGACAGATTTAGGATTAGCTATTTTTCTAGGGAGCCCTTGGTTTTGTTTTTAGTAAAAATTATAGTTTAGATTCCATAATCTGGGTGCTAGGGGCACTCGTTATTGAATTGATAATTGATTCTTTTTAGTGAACAGAGATCTTTAAAAAGCTATATTTTTTTTAAAAAAGTAAAACACTTCTTGAGTTCAATTTGGGGAATAAAAAATTATATTTTTGTTTATATATACATACACTAGTGTTATTTTCTTTCTTCAAATTTTTGATCTCTGATGATATTAGCATGTTAATTTTTTTCCTGTGTGTGAGTGAACATAAATGCAATAGATTCAGGATACTCATACAACTTATAGGTACATAGTTATGAAGGAACACCAATTAAGCTTCTTTCTTTTTCATTTTTTAAATTCTTATGAGACTTTCATACTTTTAGCACTGAAAGTCCTAAATCCTGGTTTTAAAACCAAAATTCTCTCTTTCCTGGAGCTTCATGAATCCAGGGAAGACTGGGACAGTTGGTTACATTAGTTTATGATAATGTACATCCTGATAGGTATGTTCAGTCAAATTTATTAGAAATAATTGTTCCATGTTTGCTTAAGCCATCCACTCTATAAACAGGCATGCATGTTTTATTCACTTTAAGTTTCCAGAGATTGTAATACAATTACAATTTAATTGTTTCATTCTCACTTGGACACAATCCAACTAGGCTTTCACTTTCCATCATGCCATTAAAGCTGCCTTTATCAGTTACCTCTAAATTATGATATTGAATTCTTAGTTTTCTATTCGTCAATGGTATTTGAAACAGATGATTATTTTCTACTCATTGAAAAGCTTTATTTTGCACAAAATTGATTTAGAGACATAATTTTCTCTTCATTTAACTCTACTGCTACATTGTCCATTCTCAATTTTTTCTCATTTCCTCGATCTCTAAAGTTGAAAACGCCAAAATTCAATCCTTGGATTTTTTCCAATTTTTGTCAGTGTTAACTGTCTCGTTAATGTCATTCAGCTACTGGCTTTTATATACCTTTTACTGATTACTGCCAAATATATATTGCTAGCTTGGACCACTGCCCTAATCCAGTTTGTATATTCAACTTCCTGTTTTCAAATCTCTACTTAGTTATCTAGTAAATGACTCAGACTTAATATGTACAAAACCAGCTGCTGATTTCTGAGCTGCTCCATCTTGTCTTTCCACACTTCTTCTCATCTCAGTGTGTTTAACACTATTCTTTAAATTGCCCAGGTCAAAATCCTTGGAGTCACGCTTGACTCATCTCTTTTTTTAAAAGATGTTATGGTGATAAAATTCACATACCATCATATCCACCCATTTAATTCAAGTATATAATTCAAATCTTTTAGTATATGTGCAACCATCACCACAGTCACTTTTAGAGCTTTTTCATCACCTCACAAGGAAACCCTGTAATTATTACCGTCTCCCTTCCGAGCCACCCAGCCCTACGTAGCTAATAATCTACTTGCTGTCTATATACTTGCTAATTCTAGGCATTTCTTTTATACAATTGTTCCTCGGTATCTGCAGGGGAATAGTTCCAGGACTCCCGCGAATACCAAAATCCACAGATACTCAAATTCTTTATATAATATGAAGCAGTATTTGTATATAACCTACACACATCCTCTCACACACTTTAAATCATCCTCAGATTACTAATAATACTTAATACAATGTAAATGCTATGTAAATAGTTCTTACACTGTATTTTTAGTTGTATTATTTTTAATAAAATTGTTTTAATTTTTTATTTTTAAAAATATATTTTTGATCCATGGATGATTGAATCCACAAATGTGAAACCAACAGATACAGAGGGCTGACAATAACATGAGATCTTTGGTAACTGACTTCTTTCACTTAACATCATGTTTTTAAGATTGATCCATGTTGTAGCATGCATCAGCACTTTGTTCCTTTGGATGGTTGAATGATATTCTGTTGTATAGATATACTACTTCTGTTTATTCATCAAATGATGGACAGTTGTGTTTTTTCCCTTGCCCTTTTACAGTTATGAATAACACTGCTGCAAACATTCATATACAAGTTTTTGTGTAGACCTTTATTTTCATTTCTCTTGGATATATACCAAGGAGTGGAATTTCTGGGTCATGTGGTAACTCTCTGTTTTACCTTTTGTGAAACTTTCCGACTGTTTTCCAAAGTGGCTGAACAGTTTTAAATTCCTACCAGCAGTATATGAGAGTTCTGATTTATCCACTTACTTTCCAATACTTGTTATTACCTAACTTTTTGGTTTCAGAAATATTTAGTGGGTGTGAAGTGGTATCTCACTGTGGTTTTGCTATACATTTTCCTGGAAGATGACTAAATTACCTGATAGTTGACTAGAAATGCAAAACATCTTATTATATGCTTATTGGTCATTTGTATATTGTTTTGGAAAAATGTCTATACATATTTTTTTGTTCATTTTAATTGGGTTATCTTTTTATTATAAGTTGTAAGAGTTATTTGCATACTCTAGATTCAAGTTCCTATTAAGATATATGATTTTCCAATATATTCTCCCATTTTGTGGTTTGCTTTTTCATGTATTGAGAGTGTCCTTGGAAGCACAGATTTTATTTTTTATGAAGTCCAATTTATCTATATTTTCTTTTGTTGCTTGTGCTTTTGGTGTTATATGTAAAAATTAATTGTCAAACCTGAGGTCATGCAGATTTACTCCTAAGTTTTTTTCTCAGAAATCATTCATGTTTAGCTATGAAATTTTGGTCTTTTGTGTTAATTTTTGCATCTTTTGTAAAGTAAGCGTCCAGTTATTGTAAAGATTATTCTTCCTCCCATTGAACGGTCTTGGGACTCTTGTCAAAAACAGTTGACTATAGACTCATGAGTTAATTTCTGTGCCTTTAATTCTATGCTATCGATCTATATGTCTACCCATATTCCAGTACCATACTGACCAGATTATTTTGCTTTGTAGTAAGTTTTGCAACTGGGAAATGTGAGCTCTCCTATTTTGCTTTACTTTTTAAAGATGTTTTGGCTATCCTGAGTTCATTGCAAACCTTAGAATCAACTTGTTAATTTCTGCAGAGAACCCGGCAGAAATACTGATAAGGTTTGCATTGAATCTGTAGATCAATCTAGAGAGTATTTCCATCTTAACAATATTAAATCTTCTGATGGAGAAATATGGACTCTTCTTCTATTTATTTAGATCATTTCTAATTTTCTTCAATAATATTTTCTCATTTTCAGAATATACATTTTGCATTTCTCTAGTTAAATTTACTCCTAAGTATTTCATTCTTTTTGTTGTTGTTCTAAATTGTTTTCTTAATTTTACTTTTAGGTTTTTCGTACAAGTGCAGGGAAATACAATTGAATTTTGCATATCAATCTTACATCCTGCAAATTTGCTGAACTCATTCATTAATTATAAAAATTGTATTGTATTCCTTAGGATTTTCTATAAAAAAGAACATGCCATCTGCAAGTATAGTTTTACTTTCCAAATGTATGCTTTCTTTTTCTCTTTTTAAAATGCTTACTTCTGTATTTTTTGCCTAATTATGCTGGCTAGAACATTCACCATAATGACGCATAGAAACAAAGAGAGCAGACATCCTTTTATTGTTCCTGATCTTAAGGAGAAACTTCAATATTTTACCATTAAGTACAATGTCAGTTGTGGGTTTTTTTAGATACCTTTTATCTGATTGAGGAAGTTTCCTGCTATTCTGAGTGCTTTCATCACGAAAAAGCATAGAACTTTGTCAAATGCTTTTTTGTGTGTCTAATGAGATAATCGTGTTTTTTTCAAAAATATCCTATTGATATATTACTTAGATTAAATGATTTTGAGATATTCTATCCATTTGACCAAGTTGTATAGTTATTTTTATGTGTTTTTGGATTTGCTTTGCTAGTAGTTTGTTGAGAATTTTTGCATCTATATTGGTCAGTAATTTTCTTTCCTTGTGATACTTTATTTGGTTTTGGTATTATGGTAATAATGGCTCATATAATGAGCTAGGATGTCCTGCTTCTCGTCTATATTTTGGAAAAGTTTATGAAATATTTGTGTTAATTTTTAAGTGTTGTTAGAATTCTCCAGTGAAGCCACCTGGACCTAAGATTTTCCCTGTGGGCATTTTTTAAAAATAATTAATTTTTTACTGTTACAGGTTTATTCAGATTGTCTATTTCTTTTTGAGTAAGTTTCAGTAGCTTATATTTTCTTCTAAGAAATTGTCCATTTTACCTAAGTTAGCAAATGTATTGGTATACCATTGTTTGTAATACTCCTAAGTAATCCTTTTCACTTTCATAAGGTCAGTATAATTTCATTTCTGATTCTAGTAATTGGACTATTCACTTGTTTTTTATTTGTTAATCTAGCTAAATGTTTATAAATGTTGTTGATGTTTTCTCAATTGTTTTTCACTATTGTATTTATACCGTCAAGTTCAGTAAGTTCCACTCTAATCTTTAACACTTCCTTCCTTCTGCTTGCTTTAGATTTAATTTTTTTTCCCCCGATATCTTTCGGTGGAAGCTTAGGTTGTGGATTTTAGATTTTTCTTCTTTTTAATACAAGCATTTATAGCTATAATTTTTTATTTAAACACTGCATTTGCAGCATCCCATATGTTTTGGCATGTTGTATTTTTACTTTTACTTATGTCAGGTATTTTCTAATTTTTTTTGACTTGTTATTTGACTCATGAGTTATTTATCAGTGGGTTGTTTAATTTTCACATATTTGTGGGCTTTTCAAATTCCTTTCTGTTATTTAATTTGTTTTCGTAGTCAGATAAAATATGTTGTACTGTTTCTATCCTTTTACGTTTATTGATGTTTGTTTCATAGTTTAGTATACAATCTGTCTTGTAGAATGTTACATGTGCACATTAGAAAAGTGTGTATCCTGTTGTTGTTAGGTGGGTATTCTGTAGATATTTGAGTATCTGTTAGGTCTAGTACTTTTATAGTATTGTTTGTGTCATATATTTTCTTGTTCATCTGCTTAATTGTTTTATCTGTTATTGAGAGTGGGGTTTTAAGCCTCCAGTTGTTATTGTTGAGTTGTGTATGTCTCCTTCCATATCTTTTTCTTCACATATTTTGGTGTTCTATTATTATGTGCATATATATGTTCATCACTATTGTATCTTCCTAATAAATTGACCCTTTTATCATTATAAAATGTTCCTCTTTCTAGTCGCATATCTCCCTCTCTCTTTTTGGTTTTAAAGTCTATTTCTGATTTTAGCTTAGTCATTTCATCTTTATTGTGGTTGTTATTTTTTCATCCTTTTACTTTCAAATTGTATATTTGAATCTAAAATGTGTCTCCTGTAGACACCATAGAGTGCATATTATTTTTTAAATCCATGTCTGCTCTCTTTTATATTTCTAATTTTAGCTTAGTCATTTCATCTTTATTGTGGTTGTTATTTTTCATCCTTTTACTTTCATTCAAATTGTATATGTGAATCTAAAATGTGTCTCCTTTAGACAGCACAGAGTACATATTATTTTTAATCCATTCCTGCTATCTCTTCCTTGGATCCAATTTTTTAAAATTCTCTAATATTTAATGTTATTATTGATATAGCTGGATTTATGTCTACCATTTTTAATTTTTTTTATGTCTCATATCTTTTTGTCACTTGATTCTTCTTTTCCTCATCTCCTTTTTAATGCATTGAGTAGGGACTAATGTATCATTTTAATTTTTGTAGTAATTTTCTGCTATATGTTTTTGAATGGTTGCTTTAGGACATATTATATATGTTTTAATTTTTCAGAATAAGCTTCATATTTATATTAACTTAATTTCAGTACACCCAGGATAGATCATTCATCCAATGAATGTAGGCTGAGAAGAAAAAAGGAGCCTCCACCTCTTAGCCCCAGCAACAGGCTATGACTAGGATGTGAAATGCTGACATCCTGCCCCTTCCAAGAAAGTAACACTTCAGCTGGTTTCTGGTGGCCTGGAGAGCCCTGTTTTTGGCTATCCAAGTCTGGAGTGTTATTTTTGTCTTAATAAATTTGGAGAACATTCTTCCAACCACAGTGATTTGGGAGGAGAGACAGTCACATATACCAAAGACTCAAATACCAAAGACTCACTGTTCTTATTGGGTTTTAGTATATTTTCTTGAATATATGTTTTTTGATTTTCTGTTTGCCCTTAGAACAATTTTCAAAGACATTAGATGCATTTTTATTTTGTTTCATTTTTAAAAAAATAATTCTCACCTGTTTCACAGGATAGTAGGTCTGTGGAGCCCCTCATGCCATTGTGCCACAAGTAGAACTTTTGATGTGTTTACCTCATATTCCATATTCAATATGTGAGCTAATCTTTGTCTACTTAAAATTATTAAGAATTTAGATAACATGTTCAATCTCTATTGCAGCCACCTTTGTCCAGTCCACAGTCATTTTTTTTTTGGCTGGATTTGTGAAAAACTTTCTAACTGATCTCTCTTCTGGACTTTACTTTCTATTTTTCATTTTCAGAACAGAAAACAGAGTGATGTTTTTCAAGCATAAATCAGAGTACACCTATCTTTCATTCAGAACTCACCAATGCCTTCTCAACTCATGCTGAGAGAAAAATTACTCCTATTTAATGTATCTGTAGACCCTCTGTTATGATACCGTATGCCTCACAGACCATATTTCTACCCTTCCTGTCAATTACTCTTTATTTATACTGGTCTTCTTGCTGTTTTTCATACACACTTGGCATGTGCCCACCTCAGTACCCTTGTAATGGACTGTTCCCACTGCTTAGAATGGACTTTCCACAGATATCTGTGTGGTCCACTCTCTTCCTATTTTTAAGTCTTTGCTCAAATTTACTTTCTCCACAAAGTCCACCCTGATTATTCCATTTCAAATTAAAATCCTCTCCCTGAAATTCCCTATTCTCCTTCTTTGTTTCATTTTTATTCATAGTGCTTATCTTCTTCTAATAAGTGACAGTACATAAATTAGTGTATTATATGTTCACTTCTATGACAATGAAACTTTATAGAATAAGAAATTTATGGCTTTTTTCATCAGTATGATATAGCCAAAGCCTAGGAAACTTATTTAAGGATGTTAAGCACTCAATAAATCCTTATTGAACAAATGGATTATTGATGGTCCTCAACAGTATATCAATTTCATTAAAGCAAATACTGTGTCATATGCCCAGAGTTATGCCTTAAAGCTTGAACAATCTATGTCTTTAAAAAACTATTTTTTGAGTCAATATTAAGAAAGTCTTTTAAAAACTTGGCTCATGTTTACTATATATTATTATTCTCCTCATGTATTTTTTGCAAGTATTTTATTGCAGATGTTTTAATTTTTTATGCTCTTAATTAGTGCTTTAAGATGTAACTTAAGAAAATTTGCATGTATCTAGGTAAATGGACCACCCAGTTCAGCCTCTGAGGACTTTCCAGAGGACCAAAGTTCCAGATCATTTTAAATAAATGCCTAGACCAGTTGCTAAAAATTCCTATTTTACCACCTCCCCATATTTTCCAATGGCTGTGTCACTAGGGCTGGTTCTTTTCTGTATTGTCCTCAGTGAGGCTGCATACACTCATGCTCTGTAGTGCAGCCACTGTGGCCCTGTGTGGATGTAGCCTCTTTAAAGGAGATCCTTGATTGTAGGAGATGGACTATTATTTTTTCCCAATAGAAAAAGAAATTGCATACATTGTTGCTTGAGTTGACTCTGAAAGTAAAGTAACATGAGTAAACACTGCAAATTTCAAACTCTTGTTTCCACCAAGCAAATTTGTCTATTGTCAAAGCAAATCCAGATTATTCTGTAGTTCAAATTATTCTATGCATGCAAGTTGTACGTCTGAGGTTATGTATTCTCTCATTCCCTTTTGTTAGCACAGGTAAAAGAAAGGATCAAACAGAATTTTATGCTTAAGAGTTGTTCATTTTAAGGCCAAATTCCATTTCCATTTTATAATAGAGACCCGTAACAGAATGATGGAAACCTAGTCATAAGTGTGGTAGAAAAGAAAATCTGTACATTAAATGAGAGATGCCAGGACTTTTTCCTCAGAGCTCCATGAATAAATATCAAATCCACTTTATTGTTGGTTGGGGGAAAATAAAAAAACAACCTGAAGTTGGGTGATTTGGGTGTTGCAAGGAGTCGACACTGATCGCTGCCAAACTTTCTATTTATTTTCTGTCAGACAAAATGTTTAATTTGGATGCCATGTGTTTCTGGGAGATATAAATATTTCTTTCATAAATATATGACTGGCATAATTATTTTCTCTTTCCTCTAACTCAGCATTCTAGCAATTTTTAACTCTAAGGGTTAGAAGTAACAGCAATTTAGCATTTTTTCATGCTTTGCTTTTTATGCAGACCATGTACTTACCAAGTCAACTGTGTTAGTAGAGGTGATTTCTTGCTTAAGCTGTTCTTATGGATAGAATTTCACTGTGACAATATGTAAGCAATGCTTTGAGCATGCTGAGGGAATTCAATAATCAGATTATGATTCCCTACCTAATAGTGGAAATGTAAAAGTTTCACAAACTTTTCTGTCAAAGGACATGCTGCCTAAAAGCAGCAAAGTGGCCTTAAATGTCTTATACATTAACAACTATTTACCCCTATTTATGTAACTCATCGTCATGATTATTGAGAAATATGCACACCAGAAAAGGAAATAAATTATTTCAGATAAAAATATTTTTTAAGGATAGAAAAACAGTATTTTGAAAGCCTGGCAAAGTTTTTGAGGGATCACTGATGCTGTATGTACAGGTGAGATATTAAGCATGTGCTTTTATAATTCAGGTGACATTTTACTCCTACCCCCGGCCCTGATAGTTGTAGCAAAAGAAGTCTATTTTAGTAATCTAGGTGGGTCAATCTTTGGTTCAAATTATATGTGCAGACCTAGCCTTGGCCATCCGTGTTTACTACTCCCTCTGCTTTGCATGCCCAGGAATTTGATATGTGATATTGCCATTTGCCCTGGAGAGTTTTTTAGTCTGTTTCCAGGCCCTATGCAAATAAATAATTTCCTCACAAACCAGGCCATGAATAAGTTGAGTTCTTCATATTTAATATTGCTAAGATGTATGGTTCCACAAACCAAACATGTTATTTTCAAATGTCTCACTAAACTGAAAGTACTATACTAATAATCTGTTTTATCGAATGCTTACAATTCTAAAGAAAAAGGTTTATGGCTCTGCTTCATCTTTGTGGGATACATGTTTAATGGACACATTTCTCTTTAAATCAACATTTTTACACAAAAGGATTGGGTTGTTGAAAAGAATGAGACTTAACTCTCTACACATACTCCATCTGTAGTACACCAAAGGAATTTCATTGCAGGAGAAGAAAACTAAGTATAAACTATATTAGGAAACAGTCATCAAAACTAACTGCTGTAATAGAGAAGTATATTCTTATTTTATATATAGTGTATTGGGTTGCTCTGGTAGCAGTAAACATTGTTAAGCGGGAAAAAACTGTGAAATGTTTTGACTATTATGCTTAGCATTGATGGCCCAAAAGACACACTTTTTCTGCCATTTTTCCCCGTCAAGCAAATGGTCCATTATGAAGGAATGGTGCCTCCGTTTAAAACCAAGCCAGATTTTAGGACTCAAATATTTCTTTGTCTCTGGTTTAGTGTCCATGATTATTAGGTTAGTTTTTCTACTTTGCCAAAGCCTAAGAATCTGGGAGAGAAAAGCAACAAGAATTCATATTTAAGCATTTTTTTTTCTTTTTAATTCATCTGTATTTATTACAACCTTTTTAAGCAGAATGTGACTCGGGTACTATGTTTCCATTCACCAGCCTCATTGTGAGTTATTTTTTGAACTTAGTAGACCAAATCTTTTGTCAGTAATGTGTTCTTAGATTTACGTTGATGGTTAGGAGAAAAATAGTCATTCCAGGTACTAGGATATTTAAGCTTTTATGTTTTGTTATCATTAATGTCATTCACAAGCTAGTCATTAATGTTCTTTTTTCCTACTTTAAGCAGTTCAGAAATTGAAAGCATTAGGGTGAGTATATAATGTAATTGTATATAGAAGATATATATGAGTTTAGCATATTTTAATCCACTATAACAAAAATAATGGTATCTTTTCCCTTTATATTCATCTCCCCTTATCTATGGTTTTTTTTTTTTCCCATGGTTTTAGTTAGTTGTGGCCAATGGGGATTCAAAAATATTAAAAGAAAAATTTCAGAAATAAACAATTCTGAAACTTTAAATTGTGTGCCATTCTGAGACCCTCAGAAATTTCTTGCCTTCCCACTCCATCCTGTGAACGGAAGTGAATCACGCCTTTGTCCAGTATATTCACCCCGTGTGTATATGCTACCTGCCTGTTTTTCACTTAGCTGTCTTGACTGTTGCAGTATCACAGTGCTTGTGTTCAAGTAACCCTTACTTTACTTAATAATGGCCCCAAAGTGCAAGAACAGTGATTCTGGCATTTTGGAAAGAAACACATTGGAATGCTCATTTTAAGTGAAAAGGTGAAAGTTCTTGACTTAATAAGAAAAGAAATCTTACGCTGACTTTGCTAGATTTATGGGGAACAAATCTTCTCTCTATGAAATTGTAAAAAAGAAAAAATCATGCACAGTATCTGTACAGTTTAGTACCATCCATTGTTCCAGGCATCTACTGGGGCTCTTAGAATGTATCCCATGTGGATATGGGAGAAATTCTACATATCTCAATATTAAACATTTTCTTGTTTTATATTTAAAAATGTTTTTTCATACATTATATTCATTATTCAAATGTATTTCATCATGCTTTAAAAATTCGGTATATCTCGGCCGGGCACGGTGGCTCATGCCTGTAATCCCAGCACTTTGGGAGGCCGAGGGGAGGGGATCACGAGGTCAGGAGATCGAGACCATCCTGGTGAACACAGTGAAAGCCCGTCTCTACTAAAAATACAAAAAAATTAGCCGGGCATGGTGGCAGGCGCCTGTAGTCCCAGCTACTCAGGAGGCTGAGGCAGAAGGATGGCGTGAACCCGGGGGGCGGAGCTTGCAGTGAGCAGAGATCCCGCCACTGCACTCCTGGCTGGGCGACAGAGCGAGACTCCGTCTCAAAAAAAAAAAAAAAAAAAAATCTGTATATCTCATGGACTAATATGCTAAGGAAGTGTGCTGATCATGCATTGCTGTTTATGCTTTCTGGTGGGTAGATGGGCACGCAGGATACATGCTCTGATCTCACTTGGTATCACGGTGTTCAATACATGGTAATGACACTGCTTTGGAAGATGTACTGAATAAATATATTTTTCAACTACTTACGTCTTAAGTAAGGAAAATCATTTGTTTTAGGTGTGAAACAAAATATCTAAAAAATAAGGCATACGTAATGGAATATAAAGCTACAATTTTTGCGTGTTTAAGTCACTTCAGACATTGACTGTACTCCAAGCTTCAGTTGTGATACAATTACTAGATATTATAATGTCCAAATGGGAAATGTTTTCAGTGTATGATCGGGTTGTATCAGGGTAGCTAAGATAATGAAGTTTATAATCATGATATGGTTATACAATTAAGGGAAAGTATAGAAACATTTTTGTCTTTTACTATTAAAAGTTGAAAGACAATACAGTTGGCTTTCGATATCCATGGATTTCACATGCATAAATTCAACCAACCAGGGGTCAAAAATATTCAAAAATGAATGGATGATTTTATTTGTGCTGAATATATGCAAACTTTTTTCTTTTACTCTAAATAATACAGTATAACAATTATTTGGATAGCATTTGCATTATATTATGTATTATAAGTAATCTAGAAATGATTTAAATTACACAGGAAGATGTGTTTAGATCATATGCAAATACTACACCATTGTATACAAGGGACTTGAGCATCTGCAGATTTTGGTATTGGTGGAGGGGAGGGGTTCTGGAACAAATTCCCCACTTCCACATAAATAACGAAGAATGACTAATTTGTACAAATGCACTTGTTCTTGAGTAGTAATTCTCAATCTCATTACACTTGTACATGTGTGCGTATCTGTGCAATAGGCATTTTTTTTTCCTATTGGGTCATCAGCTACATGAAAGGTGAAACTGTACTGTTATCCTTTTTTCCTTTCTCCAGCTGTGTTTATTTGGTTGATCTTTGATAACATATTTTCTGCTGATTTATTTATTTATTTTTATTGAGGTTAGATGTGAAGCTGGGGTGGAATTCACTTTCATGGGCAGGGATTTACATGGTTTTGATCTACAGCTGGCAACGAAAGAGGGGGAGTACCCAGATTTTTTTTTCTTTAGATGTGGGGCCACAAGTAGAAGAGGGAGGGTTTATTTCACTATATTCTTTATTTTTTTTAAATAATAGCAACTTTTTTTTTTTAGATTCAGTGGATACTTGTACAAGTTTGTTACACGGGTATATTGCATGATGATGAGGTTTGAGGTACAAATGATCCTGTCAGTCAGGTAGTGTGTATAATACCCAATAGCTGGTTTTTCAAAAAGTGGCCCTCTCTCTCTTCCCCCTTTATTAGTCTCCAGTTTCTGTCATTGCCATTGTTATGTCCATGACTACCCAGTGTTTAGCTCTCACTGAAAAGTGAAAACATGTAGTACTGGTTTTATCTTCCTGAGTTAATTCACTCACGATAATCGCTTCCAGTTACATCCATATTGCTGCAAAGGACGTGATTTCCTTCTTTATTGTGACTGCATAGTAATTCCATGGTGCATTTATACCACATTTTCTTTATCCAACCCACCATTGATGGGCACCTAGGTTGATTCCATGTCTTTGCTATTGTGAATAGTGCTGCAATGAACATAGAGTGCACATGTCTTTTTGGTAGAACTGTTTATTTATATTTGATACACACCAGTAATGGGATTTCTGGGTTGAATGTTAGTTCTGTTTTAAATTATTTGAGAAATTGACAAACTGCTTTCCACAGTGGCTGAACTAATTTGCATTTGTACCAATATTATATAGATGTTTCATTTTTTTCTGCAGCCTCAACAGCATCTGTTATTTTTTGACTTTACAATAATAGTCATTCTGACTGGTGTGAGATGGTATCTCATTGTGGTTTTGATTTGCATTTCTGTGATGATGAACATTTTTTAATACGATTGTTGGCTACTTGTATGTCTTCATTTGAGAAGTGTCTGTTTATGTCTTTTGCCCACTTTTTAATGGGTTGGTTTCTTTGCTTGTTGAATTGTTTAAGTTCCTTACAGACTATGGATATTAGCTCTTTGCTGGGTGCAAAGTTTGTGAACATTTTCTCCCATTCTGTAGGTTGTTTGTTTTCTGTTGATAGTTTCTTTTGCTCAAAAAAAATGTTATCTCTATTGTATCCCAGTAGAGAGAAGAAAGAGAAACTATTTTTGTCTCAGTGTCTGCCTAAGACAGAAATGCATATTGGGAAACTTAAGATTTAGGCATATGTTTACTAAATATTTCAGATCCCAAATCCAAGCCACACAGAGTCAGGGAATGCTGCAACATCACTTAATGATGGCATGAAAGGACAGAACCTCACTATCACACACTCAGGTTATGACTGTACTTTATGATCGCCCTTGCTCTTGTCCCTTCCTCCTCACTTCCGTCCTTTCAGATCACTCTCCCTGCTAGAGCTCTCCCTGCCCCATTTCCTTGGTCGGCTATTCCTACATCCCCAAAGTAGCTAGTCTCTTATCTCCTTTTGAGTCTTGTGAACTTTATCACCTTTCACAGAATTATTAGTTAGAGCTTCCCACCCACCCCTTTTCTTAATATCTGTTTCTGGATAAAGAGGAGAAGCCTTCGAGTAAAAATGAAAGGCTTTACAATTATTCCCAATTCTGTTTTTTTTCAGGTTGTTACTTTTTTTGCTGTTGTCACAGAAGTTTATTTACAAATGTATACATAGTTCTCACCAGTGTTAATTTTTTTTACCTAAAGCTCTAATGTTTACTTATTTACACAAATCATATCACCCATGCTAATATAACTGTGTTCTTCAGATATATATATAAAATATATAATCATTCAGATATATGTATGTATAATCATTCAGATATATATAAAATATATATATAATCATTCATATATATATATCTGAAGAACACAGTTATATTAGCATGGGTGATATGATTTGTATATATATATATATATATATATATATATATATCTTTGTGTATGTATATATGATTTGTGTGTATATATATATATATATCCCAATGTGGATAAGTTTTCAAAACCTTCTTTCATTATTTTTATTGAAGGCCAATTGCTCTTTCCCAATTCTTAGATTTCTTTCCCTGGATTCAATATGAATGGAATACAGTAGAATAATCTTATCGATGCAAATAAAACAGATGGGACCCTATCGTATCTAAAACATCATGTTTGTACTGGAAAAGCCCTTCAGTGGACTTGCTGTATACACTGAAATTTTCTGAGAAGTCTAAGTTTTTGCTCTACCTAGATCCTCTTTCTGAGATGTTCCATATGATTCCACTGTGGACTCCATGACTGATTAGACCTGGAATCAGCCCTTCACCTAACAGCAGTCATTTGCAAGACACCTGGCCCAGGAGCTCCATTTGACATGATAAGATATCTCTCTTGGGAAACTTGTAACCAAGGAAAATGAAGATAATAAATAGAAGTGATGTGTAATCAGAGGCATTAAAAAAGGAGAGAAGGAAGACTGTCAGCAAAAGCATGATGCAGTAGAAATCATAGCTAAAGCTATAAGGTAAAACTCTCTAGTTATAAGTAGAAAAAACAAGTTAAGAACCATAGAGCAGATTGCTATTCTGCAGTCAGGCTTCTCAGCCTATGGCTGTCTTCCTAAAATGTGAGTGATCAATTGTATCAGACCCTTAAGCCTGGCCCTCTGACTGCTGAACTTGTTCCCTATATTCCTTGTTTCTCTTTTATTTTGCAATCATTACATCTTAACCAGAGCAAGTTGAGTTGCTTTTTCTCTAAAAACCAAAATAAATCTTACTTAAACATTATTAAAATGTAGAATTTTATGAGGGTGATTTTTTTTATGTTCAAGGAATTGGTCTTTCAAACTAATTTAAATGCAAGAATTGGCTGATCATTAAGATAATTTAAATAGTGTGAAATAGGTTTTATTTGTAATATATTTCCCAAATGCTGTAATGCCATTTAGAAGTAAATAATGCAAGTGTCTTAGGAATCTGCTATGAGAAAATATTATTTTAACATTATATTTTCACAATAAGGCTTATTATGGAATATTATTAACTTTTTAGGTGTATGCAAGTTAGAATCACATTAATCCTGACCCAGAATAGTTTAAACCCCAACATGAATTGAATGCAATTGAAAAAAAAAAGTAGAAATAACATTTCAAAATAAAACCTACATATGTGATACCTTGCTTAATTGGCTATATATTTATTTTTAAGTCTTAATCATAGTATTTGTTGAAACTAAAATTACTTAGCTCCAGAACATACTGATCTAAACATTTAAAGTATTTCAATTTAAAATTCAAATTTAATTCAAATTAAAAATATTTACTTTTAATGCTCTTCCCTTAAATTGCATTTGTTATTATGCATAAGTTAACTTGGAATGACACATTTTATATTGTAAGTGTATTAAATAAATGGTCATATAGGTAAGGTTATTTTTCTATGAAACTATGAGTTGGTCTTTGACTAATTTATTCTGGCATTGGCTGGTAATAATATAATGATTATCATATGTCAAATCTGTCTGTCTCTGCAGCTTATTACATGCTGTCCTGTATGTATGATGTCCAAGTGACTTGTATTATCAAGTTGTTAACTATTTCATTGCAGATGATAAAGAATAAGGAAAACAAATAATTTTACCAATTTCGTGTTAGGCATAAGGCAAAGAGAATCAAAAACAAAGATGTAGATAGACAGAGCATACATCTTGAGTGCCTTTACCGTTGAATTGGCACAGCACTTGTAGTAAAGGAAAGGTTGCTTGGAAAACAAAAGTCACTTACAATTCTCAAAAATAAATCACATTTAGATAACTTCATATTTTTTATATCTTACTGGGATTTATTTCAAGTAAATATGTATAGTGGAAATCAAATATTTTACATTTTTGCAGGTGGCTTCTTTCAACATAATTTATTTGAAAATTTAACTTTTGCAATTGATTTGTGGAGATTTTTCTTTCACATAAAGTACTTTTCTATATTTTGTTGTCTGTGTCTGAGCTGTCTCATTTTTATGTCATTTAGGTTGTCATACTTAATACCATTAACATAATTTGTATTATAATAGTTTTTATAACAATATTATAAATTGTCAAGATAGGGTCAATTTATAGCTTATCAATTTAAAACATGTTCTTTATATTCTTATGGCTTTTTTTTTCTTTTGGATTACATGTAGAGTTTTTCACTGATTTCAGAAAAATTATATTTAACCAATTATCTGGGCACCTTGTGGCCCAGTCAAGTTGACAGGTAAAATTAACCATCACATTGTGTTGGCACTGATACACATCTCCTTAAAACATATTTCATCTCCAAAAAAAGAAAATAACAAGGTTACGATTTCACCTAATAATATAATTATCCTGTGCATAACCAAAAATGCAATAAGGCCTTCCTTACTGAGGAGTTAAAGTCTTTGAGTGATATTTACTCTTCTCTTTGATAACCCATAACTTAAATACTGTAATGTAAAACTAACAACACTTAAATATAATTACATAGTCAATATATGATAAGAGTTAGGAAGGGGAAGAAAAGAAATATATTTGCATACACATATATTTATAATAAAATGAGTAAGTATTCTGTAAATCCATAGATGATAGTATTTGCAGAAACATTGCTTGCAGGGAAGATAAATCTGAATCCCAAGTGTCTATTCCAATAAGTACAAAAAATTGCCCTTTCCATGATGGAAGCAGTCCAGTGGAATCAACCTGGCATCAGATTCCTGAATGATAATGTGGATCACAAGGTTATGGTGCCATATACAAGAAACTCAGTGCTCGTCTTTGCTGCTGGCAGTTTGGGCACTCAGTGGTAGCTGTAGCCAGGTCAACTTTGATGAGTTGAAGTTCATGTTGCTGAGCCCATGCCTAATCTCCAGCCTTGCCACCATGGCCACTTTGTTTATAAGCCCACGGTGTGATCACAGGGGTGGCTGGGGAAGGAGGCTGACTGGAGTTCACAGAACAGCTATCCAGTTGGTTATTTAAATCCTTCGCTATTGAGGTCAAACTTCTGTAAACATTTATATGGAACACAATTATCGTTCACATGTTTTACTAACTCAGAGAAGTCTATCAACCTACTTTTTTTCTCAAATTTTCTTGTCACTAATTTTCCAATTATGGCTCTTTAAAGTTCCTGACTATCCAGCCAAACCATTGACCATGGAATATGAATCAGTATATAATCATCCATCTGAACATTTCTTCTTTCAAGAAGAGTACACAGCCAGGTGCACTGTCTGAAGTTCTGCCAACTGGGAGGATTTTCTTTCACCACTGCCTTCAGAGATTTCCCAGAAAGCAGGTGTAGTGCTGCAGCTGTCCAACTTTGAGTGGTTACCCCTTATTGAGCAGAACCATCTGCAAAACAGGCCCCCTGAGTCTTTTCTTTCTCTGCCAGTTCATCCTGGGGACCACCCCATGAGGTCATAGGTATAGGCTGCGAGAGAAAAGGCAGTATAACAGGGGTGGGGAATATGGGCATTTAGGGCACAACGTCATGTAACTTACTTGTGACTTCAGGGTTTATTCAGGTCCCATCACATATGTATCACTTCCATTACATGATAGAATTTTGCTGTGCACACTCAACTTTGTGGTTTGGTGGGTCAGATAACACTCAGTTGATGATGGGCAGCTCAGGTCACATGAACACTCAGTGGCCCATGGTTAAGCATTTAGTTTCTACCAAGGCCCTGTAGCAGGCCAAAAGCTGTTGACTGAAATGAGAGTAATTATCTGCAGATGACACCAATGCTTTGCCCCAAAATCTTAAGAGCCTGTGCTGCAAGTCCCCCATAGTTGCCTGTGAAAGTCTGCAAACAGCATGCCTATCTTCCATTGACACTTCAAACACCGTTAGATATGCTAGATCATAAGACATGAGTGGCAGAGCAGCTTGCATAGCACCCTAGGCCAGCTGTAGAGCCTTCTCTTGTTCTGGGTCCCCCTCAAAAGTAGCAGCTTCTTGGGTAACTCAGAAAATGGCTGGAGTAACACATCCAAATGAGAAATATGCGGCCTCTAAAATCTAAAAAGACCCAACAGAAATTGTGCTTCTTTTTTGGTTGCAGAAGGGGCCAAATCCAATGACTTATTCTTCACTTTAGAAATGATATCTTGACATATCCTATACCACTGGACCCCTTGAAGTTTAGGTAGAAGGCCTCTGAATTTTAGTTGGATTTATTTCCCACCTATTGACATGCTAATGTCTTACCAGTAAGTCCACAGTAGTTGCCACTTCAGACTCACTAATCAGTTAATTATGTGTACCTAGTAATGTACATAATGATCCAATCAGCATAATGGGCCAGTATGACATCTTGTGAAAGAGAAATGGGATCAAGATCCCTGCAGACTAAATTATGATATTTAGTTGACATCTCTGAAGTAGGACAGTGGAGGTTTATTGCTGACTTTCCCAGCTGAAAATAAATAGTTTCTGGCCATCTTTAGTAAAAGATATAAAGAAAGGAATATTTACCAGATCAATTGCAGCATACTAGGTACCAGGGGATGTGTTAAGTTACTTAAGCAATGAAACCACATCTGTTACAGCAGGTACAGTTGGATTCACCACCTGGTTAAGCTTATGATAGTTCACTATCGTTCTCTAAGATCTATTTGTCTTCTTCTCAGGCCAAATAGGCAAATTGAATGGTGATGTGATGGGAATCAACACGTCTGCATCTTTCAAGTCCTTCACAGTGGCAATAAGCCCTGCAGTCTCTTCAGGAATGCTGTACTGATTTTGGTTTACTACTTCATAAGTAGGCACAGTTCTAGAGGCTTCCACTTGGCCCTTCCCAACATAATAGCCCTCACTCCACAGATCAGGAAACTGATCTGGGGATACTTCAAGTTTCCAAGTATATCTTTTCTAATTAGAAATTCTGGAAGTTCAGAGTCAGTGTCTGCTAGGTCCTGAAAAGTCAACTTATTTCCTTTTCCCCAATGTACAATTACCCTTATAAAAGACAATAAGTCTCTTTGGGGAATTCTAGGAGACAGATTAACAGTATGGATTTCTGGCAATGTTCTATGGTCCTTCCACAAGGGGACCTGGCCTCCCTTTTATTCAAGGAGTTCTCAGTCTGTAAACTGGCTCACGTTTTTATTTGAGGGCCTCAAACAAGTCTTTGATTCAAAGGTGTCTTAGTCCATTCTGTACTTCTATAACAGAATTCCACTGGGTAATGTACAATTAACAGAAATTTACTGGCTCACACTTCTGGAGGCTGGTTAAGTTTAATATCAAGGTGTTAGCATCTGGCAAGGGCTTTCTTTCGTTGCTGTAACGTGGCAGCAGTCATCAAATGGTGAAAGGGCAAAGAGTGATAGAGACAGTGCAGGAGGGAACAAACTGAATTCTGCAATAAGCCACTCCCATAATAATGGCACTTGTCCATTCATGAAAGTGGAATCCTCATGACCTAACCACTTTTTAAAGGTGCCATCTCCCAATATTGTCACAACTGGTTATTAAATTTCAATATGAGTTTGAAGGGGACAAACATTCAAACCAAGGGTCATGACTCTAATTTTGTGATTCACTTAGACATTTGCTCATTTGGCCTAAAACTTTTCTGCTTTTATCTATTAAGTAAAATTCACTAGGCATCCTATCCATTTTACTTCTAGAAACACCATCATCAACTAGTCAATCTAGAGCTCTGTGCATATCATATTGGACCTTCGGAATATTGCTTTGACTCTGCTGTACTTTATAGTAACTACACCCACCTTCCTTCTCAAAGTTGAGTGGCTCCGCTTAACCTCTGGCACCCTGGGATCCAATTACTCCCATTACCTTTAGGTTGCCCAATTCAGTGACTGAAGTTCCAACTCTGAAGTCTGGCTTGCAGAAAAGAGCAATCTCAGAGTTCTTCCAAGAGGCTGGGGCTCCTTTCACAAATTTATTTCTTTCAGTAGCGGTGAAAGTATGTTTTCTGGGTCCTACCAGTAAAGATGAGTAGGTCTTAAATGACAAATTTACTCAAATATTCCCGAAGCCTTTGAATACTTAACATTAAAGCAAAGCAGATTTGGCATTCCTAATTCATTGGCTGTGGGCCACCTTTTGGTCCATGTTTCAGCTAACCAAACAAACTGTTAGAGCCTGCTCTAACTCCCTGTGGTGCAACATTGAATGGAGAATCTCTCCTTGGTGAGCGTATATTTAAAAAATTAGCCTTATTCAACGTTATGTTTCTTTCAGTATTATCTCATTGCCTTAATGTTCATTTTCATATATGTTCCCTCTGTTTATGCCTGTGTACATTAGAAAACTGAAGCAGTTCTTTCAAAGTGTAGGAGTGTAGTGCACTTCTTCATGAGTCATGCTTTGTACCTTAGCTTTAGAAGCCTGCTGGGACTTGAGTTCAGCTACAGGTCAAGCAATGAGGGGAGGTGGGGTTGGATCCTGATAAGAATCATCATTGTCTTACATAGTAACTGCCTCAGGGGAAGACATTACAGTTTCCTCAGACAATGCAGTTAGTCACTTCAAATGCCCATGGAAAGGCCCATAGCACTGGCAGCAGGGAAGGCATGTCTACTGGCAGAGAAGATTCAACAGGATTTAGGGACTCAATGCCCCCAACTTCATCCCAATCAATGCCCTCACTTTAGCAGTAGACATCCTGTGAAGTGGGAGTTCAACTTGTGCTATAATCCAGCCAGTTTCAGAATGAGGCTCTGGATCAGTTTCAGTTCTGTATTTACCCGGTATAAGAGTCACCATCGGGAAACACACAGAAGCTTTCAGGTCACTTGTGTAGCCTACGAGCTTGGAATTCTGGTCGCTGAGTTCATCCTTGTCTTTCATCATCTTTTCTAGCAGCATTAGGAGCAAGCATCCAACTTCATTACATCTGTTAGTTTTCCAAAAAGATTTGAAAGTATCATGTCCACAGTCACCCAACTTCCAGAATATAATAGGTGGTTGAGTAAAAGTGTCCAACAGAGATATTTTGCATATGTCCATTGCCGGATCATGCCATGGGACTATCAGTCCATCAGTGCTCTTACTACTAGAAATGGGCCCATTTATACTGGCGAGGTCAATTGCTTTACTAAGTCTACCAAGTTCTAAGGTTAATTTCATTGAGAAATATCCTCACAAACACACCCAGAATGATGTTTAACCAAATATCTTGCATGGCACCAGGTGAATCAGTCAAACTGACTCATAAAAAAAGTAGCCATCATGTTGTTTCTAAATGTAATTTAATTTTTTCCTGTTTGTGTTGGTATTTTTTCCTGAAGTTTTCTTATCTGTATATTTTTCATGAAGAATATTTTGGTTTCTTTTTACAGCAAAATATGGATCCTCCTTTTTATTGTTTTCTGCAATTATATACTTGGCAAGTTAAATAAATACCTTGGAAAATATTTACGAAGTTAACACTATCTAAATATATCTCTTGTAGCTAACATTTCTGAAATTATTATGAAACTGTTTTTAAAGATTTTCTTTGTCCTTTATATTCTGTAGATTTACTATAACTAGGTTATATTTTTAAACATACTGCCTCATAATCTGTGTGTATTTTTATTTCGAAGTTTCACTTTTTTTAACTGTGAAATTTTCTTAGCCAGTAATCCTCCTATATTATTTGCTCTAATCTTTCCTTCTGAAAATTCTATATATTAATAGTTTAGAGCCTCTTAAGAAAATTTTCATGTATTTCAAATTTTCCATATTTAGTCTCATTCTCTTTGGCTTATTCTGAATGAATTCTCTAACATGGTCTTCAAAATCATTTAATTTTTTCTTAGTGTTTATTTTAGAATATTCTACATCTATGGAATATTTTTAATAGGATAATTATATTTCTAGTAGTTCCAATTGATTCTTTTAGATGTTTTCTGATTTTGATTCAAATATCCTATTTTGTCTTATGATTTCTTATGGTTTTTACAGATATTTTCCTTCCTCCATTTCTCTGGGAGTCTACATTCTACTTATTTTTAACCTTTCTGAGAATGTGTTGTAATTTACATATTATTAGTGATGTAATCTGATTATTTAGTTGTCTGGCTGTTGTTCTGTAATACTAATTTTTTAATGGGCTTTTAATTTTAGTATCCATGTTCTTTAATGCATTTACTTTTTTATGTCTATGCTTATCCTTTTTTGTCTGGTAGTTTTGCAGTTATGTCAACTTTTTCCTTCCAGATTCCATTTATGAATAACCAGTTTATACTGGCAGGTGAGGTCAGAATTTCTTTCCTTTGGAAATACTGGGGATTTAGGGAACAGTCTCTCAGTTATGTACACTTAAACTTTTTTACTCTCATCCACTAGCAAATGTGCTGCTCTTTAAGTCATAGACCTAGGAAAATGCTCAATTTTCTTTAACTTCTCTTCCTGAGCGAAGCCCACTTTAAGACCTTCCCTGACACTTTTCTGCTCTATTCTCCACTGTACAAGTAGGTTATTTTGGATTCACAACTGCCGTCTATTGCTGCCTGTTTCAAAACAGAAGCCCAGCCGGCCAAGGCTTCAGACTATTATCTATCACTGTGGCCTCAGACTCCCATTAATTAGTTTATTTTTATTTTAATGTATTTTCTTTCAATGCCACCTTTAAGAAACATTTATGGAAATCATAGAACTGTATTTCTTGAAATCCCCAAATACTTAAAAATACTTTTACATCACAGTTCTTTAAGTCCAGATTTTTTTTCTCATTTTAATTATTCTCATCACATTTGTTCTCAATTGCTAACTCTTGTGACTGTAACTACTGCCATTTTTAACATTGCATATATTTCAAATGCAGGAACAATATGTATCATAAATGAAGAAAGTCAGAAGTAAAATAGTGACATGGAGACTGAGAAAACAGAAATAACATAATGAAAATTTGTGGCTTCTGCCAATTTTAGCCAGTGATGCAAAACTGCTGCTTCTGGGACTTTGATATTTAGAATTTAATAGAAAATGAGAAAAAACACATAGGTCAGTGTTGAAATAACTTAAGCATTTTTAAGAAGTAGGCAGACATACTTCACCAACTTTACTTTTCATTGATGACAGCAAAAGAGGGCTCATGTCTTATATGAATGCGCATATTTGGTTAATGCCAGTTAAGTCTAAATTAACTATAGGTCAAACTACACTCTAAAATGCCTTTTATAATTTGTAAGTAAGCATTACTTGATTTGCTAGTTAACAAAAATAATCATTGACATGAATAAAGTCTGATTAAGAGTTTTGGTAGAAGGTTTCAAAAATTTTAACAGAGCAAGTTAATTTCAATGAAATCTCACAAGAAATTGCTAAATTAAACAACAGGGACGACACAGGTACAAGTTGACCAGCTATGCGTAAAGCCTGGATTAAGTAGGTGACTCAGTGGAAATTTTCTCCTTTCATTTGTTCCCTCTTATCAGTCAGCAGTTAAAAAATAAAAATAAAAAATAAAAACATTAATTTGGAGGTAAAAGTCACAATGAATGTGGAGATAACAGAAGTACTTTCAGTCTGAACTTGAATTATTCTGAAGAAATGACTACTCTTTTTGACTGGAAAGGGGAAATTGCCCGTGGATTGCGGAGACTTTATATCTGGAAAGGTCTTCCAGTGCCTTCCTCAAAAATTTATTTTTCACTTATCGAAGGCCCAATCTTTCCTATAAATAAAAGGGAATGATTAAATTTGAATTGTATAGAATGCACTTCTATTTACTCATTGATAAATTAATTTATTAAATTGCTTCATATTTTCCTGCAGTTAATTTTTAAAACATTTTAAGTGTATTGTAGAATGTTTATTTTCATTTTCATGGTTTTAATAAGTGGTAAATAGACAGAAATGTTCCCCTTTCTCTGCTTATTTCTGGGCTGAGAGTAAAAGCAGGACAACTCTGACCCGGTGCCCTATTAAATGAAAGCCATCTGACAGATGGCTCAAGTGCAGTAAGAGACAGGGTCCGGGTAGTTTGGCAATTCTAAAGTCTGGATGGAAGAAAAGCAGCATTAAAGAACAGTTGATCCTAAAACAGAGACTGATTGCTCTTTTCAATGCTTTATTCTTTTCGCAATGTCTGAAAACCTTGACTGACAAGAGAGGACTGTAGGCAGCATGAGGTCAAAGGTGTACATGAAAGTCTTGCCATTGATTGAGCAATGTTTTCAATTAGGATTGGCTTACACTACTGTCTAGTTGGTGTTATTATTGCAGTCTATTAATTCTGACTTGCCTTTCTAAATTTTCTTTATTCTCAATATGAGGAAAAATATGAAAAGAAATAAAAAAGAGAATAAAGTTACGGAGACAGTGGAACTACTGGTGAAGGGCAATAAAGAGCAATTGAATGCAAAGTACAGTCCTTTGTTGTCTACTTGGAATGAAAGATTTTTCCTTTCAAAAGAATGAAGTGGTGAAAAGGAAACAGAATAAAATGACATAGATATTATTCTTCAAGTTATGGTGGCTCTTTGAAATTGTCATTTTATATTTCTTTTCATTCTAATTCTGAATTAACACACTAAAACCAGGAAGAATATCTTTGTTTCTAACTTTCTTTACTTTATATCCTATGCATTGAAATAGCAGGTGAAGGGTTACATGTAGATATATTTTTAATACAATGTTTCTTTTAATAAGGTTTATTAATTTTTTTATCCCATGGAATAAGCAGTGGTCTGAATATTTATGTTTCCCCACAATGCATATGTTGAAAGCTCGTCACCACTGTGATAATATTAAGAGTTGGGACCTCAGGAAGGTGATTAGTCTCCTTATAAAAAAGGTTCCAGAAAGCTGCTTTGCCCTTTCCAACATGTGAGGACCCAGCTAGAATATGCCATCTATGACAGAAATTGGGACTTCTCCAGACACTGAATTTGCTGGCATCTTATTTATGGAATTCACAGCTTCCATAATTGTCAGAAATAAATTTATGTTTTTTATTAGAGACCCTGTGTATGGTATTTGTTACAGAATCCCAAACGACTGACAGGGTGCCATCCCATTTATTGAGAAAGTAGGATGCACTCAAGTAATTAAAAAAAATATGGAATCAGCATTTTAGTTTGATCAACCAATTCATTAGATACCTTGGACACATTAATCAAATTAAAAGGTTTACTAAAGTTACCATATTTTTGTCTTTACAAATGGACAGATAATTATGATTATCAAAAAGAAATAAAAACAGTAACTCACATTGTTTGCTTATTTCATTATTATTTATTTAATAAATGTGGACTATTGAGCAATATGTCCACTTTTATTTATAAATATTATTTACTTCCAATACTCCTACAAAACTATAAAGATAATACTAATGACTTTCTAAGTCAACTTTTCTAAAAATAAAGTCCAAACTTCCGCAGGAGTACTTGGAGGACTTTTTACAAATTCAGATTACTAGGCTAATTCCAGACATATTAAACCAGTATTTCTGAAGTAGAATTTGATAATCTGCATTTTGATGAAATTCTTAGGTAATTTTTATGTACAAAAAGATTGAGAACCATTATATTAGTTAATTAGTTAGTTACATATGTCTAATACCAGTATTGTATGCCTAATTTAAATTCAAAGGCATATTCCCTATAGATTTTTTGGTAATACAGTTAATTTAAGAAGAAAACTACAAGAGTATCGAATGTAAAGAGACTGAGGAATTCATGTGTATTTTTTGTAACCAAAATACTTTTTAAAGTACATTTAATTTGCATTCATAGAAAGAAGAAAATATATTCCCCAAATCTAATTTTGTCTCAACTGTTTTTCCCCAATGTTTGTCTCCCATTTTAAGAACTACATTTAAAAGCAAAATAACCAAGTCTTATATTATTAAAATGGAGTCTGTATTGCTTAAAAAATTGCAAGTAAATGAAAATTCCATTGGAAAAGAACAATTTCACAGGAATAAAATGTAAGGAAGCATAATAGATACATTGAAACAGAGTTTAATGATCTAAAATTGACAGTGAAGTTGATACAGGCAATTCCATGTATGCCAATGTTGAGCTGTAAACTATTTTCTTTGTAAATAGTTCTACTCGAAGAATGCTTCAGTTCCCAAATTTCTCTAAAAGCAGAAAAAGGTAACACTTGTCAGAGTCTATAAGGAGGGTTGTATTTTTAGTGTTCTCATATTTTTAGCATTCAATATTAATGTTTATCAAACTAATTTTCAAATATGAAAGGAAACGCTTAAGAGTTTACAAGTGTATTTTGTTCTTGTTGCTCTTGTTTGAGATATATTCATTGCTAGTTTAAAATCTATATTAGAAAGTTTTTTTATTAATAACTTTCTGAATATTTTGACAATATAAAATGCATAAAAATGCTTAACATGCAGTAATAATTGTGCTTAATATTTTGAGATATGTTCTAGTCTTCTATAAAAGCATATGTATATGTGTATTAGTGAGGGTTCTCTAGAGGGACAGAACTAATATTGTATATATATATATATATATATATATCTTATAAATACACACACACACACACACACACACACACACATAAAGGGGAGTTTATTAAGTATTAACTTACAGGATCACAAGGTCCCACAATAGTGTCTGCAAGCTGAGGAGAGAGAGAGCCAGTCTGAGTTCCAAACTGAAGAACTTGGAGTCCAAGGTTCAAGGGCAGGAAGCATCCAGCACAGGAGAAAGATGTAGGCTGGGAGGCTAGACCCATCTTGCCTTTTTACGTTTTTCTGCCTGCTTTATATTTGCTGGAAGCTGATTAGATGACGCCCACCAAATTAAGGGTGAGTCTGCTTTCTCCAGTCCACTGATGGAAATGTTAACCTCCTTTGGCAACACCGTCACAGACACACCCAGGATTAATACTTTGAATCCTTCAATCCAATCAAGTTGAACTCAGTATTAACCATCACAATATACCTAAATGTTTTTTCGAATGAATAATACATTTTCTTTTTTAAACTATTATTTTAAGTTCAAGTTTCCATGTGCAGTTTTGTTATATAGGTAAACTCATGTCGTGGGGTTTGGTGTACAGATTATGTCATCACTTTGGTACTAAGCTTAGTATCCAATAGTTCCTTTTTTTTTTTTTTTTGCTCCTCTCCCTCCTCCCACTCTCCAACCTCAAGTAGGTCCCAGTGTCTGCTGCTCCTCTTTGTGTCAATGTGTTTTCATCCTTTAGTTCCAACTTATAAGTGAGAACATGCAGTATTTGGTTTTCCGTTCCTGCTAAGGATAATGGCCGCCTGATACATCCACATTGCTGCAAATGACGTGCTCTCATTATTTTTTATGGCGGCACGGTGTTCCATGTTATATATGTAACACATTTTGTTTATCCACTTTACCATTGATGGGCATTTAAGTTGATTTCATGTCTTTGCTATTCTGAATAATGCTACAGTGAACATATACATGGATGTGTCTTTATGACAGAATGATTTATATTCCTTTGGTTATATATCCAATAATGGGATTGCTGAATAGAATGTCATTTCTGTTTTTAGCTCTTTGAGGAATCCTCACACTGCTTTTTACAATGGCTTAACTAATTTACACTCCTATCAACAGTGTATAAGTGTTCCCTTTTCTCCACAATCTTACCAGCATCTGTTGTTTTTTGAGTTTTTAAATAAGTGCCATTCTATTTGGTGTGGGATGGTTTCTCATTGTGGTTTCGATTTGCATTTCTCTAAAGATTAGTGATGTTGAGCTTTTTTATATATGCTTGTTGGCTGTATGTATGTCTTCTTTTCAAATTGTCTGTTCATGTCCTTTGCCTAATTTCAATGGGGTTATTTGTTTTCTTTTCCTGTAAATTTAAGTTCCTTATACGTGCTGGATATTAGACCTTTGTCAATGCATAGTTTGCAAAAAAATTTCTCTAATTTTGAAGATTGTCTTCTTATTCTGTTGATAGTTTCTTTTACTCTGCAGAAGCTGTTTATGATAATTAGATCCCATTTGTCAATTTTTGCTTTTGTTGCAATTGCTTTTGGCATCTTTGTCACGAGATCCTTGTCTGTTCCTGTGTCCCAAAATGGTATTGCCTGAGTTATCTTCCAAAGTTTTTACACTTTTGGGTTTTAGATTTAAGTCTTTAATCCATCTTGAGTTGATTTTTGTATATGGTATAAGGAAGGGGCCTAGTTTCAATCTTTGCATGTGGCTAGCCAGTTATCCCAGCACCATTTATTGAATAGGGTGCCCTTTTCCCATCCACTTGTTTTTGTCAGATTTGTCAAATATCAGATGGTCATAGGTGTGTGGCCTCATGTCTGGGCTCTCTGTTATGTTCCATTGGTCTATATGTCTTTGTACCAATATCATATTGTACATATTTGATTACTCTATCCCTGTAGTTTAGTTTGAAGTCAGGTAATGTGATGCTTCCTGCTTTTTTAGTTTTACTTGGGATTGCCTTAGCTATTCAGCTCTTTTTCTGGTCCATATGCATTTTAAAATAGGATTTTTTGTCTGTTTTTGTTTGTCTGTTTTTTAGTTCTGTGAAGAATGTTATTGCTAGTTTAATAGGAATAGCATTGAATCTGTAAATTGCCTTGGGCAGTAAGGCCATTTTAATGATATTGATTCTTCCTATCCATGAGCATGGAATGTTTTTCCATTTGTTTGTATCATCTTGGATTTCTTCGAGTAGTGTTTTATAATCCTTATTGTAGAGATCTATCCCCTTTCTGGCTAGCTGTATTCCTTAGTATTTTATTCTTTTTGTGATCATTGTGAAGGTGATTGAATTCTTGATTTGGCTCTCTGCTTTGATTGTTGGTGTATAGGAATGCTACTAATTTTTGTATGTTGATTTTGTAACCTGAAGCTTTGCTGAAGTTATCAACTCAAGGAGCTTTTGGGTTGAGACTATGAAGTGTTCTAGGTATAGAAATAATTATGTTGTCTGCATACAGGGATACTTTGACTTCCTCCCTTCTTTGGATACCCTTTATTTCTTTCTGTCTCCTGGTTGCTCTGACGGGGACTTCTAATATTACATTTAAAAGGAATAGTGAGAGAGGGCATCTTTGTCCTGTGCCAGTTTTCAAGGGGACTGCTTTCAGCTTTTGCCAATTCAGTATGATGTTGCCTATGGCTTTGCCATAGGTATGTTTCTTCAATTTCTAGTTTATTGAGAGTTTTTAACATGAAGGGGTGTTGAATTTTAACTAAAGCTTTTTTTCTGCATCTATTGAGATAATCATGTGGTTTTTCTCCTTAGTCATGTTTATGTGATGAACATGAACACATTTATTGGTTTGTATATGTTGAGTCAACCTTCTATCCCAAGGATAAAGCCTATTTGATTGTACTGAATTAGCTTTTTGACATGCTGCTGGATCTGGTTTACCAGTATTTTGCTGAGGATTTTTGCATTGATGTTCATCAGGGATGTTGGCCTGAACTTTTCCTTTTTTTGTTGTGTCTCTTCTGGGTTTTGGCATAAGAAAGATGCTGGTCTCAGAATGAGTTAGGGTGGAGTCCTCCTCCTCAATTTTTTCGAATAGTTTCAGTAGGAATAATACTATATTTTCTTTGTACATCTGGTGGAATTTGGCCATGAATCTGTCTGGTCCTAGGCTTCTTTTCTTTTCTTTTTTGTTAATAGGTTATTTATTACTGATTCAATTTCCAAGCTCATTATTGGTCTTTTCAGAGAATCCATTTCTATATTGTCCAATAAAGCCACCTATTCTTTTTACCTTTTTTACTTAGTACTTTAAAAGCCTTTCTCTACCTCCTCATGAGAGTCATTTTTGAGAAAATTATGTAGTGACTGCAATAATAATAAGCTATAAGGACATATTCTGTTTTTACTTAAACATGTATTTCCATTACTACTACATATTATGTACTCTTGTTAGTATGTTCATATTGGGTATATTGGCCTTTGCTTATTTCATACCTTAATGGGAAGTTTTCTGCATAGAGGTGCATAGAAATGAAGTTAGACGTGGAAGTAATATCCTGCTTTATTTACTCTACTTGATGTACATCAGTAATACAATTTCAAAAGGTAAGAAAGAATATGTGACTTTGGATTGAAATCTATGACACCCATTTGTTTCGTGTCCAAAAAATATACATTTATTTACATAATTTTTTTTGTAAATTCTTGGAAGTGGACACATGTAAGACAGCTCTTAATCTCACAGATTTTTGAAAGTATGATAATATCCAGAGTTGGCACAAGTTTTGGGGAGAAGACTACGTATATATACTGCTGATAGGAATATACAATTTCAAAACTTCCTTAAAAGTAAGTTGGAAAATATTTTATAACCATTGCTAGAACACTATTATCATAATATTTAAGCTAATGCAGAAAAGACAGAGGCTGGTATGACTTTATGACATTTTCATAAGAAATTAAAATATATTTTATAATGAAAGAATCAGAGGAAAACTACAGAAGTTTCCTATCGAGATGAAAATCCATTTTCAGATTACACTATCTCATCATCTTTGTATCCTTTCAACACTGTCCTTAGCCCAATATCAGAGATGTTTGGTCCCAGAGATTTTATATTCTATAAATTTCCATTTTCACAGGCACTCTTCCATAAAACCTAAAAGTTTTCCATATGATTCTGGATTTTATTTATAATTTGGCACCAAAGACATGACAAGAAGTACTAGATCTTCTTGCAGTAGCCCAGCCTAATAAAACACATTTAATACTACACATTACCTTAGGAAAATGTGAAAGTGAGCATTTCTAAGACAATTCTTAGGAGTAGAATTTTAAAGTATGATTTTTAAGAATATAAATAAAGAGTTTTTCATAATTCACAAATGTAATTTTATCATATTAGTGGAACTTAGTTAAATGTATCATAAAACCTGAGGAAATTTGTCTACTTTAATGATAGATAAGCTACTAGCAATAATAATATCTTTAAGACTCTTTAAATGAAAACACTATTGCCTGTTTCTCAAAGAAATAGAGAATATGGTTGTTAACTCTGAAACTTAGAACAAAATTTCAAGATCATCTCATGAGTGTTTTATTAGCTAAATTAGCCATTAGAGATGTCTAAATGCTTTTTAAATATTTGAAGACTTCATAACTGACTGTTTTAATTTGATTTTAAAAGTTTTGTGAAGATGATAATAGTAATAGTGCTACTGCCTTAACATTGCACATATATTAAATACACTTTACCTTATGTGGACACTAAGTCATGTTATGGGTATCTATGAATGTTTAAAATGGTTTAATTTTATTATTTAATTTATAGTGCATTAAAATCAGCTACATTCCTAATGTTAAAATTTATAACATTTTTGGAGCCCAAGCATAATGCTAATGGCATTTCATTATTAATTCCATTAATCCACATCAAAAATCCTATGGAAGGCAAAATTATTTTTTGTTTTTGCCAATGAGAAACTTGAGGCAAAGAAAGCTTAAACAACTTGCTGAAAGTCAAACTTAGAGCTAAACAGCCGTGCTATAAATAATCTCAACTATATCAGAAAAATAAGTGTGTATGTGTGTGTGTGCACGTGTGTGTGCATGTAGACAAAGAGAAAGTGCACATACACAAATGATAAAGCAAATGGAATATTAGGAGGCTGAGCTGGGCAAAGAGTATATAAGTGTTCTTTGTATTATCACTATTTAATTTTTCCGTTTGAAATTATTTCTAAATAAAAATCTTTAAAAAACCTGACCAATTCTGAAATATCTATTTCTTTCCATATACATATTTAGAAATGAAAGCTATATTGATACAAAGAAAATCTTATATTTAAAATTTTATGGAAAGAATAAATGCCATATTTTAGATATCATAAATAATAATTTTAAGAAATGAAAGCTCCAGAGAATGAGAAGATAAAACACAGACTCGGAGAGAATATTTGCAAAAGACTTATGTAATAAGGGACTGTTATCCAAAACATACAAATAACTCTTAAAGCTCATCAACAGACACAGACAACCCAATTTAAAAATTGGTGAAAGGTCTGAAAATACATATCACAAAAAAGATACACAGATGGCAAATAAGCATATACAAAGATGCACAACATCATATGTCCTTAGGAAATTGTAAATAAAAAATGGGATACGACTACATACCTATTAGGATGGTCAAAATCTGGAAAACACTGATGACGCTAAATCTTGTTGATGATGTGGAATGAAAGGAACCCTGATTTATGGCTGATGGAAATGTCAAATGGTATAGGCCACTTCAAAAGAGTTTGGCATTTTAGTTTCTCAATCATGCTCCTTGGCAAACCCTGCACACAGATATGTATAGTAGCATTGTTCATAATTGTCAAAACTTGGAAGCAGCCAAGATGTTTTTCAGTAGGTGAATATATAAACAAACTATGGTATATCCAGACAATGCAATATTATTTAGCACTGAAAAGGAATGAGCAATCAAGCCATAAAAGGCACAGAGGGAACTTAAGTGCATATTATCAAGTAAAATAATCTGGCGGGGCGCGGTGGCTCATGACTGTAATCCCAGCACTTTGGGATGCAGAGGTGGGCGGATAGCGAGGTCAGGAGATTGAGACCATCCTGGCTAACACAGCGAAACCCCGCCTCTACTAAAAATACAAAAATTAGCCGGGCTTGGTGGCGGGTGCCTGTGGTCCCAGCTACTCGGGAGGCTGAGGCAGGAGAATGGCGTGAACCCGGGAGGCGGAGCTTGCAGTGAGCCTAGATCGCACCACTGCACTCCAGCATGGGCGACGGAGCGAGACTACGTCTCAAAAAAAAAAAAAAAAAAAAAAAAAAAAAAAAAAAAAAAAAAAAAAAAAAAATCCAATCTGAAAATGTTATGTACTCTATATACTGTATGGTTCTAACTGTATGACATTCTGGAAAAAGCAAATCTGAGAAGACAGTAGGAAAATCTGTGGTTACCAGGTGTTGGGGCAAGGGAAGGATTAATAGGCAGAGCACGGAGGATTTTTAGAACAATGAAACTGTTAAAATAATATAATGGTGGATGCAAGTCATCGTACCTTGTAGTGTTTACTGTAAAACCCATAATATGCACAATATCAAGGGTGAATCCTAATGTAAACTATAAACTTCAAGTAATAATGATGTACCAATATACTTTCATGGATTATAACAAATGGATTACTCTGATATGGGATGTTGATAGTGGGAGAGGGTATATGTGCGTGTGGAGGCAGGAGGTATGTGGTATCTGTCAGTACATTCTACTCAGTTATGCTGTGAACCTATAACTGCTCCCAAATTAAAGTTTACTTTTAAAAAATTTTTATTTCCTGTGCTTGATTTGTTATATTATCACTGGTTATAATGGTTAGCAAACCTGTATTTGTTTAATTAATAATGTATTAAACAATAAAAACAATCATTTGATAATTTAATTATTACTGCTTTATTAGTTGCATAAAAAAATAGAACCTTAAATACGGATCAGGATATATCTATGGGGTTTTTTTGGTAATTTTATGGGAAGAATTAGTTTAATGTGCCCATTCTGGTTAAAGTCATGAAATCCTACATTTCTCTATAGCTAAATGAAGAATGTAGAATTTTTTGTGGATACATAATAGTCGAATATATTTATGAGGTACAGTGATATTTTGATATATATATACAATGTGTAATGATCAATTACAGTATTTACAATATCCATCACCTCAAACATTTATCATTTGTTTTGGAACATTTCAAATATTCTCTTCTAGCTATTCTGAAATATACTACATATTGTTGTTAACAGTAGTCACCCTACTGTGCTATCAAACATTACAACTTATTCCTTCAGTCTACCCATATGTTTATACTCATTAACCAACTTCTCTTCACCCCCACCTCCCTGCCCGGGCAACCCTTCCGAGTCTCTGGTACCCATCATTCTACTCTCTACCTCCAGAAAATCAACTTTTTTAGCTACCACATATGAATGTTATTTCACTTAACATAATGACCTCCAATCACATCTATGTTGCTGCAAACAACAGTGTTTTATTTTTTATAGCCGAATAGTATTCCATTGTGTATATATACCATAGTTTCTTTATCCATTTATCCACTGATGAAAAATTAGGTTGATTGTACATCTTGTCTACTGTGAATAATGCTCCATTTTTTAACACATTTTTAAAACTGATAGGCATTGAAAAAAATTCTTTTTCTGATAAATGTCTGTTAGATTTAAATAGTTATATAAAACAGTCCAATGGGTAAAAATGTAAACTATTTGGGAGAAGTAAATTAATGTTTTGAATTTCCAAATTTTATTTTTTTTCAAATTTTATGTTTCAAACTCCAGTCAAATCTTTTGTTTTAAATATGAGTGTGGCTTAATAGCTAATCAACTTAAATTTGAACAGTCCTCCTGTCTGTATTAAAAGAGTGTTCTCAATTACATACTGAATTAAATAAGAGATAGGAAGATTCTGAGAACTCAAAATTTATAGTTTCATTACTCTGAAAAATTAAATCTAAAAATGTGTAAAAATCCACATTAATCATTCAGTTTCAGCACATAAATGTAAATGGCTTGTAACTAAAATTCACTTCAGACTGTAAGTAATAATTACCCAGAAACACTGCATAAGCCTCATTAGAGCCTACATTTAATACAAGTGAGGAGCACAAGGGACCTGCACAAATCTGCACAAATAAGTGGATTCTAGTATTTAATCAGCATAAAATAGTCACTATAAAGCTTCATTAAGAAGCATTTTCAAAACAGAAATCAGAGAAGATGATCTTGAAAATAAAATTTGATGTTGAAGTTGACAGTTGCTTTAACAAAATGCAGCTAATTTTTATGCAGCGGTCTTTTCATGTTCGTTTTCTCTATGTAAGAAATTAGTAAGAAGAAAAAAATAAGGAAGCTGTTGAAAACACCAATGGCATTCAGTATCTTTGTTTGATACACAGGCATTTACAAGTGCCATTAACTTTTTTCAACTTCTCATTTTATATGATTCATGCTAGAAAATATTATCTTTCAAGAAGTCACTTTGGTAAACATCTCTAATTCTTACGGAATTGGGGCGCAAATTTTGTTATTAATCTTGTAAGCTATATTTCTGATTTTCTACCCAGAGTAAATCAGACAACGTGATACATTTAAAACTGACAAATTGGAAGGCCTGAATTTTAAATTTGGTTGGGAATTTTCGGTATATTATTAGAAAGATATATTAACCTTGAAGTTTTTTTTTTTAATTTAGAGAACCATCTAAGTAACATAAGGTTTATATTCTTATTAATATCTAAAGAACACATTTGTTTCTATAACACAATAATAATGGATATGTCAGGTTTTAAATTTTATTTTCTATTTTCATACTAGAATATATATATATATAACTTTTTAAAAAGCATAGCATTTAAATGAAATTATTAATTGCCTAGTACATACTTCTGCAAGTGCATAAACAAAAACGATACAATTTAATTTTTAAAATGGTGTTCACTACAACTGAAGTAATCATTTTTGGGGAATATAAGGGTTCTTTTTTATATAGTCCATTAAAAGTCAACAATGTTATGGCTTTCCAGCAACATACTTAACAGTACTATCCATTTAAATTTAGGTAATTCAAATAGCTAGAATAGTTTGTGAAATCCTGCAAGAAATAAGAACATATTAGAAAGGTAATCAATTGGCAAAATGCATAAGCTTTGGCCATTTTTAAAAAACATACTCAAAGTTTGGAAGGTAAAAACATTGCATAGTTCCATAAACTGAATACACGAACCTTTATTTAGAAGGGATATTAAATATCCCTTCTAAATAAAGGGATATGTAAATGAATGACTTAATAAATATAAATAAATGACTGAGACTTGGATCATTGGTTTGTTCTATACTTTCTGCTATCTCTTAGGCAATTCCCATGAGATTCCATTATCAAAGTGTTGCACTCACGTAGTCTTTTTCAACACAAGCGGGATTTTAGGAGGATTAAATTTGGTGAAATTTAAATTTATACACTTCTAAAAGTTAAATATGCACTCATGTATACACACATATATAAATATAGATATATGTGAATATACACCTATATTTATATAGGTGTATATACATACCTATATATATTCCTCTATATATATATGGGTATATATTCATATATTCATATTATATATGAATTCAGATATATTCATATATTCATATATCTCTCTACATAAATATATGTGTGTATATACATGTATATAATAGGTTAGCAAACATTATCTTGTGATGTTTCAGCCATTAGAAAAAAATGAAATAAATTATGTCAGAGTACTTACAGGAAAAATCAGTTACATATTTTAATAAAACTGTCTTCTTAAGCCAGTTCCCATACCATTTTGTTCCTGCTAACTTGCTCTGAATTACTATAATTTCTCCTCAATGTTTATATTTTAGCTTTTGAATAAGAAGTATTATGTGTGTGCATGAATGTATGTGTGCTGGTGTGTTTTAGATTCAAATCCCAGTTATGAGACTTGGCCAAGTTAGTTCTGTCCACAACTAACATACTAAAAATGAAGTTAGTGGGACAAAAGATGAGTGTCTAAAACAGAGGTCACCCACCACTTGCACCAGGATCACCTGGGAAGCTAGAATGTGCAGATGTCTTAGTCCCACCTGGGGCTGAACTAACATCTTTTGAAGAAGGATCTATAATCTGCTTTTCAAGAAAGCTATTCTCATTTTCTTAAGCACATTAAAGAGTGTAAATCACTCTTCCAAATAAAGGGATATGTAAATGAATGACTTAATACATATAAATAAATGACTGAAAACCACATTAAGGTTACTTTTTTAAAAGATGTCTTCAGAAAGATTAGAATCATTGTAGGGAAGAAAGAAATATTTGGAACAAAGAGTTCAAAGAGCTTCAAGGCAGGACTCAACTTCCTAGTGAAGGGCGGCCTTTTAAATTATTCAGAGTCCAAGCAAGTAGACTAATAGTAATATGTTAAAAGTTCAGCATATGTAATATGTTAAAAGTTCAGCATAACTTGATTTTGGACTTTATTTCCTATTACTAGAAGATTTTACATTGGTATGCTGTACTGATGGGAGGAAAGTGGACCCTTCAGGCTTCGATGGATCAAACATATAATAAAGCACTGGAAACTGGGAAATTTCATGTGTTGCAAGTAACTGAGTGAATATTGTTGGCTCTTTGAGAACTGACAGAAACCCTAGTGGGATTCTGATAAAACATTCCAATTTACATTTTTACAAAGTCATGACACTTAGATGATACGGATTATTCTGGGTCAAAGTAAATTATATGAAAATTTAATCATATGTACAAGGCAATGCTGAAAGCAGTTTCAAGAGTATGAATGACGAAGAGAGGGATGATGAGAAAACGATGAAGGGAGCGAGAAAAGACAGCAAGTCTCAAGGATTTCTTAAAATCTTAAGAAAATTTGTGTTGATGATATAAAGAAAATGAAAAACATATTGTGATAGTGATCAGGCTATTAGAAACATTTCTTAAGCATTAGTATTAACGATGCACTAATTTGTGTAAAACAATTGCAAAGGAATGTCAAGTAAATTATTTCTGTAATTCAAATAATGTAAACTATTTTAAGCTTTATGATTTTTTGTATATACTTTAAATTCTGGGATACATATGCTGAACGTGTAAGTTTGTTACATGGGTATACATGTGCCATGGTGGCTTGCTGCACCTATCAACCTGTCATCTACATTAGGTATTTTTCCTAATGCTATCCCTCCCCTAGTTCCCCACCCCCTGACAGGCCCCAGTATGTGATGTTCCCCTCCTTGTGACCATGCGTTCTCATTTCTAACTCTCACTTATGAGTGAGAACATGAGGTGTTTGGTTTTCTCTTCCTGAGTTAGTTTGCTGAGAATGATGGTTTCCAGCTTCATCCATGTCCCTGCAAAGGACATGAACTCATCCTTTTTTATGGCTGCATAGTCTTCCATGGTTTATATGTGCCACATTTGCTTTATCCAGCCTACAATTGATGGGCATTTGGGTTGGTTCTAAGTCTTTGATATTGTGAATAGTGCTGCAGTAAACATATGTGTGCATGTGTCTTTATAGTGGAATGATTTATAATCTTTTGGTTATATACCCGGTAATGGGATTGCTGGATCAAATGGTATTTCTGGTTCTAGATCCTTGAGGAATTGCCAAGCTGTCTTCCACAATGGTTAAACTAATTTACACTCCCACAAATAGTGTAAAAGCATTCCTATTTCTCCACATCCTCTGCAGCATCTGTTGTTTCCTGACTTTTTAAGGATTGCCATTCTAACTGGTGTGAATGGTATCTCATTGTGGTTTTGATTTGCATCTCTCTAATGACCAGTGATAATGAGTTTTTTTTTTTCATATAGTTTTTGGCCACATAAATGTCTTCTTTTGAGAAATTTCTGTTCCTATCCTTTGCCAAGTTTTTGATGGGGTTGTTTTTTCTTGTAAATTTGTTTAAGTTCTATGTAGATTCTGGATATAAGCCCTTTGTCAGATGGATAGATTGCAGAAATTTTCTCCCATTCTGTAGGTTGCCTGTTTACGCTGATGATAGTTTCTTTTGCTGTGCAGAAGCTCTTTAGTTTAATTAGATCCCATTTCTCAATTTTGGCTTTTGTTGCCATTGCTTTTGTTGTTTTAGTCATAAAGTCTTTACCCATGCATATGTCCTGAATGGTATTGGCTAGGTTTTCTTCTGGGGACTTTGTGGTTTTATGTTTTACGTTTAAGTCTTTTAATCCATTTTGAGTTAATTTTTGTGTAAGGTGTAAGGAAGGGATCCAGTTCCTATTTTATGCATATAGCTAGCCAGTTTTCCCAACACCATTTATTAAATAAAAAATCCTTTCCTCATTGCTTGTTTTTGTCAGGTTTGTCAAAGAAGAGATTATTGTAGTTGTGTGGCATTATTTCTGAGGCCTCTGTTCTGTTCCATTGGTCTACATCTCTGCTTGGTAGCAGTACCATGCTCTTTTGGTTACTGTAGCCTTGTAGAATAGTTTGAAGTCAGGTAGTGTGATGCCTCCAGCTTTGTTAATTTGCTTAGGATTGTTTTGACTATATGGGCTCTTTTTTGGATCCATATGAAATTTAAAGTAGCTTTTTCTAATTCCATGAAGAAAGTCAATGGGAGATAGATAAGGATAGCATTGAATCCATAAATTACTTTGGGCAGTCTGGCCATTTTCACGATATTGATTCTTCCTATCCATGAGCATGGAATGTTTTTCCATTTGTTTGTTTCCTCTCTTACTTCCTTGAGCAGTGATTTGTAGTTCTCCTTGAAGAGGTCCTTCATGTCCCTTGTGAGTTGTATTCCTAGGTATTTAATTTTCTTCATAGCAATTGTTAATGGGAGTTCACTCGTGATTTGGCTCTGTTAGTCTATTTTTGGTGTATAGAAATGCTTGTAATTTTTGCACATTGATTTTGTATCCTGAGACTTGCTGAAGTTGTTTATCAGCTTAAGTAGATTTTGGGCTGAGACTATGGGGTTTTCTAAATATACAATCATGTCAGCTGCAAACAGAAACAATTTGACACTTCCACTCTTCCTATTTGAATACATTTTATTTCTTTCTCTTGCCTGATTCTCCTGACCAGAACTTTCAATACTATGTTAAACAGGAGTGGTGAGAGAGGGCAGCCTTGTCTTGTGCCCGTTTTCAGAGTGAATGCTTCCAGCTTTTCCCCATTCAGTATGATATTGGCTGTGGGTTTGTCATAAATAGCTCTTATTATTTTGAGATATGTTCCATCAATACCAAGTTGATTGAGAGTTTTTAGCATGAAGGGGTGTTGAATTTTATCAAAGGTCTTTTCTTCATCTATTGAGATAATCCTGTGGTTTTTGTCATTGGTTCTGTTTATGTGATGGATTACATTTATTGATTTGCATATGTTAAACCAGCCTTGCATTCCAGGTATGAAGCCAACTTGATCATGGTGGATAAGCTTTTTGATGTGCTGCTGTATTCGGTTTGCTGGTATTTTATTGAGGATTTTCGTATCAATGTTCATCACGGATATTTGTTTGAAATTTTCTTTTTTTTGTTGTGTCTCTGCCAGGTTTTGATATCACGATGATCCTGGCCTCATAAAATGCATTAGGGAGGAGTCCCTCTTTTTCTAGTGTTTGGAATAGTTTCAGAAGGAATGGTAGTACCTTCTCTTTGTACCTCTGGTAGAATTCAACTGTGAATCCATCTTGTCCTGGGCATTTTTTGGTGGGTAAGCTATTAATTACTGCTTCTATTTCAAAACTTGTTATTGGTCTATTCAGGGATTTGAATTCTTCCTGGTTTAGTCTTTGAAGGGTGTATGTGTCCAGGAAAGTGTCTATTTTTTCTAGACTTTCTAGTTTCTTTGCATAGAGGGTTTATAGTATTCTCTGCTGGTAGTTTGTATTTCTGTGGGGACAGTGGTGATATGCCTTTATCATTTTTATTGCATCTATTTTATTCTTCTCTCTTTTCTTCTTTTAGTCAGGCTAGTGGTCTATTTTGTTAATCTTATCAATAAACCAGCTCCTGAATTCATTGATTTTTTGAAGGGTTTTTCATGTCTCTATCTCCTTGAGTTCTGCTCTGATTTTAGTTATGTCTTGTCTTCTGCTAGCATTTTAATTTGTTTGCCCTTGCTTCTCTAGTTCTTTTAATTGTGATGTTACAGTTTTGATTTTAGATCTTTCCCACTTTCTCCTGTGGGCATTTAGTGCTATAAATTTCCCTCTTAACACTGCTTAACTGTGTCCCAGAGATTCTGGTATGTTGTCTCTTTGTTCTCATTGGTTTCAAAGAACTTCTTTATTTCTGCCTTAATTTCGTTATTTACTCAGTAGTCATTCAGGAACAGGTTGTTCAGTTTCCATGTAGTTGTGCGGCATTGAGTGAGTGTCTTAATCCTGAGTTCTAATTTGATTGCACTGGGGTCTGAGAGACTGTTTATTGTGATTTCTGTTCTTTTGCATTTGCTGAGGGATGTTTTACTCCCAATTATATGGTCAATTTTAGAATAAGTGTGATGTGTTGCCAAGAAGAATGTATATTCTGTTGATTTGGGGTGGAGAGTTCTGTAGATGTCTATTAGGTCCCCTTCATCCAGAGCTGAGTTCAAGTCCTGAATATCCTTGTTAATTTTCTGTCTTGTTGATCTGTCTAATATTGACAGTGGGGTGTTAAAGTCTCCCACTATTATTGTGTGGGAGTCTAAGTCTCCTTGTAGGTCTCTAAGAACTTGCTTTATGAATCTGGGTGCTCCTGTATTTGGTGCATATATATTTAGGAGAGTTAGCTCTTCTTGTTGTGTTGATCCCTTTACCATTATGTAATGCCCTTCTTTGTCTTTTTTGATCTTTGTTGGTTTAAAGTCTGTTTTATCCGAGACTAGGATTGCAACCCTGCTTTTTTATTGCTTTCCATTTGTTTGGTAAATATTCCTCCATCCTTTATTTTGAGCCTATGTGCATCTTTGCATGTGAGATGGGTCTCCTGAATACAGCACATCAATGGGTCTTGACCCTTTGTCCAATTTGCCAGTCTGTGCCTTTTAATTGGTACATTTAGTCCACTTACATTTAAGGTTAATATTGTTATGTGTGAATTTGATCCTGTTCTCATAATGCTAGCTGGTTATTTTGCCCATTAGTTGATGCAGGTTCTTTATAGTGTCGGTGGTCTTTACAATTTGCTAAGTTGTTGCAGTGGCTGGTACCGGTGTTTCCTTTCCATATTTAGTGCTTCCTTCAGGAGCTCTTGTAAGACATGCTTGGTAGTGACAAAAATCTCTCAGCATTTTCTTGTCTGTAAAGGATTTTATTTCTCCTTTGCTTATGAAGCTTAGTTTGGCTGGCTATAAAACTCGGGGTTGAAATTTATCTTCTTTAAGAATGTTGAATATTGGCCCCCAGACTCTCTTCTGGCTTGTACAGTTTCTGCAGAGAGATACACTGTTAGTCTGATGGGCTTCCCTTTGTGGGTAACCTGACCTTTCTCTCTGGCTGCCCTTAACGTTTTTTTCCTTCATTTCAACGTTGATAAATCTGAGGATTATGTGTCTTGGGATTGCTCTTCTCAGGAGTGTATTTGTAGTGTTCTCTGTATTTCCTGAATTTGAATATTGGGCTGTCTTTCTAGGTTGGAGAAGTTCTCCTGGAATATCCTGAAGAGTGTTTTCCAACTTGGTTCTATTCTCCCCATCACTTTCAGGTACACCAATCAAATGTAAGTTTGGTCTTTTCACACAGTCCCATATTTCTTTGAGGCTTTATTCATTCCTTTTCATTCTTTTTTCTCTAATCTTGTCTTCACACTTTATTTCATTAAGTTGATCTTCAATCTCTGAAAATCTTTCTTCTGCTTGATTGATTCAGCGAGTGATACTTGTGTATGCTTCATGAAGTTCTCACGCTGTGTTTTTCAGGTCCATCAGGTCATTTATCTTCTTCTCTAAACTGGTTATTCTAGTTAGCAATTCCTCTAACCTTTTTTCAAGTTTCTTGGCTTCCTTGCTTTGGGTTAGAACATGCTCCTTTAGCTCAGAAGAGTTTGTTACTACCCACCTTCTGAAGACTATTCCTGTCAATTCATCAAACTTGTTCTCCGTCCAGTTTTGTTCCCTTGCTGGCAAGTAGTTGTGATCCTTTGGAGGAGAAGAGGTGTTCTGGTGTTTGGAATTTTCAGCCTTTTGTGCTGGTTTTTCCTTACCTTCGTGGATTTATCTACCTTTGGTCTTTGATGTTGGTCACCTTTAGATGGGGTTTTTGTGCGGACGTCCTTTTTTTGATCTTGATGCTATTCCTTTCTGTTTGTTAGTTTTCCTTCTCACGGTCAGGCCTCTCTGCTACAGGTCTGCTGGAGTTTGCTGGAGGCCCACTACAGAACCTGTTTGCCTGGGTATCACCAGCAGAGGCTGCTGAACAGCAAGGATTGTTGCCTGTTCTTCCTCTGGAAGCTTCATGCCAGAGGGGCACCCACCCAATACCAGTTGGAGCTCCTGTATGAGGTGTCTATCAACCCCTGCTGGTAGAGTCTCCCAGTCAGGAGGCATGGAGTCAGAGACCCACTTGAGGAGGCAGTCTGTCCCTTAGCAGAGCTCGAGTGCTGTGCTGGGAGATCCACTGCTGTCTTCGGAGCCAGCAGGCAGGAACATTTAAGTCTGCTGAAGCAGTGCCCACAGCCAGCCCTTCCCCCAGGTGCTCTGTCCCAGGGAGACGGGAGTTTTATCTATAAGCCCCTGACTGGGGCTGCTGCCTTTCTTTCAGAGATGCCTTGCCCTGAGAGTAGGAATCTAGGGAGGTAGTCTGGCTGCAATGGCTTTGCAGAGCTGTGGTGGGTCCCACCCCATTTGAACTTCCAGGTGGCTTTGTTTACATTGTGAGGGGAAAACTGCCTAATCAAGCCTTATTAATGGTGGATGCCCCTCCTCTCACCAAACTCCAGGGTCCCAGGTCAACTTCCGACTTCTATGCTGGTAGCAAAAATTTCAAGCCGGTGGATCTTAGCTTGCTGGGCTCTGTGGGGGTGGGATCTACTGAGCTAGACCACTTGGCTCCCTGGCTTCAGCCCCTTTTCCATGGGAGTGAACAATTCTGTCTTGCTGGTTTTCCAGGTGCCACTGGTGTATGAAAAAAAAAACTCCTGCAGGTAGCTCAGTTTCTGCCCAAACAGCTGCCCAGTTTTGTGCTTGAAACACAGGGCCCTGGTGGTGTAGGCACCCAAGGGAATCTCCTGGTCTGAAGGTTGCAAAGACCATGGGAAAAGCCTAATATCTGTGCCAGAGTGCACCGTTCCTTATGGCACAGTCCCCTGTGGCTTCCCTTGGCTAGGGGAGGGAGTTCCCTGACCCCTTGTGCTTCCCAGGTGAGGCAACACCCCACCCTGCTTCAGCTCACCCTCTGTGGGCTGCACCCACTGTCTAACCAGTCCCAATGAGATGAGCCAGGTACCTCAGTTGGAAATGCAGAAATCACCCACCTTCTGCGTTGATCTTGCTGGGAGCTGCAGACTGGAGCTGTTCCTATTTGGCCATCTTGCCAGCCACCTATGATGGTTTTTAGGTAAACTATTCTGTTACAACTTTCTTTAAATTTGAATATTGATTGTTATTTAACAGTATTAGTATGACCCACACTCTCAATTAGTTGACACTGACCCAATTATAGTAAATTCATTGATTTCTAATTCAATAGCTTTAAAAGGAGTGTGAGCCTTGTCTTTATATTTATTTGGAGATAAATATAGAACTAGATATTGTAAAAGTTTAAGCTTAAAGAAAAAACCCTATTTTACATGTGTACAGTGTAGATAAGACAGATAATGAATGTGGTATTTTCAGCTATATCTTCAGAGGTAGGTTTTGAAAAAGAGCAGCCAAAGATCTGAATAGACATTTCTCAAAAAAGACATACAAATAATGGCCAACAGGTATATGAAAAGTGCTTATCATCGTTAATCATCAGGAAAATTCAAATCAAAACCACAATGAGATATCATCTTACCCCAGTTAAAGTGGCTATTTTCAAAAAGACAGAAAATAACAAATGCTGGCAAGGATGCGGAGAAAAGGGAATTCTTCTATACTGTTGGTGGGAATGTAAATTAGTACACCCATTATGGAAAACAGTGTGGAGGTTTCTTGAAAAACTAAAAATGAAACTACCATATGATCCAGCAATCTCACTACTGTATATTTATCCAAAGGAAAGAAAATCAGTATATCAAAGTTATAACTTCACTCCCATGTTCATTACAACACAATTCATAATAGGTATGATATGAAATCACAATAGCATTAACAGATGAATGGATACAGAAAATGTGATATATACACACAATAAAACACTATTCAGCTATTAAAAAGGAATGAAATCCCGTCATTTGTGACAACATGGATGGAACTGGAAATCATTATGTTAAATAATATAAGCCAGGCACAAAAAGGAAATACCTCATACTCTCACTCATATGTGAAAGCTAAAAATTTGACCTCATGGAGGTAGTGTAGAATGATGGCTACCAGAGACTGGGAAGGATTGCCCCAGGGAGGGGAGAAAGAGATGAAGACAAGTTGGTTTGTAATGTATGTACAAAATACAGTTAGATAGAAGAAAAAATTTCTTTTTTTTTTTTTTTGAGACGGAGTCTCGCTCTGTCGCTCAGGCCGGACTGCGGACTGCAGTGGCGCAATCTCGGCTCACTGCAAGCTCCGCTTCCCGGGTTCACGCCATTCTCCTGCCTCAGCCTCCCGAGTAGCTGGGACTACAGGCGCCCGCCACCGGAAAAAATTTCTAATGATGGATGGCAGAGTAGGGTGACTGTAGTTAATAACAATATATTGTATATTTCAGAATAGCTAGAAGAGAAGATTTGAAATGTTCCAACAAATAGATATGATAAATGTTTGAGGTGATGGATATCCTAAATACTGTAATTTGATTATTACACATTGTCTGTTTGTATCAAAAGATCACATGCACCCCATAAATTGGTATAAATATTATGCATCAATACAAATTTTTAAAAAGAGATTAGTAACCCTACTATGATAGCAAAATATATAAAATACAGAAAAATCAGAAAGTGTGAAAAATATTTCTTGATAAAAAAGTATAATTGTGTTAATATTAACTACATCACTCAATTTTTAATACTTATTTGTGCTTCATTAAATCTCTGAAAAATCAATATCTTAATTTATCAAGTATTTATTGTTCTAATACTATGTAACAAACTCTGATAGGTAATATAACTAGAAAGATAATTTTAAAAATTATTATCCTGAGAAGCTTATAGTCTAAAAGGTAAAGAAATAGATTATTGTAACCTAATGTCATAATTCTATGGTATGTTCTTATGTAGCATGCCTTATGAAAATATAAGAAAAGTGAATCTTCCACTCAGGAGTTAGGAAATTCAATGTTATTATACAAATTAAAATCGGAACAAGTGAATTATATTTCAGAATCTATACACAGGGTATATATAAGTCACATTTAGAGAGTGTGAAATAGAGAAACATTAAAATTCAGATGAGACAATATTTTTTTCCTTTGAGATACATTTTAATCCAACTTTTAAAGTGTTGAAGAAAATAGGTCTCTATTAATAGGGAAGTGGCAAAACCAAAACCTCCTGATAGAGTCACCTCCATCTCTACCGTCATCACCGTTTCTCCATCTTCAGGCTAAGACATCCATAAAAAGCATTTAGAAAAGGCATTAGCTCCTTCGTGTTCAACTGCTACTGCAATGCATGACTCTACATAGCAACAACTGGTACCAGAAATAGTGCACTCAGAATATGAAACATAAAGTTGGTCCAGTTGGGACCAAAAGTATTTATAATCCAATGATTAGGGAAAGGGTATGTTCTGTAGTAGACCACAGGTAAAGAATCATATGTAGTCTAACATAGGAGCCAATAAATAGATATTAGAAAAATTCATTAAGTTCGATTATCTCACAGGAAAATGACTTTTATTTTCTTATTATTTCCTAAATCACAGATAATTCTATGCTCTTTGATTTTTATTTGTTTGTTTGTCTGCCAGGCCTCTATTTTCAAAGTCCTAGTGAAGAAAAAAAATTATTAGGTTGGTATTCTGTTTGATACTCTTAAATCTATCTATGAACTTTATTCTTAAAATTCACAAGTTGGGTTTAATTTACAAGGCTTTTAATACAAAAAAAATCCTAATCATCAAACTTTAGAATGCTAATTTAAACAAATAATTATACTTTCATATGAGGAAAAACATTTCTCAACACATCTGAGTATCTAATGACTAAATAAATGCCTGTTTATACATAAAATATTTATTTTGAAGAAAAATTTCTAAGGGCATTTTTATTCAGGAAACTAAAATGTTACAAATTAATTTATCAAATAATGGGCCTCATATATAAGATGAGAAACAAGTTTCCCAATTGTCTTGTGGAGCAGCATTTTGAATGTTCACTAAGAATATTTATTTTATTATATATTTTATATTAACCAAAGCTAATGTTTTTTTTCATTTAGCAACTCCAGCAGTTCCATTTCTAGTTTGAAATTTGAAATTACATAAAAGCATAGTTTTGGAATTTTAAAAAATCCTGTTAAAATCCAGAACAGTATTTATTTAGTGTACATTCTTGGGAAAATATTCAAATATTTGTATTGCCACATGGCAGTTCTGAACACAGAAGCATAGAGTAACTACCCACCTTCCTCCCCCACCCCCGCCAAATTATCTTATTTGTTTGCTAAAACAGATGAATTCTAGCTCTATTTTTGTTTTGGGGAAACTCTCCAAGTAGTCTGTAGAACATGTTTCATAGGCTTTAGCACACCTGAACCAGGTCTTCAAACATGGGAATACAGCCAGGAACAAGCCTCAGAAGAAAACTGATGAGAGACTCTGCTATTGGTTTATGGAAAACGGAGCTTAGTGCCAGAAGTCGATGTTTCCTTTTTATATGTATACACTAGAAACCTAAATTTATGAGAGAAAATGCTGGTTTACAGAGAGAAAAGAGATCAAATTTATTCCAATATTTAGGTCTCACTGTTTCTTCCTCAGCGCTGCTGTTTTCTTATTTAAAATTGTGCTCTTTAAAAATCTGCAGCAGATCAGAGCTGCTTCTTTTAATAAATGGCAAATACATCAATTATCATTCACTCTTCTTAACTGCTTGCTTTAAAAACACACACTAATATAGAGAATATGAATATAACATGCTGATGTTAGAAAAAAACTAATTCAGACTTAAAGATACAAAATTTTGATAAATTGTTATTGTAGTGTCTACCAGTAATAGGATAAGTAAAAATTCAGAAAACTGAATGAATATATGCTTATTTTTGTTTTCATTTTGCATAATAGCACTCTCTTGTTTATCATAACATTTATAAATGTACACACATATTCATTGTGGAAGTACTGAAAATGTAAAACATATATAAATAAAAATTAAACTGACGTGGCATTTCATCATATGGAATTAATCACCATTATCCATTCATTGTATTCACTTTTAGAACTTTTCCTATGTTTCTATGTGGAACTCTTAGGCTATATGTGTATACTTTGTGTGATTGTGTGCATGTAAGAGTTCTCTATGCCTTATCAGGTTATAGCTACAAAGAAAATTTACAAATGGCAATAACCATAATTTGATGAGTTTTTTTTTCTCACCTGCTACTGCTGTAACTCCAAGTCTTCTCAGTTATTTCTTTTCATGTTATCTAACAGCATCTTCAGAAGTATTTCTCATGTGGTTGACAATATGTCTAGAGAAATTCTCTTTTCATACACAACTGGGTATATCTGTGTATTAGGTTTTCTTCACCTATTCAGATTGCTATTATTCATTATTATAGCTCAATTAGTTCCAATTATTCATATTAAATCTTCTTTACAGGCATTGGCTGCATGCTCTTGTCAAGGTTTCCATTTTCCATTTAACTTTCCATGGGCATGGCTTCTGTTTTGACTGAGTATTGAATTGCTTTCATGTCATTCTGTCTTTGATATAAAAGTGAAATGATTGGCCTTCTCACATTGCACCACACATTTCATCTGACACCAAAGAAGTGTTATTTTTTTTTCCAGTCTCATGGAATCTTGTCCAAAAAGCAGGTTTTTCTGATTTCCTGTGTTGTCAGTATAATCTGGTCTTGGATGTCAGTAGCTTGCCAATATCTCCATTAATTTTGCCACAGTGTACGTGGATATGCATACCTTTGCCTTCACCGAAACCCCCAATGCATTTCCACCATGCAGGTGGAATTGGGGTATTCATATATATGCCTAATATATCAAGAAATGTCTGCATTCCAGTGGTGGGCGCAGATTATGCCTATCTTGATATCTACCAGATTGCACCATGTAAGTCTGTACAATCCTAGGAAAAAATAAACCCTTTCATCAAAATGTTTTGAAAGAACCTATTGCAAGATTCTTTCTATCATTGCAATATTTTAACAATTTGAGATTTGTTTTTTAGTTTACCTCAGAATGATGTTTGCCTCTTACTTATTTTAACTTTATAAGAATTAAAATTTATTGATATGTGTTCATAACTTTTTAAAGTTTTATTTTATGGCAATGTACTCTTATATTGAGGTTTATTAAATACTTTTTTTTTTGATTGCATATTTTGTATTTCTCCCTCTTATCCATCTGCCCATCTGTACTTTTATTTGCTGTCTGTTGTAAGGTGGGAATACAGCTTAGTATTCTTTCTCTACATTAAAATTGAAATGGAGAATTCTTCTAAATATACTGTGATAGAAATTAGGAACTCAGAAGTCAATTTCAAAAGATTTTCTTCAATGAACTCGAAGCCTCTTGAGAAAAACACAGGTAAAATATAAATTTACATGAATAGTTAATGGATGCCATATGTGATCATTTCTGTTATTACTATTTTAAATACTTAATATTTACTGAGGTCTTTCTGTGAAGATTTGTTATATCTTTTATTAATCAGACTTAAAGGCTAGAAGAAAGATGCAAATATGCCATACAGTTTTCCACCTTGAGAAACTGGTTATATGATATAGCACAGTTAGGGAATTCTATAGGATGGACTGGTATGGGGAGAAAAAAATTTATGAGTTCAATTTTGGACAGATTGGTTAATATGTCTATAAGACTTCTAAGAAGAGGTGTCCTGGAGAAGTGTCTTGGAGACCTTAGCAAAGGCAGTGCCACTGGAATGACAAGTCAGAAGTCAGATTAAATTGAATTGAGCACTAAGTTAAAAATTAAGAATAAGGGCAGCAAGTACAAACAAATGTTCATAAAAAATGAGAGTGTGAAATAAAAGCTAGGTATGACCTGGACAAAAACAGAAAGTCAAAAAAAGAGTCTTTTTTGTGTGTTTGAGAAAGAATTTACCATATAACAGCAATGAAAGAAAGAGTACAGTGTAAAAGGACACATGTGTATCCAGGGCCTCTGAAGGAATATATAACCAGGCAGCTGAGAGGAAGAAGAGGATGTGATAAAGGCAGAAGATAAGAGTCATTCCATTGAAATAATGAAGAAAGAGGTCCAGATAAATACACATTTGTTAATTTGATGATGCAAAATTGAAGACCTTTTAACAAGATGACTTACTGTCTTTAATGTGGCTCTGAGGTTATCTGCTAAGGAGCTTGGAGAAAAGTCAAGAAGGTTGCAAATAGTGATTAAGAAGAATTAGAGAGTAAATTCACAAGGGAAATGGTAATATTGCTGATCAAACCCTAGAAGGCACTATGCTTAGTGAGTAGAAATTTACATTGGTGCTATTCTTCTAGGCCATGTGATTACTTCCGGCATGACAGCTAGCTTGGATAAGCAGGAGAAAGACACTTAATTTCAATCAACATTGAAGTCTTAAGGGCAGGTGAAATGAAATAGCTGGGGGTTTAAAACTTTGTCAAGAGAATATCAAAAATGATGTCAAGGGGTGTGGGTGGTAGATAGGAGAGCTTAGCCTGGCCCCCCAAACGGCTTTTAACATTTACTTTTTTTAAATACACAAATTACATTTTATGAAGAAAAGATTTTTAAAAAGACTTGGCAAATTGAAATAGTTAAAAAACACAAGAGAATTGCATAGATAATCTTGTTAAGGTTACCTACAGATGAACAAATTCAGCCAAAATGTCCAGACTCCTCTTAGGAGAAACTGGAAGAGTGTTTCCCTTTTCTTTAAGAAGGCTCGTGGATGGTTAACTTTGGTGTGATTACTGCTCATCTTTTATAAAATGCTCTAACCTTTCTTTTGAGAGAATCTTAAAATAGGGAGCAGCGAAAATAGTGCTTTAATTACACTATCTCTTCTTTGCATCTCTTAGCTCATGTTTGAATATATTCTGTGGAAAATCAGCTGCATTAAAAAGTATTTGGAATCTTCCCTTACCATACTTCTCTTAAATATATATGTTTAAAAAATATATATTTTAAAAAATATATATGCGTATATATATACACACACATATATACATATATACACATATATAGTATATATATATATATATATACACTAAACATTAGGGCTTTTTTCAGTATATATATATAGTATATATGTCTCCAGCTATTTAACTCACAACCGTCATACTTAGTCTGCTACTGGAATTGTACATTGCTAAACTAAGGACACCCACTCCTGTCATCTGTGTGAATTTACATAAGTAATCTCACCCCCATACATACACACACTTCACCATATGAGTTATTTTATTGGTACTTTGTTAATAATGCCAACATTATTTTTATGGTGGTTGATACAAATTTGATAAGCATTGAAGTCAGAACTTTCTGCTATAATGTGGAGATAAATTATTGTTCCACTATATATGTATATATAGTATATATACGTATATACGTATATATAGTGTATATATAGTATATATAGTGTATATATAGTATATATACGTATATACGTATATATACTATATATACTATACATATACTATATATAGTGTATATATACTTACATACATATACATATACTATATACACATACATATACATATACTATGTATTCATATATGTATATAGACTATATATACACTATACATACACTATATATAGACTATATATAGTTTATGTATACTATATATAGTGTATGTATACAATACATACACTTTATACATATATACATATACATGTATATATGTATATATATATACATGTATACACATGTATACATATACATACACTATATGTATATATATGTATATATACATATACATATAGTGTATGTATACATACATACACTATATGTATATATATGTATATATACATATACATATAGTGTATGTATACATACATACACATATATACATACATATACATATACTATATATAATATATATATGTATATATAGTGGAACAAGAATTTATCTCCACATTATAGCAGAAAATTCTGGCTTTAATGCTTATCAAATTTGTTATCAACCACCATAAAAATAATGTTGGCATTATTAACAAAGTACCAATAAAATAACTCAAATGGTGAAGTGTGTGTATGTATGGGGGTGAGATTACTTGCATAAATTCACACAGATGACAGGAGTGGGTGTCCTTAGTTTAGCAATGTACAATTCCAGTAGCAGACTAAGTATGACGGTTGTGAGTTAAATAGCTGGAGACACCCAAAATGTAAATTTTGAGAGAGCAATAGCAGATGATTGACATGTGAATAAAGAAATGACTAAATACTTTAAACTTTCAAGCCCTGCAAGAATGTTACACACTGTGATTTTTTTCTGACCCTGGCACTGTAGGAAGAAATGTTACTCTTGCCTTGTAAGATGCCGTGTGAATAGTTGTGAGGCGGAGCATCCGTCTTGGTTAAGTGCTGTCCAATTACTGTCAGTGATTCCCACTGCTCGCCAGAAAGTGTTGCCTTAATCGTGTTCATTTCAGCAATGCTAAAAATACATTTCTTGTGCTATAAAAATGCAGACATTTTTTCTATCAGTAATTTTGGATAATAATGTTTGTTGCAAATTCAAGATGAGGGTAGAAAATTTGCTAAAAGCCAAGATTCTATAACAAAATTTTGCCTGCCTAATACCCCGTATAAATAAACATAGAACAAGTTGCAAAATAGTGACAAAATTGTTTTAATTGAATTAAGACATTTTATTTTATAGTGTTTCAAAAAATAAATAACTGACAACATAATGATTACTGCAGGAGGGCAATGTCTTATTTAAAAAAAATAGCAGCAAATATATTTTTGCCTGATGCCTGTGGCAGAAAAAATCAAGTTCCCATATCCTAGTAAACAAGAAAATAATTCAAGGCAAAGCAAAATGTAGTGCAAATGAAAACCAAAACAAGAATGTATTGTGAGATGAGAACTTTGTAGGGTTTTTTGAGATATAAAACAGGCTGAATAAAACAAATGAAACATCACACCCGTCTGGTACACTGTCTAAAGAAACAAAAAACAGTAGAGAAAATGTCACCAAATGTCAAAACTAGAACTCCTACAAAATAAAGCAGAACATTTTCCTAGAGATAAAGACTGCTACACAAACCTACCAGAACTCTATAAATCAAATTCTCGAAAAAGGGAGACCTCAATAGGCTAGAATGTCAACATTAATAAATAAAAAGAGTCAAATAGAACTACCATGTTAGAGTAGTAATGTGAAAAGGAAGAGAAGCGCAACTATTATTTCCAGTTGTCAGGTTTTGCAGCAATATGTTTGTGTGAGTTCTAGAAGGTGATGGTAGTGAAGAATAGTATAAGGAGGAAAAGGGGAGATATTAGGAAAATAAGTGGGTGCATCAAGAAGAATAGAAAAGGAATCATTGATCTGCAGGTGTTGCAATTTTGTTGTTAGCATGAGCATAATGTTAACAGCTGCTAGAGATGGAGCCTGATGATATGCTAGCAACTCTGCTGCTTATAAGATTATTTGATCCTCACAATAACTATTGTAGGAATGTATTGCTATTTTCTTTTAGAGATGAGAATAGTGGATCAAAAGGCATATATTAATTGATCAGCATCACATGGTCACTGAGTACCTGGAGTATGATTCAAGCCAATACACATTATTTTGAAATATAATGTGTTCATTCATCCTCTTGTATTGTACCTATTCTGCTTTCCATGTTAAACGCTTAGCAGATAAATCCACATTGCAATTGTGAAAATATGAGTGTGATGCTGGGATTCTTATCAGATAATTAACTATGTAAGGTTAAAAGTTTCCAACTGGACAATTTTACCCCAATTGGAACCTATTTGGGTCCCTGAAGAATAACTGACAATTTAGTCATAAATAATTTGACCTCTGGGTGAGGCTGTATAATATTAGCCGGTGAAACTTTAGAAAATATTTACCAAACATTAGGGCTTTTTTTCAGCTCAGCTGCTGCTAAGCTATTATCCTGACAATAATTAGTGAAAGGTTCAATAGCTTAAGGCTGCTTCATAATGAAACCATGTCATCTGCACAGAGAGGGATGATTATCTCCTAATTTGTGGAGTTAAAAAGGACTGCATCCAAATTATCTAAATCAGTAGCTAAGTTATCCAACTTATTTTCTGCCTCACACGGATCATATTTACAACATAGTCTCATGGGTGACATCACTCATTACATAAAATAATTCTAAAATGATAGAGAAGTAGAAGGTCATATCTCCCTAAGGTAATAGTTCTCAGTTCAAGCTGTTCATCATAGTTGCTTGCAAACTTAATAAAAATACAGTTTCAGATTTATGTCCTTACAATTTCGATTCTGCACAGCTGAGAAGGACCTGGGCATGTCTATGTTTGCAAAACAACTTGATTTTGAGGCATAGGCAAGATGGAAAACTATTATTAAAGGGGGATATAGAATCTTCTGTGTGTTAGATTTAAAGAGGCTGTTGAACTAAACCAACAAATGTTCAACAACAACAAAACTCCAAAGAGAATCCTGATATACTACCTGAACTGTGTTTCTAGAACAGAATCAATCAAAATACTGGTTGATGAGCACATTTATAGACTGAATTCAAGATTTGTGCACGGGTGTGCACATTTTTACCTGCATCTTTTTGAAATAGCAGAAAAATATAAAATGTAAATAATTTCACAAAAGTCTTGAAATACAAACTTGAAATCCTGCTAAGCAAAAGAGAAGACCTTTGAGTGAATATCCCCAAAAGAAATCTGGCGAGTGGTGGAAAGGACTACAATCTCAGAAATTGGGAGCAGAAGATGGTGATTCAGAAAAGAATTTAGTGAGTGATATGTATGGAACAGTTGTACCAGGCCCTCTCAGAAAGAGGCTGATTGCAGCTTATGTTCCCTCACTAAAGCCAAGACTATTTTTAAACTGTGAAAGCCCATAACTATTCTAATGAAGTGGAACATCTGTAATGGTTGTGGTTCGCCACGCAAGTGTTTGAGAGGCAATGCCTGGAAAGTGCCCAGATATCTTCCGGTTGATACAAAGAACAAAGGAGCTCAAATAGCCAAAATGCAAGCTGCTCACATTCACAGCTTCTCAGGCCAAAAATCTGGATATCCGATTTGATCATGTTTTTTACCCCCCTACTCAATTTATCTGAAAGTTTTGTTAGCTCCGAATGCAAACTTTACATCACATTTATATACTTCTTTCAAATTCCACAGCTACCATTCCATTCTTTACCAGCATCATCTTCACTTGCCTTACTGCAGTACCTTCCTAGCTGGCCTCGCCATTTTCACTCTTCTTTCATCCCAATCTAATCTCCACACAGCTCCTATAATGACATTTTCAAAACATAAATCAGGTCATACTCTTCATTAGCTTAAAGCCCTGCCATAGTTCCTGAATCTTAAAATAAAACCAAATTTCTTGCAGTGGGCTGAGACATTGCCTTTCATTTCTTCCCATTTCTCTTAGCTCCTGTCCTCCCTCTTGGGGAAACATTGTTGATTTTTGTCCTTTTCTGTTGTTCCTAGGTATATGACTCAGGATAGGACATGTCCTCTTTTACTATAAATGTGAATAAATGTATATTGGTATTAAAATATATACACCTGTAAGTAAATATAATAATGTACATAATACTGTTGATGTACTATTACTTGAGAGAAAAGGGTTATCTTTTTAAAAAATTATGGATAAGTATTGCAAGGTCTTAGACCACAGTAAGTTATTATGGAATGAAACACTTTATATTTTTTTCCTTTTATTTTTCTAGTCTCCATGTTTTATTGATTATGGTCCCTAGAGGAAGAGCAATATTGAAAGCAAAAAAGGTTTTCTCAACTTGTTCTAAAATATCTATCACTGAAATAAAGGTTAGCAAAGAAAAAAGAAAACAAAATGTAATGCCTTAATTAGAAATGTAAAAGTACTAACTCAAGAAAAGTCACACACATTTCCAATGAGTAATAATTATCTGGTATTATACATTATCTCAGACAAATATATTTTTCTCATATTGAAATAAATATTTATGGAGAAATCCATATCTGCTGTGAACTATGTTTTGACAAAACGATATAATTATTTGTATTCAGGTCTTCCAAAATTTAAAATTCAGGTGATAGGTACTCAATAGATGGACATTATAGTTCTAGACATACCTGAACAACTGCCATATGCAACAGCAAAAGTAAATATATATATATATATATATATATATATATACACACACATATATATGTGTGTGTATATATATATATATATACACATATATATATATATATATATATATACACATATATATATATATACATACACACATACTTTCTAAGGCATACCAAGGGCATCCTAGAAATTGTGTTCAAGACTGAAGGAAATAAATGATTATTTTATATACTAAGTAGACAAGAAGTTGACACATACAAAGTAAAATAAATTGTGTAATATAACTTTCTTTACCAAATTTACTTTAGTTGAAATCTGACTAAAGAATGGCATAAAACATTAAATAAAGGGAGGCTTCCTTAAAAATAGCCAATTAGCTATATGAAAATGAAGTTAAAGACTGAAAAAGGGCCGGGCGCGGTAGCTCACGCCTGTAATCCCAGCACTTCTGGAGGCCGAAGTGGGTGGATCACGAGGTCAGGAGTTGAAGATCAGCCTGGCCAACATAGTGAAACCCTGCCTCTACTAAAAATACAAAAAAATTAGCTGGGTGAGGTGGTGGGCACCTGTAATCCCAGCTACTCGGGAGGCTGAGGCAGAGAATTGCTTGAACCCACCGAGGCGGAGGTTGCAGTGAGCTGAGATCGTGCCACTGCACTCCAGCCTGGGCGACAGAGCAAGACTCCATTTAAAAAAAAAAAGACTGAAAAAGGTCAAGTAGTCAACCTAATTTTATTGTTTTTCTTCAAGTTATTATATTGAAAACAGATATCTCAAATATTTGGAACAGTATTTGAAAATTATCTTTATTGCCAGAAAAGTGTCACATTTGCTTGTGGGACTTGTCCATTTTATTACTCTGTAGTAACTAAATTGTTAACACCCCTGAAATTCAATGTATCTGACTAGTCAGACTTCAACATTAGAATAGAAAATCATTTTTTCCCTTTGGATGTGGCAATTATAGAATACTTAGTTGGTATATCAGCTAAGAAGAAAGGCTAATTAACAAATCAAGCATAAATCAATACTTATATTCTATTTATTGAATGTAGTTTGGTTATGAAAATAGTCATGCTGAAGAACAATGGTAGATGATATTTCCAGCCAAGGTGTAGCTGATTTGGGAAGCTTTCATGAATGGGTCAAAATTACTACCTTGTGAAGAAACAGGCAGGTTAAAAGGTGTGTTGTGGGGGGAAACATATATATATTTTACATATATATAATATATTATATATAATATATATTATATAATATATATAATATATTATATATATTATATATATTATATATTTTATATATTTTATATAATATATATAATATATATTATATATAATATATATAATATATTATATATATTATATATAATATATATTATATAATATATTTAATATATTTATAGTATATATAATATATTATATAATATATTATATATATTATATAATATATATTATATATATTATATATATTATTATATATTTAATAATATAAATATCTATGATACATAATATAACATATATTTATAATATATAATATATATTACATATTATACATAATATATAATATATATTACATATTATACATAATATATAATATATATTATAGATTATATATTATATGTTATACATAATATATAATATATTATATATTATATATTATACATAATGTATAATATATAATATATTATATATTATGTATAATATATAATATAATAATAAATAGAGGTTTGATGCATTTAGTTCAGTCTGGACAGCTATTTTCAGTGAGAGTTGAGTTCATTACAGGCTATTCTGTCATAGTCAAAACCTGTAGTTTCTATTTGGTATGTGTGTAGTATATACACACATACACACACACACACACACACACACATATATATATACACACACACACACATATGCATCCCTAATATTAAATATATATACTACACACATACCAAATAGAAACTACAGGTTTTGACTATGACAGAATAGCCTGTAATGAACTCAACTCTCACTGAAAATAGCTGTCCAGACTGAACTAAATGCATCAAACCTCTATTTGAAGGCACTGGATAGGATAGGTCAATGCAGCCAGGATTGGAAAGAATAAAATTCCCGGGAAAAGGGAGGCACTAGGAGGACAGCCACATATTCACCATACTTTGTTTTTCCCTAAGGACATTTGCCAGTTCACAGAGGTATAGGGAATAGAATCCTAAGATTCGGAAAGGAGTAATACTAGGTTAAAGATTCAGGAGTTGGTCTTTAGAGGGCAAAAGCTCAGGAGATTTGAGAAGCAAAATCTCAGGGATGAAGAAACACCATAGAAGTGAGCTCAGTGTATTACCCTGGAAGCTCCATAGGGGAGAAAGAATCATAAACGGAAGGATCTATTTTCTTGAGAGTAATTTTGAGGCTCTGTATCAAGAAGGAGAGCTAGCACCTGACATAATTCAGTGAGATGAGGTGTTTGATACAGCTAGAGCTGTGTTGGGAAACACTACATGTGGCATATATTATGGGGTAGATTGTTTACTGCATCTGTGCACAGGACAACAACATTCTGGTAACCTAAGAGCTAAGCACCTTTGGCATGCATATTGAACTTTGAACAATGGACAATTTCTGCATGTCAGAGGTAGGCCTTCTTCAAGTAGCTACAATAAAAGGGGCCATCGCAACATGGAACCTAAGTAGTAGATGACAAGGAGCAGCACAAAATCCCCATGCTGCCAGATCTCCAATCATATGCATGTACACATTTGAAGATCCCTAGTTATTACTGGGGAAGCTACTTTGAAAGAAGCTACTTTGTGTGATGTGTGTTTATGTATGGATACATACAAATAGCTAGGTTGGAATTCATCCTATTTTGTTTTTATTACTTATTATTTAAAAATTATTAGTAAAAGTTACTGATTTCAACTCTGGTCAAATGATAACACATAGACATTCTGACCAGATTACAAACATGAAAACGTAAAAACCTCAGGTTTCTTCAGAAGTAAAAATAATATAATAAAATAAATAGTCAAACAAATGCAGGCAATACCTATTGCTATTGTTCTCCAGGAAATCTCCACTAATTTTGAACAAGGAGACATGTGGTTATGATCAAAACCAATAATGGATATCTATAAAAAATCAGCAAAAGAAAAAAACTGACCTGGTTTAATTCCTCATGGGCAACTGTAACACAAAATCAAAACATAAATAGGTCTGGAAATAATGACAACAAAAATTACTTCTAATCATAAAATTGTAGAGAAATTCAGATGCCTAAAATTGTAGAAAGCACTGTACATGCATACATTTTCCCAGTGAAAATGTCATTAGTTTCATCACCAAATTCTTTGACTGATCCTTGCCACCAAAAGACTAAGAATCATTGGTAAAAATGAAATAGCCCTGAACTGGGATTCAGGAAACAAATGTTCTGGTATGAGCAAATTAATTAACCTATACAGTCCTTTGCTCTCAAGTAAAGAACAAGGAAGTTGAGCTATATGGTCACTATGGAAATTTTCATCTTGGGTAGTCTGATTTTCTTTTTGTTGTTTAAGGATGATTGGTTATTCTTGGCAATATCTTCACTCAGAATAGGAAAATGACAAATTCCTTGTTCTACTACACAGCACATGCTTCTTTGTAGCTTCACTGATTTCTGAAAGAAGAATGGATTAATAGATAACCTTCTGAAATGAAGATTTAGCATGACTTCTGGTGGTTGGTTATTCTTTTTCAGTCATCTATTTTTTTTTCCTGCATTTGTGACCTTCCAGGTAATATCTTGAGCATTTTGTAAAGATACTGGCTCTTTCCAAGCTTTTGGGTATCATTGCACTATTCTAGAGGACTATTAAATAGAGTAATCTTTCATTAACTGGCATTGTTGAGAATTAGCTTGATCCACATGAGTGAAATTAGTTCTGAGTGCACACGCTTTAAGTTTTATGGTATGAGCTTATGCAATTGAGCTCTGATTACCTGGTTTAGGTTTGTCTTCTGGATAATGAAGTTTGGTTTAAAATGTTCTAAACTAACTAATATCTTTGTTTGGAGAATTTTACTTGCCTTAAATGAACAAACAAGTCATAATTTCAAAAGTGACTTTGACTGAAGAAACATAGACAGAATGTCACTTAATACAAATCAAAGAGCTTCATGATTGTGAGAAGATTTGCCTTTTAGAGACCTAGATGCTCTTTACTATTATTAGTTCAGCAGAAATCCCATGTATAAGAATACAGATATGGGGAATTTGTTTCCTTTAAGAAATTTTTTCCTTTTAAAATCATATAAAAGAACAATTTGGTCTAGATCCGGAAAGTAATGAGGGAATTACCCTTGAATAGCTGGTAGTAGGTAGCATAACTTTACAATCTGTTCACTTTAAATTTCGCATGTAACTGCAGCAGTGGGAGTTGGAACGCAGGTTTAAGGCATAATGAAATTACCATGGAGAGGGGCCATCTAGCCAACAGAAGTCCAGCTAGAAGTGACAGTTACACTGCTGCCATCCAAAAAGCATGTAAATAATGGCTCTGAAAATCATAGAGAATTTAACCATAAATTTTATACAGATTTATATCTTAATGTAAAGGGATGGCATAAAGTAGAACTTTTAGTAGTATCACCTGCTAAAACAAATTCATTCATTTTTTCATATGCATATAAACTCTAGCCCATTTTTAAATCTATGAAACTATAATCTACCTAGGAAATCTACCTGAGATAGAATCATTTTAAAACTGAGCTGATAATCTTATTATGTTAGAAAGATTATATAATAGAAAATCAACATTCAAAAATTGAATTTATAGTAAATTATCACTGATATATTTAAGAAACAAGAACTGCATCTGTACTAAATGAATCTGTAGTAGACACTTTTAACTTTTACTTTACTAAAATTTTATAAGAATATGTCAAAATATCACATATTCAAATTGTACTTCAAAACTGTTATAAAAATATATAAATGCATTTTTGAATGCCTACTTTTTAATGCTGGATAGGGACATGATGTCGCTATCATTTCAGGAAAATTAATCTTGGACTAATATTTAGACTATATCTGAGAAAGAAAAAAATCACCAGATAATACTGAAAAAAAAAATCTAAATAATTCTTTTGTAAAAATACAAGCACCTGGTCTCCATACAGATGAAATAAAAGAGTGGCAAATGTTAGTCTTCAGACCTAGTCAGAGGCAATAGGGAGGTGCATTGTCGAGAATTTGAAAATAAACTGAGTGAAAATGTGTCTGCTTCTAAACAATGTCAACGATAAAATATTCTTTCCTTTAAAACTAAAATCTTACTTTCCTTTAAAACTAAAATCTTACTTTTGGTCTAAGTACTAACCAATTGCTGTTGTTACTGATGGGTTTATTCATATACATGCAGTATTCAAATTAGCATATTTCATTTACGTTTCCTTAATAAGCATTGTGTCTGCAAGAATGTTAATTCAAAGAACTTCCAGTTATAAAGTCATCTCCCTCTACATGGGGACTCAGCTACACCAGCTTATTTTACGAGACAATTTATAAGAATTTGGAACCCTTTGAGCTTGCTTCAGGTAGAGTTTGTATTGCAAATCCCTGAGTTATTAGGTATTCCTGCACTGAAAAGCAACAAGTTTGAAATAAGCAAAGGTGGTTCAGTAATTTTAAAGATGATGAAACAGGATTTGAATTATTTTATTTTTATAATATTTACTTAAATTTTATTAATTTGTATATTTAAAGAAATGATTATGAGATTCAGTAAGGCAAAGTTTTCAGTTTTCTTTCTGACCATTGGTTTTCTTTTCCTTTTTTTTTTTTTTTTTTTTGAGACAGAGTTTTGCTCTTGTCGCCCAGGCTTAAGTGCTGTGGCGCGATCTCACCTCACTTCAACTTCCGCCTCCTGGATTCAAGCAATTCTCCTGCCTCAGCCTCCTGAGTAGCTGGGATTAAAGGCACCCTCCACCACCCCCAGCTAATTCTGTATTTTTAGTAGAGACAGAGTTTCACCATGTTGGCCAGACTGGCCTCGAACTCCTGACCTCAGGTGATCCACCCACCTTGACCTCTCAAAGTGTTGGGAGTACAAGCGTGAGCCACCTCACCCAGCTGTTTCATCATTGGTTTTCTTTCCAGATTATTACTGGAAATAATTTTTTGAACAGAAGAAGGTGTTAGAAAATAATCAGTGAAGTATACTAGACACATTTGTAGGTTATTTACAAGAAGGTGTTAGAAAATAAGTATAGTAGACACATTTGTAGGTTATTTACAAGATAAATGGAGTAGAATCATCAAAAGACTTTCATGTGTTTTGTTTATAGATTGGGAATGTAAAACATAATAAGTAACCTGGAATTAGACATCAATTAACTATTTAGGAGGAAAGGAATAGGTATAAAGGATAGTGAGTTTCAGTTTTTGCACAGTTCAATTTGACGTGGTTGTATTAGTCTGTTCTCACACTGCTAATAAAAACATACCTGAGACTGGGTAATTTACAAAGGAAAGAGGTTTAATTGAGTCACAGTTCCACATGGCTGGGGAGGCCTCACAATCATGGTGGAAGGTGAAGAAGGAGAAAACGAACGTCGTATATGGCAGCAGGCAAGAGAGGGCATGTGCACATGTCCAGGGAAACTCCCCTTTGTAAAACAATCAGACCTCATGAGACTTATTCACTATCACAAGAAAAGCATGGGAAAAACCGGCCCCCATGATTTAATTACCTCCCATCAGGTCCTTCCCACAACATATTGGGATTATTACAATCTAAGGTGAGATTTGGGTGGGGACACAGAGCCAAACTGTATCATTCCACCCTTGTCCCGTCCCAAATCTCATGTCCTCACATTTCAAAACCAATCATGCCTTCCTAACAGTCCCCCAAAGTCATAACTCATTTCTGCATTAACTCAAAAGTTCAAAGTCTCATCTGAGACAAGGCAAGTCCCTTCTGCCTATGAGCTTGTAAAATCAAAAGTAAGTTAGTCGCTTCCTAGATACAATGTGGGTACAGGCATTGGGTAAATACACCTGTTCCAATGGGAGAAATTGGCCAAAATAAAGGGGCTACAGGCCCCATGCAAGGCCAAAATCCAGCAGGGCAGACAAATCTTAAAGCTCCAAAATGATCTACTTTGACTACATGTCTCATATCCAGGTCATGATTATTCAAGAGGTAAGTTCCCATTGCCTCAGGCAGCTCTGCCCCTGTGGCTTTGCAGATACAGCTCCCCTCCTAGCTGCTTTCATGGGCTGGCACTGTTTACAGCTTTGCCAGGTGCATGGTGCAAGCTGTTGGTGGATCTACCATTCTGGGTCTGGAGGATGGTGGCCCTCTTCTCACAGCTCCACTAGGCAGTGCCCCAGTGGGGACTCTGTGTGGGGGCTGCCACTCCACATTTCCCTTCCACACTGACCTAGCAGAGGTTCTCCATGAGGGTTCCTCCCCTGCAGCACTTGTCTGCCTAGACATCCAGGCATTTCCTTGCATTGTCTGAAATCTAGACAGAGGTTCCCAAACCTCAATTCTTGATTTCTGTGCACCAACAGGCTCAACACCACATGGAAGCTGCCAAGTCTTAGGGTTTGCACCCTCAGAAGCCATGGTCTGAACTGTAACTTGGCCACTTTTAGCCATCACTGGAAGCCTAGGACTCAGGGCACCCAGTCCCTAGGCTGCACAGAGCAGGGAGGCCCCAGGTCCAGTCCATAAAACCGTTTTTTCCTCCTAGGCCTCTGGGCTTTTGATGGGACAGCCTGCCAGGAAGGTCTCTGACATGCCCTGGGGCCATTTTCCTCATTGTCTCAGCAATTAACGTTTGGTTCCTCGTTACTTATGCAATTTTCTACTGCAGGCTTGAATTTCTCCTCAGAAAATGGGCTTTTCTTTTCTACTACATTGTCAGGCTGCAAATTTTCTGAACTTTTATGCTCTGTTGCCCTTTTAAACATAAGTTCCCATTCCAAACCACATATTTGTGAATATATAAAGTTGAATGCTTTTAACAGCACCCAAATCACCTCTCAAACACTTTGCTGCTTAGAAATTTCTCCCACCAGATACCCCAAATCATCTCTCTTAAGTTCAAAGTTCCACAGAACTCTAGGGCAGGGGCAAAATGCCACCAGTCAGTTGCCAAAATAAAGCAAGAGTCACCTTTGCTCCAATTCCCAACAAGTTTCTCATCTCCATCTGAGATGAGCAGAATTTGGTCAAAGCCATTCAACAAGTCTGTAGGAAGTTTTGAACTTTCCTACATCTTCGTGTCTTCTTCTGAGCCCTGAAAACTGTTCCAAACTCTGCTGTTCCCCAGTTTCAAGTCACTTCCAATTTTCAGGTATCTTTACAGCAGCACCACACTCTACTGGTACCAATTTACTGTAATAATCTGTTCTAATGCTGCTAATAAAGACATACCTGACACTAGGTAATTTATAAAAAAAGAAATGTACTTGACTCACAGTTCCACATGGCTAGGGAGGCCTCACAATCATGGTGGAAGGTGAATGAGAAGCTAAGTCATGTCTTGCATGGCACTAGGCAAGAGAGAGCATATGCAGAGGAGCCCCGCTTTATAAAAAACTGTCAGATCTCATGAGAATTATCTACTATCATGAGAATAGCACAGGAAAAACCTGCCTTTATGATTCTATAACCTCCCAACGAGCTCCTCCCTCAACACATGGGGATTATTACAATTTAAAGTGAGATTTTGATGGGGACACAGAGCCAAACTACATCAGTAGTGCTGGCTACTTTAAGCTGAACTAGAGTTTCACATATCCATACATATGAACTTTCACAGGTATGAATCTGTGTATACATATATATTATAGCACTTATTGTTGGTAAGATGTTGATTTTTCTTTAAATATTGTGAATCCCTGGTACCTAACTCAGAACATGGTACATAGCAGACACCCAAAGGCACTGAAAGATTCAGCACATGTTCCTCAATTCAGACTTGAGAACAGGTGGGCTGTTAGGGCCAGAGATGTGTATTTTGAAATCAGATTGCTCCTTTCTCATGATGGTTGACCAAGAGTGCCTTAACTCTGATTGACCAAACTTTAGACAGGCTTCTTCTTTTCTCTAAAATCTCAACATCCCTTCCCTTAGATCATTTACTTTAGAAAACTTTTATTGAAAATTATTTATCTGCCTTTTTGAGATGTTAATCTTTTGTGAAAGACTTGTCAGTTTTACATCCCAGTACAGTCTATTCCAAGGGCTTGGAAGTCATTCTTTTGAAAGGTAAGCATAAAGGAAGATAGTATCCCTATCTCTCAGTATTTGTTGGAGGGTAGAAGTCTAATTTAGGTGGCATTCTTTAAAAAAGTTATAAAACTACCACCTGTCATGAAAATAAGAGGAAGTTTACTTTTCTTTGGATAAGGGTAATTAGCAACACAGATGGCCTCTGATCCTCCCAACTCCAGCTCTTAAAATCTCTGTAGCTATTTGTTTTGAAGGAACTTAGTTCAGACTCTGTTGTTTCTTCTTCCTTATTGCAATAGCCTTGAATGAAGGTTTCCTTACCTTTTAATTTTACCTACTGTAATTTGCACTTTGACAGCCTTTACATGTATTCTAGCTTATTTCTTTTCTGCTATCCTCCACATTTTCTCCATGGTTAGATGTAGGGAGACCCCCTGAAACTATGGCTACAGAATAAAAGATGAAATGCTCCTGATTATTGTAAGTACAAAACTGCATGCAGGATAGTGTAAAGACAATGCCAGGTTGGACTGCCAGAATGAGCCAACAGTCCGTGATGTGATTTCCCCTGCAGAGAACCTATGAAGGGATGTGCAGTGGGAGGTTTCACATCACCAAGATTCCTATCCCAGAAAAGCAGATGTTCATAGCTCTGGGAATGGAATGCGACCCTTGTGAAGAGCCTATAAATGGACGCATGGGGGACACCTGTCCATACGGATAAGATAGGGCTATAAACACCCTCATCTTGCCACAGCGCTCTTCTAGGCCTCTTTAGGGTTAAGGCATACTCCCTTCTGAGAATTTCTGGTCTAACCGGTTGTCTAGCTTCACATCCTGTTTCTATGGATTGTTTGTAACCAGCTTTTGCTGCAACTGTTACTGCTGATTAATATCTTGCTAATCATAGGTTATGGAAAGATTGTGTTTCTGTTTTAAGGCTCTGTTAGAAATTACTGACACACACACTACATTGTAAATTCTTATCTCTGTATACTATACTTCCACATACAAATATTATGTTAAAGAATTACTTCATCCCCATGTGACCATGTCACCTCATAATCAAATGACCCTAAATCCCTCACTAACCTACCCCCGCCCTCACTAAACTTAATAATAAATGCTGGTATATCCAGTGCATTGGCAGCATTGCGGGACCAGAAGGCGGTGACCCCCCTGGACCCAGCTTTCACTATCTTGTGTGTGTCTATTATTTCTTAACCTGCTGATCTGTCTGGGAACAAAGAGAGAGCCCCGTTGCATTGCGGGCTGCTGGCCAGATCCCACAATATCTGGTGCCCAACGAAATTCTCAGAAGGGAGTATGCCTTAACCCTAAAGAGGCCCAGAAGAGCCGTGGCAAGATGAGGGTGTTTATAGCCCTATCTTATCCATATGGACAGGCGCCCCCATGCGTCTGTTTATAGGGTCTCCACAAGGGTCGCATTCCATTCCCAGAGCTATGAACATCTGCTTTTCTGGGATAGGAATCTTGGTGATGTGAAACCTCCCTGACTGCACGTCCCTTCATAGACTCTCTGCAGGGGGAAGCACATCATGCACTGTTGGCTCATTCTGGCAGTCCAACCTGGCATTGTCTTTATAAAATCCTGCATGCAATTTTGTATTTACAATAATCAGGAGCATTTTATCTTTTATTCCATAGCAATAGTTTCAGGGGGTCTCCCTACAGTTAGACGCATCCTAGTACTCATCTTCAGCTTGGATTTTACTTCCTTAAGGATATTCTCTGACTATCTCACTAAAGAAGACTATCCCAATTAGTACCTATCTCATTACCTGGTTTTCTTTCTCTAGTTATATAAAGACATACTGCTAGTTTGTTATGCAGTTAAGCTGTGTGTGTGTGTGTGTGTGTGTGTGTGAAAGAGAGAGAGCATGTGTGTTGTGTGTACATCACTGACACTATTTAAAAACACATAGCACAAACAGCACATCTTTGAGTGTTTATGCTTGGTTACTCGGTTCACTTAGACTATCTCTGTTATGTGATGACTTTCGTAAAATTTATCATAAGATAAAATTTATAAAAGAAAAACTCATGATCATTGCTGCTTCTCAGAAAGAAAATATGTCTTTTCTAGATATATACTTGGTATACACATACTATTTCTCTGTACTGAATACCTCACTATAGAGCATGGCTTGATATTGATGGAAGATTGAAAAAATTTCTGAGGAGGATAAAATATAAAAGCCTCTCATTAAATTCTCCCACATTTATTTTCAGTATTTGCTTATATCATATGCACATTGACTCTACAGATACTGTTCTATAACAGCACCTAAAACAACAAGGGTCTTAGAGATGACCAGACTGAGCTACATAAACATTGATCTATATATATGGTAGCTAGAATCAGAACAAAGATTTTTCTGAGTTTCAGACAGGACTATCATGCAAATGTGGCTTCATTACCAGGAAAATATTATGAATTATAATACTCCCTACCATTGAACCTCTTGCCTTCTCTTTAGCTTTTCTATTCTGTCAGTGGCTCAAGTAAAAAACAAAACATGTCTCTTTTCAATTTCCCTTTCAGTCAATTCTGTGAAACTGAGAAGAGAGGCGAAAAAAGCAACAACAACAAAAAAAAGTAGCATGTTTTGATAGGCCTCCTTAGAATGAACATGGCACCTGTCTAATTATAAGATACTGAAAAATAAGAATCTTTAAACAGACATCTGCCCCATCTGCCCTTGTCAACCATCTTCAGTCTTTTCTGTTGTGCTGAGAAGAAAGTAAAACTTCATGAATGCGACCTTAATGGATTTGGAATTTGTAAGATTAAGGCATAAGCACAGCTATTTTAAATTGTTGCATGATTTAAATTATATAGGATCTTATATGAATATGAATAAATAGAATGTAGTTAATGATTTACATTTTCAAATAAAAGACTTTTTGTATATCATTATTATTACTTTTGGTCAATAATATTGTTATTTTAGGGTAAAAGAGAGACATATTTAAACAATTACCTATTAAACCAATAACTTTTAATAAAATATATGTCTAATACTAAATATATATTTTATCCTATTTTTAGTCTTTTTATATATTTAATTACATTTTCAAGTAATATAGCTTAGTGGAATATTTTCCACTAATAAATATAAATTATATATTCGAATCTTTAAGGTTTTTCTATGTGTAATTTTCTTTAGCAATTTTTTGGTCATATTTTGTGCTTGCAATAATTCTTAAAATTTGTAGCATAAAGCAAATACATGAATAAACAAATGGTTTAAAAATGAAAATGAGTAAAAAATTGCACTCAAATTCATTTCTCTAATCCTTAAATATTAAGAACAAAATATTATTATCACCAATGTTAGTTGAGTTTCTCTAATATCAAGTCCATTTAACACCAAATAAATTTACATTTATTACAAAGAGTTTCTGTTTTCAACTTTTAAAAAAATACAGGCAGTTCTTTGCAGCTTGAGAACATAATTGGAGGGCACAACTTAGAAAAGATAAAACAAAATCAGTACTCTCAAGAAATTTACTGTGAAATTACAAGTATTAATCAAAAGCTGAGACTATCCTATCATTTGTTTGAATGATCCAACTAGGATCCACAATAATTATTAGGTCTGCTAGACCAACAGAATATTATGTTGTTCTACTTTGACAATAGGAATTTTATTACTTCGTGCATATACAACTACAGTATAAATGTGCTTCTTCATTATAGAACAGTACTTCTTTTTAATCTTATTGAAAACATATCTTAAAGTCCATCTAATCTGATCTTGTTTCTTCCATTCGCATTTGTTCACACCAGAAACTTAAGTCTCACTAGTCTTCTACTTCTTCATTTACTTCTCTACTTTTAATTTTTTTCAAATTTTTTTTCTCTTCATTGCCATCTCTTTAGTCTAAAATAGTGTAATCTCTTACAAAGACTTCTGCCAAATCCTCCTATCTTGCCTCTCTATACCTATTTTTTCCATTCTACTTTCTTAACCAAATTAGAGTGTGTATGTATATATTTGAAGGATAAATGAATAAACAAATGTGGTATATATATCTGCAATGAACTATTACTGAAATAAACAGGAATAAAATTCTGTTACCTGCTATAATATGGATGCATCTCAAAGACATTATGCTAAGTAGAATAAACCAGAAGCAAAAGGACAAATATTGTATGATTTCACTTACATAAGAAACCTAGAATAGTTAAATTCATAGAAAAAGAAAGTAGAATAATAGTTACCAGGAACTGGGGAGGAGAAGAGAATGAGGAATTATTGTGTAATGGATACAGAGTTTGAGTTTGGGATGATGAAATACTTATAGAAATGAATGGTGGTGGTAGTTGCACAAATGTGAAAGTATTTAATGCCACTGAATGGTACACTGAAAGTGGTTAAAATACTAAATTGTTTGCTATGTGTATTTAACAAAAAAGTGATGTAAATGTAATTTTAATAGAAAGACATTCTTGTCATCTCAATAAATTCCTATGCCTATTTATATGATTGCTAATAGCAACCTTGGAAATTTCTGCACTCTCCTCCACACATGCATGAATCCAACACAAAGAGCCCTGACTTTCATCATAATTGTCCAACATCAAATTTTCCATGACACACTTACATGATGCAAGGTATTCCAAAATATGTGCATTAAATGTTGGTTAATATTTTCAAAGTCATGCTTATGTATCTGAGATATTATATAATACTATTTAACTCAGGATACAAATAATATCAGTCATAGTACACATTTAAGACTGAATTTCTCTCAGTAATTCTTTTTTATTTCTAAATTAATTGGCAAGTTATAATTGTATTATATTTATGGAATACAATATGATGTTTTGATCTATGTATATGATGTCGAGTGATTAAATCAAGCTAATTAACCTATTCATTACCTCACTTGATATTTTGGTGGTGATACATTTGAAGGTTACTCTCTTAGTTATTTTGAAATATACATTATGAACTATTATTAAGTATTGCTGTGCAATAGATCTCAAAACTACACAATCAAATACTATTCTGCCTTTAAAAATAACAAAATTCTATCATTTGGGACAACATGATGAATCTAAAAGACATTATGCCAAGTGAAATAAGCCAGGTACAGAAAAACAGATACTGCATGATCTCACTTACATGTAAATCTAAAAAAAAATTGAATTCATAGAAATAGAAAGTAGAACCATCATTCTGAGCAAACTATCTTAAGGACAGAAAACCAAACACCGCATGTTCTCACTCATAGGTGGGAACTGAAACAATGAGAACACATGGACACAGGGTGGGGAACATCACACACTGGGGCCTGTCATGGAGTGGGGGGAGGGGGGAGGGATAGCGTTAGGAGATATACCTAATGTAAATGATGAGTTAACGGGTGCAGCACACCAACATGGCACATTTATACATATGTAACAAACCTGCACGTTGTGCATATGTACCCTAGAGCTTAAAGTAAAATAATAATAATAATAAAGAAGAAAGTAGAATGACAGTTACCACCAGATGGGAGTAGGGGAGCAAGGGAATGAGGAGTTATTGGTCAAAGAGTAAAAAGTGTTGCCTGGACAGTAGAAATAAGTTACGAGTTATATTTCCAATAATTCTTGAATATCTTAGGAGACTTTAAAATCTTCAGTGGAAAATAAGATATGAGAAAAGAATATAAATTTAAGTATGAATGGATGTTGACATTGTCCTACTAACTGTGGGACATGTTGAATCAAGCAAATTGTATGTACCAGAGGACTAGAACAGGAAAACAAAAACTGCATTTAAGAAGAAAAGCTTGAGGACATTAGCATGGTATATAGAAGAGAAGTGACTTCTTGCTTGCCCGGTGTTTCCTTCATTTGTCCTGTAAATCTGTTTGTTTTTACTGTGTAACAAACTGCCTCAACAGTTAGTGGCTTGAAACAACAATCATTTATTTAGCTTCCAATTCTGTGAGTCAACAATTTGGGTTTGACTTCGGTGGTAATTCTTCTTAGTGAGTCTCAGCTGGATCCATTCATGCATCTATAGTTAGTCATTGGTGTAGCTCAGGGATGTCTGGTGTTTATAACCTCAGATGTGATAGCTTTCCTTTATTTCATGTGGTCAGTTATCCTCCAACAGGTTAGCCTGTATTTGCCCACAAGGTGGTGGCAAAATTTAAGCATACTGAGATTCTTGAGACCCAGGTTATGGCTGGCACAAGACCATTTCTACCACGTCCTACTGGGGGAAAGAATATTTTAAAGAATCGCATAAATAGAGAGATAGCCTCTACATTTTAATGGAAAGAGCTTCAAAGTCTCATTTCAAGAAAGATGGTAAAGCATGTGAACATTTTTGCAATTTGTCATACTCTGTAAGACAAGTATTAAAGTTTGATTTATGTGAAGCTAAACAAGACATGGTCTTTGCATTCCAGAAGCCCTATAATATTAGAAAATGGTGCATGTTGTAGAAACTGGGGTGACAAAGATGCAATAAGAATGTATATAAAACTAAATATTGTCACAGCATTAGAGACTATCTTCTGAAGTAGACATAATTTTATCTAGGGCCTTGACTTATGAGAATTGCTGTAGAAATACTGTGCTGATCTGTAATAATTTCTACTATTTTGTCAATTCTAAAACTTAGAGAGTGGCTTCAGTGCTGAAAAGAATGGTCTATAATCATAGTTTTGTGACAATAACAGTAATAAAAAAGATAAGTATGTGTATTAGTCCATTCTCACACTGCTAATAAAGACATACCCAAGACTGGGTAATTTATAAAGGAAAGAGGTTTAATTGACTCACAGTTCAGTATGGCTAGGGAGGCCTCTGGAAACTTATAATCATGGTGCAAGGGTAAGCAAACGTGTCCTTCTTCACATGGCGGCAGGAAGAAGAATGAGTGCCCAGTGAAGAGGGGAGTCCCTTATAAAACCATCAGATCTTGTGAGAACTAACTCACTCTGATGAGAACAGGATGGGGGAAACCACTCCTAATGATTCAATGATTTCCACCTGGTCCCTCATACAGCACTTGGGGATTATGGGAACTAAAATTCAAGATGGGATTTTGGTGGGGACACAGCCAAATCATATCAGCATGTTTCTAAAAAATGATTAAAGCTGTTTCAAAATTACACCTGCACAGTTATTCACTTCTATACATATTGTGAACATAAAAAATTTCAAGGAGAGAAAGCAGTTCATTGAATTAAAGAAAAAATGGGAAAGGTTAAATGAGCTCCTTTTTTTCCATTGAATATGTTGTGTGGGGAAAAGATTATGCTGAATAGCTACCACTAGAATTTAACAGAATGAATAAGCAATAGAAATGGCTTGTGAAATATTTTGAATAGTCCTCATAGTTTAAAATTATAGCTTCAAAATTAAGAATGAAGTAATGACATAAACTGTGTTATTCTTGTAGCAGATGTTGAGATTTTCCCTGGGTGAAAATTTGAAAAAAAATTGTCTTTGGAATACCAAGTTCCTTACCACATAACCTTGCTTAACTTCAAGAATGCAGTGGCTGTTACCGAGAAATTCTTATTTCAATCAAAACCTGCAGTTTAAAACTGTCTATTATTAGTTGGTAATTTGTTACTCCATAGCTTTGTTATGTGTTTGCTTCCTTGTTTAGTTTCTGAAGATATATAATAAAACATATCTTGCCTGCAAAATAAACTTGAGATATAAGATAAATTATTAGGGAGTTGTAGTCTTTTCACTGAGGGATAACATGGCACAGCTGAGGGATCCATGCCATATTTCAGTTCATGTTGTAGAGTTAAATAATCTTCAAAATAGGAAATATATTCCTGAGAGTTCGTAAAGTTTTTAAGGGCTAGGTGCATTCAGCCAGCTAGTTTTGAGGGAACTGATTTCCACAGTCTTAACTTCAATGCATTTTTTTTTTAATTGAGAAGCTGCCTCAGAATTTCTTGGGCTCAAAATATCCTCTATCTAATTATATCAAAACAGGAGTGTTAGTCAATGTTTTCTAACTTATGTGGTAGCAAATGACAACTCCCAAATTTAGGTACCTTGCAACAAAAGTGTATTTGGTACTCAAGTCGCACATTGGGTGCCGAATAGCTATGGTTCAGCTCCAGGCTACAGGTCAGCTTCAAATCTTCTAAGAAAAGTGTCTTCTTATTTTTGAGATGCAGGCTAAAGAGCAGTAACCTATTTGGGACCTAAGAGAGGGAGAAAGTAAGCAAGTGAGTGGAATTGTACGGAATGTTTCTCAAAGTCCCAGTGTGGTCCTGTCACCTACAGTAATATTTCCTTGGCCAAAAAGGAAATATTTTTAAGCCTTAAAATAAGGAAAATAGGTAGGCTTCTATATGAATACCGTGATTCACACGCAAACAGGAAAAGATGTCTCATCCTCTCATTGGAGACAAAAATAGAATATGACACAGATGTCAAACTCCTCACTCATCTCCAATTTTACCGTGTTTCATGCCCCAGGACATAAAAACCTCTCAGGAACAAAATAAGCGAGTATTTTAGATTATGATATTTGCATGTGGAAGCATCCTTAATTAATTAATGAAGCCATTTGGATTCCACAGGACTGTCAGTTTTCTCTCTCTTATTCCTTTTACCATTCTTATTCTTATTATTGGCTCATATTGAAATGTTATGTATTCAAAACAAAAAATACAGTTTAAGTATTGAGCCTGATTTTTTAAAAATAATAACGAATATTTTTCAGATACAGACATTTTTATAAGATTTGTACATAAGCAATTTCAAATTCATTGTGAAATATGCAATAAGATCATTCAAACTTATTTTCAGAAATCATATTGTGGTGTGGGTCACAATATGTAAATTGTATTGTGCCCAGTTATAACTAAATCCTCATCTTATTTCATCTTATAAAATATTTAGTATGTCTAAGTCATAGTAACAGAAAACTAAATATACTTCAACTTATGTTAAAAATTTCAAATGTCAGCTCAATAATGTGTAAGGTGGTATATAATATAAAATTATTTCAAGGAGGTGTGCCACTAATTAAATGATTGTCTCTCATTTCCATGCCCTTTCTTTTATACCTTCTTTTGTAATGCAGAAACTGAGGTACCATACCTGCATTTCTTCTTGGTTAGCAGACTTCTTATTGAGCTCTGCCAAAAAGAAATGCAAGAAAATGACTGCAAGGCATGAAGCTGTAAAAGGTACTTGCTTCTTCTTGTTTTGTGCCACCTTAGCAATTGTTTTTCCCTTCCCAGCAGTAATTGGTTTTAGTCTCCAGATTCCAGAATATATTGATACAGATGCACTTACCATGGATTCCGGATTTAATGAGTTAGTGCAACTAACTCATTTGTTAACCTGAAACTGCCTATAACACTTTACTTGTTTAATTGATTTAAACTTGAATTTACAATGATGGAAATATTATAACAGATTCAAAGGCTTAGGAAGAAAGAAATACTGGAGTGCATTTATCATTGTATGACCTGCAGGCCATCCTCCATTACATCACTAATAGGGTCTAGAAGATACTCTACTCACTCTAAGACATTGATAAATTCATTAGTGAAGGGAATATCAGAATACATGAAAAGCTCTGTGGTGGCAGTACTCTGTAGGCTGAGTATGACTGGGGAATGCTGCCATTAAGATGGCTTCTCTAATTTAGTAGGGATGATATAATTACAGAGCAGTGAGGTTGAAGTTTTAGAATTTAACCATTATAGACAAGGTATCACATTTCCATAGTGTGCAGCAAGCACACAATAGTGTCAGATTGTTTTGATATACTGGGATTCTTACTAGTGGTGAATTGCTTATGGTGTCCCTAGAAATAAAACAGATAGCCTACTCAAATATTTCTTACTTTCTATAACAGGAAAAACTGGAGGCCCAGTGGCCACTCAACTTGAGTCATCAAAGGAGTTGTCAAATGTCGAAGGAGAGTCATAGTCGCTCACCATGTGTCAGTTCATAGATTTGAGCTTTTTTTCTTGAAGAAGAAATCAAATCCCCTTAACATTCAGGTTCCATTACATGATGCAGTCTTTTCTTTGGACCAGTGATTACATGAGCAGTTTTCCTTTTTTCTTTTTCTCACCAAATGCATGGGTATAGGAAACCAGAAATGAAAGGTGAATTGGCAACTTTCACTATTATTCCTCATGAGTTACTCAAAAATTTTTATGTTTCTAATCTTGAAAATTTGGAATTTGGTGATCTGGAAGTCTTAGCTCCAAATGAAATAATTTACAGTTTCATAAAATTGAATATTTAGATAAATACCTGGTTCTGTTGGGATCTCATGCCATTGTTTTTATAAGAAGATACAATATTATTATATTGGTTGTGGTTATTACCAAGGGGAAAGGGGTTTCCACTATACAATGGTGACATGGAAGACATTTTTGGACAAGGTGACTTTCTGGTGTGTGTCCTTGTTCCCTCATGTCTAATTGTAATAGTTTAAGGAAAATCACAATGACTAAAAAGGCTGGACCACTGAGTACACTGACTCTTAGGAGTGAAATTTTAGGTTACTCAAACAAGTGAAAATTTCAACCACTGAGGCTATGGCTGAGAATAAAATGAGCATGGAATGGAAACAATAAAGTCATAACTGCACATTCATGGATAGTTACAGAGTTGAAGCACTTACACATACTGTCTTCCTTATTAAATGTGATGTGTGTGCATTTATTTTTCCTTTCTTCTAATTTCTTATTGTTTTACATAAAGATTATTAATGGTAATTAACTTAGCAATTTAGTCATTAGCTTAAGGAATATTAGAATTGAGCTGGAATTCAATTTGAGGAGGAATTAACGTCACCCAAAATTGGGCAGCATGGTTGTTGAAATGTTGTGATCCCTTTTGGGGGAAGAGAGTAAAACTATTTCTAGTTATATGTGTTTACTTTTTGGTATGGAGGTTTATATATGTATGGAGCATATGTACGGATGCTGATTAGGAATAGGAGTGGACTGTGAGGCTGAGTTTAAATCCACATTTCTTTTTTGACTGCTGACTTCCTGTTAGTTTCTACCAATAGGAAATGCAAGATAAATAGTAGACAGCAGGAGGGAGAGGAAGAGACAAAGTCCTTCCCATTTCTTCCATTATCACCTCAACAACTGCTTTTCACATTAGCTGAGGCAACAGGTTTCAGTTTCCAGCATCTTCCAATATTCCCAGATCCAGCCTCATTATCCTTCTTAGAGATACCAGTGAAAGCTGAGTAGTAGGCTGTATTCAGAGATTTTAATCCCAGCTCTTTAGGGCACCTCATTTTGGACTAGTGACAAAGCGTTGGTAGATGAACACTAGCCTGCACATCATACATTGAGTAACACCAACCCCTAGTACTCGTGAACATGATCACCTTAAGCAGCATTTCGTTCTTGTCTTTAGGCTTTAGCAGGAACAAGGGTATCTTACTTCTTGCTCCCTTCTTGTTCCTTTTCTTTTAATCAGGTTTATGTTTACAGCTGTCCCACCCACCCCAGGTGAAACAAGCTTAACAACCACATAACACATCTTTGGTAGTCTCTAAAATGGTTCATAATTGTGTAACTTTCTCCTACATTGTATCAAAATTGTCTGTGTAGATTAGAGAATGTGGTGAAAGTGATGACATGTCACTTCTGAAAACTCATCCTGGTTTCTTTCTCAGTCTCTTAGATCATGCACTCTGGGGAAAGCCAGTTGTTATCCTATGAGCTGCTCTTTGGAGACTTTCACTGGGCAAGGCTTTGAGGCTTTCAGTCAACATTGAGCAAGGAACTGTGGCCTTCTGCCAAAAGTCTTGTGAATGAGCCATTTTGTTAGGTTATCCATCTGCCCCTGTCAAGCCTTCACATAACTGCAACCCCAGCCGGCACCTTGACTGCAACCTCTTGAGAGACCCTTAGCTAGTACTAGCCAGCTAAGCTGGATTCTTGACCATCAGAAACTGTGGAATAGAATAAATTTTTGCTTTCTTAAGAATGCTAAGTACTGGGGTAAATTGTTACACAGCAATAAATACATTGTATGTCTTCTACCTGTGAAATTGAATTTCAGTTTTCAAAATGTGCCCGCTAAGCAAAATAGTATGACATTGTATAGAGTTTAAGAATGTAAAGTAATTGCATTTACTTTAAATTTGCCTCCTCTCTCTCTCTCTCTTTCTCTTTCTCACTCTCCTCTTAGGAGGAGGTGTTAGAGTAGTAGATCCAAAGAAAAGGGACCCTCTAAAGTTCTAAATTACCATGATATGTTATTAAAAACATTAAGTATATATTATGTCCAGCTTTCTGAAATTAATAGGAAGAGTTTGTTTCTATTTAAGCAATAAAAGAGGCTGAATTTTAAAAACCGAATGTATTTTGAATTATAAAAAGCCATCTAGGAGCATAGGTACTATGGGTTCTCATATCTTCTATTCTTTAGATTTATACTTTTCTGCTTTTCTAGTCTATAACTTCCTACAAATAATATTCTCAATGTGAATGTTATGTTGCTTCCTTAAATTCTAAATGAATCTCTTCCATTTCCTTAAATTATAAATGTTCTTTCAGTTACTTAAATTCATATTCAAGAGTTGTCTGAATTGTATGTATTAGGCCATTCTCACATCACTATAAAGAAATACTGAGACCGGAATTTATTTTTTTTAAAAGAGGTTCAGTTGGCTCACAGCCATCCAGGCTGCACAGGAAGAATAGTGCCAGCACCTGCTTCTGGAGAGGCCCCAGGAAGCTTCCAATCATGATGGAAGGTGAAGGGTGAGAAGGCATCTCACATGGAGGGGGCAGGAACAAGGGAGGGGGAGGTACACAGTCTTCTACACAACCAGATGTCGTGACAACTCAGAGTGAGAGCTCACTTTTCACCAAAGGGATGACCCATTCCATTCATTAGGGATCCACCCTTATGACCCAGACACCACCCACCAGGTCCTACTTTCAACACTGGGGGTTACATTTTAATGTGAGATTTGGCAGGACACATATCCAAACTTTATCACTTTACTTGCTCCTTTTTTTTTTTTTCAATATTGTTTTCTTCATTGTGAGGAAACACAACAATTCTCTTCTCTCAGCTGAAGTTTCTTAGTTAAAAATCCAAAGTTTTCACATTTGTGTCTTTGATTTTCTAGTCTTTTCTGAAATTGTTACCAGCTTTGGGCCATAAGCTTTAACACTGTACTAAGATTTTCAACAAAAAGATTTTAAAAAGTACTTTCATATATATCATAAATATCAAATATATATGTTTTATATATATCATATAAATATATATTATATATGTATATGTGTGTAATAATCAGAAGAAATTGAACAAGAATAGATTTTTACCTTGGTTGACATTATTACAAGTACTAAGACATGCTCTGTGCCTCTGTGCCTGCTACTTCCAGAGTCCCAGTTCATAGAGGTGGTATAATTTCTTATGCATAAAATGTTTTGTCTAAGAAAAAGCTCATTTGTTTGAATACGTTTCCCCCTTTTACTATGTTTCCCATTTTGGAGAATAATTATGTCTCAATATTATCATTAATTAGTAACTTTACTCACCTATTTGACAGTTATTTACTAGGTTAAATTCCCATATCATCTACAATATGGGCAACACTGCTTTGAATGCCAAAAAAAAAAAAAAAAAACTCCTCTTAAAAGAGGCTTGCATTTCAATTAAAGGAATAAGGTATGCATCTAAGTAACTACGGGTATTACCATTATTTTATTATTCAATAGAATATATTTTGATAAATTATGGCCCTAAACTTACTAGATGTATTCAATAAAATCATTTATTGTTAATAACAAATATGTAACCACGTTAACACTTTGGTAAGATTATTAATTTCTCTGAGACATACCCAGAGTTCTAACTTTCAACACTATAAATGTGTAGTAATAAATTAGTTTGACAAAGAAGAAGAATTTGATACTCTTCTCTGGAACACTTTTTTTTTTTAAGTGATCTCAATCTCTTCGCCTCCATCCCTTTGTCTTTCTCTGTCTCTCTCCTTGTCTGTCTTTTTTCCTGTCTGTATTTGAGGATTTTCTCTGTCTAAACATTCTAAAATATTGAGGTTGAAAATTCTTTGGTTCTTCTGCTAATCCTGCAGTTCATTTTTATGAGTTTACTTAAACGAATATATATATACATTTGTTATAATATTTATATATTATATATTTATATATTATATACATATATTTGTATACTATATATTTGTTTTATATATAATATATTATGTAAATATATATTATATATGTATATGTATATATGTATATGTATATATATAATATATGTATATGTATATATATTATATATGGGTATGTATATGTGTGTGTATGTGCATATATATATGATTGGGAAGGAAAGGGTTGTTTGCAGAAAGGGAGGAAATTACCTTTAAGTGTGGTTTTGGGAATGATTAATGGAGCTCAATAAAGTATAGAAAAATCATACATTATTTGAGAAAAGAGTTTTAGATTTGTAAGAAGAGTTAATAGGACTAAAAGGTACCATATGATTTAGTTCATGTGACATTGTGTAAGAGAAAATTCTATAGGACAAAAAGTCAGTATTTTCCAAGGCATAGTGGTGAGAAGCAGTGAATAAGTACACAGGACAAGGGGAGATTTTATTTATTTTTATTTTTATTTTTATTTTTGAGAAAGAGTCTCCCTCTGTCGCCCAGGCTGGAGTGCAGTGGCGCAATCTCGGCTCACTGCAAGCTCCGCCTCCGCGGTTCACGCCATTCTCCTGCGTCAGCCTCCCGATTAGCTTGGACTACAGGCACCCGCCAACACGCCCAGCTAATTTTTTTTGTATTTTTAGTAGAGACGAGGTTTCACCCTGTTAGCCAGGATGGTCTTGATCTCCTGACCTCGTGATCCCCCCGCCTTGTTCTCCCAAAGTGCTGGGATTATGGGCGTGAGCCACCGCGCCCGGCCAAGGGGGTAATTTTTGAGGTGATGTTCTCTATCTTGATTTAGGTAGTGGTTTCGTGACTATATATGTTTGTTAAAAAATCACAGGATTGAACGTTACAAAATATGTCACCTGATATGTTATACTATATGTGTGTGTGTGTGTAGACACAAATTGTATATACAAATTATATATGAAGAGATAGAGAGGAGAAACAGTGAAAGACAGAGATATTAAAGGGATTCTGATAGTATTAATACCTAGAAATGCTAAATTCTGGCATGGCAATCATCCTCCTCTTTCTGAAATAGCTTAAGGTAGATTTATTTAAAAATGGATAATTATAAAGGAAAGGTATTAAATACTGTATTTTAGTTAGACTTGTATCCCAAGTCGTGAAAAGCAAATAACATTCATGCTTGAACAGACTGCTATTCTGAAGCTTCAGACCAGAGAGGCCTATCTTTTTCCTGCTTTAACAAAGCCGAACATAAAGACTGTCTGGAAGAGAAGATAACTTTATCCATGCAGGGAGAGACATCATTCAAGTTAACCAGTTAGATCCTACAAGAGGAAGTAAAAGAGCAGAATGGAGTCCTACATCCATTTTAATAACTAGTTAAAGTACAATGAATTGCTTACCCAACTAGTGAATGTGGCTGAACATTATTGTTCCTGAGACTGACTTCTTAGCCATTTATTTTACTTCCTGGGCTCAAACGAAGTTCCTGCCTCAGCCTCTCGAGTATCTAGGACTACAGGCATGCATCCTGACATCCAGTTAATTTAAAAAAAAAAAAAAATGTGTAGAGGCAGGTCTCACTACGTTTCCTAGGCTGGTCTTGAACTCCTGGCTTCAAGCAATCCTCCCACCTCAGCCTCCCAAAGTGCTAGGATTACAGGCCACCATGCCAGGACAATCATTTCTTTTTTTGTTTCTTGCTATACAGCTGATGGTGAAATATGGTTGATAATCAAAGATTTGTAGGCTTAAGGCCATGAGTTAAAATAAAAAAAAAAAAGTTCTAGTAACCTTCTGATCTTTACTTCAGCTGTTCTTATTTGTCTATAGAGAATTGAGTCACACGAACATCATTAAACTCTGATATTTTCTATAAGCTCAACTGTTTAGATGTGAATTGTCACTTTTTTCAGATGATCCTCATTGGATCTAAGAAAAAATCTAGAAAAGTAGATCCTATACATTTCTCAGTTGTAAAAGTTTATTTACGGGGCAATCTAGCATACATTGCACCAGAAATGCACTGATGGGATCATAGACTATCATTCAGCATTCTGGGGAATGTTATCTTTTGAAAGGTCATTCAATATAAGAAAGGTTTCTTTGCTGAAATTCTATCTCCAACACATTAATTTTGTGAATTTGATCAAGTTACTTAATCACTTTCAGCTTCAAGTTCATCATTTGCAAACAAATTAATACCTATTTCTTAGGAATGTTTTGTGAATTGACAATAGTAAATGCAAAATACCTATTATAATAAATAGCATAGAGTCGAATAGAAGATACCTTCATTTAACTACACTTCACTCAGCTGAGTGTCTAGGAGCTATGTGCACTTTCCCCTCTATAAATAATAATAAATATTTTTTTAAAAAAATCATTAAATAAATATGTTTGCTAGTATGATTTTTTTCTAGTATGCCCTAGCACTGTTGTTCCCTTTAGGGTAGCTACTTGATTATCAAGAGTCCATTGTGCTTGCTTAAAATATTTCTTTTTCTTTTATTTATTATCATTACATAGCTGAATTGATGAAAGTAGAACAAAAAACAACCTAGGTAAAAGAAATAGTAATTAATATTAAAACTAAATTAAATATATTGGAAAGATTTGGTAAAGATGAATCACTAAAAATGTCAAATTAGAGGTAGGTGAGGCATTTAAAAAAGATAAGATACTAAAATTTGATTTTTCTAGATGGCATCTACATTGACATTCCCATCTGAAGAAATTGCCCATCATATATTAAATGTGTGATTTATGAAAGAAAGAGATGTGAAAGAGATGTCTATTGGTGTATGCCTAATATAGGAGAGGAAATATCTCTTTTCTTACCCATTGCTAAGTTCATGGCTGAGGCACCCATAACAAAAGACAGATAAGCAAGAAGAAAGTATAAAAATCTGCTTAATGTAAGTTTTATGTGACACAGGAGCCTGCAAAAATGAAGATCCAAAGAAACAGAAAAACCTATACATTTTTGTGCTTGGATTTAATGAAGAATGGACAATCTTGGAGAAGTATGACCTAATATTAACAAACTGGGGGGAACTTACCAAAGCCTGTTTGCTCATATTTTTCTCTGTGTCCCTGTGTCTTCAGAGACAATGACAATCCTCTGGGTATAGGGAGAGAACAGAAGTGAGGGTGTTATGACCTACTTCAGGTGAAGGTTAGCCAGATTTTATGGCTTGTTTTAGACGGGGGAGAGGGAAGGGGAAGGTGAGAGTGATCTTCCTGCTTCTACTCTTTTTCCAAATGTGATGGTGCCCTATTTTAGGGCAGTGTGTTCTGAATCCAGTCAATATTAAAAGAGGCATCCTTGACTTTATATCAACTATTTGGAGAAAAAAATATATAACTATATGATTTAAATTAAAATAGACACCCATTAAAGTATGAAATTATTTCATAAACTCAACAAATTTTACCTTATTATTCTCTCCTTTAGTTGGTTTTTCCTAAACAAATATGTGGTTTCATCAGAAAACTTTAATACCTCATATTAAACAAAATAACATAAAATGAAGGAAAATAAAATGAATCAGTAAAGGTAAATAAGAAAACTTAAAAACTTGGAAAAAATAGAAATGTATCACTAAGACATTTCATGTTGAGAAAAGGAAGTTAAAGTTTCAACGCACGTCTAGGGGATAACTGAGAAGATGGAAATTGTGTTTATAATGATGTGACATCCAGGGATGGGTTCCAGGCTGAGCATTCCTCAAAGGACCTGGTGAGATTGCCAGAGGTAAAGCACTCTTTGACATATGCCAAAAGTTTAAATATTACATGCCTGGGAGAAGAGAAAAAAAATGCTGCAATCATTCAAGTAAAATTCCAACTGCCTCCCTAGTTGGCTTGTGTGTATTTGGAATAGATATCAAATAAATCATTTCTCTCCTTCACAGCAAGTGGGAAGGTTGATATATCCTGCTCAGATTCAAGGCTAGCCCTGTGAAAAGGTGCAAGAAACTGTTCAGGTAAAGTGATGTGTGGAATATGGATTATTTTCACCTGGCCTAATAACATCTCTTAAAATATGTGTGTATGTGTGTGTATGTGGTTACCAAAATTTCCACCTTTGTCATTGAAAGCCTTTGGATTAAAACATGATTTTTTTAATTTCAAATAGAAAATTGACAAAGTTTAAAAAATTTGCCAGCATCCATATTGCAGTGTATCTCATGAAATGCTGGCACATGTTTTTGTAAGTTTGGTGGTTGGAGGGGGTGTAATTTAGCAGTAACTACAAACATTTAACATAAAAACATTATTTTGTATGAAATTTTTTTTCATGGTTCTCATATTATACAATACCCTCATACACATTGTGAAATGAAGTATGTAGCAATATGTTTATTGCTTACAAGTCCAAAAGAAGCTGTAAACAACCTAAATGTTCATCAGTAACAAAAGGTTAAATAAATCAATGCAAACGTAAATAATGCAGGAAGTTTTTTAAAAAATAAGATATATTCACATATGATTATTGAATAAATATTCCCAAGGTAAATTAAGTGAGATAAAAGAACAGAATGAACAGTATCTTTGTTCTATATAAATATTGATATGGTTTGTCTGTGTCCCCACCAAAATCTCATCTTGAATTGTAACTCTCACAATTCCCATGTGTTCTGGAAGGGACCAGTAGGAGGTAATTGAATTTTGGGGGTGGGTCTTTTCTGCACTGTTATCATTGATAGCGAATGAGTATCATGAGATCTGATGGTTTTAAAAATGGGAGTTTCCCTGCTCAAGCTCTCTCTTTGCCTACTGCCATCTATATAAGATGTGACTTGCTCCTCCTTGCCTTCCGCCATGATTTTGAGGCCTCCCCAGCCATGTGGAACTGTAAGTCCATTAAACCTCTTTCCTTTGTAAATTGCCCAGTCTCTGGTGTGTCTTTATCAGCAGTGTGAAAACATACTAATACAAATATACTTGCAGTCATGCAATTATAGAAACATTAATTAGAGCTAGTTGTCTATCTAGATATATTTCACATGTGCATAGAAATTTCTCAATGAATACAAAGAAACTGTTCTTAGTGAATATAGAGGGTTAAGTAGGATGATTAATTTCACACTTCATATATACCATTCTATATAATATGGCTCTTAAGAATCATGTGGATGTAATAGTGAACACTCCCTCCCCATTCTTGTTTTTCATAATGTTACTACCATTTAATTCTTTGTGCTACCAGAACTAATCCTATATGCCCTTCTTATTTGTTTACATCGATAACCATAAGAAGCCCAAGACTCCCAGGACACCACTCATTCCTTAGATTCCTATCCCAAACACTTCTAATTGGCCTCATCTTCCATTTCTTTCTAAAGACTAAAATATTCTAATGGTACCCTGCAATTCACAGTCCACAATGAGCAAATTCTCCTTTGTCTTCTGTAATTGTTTCATCATTTGGTTCTTCAACCTGAAATCTGTTTCTCCTATGAGCACTGCTTCCCCTGTAACCCTGTCACAGGGTAGCCAGAAGAGGGTTCCATATCCTCCTTGTTTCTCATTTCCATTTCCAGGCACTCAGATCTAGGTCTCTTGTCTTCAAACTATATCTATACTCTCCTTCCTTGGTGCCATCTTCTACTGATGATTCATTCACTCCTGTTCTTTAAGATTTTATTACCTGTCCCACTGCCATTCTATAGCATTACTGCTTTTGTAATTAGTGGCAATTTAATTTCCATGTAAAAATTAATTTTAATATTTTAATGTATGTCCTTTCACTTCCTATACTCCAATAACGTGTCACCAACCTACCTCAATCACTCTCGTCCCTTTTCACTTGAAATAACCAAAATCCCTGCAGCATTTTCCTTCACTTTTTCACCTCCACCTCCCTTCTCAGCTCATTCCCAGTACTCTGACAATTCTTTCCCCCATTGCTACGTATAATTCACTGCTCATATAACTTGATTGCCTATACCCACCTCAAATGGTCATTTCTCTAATGACAAATTAATGAGTCCTTGTTTTTTTTTAGTTATAGTCACTTCCTTGCTATCCTTAAACTTTCTTTCTGTTTTATAACTTCATTGTACTTAACTTGCTAAAATGCCAAAACTAATAAAATCCAACTGTCCAACTACGTTTGCCTGCACAGTCAAATATGACTAGGAAAAATGCATACAAGGAACAACAGCTTACTACAACAATGTTACATTTGTAACCACCCACCTTAGTGCTGCTTAGCATTCTTAAGCAATTCTTTAGCTCATTCATTTGCTCACTTGCTTCATAACTTCTCCCTTTTTATTAAACTTCCAATATCTTCCTGTATCCTTACTCTTATCTGATGATCTTTATTTTTATTTCCAAGAAAAAAGAAGCAATCAGCAAAGAGTGTTAGCATGACATTGTCACAGGACCTAGGTTGTCACTTCACCTGCCTAAAACCTCTGTGGCCAGTGGTGCTTTTGCCTGAGTTTTGCTTGGGCCAACTGGGCATATACTGCCCACTTGGCCTGGCAAGCTGCACTAGGCTTGTGCTACCAGCCTAGATCCCATGCCTGCCAAGGGCAAGTCTGGTGCAGAGCGGAGAGGGGTATATGAGTGAGCAAGCACAGGATCCAGCTACTGCACACAGCCAGGCATGCTGGCTGTGGCAGGGTGGTCAGCTATACGTGCCGTCAGAGACACCAGCTCCCTGAGAGGCTGTGGCTGGACCAGACATACCAGAAGCAGCTTCCACTATGCACTGGGGAACATGGTGGCATCTGGAAGCTTGAAGATGCCAGGAACCACAGAGGCCCAAAGAGGGTGTCATAGTCTTGGCTTGAGGAACTCCTAGTCTGGGCTCCCTGAAGGGCCGCAGCTCTTCTCTCTCTTTCTTCTCTCCTTCTCGTCACCCGCAAGGTGGAAAGTGGGGGGTGTGTTTTAGTCCTGTTTGTGTTAGAGCTCTTTCAGTCCCACCATTCAGCAGGTCCCAAATTCTTGTCCCATGTCCAGGAAGAATGAGGTACATGGACTACTGGAGGGTGAGCAAGGTGAAGAGGTGCTTTATTGAGTGACAGTATGGCTCTCAGGTGACCCAGAGTGGGTGACTCCTAACCACAGGCAGGTCATCCTGACATCTCTGCAGAACTCAGCAGAGAGGAGACCCAGAGTGGATAGTTCTGTCCACAGGCAGGTCATCCTGATGAGTGTACAGCTCTCAGCAGAAAGGAGACCCACAGTGGGTAGCTCTTCTCTGCAGGCAGGTCATCCCATTTGTCTGTTGGAGTCTGGCTGAGTCCAGGGTGTTTATGAGCTTCAGAGGGGAGGCAGTCTGGGCTCATTGGTCCAGGGGCACCCATGGGCAGGCCTGGATAAAGCACCATAAGTTCTCTCTCTGATCCATGAAACTGGCAGTCAGGCCCCCAGGCTTCAGGCCATCCCTGGCTTAAATGTGGAATTTCACCAGGGACCCACCCATTTCTGCCCAGGAGCCTGTCTGCCTCCTGCTGCATTCATGGCACCTGGGATCTTCATGACTAGGGGCACCTGCAGGCCCATGCTGAGCTACCCTCAACCCCTCCTTGGCCTTCCTCTCACGCTTGTCAGCATCCAAAATCTAGAGGAGGCCAAGGTGGCCAAAGGCATCCCGAGCATGTGTACACATCCTGAGCATGTGTACACCCAGCTGGGTCGTGACAGTGCTCAGGCTCGGCCACAACTTTGCTGCAAAATCAGAGCAGGTGCCTGGAGTGGGGAGAGGCCAAGCAGCTGGAGCAGGCATTTCCAAGCCTGTGGGGGCTTCCTGGGTCCCTGCAACTGGGTGGTTGAAGTTGTGCTTGGGAGGGCAGGCCTCTCATCCCACCAGTTTGGAAGGGGGTGGGACTCCCTCCTGTTTCCAGCTCCCACTGACTCCACAGAGGGAGCAGCCCCAGCCACACCTCGCCTGCTGCAGCCGTTGTCTTTGCAGCAGCCACTCCAGACAGGCCACTGCTGCCATCACTGATACCATACAATTTGGTACAGCTTCATATGTTGCCACACAAAAAAGATGAAGGAATGATTCAGTTGCTCTTTCTGGACATTACATTTAGATTTGTCTGGGAGAGTTCCACTTATTCTCGAGGGGGTGGTGGTTTGTATAATAACTAGTTTGTCTCACCTGCTTGGGAATAAAAACAATAATTAATAATATTGGTGATTATGTTAGGATGTTAAGATTTTAATTCTTCAGCTCTTACTCTTTTTTTAAATTTACTTCAACCAAGTTTTGTTTCCACCAATCTACCCAAGTAATGATTTCTACATTGTTACATTCAGTAATCAGTTCTTAGGCTACATCTTACTGGACCTATCAGCATCATTTGAGAGGGTTGATCACGTCCCTCTTCTTGAAACTTATTCCTTGCTCATCAGTGGGGACACCACTATTATTCTGTTTTTCTTCCCTCTCATTGGCTTCTGTTTTTCAATTTCCTTGGAGAGTTCCTCCACTTCTCTCTGACAATTAAAATCGGTGTTTGCTGAGATTAGACATTTTTTTCTTCTCTGTTTAGATGGTGTGGTAGATTGATTGTAAAATTCCTCTCAATTTATTTTTCAACCTTAAGCTATGCATGTGTAGTGTGAGGCTGTGGTTCCTGCCATCAAATGATGTAGTCTATTTCCCATTCCTTTTAGTCTGGGTTTTCTCTAACAGGATGAGACAGAAGTACTACTTTGCCAGTTTTCAGTCTAGGCCTCAAGGGACCTTGCATACTTCCACTTTCTCTTTGGGAACACAAAGATCATCATGTGAACAAAGCTGGTTTAGTATATTAAACAAAGAAAAAAAACATGGTTCAATTATATCTGTGATCTCAAATGAGAGCCAAACAATTGTCAGATATGCAAAAGAAGGCAACTTAAAACACTCAGTCCCCAGAACACCAAGGAGTTGACCTATAAACAAACACAGCCAACATCAGTTAAGCCTAATTTACATTAGCAGAACTGCCAAAGTGACCTATGGATATGAGATCTATGTCTATAATATGCATGTATTTTTAAGCCACCAAGTTAAGTAGCAATTATTTTAATTATTTACATGTGAAGAAACAGAGTAGTATGGCCAAATCATTCAAACTTTTAGACTCCTAGGAGAATAGGAACAAATTATCTGCCTGCAATAATTCTTTTTTTTAAAGAGCCATGAGATAACTAGAGAGGTTTCGCTCTGCCAGTTTCTACAACTTTTTTAACCAAGAAGGTTAAGAAAGAGATAAAAACGGTTTGGGGCCACTGGAGATTAAAGCTCAATAATAAGATTTAAAGGCCTTGTGAACTGAAACTGAGATATCTCATCCTTTGCAATTCAAAGTTTGCCTTCTAGAGAGCCTAGGGAATTTATAAAAACAGAGTAAAATAAATTCAAAAGTTATGTCAATAAGCAGAAAATGAAGAGAAGAATAAAAGTTATCTGAGTACTAATTTTATCAGAAAAAAAGTGACTATATAGGAAATAGAAACAGTAATAGGTCATTGACACAATAAATACATATGATATCTTTTTACCTCCCAAATTTCCTTTTTTTTAAAAAAATTCTATACTACTGTACTAAAATTATTTTAATTATTTTGCATAACATATATAGAAAAATAGATGCTGTCTTAATAACTGAATGAGGTTATTTTTTAAAATGAGTTTGCTTTAAACTTCTTTTTCTAGTTTTATATAAAATATAAGAATTTATTTAATGGATCTTATTACCTAATAAATTAGCGTAATACTCATATCAGTAAATACTTATTTGTATAACATTAGTTAACATGTAGGAGAAAACATGGCTCTAAAGGAAGAGGGCTTGAGATTTTGAAGCAGATTAGAAGACAGAAAAGTCTAGAGGTTGAATAATATTGGAGTCAAGAAGTTATGCTGTGATGCAGGTAGATATTACAAAAATGGGTATCTGACCCACTGACAGAAAGAGAGAGGTGCCAAAGATCAAGTTAATATAAAGCAATTACTTAACTTCCATATTAGCAGCAAATTAGTAATCTCAAGCCTCCATCATTAATACTAATTTCAATAATAAACACTATACTGTGTTCTTGAGCACACTAAAAAAGTAGAGAGTAATAACTGGGACGATAAAAGGAAGATAATATTTCATAGAACTCTGCCACCTCAGAGGTGGTTAATATTTTCCATGATGGTTTTAACAAACTGTGTGGATAAGATTTGTGTTTCTCTCATTCTTCTCAAATAAGGAAGCCATATACAAAATTTCTATCATTCAAAAGATTGTATGTCAAATATAGCACCGGAAACATCTTTATTTGAACAGTCTACCTTATGAGAAGTACAAATAATTCCCCTATCTCTATTTTAGTTGGCTGGATTATTCTTCACTCTATAATACATTGTAACATTCAAGATGCATGTTTCTTTTTAAAGGAGGATGATGAGATGATTTTTTTTTTTTTTTTTTGACACGGAGTCTCTCTCTGTTGCCCAGGCTGGAGTGCAGTGGCGTGATCTTGGCTCACTGCAACCTCTGCCTCCTGGGTTCACATTCTCCTGCCTCAGCCTCCCGAGTAGCTGTGACTACAGGTGCCCGCCACCACACCCAGCTAATTTTTTGTATTTTTAGTAGAGATGGGGTTTCACTGTGTTAGCCAGGATGGTCTTGATCTCCTGACCTCATAAGCCAACCACCTCCGCCTCCCGAGATGATGTTTTGATAGCAAGACAAAAAAACTTGAATTAGGTAAACTATTTTCTCAATCTAGTGTGGTCTGGCTTTATAACAATATATATCAGTGAATTCTCTCTGTTAACAGAATTTGGTTTGCTGATGACACAGATGTGTGATATAACATTAACAAAGACATTTGGGAATTATTCTTGTTTTTAGTAATTTTGTAAGTTGATAGTGAGCACTGAAAGCTGTGGTCTGCACTTTGATATAATATTTTGCCATTCTATCTAGGAATAAACTCAGTCTTTTCTGACTGCGTTAGCACTGGTATGTTCATTTAAATTTAAGATGTTCTCAAATCAAACAAGCATCTAAACAGCAGTAAAATCCAACCATAAAAAGTGAATTCCCTGACTGACAAAACCAAAGCAACTGTGACATCTGAAGGGAACACATGTCCTTAGATCATTGATGACTTTCACTTCAAAATGCTGATTTTTCAGTGTCACGATAAGTCTATCTAAAATAAAATATTACCCAAAGGATGTTTCCATAGTTTTATTCTCTATGTTATATTAGTTTCCTTCCTTTTTTCTTTTAATAAAATGGATCATCAAAGGACTAACTCAGAGAGAAATAAGAAGAAAAGCACTTGAATCTAATATTTCCATGGGTTTTAAAAACAGGCTTAGACTTTGATCATTTCTCATTAGATCAAAGAGTATTTGGTACCCTTTGAATGGAAATGTATTGTAGTACATATCAAATTTAATTCACAAGTTCATTACAGTAAAATGAAAGAAAAAAATCCACTTTTACTGTGGAATAAATGCATTTATATAAAAGAAGCACAGATCTCATATATATATATATATATATATATATATACACACACACATACATATTCCAATTTAAAAGTCTTTAATCACTGCTTTTGGGTAAACAAACATCATACATTATGAGAAATTAGAAAATGAAATATACAGTAGAATTTAACACTAAGTAAACGTGGTAGTAGTCATTCTTCTATGGCAATGTAGGTACATTCACATTTTAGTTGATTTACCATGGAGGTCTGTGTTATTTAATTTAGTGTCTAATTATTTCTCATAATGTAATGAATGCTGTGAAGTGTCCATACATGGGTACAACTTGAATTTTTAGCTCACAATGTGAAGCAGCATGTATGTTATTTCTCTCCTGTGTCTAGGATGCGTGTATAACAACAAAATATTCAGGTTCAGTAGTGAAACAAGAAATCGGGATTCTTTATTTATACAATTCCATACACCCATTTCATTAGAAACACATGGATATTTGTGGCCATATTTAAATCCTCCTTTAAGCTATTGATGGAGAGCCGTTTAGATATAGTATAGCAGTTTAGATGTAGTTTATCTATACCATCTCTTATTGATAATCTATTGGCCATCGGGTTGCCAGTGATGGTTTACCTTAGGTATTTTGCTTTAGTAAATAATATTCACTAATAAATATATTTATTGGGATTTTTTTTGTCCCAGTGCATTAGAATTTTGCTTTATGGCCTTTTTAGGGATCCTCCTAGTAGACTCTGTGTGTGTGTGTGTGTGTGTGTGTGTTTGTGTGTGTGTGTTATACAGTATATATAGTAAAGTATACATATATAACATAATATATATAATATTTTGTGTATATATACACACACATATGTGTGTGTGTGTATATAGATATACATACATATGTGTGTGTGTGTGTGTGTATATATATATATAGTATGTGTATGGCCAAGTGCTACAAGTGCCACTAAAGACCCATAGTTGATTTTTTTCCCTTTGTCTGTTTAGACATTGGTAATTTAGAATGGCTTTAACACTAATTGAAAAGAGACAATAATGTCATCTATTGCTTTGTTGATTTAATTTATTTAAAGGTAACTTCGATGTTTATTATTGTTGTGACATTTAACTTGATTTGTATTACTGTCTTTAAAACTTTTAGAGAAATTTAAACATTCTTCTTCTTTCTTCTAATCCATTTTTATTCATATCTAGGTATTATTTTTCTGTGGGGTGATCTTTTAGTATATTACTATCATTATGTTTTAACCCTACAATTTACTAACAGAAGATGATGAACTGTATGTGGCCTCATTGCTTCTATTAACATGATTAATATTATGTTATATTCTATATATATATTCTATATATATATATGTATATATATATATGTTCTATTAACATTATTAATATTTCTGCCTGCCTTACATTTTCTACTACACTAAGAGAAATAGAAACACACATAAACAGATAATATGTATTTTATAGACAGTTGTCAAAAATATTGGAAACAATTAGAAATAAAACAATGATCAAGAACAAACCTATGATCCAAAACTCAAAAAAGCGTTGGAACAAATGTAGAGAAATTGGAAGACCCCTTACATGTTGTTTTGCAGCATGTGAAATGGTGTGACTACTCTGAAAAACAGTTTGGCAATTCCTTAAAATGTTAAACACAGAGTTACCATATGACCTAGCTATTTTACTCTTAAAGGAATACCTAAGATTGAGTAATTGATAAAGAAAAGAGATTTATTTTGGCTCATTGTTCTGCAGACTGTATAAGCATGAGAGCAGCTTTGGCTTGGCTTCAGTTGAGGGCCGCAGGAAGCTTATAATCATGGCAGAAAGGGAAAGAGGAGCAGGCACATCACATGCCAATAGACTGAGCAAGAAGTGGACAGGAGGAGGTGCCAGGCTCCTTTAAACAATCAACTTTCAAGTAGACTAACAGAGCAAGAGCTCACTCATCACCAAGGAGATGGTGCTAAGCCACTCGTGAAGGATCCGCCCCCATGATCTGACACCTGTCACCAGGCCCCAACTCCAACATTGAGATTTGCAGTAAACAAACATCCAAACCATATCGTACATGAATGTTCACAGAATTATTCACAATACCAAAACTGGAAGAAACCCAAATGTCCATCAATTGTTGAATAATTAAACAAAATGCAGTGTCTCTATGCCATGTAAGATTGTCAATTATAAGAAAGAAGTGCTAATACATGCTACAACATGAATAAACCTAAAAATATTATAAATTAAGGGTGTCACAAAGGAGCACCTATTTTATGAGTTCATTTATGTGAATAGTCTAAAATAGGCAAATCTATAGACAGCAAGTATATTCATGCTTGGCTAAGGCTGGGAGATAAGGATGTGGAAGGTATTTGGGAGTGAATGCTAAAGTCTATGAGGTTTCTTTTTGAGGTGGTGAAAATGTTCTAATATTAGACTATGTAGTTACACAATATTTTGTAGTCACCCTGTGGATGTCAGGATAAACCTCCCACCAAAAATCGGATTGTGTGTCAAGACTGATGATGCAACATGCACTAGGAATATATGGAAAACCTTACTACTCATATTATCGGACTTTCCAGAGAGAGCAGGGCTGGCACAAAGCAGTCCAGATCATAAAAAGTGAAAAGAGACAGGTGGCTTTGGCTTTTATTGTGGCTAGGAAGCAGGGCCAGCATGAAGGTTCTTGATCATGGGACAGGGTTTGCACGGTTGAACTATGAACAAGCTGAGGGAGAGAGAGTGAGGAATTTCTTATACCCAGATATGGGGCAAAAGAGGAAGGGAGAAAAGGAAAACAGTGATTAAAAGCTTAAGATATCTGAAATGGAGTCTTCCTCTTTATTACACACAACCCAGTAAACATAATAAAAACCGTTGAATTATACATTTTAAATGGGTACCTTTTATAAATATGCATGTTATGGCTGATTAAAGCTATTTAAATGAAAACCTGACAAATGGAAAATGTTGGTTACAATGTGGCGCAAACAGAAATATCATATATTACTGATAGGAATATTTAATGGTAAAACCACTTTGGAAAATGTTTTTGACATTTACTTTAACTATCAGTTACCAGTTTAGCAAGCAATTCTACTTTTAGATATTTTAATCTATGAAGAATAATTACTGTTTTCTATCAAAAGCTCTTGCAAGACTGTTAATAGAAGTTTTATACATAATAAACAAAAAGTTCAAATAACCCATCCACAGAAGAATACATACCTAAGTTGTGGTATGTGGGTGCAATGGAATGCCACTTGGCCGTAAAATGGAACAGAATACTGCTACCTACAACAGTGAAACAATCTCATAGGTATTATGCTGCTTTAAAGGAGCTAGACACAAAAGAGTTGTAAGATTAAATTTCTATTACATTCTCAAACTGGCAAAACTAATCCATAGTGAAAAAAAAAAAGTGGTTGCCTCTTTTATAGGGATGGGCCCATTAGGGCCATAAGAGAAGTGTTCTGGGTTAAGAAAAATGTTCTATAGCTTGCTAGGTCTTTGGGTTAAATCAGTGTATTTATTTGTCAAAATTATATGGCTTAGATATGTGAAATTTAATGTACATCGCTTTTACCTCAAAAGAGACTATGAAATCCTAGTAATGAAGTTGGGGAACTTGGAGTTGGAGTAGATATTGATGAATCAAAAATTAGAGAGTAATGATTTGTTGAAACTAGGTGATTCATTCATGAGGTTTTATTGTAATCTTTGATTTACTTTGTATAGGTTTGACATTTTTCATAACCAAAAGTTTTTTTAGGAGTTTCATAGGCAAAGATGGTGACAATTCCTGAGAAATCATAAAAGGTGATATGGTAGAGCACTGCTGTTTGGCTAAGAATGTTTAACTATAGTGAATTTGAGGCTTTATTATTGCGGTAGGAAGCTACAAACAAGTTTAAGCATTTGATGAGGAGAGCTTATTGAGATAATGTTATAATAATATATATCTAAAAATGATTGATGCATTTGAAAAGAGCTACAGCATTCTCCTAAATTGATGATGTATGGTCATGACATGTTTTAGTTTATGCCTCCACATATCTTTGTACATTTTAGATCTGTTTTACGTGTTTTGCCTCTTCTAATTGCATACACTTATGAAATACTTAAGATTTTAGTTTTTAATTCATAAGACTGTATTTATGAACTGTCATAGATTTAAAATACCAAATGTTTTACTCATGCATATATACATAGAGTCATGCCTTCAGGCATTGGCAAAAATATGACCCATGATATCTGTTTTTGCTCAATTCTTTTTGAAATTCTAGGTTAGGTGCATTATTCAGGATTACAGCATAATTGCATTGCATATTTAAAGATTGTTCTGAATTTCTAATTCCCAGGTCAATTCTATACTAAAATATATTACCTTGTTTTCCTGTTAAAAGGTACCAAGAATATTTGAAATGTCAATATCATGCCTCACAGGGAAGATGTTAAGGAATGATTACTTTAGAAAAGTTAACCTTTCATAAATTCAGATGTTTTAATATTTGATTCCATACATTTTACTCAAAAGTTACATAAATATATTTTTGACTACGGTATAGATGTAAATATGTGTTCTACAATTTAAAGCTGGTATTTTATGCAACTGCGTGTATGATATTATTCTTATTATTGTTACTACCATTTTATCTTATTTTTGAAAGATTAGTGATCAAATGAGGAGTGTTAGATGAAAAGACCTCATTTATTTAGACTTAGGTATAACCTTCAGTTCTTCCTCAGATAATCCATCAAAATAATCAATGCAGGTTTCCATAGCTTTTCATTCCAAGCAGTTTGGTATATAGAATCAAAATAGTGCCAGACCTGAAAGTCATAACCCATGGAGACTAGGTAGTACAGTTGAATCACTAAATTGTGACAATGTTTAGTCAATACAATTTGCAAGCAGGCATTCAGATTTCAGTTATAAATATTAGAGAATAGAATGATATTTTTTAAAGGTAAAATGCAAGGATGAGAGTAACTATCTTAGTAAATGTCAAGACACACTCTAACTGGAACGGAGAAAAATTTTTAACAAAACATAGGTTCTCATTTTTACTTATCCACAACTTCTCACTTTATTCTTACTTTCCACCCCTCATTCTCAAAGGTCCTGATCCACCAGTCTGACAGGGTTAAAACATTTATAAGTTTTAGGTCATCTTTGTGTTTGGATATGGTGAATGAAATAAGCTTGTGAATCAAGCAAACCTTACAAAATATTAAAGAATAGAATTAAGCCCCAGTCAAAACTGGCAATCCTATAATTTACTTCTTTTCTTTAAGATATTTTTCTTTATATTGAATAAAGATGCAGAAGTGCAGATCATGATGCCAAATTCAAAAGGAAACCCAGAGTTTTGCATGTTCCTTGCATGACTCCTCTGCCTTTCCCAAAACTCATACAGTCACCACGTGCCATGGGCCAGCATCAGTGTAATCCTACCACATCCTCATTTCTTTTTCTATCAGTCTGAGGAAGAAGCCCAAGAAACCTTTACCCATCTCCACAGGGCTTTGTGCATCCCCTTTTCATGACTTCCTATGACCTTTTTTCAAATCTCAAAATTATTCCAATTTTGTTGTCTACAACTACTCACAGTCAATCATCAGAACAATCTCACAGAATTTTTAATCCCACATTATCCTGTCAATCTATGTCCTTGTTTGGCAAATCTCTACACTGCTAAAATCCAATGTTTACCTATCTTGCCTCTGCACTGTCTGCGTGGTTGAAACACACTTCTATTAGCATACAAATAGTCTAAAATTTATGCTAGGAGAAATAGTACAAAACCCACTGTACACATTGCATCCTTCCTAGGTATTAATTTATAATTCTTTTCCCTTAACACCACCAAATGTTCTTGAAAGAGTTGTCTGAGCTCATTCTTTCTAACTCTTCTGCAACTTTTTCTTACTGAGCTCTCATAGTCAGGTTTCTCTCCATTCACTTCTCAGCTCTTGTCAAGGCCACAGCGCAGTGCTAAGTCCACTGGTGAATTATTAGTTCATGTAGATTTATCAGCAGACATTGAAAAAGTCAATCCTTCCCTTTTTCTTAAAACATTTCTTTACATGGCTTTTGGGAAACTACTCTCTCAGTTTTCTGACCACAACGGCTGCTCTTTCTTAAATATTATTATTATTTTGCTGACTTTGCTTCATCACTGATGTTTCTGGACTCAGGCCACAGATGTTCTCGCCTCTCTCTTTATTCACACCTTTGGAGTTTCTATCCAGTCCTTTAATTTAAATATGCTCTTTGTGCAATGACTCACATATTATAGCCACTTCTCCCTTGAACTTTAGCTATGTATATACTTGCCTACTTGACACCTCTATTTTGATATTCACTAGGTATCGCTAACTTAAGAAATGCTCCCGAAACAATTGTTTACTTCTTACCTCCAAATATGTTCCCTCTACATTCTTTTTTTTTTTTTTTGAGATGGAGTCTCACTCTGTCTCCCAGGCTGGAGTGCAATGATATGATCTCAGCTCACTGCAACCTCCACATCCCAGGCTCAAGCGATTCTCCTGTCTCAGCCTCCCAAGTAGCTGGGATGACAGGCATGCACCACCACGCCTGGCTAATTTTTGTATTTTTAGTAGAGACAGGGTTTCACCATGTTGTTCAGGCTGGTCTGGAACTCCTGACCTCATGATCCGCCTACCTCAGCCTCCCAAAGTGATGCTCCCACTACATTCTTACCTACCTCAGCAAAAGAACCCTTCATCCTTCCAGTTATGTAGGACAAGCAATTGGGAGTCATCCAAGACTCCTCTTTCTCTCATATCCCACACTCCACCTGTCTACTGCTGATATTACCTTTAAAATATCCCCCAGGTCTGAAGCTTTCTTATCCATGTTCCTCTATCATTTTGACCCAAACCACCATCATTTCTTGTTTGGATTAAAACATACTACAGCAGCAAGATTGAACTTGTGAGAATCTAAGCAAATTATATCACCTCTGTGTTTAAGTCTTCCCAGTGGCATCTCATTTCACTTAAAGTAAAAGCCAGTGTCCTCAAACCTTTTCCTTTTTGCCCTGAAATACTTGCTGGTGGCACTTGGAGTTGCAGCATTTACCCTGAGATAACTTTGCCGTGAAATATCTCGCTTTTATTATTATTTCTCCATCACTTTAGTATATTGACTTTGGAAACAAAAGACATCATTCTATTTATAGAATTCTGTTTTTAGCAGTGGTGTTTACATTGACAAAATTGTAATTCTGGATCACTGAAAATGTTAAATCCTAGAAAACGTAGCATTCCTAACCATGATGTTAACGTTGTTCTCAAACAGTTGTTGGCCAAAGATTCATTTGATGAGATCGATTTTTCTGAAATAAAAGATTCTGATTATTCCGATGATTCTGATGTTAGTTCTGTTTAGAATTAACTCCAAAACAATTTTTATATTTTATTTTCACATTGAAAATTAGTCAGATTTGCTTCAGCCTCAAATAATCTGTTTATGTAAAATTAAATGAGTGCCTGCAGTGAGCTGCACTTTTTTTTCCTAAACAGGAAAAGGGTTAAAATGTCTTACAAGTTTTATATATATATATATATATGAGAGGAAGAAAGAGAGAGAGAGAGAGAGTCTCACTCTGTCACCCAGGCTGGAGTGCAGTGGCACAGTCTTGGCTCACTGCAACCTCTCCCTCCCGGGTTCAAGCGATTCTGGTGCCTCAGCCTCCTGAGTAGCTTGGATTATAGGCGCCAGCCACCACTCCCGGCTAACTTTTTGTATTTTTAGTACAGACTGGGTTTCACTATGTTGGCCTGGCTGTTCTCAAACTCCAGGCCTCAAATGATCTGCCCACCTCAGTCTCACAAAGTGCTGAGATTACAGGTGTGAGCCACTGCTCTAGACCTACAAGTTCTATATTATATGGACCCTCACTACTTCTCTGACCTCACTTTGTATATCCTTCATCACTACTCACTGGATTGTACCCACACTGACTTCTTTGAATTTACATGAGCTTCATTAGCATTTTTCTACCTCCTTTGCATTTGCGCTTTATGAGAAATACTACTTTCTGTCCCTCTGTTTTCTATGTTTCTGTTCAAACAACACTTTAACATTGATTTTTTTCTCTCTTAAATTCTGTATAATACAGCAACCCATCCCTTTATTCCTTATTCACATTCCCTCTTACTTTTATTTTCTCCATAACAGTTACTACTAAGTGATATATATGTGTTTAATTATTTATTTTTGTATTTTTGTCTTGTCTCAGATGTAAGCCAATTAAAGGAAGAAGCTTCATTTTATTCACTACTAAATTCATTGCACTTCCAAAGGTGCATGACCTGTAGTAATATGCAATAATTACTTGTACCGTAAGTGTGCAATGCATTAGGTCAGGATTGTAATGTGTGAGTAATGCAAATTGGTGACAGAGAAAAATGCAGGGGATGAAAAATAAGGGTAAAGGGAGAAGTAAGAGACTTTCAAGATATACAGGGAACACTTAAAATATAATGATGAAGTGCAAGTGAAAATTTTAGAATCAGAGAACCTAGTTTCAGATTGCAGGTTTGCCACTTGGAGGATATATGCCCTTGAACACATGACTTAAATTATTTGTGCCTCAATTCCCATGATTGATAAATAGGTATAGTAGCTATCTCATTACATTATCAATATTAAATGCAATAATACTTAAAAATGTTTAGCAACATGGTGGCATATAGTAAGTAAACAGTGGTAGTTGAAAGACACAATAACACCAAAATAAATCAGAAATCAAATTGCATAATACTTCCATATTTCAAAAATCTTTTTAGAATTAGCCCTATCCTTTGAAAGAGATTTTTTTGTCTTGTTTCTCCCGTAATTTGCAGAATTATAGTAATATGATTGCTCACCTTATGAATAAAATAAAATTTAAGAACAAAATAGTAATGTGATTTTAGAGAGAGCAGAAGCATGTATGTGTGTGTGTGTGTGTCAAACAGAACTTTGTACCAATCACAGCTATTTCACTTAATGTCCTAGAGCCCCACTTTTCTTGTTAACCTAACATAATAATAATAGGACTGCATTGCAAGGCTCTTATGAGGTGTTTTAGTTTTCTATTGCTGTGTAACAGATTACCTCAAACTTAGTGTTTAAAAGCAACAGAAGTTTATCATCTCACAGTTTCTGTGGGTCAGAAGTCTGGGCATTGTGTAGGAATTCTCTGTTATTTTCTCAAAAATCTGAAATCAAGGTATTGACTGGGGGTGCAGTTTTCATTTGAACCTCTTCTTTCTCTTCCAATCTCATTCAGGTTATTGGCAGAATCCAATTTCTTGCAGTTGTAAGCCTGAAGTGTCTCTCTTCTTACTGGACTGTCACCTGGGGTTCACTGTCAGTTCCTAGAACTTACCCTCAAGATCTAGCCATGGGCCCCCTGCATAGGCAGTTTAGAACATGCCTGTTTGTTTTCACCTAGTTCAGCAGGAGCGTGTTTGTTGCTGGTTTTTTTTAAGAGCTCTACTGAATAAGTCATGACCACCCAGGAAAATCTCCCTTTTGATTAACTCAGTCAACTGATTAGGGACCTTAATGACATCTACAAAATCCCTTTTGCTATATAAGGTAATATAATCCCAGGGCTGGTACCTATTGTTTTCATAGGTCCCATTTATACTCAAGGAGAGGGAATTCTATAAGGACATGAGTCACCAGGGGCTTATCTTAGAATTGTTTACCATATGAGAATTAAAAGATTTGTTGTATATGAAGCCTTTCTCCCATGACTTATTAACTGTGGTGGTCAATAAGACAACATTGTTATTATTTTCCTAGTTTCAGATTCTAAATACATAATACGTTAATATTTTAGGGACTGGCTTGTACTTTTATGATATTTATACTTTAGAAAAATTACTGATTACAGAGATCGCACAAAAGTATTCTCACTTCTTAAATTAGAGAGGACACTGATAAAATGTGTGATGTTCTTGTTCTATTTTACTTCCATTTTAACTCACTATTTCTTCAGTTGAACAATTTGCTCATCACATTCCCTAGGGGACTGAGAAAATTGTACTTGTACGATGTTGCAAAAGGAAACTTCCATGGCCTTCGAGTGCAAGCTACATTATTTATTATCACATCAATGTTCTGGCAGTGTTGCTTGTAAGTAGATATACTGATTTACTCTGAAGATCAGTCAGGTGAGCTCAGTTTTGCCTTGGGCTATCAGATAAGGAATGCATCTTACTTTTCCAGTGCTTTTGAAGCCAAGCTCATTGAAGACAATTTTCAGATTTACAGCAATTTTCAACCAATATTATTCTGCTTCTTTGGCCAGTATAATTGAACACAAACCTAAATTTTAATTGAAATTATTCTCATCTATATCTGCCGTGAAAATTTTTTTAGATAAAGATGAAAATTACTAATTCAACATCTAAGCTAGTTACTAACTTTATATCTATGAATATGAAAATCTTGTAATATATAACTTCTCTTATCAGGTGCTGAATTGTTTCTTTTTTCTTATATCAGCACTTTGTTGAACATTGTTAACAACATATTAATGCTATATGATGAAATCTGAAAACTTTATAAAAGCACTTAAAGGTACACTATCATAATGTGCATTAACTAGTATTAAATTAAGGTATTTCTAATGTAAAACATAGTAAATTTAGCAAAACAGGACTATTTGGAAAGATTGCAAAGTAAACATACCAGTCTCTGCAAATGGCACATACCATTAGGGTAAAAAAGAATACTGTGTTCTTATTTGAGTAATGCATTTGGTCAAGGGGCTAGTCTCAAAAATCTAAGTAATGACCTACCTAAAGCTCTGTGCACCATCCCAACCCCATCCCCACATACTTTCATTCTTCACTCTTACAGCCACATACCTACTACATCTAGCGTAAGCCATTTCTCAAGATATGGCACCAAGATAATTCTTGTTAAGAAAAAAAAAATTCATCCTTCATATGCTCACCAGATTTAGTTTCAGAGGAACTTTGCTGTTGCTCCTGTTGCCATTAGTTTTCTTAACATTCTCTACCCTTAACTCAGGAATAAGTTTATTCTTGTGTGTAATTTCCATCCCTTCCCTTAAGAACTAGAGATACTCACCAGACCCAAACACTGAATACCTGATCCATGAATGTTTGTGCCCCCACTTTAGTGTGTTTCATGAAACACCCTCTTTTGAGACATTCATATGCTGAACAAAAGCAGGACCATCACCATATTTTCAAATACTATATACTTCTTTCCATTATGTGAAAATACATTTGATGGTTGTTTTTGTGTATTTAATTTTCTAGTTGTGGCTCTACTTAAACATATTTTCCTGCCATCTGAAGCCAAAGTTATAGTAGCCTAATCTCAAAACTAAATACTTAATAACTGATAGCAATCAATTTGTAAAATACCTATAGATTTTTATGATATTTTTAAAAAGTTTGGAAGAACCATGAGAATGTGACAGTGAGTCATTTCTTTTATATTATTTCAAGACTGCTTCTTTGCTTGTTCAAGGCTGCATAATGAGGCATTTCTTCACAATTACTCATATTTTTCAATCTTACTTCATGATATATCGAAAAATACCCATAAATATTTTCTTTTTTTAAAAAAAATTGCAATTATCAGCAAGAGCTTCCATGTAAAATTTAAACCAAAAAGACAAATTGAAAAGATAGGACCTTTAAAACATACTTTTCTTCTTTCAGTAATAATTTTTCTTTTTAGGGCCTTTATAAAAAAAAGTCTACTCTGTCAATTTTATTGAACAATAATACTCATCTAAAAACATAAATAAATCAAAACCGTGGAGTGAACATGCTTTGTGATATGCATCTAGAATATTTTAAAAGTAAAACAAAACTAAACAAAAATTACTTGAAATCTAAAATCCACCATGACCCTTTGTTCATTTTCTTCTCAATGGCCAGATATAGTCACAGCCTATTTCTAATACCATAAATTAATTTGGTTTATTTTTTAACTTTATGCAGGTGAAATTATGCAGTACATGCTCTTATTTGTGGCTTCTTTCAATCAATAGATGTTTGTGATATATAGTTGTACTTTGTTCATATTTATTGCTTTATAATAACATTCTTCTTTATTAATGTACTACAAAATACATATTCATGGTAATATTCATAGCAATTTTATTTATTTTTATTCATTTTTGTTTATTGAAAAGAGTGTTGCTATGAAAAGCTTGTATATGTCTTTTCTTATGTGGTAGGAATTGAGGTCCTTTGTTTTCATTTGTTTTCAAATGAATATACACTTGACCCAGCACAAATGTTGAACTGCAGTACCCCCACTCAATCAGGTGGCAGCATATACAGAAATTTGTTTCTGGGCTATTTTAGAACTTGATCTATTCTTCTATCCTTGTGCTAATATCACACTGTCTAATTTATATCACTGAATAAGGCTCAACATAATATTAATCTTTCAGTCACATTCTTCTTCAAGATTACCTGTATTTCCATGTAATAAATAATAGAATCATCTTGTTGATTTCTAAAGAAATAAAATTTTCTAATCTTTTGGTTGAAATTGCTTTGAATAGGTGGATCAACTTGGAAATAATTGACATCTTTACAACGTTAGCTCTGCAATTCATGGACACAACATATTCCTCCATTTATTTAGTTCTTATTTATTTGTGTAATAGATTGTATGTTTTAGTGTGGAGATTATACACATGCTTTAAAATTCTAGTTTCTAGATTTTTATGTGTTTGATATTATTTTAAATGACCTATTTTTGTTTTCTGTGTGTAGTAACAGTTTTTTTTTCTGTTTAAGCTCTTAAATGTGTAATGATTTAAGAAATTCGACTAAATTTAACTGCATTGTATGCAAAAAAAAAATGTTCTTCCACTCTTATAGGAGAGGGAGGAATCCCTCTCCTCCCTACCTTCTTTTCTACCTTCCAGCCTCTTATAATCATAGTTTCATTTTGTTCTTTTTAATCCCTGTGTCATTTAGTTTTATTTATTTATTTATTCTTGTTGTACTACTTAGAACCTCTAGTACAGTATTGGATAGAAGTGGTAACTGAGGGTTTCATTGTGCTGTTTCTGATGTCAGGGTGAAAAACTTCACATTATTCATTATTTACCATAATTTCACTCTAAGAGTTTACAGATATTATTTATAAAATTCAAGGATGTGTACATCCTTATGCTCTATAATATTTATACCTTCATGTAATTTTTTTTGATTGTGAGCTAGGCTTAGTGATTCATTTCTAGTTAATAGAATAAGGCAGATGCAATGGTGTATGACTTGGATACCAGAAAATAATAGGTCACTTTTACTCTCTCTTGTATTGGGCTTGCTCTACGGGAGGCCAGCTGCCATGGTGTGAGACATCCTACAGAGAGATCCATATGGTGAGGAACTGAGGCCTCTAGCCAACAGCCAGTGAGGAGCTGAGGCCTGCCAAAACCCATGTGAATGAGCTTGGAAAAGGATTTTCCAGCCTTAGTCAAGCCTTGAGATGACTGTAGTCCTGGCCAACAGCCTGACGACAACTTCACAAGAGACACTAAGCCAAACCACCCAGCAAAGCTGCTTCCAGATTCCTGACCCTTAGAAACTATTTGAGATAGTGAATTTTTATTGTTTTAAGCTGCTAAATTGGGAAGAAATTTGTCAGGCACCAGTAGATAACTACTGCAAGGAAATTATCTTCTTTTCATAATTTTCTAAGTTAATTTCATCAAAAGTTATTTTTAATTTCTTGTTTTTTACCATTTCCCCATTTTATCATTTCATTTAATATCTCTTTTAGAATGAGTCTATAATTTTAATGGACTGTTCACCTTCTCTGTCATGATGACATTCACTTTCATCTATATGTATTTGCTACATGGATATCAGTTTGGTCCCTCAAGCTAGGTAGCTTATCTCTTGAGGACCAGTACCTTCTAGTGTGCACCCATACTCCTTGGAGTTCTAAAGAATATAATAAATATTTGATGACGTGCTATGAATAAGCGTGAGAAATCTGAATGATTAAATGTAAATACGAATTTACTAATTCAAAAAGTGAATAGAATTGTCATCTCTTTGAGCTCTATTACAAAAAGTTTTTAACTCTAGATTTCCATACGAAAAAGAAAATTTTCTTTTAAATGCAACAAGCTTATTTTATCATCCTGCAATCAGTACACTTAAGCATATTCTTTTTAAATGTTTAACATAGAGCTATTTAATGCATCTAAAATCTATTTTTATGTTATAAAATAAAAATTCTGGATATTAATAATATTATTTAAATGTCAACTTCCCAATTAAGGAAATAACATTACTGGCTGGCTTTGCTACTAAAACTGTGAGTAATACTATTTTAAAGCTACTTTCTGAACACCATTTATAAGGCAAATACACATAAAGGGTAATATAGCTACCATAAATCAATAAGAAAAAACAAATGATGAACAATTCAGTATGAGAATAAGCAAAGAATATAAACAAATCATTCAAAAAGGAGGAAATTAAAGCTTCAGAGAAGCATGTAAAGGTAATATCCAACTCCACTAACAAGAAGGGAAAAATTGAAATGAAAATTAAAACTGTAATACAGCAGTATTCTTATGAGAAAGAACGTAGAATTTCTGTGATACACTGTGCTTTCAAAGGCATATAGACAAAGTACTCATGCATTGTTAGAAGAAGGGTAATTTAACAATATCTATCAATGTTAAAAATTGCTTACATCTTTTGATGCAGCAAATTGATGTATATATGTTTCCCTATAAACATATATACAAAGGTATTCTTCCCATCATTGTTTGGAATAGCCCCAAATTGAAAACAACCTACATATCCATAAATTAGGGCATAATTAATTAAATTATTGAATAACCACAAAAAAGTGATATGGAGCCATTTAAAAACACAAAACCACTTTAGAGGTAATAATAATAAACAATATTCAAAATACTTCTTTAAAAGGAGAAAAAGCTAAACGAAATAATGAATAATTTGGATAATGTCATAGCGTCTCTAAATGTGGCCACCATTAACAATCCCCTCATTTTTGTGCATGCATCCCACCTCTCCCATCAAGAGAGTGGAATCTATTTCCCTTCCCATGAGTCTGCGCTGGTTTTGTGGCTCCCTTTCACTCAAAGAATGTGAAGGAATTTATCTTATAAGCTTAGACCCTAAGAAATCTGGTAGCTTCTACTTTTTATCAGCAGCTAGCTGCCATCATGGGAAGAAACTCACCAAGCTACTCTACTAAATAATTAAGGGCCACGAAGAGAAAAGCTCTGGAGGGTGACAGGCCATCACAGATCAGTGTGGACATGTGACTTCAGTACATACCATGTGGAACAGAATAGTGTTCTGTCACTTCAACCCATAGAATTGTGAGAAATAACAAACTGTTGTTATTTTAAATCAAGTTTTGAGGTGATTAGATAACTGAAACAAAAATTTATACCTGGAAATTTAATTCTGCAATGTTGGAAACGTAAAATTATAGCATTAGTTTTGGGACTGAATGGTGAAAAAAAGACTTCATGTACAATGAGTGAATTGCCATTGCAAACTTACTCAATGAACTGGCAGATCTGACTGAGAATTTCAGGCAAAATGCTTTGACTTTTCTTAATAGTGAATCATAAGATATTGCAAAAAAATGAAATGAAGAATTAACTCTCTTTTTTCAAGAAGATCTTCAATAACTTGCTGGTTGGAAAGTAAAACTGGTTTTTTGTTTGTTGGTTGGTTGGTTTTTTTTTTTTTTTTTTTGAGACAGGGTCTCAGTCTGTCACCCAGGCTGGAGTGCAGTGGCACGATCTTGGCTCACTGCAGCCTCTGCCTCCTGGGTTCAAGCAATTCTCCCACCCCAGCCTCGCGAATAGCTGGGATTACAGACGCATGCCACCATGCCAGGCTAATTTTTGCATTTTTTGTAGAGACGAGGTTTCACCATGTTGGCTGGGCTGGTCTCAAACTCCTGACCTCAGGTGATCTGCCTGCTTCGGTCTCTCAAAGTGCTGAGATTACAGGCATGAGCCACTGCACCTGGCCTAAAAGCAAGAATGAAATTTCTGGATCACAGATCAAATTTATTATTATTTTCAGCAATAACTCTGCTGGTTCCTAATGCCCTATTCTTCCCTTTGGAGTGATATGATGAGAGCAAATGGAACCTACATATACAGAGGAGGGTCCACACTATAGAAAAAATCTGAAGTTATTAATTTCAGAGTATAAACTGGAGTTACTGCACAGTAGTTCTTCCCTTTCTGAAAGAAGGAGAAAGTCATTACAAAGGAATCCTCTCTGGGAGAGTAGGGAAGGTTTCTAAATGTTCATAACACGTTCGGATGCAAATAAGTAAATGACTATTGGGAAGAAAAATCTGCAAATTGGAGGTCTCCAATTTGCAAGTTATGTTTAATATTCAAATACCCATTAACCCTGGTTGCCAGTGATTTTGGCTCAGAAAGCCCTGACCATAAAGGAATAAGAAAATATTTTATTTTCTAGAGCTCTACCCTTTGTTTTTCATGGTATGGCTTATGTAAAATTTACTATTTATATGCCATTACATCAGCAATTCTGATTACTCTTACCAGCAGGGGTGAGAAACAATCTGCTTGGTTTTGCTATATAGCACTTGTCAATGCTATTTCTAGCAGAATTCAGAGCAGCAGGATGAGACAACTGTAGCGTTGAACTCAGCCATGCCCCTCAGGTGTCTTGTATTTAGCCAGCCAAATAAATACCGTCAAGTCTCAGAGTTTACCTTAGAAAGCCAGGTGGCTTGACCTGTCCACCTGGCCCAAGGCAATAATCCAGGTACAGCAGAGTATGTTAATTATATGCACAGACTTCACCTTGGCCTGCAAAGGAGAAAGTGTAGGGTAATTCCATATCCATAACAAACCTGGCCAGTGAACTGAGGCTGACTTGAACGCTTTCCAGGGCGGCGGCAATGTCACACTGCCCACAGAATATGCATCTCAGGTGTTTTCTTTTATACTTGAATGTTTCTGATGATTATCCCTAAGCATAAATCTCAACTGCTTCCAAAGACTAGAACAGCTACTGTTATACATTATAATGTTTCAGCCTAGCTGAACATTCCTGGAGACAAACTTGACTTTGGGGAAACCATTGTGAATTAAATGTCCTCAAATAGCCAGTGACTTTAGTTTTGCTTTGAAGTGGGAAGTTTCCCACCACAGGGATAGCTGCCATTTTTTCATCTAAAGTCAAGATAACCGCTGGTACTGAAGAGCTGCATTCTTTAATATGCCATGTTCATTTGACAAGGAGGGAATTTCACTGGTTTTGTTTTTCATTGCTTCTGCCTTGTGATTCAGAGAGTCCACCTAAAAATGGATATTCAGTCTGAGAGTTACGAGGCTTCTATGGGTCAGGCATTTAATTTCAACAAGAGCTCAGTAACAAGTTCTTCAAAGGCATAGCTGGTAGCCAGATCCAACACTACAAAAAGATGCCTCTAGCTGGAGGCTGTTTTCCTCTGTATTCTGTCTCCCTTTACAGACTGCTTTCCTTCTGGGTGGCAAGAGGTCAAAAAGACAGCAGTTTTTCCTCTGACTGCGGACCTGGAAAGTTAGAGGCATCTGTATTATGTCCGAACATACTCACACTTAGCAAACAGCAGGGGAGTTCACCCAATAACACACTTCTCTATCTGTAGCTTTTCCCAATTGGGATGATCTGCTCAGAGATTATGAGCTGATGAATTACAAGCATATGTCAAATTATATCAATTTTGACCATATTTTCACATAAGAATAAACAAAACAACATAAAATATTTTTGACACAAAAATTTAAAATCCTCATTTGTTTTCTTAAACATACATTTACTCACATCCCTGACTATTAACTCACTTTTAGCCCGTTTAATATTTCAAAGATTAAAATCACAGCCAACTGCTGCTGTCTCCCATTGGGAATCTGGGAATCTGGGAATCTGGGAATGCAGTGGGCATGTTGCTGTCTAGCTTATGTGATGTGATAGGAATTGCTGGGGAATGCATCTTTTTTTTTTTCTCTCTCTCTCTCTCTGTTTCCTCTGTCTCTGTCTCTCTGTCTGTCTGTCTCTCTCTTTCTCTCTCTCTCTCTCTCTTTCCTTGCCCAGGAACCCAGGATTCCTGTCTTTCCCTGTATATTTCCTACTGTCTGGGGAGTGCTCAGGGTTGAAGGGATTCTTTCTGCTCCCTCACCTGCCACCATGCGTCTATCATACATTTATTGGTACTTTGGCCATCCACAATGCCAGCACTCTTTCTCCCATGCGACTAGGTACTTAGGTGTCTGCATCCAAAAGAGCTGTAACTGTTTACATATCTGGCCTCCATGACATTGCCCATCATAATCAGAAAGTGCGTGGCACTGCTGGTCCCTTGGGAACAGGTTGACTTCAGCCTCATCCTGAATCTGTAAGGCAATTGTGGTCAGGGTATCAGGAGAAGGATAAATTAATGGAACCAGAGAAAGTGTGCCAATAAGTGTGTCAGGTTTGCATTCAGGTTTGGGAGGCATAGAGGCCGTTCCAACAACACCTTACTCAACCTTGAGAAGTAATTCAATGTCTCCTCTCACACACAAGCCTAATATGGTTGGCCCACCCAAGGCCCAGCTTTCAGGATTCTTGGACACTTTCTTCTCATTTTTGGAGGAGAGAAGACCATAATCTTGTACTGTTCTTGGCCTTTACAAAGCCCTAAATCAGCTCTGTGAACTCCCAAACTCTTTCCCTTCCCTTCCGGAGGAGAGACCAAAAAATAAAACAGCATCTGAAGTGCTTGTTGTATCTCTGCTCCTACGCTGGACTGACCACTATCTTCTCAATCCGTCTGTAACAGGCCGAAAAGTCCAGCAACAGTGTGATCCACATATCCACTACCAATTTTCATCTCCATCTGTCTGTGAAGCCTCTTTTGCTTCCAGAAAATTATGTTTCTCACAGAATCTCATGCTCAACAAGCCTTAAAATTTATGTTTAATACCTATACAGAGTTTATTCTGAAAATAAACACATACACACACAGAAAGATCCATTTTTTATGATTAATGAAATACTAGTTAAAATATATTGTATAATTCATAATATAATTATATGCAATCTTAGTGAAAATGTGAAGATAAGCAAAATCACAAAATATATCACTTTCTAGTCATATAATGCAATTCTATTAAATGTCTGTATAAATGAAATGAAGTCCTAAATGTAACTGTTAGGTAATATATTCAAGATCATTTGACTGTTACAAAATGCAAGGTCTAAAATAGAATGCGTTGTATTAGCCTATTTTGTTATAAAAAACAACATATCTGCATCTATACATAGGAAATGTTTTATAGAATACTAAAAAAAAATTAAAAGTGATTTTTTTTCTGGGTACAGGGAAGAAGGCAAAAGGAAAGTAAGTAGCCTTAAGAGTTTTACTTTTATACTTCTCTACTACTTGCCACTTAAAATAAGTATCATTTATATTTATATTGAGAATAACAAAGGAAATAATCTTGGAGGAAATGTTTTTTTTTCTTTTTGGATGAGTAATCTGTGCTTTATCTTCTAACATTCCTGTAATTATGAGACTTTATAATAAAAAAAGTTAATAAAGAAACTGGGTAAAGGAAAGTAAAGATTATTTGGTCAAGTGGTTTTTCCTTTGGCTACATTGTTTCAATATATTTATTATTATTTATCATAGTCCTGAGGCTAGCTACATAAAGTGTGTCCTACATTCTTATTATAGTAGAGTAAGTAACAGCTTGATTGGGATGTTGTGATACAAGCTCTATCCAACTCTTTTTCTTGTAGCAGAGTGTCCTAAAGGAAGATTCTTACTGACAACACTTTCTTCTGTTTGGATCCTATCACATGTATTGATACTAATCATTGTACCCAAAGGGATGTGGAAAACTTTATTCACTCAACAAATACTATTGCCAACTTGCCATTGTGCAAACCCCTAAAATAAAACAATGAAGAAGGTTGCTATTCATAGTATTAGCGTAGCAGGCTGAATTATGACCCTCCAAAGATGTCCATGTCCTATTCCCCAGAACCTGTGAGTATGCTAATTTATATGGTAACAGGCACTTTGCAGATGTAATTTAGTAAAGGATCTTGAAATGGAGAAATTATCCTGGATTATTTGGGTAGGCTCAATGTAATCTCAAGGGTCCTCATAAGAGAAAGGTGAGAGGATCAGAATCACAGGGACAAGATGTGAACAAGAAACCAGATGGTTGAGTGATGCACCTTGAAGGTAGAGGAAGGGCCCTGAAACGAGGAATGATGGCAGCCTCTAGAAGCTGAAAAAGCCAAGGAAGCAGCTTCTCCCCTTAAGCCTCCAGAAGGAACACAGTCCTATGGCACTTTGCTTCTGACCTCCAGAAGTGTGAGAATAAATTTGTACTGTTTTAAGGAATCAAATTTATGGTAATTTGTTACAACAGCAATAGGAAACTAATACAATTTCGAAGGAGTTATATATTTGTTAAGAAATAAATAACACACTGTGATCTATTTGAAATCATGATCATATTGGATTTGATGGTAGGCTTGTCCTTAAGTTTCTCAAAAATGATATTTTATTTATACAGCATTTTGGGTGTAAATTGTACTATCTTCTCTCCAAGAGGCCACTCTAAAACTAAAGTCAAAGAGCAGAAAATGCTCTACTCAAATCTATCTAATCTCTCTATCTCTCTATCTGTCTGTCTATCTATCTATCTGTCTATCTATCTGTCTGTCTGTGTCTGTCTGTCTGTCTGTCTGTCTATCTATCATCTATCATCTATCTATCTATATCTATCTATCTATCTATCTATCTATCTATCTATCTATCTATCTATCTATCTATCTGGCTAGCTAGCTAGCTAGCTATCTGTGTGTCTATCTATCTATCATCTGTCTATCTGTGGATATCTATATCTATATGGATATAGATGTATGTAATGGTGTGCAGTCTATAGCTTCAGTTCTATTAGCAATAGAAATTGCACATCCTTGATGGAATTTAGCATTTCAGCATGACTAAAATGCTCCACAATATATTATAGGTTAGAATTGGATGTTTTATTCATGCATTCTACTGAGTGGAGTGGAGGTGATCAAATATGTCTTAACTCCCGCTAATTAAAAAACCCATTGGAGTAATGTTCTCTTAAATCCTCCCTGTGGTCTGAGGAATGTCTAGAAAGAAAGACACATAGCAGTATTTTTTCTCATGTATCTAAGTAAATATGGGTCTTTTCTTTTAAAGTCTGATTACAATGGTTTTAATCACCATCAGTTTATTCCCCAGGACTTTGCAACCAAGATTTCAAGAGTGATATAAAAATTAAGCTCCATTTGAGCATGGGATGGGGCGTGTTAGCAGAGTTAAGACCAGAGATGAGGCAGCCCTAAAGGATGTACAGCAGCACATCAGGATCTCTTTAGATTTGTTACGTTTTGGCTACAACTTGGACAGTTTTATTCACTTTTTCTATTAACTTGACCATCACTTTCTTTATATGAGCTCTTCATCAGAGTCTCTTAAATCTCTCATGCAAACAGAGCCCTGGAAGGCCTACTCTACTTGTCCATGGAATATGAGTTTCTGTGTCTACTTATCAGTGAATAGAGCTTCCTTTGTAACTCGGGAAACTTTGCAACTTCTTGGAAGAAGCCCCCAGATGTATTTGCTCAGCAAATCCAAGATTAGAAAATAAAAGTTAATAATTTAGGATGACCACACACTCTCAGTTTATTACATTTTCTACTATTCCTTGTTGTTAGACATCCAGCTGCTTCATGCTTGTATGTAACCTGCCTAGATCACAGAAGCATATGATTTGGCAACCTCTGTGTTACCCCTTCTGTCAATTACATGCAGCTCTTCTCCCAATTACATTATATGGTTAAAGTATCTTGGGAGCAAGCAGGTTGTCATTTATGTTTTGTATCCATTTCTTTACAGCTTCTCCCTCCCTGGTTGCTTTAAGTAATGTTCAGTAAGCATTTGTTCAATGATTGATGTCAATATTGATTTCTCCCATATCTCTGAGATGCCCTGACTACAGAAAAAAAGTGAGAATCAATGGATGTGAAAGAGAAGGATCCTGTCAAGTTCTTTCCAGATGGTGGATTGTAGATTCACAGATAGCATTTTTTTTAATGTTGCAATTTTTCTTGAAATAGCCTCTGATTTTCTCCCATGCAGAAAAATGTACTTTTTTTAAGCCTAATTCTTCTATTAAAAGGTTACATAGATTCTTCCTTTGTTAACCATAAAAAGAATTAGTTTTACTATGCTGTAAAAAATGGTTATATGATGTATAATACATTTTGTTTAATATGTCAGAAGGGTTATTTTTTATTTTTGACTCAGTTATATAAAGTTACCAAAAAAGTTATTATTAATTATAAAAGTCCATATCACAGAATACATGAAATATTAGAAAGTACGTTAAGCATACATGAATAGACAAACAAATATATAACATACCATAATTACCATGTGATTTTAGTACTGATAATTATTCTGGATCTATGTACAAATGAAACAATAACATTTGTATCGAATTATATTTTCTCATCTTGATTATGCTACAAAGTTTTCAAAGTTATTTAAAATTGTTTTTGTTATTTAGGTTTTTAAAGCAGTGGTCCCTGACCACCCAGGCCAGGGACTGATATGAGTCCCTGGACTGTTAGGAACCGGGCCGCACAGCAGGAGGTGAGCAGTGGGCAAGGGAGCATTGCTACCTGAGCTCTGACTCCTGTCAGATCATCAGCAGCGTTCGATTCTCAGAGGAGCCTGAACCCTATTGTGAACTGAGCATTACAGGATCTAGGTTGCTCCTCGACCCCCGCACTGCCCCCACGCAGTCTGTGGAAAAATTGTCTTCCGCAAAACTGGTCCCTGGTGCTCAAAATTTGGGGGACCACTGTACTAAATTCTTATGTTTATTTTTATCTTTAATATTGACTTGGTTGGAAGGTGTGGTTAAGCTCTAAAGCTACCTCTAATTCTGAACCACAGAATTAGGCAACCCATCCATACAATCACCACCTGGGGACTCCAAAATTGGGTATTATTTTTATGACACTAGGAATGCTTATAAATGCCTTTGGGATGAAAAAACTGTGAAATTTATATATATATATATATATATATATATATATATATATATATATATATAAAATATATATTTCATAACTATGTTATATATGGTATATATGTGTCATGACACTCTTTGTAGCTTTACTTGACCATTGATGTTAAATCAATTAATTCATTTGCACAATATAAAATAGAGCATCAATTAATTAATGCTATATTAGTGTGAATTAATTCATTTGTTAAATATAAAATAGTAAAGTAAGCTATGAAGAGTGTTATCTATGATTCAAAATCCTTTCATATTATTATTCATTATTATGGGCTTTCCTATTGCAAAGCAACTAACTATGTACTCATGTACTTGAGTTCCTGTCTTGAGGATTCCATTAGATTTTATGCATGCTTGTTACATATCTTAGCATATTTTAATTTTTCCCATGTATATTTCTTCTTCATAATTGTCATGAGCTGCTAAAAATTATCTCCTTCATCTCAGAATCATCACAAAGTAGAACCCAGAGATAAGTATTTCTGAACTTTAAAGACTACCCCAGTTAAGAACTACTGATAATTCTACCCTCTCATTGTTCTTATTTCATAGTTTTATTTACTGTTTTGAAAATGTCACATTGTTAAGGGAAATTTATGGAATATTATTTGTGTAGTCTCATGGCCTGAATTTATGAATTCTTTTCATTATTTATATTTATCATGAGCTCCTAGAAATCAAAGACTGTTTATTATTCACCTGGATATCCAGCTCCCAACAATATAATGTTGTAAAATCAAATACATGGATGTAAGTATTTACCTGGGACTTTATTCTTTAATTGACTTGGCTCTCTTTGTTTGAGTTACAGTGACTTCATGAAGTCTAAGCTGTGTAAAATGAAATCTCCTATTGTGGACATTGCAGTCCCTATTTAAAATCTGACTTGCAACATTTTTCCATTAGTCCTATTGAAGGAAATAGTCCCAGTTCCTGATATTTTTTGCCATGTAGAAGCATTTCCATTTTCTCTGTCATCTCACTCCTCATGAAAACTTCCTCCAGAAAAACTGAATCATTGTTGTGTTATTTTGAGTTTAATACAGACAACCAGACACGTCAGTTATTTCATTCTGTGAAGCTTCCTGCCTGCAGAGAGCAGGTCTTCAGATTTGCTCCCAAACAAAAAAGACTTAGATGTCAAACCTCTGTCTAATTGGGAGATACTTGGGGATTCTCAGTAAGACTGTGTTTGGGTGGATTGTTTACCTAATTTTGCACTTCACTATTAAAAGCCCATAATTAATCTCATACCCAGTCAGTATTAAATGTGCTATTATTTTGATCTCACTTTAGTTATGATCTCACTTTAGTTATGCTCTTTAGTAAATCAAGTTTTATAGGGAGAGACCCTCAGCTGGGGAGCATTATGAAGTTTGTGGAAGATAAGTTCAATTTAGAGGTGGAGTATTAGTAACCTGTGTATTGATCAAGGAACTTTGAAACTTAAGGGGCAATTGCATGAATCAAATAATTTCAGGATGATTGAAGCTCTAGTGATGCCACGGCAGGAACATTAAGCATTTATGTCACTGAACTAAAAGAGGAAATAAAGATTTCTTATTATAATTGGAGTAGTACTGGTTGTTGTTTTGCCTGTAAGGTTTACAGTGACCTCTGTTGTGCCATGTGGCTGCTTTCGCGGTTGCATAGTTGGCTTCTAACTGCTGCAATCTTAAGCTTTAGACTTTAAGCCAGTGAGCCACATGGGATTTTGATGTTGGCAGTTACCTACACCTTCTGGCTCTTTTTACATAAGCCAGTATTCATTTGTATACAGAGAAGGTTGCATTAGGATAGAGTCGAATGGCAAGAAGGTCACAAAACCGGCTTGGGGCCTTATGGTTCAGGCTGCTGCAGCTTGATCTTAAATTGAACAAGTATTTTGTTGTACGTGAGGGTGAGTTTGGAATACAGTATTTTTTATACACACTGGCAGAAATTAAAATAAGTAAAATATTCTCTGCTTTCCTTTATTGGCCATATCTGTATGATGAGGATATCAAACATCAAGACACCTGACTTCTGCCTGAGCAACAGAGCACTGTTGAGTTTCTAGAATTGCTGTTCTCCAAGTCTATGTAGGCAGAGTTAGATGGACTATGATATATTGTATTCAGTGACTAGAGTGAATAATGAAGAAGATCACTTTGGGTTTCTGCAGCTTGTTCACAGGCCCAAGATTCAACTTTATGGCATGTCCTATAATTAATTAGGCTTTGCATTGACTAGTTGTATTATCTGTGACCATGGCTTTTGAGTCTCAAGACCCAAATTAAAAGGTGTTTTGAGGAGCACATGGCAGAGATGTTGATTCTAAGACTCTGGAGCATAAGCTTCAGAAGCATCCATCAAAGATTCAGTTCAGAAAACCTCTGAGAATATTTCTAAAGCTAAAACAAATCTTGGGATTACCCAACACGAGTGCCAGAAACACAGGGCTCAAATGGAAAATGCAAGTTAAGAATTTTGAATATACATAGAGGAAAATGAAATATACCTCATTTAAAGCCCAGTAACTAAAACTGTCTCCAGGCTAAACTTCTAAACTTTGATAGAAGGCAGAAATGGCTTGAACGCACTGTGAGGGCTAGCCCACACTGCTGCACACATGCACACACACACACACATTCTCAAGTATCATGAACATGGATTTTAAATAAGTAGCATCAACAGACAGCCCACTAAAATACTAAAATCAAATTTTCTTGTATCTATCTTCCTTAATTCAAATACCCCTGATTCTTTGCTATAATCACTAAGCATTGCATCCTGGTAACACACATTCATAACAGTTAAAGATGGTTTAGGTAGCAGCTAGACAAAAAGGATAAAAAGTCTACTCAAATATTGATAACCTTTCTAGATGACACATAATTTATTAATAAAACAGGTAGGCTACAGTTTGGACTTTATTTTTTAACTTTAAATCAGTATGGGAGTAGTTTGATTTTTAGCTTAAGTTCATTTGGGCTTTAATTGTCAAGATAATTTGTGGCTTTAATTCCTCCATGACAATTTGGTAATGAGAGGCAGTTAATTCAAATAAAGTAACATAACACTTTCTGATGCATTGTGTTAGAGTATCTTTGTAAAGTCTGATCTCTTTGAAGGGCTTTTAATAGACTATACGGAACAATATACCTAGAAAAAAATCAGAGTGGGCAGTAGAAGAGGAAATACAATTTCAGCCTTAGGTACAGAATGATCACGCAACTAACTTAATTAATGCAGTATTCTAACCCATTTTAGGCCTCTGTGTTTTCCAAAACCATTTGCAAAATAGCAGTGCTTTATTTATAATCTCTTCCTTCTCTGTTCCCATATGCTGAATCATCCCCCTTGATCAGAGTCTTAATGGTCGAACACGGTGGCTTAATAAAACAAACAGCATCAGCGTTTTGAGAGGATACTTATCCTTCATTTCTCATGACACATTCCAAAAATTAATAGGAAACTTAGTAATAGAGTGATCCATGAATAAAAACTTTTGGACTTTTTGTCCTTTCTGGTACTGACTTATTAGTGAGGATGATACAAATTTCACAGCAAATATGGCTTATATTCTCTCTTATAGGGTATCTGTCTGCGGAGAACATGTGATCTGGGTCACTCTTGGACTTAGATTAAACTTAACAATAAAAAGGCCCTGCTCTTTGGAGATAGCCCTTCAGTTGTCTAGTGCTGCTAGTCCCTGGGTTGCAAAGTCTATAACTCTAATGTTTAGCACTTGCAAACCCATTTTTGCTACACACCCAGACCGTGTTTTAAAACAGTTGTGTCAAAACAACAACCACCAAAAACCTCACTAGCATTTTACTCTCCATCTGCCTGAGTCCTTCGGCCTGACTCCTGATTAACTTTCCTTTGTTTCAGAAGTTTGTTAGAAAAAAGAATTGTTGAGAATTACAACCATTAATTGTAATTAATTGAATTGATTCTAAGTGTCAGTTTTTGACAATTATTTAGTATAAAATATAAAGAACATATATGGATAAGAGAAATAAGAGATAGACTGTGAAGAAAACTAGAAAATCATTTTAAAGTGTATTATCTATGACTGTGCCTAAAAGAGACATTTCAGAAACGACATCATCAAAGATTCTGGAATTTGCCTCTATAACAAAAATAGCAATAATGAAATTAAAAAAACATTTATTTTAGATAATTGTCTAAAAATTATGGCCAAATAGTTTTAGGATTTTTAGAGTATTTGCACAGGCAAGTGCATTTCCAATTAGAAGAAACCGTGTTGACATTTTAGCAGAACAGCTGTGACCCTGCTTTAGCAATAGACGTGTTTAATGGTAAACTAGTTAGGCCAAGAAAGCACAGATATCATCACAATTGACAGGCTCAGATTTCATGACATCAGTCAAGGAATTAAATGTTAACCAGCTGACTGAGATGTTTGTCTAAAGAGTCTAAAGAGTATGTTATTTGAAGATTCATCTCTTCATATAACAATGAACTAATTTATCCCATCTCACGACCCTTTGAGTTAGTTTCTTTTATCCAATTAGAGTTCCTTCTTTGATATCAGCTGTAAGGCTAGAGTTCACATCACTGCATCCCTTAATAATAAAAAGAAGAACTGGATGGAACAGAGGGATAAAAAATACTCAAAGAGTTAGAGTTAGAGGGTAGAATTAATTATAAAGATTGAAAAGCTGTAACAAAATATTCCAATATATCTTACCATTTCCCATGTGAATCATTCTCAGTATGATATGAGATTATGTAATTCCTTAAAAAGCATTGAGCTACTATTCTGTTTACTTTTCTCACTGAAAAGGCAATACATTCCTTGTTTGTTTGTTTATTTATTTATTTTTTTATTATTATTATTATTTTGAGATGGATTCTCGCTCTTGCCCAGGCTGGAATGCAGTGGCGCAGTCTCGGCTCACTGCAAGCTCCGCCTCCCGGGTTCACACCATTCTCCTGCCTCAGCCTCCCGAGTAGCTGGGACTACAGGTGCCCGCCACCACACCTGGCTCATTTTTTGTATTTTTAGTAGAGACGGGGTTTCACCGTGTTAACCAGGATGGTCTTGATCTCCTGACCTCGTGAACCGCCTGCCTCAGCCTCCCAAAGTGCTGGATTACAAGCGTGAGCCACCGCGCCCAGCTCCTTATTTTTTAAATGCAAAAATGTGATTTAAATGTGCATTGAAGTAGGAAACCAAATCCAACATATACATTCTGTTGGAAGAATTGTTCCACGTGTTCAGTTTTCAATTTGATAAGCATTTGGTGGATATTTTAATTTAACTTTAATAATTGATCTCTCAGCTTAACAGGGGAATAATTCATAAACGTATGTGGATTGATGTTCCCTTCAAATACACTTTTCTCTAAGTGAAAATTGATTGATTCTACTACCTAAATCTACAATTATAAGAATCATAGATGTGTATGTTATTAAAAACACATGGTAGGCAGGATGCGGTGGCTTACGCCTGTAATCCCAGCACTTTGAGAGGCTGAGACGGATGGATCACCTGAGGTCAGGAGTTCGAGACCCGCCTGACCAACATGGAGAAAGGCTGTTTCTACCAAAAACATAAAATTAGCTGGGTTTCATGGCGCATGCCTGTAATCCCAGCTACTTGGGAGGCTGAGGCAGGAGAATTGCTTGAACCCAGGAGGCGGAAGTTGTGGTGAGCCGAGATCATGCCATTGCACTCCAGTCTGGGCAACAGACTGAGACTCCATCTCAAAAAAAAAAAAAAAAAAAATGTATGGTGGCAAGTATAGTTTCAGTTTTATGTGCTGCCTAACTTTATGTTGTGAGCAAATATTAGTAAACAATAATAAAAATAGAAAACATTTTTATTTCATATTTAAATTCAGCATATGAGAAATAATTTTAATGCCCGCATGAATATCTTCTTCATCTGTGATGACATGCCAGTTTTCTCTTAAGGATGGTAAGTGTTCATATATTTCATATAAATTCAAAAATATAAAACAAACCATTGCCTGGTATTGAAACATTCATACCAAAACAAAGGTCCCAAGAAATTAACAAATGTACTTTAAAAAGATTCATCAGGGATTCTTAAAAAGCAACAAATTTTTTCACATTGTTCAATAAAAGAACATTTAGAATTACCGAATTAGATGTCAAATTGGCACATTCCTTATATTGATTCACTCATCAGAGTTTCTTATTAGCATGAAAAATCAGTCTTTATAACATTTTTGCTCATGTTAGAGGTGCGTAATGAGTGAAAAGAAGAAAGCATATAAAAGATGTCAGTGTTTCAAAGCTAAGTTATAAACAAAAATAGTAAAAAGAATACAACCATCTTGACTTCCATGCTAATTAGGATGATTTGTTGCCTTTAGCAAATGAAGTTAGAGTTAAACTACGTTAAATCATTGAACAGAGTGGAATATTTCAGAGGAAATATTAGTAAACTACACAAGCTAGAGTGCTTGAATTAAATCTGTGTGAAAATATTGAGGGAAAAGCTCAGTTTCTCATTTAGCAGCAACTTTAACAAATTAATTTTTCACAACAAATTTACCATGGAAATCTATGGTTAATTGATAAATTCCTTGAATTTTAAATTCAGGAGGTGAGGGCTGTTCATCCAACTACTCATTTTATAGACAAGGAGATGGACCTTGTATTTGATGGATGACTCAAATTTCTCACAGTAACAAAAGCCAACATCATACAGCAATCTCTGGGACCTAGTTCTTCTGAATTTTAATCTAGTTATCAGACCGAGAATTGATGATCTGGGCAGACCACAAGAACAGGAATAATAATCAACCTCTCAAACCATGCTGGAACACTGAAGAACAACCAAAAGTAGGACCTGGGGAACTGCTTATGGAAGACTCAGATCCCAAATTCAAGGACTAGACATTCTTCCTGTTGAAATAGTAAAAACAAACCCATGTGGGCCTATCCAGACTAAAAACCCCACAGGTAGATACCTGGAAATAGAGACCCAATCAAAAATTGCCAAATGTATTCAAAAACCAATCATAAAGCATCACTGGCTTCCTAAATTCACACTCTAGAAGAAAGTCCCACATTAAGAGAAGACTCACCAGTCAGATTCTGGCTCAAATGCCATAAACTCTGGCTGTTTTCACTGAGATTTAGTAGATCTTCTTGTATGAATATTTTTTCACTTAACATATGCTCTTTTCTGGAGACTAGATTACCATAGATGATTGATGATTGTTTTGTATAATTTTCTAAGTTAAATTATGTTTGTTGTGGTAACAGTTTACCACATTAGTTTTTTAGTGGTTATCTTAATAATTATATATATTAGAGTTAACAAATGCAGTTTTTCCTGTCAACTTTCTCTTAATTGCTCTAGTTTTTGTTTGTTTTGCTTTTAGTTTTAGTTGTTCTAGTGGCTTTCTTTTTAATTCTAAGTATTATACACTCTTAAAGTAGAGAGGTATTAACAAGATATTTGGGGAAATTGTGCATTCACCTACTCCTACATAATGATTCTTTGGAAATCAGATTTAGAAACTATATAGAATGTTTCTAAACATAGCCCTATAGAATATTGCAGAGTTTTATTTCGCCTATTTTTTTCTGGACGAGCTATCTCCTTTGGTCATTGCTGATATATTTTTACATGTTACAGCTTATTTTTAAATTTTAATTTATCTGAATGAGACATTAAAATATGACATTAAGTCATCATATACTTCTTCATACATTTCTAATTTTACTTCTGTGTTGCCAAAGCCTTCTGGTTTGTCTCTGGTTTTGCATGCACGTGGATTTCATTCTCCTTCACTTTTCCCCTACCTGAATTTTAAATTTTCAAATTTTTTAGTGCTCTGTTCCTTCTGCACCTTTTTTCTCTAGGTTATATTTCATTTCTGTGGTTTTAAACAATCTCTAAAGATCTTCCCCCACCTCAAAGGTGGTCTCTTGAGCCAAGATTGCCAAATGAAAACATGCAACTGTCTTCTTGACACGTACTTTTGCTTAACTAGAACTCATGCTTTCCCACAGGTATGCTGGCCCTACTCTTGACATACATTCACACATTTTTTTCTTTGGACTATTATCATATCAAAGAATAACAACCAAACACAAAATTTCACATCCCTTCTTGAAATTTTTTTCATCAAGTTTTAATGTCATAAATAAAATAATTTTCAAATAAAACAATTTTGGAGTCATTATCTTTAAAAATGTAGGGGAAAATTACCACTGAAATGACCAAATCATTTTCATCCCTGCTACAGTTTAATCAACCAACTTCAAAGAAAATTGTCAGCTTAACATCATTTTCTCAGTTCATTTGTTCAGTATGGCATTTGAGAAATTTATAACACATCTTTTGACCCTGTCATTCCATAAGGGTACATTTTCAAGCTTGGCTGCCTTTTCTCAACCTGAAATACATTTGTCCATAGCTTTAGCCTATGGCCTCAATAAATTCTCATCAATTGTATAAGCCTCAAATTCCAATCTTGAAGAAAACTTTAAAGTTGATTTTGTGGCTTATTTAATCATACTTTTTACTATATTGCTCCTGGAAAACAAATATCTTGAATATCTTGTATTTGCTTCAAAATAATTTTGGTGATTGTTTTTCATATTTTAATAAAGTTCTTGGCAGCAGTGATGGCATGTAATCAGTTATTCTGTGGGTTTTTTCATATAGGAAATTCAGATTTTTATATTCAATTATATTTGCCACTACTAAATACCATACTTGAAATTATCACATGAGAACATTCCATAATTTTAAATTGACTGTACTACTCAGTGATTCATTAATTTTATTTGGGTCAATGCTATCATTTTCTGCACTGTGAAAATTATTTTAAGATTTATGCTTAATTGGTCTAATTTACCCTGAATTTTTCACAGTATTATATTAATTTTCATAATTTGAATTAAAAATTTTGACAAGATTATTTTGGGATGTAAATTTTTACCTAGCTCTATCAAAATGTAAAATTCTTGCTTTAACAAATAATGGAGGACCTTGTATTATGTGAAATAAGACAGACACAGAAAGAAAAATATCACATGATCTCACATATGTGGAGTCTTTTTTTTTTAAAGAAGCTGAATACATAGAGAGTACAATGGTGCTTACCAGGGATGGAGAGTGGAAGGAAATGGGCGATATAGGACAGAGTACAAAGTTGCAGTTATGTAAGATGAATAAATCTAGAGATCTAATGTAAGGATGTAAGGAAAGAAGAAGGAATCATTCTAAAGTAACAACTATTACAGTTAATAATAGTGTATTGCATATTAAAAATCTGCTAGGAGAGTCATTTTAGGTACTCTTAGCATACACATAAAAAGAAGTAACTAAGGAAAGTGATGGTTATGTTAATATGCTTGACTGTAGCAATCTTTTCATTATCTATATTAAAACATCATATTGTACCTCAAATATAGACGTAAAAATAAATTTTTGAAAATCATCCTGTTCTGTTTAATACCGTGAAATAAACAAACTGGCATCTCCCCCGCTGGTGTGAAGGTGCTGTGTGGGCGAGTAATGGTACTATTTAGATCTCTGCCTCTTACTACCTCCATATCTACCATGGCTGTGTGAGACTCTCACTTGTAATTTTAGTTTTAGTATTATTCCACAGTTTCACATGTGCCAGACTTATAATCTGAAAGAAAAAAAGGGAGGAATTTTTGAAAGTTAATTATAATTGGTATATTTCTAATAGAATTATATATTCTGCAAAGCCACTGTTAAAGAAGAGATTAATTTTATTTTGTTTTACTTTCAACTTATCATTCTCTTTATATTTAAATGTGTCTCTTTTAGGGGACATATTATAGAGTCTTGCTTTTTATACATTTATTTTTGGCATTAAAATGCAGTTTTTAAAACAATAATATTTAATATAAGTTTCGTAGGTTAAGATGTAGACCTACAATTTTATTATTTCTTTAATTTTTGTCTCCTCATTTTTATGTACCTCTTTTCCTTTTTTCTTTTAGATTATTTGTCTATATATTTTTAGTATGCCATTGTGACTATTTTTTTTTCTGGCTGTTCTAGAAATTGCAATATACACAGATAAACTTTGACAGTCTAACAAGGGTCAATATTGTAGCATCTCACAGTGTTGAATCCTTGAAATATTCAGCTCTTTTTATTCTTCCACTGACTTACACATTACAGTTATTGTAAGTATAAATATGCATGCATTGAAAATTCCATCACACGTCTTTACAGTTTTGCTTTAAACATTCATACATATTTAAAAAAACACAAGTGGTAAAAATAAGTATTTTATATTTACTTTTATATTTACTATTTCTGCTGCTCTCTCTTCATTCTTGATGATTCAAGGTTCCTTCTATTATTTACCATCATCTTGATGAAAACTGCTATTGGCATTACCAGAAGAGGAGGTTTTTCAGAAATAAATTCTCTTCATCACAGAATACTTTTATTTCCATTTTATACCTGAAGGATATTTTCACTGAATGTAAAATTTGAGGTTAACATTTCTTTTATTTAAGCACTTTAAAGACGTTCCACTGTCTTCCAACCACAATGGTTTCTGATGAGAAATTCACGATCATTGTAATTAGTAATCTGTAATTTATTTTTTCTAGTTGCTTTCAAGAGGTTTTTCTTAATCTTTGGTTTTCAGCAGTTTGATTATGATGTATATAGGTATGACTTTCTTTGATCTTATCTGGAATCCTGAGCTGCTAAAATCTGTAAATTATATTTCTTTTACTATATTTATGATTTTTAGCCATTATTTTGTATATGTATGTTTGTTTTGTGTATGTATGTATGCATGTGTTTGGATATGTATATGTATAAAAATAAATATGTACACACACACACACACACAATTTTTGGTGTGCCCATCCCTTTTCATTTTTTTCTGATACTACAATTACACATATGTTAGATTCTTTGATAGACTTCTACAGGTGCCTTACGATCTGTTAGCACTTTATCACTTTTTTTCCCCTCTATTCTTCCAATTGAAAAATATCTACTGGTGCGTCTTAGGTTGACTTTCTTTGTCTTACGTCATCTACGTTCTGTGACTAAGCTCCTTCACTGATCCCCACCCCCACATCCTGTATTACTCAGATCCAAGTTTCACACTTGATTCTTCAATTATACTTTCTTTTTTACTTCTAAGATTTTTTTCTTAATTTAATATGGGCTTCCCTTTACTTTCTATGTCTTGCTAAGTTGGTTTTGGTCTGCTGCACTCAATCATTATCTAGGGGTTACTCTGAGATTGATGTGGGTGGTTCCAATGACAGTTCAGCTTTGAAAGCTGCCGTTGTCTTGTTTGGATCTGTCCCACGCTCTGGATACTTAGCTGTTAAGCTAATACATGTGTGGGTTTACACATGAAATTAAAAATCTTTTCTTGGTTTCCTCTGAAATTATTTTATAAACATTGCATATGAAGGATCCTGGTTCCTCTAAAACAAAAATGAGATTTGTATTGTAGTTTTATTCTCTCCACAGTTTCACTCCTCTGTAAATAGTTTCTACCCTTGGAATAAAGCCAGGAGAGGATAAACAATAACAACAATGATAATGAAATGTTTATTCCCATGAGAGTTACTTAAGTTTTGACTTCCCTCTGCACAAACCTGCTTTTGTTTACTTTTTCAAGTTTTTAGCTAGTTGCTTTCTGTACATCACACAGAGGCTTTAGGGGTCCTCACTGGAAAAGATAAGTTTTAGTGGGCTTAAGACATTGCCAAATTTGAGCCTCTTTTCAGATATTTCTTAAATACAGATGAGCACATGCAAATCTGAATTAATCTTAGTTATTAGCATAATTATCCTTATGTAGACATGAATATAATTGGTAGGATCTAATGAAGTACTACGTAAGAAACACATAAAAATTGAGATTCAGATAAATAATTAAATTCATTAGCATTGTGAAGTAATCTATTTCTTTTTTCATTCAATCAACAATTTTTTTAGCTCTAATAAAGTACTAATCACTATCCTAGTTTTAATTCCAAATAAAGTGTCAAAACTTGTTAAAAGATGTTTAATGGAAAAAAAGAAGTAGAATGCTAAAGTTTTCAAAGGTAATACAATGTGTAAGAGTGGGTAAAAAGTTAAATTTCCAGCAGCTAACCTAGAGTTATTTTCATCATATCATGCTAAAATTCACATTAGAATAATTTTATGTAAGAAAATCCTACATTGAAATTCACTCTAATTTATCACATTATGTTGAAACTACATAATCTTAGGCTTTTGTATGTCTGTTTGTTTCATAGCAGAAGAAATTCTTGTGACATTGTCAGTGCAGTATGTGAACTAGAATTAAACAAGCCTCATGTGCCAAAAACCCTGGGAATGATGGATGCAAAACATATTAATATATTCCTCTCTCACCCATCATATGGCACATTATAATCTATGGAACCCCAAAAAATCAGGAATATATTCCAGAAGTTTTTCCTTTGTTTTCCAAGACATTACCCAATTATACCATTTCGTCGATCGTATACATGTGAGTCCAGTCAATACCAATGTATTTTTAAAAACATTTGTATTTTGAAAATACATCTTAAATTGGTTTATATGATGCTCTGCGTATTTCTTATACTACCTAAATATTTGCAACTAATGGCAGGCCAATGGTTTTGATATTCTGGGATAAAATAAACAAGATGAATATATTGTATTGAATACCTCTGGATAAGGATCAAAAAACTTTTAATCCTTCCTCTTCATCCCCCATACTGATCTTTTTATCCAACAAATTCATTTCTCACAGTGGTGTTGCTTTCTTCTAATTTAAAGTGGAGATACAAGTAAGAGTTTTTGAGGAACTTAGAAATTGTAATTGGTGGTATATGAAAAGTGTAAGCACTTGTGAAGTGTGAGCAGTGTTTCTTTTGACTGAGAACGTTATTACATCATTTTTCAATACCTAGAGAAAGAGTTAGTGGACTACATTATTTGGTAGTTAACTACAATACACAGGTTTTTCCCTAACCATTATCAGGGTCTATTAATTTCTCTCCTAAACCATGTCTGGTAACCTCAACTCTTACACTGCTATTTGGTCAGTCCAATGATTGTAGGACATTACCTAATAATTTCTTTTATCTTGGCTGATACAATGTCCTTTACTTAGTGAACAGACTTAAACATCCTTAACTAAATTATTTCCCACAGTTTAAAATAAGACCAGGTTATAAATAACAGCATGGTGGAGAGGGTGTTAAATTATTTATATAAATTTAGACAACTTATTATAGAACACATGTGTACTGATACTGTGATTTAAAATTTTGAAAATATCTTTCCCGTTTCATAAATCAGATCATTAAATTAAAAATATTTTAGTTTTTTATACTTAAATCATTAAATCTGATTAGATTATTTGGTTAATAATTAATTTGATTAATTAATTTAATGTGATTAAAGTAAGTTCAATTTATTATATTTAGAAAATATTGTGATTTAAAATAAAAAATACTTTTGTAGTTAAAAAGTTCATTTTGTATGTGGTAGGGTGCATTTGCTGTAGTACGAAGATTGATATGCCCCTGTTTTCCATAAAAAGTTTTAATTATAGATTTTTATTTTGAATTAACTGCAATGTTTGTCAGATGTTTCCATCAAAAAACACCTATTGGCAAAGAGCGAATTTGCTTCCTCTAGAAATTCTTTCCCACCTCACCCCTGCCTCAGGCTTATATGAGACTAATCGGAGGAAACACCTGCATATAATGCAAGTTGTGAATTTGTGTGATATCATAAGTTATCTATTTATTTTCATTGTGCACTCAAAATTCTAGTAAAATATAATTTTTCAGAAAAATGTTGAAAGCTTGTCTGGGAGATTCATATATTCCAGAGACATGAGGTATAGGCAGTCAAATTCAAGCAGCGATGAATTAAACTGACTGAAGTGATAATTGGGTAATTGGAATAAACTTTCCCTTTTGATCTATGTTTGAGATAACTGATATTCACGTTTGATAGTATGATGTCCTAATTGACCATGGCTATGTTGGGAAGCATTGGGCAGGTGGTTCTCCCATTTTCTATTGCAAAGATTCTCAAGTACAGCTCCTAAGAACTGGGGTGAGTGCTTGACAGGCTTTTATCTAACAGTCAGACACATAAGAAAAATACAGATACATTAGTGCATTTATTTTTTAACACTAAAAGGATTTATCCTTTGTATTATAAGATGATATCCGTTAAATTTGTGGGGGTTAAAATGACCTTTTCATTTGACGAAGTAAAAAGTTATTCTATGGTAGTGAGAAAAACTTTTGCTTTAAATTTTGCTAAACCATGAAGTTTTAAAGTGTGGTAAACCCTTGTGTGTTGCATATTTAGTATGCAAGGAGAGGTGTGCTTTGCTTCTAGACAAAAGGGAAGTAATGAATGAAAGTTGGCAGAGGGTGACAGATGCAAGAGAAATAGTGACGTACCTATGTCTCCTCTGATCGTGAAATGACACTGGAGCTTTCAGTGAATGACTGAAGAGAAAAAAAATCGAAGGAGATTTTTTAATGAGAACAATCACAGCCATTTACTTCTGAGGTGACAAAGCACAGCACTGCGTAGGAGGGGAAGATAATTTCTTTATCTCTAGTTTTAACTTGGCCCTTCTTGGGAATCTAGTGGATTGGAAACTTCATGACATAGTACCCTAGGTAGGTACAACAACATCCTCAGAAGAAAATGGAGCTCCATAAGTAAATCAATGTGAAGTGAACATTAACATCAAGCTATGAAACTGAAAAAGAATGCCCATGATGACTGTTTCCTGGAGACAATATATGACAATGGTTTGGGATATACATTAACAGTTGATTTAGGAAATGTCAAAGATAACTGAGTTGGGAGCTGGAAAGTAATCATGAAGATTTTGCATGAATATTTCGATTTCATGCTACTTTACCGCAACTTTACTGATGTTCCCTGAATGGTGACAGCAGGTGACATTTGTGTTAATAAATAGAATAAATCCTAAATATACTTGTATTGGTCTGATTTCACACTGGTAAAAAGAAATACCCAAGACTGGGTAATTTATAAAGGAAAAAGGCTTAGTTGACTCACATTTCGTCATGGCTGGGGAGGCCTCAGGAAACTTACAATCATAGCAGAAGGCAAAGGAGAAGCAATCACCTTCTTCATGAGGTGACAGGAAAAAGAGAGAGAGAGAGAAAGGGAAACCACCACTCGAAAAACCATCAAATCTCATGAGAACTCCGTCACTATCACAAGAACACCAAGGGGCGCCCCCATGATCCAGTCACCTCCCACCACGTCTCTCCCTGAACACCTGGGGATTACAATTTGAGATGAGATTTGGGTGGGGACACAACACCAAAACGTGTCAATACTATCCACACTTAAGTGATCAAAATTAGTGTCCTGTCTACTATTATATTTCCCTATTCCTGTTCCCAGTTACTGGTACTATCTTTAATTCAGAAAAGGTAACTAGAAATCTCCAAAATATATTTAGTTTAACTATTTTCCTTATCTCAGTCTCAATATACTCACTTAAAGACCAAATTTAATCACTGTTACCCTTGCACAACATTTTATTTGTATCTTTTCTGTTTTTTTTCTTCATGTCAGGGTTCTATAATATTCTGCCTAAACTATTTCAAGTAGTTTAAATTTGTGTAATATTTTTCCCAATTCACCAGCAAAGCAATCAAACTCTACAGATCAACTCATATTTAATTGTTTTTTAATTTTCATTTTTAGTTCTGGAGTACATGTGCAGGATGTGTGGGTTTGTTACACAGATAAACTTGTGCCACGGTGGTTTGCTGCACCTATCAACCCATCACCTTGGTTTTAAGCCCAGTATTTATTAGCTATTTTTATGAATGCTCTCCTTCCTCCCACCCCACCCCTGACAGGCCCCAGTGTGTGATTCTCCCCTCCCTATGTCCATGTGTTCTCATTGTTCACCTCCCACTTATAAGTGAGAGCATGCGGTGTTTGGTTTTCTGTTCCTGCATTACTTTGCTGAAGATAATGGCTTCCAGCTTCATCTATGGCCGTGCAAAGGACATGATCTCATTCCTTTTTGTGGCTGCATAGCATTCCATGGTGTATATGCACTGCATTTTCTTTATCCAGTCTATTGTGATGGGCATTTGGGTTGATTCCATCTCTTTGCTACTGTGAATAGTGCTGCAATAAACATATGTGTGCACGCATCTTTGTAATGTAATTATTTATATTCTTTGAGTATATACCCAGTAATGGGATCACTGGTTCTAGAAACTGGTATTCCTGGTTCTCGATCTTTGAGGAATTGCCACAGTGTCTTCCACAATGGTTAAACTAATTTACATTCCCACCAACAGTGTAAAAGTGTTCCTATTTCTCTGAAACCTCAACAATATCTGTTGTTTCTTGACTTTTTAAAAAAGACCATTCTGACTGGCGTGAGATGGTATCTCATTTTGATTTGATAAATGTCTTCCTTTTTTTTTTTTCTTTGAGACAGAGTCTCACTCTGTCGCTCAGGCTGGAGTGCAGTGGCACCATCTCGGCTCACTGCAAGCTTCGCCTCCCAGGTTCACGCCATTCTCCTGCCTCAGCCTCCTGAGTAGCTGGAACTACAGGTGCCCACCACCATGCCCGGCTAATTTTTTTTTGATATTTTTTAGTAGACACAGGGTTTCACCATGTTAGCCAGGATGGTCTTGATCTCCTGACCTCGTGATCCGCCCGCCTCAGCCTCCCAAAATGCTGGGATTACAGGTGTAAGCCACCACGCCTGGCCCCTGTATAAATGTCTTCTTTTGAGAAGTGTCTGTTCATGTCCTTTGCCCACTTTTTAATAGGTTTTTTTTTCTTGTAAATTTGTTTGAGTTCCTTGTAGATTCTGGATATTAGACCTTTGTCAGATAGATAGATTGCAAAAATTTTCTCCCACTCTGCAGGTTGCTCCTTCATTCTGATGATAGTTCCTTTTGCTGTGCAGAACCTATTTAGTTTAGTTAGATCCCATTTGTCAATTTTTGTTTCTGTTACAATTGCTTTTGATGGTTTCATCATGAAATCTTTGCCTGTGCCTGTGTCCTGAGTGGTATTGCCTAGATTTTCTTCTAGGCATTTTATAGTTTGGGATTTTACATTTACGTCTTTAATCCATCTTGAGTTAATTTTTGTATAAGGTTTGAGGAGGTGGTCTAGTTTCAATTTTCTGCAAATGGATAGACAGTTTTTCCAGCACCATTTAATAAATAAGAAATCCTTTCCCCATTGCTTGTTATTGACAGATTTGTCGAAGATCAGATGGTTGTAGATGTGTGCTCTCATTTCTGAGTTCTCTATTCTGTTCCCTTGGTCTTTGTGTCTGTTTTTGTGCAAGTACCATGTTGTTTTGTTATTGTAGCCTTATAGTATAGTTTGAGGTCTGGTATCATGATGCCTCCAGCTTTATTCTTTTTGCTAAGGATTGACTTGGCTATAGGGCTCTTTTTTGGTTCCATGTGAATTTTAAAATAGTTTTTTTCTAATTCTGTGAAGAATGTCAATACTAGTTTAATGGGAATAGCATTGAATCTATACATTACTTTGGGCAGTATGGCCATTTTCACGATATTAATTACTCCTATTCATGAGGATGGAATGTTTTTCCATTTGTTTGTGTCGTCTCTTATTTCTTTGAGTAGTTGCTTGTAGTTCTCTTGAAGAGGTCCTTCACGTCCCTTGTTAGCTATATTCTTAGGTATTGTATTCCCTTTGCAGCAACTGTGAATGGGAGTTAATTTATGATTTGGCTCTATACTAGTCTATTGTTAGTCTATAGGAATGCTTGTGATTTTTGCACATTGATTTTGTATCCTGAGACTTTGCTGAAGGTGGTTGTCAGCTTGAGAAATTTTTGGGCTGAGACAGTGGGGTTTTCTAGATATAAGATTATGTCATCTGCAAACAAATATTTTTGACTTCCTCTCTTTCTATTTGAATACCCTTTATTTCTTTCTTATGCCTGATTGCCCTGGCCAGAACTTCCAATACTGTGTTGAATAGAAGTGGTGAGAGAAGGCATCCTTGTCTTGTGCCAGTTTTCAAAAGGATTGTTTCCAGCTTTTGCCTATTCAGTATGATACTGTCTGTGGGTTTGTCATAAATGGCTCTTATTATTTTGACATACATCCCATCAATACCTAGTTTATGAAAGGTTCATAACATGAAGGTGTGTTGTATTTTATTGAAGGCCTTTTCTTCATCTATTGAGATAATCGTGCGATTTTTGTCTTTAAATCTGTTTATGTGATGAACTACATTTATTGATTTGCACATGGTGAACCAGCCTTGCATCCAAGGAATGAAGCCAACTTGATAGTGATGTATAAGCTTTTTGAAGTGCTGATGAATTTGGTTTGCCAGTATTTTATTGAGAAATTTTGCATTGATGTTCATCAGAGATATTGGTCTGAAGTTTTCTTCTTTTGTTGTATCTCTGCCAGGTTTTGGTATCATTATGATGCTGGCCTCATAGAATGAGTTAGGGAGGAGTCCTTCCTTTTTAATTGTTTGGAATAGTTTCAGAAGAAATGGTATTAGCTTCTCTTTGCATTTCTGGTAAAATTCAGCTGTAAATCCATCTGATCCTGGAATTTTGTTAGTTAGTAGGCTATTTATAACTGCCTCAATTTTAGAATACTTTATTGGTCTATTCAGGGATTCAACTTCTTCCTGGTTCAGTCTTGGGAGGCTGCATGTGTCCAGGAATTTATTCACTTCTTCTAGATTTCTAGTTTATTTGCGTAGAGCTGTTTATAGTATACTCTGTTGGTAGTTTGAATTTCTGTGAAGTCAGTGGTAATATCCCCTTTGTCATTTTTTATTGTATCTATTTGATTCTTCTATATTTTCTTCTTTATTAGTCTAGCTAGCAGTCTATCTATTTTGTTAATTTTTTAAATAAAACCAGCTCCTGGATTCATTGATTTTTTTTTTGAAGGGCTTTTCATGATTCTGCTCTGATCTTAGATATATCTTGTCTTCTGCTAGTTTTTGCATTAGCTGCTCTTGCCTCTCTAGCTCCTTTAATTGTGATATTAGAGTATCAATTTGAGATCTTTCTAGCTTTATGATGTGGACATTTAGTGATATGAATTTTACTCTTAATACTGCTATAGCTGCATCCCAGAGATTCTGGTACATTGTCTCTGTTCTCATTGGTTTCAAAGAACTTCTTTATTTCTGCCTTAATTGCTTTATTTACCCAGGAGCAGGTTGCTCATTTTCCATGTAGTTGTGTGGTTTTGAGTGAGTTTCTTAATCTCGAGTTCTAATCTGTGGTCTGAGAGACTGCTATGATTTCAGTTCTTTCGCATTTGCTGAGGAGTAATTTACTTCCAATTGTGTGATCAATTTTAGAGTAAGTGCCATGTGGCACCGAGAAGAATGTATATATTTTTTTGGTTGGGGGGGGCGGTTGTGGAAAGATGTGTAGATATCTGTCAGGTCCACTTGATAAATAGTTGAGTTAAAGTCCTTAATATCTTTGTTAATTTTCAGTGTCAATGATCTCTCTAACATTGACAGTGAGGTGTTCTCACACTATTATCGTATGGGAGTCTACATCTTTTGTAGTCTCTAAGAACTTGTTTTCCTAGTCTAGGTGCTCCTGTATTGGGTGCATATATCTTTAGGAGAGTTAGCTCTTCTTGTTTAATTGACCCCTTTACCTATATGTAATGTCCTTCTTTATCTTTTTTGATCTGTGTTTCCTTAAAGTCTATTTTGTCAGAAACTAGGATTCCAACCTCTGCTTTTTTGTTTTCCATTTGCTTGGTACATTTTCATCCATCTTTCTATTTTGAGTCTATGTGTGTCTTTGAATGTAAGATGAGTCCCTTGAACACAGAACACTGATGTATTTTGACTCTTTATCCAGCTTGCCATTCTGTGTCTTTTAATTGGGACATTTAACCCATTTACATTTAAGTGTAATATTGTTATGTGTGAATTTGATCCTGACATCATAATGCTAGTTGGTTATTTTGCAGACTTGTTTATGTATTTGCTTCACAGTGACACTAGTCTGTGTACTTCAGTGCGTTTCTTGTAGTGGCTGGTAACGGTTTTTCCTTTCCATATTTAGTGCTTCCTTCAAGTCTTGCAAGGCAGGCCTAGTGGTGATGAATTCCCTCAGCATTTGTTTGTCTGAAAAAATTTTATTTCTTCTTCACTTATGAAGCTTAGTTTGGCTGGATATGAAATTCTAGGCTGAAAATTATTTTATTTAAGAAGGTTGAATATTGGCCCCCATCTCTTCTGGCTTGTATGATTTCCACTGAGAGGTCTGCTGCTAGTCTGATGGGCTTCCTTTTATAGGTGACTTGGCCCTTCTCTCTGACTGCCCTTAACATTTTTTCCTTCGTATAGACCTTGGAGAACATGATGATTATTTGTCTTGTGGTTGATCTTCCTGTGAAGTATTTTATTGTGGTTCTCTGGATTTCCTGAATTTGAATGTTGGCCTGTCTTGCTAGGCTGGGGGAAGTTCTCCTGGACAATATCCTGAAGTGTGTTTTCCAACTTGGTTCCCTTCTCCCTGTCTCTTTCAGGTACCCCTATCAGTTGCAGGTTTGGTTTTTTTAACATAATCCCATAGTTCGTGGAGGTTTTGTTTGTTCCTTTTCATTATTTTTTCTCTAATCTTGTCTGCCTGCCTTATTTCAGCAAGATAGTATTCAAGCTCTGATATTCTTTCTTCCACTTGGTCTATTTAGCTATTGATTCTAGTGTTTGCACTATGAGGTTCTTGTGTTGTGTTTTTCAGCTCCATCACATTATTTATTTTCCTCTCTAAACTGGTTATTCTGGTTAACAGCTCCTATGTTTTATCATGGTTCTTAGCTTCTTTTCAGTGAGTTAGAATATAATCCTTTAGCTCAGGGAAGTTCATTATCACACATCTTCTGAAGCCTACTTCTGTCAATTCATCCATCTCAGCCTCAGTCCAGTTCTGTGCCCTTGCTGGAGACATGTTGTGATCTTTTGGAGGAGAAGAGGAACTCTGACTTTTTGAGATTTCAGCATTTTTGCATTGATTCTTTCTCATCTTCATGGGTTTATCTACCTTTGATCTTTGAGGCTGCTGACTTTTGGATAAGTTTTTTGTGGGATCTTTTTTTGTTGATGTTGTTGCTTTCTGTTTGTTTTTCTTTTAGTAGTGAGGCCCCTTTTCTGCAGGGCTGCTTCAGTTCTCTTGAGGTCCACTCCAGCCCCTATTTGCCTGGGTCCCTCCTTTCCCTGGAGATATCACCAGTGGAAGTTGCGGACCAGCAAAGATGGCAGCCTGCTCATTCCTCTGGGAGATCTGTCCCAGAGGGGCACTGACCTGATGCTGGCTGGAGCGCTCCTGTATGAGGTGTCTGGAGACTCCTGTTGGGAAGTCTCAGTCAGGAGGAGTAGGGTCGAAGACCGACTTAAATAAGCAGACTGGGCTTGGCATGGTGGCTCACGCCTATAATCTTAGCACTCTGGGAAGCTAAAGTGAGCAGATCACTTGAGGTCAGGAGTTCAAGACCAGCCTGGCCAACATGGTGAAACCCTGTCTCTATTAAAAATACAAAAATTAGCCGAGTGTGGTGGTGCATGCCTGTAATCCTAGCTACTTGGGAGGCTGAGGTGGGAGAATCTCTTGACCTGGGAGGCGGAGGTTGCAGTGAGCTGAAATCATGCCACTGAACTCCAGCCTGGGTGACAGACTGAGATTCCACCTCAAAAATAAATAAATACATAAGCAGACTATCTGCCCCTTGGCAGGGTGGGTGTGCTGTGCTCAGGGGAATCCCCATCATCTAGGATGCCCTGACCCTCCAGAGCCAGCAGGCAGAAAAGACTAAGATTGCTCATCCATGATACCACAGCCACCCCTCCTCCTATGGGCTCCTCTCAGGATTATCAGTGTACTATCCATAAACCCCTGGCTGGGGATGCTGAGATTCCCACAGGGAGGCCCCACCCAGTAAGGAGGAGTGGATCTCGTCCTGCTTAAAGAAGCAGTCTGGTCACAAAGTGGTCCAGTCACTATGCTGCACTGTGGGGAACTGCTGTCGGTCCAGACCATCCTGCCTGGCTGACACTGGCTGCAGGAGAAAGCAGCTGACTGTCTCAGCCTCTGCAGATGCTAGGATTAGAGGCATGAGCCACTGCACCCAATTCGAGTTATGATTCTTTTAATTTGCTATTGAATTTGGTTTCCTAGTATTTTGTTGAGGATTTTTGCATCTATGTTCACTAAGACTGTTAGCTTGTAGTTTTTGTTTATTTTTTCTTTTTTATTGCAGTGTTACTGTCTGAATTTGATTTCAATATAATGCTGGCTTCATAAAATGAGTTTGGAAATGTTCCCTAATCTTCCATTTCTTGGAGAAATTTGAAAAGTTTTGGTTTTGAATGTGTCCCAGAGATTCTGGTATGTTGTGTCTTTGTTCTCATTGGTTTCAAAGAACATCTTTATTTCTGCCTTCATTTTGTTATGCACCCAGTAGTCATTCAGGAGCAGGTTGTTCAGTTTCCATGTAGTTGAGAGGTTTTGAGTGAGTTTCTTAATCCTGAGTTCTAGTTTGATTGCACTGTGGTCTGAGAGACAGTTTGTTATAATTTCTGTTCTTTTACATTTGCTGAGGAATGCTTTACTTCCAACTGTGTGGTCAATTTTGGAATAGGTGTGGTGTGGTGCTGAAAAGAATGTATATTCTGTTGATTTGGGGTGGAGAGTTCTGTAGATGTCTATTAGGTCTGCTTGGTGCAGAGCTGAGTTCAATTCCTGGATATGCTTGTTAAATTTCTGTCTTGTTGATCTGTCTAATGTTGACAGTGGGGTGTTAAAGTCTCCCATTATTATTGTGTGGGAGTCTAAGTCTCTTTGTAGGTCACTCAGGACTTGCTTTATGAATCTGGGTGCTCCTGTATTGGGTGCATATATATTTAGGATAGTTAGCTCTTGTTGTTGAATTGATCCCTTTACCATTATGTAATGGCCTTCTTTGTCTCTTTTCATCTTTGTTGGTTTAAAGACTGTTTTATCAGAGACTTTATCAGAGACTAGGATAACAAAATTGATAGACCACTAGCAAGACTAATAAAGAAGAAAAGAGAGAAGAATCAAATAGACGCAATAAAAAATGATAAAGGGGATATCACCACCTATCCCACAGAAATACAAACTACCATCAGAGAATGCTATAAACACCTCTATGCAAATAAACTAGAAAATCTGGAAGAAATGGATAAATTCCTCGACATATACACTCTCCCAAGACTAAATCAGGAAGAAGTTGAATCTCTGAATAGAACAATAACAGGCTCTGAAATTGAGGAAATAATTAATAGCTTACCAACCAAAAAAAGTCCAGGACCAGACGGAATCACAGCCGAATTCTACCAGAGTTTCAAGGAGGAGCTGGTACCTTTCCTCCTGAAACTATTCCAATCAATATAAAAAGAGGGAATCCTCCCTAACTCGTTTTATGAGGCCAGCATCATCCTGATACCAAAGCCTGGCAGAGACACAACAAAAAAAGAGAATTTTAGACCAATATCTCTGATGAACATTGATGCAAAAATCCTAATTATAATACTGGCAAACCAAATCCAGCAGCACATCAAAAAGCTTATCCACCATGATCAAGTGGGCTTCATCCCTGGGATGCAAGACTGGTTCAACATACGCAAATCAATAAATGTAATCCAGCATATAAACAAAACCAACGACAAAAAAACACATGATTATCTCAATAGATGCAGAAAAGGCCTTTGGCAAAATTCAACAGCCCTTCATGCTAAAAACTCTCAATAAATTAGGTATTGATGGGACATATCTCAAAATAATAAGAGCTATTTATGACAAACCCACAGCCAATATCATACTGAATGGGCAAAAACTGGAAGCATTCCCTTTGAAAACTGGCACAAGACAGGGATGCCCTCTCTCACCACTCCTATTCAACATAGTGTTGGAAGTTCTGGCCAGGGCAATCAGGCAGGAGAAAGAAATAAAGGGCATTCAATTAGGAAAAGAGGAAGTCAAATTGTCCCTGTTTGCAGATGACATGATTGTATATCTAGAAAACCCCATCGTCTCAGCCCAAAATCTCCTTAAGCTGATAGGCAACTTCAGCAAAGTCTCAGGATACAAAATCAATGTGCAAAAATCACAAGCATTCTTATACACCAATAACAGACAAACAGAGAGCCAAATCATGAGTGAATTCCCATTCACAATTACTTCAAAGAGAATAAAATGCCTAGGAATCCAGCTTACAAGGGACATGAAGGACCCCTTCAAGGAGAACTACAAACCACTGCTCAATGAAATAAAAGAGGATACAAACAAATGGAAGAACATTCCATGCTCATGGGTAGGTATCAATATCATGAAAATGGCCATACTGCCCAAGGTAATTTATAGGTTCAATGCCATCCCCATCAAGCTACCAATGACTTTCTTCACAGAATTGGAAAAAAACTGCTTTAAAGTTCATATGGAACCAAAAAAGGGCCTGCATTGCCGAGTCAATCCTAAGCCAAAAGAACAAAGCTGGAGGCATCACACTACCTGACTTCAAACTATACTACAAGGCTACAGTAACCAAAACAGCATGGTACTTATACCAAACAGAGATATAGACCAATGGAACAGAACAGAGCCCTCAGAAATAATGCCACATATCTACAGCTATATGATCTTTGACAAACCTGACAAAAACAAGAAATGGGGAAAGAATTCCCTATTTAATAAATGGTGCTGGGAAAACTGGCTAGCCATATGTAGAAAGCTGAAACTGGATCCCTTCCTTACACCTTATACTATAATTAATTCAAGATAGATTAAAGATTTAAATGTTAGACCTAAAACCATAAAAACCCTAGAAGAAAACCTAGGCAATGCCATTCAGGACATAGGCATGGGTAAGTACTTCATGGCTAAAACACCAAAAGCAATGGCAACAAAAGCAAAATTTGACAAATGGGATCTAACTAAACTAAAGAGCTTCTGCAAAGCAAAAGAAACTACCATCAGAGTGAACAGGCAACCTATAGAATGGGAGAAAATTTTTGCAATCTACTCTTCTGACAAGGGGCTAATATCCAGAATCTACAATGAACTCAAACAAATTTACAAGAAAAAAATAAACAACCCCATCAACAAGTGGGCAAAGTGTATGAACAGACACTTCTCCAAAGGAGACATTTATGCAGCCAAAAGACACATGAAAAAATGCTCATCATCACTGGCCATCAGAGAAATGCAAATCAAAACCACAATGAGATACCATCTCACACCAGTTAGAGTGGCAATCACTAAAAAGTCAGGAAACAACAGGTGCTGGAGAGGATGTGGAGAAATAGGAACAATTTTACACTCTTGGTGGGACTGTAAACTAGTTCAACCATTGTGGAAGTCAGTGTGGCGATTCCTCAGGGATCTAGAACTAGAAATACCATTTGACCCGGCTATGCCATTACTGGGTATATACCCAAAGGATTATAAATCATGCTGCTATAAAGACACATGCACATGTATGTTTATTGCAGCACTATTCACAGTAGCAAAGACTTAGAACCAAGCCAAATGTCCAATAATGATAGACTGGATTAAGAAAATGTGGCACATATATACCATGGAATACTATGCAGCCATAAAAAATGATGAGTTCATGTCCTTTATAGGGGCATGGATGAAGCTGGAAACCATCATTCTCAGCAAACTATCACAAGGACAAAAAACCAAACACCACATGTTCTCACTCATAGGTGGGAATTGAACAATGAGAACACTTGGACACAGGAAGGGGAACATCACACACTGGGGCCTGTTGTGGGGTTGGGGGAGGGGGGAGGGATAGCATTAGGAGATACACCTAATGTTAAATGACGAGTTAATAGGTGCAGCACACCAACATGGCACACGTATATATATGTAACAAACCTGCACGTTGTCCACATGTACCCTAAAACTTAAAGTATAGTTTTAAAAGAAAAGAAAAGTATTGGTTTTAATTCTTCTTTAAATGTTCTGTCAATATTTGCTTTAGATACTTAGGTGCTCTGATGTTCAGTGCATATATATTTACAATCATCACATTCTCTTGATGATTTCCCTCTTTTATCATTATGTAATGACCTTTGTGTCTCTTTTAGAATTTTTTTTAAAGTCTATTTTGTTTTATATTTATATAGTCATCCTTGGTTACTGTTTGCATGAAATATCTTTTTCCATCCCTTCACTTTCAGACTATGTGAATCTCTAAAGGTAAATTTTGTCTTTTATAGGCAACATATAGTTAGATTTTTTAAAATTCAACCACACTTTGTCTTTTGATTGGAATATTTAATCCATTTACATTTAAAATTATTATTAATAAGTAAGAACTTAAATTTGCCATTTTGTGTATTGTTTTCTGTTTTGTAGTTCCTTTCTTTCTTTTTTTCTCTCTTGCTGCTTTTCCTAGTGACATGATGATTTTTTTAATGTCATGCTTTTACTTTTAATAACGTTTTGTGTATCTATTATGGGGTTTTTCTTTGTAATTATATTTTAAGCTAGTCATAACTTAACTTCAATAGCATACAAAAACAGTACACATTTACTTCCTTGCACCCCACACTTTATGCTATTGTCCTTATTTATGTATTTTTATTAAGTGCACACATTAAAATTATTGTAACTATACTTACTGTTAGTATTTTCATCTTCTAACTTTCATACTGGTGTTAAATGTGACCTACACACCACTATTAAAGTTTTTGAGTATTATAAATTTGACTATATCCTTTCCATTTACATTTTATATATTTATGTTTTTTCATGTTCTATTTAGTGTCTTTTTTGTTTCAACTTGAAGACCTGTATTTAGCAAATTTTTTTTGTGGTAGGACAGGCGTATAATCTTTACCTCTTCATTTCTGAATGTCACTTTTGTGGAGTGAAGTACTCTTGGTTGACAGACTTATTTTATTTCAGTACTGTGAATACATCATCCATTATTTCTTTCCTGCAAGATTTCTGCTGACAGAATACTGATATTTTTCTGCAGCTTCCCGTATATGTGATATTTCACTTTTCTTCTGCTCCTTTCAAAAATATCAGTTTGACTTTCATGTTGGATAATTAGATTATAATGTGTCTCAGCACAGATCTCAAAGTGTTCAGCTTCTTTGGGGTTATTTGAGCAGCATGGATATGGATGTTTATTTTCCTTTCTAGATTTGGGGAATTTTATGTTATTAGTTATTTAAATAAGATTTTCTTCCCGTTTTCCCTCTCTGCTCCTTCTAGAACTTCCATAATATAGATATTGTTTCACTTGATGGTGTGCCGTAAAGCAAGTAACCTTTCTTCATTCTTTTTTCTTTTTCCTCTGATTAGATAATTCAAATAATGTGCCCTCGAGTTTTCCAATTGTTTCTTTTTGATTGATTCTTCCTCTTGCTGCTTGATTCAGTCTTCTGTTGAAGCTTTCTATTGAATTTTTTATTTCAGTCATTGTCTTCTTTGGCTACAGATTTCTTGTTTATTTTTATGTTTTTATTTTATTTATTTATATTTTTGAGATGGAGTCTCACTCTGTTGCCCAGACTGAAGTGCAGTGGTGCAATCTTTGCTCACTGCAAGCGCTGCCTCCCAGGTTCATGCCATTCTCCTGCCTCAACCTCCCGAGTAGCTGGGACTACAGGCACCCGCCACCATACCTGGCTAAGTTTTTGTATTTTTAGTAGTGATGGGGTTTCACTGTGTTCGCCAGGATGGTCTCGATCTCCTGCCCGCCTCAGCCTCCGGGAATTTTTAAGCCTAGGGAATTTAATTCAAAGAATCGGTTGAATAAGTTGATGAAAACACTGAGGGTTATAGCAACAGATAGTAATGCCACCCAGTAGATTAGGAACAGAAAATTCCACTGTCCCTAGGGCCGGAGGTACAAGGGAGGAGACTAGAAACCACAGCATTCCATATGGAACTTTAACCAAAGCAATGTTACCCCTGCAGGAGTCAGGGCCACAAAATGAGTGTTAGGTCAATGAAACAGAGTAAAAGAGCACATAAAGCCATTGCTAGATTTATCACTGAAGGCACAGAGAAATGGTTAGAAAACTCTGATTTCTCTTAATTCCTCTCATTTTCACTTCCTCCTTCTTTTCTTCCCTCAGTTGCCTCACATTGAACAAATCTTTAGGAAAGCCAGAGAGCAAGAGCACCAGGGAAATGTAACTTACAAGAGAAGAATAAGAAATGGATCTGGAGATAAATAAGCTAATGGCAAACACAAGAGAGCATCTTCTGTGCTTTCACAAAAGCATCATTGAGTTTTAGCCAGATAATATTTTTTGGTATAATCAAAGAAAGACTTCTTAGAGAGCTAGAAGGATCTAAGTGAAGAACTGTGTGCCCTTGTGAGGTTGGTATGGTGGTGTCAGTGGTGATATCTATTGGAGAATGACTGTATACTAAATTTTGGAGCTGAAAACTGGCTTAAAAGGAGTCCAAAATTGGGCCCCAAAAGGAAGAATATGGGGTCCATGTCTTTGAGAACTCATGAAAAATTCTACTAAAGAACTATAAGAAAAATTTATGGGGACCATTAACAGAAGTTGATTTATATTAGTAATATGGGTGTACGCTCAAATAATTTTGATATAAACTATATTATATCTTGTTGTATCACTATGTTGATTGAAATATCTGAAATACATACACACATATATTTTCAAAGCACTAGTACAAGTCCATCAGATTCATTAGATATAAATGCATTTTAAATTTATATTTAGAACGTGAAATTAAATTATAACCTATCCAATGAGGGCTAGAAGAAAATGAAGAATTTAATAACTCTTATGAGTGTATCAACAAAGCCAAAAGCCTAGACAGAGCATTTATAAAAGGATTATAAATCATATTGCCCTTTAACAGATAGATAAAAACAAATCTCTAAGACTTAGGTAATATTGGATAATGTAACTTCTAATGTATTTTGATTAAGAGGACAAATTTATTCATGAATTTAGCAATGTTTAAGTCAAACTGTCTTTGAAGGACATTACATTTTCATTAAATTATGACATATATCAGGTTTTATATTCCACTGTTTGTCATTAAAAATCTTTTGCAATGTGCTTTTTTCAACTGTATTTCAAAATCCTTTCTTCTTTTTCCCTATATCCAGCTCTTTTCACTTTGTAAGATTATATATGTATTTTTTCATAGAATACATCTATTTAGGATCTTCTATGAGTTAATCATTGGAGTGTATGCTAGAGATAAACTAATAGGCAAGATATTATCTTTGCCTTTAAAGATATTGTTGTATAATAAGGGGTGTGGGCATTATGCATGCAATTGCAATGATATCTGATGTGGGTTGTGGTGAATTTGCACTTTCAACTTAGCTCAGTTGGACATTATTTCCCAGAAATCACTTTCCTTTATGGATGTGAGTTAGGGTTGTCAATAAAAGAAATATGGAAGTTAGAATTTCAGCAGCAGCCATTGAGCTGTGAAGATTGATGAAGGGTATCTGCCACTACTGTATCTCATGTACATTGTCACTTATCTGCTGGATCACTTTGTGGGCATGAAGCTGTACTGAGGCCACAGGCCCTTAGCTCCTTCCAGATCTTCTGCCTCACATATTCCAATTATGAGCCATGCACGTAGGCCACATTACTACAAAGGTGCCAGCTTCTTTTTCAGGTCATCCTCACAATCAAGGTTGGAGGTTTATACTCATGGATTCTAGGTTGTCTTCACGGATTCTAGTCTTTTTTCTCTTCTCTACTTCATGTCCAGCTTTTTAACCTATATTTTACCTTTCAGTGACTTTAAAGCTTCAGATAGGTACAGAGGCAAAAGCCTTTCATTCAATTTGCCACATGGTTCCACAACTGTGTACAGGCTAATCACAGTATTATATCCCTAACTCTGCATCACTCATATTTTTTTTTTGCTTCTTTGTTTAATCACTGACTGATTCAGAGACTAGTCTTACAAGCAGTTACACTACATACAACCTTCAGAATGGATTGCCTTAAAAAAATCTTCTCATATGATTAATATTAATGGCATTAGTGATGCTGTTGTCCATAGTGAAGGATGCTGGTAGCCCAAGGCAATCTGTGGCAAATAGTCACTTAAATTATCATACTTCAATTAGACTCTTGTAATAAAATGCCTATGAGAGGGAAGGTTTAGGAGACAAAGGAGTTGCTGCTAGTAATATTGTAGTGAAAATGAAGAGTATGATGTAATTGATTGGTTGCTTTTACTTGTGTTGCAGTGCTTATAAAAGAGAGAGAAAAACAACCCAATTAGTGCAAAGCTTTAAATCCAAAACTAAAGGCCTCAAAAAGTGATCAGAAAACTTTGTGATGACTCCAAAAGAGCCACTTATTCCCTACAGGCACAGAGCCAAGTTATAAAAACCAAACCCACAGTCTCATCTTGCAGGTGATTGAATTGTAATACAAAATGAATTCATGGTCCCACAGGTCTCTTATGTTAAAATTAAGGCATTGATTAGGTAGAAGTGGAACACCAAAGAGTGGGATGGAGATGTATGTCTGAATTTTTATGTAACTAGGGATCTTGATTTTATAAATTCTGCTGAGCCTCCTCTACCAGTAGAAGCACTCTTTTGTCCCCTGAGGGATATAGTCTCCTTTTGTTTAAGAACCAATCATCATGAGGTAACTGCTAATTTTTCCTAAGGACTATACTCAACACCTCTCATTGTTTCTAGAACTAAAGCAGACTCAAATCTGAAAGCCTCAGGTAGTAAGTTATAAATTGCATCCTGTGAGGAGGACAACAAGAATATAAGATTTTTCTAACTCATATCAGGGCTTCCCGAGGGTGAATGCGAGTGAAATAAAATAATGTGGGATCAAGTCATATTTGTTGGTACATATTCTGGATTCTGTATTATCTGTGTTATCTATGGTAGTTGGTAGAGACAGTCTTTTAGGTTGTTTGACTGAAGCATAAATTCAAAGGTGACCTAGACTGAACTTTTTTGCTATATTGTAAAAGAAGGAATCCAAAGGTTTAGGAAGGTTGGAAAGCTAGAGCAGATTTTTCATGTGAAAACTGCTCACTCATTTTGTGTCTTGCCGTGTGAGAGCATCCAGCAGACCTTCCCTTTACTGAGGCTATGAGGAATATGTTTGTGAGGGAGCCACTCATTGTTGAACAGCTCAGTGGTGGTTATTCTCTGTAAAGTGATGTAGAGTCAATTTTCACGCTGCTGATAAAGACATATCCGAGACTGTTCAATTTACAAAAGAAAGAGTTTTAATGGACTTACAGTTCCATGAAGCTGGGGAGGCCTCACAATCATGGTAGAAGGCAAGGAGGAACAAGTCGCATCTTATGTGGATGGCAGCAGGCAAAAAGAGAGCTTGTTCAGGGAAACTCCTTCTTATAAAACCATCAGGTCTTGTGAGACTTATTCACTATCACGAGAACAGCAGGAGAGAGACCTGCCTCCATGATTCAATTACCGCAACTGGGTCTCTTGACTACTGGATACTGGCTGTCAACTGACACTAATTTCTAGAAACCCAGAATGCCATCAGTCCACCAGGGAATGCAGAGGCTTATGAAGCATGGGTGATAAAACAGAATTGGCTCAGGTTCATCTCTCAGTGGACCTAATGTGTCATGAAACATTTTTCATTATTTCCTGACACAAAATAGACATAGCTTCTGAAATAATCTCCATATTACTTCCCTGACCCAAAGTGTAAGGATTATTCTAGTCAAAAGGCCAAGTGGAAGACAATCGGCCTCTTCAATGAGACATTCCTGGAGAAACTGCAGAGATAATTGCCACCACTAAGAATGTGAAAGAAAAAGGTTGGTGATTTCTACCACATCCCTTTCAACTTGTCAATTTGGTTGCTCCAGAAGACAGATGGATTATGACAAATGAGAGTGGATTATCACAGACTCAATCACATGAGGACTCTAACTTCAGCAGCTATTCCAAATTTGACCTTATAACTAAAGAAAATCAACACATTATTTTGCACCTGAAATGCAGTTCTTGACGCGGTGAATTCCCCCTCCACCCATCCCCCGCATACCTGGTAATGAACATCATCAGAAGAAGTTGATTTTAAGCTAGGTAGTCAAGTACACATCTTCATTGTTTAATTGCAGAACTCTATCAAATCTCCAACTCAAACTATCCTATGTGGGCTTTCCACAAATGACAGCATCATTCTGGCTCATTCGATTCATCAACAATTTGCTGATCAGACCAACTCAAAGGTAAATAGCAATTATTTTAGAAATTGTAATAAGGGACACGTTGCAGAGAGCAGGAAATAAATCTCACCAAAAAGTGAGGGCCTGCTACCTTGGTGAAGTTTCTACATATGGTTTGGAAGATATCCTGGTCCCATCTGAAGTTGCTAGTTGCGTTGCCACAGCTCCATGCAGGAGTGCCTATGATGGACAAAAGTGAAGAAAAATCTTCCCGGTGGGCAGAGTTTTGAGCAGAGCACCAAGTAATTCATTTTTTAATGGAGGTAGAAATTGATCAATACATAGATCTATGTTGACTGATGAGCAGTAACAAATTGGCTGCATAATGGGTAACTTGGAAAGGATATAGCTAAGAGATTTTAGGTAAGAAATTTTGCTGAATAAATCTAAGGATAAACTTCTTTCAGTTGGCACAGAATGTGAAGATATATGTGCCCAACATAAATGTTAACCTAGGAAAAACCTATTAGTAATTAGGCGGATAAGATACTCTGTTCTCTAGACATAATTCCCCCTTTTCCCCAACCACTCTGTCCTTGCAAATGTGGTTCATGAGCAACATGGCTATGACAGCAGAGATTAAGTTATGCATGGACTCACTAAATAATACCTATTGCTGAGTGCCTAACTTGCCAACAGCAGGTTGGTACTCACTGGGTGCACACTCAGCTGGCACACAGAACCTCCAATATGGCATTGTTCTCTAAGGGATTCATCTAGCTACATGTAGCAGTTTGCCTAGCTTGAGTACTACCATCTTAGAAGGCATAGTTTTTGCTTACTCTGTACATGGATTGTGTAGTGACAGAATGACTAGTGTGTATTCTGCACTGCATTGCTTCTGGCCAAGTAAACCATTTTATATAAGATGAAGTTTAACAATGATTGCATGCTTATGAAATGGACTGGTCTTACCACATCACATCTCACACTAAAAATAGCTGTCTTAGTAGAATAGTGAACGGTCTTAATGTTAACTATAGTTACCAAGCTGTACATTAAATTTCCAGAAACTATTAATCTTATAGATGACATTTGTACCTCTTGACCAAAATTTTCCCATTTCCTCCAACCCCCATCTCCTGGAAATCACCATTCTACTCTCTATTTCTATGAGTTTGACATTTTTAGATTTCACATATAAGTGAGATTATATATATATGATTATATATATAAATTAAAATATATAAAATTATAATATATCTCACAATTTCTTCATCCATTTATCCTTCTATAGACACTTAGCTTGTTCTCATTTCTTGACCATTGTGAATAATGCTGCAATGAACATGGCACTGCAGATAGCTCTTTGAGCTAATGATTTTGTTTTATTTGGATACATACACAGAAGTGAGATTTCTGGGTCTTATGATAGCTTATTTTAAATTTTTTGAGGGAAAATACCATTTTCCATGATGGTTGTGCTAATTTACATTTCCACCAGTGGTGCACAAGGATTCCCTTTTCTCCACATCCTTGCCACCATTTATCTCCTGTCTTTTTTATAATTGCCATTGTAACAGTTGTGAGGTGATATTTTGTGATTTTGGTTTGCATTTCCCTGATAGTTGGTGACATTGAACATCTTCTCATGTTCTTGTTTGCCATTGTGTATGTCTTCTTCGTAAAAATGTCTATTCCCATACCCCCCAAAAAATGTATTTTCAAGTCTTTGGCCCATTTTAATTCAGATTGTTTTCTGCTATTGAGTTATATGAGTTTCTTATATATTTTGGATGTTGATCCCTTATTAAAGATCTTAAATGTTCTCACCACATACTCACACAAATGGTAATTATTGGGAGGTGATAGGGGTGTTACCTAATTTTACTGTGGTAATCATTTCATATACGTGTGTCAACTCTTCCTATTGTACACCTTAAATCTATACAATTTTGTATAATAATTTTGTATAATTGAGGATTATACCTCAATAAACCTGGAAAAAAAGAAAAGTGAATGGTCTTCTGGAAACTCACATATAGTGCAAGCCTGTAGCAATGTCTTACAGGGCTAGGATAATATAACTCAGCATATGTATGTGCTCCAAATCAACAACCAATATAGGGCGCTCTTTATCCCATAAATCATGTTCACAGCTCCATTAGTCAAGGGGGTGAAATTGGGAGCAGATTTTTTCACCATTACCCCTATACAATTGGACAAAATTTAAAAAAAATTTCACATCCTAGTTTCAGTGCAAGAAAGGCTTCATAAGGGGACATAGCAATGGTTTCATTAAATTGGAAGTAGAAATTGCCATACTGCTTCTTTGGACTCTTCACTCTAGTAAATGAAGAAGCAGAGAAGTGAGTTACTCTATTGAAATAGGGTAATAAGTTTTTCTGCAGACTGAATGATTGTATCCCCCCCAGAATTTATATTTTAAAGTTCTAACTCCCAGTGCCATGGTATTAGGAGGCAGGGCTTTGGGAAATAATTAGGTCATGAGGGCAGATCCCTCGTGAATGGGATTAATGCCCTCAGAAGAAGAAACACATATCCTTGATCTTGGACTTCCCAGCTTCCAGACCTGTGATAAACAAATGTTGGTTAATCCACCCAGTCTGTGGCATTTTGTTATAGTATCCTGAACTGACTAAACAAATTATCCCTTTCAAAAAGAAATTAGGTTTCCACTACACGGTGTGAGTATGGAATTAAATGTGTGGAATGAAGAATAACTCATGAGAAGCCTCTCAGGACTCCATGTTTTGTGGTAAAAATTAATGAAAAACTGTAACAAGCCAGAGCAGGTAGGATGGCTATGACGTAGACTCTGCAGAATAAAGTTCTGGACACTGCAAGGCAAGAAATGTGGACAGACAAGCTATGTGCCAGGGATAAAAGGACTATGGAATGGATAGTGGAAGAAGCAAATATAAACAACAGCTATGAAGTATGACAAGTTGAAGAAAAGAGAAGTATAATAGTTATAAGATTCTCCTTTATTTTTATATTAAAAAACTGTGTATATGTTACCTAATTATTTTATTTCCCCGCTCTCATTCTCCCATCAGCTGAAATAAAATGTTTTTATAATGGTTAACCTGAACACATCAGGATTTACTGATATTAAAGGATCTGTTACAATAGCAGTAGACTCTATCCTCAACTAGGGATAAAGAAATGATACATGAGACGTTGTATACTATTTTGGGGAGTGAGTTAGCATGTTTAAGTTTAGACAAGTAATAATTGCATGATGAAGTAATTGCATTGTGGAAGCATGATTTAAATAATAAATGCGTGTCTGTGTTTAGAAGTTAAGAATAGCTAAGACAGAGTATTTAGTATGAATACCTACTTAAGTGATGGTCTGTGAATGTTTTGTACTATGTTAACTTAGATAAGTTAGAACTACATTTCCAAGAATCCCCTTCCCTGTAGAGTTCTGGAAATCATCACAAAGGTAATGGCAGGCTTGAGATGGTCCGAGAAGGCATGGGGGTAAATCACCACCAAGCATGGCAAAAGCAGGAATTCACTACCACTTCTGTGACTGAACATTGCTGGATAGAAAATTCTTATTCCTTAAACATGTATTTCAACTTCAAATTCTGTAATGTCTTCTTTTTTGGTTAATGGTGAATGTTAAAAAGAACCTTGATATTAGTGTATTTTATATCTTTTCATTAATTTATTCAATGAATAGCTACTAATCATGCAAGAGATTACCCTTATACTAGATATGGGATGAATGAGTAAATAAAACATAGGTATTTGCTATTTTAGGCCTTATATTTTATCTGAGGAACAAAGATGGGTAAAGTAAACAAGTACTTTTTTGGAACATGCAAAATGCTGTAGAATTAGTGAAAACATGTATAAGTAAGAGGATACAAGGGTACCAGGGTCAGGGTGATGGCACGGTATTAGGTAGAGTCGTCAGGTAGGTCTCACTGATAAAGTGAGATGAAGGTTTAGCCTTAATGAAGACAAGAAAGTTTGCCAAGCAATTATCTGAGGAAAGAAAATTCTGGACAGAGAAAACAGCTAAGGGCAGAGACCCTTAGTTTGGAGTGTGCCTGGAGTGCCTGGAGACCTACAAAGAAGCCAGTGTTCCTAGAGCAAAGTGAGTGAGAAAGAGAGTTGAGATTAAAGATTTTAGATGTAAAGGTCAGATTATGTGGACTCAAAAGAATATTTTTAAATGAAAGTCATTGTAAGATGTTTATATGCTGTTAAAAAAAACATTCCAGTAAAGAGGAAAACAAAATGGTGATATAAGAGTGAGGGAGTAGTTTTTGGAGTTCTGTCCTTAATCAGGTGAGAGCTTATGGGACCAAATGCACAGAAGTGGTCCCTGATCATAACTAGGAGTGCATACAGTTCCTCTCAGCTACAGGAGGGACAGCAGAGCAGATAGGCAGATATGATTAAGTTGCCAAATGCGGTGGTGTCATCAAGGAGAAATTCTATTCTGGAAACTTCTCTTTTCTCAGTAAAATAGGAAATAGTTAATTAGAAGGAGAATGGGGGAGAAGGTGTAAATGTGTGTGGAACTATGACAAGGAACAGAGAAATCTAGACGACTAGAAGAATGAGTGGGCTAGGTTTATTTACTAGAATCATGAAGCTAATATCTTAGGGCAGGTTGGGTGTAGTGGCTCACTCCTGTAATCCTAGCACTTCGGGAGGCTGAGGCGGGTGGATCACCTGAGGTCAGGAGTTCAAGATCAGCCTGATCAGCATTGTGAAACCCTGTCTCTACTAAAGAATACAAAAATTAGCTGAGCATCATGGCATGTGCCTGTAATCTCAGTTACTTGAGAGGCTGAGGCAGGACAATCGCTTGAACCCAGGAGGCAGAGGTTGCAATGAGCTGAGATAGCGCCACTGCACTCCAGCCTGGGCAACAAAGGGAGAGTCCATCTCAAAAAAAAAAAAAAAAAAAAAAAAAAAATCTTAGGGTAGGGTAGTGTTCTCAAACTTAACATGCATTGTTATCTCCTGTAGAAATTTTTAAAACTGGTTACTGGGCTGCACACTTAGATTGCAGGGCCACAGGATTCAGTTGGTGCAGGAAGAATTCTGAAAATTCACATTCCTAACAAAACCCCAGATGATCCTTACTGTTCAGTGATCACACCTGGAAACTCACTCTTTCTAAAGAGATCTAAAGAGAGCCTAAGGCTATGTGATCTCTTTTTGTTCCTATTTTGTGCAATTACTCCCTGAGTACATTTCTCTGCATTTCATGTATTTATTAATTGGCTCATTTATTCTTCATATACTAATGTTAATCTGTTTGAAATTCCCCGCAATTTCTCCTAAAGGATTTGAGATGAATACATAATCGGTAATGTTATAAATATAAAATGGTAAAAAAAAATTAATAACCAATTCAACATTTTTCCAGTCTCTCCTGTCTAGAACTTTGTTTAGCAGGGTACTTCTCATAATTTTAAACATTAATTTTGCAAATGATAATGTGATACTTATGAATAATAAAAATAATTCATAAGGTACACATTATTCTTAAAATCTAAAACTGCAAATGGATCTGAATATATTTTCCAAAAGAAAAAATAATTCCCCGAAGCAAGCAAATATAAAAAAATAACAGAAAAATTTTACAGATACCTACTTATCTTTAGCCCTTGCAGAAAAATCAAAACAAAACAGAAAATCTGCACTGGAGCATTTGAAGCAGTGTAAGCAAAGACTACATTGTTCTGGAAAATGTGTGGTCACTTCTAAACTCCCGTCTGTGTGGGAAAATACACCAGGAGGTTTCATCTCAGTACAAATCAGCATGCCAAATCTGGCAATAGGATGGTGTTATCTTTCAAGAGAGTCGACAGGAGTTCCAGAAGGAACATTTGGTGAAGAATCTGCCAACTGCCTTTATTACTTTCTGAACTACCTCTAAGTTACAGGTATTTCCAGTTTTGTTCTGCAGATAATTTGAGCTCCATCTGTGGTTGATGAATATTTTTTAGTATGCTATTACAAATTATGGCTTTCGGCACTGTTGCAGCCCCTCTCTGCTAATTCAGCTACATAAAATATTGTGTTTCTTGATGCTGGGTATATTTCCATAGTGGGAAATGCAGTGAGAGAAATAGGGGTCCTATTTTCTATTGCAATTTGTTGGTCGGTTCGTTTCCACATAAAATATTGTTTTTAATTTTATGCTGAAATAGGTGATTATTAATTCTAAAATATAAATTTCCAACAGAGTCTGTACTAAACTCCTAAGGAAGTCAGATATGTTTGTACAGAAATTTTAATTCATATCAAAACCTACATAGTAACTATATAGTTACTTAATTTGATTTGAAACAAGAAACATTTGATTATATTTATATTGTGGATAATTTAGATGTGGTCAGTTAAGAATTAGTTTTAATCCATTTTGGTGAAATTATTCCTATCAATTAACAAAATTATAACATATATTGTAGTTTGATGTTGTAGTTCTTCCTAGATATATTCCTGAAATAGTTTTAGTACATGAACTATTATATACTGAATCTGTGTGTAGGCTCACAGGTCTGGCAGGTCAATTATAGCAGAGGTCAGAGTAAGGCAGAAGATTATGTCCTACATGGTAGAGACAGAAAGGAAGGTCAAGCAAGATGATTAAGAGAACAGAGTGTAGGCCAGGCGTGGTGGCTCACACCTGTAATCCCAGCACTTTGGAAGGCTGAGGCAGGTGGATAACGAGGTCAGGAGATTGAGACCATCCTGGCGTCTCCTGTCTCTACTGAAAACACAAAACATTCGCTGGGCATGGTGGTGGGCGCCTGTAGTCCCAGCTACTCAGGAGGCTGAGGCAGGAGAATCGCTTGTACCCGAGAAGCAGAGGTTGCAGTGAGCCAAGATCATGGCACTGCACTCCAGCCTGGGTGACAGAGCAAGACTCTGTCTTTAAAAAGAAAAAGAAAAAGAGAGAGAGAACAAAGTGTAGAGGAATTGGGGATTCATTTCATATCAATTAGTGCATTTTGAATAAATACAACTTAGTATATGACATCATAAAAATGGAAGGATTTGGATCTTTTACTCTAACTCCCATGGTGTACCTGAAGCACAGTCAAGCAAGTCTGGATTTAAAAGCATGTACTCTAGCTTGGACACTCGCTAAATCTGCAACTTTACAAAATGTTTTCTCTGCCTCTGAAACAACCATGTTTATTTTTCTCCCTTATTCTATAAATATGGTAAATTTCATTATTACATATCTTGATAAGCCATTTTAAAATTCTATGGACAAATTTAGGGACTGTGATTTATGTTGGATAAGTGCTGGGTTTAATTTGCTAAGTTAAAAATTCATTTGCATTTATATTAATAAAGTGAGACTGGTCTATGTGATTTTCTTTTCCTATAAAACGCTTCTCCAACTTTGTTACAACGATTACATAAACTGTATAAACAAATCTAGTAGATATTTCTACTTTCATTCTCTGCAAAAGTTGGTGCAAGATAATTATAACGAGATATTTGTTCTTTGAAGTGTTAGTGAAATGTGGTTCTGTGGGTGAGTAAAAATTTGCTTATTATACAACTTCTGTTATTGGTCTATTTCCAGGTTTTACATTTTTGAACTAATTTGGTCATTTATATTTATTTGGAAATTCATCCATTTTGTTTATATTTCGAATTTAGATTCCTGAATTATTTCATAAAGTGTTTCTATGACTTTTAAATCCCAAATGTACGTGCAGATTGATTTAAAGTCCTTATTTTATTCTAAATATTGGGTTTTGATGGTATCGCTTCTGGGTTTTGCTTGTTACGTTTTGTTTTGCTTTGATTAGCTTACTTAATGATTTTTTTCTATTCTATCATAATTTTTAAAGGACCACATTTTTTTCCATACTGAAGGAAAGGCAGGTTATTTTATTTTTTAACTCAATACATTTTGCTTATGGATTACTATAGCTACTCATTTGAATGCTTACTTAATTATAATTATTTTTGCTTTCTCTAGATGTATGAAAGGCTACAAGTTGTTTATAAGTAACAATTTGCCTGCTTCTTGTAAGTTTTGCAATTTAATGGTCTCATTGTGATCTGGTTTTAAATATATCTTAAATGCTGACATAAATTATGGGCGATTTATGGGTATACTTTTAGGTTTTAAATGTGTTAGGATTATGTTTTAGCAATATGATTTTTAATAATTTCTAATTTTATTGCATTGAGATCAGTCAAATCTCCCAAGATTTTTGAGCCAACCTTTCTTGAATATAGGATGGCAAATATTTACAAATGTTTCATGTCCATTTTAAATGCATGCATTTATCTGTTGGTTAAATGTTATCTCTGTACCTGTTATATCAGACTAGTTAATCAAGTTTTTCTGATCTATATACTTAACTTATTTCTTGCATGCTTGAGATATTTCTTGAAAGTTATGTTAGCATTCCTCTTACTATGTTGTTGAGTTTTAAATTGTCCTTATCATTCTGTTACTTATAACTTTAGAAAATTTAGGACTATGAAGTTAGGTACAGACATGTTAATTATTTTATATGTTTGTGCATTTTTATTAGAATGTAATATCTCTATCTTAGACCTTTTATATAATATCATGTTGATGTGACAGCTATATATGCCTATTGTACTATTTTTCTCATCTCTTCATTTTCAACCTTTTTAAATCCTGTTTCAGAAAAGGATCTAATATGTTATAGATAAGTGGATTTTTATGGCCAATATGAACATTTCGACCTTTTAATATCAATAAAGTTAACTTATTTACAGTTATGTAACTACTGATCTATTTTAACTGATCTGCTGTCTTATTTTACCTTTTCTCCTTGCTCTATTTTTTTCATTGTTTCTAATTCCCTTCTTCTTTGAAGTAACCAACTCTCATTTATTCTCTTTTCCCTTATATTAATAAGTATTTCAGCTCATTGGAAAATATGAATTCTAGTTACAATCTTTAGTAGCTACCTACAAATTCATTCTAACTTACATGATTAGTGGTGTTTTTCCTACAAAGGTAATAAGTTATTTAGTGTTTCTCTTCTCATGCATGAGACAGGACCATTTTGCATTGTTTTTATTCTTTCTTTCCATATTGAACTCCTCTGTTGTAATATTGTAGAACAGAATTTCCCAAAATCCATATGGTTATGCTTGTACAATTAGCCAATCTCTCTTCAACCCCCACCTCCCCACACACACCCTTTTCAGCCTCTGATAACCATCATCCTACTCTCTATTTCCATGAGATCAACTTTTTAAACTCCTACATATGAAGGAGAATATGTAATATTTGTGTTTATGCCTGGCTTATTTCGCTTAACATAATGACCTTCAGTTCTATCCATATTGCTGCAAATATCAGTATTTCATTCCCTTTTCAATGGATGAAGAGTACTTCATTGTGTACATATACCCCATTTTGTTTATTCATTCATTCATTGATGGACATTTAAGTTGATTCCATATCTTGCTATTGTGAATGGTGGTGGAATAAATATGGAGATGTAGGTATCTCTTTGATATACCTTGTTTTTTAATACAACATAGTTACGTTGAATATTTATTAGATTTGCCATTAGGATATTGAACATCCTTGGCTACCATTGCTCCTTGCATATAACTTCTTTGATCTGACTTAACTTTTTCCTCTTAATTAAATTTATGCTAGGATTTTTTAATTAAAAGGGGATAGAACTCAGCCTAAATGTCCTTAAATAAAATAGGTTATTTTATAAAACATTTGGAATAGAATGGCTTTCATGCAGGTTGATAGCCATGATTAATTTTTCAACTTTGCTTTTACAGCATCAAAACTCATCTCATGTTTGGAAAAAAAATTGGGGCTGTCTGCTAGCTAAAACACTCTCCAGCAGTCTTATCAGATCAGCAATGTATTTAATCATTTAACAAATATTTGATAACCTACTAATTGTACAACAGAATTGCAGGCACTGTGTGTCGGTTTAGGTTTTCCAAGAAGCAGATGACAAGAAACACAGGAGACCTACTGGAGAAATATCTGCGTGGGATAAAATGGTGAGGAAACTAGAGTAGCTGGGGAAAGCTTAAGATCACATTGCAGGTTTGACACACGTGAGTGCAGAAAGACAGCAAAGGTGGATTGAGTAGGAAGACCTCAGTATTCAGTGCAGCATAAGAAACTTTTATCTTTTCTCCTTTGTGAAAGATCAGTGGAATATATTTCTGTATGCCTTTTTCTTTATTCTCTATTCTGTTCCACTCATCTGTTGATCTGCTCTTTTACAAATACCAGGTTGTCTTGATTTCTTCAGCATTGTAACTCTCGAAGTCAGGTAGTGTCAGTCCTGCAACTTTGATCTTCTTCAGTATTGTGTTGACTATTCTGTTTCTCTTGCCTTCCACATAAATTTTAGAGTCAGTTTGCTGATATCCACAAAACAATTTGCTAGTATTTTGACTAGGATTACATTGAATCTAGAGATTGCGTGGGAAAAAATTCTAACTTAGTGATATTGAGTCTTTCTATCAATGAACATCTAATATCTGTCAATGTATTTATATCTTTGATATCTTTCATTAGACTTGTATAATTTTCCTTATATTGAACCCTGTGCTATTTTGTTAGATTTGCTCCTAGTAAATGTTTCTATTGCAAATTCTTATTGTTCATTGTTGTTATGGGAAATCATTTGAGTTTTTTGTATTAAGATTGCATTTGGCAACCTTGTTATAATTGCTTATTAGTTTCAGGAGTTTTTTGTTGATTCTTTGGGATTTTCTACACAGACAGATGTCATCTGTGAACAATGACAGTTTCATTTCTTTTTTTCTAATCTGTATACTTTTTATTTCTTTTCTTTGTTTCTTTGTTTCATTGCATTAGCTAAGAATTTCAGTAAAATGTTAAGGAGTAATAAGAAGGGACATCCCTGCTTTATTCTCAGTTATAGAGGGAAAGCATCTAATTTCTGAACATTAACACTGATGTAAGCCATTTAATTTTTGTAAGTGTTCTTTATCAAGTTCAAGAATGAATGGTTTCCCTTCATTCTTAGTTTGCTGAGTTTTTATCATGAATAAGTCAACTATTGTCAAATTATTTTCCACATCTATTGATATGATCATGCGACTTTTCTTCTTTGATGTAATAGAGTACATTAATTGATTTTTCAGATGTTGAAATAATCTCACATAATGGGAATAAATTTTACTTGGTCATAGAGAATAGGTTTTTACACATTGTTGAATTTGATTAATTAATACCATGTTGATAATTTTTTCATGTATGTTGATGAGACATACTGGCCTGTAGTTTTTCTTTCTTGGAATGTCTTTATCTGGTAATGCAGGCTTCATAGTATGAGTAAGTAAGTGTCCCCTCTGTTTCTGTTTTCTGGAAGAGATTGTAAAGAATTGGTTTTGGAAAGAGATTAGTATTTGAAATGATAGACTGAGTAAAGTAGATGGTCCTTCACAATGTGAATGGGCATTCAGGCAATCGTTCAGAGCCTAAAGGAAACAAAATGGTGAAAGAAGGTTGAATTTGCTCTCCTCCTGACTGCTTAAGCTGGAGCATTGATCTTCTTCTGCCCTTGGTGCTCCTGATTTCCAGACCTTCAGGCACAGATGGGAATTTACAACATCAGCTCTCTGGCTCTCAGGCTTTTGAAGTATACCACCAACTTTCCTGGGTGTCCCGCATGCAGACAGCCAATTGTGGGACTTTTCAGCCTCCATAAACATATGACCCAACACTGTGTAATACGTCTCTTTATTTATACTCAGATGCAGTATTTTATCTCCTTCATTTTCTCTGTTTTTCTGCTTAAGATTGTATTGGTTTCTGCCCTAATTTTTATTATTTATTTTCTTATGCCCATTTTGGATTTAAGTGAATTTTCTTTCTCGAGTTGGAAGCATAAATTATGCAATTTTGATCTTTCTCCTTTTGTAATATATGCACTTGATGCTATAAATTTCCCTCTAAGCACTGCTTTTGCTACACTGCAAAATTTGTAATGGAATTGTATTTTCATTAAATTCAAAATTTTAAAAATTTCTCTTAAGACTTCTAATCTCCAAATATTTTGGGGGTTTTTACAGCTATAATTTGTTATTAATTTTCAATAAATTCCACTGTAGTCTAAGAGCATATTTCGTATGCTTTCCTTTTTTTAAATTTATTAATGTCTGTTTTATAACCTAGAATTAAATCTTTATTTGTGAATGTTGTGAGACTGGAATAATGTGTACTCTGTTGTTGTTTGGTATATTCTATAAATGTCAATGAGACCTACTTTATTAATGGTGCTATTCAGTTCAACTATGTCTTTACTGATTTTCTGCATGCTTAATCTGACAATTACTGGTAGAGTTATGTTTAATTCTCCAAGAATAATATATTTGTAAGTTCATGTTTGCAGTTCTGTGAGTTCTTCCCTCACTCTTTTATTCTCTCCATTTCAGTTTGGGATGTTTTTATTGATAAATCTTGAGGCTCACTGATTTTTTTCCTGGGCTGTGTCCAGTTTACTGGTTAAACTCCTCCAAGGCATTCTTTATTTCATTTACAGTGAATTTGATTTCTAGTACATTTTTCTGATGCTTTCATCAAGTTTATATCTCTCTGCTTACATATTCATCTGTTCTTGCATGTTGTTTCATTTTTCCATTAGAGCCTGTCATACTAATCGTAGTTATTTTAAGCTATCTGATAATTCCAAAATTTGTATCATGCAAGAATTTTGTTCTGCTGTTTTGTTTTTTCTGGCCATCTTCTTTTCTTACCTCCTAGCGTGCTTTGTTATTTTTTTGTTGAATGTTAGAAAGGATGTATCTGGTCATAGGAATGAAGTTAATCAGGCTTTTAGTGTGAGGTTTTATATTAATCTGTGTAAGAACTGGATAGTGCTTAGTGTTGGCTATAGTTGCAGGTGCCGGAAGCTTTAGTTTTCTTTAGAGTCTTTGCTGTTTTTTGCCCTACTGTCATTGTTTTTCCCTAGGAACTTCTTAAATAGAACGGATGTTCTGTAGGTCTCTCAGTTGTAATCCACTGCTGTTATTCTAGAGCCTTGTTCCCATAGTGGTAAGGCGTTAGAGAGGGGAAACACTCTGTAGTCTTATTACTCAATCTCAGTTTATTTTTTACAGGTCTTGGTCCTGAGCTGTGGCCTTCTGATGCATTTCTTGATCTTTTTACCATTTTCTACCCTTGTAATTGTCTAATTGACCTCTCCTCTGTTCAGATAAGGCTAAGACAAAGTAGTTTTCTTTGAAAGCTGGCCTTTGTTATGAATAATTCTCTGGATGTATTTCAAAGTGATTACTTTCACCTGATCTTTCAAAATGGTTATTTTTCCCCTCCCCATACACTGAAGCAAGAGGGATTTTATTCTCCCATTTTTACCATGAGAACCTGATGGTGCTCATGGTCGCAAAACCCAGAAAAGTATCAGGACACTAAGATTGTGCCCACAGGAACATTTAACTATCAAGCTATTCACAGTCATTCTGCAGCAATTCATCAATTAGCTTTCAGTGTTCCTTCCAGTTTATGGCTCCCAGTGAACTGATGTAGGCTGTGTTTCTCTGTACTTGTCTATCTCTCTAGCTGTAAGAATGGAGGTTTGCTATGTAACCTTAACTCCCTGATGGATCTAAGAAACATTTATTTTCAGTTTGTTTAACTATCTGTTTTGTGAGAAAAGGAATAATGACTTACAAATTCTTCACATTTTGGAGCTAAAAATCAGAAGTCAGATTATTGAATGTTAATTTTTGAATGTTACTGTTTATGCCAGAACAGCACATAATATAAACTTAATATCTTAAGATGCTTGTTGTATGTTAAATTATGTTGTTAAATGTTGCAGAGTTAATGGAATTATTCAACCAGAACAAATAAAATAGATTATTTCATTTTAGTTTTCTCTGGAAATCCCTACAGAAGTCTCATACCACATGTAAACAGACTATTAGCTCTTCTCCTATAGCTTGGTAGTTTGTTTGTTTAAACTGGGTCAACAAACCATGAGCTCCATGAGCTATGACTACATTTCATCTATTTTTGTATTCACAGTCTCTAGTATAGTGCTAACATATAGAATAATCTCAATAAGATTTGTTGAAAAAGCCATTTGCTTTACATTAAAAACTCCCAGAGTAAAGAATTATATCCTAAACATCTTTATATTCTACCCCTCCATCAAACAATGTAGTTATATATGAGTCACCAACAAATAATGAATATATGTATAAAATAGTAGATAAATAAATATAATTTTCTACCTTAGTCCTCAAAAATGTTGGTCTGTGGTAGAGTGAATATAAGTTCCTCTATGAACCTAAATTGAGAGTGAATCAGATGTGCTTGGACTTCAATCCCAGCTCCAAGTTTTTCATTCTTTTACATTCTTTTCATTCTTTTACATTCTTTTCATTCAATTTACATTCTTTCTCTGAACCACCCCAATCTGTGAAATGGAGATAATAATTTGACTATAATTTTGTTACAGATTAAGATGATAATGTTCCAATATGTAATTTCATACTGTGTATATACTTGGTGCTTAATAAATATTTCCTTTTCCCATAACTCATCACTCCTTTTTTGTAAATATTAACTATGTATGCAGCAAGATATTTACGTAGATGGTATAAGAAAATTAAGTAGCGTACAACAATCATTATTTTATTTCATTTTCTGAGGGGGGGCAAATATACTTCAAAATCCACTGATAGATTCTTATCTTTTCCTCATAAAAGTAGTATATAAAAGTATCTTTTCCTCATAAAATCCTTTTGAACACTTTCAATACTTCAATTTATCTTCATTTCTTCCTCTGACCTGCTACTTCTCTCACTTCCTCTCCAGCTAAAGTTCTCTCTCCTCATGCCCTCACTCACTGTGTTCAAACTACAGGCATGTCAGGTATGCATCTTCCTCAACGCCTTTGCAAACCTTATTTTATTTTCTGGCTGAAATAATCTTCCTCTAGATGATCTTAGATATTCCTGCATATCTTTCTATGACCATCTTATTTAAACACAACTCCCTGGTACTTTATTAGGCCACCCCTGTATTCATTTTCTCTCTAGAGTTTACTATCATCTGGCATTCATGACATATCATGAATTTTATTTTTTATTGATAATGTTTCTCACCCTCTCCAATTAGAACCTAAGCTCCATGAAATCAGGGAATTTTGAGTATTTTTTTCATTGTTGTGTCTGGCACATGATAGACATTTCATAAATATTTGTGGTGTGAATAAATGAATATAGTGGCATTATAAGCAAAGAGTTCATAAGAGAAGCATACACAATCTTTTAAAAATACATTAAGGTTATGACTTGCTTTATTATTCTTTATTCTAAGGTCAGAAGCTCTGATAGACACTCTAAAATAAAGTGAGGCACGGACAGATTGATAGTGTTCTTCTAAGCTTATTATTTTTCACAGATGTTACTTGGGAGACTTAGTTTCCAAAAACAGAGAAAAAGAAAGAGACAGAGGTTGCATGTGAATGATAGTTTTACTGATACACACCAAATGCCCATTACCATGAGAATATATGTATTGCTTTATAGAAAATTTGTATTAGTGGTTCATTTTAATGAAGTACCTTTCATTTGGCATCTCATATTGTCCAGACATATAATCATAACAGCTAAATTTTCAAATAATATAATGCAGTCTCCCAAAGTGGCAGGCATTCTACTGTATGGTGCAGATTATAGTGGGAAGATGATCACATTTTCCTAAATATTCATTTATTTTTAAATGTTTCAGAAAAGAATTGACGTCCTAAACCAAATTCATTGAAGTAGCAAGTTTACATTATTGCCAAAGACTCCCTTAGACAAATCAAATATATCTTTGAGAAAGTTTTGATATTTTATTTCACAAGCTGAGTGTCTACTCTGTGCTGTATGCTATCTATGGCTGTCACTGGTGATAAAGTAAAACAAAATTCCATCCCTTGCCTTTAGCTTTTCTCAGGCCAGTTTGTCTTCCTCTCCTATTAAAACAATGCTCATTTAGTATTGTAATTTATCTAGAATCACCATTCTTTTTTTTCTCTGTAATCCCCCAAATCTCCACATTCCTTGCTGAGATGGTTAATTTTATGTGTCAACTTGGGTAGGCTATGGTGCCTGGTTGTTTGGTCAAACAGCAATCTATATGTTGCTGTGAGTGTTTGTTTTTGATTTTGCTTTAAAATGTGATTAACATTTAGATCAGTAGACAATATGGAGATTTCTCTAAGAAGAGAGCTCTTCAAGACCATGACATAGAAAGTCTGCTTGAGTTTCCAGCCTGCTACCCTGTAGAATTTAGACTTAAGACTGGAATATCAATTTCCTCCTAAATTTTCAGCCTGCCTGCTGGCCTGCCCTACAGATTTAAGACTTGCTAGCCTCACAATGGTATGAGACAGTTCTCTAAAATAAATCACTCTAGATATGAATATATAGATATAGATAGATATATCTTAGGAGATATATCTACATCTATATGTCCTATTTGTTCTTTTTCTTTTGATACTTCTGACTGTAACACTTGTATTCACAATATTTTGTAATTTTCCTGAGAACAGGAATTTCATCTGTTTATTCTGAGCTATGAAACCCTGTTCAATATATAGTGGCTTGACATTAATTTTTGTTGAATTAATAAATATAACTTCATCTTTTTTCCTGGATAAATTATATCATGCTTCTGTACTAAAATTCCTTTTACATTAAAACTGGAAGAACATTAAAATAAGGAGAATTCTTAGGAAAGGGAAGAATGTCTGATTTCCAAGTATATATTCTTAGAAAGAGCATGGCTAGTGCTTGGAAATCATTTGCAAATTAACATGAGCCATAATCATTTGATACGATAAGAATCAAAAATAAACATTACCCCTACATACATGTATTATGCAGACTGCTAAGAGACCATGATTATCTTTATCTGCTATAAGTAGTGAGAGTGCATGGAGATGTGAGAGCTTATGGTTCTCCAGGGAGCATCAGTAAACAAGGGTTCCAGCCCAAAGATGAAGAAGGAACTGAAGCAATAGCATGATGGGGTTAGTCTGTGTTGAAAACGTTGGCTTTCTTCCTTAAGTCAACTTGGAGTTGTGCACAATTCTTCAGAAGAGCTATGTAGTAATGTTATGTGTCCTTGGGGGTATTGAAACACTGCTGTAAGCTTATCCTCTCTGAAAAAACTTTGAAGTTAGCCTTTTCTTTAAGGAGCTTAGTGGTTGTTTCAAGAAAACAAACACAGGGACTTGGAAACCTCACAACATTATAAGATATTGCTAGTAGACCCTATATTTATTCATTTATTTACTTGTCTATATATCATACATAATATTAAATATACATAAATGTACCTTTTGGATTTTTAGTCTATCTCAGGAAAAATTGTGGTTCTATTAAAATATTTCCCCTTAATAATTATTAATAAAGACTCTTTGTTAAGGTCTTTTCTATTTGCATTAATATTAACATTAGTTTTCAATTCTATAGCATATCATGAAATTATCATTTTGATTCTTTGCACTATTTAAAATTCACAATATTTCTGGCCCACTTTCTTTATATCTTTTTTTCTATCACTATTTCAATGTATTAAAAACATATTTGGTCATTGTAATTGGCATTTGTGAGGAAGGGAATCAAATACCAGATATAAAAGTCCTACAGCAGTATACACTGTTTGGCTACTTCCTACATATGCAACTATATCTCAGGCTCAATATGCTCAAACTATGCTGCCCTTCTTTTAATTCCAAAAATATATTTTTTTATCATCTCAGAAATGTCATTGTTTAGTCTCTATTCTAAATTCTTCATCTTCTATTATTCTCTACACATGGAAAATGCATGTTAGAAAATTATATTATTCTAAGAAATAGAAGAAAGTTCTAAGTGAAAATTTATTTAAATAAAATAAGTTTTAAAGTATATGAAACAGTTGGATAAATATAGTACACTAAGAAGTACTAAGAAATAAAAGGATCATAGGATAACCAAAAAAAGAACGAAAATCTAAGGAAAGAAATAGCTGGAAATAAACAAAAATTATATTGCATAAAAAATAAGCAACAAGAAATAGAATGAAGTTGTATGAAACTGAACCAGGTGGGAACTGGAGAGCAAGGTCGCTGGAAATCGCTGGCCTCTTCAGTGCTGGCAGGGGCAAATTCCACTCACTGGGACCTGCTGTGCTCCACTCCTCACGGGATGGGGAGCACATAGGTGAGTGGGCGCAGGAGCCAGGGCGAGTGCTTTTGGGCACCAGCAGGAGTGAACTCCGTACTGGCCCTGAGGCAGCATCTAGGTGGGTTGTCCATGACCCCTGAGGCCCCAGAAGAAGTGTTACACTACTCTTTTCTGTTGTCTATGGATGGCTCAAGTGTTAACAGCTTAGTGGAGGGTCAATGTGACAGCCTTTTGCACCTCCACTCATGGCACCAAAGTTTTTGTTCGGAGTCCAGGAGAAATGAGGTCACACAAACGAATTGAAGATAGTAAATGTAGGGGATTTTATTGTCCATGAAAGTGGCTCTCAGTGGGAAGGGGAGCTAAAAAGGGGCATGGAGCAGGAAGGTAATCTTTCCCTGAAGTCTGGCCCTTTCTGGTTGGATTTCTTTCTCAAGCTATGCCATCAAGCTGTCCCTCTGAAGTCAAGCCACTCCTCTCCGACATTCAACTGTAGTCTCCATTGTCCAGCTGCTTCTCTTTTCTCCGCTGGCTGAACCTGGGGTTTTTATGAGCACAGGATGTTGGCTGGGGTTTGCCAGGGGTGGTTTTGGAAAAGGCACCATTTGAGTGGCAAAACAGGGATATAACTTCTCACTTTGGGCCATGGTATCAGGATTTTCAGCTTGAGGGTGGGGCCCTCACCTTTACCAAAGACCTACCCTCCCAGGATTTCTCCACTTCTTGTCTCTGTCAAAACCAGAGACACCAATATGGAGCACAGTCTGTGAAAATTCACACGCACATAAAGAAAATCAAAGGACTAAAGTGTGTGTTTAGGGATTTTACTTATGGAAGGCAGAAAAGGACACAGATTGTATACAAAATCGATGTCATTGATTTTTTAAAAAAAGGACAGTACAAAATAGTCAAATATGATATACAAAATAACTTTTGTTCACTTTGTATTTTTAATTAACACTACAAACCAGAAGACATTCAGCACTCACTCTTATTTGCTGAGATAAAAAGCTGATAATGTAGGTCCAGCTGGGATGTATTTATTTTGTAAGGGCCTAACAACCATCCTTTTTCAGACTTATGGAGATTGCATTCTGATTAAGCTTTGGAGGGGTCATTCTTCATCGTAAGCAATCTACTCATTCCTCCACTTAACACATGGCTTTGTATGTCACATTTGCCAGGCAGTGCTCTAGGTGCTGGGGAGCATTAAAAGCAAACAACAAACAAATTCCTGCCATCATGAGCTTATACAACTAATTTAAGTGAGTATGAAGGGATAACAGAGATAATGAACAACATACATATATACATTAATGGTACAGTTTAAATAAAAAGAGAAGGGTGATAAGATCATTAGGAATTGTGGGATGCATGCTGAAATTTTAAATAGGGTGATTAACATATACTGATTGAAAAGATGATATTTGAGCAAAGATATTGAGTAAAGATGGAGCAAGTGACCCATGAAAGCCTACATGATCAAGATGATCATGGCATTCAGGGGTGTAGTACAAGAGTAAGACGAGTAGTTCTCAAAGTTTGAATATTGGGAACTTGCCAGAAATGCACATTCTTTGGTCTTATCCCAGACAGCTAAGCCAAAACTATAGGTTGAGGTACAGCAACCTGTGTTTTATCAAGCACACTAAACTTTAATAATGACTAACCAAGTCTACACTCATAGGTAATGAGTACACCAATATTAGAGGATAAATACGTTACCCCAAAAATGTCAATCAGAGCCAAAGAAAAAAGTAATTTTAGAACTTCCTTTAGAACTACTGGTAAACAAAGTTTTACATTAGGCAGAATGAAATAGAAATATGAACTTCTCTATGTTAGTAGCACAGAAGTGAAGTCTCAAAAAATCGAATTTACACAAAAATTCAGTCCAGGAATAAACCTTGAGAATATCGCGTAAGCACTGAATAAAGCTGACCCTGAGGTACTCTTTTTATGTTGTTTTCAGGAGGTGATACATTTCATTTTCACTTCAGTCAATTGGATTTTATTGTCTTCACTAGAAACACTCCTAAATGAGAAGCAGAAGTATTTAGAATTCACATAACAAAAGCAACTAAATGACATATTGAAAAATATAGAGACTAATGCAGAGCAATTTCAGTTAATAAATATAGAGGAAACAATAAAATTTTTAAATCACCATCTTGCTGCATTTTATGTAATAATGAATGAAGGCAATTATCATCAATGATGATGAAATAATTAGGTAAAGATTAATGGGAGAATTATGATAAATAGATCAGGCTAAAAACTTGAGCAATCTTAACACTATTGAAACTAAGTCAATCAGATATTTTGTTTGATGTAACAATAGGAAGTACATTGAACCACATATTTTGACCCCCCCAAAATGAAGCTGAATCTAGTCAACCTTCTATATATATTCATCAGATTATTTGAAATATGGGGCAAACAAATACCACAATTTATATTCTACAGATAAAAGGCCAGGATTCTCTTAAATAATTAGAATACAAGAGTGTATTTTCCATTAATATAACTCTTATCTATTTATATTTTTTATCACAATTATGTATTACTTTTCTTGATCTATGTCAGATGATTTTACTAATCATATGCAAGTTAAAATTGTTACATCTTTCATGCAAACATAAATTTTTGTATATGGTGACTCTATATATTCTAAGTGATTTTGTCATTGCTAGAGGGGTTTTCCATTTGGTTCTTAATCAGTAAGGACTCATGTTACTACAGGTGCAATTTTTTTTATGAATATTGTCCTTCTGTCTTTCTTGTATATTTTTTTTTTTATAGAATCTTGCTCTGTTGCCCAGGCTGGAGTGCAGTGGCGTGATCTTGGCTCACTGCAACCTCCACCTCCCGGGTTAAAGCGATTCTCCGGTCTCAGCCTCCCGAGTAGCTGGGATTACAGGTGCATGCCACCATGCCTGGCTAATTTTTGTATTTTTAGTAGAGACGGGATTTCATCATGTTGGCCAGGATGGTCTTGATCTCCCAAACTCGTGATCTGCACACCTCGGCCTCCCAAAGTGCTGGGATTACAGGTGTGAGCCACCGTGCTCAGCCAAAGTCCACAGGATACTTCAGAAAGATCAGGTGTACTAGTGTTAAGTGAAGGACTTGAAGCCAACGAAATTCTGTGAAAAATTCTGTGTTACATATTCAAAAACCAAGATAAATGAATATTCTCCTCAGAAAGACTAAGGACTAAATAGAAAATCTAAGATATTTCTAGAACCATAAAATAAATTAATAATTTAAATTTTTTCTACAACAAAAGCACCTGCCTTAGATAATTGTACTAACTAGTCTTACCAACATTCAGAGAATAAAAAGTCTTAAACTCACTCACATTCTTCCAGAGAATAAATAAGAAAAATTATTCATCAATTTTTTAAATAAATGGCTAAATTATGAAACCAAAATTCTATGAAAATGTGAATACAACATAAAAAGTATAGGGCAATCTCAATTATGATATAGATGTAAAATTTGAAAACTCAAGTTAGATCTATAAATATAACCAAAAATCATTACCAAATGGGGTGTAATGTCAGAAATGCACATATATTTTAACATAAACTATATTAGGATGATTTATATCTTTCAGGATAAGTGCCATGAAAAGAATCTGATAAAATTTATTATGAATATGGAAAAATTTAACTTCTGCTTCACACTATAACTAAAGTTAATTACAGATGGATTAAAAATATACATGTGAAACCCTAAAATTTTAGAATTTGGAAGGGCATATAGGAAACTAGCCCTCAGATATCAGTTTATCCAGGTATTTCTTAAACAAGGCACAACATAATCAGAAAAAAATGCAAAATTTACAACACAGACTATGTTAAAAATTTATCAAAATATAAAATAAAAAGTAAAAACATGAAACCCCAGATTTAGAGAGATTTGCTGTATATGTGAAAAACAGAGTCGATATAAAGACTACATAAATATATTGTACAAATCAATAAGAAAAATAAATAACCAAAATTTTAAAAATAAGTAAGAAGTATGAAAAAGTAATTCACAGAAGAGGAAATACTTATGACCAATAAATAAATAAAAGGATGCTTACTAGTAATTCATGAAAATCACAGTATTAATTCAATGACCATTTCACAAGTTGCCCAGCATGTAACAGTCAAAAGTGCAAAATGTTTTCTAAGATGTGAAGAATGAGAACATTTATATACTGCTTCTGGATTTATAAATTGATATGAGTTTGGCAGTCTAGCAAAATTTATGAAATTGGAGTTATGTCCTATGACCTAATAGCTCCATTCCTATATGTATACAGGAAGAGGCATATACTAGAATGCTAATTGAGGCATTGTTTTTGTATAAAATACAACCTAAATATTTATCAATAAGGTAATAAAAAATAAGTAGTAGTATTTTTCTGCAATGGAAATATAGAGGCAGAAAATATGAAGCAATTAGTGCTCTATCTGTCCACGTGAATTGGTTTTACAAATATAATACTATTAGGTGCACAGGGGTAGGTTGACAGGATTCAATTGCTAAAGAAAACTTATGAGGTCCCAAATGACCATGCCTAGAAATCTATAGTCTACTACAGGAAAGGATACAATGTTCAAACAATAATTAAATTAAAGGTTTATATCACAGCACAAAGCTGTCTCACAGCAAGGGATCTGAAGATGCCAGGCTCCAGCTCATATCCTATTTTCTGCCCTCAATAAGGAGGATATATATATATATATATATATATATATATATAAAATCTTAGATTAGAAACCACTGAAGCGTGAACAAAATGTCAACAACATGGAGCCTCGGTCAGGGTTTGTTGCACCATACTGGGCACGCAGGCATACCTTTGATATAGACCAGCTTAATGGCAAAGTCTTCTGGATGGCATTATCAATCTTACTATTTCAGTCTGTTTTCACACTGCTGTAAAGAACTGCCAGAGACTGCGTAATTTATAAAGGAGAGGTTTAATTGACTCACAGTTCCACCTCGCTGAGGGAGGTCTCAGAAAACTTACAATTTAAGCAGAAGGCAAAGGGGAAGCAAGAATCTTCTCCACATGGTGACAGGAGAGAGAAGAGCAAGCAGGGGAAATGCCAGACGCTTATAAAACCATCAGATCTCATGAGAACTCACTCACTATCACGAGAACAGCATAGGAGAAACTGCCCTCATGATCCAATTACCTCCCTCTCTTAACGCGTGGAGATAACAATTTGAGATGAGATCTGAGTGGGGACACAGAGCCAAACCATATTACTTGCTGTTCAATCAATAATGCTGACAAGCTGAAATTCCTTGTATCCATGATTCCAAAGAAATACTATACATCAGTATGTTCCATGACTTTACCAGTGTTAGTGACATACAAGAACTTTGGCAATAAGTTCAGAGTAAGTCCGGGACTGCTGGAATTAACCTTCACAGCACACTGGGGTGTGTGAGTGCGTGTGTGTGTGTGTGTGTGTGTGTGTGTGTGTGTTAGGAGAGAGATAAGAAAAGAATGCAAAAAAATTTTAAATCACATAAAGTCTGAAATCATCCTAAACAATGGAGATAAATGATTGCATAGTGTATGTATACTGAACTTGTTTTAACATATGTTGTTTAACTATAATATGTACAAGTTAACATTTTCTTAACATATCAAAACATAAATATTATAATCATTAAGAGTATGATGGTGATAACCTTGCATAGAGGAAAGGGCATATGAGCAGGAGTTGTTTAAACTGTATTAATATTCTATTTTTATAATGTGTGAGAGTATATCTATTCACTATCTTGTCCTCTGTAACTGTTACCTCAAATATTTCATAATTAAAAGACAACTATGATATAGAAAAGATGATATAGAATGAAAGAACTAGGGGTAAAAACAGAATCAGTTTAAATATAGAATAAAGCATAAACAAGTGTGGGACTTAATATACCTAAAAAAAACCTTGTATATTTATGTGAGGGTATCATGATTGTCGTAAGTATGAATGACAGAAAGATGCATAAACAAAAGATACACAAGTAATCAATGTGAATTTAGGGTATAAGAAAATAAGTACATATATATGATTAGGCAAATTGGATTTACAGAACTACTGAACCAAGTTGATATATGGCTACCACGGCATCATCAGGTTTTTATTCAAATATGCACAAATGGTGATGATGCCACAGACTGGGATAAGAACTGAACACTTCTTGAAGTTGCCCCATAAACTGACTGTTGTCTGATACACTCTGCAGTTCAGACTGTTTTCTGCCCAGTTGGCTTGATGCAGTCCTCTGTAAACCAGACTGCATCTGTATCCCTGCGTAAGCATCTTACTCTGGATATTTACACATCAGTCCCTTTTATTAACCTGGTAGCTGTTATCAGTTATTTGCTGAGCTAACTGGTCTCACTTGAAATCCATGACACTACATAGAAAATGGACTCTAAAATCTGCCTGGCAATGATTCTACATTTCCCTAATCCCTTCACTTTCCTACTCTCCCCTACTCTCTTAGAATGTTCTGTATCTCCTTATCTTTCTTCAATCTCCCTGAATATTCTCCCTGTTCCTTGCTTTCAGTTCAGGAATTGGTGCCCCAATTTTTTTATGTTGTTTGATTTTTTTTTTTTTTTGAGACAGAGTCTGGCTCTGTCACTGGGGCTGGAGTGCAGTGGTGCAATCATGGCTCACTGCAATCTCTGCCTCCCAGGCTCGAGCGATCCTCCCACCTCAGCCTCCCCAGCAGCTAGGACTACAGGCATGTGCCCCTACACAGGTTAATTTTTGTATTGTTTGTAAGAGACAAGGTTTTGCCATGTTGCACAGGCCAGTCTTGAACTCCTGGGCTCAAGTGACCCATCCACCTCAGCCTCCCAAAATGCTGAGATGACAGATATGAGCCACCATGCCCAGCCATTGGTGCCCTATTTAACTAATATTGAAGAAATCACAAAATACATCTTACACACACTCAACCCTGTCTCCCTGATGCATGGATATACTCATCTTTCTTCTGATACTATGATTTTGTGCCTATACTCATTCTACCTGTGGTCTAATTTTCAAATTGTGTAATTGATCTTATCCTTTCTCATCTACCCAATGACAGAGCGGCATTAATTTTATTATCTTATGCATTATCAAGTTCTGCTTTGTCATTCTCATCAGAAAAAGAGAAATTCTATCATTTCTTCCATTTTCATAAACTCTGTTGACCCCACTTCTCCCACCAGGTAAGCCCCTGTCTGTGTTGCCCTTATGGTAAACATCTGGAAAGAATTGCTCATACTTGATACTCTCCGTGATCTCCTCTTATCTCATAAACGTGGCAGAATCAGTTCTTTTTTCTCCTACAGCTGCTTGGGACACTTTACTCTCTTGAATTCCAGATACCATACTATCCTAATTTTTCTCCTATTATTTCTCAGGTAACGTCGCGTTATCATTTGATTGCTAGTTCTTGCCCTTCTCCCTAAACACACTGGAGTAACTCAGGGCTCCATCTTTAAATGTGCATTTTAGATTACAGGCCCCTTGCACAAACATTCCTTATTTCAACTCCTTTATTTTTCTTTATAACATGTTTTGCTATCTGACAAAATGTATGTTACTTGCTTAAATTTTATTGCAAATTTTCCTCTACTGTATTATAAGCTTCATAAGAACAGTATGTTTTCTCTTTTCTTTGGTGCTCTATTTCTATTACCTGTAAACGTATCTGGAAGAGGGTAAGTGCTCAACAAAAAATATATTAATTTAGTGAGTGCTGAAGGTGCCTCTCCAACTAAGCATGCTGTTTCAAATTTTCTCAAGGCAGTGACCATTAAGTAGAGGTTAGGACAAGCACAGGAACCCACTGTTAAAACAAGAACTCTAAAGCTTAAAGGCCATGTATTAATAAAAATACTTGTCTACAGTTATGCTTACATAAAATGGCCTTACTCTCCACGTACCCACATACAAATAATTGAGGTGAAGTAGTGCCAAATGGTTAGTTTGGCACTCCTAAGGCCTGATGGTTAGTAAATTTTAGTTTTTATATCATGATCTTATTCCTTGGCCCTCAAACTCATACTAAAAAAGTGCATTGCAGCCAGGCATGGTGGCTCATGCCTGTAATCCCAGCAGTTTGGGAGTCCGAGGCAGGTAGATCACAAGGTCAGGAGCTCGAGACCAGCCTGGCAAATATGGTGAAACCCCGTCTCTACTAAAAATACAAAAATTAGTTGGGTGTAGTGGCGTGTGCCTGTAGTCCCAGCTGCTGGGAAGGCTGAGGCAGGAGAATTGCTTGAACCTGGGAGGCAGAGGTTGCAGTGAGCCGAGATCATGCCACTGCACTCCAGCCTGGGCCACAGAGTGGGACTTCATCTCAAAAAAAAAAAAAAAAGTGCATTGCAAAATGCTTTACATGTCTGAGACGGAGAATCCTCCTCAATGCCCAAGCAAGCTATGACACTAAAGAAAAATGAACAGAGCCTATACTCAAAAGGCAGAGCAAATAAAGGTAAAGGAACATCCTTTTAAATTTCACAATCAACAGCTTCTAGAAGGCTACACAATAGGCTTAGTCCACCAGTGTGACATCCTTGCCATTCCTGCGAAGGAGATATGATTTCAAATTTAAAATCTCTGTAATTATTTTTCTTTTCATTGCTGCCTAATAGATGAGTTGAGAACACAAAACTTTAATTTTAGTTATAAATCATCAGATTATATGGAATCACTAGATGAATAAGGTAGAAACCTGTCAAAATAGATGGTTAAATATACTATAATTAATTACATTGCAATTTAATTATAATTATATTACAAGTTAAATATATTGCCATTGTTAAATGTATTACAAAATAATTACAACAAATGTAGATGGATTAGAATTTCCCAATAAAGTCTTCATTATTTTTAAATAAAAACCAAATCTGTTGTTTGCCAATGACAGGACTACAATATAAAAAGCAACATATGAATTTAAGTAGAAATAAGAGGTCATAACAGAGAAATTCTAGGCAAAGTAAGACAGTTGTTTCAATAGTCACATGCAAGACTTTAAGAAAAAAATAAATTTTAAAGATAAAAAGTTAATACATGATTATTAAAAAATCATTTTATCTGGGATTGAATAGAAGTTCATGTTATCTCTACTTTCCCCCAAAAGCCTGATATTTTGGATATGGGATGTTAGACACAGAAAATAAATAATAGTATAATGTCAGATGATTTAATGAACTAGAATTACTTCAAATATGGTCAGGTGCAACTATGTCCTGGACCAGGAAAATACATTCAAGGAGTATAAAAATCATTTCAGAAATACTTTGCCAGTCATGGCCTAGTTCGTAAAACAGAAACCATTATACATATTTTCCCACAACAGCATTGAAAATGCTAGAGGAGTGGGGAAAAAAAAAAAAACAAAACAAAACACCTTGGCTTTCATATTAACTGCCACAGCTATGGGCTGGAGACTAGCCATGGTCAGTTTCCCAGGAAATTGCAGCTACCTCCACGTGCAGGCAAGAAGAAGATGGCTGGCAGGACAGACAGCTACAAAACACCTCCACATCTGTCAAAATCCACATCATGTATCACTGTCTTCTAATTCTTTTATATGTATATATCACTGATAAATTGTAAGCTACATCTAGAACATTAGATAGAAGAAAGTCAGAAGAGCATAATCCTAAGACTTCCGACCCCTACAATATAGGGAAGAAAATTAATGTAAAGAAAAAAAATTCAGAAAAATTAACAAAAATCTTCCAAGTGCATTGTTCCCATTGTTCACTGTGTGGCAACATTCACATTTTACACATTTACTTTTAAATTGTCCTTATCCTAATGTTACTTAAATTCTATCTACCTGTATCTAGGAAATTAAAAAAAAATAACATAAATAAAAATTGAATTTCTGAAATGTTCAATATGAAGTGTCTAAGGATGCTTTAAAAATAGCAATCAATTAATACCTACAAAATTCACACAAGGGATATTATAGGTGGCAAATTGATAGTTTAAGTACCTCACATAATGTTATCGTACACAGATGTGATAAATGCGAGATTTAGACCTCAATAACATAATACATTGCTTATGTTAAGCATTTGTTAAAACGCAAGGATTTTTCCTAATAAAATATGCTTTATATATAACAGAAGTAGCTAGTATGACTTTTATGAAATGTTTACCTAAATAAGAAAAATATTAAAAATTAATTAATGCATAAAACACTAATAAAGAATTTGGAAGTATTGCTATTGCACTTCTCTTACAACAACTAAAGTGATCTCATTTTTAATTGTGCATTTTTACAATTTCTTTTTGTTGACAATTATTTTATATTGTGAAACATTTAAATTAATATTACCAATATAGAGCCCTCTTTTTAAAATTTGTTTTGATATAAAGTAATTTGCATACATAGTAGAGTGTTCAAATAGAAATTTATAGAATTAAAATACCATCCATGTTTCTACTATCGAAATACTAACAATTTCCTTATATTTCCTTTCAGGAAAGGGCTATCAATTTTACATACACAAATGAGACCATATAATACCTATTCTTATACATTTTATTTTTTTGATAAAGTACAGTTTTTCTCTATCATCCCACATAGAACTGATTTCTATTTTGTTTTGATTCTCATGTTTGAATAAGTACATTATTGAAGTATGAAATCACACAAAAAAGAATATATGTTTAAGTTGCCATATATATTAACATTTTAAATCTTAACATTTTAAAACTTTTCATACAACTCAACCTTTTTTTTTCACTGTTCACATTAACACCAGCCATGTGTAAAAGTCAGTTATTTCACTTCCTCGCTAACTGGTATTCTCAAGGTTTTTCATTAAAGCAATTCTGATAATTCTCTAGAAGTGTATCATTTGTAATTTTTATTTGCATCTCCCTAGTGGCTAATGAGTTTGAATATACTTTCTTGGCTTTGGCCATATGAACAGTGCCTTGTAAAATTCTTGTGAAAGTATTTATTAAGTTAACTTTTTCATATTGTTCTGTAGATGGTATTACTATATAAAACCCTTTATTCCAATGTTTGCAATTGTGTTGTCATAGTCTGTGGTTTGCCAGTTCTTACCGTACGTGCATCTTCTGATAAACAGTCATCCTTAATATTAGCATTGTCTAACTTATTAATGTTTTCCTTTAAGGTAAGTACTTTCTGGACTTCAAGATCATGAAGATTAATTTGAGTAATCTTCTATAATTGTTATTATTTTACTTTTATATTTAAATCTACAATGTGAATTGTAATTGTTCATTACAATCTAAAATTGTGAAACATGTGAATTGGAAGTCAACTTCCTTTCTTTGCCTAAATATCTAATAAATTTAGCATCCATAAAACACCTTTATTTTTCCAAAAGTTATGATATTCCATCTTTGTCACTCCCTTGATAACTAATAATTGTAAATTGATTAAAAAATGGTTGCATCCTGGTTTTAAATTTTTTTCTCTGCAGGAGGAGTATCCAAACAGACCATCTTGTATGGTCTGTATGGGTGCATTATAACTTACTTTTTACTTCCTTATTGATGGATTATTATGTTGTTTTTTTACTATAATTAAAATGATTACTATTGTATATAAATGTATTTTAACAGTATATATATTTTGTATATTTTTGGTAGTTATGGTCATTTGAAGTGCTAGGTTCTACTCAGAAATTTTGCTGGACATATTGTGATGGCCAAATTTTATGTGTCAACTTGTCAATTGTGTCAATTTTAAGTGTCAATATAGTGCCCAGTTTTTATCAAACACTAGTCTAGTTATGGCTGTGATGGCATTTTGTACGTTTGATTAACATCTGAAACAAAAAGAAGAAATTCTACCTCAATGCCATAATTGAAATACTACCTGAATTTGTATCCAGCTTTCCCAACAAATTTTTCATCAAGTCTAGAATATCTCTTGCCTAAGTTTCCAGCTTACTAGCTTGCCCTGTGAATTTTGGACTTGGCAACACCCACAATCATCTGGTTCAACTTTCAGTTTCTTAAAATACATTTCTTTACACATACATACTATTGGTTCTGTTTATTTCTACAGAATCCTAATATCCATGTCTTCAATGAATTATATTAAATGACATTCATAATTCTGTGGAAGGCAGGCAAAGTCCTGGGTATGGACAGAATTAATGGGAGAAGATGTATAATATTATGGAAAGTAAAAACAAAAACAAAAACAAAGAGGTAGGGGGAGAGTAGAATTTTTAAGTTGATTTTATCTGAGAGCTATATGTCTTCTGTTATCCCTTAATGTATGCCAATAGATTCAACAGTATGCTTTGATGAGCAAGCTATTTAAATATCAGTAAGATTAGATCCTACAGGAGATTATCGTTAAAGCAACTAGGTGGGGCAGCAGAAAGCTCAGGAAAGAGAGAAAAGCCATTATGTAAATATATGGCCCTTTAAAGTAATTTAAAGTTACTTTTAGAAATCACTATCAGACACTGAGCAAAGAGAACCGCCAACTAGAATTTTTGTGTGTCTATGTTTTTAAATTTTGTTTTAATATTAGACTTTGGAAACGTAATTGCATATATTCTAATTATGTAACTTATCTCTTACACACATGAAATCAATTGGCATTCTAAACATATGTGATCTCTTTCTTATCCATCAATTTTATCTTTAAGGGACTACATAAGAAGCAAAATGCCATCAGCTTAAAAAGAAATGGGACATTAATGTATTTAAAAATAAGCAAATAATATGACATATATGATTTAGGCATTATGCCAAGGTACAAGGGATTAACATTAAAACATATGAAACCATCAGCAAATATTTCAGGATCTCCCTTTGAGAATGAGGATAATTCTTTTTCTTGTTTGTTTGTTTGCATTTTTCAATTGCAATTTCCATTGATTTTTTAAAATTTTATTTTATTATTATTATACTTTAAGTTTTAGGGTGCATGTGCACAATGTGCAGGTTAGTTACATATGTATACATGTGCCATGCTGGTGTGCTACACCCATTAACTCGTCATTTAGCATTAGGTATAACTCCTAATGCTATCCCTCCCCACTCCCCCCACCCCACAACAGTCCCCAGAGTGTGATGTTCCCCTTCCTGTGTCCATGTGTTCTCATTGTTCAATTCCCACCTATGAGTGAGAACATGCGGTGTTTGGTTTTTTGTCCTTGCGATAGTTTACTGAGAATGATGATTTCCAATTTCATCCATGTCCCTACAAAGGACATGAACTCATCATTTTTTATGGCTGCATAGTATTCCATGGTGTATATGTGCCACATTTTCTTAATCCAGTCTATCATTGTTGGACATTTGGGTTGGTTCCAAGTCTTTGCTATTGTGAATAGTGCCACAATAAACATACGTGTGCATGTGTCTTTATAGCAGCATGATTTATATTCCTTTGGGTATATACCCAGTAATGGGATGGCTGGGTCAAATGGTATTTCTAGTTCTAGATCCCTGAGGAATCGCCACACTGACTTCCACAAGGGTTGAACTAGTTTACAGTCCCGTCAACAGTGTAAAAGTGTTCCTATAGTGTAAAAGTGTTCCTATTTCTCCACATCCTCTCCAACACCTGTTGTTTCCTGACTTTTTAATGATTGCCATTCTAAATGGTGTGAGATGGTATCTCATTGTGGTTTTGATTTGCGTTTCTCTGATGGCCAGTGATGGTGAACATTTTTTCATGTGCTTTTTGGCTGCATAAATGTCTTCTTTTGAGAAGTGTCTGTTCATGTCCTTTGCCCACTTGTTGATGGGGTTGTTTGTTTTTTTCTTGTAAATTTGTTTGAGCTCATTATAGATTCTGGATATTAGCCCTTTGTCAGATGAGTAGGTTGCAAAAATTTTCTCCCATTTTGTAGGTTGCCTGTTCACTCTGATGGTAGTTTCTTTTGCTGTGCAGAAGCTCTTTAGTTTAATTAGATCCCATTTGTCAATTTTGGCTTTTGTTGCCATTGCTTTTGGTGATTTAGACATGAAGTCCTTGCCCATGCCTGTGTCCTGAATGGTAATTCCTAGGTTTTCTTCTAGGGTTTTTATGGTTTTAGGTCTAACGTTTAAGTCTTTAATCCATCTTGAATTAATTTTTGTTTTTCACCCCTTGGCTCTACATTTGTTAAGAGGGTCTAACTCTCTGGATGCAAGCTTAAGAAAGAGGATAATTATTGGAGAGTTCATGCAGGAAAGCAATAACGTCTATGTGGTGAGATAATATTAAAAAGCAACAGGGGCTGGGTGTGGTGGCTTATGCCAGCAATCTCAACACTTTGGCAGGCTGAGGCAGGAGAAGACCAGCTGGGGCAACATAGGGAGACCCCATCTCTACAAAACATAAGAAAAATTAGCTGGTCAGAGTGATGCATGCCTGTAGTCCCAACTACTTGGGAAACTGAGGCAGGGGGATTTCTTGATCCCAGGAGGTCGAGGCTGCAGTGAGCTGATTTGGTTCCACTGCATGCCAGCCTGAGTGACAGAGCAAGACCTTATCTCAAAAATCAAATAATAAAATAATGAATAAATAAACAAATAAGCAAGAGGACTGCAAACACATGGATAATGTAAATATATACTTTCCTGAGTAATCTTCCCCAAAACAAATTCCCAAGTGAGAGAAAAAGAAAGATCAGTAAATGAGAAACAGAAAATGTACAGAATAACATTAGCAGTGAAAAAACAACAACAAAAAAGAGAATATATGTGTTTATGGAGAGGTAAGCAATAATCTATAAATGCTCATTATATGTATTTCCTCCCCAGTGCCCAAGTTAACCACAGAAAGGAAACCCAGTTCAGGTTATATTTATAAATCATACATATAGTTTAATTTAATTAACTATTCCACATTAGGAAATTTATAACTACTTATCAAATGTTTTGGATAAGGAAGAAAGTGCCACAAATACTCATTTGCGCTTGATTTGCACATCCACTAAAAAGGAATGATGTATTAATGACCATGGGTAACTTCTCTTGGCCTTTAACTTTACTGACATGAATTTATGTCAAGACCCCTCTACATGGAAAATTGACGTAGCAAGGTAGGTCATACAGTTCTTTTGTAGTGTAGCTCCACAAGTCTGCTTTCAATAGGTTTTATTTCATATCAGTCTGGCTCTCCAACAAATCTTTATTTTTTATGTCTGTCACAATAAATGAAAATTTATCATTGACTTCGATTGATTTCTACAGCCACTCAGAGAAACCAAATTCTAATTATGAATAACTCAACAGTTGTATCTTACTTGTAAGATAAATTTTAACCTATGTTGACATGTAAAAGATTTATGTTGTAAGTTAATAAAGGTTGGTTAAAGAATATATTTCTCATTCATGTATACCATACACAAAATCAAATTATGATCAGTATATTTATGTTTGTTCTCATATCCATGCCCCATTAATATTTATTAAGATATAATATCAAGTTACACAATTTTAACAGATTTTAAAAGTAATAAAAGTTACATCATATTTAAAACTCAGGAAATAAATGAACAATCATGAAAACTGGAAGAAAGATTAAAAAATAATAAATATACCTTATATTACTTATTAAAAATCAGAAGACATCCTTTCTTTGTTTTTGATAATTATAAAAATAGGGTGACATACTTACATTTGAAAATTTTAAACAAGTGGAATTTAAAATATAATTCTTAATTTGAAAATAATACAAGATAAAAGTGGACAAATATAACTCACACATCAAGGTGTGAGAAAAATTTCAAGTAAACAAAAACAGCTCTTCCAGCCTGAGCAACATGGCAAAACCTCATCTCTAACAAAAATACAAAAATTAGCCAGGCTTGGTGTTGCACACCTGTAGTCCCAGCTACTTGGGAGGCTGAGATGGCAGGATCGTCAGAGCTCTGGAAGTCTAGGTTGTAGTGAGGAAATATCACACCACTGCACTCCAGCCTGGGTGACAGTGATGCAGAATTTCTGCTTCTTATCTCAGCTAGGTCCAGGTTCTTGTCTCAAGACCAGGAAGAATTAGGAATGCGGACACCAGAGGGTGAGTGGAATATAATTAAGCGAAAGGAAAGTTCTCAGCAAAGGGAGGGGTCCTGAAAGCAGGTTGCCAGTCACCCCCTTCACAGTTGTATACCAGGATTTAAGGTGCAAATTCCTGGTGGCTCCACCCCATCTTCCAGTGTGCATGCAGGCCCTTAGACTGAGCCACTCCATATTGATTTATTTCCCTTACTGCACATGTGTTAAGGAACGGAATTTTCCACTGCGGTCATGTTTAGGCAAGACCCATGTGCAAGTTCCCTTATCTGCACAAAATATCTAGTGTAAGCACTTATGGGATGGGTTGCAGGTTTTCCAGGGACCCATGTCCTACTGTCTGCCTAAAGCAAGCTGGCTAACTCCTTTCAACAGAGTGACACCATGTCTCCAAACAAACAAACAAACAAAACAACAAAAAAACCCAGCTGTGTATCAGTCACAATAATAAGTGTAAATAACCACAGAATCATTTAAAACAATGTGTAATTAAATATATGATTCTCATATAAAAATATTTTTAAATAACTGACAAGAACGGTAATGATTATAACTGGACAAACATAACCAGGCAAAATTAAAAATAAATAAGATTGGTAAAATCAGAAACACACAAAAGCAGATTTGAAGTGAAGTTTCTTACATGTAATAAAACAGATAATTTTATATCACAGTTAATAAACAATGAAGGCACTGAGATCATCAATCATAATGTGCCAAAAGAAATTCAGCAAGTAATTATAAATAAAAAACCTTAAGATAAAAATGAGAATTGGCCAGGCACGGTGGCTCACGCCTGTAATCCCAGCACTCTGGGAGGCAGAGGTGGGTGGATAACCTGAGGTCAGGATTTTGAGACCAGCCTGACGAATATGGCAAAACCCCGTCTCTACTAAAGATACAAAAATTAGCTGGGCATGGTGCCGGGTGCCTGTAATCTTAGCTACTTGGCAGGCTGAGGTAGGACAGTCACTTGAACTCGAGAGGAGGAGGTTGCGGTGAGCCGAGATCATGCCATTGCACTCCAGCCTGGGTGACAGAGTGAGACTCTGTCTCAAGAAAAAGAAAAAAAAAAAAAAAGAGAATTGACAGAATTAAATATATATTTCAATTTATAATTACTACCATTAGTATGTGTCATATCTTATATCCAAAAATAAAATAGATAATCTAAGAAAAAAAACAGTATGTTTCAGAAATTTATGAATGTACAGCACAGTTTGTATCTTATAAACAGCAAAAAGGCCATGTAATACAGGGAGAGTAAGCCTTAAATTTATATGAATAAAATAATCAAAAATGGAAGTGAAGCCAAATGCTGATTCCCAACCTGGTATCTTGTTTATATGAAATCTACGTAATCAAGGACTTAACACTTTTCCTACTCACTGATGGAGGATGAAATGTAAGTTACGATACATGTCTTAAATAATAGTTGAAGGTATAATTGTTGAAATTTGTTTGCAAGAAAACACATTCATTAATTCATTCCAGAAATACTTACTGAACATCTAATATGTGTTAGACAATGTGGTAGCAGCTGGGAGCACAATGAAGATGTTACTTTTAGAGGAACTTATGTTCTAGTTGGGGAAGATAAATGATAAACAAATAAGACATGTACTCTGACATCTGGTAATACATTAAATGGAAAAGTGGAATGCCGAGAACAGAAACTAAGAAGAACAAAGAATGGGCTTTTCCTTCTATATAGAATAGTAAAAGAAGGACTGAAAGCATAATGTCAGCATATAACTGAAGGAAAAATGTTACAAATTATGTAGTGGCCACAAACATTCATGAGAGAAAGGCAACTGCAAAGGCAAAAGTTAAATGGACTCAACTTGGTTGAAGAATAGCGAGGAGGCCTGCGTGACTGCAGCACAGAGAGCAACTTTGAGGGAAGTCATGTCTAAGTCAGAGTGGAATCAGGGGCCAGAGCTTGTAGGACTGTATAGCCAAATCAAAGAGTTTGGATTTCACTTTAAGTGACATAAAAATCTATTGGAATGTTTTGTGCTACAGAGTGTAATGGTTTCGCTTACAATATTCTTTCTGACTTTTGTGTTGAAAAGGAATGTAGGAAGACGGCAGTGAAAGTAGGGATGAGAGGTGACAGCGTGCTGGCAGCCCTCACAGCCCTGGCTCGCTCTCAGCGCCTCCTCGGCCTTGGTGCCCACTCTGACCGCGCTTGAGGAGCCCTTCAGCCCGCCGCTGCCCTGTGGGAGCCCCTTTCAGGGCTGGCCAAGGCCAGAGCCGGCTCCCCCAGCTTGCGGGGAAGTGTGGAGGGAGCGGCGCGGGCAGGAATGGGGGCTGTGCGAGGTGCTTGTGGGCCAGCGCGAGTTTCGGGTGGGTGTGGGCTCGGTGGGCCCCGCACTTGGAGCCCCAGCTGGCTCCAGGCAATGAGGGGCTTAGCACCTGGGCCAGCGGCTGCGGAGGGTGTGCTCGGTCCCCCAGCAGTGCCAGCCCACTGGCGCTGAGCTCGATTTCTCGCCTGGCCTTAGCTGCTTCCCCACGGGGCAGGGCTCGGGACCTGCAGCCCGCCATGCCTGAGCCTCCCACCCCTCCCCCCGGCTCCGGGGGCTCCTCCACAGCCCAAACCTCCCCGACGAGGGCCGCCCCCTGCTCCACGGCGCCCAGTTCCATCGACTACCCAAGGGCTGAGGAATGCGGGCGCATGGCGTGGGACTGGCAGGCAGCTCCACCTGTGCCCCGGTGCAGGATCCACTGGGTGAAGCCAGCTGGGCTCCTGGCTCTGGTGGGGACTTGTAGAACCTTTATGTCTAGCTATGGGATTGTAAATACACCAATGGGCGCTCTGTATCTAGCTCAAGGTTTGTAAACACACCGATCAGCACCCTGTGTCTAGCTCAGGGTTTGTGAATGCAGCACTTGACACTCTGTATCTAGCTAATCTGGTGGGGACGTGGAGAACCTTTGTGTCTAGCTCAGGGATTGTAAATGCATCAATCCGCACCCTGTCAAAACAGACCACTGGGCTCTCTGTAAAATGGACCAATCAGCAGGATGTGGGTGGGCCCAGATTAGAGAATAAAAGCAGGCTGCCGGAGCCAACAGTGGCAACCTGCTGAGGTCCCTTTCCACACTGTGGAAGCTTTGTTCTTTTGCTCTTTGCAATAAATCTTGCTGCTGTTCACTCTTTGGGTCCACACTGCCTTTATGAGCTGTAACACTCACCGCGAAAGTCTGCAGCTTCACTCCTGAAGCCAGCGAGACCACGAACCCACTGGGAGGAATGAACAACTCCAGACACGCCGCCTTAAGAGCTGTAACACTCACCGCGAATGTCCGCAGCTTCACTCCTGAGCCAGCGAGACCAGGAACCCCACAAGAAGGAAAAAACTCTGAACACATCCAAACATCAGAAAGAACAAACTCCGGACACGCCGCCTTTACTGTAACACTCACTGCGAGGGTCCGCGGCTTCATTCTTTAAGTCAGTGAGACCAAGAACCCACCAATTCCGAACACAGGGAGACCTCTTGGGAGGTTATAATGATAATGCAGGGAGAAAAGAAAAACATGGCGGCCTGAACCAGATTGTTATTGGTGAAGGCAGTGAGTGCCAAGAGGACATATTTTGTATGTTTTTGAGTGTAAATATTAGATGATGGTTTGAGCATAAAGCATACAAAGAAAAAGTGGATACTAAAATAAATTTAAGATCTATTTTGCCTAAGTGGAAAGATGAGCTTTCCATTTCCTCAGCTGGAGCAAACTGTGGGACAATTAAGTTTTAGGTGGAAATCAAGAGTAAACCTTCGTACTTGTAATATTGAATGCATTCGAGTGAAGATGTCAAGTAAAGACTTTATGAATCCAGAACTACGGATATATATTCCAACTAGAAGTATTTGTCAATCACCCACAAATAGATGGCATTTAAAGCCTGTCAAATTGCATACAGCTGACAGAGTAAGTAAAATATGGACAGAAGACCACCTATTGAATTTAGCAAAATGGATAAAAGTGAAGATTTTAATGTTGGGTAAGAAAAGTGAAAATTAATGAGTTCAAGAAAGACTAAAATCAGAAGACAATAAGATTGTGAACAGTTTTACTGTAAAGTGGTACAGCAGGTGGGGCAGTTATATGATAAACAAAAAATAAATTTTTGATGGGAAAAGAGAAAGGAATAAAACAATGGGAGAAGGAATGATTCCTGAAATTATGTCCCCAAATATAGAGAAGTGAATGATATCTAGTGAACAGGTGGAACAATCCACCTGTATTAGCAAACATAAGCACAGAACATACAAGAAGAGGGATGAGTGTGTGGGAAATGGGATACTGAGTATGTCTAAAATTTCTTTTATGTTACTATTTCTATTTTCTCAGTGAAGTGGAAGAAAGCTAAGATTGGGATAGAAGCGGTGGTGGTGTCACATTCTAAGGAAAGAAAAACAAATATAAAATACCTTCTTGAAGAGAGTGGGAGAGTTAATGGGCTGGGAAATTGTAAGAAGATTGCCAGGCCACGTTAAGGGCTCACCTGAGGTGAGGAATCATGATTTAACATGAGTCCAGTCCAAGCAGGTTGGGTATTTTACTTCAAGCACAGGGTGGATGGAGGATTCCCAGATTGGAAATTCTCTAGGCAATTTTATGGGTAAAATAAATTATGTAGGCTAGTAATGATGTTTCAAGGGAATGACAATAATGATAAACCATGGATTCTAATCTGGATGTGGAGAAAACTGAGAACAGGATAGGTATGAGGACTGGATAATAGGTGCAGGACCAATGTATTGTCAGTTCCTTTGGGGCCAAATAATAATAGAGTCAAGGTACTGCAAGTGATGATTAAGCTCTGAAGAGATGTCACCAGTGTAAGCCCAGGAAAGGAAATAAGGTCCATTTTAAGAAGATTACCAAGAGACAATTGAGGAAATAAAAATAATATTTACAGAATAAAAAAAAATTTCTGCCTAAGAAAATAACTTATTAGCATTAAAAATCCACAATTTGGATTTTACAACAAAAACAGAATACATTTCTTGTTGAACTTCTCATACCTCAAGTAAGATATGTGTGTATCTTATGTGTGTTATAGGTATTATGTATATATCTTATGCATATCATACCTCAAGTAAGATGTGTATCTTATGTATATTATATGAGTTCTTATGTGTGTGTGTGTGTGTGTGTGTGTGTATATATATATATATATATATATATATATATATATATATGACTCTGAGGATATAGAAATAGCTTCAAACTACTTATTCCATTTTAAGTATATACCAATTGCCATAGCCTAAGCATTAAAAGACAAAACTTTTTATTTACATTTTAAAGGGAAAAACAAAAGTGGTTTCTGAAACAATGGGGGGAGTTAGTTTTGAATATATAAGAATAAGTACAATAAAAATATAAAGAACCTGGTAACTCCAAAGAAAAATGAAGTATTTAAACTCACACTGTATAGCAATAGGAATGAGGACATATGGAGCAAATCACTAGCTCAAATGAGAACCATACTGAAAGCTTAGTGTATTCTGGGAAGAGCATCACTGTCTTCTTTGTGCTGCCTGTTTCTTCTTACGAGGGGATGAGCCAAGGAAGAAAAGCTTACAGAGCTTAGGTGAGAGATATTATAAACATCCAGGACCAAAATTCCAAGTTATATGTACATTTGACAAATGTAGGAGACTATTCCTAAAGAATCCTTTAAAACCGAGCTCTACTGAGGATAATACAATGGCACTAGTAGCTCATTATGCAGCACAGAAGACCAGAATTTGACAGCTTTCAGCTACCTTTTCCAGCAAAAGACTGTTTTCAAGATTTTTCATGGTAAATGCTTTTAATGAAGCCCCTGTAGGCTAGTTGTCAAGGTTTACACATGTCATTTTGCATGTTCCTCTTTAAAAAATATGATGAAAACTGCTAAGAACATCTTGGCTAGCACATTTCCACAGAACAGGAGTCTGCTGCTGACTTTAATGACCATATCCATAGTACCTTTATAATGATACCATTTCCTGCTGAATGTCTTGTTGTTGCCCCACAGGGAACACACTTACACTGCTGTGTCAGAACTGTTTAGTGACAATGCCTATTGTTACAGTCTCCATTTTCTACCTTCTGAGTTTTTGGCACATTTTTATTATATAAGGATTTGTAAAGTACTACAAAGAAACTGCTTTTTATTCCTCAGCTGGAGCAAAGGTGGTTGGCCTGAGAATTTAACCGAATAATCAATTCATTAAAACTCTGTGATAAGTTTTATTATTGATAAAAACATATTTATCCAAAGAAAATGTTTGAAAAAACACAAGTGCTATGTTTTTGCTTTAAAAAAATATACACAACATATTCTACCTGTGTAAGGAGTAATAACAGAGTTTTCTAGTTTATTCTAAGAATATAAAACAAAAGGATAGAAAAACTTTCTTCATTTCTGTTGTTCTTTCTCTATAATTTTTGAAATATTATCTTTAGCTGTATTGAAATAATGGCTGTGTGCAACATATAGATATTAATATGTTGTTTGTTGATAATATAGAAAAAGACACCAGAATCTTTTCTGTATGCAGGAAAGATTAATACACTTCTACAGAATTGGTATAATTCAGATTTTTTTATAAGAAGATAGCACATCTGCAGTGTTGAGGAAAAATTCTAGACCTTATCAAATATTTGAAGAGGTTTATTCTGAGCTGAATATGAATGACCATGGCTCATGACACAGCCTCAAGAGGCCCATAGCCCATGTACGAAAGGTGGTTGGGTTACAACTTGGTTTCATACATTTTAGGGAGACAGAAGTTATAGGCAAAGACATAAATCAATACAGGCATAGTATACAGTGGTTCAGCCTGGAATGGCAGAATATCTTGAACTGGGGGCCTTACAGGTGATAGATGAATACAAAGTATTTCTGACTGGCAATTGTTTGAAAACGTTGAGCTTTGTCTAAAAGGTTGAAGTCAGCAGAAAGAAATGCCTGAATTAAGAGGGCTTATGGAAGCCAAGGTTCTTGTTAGGTAGATGAAGCCACTAGGTAGGAGGCTTCAGAGAAAATAGATGGTAAATGTCTTTTACTGGACTTTAAAAGATGTCAGTGTCATCGTTAAATCTCTTCTGGATCAAGAAAAAGTCTGGAAAGGGAAGAAGACACTCCATAGAATGCATATTACCTGTCCAAGAGGTAGATTTGCAGGGCCGATCCAAAATATGTCAAAGTAATATATTTTGGTGTAAAATACTTTGATTTCCTATTGTAATGTACTTTGATAGGACCAACTGTCTGTTATGTGATGCCACAGCAGGATCAGGTTGGAGTTGGGTAACTTATTGCTACAAAGAGGTGTCCCTCCCCATACAATGCCTGAGGTCAACCAGGTGTCTCTCCTGTTAGAATGCCTATTGTCAGCCAGGTGTCTTTCCCCATATAATGCCTGAGGTTAACCAGGTGTCTCTCCCGTTTTATCAGTCTGAAGATTTCTATTTTAATGTTAATACTGGTCAGTTGTGCCTGAACTCTGGAAGAGAGAAGATATAATGAATGAGACATGTCCTTCTACCCTTCTCACGGTCTGAACCAGTTTTTCAGGTTTTCACGGGGATCCCTTTGGCCAAGGTAGGGGGTCCATTCAGTTAGTTGAGGGGCTTAGAATTTAATTCTTGGTTTATAGCAGTTAGGTTGATACTATTAGAGTCAGAAGTAATAATGTCAGAGGCGTTTGAACCAGAGCAACTCTGTCTTAAATAGGGCCTGGGTAAAATAAGGCTGAGACCTACTTGGCTACATTCCCAAGAAGTTAAGCATTCTAAGTCACAGGATGAGACAGGAGGTTGGCGCAAAGCATAGGTGACAAAAACCTTGCTGATAAAACAATGCAGTAGAGAAGCCAGTGAAAACCACCAAAACCAAGATGGGGATGAAAGTGACCTCTAGTCATCTTCACTGCTCATTACATGCTAATTATAATGCATCAGCATGTTAAGAGACACTCTCACCAGTGCCATGACAGTTTACAAATGCCACGGCAACATCAGGAAGTTACTCTATGTGGTCTAAAATGGGAAAGAACCTTCAGTTCTGGAAATTGCTTACCTCTTTCCTGGAAAACTCATGAACAATCCACCCCTTGTTTAGCATATAATGGAGAAATAACCATAAAACTAGCCAACCAGCAGCCCTAGCGGCAGCTCTGCCTATGGAGTAGACATTCTTTCTTTACTTTCTTAATAAACTTGCTTTCACTTTAAAGACTCACCCTGAATTCTTTCTTGCACGAGATCCAAGAACCCTCTCTTGGGGTCTGGACAGGGACCCTTTTCTTGTAACATCTTCCTGGGCAACTACAAAGGGATGATACTGAGGAGACCCCTGACCCAAAGGAAATAGACTGCAGCACCAATTGTCCCATGTTGGGTAACTGGTGGGGTACTGAGGTAAAGAATGGGATTGGGTTAAAGGCCCAACTTAGGGGAGTTAGAGTCTCTTCTAAGACAGAGAAGGTTAAAGGCCCCTCTCAATCAATGGCAGGACACTTGACCAAACTTGTGTTCAAGTCCCAACTTAGGAGGCTTAGAATTCTTTTTAAGATTTAGGAGGTTAGAGTCCCCTCTCAGTAAGAGGCCTAGTTCAGACCGTGAGAAGGGTGGAAGGACGTGTCTCATTCATTATATCTTCTCTCTTCCAGAGTTTAGGCACAACTGACCATTAAAATAGAAATCTTCAGACTGATAAAACGGGAGAGACACCTGGTTAACCTCAGGCATTATATGGGGAGAGACACCTGGCTGACAATAGGCATTCTAACAGGAGAGACACCTGGTTGACCTCAGGCATTGTATGGGGAGGGACACCTCTTTGTAGCAATAAGTTACCCAACTCCAACCTGATCCTGCTATGGCATCACATAACAGACAGTTGGTCCTATCAAAGTATTTTACAATAGGAAATCAAAGTATTTTACACCGAAATATATTACTTTGACATATTTTGGATTGGCCCTGCAAATCTATCTCTTGGACAGGTAATATGCATTCTATGGAGTGTCTTCTTCCCTTTCCAGATTTTTTCTTGACTAAGAACAGATTTGGAATTATGGGATGTTAACCATTTATTCTGTTTGGATTAATCTGCCTTGCACTCTTTGCTGATGGCTGTGGGTGATAGGATTAGGCATGTACAGGACCATGGAAAATGAGGAGCTTTTTCTTCCCCAAATGGGGGAAACTTGAGAACTGACAGGACTGCTGGTAAAGATCTTTTCATGACTGACAAGCAGCCACCTGAAATTTTCAGTGTCACTGCAATGGGTGGGTCTTTCTGTGGCCTCTCTTAGCTCCTTGCCTTCCTCACCCTGCTGCATACAATGTTTGTTTCTCTTTCTCTCCTATCTCTTTTTTATCTTTTCTGTTACTTAGGGCAAAGATCTTGCCCAGAGACCACATACTGAAGCTCCTGGTTGGAGGTTGAAATAAAGATGACAGGGCCGAACCAGGGGCACATTTGACCCTTGCCAGTTTGATATTGGGTGCTAAATGAAGTGGCTAATGTCTATGTTTTGTCATATGTATTTTGCTCTGGCCAGAATGAAAAATGTTTATTTGGTTACCACAGGCAACCCCTTGGGTGGCATCTTGGTGATGTGGCTTGGCCCCCAGGAATGTGGTGTGTTGCACAGGGTCACTAAGGCTGCTCAGGGAAAAAGAACCCAGAAACCTCATATGCCAGTAAAACTGTCTGTGCAAACTGGTTGAATGAATGGTAAAAATCACTGTTTATCTCCTCTGTAAAGTTTTGATTAATGGGAAAAGGATTTGTGAAGCTTATCTTAAGCTGTAACAAATCTGGTGTGCTTTGTGCTATACATTTGTCTCTCTGTATCATTCTGCCATAAAGAGGAATACCTTAGGGTAGAATATGGGCTTAGGACCCAGTAAGTCTGCTCTTCAAGATGGCCCAGCAAGCTGGTCAGTTGCAAAGTTTGCTGCGGGTCCCTAAAAAACTAGACAAAGTTTCCTTCTAATCTTGTTTTATGTCTTCAGAGCTTGACCTTGTACCAGCTGGCAGTATTTTCTCTTAGTCTTTGCAACCCGGAGGACAGGAATTTTGAAATTCATGTCGTCCTTAGCCCTAACCATTGTCTTGAGCAGTTAAAAGCCTTTTCAAGCTCAAAATTGGCTGCTCTAGGCTCTTTCTGGGAAAGGCAATGGGAAATGCCCAGTGCTGTAGGTTAGTAGCTAAGGTTTATTTGTATTGCTTGGGAGGTTACTTTTGGTAAAGTTTAAAAGTCAGAAGTATTACACATTTTTTCTGGCTAGAGTTGGGTAATAAGAGATTTAAAAGTGTTTTTCAAAAGAGTGCTATGGTTAAAAATCAACTTAATTAAAAGCAAATATTCAAGCTCTAACAACCTTGGACTCCTTGTGAAAAACAGGTGAGGCACCACAGACCCAGTTTTGGGAAAAGCCTCTGCTTTCCTCATAAAACCCCAGGAATTGAAAGTAGATAGATCCCTCTCAAAATCTAAGTCTCTGTTCATTTTTGCATTGCATTATCTGAAGCTTTCAAATTTGGGGGTCATCAGAAATTACTTTGCATTATGATTGCACTTTGCCGCATAATAACTAAGTAGGAAATATATACCTTTGGGGATAGCTAATGGCAGTTATGGGGCAATATGCATCTCTTTGCATGTTTGGATCAGAGAAGCATGCTCTTAGCCACCTAGAAGCTATGGAAATGTCCCCAGCCTGCACTGAGAGATAAGACTTCCAGAGGAGACAGGCTGATTCCTTCTGTTTGGGATCCAGGAACTGGTATAAAAATGGGACCCTGAATTTTGGGGAATCTGTTTTGCCTTCCAGCTGTGCCTGCTTATTAGGCCATAGAAACTGCATGTTTTAAAGAGAAACATAAAAATTAGAAAGTGAAAAATCTTGCAAGCACTGGATCTTTTTCTGTCTGTGTGCTTATGTGTGTTATATGTGTGATATTTATGTATGAAAGAGCTTTGACTCATTGGTTCAAAAATAAAAAGGGCTTAAGTCAAACATTTTGTCCGAAAAGGAAAAAGAATATAATGCCTTTCAGTTCACATGACTTTAATAATCTTTGGGGAATAAAAACAGTTTTACATGCAAGGTGTGTAAGAAAATGAAATGTATTTTCAGTAAAAGATTATATGAAGGCATGGGAATGTGGATTTTAAAGGGTTAAAGGATTGTTTTAAGTTACATGAAAGCTGAAGGTTTGAACAAGTTATGGAAGGTTTGTGAAAAATTAATCTTGTAGAAGAAATATGTGTGTGAACATATTGACTAAAGTTAAAGAGATAGTATTCAGTTTTTCTGTAAATCAAACAATGGAATAAAAGCAAAACATAGTTATTTTAGGGCATTGATCTGCTCTTTAACATAAAATTGTAAAGGGTTATTCGAAAAAGGTTTATGAGACTCTTATGGTCAGACATTAAAGCTGAAAAGATTTGTCTACAAGGTTTTATTAAGAATTGGGGTTGGCTCGGTACTCATGCCGGTAATCCCAGCACTTTGAGAGGGTGAGGCAGATGGATCATGAGGTCAAGGAATTGAGACCATCCTGGCTAATATGGTGAAACCCCATCTCTACTAAAAATCCTAAAAATTAGCTGGGTGTGGTGGCTTGCACCTGTAGTCCCAGTTACTTGGGAGGCTGAGGCAGGAGAATCACTTGAACCTGGGAGGTGGAGGTTTCAGTGAGCCAAGATCACACCAGTGCACTCCAGTCTGGGTGACGAAATGAGACTTCATCTCAAAAAAAAAAAAAATTGGGGTTGACATGAAGAGTGGACTAATGCAAAGGCAAATTTCAAATATCTCTTGAACAAGATATTCATGTAATATTTTTAAAAAGGAAATATTTTTGTTTGCCTTTTGAATAATCTCTAGGTAAAAATAAGGAAAAAAAGAGACAAATTGTCTGGAAAGTTAAGTCTTCCCTCTATTAATTAGTAAAGATTTTTGCCTTAAAGTTTTTGCATTATAATTTTGGCTAAATGAATAAAATGGTGTTTGGCTTTCTTTGGGGTGTGTTTGTAAAAAACGTTATTGGTATGTGTTCCAAAATTAGGAAACTTCTGTAATTCTGATATAACTTAATGTATAGAATGTTATTAATAATTATAATTGTTATGTAAAATTGCTGTATCCCATAGAAGTAACCAAATTCCTAGTCAAGTGTGTCTTTAACAATGACTGTCCTAACAAAAACTTTTTGTTATCCAGAGACAATTTTTCTCTTGTTTTGATCCTCTTCATAAAGTGGCTTATAATCAGCTATAGGACTTTGGCAGGTGCTCTTGAATGCAGATTTCTGATAACGTTGGAGATTGTGACATCAGAATAGAGGAAGAAATTTCCAGTACTCATGAAGAGCTGAAATGTTCATGCATATCAAGGAGAACCAGAGATAACTGCATGGACTGAACTAATAGAAGATTGAAACAATCTTTTTTGACTTTTTGCTTAAAATGTTGCTGATGCTTTGATTTGTTTTTCATTGCTAAGAAAAGTGTTCTTTTGATCTACTTACAGCTTTTAACAATTGCTTAAAGTATACTCCTGTGAACAAAATTTGGAGCATATTTCTCTCTACCTGATTTCTCCAGGATTTGGACACTCTTTGTGAGTATTCTTAACTTACTGCAGTAAGAATCTGTTTTCTTTTGTAATGGGACACAGTTGGAGAAACTGTTTATTTTACCAAAGATTTGACTGGAATGGTGTGCTTTCCTTTAAGTAATGAAGCCTGACTTATAGAGCCAATAAAAGCCCACTGGGAAAAATGGCCTCATACCTTATCTATACAGTCCCTGTACAGGGTTCCTGACCTGTTTATGAAGTGCTAAGTAAAGAATGTCACTTTATGACAGACCCAGGAGCCCCAAGCTATCTTGGGACCTCAAGAGGAGAGGACCTTACTCAACCCATAGGTATTTGAGAGTACAAACTCATGGCTGGGCTCAGCTTAAAAAAAAAAAAAAAAGGTCTTTTCTGATAATCCTTAGGGAACAGAGTTCTATCAAGCCAATTTGAAAAGCCTATGTTAAAAATATTATTCTTACTGCACTTTATACAAAAAATCAGGTTAAGTGTGACAAATTCATCTTACCATGATTTGTCTTTAGTAAAAATGGAAGACTGGAGAGAGAAAAAAGTTACGTTTCCAAAACTATGGTACACCAGTTATTAAATTCTAGTCTTATCAGTTTTTGAGGCTTTTCTTCTGTAATTTAGACTGACTGCTTATTCCTGGGCACCAACCCGTGATATCTGGCTGCTGTTTAGAAGAAATAAGTGGGATGGGTAATGTAAAAATCAAGATTGGCATTCTAATTCTGGGCATGTGTTATACTCAGCTAGTGTCTCCATATTAGATTGGTTCCAACAATTTCCCAGTTCACGAAGAGCCTTCTTATTTAGTTTATTTGGGATAATTTTGCTTATTTTGCCTATGGTTGTGGAATCCATTGTTGTACTTTTTGTGTTGAAGTGCAGGATAAGCTTACTGAGTGTTTTCTTAAATTGAACACTTATTAATCTCCCAGATATCACCTTTTGTCAGAGTTATGAATGGCCCTTACCATACTGGATGCTTTCTGACTGAGCTCCTCTCTACCCTGAATACAAGAGACCCTAATAGTTAGGCAGAATTATCTTCACCCCTAATGAATCTTTGTCCGTCTACAACCCTGAGGATTAAGGGTTTCCTTGTAAAAGAGATGGGGAAATATGTCAGAGGCATTTGAACCAGAGCAACTCCATCTTGAATAGGGCCTGGGCAAAATAAGCTGAGATCTACTGGGCTTCATTCCCAGGAGGTTAGGCATTCTAAGTCACAGGATGAGATAGGAGCTTGGCAGAAGGCACAGGTCACAAAGACCTTGCTGATAAAAGGATGCAGTAGAGTAGCCAGCCAAACCCACTAAAACCAAGATTGTGATGAAAGTGACCTCTGGTAAACATCGCTGCTCATTGTATGCTAATTGTAATGCATTAGCAAGCTAAAAGACACTCCCACCAGTGCTATGACAGTTTACAAATGCCATACAACATCAGGAAGTTACCCTATATGGTCTAAAAACAGGAGGAACCCTTAGTTCTGGAAATTGCCCACCCCTTTCCCAGAAAACTCATGAATAATCCATCCCTTGTTTAGTATATAATCAAGCAATAACCATAAAAATAGCCAGCCTGCAGCCCTCAGGGCTGCTCTGCCTAAGAATTAGCCCTTCTTCATTTCTTCACTTTCTGAATTAACTTGCTTTCCCTTTACTCTGTGTACCCACGTTGAACTCTTTCTTGCACAAGATCCAAGAATCTTCCCTTGGGGTCTGGATCAGGACTCCTTTCTGGTAACAACAATAGATAAAGTAGACTGGGTAACAAACAGACCCAGGTGTACAATGCTCAAAACCAGAATATTGCTTTTTTGACTCACAAGTTGGGAGTAGAGCACAGGGAGGTATGATATGATTCGGGGAGTGCAATATCTTTAACACATTCCATGGAAGGTTTCCCTGAGTGTAGAATCCATCCCAATCATGGGGAAGTAGAAAAAGCTGGTGATAGGCACATGGAGGCTTCCAAGGGCCGGAAGTAAAGGTGGCAGCTACCCTTTTCACTCACATGGAGTCTGACTGTAGGCCTATAGAAAAGAGAAAAATCAAATTGGTTGCTAACCAGGAGTCTCTTCTTAGAGATCATCCTTTAAATCCTTATCAATTTGCAGGCTTTATATATGCTACAAGCATACCAGTGGTGAATAGCACAATGCCCATGGATTAGTACATATTAAATAGATTTAAAACGTCTACCAATATCATGTACGTGTGATAACAGTGATGCTCTGTTTTTAAACACCCATTCATCCTCAGTAGAACACTCAGGGAAATATTATTCACATGGCTGTGTAATATCTCTCCTATTGCATCTTTTGTCATTTTCCTAGTTTGGGGTGCTGTATTGTTCAATTTTTGAATTCTATGTCATATTTCCTGGCATAATCAGCTTTTCTGATGTTAAACAGGCAAGTTCCCTGTCAGAGCTGATATACAAATGCAAACAGTTGATATTTCTATCACATATAGTCTAAATCCTAGTCTTCATTAAAGAGAGATGGCATTTCTTTCCATGAGTATAGCTGTAATATTAAAATATGTGAAATTTTAGAGGTATAACTCTTTGAAATTATAATATTCCATTAATTCAATAGAAAAGCCTTTATTAAACTTATACTATGTGTTATGCACATTACAAGGCCCTGGGGTTGCAGTGGGTAAATGTTTTAAGGAATTTACAGGATAATATGAAGACAACATTGTAGACTGATTAGAGAATAATGTGAACACAAAATATTTAAAATATATCTGTGTATCTTTTTATTTTGGGATACTGAGGTGGGAGTGTTTTAATTATACATTTTGACAAAATAAAATAACTAAGTAGCTTCTGCTCTAAGGATTATTTAAAAGAGTCTCCACTGCAATTACTTAAAAGTACATTATTTCCTGGAAATAACAATATTTCTTCTACTTCAGTAAGTGTGGTTTTAGAAGTACTGTATTAAAATTTGGGGGTAGTATGCTGGAGTCAAGCTAGACTTCTAAATTTTCCTCTGAGATAAACATTTAGAAGAATGAAAAAGATAAACAAACAAATCAGCCAGGAAAACACAAGAGCAGTAAGACTAAAAAGTGTGAAGTCTTGTGTTCTTATCTTGGTGAAAGCAATATTTGGTGAAAGAGGAATTTTACATTTTTAAAAATCTTGCACTTTGAATCCATGTAGATTCCAGATCTCATTTCCTGTACCCTATACTCAAAGAGTGTAAAAAAACTTACAGGTAGGTAAAAGAAATTCTGATAAAATATCTTACTACACACCCCCGCCAACACACACATACACACTTGCAGAGAGAGAGATCAAGAAGAGAAGCAGAGAAGTAGAAAGAGCAGACATTCTCTCCTTATCACATTTACATCCCATCTGGGACAGGAAATAAATTCTGGATCTCATCTATTTGGTGGCTCTTGGCTAAAAAGAAGTTTAATGGATCGTTTAGAGGTAATTGTCTTCAGCAGTACTTAAAAGAGAGAATGAAAATAGTCCCTTTAGAAAGCAGGACAGGGTGCAATCTCAGATAAAATTAGATCTTCCAAGTGAATGACATGCAGGTTCACAGAAGAGAGATATCCAAAATCTGTAGTAACAAGAAGCAGATCAGTTGCCATGAGCTAATGACTGGGGCAGAGGGGAAGAGGTTTTTCCTTTAAAGAAGAACTAGAAAATATTTGATGTGGAGGAAGGGAATATTTTGAGTATTGTTTTGTTAACACAATTATCTATGTTTGTCCAAATACATGGAACTGAACACTTAAAGTGGCTTAATATTATGGTGTGTAGCTTATACCTCTCTAAATTTGTCTAAAAATACACTAACCAAAAAGAAGTACGGTAATCCACATATTCGGAAGGATCTCCTGAAAACAAAGGTGGGGAGGAGGAGATCGTGAGCTGAGAGTTGAACTGAAACTGAGAGAGGGAAGCTCCTGTAAAGTGGCGGTGCAGGGGAGTACCCTGAGGGCAATCCACAATATCTTTGCCACCGTTAGAAACAAGAGACCCCCAATTGTAACAGAATCCTCTGAAGGGGAAGAAAATGGCTTCATACTATTGCTAGGTAGACAGATAAAACAAAATATGAGAGAATTTAGGAAACATGAAGAATAGAATGGGAAAGTCTATCATACATGGCTAATGAAATAGTCCAAAGTGAAAAGCGAAACGCATGGTGAAGACATGATACAAGTATTTTTTGAAGACATAACTGAAACATTTTCTGAAGATATTGAAGATATAAATCCTCAGGTACACAAAGCACAGTTTAAAATTATCGAGTAAACAAAAAGGTACACATCTAAAGGCATATAAGAATACTGAGAAACGCCAGTCTCATGGAAGATATTTTAAAAGTAGCTAGAGAGGTACATGTAAAGTCCCCTACCTAAGGGCAATTAGACCGATGAGAGATTTCTCAGCAATTAAAGCCTGAAGATAGGGTTCTATATTCTGGGTGTAGAATGCTGAGAGAACATCATTGTCCATCAAGATTTGTGTATCCAGCAAAAGTATCTTTTGAATACAAAAGTAAAGTAAAGAAAATTCTCAAATATTAAAAAATTGAGTTTCAATGATCAATTCTATACTACAGAACCTCTAAAGGAAGTTTGAACATTAGTAAAGGGGGAAAACTGAGTAAGAAAACAAAACAGAACAATACAAAATCTAAATATATTTCAGGGCAAGAGAAGAGAAAAATATGCAGAATACATAAATAAACAAACATAAATAAATACAGGATAAAGAAATTCATAACATAAGAAATTAAAACTATCAATATATTTGCTTGTAATCATGGCAAATGTAAATAGATTAAGCCATCATTTAAGAAGAGGTGGCATATTGGATTTCAAAAATTTAGCTATCTGCTTTGCAATAGAAGACAAAAACAAAAATACTTTGAAATATGTAAGGGATGAAAAATAAATACTAGGTAATTATGAATCAAAATAAAGTTTATATGGCTTTAATTATATCAGGCAAAATAATACCTTAAGACACACACACACACACACACACACACACAAACATTAGGCATAGAAGGTTATTTTATAAGGATAAAAGTTTTAATTCATCAGAGAGTTACAAAAATTCTGTATTTTATATACCATATAAAATAACAGGGAGAAACTGAGAAATCTCCCCTAAAATGAGAAACTTAAAACACTTCTTGAAATTTTAGTAATCTTATATAGAAGAAACATTTATAAATGTGTAGTTAATTTGAAATATGCAATTAACAAACTTGATTTCCAGAGGTTTATCTATAAATCAATCTTTCTATGTGTAATTACAAATTAGATATTCTTCTCAAGCTCATGTCAAATGTTCAAACGTTGATATGCTAGGATATAACAGAACTTTTAAAAAATGGTTACATGTACATATTCTACTATGACCACAGTGAAATACATTTGAAGTCAAAGAGGTAGATTCTTAATAAGAGCACTGAAATATTTAGAATTCTAAAATCATACTTGTAAAACAAAGAAATTAATCAAAGAAGAAAACATAATGAATAACTTAAAATGTTAGAAATGAATACTAAAGAAGTTACAAGTAAAATTATTATATTTAAATGTCTATTTTAGAAAAGACTAAAAGCAATAAGCATATTATAAATTTAAAATTTTCAAAAGAAATAAAAGAAAAATAAATCTAAAACAATTAGAAACATGATAAATACAGAAGAAAAATTGATAAAATGGAACAAAAACACAGTGAAGGGGATTTGCAAAGCTAAAAGTTGGCTCTTTGAAAAGGCTATTAAAATAGAGAAATGTTTGTCAATATCAACCAAGAACAAAAGTTAGCAAACTAAAAAATATATATTACCATTAAAAAAATTGGAATTAATATCACCAATAATTCAGATACTATAAAAATCTACATGTCAAAAATATTTACAGCGTAGTTGAAATGAACACACTCCAAGATAAACTAACTTACCAAAACTGCATCTAAAAAGTACTTTTAAAAATTTGAAAAGCCCTGTAATCATTAAGGAATTGAAACTACTAGTCTAAATTTTCCAACCAAAAAAATGCTGGGAGCAATTTAAATTATTCCTTGAAATTTCTGCAGCTATAATAATCACAGATTATACCACTATTGTATAAATTCACTGAGAAAGAGGGAAAACAATAAAGAGGGAATGCTCCCCTAATTTGCTCTCTCCTGAAAGCAGATTTGGAGAGAAATACTTGAGCTCAAGTAGATTAGCTGGGAGGTCTGGTGGCCATCAACGCGTGCCCTTCAGAAATCCTTCAAGAGAATCTTTGACAGGAAACAGAGGTAACATGTGTTTGGATCCACGATTTCATTGTGCTGAGACCATACTTTCTTTACTCTGTTCCCAGTGACTGAATAGGATACGGCACTAGTGCTAGCACATTCTTGACCAATCAGGAAATATTCCAATGGGCAACATGTGCTCAGGAATCCCCATTGGCTTAGCCTTTTCTTTTTCTTTTTCTTTTTTTTTCTTTCTTTCTTTTTTTTTTTCTTTTCCAGAATTGCAGTGTGTTCTGTGGCTCTTTTTATTCTATTATCCTTCTCCTCTTTTCTGCATGTCAAACATGCACTGAGGTCTTAATGTTCTCCCTATCTTCCCTGTTTCTTCCTTTTATGTTTTACCCACATGTCTCCTAATTAATTTTGTGCAGATCTAATCCAGTCTTGGTGTCTGCTTCTCAGAGGAACTTAACATACATATCTGATATTCAGAGTGATTGAGCAATCAGTATTAAAATGGGGTTTGGTGACTGGCCACCAACCTACACTTGGCAAGGGACATGTCATCTTGAACAGAATGCATGAAATGCACAATCTCTGACATAATTTGGTTGCTCAGTGGCTGAAAACAGAAATGGCAGTGACCTGGGAAAATTCACAGTTGCAAATCTCCTTGCTGTTTTGGTGATCCAGGCATTTAAAATAGATTGATTCAGGCATTTAAAAGAAATGAGACCAGGCGTGGTGGCTCACACCAGGAATCCCAGCACTTTGGGAGGCAGAGGTGGGCGGATCACCTGAGGTCGTGAATTTGAGACCAGCCTGACCAACATGGAGAAACCCCGACTCTATTAAAAATACAAAATTAGCCAGGCGTGGTGGCACATGCCTGTAATCCCAGCTACTCAGGAGGCTGAGGCAGGAGAATGACTTGAACCCGGGAGGCGAGGGTTGCAGTGAGCCGAGATTGCACCATTGCACTCCAACCTGGGCAACAAGAGGGAAACTCCCGTCTCAAAAAAAATAAAATAAAATAAAAAGAAGAAGAAACGAGGGGGAAATTCTTCGAAAGACAGGAGAGTTACCTGGTTATTACCAAGTTGCACTGACAGTCTCCAAAGGAATAAGAAGAAACTGGGAAGGTTAACTCCAATTAAAGGTAAATATGAGAGCCAGAAGACCTCTTTGGTATCTTACTAATGACCCACATCTCCTTGCAGCAAAAACACTCAACTGAAGAACAGCCGTAGGATTTGGTAGTTTGAGTCAGAGAGCTTCAGTGATGTTGAAACACCCATGCTAGGCTAAGGTTGAGATTCTAGTTGAGGAAAAACACAGATCCCGAAATGTGCTATTGAAAAATCTGGTTGAATGTCCCCAAGGATTTGGGCCCTTCAGATCCTCCTGAATCCTCCAAACTTGCAAGAGGGGCTTACCCATTCCTAAGTAATATCTAGGCTTTCCTTGTGCAGGAAGACTCTACAGGAACCTGTCTACAAAAGGAAACAAGTATTACCCTCAGGAGCTTCCTGCACCTACTCTCTTGCCTGCCAGGCTGAAAACAAGAGATAAATCCCAGAATAACCTAGCTGTAAATACGACAAAGCAGCTCTAGGAAGTAACTAGATGCATTACTGGGAACCAGGAGAAAACTCCTGGGAATGGATTTTGTGAGTGGTTGATTGAGTCAAGAATTCATTGACTTTGGGTCACTTTTCTGGAACATGGGATTTAACCCCCTTTATGGACTCCAGACAATTAGGCAAACTTGCAGCTAGAGTGGCCCAAAAAGCCTAGAAAAAGATATGGCTTATGCTAAGCAAAGTAGAAAATATGTGAGTTACTCTAATGGATGGTAGAAGGAATAAGAAGGCTCAAGGAGGTGGGCATGCTGAGATGTATATATGACGTAAGACTAGAATACTATACTGGCAGATTGTATTTTGTAGGAGATCCAGAGGACATGCCATTACTAAAAACTATCTGAAAAGTTCTGGTGAGAAGAAAAACAGCATCAATAGGATATTCAGGGATGGATCTCCTCTGATGATAGCAGAGATGTCAGTCTTTTTAATAGAAATATGGTTGGCATCTTTATTAGAAATAGGGCTAATGGGACTTAAGTAATAGAAGCCAGGGAGTAATAGGTCCAAAGGTCCACGATTGCAATCTATGGTGATTGCCACTCTCCCTGAGTATATAATTGGGAATGATGTATTTCAGAACTGAAATAATTCTCCATAGGATCCTTAGCCTATGAGGTGAAAGCTGTTGTAATGGGGAAGGTTGAATGAGAGCCTCTGAGGCTGCCGTTTTCTTGCCTCCTTCCCTTGTAGCCAAAGGAGTAAATGAAAAATCATATAACACCCATAGAAATATGATAGAGATTAGTGATACCATTAAAGTTGTAAAGTATGTAGGAGAAGTAGTTTCTATTATATTTCAGCTTGGCCCTGGTACAAACTAAATGAATCCCTGAGAATGACTAGAGATTCAGCCAAATATATACCTGTACAGTAGCTATGTTTAAGTGTTTTCATTGCCAGAAAGCATGGCCAGAACAGATTAGTAAAGCCTTAGGTGTATGGTATGTTAGTCATTAATCGGTGAATGTGTATTTTTTTTTCTATTCCCATCAACGTTGAGGATCAGCAAGAGTTCAAATTCATGTGAAATGGGCAATAATATTAATTTGTAGATGTTCTGCAAGGCTCTGTTAACTGTCCTCCCCTTGGTAATATGGTTCATAAAGATCTAGATCATTTAGGTGCCCCTCAGAACATTACACGTATGTATTTTATCAATGGCATCATGGTATCTGGACAGAAGCTAAAAGTGGCTAGTTTGCCAAAGGTCTTGGTACCACATGTGTTTCAGAGATTGGAAGACAAACTCTATGAAGTTTCAGGGACATGCCACTCAGCAAAGAGTTTAGAGCCTGATGGCCAGAGGTGTGCGATAATATTCTCTCCACATAAAAGAAAAAAACTGTTTAACATTGCATCTTTACACCTCAGAAAAGAAAGCACCTGGTAGTTTTATTTTGCTTCTGAGAACAGCACATTTTACCCATAGGTATACGCTTCAGATTCCTTTACTGGGAGACATGGAGGCTGATAAATTTGAGTAAAGCTCAAGGAAGTAAAGTACTCTGCAGCAGGTCCAGCCTGCCATGCCAGCAGCCTTATAGCTTGAGCCATATCATCTGAGTGATTCTATTATTTTAGCTAGTAGGGATGAGAAAAGATGCGCTTCAGAGTTGATTGCAAATTCCAGTGGGAGAATCACAAAGCAGGTCCCTAGGGTACTGAAAAGTGTCATGCCGTTGACCCTGAGGAATTATATGTCTTTTGAGAAACACTTCTGGCATGTTATTGGGCCCCAATAGAGATAGAGTATTTAAGCATGGGATACCACATAGCCATATCTACAGAACAGGCTACGGTTGTGAAGAAGAGTAAGTGAGATTGGAGTGGTAGATAACAAAGGCAGAAAGGCAAATAAGAATGGATCATATGGAACATTATAGAACAGGCTAAAGAACTTCAAATGCAATGATAAGACTGGGAACCAACAGGGTCTGATATATAATTCTTAAAGAACACTCTGGCTGCTGTGGGAAGAAGGACCAAAATGGACCATGCAGAAACAAAATGGAAGTGGGAAGCAGGTAAATTGACAGGTGATGAAGAATGAGACTGGTAACAAAGGGGACAATAAAAAGGAATCTCTTTTGCATTTGATTTAGATATAAAAGTAATAATAATGGCTGACAGATTTCAATGTAGCATTCAATATGTGGCAGTATTTATCAAAACGTAATATTTATATGAATCATCCAGGGATCCTGTTAAAGTGCAGATTCTGAATCTGTAGGTTTGAAGTGGAAAATGTGATTTTGCATTTCTAAAAATGTCCCAGGTGATGGTAGTCCTGGATCACACTTTGAGTAGCAACTACTCAAGGATTGGAATTGAGAATGATTTTAGAGATTTTAAGCTGAGCAACTAGCTGGATGATGAAGTAAGGCAGGTAAAAGAACATTACACTGTTGCTGGTTGGAGCAACGGTGGATTAAACATTTTGCTTTGGTCAAAATAAATATAAGATTGTCATTAAAAATCCATGTTGAGATAACAAATAAGAAATTGAATCTGTAAGTCTGGAATGCGGAAGAGCAGTACAGATACTGTACTTTAGGATCATCAGCTGATAAATGGTATTCCAAGCCATGGCATTGTAAGAGCTAATTTAGAGAGAATAGGTACACAGAAACTCTAACTGGGCCAAGTCCTGAGGTCTGAGTCACTCTTAAATTTACAGTGTAAAATATAAATTAAGCCCTCATATTTTTAGGTTCAGAAGCTGTCAAAAGTATTTTTATTGCTGTGTTTTTCAGCTTTTGATGAAGGAAGAAAGCACAATATTGCAACCATCTCAAAACACACACACACACACACACACACACACACACACACACATACACAATGTTGGAGGGTTACTTTAGCTTTTGTTTAGAACAAAGAAAGGAAAGGAAAAAATAGACAAGTCATTTCATTTACACGTAAGTGAATAGCAGGTACGCATTTTATTAAATAATGTTTTTCCTACCACCCCACCCCCTAAAATATATGACCCTTGAAAACTTTCTCAAATAAAACAATAAAAACTTTCAAAGTTAATATAAACCTCAGTGGTAAAGTTTATATTTCACATGACTGAAGGGAGGCACAGTAATTTCATTTGGAAGAAATATTATTCTTAACTTTTACACTGAAAGAGAGAAAGATATAAAACAAGCACTCTGCCACTTACACCTGATCACAGAAAATGTTACAGTTAATTGTCTAGTGAAGCTCAATCTCATTAGATGGCAGGCTTTAATTTTTTCCTTTGTGGTTTGTAAGTACTCTGACCCTTAGTTTTTCTGAAAAGCTAAAAAAAATGATTTATATAGCAGACTGTGAGAAATGTATATTTATATCTAATTGAAATACAGCACCATTGTAAAATTAATGCTGACTTTATATCATTAAATACTTATATTTCTGATTTCATATTTTTCTTGATTAAAGAAAAGGATAATTGTTTTATGTCTATAAAATCTGAAAAAAAAGACAAATTATTTGAATTCCATTCTACTAAAAATAAATGGATCTTTTCTTTAAATGAAAGCCAGCTCATATAGACAGTAGAAAAGAGGAAGAGAAGAAGGGGGGAAGAAAGAGGGAAATGTAAGGCAAAAGCAAAGGATCTTTAATAGTGAAACACTGGAAACCCTCTCATTAAAGGTCAAACAAGGCAAGGATGGCCACTGTCAATGTGTTCCTGTAACATTATTCTGGACACACTAGCAAATGCATTTAGTCAAAAGTAACGTATGTGTGTGTGCTTTGTATAAGTATGTAGTCTAAATGGATATAGTATTTTATATTTCTAGATGAAGCAAAATTTTTTTTAGATTATATCATTAGATCAAATGATATATAGCTGAAACACTCAAGAAAATCAACTGAAAATTCATTAAAAGCAATGTGAGAATTCAGCACTGTGAGTTCTTCTTTATACATAGAAATAGTATTTAGAAAAAAAATGAAAAAAAATCCTACACAAAATAAAAAATAAAACCCTGAAATTTTGGATGTTGAATTAAATAAATGTATAGAACATTTAAGAAAATTTTAAAAGTGTACTAAATGCCATAGAAAAATTTTACCAACTATCCACAGAAAAAAATATTATATTTGGCAACTATTCAGCTAGTTTATTTATATTTTTTATAATTTTTATATTTGGGGGGGTTTTTCCATGATTTATTTAATAGTAGTCAATGAAATTGTATTCAATTAAACTTTGCCTAGTGGTTCTTTGTAGGGTAAACAGGATTTTAACTGAAAATCAAAATAGCCCTTTTTTTTTCAAATTTTGTCTGAAGTAAATAAGTAATATATCAGAATGTGTTTAAATAAAGATGACCCAATTTGGTCAAGGTGGCTCATACCTGTAATCCCAACTCTTTGGGAGGCCAAGGCAGTCGGATCTCTTGAGGCCAGAATACCCCACCCTGGGCAAAACTTCGTCTCCACAAAAAGTTAAAAAATATATATATATATATATATATATATATTAGCCGCGGCATGGTAGCAGCTCCCCCAGCTACTTGGGAAGCTGAGGTGGGAAGATCATGCAAGCCCCAGAGGTAGAGCCAGGATCTTGCTACTGTATCACTGTATTCCAGCCTGGGTGACAGTACAAGACACTGTCGAAAAAAAGGATGAACCAGAAAGTGAGCCCTCACCAGACACTGAATTTGCTGGTGCCTTGATCTACAACTTTCCAGACACCAGAACATAATAAATCAATTTCTGTTCTTTCATGCTATCCAATGTATGGTATTTTGTCAAGGCAGCCCAAACTGACTAAGACAAAAAGATTGCTTCAATATTCAAAAATCAGTTAATGCAATCCATCATCTCAAGAGTCTAAAGAAGTAAAACCATATAATCATGTGTGATATTATGAGATATATATATATATATATATATATATATATATATATACACACACACACATATATATAGACTTTTGTCCACTGTTTCTGGCTCACAACTGTCATAGCACTTGTTTATTTTTTTCCTAAGTTACTAAAACAATAAGCATATCTTCTGTTAAAGTATTTGGCTTTTTGTCCTTGGCTCCTGAAAAAACTTTGAAACAGCTTTAGAGCCATAAAGGTGAGAGACAGTCTTTTGTTAAAATGTTGCAGTACTTTAGGCCTCGGAAAACAGAATCTCTTCTCTCTGACCTTCTTCTGCCCTCCTTTCAACTGCTCTTTTTTCTCCCCAACTGGACATGCAGTAGACACTAAAAATGCCCTCTAATCATTCCCCGCCTTTCTGTTTTGGAGCTGGCAATAAAGACATTTTCTGGCTTACCTTGGTCTGACTGTAGGTCGTAAGACCCCCATTTCAGGAGGGGTCCTGCCCCATACCCTGGAGAAAGAAACGCTGCACAGAGAGGCCAAGAAAAATCTGAACACACAGTTCTTGCTGAGTTTCCCCCACTCAGACTATTAGTATTAGATCATGCCCGTTTTATCCAATCACGTTTCTACAAAGTTATCCATACTTCAATCATATCTATCCAATGAAGTCTCCATGAAAAGCCCAAAGGGATGGAGGACAGATAACTTTCAGGTAGCTGAGTACACGGAAGTTCCTGGAGGCTGGCGTGCCTAGGAAGGGCGTAGAAGCTCCATGACCCTTCCCATACCTTGCCTTATGCATCTCTTCATCCGTAGCTTGTGTAATATTCTTTGTAATAAACCAGTAAACATAAGTAAGTGTTTCCCTGAGTTCTGGGAGCTGCTCTAGCAAATCAATCAAACCCAGAGAGGGAGTCATGAGATTTCCAATTTATAGCCAATTAGGAGCACAGGTAAAACAACGTGGGGCTTGCAAATGTCATCAGAAGTGGGAGATGGCCTTGTGGGACTGAGCCCTCAACCTGTGAGATCTGATGCCAACTCCGGGTAGATAGTGTCAGAATTAAATCAGAGGGCACCCAGCAGGTGTCCACTGCAGAACTGATACTTGCTTGATGGTGGGGAAAAATCCCCACACATTTGGTGACAGACGTCTTCTGCGTTGATTGTTGTGGTGTGAGAACAAAGAAAAAACAGTTTAAGATTAAGAATAAGGCAATGTTTTTCCCTCACCACTCCTATTCAACATCATACAGGAAGTCTTAGCTAGTGCAGTATAAAAAGAAAGAGAAAGAAAATGTTCAATTGATTAGAAGAAAGAAATAAAGCTCTTTGTAGATGACACAATTACCTATAAGAATATCCCAAGGAATCATCATCAACAACAGAACCATTAAGCAATTATAGCAATGTTGCAGAATACAAGGTTAACATATGAAAGTCAACTGATTTCCTACATGCCAGCAATGAACAGTTTGAATTTAAAATGCAAAGAATAATACCACTATCATTTACACCAAAAAAGGAGATATACTTAGCTGCAAATCTAACAAAATATGTACAAGATCTACATAAGGAAAAAAACAAAACCTCTGAAGAAAGAAATTTTAAAAATCTAAATAAATGGAGGGATATTTATGTTCATATATAAGAAGATTTAATACCATTAATTTGTCAGCACTTCCCAAATTAATTTATAAATTCAATTGCAATTAATGTCTTGACAAATTATTTTGTGGCTATCCACAAAAATAATTCTAAATTTTATACAGAAAGGCAAAAGACCAAGAATAGCTAAAGAAAACACTGAAAAAGAAAGATATAGTTCGAGGACTGACACTACTCTTCTTTATAAATTATTATAAAGCTACAGTAATTAAGAGAATGTGGTATTGGTGAAGGAATAGAAATAGATACATAGATCAAAGGAACGCAATAGAGTGAAGAAATGGACCCACATGAATATATTCAATTGATCTTTGATAAAACAGCAAAGACAATTTAACAGAGAAAGGATACTCTTTTGAACAAATGATTCTGGAAAAACTGACTATCCATATGAAAAAAAAATTAATCTACACACCAATATTGCACCTTTCACAAAAATTAAAGCAACACAAAACATAGGCCAGAAGTAAAATGGAAAACTATAAAAACTCTAGAAGATATCATAGGAAAAAGTCTAGATGATCTTAGGTTTGGCAATAAATTTTAAAATTCCCCACCAAAAGCTTAATCAATGGAAGAAAAAATAGAAAGTTTGGACTTCTATACTGCACGTTATATTTTTAAATTGATACATTATATTTGCACCTATTTATGGGATACATGTGATATTTTGTTACATACATATAATGTGTAACGGTCAAGTAATTATATTTAGGGTATCCTTCAAGCACTTATTATTTCTATGTATTAGGAACATTTCATGTCCTCTCTTCTAGCTATTTTGAAATATAAAATATGTTGTTATTAACTATTGTTACTCTGCTATCTAACATTAGAATTTATTCCTTCTACCTAATTGTATGTTTATACTACAGTCCCAAAGAAAATATTTGCAAAACATATATCTGATAAAGGACTTGTGTTTAAAATGTAACACAAAAACAAAAGGCCTCTTACAACACAACAACAAAAAAATTAACAAAATAGACGAAAAATCTGAACAGTCACCTCACTAAAAATATATAGAGATGTCAAATAAGCATATGAACAGTTGCTCAACAGGATACATTATTAGGGAAATGCAAATTAAAACAACATTGAAATACCACTACACACGCATTACAAGGGCTTAAGTCCAAAACACTGTGCGTACTAATTGCGGACGAGGATATGGAACAACAAGAACTCTAATTGATTCCTAATGGAAATACAAAAAGATACAGCTACTTTGAAAAACAGGCAGTTTATGACCAAGCTAAACATAGCATATGATCCAACAATTTCACTCCTAGGTATTGACCCAAATGAATTGAAGACTTATTTCAAAAAAAAAATGTTTACGTGAATGTTTGTAGCAGCTTTGTAAGATCCCCTTCAATATGTGAATATACACATTATTTTATATATATTCATAAAATGTAATACTATTTAGCAATAAATAGAAATGAGCTATCACCAAAAGATGTGGAGGAACCTCAAATGCATATTGCTAAATGAAAGTAGCCAGACTTTTAAAAAGCTACAAACTGGATGATTCTAGTTACATGACATTCTCAAAAAGGCAAACCTACAGAGATAGTAAACATGTCAGTGGTTTCCAACAGGTTTGGCAATAGGTGGTTAATAGCTGAAGTATGGGAGATTTTTAGGACGATGATGCTATACTGTAAGATGCTGTGATGGTGGATACCTGACACTGTACATTTGTCAAAACCCATAGAACACTATGACACCAAGAGTGAACCCAATGTAATCAACAGACTTTCATAATAGTGGGTCAATTTTGGTTAATCAACTGAAACAAATGCATCACACTAATATAAGATGTTAACAATAGGGGAAACTGTAGGAAAGGGTTTATATCAGAACTCTGTGCTCTCTGCTCAATTTTTCTGTAAACCTAAAATTGCCATGAAATGAGATGTCTGGATCAGCACTTCCTTGGAGATGCACTGAGAACCCCCAAAATAAATACTTAATATTCCACATAGTAAAAGTTTTAGGTCATCTCAAAAACAGCCTCCAATATATGTTACAAAATTTTCAGCCTTATGCACGTGTTATGGAATAGGAAAATACAGATCAATAGATAGAATCTTGATCGTATTAAAATAGTTCTAAGCTTTGAATTTACACAATAGTCTCAGCATCATTCTAATTATATTTATGTAAGAAATCCACACTCAATCAAGGGCTCAGCATCTTCTACGAGAAAGAAAGATGAGATCTTTCTAACAATACCTAGATGAGCCCTTTTTTGCCAGTTCATTTCATGTCATATTATTCCTACATGATACATGTGCATGATTTCTGGTGGATTAGGAAGAAGCGCAGCTGGCAGCAACCATCAAAACTCAAATCCACATCTGTTGTGATATTGCCAAAAAGAACTCTTCACTAATTTATTTGACAAAACATCTTTTACCCACCACCCCTTCTCACAGAAGCACAAGACATTTTCAAAAAACATCTGGACCCTCTCCTAAAAGGAGGCATTTCTTATCTTGTAAGACATTATTTTCATTAGATTTTACTATAATTTGCTATTATTATGCAATGAAACACTGAGAATAATATATTGGTGACAGAGATATGTTAATTCAAAAATGATTTTTTGGATTCTTTTGGAAATCTTTCTTAACTCTTCCAACTGTCTCAGGCTTTCCAAGATAACAAAAAAAGCAAATTACTTTCTTTTTCTAGTTCAGCAAATTTTTAAAGTCTCTTATTTATTTTTCTCAAGAATTGGCATTATTAAATCTTCAAGTCTCCAAATGTTCCTTTAAAATAATTTTAGTACTAAAGTATAAAATCCACAGTTTTTATGTTAAGGTTCTAAAAATCTTTTGTATTTGCTATATTGCACTGTAATCGTAGTGTTTATTCATTCTTTAAATATATGAGACTGACCACATAGTGGATGATTGAGTTAACCTTGATCTAAGAGTTTTAACTTAAGCATTTTCTAAGTACTTAGAGTTTACTACTCAATATTTATTGGTTCTATATGACACAGTATCTGTTTTAATTATGATGTAAGACGTTAGGTGATATAAAATCATGAGACACTACACTGAGATATGAAAAGTATTCCAAGTATAAAAATAATTTCCTAATTAGAGATGTGTGTTAAAGCTCTGAGGTTTTCAAGCATGAAAAAAGTGTTTATGCTCAGAAATGTTAAAATGATCACATGAGTAAATTTATGTAACACTATGCTTGTGTGCAAATCATAAATTATCATTTCCAGCTGTGTTTCTAAAAAACTCTTACACTGTACTTTCAAAACAGTTTTTGGGTAATTAGTTATAAAATAGCTTATAAAATTTACAAGGCTGGTCTAGTTAAGTTGGTGCTGAACTTTAATGCAAACTATTAATCTGATAAACAAATAAATACCCATTTTCTCTCCCAAATATCGCATTAACTATGTAGAAAAGCAAATAAACCAATAGGTTTGGACAGCAGTTTTTGAGAGGATGAGAGGTAGGAAATGAATCAGAGAGCCATGAGCCAAATGAGGTAACACAGGTCCTTTTAAGGAGTTTAAACTAAACTTAATTTCAGTTAGGGAAGTAATTTGGAGAGATTTAGGCAGACAGTTTCTTCTATATATATATATATATATTTTTTTTTTTAAGTACTCTTTCTAATATTTTCCAAAAAAAGTTATAGGTAGAAAAAGGCATAATCTTGGAGGCCAGAAAGGAGGTGATGTTCATGTCAGTGACATGTTTAGTCAAAATATATATTTTTGAGAACTGGCCCCGCAGTATATTTAGGTAGCACAAATAAATTACACAACCATGTGTCCCAAATTACCACATCAATTACCTCTCTTGCATAAATATCTCTCCCACAGCTCACATCTACGGCCTCATGAAGGTTTCTTTATGATAAGGAAAAGATTTAGGCCAGGTTTAAGGTTTGGTCACATCCATAAGTTAGAAGAAGCCAAATATGGGCTGCTGCCAATGACAGTCCCACACTGAAAGACAATTGTTAGAAGAAATAATATACAGATTTTCAAGCACTCCACCTGGTCCTCAAGTTTGTGTGGAGGAAGAGGTAGTTATTGGTAAGGTTGTACATAGACTCATGGGCAGATGTGGATGCATTGACTGCTTGGTCTGGTCGTTGAAGGAGCAAACTTGGAATTCCACTGACAGAGAAAAACTTGTGGAAAGGCTTTGTGGACCTATGGGAAGCAAAAGTGTATGAATTCTTGTGACTCATATCCTGGAATCATTTAAGCATCTTCTACAGAAGAGATATATAACCATTTTATATATATATATGGTTTTATATATATATGTCATCATAGTGTTTATTCATTCTTAAATATATGAGACTGACCATATAGTGGATGATTGAGTTAACCTTGATCTAAGAGTTTTATATATATATATATATATATATATATATGCATATATATACACATTTTATATATATATGCATATATACACATATAGGTATAGGTATAGATATATACACATATAGGTATATATATGTTTGTGCTCACACACACACACACACAGAGGGAGAGAAAGAGAATGACTCATTCATGATGATGTTAACCAGCACCCATCCTTAGTCACCACTGTACTTGCATAACAGTCCTATAAACAAAGCTGTCATGATGCATGACATCAGGTACACACAGTGTGGATGAGCCCCATAATATAAGCTACCCTTTACCAAGGTCAACCTAGCTACTGCCAATCCTAAAATCACCAGCAGAGACCAATGAGGCCATAGATGTGGGCTGAGGGAGAGATGTTGATGCAAGAGATGTAGTTGACACAGGGATTTGGGACATATGGTTGTGTAGCTACATTATCTTTCTAGCAGATCAATCATCTGTCTGATGGCAAGTAAATTCATCAGACTGGTCTCTTTCCCCATGGACAAAACAAAGATTTATCTTTAGTGGAATTATATCTATTTTATATATAAAGAAAGGATGAAGACATCAATTATGGCCTTGTAGCCTTTAATTTTTAACATTACTATTGTATTTATCATTCCAAAAGTTGTGATCATCTGTCACTGTGGAGAATTAGTAACTTAACATAATGAATAAATTCAACTTGTAGAAGGAGTAGACCAGAGCACGGAAGATCCTGTTAGTGCTTTCATCTGGATTGTCCTGTCACATATTCCTTGTTCAGGGTAACCCAACTGTTTCTTTTTGCAAGCGAGTGCTCATCATTTCTGCAAAGATTCCTGTGGATGTCAGAGCAGACTCAGCCTGTACGTTTGGCAAGCTAGAAGAGCCAAGGAGTTGATGACCCCAGAAGCTCATCTCAAGCAACAACTGATAGAAACTAATGGATCCATATCCACAGTTGAAAATTGCTTATAAAACACATGCTTCATTATCTATCTTTTTAAAATTTATTTTATTTTATTTTATTTTATTTTATTTTGAGACAGGGTCTCGCTCTGTGACCCAGGCTGGAGTGCAGTGGCATGATTTTGGCTCACTGCAACCTTCGCCTCCTGGGTTCAAGGGATTCTTCTGCCTCAGCCTTCTGAGTAGCTGGGACTACAGGCATGTGCCACCATGCCTGGCTAATGTTTTGTATTTTTAGTAGAGATGGGATTTCAGCATGTTAGCCAGGATGGTCTCCATCTGGTAACCTCTTGATTGGTCCACCTCGGCCTCCCAAAGTTCTGGGATTACAGGTGTGAGCCACTGCGCCAGACCTAACTATCTTCCCTATATCTGCTTTCTGCTATTACTTTCAAACTAAAATATTTTCACTCAAATCGTTGGTTCTAGTTGGCTTATTGAAGACAGTGAAATGCATATTTCCTGCTTCATGTTCCCATAAATATGTAGAGCAATGCAAGTGAGAGCTCCCTTTCACTGTGATCCTGGTTATGTTTAACATAACACACCCCTCTAAAGAATCATGAAAGTTCAGGGGATTGAGTGCATTTTTATACTTTTTTTTTCCTATAAGTACTCCCTTAATTAAATTTATTTTCTATTATGACTCTAAGGTGCAAGTTGTATGTGTCTATGCGCCCTTTTCCACAATGGTCACTATATCCAACTCGTGGTGACAATATCCATTCCTCTTCTAACTCAATACTACATTGGTGTCCTAAGCTAAAGGTTGAACTTTAAGGTTTGTATAAATATGCATGTTATTTGTTACTCATGGACATAAAGGTGGCAGCAGTAGAAACTGGAGACTACTTGAAGCGGGAGGGAGGGAGGAAGGCAAAGATTGAGAAACTAACTGTTGGATACTATGTTCAGTACCTGGGTGATGGGATCCTTTATAATCAAACTTCAGCATCACACAATATACCCAGATAACAAACCTGCACATGTGCCACCTAGATCTAAAATAAAAATTGGAAAAAATGCATACGTATTATATAAAATAACAGTAAAATAGAAGAAGAGAATCTGGATCTTCTGGATCATATGGCTCAAGGGGCAGGGCTTGACAACTACTTGATACATTGCCAACATATGATATCTATTACCTCTAAAACCCAAAAAGATTGGCTCCTTTTTGGGGTTAGAGAGAGTGCAACAGTGCAGCACTGAAATTTTAGTTTAAAGGCAGGATTTTTGTATGTCTAGACCACTGCATTCCAGAAGCTACACTGTACCCCAAATTTTGTGTTTTATTTCTCCTATCACTTGGTACATATATGTATGTTCAGGTTATCTACAGTACCAGTTCTGGTTTTCCAGGGTAATTAGTGGGATATACAATAAGTATGATGAATCTGGATGATGGTTCCAAGATGGGAGGCGCTCAATGATCCTGTAGACTAGATTATGACAGATAACAAAGTAAAATAGTAAGAACCATTCTTGCTATCACTGGATGAAAACAAATTATTTGTAGTATTGTGGGTTCCTGGAATAGTAAATATATGATTAGCTTGAAAGCTTTGTAAAAGATGACAGGAACTGTAATGATATGGGCAAGTAAAGAGACTGTATCAGGAAACTGTCTTCAATTACAGTTAATATCAGTTATGATTATGATAATCCACTTATATCCTTAAAGGTTCATTTGCTTTTTACATACAATAAGTAAACTAAAAAATCAGGGAAGAGACAGGAACCACCAGTCCTCAATATTTTAATTTCTTGATACAAATCGAGATACCTCTAATCTGAAAATCCAAAATCCAAAATGTTCCAAAACCCAAAGGTTTTTGAACACCAACATGACATGATACCACAAATGGGGAATTTTACACCTGACCTCATGTGCCACATCACAGTCAACATGCAGTCAAAACTTATTTATTTTATGCACAAAATTATTAAAATATTATATAAAATTACGTTTGGGCTATGCTTATAATGTATATGTGAAACCTGAATTTTGGGTTTAGACTTAGGTCCTATCTCCAAGATATCTCATTATATACAAGCAAATATTCCCAAATCCATACAAAATTCTGAAATCCAAAACACTTCTAAGTCTATTTTTGGATAAAGGACACTCAACCCATATTGGTATAAATGTCTGAAATCCAGAACAGATGTGGTGTTGCATGTTTCTTATATTATTTTAGTAAAGAATTAAAGGGATTGCACTGTGGCTCTCATATTACAAGAAGCCAGTGTAGATATTCTGCCAGGTTCTAACTATGGTTAATTCACATTTGTGTGTGAAAAGTGAAGGAAATGAACACAGAGTAGAATCAGAAATGTACTCTTAATATCATTTTATGAGACATACTTGAACCAAAGTTTCATTCCTCTTCTGCCAAACCACGGTGACTTTCCACGACCCAAGAGATTCCTAGCAGCCAAGTCCATGAACCACATTCTCTTCAGACTGCTGCCTCTTCTCTGCATGTTTACATGTGTAGGTGGCCACAAGCCACACAGGCACACCTGTGGTAACGTCAGAATGTTCTTCCTCATAGGAATGCTGTTTTTCCTTTAAGGAGCTTTGTGTCTATAAACTGACTCAGGTTTAGAAATTGGGTGAAGAATCCTGATTCTTCATTTTAGTGACTTCAGTCAGGTCACTCTTCTCCAGACCTGGAGGTTTTTTGTTTTGTTTTGAAATTTATTTTCTTTAAATTTTTTATGGCCAGTCTAACAGGACTTTATTAGATTGTTCATCTATTTTAGTCCTAGGGGCATCATGATCACTTGGCCCCCACCAAAGAACCTGCAGTTCAAATCATTTTGATTACAGTGCTGACCGTGCTATTCACACCAGTAGCCATGCTGCTTCTGCCTGTAGCAGTTACTTGCTATGGTGAATGATGGTTGCAAGTAGAGAATCATTGAAGATGAATACAGAAAATACAAAACTGATCTAGTTATACAGAATATAATTTAATACAAGCAATTAGGAATAGGCCTTAATTTCATACCCATGTTGCTGTAACAGAAAAGTCATTAAGTACTGCAGCCACAACTGCTATTTGTGAGGCTCTCACTTTTAATACTGCCTCTGACAACCACAAAGCTAAGTCACTAGAAGACGGAATCTAGATATATCTATTTCACATTTTTACATGCAATGAGCTCTGCCTCCATTCTGCTTCACCCCCGCCTCCAACTTTATTGATGTATAATTGACAAATAAGAATTGTATATATTTACGGTTTACTCTCAGTAAATTTCAAGCAGACAGTACAGTATTTACCATGCTGTACCTTATATCCTTTCAAGCCTTATTCTGTTGCATCTAATTGAGGCAATCTATTTTTCATCTATAAGTTTAGTTGCAAAAGTTGTGAAAATGTACTTTTTGTTTAGAATCCTTTCAATTTAGCAAGGTAGAGTACTTTCTCTAAGAGTTACTTTTCCTCGAAATACTTTTTTTTTTCTTTTTTTTGAGACGGAGTCTCGCTATTTCGCCAGGCAGGAGTGCAGCGGGGAGATCTTGGCTCACTGCAACCTCCGCCTCCAGAGTTCAAGCTATTCTCCTGCCTCAGCCTCCCGAGTAGCTGGGACTACAGGCGTGCACTACCATGCCCAGCTAATTTTTGTATTTTTAGTAGTGACAGATTTTCATCATGTTGGCCAGGATGGTCTTGATCTCTTGACCTCATGATCCGCCCACCGTGGCCTCCCAAGATGCTGGGATTACAGGCGTGAGCCATTGCGCCTGGCTTCTAATTACTATTTATTTGCTTGTGCTTTCATTATAATACCAGTAGCATAAAAAGTTGTCAGCAGGATAATTGGCAAAAAGTGATGAAAAATTATAATAAGTAACTCTTTTGAAGATTTGTGATGTGCTAAGCACTGCTTTTAGTATATTGCATGTATTAAATCTTATGTTTTACATCAACTTTACTGAGTACTCTAATTACCTCATTTTACAGGAAAGTAAACTGAAACATGAAATATTAAAGAAACCATCAAATATGATAGCAGTAAGTGGCAAAACTGGGTGTCTAATATAACCAGTGTGTATTTCCAGAACACATGTCCTGAACCACTGTGATATACCATCTCCAGTTTAATATTTTCTAAGAATGAGGCTCCACCTTGCTGGTCACTGATCATTCTCTTGGCAATCTCTCCACAGCTGTAGCAAGAATTCTACATTCTAAAACATTCTGAAAGTGTGGAGTCTCTTAACCTGTTTTTTTCGGTTCTTTTTTAAGACTTCCTAGACACTCTTCTCTATGATCACTAAATTAACTAATTTCATATATTCTAAATAATCCTGATACCTCACTTTTCTTAATGGAAAACAAATTATTAAAAATAAGGATGTCCAACATGTACTCAAATATATCAAGTATTTATTTATTTATTGACTTATGTATTGTCAGTTGTGGTGACAGAGACAATCATGTTAAGTTTTTGCACGAAGAAGAGGTATAGAACTTTTGTATTTGAAATAACTTTAGAGTTTATTAAAGTTAATTTTGGACATCAAAATATATTTCCTAATACATTGTTTTTCTTTCCATTATAAAAACTTTTATTTCACTATCAGAGTTGTTTTGGGATAATATGTACATTGAATTAAAGACTGAAACAAAAGAGAAAGAAAGGTAAAGATAAACTAAGATAATTAAAAGAAGGCAGATGTCAGATAATCTGATGTAAGAAAGATATTTTCCAAGTTAGAAATTAATTAATTCACTTTCCTGTAAATATATGTAACAGAAGCATTAGGGTCCTGGCGTATGTGTGATTCTCTCAACAGGGAGAATGTGGTCAATCAGTTGACGCTCTAATGGGGACAATGTAACCCTTGCTTGCACATCTGGGTTTCCCAAGTAACTGGTAGTGAATGGAGTTAGAAAGACAATATATATAGCATTGTATATAAGCACAAATTTGCAAGAATTTACCTTATGCCCTGTGGAGATAACCATGACACAAGTCTGACTTCTGTAAGCCCCAAATATTTCATTTGTGAAATTAGACCACCGGTTGCTAGGACTCCTTAAAGATGCTCTGAAATTCTGCTAGTTGACAATATTATTCTATGTAGTTGAAAGGATGGATGGTTCAATCCACATATTTTGGTATTTATGTTTCTTAAAAATAACAGAATCAAAGAATAATTTAATTTAATTCATATAGGTGACCTCTACTACTGAAATATTTCTGATATCATACACTTCCAATCTGAGGGGCTTCGAACACAGTAGATCTTGTATAAAATGCGGCATTCAGCACTTCACTATCTCAAAAGCGGACCCTTACTAATTCTACTAATTGTTTTAAACTTTAGCTTCAATATTATCAGCTCAGATTGGAACTGTCTGAGAAACTTAATGAACAGAGATTTTTATATTTTATTTATATTTTATATTTTATTTGATATTTCTTCCAAAGACAGAGGACTATATTAATGTTTGATACTTTTCTATTTAGATGCAACTGTGAAACCTGGACTCCTTTTTTAGGTTTAACATCAAATATAGAAAATATATTTATTTTATGAGACTGTCCTATGATATTCTTTCACTAACCAAATAGTTCTCAATTTTATTAATAGAAATGAATGAATTTGGCTAGGTGCGGTGGCTCACGCCTGTAATCCCAGCACTTTGGGAGGCCGAGGTGGGCGGATCACAAAGTCAGGAGATCGAAACCATCCTGGCTAACACAATGAAACTCCGGGTCTACTAAAAATACAAAAAATTAGCCGGGTGTGGTGTCGGGCACCTGTAGTCCCGGCAAGAGAATGGCATGAACCTGGGAGGCGGAGCTTGCAGTGAGCCGAGATCTCGCCACTGCACTCCAGCCTGGGTGACTGAGCGAGACTCTGTCTCAAAAAAAGAGAAATGAGTGAATTTAAGGCCAAACACTATGGGTCACATCTGTGATCTCAGCACTTTGGGAGGCTGAGGTGGAAGGATCACTTGAGCCTAAGAATTGGAGACCAGCCTGGACAACATATTGAGACCCTGTCTCTACAAAAAAATAAAATAGAAATGAATCAGTTTATTGCCATTGCTTTTAAAGAGGCTATTAAACCAAACAAACATTTAATAATCACTATAATAAGAAATAGTTATGAGTAATTAAACTGTCTAGATATGATTGAATATATAATATAACCAAAACATTTTATGCATACTCTAGAACATATAATATTGAATAACAATTTTTGAATCATGAGCCCTTGTGTCAATATTCTAACTGGCATACTTGTTTGCAAAAGGTAAAAAGCAAGGTCTAACCATCCTGGCATATTGCACTAACGTATAATAAAAATTCCCTTCCTAAATTCTTTTAAGCTATTATAGGATATCTTTCTGTGTCACAAAAACGCCCTTTCTCTATCTTGTGACATATGACTCAACTCTAAAAATTAAACTCCTTTAAGTTGCCAACCTTTTTGAACTCCATTTTCACTGAACACTATTAATTCAATTAATCATATCCTATTTCTATTGACTTATTGCACCTTGTCATTCCTGGAGAAGTGATGGAACTGAAACTGACATTCTTTTATTTCCTTTTATATTTTAAAACTGCAATAATTGTGGCATAGTTATGTCCCATTTCCTACTTCATGCATTTAAGAGAACTTCATTTAAAAACAGAGATAACTAGATTCATTCTGAGCAATGCCGATCACAGTATAAATGAATCCCTTTTGAATTTTTAGGTTAAGGAAGATTTGCAATTATCAGCTCATTAAGTATAATTTGAAAATTTTATTGGATAAATATGCTATTTTATCTGGTATATATTTTTAACTTGGTTACAGAGTATTCTGGATACCTTTTACTGTCATTTGTTGAATTAAAATTCTTAACTAAATCTCCTGCTTCAGAAAAATTAACTTTGGCTTTTCTCCTCTTTTTAAATTGCAGAGAATCCAATTGAATGCTATTATAGTTTGGATATTTGACCCTCCAACCAGCATGTTGAAATTTGATCCACAATGTTGGAGGTGGGGCCTAATTGGAGGTGTTTGGATCATGGTGGTGGATACTTCATGAATGGCTTGCTACTGTCCTCCTGGAAATTAGTAAGTTCTCACCTATTTTATCAACAATAGCTAGTTGCTAGCCCCTCACCTTCACTTCTCTCTTGCTTTCTGTCTCTTGCATGCAATCTGTGACCATTTGCTCCCTTTGCTTTCCACCATGAGTGGAAGCAGCCTGAGTCTCTCACTAGAAGCAGATACCGGTTCCATGCTTCTTGTGAAGCCTGCAGAACTGTGAGCAAAATAAACCTCTTTTCCTTATAAATTACCCAGCCTCAGGTATTCCTTGATAGCAATACAAATGGACTAAGATAATTACCTATTTCAAAACGTGCTTAGCTATGCATATATTTAGGCAAAACTTCCAATTAATTATCAATATTCATTTGCATGATTTATTTTTAGTGTTTTCCTTCTTATTTTACAAATAAGCTTACAAAGATGGGACTCTAGCTTTCAAAAGTGATATTAATGAAAATGTATTTAAAAATTCTGGCATCTCACGAATATTAGAAAAATTTTTTAAGGAATCTACTTTCAAATTTTTTATTCTAATGTGATCAAACAATTTTAAATACACAAAATTGAATAATGGTGATTCTCTAGGGTTTTGTTTTTTTTTTTCACTAAAAGCTTCAACATATTTTTGCCACTAACTTTTTATGGAGAGGTGCTTTGAGCTAGTCAGTATAACTGACTTGGTTTCCTTCCTCTCTTTTTTACATACTGGTCTTTAAATGTCTTTATTAATAAGCAACTATCTAGCCAAATATGAATATGATAAAGGATATAAGTATTGGTAAATAATTTTTTAAAAATGGCTTGTCAACTTGAAAAAAACCAAGTATTGCAGATTAAAGTAGATCAAAACAAAACATTTTAAACAATTAATTGTGACTTACAAGCAAAAACTCAAACAATGTGCTATTACAATTGTGGACTGAACTTTGTTTTCATATACTCAGTTAGGTGGATACATTACATTCTTAGTTACTTGGGTAGATTTTAAATCCCTTGACCAGAATCTTAAAAATTCTCACTCTACTTTTTATTTGTTGCTCTGCCATAACTCAGTTCTATAGAAGATGATGCAAAGCAGTTTTTTTTTCAATAAAGAATGAAGTGACTCCGTGTACAGGCAAAACCTATAAGTAGTCGTCAAAGGAAGAGCTTTTAATATGATGGTAAACCATGAACAGTTTGTTTTAAATAAACTTGTTTTGCAATAATTTAGTTTCACATAAATGTTACAAAATTAGTACAGAAGTTTCCTGTATACCACTCACCCATTTTCTCTTATTATAAACATCTTGCCTCAATATGTTATATTTATTCCAACCAATAATATAACATTGATACATTGTTATTAACTAAAGCTTTTACATATTTAGATTTTCTTAGTTTTTACTCAGTGTTCTTTCTCTGTTTCAGAGTTCCATGCAGGATATATGACATTTAGTTCTCATGACCCCTTAGGCTTCTGTAGCCTGTGACAGTTTCTCAAACTTGCCTTGTTTCCGATAACCTTGACCGTTGGAGGAGCATTGACCAGCTGTTTTGTAGAACCCTGCTCAATGTGGGTTTATCTGATTTTTTTTAATGGTTAGACTTTGGTGACATTTTTAGGGGGAAGGAGGAAGATTACAGAGGCAAAGTGCTATTCTCATCACATCATATTAAGAATACATGGTATGAACATGTCATTAATATTAACTATCATCACATGGCCGAGGTAATAGTTCTCATTTTTCTTCACTGTAACACTACTTTTTTCCTATTTTCATACTATAATCTTTGAAAATAAGTCATTGAGCAGCCCACACTTAAGCATCACTTCTTGAGAAGGTATTATCTACATAAATTATTTGGATTATTCTGATGTTATATTTATCTATTCTGTTCTATTCATGTATTAAATCAGTTGCTTATATAAAGATGAATATTTATTTTAAACTTTTGGTTTTAATTCAGTTCTCTTTTTTGTTTCTGAAACTCTTCTAGCTTTGGCCACTGGAAGCTCTTCCAGTTGGCTCCTGTATCCCTTGACACACCCTTTCCTGTCTTTTTTTTTTTTGTCTTTTTGTTTCGTTAGTCCTTATTTTCTGGTACTACTTCAGGCCCAATTTCTACATTACTTGTCTCAGTTCTAGAATTAACCATGGCCGCAAGGAGCCCTGGGTCCTTTTACTGCAACATGTTATCAGAAGGGCTCAATGTTACTGGTATGAACTGACATTGAGGGAACAAAAGAGTCAATGACTTAGAATTTCATAGATGATCTAACTCAGTTGTCCCCGTTGAAACCTCTGACCCAGGTTTAGGGATAGTATTAAATGGTTAGCTTCTGTGCCACTATCTATGTATGTGACTGTAAGGATGTCAATATAACTTTTAGAACCCAATTTCTTCATCTGTAAAATAATGAGCAAAATTAATAAATGGGGACTCTCCAAGAAGACAAAACAACCTTATCTTTAGTGTTTGGTGATTTATAGAATTTGGTCTTTTCCATCATGTAAATGTCCCTAAGATGGCTGATTCGCAACTACTGATCAAAAAGCTTGTAAAAATTCCTTAAAATTGAATTATTAGTTCTCTTGAGCTGATAATGAGTCTTGCAATACAAGACCCAGCCAACAATACAAGCGATAGACATGCAAATACTCAAAAATACATAGATGCAATTCACATAAAAACAAACCACATATGCACATGCATCATTTTTAACAATGAGAAAGGTAGTTTTAGTCTTTAACAACAAATGAAGTGTGCCACCGTGGGCTCAGGGAAGGGGCACCTTTGCCAATGCCTCTCTGTTCCCTTGCAGGCATTTTCCCACCCTTCTACATCATGGTATTTAAACCCCAGAGGGGATATGTAAATGTCCACATTCCTCAGAACAACATTAGTGCTCCCCAAGTGTGGCTAGGCTTCCAGTGGCCCAGGAGTTGCAGAGTTTTCTCCTGGATGAAAATTTGGATCCTGGTTCCCACTGCAGGCTTTTGTTTTTCAGGCACTCATCATGAGGTAGATGTCGGGAAGTTGTTTCAGAGCATCAGGGCCACCAGTGTTGCCTGCAAAAAATCCTGGTGGAGCACACTGCTGTCCTTTTTGATATCTGAAATGGAGAGGCTGGTGGAGGTCCATGGGGCATTTGTTGACTAGCTCCTTTTGAAAAACAAAATTTTGAGTAATGCAAACACTACTGACTTTATGTCCTCTTTCACCAGGTCAAGGGCCATTGACTTCCAGACTTTCTTGATGGAGTTCCACTGCAGCTCTGGCTTAATTTTCTTCTTCTATGGCCAGGAATCCTCCTAGATGATGAGATAGATGCCATTTTCTGTGCTCAGCAGCTCTTACCTGGACTTCTCTTCCAGATGCAGTAGGTATACAGACTTGTGGAATTTTATCTTTATCTATTCAGATAGATAATTTTCTAGATATAGATCTATCTAGATATAATAGAGATTATATATATGGAAAATGACTAACCAAGTTAATAATCAGAGAAATGAAAGCATACCTGATAATAGGCCATTTCATGACAATTCTGGCAAAATTAATTTTTTTCTTAATTTTTATTTCCACTATTAGTAGAAACAAATAAGCCCTCACATGCTGTCATAAACTTAGTGGGAGAATAAATTGGCATGGCATTTTTAATGAAATATGAGGCAAAATCAGTCAAGAGTCTTGCAGTTCTTCATATACTTAAATCAGTAATATCATGCATTGACGTTATCCTAAATTAAATATCAATAAGATACTATTAATATGAAGAGTGCAGGCATAGAAATCAATATCTTAGATTTGAATCTCAACTCCTGAACCTCAGTTTTTTCGTCTGTAAAACAGTTATTGATAATAATACTGACTCATAGGATTATTCTTAGTATCACATAGTAAACTATCAAAAATATTTGTTTAAAAAGTACAATTACTATAGTACAATTTATAATAAAATTTCTAAATATAAAGGAAGAAATTTATATGATAAAATATTATGCAGACAATGAAAGCTGTTTTGAACATGACATTTATTTCTTTCCTTATACATCTTTCCATTTTCAAACTTTTCTACTGGGATCATGTATTATTTTAGAAGCATGTATTTACAGATAATTGTGCCATTCATTGTAAATACAATGAAATGATAGAATTAGCCCACATAATGTGCCTTCCACCTCTTAACACCATATTTCAACTCCATTTACTTAAAAATGTGATTAGCATATAAAATGAATGCACACTTCCTAATGTTATTATACGTGTCTTGTATGATCTTTTTTTTTTTTTTCTCTCAAGCACCATTTAACTTTGTATAATTTTTTGGTTTCAATGTTTCCCTTTCCCTAATGACAAACATTTTTTTCTGTGTTCCTCCCACCTCCAGCATTGTTGGTTTCTTAACCTTTATGACCAATGTTAGCTTGACCTTTAAGACAGCTGGTAACACCCAGATGTGTTGAGCAATTATAAAAGAGACTCCCTCATTGGGAGGGCTCTCTTATCATCTCACATATAAAGTACTTTCAGCCTTATTTCCCAAGTGTGGAAATAAAGGGTAGATGGAAAGTCTGCTTTTCACTTATTCTCAATGCTAAAGGCACACTTTATTTTCTTCTGTGGTCCCAAGTCCACTTCAGCTTTTATGCTTTTGCCACAGGAATTCTGACATGCACGATGGCTTACAAAACAAATAATGTCAGATCTATTTGTCATGTTGCCTCACTCTCCTAGAGCCAAGATTTAAACCAAGTATATTTTTGGTTTTATAATTCATATAATCAGAATGGCTTGGAGTAAGTCAATCCTCCTTGTGCCTCCCCGCCAACTTTTCTATTTTGGCCACATTCCTTCAATTTATCCTACTCAAAATCTAAAAGACAATAAAAATACTTTTATGTAATTGATGACAAGACTACTTTCTGACTCCCTCGGGATTAGCAAGTTTTTCAAAGTACTTTATTTCTGTTTACTACAGCTTCACATTTATACAGGTATTGTGTAAATAATAATAACGTTTTAAAAACAGATTCTTAGCCAGTTGGAGGATACAATGCCTCTGAATTTTTTTTTCTATTTTTAAAATTAGTGATAATCATTCATTTTGGGTTTGGAAGGTTTTAGAGAGCACAGTTAAAGAACAAGATATAAGTAGACTTGCCAGGTATCCTCTATATACAGAACATGGCCTGTATTTAATGCCTTTATCTTATGTTTTGTAATGACTCTGTTGTGACTCCGTAAGTGTCTCATATTCAGATTTTCAAGCTATTATCAAAGCTAACTGAGCATTCTGTGTTTTACTTACTAAATCTGGCAACCCCAAACACAGTATTTATTTTACTATAAATACTGATTAAACAGGTTTTAAAATATAATTTACCTCTTTTGTAATTTCAAATTCTTGTAGTGAGAGATAAAAGCATACATATTAAATATTTATCTTAAAAACATAATAGAAACAAATCAGCAAGCAAAGGGCATTTCTACTTTTACATTTATTTGATTGGGTCATTAATCGACTAATCACCCTTCCACCTGGCATTGCTATACTCTTAATATTGAAGCCTGTGATATTGTCTGGTCTCTAAAATGTAAAAGACATTGCTTCTCTCATTGGTCCACCACACTGCAAGCACTGAAATGTGGCTACTCTCTGGACAGCTCTCCTCTGTTAAATTCTATGTCTCCTACATCTAGTAGTAGTCGTATGCAAGTCTAACCAAGATTTGTAGATGCTTGTTTGAAATTTTTGTGACAGTAATGAAAATATCAAGACAGAGTGATAGACAACCTAGGAAAGGAGACCTCGAGGCCTGAAAAAAAGACAGACAAGGAAAGGGTGCTTGGGTAGTTAATGTTGACAAGGGTTTAAGTTACAGGGTCTGGTCTGCCTTCCTTTATATTCCAGAGAATAATTATCATCCAGACCCCTTTCTTTCTGCCATAGCCCTTTCCAATAGGCTACTTACCTCTCGGTCACTGTTTTCTCACACTTTCTGCTCTCATTCTCTCTTATTGGCTGTAGGATTTTAGGAAGTGCTATGGACTGAATTATGTACCCCTCTTTCCCCCAAACACAGGTTAAAGCCCCAAATCCTAATATGATGCTATTTGGGATCTGGAGATGAAGCCTTTTGAAGGTAATTAGGTTCAGATGAGGTCATAAGGGTGGGCCTCATGAAGAGATTAGTTGCCTTACAAGGAGAGACACCTAAGAGCTCTCTATTTTTCCCTCTCTCTTTCCTTTTCTCCCTCTTCAAGGGGAGGAACCTGGTGGGATGCGATTGGATCATGGGGGTGGTTTCCCCCATGCTATTCTTGTGATAGTGATGGAGTTCTCACAAGATCTGATGGTTTAAAGAGTGACACTTCCTCACTCTTTCTCTCTCTCTTGCAGCCATGAAGAGACGTGCCTTGCTCCACCTTCACCTTCGACCATAATTGTAAGTTTCCTGAGGTCTCCTCAGCCATGTGGAACTGTGAACCAAACCTCTTTCTTTTATAAATTACTTAGTCTCAGGAAGTATAGTGGTGTGAGAACAGACTAATATATCAGCCCAAAGGGAGCATCCTCAACTAGACACCAACCCTGCTGGCACCTTGACCTTGGATTTTCCAGTCTCTACAATTCTGATAAATATATTCTGTTGTTTAAGCTACTCAGTCTTTTGGTATTTTGTCATGGCAGCTCTAATAAACTATTAGGGGTGGTAGCTCTATTAAAATTCCTTTATCTAATCACTTTTAATAGTACAGTCAGGCTTCATACTGCTGAGAGTATCCAAACTAGCATCACAAGGGACACAGCTTTGGCCTTCTCACCTTGTTTTCAAAACTTGTGAGACTCTGCTTGGGCCAGTTTTCATCTTTCAAGGAATTTGTGCATTTCATGTAAGTTATTAAATTTATGTTTTTTAAATAGTTTGTAATATTTCCTTATTATTATCTAATGTTTGTAGAACATTGCTGTTATCTGTGTTGTCTCACCGTTTTGGTCATTCTTGCTAGAGATTTATTTGTATTGATCTTTTTTAAACAATAGCCTTGGTATTCACTGATCTTTCTTTCTCTTTCTTTCTTTCTTTTTCTTTCTTTCCTTCCTTCCTTCCTTCTTTTTTTTTTTTTTTTGATGGTGTCTGTCTCTGACACTCAGGCTGAAGTGCGGTGGCACTATCGTGGCTAGCTGCAGCCTCGACCTCTCAGGCTCAAGTAATCCTCCCACCTCAGTCTCCTGAATAACTGGGACTGCAGGTGCACACCACAAGCCTGGCTAATTTATTTTATTTTTTGTAGAGACAGTCTTGATATGTTGCCCAGGCCCTTGATATGCTGGACTCAAGCCATCTTCTGACTCGGCTGCCTAAAGTGCTGGGATTACAGGTGTGAGCCATGGCACCCAGCCTGATTTGTCTTTATTGTTTTAAATGTTTTGTCAATTTCTTTCACTTTTGCTCTTCTCTTAACTACTTTATTTCTCCTGCTTGTTTTGGATTTACTTGATATTCACCTTCTATATTTTAGTTCAAGGTATAAGCTTAGGTCATTGATTTCAAATTTCTGTCTTTCTAATATAAATATTTAGCTGGGGCCTACAAATATATAGATACGTTGTATTTTTAGTTTCATTCAGTTAAAAATATTTTCTAATTTCCTTTTTGTTTTTCTCTTTAGTCTGTGGATTATTTACAAATGTAGTACTAAATGTTCTACAAGCTATATTTCTGTTATTGCTTTATAGTTTGTTTATATCAAAATTTGTGTGATTTCAATCTGTTTGAATTTATTTACATTATTGTATGGTCTAGAATATCAGCTATATTGGTAAATATATAACATGTACTTAAAAAATGTATATTATAACTTTGGTGCAGTGATCTATAAATATCAATTAGTTCAATTTGACTAATAGTGTTGTTCAAGCCTTGTACATCTTTATTACATTTTAATGTGCTTGCTACATTTTATACAGAGAGAAAAATGTCAAAATATCTTAATCTATTGATTTTTTAATTTCTCTTTTCTGTTTTATCAGTTTTTTTCTCCATGTATTTTGAAGTTTTTTGATTGTTATGTCTTTTTGATAAATTGCTCTTTGTATTATAGAATGCCCCTCCATTTTTATTCCTGGCCTTATTCCTGTCTCTAAAACCTACTTTGTCTCTTACTCATACACTCATTTTATTTTTCTTTTGTTTAGTGTTTGCAGGCTAAAATTTTTCCCATCAGTTTTATCTTTAAACTTCCTTTAATTGTGTTTTGCATAAAATTTTTTTTTGTAGATTATTTGAAGATTTTTTCATAGGATTTTATGTGCTTGGTTCTTGGCTTTTGAATCTAACAGTCTCTCCCTTTTAATTGGAGTGTTTGTAACATTTATATTTAATTATCAGATTTAAATTAATCATCTTTTATATTTCTATTTATCTTATAAGTCTTTTACTTTCCTCTCTCTCCTTTTGCCTTATTTTGGCTTATTATTTTTACTGCATTAAATCTTTAGTGGTGGCCTCATAGACATACTTTTTTTAGCATCTGTGCTATATTTTACCATATACAATTATAACTTATTATAGTCTACCTTAAAAAATTATAAAATTTTACTTTTAGTTTATAAATGTAGTACTAAATGTTTTACAAGATATATTTCTGTTATTGCTTTACAGTTTATTTCTTTGTATCAAAATTTGTGTGATTTCAATCTGTTTAAATTTATTGAGATTATTTAAATAGTTTTCTTACTTTTTTTGTTTTAAAACCTATTATGTATGTAGTGAATACTCTTGCTTCCTGTTATTTTAAAAATCACATTTTCTCTTTTCCCAAAATCTTAATCAGTATAGTTATGGGTTTATTAATTTAATTAAGCTTTTTGAAATGACACTTTTTGACATTGTTACATTTCTCTATTGTCTTATTTTCATTTCATTGTTTTATTTTGTGTTTACTTTGTTCTTCTTTATTTAGCTTTTTAGGCTGGAAATGTGTTTGTTGATTTAGACATTTTCAAAAGTTTTACTTAAAGCATTTAAGGCTTGGAATTTATCGTTAAACATCACCTTCACAGCATTCCCACACATGTTGTTGATATGTTGTTGATATGTTATTTAATTTATTTATTCATTTATTTATCTATTTATTTGAGATGGAGTCTCACTCTGCTGCCCAGGCTGGATTGTAGTGGCATGATCTCAGCTCACTGCAACCTCCTCCTCTGGGGTTTGAGTGATTCTCCTGCCTCAGCCTCCCAAATAGCTGGGTTTACGGGCACCCACCACCACACCCAGATAATTTTTGTATTTTTTAGTAGAGATGGGATTTCATCATGTTGTACAGGCTGGTCTCAAACTCGTGACGTCAGGTGATCCACCTGCCTTGGCCTCCCAAATTAGTGAAATTACAGGTGTGAGCCACTGTGCTCAGCCTGTTGTTATGTTACCCTACAATGTAAACTCTGTGAACATTCAAGAACATTATGACTCTATAGTATATGTGACTTTCTACCTCATATGGTTGGAAAGGATACTCTTTCAAGTTTTTTACATTTTAGATGGAAGTGGAACATTATATAATTTTTATCTTTTTAAGTTAGCTGAGCACTGCATTAAAACTGTATATAGGCTGGGTGCGGTGGCTCATGCCTGTAATCCCAGCACTCTGGGAGGCCGAGGTGGGCGGATCACGAGGTCAGGAGATTGAGACCATCCTGGCTAACACAGTGAAACCCCGTCTCTACTAAAAAATACAAAAAATTAGCAGGGCATAGTGGCGGGTGCCTGTAGTCCCAGCCACTCAGGAGGCTGAGGCAGGAGAATGGCGTGAACCCGGGAGGCGGAGCTTGCAGTGAGCTGAGATCGTGCCACTGCACTCCAGCCTGGGTGACAGAGCGAGACTCCGTCTAAAAAACAATAAAGAAAAAAAACCCTGTATATATTGTTCCTGTTGTAAACATACCATTTACCCTAGAAAGAATAGTCCTCCTGTGATTGTGTAGTATTTCTTAAATCTGAATTTGGTCAAAGTATTTGGTAATGTTGGTCCATATATATTTTTATTTGTTTTTCCAGTTCCATTTATTGCCCAGAAAAGGTATATGTAAAATGACTAAACATATTTATGGACATATCTCCTCCTTCCTTTGATTCTGTCCATTTTATATTTTTTCTTGTAGTTTCAAGCTCTGTTATTAGGCACATGTACAATCATGTTTGTTAAGTCTTCATGATGAACTGAACTTTAATTTTTATGAGGTGCTCCTCTTATCTCAGGTAGTATTTTAACATAATTTTTCTGTGATTAATGTGGTCACTGCAGCTATCATGTGTCTACTATTTGCATGGTATAACAACTCGGAATGTGTACTTTTGTCCTATGTGTATTTTTATTATTATAATGCATTTTTAGGTGACCATTACTTGGGTCTCACTTTTTTATTTATTGTGACAACATTTGCATTTTAGTTGGTATACTCTGTTAAATAATATTTAATGTAATTTTCGAACTGTTGGATTGAAGTCTCCAAGTTTTCTATGCATTTTTCTGTTAGCCTTTTCTGGTTTCAGTTCCATTGTTCTCCCCTTCTGTCTTAAGTTAGGTTATTTTAAATATTGCTTTTAATTTATCTGTTGGATATTTAGATATACTTTTTTACCATGTAATTAAAAAATATTTGTTCTAGTGATTTCCGTATACATGCTTACTTTTCACAGTCTAACTAGAGTTGGCTTTATACTACATCATGCAAAAATAATAAATGTTGAACAACAGAGGTAAGTCTATACTCATCCTTTATGAAATGGTGCATTTACCATATTTATATTCTTAGAGTACAAATCTGCTGAAAATTAATTATTTCAATTTTACTGTATCAGTAAATCTCTTTAATTTCCTTCTATTCTGGAAGGATATTTCATTGGATGTAGAATATTGGGTTAACAGAGTTTTCTTCTTGCTGTTTTCACTCAGCACTTTAAAGTAATTGTAGCAAGTCTCTGTCCTCAATTATTTGTGATGAGAAGTCAGTTGTTATTGAAATTTATCTATTGAATATTTGACACCCTTATAAAAATTGTCTGAATTGCTCTGTCTCCAACATTCTTAGATAGATTGCATATATATTTTGTTATTGTTATAGTTGTTATATCAGGCTTCTGTCAGAGAGGCAAAGTCAGTAGGAGCTATTCAGAGATTTGGTACAATATTGTAGGTATGATATCTTTATGTTCTGGCTGCTTTCACAGTTTTCTCATCATCTTTGGTTTGTGGCAGTCTGATTATTGTGTGCTTAACTGAGTTTTGCGGATTTTTTTCTTGTTTTGCTTGTGTGTTTTTTTTCATATTTTCTGTATAATGATAGCGTCATTTCCTGGATTTTTGAATTTATACCTTTCACTAAATTTCAGAAATTTTTTATTGCTTTCTCAAATAGTGCCCTTTAATATCTCTCTTCTGTTCTGAGAACTCAACTACCCATAAGTAAAACATTCTGATGTTGTTCTAGATGCTTTGAGAATTTTTTCATTTATTTTTGTTTTGTTTTTATTTCTGCACATTAGTTTGAATAACCTCTCTAAGCCTATCTTCAAGCTCACTAAATTATTCTTTCTCCAATTGGCTATAAAGCCTGTAATCTGTGGTTTTTAAATTGTAAATATTACACTTTTAACTCAATGTTCAACTGTAATTTCCATTTCATTCTAGGGGTTTTGTCTTTTCATTTCTTATCATAGTTTCCTCAGTGAGTTTCAGCATAATTTTAATAGCTGACTTAAAGTTATTATTTGCTAATTCCAAAATCTTGGTCATCATGAGGTTGTTTATCATATTTTGGTTCAAGTTTTGAGACCCTTTCAACAGTCGTCTGCATTGTTCAGTCTGCAGTATTTTTAGATATATTGTATATAATTTGTTATCATTGTGGTGATATCAGGCTTCTATTAGAGAGCAGAGTTGTAGCAGATATTCTGAGATTTAGTACAAGAAATTGGTTTATGTGATTGTGGGAACTGACTAAGCAAGTCGGATAGTCTGAGAGTGTGAGCAAGATGAAAGTCTAGGGGAATAGGACAAAGCTGCTGTTCACAGGCATAATTTCTCTTCTTTTTTGAGGAAGCCTCATCCGGCTTTAAATCCTTTTAACTGATTGAATCAGGCCCACCTAGATTACATAGTGTAATCCTCCTTAAAATTGCCTAATTTGAGGCTTGAATTACATCTGTAGAATACATTCAATCAACACCTCGATTAGAGTTTTGATTGAATATCTAGGGACTTTAGAGTAACCAAGTAGACATATCAAAAAAACCATCACAATTTTTTTGTTCTTTTTTCAGGATTTTAGTTATTATTTTTGGAAGGGTATGTCTGATAGGAGAAACTTAATTATCACTGAAGAGCAAACTCTTTAATTACTTTTTAATTTCACTTTTCTTTCTGATGTTTTAGCTTTCTTGGCTTTACTTAGTTTTCCGTAGAATCTTATCCTGTCTGTGCTCTTTCCAAATTCATCTACATTTTGTGATTATTTTATTTTTTGTTTCTTATTTGTACTAAGCTCTTTTAGCTTTGTTTTTATCTCACTCTCTTTTTTAAAATTTCCCTATTTTCTCTCTTTGTTTTATGCCTCTGAATTTTTATTTCTGTTTTGTGTTGTTGATTCATAAGTCAATTTAATTCTTTTAGTTCTTTTAATTTATTAGAAAATAGCTACACAAAATATATCTACCACATTTGGTAGCATTTTCATATGAGGTAGCTTGTCTGCTTTTTGCTTCTTTTCATACTTTCCTTTTTTACGTGATGGCTTTTAAAAAATGGAACCTCAAATGCACAAAATTGGATTATTTATAATACTGTGTTCATAACCCATTTTTAAAATTAGTTTTTGCATGGGTCATTTTTGTCTAGTTAAGAATTTAAGTTTAATAATATAAAATAGGCACCCAAAAGACCATATCCGAAATGTGAGATAGGATATTGAAAGTAAGACATATCTTACTACTGCCAACCCATCTCCTGCTTCCTCTCAGCTTTAGACCAGGAGTTAACAAACCACAACCTATAGGGTGGACATCTGCTTTACAAATGAAGTTTATGTCTGTATTGTCCGTGCTTGCATTCCGAGTTGCATAATTGCAATGGAGACCATTTAGTCCACAAGCTAAATTAGTTACAATCAAACTCTTTAAGGAAGTTGGGGGACCATGCATTAAAAAGCTTTATAGTTTATTTGGTTTTGATGAATTTTTAACTCATTCCTAAGTTGCACATGCATACTTTGGTTGTTTTTAACTTTATAAAATGAATAGCATTATATAAGTATTCTTTTGTGTAGTATTTTCCCCTATAATTATATTATAAAAATCCATCTATATTAATGTGAATTATTTAAATTCACTCATTATTATTGGTGTATATTCTGTTGTGTAAATATTTCACAATTTATTAATTTACTCTCCTTTTGAAGGAGACATTTTCTGGATTTTGGTGTTATGAAAATTTCTGCACTTTCAGCTGTGACATGACTGTTAACTAATTCAACTGAAACTAGAATATATATTGAGATTTTTTTCTCCTTATCTTTTAGTAAATATATTATTTTCAGTATTACAAAGAAATGTAACAACTTCAGAGAAATGTTTACGTTTAATATTCAAGTGACTACAGTTTTAATGTTAATGTATAATGATCTGTACACATGAAAATATTTAAACAGTTGATTTCTATTAAGGCCTTTATAAACATATTCATTTTTTGAAAAAAATTTATAAAAATTTATCTTTATTTTCTAAACTGGATCATATTAATTTAAATTGTTTATATATTTCCCCCCAAAAAACTCCAGCTTGTGATTACAGCTCTAAACAAATCCTGAAGTTCTTATGAAGAATTTCCATCTCAATAGTTGGATTCACTATAGTCACATCTTCGTTTGTATTTACTTTGTAAAATGTAGAAAACTTTCATTTAGATTTAAATATTTATTGGAAAAGTTAATGGTTCATGATTGTTATGAGCACTGTAGAAATCAAAATATGGCAACTATTTGAGAAATAAAATACACATTTTTAGAACTCAAGTGAAGTTGATATCAAATATAGATTTAGAAGTTTCTCTTATTCAGTAGAAAACACTTCATTATTTGGAGTGGTAAAACACAATTTTGAAATCTGTTTTGCACTGTACACAAGCAATTTCTCCTGATTAGTAATTTACACAAAGTACTATAAAACACAAGTTTTGTTGCTGTGCAAACAGGGTATCTTTTTATAATATATTTGAACAAATTATATCCATATGCAATTTCCATTGTATATTTTATATTTAAATAAAAACTAATTAGTCATAAAATGTAATAAGACATCATATTTTATTACTGAACTTTAATTATTATGATTTTTGTGTGTTAACTTAATGACCAGAAATAATTAAGTAAAGCTAATTAAATCCTACACATGTTATGGATTATGCTATTTGGTTGGATATCCAAGATAAAAATCACAACATTCGTAAGAGCTATTTTCAGTTTTGTAAAACAACTAATATTTTGAAGCAATAGATACGCCTTTCTTTTTCATATATGATGAAACTTCTAAAGAATTAACTCTCACATTTTAATAGCTGTGCTTTGATATGCATCTGCTCATGAATGGCTGTAACAAATTATTTCTTATTATGATTTGAATATATGCTTGAATCCGCTGAACTAGACAATTCAGATCTTAAGTTCATTCATTGCATGGGCATGTGCTCAGGGAGGATACAAGTTATCTATATTATACCTACAGCATTGTGCATTATACTTAAAATAATGGAAGTATAATTTAACCAATAGTGGTCAAGTATTTTTTGCTGATGGATCTCTTTTTCTCAAGCATATCTAAGTTTTTGAAACTTTAAATGATTATTTTCTATTAGCTCTTATTATGAAATCTTCATCTGTTGCTTTAAGAGATTATCTACCACTGGGTATGGTCACAGCATGCCTGTAACCCCAGATACTCAGGAGGCCGAGCAGGAGAATGGCTTGAGCCCAGGAGTTGGAAACCAGCCTGGACAATATAGCAAGACCCCATATGAAAAAGATATTTTTTAAAAAAGATGCTCTCAATAAAATTTGGAATCTTTCTGGAAATTACTCTATGGCACTTTCAGGTATTTTTCATTCTCTGTGTTAGATATTTTTGAATCACAGTCATTTTCTCTGTTCTATTTACTCTGAAACATTTTTCACACTTAACACTTGTATCTTTCATTTAGGTCCTTAGAATGACTGTCAATACCTAGATTTATGTTTTATAATTATCCAGAACTTCACCAAAGATTGCTATGTCTCTTTCAGCAGCCTAACCAGAATATGTAATACTAATTATTACATATAATAATCACATATAATTAAATACATAATTGTAGTTTTCTTTTGCTTTAGTTTACTTTTCTACCAATCCAGTTTGAGTCTGGTCTTTTTCCTGATTTTCTAAACAAACCTCATTTTTAGATAAATATTATTTTGGGAAGAAGTCCTTTGAATATATTTCTTAGACTGAATTCAAAATACTTTACTGATTTTTTAATTTGAACCTCCAAAATGGAATAGTACCTATTTAATAAAAAAGAAACATTAATACCTACATCCAGTGCTTTAAATTATCTCCTGAACACTGCTTTCAATGTATCCCACAACATTTGATAAGTTGTATTTTTATTTTCATTTAGTTTTGAGTATTTTAAAAATTTCTTTAGAGACTTCTTATAATCTGTGTTTTTTTTTTTTTAGTAGTATGTGGTTTAATCTCCAAATATTTGGGGATTTTCTAGCTATTATTTTGTTATTGATTTCTAATTTAATTCCATTGTGGTCGGAGGACATAGTTTGTATGATTTCTATTCTTTCACTTCTTTTAAGTACGTTTTATGGCCCAGAATGTGGTCTTTCTTGGTAAATGTTACATATAATCATTAGAAACATGTGCATTCTACTGCTGTTATTTGTGAAGTTGTTTATAAATACCAAGTAAATCAAGTTGATTAAAGGGGCAACTCAGGTCAACTATATTTTACTGACTTTCTGCCTGCTTGATGTATCAATTTCTGAAACGGGGTTATTTCATCCTCAAGCATAATCATGGATTTGTCTATTTCTCCTTGCTGTTTCATCAGTTTTTGCCTCAGATATTTTCACCTCTGTTGGTAGGTGTATACATGTTAAGAACGATGATGTCTCTTTGAAGAACTAACCCTGTTTTGATTATGAAACATCCTTGCTGATAATTTTCTGTTTTCTAAAATCTGCTCTGCTTTGTCTAATATTAATAGTTTGTCTAGCTTTTTGTTTTATTAATATTAGCATGGAATATCTTCTTTTATTCCTTTACTTTTAACCTATTTATAATTTGTCTATTTAAGGGTTTTTTTTTAGACAACATAGAGTTGGATAATTTTTTTAAATCTAGTCTTCTAGTCTCTATTTTTAAATTAATACAGTTAGGCCATTGATATTTAAATTGATTATTGCTATTATTACATTAATATTTACCATCTTTGAAATTTTTCTAATTCATTACACTTGCTCTTTTCTTCTTCTCTCTCTTTGTGGTTTGAGTTGTGCATTATTATGTGATTGCATTTTATCTTCTTTTTTAATATGTCAACTTTACTTCTATTATAACATTTTTTAGTGCTTACCCTAGAATTAGCAGTATACATGTCCAATCAAAGCCCACTCACAAATAATATATTAAGCTTCATGTGTAATTAAGGTATATTATCAGGGAGTAATCCCAATTCCTCTCTCCCATTCCTTGTAACATTGTTGTCATTCACTTTATTTATTTATCATTTATTTATATGACATAATCATGTAGTATATTACTGATATTAATATTTCAACAGTCATTTAGATCAACAAAATATTAGAAAAATAAAATATTCTGTTTTATCTTTCTTTATTCCTTCTCTGATTCTCTTTCTTTAATCAATCTGAGTTTATGATCTATATTGTTTTCTTTCCTCTGAAGATTTTCCAACCATTTTTTGCACAGCAAGAAATTTGAGAAGTTAAATTGGCAGTTAATTATCTGTTTTTTAAAGTTTGTGTGACAAGGTCTATTTCTTGTTCACATTGAAAAATAATGTTGCTGTATGTAGAATTCTAAGTTGGTAGAGTTGTGCTCAATTCTCTTATTTGCAATGCTTGTAAAGAAAAGTGTAATATAATTCTTTCCCTTGTTCTTCTATATCTAAGTTTTTTTTCCTCTATTTGATTTAACATTTTTTATTTTCTCTATTATTATTTATTTATTTATTTTGTAATTTAAACCTGCTATACTATACACAGGTGAAGATTTTTTAGTAATTGCCCTGTTTGGTTGTGCTCTGAGTTCCAGCCATGGTTTGGTTTGGCATTAATTTTGCAAAAATCTCACCCATTATTACTTAAAATATTTCCTCTGCTTATTTCTCTTTCCCTTTCTTTTTTTTTAGCTTTTATTTTTGGTATTTCCATTATGAAGATGATACCTTTTGCAATTGTTTTACTGTCTTTGAATATTCTGTTCTATATTTTAAAATTTGTTTTTATTTTTGTGTTTCAACTTTAGTCATGTCTACTAATATTTCAAGGACACCAATTCAGTGGTGGTCAGTCTACTGATGAGTATATCAAACACATTCTTCATCTCTGTTACAGGTTATTTTTGTTTGTTTTTGTAGCATCTCCTTGTGACTCTTTTGTGGAACTCCTACCTCTCTTGTTCTTGCAGGCTGTCTACATTTTCCATAGAGCATTAAATATTAAAATTAGTCCATTTATATCCCCAATCTGATGACTTCAAAATCCCTGTTGTACCTGAGTCTGGTTCTATTGCTTTATTTTTCTCTTCAAGCTATGAATTTTCTTGTGTTTTAGCATGTTTTATAACTTTTTGTTGAAAGCTGAGCATGATGTATCTGGTAATGAGAACTAAGTTAAATAGCCCTCTGGTGTGGGTTTTGTGTTACTCTGGCTAGGACTTAGGCTGTGTTTTATTTCTGCTGTAGCAGTAGGTGTCAGAGGCCTTAATTTCTTCTTACATACTTTTTTTCTTCTTTATTGTCATTAGGTTTCCCTAAAAACTTATTTTTATAAATAAATTTTGCTTTTTGCAGCTCTTTCAGCTGTATCAGCAGCTGAAATGCTGCTATGATACTGGAGTTGTGTTCATGTGGTGATATGGTGGTATGGGAGAGAAGCATTCTGTAATACTATGATAAATCTTAGTCTTTAGTAGCCCTGTATTACTGGTCCTAATCTTCACAAATATTTTTCAGTTATTTTTCCCCACCTTAGTTGAGAAAGTAAGGCTAGAGGGGTTGGAATTGGGTAAGGCTTCTCCAATGTCTTTGACCTTGTTCAGTGGGCCTTTGCCACAAAGAGTGCTGAGGGTTTATTCAAAAATGACTACTTTTCCCAAGAGTATTCTTGGCCCTTTTCATTGTGAAAACAGGTGGGGTTACTGGAGGAAAAGCCCATGAAAGATTGGAGGAAAAAACCTAAGACAGAGTTCCAGAAAATTCTCACTTTCACACTAGTCCATACTCTGCCTCCAGCACTGAGTCTCAGTTACCATTTAAGTGTTCCTACCAGTTTATAGCTCTAAAGGATTTTAATCCAGATAAGCTGATCTCAGAGGTGGGTCTCTGTATTCTCTGGGATCTCCATCTTAGTGGTGTTAGTTTGCCCTATGACCTAAATATTCTGATAGCTCTCAGAAGAGTTACTGAGTTTCAGTTTGTTCAGTTTTTTCTTGGTTTAAGGACAAATGTGACAACTTCAAAGTTCCTTAGATGTCGACTAAAATTGGAAGTCATAACATCCATTATTTTTTTCCTCCCCCTCTGTTTGATTAATTCATGACTCAGCTGTGGTTGAAATTCTACTCTTGGTCTTTGAATTTCAAAATTACAGTCAAACATAGTATCATTAAAATAACAGGTACAATTTGAGAGATTATGCCTATGACTGACTAAATACTCATACGCAGTCACAGGAATGCACGTACTGCTAATCCGAACTCTTTCTTACCAAAAAATCAGCAGCTCAAAACGAGAAGAAAAAAAAATGAATTTTGAAATTGCTAGACAGCTAACCTAAAGCCTAGACCTCTGTTTATCAATGTATACTCTTGTAAGCCATTCAGGGCTTATAATGAAAACAATCTTGAGAAATTTTAATGTGAATCCCTCTGACTTTTCTACCTTGACCAAGGATAAATGTCCATAATTATCTCTTGGATCCTAAGGCTTTTCATTTACTCTTTGTTGACTACATCACCATCTTCTGTAACTGCATTTTGATTTGCATTTATTTGCAATGTTTGTGCTATCTGTGGACCATTTATGAGCAGAAGCTGAATAATTTTTTATTGTTCTTATTCTAATGCATCTCATATATCAGAAAAATAAGTATGCCTTATTAATGTCTGTAAACGTAATGCATTTCTAGAGAGCACTGCTTTTATGGCTTTGAGTTACTTTGATTTAGAGGGTTTAAAAGGAATTGCATATGATGTAACATATTTGAAAGTGTCTATGTAGGTAGAAAAGTTTCTGAATTAATTCACCTTAAATGTTAAAAATATTCTAGCTAAAGAGAATGAACTTTTTCCCAAATAAACAGAAAAAAATATGGATATATCTTTTGCCAAAGGGTTAGAAAAATTAGAATCATTTAATTACAAGTCCATGCATGTATAGCACATGATATATAATTTCTTAAGTATAGATTAATGCTGTAAATAAACTTCCATTATATAAATGAATAAATTTCCTTAACACCCCGTTATTGTACAATTCATTTTGGCATAAGATGATACTAGAGAGTATTTTCAAATGAAGCTCCATATTTCTAAAATATTAATAAAAATAAAATCTCAAAATGTTGCTTGTTGATGAAATTTCAAATATTTGGAAAGTTTGTTAAGTTACCTTGTTAAGTTACCTTGTTCTACCTAGTTGTTAAGCTAACTATGTTCTTTGATTATGGATGTATAAAATTCTTTAACATGATTTTTAAAAATTCATTTCCATTTATATTGAAAAATATAGTAAATTCGTATGTAGAAGAAATACATCAAACAATTTTCCCATTAATTTTATCTTATTCAGGTTGAACCCATTGTATTTTTGCATATTAATTGACTGAATATATTTGTAACTTACAGCTTTTATTTTTACTGCTAATAATAAAAATAATATGTTAGAGGCTTTGTATGTATTAAATCACTGAAACTCTCTGCAACTTTAGGAAATAGTTTATATTAAACCCATTTTATAGATGACAAAATTGAGTTAGACAAGTTAAGTAACTGCTCAGAGCTTTATATACACTAAATATCAGAATTAGGCTTTATCTCAGAACTCTTTGACTCCAAGATACAGGAAATTAAGAACTATTATACTTTCTCTATTTCTAAATGTAATACAATTCACACATTTTAAATATCTTAAGTGTCAATATCTGCCGTACATTAAAACAAGCTACATCAGAGAAAGTTTATTGTCTTTTTAAGTATTATTTGGAAAAAAATCTTAACTATGTACATATATATTTAAAACTACCTAGAATATATTTTCAACAATAGAAAATCAAATGAAGTAATAAATGCTGTGGTCCGAATATCTGTGTCCTCTTCAGATTTTTATGTTGCAATCTTAACCTTAAGTTAATGGCATTAAGAGGTAAGTCCTGTGGGAGGTGATACACTGATGGGGACATCCCATTAAGTAACCAGTGGGCTAAGGCAGCTCATTTGCCATTTCTACAGTGTGAGAATGCAGCAACAAGGTGCCAGCTATGAAGCAAAGAGCCCTTACCAGACAATGAATCTACTGACAACTTGATCTTGGACTCTTCAGCTTCCCAAACTGTGAGCGATAAATTTCTGTCATTTATAAATTACTCAGTCTATAGCATTTGTTATAGCAACACAAATGGACTTGAAATATTAGATTACAACAATTCTCACATTACCGTTGTTTTTCTTTTGTCTTTTTTTTTGAGGGTATACTCATAACAAAGTTTATATAGTGTAAACCAAAAATAAAATTCTAAGCCCCTCAACCAACTGATGGACCCTCCTCTTGGCCAAGGGCATTCCAAAGTTAACCTGAAAAACTAGTTCAGATCATGATGGGTATACCCTAGTCCCTTTGGAATTCAGGTACAAATGACCAGCATTAAGATCAAAACAGAGACCTTAAGACTGATAGAATAGACTCTTTAAGTCTGATGGGGAAAATTTATAATCTATTCTCTCTGAAGCCTGATACATTGAGGCTTCATCTGCATTACAAGAACCTTGGTCTACATAACCCCTTATCTTAACCTGGACTCTCCCTTCTATTGATTCCAGATATTTAGATAAAAACTCTTTCAACCAATTGCCAATTAGAAAATATTTGTATCCACATATAGCCTGGAAGTCCCCACTTCTAGTTGTCCTGCCTTTCTGGACCAGACCGATGTACTTTGTACATGTATTGATTGATGTCTTCTATCTCCCTAAAATGTGTAAAACCAAGCTGTAGCCCGACCATCTTAGGAACCTATTGTCAGGATCTCCTAGGGCTGTGTCATGGGCCAGCAGCTCCAAACCTTTTGGAACGAGGGACTGGTTTCATGGAAGACAATTTTTCCACAGACTGTGGGGGTGAGAATGGTTTGGGGATGATTCAATCACACTACATTTATTGTATGCTTTATTTCTATTATTACTACATTGTAAGATATAATGAAATAATTATGCAACTCACCATAATGTAAATTCAGAGGGAGTCTTGAACTTGTTTTCCTGCAACTAGATAGCCCTGTAACTGCCCACTGGGTTCACCTTGCCTGCTGCTTAGACAGAGTCAATTTCACAAGACAGAAGAATTGCAATGGGCAAAGAATAATTCACACAGAGCAGCTGTGTGGGAGACTGGAGTTTTATTATTACTCAAATTAGTCTATCCAAGCATTCGGGGAGCAGAGTTTTCAAGAACAACTTCATGGGCAGGGGAAGCCAATGAGGCAGGAGTGCTGATTGGTTAGGGATGAAATCCTAAGGAGTGGAAGCTGTCTCCTTGCGCTGACTCGTTCCTGGGTGGAGGCCTCAAGATCAGATGAGCCAGTTCATCAATCTGGGTGGTGCCAGCTGATCCATCAAATGCAGACTCTGCAAAATGTCTCAAGTACTGATCTTAGGAGCAGTTTAGGGAGGGTCAGAATCTTGTAGCCTCCAGCTGCATGACTGCAAAACCATAATTTCTAATCTTGTTGCTAATGTTAGTGCGGCAAAGACAATCTAGTCCCCAGGCAAGATTTGGGAAAGGGCTGTTATCTTCTTCGTTTTAAACTATAAACTAGGTTTCTCCCAAAGTTAGTTCAGCCTATGCCCAGGAATGAACAAGGACAGCTTAGAGGTTAGAAGCAAGATGCAGTCAATTAAGTTAGATTTCTTTCACTGTCTCAGTCATAATTTTGTAAAGGCCCTTTCAATCCCATCTGGGGGTGATGGAAGACAGTGACAGATCATCAGGCATTAGAGTCTCATAAGGAGCATGCAACATAGATCCTTTTTGTGTGCAGTTCACGATGGGACTTGGGCTTCTGTGAGAATCTAATGCTGCCTCTGATCTGACAGGAGGCAGCTCTCAGGCAGTAATGTGAGTGATGTGGAGATGATGAAGCTTCCTTCACTTGCATGCCCCTCACCTCCTGCTGTGTGGTTCAGTTCCTAATAGGCCATGGACTAATACTGGCTCATGGACCAAGGGTTGGGGATCCCTGTCATAGGTCATGGGTCACTCATATTTGACTCAGAATAAATATCTTCAAATATTTTACAGAGCTTGACTATTTTTGTCATCAATAGTAAAAAACATGGGAATTTTGAGTTAGGTAATATTCTAATTTTATATTCAATGTCTGTTAATCCATAGCTAGATAAGTTAGATGTGTTTCTTATTGCCTTTGTGGCCCCATGTTTTTAGTTTTTAAGGTGTTTTTAGATTTTATTTTTCATCTTTGTTCTAGGGTTACCAACTATATCACATAATGGTCCTAAGGATTAAATGAAAAAAAATGCAGTAAGGTAAGCATTCAGTGAATGCTTCTTTTCCTTTTTTTTTCATAAGGCAGGAAAATTCAAAGCACTGAGAGTGTGTATATATTTTTTTCTTCCTACCTTTACTTCTGCTTTGGTGAAAATAATTATATTTGAGGCACAAAGTACAATGTATTTTATCTTGTCATTGTTTTCTATTTGAAAGAAAAATTGTAGTACAACTAGGTAACAAATTAATTTTACTAAAATAATTTAATAATATTTATTTTATATTATTATGTGAAAAAAGTTCTCATCATGGTTAGGTTTAATATGTTGTATGATACATACAGTAAATAAGGTCATTCTACAAATATGGATAATATTTCAATTTGTTTTCATGTAAATAATACATGCATTCATACATATTTAGTGTTTGTGTGTGTGTAAACTTCACGTTTGAAGTGACATATTAATAACTGAAATTTTGAATCATCTTGTGGTGCTACATATGGAATAATAAGGTATATAAGGGCAATAATGGTTCAAATAGCACAGCATAATTGCATATGATTGAGCTCCATAGACATGACCCAAGAGATAGGTACTCTTGTAACAACCATGCAATAGGCAAGTGACTTTGAGAACACACAAAAAGTGAAATGACCATGAATTATATCGCCAGAAATGTTTCATTATCCTTATAATGAAAGAGAATGGAATATAATTTATAACGAATGCAAAAACGAAAGCTCTTCATGTTCTTCTTTGTCATTAATATGAATGAGACATAATGAACAGCAAATTTATCTTAGAAATACCGAGGTCACTAAAATAATTTCTGAAACACCATGCAGGTAGATGTTTGGTAGTTTCAACAAGTTGTGAAAGTTGCTAGTTATGAGCTGACTATTATGATTTATTTTCCACTGAAATTTTCTTAATGATTATTCAATATATCATATATCATTTTAGAAACCTGATTGAAAACTCCAACTACGTTTATTAGTCCGTTTTCACACTGCTGATTGATATACCTGAGACTGGGTAATTTATAAAAGAAAGAGGTTTAATTGGACTTACAGTTCCACGTGGCTGGGGAAGCCTCACAAACATGGCAGAAGGCAAGGAGGAGCAAGTCACATTGTATGTGGATCGCAGCAGGCAAAGAGAGAATGATAGCCAGGCAAACCAGTTTTCCCATATCAAACCATCAGATCTTGTAGAGACTTATTAACTACCATGAAAACAGTACGGGAGAAACCCACCCCCGTGATTCAGTCACCTCTCACTGGCTCCTTCCCATAACATATGGGAATTATAGGAACTACAAGATGAGATTTGGGTGGGGACACAGAGCCAAACCATATCATTCTGCCCCGGCCCCTCCCAAATCTCATATCTTCACATTTCAAAACCAATCATGCCTTCCTAACAGTCCCCCGAAGTCTCAACTCATTTCAGCATTATCTCAAAAGTCCACAGTCCAAAGTCTCATCCTAGACAAGGCAAGTCCCTTCTGCATATAAGACTGTAAAATCAAAAGCAAATTAGTTATTTCCTAGATACATTGGGGGATACAGACATTGGGTAAATACAGCCCTTCCAAATGGGAAAAATTTGCCAAAACAAAGGGGCTACAGGCCCCATGCAAGTCCAAAATCCAGTGGGGCAGTCAAATCTTAAAGCTCCAAAATGATCTTTGACTCCATTTCTCATGTCCAGGTCATGCTGATGCAAGAGATGGGTTCCCATGGTCTTGGGTGGCTCCACCCCTGTGGCTTCGAAGGGTAGAGCCTCCCTCCTGGCTGCTTTCACAGGCTGGCATTGAGCATCTGTGGCTTTTCCAGGCAAAAAGTGCAAGCTGTCAGTGGATAAACCCATTTTGGGGTCGGGAGAATGGTGGCCCTCTTCTCACAGAACCACTAGGCAGTGCCCCAGTGGAGACTGTGTGTGGGGCTCCAACCCCACATTTCCCTTCCACACTGCCCTAGCCAATGTTCTCCATGAGTGTCTTGCCCCATGCAGCAAACTTCTGCTTGGGCATCCAGGCATTTCCATACATCCTCTGAAATCTAGGCAGAGGTTCCCAAACCCCAGTTTTTGACTTCTGTGCACTCACAGTCTCAACACCACATGGAAGCTGCCATGGCTTGGGGCTTGCACCCTCTGAAGCCACAGCCTGAGCTCTATGTTGGCCCCTTTCAGCCATGGCTGGAGCAGCTGAGTCGCAGGGCACCACGTCTCTAGGCTGCACACAGCACTGGGACCCTGGGTCTGGCCCATGAAACCATTTTCTCCTCAGCCTCTGGAGATGGGATTTGGGTGGGGACACAGAGCCTAACCATATCATTACCCATTTAAATCCATAAGTGTTTTTGAGCTATTATTTATTCCTTCCTTGTATTTTTATTCTTATCAAAAATAACTTACCTTATTTTGGAAGAAATATACTTTTCAATCTAGCAAATGCTATTGGAGAACCTGTTCTATTTATATTTCAAATTCCCATGACATCGTATCTCTGTCTCTCTCTCTCTGTTAGGCTCTACTTCTATTTCTTTCTCTTTCTCTCTCTAATCTTGTTCTTTTTTGTCAGGATGCATATTTATTTATACAACAATATTTCTTAAATATTAATATGTAAAATCAACTTTAATAATCTTCGCATGCTCCCAATGGAAACTAACTAACTTCAAAGCAGTAATGAACATGGCTTTATATTTTTATTCAAGATACTTACGTAAGGTTAGATTAAGTTGTTTGTACTTCAGCCAAAATAAATCACAGATATTGTGCTTTATTTTTCATATTTTTAATTTAATGTTTATTATTTCTCTTAAATCTTAAAAAACCTGCCACAGTGTTCAGATAGAAATTGAGGTTTATGGTAGAATTTTCTAGTCTACATAGAAATAACGTAACATATTACTTTATCAATCATTTTCGTGAGTAGCTATTTCATCAACTTTTCAGACATTATCCTTGAGATGCTTACTTAATGTCTACTTTGCTGCCACCCCCTTCATATACCAGTGCAATGTCTATAAACAAACGTGTGAGTGCAGATGTTTTTATATTGCAGAAACTTACTGAGTATTTCAGCACACTATCATATAAGTGCATCTGAAGTTGTATTTATATATCCTATCCACGCTTCCAAAAGAATAAACAAAAAAGCTGTCAAATATCATGGACACATTCAATAAAGAATTATTTCACATCAGTGATAGGACCCTTTAAGGCAGCTGCCAACATGGTCATGGATGGTTTCATAGAACTCCTGCAATGCTAAAGAATCCTTAGCGCTTGCATTAGTGTTCATCATGGTGTAACTGACCAGTGGTTTTTTCTTGCCCCCTGTCCAGATAAAGCTGATTTATCAAGGTTGGGGAAATGCAATAAAGAAAGAGGTTAATAATTCACAGAGCCAGCTGAATAGAATACCAGAGTTTTATTTCTACACAAATCAGTCTCCCAGGTAATTTTGAGGCTAATGTTTTTTAATGGTAATTTGGGGGAAGGGGTGGGAGTGGCTAGACATTGGATGCTTGCTACTGATTGGTTGGGGGTGCAATCGTAGGAATGTGGGAAATGGTCCTCCTGTGCACTGAATCTCTTCTGGGTGGAGCCACAGGAGCAGTTGGCAGGTCCAAGTGGAGCCATCACTCATCAGACATAAAAACTGAAAAGATATCTCAAAGGGCCAGTCTTAGGTTCTACATTAGAGATGTCATGTACAGGAGTAATTGGGGAATTTGCATATCTTGTGACCTCTGCAATAATGGCTGGAAGTTGTTTATTTATACAGATTAGCAGAATTCAGGCTTCTCTATCCTCCTAGCCTGGTGGTGTCTCATTAGCTTTACAAAGGTGATAGAGTTTGTGGGAAGGGCTTTATCATTTAAGCTATAAACTAAATGTCTCCTGAAGTCAGCTTGGCCCAACCCCAGGAATAATTAAGGACAGCTTGAAGGCCAAATGCAAGATGGGGGTTGGTGAGATCAGATCTTCTCCACTGCCATAATTTTCTGTTATAATTTTTGCAAAGGTGGTTTCAATGATAACCCATAAAAAAGACACAGATTTTAGATAGTAGCATATGCTTAACTTTATTACTGATTCTTCTCTAGTTGTTCAGTAAATATCTTGTGGGACACTAATCAACCAATTTAAAAAGACAAATCAACATTCTCAAATTGTCCTTGGATATTGGGAAGCAGAGTATAACCTTGAAAAGGAAAATTACAAATAATGTCAGGACCCCCCCCCCCCACCCCACAACCCCACCTGCAAACTTCTTATGCGAAAGAGAAGGTCTTGCAACACTCTCTTCCAAATGAGTAGTTGTTACTAGATTATGCATCAGCCAGATCCTCCAGGAGAGGTAAAAGGCCTCAGGCATCAAGAAAAAGACAGGCTTCTGGGATCATTCATGAGTGAATTCTTTGCTGGCCTCTCATAAACAAGGACATGCCAATTATAACTGTATGTCTACAATCTAAGTCTAGCTCCTAATGGACACTGAAAATGTCCATTAGAGGCTTATCTTCTCAGAGGTAGAACAGTCAAGACTCCTTCCTTCACCTACCTAGAGACTTCTGCATAATTGACTCTTCTGTTACTCCATTTGTCTCTTCAGTAATTCACCTTATCATCTTAAGAGGTATTAACCTAAGAACCTACCTGCCCCCCATCTGCCTTCCTCCTCCTCTCATTTAAAGAAATGTATGAACACTAAGCCTTTTGAAAATCTCTTCAGAAAAACAGCCACAGATTTGTCTGTGGCTTGTGTTTTTCCTGGGATATGTCCAAAAGTGGCTTAATAAACCTCCATGATCAAGATTTATGCCTCAGTCACTGATTTCCATTGTCAATCTTACTCTAAAGAGAAATTTGAAAGGCCAGTTAAATAAGCGGTATACATGCTTTTTCTTTTTTGCTAGTTTTGTTAAATTTTTCTTTTCTTCCTTCCTGAGGCAAACTAACTTTGATACAAAGGATGTAAGTAACATTCTATAATAGCTACAGAACTAGTTGAGGGCAAATCAGCTTTAAAACCCTTTCCTAAATTCTCAGAAGAGAGATCTCTCAATAGTTCACATTTGGTGGAAGAAAATATCACCAGCAAGGAGTTCAACATCATTAGAGTAATGATAATTGGAAAACAATCATGCTGAGCCAGATAATCTTTACACACAGATGACAACAGATGATATTCAAATGTTCTGTTAGAAGACAGAAACAACCTTAGAGGGTCAAGTGAATGCATTCCACTCATTTGCAAGCAGTGGGGATCACTGAGATTAAAAAAAATGAAAACAAAACAGAGCATTAGGAGCACTGTCATTGGAAATAAGATGATTCCTTCTAAACATACACTTGCCTGAAATTTAGCCTAAACTTCACAGCTTCTAATAATGTCAGTCCTTGAAAATACAGTTTAGAAGAAGAATCCTGTCTTTCATGCCCACCTGACGGATAATTATGAATGACTTGAGAAAATATTAAATGATGAACATGATTAGGTGCTAAATAAACACTTCACCAATTGAATCGGAGGTTTACTAAAATCTCTAGTTGGACCCATTGCAAAAGATGCTGATACCTTATTGAAATGCTACCTTTACTGTAAGCACATATACCTATATGATGGCTGTTCTGGAATACGGAGATGCCAAAAAGCTAAGCTTAAAATAACACCATATACTGGAAAATGTATTTGGCAAATTATCAGGAAACTAAAAGTTTTGCTATTGATTAACTTGCTTCTTAACTTACTTCATTTTAATTTCCTTAACTGCAAAGTTATTTTTACTATGATCTCTCAGTGTTCTTCCAGCATTAAATTATGATTCCAGAGATGTTTCAATCACATCATAACAAATTTCACAAGTGTAGGAAGAGTTGATCTGAATAAACATAAGAATAGCATTAATTATTTGTGTTGATATCTAATAGTAATTATCAAAAAGATCCTTGGGGATTCGTTTGGTGGCTTTTCTTTAACCAAACAGTTCATAAAATCAAGTCAATGCAATGAGTATTGATGAAAGTCAAGATATTTTTAAGACATAGATAGGACCTATTTTGAACATTTACTGAGTGATTGAAAACTATACAACACATACATCAATTATAAAAGAAGTCACTTAAATAAGTATAATCATTTTACACCTTATATCTTACTGCATTCAGTTAATCCCTTCTGATAATTTCCTGAGAAATATAGACGCTAAAGAACTACAATAGAAACATATCTGGTATATAATTTTGAAAGAATTAGAACAATAAAATTTAGGAAAATATTTGGAGAAGGTAACCTACTCTATTAAGAGAGCAACAGACTTTTCCTCAACTCCTTCCTCTCTCCCTTAGGTACAGAAATATGTGTCTTGGGGATGAAGTATTGTCTTTAGGTAGAAAGTTCGTGGAAAAATACCAAGAATTTTCATGGGTTTCTGGACAAGAAAAAAATACTAGCAAGAGATAGGCTTTGGGTAATTTACAACTTTTACCTCTCTAGCTGGCATCAGAGACAGATTCACTCAACATACATTCCAATCCCCTTATAGCTGCTTCCTTTTACTATAAAGACCAGGACAATTATAGGCAGAATAATAGAAGTTCCTGGTTTTGCTTCCCTGAGGCAGTTGTTGAGTGGATAGTTTTATTATCTGGAAGTTGTTGCTGGTCCTTTGCAAGCTTGCTTTACAGATGGATACACTTCATGCTATAGGGATGTTATGGGTATTGATCCTGGTAGTTTCACACTCTAAGGTTTGGCACAGATTCATGATGTCTGAACCAATTGGTAACTGCAGCCTTTCAGTACATTCATTTACTGTAGTCTTATAGTAGGGCCAGCTTTCTTATTACTGCTCTGTTTCTTAGTGAATAGACATCATAAAGCAGAAAAGGAATGTATGTGTATGTGCATGTGTATGTGTGTGTGTGCGTGTGTGGATGTGTGGTCTGGGGCAAGGATGCAGAGTAAAGGAGTCCTACAAAGAAGACAGAGAAAAATAATACAGAAATAAACTAAGTGCATTTATATTAAAACTATTTAGCTAAAACAGTGTTGTCTAAGTATAATTGCTAAGATTGTGAAATAGGATTAAAGTAGAAGATTCGTGGAAGTGAAACATTATACCTGCCTAATTCGACCAATCAAAATGGTTTTGAATGTTTACAATTCTGATTTGTAATATTTAAGCCGTGATGAATTATTATTTGTCCCTAACTTTTCACCAATTTTTGTGGCACTTAAAAAAAATGGCCCTAGAAAAAGTCCATACTATTTGAACACTTTTCCTCAAAAACAAACAAATATGTGGGTTAATTTCTAGATATTTTATTATTTTTGCTTTGTTTTGCTGGTATTGTGTCCGGAATTGGTGGGTTCTTGGTCTCACCGACTTCAAGAATGAAGTTGCGGACCCTCGCAGTGAGTGTTACAGGTCTTAAGGTGGCGCGTCTGGAGTTTGTTCCTTCTGATGTGCGGATGTGTTCAGAGTTTCTTCCTTCTGGTGGGTTCGTGGTCTCGCTGGCTCAGGAGTGAAGCTGCAGACCTTGGCGGTGACTGTTACAGCTCATAAAAGCAGTGTGGACCCAAAGAGTGAGCAGTAGCAAGGTTTATTGCAAACAGCGAAAGAACAAAGCTTCCACAGTGTGGAAAGGGACCCGAGCGGGTTGCCACTGCTGGCTGGGGCAGCCTGCTTTTATTCTCTTATCTGGCCCCACCCACATCCTGCTGATTGGTAGAGCCCAGTGGTTTGTTTTGACAGGGCGCTGATTGGTGCGTTTACAATCCCTGAGCTAGACACAAAGGTTCTCCACGTCCCCACTAGATTAGCTAGATACAGAGTGTCCACACAAAGGTTCTCCAAAAGTCCCCACCAGAGTAGCTAGATACAGAGTGTCAATTGGTGCATTCACAAACCCTGAACTAGACACACGGTGCTGATTGGTGTATTTACAATCCCTGAGCTAGACATAAAGGTTCTCCACCTCCCCACCAGACTCAGGAGCCCACTTGGCTTCACCCAGTGGATCCTGCACCGGGGCTGCAGGTGAAGCTGCCTGCCAGTCCCGCGCCGTGCACCCATACTCCTCAGCCCTTGGGTGGTGATGGGACTAGGCGCTGTGGAGCAGGGGGCGGTGCTCATGGGGGAGGCTCAGGCGGCACAGGAGCCCACGGAGGGGGGTGGGAGGCTCAGGCATGGCGGGCTGCAGGTCCCAAGCCCTACCCCACGGGAAGGCAGCTAAGGCCCGGCGAGAAATCGAACGCAGCGCCAGTGGGCTGGCACTGCTGGGGGACCCAGTACACCCTCCGCAGCCGCTGGCCTGGGTGCTAAGCCCCTCATTACTGGGGGCCGGCGGGGCCGGCAGGGCCGGCCAGCTGCTCCGAGTGCGGGGCCTGCCAAGCCCACGCCCACCCGGAATTCCAGCTGGCCCGCAAGCGCAGCGCGCAGCTCGGGTTCCGCTCATGCCTCTCCCTCCACACCTCCCTGCAAGCTGAGGGAGCCGGCTCCCGCCTTGGCCGGCCCAGAAAGGGGCTCCCGCAGTGCAGCGGTGGGCTGAAGGGCTCCTCAAGTAAGTGCCGCCAATGTGGGAGTCCAGGCAGAGGAGGCACGGAGAGCGAGTGAGGGCTGTGAGGATTGCCAGCATGCTGTCACCTCTCAGTATGATTTCTTATAAAATATCAAGGCAATGTACAAAATGTGAGGGTGTAAGATTTTAAGCCTGGCTATAGAGAAATGTATGGATTAATGTGAGGGGCATGCAAAAAGAATATAAAAAAGTGAAGAAAACTTTGGCAGATGGAACTGTAATGAGTTAGAAACCATGAAAATGTAGCAGAAGCTATTGGTACAGTTCCGTTAATTTCTTCAGAAGCCCTTACCAGTTCAAAAGTTAAAGGAGAAAGCAGATGGTGAAGTTTTGCTTGGTTCAGAAAAAACGGCAGGAAAGATAACAACAAAAAGGAATAAAAACGATGGATACTGTTATCCCTACAAAGCTGAAACCAAGATTTTCTCTAACTACGCTCCTTCTGAGAAGCATTTACTACATAAAACTGCCTCTGCCTTGATATCTGAAAAAAAAGTGTATATGATACCAATTTGGGTGAAAAAAATTTGGCCTGAGATGACATCTGTAAAAGCTGAGGATTTGCTTTTGTTTTTAAATATTGTAGGCGTGGGGCCAGTTTTGTGACACTCTTTCGGTTTTTGTTAAATTTTTGAATTTAAACAAAACAAAGAAGACTTACTGTTGAACTAATTAAACTTTTTCTTAAAGAATCCATTTCCATTTCAGAAGACAGCCCAGACTGTAGGTGTTGAAACAACTTTATTTCTCTGGGGGAATCTATGTGAAAAGCCTGGGGCTGACAGCAAGCCGAATTAGAACTGCAGAGAACGAGAATTGATGTTAGGCTTCAATTTTCTTTTGGGCTTTAGTTCAGAAAGGACATATTTTGATTTTGGTTTTAATTCCTTTGGGTTCCAAATGAACATTAAAAATTCCTTCAAGTTAAAACAAAAAGAAATTTTATTGTATTGAATTCTAAGTTATAAAATTTTGTCTCCGGGAAATTCAGAAAGTTAAAGCCATGTTCAGATCATTCAATCCTATGTGTGTAGGGGAGTGTGTTTGAAACACATATGAATTTAAATTTATTCTGTTGGGAATGCTGATTTTTGCTTAGTTGCGTTTCAGCTTTACAACATGTGTAATTTTAACCGAGGAGTTAGTTAGCATATGGATCCTGTGTAGCCCTGGTAGAGGATTTGTTTCTGATGAGTGGTTTTACATTTGTTTTGCTGGGAGCTTATAAAATGTCAATATTCAGGACCTGGTATTTAAGATAATTTTTCAAGTTAGGCATTCTGAGTTAGCAATAAGTAGGGCATACATTTCAACTTCAAAGCCATGAATAGTTACATGGTTACAAATTATCTAGACAGATATTTTTAACCTAAAAACCAGGTAGTAATAGAAAGGCTTCTTTGCCTTCTTCTTCTGCTTGTTAGTGGGTTATTATTTTTTTGATAGTTCACTTTTTTAATAATTCGTAAGCCCTTTGAGGATTCCTTCATCACATGAGGCTCTAAGATCAACCTTCAGCTCCCATGGGCTCAAATCTCATATCCTTCCTCCAACACGTGTTAAAACTCAGGCCCTTTGGTGACTAGAATGGTATTCTTTATATCATTCTAGATTAGCCAGTGCATCCTCCTATCTGCTAACTGAACTGGTTTATGTTTTTCTATACTCCTGACACCAAAGGTTTTAATCTACTCTAACTTGATTTGAAGCTATGCATTTAAAAAATATTAAAATTGTATGTAATATTTCTACGTATTTGCCATGGGAAGTGTTTCTGGCTGTCAAGTTAACAGGCTGCTGGAATTAGAAGTTTTTATTTGAGTATTAGTAAATATTTAAACTCTTAAAATAGTTTCTTCTATACTAATTCATCTATTTAAGTTCATACTTCCTGGGAAAATGTTGATAATTGATGCTTTACAAGAAATATTCTAATTATTTTATATTTTCAAATTTCTTATTATAGAGTTACAATATATTGTTAAGTAATGAACAATATTAAGGTTTATTGAGTGCCTCACACATTCTAGGCACTGTTGTATGCACCAGGGATGTAACGATAAACCAAATAGTGCTTTTCTCTGCCCTTCTTCAGTCTCCATTCTAGTGGGGAATTTATAATGCAAACAAATAAAAAATAAAAATGTAAAGGACTTACTTAAAAAATCCTTAGGCTACATTTTGTATTTTTGCACATATCAAAATAATAGTGGTTTAGTAGACAGAAAATTATCTCACAAAAAATATACAGAAGTAGGCAGGCAAATGTGAGGGCAGGAGTTCAACTATAAATCAAGGACCAGACACTTTCATCATCTGCCATCTTCAATATGCTGGTGGTGGTGTTTATAATAATGTTAATGTTGATGATATTGTTTAGCATGCTTATTGCTTTATGCTGTCACAGTTTGAAGAAATTAAAGCTAGTGAAGTATTTTAGCTCATAATCAGTGTTTAGAGCGTGTATTATGTATTCCTGGAGAGTCTATCACCAATCATTTAGAAAAAATAATAAACATATTTGACTTTAAAAATCCTATTTGACATTTATGTAGCCTATTCTTAGGGAGTATACTGTTGTCCATTTGGATTTCATAATAGTTGTTGGGTAGATTGGTAGCAGGATTCATTCTCATCGCTGTTTCCTCTCCTCTATATTTAATTTTAAGACAAATTATTAAAATACCTGACTTTCATTCAGTACAGATGCAAGTGAGATGAGATAGTTCCCTTGACCCCTTCACAGAACTTGTAAATGGGTAGCTTGCTTACTCAGTCCACAGTGCTCAAACCCCTTGAGAGTGGGGGGATCACACAGGTGAGTGAGTGGGTGCAGGAGCCAGGGCAAGGGCCTTTGGGCGCCGGCAGAAACAAACCCCATACTTTCCCACGACAGCGTCTAGGGGTTGCCTGTGACCTCTGGAGCCCCAGAGGGCATGTGTTACAGTGTGCTCCTTTAGCTTTGTCATCTGTGGATGGCTTAAGTGTTAAACAGCTCAGTGCAGAGTCAGTGTGACAGCCTCTTGCGCCCACACCCGGCTCTTTGTCCGGTGTCCAGGAGTAATGATGTCTGCAAATCAATTGGAGGGTGGTAAATGCGGAGGATTTTACTAAGCAGTGGAAGTGGCTCTCAGTGGGAAGGGGAGCTAGAAGGCAGATGGAGTGGGAAGATAATCTTCCCCTGGAGTTCATCTGCCCCTGGCCGAACTCTTCTCAGAAGTCCCGCGGTCAAGCCATCCCTCTGAAGTCAAGCTGCTTTTCTCTAACATCGAGCTGCTTCTCTTCTCTCCTTCTCTGCCTCTCGCTCTGCACTTCTGCCAGTGGAGCTTGGGGTTTTTATGGGTACAGAGTAGGGGGCAGGGCAGGCCAGGGTGGCTTTGGAAAAGGTAACATTCAGGTGGGAAAACAGAAATGCATGTTCTTATTTACAGCCATGGTCCAGGCTTGAGGGTGGAGCCCTCACGAGAGACCTCACCATTTTCTACCTAGTATTTCCCTGTCTCCTGTCTATATCGCAGGTAAGCGAAGTGTTGTTTATATCTTGACTCTAGAAACATATGTAGAACAAGAAATAAGAACATTTTAAATAAACATGCATTGGGAATAAAACAATGAGAGGGTTTGAAGAAAAATAATTGTCAATCTGACAGGAGAAATTCAGGTCTTGAGGTCTTTTAATACATGTATTTCCAGTGATATGGAGGTTTAATACATGACCCTGCCAGAAGGTTGCTGATGTGTATTGGATATTGAATAATTTGGTTTTAAGGGTATTATCAATAAAATTATTTTTAAAAGTGTTTTTTACATTTTAAAATAATATAAAAATATAGAATACTATATAAATCCATTTCTTTCCCTTTCTTGTTTTTTTAATCTTTTCTCTTTTCCAATTCAGTAATCATTATATTACTTAACTATTACATTGTCAGAGCAAAGTAGCAATATCAATATTTAATTACAAGTATTAATCACCATGTGTAATTTGAAAGTTTGACATTTACTAAATATTAAGTGTGTTTTGAAAATAACTTCTAAATAACTTCTTATAGAAAGTTAAATAGAAGTGTAACTATAAAATATAAACGTCAACATGATTATCATTGTCATATAAATTATTATCAGCAAAGTAGACGAAACATAAATTTCATGTAAGTGAAAAATATTTATTCAGCCATACTATTTAAAGTAAAATGGTATGTAATTTTATTGTTATTCTTAGATGTAAATTTGTCATTTGTGTCACAATCCAATCTGGATAATATTTTTTACTACTCTTCCAGTTGCTAAAAGTGTTCTTTTAACTCTACTCCATGAGTAATAATGATGAATTACTTATAATCTAATTCCAAATATTATTTTTTTGATTCCTTCATCTTCAAACAATACTATCTTTGCTTGATACTTCTGAGATCTCCAGAGTCATTATACAGAGATAAATATTCCAAAATAGAATTCATTATGTTACTTTTGATACCATCATGTTAATTTTTCACATAAGGAAGTCTTTATGCTAGAAAAAAAGATATCCTTGTAATACACAATTTATTATCTTTTTCCCTTTGAAAATTCTGAAATTATAAGATAATGCACACTTTCTTGATACACAATTTTAATGTGTACTTCTGAAATGATACATTTTTAGATTTTATATATTTGTTAATATATAGAAATAATGGAATCTTACACTGAAAACTATGGATGCTGTATAACCTGCAATGTATACTGGAACATAGGAATTTAACAACTCTGATACTATAGTCATTATAATCAGTATTCTAATCATCATTATTATTTTTATATTTTGAAAAATGTTACCAAAGAGCAGGGTGTAGTAGATCATGTGTAAGCTCTGGAGCCTTTATGAAAGAGGAGAACATAGTCCAAAAATCAATTAGAAAGAGGATGGTAAAAGTAGACAGAAGTAGTCCTTACAAACAGACATGGACAGTCTGTCTCTATCCATATATCTAACTACCTATCTACTTATCTATTTATCTATCATTTTGGCACCAGATTTTTTTCAGTCTTTGAGGATGAAACATAGACTAGATTTTTTAATGTCTATAAGTTGGTATTGTAATTAGAGATATAAAAGATATAACAGTAAGATTACCATTTAATTGTGTGAGGTAGACCTCCAGACCTCTGCTCATTTATTCCTCATGTCTTGATGCTGCCCCTACTCTTTTACATACAACTATACACAATCACAAACACACAGCCACACACACACAAACTGTTGGAGACACTTTTTATGGGATGATTTACCCATTTTTACTGCCTCCTTGTCCTCAGTCACCTTCTAGCTAAGAATAACCATGTAACACATTTCCGGAAAGTTTCCGTTTCCCAGGTGGAAATTACATTGTCATCTCTCTCTTGGATTGTTCAATAGAAACTGAACTTACCTATAATGCTGGGTGCCTCCAGTGCATATTCCACATTACAGCTATTTTTAAGTTCCTAGTCTGATTCTCTCGGCCTAAATCAGAAAAGTGGCATTGTAAATAAATGAGCTGAATAACAATGGTAGATATATCAGAGGCAGAAAGAAAAGCATGCAGTTAATAATGAGAAATGAAGGGTAATGAATGTCGATCAAAAAGGACAGCAAAAAGTCAAGGGTACAAAAGGTTTTCTGATTTCAAACAACTGGCTAAATTGTGATTCTATCAAGTAAATTTGAGAATATAGGAGAATGAGCAATTTGGGGAAAAGATAACAAGTTACATATGGCTTCCAGAAATAAGGATGATGAAGATAGATAGTGAATGGTCTCCATGAGTATAGAAAAACAGAAGTAATTTGTGACATTAGCAAGAACATCATATAACGAGTAACAAGGCAGAAGAGACTATGGCGAACATTGTAGTGTAACAGGAGAGTGAAAATTGAAAATTATGAAGATTAAAATAGTTTTAAAATTATTAGTTGTTAAAAATGTTGGATGCAGAAAAAGAGTGTGGAACCAAGGCAATTTTTTTATTGTTTGTGTTTATTCATTTGTTTTTAAGAGGTGACAAATATGAATATTTTTAAATGTAGATGAGGACAAGATAGAAAAGGGGAGAAGACATTGACAGAACAGAGACTGAGTAAAAAATGTACAATTGTTAGAACATGATCCTAGAATAGGTGAGTAGCTAAAATTTCCAGAACAGCAAAATTGGGGAACTGAGATTTGAACAGGAAAAGGCACATATTTTCAACAGTAAAAGGGGAAAAAATAAAATAGATGAGTTTATGTTACAAAAATACTGTAGATTTGTGTGAAGTAGCTCCTGGCCATAGCTCTATTTTCTCACTAAAGAAGAAAGAAAGAACTGTTGTTCTTAGTGAAAAATGAATAGATCAACTGGATGTTCAGGAACTTGAAGGTTTGAAAGATTGTGTGGACAATAGGGTACCGGTTGCAGAAACATGAATGGATTTGCTGTATCATTGAGCATCTTTTTGAGATTGCAAACTGCATTTTAAATAAATTGGTACCATATTTAATGGCATGTTACTTTTTCTATGTATGCTTAGTAGCCCAAGATTGGATGAAAATGACTTAGATCAGGGCTACTAAAATATTTAACTTTGGAGAACCATTTCAAATATGGGGTTCTTTATAAGGAATTATCTGATCCAAGTCTTCATTCTTTTTTTGTGTTTACTTCATATTCTATATTTAACACTGCAGCATTTTTCAGTGTATTAGACATATTTATTTATGTCCTATCTGAGCTGATAATAATAAGGCCCTTTTACTCCTAGTGTCCAACACAGTGCTTTGCATTATCTACTTACTACTGGTTAACAATTATTGTACAATTGGTTAACAATTGACCAGCTGAAAGAAAGTGCTCCTGAGATTTTTATCATGATTGCTTCTGTTGAGGATTAATCTCTCAGGCCTCCACTGGGTTACAAAGGCAAAATCTGGAGTGAATTTGTAGGGTAGATTAAAATGAAAGCATTTATATGCTGAACATTAGATACTGTATTCATTGAGATATCTAAAGTATAAACTTCTGCTGTTCAATATATTAGTCACTGGCAAGAAGATGCTTCTGAACACTTGAAATACAGCCAGTTCAAACTGAGATGTGCTTTAAATGTAAACTATAGCCCAGCATTAAAGAATCAGTATGCAGGAAAATCCCATATATGTATTTAATATATCGATTGCCTGTTAAAATGAAAATATGTAGATATATTGAATTAAATAAAGTCATCAAAAGTAATTCATTTTAATGACTTTCTTTTAACTTTCTTTTTAATGTAGCTGCCAGAAAATTTAATATTATATATGTAGTTCTCATTTATGGCTCACATTATATTCCTATTTGATAGTGTTGATATAGAAAATAATACTGAACTAAAATGTATAGCTGTCTCTTTTATTAATATTCTTATTTTTAATAATGGTGTTAATTTTCTTTCTAATATCTTGGATAATCCAATTCCCAAGCGTGACTGAAGAGTTTTCAGAGTTTTCATATTCCTCACATGACATCCCACAAAACACATTCATTTTTTACACTAAATTCCTTAAAATAATTGCTAGAATTATAATGAGTATCAGAGTCCAATTATTTAATTATATGCTGAATTAATATTATTCTCAAATTAATTTCCTATGTGCTTGATATAATTCAGTTTCAGCATTTTGTTCCTCTAAGTCATTGAATTTCTAATTACAATCTATAGGCGGTTGAGATCACTTAGTAAAACATTTATTCCTGCCCAGAATGGTAAATATGATGTCTTTTTAACATAACAATTTTTAAATGTATTAAAGATAAATTTAAATAACAATATCATTTGGTGATCATTTCTATAATAAAATACACATTTATAAATTTTGTTTATGAGAAGTAACAAGGGCAACATATATAAAAAGAAATATTTATATAACTAAACACCACCATAAATTACAGAAGACACTGCTTTCAGTAAGTCGTTTGTAATACTTTTCACAGATACAATGTTAAAAAAGTTCTATAAATTGATGTCATATAGATGAAAAAATGTTAGCTGTTTTATGAAAGAATGTATCATATTTGTTCCTATATATGTGTAAAAAATAGGAATTATGTTTACCGTTGCTACCACTGTTATGAAAACTTAATTTATATATTGGAAGCAATAATCTGAAACTTACTGCTAGAGTTTCATAATATATCTTAGACCCAACTTCCATTTCCCTTACGCTTGCCATCTGTCTATAATGCTGTTAAAGCTTTTCAAAATGCTTTGACACCATGAAAGAAACCATAAACAGGCAGCAGAAACAATTCATGAAGACACTTTTGAATAAATAATTCAGACACATTCAAAGGAATCCTCGTTTTCTTATATTTTTATACTTCTCATAATTTTTATAAGAAAGTGTGTATACCACTGAAGATATTACTCAGTTTATGTATCCTAAAAATTATTCCAAGTTAAACAAATGACATGCACAATGAATTTCAATTTTACATATATTTTTACCGTAAGGAGTAGAGTTTTGTAAAGAAATGCCCTAAATTTTGGTTAATAATGAGTTATTTAACAGAATCAACACTGTTTACTGTTCTTGAATATCAAGACTGTCATATGGATAATGGTTTAGCTTTTCTCTTATATACCAGTGGAACCAGAGTGAAAGAATCCATTGCAACCAGAAATGTAAAGTTACTAATGAGAAGCAGTCATAGAGAAAGGAATTATGGAAAAAATATAAATTTTCAAATACCTATCATAGTGACCATTTGTCTTATTTGTAGCCATACAACATTTTTGACTACTTACCTTTATGTTTTGTATTTTTCACATTATGTATCTCATCATCTTCTCAAAGGTAAAGTCAGAAAACCATATTATCATCACCTCCTTGCAGGAAAGGTAGGTTTCGCCAATCACAAGCATTTCTGCACGATGTAGCAGCTAATGCTCTGTAAAAGATAATTGAATTAAATGGAGCCTCAGCCATTGGCCACTTCACTTCCAAGTGGATTTAACTAAACCTTAGCAGTTATACTCAATCCACCTATTTATGTCTTATAAAAATGTTTTACAATTTTTTTTTCTTTTTTTTTTTTTTTTTTTAAACGGAGTCTCGCTCTGTCGTCCGGGCTAGAGTGCAGTGGCGCGATCTCGGCTCACTGCAAGCTCCACCTCCCGGGTTCACGCCATTCTCCTGCCTCAGCCTCCCAGGTAGCTGGGACCACAGGCGCCCGCCACCACACCCGGCTAATTTTTTTTTTTTTTGTATTTTTACTAAAGACGGGGTTTCGCTGTGTTAGCCAGGATGGTCTCGATCTTCTGACCTCTTGATCCGCCTGCCTCGGCCTCCCAAAGTGCTGGAATTACAGGCGTGAGCCACTGCTCCCGGCCTACAATTTTTAACAAATAAAGATTTATCATATTTATATTTTGCCATATAAATTTTGTCAAATGTGGTGCCTCTTTTGCTTCTTGTAGACTAAAATTTAGAAATGTATATTTTATGGTAGAACTTGAAGAGCACTACAGACATTTATCATAAGTGATCAGGAAAGCCAAGGTGCATGTCAGAGGAAAGAACATCACACATAGTTTTATCTGGAAAATTCTTAGTAGATTTAATTTAATATTTGTACAGAACAATTCAATTTAAAATAGAATAAAAAAAGTCCTGCTGAAAAATATATTTTATTTTATATCCCGAATGAGGCTAAACATTTTGCTAATTATCTGTATTACCAATAGATTGCAATAGGAATTCAGTAACTTGGAAGAACAAGACACTAATATTTGACTATATCAAATATGAGGGTAGCCATTTTGAGAATAATTTTATTCTAAAAATTATTAAATAATTGGGTTATGACATTCTTATAACAAATTTTAAATGAATAACATGTAGGAATTAAGTGCTATTATGTGATATATCATATGGAGAATTAGAATATTTTCAGTCACTCTTTTACATTGAATTATTAGAAAATTAACACTATTATTGAAAAATTTTACTATTACCAAAAAATAGTGTAACCATAAATTTTACTTTGGTATTATTCCCCATATCAGCATAGTCCAACAGAAAAAATAATGTGAGCCACATACGTGAGCTCAATATGCAGTTTCAAGCTTTCTAGTATCCATATGAAAAAAACGTAAAATAAAGCAGATGATACTAACATTAATAATACATTTTCTTTAACCCAATATATCTAACATATATGCCTTTAAAATGTAAGCAATATAAAATGTTATAAATTTTATGACTTTTTTTTGTACAAGGACGTCTAATTCCACGATTTATTTCACGCAGCACACCTCTATCTGGACAAGGCATATTTCAAGTTCAATAACATTACGCAGCTAGTGTCCACTGTTTTAGATGATGTAGCATTTGCCAAAGTAGGCACATCCTCATAATCACAATCATATGTCCTTATTTTTATGTATGGATTATTTAATTAATTATGAAATTCCTGTAGCAAACATAATTTCTGGGGAAAAAAAGACATGAAAGTGTTTAAGAAGGTTGGAGAGCTGGACAGTAAGGGATGGCCTTTGTTCCCCCACAGAATCACTTGATTTTGATCTGAGGCCATGCTAATAAAGAATTAGCAGGCAGTTACTTTTTGCAACAATCTGGGCTAAATAACGAGGCCTTCGCGGAATTATGAAGAATCCTTTTCTCTCCAGTTGTGCGTGGAACTCATTACTCTCTAGGACCCCACAGAAGTGAAGCTATAGCAGTATCAAGGAATTACTGTATTATTTAAAACCATGGAAAAAGTATTCTCTTCACAAGGGCCAGAGAAACATCTTCATGATATAACAAAACAAAACAAAAACGGGAGCTGGAACAGAAAAGGAAGAGCAGAGTGGACCTGCAGTCAAGACCATAACTGACAGATTGGTTGAGGAGATATTGGTCAGGAATTCAGTGTGACTTCAGATGAGAGGAAGGATGAAGCATTTTGATGTGACAATCTGACAGGTAGAAATCCCCCTGAGAAGAATGTGAGGAATATTAAGTACGTATATACTTATGCTGTATGTATTTGACACTAAATAGCAACTTTTTATATTACCCATATAATAACAATAAATTTAGTATTGGGGAATGGCTTTATTTCAAGTACCAAAATTCATGTATCTCCATTTCTGTCATTGATCTTATTTAAATACAGTAACAATGTATCCCAGAAGATAGTTTGATGTTGCTGAAACAGTACTCATTTATAAAAGTATATGTAAACAAGTAACACCAAACTAAAGAACACATTGACAGCAAAGGTAGAGAAGTGATAACGGTGGCGCATTCAAGAGTTGTCTGTGTGAAAAGATGAGGCAGTGTGATCACAAGTATGAGATATTAAAACAAATGAAACCCTTATGTCAACAAGACAGCCAAGCTCTGGCTTGTTTACAAAAATTGATGGTGAAAGTCACAACCTGGCAGTATTTTTAATAATGAGGATTTATATTTTAAGTGAGGCTTTGAGAAAATATAAGTCAAAGAAAACCATGAGAGACAGCATTACTTAATAGAAAAATAAGGTCCAAGTAAGGTTCCTAACTGATTATTAATCAATTGGCAACATTCTATGAAATAGCCACTACAAATCCTATAGACAGATGATTCCTTGCAAGACTATGCAAAATATGACTTATAATACTCATATCTTAAAGTGCTGGAGAACTGTTAATGGAAAAAAATATAGACACTCCTTGAATACAATGTGTTGTCTTCTGGGTAATTAGTTCCACATTAAAGTGATAGGGTTTGAATATTATTTTTCTATAGAAAGCATACCAAAATGCTATTCTTGTCTTGATCCCAAGACCTTCATGAATTGTCAAACCCCATAAAATTTAATAGAGAAAAGTATGTGCAATGTAAAACATAAATATTTCTAGTCATATGTAAGTAGTAACTTCAAGTAACTTATGTTTTCTTTAACTTAGCGAAAATTCAGTGAGCATTTCCTGCCTATGTAGGCTATGAGTTAAGTTTTGTAAGGTAAACAACAGTGAATAAATGTATGATTCTAGCTTCAAGGGCTTTATTTCATATAGCATAGAAATAAATATATCTCAGTTGATTTATAAAAGCATACAAGAAATTAAAGTGCAGAAAATGGAGCATTTATATAAATCATAACAGGGCGAATCATTAGCCTTTGCTTCCATTTTACCAGCCTGACTAGGTACTATCAAGCAAGCAGTGCGAAGTGAGGCTACCTGGGATAACATAAGGGTGTCGCCTTCTGTCAGTGGTTTGGAGCTGCAAGGTGGGGAAATGCAGCCAAAGCCAGAATGGCAAACACTCATCTTGTTTTGCTTTCCAACTAACTAACACAGGTACTGACTTTACGGATAACTATTATGGAGATAATTATAGGCATAGCCAAAAATATTAATAACCAATTACCCCTGTACTATCTTCAGATTTGGGCTCTGAAATAGTTATATTCCTTCTCTGCTACAGTCTAGGATTATAAGCATGTACTATCACAGAATGAGAGGAGGGAAAGTCAGAAATAGATGAAGAATTTCAGAACTGCAGGAAAAGAAACAAGGCCTGTGATAAGAGAACTAATGGGATCATATTTTATTCATATAATACTACACTGCACTGTAAGTTTCAAGTTTTGCACACATTTTGTGCAATTCATCCTTCTTTTTTTCTCTATTAGAAAGTAAAATGATACCTTCAACAAATGGTAAAAAGTTTTAGGATGTAGAAGAGTTTCCTTGGGGATGTTTCGCCAAGCATCTTTGGGAATACTGTTGGGAAAGCATTCATTAACTGGCTTGAGAAAGTAAAGAAGAGAACCTAATTTGTTCTTCTTTTTATCTCTTTTAAAAATGGTCCTCTAGAAACTGAAAGTATTAGTGATTTAATAGCCGGTCTTTCTTCTAAATTTAATCCTGTGAATATTTTTGTATATATTTTTGGGCAACCCGTGTTCATTTATATTCCTGCTTATATAAGTGGTTTCAGCCAGTCTGTAAGTATAATTGGATGAGCACTGTATGGATCTCTCTAATTAGAATTTTCAGTAAGTTGAACAGGAACTGCTTCTACTCTGATATGCATGTGTAATTTCCACTAAAGTGAGCAAGCATAACTAAGGGCAATGTTTTCCCCTTTGAGCACTTTGAATTCTATGCACTCCAGATGCTACAGAAACTCCTATGACTATTCCCTTATTCAAACTGTTGATTTGTCATGGCAATATAATTCCTTGTGAAATCACTTTTGTTTGTTTAAATGAAGTTTTAGACCCCTCCAAAGTAATATAAGTTCTGCTTATGGAGGCGTTAACTTTTCAGTAATGGAAGAAATATTTGTTAAGTGAAATGAAAATATTTGTCAAGGCCATCATGCTTCTAGTTTGATGATTCTGGACAGGATGCTGATACTAGCTGGCGGAAAGATATGAACATCCCTGCAGATTAAAATGCAAATTTTATTGCTGGAAACAGCAATACACAGAAAGGCCATAGAGCCTTTTAGCTTTTCTGACAGCAGCTTGCAGAACCAGTGCACTGAATCACTCAATATCTTTAAGTGTCTATCCTATTCTGGAACTTTAATAAACATCTGCTCATACTGTACCCATTCCAAGTTCCAGTTTTAAGAATATACAAGCTTCAACATTAAATAACTGTTAGGCGAGCACTTTCTGTGAGTAGATTGTGATTAAATATACTCTTAATTAAAAAAGAAGGTGAGGTAAAGTAAAAGGTGACATATTATAGAAAATCATATGGAGATCTTAAGCCTTGGATATATAATTCTGATGATGTAAAAAAATTACACTTGGGACTTGATTGATTTATACAGAATAAGAATGTTGTAGTGCATGCAACAAATGAAATATTTTAATTCTGAAAACGAAACAAGAAATTAAGGGATTAATTCAACAAGCACATATGAAGTGATCCTCGTTACCATGGCCCCTACTAGTTTGAGAGGATACAGAGAGAACAATGAAATAGTCTCCACTTCAAACACTTAAGAGTTTAGCAGAGAGATACCCTCATAAACAACCAATTCCAGTAAAATATGACAATACCTTGTTTTAAGGGTGCATTCTATGCCCAAGATTGATGACGGTTTTTGCAATCTATCTCTCAATATAGAGAGGCCAAATTTTATTCTAACTTGGTCTTCAGTGATATGCATTCAGAGAAAGTGAAGTTTAGTAGATGATCACAAAATCTAATGCTGTAATCTTTTAATGACCAATTGTGGTTTAGAATACAGCAATTAAGAATACCAAATTTGCTCTTGGACAGTGTAGGAAACTTAGTGATGAATTTAGGTCTCCTTTTTTCAGGCTTCATGCTGACTTACACTTACTAAGGGGTAAACCCTGGTCACTTAAAGGAATAGTAGGTTCACTCAGATACACATTAATATATAATTTGTTTTTTTTTTTGAGACAGAGTCTCTCTATGTTGCCCAGGCTGGAGTGCATTGGCTATTCACAGGAATGATCTCACTACTGATCAGCATGGGCGTTTTGACCTGCTCCGTTTCTGACATTAACATATAATTTAATGGAAAATATTACTTCTGGAGATTATTATTATTATTATTTTTGAGATGGAGTCTCACTCTGTTGCCCAGGCTGGAGTGCAGCGGCGCTATCTTGGCTCACTGCAACCTCCACCTCCACCAAGCAATTCTCCCACCTCAGCCTCCCAAGTAGCTGGGATTACAGGCGCAGGCCACCACATCCGGCTAATTTTTTGTATTTTTAGCAGAGACGGGGGTCTCACCATGTTGGCCAGGGTGGTCTTGAACTCCTGACCTCAAGTGATCACCTGCCTTTGCCTCCCAAAGTGCTGGGATTACAGGCATGAGCTACCACACTCAGCCACTTCTAGAGATACTAAACTCATTCTTTTCATTTCCTCAAATTAAATACTTAGACGACTTTCACTTCAAATATATAGAATGCCTTATTGTTGCCCTATGTACTTCATAAAATATTGTATTTTCCCATGTACTTCAAAACCTTTACTTTCTTCTGAACTTTGAACAGTGCAGTCAAAGCTGAGTTGGCTATAGATAGTTTAATATGAACCATATTTTATATTAAATAATTTTTTATTAACCAAAATAATTATAGGTTACTATAAGCAATTCATATATCAATTTAATATGGCTGGGCAAAATATAATTGTAAATGTACGTATGTAAAAAAATCCTTGTATGTATTTTGAATACAAATAAAAATGATTAGAAAAGTTTTTTTATTATTTACTCTTAAAATGTATTTATGCCTCCACTTTTCTTTATCACTTCGAATAACCTAGAGGTAATTGTATTTGCCTTATCTTTAATTTCACTCATGAGGGCTTTCTTCCTGTCTCTTTCTCTTCTTTTATCTCTAACTTTGATAGAGGATTTAAGCTATATTTTACACAGCGTAAGCAGTGTTCTTAATACACACCTGACATTTCTTTACAGCATTCTTTGTTGCTAATATTTTTATTATATCACCACTGATTCTGAAAAATATTGAAAAAATTAAATTTTACAGACCCATTTATAGTTTACATGTAACATAAATTATTTCATGTGTATTCCAGACAGAGTGGCTAGAAAACAAATGCATATTAAGGCTATTATTTTTTAATAGCTAAGAATATGTATCTTCCCTTTACATGTGGAAAGAGGTACTATGAAAGATAAAATTATTGGATATTTACCAGTAATCTGAAGAAAGAAAATGACAGAAACAAATCATAACAAACCAATGCTGACTTAGTATTTTTACTCTGAGAGGGAGTTCAAATATTAAAACTTAACAAATGTCGTCCTTATGCATTAAAAATAGTAAAAAAAAAAATGCATGGATGTATTTGTTGGTTGCAGTATAACCCAGCTCTCTCTTAATGGTTTTTGTAATTAATTGAAACTGTTGAATAAAGGGAGGTACATGGCCAACGAGTGGTCATGCATTTCAATGAGAGCTGGGCCCAGGGCCATTGGCCAGCATTTATGGGAGTGAAAAGGCTTCAAAAATATAATCTTTCATCTAAAGTTCCTTCTATGAAACTTTTTAAAAATCAAGGATAAAAAAAGTTAGAGAGATTTTACCAATTTTGGGATTCCCATATGTTTGATATTTAAAAAAGGTTATGTGAGGATCTTGTATATGTCTATTCAAATCTATGAGTTGGAGAAGAAGCATACACAGGCATGCTTCTCACATCCCACACACACTTACATTCAGGTAGTCATGTCCTCCTTTAATATTTTTCCCTCTGAATCTTTTATTGATCATTTAAAACTCAGCCTCGATGTTCTGTTTCATCCAACTGATCTGATTGCAAAGAGGACCAAGGCCAAGCATACCATTACCCAAGAATTGATGGTTCCAATGCCACCAGAATAAGCCTGGTCACATTCCAGCCACTGCCACCCTAATCACATCGTTGTTGCAAGTCATTGACAGGGTATAATGAACATATGGCTGATATGCTTTGAATGATAATTCTTTCATTTTTGTCTTAGGGATCCAAAGGCTGTTCATTTTCTCTGAAAAAGCATCTCTTACAAAATTCTGTGGCTTTAATATTCATTTTGAAACTACATGTTATTATATTTAGGACATAAATTATATTTTAAAGTGAATTCTGAGGGGAGAGGTGCCATTTTGGCATTTTATCATAATTTGGCATCTATTTGCTGAATTATGAAGATTCAATAATATTTATCTAATAAAAATAATGTACAGTTGAATTGGGAAAACAACATAAACATGGGTATAAAAGATATGTATTCATATATTTTTAAAAGGCAATGCAGAAAAAGAGAATTTGTCATAAAACAATACATTGTAGCCAAGGGGGTGATGTAAATAATTTAAAAATAATACTACTATACATCATATTTATATATTATTTATATATGATATTTGACATTTATTGAATTCTTACTGTTTACCAGCCACTGGACCAAGCTCTTCATATCATTTTACCCTGATGCATTTATACAATATTTATAAAAACTGTATAAGTTACATGATGAGTCCTATAAATTCATATCTGGAGTGATTATCCTGTAACCCTGTAATAAAAGGTCAAAAAATACTTTTGAAAAGGTGAAAAATGTGAACTGTGTTGTAAGTGTCTGATGACTAGGACCTAAAATTTCCATCATGCCAAAGTATAGAAAAGCACATCATAAATAGAGGACATAGTTTTAGGGAAAAATGTGGCAACAAATTTGTGATGACATCATTTAGAAAATATTGACAATATCAGTTTGGCAATTGGGAAACAGTGAATGCAGTGGCTGGAAATGGGTAGAATTTAGAAACGCAGTTTGCAGAGGGTTTTATGCTCTTAGCTAAGATTGTTAAATCTTATGTGCTGCTTAATATATACCAGACACTCTTTGAAAGGCTGTATATATGAGAAATAATTATGAATTTTATATTTACAAGAGCCATATGAGATGGGCACTTTTATTATCCCCAACTTACAATGGATGATATTGAATCCCAGAGTTTGACTTGTCCAGGATCACAAAAGTAGTAGTAACAGACTAAGTATTTGGATTTTTTCAGGTAGATGATGGAGAGTCATGGTCTCTTACCATGTTGTGTAGGAGAATGAGATATTAAAGGTTCAAGATTATTAAGTTCTTCAGACGAGTAAAATGGGAGAATAATGTTTCCATTGATAAAATAGGAAGTCAAAATGGGAATCCAATGGAGAGAACTTAACTGAAATAGTATGATTTCTTCTGCATTTTTAGAAAGTGAAAGAAGCAGGATAACTTTCTCAAGGGCACTATTATGAAAACTGAATCAAGACTTGCTCTTTTGTAATTTTTAATTTTACTTGACTTTCTACAAAGACAGGGTCACCATACGAATATTAAAAGGTTCTTCAGAGAGGTGGTTCTGGATGATACATTATTAGAAAATCATCTATAGTTTACCCGTGTCAAACTTCTTTGAAACCTAGCCAATTTATTTACATAGTCTCCAGTTACAGAGTGAGAGCATAGCCCTGGGAGGGGTAGAAAAGGAAGAAGATCCTGGTAGCATATTTACACTAAGATCAATAGTACCAACATCAGATCATTTATGTATTATTTTTCAATTGTTGAAAGGATTGCACGCTAGAGTGCTGGCTACACATGTGTGCAGGTCCTGTGGCAGGGGCAAAGTTATCATCTGTGAAGAGAGAATCCCTAGTTTATGTCTGGTCCTGAGACTTACAAATATAATCCCAGGAACATCTGACTTACATGCTCAATATCTTCATTTTTAACATAAATTATTTTAGAGATTGCCAGATTATCAATTAAATGAGATATACATGTGCATCCCGGCATTTTATTTATCTTATTTCAACATTTAATTTACAGCTACTTTTAATTATTTTCTTGTACATTATATACTTGTACATTACTTTATAGATAGAGTGGGTTTTATTATAAGCCCAATTTCAGTGGGTGACCAGTGAAAGCAGCAGACACATTAAACAGCATGGGAGTGTGCAGTATTGATGTTCTCTTTGCAAGATGTAGGAAACTGATCTCATTATGGCACAAGGTTGATTAACAGCCTGGGCTTTGAATTACACAATATAGAAGGAAGGCAGCATTAGGTGAATCCACAGTCGCGTTTAATTTTTGTTTTTAGAAAGTGGTCTAGAACATCTCCACATTTTACTTTACAGAAAAGCAGTTGAAAACAACTTATTTTCTGCATTGCCTTACTAGCAGAGGAAAAATAAAAAGAAAAAGAAAACCATGTGTATAGGTGAGGCTCTGTGTGTGTGCGCCTACCGAGCTTATCGGTTAATCAAAATAAGTAATTAATTCTTTCTGTAATCTCATTCTTTCAACTTGGCCACCTATTTTCTTAACATTTAATTTACAGCTACTTTTAATTATTTTCTTACAGCACACTTACATTAAATTGCTCTTTGATATCACTACTACTTTAGTAATTTCTATCTGATCTAAAGCGTTTATTATCTATCGTGTCTTATTTGCTATTCAGAACTCTCCAACTGGGAATCTGTATAATTCAGAATTAATTATAAAAAAGGTATTGTAATGTCAGAACTTATATCCTTAAAAACACAATGCCTATCCCGGCCAGAATGCCACTGGAGAAATGTCCTTGACAACTACATTATCAAACAACATCAATTGGGTTGGCAAAGGTTAAGACTGACAATTACCTCTGGTTGCTGCTCAAATGGCCACTGTGCATCCTGGCATTTTATTTATCTTATTTCAACAGAATGAGAGTTTAAGTACACAAAGTAATTACCTGAAGGCTGAACAGATTGGAGTGGACATTGCATCCTCATCAGAATTCAGTAGCCGTGTAAAAGAATGCGGATAAGCACCGAAAGGACAGGGATAAATGATTGGCACAGAAAAAGAAAACTCCATGTTGTTCCTTAATTGATATGAAAAAGAAGGGATGAGAAGGGATGGTGTCACCTTAGCTTTGTTTTTCCACCACTTTTTAGGTTGGCATATGAATATAAACTTAATTCATTTGAAGATTTCTAATTGTCATTCATGTAGTCTTAAAGAACCAGGTCCGGTCAGAAAGGAAAAAAAATGGAAAAGGCACTTCCGTATACCCTTCTATAAACTTTGTCACTACATTGTTTTTCAAAAACATAAACTCCAGCATTAAAACAACATCACAAAAGGGGTGCACCATCCATCACACTTGAACTATATACAGTTGTGCCAGAAAATATAGCTATATTTTTAATAAAGATCCTTAACATATTCTCTCAGGTGATTAAATGAGAAAGATTTCTGGAATAAATTCAGCTTATATTAAAAGAAAACAGATGTTTTGTTTTATATTAATTCAGACTTGGATTAACACCAAATTATTTGCATGTGAGCCTGAGAATAATATGTACTGCACTTTATTTCCCAGAATAATAAAAAATGTTGACAAGTAGAACAAGTATTAAATACAACTATTTCTTATAGGAAATCCTTTGTATTTGTCATAAATTAACTTATGAGGAACTCTCACTAATTTAGAAGCCTAGAAATAATTTGAATGGATAAAATTAAATATAGGGGCCAGGCGTGGTGGCTCATACCTGTAATCCCAGCATGCTAGGAGGCCATGACAGGCAGATCACAAGGTCAAGAGATGGAGACCATCCTGGCCAACATAGTGAAACCTCGTCTCTACTAGAAATACAAAAATTAGCTGGGCGTGGTGGCACACACCTGTAGTCCCAGCTACTCGGGAGGGGAGAATGGTTCAAAACTGGGAGGTGGAGGTTGCAGTGGGCCGAGATCGTGCCACTGCACTCCAGCCTGATGACAGAACGAGATTCCATCTTACAAAAAAAAAATTAAATGTAGGAAATTATTGGAGAAGAACTATATGAGTGGGTTAATTTATACTTCCTCAGAATGCATGTTATAGGTTTATAAAAAATGATAGGAAGTATACATATGTAAATTCTTTGCAGGATTCATGGCAATAGAATGAAAATATAACTGAAATGGAATAAATATCTATCAATACAAGATTGTCAAATAAACTATGGGATAACCATAAGATGAAATAACATATAACCCTAAAAATATGAAGGGCAATTTATATGCAGTTAGAGAAGACTTTTATCATTCATACTTTTATTGTAGAACAGAGTGTTTAGTATAATCCTAAATTTGTTCAAATAATAAAAGTAAGTTAATCAAGTTAATGATTACAAATTTAAACATAAATATTAAATCCAGAAACTGATTTCCTCTATGAATTAATAATAACAATAGATGTGGGGGGAACCTTTTAATATTTTCCTTATGCTCTTTTACAAAGTTTAAAAATTTAAGTATGATAAAGTACTATGTTTATAATAATAAAATAAAATGTTTGTTTTTTAAAGAAACCTACTCCATTTTACTTCAACCCTAGTTGTGTCCATGTTTTATAAAATCTGTCTTTTTATGTTTTTAGTCATTAAAAAAATCCATAATGTTCTTTGAGGAGATATTACAAAGACTTCCTTTATGGTTCTTCATATTATGTAGACAACAAACACATTTTTTGTAAGAACATTTCTGTATCTAATTCACCTGATCAAGAAACTGATTTCTGGTAAAAAACAGTGTTCCTGTTTTAAGTCAATCAGAACATGGTCATGATACACATTCTACTTATATCTCTCTTGGAGAATGTGTTTAATGATTTTTGTGATGATGACCCTAAAAGTATTTTCAACTTTCTAAATTATTTAGCTTAATATTGTTTTAAATTTAATAGCTGTTTTTATTATCTACATTGTAAAATGCTGCATAATGATATAAAAATCATTTGTATTTTAGATTAAATATTTCATTAAATGGAGATATAATTAAAATGACCATTGTACAATATGAATAGATTCTCATTTTAGCTTGAGCTTTACTCTTCCTATTTGTTCCTGTGATTATAAGCCTTTAACTATTTAATACAGAAACAGTATGATTTATTGATAAAACACTGTTATTTATTGAATAGGCTCTAAATCTAAATCTATATGGAATAGAGTAATGTACAGTTTTCAAACATTAAAAATAGCTTTGGAAAAACATTCAAGTTCTGTAAATTACACCAAGTAAATATTTATCTTTTATTAAGTTTTCTCTCAAAATGACTGGGGCAAGTGAACAAACAGCTATATGGTATACACTGCTGAAAAGTTTGGTCCAAGTTTTAAAGATATTAAAGATACAGAATCAAAATATCCATGGACTAATTCGGGAGATGCCTATTCTGTCTTTTGCAATGAGATTAGTGGTGACACATTTACTGCAAATGGGGAAGTTTGAGGGAGATCTGTTTTGTAGTACTCTTTCTTTTTAAAAGTCTTAGCTTTGGGGGACAGTGAACTAATGGAGATATTCAGTAAGCAAAGAAAAATGTGAAATTGAAGGCATAAAAAGAAAATGAGAGTTGAGATGCATTGCAGCCTTCACTGTGTTTGGATCACCTAATGTAAAGCATGTAAAGAAAAAAAGAGTAGAAAAATAAGTTATCAAGGTTTGAAAAGAAGCCCAAGAAAGAGGAGGAAGGCTGAGTAAACAGAATCCTAGAGAGAATTTCATCATGGCAATCAAGAGAGGAGAAGTTTTACAAAGGTGTAGTATACAACGATGCCAAATGCAGCAGCGGATTTTAGACACAAACTAAAAATGTTTGCGAGTGATACACAAACCTCACTTTCTTTCTACATGTTTATTACTAAGTAATATTTATAAAGCTCTTGGAACAGTAACCTGTACTTAATAAACCATGGAAGTGTTTGATAAATAAAGGTATAATGATTTAGAATTAGAGAGGTCACAGGTGACTTCCATGATAAGCAGATCCAGTAAAAGTTAGATTGGACTGAGGACTAAAAGCAGAGACAGCAAATATATGCCTCACTTTTGAAAACATTTTGTATACAACAAAAAGAGAAAGAAGTCCAAGATTTCTGTCACAGAAAGGAGAATTAATGGTTTACAAAGGTTTGGTGATAAAAGGTTGAGCGTTCATACATGATAACCCAAATTTTATCAGTTAAATTGATTTTTTTTTTAAAAAAGGGTCATCTATGCTGGAGACCTAAGGCTTAAATTCAGTGGTAAAGGCATGGAAACATGATTGGATGCAATTAGGTTTCTACAAATGAGACTCAAAAAAGAAAGAAAAAAAGTCTTATTGTCAATAAGAGCTTTTTTTTGTTTTGTTTTGTTTTTTTTTGGTAGAGTTTTGCTCTGTCGCCTATGCTGGAGTGCAATGGCATGATATCGGCTCACTGTAATCTCCACCCACCAGGTTTGAGTGATTCTCCTGCCTCAGGCTCCCAAGTAGCTGGGATTACAGGGATGCGCCACCGCACCTGGCTAATTTTTGTATTTTTAATAGGGACAAGGTTTCACCATGTTGGTCAGGCTGGTCTCGAACTCCTGACCTCAGGTGGTCTGCCTACCTTGGCCTCCTAAAGTGCTGGGATTACAGGCATGAGCCACCGTGCCCAGCCAAGAGTATTGCTTTTATCATCTGAATCTGTCTTGAAACTTCTGCTTGTCCCTTGTGAGTGAGTGAAGGAGAAAATTTTCCAGTCCCAGTTGTGGGTATGTACAATCATGTTAGTCTATCTTCTGTTGCAAGGGTAGTACTTGTGTCTTCAGTTAACACTGAGGAAGTCAAAGGAGGCACAACTATTTTAAATCTTTTTATTGCCTCAAACAATTGCAACTAGTAGTCTTATTTTTATGGTGGTAAACTAGGTAAAAGAGATTTAGTGTCTAACCAAAGATCAGTGTTACTGCCCCAATGTAGGTAGGGGCAGAAGCCTCCAGGGTTTCCTAATAGAATTCGTCAGTGAACATTCTTTCATGGATAAGCCATTTGATATGAAAATGCATCACCTAAAATCTGTCGGGAGGAGCCAAGATGGCCAAATAGGAACAGCCCCGGTCTACAGCTCCCAGCCTGAGCGACGCAGAAGACGGGTGATTTCTGCATTTCCATCTGAGGTACCGGGTTCATCTCACTAGGGAGTGCCAGACAGTGGGCGCAGGTCAGTGGGTGCGCGCACCGTGCACGAGACGAAGCAGGGCGAGGCATTGCCTCACTTGGGAAGCGCAAGGGGTCAGGGAGTTCCCTTTCCGAGTCAAAGAAAGGGGTGACGGACGCACCTGGAAAATCGGGTCACTCCCACCCGAATATTGCGCTTTTCCGACCGGCTTAAAAAACGGCGCACCACGAGATTATATCCCACACATGGCTCGGAGGGTCCTACGCCCACGGAGACTCACTGATTGCTAGCACAGCAGTCTGAGATCAAACTGCAAGGCAGCAGCGAGGCTGGGGGAGGGGCGCCCGCCATTGCCCAGGATTGCTTAGGTAAACAAAGCAGCCGGGAAGGCGAACTGGGTGGAGCCCACCACAGCTCAAGGAGGCCTGCCTGCCTCTGTAGGCTCCACCTCTGGGGGCAGGGCACAGACAAACAAAAAGACAGCAGTAGTAACCTCTGCAGACTTAAATGTCCCTGTCTGACAGCTTTGAAGAGAGCAGTGGTTCTCCTAGCACGCAGCTGGAGATCTGAGAACGGGCAGACTGCCTCCTCAAGTGGGTCCCTGACCCCTGACCCCCTAGCAGCCTAACTGGGAGGCACCCCCCAGCAGGGGCACACTGACACCTCACACGGCAGGGTATTCCAACAGACCTGCAGCTGAGGGTCCTGTCTGTTAGAAGGAAAACTAACAAACAGAAAGGACATCCACACCAAAAACACATCTGTACATCATCATCATCAAAGATCAAAAGTAGATAAAACCACAAAGATGGGGAAAAAACAGAACAGAAAAACTGGAAACTCTAAAACGCAGAGCGCCTCTCCTCCTCCAAAGGAACGCAGTTCCTCACCAGCAACGGAACAAACCTGGATGGAGAATGACTTTGACGAGCTGAGAGAAGAAGGCTTCAGACGATCAAATTACTCTGAGCTACGGGAGGACATTCAAACCAAAGGCAAAGAAGTTGAAAACTTTGAAAAAAATTTAGAAGAATGTATAACTAGAATAACCAATACAGAGAAGTGCTTAAAGGAGCTGATGGAGCTGAAAACCAAGGCTCGAGAACTACGAGAAGAATGCAGAAGCCTCAGGAGCCGATGCGATCAACTGGAAGAAAGGGTATCAGCATTGGAAGATGAAATGAATGAAATGAAGCGAGAAGGGAAGTTTAGAGAAAAAAGAATAAAAAGAAATCAGCAAAGACTCCAAGAAATATGGGACTATGTGAAAAGACCCAATCTACGTCTGATTGGTGTACCTGAAAGTGATGGGGAGAATGGAACCAAGTTGGAAAACACTCTGCAGGATATTATCCAGGAGAACTTCCCCAATCTAGCAAGGCAGGCCAACGTTCAGATTCAGGAAATACAGAGAACACCACAAAGATACTCCTTGAGAAGAGCAACTCCAAGACACATAATTGTCAGATTCACCAAAGTTGAAATGAAGGAAAAAATGTTAAGGGCAGCCAGAGAGAAAGGTCGGGTTACCCTCAAAGGGAAGCCCATCAGACTAACAGCGGATCTCTCGGCAGAAACCCTACAAGCCAGAAGAGAGTGGGGGCCAATATTCAACATTCTTAAAGAAAAGAATTTTCAACCCAGAATTTCATATCCAGCCAAACTAAGCTTCATAAGTGAAGGAGAAATAAAATACTTTACAGACAAGCAAATGCTGAGAGATTTTGTCACCACCAGGCCTGCCCTAAAAGAGCTCCTGAAGGAAGCACTAAACATGGAAAGGAACAACCTGTACCAGCCACTGCAAAAACATGCCAAAATGTAAAGAACATCGAGACTAGGAAGAAACTGCATCAACTAACGAGCAAAATAACCAGCTAACATCATAATGACAGGATCAAATTCACACATAACAATATTAACTTTAAATGTAAATGGACTAAATGCTCCAATTAAAAGACACAGACTGACAAATTGGATAAAGAGTCAAGACCCATCAGTGTGCTGTATTCAGGAAACCCATCTCACGTGCAGAGACACACATAGGCTCAAAATAAAAGGATGGAGGAAGATCTACCAAGCAAATGCAAAACAAAAAAAGGCAGGGGTTGCAATCCTAGTCTCTGATAAAACAGACTTTAAACCAACAAAGATCAAAAGAGACAAGGCCATTACATAATGGTAAAGGGATCAATTCAACAACAAGAGCTAACTATCCTAAATATATATGCACCCAATACAGGAGCACCAAGATTCATAAAGCAAGTCCTGAGTGACCTACACAGAGACTTAGACTCCCACACATTAATAATGGGAGACTTTAACACCCCACTGTCAACATTAGACAGATCAACGAGACAGAAAGTCAACAAGGATACCCAGGAATTGAACTCAGCTCTGCACCAAGCGGACCTAATAGACATCTACAGAACTCTCCACCCCAAATCAACAGAATATACATTTTTTCCAGCACCACATCACACCTATTCCAAAATTGACCATATACTTGGAAGTAAAGCTCTCCTCAGCAAATGTAAAAGAACAGAAATTATAACAAACTATCTCTCAGACCACAGTGCAATCAAACTAGAACTCAGGATTAAGAATCTCACTCAAAACCACTCAACTACATGGAAACTGAACAACCTGCTCCTGAATGACTACTGGGTACATAATGAAATGAAGGCAGAAATAAAGATGTTCTTTGAAACCAACGAGAACAAAGACACAACATACCAGAATCTCTGGGACACATTCAAAGCAGTGTGTAGAGGGAAATTTATAGCACTAAATGCCCACAAGAGAAAGCAGGAAAGATCCAAAATTGAAATCCTAACATCACAATTAAAAGAACTAGAAAAGCAAGAGCAAACACATTCAAAAGCTAGCAGAAGGCAAGAAATAACTAAAATCAGAGCAGAACTGAAGGAAATAGAGACACAAAAAACCCTTCAAAAAATTAATGAATCCAGGAGCTGGTTTTTTGAAAGGATTAACAAAATTGATAGACCACTAGCAAGACTAATAAAGAAAAAAAGAGAGAAGAATCAAATAGACACAATAAAAAATGATAAAGGGGATATCACCACCGATCCCACAGAAATACAAACTACCATCAGAGAATACTATAAACACCTCTACGCAAATAAACTAGAAAATCTAGAAGAAATTGATAAATTCCTTGACACATACACTCTCCCAAGACTAAACCAGGAAGAAGTTGAATCTCTGAATAGACCAATAACAGGCTCTGAAATTGTGGCAATAATCAATAGCTTACCAACCAAAAAAGAGTCCAGGACCAGATGGATTCACAACCCAATTCTACCAGAGGTACAAGGAGGAACTGGTACCATTCCTTCTGAAACTATTCCAGTCAATAGAAAAAGAGGGAATCCTCCCTAACTCATTTTATGAGGCCAGCATCATTCTGATACCAAAGCCGGGCAGAGACACAACCAAAAAAGAGAATTTTAGACCAATATCCTTGATGAACATTGATGCAAAACTCCTCAATAAAATACTGGCAAAACGAATCCAGCAGCACATCAAAAAGCTTATCCACCATGATCAAGTGGGCTTCATCCCTGGGATGCAAGGCTGGTTCAATATACGCAAATCAATAAATGTAATCCAGCATATAAACAGAGCCAAAGACAAAAACCACATGATTATCTCAATAGATGCAGAAAACGCCTTTGACAAAATTCAACAACCCTTCATGCTAAAAACTCTCAATAAATTAGGTATTGATGGGACGTATTTCAAAATAATAAGAGTGATCTATGACAAACCCACAGCCAATATCATACTGAATGGGCCAAAACTGGAAGCATTCCCTTTGAAAACTGGCACAAGACAGGGATGCCCTCTCTCACCACTCCTATTCAACATAGTGTTGGAAGTTCTGGCCAGGGCAATTAGGCAGGAGAAGGAAATAAAGGGTATTTAATTAGGAAAAGAGGAACTCAAATTGTCCCTGTTTGCAGACAACGACATGATTGTATATCTAGAAAACCCCATTGTCTCAGCCCAAAATCTCCTTAAGCTGATAAGCAACTTCAGCAAAGTCTCAGGATACAAAATCAATGTACAAAAATCACAAGCATTCTTATACACCAACAACAGACAAACAGAGAGCCAAATCATGAGTGAACTCCCATTCACAATTGCTTCAAAGAGAATAAAATACCTAGGAATCCTACTTACATGGGATGTGAAGGACCTCTTCAAGGAGAACTACAAACCACTGCTCAAGGAAATAAAACAGGATACAAAGAAAGGGAAGAACATTCCATGCTCATGGGTAGGAAGAATCAATATCGTGAAAATGGCCATCCTGCCCAAGGTAATTTACAGATTCAATGCCATCCCCATCAAGCTACTAATGACTTTCTTCACAGAATTGGAAAAACTACTTTAAAGTTCATATGGAACCAAAAAAGAGCCCACATCGCCAAGGCAATCCTAAGACAAAAGAACAAAGCTGGAGGCATCACACTACCTGACTTCAAACTATACTACAAGGCTACAGTAACCAAAACAGCATGGTACTGGTACCAAAACAGACATATGGATCAATGGAACAGAACAGAGCCCTCAGAAATAACACCGCATATCTACAACTATCTGATCTTTGACAAACCTGAGAAAAAGAAGCAATGGGGAAAGGATTCCCTATTTAATAAATGGTGCTGGCAAAACTGGCTAGCCATATGTAGAAAGCTGAAACTGGATCCCTTCCTTACACCTTATACAAAAATCAATTCAAGATGGATTAAAGACTTAAGCGTTAGACCTAAAACCATAAAAACCCTAGAAGAAAACCTAGGCATTACCATTCAGGACATAGGCATGGGCAAGGACTTCATGTCTAAAACACCAAAAGCAATGGCAACAAAAGCCAAAATTGACAAATGGGATCTAATTAAACTAAAGAGCTTCTGCACAGCAAAAGAAACTACCATCAGAGTGAACAGGCAACCTACAAAATGGGAGAAAATTTTCGCAACCTACTCATCTGACAAAGGGCTAATATCCAGAATCTACAATGAACTCAAACAAATTTACAAGAAAAAAACAAACAACCCCATCAAAAAGTGGACGAAGGACATGAACAGACACTTCTCAAAAGAAGACATTTATGCAGCCAAAAAACACATGAAAAAATGCTCATCACCACTGGCCATCAGAGAAATGCAAATCAAAACCACAATGAGATACCATGTCACACCAGTTAGAATGGCAATCATTAAAAAGTCAGGAAACAACAGGTGCTGGAGAGGATGTGGAGAAATAGGAACACTTTTACACTGTTGGTGGGACTGTAAACTAGTTCAACCATTGTGGAAGTCAGTGTGGCGATTCCTCAAGGATCTAGAACTAGAAATACCATTTGACCCAGCCATCCCATTACTTGGTATATACCCAAAGGACTATAAATCATGCTGCTATAAAGACACATGCACACGTATGTTTATTGCGGCATTATTCACAATAGCAAAGACTTGGAGCCAACCCAAATGTCCAACAATGATAGACTGGATTAAGAAAATGTGGCACATATACACCATGGAATACTATGCAGCCATAAAAAATGATGAGTTCATGTCCTTTGTAGGGACATGGATGAAATTGGAAATCATCATTCTCAGTAAACTATCGCAAGAACAAAAAACCAAACACCGCATATTCTCACTCATAGGTGGGAACTGAACAATGAGAACACGTGGACACAGGAAGGGGAATATCACACTCTGGGGACTGTGGTGGGGTGGGGGGAGGGGGGAGGGATAGCATTGGGAGATATACCTAATGCTAGACGACGAGTTAGTGGGTGCAGTGCACTAGCATGGCACATGTATACATATGTAACTAACCTGAACAATGTGCACATGTACCCTAAAACTTAAAGTATAATTAAAAAAAAATAAATAAAATAAAATAAAATAAAATTTAAATCTATTCTAAACAAGAAAGAAAATGCATCACCTATGCTTGCATAAGATTTGTTGTTATTGTCGTTTTTATTCAATTGTTCTATCGAAAAGACAATACAAGGGAAAGTATTTTATATAGGTATAAAGTGACTAAGGAGATTTTGCTGGTAACAAATTTTCCTTCAAAAAGTCTGTTTATTTATTTAGAGAATCAGAATTCATTATCTAAGACTGCACCTTTTTATGATGAACACTTACATACATAGAAAATAGGACAACCTCTTCTAGCTCATGACTTACTGGAGGGAGGAAATACAGTATCACAATTGAGATGAAGTGCTAGAATAGAATGTCTTTTATATATGTGTTGGTAGTTTGGGCTAAAAATGACACAGTCTATCATAAATAAGACAGTACAATTCATTGAGAAATAGCCAATAAAAGTTGCATATCACTTCATGGAAGGCTAGAATGAAATCTTGGGTGATTCCATAACAGAGAACACAGTGCAAAACATGGTTTGAATATTGGGAAAGCTTCTTAAAAACCCGGCTTTCCTACAGTAGATTGTCTCATAGAAATAAAAAGACATCAACCTCTCCATAATCCTGAACATGAAATGAGAAATCTTACTAAGAACAGCTGCAGCTGCTTTTTCAAGAGAAGAAGATGTGATGATGTGGTAACAGATGCTCTGCTTCTCCCTCAGTGACAAACCATATTGGTGATTTCAAGTAGGGCTGGCATCTCAAAGAAAGCAATTAAGTTCTTTCTGAGTGATGGTGGTAAACCAAAGTGATTAGGACAGATTAAAGCACAGAAAGATAAACATCTTCCCCAAACAGAGGCTGAAGTTACATGACCACAATTAGTTTGGCAGGAAAAAAAAAAAGTCATGCATATGGTCATGGGCAGCAAATATATGTTTATTTCATATAAAATGGTTATTAAAATTATTTAATTTAAGATGACATATGCAGTCACATCAAGAAAATATTTTTGGTTAAAGTATTTGCTAATATTCTTTTATAATAGTTAAACAGTATATGGCCATGTTTTAAAGCTACTGTTTTAGAGAGAATTTTATTTTATTTTATTTGTTTATTTATTTATTTTTTGGCTTCAACGACAAACATTTATTTCTCGCAGTTCTGGAGGCTAAGAAGTTCAAGGGCAAGGTGCAGGAAGATCCAGTATCTTGTTAACCGGGGCGCACTTCCTGGTTTACAGATGGCCATCTTCTGGTTGCATGCTCCCATGGCAAAGCAGAGAGATAAAGCAAGCTCTCATGTGTCTCATTATAAGGGCACTGATGCCATTTTTTTTTTAATTATTATTATTCTTTAAGTTTCAGGGTACATGTGCACAATGTGCAGGTTTGTTACATATGTATACATGTGCCATGTTGGTGTGCCGCACCCATTAACTTGTCATTTAGCATTAGGTATATCTCCTAATGCTATCCCTCCCCCCTCCCCCCACCCCACAACAGTCCCTGGAGTATGATGTTCCCTTTCCTGTGTCCATGTGTTCTCATTGTTCAATTCCCACCTATGAGTGATAACATGTGGTGTTTGGTTTTCTGTCCTTGTGATAGTTTGCTGAGAATGATGGTTTCCAGATTCATCCATGTCCCTACGAAGGACATGAACTCATCATTTTTATGGCTGCACAGTATTCCATGGTGTACATGTGCCACATTTTCTTAATCCAGTCTATCATTGTTGGACATTTGGGTTGGTTCCAAGTCTTTGCTATTGTGAATAGTGCTGCAATAAACATACATGTGCATGTGTCTTTTTTTTTATTATTATTATACTTTAAGTTTTAGGGTACATGTGCACAATGTGCAGGTTAGTTACATATGTATACATGTGCCATGCTGGTGCGCTGCACCCACTAACTCGTCATCAAGCATTAGATGTATCTCCCAGTGCTATCCCTCCCCCCTCCCCCCAACCCACAGCAGTCCCCAGAGTGTGATGTTCCCCTTCCTGTGTCCATGTGTTCTCATTGTTCAGTTCCCACCTATGAGTGAGAATATGCGGTGTTTGGTTTTTTGTTCTTGTGATAGTTTACTGAGAATGATGATTTCCAATTTCATCCATGTCCCTACAAAGGACATGAACTCATCATTTTTTATGGCTGCATAGTATTCCATGGTGTATATGTGCCACATTTTCTTAATTCAGTCTATCATTGTTGGACATTTGGGTTGGTTCCAAGTCTTTGCTATTGTGAATAATGCCGCAATAAACATATGTGTGCATGTGCTTTTACAGCAGCATGATTTATAGTCCTTTGGGTATATACCCAGTAATGGGATGGCTGGGTCAAATGGTATTTCTAGTTCTAGATCCCTGAGGAATCGCCACACTGACTTCCACAATGGTTGAACTAGTTTACAGTCCCACCAGAAAGGGCTAATATCCAGAATCTACAACGAACTCAAACAAATTTACAAGAAAAAAACAAACAACCCCATCAAAAGTGGGCGAAGGACATGAATAGACACTTCTCAAAAGAAGACATTTATGCAGCCAAAAAACACATGAAAAAATGCTCACCATCACTGGCCATCAGAGAAATGCAAATCAAAACCACAATGAGATACCATCTCACACCAGTTAGAATGGCAATCATTAAAAAGCCAGGAAACAACAGGTGCTGGAGAGGATGTGGAGAAATAGGAACACTTTTACACTGTTGGTGTCCATGTGTCTTTATAGCAGCATGATTTATATTCCTTTGGGTATATACCCAGTAATGGGATGGCTGTGTCAAATGGTATTTCTAGTTCTAAATCCCTGAGGAATCACCACACTGACTTCCACAATGGTTGAACTAGCTTACAGTCCCACCAAGAGTGTGAAAGTGTTCCTATTTCTCCACATCCTCTCCAGCACCTGTTGTTTCCTGACTTTTAATGATCGCCATTCTAACTGATGTGAGATGGTATCTCATTGTGGTTTTGATTTGCATTTCTCTGATGGCCAGTGATGATGAGCATTTTTTCATGTGTTTTTTTGGCTGCATAAATGTCTTCTTTTGAGAAGTGTCTGTTCATATCCTTCGCCCACTTTTTGATGGGGTTGTTTGTTTTTTTCTTGTAAATTTGTTTGGGTTCATTATAGATTCTTGATATTAGCCCTTTGTCAGATGAGTAGGTCGCGAAAATTTTCTCCCATTTTGTAGGTTGTCTGTTCACTCTGATGGTAGTTTCTTTTGCTGTGCAGAAGCTCTTTAGTTTAATTAGATCCCATTTGTCAATTTTGGCTTTTGTTGCCATTGCTTTTGGTGTTTTAGACATGAAGTCCTTGCCCATGCCTATGTCCTGAATGGTATTGCCTAGGTTTTCTTCCAGGGTTTTTATGGTTTTCAGTCTAACATTTAAGTCTTTAATCCATCTTGAATTAATTTTTGTATAAGGTGTAAATAAGGGATCCACTTTCAGCTTTCTCCATATGGCTAGCCAGTTTTGCCAGCACCATTTATTAAATAGGGAATCCTTTCCCCATTGCTTCTTTTTCTCAGGTTTGTCAAAGATCAGATGGTTGTAGATATGCAGAATTATTTCTGAGGGCTCTGTTCTGTTACATTGATCTATATCTCTGTTTCGGTACCAGTACCTTGCTGTTTTGGTTACTGTAGCCTTGTAGTATAGTTTGAAGTCAGGTAACGTGATGCCTCCGGCTTTGTTCTTTTGGCTTAGGACTGACTTGGCAATGTGGGCTCTTTTTTGGTTCCATATGAACTTTAAAGTAGTTTTTTTCCAATTCTGTGAAGAAAGTCATTAGTAGCTTGATGGGGATGGCATTGAATCTGTAAATTACCTTGGGCAGGATGGCCATTTTCACGATATTGATTCTTCCTACTCATGAGCATGGAATGTTCTTCCATTTGTTTGTATCCTCTTTTATTTCATTGAGCAGTGGTTTGTAGTTCTCCTTGAAGAGGTCCTTCACATCCCTTGTAAGTTGAATCACCACCGATCCTACAGAAATACAAACTACCATCAGAGAATACTATAAACACCTCTATGCAAATAAACTAGAAAATCTAGATCAAATGGATAAATTCCTCGACACATGCACCCTCCCAAGACTAAACCAGGAAGAAGTTGAATCTCTGAATAGACCAATAACAGGCTCTGAAATTGTGGCAATAATCAATAGCTTACCAACCAAAAAAAGTCCAGGACCAGATGGATTCACAGCCGAATTCAAGGAGGAGCTGGTACCATTCCTTCTGAAACTATTCCAATCAATAGAAAAAGAGGGAATCCTCCCTAACTCATTTTATGAAGCCAGCATCATCCTGATACCAAAGCCGGGCAGAGACACAACCAAAAAAGAGAATTTTAGACCAATATCCTTGATGAACATTGATGCAAAAATCCTCAATAAAATACTGGCAAAACGAATCCAGCAGCACATCAAAAAGCTTATCCACCATGATCAAGTGGGCTTCATCCCTGGGATGCAAGGCTGGTTCAACATATGCAAATCAATAAATGTAATCCAGCATAGAAACAGAACCAAAGACAAAAACCGCATGATTATCTCAATAGATGCAGAAAAGGCCTTTGACAAAATTCAACAACCCTTCATGCTAAAAACTCTCAATAAATTAGGTATTGATGGGACGTATCTCAAAATAATAAGAGGTATCTATGACAAACCCACAGCCAATATCATACTCAATGGGCCAAAACTGGATGTATTCCTTTGAAAACTGGCACAAGACAGGGATGCCCTCTCTCACCACTCCTATTCAACATAGTGTTGGAAGTTCTAGCCAGAGCAATTAGGCAGGAGAAGGAAATAAAGGGTATTCAATTAGGAAAAGAGGAAGTCAAATTGTCCCTGTTTGCAGATGACATGATTGTATATCTAGAAAACCCCACTGTCTCAGCCCAAAATCTCCTTAAGCTGATAAGCAACTTCAGCAATGTCTCAGGATACAAAATCAATGTGCAAAAATCACAAGCATTCTTATACACCAATAAGAGACAAACAGAGAGCCAAATCATGAGTGAACTACCATTCCCAATTGCTTCAAAGAGTATAGAGAGAATTTTAAAAATTTATACTCTGTGTATATACTTACAACAGACTCAGAGATATTTTCTTAGTTTGAAATCTATTCTCTGATATTGCAGACATATTATCTAGTTGAACTGTAGAAAGCCACTTTTTTCAGACACATTTGCCTGTTTCTGCATTCCTGCTGGTCTGCTATTGTGACTTGGACAAACAACATCCAGGATGTTATTTGCTGGTGACATCTGCATCCAGAGACAATAATGCGTGTGTGCACATATTAAATGTCTTAAAATCATTAAAATTACTTAGTTCAGGCAGTACAACCAATTATTACACCTAAAAAAGTGACTCAGTCATAGAATTTTTTTATTCTTCTTAAAAACGAAAATTAAAGTTGCAAATGATTCTATGGGTCTTAAACTAGAATATTGAGGAGTTAAATAAAAAAATATATGAGCTACTGTCAAATGTGCAGATTAAGAGACTGGCCTTCTTACTTCAACAGAGACAAAATTGTCAGTTACACTTTATCATGGCCAGCTTCAGATTGATATGAATAATTTGTACCTGTCAGAGAAGAGCAGACCCTTCGCTGACAGATTGCTCCTCCTCCACTACCACTTACATGGGCCATTTTTTCCTGATGGGACTGAAGATGCTAGACAATACTGATGTAATCCAAAAATGTAAGAGTTAATCTTGAAACAATTTAGAAAAACTAAACTAATAATCAAGTGACATAAACAATTATCACTGCTACTATCTCTTCCCACTCCCCTCTGTCACACATATTGTAGATGCTTGGGCCCTTTGAATCCTAATGAAATAGAACAAGATTGAGACACATCCACCTTACTGTGCGATACAGATAATGCCCATATCCAAGGCTGATTCTCTGAAACTGCATTTGAATTCATATACATTCTAATGCTTCACTATGTCCTCCAGTTCTGTCCTGTTCCATCTCATGCCAACATCATTGCAACCCACAAAACTGTAGATGCTAAAGATTTCAAATGCTATCTTTTAGAGACTACTTAATCTTTCTTTTCATGACTCACTATTTATAGCACATAACAATATTGACATTAAATATTCCAAATGCATCTTTCTTTCTTTTTTCTCTTTCAGAGCATTAAATTGAAGCCAAGGGACTGAAATAAGAAACTCCAGAGAACAACAAGAGGAACTGAAATTGCATGGTCATTAGAAGGCATCTTAAGAATAACTGTGTAGCAGAGAATGAGGACTCATATCAAAGTTTGATTCTTTTAGTATTGGATTTTATGTAAGTAAAATTTTTAGTATAGTCAAACAAATATTATCGTCAATATATTAATGTTCATATTTACATTTTCATCATGATGCAGAAGATGAAAACACTAAACAGACTATTTGCTAATGCTGAAAATCTTTAGTATTTAGGTAAGAGTTATATTATACATAAAATAAAAATAATATAAACTAAGCATAACTGAAACGTGCTTTTTAAGACCTTGGTTTTGTTTAAATCTAAAAATCAAATACAAATGTAATATAAAGTTCAGTGTGTAACTATGACAAAAAATATTTTGAGTTTAGGAAATAAGCTGTAGTATCTGGAATTTCAAGAGGTATATATAATACATTATGAGAAGGAGTACTTTAAAGGTCAAAAGAAGGGAAAATAATAATTTAAAGCTCAATAAATGAATTCAAATCCATCTGACACCTTCAAGGTTTTTAACATCAGCAATTTCACTGATAATTTTTTACTATGACTAATATATACATATATGTATAAATATATACATATATGTGTATCTATATACATATATGTATATAGATACATATATATGTATATATACATATATGTAAATATATACATATATATGTAAATATATACATATATATGCAAATATATACATATATATGTAAATATATACATATATATGTAAATATATACATATATATGTAAATATATACATATATTTTTTGGGGGACAGAGTCTTGCTTTGTCACCCAGGCTAGGGTGCAGTGGCACTATCTGGGGTCACCACAACCTCCACATCCTGGGTTCAAGTGATTCTTGTGCCTCAGCCTACCGAAAGGCTGGGACTACATGCGCACACCACTACAGCTGGCTAATTTTTGTATTTTTAGTAGCTATGGGGTTTCACCATGTTGCTCAGGCTGGTCTCGAACTCCGGTCCTCAAGTGATCCAGCCGCCCTGGCCTCTCAAAGTGCTGGGATTACAGGCGTGAGCTACTGTGCCCAGCCCATAAAATGTCTTCTATCCTTATAACTTTGGATTCCAGATGTGATGGCATAAGAATATGGCAGCAGTTCCATGTGAGACTGATGAAGTAACATATTATGAAAATACACTGAGAAATATCAAATGCTGATTTTAACATAAAGACATGATTGTTTTATAACTTAACTGACACCAAATATAGCTAAGTAAAATGATATTAAATTTACATGCTAAGCAAGGGTATAGGCAGAATTTACTGCATCAAGGTTTGCATCAGCTATTTTAAGATATTTGAACATTGATTAAAAATGTAAAACACAAAAATCCAAATGAGCACTTGGTATTCAATGTAGACATGAAGAAAATCAAGCTGGTTTATTTTTTCAACATTTGGAATGATTGGAAGACACGTGATGTGGGTAGTGGATAATTTGGAAGCTATTAAGAGGATGAAAGTATTAGTTTTGATACACAGCTTACTTCATATTTATTAGAATAGAGTGGTGTGAAAAGAAATTAGTATATAGAAATATGTTTCTGCCCCTTTATAAATCTGTCCTCAGCATATTAAAGCTGGACGACAGTGGGTTGAAGTTACAATGAAGATAATTTTAAAAAAATGAAAGCTTCACTAAAAGAGGAAAATGTATAAATGATCAAGCACATTCACAAATTTACAGAGTTTGGAAAACAAAAATGATTTTGGTCCTCTTAATAGCAGAAGTGGTTTTTAATTCACATCAAGTACCAACACATAATATCTCATATGGTTTATCACAACCCTGTATAAAAATGCTTCTGTAGATAAACACAGATACATCAAATTTGACATCAGCCCTCTAAAATTAATTAATAGAACACCATGAACCAAATTCTAGAGGGATTTTCCACTAATTGTCCATCCATGTAAGTGGATTGCAAACCATAATTTTGACTAACCATATTCTTTTTCCTGAATTTGAAGTGAATTGATATCCCTGAAAAGGTAGGAACTTTGTCAGACTAACCTCATCATATTCCTTTCACTCGAGGACACAGTGACTGCAATGAGCAGAAAATAATTTAAACAAACTGGACACCGCTGCCCAGTTCTAATTTTCTGAGCTTGCCTGACACAAAATTATACTTTATCCTCCTTTCACTGCCATCATTTTCCTTATTTTTTAATGTATGAGGGTACCATAACAAACAATGCATACAATTCAGTAGGAAGTAGAAGAACAAGAGGAAATGTGAAAAACATCCTAAGTTGATTTGCCACCAAGAGGAAAATATTAACACCCTGGGCAAAGTCAGGAATAACAATAGCAATACATGATAAGGGATGTAACCTTTCACACAATACAGATTCCAAAGCACTGTAGCTGCATTTAAAACATATCTGATGATCAGAAGAATGAGAACTCTGATTTCAGTTCCTAAGGTCAGGTGAGAAATCAGTACATGCTAAGCATTACAAATTAAGCCAGGTTGGTCCACATCAGTTTAAGCTAGAGGTTTTCAACCCTACCAGACATAAAGCAAATATATTATTATCCTGAAATAGTTTCCATAGAAAATATAACCTAACTATGCACATTAAAAAAAATCCTAACTACAGTGTAGACAATGAATAAATGTGATCATGAAAAATAAAACGTACTTAATATGCAATCTTTGACAAATTTTACCAGAGCAGTAATCTCTAAACTGGGGTAGAAATACACCTGAAAATCAACAAAGACTTTCTATATATTGTAATGTTTATTGTAGAAAAAGTTAATCTTGGCATCAAATAAAATTAATAAAATGACATCAAAGTGTTTAATAATGATCTATAAAAGATGGTCTCAAAAGCTAGGTACCTGGACAATGAGTGCACTCACAATTATTAAACAATAATATGTATTTGATCATAATTCTTATAAAAATCTATTATTTTAACTATGCTTCATTATAAATTAATTATTTAAAAAGAATATGGTAATTTAATTGTTTTTATAACATGATAAAAAAACATGCTGTATCTGTATCATTTTAGTCTGAATTTAAATGTCTTTGTTAATCCATTTCACATAACGCATTCAATAAAGATTTTTTCCCATTTTTCTTAGTAATTTTCATTATATGTTTAAACATACATCAGTATGTTCATTTCTGCAGACTGAAATATGGGGATTTGACCTGGTTTAGTGAAGGTTTCTCTGGAGTGATGATGGAGCTGAGAGGTGAAAGCTTAATGAAGCAAAGAGGGAAAGGAAAAGGGCACAGTTAGCAGTGATAACATTTGCAAAAGCCTTGTGGTGGTACCTAAATGGGATGTACACAGGAATAGAATGCAAAAGCAAAAGCATGATACAAATTTATTAAAAAGAAAATAATTGAAAAACAGAATTTTTAAATGCATACACACACAGACACACAAACACATTATTTTTTTTCCTGGATACTATATGTCAAGAGACCTAGCCTAAATTTGAATCTTTGAATCTTTGTATTTTATGGCCATGCCACGTGTCTGTTTGTGTTGCTGTAAAGGAATTCCCGAGGCTGGTAATTATAAAGAAAAGGGGTTAATTTGGTTCATGGTTCTGCAGGCTGTACAAGAAGCATGACACTGGCATCTGCTTCTGGTGAGGAGCTCTGGCTGCTTCCACTCACAGTGGAAGGTGAAGGGGAGCCATCACGTGAAGATCACAAGGCAAGAGCGAGAAAGAGAGGAGGAGGTGCCAGGTTCCCTTCAACAATCTGTTCTTGTTGAAACTAAGAGTAATTACTAAGAGTGAGAATTCACTTAATCCCAGGAGAATGGCACCAAGCTATTCATGAGGAATCCACCCCCATGATTCAAATACCTTCCACCATGTCCTACCTCCAAGAGTGGAGATCGAATTTTAACATGTGACTTGGCAGGACCTAACAAACAATATCTAATCCATAGCACCACATATTACATTGTCAATTCACATTTAGTCTGGAGCATATAATTGCTTCCTTTTATTCAAGGCAAACTGTAGTGATCGTAATCTTTGAAACATTCAGTTCTGGCTATATCTCCTGGTCCTGAAATTTGCAATTATTTTAACTTATTTTCAGAATTTTACTTTTCTTCTTATTGCATTTATTTGTGTTGTTTTTGTAGGCAATCTTTTTGCCTATTCACAGTTTGATAATCTCAAGGCTGTATTATTCACAAATGCAATTACTGTTTTTTATGTGTTTTGCCATTTTAATTTTTGCGATTAAAAATATTGACTAGCATACTAATAGATCTGACAGTTTTCAAATGTATTGGTAGAGTTCAATTTATATGACCCAAACGTCAGTGCTATACAATATGTATTTTAAAAGGTAGTACTAAATACTAAGTAGTAATAAAAGATGGGATAATCAAATAAATTTTATAAAGAAAGTGAAATTTGCATTGTGTTTCCCCATCTTGCAAAAAAGGAAATAAATTTTTATATTTTTGCAAGTTATATTTAACACTATGCTGTTAACAAAAATTATCTTCAAAATATTTAGCAAATGGTGCTGAAGACTGCCATTCTCTTAAAGTATTTTTTCTCAGTCACAGAAAATCAAACTTGAAAACAAATATTGCAACTGAGAACAACTAAATTGAAAAATAGACGTGGTTTCTCTGTACATCTGATATTAGAGAAGAAATTTAAATTACTTATTAAATGAAAGTCTAATACAGAAAGATATACTATAACTTGGTTAAATTACATTTACTTTATTTTTTTCCTCATGTAGGATGCAATGGAAAAGATACATAGGGGATCAAATACATATGATGGTGGAAGTGAAAACCATTCCTTTGTGCTTCCTTGTTTCCTGAAGGGGTGCCTCTGAAATTCAGTGATCTCAACAGGCCACGTGGAGAGAGAGGTCTGCTTGGACACATAAGCCCAGACATGCATGCCACTTGCTCTCTTTTTTCCCATTTATTTCCAGCTTGGGGTGGCAGATATGTCCTCCCCATAACTCAGGCTTACCATCGAGGCTTATAACTTCTTGCCATTCCAGTTCCATAAGCCAGTTTGATAACGCTTACAGGGTATCATATGTAGCCCAGCCATTTCTGGATATATATTTTTTATTTCTTGCTGCATCACACACCTATTTTCTGATTCAGTGTAGCAGGACTTGCTACCATTTATCACAACGAGCACTGGAATCTCTCTTCTGGAAGTGAGAAAACTGAAGTGAAGAGAGGCTGCAGAATTGATCTAAGGCTAGCAGGACTTACTGTTGAAGTCTATCATGGACCAAAGGTCTCAAACCAGTAATCTTTTTTATAATTCCTGCTGTAGCTCATGCAATGCTAATACTTTCTGTAATGCTAATTATGTCATTTGAATTAAATTTAAAGGTTCTTTAGAAACCTTTTTAAGACAGGTGAATCCTGTTTTAATAGGGTAATGATTACTTTGTAACCTTATAGCTACTATGGGATGTTTCCAATGCTTGTGTCTGATAAAACAAGAATCAAGAACTACTTATAAAATCTCAAAAAAAATTTCACAATTTAAAAAATGTAGGCTATTATTATTATTAACTAATTAAGTTCAAGTATAAAAGCCTTTACTAACATAAAAGGGAAAAAGTTCAGCTAAAACACTTTGATTTTATTTGAAACAATCTAGTTTTACACTGCTTATTGATATGATTTGGACTTAGTGAGTCTGTCATGTCTTATAAAACATAGAAAATGAGAGAAGAAATTAATATTTTTTATTTCAAATCAGTTATTAAATTATTCCATAAAAAAGTCACATCTAGGTTTATATTAAGAAAATGATCTTTCTCTGTCCTTTTTAGTCTAGATCTTCAGGTGGTATACTGACAATTTTTGTGATAGTATTGGTTTACAGAACTGCTTTACCAATTTCCAAAGATCTCTATTGCTGGAATCAGCATGCAGAAAATGAAACATATTTGACAAAAAGAACAGCAAATCCAAAGCATACATTACATACTCTGAAAAAAACAGTATGTGGAAGAGGGATGGCAAGAGATAGAAATGAATATTTGTGTGGAGTGCCCCGTGCTCCGTAATGGATTCTTACAAGCTGTTGCTGAGTGTGTTAAAGGTATCACACATTTGAAATTTGCATAAGAAAGAAAATTACAGCACAGTCTTCCAGGAAGGAGAAGAATAGGCTTAACCTCCCACGGTTTTCTTTAGACCCTGTTGAAGAGAATTTTTCATCACTTCCATCCTCTAATATTTTTTCAGTGATACTTTTTTTTTAAAAGATGTTGAAACACTTCCAACAAAAGGATGCCACAGAGCCGATACTGATAGACTAGTTGAAAAGTCCTGCCTTTTCTTAGTCATTAACTGCAAAGTCAATTTAAATAATTTAAATAGTTCCTGCTTCCTGCCACCAGACTCGTGGCATAGACCTTCAACATTATGTATGCCTCAATACACGAAGAGAAAACTTATAGAAAATCTGATTATTTTAGCTATAAGTCTTTTATCTCTTTAAATTATGTGACTTTAAGATAATAATTTTGTGTTAATCCATACAGAGAGAGTCTTTTAGAAACCAAAATGAAGTATGACTGGACAATAGCATCAAGGGAAAGAAAGGTGAGGGTAAGGTCATCCTACAGGCCTGTGAACAAGGCAGACGATGCAGAGCTATTTTAGCGTGAAGAGAGTTAAGCATTTATGTCAAGTGCAAAGGGAATTCATTTTGAAGAGTTTTATGCAACTGTGTGGAATGTAGGGGTAAAATGTGGGAGAAAAGAGAACACATAGAGGATATTTAAATAATCTTAGAAGAAATGGTGTTTATCATGGTGATAGTAGAGCTAGTAAAAATGGAAAACATTAGATGTTAGAATGTATTTTTAAGAAAGAAACAACCAAGAGTTACTGATCTGTTGAATATGGGGAGTTTAAGGGAAAGTAAGACTCAAAGTTAACTCCTCAATTTGACAAACAACCGATTGAAAGTGGCGCTTTTTACTTAGCTGGAAGAGATTAAAGGGGAACGACATGGGAGTGTCAGGAATGGGAATTGATTTTTTGAACATGTTAAATTTGAGATCACTATAAGAAATCTGCATGAGCATGCTGAGTAAGAAGTCTGAGGTTTGAGAAGTCAGATATAAACTTAGGGGTCACCAACCTATAGCATTTAGTGTGGTCTATATTCATGAGTCAGTTGAAATGAAGAAACATACTGTAGAAGAAAGCAGAAATAGCTTTTTTGAGAGAAGGAGAGGGGAGAGAGTCCAGGGCGCAAGCAGAAGGGCTGCCTCTCCGTTGGTAAATGCAGGATCTTTCATCCATAGTAGTAAGATGATGGAAGGCATACAAGACAGGTGCATATGCAGGTGTATTTAATCCAAAAATGAAATTACTACTCCCAGATTACTTCTATTTTCTCAGGAAAACATGAGCCAAAGCCATTAGCTGAAACAGAAAGAAGACGGAAAAAGAAAATTGAGAGGAATAGAGAAAATGAATATTAGAGGTTTTGGGTCGTAGGAAGTTAAAGAATACGTAAATCAGATTTCTACAATCAGATTTCTGGGTAGAATAATTGACCATTTGAAACTTTCTTAAATGTAGGGTGTGCCAAGTCAGTTCTGATGGGTGCAGTCATGAAGAAGGCAGAAATTTGAGTTTAATTAGGCATCACACTTTGTGAGTTAAGTAAAACAGATGGAGAAGGAGAGAGTTAATAGTACTTGCAAGGGTGCTGGTATAATTACTGAACAGTAAATCAAAGTTGAATAAGAAGTAAAGTGAATACAGGTTTTGGAAAAATAGTAACTCATAGAGAAAATAAATTGTAGTCATCAATAAAGTTAAATATTGCTGGGAAAAATAGCTGAAGTGAAGAAAAATCATATGCAGAGTAGAGTGAAGAAAAACCATATGCAGAGAGAAGCATTTTTTTCATCTGTCTGAATACCAATAATTGGTGATTAAATGAAAACAAGACATCTTCCTTTAAGAGAGCTGCAGAGGCAGTAGTGTGGTAGTGTGGTCAGCATACTACCAAGTTGCTGTTATAAAGAGGTGGAGTGGACATGCAGAAATAGTTTTAAAATTAAGGGGAAATTTGTCAATTAGCAATCTTGTCAGTCAAAATACATTGTAGGATATTTTTGAAGGTTGTGTAAGTTTAATTATATCAGACTAATAGATATGTAGAATAATAAGTGGACTTGGAAGCTTGGATTTCTATTGGTGTAGGAAGTATATGGGTTTCTATAGTGTATGGGTTTCTAAGGGTGGGAAGAACTGTATGAAGCTTACAAATTTCATCATAGTAAACATCTTGAAGGAAGACAGAAAACCACCTCAACTTGGACGGAGTGGGGCCTCTGAGCAACTTTCATTTTAGTGCTGGGTAGGCAGTAGCCAAGATAGTGACTGTAACTGATGGCTTACTTAAGAAATGGCTTCTTTAGACACTGGGTCATCTGAGGGCCTTTTTATCCAGTGGCATTGTTCTGTCACACAAAGCTGCTGCTTCATGAGGAGGTAGAGAACCTTCTTTTTTCTAAAGTAGCAGGTTATTGTTGCAATTGGATTGTAACGGGCTTGAATGCTGTTTCTCCTCTGTATCAACAATATTGTGAATAGAAATGCGTGTGTGTGTGTGTGTGTGTGTGTGTGTGCATATATGATTTAACATAGTTTAATATATTTCTACAAGTATCTTAAGGCATGGTTAGTTCATCACTTATTAAAAGTGAATTCCAAATCTTTTTGATTCTGTCAAAGAATTAAGACGTAATATGCATATGTAATCATGCATACCTGCATATAAATAAATATATAAATTATACATATACAAATACAAATATATGCATTATTAAATACATGTATCCTACATTGATATATTTATAAATCATACATATGCACATAAGCCCTTGTATATGTATTTTACACATATATAAAAATAGAAGTTAAAAATAAAAATTTAATACATACAAGTAGAATTTTTAAGTTTCCTTTTCATAAAGGCAATGCTTGTGTGAGAGAAAAAACATGTAAGCTTTGTGGAACATCACCATCCAGTTTTGGAGACCATTCAGAATAGTTTATGAAACTCACTATCAAAACTATGCTAAATTAATGCAGAATTACAGTTTGATGTTCTAGTATGCACAAAATATATAAACTAAACATATATATAATTTTGGTGAAAAATCATAGGAAAATTACCTAATTCACAAAATGAGCAAGTAACAGCCTATACAATAAAATATGTATTTTTTCAAGAGGTGAAGCTTATTTTCAGCCTCGTAAAACCTAATTTCCGGACTTACTGTTTAGTATAAGATGTTTTTGTTTGTTTGTACCTGTTTTTAGAGTTAACATGCATGCAATTAAAATATATGACCTCATGCTCTAAATTTTATATATAAACATAAATTAAATATGTGTCTTAGTATGGCATGCAATTTGATTTATCTAGGTCCTTCAGACTCAGTCTTTCTCTTTATTTTTATTGCCTTTAATTGATTCGAAACCCAATTATTCCACATTTGGTTTGTTTCAGTAATCTGCCGTTCTCTCTACCTACTCACATTCTTTTTCACCCCAGACTCAATCTATCATCAATCACCACATTATTACTCTAAATATAGAACGTTGCCGATGCGGGATTAGATTCTCTTGGCAAAACATTTATGGTATGCAACAATTTTTAAAAATCACCCTGTTTTCTATTATCAACTTAAATTTATCTGCCTGTATATACAGACTTAATACCTTTATTTTGAAACTTTTATCTTCCTATTTTGCCCCACAAACTCATTTTTTTTGTTTCTTATCCTGTTTTCTTTGATTTTGTTCATTTAGACATCCATTTTATGATTCCTTCAGCATATTATGGTAAAATATATCTCCGCCCAAATTCCTCTTTAAGAGAGCCATATAATTGTTTATAAGAAATTAGCGTGAGTGAGAGTAGAACTATGAATGTGTTAAAAAACACACAGATGGACTCTAAAACTTCAGTGAGTGGAGGATGGATCTTATAAAATGGAAGCACTTTTATTTGAATTGGGATTTGCAAACTTAAAAATACAATACATGCTCAGACTGAGATGTTCTGCACAGAAGGATCTGAATGTCTCCAGCAAGTCCTGGAGGGGGAAAAATAAGTTGCTAGTAAGGTTGCCACTATACAGGGAATACATGAGAAGAAATCTGAGTAGGCACATTGGGTATCAGAAAATAGATATGTCCAAAGAAATTTTGTATAATTTCTTAGAAAAGTGTGATGTAAAAATCTCTCCTCTCTACACACACTGTTGTAAAATCTACATTATCAAACTAATTTTTATTTATTCTTTTGAGGAGAATCAAATAAATATTTATATTTATTTTTGGAGTCAGAATGATAAAAACAGGCTGGATGGCTTCAGAAAATAGAAGAGAGGTTAGTTGGATTCTCAGTTAGACATAAATATTCTGCAAAGCACATTAGTTACCATCTCTTTAATATATCCTTTCTTCATGTTTCTACCCTAAAATGCTTCCATCATAATCTAACTTTTCTATATAAATTATTGTTTGGCAAATATTATAGCACTTATGTACTGCTATCTCTAATAATCTAATTGTTCTATTTCATATATCTTGTTTTCTTCATTATGCTATAAGAATACAGCATATAAATTTAAAGGCAAGAATAAGGTACTCCAAATTTTCTTTATTCCTTTAGAGGCTGCATTTGACAAAATTGTCTTTTTATAATGTCAGCATTTTAGAGTTTAATAACTGAATATATATGTATGATGTTTTACCATTAATATTGGATCATTCACAATGTATAGCTTCTTTAAATGTTAAATAGTAGAAATACTTAAACATTAAGTTTTGACATTGGCCCTTTTTTATACTTCATGCTTTCTAAGTGGTAAAAGAGTGTTTACTGCATATGAAAGAAATATCGTCAGAAAACTGGAATCTTACATTATTTGTTTTCATTTTATATTTTAAGCTTGTAATTTGTAAGCTATCAGTAGCATTAACAATTACTAAATATGAGTCCTGAGGATAATTTGGTGTGGACATATGGATACATGCAAATGTAACTGTTTAAGACACCCAAAGAGACTCACAGTTGTTTTCCTACCCAGAAAATCTCCTTTATTGAAAATGTCATTGCAGTTAAACAAAGACCACTGTCCAAATCCTGGCAACCAATGGCATTGTTGCCAGTAAAACACCCTAATTAACTTTGGAGGCATTATTTGAATTATTAACCTTCATTTACTGTTTCTATTCTTTCTTCTAAAAGTGAAGGTGAACATAAATCACATTATTAACAAGTTTACTTTTAAAAATAGAAAGCAAAATTTTATAAGTATAAATGACTAAATCATATTTGATTAAGCAAAACATATCAAAATTCCTTCTTTAAGACATAATAGGTTTGTGAATATATACAAACTAATCAAATTACCAAATTCATGTAACAGACATTAGAGTTATGAGGAGAATCTAGCTTCCAAGAATGAAATATTTTATGAAGTCATTCATGATATTTCAACTTTTTGGCAACTTTTAACAATATAGTCTAGCATTTTTATGTATTTTTAATTTTACATTTTTATTTCATAATGGGTCATACAAGGACTATGCTTAAAAATTAGTGACTATTTTATTGAGGTTAAAATTCTGCTGCATTGGGAAAATCTAGTTATTTCTAGATTATTTTAATGGCTTTAAGAACAGAAACTCTAGACCTCTCATTATTAAAGTTAGTGATTTTTTTTTTCTAGTTCCTAATTTGCATGAAAGAAAAAAGTAAAATTAAATAGTACATTGAATAACTGATCAAGTATTATATAACATAAATTGTCATAACACCACATATGAACCATTGGCTAGAATATATGTTACAATGTGATAGATTACTATTTGTTAGCTGATATATGAAAATCTGCACTCAACCTAAGCAATTCTTTTAAAGGCATAATACATTAAAGTGAAATCCTCAAAAGTAGAATTTAAAATGCCAATCAAATACTTACTAATATTAATGGGCCAAATTAATTCTACTCACCTTACCCCAAACTTTGAACTCTTTCAAGCAATTAAGTTGTTCTCATTGTTGGTAGATAACTTCCAAACTCAATTGCTACCCAATTTAACTAAATACTGGTTTTGTTTAACACTAGCTTCATATGTGTTGTCCAAATGTATGGCTTTGATAACCATAATCTTGTAGATTCATGTTGATACAGTATCCAATGGTTGTTTCAAACAGGCCTTTCCTCGAATTATATATATATATATATATATATATATATAAGTAAAGGCAAGGTATTAGTAAAAATGTAGCCACTATCATGTGCTTCTTGATTTTGAATTCTCAGATTTTGAATTGTTTTTGAATTCTCTTTTTTGAATTCATTAAACAGAGAATTATAGTGGTAGCCTCCAGGTTCTACATATGCCAGAAGGAGCCTAAATATTTACTAGTGAATCTGTATCTGCGAATGGATTGCTACATTTTATCATTTGAATTTACTTTCTTCCTTTTCCCCATGTTACTATATAATTATATTTCCCTGGTATGAGTTTAGGATGAATTAAGACTCAAATACATTGGCAATATCAATTTCTATTCTTTCTCTTTCACATTAGATAACTTCTTTTAAAAGGATGCATTAATAATTTTATATTTAAACTAAATTATAAAATAGTTATTTGAAAGTCACAATTAGGTTTAGAAAATAAATTGATCACATTTCTAGAGACCTGTGACATATTATGTGTGTAATAATTGTCCAATAAATGATAAATGATATCCAAATACAGTCGTCTGTGAACACATTCACCAGGATATATTTATTAACTAACTATAAAAATACCTATATTATTTTTAAGTCTTCTTCCATATTTAAGGAGAGGACATGGTCAGTATAAAGCTCCTGAATTACTGACCAATAACTTTCTAATGGCATTTTTATGACTTTGATTTAAAAAGTTATTTATCTCTTTTGATAAATTTCTGCTATGAATTGTGCACACATATGTAAAACATTTAATATATGTGTGTACATATGTGTACACATATGACTTTTATTAGGTATATAATCAGCAATGATTGTTTTAAAAAGTGAAAATGAGTTGAATAGGGCAGTTGCATCACTAGCAAATTTTTCCACTATTATAGAAAACAATTAGAATTTTGTAAGTTTTTTGGGGGGATAAAACAAATATTTAGAAATCTTTATTATTTACCGATAGAGCAATAAAATTAAAATATGAAATTGCTGTACATAGCAATATAAAATAAATATTCTCAATGTGACTGATATGAAACACTGTTGATTTTGGTTGTACTATTTTTATAACTAGACTGGAAGCAATTACTGTATGCCCAAGATTGATCTGGATGAATTAACCTTGACAGTAGATAGTAGCAGTGCCACAGGTCATACACTGCATACCTTTTGCAATGGAAAGGCTGCCTGAGGCATTTTATTAAAAATACTACAGTGCTACTTAGTACTTTGAAATGTTAATGGTTCCATAGATTTTCCACAATTGCTTACTTCCTCCTAATCAATGCTTTTAATATTACATGATTAGACGGTTTTCAACAGTGCATACTTCATGGCTACAGACTGCTATATTATGCACTAGAAGCATTAACATTTGAAAAATTCATGTTGGCTCTATTTTAAGTTTACTGTGAGATATTACCTCAACTCAGTTTTATTCTCATTGTTTTGTGACCTAGTTAAAAATATAATGTCTTACCTTTTCCTCAATAAACCACCAGTTTGCTATGTCTTCATTAGCGCAAGTTCACATGTTCAACTCCTTAACAAAAGCTTCTTCCTATTATCCTTTAACTGGTATATTTTTGATAATATACAAAGTACCTTCTGTAAAATTCTATCCTGCAACCACACTTACAGCACATCCTCATCTCCGATTTTTAGTTTATGGCTTTGGTCATCTAAGTAAATGCTGTAAGTCTTTCCAAATATCTAAGGATTCCCCTCTTCTCTCACTCACCATGCAAAATATTGTAGCTGTTCTCCAAATCTTATACATAAATCATATTAATCAGTAGATTAAATGAAAACTTTTCCTGGAAATTTACTACGTACCTAGTACAGTTTTAGCCATTAGGGGAGAAAATGAAGATCTTTAAAATAATTCCCAAATCTAAATTTATAATACTGACCTCACAAGGTTTAACCCAGAAATGTTATTTTCTTGATATTTCTAACGTCTTGTCCCATTATTGCTTTGAATTCGTCTTTCTCTGATGTTTCAAAATGTCAAATGTAATATGAATTCTTCTCTCCCCTTATTTCATCAGTGGTGGAAATTCTAGTCTACCTTAATAAAACTTTTTAAACCCGCCTTCCAATAGTAGATGTCCCCTAACAAGTTTCCTTGCCCTCATCCTTTTTCTGGAATAAGGCATTCTAAAAATCCACCTAGAACATACTTCTAACAGTTGAGGATAGCCAGTACTGAACGCCTAGATCAGCTTTTGATCAAAAAGAATTTAATAACAGCTTCTGTGTGAAAAATTAGACTGTAATTTCTATTGCTGCCATGGTATCAATTTGTCCCACTTCATCAATGGCATCAATGGCATTACTGTATGGGTTAACCTAAGAACTGCCTGCCTATACACATTTCCACTTGGACTTAACTAGACTCTGCATTGACTTTTATGAGGTATTGCATATTGTTCTGCCTTTTTTTGTCTCTTCTCCATCTAGGACTCTAGTATGTATATGCTACATTATTTTATATTATTGTGCATGTTACCGAGGCTTTGTTAATTGTTTTCACTCTTTTGTTTTCTCCACTTTAGTTTTGTTATATTCTCAAGTTCACTAATACTTTCTTCTGCAATCTTTGTTTAGGTTTATCTAGTGATGTTTTGTATTTTTATATACTATATTTTAATTCTAAAAGTTCCATTTATTTCCTTTTAAATGATCGTAGCCATGTCAATCTTCATCATCTTTATGTTTTGCTTTAAATCCTTGTATTAACATATATTATAACACACATCTTCAAGTCCTTATATACTATTTCCAGCATTTCTGCCATTTCTTGATATAATGCTATTAAATATATTTTTTCTGCTTATGTCTCACATTTGGCAGCTTCTTTCCATGTCTAAATTTTTATCATTTGTTAGATATTATGAATGTTCAGTGAGTTTTTACAATTTTCCCTTGTGTTCTTTTCAAGAATGTGGAAGTATGTTTTATCCAATAGATAAGATCCTTTCCACTGAGCATAATTATCTTGAGATTTGTTTATGAAGTTTGTTGGAGTGAGTCTAGTTTATTCAAGGAATAGTTGAATAGTGGTACTAAGAAACGACACTTCGGTATCTCTTCTAAATGTTCTGTGTATGGAATGAAGTTTCTCCACTCTAGCTCATTATAACTCTTAACATTTCCCAGTGATACATGAGTCTATGAAAGTGTTCAGTAGTAGCATTACTTTCCCTGGAAGTTGTTTTATGCAGGGCCTTTTGGAATTTTATCTGACATATGCATAGATTAGTATTCAGCCAAAAGACAATATCCTCCTTTTTTGTTTTCTGCCCTTCATATCCATCCATCTTGGCTTCTTCAAACACTAATCTCTGTTTCTTCCTAATTTGTTGAAACTGTAGGGCACTTTATAGATTTACTTCCTTTTCAGACCAGAAATGACCTCCAGGCAGATAAATGAGGCTGTCTTAATGATCATCTTGTTTATTTTTCTTCTCTCAGGGATTGTAATCCTATGCTGAGTAATTCATATTGCCTGAAAATAATTGTTTTATATATTTTGTCCAGTTTTTATTTGTTTATAGAAGGAGGACCTGAACTAGGACTATTTGTTGACAAATACTCCATTCCGAGTAGAAGAAGTTGCATCAAATCTTACTGCTCTAGTTGACAGTCTTAACCTCTTGGTTTAAGACATCTATGTTCACGTTAGTATTGGAATCAATAATTTGTCCACAAGTCTTCCAAGAAACTACCTTAGACCTTTTCCTCAAAATTTGCAGACCTAAATTCATATTGCATTATCCTGCTTATTCATCTTTTGGGTAATCTTTTAAATGGACTTCAGGTACTCTGTTTCTAGCTCTTTCTCACATAACATGAAGAAATTTAAAAGCAAAACCTTTAATAATGGATATTATTTAGTTACTAGCATAGGAAGAAAGAGGAAACACAAGTGCAGGAAATAGTGTGGGATGAGAGGAAGCACAGAAAGAACAGGAAAATAAATAGATTGCAATGCCTAAAAATAAGAGTTCAAATTGGCTGGAAATAGATAACCCCTGATGAAAGAATGTAACTATATTATGGATAAGTTGAACGCATCTTTTCATTCAAATTCTTCAACACATATTTAGTAATCTACCAATATTTATTCTAAACACTGGAAATACTGTGATTAAAAAGTAAACATGATTGTCATCTTCTGAGATCATATGGTTTAGAGAGACAATATATTTTGAAAAATATAGAAGTAATATATAGTTGTAAAGTTTGATATGCATGATGAAAGAAGAATATATCACACTAATGGAGAGTGCAGAGACAAATAATATAAATTGAGAGATTGGGAAGGTCTTTGATCATGTGACAGTAAAACTGAGATTTGGATAATGGGTCTCATTCTGTATTTCTCCTTCTACCATGTACCTCAACCTCAACAATTCACAAAATTCTGTTTATTGACCCTTCGGCATTTCTCTCAAATTTGCTCTTTTGTATCTGAGTTCATGCCACTTTTATTACTCTCTTTTTACTAGAACAGTCTCATATGTATTCCTTTCCTCCTGTAAGAGTTGAAATGTTCTGCAACAAGTGTTCACTTTCCAGACAACAGGTAGGACTCTTTTACCCAAAATTCTTCATAGAGTTCCTATTACCTTCAAGAAGGACTCCAAAATGCTTAGCATAACTCATGATCAGTTCTATGATTGCTTTTATAACGTAATCTATCCTATAACTAATATTTGGCAAAATTGTTATTTTTTTATCCTCCATTCAAAACCTGAATGAAACAATCAGAGACTCACTCAATGAGTTTTGGGAAAAAATACAATGGGCTAGATATACTTCATTCAGGGTGTATTTCTATGATGTTAGATTTATTTTTATGATGTCTTTTTCATTAGTAAGTGAGGCATAGAAAGCTGGCTTTTCAAAAATGCTCATTCATTCAAATCACAAAATGAATTATTTCTAAATAGAATTCCTAAACAGAAAGAATTATTTGGGACCTGCCTGAGAAGTTCTGAATTGCAATTTCCTGAAGTTGGGTTATGTGTCTTTATTTCAATAGCTCCAGAAGTAGTAATGAAACAGAGCCAGGGTTGCAAATCACCGTGCTAGAAGGCAGGGAATTGTTTCCCTATGTTCCTACTGTCTAATATAGTGCCTAAACAGTAGGCAGCTGGGTAATTCTTATTGAATTTATACATAAATACAATTTTTTTTACTTTTACATAAAAGCAACTTACATGGTTTATATTTGTTTAAATTATAGTTGCCTCTAGTTTTATTTTTTCTGAATCATTATCATCAAAGGGGATCATATATGAAGTAAAACAATAAAAGTATCTATGAATTTGTTATGTTCATGTAGATGTTAATGAACTAATTTTTCCTATAACATACTTGAATACAAAACATTCAATTACATAATTATATTTTTGTTTTCCCTCAAATTCCTTGATGATTCTGTATAAGAGACTGATGAAAACATGTTCATATATTTTTTGTAAGCAATTAATTAGACTGAAATATTTTTCAAATATAATGCATTATAACAAAGTTATGATAACTTTGTTTTTTTTTTGGAGATGGAGTTTTGCTCTTGTTGCCCAGGCTGGAGTGCAATGGCCTGATCTTGGCTCACCACAACCTCTGCCTCCTGGGTTCAAGCAATTCTCCTGCCTCAGCCTCCCAAGTAGCTGGGATTACAGGCATGAGCCACCATGCCTGGCTAATTTTGTATTTTTAGTAGAGACAGGGCTTCTCCATGTTGGTCAGGCTGGTCTCGAACTCTTGACCTCAGGTGATCCACACACTTCAACAACTTTTTATACTATGTTTGGCTATGTAAAATGTGCGTTAGTTCAATTAACACAATTGATCAGTCACTGGAAAATAAACCAAGAGCTATACAATAAAATAAACTTTCTCACCATCACTATTCAATTGAAAAGTAGATTTAAACCTTACTATTATAAAGCTTTTTTAAAATTCTAATCCGCAATTATAGATGTAGATATATTATTCTATCTGGTATTTGCTACCATTGTTATTATTATTTTGACAGAGTTATAAACCCTTCAACCAAGGATTTAGCCCAAAGAAAACATAGTTTAAGAACTAGTCATCCAACATCAAAGTATGAGGCAAGCCGTGCTACGGCTGCTTTGATAATAATGCATTTTCAGAAATTCAAAACCTTCACGAATAATATATTTTAGAGATAAGCAGGTATTATGCACCAGGTTCAGTTTGCCTTATTTTATGAAGCCATCCTTGTTTACTTTCAAATTTGAAAGTCCTGTCTTATTATTTTGCTTGATTTTCCTTAGTACAAGTAAATTTAATAACTCAAATGAAACTTTTTTGTCTGTTTTGTTGGTTATGTTATATCATTAACTTACAGGCTAAGTGATTTTCTTCTCATTCATTCATCTTTTCAATGACTACCTATTGAATACCTAGAATGTCAAAGATTGTTGGAGATTATTTGAAATGTTCATTATGTATAACCTGATCCTTATCCACTAGGAGAATGATACTACAGAGAATGATACGAAAAACATAGCTATAGAAAATGAATAGGCAATGAAATCATCGTACATATATTCTAGGCATTTTAAAACTACCAATTAGATTTTAAGCATTCGTAAATAATTTGGTCCCTCTGGCTCACTGCTTTCTCACCTAATTTATAAAAGTAAATTAATTTCAGTTTTCAGCAACCGTGCGGGCACAACTACAAGCCCTGGCCTTAGTTGGGTTCATAAATTACACTTCTATGTATAGATTACTTGATCACAATTTTCTCATCCATAAAATGAGAAGACTAGGTATCTTATTCTTACCCTACATGGCCACAATCTTAAGGCATGCTGAGACCGCAGTAGTATAATTTGTTGTGAAACAGAAGACATAGTATAAACTTTACTTCAAGAACTGCATTTAAGACATCGCGACATGCTCAGCTTCTAAGCATACACAGATAAAATATAGAGATAGGCCCTACATTTTATTCTGCAGCCATCACATAAAACCTTAGTTGAAAAGGTGGCAAATCCTGTAAATTGATTTTTTTCTGAATAATCTTGTCTGTTCTATTCATGAATAAAGAAGACAAAAGATAGCTAAATGAGAATTACCAGTATATGGGGCCTTTTATGATAATTTAAAAATCAATTTTTATATGCTGCTTAATATCACATTTGGCTATCAACCATCATTTATAACATTGTATATTCAAGAATTTCTCAACCTTTAATTTACATTTAGGTCAATATTGAGTCCTGTTGTTTCCAACTTAAATATTTTTCACTAGATACTTTCCTGAAAGTTTTCAACCCAGATAATTACAAGAACCATAGAGTGGTCACATGTATTCAGAAATTATCACTGGTTCATACTTGCTACAAGCTTATGGAGTGAAAAATAAAACACCACCCTTGAGGGTGGCCTCTGCAATCACTGGCAGAAGGTTTGCTCCTCTGGAGCCACCAAAGCCATTTGCCTCAATGTAAAGTATCCTTATCTTGTTAAAAACAATAGTTCTGTTAAGTGAGAAAAATAGAAGTTAATTCTTACATCTGAAAGTAATTCAGGAATCATTAAACAAAGGGGCCTGATTCCCCAAATTGTAAAAATGCCTAAAGAAATTGATATTTCAAACTATACATATATGCGAATTCAGTACTAATATGATATGCTCACACACACACACACACACACACACACACGCACACACACACACAGACACACAGAGACACACATACCTATTGCCCCAAGTTGATTGTGGTGTTTGGAGCTTCTCCATCTGGATTCAGTCTGATATAACTCATCAGTCTTAGAAATATCAGTCTTCTTCTCCCCAGTTTCACACTCCCATATTTTTTAGGAAATGTCTGTATCTGTGAAAAATATAGTGGACACAGCCTAAACTGCTCTCCAAAGAATTGCACTTTTGTGTAATCCCTCTTAAGTGTGGATGGAATCTGATTTGATTATAGTCTGTAGAATATGAAAAGGGTAAAGGCATATAAAAACATAACTAAAATACAATGTCAGTTGATTTCAAGTAAGTTATCAAAAGGGAGAATATTCTGTGTGGGCTTCACTTCATCAGGATTAAGCTCTTAAAAAGAGGGACTGGGTTAGCAGCAATCCCATTACTGGGTATATACTCAAAGGATTATAAATCATTCTTCTATGAAGACACATGCATGCTATACAAATCATTCCATAAAGACACATGCACATATTGCAGCACTATTTACAATAGCAAAGACTTGGAAGCAACCCAAATGCCCATCAATGATAGACTGGAAAAGAAAAGGTGGCACATAAACACCATGGAATACTATGCAGCCATAAAAAAGAATGAGTTCATGTCTTTTGCAGGGACATGGATGACGCTGGAAACCATCATTGTCAGCAAACTAACACAGGAACAGAAAACCAAACACTGCATGTTCTCACTCATAAGTGGGAGCTGAGCAATGAGAACACATGGACTCAGGGAGGTGAACATCACACACCGGTCCCTGTAGTGGGGTGGGGGGGCAAGGGGAGGGAAAGCACTAGGACAAATACCTAATGCATGTGGAGCTTAAAACAGACATGACGGGTTGATAGGTGCAGCAAACCACCATGGCACATGTATGCCTATGTAACAAACCTGCACGTTCACCACATGTATCCCAGAACTTAAAGTAAAATAAAAATAAAAAAAGAGGGACTGGGTTAGAAAGATTCCCCTTCTGGACCTGAAGAAGCAAACAGCCATAGCCATAGCTATGTATGGGACACAAGGTAGGACACTGGAAGCAGATTAGGACCTAGGGACACCTTCTGGCTGACAGCCAGAACAAAATCGGAAATCTCAATGAATTCCATCAACAGCCTGCAGGAGTTTGGAAATGGATCTTTAGCAGTCTAGACTCTCATGAGAGCACAATATCAGCTGACACCTGAGTTGCAGCCTGGGGAGACCCTGAAACAGAAAATTCAGGTAGACCATGTCCAACTCCCGATTCATAGAAACCGCGAGACTATAGAAGTATGCTGCTTAACGCCCTTTATTTGTGGTAATTTGTTGCATGGAAGTAGGAAATGAATAGAGGTAACATTTTACATATAGGCGGGAGCAGCCTTGTTCATATTACTGTATAGACACTGAAGGGCAGTACCAGCAGACCACTTAGGGGAAGTCTCTTGCTACAGCATGGACATGGAGGCCCATATAACAAAGCTCCCCTGTAGGGTCCTGTGGTAGTTCCTCTTTCTTGTCTGGATATAGAAGTCTTTGCTTGTGAACTTCCTGAGGATATCTGTTTGTTTCTACTTGGAGGTGTGTGTGATAGTTGACCTTCTTTCCCAATCATATTTGTATTTTATGAGTGGCATTGCTTTTTTTCAGTCTCACACTCAACATGCCTCCTTTAACCTGTTTTTGTCATTTCTCTGTGAAGACTAAAATCCAGACTCTCAGATGGGATCAGAGACAGATGACCTCCACTTCCTTAACATTCCCTTAGTGTTTTGCATGTTTATTTAGTTCTTCCTCAGACAGAAAAAAATAACAAACATAACAAAAATGAAATCTTGTCTTCAGTTAAATGTAAGTGCCATAGCTATGAAAAGAGACAAAATGGTGAAGGGGATAATAATGTCTTTTTTTTAATATTATACTTTAAGTTTTAGGGTACATGTGCACATTGTGCAGGTTAGTTACATATGTATGCATGTGCCATGCTGGTGCACTGCACCCACTAACTCGTCATCTAGCATTAGGTATATCTCCCAATGCTATCCCTCCCCCTTCCCCCCACCCCACAACAGTCCCCAGAGTGTGATGTTCCCCTTCCTGTGTCCATGTGATCTCATTGTTGAATTCCCATCTATGAGTGAGAATATGTGGTGTTTGGTTTTTCGTTCTTGTGATAGTTTACTGAGAATGATGATTTCCAATTTCATCCATGTCCCTACAAAGGACATGAATTCATCATTTTTTATGGCTGCACAGTATTCCATGGTGTATATGTGCCACATTTTCTTAATCCAGTCTATCATTGTTGGACATTTGGGTTGGTTCCAAGTCTTTGCTATTGTGAATAATGCCGCAATAAACATACGTGTGCATGTGTCTTTATAGCAGCATGATTTATAATCCTTTGGATATATACCCAGTAATGGGATGGCTGGGTCAAAAGGTATTTCTAGTTCTAGATCCCTGAGGAATCACCACTCTGACTTCCACAATGGTTGAACTAGTTTACAGTCCCACCAACAGTGTAAAAGTGTTCCTGTTTCTCCACATCCTCTCCAGCACCTGTTGTAATGGGATCTAATTAAACTAAAGAGCTTCTGCACAGCAAAAGAAACTACCATCAGAGTGAAGAGGCAACCTACAAAATGGGAGAAAATTTTCGCAACCTACTCATCTGACAAAGGGCTAATATCCAGAATCTACAATGAACTCAAACAAATTTACAAGAAAAATACAAACAACCCCATCAAAAAGTGGACGAAGGACATGAACAGACACTTCTCAAAAGAAGACATTTATGCAGCCAAAAAACACATGAAAAAATGCTCATCATCACTGGCCATCAGAGAAATGCAAATCAAAACCACAATGAGATACCATCTCACACCAGTTAGAATGGCAATCATTAAAAAGTCAGGAAATAACGTCTTACTTCTCTCTTCAGAAGCATCAGAATCAAGATGCCTGCCCACCTGTGAGGATCTGTTTTCTCTAGAAGATTTATTATAAGATGAATCATTATCAAAATAGGAAAGTTTAATTTTCTGCTCTCATGTTCAATGAAAACATTAATATTTTTACCTTAATAATTATTATGGGTATACGAAAGAAATTATATCATTGTTAGGATCTATTAAATTTGCATTATAATATTGATTCCAAGAAGTGACATTTGACATTTTAGATGAATCGTTCTTGGAAAGGCCTGAAAATGGTCTATGCTTGAATTAAAAGTTCAATACAAAAATATGATAGGCCGACTAATTCATTAATTTGATGTTTCAGTTGTGCTACCTTTGAATTAAATATAGACCTGTGCATATTTTACACATATGTCATGCTGATAACCTTGTTATATTTATGCAGTTAGAATTTGAGAAATCAAGAAATTACTCAAATTTGTTCTCATTATTTTCCCATGATGTCTATACTTGGATCAATGCAATATTGTTTAAATATTAATAGATTCATTCAGTTTTACCCCAGGAGGTGAATAATATAATTACAGCTTTCCACAGGAAAGAAAACAAAGGCTTCTGGAAGTTCCGTGATGTTAGTATATTTACACAGCTAGCAAGTAATGAAGCCATGGCCTGTTTCCCTCACTGCACCTGAACTTAGGGGGTTTATCACTAGTTTTCACATGTCTTGTAACCTATACAACAATTTTATTCAAATTCGTAATATATTTTCTGACATTTTTGTAACTGCCAGTCATCTATCTGTTTACCTGACTCTTACACGAGACTATTAATCATCGATTAGTAATCTATTTCCTATCTATATTAATACTGCTTAACATGCTGGTCTACTTTCATGTAACTGTGAATTTTAAATGAGTTTTTTTAATTTGTCTTGCTAAAATGTAGAAAAATCAAGTTCTCCTAATTATCTAGTCAATTTTGTTTTGGTTTTATTTTATGGGCAAAAACATATTTGATGACTGGTGATGCATCTCATTATTATTCCAATTTTACATGTAATGGTTTTTCTCCCAATCTCTTAAGCAATGAAGAAAATAATGATACATCCTGAATGTATTTATATCTTAAAAATTTCTGTTTTGTTTCATTTTGGTCCTTAAGGATTGACACTGTGTGTAGTAGATATTTACGTGACAGATTTGACAGGTTAGGAGAGAAAGTGTAGAGTAAAAACACATTTCATTGTGGTCAATATAAACTAAAAAAAATGAGTGCTTATTCTTTTAAAATTTCCAAAGAATTTACAATACCAGTGAATTATAATATCTTAAATCAGATTAAATTTTAGGTTGTTTAAAATAAATAAATTAAATTCTCTAGGAAAGGTATAAACAATATAAGTTGACAGTATATTAAAAAGGGGAAAAGAACATAATTATAGTAAAATGATTCCTTCTTATAAATCTGTTATTTAATGTTTATTTTAATTTTAATTTTTTAATTTTTCATTGAGTTCTGATTTTAAATTCTGTGGTATCTCTGTCACCAGTTGATTCATTATAATAAGTATAGCAGAGGAAGCTATTTAGCTTGACAATTTTATCAGATAATTCTTTTCAGAATATAAGGCATTTACTGTAAATAAAATATTTGGGAGTTTTATGTAATATTTTGCAAGACAATTTAATCAGTGCCTCTGTGACATTTTTAAAACTCGGCAAAATTAGTAGAAAAACAAGTATAATTTAATTTACAACTTAATGCAGTTGAAATGTAATTTAATTTACAGTTGAATAAATAAGCTCTTTCTGTCATGTTTTCTCATTTTTTACATAGATATATTTTTAGGTTGAATATCTTGTTAATATTCAGGACCTTTTGACTTCTTCAACTTTATGCACTTCATGGACTCATTTTCCTTCTACTATGGTCATTTTCTCCACCACTATAAAATAAAGAGAATGAATTAATACTTTATGATTCTTCCAAACCCGGTGTTATTGTCAATTACTCCCAGAAGTGAGGAACTGAAATTGCTGATCTGCTAGGAACATGACACATGTGATACTCACATAAAGAACAGCCTGTATGACACACCCACCCTCCTCCTGTCCCACGCCCCTGCACTCAGCACTAAAGTGGTGATCACAACTAAAGGGAAAATGTTCAGTCAAAACTAGTAGTTGATGGTAGTAGTTATTAGTCTACAGAAAAGAAAAAAAAACTAGCAGAAAGATCTCAAAGTGTGAGATTCAAATTCTTGTCCTAACGCTGGTTTTTATTTTATTGGAAAGCTCTTATTTACAAAACAAAATTTGATTGGATGAAAGAAACCAGTGTTTTTCAAAATATATTGTGCACACAAATTACCTGGGATGTTATTAAAATGTAAATTCTGATTCCACAGGGTTGGAATGGAGTAAGCATCTGTATTTTCAATAAGTGCCCAGGTGCTGTTGATGTTGCTGATCCATGAATCATCATTTAGGTAGTAAGCATCTAAAATATTTCTCTGAGTTGTAAAATATTGCTTTATATTGCTATTTATTGACTTAAATTTAATCTATTGTGAGGCAGCATCAATGCATCCCACTTATAGGATTGTTGGTTTTGCAAAAGATAAGTATAAAGAATCGTGGATAAAGAGGGCAATTGTGTTTCTAATAAGGCTAGGGGACAAAATCATTTCTGGCTTTTGAAATATCAGTTCACATACATATACACTGGAATTAGGTAATAGTAGTTGTATTTTATTCTATGAATTAGTATCATGTAGAAAAACAATATAAAATACATATATATGTGGGTATATAATCAGTTATATATTACAGTATAGTAACTTTACTATGAATATAATGTGCCAAAACAAATTTACCATCCAAGGATTCCCTCCTAAAGTTCAATGAATCCATGCAACCAAACTTTCTACCTTGCCCCTCACCCACTGTGTTTGTTTCCTATCACTGCTATAACAAATTATAACAAATTGAGTGGTTTAAAATACACACACATTGATTCTCTCATAGTACTGGAGATCAGGAATTTAAAATGGGTACACAGCACAACATTCCTTCTGGATATATCAGGGGAGATTTTAGAGGAGAATGTTTCTAAAGGAGAATTTATTTCCCTGCTGTTTACAACCTCTATAGCCTTTCTACATTCCTTGGCTTGTGGACTCTTCCTCCATCTTCAAAGCCACCAGTATGTTATGGGTACATTTCTCTCTGACTTTCTTCCTTCTGCTTCTGTCATCACTTAACCTTCTATCTAACTCTAATCCTCCTGCCTCCCTTTTATAAAAACCCTGGTGATTACATTGGACTCACCAGATAACCCAGGAAAATTTCCCCATCTAAAGATGCTTAACTTAATTACATTTGCTAAATCCATTTTACAATGCAGGGTTATCTGTTCCCAGGTTCTGAAGGTTAGGACTGAACGTCTCCTGGAGCCATTATGCAGCCTACCACACTTGCTATATCTTCCAGAATTTTGGAGGAAGTAATTCATTCTGTCAGCTTCCGGCTGGAAAATGTTATCATGTGTCACCTCAATATGTGTCATCTCTGGTAATTATTGAAAAGGCTATTACATTTGGTCATTTATCTATTTATTTATTCATGCATTCACAATTATTTATTGAGCACGTCTGATATGGCATGGTCTGTGCTACATGCTGAGAACATGAGGATGAACCAACAGACATCATGTTTCACTCAACAAACATTTCTTAAGTCCTTCCCTGTGCCAGTCACTGCTCTAGTTGCTGGGAACACAGAAGTAATCAAGAGTTAAGGTTCCTATTCATTGCAAGCTTACATTATTATGTGGTAAAACATACACAATATAAACAAGTTAGAAATTTGTCAGACAGTGATGCCTTCCATGCAAATAGTTAAAGTAAGGTGTGATGTGACAGACATTGGCCAGGTAGTCATTTTGTATTGCTTTGGCAGGGAGGCTTCTCTAAGCTGGTGACATTTAAGCTGAGAGATGGATGACATTAATGCCCCAGTCATGCAAATATCATGTTTTAAACAAAGAAAGCAGCTACTGCAAAGCCCTTCAGGGAAAAGAGTTTGGCCTTTCCCTCCTAAGCATCAAAAGACATAAAGTGTAATGTCATTTTAAGTAAATAAGGTGAGGGCAATGAGTGAGGAATTGTCCAGTTCACAGGCAAGACTTAAGCTTTCCTGCATTAACAGGCTGGCTGGCTCACTTGCACTCACATTGAGATCCTCCTCTGTATGATCCCTCTTGTTCCACTTAGCCTGTCCACTGGGCCACCTTTCACCACAACCCAATTCTGCATTCTCTGTCTGCACATAAGGCCAATTTGGCTTCCCTCAAAAATTATTGCTCTTTCTCACACACCTCCTCTCCTCAGTGGCAACTGACTTTGTTTCCCATGCCACATCTAGATCCTTGTTCCTTTAGCCTTGTCCTCTGACTCATGTCATATTACATTATTTTTCTCCCTCATCATTCTCAGTATCCATCACTAACTTGCCAATTCCTTTAATAACCTGGTTCCTATAGCCATGTGCTATATGTTGAATTGTATCCTCCCTAAGTTCATATGTTGAAGTCCTAAACTCAGTACCTAAGAATGTGGCTTTACTTGGCAATAGGGTCATAGCAGGATGTAATGAGTTAAGATGAGGTCATTTGTGTGGCTCCCAATCCAATATGACTGTGTATTTATAAAAATAGAAAATTTGAAGACAGACACATGCACATGAAAAGAATGGCGTGTGAAGGGAAAGTGCCATCCACAGAGGGAAGATAATGTGAAGACACTGGGAAATACCATCTACACATCAAGGGGTGTCTGACGCTTCCGGAATCTAGGAGAGAGGCCAGAGACAGATCCTTCTCTGGCACCTACAGAGGGAGCAAGGCCCAGCTAACATATTAATTTTGGGCTTTTAACTGCCAACACCAAGAGAATCAATTTTTGCTCTTCCAAGTCATCCAGTTTAGGATACTTGGTGATAGCAGCCCTGGGAAACTCATATGCTATTGTGGGTCAGTTTATCACTCACATCCTCAAACCCTGGGGCCTGTCAAACCTCAAATGGTTGAATTATTTGAACTCTCTGACTACAATTTCCTATGAATCTAGCATGTTTCCTTGGCTATTCTCTCCAAACCTTTTCTTTGACCACGCTTGACCTCTCTACGTCTACCCATTGATTTCCTTCCAGTGTTCAGTCTTTTCCCCTTTACTGTGAACCCCCACATTGGCCTTTCATTTTAACTCTGCTCTTTCTAATAATTTTAACATCTTTCTTTTGTTCTCTGTGACAAACCCTTATTCAGAATAACTCCACTTTTTTGCTTTTGGCGCTCTTTAACTGTTGAATAAAGTGAAGGGAAAAAATAGTTTAAGCCTGGATAATTTTTATGTACAGTTGTTCATTTTAGGCAAAATATATGTAGAGTGAGAATCACAAATCTGTGCATACAGCTTGGTAAGTTTTGACAAGTACATGAACCCACATAGCCCACACCCCTATGAAAACATCATATATTCAAACACTCAAAAATGTTTCCTTATGAAACTTCTCAATCAATGACCTACCCATACTCTGAAGGAGCCAGGGTATTGCTTTGTGTGTGGCTTCTTCTTCCACTGAGAAAGAAAAATGAAAGTCATCCAAGCTATGTAAATCAGTGGCTCAATCCTTTTAATGGTGAGTGTAATTACTTTGTATAAATCTAACATAGTTTGATTCATAATTGTGTCCTGTCCGGGTTTTGGCTATAATGAACCAACTTTCCATAAACATTCCTGTGTGTACAAGCCCTGTGTGGATAGGTGTTTTCCTTAAAGTTGGATAAATAACTAGTTGCAGAATTCTTAGGTAGCAGGGTAAATGTATTTTTAACTTTATAAGAAATTTTCGTATCTTTACAAAAAAGGTTGAGGCATTTTACATCACTACCAGCAATAGATAAGAATTATAGTTGCTCTGCATTCTTGCAAATACTTGGTGCTTTTCACATTTATAGTTTTGGGTATTTTGTGTGTATATGGTGATACATAATTGTGAGTCTAATACATGAATCTTAATATTAATTGTCTTCAGTAACAACTAGCCCCTCAATTCTGATGGGAAAACACTGTGCCTCCTAAAAGAAAGATAAAAGTGGCTCTTGTCACTGGCCACCTCCCACAAATTCCATTCTACAGAAACTGAGTATGAAGAATTGAAATGAATGCGGCATCAAGAATCTAATAAATTGATGTTTAAAATAAAACTGAGAAACTCTCTCTATGATGTCCTGTCACTCCAACTAAAAACTTAATTCATCTGCCTGAAATTTTTGTCCACAGATACTTCTACAATTGAAGAGATACTCTTCCTATCTAAGGCAATTCTTGGACCACGTGATATGTCTTGGTGGCTCCTCCAGAGAAAAACTCTATTATACTATGTGCATAATGTATATATGGTAAAATATCTATGTATATATGGATATATTTTTAAGCAGAAATATTTTCTTTTATTACAAACACATATGTGTGACTAGTATTTAAAAAATGGCAAATAGGGATGGCTTACATAAATTCAATCATTTAAGCAGAGTGTGTGTGTGTGTTGAAGTAATTAAGCAGTGAGCCCATCCTAGACCAGGTACCTGCAGAAAAATATCTTATACTATGTATATAAAATAGAAAGATGTGCTACTTGTTACACAATTGGGGTATACGTCCACCAGTTTTGCTCTGCTGCAGTTTTAGGGTATGCTCAGCAGGTAGGGTCACTGGTGGCTAAAATTCCATTTTTAAGATCTTTAAATAGAGGCATTACTTTGATTTTTTTTTACAGATATTTATCATGTGATGGTAAGTGCATTTAAGGTTACAATATACATTCTCATATATTTAAGACTTCATTTGCTTTAGATTTTTTTATCTGGCAATAATAGAAAACAATTTTTGGCTGTGATAAAAGTGGCCTGTTTTCTCTGATCTCTATGCATCTCAAGGCCACTGCTGAACTCCTCAGCTCATATGACAGTTTCAGCTCATGACAGACAGATGTTACTCCTCTTCTTTCCTGTCCTGATACAGTATTTAAATGAGTGGTTTTAAGATTCTTCTTTCCTGCCCTGATATAGTATTTAAATGAGTGGTTTTAAGATTCATACTAACTGCCTGTATATGTCATGACTGTTTTGTTATTGCATGCTTGCTTATTTGTGTATCATCTATCTATCTATCTATCTATCTATCTATCTATCATCTATCATCTATCTATCTATCATCTATCTATCTATCTACATTACTTCTCAGCTGATTTAATTTTCTCAATGCCAACATTAACAGTGAATCCTCTGAAAGCCTACCAGAAGAAACTGAGTCATAGGAATACAGATGATCCTTGACTTACAATGATTTAACATGATTTCTCAAACTATGATAGATTTATTGGGGGTATTAAATGCATTTCAACTTACAATATTTTTAACTTGGGGTGGACTTATCAGATCCTAACCCCACTGTAAGTCAAGGAGCATCTGTACAACTTTCCTTGTAGGCAGTTTAATTATGAATGTCATAAACTATTATGACATTTTTTATACCGTTGGATCCATTTGGGGAAACTTCTATTGGGATTCAATTCCACTGAAATTCTATTCCATTGGCTAAATTGGGGGAGATATTTGTTAATTTTTTATATATTTAGGGGCTTTTGTTTGGCAAAAACTTATCTCTAAGAGAAGTTCACATTCCATCTGCTCTGCCTTTTTTTTTTTTTTTTTTCTTTTGAGACAGAGTCTCACTCTGTTGCCCAGGCTGGAGTGCAGTGAACTCTGCCTTCAGGAATAAAAAAAGTGTATCAATTTGGACAGTTAATTCAAGAACATTGAGTTAACCTTCCTAGATGATGGATTTATCAAAGAATTTAAAAACACGTTTGCATTAAGGCAAACACACTTATTTAACTTTTCTCTGGAACTGGCTGAGATGTAAACTTTGGTGTGTTTTTATCTCTGTAATAGGTAATAATTGCAACACAGATGCCAAGAAAGGGTCTTGAGTATAAAGAAATTGCTTTACTGACATGCAGATTGATGATCAAATACTATTTTTGTTCCATTTCCTCATTATTCTTTCATTTTATCTCAGCAAATAGTTATAGCTAGATTAATTCAATAATTCAGTAATTGCCAGACTGAAAATAACATTAGAAATACAATCTCTTGCTGTCAACTTCAAAGAAATTCTACTCCTGTAATAATTAGGAAAAAAGTGTAATTCAAAGATGTTCTGTTTTTTTGAGAAATACTTTACTTCATTAAATTGGAAGTAAGTAGGACAGAAAAAAATAGTTGATGTCATTCTCTCAACAGGGTGCATAACAAAATATAAAAATTAGTTATTAAGTCCAGTCAAATCAAATATCAGGCTGACAGAATTAGATTTTCCATTTGGGGTACAAGCTAAATGCAGGTAATTAATAGTAAAGGACTAATTCCAAGTTCTTTAAACCCCACATGAAATATGAAGCATATTTCAAAAATAAGATTTCTCTGTGAAAGATACAAACTGTCTATAAAGCACTTACCAGGAATGTTATCTAAATTCAAATAATTTTTGAATAATATCCATTGTAACTTTGTAGATATTTTTATCATTTCATGAAGAATGTTATAACATAGGCTTTGAGAAATTAAACATTTCTCTAAAATGCTGGATATATTTTCTCATATTATCATTTGATATTATATTAAACAGGATAAAATGATAACACAAATATTACTTTTAGTGCTCACTTTTTTTACCTTTTAATGTCTGTAAAACTAAGGTGCTTTTATAATTTGGTAATATGCCACAATTTCATTGGGTGCGTTGTAAATATTTGGTCTACAGGCTGCAAAAAAGTGTAATTGTCTTTTGGAATAAATGGCATTTTGAGGTTCATTAAAAGTGGTGTGGATGATGAAAAGTAATTGTAAGAGTAAGAAAATTATTTTTCTTAGATCATTAAAAACTCCATATTTTAAAGCTTAATTCTTATATATTAAAACATTTTAAAAATATAATTGAAATATAACCAATGTTATGAAATTCTGTTTCGTGTTCTGTAGAGCAGCTATTTATTATAATGTAGACACAAATCAGTCATAATATATTTGTAAGCAGAAAAGTAGTTAATAGGATTATGTAAATTGGTATATTTTGAACCTTGCTGTACAGTACTTGGCCAAAAGCTTCATAAAAAACTACTGTGCCTGAAAATGGCATCAGATTTATTAACACAAAATATGATTTAAGTGATTTTCTAACAACATTTTAAGGTAGCCTCTATGATCCTCAAAATAGTTGACATAATAATAATATTCCTTTATAATATAATTCATATTTATTTAAAGAAATATATGAATTTATAAGTGGCATGTTACAAACATATATGAAATGAAAATAAGGTAATAATGTTTTTATCAATTACTTTTGATAGCATCCTTAATGGACACATATTTCTATCTCCTTAGTGTGTAAATACAAATATTTTATATATGTCTTGAGGGAAGTTTTAGAAAAACAGATGTGTAGGACATTTTGGTATTGAAAGTGAATTATCATTTTGAAAAAGCTATCTGGAATGAATTCATTCATAAAACAAACACAAATGTCATATTAAAATTTTAATGGTGCTGGGCATGGTAGCTCATGCACCAATTTGGAAGGCCAAGGCAAGAGGATTGCTTGAGCCTAGGAGTTCAAGACCAGCCTGGGCAACAGAGTGAGAGACCTCATCTCTACAAAACATTAAAAAAATTAGCCAGTGTGGTGTCATCCATGTGTAGTCCCCGCTACTCAGGAGGTTACAGTGGTGTAATTTCTTGAGCTCGGGAGATCAAGGCTGCAGTGAGCCATGATGGTGCCACTGCACTCCAGTCTGGGCAACAGGGCAAGACCCCATCTCAAAAAAAAAAAAAAGTTTTGATGGGAGTTTATCTGTAAAAACAAAAATTCTAAAAATTTCTATTTACATTATATTTAATACATTTTAGATTATAATAAATTTTTTAAAGTGTCAAATGAACAAAATGATGAATCAGGTGCTAAAATTTTTTTGCCATAGGTATCTGACAATACTAGCAAGATAAATCTTCCTTCACTTCAGATTGAACTTTCGTAGTCTGATTACAAAATGTTTATTTTGCCAAAATATCTGAAGGCCTGATGCCTCTATTATTCATTCTAATGCTAACTGACTTTCTTTTAAAGGATTTAGCATACTATTATTTTTACTGATTTTTATCTTTTTCACCACTTTAATGACCAGGTGTCCAATGGTCAATGATTTTGTACATTTTGGTATTTATCTGATATTGTCAAATGTTTGATTTGATTTGCTTCATCTGATTTCTTTTAAATGCAATTACTTAACTTTGTGGATCTCTGTATCTTCTAACACATTCATTATTATGTGTCCCAGATAAGTTATTCAACTGATTTAATTTGTCACAACTTCTTAGAGGTAGAAATAATACAATCTTGCAATAATTATATATAAATAAGAGATATTTACATTGGCATTGATACATATATGCATATTAGTTTTCTAGCCATAATCAATTAGCACAGATTTGCTAGCTTAAATAACAGAAATTCATGTTCTCACAATTCTGGGGGCCATAAGTGAAGGGTGTCAGGAGGTTTGGTTTCTTCAGACTTCCCACCATGGTTTGCAGATGCCACCCTCTTTCTGCATCTGCACATGGTCGTCCCTCTGTGCATGAGCACCCCTGACCTCTCCTCCTCTTCTTACAAGGCCATCGTCATACTAGATTGGGGCCTCACTTTAAGGACTTCATTTTAACTTAATAATTTCTTTAAATAGTTTATGTTCAAATAAGTCTGCCTTCTGAGCTACTGAAGGTTAGAGTTTCCACATATGAATTTTAGGGAGATACAATTAATCTTAGAATATAGAGAAAAATTCAAACCTGATAAACCAAAACCCAGTGTATGAAACTCAAAGTTTCAACAGCATTTCAAATAAATAATTAAACTCACCTTCTTGCAGCATTTTTAATTTTCCTTATGACTTCTCTAAAATTATTTTTTTCTGGTTTCTATTCTGCTACACTAGTCATTCCTTCCAATTGCCTGTTCTTGCTCTTACACTTTTACTCACTCTCTAAATATTGTGAGACCCAGGAATCAGTGATGAGTGCTAGAGCCTCTTCTCCCTGCACTTGCTACATGAGTACTTTATGGCCATGAAGGCCACCTTTGAGACATATGCCCTAAATAGGCCTATTAATTACATTCTTTTCTCCCAAACAATCCTTTGTATAATTTTCTCTATCTTACATAATGATATCAATTGTTCAAAGAAAGATATAAAGTCTTTTTTATTCCCTTCTTTACCTTAACTTTCACATCTAATTCATTAGCAAGTCCGGTCAGCAATAATTCCAAAATCCATCCAAATATAGTCCACATCACTCTCTATAATTTTCACCATAGATGAGAAAATATAATTTTCTCCAAATAGGTTCAAATTTCCTAAGATTCTTAATTCCACATTATTCATTATTTCATCAAATCTGCAAAAAGAAGTCAGAATAATCTTTTATACTATTATATACTATATAATTTTGTATTAGCCAATTATAGCTGAAGAAATAAACACCTGCCTATTAGCAATTAACAGACACTGCTAGTAAAAAATCAGTAAGGACATGGTTGAACTAAATAGCACTATCAATTAACTAAATCTAATTGACCTTTATGTAATACCTAATTTAATGACAGTGGTATATGCATTCTTCTCTAGCTCACATGAAATACTCACCAAGATAGACCACATCTTGGGCCACAAAATGTACTTTAACAAATTTAAAATAATAATGATCATACAAAGTATGATGACATAGCATAATATAATTAAACCAAAAATTCAAAGCAGAAAGACACCTGAAAAATTCCAGAATACTTGGTGATTAAATGACACACTTTTAAATAATACATAAGTTAAGGACAAGGCCACAAAACAAATTTAAATCTAGTTTAAATTAAAGAAATTGAAAATGAAACTTAATTTGTAGGATGCAGCGGTGCTTTGAGGAAAATTTATAATATAAAATGCATATATTAGAAAAGAAGAAAGATCTGCAATCTACAACCTAATCTTCTATTTTATGATACTAGTGAAAGAATAGCAAATTAAATGAAAGTAAGCAAAGCAAAATTAAAGTTAGAATAGGAGTCAATAAAATTGAAAACAGAAAATCAATAGAGAAAATTTTAAAACATAAAAATAAATTCTATTAAAAGATTAATCAAGTTGATAAAACTATATCTAGGATAACAAAGAAAAGAAAGAAAACACAAATTTCAAATATCAGAAATGAAAGGGGGGCCATCCCTACAGATCTCAGACATTAACAAGATAATAAAGAAGTATTATAAACAACTGTAAGGCCACTTGTTTAATAACCTAGGAAAATATGACAAATTCCTTGAAAAACATAATGTATCAAAATTCACATAAGAACAAATAGATAATATGAATAAAGCCTATGTATATTAAATAAATTGAATTGATAATTAATAACCTTCCAAAACAGAAAGAACTAGGCCCAAATGGGTTCAATGGTGAATTCTCACAAACTTATAAGAAAAAGGCCAACTTTCTTCAATCTCTTCCAGAAGAGAGAAGCATAGGGAATACTTTCTAAATCATTCATTAAGGTTAACGTTATTCTAACACCCAAACCAGGCAAAGATATTTATTTAACAAAAGGAAAACTATAAACCAATGTCTATCATGAATATTGCTAAAAGTTTGATAAAATATTAACAAATCACATTAAAATGTATAAAATAATTATACACCACTTCTAGTTTGAGAGTTTTTATTATGAATAGGTGTCTGGTTTATCAGAGGCTTTGACTAAATATATTTACATGATTTTCCTTCTTTACACTGTTAATGTAACTTTTGATTTTTGAATGTTGAATCAGTCTTGTATGATACACTGGTGCCTATCAGAGGGTGGAGGGGAAGAGAAAGGAGAGGATCAGGAAAACATAACTAATTGATAGTAGGCTTAGTACCTGGATGATGAAATAATCAGTACAACAGACCCCATGACACATGCTTACCTATGTAACAAACCTGCACATGTACCCCTGAACTTAAAAGTTAAATAAAAGAAACCTCTCAACTGTTTCCCAAACTTCTTGTACCATTTTATATTTACACCAGCAATGCATGAGAGTATTAATTGTTTCGCATCCTTGTCAACACCTGGTATTATTAATCTTTTAAATTTTAGTGATCCTACTAGATGTGTAGTGGTACATAATTGCCATTTTAATTTGTAGTTCCCTGATATCTAATGAGGATAAGCATCTCTGTGTGTATCTATTGGCTATTTTTAGATCATTTTTGTGATATTTATTTTTAAATCTTTTGCCTAGTCATTTAATTTAGCTTCTTGTCTTATTAATAAATTATGAGTTCATGAAAAATACTTTAATTATAATCTTCTCAAGCCATAGAAAAATATACAGATGGCAAATAAGCAGATGAAAAGATTTTCCACATCATATGGCAATAGCCAATTGAAAATTAAAATGATAATGAAATACCACTAGATGCCTTTAGAATAGTGAAATTTCAAAACACAGACAACATCAAATGCTGGTGAGAAAGTGGAGCAACAGGGACTCTCATTTATTGCTGGGGGAGTACAAAACGGTAGAATGATTTGGCATAGAGTTTGGCAGGTTTTTTCAAAGCTGCCATATGATACAGCAACAATACCCAATTGGTATTTAGTCAAATGAATTAAAAATTTATGTCCACTCAAAAACCTAGAAACAAATGTTGACAGTAGCTTTATTCGTAACTGCTAAAATTCAGTAACAACCAAGATGTTCTTCAATAGATTAATAGATTAACTGTGGTGCTTTCATACAATAGCATATTATTCAGTGATAAAAACAATATGAGCTATTGACATGAAAAAACACAGAAGAAGCTTAAATGCATCTTACTAAGTGCAACAAGCTAAACTGAAAAGACAGACGAGTGATTGGCCAGGAGTTCCCTCTCAGAAAGGAGTGAAGTAAGAATGAATAGGAGAAGCACAAGGAAATTCTAGGGCAGTGACACTATTTTGTAAGATATTGTAATGGCAGATGTAAGCCATACGATTTGCAAAAAAATATGAAATGTACAACACAAAGAGTAATTACTAATGTAAACCATGGACTACAGTTAAGCAATGTATCAATATAGGTGTGCCAATTGTCATAATTGTGCCACACTAATACAATACATTAATAATAGGGGAAACTGAAGAACAAGAAGTTCTAATTAATTTTTGTAAACCTAAAACTGATCTGAAATATAAAATTTGTTAATTTAGATTAAAAACAAAATACATCCAAAAGAAGTCTACATAATTAGAAATAAAAAATATCAATTCCATCAGACAATTGCCAATGGTTAAATAAAGCTGGTTGATGATTACAACATTTTATCTAATGGGAAAAAAAAAAGGAAGAAAGGAGACAACTTGAATAAGCAGGGTGTTGCTCAAGACTTAGTTCCAGCACATAAAAAAGGTTAAATAAAGTTATGTTTATATTTCCTCAAAGTTTGACTTCTCACCATTAATGACTAGATGATGAATGAAAATTAAACATTGAAATATGATTTTCAAGATTACCTTAGATTTATATTTGATTTGCAATTTTTTGAATAGTTATCTCCTAGTCTTCCCACTAGCATCTGACTTTTTCTGTTTCTAATCAGTTTTTTTCACTGCTTCAACCTTGTATCAAAAAAACACTTTCCTTGTTTTGATTTTGGAACTCTTTAAAAATTACTGAACTTGTATTTATTATTTTTTTGAGAATGCATCCAACATGCCTGCATATTCATCCCCTTCCTAAATCTAAGTCCCTTTGCAATAGCTCCAGCCATAAAGAAATGGTGCTTCTTTCCCTCCTACTGAATTTGGTCTGAGTATTTTTGAGAAATAAAATACAACGGAAGTGGTGGTATGCTATTTATGAGCCTTGGCTTTTAAAGGTTTTGAATCCTTCTACTCCCTCTTTTAAAACACTGACAACAAAATTGATAGACCGCTAGTAAGACTAATAAAGAAGAAAATGGAGAAGAATCAAATAGATGCAATAAAAAATGATAAAGGGGATATCACCACCAATCCCACAGAAATACAAACTACCATCAGAGAATACTATAAACATCTCTAGGCAAATAAACTAGAAATTCTAGAAGAAATTGATAAATTCCTGGACACATACACCCTCCCAAGACTAAACCAGGAAGAAGTTGAATCTCTGAATGGACCAATAACGGGCTCTGAAACTGAGACAATAATTAATAGCCTACCAACCAAAAAAAGCTCAGGACCAGACAGATTAACAGCCGAATTCTACCAGAGGTACAAAGAAGAGCTGGTACAATTCCTTCTGAAACTATTCCAATCAATAGAAAAACAGGGAATCCTCTCTAACTCGTTTTATGAGGCCAGCATTATCCTGATAGCAAAGCCTGGCAGAGAAACAACAACAAAAAAAAGAATTTTAGACCAATATACCTAATGAACATCCATGTGAAAATCCTCAATAAAATATGGCAAACTGAAACCAGAAGCACATCAAAAAGCTTATCCACCACGATCAAGGCGGCTTCATCCCTGGGATGCAAAGCTGGTTCAATATATGCAAATCAATAAATGTAGACCATCACATAAACAGAACCAACGACAAAAACCACATGATTATCTCAATAGATGCAGAAAAGGCCTTTGACAAAAATTCAACAGCCCTTCGCGCTAAAAACTCTGTATAAACTAGTAGTGATGGAACATATCTCAAAATAATAGGAGCTATTAATGACAAACCCACAGCCAATATCATACTGCATGGGCAAAAACTGGAAGCATTCCCTTTGAAAATCGGCACAAGACAAGGATGCCCTTTCTCAGCACTCCTATTCAACATATTGTTGGAAGTTCTGGCCAGGGCAATCAGGCAGGAGAAAGAAATAAAGGGTGTTCAATAGGAAAAGAGGAAGTCAAATTGTCCCTGTTTGCAGATGACATGATTGTATATTTACAAAACCCCATCATCTCAGTCCAAAATCTCCTTAAGCTGATAAGCAACTTCAGCAAAGTCTCAGGATACAAAATCAATGTGCAAAAATCACAAGCATTCCTATACACCAATAATAGACAAACAGAGAGCCAAATCATGAGTGAACTCCCATTCACAATAGCTACAAAGAGACTAAAATACCTAGGAATCCAACTTAGAAGGGATGTGAAGGACGTCTTCAAGGAGAACTACAGACCACTGCTCAACAAAATAAAAGGGGACCCAAACAAATGGAAGAACGTTCCATGCTCATGGATAGGAAGAATTAATATTGTGAAAATGGCCATACTGCCCAAGGTAATTTATAGACTCAATGCCATCCCTATCAAGCTACCAATGACTTGCTTCCCAGAATTGGAAAAAAAACTACTTTAAAGTTCATATGGAACAAAGAAGAGCCTGCATTGCGAAGACAATCCTAAGCAAAAAGAACAAAGCTGGAGGCATCATGCTACCTGACTTCAAACTAAACTACAAGGCTACCGTAACCAAAACAGCATGGTACTGGTACCAAAACAGATATATAGACCAATGGAACAGAACAGAGGCCTCAGAAATAATAGCACACATCTACAACAATCTGATCTTTGACAAACCTGACAAAAACAAGAAATGGGGAAAGGATTCCCTATTTAATAAATGATGCTGGGAAAACTGGCTAGCCGTATATAGAAAGCTGAAACTGGATCACTTCCTTACACCTTATACAAAGATTAATTCGAGATGGATTAAAGACTTAAATGTTAGACCTAAAACCATAAACACCCTAGAAGAAAACCTAGGCAATACCATTCAGGACATAGGCATGGGCAAGGACTTCATGACTAAAACACAAAAAGCATGGCAACAAAAGCCAAAATAGACAAATGAGATCTAATTATACTAAAGAGTTTCTGCACAGTAAAAGAAACTACCATCAGTGGGAACAGGCAACCTACAGAATGGGAGAAAATTTTTGCAATCTACCCATCTGACAAAGGACTAATATCCAGAATCTACAAAGAACTTAAACAAATTTACAAGAAGAAAACAACCCCATCAAAAAGTGGGGAAAGGATATGAACAGATACTTCTCAAGACATTTATGCAGCCAACAGACACATGAAAAAATGCTCATCATCACTGGTCATCAGAGAAATGCAAATCAAAACCACAATGAGATACCATCTCACACCAGTAAAAATGGCGATCCTTAAAAAGGTGGGAAACAATGGATGCCAGAGAGGATGTGGAGAAAGAGAAATGCTTTTACACTGTTGGTGGGACTGTAAACTACTTCAACCATTGTAGAAGACAGTGTGGCGATTCCTCAAGGATCTAGAACTAGAAATACCATTTGACCCAGTGATCCCATTACTGGGTATATACCCAAAGGATTATAAATCATGCTACCATAAAGACACACGCACACATTTGTTTATTGCAGCACTATTCACAATAGCAAAAACTTGGAACCAACCCAAATGTCCATCAATGATAGACTGGATTAAGAAAATAGGGCACATATATACCATGGAATACTATGCAATCATAAAAAAGGATGAATTCATGTCCTTTGCAGGGACATGGAGGAAGCTGGAAACCATCATTCTGAGCAAAGTATCACAAGGACAGAAAACCAAACACCGCATGTTCTCACTAATAAGTGGGAATTGAACAATGAAAACACTTGGACACGGGGCGGGGAACATCAGACATGGGGGCCTGGTGGGGGTAAGCAGGAGGGATAGCATTAGGAGAAATACCTAATGTAAATGACAAGTTGATGGGTGCAGCAAACCAACATAGCACATCTATACCTATGTGGCAAACCTGCACATTGTGTACATGTACCCTATAACTTAAACTATAATTAAAAAATAAATGCTGACACCGTGTATACAAACCCAGGCTAGCATGCCAAATGATGAGGCCACATGAACAGTAGCCCAAGTTTTCTAAGCTGCCCCATCTGAAGCTAAGTAAATGAGCCAGATACTGCCCACCCACTAAGTTGATGGAAAGTACATGAATGGATCCAGCTGAAACTTGTTGATAAGAACTCCTTACAGAAGAACCCGTCAGATGTTTTCCAAACTAGCAAGAGCATGAAATAAATATCTCAATTCCTTTAAACTGCTCAGTTCTAAAATGGTTTGTTACATAGCTAAAGTTAACTGATTTAAGAAGCTTCAAAACACACAAATTTGAAGGTAATAATGACTGTCAAAACTTGTTTTGTCTCTTACGAGTTCACTCCAAAAATTCCTATTATTTACTTAATAACTCCAAGTGGATACCCCACTGGTAACTTACATCTTCTCAATACTGAAATCATTGTTTCTTCTATAACTGTTTGTTTTTCTTATATTTATTTTATTTGATCATATTACTGCAAAATTATATAAATTTTTTAAATTATGGTAATTGTGACACTTTCACCTTAATACATGAATTCCATAATTAAGCATCCCAAATGTCTCATAAATGTATTCTTTTTTAAAAATAAATTTCATCATGTATGTCTGAGGTTTACAATATGATGTTATGGGACACATATACGTAGTAAAATGGTTACTACAGTGAAGTAGATTAACATATCTATCATATCATATAATTCATTTCTTGTGACAACAGTAGCTAAAATATGCTTATTTAACAAAAGTCCTTAATACAATACAATTATATCAGTTTCAGTTCCCACAATACATTATACTAATTTCAGGTTGTACATTAGGTCTCTATACTTGTTTATCCTACTTTATCTACTATTTTGTATACTTCAACTGATGTCTCTCCATTTTCTTTCCCCCCACTCCACCTATGTTATATACTATTTCATTCTCTATTTTTTTGCATTTGAGCTCTTTTTTTTAAATAGTCCACATATAAGTGAGATCATGTATTATTTTTATTTTTGTGTCTGGCTTATTTAATTTAGCATAATGTCCTCCAGGTCCACCCATATTGTGCAAATAGAAGGATCTCATTATTTTTAAAGGCTAAATAATATTCCATTGCATGTATACATATATATACACACACATATATATGTACACACACACACACATGCACAATTTTATCTTTCTATTGCCTCTCTTGAAATGCTGACATCGTGTAAACATATACGCACCACATTTTTAAATCTATTCATCTCTATAAAGAAACTTAGGTTGTTTTCATATCTTTACTCTTAGGAATAAAGCTGCATTGCTCTATGTTTCTGTTTTTGTGTCAGAATGATACTGTTTTGTTTACTATAACTTTGTAATATAATTTTTAATCCAGAAGTGTGATGCCTCTTACTTTGTTTTTCTTTCTTAGTGTTACTTTGGCTAGATTTTTATTTATTTATTTATTTATTTACTTATTTATTTATGTGTGTGTGTGGTTGCATACTTATTTTAGGATTTTTTTTCCTATTTCTGTGAATAATGCAATGGGAATTATGATAGTGATAGCATTAAATCTCTATATTGGTTTGGGTAGTAGGACATTTTAAGAATACTAATTCTTCCCACGTGAACATGTGATATATTTCCATTTATTTGTGTTTTCTATTTCTTTCATCAATGTATAGCAGCTTTCAGTGTACAAATCTGTATCTCATAGTCCAGAAGAGAATGGGATAATACGTTCAAAGGGCTTAAGAAAGAAAAATTCCAACCAAGAATACTATACCCAGCTATTTCATCTTTCAGAAATAAAGAGAAATGAATTTTCCTAGGCAAGCAGAAGCCTGTAATCCCAGCTACTTGGGAGGCTGAGGCAGGAGAATTGCTTGAACCCGGGAGGCAGAGGTTGCAGTGAGCCAGCATCATGCCACTGCACTCTAGCCTGGGCAACAGAGCAAGACTCCATCTCAAAATAAATAGATAAAATAAAAAATAACTGTAGCTACAATAAGTTAAGAAATATACAAACTAAAAAGATGTAAATTGTGGCCATCAAAATATAAATTGTGATGAGGGGAGGGTAAAATTCTAGGATATTTTTATCAGACCAAAGTTAAGTTGTTATCAGCTTACAATTGCCTATTGTAACTATAAGATGTTTTGTGTAGGTCCTATGGTAACCACAAAGCAAAAAACTTCAGCAGATACATGAAAGATAAAGAGAAAGGAATCAAACCTCAACACTATAGAGAATCACCAAACTACGGAGGTGAACAGCAAGATGGGAAGAAAAGAACAAAGGATTTACAAAACAACAAGAAAAAAGTTAACAAAATGGTAGAAATATGTCTATACTTATCAAAAATAACCTTACTTGTTAAAGGGATTAAATTCTTCAATCAAAGGACAGAGTGGTTGAATGTGTTTACAAAATTAGGATCCAAATACATCCTTCCCACAAGAGACCTGTTTTCACTTTGAGGACATACTTAGGCATCTTTTTTAAAAAAAGAGGTTATGATGGCCGGGTGCAGTGGTTCAGGCCTGTAACCCCAGCACTTTGGGAGGCCAAGGCGGGCAGATCATGAGGTCAGGAGTTCGAGACCAGCCTGGCCAATATGGTGAAACCCTGTCTCTACTATAAATACAAAAAATAGCTGGGCGTGGTGGTGCGTGCCTATAGTCCCAGCTACTCGGAGGGCTGAGGCAGGAGAATTGCTTGAACCCGGGTGGTGGAGGTTACAGTGAGCTGAGATTGTGCCAGTACACTCCAGCCTGGGTGACTGAGCAAAACTCTGTCTCAGAAAAAAAAAGATTATGATATTACAGTCTTCACCCAGCACATTTTCAACTATAATCTAAATAATCTAATCACTGTTTAACTGTACTTTTGAATCTGCAGGTTTTCCTAAGTCAGTCCAAATCTTACAGAAATATATTTTTATATTGCAACCAACATTATGTAAAATATCTCATAAAATTAATTATATGTTGATACATTTTGAGGAAAATCATACTGTATCTTGTTGCATAAAACAAAATTTATTGTAATTAGATTCTTGACTAGGTAGCTTACATTTCTACGTTTAGTTGATTCCATATTTTCTTACTCTCTATTCCAACTATGTCAAAATATGCCAGTTTAATAAATATCTGCTTGTCTTTGTAAATGCTGTTTCCTCTGTCTTGAATTTCTTAAATTGAACACAATTGTTTATTTGGGGTTGTCTCACCTTTTCCTCAAGTGCCAGGTCATATATTATCAACTGTCATTAGAGAAGAATCTTATTAGACAGGAATAAATAAGATGCTACCTTAACATATAAACATATATGATTATTGAGACAATGATATCTTCCACGATTTTTAAAAACCCTTAGAGTCACTCATCTAATAATATCAGACTATTTTTGTCTTCTATGATATTATAGTAAAAAATATTACTAGCATTTTTTCTTTCCAAAACATCTACTGCTTTCAAATTAATTTAGTAATATTTATTCTTTTTTGATAGATCACTATATGTAGCTCAATTGTAAGTTTTTATAATGCTTTAATAAAAACAAAATTACGGATAAAATTTGCTCTGTGAAAATGTCTGATAACATTGGAAGTAGTGATTTTTTATCTTTGCTCCCCAATCATGGAATTAATATTAGTTCTACAGAGCTCTATATTTTAAAGAATTCCCATTGTCTTTTCTTTTGACTATATTGATAAAAATAGAAGACTAAACTGAAATTTCTTTTCAGTGTAGCCTCCCTTGAAAAAAAAAACACTTCTTTGATACTTCCTTACCAGTTGTCATTCCATCACATTTTGATATAAACCATTTATTCTGCATTAGTGTTAAGCTCCCATATAATTGGCAGATGTATCATATCACGGTGTCCTTGAGCTTGTAATTGACTGTCAGTTTCTCAGTTCCATCACCCTGAATGCCACATTTGGTGACAGTGCTCAGAGAATACTCAATTTTATTGATGCTGTTTAGAGACCACCTGAGGTGTTGGAAATCATTTTATGTCTTTTTTATTCTCAGTTTGTCATCCCTATGCAGGATAGAGTCATCACTGTACCTTATCAAAAAATAAAACAAAATATGGTGCTAAATGCCATGCCAAACGCTTTAGGGATGATAATTTATTTCCATAGTTGATTGTAGTTAATTAAAAAACATAAATAATTGGAAGCGTTTCTGAAATTATAGATGGCAGTAGCTACTCTGATAAAATCGATAAATCTAATTGTAAATTTGTCATTAAATATTGAATAAAAACCTTTGTGGAAAGATTTTTCTCATTTCTAACTTTCATTTTGAAGCATCTATTTTTACAAGAAAATTTAAAGAATTCTTAATTGGAATTGACAAAATTTTATCTCTAATGTATATTTATAATTCTACATGTCTTAAATATCTATCTCTAATTTTTAAACTTTATATAAAAACACAGTTGTTGATTTAGTAAACACCTCAATGCTTTTCATGCTATTGTTTTTATAGTTTCAGCATTAAATTTATTCATTAAATATTTATTGTATAAAAATCCTTGTATTCAAACCACAATCAATAATTTTCTTGTTTGATGCATTCTTTTATTATCCATCATGTGATTTAAATTACTTTCTTCCCTTAACATTATAAAATAGTATTTCCTTAGGAATCTCTTAGGTTAGTAAGCTCTTTCATATACATTCTCATTTATTCCTCCAACAGTGATGTTTGCTTCCTATTTGTTACATAAACTCAGTCTTTTATTTCTTCCATTATTTGTTTTTCATTGTATACAAATGCATAAACACGTTTAACTTAAAAGCTTAAAACAGTTGTGCAGCATTAAGTGGTTTATAGCTAAAATGACTTCCCTATCTACAACATTTTCATTGAAAGCTATTTCTATAATATTCCCTAATGGTATTGATTTGATAGCCAATTTGTGTGTGTGTGTGTGTGTGTGTGTGTGTGTGTGTGTGTGTGTGTGTGTTTGTGTATGTAGATGTGTATATATATATATATTCCCTTAGGCTGAATTCAGGAGGGCAGTTTTGTCTTCTCAATGAGTATAGCACAATGCTTTGCATAGAATAAACATATTAAAGATTTTGGAATGTAAAATGAAAGCATATCCTATTGTAAATTGCATATATACAATGGAGATGTCATTATTGTATAATTTTTATTACAACAAAATTTCAGTGACATAAATGTGACTATATAATATTTTATATAATTTAATATTTGTTATTTTTATAAAACAGTAAAAGAAACATATTTTTAAAGCTCTATGTTTCAAAACAGTAGACATTGAGAAAGATTAAAAATATATAAATATGCTGTTTAAACATATTTATATTTGCAGATTCTGCATTTTCCTTGAGAGAGAAATGCTCTAGCTTTTACACAGATGTATTAGTCAAGGTTCTCTAGAGAGAGAGAGAAAAAAAGATTATGAGGCATTGGTCCATGTGATTATGGTGGCTGAGTTGTCCCAGTATCTACCATTTGCATGGTGGAGATGCAGAAAAACCTGTAATGTAATTCAGTCTGGGTTCAAAGGCCTGAAAACAAGGGGAGCCAATAATTGTAAATCCCAGTTCAAGAAAAGGGGAAGAAATAAGATGTCCCAACTCAAGCAATGAGGCAGGATAAAAGAGGAAAATTCTTCCATCCTCCAGTTTTTGCTCTCTTCAAGCCTTTGACAGGTTGAAATATGACCGACCACAATGGCGTGGGCAATATACTGTACTGAGTCCACTGATTCAAATGATTATCTCTTCTGGAAACACCTTCATAGACACATTCAGAAACAATGGTTAATCTGGGCACCTGTGACTCACTCAAATTGACACATAAAAGTAACCATAGGTGACTGTCCAACTTTAGGAGATTTTGAATATTACCCTGCAAACTTATTGAAAGGCAGATTTCTGTGCCAACATCTCAACTATTCCAGATAAATATGTCTGGGATAAGGCCCAAGGACCTATGTTTTAAGTCTTACAGGATTCTTATAATCTATAGACTCACTCGTAGACAAAGAAATTTAGATCAACACTGCTAATGGCCTTTATTTGCTGTTTGTGTTTATTCATTTTTGTTAGACATTAAGGTATGCTAAAATTATAGGAGTAAAGCAATCTAGGAGTTAGGTAATTTTATATAATACAGTCAAAAATATTAAAAATGGTTTCTGAAAACTCCAGAGAAACGAACCTCTTGGGAATTCGGAAATGGCCCAGAAAATGGCAGAAGGCTTGGGTTTGGGGATAATTATGAAGGATGAGAAATACAAACCAGCAAAGTTGAAGGATATAAAAGGAACTTGGAAGAATACTGATCATAGTATAGTTGATCCTTGAAAATCATAGGCTTGAATTGTATGAATCCACTTCCAAAATTTTTTAAAAATAAATATACTGGAAAATTTTTTGGAGATTTGCAAATATTTGAAAAAAAACTTGCAAATAAACTATGTAGCCTAGAAATAGCCAAAAAAAAGAAAAAAGTTAGATCTGTCATGAATGGATAAAGTATGTGCAGATACTAGTATATTTTATCATTTATTATCATAAAATACATATTATTATTAAAAAGTTAAAATTTATCAAAACTTACAAATACAAATAAAGACTGTACATGGTGCCACTCACAGCTGAGAGAAATATAGATAAATGTAAAGAAGCAGTATTAAATTATAACTGCATACAATTACCTGTAGTGCATACTGTACTACTGTAATAGTGTGGTGGCCACCTCCTATTGCTATTGTGGTGAGTTGTAGCGTTGCAAGCATCCCCTTAGAACACCATGTAATGCTAATTATCTCCACATGAGCAATTTGTCTCTAGTAAATTGTGTATGGCAGTAAAATGTGATCCCTTGCAATGCTAGTATATTTTATCTTGTGTTTAGTGTAATATCATAAACCTTGAATAACACCATGGAACCCATGCAAAGTGCCACTAGTGATACTGAAAGTACTCTCAAGAAGCAAAGAAAAGTCATGACATTACAATATAAATTTGAATTGCTTGATATGCACCACAGATTTAGGTCTGCAGCTGCAATTGCCCAACATTTCAGACAAAGGATTTTTTTTTAAACAGATGATGTAAACTCATAGTATTGTTAAATACAGTACAGTATTTATGTATTTGCTCTTCCTTTGATTTTCTTAATAGAATTTCTTTCCTCTAGCTCATTTACTGTAAGAATGCAATATATAATTCATATGTTATCTGTAAGGCTTGCAGTCAACAAGAGGCTATTAGAAGCTAAGTTTTGGGGAAATCAAAAGTTTTATTTGAATTCTCGACTGCAGAAGGAGGTGGGTGTCTGTGTCCTAACCCTCATGTTTTTCAAGGTTCAATTGTATTTAATTTGTTCTTTGTTTTGACTTGGGTTATAATCTCTACTTTCCTATCACACCCCTACTATCTCAAACCTTTGGTGAAAGTGCCACCACTTGCATTGGCTTTTCTCTGAGGAATTAAAGTTGAAAAACACACACGTGGACAGAGCTGAAGGCGAAGAAGTCACCTTTGACAGGTGATAATTGAGACGAGCTCTGGGAGCAGATATCAGGAGTAAGAAATTATAGATTAATGTAACCAACTGTTTAGGAACCCTCAGAGGTATGATGATATGATAGTGGGAGATTTTCAACAGGATCTGGGATGGAAGCTGGGGCCATTTTTTCCATTTGTATTATGGAAACAAAGTATCTGTAAAATACTAGAGGACCAGGAGCCCAAAGGTTTATATATTTTTAAATATTGAAAAAACTTTAAGTGTTTTTAAGCATATGTGGAATGCTAACAATTTGAACAGGTGTGTATCTTTCTTAATTATTTTAATTAAAACATTCTTAGAATAGTGATTCTGATTAAAGCTAGCGGATAAAACTGAAAGGGAAAGAGACATAAAGAATGACAATTTGCTAATCCAAAGTAGAGCAGCTGCTGCAAATGAAAATTTTACAACAAAATTCAGAAATATGGGGGCGGTAATCAGATGAGGCTAAAAATACCAAGTAGAAATTCATGAATAAATTACATAAAATAACAAAAATCCAGCCCACTTCCCTCCTACCCCCACCCCTATTTTTCTTGTACAACCTACCTGAATTGAAACGAAAGTTGTTTAAGTAACTTCAAGAATTACAAGAGGGTTCACTTAGTTATTAAATCTGACATTGAAATTGGAAAAATGATTTGTTCAGTAACTGTGTAAGACGTCGTTTTGGAGACATGCATGTGAGATGTGTAGTTCTAATAAAACCTCTGCATCACAAACTCAAAAAGCTGCAGCCTGGTTTATGCCCAACAGCTTTATCCATAGTCTAAGTACTTTAAAAAAGAAAGAAGATAATACCTGCAACATTGATACCTAGTCAGAGAAATCACACAAATCAGTTTTGAACCGTTACCAGAGATGACAGAAGAACATGCACTGCGAAGTGATGAGAAATTCTAAATTGTTTACTTACTAAGGAAACTGACTTACTTGACCTAATGTCTGGCAGTTTCTATTCATTCCTCCTTTTGTCTAGTTTCTTTGTTTGATGCAGGTCAGGGAACAAAATCTATTATATCCTATGAATTTAGTAAGCACATCTTCTCCCCATTATCAGATATTTTTGTGTTCAAAGGACATTTGATGTATGTGGCAGCTTTTGAACCACAAGGTTGAATATAAAGAAAAAAGTCGAACAATACTTTGAATTCACATCAAATACACGTGAACATTTCATAAAATAAACTGATTAGAGTTTGTTAAATGCCACAAGAAATTTATTTTGAGTGAGAGAAAATAATTAAGCCTGAAAAAATTTTTTACCTACAATTGACAGAATAAACAATTATAGGAGATCCATTTGATATGTTCTATCCCAATTAGAAACAACTACTTCTCATCAAATACCTGCAAAGACCTAAAGATTGCCATCATTCTACCTCACTCAGTTTGTGTTTTTCCACAGAAAGTATTTTTTAATAAAGTTTTCTAGTTTGATAATAAAATTATTCATATTTATATTAAACTCATCTTCATTTTACATCACTGCTGCTTCAACTGGGTGAGACATTTCCTTTCCAATTAAGAACAAAGATTAGTGTTGCAGGTGTAAAATATATGGAAAAATAGAACATAAATATCAGATATATTTCTCTATACTTAAGTATATACTTATAAGCTTATAAGTATATGTTTAAATATGACTCATAATTTTTTCTACAAATAACAATCAAGGAAAAGGAAACAATTAAAATATATATATATTAAGTTTATTTCTCAAATTACTAATTTAAAACAAGTATTTTAAATTTTGAAAATAAAAACAGTTTGCTATTAAACTAAAATTATTTCATGCTTTGATTATAAATAGCAAAGTAATAAGCAAATAAACAAGTGATAAAGTTCTATGAAAAAATGTTACTAAAAATTTAAATGTCAAAATGTGCAGCATTAACTTTGCATTAAATTTTGGTATTTTTAAAAATCAATATTGATCACTTTCAAATATACATCCAATATTATCCTATAAAGATCTTAGATCTTTTTAAACTCTACACTTAATTTTGTGTTTGATATTCAATGATGTGAAGAGAAAGATATTTTTGATTAATGATATCAGAGGCAGAATGTTCTGCATGTAAAATTCGTGAGTGGAATTGGTGGTTAGAAATGGATCACGAGAACTAATATGTCTGTGTATTAATTTTTATTAAATGATAAATTAATGAAAATTACCTTTATACATATAGCAATGCTTTAATAAGAGCATCCTTAAGGAATGATCATCTGGCATTGCCTAGTTTGGTCTAGTTGTATCATGGGTCAATGAAAAGAGGATTCAGAGAAAATTAAGCTGTTAACCAAGTAAGACAAAGAGAATGTGACTTCCCAGGTCCACTGATTTTATTCTAATCTTTCTTTCTTTTTAAAGATTTAATGATAAATCTGATATTTTTAAGGTTTGGTTAGGCTTTACTTTTATATTAGTTTCAAACATTCTTCCTTTCTACTTTATAGTTTCTCTGAAACCATAAAACCCATAAACAATAGTTCAGCTAATTCATGGTTTTCACACCATAAAATAGATCTTAATGTTAACATGTATTGGGGCTTAAAAATAGCATCATTATTTTGTAGCAATTGTGAATGGGATTTCACTCATGATTTGGCTTTCTGTTTGTCTATTATTGGTGTATAGGAATGCTTGCTATTTTTGCACATTGATTTTGTATGCTGAGACTTCGCTGAAGTTGTTTATCAGCTTAAGGAGATTTTGGGTTGAGATGATGGGGTTTTCTAAATATACAGTCATGTCATCTGCAAACAGAGACAATTTGACTTCCTTTCTTCCTATCTGAATGCACTTTATTTCTTTCTCTTGCCTGATTGCCCTGGCCAGAACTTCCAACCCTATGCTGAATAGGAGTGCTGAGAGAGGGCATCCTTGTCTTGTGCCAGTTTTCAAAGGGAATGCTTCCAGCTGTTGCCCATTCAGTATGATATTGGCTGTCGGTTTGTCACAAATAGCTCTTATTATTTTGAGATATGTTTGATCAATCCGAGTTTATTGAGAGTTTTTAGAATGAAGAGGTGTTGAATTTTATCAAAGGTCTTTTCTGCACCTATTGAGATAATCATGTGGTTTTTGTCATTGGTTCTGTTTATGTGATGGATTACTTTTATTGGTTTGCGTATGTTGAACCAGCCTTGTACCCCAGGGATGAAGCCAACTTGATCATGGTGGATAAGCTTTTTGACGTGCTGCTGGATTTCATTTGCCAGTATTTTATTGAGGATTTTTGCATTGATGTTCATCAGGAATATTGGCCTGAAATTTTCTTTTTTTGTTGCGTCTCTGCCAGGTTTTGGTATCAGGATAATGCTGGCCTCATAAAATGAGTTAGGGAGGAGTCCCTCTTTTTCTATCGTTTGGGGTAGTTTTAGAAGGAATGGTACCAGCTCCTCTTTGTACCTCTGGTAGAATTCGGCTGTAAATCCATCTGGTCCTGGGCTTTTTTTGCTTGGTAGGCTATTAATTACTGCCTCAATTTCAGAAGTTGTTATTGGTCTATTCGCGGATTCTACTTCTTGCTAGTTTAGTCTTGGGAGGCTGTATGTGTCCAGGAAGTTATCCATTTCTTCTAGACTTTCCAGTTTATTTGTGTAGAGGTATTTGTAGTACTTTCTGATGGTAGTTTTTATTTCTGTGGGATCAGTGGTGATTTCCTCTTTATCATTTTTTATTGTGTCTATTTGATTCTTCTCCATTTTCTTTTTTATTAGTCTGGCTAGCCGTCTATTTTGTTAATCTTTTCAAAAAACCAGCTCCTGGATTCATTGATTTTTTGAAGGGTTTTTCGTGTCTCTGTCTCCTTCAGTTCTGCTCTGATCTTAGTTACTTCTTGTCTTCTGCTAGCTTTTAGATTTGTTTGCTCTTACTTCTCTAGTTATTTTAATTATGATGTTAGGGTGTCAATTTTAGATCTTTCCTGCTTCCTCCTGTGGGCATTTAGTGCTATAAATTTCTCTCTAAACACTGCTTTAGCTGTGTCCCAGAGATTCTGGCACATTGTCTCTTTGTTCTCATTGGTTTCAAATAACTTACTTATTTCTGCCTTAATTTCGTTATTTACCCAGTAGTCATTCAGGAGCATGTTGTTCAGTTTCCATGTAGTTATGTAGTTAAGAAACTCTGAGTGAGTTTCTTAACCCTGAGGTACAAACAGAATAAAATACCTAGGAATACCTAGGGATGTGAAGGACCTCTGCAAGGAGAACTACAAACCACAGCTCAAGGAAATAAAAGAGGACACAAACAAATGGAAAAACATTCCATGCTCATGGATAGGAAGAATCAATATCGTGAAATGGCCATACTGCCCAAAGTAATCTATAGATTCAATGCTATCCCAATCGTGCTACCATTGACTTTCTTCACAGAACTAGAAAAAACTACTTTAAATTTTATATGGAACCAAAAAAGAGCCCATATAGCCAAACCAATCCTAAACAAAAAGAACAAAGCTGGAGGCATCATGCTACCTGACTTCAAACTATACTACAAGGATATAGTAACAAAAACAGCATGGTACTGGTACCAAAACAGATATATAGATGAATGGAACAGAACAGAGGCCTCAGAAATAACACCACACATCTACAACCATCTGATCTTTGACAAACCTGACAAAAGCAAGCAATGGGGAAAGGATAAATGGTGTTGGGAAAACTCACTAGCCATATGAAGAAAAATGAAACTGGACCCCTTCCTTACATCTTATACAAAAATTAACTCAAGATGGATTAAAGACTTAAATGTTAGACCTAAAACCATAAAAACCCTAGAAGAAAACCTAGGCAATACCATTCGGGGCATAGGCATGGGCAAAGACTTCATGACTCAAACACCAAAGCAATGGCAACAAAAGCCAATACTGACAAATGGGATGTAGCTAAACTAAAGAACTTCTGCACAGCCAAAGAAACTATCAACAGAGTGAACAGGCAACCTACATAATGGGAGAAAATTTTTGCAATCTATCCATCTGACAAAGAACTAATATCTGGAATCTACAAAGAACTTAAACAAATATACAAGAAAAAAACAAACAACCCCATCGAAAAGTCAGTGAAGGTTATGAACAGACACTTCTCAAAAGAAGACATTTATACAGCAACAAACATATGAAAAAAAGCTCATCATCACTGGTCGTTAGAGAAATGCAAATCAAAACCATAGTGAAATACCATCTCCCTCTAGTTAGAATGGCGATCATTGAAAAGTCAGGAAACAGCAGCTGCTGGAGAGGATGTGGAGAAACAGGAACACTTTTACACTGTTGGTAGGAGTGTAAATTAGTTCAGCCATTGTGGAAGACAGTGTGCCCATTCCTCAAGGATCTACAGCCAGAAATACCATTTGACCCAGCGATCCCATTACTGGGTATATACCCAAAGGATTATAAATCATTCTACTATAAAGACACATGCACATGTATGTTTATTGAAGCACCCTTCACAATAGCAAAGACTTGAAACCAACCCAAATGCCCATCAGTGATAGACTGGATAAAGAATATGTGGCAGATATACACTATGGAATGCTATGCAGCCATAAAAAAGGATGAGTTCATGTCCTTTGCAAGGACATGGATGAAGCTGGAAACTATCATTCTCAGAAAACTAACACAGGAACAGAAAACCAAACACCGCATGTTCTCACTCATAAGTGGGAGTTGAACAATGAGAACACACGGACACGGGGAGGGGAATATCACACACTGAGGCCTGTTGGGGAGTAGGGGTCTAGGGGAGGGATAGCATTAGGAAAAATACCTAATGTAGATGACGGATTGTTGGGTATAGCAAACCACCACAGCACATGTATACCTATATGACAAACCTGCATGTTGTGCAAATGTATCCCAGAAAGTACAATAAAAAATTTAAATTTAAATTTAAATTTAAAAAAAGGTAAAAAAGTACTTTTTGTGTGTGTGTGTGTGACAGAGAGTATCTCTGTATTGCCCAGGGTGAATTGTGATGGCTCATTCTCTCATTGCAACCTCCGCCTCCTGGGTTCAAGTGACTCTCCTGCCTCAGCCTCCTGAGTGGCTGGGATTACAAGCGTGAGCCACCATGCCCAGCTAATTTTTGTATTTTCAGTAGAGAAGAGATTTCACCATGTTGGCGAGGCTGGTCTCAAACTCCTGGTCTCAAGTGATCCACCCGCCTTGGCCTCTCAAAGTGCTGGGATTACAAGTGTGAGCCACCATGCCCAGCCAAAAATAGCATTTTGTTGATATTTTTTACATAGTTAAAATAGTCACAGAAATACTCATTCTTATTTAATACACACAATTAGTCTTTAGGGTTTTCTTGAATATGTACTCATGATTCAATTAAATGTTGAGTTGATTCATGCACACACACGTGTGTAGGTGTGGGTATGTTTTGTGTTTTATTTAACCATTTTAATGCTATTATTGATAGGCTATTCAGTGAATTAAAAAAAATTATCCTAATACAGGTTCTCAAACATTTATAAAGGTATTTTTAAACACAAATGCATTTTTTCAATAATTATATTAAATATTTTATTTGTTCATTAATTTATTTAGCAAATTTTATTGAGTATAATTTGGCACTAGGATGATCAACAGGCAGATAATACAATTAGTAAATAAAACAGATAACAATTTCCTGAACTTCTGGTGATTATAGTCTAGTTCAGCAAGACAGATGCTAATACAATAAGTAATAAAATACACAGTATATTAGAAGCAATGGATACCAAAAATAAATAAATAAAGCTAAGAAGGATAACATTAAATATTGAGGGCTATTTGCAATTTAATAGAATGTTTCCCTGAGAAATTGTCAGTTCACCAAAAATGTAGTAAGGATGAGAACAGGGGCCAAACAGAAGGATATGAAAAGCACTGTTTAGTGAGTCAATCAGTATTGTACTTACAGTGAGGGAAGAACAAAAAGAAGGCAAGAGGTACTGGGATGGATGTAAGCAACAGAGAGGGAGAAGCTGATGTCCATGAGGTAATGCTGTGTGTTGAGGAATCTGATTGTGACAACCTTTTAAGGAAATGTTAAGGGGATTTGACTGTCATTCCAAGGGAGGTAGAAAGCTATGGGAATATTTTAAGAAGCCATGTACCTCTGGCTTCTGATGAGTTTGTACTTTGTTATTCTGGCATTGAGAAAACATATAGATGTGAGCATTGTTTTCTAGCGATTTACAGTAAGTATCCATAAGGACAATGAACCAACCTTAGTCATCATGCTGCACACCATACAAAAACAGCATGCCCTTAACCCATTTTATATCCACATTGGCCAGGGTTTCTTTGAAGAAATCCCCAGAATTACTGAAATTGATTATTTCACACTAAGAAGAAGAAGAAAAAAACTTCAAAATTCTAGCATGAATTTTGTCCAAACCATAAGGAAATTTATCTGCAGATATATGTGCCTAAGCAGAAATTTCTTCCTTTAAAAATAATTTTACCAGCTTTTTTAAACCCAAAAGATGCCGTATTAATGTGGATTAATTTATTGGCTGAATTTTGTAGTAGCTCCTCTACTACTGTATTTTTGAGTCACTGTACATTCTTCTTAAAAGGAAACTGTGAATTGTACTTTGGGATATTATCTGGACCAACTCTCATGTCAAGGAGACAGTGCTTGATATTTCTAAGCTGTCCATGGAACTGCTCTAAGTTCACAGCAGTGACAGATGTTTTTGCTTTTCCATATTTTTATGGCTCATTTATTATTTCAAAGGCCATATAAGAGTAAAGGCTATTTATGAGTGAAGAGGGAAAACATATTAATTTGTAATGTATGTTCACATTGTTATCTTTTTCCAAGTGTTTTCATGACCTAAGAACATTCTGAATCATAGAATAACCTCCTTAAGTCATCTAATGTATATAGTTGCATTTTCACTTTTTTCCTCTAAAATATACATATTTTTCTCCATAAATCTACTAATAGAGAGATAGGAAACTTTATTCATTATATAATCTAATCATATTTTTAACAGAAAAGTATGCTACTCCATAAAGTAACATGATACTTATAAAAGCATGAATGAACTATTGTTTGAAAGATAATAAAACTTTCAGAATGTCCAAGACATTCTTGATAATCTCAAGAGAACTGCCAAATAAAAGAAGTTCTTTGAAGGTGAAAATGTTTTAATATTTCATTACCATCTACTATATGACACTAAACTGAGCTTAGAGACTGAAAAATATTTAGAAATTTCTAAAACAACTCAACTAATGATATCAACATGTTACAAATGTATTTTCATAAATCTCCAAACACGGGGACATGTTTACCTAGACACATTTATGTGTTTGAAGATACACACACACACACATACACACTCACACACAAAATTCTTCTAATCTATAAACAAGCCATGATTTGAACATATATGCTATTATTTCATCCTTGACTCCCTATCCTCCCTAAAGTCACCTGTCCTCTATATCAAATTAATCAAAAGTACAGCAAATGGTAAAGTGGACAGCAATCCAGGCTTGCCACTGAACAAATTGTGCAATCTCAAGTAATTTATTTATATTCCATCCCTCAGTTTCCTCATAAAGTGGAGATAATAATAGCATCTCTCACCCTGGTCTTTTGTGATTGTTAATTACTAGTGTACAGAGAGAATTTGGAATTATACCTGGCACACAGTAAGCTTTTGTAATGATTAACTGTTATTATAATTACCTCTGTTGAGCTAAAATAATGAACAAAAGGAAGAGTTAAAAGGGACATTTTTTTTTGTATTGGTGGTGGGCAACCCATTAGGGATTGAGTCAGTAAATTCAAAGGAAACTACACAGAGCTGCTAGATCCTGTGGAAGTGAGAGACAAAACTAGTATAATTTTATAGAAATAATTTTAATTTTAGATGCAAGGATGAATGTAGCTAAGAACAATGAAATTCTTACCAATTAGTGATTTAGTCTAAAGGGAGCTTCATGACACAGAAAAAAGACTAGAGATTTTATGAATATTTCTGGGCTCTCTATTTTGTGCCCTTGATATATGTGTCAATTCTTTTACCATTACCACACTGTCTTGATTACTGTAGCTTTGTAGTAAGTTTTGAAGTCAACTTGTGCCAAGTGCTCTGACTTTGTTCTTTTTCAACACTGTTTTGAATATTCTGGGTCTTTTGCCTTCCCCTATATTTAAAATCAATTTCTCAATATCCTCAAAATAGCATAGTAGGGTAATCAGAAAACAACTGTAAAATGCAATAAACAGTGTTATATCTAGGATCTATCAGTCATGCATACTACAGGGATGTGGGTAGCCTCACTGAAAAATCTTTCATCTTGTAGATCATGTTTCTGCAACTCCTTGACCACAAGGATTTACAGAAAATGTTTTACTATAAACATTTTCTATAAAAAAGTTTATTTTCTAGGAATATTTTAGAAAATATTAATTAATTAATTAATGCATTAAATAATGAATTATTGATTAGTGGATAAATCCTTGCAATGAATTATGCAAAGCCATTTTGTAAGAATCAAAAGCAAAGCAATTTCTCTAATAGTTCATTTTATAACATATTGTTGATGACACATGTAAATATTGTTTATATATTTTCCAAATCTATTTCCTTAGTTTCTTTAACATGTTTTTTAAGAGAAGTATTAAAACTCTCAATACTTTTCATTTGAAACAAAAATGTTTCAATCTTACCCATTGATAAGGAATCATTATATTCCATCTAACACTCTGTTTCTATGAATTTCATCATTCAAAATTAAGGTTGTCATTGGTTTCACATTTTAAACTCTACTTTCCTCAGCTAAAAACTTCAGGCATTTAAATACTGATAGTGAATGTTATATTCTCTCCCAGCTTTAAACAATTGTTTCTTTTTTCAGCATGTTTATTTCAGTAAATGTTTAAAAAACTATCTTTAGAATTTGAAGTGTATTTTTTTTAACTGCTCATACTCTCAACTATTTGTTTTGTTGTTCTTTCTCCATTTTCTGGTACAAGATAAAAACGAACAGTATAAATGAACATATATATATGTGTGAATGTATATATGTATATATACATTCACATACATACAGACAAAAGAAAGAGTTAAGAAGGCAATTTTTGGTATGGATAGTGGGCATAACATTATGGAATACAGTCAGAAAATTCAAAAGAAGCTGCATAGAGCAGCTGGATTCTGTGGAAGTAAAAGACGAAACAAACATAAAAACTTCATGAAAATAATTTTAATTTTTGATATAGGGATGAATGTAGCAAAGAACAATAAAAATTCTTACCAAGTAGCGATTACACAGCTTTGACTGCATTGTAAATTGTTCACACTATAGTTCTAATTAATCTTTAACTTAACGTTTATACTGATATTTTTTACAAATTTCTTGAGTGATTGTATCTTCTTGGTTCTCTTTTTGTTGATTTTCAGTTGTATTATATATATTAAAATTTATTGAATTTTATTGAGATTTTGTGACATTATGTAATTATGTTTTTTCTAGGCTGTTAAGCATAGTAAAAAAAAAACCCAGTATATTATTTGTTTGCAAAATCCCAATAGAATCTAAGCCCTAAAATATAAATAAATAGTAAAAAAATGTTGTAGGTCTCTAAGATTTTTTTTAATGAAAATCATAATAGCGTCTGTGCTTTAAAAGCTTAATTGGGCCAGGCGCTGTGGCTCACGCCTGTAATCCCAGCAGTTTGGGAGGCTGAGGAGGGTTGGTCACCCAAGGTCAGGAGTTCAAGACCAGCCTGGCCAACATGATGAAACTCCATCTCTACTAAAAATACAAAAATTAGTCTGGCTTAGTGGTGCATGTAAACCTAGCTACTCAGGAGGCTGAGGCAGGAGAATTTCTTGAACCCAGGAAGCAGAGGTTGCAGTGAGCCGAGATCATGCCATTGCATTCCAGCCTGGGAGACAGAGTGAGATTCCGTCTCAAAAAAAAAAAAAAAAAAAGCTCAATTCTATTGCCTTCTTCTAATAGATAATAATGAAGTGACAGTCTGAATGTAATTTTGCTGAAAATATCTGCATTTAGATAATTTGTAAAGAACTAAAATTTAGGAACTAAGATTAGAGAGAGGATTACTTGAGTCTCACCACTGATTGTTTAATTATGTTTTATGTCTATTGATTGATTATATGGTTGTTTTTTCTGGCAAAATATTCATTTTTTAGGATTATTTTCTGAAGATTTATTTTATGGCTTTGTTTTGGCTGTTTTTGTTTCTTTATGTGCCTTGTTAGTTTGAGTTGAGATCCATGAATCTGAAAAAACAACCACATCTCCTGGTCTTTGTGAACTGACTTTATAGAAGGAAAGATCTTCACCAGCCAGTCCAGCTGGAGATGCTGGGGGCCTCCCACACTTTTCTCTCAATGTGCTTTCCCTAGACGTGTATATGTAAATTCTCCACTATAGTGAATTTGCTTCTTTCTTTTTTCAGGTGCTTATATTTCTTGCTCCCTCGGGTGTGTGTCTATGGTCCTGTAGGTTCTCTGGGTCCGCTATATGCCTCCCAATTCATTTTCTTTCTCATCAGTCCCCAGGCATGTAGAGTCCTGTCGATGCTCTAAGACAGGTGAGACAGAGACCAATCCCTCAGGAATCTCTCTAAAAAGATAGAATTTTGAACAAACACTCCATTCTTGTTTTGTTTTGTTTTTTTCCCCATTCCTCCCATTGCCCCTTGAGGGAGAAGCTGTCATGCTCTAACAGCTTTGCCTGCTGTACAGCAGGGCCTCTGAGCACAGCAGGTCATCTAGCTCTGTTTTGTTCTCAGTGGTCCCCAGGCATCTAGCGTATGTTGGGTCTCATCAGCACTCGGAGACAGCTGAGACAAAAAAGAGTCCCTTGGGTGATTTTCAAGAAACTAGAATGTTTGTCTCATGCTACATTCTTTCCTTCTCCTCCAAGAGAAGCCGTTGAGAGCTGGATTTTCTCCCCTGGCTCAATTCTGAGCCAGAGGGAGGGGCGATGGCCAGTGAGTGCCATGAAATTTCCTACAAACATGTATACAGCTAGTTTGTACCTGCCTGTGGTGGTGCAGAATCCTCTCCCTCATTCCCAGAATTTTCACAAAGGGAATTGGTCCACATATTGTTGAATCCGTGTCTCTCTGTGGAATAAATGATCTGAGTCTCCCAATTCTATCATCTTTCTGACATCATCTCTAATCAATGGCTATTCTTGACTTGGACTTTGCACGTTATATTTTCTTCTAGCTTATATAGTGTGGAGAAAAACACAGCCTGTGTCTGTAGCTATGTTAAACAATAAAAAGATGATGAATGGGCTACAAGAGGGAGGGAGAGGAGACAGGCAGAGGGAAAGAAAATGGGAGCAGGGCGGGGGGGTAGAGAGAGAGAGAGATCTCACTTTGTAAAGCAAGGCAGGATATTTCTGGCATCCATATCAAGAGGTTGAAAATTAGGCAGATTTTTTTGTCTGGAAAATAATTGAAGGACACGTTAAGACCTTGTGCAGTTGCCGAAGAATGACATTTATTTATGAGCATAAACACACTGTGTTTTTCAGTGGTGTTCCACCATGAATTAAAAACAGAAAGGCTAAAAGCAGATACCTGTGAATCAGAGCCTAAAATTATGGTATATTCTCTGATCAGAAATATTTCAATAGGCACAGAAGACCTACAGATTAACATTTTATTATATTTGTAATTGAGCATAACTGTCAGATTTTGCCATTATTATAACCAATTTAACATCAGTTCTTAATTTTTAGGCAGAAATATGTAATTATAAAAGTTTCCCTAAGTAGAAATATATGAGCAACTGCAGTAGATATAACAAGAATCTAGACATAAGAAAATGAAATAATAATAGTAAAATTATTGAGAAAGGAAAGATTTTTTAAGATTCTAATGTCTTCCCAGAAGTTAAGACTCTAAAAGTCATGGTGCTGTTACTTGAAAATAAAATATAATGAGATTAACCTTTATCTTCTAAAAGAGATTGCCTTTTAAAGAGGAAAGATTGTAGTTGAATTTTGGACTGTTTAGTCATAACTTTTACTTATTGTGATCTGGAAGGCAAAATGGGACACAAGGATTTGAGATTATATGATACGTTTATCTCATCTTCGTGTTTGCTGCAAAATTTTCTTAAAATCTCTAAACCCAATGATGTCTGTCTCAAAGTTTAGGTAGATTTTAGTGGTTGTCAGAATGTGGTCTATGAATCAAATGTATTTCTGATGAGAAGCCCAGAGATTACTTTAAAATGTAGTAATCTGAGTTTTCAAACTGGCCATCTACATTGTGGGTTGTTGTTCAGGTGGGGCGGGGGGCAAGTCAGGCTTTAAAAGTTGACGTCAAAAAGTTCACTGAATGAGAAATTTGACTTCCAGGTGAAATAAAATAGTATAGCATGGTGCATTCTAGTCATCAATAATAGAAATGCTGAAAAAAATATGAATATATTAGCTTAAAGTCTTCCTTAAGTGCTAAGTCATTAGATATTGTAGATGCTATAAAACTAGAGAAGAAAGACCCTCATAGGCAATCTGACTTCTGCAGCCATTTTACCCTGGGGACAATTGCTTATTTGGGCATGGGCAGGAGGGTGAGGCTGTGAGCACAAAACTATATATGAACAATGCAGGGGAACAGAAAAACCAGCAGAGTTCTGTCCAAACAATTTGAGATCTTGGAGAATTTGACTAGCTTTACTCTCAGGATATTTGGTGAATTCTGGCCAAGAATGCAGCCTACACTTAAATTAGCAAAATCCCTGATGGAATTAAAGTGTTCAGAAACCATATCATCTGACTAGCAGAATGACTTTCTTTCATTAGGGAGGAAGATATTATCATTTAAGACTCTATAATTTTTCTACACAATGATATCTAGATAATAAAATCACCCGGTATGCCAAAATACAATGCAACATGATTTCTTAAAATCGACAGTATAGACAAACACTATAAAAAATTCTTAAGGGATCCAGACCTTGATGGTAACTAACAAAGCTTCTAAGGGCACTATGGTAATGTGTTCAAAATATATAGAAAAAAATAAAGAAAACAGAAGAAATAATGAAGAAGGTAACCAGATAATGAGAATCTACAAAATTATTAAACAGAAGTTTTAGAAATTAAAATTACAATAACTAAAACTAAGATCCCATTAAAGCAATTTAAGAACACAGTATACATAACAGAAGGTGTGCTATTAAACTAGAAGACAGGTCAATGGTAAATGTAATGCAAAGCACTGGAGTAGGGGCAGGGGTGGGACAATGGAGTGCCACATCCTGAAAAGAGGGAGGGGAGGTAGGAGAGAGAGAGGTAAAAGAGTGAAGAGATCAATCATTCTTGGAACTGGAGCCACACAGAAAAGAGTATGAAAAATGCAGAAGAACACTTAAATGATAATGACCAATAATGTTTCAAAAATGGGTGCAACATTAACAGATTTCAGAAGCACAGTAAATGCCTAGCTGAATACCACGCCTAGACACATCACAGTAATAGTGTTGAACACTAAAGACAAAATAAACAAGTAAAAGCAGTAAGGGAGGAAAAAAACATTTTCTTCAAGGGATAAGTGATAATAATAACCATTGTATTATAATATAGCAAAGATGCATGTTGTAATTTACAGGGTCCTTTCAAAAGGAATATTAGACATATGGTATGAGCTAAAATTTAATAGAGAGTAAAAATGGAGCAATAGGAAATTATAGATTAATCCAAGGGCAGGCAAAGGAGAAGAGAAAAAAAAGCATTAAAAAATAAATAAAACAAATGAACAGAAAATTAAGATGGTAGTCACATTACATATGTAGATGTACACACACACACAAACACACACACACACACGTGACTGTAATTATATGGTCGCAGGTAGCAGTGACTACCTAAGGCTGGGGCATGAGAATAAGAAGAACTTACCAAACAGTTGTAGGTAAAGAAAGGCAGATTTATTAGAGAAAGTATGAAAATATGTTGCAAGGTTACAACCGGCAGGCCAGCAGAAAGAATCTGACTGCAAGGAAACAAAGGCTTGCTGAGGATTTTATAGAATAGTGCTTAGGCTATATGTTGAACTTTGTGTGGTACTGATAACACCAAGATTTCAGTGAGCTAACTTGCAAGTGTCTTGTAATAAGTTGGGCACAGGAAGATTGTGAGTTATTTGTGTAGGAGGGCTATATTTCCTGGATCATGAAGAAAGGCGGACTTAGAGCTTATCTGCCTTCTCTTTTTGCTTTGCCTCAGTACTGCCAGCCAGACTCCTTTTCTCTAATTAGGACTCCACATATATGAGCTATAACTGAACTAAATACCATAAGTAAAAGAGTGAGAATGTCATATTGGGTTTATAAAGCCAACTTTGGAAAATAAAATACACTTTAAATATAAAAACAGAGAACTTGTAAATGAAAGAAGAGTAAATGAAAGAAAAGAGACACCATGTAAATATAAATCAAAGAACAAAAATGCTAACAAATACTGCGGAACTATATTCAATTAAAGGGCACACAGGGTCTGGCTCCTGTAACAAAACCTATATATGATTTTTCAGGTCCTACCATAGGCAAGTCCTCACTTAACATTGTAGATAAATTCTTGGAAGCTTCAACTTTAAGTGACACAATGTACAACAGGCCCTCAAATAACTCTGCTTCCTTCAATGCTGTTGTTTTCTTATAACATTGATGAGAAAAAAAAAAGTTGGTTTGGTGATATGTCTTTTCCTTTAAAGTTGTAATTTCCAATAACCTGTTGACATTTGGAAGCCTGTTTATCCGGGGCCTTTGGCTGAAGCCTTCCTCAGGTCCTTCTGCTGAGATTTCTTTATGAGGGAGAAAGTGGGCTTGAGGACATTTCTTTATTATGAGTCAGTACCACATTTCAATGTACTTCACTTCATTGTGCTTTGCAGATATTGCATTTTTACTAATTGAAAGTTTGGAGTAATTCTGCCTCAAAGAAATCTACCAGCACAATTTTTCCAACAGCATGTGCTCACTTGGCATCTCTATCACATTTTAGTAATTCTTGCAATATTTCAAAATTTTCAATTATTGTTGTATCTGTTATGGTGATCTGTAATTAGCAGTCTTTGGTTTTACTATTGCAATTGTGGGGGATGCCACAAACTGTACCCATATAAGACACAACTTAATTGATAAATGTTGTGTGTCTTCTGACTACTCCACTGAACAAGCATTCCCCTATCATCTCTCTTTTTCTCCTCAGGTCTTCCTCTTGGCAGAAATAAAAAATAATAAAATTAAGTCAATTAACCACTACAATGGTCTTTAAATGTTGAAGTGAAAGAAAAAGTTGCGTTTCTCCCACTTTAAATCAAAAGCTTGAGATTATTAAGCTAAATGAGGAAGGCACATGGAAAGCAAGACGGAACAAAAGTTAGGCATCTTGCCCCCAACAGTTAGCCAAGCTGTGAATGCAAAGGAAATGTGCTCAAAGGAAATTAGTATTGCCACTCCAGTGAACACACAAATGATAAGAAAGAAAGGCAGCTTTATTGTTGATATGGAGAAAGCTTTAGAAATCTGGATAGAGGATCAAACCAGCCACAACATTGCCTAGAGGCAAAACCTAATTCAGAAAAAGGCCCTACTTCTCTTCAATTGTATGAAAGCTGAGAGAAGTAAGGAAGTTGAATATGAAGAGTTTGAAGCTAGCATAGGTTGGTTCATGAGATTTAAGGAAAGAAATTGTTTCCATAACTTATAAGTGCAAGGTGAAGCAGCAAGGTCTGATGGAGAAGCTGCAGCACCTTATCCAGAAGACGTAGCTAAGATAATTGATGAGGTGGCTACACTAAACAACAGATTTCCAATGTAGACAACACAGCCTTCTATTGGAAAAGAATGCCATCTTGAACTTTGATACCTAAAGAAGAAAAGTCAATGTCTGGCTTCAGAACTATGAAGAACCAGCTGACTCTCTTGTTAGGAGCTAATGCAACTGTGGAATTTAAGTTGAAACAAATGTTCATCTATCACTCTGAAAATCCTAGGGCCCTTAAGAATTACGCTAAATCTACTCTGCCTTTGCTCTAGAGATTAAATAACAAAGCCTGGATGATTGCAACAATCATCAACAAAGGCTAGATGATTGCTAGCATGTTTTAGCCATAATGTGTTTTAATTAAGTAATGTACATTGTCTTTTAGACATAATGCTATAGCACAGAAAATAGACTACAGTATCATGTAAACATACTTTTATGTGCACTGGTTAACTGAAGTATTTTAAGTCCACAGTTGAGACCTACTGCTCAGAAAGTAAAAGATTCCTTTCAAAATATTACTGCTTATTGGCGATGCTCAAGAGCTCTGACAGAGATGTACAAGAAGATTAATGTTTTCATGCCTGCTATCACAATATCTATTAGAAAGCCCATAGATCAAGGCATAACTTTGACTTTCAAGTCTTATTATTTAAGAAATACATTTTATAAGGCTGCCATACATAGTGCTTTTGCTGGTGGATCTAGGGAAAGTGAATTGAAAATCTTCTGGAAATGATCCACCATTCTTGATGCCATTAAGGACATCTGTGACTTATAGGAGCAGTCAGTGTACCAATATTAACAGGAATTGGAAGAAGTTGATTTAAACCTTCATAAATGGCTTTGAGGGGTTCACAAATGTCATAAAGTATGGAACTGCAGATGTGGTAGAAATAGCAAGAGAACTAGGATTAAAAGTAGAGCCTGAAGGTGTGACTGAATCGCTGAAATCTCATAACCAAACTTGATTGGATGAGGAGTTGCTTTTTATGGATGGGCAAAGAAAGTGATTTGTTGAGATGGAATCTACTCCTGGTGAAGGTGCTTTGAATATTGTTGAAACGACAATAAAGGATTTAGAATGTTATGTAAACCTAGTTGATAAAGCAGCTGCAGGGCTTGAGAAGATTGACTGCAATTTTGAAAGAAGTTTTACTATGGGTAAACTGCTATTAAATAGCATTGCCTTCTACAGATAAATCTTTCATGAAGAGTCGATTACTGTGGCAAACTTCATTGTTATCTTATTTTAAGAAATTACTACAATCACCGCAACCTTCAGCAACCACCATTATGATGATTCAGCATCAATCAACATCGAGGCAAGATCCTCCACCAGCAAAAAGTTTGCAACTACTTGAAGGTTTAGATGATTGTTAGCATGTTTTAATAATGATGTATGTTAATTAAGTTATGTGCATTGTCTTTTAGACATCATGCTATTGCACACATGATAGACTACAGTATCATGTAAACATAACTTTTATATGCACTGGAAAACCAAAAACATTGAGTGGCTCATTTTATTGTGATATTCACTGTATTGTGGTCCTCTGGAACCAAACCTATGATATTTCCAAGGTATGTCTGTACTAAGTTCTTTCCTACTCCTAGACTTTCCTTCTCCAACTCAACAACCCCCAGGTCTGTAAAGCTACAGATGCCTTTACTTTATGGCTCCCTTGGAAGTAAAACAACCCCTGTGTCTGTGCAGATCTAACTGCACCACTCAGTGGGGAAAAATTGGAGCTGGTCAGGAATGGAGAGGGAATGGGGACCAGTGCTTTCTCAGGCTTAGCCTCTTGCTTATTTATACTATCACAGTAAGTGGTTAAAGGCTTGACTGTTACATTCTTTTGCTTGTTTTCTCAATTGGCTACTCCAACATCTGGCAGCTCAGCTCTCTTGAATCCAGCTGAGCTTCTGACATTGTGCATTAAGGAAAGAGGCATTCTAGAGATAAGGAGGGACTGTCATAATGATAAAATCCTCCCTGAAGAAATCCTTATTCCAAATCTGTAAGCACATTCTATGTAAAGTAAAAATTAAAAAAAAAACATATAGAGATAATGGGGGCCATCTTCATACCTTTCTCAACAGCTAATAGAACGAGCTTTGGGACAAAGTGTCAGTAAGGATATAGTACATCTAAAGAACACAATTTACCAACTTTACCTAACTGGTATAAATGGAACACAGTACAAATCAATTTCATAAATGATTTTACAGTAGTAACTACAGCTCAATGTATGAATGGCCTATGACCTAGCTATTCCACTCATAGAAAAATACTCTACAGAATATGTACACATTTTCACCAAAGATACGCGCTAGAATGTTCGTAAGTCTGTGGTAGCAAAAGCATGAAAATTAGTAAATTCTTAAGAGTAGAAAAATGGAAAAATGATTGTAATACATGTTTATGCAATTGATTATAATTCAGCAAAGAAAATAAATACAGCCACTCAACAATTTGAATAACTTGCAAATATGATGTTAAGTGAAAGAAGACAGATATTAAAGCACATACACTTTATGATGTCACTGATATGAAGACCAAAAACTGGAAGAATGAATCTCTGCTGTTACAAGGCAGGATAGTTGTTATCCATTAGCAGAGGATGCTAAAGGGGGCACATGTGTAGCTCTCTTGAGCAGGAATGTTCTTTTTGCTATGTGTGCTGATTGCAAGTGAGGAAAAATATTGAGCTCTTGATAGGTACCTTTTTTCTGTGTTCATATTATACTTCAATGAAAAATTTGAAAATAATAATATTGGAGTTTAGAATTTAAAGAGTTTTTAAAAATTAATACATTACAAATAATTACAGGAGAAAAGTTATTGTGTAGCCCTCAGTGTCCATCTAAGATCCATAGATGGGGCTTTAATCTCTCAGTGAGAGCTGGTTACATGAAGATAACACTGTTACTGGATACAGATACAGCAAGTTGTATTTCTACTGCTATAAACAAGAAACTCTTGACAATAAAAAATCTTGATATAATCATTGCTACTGCTGCATATAGAAAAGTAATGCAGTTGTCAATGCCTCATTCAACCATTTCCTCCCTCTCTCCTCCCATCCACTTCTACTAGAAAAAATTTACTCAGTTCTTAGTCTTTCATGCCACTGAGTTCTGATTCAATGTGCTGGAGGGTGATTCATAGCCTCACTTTCTATCTTTAAGGGAATCTTGCACAGAGAGTCCAGAGCATCTGTGTAGGGATATTTGCTCTGCCTTATGGAGACAGAACTTGCCCATTTATAGGTACTGGGGCCTGAGGAATTGTTAAATAGAGAGTTTCATCCTCACAAATGTTGACAAATGTCCATACCTTAATGTATCTATGATGGATTTAATTTCAATTTGGTTATGCTAAGACTACATTTCCCAGAATCCTTTTCCTCATATACTTCTGGGTTGCAGTTCACTAAAACTGAAGTTGAGAAAAACAGGAGGGTTAGGGAAGCAGCAAAAACTATGCTCTATTGGTTACTGGTGCTGAGAGACAGAACTGTAGAACACACAGAAGCAATAACCATGAAGAGCCAGCAGCTTTCTGTAGGCTTCTACTCCTTCTCCAGCAGCAATAACTTTTTTTTTTTTTTTTTTTTTTTTTTTTTTTTTTTTGAGACAGGGTCTCCCTCTGTCGCTCAGGCTGGAGTGCAGTGGTGCACTCTTGGCTCACTGCAACCTCCCCCTCTCAGGTTCAAGTGATTCTCCTGCTGCAGCCTCCCAAGTAGCTAGGATTACAGGCACCCACCACCACGCATGCCCGGCTAATTTTTGTATTTTTAGTAGAAATGGGGTTTCACCATGTTGGCCATGCTGTTCTCAAACTCCTGACCTTAAGTGATCCGCCCACTTCAGCCTTCCAGAGTGCTGGGATTACAGGCTTAAGCCACTGCGCCCGATCAGCAATCACTATTCTAACAGGGCATTGCTAGCTTCCAGATTTGCAACAAACCCAGGGAAAACTAGTTTAGATGCACCAGGGTGAAAGAATGTTGCATTATCAAATCTAACTAATGCTATGGCATTCATTGATTAAAAACCTGTTTAATTCTTTTATATTAAATGGTTTATATTTAGTGATAACAAATATTTATAGTTTTAAAAACAAATTTTCATTCTTAACTGAAGTAGTTTAGAAAAAAAATAGGTTAAGAGTTACATTACCATTTGTTAAAGGTAATGAGTTTTAATTTGAAAAATAAAATTCAGACACTTGCTAGTCTTGACAAAAAGAATAAATAAATATGAAGCATAACATATTTTGAACAAACAATTTCTAAATGAATTCCATTTTGAGAACAATTTTAAGACAATAACCTTTTGTCCTCTCTAAAAATGGGAGTTGATATTTAAAATATTTAGATGTATCTAATGCATGGAATATGGGAGAATGTTTATTACTGTCTCAATTACAAAAACACTATATTAAATTATTGTTTAAGCTGATTATATAAGTAAGTGTAGCCCTTAATTATTTCATTGTTCCTCTGTAGCATCTTTATTACATTCTGAAAATGCAGTCACAGAATATGACATTTACCTGAGGGCAATGGTTCTATTCCATTTTATGGCTACAGCTTAGGTGTCCAAGAGTGAATATGAGAATCATAAAGCATTTCTCACCCAAAAAGGAAGGTCAAATTTATGATCCAGTGTAAATCCTCAATCAATTGGAAATATCAAGAAATATGCTTCTTACATTTTTTAAACCTAAATACAAAACAAGACTACAACAAAAGATTAAAATCATTTGGTGAGTTTATATTTTTAATTATAATGTTGGATTTTTTTAAAGAACATGTATGGTCAATAACATTGGTATTTTCTGAAACAATTTATTGTTATATTTTCTTAATTATTTTTATTGTGCATATTATTATGACTAACTATTATTCAAGGTTTCATATGATTGAAATATTAAACCACTTTGTTTTATTATCTCTTTTAGTTCTACTTGGATGTATAATGTCTCAAGATAGTATTCTGTTATTACTCCAAGTATTATAAAAATGATTTTGAAATTATTTTGAAGATTAAAATGGATTTTCACTTAAACACAATAAATAATTACTGTGCAAATACCAAGACAATGTGTTGTAAGGTAAGGTATTGTGAGCATTACAAATTTGAATAAGGCACTGCCTTCCCATATTTTCATTTTAATTCATTAATAAAATATCTATAGTTGGTATGCAGTGAGTTTCATCCATACATTATTTTAATAACACATGTAAAGCTTTTTGTAACTTAATGTGTTATAAAAGACCTTGAGTTACCCTGTCTCCTAACCCCTTTTTTCCATGATTTAGAATTAAGTACATATCCTTGAAGGAGGTGGTGTGGGGTTAACAAATGGGTAATTTTCTTTTCTTTTGGGAAAAAAACAGTTTGGTTTCATAAAGACAGTGTTTATGTTAAAAGAAAAAAAATTACGTTGTTTTCTAAATCCATACCATATTTAAATAATATTACTCTATTCCTGAAACATTGGAAAGAAAACGAGCTAAAACTTAATGGCAAATATTTCCAAGATAACTTTGTGATGTAGTGCAAATTGTAGGGAGTAGGGGAGATTTAAAATCCAACAAGTTCTTGAAATTGAGGTACAAACAGCTAACAAAATACAGTCCTTCAGGCTTCAAAACATTGCACACTCTCTGAAATGCCAGAAGCACTATTTATTTCTTCCCTTTTTGCCTTATTGCACACTGTCCCCAGATGATGTTGTATGAGGTATAAATTAGACAGTTTATTGAATATACTTTTAGTCCATCTTCTATCACACACAAGGCATCACTTTCAAGATGTCACTTCAGAAGAATAAAGGCAGACTAGAGCAATATTTTAAGTCTGGGTAAAAAATGGTTTGGAAAAGTTCAAGTACAATATTGTTGTGATAGCTCAGTAAGATACACAGAACACTGAATGCAATTTTAACATGACTATTGAGTCAGTTTTCTGTATTTGCATAAAATCTGCTGTAATAGATGCATTTCACTCATGAAAAATGTGGGGGTTCAGTCATAAATTTATCCCATTCAGCTTATGCTTTGCCTTTACTATCATCATTATTTCCAAATAATGACTTACTCAAATCTCTCCATTTTTGCTGGATCATGGAGAGAGACAATTAATGGTGAGTGTGGAATAATTCACTTATCTTGTGTATTTGATGATTATAACAAGTCAGACTCTACATACTTTACATTTTTAAGAAAATAGTGCTAAAGTTACTTTTAGAATGAGTGGGACTTTCCAACTCACATATTCAGTCATAGCAGGTAACACTTACACAGAGATACAGATTATAAGACGAGTATATAAATGGCTGTTTCAATTCTAACAAAAGTACCAGGAGTTATATAGTAGTGTCTCTAGTGTTTACAATACTCAGGCAATTGAAAGAAAAAAAGACTTTGTTTAGTCTAAACTAAAATGTGTTTTGAGAATACATAACTACTTGTAAGTAGGCTTGGATATCTTTTCAGAAAAAGTTAAGACAGATGTAAATAATATGAAAAGAGAAATGCATATAGATTTTTTAGATGAAAGAGGGGAGCACACAGCATCCCAAATTGTGATATCGTTTTTGCCTAAGCACCAGGGGTTTTAGGGAAAAAGACACGTTCAGTGAATAACACCGTGAAATAAATTCATTGAATGTTTGTTTTTAAATTTTTAAAATAAATCCTGAAAGTTTCTAGTGAAGTATACAAAGAATATTGTCTATTCTAAGGCAGCAGAGAGAGCATGCCTGGAACAGAAATTGTCTGCTGACTACGGGGTTCAAGGTTTCTTACTCAACTGTATGGAAGAAATAATCTGACTGGAGAGAAGACTGAGATGAGGAAAGAAATTTCTGAATCAGTACCATGCCTTTTGTTTGTTTGTTTATTTATTTGTTTTTCTTCCTTCTCAGAATTACTAAAAGAATAGAATACCAAAAAGGGAACAATGATGGCCGAGTTTCCTCTTAGAGGACAGTACTGATCCATCTGTGTCTTTGCGTATGGTTGTGAAGGTGATACAGGCCAGGTTTACCATCCATCTGACCCTTCATCATAACAAACAAACCTATGTTCTTTGTGGGGAAAAGCAAGAGAGATCAGATTGTTACCGTGTCTGTGTAGAAAGAAGTAGACATAGGAGACTCCATTTTGTTATGTACTAAGAAAAATTCTTCTGCCTTGAGATTCTGTTAATCTATGACCTTACCCCCAACCCCGTGCTCTCTGAAACATGTGCTGTGTCAACTCAGAGTTGAATGGATTAAGGGCGGTGCAAGATGTGCTTTGTTAAACAGATGCTTGAGGGCAGCATGCTCCTTAAGAGTCATCACCACTCCCTAATCTCAAGTACCCAGGGACACAAAAACTGCGGAAGGCCGCAGGGACCTCTGCCTAGGAAAGCCAGGTATTGTCCAAGGTTTCTCCCCATGTGATAGTCTGAAATATGGCCTCATGGGAAGGGAAAGACCTGACCGTCCCCCAGCCCGACACCCGTAAAGGGTCTGTGCTGAGGAGGATTAGTAAAAGAGGAAGGAATGCCTCTTGCAGTTGAGACAAGAGGAAGGCATCTGTCTCCTGCCTGTCCCTGGGCAATGGAATGTCTCGGTATAAAACCCGATTGTATGCTCCATCTACTGAGATAGGGAAAAACCGCCTTAGGGCTGGAGGTGGGACCTGCGGGCAGCAATACTGCTTTGTAAAGCATTGAGATATTTATGTGTATGCATATCTAAAAGCACAGCACTTAATCCTTTACATTGTCTATGATGCAAAGACCTTTGTTCACGTGTTTGTCTGCTGACCCTCTCCCCACAATTGTCTTGTGACCCTGACACATCCCCCTCTTTGAGAAACACCCACAGATGATCAATAAATACTAAGGGAACTCAGAGGCTGGCGGGATCCTCCATATGCTGAACGCTGGTTCCCCGGGTCCCCTTATTTCTTTCTCTATACTTTGTCTCTGTGTCTTTTTCTTTTCCAAATCTCTCGTCCCACCTTACGAGAAACACCCACAGGTGTGTAGGGGCAACCCACCCCTACATCTGGTGCCCAACGTGGAGGCTTTTCTCTAGGGTGAAGGTACGCTCGAGCGTGGTCATTGAGGACAAGTCGACGAGAGATCCCGAGTATGTCTACAGTCAGCCTTACGGTAAGCTTGTGCGCTCGGAAGAAGCTAGGGTGATAATGGGGCAAACTAAAAGTAAAATTAAAAGTAAATATGCCTCTTATCTCAGCTTTATTAAAATTCTTTTAAAAAGAGGGGGAGTTAAAGTATCTACAAAAAATCTAATCAAGCCATTTCAAACAGAAGAAGATAGCGTTTCAGTTTCTGATGCCCCTGGAAGCTGTATAATAGATTGTAATGAAAAGACAAGGAAAAAAATCCCAGAAAGAAACGGAAAGTTTACATTGCGAATATGTAGCAGAGCCGGTAATGGCTCAGTCAACGCAAAATGTTGACTATAATCAATTACAGGAGGTGATATATCCTGAAACGTTAAAATTAGAAGGAAAAGGTCCAGAATTAGTGGGGCCATCAGAGTCTAAACCACGAGGGCCAAGTCCTCTTCCAGCAGGTCAGGTGCCCGTAACATTACAACCTCAAAAGCAGGTTAAAGAAAATAAGACCCAACCGCCAGTAGCTTATCAATACTGGCCGCCGGCTGAACTTCAGTATCGGCCACCCCTAGAAAGTCAGTGTGGATATCCAGGAATGCCCCCAGCACCACAGGGCAGGGCGCCATACCCTCAGCCGCCCACTAGGAGACTTAATCCTACGGCACCACCTAGTAGACAGGGTAGTGAATTACATGAAATTATTGATAAATCAAGAAAGGAAGGAGATACTGAGGCATGGCAATTCCCAGTAACGTTAGAACCGATGCCACCTGGAGAAGGAGCCCAAGAGGGAGAGCCTCCCACAGTTGAGGCCAGATACAAGTCTTTTTCGATAAAAATGCTAAAAGATATGAAAGAGGGAGTAAAACAGTATGGACCCAACTCCCCTTATATGAGGACATTATTAGATTCCATTGCTCATAGACATAGACTCATTCCTTATGATTGGGAGATTCTGGCAAAATCGTCTCTCTTACCCTCTCAATTTTTACAATTTAAGACTTGGTGGATTGATGGGGTACAAGAACAGGTCCGAAGAAATAGGGCTGCCAATCCTCCAGTTAACATAGATGCAGATCAACTATTAGGAATAGAACAAAATGGAGTCTCCTATGTCTACTTCTTTCTACACAGACACAGTAACAATCTGATCTCTCTTGCTTTTCCCCACATTATATGAGGACATTATTAGATTCCATTGCTCATGGACATAGACTCATTCCTTATGATTGGGAGATTCTGGCAAAATCGTCTCTCTTACCCTCTCAATTTTTACAATTTAAGACTTGGTGGATTGATGGGGTACAAGAACAGGTCCGAAGAAATAGGGCTGCCAATCCTCCAGTTAACATAGATGCAGATCAACTATTAGGAATAGAACAAAATGGAGTCTCCTATGTCTACTTCTTTCTACTCAGACACAGTAACAATCTGATCTCTCTTGCTTTTCCCCACAGTTCTTCTTTGAGTGAAAAAATACAGTGCAGGCAGTTGTAATTGTCTCTCAGTGAAAGGTAGGCACTAGGATACTGAGTTAGATTTACTGAAATGAGTCCTCAGAACAGCACAACATGGAGTATACAAGTCAGACATGTCTTCAAAGTTCTGGAAGACATTTCATCAAAAGCAGAAACTTAAACCCAATTTTAATCTGCTTTGTGTCCATTATATTTCCTGTCTGTTGACATGGACATCCTCCTTTTCTCTTGCACCTGACTTATTACAACAAGTCTAGGTCTGAATCAGTTATTCCACCAAGAATCCTAGAAAGGTAGATTTTTGAAATAATCACCATCTTTTCAAATTTCAAATATCAAGTCATAGATTTGACAAACTGAATTCAGAGCTCTTTTGAATAAATCCTTATTTTCTGGTTCTTTCATCTCCTGTAACCTCAAGTGAAACTTATCCATCAATTTTTCACTTGTGCCTACATCTAAGTGTGATGTGCTGTCACTCTTGACTGAATTAAACAATACCTAGAAGACTGGTAAAGCACTATTTGGGGCTATGTCTGGGATGACGTTTTCAAAGGAAATAATGTGTGAACCTGAAAGACTAGCCTGTTGTAGGACTTCTCAGCCTCCATAACTGTGTGAGCCAATTCCCATCATAAATCCCTTCTCATAAATCCTTATCTATCTGTCTATCTGTCTGTCTGTCTATCCATCCATCCATCTATCTATTTACATATATATATATATATATCCTCTTCGTTCTCTCTGGAGAACACTAATACATGAAGTCACTATAATTTGTGGATTTCTGACTCTCTAATATTCCTTTTAATTAGTCCAATGTATTGTATTTTTAACTCCTATTGAGAGGTGAAGCCAGCTGGACTTCTGGTTCAGGTGGGGACTTGGAGAACTTTTCTGTCTAGCTAAAGGATTGTAAACGCACCAATCAGCACTCTGTAAAAACGTACCAATCAGCGCTCTGTGTCTAGCTAGAGGATTGTAAATGCAGCAATCAATACTCTGTAACAACACCCCAATCAGCACTCTGTAAAATGGATCAATAAGTGGAATGTGGGCAGGGCCAAATAAGGGAATAAAAGCTGGCCACCCCAGCCAGCAGTGGCAACCCTTACATGCTGTGGAAGCTTTGTTCTTTCTCTCTTCACAATAAATCTTGCTGCTGCTCACTCTTTGGGTCTGCACTACCTTTATGAGCTGTAACACTCACTGCGAAGGTCTACGGCTTCACTCCTGAAGTCAGTGAGACCATGAACTCACTGGGAGGAACAAACAACTCTGGACATGCCACCTTTAAGAGCTGTAACACTCACTGTGAAGGTCTGCGGCTTCACTCCTGAAGTCAGCGAGACCATGAACCCACTGGAAGGAAGAAACTCCAGACACATCTGAACATCTAAAGGAACAAACTCCAGACACACCATCTTTAAGAACTGTAACACTCACCGCGAGGATCCACAGCTTCATTCTTGAAGTCAGCAAGACCAAGAACCCACCGGAAGGAATAAATTCCAGACACACTTTGGCGACCATGAAGGGACTGTCACCAAGCAGTGAGTACCATCAGACCCCTTTCACTTGCTATTCTGTCCTATTTTTCCTTAGAATTTGGGGGCTAAATACCAGGCACCTGTTTGCCAGTTAAAAGCGACTAGCACGGCCACCAGACTAAAGACATGGGTGTCAGGCTTTCTGGGAAAGAGCTCTCTAACAACCCCTGACTCTTCGGAGTTGGGAGCATTAGTTTGCCGGGAACCAGCTTCTGCTTTCCCTGTACTTCTGGGCTGAGCCAAGGGTAGACAGAGAGGAAAGCCATTCAGCTCCGGGGTCCCAACAACAACTTGGGTGACCCTGTGACCATGAGTGGAACTCTCAAAGTCATGTCACCCAAGCGAGACTCGCTCATCTATCCTATCTATCCTGACCCTTGCCTCCTGGGTCCTAATGCCTGTCAGACAAACTTCCTCTCACCTCTCTTCTCTGAGGCTAGTCCCGCTTCCGAAAACCACTCCCTGTTTCTGGTGCTTTTCTAGTTTCTCCTATAAGAATGATTTCTAGTATAAACTCCAGGACTCTATTCCCTTCATTAGACACCCGGGCTCACTAATCACAAAGACATAATTTTTGCCCAAAGTCCCATCGGGGTGGTGGGGACTATCTTATCCAGAATTTTAGGATCCCTCCTCAGACTAGCAGGCCTAACAAAAGCTATTCCTGGAGCTAGGATACAGGGAGCTTCAGAAATGGTATCCTTCCTATTCAAGTGAGGACAAAAGGTGTCACTCTTCCAACCCTGGAGATCCCTTCCCTCCCTCAGGGTATGGCTGTCCACTTCATTTTTGGGGTATAACATCTTTATAGGACAGAGGTAAGGTCCCAATACTAACAGGAGAATGCTTAGGACTCTAAAAGTTTTTTGAGAATGCATCGGTAAGGGCCACTAAATCTGACCTTCCTCAGTCCTCCTTGTGGTCTAGGAGGAAAACTAGTGTTTCTGCTGCTGCGTTGATGAGTGCAACTCTTCTGATCAGCAGGGTCCAGGGACCATTGCAGGTTCTTAGGCAAGAGGTGTTCCTGCTGCTGTGTTGGTGGGTGCAACTATTCCAATCAGCAGGGTCCAGGGACTGTTGTGGGTTCTTGGGTAAGAGGTGTTTCTGCTGCTGCGTTGGTGAGCACAACTATTCTGATCAGTAGGGTCCAGGGACCATTGAGGGTTCTTGGGTGGGGGAGAAACAAACAAACCAAAACTGTGGGCTGTTTTGTCTTTCAGATGGGAAACACTCAGACACCAACAAGCTCACCCTTGAAATGCATCCTAAGCCATTGGGACCAATTTGACCCACAAACCCTGAAAAAGAGGCAGCTCAATTTTTTTCTGCACTATGGCTTGGCCCTGATATTCTCTCTCTGATGGGGAGAAATGGCCACCTGAGAGGAGTATAAATTACAATACTATCCTGCAGCTTGACCTTTTCTGTAAGAGGGAAGGCAAATGCAGTGAAATACCTTATGTCCAAGCTCTCTTTTCATTGAAGAAGAATACACAACTATGCAAAGCTTGCAATTTACAACCCACAGGAGGACCTCTCAGCTTACCCCCATATCCTAGCCTCCTTATAGATCCCCTTCCTATTAATGATAAGCCTCCTCTAATCTCCCCCACCCAGAAGGAAACAAGCAAAGAAATCTCCAAAGGACCACAAAAACCCCTGGGCTATCAGTTTTGTCCACTTCAAGCTGTAGGGGGAGGGGAGTTTGGCCTAACCAGGGTACATGTCCCCTTCTCCTTCTCTGATTTAAAGCAGATCAAGGCAGACCTGGGGAAGTTTTCAGAAGATCCTGATAGTTATATAGATGTCCTACATGGTCTAGGGCAAAACTTCGATCTCACTTGGAGAGATGTCATGCTACTGTTAGATCAAACCCTGGCCTTTAATGAAAAGAATGTAGCTTTAGCTGCAGCCCGAGAGTTTGGAGATACCTGGTATCTTAGTCAAGTAAATGATAGAATGACAGCCAAAGAAAGGGACAAATTCCCTACTGGTCAGCAAGCCATCCTCAGTATGGATTCCCACTGGGACCTCGACTCAGATCATGGGGACTGGAGTCGCAAACATCTGTTGACCTGTGTTCTAGAAGGACTAAGAATAATTAGGGAAAAGGCCATGAATTAGTCAATGATGACCACCATAATTCAGGGAAAGAAAGAAAATCCTTCTGCCTTCCTCAAGTGGCTATGGGAGGCCTTAAGAAAACATACTCCCCTGTCACCCAACTCACTTGAGGGTCAATTGATTCTAAAAGATAAGTTTATTACCCAATGAGCCACAGACATCAGGAGAAAGCTCCAAAAGCGAGCCCTGGGCCCTGAACAAAATCTGGAGGCATTATTAAACCTGGCAACCTCGGTGTTCTATAATAAGGACCAACAGGAACAGGCCCAGAAGGAAAAGTGAGATCAGAGAAAGGCGCAGCCTTAGTCATGGCCCTCAGACAAAAAAACCTTGGTGGTTCAAAGAGGACAGAAAATGGAGCAGGCCAATCACCTAATGGGGACTGTTATCAGTGTGATTTGCAAGGACACTTTAAAAAAGTTTGTCCAGTGAGAAACAAGCTGCCTCCTCGCCCATGTCCACTATGCTGAGGCAATCACTGGAAGGTGCACTGCCCCAGAGGACAAAGTTTCTCTGGGCCAGAAGCCCCCAACCAGATGATCCAACAACAGGACTGAGGGTGCCCGGGGAAAGTGCCAGCTTATGTCATCACCCTCACTGAGCCCCAGGTACATATAACCATTGAGGGCCAGGAAATTGACTTCCTCCTGGACACTGGTGCAGCTTTCTCAGTGTTAATCTCCTGTCCCAGACAGCTGTCCTCAAGGTCCGTTACCATATGAGGAATCCTGGGACATCCTGTATCCAGGTATTTCTCTTACCTCCTCAGTTGTAATTGGGAGACTTTGCTACAGATAGTAAGTATGCTTATCTAATCCTATATGCCCATGCTGCAATATGGAAAGGAAGGGAGTCCCTAACCTCTGGGGGAACCCCCATTAAATACCACAAGGAAATCATGGAGTTCTTGCATGCAGTGCAAAAACCCAAGGAGGTGGCAGTCTTACACTGCTGAAGCCATCAAAAAGGGGAAGGAGAGAGGAGAACAGCAGCATAAGCAGCTGGCAGAGGCAGGGAAAGACCAGCAGAAAGGAAAGAGAGAAAGAGAAAGTCAGACAGAGAGAGGAAGAGACAGAGACAAAGAGGGAGTCAGAAAGAGAGAGACAAAGAAGAAGTCAAAGAGAAAGAGAGATGGAAGTAGTAAAGAAAAACACCGTGTATCCTATTCCTTTAAAAGCCATGGTAAGTTTAAAACCTATAATTGATAACTGAAGGTCTTCTCTGTGACCCTGTAACACTCCAATACCACCTTGTTGACAGTGTAAACAAGGGCATAGCCCGAAAGCACTGAGGCCACTGACAACCAGTAGCCTTCCTATCAAAAATCCTTAACCAAGCAGGTTTCCTAACAAGGGACCTAAATCTTAAGGTCCAACCAGACATAGGAGGAGCTCCCTTCAGGACAGGATGATAGATGGTTCCTCCCAGGCGATTAAGGAAAAAGACACAATGGATATTCAGTAAGTGATAAGGAAACTCTTACAGAAGCAGAGTTAGGAAAATTGCCTAATAATTGTCTGCTCAAACATGCAAGCTGTCTGGAATCAGCTAAACCTTAAAGTACTTACAGAATCAGGAAGGAGCCATCTATACCAATTCTAAGTTAATATAGACTGAATGAGGTTTTATTAATAGCAAAGAAAAATTAAAATCCCAGACTTACAAGGTTTTCAACTACAGTAAAGTTTGCTAAAAGTTAACAGTGTAACATGTATTATCCTACTACCACACACTCTCAAAGGATTTCTTAGACAGTTTACAAGAAATGATGAAATCTATCCTTACTCTACAATCCCACATAGACTCTTTGGCAGCAGTGACTCTCCAAAATTGCCAAGGCCTAGACCTCCTCACTGCTGAGAAAGGAGGACTCTGCACCTTCTTAGGGGAAAAGTGTTGTTTTTACACTAAACAGTCAGGGATAGTACGAGATGCCACCCGGCATTTACAGGAAAAGGCTTCTGAAATCAGACAACACCTTTCAAACTCTTATACCAACCTCTGGAGTTAGGCAACATGGCTTCTCCCCTTTCTAGGTCCCGTGACAGCTGTCTTGCTATTACTTGCCTTTGGGCCCTGTATTTTTAACCTCCTTGTCAAATTTGTTTCCTCTAGGATTGAGGCCATCAAGCTATAGATGATCTTACAAATGGAACTCCAAATGAGCTCAACCAACAACTTCTACCGAGGACCCCTGGATCGACCCACTTGCTGTTTGGTTGGCCTAGAGGGTTCCCCTCTGGAGGACACTACCACTGCAGGGCCCTTTCTTCACCTCTATCCAGTAGGAAGTAGCTAGAGCGGTCATTGCCCAATTCCCAACAGCAATTGGGGTGTCCTGTTTAGAGGGGGGATTGAGAGGTGAAGCCAGCTGGACTTCTGGTTCAGGTGGTGACTTGGAGAACTTTTCTGTCTAGCTAAAGGATTGTAAATGCACCAATCAGCACTCTGTAAAAATGCACCAATCAGCACTCTGTGTCTAGCTAAAGATTGTAAATGCACCAGTTAGCACTCTGTAAAAACGCACCAATCATCACTCTGTAAAATGGACCAATCAGCACTCTGTAAAATGGATCAATCAGTGGGACATGGGAGGGGCCAATAAGGGAATAAAAGCTGGCTACCCCAGCCAGCAGTGGCAACCCTCTCGGGTCTCTTCCATGCTGTGGAATATTTGTTCTTTTGCTCTTCACAATAAATCTTGCTGCTGCTCACTCTTTGGGTCCGCACTACCTTTATGAGCTGTAACACTCACTAGGAAAGTCTGTGGCTTTACTCTTGAAGTCAGCAAGACCACGAACCCACCAGGAGGAACAAACAACTCTGGACGCACCACCTTTAAAAACTGTAACACTCACTGCAAAGGTCTGCGGCTTCACTCCTGAAGTCAGCAAGACCATGAACCCACCAGAAGGAAGAAACTCCAGACACACGTGAACATCTGAAGGAACAAACTACAGATACACTATTTAAGAATGGTAACACTCACTGCGAGGGTCCACGGCTTCATTCTTGAAGTCAGTGAGACCAAGAACCCACTGGAAGGAATAAATTCCAGACACATTTTGGCAATCCAGATGGGACACACTACTAGTTATTAAGAAAATTCAAAACAGTAGTCAATATTTTCCAAAGAACATTTCTTTAAATTCATCAATCTAATTAAAACATGTTTTTCCCCAAATGTGACACCAGTTTTGGGGTTATATTTAAAAGTAGAATTTCATTATCCTCACTTATAAAATATAAATATCCTCATTTATAAAATATATCTGTCCAAAGAAGGTAAAACTTTCTCTCACCTCTTCATCCTGGCACATTTCTCATTTTTTTTAAACTCTCAGTCAATAGTTTTTCCTTGACACACACACAATATCATGTTAGATATATATATAATATATCATATAATATATAAACAATATATAATATGTAAACAATACAATACATGTAATATTATATATTATTTATAAATAAAATAGCATATATAGCAACCAAATTTCTTGAGAAGGTTTGCAAATGTTTAGGCTTTCTCAAAGCCACTATTTCCAAAGTGAATTTCTCAATCAAACTTCAGTGTATGGCATATAACTCACTCTATTTCGTGATGAATTACTACCATAAACATTGATTTTGAGGTTCAGCCATTGATGCCCATTCAGGCTTCTGGGAACTTAATGGAGGGTCACTATGGTATCTAGGAAGCAAGAGAGTAAGAGGGTGAAAGCATGATTTGTGAGCAGAGCTCTCAGACTCTATTTTTCTAACCAATCACATCACCACTTTGTTAGGGTACTTTCTGTTAGTATGCTGTATCCGGAACTCCTTTTATCCACCCTAGAGTTTCAAAATATGAGACAAGAAAACAGGGATCAGGGACTGATTTTAGTGTCTAATATTGATTGATTTCCTCTTTCAGTTCTTTTCAAAGAACTCCCTGTACCTTTCTAAAGGATAAATATATATAAAACACTTACCAGACAGCTCTCCATTTTATCTGGGGTTGCACTTCAAAATCTGGCAAGAATGGTAATTCCTCCATCAAGAGTCCATTTCAGAAATCAATAGTTAAACAGCTACACAGGGGTCCTGTATTTTGTGAAAAGACCAAATCTAGAGTCTGATTTCTAGAAACACACCCAGAAATTAAGGCGATTATGTTTTATTCTGTTTTCCTCATTCATAACATTTTGCTTTTCCATAGAAGTGCTACTTTGTAACTTTCTTTAACTTTATCACATATCATTTCAAATTAATTTATTTTCTTATTTTATTTCTACTGCTTCAGCCCCTTTTTGCTTTCCCTAGAAGTGGCTTCTCAGGTGCCAAGAATGTAATAAGCCTCCAATAATATTAATTGAATAAAGGAATAAACCACCCATGCTTCTGACAATAAACTGAAGTCTAATTATTCTACCATAAAACTAGACTTTGTAAAACAAGTCCATTACTTCTTCTGAATATCCTTTGTTCAAAATATTCTTAATAATGTTATTTCAAGTATGTTACCTAGCAATTATATTTAGATTCATAACTTCTTGAGCCCATTTTACAATAACAGAGACACATTTTTATTCATAATTATTTTGCATATTCATTTGACATGTTTGATATTTTTAAAGTTCTTTATATTTTCACATAAATAATTGCGAGACTGCATTGTGTTTTATTGGAAAATATAATGTATTCTATTCATTCTCTGGATTATTTTTATCAAGGACAAAACAATCTTTAAAAATGTACTTGATAAATTGGGTTAGTTTGTCTGTAATAACCTAAATAGTAATTCTAACTCAGTACTATTGTTTGTGTGATCAGTACTATTGATTCATTAACATACTAAATCTTAAATTATTAGAGAAATCTAATGCAGTTTGAAAGATATGATAGACTAGACTGAAGTAGATACAGTGAGGAAAATAAGGGATTATTACATGGAAGAGTATTTGAGCTATTTTTGTTGGAAAGAGGTATGCATAGCATACTTGAAGCTGATAGAGAAAGCCAGCAACAAAATTGTAAATGGCTTAAGTGTGTGTTTGAATTGATAAAATTCTCAAAAAAAATTTGTAAAAAAAAAAAAAACGATGCTCACAAGCAAAATGAAAATAATTGTTGAAAAGGTATGTTGCACATCACCATCTCTAAATAAATATATTCAATTTATATTTTTGTCTTATCATGGGGAATGCCCACATAGAAAACAAAAAAGAAAACTAATGGACAAGTGGACAGACTTAGAAACAATTTTAGAATAGCCTACAGTGGGGAAGAAACTGGAGAATCCAGACTAAGAATAAAGACACAGCTAAAAAGTTAGAACAAGATATCCAAGGTACCAGACAATTTTTAGTGAGAATGCAAGGAATTATAATCAATATAGCTCTAGAAATTAGCACAAAGGTATCTGAGTCTAAGGTTGCAGGGATGGTAATGCTCACAGACTACATAGAAAAGCACATGCGTTCTTGGAATTGGTAGCATCACATCATAGCATGTCAGTTCCAGGGGAGGCACATATGTAAGAGCAAAATGAGTCTCAGTCTACAAAGAGGTTTTAACTATTATTACAGATGCAGACTAGAAATCCAGATACAGAAACTAAGAGAATAATAGAGTCATTTAATCTGGGACTTCCCAGAAATCTGGAATAGAAAGTTTACAGCTGGAAAATCTGTAATCTCTTATGCAAGATAAAGAAAGAGGTAAGCATCAGTGATATCTGGAGTTTACTTCTAAAAACTTGTAAGAACCAATGGTTAAATTTTCAGGAATTTGGAAACTAGTTGTTAAGCATGGCATTTTGTGAAACCCAGATAAAGATGAACTCAGGAGAGGACACCTAACCTCTCTGAACTTCATGTAATGCATATTGTTTTATTTTTACTTTTACTTTGGGTGTTTTGCTGTAATAAACGTTGGCTATGAGTATAACCAGAGTTATACAGATGTGAGTCCTCCTAGATATTTCCCCAACTTTCAGATGGTTGTGGGATTTCTGAAACAGACTTGAATATTCCTTTCTTCCTTCCCTCTCTCCCTCTCTGCCTGCCTGCCTGCCTGCCTGCCTGCCTGCCTGCCTGCCTGCCTGCCTGCCTTCCTTCCTTCCTTCCTTCCTTCCTCTCTCTTTCTATCTCCTGTCTCCCCCCTGCCCCCCTCTCTCTCTCCCCCGCCCTCTCTCTCTCTCTATCCGCTTTGCCTCTTTTGCAAATTTTCCCCGCTGCCTCTTTGGACATTTGCAAAATACCTTCAGAGTAACACGCAGGTTAGGGATTCAATCAACCCTGTCTCTCTCCCTCTCTCTGTCTTCCCTCCCCCTCCCTCTCCCTCCCCCCTCCCTTCTGTTCCCTTCCGCTCTCCCCGCTCTCCCCTCCTCTCCCCTTCCCTTTCCTTCTGATATGGATTGGGTTCTCACTCTGTCACCCAGGCTGGAGTGCAATGGCACAATCTTCGCTTACTGCAACCTCGATCTCCTAGGCTCAAGTGATGCTCCCACCTCAGCCTCTCGAGTAGCCCAGACTGGTCTCCAACTCCTGAGCTCAAGTGATCCACCCGCTTGGCCTCCCAAAGTGCTGGGATAACAAGCAAGAGCCACCGCGTCTGGCCAGTTCTTTGAAAGTGTAATGTACCTTGTTGCAGGTCACCTTTCATACTTTACCCTTGAACACCTGCTGTGACTTGAATCTGATTATAGGTCTAGAAGTAGACTCACCCGCAGGGGTAGGTCCTGAGGAGAATCAGTAGTGTGTGCAAGGCACTTGCAGAGGCCATATTTCAGGGGAGGCTGACATGCTTAGGCAGGAATGAAAGGGCTGCTTCTCCTGGCAAAGAAGGCTCGGCAGAATTTAGGAGTTGATATTCCCAGCTCCATCGGGATGCTCTATGTCCCCATTCCAATTTTCAGTATCCAATTCCTTCCTAATCAGTGCCCTACCTTTAAAATAACACAACCTGTGAAATTGGGGCTTGAATTTGCTTTATCATTCACCCATTCACAGGATGAGACTCTGGATTTGGTTTTCATAAATCTCATCACTGCAGGTACAGGTCATAAGGGATTTTTCTAGGAAAGATACAGAAATTTGGGGATCACTAATGAGGAGCTTGTGTGGGGAATTTTAAGACCTGAGCTCATTAGCTCATTATTTTCTTTCATCATTGTTTTCCAATACACTTACGACCAAACATAAAATACCATGATATACCCTAAGTTTAACTAAAATGTTCTAAGGCTACAAATAGAAGGACATCCAGAAGTTTACCATATATATATATATATATGTATATATACACACACACACACACACACACATATATACACACACATATATATACATATATAAGATATATTATACGTAAGTACATATATATTATGTAAAATAAATATATAAAATTTTGATATTTTATATATAAAGTATAAAATATTTGATTAGGCATATCTAATAGCAATATTTTGTGTATCTTGATTGCCACAATATGCCTTGTACAACGAATGCTTTCTTTATCACTGGAAATAGAGTTATTAGTACCTTTAAATCTAGTCACATTCTAGAGCCAATTTTTATTTATTTATTTATTTGAGATGGAGTCTCGCTCTGTCACCCAGGCTGGAGTGCAGTGGTGCAATCTCGGCTCACTGCAATAACCGCCTCCCGGGTTCAAGCAATTCTCCTGCCTCAGCCTCCCAAGTAGCTGAGACTACAGGCTCATGCCAGAAGAGCTGGCTAATTTTTGTATTTTTAGTAGAGATGAGGTTTCACCATATTGGTCAGGCTGATCTCAAACTCCTGACCTCAGGTGATCCACCCACCTCAACCTCCCAGCGTGCTAGGATTACAGGTGTGAGCCACCACACCCAGCCGGGTATAGAGCCAATTTTTAAACAACTACAATGAATTCAGAACATATAACCTCAAGATTCTGTTCCTGTAGAACCACATCCAGTACTTAAATTTGGGTTAGAGTTCAACCAGAGAAGAAGAAGCAGTAGGAGATGTATTTAAACAGATTTATTGCAGTAACTTGGTGTGTGTGATTGTGGGGCTGTTCAAAATTCGTAGAGCAGACCATCTAGAAGGGCAGGCTAGCATTCTTGGGCATGAGCTGAAGCTGCCATAGAGAGGAAACATTTTTTTCTTGTTCAGGAAAAACTCAGCTCTGATTTTAAGGCCTTTCAACCAACTGAATCAGGCCCACTAATATTATTCAGGTTAATGTTCCTTACCTAAAATCAATTGCTTATGTATTTTTATCACATTTACAAAATATCTTCAGAGTAACTCATAGATTAGGGATTGACTGAATCACTGGGGACTGTAGGTTATTTATATTGACACATTTAAAGACTATTGCATGTGTTTAAAAAGGAAGTTATATTCATGTTACTGTTCTCTTCACTAGTCGCTAGTTGAAATATGACAGGGGTTGACAATATAACACTTAAATTTTTTCATGTATAAGTACTTATTTTGAAGATGGAGTTACATTTGCAAACTTAGATTGGCTTCAGAATATCTTTTGAGACTTTAAAGAAATATTGCAAGTCAGGCTGGGCATGGTGGCTCACGTCTGTAATCCTAGGACTTTGGGAGGCCAAGGCAGGAGGATCCCTTGAGCCTAGGAGTTCGAGAACAGCGTGGGCAACATAGGAACACATGGAGACCCGCTCTCTTAAAAAAAAAAAAAAGAAAAGAAAAAAATACTGCAAGTGATATTGCCATAAAAAAGGCCTTATTTCTGTATAACCTGCCAGAAAATCCACATCGTAAAAGAGCCTTCTCTTGAAAAAGGTTGGGACAGGGACAAAGTAAAGCAATTGCTAGATTAAGTAACTATTATAGCCACTATTCCCCTAATAAAAATATTGTCTTTTCTAATTCCTGAATGAATAACACGGTATATTTTTATGTTTCAGTCCTATATCATGCTTCTCTACCAAGTCAATATACAGTGGATCTTTAAAACTGAAGCAACAGAAGGAATACACGGGGTGAAGTTTTCTATTGACATAAAAGACATCCGTTTTTCACAATTCTATGATTTATAAAATAAAGAAAATCATTATTTTTTTTCAATAGAACATTTGAGGCTTTGAGAGAGAATATTGGTATTTTGTTGTCAACAATGGATTAGGAGTGTGATGACACGCCAGGTATTAAGTTAGTTGCAGCAAAAAGCAAATGGATACTATTTGAAAAAGCTTAAAATGTTTGCAGTTTGTAGCTCTTAAAATCGGTAAAATAACTTTCACTTTGACTACACTAGAAATTTGACAAGAGCAAACACACAGAAGCCATAAACACCTTCGAAAGTAAAATATTTAGCTCAAATTAGAGTTGAGCAGATAGTAATGGAAGTGTGTGTAAATATATATGAGTGTGTGTATATATACACATATATGTATATACATATATGTGTACTATATATGTGTACACAGATAAACATATAATTAAAAATATTATATTGAATTTGAGGTTGGGACTGAAATTTCTTGAAAGACAGTATTTCCGCATTTCACATTAAAATGCATATTGGGATTTAATGGAGTTATAGGAAAGAAGTGAAACAATTACTCAATCAATCAATGAAACACTAAAAAAAATACCTGCTGATGAAGAATAACCACAGGGGACTAATTACAGAGACAGAATCATAGAAATATACCTGAAGAGATTTAAATAAAATATAGTAAAAATATTCAAGATTAAGGAGAATTCAGGTCTTTAACAGGTTATTTGATTTATTTAAAATAGATTAATAATTAGTGACACAATAAGAACACTTACAGGTAACTAATATTATGATAATTTTAAAAGAAGCCAAAGAATTGCCCCCCCAAAGCAAATTCTGAACTTAAATATAAATAAATAATCCTAACTTTATACCCATTTTGTGCCAAATTTACATAAATATGTGGAAAATAATTCATGTAATTTTCAACACTGTATTTTAATTGTATACCTTTAATGGAACATATTTTAAGGACAAAGAGAACTGCAAGACAATCTTGAACTTTATTTAGTATTCTTGTTGGTATGGTATTCATTTTGTAATTCTGAAATCACTTCATCAGTACTGAATGAAACCTCAAATTAATAAAGATATATTGATAAGGTTGGAAACCAAAATTTTTACTGAAAAAGCAAGGAAATAAAGAAAAATTTGGTAAGATAGCTGAAACTGGAGCATCGATATGAAATTCAATATGAAATATATATAATATATTTATATATATACATATATAGTGCTCAACAAGTAATAGGGTCATGTCCACAAGAAAAGCAGCCAATTTGTAATGGTTTCTACTGGTCTAAGTTTGGATACCATAAGCCTCAAAATAAGATTAATAATAATAATATTTATGGTATATTCAATAATAACTTGAACTTTCAAAATCTGTTAGTCTATAGTTATACTCAATAAAAGATGAAGGCGGAAAGAAAAGTACTTCTTTACTGAAGAATATCCATTAATTAATAGATGAGGAATGATAAAATGAGAAACTCCCAATGTAGTTTACTCAGACAGAGATCACCAATAGATGTTAAAACCATGGAGTGAAAGATTGCTGGGGGACAGGATATATATACAGTTTCAAAATGTCACCTCACAGATTACTTAGTAATTACAAAGGGAAGTATATGCTTTTTCCTAGGAGATAGCTGTCACTTGGCATCTTAACCAAAAAGAGATCAAGCTTGGCACCACCTAATCACCAATAGCAGAACATCTTGACATTACATAGTTTTAGATGTGACGCAATAGGAAGTACGGAATATCCACTCTATGGTGTTTTGTCAGCAATGTTGGACCTAAATCAAGCCTTGAGGAATAGCAAGATGAGTCCACAATGCAGAATGTTCTGGAATGGCCTGGATCCTTCAAAATTTTTGTGCCAAGAACAATAAAGAGAAATTGGGATGGGGCAGGGGGGTTTCAGATATTTAGAAATTAAACAGTCATCACTTATGTGATGACTTATGTGAATATTTATTGGTTTCTGAATAAGAAATCAGGTAAAAATAGGGGAAAATCGGTGAACTTTGTTGATTTACCATATATTGTGTGCTGTTAAATAAAAGTCGATGTTCTTCAGTGTGCTAATGGTGAATGCATTTGCGTACACAAATGTCCTTCTTTGGAAATTTTGCTTAATTATTTAGAAGTAACGTTGCACTATGTGTGCATCTTAGCCTCAGATAGTTGGCAAGAGGGAGTGGTTTATGTGAGACGGTCTATAAAGAGAATGTATTTTTTCCAATATCGGCCATCAAGTTGCAATATGAAGAGAATAAATATATAATGGAGGAAGAAAAAACTTGGTCAAGGGGCATGCATCAGCATTCTTTTAAGGAAGTTTTCAGTAATTTTCTTCATGATATCTCTGTTGATTCCATTGACCAGAATTTTGCCATACACCTACATGTCCACAAGAAAGACTGAAAATATAGGGCTCTACTCTGGTCCTGAGTAAGGATAAATGTGAAGGGTCTATCATTGAGATAGAGGAGAGAATAGATATTGGTACTAAATTAGCAACATTAAGACCTGTATAGAAATTACGAAACTTGACCAGGTGTGGTGGCTCACACCTATAATCCTAGCACTTTGGGAGGCCAAGGCAGGTGGATCACGAGGTCAGGAGTTTGAGATCAGCCTGACCAATATGGTGAAACTCCGTCTCTACTAAAAACACACACACACCAACACACACACACAAACACACACACACAAATTAGCCAGGCGTGGTGGTGTGTGCCTGTAATCCCAGCTACTCAGGAGGCTGAGGCAGGAGAATTGCTTGAACCCAGGAGATGGAGGTTGGAGTGAGCTGAGATCACGCCATTGCACTCCAGTCTGGATGACAGAATGAGACTCCATCTCAAAAAAAAAAAAAAACAAAGAAAAGAAATTACAGAACTTACGAACAACTAAGTGTTCACAGATGTTCTTTCATATTCCTCCAGTTTCAATAAAAACTCTTGCTCCTTGGTTAGGTCCTATGTTCTGTTTCTAACAAAATTCAGGTAAATGACAAGTCCGTGGCAGTGCTTTTCTTATTTTTGAAAAATCAAGTTGATTCTTCCACAGAAAACATATTTCAAATAGATTTAATTCCTCAGGGGGATGACACAGCACATAAGAAGGAGGCTTAGTGCAGTGAAGGAAGATGAGGAGTTGAAGAGAACAGCGGTGTCCCGGGAAGGACTGAGAAAGAAGTTCTTGTCCATTTCCATGAAGGAGAAAATTTAGAGGAGAGAAGAAAAAAGGGCCTGCCCAAAACTAGATTTTCTGGGAGATTTTTGAGTTAGTATTTGGAAGTGAGGGAAGGAGGAAGGAAGGGAAAGAGGGGGATAATTTTTTTTTCTGTATCTACCTTTAACAGTGGTTGTGAGTTATGCCCGTGGCATAAAATTCCTAGAGCTCTAGTCTACTAAATTGTTGAACAGCTTAGAGTTCATCTGAGATGGTAGCCTTTATAATGAGCAGTAGTTAGAAAGGATATAGTCCAACAGTTTTCAATTAGTGAGTTCATAGTGATACCCTTGATTTAATTTGATATTTATTGAATGTCTGCTTACATTCTTGGTGTAGTACTTATTTGGGAATTTGCAGACTAAAAATATGCATTTCCAGATTTTAAATTGCTTATGGTCTAGTGGAAGAAGCGCTACTTCCAAATCTAACAGCCAAGTGTATTATGAAAGCACAGAATTAGATATGTTTTCTGAGCAAGTAAAGAACCAGAGACGTCTTTTAAAAAATAGAAGCTGAACTAGACTATAAAAGGATGAAAAGCTGCCCATGGTGGCTCACGCCTGTAATCCCAGTGCTTTGGAAGGCCGAGGCCAGAGGATTGCTCAAGGCCAGGAGATTGAGGCCAGCCTGAGCAACATAGTGAGCCCTCATCTCAACAATAAATACAAAAATTAGCTGGATGTGGTGGCACGTGCCTGTGGTCTCAGCTACTTGGGAAGCTGAGGTGAGAGGATTGCTTGAGCCTGGGAGAATCTAAGGCCACAGTAAGCTGTGATCGCATCACTGCATTCCAGCCTGGGCGACAGAGCAAGACCTCATCTCACGTAAATAAATCAAATAAAGGATGAACCAAATGAGCTAGGAAAAAGCTACAATATATAGTCACAGAAGACAAAGGACATGAAGAGAAAGTATTACACGTTAGAAAAAAATGTAAGTGACTTGCTGCAGGTACAACATGCAATATTAGACACAGACTGGCAAAAAATAAAGTTGCATAGGAAAGTTGTGACAATATAAAGAAAGGCTTTGAAGTTATTCCAAAAAATTTGCCTGTGTGTGTGTGTGTGTGTGTGTGTGTGTGTGTGTGTTTTGTTAACTTCTAATTTCTAGTTTTCTGAGGCATAGAATTGGGCTATTCATCATCTAATTCCTGACATTATTTTACCATTGATCAATGCATTGCTCACTTGCTTGAATATAAGTATGTTTATATTTGTTTGTTTTTAAAAATATAATTATCAATATAACACTCACCCAATATGACAAATAAAATATTGACAATAATTCATTTACTCCAATATGATACAACCCAACTCTATTTTCCTACCTTCAAGCACCCAGGATAACCATGATCTTAAATCTGTTGTTGTCATTGTTTCTCTTAAAAATTTTAGTTTGGTTACATTTCTAAGTATTACTATGAGGTGTCTTGGTTTCATATTAGATATTTTAATTTTGTGGAAATAGTAACACATTTTATGTAGTCTTTTGTGATTTTTAAACCAAATATTATATTCATATGATTCATCAACATCACCATAGATAGCTGTGGTTAATATTTAATTTTTCATTGTTTTAATGTCTCACACTTGGTTTAGCCATTCCCCTGTTGATAGGCATATTTCTGCTATTCTGAAGAATGCTGCTATTAACGTGCTTATTATCTTAGAATACATTTATATTTGTTTTTCTTTTATATGTACTAAACAGTGAAAATCATGGATAGTAACAAGTATAAAATCTAAAATTTCCAAGCTAATGTAAAATTATATTTAAAAATGGCTGTACAAACTGGTACAATATCTGCAGTCTACAGTAAATGAGTTTGTGATTAATCACATTCTTTCAAGCACGTGACGGTCTCATACTTGATTTTTGTCTTGAAAAATATGTGAAATTAAATCTTGTTCTGGTTTCAATTTCCATTTATCTGATCATAAATATGATTGAGGTTTTTATTTTCATACTGATCTGTAGGAGTTTTTTTTATATTTCTTTATTGGTTATATGTGTTGCAAATATATTCCTCTACTGTGAAACTGGTATTTTCAATTTCTATGAAATGCTTTTGATTTAGAGCTTTCTCATTTCAATGTCATCCCAGTTGTCATTTTTTTTTGTTTTATAAATGAAATTTTTTTTTTATTTAGGAAATGCTTCATTACCACAAGCTCAGAAATACATCAATTAAATTTTACAAAATTTCTTAAAATACTACTTTTACATTTAAATTCTTGGTTTATATAGATTTAACTTTGTTAATGATGTAAGAAGGGAATCCAAGTGCATTTATTTCATAAGAATTTTTTTTGCTCTATGTATTAAAAATAATTTTTAACTGAACTTCCAAGCTAATTCTGCCATGCTACAAAGAGCTGCAAATGACTGTCTTTGAATTCTAGTCTGTAAGTAAAATTATTCAACTATGTTCCATTAATATATTATATTATAATTAATACTATATTAATTACTGTGGTTTTATAAGTCTTGATATCCTGTAGTGCAAGCATTCTTTCCTTGCTATTCAGAAATGTCTTGGTTTCTTGTCTAATTTACCTCTCACATAAATCTTTGAAATATTTTATCAAATACTACAAAAAAAGTATTAGCATTTTTTACTTGAATTGCATTAAATCAATTAAATGGAAATAATTGCGAAAAATCAGTAGCTTTACAATATTTGTTTTTTCTATTCATAAACATGAATCTTTTCCTATTTCCTTAGATTTTTATATTTTCTATGAAAATTTGCATAGTTTGTCACATAAAAATATTAAACATTTCTTGTATTTTTTCAAAATATATATATTCTTTGGGGTTATTCTCATAGTTTACTCTTAGTTTGTTTCAAAAATATAGAATTGCAACTTACGTCTGTATATAAATCACATATTAAGAAATGTTACACATTTTCTTATTCTAATAGTTTTGTTTAGTTTTAAAATGTATACTATTGATTTTTTGAGAATAATGACAACTGAATTTCCTCTTAACCAACATTTATGACTCCAATATCACTGAGATAGTTGTTCTGCAATTATGAATTTATATTGCATTTTGTCATATATATTTTTGTTTATTGAAATTATCATACAAGTTTTCTACCTGATCTCTTGTTGTGTGAATTTCATTCTAAATTCTTTACATAATAAAACATCCTTGTCCTACTGAGATTAACCTAACATAGTCATTGTGTATTTGCTTTTTTATAGTTTTGGAATCAGTTTGCCATAATTTTGTTTAAGATATAACCTTTTTTCATAATAAATATTAGTATTGTGATATCAGAAGTGTGTTGGCCATCCAACCTATGAAAATAATGCATCTGTCCAATTATTTAGGACTTCTATAATTCCTCTCATTAATGTTTTGAATTTTCAGTGTAAAGATGTTGCATATACTGTGTTAAATGTATCTCTAAGTATTTTATGTTCATGCTATTTTAAATGATATATTATCAGCCCCATAAAACAGAGTAAGAAAAAAATAAATGCTATATTAAAATTTTAATTTCCCTTGATAATTGTTAGTATAAAGAAAAAACGAATTTTTCATATTGACACTAAATCTTGCAAACTTGATACTAGTAACTTTTTTGGAGATTCTTTAAGATTCACTAAGTATACAATCATATCATCTACAAATAAAGACAGTTTCTTTATTTCTTTCAATCTGTGAAATCTGTATGTCCTTACTTTCTTTTTCTTGCTTAATTGAAATAGCTAGTATCTCTAATATAGTGTTGAGTATAAGGTCTGGGAGCAGATACCCATGCCTTATTTTTGACCTCAGAAGGAAATAACTTTGTATTTCCTCATGGGTATAACATTAGCTATGAGATTTTTATTGATGATCTTTACCTGTTTGAGAAAGTTCCTTACTATTCCTAATTTACTGAGAGTTTTAAAATTATATTTTTATTTAATTAGGTGGAACTTTATATTTGTGGATTATATTGAATTTTCAAACATTAAGCCAACCTTGATTTATTATCCTTTTTATTTATTATTGGATTCTATTGGGTAATATTTTGTTTGTGATTTTTGCATCTGTTTTAGTGGTTTTCCTTACTTGGTATGATTTTGGTTTATAATGGTAGTGTGAACCTTATAAAATAAGCGAGACAATACATCTTCTGCCTTTACTTTTCAGAAAGAGTTTTTGTGTGATTGATATTCCTTCTTTCTCAGATTTTTTCATAGAAGTCACTATTGTATTATCTGACTTAAATGTTCTTTGTGAGAAGCTTTTTAATTACTAATACAAGTTTGAGTTTCTTTTTAAGTTAATTTTGTCTATTTGCATCTTTCAAGGAATCTTTCCAACTCCCTTATCAAGTTTACTAGAATAAAATTCCTCATAAGCCTCTCTTATGATTCTTTTATAGTCTATAGGCTTGTTGTGAGGTCTTTCCTCTCATTATTGATACTGCTTATTTGTGTCTTCTCTCTTTTTATCTTACCAGATTAGCTAATGGCCTATGAATTTTTATTAATTTTTGTTTCAAAAAATAGCCTTTGGGAATATTAATATTTTTCCTTTTCTATTTTCTATATCAATTATTAATATTTTTAATTATTCCTTTCCTCAAAAAGCCTTGGGAATAATTTTTTAATCTACTTTCTAAGGCAGATGGTTTGATTATTGACAGATACAGTCCCCTTTTTTTAACATAAGAACTTAAACTAAAAATCTTCCTTTAAACACCTCACTAGCTATATCCCACAAATTTTGATATGTTGTGTTTATATTTTTAATCAGTCCAATATATATTCTAATTTATCACAGATTCTCCTTTTTTCATGGGTGATGTATTCTGTATCATATATTTAAATATATGATAATTTTCTAGGTAAATTTATGTTACTGATAATTTAATTTAAATCAGTTGTGATCAGCATGATCTGTATATTTTAATTTCTTGAGTCTTGTATTATGGCACAATATGTAATCTATAAGAGTGGATATACCATGTACAATATAAAGCATATGTATACTATAGTTTTGGGTTTAATATAATAAGACATCTATTGGTTAAGGTCAATTGAAAGAACTGTTCAAATATTCTATAGGCTTAATGATTTTCTCTTTGTTCTATTAGTTATTGAGAAGAGTATTGAAATACTAAACTATAATTGCCAGTTGGTCTATTTTTCCACATGTTAATATTGCTTTATATATTTTGACATCTGTAATTTCATGAAACACATTTAGGATTGCTATTGCTTTTTAATAAAATGATACCTTCATCATTATACATCATTTTTCTCTAATAATTTTTTTTCTCAAGTCCATGTTATCTGATATCACTATAACCATTTCAGATTTCTTGGGTTTGGCTGTACTATAATAAATGTTTTTCTTTGTTTTATTTTTAATCAATGTATATCTTTATATTTTAAATAGGTTTCTTAAAAATATTTAAAAGTGGATTTTTTTCACTCTGGCAAATTATTTCTTTTGCTTGGATTTATGTGATTTATATTTAATGTAAAATTCAATATAGTTTCATTTAATCTAACATCTTACTCTATACTTTGTATATGCTGTAAACATTTTTAAAATTTTTTCTTCATTTTTATTATTGTGGTAATTTTCAAAACTGTTTCATCTCTAATATTGGATTCTTAACTATGCTTTTTTCTTTTTATTCATTGCTATGCAGTATATAATTTTTATTTTTAAGTTATCATATCTTACTTTCAAATATTATTATATTACTTTATCTATGATATAATTGTTTATTGTGAAAGGTTAAATACATTTCTTGCCATAACATTCTGACCAGAGTGAACATTCATGACAGCTATGATTAATTACAGTGATAAAATTGACAGAATCATAAAAGGTAAATTACAAATGCAGGCTGATAAATACTAAATCTGTTGAAGTAATTCCTCAGTTCCTAAAGAAAAAAGTTTTATTGTTTTAATGTTCTGTGTCTTTTAATGCAGACACTATGTTCTGTATAATGAATAGCTTTTAATAATGGTCCATTGAAAGCAGGAAGTCACTCGGTCCCAAGAAAGCCAGAAAAGAATGGTCCTTGTAAATACTACAGACAGCCATCGGGGTCCTGGCACAACTGCTGAGGAAAGCTCTGAATTCACTATACTACATAACAAGGGCAATCTCATCCTGTATTGGATGTAGAAAAATAGCATATATCTTTAGCTGCTCTATGGGTTTATCTATATATTTTCCAGAAAAAAAAATATGTCACATTAAAATGAATGCATAATAGTTTACTTGAGCATTATACATCTAGGATACTGGAGTAAGAGTTCTGTAAGGACTCTTTTTGGTTAATCTTACCTGCCATACATATTCAGTAGTTATAGAAGTATCTAACATACACTAAACACTTTAAACACTTAATGTTTATGATAAATGTCTGAATATGAATAATTAAAAGTAGATACACAGTGAGTAAACCTTGTCTTAATCACAAAATTGTCCTGTTGACAGCAACTTTTGTTTGATGATCTATGTACCTAAAATACAGGTACACACATAAAATATGTTTGTAACTATATATGGAAGTTTAAAATGGTCAAAACAATTTAATTAATTCACAGACAATCACATATCACATATAAAGACTCATTCACTGATATGTTGACAGTCTCTGGCTAAATTATTGTTTTGTAATCTTCAACCTACCTAAACAAAATTCTCTATTTCTGGAAAATTATTGTAATCAATTGCAGCACTAAAGTTTGATAGCCTGTGATAGGCAATTTTCATTCAGCACTCTCCTATATTTCTTTCAGGGGAAAAAGATATTACAATAAGAAAGAATCTGGGACAATTAGCAAATCAAACTCAAGGATCAATCCAGTCCAATTATACTTTTAATAGTGTGGAAGATGTTTTCTTCTACATTCGTCTTATTAAAGAGATAACAGAAAAGAAAATTGAACATGACAGTTCCACTTTTGTGGCAATTATTAGTGAAAAAAATGTTGAATGTAAAACTTTCCATTCTTCTTGTTGGAAATTTAAATCTGATTTTCTAATGATAGCTTTTTTATGAAATCATACTTTGGGTAATCTCCAAGATGAAATAGAAGAGTCTTACAAATTAATTGCTATTGTCATCATTAGTGACTTCAAATAATATGTAAAATGGCTCCTTTAATGTAATATATTTAAAAAATGATATTCTGTTAGTATACATAAATTATTGGTACTATGAGAAAAAGAGCAACTATACATTTTAAAAAATATTGTATTTTTTAAACAAAATACTACTTTTAACCTAATAATAAAATCTAGGAATATTAACTGAATAATTATTCTTTTTATAGGCAATAGGAAATAGTCAATAATCATTTTTGGTTGAGAAAGTAAAAAAAAAAACTAAAGATAATACATTAAGCTATTATTTTTTATTTCATTGAAGTATAGTATACATACTAAAAATTGCATATTGTAACTGTTTGAGGTAATGTGTTTTCAAAGAGTGAACAAATCCATGTAATCAGCACATAGATCATGAAAAGGAAATTGCCAGCATTTCTCAACCCTCTCCTACATCCATGTAGTCACCACTTGAGTAAGGACAATCACTCTCTGAAGTCTAAAATGATATATTACCCTTGCCTATTTTTAATTATATATAATGCTGTCATAAAGCCAGTATACTTTAATATCTGGTATCATTTCTTCAACATGACTGTGAGCTTTATTAATGGTATTGTTGATAATTTTGATTTTCAAATTCTCAATTCTGTATACTATCACATTTCATTAATTTACCATAAATTAATTTTCCATACAGCTTCCGATAGATGTTTGAGTCAATTTAAATATTTGGTTTCTGAATAGTGGTGCAATTAAGATTTTTGTGTATGGGGTTTAAATAATATATACACACAGTTTTGTTGGGTTAATATTGCTAAACATTTTTCTTGAGTTACTGTACTATTTTTCACTCTTTTCTTCAATGTGGAATTACAGTTGTTCAACATTTTCTTTCACAGTTGATGTTAATTTCTTTTTATCTATTTACTAGAGGCTTTAGTAGCCATATACTGACATCACAAGCAAATTTAAATTACACTTTCATAAAGACTAATAAAGTTGGATATTCTTGTTTGTAAAATATCTCTTCAGGGTTCTTTTTGCCAAATTTTCTATTGATTTTCTACATTTTTGTTACTGATTTGAAACATTCTTTATATTCTGTACATAATTATTTTCCAAACAAGGAACAGACAACTGTGAGGAAACTCATCAAGTTTCACTGAAGGGGAAAAGCCAGAAATTTCTAAATGCCAGAGAGAAAGATACATGTGGTTTTGATAAACAAGTACAGAAACTAGCACACTGGAGAGCTGCTTAGACAGGTGATAGAGGCAGAACTCCAGGCAGTGCAAAGCCTAGAGGGTTTGGTGCAAGAGGGCCTGTAGTGGAACACAGCCTGGGATATCCACCCCAAGGTTTGCCATAATTCCCTAGGAGATTTTAGCCTTAGGAGAATTGTCAAAGCTGAACAGAGCAAGGGCTGTCTTTTCCATGAGAGATCTGGTCTGACCTGAGCATCCCTTTGTCTGCTGGCCTCTCATGGGGCCCCAGCCAGGTCAAACTTGCTTTCAGTGTAGCCTTGGGTGCCCAGCAAGGGGGCTTCCTGGGGGCCTGCATCATAGCTCCTGCAGTGGAAGACTACACCTCACCATCAGAAAGCCCCAGCAAAATGGCACTTGCCAATGTACACCAGCTCACCAGCACCTTCCCCACACCACAGCCTCCTATGTGCTGCTTTGCAAGCATGCAATCACCCATGGCCACCCCCCACATTGCTTGACCAGCACACATGCACATAGGTAGACCTTGCCTCCATGTCCTTGCTGGTGCATGTGTGCATGTGCCTCCTCACTGTGCCAATGCTGCTGGCATCAGTGCTCCCCACTGTGATGCCATTGTCAATGTGAAAGTGCACCAGGAGACCAATAGCTCTGCCCCCCCTGCCCTGTGCCACCATTGCTACCCATGTGATCACATGCACGGAGACCACCAGTCCCATGCCCACTGGTTTCCTGCTTCCACACAGACACTATTGGCCCCATCTCTTCACCCTTCGTGCCATGCCACCATTGCTGCCACTGTAAACACCCACAAGAGGGCTGGCACCCTATGCCTGCCAGCAACCCCCGTCAGCTGACAAGTGTGCACCAGACTGCACTGCTACTGCTACTGGCAAATGTAAATGAGCACTGATTTTGTTGCCACTACCAGACAAAGCACTTTGGCTAGCCCCACCCATCAGAGTGTTGTGACCAACAGAGAACACCTTGACCTCTGTAGAATAGCAGGTTCCCAACATCAAGGTGCCAGAGAACAAATCAGGGGGCCTAATATTAGCCCCCCAGATTTAGAGCACACAGCACAGGAATCCAGAGCTGAGCCTTGACCCCCTAAAATCTTCCAGAAACAAAGCCAGCCAACTAAACCTACTTTATTCAGTGATCAAACCCCCAAGGACATCAAAGAAGATAAAAGAAACAACAACAAAAAAATAAAATTTATCCATTAAACATCAACTTCAAAGATTGAAGGGATATCAGCCTACAAATATGAGAAAGCATCAGCACAAGAACTCTGGCAACTTGAAAATCCAGCGTGTCTCCTAACCTCCCAAAGACTATACTAGCTCCCCAGTAATGGTTCTTAGTAAGACTGAAATGGCTGAAATAACAGAAATAAAATACAGAATATGGATAGGAATGAAGATCATTGAGATTCAGTAGAAAGTTGAAACCTAATTCAAAGATTTTAAGGAATACAATAAAACACTACAGGATATGAAGGACAAAATGGCTACTTTAAGAAAAAACAAACATCTCATAGAGCTGAAAAACTGACTTCAATAATTTCAGAATACAATCAAAAGTATTATAAGCACAATCGACCAAGCTGAAAGAATTTCAGAGCTTGAACACTGGCTATTCAAAATGACTCAATAAAGACAAAATAAAGAAAAAAAAATAAAGAAGGAAAAACAAAACCTCCAAGAAATATGGAATTATGTAAAGAGACCAAATCTATGACTCAATGATGTCCCTGAAAGAGAAGGACAGAAACCAAGCAACCTGAAAAACATATTTCAGTATATCATCTATGAAAATTTCCCCAACCTCCCTAGGGAGGTCAACATTCACATTTAGGAAATACAGAGGACCCTTGCAAAATGCTGCACAAAAAAAATCATCAACAAGACATATAGTAATCAGATTCTCCAAGGTCAAATAAAGAAACACGTTAAAAGCAGCTAGATAGAAGGGGCAAGTTACCTACAAAGGCAATCCCATCAGCCTAACAGCAGATCTTTCAGCAGAAATCTTATAGGCCAGAAGAGATTGGGGCTTATATTCACCATTCTGAAGGAAAATAATTTCCATCTATGAATTTCATGTCCAAGCAAGCTGAAATTCATAAGTGAAGGAGAAATAAGAGGCTTTATGAACAACCAAATGCTGAGGGATTTTTTTTTTTTTTTACCACCAGACTTGCCTTAGAAGAGGTCCTGAAGGGAGTGCTAAATATGGAAAGGAAAGACTCTTAGTGGCCATTACAAAAACATACTTAAATGCATGGATCTTTGACACTGTAAAGCAGCCACACAAAGAAGTCTGCATAATAACCTGCTAGCAACATTATGACAGGATCAAATCTTCACATATCAATACTAACTTTGAATGTAAATAAGCTAAATGCCCCAATTAAAAGGCACAGAGCAGCAAGCTGCATGAAGAAGCAAGACCTAATGGTATGCTGTCTTCAAGGGAGACATCTCACATGCAGTGATGCCCATAGGATCAAAGTAAAAGGATGGAGAAAAATCTAGCAAGAATATAGAAAAAAGAAGATAGAAAAAGATTGCAGTTATAGTTTCAGACAAAACAGATTTTAAAACAAGAAAGATGAAAAAAGACAAAGAAGGGCATTTCATTATGGTAAAGGGTCACATCAACAAGAAGACCTAACTAATCCTAAATGTATACAAACCAAACACAGGAGCAACCAGATTCATAAAGCAAGTTCTTAGAGACCTACTAAGAGATTTAGATAACCACACAAAGATAGTGTGAGACTTTAACATCTCACTGACAGTATTAGACAGATTATTGAGGCAGAAAACTAACAAATGTATACGGGACCTGAATTCAACATGTGACCAAATATACTTAATAGACATCTATAGAACTCTCCACCTCAAAACAACAGAATGTATATTATTCTCATCTGCACATGGCACATACTCTAAAATTGACTACACAATTAAGCAAAAAACAATCCTGTGCAAAATATATATAAAAAAATAAAGCATGAGATTATACCAACCATACTCTCAGACCACAACACAATAAAAATAAAAATAAGTGCTTAGAGAATCATGCAAAACCATAGAATTGCATAGACATTATTATGTAACATGCAGTTGAGAGTTAAGGACAAACTTTCAGTGTTAGAGTATACTTATGTCAGAAAAAAAAAATAGAAAAAGTGTAATTCCCTAAAGCTACATTAAGCAACATTTTTTAAAAAGTAAAAGAAAACTCTTAACAATGCCTCTCAGGCTGCCTTAACTGACATAGTAGAGATGTAATAAAATGTTCCTGAAAGCTAAGAGAAGCTAAATGACTATAATAAAAATACAGTAGACAGCATATTATACTAATCAAAAAGATTAAATGCACTGCTTTTAGAAAAATACCACTTTGAGAAAATAATTTATACATCTCGATTGACAACAAAATAACTGTATAAATTGCTAATAATATACAAGCCATTAATCATGAAGAAGGTAATGATGGTGGTTAATATTTCCCAAGCACTTTGTGCTATTAGTTTTTTAGATTATTCATTTACTTTTCACAATAACTTATGAGATCATTATTATTATACCTATTTTACAGATGAAGAAACTGAGACACAGAGGAGTTAAGTCATTTTTCCACGGTCACAAAGCTAGTAAGTGACAGTTGCAGAAATCAAATCTAGGAAATCTGGCTCTGGAACTCCTGCTCTTTATCAGTATACTTAAATTACTCTTTGGAGACTGAGGTGGCTGATATTGAAGAGTAAAACAAAGCTGCATTTCTTTTTCTTTCTTTCTTTTTTTTTTTTTTTGAGACAGAGTCTTGCTCTGTTGCCCAGGCTGGAGGGCAGTGGTATAATCTCGGCTCACTGCAGCCTCCGCCTCCCAGGTTCAAGGGATTCTCCTGCCTCAGCCTCCTGAGTAGCTGGGACTACAGGTGTGCACCACCATGCCTGGCTGATTTTTGTATATTTTTAGTAGAGACGGGGTTTCACCGTCTTGGCCAGGATGATCTCAATCTCTTGATCTCGTGATCTGCCTGCCTCGGCCTCCCAAAGTGCTGGGATTACAGGCGTGAGCCACTGTGCCCGGCCTTCTTTTTAAAAAACAAGTTTGATAATACTGCTCAATTTCAAAATAATAAGAAATCTAACGTTGCCATGGAATTCCAACAAATAAATAATATATAATTTTCACTCTCCATTTGATGGGATAATTTGCTGATGGGACAATTTACTATGCAAATTGTCTACAAAATAAAATTATGCAAGCTAAAAAAGAAGAAATTACATAACCTGCTCCTGTATGACTTCTGGGTAAATAATAAAATTATAATTACAATCAATAATGTTTTTGAAACAATGAAAACAAAGATACAACATATCAGAATCTCTGGAACACAGCTAAGGCTGTGTTAAAAGGTAAGTTTATAGCACGAAATACACACATCAAAAAGTTAGAAAGAATTCAAATTAACAACCTAAAATCACAATCAGAGGAAATAGAGAAACAAGTACAAACCAACCCTATAGCTAGCAGAAAACAAGAAATAAGCAAAACTAGCACTGAACTGAAGGAAATTGAGATGCAGAAAACCATATTAAGATCAAATAATCCAGAAGCTGGTTGTTTGAAAGAATGAATAAGATTGATAGACTGCTAGATAGACCAATAAAGAAAAAAAGGGAGAAGATCCATATAAACATAATCGGAAATGACAAAGAGGACATTACCATTAACCCCCAGTAAATACAAAAAAAAATCAGGGATAACTATGAACACCTCTGTGCACACGAGCCAGAAAACCTAGAAGAAATGAAAAAAATTCCTGGAAATATACAACCTACTAAGATTGGACTAGGAAGAATTAAATCCTTAATAATGAGTTCCAAAATTGAATCAGTAATAAAAAGCCTACCAACAAGAATAAACCCCTACCAACCAGAATGAAGCCCCAGACAAGATGCATAGCTGAATTCTACCAGATGTATAAAGAAGAGCTGGTACTTTTCCTACTGAAAGTATTTCAAAAAATTGAAGAGGAAGGTCTCCTCACTAACTAATTCTATGAGGCCAACATCATCCTAATAGTTTAATGTGGCAGAGGTACAACAAACAAAAGAAAACTTCAGGCCAATATCCTTGATAAACATAGATGCAAACATATTCAATAAAATACTTGCAAACTGAATACAGCAGCACAACAAAAAGCTAATCCACCATGAACAAGTAGGCTCTATCCCTGGGATGAAAGATTTGTTCAACATACGCAAATCAATAAATGTGATTCATTACAAAAAGGGAACTAAAAACAAAAACCACACGATTATTTCAATAGATGCCAAAAAGGCTTTCAATAAAATTCAACATACCTTCATGTTAAAGGAACATACCTCAAAATAATAAGGACCATATATAACAAACCTACAGCCAACATCATACTGAATGGGCAAATGCTTAAAGAATTCCTCTCAAAAACCAGAACAAGACAAGTGTGTCCTCTCTTATCACTCCTATCCAACATAGTACTGGAAATTCTAGCCGGAGGAATCAAGCAAGAGAAGGAAATAAAATGCATCCAAATGGGAAGAAGGGAATGAAACTATCTCCGTTTGCAGATAATATAATTCCATACTTAGAAAATCTTACTGTCTCTGCCCAAAAGCTCCTTGATCTGAAAGGTAACTTCAGCAATGTTTTAGGATACAAAATCAATGTACAAAAATTAGTAGCATTCCTATACACCAACAACATCCAAGCTCAGAGTCGTCAGGAATGCAATCTCATTCACAATAACCATAAAAAGAATAAAATACTTAGGAATACAGCTAACCATGGAAGTAAATGTTCTCTACAACAATAATTACAAAACACTACTGAAAGAAATCAGAGAAGACTCAACAAATAAAAAGACTTTCCATGCTTATGGTTAGGAATAATAAGTATTGTACCATACTGCTCAAAGCAATTTACAGATTCAATGTTATTCCTATCAAACTGCCAATTACATTCTTCACAGAACTAGAAATTTAAAAAAGAATTTCAGGTGTAAAAAAAAAAAAGCCTGAATAGCCAATTCAAATTTAAGCAAAAGAAAGAAAGTTGGAGGAGTCACATTACTTTACTTCAAACTACACTATAAGGTTTCAATAATCAGAACAGTATGGTACTGGTAGATAAATAGACACATAGACCAATGGAACAGAATACAGAGCCGAGAAATAATGCTGCACACATACAACCATCTGATATTCAGCAAACCTGACACAAACAAGCAATGGGGAAAGGACTTCCTATTTACTAAATGGTACTGAGATAACTGTCTAGCCAAGTGCAGAAGATTGATACAGAACCCCCTTCCTTTCATTATATACAAAAATCAACTCAAGGTGGATTAAAGACTTAAATGTAAAACTTAAAACTATAAAAACCCTGGAAAATTACCTAAGAAATACAACTCTGGACACAGAACCTGGAAAATATTTCATAATGAAGAAGACAAAAGCAATTGCAACAAAAACAAAAATTGACAAATGAGACCTAATTAAAGAGTTTCTGCAGAGAAGAAGAAACTCTCAGCAGAAGAAACAGACAATCTACATAATGGGAGAAAATATTTGCAAACTATGTTTTTGACAAAGGTCTAATATCCAGAATCTATAAGGAATTTAAACAAATTAACAAGCAAGAAACAAACCTCCCCATTGAAAAAGAGGCAAAGGACACAAAAGGACATTTTTCTAAAGAAAACACACATGCAGCCAACAAGCATATGAAAAAATCCTCAACATCACTAACCATTAGGTAAATGCAAATCAAAACCACACTGAGATACCATCTCACACCAGTCAGAGTGGCTATTATTAAAAAGTCAAAAAGTAACAGATGCTGGCAAGGCTGTGGAGAACAGGGAATGATTATACATTGCTGGTGGAAATGTAAATTTGTTCAGTAACTGTGGAAATCAGTTTGGTGATTTCTGAAAGAACTTAAAACAAAACTTCCCATTGGGTATTGTGCTTATTACCTGGGCTACCCAATAATCTGTATACCAAGCCCCTGTCACAAACAATTTACCTATACAACAAACTTGCACATGTACCCCTGAACCTAAAATAAAAGTGAAAAATATATAAGTAAAAATTAAAATGAAGATAAAAAATAAAATAAAATTTGTATTACCATTAAAAAAAGAATTAAAGGAAACTGAAAATAGGATCAGTCTAAGAAGCATGATTAGTTAGAATGATGTGTCTGTGACATTTAAGTGTGAGTCAAGGCTCAGGGATTGAGCTATCTTCCATACACTAGAATTATATAATAATATGGTTTTGTGATATAATCATTTATAGCATTATGTTATAGTATTATAGCACATCATAATATAGCATGATATTAATAATGTAGGCTGCAAGGCTCGTGAAGTTGAAATTTAATGCCAGAACAGGATATTTTTTATGTAACAATGAGTCAAAAGTGTAAAGTGGCATCAAATAAAGGGGAAAACACTTTGTTCCAGGAGACACTACATTTTGGTTTCTCTATTTCTTCATTTATTCAATAAACATGCCACGTTTCTTTCTTTCTTCATAAGCAACTATTTGGGCCATAATAGATTGGAATGCTGAAACAATAAAATATGCCCAACACTAAAAAAAGAATGAAATATCTTGAAATACAGCTAACTAAAGTGCCATTTTTACATTTTTATCAAATCGTACCAAAGATATAGACGATCTCCATTATTTTTTATTTTATTTATTTTTTTTGAGAGGGAGTCTCCCTCTGTCGCCCAGGCTGGAGCGCAGTGGCGCGATCTCCGTTCTCTGCAAGCTCCGCCTCCCGGGTTCAAGCCATTCTCCTGCCTCAGACTCCCGAGTAGCTGGGACTACAGGCTCCCGCCACAACACCTGGCTAATTTTTTGCATTTTTAGTAGAGACGGGGTTTCACCATGTAAGCCAGGATGGTCTCGATCTCCTGACCTCGTGATCCTCCCGCTTCGGCCTCCCAAAGTGCTGGGATTGCAGGCCTGAGGATCTCCATGATTTTTGAGTTTTGATGCTAACGTTGATCACTTGTCTGAAGTGCTGTTTGCCAGTTTTCCTGCTGTACTGTAAAGGTGTTCTTTGTTGTTGTGTTCCATCTAGTACTGTTTGAAAGGAAGTCACTATGTGCATGGCAAATTTAAGGGGTGGGAATTATGCTCTCCCTCATGTAGGATGGAATATCTACATAAATTATTTGGAATTTTTTGTATAGAAGAGTTATCTCTTCTTCATTTTAAAATGTATTTAGTCATTTATTGTTATTAGTATGGACTCATGGATATCTTACCAGATTAAGAATGTTTGACATAATTCCATAGTAAACTTTTAATATCAACAGAGTTGTACTGTTTTTAGAAATCAAATTTATATGCACTTATCTTATAAGTATTTGAATGATAGTATATTTGTTCTGTGCTAATATACATATTTAACTACAGACATTTGAGCTAATAATATACAGAGGTAATCAATGGGTAATATTTTAAAAACTTAAGTGAAAATAATTTAGTCTTCTGAAAACATTTGTTATCTTTGTGCTTTTGTCTATATGCAAATGTGTTAGCTCTTCATAACATTTAAATTAAGGGGCAAATAGGTGTAAGAAACAGGCATTGTCATAAATATATTTTCAAGATTATATTTATAATTTTCTAAATGGTATCTACTATTATTTAGTGTGTACTATTATTAGTGACTTCATAAAAGTTTATAATTAAACTATATGCATATTAAAATGTATTTCAGTTTGTTTTCATAAAAGAGGGAAGTTTATCGGTAACAGAGTAGAGAAGACTGTTAGCACATTACAAAATGTTATTTGGATTAAAAAGAGAAGCTAAATTTTCTAATATCTGTGCATTTATTTGACATTGCAAGTGGATTGTAGGACCCTCTATGCATGCACTATCCATAAAGTCTTCTAAGTGTTTACAAAAGAGTTACATAAGCCCTCATCTTATGCACTACACTCCCAATAGAGGTGTCTATGCTTTTCCGTTTTCATATTGTTATTTACAAAAACATATTAACTGAATCATTCAGTCTTGTCATCATCTGCTGATTTTTGCTCTTCTCTAACACTAGCCTGAATTTTCCTGCTGTACATTAAAAGCCACAGATCAGATATTCTAGAAGAAACATCAGGAAGTATAGTTTTTCATATTTTATTTTGTGATAAGTATATGATGAAGGTCCTTTTCCTTTCTTTGTTATTCTGGTTTCAACTGTGCTTTTATAATGGGTCAGGCTTAGAAAAACCACCATTGTCCTTTGATAAATGCCATTGAATTAAATTTTTAAAATTCTAACAGCAACAGATTTGTGAAAAATCAAACCAAATTTGCAGATAGTGTCACTGCTAGAGTTTATATTGATTCTAATGAAAGTATTATTTATACCTGAATTTATATCTATGTATAGGTGACCTTGTTTGCAAAACTACTCAGATGGTTGCCAGATATTTTATAGTTATTTTGTTTTTATGTAGATACAACTACTCACATAGGTGAATATAAATCAGCTCTCCTTCACACCAGGGTCTAATTACATAAAACCACGTGGGTAAAACTGAAGATGACTAAAGCATAATAGTCAAAGAAAAGTCTTATTTAATTAAGTATTTTAAAGTCCCTGTTTTATGTATGAAAAAAACAGTGTCTATAAAGTCCTGTCCCTCAAACTTGTACCTGTTTTGTTCTGAGTGTGTATGTGTGTGTGTGTGTGTGTGTGTGTATATATCATCTTCAATTGTCTCAGATACATATGTCATAATGTAAATTAAGTCATAATGTAAACACTACCATATATATAGATATATATACACACACGTTGAGACAATTGAAGGAATCCAAAATCCATTTCTGAAGTTTTATAAAATATCTCCAGAAGATAAAGTTACTTTTCTGTCTTTGGTATGTTTAACATTTACATATGACCCTTGATATTTATTTTGAACATCAATAAAAAATTATTTGTTTCATTAATAAAATTTATTATACCTACACTGTATAATCTATACATATTTTTAAATAACAAATATAGCAATATATATGCTAGAAAAGCCTAAGTATAAATAAAAATTTTCCTGAAACTAAGTCATTCTCACAGTGATAAGAATTTGCCTGGATAATCTGCATTAATAAAGCAAGAAGCTTAAAGAATAATATCAGTTCATCAACAAATTTTGTTTAGTGTGTGTTGTTTTATAAATAAGTCTAATTTCCACAAATACAGGAAATGTTAATATAGATTGACTCAAATTCAATTCATGACACCAGCGCAAAATGCATACATACCTTTCTTTACAAAAACAAATTTATCTGCATTAAGAGAGGAACTTTAGATATACAAAAAGATGCTCAACATTATTAATTATTGGGCATATACAAATCAGTTCCACTAACGATATCATTTCACACCCATTAGAATGGCTATTATCAAAAAGTCAAAAGATAAATGTTGAGAAGTGTGTGGAGAAAAGGGAAGTCTTGTACACTGTTGATGGGAATGTAAATTGATACAGTCATCATAGAAACAGTATAAAGGTTTCTACAGAAACTAGAATTATCATATGACCTGGCAATCCCTCTCGTAAACATATAGTCAAAGGAAATAAAATTATCACGTCCTAAAGGTATCTATACTCCTATCTTTATTTCAAAATTATTCACAATAGCCAAGATATGAAAACAACCTAAGTCAGTCGATAGGTTAATGGATGAAGAAATTGTGGTGCATGTGCACAATGAAATATTATTCAGCCCTGAGAAAGAATGAGATGTCCTTTTTCACAACATGGATGGGCCTGGAGGACATCATGCTAACTGAAATAAGACAGACACAAAACGAGAAATCTTGCATGATCTCTCTTATAGGAGGAATATAAAACAAAAATGAAAAATATACAGACGGTTTCTGGCTTATGATGGTTTGACTTACAATTTTTTGACTTTATATAGGTGCAAAAGTGATAGATATTTAGTAGAAATTTTTTAGTAGAAATTTAGTAGAAATTTTATTTAAAATTTTGCATGTTGATATTTTCTGGGCTAACAATATACAGTACAATAAGACTGGCTGTGCAGTGGCTGGGCATGGCTGTGATGCTGGGCAGTGGTAGTGAGCCACGGCTCCGTTAGTCCTATGATCATGAGGCTAAATATCAGGTACTGTACTCTGCCATATACTGTATTCAATAAATTATATGAGATATCAAACAGTTAATTATAAAATAGCCTTTCTGAAGGATGACTTTGCCCAACTGTAGGCTAAAATAAGTGTTCTGAGCAGGTGCAAGGTAGGCTAAGCCGAGCGCAGATGTTTGGTAGGTTAACAGTATTAAATGTATTTTCACTTTAGGATTTTTTTAATTTATGATGGCTTTATCAAGGCTTAACCCCATGAGAAGCTGAGGAGCATCTGTCCAGAGATAGAAAACAAAACAGTGGTTACCAGGAAAGAGGAGTTACAATAGAAGGAAATGAGATGTGGTTCATAGGATACAAAGTAGCAGATATGTAGGATGAACAATTCTAGAGTTCTAATGGTACAACATGACGACTATAGGGAATAAAACTGTACCGTATTTGAGATCTATGCTAAATGAGTAGATGTAGCTGCCCTTGACTCAAAACCAAAACCAAAATAATTGGTAACTATGTGAGATGATGGATACGTTAATTTGCTTGAGTACGGTAAAGCTTTTACTATATATACATGTATGTATTTCATAACATCATGTTGTTTACCTTAAATATACACAGCGAACGTTATTTGAAAAATAAAAATTAAAAGAGGGACTTCAAAAATTGTTCCAGTCTTAAAATGGGATATAACTTTGTGGTCTAATGTGATTAGCTGATCCTCTGGGAACAAAATTAACATTCCTGAAATGATGCTTGAGCAATTTCCTGATGGACTCTAATGAGCGTGCTAGACCTTCTTGGAAATTCATTCAAAGAAAGTCCATTTTGCCAAGATCCTTTAAAGACCTTTAACCAGTCTTGCAAGGAATCTAATGACCTTTAAGCGATGTGTTTTGTTCTTATTGCAGCCTAAAAATTGATATGTAACATTTTTTACTACCACGATCAACAACTGCCAAAAGGGGATCTTTTTCGGTTAGCTTTTACATAAAGCCTCTACTTCTAGCAAACTTGAAATAAAATTGATTCATGATCAAAATTAACTAAGACTTGGTAATCTTTAATTATTACATGTGTCACCATTATTGACAATTATTTTAAGTATCTAAATCTTTTGCCTGCATATGTTTTATAATATTATTCCAAATTGTTATTTGCTTTCAAACTTTATTATTTCCCAATTTATAACACTTTATTTCTTTGATTTAAAGCAATTTAGATTTCTAAATCATGAGGTCCCTGTTATGGTTATAAAAATAAAAATAACATTTTTTTCACCAAATTCAGTTAATATAGACTGCTAAAAAAAACAAAAAAAATGCAAATGAGCAACAAGAACAAATGAACTAACAAGAACAAATAAAACACAACTTCCCCGTCTAAGGCCAGATGACAAATCACAGCATATCTTGTTTTTTCCATTAAGTAGTGCATCTACTCCGTTAATGAGATAAAGGCTTTACAGATAATAATTATGACTACCAAGATAATATAAATAAACAATATCACATGTTCTTCAAACAAGATGATATAAACTACCCCCAAAGTCACTCACCACAATTATGAGCAAAATAAACATTTTTGAGTGATGTTCAAAATCAGAATAAACAAAACTTTTCAGTTGGTATTTTAAAACAGAACATTAATTACAAATCAATTTTAAAGAAAGCAGAAAAAGAAAAAAGTGACAAAAAGAAAGAGAGAAAGGAAACAAATATTTTGAAATGTTAATATATTAGGTAGGCTAAAATAATTTATAGTTGCAAACTGTTGAAACTATCACAAAATGCTACAAATAAATTTCTTCTAAATGAAAATATTTTACCTTTTAGAAAATATCTGTAAGAAATGATTTTCTATAATGAATATTAAAAGGATACATTTTATGATTATGTGACACTATGCAATAAATTTGATTTCTTAGTACAGTAATACTATACTATATTACTCTATGGTAATAATATAGAGTTACATATTTCTGTGAAAAAATAAATATTTGTGCTGTGTTATTCAAAGATAGAGAAATGTTTGTCTTCCTCATATCAATTTAGCAATACTTTCTTCTACTGCTCCCTTCTTGCACTCTCTCTCTCGCTCTGCTTTTATTTTGCAACTTATTTCTTGTATTTATCTCTTCTTCCCTTTGCCAAAGACACCCCTCTTTTTAGGAAAAATCTTTAAAGACCTTTATTGGATTTCTAAGGAATCTACTGATTTCTTATCAAACGTTTTGTTTGTTTGTTTTGCTCCAGGTTAACAGTTGATTGTAGTCATCTTTTCACCTATAGTTTTGTTTTCTCTCTTTTCTATTATGCTTCTTCCTTTTTTTCACTCTCCTCCTGTTCAAATACCTTATGAAATTGTATTGTCTCTTATACCAAATACAATTCTATTCTATCTGCTGAGCATGATTGTATGAAGTTTGGAATTTTGAGCTTTTGATATTGTGGTAGTCTTTACATTATGATTTAACTTATTTTGTATCTATAGACTAGGTGTTAATTTTTATAGTAATGTTATCATCTACAAATAAAATAATGACCGTTTCCTAAAACTTATTTGTGTAACTGCCTATTTGCATTCATCATCTAGACCTTCCAGATGAATGCAGTAATGATGTAGTTGAACAGACGCTCTTAACTCTGGGAGGCCGAGGCGGGCAGATCACCTGAGGTCAGGAGTTCGAGACCAGCCTGAACAACAAGGTTAAACCCTGTCTTTATCAAAAATACAAAAATTAGCCAGGCATGGTGGCGGGCGCCTGTAATCCCAGCTTGAACCCGGGAGGTGAAGGTTGCAGTGAGCCAAGATCACACCACTGCATTCCAGTTTGGGTGACAGAGCAAGACTCCATCTAAAAAAAAAGAAAAAAGAAAAAAGAAAAGAACAGACACTCTTACAAAATTCCTGAAATTTTACTAAATTAAAGGCACTCTTTCAGCTGCCCCCAGGGTTTTAAAAAATCTACTTTTCTCAGAACTTTGGCCTTTGAAGGAAGACAGTTTCCCTTGTAGAAGGGGTCAAGTGTGAGCCTCAAAGTTAGACAACGACACTGAGAATTGTCTCCATCTATGGTTGTTAAGAAGAGACCAGAATGGTCACACAAAATTCTTCTCCAGAACTTACAGCTTTCTATCACCATTTGTGTTGAAGACCAACCATTGTAATTTTATTACATGTTTTATACCTGCTTCTTCCTTCACCCAAGAAGGATTAAACTCCCTTCATTTGCTCCAATCTGGTCACTATGCAGTCAACATAATCTCTTTTCTGTCCTTTCTCTTTTTACCTACTTCTAAAATCTTTCCTTTCAGTCCTTAGAAACCAGTGATTGTCAGAAAAATAATGTAACCAGGCAACTTCTCTTAACATTGATATTCTTCCTCAAAACGTGTCTTTCTCTGGAGTCGCTTTACCCCCTGTAAGCCTTATGCAGTAGATATATTTTCTTCTCCCTCCCACATTGCCATTGGAGTTTAGGAGAGATAAGTACTCTAGATTTTACATAGCCACCACCTGGGGTACCTTAAAAACAATAATGACCTCTAAATTCTAATTTCATCAGAATCACTAGGGATGAGATTTACACATTCGTATTTATTAAACTATCCAAAAGATTCCCCTGTGTAGCTACGTTTGAGAGCTACTGCCTAGGTTCTCACTACCATTTGAAATTTATTCTCATTCTCCTTCCTCTAAACACTCTCACTTTTAATTTAGTCTCAAAACCGTACATTGCTATCTGATTTTTTTTTCAATTGCTGTTACCCACTCTCCACCAGAAATTTTCCTTCGTTTTTCATAAGATTTTATCTTTTGGATCACTATCACTCTTAATAGCACTATTATTTCTTAATATTAGTTAATTTTAATATATATTTTGTAATTCTGATGAAAACTTGTCTTCTGCTTTACGTATCAACCATTCATTTTCATAATAATTTCTAGCTTTTTATTAGCAATAATAAAAACATCTACATAATTTTAATTTCAAATGTTACATTCTCCAGCCACACAGTTTGGTCTTTCTTGTTCTTTCTGTGTAGTATCCCAACCTGAGCAGTCTATTTTTTTTCTAAATTATCTCTATTGATTCCAATTTTATTATACCTTTCACTCCTTCATCACCAGGTAACATATGTGGAAATAGGAGAGAAAGAGGAACAAGACTCCAACATTTAGAGTAAAAGAGTTGAAAGGAAATTGGCAAAATAATAATAATAATAATAATAATTGAGAATCAACATCCAGTGAGATAGAGAAAAAACACGGAAAATTAAGTGGGGGAAACATTTCATGGAGGAGAAAGTAATCACTCTGTCAATAGCTGCTGACCCGGTAAACAAGAAAAAGACCTAGAAGAAATTATTTGGTTTGTCAATGTGAAAGTAAATGTCTTTATGATAAAAGACTTATTTATTTGGTATAAAATTGGGATTAAAATGAGTTTACAAATTAATGTGGGGAGAGAGATTGGAAATAGTGAATACAGATAACTCATTTGAGATTGTCTACAGATGTTTTTATGCTGAAGAAGGAAGGATTGCTGATGCAATATACTTTATTAAAGTGACAGGAAAGATATTTGTGGATGCTCTTATTTACAAGACATTTATATATTTTACAACCATTTCTATCTTAATAGATCTGATACAAAGCTTATTTTCTTTACTCATGATTTATCCTAAGAATGACCCTAAATCCCTCTGGTACCTCATATGGAAACACTTGGAGTCATCTTTGAGTCCCTTCTTTCTCTCACATTCTAAATCTAATTCATCAACAAGTCATACTGGCTCTTATTTAAAATATATTCAGAATAAGACAACTCCTCTTCATCTGCACTACTATTAGTAGTTTCTGCTTCCCCATATAATTATTGTTTCTGCTTCCCCATATAAATTCTAGTCTCAACAAAGCTAAGTGAACCAGGTAAACTGTAAGTTACATAATCTTATTTTTCTTCTCAAAACACTTTATTGGCCACTTTGCAATCAGAGTAGAAATCAAAGTCCTTACACTGAGCTCTAATTCCTTGTCTAATTTGTCCTTCATCAGTTTCTTCTATGTGCTCTTGGCTCACTTACCTCCAGTCACACTGGCTTTCTTAATGTTTCTTTAACTCACCAGGCAGGTCTTACCTGCTTCGTAATCTTTGCTCTTGTTTTCCTCCACGTATAGGAGTGGCTTTTAAAAAACAGAAATTTATGTCTCATAGTCCTGGAAACCCGGAATTCTAAGATCGATGTCCCAGGAGATTTAGTGTCTGGTAAGAGCCCTCTTGTTTTTTCATAGATGACTGTCTTTCTGCTTAGTCCTCACAAGGTAAAAGGGGGCAAGGAAGCTCTCAGGAGGTCTCTTTTCTAAGACCACAAAACCTATTAATTAGGCTCCGCCATCATGATCTAATCACTTCTCCAAAAGCCCATCTTCAAGTGCCATCACATTGGGGATTAGGTTTTAACACATGAATGTGAAGGGGGCACAAGCATTTAGTCTTCAGAAAATCTTCATGAAGCAATTCAATCTTTCATCTTCTTCAAGTCTTTGCCAAATATCTTATTCTCAGCCGGGCGCGGTGGCTCACGCCTGTAATCCCAGCACTTCAGGAGGCTGAGGTGGGCGGATCAAGAGGTCAAGAGATCAAGACCATCCTGGCCAACATGGTGAAACCCTGTCTCTACTAATAACACACACACACACACACACACACACACACACACACACACAAATTAGCTGGGCATGGTGGCACGCACCTGTAATCCCAGCTACCCAGGAGGCTGAGGCAGGAGAATCGCCGAGAGGCGGTTGTTGCAGTGAGCCGAGATCGCACCACCGCACTCCAGCCTGGAGACAGAGTGAGACTCCGTCTCAAAAAGCAAAACAAAACAAAACAAAAAACAACTATCTTATTCTCAAAAGCTTTTCTCGACTGCTCAATTCAGAATTGTACTGTATACTTTATCCATCCTTTCCTGTCCGTACTCTTCTCAAAGACAACTACGTCCTTCTAAAATAAAATTTACTTTTCAAAATTATTTTCTGTCCACCCTATACCCTGTATAATGCAAGTGCAATTAGGACTTAAATTCTTTTGGCTACCTTTTCTTTTTCACTGCTATAACTTAAGCTCTTAGTGCCAATGCCTATGTCATGCTTTTACAAAGCTAAGTTTCAGCAGTTGCTGTAAGAAAAAGTGAGTGGCACATGAAAATCAGTGTGGAACAGGAAATAAGGTTTTCCATGAATAATTGGATTCCAGTGTTTGTTAAACAGAAGCTAAGTTATTATTAGTATGTAAGTACATATTAAATTCTGTGGGCTAACACCATAATACAGGCAACTATAATACATGATATTGATTTTGGCTTAGGAGTTTCACATAAACATTACCTAAATACTAAGAACTCTCTTGTCTATAAGTGTTCTGGGAAACCTACATCAAGATCAGTTCTCTTAGAAGATGGAACCTAAGGAATAATCATGAATTAGCTTGGCTGGCCATTGGGTTAGAAGGATTTCTGTTTGCCTGATGCTTATAGAAATCCCAGAATCCTGTTTCTGGCAAGTTGTTTGATGTCTTACATGAAACTTACACTCTAGGTGTGGTCAGTACATCAGAAAGACCAGAAAGCTGGGACTTCTTCAAGTCAGATAAGAAGTTATACTTACATGTTTTTTTCTTTCCTGATTATAATGATTTGTATAATATCAAGCTTCTTAAGAGTTGTATATGTCCAAATAATTTTCAAAAAGCATGCAACATCTGATTGAAATCTAACCATCCTTCAGAAAACAACTAAATATTTCTTTAATAAGTAGTAAGTTGTCCTTATTACATACTTAACAGAAAGAACAGAGTACTTCTACAGCATTACAGGATTGCACACTTTATGAACTCTGTAGCTAACATTAGAATTCCTTTTAGAAAGGGAAATTCTCTAGAGAAATAATTCTTGAGTTTAGAAAGTTGTTACCAGTCCAGCTAATAAATTAGTGTTATTGTACCATGAAATTCAAGAATCAAATTTTTCTTATGAGGGAAAAAAGAAGAAAAGATAGAAAGAGCAAACATTGTGACTGTGTTTCAGAAAAAAAGATGTAGGTGATTTATGGATGGCCGTGAAGTGCAAAATTTATTTATTTTTTTTCATTCTTCTACCCACATTCCATGGCTTATTAAAATGTTGAGAAGAAAAAATATATATATATATATATTTATTTTTATTTTTTATTATATATATTTTTATTATACTTTAAGTTCTAGGGTACATGTTCACAACGTGCAGGTTTGTTACATATGTATACGTGTGCCATGTTGGTGTGCTGCACCCATTAACTCGTCATTTACATTAGGTATATCTCCTAATGCTATCCCCCCTCCACCCCACAACAGCCCCCGGTGTGTGATGTTCCCCTTCCTGTGTCCAACTGTTCTCATTGTTCAAATCCTACCTATGAGTGAGAACATGCAGTGTTTGTTTTTTTTGTCCTTCTGATAGTTTGCTGAGAATGATGGTTTCCAGCTTCAACCATGTCTCTACAAAGGACACGAACTCATCATTTTTTCTGGCTTCATAGTATTCCATGGTGTATATGTGCCACATTTTCTTAATCCCATCTATCATTGTTGGACATTTGGGTTGGTTCCAAGTCTTTGCTTTTGTGAGTAGTGCCGCAATAAACATACATGTGCATGTGTCTTTATAGCAGCATGATTTATATTCCTTTGGGTATATACCCAGTAATGGGATGGCTGGGTCAAATGGTATTTCTAGTTCTAGATCCCTGAGGAATCGCCACACTGACTTCCACAATGGTTGAACTAGTTTACAGTCCCACCAACAGTGTAAAAGTGTTCCTATTTCTCCACATCCTCTCCAGCACCTGTTGTTTCCTGACTTTTTAATGATCGTCATTCTAACCGGTGTGAGATGGTATCTCATTGTGGTTTTGATTTGCATTTCTCTGATGGCCAGTGATGATGAGCATTTTTTCATGTGTCTGTTGCCTGCATAAATGTCTTCTTTTGAGAAGTGTCTGTTCATATCCTTCATCCACTTTTTGATGGGTTTGTTTGTTTTGTAAATTTGTTTGAGTTCTTTGTAGATTCTGGTTATAAGCCTTTTGTCAGATGAGTAGATTGCAAAAATTTTCTCCCGTTCTGTAGGTTGCCTGTTTACTCTGATGGTAGTTTCTTTTGCTGTGCAGAAGCTCTTTAGTTTAATTAGATCCCATTTGTCAATTTTGGCTTTTGTTGCCATTGCTTTTGGTGTTTTAAACATGAAGTCCTTGCCCATGCCTATGTCCTGAATGGTATTGCCTAGGTTTTCTTCTAGGGTTTTTATGGTTTTAGGTCTGACATGTAAGTCTTTAATCCACCTTGAAATAATTTTTGTATAAGGTGTAAGGAATGAATCCAGTTTCAGCTTTCTACATATGGCTAGCCAGTTTTCCCAGCACCTTTTGTTAAATAGGGAATCCTTTCCCCATTGCTTGTTTTTGTCAGGTTTGTCAAAGATCAGATAGTTGTAGATGTGTGGTATTATTTCTGAGGGCTGTGTTCTGTTCCATTGGTCTATATCTCTGTTTTGGTACCAGTGCCATGGTGTTTTGGTTACTGTAGCCTTGTAGTATAGTTTGAAGTCAGGTAGCATGATGCCTCCAGCTTTGTTCTTTTGTCTTAGGATTGACTTGGCAATGCAGGCTCTTTTTTGGTTCCATATGAACTTTAAAGTAGTTTTTTCCAATTCTGTGAAGAAAGTCATTGGTAGCTTGATGGGGATGGCATTGAATCTATAAATTACCTTGGGCAGTATGGCCTTTTTCACGATATTGATTCTTCCTATCCATGAGCATGGAATGTTCTTCCATTTGTTTGTATCCTCTTTTATTTCATTGAGCAGTGGCTTGTAGTTCTCCTTGAAGAGGTCCTTCACATCTCTTTTAAGTTGGATCCCTAGGTATTTTATTCTCTTTGAAGCAATTGTGAATGGGAGTTCACTCATGATTTGGCTCTCTGTTTGTCTGTTATTGGTGTATAAGAATGCTTGTGATTTTTGCACATTGATTTTGTATCCTGAGACTTTGCTGAAGTTGCCTATCAGCTTAAAGAGATTTTGGGCTGAGGCGATGGGGTGTTCTAGATATACAATCATGTCGTCTGCAAACAGGGACAATTTGACTTCCTCTTTTCCTAATTGAATGCCCTTTATTTCTTTCTCCTGCCTGATTGCCCTGGCCAGAACTTCCAACACTGTGTTGAATAGGAGTGGTGAGAGAGGGCATCCCTGTCTTGTGCCAGTTTTCAAAGGGAATGCTTCCAGTTTTTGCCCATTCAGTATGATATTGGCTGTGGGTTTGTCATAAATGGCTCTTATTATTTTGAGATACGTCCCATCAATACCTAATTTATTGAGACTTTTTAGCATGAAGGACTGTTGAATTTTGTTGAAGGATTTTTCTGCATCTATTGAGATAATCATGTGGTTTTTGTCTTTGGTTCTGTTTATATGCTGGATTATGTTTATTGATTTGTGTATGTTGAACCAGCTTTGCATCCCAGGGATGAAGCCCACTTGACCATGGTGGATAAGCTTTTTGATGTGCTGCTGGATTCAGTTTGCCAGAATTTTATTGAGGATTTTTGCATTGTTCATCAGGGATATTGGTCAAAAATTCTCTTTTTTTGTTGTTGTGTCTCTGCCAGGCTTTGGTATCAGGATGATGCTGACCTCATAAAATGAGTTAGGGAGGATTCCCTCTTTTTCTATTGATTGGAATAGTTTCAGAAGGGATGGTACCAGCTCCTCCTTGTACCTCGGGTAGAATTCAGCTGTGAATCCGTCTGGTCCTGGAATTTTTTTGGTTGGTAAGCTATTAATTATTGCCTCAATTTCAGAGCCTGTTATTGGTCTATTAAGAGATTCAACTTCTTCCTGGTTTAGTCTTGTGAGGGTGTATGTGTCGAGGAATTTATCCATTTCTTCTAGATTTTCTAGTTTATTTTCGTAGAGATGTTTATAGTATTCTCTGATGGTAGTTTGTATTTCTGTGGGATTGCTGGTGATATCCCCTTTATCATTTTTTATTGTGTCTATTTGATTCATGAAGTGCAAAACTTTAATGTGTCTTAAGAATCATAATGTGTAAGGTGTTTGCATGAAGGTGATCTACAACCATACAACCATTTTCCATATCTTCATAAATATTGAATCAATTACACTCTATTAACAAATGCTTTTTGTAAAAATGTTAGATTAATTTTCATCTCTTTATTTCTATATGCTTAATGTGGAAATTGGGGAAAGGAAAGCTGTTTTATTGTTCATCAATTACTAAAGCATAAGACCAGACACAGTTCTGAATTCAAATAATTTTAGAGAATTTAACTTCTATAAATTTAAAATTGTTGCAAGGGTATAAGTGAAAACAGGATTACACCATTTTCACATTTTATAGGTATTTCACATGATATTTGATTGATTCTTTTTTCCTTAATAAACTCTAATTTCCATGAGAAAAGAACTTGTATCTATTTTGCTAACCATTTTAACTCTACTGACTGTCACACCCCCTGGTATATTGTCAGAATTACATTACCTCAAAGGGATATTGAATGCTGTCAATAATTTTTGTGGCATTATCAAGCCCTCAACTATTATGTTTTCAAGAATCTAATATTATTTATAAGCCTGTTATACTACAACAGATGTTACACTGTAAGCCAATTTCTCATATTTAAAATACACTGAAAGCTCCTTGATACCCATGAACTATGATTGATCAATCACCCTATCTCTAACACTTAATGCTATACCTGGCATTAGCAGGCCTCTGTTAACTTTAGTTTATTGAAATGAGTTGAAGCGGGGAGGAAGTATGTAATTATTCTCATCCATTGGCACCTGACTTCTTTCGTATTTCTCAGAGTTTATGATATAGTGATTGTTCTCTACTTATTATGGTTTCATATGCTTTAACTGGAGTATGATATTTTTATGCAATATATTTTAAAAGTTAATCTATGTCTCAGTAGAAACACAGCAATTTTAAATGACGTGGCTAAGAAAAACTCATCTTTGGGCATGAGGAATTTTTATTAATAATAATGAATTAAATTGATTGAGCCTGCATGTCATTTCCAATTATGCATAAGAAAATTATTCTGTAGCACACATATTAACTAAAGAAATAAATGAATTTACTATATAGATGAAAATGATGCAAATTGGACAAATTTGTCTCAATAAAATTTCACTAAAGAACACCGATTTTTTCAGATAAGCTAATTGAGTATAAAAGAAAAAAAGCAGAAGTAAAACAATTACTTGCAAACTTAGCCTGTATTATTCTAGTTCAGACAATAGTTTCTGAAATTATTGGAAACTTTTTAATGATAAATATATTTTATAATAAATATTGTTGAGTTCAATTAAGTTTCCCTTTCAGGAAATGTCATTTCATTGTAATATGTATTTCTTAGCAAAAATCGACTCTTTCCCTATATATAAAGGGTGGTCCCCATTAGTCCTGCATACATTTTCACTGAAACATGGTCATTCTATTTAATTTAATTTAATTAATTCATTTAATTTCTTACCTATTAGAAAATAAATGGAAGAAAGTGGTTGAATATTGATTTTGCACCTAACATGTGCATCTATATAGGTATGTATAAATAATATATTAATACATAGGTAATAAAATTTTTAAAATGAAAATCTGAATGTATTTGTCATAAGAAGTGTCAAAATTAGTTCTCTTTACCTTTCATTCTACATTACCTAATCTTACTCTTTTACCATCATGCTAATTTGCAAAACTGATGATAAAGAAAACAAACCAAAAGCAAACTTCTATTTTCTAATTATTTAATACTTATTAGAATTAGGAATTAGAACGTTTCTAATTCATGAACGGAGTAATGATTACGTAAGGAGAAACAGATAACATTTCTTGTAAAACTTTAAATGAAAAGAGAACAGCCCTTTGTACTTAACAAGTAATAATGAATGATCATTAAGACAAGGTCACTTCAACCGATTATTTATGAACATAGCTATCTAATGACTATTTATATTTAGCTGTTAGGTCTAATTTCAAGGGGCAAAACCATGTTTCATGGCCATTTTATTAACAACCAATACAGTAGTATAAAAACAATGAATTATGTTGAACAGTACTACAATTTAATAGATCTATTCACAAATCTCCATCTATTTAGAAGCAATTCGTTTATTAAAGCCATTGCTATTTTAAGTTGCATTTTGAACTATTAACAAAAATTGAACATTAATTAAATGCTAGCATGCCCACTTCTTTGTGCTTTTTCCCCTGTCTCACGGCAGTCAGCCACAGTAGTGCTGGCTTTCATGCAATGTGAAACGTTGCTATTATTAAGCTTCCAAACACTCATCTTCCTGGATCCTTGCTGAGGAGTTAAATCTTGTGTTACAGGGCAGTACTCCAAAGCAAAAGTTTCTTATCCAATTTTATATTAACTCAAGCCTTTAGGATCTCCCAAGGCAAACTTTCCTGAAATGTTTGAGCTGGATCCTGTGAAAACATTGCCTGAGGATCCCTCTTCTCACTTTAGCCTTTCCAGCACTTCTGAAGTCAGGTGATGATGAGATTTGGCCCCTCAACCCCACCATTGCAGGTCTGATGGCCAGGAGAGGACATGGGAGCTGATCCTAAGGAAGATTCTCATTGTTATAAGACACCAGTTTTATTTGAGTTATCCTTATCAAAATATCAAAAAAAAAAAAAAAAAACATGTCGCTATCTTTCGGCAAAATGGAAGGAGCCAGTTCAACAGGCTTGGAGGATCCAAGAGATTCTAGGGATTTAATTTTCTTTTTAAAAAGTTCTATATATGTCTCCATCACAAATGTTAGTATCTCAATATTCCCCTATAATGGCCCTGACTTTGACATAAGAACATTCCCTACCCTAGGAATTCAGCCCTTTTTGAAATTCTGCCATTCTTAGCAATTATGTTATGTATCTGGCTTTCAGCTCAGTTGACTCTCCAGCTGCAGGAAATGAGTGTCCTTAAATGCTGCCCCAGAAGAGTTGTGGTACTTACACTTTGCTTTAATTTGCTGATTGATTGATCTAAGTCTGACATTTTATCTCTTAAATACATCAGTGTCACTTATCCAAAGCCATTAAAAGTGACCCAATTCCACAATCCTTATAGTTGCTCTTTCCTCTATACTCCTCCAGCACAAGAGATAATGCACAGGCTCTTGTAAAGAGTATCTCTTTATACTTCTATTCCATTCCAGGTCACCACAGATGAAAATTGTACTTCTACAAATCGTAAGACTAGCCATATTCTACCCACTACCCGTGATTTGGTCCTCTTGGCAATCGAGTTGGAGAATGACCCACTTCCAGATCGATCTCATTGTTTGAGTTTGATCCTAGATCTGTTTGAGATTTCAATGGTCTCAGATCAGATTCGTCAGCAGTAGTCTTGGGGGAGTATTATGAAAGTGATCTAGTGAGGGAAAGATGTCTAGGCTAAAGGAAGTGACAGAAGCAGAACAGGGTGACAACGCCAAGTAAAGGTTTGTCTTGTCTGTAGGGTAACATCACCCTGGTCCCACAAGGAGGTCTCAGCACAGGGTCTTCACACTTTGAGACAAAGGAGGTACTTTAACTCCTGTCAGTTAGTCACTGAGTACTGAAAGCCTAGATGAGGACTAGGGTGCTTAACTGCTCAGGGTAGGTTATCCCAGCCGGAGAGTAGATAGTGAGTCTTTAGAAAATGAGCATCTGTATGCTCTAGTAGCCAACCTGCACATCATCTAGGGGATGGGTGCACAGCACAGGGATGGGGGTCTAGTTAGGCGGCATAACATACCCCAAAGACTTCACATCTGAAAATGTTTGGCCATTGGAGACATGACCAGAAAATCCCCTTAGTTTTCTCAAAAAAATAATAGAAGGAAGATCTCCAGTCAACTTTTCCAGGATTCAGAATAGATTTCAAAGATGTGTCAGTGACATAAAAAAGACGAAAGTTATTGTAAAACTCTAGAAATATTTTTTAATGCTAGAAACTCTTATTAAGCATGCAGAACTTTACAACATAACATTGTCTCTAATACACCAGTTTATTCATACATCACATATTGTGATCAATACAACAGACACACAGAGTGCCAATTATGTGCCACTTGCTGGGCAAATCCCTGGGGTGAAAGCAGTAAATAACATGCCTATGCCTGTCTTTGTGTAGTTGAGAGCACAGGAGGATTATATTCAAAGACACAGATTTCAATCATAAATAGAAGATAGTATTAACAGATCTGTGAGTGGAGACAGTTTGGATGGATAAAATGAAGCCCAAAGGATGGGATATTCATTTTCTATTGAGAAAAATGAAGAAATTTATTAAAGATTAAATGCAAATTTAAATAACTTGAAAAATAAGAGCTTGCTATTCAAACAAGTCCATTGTTTTAGAAACAAAAAATACTTTCTGTGAAAAGATATTGTCATAAATGTGGACATGTAGCCATAGCAATTATAATAGCTTTGTATCCTGTAAACTGAAAATCTTTTCTTATGGTGGCCTCTGAGATTCCTACTCGATACATTCATTCATGCATGCATTCATTCATTCACTCTTTTGTTTTCCAATATGGATATACAAAGGACATTTTTGTATACCTATGTTTTCATGAGGTTCAGATTTGACAAGAATGTTTTTGTAATTAATCAGTGTATGAAACCAATTTTTAAATTGTATATCCATTTTTTTAATATGGTAATACTAATGTTGTAACTCTTAGATTTAATGCTCAACATGGTAAGCAAGTCTTGTTGTTCCTTTCAAGGCTCAATATAGAGTGGCAGCTTGGAAAATTATTTCTAAACCAGCTGTGCATTGAAACACTAGAAAGCTCCCAGAAAGAAGGCAGAGAAACCACTGCAATTTCAGGGATTTGCAATCAGAACTCTGATATGATTTGTTCTTATTTGACAAGTAAATGCTCAGAACTGGTCTCAACTTAAAATAAGATGATTTTTTTTTTAGTTTTGCATTTGATGATTTAAATTGATGTTTATGTGCAAAATGGCATCAATTAACCCCCAAACGACCTTAATTTGTTGAATTACTATAATTTTAAAATAGTTTAATAGGTACTTTTTTTTTTTTTTGAGACAGAGTCTTACTCTGCCGCCCAGGCTGGAGTGCAGTGGCGCGATCTCGGCTCACTGCAACTTCTGCCTTTCAGGTTCAAGCGATTCTCCTGCCTTAGCCTCCTGAGTAGCTGGGACTACAGGAGCCCGCCGCCATACCCGGCTAATTTTTTGTATTGTTTTAGTAGAGACGGGGTTTCACCATGTTAGCCAGGATGGTCTCCATCTCCTTACTTCGTGATCTGCCCGCCTCAGCCTCCCAAAGTGTTGGGATTACAGGGTGAGCCACAGTGCCTGGCCTTAATAGGTACTTTCAATATGTTATTCCAAAATTCTGCATAAACCTGTTGAGAAAGTGCCAAACTGGCCCTGGTCTGTCGTCATACTGTTTCCCACTTTATGATTCCTATATAGTTTATTTAAATTAAGTTTATGGAAGATTTATTGATTGTTAGTAAATCACACTGATTATTCAAAAATAAAAATTAATCACACAATGAAATTGACTACACCAAAAATTTAATTTGGTTATTTTTGCCAGAGGCGTTACTCAATATTTTCTTAAATTTTCTTATCCCACTTCGGTTTAAATTACCATTTCTTTCTTCAGAAGCTAGGGGGGGAAAAGTAAGTATTGTATGATTAATTTTACATGGCACACTCATAATAAGCAAATCCATAGAACAGAAAAAAGATTAGTGTTTGCCATAGAATGTGGGAGGTTGGAATTTGGACTAATTACTTCATAGTGCAGAATGTTTTCTCTGGGTTTAAAATGTTTTTAAACTAGAGAAAGGTGGTAGTTGCAAACAATTGTGACTGAACTGAATGACACAGAATTGTACAGTTTACAGTGGCTAATTATATGTTACATGAATCTCACTAAAATAAATAAGAAAATATATGTAAATATATATATTTGCCTATCTATGGAAGTTTTTCATTATATATTTTAAAAATTACCTATTCAATGAAAACTAGTTGTCTTAAAAGTTACTTCTCTTTGCTTTTAACTTTTTAAAATTTCAATACAGTATTTACCTTGTTTTAAAAAACTCAGAACTTATTCTCATATACTGCAATATTATTTTTAGATAATCATACAAACATGATTTTGACACCACTTTGTCTATCTACTTATGTTTTTAACATACCATTCCTCATAAAATACAATTTTTCTATTCCATTCCCAAAGAGAGTATTCTGGCTTATTTTTTGACTTGCCTGTTCACTGTCATTTGGAAAAATCTTGTCACTCAATTTTTAGTATTCTAATCATTTCTTTGATTTTCCTGTCTTCTGAAAATTATGGTATAAAAATATTCACGCTTTCCTGTCATTCATACCTTATCATATCTCTCTCTAAATTCATCTAGGGACTCCTCTTTGCTATAAATATTATTTTAAAGTCAAATCTCTGCATTTTGTGTAAATATGATCTATTTTGACGGAAGCTTTCATCCAAGAGTTCAAAAAAACTCAAATGCAATAAGTATAGTTGTACATAATAAGAGTGTATATTTTTAAAAGGCATCTGAATTCATCAGGCAATGTATCAACATGAGTTTACGCAGTACCTAATTTGTATACTTCATGTTTCTCAGTTAACTAACAAAGTAGTTACAGAGTTAGAACTAAAATGCCACAAATAATTACAGAATAACACAAATGTATTTCAGGATATTTGACTTTCAAACTTTTATAATAAATATGATATTTCTTAAAATGCAAATATGCCTCTTCATTTGAAATAGTAAACACTTTGCAATATATTATTTACATGTAAGAAATAAAGATTAGGTTGATTGGCTAGAGATTGTTTATTCAACTAGTTACTAGATGAGATAGAGGAGGTAAGGAAATAGAAATGACATTGATTGTGGACCCACAATGTTCCTATCTTGGTAATATGTTTACCTTGAGTCTTAGTCCATTTGGTTGCTGTAACAAAATACCTCAGGCTGCTTAATATGTCCTTTGCAGGGACATGAATGAAGCTGGAAACCATCATCCTCAGCAAACTAACACAGGAACAGAAAAGCAAACACCACATGTTCTCACTCATAAGCGGGAGTTGAACAATGAGAACTCATGGACACAGGGAGGGGAACATCACACAACAGGGTCTCTCGGGGGTGGGGGGCTAGGGGAGGGATAGATAGCATTAGGAGAAATACCTAATGTAGATGATGGGTTGATGGGTGCAGCAAACTACCATGGCACATGAATACCTATGTAACAAACCTGCATCTTCTCCACATATATCCCAGAACTTAAAGTATAATAATAATAATAAAGAAATAATGACAAATTATTCCCCATGCTCTGGAGCCTGGGAAGTCCAAGATCAAGATGCTGGCATATTCAGTGTCTGGTGAGGGCAGCTTTCTCTGCTTCAAAGATGACACCTTTCTGTTGCATCCTCACATGGCAGAAGGGAAAAATATTCGCTTTCTTAAGCCCTGTATAATTACCCTAATCACATCCACGAGGTAGGAGAGCTCTCATGGCCTAATCACCTCCCAAAGGCCCCACTACTTAATACCATCACCCTGGGGGTCAAGTTGTCTCATATCAGTTTTGTTGCCAACATTGAAATTATAGCACCTTGGGTGAGCTTGGACTCCAAAGACTTTTGTTGTGTTTTGTTTATCCTTGCCTTTCATGAGGAACATAAAAACAAAAATACAATCTATTTATATTTTTCATATTATTTTTCTTTAAGGAGATGAAATATTTGTTTTACTTTGAAAGACAACACTTGTTTTTGGAAAAAAGTATATACTCAATGAGTACTTATGCAAAAATACATCAAAGGTATGTTTCAAAATGGAGAAATTTAAGAAAAAATGGCAAAAGCTGTCTCTGCCTACTAATGTAAAGGCTTGCATGAGCAGTATATCTTTTATAAAACATCTATATTTATTATACATTCATATGACTGCACATATTCTTGGCAAGATGGACATTGAATTATCTGATTTTTGTTTTTCTTTGTTCAGTTTTTCTTTTTTTCAAGACTCGATTTTTTAAATAAATAACAAAATAAATGAAAACAAAATAATACTCAGATTTTACAGTACTTTGAAAAAGACATATAAATGTTGATTTGAATTATTCAGACACTGTGAAGTCACAGAGTAAAAATACAATCAATGACTAAAATTTTCATTTCCTATTTTCTTGCAATTTTGGCCATGTTAGGTAGAGGGTCCCTTAGAATGTACATCTGTGCACTTTTTGAAATCCTTCAGAATGTACATCTGTGCACTTTTTGAAATCTCATGTTGTAGTGAAAGTAAGAAACTGACAGATACTGTTGCAGCCTCAATCTAGACTATTTTATCATGTTGTTGATGTTTAAGTTACATAATTCTAAAAGTGCTAGATTTAGACTATTGCATTTTCTTTTTTTCTTACACAGGCCAAAAGCTAGGATTAAATCTGTGTGACTTGAAAATAAATGCTCCTTAACTGAAATAAACAGTTGTCATTTTGTTACACTACGATTTAATCCATGGTGTTTATTGCAGGCTGCTGACATACTATACATGTACATTTTTGTATATTGACTATCTCTGTCCATGCTAGGCCAAGTAATTACCTATTCTGCTTATTGCTGTATTCTCTTGTCTAGAACAATACCTAGGTCTGCACAGGCAATTCAAATGTATTTTTGAATGATGATTAAAGGGAGAAATAAATGGCAGATACATGGTTTACTCTTTAAATCTGTTTTTTTGTTCATTATTTTTAATATTTATTTTGTCTTAAAAAACGTATATATATATATAACATATTGCCTGACTAACAAAAACAAAAGATAGTTTCAAAGATATCCTTACATGAATATGTCATTACTACATAGAGAATTAGAAATGTTTAGAAAGAGTGCATATTATTGAAAGGAAATATAGTAGATATGAAATGAGTTTTGTGTGTGTTGCATTGAGGAGATAGTAGGGTTCAAAGAAATAACTTAAAAGCAGTTGCTGAGATGGTTGAGAGCTGCAAAACATGTAGTACTAATAAATAGCTGGAGTTTTAAGTCCTTAAATCTTATTATTTTATAGTATAGGTAGTTTTCTTTGTTTAACTGGTTATATAATTTTTTAAAATGCTATATTAAAATATTAAAATTGGAAGTATGGGTTTGTACATAATATAAAAGCAGTTTTAATTTTAAGACTCCACATTGCATTTATAAAGCCCAAGTACTAAAGTGTAATCAATAAATTTCCTATGAAGATAGAGATCTAGATAGTGGCGAAAAGTGAATCATTGGACTCATGGAAATAAGAATATATAAATAAAAATGAAAGAAAATATGAATATTCTATGAAGGAAGCAAGGTCAGGATAACTGTAATCACTCTAGGATAACTATTTTTGAGTGTCCCTAACAGTTCACTCAAATCTAACATGGTTATCACTTATAACCATCTTCATTTTGTCAAATTTTCAGAATAACTCCTAGTATCATTATTGAAGTTGTATTTCAAAACCTTAATTTTAAAGGGTTCAGTCAATTGCAGTGAAATGGGAAGATTCCAAGGGTATGTAACTAGATCTAGACCCCTTTTGAAGTTAAAGCTGAAGTTCCCAGACCAAAACATCAGGAATGCTCTGGACAAGAGGGGTCAATATGCAATAATGAAGACAAATTTTTGCAGAAGCCCCATAATTCTTGAAAGTTCATGATGACATTTTCAGAGATACAGCAAGAATTGGAAAAGAGCAGCAGCTGACAGTAGCGTGCAATGACTGAAGCTAAGGAGCAAGTCTCTAGTTTCTCTGGAAAAGATGTGAGAACAAAGCTGAGCCCCATCCTGGAAACCACATGGAATGTGACCCACTAGCATGGAGGAACTGAGCTTATTTGTCCAAGCAAACACTCTTGAATTTGTAATACAGAAAGTAAAATGACGCTGGGGAATCAAGGAAGTTGTACTGCACTGAGGTCAGTATTTGAGGTCAAAGAGAAAGTAGAAATTGAGAATCAAGCAGAATTTGAATTTAGAAATAACTTGAAATAAAATCATTGTTAATAAAAATTGTCTAGTAGGTAGCTTAAAAATGTAAGATTATAATTATGAAATTTTGAGTTTGGTTAATAGAGAGTAACTACATTCAAAATTATAGACAATATAAATAAATTACAGAAATGCAATTCATGAATCAATGTAATTGGATTTTTTTCTTCCACTAATGAGGTGCTGTTGAAAATAATTTTTCATAAGAAAATATTTTTTGTGGCTTCTGGTTTTATGTCATGAAAAATAATTATTTTTAAAAAAGAATCCTTCATGGTGATGTGCTTTACTGCAATGACACGTACTATTCAGTGTCATGATCAGTCTTTATTTTAATGAAATGAAGACACACGTTTTGAAGGAAAGCCTTGAGTGGGTAGCTGTGGTTGAGGAAGCCATCTTTCTTCTTTCAGACCAAAGAAATAAGACTGTTTTCTCCCTCTTTTTGAAGATACTTTAGTGTTAAGATTCAAGTAAAAAATACTAAGTTCTGATGTTGTCTTCTAATTGTTAAGGGCTTCAAGTCATAGCAATATTTATTCTAATAAAATAAAACTGCTATATGCACTAATTCCCAATATTGATGCATAAAATATAGTAAACATCTTGAACAGAAATAAGGCTTTAAAAAGTTCCATTCACTGTAACACTTCTGGAGAGCTAAGCCCTCAATCCATATTGCATCCACTACCATCGGTTCTTTTCTGTATCATTTTAAACAATAACCCACATTTCAGCTCTCAGGCAAGAACGAGAGTCACATAATTGTAAAACAAAGTTTCCACACACTTTTACAAGAAATGTGGTTTTATATAGCTTCTTAGAGTGTTCATATTCATTTATACATTAATTAAGGTTACAAGAAATAATGAATGCACTAGATACATGAATAATTTTGGTGGTATCTAACAATGAGCCAGAAATGACTTTTATTTTGGTCACAAAAGATGTAACACATAGTTATGACTCAAACATTATAGTTCAAATGACTAATTTAATTATTAGTTTATGAATCTTCATTATTTTAACTGATCCACAGTATTGTCAGCTTTACGGTTTTCAATTCACTAAATCTCTTTTCCGAGTGGGTACTTGATTGCACAACACTGAAACCTGATATTTACATGATATTACATGCACTGGATGATCTGCCAATTTTTTAAGAGAAAATAAGGGGAAAGAACAGAAAAGCCTGAGAGGAATAATATGACCAACTACTAAAGATAGATTTCCTATCATGATCTAACAGGAACCCTTTTATTTTCAATGTCATATAAACTATCCACTAAAATTCAATCAAAACATGAATGACCAAATATAGTTCCTTTATGTCCATTAGAGGCAAGACACTCTGTTCAGGTTCTGTGTCATAAGAAAGGCTCTAGTATGATATTGCCCTTAAAGAGTGTAAATTCAAAGTTCTATGCCTAAATTCAGGCATAGTAAAAAGAAGAAGAAAAGGGCAAATCCAAAAAAGTATTCTAAAATATGATATTTAAAATGCATTTATAGACTTAAAGCTCAATAAAAGTTTAGAGATAAGAAAAATTAAAAATAGCAGAAGTGAAGTCTTGAGTATATGGAAAACACTAAAATATTTGATAAAGAAGACCCATTACGTTACATCATATTTAAATATTAAAATGAAGATGGTTGTTTTTCTTATATAGTTCATAGAAATGAAAGTTAAGCATAACTTAACTATTATATAGTTCATAGACATGAAAGTTACAGTAAGCAAAGTTCACAAACACACTAATAAATGATATGATAAGAATGAAACATATATATTTTGATTCCAATACACCAGTTCTTTTTCCATACTTTTTAGAAAATACTGATTTCACATATTCAGGCTTCCCAAAGTTCAGTTAATACAATAACTATAAATTTTATATTCTAAAATGCTCCTGAAACACTTATTCATTCATTCACTCATTTATTTATTCAGAAAGTATATTTTATTTATATGATAGTTTTCTTAATTTTACGCCAACTGAGAGAAATAGCCTACTGACTTATTGACATACTTTTTCTAAGTTAGAAAGAACACATAAGAGGTAAGGCCACAACACATGTCAGCAACTGGTAAGATGCAAGATGTAAAAGATCAATTTCGAGCAATATTAAACAGGTACATCTTCAAGGAAAGCCAAGTTAGAATTTATGACTTATAGAAACAAACAGATTTCTGAAGAGAAAGTGGGTTTCAAGAAAGATAAATAAAGTACGATGTTCAGTAGGTAGCCTATGTGAAATTTGATTTGATCATAATGTGCTGTTTCCTGATAAATTGTGTGTATACGTGTGTGTATATTTAAGTGGAGTTACCTGGTTAATAGACCTTGTATATTAGAAAAGTAGACTAAATACAAATAGAAATAATTTCAGTTGTGAAAGTATGGATTGATAAAGAAGGTAAGTTAAGAAGATTAATGAATCATCATTTCAAAAATCATTAGCACTACTTGGTGTAAGATAAGTAAGACTGAGTGTAGAGATTTAAAGATTTTGAGGATAGAGAAGCAAAACAACACACAGGATCCTCTAGGTTCTCCTTGTTTTATAGAAAATGTGCTCAGGCCAGACAGAGTTAGACGCTCCGTTCACAGGACTCAAAATAGGAGAATTTTCCCCATTGGTTTTTCAGATTTATAGACTGATATGAGAGTGTGTAGCTGCCATCTATTTAAATATGTAAAACCACAGGCCTCCGAGTCCAGAAAGGCAGTGGGTAAGTAGGCATAAGAAGCCAATACTCTGCTGAGTTCCCGTACAAATACTGGATGCTGACACTAGGAGGCTTCCTTCTTGTGACGAGTGGGATCAAAACAGCTGAAACTCCCTTCCTGCCAAGCACAGGAAAGGAAAGGGTAGGAATTGTTGATGGCATCTGGTTAATTCTTCTCCTCACTCTCCATAGTTAGATCACAATTCCTTCCCCCCTCCCCTCCCCTCCCTCCCCTTTCCTTTCCTTTCCTTTTTTAGATGGAGTCTTGCACAGTCTTGGGCTGGAGTGCAATGGCAGGATCTCGGCTCGCTGCAACTTCCGCCTCCCAGGTTGACGCCATTCTCCTGCCTCAGCCTACTGAGTAGCTAGGATTACAGGTGCCCGCCACCACGCCCGGGTAATTTTCGTATTTTTAGTAAAGACGGGGTTTCGCCATGTTGGCCAGGTTGGTCTTGAACTCCTGACTCCATGACCCGCCTGCCTCGGCCTCCCAAAGTGCTGGGATTACAGGCGTGAGCCACCGAGCCCAGCCAGATCACAATTTCTAAGAGGCAAGGAGGTTGTCTTTGTTGTTTTATTTTATTTATTTATTGAATTTATTTATTGGTTGAATCCTTAGAATATTAAATATTTAAAAATCCTTATTAAATTTTTTTTATTGAATCCTTAGAATCTAGCAATAGGCTCAGTAAGTGTTCAAAGAAAGTAAGGAATGCAGGGTTGAAAAAAAACAGGTTAAGACATTTATTTTGTTTTCCCGTTTTCAGTCTTGATGTAAATGAGCATCTTTAACCATTTTTGTTAGAATATCTCTAATGTACTGTTCAGGTCTAAGAATCTGTGAGTTTTATAAATTAACTATGAGATTCATAAGCTAATGTAAACTACATTCTTGTTAAAATTTTGAACACAGTATTTTTTATTCTCCTACATTTTCTAACAAATATGAAGAAAAATAATAATTTATTATTTTTATGTAGTATAAGGCAATAATATTGTTAACATCTTTATATAGTAGATTATTTTAAAATAGCTTTGCAGGGAAATATGACATTTTCTTAAAATATAATCTGTTTTAAAAATTAATCTTGTCATAACTTTGCAGAAATAGCATTTTTCATGCATATATGTATGGAAATGCCCCAAAATATGAGTCTTCTAGACAACTATACTGAAAAAATAGAAATAATTGTATTCAAACTAAGAAACTGCACCCAGGGAAGAGGTTAAGTAAATGATGATATTTCTGGATCAAATATTTTATCATAAAACAATATTTATTGTATCAAGTATTATGTTTTTGTTACACGTGCTTACAAGTTAAGTACACCTGGTTATAAATTCTGTACCACGTAATTACTGAAACAATTAGGTACTCAATTGTATCAAATATAAGTTGGCATAATACAACTTGTTGAATTACATTGACTATTGCAGATAATTGATTTCAGTTGCTTAGTACAGTTCTTGGCAAATAATGTAGAAAAACAAATTATATTCTTTGCTTCCATTTTATTAATATGCATCTAGTCATCAAATATGATTATGAATATCATATAATTCAACATTGGATAATTATTAGATTGGTTAATCTAAGAGGCATGTTTGTACTTATTATTAAAAACAAAGAATGTGTAGAAAAACTAGAAATTTGTAAGCCAAATAGAAAAATGCAGTTTCTCTTGGCTACGCACTCTGTATCTGTTATTTGCAAATGCCTTTTTTAAAATAAGAAAGGTTGTTATAAACAAGCAATTAAAAATTAATAGAGTAAATAAACAACTAACAGTTGCTATAATATTCCTTGTTGTATTCTTCTATTTGTATAAAGAAGTAATTAATTCTTTAACAAGAATTACAAAATACACTATTTAAATGATACAGAATTGTATTTTTTTTAATGTCTAGTCTAAAGCTGCAGTTTTCATGTGGGAACACTGTCGACTTTGGTAAGAGAACTGCACCAACTTCAGAAAATAAGTTGACAAGTGCTCTTTCTTCTGTATTTACTGAAAGTGTGTGAGTAATGTTAGTATTATTTCTTCCTTAAAAAAATTGTTGGACTTAAATACTAAACTGCAATGGCCTGTAGTGTTCTTTGTGGAAACATTCCTTAAATTGTAAGCTATCAGATCAGGTGCAGTGGCTCCTGTCTGTAAACTCAGCTACTTGGGAGGCTGAGGCAGAAGGATAGCTCGAGCCCAGGAATTTGAGGTTACAGTGAGCTATAATCACACCACTGCACTCTGGAATGCACAACAGTAAAAATCTGTCTCACACTTCAAAAAACAGAAAAAAAAAAACCCAAAAACTGTTAATAACATTGCCATGTTATTGCCAATGAGCGTCTTCTTTCTTTTATCCCTTATCAGTCTAGTTAGAAGCTGATTCATTTTATCTTTTCAAGAAATCAGCTTTTAAATCCATCGATTTCATTCCATGTTCATTCTCCTTTTCAAAGTTTTCTGCTTTTATTTGTATTATAACCTTTATTCTACATACTTTGGTTTTAATTTTATCTTTTCTTTCTTAATATCTTAAATTAGGAACTCATTTCTCATTTCTACTTTCTAAATTTTAGGTCTTTCTTCTTTCTTGCTACAAGAATTCAAGACCACCAGCTTTCTTCTAAGCACTGCATTGTCTCTCTTAATTGTGATATACAGTATTGTATTTTTAATTAATTTGATTCAAATTATTTTCTAATTTTTTGTGAGTTATTTAATTCATGGATTATTTAGAAGTATGCTATTTAATTTCAAATTTAATTTCAACTTATAAAGAATATATTCTGTGTAATTTTAATATTTTAATGATAATTAAAAATAGGAAAATTCATATTATCTAGCCCAATATATATACAATGTACATTAAGAATAATGTACAATCTGATAATTTTTGGTGTGGAATTCCACAGATACAATTTAGTAATGATAGTTAATAATGTACTTAGGTCTCTTTGTCTTTTCTGATATTTTCTCCAGTTATTTTATTGATTCCTAAGAAAGAATTTTAAAATTTTGTCTGTTTATTGTTCATTTCTTCTTTTAATTCTATTCACTTTTCTTTATGTATTTTAGTTCTGTTATATATAGACACATTTATTATTGTTATATCTACTTGCTGAATGGCCTATTTTATTATTATGAGATGTCCCTTTCTATATTTAGTAATAGTATTAGCTATGACACATATTTTACCTGATATTTTTATAGCTATTCTTTACTGCTTATTCTTACTGATTGATGGCCAGGCATGGTGGCTCACGCTTGTAATCCCAGCACTTTGAGAGGCTGAGGCAGGTGGATCACCTGAGGTCAGGAGTTCGAGACCAGTCTGACCAATATGATGAAACCCCATCTCTACTAAAAATATAAAAATTAGCCAGGCGTGGTGGCATGCACCTGTAATCCCAGCTACTAGGGAGGTTAAGACAGGAGAAACACTTGAACCCGGGAGGCGGAGGTTACAGTGAGTCGAGATAGTGCCATTGTACTCCATCCTGGGCAAGAAGAGTGAAACTCCATCTCAAAAAAAAAAAAAAATCTTACTGATTGAATGATTTATCTCCTTTCAGCCATTTACTTCTAGCATGTTTGAGCCATGTGTATCCCTTAAATACAGAATATCATTATGTGTAAACTCTTTTATTCTTTCTGGGAATCTAAATTTAAACTGGAATCTTTAATCAATTAACATTTCATGTAATTATTCACGTGTTTGGATTAAATGGCACATAATGCTGTATTTTTATGTCTATATCCTTCTTTATGTTATAATTTGCATATGTACTATAATTACATTGATTATAAAGTGCCATAACAATTTTTAATGATTAAAAAAGGTATCTATTATCTCACATACTTTTTTTGTGACAAGAGCAGCTAAAATCTACTTTTTAACAAAAATCCATAAAGTAATACAATTTTCTTTCCTTCAGTTTTCATGTTGTACTTTACATCCCTAAAGCTGTTTATCCCACATATACACTATTGGGTGTACTATGACCTACAGCTCCCCATTTCCTCCCCGACTCCTGTCCTGCCACTCATGGTAACTACTGTTTCATTTTCTGTCTTTGTATATTTGAGCTTTTTTACCTTATTCTACATATTATTGGGATTATGCAATAGTTTTAATTCTGTGCCTGTCTTATTACCATTAGGATAACGCCCTTTAGACCCATCCATATTGTAGGAAATGACAGAATCTCCTTTTTTAAAGCTAAGTGACATTTCTTTCTTTTTCTTTTTTTTTTTTTTCTTTTCTTTGGAGATAGGGTCTTGCTCTGTTTTCCAGGCTGGAGTGCAGAGGTGCAATCTCAGCTTACTGCAATCTCTGCCTCCTGGGCTCAAGTGATCCTCCTACCTCAGCCTCTCAACTAGCTGGGACTACAAACACAAACCACCATGTCTGGCTAATTTTTGTATTTTATGTAGAGACAGGGATTTGCCATGTTTCCCAGGCTGGTCTCTGAGCTCAAGTGATCCATGCACCTTGGCCTCCTAAAGTGCTAGGATTACAGAGGTGAAATACCATGCCTGGCCAGTAGTATTTCATTATATTTAAAAAACATTTTCTTTAGCCATTTTTTTGCTGATGGACATTTAGATTGCTTCCATATATTGACTATAGTGAATAATGCTACAATGAAAAATGCTCTACATTCTTATTTAATACATTTTGGCTTTCTTATATGGAATATGGTAGAAATTGCTCCATTATTTTCTGCTTCCAATTAATGATGAAACACTCAAGCTGAAGGCAATAGAATACTCTAGTTTTTGTTATTGACTTGATATTTGTGTTAGTGTTGTTACTTAAATTGTCCTTTTCTGATTTTTTCAAAAAAATTTCTTCTGTAAAAATATTTAAGGTTATTTAGATATTGTCACTGATCTGAAATAGTGCTACTGTGTATTTAAATGTGTTTCTCTGATAGTTCTTCTCTCTAGTTGCTTTGTTTTCTTCTCAACTATTGGGGAATTATTTTGTATGATCACATGCTGTGATGTCTTACTCCCTTTCTTGCAAGGTTCAGTTTAAGCTGTTTTCTTCTCTGTAAAGCCTCTTTGAAGACTGTAAGAAGTAGTCGCCCAATTCCAACTTTATGGTGCTGTTCAAATAATGGTTTTTACTGATCTAGCTTCTATAGTTAGGTGGACTGTGTACCAAAGTAAAACAGATAATAACTTAACCACCTAATTCACAGTCTTGAATTTTTTTTGTCTTATATTTTGAATAATTTCTTTTAACTTATTGTATTTTAATTTCTTATAGCATATTTGTAATTTTCTTGGGCACTTTAAGAAACGTCTGATCATTTCTTTTTCAGAGCATTTTGCTATTGTTTTATGAGTAGTGTAATGTCTCTAATTATTTGAGGTTGCTAAATACATTTTTAAAAAATGTTATATATCCTAACTGCTCCTTTTAAAAAATCAGAGTTGATTTTTTCTATAAGTCTATCTATCTATCTATCTGTCTATCTATCTATTACCTATCTATCTCTATATCTATTTATCATCATCATCCATCATCATCATCTATGTATCTCTCTATTATTTATTTATTTTTGTTCCTTTGGTCTTCTAATTTAATAACCTAGATTTGCTTTATATATTTAATCATCTTTATTTTCCCTTTCATATTTTAAAAATGAAGCAGAAAGAAGTTGACTCGCCTGTGTGAAAGTGAGTGGCTCTTATCATCTACCACATACTCCTGCTGCAGGGTTGATAGGGACCCAGTCATCATCCCAGAAGATCTCAAATGTCATAATGCAAAGGTTTTAGTCTCATGCACTTTTACCCAACTAAATGTCCTGGAACCAGAGGAGAGTTTATATAGTTTTCAAGCCTAAGAGGTAAACATGTATGACGTTAAGAGCAAATATTTGACCATTATTTCTTCTGTAGAGATGAGTGATAAAGAGGTGGTAAGAATATTTTGTAATATTTTGTTGAGATATTTCATTTTTTGTTACTATTTTCTCCCCAGTTTTCTCCTTCCTCTGTCATACTTGTACCCTAAAAGGATACTTAGGGCCCATGGTGGTTTTGATGGAATGATCAACAGCTCCCTCTATGCATGTTTAAACTTAAGCTTTTGCACTTTTGCCCAAGTAGCCAATACTCATTCAAATGTTGTTATTCCGCTCTAAATTTATTGATATAGTCCAACCACTAGTAGTCATTTTTCTAGACGCTTTATTGTTATGATATTATCGTGTTATACTCCTATGTCAAATATTATTAGGAAAGAGACAGATAGGATATAAAAATATGTTCAGAATTTCACTTGAATACATTCATCTATTCATATACACACCACTTATATTTGATTAAATGTGATGGGTAGAAAGAAATTTAATGTAGAATATAAGTAAATGACACAAGAAAATATTAGCACATCAACAATACAAAAATGGTTTATGTAAGCTTGTGAATTATTTAGATATACAATTTAATTTATGTTATTAGTTGTTCTGAACCAAACACTACCCTCAGGCAGAGGCATGCCACCAGTTGCCACCACTCTACCATATTTGAGGCATAATCTTTTTTTTATACTTTTTGATCAGACTTCCAATTTAAAATGGAGTAGCAGAACATATGTTATTATGCCATCAAACAGTTTACCTTGAACAGAAAATATAAAACGCTGATGTAAAAAAAATTGGAATGGATTCTTACAAATTCATCCTAAATCTCATTTCCCCAAGCTTTGATAATCATTGAACAGTGAGCAGAGAGATTGAGGATTTTTAAAAACAAAATCCCAGGGTGCAATTCTGAACTCCAGATTCCAGGTATTACAGCTAGATAGATAAATAGATATGAGGGGAATATATATATATATATATATATATATATATATATATATATATACACACACACACACACACATATATGTATATATATACACACATATATATTATATGTACTAATATATATATCTCTAAAATATTGAGGGATATATATTTAACATATAAATATATGGATACATATATATATTTAATGTTCTTTAAGGAAAATTAACCATGTTTCAAAACTAAATGCAAATAATTTAAGTTATCAGAGAAAGTTTCATTTTATGCCCAATGGAAAAGAAACATATCTTTATTGAAGACATTTGTATCTCTTCATAAAATATAGAGGAATTAGTGACTGCAGTTCCAAAATTATATGAGCAAGACATGAAGGCTTTTATTATTGTTATTATTCAATGCATAATACTTTGATATTACTTTTATTACTTTAAATATCAAGACATAGAATCATTTGCCTAAATCCATTGTAGTTTGCTCTGGTTTTTCTTTTTTGTCTATAACAGCTGTTAGTGTTATTAGAGAAATTAATAATCTGTAATAGTAATTAAAAGTTTTGTCAGTTTGTATATTTTATTTTTCTAAAATTTCAAAGTAAGAGAATATATATATTTATTTTAATAATGATTTTAAATTTTAAGAACCTTATGTGCTAAATAGAATCTTTAAAGGTCAAGTGATTCATATTCTATTTTTTTAATTCTTTTGAAATCTAGTGGATATACAATAAACTGCATCCATTTTAAGTAAACGACTGCTTTTAGAAATTTTTCACTGAAATAATTGCCATAGTCATCAAGATATAGACGATTTCCTTAACTCCAAAATTTCCTCATGCTTCTATGCAGCCAACTGTTACTTCAATTGCAGGACCCAGGCATCTATTCATCTAGTGTTTGTTACTATAGATAGATTAGCTTTGCCTTTTTGAGACTATAGATTTCTTAGTTTGCCTTTTTTGAGAATTTGATATAAATAGGTTGAGACAGCATTTACTCATTGATGTATGGCTTCTTTCACTGGGCAGAATGTTTTTGAGGCTTAGCTGTGGCATTGTGTGTGTGTGTGTGTGTGTGTGTGTATTTCAATTGCTGAGGAATATTTCATTATGGGAATCAGTGTACTGTTTATCCATTAGCATATTGATAGACATTAGGTTGTTTCTTATATTGGGCTACTAAAATTTAATTTTTTTGTCAAAATAATAAATATAATTGTAAACAAATAGGCCAAATAATACTCCAAATGTGAAGAAAATGGAGTGAATATCTATAATTTAGAAAAGCATGTATAGCTACCCTTTGATTTTATTAAATAATAGTTCTATTTTATCTGTTAAATATAGTACAGTAACATTAATTTGGAGTATAAATATAGAATGTGATTTCACAATGTTAACTATGTTACCCATAGAAGCTACATTTATATTCACCAGAAAGACATCATCCTTATCTTGCCTCTTCATCTTTGAGATGTTGATATGGATAAAGAAGACAATAAACCAAGACAATGTACTTCAACTTGTTGAGGGTGGGGAAAAAGTTATCAGAATTGCATTGGCTATGTGACTCATGAAAGTATATAAAAGTAATTAACATTTATCACATGTAGTACAGTGAAATACATTACCTTATTTAAATTCTAAAGAAAGAAAATTTACAAATTAGTCATGTTACACTTAAAATGAGAACCTAACCATCTGCATTTTTAATGCTCCTTAATCATTTATATCACTAATATTTATTAAGTAGATTATAAAATATTTCAAAATGTGTCTAGGTTTGTATAACAAACATCTTAAAACCTTACCAAGGGCCCCATATTTTCATAGAATTATTAGCTTTTTGTTCCCCATAGAACTTATCACTTATCCTTTGAAAATAAAGGTATAATTTATACTCTAAAATGCTGATATTTCTCATTCATATATATATATATATATATATATATATATATATATATATATATAGGCCTTACATTTATTTTAGTCATATATTATAGAAAATTTGTTCAGGTAAGTTTATGTTATCTAAATGTATACGCCTTTATGTGCACATATTGTAAGAAACACAACAAATACTAAAATATTCTGTGTCATTTTAATTTGGTTAATAAACATTTGAAATGTATTTATTATGAAAGAGTGTATGCACATGTATGAGTATAATTTTATGCAGGTATTTCTAATAGAATATTCTCTTTTTAGTAAGCAAGACAGTCTTGATGTTTCCCTGAGCTTGACTAAATTTAGACAGGCTTTATTCTGTCCTCAGGCCCCTGACTCCCTCCCATTGCAGGTGGTTTAACTGCAGAGGTCCTACAATTCTCTTTTCTTATAGCATTTAATTAGAAAACTTGTAATTGCAAATTCTTTCTTTTCCCCTTTGAAAGTAAACATTTTAATTTTTTGTTTTATTTTTGCCCATTCTACAACCCAGGACTGTCTTTCTCAAGAATCTGGGAGCCATCTCTTTGAAATGTAATAAGTAAACGATGATGGCACCCCTATCTCTCAGTCTCCATAGTTAGGTAGGAGCCTAACTTCAAATTTGTAAGTACCTAGCTCCAAATTGTAAAACTACTTCCTGTCATGTAGATACAAGAAAGCTTATGTTTTCTTTGAATAAGGCCAATTGTCAAACCAACATGACCTAGATACTCCTACTCCATTTCTTAAAAACCTCTTCTGTCTTTTGTTTTACTGTAGTTCAGACATCATTCTGGCCTCTCTCCTTATTGGAATAGCCTTAAATAAAGTCTTCCTTATCTGTTTCCTTTTTTTTTTTTTTTTTGAGACGGAGTCTCACTCTATCACCCAGGCTGGAGTGCAGTGAACTCTGCCTTCAGGAATAGAAAAAGTGTATCAATTTGGACAGTGGTGCGATCTTGGCTCACTGCAAGCTCCGCCTCCCGGGTTCTAGCCATTCTCCTGCCTCAGCCTCCGGAGTAGCTGGGACTACAGGTGCTCGCCACTACGCCCGGCTAGTTCTTTTGTATTTTTTAGTAGAGACGGGGTTTCACCGTGTTAGCCAGGATGGACTTGATCTCCTGACCTCGTGATCCTCCCGCCTCTGCCTCCCAAAGTGCTGGGATTACAGGTGTGAGCCACCGCGCCCGGTCTATCTGTTTCTTTTGTACAGTGCAATTTTTGCTTTGTCACTAGTAGGATTTTTATTTATATTTTCTCTAAATCTTCAGGATTTTGTAAGTTTTTCCAAATTCTTCCTACTTTAATTTTTTCTTATTTTTTATTTTCCTCTTGGGTTATTCATGGAGAGCTGACACTGAAATTCATTCCAGTCATGTATCTGATGCTATATCTACAATTGTGCCATTATGAAAAGCAAATACAGTAGATTAAATACTTTGTCCTAATTCACGATGTTTAAAAACTGGAGATATTTCCCAATGTTATATATGAATTATATTGACTTCCATGTTTCATTATGACTGATCGCAATATAAATTTACATTTAGTGATAGAACCCTAAAAATAATGTTTAGAATACACATTATTTTTCTTTTTAAGTTGAATATTTTTGTTTAATTCTAGTATCTTTCAAACTTCCTTATATTTCTTTCTTCTCACCATAGAAAGCTCATAATTTCCTCTGGGAAAATGAGAAGACATTGCAGAAAAAATAACAGTGATGGAGCCCATGTGTTCCCACTCTGGGTCAGTCACATTTTATGGTTTCATTCCTGATACCATATGGGACTGGATTGAATCCCCATAAAATTAAGAATTACAGAAATATCAAGACCATCCTGGCTAACATGGTGAAACCCCGTCTGTACTAAAAATACAAAAAAATTAGCCGGGCGTGGTGGCGGGAGCCTGTAGTCCCAGCTACTCGGGAGGCTGAGGCAGGAGAATGGTGTGAACCAAGGAGGCGGAGCTTGCAGTGAGCCAAGATCATGCCACTGCACTCCAGCCTGGGCAACAGAGCGAGACTCCGTCTCAAACAAACAAACAAACAAACAAACAAAAAAAGAATTACAGAAATAACGTATTTTCAAAAAATTACTGTGATTTCATCTTTCTCTTATATTTATCAATGCTATTTGTACAATTATAGAATATTGTTTCAAGAAGTTTTGGTAAACAGATGTTTGGTAAACAGATATGTGGTAAACAGAAGCAGCTAACTATACAAATAATGACACATTTGTAAGGAGAAAAGTCTTACTTTTCAGGAAAGATATTGGGGGATGGTAAGTGAAATATAATGATTCCTTCAGAAAAAGTGTAATAGTTCTTAGAAAAAGAATAAAATCACAATGAAGAAAAACACACAAGTAACATAAACGACCATAAAAATATGTGTGCTTTCTAAAAAGCAAAAATAAAATGAAAGTATTTTAGACAAATGACCAAAATAAATACATTGAAAGTGGTATTTTCTACAGATGTATGGGTACTTGTTATAAAATTATTAAAATTGTCTTAATACAATATGTGCTTACAGACCCAGAGATAGAGAGGGGCATGGGTGTCAAGAACTTCGATTAAAAACAAATAGATTATTATATTAATAGTCAGAAACTGGACGGTGATTTAGAAGCACATAAATTTTAAAATATTTCTTACGCTGACCATTCATCACTTTCTGTCTATATATTTTCTTTCTGTAAAGCTATCTTTTAGAGAAGCATTTAATTTCAGTATAAACAGAGTTCTGGTTTCCGCTCTGAAATATAAGGAGCTTGGAAGTCATCGCTCCCACTGTTACAAAAAAAAAAAAAGGTTAAACAAACTGAAAACCAATGACTTTTCTCAGACCCATTAGATAACTTATGTCACAGAACACATTACCACCTGAAATACAGAGAGAGACAAATACAATTGAGATTAGGTTATCTGGGAGCAAAAGTTGTGGGAGCCACAAACTGGCAGAAATAACCAGATGATGTTTGCAAATTGCTGGAGGCTGAGTTTTGATTAGTTTGAGAGTGAGAAACTCCCAGCACCCAGTCTTAGGGGACCCCCACGCTTTTGTTGTGCCTTCAGGAATTCCAGCAAGTTCTCTAGGTGAAGACCCAATAAAAATTTTCATGTGGTTTTCTGGGAAAAGGAAGGGAAAAAGCAACCATTTTTAAGCATGTCCAGAGGATTATCCATAATGAAGCCTTACTCTCCTAATGAAACTGCCCTTCCTTCCTTCCTTCCTTCCTTCCTCCCTCCCTCCATCCCTCCCTTCCTCCCTTCCTTCTTTCCCTCCCTTCCTCCCTTCCTCCCTTTCCTTCCTTCCTTCCTTCTTTCCTTCCCTCCCTCCATCCCTCCCTTCCTTCCCTCCTTCCTGCCTTCATCCCTCCCTCCATCCCTCCCTTCCTTCCTTCTTTCTCTCCCTTCCTTCCTCCCTCCCTCCTTCCCTTCCTTTTTTTCCTTCCTTCCTTCCTTCCTTCCTTCCTTCCTTCCTTCCTTCCTTCTTCCCTCCCTCCCTCCCTCTGTCTCTTTCTCTCTTGGAGCCTCACTGTGTTGCCCAGGCTGGAGTACAGTGGCACAATCTTGGTTCACTGCGACCTCCACCTCCCAGGCTCAAGCGATTCTCCTGCCTCAGACTCCCAGTAGTTGGGATCACAGGTGCTCACCACCATGCCCAGCTAATTTTTGTATATTTAGTAGAGACCTAGGGAAAGGGCAATTAGCAACTTCAGTCTGATTTTCCTGTCTCACCTAAGGGGAAAAAAGTAGTGTGTGAGATAAATGGAAACACTCTCAAATCAGAGAGTTTTCTACTTTTTTGTGAGATAAAGAGATTCTCTACTATTTATAAATAGCTTTATCTCAAGGGGTCCAGCATATATTTAGCTGATGAAAGAATTTTCATTGCTTAATTAGCTGATATATAGAAAGAGAGACTTCATAAGTAATAAAAGGAAATAACTCATGGCTTTATATGTTACTGCATTTAACTCAACTTTTCTACATAACATAATCAATATATACATGTTTTGGCATTACTTCATCTTCCTGGAGGGACCTTCTTGGGAACTTGTTCGTATTTTTATAATGATTTCCAAATAAGTTGAAATCCTTTTTTTGAACTTTTGAACAAGGATGAGATACGAAGAAGAAAACTAACAGTTATACTGATGAATGGAAATGACAGTTTGTAAATGACACTAAAATAGTTTTTAATTAAGCAAGCAAAATGAAAATAAACTTCAGCCCTATTAATTATAAAAAAAATGTACAGGTGAGCATGGATATCAGCTGAACTCTAAACAGCAACTACAAAAAGCTCATTGCAAAGAATAACTTGTTTACAGTCTGGGAAGTGGCAGGTTAATTCACAAAAGAAGCAGAAGCGTCAGTAAGCCGATTTGATAGCCCAGAATAAAATAAAACAAAACAACCAAAGACTATCGGTTATTTAACTTTCAAGGCAAATTCTGTATAGCCAAAATCTGGTCCTTGATCTTTGTTTCTTCTTTTCAGCAATTTGAAAGTAACTTATTTTCCAATTTTGAATTAATCCATGTATGACAGAGTTTGCTTGAATGTTCAAACAACTCTCAAGTGATTTAAAACCAAAACTCTAATGATTTGGCATATATTTTCTATTCTTACAAATAATAGTCTGCATTGGAATGAGCAAAGTTCAGATAGAACTTACTTACATACTTTTATTACTATGAGTTGTTAATAAATGGCTAAATATCCACGAATTTTATGAGCTTGGGCCAGCTCTTAGACATTAGTATAACTACATCAATGCCTAGAACAATGAATTATTGCCAGGATCCATTTGGTCATCAAAAAATATTCTTTCCTTAATACAAAAAAATTATATTTCTTAATATAAAAAAATTATATTTCTTGAACCCATGCTTGTTCAAGCTGAAACAATTTTGACTTTCCTTCACTTCTTAATTATGTTGTGACCTATAAAGACAGGAAATTGGTTTGTATTGGAAATTTGCAAAGTTTTGTAGCTGCCATCTTTTTTATCCCAAAATACTTGTTTAAATTTTTGTTCAATAAATGCATTCATAAAGTATATATATGTAAAGTATAAAATAGTATAAAGTAAACACTATCTTTCATATCTCTACTGCATCTGCCGGCTTCTCATACCATGAGATGTAACAACTTCACTTATTTCTATATTAGTGTTCCAGAAATGCTTATTATTAAAGAAGTTGTATATATATATATATAATTTTTTCCCACTTTATTTTTATGAAAGCCAACTGTTCACTCTAGATTAACTTGTTTTGTTCCATTTAACAATATATCTTAAAGAATTCACCATCTTGATAATTAATGAGGTTCTGTCATTTTTTTGCTCATTTGTTTATTTTTGCGTTCTTTCTTTTTTATTGTGGTAAAATATACATAATATAAAATTTACAATTGTATTCATTTTTAAGTGCACAGTTCTGTGGCATGCAGTGTGGTCACACTGTCATGCAACCATCACCACTATACATATCCACAAATTTTATCTTCTCCAACTGAAACTCTGTCCTCATTAAACATGAACTCACTTTTCCTTCCACCCTCCATTCTCTGACAACCCCCATTCTACTTTCTGTCTGTGTGAATTTAACTACTCTCATGTAAGTGGAATCAAAATATGTGTCTTTTTTGACTGACATTTCACTTAGCTTAATGTCCTTAAAAGTCATCCACACTGCAGCATGTGTTAACATTTCCTTTTCTTTTTTTTTGAGACAGAGTCTTGCTCTGTCGCCCAGGCTGGATGGAGTGCAGTGGTGTGATCTCAGCTCACTGCAAACTCTGCCTCCTGGGTTTGCGCCATTCTCCTGCCTCAGCCTCCCCAGTAGCTGGGACTACAGGCGCCCACCACCACGCCCAGCTAATTTTTTTGTATTTTTAGTAGAGACAGGGTTTCACTGTGTTAACCAGGATGGTCTCAATCTCCTGACCTCATGATTGGCCCACCTTGGCCTCCCAAAGTGCTGGTATTACAGGTGTGAGCCACCGCACCCGGCCTAACATTTTCTTCTGTTTAAGACGAAAGAATATTCCATTGTATGTGTGTACCACGATATGATTATCCATTCACCCTCAGTGGAAACTTGGCTTGTTTCCACCCCCTAGCTATTGTGAGTGCTGCTACTATTAACAGGGGTGTACAAATATCTGTTTGAGTTTGTTACAGACTAAATATTCATACCTACCCCCCACATTTATATATTGAAACCTAATCCCTAATATGATAGTATTTACAGATGGGGTTTTGGGGAGGTAATTAGGTCATGAGAATGAAGCCCTCATGAATGGGATCAGTGTTCTCATAAAAAAGACCCCAGAGAGATCCCTTGCTCTTTCCACCATGTGAGAACACAGCAAGAGACAGCCATCTATGAACCAGGTGGCAGGCCCTCACTAGACATTTAATCTGCCAGAGCCTTCATCATGAACTTTCAGCCTTCAGAACGGTGAGAAATAAAATTATGTTGTTTATAAGTCACACAACCTATTTTATTTTGGATATAGCAGCCTAACCAAATTAAGACAGATTCCTTGTTTTTACAGTTTTGGGGTATACACCCAGAAGTGGAATTGCTAGGTCTCATGGTAATTCTACATTTAACCTTATGAGGAATCACCTCCAATTTATTGTTATGCTTATTGAAAATATATAGTGCCGAGAACAGCTCGGTCATGGAGATCCTAACCCAGTGGCGCTGGAGGAATTGAAGACACACACACAGAAATATAGAGTGTGGTGTAGGAAATCAGGGGTCTCACAGCCTTCAGAGCTGAGAGCCTCAGACAGAGATTTACCCACATATTTATTGACAGCAAGCCAGTGATAAGCATTGTTTCTATAGATTATAGATTAATCAAAGTATTCCTTACAGGAAACAAAGGGATGGGTGGAAATAAAGGGATGGGCTCTGGCTAGTTATCTGCAGCAGGAACATGTCCTTAAGGCACAGATTGCTCTTGCTATTGTTTGTGGTTCAGGAACGCCTTTAAGTGGTTTTCTGCCCTGGGTGGGCCAGGTGTTCCTTACCCTCATTCCGGTAAACCCACAACTTTCAGCTTGGGCATCATGGCCATCAGGAGCATGTCACAGTGCTGCAGAGATTTTGTTTATGGCCAGTTTTGGGGCCAGTTTATGGCCAGATTTGGGGGCCTGTTCCCAACAATATAGTGTTCTAAGTAAAACAAATCCCAATGATGTCTCAAAGTTTGAGGAAACTGCTATTATTTGCTACGTATATCAAATGTTTTATCATTTGAAATACGTTCAAGACATCTATTTTACTTACATTTTAGTAGCTTTTGATAAATATTAAAATAACTAGCATATGTTCTCATGTTTAGTGGGTATTATACTAATACATTAATTTGATTACATTTAAAATACTTATTTGGCTGTGATAATATACTGACCCATTAAGTTATTTTGCCTCTAAATTTATGAATTCTTTTAAATTTATCTTAATTTACACTACATTACACAGTAAAATGCTTTTTAAACATATATTAATCTCTAAATTCTTTCCATATATGATATAAAAGACATTTTCTCTTGCTGTCTTTCTATACAAATTAACCATTAACTAATGAAAATCAAAATAAAAGGCCACATTTCAAAGGTGTAATTTACATTTGAAGTGGACGATAAAACCATTTTAGGGTGTGTGAAGCCTACTCTATATATCTCTGATTAAATATCTAACAGTCTAGTATATAAATTCTCACATTTCCATTCAACAAAAGTCTACACATTTTTCCACATGGTTTTTTTCTCCATTTTTATATGTTCAAATAAAACTACTTTGATATCAAAACACCCACAGTATTGGCCTTACTAGTATCTGAATAATGGATTGGCAGTTTGAATAGACACATCTTCCTTTTTAGTTTTGATGCTTTGATGTTTCCCCAGATTGTTAACCTCACTAACTTCGCCTCTTTATTTCCTATCTTTTATCTTTCATCCTCCACTAATAACTCCATCTGCTGTTCAGTGAACTTGTTAAGTCATAATGATATCTTCTTTCTGTTCCTTATCTTTCTTCTCAGAAAAATGTTTTTATCTCATGTTCTACTATGGTTATTTTCTCAAGTCTAATAGCCATAAGCCTAAAAAAAACTTACATAGTACTATTCAGTTTTCAAAGTTTTTTAAATACACATGATAAAAAGGCACTATTTTACTTTTAAGTATTTCTCAGTTCTCACTTACTATAAAAGCTTGGATTATCACATTGATATTATCTTTTATTTCTGAGTCTAGACTATGAACATTGACATCAGAGACAAAGGCAATTTTTGCACTCATATTAATCCTTAATACACATTCTTATACTCTTTTTGATGAACACTCTTTATGAATCACAGGAAACATTAGCAAGTAAACCATTGTCAAAAAAATTATAAAAGTCAAAAAAGTTATTGATGGTTTCACCTACTGAAATACTATTTTATTTTTTAACCTTGAATTATTTTATGCAAATGTTTTCTTTTTCTAGCCTTTAACAGAGAGATTAAGTCTCATATAATAGTGTATAATCTAAGAAAAATTCTAATTTTAATACACTTCTAAACAACTTTCAGAGACACTATCTTTTTACTGAAAATCATATAGTATTCATTGCCAAGCAACCAGTGTAGTGTCAAAGAGGAAAGTTCTTTCAGATAAAAATACTACTGCTATAGCAACAAAATATTTTAAAAAGTTTTTATTCATTGTAAAGTGCTCAAAAAATTAAATTGTTCTATTTCAAGGGGTATCTTCTAAGGTGTCTACATGCAAGAGAAAAGTAAACAAAGAAAAACAAATACATTTTATTTATTCTCTGTTATTTACTTTTATACGTATATGTCATACGGAATCAAATAGATTAATTCCCACTCAAACACTTTAACTATGTGAACTCAATGAAGCTATGTCTGAAAAATAGTCTGTTTGCCAACATATTTCATGAAGAATATTTTTCAGAGAAAATTATTAGATAAATTAATAACTTTCAAACAACTTGTTCTTTAAAATAAGTCAAATTATTTAGCTAATCTGTCATAGGTCAGAAAATGCTAATTAAATATTAAATATTTTCCAATAGGAAGAAAAAAAGAGTTCTCCTTCTGCTTGTTTTTTGTTTGTTTGTTTGTTTTGTTTGTTTGTTTTTTGAGATGGAGTCTTGCTCTGTTGCCCAGGCTGGAGTGCAGTGGCACGATCTCGGCTCACTGCAACCTCCGCCCTGGGTTCAAGTGATTCTTTTACCTCAGCCTCCGAGTAGCTGGGATTACAGGCACATACCACCATACCCAGCTAATTTTTGCATTTTTAGTACAGATGGGGTTTCACCATGTTGGTCAGGCTGGTCTTGAACTCCTGAACTCAAGAGATCCACCTGCCTCAGTCTCCCAAAGTACTGGGATTACAGGCATGAGCCGCTGCACCCAGTCTGCTTCTGTTTCTTTATAGGCCTTGAGATTTTTGGTTTTGTAAAGCATAACATTACTTAATAGAATATATGTGTGTTTGTGTGATGGGAGATGTATATAAAAAGAATGCTGTTGTTTTAAGTAACTATGGCTGCATCACAAACCAATCCAACTTCGAATGGCTTAAACCAACAATAACTATTTGTTTTTAGCTTGTGTGTTTGCAATGTAGGCAGGGCTTATAGGGAAGGTTCATCTATGCTTTATACAGTAACAGCTGGCGCAATTTGACTGGAACTAGAGCATCTGCTTACAAGATGTCCAGTTATGTGTTCACAACTTGGAGCTCGCTGTAGGATAGACACTTAGCTGGAATTGTGGGCCAGAGCACCCATCTATGCACTTGTTGAATGGCCTGGATTTTCTCAAAGCATGACAGTAGCTGGTTTCCAAGGATGAGTGCCCTAGGAGAACCATGTGGCAGCTGTATCACTTTTGATGACTTAACCCCAGGAGTCACTTCAAGTGTAGTCACATTTTCACCCACATACTAAAGCAGAAAACATAGACCTCTTATCTCTCACTGAGAGGAGTATCAGCATCGAATTGTAACAAAAACATGAGGCATAAGAGAACTTGTGAGACCATGATAGACAATACATCCTGCCACAGATACCTAATATGTGAGAAAATTAGCACCTTATTTTCTAATTCTGGCCCAGTTCCCAATTACGCCTGAAAATGCAGTTTTAGGCTGAGATTATTAATATGAATTTGAAACCAGATGATGTGAGATCAAATCCTGGCCCATTAAGATAATGGAAGTTATTAGGTATGATTTCCTTTTATTTCTGCCACTTCTCCCCAAATCCCTCCCTAAAGACTTGGACATAGTTTTGTGTGGTTTCTTGTTTGCTTGTTTGTTTGTTTTGTAAAACTCAACTTTACTTTCTTTGCTAAAGGCATTTCTTCCCAACAGGGAATTGCCCTCACTATTAATTACTTTTATTTTTTCCTTTGGAATTTTTAGTATCTCTACTTGTACCTTCCTTTTAACTTAAAAATATGTGCAAATTTTCCAGATTCAAAATTGTTATCAAAATACAATAATAGTATTATTTGATCTCACTTCTCTCTGTAACAATCCTCTAATTTCTTCAGTTCTCCACTCACATTTTCCAAAGTAGACTGCACTCTCTTAATTTTCTTTTCCATTTACTGTCTCTCCGAGTCCACTGCATTGTGACGTTGCTTTATTCACTGTATAGAAATCATTTTAGCTAATATCCACGAGGAACCTGTTGCCAAAGCCAATTGATTCTCGTCTTCACTTACAGAGCATTTCTATTCCATTTGAACTGCAGAGTTTATTACTTACCTATTTAAACTCTCCCTTCCATTATCTTCCTTGATACCATACTTGCATGATTCTCCTTATTTTCTCATCTGTTTTCTCATGGTCATTTTTATATGTCCTTCTGTGTATGCATTATTTAAATTTCTGCTGGCTTTAAGATTATCTTTTTATCCATTTCTTTATTCCTTGATTTATTAAAAATGAAGCTATTAAAATAATTCAGGGCTAAGCTAGGCTCTAAAATTAGAATGGTAAACATAATGTTAAATTCTCTTCTGTCAGAAGGCCAACAGAATTACATAAACCAGGCACCTAAATAACCTTCTTAAAATGTAGAGCTGTGGTAAGTGCTATTTTGGAGGAAGGAAATAATTTCATAAGAACATATGCAGGAATACCTACTGTCATTTTCCATTTTACCCACTCCCATTACTCTGTAATGGTACCTGCTTTCTCCTGCAAAATCATAGCATCTTCCTACCTCTCTTCCTTTAATTTGAGTTTACATCAAAATATTTATTGGAAATACGTTCCTACCTCTCTCACAGGAAAGTTGAGCTCAACATATTTAACATTTTAATAACATCTTTGGCTAAGCCACAGTCCTGCATTCCCACCTGTGTCAGTAGTTTGACCTTCTGGGCCATCAGGCATAACTTTTTGCCTCTCTCTCCCTCTCCACTCTGAATCAAACAGCCCTTTGCTTTTACTTCTTAATTGATTCGTGATTCTGCTCCTTACTCTCATCTCTATTACCTTCCACTTCCATATTTACGGCACTTAACACTTGAGTATTCGCATGCTAACTTAAAAACTACTTTCTCTGATTGCAGATTTGACCTAGTGAAATCCATCCTCCAATGTCTTCAAGGCAATTTGTTTAAAAGTTCAGATTAAGTCACTACTCTCTAAAATCCTCAATAGCTTTCCATCATATGAAGATCAAAGCATAAGCTCCTTAATCAGAAATTCAGAGTAGCTGCTACCCACTTGTGCATCCATTGTTACTTCTCTTTACATTTAAACACATTTAGATAATTTTACCTCTCTACACATAGTTTGTTTGTTTTTTTTACCATCTAGATGTCTTAGATCATGCATGTGTTTACTACTAGGAAATATCCTCTCCCTTCTCCCTTTAACTAGGTTGCATACACTGTTTCATTTTGCCTTATGTTCAAACAATTGTAACCTGAGCCTCTCCCAAATGCACACATACAAGCTTAATTCATGTATGCAAAAATTCTCTTTGCATATCCTACACAATTTACTTTTATATTTTTCTATTTATCTATTTGTGTATATTTATCTCTTTCATGAAGCTGGAGCTCCAAGAATATAAAGAACATGTATGTGTATAGTTTAGAAACATCCTGAATGATAGGTTAGAGATTGAATGTAAGTGTACACAAATAGACAATGGCCTGATCACAATGACAATAGAACTCTGATCCATAACTTTTTCAGCCACCAGCTGAAGAAGCCAGCCACACACTCTGCACCTCTGCAGCAATCAGTTCAGGAAGTAAAACGTAGACTACAGTAATTAACCCAGAGTGATTGGAACTTGCTGACTGACTGTAAGCTTCCTATTTTTTGTCCCAACTTCCAACTTAGGACCAACCAGAGAATTCAAATATGTTTATCAAATCAATTACCTTGGATGACCAACTTCTACATGACCTGCCTTCAGCTTCTCCATGTCAGTCACCTACAATCAGGGCATACCTGAGGCCATTTGATTTTTTCTACCGTAAATATTTTCTACCTTCCTGCCTGCTTTCAAGTCTCTGAAAAATGTAAGTGATAATGATTGATTCCTTTGCTATAGCAAACTCTGAAAATACGTTGTTTTCATTTGGGCGATTATCCTGTATTTCCACAGTATGCCTGGAGAATACACCAAGATGCCATCGGTGTTATATTCTACCATGGAACCTGGTTATCAACTGGGATGTGGTACACATGCAGGCACCCTTTGACTTGTTCCTCACAGCTTGATGAGTCTTGATTTTCATGATAAGTCAGCACCAGATCTAAACTTCACTCTGTTTGCATGAAGTTCCTTGGCTACTTATTCTTTTCTCACTGCTATAAAGGAATACCTGAGACTGGGTAATATATAAAGAAAAGAAGTTTAATTGACTCACAGTTCCACACTGCTGGGGAGGCCTCAGGAAACCCACAATCACGGCAGAAGGCAAAGGCACATCTTACATTGCGGCAGAAGAGAGTGAATGAGGAAGTGCCACACTTTAAAACCATCAGCTTTCATGAGAACTTACTCATTATCATGAGAACAGCATAGAGGGAACTGTCTCCATGATCCAATCACTTCACACCAGGTCCCTCCCTCAACATGTAGGGATCACAATTCCAGATGAAATTTGCGTGGGGGCACAACCAAACCTTATCACCAGAGTTTTGTTATTGGTTTCCATTTGTTTAGCATTGGTGGTGGAGGAAAGACATTTCTTCTTGGCACTTTTTGCTCTGTTTCATTCTTCCATTTTGTTTTGTGCTATGTAAAAGTGTTGCTTTCCATACAAAGATTAATGAGGCAGAACTAAGGCATTAGCATTATTAGCCTGTTGGCATAGGCCTCACAAACCATTGAGTTCTCTATTCTCACCACACAGATGTCCACTTGGATAACTTTGCTGTTTGTCACCAATAAAGCTGGATATGATTCTCTTCCTGTTTTGGTTCTTTATCTTGAGGTATTGGCTTTGATCCACAGAACATTTTCTCTGGTTTTCTGCCCTTCGAAGAGTATGGATTGTTGGGTCTACAATCAGAGGATGTGACCAACAGGTAGGTGGGCAGCCTAAGACACAAAATGTCCAAGCAAGACTTTCAGTCAACCATTGCTAGCTGTCATGGTAGTCTCCAAATTTAAATTCTCTTCTACTCCAGGAAAAACTCCTGCTTCTTACATGCACTCATTACATTTTTAATTCTTATGAGTATCTTTCCAAATGACATAATTTCACTAATATAATTTGGGCCTTCAATGGGGTTATAGGCTGAATTGTTGCCCCCCTCCCCAATTTATATGTTGAAGGCTTCATTTCTAGTATCTCAGAATGTGACTGTATTTGGAGATAAGGCCTTTAAAGAGGAAATTAAGGTTAGCTGAGGTCACTAGAGTGGGTCCTAATTCAATGCGAGTGGTGTCCTTATAAGAAGAGGAGAATATGACATAAACACAGAGGGAAGACATAGGGAAGAGATGGCTACCTACAAGCTAAAGAGAGAGCCCTCAGAATGAAACCAAACCTGTTGACACCTTGATGTTAGAATTCTAGTCGCCATCCTCCAGAACTGTGAAAAAAATGAATGTTTTTGTTTAAGCTACCCAGACTGTGCTACTGTATGGCAGCCCTAGGAAACTAATATTCATGACCTTCCTAAGGAAGAGATTGTTCATTTGAGAAGTGCCTTAAAAAAGATATGGAATCACATTTCTTAGGCCCATTGTGTAACTTTTTGTTTTTTGTATACAGAAGCCTGTTTTCCCCCCAAAAAATGATTAAAAAATTGATTCACTAAAATATTTGTTGGCCAAAGCTGATGAAATATTTGACAAACATAAGCAGTGATGAACTAGATCACTTTCCTGGTAAATTATTTCTCTTTCTCTTCCAGTTGCCTTCTTTATCCATGTCTCCTTCTTCCTCCTTAGCCTTTCAATCTCTTTCCTTCTGAACCTCTAACAACTCATTCCCCCTCTTTCCCTTTTCCAGACTTCTAACCTTTTCCCACTGGTTCTTTGAAAACCCCAAATGACACTTTCTCTTAAAAATCAATTCTGCCCTTGAGCCAGGTACGCCAGTAATTATGGAATTTAAACCTTGGGCCCAGGCTGATAAAGTCTATAATTGAGGGCATATCTAAATCCAGATGCCATCAGAAACTAATAATTGAGGAATTCAGCATTACTTCAGGTTACCTGACCTATATCAACTGGTACACACTCTAATCTGAACCTCAGAAACTAAACTATGGATGGCAGAAGCTGATTGTACTAGCTTGGAAAGGCACCTATCGAATCTCTCTTTTCACAGTAAACTTGAGGCTAAAAAAAGCTTCTAAAAATAGACAAAAACATTTTAAAAGGCATACAGAAACATTTCTCATAAAAATTGATTGGATCACATCTCCGACAAAGATATTCTCACTACTAGCTTTTAGAGCCATAATGGTACACTCCCGTGGAAACACATCGGTCATCCTCCTAGTAATTGGAAACTTGGAAGTCCTCTATGTTCAGGAATACTGTACTCTGTCCTGTTATAAGTAGACATGGCAAAATTTCACAGGGGACTCTTGTACTATATCTATCCTATCACCAAAATGTTAAGGCCATGCTTCCAAAACATTTTCCTAAACCATCTCATCATGATCTTCAGCCAGTAATTTTGTCAATTTGAAAGGATAAGAGAAAAAGTGCTCTTGAACATCACTGGAAACCACCTTATCAGGGACTGTTAACAACAAATGCAGCCATGAAACCCCAAATACAGCCATGAAACTCCAGATACAGCAGTGAAACCCCAGGGGTCAGTCCTTGGGTACATGTTTCACAATTAAATAAGCAATCCAGAATTCTACAAAATTTAAAGGCTACTACAATAGGAGTACTCAATTTGGGTATTATCAGAAATGCTGTAGAATCAATTGATCTTCAGAAGACAGCTGAACCAAGATCTTCTGAACAAGTAGTTGCCCCTGAATAGCAGAGAGTTCTGCCTAAGATATCATACCAAGACCTAGGGGTAATTCATGGTTTTGTTGTTGTTGTTTTGAGACAGGGTCTCACTTTGTTACCCAGGCTGGAGTGCAGTGGCAGGATCTTGGCTCACTGCAGTCTTAGACTCCCAGGCTCAGGCAATCCTCCCACCTCAGGCTCCCGAGTAGCTGAAATTATAGGCATGCACCGCCACTCCTAGCTAATTTTTTGTACTTTTGGTAGGGATGGGGGTTTTGCCATGTTGCCCAGGCTGGTCTCAAATTCCTGAGCTCAAGTGATCTGCCTGCCTCGGCCTCCCAAAGTGCTGGAATTACAGTAGTGAGCCACTGCACCTGGCCATGTTTTATTTTTTATCTGCTTTTTATCATCATTCTCCTCATTTTATATAGTTTCATGATCATGATCCATTCACAAATGTCTCTTTTCTCTTGTATTTCCTCCATATTTGAATTATTAGCTCAGGATAGAATTGTTTTAATGCCATTTATAGATTATCCAAAACAATAGTCACTACCCTAATATTCCTGAATGTTGGATATGCCACCTATTATTAGAAGCTTATGATAATAAGCCCTGGACAATTGTACTCTTATCAAATGGCACCAACGAATGACCTTAAACAAATCAACCTGTCAACTGGCTAGTGTCCTTTCCCAGAAAACTAACCAATTACTATTATCTATCAACCAGACCCTAGATCATTCTAAATTTTGATTCAGTAAACTTCGTAGGGTGTGGAGTGAATTACTACCTGGAAGTGACAAGTGTAGACCCAAATATGTAACCCAGATAAGGTAAGGCCTTGGTTTAGACCTCATGTCATGAGGAACTTCTTTTTTGCTGGATCCCCATTTACTTCTGTGGACTATTACTTTCACTGTGGCCGCACCTGATCTTGTGTGTGTCAGATGAAAACCTCATGCCTGTTAGAACTCATATTCTGAGACTTGCATGTACATAGTGACCTTAATTCTATAAATCACACAGGCTGGAAAATCAATCTCAGACCCAAGCCCCAAAAGGGGACCACCTTAACTAGTCAAACACTCTATGTAGATAATTATTTACTGGTTCATGCAAACAATCAGAGTAGTGTTCTCAAAGATGGGATTCAGACAAATAGAAAGAGTATAAGCTTATCATAACTTTTAAAAAAGTTATTAACAATACTATCACTGCCACAAATGTAATATAGGCCAATATACACTAATTAGCATGAGTGGTGAGTAACAATCACATAGGTCTAAGTGTTCTGTTGACTGGTCAGTGTGGCATTTGTAGCATTGCTGTTCATGGTTCAATGAAACATGCAAAGTAGAATGACTCATATAAAACTTGCAGGAAAAATCTATCTCATCCTCTACATTTGATCCTCTCTTGGCCTGGGTTGGGAAATGTGAGATCCATGTTCCATATTCCTTAAGCGTTTTCTTTTCTTTCACAACAAAGCTTTCCCACTCTTCTAACTGCTTTTTGAGTCTTAAAAACACAAATTATTGTGACTCACTCCTTTGTATAGTAAACTCTTAATAAATGGCCTCTATTCTTATTTGGGTTGTTTTACTTCTCTATGTGTTTGTATAAAATATTATGATATTTATAAAATATATTACTACTATAGCATACACATATGTGTGTGAGTATAGGCATAGCTATATGTATTTACATAAAATGTGTCTAACAATCAATATTTATCTCCATCAATTGATCTATCAATCAATGTATCTATCTATCTAATTTCTCTGAATTTAAAAGTTAATACTAAGCATTTAATTGGCATATATTATATATTTGTGAAAGAATAAGTAAATGAATGTATAACTGAGTGAATAAATGCTTTTATTAATAAGCCTCATAATTGAAAATTTTTCCTATTAATTAAAATTATTTCAAGATTTACTTTTAATAAAGGATATGTGTTGAAAAAATATAACAATCAACATTTTTAAGTGTATTTTGTATTACATCTCTTGTTCTTCCCTCCCACGGCTGATACCTTTGTGTACTGCTGGGTTATTATCTCTCACTCAATCTTATTGGCTTTTCTTGTAAATATACCTACCTGCCATGTATTTCATTGTAAGAATAATTATTTAAAAATTTGGCTTAGCAAAATAACTCTACAAGAAGCAAAATCAAATCATATTGACTAATATAACAAAGTATAGAAATTCTTAGGTCTTTGTGAGTGTAGCTTTTTACATCAAACTACATTCTAGGTGGTAAGTATAGGTAATGCATAATAAATAAAACACAGTGTCTTGAATTCTGTGTGAAAATAATGCTAAAATAAAACTTTGAACAACCTACAATGAGAACACAAAGGGAGACGATTGAAGGTGAAGGAAAGCAGGAAGCAGAAATACTTGTAAAAAGATACATATTCGGAATATCAGAACAGCTCCAGTCTGCAGCTCCCAGCGTGATTGATGCAGAAGACAGGTGATTTCTGCATTTCCAACTGAGGTACCTGGTTCTTCTCATTGGGACTGGTTGGACAGTGGGTGCAGCCCATGGAGGGTGAGCTGAAGCAGGGTGAGTCATCGCCTCACCTGGCAAGTGCAAGGGGTCTGGGGATTTCCCTTTCTTAGCCAAGGGAAGCCATGACAGACTACCTGGAAAAACAGGACACTCCCCATGCAAATACTGCATTTTTCCCAAGGTCTTAGCAACCGGCAGACAAGGAGATTCTCTCCCATGCCTGGCTCGATGGGTCCCACGCCCATGGAGCCTTGCTCAGTGCTAGCGCAGCAGTCTGAGATCTACCTGTGAGGCGGCAGCCTGGCTGGGGGAGGAGCATCTGCCATTGCTGAGGCTTGAGTAGGTAAACAAAGCAGCCAGGAAGCTCAAACTGGGCGGAGCCTACCGCAGTTCAACAAGGCCTACTGCCTCTAGATTCCACCTCTGTGGGCAAGAGCATAGCTGAACAAAAGGCAGCAGACAACTTCTGCAGACTTAAACGTTCCTGTCTGACAGTTCTGAAGAGAGCAGTGGTTCTTGCAGCATGTTGTTTGAGCTCTGAGAACAGACAGACTGCCTCCCCAAGTGGGTCTCTGACCCCCATGTAGCCTAACGGGGAGACACCTCCCAGTAGGGGCCAACAGACACCTCATATAGGTGGCTGCCCCTCTGTGATGAAACTTCAAGAGGAAGGATCAGGCAGCAATATTTGGTGCTCTGCAATATTTGCTTGTTCTGCAGCCTCTGCTGGTGATACCCAGGCAAACAGAGTCTGGAGTGGAACTCCAGCAAACTCCAACAGACATTCATCTGAGGGGTATGACTGTTAGAAGAAAAACTAACAAACAGAAAGGAATAGCATCAACATCAACAAAAAGGTCACCTACACCAAAACCCCATCTGTAGCTCACCAACATCAAAGACCAAAGGTAGATAAAACCACAAAGATGGGGAGAAACCAGAGCAGAAAAGCTGAAAATTCTAAAAATCAGAACACCTCTTCTCCTCCAAAGGAACACATCTCCTTGCCAGCAGCAGAACAAAGCTGGATATAGAATGGCTTTGACGAGTTGACAGAAGTAGGCTTCAGAAGGTCGGTAATAACAAACTTCTCCAAGCTAAAGAAGGATGTTTGAACCCATCTCAAAGAAGCTAAAAACCTTGAAAAAAGACTAGATGAATGGCTAACTAGAATAAACAGTGTAGAGAAGACCTTAAATGACCTGATGAAGCTGAAAACCATAGCACAAGAACTTCGTGATGCATGCACAAGCTTCAATAGCTGATTTGATCAACTAGAAGAAAGGGTATCAGTGATTGAAGATCAGATTAATGAAATAAAGTGAGAAGACAAGGTTAGAGAACAAACAGTAAAAAGAAACGAACAAAGCCTCTGAGAAATATGGGACTATGTGAAAACACCAAATCTACGTCTGATTGGTGTACCTGAAAGTGATGGGGAGATTGGAACCAAGCTGGAAAACACTCTTCAGGATATTATACAGAAGAACTTCCCCAACCTAGCAAAGCAGGCCAATATTCAAATTCAGGAAATGCAGAGAACACCACAAAGATACTTCTCGAGAAGAGCAACCCCAAGACACATAATTATCAGATTCACCAAGGTGGAAATGAAGGAAAAAATGTTAAGGGCAGCCAGAGAGAAAGGTCGGGTTACCCACAAAGGGAAGCCCATCAGACTAACAGCGGATCTCTCTGCAGAAACCCCACAAGCCAGAAGAGAGTGGGGGCCAATATTCAACATTCTTAAAGAAAAGAATTTTCAATCCAGAATTTCATATCCAGCCAAACTAAGCTTCATAAGTGAAGGAGAAATACAATCCTTTACAGACAAGCAAATGCTGAGAGATTTCGTCACCATCAGGTCTGCTTTACAAGAGCTCCTGAAGGAAGCACTAAACATGGAAAGAAACAACCAGTACCAGCCACTGCAAAAACATGCCAAATTGTAAAGACCATCGATGCTATGAAGAAACTTCAACAATTAATGGGCAAAATAACCAAAGGACATCATGACAGGATGAAATTCACACATAACAATATTAACCTTGAATAGGAGTGGTGAGAGAGGGCATCCCTGTCTTTTGCCAGTTTTCAAAGGGAATGCTTCCATTTTTTTCCCATTCAGCATGATATTGCCTGTGGGTTTGTCATAAACAGCTCTTATTATTTTGAGATACATCCCATCAATACCTAGTTTACTGAGAGTTTTTAACATGAAGGGCTGTTGAATTTTATTGAAGGCCTTTTCTGCATCTATTGAGATAATCATGTGGTTTTTGTATTTGGTTCTGTTTATATGATGCATTACGCTTATTGATTGGCATATGTTGAACTAGCTTGCTGACCAGGGATAAAGCCCACTTGATCGTGATGGATAAGCTTTTAGATGTGCTGCTGGATTCGGTTTGCCAGTATTTTATTGAGGATTTTTGCATTGATGTTCATCAGGGATACTGGTCTAAAATTCTTTTTTGTTGTTGTTGTGTTTCTGCCAGGCTTTGGTATCAGGATGATGCTGGCCTCATAAAATGAGTTAGGGAGGATTCCCTCGTTTCTATTGATTGGAATAGTTTCAGAAGGAATGGTACCGGCTCCTCTTTGTACCTCTGGTAGAATTCGGCTGTGAATCCATCTGGTCCTGGACTTTTTTTGGTTGGTAGCCTATTAATTATTGCCTCAATTTCAGAGCCTGTTATCGGTATCAGGATGATGCTTGCCTCATAAAATGAGTTATGGAGGATTCCCTCTTTCTCTATTGATTGGAACAGTTTCAGAAGGAGTGGTACCAACTCCTCGTTGTACCTCTGGTAGAATTCGGCTGTGAATCCATCTGGTCCTGGACTTTTTTTGGTTGGTAGGCTCTTATTATTGCCTCAATTTAAGAGCCTGTTATTAGTCTATTCAGGGATTCAACTTCTTCCTGGTTTAGTCTTGGGAGGATGTATATGTCCAGGAATTTGTCCATTTCTTCTAGATTTTCTAGTTTATTTGCATAGAGGTGTTTATAGTATTCTCTGATGGTAGTTTGTATTTCTGTGGGATCGGTGGTGATATCCCCTTTATCATTTTTTATTGCATCTATTTGATTCTTCTCTCTTTTCTTCTTTATTAGTCTTGCTAGTGGTCTATCAATTTTGTTGATCTTGTCAAAAAACCAGCTCCTGGATTCATTGATTTTTTTGAAGGGTTTTTTATATCTCTATCTCCTTCAGTTCTGCTCTGATCTTAGTTATTTCTTGCTTTCTGCTAGCTTTTGAATGTGTTTGCTCTTGCTTCTCTAGTTCTTTTAATTGTGATGTTAGGGTGTCAATTTTAGATCTTTCCTGCCTTCTCTTGTGGCCATTTAACGCTATACATTTCCCTGTACACACACTTTAAATGTGTCCCAGAGATTCTGGTGTGTTGTGTCTTTGTTCTCGTTGGTTTCAAAGAACATCTTTATTTCTGCCTTCATTTCCTTATGTACCCAGTAGTCATTCAGGAGCAGGTTGTTCAGTTTCCATGTAGTTGAGCAGTTTTTAGTGAGTTTCTTAATCCTGAGTTCTAGTTTGATTGCACTGTAGTCTGAGAGACAGTTTGTTATAATTTCTGTTCTTTTACATTTGCTGAGGAGTGCTTTACTTCCAACTATGTGGTCAATTTTGGAATAAGTGCGATATGGTGCTGAAAAGAATGTATATTCTGTTTATTTGGGGTGGAGAGTTCTGTAGATGTCTATTAGGTCTGCTTGGTGCAGAGCTGAGTTCAATTCCTGGATATCCTTGCTAACTTACTGTCTCGCTGATCTGTCTAATGTTGACAGTGGGGTGTTAAAGTCTCCCATTATTATTATGTGGGAGTCTAAGTCTCTTTGTAGGTCTCTAAGGACTTCCTTTATGAATCTGGGTGCTCCTGTATTGGGTGCATATATATTTAGGATAGTTAACTCTTCTTGTTGAATTGATCCCTTGACCATTATATAATGGCCTTCTTTGTCTCTTTTGATCTTTGTTGGTTTAAAGTCTGTTTTATCAGAGACTAGGATTGCAAGCCCACCCGACAACAGGCCCCAGTGTGTGATGTTCCCCGCCCTGTGTCCAAGTGTTTTGTTTTCCATTTGCTTGGTAGATTTTCCATCATTTATTTTGAGCCTATATGTGTCTCTGCACATAAGCTGGGCCTCCTGAATACAGTACAGTGTTGGGTCTTGACTCTTTATCCAATTTGCCAGTCTGTGTCTTTTAATTGGAGAATTTAGCCCATTTACATTTAAGGTTAATATTGTTATGTGTGAATTTGATCCTGTCATTATGATGTTAGCAGGTTATTTTGCTCATTAGTTGATGCAGTTTCTTCTTAGCATTGATGGTCTTTACAATTTGGCATGTTTTTGCAGTGGCTGGTACTGGTTGTTCCTTCCCATGTTTAGTGCTTCCTTCAGGAGCTCTTGTAAGGCAGGCCTAGTGGCCTGCCTTGCTCAGTTGGGGAAGTTCTCCTGGATAATAACCCGAAGAGTGTTTTCCAACTTGGTTCCATTCTCCCCGTCACTTTCAGGTACACCAATCAGACGTAGATTTGGTCTTTTCACACAGTCCCATATTTCTCAGAGGCTTTGTTCATTTCAAACAACCCCATCAAAAAGTGGGCGAAGGATATGAACAGACACTTCTCAAAAGAAGACATTTATGCAGCCAACACACATGAAAAAAGGCTCATCATCACTGGCCATCAGAGAAATGCAAATCAAAACCACAATGAGATACCATCTCACTCCAGCTAGAATGGTGATCATTAAAAAGTCAGGAAACAGCAGGTGCTGGAGAGGATGTGGAGAAATAGGAACACTTTTACACTGTTGATGGGACTGTAAACTAGTTCAACCATTGTGTAAGACAGTGTGGCAATTCCTCAAGGATCTACAATTAGAATTACCATTTGACCCAGCAAACCCATTACTGGGTATATACCCAAAGGATTATAAATCATGCTACTATAAAGACACATGCACACATATGCTTATTGCAGCACTATTTACAATAGCAAAGACTTGGAACCAACCCAAATGTCTTCATGTTCTCACTCAGGTGGGAATTGAACAATGAGATCACTTGGACACAGGGCGACTAACATCAAACACTGGGGTCTGTCGTGTGTTGGGGACTAGGGGAGGGATAGCATTAGGAGAAATACCTAATGTAAATGATGAATTGACAGGTACAGCAAACCAACATGCCACTTGTATAACTATGTATCAAACCTGCACGTTGTGCACATGTATCCTAGAACTTAAAGTATAATAATAATTTTAGAAAGATACATATTCTTGGAATCTAGAAGAAAAGGTAAAATTAGCTGAGTAGAAATTGATGTTTCTGGCCAAGTCAATAGCATGAAAAGAAACATATCACTGAAAAAGAATTCAGGAATTTGCTATGTACAAGTATGATTGAGAATGAGAGTATTTTTTAAAGAGACAAAATCTCCCTATGTTGCCCAGTTTTTAGGTTGGTCTTAAACTTCTGGCCTGAAGCAATTCTCCTGCCTCAGCCTCCTGAGGAGCTGGGATTACAGGTATGAGCCACTGCATCTTCTCAAGAGATGTTTTTGAATATCTGTGTCCTAGTAAATCTTTGCCTAGCCCAAAAGGCTAGGTAATTATTGGGGGTTTTCTTCCAGAAACGTTAATGCGACGGCTTGCATGCTTAGGGTTTGTATGCCATCTCAACTTAATTTTATAAATGTTTTGAGGTAACCGTCAAAGATTATTTTATTTTTTATTTTTGGATATTTAATTAAAATAGCACTATCTGTTAAAAGACTTTTTCTTCTTCATTAAATGTTTTGGCTTTTTGTTCAAAAATTGACAAATGATTTGCAAATATTTTCTCCCATTCGCTAGATTGCCTTTCTTTTCTTTTTCTTTTCCTGTTCAAATGGTTTTTAGTTTGATGTAGTCCCACTTGTCTGTTTTTGCTTGTATTGCCTGTATTTTAGTGTCATATTTAAGAAAACATAGCTAAGACCAATACCAAGAAGGTTTTCCCTATATTTTATCTAAGAGTTTTAACAATTTCAAGATTTACGTTTAAGTCTTCAATTCATTTCAGTTGACTTTTATCAACTGGCGAATAAGGGTCCAATTTCATTATTTTGCAGGTAGATATCCAGTTATCCTAACACCATTTTTTGAAGAAACTCTCCTTTCTTCATAGTGTATTTTTGACACTCTTGTTGAAGATAAACTGATGGTAAATGAATGGGGTTTATGTCTGTGCTCTTTATTCTGTTCCATTGGTTTATATGTCTTTCTCAATACCTGTATCCTTCTGTTTTAATTATTGTAGCTTTGTGATATATCTTGAAAAAAAAAAGAAGTGTGGAAAGTGGGATGCTTCTACCCTTGTTTTGTTTTTTCAGAAATTTTTTGGCTATTCTGGCTTTTTTGGGGGGTTCCATATGAATTTTAGAACTGTTCCTTCTATTTCTATAAAAAATGACATTGGGATTTTGTTAGGGATTGAATTGAATCTATAAATCTCTTTGGGTAGTATGGACATCTTAATATTTTCTTCTAATTCACAAACATGAAATACATTCTGAAATGTATTTCAGAGTATTTGTGTTTCATTTCTTCCATTAAAGTTTTATAGTTTTTGGTGCATAGATCTTCCACCTTCTTGGTTATGTTTATTCCTAAGTATTTTGTTCTTTTTTGAAGCTATTATAAATGGGATTGCTTTGGATAAAATATTGGCAAACCAATTACTTGATAAGGGATAAATATTCAAAAGATATTTTAAAAACCTCCTAGAACTCAATGAAAAAGACACATAACCTGATTACAAAATGATCAGAAACTTGAATAGATATTTCTCCAAAGAAGACACACAAATGGCCAACATGGATTTGAAAAAATGCTTAAGGTCACTAATCATCAGGGACATTCAGACAAAACCACAGTGAGATATCTCACACCATTAAGATGACTATTACAAAAAAAGACAAGTGTTGATGAAGATGTAGAGAAATTGGAACTCTTTTCCACTGTTGGTGGTAATGTAAAATGATGAAGTCACTGTGGAAAACAATATGGAGGTTTCTAAAAAAATTAAAAATAGAACTACTATATGATCCAGAAATCCCTGTTCTGAATTCTACATTTTTTTCCATTGATCAAATGTATATCTCTGTGTCAATACTATAATGCATTGATTATTCCGGTTTTTCAGAATATATTGAAATAAGCTTAACGTAAGACTTCTAATTGTGTACATTATTTTCATTTTTGTTTTTGCTATTCTAAGCTCTTTGCATAGGCATTTTAGAATGAGCATATTAATCTATCTTAAGAAGTCTAGGAGGATTTAAATTAGGCTGGCGTTAAATCTATGGAAGTTTTTAGCAAGAATAGACATGTTAACAATATTTAACCTTCTAATAAATTATATATATTTAATATATAAATTATATATATTTAAAATGGTTTTTGTTGTTCTTTTCTCTCAGATTTTGTAGTATTCAACATAGTGATTTACATATCTTTATTAAGTAAATCGCTAAATATTTTCTGAGATTTGGTGCCATTTTAAACTATATTTTTAAAGTTACAATTTTCAGTAATTCAATGTCAGTACATACAAACACAGTTTAATTTTATATGACAACTTTCTACCTTGTAATTGCTAAATTTACTTATTCATTCTAGTAAAAATTTTGGTAGCATATTTCAGATTTTCTAAATACAATCATATGGAGGGCAAATAGATAACATTTTGTATTTATTTCTTTTAAAATTTTACTGTTTTTTTCTTGCATTATGTACTGGATATGACCTCCAATAGCATAATGAATAATATGGTAAGCATAGGAATCACTGTGCTCTCTCCATCATGAAGGAAAACATTCCATCTCTCACTATTAAGTATGATGCTGTGGTTTTGATAAATGTCTGTATCAGGTTAAGTCTTCTGAGGAGCAGAAGTCAAAAAGAATTGGATGTGCAGAAGATTAAATGTTCAAGAGATTTTCAGGAAAAAGTATCTGTGAATGGCAGATCCTGACTCTTCATTAGGATTACTTTCCATTCTCTAGAGTACGTGGTCATACCAAAGCCTCTCATAAACTAGCCATCATTTCTGTTCTGTCTGATCAGCATGCTAAAATCAATATAATGAATTAGTATAATACTCTATAAAATGTGCACACAAAGATCTTTTTAGACTATATATGACAGAAGGCTGATAAATAAACAGCCTTAGGTCAAAACTCTAAATAAATATTGTTGTATGTCTTATGCAAATATTGCCTGATTCTTATACTCTTTTTCTGATTATTATAGAAAATAATGCATTTGCCAAACCCATGCCTGTAACTCATGTACTTAAAGCTGTGTTCATCGTCTCTAGTTGTAGTACCACATCCAATATAACAGCTGCAATTGGAGCTACAAATGGTCGAATTAATAGTAGCCTACAGAAATTCCCCAGAATCCAACCATTACTGCAGGGGACAAACTGGATAATTAAACAAAAATATAATGGGAACTGACATCCCTGGGTGTTTCAGCTCTATAAACATGGCACTAATCTCCATATTTCCAACCAGGAATTGTTAAAAATATTTTAAATTTACTAACTTAGACAGGGTAAGAGGTAGTTTCTGAGGTTTTCCTTTTGGCATTTTGTACTCTGTACTTCGTACTCTTACAAAAAGGACCCAATATTGGAGTTACTCCAATTTTCAAATATGTCATTACCATTTATGCTCTGAAAGTGTGAGGAAAATACTATTGGGTAGATCTATGAACCTACTTGAACCACTATAAACCAGGACCCAATTTATTACCTGGCTTGTATAAATCTATACTCTAACAAGGAATTATTGCTTGGGTCAATGTTAATTCAAACCCTTTATCAAACCATCCTAAAAATGCCTGAGTATATGCTTTCTTCAGTATACAGTGACCTAAAAAAATGACTATAGATCCTATTGGGGAAAACATATGGAATCATTACAGTCTGTACTTGCTCTGATGTTGCAAGGTTTTCTTCCTAGGGACACAGACACCAATTCAGTTAATAAGTTATGGGTCTGAAAGTTAGCTCAGGTCCAGGGCCTGAGCAAGACATATGTGTTTTTATGGGAACAATAAAACACATATGTTTTCTTGGAGCCCCTCACTCCATCACTTTTCCTTCTTTGGATTGCAGATAATAAGCAACATTCTCATTGGTTGCCCATGGGGTTTGCTCTTACAGACACCATGTTCTATTAGCCATTTCCACAATTTTCTATATGTCATGTCCCCTGGAGAGCCTTCATTCTTGACAGCAATTATTGTGACTGCAGGTTCCTGACTTATAGGATTTAAGCACTGCCACCTGACCTTTATTATTTCATGGTTGCATGATTCACATGGCTATTAATGGATGAAGCTTAGTCCTTACCTGCCTGGAAGAGCCATCATTGACTATCACAGAAATGATGGTATCCTTCTTACTCACACAAACCCAATGGTATTGGTGATTGGTGTTTACTCTTGGCCCTTCCAAAGAACATGATGTTCTGGGTGAGTTTTCTGAGCTCAAATATCATATCCATTTCAACATGTCTATTTCCTATTCATTTCTATACCATCTGTCAGGCTTTTCCACTTTTTTCAGCATGGACCATAACTTTCTCCTGGCTTCTGAGATCCATGCTAGGAGCATGTCTGCCCCATCTTTTATGGTCCTTGCCAGCGTATGAAATACCAAAAAATCACCTCAAGTCAATAAATTCTTGATTATCCAGTCTTATGTTCCATCTTGATCATGAACCCTCAAAGTTCAATCCCAGGGATACACTCCTGGATTCTGACATACATGCTAGCTAATTCTTAAGTCCTTTGTTGTATAAACACTTTTTACATACATCAAGCTAAGCATATTCAAAGCTGGGTTGTATTGAAATCTACCTTTTATTTTCAACCTATCATGTGAGAGAGATGAGAGCACCTCCTCACGTGGGCACTTTTTGCCTCAAGTGGAGAGGATGGAGACTGAGGCTTTATCAGTTCTTTTCTTCACTGGGGAAATGCTAGCTCTTACTTGGGATTCTTGAGTCCACTCTAAAATCCCTGCAGACGTTTTTTGGCAGGTTTGCACACTGAAAGCCCTTAGTAGTATGTACTTAAAGGTCTCCATCATGTGTTTTAGGAACATAGGTTGGACTCATGAAGTAAAATTACAAACTCACCTTTATTGAACATTTATATGGGAATTCCACCATGCTATCTGACCTGAGTTTACCCTTTATTTTTGTACTCTCTCACACTGAAGGAGATAAAGGCTTCTTTATATGCCTACAAAGGAAGCTCTCTAGTTTTCACACTTAGGCTTTAGCTGCATCTTAACCACTCTCAGTTTCAATTTATTTTTACGCATGGAATATTTACAACTTAGCAATTATCAGCCAACTGATAGAAGTCCCTCCTTTCCAACTTTCCTTAGCTCCCTATATCTTTCAGAATCAAAGTCATTTTCCCAGGTCACTGCAGGTGTAGTTTATTACTGAGCTCCCCTGCACCTACTAATAAGTACAGGTAAACTTGCACACAATAGTGTGGAGTTAGAAACACTAATGTGAAGGTCTGGGTATTTGAGATATATGGGAAGAGTAGTGCCAACAGTGACAATGGAGTTGACTTGTTATAACTAAGTTGTATAAATCCTTTGCAAAAGAATAAAGTGAAACTGAGATTGGTTAATAAGCAGCTAAGGCCTCCATGTGAAAGTAAGATAACTTCCTTTGTAGCTTTAGTAAGTGGCTTGCCACTTTTTTCCAGCATCTTTTCATATTCTACATACCACTGTAATCATCTGTCAATTGGTAAGTCTTCTAGTCCATGAACTCTCTATAATATTGATTTCCTTGGACCCTCCTGTAATCACTGGTGTATATTTGGGCTCTTAGAGAAGAAGATGCTAAGATACAATTAGATGTGCAGGAGATGTCTTGAGAAAATGTTTGTGAATGATAAAGGAGGAAACAGAAATAGGGAGAAATTCTAGGCTGATAATATGGGTCTAATACTTATGAAAGGAGGAAAAGAATGAGAGGAAGAAAAGAACTGCAGACTGAAGTGCAGTTCTGAGAAATTCTTGGCCAGGCCAATGGAAAGTCCATGTCCATTAGAAGAATCCAATATTACTCAGGAGTGATCAAGTTCTAGTACCCTATCATTAGCAGGGAAACTGCTGGAAAAAAAAGTCATTTTCCACTACTCTTTCTCTGACCTTCATTTTTCTGTGCCTAGGTTCATATCCTGCCTAGGAAAATGTTCAGAGTGATAGTAGGGCACACTGTTTGTTTCTCTTCTTTAAAGGATCTTCACCCTGTACTCTCTTTTCTAATGCCATAAAACAATTGATTTATAGATTGTCTCAAGTTTGGTAGTTGTTTACAGTATAAGGATGAGACTAACACATTGCTACATTAGGAATAATCCAGATTCCATTCGTAAATGCTTGTACTACATTAATAGGTGCTTTATATATGTAGTGATAAACACACTTAAATTTAAGAAAAAAGTAATAAATGCATATATAAAATGAATATAAATGACTCTCCAAATTGCAATAAAGGCAGTTTTCATATATGACTTGTGGAATCGTTCACCTGGAATTGCTAGAAACAGAATTCTACAATTTACTCTGTTAGTCTAGTCATATGGATTATACCTATAAATATTCTTTCTCATCTTTATCTTCTTGTTTAATCTATATAACTCAGGTCTTCATGACCTCTTTTCAGTAACCCTACAATGCATAATAAGTTGTTTTGAATTGTTGCACACTTTAGTCTGCCTTCACAATGCTAACGAAAAGTAAAAATTTAAAACTATGTTAATCCTTCCTTTACAAATTTCCATAGCGTCCTATATGGAAAGCCAAACTCCAAACTATTGCATACAAGTTAACTTATGAACTAGCTCCTGTTCAATTATGTCTCATTAAGAAATTCATTAAACTACTTACAAATTATCATATATTTTTAGGATCTGGCTCTCCTTCATACTTTTCTCTGTCAACTTTCATTTTAGAATCAGGGGGTGGGGTACATGTGAAGGTTATTTACAAATGTGTATTGTGTGATGCTGAGGTTTGGGGTGTGACCCTCACTCTGGTATTGAGCATAGTACCCAACAGGTAGCTTGTCAGCCCTTGCTCCCCTTCCTCCCACTTCCCTCTAGTAGTCCCCAGTGTGTATTACTGCCATCTCTATGTCTATGTGTACCCAATACTTAGCTCCCACCTATAAGTGAGAACAATCAGTATTGGGTTTTCTGTTTCTGCATTAATTCACTTAGGATAATGATCTCCAGCTGCATGTATGTTACTACAAAGGACATGATTTCATTTTTTCTGGCTGTGTAGTGTTCCAGGGAGTATATGTATCACATTTTCTTTACCCAATCAACCATTGATCTAATTGATACAGGTTGATTCCATATCTTTGCTATTGTGAATATTGCTGCAATGAATATATGAGGGCATACGTTTCATAGTAGAACAATTTATTTTCTACTAAGAATAAGGTTACTGTGCTGAATGGTAATAAGGTTACTGAGTTGAATGGTAGTTCATTTTAAGTTCTTTGAGAAATCTTGACACTGCCTTTGACAAAAGACTTATATCCATAATTTACATGGAACTCAACTCAGCAAGCAAAAAACATAACTCCATTAAAAAATGGGCAAAGAATTTACAAATAACTTAAAGAACTTAAGCAAATTTATAAGAAAAAAACAACCCCATCAAAAAGTGGGCAAAGGATATGAATCCTAAGTGTCTATATGAATAGACACTTCTCAAAAGAAGACATTGATGCAGCCAACAGACACATGAAAAAATGCTCATCATCACTGGTCATCAGAGAAATCAAATCAAAACCACCATGAGATACCATCTCATGCCAGTTAGACAGGTGATCATTAAAAAGTCAGGAAAAAACAGATGCTGGAGAGGATGTGGAGAAATATGAATGCTTTTACACTGTTGGTGGAAGTGTAAATTAGTTCAACCATTATGGAAGACGGTGTGGCGATTCCTCAAGGATCTAGAACTAGAAATACCATTTGACCCAGCAATCCCATTACTGGGCATATACCCAAAGGATTATAAATAATGCTACTATAAAGACACATGCACACAATGTTTATTGTGGCACTATTCACAATAGCAAAGACTTGGAACCAACCCAAATGTCCAACAATGATAGACTAGATTAAGAAAATGTGGCACATATGCACCATGGAATACTATGCAGCCATAAAAAAGGATGAGTTCATGTCCTTTGCAGGGACATGGATGAAGCAGGAAACCATCATTCTCAGCAAACTATCACAAGGACAGAAAACCAAACACCGCATGCTCTCACTCATAGGTGGGAGTTGAACAATGAGAACACATGGACACAGGGATGGGAACATCGCACACCAGGGCCTGTCAGGGGAGGGATAGCATTAGGAGAACTATCTAATGTAAATGACAAGTTGATGGGTGCAGCACACCAACATGGCACATGTATACCTATGTAACAAACCTGCACACATTGTGCACATGTACCCTAGAACTTAAAGTATAATAAAATTAAAAAAAATAGTAAAACAGTGGGCAAAGATGTGAACATGCACTTCTCAAAAGAAGACATGTAAGTGGCCAATAAACATAAAAAAATACTCATCATCACTAATCATTAGAGAAATTCAAATAATAACTACAGTGAGATACTGTCTCATACCAGTTAGAATGGCCTTTGTTAAAAAGTCAAAAAATAACAGATGTTGGTGAGGCTGTAGAGAAAACGGGACACTAATACATTGTTGGTGAGAATGTAAATTAGTCCGCTCACCATGGAGAGCTTTTTGGAGATTTCTCAAAGAACTATGATTTGGGCTACCATTTGACCCAGAAATCCCATTGTATATACACAAGGAAAATAAATGGTTCTACTGAAAGAATACATGCACTCATCTATTCATTGGAGTGCTATTCACAAGAGCAAAAACATGGAATCAACCTTCACACTTTTCCACAAGTTTTGTCCTATGCCAGGAATGATCCTCCTCCACCCCCTACCTCAATTATTTGCTTGACTAACTCCTACTGACTCAACAATATAATGCTTAGGCACCCATGAATCTCCTTAAATGATGAAAGTGTCCCCATAGAACTCTGCTTATTCCTATTATAGCTAGTGTTATTGCATTCATTGCATTGCATGGAATTGTTAACTTGTATTTCTCTTCCTTTAGACTGTGGAAACTTTGAAAAGAGTAACTATTCCCTTCATCTACGTATATCAGAGCTTACTGGTATCTGAGATACTTGTTCGACAATATTTATGAAATAAGCAAATACAAATTATTAAAATAATTCATATTAAAATTAATTATTCAAAATGTTGACATGGTCACATATCTTGAAATCCAGTGTCCCTTTGGGTGTTTCAAAGATAAAATCCACAGTTTTTTATGTGATGCAGTCACTGGGCCTTAAGCAAGCTGTGATGATACATTATTATAGAACATTATAAGTAGAGAAGTGGAATTCTACTTCAACCTTATATTCCCAAATTTTACTTTTGTAAGAAATCAAATAAGACTTACACTTCCAGCAAGACTTTTTGACTAAAAGTTTGATAAAGAAGAATATGTATTTAAATTTGATATACTAAATTTGTTCATATTTGTTTGTAATTCATTTATTTAATCTTCCATCTAGGAAAGATAGTTAGAAATGATTTTAATATATATATGTCTCCCTGTCATTTTTGTTTATTTTAAAGTCAAGAAGAAAATGGAAAGGAGTTAATATATCACAGTGATACTTTTAGACAGGGTGAAATTGCCCCTTGGCTGGTTAATATGTATAAATGTAATCTCGTTTAGAATGGCTTAGACGCCCAGGAATTTGGAGACTGCCTTGCTCTATTTTAATCCTCCTGTCATCCATGTAACACATTGTCTTGATTGATGAACTTGATTTCCCAAAAAAAGCTATATCTAAACCTGGTTACTAGTTAAAATACCCCAACCTTCCGAAGTTTAATCAAGCCAACTCCTTCACAAAATATATGGTCGATTCAAAATGACTAAAATCCTATCCAATTTGCCTCCTATTCACTTTGCTTCCTAATAAGAAAATAACAGTGCATTTTACCATCTATCAATCTGCAAATTGACTCTGCTAGTGGTTTTCCTGTGTCAAGTTAACGGATAATAAATGAAGTTTGTAAGTAAGTTCTAATGATAAGGGTAAACCTTTGACAAAATGTGAAAAGGACAGCATCATTCAGGGCATCAGATATTAAATTACATAAAGAAAGATATAAAAAAGTAAAATAGAGAATTACATAATAATGTTAATTACTTCATAATGGTTAGTTCTGGGTAGTGAGACTAAGTTCCTTTTTTTCTTATAACCTTAAGACATACTATATGTTCTCCAATAAATATACTTTTTAAAATAAAAAATTATATAAGATTAATATCTCTTGGAACTCTATATAGAGTCTTTGCAAATAATGAGATAAAACATGTCTATAGCTGAAAATTCCAGAATAGTAATTATATTACTCTAACTTTACCTTTGATTTGAGATATATCCATGGATCAGCCTGTTAGAAATGATTTATTAAAATGAGAACCATGGTTCCCCTAAGCTCTCATTAGTGAGCTATTTCAGAACCTCATAAAAGTTCTGAAATTATATGCTCTGTATGCATGTATATGCCCATGAATATTATTTTTTGGCTTGCAGGTGGTCATAAATATAATCTTGTAAGTAAAGCAGTATGACATAAATGAAATTTAAAATCTGCTGATCTAGGGTAGCAGAATAAAATAGAAAAGTCACCAAATATAAACTTTAAATAGATATTTGGAAAAAGTGACAAAAAAATCAACTCTTTGGACTCCTGATTACCTAATAATAAAATTATATTTGATGATTCCTATCCTTGGAGTCTGTACTTTTAGATTATATTCAATAACCACATTGCTGACTACTTTGCTTCTCTCCATCCTCAGCATCTATCTTTCCTTCCTAACAGCACTCTGTTTTCCTTTTCATTATACGAACTAGTGTATTTTGTAATTTTCAGTGAGATATTATAGCCTAGGGCCTGCCATCCTTTCTGGTGGCCTGTGCCTCCCCAGAAGCTCTTTGGCTCTGCTTACTGATCATGCCAAAAGAGCCATTGGATAGTAACATATAGTAACATATTCTTTTTTTTTTTTTTTTTTGAGATGGAGTCTCGCTTTTTCGCCCAGGCTGGAGTGCAGTGGCGCGATCTCAGCTCACTGCAAACTCCACCTCCCGGGTTCACGCCATTCTCCAGCATCAGCCTCCTGAGTAGCTGGGACTACAGGTGTCTGCCACCACGCCTGGCTAATTTTTTGTATTTTTAGTAGAGATGGGGTTTCACCGTGTTAGCCAGGATGGTCTCGATCTCCTGACCTTGTGATCCGCCTGCCTTGGCTTCCCAAAGTGCTGGGGTTACAGGCGTAAGCCACTGCTCCTGGCCCTGGATAGTAACATATTCTTAACTCTACCAGCCAAATGACCTCTCCTCGGGCTTGGAATCTTAAGCAGATGATTCAAGACTAGAAGAAGCCATTAATACTTGTTTATCTAAGCATAAATGTCCTAATGTTGCTGATAGTATGACTTTTCCCACAGTTTAGTTTGAGTAGCACACCAGAACTCCCTCTGTTTTGCTCCATTTTCAAAATTGCCATCTTCTCATTTTTATAAACTCTTAGTACTCTTATGGTAAATTTCATTACTGCCAACAATATCCAGGTTTGTTTTGCCAATTTTTAACAAAGAATACTAACTGATAAAGAAATTGTTTCTTGAGAAGGGCTTGCAGGCAATGAAAGGGCAGGAAAATATAGTATTTGGAATTAGTTTATTAGCAGGAAGGGGAGGGAGGCATTCATATTCCAGGACCAGACCTATAGAAATCTGTGGTGAAATAACTAAATTCACTGACAGCTGCACATGCATGGAAACAGGGGATAAGTCTTTTGGCAAAGCAGTTAACTATTAAAATAAAACACTCTGAGATCTTGCTAAAATGGCTGTGTCTGGATAATTGGTCATAATTCAATCCAAGAGAATGACAAATTCAAATACTTAATTTCTCATCTCAAAGAAATTTAATCTGTATAACCTTGAGCAATTGAGCCACTTGACCCAGAATTAGATTATTAGTAGAATGTTATATTCCCTTAAGATTTGGAATGGATGACAAAGAATACAGTCTGATTTGGGGTGAGTAGAGCTAAGAATTCATGTAGATTGTGCCCTATTCATCCTATTAAGCTGTAATAGAACTGAAGGGCATGTCTTAATGAGAAGGTGAGAAAATAATAGCTAAGAGAAACTGTAAGCTTCTAAACAATTGATGGCACACGTCTAGTATCTATGAAATCAAATTCTACTTTATATTCTATGTCTGCTGGAGGCCAGTGGAATCTCTGGAAAACAAAATCTTGTACCAGAATATTATATTTATGTGTTTGCTTCTCAGTGCAGAAATTGAAACACTCAAATATTCTGTGATGGTCTTGATTACATATTATTTTTATAGATTGATGTTTGAGTACTGAAAACAAAATTTCAAATTTGATTCCACAGGTTGTGTTAGTTGAGTTTGTAACTTTGCTTGCTCACTGATGTGAATATTAGGGCATTGTTTGGGGGAAGACAATGCTCTTTTTCATTAGGATAATATTATTTACAGCAATATGGAAGTTTACTAAACCTTAAAGCACAAAGAACAGCTTTCAATGACCATCCTCTGTCTTTCCAGAATGTTTCTTTGTGGATTGAAAAGTGTTGACTCATTTTCCTTAGTAAAGTTAATGATAATTTACAAGATAGGTAACTAAAATCAGATCCTAGCACTTTCCAAGGAAGTACATGGAAAACTCCTATTTTTTGTTAATAATTGACTTTTTTTTTTTTTTTTTTTTTAGACAGATTCTCCCTCTGTCACCCAGGCTGCTTACTGCGACCTCTGCTTACTGCGACCTCCGCCTCCCACCTCCCGGGTCCAAGTGATTCCTGTGCCTCAGCCTCCCAAGTATCCGGGGTTACAGGCTCACAACACTGCACCAGACTAATTTTTGTATTTTCATTAGAGACGGGGTTTTGCCATGTTGCCCAGGATGGTCTTGAACTCCTGGCCTCAAATAATCTGCCTACCTAGTCTTCCCAAAGTTGTGGGATTACAAACATAAGCCATCAGTGCAGGCTAGCTTCTAATTTTCTATCAATATGTATCTTGGGAATAGTTCTGGTGGTGAATTTCAGGGGACTGCACTGAGAAAGAAAGCTTAATTTTAGTTTTCAATGATGTCTCAAGGGGATACACTTTTTAAGTTTCTTCATTTAACACACCAAGTCCTGCAGCTGGGTTTGGATAACCTAAAGATTTTTTTATGTAGCCTGAAACACAACACTTCATCCTGACAACAGATATTCTCTGACCTTAAGAGGATTTTTAGTCCTCAAAGCTGGCTACAAATTAGCAACACCTAAAGGATTAAAAACAACGTTTCTGCATCACATGTCCTGAGATTCCCATTTATTTATTCAGGCATGGGTTCTAGGAATTTGTTTTATTTGTCCTATATTTGGCCAGTGGAAGGTTCTTCTACCTGCTTCCATGTTCTTTTAACATGTTCTTATCATTCTTTCAAAGCTCTCTTTCTTTCAGGCATACGATATTCCAGGCTCACTTTGTTTATTTCTGGAACAACAAGATATTCCAGGCATGGAATCAGCTATTTCTCCAAACAGCCCTGCTTTCCTATAGAGGAAAATCATATTTAGAAACCCAGCTCTGACCACTAGGTGTTCTCGTGATTCTGGATTTTGCTACCTGCAGGCATTCACAATGGGAAATCCATATCTAGGTGTTAGATCTGGACAGATGATACAGAATATAGATATATAGATATAGATATATAGGAAAATCATATTTATAAACCAAGATATGACTGATAGGCATTCTTATACTACTGGATATTATTGTCCCCAGGAAGAAACTAGTCTGCATATAAGACATATAGATATAGAATTATGAATATGTAGATAGAGATACAGAATTTAGACACATACACATATCTTCCCATATGCGTACTTACATCTACTATATCTAAATTTATTTATCTATCTATCTCTACCTGTCTAATCTATCTATACAAGAACAGGAGTTCATACTGATGACTTTTTTTTTTTTTTTTGAGACAGAGTTTCACTCTTGTTGCCCAGGCTGGAATGCAATGGCATGATCTCAGCTCACTGCAACCTCTGCTTCCCAGGTTTAAGTGATTCTCTTGCCTCAGCCTCCTGAGCAGCTGGGATTACAGGTGCTCGCCACCACGCCCAGCTCATTTTTGTGTTTTTAATAGAGACAGGGTTTCATCATGTTGGCCAAGATGTTCTCAAATTCCTGACCTCAAGTGATCCGCCTGCCTCGGCCTCTCAAAGTGCTGGCATTACAGGCGTGATCCACTGTGCCTGACCGCATACTGATAACTTAATTCCAATTCCACAACACAGGTTTTATTCTAGTTTTCTCATATGTATAAATCTCTTGCTAATAGTGAGAAGTCTGATTCTCATCTTTAATAGATTCAGAAATTTGCTCAATTCTCCTGTATATAATGAACCTCTCAACCACACCAGGGCACTGCCTTACTCTTGTCCCTAACCCAACTGCCTGGACTGCATCTATACACGTAGGGTGCCTCCAACCAGTACTAGAATTGAGGTAGGTTAGAAGAAAAAAAGGATTTGAATGGCTTTTGATTATATTGTTTAAATACTTAAGAAGGAAGTCAGAAAGAAAGGGAGGAAAGAAGAAGGAAGGAAGGTAGGAAGCAAGGAAGGGAAGAAGGAAGGAAGGAAGGGAGGGAGGCAGGGAGGGAGGGAGGAAAGAGGGAAGGGAATAGGGAAGGGAAGAGAAGGGAAGGGAAGGGGGAAGGGTTTCACCATGTTGGCCAGGATGGTCTCGATCTCTTGATCTTGTGATCCACCCACCTCAGCCTCCCAAAGTGCTGGGATTATAGGCATGAGCCACCGTGCCCGGCGTATGTACATTTTTATCCGGATATGCAGCTGACATACATAATATATGTTAGCCATTATTTTCATCCTTGGCTTTCCAAACCTTTATTTCTTCCTATTTATAAACTGTTTCTTCTCGTTCCTTGCGATTCTCTGAGATCTTAATAAATCCATTTGTTTACATTGCATGCTAATAAAGATTTTCTTCTATTAAACGATAATTGCTTAGATATTTGTACTTACATTTAGATTTTAAAATTAGAGTATTTGGAGAAGCCACAGGGCTCAGTCAGCCTACATTGCAATGCTATAGCATGAGGTATAATGTTTTGTGATGTATATTTGTCTGTTTTTGTGACTAGTGGGACACAGGTAATAGCTATGTAAGAAACTTTCTTCAGCAAAATTATCTATTAAGAATTTTTTTTTACATTTGTTATTGAGGTAGAGTGAAAGAGATGGTATGAAATGTAGTAGATTTTTTTGAAATGTACTATTATGTATATAAATTCTTAATAAAAAAGGTGTGTATTTGAAATAAAAGAAAGGCACTTTCACACTTTTCTTTCTGTACATCAAAAGGGGCAGAAGTTCTAACACTGAATCATCTTAGCTGGAGCTACACAGTGGCCTAAATTGAGAAGTGTCCATTTTCAACATTTGGAGTACACACCATAAATTCTCTATAAGCATATAGTTCTTCCACATCAGTGATATCACTTGCTTTTATTTTCAGGGTGTCATTTTTAAAACTTGAAGTGAAAGACCATTTCGTACATTTTAGTCTTCATAAACTTAGAACTTGGCCAAAAGATATTTCAGCCTTACAGTTCCAAGTGGTCATAGAGTCAACACATAAAAAACTGTATAACTAAAAGTGCTATTTTATGAGTGTAAAGGCATTTACTTGCCTTTGATATAAATTATAAATTTTTGATTCCTCAGGACATACATCACAAAATAAAATATATAGATATTTTTTAACCAGACCTGTAAGTCAAATTATATAAGACTGGATTTTGAAAGCAATGAATTGAGAAATGATTTAATCTATACCTCAAATTTTACTGTACATATTGAATAACTGAATTATATAGATTGAAATATTAGTGTGGAAATATTGTTGAAAAACTACAAAATAGTAGCATTTTGGAAAACATAAACAGGTATTATTTGAAATGTGAGATTTCCAAGAAAGCAAAATCATCTTTAAGTTTAATATTTTATTATGCCATTAAAATTTTTCTCATTAAAAAAATTTACTATTACTTTCCCCTAAAGGTAAGTTTTACAAAACTAATTTCATTAGTGTAGTTATATTATACAGAATAATTTGCAAACAAAGAAAATCATATTAATTTAAAGCATAAGAAACATTTTGGTAGTTTATAACATCATTGTAAAATAAAGGATATCTGGATATATAGAAACCAAACTTCTCTTTATTTTTTGTTTAAAAATGTAAACAGTTTCTTTGATAATAAGTAATTAAAGTATTATACAATATGAAATCATGTTCATAGTCATGAGATAACTTTGCAGGTATTGTGCTTGCAGTTTATTCCTAAGAATAAGACTGAGATTCCAATTGCAGCTTTGCCATATTTGCTTTAGAGACCATGGTTAAGTTATACAACTTAGTCTCTCTATTGGCAAAAATGTCCTATGCCTGGGGCTTAATCTTGACTCTTGCTGATAGAAGCTAAGAAATATTGGAAAGGAAAGTAACTCTGGGAACATGGGCCTCCCTTTTGACACAGGTTATGAAGGATAGAGATATTTATAAAATACTGGTGAGAATCACGAACTGGATCTTCTTATGTGAGCCAAAATTTGTCTTTACCATTTAAGCTATGAGAGCATAGAAATATAAAATTGGTAATGATAGCAATAACACATTATGCAGCTTTTTAGATTATACGGTTTCTTTCTTCCTAAGTGATCAAACACTTGAAAACCTTTGTATTATTTAAAATAAACTGAAATTCTTCGAGAAGTTGTAAAGAGTATATATGGGGTGTTTAAAAATCCACAGTGAGTGAGTTAATAGTAACCTGGATCTAAAACATCAATCTCTTCCTGAGTTTCAGTTCAGGACACATTTCAGTGAAATATCTTGACACTTGGCATTATGGAAGGTCCTTGGAAAAATATCTTTAAGATCCTACATGTATCTTTTTCATTATTTTTACAAATTTCATTACCCCTTCAAAAGGAGGAACAAGTATCCTTCCAGTTATTTAAAATATGTATAAGTTAAATAGCAATGTATGCCTAATACTGTTTAACTAATCAGGACATTGTTTATTTAGTTTTATTTTCTTTTGAAAAATATAATGAAAAATAACAATGCAAAATTGTTATGAGTTTATTCTGGTATATAACAACAATAAAATTTAGAACTTTTTTTTCTGAATGGGTATTTTTATTTTTAATTAAAATACTATATAGGATTTATTTTACATAAAAGTTACATAAACTGTTATATAAATATTGTTGACTAATATTTCAAGCAACAAAATGCCATAAACTATAATAAGTTATTTGGATCAACAATGACAGCACTATTATCTTTTAGCCAGAAGACCACTTCATGAATATCTTAGAAAAAGCACTTTTCAGTAATGATTGTCATATTGAGGTGGAATTATTAAGAGTCCTGGCCGGGCGTGGTGGCTCACGCCTGTAATCCCAGCACTTTGGGAGGCCGAGGCGGGAGGATAACAAGGTCAGGAGTTTGAGACCAGCCTGGCCAATATGGTGAAACCCCGTCTCCACTAAAATTACAAAAATTAGCTGGATGTGGTGGCACATGCCTGTAGCCCCAGCTACTCGGGAGGCAGAGACAGGAGAATCACTTGAACCCAGGAGGCAGAGGTTGCAGTGAGCCGAGATCACGCCACTGCACTCCAGCCTAGGTGACAGAGCAAGACTCCTTCTCAAAAGAAAAAAAAGGAGTCCCATCCCATGTTTGTTCAGAAATAGATGTTTTTTAAAATAATTTGTAGACAATATAACTGGAATTTTTCATCCTAAACAAAATATTCTAATTGTTTCCTCCAAGTACTTTCTAATAAAATATACACATATTGATACATTTTTGTCATATAAGTACACATGGCAAGCAGATGGAGCTCTTAATATATTAGCATTTAGCTAATATATACTTCTATCCCTCATTAAATTTTTAAATATCCTCTAGAAGTATACTTCAAAATTGACTTTTGAAATTTCATATGCTGCAAATTCTCTCTACTACAATGTTTTTGCTAAGTACAAATTGTTTCATTCCATATGTCAAAGGTTAAAAAATCTGGAAAAAAGTTTTAAAATAATTGTTCAGTGCACTAATTCTTCCTGCTTTGAGTTCACTGATCCCATTTTTGTCTTTGGCAATACAACCCTAAACATAAATGGCTGTTCTAAATGAGTGAAAGGGATACATTTCCTAGCCTATATGGTGTTTCTTGAAAAGCCATTTTTCCTAGCATAAAAATATTTATTGCCTTTTTAATAAAAATAAATATAAATAAATGGATTTTAGAGAATTTTTTATAGAAACATATTAAATATTTGCAGAATATAGAGTATATTAAAGTGGGTATATAGACTTCCTTGTAATTTTTACCAAACAGGTTAAGTGTTTAGTATCATTCAAAGATAACTGAATAGCATGAATTACAAGAGTCACATTTAAATGTAAGGTATAGTTACCTCTAATTTGTAATAAATATAATAACAAAGAAAGCATCATTTAAAGTCTACTGATAATCAGACTTAAAATCTTTGCTTACTTTAACAAGTGAACAAAGTAGAAGTAGTACTGAAATTGACATAGCATTATTTATTGACATAACATTATTTATTTTCTGAACTTGGTTCTGGATAAATGGTTTGAAATACCTAAATGTATTTTAATACTTAGGTTGCCTATACCTAGCTACTTAACGTATGAAAAACTTCTGAAAAACATATGTTTTCTCTCTTCTTTCTTGTTGAATTATTCCCTACTCTCCAACAATCATGTGAATTTCAGATCACGTATTTTTCTCCTTCCATGAACTTACCCTTTATGAAGTTCCTACAAAATCACTTTGCCTGGTTGTTATGTAACTTGTTATTTGACTTCCTCAAACATGGCAAAATTCTTGCTGCCTGCTGCCTTTGTTTTAGCTGCCATCACTGCTTGCTCTACCCTGGTGTCTATATTCATCTTTACCTGGCTGCTCCTTGTTACCCAGGTTTCAACTTACATATTATTATTTAAAGAGGATTTTTCTTATATATCTGAGCAAAATATCCAATCCCTGCCATCACAACCATTACCCCAATGTATTTTTACTTAGTTCAGACATTGTGTTACTTGATTTTGCTTAACATCCTCCCTAGACTCATAGTATGAAGGCATTATTTGACACGTTGAATGCTATTGTCTAGTGTATACAGCACCTGGATATTCGATCAATGCTTGCAGAAAAAATACCTAAAAGTCAAAAAATGAGTTAATTAATGAATTAATGAATAGAAATATGCCTTGTCTATCAGATTGTAGATATAAAACTATAATTATCACTGTTGAGAATTTTGAAGAAAAGGCATCTATAGGAGATGAAGTGGTACAAGCTGTTTCAAGGGTAATTTCCAACACTTACTAAAAGCAAAAAAAAGTACATATTTTTATGTTTTGTAGTGCAACTATAGAAAATAATTTAAAGGAGAAAATCATTAATGTTTACGAATGCTTCTAATATTCATATCATTAATCAAAATGTATTTAAAAAACCATTAGAGAAAATTCATTCATGCATGCGTTCATTCATTTATTCAATTTTTAATATCTTTTTAGAATTTTTTTGGGCAGATGCAGGTCTGGTACTTGGACTACCTAAAAGAAAAAAAAAGGATGGCTGTCCTCATGATACTTACATTCTAGCAGAAGAGACGTCTGTCTTCTGCTAGAATGTAAGTATCACGAGGATGGACATCCAAGAATAAATATAAAAGCTTGGTAAACGGACCTTAATTCCAGTGAAAAAAGATAGCTATGTTCATTTAAGGTGGTTGTGAAGCTTCCTTAAGAGAAAAGCATTGGCCCAAAAGACTATCTGAGTTTCTCAGGCTGAAAGAAGAGGTTCTGAAGCAAGAATATGTCTGACATGTCCAATCCAAGATAAATACATGAAATTCTCAAGAAAGTCTGAGGCTAAATATATTGTGAAAGACAGTATTCCATTGTTCTAATTTACATAAGACAGGACTTTTAAAGAAATATACAAGAACAAATGTAAAAGCAATTAAGGAAATATTCACCAAAACTTTATGATAAAAGGCAAAATAAAATTGCAATATTTTATAGGAAAACTTCATGCATAGAGAACCACTATTAGGTATATTCTGGTAATACATTCAAACTGTAAAATGTTAAAGCACTCATGAATGAGTAGAGGATAAAATAAAAATGTGTTATAAATAAGTCAGAAAGTTCATTAATGAAAGCTATATGTATCCAAAAATGATATTTCTCAAAAATTCTATGGACAGTCAAGAGGAATTATAGTGTGAATGCAATATGAACATGTTCTTGGATTGATTTTCAAGGATTTAGACTACAACTTCCTAAAATTCTTTATGAATCAACAACTCAAACACCTGTTTCTTATGTAGTGAAAACTAAACAAAAAGTATGAATCAAATGATAATAGATGGAATGCCCTCCTTTCCAAATTTTTATTAAAATGATTTGATATATTACTCATACCTTTACTCATTCTTCTCTGAATGACTTTAAGCATTTGGTGAATTTGGGAAATAAATATTTAAATTTTAAAATGTTAATAAAAGCACTCATCAATAAGTACAGGATAAAATATAAATATAACTGAACAAGTTCATCAATAAAAGTGATGTTTAATATGTAAAACTATATTTAAAATATAGCCAATGAAATTACATTTATTTTCATAGTTCCCTCTTTGTCAGTAATCTTTTCCAGTAATGAATAAGCCTCTATTTCTAATAAAATGGCTGAAATAAAAACAAGTAATATAAAATAAATAATTGTTGGCCTTTACCTTATTCTTTATTTCTCCAATTTTTCAAAATCAAAGTATGAGAAAGGGCCACCATTAATTGAGGACTTTCTCAGTGATTACAAATCTGTGTTTATCTGAAATAAGAGGATATAAAATCCTAAGAGTGGAATTTAGGGTGCTAAATATATATGAAGAGAAGAGTTTGTGCAGCCCAGATCTATGACTCATTCCCTGGGCTTGTGAACCTGCAGCCTGCTTTCTACTTTGCAGCTTGGAGGCCAGATGGGTTTTTCAGTTGTGCAGTTAGTTTTTAGTGCTATGGCTTGAATATAAAGCTTTAGATGTCATAGAGTGACTACAGCTTATGGCGGCTATATCCACAAGAGGATGAATACTTCAGGAGCGTGCCCTGGGCCTTCAAGGAATAACTCATAAGCCTCACCTAACTTTTCACTTTGAAAGAGAGAAGAAACTGGGTTAGGAAAGTCAACATGTGGCCTAAGAGAAGAGAAAAATTACCTAATAAGCAATGAGAGACAGGCTTAAGGAATACCTCTAAGCCTCAGTTTTCTTAAGCCTAACAATGGGATGACCACATGAGATGTGGTCCCTGGCAAGCAGCCCCCAAGCCACAGTGTGGACCATTTAAAGTCATGGAGTGTGGACCATTTAAAGTCATGGACCTGCCCAGGTACAGACACTGTCAAGTCCTGGCTACACTTTTCCTAAATACGGTGACATGGAAAAGTTAATTGTGTAGAAAATAGTCTTTCTCGTCTTTTAGGACTTCATGTGCTGAACAGTATTTTCAGGCTTTAAGCTAAAGGCACTGGGTTCTGTGGATGCTAGATAGCATTTCTGATGCTCTATCTTTAACATTTTAGTGCCTGGCACAGATCACTGCTGCAAATTCTCGTTAAAGTCTTGTTTAAGTTCATTGTTTAAGTTTTGAACTGCCTTTACCTCTAGGAGAAACAGGTGAGGAGGGGCTAGCAAACCCTCGTTTATATGGCTTTACACAGGCTAAAATACATGCCTTATCAAGAATTTCATTTGGCTCTGGATTTTTAAATTATATGAGCTCTGATTACAACCTCTTTTTTTTGGTACAGAACATTGGTTTCACTTGTAAAATACAGTATATTTTATCAATTAATAAATAAAAAGAAAAACAGCAAGCCTTATTTTAAAGGGAATATTTCTATTTATTAGTTAAGACAAGCAACCTGGCAACATTTTTACAATCCCAAAGTGTAAATGTAACATTCAAAATTTTTGTTACTAGGAATCAGCACTATTCAGGAAACAAAAGAGAAATTAGGGTGGTTAAAACAATAAATGAGAAGAAATGGAAACAAATAAAAAAAAATAGGCTAATTAAATAGCAGAGGAAGAGATATAAGCCTTAGAAGAAATCTGAGTTCTTAGAAGACAAGCTCAATAAATATAAGGGAATATGTCCTCTACTTTTGCTAATAGAAAGCCAGTTATCAATCAAATCACCACTTCTTTGTGATAACTTTTATTTATTTATTTTTCTTTTTTTATAACTTTCTTTTTGCCTTGTTTTGTTTTCTGAAATTTCACTATTATGTATGTATAAAAAGTATGTTTCATGTCTCCAGAAATAAAAGGATTTATGGTGTATAGTGAGGAATCAAGTTGAAAGAGATCATTAGGAAACAGAGAGCTTTACTGTTGTTAGATGGCAATACGTAACTGAAACCAAACAAGAAGTATATTTCAGAGAGCAGCAGGAAGCAACAGCCTGGAGCCCCAAACCAAAACCAAGAGCTAGAAGATGAGAGTTGGTATTTGGGAATCAGGAAAGTATTACCAGACAGTGTCTTATAACTAAAAGTAGTGAATCCATAGTAGTAGTAACTGGGAAACATACCTTCAATATTATGGTGTCTTTGTTAAGTAGACACATAATAGGTAGACACACTGGAGAATTAATATGTTTATCTGTGAGTTTCAAGGAACATGGCCATTGTAACTAGAATAGAATTATTATCTGTGCTCCAAATAAAGATGCCCAGAAATCTGTGGAATTAGAAACCCCAGGGAGAGTATATGAGACACATTAAAATAGAACCAAGAAAGATTGAGTTTTTCCTTTGTTTAGGTAGGGAGCTAAATGGAAGTATAACTCATCTGTGGGATTATTCAACTCAAGACTCCTAAAGTGATTATTTTGTTTAAAAGAACCAACATGAGTCTTTGACAAACAATCTTAAATTAGTCTCCTTCTGCTTATTGGAAACTCTAGAGAGATGCACCCTAAAGATACACGTTTCACCACATTGGCCAAGCTGGTCTTGAAATACTGACCTCATGATCCACCTGCCTTGGCCTCCCAAAGTGCTGGGATTACAGGCATGAGCCAAGATACAAAAAATTAGCTGTGTGTGGTGGCGCACGCCTGTAATCCCAGCTACTCAGGAGGCTGGGGCAGGAGAATCCCTTGAACCCGGGAGGCGGAGGTTGCAGTGAGCCGAGATCATGCCACTGTACTCCAGCCTGGGCGACAGATCAAGACTCCATCTCAAAAATAAAAATAAAAATAAAGCTTCACATTAATGTGGACAGTTTTAGGCAAACTCTCCAAAGTTATCACTTACTAAAAATAATTTTACTTTAATTCTTGAAAGCTATTTTTACTGGTTATAGAATTCAAGACTTGAATTTATTTTTTTTCACCTGTTGAAAGTATCTTTCCACTGTCTTTTGTCTTCTACTTTTGCTAATAGAAAGCCAGTTATCAGTCAAATCCCAACTTCTTTGAAGATAACTTTTATTTATTTATTTTGCCTTTTTATAACTTTCTTTCTGCTTTGTTTTCTGAAATTTCACTATTATATATGTGTAAAAATGTATATGTAGATTCATATCTTTCTTTAGGTCTGAGAAATTTTCAACCATTTTCTCTTGAATTATTATATCATTTAGTTTTCCATCACTTTCTTTATCTATAATACAGCAATGACAGAAATAAATAAATATACATATATACACATATAGATTAATATAAAATTCATAAAATAATATTGTGTGCTTAAAAGTTGTATGCAGTGAATTCAAATATAAAAAGGATAGTATATTAGTAAGAAGCAGAGGCATATGAAGTTAATGTATTCTAAGTTTATTGCATTATTCAAAACAATAGTATAATTTTTTCAATAAAATACACTTGGATAAGTCAAAAGAAAAGGAAACCTGACAAGTTAAGCTCTCTGGGAGTATATTAGAAAGGCAAATGGATTGGCCAGAAAAGAATGAAAAGCAAAATGAAGGCAGGTGTTCAATTCCAGCAAATGATTTCAGCTGTACATTCTTAGAGAAAGAAAAAAGAAACAAATTTATACAGCAGGGTAAACTTAACCTAGCTATTTAAAGACACTGCGTGCAGTGTATCCCATTGGTTCCCACCCTCCCCCTCAAAAAATGACATAGCTGAAATCAATGCTGGAACACCCAAAAATACAGAAAAGACAGAGTTTTGTGATGTGCCTGGCAATGCTATAGATGGTAATTTCAATCCTGTAGAAACTACAAAAGTAAATTCAGTTAGGAAGTTTGTTGAGGGAAACTCTCCAGTTGATCAAAGCTGGAAGTTAAACTGTTCGCTAGAAGGCAAGCTTTAAAGGTCTAAATAACTGCATAAAAAGTGACAGTGGAAACATCCACTGGGCCTTAGAATTAAAAATAAATAAATAAAAAATAAAAAACTTAGAAGAGTGTGTAGGCTAAGATACTAGCTGTACTAGCTGGAGACCACTCTCACTGTAATATAAGGTGCCAGAAACATGGGGCTCAGAAAAAAATGGAAGTTAAATTCTGAATATACTGGATATAAAATAAAATTATCTAGAATTATTATTTTTGCTAACTGGTGCTTTTCCAACATGATAAATTTCTAAACTTTGTAGAAAAGGCAGCTATGATTCATCTACATAGATAGGATCTCCCCACAGATATTTGTGCTTGCCTGATACAAAATCAGCATGTTGTTGACAGATTTATCAAAATAAGTTTAATTCAGAGGTTGTATATTCCTGACTTCTATCAACTGATTGTCATGCCAATGAGTCTGAGACAAAGTTTTTTCTTCTCTCAGACATCAATGAATTTCTGTCATTATATACTGTAATATTTATAACAGTTTGGGGAACATTATTTCACCTGGGATAAGTGCTATCAGGCCTGATTGGGTGATAGGTTGCTTCTCTAAATTTTAGAGCTATGTAAAGAGCATAATAATGAGCTTTCCTTTTCTTATTTCTGTACTTTATAAATTGAAGTGTATTCAGGGACTTGACATTTGACCAATTCAACTTCTAGAAAATTAGATATTCACAATGCTCTGTTGTGTAACCATCACCTTCAACCGAAAATAAAATTGGGGAGGATAATTTTTTGGACTTTGATATAACTTAAGAACCTTAAAACTTGAGCTTAATCTCAAAGGGAAAATATGATTTAATTTTGAATGTTAATTACTTTTGAGAGGCAGTATAGCATAATTCCTTTTGAGAGGCAGAATTTTATGCTAAGCAAGAACCAAACTCTTGATCTATTGTCTGGATTTAAACTCAGGAACCATGGTACCTGCCAGCGGGGCAACCTTGGACAAGATGCCTAACTATTTCAGAAAATTAGATGCCATTGAGATCTAATTCGGAGTATTATTGTGAGAATTAAATGATATTATTTGTAAACTCTTTTGATTAGTGCCTAGCACATGACAAACACTGTGCACATGCTTGCTATTTCTAGCACCTTTGGACAGTTAACATTTGGTCTTTAATTTTGCCCTGGAGTTTGATAATGAAAACAATTTTTATTTGATTACAAATTTTTATTTGATTTTATTTTATTTGATTTTGATTTTATTTGATTACAAAATTGATTTGATTTTATTTGATTATAAAATTTTATTTGATTACAAATTTTTATTTTATTTGATTACAAATTACAAATTTGAAAACAAATTTTATTTGATTTTTCATTCCTTATTTATTATATATTTGAATACATTTAAGAGGCTAAAAGTGTGCAAGTTGCATTAACAAAAATAATTTAACTATCTCTTAATAACCTTTTCTACTTACCTGTTGCAAAGAACAATTTGTTTAGCATACACAGTTCATGGTTATTTAATTATTGAAGTAGTTCACAGCTGTAAGGATAAAAATCTCAGTTTCCTTGAAATAAAAATTTATAGTGACAGTTTCCGATTGCTTAACACTTTTGTCTACCAACAATTAGTCTGTATATCTCTTTAATCCTAATGCTTAGCTTATATGCATTTTTCTTTAAACAGTACATACTCTTTGTCCTGTTCCCAAAAACCAAGCTTTTTTGCATGCGTTAACACAAAAGTTTATCTTATACACTTATTTAATATCTTTACAATCTTGATAACTTACCTGTGCTGTTTTATCTTTCTCATACTCATAAAAAATGTTTCCCAAAATTTTAAACTGAATATATGATTTCATAATTAAAGGACTATAATACATAAAGCATAGAATACTAAAAGCAAAACTCTGTAAGAATGAGCTTTTGAGTATATATAATCAGTTGAATTTGAAAATGGACTCTTTCAATTATAAATTTTAAATTACAGAATTTAGATGTTTTCTATAGTAAGTATAATATAGAATTATTCTTACCAATAAAAACTAACTGCTAGTTGCTCATATGAATTCTGCTAAATAATTAGTGAAGAAAATATAATAGCTAGATTCTTTCAGTTTAAAACATTTATTCTTATTTATAATCTGTGCCTTAGTTTGGGACACCCAAATACTTGAGTTTCTCTGATTAGAAGAAATTGGCCACAGTCATAGAAGAATTTGTTCTGTTTCCCAAAACTTTATGAGAGTCAGTATGAGAGACTTTTAAAGGGAATTATTTATCTCACCATTTTGCCCTTGATCCAGTGATTAACTGAAATATTGCATTTTCATTAATACTATGAAAACACAGAAAAAATGCTAAGAAAGAGCTATTCTTTCTTAACCTCTAACAGAATTCACATTTAGAGAGTTTCAAACTCACAGTTGTCTTAAATTTTTGCTGAGTTTTACCTATTCACAGATTTACATGGTAGTGCATTTAAGTATATTTTACATATCTGAACTTAATAATTGTCATCCATAAGTTGAATAATTTATTAAAATTAGGATGAGAGCAACTGTCTTGTGATATGTAATACTATGTAAGCTTGCATACTATTTTAGAGTAAATGAAAAGGATGGAAAACTATAATACCACAGTCACTTATTTTTCAATTGTATTGATATTTTCAAAGACTTAACTTTTGGTTAAATTGATTTTCCCTATTGTTTTCCTGTTTGCAATTTAGTTTATTTATTTCTGCTTAAATTTTTATCATTTATTTTCTTCTTATTTCCTTAGGCTTACATTGCTCTCTTTTCTCTAGTTTCTACATTGGGAGTTTAGATTATTTATTTCACATATTTTCTGGTATAGGCATTCAGTGCTACTTTTTTCTTTTTATGCACTGCATCCCTGGCATCCCACATATTTTGTTAAGTTCTATTTTCATATTAATTTAATTCAACCATTTTTTAAAATTTATCATAAGACTTCTTTGACTTATATGTAATTTAGAAGTATATTGTTTAATTTCCAAATATCTTAATATTTTTCAGCTTTCTGTTATTAATTTTTAATCAATTATATTATCAGAACATACTTTGAATGATTTTTACTCTTTATAAATTCGTATACGTGTGTTTTATAGCTCAGAATATGGTGTATCTTAATGAAGTTTCCACGTGAGCTTGAAAGGACTCTGTATTATGCTGTTGGATGGAGTATTCTATAATTGTCAATTGGATGAAGTTGATTAATAGTTATTTTTGGGTGATCTATATGCTCATTTTTTTGCCTGTTTGATCTATTAATTATTGACAAGAGGATTTTGAATTTTTTATAACAATGATTTGTTTGCTTCTCATTTCAGCACTGTAAGTTTTTGTTTAATGTATCTTGACTTTCTGTTTTTAGATGCATATGCTTTTAAAATTGCTGTTTTCTTAGAAAATTAATTTCTTTGTCATTATGTAATGCCTTCTTTTTTATCCCTGATAACATTCCTTGGTTCAAAGTCTGATATATTTGAAATAAATATCCCTATGTCAGTTTTATCTTTATTTCTATTAGCTTTGTATATCTCCATTTCTTTACTTTTTAACATGTGGCTTTATATATGTAAAATGGGTTTCTTATACACTCTGCCTTTCTAAATATCTGTATGCACATATGTATGTGTGTGTGTGAGAGCATGTTGTGTTTTATAGCCACTCTGTTAGTCACTACCTTAACATGTATATTTAGGCACTTAAAGTGTTTATTGATATAATTGAATTAATATCTACCATGTTTCTAAAAGTTTTCTAATTATTGTATTAGCCATGTAGGCATTTTTTTCCTTCTCATTCTTTCCTTCTGCCTTCTCTGGTTTAATTCTGCCTTCTGCCTTCTCTAATTTAATTTAATTTTAAGGATTTTATGAGTCAATTTTATTAATGCTCTTAGCCTATTGAATATCTTTCTTTTTAGAATAATTTTAGTTGTTGTTCTAAAATTTAAAACACATTTTAAACTAATCTAAGTGCAACTTCGATGTGTAGTGCAGATATCTTGTAATGTCGTATTCTCGATTTCTCCTTTACATCCTTTGTGATATTGCTGTCATTTATTTTAATCATCCACATGCAGTAATTATCCAATATATTCTTACTATTTTTACATTAAATAGAGTTTTCTTTTGGAACAATAAATAATAATAAAATATTATATCTGTATTTATTTCTTCTCTGATGATTTTCCTTTCTTTATCAAGTTTCTGACTTACCATATTTTTCTTCTGATTGAAGAATGTTTAAAATTTCTTGTAGGGCAATACTGCTGGCAGTGAATTTCCTCAGTTTGTATTTTTCTCAGAAAATCTATTTCTCCTTTACTTTTTATGAATAATTTAAATAAATATAGAATAATAGATTGTTAGTTTTGTTCTCTGAACACTTTAACTTGTATGGTTTTCTTGGGTGATAGTTGCACCAAAATCTCACAAATCACCACTAAATTACTTACTTATGTAACCAAACACCACCTGTTTCCCAAAAACCTATGGAAAATTAAATTTAAAAAAGAAGTCTGTTATAATTCTTATGCTTCCTTCTTCCTTGACATCAAAGGTGCTAGCTTTCTCCCTGGCTTCTTTTTAAATTTCCTCACTGTCTTTGATTTTCTATAATAAATGTGATTTTTATAGGTATGTTCTTTCTTTGCTCTGTTTTGTTTTTGTGTTTTTTTCTGTTTAGTTCTCTCTAAAGTTTTTTGAATCTGTGGTTTGGTGATTTGGTATCAGTCAATTTAAAAAGGTTTTGGCCATTTTTAAATTTTACATTTGTTTCTAACAGCTTTATTGAAATACTATTTATAAAGCATATCATTCACTCATTAAAAGTTTTCAATATGTTCGCAAATATGTTCAACCATCACCAAAGTCATTTTAGAACATTCTTACCACATCAAAAAAAATAATTAATGCCCTTTACCTATTACCCTATATTCCCAGCCCTGCCTGCATTCCCCAAGCGATCACTAATCTACTTTCTGTCTCTGTAGATTTTCCTATTCTGGACAATTATGAATGAAATTATATAAAATTTGGTATTTTGTGACTGGCTTCTTTCAATTATGATAAGTTTTGGGCCATTACTACTTCAAGCATTTCTTTCTATATCGTTTTTTTCTCTTTTCTCCTTATTTTATTCCAATTATTCATATATTATACTTTTTTTGCAATTGTTCCACTCTTTTTGTATGGTTTTTGTTTGTTTGTTTAGTTTGGGAAGTTTCTGTTGGCATATTTTTAGACTCAGTGTTACTTTCCTCAGCCATGTAAAATTACTGATATGCGCAGCAAAACATTCTAGATTCTTATAGTGTTTGTTTTAATCGCTAGCATTTCTTTTTGATTATTTATCAGAGTCTTCAAATTTCTGCTGTATTACCCATCTGTTCTTGCTTGTTCTCTACATTTTTCCATTAGAGCCTTTAACATATTAATCAGTTATTTTTAATTATCTGACACTCCAACATCTGTGTCACATCTATGTCTGGTTCTGATGCTTGCTTTTCTGTTTCTTTACAGTGTTTCTTTTTCCTTGCTTTGTTTGAGGTTTTATGTTAAGTTGGTAGGAGCTGAACTGTGTTTTAAGTTTGCTGTAGCAGGAGATACAAGAGGCTTCAAATTTCTTTTTTGTCCTAGTTTTTGTCTCCTCTCTTAACTTTGGGGTTCCTTAAGTATTCCTTCTTAGAGATAGTCTATATCTTGCAGCCCTTTCAGATATAATCCTGAGAACAGCAACTCTTGGCACACAATGACTTTGTTTAAACTTCTGCACTAAGAGACAAGCAAAATCTTGCATGGCTGCTAGCAGCATAAGGCCTTGTCCCTAGAAAGATTCCAGTTCCCTTTTAAAATGCCTACCTACAAAAATACAACACTGGCAGAACTAATTGTTTGCTTTAGCCAGCACTTGACAATAGGCCCCTGACCTCCTGTTTTAGTGTGTTTATTTTTGTTGTTGTTGTTGCTGTGACAGAATACCCCAGATTGTGTAATTTATAAAGAAAAGAGGTTTATTTGGCTTATGATTCTACAGACTGGGAAGTCCAAGAGCATGGCACTGGCATCTGGCAAGAATTATTCCCTATCAGATAGGTGAAAGGGCAGGAGACAGCTCATGCAAGAGAAAGCTCACTTTTATAACAGAGCCAATTGCTAGATAACAAAACAACTACCATGATAATAGCGTTAATCCATTCATAAGGGCAGAGACTTCAATATTCAATCACCTTCCAAAGGCCCACCTCTCAACAATGTTACAATTGCAATCAAGTTTCCAACACATGAACTTTTGTGGATCACATTCAAACTATATCATTTAGCCCTTGGAGCCTAAAATTAATGTCCTTCCCTCATGTTCAGGATACATTCATTCCATCTTAATAGTTTCTAATTCTTAACTCATTCCAGCACCAACTGAAAAGTACAAAGTCTCATCTAAACCAGATATGGGTAAGATTCAAGGCACAATTCATCCCAAGGCAAATTTATCCAGCTCTGAGCCTATAACATCAAAACAAGTTATCTACCTCCAAAATTCAGTGGTAGGGCAGGCACAGGATAGACACTGTCATTTCAAAAGAGAGAAATAGACAAGAAAAGAGGAATAACTGGTCCTGAGAAAGTCCAAAACCAACAGGAAAAACAACTTCAAGTTTGTAAGCTGGAGAATAATCTCCCTGACTTCATGTCTAGCATCCTGAGCATGCGAGGTGGGCCCTGGGCCTCCAAGGCACTAAAGGGAACCCATTACCACAGCTTTGTTGGGCTCAGTCCAGGTAGCAGCCCCCACATGTTGGAGTTGTTATAAATAAAATTTCGGTGCCACAAAATAAATAGCACTTGAATATAAAATTTTCTTTTTAATTCTCAGCAAGTTACTTCTATAGAAGGGTGCACCCTTACAGATGGAGCAATGGTAAGTGCACACTTGGACAAGGCAGGGGAAGGGGTTCTTATCCCTGACGCACGTGGCCCCTGCTGCTGTGTCTTTCCCCTATGGGCTAGGGTTAGACCTCACAGGCTAAACTAATTCTGATTGGCTAAAGAGAGTGACAGGGTGAATAGTTTGGCCAGAAAAATTGTTACGACAGAGCATAACCATACCATAAATGGTATTTTATATTTTACCAGGCCCAGTTAGGTTTATCCAAGCCAGAAGCTAGGCCTGTATCTATTTGCTCTCAGCAGGTCAGTTACAATTTTGTATTCCTTTTTACATTATTCATGATCATCTTTATAATATCTCTTTTGCATGTAAATTTCACAATTTTTCTTTACCATATGAAAATGAATCAGGGTGGAGCAGGTAATCTGAATGAGTCAGGGTGGAGCAGGTAATCTGAATGAGTCAGGGTGGAGCAGGTAATCAGAACGAGTCAGGGTGAAGTAGGTAATCATAAAAGGCTTCTTTATGAGGAAGTTAAGTTTAAAAGTAGAAGGCAAAGAATTGAACATACTGACATATTGATTCTTTGAAAAGAAAATTAGAACTCATGTCTAACAGAGTTTCATCTGTGTAGTTCTCCCAGTTAGTGCTACAGTTCTGTGGTCTCAGGGGCTGCACGTGGCTCCACTAGGCATTGCCTTAGTTGGGACTCTTTGGCAGCTGTGCCCCTGCAATAAATCTCTGTCTGGGTCTCCAGGTGGTTTGAGATATCCTTTGAAACCTAGGAGGAGGTAGTCATGCCCCTACCGCTCTTATATTCTGCAGGTCTAATAGACTTAACACTATGTGGACACCACCAAGGCTTACCACTTGTACCTTCCATGGCAGCAGCATAACTCACAACTGGGGCTGCTTGGGCCACAGAAGGTGTGGCTGAGAGGAGATGTGCTGGAATGTGGGGAGCAGAGTCCCAAGGCAGCTATGGGCAGTGATCTGTGAGGGGCACCCTTGGCCCATGCCATGAATCAATTCTGCTGTCATAGAGCTCTGGACCTGAGATGGGTGGGGAAGCCTCAAAGGTCTCTGAAATGCCTTCAGGGTCTTTCTTCTATTGTCTTAATAAATAGCACCTGGCTTCCTTCAATCCATATGAATCTCCTTAACAAATAGTCTCTTGGCTACAACCTTAGTATTCTCTCTTAAACATCTCTTACTCTGTATATGGCCAGCATGCAAATTTTCCAAATATTTTCATTCTGCTTCTCTTTTAAGTATAAATTCTGTTTTCAAGTAATTTATTTGCTCTCACATCTCATAGTAGGTGTGCAAAACTAGCCATTCAGCAGCCTAAATTTTTTGCTTGTTAGCTATTTATTTCACCCAATATTTTAGTTCATCACTCTCAAATTTTGCCTTTTATAAAGCCCTTGGGCACGGATATAGTTCAGCCAAGATCTTTGCTACTGTGGAACAAAAATGGCCTTTGCTCCAGGTTCCAGTATCTGTTTCTTTAGTTCCATCTGAGATTTCATCAGAATGGCCTTTACTGTCTATTTCCACCAACACTGTGCTCATGACAACTTAAGTAATCTTTAAGAAAATTCAGACTTCTCCTCTAGCACTTGTCTTTTTTGATGCTTCACTACAATTCCTCTTAACATTCTATTCATGAAAATACAAGATTTTTCTAGCTGCCCTTTCAAATTCTTCAAGCCTCTACCCATACTCAATTCCAAAATTGCTTCTCCATTTTCAAGTATTTGTTAAAGACACAACCCCACTCCTGTTGTTAATTTTTTGTTTTAGTTTGTCTTCTATTTCTGTAACAGAATACAGCAACTGGTGATTTTATATAAAAGATACATTTATTAAACTCATGGTTCTAGATGCGGGAGGTACAAGAGTATAGTGCTGCATTTGGAGAGGATCTTCTCATGGAGAACAGGTGAAAGGTCAAGAGAGCATAGGAGAGAGAGCTCACTTTTATAACAAAGCTACTCTCTCTATAACTAATCTACTCCTCCAATAACTAACCCACTCCTGAGATAACAGTATTAATCTGTTAATGAGGGCAGAGGCCTCATGCGTGACTCAATCACCTCCCAAAATGGCCTCTCAACAATTTGTAGAAAATGAGATATCAATTTCTAATTCCTCCCCTGAATTCTGAATGAAAAATATCCCACAAAGTTGATAGTTTATTCAGGGCTTACCCCTTTTGCCTTGGAGGAAAGACATGCTATGAAATGAAGAGAATATAAATTTCACACATGCCAGTCTATCACTGCTTAGGACTTAATTAGAACTATAAGAATACTGAACTTTTAGGGGGAGCATTTAAACCCTAGCATCTCCTTTTCTTACAGCTTTTAGTAAAAATGTCTTAAAATTATAAATATGTATCTTTTCCAACTCTGTTGTGTCTTTCTCAAAGACCTGAGAAACCATTTCTTTGAAATATAATCATTGAAAGAATAAAATCTCTATTTCCCAGTCACTATAGAAGAATAGAATACTAATTTCCATATCTACCAGGTAGCAAAAAAAGCCAGTCTAATCAAATTTAAAGTGAACAACCCTTTGTAATTTTTCACTTTTCTTATTTTACTGAGCCACCTCTTGTCTTCTCCCTCATTCTACCTTTAGAACACCCAGTCACCCCTGCATCAATCAGAATGAAACTTACCTTTTTTTCTACTGTCAGTAGTCACTGAATGTAATACGATGTCACTATTTTAGCTGTCTTTCTGTGTTTATTTTTGACAATCCACTGCTTTATCCTGAAGCCCAGTTTGTGTGGTATTGAGGTAAATGGAGAATATTCATTAAAGATTTCTTTCAATTAACAAATTGAGAATAGGAATCAGATTGAAAGAAATCTTTTTCTTTTATAGAATAGGGTTGAAAACTTTTCTCCTGATATGCCAATTAGGATATAAGACTCTCTTTAGACACTATCATTTTTATAGACAGAGGTCAATGTTTCAAGTTCTTAAAGGAAATAATCATGTTCATTATTTGAATCTTCATAAGATTTTGGCAATGACATCTCTGAAGGATTACATACATTTTACTTCCTTAGAGGAATTTTTATGGTTACACCCTAGCTGTCATTGCCCTCCTGCAAATGGTTCACTGATCATTCCCTGTGTTTCATTTTCTGCTGTTTGAAACCAATCACAAAGAGGTTTCTGTTTTCAGGTGATACTGCTTTCTACTTTCCATCCACAACTGTTTTTTGTAGACATCTATTTCTTTCATATCTACCAGTTTTACCAGTTTTGACATGTATTAGAGACAGGAATTAATATTATTACCATCCAAACATATTTCAATAGTTATGTCACACAGTGTACTATGGCAATGATTCTTTTACAAATGGCTGCATAGACGCATAACAAAATAAACATCTAGTACATTTGGAATAGACCCATTCTTTTTGCTTAGAATCAGAAAAATTTTGAGAAATTTCTATTTTTATTCAGGTAAAAAATAGTTAATGAATTTCTTTTGCAGATGAGTCATTTAGTGGAGAACTTCTCTTGACACATTCAAATATATTGACAATCAAATTTGAGTAATTCTGTGAGAGTGAGGATGTTTGTGTTGATTTACTTTCCCTGGCTGAATCTGAATTCTTTCTGAATGAAGAGCTGTGTCTCCGAATGCTGTCTATGGGTTCCATTGATTTTTATAATCCATTTAATTGGTATTTTGTATTTTACCAGGTCCAGTTAGGTTTATCCTAGCCAGAAGCTAGGTCTGTATCTATTTGCTCTTAGCAGACCAGTTAAAATTTTGTATTCCTTTTTACATTATTCATGATCTTCTGTATAATATCTCTTTTGCATGTAAATTTCACAATTTTTCTTTACCATATGAAAATTTTTGATAAATGCAATCTAAATTACAGAATGAATAATTAATTCTCTATATTCCCAAAGATGATCTGAGTGTAACACAGTAAATGTGTACATTCAATCACTCTTTACAAAAGACCCCTAACATTAGATATTTTTGGTCATGAATTATAGCTCATCAGCTATCTAAGAGCATAGTCACACATTTTCTTAAATCATTGGTAAAATATAAAATTATATAGATTTATATAAATACAGATTTCAGTCATAATGATGTTTAAATTTAAATTATTTTTCCTACTGTAGGTTTCTTTCCAAACTCTCTAACAACACCAGTAGTCCACCATGGCACCTTTGTATTTATTTGTGGTGGGCTAATCTGAAAATGTTAGGCAACAGAGCAAAAGCATTATGAAGCCAAAGGGGAAATAATAACTATAGAATGTACACCATATACTGCATTCTACTGAATCCTCAACAAGTAGCATTGTGCCTGATATGGTTTGGCTGTGTCCCCACCCAAATCTCATCTTGAATTCCCAAGTGCTGTGGGAGGGACCCAGTGAGAGGTAACTGAATCATGGGGGCACATCTTTCCCATGGTGTTCTCATGATGGTAGGTGGGTCTCACGAGATCTAATAATTCCATAAAGAGGAGAAATGTCTCCAGGGCATGTCAGAGGTCTTTACGGCAGCCCCTACCATGACAGGCCCGAAGTCTAGGAGGAAAAGGTAGTTGTGTGGGCTGGGCCCAGGGTCCCCATGCTGTGTGCAGCCTGGGGACTTGGTGCCCCACATCCCAGCCACTCCAGCCATGTATGAAAGAGGCCAATGTAGAGGTCCAGCCATGGCTTCAGAAGGTGCAAGTCTCAAGCCTTGGCAGCTTCCATGTGGTGTTGAGTCTGCAAGTCCACAAACGTCAAGAGTTTGGAAATTTCTGCCTAGATTTCCGAAGATGTATGGAAAAACCTGGATTTCCAGGCAGAAGTTTGCTGCAGGGACAGTGCTCTCATGGAGAACCTCTTCTAGGGCAGTGTGGAAGGTAAATGTGGGGGCTCTGACATTAGGCAAAGAGTCCCTACTTGGGCACTGCCTAGTGGAGCTATGAGAAGAGGGCCATCATCCTCCAGACCTCAGAATGGTAGATCCACTGACAGCTTGCAGCAAGCACCTGAAAAAGCAGCAGGCACTCCACACTAGCCTGTGAAAGCAGCTGGGAGGAAGGCTATACCCTGCAAAGCCACAGGGGTGGAGCTGCCCAAGACCATGGGAACCCACCTCTTGAATCAGCATGACCTGGACATGAGACATGGAGTCAAAAGAGATCATTTTGGAAGTAAAATTTGACTGCCCCACTGGATTTCAGACTTGCATGGGGCCTGTAGCCCCGATGTTTTGCCAATTTCTCCCATTTGGAATGACAGTATTTACCCAGTGCCTGTATCCCAATTGTATCTAGGAAGTAACTAACTCTGCTTTTGATTTTACAGGATAATAGGTGGAAAGGACTTGCTTTGTCTCAGATGAGACTTTTGACTGCGGACTTTTCAGTTAATGCTGAAATGAGTTAAGATTTGGGGGACTGTTGGGAAGGCATGATTGGTTTTGAAATTTGAGGACATGTGATTTGGGAGGGGCCAGCGGTGGCAAGATATGGTTTGGCTATGTCCCCACCCAAATCTCATCCTAAATACCCGTGTGTTGTGGGAGAGACCTGGTGGGAGGTAACTGGATCATGGAGGCAGGTCTTTCCCATAGTGCTCTTGTAGTGGTGGGTGGGTTTCATGAGATCCGATGGTATTATAAAGGGGCAGTTTCCCTACACAAGTTCTCTTTTTGCTAGCTGCCATCCATGTAAGACATGACTTGCTCCTCCTTGCTTTCTGCCATGATCATGAGGCTTCCCCAGTGACACAGAACTATAAGTCTAATTAATCTTCTTTTTTTTTTTTTTTGGTAAATTACCTAGTCTTGGGTGTGTCTTTATCAGCAACATGGAAATGGACTAATACAGTACCTAATATGCAATTTCTTAAATGAGTAGCTGACTGAAGGAATGCATTGATGGTTGAATTTCAAGGTATGCATATATTTAATAAATGTTTATTATCAGGTGATAAATATTTGGTTATCATTTTTGGATTAATTTAGACTAGGATTTACCAATCCCAATCCTATTAACATTTAGTGACAGATAATTCTTTATTGTGGGGGCTGTCTTATGTTTTGTAAGATGTTTAGTACTATCCCTGGCCTTTATCGACTACATACCAGTAGCACCTCCTGCCCACTTTGTGACAATCAAAATTGTCTCCAGATGTTACCAAATATCCCCTGGGAATCAAAATCAACCCCAAGAGAACTACTTATCCAGGATGACTCCATATTATCATAATAATTATGACATAATATGTAATGGGGGTTAAGGAGAAACTCCAATTCAATTTTTTTTCAAATTATCATGATTATTATTATTTTTTGTGTCAGGGTCTCACTCTATCACCCAGGCTGGAGTGCAGTGGCACAGTCATGGCTCACTGCAACCTTCTCCTCCCAGGTACCAGCGATTTTCCCACCTCAGCCTCCTGAGTAGCTGGGACTACAGGCACATACCACCATACCAAGCGGCTAACTTTTTGTATTTTTTTGGTAGAGATGGTGTTTCATCATGCTGGCCAGGCTGGTATCGAACTCCTGACCACAAGGAATCCACCCACCTCAGCCTCCCAAAGTGCTGGGATTACAGGCATGAGCCACCAAGCCTGGCCCCATTTTTTTTTTCAAATTCTAATAGAATTGATTCCTAATTGGATGCTATGCTTGGTTTTTATTAATAAAAATCCATTAGAAGTCTCAGGATACAAAATCAATGTGCAAAAATCACAAGCATTCTTATACACCAATAACAGACAAACAGAGAGCCAAATCATGAGTGAACTCCCATTCACAATTGCTTCAAAGAGAATAAAATACCTAGGAATCCAACTTACAAGGGATGTGAAGGACCTCTTCAAGGAGAACTACAAACCACTGCTCAACGAAATAAAAGAGGATACAAACAAATGGAAGAACACTCCATGCTCATGGGTAGGAAGAATCAATATCATGAAAATGGCCATACTGCCCAAGGTAATTTATAGATTCAATGCCATCCCCATCAAGATACCAATGACTTTCTTCACAGAATTGGAAAAAACTACTTTAAAGTTCATATGGAACCAAAAAAGAGCCCACATTGCCAGGTCAATCCTAAGCCAAAAGAATAAAGCTGGAGGCATCATGCTACCTGACTTCAAACTATACTACAAGGCTACAGTAACCAAAACAGCATGGTAGTGGTACCAAAACAGAGATATAGACCAATGGAACAGAACAGAGCCCTCAGAAATAATGCCGCATATCTACAACTATCTGATCTTTGACAAACCTGACAAAAACAAGAAATGGGGAAAGGATTCCCTATTTAACAAATGGTGCTGGGAAAACTGGCTAGCCATATGGAGAAAGCTGAAACTGGATCCCTTCCTTACACCTTATAAAAAAATTAATTCAAGACGGATTAAAGACTTAAATGTTAGACCTAAAACCATAAAAACCCTAGAAGAAAACCTAGGCATTACCATTCAGGACATAGGCATGGGCAAGGACTTCATGTCTAAAACACCAAAAGCAATGGCAACAGAAGCCAAAATTGGCAAACGGGATCTAATTAAACTAAAGAGCTTCTGCGCAGCAAAAGAAATTACCATCAGAGTGAACAGGCAACCTACAGAATGGGAGACTATTTTTGCAATCCACTCATCTGACAAAGGGCTAATATCCAGAATCTACAATGAACTCAAACAAATTTACCAGAAAAAAACAAACAACCCCATCAAAAAGTGGGCAAAGGATATGAACAGACACTTCTCAAAAGAAGACATTTATGCAGCCAAAAGACACATGAAAAAATGCTCATCATCACTGGCCATCAGAGAAATGCAAATCAAAACCACAATGAGATACCATCTCACATCAGTTAGAATGGCGATCACTAAAAAGTCAGGAAACAACAGGTGCTGGAGAGGATGTGGAGAAACAGGAACACTTTTACACTGTTGGTGGGACTGTAAACTAGTTCAACCATTGTGGAAATCAGTGTGGCGATTCCTTAGGGATCTAGAACTAGAAATACCATTTGACCCAGCCATCCCATTACTGGGTATATACCCAAAGGATTATAAATCATGCTGCTATAAAGACACATGCACATGTGTGTTTACTGCTGCACTACTCACAATAGCAAAGACTTGGAACCAACCCAAATGTCCAACAATGATAGACTGGATTAAGAAAATGTGGCACATATACAACATGGAATACTATGCAGCCATAAAAAATGATGAGTTCATGTCCTTTGTAGGGACATGGATGAAGCTGGAGACCATCATTCTCAGCAAACTATCACAAGGGCAAAAAACCAAACACCATGTGTTCTCACTCATAGGTGGGAATTGAACAATGAGAACACATGGACACAGGAAGGGGAACATCACACACTGGGGCCTGTTGTGGGGTTGGGGGAAGAGGGAGGGATAGCATTAGGAGATATACCTAATGCTAAATGACGAGTTAATGGGTGCAGCACACTAACATGGCACAAGTATACATATGTAACAAAGCTGCACGTTGTGCACATGTACCCTAAAACTTAAAGTATAATAAAAAAATCCATTAGAAAATTATTTATATTTTTCCAAATATTTTATTCAATAAATAATAGTTTCAAATGAGATGATTATGATCTTTTTCATAGTTATTTAATAAACCTCTATGTTTCCTATGCAAAAGTAGTTTTATATTTTACAATACTGCTTTGTTTGGCATTAAAATTTTTTTAAATCCACCTTAGTTTTAGTAATACCACAGAATATCTGACATTAATTCTGTTCTTAATATGTTTTATGAGTTTCAATGATTAGTAAACTGATAGCTTGATTTTATTGTGAAACACCTTGTTATTTCTCCCTCCACCCTTCTGATAGTGCTTGGATATTTGTCTTAGCATAAATCTCATGCTGAAATGTAATCCCTAGTATTGGTGGTGAGGCCTAGTGGGAGGTTATTGGATCTTGGGGGCAGATTTCTTATGAAAAGTTTAGCTCCATCTTCTTGGTGCTGTTTTTACTATAGTAAATGAGTTCTCACAAGATTGGTCATATAAGTGTGTGGCATCCCTTCTGCCCCTACTCTCTCTCTCTCTCTTGCTCCTACTTCACCATGTGACGTGTCTGCTTCCCCTTTGCCTTCTGCCATAATTGTAAGCTTCCTGCGGCCTCCCTAGAAGATGAGCAGATGCCAGCACTCTGCTTCCTAGAAATCCTACAGAACTATTAGCCAATCAAACCTCTTTTCTTTATAAATGACCTAGTTTCATGTATTTCTTTATAGCAATGCAAGAATGCCCTAATACATCTTACTTCCCCCATTTAGGCAAAAATTGTGCCTTCTGTTTTTTAATGCCCCAATAATAGGGTTTATAATGCTGAAAAAAGGCATATAATAGTATCTAAATTTTTAGTTTTGGTTGCTTAAGTAGATCTTTTGTGTAATGACAATGGAGACAGTGGTCTTCAAAATCATACTTTTCGAGTAAAAATTTCAAATGTTTTAGAGAAAAATGTTTTTTGTAAGTAAAATTCCCTTTAGATATGGACTCTGTAGCATAGCTCTATGGCTAGTCTAGGGTCCATTTGCATGTTTGGTTAACTGACTCTTGCTCAAGTTCCTAAGTTCTAAGTCTGGGAATATCGTAGCCCATATGCTTTGGACTGGGAAGACTAAAAGCCTGAATAAAGCCCAAACTCATGCCTATATGTTTTTAATCTACTGCATACCACACTCTTACTGTATAATGAAACATGCTAAGATTGATGACATATATTTAGCCTAGATGAGATACTGAGACAGTTTCTGCCACTTTCCTGCCTCTTATCTAATCTTTTCTCTCTTTCTCCATTCTTCCCTCAAATACACAAACACACACACACACACACACACACACATTCACACAATCATTAAGACTGTGAACTACTCAGCTCTAATAACTAGAATTGAAGTACTTATTCACTCAGATTTCAGGAGTGATGGCTACTAACAATTCACAGTTTATATCACCTCCAAGACTTATCTTTAACCAAAGAAGCTGCCTCACATAAGTTTTCCTCACGTCTGTCGGTAGTTTGCATCTAAAGGTTTTCCAATTTAAGGAGAAAAACAGCCTGGTCTATTATCTTAATGTGTGACAACTATGAGAGTAGACTTTTCAGAAAGATTACAAGACACTCAGTTAAATTTTAATTTCAGATAAACAACAAACAATTATGGGACATAAGTGTGTCCAGACAATATTTAGTACATACTTAAACTAAAATATATCCTTGCAATAAAGTAATTGTTTATCAGAAATTCAGATATAATGTGGAATCCTGTATTTTTTTATTTGCTAAATCTGGCAACACTATCTGAAAAGCTATGTCAGAGATTTCTGCCCCATCTTACTTCCCTCACTCTCAGGCAGGTGTTATTTCAGTGAACTCACCTCAATAAACTACCTTCATTCTAATAACTATCTCAGAGTTTGTTTCCCAGGGAACCTTATCTATGTCAGTTGATGCTAATTATGTTCCAAAAAATAAGACTCTGAAATTAAATTTTTGGAACTGAAGCATCTGCCTACCAGCTGGCAGTGAAAACCCTATGACTGGCAGTAGTCGGGGTACTAAGAACTTCTGACATGCAATCATTAGAATTTCTCTGGTAACATACCAGTATGGGATACTATTAGAAAAAGCAAAACAAAACAAAATAAATTCTTGTTGAAATATCTCAGATCTGGGGCATTTTAGAAATTCAGGAGAAATAGTAACTATAAGGACAGTGGAATACGATAGCTATTGCTAAGAGCCATTTATACATAGGGATTTAAAAAGAGCTAAGAAAGGCTCAGAGTGATTAATCACTAATTTAAGGCAACACATCACATAAGTACATACAAACAATCATCTCCCATGTCTGGAGGGTAGGTAAAGCTAACAATCAGACCTGAGTCTTAATTAGAAGAATAATAAAAGTACAGAAAATTCAACAATCTAAATCCTGAGTGTTATGTCGAGAAGACTATGACTGAAAAAAAAAAGGATGATAAGACATAGAATAGTGAAACCTTGGTCAGAAATCTGAATCCCCAGAGTTTTACCCCTCAGGGCCTAAAAATATGAATTTTATTGTCTGAAAGCTAGTCCTTTTCCCTTGCTTCAAAGAAATGCAGAAACCTCTGCCTTATAACACCTGTGTCTTCTCAAGATGTATCCCAATCTCCCTAACAACCACTAGACCAATATGTAAAGATTGGTTTCAATATAAACGGTCCAAAAAGGTGCTACTAGTAAGTATTCTACTATAAGACGTAAGGGACTATACTTCAGAGAAGATGTAGCACCTAGCCTATATGTACTGTTAGGATCTAGGAGCATGTACATGGAACAGAGTCCTATAGAGATTAGACCACAACTGGATGAATATAAAGTATAATAAAGAAAGTCTATTACTATGAAAGGACTCCTCCTTGTTAAGAATTTAATACCATGAATAAAATCTTGTAATATAGGACTAACATCCTATTAGTATGGCTTTTGGAAGATTGGAGAAAGTGATGGTTCACACAAAGTAAAGTAGAAATGCCAGAATTTTCATGTTAGGTGGGTCAAGGTAAACATGAAAAGGCTCAATGAAGTTGGCAGGCTAAAGTAGTTGTATTATTGCCGACTACTTTCCCCAAAAGGGCCTACATATTTCTCCATTTATCAATGTGATAAGGAATGCATTGTGAGAAGGTCACCATCATCATTGGATCAATGGTATATCCCTACAAAGGACATGGTTGATAGTAGTTCCTTGATAACAATGAGGGTGCTTGGATCTCAGAATAACAGAGTTAGGATTGCAGCACTTAACTATCAGAAAACAGATAAGCAAAACTATTGAAATAGGAAAATAAATTCATTAGAATGGAAACCAAAATCCAGTTTCAAAACTATGGAAATTGTTGGTAGAACATAGCCTTCCTATGAACACAGTAAACAAGCAACCTTTAAGTCTCTTCTCAATTTATGCAACCAAAGAAATGAAGTGTACATGATTATAATTCAAAGAGCAGCCTATATAATGAAAAATCATATTTCCCCACACAGTTTTCAGACATGTGTCAGTTTTAAAATCCAGAACCCATTTGTGGAAGAAGAGGCCAGTTTCCCATGAGAAAACAATTTGCCACTACAGCAAGTTTATACAGTAATGATTACTAATGTTCTTTCCCATAAAAGGCATATGGTAATTTATTCTAACTGTAAATTGAGGAAAGGGAAATACCAAGACATTTCAAGAATTCCTACACACAGATCTAATTTGACATTGGTATTCAAATATGCCAAGCATTTTTACAGCCCTCATGTTAGTGGGGGACTTGCAAAAATAGAATCTTGTCTTATGTCTAGTTCAAAGAAGGTCCATTGAGTCCATGGACCACTCAGTGATGATTCCCCTGATCTCTTGAGTGAACAGTATAACAGAGGCAATTGGTAATTTTTAGAACCCCAATATTGGTCTGTTAAGTAAGAGCTATCATGACTGGAAAGATCAAATAAAAGCTGTTGAGCTGATCCGTGGCTCTGTCAAGACAATAAGGTGAAAGCAATGTTGCATCTCAAAAGAAATGGCAGAACATCCTTAAGTATTCAAGTTGTGCAGTGATGTTCATCCCCATTATCTCCCCCCTTTAATTCCCAAATTTGGCCATGACAAAAGCCAGATGAACCCTAGACAATGACAATGGGCTACTGAATATTCAACCAGCTAGTGATCAAATATAATATCTTTGCTACATCTCAGTAATATAATCCAAGGTATGTGATATATGACCATTGATCTGGGTTGTGTATTGTTTACCATTATGAAGGGAAATTGTACTAGAAAGCAGTTTTCATCGATCTAGGATGAACTACAGAATATATTTTATTTGTCCCAGAGCTATATTAACTCTTCTGCCCACTGTCATAATACAGTTCAAAGGGAACTATAACATCTGTACACTGTGCACAATATTACATTATCTTGGTCTATTGATGACATTATGATAATTGGACTATACTTGCATTAGTACAAAGTGATAGGAACACTGAAGTCCTGATAACACACAAGGATCCCTAAGGATAGGTAATAAATTCCACAAAACCTAAGGACTCATTAGATCAATGAAGTGTATTAATGGGTTTAATAGTGTGGGGCATGCTAAAATATGCCCCACAGAGAGATGGAATAAATTATCAAATTAATGCATCTCATATGTCTCACCACTTTTTAAAAAATATACAACCAAAACACTTTCTTCCCAACTCACACTTATGGCTACATGGTCTGAGGTTATTCATGTCAACCTGATGAAAATGAGTAACGTCCATGATTGGTTCACAAAGAAGTTGGCTACATATTTGGATGCAAGATGAAAATAGACTATTATTGCTTTTCTGTACTATTCAGAGGTGGCCCTGTAATACTGCATTGAGGGGAAATCTTCTCAAGGATTAGATGTTCAGGACATGTACCTCATCATCTACTTTGTATAAAAAGAAAATCCAGTATTAGAATATACATAAACTCATGGACAGTGTCAAGTTGCTAAGCCCCATGAACAGGCTCTTAAAGGAATAAAGATTAAAAGTTAAAGGACAAAAAGTTCTGTAGAAGCAGCATGTGCACAGACTTTTGGGAGCACACATGGATTGTGAAGATCTTTGTATTGAATACTAAAGGCCATAAAATAAGTTATTTTTTAAAAATGCTTTTAAAAAGCAACTACATAGTTGCTTTTAACATCAGCCAGTTTCTTTCATTGGGTATCTCCAATGCTGATATACTGGGCTCATAAGAAGAGGACCATAGTGACAAGGATGGAATCTGTAGATAAACTTAATAGCATAAACTTGCATTCAATAATGACAGCCAACTTACTATTGCTGTTTAATACCCAAGCAAATAGCTCAACACTGAGCTGTAAAGGCAACATCATTGTTCAAAGAGAGCAACCAGTGCCTTGATTACAGGTTGGTACATCAGGCCCATTCCACTCTGAAAGGAAAAGAGATACTGAATGAACAGCATATTCTCTGGGTATGGGATTGCCTTCCTTGACCACAGAGCTTTAGAGATCACCACTACCCAAAGGTTTATTGAGTGTATATTCCACCGACACACAACCCTGAAAAATATCACATAAGAGCAAAGGACACATTACATCAAATGAATTGTGATGACATACATAGGATCTTGGAACTCACTTGTCCTATTACATAACATGCCATCCAGAAGTTTCCAATCAGCTAGAATGATGGAAAGGCTTTTGAAGAGTAAACTGACATGTCATCTTGGAAACGATTCCATCAGTAGCTTGGAAGTCATCTTCAAAAGTGCAGTTTACAGCTTAATCAATGACCATTATATGGTGTTTTATCTCTAACAGGCAAAAACACATGGTCCCAGGAACAAAATAATGTTACTAGAAGTAATATTTTTACCTTAATTCTCAGTGAACCATTTAGGTAATTTGTGTTTGCCATACCTGGAATTCTAGAATTTGCACATCTAGAGTTCTTGTTCCCAGAGAAAATACTACTACCACCAGACACAGCAATAATCCCATTATATTGTAAATTTTGTGTCTTCTGGTCACTTTGGGCTTTTCAATGATGCCAAGAAATAAGAAAGCATGGAAAGGAATAAACATCCTGGCAGTATCGGGGGAAACCACCCCTAATATTTCAATATAGGTTCTTTCTATTTTCCCTAAGTGTTGGCCTGTCTGAGAAATAAAGAGAAAGAGTATAAAGAGAGGAATTTTACAGCTGGGCCGCCAGGGGTGACATCACATATCGGTAGGTCCGTGATGCCCACCTGAGCCGCAAAACCAGCAAGTTTTTATTAGGCATTTTAAAAGGGGAGGGGATGTATGAACAGGGAGTAGGTCACAAAGATCACATGCTTCAAAGGGCAAAAGGGACAACAAAGATCACATGCTTCTGAGGAAACAGGGCAAGGACAAAGCAAAGATCACAAGGCACAGGGCAAAATTAGAATTACCGATGAGGGTCTATGTTCAGCTGTGCACGTATTGTCTTGATAAACATCTTAAACAACAGAAAACAGGGTTCGAGAGCAGAGAACCCATCTGACCTCAAATATACCAGGGAGTGGTTTTTCCCCACCCTAGTAAGCCAGAGGGTAGTACAGGAGACCAGGGTATATTTCAGTCCTTATCTCAACCACATAAGACAGACACTCCTAGAACAGCCCATTTATAGACCTCCCCCCAGGAATGCAATTCTTTTCCTAGGGTCTTAATATTGTATTCCTTGCTAGGAAAGGAATTTAGTGATATATCTTCTACTTGCACATCCATTTATAGGCTCTCTGCAAGAAGAAAAATATGGCTCTATTCTGCCCGACCCCGCAGGCAGTCAGACCTTATGGTTGTCTTCCCTTGTACCCTGAAAATTGCTGTTATTCTGTTCTTTTTCAAGGTGCACTGATTTCATATTGTTCAAACACACATGCTCCACAATCAATTTGTACAGTTAACACAATCATCACAGTGTACCTGAGGTGACGTACACCCTCAGCTTATGAAGACAACATGATTAAGAGATTAAAGTAAGACAGGCATAAGAAATTATAAGAGTATTATTAGAGCAGTGATAAATGTCCATGAAATCTTCACAATTTATGTTTCCTCTGCCACGGCTCCAGCAGGTCTCTCCGTTCAGGGTCCCTGACTTCCCACAACATGGCAGGAGTAATTTTCTCTTATCATTTCTATGAGGTGGGACATCTGATTTACAATAGAACAAAGAAGAATACAGGGGCACCCAGGTGATCCACTGGGAGTCTCCTTTTACTTCCTTTTCTAAATCCAATAGTCAGTAGACATGCCTAACAGCTTAAGAAAAATATAACAACTAAAGCCTTAGAGCTCTCAGGAATAGGTATCTGAGACACGTCATCATGTAGGCCATTGTGTTAATTCGAATTTTCTAAGAAGCATACAGCAAGAAGAAATACAATATACCAAGGCTCTTTTTTTTTGAGAAGTTGAAGAATAATCTTGTGAAGGTTAAAGGAGAGAGGTTAAAAAACCATTAATATCATTATTTGAGTCTAATACATAAGAAGAAGTAAGACAGCAAAGAAAGATAATGCAGGAAGAGCCTCAAAGAGTAGTAGAGCTACAAAAAGGCCTCAATAGTCTAATGGGGAGCTCCTAAGCAATTAGCAGTGATGACATTTCAGAGGAATCTCCCCTCACCCAGCTTAAGCACCCCAGTTATTACCAATCATTTGAGAAAGGAGTGGAGAGAGTGTGGCTTAAGTGTGAATACTGAAGTGGAAGCGAAGGTAAGGTGGCTTAAAGTTGTCAGGCAACTGCCTTAGTATATTGGGTCCTCTTGAAGACACAATTGAGTAATACCTCTCCATGCTTGCCACAGATCTGGACCAGCAGAGGTACTAGCTAAAAGGGAAGGAAATCTAGAATGAGTTGTGAAGGAGGAAAAGGATTAGTATTAGCTGCAGCCTGAGATTAATTGCAGTGACAGGGTCTCTAGCTCATCCTGCCAAATATTTTTGAGTTTTCACAGAAAAAGAGAATAACCACAGAATCTTTGAGCTGTTTGCAGATGTGTGAATTTATTATATGAATCAATGCATCAAGTGACGTAGGGGTACACTTAGTGATTGCTGCAGGTGTCTCAAGATTCCCATTCTGGGATAGAGGCACTTATTTCCACGATTCAGAAAGAAATAGCTTACAGTTCACAACTGTATCTATCCTTCTCCATGAATAGTCTTTGCCCAAAGAGTTAAGCAAATCTCCATTTCTGAGTCTATTTCCTGCAGAATTCAACCTTCTGTACATAAAGATACACAGATGATAGATGTATATATGTACAGATACATAGTACACTTACACAAATATATAACATGAGGACAATCATGAAAAAGCAAGTTTGAATTTGCAGGAGTCCTGAAATAATTCTCATACTCAGATTTATGATCTGAATTCCTGTTGAATAACGATTTGTGTGTTTGATCCCTTACTTTAAGAATTATTGCTATTTATAATACTTTGAATTGATGTATTTTTTTCAGAGCTCTGACTAGGTCTAGCATAGCAAGAAGCTAGCTCTTTTAATTGTATTTAAAAGTGTTACCATTATGTGCGTGTGCAGCAGTTTTTCTTACTTTTCTATTTCTGTATTTCCTTCTCCTCAACATGTCATTTTATTCTATTATGTTGCAGTTGCTTATAAAAAAACAACTTCATTGGCATATAATAAACTGAGCATACATAAAGCATACAATTTGATATATGTTCACATATAAATATACCTGAAACAATCACCACAATCAATATAATGAAAATATCATATTAAATGGGGAAAAGTTGAAAGCATTTCTCCTGAGAGCTGAAATAAGACAAAGAAATCCATACTCACCACTTCTGTTCAACATAGCACTGGAAGTCTTAGCCAGAGCAATCAGGCAAGAGAAAGGAATAAGCATTCAAATTGGAAAAGAGGAAGTCAGACTATTAGCGTTCACCAGTGATATGATCATATACCTAGGAAACCCTAAAGACTCCTCCAAAAGACTCTAGATTTGATAAACAAATTCATTAAATTCTCAGGTTACAAAATTAATGTACACAAATCAGTAGCACTACTACCTACCAACAACCATGCTGAGAATCAAATCAAGAACTCAATGCCTTTAATAATAGCTGTAAAAAACCTAGGAATATTCTTAACCAAGGAGGTAGAAGATCTCTGCAAATAGAACTATAAAACAGTGCTGAAAGACATCATAGATGACACAAACAAATAAAAACACTTCCTGTGCTCATGAATTGGAAGAATCAATATCACAAAAATGACCATACTGCCCAAAGCAAAATACAGATTCAATGCAATTTCTATTAAAATCGCAGCATTATTTTTTGGAGAATTAGAAAAAAAACCCTAAAATCCATATGGAACCCAAAAAAGAGCCTGAATAGTCAAGGCAATCCAAAACAAAAAGAACAAATCTGGAGGCATCACATAACCTTACTTCAAATTATGCTACATGGTTATAGAAACCAAAATAGCATGGTACTGGTATAAAAGTTGACACATAGACCAATGGAAGAGACTAGAGAGCCCAGAAATAAAGCCAAACTTACAACCAACTAATCATTAACAAAGTATACAAAAACATTCATTGGGGAAAAGACATCCTATGTAATAAATGGTGCTGGGAAAACTGGATAGCCACATGTAGAAGAATGAAACTGGATTCCTGTCTCTCATCGTGTACAAAAATCAACTCTACATAGATTAAAGACTTAAATCGAAGACCTGAAACTGTAAAACTTCTGGAGATAACCTAGGAAAATCTCTTCTGAAGATTGGCCTAGGCAAAGAATTTATGACTAAGATCACAAAAGCAAACACAACTAAAACAAAAATAAATAAATGGGGCCTAATTAAACTAAAAAGGCTCCACACAGAAAAATAAATAATCATCAGAGTAAAGAGACAACGTAGAGAATAAAATAAAATATTTGCATACTCTGCATCTGACAAGGGATTAATATTAAGGATCTAAAAGGATCTCAGCAAATCAGAAAAAAAAGTAAAAAGAAAAAATCTCATCAAAATGTGGGCAAATCACATGAATAAACAGCTCTCAAAATAAGATAGACAAATTGTTAACGAACATATGAAAAAATGCTCAACATCATTCATCTTCAGGGAAATGCAAATTAAAACCTCATTGAGATACCACATTACCCCTTCAAGAATGGCCATTAATATAAAGTGTCAAAAAACAATAAATGTGGTGTGGATGTGGAATTATACACTGCTAGTGGAAATGTAAATTACTAAAACATCTGTGGAAAACAGTATGGACATTTTTAAAAGAACTTAAAGTAGATCTACCATTCTATCCAGGAATCCCACTACCAGGTATCTTCCCAAAGGAAAATAAGTCATTACATCAAAAAGACACCTGCATGTGTATGTTTAGTGCAGCACAATTAAAAATTGCAAAGGTATGGGACAAACCTAAGTGTTCATAGACCAGTGAATGGATAGAGAAAAGGTGATATGTATACACCATAGAATACTACTTAGCCATAAAAGAGAGTATAACAATGCCCTTTGTAGCAACTCGGATGAAGCTGGAGGTCATTATTCTAAGTGAAGTAACTCAGGAATGGAAAACCAAATACTGTATATTCTCACTTACAAGTGGGAGCTATGCTAAGGATACCCAAAGGCATACACAGTGGTAGAATGGACTTTGGAGACTCAGAATGGGGATGGTGGGAGTGGAGTGAGAGGTAAAAAATTACATATGGGGAACAAAGTACACTACTAAGGGGATGGGTGCAATAATATATCAGACTTTACCACTATACAATTCATCCATGGGACAAAAAAACTCACTCAAACCAAAAGCTATTGAAATTAAAAAAAAAAAAAAGAACTCCCTAAAAAACAGGTTTCAGAATTTTTGGATTCATAAATATAAACCAAACTATACTAGAAATTATATTTAAATTAGATGGCTAATCAAACTGAAATAAATCATATTTAGTATTTGAATTTCTCTCCACAGTTTTTATTTCAGTAAATAAGCTTTAAAAATATGCAGTTATAATAAAAAAGCAGTCACAGCAGGTGTATTTCAAATTGAGTGTAGCAGAGCTATAATTAGACTGTTCTTAATTGTGATTATGAAAAAGGCCTGCAACTGATTGAGAAGAGATTTCAAGGAAGCCAGGAGAGAAAACGCTAATGGAGGTGGGGATGGAAGTGGAGAGAAAGATGGGTTTATTAAGGGGGACACTAGTGACACCACAGGAAAGGCAATATCACCACTCTAAAGTACTATTTAGTTAGCAAGAGATTTCAAAATAATACTGAGATCTAAACTCTCAGCCTTTAGAGGTGATGTCTACATTTGCAGACGGGAGGAAGGTTCAAGACCAGGTATTATTTCAGTGTCCAGAATCCAATAGCGGAGAGTTAAGTTAAAACCAAGTCCTGATACCACTTAAACTACTTAAAGTGTGAAATGAACTCTCAAGAGCGGCATCCAGGTTTCAAGTTTTAATTTCGGGGTTTCACATTGGCATTTTACATCAAAGATATGTTTTGTTATTTTCAGACAAATTTACTAATTTTGTGAAATATCTAGTGAAATAATTTATAAGGACGTTGGGTGGTTCACACTTTTCTTACATTTTAATTTCTCAAGTGTGCTTGGATAGTGTATTATCAAAGGTAGTTTTCCATGGAAGCAAATTTCTGTGATGCTGTAAAAATTTGACCCCAAATTTATTTTACATGAAAATAAAACAAAGTTCTTGGGAAATTACTAGAAATTACAATGAAAGACAGATGAAAAGAAACTTTAAAAATTCTGTGTGATGAAATCAGTATAATCAAAATTAAAATACAAGTAGCAATAAGAGAAGTTTTGTGTCATGCACAAAAATACTATATGAACTTTTTATATATATTAGCTAATACAAATGAAGAATTAAAGTGAATCAAAATACCTAACGAAAATGGTTCAAATGAAATTAAGGAAGTTAATTTTAAGTTCATATATTATTTAATAATAGCCACATAAAACTTAGAACTAATTTTTTCAACAGTTGTAAATATTGACTATATTGATAATGACACACATTTTCACAAGGAAAAATGTGTGAAAATGTATATTTTATTACATCTTGGGAGTATAAATCAGTGGAAGATCATTAAAGGGTGAAAAACCTGTACCTATTACAATTTTAAATGTGAATACCTCTGCGCCACAGCCAATAGTTTTTTTTGTTTTTTTTTCCAAATTTCAAAATAAAGATTATTTAAGTAACTTTTAAATACTAAACACAAAGTAAAATTAAATATTCGTTTGGATTTTAGGATCAATATATACTAAAAGATGGAACTATTTCTACAGAAAATATGGGACCAAATTAAAAGAAACCACATTATTAATTAACATGGATTATTATTTCTTCTTTAATTAAAACACATTTAACATATTTAATAGTACCTACATTTAATTTAGATCTTTGCCATGCTAATTTTTATTTAATACACATTTAATTAATATGTATTTAATGTATAAAATATATCTTACTATTTGGAGAAGGAGTTTTTAAGTTTTTAAGGGGTATATTTCACTTTAAAACACTGAGATTCAGGTAGGTCTTTTTAAGCTGGTGCCCTGAGTGCCTCTTTTCACATCCTAGTAATGATGCCTTTAAGAATGCAATGGACATTCCATTAAAAAAAAGGAAAGTTCTATGTTAAGGTGGCGAATATGTGTAGTAAACGATCACATACATTTTTCTTGTTAAACAAGAACTGCGGTATAATTACAAAAAATACCATAATCACACACACACACACACACACACACACACACACACACTTAATGTATGTATATATTGCTTCTCCAACTATTCTTTATTTACTGCGTTGACACCAAGAAAATGTCACTATAAAGACAAATTTGCTATAAATAACCATGATCTTATTTGTAAAAATGTTGCTTCAAACCAGAAAATTTCACGAACAAATCATTCACTTTATACGTATGAATATTAAAAAAGCTAAAAGGTGAATTATATTATACTGAAACTACAACTATGTTTTCAATGATATGACTGAATCAGATTTTATAAGCCAATTTCAGTGAAAAGAAAGAGCTCTTTCCGAGAAGTGTGTTTAATATTTAACACAAAATGAAATTAAATATTTATTTGTTTTTTCTTGAAACATTTATTTATTTAAGCATGCTTTGGTAAATTTCCTCAATTCATTTTTACTAAAGAAATATTCTCTCTATAGTATCGTTTGTAAAGGCAGGAAATTAATGGGTTTTCATTTTGTTGTAGAGAAATGGCACTTTAATAGCGTTACTATTTTAATGTACTGCTATGGTTCAAATGAGTGTATTTCATGTTTTAGTACTTAGAATGTGAATCATTAAAGAGCTTATTTGTTACACTTTTGTGACATATGTTGAATTTGTTTTTTTCTGGTTAAGAACACAAAACATATATCTTTTAAATTTTTCTATTACTTCCATTGTTATTCATTAAATGAGTCCCATTGTAATTTAGTTTTATTTTATATTACTTTATGTTATATTTATATCATTTCATTTTAATTTGAGAGTTCTTTCAGTAAACTTAAAAAAACACATTTTTTAAAGCTTTACTATGAGATGGGTCATTCAGTTATTAACATGGACTGTACCCACGAAGTAAGATTTAATGGCTTGCAGTATTGAATAGAGTTTTGCTAACCTGAGCTTTATGGACAAATGCTTCGGAAGAGTTTATGCCAACAGATAAATGTCATAATTTCTTATTATAGTACATTACTTGAATTGATCTGCCAACTCCCCCTTAACTAAAAACTCATTTCAATAAATGAAATTCAACTCAAAATGAACAAAATTCAAAAATCTGTGTTTTTTAACAGGGTTTGACAAATTTTCTATAAAGGAGCAGACAGCAAATATTCTAATCTTTGCAGTCTATATGATCTCTGTCCTACTGTTCAACCCTATCATTATAGTACAAAAGTAGCCATAAAACACTTAGAATAGGTGTGACTATGTTTTGATAAAACTTTATTTACAAAAGCAGACAGCTAGCCAGATTTGACCAGCCACAGTTTGCCAACCCCTTCACCAGAGCAGTGCTTCTTGAAGGGTGGTCCACAAACCAGCGCTACCAACATCACCTGAGAGCTTCCTAGAAATGTAAATTATCACTTCCTACCCCTACAAGATCTACATTTTGGGGTGTAGTTTCCAGTAGCCTGTGACATAATGTGTCCATTATGTAAAAGAGTATTAAAACACAGATTCCCAGGATTTACATGAAAGATTATGTCTCAGTAGGTCTGGGATGGGCCTGAAAGTTATCAATTTTAACAAACTCTGGGTAATTTTGATGGAGCTAGTCTTCTGACCACACTTTGAATAGAGCTTTCCAGAAGGCATTAAGATGGTGTCATATGTCATCCTACCCTAAATAACTCTCCTACATTATATTTTTAAACTTAAATTAATTTCATTTACTTGATCATTCATTCATACAAATATGAATACATACAAATATAAAAGATATATTTAGTGAGAAACTACTTTGTTATGCATTAGGGGTTCAAAGATGAATCACAAAGACCTCGTTGGTGTTACCAGAAAAAAAATTGAGTAAAACAATTAGTTTAAATGACTAACACAAACAAAATAATAAAAAAGTTTGGATTTATTAAGTAAATAATTATTGAGCATTACAAATACTTGCAATGTTTCCAGTTAATGTGCTAAGTGTTTGGTATACAAAGTTGAGTAAACACAATTCCCAGCACTCAAGGAACAAACTAGTGGAAGAGTAAACAACACACATTTTCTATATAACAGATGAGGTGTCCCATTTAGTTGGTCTCTGAGTGTTCTGAGCAATAGTTATTTAGCCATATGAAGTCTAATGAGAAAGAAGACCATGTGCAATGATAAGGAGGCAGAAATAAATGGTGACTGTTAAAGGAACTTCAGTAATTCACTACTGAGCAGAAATAATGATGTGGAATTGGAAAAGATGAGGTTTAAGATGGAATCAGAAATATTTTGGGGCCTTGAACAATATTTCAGTTTTGGGACTATGGTGGTCCCTCCTATTTAAAACCCAATTAAAAATGTTAATTAGGGAAATCACTTGGTAAGATCTATGTAACCCACACCATCTCTCTGGCAAACTGTGAAGATTTAATCGAAAGGCACAAGACCAAAATGCCACCTCCTGGGCATGGCCTTCCTTAGCCACCCTATTTATTGCTTCCCCCACCATAGTTACCATCCAAAAGGGTAGTCTATGTTATTATCTTCATAATTCTTAGTTCAAAATTAAGTCATTATTTTCATGTGTTTTTTACTTTACATTTTTTTCTCTGCTCCTCTCTCATCAACAGTTTAAACTCATGAAAATTGGGAACTAGTCTTTCTTGATTATTACTATAACATAGTGCCTAGAGGACTGAATGTCATACAAAATATATATGTTGAATAATGTACACATGAACAATAATTACCTAGACAAGTAAGTGAATTGTGGTATATGTGACTGAAATAATTATTACAGAAGAAAAATCACATTTTGTGGAATGGGGGTTACAGTGAATTTCAACTGCCTAGGGGCATCTGGAAGATTTCTGGTAGGTATTTGGCTGTATAGATATTATAGATCTTACAGGTGTCAGTGACCACTTAAGTTATAAAGTTAGATGAGATCTTTAAGGAGAAAATGTATGTAGGGAGAAAAGGGCTAAAAATAGTACCCAGGAAAAATTTGACACAAAAATGATAGGCAAAGGAAGAAGCAACATATGAAAGTGTTCGAGAAGGGCTTGCAAAAGAAGAAAATGAAATCTAGTGGATCATGTAGTTAGAAATGTACTTACCAAAATTTTCCCACAAAGGCAAATTGCCAATCAATATGAAATTCTGAAGAGAGATGAAAAATAATTAAAGTGTTTATTGCATTTGGTAATTAACCTTCATGATTTAATATAGACAAAAATCAATGTTATCATTTCACAAATAAGAAAAGTTAGCATCAATGTGATTGAAAGATTTGTCTAATCTTCACATCTAGTGAGGTATGGAGTCAGAACTGAATCCATATTTAAAGGTTTTTGTTTGTTTCACAATTTACAAACAGATTTTAAAACTGTCAAATGCTATTTTGTCATCTATTAAGGTAGTACACAATGCTTCATAATTTTAAGGACTAACTTCAGGAAATATTTTAATAGATTTAGTATTGCTATACCATTCCCATATTCCTGAAATATATCTTACTAGATACATGTGGCAGAAACTAATAACTGGTCCCTAATACCCCTTCTCTTTTCCTATATGAATTGAGAAATCAGTGCTAGTGGGCCAAATTCCACTCCATCATCTGTTTTTTTTGTGTGGCTAACAAGGTAAGGATTATATTTGAATTTTTAAATAATTTTTAAATAATTTTAAAAATTCAAAAAATTCAAAAAATAGTTACATGTAGTAATGTCAAAAGTAAACAAAATTAAAACTTCAGTGTTCATAAATTAAATCTTACCAAAACACAGCAATTCTAATTCATTTACTTGTTATTCATGATGCTTTTGTGCTGCAGTGGCAGAGTTGGGTAGTACAACAGAGACCATATGGCTCCAAAACTTTAAATAATTACCCTCTGTCCTTTTATAGATAAAGGTTGCTAACCCTTTCTCTAGAGTAATAAAAGATTTAGCTGCATGACCACCCAGCTAAAGAGTAACTTTCCCAGGCTTCTTTGAGGCAGATAGGGCATTGTGACAGAGTTCTGACAGCGAATGTGGAAGCAGACATTATTTGGGCAACGTCAATATAGTGCTGTGTACGCCAACAGTTATGTTCTCCATTCCTTCTTTTTCACTAGCTGGCATGGCACAATAAGGAAATAAACTTGTATTTTTGTTTAAGGTATTGTCATTTTGGTCCTTATTTAAACAGCCAACTCAATATCCTAATCAATACATTGGTCTAATATTAATATTTTAATGTATTCTAATAAATGCAATTTAATTTGTGAGAACTTTAGATTAGATTTTTATCAAAAAACAATTTCTTTTCAGGATGTTTACAAAAAGTGGTTAATTCATTTCTATATAAATAGAAAGTACATATTGCTGAAGAATAACTTTTGAAGCCAATTAACAAATGTTTAAGAAACATGGAAAAATAATTCGCAATTAGAAAGAGTAATTGTGCCTTTAAATGAAAAATTATCAATTTATCTAGTAATCATTAATTTAAATTAAAGTAACAATATGATTACATTTTCACCCAAAATAATCTCCTCTGTTTTCTTTGATAAGGAGGATTATCAATTCATGTGAAGCTTCTGGCTTCTCTTTGCCTTTTGATCACTCCCCCTCTTCAGTGTTTGAAAAATGCATCTGATTGGTAAGAAACTTGACTTAAATCAATCATCCCATCATACTTGTTTTTCTTGAATATGAGCTACTTGCATGAAGCACACATTCCTATCTTTGCCACAAAACATACATCTGATGGGAGAAGGTCCTGTCTGATGTGAGTGTGCAGAAGTGTGATGGTTAATTTTATGTATCAGTTTGACTGGGCCATGGTACCCAACAACATTTGATATTTGATCAAACATTATTCTGGATGTTTCTGTAAAGATGCTTTTTTGGGTGAAATTAACATTTAAATGAATGGACGTTGAGTAAAGCAGATTGCCCTCCATAATATGGGTGAGCCTCATGCCTCATTCAATCAGTTAAAGGAAGTCCTTACTAGAGCAAAGACTGACTTTCCCAAGGAAGAATGTGAGCCAAATCCTTAAAATCTCTCTCTCTCTGTACACACACACACACACACACACACACACACACAACCTGTTGGTTATTTTTCTCCAGAGAACCCTGACTAATACAAGGGGGTAGGAGGGAAACACTGGGAGGTTGCAATTTGGTGGGGGCAAAGCCAATTTTAAATAGAGATATTAAATATATATAATTAATATGTAATAATATTTTATAATAATATAATATATAATTACATATTATATGCTATAACATATTATAATATATAATAGATAAATATAATTATTTCTATATCTATAATTCTTTTCACATGGGCTCCTGCTATGTTGCTTAGGGTAAAATGCAGTTCCTAGTCACAGACAGAATTATAGCACACTGAGCCTCAAACTCCTGGCCTCAAGTGATCCTCTAGCCTCAGCCTCCCAAGTAGCTGGGACAACAGGCTTGTGCCACCTTGCCTGGTGAATTCAATTTTACAGGAGGCTGGCCTCTGACTTTGAATAATACATGAGAAGTATATTTTCAGGAAGCAAAACACATACGGGCTGACTGAGACCTCTTTTATAGGCAAGTCATACAGTTTCAGCTTCTGGACTTTTGTGAGTAGGCCAGGCATATTGAAGTTAGCAGTTTGCAGAAACTAATATTGAATTATGAGGCTGGCTTTTACAGTTTTCCAAAAAAGTCATGTAGCTTTAACAAGCAGCTCTATCCTATAAGCCATAAGGTACTTCGACTCTAGTGGGTGACTATAGTTTATGCTGCATATTTTCCAAAGTCAGTAGCTCTTTCTTTAAAAGGAGTGATCTTACCTTCATTGAAGCAGATGTCAATGAAGCAAAATTTCAAAATATTATGAAGGCAGTTCAAATGTCATCTTTGTAGACTTAGGGAGTCAGATATATATGCTACTTTAAGCTCTCAGGTAGCTGAGCTTAGCATGTGTTTTAAAGCACTGGTAAAGTCGAGTTTTAAATTTTAGATCCAAGTCTATGTAGGCAGCCCTGAATTAGTTGTTTCAGTTTCCATTTTCATTCAGGGTCAAAGCAGTAGTATGAGTGAAGAAGAGAGAGGAGTGAACTCATGTGTTTGTATATAGGCATATGAGCTATCACCAATCTGAGTTTCAACTTAGCTCTATATTAACTAATAACATATGAAGGATGAATCATTTTTTATGAAATGGATTTCTTAGACCTAAGGATTTCCATACCAAGTGGCAGCAGATACACTCACTGTTAACTCAGTTCAAAACTCAACTCTCCAAATAGTTTGAACTACATGTAACTAAATCCAATCTAAGTTCAGTTTACTACTCCAGGGGTGCCAGAAACACAGGGTTAAAAGTAATGACTATTAATATCTTTTAAATATACTGGAAGGAAAAAAAATCTGCCTCCAGTAAGATCTGCTGAGAGGAATTACCACAGTTGTAAATCTCTAAATTTTGCATGCAGACAACACTGTTTCAATATCTCTTTCCAAGACAGGAGACATATGCATAATTGAATATTCTCCATGTGTGCAAAATTCTTTATACTAAATTTAACTTTTTGTAGGAAGCTATTTCCCAATTGAGTTTAAGTTTACAAATTTTAGATTTATGTCAGTTGGTTTTGACTGTTATCCTGGTGAAGCGGAAATGAGGATTTTCCTTGCCTACTCTTCATCCTGCAGATACTTTTGTGTCTTTAATATGGTCCTATGGCAATGCTAGAAACTGTTCTGTGATTAAAGCCTTGTTTAAGGTCACATATCTGGGGACTGGGCATGGGACTGATTCTAAAATTAGGTAGATAGTAGTCAAAAAGTATAGTCATCTTTTGTGTCCTATTAACTCTTTTTACTCTATCAAAGAGGTTCATGAGGGCTTTGGTACTACATTTGTAACATATGAGGAAATGTTGGGGGTAATATTAAATCCAGTGAGAGACAGCCCTGGCAACAACTGGGAGTTTAAGAAATCTTGGTCCCATTTTGACAACTGGCTGGGACTAGACAGAAAAAAAAATGCAACAACAACAACAAAAAGTACAAATCTTATTTTTTATGTTCAACTCACAAGAAAATTAATTTTTAATTTCAGTGTCTTAAAAGTTTGATACTTAGAGGTTTAATTTTCAAGAGTTTTTATGTTTGTGCTTTAATTTACATCAAGATATTTAATAATAGGAGAGATTTTTATTAATTGGGGGCATTTTGATATTACTAGTATTACCATTGGAAACTGTTTTTTGTGCCTTATTGGCATATTCCTTTGCCATTTACTAACAGTGCAAAACTTTTTATAAACTACAGTGGACTGTAAGACTTATAGTCATTAAGGCCCACTCAAGTGTTTTGCAGGGCCAATACTCCCTGTCACGTAGCAGTGTGATGCAATCTTACCTAGGGACTTCCAGAAGAAGATAAGGCCACCTCAGCACATATTTAATTCACATTTGAAAAAAATGAAGTCAGCTGCATGAAAGGAATACAAATTCTCTTCTGGTTCTCTCTACCTTACATTTGTGTGTCCTTGTTTGTTTTTGCTCTTTTCCTGCAATACCCATTCCTTCCATTGGAAAAAGAAACATTAGATATCACTCCACATGAAAACAAAATTAAGAGTGAAGACAAAGCATTCACTTTTGTAAAATTCAAGATTTTAAATGTTTGTGTCTCTTTTGGATTTGACTTTAACATTATGACAAAAGAGACACCAAGGACAATCATTAAGAATGATGGCTTGGAATGAACTGATTCAAATAATTGGGTTGACTCATGGCTTTTATACAAGAGTAGAAATCCTGCTTTGAATCTTCATGCATAGATATTTGTCTAATATTTCTTAAGATTATTTGTTGATTAGATTTTCTTAAAATAAAAATTTACGTCACTAGCACTCGTTGTCAGTATGGCAATGATTTGGGTTTTTCAAGAGTTAGTATAGGTAAAAGTGACTAGCTAACTGGTTTTCTATTTTTCAGTGACATATACAATCTAATCCATTATTTAGCACTGTGTGAGAAGAAGGAAAATCCTAGTGATATCCATGTTAAGGAGAGAAACTACAACAAATGAAGGGGTATTACAGATAATCTAATATCATTCCTAAAATATTCACTACAATAGACTCTTGACTATTCTATTACATCTAAAGTTATGTATCTCACTTTTGTTCTTACTACTGAATTAGCTTTAGTACATAGTGTCAACTATTTTACTTGATAATGATCTTGGAAATTTTTCAAAATAAATTTGTGATATGATAAAAAAAAAACTAAGTAGGTATTTCCAACATATTTAGAAAGCCATTATTTTTCTTTAGTTCATCTGACTTTGGTGTACAGGTATAGAAAGGTACCTAGCTAACAAGGTAGCATATTCTTTACTTCCAACGGTCTTCCATGACCATTCCTATTCCAGAGAAGACTAAGTGGCCCCATATACTAGCAATCAAAAAAGACACCCAGAGGACAGCACTTGGATTCCATATAAAAAGTTAAGACACAAATATCATACACACACACATGCATTATTATTTGCTTATCTTTGTACATACTCCTTGCAAAAATCTCAAGTGTTGTATACCTTCCTATCATTAATAATCTTTATGAGAAATGTAATGCAAAAAAAAAATTCTTCCATGTTCTTCACTTTCTCATTTCTACTTAAAATAATGGCTGGCCTTACATTCTAGGTATTACAAAAGAATAGATAATAGTCTTTCTCTTTCTTTTATTACTATCTACCTTCAGAAAATTTATACCACCTAATATGTAATTTAAAACACTTGCACCACTTTACCTTATCTTCTCTTACTTTTCTTGTCATTCTCTTGTCATATATTTCTTTTACATGTGTTATAAATTCCTCACTTTATTGAAATGTAAATGTATAAATATGTATATATGTATATATATATGAGTGTTTATACATAAAAGTAGTTGCCTTTGAAAAAACAAAATTGCCATAATAATAACCAAATATAATTTATGGTATTCTTCCTTCCAAGGATTCTATACTGCTTTCTGATATAATTTCCCTTAAAATAGAAAACATATTTTAGTCTCTCTTATTATGTGGACCTGCTGGCAATGAATTATCCAAAGTGTCTTTTATTTGAGTATTCACTTTCATTTTTCAAGGGTAGTTTTCCTACATGTAGATTCTATATTGACCTTTTAAAAAATTTAAGCAATTTAAATCCATTGTTCCATCAACTTCTTGTTTGCTTTGTATACATTGATTAGTTATGTGTTACTATTTTTATACTTCTGCATGTGATATATAGTTTTTTTTGCAGCTCTTAAAATTCTTAAGGCTTTTTAAAGTAATTTTGCTACATTATAGTTAAGTATAATGTGTTTTCTGTTTTGATTTTTTTTGTTTTTTAGTTTATTTGATTTTGGCTTTTTAGAGGTTCTCGGATATGTGGGTTGGATTTTTTTTTTATTAAAATGGAAAAATTTAGCTATATTACTTATGCAAATATTTGTATCCTTTGTTCTCTTTTCCCTCTCTTCCTTCCTGGAACTCTAATTGTGTGTATGTTATTCATTTTGATCATGTCTCACATGATATCATGTATTGGTTCCTTTTCTCCTATAATTTCTCTCTGCTTCAGTTGAGTAATTTATATTTAACAGTTCAAACTCAATGATCTTGTCTTCTGTTCAACCTGCTGCTAATCCCATCCAATGCATTTCTATTTTAAGTCTTATATTGCTCAGTTGTAAAATTTATTTTAGCTCTTTTTTAGATCTTATAATTCTGTCTCAAAATACTTCATTTCTTTGCATATGATATCCATTTGTTCCTATACTTTTTTATAATATTTATAATTATTTAATTTATTTTCTAATTTAGTAAATAAACTATTTGTCAGGTTTCTTTTATTGACCTTACTTATCTTAGTTACTAGTCAATTTTTATGTATATATAGGTGAAGTCCAGATATTACATGAAATAAAAAAGTTTGGACTTCATGTCTATAGTTTCGTTTATTTATATGCTAGGATCTAATACCTTTTCTCTCTCTGAGTGGTAAGGTAAGCAGTTTCTACACATATTCTTCATGTGAGCTGGGAAAAATTTGGCTTCTCTTTTATATATTTTTATTATCCTTTGGACTCAACTCTAGGAAGAACCTCATATTTAATCTCTAAAAGAATGTCCAGAACTGCACAATTTCTCTCTTCCTATAAGGGCCTCTTCTGTTGTAATTTCTGTCAAATTTGTAAATTCTGTCAAATCCCTGTCATTGGCCCAAGGATAAGAATCACTGGGCCAATGGATTTCTCTCTTCTTTTCAAGCTCTTCCACTCTCAAACCTGAACCAACAGTTCACACTGTCATTCAAAGCCCTAATGATTTTCTCACATCTCCATATGGCAGCCTAACATAATCAGAAAATGTGTTTGCCTCTGATATTGAAACTGTGTGACTTGCATTTTGCATATGAAGGGCTTTTTCTTCACTGAAATTAAGTTCAGTAATCCTTTATTGATTTTACCATTATTTGCTAGTTGGTTAGAAAATATAATTATTATTTCACCTGAGGTTTTCTATTGTACCAACCGAACAAAGTCCTTTCTTCTTTTCTTATCTCCTGTACAAAATCTGAAGTCTGCCTTTTCTCATTCTTATAATTAAGAGAATGCAAATAATTGTATAATGACGCCTTGTCCAGATTTGGTTGACTTGCAGATTTCCCACTGAACATACCATTAACTCCTTCATTTGTGTTAGATAGATGAATGACTTTTACTGCTGCTTATATAATAATTTTATGTGTATTTTCAATTATTTACATAAAATTTCCTGTTTTATAAGTAGCTCTTTATATTTATATTGTTCTTAAATTATGCTTCAATAATAATTTATTATGAAAGAATAATTATATTCATAACTGCTCCTGATGGACTACACAGATTATGAACTGCCCATAAATTTTTTTCCACAGGATGATGTCATCTAACTAGGACAAATTGCTAAATCAAGATGGATTTCTCTATCAATAGATACTTATCTTTCTATTTGTCAATGTTTATTGTTTGTCTAGATTCTTTTTTGCTGCATTGTTCTTATCAGTACAATGGTTCTTTCATCATAGGACCTTCTCCATAGAACCCACATCTCAAATACTTATCCAAATAATTTCAATTTACTTGGTTACCTCCTGACCAATTTTGATGTTGAACCTAGTTTAGTGTTCACATGCAATTAATGATGTAACATGTAGAACACATGAGCTATTCCCTGGCAATTTTGTGTCTATTTTCTATACAATTCCATCCTTTAGTTTCTGTGATAGACACATTTCACTGGAACCACCATATTTCAATAGGAAACATAATATTGACCAAATATTTTTCTAGTATTCTTTCTTTTTATTGTTCTTTATATTGTTTTTATTTTATATTTTCACCTTTGGCTATTCATTATGTGACACATTTTGACATATTTTGTTGTATTTTTATAAGCTAAATAACTATTAGTAATTTTATTTCAAAAATTTTAGTAGGTAGGTAAATATTCTGCCAACAAATATTCTATTTTAGCTATATCATTCTATTTATTTCAATATATCTGTGCAGTAATCATATTCCTTTCTCCTACTGTACTTTCTCATTTAACTATAATTGTATCAGGTATCATATCATATAACTAAATTTCATACTTCTATAAAACTATAAATGTTAATGAGATGAAATCTACTTTTACTCACCATTTCCTTTTTTGTTATAAAAATATATTCTTTATGTTAGATATTTCTTTCACAATTTACTTATATTTATTTTTTAGACAATCCCATATTTAACTTCAAATATACTTAAAAGTTATTTCTATTTTTAATCTATAATACAGTATTGTACATACAATAGATGCCTTATCATCTGAGTTTTTTCTACTTTTAAATCATATCTCTTTTGAATTATTATCATTCTGTTTTGAATTATCTTTCTATTTATTGCAACAGACATGTTTTCAATTTGCTTCTAATCTCCTATCTATGTTATCGTCTTTGCTTCACAGCATTATATAGGATTTATTATTCATCTATGACATTTTTGTTCCTTGACATCATTTTTTTCCAGTTTCCCCTATAAAATCAGTGCATAGTCTCTAGTCTTATAATGGCTTTAGATGAATGGAAATAAGCAATTTAGTTTATATTAATATGTCTATAAGTATATTTGTATTTATGAACTCATACATTTTAATTTACAACTTATAAATATTTAAATTTATATTTCTAATTTTAACTTTTTTTCTTTTAAAAACAGCAAAATAACATTAATTTTCTTAATATTCCAATTATAGCTTTGGGGTCTTATAGAGACAAACATTCTTAAATCACTTATAACTGTAAGTTAAATATGCATTACTCCTTTTTCATATGTCTTATGCTCCCTGAAGATTATTTATTCACAGCATATATTATTTTTCTTTATGTTATTTATCACTTAGTCTTTTGATTGGAATTAAAGCATCCATTATTGAAAACTAAAATGGCTTCAACATAACTAAATTATATTTAACAAATATTTAGTCTCTTCAAACTTTGTGATTGACATTTGTTCCTGTATTAATCTTAGTATTATTGCCTATAAATAATACAGTCTTCCTTTCAATATTGTTCTCCATATAATTTATGAAATAAAATAAACTGAAAGAAAATGATATTAATATTTTAAAGAAAAGTTAAATACATATACAAAATCATTATTCAAATTGCTCTTTAAAATCTATTTTAAATACAGCTCCCAGAATATATTGCTGTGTGTGTGTGTGCATGTGCAAATGAAAAATTAAGTGGAGGAGAGAGAAAAAGAATATATCTAAAATTTCTCAGCTTCTATTTCTTTTTTATTTATAAATTATGTTTCTATTTCCATGGTTGTACTGACAGAGATAATAAATTGTTGGGAAAAAAATAAAGAAAACGTATATATCTGGTTCAGAATATACTTAAAGCTTAAATGCTACTTAAGGAATCATTTTCTTGTACCTAGAAAATACTTACACATTTCATAAGCAAATTTCTTGATATAAAATTAATTTATTCTACCAAAATATTTTATATCATATTTACCATTTCTAAGAGTAGTCTCTATTCACCCTGAGAGGGTCAATATCAGAAGTCAATACCAACTACTTCTGTTCTTATTTTTTGCAGGTAGAAATTTATCTAAATAATAAATTTCTTTTTATATTAATAAAATGGAAGCTCCCATTTTAACTGTAATGAATTCTTTTATTGCCTAAGCTTTTCTTGATGCTCATGCTTTTTAAAATTTTCTAAGGACAGAAAAGATAATAGCTTGACATAACTTGAAATATCAAGTCCTCTATATACACTAATTAGTCATCAGATACGGTTTGGCTGTGTCCTCACCCAAATCTCATCTTGAATTGTGGTTCCCATAATCCCCACATGTTGTGGGAGGGACTCAGTGGGAGGTAATTGAATCATGGGGGCAGTAACCCACATTTTGTTCTCATGACAGTGAGTGAGTTCTCACAAGATCTGATGGTTTTATAAGGGGCTTTTCCTTCTTTTGCTGGGCACTTCTCTGTGCTGTCATGTGAAGAAGGACATATTTGCTCCCCCTTCTGCCATGATTGCAAGTTTCCTGAGACCTCCCCAGCCCTCTGGAACTACAAGTCAATTAAACCTCTTTCCTTTATAAATTACCCAGTCTTGAGTATGTCTTTATTAGCAGCGTGTGAATGGACTAATACATCATCTCTAAGTATAATATTGTTTCATTGTAACAGTATTTAGAAAGAAAATTATCATGACTCTAATTTTATTTTATATATTCTTTCTGGTGGCAGAGTCTGGAAACAACCATAGAAATGGCACCTCAGATGGGGAAGGAAATGAAGAACAAGTCATCGGCTTTGAATTTCAGGGGCTGAAGTAGAGAATATATTTGATGTCTGCCACATTTTTTTACCCTTCAGTGACACTTCTGTCCATGTTATTGATATCACTGACAAATAAACTATCTGCTGCATGACTGGGGGATGAAGAATAAGGGTGATCGAAATGAATTCTCACCTTAAACTACCATGTTGGCCATCCACAATGTGGCCCAGAAGTGCAAGGGTCTGGACATTGTTGCAATACATATCATATTACAGACCACAGGAGGAAATACAGCCAAGATCCCTGGGCCTGGGGCTCAGTCAGTTCTCAGTGCCTTTGCTCATTAAGGAAAGGAGACTGGACAGATTAAAGATGTCATTGACATCTTATGACAGCACTCACAGGAAGAAGGGTCACTGTTGTAGCCATCTGTGAAAAAGAATACTCAAAATATTGTTTTATGTTTATAAATTGCCCTTGATTAAGCCAAAAATGTATATTAACTCTAAAGAATAAATATTTCTGAGTTAAGGAAGTGTTCTTAATAAACAAGCATACCAATGAGATGCTATTTTTAAGTAAATACAAATTCTTCTCTTTTTCACTTTATTTTGCATGACATTACATTAGCTAGCCTGAGTTATCCAGCTGACACAAGTTATATGACGTTGTGATTAGGGTTTTTTTTTTTTGAGATAGAGTCTTCCTCTGTCGCCCAGGCTGGAGTACAGCGGCACAATCTCGGCTCACTGCAACCTCCCCTTCCTGGGTCCAAGCGATTCCACTGCCTCAGCCTCCTGAGTAGCTGGGATTACAGGCATGCGCCACCACACCAGGCTAATTTTTGTATTTTTAGTAGAGGCAGGGTTTCACCATATTGGCCAGGCTTGTCTTGAACTCCTGACCTCAAGTGATCCACCTGCCTGAGCCTCCCAAATTGCTGGGATTCCAGGCATGAGCCACCGTGCCCAGCTTGATTAGGATTTTTATAGCAAAAGTAATATGGATTGAAATATTTTAAGTTTTTGACATTCAAAATAGTATTAGCTCTCAATGTAACAGAATTTAAAGCCAGTTTCACTAAGAGAAGACATGTTATAAAATCTGTATCATATAAAAGCCAATCTAGAGAGTTCAGAGCTGCTATTATATTTGGGATATATCATCTCAATTTATGATGGCTAGGCTATACATGTTTCTGCCAAGGGAAGAAGGGTTATGTGATTTAAAGGATATGAAAGGCCTGATGCTAGGCCCTTCTTGACCTATAAAGCAAGGAAATTATGGAAGAGTGAGTGGCCATTATTTACAGTATTGGTTTTACTCCTACTCATTTTCTACAGTCTTTGGAAGAAGAGGAGCTATTCGAAATCTGTAAGAAGAAATCTGGGGGCCAGATGACATTGAAATTAGTGGCAGAAACCCCTAAATAAACTAAAGGGAGGATTGTGGCTTCTCGAGGAAGCTATCCATATGGTCACTTCCAGCATAAACAATGTAATAAAAATATACCATCAGGAAGTAGGCTCTAGAAATGTGATACTATTGCAAAATTAGTCATTTGTCCATGGTATTTACATAGTGTATACAGAACCCATGATGAGGGACTAAAATGCACCGAAAACATTAATAGACTAGCATAGGTCTGGAGCAGAAGGAAAGGATTTAGTGATTGATTTCTACCTACTGGCAAATAATCTAGGTAGAATATTTGCACCACAGCTGGTAATACATATTAGGGAGCAAAGCAGTCCAGAGACTCCACAAGAGAGCTGCATAGCTTACTAAAGATGAACAACATAATTCCCTGTTAACCAGAGAACACAAAAACACCTCCAATATAGGTTCCATCTTGGGAAACAAAACAGAAGAGGAGTAATTATAAAGAGGTACCACTGTCTTAAAAATATTGAATTATCCCAAATTTTATTTCCATGGTTTGAAATAATATTAAGGAGTTATAGACATTTGGCTTAAAAAACGTTTATTAAGCATCTACTATAGAGATTTCTCTGTAAGATCCTTTAGGAATATAAATGCACTAGCTGCTTACCTCATACCTATTGCTATGTGAAAACAAAAACAATTGACTATAGAATATGATTTTTCCAGCTAAGTAACTAAAACTACACTAGCTTGTGTCTTCATAGAACATGATAGTCAGAACATGTTAATTGCTGGTTCCATGACTGAAGAAACTTCATGTCTCATGCCTACCTCGCATGCCTCCATATCCTTTACTTTTCAATAGAGTCTGGCACAGAGTGACTATTCAATAAATGTTTGCAGAAATAATGAATTCCAGCCTCTGAGTCAATGCCTTCCTTTTCAGATGTCAATGCAAATAAACACTATTCTTATTGTTCCTATGCCTGAAAACACTGAAAATAGCCCTCTCACAATTTGGAAACCACAATTTCCAATCAGGCTTCTGTGAAGCTTCTTTTTCACTGAGTGCCACTTCCTTCTCTTGTGGTGTGCGCCACCTTTAAGATGTTGCCAACACTAGTTACAGAACTATAAACTCATGATAATTCTAATTTTAAGGGGTATTTCATTCTGTGGCTACATCTCTGTTACATGTTCTGGAATCCAGGCAAGTAGCTGCCATCAACCAGAGATGAGTATTGTGCCACCAAAAAAACTAAAAGCATCCTAGAAAGAGTGATGGTGTCTGGAGAGAGGGGAGAGTGAAAATAAACTTCAAGAATAAAGAAGTGTTCAAGCTAGGTCTTAAAAGGACATCAATGTTCATAGAAAAAAGACACTGTAAAATAAGAAAAGGAATAATAGAGCCAACTTTACAAGGTATTAGGGAGATACAATAGTTTTTTTTTGCCAAATATCCTACCCATGTTAACATATTGGCTCATTTATTTTGAAATTTCAACATTTTAAACAGCAGTAGAGAAACACACCATATTTTAACATTCTGCATTATTTTATTATCTTATTTACATATATAGTAAATGGAGGAAAACTGTTCTTGTGACTCAGAATATAATTGATATTTAAGTCAGTTAATTCTACTTTCTCATGGGTATAGGCTGAAATGTCATCTTACTTTTCTCAATTTAACAGAATATAGATTTCTATTAATATCAAATTCTAAATAAAATGAAAAGATTACATTCATGTCCAAAACATATTAGTAAAAATATTATTTAAAAACATATGGTTTTACACTTCTCTCTTTTTCTCACAAGAAAATTGTGTTACACTTTTTATTGTTGCTTTTAATTGTCTTCCTGTCACTCCACATTAAAATAACGGCTGACATCACAGAATTTAGTGGAATAACTCAACTGTTTTTTTTTATTGAAAGCTTAACCTTTAAACTACAATCTAATTTTTCCTTTAGTTTTCCAGTCTGTATTTACTATACTATTTTGTTTCACAAGGTAACAGTTAGCACATCAAAAGGCTTATCCACCAGGATCAAGTGGGCTTCATCCCTGGGATGCAAGGCTGTTTCAACATATGCAAATCAATAAATGCAATCCAGCATATAAACAGAACCAAAGACAAAAAACACACGATTATCTCAATAGATGTAGAAAAGGCCTTCGAAAATCCAACCACCCTTTATGCTAAAAACTCTCAATAAACTAGGTATTGATGGGTTGTATCTCAAAATAATAAGAGCTATTTATGACAAACCCACAGCCAATATCATACTGAATGGGCAAAAACTGGAAGCACTCCCTTTGAAAACTGGCACAAGACAAGGATACCCTCTCTCGCCACTCCTATTCAACATAGTGTTGGAAGTTCTGGCCAGGGCAATCACGCAGGAGAAAGAAATAAAGGGTATTCAATTAGGAAAAGAGAAAGTCAAATTGTCCCTGTTTGCAGATGACATGATTGTATATTTAGAAAACCTTAATGTCTCAGCCCAAAATCTCCTTAAACTGATAAGCAACTTCAGCAAAGTCTCAAGATGCAAAATCAATGTTCAAAAATCACAAGCATTCCTATACACCAATAACAGACAAACAGCCAAATCATGAGTGAACTCCCATTCACAATTGCTTCAAACAGAATAAAATACCTAGGAATCCAACTTACAAGGGATGGGAAGGACCTCTTCAAGGAGAACTACAAACCACTGCTCAACAAAATAAAAGAGGACACAAACAAATGGAAGAACATTCCATACTCATGGATAGGAAGAATCAATATCGTGAGAATGGCCATACTGCCCAAGGTAATTTATAGATTCAATGCCATTCCCATCAAACTACCAATAACTTTCTTCACAGAATTGGAAAAAACTACTTTAAAGTTCACATGGAACCAAAAAACAGCCTGCATTGCCAAGACAATCCTAAGTCAAAAGAGCAAATCCAGAGGCATCACTCTACCTGATTCAAATTATACTACAAGGCTACAGTAACCAAAACAGCATGGTAGTGGTACCAAAACAGAGATATAGACCAATGGAACAGAACGCGGCCCTCAGAAATAATACCACACATCTACAACTATCTGATCTTTGACAAACCTGACGAAAACAAGCAATGGGGAAAGATTCCCTATTTAATAAATGGTGCTGGGAAAACTGGCTAGCCATATGTAGAAAGCCGAAACTGGATCCCTTCCTTACACCTTATACCAAAATTAATTCAAGATGGATTAAAGACTTAAATGTTAGACCTAAAACCATAAAAACCCTAGAAGAAAACCTAGACAATACCATTCAGGACATAGGCATAGGCAAGGACTTCATGACTAAAACACCAAAAGCAATGGCAACAAAAGCAAAAATTGACAAATGGGATCTAATTAAACTAAAGAGCTTCTGCACAGCAAAAGAAACTACCATCAGTGGGAAAAGGCAACCCACAGAATGGGAAAAAAGTTTTACAATCTACCCGTCTGACAAAGGGCTAATATCCAGAATCTACAAAGAACTTAGACAAATTTACAAGAAAAAAATCAAACAACCCCATCAAAAAGTGGGCAAAAGATACGAACAGATACTTCTCAAAAGAAGACATTTATGCAGCCAACAGACACATGAAAAAATGCTCATCATCACTGGCCATCAGAGAAATGCAAATCAAAACCACAATGAGATACAATCTCACACCAGTTAGAATGGCAATCATTAAAAAGTCAGGAAACAACAGGTGCTGGAGAGGATGTGGAGAAATAGAAACACTTTTACACTGTTGGTGGGACTATAAACTAGTTCAACCATTGCAGAAGACAGCGTGGTGATTCCTCAAGGATCTAGAACTAGAAATGCCATTTGACCCAGCCATCCCATTACTGGGTATATACCCAATAGATTATAAATCATGCTGCTTTAAAGACACATGCACACGTATGTTTATTGTGGCACTATTCACAATAGCAAAGACTTGGAACCAACCCATATGTCCATTAATGATAGACTGGATTAAGCAAATGTGGCAATATACACCATGGAATACCATGCAGCCATAACAAATGATGAGTTCATGTCCTTTGTAGGGACATGGATGAAGCTGGAAACCATCATTCTGAGCAAACTATCACAAGGACAGAGAACCAAACACCACATGTTCTCACTTATAGGTGGAAATTGAACAATGAGAACACTTGGTCACAGGAAGGGAAACATCCCACACCGGGGCCTGTCATGGGGTGGGGGAGGGGGGAGGGATAGCATTAGGAGATATACCTAATATAGATGATGAGTTAATGGGTGCAGCACAACAACATGGCACATGTATACCTATGTAACTAACCTGCACGTTGTGCACATGTACCCTAGAACTTAAAATATAATAAAAATAAATAAATAAGGAATAATTTCAATTTAACAAATATACATTTTAACCTTTATTACATCAATGAACAGTTTATATCAGCTTGAAGAAAAATATAATTCACTCTAATAAATATGTTCCATTTCTCAACAATGACTATTGTGTTAGAGCTAAACTATAAAGCACAAACGTAATTTAAATTATTTCACACCTCCTCATTTGTAAAAATTTCTACTTTTATTTATCTTTTCTAATTGATCTTTTTTTTTTGCTCGTTCTTGAGAGGACACAGTAGAAAATGAAAAAACAGCAGGGAGTAAAATTTTGATAGTATCATTACACAGGAGGGTTTTCTCCTTATAGAAGTTCTCTTACTGTTATCAGTGTTAAAACGCCTTTCATTATGTGTGTGTCTTTGAAAATTATATTAATAATTTTTAAAAGATCCAAAGCTTCATTTGGGACTGGACACAAAGGGGTGGATAATTAGTTGATGACCCAGAGGAGGCTTTTGTCTCGATGGAAATAGGCAATTTAGCCCAAGGAAGTGTTGCAGATTAGAATCCATTATATAACATTCCAGGAATTTTTTTTTTTAAATGAGAGAAGCTACTGGTAAAACACAGTAGGAAATAAAATGTGTCTTATTCAAATTAGAGAAAGTAGCCTTTGTAGTCATATGGCATTATGCTAAATACATGAGGTTAAATTTAAACTTATCAAGTGTGATGGCTTGGGAGAAGTAAAATCTATGATTATCTGAATTGCTAAACTATGGATAAAGCTTATAAAAGACACAAATATGATTAAGTATATGCATCTTTGGTATTCCGTCATTTACACTTACATAAATAAATTACTAAAAAGTCTGTGAAAAAACAAAATAGTTGCAAACTAATCGCTTCACCTTTCAAATTCTTCAAAAACACCATCTTATTTAGTTTTAAAAAACAGTTCAAATCTGTAATGTATTAAAACCACACTAAGGGCTCTTTCTCCTTTATGGTTTTTGTTTTTTTTTTAATCTAAAATAATACCTTGTTTGTCACTTTAAATATAAGGAATGTGAAAAATCCCTTTATGAGAGAATAACTTTTAAAGTTATGTTTATACAAATCCAATATTTTATTTAGATAGTTTTCTAGACAGCATTATGGCAACACATTTGATAGCTTGATTTAAACCCTGCCTCATCACAACTGATGACACCAGTTGTTTTAATTTCTGAGGCCAAAAATACTGGAAGCCTTCTTGATTCATTTCTTCGTCTCACTACCCCTGCCTGTAATATCCGTGTGGATATCCTCTTGTTTCTATCCTAAAAGTATACACAAAATTCAACCACTTCTCCCACCTTGATGAGCCATTCTCATTTCTCATTTAGATTAAAACAACGCATTATTTAATGGTCTCCTAGATTCTCTTCTTGCTGTGTTACAATTTATTTTCCACAAAGAGAAAATATTATTTGCAAAAATCACTTCTACTTACTCTTCTGTTCAAAACGCTGTGATAGGTCCCATTTTGTTACACCAGGTAGCCAGTCAGACATGAGCAGAGCAGGAGAGGGCTCCCAGGCCCTTACACATACCTGGAATGTTCGGAAGCCATCAGGTGATGGTCAGGCAGTTAGTTGTAATAATTGATTGCAGCCGTGCCAGGGAAAGGCGGTCTCCCAGTAAGGAGAAACACCTGAATCTGATGATCAGCAGCTTCCTGATAAGATCTCCAGATGCGCTTGCACTAGGAGGCAAAAGGGCAAAGCTTAACTCATATATGGCCTTCTAGGAACATTTGACTGGTAAGAGAAGAATGACTGAAGTGAGCATGTGTATACTTCCAGTAAACATTCTACACATGCAGCTCCTCCCACATGTTGCCACGTATACACATGTAAACAGCCCACTCCAAAGAAATAATCAGGGAAAAGAGATGCAGGACCCCAGAAGCATAGCACCGTATAAAACCCCAAGTGAAAGGTCAAACAGTGCACTTGATCTCTCAAGTGGCCCTCTTGGACCTCTTCCAAGTGTATTTCACTTCCTTTTTTTCCCCTCTCTAAAATTTTAAAATAAACTATCACTCCTGAACTAAAACTTGCCTCGGTCTCTTACTCTGCTTTATGTCCCTCAGTTGGATTCTTTCTTCTGAGGAGGCAAGAGTGGAAGTTGCTGCAGATCCACGTGGATTTGCCATCGGTAACACACTTTAGTGCCGTGTGGCTCAGATACATTCCCCAGTGCTAACAATTTCACTACTAGTAAAGCCACGCACGTTGCTCCTGCTGCTGTGTCATTCCCGTATTGGCTAGGGTTAGACCGCACAGGCTAAACTAATTTCGATTGGCTAATTTAAAGAGAATGATGGGGTGAGTACTTTGGCGGGAGTCAGGGCAGAGCAGGTAGCACGGAATCAGAATGAGTCAGGGTGGAGCAGGTGATTGAAATGAGTCAGGGTGGAGCAGATAATCAAAAAAGGTTGCTTTATGAGGAAGTTAACTTTAAAAGTAGAAGGCACAGAATTGAACATACTGACATATTAATTCTTTGAAAAGAAATTTAGAATTCATATCTAACAACAACTTTCCAAATGGACAGAAGAGGAACAGAAAATTTGCATAAAATATATTTATTTTTAAAATGATTATAATAAAGCTGGGGAAAAATACATTATTTAAAAACTTCTCATTAAAAAAGTGTTTAAACAAGCAAAAAATTCAGATGGCTTCCTTGATAATTTATTTTAAAAATTGAAGGGAGAAAGAATACCAATTTTAAGCAAATTCTTCCTGAAGAGTGAAAAAAGGAAAACATTCTTTAATATGGTTTGTAAGGCCAAATAGAGTCTGTTATCAAAACCCTGACAAATTTATTAGCAGGAAAATTACTGTGCAATAACTCTCATAACCCTGAGGCAAAATCCCTAAATAAAATGTTAACAAGCCAAAGGCAACACTTACTGAAAAGAATAATCCATTGTGACTCAGATGCATTCATTCCAGGAATGCAAAGTTGTTTAACATTAGAAAATCAATCAATATAGTTTAATACATTAACAAAATAAATGCATTACATGATCACCTAGTAAATGCAGAAAAATATTTCACAAAATCAATGCTGATTCATGAAAAAAATAAAACTTCTAAGCAAACCAGGAATAGAAAGAAACTTCCCTAATGTGGGATAAAACATACCCACAAAAGAAAGAATTAATTATTTTTAAATAACATGATGATGTACATAGAAAAATGAAATTAATTTATAAAATATTAGGATGTATATGTGGATTTAGTAAGGACTCTAGATATTTGGTCATTTTATGAAAATTGTATCTTAATATAATTGTATTCTACATGTTAAGCAATAAAAAATTTATAAATGATTATTAAAACCATGCATTTTTATTAAGCAAATATTAGGATTACATGTAAATACATATAAGGAGAGAGATTGTTCTTCCAGATGTTTACGTGGCTAAAACTTAATGTGTTCTGAAATTCACCTCCTCAGCAGTCCTGTGGTGAGCAAACTATTTGAAATTAAAACTCATATTCTCTACTATTTTGGTTCCTCTCTTCCTGCTCTTGTTTTCCTTTTCTTTTTAGTTTTTTAAATGTTGTTTTGTTTTCTATAAAATTGTTTATTTCATCTGTGTTTGGTTTCTCTCTGTTCTCATAAATATATAAACTCTGTGAGCACATGGTTCTCAGGCTGTTATTTTTAAATGATACATTCCAAGATCAACAGTGCTTGGTACATATTAAGTACTTGTTAGGTATTTTTTTGAACAAGTAAATAAGGTCAATATTATCTTATACACCCCAGACTGAAGAAATCAAATAAATAAAGTCTTGCAATATAAGAAGTTGGTAAGGATATGAAGAATCAGAGTGTTCATCCACTGCTGGAAGCACAATCAATTTTGAAAACATGTTGCTACTCACCAACAATATCAGTGTGTACATGCCTCATTACAAAATAATTTTACTACTACCTATATATTCTTAGGAAACTCTTGCACATGTATAACAGGAGATACATAAAATAATATTTACTTAAGAATTGCTCATAATATCAAACCTGGAACTAAAAATGTTCATTAACAGTAGAATAAATGAATATGCTCTGTGATATTCATACAATAGGATACTCTGTAACAATAAAACAAATGCACCATATAGCATCATTAATTATTTGAAAATATTTACACAGAGAGAAATAATCTTGTATCAAAAATAGACAAAGCAATTTTCAAGTATACAACATGTTGTTATTAATTACTATCACTGTAAGAAGCATGCAAGGTAATCCATGTATTAATTAGCTTGATTTAACCATTCTACTATGTATACAGATATCAAAACATCCTGTTGTATACCATAAATGTATACAATTTTTATTCTTCAATAAACTTAATTAAAATATAAAGCTCAACTACCTAGATAAGTAGACAGATAGATAGCTAAAATCTACTTTTAGCTAGCTGGATAGATAGATTAGATAGAAAGGCATATATATGTGGGTGGTAAAAACTATAAAGAAATACAAAGTGATGATTAACACTCAATTTAGCATAGTGAAAGCACAGACTAAGAATGTAATGACAGACTCTCTGGGAGTTCATCAAATATTTTCCCTTTTTCTTCAGATTGAGGCTAGACTATAACTCTAATGTTCACAGGTAGTTCTTTGATACCCTTTTATACTTCTGTGTAATAGAATATCTTTTGATGCATAAAACCTATTGGACTGTGGTTGATGCACTATAACTTCCCTTGTCTACCAGCCAAATGCAGAATGTTTATAAGGATATTCCAAGTCTGAAGGCCACATGGAAAGAACCTTGTTTTCCAACAAACTCTGCACGTAGATGTGGGGGTCTTGGGTATTATGTTTAGCTTGTTTTGACTTATTCAGAAAGAACTGTCTTAGTCCATGTGTGTTGCTATAAAAGAATGTCTGAGGCTGGGTGATTTATAAAGAAAAGAAGCTTATTTGGCTTATGGTTCTGCAGGTGGTAAAGGAAGCATAGCACCAGGAATTGCTTCTGGTTAGGGTCTCTGGCTGTTTTCATTCAGAGCGGAAGGCCAAGGGGAGCCAGCATGTGCAGAGATCAAAGGGCAACAGAGAGAGTGGGGCAGGTGCCAGGTTCTTGTTAACAACTAGCTCTTATGGGAACACATAGAGAACTTGCTCCTTACCAAGAGGACCGCACCAAGACATTCATAAGGAATCTTCTTCTATGACCCAAAAACCTCCCATTAGGCCCCATCTCAGAACTACAGAAGAGCGAAATGAAAAGGGACATTTGTGGGGCTTCTGGGTCATGACAGTCATCCAGTTTGGGTCCTGAATGGTGATACTTAATCATTATTGCCTGAAATATGCTTATTTTGTTTATATACTTATTCATATGTACTATCTAATTTTAAATAAAAATATAAATTATAATACAGGATTTATCTAGTATCTATACCTTGTATATATCGCATCAAGTTTTCTTAATTTTAATGTCTTCATTCAGTATCTTTAAATATTTTACACTTACTCCTAATATACAGTGTATAGTAAAATATACAATGCTATATATAAAATGTTTTATATGAGAAAGACTTGCTGAGAGAAACGCAAATTCTGTTATATAAGCCCTATATGAATCAGTGCACTTTATCTTTTTAATATAAGCAGTTGTATCTCCAGCTTTGCTTATTTGGCTATGTAAACACTAGGTAAGAGAAAGAAAAGAGTATAATAAAATAATTGCAGTTAGAACATGGCTTTGTTCTTTTTGTAAAAATTACAGACAAAATATTAAAAATGCACTGAACTACTTTGTATAAGATAGTTTCATTCATTTTTAATAGTTTGCTCCTGTGGACTATTTGCTCCTACAGTCTTGTTGAAAATTACAATAGAAGTAATAAAAGTTCCCAAAATATTTAAAGAAAACACAATTTTTGATAATTAAAACTATTATTTCCAATCTTAACTTTTGCCTTAAAGAAACTGTTTTTGTTGTTTATTTTTTGTTTTGTTTGTTTTTCTTCTGTTATTTTCTTTTTATTGGAGCATTTAATTTGCCATTATATCATTTGGCTTTCACTTGATGTGAATACAAAATTTATATATTTTCTGCTTTTCTTCTTTATTTGCCATCTAGGGAAAACATGATGTATTTATTACTCAAAATTTCACAAGATAATAAAATATTTGTTTTGAAATCACATGCCAGTATTAGATGTGAACTGTTTTTATCTCCAGATAGAATTTATCTTCAGCCTCAGAATTCTAATGTATATGACCATCAAAATAAAAATATTAAATCAAAATGTCCTCCATTTTCTCAGAAAACAAATGCCTAGATATATGGCCAGGAATGTATAGCATTGCAACAGTCAAGATAAAGACTGAAGGCAAGGAATTACTTGAACAAGAGGTAGAGGTCACCAAACATTAACAACAGCAGGAAGCCTCTACTTCTCTTGTTCAAACATTCCCTATGGATAACATCCACCCAGAAGCTTGTACACATGGTAGTCCATAATGGATCCTGTTGGGTCTGCAACCTTGGAACATATAATAACTCAGCAGGGAAAGGTGTGGAAAAAATTAAAAAGAGACAGAAACTTTACAACGAGGAAAACCCTTTGAAGCTAAGTACATGTATTTTTTTCCTCTCTTTTTCTTATTTTGTTTCAGCTACATTCGAGTTCTTATCCCATGACTAAGAAGAATAAGGCATGTGGACACTGGAGAGTGCATAAGGCAGAGTAGGTTTTATTAAGCAACAGAAAACTCTCAACAGCAAGAGGGGACCCAAGAATGAGTCTCCAAAAACGGGACTGAGTTCTGGGTCTTTTATGTGGCAGAAGCAAGGAAGTCTTCTGCGGGTTCCACCCAAATGGGAGGGGTAAAGTTCCCTTCTGCAGTTGTTCCATGCCTGGGGTTGGCCAGAGTAATTCCATGTTAGTTATTTCCCATGAGTGCCTAAGCAAAACCCATGGGGTGGCGCTAAAACCAAAATGCTAATATCATGATAATGATATTATAATCAGCTGGGTTAAGTTAAGGACATTTAGATTAATTTATTGCACCTGTGCCTAAGTTGGGACAGTCCCTTCTGACCAAACATTCTAGCATAAGAGGAAGTTCTTAATCACATTTCTTCCCACTACCTACAGGGTAGTGCAGGTATGGTCCTGCGGTTGTTTTTCCTCTCCTGAGATCCTCCCTCTCTATCTGCCAAGTTGGCTTCTAACTGTGCCTCTCTCACATATAGTTAAAAAAGTAAGAACAACCCCCCTACAAACTGTGGTCATTTTCTGTTTCTCAAAACATGGTCATAAAAGTATTAAATGTTATTCTAATGCCATTTTCTCACTCTCATTTTTTTAAAGCTTATGTGAGTTGCTTTCTGCTTACATAACTTTATTTCCTGCATTTATTAATACATCAAAATAAAGAGTCCCCTTGATGAGACTGCATACCTCAGTATCAGTCACACATAACTAACCCAATAGAAGACTGACCTCAGAACCTGCTAAACTGGCTCCTGTATTTCAAAAACTTCCCAGTTATTAACACCATTCCTTCCTGCATTTCTGAGCATAAGCTTTTTAGAAAGAGTTGACACCAGAATTGGCTGAAGGATGTTACAGGAGAATTGACCTTGGCTTCACCTGTATAGCAAGAAGCCTTCAGGAATATCACAGTATTGTTTCCAGATGTAAGTACATCATGAGGCCACAGGCATACAGAATTCTTAGAAGAGCTTAGAAGTGCCACAAGAATACTAAAATCCCATTAAAACTGGTGAATTCAATTTACTAAATCTTCCTGTCCCAATGGATATACGGGAACATTGAGGAAATAGAGACCATGCCTGTTAGGAACCAACTCTATTATTTCCATATTGGTGTAACCATTTTCATAGGTTTTCATAACTGTGCTACTGGATTTAGCTTCTTAAATTGTGCCTTTTGATATATTTCTGTCCGTCATATACCAATACCCTCTGTGAAAACTACAAGCTCACTTTTTAAGGGAACAGATAGGCCCCTTTAATATGTATGGCTTTTTCCCCCACAATTCTATTATCTTATTTAGCTATATATGCTAATCCAACAGCATATAAGTTTTCTGTACATTCCATTTGTTTCACTAATTTGTTGTGTCTGTCTCTAATATGCTCAAATATACTTTTCTAGAGCTCTTTTTTTTTTTTTTTTTTTTTTTTTGAGACAGAGTCTCGCTCTATCACCCAGGCTGGAGTGCAGTGGCGCAATCTTGGCTCACTGCAAGCTCCACCTCCCGGGTTCACGCCATTCTCCTGCCTCAGCCTCCCGAGTAGCTGGGACTACAGGCGCCCGCCACCACGCCTGGCTAATTTTTTGTATTTTTAGTAGAGACGGGGTTTCACCGTGTTAGCCAGGATGGTCTCGATCTCCTAACCTCGTGATCCACCCGCCTCGGCCTCCCAAAGTGCTGGGATTACAGGCGTGAGCCACCGCGCCCGGCCCTAGAGCTCTATTTTTTAATGGTCTATTAATAATTGTTTGATGTACATTATTTCTGGATTTAAATATTTTATGTGGTTTATTTTTGATAACCTAAATTTTATAAATGTTTCCTTCACAGTTTTTACAAATCATATGTACATAGAAAGAATAAGTCCTGGCCGGGTGCCGTGCAGTGACTCCCACCCAGCACTTTAGGAGGCCAAGGCAGGCGGATCACCTGAGGTCAGGAGTTGGAGACCAGCCTGCCCAGCATGGAGAAACCCCGTCTTTACTAAAAATACAAAAATTCGCCGGGCATGGTGGCAGGCACCTCTAATCCCAGCTACTCGGGAGACTGAGGCAGGAGAATCTCTTGCATCCGGGAGAGGGGAGGTGGAGGTTTCAGTGGAGATTGCGCCATTGCACTCCAGCCTGGGCAAGAAGAGTGAAAATCCGTCTCAAAAAAAAAAAAAAAAAAAAAAAAAAAGGCCATGTGGGTGGCTCACAGCTGTAATGCCAGAACCTTCGGAGGCCGAAGTGGGGGGATCATGATGTTAAGAGATCGAGACCATCCTGGCCAACATGGTGAAATCCTGTCTCTACTAAAAATACAAAAATTAGCCTGGCTTGGTGGCAGGCGCCTGTAGTTCCAGATACTCAGGAGGCTGAGGCAGGAGAATTGCTTGAACCCGGGAGGCAGAGGTTGCAGTGAGCCGAGACTGGGCTACTGCACTCCAGCCTGACAACAGAGCGAGACTCGGTGCCCCCCAGCCCCCTAAAAGAAAGAATAAGTCCTAATTAATTTCCTTAGTTAATTTTAATTGATTTCATTTCCTTATGCATAATTAGGTACACTTTATTGATCCTTGCTGTCATACAACCAGTCAGTTTAGTTGACACTGTATTTCTTTGCAAAGTATTAGAGCAGAGTATTATTTCCATTTAAACATATTGATATTCTTGATTTTAAAAATCCAATCTCTTTACCTGTCATTTGTTGAATGTTCTGCACTTACTTCATTGTTCACTGGTCTATGCTCGGCACTATTTGGTGTACTCATGGACCTTCTCTCATGCTGTCTGTCTTATTCTTCCTGTCTTCGTAGAAAGACGAAACTAAACTAACAAACATACTTCTAGTCATCAGTGTTAAATAATTTTAGTACTTCCTATTCCAATATACTTCATCTCTCCTTTAAATGAAAGAGCCTTTATTACTCCTCCTTTATTATATGTTACTTATTTCACCATTTCTTCAAATGAAAGTTTCTACCTAAGTCTGTTTGGATCAATCTAAAAACTCTAACAAAATCACGTCAGCCATCATCTTCACAATTATTTTACCTCTTTTTGAGTTGTTCAACTGCTGCTAATTAATTTTAAAATGTCCAAAATAAGGTGAGGTAAGATGTTCTCTCACTTAGGACAGTGCCACAAAGAGCAACAGCTCCCCCATTATGTAAGTTTTCTTCTAATAACCCCTTAAAATATTTTGTATCTTTACTTATATTCCAGGGAATATCATATATGCATATACACACACAAACTCACACTCACACACACAGTACATCTACAGGTAGCACATCCATTATTTTAAAGCTTTGCCCTCCCTTTCTTCTCTCATTCTACCGTCTATTCAAACGTCTTTCCTTTTAATTTCTTCTTCGTTGCTTCTCCTATTTTTTATCTTTATTCTATGCTCATTATTATATTATACTGCAAATGGGCTATTTGTCCTATAAAGCCTTTGGTTCTAAAGACTTCTTTACAGCAATAATTAACATGCAATGAATAACTAAAAATATTAAAAAGGTTTTTATTCTTATTATTTTTTATTATAGATATACTTTTTTCTTATTTACATTAATTTTTTTAATCAGGCATTTCCCTCTGCCCTACTTCCAAATACAGAGCAATTAGTTCAATCTTCCCTGCAGCAAAGTTCTCTTTTATCTTTTTTTTGGTAATTTCTGAATAAGTGATTTCTTTTTTAAAACATTTATATTTCTATTTTGAATATATATGTATAAATTCAAAATATGTGTACATTCATATATCGCTATAAACACACTGTGTATGTGCATGTATTTATACATATTACATAAGTACATTTTATATATGTATAAATTATGAAAAGAATAAATAATGAAAAGCATCTTCCCATTCTCTCCTTCTTAGAGACCTCCAGATCATCTTTTCAGAGTTTTCTTAGTTTCTTGGATAACTTTCAGAGATAATTTTATATAACCACATATTGGTAGTATTTTATACAAAGCCGGGTAACATACTAGATTACTGTAGTTGGCAGAATAATGATAGCCCAAAGATGTCCACATCCTAATCCTTGGAACCTGCCAGTATATTACTACATATCAAAAGAGATTAGAGGTAGTATATTATTACATGCCACAAGAGATTTGAAGATGGAATTGATGTTACGTGGACATTGTCCTGGGTTACCTGGGTAGGCTCACTGCAATGCCATGGACACCTGAAAGTAGACAAGAAGATAGCCAGAAAGAATGCTTGGGGGAGAAAAGGCAGATGATTTGATCTAAGAAATGCAAAGTGAGGACTCCAGTTATAGTTGGAGGCCCTAAAAATAAAGGAAGTTGGCCATGAACCCAGATATGCAATGGCCTTTAGAACCTGGGAATGGCCCTCAGCTAATAACCTGCAAGAAACCTCAGTTATAAAGCCTCAAATTATAACCTGAATTTTACTAATGACTTGTATGAGCAGAGAAAACATATTCTCCCCTAGAGTTTCCAGAAACATGACCCTGAAATACTTTGTTTGTGGTCTTTTGAGACTCTAAGCAAAGACCCAGCCAAGCTGCCAGACCTCTGATATTAACAAAACAAAACATAAAGCTGTGTGATTATTTCACATTATATTAAAACATCTCAAGTGCCCTATAAATATACACACCTATTGTGTACCCACAAAAAATAAAAAATAAAAAATAAAACTGTGATATAGCAGATTTGTGTTGTTTAACCCATTAAGTTTGTGGTAATTTGGTATGGCAGTAATGGAAAACTAATACAACTACCACCCTTTTCCACTCACAATATATCTAGATAATCTTTCTATAGCCCATAAAGGTACTCTAAACTTTTAAATAAGTTAATAGAATTCTAGTGTTTGTCAGCACACCATAGTTTATTTAAACAGGCTCATGGTGATTGGCATTCTGGCTTTTCAAATATTTTGCTATTGAGACAGCCAGGTGGAAGGGTTCCTTGGAGGAATTCCAACCGGCCTGCTCACTGAGGGGTGCAGCCTCAGGAAGTTCAGGACATTTGCAGCTGGGAGGAGCCTGCCGCCTCCTCTTCTGTGTGGAACCTGAGACTCACCCTGCAGGCAGGAAGCACTCTAACAAGGGACTCTGGCCTAGGGAGAGTCCCACTTTCTCCCTTTTCTTCCTTTTCACCCAATAAAACCCTGTCTTACTCTCCATTCAAATTGTCTTCCAGCCTGAATCTTCGTGGCTGTGGGACAGACAACCCCGTCTTTAGCTGAACTAAGGAAAAGTCCTGCAACACCATGACAAATATAATTAAAATATTTTACATACATCATTCTGCAAATTGTAAATATGAAGTCCTGGTTCTGGTGTCTTTTTTAAATTTTCATGAATATTTTAAATTAACTTCCATTAAGCTTTTATCAATTCATACTCTTTTAAGTAACCTACAGCTGCACTTCTCTCTTTTGTGACCGCAAGTAGGTTCTAAAGCTTCATGATTGTTGCCAATTTGTTTAATTGAAAATAGTTTTAATTTTAAATGTATGGGATTAGAAAGTGTCAGAGGAGATTTCTCTTTAGTTGCTCAGAAACTTATACACACACACACACACACACACACAGTCATATACTCATGTCACTTAATTGACAAGAATACCTTCTGAGAAATGCATTATTAGGTGACTTCCTCATTGTGTAAACATCCCAGAGTGTGTTTACAGAAACCTACACGGTCTAGCCTACTGCACACTTAGATTATATGATATAGCCTAATCCTCCTAGGTTATACAACATGTTACTGCACTGAATATTATAGGCAATTGTAACACGATAGGTATTTGTGCCTATAAATATATTTAAACATAGAAAATATGGTATTTTATTCTTATGGGCCCACCATCATATATGTAATTCATCCTTAACCAAAATGTGGCATGACTATACACACATACACACATATACACACACACTAGAAGTGCCTTATCATCTACATTCATTTTATAAGTGACTTTTATATTTTTGTTCCATTAGGAATTTATTCCAGTGTAACATATAATATATAGTAGATCCGAATTTGTTTTGTTAGAATACTCCAGTTGTGTCAATATCATTTATTGAATAACCCTCTTATCCCCACTAATTAAAAGTATTACTGTTATAGTGTTACTAAATCTATTGTACATTTTAGCTGTATGTTTGGATTTTCTAATTCATTCCATTGATCTTTTAATTCATGCTTCAGTAGTTCACTGCTTCAATTACTGCATTTATTATTGCTCAAAGTCTCATAAGACCCACCTTCACTTCAATTCTCTTTCTCAGAATATCTTCGGTGACGTACTTTTGCTTAAGTCCTTTCGAGTAAGCTTAAGTAGTCCCTCACTTGCACCCAAATTTCCTCTTAGTAGTTGCATTGGAATCCAGAGAAATTTATAGTTTAATTTAGGGTAATTGGCCTCTATACTTTTACATAGATTTGTATTATAATGTCCTCTTCATTGTTTTTTTTTTTGGTTCATGTCTGTACTGAGGGCTTAAGTTTTCAGTAACTTCTTTTAAACATCCCCGCCCCCTGCCTTCTCTTTTTGATTGCCGGTGCCCTATCTCTTTCTATTTTGTCTTTTTTGTTTACATTATTTCTCCAAACCACGTTACTATTCTTATTGGAATTCACATTTTACCGGTATTTACATTTTTAAAATTGTTTCTCTGAATTTTCCTTTGGAATATTTCTTCCTCTCTTTCTCTTCTGTTGTTTCCAATTACAGTGGTCTATGTTGATTTTTTTCTATGCCTTCTCTGCCATTTTTTAATTATATCTCTTATCCATCTTTATAAGGTGGCTGTCAGATTATATAATTTCTTTATTTTTATTTTTGTACCCAAACCACAAATTATATTTTACTATAATATTTTCATAGAGCATAATTACATCACTTTTTGATGTTTGCTTGTTTATTTACATATTCATTTTGATTTAATTTCTACAGGCCACTTCACTTTCGGCTATACTGGTTTCCAGACACAAACAAAATACATATAAATCTTATTTTCAGTGTGTATGGAACATACTAATTTTATTTTATAGGTTTTTTATAATAATATTAATTTTTCCCCACATCTAAGATATGTACTTGACTTCACATTGCATTGAACATTATTTCCAGTTACAGCCATAGCTAGAACTATGTTCTTTACGCAGTTTTATGCCCCATTTGTCTTCAGATGAAAAGCGCAATGTTGTTGGTTAACTTTATGTCTTCATTCAACAGTTTCAACTCATGCATTTCTCAATCCATTTCACAAGCCTGTCAACTACTTTCTGTAGAAATGTTAAAGTATTTAATAACTTCTGAACTAAATGCTAAAGAGGAGCGTATATGTAATTAATAGATATCATATTTGTAAATTAATATAACATGTTTATATATTTACATGTTAAGGTATAGATGGATAGACAAAGCAAGTGAGCTTTGGTTTGCTTAGTTATTATAATATCATCTCTAAATATTCATCATTTTTATTATGGTTCTGTTTCTCACATTATGGTTTCAAAATGAATTCAGTATCTTCCCTGATTTTAAACTAGACTCAAACTCATAGATGTGTTCACTTGAAAACTTTAAATTGAGCTGCAGAAACTTCACTAAGTGTTGTTGATACACAAACGAACAAAGCAGAAAAAAAGTCCTTAATACCTTGAAGCTTATATCCTATGATTATGTAAAAGATACAAATATATATTGAATGTGTTAGTGATGAAAGGTACAAAGGCTGATGGGTCTAGAAATGGAGTCTAAGTGAGAGTGCTCTCTTACATAAGGTACCTGAATGGGGAATTCATGTTAACATGATTTTGGAGCCAGGAATCTGAAGAAAGTGAATGATGGACCACGTGAATATCCAAAGAAAAGCATTCCACCAAAGAGAAATGTCCTACCATCTCTGAGGTAGAGGGGTTCTGACTTTTTGAGTGAACTAAAAGAAGCTCAATAAGATTGGAGTTTTAGTAGAAAGACATATTGTTGGAAAAAGATTTTAGAAGATTTTGATACAATAAAAAGGTAACTAAACTTAATTCTAGGAATTTTAATAACTGCAAATATAATCATTGAATTCATCCTATTTGAATTTATCAGTCTATTTGTAATAGATACTATTCTCCTATTTCAAATAAATCTTTGAACTGTATCTCATGAAGGTATTCCAATTTTCTTTACAAAAATATAGATATGATTTTTTTAGTTTATTCTTCTATAGACAGTATAGTTAAAAAAGTTAAAAAGTAAATTCCAACTTTTCCTTTTCTATTCTACATCTTCTTTTTCTTTTACACCCACACTCTAACCCAGTTATTTGTTATTCTTTGTCTTCCAATTTCACTTTTTGAGAAAACTGCCATAATCACAATTATTGAATAAATGAAGGCTTTTAAATAATATCTTTATTCATCATGTTGCTATTACTCCTGTTATAATTTATCTTGTAATTGTTTCTGTTTTGTCTCTATACTTTTCTGGGGGGGATTTAGCTTACATTATGCTCTCGTTGTATTTTCCATCTCTGTCTTCCTGTTTTTACTAGATCATGTCCTCCAAATATTTACTAGCTCATAGCTGGGGTAAGGCATGGTTGTTCCTTCGGAAGCATTCTATTCACTCACAGGTGAAATGCATTTGGTGCAATCAACAATAGTTGTGTAACACTATAAAACAATTCAAACCAATATTTTACCTTCATAGCAGCATTAGGAGATATACTGCTACTCATATTAAAAATATGAGTACAGTTTAAATTTGTTCTGCATTGAATTACTAATATTTTATTTACAAACCACTTTTTTTCTAGTACACATTACTGCCATTTTATGAGCGATTATCTATTCTTATTGTACTCATAGAGACATCTGAAGAGCATAGAGATGATAATATTTGCTGTAATACAATTCCAAAAATTAAATTCTTATATATAACTGCTAATTTTTTAAATGTTCTTTTGTATTTAGTTACTTTCTTCACTTATAGTATGTCCTTTGGCACTGGGTCAAATTGCCACATTTTTAACAATGTAATATACTTTAATGATATTTACTAGTTATTCCTTATTTAACATATGTTAAAGCAGTATGAGCTGATATAAGATTCTGCATATCTTGAAATCTCATGCTACTTTGTCAATAGATATATTTTAATATCAATAAATGCAAATACAATAAAGCAAACATGTATTTACCAAATATATAGTTTCAATATAAAACAAATGTTTTATAATGTTTCTGGGATGACAAAAGTTCTACTAGCAATATCTTCCCAATAATGTTTTCATAAACATATTTTTAGTTAATGTATATTTTGATAAGTAGTTTACTTTCCAACTACAGTTCATGAAAAATAGTTAATATCTTTTTTTTTGCAGACATTTGTGAGAAAAACATTACTGTGCCCAAACTTGTCCAAGATATATTAAACTTACTCGAGAAAAAATTATGTGAAAGATGGTTATAACTATTCTGTTTGTTTTTACTTGTAGGAAATTCTGATTTCTAAGTGGTGCTTAAACAAATATCTCAAAGGCTATCCCACAAGTGTATGTGCATTTATCAAAGGATAAAATAGATATGTATGAATATTGCCTAGGAGTACATTCCTTTAAAGGTCATCATAATATTCAGATGGAATATGTCAACATGATTTCCCCATTTTATAATGACAGCCCCATCTTACAATAACTTCACAAATAAGAAATTAACAAAAACGTTATTTTTATCAATAGGTTTTCTCTTATTATTGCTTAAATAGACAATGAGTAATCGTGTCAGTTATGCTGTTTTTTAATATTTGCCAGTTTCAAAATTAAATTTCAGTTGTATAAACTCCATAAGATAGCAGGTTTTGTTCTTATTAGAACGTTGGCTCACATATTTCTAATAAAGTATAGAGATTCCTATGGCTCAATCTCAGTGTGAATTTGCATATAATGAAGCAAAGTCTAATAACAAGGAGTACAAAGAATTATAACTTATTTCAAAGTTTTACTGTCGTTCTTAAGACAATTCAGCATAATCCAATTATTAATGTTTAGTAATATTTTTCAAATACCCATTTTGGTCATCACAGTTTTCTTGCCCCTTACTGTTGCTCTTAAATATTTTCTTCTCCAAAAATCTAAACCTTTTTATTAGGCTTGTAGTTACGCTTTTGTCATCATTATCGTTTTTCCTTCTCCTTATTTATTTCCTTGTATTCTCTTGCAGATCTTTGTGCTGTTTAACTTATATTTTCTTTGGAGGCCTTCATCAACCTCCTACGACTTTATTACATCCCCCTCCATATTAATTTAACTTGCAGTCATAAACTTCAAGCTTTGTTAACTACCATATGCAGTTTGCTGGCAGAAAAAGAAGGGGAAAAGTGGAAAAAAAGAAAAAGACATATACACACAAAATACGCAAAATGTCTTTTTAAAATATTGGATTATAGATACAAACATTTACATCTTATAAAAAGTTGTAATTACAAAAAGTTTAGCTCATACATAATATTATGTATATTTCAATAGTTACCTCTTATCCATGCAGCATACATTTCAAGACCCTCAGTGGATGCTTGAAACCACGAATAGTACCAAACTCTATATACATATCCCAAACATAGATATGCGTATCTATGTGTTTTCTCTATATGTGCATGCTTATGATAAAGTCTCTCTTTCTCTCTCAAAATATCTTATTGTAATGTTCTACCCCTTTCACCTTTTCCCCCCTTCGTTTTCCTTGGCATATCCGAATTGCCAGCATCACTACTCTTGTGCTTTGGAATCATAATTGAGTAAAATAAGGGTTACCTGAATATAAGCACTGTGATACTATCAGTTAATGTAATAACCAGTGTCTACTAAGTGACTAACAGGCAGTTGGCATACACAGCATGGATATGCTGAACAAAGAGATTATTCACATCTCAGGTGGGATGGGGCCTGAGAGAAGAGTGCTAGATTTTAACATGCTACTCAGAAAGGTCTGTGATTTAAAACTTACATATTATTTATTTATGGAATTTTCTAGATAATATTTTCAGAACTTATTTGACCATGGGTAATTGAAACCATGGGAAGCAAAACTGTAAATATGGGCATGGGCATTGGGGGAAGAAATGCCTGTATATAAATTTAAATTATATAAGTTTAGATTATATATATATACACACACACACGTGTATATATGTATATATGTGTGTGTGTATATATATGTGTATGTATATGTGTATATCCTCAGCTGTTATACTTTTAAAAAACTCTCCAGAACAAGAATAGAAACAGAACAAAATCCATGTTTGTACAGACACTGGTGGTTTAGTTATACATTTTTCAGACAGTAAACAAAACAAAAAGAGAAACAAAATATGCTTTGACATTTGCATTTATTTCCTATGAAAGAATCTTCCTTTTAAGAACAAAGATTATATCTTTAAAACGTTTTATACATCACTGTTTACTAAAATCTTGACAAAACTGCTCCTTTCATTGATTATTCCATAGTAACCAAACAACTCATTCTCACAAAGCCTTAAAACAATGTTTCTGGGCTGTACCATTAGTCCCATCTACAAAAATGTGCAAAATAGTAAGGAAGAAACATTTCCTTAAATGTTTTCCCAAATACCTCCCTCATGGGGAATAAAATTCACCATGTATACTTTGGTTTCATTTGACATGCTGAGGCACCAAATGATGAGTTAATATTTGTATGATGTATGGATTCTTTGTGATCAGGCAGTAAAACATGGATTATTATGTTTATGACTTTGTAAAAACAGTATTTTATGCCATTGAAAATCTTCAGGTAAGTTTGTGAGACTCTGATTGGAGCTATCTTTTGAATAAATGCCTAATTGTTAGTGATATATTATTACTCTTCTGCACCTTTTTAGTTCTGCTTAGAAGCATATTTACATTTACTTAACCCATATAATCAGAATATTTTTTCCTCAGCAGAAGAAAATTATTTTGACATTTCAGTTATTTCTTTCACACATGAACATGGAAATTCCGAATGGCCTTCATTTTCTCTAAATTTTTCAACTACGAAGCCTCAGAAAATGTTGCAATATGGACTGGTGAAAGGCTGAAGCAGAGGCCACCTGGGACCATCTGGGAAGAGTCTGATGGAGAAGCCAGCAAAGCCAGCTCCGTACTGGAGGTCTTGTGCTCCATCTGCACTTCCAAAGTTCAACTGAGTACAAGGCACTTTGCTGGGAACAATACTGTTAGGGAAAAGAAAGTGACACACAAAAAAATACACATAAGCACACTAATTTAAGGTGCTTGATTCTTAACTAGAAATAAACATAGATTTGACAATATTTCTTTTTCTCCAAAATATATTTACTATGCTCCTAAATTGTAGATTTATAAATATAAACATTAAATATTAAATACTATGCTAAATTGTGTATAGTACAATTATATGTGTACATATGTGTATATACATATATGTTATACATCACACAAACACACACCACATCATATTTCATGGCACTGCATGTTTTCTTTTCTAATATTAATGATAGTAAGTTACGTTAATGTAACCAGGCTAAATAGATACTTCCCTGATGGCCAGCATTAGCCAGTAAGAAATCTATTATTTGAGATTTAGTTACTATGGGAGGAAGGAGGAAATGGCCCCTTAAGTTAAAAACTTGACATTCATTTATAATTCTTGCCAGAATCAATCATTACAATAGGAGTTTAATTTAGTCAGAGTTTAATCACAGAACCACTATGAGATACGTAATAAGGTAAAGTTGGTAGAGAGATCAGAAACAAGGATTGCAATATCAGAAGAATCACGAACACAATCCATCTGAGATCCCCAAAATAGCCTGCGGCTAAAGTGAGCTAAGAAAGAGGGAGCCAGTGATATTTATAAGAAACTGTTGTCTGGTTGACCTAATACTCATTGATGGGCCTTGGGGTGTTACTTAGCAAGGCTTATAGCTGGGAAAAAAGAAGTGAACATGAGATAGAAAGTGAGGGCAAGCTGAAACCCACTAGAATGTCTGCAACTGTCTCTCACCTCTAACCATAACAATCGTCAGAAAGTATTCATGGCCGCTACGCTTCCAATCTTATATCTCTTACACATTTCTATTTTGGCCAAACCTAACCTGGCAGCATATAAGGAAAGAAATTGGGGGTATTTGGAGTTTCAACTTGACTAAGGCCCAAAATTTTACAGTATAAATAGTCACAGCCTACCCCTTGTCAACTTGGCCTCTTTGCATACACCTTTTAATCACATTTAATTTCCAGATAAAAACAATGATAAAATCAGGCCAGCTGCTTCAGGATGAATTATGTTACTAAGATGATTGTAATAACTTACTATTATTAAGTGAATTCCCTATCGGAAGACTTGTGTGGGGAACATGATGAGTAAGATATTCTGTAAGCCCACTGATGATGTTATGGCAGAAATATAGTAGACTAGGAAGGCAAACCCATATCCATGTTGTTTATTTAATGCTAACAAATTGTTACCCCTTCCGTTATGGCTGAACAGCTGGTTTTGTGGGTGAATGGTGCTAAAACATGTTCTTGGCATTGGTATCCACTGTTGGTAGCTTTGACATTTAGCAGTGGCTGTAACCAGATCAACCTGGGAAGTAAAGTTCATGTTATCAAGCCCAGACTTAAATTTTATTCCTGCCATCATGGCCACTTTGTTTATTAGCCTATTGGCAAGAACAGAGATGGCTAACACCTCAAGAACAGGGCATCTTGTCCACCTGATTATTGAGATTTTACTCTGCTCAAGTTGTTTTTGGGGTGAATATTCATACAGATAACGGGTATCTTCATACTTTATGCCCATTTGAAATCTATCTATCTATCTATCTATCTATCTATCTATCTATCTATCTATCTATCATTTATCCATCTGTCTTTCCCAGATATCCTTATGTATAATTTTTTGTTTTGTTTTGTTTTGAGAGAGAGTCTCGCTCTATCTCCCAGGCAGGAGTGCAGTGGCACGATCTCGGCTCAAGGCAATCTCTGCCTCCCGGGTTCAGGTGATTCTTGTGCCTCAGCCTCCTGAATAGCTGGGATTACAGGTGCCTGCCACCACGCCCGGCTATTGTTTGTATGTTTTTTAGTAACGATGGGGTTTCACCATGTTGCAGGCTGGTCTCAAACTCCCGATCTCAAGTGATCCTCCGACCTCGGCCTCCCAAAGTGCTGCAATTACAGGAGTGAGCCACTGTGCCCAGCCAATTCTCTAATTGTGTGTGTGTGTGTGTGTGTGTGTGTGTGTGTGTGTGTGTGTGTGTTTCAAGTCCCTGTCCCTGATCATACAGTGCTAGAATTAGCCAGTGATTCAGTGCCCATGAATAACTGCTCGGTATCTTGGCTATTTTCTTCCCTGTAAAAGCAAAAACAAAAATAAAATGACAATAACAACAGGCATATACTGTTTAAAATTCTACCCACCAACAATATTTTATTTCACTAGTGTTTTGCAGAATCATACCTAAATATGAAAATAGCACTAAACTAGGAACTTTCATGTGATTGCAGGGTGCTATAAAGTATGTCTTTTTTTCTTCTTCTTCCTCATTCAGCCAGTCATAGTGAATCCTCCATGAGGTCAGAGATTGAGGTTGAGAGGGAGAGTAGGCAATGTGGCCCTTCCTTAAAAACTGCATTTTGGGCTTTCTTATGCCTTCCATTGTTATGAATACATGTCATAGGACTAAGATAATTTACTTTTTAATTTTAGTACATAGAGATTATTTGGAAAGTTCACTCATCTTCTAAATCATCATACTTTCAATTATATATATATATATGCATGCATATACATATATTCTTATATGAGTTTTTAGCCAAGTAAACTTTAATTTGTGCTGATTTTAATTAAATGTTTTATTTTAAATGAACTACATTTATTTTATAATAATATAATTAGTTCAAATTAGATAACTATATTACAATGGGTAAATATACTAATACATCCATTTTCATATATTCACAAAAATATATGTGTTTTCTGGAAAGTAATTGGATTTCCATATATCTCTGTCAATAAAACAATGAACTGATTTTTGTTGTCCTACACCAACCTCCTTTTGCTTGTTATAAAATATAATTTTTGTTTGTTTTTAAACTCAATAAGAAATGGGTCTTTATTTGTAAAGTTAGTGACTTTTTAATTAGCAACTCAAATGTTGAAAAACAGCTTTCATTGATAGAATTAGTCAAGATATTGGCTCAACTCTTTTAACATCACTGGAAGTTGTGGCAATCTAAGAACCCGTATAATTTGAATTCTTCAGAATGGTGCTCATGATTCTTTAATGTTCCCATTGCGGGTTCAGAAAATTCTTGTTGCTGTATGTAAGTGATGTTCAGCTGAACAAGCCTCTGAAATTTCATCACATTTTTTCTAGATGAACCTTTCACACAGGAGATTTTAGAGCACTAAAATGTAGAGTGAGCTGCAGTGTGTGACTATTTAGTACTCTGCTTGCTAATAAAAGACTCTAAGCATGGTAAAATTAGACTGAAAATAGTGGTTATCAAGTTATAGCAAAAATAATCTAATAGATGCACCTAGCCCAACTGACAGGGTGGTGCACAGCTGCAATTGAGTCTGATTTTTATTACAAAACTTCTGACATGTGTAAGAGATATTCATGGATATATTCATGCAATTGGAGAGCGTATGAGGTAGCAGATACAGAGGTCATTATAGTTTAATATAGGTCTTTGGGGCAGTATTAGAAATTCTTGATAATGTTATTACTAGAAATGGTTTAAAATCAAATCATACTTAGGGGTTACTTATTCAGGAATATAAGTTATTTAACAAAGGACAACTAATAAAGAACTAATGAAGATGGTTTCTTTTCTCTTTTACATTTTTTTTTGCTAGTAATCCAGGGCAAAAATATTGTATCTATAAATCTCTATTTTACCTTGATCTTATCATTTGACTACTAATTTTACTAAGGCATCCCATTTCATAATGTTGAGAAACAATACAATATAAACATATAAAAAGTATTGTCAATCTGAATACCTTATCACAGCTTTAGATGTCTGTATACATGCACATGCTTCTTAAAATAGTGAACAATAAAGATGATGTAGAAAACAGAACTTTAGGATATTAAAAATTCATTTGGCAAATCTGAACTTAGATCAATGTTTCTGACAGCATTCAACCTCAGAAAGTATATTTCACTTGGGTCATTCCTTGCCTTTGCCCAGCTGGCATTTTTGAGCGGTTTTATTTTTATTTCTTCATTTTCAAACACTCAGTCACTTCTTAAAATGTTATTTATTTTCCTGTACTGATTACTTCTGTAATCCCTTGTCACTTGGAAAAAAATGCCTTGGCAAAAAATGTCATCAGGTTACATGGTCAAAGGAAATGCAAGTGTTCCTTTAGGCAATCTTAATTTGAATTTCATTTACATGCAATATGATATTCTACAACTAGCTGGAAGATATATTCATACATTTCAAAGAATTTCAGAGGAGGAAAAAGACAAAGCAATATTCAGGAGTTGAAACAGATGCTATTGGTGTCATGATTTATCATTTTCCCTTCACTGCAAAAACTCCATGCTCAAACAATGTGAGTTTACAGTAACACTTGGTGTGGGGGCAAGAGCGTAGCTAAGAATCACAGATTTATTGGATTTTTTTCTATTTAAATGTAATCATGTTTCCTCATTCTATTTCAATCTCAAGAAACTTTCATTATATTAAAATGGCTAGAAAGAAGGCATTTGAACATTATGTTGCATTTCCAGAAAGCAACATTCCAAGGTTATTTGTATGCCCACAGTGTATCAATAGGAAGTAACCACCTTCATCCTAGACATCTGTGGGTATAGTCTGCAGTAGAAAATCTACTCCTCAGCAGTAATGCATAAGTTATGGAAAAAATATAAAGGTGTTGAAAAAAGAGTTAATGATTGTGAGAATAAAATGCATTCTTTATAAAACAAATCTTATTATTTTATTTCTTATAAAGAATGTCTCCATGTAGTCTGATTATATCCTTCCAATTCTATGGCTTTTGGAAGCCCAATTCATTCCCCCAAATTTCCTCATATTTGGTGCATAGCCCTGAAAAAATTCTTATAGCCTCCTTTATCTTTAGTTTCCTTTAGTAAATTCCGATGTCTCCATAAGTCACATGATTCCAGATACAGAGTTCTCTCTTTCTTCTCTCTCTCTCATTCTCTCATTATCTCTCATACTATTTCTATGTCTAATTTTGTTTCTGTTCTATCTCTAATCTCTATATTTTTCTTCTTCTAACTCTAACTCTAGTCTCACCTCTACCTTTCTACCTTAAAAAGGGTCCATAAATACAGTAGACTTTGTATGAATATGTGCCAAGAAAATTACAATCATATTGTAGCTTGTGATATCCATGAGAATGTACCTTGCAAATCTCTAAATTTAGGAACATACTTACTTGACTAAAGGCCCTAGCTGCTGCACTCTGAAATTCATTGCATACATGTGCATCCAATGATCATGACAGCAACAGGCAGTTTTACTAAGGTAGGCCCACTGCCAGCACGCATGGGACCCCCTGTGGGAGCCAATTTTGGTTAGAGGACACCCTCCTAACCAAAGGTGATTGCTGAATATTCCTGGATGGCATTCTAGCATACTTTTATTAAACCTTCTCTTCTTTCTCCTTTCACTCGGGGTCAGTGTTCCACTGTGCTCAGATGGCTCTCTCAGACTCCTTTGGCTGTGTCCCTCTCATCTGTCACACGGTATTTTCTCTAATAAAATATTTCCCTGTTTAATTCCCTCTTGATAGTTATCAATGTGTTGAACATTAGTTCGAAATTCACCCTAATCTCTGGATTTATGAAAATGAATCTGAGCCCTTTCAATATCTTTCCTCTGACAGCTGGCATCACAATATGCTTTGCAATGGGGTGCACAGGAAAGGCATTCCAGGGGGAAAAAAGACTTTTTCTTCCTAATTCCAGTGTGCTCATTTGTGCAGGCTTCTGTTTACAGTTTCCTCCAGTACCAGTGTCCTTCAGCACTCAGCTTTTCACATTCCTAGCTTCTGAGGTGCTCAGTGGCTCGCAGCAACCCAGCACTCAGCAGCTACGTCTGGCACTTCGTTTTGGACAGTTTTGTAAGCCGAATGCTTCTAGGGAGGCAACTTCTCTGCTCAAAACAACTTTCCCTAGGATCCTAGAGGATACAAATTTGTAGCAAATTCCAGAAGGCAGAAATTACAGGACATTCTTCCAATACAGCACCACAGCAACTTCTCTGTTATTTGGAAAACCGTGGAATTGGTCTTTACAGTAAGGTTAGGACCTCGGCACTGTGGGAGAGGAGTGTCTTTCTGGGTTGCTCTGTCTCAACCCTGGAATAGCAGCAGTTTCTTACATCCGCTATTCTTATATTTCTTAGGTTTCTGTTTTTACTATCCAATCTTTTTTGTTCCATTCCCCTTTTTTAGTTTAAAATTCTTTTATTAAACTCCCTCCCCCTGTTAGAATTACTGTGTGACTCATCTCTCCTGCTAGGACTAAGACTGACACAGCATAAATTTCACCCAGGATCTGGACTAACACACAACACACTTCAAATAATGAATAGGGCTTGACTCTTCTTATCATGCCACTGTGGTAGAGCAGGGGACTTTTGTCTGCACTCGCTGTTTTTTCTCCCTCAAATATTTTGAACCAGCTGACCCCTGTGCCTGGGAGTTCTTTGAAACTCAATGAGCTTGTCAAGTCATATTCCAAAGTAAAGCCAGTTCATTTCGTCTAAGATTTTTGATAACGCCATTTTAAATAGCATTTTCCTAATTAGGTAAAGCAAACATTTACTCTTATAGGTAAAGCAAACATTTACCCTTATAGTTTATCCCTAATTAGGTAAAGCAAACATTTACTCTTATAGTTTATCCCTACAGATAATAATAATATCCCTTTAATAGGCAGGGAATCTGATATGAAAGAATATTAATTTAACATGCATTGTCATCTTTGCTGAATTTTTATCTAGGTTTTTAAATTTTTGGTACAATTAAAAATACCCCATACAACTTAAATTTGAATGCTTGGCTACCATGTTCGGCTACCATGTTCCTTGAAAGAAGATTATGGATCAGAGTTCTAATATTCAGAACTTATTACTTTGCTATTATTTCCTTTGGGTAGAAGTATTTGACAGGGTTTTGTGTAGACTACTAAAAAATGGCCACATTTTCTACATATATAATATTAATATTTTGGGAAAATTGTCTTCAATTTTACTTATAACTAAATAATTTTAACTATTACTTAATATACTAGAGAAAATGATTATAAGAATTTCCAGTAAATGTCATAAGCTTAAACTATTTCATAGGAAGGCAACAGGTTTATACTGCAATGCCTTGACCTAAATACAAATGAAAATATTTATGAAAAGAAACAGTACACAAAACTGCATTCAGAAAACTTGAAATAAAACACAAAAGATAATTTTTTTAAAAGAAATGATATAAAGTACCTTGAAATGGAAGAAAACTGTTGAAAAATAAATCAGAACGAAATTACATATCTACTTCAGGAGCTGGTTTAAAGAGCGTAGTCATTTTTATCTTTACGTAACTAGTGTCAAATAATGAGTTTCCATAAAAAATAGTAAATGAAAAACCATTCTTCTAAGTTTGTCTTGTAACCTAGGTTAAAGATGGATAATGCCAATGGTCTCACATATTCAGGAGACAATATTCTACCTCTTGTTGGTTTCTCCTTTTTGTGCTGACAAGAAGTTTCTGCAAAGATGAAAAGTAAAAAGATAAAATAAAACATGGAAAACAACATGTATGGAAAATGAATGAGCTGGGGAGAGATTCTGGGTGGGTCACTAAAAAAACTGCCTCCAGTAGCAGAGCGACTGCCTGCATTTGGCTGGATATGGTTGGGATAGATAGTAATCGCGGGCCAAAAATGTCAAGGTTTGGAACCAGAAATAAACTTACCTTATTAATAAATCTGACACTTATGAAGTTTGTGGTTTTGGACTATAAAATGGAAGACTTCAGTTGAGGTTTTGTAATAATTAGGTAGGTCTCTTGAGCATTATAAATAATGAATGTAATATACATAGTTATTTCTATAGGTATGTTGACAGTTATAATAACATATTTAAATAAGAATATAGTAGATATTAAACATGTTAAAATAGTATGGTTCAATTAATAAATGTATCACAAACTGACTTCTGTGATGGATACATTTTATTTTTAAATGTTCATATAGCATACGAAATAAAATAATCATGTGCTTAGGCCACGAAAAATCTCAAAAATATTACCTAGATTTGTTTCTAGTTTGTTACCCTATCAACAGCCTAGACCCGGACCCTGGAAATATATGTCAACTGGAAAATTGATATTGTCCCAGGATCCAAAATTGACATATGGACTCAGTCGTCCTAAATTGTTGCAGGGTTTGTCAATTCATTGTTTTGCTATAATGTGGGATTTTGCTACTGTTCCTGGGTTTCCTTATCTGCTAGTGAGCCAAATTTTTATTAATAATATTCTAGTTATATGTCATTTTCTCTTCAAGAAGATATCAGAAATTTCATGGAAAAATTGTTGCATTGTTGTATCAATTGACAAGCAATTGCAAAATTGCGAACACTATGCTGGTAAAACTACAGCTTGTGTGAAACCCAATCAAACTATGTCCCCAACCTAAGAAAATTCCTTGCGGTGGTCTTTAAATCTAAGCCTTTTTTTGTAAATGCATTTCAGCTTAGAGTTTGAAGATAAATTCAAATAGGAATCTTTTCTAATAACATTTACCTAGCGAAGTTGAACGCCATCTTCTATAGGCAGGCGGCTCCTCTGTGGGACTTAAACCAGATTCTTAGCTCCCCCGTAACGATCATTTCTTATAATTTGTATTTTTTGCTCTAAATTTTACTCTGGTAAGTGTGTCTATCATTCTTCCCTTGTTAATCTCAATACACCTTTTTTGAATTTGCATGTATGTCATTCTGTTGATTTCATTATGTTATATGGTTTTGGAAAGAAATTCACATCCCTAGTTCCAGCTATGAACAATTATATTGACAGATAATTAGATGCCGACTGTTTGGAAAATAGTTAAACATATATGTCTAACTTCAATATCTCAAAACTATTAAAGCTGTCAGCTGTACTATTGGAAATATATAATAAAATAGTAGCTCTAAAATAGAGAAACTAAATAATAGCCACTATGCACACATATGTTCAAGTTAAGAATTATCTATAACATTGAAAGTAAATGGAAATGTCTTAAGTGGACTACTAAAGCATTTAGATTCCTTCTCTTTGGTAAGGAGTGCCAAGTAGATATAAGGTATTGTTTCCTATGCAATGAGAAAGAATATATATTACAAACATAATAATTTAAAAGAAATCAGAGAGCTATAGAATAAAGAAATCTATGAACTAAAATTCTACAAAGTGATGAGCACTTGTAAGGTGAACTGATATTAAGTTATTTTATTCCCCGAGGCTGAGGCTTACCATAGGTACTATTGTAAACATATCAGTGGATTTTTTGACAGACTGGAATGTAGAAGTTCTTCAACACAGGGCCAATTTACTATGTGGGCATTTTTTTAAAATTATTATTCAGGGGGAGGGTGCCATGGATTTAGGGGGCTCATCTAGAAAAGTAGAGTAAGATTTCTTAGTTTAGTGATGCATATAGGTCAAAGTTAAGCTACTGGGATTCATTTGGTATAAATGCATAGTATATATCCCTCCAAAGATATTTTCTAGATATTAAACATGTAAAAAATACATTTAAAGACTAAGCAATACATACTCTAAAGGCAGAATTTTAAGGGAAAAGAGTATCACTCTGATCTGAATCAGAGTTTCATGAGGACCTGAAGGAAGAAGAAGGTAGAGGAAGCTAGACAGAGAAAAATCTTCTGTAGTAGTCTGGTGTTTAAGTACCAAAATTCCACCAATGAGAAGAGGCTGCAAAAAACAAACAAACAAGAACAATAACAAAACACCACCCAAAGAGAAAGCAACAAAGCCATACACATAAACTACAGTTCTGTTTGAGAACTAGGAAATGCTGTATGCAGATGGAAAAACAAGCCCGAAAGAATTAATTGCCATTATACTGATTCCATGAGAACTATTAGAAGAAGTTCATATAGAAACACTATGAAATAAAACAAAAGCTTGTATCTAAAGAAATAATCTGGAAATGATAAAAATGTAGATAAATATAACTTTCTTCTTATTTATATTTGTTTTAAAAGAACACTGGGACTTTAAAGCAACATAAGTGACTCATTTCGCGGTTTATAATATAGGCAAAAGTTAAACGCACAACAGTAGCATGGAGATTGAAGGAATTGTAAGTATACTGTATTAAGATTTTTGTAATATACATGGGCAGTGGTATAATACTATTTGAGGAGAAAATGTGATAATTCAAACATATAAGATGTAAACCCTAGTGTATAATCACTCAGCCAATAGCAGACATAAAATAGAATCATAATAAAATATACCATCTGAAGTATAGAGAAAAAGGAAAAATAAGAAATAAAGAAGAAATAAAACAAGTAGTAAAGAACTGACAAAATGTTGGGTAGATTTAAGTCAATTATAGCAATAATTAGACCAAATTAAATGGTACAAATTTCAAATTTTAAAGACAGAGCATGTAATATTTGATTTAAAAATCAAGCTTCATCTCTAAGCTGCCTCCAAGAAATCACCTTTAGCTAGATATTTAACTAGAGGTTTAAAAAGAATGGAAAAATACGGATCATGCAGTCATTAATTAGGAGACAGACAAATTGGCTTTATTAAGATCAGAAGATGCAGGCTTCAGAACAGTAGGGATGAAAAGGGTGTTCACATAAGAAGTCAATTCACCATTAATACATAGTAATCCTAAATGTGTATTAACCTAATACAGAGATTCTATATTCATAAGGCAAAAACCATGTGAAACTGAAATGAAACAGAGAAGTATACAATTACAGTTGGAAACTTCGCTATTCCCTTCCCAGTAATTGATAGAACAGTTAGCCAGAATATCATCAAGAATATATAAGATCTCAGCAGTATTATCAATCAGCTTGGCCTAATTGACATCTATTGAATATTCCACTCAAGAGCATCAGGGAAACTATTCATTTTAGTGTGCAAGGAACATTAACTAAAATAAAACATATTCTGAGGCATCAAACAAATGTTGACATAGTTTTAAAAAGTGAAATCACACCAAGTATCAGCTCTAATTAGATTGAAAGTAAACTAAAAAACAGTGTTAGAAAGATAATCTTGATGTAATCTTGGAAAAATCACCAAATCTAGGGAAACAAACAATATACTTTTAAATTTAACCTGTGTATCAAACAAAAAGTCACAAGAGAAATCATATCATATTTAAAATTTAATAAAAATAGAAACAACATTTTGAAATTTGCGGCTAAACGATTTCTTGGGTGGAACTTTATGGTGTTAAATATTATATTTCCAATGAATCTAGATATAAAACCCTTAATGAAAGGAAGATTATGTATGTGTATATATATATATTTCATATCAAACACTTTCATGGTTCTAACTTTCTCAGAAATTGTAGCCAAGAACACTGTCATGGGTATTATTTCTGGCATCTCATAGGTAACCAAAGATACATTTCATATGGACCCAGTTGATTTCAAGATAGGTAAGTATTAAACATATCCATTCTTCTTCTGTTTAACTATATTACATTAAATTTTATGGTCTACCTAAAAGCTTATAGATCTGTGTCATTCTACAGAACCTGTGTCATTTGAATTTTCTCTTATATTTTTACTTTTCTTCAAAAGAAAGAAATGCATAGGTGTAGTAAACTATTTTTTAAAAGCTGTATTTTTAAGTGAATCTTTGAATTTTGACATACGTATAAACCCATGAAATTACCACCCAGAGCAAGTTACAGAAAATTATAAGCACCTCAAAGGCATGCTTATGCTTCCTTCCAGTAAGTAAAATTCTCAAAATAGAAACAATATAACATCTATCACGATTGATTGGTTTTGTCCATTCTTGAAATTCATGTGTGGAATTATGCAATATACACTCTTTTGTGCCTGGTGTATTTTTGTTAAACACAGTAGTTGTGAAATTCTCCCATGTTGTTGATTCATCAGTTGCTGGTTCTTTATGATTATTACTGTGATCTATCATTCTACAATAAAAATATAGCTCAAATTATTTTTCTCTTCTCTTGTTTACTAATGCTTGAATTACTTCTAATATTTACCTAATAAAGCTATTATAAACACACTGCTATAATTATTTTGTAGTCATAGGTAACAAATTCTCTTGAACATATATGTAGGTGTGCAATTGCTTGATTAAAGAACTAGCCTAGTCCGGGAGTGGTGGCTGACAACTGTAATCCCAGCACTTTGGGAGGCTGAGGTGGGTGTATCACCTGGCAGGAGTTCGCAACCAGCCTGGCCAACATGGTGAAACCCCGTCTCTACTAAAAATACAAAAATTAGCCAGGCATGGTGGTGGGTGCCTGTAATCCCAGCTGCTCGGGAGGCTGAGGCAGGAGAATCACTTGAACCCAGGAGTCAGTGGTTGCTGTGAGCTGAGACCGCACCGTTGCACTCCGTCCTATGCATAGTTTATTAGTCCATTTTCACACTGCTATAAAGAACCACCTGAGACTGGGTAATTTATAAAGAAAAGAAGATTAATTAACTCACAGTTCCGCATGGCTGGGGAGGCCTCAGGAAGCTCACAGTCACGTAGTGGGCAAAGGAGAAGCAAGGCAGGCCTTACATGGTGGCAGGAGAGACAGAGCCAGGGGAACATACTTTTGAACCATCAGATCTCGTGAGAACTCACTCACCATCACGAGAACAGGAAAACTGCCCTCATGATCCTATATATATGTACACACATTCACACACATATATGTGTGTATATATTTATATGACATTATATAAGTATACATACACATACATAAGACATTATATATAATGTCTACTATTTCACCGTTTCAGCGAAGTTTGTACCACATCACATTTGTGATCTCCATCATATACATTAACAACTTAATTTTATTCATGTTTCTTTATGATTCAATTAAATTTAAGTACCTAAAATATTTTTGAGATACCAGGCTTAAACTGCCACATATATATGACTAAGAAAAATACTTTTATATTTTGCATGTATATAATGACTTTTAAAAAGTCAGAGGCTTTTTAGTGTACTAATTAGGGCTACAGTTCTCAGAAGGCACTTCATTGTACATCCTTAATCAAAGTTGGATTAAGAGAGAGGAGTGAGTGACAATTTTAATATTCTGTTTACCTAGGAAGGGGTGACTAGTTAAATCTGGGCTTCTTCTGCCTTCTCCAGGTTAGGTTTGAATTTATAAAGCTCATAACCAATTGTTGAATAACGCAAACTTGCCTTTCAACTTCATATTTTAATTAACTTGAACCAACATTTGGAACTTCTCACACTCTGCTAAACCCTGGGTTGAATAACTATACGTGTCATGTTTCAAATTAATAGTATTATAAAACTCAAGAGAGCAGATGCAAAAGTACTGTTGAGTATGTTAGGAAGTGGTTGAACTGATGAGCAACTGAGTAGATGGCATGATTATGTCAGCCTTCTGCTATCAGTTTCTTGGCTAGTTCCATAGAATACTAAGCTGATATTAAAGTTGAAAATTGTTTCCTTTTCTTACTGTCTTAAACCTAACTTAAGTGCTGGTTTCCTGTGGTTACCACCTGGCTCTCCATGAATCATATTCAGACTAGAGGAGCATAGATTGCAGGATTCAATTTGAAGTGTGATGATAGTTTAAAATATACAAAAATCATCAAGTTCCCAGAAAAAGTCAACCATAAAAAAACTTGCATTTTATTTCTATCAAACTTTTAAAAGGAAGATAAAGTAAATGTACTATATGTGTTTAATAATTTTATTTTATTCATTCTCACTTCCAAATTTACACCCAGAAATAGGTAAATTTTAATTATAGGTTTGAATTGTAATGAAATCAGGACTCTCAGCGTGGTCCAACTAATGAGAAATGAACCAACGACTTTGAAAGTATTCTTATGATTTGGGTTAAATAATTAGTGATTTCTAGTTAGAGTTGTAATTTGGTCAATTGTACTGCTCACATGAGTTCTTGATTTGAGATTGTCTCATTTGCTGTGATCTAAGTGGAGTTAATGTTTGATTAAATAGATTTCTGCAAAATAGTAAATGATTGTTTAATTAAACCAACAAGAGAAATATTGCTAATGTAGATCAAGTTATAGGTTTTTGTGAAATAAAACCTTTTTGTGCAATTATTATATGTTCTTCACTCTCGAATATGAACTTACCCATGCATTCAAATTTTGCATGTTAGGAACACTGAGAAAATACATTCTCGATTTACCTTCACGTAATAAAAAATTTGACTTTGTGTTTAGGCACTATTCCAGTATTGTGGTGTATCACTAAGACTTCCTAGAGATTATATGTTTTCTTTAAAAGTTATGTTTGTTTCCATTATTATATGATGAAAAAGTGCAACTTGAATACATAAATAGTGTGCAAAGCAGTTTCTTCCTCTGATCTGAACTCTTGCTCTCCTCATGATGATTTGATTCTTACTAGTCAAAGACAGACACAATAGACTATACTTACTTTTAAGTACAAGTAGTCTAGAAATTCTATGCAAACATAAGAGGTAGAATTTTTTTCTTGAAAAACTCTAACCGTAGGTACAAGAAATAGAAAAGCTTTTATACATTCAGTGGGTATTCTACAAAGGGTACAGGCACACATACACACATACAAAGAGATGATCATATTTACTTTCCCTTATAACTGCAACCACAAGGCATTTCTTCCTAGAAATGCATGTAAAGGAACAGAAACTAAATGATTGTGAAAATTATCTGAGAGTTATTTCTGGGATTCTAATAGATAAAAATTTTTAATCATATTGCATAATCACAAAATTCGCCACTTGTGATTGTTAATATTGAGTGCCAACTTCATTAGATTGAAGAATGAAAATATTGTTCCTAGGTGTACCTGTGAGGGTGTTGCCCAAGGAGAGTAACATTTGAGTCAGAGGACTGGGAGAAGCAGACCCACACTCAATCTGGGTGGACACCATCTAATCAGCTGCCAGCACGGCTAGAATAAAGCAGGCAAAAGAAGGTGGAAAGAGCAGACTGGCTGAGTCTTCTGGCCTCCATCTTTCTCTCGTGCTGGATGTTCCTGTCCTCAAACATCAGACTCCAAGTTCTTCAGCTTTTGGACTCTTGGACCTACACCAGTGGTTTGCCAGGGGCTCTTGGGCCTTTAGCCACAGACTAAAGACTACATTTTTTTTTTTCGGCTTTCCTACTTTTCAGATGTGGGGACTTGGACTGGATTCCTTCCTCCTTAGATTGCAGACGGCCAACTGTGGGACTTCATCTTGTGATTGTGTGAGTCAATACTTCTCAATAAACTCTCCTTCATATACATATCTGTCCTATTAGCTCTGTCCCTCTAGAGAACCTGACTAGTACACCACTAATGTTTTTACTCATGAGGAAATGTAAATGTGAAACAGAATTCAAGAATCAATGCTCACAAAAAATGTAAGTTAATAAATAATGAAGTTTTAGTAGAAATATTGAATCCCCATTAGGAAAGAAATTATTGTAATCTTGGCAAAACTATACACCATTAAATGTAAAGGAAAAAAGTCATTAAGAGTTCATTAAATACACTTTACTTACAGTATTGCTTTAACAGCAGGCTGTCATGCACTTCCAAAATAAATGCTAATAGATATAAAATACTAAATAATTCCAGAGCCAAAATGTAATTTAGATCTCTCTTCCAACAAGATGTTGTTCATAAATAGTACATGAGACACCATCTATCTAACCCTTTATTATTAAACATGATTTAATTAATTTCAAATTCTAAATGCCTTGTTAATTTTCCTGTAATCTTTAACTCTGTATAGGGTATTTAGTTATGCTGTATACTCTAAGCATAGGTCTACTATGTGTGCATTTTTCAAATTATCAACAACACTCTTTTAATAAAGCTTAGTGATGATATCTTATATTATACCATAAAAAATGAGATAGTAAAATAAATATGACTTGTCTAAGCAACTCTGTCAGGTTATTAGGTAATGCTATGTTGTGTTTTAAGTTACCCCAAATGGAATATTTGGAGATTCTTAACTTCGTCTACTGTAAATTAAATTGCTCTTCAGGGTGCTATATGGCATCCCTTGCTTCTTTTGGGGGCAAATCTTCAATTCTTCAATAATTTTACCAAGACAAATAAAACTTTCAGTAAATCCATTGTTTAAATTTGGTGAAAAGTCAGATTTCTTTACACATTGTATATCAAATGTAAAATAATATATCAATGTGATTCATTTTATAAAATACCATTATTGCCAATGGTTTTTAATAGTTGACTGTTTGAAAGAGACCATCAGCATGTGTATATAGCTGTAAAGTTTACAAGGAACTTAATTCCATTTAAATACCAAATATATGCAAATGTATTCTGATTAATCATTATATTCCTAGTGTAGAGTGTCTTTTTTATTTGCCACATTGCCATCTTGTCTAATTACAGGGCAGATATTTTGTTAAAACTATACACTAACATGCTATCACAGAAAGCTGGACATTCAGTTGCCATAGTATCCCATTCATGTTAGCAATTAATTTATCTAAAATTTGAAACTTTCTTTATAATCTCCTGAAGTTAAAGCCTTTATTACCTTGCAGAAAAATATTTATTAAATCCTTAATATGTACCCAAACTGGAATTAGGTAATCTGCATATAATGTTACTATAAAGTAAATTCAATTACCTTTATTTTATAACTAATGCAACGTGGAATGTGAGACTAAGATTGAACACATTTGTTATTATTCATTAAATACAGGATTCAAACTCAGATCTAACTTTAGTAACTATGTTTTTCTTACCACAGATTAATCACCACATGAATTTAAAAACTGGGTATCCTAGACGTATACAAAGTAGAAATCAAAATATTAAAATATTTATTGAACAGGTATTTCTAAAACGTCACTGTTTATAAGAAATAAGAATTTTTTTCAAAAAACCCTTTGTCCAAAGTATATGTTTGATTTATATAGGTAAAAACCTACTGTTTTGACAGAACAAAAAATAAATGCATTTTCAGTACTGAGGTCTCAAGTTAAAATGAGCTTCTTAGGATCTCTTGCAGATGCATTTGAGGCTAGCTAAAACAGTGTTTTTGCCTTATCTTGATCTCATTATGCTGCATATGTACTCAATCTACTGTCTTCTATTGACAGTTGTCTTTTTCTTTAGCCATATGAGATCTATTCTTATATCAAACTCCGTATTGTTAACGTGATTACGTTTACTTATATTTTTAACGCAATACAGTTGCAACCTCAGAATTATTTTGTCTGATACTTGCTCAGTATTTTTCTATCTTGAAAAACCTCTCTACCTCCTTTTTTAAGTGTTTTAAATGCAGTCACTGCATTTAAGAACTTGTGACTATGTAAAATCTACTTTCCTTATCTATTAATGCATGAATTTAAATTATATTATTAAATTTCCATATTATTAGTACTTATTTTATCATTTTATTTCATGTGTCCTATTTACTGAATTTAATATTTGAATAATAGTTTTTCTTGTAAGATTTCTTTTGGATGATACGTGTTTTGTTCTGCTAAATTGAAACTTGTACTTTGTACTTTTTCTTTGTTCATAGTCTTTAACTGTAGCGTCATACCCCACATCTCTTTACCACTAGTGAGTTAAGATTATCAGCAACTGTATTGTCTTCCTAACATTATAAAATACTTTAAAAAGGTTTCATGTTTGTTTGGCTCCTCAACTCCTCATTTTACCAACTGGAAGCAAACACACTCCAATATACACTTTTAATTCATTACACTGAAGCTGAGAAAACAAAAAGTTTAAGTATACTTTTAAATGAAACTACAAATTAGAAGAGTAAACCAGGGTAAATGATTTTCAAATCAGTAAAAGAAGGTGAACTCAATACAAAATGCCTTTTTCTATTCTTTAAAAAGCTTCATTAAAATATAATCGACATACAGTCCTTAAGTCCCAAGTTTCGTGGTGTCTCTTTGCAATCCCCCTTGCTGCTCTTTCTTGCCCTCTCCCCTATTGTTAGATAACACCTGATTTGCTTTCTGTCACTGTACATTAGTTTGTACATTCTGGAATTTTCTACAAATGGAATAAATATAGCCTTTTTTTTTCACTTAGCATCATTATCTTGAGAATTATTCATGTTGTTATACCAATAGATCATTTGTTTTTATTCCAGAACAGTATTTCATTGTTCTAGAATAGGATATACCATAATTTATTGATCCAATCACATGATAATGCACATTAATGAGATAGCACTGTGTGCCTAGTGGAATGGCTAAAATTAAGCTTGACCACATTGAGTGTCTGTGAGGATATGGGGAAACTCAGACACCGCTGGTGGAAATATAAAATACTACAATCACATTGGAAACCAATTTGATGGTTTCATTAAAAGTTAAACATTACCTACCATATCATCCAGGTAGTTTACTCCAATGTTAAGAGAAAAGAAAACATATTTCCCTTCAAAGACAATATAATACTCTTAAATTTGATTCCAAAATTACACTGCTTGCTATTCACAAGAACTGCACATTCAACAGAACTGCAGCAGAGTCAAAATAATCAAAGGCATGTATAGATGAGGATTAAAATAATATAAAAAATAGCATGCATGACGTTTCAAGAAAATGCAGAGTAAATAAAATTTCATTTTAAAAAGTACATTAAACAATACAGACTGAGCCATCTAATGCATTTAAAACCTCTTGATGACATTATAATTAGAGAGCAGGTAAAAAGGCAATGATGGGCATAAAAGCACTCCTCCTGCAAGAAAATAAATTAGAATAAAACATAAAGTGAAAATGAAAACAAATTATTTTAAGAGAGGTTTACCACACTTTTCTATGCATTGAAATTACCTAGGGAGCTTTTAAAAAATCCTGATGTCCATGTCACACCCACACCAGTTTTATCAGAATGTAGGCAGTTAAAATTTAGGGAACAGCAAAATTCAGGAATAACTTTATTAACCTGTTACCGTCAGTTTTATTTTCCTATAATATCTTGTCACCATCGGTTTTGTTTTATCTTGTCACCATCACTTTTATATTCATGTACTTTTAGTTTTGACGTTCAGAATTACAAACCTGAGGATATCATTTATATGTATTAAATAATTTAAAGGTTGGTTTCATAAAATATGTACAAGCTCAATGATATCTTTGACACAGTAGTTTCCACTCTTGGAATTTTATTGTGAAACAATATTAATTGATAGACACATGTAATTATTTACATTGTTATTCAGTTCATTGTTAAACAAATATAAGAAAATATACTGAAATTAATAAAGTATGAGATACTATGTAGAAACTCTTGTTCTAATAATATTTAAATTTCATTGTATATTATTTGTAAAAGACTACATATAAAACTAATCTTATAATGTGAATTCAGTTTTTATGATTACCCATGTAGTAAAATCAGAATAAAAATACGTTAGAATTTTCTCAGGGATCAATTCTGATTATATATTTGAGTTATTTTTATATTCATACTATGTTTTTTTTTGCTGATATGAATGCTAATCAAGCCAAATACAGAATCTATACCTGACCAATCATATATTCCTTATAAGTTAACTGTGTAAATTGAATTCATACATCAATGAACATTTGTGGGTTTTTTTCCACCTTTTAGTTATTATGAATAATGCTACTATGAACATTGGTAGACAATTACCTGTTTGAGCCCTTGCTTTCAATTTTGGTTTTACACCTAGAAGTGGAATTCTTGGACCATCCAGTAATTCTATGTTTAATTTCTTGAAGAAGCATTATACTGGTTTTCACAGCAATTGCACCATTATAAATTCCCATCAGCAATGCTCTAGGGTTCTGCTTTCTCTACATCCTAACCAACAGCTGTTATTTTCTGTATGTGTGTGTATATATATTTACATATATAGTATATATATTTATATATGTTTGCAGTATATATATTTCTGTGTATATATATATATGTACATATGAAAATATATATATTTGATACTAGCTATCTCATAAGCATTTACCTAAAGATTTGTGATGTTGAACAAATTTTCATGGGCTTCTTGGCCATTTGTATATATTCTTTGGGGACATGATTATTCGTGTTTTTTTTTTTTTTAACTAGGCTGAAATGAAGAAGTTGGCAGAGATGTCTTACTTTCTAAGTGTTCTATGAAAGGATACATTTACTTGTATTGTACTGTTTTTATTGGCTACCTGTATTCCTTGGCTTGTGGCTCCCCGTCTTCATCAACCTAGTATCTCTGACCCTGATTCTGTCTTCACATCTCTTTCCTTGACCACAGCCAGTTAAAAGGTTTTCTTTTTTTTTTTCTTTTTTTTTTTTTTTTTGGAGACGGAGTCTCTCTCTGTCGCCCAGGCTGGAGTGCACTGGAGCGATCTCGGCTCACTGCAAGCTCCCCTGCCTGAGTTCACGCCGTTTCTCCTGCCTCAGCCTCCCGAGTAGCTGGGACTACAGGTGCCCGCCACCATGCCCGGCTAATTTTTTGTATTTTTTGTAGAGACGGGGTTTCACCGTGTTAGCCAGGATGGTCTCGATTTCCTGACCTTGTGATCTGCCTGCCTCGGCCTCCCAAAGTGTTGGGATTACAGGCATGAGCCACCGTGCCCGACTGGTTTTCTACTTTTAAAGTTGTATATAATCCAGAATAATCTCCCTTGTGTTAGGGTTCTTAATATTAATTACATCTGTAAACTCAATTTGGCCATGTAAGATAAAATATCCACAGATTCAAAACATTAGCAAGTGGGCGTCTCTGGGACTACGGCATTATTCTGCCTAACTCAGTCTGCCTCTGACTCCCAAAGATTCACTTACTATCACAGACAAAAAACTAGCGCCATCTCAACATCCTCAAAACCTCAACCCATGACAGCGTCAACACAAAGTCCCAAAATATCATCTAAACCACATCAGTTTAAAAGTAACAACTTTTGTCAACTAAATTATGTAAATTAGATGTGGGTGAAGGTCTTATGAGAATCTACCTTGTGGCACAATTTCTTTCCATCTATAGACCTGTGAAAGAGAAATAAATTATTTTTTGAAAACAAATGGTTGAATGAGAGTCAGAATATTATGAAATGTTATATATAGTCTTGTTTAAAAAGAGAGACAAATAAAAGGACAAATTAGCCACTGATCTCCAGAAATTTAGAATTGAGGCCAGGCAACTCCTCTGGCTATCAAGGCTAAGGGATAATCCTTTATGGTTCCAAATTCCATTCTCTAGGATCCTAGCTCCACCTTCTGAGTCATTCTTCCTTTTCTTGTTAAAAAGGAGGACATACTTTATGCCTGAGAAATTGAGAAAATTGAGAGAAAGAGAGACTCTTTTTCTTGTTCCCTCTATTCTTTCCAATCCATGTTGACAGTGTTTCTAGTCATATAAAATTTTCAAGAAACTCGTGTATCTCCCATGTAATTCACAATATGCAATCTCACTATCCATCCAGTAGGATGGTTATGACCAGAAAGTTAGAACAACAAAGTGTTGGCAAAGATTTTGAGATATTGCAACCTTCAAACATTGCTAGTGGGAATAAAAAAATAGTACAGCTATTTAAAAAAACATTTTGGTAGTTCTTCAAAGAAGCATGGAGTTTATCACCCAGCAGTGCCAATTCATGGTATATACTCAAGATAAATAAAAACATATGTCCGCCCTAAAACCTGTACACAAATGTACATGCCAGCATTATTCATAATAGGCAAATGTCTAATATGATGTTTATCCAACCAGTGTATTTTTCATCTCAGATGTAATAGCTTTCATTCCCATAAATGTGATTTGTGTCTTTGTTAAATGTTTTACTTATTATTTTGTGAGCAAATTGAATATTGTTTTAATCCTGTTTTTGTCTCCTCTTTATTCCTGTTTTTTTTAAATCTGCTTTATATCTATTGCAATAAGAGTAATTGTCTTTTCTGTTAACTCTGAGATCTGTGTCAGTTCAAGATCAATTTCAACTGGTATTTTTCTCTTTATTATGGTTAATATTTGCCTACAATTTTGCATGACTATTGATTTTTGTTTAGATTCCTGATATTACTTTCTGTATTTTTAAAAATTTCTATATTTTCTTATTTTTTGGTCTTGTGATTTCTGTATGAATTTTAGCATTATCTTATCAATTTCTACAACAACAAAGATGATAAGAATGTGATTAAGAGTGAATTAAATTGAATTGAATATGCATTATAATTAAGGAACATTTGCCATTTTAGTAATATTGATTTATTCAATCAATGGACATGGCCTATTTCTTCATATTTTAGGTTTTATTTACTTTCTGTCAACAATACTTTTGTCAGTTTTAAGTTCCTGTTTTTACACAAATTTTAACTTTGTAAGAATTTTGTTTTTAGTATTTAATTTTTATTTATTTACTCATTTCCCATTTGTTTCCTAAAATGAAAATTTTTCTTAACATTGATATTGTATCCTGTGATTTTGCTAAATTCATTTTCACTGTGATATCATTTTTGCAGATTTTTACAGATTGTCTACACATGCAATGATGCCATCTGCAAATAAGCATGTTTATTTCTCCTTGTCATTTCTGTTTTTCTTATATTAATACTTCTTACTCGAGTTCACTGACTAGAATTTCTAACAAGATGTTAGATAAAACTGACGAGACAAATTTCTTGTCTTTTTTATTACCTTAGTTTCAAAGAACTCACCCATTCACAGTTAAGTATTATTTTAGAGGTAGAATTTTATACATCATCATCATCATTTTAAAGGAACTAACTACAATTTCATATCAGCTCAATTTTTTTATGTTTATGATGAGCGCATGTTGAATTTTGTAAGATCTATTGTTCATGATTGTAACAATATTTTACATTAAATTAATGGAGATACAGATGTTGTATTATCTTTTCATCTCGGATAAAATTTACTTGTCCCTGATGCATTATTACTTTTATATCTTACTGGATAAAATTTGCTAATATTTTATTTAAAATACAATTATCTATAATTATTAGAAACATTAGTCATTAGTTTTATTTTATTATGCTTTCATTGAAGGACTTTGTTTTCAAGGTTATGCAGTCCCCGTATGACACGAATAATATTTTGTCTTGGTCTATACTATAGAAGAATTTGTGCAAGATTAATATTATTTTTTCCTAAAATGTTTGCTAAAATTAGCCAGGGAAGCCATCTAGACTTACAATTCTTTTTTCCTTGCACATTACTTTTTCATCGCAACTATTTATATATTTAATATTAAAATGAATATTCTAGAGATTACGTACTTGCATCTTTTTGTAGCCCTGCCTAATAATCTCTTTCTTTTTATTAGAGCTTGTGCATAATTCACTTATGTGTAATAATTAATATGGTTGGATATATTGATATTTTAGAATTTGGTTGCTATTTATCTCATCTCTCTTTTCTTTTATTCTCCTTTTCCACTTTTTCTGCCATCGTTTTTGTATATTTTATATTATTTTTAAAATTTTCCTGTTGAATTTCTGACTAAACTTCTTTAAATTATACTTTAGTATCTTCTTGAAGGGAAGATAAGCTACATCTGTACTTTTAAAAAGTTCATTCTGAATACGTCTGGTAAAATATAGAACGCTATGCCATTACACGTCTGTCTTCATCTCCATTTTGTGCTTTGTTTATGTCATATATCCCATATATAGGTCTCACAAACTTAACAATGAAGAATTATAAGTTCGCTTTAAACCACAGGCTAGAAAGTAATGTCCCATGGGCCAAATCTGTTTTTGTAAATAAAATTTTGCTGAAACATTGCCATACCCATTACTCAGGAACTGTCTATGGCAGCTTTCATGCCACAACAGAAAATGGAGTCGTCGTAGCAGCGGTTTCAATACCTATCATCTGGCCTGTAAAAGAATATGTTTCCCCTGTACCACTTCTTGGGTGTTTTACTGCTGTCACAGTTCATTCCTGCAGTTATTACAAAATATATTAGACTGGGAAACTTATAGACAGCATACATTTCTTGCTTACAGTCATGGAGTCTGGAAGTCCAATATCATAGTGCTGGGAAGGTTAGTGTCTGATGAGGACTGAGTCTCTGCTTCTAAAATGGGGCCTTGAGTGCTATTTCCAAATTCTATGACCTCACAGTGAGGAGGAGCAGTGGGGCAAAAGGGATTAGCTAGTTCTTCCTGGCCCTTTTATAAGGTCCTTGATCCTATTCATGAGGATATTGCCCTCATGACTAATTACCTCCCAAAGGCCCTACCTCTTGATACTGTTGGATTGTAGGTTATGTTTCAACATGAACTTTGGAGGGGACAGAAACAAAACATAGCAATTTCTTTCTGTATATTCATCTTATTATCTGGTATAATTTCCTTTCTACATGTAGAACAAATTTTTTTGCCATTTTTGTATTATTTTAGTTCAGATATGGTGTCAACAAATATTGTTTTTTTTTGTCTAGATATATGTTTATCAGCTTTCATTTGTGGAAGGTATTTTTTCTGAATATAAAATTGTGATATTTTTCTTTCAGCAGTTTTGATGTGTCTTCGTATTTTCTTTTGGCCTGTATTGTGTCTGATGATAGCTCAGGCTTTAAATGCACCATTTTTATCAGGAAAATATGTATTACTTTTCTCTTGCTTCACTCAATATTTTTCTTCACTTTTGTTTTTAAGTAGTTAGACTAAGATAAATCTATAATTTTTCATCTTTTCCTGTGCTGATTGGGTTTTGATAGACTTGCATCTGTAAGATTATATTTTTCTACAATTTAGGAAGTTTCAGTCATTATTTTTCCATCACTATTTGTCTCACTTTTTCTGACACTTTTGTTTGACTAAAATAATTTACTTTTTTATTTTGTTTTTTGTTTTGTTTCTTTTTTTTCTTTCTTTTTTTTTTTTTTTTGAGACAGAGTCTCGCTCTATAGCCCAGGCTGGAGTGCAGTGGCATGATCGCATGATCTCAGCTCATTGCAAACTCTGCCCCCCGGGCTCAAGCGATTCTTTTGCCTCACTCTCCCGAGTAGCTGGGATTACAGGCATGCACCACCACGCCCAGCTAATTTTTGTATTTTTAGGAGACATGTGGTTTCACCATGTTGGCCAGGCTGGTCTCAAACTCCTGACCTCCTGACCTCAAGTGATCCGCCCACCTTGGCCTCCCAAAGTTCTGGGATTATAGGCATGAGCCACCATGCCCAGCCAATATACATTTTAAAACATTGGGCTTGTCTTACGAGCCTGTGAGGTTTTGTTCCTTTTCACTTCAATCATTTTCTCTCAGTTTTTCAGGTTGGGTAAGCTGTATTGTTTTATCTTAAAGTTCACTTCTGTCATCTTAAATCTGTTGTAGGGTCTATTAAAATTCTTTTCACCTGTATTGTTTTGGCTCTTGAATTTCCATTTTGTTCTATATAATTGTTTTATTTTTCTGATTGGATTCTGTATCTCTTCACTTATTACTAGTGTACTTTTTCTTTTTCTTTTTTTTTATTTTGAGACAGAGTTTTGCTCTTGTTGCCCAAGCTGAGGTCCAATGGCGCAACCTCGGCTCACTGCAGCCTCCACCTCCCAGATTCAAGCAATTCTCCTGCCTCAGCCTCCCAAGTAGCTGGGATTACAGGTGCATGCCACCACGCCCTGATAATTTTTTGTATTTTTAGTAGAAATGGTGTTTCATCATGTTAGCCAGGCTGATCTCAAACTCCTGAACTTGTGATCCACCTGCCTCTGCCTCCCAAAGTGCTGGGATTGCAGACATGAGCCACCACGTCCAGCCTGATATACTTTTCTTTTGTCATGTAAACATGTTTTACTTTACTTTTGAACAGATTTATAACACATCTTTTGAATCTTTGTTTTTGTTTACCCAAACATCTAGGCCTGCTTGTAATCAGTAATTAGGTCATGTTGACCATACTATTTTCCTAGTATGGCTAAATGATTTTTTTTCTGTTTCTTTTGATATCTAGTAATTTTTAGTTTAAAATTGAACATTGCATACAAATTATTGGGATGTTTCTGGAATTTTGTTTTTGTTATTATGTGAATTTTTGTTGTTGTTGTTCTAGTGGGTAACTTGCCTGGTTTCAACCTATAGAATCTGTCTTCACTACGTAATATTCAGCTATTGATCTGTTGATAATTCTTCTTAGGTTTCGTTTGCTTTTTTTTTCTACCTCCCATTTGCTGCTATCTATCTTGGTCCCCTAGAAAATCTCCCCTTTGTCTGTGTAGTTAGTGATGAACTCGAGTTTAAAAAATGTTTATATTCAACCCACACTCTGTCCTGGTTGGAGCACATATTGAGTCAAAGGGACAGTAACTTCTCAAACCTTGCAAAGATCAGTTTTGCCTGTTAAGAATAGACCTCCATGGCCCATTTTTGCTTTCCCTTTTTGCTATGTGGTTCTTTTTGAATGTATAGCTATATAATAAGCCAGAAATTGGTGCAGTTTCATTTGTGGATCTTGGAATGCCTTGAAATAATGTCAGAGTTCAGATATTTTATTGTAATCATTCCTCTAGGATACTGTAGAATACAGATAAAATTATAATTGCTTCTTCTAGATCACAGTTGACTCCTTTTGCTGTGTTCTAACAAGATTTTTATTTATAGGTGCAAAATATGGGTGCTGTGTATACTACACAAAACAAAATGTTTATAAAATTAATCATATCAGCCATAAACCATGACTAGAGTTCAGAATTTTTCTATTGCTTTTTCCCACCCAGGTATTCTCCATTAAATAAGGATTACATTTTCAACTGTGGCTTTTTCTCAACACAACTAAAGCATAATTTTATTTGGTCTATTCTTGCCTAAAGTGAGGGGTTTGAATGTGATTTATGCAGTTATTACAACCTAATTATGAGAAGTACTAATAAATTATAACATTATTGTGTCAAATTATGCTGACCAGTAAAAAAATCAGAACATAATATCCATTAGAATTAATTAACTTTAGGTTTCTTTCAAATGGCTCCCAACTTCACTGTCTTTAGGAAATATTTCCACACATAGTACAATCATGCTTTGTTTTACCATCTCTATCAACATAGTAAGATTATTATGAAATGAAATTTAAAATGTCTTCTATAGTTTTGGGCAAATATTCTATTTATGCTACTTATTCCGCCCCTAACTTTGGAAATGTTGCTGAAATCTATTCCTAACAGGCTTATAAACCACGTAATCTCCTGGGAAAGTAGTCAATTTCTTTCCAGAATACAGTTTCTATTCCATTTTTTTCAGTCTTCACTCTATGCAAACAAAATAGCATGGTGTTGAACACATTATCGCTGATAGGTTCCTTTTTTCATTTTCATGTTGAAATACTCATCATTGCTCCTAAATTCTTATTTTATTTGAAAGTTAATCCAAAATGCTATTAACCTCATAATGCCTCTTCTAATTCTCTCTCACTATTCAATTTATTATCTTCTTTTAAATTTCTCTAGAATGTCTACTTTGGTAAAAGTAACTATTTTAACTTGTTTAAATTATAGTTTACTTTTACCTTTATCACTTATTTATTTTACTTGAGACAAAAATATACCTTTATTATAATATATAAGGTTTATTAAATATTGCTTGCTATTAACTTGTATCTTCAAACTCAAAACAGCCATATAAACTAACACTAACATAATCTCATATTACAGATAAAAGAAACGGTGGCTAAATGGTTTTATAATTTCCAGAGATAGCACAGTTACTATGTTACAGGGTTGCAATTTTAATTCAGTTCAGCTACATTCAGAACCAGTCTTTAATACTCTGCCTTAGTGCTGAATATCTAAAAAATACTAATTGTGGGCTGGCGCCGTGGCTCATGCCGGTAATCCCAGCACTATGGGAGGCTGAGGTGAGTGATACAGGGTCAAGAGATCAAGACCATCCTGGCCAACATGGTGAAACCCCGTCTCTACTAAAAATATGAAAATTAGCTGGGCATGGTGGCGGGTGCCTGTAGTCCCAGCTACTCAGGAGGCTGAGGCAGGAGAATCACTTGAACCCAGGAGGTGGAGGTTACAATGATCCAAGATTGCGCCACTGCACTCCAGCCTGGCGACAGAGCAAGACTCTGTCAAAACAAAACAAAACAAAAAACAAACAAAAAACAAAAAAACCATTAATTGTATTGATCACTTAATTTTTAATCAGTATTCATTTAATGCATTGTTTAGACCAATATATTCTAAGATTAAAACAGTGAACTAAACAGACAAAAAAAATTCTCTCTTTGTGAAGCTAACATCACATTTGACTAAATACAATAATAACAGTAATTAATCACAGTAAGCATCAATAATAATAACAAAATGTATTGTACTTTATGATGAATTTACTAAATCTTAAAAATAATAGTAATTAGTGGCTGTTATTGTTTCTCATTTTACATATGATAAAATAAGGCTTTTTTAGAATTCTATAGGGATAATTTTCCATACTCCTAAATTTAGAATGCCTGTTAAAGCATAAATATTAGCATTGAGTTGTATAATATGCAGCACTTTAACAGCTTTAAATAGAGTATACGGTGGGGGAGGTAAAACTTGCCTCTACTCTCTTAGTTCTTAGTTGCAAGAGACCACTCAAAAGCAGATTAACAAGGGAAAAACAAAAGTTCAGTAATGCATGCAGTGTACATTACAGGAGAGAAACTTCAAGTAACTCCAATCAGTGGCTTAGAACTCTGGCTTCTATAGCATCTTCAATCAAGAACAACGCATTCATAAAGAAATAACAGGACGAAAGGAGTGGTTTTAGGTTTCCAAGGATGGAGAACTGTGCAAAGGTAAATATGAGAGAGGAAACTAATAGAGAAAGATTTGTTTGTAGATTCTTCTGGAGCCATTTCCGGGATGATAAGAGTCTAGGGTTATGTCCAGTAAATTCTTTTTTTTTTTTTTTTTTTTTTTTTTTTTTTTGAGATGGAGTCCCCCTCTGTTACCCAGGCTGGAGTGCAGTGGCACGATCTCGGCTCACTGCAAGCCCCGCCTCCCGGGTTCACGCCATTCTCCTACCTCAGCCTCCCCAGCAACTGGGACTGCAGGTTCCCGCCACCATGCCCAGCTAATTTTTTGTATTTTTAGTAGAGACGGGGTTTCACCGCGTTAGCCAGGACGATCTCGATCTCCTGACCTCGTGATCCACCTGTCTCGGCCTCCCAAAGTGCTGGGATTACAAGCGTAAGCCACCGCGCCCGGCCATATCCAGTAAATTCTTATATTTCCTTTAGGGATAAAAGTGACAAGATAGAGCTTTTCACATACTTGCTACTTTTTAATTGCCTTCAGCCCAATATAAATTTTATATCAAAGAGGTAGCATATTTTGGGGTCACATATTCTGGATTTCTTCAATATATAAAATATAACTTGGTAGAGCACACTATCATGAGGCTACACTGATACTGGAAAAAAACACTCCAGACAAACAGGTTCAAAGATTAAGTCTGTCTTAGTAGAATTCAAACATTGTTAGTCATACAAAAAACAGTTACATAAAGTTCTAGTCAACAGGGCAGTGATAAGTTTAGGACCTCAGTATTGATTAATCAGGGTGAGTAATTGGTGTCTGGATATAGTTGATGGACATGAAGTATGAAGAAATGGAGTTTGATAATTCTGATTTTTAAAAAATCCATAAATCTTTAAACTTTCAGTAACAGAAGAAGAGTGTATAAGGAAAGAGAAAGCAAGCATAAAGAGTAGGGCACATATCAGGGCAGACATATCAGGGCAGTCAAAATGCAGAAATTGCCCAGTAGGAATAGAAGAGAATGAAAATATGAAAGACATATTGTGCTCAATTCAATAAGCTGTCTCTGCCCACACTGTTATTGGTTATCGTGCAGAGTAGAAAACTGCCAGAATCAATTTGTCAAGTCCTAAAAATATAAGTCTTAGCATTGTAGTCTTTGACAGTGTTTCTCCATTTTACAATTAGCACAATGTACAGGTCATTACAAACCAAGGGTAAATGAAGAATATAGAGTATGAATCAATGGGAATATTGGAGAAGAAATGTTCTCAATTCTATTATTACTTTTTATCTTTATTCAATTTGAAATCCATTGCCTCATATTACTTATAAAATAAGCCTAATAATACATAAATGAGAAACATTTTAGCTGATTTCTCATGGGGAATTAAATTTCCTAACAGACATAAATACGCAATTATCCATTTTTAAACAAAGGTACATGATATAGTTGACTGAAAATGAGCCTAATATCTTCCAAGTAGGAAAACAGCATCATTTGATTAGCCTAACAGAGTACAATGATTAAATTGCTGTTTGCAGTTGAACAGACAAATGTCATTAATATTCTTTCTGTTTCAAATTGCAATGTATGACATAGGTAGATAGACATCTGTCTGTGCTTATGTAGATATTTACCAAGTATTTGAATACAGCTTACCCTATACAATTTATTAAGGCTTACAAAAATATCTGATCATTGTGTTCCTTCAATTATAAATATTTATGTAATTACTGCTTGGAATTAGATAATGTTTTGTGATCTGTAGATATTGTCATGAATACAATCTTTAAGAATATCGCCAACTTAGAATTAACATCCTAACATCTAATGAACAAAATTACATGCTTCAGGTAATATGTCAAATTAAGAAACTGCTGAAAACTTGGTTAAGTTTATTTCTTTTTATTATTTCTGTTGACTAGGATAAACAGGAGAAAACTCAAGAAAATATAACCTATATGAATGTATCTTTCTGAACTTTAATGAGTACAAATGTTCAAGGGCTGCTTTCAGCAACACTGATCTAGCTTCGGGAGTAGTCATCAAGTACATTGGGTCAATTCAGCTGTAGTTAATCGCTTGAAGACAGTGCAACCACCTGTTCTACAGAATGAGTTTTGCCAAAAAAAAAATTACTGCTTTATGATGTTATGTCCAAACACACTGCTATACATTTGATGTAATATATACTATATATTTTGTGCATTTTATACTTAAATTGTGGAATTTCAAAAATACTATTATTTTAATATTTCAATAATTGAATAGTTAGGTATGAATGGTTCTAATTAGATCAAGCATTAATTCATTAAGGACTACAGATTCTGTGTTAGAGTAGAAGATTAAAATATCAACAATCACAACAGTATTAACAGCAACAAACATGTTTCAAATTTTGAAAAAATTGTGCTTATAACTGAAAGTATTTCAACATTGCATCAAGCTTTATTTATATATGACAACATTTTGAAATAAACTGGAGCTGTATAATGGCAGATTACAGAAAATTGTTGAAGTGTATTATATCCATCATAACATATGTTTATCATTACTAGTAAGTGCAGAGGACCATGTTTACAGATTTCTGGGTTCTCTTCTTTGAAGTATATTAAAATAAGGTGCATACTAATTTTTGCATTATAATTTTTGAGATAAATTTTATAATATATAGTTTTGGCAATGGGTATACATAATACAAAAACTGAAATAAGAACCTAATCACTCCTGCACTCCTCTATAATCCTTTCATTGTGAATTAAATCTCAACTACTCTTTATGAAAGTGTTGAATATTAAATAGCAATCAAAACCCCCTATAAGGGAAAGGGCTTCTTTAATTTATAATTATTTATTGATGAGAGTTATATTTAGTATTTTATGTGTTCTGTAGAAACAAATGTGTTAACCAAATTCTTTACAAGCACACTTTTTTTTAATTTAAATTTTTATTTTTTTGAGACAGGGTCTTACTCCAGTTGCCCAGGCTGGAGTGCAGTGGTGCAATTTCTGCTTACTACAGCCACGACCTTCCTGGGCTAAGGTATTCCTCCCACTCAGCCTTTTGAGTAGCTGGGAATACAGGCACGCACCACCATGCCCAGTTAATTTTTTTTTTTTTTTGTATTTTAATAGAGATGGGGTTTCACCATGTTGCCCAGGCTGGTCTGCAGCTCCTGGACTCAAGCAATCCACCTACCTCAGACTTCCAAAGTGCTAGGATTACAGGTGTTAGCCACCGTGCCTGGCCAAACACACATATTTAATTACTGTGGTTCTCGCTCAGAATTGTCTTGATATTATGCCCTTATATGCATTTCAAGCACAGTGCCCCATTGCAGACTCTCATCATCACTCACCTGGCCTCCCCATGTTTTCCTGGTCTTACATGTCTTCCATTTATACTAACTGATACTAATTCAAAATAATAGAAATAACTAATACATTCCTTTCCTCAAATATTTTTATTGGCTCTCATTTTGGTATCAAGTGCAAAACTGGTCAACTCTGGATTTAAAGGGCTTACAATCTAAGCACACCCTAAAACACTGGTGCTTGGTAGTTCAGCCCCTACCAATTACAACGAACATTAGACATTATTTTTATCAAAGTTCTAAACTTTTAAAAATTTACTTAGCCTATTTCCAAATATTCTAAATTTTCTTCACCATTTCTATAATTCTATAAACAAAACACTGATTCATTTTTTTTGTTGTGCTTTTGCATTTCTCCCATCTGCCAAATCCACATTCATTTATGTAACCATTCCTTTCTTTCTTTCTTTCTTTCTTTTTTTTTTTTTTTTTCGGCGTAGTCTCGCTCTGTCACTGGAGTGCAGTGGTGCGATCTCGGCTCACTGCAAGCTCCGCCTCACAGGTTCATACCATTCTCCTGCCTCAGCCTCCTGAATAGCTTGGACTACAGTCACCCGCCACCATGCCCCGCTAATTTTTTGTATTTTTAGTGGAGACGGTTTCACTGTGTTAGCCAGGATGGTCTCGATCTCCTGACCTCGTGATCCACCCACCTCAGCCTCCCAAAGTGCTGGGATTACAGGCATGAGCCACCCTGCCCGGCCCCAATCCTGTCTTATAGAGTCACTAGATAGCATTCCATTAGAAAAAAGTCAAATAGACTAAATATCTATATAATCATATATTCATATAGCTAATATATATAAAATGATATCGAATCATAATGCCATTCATTGTCACTGATATTTAAAGACAGTGCCTTTAATTACACAATTACACTTGTGTTCAAGGTAGTTTAGCATCTCATTTTTACTTGTCTCCCTCTTGAAAGTTTATTGTAGTGACGGTGAAGAAGTGTGAATATAAATAGACTGAAATGAGGAACCAGCAGTAGTTCCATGATTACAATAAATTTTGGAAGGTTGTTTCATGGTGAGATTATATAGATAGAAAAATCACAGCAGAGAGTCACATCTTTGAGCATATATACAGGAGAATGTTACAATAAGGAAGGGGCTGTTTTTAACTGAAAAATGCTTTCAGCATAGATCACACTGTAAAGGTATGCTGAGTTAAATGAAGTTACAGAAATCATGAGAATTAACTGAATACCTATGTATACATTTTCTTCAAGTATTTCCCAGCTCTAAAATGGTGGCCGGGCGTGGTGGCTCACACCTGTAATCCCAGCACTTTGGGAGGCCGAGGTGGGTGGATCACCTGAGGTCAGGAGCTCAAGACCAGCCTGACCAACATGGTGAAACCCTGTCTCTACTAAAGAAACAAAAATTAGCTGGGTGTGGTGGTGGGCACCTGTAATCCCAGCTACTTGGGAGGCTGAGGCAGGAGAATCCCTTGAACCCAGGAGGCAGAGGTTGCAGTGAGCCGAGATTGCGCCATTGCACTCCAGCCTGGGCTACAGAGTGAGACTCTGTTTCAAAATAAATAAATAACAGAAAATAAAATAAAAAGGCATGTGTATGCTACAGTTGTACACAAGTAGACAATGGTCTTCAAAGTAAAGCTGCAGAAATACTGTATTTTAAAAATCCTAATGAGCTATATGATCTATTTCCCTAGGAGATACCAGATCTTCAAAAATGGGATTTGGAGGCCGAATGTAGGAACTTTCTGTTATATCTTTTTTCTTTCTTTGTCCTTCCTTTTTCTTTGTTCATATTTTTTCTTCTTTTATTTAAATAGGACTAGTGCAGCCTACATGCCATTCTGCATGCAAAACTTAAATGAATCTTCCTATTAACACACCACCATACTCACAATAAACAAGTATCAATCGGGGGTGATGCATTCCTGATGACCCACTAGGAGGCAGACAAATTCCTAGGCAGACCAGGATGAGTACCTGGTGACACTCGAACTTCAAGCAAGGACAGCCTGAAGTCTGAACACCCAAACTACCAGTTCCCAGTAGAGTCCATGGACCGTGGTGAGAACGTCCATTCCTGTTCACTGCCCTGTTTGGTCCCGGGCCAAGGTCAGAGGCCAAGCTTTCACTTCAGCCCCCAACTGGTTCTTAACACTGTATTACCTCTTTGTGAATAGTGATTTTCCAAGCTTACCCATAAACCACATCAGCTCAGATTTCCCCGTTCTAATCCCATAAAATCCCCGGACTCAGCCTCACAGCTGGCAACCCACTTTCGGGTCTGTCCCCTTTTGCTGCTGAGAGCTTTATTTCTGTTGCTCAATAAAATTGTATTCTGCCTTACTCCCCAGTGTCTGCATATCTAATTCCTGTTGGTCATGAGACAGGAATTTAGAACTTGCCAAACTGTGAGAGTGAAAGAGCTGTACCACTCCTTTCCACTCGCTGAACTATGGGAGTGAAGAAGCTGCCACACTAATGGCAGTATAAAATCATTACTAGCAATGGGCAATAATCAACCTAATTTTTAAACTTAAAAGTAACCATGAACTAGTAGATATCAATAAATACTTATGCTAGATAATCTCAAGAAGAGAGAAGAACATCAAAAGAAAATAAAATTTCAATATTCTGAAAAATTTTTTTGTATATTTCAATTTTATGTGAAAAAATGATAGATAAATACTAAGAGAAACATAAATGTTCAATAATAAAAAATATATAAGTTTACAAATATGAGGATTTTAATACATAAAAAAGAATAAAAAGTATGAGGAATTTTCCTGCCTATAGAACAAAAACAAAACGATAAAAAGTAATAAATGGGAAGATACATGCAAGATCTGTCAAGGAGTGCTACAAAAGAAAATAGGAACATACAAAATTTATAAAAGCACATCAAGTACAGAGCTAAATGAGTCATAAAAAACAAACATTATGCCTACACAAAATCCTGCACAGGGATGTTTTCAGCAGCTTTGTGCATAATTGTCAAAACCTGGAAACAACCAAGTTGTCTTTTGGTAGGTGAATGAGTGAATGAACTGTGGTACATCCAGACAATGGCATGTTATTCAGAGCTGAAAAGAAATTAACTGATAGCCATGAAAACTCATGCAGGAACCTTAATTGCGTATTAGTAAGTGAGGGAAGCCAGACTAAAAGGCTGTATACTATATGATTCCAACTATATGACATTCTGGATAAGTCAAAATCATGGAGACAATACAAATATTCATGGTTGCCCAGGGTTAGAAGAGAAGGAGGAATGAATAGATGGAACACAGAATTTTTAGGGCAGTGAAACTACTCTGTGTGATACTACAATGGTGAATACATGTCATTATATACTTTTTCAAACCCATAAAATATACAACACTAAGCTTGAGGCCTAATAGATACTATGAACTTTTGGTGATTGTTATGTGTTAAAATAGATTCATCAATTGTAACAAATGTGTCACTCTGACAGGGCATGTTGACAATGAAAGAGGCTGTCAATGTGTGCTGGCAGGAGGTTTATGAGAAATCTCTGTAAATTTCTCTATTTTTTTGTTAGCCTTCAAAATACAAATCTATTAAAAACCACATTACTTTGGGAGGCCAAAGCAGGTACATCACTTGACATTCAGGTGTTGGAGACCAGCCCTGGCAACATGGCAAAACCCAATCTTTACTAAATATACAAAAATTAGCTGGGCGCAATGGCGGGCACCTGTAATCCCAGCTACTTAGGAAGCTGAAGCACAAGAATCACTTGAGCCTGGGAGGCGGAGGTTGCAGTGAGCCAAGATCACACCACTGCACTCCAGACTGGACGACAGAGCGAGACTGTCTCAAAATAAAAAACAATAACAAAAACACCACATCACATTAATACTTGGAAAAATTCACCAGTTATTAAGAGAAAATCATTAAAAATTATTCCAGAGATAGATAAGAGAGAGCAGATTTTTATGAAACTTACTCTCAAAATGTGATGGTAAAAAATATTTGGACTTTTGTTTTCAAAATTTTCAGAAAATAATACAGATATGGTGACATAGTGGAGAAAAATTTTAATGCCTAGGTTAGTGCTGCCAATTACTAATTGTATCTAATTTTGATCTAATACTGACTTTATCTGCTATTGAGTTGTATCTAATACCAAATAAACACATTGACAATGACCAGATTATATAGAATAAAATAACTGAATCTCAGCCTATGCAGCAACGAGCTCAGAAAACCAAACTATCATCTTCGCAAAAAATTGGCCCAGAACAGTCAAGACTTGGTCAGTGACTCCCCACTTTCCTATTTTTTGCTGCTTCCACTCAAGACCAACAAGAGAAAGCCAGATATGTTCCCCAAACCAATCATATAGGATGCCCTGCCTCTAGCTAGCCTGCCTCAAGCTTCATCAAGTCAATAATCTCCAAATACGCCATATCTAAAGGCCTCCGTTTCCCCTTTAGGGGGAAAAACTTGCTTACCTGACTGCCTTTGAGCATCTGCCAAACGCAAGTGATGGTAGTAAGCTCTGGATAAATGGCTTCCGTTTTTTTCTCATTTGCATGGTCTTCATTTATTTGTATCCTTTTTTTTTTTCCCACACAATTCTCTAGCAGAAACTACCCATTAAATTGAGAGCTGTTACATCTCTTAGGTTACCAAAAACACATTTTACAAATTTCCTTTTCCACTTTTATCTCACAATGTTGGACATATTTATATTGATTATATAATTGATTATATATTGATTATATTGATTATATTGTAATAAAGTAAAATCTTTACCTCTTGTACTCTTCCGTTTGCCCAAAACATTTTCTGATCTGCTAGATAGATCACATCTACTTACTTGTATATCCTTACAGTAAGCACATACTGCGTGTCTTTTAGAGACATACAGCAAGTCATCACTTAACATTGTCCATAAGTTATTGGAAACTGCGACTTTAAGTGAAATAATGTACAGCAGGTTGAAGGCAGGAGGCCTTGCAGGACTTGTTTTCCACTCACTGCTATGCTGGTCTGGTCACAGCAGGGTCTGGTCAAAACAATGCAGTGAAGAGGCTGGCCAAAAACAGCAGATGGTGACAAAAGCGACCTCTAGCTGCCCTCACTGCTCATTAGCATAAAGATTCTCCCCTGGTACCATGACATTTTACAAATACCATGACAATGGGCCATGGCAATGGTCCAAACGTTACCTTATGTGATGTGGAAACTCCCCTCCCCTTTTCCAGAAAGTTCTGAAAAACCCAGCAGCCCTGCGGACTCTGGGCACACTATCTTTGGCTTGGCTCTGTTCTACAGGGAGCAAAATCACTTCAGTGAAAGTTGTTCTCCTTCACCATTAGCTCATTCTCGAATTCTTTCTGGGAAAACCTAGGATGCTCTTGGGCTAGGCCCCACCATTGGGCCTCATCTATTCTGCATTGGGTCCTGAAATAAGGTTCTTTTCTTCAATGTTGCTTCATTATAATGTAGATGAAAAAAAAATTGGTTTCATTATACATCTTTTCACTTAAATCTGCAGTTTTTAAGAACCTTTCTAGCATGTTAAGTGAGGACTTGCTGTACTAATGATAATGTTAAAATAATTTTCTTGCAACTACTCATGTAATCCATATGATTTATCAAATTCTTCCTTTCCTGATAGAAACTTAAGACTGGAATCTATGTTTCCCATCTTTAGATAAAAATTAAAATATAATTCCTACTACTATTGCCTTGTATTTTAGAGCAATGATGCATGCTATTTCATTTAATATTATATTTTATTAGGAAAATATTTAATCATACATAATTCTAAATATTAAAGTAAAAAAATAAAAAGGTCTTTCTTAGGGGAAAACAGAAGCTATAATTGTAACTCAGTTGTACAAGAACATATTAAAAATATTTTAGATTTTCTTATTTATGTTACATTTGCTTTTTAATGCAATCTTATATTTTGATACTGTTCTTTTTTAATCTTCCTACTTTCACCTGGGTTTTATACAAGTACTAGAAATGATTATTTGATGAATCTTTCAAACCTTCTTTTTGTGCTTGCTGGTTGCTTTTGACAGTTAATTTTCTTGAAATTTCAAATTCTGTGCTACATCGTCTTTAAGTCACCTGCTTCTGTGATTTATTTTATACCACTGCCACAGTTTCTCTGGGCACTCAGTGTTTCCCTAGAGTCAGGGTCTTGAAAATCATATTTGTCACTGTGCCCCTGTGCCTAAAGAAGGATCTGATGCTACTGCTCAGAACCTCTTTGGTGAGTGAAATAATTATCTTCTTAGCATGCATTAATATCATATGTGTCCCATGTTGTCATTTTTATTTCCCTATGTTTTTTCATTTTTACTCTTATGTTTCTCCTAAAACTTCCCAAAATCTTTATTTTAAAATAGACCTGACTTTTTTTTGCAACATTATGTCACCTTTAATTTTTTTTCAACATCTCTACATATGTAATAGTTTACTTATTTTCTTTTGTTTTGCTTCTTAGTGTTATTTAGCTCCACACACCCCACCCTTTATTTCCCCAGGTAGTTTTAACGTACAGCTTTGTTCCTATCTGATCCTGTATTTCCTAAATCCTACTGATTGGACAAGTTACACATTGTCTCACTTGTGTATGGCATAATTTCGAATGTAGATAATTCCATGGCCCCACAGAAGTTATTTACATATCAAATTCTATTTGATAATTTTTATTTCAACATCAAATTTGATTATTTTTCATACAAATGATAACATTATAAGTATGGTGCTTCCTCAAAAAATTAAAAATAGAACTTCCCTGTGATCCAACGATCCCACTACTAGGTATGTCTCCAAAAGAAATGAAATCGTTAAGTTGAAGAGATACCGGCACATCTGTGCTTATATATTTGCAATAGCCGAGATACAGGATAAACCTAAGTGTCCATCAATGGATGAATGGATATAAAAAATGTGAGACACGCACACACACACACACACACATACACACACACACCCACAATGAAATAATATTCAGCCACAAAAAGAATAAAATTCTGTCATTTGCAGCAACATGGATGAGCCTAGAGGGCATTATGTTAAGTAAAATAAGCCAAATGCAGAAGGAAAAATACCACATGATCTCAATTACATGTGGAATTTGAAAAAGTTGAGGACAGAGAAGTCAAGAGTAGAATAGTGGTTACCCGAAGCAGGAGAGGGGAGGGAGGAGAGATGAGTGGGGGAGAGGTATGGCAATGGGTACAATGTTACAGTTAGATAGGAAAGATTAGTTCTGGAGTTCTATTGCACAGTGCTGTGACTATGGTTAACAATAATGTATATTTCATAATAGCTAGGAGAGAGGATGTAAATGTTCTCACTACAAAGAAATGATAAATCTTTGAGGTGATGAGTTTTCTAATTTCCCTAATTTAATTGTTACGTGCTGAAAAAATGTATCAAAGTTGTACTAGGCTATTCTCATAGTGCTATAAAGAAATACTTGAGACTGAGTAATTTATAAAGAAAAGAGATTTAATTGGCTTATGGTTCTGTGGGCTCCATGGGAAGAATAAGGTCAGCCATCTGCTTAGCTCCCGGAGAGACCTTAGGAAACTTAAAATCATTGCAGATGCAAACAGGGAGGGAGCACATCACAAAGCCTGAACAGGAGGAAGAGAGAGATGGAGGAAGAACTACACACTTTTAAACAACCAGATCTCATTTACTATCATGAGAGCAGCACCAAGTGGAAACTTCACCCCCATGATCCAATCACCTCCCATCAGGCCCCACCTCCAATATTGGGGATTACAATTCAACATGAGACTTGGGTAGGCACACAGATCCCAACCATATCAAAAACATCATGCTGTACCTCATACATATTTACACTACTTACGTGTCGATTAAAAATAAAATAAAACAAAAAATATATATATAACCTTAATAAAATGACTTATGTCCTTAATGGTATTGCCTAGATTTTCTTCTAGGGTTTTTATGGTTTTAGGTCTAACATTTAAGTCTTTAATCCATCTTGAATTAATTTTTGTATCAGGACATAGGCATGGGCAAGGACTTCATGTCTAAAACACCAAAAGCAACGGCAACAAAACCCAAAATTTACAAATGGGGTCTAATTAAACAAAAGAGCTTCTGCACAGCAAAAGAAACTACCATCAGAGTGAACAGGCAACCTACAGAATGGGAGAGAATTTTTGCAATCTACTCATCTGACAAAGGGCTAATATCCAGAATCTACAATGAACTCAAACAAATTTACAAGAAAAAGACAAACAACCCCATCAAAAAGTGGATGAAGGACATGAACAGACACTTCTCAAAAGAAGACATTTATGCAGCCAAAAAACACATGAAAAAATGCTCATCATCACTGGCCATCAGAGAAATGCAAATCAAAACCACAATGAGATACCATTTCACACCAGTTAGAATGACGATCATTAAAAAGTCAGGAAACAACAGGTGCTGGAGAGGATGTGGAGAAATAGGAACACTTTTACACTATTGGTGGGACTGTAAACTAGTTCAACCATTGTGGAAGACAGTGTGGTGATTCCTCAGGGATTTAGAAAGAGAAATACCATTTGACCCAGCCATCCCATTACTGGGTATATACCCAAAGGATTATAAATCATGCTGCTATAAAGACACATGCACACGTATGTTTATTGTGGCACTATTCACAATAGCAAAGACTTGGAACCAAGCCAAATGTCCATCAATGATAGACTGGATTAAGAAAGTGTGGCACATATACACCATGGAATACTAAGCAGCCACAAAAAATGATGAGTTCATGTCCTTTGTAGGGACATGGATGAAACTGGAAACCATCATTCTCAGCAAACTATCGCAAGGACAAAAAACCAAACACCACATGTTCTCACTCATAGGTGGGAATTGAACAATGAGAACACTTGGACACAGGAAGAGGAACATCACACACTGGGGCCTGCAGTGGGGTGGGGGGAGGGATAGCATTAGGAGATATACCTAATGTAAATGACGAGTTAGTGGGTGCAGCACGCCAACATGGCACATGTATACATATGTAACAAACCTGCACTATGTGCTCATGTACCCTAGAACTTAAAGTATAAAAATATATATATATATAAAATAAATAAATAAAATGAGTTATGTCTCTGATATTTTGTGGTTTCAGTAAGTAAACAAAAAACAGTGATTGACAATCTGATTAGCAGAGTTACTACAAATTTCTTGCAGAAATCTCAGTCATTTTTATCAACTTATCTTCAGTTTGTATCAAGGTTTTGTTTTGAAGAATCTAAAATATGGAAACATATGTTCCCTGACTTGTATTGACAATAAAGCTGGCTTCCAAGTAATCTCTTCGTGGGCAATTACTTTGTTCTTTATGCAACAGCCTCATACAACAAACTTTCTGGAAAAGTTTTTTCCCTTGATTTTCTCCTCTCATATATGCTGCTTATGTTCCTCTTCCATTTTTCTTCCTCTCATCACTTTTGTAAATCATACATAAATCAACACTATTTGTTCTGTCTTTCTTCCTGTCTCCTAAATTTCATAATATTAATTCTTTCAAAAAACACATTAAAACAACAGCATGCATCTGGGACTATGTTAATTTCTAATTATGTAAAGATTAATAAAAGCATGTTCTCTGTTCTTAATAATCTCACTAGTAGGTACATAGGCAATTAAACAAAAACTGCAATAAATTTATTAATTGCTACAATAAAAATATTATGAAAATCCAGTAGAAATTCAGAGTCTCTAGAGAAACTGATTGCTCACAGGACAATTATAAACATTTGATAAATTTTTACAATTGGGTTGAATACTGAAAGTAAATATGTTTTGCTCAACAAAAATTGACTAGAGCATCCAAAGCCAAAGAAAAATAATATATAAATACATCATAATGTGAAATAGCCTAGAAAGTGATAAGGAGTTTAGTGTAGCTGAAGTGTAGAGAAAAAACAGGAGACTGTTAGGATATGAGACCTCAGGAATTCTTTATAACCTTTCAAATTGGTGATTAAACTTTGATATATCTATATTCAACAGATACATGTACAAATGAGCACAGTCATACACAGCTAGCTGGGATGTCAATTATTTTAACCTTTACAGAAAACAAATTTTCAAAAGACACAACAATTTCCTTAATTATTCATATTCATTAGATCAGACCCTCCACAATGATAGATTATATAAAAGTTAATGTGTATTTGCTCTAGCATTCAGTTGCAAAAATGTTTGGTTAAGTATTGAAGTGTTGGAAAGTAAACTGGTACTCCAAGAAAATGGGAGTACCAATATATTGGTACCCAGACAGCTTATGATGATTTGTATAGTATGTTTAACAACATGGCAAGCTATTAATTATATATTGTTAAATAAAACCTGTAAATAATATGAGTATAAATGGTATATTTTTAATACTTTTATCTATACATCTATGTATATATTATATAGCAAGTAGGGATAGATATGTCAAAGTATTAATTATGAATATTTTAGGTGGTATAGTATTGTGTCCGAAATTTATTCCCTCTGGTGGGTTCTTGGTCTTGCTGACTTAAAGAATGAAGCTGCAGACCTCGTGATGAGTGTTACAGCTCTTAAAGATGGCACGTCCAGAGTTGTTTGTTCCTTCTGGTGGGTTCGTGATCTCACTGACTTCAGGAATGAAACCACAGACCCTCACAGTGAGTGTTACAGCTCTTAAAGGTGGTGTGGACACAAAGAGTGTGCAGCAGCAACATTTATTGTGAAGAGCGAAACAACAAAGCTTCCACAGCCTGGAAGGTGACCCAAACAGGTTGCTGCTGCTGGCTGGGGTGGCCAGTTTTTATTCCCTTATTTGTCCCCGTCCACATCCTGCTGATTGGTCCATTTTACAGAGCACTGATCGGTCCATTTTACAGAGTGCTGATTGGTGCATTTACGATACTTTAGCTAGACACAGAGTTCTGATTGGTGCATTTTTACAGAGTGCTGATTGGTGCAGTTACAATCCTTTAGCTAGACACAGAGTGCTGATTGGTGCATTTACAACCTTTTAGCTAGACACAGAGCACTGATTAGTGCATTTACAATCCTCTAGCTAGACAGAAAAGTTCTCCAAGTCCCCATTTGACCCAGGAAGTCCACCTGGCTTCACCTCTCAGTATAAGGAATGTAAATATTTTTACATGTGTAATATTTCAAAATAATACATTTTATTGTTTTAATAGCAAATACAAATACTACATTAAATAGACTCACCATCAAGTAATTGTTATTATCTTCATTGAAAGTATCCTTAACCATTTGAAATAGAGATTTTGATGCTAGAAGGCATTTTAAGATAATATAAGTAAAGAAAGGTATATGAAGTGGGATAAGTAGCCAAAGCAATCACCATGAATAACAACACCATGTCAATGACATGCCAAAGAAGAGGGACAGAAATGGACAATAAAAGGAAACGAGACAATAACAATAAGTCTGGGATCCATATACGTGTTTCAAAGATCCACTTTCATGAATCAATTCAAATGTTCTATAAAATAAATATATACTGAGGAGTAGAAATAGTTCCTTGAGCAATTATTTTCAAAATATTTTGAAAAATAATGTTAGCTGACTTGATTCTAAAATCCATGTGAAGTAGATATGATTCTCATTTGTTTTAATTTTTCTTCTTTCACAAAATTCTCCTTCAGCCTTGAAAAACTTATGTGTCTTCTACTGACATAGCATCTTATATAGTTTAGAGTTTCATATTAATATCAACATATAAATGGTTCAAGTAGATAACAAAATATTCAAAAGATATGCTGATACAAATTTCCAGAAGCCTGCCATTGTCGATTTTTGAAGTGCCTTCTCTCTTACTCTGTGTGTGTGTGTGTGTGTGTGTGTGTGTGTGTCCGTGGGTGTGTTTGTGTGCAGTAAGTATCTTCAATTAATTACAACAATAAAATCATTGACTCTTTTGGATTTAATTTCTTATAAATTTATCATTTTTATTTATTGATATTCATTTTCTATTTTTTAAACTTAATCTTGATAATTAACTGAGAGAAAATAGGAACATATTCTTTAAGATTATTGTTGCAGTGTGCTTAGTCCCTAGTTCAACTAGGTCCAAGTTCTTGTCCCATGACCAAGAAGAATAAGGCACCCAGGCACAAGAGGGTGAGTAGAGTAGGATTTATTAAGCAAAATGAAAATTCTCAGCAAAGAGAGGGGCCTGAAATCAGGTTGCCAGAAATGTGGCTGAGTTCTGGGTCTTTTATGTGTCAAGAGCAAGGAAGTCTTCTGTGGGCTCTGCCCAAGTGGGAGGGATAAGTTTCTCTCCTAAGGGTATTGCCTCTCTGCATGCCTGGGTTTGGCCAGAGTGACTCCATCTTGGCTATTACCCATGAGTGCCACAGAAGGGCTGAAACCACAATGCTAATGTCATGCTAATGATATTAAAAGGAGTTGGGTCAAGTTAAGGACATTTAGGTTGATTTATAGCACCTGCACCTAGTTTGGGACACTACCTTTTGAGCAACATCCTGGCATTAGAGGAGGTTCTTAACCGCATTTCTTCCTGCTAGCTACAGTGGTGGTGCAGGTGCAGTCCTGTGGGTATTTTTTCCACTATCAATACCCTCCCTCTCCATCTGCCTAACCTCTAACTGCCAGCCTCTTACTGCCTCCTGTCTCATTACTATGTTTGATTTTTCTCTAAATGTGGGTACAGGAAGTAATTTAATACTTTTCATTGGAGTTTGGTCCATTTTGAGAAACTCAGCTTAATAAGGAACTCTGTGTATTAATGCACTTTGAGCAGGCTAAGCCTTGATGTCAGAATCTTGGTGATTACTAACAGTAATTTTGTTCAGGCAATCCACTTTACCCTAATAGAACATTGCTCAAATATTTATTATCTTAATAATTTAAATATTTGAAATATTCCTTACAGTATACTAGCCCCAACAATAAGTTACTTTGTTTTGTTACTTACTACATAAATAGTATATGTAGCTTTGTGTATGTATCTACATCTATATAGATACAGATACATACACATGATATAGTTCAATTTAGGTTGAAATATTTATTAAAACCAATTAAACTGCGAGTTACATATGTTCAAAAGCTGTGTTATTTTCACCCTCTTAAAGAGCATCTATTTTCAGATTAATTAAGCAGCTTGGAGAAATAAAACATGCTATATAAACTCTAAATTAGAGTAAACAAATACACATTAAAAGGCAATCAGGAGAATTATTCTTCAATTTTAAATCAAAGAATAACCCTTTGAAGAGGACAAAATAATGTGTGCTTTCAATCTGAAAGTTGAGTAGTATCACTTTTGAAATGTTATCTTACATTTAATGAGATTAATATAAATATCAGTTTTCTGATACTGAATGCAATAAATTGAGCTCCTTTGCTTTGCACTGAACTCCTTTGCATATCACTGATGATCATCAATCATATAGACAATAGTTTCTTATTTTAGAATTAAAATTGGATACTGTTATCAACAGATTTCTGTGGAATAAACTATATTATTTTCAATGAGGGGAACTTTTCATCAATAGCCCGAGGGAATGATGAAGTCTCGCTAGTCATGAACAAACAGATTCTATTCCCTAAGAAAGCTATTAGTCAACCCGTGAATGTATCCATTTGCTGATACTGATGATTACACATATACACTTAGGAAAGTACAGATTTATTCTGAATTACTGGCACAATAGTGTTCATAAAATTTTTGCCCATGTTTATGGGACTTAACATTCATTATGTGTGCTCTATCACACCATTCAGGGTCAATAATTAATCAGGAGATGAAAATACATATCTATCTATATATACATATATATATTCTATTTCAGAACCATTATCTTTTCAGGTATAAGTTTAATTACCATATGTTTTTAAATTAGAATGATAGCATATTAAAGCAAACACAATTATCAGAACAGTATTTCCTAATAGAAGATGCAAAATTGGAAAAAAGTGAAGAAAGTAAGCAAAGGTGACAATATGTAAGGTGAATTTTTTATTTATCCTATTTTCAAGCACTCATATTCGCTGGTGTATTTCACAGAAAAACTAATAATTTTAGATTAAAATGATTCTCAATTCTAACAAAACTTTTCTTATAAAATGGAAAATAAAATCCAAATATTTTACATAATCTAAAGGTTTTTCTCAAAATTTGAATTGGCATGCATTTATTATTCCATGCACAATTGGAACCACTCAAATGTTTGAATAAAAAAGAAACATGAGTTCATTTTAGATTTTATATAAATAAGTCTCTCACCAGAATTAACTCTTAAATCTTCCTTTAACTTATGTGAGGGATCATCCTAATGCAAACACCATCTAATTTTTTTTAAAATAATAAGGAAAACATATGAGCTGACTTGTGTTTCATAACCATGCAGCTTTACTATTAATCAAGTAGGAGGAAATGGAACCCAAACAGAACAGCAGAATTATTTGAGTATAAGAGAGGACCAAAACCAGGCATATATAGAGTAAGACTCTAGGAAACCATGGTAAAAATATAACTGAGGTTTTACAAACCTAACTAGAAATATTATTACTCACATAGTGATGAAAAAACAAGTTGGGGTTAAGTCATAGTAAAAAAGAGAAATATGATAATCATCATTTGCATTTTATTTGAAATATAAAAATGTTCAAGCTTGAATTTTAAGGGAAAATGAAAATAATCTAGTGCTTATAAAGTTTAAAACCAAGCCTATATATAATCAGGGTGATATGGTAACAAATTATCTACATGTTTTAAGAAAATAATTCAGCCACTTTGAAGGAAGATATAATTTCAAAGCCTCAATATTTTTTCAGTGATAAAGCAGGACATCTCATTTTGAACTACAAAAAATGCAGAAGCAAGAGAAAGAAGGAAATAATACAAGAATAGCCTATAATTTCATTATTTTAGTGACAAGTAAAACAATGAAGAAGTTATGTAAAAACATAAAGAATTTAAACAGAAATGTCAGGAGATATAAAAATAATTCAGGTAATTCAAATCACAGAATTTCTGAAACTAAACGTTCTTTGGATAGCTCTAATAGCAGATCAGTCACGTCTTAATATAGAATTAATGACCTGGAAAATCACGCAAATAATACACTTTGAAAAACATTAAGAATAACAATGAAAGGAAGAAAATTAAGAAATAAGATAGTAAAAAAGGCTTGTTGAATATAGCCAGAGGCTTTAAAGTTGTAACTGTAGTTCAAAATGGAGATAAGGGGGTAGGAGAATATGATAAAATGAATATTAACATATGCAATGGCTGAGAGTTTTCTAAAACTGATTAAACACTTTACTAGAGATTAAAAAAAATACATCATCTCAAATAGGATAAAAATAAAGAAAATAAAACTTAGACATCTTACAGTTAAGCAGACAAAGACAAAAATTTAAAAAGATATCTTAAAAACAACCAGAAGACAAATGAGTTTAAAGAGCAACAATAGGACTGAGAGCAGACATTTTAATATGAAATGTGAGAGCAAGAAGACAATGGATTATTTATTTTTATTTTTTAAGACACACCCTTGCTCTGTTGCACAGGCTGGAGTGCAGTGTCACGATCTCGGCTCACTGTAACCTCTGCCTCCTGGGCTCAAGCGAGCACATGAGGCTAATTTTTTTTTCATTTTTAGTAGAGACAGGGTTTCACCATGTTGACCAAACTGGTCTTGAAATCCTGACCTCAAGTGATCCACCCGCCTCAGCCTCCCTAAGTGCTATGATCACAGGCATGAGCCACCATGCCCACCCTGGACTAGTATTTTTAAAATGTGAAATATGTACCTGTGAATACTGCAACATAATATTCTACAATAAGAAAAAATAATGTCTTAAAATTAACAGGAAATTAATATGTGTTTTATGAAGAATTTTTTTTTCTTTTTTTTTTTTTTGTTTCCACCAGGACAACTTATAGAATGTTGGTGGGAATGTAAATTAGTTCAGCCACCTGGAAAGCAGTTTGGAGATTTCCCAAAGAACTTGAAACAGAACTACCATTCGACCCAGCAATCCCATTACTGGGTATATATCTAAAAGAAAATAAATCATTCTACCAAAAAGACACATGCATCTTACATTCATCGCAGCACTATTCACAATAGTAAACACATGGAATCAACCTAAGTGTCCATCAGTGGTGGATTGGATAAAGAAAATGTGGTACATATATAACATGGAACACTACACAGCCATAAAAATGAATGAAATCATGTCCTTTGCAGCAACATGGTTGCAGCAGGAGTCTATTATCCTAAGCAAATGAATGCAGGAAGAGAAAAGCAAATACTGCGTGTTCTCACTTATACGTGTGAGCTAAACTTTGGTATTCATGGACATAAACGTTGGAACAATACACACTTGGGACTACTAGAGGGAGAGGAAGGAAGGAATAGGGGCAAGGGTTGAAAAACTACCTATTGGGACCTGGTACTATGCTCAGGACCTGAGTGGTGGAATCACACTTATCCCAAACCTCAGCACCACACAATATACCCATGTAACAAAACTGCACGTGTATACCCTGAATCTAAAACAAAAATTGAAATTATTTTAAAAAGTAAAAAAAAGAAGTACTTCATATATAACTAATAAATATGTGTTTTTATCTACTGTAATTCTTTAAAGACTTTATACAGTCCAAAAATTTTAAAAAATCTAAAATGTAAAACAATCGAACTCATGAAGATAGAGAGTAGAATGATGGTTACCCAGAAGGGTAATAGGGTGCTGGAGGGGAAGGGGGAGTGGATGGTTAGTATCTACAAACTACAGTTAAATTGAATGAATAAGATGTAGTATTTGATAGCACAACAGGCTGACTACAGTCAACAATAATTAATTGTACATTTTAACAATTTAAATAGTATAATTGGAATGTTTATAGCATAAAGAAATAATAAATGCTTGAGGTGATGGATATTCCTTCCATTTACCCTAATGTGATTGCTACACATTGTATGCCTGTATCAAAATCTCTCCTGTATCTCATAAATATATACACCTACTATGTACCCATTAAAATTATTATATTTATTTTTTGAGACGGTGTCTTGCTCTGTTGCCAGCCTAGAGTGCAGTGGCGCGATCTCGGCTTACCACAACCTCCGCCTCCCTGGTTCAAGCAATTCTCCTGCCTCAGCCTCCAGAGTAGCTGGGACTACAGGTGCCTGCTACCACGCCCGGCCAATTTTGGTATTTTTAGCAGAGACGAGGTTTCACCATATTGGCCAGGATGGCCTCCATCTCTTGACCTCATGATCCACCCGCCTCGGACTCCCAAAGTGCTGGGATTACAGGCATAAGCCACCGCGCCCGGCCAAAAATTTAAAAAAAGAAATAATTGGCGTAAATAATTGGCGTAAATAATTGGCATAAAAATTTGTCAGTATTTGAAGATGACATATTGTGTACATTATAAACATAAAATTTCCAGAACTGATAAATGATAATCTTAGCAAGCACTGAATAAAAAGACATGAAATCGCTTATATTTCAACAGCCATCCATAAAGCAGCTGTCAAAAATATATTTGAAAGCACTTCAAAAGAATCAAATATCTATTAATTAATTTCATGAAAGTAGACAAAAATAACTACACTGAAACCTAGCAGTCTACTGTGTTATATAAAAGAGACTGGAAAAAATTAAAAGACATTAGAAGATTTAAGAGTAAGATATCAAATCTTATTAAAATGCCAATGCTTACCAAATATATTAATAGAATTAATAAAATACTCAATGTGTGTGTATGCACTGATGCATTTTGACAAGCTGATTCTAAAATGTATATGATGATACAAAATATCTAGGAAAGTCAAGACAATCTTCAATAAGAATAACAAAGTTCAAGGATTCCAACTATCTGATTTTAATGTATTATATAATAGCAATAAAGTGTTATTAATAAAAAGATATAAGAATACAGAAGGTCTAGAAATAATTCCACCTATAAACAATCATTTTATTTACAACAAAGGCATTGCTGCAATTTAGTGAGGAAATCATCAACCTTCCATTAAATAAATGGTGTTAGAGAAATTAGTTGAAAATATGGATCAAAATCATTCATTTCCTCAGTACAATTATTATCAATATACATTCTGGAATTTTTTCTTTTTTTTTTTTTTTTTGAGACAGAGTCTTGTACTGTCACCCGGGCTGGAGTGCAGTGACATGATCTCGGCTCACTGCAACTTCCACCTCCTGGGTTCAAGCGATTCTCCTGCTTCAGCCACCCAAGTAGCTGGGATTACAGGAGTCTGCCACCATGCCTGGCTAATTTTTTGTATTTTTAGTAGGCACTGGGTTTCACTATGTTGGCCAGACTGGTCTCAAACGCCTGACCTCGTGATCCACCCACCTCGGCCTCCCGAAGCGCTGGGATTACAGGCGTGATCCACCGCGCCCGGCCACATTTTGGAAATTTGTATGCAAAAATAAATTTAGTGGATTACAGGTATGTATCTATATGCCATACTGGTATATTTTTAGAAGAAACAACAAGAAAATATATTAGCAAACATTGCACAGGTAAGATTTGAAAAAGAACTAATCACTAAAAAAAGAATTGGAATTTATTAAAACTAAAGAAATCCCGTTTTATTTTTACTAAGAACGTGTGTTATTCTGGGTTCTCTGAGAAGCAAACACTAAAATGAATTATACATGCAAGAAATTTATTAAGGAAAATGGCTGTTTAAAAAAAAGGGAAGGAATACTGGAGAAGCCCTGAGACCCTGATTTAAGTTTGACTCAGGGTGAACAAGAGAGAAAAGGAAAAAGAAAATGTTGAGGTTGAAATATCTTAAACTGCAGTGTGATTTTAATGAAAGTCAACGAGGTTGTCAAGGTGTCCTGAAGTCAGTTAGGAATCATAGGAGTCACACATCTCTCAGAAACTGACCTGCCTTAGTATCACTGCTAGACTTAATTACTCAGTGGCTAGGAGCAGGTGATGAGAAGTGAGAGTTCATGGAAAATGAAGTAATGGATTTCAGAGGGTGGCAGCTGAGTTCTACAATCAATTATGTGCCTTGCAACCATAGATATGAGAAGTACATTCTCATAGCCAGCATAGGATGTGAAAACGATAGAAGTTGTATATACATGTATGTGTGTACATATATATAAACACAATTACATAGAATACTCTGTATAATACATAGAATACGACATATATATAATCAAAAGCAAAATAAAACTAAAACACAAGATATGCATTTATTGGTAATAAAAGATACATGCAAAATTGCAGAAATCATGTCCATCTTTAAAAAATGATTTAAAGAATAAACAAATTAATGGATACATAGTCTTCAATTTTTGAATGGTACTGATTCCTATTAAGTAGATCATAGGGTAAAACAAATTCAATTAGAATCAATGAGAAACCCGAAATACCTTTAAGACAGTGTACAAATAAGCTAACTGCTAAGAATATCTATGGAATATGGGGAAAAGAAACAAACGGGGTATTTCACGCTAAATAATAAGACTTATTACAAAGGCACAGTAATTCAATTAAAGTAGAAGGATGATGTTTCAAAGGATAGCCTGAAAAAAAACAGACTTGTGTATACATAGAACATGATTTATGGCAACGTGATACTGCAGATTAATGGAGAGAGGACAAACCTTTCAGAATTTAGTGGTAGGACTATTCATTATCTTGTATTAATTATCTACTGCTGCATATAAAGCCCCCACACTGAGATGGGTTTAAAATAACAAATTGATTCAGCTCTTTTTTTTGTAGGTAACCTAATATGGTTATGTTCTTAGCTGGTTTGGCTGATCATTGTGGTCATTTAGTAGCTTAGCTATAACTGAGGGGTCTAAAATGTCTGGTTAGAATAATTGATGTAGGGTACCTCTACTAAGCTCATTTTTGCTTACACAATACAAATCTCCAGTAGGGCTACCCTGGGCTTCCAAGCATGATGGCAGAAGAGATTCAGCAGCATGAGCCAAAACCCACAATGACTAGTACTTTTTTAAAAAAAGCTGAAGTATATAGTTTATTTTTTTTTTTTATTTTTGCAACAGAGTCTCGCTCTGTAGCCCAGGCTGGACTGCAATGGTGTGATCTCACTCGCTGCAACCTCTACCTCCCAAATTCAAGCAATTCTCGTGCCTCAGCCTTCTGAGTAGCTGGAACTACAGGTGTGTGCCACCATGCCTGGCTTTTTAAAAATTATTATTATACTTTAAGTTCTGGGATACATGTGCAGAACGTGCAGGTTTGCTACATAGGTACACACGTGTCGTGGTGGTTTGCTGCACCCATCAACCTGTCATCTACATTAGCTATTTCTCCTAATGCTATCCCTCCTCTAGCCTCCCACTCCCCGACGGGCCCCTGTGGGTAATGTTCCCCTACCTGTGTCCATGTGTTCTCATTGTTCAACTCCCACTTATGACTGAGAACATGCGGTGTTTGGTTTTCTGTTCCTGTGTTAGTTCGCTAAGAATGATGATTTCCATGTTGGCCTTGTTACAAAGTCTGACAAATAAAACAAAAAACTCGTATGACATCAGCAGGGGTTTAATCAACCTCTGCTTATCTCTAACAATCAAAAGCAAAACAAAACAAAAAACACAAGATATGAATTTATTGGTAATAAAAGATACATGCAAAATTGTGGAAATCATGCCCATCTTTAAAAAATGATTTAAAGAATAAATTAATGGATACATAGTCTTCAATTTTTGAATAGTACTGATTCCTATTAAGTAGGTCATAGAGTAAAATAAAATCAATTAGAATAGTTTGTTGCTCTTTATTTTTTGAACCTCTCCTTATGCCATGTAAGCTTTTTGTTTTATTTGTCAGACTTTTAACAAGGCCAAGATCAGTGTTGATGTATGAGGAGAATATTGAAGAACTTGCATAGAGGGAGTAAAGTTACTAGTTTTCCAAAAAAAAAAAAAAAATCACATACACAGACATGCACACAGACACACATATTATAAGGGAAAATATGACATTTCAACCCAAGTAAAATTAATAAAAATAAAGGGTTTAAATTTGAACTCAAACCTTAAGAACTTTTAGTATGAAATATGGAAATATAGAAAAAATATTTTAACTCTAAAATGACCAATTCATTAGGGTCATTAAATTAAAAGTAAATTGTGATTCAAAAAGATGAAATAAGGAAAATGGAAGAGGAATACAGGAATTTGGAGGGCCTATTTAATACACATAAGAGGCCATTGAGTTATATATTGTGAACTATTTAAAAATCTTAAAAATAAGTGTTTATTTCAGCAAAAGGAAAGGTCAGCGGACATTCTAACATAAATAATTAGAAAACTGAAAATCACAAATTTCTATCATGACAAACTGAGAAAAGTTAGAAATCTGGTAATTCTACTCACTTTGGTAAACATTTAGAGTGTAAGATTTTTTATGGGAGAAATATGGTATTTATGAAACTTGAAAATGTTGATACCAGTGACCCAGCAGTTCTACTAATGGATATATCCAATAGTAAAATCTCTCATGCATGTGCACCAAGAAACGTGTAATTAAGTGTTCATAAAAATATCGTTTATAAGAAGTTGGGAAAAATTTGAATATTCATCACAGAAGATTGTATAATTGAATTAGTATATTCTTCATTCAGTGGAATACTACATTGCTATAAAAATGGTTTTTCTATAGCTGTCCAGCCACTTTCACATATCCACACATATAACTTTTAACAATCTCAATGTGGAGAAAAAAAAAACGTTATGACTGTGGTTCCAATATATAAATGTTTAAGCAGAAAAACACCTGAAAATAAATTAATGTTCAGTAAAAGGTATAACGAGAAAAACTTGGGATTGTAAGTTCACCCAGCCCCATATCCCTTGACCCTACTTAACACCCTGAGAAGGTGCTAAGAAACCAAAGCGCAACTGGGACAAGTTCAGCTTGGCAGGTAGATTAGCTTATTAGGACTTAGATATGTGGCATTCCTGGACAGCATCGGGACGGCTCTAGAGATCCATGCCACCTCCGATCTCTAAGCTGCTTGTAAGTTAATTTTCTGGCTCTTTGCCTACTGTGTTTGTGTGACGGTACTATTTTCCTTTGTAGGTTCTCAGATACTCTCTAGGATGTTTGGGTTCTTAAAGTTGCCTGCTCTTTGGCTGGGCACCATGGCCTTGGCTCACCGCCCAGCCTCAGGGTTCTAATCGCAGACACACATTTAGCATGGGACTCATCACACTACAAAAGGTATGTGAATAATATTAATACAATACTCATGAACAGCATGGTATTTACCTTGTAAGAAGAGAAGTCTGCGATAGAGAAGTATGTAGGAGGCCTCAAAGAATGTAGCGGAATTATGATTCTCAAGCAATAGGTTGTACACAAGAGTGTTCATTTCATTTATCTTTACCTCATATACATATATGTTATATAAGATTAATGTATGTAAAATATTTTTATAATATAATATTTTTTAATAATGATAGCAAAACTGATCTAAAATTTATGCATTTAAATTGTATGTTATTTAAAAGTCAATGTAATTTAAAAGAGAATGAAGTATAAAAAAATTAAAAATCAATAGACCTAGTAGCTTGTACCAAATACTTTTTTTTTCCTCATGAAGATGTTAAAGCTTTCTCATACTCTATAATCAATTATTAAGGCCGAAGGTTTTGGTACCATATAAACTATGGAGTCCAACTTATTTCTTAAATTATTGATTTTAAAAAATTTAGCTAATATTGCAAAGTCTCTCTTCTGTCATGTAAAAATGAGAGTATTAATGGTAAATTTCACCTGAATTAGTTTGGGGACATAAATATGAGAGTGAAAATGTTTGGTACAGTGCATTATAATCTAATAAGTGGTCAATAAGTACTCAATAGCTATAGTTAATAGTTATTAGTACTATTTATCTTACTGTTATACTGAATGATAGAATCACTCCATAATTAATGTAACTCAATTTTAATTGAATATCACATAAATGCATAGCAGATGAAGAATCAATTATCCTTTATAATCTTACTCAGATGCTCTTCAATTAACATTCATGAAATTTGAAATTTCATGAATATGACTGAAGTATGTTTTGGTATTTCTCCCTTATTAGAATGTCAATGATATTCCTAATTTCTGTAAAAAAGTTGCATTTATTAATATGTGCATTTTTTGGTTACAGATTTTATAACTTTCTTTGGATTATCAAAGTGATCTATTACTCATTATCAAAAATGAGATACTCTTCTAATTAAAAATATAAATAGTTAATATTTCTATGTTCAAACTAAAACCCTTAGTACATTTTTGAAATAATACCTTACATGTTGAATAATACAAAGAAATCCAGAAAAAGGCATGACATTGAAGATGAACAATACATTTTATTTCTTTGAATGCAGATATAATAATTAGGATAAGTGACAAATATTTATCCTGGGAGTGAAAAAAATACTTTTGCTTATACTAAATTGTCATTCTTTTTATTTATTGAGTGACTAAATTATTTAATAAAAATAACATAGACTATGGGGAATATGCACGGGAGGTACAAACTGTAGGAGAGTAAAGTTTGAGTTTTATTCTGTGCCAGCATTAGTTGTGATAGTCAATTACAAAGTAAATACTGTTTTTGTTTTTTGACTGATATATCCATTTTAAAGATTATATCTTTATTGCCTGGACAACTCTCCATTGGGCTTCAATGTACAAACATTTTTTACCCTAGGAACATTCTTTTCAGCTTTAAAATAAATGCATCACTTACAATATCTTGTTACACTGTGAAAAACTGAGAATTGAATAGAATCTCCTAATATTATGTTCTTCTAAATATAAATATTGGCTAGAAAAATCCAAATAAATGTATTAAAATCACATGAATGCACACAAATATCTCTCATCACTATCCCCACAATTTCATCCTCAAGCATTCATTGTATGATGAGTTTTCACAATTAACCCTAGGCCAAATGTTGATACTGGTATTGGCAAGCAATGTTCACAAACCATTTTGAGTGTATTATGTTTTTGACTTGATTTTAGTGTTTCAAAAGAGCAAAAATCTAGACACATAGTCATTATGCCATTTGCCAAGATTACCAAATATAAATTGTTTTTTTGAGGCTCACAGGTGAAAATAAGAAGGTTAAAGTTGCATATGATAAAATACTTTTCAAAAACAAAAAAAAAATAATATTTAAGCACATTATGTACTCACATTATATTTTCAATGATAAGAGCAAGCAAACACTTCTGATTTTCTTTTCCTGCATACCAATGATTGTTTCAGGGGTGAGTAAATAATAGGCCCCTAATTTTTATGTACTGTCTACCTCTGAGGAATTACTTCCAACTTTTTTTTACTATGCTTTCTCCTTTTGCTAGGAAAAATTATGTTCTTCTCATACTGTCTCTGGAGAAGTGCCACTTTAATGATGGGGGGGTAGATTGGAAATGGGAAGGTACATGAATTAAACATAACCTTAGTGTTCAGTGAAAATACATTTTTTAATGAACTTGAATAAGTACTGAGCTATGTTTAGAAAGATATGTATTAGAGCTGAGGGTTTTTTTTAATTTTGGTGTTTGCATTATATATATAATCTTAGTACTATGATGTGAGTGACTGCTCGCAAGAAGGCAACTGAAGTCGATATCAATTAACCTGTAAGTCTTATCAATATTTTTGTAGGCTGACAAAGAAGCACATGCTGAGATAGAGTTTTGACATGCATGGTGTTCACCAGGCATCAACAAGTGTGGCAGAGAGGGAGAAGTAGATTTGGGGAAAGGGTAAAAGTCTACCTAAAATATAGGCCTAAAAAAGTCTCAACTAACCTAACAGAAAGCTTAGAAATATACATGGCTCAAGACTGATGACCTTGCTCTGCAGGAATGACCAGTCTTTCAATCTGCACCCAAATCAGTCAATAGTATGGGCTGCTCTAGGAGCACAAGGTAAGGGAATACTTAAAGAAACTGGCAGCTGCAGTATGTCTGCAGACAGCTAGGGAAACAGATATTTACTTAAAGGACCCTAATTGTTAATTATATTTTTAAATTTATCAGTTTGTATAATATTTTGACATTTTTCTTTTGTCCAAATCTGATCTGTCACTATTTTTTAAATTTATAATTATACTGAATCTTTCAAACTTAACTATCATCTGCTTGAAATATTAAGCATAGTTTTAGAACAGTCTATGAGTCAAATTGTAAATCCTAGATTTCATTAAGTGCTAAATTTTCACAAATTATTTTTGGAAATTATTTGAGAATAAGCATGAAGATTTATTCATTCAGAAATGACCAATCAGATTTGGACCAAAAATAGCCAAGAAAAATTATACAAATTGATAAACACAGAAATAATCATTAACTAGTCAATGAATTTAACAGATTATATACAGTGGGAGAGATAATTAATTGCCTGGAAGATAGGTCAAAACAACTGGTACAGGACGGGCTCAGAGGCTCACGCCTGTAATCCCAGCACTTTTGGATGCCGAGGCGGGTGGATCGCCTGAGCTCAGGAGTTCGAGACTACCCAGGGCAACATGGTGACACCCTGTCTCTACTAAAAATACAAAAAAATTAACCACTTGTGGTGCTGCACACGTCTGTCCCAGCTACTTGGCAGGCTGAGCCAGGAGAATCACTTGAGCCCCAGAGGCGAAGGTTGCAGTGAGCTGAGATCACGCCACTGCACTGCAGCTTGGGCTACAGAGTGAGATTCCATCTCAAAAAAACAAACAAAACAAAACAAAAACAAACAAACAAACAAAAAAACAACTGGTACAGAATGAGAAATAGAGAGATGAAATAATGGAACATTCAGATCAGTAGAAAAAACATGTAGTGGATCCAGACTAACAAATATTTAATTGGAAACTTGGCCAGCAATAAAAGAGAGAATAGGGAAAAATTTGAATATTCAATGGAGATATGTGTATTTAATATTGAAGAATTTTCCAAAACATTTAAAAGTCATAAATCCAAGAAGCTGAAATGATTATAAATATGATAATCATAAAGAAGCTCACAACCAATACATCACAACAAAACTGTAGAAATTCAAACAAAGATTAAATGTTAATATCATTAGAAGAAAAGAGAGATTTTATTTCAAAATCTAAATTTTAAAAATATCTGACTTCTTAGAAGAAGCCAGAAGACAGTAGACTAACTACAAAATGCTCCATAAGTAAATCATTGACAACCTATTAGGAAACATATACTTCAAGAATTCAGGTGAGCCAAAATATATTTTCTAACAGCTTAAAAGAAAAAATGTTCTACCAGCAGAATCAAACGAAGGCCATTCTAAAGGTGCTCTTCAAGTTTAGGCAGAAAGAACATGGCTGCAAATCAAAGATTATAAATGAAAAAATAAAAAACAGTACATATGACAAAAATGTTGGATAATCAAAGTGATTATTGGTTATAAAAAGCAATCAGAATATTATCCTTTGGGCTAAAACATCTTATATATGATAAATTAAATCACATGCCAAAAATAGCAAAAACATTTGGGATGGAGATAAATAAAGTTAATATGTTCTAAGCTCATTTCATGTCTGTGAGAAGAATGAATGTGTTTGTCGATTTTATTCAGTGAGAGATGTGTGCTGTATTTTTTAGTTAATCACTGCAAGAATGAAATAAATAAAATACAGTTTCTAAGCAAATATAGGTATATGTGGAATAGCAAATGCAGAATATTCAAGGTCGGCGTAACATGAACAAGCAGATAATATCACAAATAAAATAGACATTATGGAATACAAATATAAAACTGATCCAATCTAAAAATTGAAGAATATGTACTATTTTCAAGATCATATAAAATATTTATAAAAACTTATAATATCAAATAACAACTAATTGCAAAGAACTGTACATCAATTGCAGTATGATCAACTACAGATATCTATTAAAGGTTTCTCAAAACAGCAAATTAGTACGAAAAAAGCATTTCCTTTCAGTGTATCCTTAAAAAACTTACAATAAAACTCGAGTTGAAAATAAGACATCCTTTGCAATGGTTAATATTGAGTGTCAACTTGATTGGATTGAAGGATGCAAAGTATTCTTCCTGGGTGTGTCTGTGAGGGTGTTGCCAAAGGAGATTAACATTTGAATCAGTGCACTGGGAGAGACAGTCCCACCCCCAGTCTGGGTGGGCACAATCTGATCAGCTTCCAGAGCACCTAGAATAAGGCAGGCAGAAGAACATGGAAAGACTGGACTGGCTGAGTCTTCCAGCCTCCATCTTTCTCCCGTGCTGGATGCTTCCTGCTCTCAAACAGCGCACCCCAAGTTCCTCAGGTTTTGGACTCTCGGACGTACACCAGTGGTTTGCCAGGGGCTCTCGGGCCTTTAGCCACAGACTGAAGGCTGCACTGTCGGCTTCCCTACTTTTGAGGTTTTGGGACTCAGACTGGTTTCTTTGCTCCTCAGCTTGCAGACGGCCTATTATGGGACTTCACCTTGTGATCATGTGAGTCAGTACTATTTAGTAAACTCCCTTTTATACATACATCTATCCTATTAGTCCTGTCAGTCAGTACTCCTTAGTAAACTCCCTTTTAATACATACATCTATCCTGTTAGTCCTGTCCCTCTAGAGAACCCTAATACATCTTTCATGTAAACTGAAGGAAAAAAAAAACTTACATTCCCATTATCACTCTTACTACTTCATGGTGTAGTACAGATCCTTTGGAGCACAGCAAGTCAAAATAAAAAAGTAAAAACTTCAAAGTATAAAAAGAAAACAAGTTCTTGCTATTTGCAAAGTTATGATTGTGTACATAAACAGTTATACAAATTACTAGAAATAGCATGGTTACTAGAAATATCATTAGATATAATTGAGAATTTAGCCAGGCAGCCAGATATAGAAAAATAATCTACTAAATTTTTGTACAATGAAAATGAAAGTTCACTAGTTACATTCAACAACACCGGTGAGTCTTTGTGAAGCTTTGTGTTAAGCTGACAATATGCATTTCATGGACATACAAACATATAGGAAATTTCAAGAAATATAAGAGAAAACTACACAGAAAATTTAGCATAGGTTTAAGTTGGAGAATCATAGTCAGGCCAGGGATGGTGTAAAGAAGAGAATCATTATTAAATGGTACATTTTGGAAAAATTATTTTTCATGGATTAGTAGATTCCCAGCTCTTCATTTTATCATTTTTATGTATATTATATTTACGTTTTATTTTCTTCTAAATTTGAAATTCCATAATAGGCATTAAGATAAAATAAGATTTGGAAGATTGATAAAAGAAAACAACCTAAGATACAGTAATGGGAAATAAAGAAGGGAAAATCAACTAAATAAACAAAGCAAGCAATTACGTAGTATGTAGATTAAACAGGAAGTCTCAACAAAGTCTACTTGGAATTTGACAGTATAAGGGAGAAGCTTTATCCAAAGCCATGATAGCTAATAGTTTTTATGACTAGAAAAAGAATTTAAAAAATACGTAAGAAAACCTTAATAAAAGCAGAGCTGGCTATTCAGAAACGTTGTGATAAAACCGGCAGTCATAAAATAAAAAGTAAACAGGCTTAAAGACACTCACAAAATATATATTACTTATGAGGAAAGAATATTGGACTGGCAGATTTGTTTTCATCAGCAACAATATCCTAGGAGAAAAAGAATAATAACTCTAAAATATGAAAGAAATATTACTTTTATTCTATAATTTATCTAGCTAACAGAAAAAAATTATACTTACAGTTGACTTCTATCAACAGTAAATATTGGAAAAATTGAATAATGATATTAAAATTCTGATGAAAAAATATCCTTCATGCTACAATTCTATACCCCGCTGTATTCTCATTCAAGCATAAGAATTGGATGGGATTGAGGTACGTGATATTTTTAGAATGTAATAAAGCAGAAACATTACTACAGCAAAACATTCCTAACTACTTTTATGATTTAACATTTATAAAACTTGGTTTTTGCACACATAAATTTGGAGGAGGAGGAGCTTACATTACACTTATATTGTGTACAAATTGCATGTTAAAATGTGAGTATTAAGAACAATGTCTAGGCCAGGTGTGGTGGCTCACACCTGTAATCCCAGCACTTTGGAAAACTTAGGCAGGCAGATCACTTGAGGTCAGGAGTTGGAGTCCAGCCTGGCCAACATGGTAAAACCCCGTCTCTACTAAAAATACAAAAATTAACCAGGCGTGGGGGCATACGCCTGTAATCCCAGCTACTTGTGAGGTTGAGGCACAAGAATCCCTTGAACCTGGGAAGCCGAGCTTGCAGTGAGCCGAGATCCTACTACTGCACTCCATACTGGGCAACAGAGCAAGACTCCATCTCAAACAAAACAAAACAAAAATAGAACAATTACTTTGTTGGTCCACAATGAATATTACTTGTCTCTTTACTACTTTACTATCAGAAATAGTAGTATATATATTTACCTCTATTAAACAATAGAATTAAATCACTTACATTACCTCCTCCAATCTTAGAATTGGCAAGAAGTTAACACCAAAAATTTTTACAAAAAATGCTATCATTTATCACATATTAATAATGATACAAATGCTGTAAAAAAGACTACTTCCTATAAACAGAAAATTATACATAAAAATATTTTATTCTCTCATTTCCCATGTGCTAATTCATATGATTTATTACATTTATCTTATGCTAACAGTATGTATTAACTTCTCAAATATTTTATTACCCACTTCTGAAAATAAATTAATAATCTGTATAAGTCATTTTAAAAGTACTGCAAATCACACTCATTGCTAGTGAAATATTTTAGGTGCATGACAACAGTTTTTATTTTCTCATCAAAATATATGTTTTTCCTTCTAGACCAACAAACTTCAACAATTTGGAAAAGGGAAAAATGCTGTTGGAGGGATTATTATATACAAAGGCTTAAACTAAATTTTCCTGATTTTGACCTGTGAAAAAGTAAAGAAAACCTGTAGAATCATTACAGTCAATAATGCAGCATTTGCAAATTATCCCTCTGATCCATACAGCTTTTAGTTGGCCTGCATGTTCTGTTTGGACACACCATTTCCTCAGACCATTTGCGAAAGTTATTGTTAGCATTTAAGGGGAAATATGTCAGGGAAGGGGGAAGAGGAGCTAGTATAAACTATGGCTCATTATCAAAGGCTGTTGTTGCAATATGGGGAGTTATGAGTAAAGCGAGGGTTATATTGGAGAGAAGAAAGATAATATAGCAAAGAAGGACAGTGAATGTGGTGAGAATAAGAAGTAAAAAAGAGAATCCAAAGAAATATTGTTCTGATGTCTTGGGTAGAAACCTTCATTCTGCTTTCATCTACTTAGTTGTAAATTTTGGGAAAAGCTGTTTACCTTGTGGTATCGTCAGCTTGCGGAGGCTCTTGAGAGCTGTATTTAAGTTCTTCTATTGGAGTGCACTTCCATGAAGACTGGCTTTTTTACCTTTTTAGCTAAGAAACACTAATTTAAGGTCACACTGCCTGGGGTTTGGCAACAGTGTTGGTTGTGAAAGAACATGGATATGATAGTAAGAACATATTTATAATCATGGGAATTAAGAAGCTGAATAAAATCTAGCTGTCAATGAAGAAAAGTTCCTAAACATCTGCATTTTAATAAAACTTTATAGGTAGTAATGTAAATCACCAATTGATTCTCCTTCATACAGAGAAGAACGAGGGAGAATCTATTTCTAAATCTGCCATAAAATAAGACTCACATCTCCTCTCCCTTAATTGCTACTCATTTTATTGCCTTTGTTCTAATTGAACACTGCACTAAAACCATTTTAAAGTAATATATTTAGAAAGAAATAAAAAGTAACAGACTTTGTTTCTAAATAATTATGTACAGAAGTTTTAACTGGCTTCAAAACCTTTTATTATTAAAATGACTTACTTATGCTATGATTCAATCTTCCTAAGTTTTGGCTACCATGTCCTACATCTTCTTCAAATGCACCAATCACACAATCTGATCATGCAAATGTATACAAATATTTAACTCTAAGAATTACATACTTAATAATATCAAAAAGAGCAATACATTTTAAATAAATAGTTTTAAGCCTTTCTTTTTAAGAAAGCTGGAAAGATGGAAACTGAATAACTTTGGAGAACAAGAAAAAATTACAAAATTAATATGATAAATCCTATGATAAACATATTCTCTTTCATAAAATTAATTGTATTTTCTCAGAATAAAAGATGATGCTTTAACTTCACATATATACCTAAATTACAATATGAAGTGTAGCAATAATTTGCTGTCAGTGTTGACTTTTTCAATGAATAAACTGAAAAATTATATTTTTTAGAGTAAATAAATATTTTTAAGCAACTTCCTTTTGAAATCCATATTGTTTCTATTTGTAGGCTAAAGCACAAATACTTTTCTTTGAACTTGTTTCATGGCCGATAAGAAAATTTATTGTTTGAGAAATTACTATTAATATATTACTTGCATTGATATTAATTTGTTGTATTATGATTCTTAGTATCTAAAGTTGCTGATAAATTATGTAATGAACATTTAAAACACCTGATATATTTTTGGGTGATGGCCAACATCCATGCTGCTGACAACCATAACTGCTATTTGTTCTAATGCACAATTAATGACATTAGAAAAATAAATATATTTTCAATAAATAAGAAGTTTTGCTAACTGACTCATTTGAATCACTTTCATAAATGCTGGAATTTTCTTCATAAGTTTTTATTTTTCAGGAATATTACAGATTTGAGTAGACAGTCATTATTATCATGCAGTATGATTTCATCTACTTATGAAAATTCACTTCACTGCAGTTCATTACACAGCTGATTTTCAGCATTTTCTTCATTCTATTGATTCTTCAGGAAACCATATCATTGTCCAGTGGACAATGGAATAGAATAAATTATTTCATTTGGATTTTCTTCCATTACCATACTAATAATGTATTGTGCAAGTAGTATGATTAATTAGTTTTTAATATTATGTGGCTTACAAACTTTTTTCATCATTTATCTTATTTGACAAAAAAATGACAATGCCATGAGATTTCTATCATGATTAAAAGACTTTTTAATTGTAGAAAAGGAAAATATCCTTTTAATATTTCTGATAAATATCAGAAATAATACATATGTAATATTTTAAACGCTAATTTATTTATAAAATGTTCACTTAGCCTTTATGCATTGATTTTAACAGTAGTAGAGAATATGTATCAGCAGAGTAAGACATTAGTACATCACTTGGATGTATAGCTTTAAAGTTAAATTCCAAGGACTAAAATTAAGCTTTTGCCACTCTTACTCCACCTACTCAAGCTTTTACACTTTGTTACAAGACAAACAAGAAATATATAAATGATCCAGTGTGAACGCTAAAATACTACAGCTACACATGCATATGAAATACAATTTTGCTGTATTGGGTACTAAAATACCACAGTTGACTGCCATAGGTAACGCTGTTTCTGCAAAATAGGAGCTAATTCTTTTTTTTTTTTTTTTTTTTCCTTGAGATGGAGTCTTTCTCTGTCGCCCAGACTGGAGTGCAGTGGCGTGATCTCGGCTCACTGCAAGCTCTGCCTCCCGGGTTCACGCCATTCTCCTGCCTCAGCCTCCCGAGTACCTGGGACTATAGGCGCCCGCCACCACGCCCAGATAATTTTTTGTATTTTTAGTAGAGATGGGGTTTCACCATGTTAACCAGGATGGTCTCGATCTCCTGACTTCGTGATCTGCCTGCCTCGGCCCCCCGAAGTGTTGGGATTACAGGCGTGAGCCACCCCACCCGGCCACAAACTTTTTTCACCATTTATCTTATTTGACAAAAACATGACAATGCCAAGAGATTTCTATCATGATTAAAAAACTTTTTAATTGTAGAAGAGGAAAATACTGCTTTAATATTTCTGATAAATATCAGAAATAATACATATGTAATATTTTAAAAGCTAATTTATTTATAAAATGTTCACTTAGCCTTTATGCATTGATTTTAACAGTGATAGAGAATACGTATCAGCAGAGTAAGACATTAGTGCATCACTTGGATGTATAGCTTTAAAGTTAAATTCCAAGGACTAAAATTAAGCTTTTGCCACTCTTAATCCAACCACTCAAGCTTTTACACTTTGTTACAAGACAAAAAGAAATATATAAATGATCCAGTGTGAATGCTAAAATACTGCAGCTACACATGCATATGAAATACAATTTTGCTGTATTGAGTACTAAAATATCACAGGTGATTGCCATAGGTAATGCTGTTTCTGCAAAGTAGGAGCTAGTTCTTATAATTTTTTTTTTTTTTTTTTGAGACAGAGTCTTGCTCTTGTTGCCCAGGCTGGAGTGCAGTGGCGTGATCTCGGCTCACTGTAACCTCTGCCTCCCGGGTTCAAGCGATTCTTCTGCCTCAGCCTCCTGAGTAGGTGGGATTATAGGCGTCCACCACCACGTGCTGCTAATTTTTGTATTTTTAGTAGAAACGAGGTTTCACCATGTTGGCCAGGCTGGTCTCGAACTCCTGACCTCAGGTGATCCGCCCAGCTCTGCCTCCCAAAGTGCTGGGATTACAGGCATGAGCCACTGTGCCTGGCTAGCCTTCTTAAAACTGACACCAATAGCAATAAATCTGGCTTTATCATATGATGGTAGAACAGTATTTGTAGATTCCATTATGGCTACCCTTTACTGTTCCTAAATACTTTTTCTTTCCATAAAACATTTTTAAAGACAAAGACCTTTACTGTTCCTACTTTTTCTTTCCATGAAATATTTTTAAAGACAAATAAGTTTGCAAACTTATTTCTCAATATTTACCTTTCAATTAGTATTGTACAGGGACTGATAGTTACAAAATTGTATTAGTTTTTACTTGCCAAACAGTATATTTGAAGTTTCATTAATTTGTTTGAAAACCAGATAAACTTGTTTTCAGTTTCTAATTTTTATTTTTGTCCCACATTGCTAATCTGAACTAAATAATTAAATTTAAAATGAATATACATAGTCCAATCTAATGAAAAAGGTATGGATAAAAATGTAGTTATTTTGTTATGGACTCTAAAACCCTTCCATATAAGTAGCAATCTTGCTACTGGTGAAAAGAGATGGGGTGGATTCACGACCATGGAAACTGCTGAGAAGGAAAGATTCAATTTCACTACAAGAGTACAAAGTTTCAGAAACAAGTTTCTTTTAAATTAAAATAATGTTTGCACTGCTTAATAATTGATTTCTTGACAGGAGAGTCAACTCTATTCTCATTATGCATAAAGCAGGCAAGGAGATTGCACAGGCAGTGTTTCTATTTCCTTCATGTGACTTCTGGAATTAGCTCAAGGTTCACAAGTGAATAAAAATAAACTTTTTAATGAATACTGTAATTCTTTATTAGGCTTGTTAATGATTACTGGCCCTTCTGATTTTGACAAGGGGGTAATTTTTATTGGTCTAGTTGGCTAATAGACCTTTGCCTTTGGTGATGTTCTTGTCACACTCTCTTGCATGCTTCCTAGAAAATAACAATTAAATTTAATAGAATATTTATCATTATTTCAAAGCTGTAACCTTTTTTGTACTATACAACTGCTAAGATCTGAATGCAATATTTGCATTTAAATTAATTCAAAAGGATTAAATGGCAGTTTGTAAAGCACAATGAAGTAAATATAGAGATATACCTGACTTAATAAAATAGCTATTATTTATGTAGCCATTTATGCATTTCAAATACTGTTGAAATATTGCCTTACTTTAACTCTTTACCAAAAAGGAAATATTAAGCCCAATTTAAAATTTACAAAACTGAGTTAACAGAAGTTATATATGTATGCATATATATATACACATACACACATATTATATATATGTAGAATAATATAAAAATTTTGACTATTATTTTAACCTAGTAAATTTCACATGGTTTAGCTGGTGAGTGACTGAGGCATGCTTGGCACTCTGATCTTTCTGCTTTCAAGGCACTGCTCACCACATCGTGGCCTCTACTTCTCCCTGGCAATGTCTCCAGTGAAAACAGAAAATTTTGTGTTATGTTATAGTTTAGATTTACCAGGAAAGCTAGATCTAAAAAATGTGGAGTGGACTTTGTTTGTCATGTAAACATACATATGCTTTAAGAGAACTTAAATTAAGCTTTTGGTGGTAATTTTTCTAAAGGTATAGGTATGCAACAAAAGCCAAAATTGACAAATGGGATCGAATTATACTAAAGAGCTTCTGCACAGCAAAATAAACTACCCTCGGAGTGAACAGGCAACCTACAGAATGGGAAATAATTTTTGCAATCTACTCATCTGACAAAGGGCTAATATCCAGTTATCTACAAAGAACTTAAACAAATTTACAAGAAAAAAACAAACAACCCCATCAAAAAGTGGGCAAAGGATATGAACAGACATTTCTGAAAAGAAGACATTTGTGCATCCAACAGACACATGAAAAAATGCTCATCATCACTGGCCATCAGATAAATGCAAATCAAAACCACAATGACATACCATCTCACACCAGTTAGAATGATGATCATTAAAAAGTCAGGAAACAACAGATGCTGGAGAGGTTGTGGAGAAATAGGAACACTTTTACACTGTTGGTGGGACTATAAACTAGTTCAACCATTGTGGAAGACAGGGTGGCGATTCCTCAAGGATCTAGAATTAGAAATATCATTTGACCCAGCCATCCCATTGCTGGGTATATACCCAAAGGATTATAAATCATGCTGCTATAAAGACACATGAACACGTATGTTCATTGCAGCACTATTCACAATAGCAAAGACTTCGAACCAACCCAAATGTCCATCAATGATAGACTGGATTAAGAAAATGTGGCACATATACCCCATGGAATACTATGCATCCATAAAAAATGATGAGTTCATGTCCTTTGTAAGGACATGGATGAAGCTGGAAACCATCATTCTCAGCAAACTATCGCAAGGACAAAAAAATCAAACACCGCATGTTCTCACTCATAGGTGGGAATTGAACAATGAGAACACTTGGACACAGGAAGGGGAACATCACACACTGGGGTCTGCAGTGGGGTGGTGGGGGGAGGGATAGCATTAGGAGATATACCTAATGTAAATGACCAGTTAATGGGTGCAGCACACGAACATGGCACATGTATACATATGTAACAAACCTGCACGTTGTGCACATGTACCCTAGAACTTAAAGTATAATAATAAAAAATAAATTAAAAAAAGGTATAGCTTAAAGCTGCCTGATCCATCTCTTATATAAATTTCTATCTTTGTAATGCTATTAAGTTTTAATATCTTTACCTTTAGAAAGGAAACACAACACATAATAAGTATGAACTGATTAAATTCCACTTGTTAAGACAGCTGAAGAACACAGAAATTATATCTCCGATTCTTGCTTAGATGTAATTGTTCAGATATGAGACAATTAACTTATTCAGGTCTAAGGAACTCACGTAGAAAGAAACCTGGAAGAACACATGAAAACTTTTATGTGACTTTTCATAAATAACTCATTATTATATATCTAGTAATTCTGGGGAAAATAAAGAATTGAGATATATCCAGATAACTTAAAATTTCATCCAGCTCTAAATTTGGTGACTCAGTCCAGTTCAACAAAATTTAATGATTAGGATTACATGTGAGCACAGTGGTCCAGTTATTGCAGAATAATACAAAATCAAGGACAAGATTCCAATCTGCATGGGTTTCAATTAACATGATGCCATTCAAAATATTTAAAATATTTGAGATAACATGGCCATGCTGGTATGTAACTTTTAGCTAGCACATTATTCTTTAAGGTTAGGAGGCTTACAAATTCTTCCCTAACAATGTACAAAAACAGTGTTAGATAAGTTTTATGAATATTCTGAAGCACTCATAATGACAGTAATGGCTGAATTAACTTAAAATATGTTAATTTCATGATTATAATAGCTAATGCTATGATCTCGACATAATCACATTATTTAATTTTTAGAGCACACTTAGAATTAGTTACGTTTTGTATGTCCATTATACAGTCAAAGGAACAAATTATACTTGCACAGATTCCCTGCACTAGTTGCTGGCGAACTGAGCACTTTGAAGCACCTGGCTTCAAATTCCAAGTTCCTGAGCCTCAGGAATCACTGCTTTTTGTATAGATACTGTGATTTCTTCTATGTGAGAACTACTGTGGAAAGCAGAAAGCATGAGTTTTAAAATTACTTTATCCTATGTTGAATCTCACATTTGAAATTTACTGTGATTTAGAAAACTATCAGTTAAACTGTTTGAGAGAGCTCTGTTATCTCCTAGCGATTCTCTAAGCATGGCTCCCACCACGCAGCACATTGCAATCTCACTATAAACATTCATTTTGTTCCTTTCACTCTATAATGAAAAGTAAGGTATTTTAAATGTACTTCTGGAAGTATCCACTGAAGTATCATAATTCAGAAATAGGTGGAAAGTAATTATTAAGGTAATCACAAACTTTATTAAAGAAATGCATTTGTATTCATTTGAATATATATTTTAATTTGAGCTGGATAGTAGATAAGGTTTCCTAGTAGGAATTTGTTCAGATACAGTATCAAATTAGTACTATATGTCAGCACTATATATATATATGTATATATGTATATATGTGTATATATGTATATATGTGTATATATAAACATATTAACTCATACTATTTTTAATTTTTATGTAAATAATACATATATATAAATCATTCACAGGTATGGAACAATACTTGGGAGTTGCTAATTTATAGAGTAAAGGTCTCTAATATTATACATACATTGTGCAGTTGCTTTTAGGATATATGTTTTTTCAACAGTCTCCAGATAAAGCATATCTAAACTCTCTAAAAATTTCAAAAAGAGGTGAAATTCCAATATATTAATTTTGCTGTAAAAGAAACCACAATGTTAGCTCACGTATCTTTAATTTATCATATCCTTCTATGCCTTAAGTTGTAGGCAGAATACAGAAAATATAAATGTTTTCATGCTAGAAGCCTCTTACAATTATGGTATTGAAATTAGTCTTTTGTTAATGAAGTAACTGCTGGGGTCAAGATTATTATTGAATGAGTCATGAATTTATAAAAATATCAAGACGAATTTGAATTGTTCTTTATCTCTCAGAAGCTAAGTGGGTGAGACAAATGGTCAGTTCCTTGGAGAAGGAGAGATCTTCAGTAAAATGTGGTGAATTATGAGAGTAACACAGGAACAAAGAACATACTAAAATTCAGAGGCCAGTCAATGAGTCCAGTTGAGGTAGTCCTGGAAGGTCGAATTGCGGAGGGGTGTTATTTACCTGTGTAGTAAGCCAGAGATCACATAGTCAATAGATTGCACATAGATTTAGGTAGTTCTATTTCTGGTGATGCCTGATTAATGTTCTTAAAGAATCAAACAGAGCTAAATATTTGAGAAAAATAATATTTACATTATGAGTTGATGCACTACATTAATTATAGAAAAATATAGTGTTTATCTTTGGAAGTTGTGGCTTGTTACTCTTTTTTTGTTGTTTTGAGACAGAGTTTTGCCTGTCACCCATTCTTTAATGTTGCCTAAGTTTTTTGTATTTTTAGTAGAGATGGGGTTTCACCATGTTGGCCAGGCTAATCTTGAACTCCTGACCTCATGATCCACCTCAGCCTCCCAAAGTGCCACTGCGCCTGGCCGGCTTGTTACTTTCTTCCGATCTTTAACATTTGCATTTTTCTCTGCTGTATTGTTCAAACATCTTCACTTTGTACTGCAGAACACAAGATGCTATGAGTATACATTTCTACTTTTTAAGATTATATACAATGACCTATAATATGTGATCTTATTCCTCTTTCTGTGACTTCAAAGAATCTCTCTCCTTCTCCCTCTTAGATTCTCTTCAGTATTTTTTATTATTCCCATTGCTGACTCCCTCTCGCCACTGCCATTGCTTTTGTCTAGGCATAATGTTATGATGTTTTATTTCAATAGCTTCCTTTCTGAACTTCCATCTTTCATTCTAAACCATTTTGAAACCATGTTTCATGCTTTTTTAAAAGCTGCAAATCCAATCACACCATCAGTGCTTTTAGGAATTACATTAATTGTCTTTTTTATTTAATTCAAAATATTCTGTATCACTTACCTCTTTTTTTTTTTTTAAATCCCTCTCTATTTTCCTTGATCAGCTATGGACAATTCTATTTATACTTCCCTCAGTTAAAGCATATTTATCTCTGCATGTTTTTCTTCTTGTTATTGTTTTTGCCTGAAATGGCCTCAATCTTCTCACTTTCGTTTTTTACTTAAATAATTTTTCTTTTACTATATGCTGCAAATGGCTTCTTCTCTATGAAAGCTTTTAATCCCAAGTCTTATTTGGATGTTTTTTGCCAATCATTTTTATCAGATTCAGCATGATGCTTCATTAGCAGATGCTGTGATTAAGAATACTCCCAATGATACCAAATAATATGAGACATTTCAAGTTCTATACATTTACCTATTTTTAATTAAACATTTCATTTTAAAATAACAGTGGATCCACATGCAGTTGTAAGAATAAATACAAAGAGACAAACATTTTATCCAATTTATTTTAATAATAGCATCTTACAAAACTATGGCAGAGATCTCAGCTAGAATATTGGCTTTGATCTTATTCAGATTTGTGCAGTTTTACATGTACAAATTTAAGTATGTGTGTTTATATTTAGTTCCATTTTTATCAAATGGAGTTTTATCAAATTTTATTAAAACTGGACATTTGGATATACCCCACCTTGAAAATACAGAGAATAATTTCATCACTACTAGGATATCTGATGTTACTCTTTTATAAAAGTGCACCCACTTCTTCCCCACCCTTATTTTCATCCGTATCACTTGCCAACCAATAATCATTTTTACATTTTATTTTTTTCATCTGAAAATGTTACAAAATGAATGAATGGAAAGACAAAATGTGATGTGTATATACAATAAAATATTAGCCTTAAGAAAGAATTAAATCAATGACAAATTTAGCAACATGGATTAAGTCTGAGGACATTATGTCAAGAGAAATAACTTCATCACAAAAGAAAAAATATTGGGATTCCATTTATATGAGGTATCTAGAGGAGTCAAATACATAAAGACAGAAAACAGAATAGTGGTTGCCACAGGCTGGAGGAAGCAAGAATAAAGAATTCATCCTTAATAAGTACACAATTTCAGATGGGGAAGAGGAAAAAGTTTTGAAGATGAATGGGGCTCATGATAGCACAATAATGTAATGTACTTAGTGCTACAGAACTGCTTAAAAATGCTATTTTTATGTTGTGTATATTTAACCACAATAAAAATGTCACATAAATGAAATTATGCAGTATGTTACCTATTGATAATAGGTTTTTTTCAATTAGCCTAAACCTGTGGAGAGTCATTCAAGTTTTTGTGTGTATTAAAAGTTTATTTCTTGTTAATCTATTTTGGTTTTTTTTTTTCATCTATTTGTGTTTCCTTTCACCAGCACCACATTGCCTTTCTTACTACAGCTGTATAGTAAGCTTTGAAGTTGGATAATGTCAGTCTTCTGGCTTTATTTTTCTACTTTGATAGTGTATTGACTATTCTGGGTCTTTTGCATTTCCATATAAACATTAAAATAAGTTTGTCAGTATGCTAACAAATAAATTGGTCATATTTTGATTTAGAAGGCACTGATTCTATAGATCAAGTTGGGAACAGCAGATATCTTAATAATATTGAATCTTTCTATCCATGAACATGGAATAGCTCTGTAATTACTTTGTTCTTTGATTTCTTTTATCAGAGAATTTTTGTTAGCTTTCCTCATAGAAATTTCATACTACATTTTTTCTAAAATTTTAAAGTGCTAACGGTTTCGACATATTCCATAAAAACTTAAACCTATTTTGCGTTAATAAGTAAAATCTGAGACTTAATTCAAGATATGGTTCTTCTATTTTTATCTATCTATCTATCTATCTATCTATCATCTATCTATCTATCTATCTATCTATCTATCTATCTATCTATCTATCTATCTATCATCTATGTATCTATCTATCAGGCCTATGAATGTACATGTAATGTGTAGCATTGCTAAAAATGAAAAATAGCAGATATAAGAAAGTATTAGATTGATTACACAAATATGTTTGGAATTGGTTGCTCCAGAACCAATTGTCAAAAAGGTTATCATACCTACATTGAACTGCTTTGGCACATTTATTCAAAAATTAGTTGTACCTGTTTGTTTGATTTTGTTTTGGGGGTTATCTATTCTGTTTTTTAATCTATGTGTCTATCCCTACATTAACACCATATTAACTTAATTATTTTAGCTAGATATTATGACTTATTATTGAGTGGAGTGATTCTTTCCACTATATATTTATTTTACAAGATTACATTCAGTATTGCATTGTTCATATCTTCCAATATAAATTTTAAAATAATCTTTTCTATGTCTACAAAAAACCCTTATTGACATTTTCATATAGATTTTTTAAAAAATATATGTACAAATTTGAGGAATATTAATGTCATGGGGTATGGGCGGGGGCTTTCTACAGCTTGGTAGGGAGTCAAAAGACCCCAGGTTTGATTCAGCTTCTGCCACTGCTTGGAAGGCCTAGAGGCAGTTATCCCAGATGACTTCTGCCATTGGGTGGAGGTTTAGAAAATGCCTAGAGTGATCTTGTTTTGTGTTTAAGTTGAGGACCGTAAGTCACTGTGTCTGAGTGGCTCGCTGTTGTTATGTGGGAACTTGGGAGGTGCAAACTCTATATGGCTTTCAGCTGCTTGGTGGAGGCCCAGGAAACACAAGACCTGTCATGTTGATGTTTCTTTCTTATCAAAAACACCTTTCTGTACTCTTATTTCTGTCTACAATTAAACATAACATTTAAGACACTTTACTCTTGGTAGAAGCCAAGACTGAAGGAAGAATATATTTATTTAGATGAAGTTATGAGTATTAACCCTGGTAACATTTTTGGTTATGTTTGTTGTCATTTTTTATGCTGTCTTTTGTCTTTACTTGGAGGATATTTCTTTGAACTGTGAGCCCAGTTTTACCATGATAGTTGTATTATTTAGTTCATTCATTTCACTTACTCATGCCTTTCATGCAGATATCCATGGAAATTAATAAAGAAACACAATAAAAATATGCTGTTGACATACCCAAAGTCTTCTGAAGGACAGTGAAAATTTCAACTTTAAAGAATATGAAAATAGGATAAATAAGCATAGAGAAAATCCAATAAAACTTTTATCAACTGAATTCAATAAAAAATACTGTTTGTAATGCATGTTGAACTGACCTAACTAAAATGTGATTGCTTCTGACTAGTTTAAAGCAAAAAGCTATGGATAAGCTATGCACTGTATAATTTGAAATAAATACTCTCTGTCCCTATTTTTCAAATAAAGGTACACTTTTTTTTCTTTAAATGTGAGTATATAACTTTTATGCTTCTTGATTTTTAAAGTAATTTTATTGTGCTACATAATTACTTGATAAATAATAAATATCATTAACAACTAATTCTGAACATGTTTGTGCAATCAATCTAATATTTTCTATCCGCTATTTTTCATTTTTAACAGTGCTACACATTACATGTACAATATTCATATAAAATACAGTGCATATCTAAAGAAATGCTTTACACATTGTTTAATCTAAATCCTCTATGTGGCCAGTGTTCTCTGACCTTTTTACCCCCATTACTATGTATTAGGAAATCAGTGGAGTCGCCAGTTACAGAAAGCATAGAAATCCTCTCATTCTTCCCAGTCTCAGGTATCAAGGTCTTACCACCTCTAGGACCATTCTCCCCTACTGAAGTCAAAAACTTTCCCAAAGTAATTGTTAAACAATCTGGTTCAATTGTTCTATGCATTTGATGTAGAAACAGCTTTTTCTGATGAAGATGGACAAAGACATATTCAGACCTACACACCTTCATTATAAGCCTAAATTGCAAAGATTGACCATCACACCAAAAATAATGTTCTAATTGATGTTGAATTATAATCAGTTATAATAAATTTTCAGTCCTCCCACATGCTCATATCCCTAACATATTATAACTCATTTTAATTTGGATATGTTCTCTACCCTATCAGTCAATGCTTATGTTATTTGTATCTTCTAATGATTAAAATTTTCTGCAACTACTTTCTAGAACAAATTAGACTATAAAACGACTGGATTGTTTTTATGTTTACTTCTAATATCAGGACTGAGTTTTTGCTTTGTTTCTCATTTAAATTAATTAGACTCTACTAGATTATATCATGTGTGATGCATTCAATACTATTTTTGTATAAACATGAAGTATCGAACTGAACTACTTTTGTTTTGAATTCGTTTCTTGAACAATAGAATATCAATGTGTAGTTTATAGAATTGTTCTTATCCTTTGATTTCATATGCTAATAGTACAATTATAAATCAAATGTATAATGCCTCTTAATGACAGCAAAGCAGACTTGTTGAGAAAACAAATTAAGATAAATATTTTGTAGGAAGAGAAATTAACCAATAATATATGAAGCAATTTGGATCTATGAACAAAATGCATAATCCTCCAAATCCCCATATCATTTCTAAAATAAAGATAAGCAAATCCATAGCCAAACTATATTTAATTTTGACCAAGGGTTGATTAAAATGAATGGAAGTGGAAGATAATATTTTAATCTTCCCTGTAAGCAAACCCTTTTGACATTGTTTGCAAAAACCAAGCTGGAATATATTTTGTCATGATATGTTATTACAAATAGTTGTAAACTAATAAAATAATACTTTTTCAAGATTTATGAAAAAATATAAATTTTTCAAATATAGAAATGGCTAAAAATTAATATTGATAACAAAAAGCACGGTAAGTTATATTTTAATGCGTATATTATCAGGTAATTATTAATCATTATAGTTTCATAACAAATTACCCCAAAATATTGTGAATTAAAACAACACACATTTGTTATCTTGAAGATTCTGTGGATCAGTAAATAGCACCATTTAGTTAGGTACCTTTAACTCAAGATCTTTCACAAGGTTGTAATGGAGATGTTAACCAGGGCAGGAGTCATCTTCAGACTTGACGTATGAAAGCACCACTTCGAAATGCGATCATTGGACTGTTACCTGTTACCTTCCTGCTTTCTTGCCATGTGGGCCTATTCCCAACAATGCTGCTTGCTTCTCTCAAAACAAGAACAGAGAGAGAGAGAGACACAAAATGAAAGTCACAGTTTTTTGTAATCTAATCTCAAATCAATCATTTTTTTGCCAGAGACATTAGAAGGAAGGTATTAGGTCCAACTCACATTCAAGACATAGAGATTACATAAGGATGTAAATTTTAGGAGGCAGAGACTATTGGGGGCCATTTTAGAAGCTATGTACTAAAATTTATTTGTATATTTGGATATGGATAATTGTGTATCATTTTAAAAATGAACAATCTCTAAGGCTGCATAGATTGATTTGTTTTATATATCAATATAACTTATGTGATAAAATGCATATGTTTACATTACACATTTAAATAATAATATGGACAAAATGATCACCTAATAAATGTTAGCTGAAGTTAAATTTATGTGATCTCTGCTCATACATAGGACCCAAATCTCTATTAGAAACTTACCTAAGTGGCAAAACAGTGTCCTGTTTTCCTGCATGCGTTACCAGCTGATTTGGCTTTCACAGTCAACTAGGGGAAAGCTACCACCACAAGAGATTTCTGCTTGTGGCTTATTCTTTAAGAAAGCATTCTATACACACTTTTGAAAATTCTTTGAAAAGTTTCTATTATGCTATTTTGCCACTTATGTTGCTAAATTAGGCAAGAAAAAAACTCCAGAGTGCCAACAGTGCATATGCAAATGTTCCTATTAACTTATTAAAATGAAGAGCATCCATAACACTGCACTAAACTTTGGAATTTGAATTTGCATTACATCAGGAATGCTAAAGGGTACATCTTTTGGATATTTTATATGTTTGTTCACTGTGCTTCCCACACTTATTTAAAAATCCTAAATTATAAACTGTTATTAACAAAATTGAACTAATTACTATCCAAAACTCACCATGTATCTTATAAATAATATGAAACTCCACAGAACCTCAAAAAGTAATAAAAGTAAAGAATATGTTCCTCTTCTGAGGGACAAATAAAGATAATCTGTGAAGATAACAGGCTAAACACAGGTCTGCAATTCCCTCCCTCTTACAACTTCCTCTCTCAAATAATAACCATAAAAAGGTGCTGGAAGATTCTGTATGATGCATTTAACCAGAGCACAATTGACTAATACAAGAATCCCACACAAACTACTATTCATCTGGTAGTGTAAATTGTATTCAGACTTGTAAAGATCACAATTGGTAGTAATCATTAAGCTCATATGGAAAATACTTAGAGTCCTTTTACCAAAGTGTCGAGTGAATTAGCAAAAAGAACCCATGATTATAGTAAAAGGTAACAAAATAAGGCGAACACAATATTAAAATATCTAAGTGGAATGATGAAAGTGTAACTGAAACGTAATGATATAAATATTTAATAAAGCTATTGAAATAGAGAAGACAAAAGGAAATATGAGCCTGGATCCAAAATTCTAATAGAGATCAAACAAAGCTAGAATTGGTGTGGTTAGAGGAGAAAATAATTTCTGAATACTGGAAAGAGTAAAGAAGCACAGTAACCTCTTTGCAGGAACAAAAGACATCATAGATAAGGAGAAAATCATAGAATGGACTCAGAAGCTTTTATTTTCAAAAAAATTTCATTTAAACTAAATGTCACCAACAATGATGAAAAATAGAATAATAAAATAATGTCAACTGAGTCTTGAGAGAAAATAAATTTGTGCATTTATTTCTTTTTATCATTTAATGAGTAAGGAACATTTGTTTTCTGTTCAAATAAATATGAAAGAAAGTAATACCAGTGTATCCTTATTAAAGGAAATGCTGAAAGATGTACTTCTGAAAGAATATCTGACATCCAAAAAGATACAATATGTAAGATTTGACATCTAGGAAAAAAAGACCAAGGAAAGGATGAAACTTCATTAAATTGATTACATAAAATAAATATATATTTTTAAATTTGAATTATTAATAGTAAAAATAATATCTATTTAAAAAGCATCTAAATCAAAACGATATTACTGAAAATAAAATACTTTAAGATCCTTATTGTACATAAAGTTAGTAAATGTTAAATTTCGGGTTCGATAATTTATTTTTAAATTCTCATCATGATCACTGAGTGTTTAACATCCTGCAAAGTAAATAAGAAATAGAGAGAAAAGAAAAACGTTACTTAATTCATGTGAAGTCAAGGGAAACAAAGACAAAATAAAATTTTTAAAAAATGCAGTACTAATAGCACAAAATAAAGACAATAGAATCAGCCCAAATAATATTTATACCCATGTTCAATGTTAGCAGAATAATCAAGATAGCTAAATGATAAAGGATGCCATTAGATTAAAACCAAATTACAAAGCCCTTCAAAAGACAAAAAAAAAAAATCATAGGAACACAGATAAACTGAAATTCAAAGTTTGGAAAAATAACTTCAATGTATAGGCTTTTAGGAACTGAAGTACAGTTAGTATCAGCTAAAAAAAGACGAATATGGCTGGGGGGAAAAACACAGAAGTAAGAGACTTATCTGTTTACATTAGTTTCCTGTAGCTGCTCTAGTAAGTTATCAGAAATTTCATGGCTTAAAAACAACAGAAATTTATTCACTCACAGCTCTGGAAGCCAGAAGTTTGAAATGAATTTGACTTGGCTGAAATCAAGGTGCCAGCAAGATCCCATTGCCTTTGGAGGCTCTCAGAAGCAATCAGTTTCTTGCCTCTTCCAGCCTCTGGTGGCTGTCAGTATTCCTTGGCTTGTGGCTACATCACTCCAGTCTTCAAGGTCAGCCTCTTATCAATATTCTTAACTTTTTCTCATCTACCAAAGATCTTCCTTTGCCCTTTTTTTTTTTTTCCAGATTCAGAAACATTCACAATTTCTAGAGTTAGGACATGTATATTTTTAGGGGAAGGGAAGCATTCTTCAGACTATCACAGTATCAGCATTTATTTATTTTAAAACATACACTTAAAATATAGACAGTTCAAAGTTTCTACATATGATCAGTTATCTTCTAAACACATAAAAGTGCATTTGGCTGAATTGCAAAGAAGCTGAAAAATTCTCACATCCTAGTTCCTCACTTCAATAAACTTCTCAGTAATTGATTTGCCTAACAGTTAAAACAAGTAAGAAAGTAGTGCAAATTTTAATAACATAATTAACAAGTGTGGCTTTATAGACATAAGGTCTATAGATATGAAAAATAAGAAAGTTAATCTCTTTATAATAAAAATGGAACATTAACACAGACTGACCATGAAGCATGCATAAAAATGCAAAATTACATCCTCTGTTCATAGTAAATTTAAGATCTAAATAACAAAAAATATTTTGTTATATTATAGAGGTTAAAAATATTTTATAAAATGGGTTAATAATGGATTAAAACATTTAATTTAATAATTAAAATTATCACATTTCAAACCCTGTTGCAATTACAGGGAACAAGCCAATTTTTGTTTATTTGTTTTGTTTTATTTTTCCAAGTCAGATTTATTAAGATATTTACACAAAGTAAACGTTTCCCTCTTTAACGTACAGTTCTATGAGTTTTGACAAATGCATACAGTCATATAATTACCAGCAAAATCAACTTATAGAAAATGCCCAGTAGGCTAAAATGTCCCCTTTTGCCTTTTTGTAATCGAACACACAGCCAACCCTTAAGTATACCTGTTTTCTGCTGCTATAGTTTCGCATTTTTTATCTTTCGTAGACTCCATATGATTCTCAGCTCTACATTGAATCATCCAGAGTGTACATTCCTTTTATTAGATCATAGTTTATTATTTATATTACAGTCTTATAACTGTACCACTCAACACACCCTTTGTATGAGTCTATTAAAGACTAATTACTGAAATTAGAGAGACTTATAATCTACACTTAGTCAGAAAACATTACCTTCTGATTTATGTTGACTACTATGCAATTATGTTTTACTCACTATGTTATTTTTGTATTCTTCCATGATAAGTAGTCAATAATTACTCACTCAACAAATCTACGCAGAGCCCTTCAAGAAATGCAGTAAAGCATGGTTTCATTGATTAACAGGGAAAACTACTTTCATATAGTTAATAGATTGGTGAGGGAGGCTGATGTTTATTTTTAAATTGGGATTGAAATGATTGTTTTAAAGGAGTAGTAGAGTTCTGTAAAGGTGTAAAGGTCTACACCAGGGGAAACATGATTAATATTATTGGCTATCACAATTCTCTGTGGAAGCGACATTTAAGCCGAAATCCAAATAGCACATGAGTGTTAGATTAAGAGTCTGTGAGATGTATCTGACGGATCTGAACATTTGAACAATGAATAGGCATCCAATTATGAAGGGTATTGTATAGTTGTGCTCAACTTCTTCTAATACATTTTTTTGCTACAGTAACTAAGAGGGTAAAAACTGAGATCTTAAGTAAAGTTGAACCTAGGATTCTGTTGATTTTACTTATCTTTGTGAGTTAAACTCATCTATACCATAAATTTAGCAAAAATTAATTTAGGGGGTGGAGAAACACTAAATAAAACATCCATATTGTGTATAGAGATTACACTTCATACTGTCTGGTTTTGAGACAACTGCTGAAGGTGTGACTTCCTGATTTATCCTGTAGCAGCTTCTTTTTTCAATTTTATTCAGTTATAATATACATATCATAAAGTTAATGCATGGAATATTTACATATTCCCAGAAAATGTATGTGTCCTTTTGCAGTTAACTTCTCCTAGCCAGGCAATAATTTTTATCATTATACATGAGATTTCCTTGTTTCAGAAGAATTTCTCGTAAAATCCAGTTGAAAAGAACAGGGATTCTGTAGAGTGTAATGCTCTGAAAATGTCAATTGGGTCAAGTTGGTTGATTGTGTTGTTGGTTCTTCTATTTATTGATTTGTTGTTTATTTATTCTATCAATTCCTGAGAAACTGATGACAAAATCTCCTCTGTGATTTTGGATTTTTCTATTTCTGTCACTTATTCTTACCTGAATTTTGATATTTTGATATTTTGATGTTCTGTATTTATACCCATACATATTTTGATTGTTTATTCCATATGAATAACAAATAACAACTTTATTATCATTACATTGGCAATCCCTTTGGTTTTTACTTTTTAATTGTTGCTATTGTTTCTTTGCTTCTTCTATGCTGAATGCTTTTTGGTTGTTGTTTAATTTTCTGTCCATTACTCTTGTAGCTATACCTATTTTTTTATTTTTAGTTGTTGCCCTAATGCTAACAATACGAATCCTTAACTCATCTGTCTAATCAGGGCGGACATTATCCTTCTTCACATTTCAAGATTTCTACCTAAACTTTGGACTTGCTGCTTTGTTCTTTCCCCTTCACATTAGACATTTCACACTACACAATTCATGATGCATGCTTTCACTTCACAACTGTAATAAATGTACAGCAGTGTAATTTTGTCTACCTTTCTCATCCTTTGTGATTGTTGCCGTGTCCTTCCCTCCTCAAATGTTACAACCTTATCTTACAGTACTGTTATTTCTGTTTGCACAGGTACTTTTAAATATACTATGAAATTTAAAAATACAAACTTTTATATTTCCTCTTTCTTACACTTGTTTTGATCTTTATTCCTATGTGTAGATCCAAATTTCAATCTGGTACCATTTTCCTTCATCCTTGTAGCACAAGCTTATTAGTGTCAAACTCTCCAAGCCTTTATTTGTCATAACGTCTTTCAAATTTACTGTTGTTTTTGAGAGTTATATTGATGGATATTTAATTCTAAATTGACAGAAATTATTTCTTGTTTTTTAGTTCCTTGTGGATATCTACTCATTAATTTTAGCCATTATTTTTGATGAGAAATGATAATTATTATCTTCATTTCTTATACATAATGTACCTCTTGTCCCTTCCCTAAACTTTGAATTCTTTCAGTTTTTTTTTTTTCTCATCTGAGATTTTCAATAATTTGAGCACTATGTGTCTATTTACCCTGCTTGGATTTTGGTGAGCTACTTGTTTCAATAGTTCAAAATTTAAATTTAGTTAAATTTAGAAAATTTTTAGCTTTCACTTTTATAAAAATGTTTTTAACACACAACATTTCTCATCTCTTCTTTGGACTCCAATTACACATATGTTACATTGTTTGATATTGTCCTGAACATTCTAGATGCTCATTTTCCTTTAGCTAATTTTTATCTTTCTGTCTTAAGTTTCCTGGTGGTGCCATGAGAAAAATGCCTTTTGCATCTGAGACTTATGGTGTGATTTGGGACTCATTCCCAGAAATTTGTTTTCTTGAGCATCCCAAATGATTTTATAAGTTATCTTAAGTTCTGAAATAATTTCCCTTAAATTTATACAACCTACAGTAGATTAGATTTTCTGAAATCAAACATGTTCTGAAGTTGAACAATATTTAATTGAGATTAAAGCATAGTATATAAAGGAATTGGGACACAACTTAGACCTCATACAGAAGATATGTCATATGTGAGCTCTAAACAGTGATCGATATGATCGACAGTTTTCTTGGCCTATCATGCTGAGAATGGACTATCAGTAAAAGTGAGATGTCAAGAATGAAAGCAGTAAAGAGGTGATGATACTTGGGATAATATAGTATAACAGAGATAAAAATGTTCCTGATTGAAGATTTGTTTAAGAATATCATTAAATGTTCCTAATGTTCTATTTTATATCAATGTTTATGACTAAAAATTTCTTGGTGCCTATGGAATTTTGCTCTATAGCTCATACATATATTCTATATTTTATATATATTTACATATAATATATATCATGTTATATTTAAGATTATATTATATATAGTTATAATACAAGGTATAATATAATAAGTAATAAAAACATTTCAGTAATAAAGATAATATTGTGTAAGTTTTATGTTTAAACTAATTTTCTTTAAACAATAGGTAACGTTTATAGTACTAATTCATAAGACCCAATCAGGCATCATAACATCCAAACATACTATGAATTAAAAATGTTTCTACAGGATCTGGAAAGGAAATTATCATGGCAGAAAAGAATAGTGTGCCACAAAATGTATGAGTTGAATTTTTCAAAAAATCATCCATGTAATAGAAATGTCCTACTTTGATGGTTAAATGTCAATGTATTATTCAGATTGTATTTTATTATTTCAAATTATTCTTATTTAAACAAGTCTCAGAGATACTTAGTTCATTAAGAATCAGATAGCAGTTTCAGCCTTTAAAGTTTCAATGTGTGCAAAAATAAGACATTGCTGATAAAGCAGTAATGTTATATTTCCATAATATATTCAGAAGTAAAAAAATGATATTTTTGTTTTTTTAAGCAGCCTCTGGTATAATAAAAATATTTGATTACTCATAAATAATTTCAGAAAACTTGAAGTGTCTTCATTTTGAAGTATCTCTCTTCCTTGTTCATGGAGAGATGGATGGATAAATTGATAGGTTCTTGGAGCAGAGTAAAATATGAAATTGGAGTTGATACTAAATTTATAATACTACACATTTCTGATATTTATTTATTTCTATTTATTTTTTCATACTACTAGTGATGAAGTTAGGGTCAAGTGGAGAGAGAAAAACTTAGTGTTTTATACAAGGATTAAAACCCTTTATTTAGATCACAAAACAATTGACCCAAACCTCTCACAAAATTATTCCCACAGAAGATAAAAATAACCAATCTAATTTTTACCATTATACTCTTGAACAGAGTGATTCTGAATGTTTGGAACAGTAACTATATATAGAATTTAAAGGATTTCCTAAGTATTTATTAAGATATAATAAACAACTTAGGTCTGTGTTTATAGAATATGATGGCCTTTGAAGTAATTTGACATGGTTTACAGTAATTCATATGTTTAAATCTACCATGCTTTTTTACTGTCAGCTAATAAGGAAAGTAACATCAAAAACCTCCATTATAAACAAAAACAGTTCTTATAATGAGACTCTTCAATGAAACCCCAACACTCTGAACTGCTCTTGCCATCATGAAATACTGAGTTGAAGTAGCAAGTAATAGTCTGAATGAGCTCATTGATTTAACATTCTACACAAGTAAACCTAAACAACATAGCATCTTTTACTCAAATTAGGCCTACGGTAAAAAGAGGGTGAATATTTGTACAACTAACTATTTTGTCTCTTTGTTCAATAGATCAGTGATCTAAACTTATTTTGGAACTCTCATGTTTTATTTACTTCTTAAGTCTGACATTTTAAGCTTTAATAAACAACCAGTTTGCCTTAAAGTGCTTAGCAGTCCTTGCTGAAATACAAGCTTAACACAAGAGGTGGCTCCATTTCGGAATTTTTTTCCCTTTCAATTTTTTTTATATTAAACTTAAAGATAGTATGTGCTATTTTTGTTATTAAAATAAAATTTTAAAGTATTTAAAGCGCAACATTGATGTAACTATACTTTTATACACATACAATTTGATAAATTTTTAATATTAAGCATGAATTTAGATCTCCGTTCATAATTATTCACTAGATAACTTTTTGCTAATGAAACAAAATCAAATTTGAAATCTCCTATATAATTTTTGTCTTCTTGAAAATATCTGGGCTCCTCAAGATAGGTGTTTTAAACAAATCTATGCAATATGAATAGATTATCAACGGACATATAAAAATCAAAGGCATAGCAACTGACCAAACTCACCTTTCTATGATCATGGTTTTATTTTGTCCAACGCATTTCAGAAGAAATCTCCTATTATATTTGAGTCCTTTCATTGCATTACCTATTGTATCATGTAATAAACATCCAGTCGATGAATAGAAATGATCGTAGATATTTTAGAAAGAGGACATTTAGCACAGGGAAGCAGTAAAAAAGTATTGAGATAACTGGAGTGGGAAAAAGAAAAATTGAGTAACCCAAAGATTAGTAATCGCAGGAAACATTGAATCTCCTTGGTTCTAGGGGAAGAAAAATGTTATTACCAAATCCCAGCAGCTCACTTTTTCCTGCCCTTCTAGAGGAATACCACGTTGAGTTGCTATGAATACCAAGGTGAAAAGAACCACATGATCATGACTGGAGCTCCTAAGAATGGATTTCCTGTGACTATACTGCCACCACAGAAGAAACATAACATGTATGAGGTTAAGACCAGCAGGGCCACACTGAGGCTTGTCACTGAGAAGAGATTCTGAGCTTGCAGTGTTAGAACTGGCAACAATCTCTTCGAAGCAGTTGTTATATGCTGCTGCTGGAGAGATACTGCCAAAAAAAAAAAAAATCCACAGGGAGAGTGCTATTTCCTTCTCTTCCTTACATTCAGTGCCCTGAGAGTAGTTCTGTTTGTAGCTCAGAGCAAACCAAATGTTATGGAAGTCTGTGGATAGAAGATTGTGCAAGTTCCATTCCTCTTGTAACATGTAGCAGAAATAGAGGAGTAGAAACGGGGTCTCCAATTTTCCAAACATGAAATACTTGGGCCAGGCACGGTGGCTCACTCCTGTAATCCCAGTACTTTGGGAGGCCCAGGTGGGTGGATCACCTGAGGTCAAGAGTTCAAGACCAGCCTGGCCAACATGGTGAAATGCTGTCTCCACTAAAAATACAAAAATTAGCCAGGCATGGTGGTGCATGCCTGCAACCCCAGCTACTTGGGAGGCTGAGACAGGAGAATTGCTTGAACCTGGGAGGAAGAGGTTGCAGTGAGCCGAGATTGTGTCATCGCACTCCAGCTTGGGTGACAAGAGCAAAACTCCGTCTCAAAAAAAAAAAAAATGTAGCTGAATTTCTGGCATTTTTAACATGTTATTTTTGACAAATGATATAATAAAATTAGAAAAATGCTTTCAATAACATTCTATAAAATATTATTTTGTATATTACAAAGTCCTGTTTTTTAAAATAATGTGTGACAGGGTCTATAAAGATAAGCTTTTATGTATACTCTAATGTTTCAGACGATTACTATTCAACAAAAATGTATTAAATTCAGTGAAACAAATTTGCTTCTTTTGTAATTGCTGGAGGAAAAGCAAATTTATATCATTATTTGAATTATTGATAAAATGATATTGAATATTGGGTATTAAATTATTTCTACATGCTTAGAAAAGTATCAAAATAGTTGAAATTGATTGTTGTAAATAGAATAAACAAATTACGATTTCTTTTTAATTTATATATGTAAATGGAAAAAATGTTCATGGAAATATTTTACTTGACTATTGTTTTCAGCAAATTTCTATCATATACAGAACATGAAATCTTAAACAGAAATGCCTCAGGAGTATGTCTGTTTGGAGGATGTTTAATAATACTATACAATAGGATATCCTTTTTTCAAATATGACTGTAGGCAAGAGGTGACTTCCCACCTATTGAGTTGTTTAATACTTTTCTCATTATTCACCATACAGAACACAGACACAGAACAGTCAGGCCAGAGAGAGCCAGAAGGCTCCTGTCTCATGTGGCTGTGGTCATTAACCAGTAACATGGGAAGCAAGAATTTCAGGGTGTATGCTGGAGAGGAGCAAATTTTTATTTAGGAGTCAATGTATGAAAACATTGAACATGAAAATTCTGCATGAGTTCATAAGAAAATATCAATGACTTCAAGTAATTAAGTAAAAGGATCAGGCAAAGAGGTACAAAATAAGTAGTTCCCAAAATAGAGGAAGCTCTAGACTTGTCCATAAAAGGTATTATTATTCTGGCCTCTAGGTAAAAACTATTCAGTGTCTTTTAAGTGAGAAATACAGATCTATATCAGAAGCCACTGTGTTTCCATTATACATAATTTATAATAGTATTTACATTCAGAGTTCTCACAAACACTATTATCAACTATAATCCCAAATTTGAAAATCATATAGGGTCTTTATCCAAACAAGTTTAAATTGGCTCTGATATTTGCCTTAGCTGGAGCTTATCTCAATATAGATATGGCCAACATATAAATGCACAGATATGAAAATATATAGTTCACTTTCTTACAGGGATCTATAGCTTGTAGTGCTTCACGGCAAATATGAAAACAAAAGGTTTTACTTACAAAAGCTTTATCAATAATGCTTAAATCATTCATGTATATGCTAGGTTTTGTATCAATAGTGTTTTCTCATTATAAAGATTATAGCATACAAATTTAACTCACATATACAGAGGAGAGAAAACGCAGAATATTTTAAATTAATATCACCGTCAAACACAATTGCTGTAATCACTTCCACTTCTTTCCATGAGGTTAAGAGGGTACATATCCCAGCCCCAAAAAGAACTAGACATAAAATATGAGTGAAAAATTAACCTTTACTGTTCAAAGCTGCTGAGAGTCTAGAGTTGTTTATTAACTCAGCTTCATTTGTCTACTCCAAAGATTAAACACAGTATTATATGCTTTCTAAAAGGCATACTAAAATATCAATTTTATATATTAAATTTGAGGGACATAGGATAAAACATACTAGGAAAATAAAAACAAAAAAGGCAATATTAATATTAATGTCAAACATATGGAAATTTAAATCGATAGCAATAATAAAAGAGATACATGTGTGATGAAAAAGACAAAATGTATGTATAATGAAAATTTAATTATAATAAACCATAATCACAAAACGGTATGTAAAATAGACACCTACAGCAAATCAATTAAATATTTACGGATATCTTTATGAAATAAATTTTTAATATACAGTTGGAGATGTCACTGTATATTATCTTCACTGTATGTCTTGGACTAAACTGACCTAAACATAATAATAATCAAAAGTTAGGCTAAAAATAATTGTACAATGCATTTAAGAAAGTGATCAAATAGATGTACAGAGGACTTTACAATACCTGAATCCAGTACAAATATAATATCAAAACCAGAAAAAAAGTAATAACATATTTATGCTGGATTCAAATATTTCTTTTAGATTTATTGGCTACACCTTTAGATTATTTGCATTTGTGTTCATGTATGTGCTTTATTTTTATGTACTTTTTATGTGAAAACTTTCCTGGTTATGATACCAAATGTATACTGGATTCAATATTGTCCAATGTGTGTGACTATTTGATCACTCTCCTAAATGTTTTGTCTTTGGTTGGAAAGACAATATTATAAAATATGAGTTTCAGGAAACATATCTATTATTCAAAAATATAATTTTAATCCCTCAAGATTATTAGTTATTTTATTTTTTGGATTTTATAAAGTAATCTCAAATTTCATCTAAAAGAACAAATTTCTGGGCTGGGCACAGTGGCTCATGCCTCTAATCCCAGCACTTGGGGAGGCCAAGGCAGGTGGATCATGAGGTCAGGAGATCCAGACAATCCTAACACGGTGAAACCCCGTCTCTACTGAAAATACAAAAACTCAGCCGGGCATGGTGGCGGGCGCCTGTAGTCCCAGCTACTCGGGAGACTGAGGCAGGAGAATTGCTTGAACCCAGGAGGCAGAGGTTGCAGTGAGCCAAGATCCCACCACTGCACTCCAGCCTGGGTGACCGAGCAAGACTCTGAAAAAAGAAAAAGAAAAATTTCTGAGAGTAGTTAAGAAAAGAATACTAAAGTATTTCAAATATGAGAGAATATTTATTTCATCAGAGTCACACGTTATAGACTCACTGTAATTACATCAGTGTAATACTAGTAGATGTAGACAAAAGATTAGTAATCCAGTAGATTTCCTTATATAAGAGAAAATATCTTAAATATGACAAATCCACATAAAATATATTTATTTAATGGTTCTGGCATAACTATCTGAGTTTTTTTGTTTGTTTGTTTTTTGTTTGTTTGTTTGTTTTTCTTTGAGATAGAGTTTCACTCTTGTTTCCCAGGCTGGAATGCAATGGCATGATCTCGGCCCACAGCAACCTCCGCCTCCCTGGTTCAAGCATTTCTCCTGCCTCAGCCTCTTGAGTAGCTGGAATTACAGGCATGCACGACCACGCCCAGCTAATTTTGTATTTTTAGTAGAGACGGGGTTTTTCCATGTTGGTCAGGCTGGTCTTGAACTCCCGACCTCAGGTGATCCACCCGCCTTGGCCTACCAAAGTGCTGGGATTACAGGCGTGAGCCACCGCACCTGGCCGAAGATTTTTTTTTTTTTTCAAGATACTAATCTCAGAGTATTTTATTTTATTTTATTTTTTTGAGACAAAGTCTTGCTCTGTCACCCAGGCTGCAGTAAGTAGTGCAGTAAGCAGCGCGATCTTGACTCAATGCAACCTTCACCTCCGGGTTCAAGCGATTCTCCAGCCTCAGCCATTCTCTATCCTCAGCCTCTTGAGTAGCTGGGATTACAGGCGTGTGCCACCACAGCCGGATAATTTTTGTATTTTTACTAGAGATGAAGGTTCACCATGTTGGCCAGGCTTGTCTTGAATTCCTGACCTCCGGCGATCCACCCACCTCTGCCTCCCAAAGTGCTGGGGTTACAGGTGTGAGCCACCATGCCGGCCATCTCACAGAGTTTCAAAAATAAAACACAGAATTAAACTTTAAAAAACATTGATATATATCTTTTGAAAAAAGTCAACGAAAGTACATTTAAATTCTATAAGCAGACACTTACCTAATTAAGATTTTAAACTCCAGAACTCTAAACAACATTTGCATGAACAGGTAACAATCCAGAAGCAGAAAGTTAAATGCTACATGTTCTCACTCATAAGTGGAAGCTAAATAATCTATACACATGTACACAGAATGTGGAATCATAGACACTGGAGACTTGGAAGGGTTAGGGATGGGAAATGACTTAATGGATACAATTATTTAATGCACAACACACATTATTCAGATGGTGGTTACACTAAAAGCTCAGACTTCACCACTATGCAATATATTGATGTAAAATAACTGCAATGTTTTCCTTAAATGTATATGAACTCTAAAAAACTTCCATTACTAAACATAATATTTAAAAGTAATAAAATATTGAGTTTTGGCAGATGGTACTGAAATATATAATTTCTAATGTGCAAAAGTCTTATAACTGGCAAGAATGGAAAGAAAGTACAGACGTTTTAATATAAAAACGGCTAAAGTCTATGGTACATAGAAAGTAGGTAGAATTTAGTAGACATTTGAAAATATACCTAAGTGCTCTGTTATATAATATGTAGGGATTTTCATTGTATGGTGTTATATGAGAAAAAAGATGCCTCAAATTATGCATAATATGTAATTTTTGGAAATAAACCATAATACAAATTTTTCTCATATATACTTATGCTTGTATACTTATTTAGAAATGTGTATGTCTCTACAGGGTTATCAGAACATACTAATCAAGTCCCAAAAGATATATTACTATATTGTTAGGTAGGTGTTGAGGTATTGAGTTCTAATGTTCCTGAAGGGTCGAGGGTGGAAGGAACATGCGGATGGGAAATAAGAAATAAGGAAATCATTTAAAAATTAAAAACAACATGTAAAATTATATAAGTAGAAGTATATTTATGCATTTCTTATAAAGTCATAGATGTATATGTCTTTACATGAAATGATTACAATTTAAGTAATTGAAGAAAAGTAAGTTTGGCTTTGAGATGTTTACATAGACACACTAAAATTGATCTGTTTAACAAAAACTGAGGTTTCTGGGTGCAAAATGCATGGGAATCATGACAGCAAAAATCATTCCTTCACAGCACTTTGTGTCTATTTCTTTTCCACCACAGTGTTCATGCCTGCTGAATGCAGATTAGTCTAAAATTCCTCTCTATGCAGTGCTCAAGGAACCATTAACAATCTGCAGGTTCCATCTCTTTCAGCTTTCCTGGATTAAAGCTACTCTGCTTCAAATGCCTCAGTTATCTGAAGCAAGCAGGCATGATCCGGGTCAAAAGATAAATTGGGAAAAACTTGATTTCAAATCTCATTTCTATTATTATTATTATTATTTTATTTTAGTTACAAAATTGTATATTTAACCTTGGAAGAGCTATTCCTATTCTATTCTCTATGCTTTGGTATTTATGAAGTTTCAGGTCTCTGCTGTCACACTCTATCTTAAAGATATAAAAGTTAATTATTTTGCATAGAATATGTACTTATTTATGGTCATTAGCTGGGAGCACATTGAGAATACTCAGCAGGATTCTCCTATTTAAGTAGAGATGTGGAGCACGTTCTCTCCCGTGATCATGTTATTTATGTGATTCAGCATGTCATCTTTTCCACTCCTAACAGACCTATTTATCTTGTAGCCATTCCACAAAATTCAGTGTATGTTCATTAGAGCACTTGATTAAAAGTACACAAACCCTCATTAATCCCACTGTGCCCTGTAGAGCCATGCAGTGTTCTACATCATTAGAGTTTAGGTCACAATCTCAAATTTTTATGACTCAAGGTAAACTCCAAGCTGTGAGAACCTGGTGTGAACAAGATAGTAAAAATCGAAGCAGCAATATAGCAAGGAACATTAAAAGCATTAATGAACAAACATAACCATAGAAACTTTTAGGAACCAGAAATAGGTCTCCATAAAGTAAAATGAAGAACCATTGCATTTAAAGAAAAGCATTTTCACTGGAGTTAAAATAAGTGCAAGTCAAGTCTGCTTTAGAAAGAAAATTTGGGTTTTTTAGACCTAGTAATAACCTCATAACAAAAGAGAAACGTGTGACATTTAGTACCTCTGTTGGTCTGAGACTTTATTTGTTTTAATTTAAATTTATTTATTTAATGAAACTGGACACCTAGCTACATGTAAAATATTTGATATAATGAATTTTGACATTTAAGACAGAGTTAATGGATGAAAAAAATTGTAACTGCATGTTTTGACTTCTAACTTGATGTTTCCTCACTTATATGCAAATTATTCAAATGGCAGGCAAAGCAAGCAAATGGCCAACACTAATCATATAGCAGCAATTAACTACAGAATTCAAATTTTTTAATCTTAAGCAGAAATACAAATAAAATTCAGAGGTGTCAGAAAATTTAATGACTAAAACTGGAATTTTAGAGGGAGGAATGGAGAAATTACTTAGTCAACATTACTTACTAAGAAAGTATTTTATTCAAGCTTTTGTTAAAAGTTAGGTTAACCCGGGACACTAAGTTTTATTTTATTTTTTGAAATATATTTCTTGACTAAAAATTGGTTTTAATAGATTGTTAGATTATTTCTTTTTAAAAACTATTTTTTAAAAAATAATTATTCTAAAAGTAAAATCATCCATACCCAATCACTGAAAACCAAAACAAAGCAAAACAAAACCAAACCCAAAAAGCATATCACATTTTATTTTGATTGTCTAAACATTTAAAAATAACATTGAGATAAGTCATTGTTTTTGGTACTATTCATATTTGATCAGATTCTTAACTATCATTAATAATCACTGGTATTTTTCTAAGAAATGTATATGTTTAATATTTTTGAATTTTTTAATAAAACTTACCAAAAATCGTCATTAAATTTTTAAAGATTACTATATCTTTCTATCAAGATTAACTTATTAATATTAACTTATTGTTTGATTTATTAAGGTTAACATTTTAATCACTAGACAATTTTGTTTTTATTTTATAAAACATGTTTACACAAACCAAGCACTTAGGGCAAATTCATCTAAGTCAAAAATATTGTTGATTCTAATAACATTTATATTGAAATATTTGTAAATACTTCAGTACAAATAGTTTTAATACTGACTTTAGGCCCCCACTGTAGATATTTGTCTTTGATAAACATTTTACAGGATAAATTTAATAGAACAATTTGATTTTTTTTGAATTGAGATGATGGAACATCTTAGGTCTTCTAAACTACTTTCCATCCCATTATAGAATATGAACTGGCCTAACTAAAAGTTGATGTTCCATCAATAGATTGTTCCTATAATTCAAGATATTTCTAAGAACAATTATAGAATTAAAATGCAATCTGGAAAACAACTTGAAGTGCTCATCTTTGTATTTTTTGTTTTATTTTTAATTTTCTCCCTTGCATTTGAAGGAGAACAATGGAATTTCAACTTTTTTGCAAGTTTTGTTTTCAAAATTATAGTTTGTAACATAAAAACATCAAAAAATTTAGTTTTGACACTTACTTTAGTGTCACACAAATTTAGTTTTGACACTCTGATTTACAGTTTCCAACTGATTTTATTTAATGCAATAAACATTTAGAGTGCTCCTTTACAAAATTCTTTTAAAACTTAGTAGAATACTAAGATTGGTTTCACAAAATTTCTTCAAACATTCTAACATTTTTTAATTCAATTGGTATCAGGCAAGAGAGAGAACATATACTATTTTGCCAAAATATTATATAAGTAAATGTATATTTCACATTAGCTTTATTACAAATATATTGTGATTCTAATATTTTAAAGTATCTATAGGTAAAAATAGTTGCAAACTTTAGAAATAAGAATTTCCATTTGATTGCTAGATATCATAGTTTAGATGTGTTTTAAAGTAAATATGTACCACAACCAAGTTCAAGCATAGATTTTTTTAATTGAGTAAAAATATTGTTCATATCATGATGGTGTGTTCCCTCAAACTCTGTATTCATATTATAATAACAAGCATAAGTAACTGGGCTTCGTATTACTTTTTAAAATTTAGATTGTACTAGATCAGCCATTTGATTTAAAAGAAAATTTACTTTTATGTTTTCCAGTTCCCCAGTTTTATTTCTTTTGGTCTCTATACAGTCACTGAGATAACTATGCCCTTGGATTGGATATCAAATGAATATTTTCTGTAAGTTACACGGTATTAATTCTTATTTGAAAAAACAGAAACTCAATACTTACATTTTAATTTGGCCTGCAATTTAGGGTGTGTGTATGTGTGTGTGTGTGTGTGTGTGCGTGCGTGCTTTGTTTTAGTTTATGGCTGCTGAAATGTTTAATTTTAAACTTTAGAGAAAACAATTCATAAAATAATGAAATAAATTGCTGTAGATTTATTTCATGGAAGAAATTAGGCCATCACTATATCAAGAATATTTAGTTCTTAAGGGGAATGCTTTCAAGTTTTTTCCATTCAGTATGATGTAGGCTTTGGATTAGTCATGTATAGCTTTTAATATTTTGAGATATGTTCTCTTTTTGCCTAGTTTGATCCCTATCTCTCATCCTATACAAAAATTAATCCAAAATGTATTTAAGACTTAAATCTAAGACCCGAAACCATAAAAATTCTATGAGACTGGTACAAAAGTAATTGTGATTTTGCCATTGAAAGTAATGCAATGTGTTTGTTATAAGTTAGATTAACTTGGGACAATATTTTTTCTTTTATTTTTGAAACACATTTATTGACCAAAAATTGGTTTTACTAGAATTGGTTTTAATAGAAAGTAATGCAATACTTTCAATGGCAAGTAGTACTTTCAATGGTAAGTAATACTTTCAATGTCAAAAACCGCAATTACTTTTGCACCAACCTAATGGACGCGAACCTAAGAAAAACTCTTATGGACATTAGCCTAGGCAAAGAATTTATGACTAAGCCCCAACAGCAAATTCGACAGAACCAAAAATAAATAAATAGGACCTAATTAAACTAACAAGCTTCTGCACAGCAAAATAAATATTCATCAGAGTAAATGGATAACCTAAAGAATGTGAGAAAATATTTGCAAACTATGCATCTGAGAAAGGACTAATATCCAGAATCTACAAGGGAAACAAATCACCAAGGAGAAGAATCAAATACTCTCATGAAAAAGTGGGCAAATGACATGAATAGACAGCTCTCAAAAGAAGATACACAAATGGCCAACAAATATCAAGAAATGTTCAACATAACGAATCATCAGGGAAATGCACGTTAAAACCACAATGAGACACGAGCTTACCTCTGCAAAGATGGCCATTAGTAAGAAGTCAAAAAACAAAATACGTTGCTGCAGACGTAGTGAAGAGAGAACACTTATAAACTGCTAGTGGGAATGTAAATTAGCACAACCTCTATGGAAAACAGTATGGAGATTTCTAAGAAACTAAGTATATCTACCATTTGGTCAAGCAATCCCACAATGGGGTTTCTACCCAAATGAAAAGAAGTCATTACATCAAAAATACACCTGCATGCCTATCTTTATCACAGCCCAATTCACAATTGCAAAGATACGGAATCAACCTAAGTATGCAACAACTGATGAGTGGATAAAGAAAATGTAGTGTATGTGTATGGGAAGTATATGTGTGTGGGAAGAATGGAGAAACTAGTTAGTCAACATTACATGTAGACACACACATATACACACATACACACACACACAGAATCCTACTCAGCCATAAAAAGAATGAAATAATATATTTGGCAAGCTGCTTGTATAGAACTGGAGGCTATTATTCTAAGTAAAGTAACTCGGGAAAGAAAAACCAAATACCACATGTTGTCAATTTTAAGTTGGAGGTAAGCTATGGGCATGCAAAGATATACAGAGTGATACAATGGATATTGGAGGTTCGGAAGCGGAGAGCCTGGGAGAAGGATGAGAGATAAAAAACTACATATTAGGTACAATGTACACTGCTTAGGTGAGGAGTACACTAAAATTCTGTACTTCATCGCTGCAGAATTCATCCATGTAACCAAAAACCACTTGTACCCCTAAGGCTATTGAAATTAAAAAAAAAAAAAAAAGACAAAAAGAGTTTTCAGAAAACTCTAAGCAATCTAATACAGGACTATCTAGCCTCTTATTTTCCACAAACATTCAACATATACTGAACCTATAAACTCACATATTTTCTCTCCAACCTCTATACTTGATGGCTTGGCTTTGCATGTGATGAGGCCTTTTGACAGAAGTAAAAGTACAAAATGGAAGTCTAATAAGCCCATTCTAGCTCCATTAATGCAACTAAAACTTATAATAACTGAGAAAATATGAAAAATCTGGGACCAAATATAAAAAAAAATTCAAAACCCACATATGTAAAATGGAATTTTCCCAGAAAAAAATCAGGACATGTAATCACTCTAATTATACATAAAGAACAAAAAAGCTAACTGCTGACACTCAAAATTACAATGCTTAATTTAAGAAAAAGCATACTATCTACAAAATGACTGAAAAACCTTTAAAACTCATGGCAAACTTAATTTAAAATTAAGAATACAATTAATAGCACAAATCTAAAATGCAATACAGTGCAAACCAATACTTTCAAAAACTTCTGTGAATGAAAAATTAATTTTAAAATGATCTCATAATTAATGAAAGCTTTGTAATTCAAGTTGCAAATACAGCACATGAAGTAATGTGTATTATCAGTGAGGTTTTTACAATTTCACATGTGTTTCTAAGCACAAAATAACTGTATATCCTCATCTGTATATTTATCTTCTGGAATCAGTGTTACTAGTAAGATAGAATAGGAATCTAATGGAGAATCAATAAATGTAGTTATATATGTTTATTTTTTTAAGTGAGAATAAAATCTCTTTAAAATAAAGAGACAAAAATGTTAAGCCATAATATGATTATCATCTAAATACTTCCCCTTCTTTTCAAATGTGTGAGAATTGGACTGGATTTCTAAGAAGGGAATTATATACATTTCAAATGCTCTTCAATTCTTCCTTTAGAGGAATTTCACCTTAAAGACTTGAAAGCTAGGTTTAAATTGAAACCCCATTTATGTATCATTTTGTCATTTTTACATTTTCTTTATATCATTATTCTATTCATGTAGAATTAAAGTCTTCTTATAGTCATATTTCTAAACTATAGTTAGAAGAGTAAATTAATTTTGTATTAAATGTGCCCACTTTGTCTTTAAAGTCAAATCTCTAATGCAAAGTAAATTTATTTGTCTTCAGTTACATTGGGATCTGTATTTTCTACATCAGAGTTCAGTGAATGAGGCTATTCTTACTTAATAATTGCACACTGGGAATCTTATCCAGTGAAAGAAATTTTATTGTGAAAAACACTACTGAGATTATACACTTTTAAAGGATTCAGAATCTAAATAATACTAAAACTTTATTGATTCTTAATGAAAATATTAACTTAATTGAGGGTAAAGACATGCACTAAACAATTGAAATAAAAATAATAAAAAATATTCCATATGGGACATAAATTACAGATAAAAAATTAAGAAAGTGGTATTAAATTATTTTTCTCATTAATTACAGTTTATTTAGCCTTGCTTATAACTTCTAGAATTTATTCTTTGGGGAGAAAGGACATGTTTTAAATCATATCCATATAATACATTTTCCTAAAATTTCAGAGATTTTTGAGAAAACATAAAATGTCTTTCTTACTACAGGTGAGCAACAGTAATTCTTGATGTCATCTAGACTCCTCACCTACTCGTACACTTTAAGTTAAGCTCTGTAGAAGACCATAATATGCTGCCTAAAACAGAATGTCCATGTAATATAATATAGTCTCTATAATCTGAGATAAGAGATATTTAAAAACTACCTGAATCTTTAAGAATTATTAAAATAAAAGGTAGATTAAACCAGTGTGTCCAATCTTTGGCTTCCCGGGGCCTCATTAGAAAAAGAATTGTTGGCCAGTTGCGGTGGCTCACACCTGTAATCCCAGCCCTTTGGGAGGCCGAGGCGGGTGGATCATGTGAGGTCGGGAGATGGAGACCAGCCTGACCAACATGGAGAAACCCTGTCTGCACTAAAAATACAAAATTAGCCGGGCGTGGTTGCACATGCCTGTAATCCCAGCGACTAGGGAGGCTGAGGCAGGAGAATCACTTGAACCCGGGAGGTGGAGGTTGCACTGAGCTGAGATCACGGCGTTGCACTCCAGCCTGGGCAACAAGAGTGAAACTCCGTCTCAAACAAAAAGAAAGAAAAAAAATTGTCTTGGACCACACATGAAATACACTAACACTAACAATAGCTGATGAGCTTTTAAAAACTCTCAAAAAAATCTCATTATGTTTTAAGAAAATTTAAAAATTTGTATTGGGACCCATTCAAAACCGTCCTGGTCTGCATGCGGTTGGGATGGACTGCATGGAGATGCGGATGGACCATGGGATGGACAAGCTTGGCATAATCTTTTGGGAAATAAATTCTAAAACAATTTCAAAGCAATATAAATAAAATTGATTCATTTTAACATACTTAGATAATTTTTTCTTAATTATTTTATATGAATGGAACTTAAATTTTTAATTACTTAATATGATATGATCTCTACTTAGTCAGGTTAAGGGCATTATTGCACATAACTCATTTGTAACTTTATTATGAAAAGATTAAATATAAGTAATACAAAGATAATGTAATGAAACGTATGCTTACAACTAGCTTGTTCAATGATAATATCATAGACAATCATACTTTATCTTCATCCCTTTACAGTTCTTCTACTGAATTATGGAAGGATATCCCAGGCATCCTACTATTTTCTTCATAATAATTTAATACAGTATCCCCCAACCTTTTGGCACCAGGGATGAGTTTTCTGGAAGACAAGTTTTCCACAGATGGGGGTGGGGTGAGGATGGTTTCAGGAAGAAACTGTTCCACCTCAGATCATCAGGCGTTAGTTAGATTCTCATAAAAAGCATACAACTTATATCCCTCGCATGCACAATTCAGGATAGAGTCCACACTCCTATGAAAATCTAATGCCAAGCTGCTGAGCTGACAGGGGGCAGAGCTCAGGTGGTAATGCTCCCTCGCCCACCACTCAACAACTTCTGTGAGTCCTGGTTCCTTACAGGCCATAGTCCAGTACTGCTCTGCAGTCTTGGCGTTTGGGGACCCATGATTTAATATACCTCATATATATATAGTTATATATGTTTATATAACACATGTGATATATGTTTATATAACACATGTGATATGTTTATATAACGCACGTGATATATGTTTATATAACATGTGATATATGTTTATATAACATGTGATATATGTTTATATAACATATGTGATATGTTTATATAACATGTGTGATATATGTTTATATAACATGTAACATATTTTCTTGTAAACATAAACATACTGCTTTTAAGTCTGTTAAAATCTTTAATAAAATCATGTAATATCATCAAAATATTAGTTTTCTAATTTTCTTAATTTTCATTTCTCATTTGTTTGAATTAAGATCTAAGCAAAATCCACAAATTTGCTCTTCAGTCTCTCTTAATGTGTTGGTTAATCTTCTACTTAATTGCCTTAAGAAATTACCCTTGCAATGTAAGCAGTGGAGAGAGCAGGTTATTGTTCCTATAGGTTTTACAATCTGAATTTTACTGGTGGTATTTCCTTATTATTTTACACTTTCCTTGGTCTGCTATACCTTAAAAAATGATAATTTTTCTATTTAGATACTTGATCAGATAAGACTGAATTTATTTTAGCGAGACTACCATAGGTGTTGTTGAGTACTTCCATAAAATGGGATGTCCAGTTATCTTTATGTGATGTCAGCCACTACGTATGATCATTTCATAGATCCATTATTTCATTAGGGGCTTAAAAATACTGATATTCTATCATTAATTCTTTATTTATAAGTTAGGATACTTCTTTAAAGAAGCATTCACCTGATGTTTCTTGTTTCTTATTTGGTTACACTGTGGTACAGTTTCCAAAGAAAAGGAAAGGAAATTCCTGGATGTTTTAATTTATTTGACCAACATTCAGCCAAAGTGAGTTGGTTTCCTAATATCTTCCAAAGGTATTCAAAGGAGTTTTTACATGATTATTTTAACAGTTCATCTCTCTTAATACATGTGTTGTGCGTTATCCATTAAGGTTATTTTTGCTGTTTATCAAATATTTCATCACGTTATTTTTCTGGTTCCTTTTGACATGGCACCAGTAATCATTGGTAGATTTCTTACTTTTTCACAGGACAAACTGTTGCAAACTCATTATTCACCACAACAAGAATGAGCTATTTCTCCTGGTACCTTTTAATGGGAGGTACTTAGAAACATGACTGGGATACTAGATTTACTCACTGTTGCAGGGTTATTTTCTTAGGTCTTTTCAGTGGAGAAAAATAGAAAGTATAATCTTATTATATGATACATCCTTCATTCTCATTGAATTTGCCCAAATTAGTTCTAAATGTATGTACTTACAAAACTGACACATGAATATTTATTACAGCTTTATTCATGATTGCCAAAACATGAAAGTACTAATATGTCCTTTAGTAGGTGAATAAGAAAACTGTGGTATATCCATATTATAGAATATTATTCAGTGATAAAAAGAAATGAACTATCAAGACACAAAAAGACAGTTGAAACCTAAATGCATATTATCAATTGAAAGAAGCTAATCTGAAATTGCTACATGTTGTATGGTTACACTATAGCATTCTGAAATAGGCAAAACTATAGAGACAACAAAATGATCAGAGCTTGCTGGCGGTTCATGGGAAGGGGGAGATGAATAGTTAAACCACATGGAATTTTTAGAGTAGTGTAACTATTTTCTATGATACTGTAATAAGAGACATATGTCATTTTTAACACTTACCAAGTCCATAGAATGTACAACACAAAGAGTTAGTTCCACTTTAAACAATCGATGCCAGATATTAATAATAGCGGAACTAAGGTGGGATGGGTGGGATTTTTGGGAACTCTCTGTACTATCTGATTGATTTTTTGTAGACATAAAATTGTTCAAAATAGTCTATTAATTTATATTTGTATGTGCATATATATATCTATATCTGACATTAATCTATCTCTATATAATTTTTCATATCATGTATGAATAGATTAGGATTAGTGAGCTGCCATTATCTCAAGTGACTCGAAAGTCCTGCTTTTTAATATACGTGAGAATTATATTAGGACCGTCAAAATGAGTCTTCATTATCAACAAATTGGTTATATTAAAATAATTATATTAAAACAATTTTTAAGCAGAATGTTGAAGAAAATCCACACAACTGAATTTTTTTTTTATTTTTTCTACATTTTACTAACTAATGACCTCAGAAATTGAGGCCCATGAAGAGTAAGTACATTTTCCTTTATCAACACCATTATTTGGTTTTAAAATTGCAATTAAAACATATTTATGTTTTCGGATTTCTGGTCTAGTAAAATTAATAGTAGGACTCTCCCTGGGAATGTATCACTTCATGTATAAAATATTGCATCACTTCTGGTTAGATATTATCTCTAGACTTGATGGCTTTGTTTTAGACTATTTTAGAAATAGGCCAAAAATATAATCCAGGTGTCATTGCTCTTCATAAATTCTTCTCATATAAACCAGTAGAACTATAGTTGTTAAGTCTACTGTGTGTATTACAATCATCTGGTGACTCAAAAAAAAAAACTTCATGTATTCTACTTATAATGATATTGACTTTTTATTTAAGGGAGGAAGCACTAAGTCCACCATTGTGAGTTCTCTTGCTGAAAACAGTGCAAATGTCTTCAATATTGAGAATACTTAATCAGAAACATTAGGAAGTTGAGCAATCTGATGAAACATTATGAGATTTTTTTTGCCATGTTTTGTTTTACTTTCATTGGGCTACATCTACTGGAAACTTGTCAAAAAACAATTGAAGTCAATAAGTACTTAAAATTTTAGTCAATAAAACTAATGATGTAAATATATATTTATATGTGTGTGTATGTGTGTGTTTGTTTTAAAATAATTTCGGTGAAGAAAAATGAAATGGAAAATATGACAACTGGAAATGAGGGTTACTATGTAAAACAAAAATTGGGGACTGGAGAGTGTAGATTTGTAACATTATGTAAGAGAGCAAGGGGAGGTCTTCTTGGTATCTGTAAACGTTTACTGATTTTTAATAGCAACCAGAAAGTTCTTCCATCATTCCTAAATCAATTTTCCATATTATGTTGACTGTAAATACAAGGATTATGTTGAACAATTTAAATTGTGATTTCTAGTTGTTGCAAATGCAGTGTTTAAATTACTACATTTCTCTTGCTACCTCTGTGTTAATTTTGACTGCCAAGGCAGGAGCTGGGGGGAAGGGGTAAACAAAGGGTAAAATGTTTCAGCTTTTGTGGTCTCAGTTGAATGCAAAAGGTGTTTAATGTGTTTTATCCAATACACATAATCAGAAGTCTAATGGCATAATATGAATAATTTCCATTCATTTCACAGCTCCATGGATGGGCAAATGCTCAAGGCGATGCCTATCTTGATCGCCTGAGCTTCTTCTCGGTTGATCCTCTGGCTGTTTCCTAGACTCCTAGACCCTAATGCATCATGGGCCTGTGTCACTCATTTCTGTTTCTTTCACTCAGTGAAATTGCTACTTTCTGTTTAAAATCATGTATTTTTCTGTTTTAAGGATTAGAAAATCTCCCCAGAAAAAAGCAACTTAAAATTTAATATTTGCACCATCTTTTCCCTTCTCTCAAGACTGAGTGCTCCACTGTCAGTTGTCCAATTCTTGAAACAGGTACTTCTTGTTTTGTTCAATTTTACAATGAATATAAATAAATAATTTGGATTTGTTCTTTTTACATAGGCAATTTGTAAACTGAAAATTTATTTACATGAGAATAAATTATTTGGTAATCACGTTTGAAATTTTTATTCTCATGAACTTCTGACCTTTTATGTTAGTCATCTAATATTTTCAAGATGTGCTCTTGAAATTAAGTAGATAATTAGCTACAATAATATAATCAGTAATTTTCCAGTAAAAATTTAATATATGGCTGTCTCAGAAAAAATATGTAGTATTTGCTGAATTACATGATGTTATTATTACTGCCATGGCCAGTTTCAAGCTATTCACACAATGTCTACCAAATGTGGAGTTCAGAAGATATGCAAATGATTGTCTCTTTCAAGCCAGAAAAAGCCAGATCTGGTACAGATATGATTATAATTGTTAAAGAGTCTCCTATATTTCTTACTAGGCTTTTAAAGTTGTTACTAATTTATGCGCTATTTAAGAACTTTACAATAATTAGTCTATTGTTCATAAGTTTCTAGTTTTTTTGTGTGTTTTGTGCGTGCGTGTGTGCATATATATATACATGTGCATACACACATATACATACATACATACCTATGCATGGATACATTTACACATACATACATATATATATATGAAGTTTCAACAGGCTCTGCAATCATTAAAGTTGTTAGATGGAACTTCCCAAATATATATGTGTACACACACACGTGCATGAAAACACACACAAACACATATATATTTTTATTTAAGCAAGAGGAAAATTCATGTTGAAGTCATAAAAAATGAAATGTCCTAAAAGAGGTTCATAAAAATGACACTTGACATCAAAAGTATTTATCTTCTTTCTTTATCCGGAGATGTAGTGTACTCCGATTTCTTTTTCCCTTCAATATGTTTGTCAAAGAATTACGTGGTACTATTTTTGAGATACATAGGTTTTGGTTTAGTGAGTCATAAAAATATGGCTCAGGATGCCATTTTATTCATTTTTAATGTGTTCTATTGTGACTTTTAAATCATATAAATATTCTCAGCATTTATTGTAATATATTATTTGTTTTTATATTTGGTACAAGGATATACATTATGAGATTTTTTTATATTCAATTAGTTCTAAAAGTAAAATGTTGTAGCAAAGTTCTTTTTTTCTTTTCTAGAAAAAAGGTGAGTTCCTTGAAGATTTTAGAAAAGAAATTCTGTAATCTATATGTAATTTTGTTGTCTCAGGATATTGTTTTTTATAGACGGCTTGTTATAAGAAAATTTTTGTCTTGAGCTTAGAGGGAATAAAAAGCACGTGGCTAATATTCCATTTGTAATGAACCCTTAAATATAATAGTGATTGTGTTAGTTTTGGCTTTTTCATCTTAAGTAAGTTTAATTTCACAATTTGTTTTCTAAGTCTAAATTTTAGTATTGTATAATTGCATTTAGTCACACTGTTATATCTAGGTAAATAGAAATTATCTTCCTAGGGGACAAATTTTAATTGCTAAAAATAACTGTGCTTTATTTCCTAGTTGTCCACAATATGGAATATAAGTCTTTCAACATATGTTAACCCATTCAGGCACTGTGGAGGTCTTAAAATGCCCTCTCACCAAAATTTAATGTCCTAATCCCTGGAACTATCAAACATTTACCTATGTGGCAAATGCTTTGCAGATATGATTAAGTTAAAGATCCTGAGATGGAAAAATGATCCTACATTATTTATGTGAGCTCTAAATGCCATCAAAAATGTCTTTTAAGAGAGATGTTGAGGGAGATTTGACACAGACAGAAGAGGAAGAAACAATGTGAAGATAAAGGCAGAGACTAGGTGATACGACCACAAGTCAAGAAGTGGCGGAAACAACCTCCTCTAGGGCCTCTGGAGGGAGCACAGCCCTACTGACACTTTGTTTTTGGCCCAGCGATACTGATTTCAGACTTCTGGCTTCCAGAACTTTGGAAGAATAAACTTCTGTTTTTTAAGTCACCAGGCATGTGGTGATTTGTTAGAGCAGCAAGAGCAAACTAATACAAATTCTCTCTAGACTTGATTTGAAAATAAGTGTTTCAAATAAAAATGTACTGGCAAGTGGTCTCAGCTATACTGGAATCTATAGTTTTCAATAAGAGCAAAAGCAGAAAGCCAATGATAGTGTGTAAAGATCACCCCTACCAATATGGATATCTTCCCAGGATTCATTTCTAGTAAGGTTTTGGATATGTTTCTGATACCAAGCTATAATACATTTCACTACCTATATTCCAAACCTGTTTCTTTTTTTTTTTTACATTTTTATTAACTTTATAAAATCCTAAAATTGTTTAATTAAAATTTTTATTGATTTATTCACCAAAGTCCATTTCTGTTTGCTGTAGTAATAATACACACACACACACACACACACACACGTTTTGCACTTTATACACCAATGATCTGACACATCTTTCAAATAAAGTAGATCTATTGCCCTCTGAACATAGGTAATAAGAGGAAACATATATTCTGAATGTTTGTTATGTACCAACCATTGAAATTATTAATTCCATGTACTTAATATAAATTTGACCACAATAACTATTAGCTGCTCTTATTTAGTATTAGTTATTAGAAATAAATCTCTGAAGTGCTGATTGTTATGTCCAATGTTAAAGTGATGGTAATTGGTAGATTTGGCATCTAAATTATTCCTAAGCCTTGTGGATTTTTATTTATGCCAGCACTATCTTAAGAGAAGAACATAAAAAAAAGTAAAAAAGTTTTCATAATTAGAAACATGACCTCATAACCTGAACAAAGGATTTTTGTGCTATTTTTGATACTTTTTTTCCTTAATCCAAGTATCTTTGTAATTGCTTCAGTCACAACAATTAATTGTGTATATTTGTTGGACTTAAAATGGAACACACTAATCAGGTAAAATCATGTATATTTTTGTCTGAATTTGTTTTGTTAATTGAACAACGTCTTCTGAGATGAAGATAAGAGGAAGAAGTTTGGATTAGATGGAAAAGTTAATAAATTTTATTAAACAAAAAACTGATACCCTTTGGACTTGTTTATTGTTATATTTCTAGTAGCTTAGATTAGTGGACATACAAGAAAATCAAATTTAAATAGCAATTCCATCAGGTGATAATTATAAGATTACAATATGCCTTCACATACTGCTAATGTCATTTTTGAAAAATATTTCTACTGTCCTCCTCGTAATATTTTAGTTTGTGAGTTGTTCTCATATATAATATTCTTGGCTTCTCATAAGTGATCCAGGAAATCTGATTTCAGCTTCAACATACTTCAGGCAAAGAACTTGAAGTCATTATTCCCATGAGTGTAACATGAAAAGTCTAGATAAACGAACAATCAACACATTTTGTTGAACCCTTCAGAAAACTGAGGCCATGGGACAAAGAATCATTCCAAATTCAAGAAAGACAGATGCATCGAGACAGATACATTAACTGAGATTACTTTATTTGGAGCAGAAACCGCTAGAGCCACAGTGGTAATTTTGATAAATTGCTTGAAGCTGAGGGTGGTCTAGTGTCAGAGTGAGAAACACTAGGCTACAGTCCTTAAAAATGTATAGGAACCCCACTAGCTCTCATGATGAAGATTTGAAAAAAGATAAAAATCTAATAGAGAAAGGGAACATTAACCATTATAAAATATGCCCAGATCTTACTCAATGACAGAGGCCTAATCTCCAGGAGGAAAAAAAAAGTCTTATCCCAATTGGGGATGGGCTGTCACTCCACTCTAGCCCACTCTAGCTTTCCTATCCTTCCTAACAGGGGAGGAGTGGGGCAGAAATACAGAGAAAACAGGAGTCAATACATTAAGAAGATAGATTGGAAACACTGTATTCAGGAAAGGGAGTAGGAGAGAGAAAAATACACACACACACACATATATGTATATAAACACAGATATATGTATACACACACACAGAGATATAACACTATATACATAGCTTGAAAAAGGTTTGTAAACTTCATAGTTCCAAAATACAGTCTCATTAATAGTTAAGAGACTGAGATTTCATTGGAACATAATAAACCCAAATCTTACCATCATATGAATAGGGCTTCAGTATATTAAATTAGATTGTGGATGAAAGTACTGCAATATGGCTGGGCATGGTGGCTCACGCCTGTAATCCCAGCACTTTGGGAGGTTGAGGTGGGCAGATCACAAGGTCAAGAGATTGAGACCATCCTGGCCAACATGGTGAAACCCGGTCTATACTAAAAATACAAAAATTAGCTGGGTGTGGCAGTGCATGTCTGTAGTCCCAGCTACTTGGGAGGCTGAGGCAGAAGAATCACTTGAACTCAGGAGTTGGAGGTTGCAGTGACCCGAGATCATGCCACTGCACTCCAGCCTGGAGACAGAGCAAGACTCTGTCTAAATAAATAAATAAATAAATAAAGTACTGCAATATATAGATGCTTTAAAAGGAAGAGTTAGTAGTGAAGCCCAGTGTCAAGGGAAGAGGCAGAAACAAACAAAGGAAACAAAGGACATTAGAGGATCTTGAAGGCTTTGGTACTCATAGCTAAAACACAAATTAAGCACAGTACAACTCTTAGCCAAATTAACAAAATCCCCACACCAAAGGTCTGCCTCAGTCATATAATCTAATAGAAAATGCCTTGATTTCAACAAAACAAAAAAATTAAAAAGGACAGAAAGCTCAAAAAATAACAACAGCCTGAAGAGGCAAAGCATCATCAGGACTAGACTCGGCTATGATACTGATACTGAATCATTAGATAGAGAATTTAAACATACTATGACTAGTATTTAAAGGTCTGTAATGAAACAGTGGAGGACATGTAAGAAATTGTAATAAATCAAAGTAGAGAAATGGAAACTCTAGGAAGGACTCAAAATGAAAGGTTTTCTATTCTCTTCCATCGATCTCTGCGTCTGTTTTTATACCATTACCATGTTGTTTTAGTTACTATAGCCTTGTAGTATAATTTGAAGTCAGGTAATGTGATGTCTCCAGCTTTCTTCCTTTTGCTTAGGATTTGTTTGGCTATTTGGGCTCTTTTTTTGTTCCAGATGAATTTTAGAATAGTTTTTTTCTAATGCTGTGAAAAATAATGTTTGAAAGAGATTGCATTGAATCTATACACTATTTTGGGTACTGTGGTCATTTTAACTACATTTATTCTTCCAATCCATGAGCATGGGATGTTTTTCCATTTCTTTTTATCATGTATGATTTCTTTCATTAGTGTTTTATACTTGTCTTTGTAGAGATTTTTCACCCTTCTTAATTAGATGTATTCTGTGATTTTTTTTTAGCTATTGTAAATGAGAATTTTTGATTATCAGTTTGATCATTATTTGTGTAGACAAATACTACTAACTTTTGTGTGATTTTGTACTCTGAAACTTTACTGAGGTCATTTATTAAATCTAGGAGACTTCTAGAAGAATCTTTGGGATTTTCTAGGTATAAGGTCACATTATCAATGAACAGAGATAGGTTGACATCCTCTTTTCCAATTTGGATGTCTTTGTTTGGTTGGTTGGTTTTGGAGACGGAGTTTCGCTCTGTCTCCCAGGCTGGAGTGCAGTGGTACAATCTCTCCTCACTGCAACCTCTGACTCCTGGGTTACAGCGATTCTCCTGCCTCAGCCTCCTGAGTAGCTGGGACTACAGGCACTTGCCGCTAGGCCTGGCTAATTTTTGTATTTTTAGTAGCGATGAGGTTTCACCATGTTGGCCAGACTGCTCTCGAACTCCTGGTCTCAGGTGATCTGCCTGCCTTGGCCTCCCAAAGTGCTGGGATTACAGGTGTGAGCCACTGCGCCCAGTCTGAATGACTTTTATTTTCATCTTTTGCTTGGTAGTGTCTTAAAAAACTATATGTAGTCCTAATATTATATCAAGGTAATGTAGTATGATCCAAATTATATAAGAATATATGTGCATACACACAATTACTAAAAAACGTCCTGAGGGAAATACCCAAAAATTTAACAGCGACTTAGCTGAGTAGAAGAAAAGTGGTTGATTGTGCTTTCCTTATTTATGTTTTTTCCTATGTTCAAAAACATCTAAGGACAATTATTATGTTCCTAATCAGAAAATTAATGAAGAAAATTAATGTCATCCTATTTCTTCATTTGTGAATTTGACTGTATTTGAATTTTTGATTTAAAATCATAAAGTAAATAAGGGCATTCTATAAGCTTATTTTGATTTATTTTAATGCACTCATTATATTTTTATAAAATTACTTGCTTCCCACAAAATATATATCAATGATCCTGATATATGCATAATGGTTATTTTGTGCATAAGGAATATGTCATGCCACTGACATGCCACAATTTTAAGAGTCATTAATAAATAACTTTACACACAAGTATATGTCAATAAACCAGAATTCTATATTCAAAATGAAAAAATGCTCTAGTTTAATATACATTTTAGCCCATCTCTCAAACCCTCTTTTGCATTTTTCTTCTGCCCTAAATTTTCTTTAGGCCAAGAAAATCGTGCTAAAACATGAGTTCAGTTCATAGCAATGAAACTTGTGATTCTGAGTTCATTGTGAAAACCATGTTTGGAAATGGCCATCATGAAAGCGTTGAAAGGCTGGGCATGCAAAGAATTGAATTGCAAACATATACCACAAATCACACACACACACACACACACACACACACACACACACACTTACACACAATGAGTTGAGAGAAAATGTTTAGGTAATAATAGTAAAATAAGAAGGTAAATTTGAATTCCAGGAGAGACTGTAATAATCTCTATGGCATATCAGCTTCTTTAATAGATAAGAGTCACATATTATCATTATTAATTTTAAATAATAATTTTATCCTGAATACTCATATGAAACATGTTCGATCAGACACAGATTTCTTATTAATACCTCACAGTCAATATCAAGTGTGAAGTGTGTAACTCCCCTCCCCTTACCCTAGTTACGCACTGATGACTTGGCCCTTTGGCCAAGTCAATGACCCTACAGGAGTAGCCAGCTACTCTTTAAGAGTAAGAAATAAAATATCTTTTCTTTGCTTATAAAAAGGATAGAAGTAATTCTTCCTTTTCTTGTCTGAAAGGGTTTCCTCCTTACTGTAGTTCTTTGATTTGCTAATATCTCTTCAGGAGCACCTTGGGAGCTTAATCTAGAGACTTTGTCTGGCACTGTAACCAATTTGCCCTCTCAAAGAGATAAGAGGAGTTTTATTATTCTTTAGGATCTGAGCAATTATCTGAAGCAATGACTACAGGCCTAATTCTGGTGGTTATGTGAAGAATCTCAGGAGGCTGAGACTTTTACCTGAGCCTTGAAAAATCCGAGACCTTTAATTTCTTACAATTATATTACTTATATCTATCTCATTTAATTCACAGCAATCATCTCTTTCAAATTCACTGCTTTTGAACTTTTGCAGCAATTTGGGTCATTTGTCCACTTCAAAGTCATGTTATCTGAATTTGTCTCTTTGCTTCATTGATACTTCATATAGTCTTCATACTTCCCCTGAATAAAAGTGAGCTCTAGGGTATTGACAAGTTTTAGGTACAATGATGTTGCCAAAAATACCCAGCTGGGATTGTGCTGCTTGTTTCACTTCAAAGAGCCCAAACCTTTCTTCTTATTTTTTATGATTTTAAGATTGATCAGTGTGCTCAGGTGGTGACAGTGAATGGATTCAACCATGAATAATCATTGTCTGAGTCAAGTATTCATTAGAGGTTGCAGCTGGTTACTTGACTAATTATGTTGTTTCTTCCACAGTTATCAGCTATACACACAAACATATAGGTATACATAAAATGAAAAAGTTTCTAAGGTCATTTGTTTCCTCAGAAATTCATGGCAATATTTGTGAGTGCCCTGGTTACTGCTCTGAGTGTCTGCAATAGCATCTGGGAGTGGTAGTAGGTGTGAGGCAGCACTGTTGAAGACCCAGAGAAAACAAGCAGAATTCACATGGTCTTTCTAGTGTTTTCTCCTTGTGCTGCCAGTGACTCCTTTCCCATTCTGCTGCCCTTAGCCTTCAACGATCAATGAAAGACAAGTCTCCATACTTTTTTGTTTTATTTTCATAGTTTCCTCTGCTGTTTCTTGTATGCCATGATGTGTCCTTCTATAGAACTTTCAGAATTGACCTTTTTGAAGAAAGCCATAAACTTGTGCTGAGTCTCTTAGAAATAACAAATTTCAAATAACATAAGAAAATAAATTACTTAGATTACACAGCCACTAATGTTTGGGAAAGTCAAATCAGACTGATGGATGGAACATCTGATAGATATTCTAAGACAGAAAATAGACTTAACAGTCAAGATTTAATTATTTGTGTTTTTGACACTTGACTGTGACAGGTATGTATAAAAATGTAAATTTTTTTTAATTTTTTAAATATAGGAATGGGAATGATATATGCAATCGATCATAATTGAAGCTGATTCCACAAGAGTAGGGATGCATAAACAGAGGAGAGAAAAAATGAGTGAAGAGCACAATCTCTGGTTGCCCTTATATCAGGGAGGAGGAAATGAAGCCGAGAGGGAATAATCATGAGGCAGGAAAATGTGAGGACACGTAAAAACTGCTGGTATGTTGTTGCAGTTGTGACACAGATTAAGAAGTAATGATATTCTGAATAACATTCAAGTTAGATTATATCCTTAATTACATAAACAGATTTGAAATTAATTTACTTGGAAACAACTAACAACAATAAACTATTATAATCAAATTTACAAAATACTATTAAATAGCTAATCATGTAGGCATAGTTATCTAAACATGTAGCACATTTTCAGTACAAAATTAACAACTCGAGGAAATGCTCTTCAATGATAATATAGCGTAGTGTTTCAAAGCCTTCAAGTATACTCAGTTTGAAAGTATGGATAACTACATTCACTAAGAACTACTGTTAGATTTTACTAATTAGCAAGTATTGTGACAGGTATTATGCTACCAACTGTTTTGGGACACTCTTTGCTTTATGCTCCAGAAATTCTATTTAGCATGATGAATTCAAATAGTACCCTGAACTTGCATATTTTTTTTTCCCTTTAAAGTTCATCTCATGAACTAAAAGCAGTGGGTATATTGTACAATCTAATTCGTTTTAAGTTTCTTGTCAGCTTTGTTTTTCTAGAAGTGGTGAGAAAATGTACTACATATAGTTAATATACTTCTCTTCAAGTTTTGTAAAAAACATTATAAAACTCCTAGTATTTAAGCTCAGTATTTTTAAAAGTACATTGACTCTTTTAAGTCATTAGGGGAACATTTAGTGCAGTAGAGCAGTAATTCACTGAATTTCAGGCACTAGTGACTTAATGTAGTTAGTACAATGTAATTTACACTCAGGGAGTAGTTTGTACACCTGGAAGGATCTAAGCCATTGCCTACTTAATTGACATGATTTTTTAAAGAGAGATGGAGCACCCTAATATTTACATGAAAAGAAAATTTGGATTAAATTACCTCTTCAAGGTCAGAGAAAAAATTAATTACTGAAGTAAGACTTGGAATTTTGTGCTCATTCTCAACATTCTACTTAGAAAAAATCCTGGTAGTATCATTATTGTGATGTGAACCTATTTGAGTATAACTATGGACTGCATTTAGGAGGTACTTTCAAAGGACACAGGTTAATGTTATATACAACCCTAAAGTTACACAGTGTGTTTGCCATCTATGTAAGGGTCAAATGATAAAGTCAGCAAGTTATGCAAATATCACAGTCAAGGTAACCTTGAGCAAAGTCTTTGAGACCTGCCACTAAAGATGTGCCTGTAGTATGATTCCTCTCAGGAATCCAACATAGTCATTTAGTTTTTCATATTAAAATATGTTTTTCTTCTCTTGAACACAATCTCTGGTACACTCATGAGATGTAACATCAATCTCTTTAGTGGCACCCCTCAAAGAGATTATGCAATACCAGGTGAAAAACTGGGCTTAATTTTAGGAACTGTGAAAACACTAGCATCATCCTCAGTGTGGTATGTTCCAACTTTGAGATTCAAGGAGAACTACAATCAACTGAGGGTAAAGAGGTTTCAGATATCTTATTTAATATGCATAAAATGTAATCACCCATTTAAATTCATCTCTATCTTTGTGTCTTGACACATACACACGTGCACACACAAATATGCATACATACATACATTCCTAAGATAAATAGATTAAGCACATAATTAATTCCACATATAATTAACTCCACTATGATACTACATGACAATATAATTCAGGATGCAAAATTGAGTACAACATAATTATTGAAAATAAGACTAACACAAAACTTTAAAACCCCAAACAACAAACAAAACTATAAATTCTGCTTTAACTTAAGATATAAAAAAACCATGAGAATGTCAGTCCTTCTACAACAAAGAGAAAAAGACAGAAATATCTTCAAAATAATAATATTTTCTGAGCCAAAGGATGATGATTGCAAGGATATCAATTGAACTAAATTTCAAGATCTGACAAGCCACTCCAAGCACACATGGGCCAAATACAATGTCTCACTTTTGCCAGAGTGGTACCAAGCTTTGCTGCAAAAACTAAAAAGAAAACAGCTGAAGTTTTCCATATTCTTAAAATCTGAGCAGCCAGGCATGGTGGCTCAGGCCTATCATTCCAGCACTTTGGAAGGCTGAGCCGGGCATTTTATTTGAGGCCAGGAGTTTTAAACCAGCCTGGGCAACATGGTGAAAACCCATTTCTCAAAAAAAAAAAAATTAGCTGGATGTGGTGGCAGACGTACATTTGTAGTAACAGTTATTCAGGAGGCTGAGATGGGAGATCAATTGAGCCCAGGAGGTTGAGGCTGCAGTGAGCTGAGATTGTGCCACTCTACTCCAGCTGGGGTGGCAGAGTTGGACCCTGTATCAAAAACACACACAAAAACATCAAACAAATAAAAATCTGAGCATGAGTTGTAGAGACAGTATGGAATGCCCAGTGGTCACAGGCACACCTGGAGCCCACACTCACTCAGTTTCTCTTTCCTACAGGTCTTGATGATGGACTACCAAAAAAGGCCAAGAACAAAGCAGGCAGCCTGAGAAAGCCACCTCTTGTGGTACACTGAAGCAAAACTGTCTGCTCCTCAGGCTCTTCTCATACAGTGGTAAAACTGAAAGCCACTTTGAGAGAAACATAAAATATGAGTGTTCTGGATCTCTGACAAAGATACACAGCTGCTTAGGGAAAGGTAGTGGAAAAGCCACCTGCTCCTAAAGGTGGGGAAGAAAACACCCCTGCTCCACCACAAGCATTTCAACAAATAACAGCAAGTAAGCTACTTCCCATGGAAGAAGGGACAGAAAACCGTATTCCCAAGCAAACGTTCATTGGGGGAGAATTTAAAGCAAAAGCTACCTGATCCAATGAAAGATGCAGTGAAATTAATCAGACCCAGGTTCCTGCACTGATGTAAATCAGAAGTCCTTTATCTCTAGAGGAAGGGCAGGACATTCAGTCCCACAGAAGATGCTCATAAACACTAAGAAATATAATACCCCAGGGTTCTGGAGAATGTACAGGATCATTGACAAAGTCCCAGTCTCAACATCAGGCACAGAGAACTTTCCAGAACCTGAGCTGGAGAAGGCAAATCAGAACATTAATTCACTCAACAACAAGCTTTATGCTATATAACAAGAAATAGCAGTGTTCTACTGAGGAAAAGAAAAATGCATAAGAACACAGGGGTAAATCTCCTTGATTTTCAGACCCCCACAGAGATTATAAAATAGCACCAGAAATTACCCAGATGTTAGATCTATCAGAAAGGCATTGTTGTTTATGTAGGTATGATGAAGATGTTAAAGGATCTAGTGAAAAACTTGGAAACAGATTTGGACAGATGGGAAATTTCAGTGAGACATTGGAAACTCTAACAAAAAAGGGCTAAATATGAAATCTGGATAATATACTCTATTATACAAAAAATGTTATCTAGAGGATATCACAGAAAAATAATTCCTTCAAAGAGTTTATAAACAGACTAAAATCCACAACTAAAATAATAAATCAATAGAAATTAATAGGTCAATAATAATGATATAAACTCAAAAACAAAGATGCAGAAGAATGAAGAAAAGAGAAAAGAAAATCTAGGACCTTTGGGAACATATTGCATATATTTGGAATGCCCAACAGAGAAGAAAGGGAAAGAAGTATAGAATAATTATTTGAAGAAATAATGACTATATATTTTTTCAAATTTAATATGAGACAGCAAAGCGCAAATGAAAAAGGTCCAACGAACACCAAGAAAAGAATATTTTTTAAAAATTACATCTTAGTTGAGTTGCTGAAAACTAAATATGAGGAAAATATCTTAAAAGCAATTGAAAGGAAAAAGGAAACTTTACATATAGAGAAACAGATATAAGAATATGACAGATTTTTCCTGTAAAGTTTTGGAAGCCAGAAGTAACTTTCTTCTTTAATGTATTGAAGAATTTCTTTAACATACTGAAAGTAAAAATTTTGAATCTAGAATTCTATATTTATCTAAAATATCTTTTTCAAAAGACATAGAAAAATATGGGCTTTATTCAGAGAACAAAAGCTGAGAGATTCCATTGTCAGCAGACCTGCAATGCAAAGTGACTTAAACAATGTGGTTTAGGCCAAAGAAAAAAATGATACGTGACGAAAATGTGGACCTATGCAAAGAAATGAAGAAAGCTACGTCTGAGGTCAAAATAAGGGAAGATATAAAATACCATTTATTGTATTTCTTGTATCTTTAAGTGATAATACACTGTCTGAAGTATAATAGTAGTGACATATTGTGGGGTTAAAAAACATTTTAATAACGTACTTTGGGAATTATAACATGTGAAAGCAAACCGTATGATAATAATGTCACAAAGAATGAAGGGTGGAAATGGTAGTACAATGTTTTATACTATACTTCAAATGGCATAATATTATTTTTAGATAGGCTGTGATATGTTACAGAGATGTAACACAGAGCAAACACTTAAAAAATAAAATAAATTGATTTAAATACTAATTCACTAGTGGAGATAAAATATAGCAATTAAACCAAAAATATGCAGAAGAGAAAAAAAAGAACAGGTAGTATATTTAATCTCAATAATATTGATAATTAAATTAAATGTTCATGGATTAAAGACCACTTTTAAGAGGCAAAAGTTGTCAAGTTAGATTAGGCAAACAAACAAAAAAAGACCCAGTCCTCAGGAAAACCTTTTTAAATTATTTCGTGTGTGTATTTTTTATGTATATATTTTCTTTTTTGTCTTGTCTGCCAAAAATTACCAGAAACTAGCCTTCATCATTATTAAGTTCATATATGTAACTACGTACATTTAACTCTTTTTAAGTTATACATTCAGGGGGGTACATGTACAGGTTTGTAACATGAATACAGTTTGTATTGGTGAGGTTTGGGCTTCTAGTATGTTCATCATCCTAACATTAAACAGTGTATCCAATAGGTAATTTTTTAACACGACCCCACTTCCTACCCTTTCTCCTCCCCCCTTGTATATTATTTCCATCTTTACAGTCCATGTGTACTCATTGTTGAGCTCCCATTTACAAGGGAGAATTTTGGTAAAAGCAACAAGTTGGAATGTATCTGTTATTATGATTATTTTTCCTAGGAACCGTATCCTTCACTATTATCACTGTGTACCAAATCATAAATAATTTGTTAAAGTGCTTATGAAATTAAGAATAAGTCCTTCTGCATTTTTTGTCAGTTAACGTAGACCAAACTCCCTTGAACATAGTAGCTGTTCAAAAATGGCTATTATACATTATTAGTCTTGGTTTACATTCAAGGAAACTAAAGTTTAATACGTACATAATACCTAAGGTCAAACAATAAAGATGGTATGACTCTGAACTTCTCTTTTTATTAGACCAAAATGTTACTTCACTTGGGTGGAAGGCCAGGTACAGTACAGATTTTAAAATAGAGGCATGATAAAGGTTACAATTTCTAATTTTTTAAAAAGAATGTCTTTCTTAGGACAAGACGAACATTTTTACAAGTGCCAATTGTTTGTCTTATGCCCGTAAATTACTAGAGTTGAACTTAAACAGAGTCATGAAAGTTTTTCTGAAAAGTTAACATTTATAAGTAGTAAATAGTATGAAGTATGATACAGAACATCAAAAATAGGGCAGAATATTCTTCCCAGGTGTGATGGTTAATTTTAAATGTCAACTTGACTGGATTAAGGAGTACTTAGAGAACTGGTAAAGCATTGATTCTGGGTGTGTCTGTGAGAGTGTTTCTAAGGGAGATTGGCATGTGAATCAGTGGATGGATTGGAGACGATCCACCTCCAATGTGGGTGGGCACCATTCAATAGACTAGGGGCCCAGCTAGAAAAAAAAAAAAAAAAAGCAAAGGAAAGGATTTTTTCTCCTTGAGCTGGAACACACTCTTCTTCTCCTGCCCTTGCATATCATGAACCCAGGCTCTTCAGCCTTGAGACTCCAGGAATTACAATAGAACCACTCTCCATGTTCACTCCCACCCCCTGTGGTTTTTAGGCCTTTAGCTTTGGACTGAGTGTTGTACCATTGGTTACCCTTGTTCTAAGGCTTTCTGACTTGGACTGAGCCAAACCACCAGCATCCCAGAGTCTCCAGCTTGGTGATGGCCTGTTTTGGGACTTCTCTGCCACCACGATCATGTGACCCAATTTCCCTAACAAATCCCCTCTCATCTATCTCTGTCTCTATCTATCTCTGTCTCTATCTATCTATCTACCTATCAATCATCTATGTATCCTATTGGTTCTTTGTATGTGAGAAACCCTGACTAATATACAAAAAAAAGTGTCTTTATAAGTTCTATATTAAATTACTATACTGATTTACCTCTCTCAATAACCCTCTGCCATTGTTTTGAGAAATAATTTCTTTTACACACTTTTCTATTAATGATAATCTTGCAGCTACTAAATAAATTTAACAGTAGTAATATTTGACTCTTTTCTACTGAATTAGGCTTCACATAGACTCTTTATCCTTTAAAGTATTCTATTTCCAGGATTTCCAATTAGACATTCCAGCCTATGACCACAGCTTTCAATTGTCTTATGTCCCCTCCCATCTCCCCAACACCTAGTGACCTAATGCTGTACCTAAAATGATCTCTGCTTCAAATATCCTGCTTAACAGAATCTAAAACCATTTATTTGATTCTGATACACTCTGAAAATAAACTCTCTTAATTCATTATAAAACCACTTAAAATGTCATTCTCCACATTCTTTCTTCTATTTATCAACTACTTTGCAATTTTCAACTCATTACATTCTAGTTTCCACTTCGCTACATTATTGAAATTAACTTTCTGAGGGTACTCATTTATTTCTTAATTATTTCTACATTGTCCATTCTCAAGGCATTGTGAAAAAAAAGAATGTGATGTCACCAATTAATATAGATCTAAATATTGGGGTTCTGAAGATAGATGGGGAATCTCTTATAAAAAATACTTTTTTTAAAAATGGTGTTTCCAAATGAGTCACTATATAAATAAAATTTTAATTACTATTGAACTAAATGTTTTTTATTACTTATAAGGGGAGAAAAAATAGGTGGTAGTGCAGATTCAATTATCTTTGAGAAGATTCAGAATCAAATGTGTTAAATTTAATTAAAAGGTTAAATAATACATGAATTAAACAAATTCAAAGATACCTAGACATGGTTTAAGTGAATTAAATTTTACCTTGGAGAAATATTTGCCAACAGAGGAGCTAAGGAATATACAAGTAGTTGCCTCAAATGTGCAAATGAATAGATAGATTATACAGTCATCCCTCAGTACACATGGAGTATTGGTTCCAGGACCCCCACATATGCCAAACCTATGCCTACTCAATTCCTAGAGGAAGCCCTGATAAACCTGCATATAAGAAAAGTCTGCCCTCCGTGTCTGTGGGTTTGACATCCCACAAATACTGTCATCACATAAGGTAAATAATACCAAATTTAGGTATGGCAACCAGCAAAAAGAGTAGTCCCTAAGTGTAGTTGTATGCCCTCAGGGGTGAAAAAGATGATCCAATGGAGAAGTGAAAACATTTATTAGAAATTCTATGCTTTTATGTATAAATTTAAAAGAAAATAAGTCCAGCATCCTACATTACAAGTATTAGCAATACAAGATACTTAACAGATACACACATCTGTACCTATCTATACCTATATGTACTGATATCCATATTTATCCAGCAACTATCTTTCTATAAATATAACTTTAGTTTCTTACTAGATAGTGGTTGTCAATATCGTCTTTATTTTCTCATAAACATCAGAGTTTTCTAAAAAATTGCAATTTATCTGTGACTGACACATAGTTATATAATGTTATTATATTATTTGTATATTAGCTTAAAATGATTTCAAAAAATAATTACTAAGAAAATTAAGAATGAAAACCCATTAAGCAAATGAAGACCCCTGCTTCTATAATTTATATACATTCTTTCTGTTAGATCATGGCAGGGGAAAAAATTGTGATTATATATTTGAAATAGAGCAATCAAAATTTAATATTAGAAGAGAGATTATTTTAAACATTTTCATTCTTTGTAATAATTATGGACCTCTCTTCTGGTATATATAGTGTTGAAGTATTTGAGGACATGAAAATCTCATTACTTATTATTGTTATTTTGTGTATGGTTTTAAAGATACATGAAATTTTGCCATAATAACACAGGCATATTAGTTACAAGTGTTTCATATATGTTACTAATGCGGAAAACATTACAAAAATAATATAAAGTGATATAAAAATAGGGGGATCTTTTTGTTTAAAATTATTATTATTGACAAATATATAAGGTTTATTGAGACACACAAAGGCAATAGATAAGAAGGTCAATGAAAGTTTAGCCTCATTCTTCACTGTTGAAAGAACTTGGAACCAGTGAGTAATATAATTACCCATATTGTAGATTTAATTAGCCAACTATATGTTTATATATTATGGAGACTTTCTGGCACTGAAAAGAATGTTTAAATAACTTAATTCAAATTGAATGCCTGTTGTCCTAAATGTATAGCCTGTCATTTATAATGCATGCCAAGCTGAAGGATGGACAATTCAAAAATATCCTGTGTCTATAATAAGAGATTCAACATGAATCCTCTGAATTACAGAGTGGTGAGGCTCACATATTAGGCAAACGGCTGTAATCTATAAGTGAGAGAAGACCCATGTAGTCAAAAGGAAGCATTCATTAAAAGATAAGGAAATGGGGTTATTGAAAGAAAATCATGTCTAGTATTTTTAGCAAGCTCGTAGATTTGTTAGCAAGAATTAGAGCATAGCATGGCAATTCTTATCCAATATCCGCTGCCTTTTCTTCCAATCCTTTCTAGGGCATTAATGTGTCTAGCCAGATAATGATTTACCCAGGCTCCTTGCAGCTAAGCATGGCTATTGTGTTTTAACCAGTGAGATGTAAGTGGAATGATGCTACATAATTTTGGGAAGGCATTTGTATGATAAGTTAGGGCTGGGACAACACTGATTGTTCTAAACCAAAGGCAGGGGAGAATAAAATAAGAATACTTTACCAATAACCATGTTGTATAAAAGGTTATATTTGGGTCTATTGCTGTTCTTATGTTGTTTTTTTTCTGTCTTTTCTTAGAATTAGAATGTATAGCAGTAGCAGACATCAGTATATTCACAAAACAACACAAATGAGAAAGAAAGTCAACATGCTAAGATTGCTGGAGTAGAAAGACAGAAATTGGTTTATTAAAAGAATTTGTGATAGCAACTGATTCCAGCCTCTGTATAAGTATAGCTTATAAAATAAACTATCTGTTTAGCCCAGTAAAAGTTTTGTTTCCATTACTTGCAACTGATTATATTCTTGTATATAATTAAAGATTGGTTTGGGAAACATTAATATATTCAAGGAATATTTAATCTGGTTCCAGACTTACAATTTCTATATATTCTTATAAAACATGTGCACTGGTAACACCAAATTGTTTTTCTCTTGTCACTTAATATCTTATTTATCATTTAAGATATAGAATAAATGTCATATTCAATATAAATTGTTTTTTTATGTTATGTTCCAAGGCACAAAACATTTTTATTTTTGGCTATTCATTGATCACATTTTTTGTTTCATGTTTGTCATATTATGTTCCAGTTTATTCTTTTCTCCTAGAAATTTCTAACAGAGAATATATTGTATTTACATAAAATTTTATTACATGCTCATAGTATTAAGAAAACATTAAATTAATAAAGGAATAACATTCCATAACTTTTATAACAAGGAGAGCTTTCAGTTAAATTTTCCTTAACTGTGAATGTATTTAATTGAAAGTAAGAGTTAGAAAAGCATCCAGAAAAAATGTGAGATCGAAAGGACAAAGAAAAAAATCAACTACTCAAAGGCTCCTATATAATTGATAAATTTTTGTTCAGCCAACTTTTCCATAGCAATAGTACACAGGTACTTTCTCAGAGCATTACAAATATTAATGTATTCAATTATTATAATACGCTTGTGATATACATACTAATATCACCAATTTTCAGAAGTCAGGATGAAGGAATGAGAAGGGAGAGATATAATTTTTGATGTGGCCACTTTATCAGCATGAGTCCACCTATCAGAAATGCTGACTCAATATGTTATTTGTAAGAGTTTAGTTGACTAAAACATGGACTCTATAATGGAATTCTCTAGAGAAGCTAGGGTATCAAAAATTACCTCTTTTAATGTAGATAAATGAATAAAATGATTTAGGGATACAGGAATGTTGGATGGGATTTATAATATGATCCTCTTATTCACTGTTAAACATATCCCCAAAGATGACCTGGCTCATGCTACTGAGAAAGTTTATGAGGGAAGCACTAGCATCCTTGAAAAGCATTGCACTTTCTATCTCCTAACAGATGGAATCATGTAAGAGAGACTCCATCGATATTCCCTCCTTGATTTTAATGGAAATAATGCATTATCAGACTTGAAGAAGCCAAATAGAAACCTATAATCTCCAGAGATAAATTAGACCTCAGGTTAAATAACATTTATGTCTGTGATTCAATAATACTGAAGTCCCTGTAACTAAATTATTCATGTAGCTCACTAAGGGACCACTTTATAAAGTAACTAGAGGTTTTTCAAGCAGAGATATATAGTTTGAATGCTATGAAGATCAACAGCCCCTCTTTCAATTTGCAACTATGAATAAGTTTACAGATCCAGCACTTCTTAAATGGGAGGGAATTTATGTTATTTCCAGAAAAAATTTCCAATCATACCACAAAAAATGCACTTCTTGTAAGTCTTATTCCTAACCGTTCCCTAAAGGACGAAGAGAATGTACCAGGGTAACAGGACTCTAAGGAGAAGGAAGTGAATCAGTCTTAGAACTTTTCATACACTGCTCTGATATAATAATTTTTCCTCAGAATACATGGTGCCATTGAGGTCTATTGGTTAGTTTAGAGATCCTGGGTATCAGGCAATAAGTGCAATTTATCCAAAGAATGCCTTTTCCCCCAATTTTATTGAGGTATGCTTGATGAGTACAAATCACTTATATTTAAGATGCACAACTTGCTGTTTTGATCTGTGCATATATTATGAAATGATTACTGCAACCGAACTAACATATCTATCACCATATCTAGTTATTTTTGCATGATTGTGTGGTCAGGATGCTTGAGTTCTACCTCTGTGCAAACTTTAAGTATAGAGTTATTACTAACTACAGTCATCATGCTGCACATTAGTTCTCTAGAACTAATTCACCTTATAACTGAAAGTCTGTACACCTTGACCAACATTTCCACATTTCCTCTACCTCCCAACCCATGCTAACCATGGGTTTCTACCAGTTCAACATTTTTAGATTCCATATACAAGTATACAAGTGAAATTAGATAGTATTTGTCTTTCTGTGTCTGGCTTATTTTACTTAGCATAATGTCCTTTAGGTTCATACATGTTGTTGCAAAAGGCAACTTCCTTTTTAAGCTGAATCATATCCTATTGTATATTATACCACATTTTCTGTATGCATTCATCCACTGATGGGCACTTACATTGTTTCCATATCTTGGGTATCGTGAGCAATGCTGCAGTGAACATGGGAGTGCAGATACCTTTTCAAGATAGTAAGTTTATTTTCATTACATATATAGCCAGAAGTAGGATTGCTGGATCATATGGTAGTTCTACTTATTTTTTTTAAAGAAGCTTCATGCTGTTTTTCATAATGGCTGTACTAACATATATTCCCATTGACAGTGTGCAAAGGGTCTCTTTTCTCTACATCCTTGCCAACACTTGTTATTTTTTTGACTTTTTGGAAATAGCCATCCTAACAGGTATAAGGTGATGGCTCATTGTGGTTTTGATTTGCATTTTGCTGACAATTAATGGTGTTGAGCACCTTTTAATATACCTGTTGGCCATCTGTATGTTCTCCTTACAAGTGTCTGTTCAGGTCCTTTGCCATTTTTTATCCATTGGATTTATTTTTCTTTGTTAAGGTGCATGAGTTCCTTATATATTTTGAATATTATTCTCTTATTAGATATTTGGTTTGAAAACTTTTTTGCTTAGTCCATAGGTTGCTTTTTAATGTTGTTGATTGTTTTCACTGCTGTGCAGAAATGTCTTTGTTGTTCCACTTTATTTTTGCTTTTGCTTCCTATGCTTTTGGTGTCATATCCAAAACTGAGATCTCCAAGTCTAATGTTACGGAGCTTTTCCTCCATATTTTCTTTTAGCAGTTTTACAGTTTTAGGTCTTACGTTTAAGTCTGTAATCAATTATGTGTTAATGTTGTTTACAGTATAAGATAAGGGTTCAATTTCATTCTTTGGTACTTGAAAGTTGGTTTTCCTAACTCCATTTATTGAAGAGACTACCTTCTTTCATTGTGTATTCTTGGCACCATATTAGTTGAACTTACATGTGTGGGTTTATTTACGGATTCTCTGGTTGCACTGTTCTATGCTCCTGTATTTATGCCAGTACCATAATGTCTTAATTACTAGATCTTTATAATATAATTGGAAACCAGGAAGTGTGATACCTCCAGTTTTCTTCTTCTTGCTCAACATTGTTTTAGCTATCTGGAATCTTTTGTGGTGTCATATAAATTATAGGATTTTTTTATATTGTCAAAAATGTCATTGGAATTGTGATGGGTGTTGAATTGAATCTGCAAATTGCTTTGGGTAGTATGGACATTTTACAATATTAATTTTTTCCAAACCATTAAAATGGGATGGCTCTTTATTTGTTTGTGTCATCTTCAATTTCTTTCATCAGTATTTTATAGCTTTCACTATCAGATCTTTCATCTCCTAGGTTGAATTTATTCAGAAATATTTTATTCTTTTTAATCTTACTGTAAATCAAATTTTTTAAAGTTGCTTTTCAGATAGTTAATTGTCAGTGTGGAGAAATGTAACTGATTCTGTGTGTTGATATTATATTCTTCAAATTTACTGAATTTGTTTATGAGTTCTAACAGTTTTTTGAGGGGTAAAGTCTAGGATTTTTTATATAATATTGTTATCTGCCAACAGAGACAGTTCTATTTCTAACTTTTTAGTTTGGATGCCTTTAATTTATTTCTCTTGTTTAAGCACTCTGGTTATGACTTCCAGGTTATGGTGAATAGAGTGGGTATCCTTGACTTTTTCCTGACCGTATAGGAGTGACGTTGATATTTTTACCATTGAGTTTGATGTTAGCTGTGAGCTTGTCTTATATAGACAGCCTTTATTATGTTGAGGTAATTTCCTTTTAATACAAGTGTGTTGAGAATTTTTATCATGAAAGGGTTTTGAATTTTGTCAACTGATTTTTCTGCATCTATTGGTATGATCATGTTGATATTTGTCTTTATTCTGTTAATGTGACATATCACATTTATTGATTTCCGTAAGTTGAAACATACTTTCATCCCAGGGATACATTTCACCCTATAATGATGTATAATCTTTTTAATGAACTATTGAATTCAGTTTGCTAGTATTTTGTACAGAATTTTATCCAACCACATATGAGATTAACAATATTGTTATTTTTTGGTCCAACTGAGGCATTTAATTCTGAGTTAAGCCACTGTGTATCAAAGTTTTTTAAACCAAAAAATGAATAGACTCTGAAGTACTTGCCAGGATGTTTAAAGCTAGTACACACAGATAATTATCATGCTAAAAAAAATTGAGACAGTGTTAGAGTCAGATGATTCAGGCTTCAATATCAGAGTTAGCACGTACTAACATTGTAAGCTTTATTAAATCTCTATGAGCCCCAATTCCTAATTGCATAGTCAGAAAAATATCACAGTTGAAATATTTATAAGCAGCAAATAGGATAATGTATATAAAAAATCAACAGAGTGGCCAGCTTATCATAACCATCTAGTGATCATTTCTTGTCTTATATGTCCCAACTCCAGGCACTGAATTGGAAGATAACACTTGTAATTCAACTAAATTGCATGGTAAATACTTTCAATGTGCTAGATTACACAATATGATGGCACACCTTCCGTATCATGTTTAAACATGGATCTTAGGATAATATATCAGACTTTTTGAAACACTTTTTAAACCGAGGATTATTTTGCTAATAAGGTTGAGTCACAGATTCTTCTTATCCTAATGCTTTTGCCAGTATTTGTATTGAAAATTATAAATAGTTTGATAACTTGATAACTGTGGTGATGCAAAATTATTCCACCCTAATGCTAATGCAGAGGTAATGTTAAAAAAGTAATCACCTTACATACCTCTTGCCCATAATACCACTACTGTGTACCCATAAAGAAGGAATTAGTTATATTTATATATGTGTATATATACACATATATATGTTTTTGTCAGAAACTCTGTTCTTTATCAAAATAGTCATTTTATATCATGTGCCAACTGTAAAGCTTCATGTAATTTTTTAGAAAAAATGGTAAAACTGGCTAGGTCTTCCCAAAAGTTGAATCTTTTCTATGTGAAATGACTGGATGGTTATTTGGGAAAAAAACCTCAGGGCCAAATGCCATCTATTACATTCAAGTGACATGATGTTTGCAAAAATTTCCAGCTTTGGAGATATACAATTTTGATTTAATCAATAGTCACCTGCAGAGTAAAATGTAAGAATACTGTAAACAAAATAGAAGAATACTGTACTTAGTTAAAGATCTGCACAATAAATAGATAAGATAGAAGCATTTATATGAATGTGGAAATATTTTCCCCATAACTTAAGCCAATACCATAATATGCAATGGACTTCACCCTGCAGATGTACTTCTGCACTGTGAAGATATATTTTATGTGAAGTAGTATTTGTAATGATAATTGCAATTACCCAACATTCTCTACATTACATAAATGATCGTATAGTTAATTATCAAATAGAGCTCTTTTTTTCCTGTGAGGCATTTTCAAAAATGCTCTTTTGAATAGTGTAGAGTTTCCAAAGAGTGGATAATAAATCATAAAATGATGATATAACAAATTAAAGTCTTAGAAGAATGCAGAAATAAACCAGAGATGTTATTACATTGTTTCAAATACCATTTCATCATTTGTTCATTCACAAAACATATATTTTGGCATTTATTTGCAGGGTAGATAGTCTATAATGTCAGAGATGTAAAAATACATGAACACTTTTTATTTTAAAATAGGAGGAAAAATCTCCACTAAATAAAACATATTTTCATAGTAGAATAATACACTAGGCTACACTTTAAGCAGTTTCAAATAAAGGAAATAAAATGTCGTAGCACAGGAACTGAGCATATTGAAACTAGTCTAAAATTTAAGATACTACTTTACATTAGTTCCTATGAGTGTGGCACAATACTCTGGTTATTTTCTCCACTTGTGTGATTCTTGAAGTTGTAAGCAGTTTTTCAATATTACTAATTACTAATGTTATTATTTCAGTAATTGTATTTTATTTATTAGGTTCTGTTACTAGTTAACATGAAAATGTTTTCCTTTTTATTGGCATTTTGGCAGCTTACTTTAGTAGGACTACTCATCATGACAAAAGCATAAATGTCAGCTCTGCAGCTCTCTGCTACAGTTTGCTTCAACAAGAATGTCAGAAGTGACAAGGCAGAAAGTGATTCTGAGTGATGACATTCTTGTTGGTAATAGATTGGCTCCCGTGTATGCTGCTTCAGCTTTGATCTCTGAAACCTTTCATTTCTTAAAAAAAAATTTGAGATGTCTACTAGCCTGTGGAAATTTCAATTTTCTACCAAACATTGTCAGAATTATCTTTAAATGATTTAAATGTCAAGCTCACTCTATTTGTTGGATCGTTTTGCAATAAAAGACCAGAGATTAACTACCATCTATACAATTGAGAACCACTGTCATCATTTATTTCTAAATATATTTTGGGGTGTGTAAATAGTAAGTATTCATGAGTAGTATGGTATTTTGAACTAAAATGTCACGAAGAAAGGAGATAAACATTTCCTGAATATGCCACAGATTTTTTTATACATCGTAGTCTTAGATTTCTTGTTCATGTGAGAACACTCAGCACTACCTATTTGCAAAGAAACCTGTATTAATTGGTTTTCGTCATGAACTTTAAAAGAAAGTAAAGACTGCCACTTACGGCATAAAGATATCTCTTTGTCTGTTCTCTCAACATATTCTTTATTTAATTTAATCAAATAAATAATTTTAAAAAAACAACAATATTAACTAACTCTTTCAAATTCTAATATTAAAGCCAATCTCTGTAATCTATAATGCTGAAAATATTTTCATGTATCCTGAAAATAAAAAATTACTTAAGAATAAAAAAGGTTGGGCACGGTGGTTCACGCCTGTAATCCCAGCACTTTGGGAGGCTGAGGCGGGCGGATCACGAGGTCAGGAGATCAAGACCATCCTAGCTAACATGGTGAAACCCTGTCTCTACTAAAAATGCAAAAAAATTAGCCAGGCGTGGTGGCGGGCGCCTGTAGTCCCAGCTACTCCGGAGGCTGAGGCAGGAGAATGGCGTGAAACCGGGAGGCAGAGCAGTGAGCCAAGATCGTGCCACTGCACTCCAGCCTGGGCAACGGAGCGAGATTCCGTCTCAAAAAAAAAAAATTCTTCAAGACCGGGAGCGGTGGCTTACGCCTGCAATCCCAGCACTTTGGGAGGCTGAGGCAAGTGGATCAAGAGGTCAGTAGTGCAAGACCAGCCTGACCAACATGGTGAAACCCCGTCTCTACCAAAAATACAAAAATTAGCCAGGCGTAGTGGCACGCACCTGTTATCCCAGCTACTCAGGAGGCTGAGGCAGAAGAATCACTTGAAACTGGGAGGCGGAAGTTGCAGTGAGCCGAGGTCGCACCACTGCACTCCAGCATGGGTGACAGAGCGAGACTCTGTCTCAAAAAAAAAAAGAAAAAAAGACTTCAAGAATGAAGGAGAAATGAAGAACATGCCAGACAAACAAAAGCTGAGGAATTTCATCAACACCAGACCTGTCCTACACGAAATGCTAAAGGGAGTTCTTCAATCTGAAAAAAGAGAATGTTACCGAGCAAAAAAAATCATCTAGATGTACAGAACTCACGGGTAATCGTAAGCATACTGGAAAAATACAGAATATAATAACATTGTAATTGCGGTTTATAAAATGTTCTTAAGTAGAAAGACTAGGTGATGAATCAATCAAATGCAATAACTAAAACAACTTTCTAGGACATAGTAGAATAAGACATAAAGAGAAAGAACAGAAAGTTAAAAATCAGCAGGATGAAGTTAAAGTGTAGATTTTTTATTAGTTTTCTTTTTGCATGTTTGTTTATGCAATGTGTTAAGTTATCCTCAGTTTAAACTAATGGGTTATAAGATAGATGGTATTTGCAAGCCTCATGGTAATATCAAATTGAAAAACATACAATAGAAACAGAAAAAATAAAAAGGAAGAAATTACATTGTACTACCAGAGAAAATCACCTTCACTAAAAAGAAGACAGGAAGGAAAAAATGAAGAAAAGACCACAACACAACCAAGAAACAAATAACAAAACAGCAGTAGTAAGTCCCTACTTATCAGTAAGAGCATTGGATGTACATGGACTAAACTCACTAATAAAAACACATAGAGTGTCTGAATGGATGAAAAAAAACTAGTTTTAATTATCTGCTGCCTACAAGAAACACACTTCACTTATTAAGATACACATGGACTGAAAATAGAATAATGAAAAAAGATAGTTTGCAGGGACATGGATGGAGCTGGAAGCCATTATTCTCAGCAAACTAACACAGGAAGAGAAAACCATGTTCCCACTTATAAGTGGGAGTTGAACAGTAAGAACACATGGACACAGAAAGGGTAACAACACACACTGGGGCCTGTTGGGGGCAGAAGGGGGAGGGAGAGCGTCAGGATAAATAGCTAAAGCATGTGGGGCTTAGTATCTAGGCGATGGGCTGATAGGTGCAGGTAACCACCATGGCACATGTTTACCTGTATAACAAACCTGCATGTCCTGCACATGTATCCCAGAACTTAAAATAAAATTAAAAATTAAAAAAAGTAATATTATCTTGAAATATATAACATTAAAAAATATAAATCATGAAGATAAAAGTGGCAAGGAAAGAGAAAGTAACGAAAAAAAAAAGATATTTTATGCCAATGGAAACCAAAAAGAACAGGCATAGATTTCATGCCGGACTAAATTGGTTTCAAGACAAAAATTGTAAGAAGAGACAAAGACAATCATTTATTCATTTATAATGGTAAAGGGGTCAATTCAGCAAGAGTATATAATGATTTTAAATATGTATGTGCTCAACACTGGAGAACCAGATATACAAAGTAAACATTAGAGGTAAAGAAATAGACCTCAATGCAATAATAGCTACAGACTTCAACACCCCACTTTCAGCATTGAAAAAATTTCCCACACAGAAAATCCAGAAAGAAACATGAGACTTAATATGCAATATAGATCAAATGGAAATAATAGATATTTTCAGAATATTTTATTCAATGGCTACAGAATACACATTCTTCTCCTCAGCACATGGATCATGTTCAAGGATATATTAGGTAACAAAACAAGTCTTAAAAGATTCAAAAATTGAAGTAATATGAAGCATGTTCTCTGACCACAAAGAAATAAAACTAGAAATTAATAACAAGAGGAATTTGGAAAACTACAAACACATGGAAATCCAACAATATGCTCCAGAATGACCAGTGGATCAATGAATAAATCAAGAAGGAAATTGAAAAATATCTTGAAACAAATGATAATGGATAAACAACATACCAAAACCTATAGGACACAGCAAAAGCAATACTAAGAAGGAAACCTATAGCTGAAAGTGCCTATGTCAGAAACGAAGAATTTTAAATAAATACTCTAACAATGCATCTTAAAGAATTAGAAAAGCAAGAGCAATCCAAACTCAAAATTAGTAGAAGAAAATAAAAAATAAATATCAGAGCAGGATTAAATGAATTTGAAATGAAGAAAAAAATACAAAAGATCTATTAAACAAAAAGTTGTCTTTTTTTTGAAAAGATAAATAAAATTTCCAAACCTTTTGCCAGACTAATGAAGAAAAAAAAGACAGACGAACCCAAAATAAACAAAATCAGGGATGAAAAGCAGACATTACAACTGACATTCAGTTGTAATGTTTTTGAACAGAAATTCAAAGGATCAGTTATGTCTACTATGAGCAACTATATGCCAATAACTTGGAAAATCTAGAAGAAATGGATAAATTCATAGACACATACAATCCACCAAGATCAAATTATGAAAAAATCCAAAACCAGAAGTAATGAGATTGAAGCTGTAACAAAAATTCTCCCAGTAAAGAAAAGCCCAGAACCCAAAGATTTCACTGCTGAATTATACTAAACATTCAAACAACTAATAACAACCCTGCTCAAACTGTTCCAAAAAAAAATAGAGGAAGACGGAATCCTTTCAAACTCATTCTACAAGGCCAGTATTACCCTGATACAAAAACCAGGCAAAGACACATCAAAAAAAGAAAACTACAAGCCAATATCTCTGATGACTATTGATGTAAAAATCCTCAGCAGAATACTAGAAACTGAATTCGGCAATACATTAAAAAGATCATTCATTATGACTAAGTGAGATTTATCACAGGGCTGTAAGGGTGGTTCAATATATGTAAATCAATCAATGTGATACACCATATCAATAGAATGGAGGACAAAAATCATGATCATTTTGATTGATGCTGAAAAAGCATTAGATAAAATTCAACATCCCTTCATGATAAAAACCCTCAAAACACTGGGTATAGAAGGAACATACCTCAACATAATATAAGCCATGTATGACAGACCCACAGCTATTATCATACTGAATAGGGAAAAACTGAAAACCTTGCCACTAAGATCTGGAACATGACAAGGATGTCCACTGTCACCACTGTTATTTACATAATGCTGGAAGTCCGAGCTAGAGCAATCAGACAAGAGGAAGAAATAAAGGGCATCCAAATTGGAAAGGAGGAAGTCAAATTATTCTTATTTGCAGATGATATGATCTTATATTTGGAAAAGCCTAAGACTCCAAAAAACTATTAGAACTGATAAACAATTTCAGTAAAGTTACAGAATATGAAATCAACTTAACAAAAATCAGTAGCATTTCTATATGCCATCAGTGAACAATCTGAAAAAGAAATAAAAATATAATTGCATTTACAATAACCACACATAAAATTAAATATCTAGATATTGACTTAACCAAGAATTGAAAGATCTTTACAGAGAAAACCATGAAATGCTGTTGAAAAAAATTGAAGAGGACACAAAAATTGGAAAGATAATCCATGTTCATGGGTTGAAAGGATCAGTATGGTTAAGATGTCCTTACAACCTAAAGCAATCTACAGCTTCAATGAAATTCCTATCAAACTTCCAATGACATTCCTCACAGGAATTAAAAAAAAAAAAAAACTATCCTAAAATTCATACGGAACTACACAAGACCCAGAATAGCCAAAGTTATTTTGAACAAAATTAACAAAACTGGAGAAATCACATCACTTGACTTCAAAACTGCAGAGCTAGAATAACCAAAAAAAAGCATGGCACTGGCATAAAAACGGACACAGACCCAAAAGAAAGGAAATAAGTATAGTGAAGAGTTATCTGTATTCCTATGTTTGTTGCAGCACTGCTCATAATAGCCAAGCTTTGGAAGTAACCTCAGTGTCCATCAACATATAAATGCATTAAAAAATGTGGTACCTATACACAATGGAGTACTATTCAGACATAAGAAAAAAATAAAATCCTGTCATGTGCAACAACATGGGTAGAACTAGAGGTCATTATATTAAGTGAAATAAGCCAAGTATAGAAAGACAAATATAGTATGTTCTCACTTACTTGTGGGATCTAAAAATCAAAACAATTGATTTCACATAGGTAGAGAGTACAAACAGTTATCAGAGACTGGGAAGAGTATTGAGAGTCAGAGGTGGTGGGGGGAGGTGGAGATAGTTAATGGGTATAAAAATAAATAAAATTTGATAGCACAACAGGGCGACCATAGTCAATAATAATTAATAATTTAATTGTACATTTAACAATAACCAATAGAGTATAATTTGCTTGTTTGTAACACAGAGAAAAAATGCTTGAGGGAATAGACATCCCATTTTCCATGTTGTGATTATTACACATTGCATACTTATATCAAAATATCTCATGTTCTTGATAAATATATACACCTAGCATATTATTTAATCAACTGAGCCATTACATTACATCCACAAAAATTAAACATTAAAAAAAATTAGTGATATGGGCACAAGCACTTTTAGGTAGCTTTTTAAATTAGGAGTAATGATAGGAAATGTCACCATTGAGATGGGGTTTTCTTTTTTCAACAGGAATGATGGCATACTGGAGTGGCAGAGATCAGGTAACTGTGTTAAATAGCAGAAGCAACATAGGTGAAATTATTATTACTTGGTGGCATGGATGAAATGTTAAACATTGACACTAAGTGATCTGTAGTTGCTAGTTGTCCATAGCACCTTTAAATGTGAAATAGGTGGTAGTCTAATAAAACATTATCTTAAAATAATACTTTATTTATTGAAGAATTGGACTGGTGCATAGATGCTTGATATGAATTGCTCTCATAGGAAGTCATGGCCACTAAACTATTTCCTACATTAAACCAATAAACCAACCCACATCCACATAAGGAAGAACTTCCACATCTCCATGTGTAAATGCTGTAAATTTTCTGCAAGCCTTCTGCAAGGGGACCTGGAGACATACACCATGGTGACTACTCCAGTGACCAAGAATTATCAGGAATAAATAACTCTACATAGATTCTAAGCCCTGAGTATAGAGAATATTGCGTTTGTTTTATTAGTCGGAGTAAATGTTGGTAGAGTCTAAATGATAAATAAAGTTTTGACCCATGTAATAGAGATTCTCAGGATGGGACGATGAGACTGCAGTATTTGCGCAGATCTAATTATGCACAGATCTAATGTTTTTGTGCCAGACACTTGCAGAATCCCTGCATTTGGCTCCTGGACAGCTATGATATATTATGGTAAAAAAAGGAAGAGTTAAGTAAAAGACCCTCAGAATTTTCCTTTAACTATTCCTAAAAAAAAAAAAGTAAATTATAATCAATACTTCATTCATTCCCAGAGGAATTGAATAAATTAGTGGTAATATATAAGATATGAGTAATACAAGCATTTCCATTTAACTGACATTTTTGGCTGGTGCAAATGCCACATGGATTTTGCTATTTCAAATTTAAGCAGGTAATGACTAAATCCAGCTACTGTTTTACATGTTGTTCTTTAACTAGATTAACTCAATCCCTAGTGAGTGCTGGCAATTATATATTTCTCCAAAACAATGAACAGGGATGAAGAGATGCAATTTACTTTCATCAGGTAGGAACAAAGGTAAACCTACCCTTTCTCTCCCCAGGACTGTGTCAGCTCTCATAGTCTCTATAGTAAACTAGTTGTAATGGAATAAATCATCTAAATATTCTACTGAATATCATGCTGTTCCATTACTGATAACACCAAATGATGGGATCTGGTGAGCAGAAGTAGCTACTAATCAGATACCCTAGTAAAATACTTGCTTGCTAATTGTAAGAGATAAACCTACTGAGAATTCTAGGTCCTAACACAAAACTAAAGTTTCTAGAGGCCCAACAATTTTAAACAGGTTGGGAAATTCCCTCTATAGTGAGAGACACTGCACTAACACACACTAAAATAAAGAAGCAAAATTAATTTTGGGCCTTTTCAGGTTTTAGAGGCAAAATAAACCAAATTGGGTTACCTGTTCTGACCCATTACCAATTAACTCATGAAGCTGCAAATTTTTGAATAGAGCTCAGAGCAAAATTAGTCTCTGTAGCAGGTTCAGACTAAAGTGAAAGTTTCCTGCAAACTGGGCATCATTAACCAGTAGATAAAATGGTGCTCATAGTGCCATTCATAAATAAGTGATGTTTGATGGATTCCTCTGGTTAAGCCCACTACAATAATCAGAGTGCAGATTGTGAAGAAGATTTTGCAACAATGTAATGCCCTCCTCTAGTGACAAGTACAGGTATGTGTTGCTTAATGACAGAGATATGTTCTGATAAATATGTCACCTGGCAATTTCCTCATGCGAACCTTATAAAGTATACTTACATTATCTAGATGGTATAGCCTACTACACACTTAGGCTATATGGTACAGCTTATTGCTTCTAGGCTACAAACCTGCACAGCATGTTACTGTAGTGAATCCTGTAGGCAATTGTAACACAGTAAGTACTTGTATATCTAAACATATCTAAACACATAAAAGGAGTACTAAAATTGCAGGATTATAATCTTATGGGTCCACTATCTTATATGCGGTCTGTTGCTGAGCAAAACATTGTCATGAAGCACTTGACTATGTTCTCTTTTTGAAGAGCAATATCTGTCTTTCTACTGAGACTTTACAGAGGGGTTATGACCGAACTTGTACCCCATGACTATGATAGGTGAACTGACATCTTGAATGAGTGAAATTTGATAAACTGAGCCATTACAATTGATTTACAGCTTTCCTTTTCTGCTACAAATTTAGAACAGGAAAAAATATATTTGGAAAATGTAACATTCTGTGGGATGTCTCTTACTACTTTCCTCACCAAGTTTAATGAAGGCATACAGAAGCCAAATAAATCCAGGATCACTGAGTACTCAGATTCTTCAAAATGAAAGTTTGGATCACCTCACCAGGTAAAGAAACCTGATTAGATGCTGGCTGTGTGCAAGGTGATAGAAGAAAACCCAATAAATGCTAACCACAGCCTCAGAGTCAGCACAGATATGAGAACTATAGCAGCTAGGTATACTTTTGTTACTTGTATGTTAACTAGCATTTTATTTTTGCTCTTTCTCTCCCTTGACGTAGTATGCTAAGCTATACAATTTAGATCTGATGGAGGAAAAGTGGAGTTTGAACGACATATTGGTTTGGATATGATAAATGACTAAGTAGAGTTTGGATTTACTCTTCTTGGAGAAAAGATGACATCATTTGTAAATGATAGGTATTTGCCTAAAGTTAAGCATAAAAGGCTAAACAAAGATTTGTATAACATAGTCACAATTCCTGAACCTCACCTCATTTTTGAGTGTCACTCCTTAGTGTGTGAGGTTATTTGACTATGGGAGTAGTATCTGTTTGTTATCTGTTGATTATTAACAGTAAGTTTCTTGGTGACACAAACTCTGTCTTGTTCACTATTAGAGGTATCTCAGTGCAATTCTACATGATTTTAGATTTTAAATCTCATTTCTCTTGTTGGTAGGCTGTTGACGTAAAGATCCTCTTCATATATTATAGTCCATTTATTGTAAATATTTTTAGTTTTATCTTTCTAAATTATACATATTCTGGATTTCTCATAAACATAATGAATATATAGGTTTGTCAAAACCTGTAACATATAATAAAACCTAGCTACCAACATTTTGCTAGGATTACAGGCGTGAACCACCGCGCCTGGCCTTGAAGAATATTTTTACTGAATATACTATACTAGGGTAGAGTATTTTTTTTCCCTCAGCACTTTATGTATGTCATGTCACTCTCTCTTGACCTGCAGGGTTTTCATTGAAAAGTCTGCTGTCAGATTTATTAGCGCTCCATTGTATGTTATTTGTTTCTTTTCTCTTGCTGCTTTTATCCTTTCTTCATCCTTGACTTTTGGGTGTTTGATTATCAAATGCCTTGAGGTAATCTTATTTGGGTTAATTCTGCTTTGTGTTCTATAATCTTCTTGTATTTGAATGTTGATATCTTACTCTAGGTTTGGGAAGTTCTCTGTTATTATCCCTTTGAATAAACTTTCCACCCCTATTTTTTTTTCTCGACCTCCCCTTTAAGGCAAGTAACTATTGGATTTGTTCTTTTGAAGCTATTTTTTAGATCTTGTAGTCATGCTTCATAGTTTTTCGCTGCTTTTTTTTTATAATTTTATCTCCTCTGACTGTGTATTTTCAGGTAGCCTGTCTTCAAGCTCACTAATTCTTCCTTCTGCTTGATCAATTCTGCTATTAAGGGACTCTGATGCATTCTTCAGTATGTCAGTTAGTTACGTTTTTAGCTCCAGAATTTCTGCTTGAGTCTTTTTAATTATTTCTATCTCTTTGTTAAATTTATCTGATAGAATTCTGAATTTCCTCTCTGTGTTTTCTTGAATTTGAGTTTCCTCAAAACAGCTATTTTGAATTAGCTGTCTGAAAGGTCATATATCTGTTTCTCCAGAATTGTTCCCTGGTGCCAGTTTATTTAGTGAGGTCATGTTTTTCTTGATGATCTTGATGCTTGTAGATGTTCATCAGTGTCTAGGTCTTGAAGAGTAAGGTATTTATCATAGTCTTCACAGTCTGGACATGTTTTTTTTTTTTTTTTTTTCCCTTCTTGATAAGGCTTTCCAGGTAATCAAAGGGACTTGGGCCCGCACGCTCCAAAATGCTATGGTTTTTGCAGACTTGCAGAGATACCACCTTGGTGGTTTTGAACAATATCCAGAAGAATTCTCTCAATTACCAGGCAGAGACTCATGTTCTTTTCCCTTACTTTCTCCCAAACAAATGGAATCTCTCTGTCTGTGCTGAGCCACTTGGAACTAGGGGTGCGGTGATGCCAGCACCCCTGTGGCCACCACCACTGGAACTGCACTGGGTTTTGCCCAAGGCCCATTATAGTCACTACCTGGTTACCACCTACGTTCACTCAAGGCCCTACGGCTCTACAACCAGCAAGTGGTGAAGTCAACCAGCTTTGTGTTCTTCCCTTAAGGACAGCAAGTTTCCTCACTCCCTGGGAGGGTCTAGGGGTACTATTTGGGAACCAGGAATTGGAGTCAAAAACCTTAGAATTTATCTGGTGTTCTAAGTGGCTAACCTGGTACTTGGCCCACAATACAAAGTCCTTCCCATTCTTCCCTCCCCTTTCCACAGGAAGAGGCACCTCTCCCTATGACCACCACCACCAGCAGCCAATGGAGGACTGTGCCAGGACACTTCCAATGTTCACTTAAAGCCTAAGGGCCCTTTCACCAGCTTGTAGTATATGCTGCTAGACCTGGGACTCACTCTTCAGGGTAGTAGACTCTCCTCTGGCCCAGGAAAGATCTAGAAATGCGGGACTCAGGGACCCCCTAGAGCCTTCTTGTTGCTTTTCTCCACTGTGGCCAAGCTGATATCTAAGGTGCAAGACAAGGTCCCCTTTACTTTTCTCTCTGTTTTTCTCAAACACAAGAAGTCTCTCCCTGTAGCCACCATTGCTGGGAATGTGCTGGATCACATGTGAAGCCAGCATGTCTCAGAGCCCAAGGCCCATAGCATACTACCTAGGTACTACTTCTGTTTATTTAGAGCCCAAGGATTCTTTAGTCGGCAGGTGATGAATCCTGCCAGGACTGGGTCCTTCCCTTCAAGGCAGCAGGATCTCTTGTGGCCCAGGGTTGATCTAGAACTATCTGTGAGTTAGGGCCTAGAATGGTGGCCTCATGACTCTGCCTGGTGCTCTATCCTACTGTGGTTGAGCTGTTATTCAACATGCAAGACGAAGTCATTTTTACTCTTTGTTCTTCTTCCCTTAAGCAGAAGGAAGGAGTCACTTTTATTTCTGTGAGATGCACTGCCTGGGTTTGGGGGACAGGAGGTGCAAGCACTCCATTAACCACCATGGCTGGTATCTGCCTAGATCATGTTCCACCCTAGTCCACTGGCTCTTAGCCTAGCCCAGCACTAATTGCTTTCCAGGAATTTCAGTCCTTGCGTCCTGGACTGCCTTTCAAGTTTACTGAGGACCCCAGAGTACTTTGGCCTGTGGTGGCATGTCTTGTTGAGAAACTCAAGTTCTAACTGCTAGGATGGGCGATTTCCCTCTGACTAGGTCTGGTCTAATGCTCCCTCCATGTGTGTACTGGCTGAGTCCAGCGTGGCTGTGCTCTGCACTGCAACAAGGCAGCACTGAGTTCAACGTAAAGTCCCCCAGTCTCTGTGCTCTGCCTCTCTAAGTGCACAGATTCTCTCTCCACGTAGCACAGACACTGACAGGGGAAAAAGAAGACATGGCATCAGCAATTCAAGACTATCTCTCCTCCACTCTTCAATAACTCCTTTAGTGATATGAAGTTAAAACTGAATACTGTGATTGCTTACCTAATTTTTGGTTCTTGTGATGATGCTTTTCAGTGTGTATATAGCTGTTAGCATTTGGTGTTTCTGTGGGCATTGGGGGTGGAGGGAACAAACTGTGTAGGCTTCTTTTTTGTCATTTTGCTCCTTCCCCTTCTAATATGTATTTTTTGCAATGTTTTGTAGGAAGGAGTATCCTCTGGCCCTTTCTGTGAACACCTATGGGTGAAAGGCAAATTAGTTTTACATAATAAATTGAATACACTAATTGCATCTCCATATTTTTTTCTCTATATTAGACTGAGTTCTGGCCTCTTACATCATTTAATGTAAATTGCACTCTTAAATCCTGACTTCATTTATTGAACCAGGCAAAGTGTTAAAGTTACTTCCATCTGCCTGAGCTAGTACATTACATTGCTAAATATAATTAACTGCCTTTGTATAGATAATTTTACTCAAATTCAGCCTCATCCTCCAGCCTATCTCTCCTAAAGTATATTCCCTCACAAACTCACACCGTTTTTGCTATTAAGACTTAGCAATTTCTTCCTGGACAAGACTGTATATAATTCTCCTCTAGGAATCAGACTTATTTTACAGGCTCGGAGGTCATAAAGATGAGTGATTTGTGTTTCAAAGATCTTCTACTCATCTTATTTACATTAATGTCTGCAAATCAAGCCTATGTTACCCCCACTTACTCCATAGTGCCAAAATCTTAGCTTAATAAATTTGGCAGTTTTATGTATTATATTTGAATTTTAATTCAGCAATTACCACAATCAAATTGGAGCATGAGTCTCAAGTATGTATGCCTTGAATATATAGAAAGTAAGAAGTTGTTTTAAAATCTGCATAAAGTGTTCTGTATTTCCATTACTCTTTTAAGCAGAGAATTTAAAGCCCTAGGCTTATTTAATTTCTTAAAATTCTGTAATGTAAGCCCATTCTACAGCCTTTGTAGTCACAATTTCTGCTGCATCAGTTTTATGCAGCAGTTATTAGTTGTATGTAGCAGTTTTACTTGATTTTCCTAAACCTTTTCTTCATCTACGATGTCACCTGTGCAACAATATGTAATAATCATACTCACATACAGATTTTTTCTGTCATATTATCCACAAGGAAGTCATTACTTGCTAATGCTCAGAGTGGAGTAACCTAGTCCCAGAATTCTGTGTTATGGTTTGTTTTCTGGGACTACTCATGGTAAAAAGAAGTGCATTAGTAACGTCAATTCTGCAGAACAAAAGCCACTGTAAGTATTTAATACAGGTTGAACAGATAACGTAAGGTGCAGTCTTACTACACTCAGGACGTGGGTCATTTAGTGGAAAGTAAAACAACAGCAAGTCTTTCTGATGGGAGTTAAAGAACACAGAGGAAGATAGGGGTCCTCAAGCCCCAGCTGTGGACCTGTACCAGTCCATGGCCTGTTAGGAGCCAACCCACGGAGTAGCAGGTGAGCAGCCGGCAAGCGAGCATTACCGCCTGATCTCCGCCTCCTGTCAGATCAGTGGAGGCAACAGAATCTCATAGGAGCTTGAAACCTATTGTGAACTGCACATGCGAGGGACGTAGGTTGTGCACTCCTTGTGAGAATCTAGCTAATACCTGATTATCTGGGGTGAAATGGTCCCATCCCAAAGCCATGCACCCCCTTCCACCCTCAACCCTAACCCATGGAAAAATTGTCTTCCATGAAGCCAGTCCCTGGTGCCACAAAGGTTGAGGACCTCTCCTCTAATAGTCAACCACTATTCGATTCCAGATAGGAGCCAGCTTACACAGGGGCTCGTGTAATTGATAATCCTGAGTCAGAGTAAGTTAGGAGAATGAAAATTGAATAGAGCCAAATGGTACATAATTAAAATGTATATTTTAAAGAGAACCATCAGAAAATATTCTATCCCTATTATGGACAAAAAGCAGTAAAATAATATGGAGGGTTTTTTTTAGTAAATCAGAGTCTATGTGAATAGCTAAATAAAATATTAATTTTATAAATATTTAGATTGCACACTTTTATTACATGCTACAAAATACATGTAAAGTAAGACTTTATTTAAATTTCATTTTTAACCTTGGAGTTATCCTACTTAAGATAAGAAACTTGTGCATTCGCTAACTTCCTACAAGTTCTATTATTTTAACTATAATCGATGTCTGACCTTAAACATTGTTTTTCTCTTAAAAGAAATGTCATATTTCTACTATAAGCAAAATGAAGTAACAGGGAATAAATTCATCTTTCTTCATTCAACAAACAAATGGACAATGATTATGAATAAACTCCACAAAAAGGGAGGATCTGCAATGATCCCTGAAAGATGGTACATAATGTATGCAATTTCCATGATTGTATCAACATCCTGCTGAAGTTACCAATTCTCTCACATCATTCTTATTCATTACAAGTTCTAGCCAAAGTAAAAAGCCAAGAAAAATAAATAAAATCATGTAGATTGTAAAGAAGGGCCTAAAGCTATCCTTATTTTCAAATGACATGATTGATTTTGTAAGACTCCAAAGAACCTACAAAACAACTCTTAGAAAAATAAGTCAGTTTAGCAATGTTTTAATACAAAATATCAATTAAAAATGTCAATTATATTTTATATTTTAGCAATGAAACAATGAAATATGAAATTAATAATTAATTTATATTACTATGCACACATACACATACATATGCACACTGCCCACAAACATAGTACTTATGTTTAAATCAAAAACATATATGTAAGATCTCTATGCTGAAAAACAGAAATCACTGATGAACAAACCAAAAAAATAAATTACATATTTACATATTTATATAATTTATATATATGATGCTCTTGAATTGCAAAACAATATTGTTTAGGTGTCAGTCTCCCCCAAATAGATTTAAAACATTAATATTCAAATCTCAGCAAGTGTATTTGTAGATGTCAACAAGCTAATTCTAAAGACTAGGCAGAAAGGCAAAGGGACTCCAATAGTCAAATCCATTCAGAAAAAGAATGAAGCTTGTTGAACCCACACAACCCAATATCAAGACTTACTAGGCAACTACTTTAATGAACAAAATAATAGTGTTAATCAAGGCTAGACACAGATTAATGAATCACAATAGATACTCTATAAATAGACCAATGTAAATATAACCAACTAATTCTTGACAAAAGTGTAAAGGCAATTCGAGGGATCAGTGGTAATCTTTTCAGCAAATGGTTCTCAGAGAACTGAATTTCCGTATGCAAACAATAAATACCTTAGTATACCCCACATGTTACACAAAAATCAAGGATTATAAACCCAATGTAAAAGGCAATACCATAGGAGTTCTAGAAGAAAATATTGAGTATGAAGATGAGATTTCACATATAACCATAAGCACAATCAACCAAATAATAATGTACTAATTGGATTTTGATAAAATAAAAATACTTAGCTCTTTGAAACACACTGTTAAAATCATGGAAAGTTATATCACAGACAGAGAAATTATGTATGAGTTGCATACATATATGCTAAAGGAAGTTTATCTGGAATACATACAGATTAAAAAAAAGTTATAATTCAATAATAAAGAAACAGCAAGACCAATAAATATTGGGTTAAAGGGAATCTGAAAAGATACTTTACCAAAAAAGGATATGTGAAAAGGGAGTAATTGAATAAAATTTTGTTCAACATTAGTAGTTATTAGTTAAAAAATAAAAGAAATAGTGCCATGGAACACACTGTGTATCTATCAAAATGTGAAATAGGAACAATAATTCCTTGCTAAAGGGAATGCAAAATGTCATTGCCACTTTGGAAGACAGTTTGCAGCTTATAATATTAACTAGAACCATAAGACCCAGAAATACGATTCCTAGGTATTCATTCAACTGAATTAAATACTTATTTTCACAGTAAACTGTACAAGAATGTTTACAGTACATTTATTCATAATTACTCAAACTTTAAATAACCAAGTTTGCCCTGAACTGATGAACAGGCAAACAAACTGTGGTGTATCCACATAGTAGAATATCACTCACCAATAAAAAGGAAGGAGCTACTGATTTTGGCAACAAAATGGATGAATATCAAATGAATTTTGCAGGATCTGAGGCTTGCTCCTAACCAACAGGAATATGGCTAAGGTTATGGTAGGTTAAGATTTCTGAGCTGATGTTACATAATTACGGCTTTCATTCTATTAGATCATTCCCTCCCAAGCAAGTTGCCAGACTGGGGAGGATTATGTGGAACTGAACTGAGGATGACCTCCCACCATCAAAAAGTCCAACAATCCAAAAGACTAAGTCAAAATCCATGTATGTGGTGTGGAAGCAGGTCCTTCCCCCAGTCAGACTCTCAGACAAAGTGTTGGTCCTGGCCAACCCCTTGATTAAGCCCCATGAGAGAGACCCTGAAGCAGCAGAGTCGCCAATCAATGCCCAAATTCCTGAACCATACGTATATACATGTTGCTAAGCTACTAAAATTGTAGTAATTTGTTACGCTGTTAGAGATAAGTAGTATAGATTGTAATTATATAAGTGTTTCCTTTCAGGCATCTAAGATGATGTTTTAAATGACACTTAAACATGATCAGGATGCCAACAGCATTTGACAGCTTCATTGTCCCCTTAACATTTCCGGTCACTAATTTTCTCAGTTCAATGATGTATGTTGCTAAGCTAAGACACCTTCACCAAATGTTCAAATAAAGGGGAGAAACTATGATTTTACAACTTTGTATTTAGTGCAGGGTATTATTTTGCAACTTATTAATAAGATTATCATGAACAAGTTACCATTCAGAACCACCAAGTCCACTTCAGAATTGCTAAGAGAGATTTCACTCCACAGCTTCAAGTAGAACTCATCAGAATAGTTACTACTTCTAGCATTCTGGTATCTAAGAATAAATAAATGAAATGTGGATCATGTGCAACATAACATCTTTAACCATCATGAAATATAAATTGTATGCTCAGAATAAACAATGTGGTTTAAGAAATGATTAAAATAAAGCAATTGTGCCTCCCAAGAAACCAACAATGACAGCAGACGTGGCCACACAGGACTACATTCCTTAAGTTCACTATAGTTTCTAGGATTCCAAAAGTATTTAATGCACGAGCAAGAGAAACTGGCTGCTTTGTGATTTATTTTTCTTCTCTGATTCATGTGCACATTTGCATCAGTGACTCTGTTGCATCAGTCTAGACAATCTAAAAATATTTTAAGGCTTGGGCATTTTTGACATAATTTTGAAATGTATTTTATAATTTTTAATTACAAAGGCAAGTCACTGATTTTGAAAACCACATAGTACAAAAAAAGTAAATTGTAAAATGGACTCTCTATTCTCACTAGAATATTCCGAATCTATATGTCTGTCTGTCTATCTATCTACATACATATAATACAAATTCCTCCACACACACAGCCATGTTTCCTAGCGTCTTGGAAAAAGACTCTGTATTATCATATATAGGTCTTCTTCATAATTATGTATATAATTTTAAAATAATTTACTGTATTTTTATAAAAACAGTTATCGCTCCTAAATTTTTCCCATTTTCTAGCCATTCTTTTTCAATATTTTAGATTCTTGAACAAACTCCTGGGGCTTATTTATAAAACATTTTGTTAAATGTTTTATTATAACATTGATATATAATGTTTACAATACAGTGGCAGCAGATGTTTGGCTTATAGGACTGAAAGGAGTAAGATGAGAAGATTAAAGTCTTCTAAAAGACTTTTTGTCTCTTGCCAACTATCAGGAAATTGTCCAACAACAGTATGGACAAATGACTTGCTCACATAGGTCATTCAGCTTCTGTCATTTAGGTCATTCCAATCTTTGTGCAATGGCCCTTTGAAAATGGCAGCTATTGAAGCAGAGACAGAGTAGGGCATGAACCCGACTCTGTGCTACATCTTCTTCTAAACCTATTTAAGATCTATTTTAAAAATCTTTGGTGAATTCCCACTCAATGAGCAGCCAAGACTAATGCTGTGTCTTTGATGTGATACAATTCATCTACTTGGTAACAAGTTAATTGTTTTTACGTTCCTTATATCCTAGAGAAAACACAATCCATCCCTACTATTAATATATTTAATGTTTATTCAAGGTATGACTTTGACTTTCCTGACTCTAGTGTCTCAGCAAACAACAGTATCTAAAAGTATATGAAGTATCTGGTATATGGTTATGGCATCATACCTAGCATTGCCTTAGACCAAGAGGCCCATTTAATAGTTAAAAAAAAAATGCTAGAGGCGAGGGGACTTGGGTCATACCTGTAATCTCAGCTTTTTGGGAGGCTCAGGTAGGGGGATTGCTTGAGGTTAGGAGTACAAGACCAGCCTGGGCCTCATAGAGAGATCTTATCTGTACCAAAAATAATTTTAAAATATAGCTCGACATGATCGCCAGCACCTGTAGGCCTAGTTACTGAGGAGGCTGAGGAGGGATGATTGCTTGATTCCAGGAGTTGAAGGTTACTACAGTGATCTAAGATCATGCCAGTGTACTCTAGCCTTGGTGAAATAAACAAAACAAAACAAAACAAAACAAAAACCCGGTCACAGTGACTTATATCTGTAATCCAGCACTTTGGAAGGCCAAGGCAGGTAGATAACTTGAGCCTAGGAGTTTGAGACCAGTTCCAGCAACATGGCAAAACTGATCTCTACAAAAAAAAAATTACCCAGGGGTGGTTGCAGCACCTGTCATCCCAGCTACTCAGGAGGCTGAGATGGAGGATCACCTTAACCCAGGGGGTGGAGGCTGCAGTGAGCCTATGATTGCACCACTGCCCTCCAGCCTGGGTGACAGAGCAAGGCCCTGTCTCAAAAAATGAAAAAAAAAAAAAAAAAAAAAAAAAGAGAAAAAGAAAAAGAAAAAAGAAAAAAGAATTGCTAGAATTGACATATAAACATGGAATTGCTTGATACTACCATTTATTTCTGGGTGCTACTGATTTATTAGAATGTTAGAATGGCTTTTGAAGATGCCACTAATATGCCAATTTGTGAATGATATTCTGTAGACTTGAGTGCTCTTCTTCAAGATGTGACATATGTTTTGAACCAAAAGACTTTAAGCATAGCTGCATTCCTCCTTGCTAAATATATGGATCTGGAAAGCAATGAGCACTAGTAGAATTGGCCCAGTTACCATCATTTCTAGAACCCATTTGGGAAATGTTGCTTCCTACATCTACAACTTTAACCTCTATCAGCCTAGAGACTGCAGTTACTGTGGAAGGATACTTCTAGCAAATGACCTGGCCTAATTTCTAATAAACCTAAAGCTGTAACAGCTTTCTAGCCATCTTGACACCTCATGATAATAAAGCAGCTGTAAAAAAAAAATTCCTACTACCAGGTTTAATGTATACTGTTTATCATAAGGAGAAGAGGAGTACTACTAAATAATTAAGACACAGAAGACCTTGTTGAAGCTTGAAGGGACTTACTGAAGTGATTTTTGGTGCTCATATGCTTCGTGGTATCTGTGAGTGAACATTTGCAGCAAATAGTTTCTGATAAGGGCACAGGAATCAGGGGCTCACCTTTCCAGTTTGAATATCTGGATCACACCAATGGACAAGTTAACTATACCAGCAGAATTGCTGACTGGTGGGGCAAGGAAATGTGAAATGTGTTGTGCAGGGGAAAAAATGTACAGTATCAGTTAGGATCCTCAGACCAATTTTATTAACACTTCCTCTAATCTCCCTCTTCCATGTAATTTTAAAGTTTATTATTATTATTGTAGAAAGTACAAATAGCCACCATCTTGAAGAGTGATTCATGAACTTGAGTGGAATTAATATGAAACAGTTTTCAGATGAGTGTATCTGAGTGTTAAAAGTTGTTTACTGTTGTTGACAGTAGAATTCTCTGCTCATATCATCCAAACACTCACCTATACAAAATTAAGATTGCTTTTATGATTACTTGCATCTCTCTGCCTGAGGATTTTTTCCGGTCATTATATTACACTTGGTCTAGGTGCATAACAAGCCAAAGTTGTCACATATTTAAAGTCCCTGAAGTCAGCCCTTAACCAATGATGAGCAGAAGGTTGTTAGACATAACCTATCTACCTTACTTCTCAGTTGACATAATTCTGAGGCACAATTTTACCCTTTCCCAGAGTCTCCTAGCCTGGCTTGGATTTTGGAAAAGTTTAGTTGCTAAATAGTACATATGTTAATACCTTCCTTTTTTTTTTTTTTTTTTTTTTGAGACAGAGTCTCACTCTGTCACCTAGGCTGGAGTGCAGTGGCACTACCATGGCTCACTGACACCTTGACCTCCCAGGTTTAAGCAATCCTCTCACCTCAACATTCTGAGTAGCTTGGACTACAGGCGTGCACCACCATTCCCAGTCAATTTTTGTAATTTTTGTAGATAATAAATATATTTATTTCATAGGGAATAAATATATTTATGTATAGAGTAAATCTATACATAGATTTCGCTGTTTGCCCAGCAAAACCTTGTCCCTATAAAAATACAAAATTATTTTTTGAACTCCTGGGCTCAAGTGATTTACCTGCCTTGGCCTCTCAAAGTGCTGGGATTACAGGCATGAGCCACTGCACCCAGCCATTATCTTACTTCCATATTCCCTGCTGGTGTTTATTGAAAGCCTTTCCAAAACAAGTTCCTTGCACATGTGTTCTTTTTTCAGGCCATGTTCCTGGGTAAACTTCAATTATGACATATGTGGTTATGTATAATACTGGGCAAGCAGTAGGAACAATGAATATTTTTGGTATGAAAGTTCCTTCGATTATGAGAAATGTGCTAGAATAATTTATCTGATAGTTCTTCCTCTCAATTTTATCTCTTCTCTTCCTGTAACTCACTTTATTCTTACATTGAGTCTCTTGGCTGATCTATTTTTTAATCTATTTTATATCTTTCTCTTGTTTTTTCTATATTCTGGGATAGTTCCACAAACTTACCTTTTGAACATTTCTGTTGTATTTTTGTCTCTGAAAGTATATTTTTAATACATAAGAGGTTATATTTTGTTTTCATAATATTCCTTTCATATACATTTATGTCCCTTTTTGATAGACCCATTATTTCCTCTTAATACTCAGAGGATATTAATATTAATAACAGTGTTTAAAGTTGCCATCTCTCTAAAAATCCATGTTTCTTCCAGTTTTTAAATGTGTTTCAGTCTTTCCTATCAAGGGTTTAATTCAGATGTCTAATGATTCCATTTTTTCTGTTAATACTTGAGAATGAGATTCCAAGTATTGATTAGATTTCGTGAGTATGGATGATGCTTGTTTACTAACAGCTTCTGCTAGAATAAGATATATAGACTCTTTCACTGGGAAATCTCGAAGCCAATTTTTAATTCGGATCTTTTTTATCCTCCTTGGGGCAGTAAGTAAGATCTCCAGAAAAATACATTTTTATCTTCTATACGTTTTCTAGTATTACATTGCCTGGAAGTCTTACATTTCATTGTGAACACTCTTGCTAAACATCTTGTTTTCAGCAAATGTTTCATATCCCTCAATTCTACCACTTTAATATACTTTCTTATACCTTTCTTAAGAATAGCCCTATATAATTGTACCAAGGTGGGATGAAATGTTTACTGGCTATTTAGGGTTACGTAGAGGATCTGCTGTCCTATCTCCTTCTTAAACAGATTTTCATCCAATACTTCCAATTTAATTCCCCCCTTCACCCTCAATTTGAAGGTCTTTGGATTTCTTTGAGGTTCTGTAGTTCAAATCAATTTGCTTCCAGGGTTTCTCATTGCTGGTTTAATACACAGTTTTTTCAGAACTTAGAAAATCAATGCTGTTCTTTATTCTGTTTTCCAGTTTCTATTGTTTTGCAATATACTGTCCTCTTTGAACTTACAGATGCATGCCATGTTTGAAAGATAGTTTTATAGTTATCTTAGTGACATTAGAAGAAGGAGGACAGACACATCAATGTTTTCAATTTATCCTCATTTACTAGAACAAATATCAAGTATTTCTTTTACTTAAGAGTCAAATAATACAAAAAGTTAAAAGTTATCCCTACGTGCATGCCTTTGCAGTTTTAAAAATTGATTTTGTTCAGTGACTACATATCATATTGTATAAATTTGATATGTTTTCTGGTTAATATACAGCAACTTAGTTTATCTTTTCAATAACAATAAAAAATTGTTCTTGACTAAACTGTTTCTGTTATGATAAATATTCACTGCTTAAAGAAAAAGATACAAAAATGAGTGCTTGAAAAATTCCATCTTTGAGTTACTATGTTTACTTTCAGTTATACTATCCAGCTCTTGATCTTGGCTATTTTTCTTGCTCTTGTAAAAGCCTACAACTCATCTCTTATTCAGTTTAAATCAGAAGACAGTTATTCCATTTAAATTTGATATTATTAGATAAGTTAGAATGCTACAGTTTGTTTAAAAGTGATGAGCAAAAGATACTGACTGAATAAATAAACTCACTGAAGATACTATTAAGTATTCTAAGATTAAAGAGTATATCAAATTGAAGTGATAAGAAACTTCTAAGAAAACCTTAAAAAATTATTTGACCCAACTTTAAAAGGAAAAAAACAAATATTATATTTTGTGATTTAAGTACAAAACTAAGGTTCTTTCTTATAAGATTACTTTATTTTGAAATTTGGAGTAGGGGACTTAGATTCGGTTATGGATGTGTATTGAGTTAACATACAACCATTTTTAAATTGTTGGTCTCATTCAAATGTATTTATGTAAAGAGAACAAGGTGAGAGGGGAAAGGTTATTGATACACTATTGATACAATGAATCAACATTGGTACAAGGAATGTGAACTAAATAATAAAACACTCCGGATGTTTCAATCCACTGAGTCTATATGACAACAAATGGACATCATAGTCTTTAAATTTAATTCACTTTTTAAACAGTTCAGACATGTCAACTTTCATATGTCTTAATATTTTCTTATATATAAATAAGAATTTGAAATATTGAGGCAGATTACTTAAGAAGTGTTTTCCATTTCATAGTGTGAGTTGTAATCTTACCGTTTGTATTATGACCAATATTACCACAAATATTAACAAATTATATTCAATTCTTTATAAATAGAAATAAAGAAAGTACATGGATAAATGAATAGAAAGGTATAAAAATATGATGAATAATATCAAATGCAAGACATAACCTTTAATTATACTTAAAAGATTATGGTTAGTACTAAATTCAGTTAATTTTATTCAACATAATGTATTGAGAAATGAAATATTAACTACCTTTTAAATTTATATACTTAACACAAACTGCTACCATAGCTAACATCCATATAATACAACTTCTGTTAAATAATTAATAATTAAGTGCATTTCATAACTTTAATAGTTTCAGTATTATCCAAGTTATTTCCCTCTATCACACAGGCATATATTTGTTTAAAGAGCCGTATGTCTTGAATATGTGTTTGTATTAGTCTGTTCTCACACTGCTATGAAGAAATACCTGAGACTGGGTAATTTATGAAAAAAAAAAAAAAAAAAGAGGTTTAATTGACTCACAGTTCCACATGGCTAGGGAGACCTCAGGAAACATAGAATCATAGTGGAAGGCACCTCTTCACAGAGTGGCAGGAGTGAGAATGACTGACAGCAGGGGAAATGCCAGGTGCTTATAAAACCATCAAATCTCGTGAGAATTCACTCACTATGACAAGAACAGCATGGAGAAAACTGCGCCATGATTCAATTCCCTCCCACCTGGTCCTTCCCACATGTGGGGATTATGGGATTCAAGATGATATTTGAATACAATTAAAAATGATCTTTGGATTGGGAAACAAAGCCAAACCATATCAGTGTTCAAAGTAAAGGAACAATTTTAATAATTACTTTAGTAGAAGGAAGAATTTAATTAATAACAATATATAAAATTAAAAATCCTTTCTCTTCACTGGTACTTAGTTACATGTTGAATATATAATATTGAATTTTAAAATAAATCAAAATATTTTCCACAGAAAAAAAAAGACAATAATTTTTTGAAAGGCAGGTTAATCACTTTCTCTTAATATTTTCTGGTCAAAGTAATGAGATTAACTATTTATTGGCATTATCTCTTTTATTTTTTAATTTATTAGCTTTAGAGTTCTAAGAAATGGCTAAGATTTCCATCAAGAAATAATTACATTTGAAGCCTAATTTATAAAAATATATTATCTAGGTTAGTATTCACAGTATAGACTTTTTAAATTTTGTTTTCCAACACTCATAAATATTTACTAATCTGTCTGAGAAAGGAAGAATTTCTGATTAAAACAAAGTTTCCTATAACTTTATTGATAATTAGGTCTAATTGAAAATTTTGCAAAGGAAAACCTATATGGTTGTCATATTATTGTTCTCCTTTAAATAAAAGAATACAGTAACATATCTACCAATTTTTTTATATAGACCACATCCATTGTGCATAAACCCTGGTAGTAAATTGATTTCATCACTGAATTTCATTTTTAAAATCCTTTTCTCAGATCTCTTACCTTGAATCAATACACCAGCCTTTGCTGTCAAAACATCAGAATGTCAATCAAATAAAGTTATATTTTATCAACTAAGAGAAAATAATTGTTAATTTATATCATCAAATAGAAGTCAAATAAGAGAACAGTATGAGATTGAAAGTTGTACTGTCACTTTTATACAATAAAATCTGATATTGATTTCCTTACTGCAATATCTGATTCACAACTTGTTAAATAGATTTTCATATGAGTTTTATTCATCACTGCATATGAATGAAGGACAGTTCTGAAATAATGAAAGTACATTTCACTATTCACTAAAAGGACATTTAGTCACTTTGATTTGTGATGTGAGACTGTGTGTGTTTGCTTATATATGAACAAAATGTTAGCAGTTAGCTTGTCTTAGGTTCAGCTATTAGAATCAATAATCAGAATTGCTTTCCTGATGCCAAAACTGCAATGCTAACAAAATTATATAGACAAAAATCAATATGTAGACAAATGTTGTTTTTCATAATTTCTGACTCTGGGAATTATCCTGAAAAGCCAGATACCTTTTTTTTTTTTTTTTTTTACTTTCTACTTTTATTTTCAATTCAGGGGTACATTTGCAGCTTTGTTACATGGCTGTATTGTGTAATACTGAGACTTGGGATAGGAATGATCTTGTCACACAGATAGTGAACATAGTACTCAATAGGAAGTTTTGCAGCCATTCCATCCCTTATCCCCGCACCGCTGTAGTAGTCCCGTGTCTATTGTTCCCAACTTTATGTCTATGTGCACCCAATGTTCAGCTCCCACTCATAAAATGAGAACATGAGATGTTTGGTTTTCTGTTCCTGCATCAATTTGCTTAGGATAATGGCCTCTAATTACATATATGTTGCTGCAAAGGACATGATTTTGTTCTTTTTTATGACTGCATAGTTTTTCATGGTGTATATTTTCTTTATTCAATCCATCCACCATTGATGGGAAACTAGGTTGACTCCATGTCTTTGTTATTGTCAATAGTGCTATGATGAACATGCAGGGTGTATGTGTCCGTTTGGTAGAACAATTTTTTTTCCTTTGGTAGTTCTGTTTTAAGTTATTTGAGAAATCTCTAAACTGCTTTCCACAGTGGCTGAACTAATTTACATTTCCACCAACAGTGTATAAGTATCCTCTTTTCTCTGCAGCCTCTTCAGCATCTGTTATTTTTTGACTTTTTAAAAACGGCCATTCTGACTGGCATGAGATAGCATCTCAATGTGGGTTTCATTTGCATTTCTCTGATAATTAATGATGTTGAAGACCTTTTAAAATATTTGTTGGCTGCTTGTATGTCTTCTTTTGAGAAGTTTCCATTCATGTCCTTTGCATACTTTTTAATGGGGTGTTTGTTTTTTGCTTGTTGGATTAAGTTTCTTATAAATTCTGGATATTAGACCTTTTTCAGATGCATAGCTTGTGAAAATTTTTCTCCCATTCTGCTGGTTGTCTGTTTACTCTGTTGATTGTTTATTTTGCTGTGCGGAGCTCTTCAGTTTAACTAAGTCCCACTTTTCATTTTTGTTTTTCTTGCAATTGTCTTTGAGGACTTAACTATAAATTCTTTGCCAAGGTCAATGTCCAGAATGGTATTACTTAGGTCTTCAAAATATCTTTCACATATCAATTCAATTCAACTGAACAATATAAAATAGTCACATCCGATAAATAATTTTTTTCCTTTTGAAAAAATTTTATATTATTTCATATACCTACAGAAAAGTTGTAAAATAGTACAAAATAATGATAGATAAACATTCATATATAATTTTCTAAACTGTTAAAGAATAAACTGCACATCTGATAACCATTTAAAAGTAAATATTTTGGTTTCTATTTGCTATAAATGAAGTACACGGTGACATGTCCATAAACACATGTATTTATATACCCGTATGCCAATTACACTAATGCAGAAAAAATATTTTATCTAATTTACAGCCTTTTTGAGATTCTATAAATTGTTTTGATAATATTATTGATAGTCCTATAAAATTCAATATTATTTATTGTATTATTTGTCGCATCTCTTTTTTCTTTTTTTTAATCTGGAAGAATTTCTGTGTCCCTCTTTTGTATATATGACCTTGATATTTTTGACAGGATGTTTACCTTGTAGAATGTCCCATCTTGTGATGTACCCTTTGATTCTTGATGTGAGTAATTCAGGTTTTACTGTTTTTGTTTATCAATGTCCAGTTTTGCCAGATTTTTGTTGATTTAATGGTCTTTCCACAAAGCCAACTATTGGTCTTACTTATTGTGTTCTGCATTTGATTTTCATTTCAATGATTTCTACTATTTCCTTACTGTTTTTTCTACTTTACTTAGGATTAATTTGCTCTTTCTCTTTCACACAATTACAGATTTAATTTTATCTTATTTGTATTAATTGATCATTGGCTTTATTGTATTTTATCTAGTCATCTAGCATCAGAAAAAATAATGTTTTTGTTTATAGGCTTCTTCTATGGCCCATCATATTTTTTTTGATGTGGTATTCAATAAATATAAATTAGTTCAAGTTTATTGACTGGGCTTTTCAAATCATCTAATTTCTTTGAGAATCAGTTCAAATAATTTTTCTATTCCAACAATTACAGCAATGTTTTAATACAACCATATTCTAGTACAACAGTGTTACTGAGAAAGGTTTGTTAACATCTGTGGTAAGAGATAAAATGTCGACGCATGATAAAATAACACATAATATTTTTCATTTTAGTTTTCCTCTATGTATTTATGAGATAGGTTTAGTTTTTCTCTATGTATTTATGTTATAGGTTTATTGATATGTACATTTAAAATGTAGACTTTGTATATCTACTTGATGAAGTTAATGTTTTCAGTCCACTGACACTTTATCTTACATTGTACTTTTCAGGATTTGCTATAGCCTTACCACTCTATTTGTTTTTTGTTTATTTAATACATCTTTTATATACTTTACCTTTCAACATTTTTCGTTACATTTAAAATGTGTATTTTATACATTTCATATAACTATGATTTATGTTATTTCTGGTTGCCAAACTTTATTTAGAGCATTTAGTCTAAAGTAAGGTTTTAGTTTATATATACCACATTACTTGTTTATTTTATTTGCTGTATCAATTTTATGCTCCATTTCTCTTCTTTCTTGCTGCATTTTGAGTTGTCAACATTTTTAAAGTTATAATTTACTGATTACTACATAAAATATTGAAACATAAGTGTTCACTATAAATGAGTAATTTTACATATTCCCATAGAGTGTAAACAACATGGAAAATTTTAATTCTATTAACTTATCCTGCAATAAACCATTTTGTCATGCATTATAACATTTTGCACTTAACATTTCTTAAAAACTATTATTATTGTTATATGTAGTTGATGTTAATTCAGATTTCCTTCAAATTTAGTCATTCTTGTGGTCTTGATTTTAATTTTTTTCTATCTGTATCTCTGAGATTCTAGCTAGGACCACTTTTCTTTAGGAAAAACAATTATTTAAAATATTTTCCTTGGTTAAGTAGTGCTGACAAATCGGAAATTTTGATTCTCTGAAAAATATTCAGTATGCCTTCATTTGTATTTGTAATTAATTCATGTATTTCCTTTTAAGATAGGTTTTCACTCTTCATAGAATTCCACTTAGTCAATAATTTTTAGAACTTTGATCACATTATTCCATTTTATCTTCCATTATTTCTGTGTAGATGCCAGCCATAAGTTTAGGTCTTTTGACAAATTTCTGTATCCTTTATATACATCCTGCTTGGGATTTTTAATAATCTTTTAATCGGTGGTTTAATTTCTTTTACTAGTTTTGGAAACATTATACGTATTATGTCTATATATTGCTCCTTCATATTATTTTCTCTGTGACATTTAAATTGTGCATGTATTAAATAAATGTAGAATATTTATTTATTTATTTCATTACTGTTCTTTTTATTTCTAATTTTTTTGCCTTTGTTCTGAAAATTTTCTTTTGAGTAATAATTCAGTTCACTATTTCTCTTTCATTTGTGACTAATATACTGCCAATCTCATTTAGCTGATTTCTAATTTTATATAATGTGGTTTTATTTTTTAGTTTTAGAATTTTTATTGGTGTTATTTTTATATTTTACAGTTCTGTGCCAAAAGTATACTTTTTTCCCTTTATTTTACGATTTAATCATATATATTTTAAATATGGTGCTTCATATCTTCTAATATTTGGATAATTTTTTAGTTTTTTTATTTGACATGTTTTCAATGGGTTATAAATAACATCTTATTTCTATTTCTAGCTATATTTCATCAAATGCTTGGTATTATAAATATAGCTTGTGTAAACTGTTTGTTTCTACTAATAATATTTTTCTCCAAAACAATTTTTTGCAAGTTTTAGTTTAAAAGCAAATAGATTCATGTGGGGGTAGGTATAATTTAATGTTCAGCCCTAATTTGAAGGTTGGTCTTTCTTTGTTCAGTGATAATTTTTAGGGTTTAGACCTTCTAGATTCAAACAAACAAACAAACAAACCAAAAAGCAAATTGCTTAAGCAATGGAGGGATGAAAGAAGGTTCTTGAGATTCAGAGCTTATTGAGTATATTTTCTCAGTATCAAATCTGCAGAAACGTCCTTTCAATTTTCTAACATTTCTTTCCCTAATTTTGCAACTAGTAATTGTTCATTGGAAAATATTTTAATTTTTGCTGCTTTCCTTTTCTTAACTTCTAAAATCTCATTAACTCTCTAGCTCTCTGATGTTTTCAATCCAATTTTCAACATATTTTGTATAATTTTTATATGTGTTCATATTGGGAAGACTACCTAGCAATAGTAAATAGCACATTGGAATAAACAATCTAGCAATAGTAAAACTTTGGAAAGTAAAACTTTCATCAAGTGTTTGTAATGTACAGTTTTTATCTATATTTTATAATCACAATGTATAATATGTAGATATTATAATGTCATATATAACACATGGAAACCCTAAAGTAGAAACTTTATAAGTACCTTTACTTCTTTCAATGCAATTTCTAGATGAAACATAAAACTTTGATCAATTTTATTGTGACAAATAATTTTGAATAACAGCACCATGTGCCAGAAATAAGCTTACAAATGATTTAAATATGCAATATACATATTTTTCTTTTTTCACTATGAACTCTACATTCTGCTTTTTCTCACAAGACTTCTAAAGATAATCATTCAAAATATGTATTAATTACAATTTTAAGTATAAAATATTCTATTTGAAATTACCAACCTAACATAATACAACTGAAAATTGATACATATTGTTAAAGGTCAAAGTACATTTAGTTTACAATAATTTCGTTGACATGCATAATCCATAATCTGAAAAAAGATAATAGGCTATTATAACTCTTCTTTAATGAAGCTACTAAAGCAAAGAGAGTTTTATGTTCGAACTCTTCAAACATGCATCACTCATAAGCATATGCCTTTTCCCAGATGTGCAATTCATGCTGAAGAGCAGTTCTTGGAATGCTTTTGCAATAAGGTCCTTCAACTTCACAAAGAATCATTCAAATAAATACTCTGGGATTATTTTATTTATTTTTTTTAATTATACTTTAAGTTCTAGGGTACATGTGCACAATGTGCAGGTTTGTTACATATGTATACATATGCCATGTTGGTGTGCTGCACCCATTAACTCGTCATTTACATTAGGTATATCTCCTAATGCTATCCCTTCTCCCTCCCCCCACCCCACTACAGGCCCCAGTGTTTGATGTTCCCCACATCTGGGATTATTTTTGTGTGTGCGTGCGTGCGTGCGTGCGTGCATGCATGTGTGTGTGTGTGCGTTTCTTCCCAAAATGGTATCTATTCATTCTAATTATTTGCTTTTACATGAACAGTTTTTAAAATAGATACATCACTGCAGATAACTAAAAATGTGGATGTGTAAATGTCAGATGCTCCATCTAAGTACAATTTTATGATTAATTTTATGTTGATATTATTTTTATCAATTACATAAAAATATGTTATGCTTTTGATATGAAAATATGGTTTTATTTTCAGTGACATGAAATCTGGAAGTCAACAAAGAATCATTATTTTAATGATGCAATTTTTTTAGTTTATTTTACTATTTTCTTTCATTCTTGTTTTCATTATCAAAAATAGGAGATATATAAATGAACTTTAAACACAGATTAGCGTAAAAATCAGCATCTTAATATGTATTTGAATTATTTTCTCATTTTTAAATCCCCACACGTTTTTGTACCTTTTGTCATTTCCATTGCATATGTTTCTATTTATAAAACACTTAAGTGGAGAAAATAATGCTACTTGTTTATCTGAAAACTGTCTTTCTACATAAAATAAAGGTCAAGGTAAATTTAACCAAAAAACTGTAAAAGCATCTATATTTTTTAAGTTGTAAAATTTTGCTTTTGTCTCCTTCCCAATAACAATAATCTCTAACAATACTATTCTGAGAGTTGTTTATCAAAATGGGTAAATTATTATAGAGAAAAACAGAGCATGCACAGTTCAACTAAACAACATAAAATGAAACTATATAATAAAAATGTATATGAATGACAACTGTACCGAGTCATCAATAAGGACAAAACGTATTCTTCCATGACAGATGCAACTGGTATCATTTAATCAGTATTCATGGGTAAATATGAGACAAATATTATTGTGATCAAACATTTTCTAAATAAAGTTTAATGTTTCATATTATTAAAAAGTTCCTCATTCTGATTTGTTATTAAATTTTGTGTACTCAATACCAAACTCAATATCTTGAATATAGTAGACACAGCTGCATGCTTCAGATATTTTATTCCATTGTATTTTGTTCCATCATATTTAATTATATTTACTTTCCGAGATAAAGGGATCAGAAATATTATTAAATGTTAAGTATAGATGCCCATTTTTTAATACCAATAGAAAGACTTCTAGGTAAGCATAGAAACATGAACACATTTTTTTCTTCGATGAAACCTCAATAAAATAACTGTAAGGGGATTTTTTTGATGATGCACTAACCTACAAAGAATAAAGTTGTGGATGAGCAAATTTAAGCATTAGAGATACATAATGAAAAGAGCTACAAACATAAAATTTATATGGGTATGTGTTAACTGCCATTTTGGACCTGAGAAACCAAAACATAAATGCCTAATAGGAGAAAGAAGTAAAGAGTCTAGAAATAAACTGTATCACACAATGGAACTCTGAATGGTTTCAGCAGTTTTGGTCACTATACCCATTTAAAAGTGCGGTTAAAAGTGTATCTGAAAACATTTAAATCCTACAAAGAAAATTACTAGGTGCCTTTTCTCTACCTGCTAGAACTTTGGAGTCTTGCTCTTTGCAGGTGTTCAAACAGCAATACAGTACATTAAGGGCATGGAACTTGGTGAAGACAGAGATGTTATATAGGAAATACAGGGAATCATGTGAAAGTCTGGGTGATCAATTTCTCCAATTTATTTCCCTTGGCTACAGTAAACACACAATCAGATTACTCCTGGTTCGCTGATACTCCACCCTCACCTCCACTCCTACTACTACCAGTAACTAGACAAAGATACCTCTCTGTTACAACCAAGGAGAACAATAAACCAATGATTGCACTCATCAAGTGAAATGACTGAGTGCCTAACTAGTAACTTAAACTTAAGTCCTCTAGTCTATAAGCCCCAGCAATGCTCACAGATTCCCTGAAAACTTTTAATATCTTTCTATTAAATATTTTTAAAAATGCCAAATGTAACCAGATGTGTGCAGAAATCCTCTAATATGAAAAACAAACCCAAGCATGCATCAGGTAATGAAGAACCAATAAAACACAAAACAAACAAACATAAATTTAAAGGAACCAGAGATACAAAATAGTGCATGTACCAGGAAAGAAAAATGACAACAAATCTGATCATTGATATCCTAAATAAAGGTAAGTAAACGAAGATACAACTTTCGTGAAAAACAGAGCACTATACTATACAAACGTACGTTTAGAAAGCATAGAATGGTCTTAAGATACATATTTCAGAAAGCGTCACAGGATCCTTAGGTTGTCACTTGACCAGCCAGAAATATCTGTGGCCAGCAGTGCCTCTGCTTGGGTTTTGCTTGTGCCTGCTGGGCTGATTTTGCCCACTCGGCCTGGCAGACTACACTCCACTAGTGCTACTGGCCTGGATCCCATGCCTGCCAAGGGCGATCCAGGTGCAGAGTGAGGAGGGGTGTGTGAGTGAGCGAGCATGGGGTCTGGTCACTGCACACAGCCAGGCATGCTAACTGCAGCCGGGTGGGCAGCTCTCAATGCCAGCACGGGCGCCGGCTTCATGCGAGGCTGCAGCTCAGCCAGAAGGTTTCTAATGTGGGCACCAGCATAAGGACAAGGGGAATGCAGTGGCACCTGAAAGCTTGGAGACACCAAAAACCTAAAGAGGGTGTTACAGTGTGTCACAGCCCTGGCTCAGGGAGCACCTAGGGCTCCAAAAGGCACAGCAGCTCTTCACTCCTTTTTATCACCTGCAACATGGCAAGCAGGGGGAATGTTTCAGCCCTGTTTGTTACAACTCTTTCAGTCTTGCCATTGGGCGGGTACCCAGTTCATGTCCCACAACCAGGAAGAATTAGGTACTTGGACAACTGGAGAGTGAGCAAGGAAGAAAGGAGCTTTATTGAGTGAAAGAACAGATTTCATGAGGCCAGAAGTGAAAGTGAGTAGCTCCTTTCCACAGGTATGTGGTTCTGACGAGTGTACAGTTCCTCAGGGGAGAGGCAATGCAGAGTGTGTAGGTTCTTTCTGCAGGGAGGTTGTCCTGGTGAGTGGAGGAGACCCAAAGTGGGTTCTCCTTCCCTCAAGCAGTAGTCCCAAGGTCTAAGTCTCACTGAGTCTGGGATTTTATGGGCTCAGAAGAGAATAAGCCATGCTGATTGGTCCATGGATGGCAATGGAAGGGCCCGGAAAAAGCACCATCTGAGTGGCCGAAAAGTCATCAATGAAGTTTTCACTCCAGGCTGTGGACTTTGCCTGGAACTGGCAGCCTGGCCCCCAGGCTTCAGGCCATTCCTAGCTTGAAGGTGGAGTTTCACTGGGGATCTGACCATTTCCACCCAGGAACCTGTCTGCCTTCCATCATCAACATGCCAACTATGGCACCCAGACTGTTTGTGGTGAGGGGCGCCTGTAGGATCCCATCGAGCTGCCCTCATTGCCCCCTGGTCTCCCTCCCATGCCCGTTGGTGCCCAAAGTCTGTAGGGGTCCGAGGTGTTAGAGGACTGACATGTAAGTGCCACCCCAAGCGTGTGCACACCCAGCTGGGTCGCAACAGCAGCTGGGCTCGGCCACAGCTTTGCTCCGCATAGGATTGGGTGCTGGGATCAGGAAGAGGCCAGGGAGAAGGAACAGCCACTTCTGACCCTACAGGGGCAGGGTGAGGCTTCCTGAGCCCCCGAGAGCTCAGGATTACCTAGGTCCAGAGCCGTCGCTGGGCGGCTGCAACTGTGGTATGAGAGCGCAGAGCTCTTGCCCTGCTAACTATGTAGGACTGGGGCTCCCACCTGTTCTCAGCTCCTGCGGGCTCCATGGAGCTCTTAGCCTTAGCCATGCCTCCCCCACTGCAGCTGGCATCACTGCAGCAGCTGCTCCAGACAGGCCATTGCCGCCAGCAAAAGTAAAACACAGAATAATATCGTTAGAAAATAAAACTGAAAAGGATTTAAAAATTTAGAAAAATATACTATTTAAAAATACAGAATCCTACAGTAGAGGAAATGGACGGAGAAAATGATCAAGGAGCTAACACAAGAATATTTCCCAGAAATAAAGAACATAGGTATGAAAATAGAAGTATCTTAAAAAATGGATAAAAAGAAGGTTCATGCCAATACATTATTATTGCATTTTTTGAACGGAGAAAAATGAAAGATGTGTGAAGAGAAAGAGTGTGTATAGAAGGATCAGGAATGGCATAGGACCTACATATCTAGAAGTTCTTCATGCTTCACAGAGAAAATACTTTTTAATCTAGATAGCTGTATCCAACAAATCATCATTTGAGGGTCAAAGTAAACCAAAAACATCTTCAGAAGGGCCCTTTTAAAATATTTACTTTTCTAGTTACAGAAAGTAACTATATCAAGAAAAATAATAAGGTACAAAAAGATGAAGAGGGACATGGGAGAAAGAAAGAAGAGGTTGACCTTCGAAGAGGGGGGTGAGAATTTCCAGGGTCAAGAGAAAGGCTATAACTTTTTAAAGCTGGAAAGTAGGTTTTGAGCGAAAGTAGGTTCCAGATGAGGGTCAGAGGACTGAGCAGGTCAGGGAGGTATAGTCATTTAAAAAGTAAAATACACATTTTTCAATACTTGTTAATTATTAAAAGTATAATTACGATTTTATCCTAGAATTTAAGTTTGAATCTATGTTAATTATGGAAAATGTAAGAGAATGTTATGAACTCCTGGATCAAACATGATTGAACTAGAAAGGAAATATATTGCATACTTTTGGTTTGGGGAAAAATGTACTATTCGTAAACACTGAATACTGATTTAATCTAAAGTTATATGATAGCAATGGGGACATGATGGAAAGAGAAGAACGTTGACATACGTTTATGTTGAGTTATGACAGATGTACACCTGCTGTAAGAGAGCTACATCTTTAAAATCTGTGATAGAAAATAAATTGATAGTATGTAGAACTTTTAAAAAAGTGTTATTAATATAAAGATGTCATTAAAATATGTAGAAAAAAGCAGAATAAGCTACTGAATGAGTTTAAAATGTTTACTTCTCTAAGAAGGAAACAGGAGAGGTGAGATGTGGAAAGCGAATATTAGCTTTTGGTTTGAGCCCTGTAAAACTAACTGACTTTTATATGTATGTAGTGGTGTCATAAAATTTAAATTAAATGAACATAAAGTATATTATTCTATACTTGAGTCTCATGATGTCTCATACTACAAATGCAAACACTTATTTAGAAAAAAAACCACAAAAATTACATGCCAAAGTAAAAAAATATTTGGTGACATTCATGTGAATAATACATTTTATTTGGGTTAAGCTTCTTTATAAGACTGATTTTATACATTTATTTTATGTCACAACTTCATTGCTATGATATATTCCTCTTAATAGGTTTATTTTGGTATATATTTATTGTATCTCCTTTCTTCCTGGTGTAAAATAAATTAGGATTGATAAATACGGAATCACTTGCTTTGATCCAAATATATATAAATAACAATTTTAAGCATTTTTGGTATAATTAGGAGGAAAAAGGGAGTTTGATTGCTACATTTGACTGAATATTTCATGAAATATTTTTCTTGATTATTGTTTACATATTAAATATAACAATATGATTAGTCCTGTGATCTCTGCACTTCTTGCTAAAATATGATGAAAATATTTCTCCAGTCTCCTCAGGAGCCGGGGAGAAAAAAAAATCTACCAAGCTTGGAATTATGCCACTGATATTTTATTAAAATGATATCTATGTTTTTAACCCAATTACCATTGAATGAGCATCTACTGTAAGAGTTTTAGGCGCTCCTCTGGGCAAAGAAGACAGAGATTTTTAAGTCATAATCTTGTCTAACAGAGCCTAAGGCATTTCAATTGTGTCAGGAATTCAAATGTAATGAAGACATCTGTTGTTGGCAGAAAGCAAGTGAGACTTTGTAAAGGAGGGGTCTGAGGTTTAGAAATATATCATGAGACTGCTTCATGTTTGATTTTTCATTAGCAGATGAGGATTTCCTAGAGAGAAAATATGACATCCTGAAAGAAGATATATTATATATATCATTTATTATTCTTGTAAAGGGAGATACTTAGCAGAAAAGATGGTTTTATTCTTACTCAATCTGTATTTTCATCAAATACTTTGTATTTCACTAGTTTTAATCATGCATTTGCATTTGTGTGTATATATAAATGTGTTCATGTGTGAATGCTGCCAGATCTGTTAATTTTTTATTTTCTTTGAAGTCAAGGAGAACTCTAATCTTTTCCTCTGCTTCTTTTTCACTTATATGTCATTTGTCTTACATTCTTCATCAACTCTTTTTTTACCTTATCTTTCTCTTCTAATAGCTGTCATAGTTTTATCTTTGTTCTGTTAACATACAATGGGTCCAAGCAGCTTACTACTAATAATTTTAGTACTACATAGAAAATAGGATTTAATTGGAGTAACCAAAGGCTTCAAATGCTTTACACCCTCTTAAAAAAACTTTATATTTTTTTTTCCAGAGGCGCTTTTCAGTTCAAGTTTTTAATGCAAAGGAGAGTTTGATTAAAAATGAAGCATTTTAAGACACAATTTCTTGGTGGTGTAATTTGGTAATCATTGCTTTTCATTTCTTCACTTCGACAGTCTTGTTTTCATCAAAGACTGATTTATAGAAAATAAGAGCCACATGTTAATCTGCTTTCTATCCTTCATGTGTTCATTTTGTGCCCTTCTAACTTTAGAATTGGAAGACTGAGTAAACAGTCTTCATTTCTTCTATGGCTACCCACAGACCTAGGACCTTATCACATAAAGCAGAGAATCAGAGTGGGCTGTTGAGTAACACTTTATTTTACATAACTTTTTATTTATTTCCAAAGTCTGAAAAAGTTTACTTCAAACTGCAGCAATCATCTTTATTTCGGTTTAAATTATGTTGAATATGAGAGATGATCTCCACACTTTCGGAGTTGAAGTTGTAATTTTCTTTACTTTATTGCTGCAATTGCAGAACCTAGCATGTTCCTTGCATACACTAGCATTCAATAAATATGTGTTAAATGGATGAATTAATGAATCTATATTCTTTAAATTACCAAGAAAAATTAATAAAATAACAGTTGCCACATAAAATGCTAAACTATATCAAATACTGTGGGTTTTTTTTTTGTGGTGACACATACATTATTTAAAGCATCTTAGCAATAATATTTCCACTGAAAATACCAGAAACAAAATTCAAAGATAAAGATGTAGAATAATTTTGTTTCTTTTTCTTCCACTTAGTTTTGCTTGACTGTACCGTTATGTTTAGTAAGGAAAAAAGGCCAATGAATAGCCTGAGTGTTTCCAGCCAGAAAAGAGATAGCATTAGGCAACAAGAGGAAAGACACATGCTTGAGTCATGTGTCCAACTGAGTATATGCCATCATGTTCAGATAAAATGGTACTACTATTACACATGCCTGTATCAAGGGACTATCCCTGAGACCAAAATACCATTACTCTTTTTTGTATTTTATTACTGTTTACATACAGATAATAAATATTTAACATTTGGAATTTTGTGTGGTTCATTGAAAAAGGGATTAATCTCTTCAAGTTTAATGATTGAATGATATGTTGACTTTATGCATGTGAACGCATTTTTAGAACTCTCAAGCTGGAAACTACTATGTTTCTTTGTCAATCATCCCTTGTAGGATTCCTTTATTGATTGGGAGGTAGAAAGTTGAGTCAGACTCATTAGAGGCCCGAGAGTACTGTATTTTGCTGCTTATCTTGTATAATAGTTGAAAGGTGTGGCAGGAGAGGAATTTCTATAGGCTTCAATGCTGTCACTAACAGTGGGGAACAATGATAGCCTTGGAGAGAGACATTGTTAAAAAAGTTGTCAAAGAAAAACCTAACCAAACTTCATAGCATTAACAAGGAACCGTCTTTTTTGTTTACTCTGAGTTAAAGAAAAAAAAGGATATCCTACATTCAACGAATATGTTATTTACTTTTATCTAAACAGATTTACATTAACCAGCCTATATTAACTGGAGACAAATATTTCTAATAGGTGATTTTTTAAAAGCTAGATCACAATATTTTAATTCAGAGATAATATAATAGACACCCAATACAGAGAACAAAATGTTTATTATTATCATGATACTTTAATTGCTTTCTGTCATAAAGTTAGTATCACAAACTTTTAAGAAGCAATCGGTAGGAAAAAGTGTTTTTTTTTGATAGATTGAATTTCATAAAACAAAAATCTGAAAAGAACTTCTGAAAAAAAAACTCTTCAATATAATACAAAACTTAGCCAAGAAAACAAGAAAATATGCACTTCCAAACTAGGCAGGAGATGTAAATATCTTCTTTCAAAAGATATATGTAACAGAATGTTTAATATGGATTTTTCAATTAACATTTGATCTTTTTGTTTGTTAGTCACTAAAATTAAACATTTAAGTATTATTAATAGCAGGAACCTTCTTTACTATCACTTCCAGAAATCATATGGAAATTTTGGCATACTTTGAATGACTGTATATAGATGAGACTTTTTTGCCTCAATTTTAAGGCAAACAGATCAAAGCCTATGAGGGTGTAATTACTACTGGTTGAGAACGTTTTTCTAAGTGTTAGCATAGGCATATTTTGCTACAGTTATACCAGCATCTGCTCTAACTCTTTAAAAACACCCTAGGGCATGTGAAGAAACAGATCATATCAAAGGAGGATAACTGTTTTCAGATAACTGCTGTGACATAAATTTTCTTCCTAAGAATCATCAATGCTGGTTTTTAAAACTTGGCGTACTCCACTACCTCAATTTAAAACATGAGAGATGTGTCTTGTTAAAAGGTTTAGACATTAATGGTTAAAGATAGACAAAGAAGACTTACTCATAAACTATAAAATTAGAAGATTGTTGATTACACTCATTTCTCTTAACTTTAGTGAGGCATATATTGCATAATATTAAAATTCAAACATTTTAAGTGCACACTTTTATATACTCACTGATGTAACCACTACTCTAATGAGTTACAGAACCTGTGTATCAATCCCCTAAGCCAGCTTCCTGGTTCCCTTTTGCAGTCAGTCTCTCCTACTGTGGCACCAGGAAACCATGGATGTGGTTTCTAACAACAGAGTAGTATTACCAATTCTAAAGCTCCGTGTATATGAAATATTACAATGTGTACTCTTTTACTTTTTTCAATATTTTTTGAGATCTATTTATGTCAGTCTGTCTTTTGATTACTTCATTTCCTTTAATTTGTTGATCTTATTTTCCATTAGTAATATGAGTACATTCAAACTTAATGTTTTAAGTCTTTGTTTTCTTGTTTTTGTTTGTTTGTTTTTGAGAAGAAGTCTTGCTCTGTTGCTCAGGTTGGAGTACAGTGGCACGATCTCTACTCACTGCAACCTCCCCCTCAGCCTCCTGAGTAGCTGGTGGATTACAGGTGCCCGCCACCACACTCAGGTAATTTTCTGTATTTTTGTTAGAGATGAGGTTTCACCATGTTGGCCAGGCTGGTCTCGAACTCTTGAATTCAAATTATCCACCCCCAACTCGGCCTCTTGAAGTACTGGGATTATGTTTGTGAGCCACTGCACCTGGTCCGTTTTAAGTCTTTGTTTTCAATATCCAAGATCAGGGTCATTGGGTTTAGGTCTGTATTATCAATTTTTTAATTTCTTGAGAAAGTGTATTTTTTGTTTGTGTTTTCCTGCATTTCATAGTTTTTGTTTTGGACAATAATGTTGTTGTTGATACATTGAAAACCCTTTGAATTGTTATATTATTTAAAGAGCATTATTTTTCAACATCTATTAAAAGCTGCCTGAGCACAGGCATATCTATCTGTAAAAAATCTAAGGGGGTCTTCCAAGTCCCTTGAACACAATAGGACTTAACCTTCAGTTTTCTCCATCCTGAGGATTTTGCAGGAGACTTAATCTCAAAATAGGTTTAGAGTAATCCAAGACCTAAGGCGTCGTTGTTATTTCTAAGTTATAGCCTTTCTTTTGGGGCAGTTGAATGCTAGGGGTGGTAATAAGATCTGTACATTATGACAGTTCTGGAGATCCTACATTTCCCCAGCAATTATTGATGTCTGGTGTTTCTGTTCTGTTTTCAATCTCATGGCAACTTCTCTCTGGTAAGTCTCATGTGATGTTGGTCTGAGCATGTATTGCCCAGCTCTTGACCAAGAAATCCCAGAGAACCCCCCTACTCAAGCTTCTAGGGTTCCCCTCTGGGAAATACCCTTTTCCCTAGTGCTTTACTCTGCTCAGATCAGCTGCTTAATCTGCTCTGAACTCTAATCTTGGCCTCAGCTCAGCAAGATCATAACACTCCACTTAAATTAGAGCTTGCCCTGCAGTCAGGAGAGATGGAATGTTTTGGGGGCTTGCATCATTTGTTTCCTGCCTTTCTGAAATTGCAGTCTTGCATTACTGAATGCTGAAAAGCATTTGTCGTGTATATTTTGTCTCACATATGTTGCTCGGATTTGCATTATTTTAAATAATTAAGAATAATCTGATGTTATTCTTTCAATATCAGAGCAGAAGTTCATTCAAATATTTTAATCATATTATTTCCCACAACTTGCACAAAATTAGGATATGATTCATTAAGAAAGATGATCGCATTTGCTCATGTCTTTTCCTTAAAGTAGAGTTTTGAATTTTGTTGTGTTTGGGGTTTTTAATCATCATCTTAAATAATTTCATTCTTCAAGTATACAGAATGTGTTGGGATCAGAGAAAGATTGTTATTGTTTATTTAAAAAACAAATAATGACACCCCACACATCAATTTTTACCACATTGACAATTACATGAAAGTCCCAAATGTCCCCCACAAAAAAATTCTATGATATGAAGAATAGAGAAAAATAAATTGTATATGATTACATACATTAGAGATGCAGCTGTCATCTTTTTCCCCACTTTAAGGTGATTGAAAACCCTTTCTATTTGGATACAAGATGGAAAGAATTCTGAGTTCACTTACTCAAATGTTGAAATGTAGATAGATGTCTCCAAGGACCAGATACAACCTGGTGGCTCAGGGTTATCCAACATATTGATGTCTCCATGGTCTTGGTTTTCATTTTTCACTGTAACACACACATGCACACACATCGTCTGAGTTAATTCCTCTGAAGTTCTCCACAGATAGATAGATAGGTATAAATAAACTTCCTAAGACTTGTTCTTAACCCGGAATCCCAAGTTCTTAACAAAATTAATGCAGGAAGTCCCTGTTCTGCAGAAACACACAGATATTTTCACACCCTCATAATATGCCACAAAAATAAAAATTAAGAGGAAATACGGAACCATTGCAGTAGAGAAGATTTTCTAAGAATTTTACACTATGAGACATTGTTCATTTAAAACAAACAAACAAACAAACAAAAACAGTTATAAGATATTTTTGATATTTTATTGGAAGCAAATTATTATTAATAGACCTCTAACATATACACTAATGTATAGCTCAATCTGCACTATGAAGACACTTCTTGGGTAATGAGACTATTTTAAAATTGATTGCAAACATGCAAATTCACACAAATGTACAGTTAAAATGGGGTAATTTTTATTATATGTAAATTACAGCTCAGTAAAGAAATATGAACTTCATGATAAAAACATTTGTTGCACTTTAAGATTTTTTTGCCAACTAATCCCTCTGTTGTGTTATCATTAAACAGTATCTATAATGGCAATCATTTGAAATCACAGAGTGTAATATAAATGCTCTTTAGAATATCTATTTGTTAATTATTAAGTAATTTCAAAGTAGTAACAATAGTTATGAGTAGCACCCCCCAAAATTTGAATGGGGACTTTAAATTAATATTAAATTATTGATGGAACTATTAAGTAACCGAAAGAATAAAAACAGTGCCTAAGAATTTGTAGTTAATACTTGCTTACTGACAATTCTAAAATTATTTTAGGATAAGGAGTAATTATTCTCCACTAAAGATTAATCTCATCCTTTAAAGATTAGCCAGATCATATTTTAGTTATAAATATAAATTGTAAACATTCTATTTATAATGGCATAAATGAAATAGCAGAAGGCTAAGTGCAGCGGCTCACGCCTGTAATCACAGCACTTTGGGAGGCTGAGGTAGGCAAATCACGAGGTCTGGAGTTCGAGAGTAGTCTGATCAATATGGTGAAACCCTGTCTCTACTGAAAATACAAAAATCAGCCAAGTGTGGTGGTGCGCACCTGTAGTCCCAGCTACTCAGGAGGCTGAGGCAGAAGAATCTGTTGAACCCTAGAGATGGAGGTTGCAGTGAACCCAGATCATGCCACTACACTCCAGCCTGGGTGACAGAGCGAGACTCTGTCTCAAAAAAAATAAAAAGTAACAGAGGTATGTATTATGGTTTTTTTGGGGGTTTTTTTGGCAAAAAAAAAAAAAATACGAGGAGTGTGATCCACCTTTCCTTAAGGAGCTAAATGAGAATTAATGTTTGTATTTAAAGACAAATAATTTTTGACCATTTGCTTTGACTTTATTAAAGGTCTGAAACCACAATCTCTAGATATTTGTCATTTATACTGATATATAAACTCTGCATTATATATCAGCTATGGTAAAACTTTGATCCTTTCCAGTTCCTGGATCTTCTTTTGATTAATCAAACTTGATTGACTAATACATTGTCATTATGTGAAGATTGAGTTATACCATTCACATAAAGATCCATTATTAAAGACTTATTTTTGTGTGTTGTACAATATAAAGAGGCAATTTTATGTCTTTTTAAACTTGGATTTAAAAAAATCTAACATCAGCTATTAAAAAATACAGATTTTCCCAATAAATATTTTTCTACCTCTAACATACGTGTGTCCATATATATGTGAGGGTCTTTCTTATGATCTCTTGTCCACTTGTCTATCACCAATATTACTGTTTTAATTACTATAATTTGAATTAATCTTATGCCTGATATAACTAGACCATAAGGAAGCATATCTGGATCTGATGAAGAGGACTTTGTGTCATCACTATGGAATATATTTTCAAATGGATGAAGTGATTAGACAGTTTTTTGTGGTTATAATTTTTGGTGAGAGAGTTTGTGTGATAGCTGCACATGGATAATGTACATGGACACATGAATAAAGTGGGAGAATGTTCTAGAAACTTTATTTTCCCACAATATTTCCCTCCTCCCACCCTATCTCTCTCATTCTATCTCTTGCACTTTATCTGTAGTATTGAAACTCCTGATCTTCATCAGGATACACAACCACCTAGAAACAATTATACATTTCCCAATTATCCATAATGTTAGTTGTGAGCATGTTTATATTTCGTAGCTTACAGATCCTAAGGACAGTATTGTGTATAACTTTCAGAGCATGGTTTTTGTTGTTGTTGTTGCTTTATTTTTGTTTTTATTTATTTATTTTTTTGAGATGGAGTCTCACTCTGTTGCAAGGCTGGAGTGCAGTGGCACAATCTTGGCTCACTGCAACCTCCACTTCCCGGGTTCAAGCAATTCTCCTGCCTCAGCCTCCTGAGTAGCTGGGACTACAGGCACGTGTCACCACGCCCAGCTAATTTTTTGTATTTTTAGTAGAAACGGCGTTTCACCATGTTGGCCAGGATGGTTTTGATCTCTTGACCTCATGATCTGCCTGCCTCGTCCTCCTAAAGTGCTGGGATTACAGGCGTGAGCCACTGTGCCCGGTCGTTTTATTTTTATTTTTTTTAAGTGATGTGATTTCTTTCCTAACCTGGTCTCCTTTCTTTTTAGCTAAAATGCAGACTCTAGGCCTGCAGCTCCCGACATCATTTTAGTCAGAGACATTACTTTGGGAATGAATATCGTGAAAGACAAAGCAAACAATAAATGTAACTTTATCTCTAACAAGAAACATCATTTTAGTTCTAGACCAACTATGTGAAGTTTTCTTGCAATTGAAAGGAAAAGCAGCATCCTTCTTTTTTTAAGCAACTGTGACTTGAGGTGTTATGTTACTACTTCGTGAGCTTAATCCCAACTAATGAAGATGACCAGTAAGAACTCAGATTATTTTTAAAAAAGTGTACTTTTTGTATTCAGAGAGAATATATTGACTGTGGAGCATGATAAGAAGTAATGGTGGCAACGGTGTTTCATCCAATATAATCAAAATTTTTTTTTCAGAAATTTTTTAAAAATAACTTTAAAAGAGAGGTACAAAATATTTTACACAAAAGAATTATAGTTCAATGCATACAAATATAAGCAACATAAATAAAAGTGTGTGCATTTTTGAACAAATACTTCTAGTAGGAAGAAAAAAAGGAATTTCAAGTGTGTGTCAAAGGCTATAATGATTTCATTTTTAAATATCTTGTATTATAGGTTATATTTTGTAAGAATTACTTTATATTATACTACTTAGGAAAAACAATACAATGATAAAATCAATTACCTTTCTATTTAAATATAATATTACAGCTGCATGATAATGGGTTAATAATGTATTTAGAAAGCTTAGAACTTCTTTAGTTTCCAAGGCAACTAATTTTTCCATTTTGTATTCAAAGTTTAAGGGCTTTTTGAAAATTAAAGATATTGTAACACTACTTTCATTTAAGGATCAAAAACAAGAAAGTTGATTTTAAATTGTAGCATTTTGCAAAAAGTGTCATGAAAATTTTTATTTTTTCAACTCGTGTTGTATATAGACCCTTTAAACTATGTATACACAGAACTAAAAAACAAAACACTCTCACATAATCAGGCGAGCAAGACAAAAATATCAAAAACAAAATTACAAACAATATTTTCTAATTGTCATCATTTTTTCAAATCATGATTTATACTAAAGTATCCATGAAAGCAAAAATACTTTGGTAACTCAATTCCTAATGTAGTTTCATGTTCACTGAGGAGGTTGTACATTTTCCATAACGTCTTGTATAATGTTGGCTATTTAGGCAAATTGAGCCTATCATCAGCCTTCAAGTTTTCTGCTTTCCTTTTTAGATCTATCATAAATCTGTTCTAGATTTCCCAGTTTAACACCAAGTAATTAAATAAGTCCCATTTTTGCATGAATTATGTGCTGTTCTTTTTATGAAATAAACATGCTGCAGAATTAAGGTTCTCTTAAAAAGTTAGGAGTGAATAATCAGTGCTCCAAGCATTGTCACCTGAAGTAATCTATAGAAAGGGACGCTAGCCATAGCACCCTCAAGGGGTAAGGAACTTTCATCCACATGCCATCAGAGAGTGAAAATTAGTGAAATAATCTAGACAGATTTAGAGATCACAGAGTTATACTGAAAATATTTTAAGTAAGTCAAGATTCTAAGTACTGTCTTATGCAGAATTTTTTTATTAGTCTTTAAGTAAAGTGAGCCTAGAGTTTTCAAGGGTCTGGGAAATGTAAAAGATCTTAAAAAAATACTTAAAACATTTTATTTCTGTAATAACAATAGAACCCTGGAAATTAGAAAGTAATTCATATTTACTGAAATAAATATAAAATGTAACACTACATCAAATTAATTTAGTATATTTTATATTATAAAATTATATAACTAATTTAGTATATTTTATAAATGCCAGATTGTATTAATAAAATCTGGCATTTATAAAATATACTAAACTAGAAATAGTTTGGTTTTATTTTTTCACTTTGTAAAACTCCTCCAGATTTGATTTGTTTAGTTATAAATTATAGCCAATTGTGAATTTAATAAGTTCATTGTTACAGAATTATTTCAAAAGCAAGATGATTAACAGAATTCCTTTACATTCTTTATAGAAATAGGTATATCCATTACAGATGCATTTCTATTCTTATGTTTGACATATTTCAGTCTATAAATTAAGCAGGCCTAAATTCTGCAAAAGTCTTAAATAGTCCCAGTATTTCAAATACCAACACATTTATCCAAGCTCTAAAATATTGTGTTAAGTTTATAAACAGGTGGTCTCAATAGACAACAAAGCTCATGTGTTTTTATTATCCTTTTAATATATTACTATTCTGGGCAAAAAAATACAAAAGACAAATTAGATATATTTACTTACTTCACAATAGTGTAGCAAAGAAGAAATACATGAATAGTTGTCATATAATATACCTGGAGAGAAATAGAAAATTTTAGCACAGCTAATTTAGCACAATTAACCTGCTGTTAATTGTGGTACTTACTTGATTTTGCCTGACTATACACTTAACAGTATGCAAACTAAGGGCTAGATGATACTTGCACATGCAGTAGAGTGCATTATAGGTCTACTGATGACCTCTCTGTCTAAGAGAGAAAGAGAAAGCTTGTGTTTATTCTGGAATATAAAAGCATCATCTCCAGGATGGGGAATGAGACTTTACTATCCTAGAATATTTCTGAGGACAGAGGCTTTATCTATACTATAAAAAGACTACTTTCTCTGACACAAAGGGAGACAATACATAAATCTTCTAAGAATATGCATTTGCTATGCATAGCAAAATTCTGAGATTCAAAAATATATTCAACATGTGTACTCCCCTCAGCATAGACTTGTAAAAGGAATATATTTCTGCAAATATACAAACATCATTGCAAGAATTATCAGTACTTTTGCTTAGAAAGTCCAGACTGCAGAAGCATGATATGGCAATGAAAATTATGTATCCCAATGGACACATAATCTTGTTTGTGGTATTTAAGGTTTTATCCAGTGCAGTTATTTTTATATAAAAATGCTTGTAGAGACTTATCAAAATAACAGTCTAAAAAGATAAGTAAAAAGAATAATATAAAATAATAACATGAATTTTTAAGAACACTAAATTCATATTTTTGAACAACTGGAAACATTTTATTGTAGTCTAAATTGAAATATTTATTGATAGTTTAGTCCAGATTTGCAATCCATGTTGGAAACAATTCCAACTCACAGTTCTCAATCCTTCTGATATGGTTTGCTCTGTGTCCCCACCCAAATCTCATCTTGTAGCTCTCATAATTCCCATGGTTATGGGAGATACCTTGTGGGAGATAATTGAATCATGGGGATGGGTCTTTCTTGTGCTCTTCTCATGACAGTGAATGGGTCCCACAAGATCTGATGCTTTTAAAAAGAGGAGTTCCCCTGCACAGGCTCTCTCTCTGTCTGCCACCATCCATGTAAGATGTGATTTGCTCCTCCTTGCCTTCTGCCATGTGAGGCCTCTCCAGCCATGTGGAACTGTAAGTCCATTAAACCTCTTTTTCTTCCCAGTCTCAGGCATGTCTTTATCAGCAGCATGAAAACTAACTAATACACCCTCATATCTGACAAAGATACCAGAATAATTCCTTTGTAAACTGCTCAATCATTTCCTTCTCTTCCCATGTCTACCTTCTGCACAGTAGCCTAAGGAAGTAATTGTTAGTTTTTTTTTAAAGGAATTCCATATATACCACAAGCCTTACAAAAAGGTACTCTCTCTATATATATATGTATATCACAAAGTATCTAATAACGCTATATTGAAGCTTTATAATAGTCTTTGTGTCAGTGAGGTTTGGCAAACAACATCATATAATTTATTGTGTTTTATTGCATTCAACAACTACATAAACTAGTGATGATTTACAGCATCTGCATGTGTATACTGAATGCTATCAACAACTGTATTCATGACTTTTTTATAGAATCTACTTCAAAAAACCTCAGTGTATTTTTCCCAATATACATTTAAATTTCAAATCCACACTGTTAAACTAAAATAATTAAGCATCATACATCACAAAAACTAATTCTTTATATTTAATTGAGATTCTTCTTTGACATGCCATAGATTCTAAAATATTTGACATGAGCTCAATTTTTAAGCTGCAAATTGGCAACAATTTTTTCTTAATTCAGAAGTACTTTGAGAAAATATGTACTCCAACTGTCAAATGAACAATGTCTCTTGCAACACATAGTTAATTGAAAATAAACAAAATTACATGAACTTTTAATATTTTAAATTAATTATAACTATTGTTAAAAAGATGCTATATTTAGTAGATAATTAACAGCTTAATTGATTTTTTACTTCTGAAAATATTCTTGGTCTTTACAATTATAGAATTGTCTAACAAAACTTCCATGAAACAAATAAATAATGTATTTTATTAATTATCCATCCAAAAATAGTTTTTAGTTTGTGCAAAGACCAAGTCATTTGAAAGCTGGCCAAAGTCACACACTTTGATCTTGTTAAATATGATTTACCTTTGTTGTTAAATATTTACTTTTGATTGCAAGTGACTAATTTATTTAATTTTCTTTTTAATTTGAAGGGCATTTCTATCCAAATTAAGAATGTATTTTCTAAATATTTCTCTCTATTATTACTTTTATTATGTATAAATTTATTTTAGGCAAACAAATATTTTTTGCTTTTTCATTTTATTCACCGCAGCAAATTTCACATGGCACTTATAGTGAAATTAACAATATACAGCTATTGAAGATTTTAGAAAATTACTTCTCATGATATATTCACAGTTTTTCTATTTTTAATCTATCATTATTTACAAGAGTTTTCTCATTTTAAAATCAATATGTACCTGAGGATGACATCAGCAATATGGCAGAATAGGAAGACCCAGCCCTTGTTCTACCACAGAAATACTGAGTTAATAATAATATGAGAACTGAATATTTCTATGAGAAGTCTAGATATCAGTTAAGAGGTTGAAGTGCCCCAGATGAGCACAAAATCACAAACAACTACGTTAAAAAGAAAACAAAAGAGCAATTTTACTTTACTTACATCAGCCAGGCCCCAAAGCCAACCAGCTCAATTCTGCAAGAGATCACCCTGACCTGTAATTTATTTATTGGGGGAAAACAAAGAGTAAATCATCATCCTTTCAACTTCCCTGGTAATTTGGTGTGCTATCCAATGGGCTTCTGTTCATCTCACATGAAGTGCTGATGAACCTGTCAAAATGTGGATACCTGTGGCAGCTAAGAAGAAATAAAAAGGAAGTGGCAGATTTCTGTGGCCTAGCATAATTTTGCAAGATTGGGAGAAAAGATGGAACCTCAGGCTTCTCCCAAAGAAAGGAAATAGTAGAAGTTGAATGTGTGTCCCAAGTCCCAGCTTTTCAGGGTGCTGCTTATAGGGCCAGCTTATGTCTCATCTCATCTGTAATGCTGACAGAACTGGCACAATTATGGGGAGGGAGCTAAGAACAAAAGAAAAGTGTATGATGATTGCTGTTTGATAGGCATTCAGAATTTCTAGCCAAAATAAAATACTTCCCGGTTAAGCCAGTCCATGAAGGCTGGGATGGTGGTCTTTTCTTCAAATACGCAATCACCAAAGCAAAGGTACATGCAACACAAAAAATCAGGGAAACATGATACAATCAAGGAACCAAAATAAATCTCTGGTAACTGACTCCAAACAAATGGAGATCTATTACTTGCCTGACAAATAATTCCAAATTCAAAATTCTTGAAAAAGCTCAGTGAGTTCCAGTAAAATAGAGGTAGACAAATCAGTGAAATCAGGAAAATAATACATACTAATACATACATACATACATACACACACACACACACACACACACACACACACAAATGAGAATACCAACAAAAAGCAATCATACATTAAAAAAATCTGAAATACTGGAGCTGAAGAATACCTCACTTGAATTTTGCAGTGGCAGACTTCATCAAGTAGGACAAAGAATCAGCGAGTTGGAAGACAAATCATTTAAATTGCCCAAGCAGAAAAGCAACCATTTTTAAAAATAACATAAGAAATAAGACAGAAGCTACAAGTCTTACAGGGCACCATCCAAAGAACCAAAATAGCATTATGGGAGGTCCAGAAGAAGAAGAGATAAAGAAGTAAAAAGATTATTTCAAAAAATAATAGCCCCCAACTTCTCACATCTTGGGAGGAAAATGAACATCCAGATTCATGAAACCAAGAAACTCCCCAAAAATAAAAACTGAAAAGGAAGTCTACACTGAGACATATTATAATTAAATTATCAAAAGGCAAAGACAAGAAGAGAATTCTGAAAGCAGCAAGAGAACAATGACTTGTTACATATAAGGGAGGTTATCTAAAATTATCAGGTTTTTTCAGCAGAAACCTTATAGATCAGAAGGGAGTAAAATGATATATTTAAAGTGTTAAGAGGAAAAACAAAAACCTGCCCACCAAGGATACTATAATTAGCATAACTGACTTTAAAAATATAGATGAGATAAAGACTTTTCAAGACAAAGAAAAGCTAAGAGTTCATCACCCTGGATTTACTTTACAATAAAAGCTAAAGAGAGTGTTGCAAGTTGAAACAAAACAGTGCCAAACAGCAACCAAAAAAATATTAAAGTATAAAATTCACTGGTAGAGATAAATGTGTATACAAAGAATACTGTAATATGTAATAGTAGTGATTAAATTACTTTTAATTCTGGTATTAAAGCTAAAAGACAAAAGTATTGATAAATATAAGTATAAAAATAAGTTCAGGGAAAAGACATAGAAAGGTATGAACTCTGTCATCAATAACAAATGTATGGGATTGGGAAAAAGGAAACATGCAGCTTTTGTATGAGATTAATGTATCAAGTAAAATAGACTATATAAAATGATATTTTATGTTAGCCCCATGGCAACCACACAGAAAATATTTACAGAATACACACACACACACACACACACACACACACACACGCAAAGATAAAGAAATCAAAGCACATCCATACAAAAGAAAATCAATTAAATACAAAGGGAGATAGAGAGGAAAGGGATACAAGAATTACAATAGAGAAAAAAATAACAAAATGGCAGTAGAATATCTTTCTCTATCAATAATTACCTTAAATGTAAATGGATTAAACTCTCATTTAAAAGACTTGGAGTGGCTGAATATAAATAAAGTAAAAAAATATTAAGACCCAACTATATGTTATCTATGAGAGAATCGCTTTAGATTTAAGGACGTACAAAGGCTGAAAAAAGAAGAAATGAAAAGAAATGGTCCATGAAGATGGTAAACAAAAAACAGCCAGAGATGGCTATATTTACATGAGAGAAAATAGACTTTAAGTAAAAAAAGAAAAGAAAGAAAGAAAAGCTGTCACTAGAGAGTCATTTTATAATTATATGAGTCAATCAACCAGGAATATATAAAAATTGTAAATACATATGTAGCCAACACTAGAGAAATTAAATATGTAAAGCAAACACTGACAGAACCAAAAGAAAATAGATAGCAGTAGCATAATAATAATAAATTTTAATAATACACTTTTAATAATAGCTAGAACATCCAGGCAGAAAGTCAACAAAGAAAAGTGGACATGAACAACATTGCAGGAACAAATTGACCTATGGGCATATACAGAACATTCTACTCAACAGCAGCAAAATATATATTCTGCACAAGCACACACTGATCATTCTCCAGTATAAATTACATTACATCACAAAACAAGTGTTAAGAAATTTAAGATGATTGATATCATACGAACTATCTTTAACCCCAACTGAATAAAATTAAGACATCAAAAATAGAATATTGTAAATTCACAAATATGTTAAAGCAACATACTCTTGAGTGATCAATGGGTAAAAGAAGAAATCAAAAGGGAAATTAGAGAATAACTTAAAAAATTAAAACAAAAACAAATCTATGAAATATAGCAAAATTATGAAATATAGCAAAAGTAGTTCTAAGGGAGAAGTTTATCATGATAAGTACCTACATTAAAGAAGGACATCAAATAAGCAACCTAAACTTACCTTGAAGAACCAGAAAATAAGACAAACTATGCCACAAATTCAGAAAAGAAAAGAAATGATAAAGGGTAAGGCAAAATAAATGGAGAATAGAAAAATAATTTTTATAAAATAATTGACTTGGATATTTGAAATAATAAAATTGGCGAAGTTAGACTGTGAAAAAATGAAAGAAGTCATATAAATAAAATCAGATATCAGAAAGAGACATCAGTTGATGCACAAAATAAAAAGAATAATTATAGGGTAATGCGAACAACTATACACAAGAAAAAATGCTGCACTTGTATAAAAAATTTACCATGAGGCCCGGCCCAGTGGCTCACGCTCGTAATCCCGGCACTTTGGGAGGCCGAGATGGGCGGATCACGAGGTCAGGAAATCGAGATCATCCTGGCTGACACGGTGAAACCCCGTCTCTACTAAAAATACAAAAAATATTAGCCAGGCGTGGTGCTGGGCGCCTGTAGTCCCAGCTACTTGGGAGGCTGAGGCAGGAGAATGGCGTGAACCAGAGAGGCAGAGCTTGCAGTGAGCAGATATTGCGCCATTGCACTCTAGCCTGGGCTACTGAGCAAGACTCCATCTCAAAAAATAAAAATAAAAATACAAATAAAAACATAAACTTACCATGAATGGAGCTTGCAGGACTGAAATTTTCTCTGAGTAAGTCAGGGAGTTAGTGCTGAGTGAATGTGAAGGTCTAGGACCCTAGCACTACTGTAGACTTTATAAACACTGTAGATTTTATAAACCCTAGATACTTAAGCTACACTAAGTTTATATATACACATGTACATGTGTATACATACATACGTATATGTGTATATACACATATACGTATGTATGTATACACATATATATATATATTTTTTTTTTTTTTTTTGAGACGGAGTCTCGCTCTGTCACCCAGGCTGGAGTGTAGTGGTGTGATCTCGACTCACTGCAAGCTCCACCTGCCGGGTTCAAGGGATTCTCTTGCCTCAGCCTCCCGAGTAGCTGGGACTACAGGAGCCCGCCGCCACACCCGGCTAATTTTGTGTAGTTTTAGTAGAGACGGGGTTTCACCGTGTTAGCCAGGATGGTCTCGATTTCCTGACCTCGTGATCAGCCCACCTCGGCCTCCCAAAGTGATGGAATTATGGGCGTGAGCCACCGCACCCGGCCTATAATGTGTATTTTTAATTCTTTAGTAACAAATTGAATTTAGCTTGCTGTAATTTTTTCTTTTTCTTTTTTTTCTTTTTTGAGACGGAGTTCCGCTCTTCTTGCCCAGGCTGGGGTGCAATGGGGCCATCTCAGCTAACTGCAATCTCTGCCTCCCAGGTACAAGCAATTCTCCTGTCTCAGCCTCCCAAGTAGCTTGGATTACAGGCATGCGCCAACAACACCGGCTACTTTTTTTGTATTTAGTAGAGAGGAGGTTTCACCACATTAGGCTGGTCGCGAACTCCTGACCTCAGGCAATCCACCGCCTCCGCCTCTCAACGTGCTGGGATTACAGGTGTGTGCCACCATGCCATGCCAGCTTGCTGTAATTTTTAATAAACTTTCTAATTGTTTTAACTTTTTGTCTTTTAACACTTAATTTAAAACACAACCGCTTTATACATCAACACAGGTTTTTTCTTTATATTCTTATTTTATAAGCTTTTTAAATTTTTAAACTATTTATTTTACTTTTAAAACTTTTTTCTTAAAAACTAAAACACAAACACACATATTAGTAGATGCCAATACAGGGTGAGAATCATCAAGATGTTACTAAGCAAAATTAAGTTTCAGCTTTAATATTATGGGACCACTGTTGTATATGCAGACCATCATTGACCAAAATGTTGTTATGTGGTGCATGACTGCATTTATGTGTATACTACGAGAAAAAGGTAAGTGCCCTTCTCAGAGTGTAATAAAACCACACTATCATATACAATGAAATGGTTTAAATAAAATATAGTGTGAACAAGACAGTAAGTTTCTGTTTATTATTTTCTAATGTTTCAGTCTTTAAAGTAGAAATTAATGCACGTCAAAAAAATTAACAATTTAGATCCTTGTTAATATTTGCCACACTTCAAGGCATCATACCTGCATGTAGGCAGTGGGAAGTGCATCGAATAAGACAATGTTAGTGGGTTCTCTAGCATTTCTTAGTCCTGAAGTAGGGTTAATGACATCTCTTTACATTTTAAGTCCGAAGTGCAGATATAATGCTGCAACTTTCAATTGAAGATACCTTATCAAATTCCATTTCAAAATAACTGCTGTCTAAATAACTAAAGGCCACAGGCATCCTAGGGTAAGTAACCCTGGTACCTTTTTAATTATTTATATGGCAGGCTTGGAATTGATTTTTTTCTTAGTCAGAAATAATGGCACACAGGGCATGTAAATTTTGATGGAGTAAATGCAATTATGATGAAAGGCGAGAAAGGTCCAGAACAAGGCATTTTTTGAGAGAAACAGGCAGAATCATAGTGTTATAGCTAATGCATCATGCAACTTGAGAGCCATGAGTTTCTGTGGAGGTTAAATGAACAAGAATCAGAGGGAAATTTTAAAAGACAAAACAATCCTGGGTAAAACTGAAAAACAGAGTGTAGAAATGTATGTGATCACGCCAGGCGCAGTAGCTCATGCCTGTAATCCCAGCAGTTTGGGAGGCCGAGGTGGGCGGATCACGAGGTCAGGAAATCGAGACCATCCTGGCTAACATGGTGAAACCCCATCTAGACTAAAAATACAAAAAATTAGCCACGTGCAGTGGTGGGTGCCTGTAGTCCCAGCTACTTGGGAGGCTGAGGCAGGAGAATGGTGTGAACCCGGGAGGCGGAGCTTGCAGTGAGTCGAGATCGTGCCACTGCACTCCAGCCTGGGCCTGGGCGACAGAGCGAGACCCCGTCTCAAAAAAAAAAAAAAAAAAGAAAGAAAGAAATGTACGTGATCCACAGTCAAAACTCAGGTGTTCACGGAAGAGAAGCACCTTATTTGTGGTTATATAATAAACTTAATTCATGCTCAGTTCTCTAGCAAGATAACTTAATCTAGCAATTTCAATGTATTTCCTTACTCCGATTCTGAAATTTAAAAAATTACTTCAAGGTTAAAATTGATTTGTTTGGCATTAATCTTTAGTTCATTCAGTATTGCTCTCTCCCCCTTATCCTTTTAACCCTAAGTCTTAGGGTTAACTAATTTCTTAGAATTTTATATTTAGATTATCCTTGTCTTCCCTCGTCTGCACTGATATCTTTAGGACACTGGCCTCTATATTTCTTTTACTTAGACTAGAGAACCTGCTAATCCCACTTTGGCCTTCACTTGCTAGACATCTTCCTCATCTGAACCATGGGATCCATTGGGAAGTGCAGCCGAGTTCTGACCGATATTTTGGTATGGACGGCTCAAATATAGACCCTGGAAATATTTGAATTATGTCTAATCTCCAGCTCTCTCTGAAGCTACAGGAAGCTACCAGTGGAGGGGCCAATCTCACATTTTCTTTTGATAACATGAACTTTTTCTGCTTTTATTTGGAGTTACTCCATTATGGCATGGTGTGCTTTGTGAGACTTAACTTTTTCTTGATTTTCAAAATGTATGAGGGAAATATATATCTACATTGTGCTCAGATCTCTAATCCTATCGCCTACAACCACCTTCAAGAGGACTCAGATACCAAAAATATTTTCTGTTTTATAAACTCTCTGATGTACTCATGTTTTTGGAGGTTCTCCTTGAGCTGTGTAATTCTTACATCATTCACCAATCCAAAGGTTTGCTGGCCCCAAGGACTTCTGGTGCAAAAATAAGCATGCAAAAGATTTAGGGTCGTGTGGCTGACTGAAACTTCTAGAACAGAAATTATCATTTCAAGAATCTTCCCTGTTACAGTGAGTAGATATAGAAATTTCTTGGTTATTAACATCTAGAGAGATAGAATAGTAGTGATGAAAACATTGCTCTCCATCTTGTACTTCAAAACTGGCTTAGTTTCATTCTTTCCCCCATGTCTCCCTTCCCACAAAACAAATTTCATACATACCTTGGCTTTCCTCGAGAATAGGATCTATAGAGGATTGTTGACCCACAAATGCTAACATCCAAATTAACTTAAGATTTTACCCCACTATTGAGAATTTAAGTGTGGGAAATCTGGAAACTAGACATGGTTTGTGAACCACAGGGTTGATAAAATAAATTTCATATCTCATTCCACAGTTATTTGAGTTCAGCAATGTGAGGCACGAGAAGCTTACGGGTTCAGTAATTTTACAGATGAGGGTGTCATTTCTCCTTTGATGTCAAAAAGTGCATAAAAGAATAAAATATAATAAGTTCAAATTTATCTTCAAAGGAAAATTACCTAAATTTAACAATTAGATGTGACAGAGTAGGAGTCAACAAGGAAAATATTCTTAGATTTTTTTGAAAAATAAAAGCACTTTTGGTTATGTGAATAAATAACTAGCAAACAGTTAAAAATCAGTAGTCAAACTATACGAAAAATAACAGGTACCTGGAAATACCTGTATGAGAACACAGCAATTCAGTGACATGTTCAGGCTTTACTTCTAATTCTAGTTCTCTTGCTATTTTCACCACATCTAGTTACTTCCTTCACCGAAGCCTTGAACCCCTTAAAGTCATCCAGGAGGATGAGAAACAACTTTCTCCAAACTCCTATTAATGTTATTATGTTGACCTCCTCCCATAAATCATGAATGATCTTAGTGGCATCAAAAATGGTGAATTCTTTCCAGAAGGTTTTTAATTTACTTTGTGCACATTCTATAGAAGAATCACTATCAGTGGCAACTATGGACTTACAAATGTATTCCTTAAATAATAAGACTCGGACGTCAAAACTCCTCCTTGATACATGGGCTACAGAATTTATATTCTGTTAGCAGGCATAAAAGCCCTAAAAGAGCTCCTGAAGGAAGCACTAAACATAGAAAGGAACAATCGGTACCAGCCGCTGCAAAATCATGCCAAAATGTAAAGACCATCGAGACTAGGAAGAAACTGCATCAACTAACGAGCAAAATAACCAGCTAACATCATAATGATAGGATCAAATTCACACATAACAATATTAACTTTAAATGTAAATGGACTAAATGCTCCAATTAAAAGACACAGACTGGCAAATTGGATAAAGAGTCAAGACCCATCAGTGTGCTGTATTCAGGAAACCCATCTCACATGCAGAGACACACATAGGCTCAAAATAAAAGGATGGAGGAAGATCTACCAAGCAAATGGAAAACAAAACAAGGCAGGGGTTGCAATCCCAGTCTCTGATAAAACAGACTTTAAACCAACAAAGATCAAAAGAGACAAAGAAGGCCATTACATAATGGTAAAGGGATCAATTCAACAACAAGAGCTAACTATCCTAAATATATATGCACCCAATACAGGAGCACCCAGATTCATAAAGCAAGTCCTGAGTGACCTACAAAGAGACTTAGACTCCCACACATTAGTAATGGGAGACTTTAACACCCCACTGTCAACATTAGACAGATCAATGAGACAGAAAGTTAACAAGGATACCCAGGAATTGAACTCAGCTCTGCACCAAGCATACCTAATAGACATCTACAGAACTCTCCACCCCAAATCAACAGAATATACATTTTTTTCAGCACCACACCACACCTACTCCAAAATTGACCACATAGTTGGAAGTAAAGCTCTCCTCAGCAAATGTAAAGGAACAGAAATTATAACAAACTATCTCTCAGACCACAGTGCAATCAAACTTGAACTCAGGATTAAGAAACTCACTCAAAACTGCTCAGCTACATGGAAACTGAAACAACCTGTTCCTGAATGACTACTGGGTACATAACGAAATGAAGGCAGAAATAAAGATGTTCTTTGAAACCAACGAGAACAAAGACACAACATACCAGAATCTCTGGGACACATTCAAAGCAGTGTGTAGAGGGAAATTTATAGCACTAAATGCCCACAAGAGAAAGCAGGAAAGATCCAAAATTGACATCCTAACCTCACAATTAAAAGAACTAGAAAAGCAAGAGCAAACACATTCAAAAGCTAGCAGAAGGCAAGAAATAACTAAAACCAGAGCAGAACTGAAGGAAATAGAGACACAAAAAAACCCTTCAAAAAATTAATGAATCCAGGAGCTGGTTTTTTGAAAGGATCAACAAAATTGATAGACCACTAGCAAGACTAATACAGAAGAAAAGAGAGAAGAATCCAATAGACGCAATAAAAAATGATAAAGGGGATATGACCACCGATCCCACAGAAATACAAACTACCATCAGAGAATACTACAAACACCTCTATGCAAATAAACTAGAAAATCTAGAAGAAATGGATAAATTCCTTGACACATACACTCTCCCAAGACTAACCCAGGAAGAAGTTGAATCTCTGAATAGATCAATAACAGGAGCTGAAATTGAGGCAATAATCAATAGCTTACCAACCAAAAAGACTCCAGGACCAGATGGATTCACAGCCGAATTCTACCACAGGTACAAGGAGGAACTGGTACCATTCCTTCTGAAACTATTCCAATCAATAGAAAAAGAGGGAATCCTCCCTTACTCATTTTATGAGGCCAGCATCATCCTGATACCAAAGCCGGGCAGAGACACAACCAAAAAAGAGAATTTTAAACCAATGTCCTTGATGAACATTGATGCAAAAATCCTCAATAAAATACTGGCAAACCGAATCCAGCAGCACATCAAAAAGCTTATCCACCATGATCAAGTGGGCTTCATCCCGGGGATGCAAGGCTGGTTCAATATACGCAAATCAATAAATGTAATCCAGCATATAAACAGAACCAAGGACAAAAACCACATGATTATCTCAAAGATGCAGAAAAGGCCTTTGACAAAATTCAACAACGCTTCATGCTAAAAACTCTCAATAAATTAGTTATTGATGGGACGTATCTCAAAATAATAAGAGCTGTCTATGACAAACCCACAGCCAATATCATACTGAATGGGCAAAAACTGGAAGCATTCCCTTTGAAAACTGCACAAGACAGGGATGCCCTCTCTCACCACTCCTATTCAACATAGTGTTGGAAGTTCCGGCCAGGGCAATTAGGCAGGAGAAGGAAATAAAGGGTATTCAATTAGGAAAAGAGGAAGTCAAATTGTCCCTGTTTGCAGATGACATGATTGTATATCTAGAAAACCCCATTGTCTCAGCCCAAAATCTCCTTAAGCTGATAAGCAACTTCAGCAAAGTCTCAGGATACAAAAATCCATGTACAAAAATCACAAGCATTCTTATACACCAACAACAGACAAACAGAGAGCCAAATCATGAGTGAACTCCCATTCACAATTGCTTCAAAGAGAATAAAATACCTAGGAATCCAACTTACAAGGGATGTGAATGACCTCTTCAAGGAGAACTACAAACCACTGCTCAAGGAAATAAAAGAGGATACAAACAATGGAAGAACATTCCATGCTCATGGGTAGGAAGAATCAATATCGTGAAAATGGCCATACTGCCCAAGGTAATTTATAGATTCAATGCCATCCCCATCAAGCTACCAATGAGTTTCTTCACAGAATTGGAAAAAACTGCTTTAAAGTTCATATGGAACCAAAAAAGAGCCCGCATCGCCAAGTCAATCCTAAGTCAAATGAACAAAGCTGGAGGCATCACACTACCTGACTTCAAACTATACTACAAGGCTACAGTAACCAAAACAGCATGGTACTGGTACCGAAACAGCATGGTACTGGTACCAAAACTGGTACCAAAACAGAGATATAGATCAATGGAACAGAACAGAGCCCTCAGAAATAATGCCACATATCTACAACTATCTGATCTTTGACAAACCTGACAAAAACAAGCAATGGGGAAAGGATTCCTTATTTAATAAATGGTGCTGGGAAAACTGGCTAGCCATATGTAGAAAGCTGAAACTGGATCCCTTCCTTACACCTTCTACAAAAATCAATTCAAGATGGATTAAAGACTTAAACGTTAGACCTAAAACCATAAAAACCCTAGAAGAAAACCTAGGCTTTACCATTCAGGACATAGGCATGGGCAAGGACTTCATGTCTAAAACACCAAAAGCAATGGCAACAAAAGACAAAATTGACAAATGGGATCTAATTAAACTAAAGAGCTTCTGCACAGCAAAAGAAACTACCATCAGAGTGAACAGGCAACCTACAAAATGGGAGAAAATTTTCACAACCTACTCATCTGACAAGGGGCTAATATCCAGAATCTACAATGAACTCAGACAAATTTACCAGAAAAAAACAACCCCATCAAAAAGTGGGTGAAGGACATGAACAGACAATTCTCAAAAGAAGACATTTATGCAGCCAAAAAACACATGAAAAAATGCTCACCATCACTGGCCATCAGAGAAATGCAAATCAAAACCACAATGAGATACCATCTCACACCAGTTAGAATGGCAATCATTAAAAAGTCAGGAAACAACAGGTGCTGGAGAGGATGTGGAGAAATAGGAACACTTTTACACTGTTGGTGGGACTGTAAACTAGTTCAACCATTGTGGAAGTCAGTGTGGCGATTCCTCAGGGATCTAGAAAGAGAAATACCATTTGACCCAGCCATCCCATTACTGGGTATATACCCAAAGGACTATAAATCATGCTGCTATAAAGACACATGCACACGTATGTTTATTGCAGCACTATTCACAATAGCAAAGACTTGGAACCAATGCAAATGTCCAACAATGATAGATTGGATTAAGAAAATGTGGCACATATACACCATGGAATACTAAGCAGCCATAAAAAATGATGAGTTCATGTCCTTTGTAGGGACATGGATGAAATTGGAAATCATCATTCTCAGTAAACTATCGCAAGAACAAAAAACCAAACACCGCATATTCTCACTCATAGGTGGGAATTGAACAATGAGAACACATGGACACAGGAAGGGGAACATCACACTCTGGGGTCTGTTGTGGGGTAGGGGAGAGGGATAGCACTGGGAGATATACGTAATGCTAGATGACGAATTAGTGGGTGCAGCGCACAGCATGGCACATGTATTCATATGTAACTAACCTGCACATTGTGCACATGTTCCCTAAAACTTAAAGTATAATTAAAAGAAAAAGAATAACATTAACCTCTGTGTACATCTCCATCAGAGCTCTTTGGTGAGAAAGGTGCATTGTCAATGAGCACTTATATTTTGAAGAGGATCTTTTTCTCATGAGCAGTAGCTCTCAACAGTGGGCTTAAAATATTCAGTAAATCATGCTGCAAAAAGATGTACTGTTATCCAGGCTTTGTTGTTTCATTTATGGAGCAAGGGTAAAGTAAATTTAGCATAATTCTTAAAGGTCCTAGGATTTTCAGAATGACAAATCAGCATTGGCTCCAACTTAAAGTTGCCAGCCACATTAGCCCCCAGTAAGAGAGTCAACCTGTTCTTTGAAGCTTTGAAGCTAGTCATTGACTTCTGTCTAGCTATGAAAAGTCCTAGATGGCATGTTTTTCCAATGGAAGGCTGTTTGGTCTACATTAAAAATCTGCTGATTAGTGTAGCCATCCTTACCAATTACCTTAGCTATATCTTCAGGAAAACTTGCAACTTCTCCATCAGCACTTGCTGCTTCACCTCGCACTTTTATGTTATGAAACAAATTATTTTCTGAAACATCATGAACCAATTTCTGCTACCTTCAAACTTTGCTTCTGCAGCTGTCTCACTTATTTCAGCCTTCAGAGAATTGAACAGAGCTAGGGTCTTGCTCTGAATTAAGTTTTTTAGCTTAAAGGAATGCTATGACCAGTTTAATCTTCTATTTAGACAACAAAAAGTTTGTTCATCAATAATGCTATTTTACTTTCTTATCATGCACATTTTCATTAGAGGTGCACATTCAATTATTTTTAAGAACTTTTCCTTTTCATTTACAACATGGCTAACTGGTTAATGCAAGAAGCCTAACTTTGAGCCTTTTTTGGCTTTTGGCATACCTTCCTTAATAAGCTAAATTATTTTTAGCTTCTGATTTAAAGTGAGAGACATGAGACTCTTCCTTTCACTTGAACACTTAGAAGTCACTCTAGGGTTATTAATTGGCTTAATTTTAGTGTTATTGTGTCTCAGAAAATAGAAAGGCCCAAGAAGAAGGAGAGAGCTAAGGGAAGTTCTAGTCAATGATACAGTCGGAATACACAGCATTGAACAATCAAGTTTGCAGTCTTATATAGGCACAGTTTGTGGCGCCCCAAAACAATTACAATAGCAACAACAAAGATCACTAAGCACAGCTCACCATAACAGATATACTAATAATGAAAAAGTTTGAAATATATCGGAATTGCCAAAATGTGACACAGAGACACAAAGTAAACACATGCTGTTAGAAAAAAATGGCACCGATAGAATTGCTTGATATAGGGTTGTCACAAACCTTTGGTTTGTTAAAAACAAAAATGCACTATCTGTTAAACACAGTAAAGCAGAGCACAATGAAACTAGGTATGTTTGAAAAGTATTATAATATAGACAATTTGAAAGATGAAAGATGTTTTTTCCCTATTTTAAGTGGTAATATTAGCATCCTCCATCAAGCAGGATTGAATTTCTGAGTAAGACCACCCTAGAAAAAGTTAGAAAATATTAAGTTGAGATAGGCAGCTTCTATAAAGTCTCTAATGCCCTGTCAGTCAGTTTTTGATCATTCCGTAGGGTTGGCAAATATTCTTTAACTAAACAGACTGAAGGTGACGATAGAAAAGGTTAGTGAATTTGTCATTATTATGATAATAATTATTATTCTACTCGTAGTGGCAGTAGTCATAGAAATAGATTTGTGGCTCCTTTTGTGCTACTCTGTTGGAGAAGAAAAATATGAGTATAGAGTACATAAAAATAACATTGTATAATTTTACAATGGGAAGATATATATGGAAATTCAAGGTTTCAAAAGTAATAAGAACTTCAAAACAAAGGAATATAGAGATATCTTGATGGTGGAGTGTTTGAAAGATTCTTTCTATGACTGATTTATGTTATAGAAAGCAACGTTTTTACAGTCTTGATGAATTAAAAGTGCATATCAAAATGCTAGGTCATTTTTCCTGAGAAACATTATAATTCTATGCATATATATTTGGATATAAAGAAGTATAAGGACAAGAAAACCTAAGGTTATAAAATAAAAATCCATAAGAATAGGTATTTAGCCTATCATATCTACCCTGTATCCATAGTTCCTATGGCAGCATTTGTCAAACAGCAAGTCTAAAATATTTTACGAATAAATGAGTGAATAGAAGCTTTCATTTGCACACTCCATTGTAGGTAGTCTATAATTAATTATATCTAATGTAGTTATGTAACTGAAGAGCTTAAAATGCCAGACTTGAGTATAAAATAAAAATAATCATTAAGACAATATTACATATTTAATTGAAGTTACTAGAATATGGACAACTTATTTAAATGCAGAATCAAACACAACTTTTTTGAAATAAGGTCATTCATGTAGCTTAATTCTACTAAGAGATTTATTTTCTATATTTGATGTCATTCAATAGCGCAGAGAATCAATGTTAGTAGTAGTTAATATTACTTGAATGACATTTTTCATACTCACAGGAAAATTACTCTGAGTTTCAACTTTTCTGACAGTGGATAAATATAATAAATAACTACACACTCATTCCTACTAAAATAGACTACTATTTTATTGATTATATTATTTTCTCACATTGTTGTCTGGATATATAGTAAAATAAAGTATTTTTACCAGGCTATGAAAAATGCAAAACGTGTATAGGTTGGCTTGACCAGATTGAGCTTCAACAGGGAATCAAGCAGAGGGCAAATTCTTTAACAATATTGCTTTGCATGCTCTCTTCAGGGCAGAACATCTCTTTATTCCATCTCTCTGGTTTTCAGTGGGGAATGGGAAAGCTCAAATGGTATTTTGAGAGTTGTTAGCATTATCCAAGGAGGGTGAGAAGGGAGAAGCAAGATGCTAAGGAAGAAGACATTGATTAAATGAGTTTCCAGAGTTTCCATGGCTTACATTATAAAATAAAACCTACTTTGTCGAGTGTTCAAACTTTCCTCAATCTTGTATCACCATCATTTTTATGTATGTATTTCCATAGGTAGCACTTAGAGCTCAGTTTTGCTTTTACCCTGTTATTGCTTTTACTAATATTACAATGCACTATAAAGAATATTTTCCTATTCCTTTCAGCTTCAAATGAAATACTATTCAACATTAAGGCTGTGACCTCTCTGACCATTTTCTCCATAAAGAAAACTTTTTATATGCCCCGTGTTGTCTTTTTTATATACTATTGGAGATATTTACTCTAATTTGATAGATTGTATGCTTACTTTCCTGTTTTCATCTTCCATATACGATTACTATTTAATGATAAGGTGGGAAAATCTTAACAGGACTACCAGCTGAAGAGACAAGACACAGGAGATTGTATAAATAATTCTGGAGCATGTAAAGTAATGAAAGAAAAAGGCAGATAGAACAATAGTAAAATAAAGGGAGAGATTCAACTCTCTTTGCTGAAATCAAAGTTATAAAATTAAGTCTTTATTTAATATTGAATATTGTACTTTTATATAATATGATTTTTTTACTATTAAATGGTGGAAGTTATACATGTAATAAAACAGACATGTCACTTGCATTATTGGTAATTGTTAGTATTATAATGAAATCTGTTAATTGCTGTATTTAAGAACATACATTATTCATAAATTATTGATGTGGCCTTCTTAACAGATACATATATGAAAATGCAGAGTTTATGTAAATCCATAAAAGTTATTTCCCTGGATGACTGTTAATATTTTCATTATTGTGGATTGTGGTTTGTACATATTTTGCAAAGTACACCACTGCTTTACAAATAATTTATATGCAAATTTAATATGACTATAGTTTGTGACTTAATATTTGGTAGAAATCACCTTTTATTTTTATCATTATTATTGTCATTATTTATTGCAATTAAGGGAAACTTGATGTATTATTAATACTCCATGACAAGATTAATTTTGATATCTTAAATGTTAACTTCAATATTTATTCTCTTTTATACTCTGTTCTTTTTTAGCTTATCCAAAATCATGAGGAGTGATTCCTAAAAAAAAAAACACTTTTTATTCAAATAATTTTGTTTCTCAGTATTACATACAAAATATATCCTCTTCATTTATGTATATCTGTAAATATGTGGAGGCTCTTAAATAGCATTTGCCATGGCACATAGGAAGAAAGATTGTGAGACAGAAATATAAATTATGATTTGCGTACAAGCAAGGGAAATTATGATTCTGGCTATCTTACCAAATTAGTTATTATTATAAACCTATTAAAAGCTCTGAAATTGAATGATAAGGCTGAAAAATTAGATTTGAAAATTACATAAAATTGAGGCAGCTCAGGAGGGTAGGAAGAAACAACTACATAACAGGAGCTGTGTGTTTAACCTATTGTACTAGCAAAAATGATTCCTATCATCCTCTCAAGATCATCGTCGAGTATCTGGTTGAATGTGCCTTTGCCTTGGCTGTACCAGGAGCATGAGAAGAAGCACCATAGAATGTCTCCAAGAAACCTTTTGTTTTCCATGGAGAGAGGGTAGGTAGCTGGATTCATATTTCTCCAAATCTACTCCAAATATACATAGTATATAGTATATATACTATGTTGGATTCCTCAAAATGAATTTAGGCTGCTGATAAAAAGGTGGAATGGGACTTTTGGTTCCAAATGGCAATGTGGAACCAAGCTGGCTTCACTCACCCCCACAGAAAACCAAAACCAAGAATACAGTTCCAAGATTATCACCAGCAGTATCCCTGAACTCAAATATGAAGTGGACGTAGTTCTTGGGGCCATAGAAAGGGGGAAAAAAAAGCAGAAGGTAGAAGAATTGGACTACCACGTCCAAAACACTCCTTCTCCAAAACTGCTCAGCATCAAGCTCAGGAAAACTTCCTTCCCAACTCATGGTTCCTACAATGAAAAGAGTGAGATTGAGACAGACAACCAGCCTCTCCATCATCGTCAATTCCCTGGCAGGAGACAGATCAATTGGAAACAATAATAACTATAGCAACCTGTTCAGAGTAGGCATTATAAAAATATGTAAATTGAGACAACATAAAACAAAATGTATGGGACATGATGTTGAAATGCACAGGTTTTTTTTCATTGTTTCTTTTTTTTCATTGTTTTTTTATTCTTTGTTTCTATTCTTTGTTTTAAGTTGTGATCTCTTTAAAATAAGTCATTACATCTATAAGATGTTTTTTCCTAAGCCTCATGGAAATCACATTGCAAAAACCTGTAGCATGTATTTTTTTTAAAACAGTAACAAATTAAACATTCTACCAGGGAAAATCACTTAACTACAAAGGAAGACAGTAAGAATGAAAGAAAGGAAGAGAGTGAGAATGAAAGAAAGGAAGAGGAGTTATAAAACAACCCAAAAAACAAACAACATGGTACTCCTTACTTATCAATAAGAAAATTGAATGTTAATAGACGCAGTTTTCCAATTAACAGACACAGAGTGGCTGAATGTATAAAGCAGCAAGACCCAACTACATGCTGGCTACAGGAAAACCACTTTACCTGTAAAGACACACATCCGAGAAAGTGAAAAAAAAAAAAAAAAGGAAAAAATATTCCCAGCAAATGGAAAACAAAAAAGAGCAAGACTAGCTATACTTACATCAGATAAAATAAAAATGTGTCAAAGACTGAAAAAAGTACAAAGAAAGTCACTATATCATGACAAAAGGGACAATTCAGCAAGGATATATAAAAATTATGCATATTTCTGCATTGAATATCAGAGCAACCAAGTATATAAAGCAAACACTTTTATATATATATAACATTATATATATATATATTATTTGAAAATGTGTAGTGCATCCTCTTTCACTCTCTTCCTCCAGCTCTGACCACGTAAGACATGCCTGCTGTCTATTATATATATAATATATATATACAATTATATATTATGTCTATTATATATATATTATATTGTGTCTAATATATATATATATATATATATATATATATATATATATATATATATATATATATATATATATATGGATAGACTGCATACTATAATAATAGGGAATTTTAACAGCCCACTCTCAGTAATGAACATACCATCCAGGCAGAAAATCAAGAAGGAAACATTGGTGTTAAACTACACACTAGCCCACATAGGCCTAAATGACATTTACAGAATATTTTACCCAACTGCTACAGAATACTATTTCTCTTCATCAGCGAAGAAAACATTCTCCAGAATAGAACATATATTAGGCCACAAAACAAGTCTCAATTTCAAATCTTTTTCTGGTCACCGTGAAATAAAACTAGAAATCAATAATACGAACCCCGGAAAGTGCATAACCACATGGAAATTAAATAACATGCTCCTGAAAAACCAATAAGTCAGTGAAGAAATTAAGAAGGACATTTAGAGCTTTTATTGAATAATGAAAGTAAAAATCCAACATATCAAAATCTATGGGATACAGCAAAAGCAGTAGTAAGAGAGATGTTATAATAATAAACACATATCTGAAAAAAGTAAAAAGACTTTAAATTAAAAAGCTAATGATGTACCTCAGGAAGTAGAAAAGTAAAACCAACAAAACCAAACCCCAAATTAGTAGAACAAAAGTCATAATAAACATCAAAGAGATATAAATAAAATTGAAACTAAAAAAAGATGGAAAAAATCAATGAGATGAAACATTGATTTTTTGAAAAGATAATCAAAATTGACAAAACTTTAGCAATACTACCTTGTATTAGTCCATTCTTGCACTGTTATAAAGGACTACCTGAGACTGGGCAATTAATAAAGAAAATAAGTTTAATTGGCTCACAGTTCTGCAGACTCTACAGTCTTCTTCTTCTGGGGAGGCCTCAGGAAACTTAAAATCATGGCAGAAGGCAAAGGGGCAGCAGGCATGTCTTACGTGGTCAGAGCTGGAGAAATAGAGTGAAGGAGGATGCGCTACACACTTTCAAACAACCAGATATTTAAGAATTCACTCACTGTCTTGAGAACAGCAAGGGGGAAATCCACCCCCATGATCAAATTACCTCCCATTAGACCCCTGCTCCAACATTGGGGATTACAATTCAACATGAGATTTGGGTGAGGACACGAATGCAAACCATATCACTAGCTAAGATTAAAAAACAGATAAGAGCCATAAAAATAAAATCAAAAACAAAACAGCAGGCATAACAACTAATGTCACAGAAATATAAAGACTCATTAGACACTATTATAAACAATGATATTCCAACAAATTGGAAAACACAGAAGAAATGGATAAAATTTTGGACATATACAACTCACTAAGATTGAACCTTTAAAAAATAGGAAACCTCAACACACTAACAGTTACTAATGAGATCAAAACCATATTTAAATGTCTTCCATCAAAGAAATGCCAAGCACCTGATGCCTTCATTCCTGAAATAATATCAAATCTATTCAAGCTCTTGAAAAATTTTAAAGAGAGAATACTTACAAACTAATTCTATAAGGCCAACATTACCATGATGCCAAAACCAGACAAGGACACAACAACAGAAAAAGAAATCTACAGGCCATCACTACTGATTAACATAGATGCAAAAACTCTCAACATGATACTAGCAAACCAAATTGAATAACACCTTAAAAAGATTATTTACCATGATCTAATGGAATTTGTCCCAGGGATGCAAGGATGGTTTAACATATGCAAATTAATAAAAGTGATACATTATGTTAAGAGAATAAAGAATAAAAGACATGATAATTTCAATAGATGCTTAAAAAGCATTTGGTTATATTTAATATCCCTTTATGATAAAAATTCTCAAAAAATTGTGTATAGAAAGCATGTACCTCAAAATAATAAAGGTTGTATATGACAAACCCAAAGCTAACATCACACAACATGGAGAAAAATTGAAGTCCTTTCCTCTAAGATCTGGAATAAGATAAGGATGCCCACTTTCACCACTTATATTAAACAGAATCCTAGAAGTCCTGGCCAGGGCAATTAAGAAAGAAAATGAATGAAGGGCATCTAAATTGGAAAAGAAGATGTCAAATTAGCATTGTTCACAGATGACATAATCTTATATTTGGAAAAACCTAAAGACTTAAAAAAAAACTGTTGGAATGAAGCCAGTGATGTTGCAAGATACAAAAGCAGCACAGTAAAATCAGTAGGATATATAAATGCTAACAGTGAACTACCTGCAAAAGAACTCGAAAGTAGTCCATTTACAATAGCTACAAAGAATAAAAATACATAGGAATAAATTTAACCAAATAAGTGAAGGATATATAAAAGGAAAACTATAAAACAGTGAGGAAAGAAACTGAAGATGACACAAAAAATGGAAAAATACTTCATGCTCATGATTGGAGGAATTAATATTGTTAAAATAACAATACTAAAGCGGCTACATTGTCTGGGGTTAGTACCTGGGGTTTGTCATCACGTGCTAGGAAAACTTAGAACATGGACACACATGAGGAGTTTAGGAGCAGAGGTTTAATACGCAAAAGAAAAAGGAAGAAAGGAAAATGAAAACAGCTCTCTCTGTAGTTAGAGAGTGGGAACTGCTGATGGGAAGATGGGCCGACAGCAGATGCACTGGATTTTACAGTCAGGCTTGAGGAGGTGGTGTCTGATTTACACAGGGCTCACAGATTGGTTAAATCAGGTATGACGTTTATATAGTTTGCAGGGAAGGCTGGCTGCCCCAGCTTAATCTTATAATCCAAATGAGCCTTCCAGTTGACTAGTGTCATCTTCTCTGCTCCTTACTGTACGTATGGCTGACAAAGAAATGGGAAGATGGAGCTGCCATCTTGAACATGATTGGCACAACTGTCATCATCTATGTCTGCAACTCTATTTTACAGGCTGCTCTTTGTTAGAAAGGAAAACCATTTGGGGCTGCTTTTTATTAAAAGGAAAACCTTACTGAGGACTTCCGGACCCTCACTATCTACCTAAGTAACTTCTTAACTCTTGTATCAATACTACCCAAAGCAATTTATCAATCCAACGCAATCCTTATCAAAATACCAATGACATTATTCACAGAAATAGAAAAAAATCATGAAATTTATATGAACCCATAAAAGGCAGACACTGAATACCCAAAGCAATCCTGAGCAAAAAGAACAAAGCTGAAGGCATTACACTATCAGACTTCAAAATAAAATACAAAACTATAATAATAAAATCAGCATGGTGTTGGCATAACAATAGACACATAGACCAATAAAGCAAAATAGAAAAACTAGATGTTAACTCACATATTTACAATCAATTCATTTTCAGCAAAAACACCAAGAACCTACAATGGAAAAAGGATAGTTTCATCAATAAATGGTGCTGGGAAAACCTCATAACCATATGCAGAAGAATGAAACTAAACCTTTATCTCTCACCATATATAAACATCAAATGAAAATGGAGTAAAGACATAAATCTAAGACCTGTATCTATGAAAGTATCAGAAGAAAACTTTGAAACTTCGGGGAAATGCTTCTGATCATAGGTCTGGGCAAAGGCATTTTGTGCAAGACCTCTAAAGCATAGACAACCAAGGCAAAATCAGACTAATGGAATTATATCAAGTTTTATAAGCTTCTGCACAACAAAGGAAACAATTAACAAAGTGAAGAGGCAACCCACAGAATAGGAGAAAATATTTTTAAACAAGGGATTAATAACCAGAATATATGAATCTTAAACAACTCAATAGCAAAAAATACAAATAATCTGATTAAAAATTGGCAAATGATCTGAATAGACATTTCTCAAAAGAAGACATACAAATGGCTAACAGGTATGTGGAAAAATGCTGAACATCACTAATCACCAGGTAAATGCAAATCAAAACCACAATTGCATAGCATCTCACCTCAATTAAGATGGCTTTTACCAAAACAACAGGGAATAAGGAATGCTGGCAAGAATGTAGAGAAAGAGGAACATTCATACACTGTTAATGAGAATGTAAATTAGTACAGCCACTATGGCATACAATATAGAGGTTTCTCAGAAAGCTAAACATAGACTCACCATATGATCCAGAAATTACACTTCTGAGTGTATGTATCCAAAAGAAAAAAAATCAATATATCAAAGTAATATCTGCACTGCCAGGTTTATTGCAGCACAATTTGCAATAGCCAAAACCTGAAATCAAGCTAATTGTTCATCAACAGATAAATTAATAAAGATTATGTGGCCTATATATACAAATATATATATAAAATAGAATATTATTCAACCATAAAAAAGAATGAAATTCTGTCATTTGCACCAACATTGATAAAACTGGAGGTCATTATGTTAAGTGAAATAAGCCAAGCACAGAAAGACAAATATTGCATGTTTTCACTTATTTTACAGAGGTAAAAAATGAATCTCAGGAAGACAGAGAATAGTTTGGTGGCTACCAGAGGCCAGGAAGGGTTGGGGGAGGAAAAGTGAAGACAGGTTGATTAATGGGTACAAATACATAGCTTGATAGAAGAAACAGGACCTGGTGTTTCATAGATCAATAGGGTGACTAGAGTTTACAATAATTTATTATATATTGCAAAATAGCTATAAGAGCATAATTTAAATGTTTCCAGTGTAAAGAAATGAGAAATATTTAAGGTGATGTATATCCCATTTGCCCTGATTTGATTTGTACAAATTATATGAATGTATTAAATTATCACAAATAGTCCCCAAAATGTGTACATATATTATGTGTCAATAAAAAATAAAATCTTAAAAATTAAAAAAAGGATGCATGAGACATGAGATCATTAAAAACAAAGATTATAGTAGGTGAGATTTTTATATATATTATCTATTTCACCTTTACATGCTATTATCCTAGTTGGTATTTTTAGTGTTCTCAACCTAAGCATATTATTTAAAATTAAAGATTAATGCTAATTTAGAAATTCATTGAGGAAAGAAAAGAAATTGCTAGTAGTTAGTTGATTATCCAGAAGCTTCTTATTTTCTAGATCTTAATGTAAATGTAGTTGGTTTAAACAGGTGAAACTTTCATGCATTATTCCTCCTTCAAGTTACTATTTTCATGTAATCCTCTTTCCTTTTGCAATACAATGCATATTTTATAGATATATCATTTATTTATGAATAGCTTTCTGTTTTTATTCCCCATGAAATTCATATTTTGAAAAGTATTTTCAACCAACTTTTCTGAACAGCAAATGATTCAAGTTTTATCACATAAATTAATATCAATCCAGAGAAAAGTTAAAAAAAAATAAAAACCATATTTAAACTGTACAGATTTGTGGTAGGAAAAGATAATGTATATACTAAGGTTTTATGGTTGTTAATATTAAAAAGAGTAAATATACCTTCCTCAAAAATATTCTGAGGTTAAAAAAAAAAACAAAGCAACCCACAGTTTAGGTACTAACAGGCTAAGTACTTTCTTAGCACTACATTAGGAAATTTCATGATCCCATTTGTGTCTGTTAGTATTTGTCTCTCCTCACTCCCCCCTCCAACTTTCTGCCCTATCGGGGGAAATTCAGGCCCCTATATTTCTTCGTAGGTCCTTTTCTATTTTTCCCTAAGTGTCGGCTGGTCTGAGAAATAAAAGGAAAGAGTAAAAAAGGGAGAAATTTTAAAGCTGGGTGTCCAGGGGAGACATCACATGTCGGCAGGTTCTGTGATGCCCCAGAAGCCGCAAAAACAGCAAATTGTTATTAGTGATTTTCAAAAAGAGTGGGAGTGTATGAATAGGGTGTGGGTCACAGAGATCACATGCTTCACAAGGTAGTAAAATATCACAAGGCAAATGGAGGCAGGGTGAGATCACAGGACCCGGGCAAAATTAAAATTGCTAATGAAGTTTTGGGAACGCATTGTCATTGATAACATTTTATCAGGAGACAGGGTTTGAGAGCAGACAATTGGTCTGACCAAAATTTATTAGGCGGGAATTTCCTCATCCTAATAAGCCTGGGAGCGCTACGGGAAACCGGGGCTTATTTCATCCCTTATCTACAACTGTAAAAGACAGATGTTCCCAAAGCGGCCATTTTAGAGACCTTCCCTTAGGAACACATTCTCTTTCTCAGGGATGTTCCTTGCTGAGAAAAAGAATTCAGGGATATTTCTCCTATTTGCTTTTGAAAGAAGAGAAATACGGCTCTGTTCCACCCAGCCCACAAGCAGCCAGTCTTTAAGGTTATCTCCCTTGTTCCCTGAACATCGCTGTTATCCTGTTCTTTTTTCAAGGTGCCCAGAATTTATATTGTTTAAACAATTTGTGCAGTTAATGCAATCATCACAGGGTCCTGAGGTGACATTCATCCTCAGCTTACGAAGATGATGGGATTAAGAGATTAAAGTAAACACAGGCATAGGAAATCACGTAAGTATTGATTGGGGAAGTGATGTGTCCATGAAATCTTCACAATTTATGTTCAGAGATTGCAGTAAAGACAGGTGCAAGAAATTATAAAAGTATTAATTTGGAGAACTAATAAATGTCCATGAAATCTTCACAATTTATGTTCTTCTGCTGTGGCTTCAGCCAGTCCCTGTGTCTGGGGTCCCTGACTTCCCTCAACACTGCCCTACTATATAAGTGAAGGAATATGCTTAAAATAAATATTCTGGCAGGCTTATTATGTTTATAATATTACATAGAAGACTATTCTACATTTATATACTTTAGTCAATCACCTGCCTTCCCATTTTCATGTCTGTGCACTTCTATAGGCCCACTTTGGAGTAAATCTCCAAGCTGATCGACACAATTATCTGATTTTTAACCCCAAAATTATATTCTACGTATTGGCTTCTGAGTTCATTGAGTTCACTAACATTTGATCTTCTTAGACCTCACATCCATCTGCAACATTTACACTAATTAGTACAATAGTGGGCTTTGGAGCCCAATGATGCTTCTTTCACACCTAACTCTACCAGTGACCTCACTTGCCTGTTCATCAGATTCCCTAGGAGCTTCTTAAGAGTACATATTTTTATGATTCCAACCATATGACACTCTGGAAAAGGAGAAACTGTGGAGATAGTGAAAAGATCAGTGGTTTCAGGGGTTCAGCAAAAGAAAAGAGTGGAGTACAGGGGAATTTTAGGACAGTAAAACTATTCTGTTTGATCTTGTAATGGCGGTATCATTGGACATATTTGACTAATTTGTCAAAACCCATTGAAGTATATAGTATAAGGAGTGAACCCTAATGCAAATGATGGACTTTGATTATTAAATTGTATCAATGTTGGCTCATCAATTGTAACAAATAGAACACACCTCATCTTAGCCATGGAATGTTAATAACAGGATAATAGGAGAATAGAGTGGAGAGGAAGAGGATAGATGGAAACTTGGTCCGTTCAACTCAATTTTCCTGTAAACCTAAAACTGCTCTAGAAAAATAAAATCCATCAATGTTTTGGTTTTTAAATACATGATCTAGGGCCATGACTAGAATCTGTATATTAATAAGCTCTATGAAATAATTCTGATTTCTGGGCCCAGGCAGATAGATGTTTTATAAGGTGTTCTGACTTGTGTTTTGCTGTAAAATTTGAAGTTATAATATCTAGATATTTGATATTGTAAAGAATCAGCAATTTTCAATTTGATGATAAAATAAGTTGAATGGTCAAAATATTTTACTTATCATCTTTGTTCACCTCACTCTTATTCCACATGATAGTCAAAAGAGATTTCTCCAGACAATTGCTCACACTCCAATTCCCAGAATGAGAGCCAGATCTTTCAGTTCACATTCTTCTTCTTCTTTTTTTTAAATGCCTTTTCACTCCTAAAAATGCCTGTTTTCAGCAAAGAAAACTTTTCTTAACAATGGAATGCCATAATTATAGTTTTGTCTAGTCCCTCATCCAAAATAATATTATAAAATTATCAATAACTATTTCTGGATGCTGGTTATTCTGTCACAATCTTAAAAAATATACATTAAAAATGATAAATATTTAAGAATAGGAATGTTTGTAAATAAATTTAAAAAGGTTTGTATCAGTCATTATATAAAGACACTAACTATAAAAATTTTGAGACTAGAGAATTTTAATAAGTAAAAATAATACAGTCTAATATGTAAACAAGACAGATTTTTTTCCCCTTGATCAGTCCCAAACCTTGTTCTATTATTATTATAGACACATTTCTCTCCTATAATTGACATCGTATCTTAAACAGTTTTTCACAAGATCACAAGATCAAATGCATTCTTTTATAAATATTTGTTTACCATATGACTGACTTAGCCACTGAATGTCAAAACTAAATAGTGATCAATTGTAATAATCTATAAGCAGAAAGTATTTTGTGTTCTTGAATCACTTTTCCAATTTAAAAACTGAATGGGTAATGAGTTTTTAAAAAATAAGTTCTGGCACTGTACATACATAATAAATGAGGCTACTACTTTTCAAAACTGTAGCTCTCAAGAAATCGTGTGCAATGTCATGGCACTGTTATATATTCTTGATTAGTCAAAAAGAGGAAAAGGTTTAGATTTTTTTAAACAGCCTTTGGTTACCCTGGAACATTTACATTCTGATGTCTTTACAAGTGTTAGTTTCAAATGCAGATGTTGGTGTCAATCATTAGAGAATGTCTATAGGACATCTGGTAAGGCTATCAATAATAATATATGCCTATGCCAGTAAAAAGAAGAACAGGCAGCACTGTTTCTCATATTGCAGATGAAAAGGGAGCCGTAAGTCAAGAAATAGCTTTTCAAATGAACAGCAAGCCCCTATTATTTGATTTTAAAGTTACCATCTTGGAGACAGTTATTCTTAAATAGTTAAGATTTTCTGAAATATTAGAGTTCTCAAAATATGGCATTATATTTATTGTGTGTCATTTATGCCATGGTTATTTTATGTAGAATTACTTCTTGAAAATTCTTTTTTTTACTATTATCAAGTCATCCCAGAAAAATAAGCCCCTCCTTTTTCCTCATCAGAATCACTTTATGCTGTAATGATTTATTTATTCATATGGGTTTAGGCATTGAGAGGAAAAGACAGGCAGACATAGATTATGGCATGGAGAAATGTATATTGGAAGAAATATTGTGGGTTAAGTAATTAAAACTTGACCTCTGTTCTTCTGGTCTTTCAAAATCAGTCTGAAGTGTTAAACTTCAGTGACTTGTTTTTGTTTTTTTTTTAAATCCAAAATGTCTAAATGTACTAAAGACATTTCTGAGAGAAGAATACACCTCTGCTTCCTTCTTTGTTCTTTCTTTCAATCAGGCTTATAAGTGACTTCAGAGGAGCCCTAGCCTGGAGCCAACTGTTGTTTGTATGCTGTGGGAAGGAGAGTATAGCTGTATTCACACCAGACCCAATACATATATTCCACAGGCAAAATCATTACCAGAATTTTACAGTTTTATATTAAAAGGTACAAAGAACTGCCAGCAAGTTTCTAATTGGCTGAATAAGTGCATGTGGTTTTCCCCTTCAAAGTCACATAGCCCACGCATTCTTTGACATCCCAATAATACTTAGCACAAATGTAGAAAGAGGGTACTTATTGTTTCCCCTCAACATAAATATATATATTCTTTACCATCTTATGCTAATATAATGGTTAGACTAATGTAGTCTATCACTTTATATTAATAGTAAATATTGCTATTCATTCTCCATTTTGTGTGAAATACTGTGATGAAATGCTGAATACAAATACTGTGCGTATTCACAAGGAAAGAAATCCCAGTAGTAATGATTAACCCATCCTACCTCACCCACCGCTTTACCCACTGCTCTGATTTTCTACTGTGTAACTTTTCCAATATATGGAAAGGACATAAATCCATTTCTATTAAATATAATGGGAAAAATCAAGGCAAATAAAAACAAATATCTTTGTGTTTATAAAGATTATTTGCTGCCTGGTCACATATGGGGTTTATTGATTCAGTCCAAGGCTGGACTGCTATATTTGCTGTGAATATCTGCTGGCAAAATTTTCTCGCCTCATTATTTTGTGATATTATGCATTCTCAGCAGCACATTTATATTCAGCATGTGAGGTACCCGCCATGCTTCCATATATACCCTTTTGTACCTATACTTCTTTATTACTTGTTTAATAAAACCATCGCAGAAACAAGCAGAGCAGACAAAATAAACAAGAGTTCTTCATAAAAATGACTTGCAAATTCAATACATAGTTATACCTGCTGGCAATATGACTCTATTCACATATGCACCTGTGTTTCTTAAAAGGTGGTGGGTCTGCAGTTAAAGTGGGCTTAATTACAAAAGGAATATGAGAATATTAGGAAACCCACCACAAAAGCCCTCTAGAATCAAAATCAGTATGTTCGTTTATGGTGTCAGATTACTTTAGTAGAATGAACAGATCTGGGTGAAACATTAAAATAATTAACTTGGATAAACTTCTGATCTGTAGAATAAGGTGTAAAATATGTACAAGGCAATGTAATATAATAAGAAATGCATCTGTCATTTTATTATTAGTACTGATGCTAGAAAATATAGCTGAAAATTTTTAAGCGAGTTAGTTACTAGTGAATTTCTGAAATAAAAGTCATAAAACAAACATCATTTTATTAGTCTATTCTCATGCTGCTATGAAGAAATGCCTGAGAAAAGAGGTTTAATTGACTCAGTTCTGCATGGCTGGGGAGGCCTCCGGAAACTTGAAATCATGGCAGAAGGCAACTCTTCACAGGGCAGCAGGAGAGAGAATGAGCAAAAGGGGAAAAGGCCCTTATAAAACCATCAGATCTTGTGAGAACTCACTATCACAAGAACAGCATGAGAGTAACTTCCCCCATGATTAAATTACCTCTCATATGGTAATACCCACATGGGGATTATGGGAACTACAATTCAAGATGAGATTTCAGTGGGGACGCAGCTAAACCACATCATTAAACCCCAGTGAAACTATCATTGGGCCTCTCCCAAATCTCATGTCCTCACATTTCAAAACACAATCATGCCCTTCAAACAGTCTTCCAAAGTTTTAACTCATTCCAGCATTAACTCAAATGTCCAAGTCCAAAGTCTGATCTGAGACAAGGCAAGTCCCTTCCGCCTATGAGCCTGTAAAATTAAAAGCAAGTAGGTTACTTCCTAGAAACAATGTGGACACAGGCTTTGGGTAAATATACCTCTTCCAAATGGGAGAAATTGTCCAAAACAAGGGACTACAGGCCCCGTGCAAGTCCAAAATCCAATAGGGCATTTATTAAGCTTTAATGTTCCAAAATGATTTCCTTTCACTACATGTCTCACATACAGGTCATGCTGATACAAGAGGTATCTTCCCATGGTCTTGGGCAGCTCCACCCCTGTGACTTTGCAGGGTACAGCCTCCCTCCCAGCTTCTTTCACAAGTTGGCATTGAATATCTGTGGCTTTTCCAGGTGCACAGTGTAAGCTGTTAGTGGATCTACCAATATGGGGTCTGAAGGACGGTAGCCCTCTTCTCATGGCTACACTACACAATGCCCCAGTGGGGACTCTGTGTGGGGTCTCCAACTCCACATTTCCCTTCTACACTTCCCTAGCAGAAGTTCTCCATGAGGGCTCTGGCCATGCAGCAAACTTCTGCCTGGACATCTAGGTTTTTCCATACATCCTCTGAAGTCTAAACGGAGGTTCCCAAATCTCAATTCTTGACTTCTGTACATCCACAGGCCCAACAGCATGTGTAAGCCACCAAAGCTTGGGCCTTGCACCCTCTGAAGCAGTGGTCTGAGCTGTATGTTGGCCCCCATTAGCCACAGCTGGAGCTGAAGCATCTGGGACTCAGGGTACCATGTCCAGAGGCTGCATAGAGCACAGGGGCCCTGGGACCCATAGAGTACAGGGGCCCTGGGACCCACCGACAAAACCATTTTTTCCTCCTAGTCTTCTGGACCTGTTATGGGAAGGGCTGCTGTGAAGGTCTCTGACAAGCCCTAAAGACATTTTCCCCATTATCTTGGTGAGTAACATTTGGCTCCTTGTTACTTATGCAAATTTCTGCAGCAGGCTTCTCCCCAGAAAATGGGTTTTTCTTTTCTATTATGTCATCAAGCTGCAAATTTTTCAAACTTTTATGTTCTGCTTCCTCTTGAACGCTTTGCCACTTGGAAATTTCTTTCACCAGATACCCTAAATCATCTCTCTCAAGTTCAAAGTTCCACAGATCTCTAAGGCAGGGGTAAAATGCTGCCAGTCTCTGCATAGCAAGAGTGACCTTACTCCAGTTCCCAACAAGTTCCTCATCTGTATCTGAGACCACTTCATTCTGGACTTCACTACTCATAACACTATTAGCATTTTGGTCAAAGCCGTTCAACAAGTCTCTAGGAAATTCCAAACTTCCCCACATTTTCCTGCCTTATTCTGAGCTCTCCAAACTCTTCCAACCTCTGCCTGTTTCTCAGTTGTAAGGTCGCTTCCACATCTTTGGGTATCTTTATAGCACCACCCCACTCTCTGCGATACTAATATCTGTATGAGTCAGGGTTCCCTAGAGGGACAGGACTAACAGTGAAACCATCTTTGCAAAATTATGACTGAGACAGTGAAAGAGATCTAGCTTAACCGACTCCATCTCGTTTCTAACCTCCAAGCTGTCCTTGTTCATTGCTAGGCATAGGCTGAACTAACTTTGAGAGAAACTTAGTTTATAGTTTGTAGTTTAAACAAAGCCGATACACAATCCTTTAACAAGGCAGACCTCCTTCTTGCCTGGGGACTAGATTACCTTTGTAGGACTAACAACATTAGCCACAAAGTTAGTAATTATGGTTTAGGAGTCATGCAGCTGGAGGCTATAAGATTCTGACCTTCCCTAAATTACTCCTAAATTAGTGCTTGAGATATTTTGCAGACTCTGCACTTGACGGATGAGCTGGCACCACCCAGACTGATAAACTAGCTCATCTGATCTTGTGGCCTCCACCGGGCAACTGACTCAGCACAAGAAGACAGCTTTGACTCCCTGTGATTTCACCCTAACCAATCAGCACTCCTGGATCACTGGCTTTCCCCACATCCACCATATTGTCCTTAAAAAGTCTGCTCCTCAAATGCTCAGAGAGACTGATTTGAGTAATAATAAAACTATGGTCTCCTGCACAGCTGGCTCTGTGTGAATTACTTTTTCTCTATTGCAATTCCTCTGTACTGAGAAACCAGCTCTGTCTAGGCAGTGGGCAAGGTAAGCCCCTTGGGCAGTTACAATAGGATATAGATATATATATATATATATATATATATATATATATATATATATATATATATATATATATATGAAGGGAGTTTATTAAGGATTATTGACCCACACAATCACAAGGTGAAGTCCCACAGTAGGCTGTATGCAAGCTGAGGAGCAATGAATCCAATCCAAGTCCCCAGATCTCAAAAGTAGGGAAGCCAAAAAGTGCACCCTTCAGTCTGTGGCTGAAGACCAGAGAGACCCTGGTAAATCACTAGTGTAAGTCCAAGATTCCAAAAGCTGAAGAACATGGAGTCTGATGTTCGAGGGCAGAAAGTATCCAGCATGGGAGAAAGATGAAGGACGGAAGACTCAGCAAGTCTACTCATTCCAATTTCTTATGCCTGCTTTATTCTAGCCTCGCTGGTAGTTGATTAGATGGTGCTCACCCAGATTGAGGTGGGTCTGCCTCTCCCTGTCCACTGACTCAAATGTTAAGCTCCTTTGGCAACACTGTCAAAGACACACCTAGGAACAATAATTTGCACCTTTCAATCCAATCAAGTTGACACTCAATATTAACCATCACAATCATGAAATCCTGGCTACACCTCAGGGATGTAACACCTAACGATATTAGTGATACTTAACACATTTTCATGGGACATGGGAGAAAAGTGGAATGTCATTATGTCAAGTGCAAGTCCAGATGAGCTGTTCATGAAGAATCTATGGAAATGGCTTACAAATATTATGGGTGGGTAAAGATGTTACAGGAAGAAAATAGCAATTACATTATGTAAAGCAATTCTGTGCTATAATTTAAAGTTGCTTGCAGTTCGGTATTTCCCAGAGAAGTTTTTAATTAGGAAATATAAAAACACATCTCAGAGAATGATTTTAAAATCTTCCATCCTCCAAAATGAAAAATGGAAGATATATTTCTTCAATATTGCCAATTTATCTGAGATTAGATTATTATTTGAAAACATAAAATGTTTAGATATTTTATGAGTAATAAACAATAAACAAATGTCTACTGCTCTACACAGTAGATTACCCCATTTCCCCTTTATTTCAAGGTTAGGGGACTAAAGGATATATCACAGAAACAAGGAGCTTTCTCATGGATATACAAGAATGGAGTAAGTTTAAAATAACTTCATGGAAAATTGAAAGATTAGTTGACAAACCAAGCTAAGAGATGTAAAGAATGATTGACAACAACAGTGATGCTCAGTTGAGAATGAAAAGCACAATTTTTATGTAATGATATGAATGTACATGTTTATGTGTTATTATCTCCAAGTAATCAGCAATCCTTATTCATGTTATAATATCCAAACTCATACATTTTAAATAATCCTCCAAAATGTTTTTATAATTTGTCAAAGAAACAAGATGGATCATAGAAGCAGTTGAATTTACAATTTTGCTACTCAGAAAAAAAGAAATATCAGATGTATACTATCCACCCACTCCTTTGCAGAGATTTTTTTTTTTTTACAAAAACTTGTTTTTAATAGGTTAAACATATTATGGTGTCTGTGTAAGTAGTTGTAAGCTCACGTTTAAATGTAAATAATTACTTGGAATTTTATATGACATATCACACTTCTGAAACTTGCAACAGTGTACAACCAAGTTTGGGAAGAGAAGGAAGGCACCTGGTGATTCCCAATTGGTGAATGGAAAAGCAAGGCTTCCAAAAATTATATTCAGCCATGTAAGGCCATATAACGCTATGGTTAAGAATATGCAGACTCTAGCCAGACTGCCTCGAGTAACTGCAATACCATCTTTACTTGGTCAGGTCACTTAGGCATGTTTCACGCTGCAATATTCTCATCTGTGAAAGAGAAATTATGACAATACCCATTCAACGTGTTTTATGAACATTAAATGAGTTAGCCTGATCAGTCATTTAACAAATATTACATAACTGCTGTCCAAAATGTTTATTAAATCTTTTGTCTCCTAACAGAACACAAAATATATAAACACCACCACTTGGCAATAATAACACTGCTTTTATTGCTATTGAAAAGAACTGTGATTTTGTTGCCAATATATGCCTCTCTCTCTCTCTCTCTCTCTCTCTCTCTCTATATATATATATATATATATACACACACACATATATATACACACACACACATATATATATATATATATATACCTATACATAAACACCATAATATAGCCACCAGTTCAGAAGTCGGATTTCTGTAGGTATTTGGGTGGTTTCTCATTCTTGACAGAGTGGTTGCCATCATGATCTTCGACAATTATTTTCCCTGTTTGACTTAGTTTACTCATCTATAAAATGGAAATAATAATAGGCTCCATCTCATTGGGTTTTTGTAAAGATTAATTAATTAATGTAAAGCACTTATAAATACATAACACTGTAAGTTATTGCAGTTGTTATCAAAACAGTTAATTTAAAGGCACAAATGAATCAGAAGGTATATTAGTCTATTTGTGTTGCTTTCTATAAAGGAATACCTGAGACTTGGAAATTTATAAAGAAAAGAGGTTAATTTCACTATGTTTCTGCAGGCTGTACAAGCATAGCACCAGCATCTGCTTGGTTTTACTCATGGCAGAAGGTGAAGGGGGAGCAGGCGTGTCACACGGCGAGAAAGGGAGCAAGGAGGGGAGGTGCCAGGCTGTTTAAACAATTAGCTTTTGTATGAACTCATTAACCTGGGGAAGGCACCAAGCTTTTCATCAGGGATCTGCCTCCATGACCCAAACACCTCCCCCTAGGTCCCACCTTCAATACTGGGGGCCACATTTCAACATGAGATTTGTTGAGGACAAATATCCAAACGGTATCAGAGGGAAAGGGTTATTTTCTGATGTTTCCACTTTCTGTTATTTACTACCAATGTCAATAAAAGAATGATTGTTATGAACTTGCCTATTACCATGCAGTACATTCGGAAATGGTGTTTATGAGATAAATTTGTGGCATTTACCCCAGTAATATCTACATTTACATAGATTTGATGGCAGGTGATATGAATTAGTAAACTTTGGTGTGCATATTCCTTTTTCATATTCAGCATCTTCCAAGTTTTGAGTGAAATCTGGTAAATGTATCATGGCAGCGACTGGTGGCCGCCTTCTTTACAGCTGAGGTACTGCATCCAACACAGTCCTTTCCAAACAGTTCCCATGGGAAATTTGCAATAGGAGTTTCTGGAAATCTTTGTTAGAAAGAAATAACTTTCAAGGAGAGTTCTCTCCCTTTTTCTTTTTGCCCTGGGAATTAACTGGCCGTCATCATGGGAGATCATGTTGCTTAGGGTAGCAGAAGTCAGCATTAGGTCTTGGAGAGAAAGCCAAGAAGACCTCAGAGAAACTGACACACAAAATTATCATCGTGGTTCTGTTGAATTACCTAATCCTGAACCATTTGCTTCATATTGTTTGTCTGTAATTAAAATTATTTTTTAAAAAATCTTATTTTACCAGTTACTTACTTTTATTCATATATTCTGTTACTTGTTTTGAAAATATTGTCACTGGCAAATGCACTGTTCATGTACTCTGGTTTAGTCTGAGTTTTTAGTTTTGATGTCAAGATCCTCTCACAGACCAAAAAAAAAAGATGTTTCTTTTGCATAGGCAATTGGAAGAAATGGGAGGTACACAAGGACACAATTAACTGTGTTTATTTCTTTAGGAAGAAGAAAGAAGCGGGAAGAAGAGCGGGTAGAGGAAGGCAAAAGGGAAGGAGAGGGGAGAGAATGATACCACCCCGATAAGTGTCTAACGAGATGGTAAGTACTTAATTTAACTTTAGTGAATCTTTAGCGCATTCACTTTCCCAGAAATCATCATTCTGGTTCAGTGAATATTAGTCACCTGCTGTGAAATAAAGAAGATAATTTAGTTCTTCATCTTTGAATGATTTCAAGGTATAATTTCATATAAAGACAAAGACCCAAAGCCATTTTTAAAGTAAGGCAATTCATAAATTTCTTTTGAAGGTCAGTTATAAACATAGAGTAAAACCTCATTAATTTAAATAATTGAAGGAGAAGCTTTTTGTTGTGTCAGTCTGGAAATTAGGTTTGCAAAATGTAGCCTGTTATAATTCCTCCTGGACCTACTCTAATAAATAAATATGAATAATGCAATTATCACATTGTTTGTATGTAAATGAATGCTGCAAAAGCATGTAAAAGTGCTTCAACAAGTTCAATATTTTGTGGTTTTTGCTTTGTTTTGCTTCCCCTGGCACTGCTGAGACATAGCTTTTAAAATTTGAACAAGTTACATGAAATCTCTTGAGCTTAGTTTATTCATCGTTAAAATGCAGGCTAGGCACGGTGGCTCACATCCGTAATCCCAGAAATTTGGGAGGTCGAGGTGGGCAGATCACAAGAGGCCAGGAGTTCGAGACCAGCCTAGCCAACATGGTGAAACCTCGTCTCTACTAAAAATACAAAATTACCCAGGCGTGGTGGCCTATACCTGTAATCCCAGCTGCTTGGGAAGTGGAGGCAGGAGAATCGTTTGAATCCAGGAGGCGGAGTTTCCAGTGAGCCGAGATCCTGCCACTGCACTCCAACCTGCGAGTCTCCAGCCGGATTCTGTCTGTCTCTGTGTCTAAAATAAAATAAAATAGTAAAAATAAAATGGAATGACATGTAACGGTTTCTAAACTCCATTGCACATCTACCCAATTTGGTCTGTGATTTACTACATTGAAAACTTTAAATTACTTGGAGATAAATATCTGGTTCCTTGTTTCTTGACGTACTTCTCTCTCTCTTTCCCTCTCTAAGGAAAACAAATAACAAATACCTGGGTTATCTAGCTGCCTAGCATGATGTACTCTGCTCATGGCATACATACACAGCAGCTGAACTGTTTGCTTACCTGAGCCTCCTAGTCAAGAAAGGCAGATTTAGATTTATGTTATTCTTGTATTTTGTATGTGAGTGTAAATACACATTTTAAAAAATATTACCATTCCCAGATTGTGTTTATGTATCACTATTCACCCAGTGCTTAACATAATGCCTAGCAATAGATGTTCAACATGTATTTCTTGAATGAATGAATGAATATGAAGTGAAATGAGAATAGTGTCAGTATAAATTACATCCAATAAGACGATGAGACTGAGAGATGAGATGGAGATTTCAATTTCCCATCTATACATTTTAAAAAGAGAAAATGAGAAGCAGAGCTAAAATTTTAAGTGATATTACCAAGGTTATATCAAAAGAAACTACCAAATTAGGATTAAAACACTAGTCCCCCAATTTCAGCACTATTTCGTATGTTTAATTTTATTGTAAAATGTCAGACATGTAGATAAGCACATAATGCATTTTCAGTAAAAGGAATAATTATGAAAGAAATTCCTTTGGAATTATCAAATAAGTCAAGAAATGGAATATTGTCAGCAACCCAGAAGCCACTCAAATGGCCTTTCTCATTGACAACCCTCTAATTGTCTACAAGAAGTAATCATTATTCTAACATTTTTGGCAATCTCTTTCATGTCTTTATTATCGTTTTACCAAGTCTCAATGTATCCTTAAACAGCATAGATTTTTTTTCTAGAATTCAGTGATATATGAATAGATAGCAAACACCGTATATATTATTTTGTGTCTGGCTTCTTTCACTTAATGTTATATTAGCTAGCTACGCAAGTTGTTTGCAGCTCTCATCGTACTTTTTACTTGCTATGCATTATTCTATTTATTATTGCACCACGAATAATTTATTATTTCAACTCTTGATAGAAACATGGATATTTACTGGATTGGGGAAATTTTAGACAATGCTGTTATATTCTTCACATGCCTTTTGGCGCACATATGCATGCATTTTTAGGGCATAAAGTTAGAAATGGAATTGCTGGCACATGAGTTATTTCTATAACCAACCTTACTAGATGACCAGAGAGCATCCAGCTATTTTCTAAAGTGGCTATACCAATTTAAACTGCTAACAGCAATGTTTCCATTGCTCCACATTATCACCAAAATAGTTTTATAAGACATTTTAATGTTTTTCCTTTTTTTTTTTTTGAGGTGGAGTTTTGCTCTGTGCCCAGGTTGCAGTGCGGTGACACAATCTTGGCTCACTGCAACCTCCGCCTCCCTGGTTCAAGTGGTTCTCCTGCCTCAGCCTCCCAAGTAGCTGTGTTTATAGGCACCTGCCACCATGCCTGGCTAATTTTTGTATATTTTATTTTATTTTATTTTATTTGTTGAGACAGAGAGTCGCTCTTTCACCCAGACTGGAGTGTAGTGGCTCACTGCAACCTCTGCCTCCTAAATTAGAGTGATTCTCCTGCCTCAGCCTCCCAAGTAGCTGGGATTACAGGTATGTGCCATGACTCCCAGCTAATTTTTTTTGTACTTTTAGTACAAATGGGGTTTCACCATGTTGGCCAGGCTGGTCTTGAACTGACTTCAAGTGATCCGCCCGCCTAGACCTCCCAAAGTGCTGGGGTTACAGGCGTGAGACACCGTGCTGGCCCATTTTAATGTTTTTGTAATGTGTGTATTTATCCCTTATTTTTTCCTCCTTTCTCACGTCCTACCTTGTGAAATATTTCACTGTTTCTTTTGGAATTCATAGTCCATTATTTGCAAAATGATCCACATCCTCAATCTTCTCTCCAACTGTTTCGTTCACCTGGCTTTTTCCAGAGAGAGAAGATACCTGCATATTCCTGTTGTGGTTCCTTTTTATGTCATAGCATTTTTGACTCTGAGCCTGAACATAGGCATTCTCTTTGCTCTTAATTAATCCTTTCAGACCATTTTTCTTCTGCCCATCCTTAAAAACTCCATTTTTCATTCTCCTGTCATCAGATTATATAACTCATTACTATCATCTATCATTCTATCTATGAATAACTGATCTTTCACTGGAACTTCTAGATGAGTCAAACTGATCAAAGTACTATGTCTAATTCCAATATTAGTTCTTATCTATTTCAATTTATGTGTAGATAATATTTACAGCAACTAGAATTAAGTCCCTTAAATTCCTCCATTCAACACCAGAGTCATCCCTGAGGTGCTGTCATTACTAATAACTGTAATGCTTTTATGGTATTACCATTTCATGCATAATACTCCCTAATACCACCTCTGTCTTTCTAAGTTAGTTCCAGTGTCCCCTAATTCAACTAGAACTTCCAAACTATTGTCCATTCCATATTCCCGTGGTCCTGCACTACTGGAGGTGCTCTCCATCCTTCTCATCCTACTTCAATTCCATATGCAATCATTACTACTACTCCCTCATAACTATTGTTGAATTCCAGGGACCTAGCTTACGCCTTCATTTGTTGACAGAATAACATCATGGTTTATTCAATCTCTTATTTCTCTTATCTTGCAACTATGCATTGCTGATTGTGACTAAAGAAAATGCACATAAATATTTAAATATACGACCAAAAAACAAAAGTGGGTTCTTGTGCTGCCAGACAACCAAACCATACTATTTGCTCTCCCGTTGTTCTAGATGTTATCTTACACTGCCTTTTCTTTACTAAAACTTCCAACATTTTCTACCTCATTTACCCTCATATAATGCCTATCGTTCTTACTTTCCTCGGGAAGTTGAGGCAATCACAAGAGAATATTGACAGACTGTCACCACTACACCTATTCATATGCCATCATCTATATTAGTATAAAGTAACTTTCTGCCCTTCATGAGAAATGAAATCTTCATTTACCTATGTAATGCCAATTACTCAGTCTATGTCCCAAATTTCCTTTGTCTTCCTTACACAGATATTGCTGTAACATTTCTCTACTTGCTTTTTTAGTTACTAAAATTTCCCTCTCTGATAGATTGTATCAGTCATCATAGGAATGTATTTAAACACTCTTTCCTATCTTAAATAAAACTTTTTGGCCCACAACTCTAATAAACTTCCTCCTCTTTGTAGCAAAACTCCATGTGAAATAATTGTCTATACTCGCTGTCTTCAAATAACTCTCTCAAATTATGTCTTAAATTGAGCATTTACTCTGGCCATTTTGCCAAAGCTGCTTTTCCCAAGGTCACCAAAGTACTTTATGGGTTATCTAAATTCCAATAACTATGTGTGACATTTGACACAGTCAATACTCTCACCTCCTTGATACACTGTCTTACTTGGCTTCTAACTTAGCCTACACTGTTAATTTTCTCCTACCTTATTGATTATTCCATATCAGTCCTCTTTTCCTATTACCTCTCTTCTATCCGACATTTACTATGGTAGTACCTTTGGGATATCAGTTCTTGGTTCTCTTCTCTGTCTAAACTTACCCTTGTATTAATCTTATCATATGTAATGATATTATAAAGAATACACAGGATCATATTATTAACTAGGCTCATATGAAACAGAAATACTACCCAGTATCAGGGTAACTAATAAATATTGAGGCACAAATAAGTAGGAAGACCTCTAGGACTATCAACACAGTTCCAATGGTTCTTTTATTCTACACTGGACCTGCTCCGAACTAATTAAAAAATTAACACAAGTAGTCTCTAAGTGATGTGTGAGGTTGAGATTATTTACAAAGAAGGAGTCATTGTGGTCAATAAGTTAAATCATGTATATTCAGATTATTAAATAATTTATATGACATATCCCATGGGCCACCCACATAAATTCATAGATGACAGGTTTACTGTAATCAATTCTAAATCAGGTATATCCTTTTAAAATCAATCACAGATAGAGCCTTCAACTAGCAAAATCATTTGTTTATTTTTCAGGAAAATTATCATTATTATATTTATAAGGACATTTACCAAGTAATTTGCCTTCTTTATTTTCCTTAGTAAGAGGAAACTGAATGAAGGGAAGACCAGCTGTTTAGCTGCATACTTTCCAGCATTGTCTCATATTTTAATATTAATGACTTCCAATTTATATATCCAGCTAAATCTCTCTCATGAATTGCATAATATTTTACCAAAGGCCATTCTCAATATCTCTATTAAGATGTTAAATCGTCATCTCATGCTTAACACGTCAAGCACTGAATTCTTAATACTCTTCCTGCTAAAATCTCTCCCATAATGACTGATAGCTATTCTCATCTTCAAGCTCAAAAATCATTAATTTAGGCCACTTGAGTCTAATTCAGCCCACTACAACCATGTACTTTGGTAATAGAAGTCTATTGCAACACGATTACAGTCTTTAGCTTATGTATTCTCTGTGGCTGTTTTCAGGATACAGCTGCATATTCTAATAGTTTCAGTGAAGATCATAGGCATAGAAAGTTTAAAATGTTTACTTTCTGGCCCTTTAAACAAAAAGTTGGCAGATCACTGATATAAAATAGTCTATAATTGTTCTGTCTTCTAATCTCATTGTGCGGTTTTCTTTTTTCTTTTCTTTTTTTATTATGCTTTAAGTTCTAGGGTACATGTGCACAACATGCAGGTTTGTTATATATGTATACATGTGCCATGTTGGTGTGCTGCACCCATTAACTCGTCATTTACATTAGGTATATCTCCTAATGTTATCCCTCCCCGCTCCCCCCACCCCACTACAGGCCCCAGTGTGTGATGTTCCCCTTCCTGTGTCCAAGTGTTCTCATTGTTCAATTCGCACCTGTGAGTGAGAACATGCAGTGTTTGGTTTTTTGTCCTGGTGATAGTTTGCTGAGGATCATGGTTTCCAGCTTCATCCATGTCCCTACAAAGGACAGGAACTCATCATTTTTTATGGCTGCATAGTATTCCATGGTGTATATGTGCCACATTTTCTTAATCCAGTCTATCATTGATGGACATTTGGGTTGGTTCCAAGTCTTTGCTATTGTGAATAGTGCCGCAATGAACATACATGTGCATGTGTCTTTATAGCAGCATGATTTATAATCCTTTGGGTATATACCCAGTAATGGGATGGCTGGGTCAAATGGCATTTCTAGTTCTAGATCCTTGAGGAATCGCCACCCTGTCTTCCACAATGGTTGAACTAGTTTACAGTCCCACCAATAGTGTAAAAGTGTTCCTATTTCTCCACATCCTCTCCAGCACCTGTTGTTTCCCGACTTTTTAATGATCGCCATTCTAACTGGTGTGAGATGGTATCTCCTTGTGGTTTTGAATTGCATTTCTCTTATGGCCAGTGATGATGAGCATTTTTTCATGTGTCTGTTGGCTGCATCAATGTCTTCTTTTGAGAAGTGTCTGTTCACATCCTTTGCCCACTTTTATAATTTTTTTCTACTTTCAAAACTGAGTTCATAAACCCTCTTTTAACTTCTTTGAAATAGTATTTTAAATGATAATATTTTCCTATTTCTATTATGGTTTTTATTGAATCCACATAGTATTTCTAAATTGTTTTCTTAATTTTTAAGAATATAAGTATCTTCAACTTAGTTACAATGTATACAGCAGAAACATTTGGTAAGCTATTAGTCCTTTTGAAATTTTGGAGACTTGCTTTATGGCAAATCTATGTTTGTTTTCTTTCTATGCTGCAGTGTAGATAGTTGTATGTGCTCTATCTTCAAGTTCACCAATTTTCCATTCAGCCCTGCCTAAACTTCTGTGAAACATATCCGTTCAGTTTTTAATTTTGGTTGTGTTTTGGTGTGCATTGGTTTATTTTTTAAAATATTTTATGCCTTTTAAAATTGTTTTATTGTTTTCAAGTCTAATAAAAGTGTGAAAACGTGCATTTTATTTCTTACTACATAGTAATCATAATTTGTATTTGTAGGCTGTGGTCGATATTTCCAAATAGTCCTCGGGGAAATATTTCAATTTGTGGATTATGCTCATTCTTAATTACAGTGTCTTGTTTCCTTTTATGTCTGGTCATTTGTACTCCATATTAGACCTTGTATAAAAAATACTTTTAATTATCCTTGCTTATTTCACTTTTGTGTGATTATATCTTCTTTCAAAGATGATATCCTTTACTTATATTTAATGCAATCTTTGATCATATTAATGTAAGTTTGGGATTTGTTTTTTCAGCTAAAGCTTTAAAAGACCATGTAAAGACAGGCTTTAATGCATGGCAGCCTGCTTTAATCCAGTTAAACCTTAACTGATGACAAAGATCTTTGAGTCCTACGTTAACATACTGAATGGTTCATCAGCATCACAAAATGTTTCATATCTCATTTTTTTTAAGTTCCATAGATGAAAAACAGATTCATTTGTAGTTCTTTCTTCCTTGATTATAAATGCTTTCAGAATCCATGGTTATTAGTATGACTTTTTTTTGTTTGTTGTTTGCTTGATTTATTCCTCAAATCATGGCCTAGAAATTCTTCATTGAATGGTTAGATCTTTGGTATTTTCAAGAAGATAAAATATGTTTTTGAATGAGCTTGGTTGTTCTCAAGGAGAACATTGACCATATTATACATTGTTTTATCCACCATTACAGGAAGCAAGGATTCCGAGTACTCTTCTGAGTACATGGCTATTTCAAGGAAATTAAATTCATAGATACAAGTGGTTCAAATCCAGGCTGCATTAGTAACTGTGCAATCACAGGCAATTTTATTGTCCTCTCTTAATCTTGTTTCCTACCTATTTAATATTGGGATGGTAACAGAGATTTTCAGAGTTTATGTGAGAAATATAAATGTATATAGAGTAACTAACATATGCATATGTCACATAAAAGAGCAACCAAACAGATGGCTCATTATTCTGGTCAGTATTGCTACTATTAATGTAAATTTAAAATTATAATTCAAACTGAGTAAATCATTTATCATTGTCGTGTACTACATAAATACTTGTAGAGAAAACCCACCTATCTTCAAAAAAATAGAGAAAATATGAAAGTGAGAGAGAGAGAGAGAGAGAGAGAGAGCACAGCACATTGGGTATATAACTATTATGTAGAAATCTTAATATCCTCCCATTACACTTAGACATTGTTCGGTAATTTTCTAGTTCGGTTTCTGATATTATAAATCTAAAAATGGTGATACAGAGTAGATTAAAAAGTTAGAACAAAAGACTTACGAGAAAAAGTTTAAAAATGGAAAAATTCTTAACCTGTTAATAGGAAACACTTGTTGTCCTACATATGAAGAGACGTGATTTAGAGATTCTCTCTTCAAGTCCTTGGAAAGCAAAATAAGAAAAGAGCTAAAATTAAGTGAGAGAGATTTGTTTGAAGATATGTTTTTGGAATGTAAGTGGTGTTTAAAAAAATGACAGAGCAATTTGAAGAAAGATGTGCCTGGTCTTTCCCTGGAGATTCTGAAAATATGATGAATAGTCACAGGTTAAAATCTGTTAGAATCTTTTTTAAAAGGTAGAAAAAACGTTAGATGATCTCACCGGGGTTACTTCAATCCTTTAATTCTATTTTTGTAGGACTCAAAATTATAACTGTATTCTTAGCATAAAATGGCCAGTTACAAATACATCCTGGTAATTTCAAAACAAATAAGCAAACAAACAAAAAATCTTACTATACAAAGTAATTTAAATTATATTGTGTATCTTGTAGCAGATAAGATCTGAGCTTTGGCATCTTAAATAATTTGCTTTGTTTCAGGTCAATGCTAAGCAAAAATTATTTGGAAAAAATGTTTAATTAACCTGTGAAAGATTAACTTTCTCATTGATAAAATGAGGACAATAATTCACACAATTGATCTTAGAATTTAATAAATAAAATAATACATATAAATCAAACTTTCACCATGCCTAATAAGCATAGTTTCTTAAAAATTACTTCATGAAAAAACAAATACAACAAATAAAAGCAGGCAATAAATTAACTAAGAATATATAATCTCATGATAAAATTGAATAAGAACTCCATGCTTTACTAGGAGAAGTAATCAAATGGTTAAGTCAAATAATTAAAAAGTGAATTTATCTTTTTTGTTATCATTGAATGTGACCTTGATTTTTTCTAATATTTAAAATTAGATGCATTTGTATAAACTGCCTCAAATCTTTCTCCTCCTGCTGCTCCTACTTCTCCTCCTTCCTCTTTTACCCTCTCCTTTTCTCTCTCCTCCTCCCTTTCTCTCTCTTTTTCTCTCTCCTCCTCCCTTTCTCTCTCTTTTTCTCTCTCTCATTCTACTTGATTTTATTTTTCTTTATCACTAGATGGTTTTGAGGCCTAAGGCACAGAATTAATCTCTCTATTTCAGTTTCCTAATGTACAGTCATGTATTGTTTAAGGGCAGGGATAAGCTCTGAGAAATGGGTCTTTAAGCAATTTTGTCATAGTGCAAACATCATAGAGTGTACTCACACAAAGCTAGATAGTGTAGCCTACTACACATCTAAGCTATAAGGAATAGCCTACTGCTCTGAAGCTACAACCTCGTATAGCATGTTACTGTGTTAAATGCCATAAGCAATTATAACACAATGTTAAATATTTCTGTATCTAAATATATCAAAACACAAAACAAGTTATAGTAAAAGCATGATATAAAAGTAAAAAACGGTACACCTGTGTAGGGCACTTACCATGAATGAAGCTTATGGGACTGAAAGTTGCTCTGGGTGAGTCAGTGAGTGAGTGGTGAATATGAAGAGCTAGGACATTACAATACTGTAGACATCATACATGATATACTCTTATGCTACACTAAACTTGTAAAAGTATTTTAAATTATTTAATAATAAACTGATCTTAGCTTACTGTAACATTTACTTTAAAACCTTTTTTTTTTTTTTTTTTTTTTTTGAGACCAAGTCTCCTCTATCACCCATGCTGGAGTGCAATGGCACGATCTCAGATCACGGCAACCTCCACCTCCTGGGTTCAAGCAATTCTCCTGTCTCAGCCTTCCGAGTAGCTGGGATTACAGGCAAGCGCCACCATGTCCATCTAATTTTTTGTATTCTTAGTAGATACGGGGTTTCACCATGTTGGCCAGGCTGGTCTCGAACTCCTGACCTCAAGTGACCCACCCACCTCGGCCTCGAAAATTGCTGGGATTACAGGCGTGAGACACTGTGCCCAGCCAAACTTTTTAATCTTCTTAACTTTTTGATTTTTTGTAGTAACACTTAAGTAAAACACACGTTATTCAGCTATACAAAAATATTTTCTTATTTGTATCTTTTCTATAAGCTTTTTCTATTTGTATTTGTAGTGTTTTTTTTTTTTTTTTTACTTTTTCAACTTTATGTTAACAACTAAGACATAAATACCCTTATTAGCCTAGGCCTACACAGGGTCAAGTTCATCAGTGTCACTGTCTTCCACCTCCACGTCTTCTCCCATTGGAAAGCCTTTGAGGGTAATAAGAGGCATGGAGCTGTCATCTTTTGTGATAACAATGTGTTCTTTTGGGATACCTCCTGAGGGACCCACCTGAGACTATTTTTAAGTATTTTTTTAATAAGTGGAAGGTGTATACTCTAAAAAATGATGAAACAAAATAAAAACATAAACCAGTAATATCGTCATGTATTATCATAATCAAGTATTTTGTACTGTACATAAGTGTATGTGCTGTACATTTATTGGAAGTACAGTAGGTTTGTTTATTTCACCACAGACACGTGAGTAATGCTTTGCACTATGACATTATGACGGCAATGACATCACTAGGTGGTAGGAAGTTTTTGACTGCATTATAATCTTATGGGACCACTGTTGTATATGCCGCCCCTCTTTGACAGAAATGTCATTATGTAGGGCATGGTTGTAATTGTAAATATTAAAGTATTTAATATATTTAAAGCATTTAAGACAGTTTCTCCATCTAGCAAAAAATAAGGAATTGTTAGTTATCATCTTTGCATCTTATAAAAAGGTATGGCTCTGCTTGATTTCAGCTTAACAATGTAAATTACAGTAACATAGGGTTGTTATGAGGCAGGAACAAATTAACATTTAGAATACTGCTTGGCACATAGCAAGCATTAAATGTGTTTATTTTAAAAATTAATATACCATGCAGTAATCATACAGTAGACTTAATTTTCAAGAAACTTAGCCATCTAACAAAATATGTATATGTTCGTGTCTATGTGTACAAAAGGCAAGCTCTAGATGTATTGAAGATATTAACATTTAATAGAATTTGAAAATTATTCTAATAAAGATTTGGCATATCATGTGATATAAGGGATGTGTAAATAAATAAACATAATCCAGGAAATTTATTTTTAGAAGTTTAATTACTAATGTGATTTATTCTTATAAGGTTAAAACTAATAACCACATGCTAAGTCACCAGATTCATTATAATTAATTTAAAATTAAAAGTATAATTGTTTCAATTTTATATTTATATACATATATTATATCTTTGTTGGCAAGGCATTGGTATTCATGACAGTTTAACATTTCTGGAGGAGGAGTTAGCTGTGTTGGTTTATATCCAGAGAGTTAATAGCAATGCCTATGCTTGAAGTTCCCAAAATGTGTGCTGAGGTGCTCAGGTTGCAACAGTGAATTCACCCAATTCCCATGGAATAATGCATTGCATTTCATAATTTTCAAGAAAAACACAGCAACACTCAACAGAGTTACTAAACATCATACATCACACGATACTTCACAGTTCAGTATTAATGCACATTGAATTCCTTTCAATGGCATCATGTCTTTGCAAATCTGTGTTTTCAGAAATTGCTATAATAAAAATCAAGTACTGAGGGAAAGCTACCACAAAACAGATTTTAGGGATACTGGTGTCCAATCTAATTCCAAAATTTGAGAAGCTATAAAGTGTGCAAAAGGTAAATATATCCATTTTATAAGACATTGTGGTTTTTTAATAATGAAATAAAATATTTTCTTACAATTTATATGTATTGTTTTAAAATGGCTGTACTGTTTAGGTTAACTACTTAATAAATAAAATTGATTAGTATTTATTTTATGGAGAAGAACCATTTTTTACTGTACATAAGTGTATGTGCTGTACATTTATTGGAAGTACAGTAGGTTTATTTCACCACAGACATGTGAGTAATGCCTTGCACTATGATATTATGATGGCAATGACATCACTAGCTGGTAGTGATCAGGCCAGAGTAAGGACTCTGTTAGCTGCAAAAGTTTGGGAACCTCTGGTCTACAGCAAAAGTGCTGCTCCCAGATATCTCAATCCTGAATGTCAGAATAGTTCTCTATTCTTTTCATATCCAGAGAAAACATTTTGCTACTCATTTTCGTTATTTTTCCACCCAAGCCACAGTGTACATATTAAAATTCTCTCATTAAATGTTCTTTCAGCTTTGGAATTTCACTCTGAGCAGTGTTTTAGTTAATGTCTGTAGTAGAAAACAAACAAATAACATCATCAACAACAACAAGGAGAAAGTTTCTGGTCTTTATTCTCCTAATATCAATATTTTTTCTTCACCGTTTGTTACTCCTTGAGGTTCCTGAAGTAAACTAGAAAGATGCCTTGGCACAACACTCTGCCAATACATAAGGGGATTCTATCATTGCAAGTAACAAAAAAAAAACTAATGAGAAGTGGACCTGGCAGCATCTCAAATCTGTATCAATGTTATGCATTTTGAAGAAACACAATTTTATTGGTAAAAATAAATCCCTTTAGATTGAACTAATTTTAGTCTATGTACTTCACATAGGCCTCTGTGTTATGATACAGGAGCAGAAAGAATGAGGCTTCTTCGCAGTAGACAGATTGAAACTTTCACTCTAATTTGAGAGTTTCCCTCAAATCTCTCTGTCCAATTGACACCTGTGTTATTTCCCATTGTTAAGTTCTGAAGGAATGAATGTTACAAAAGACCTGGGTGATATGATCACTAGTCTATGGCCAAACACATACCAGAATTATAGAGATCAAATATAGCAAATGGAAGAAGGGAAAATAATTCTAAAACAATGAGAGAAGTATTCAACCCACTTTTCTACGTAAGGCAGCAATATGTTTAACCGCACAATGTCAAATATTGAAAATATTTCTTACCCTTGGGGAAGGAATGATGTCAAATATTCGATATTTTATTAGGGATTTTGGAAAATTCCCTGGATTTTGACTGCAGACATCAAAATGAAAATAGAGGCTCAAAATCAGTCTGGGAGTTCAAGAGGGGTGAATAATGCTCAACTGACAATTTTCTCTCCATCCTTTTCCTCTCCACAAAGCCCATTTCTATTAAAGGTAAATGTGTCTCTCCTTTATGTAAGTAGCGAAGACCTCAAAGCAGTTTTGATTTGTGCAGCTTCTCGAAGCTATTCCAAAAATTCTCTGGACTACAGAGAATCTTTGCTTCATGTGAGTACAACTGAAAGGTGCTCTTATAGTTTCTTTTTATTTTTTAACAGCAACAAAGAAACTTACTACCCCAGATTATTAATTCCAGTTTTAAAAATAGAAAAAAAGTTGAAAATTTCAACTTATATTTCTCTTTTACCCCAGAATTTGACACAATACATATTCCTAATCAATATTTCAAGTATCTTAATATCCATTTTTACTCTATTCTTAAGTTCAAGCTGTCTGATTTCCACCCTCTGTTTAGCAAGCTCTGTGTAAAAGATAATTTTCTTAAGCATCTATGTTTCTAGAGATAGTCCTGAGGATATGGAGGTTAAGTGCTAAAAATGCATGTGAAATGCATAGGAAAATATTTGACACACAGCAGGCACCTAATGGAACCTATAGATGCAAGCATTCCTCCCCATTAGAAGTAGAAGTTGGCTCCCCTTGGGGACTTGTGACAGTTTCATTAAGGTATAAACCCTTGGAAATTCTGGTGAGGGGGAGGGAATAAATCTCCTTCTGAGATTGAGGAAAATTTTCCAGAAGTTCATTTCGGATGATCTTGCTTATGTCTCATTGGCTACAGGTGGTTTATATTTATGGTGCTCCTAAATTATTGTCACAAAATGAGAATGGACTTAAAATGGTTAGCTTAGAATAGTGAGTCTCCTCTTGAAACTCATCTTCATCAGGAGATGGACAAATGAAATCACAGTTCTGTTTAGAAAGAGAGAAAGAGAGGGGAAGTGACTGTCAGGTTGTCAATGTGAATTGTAAACTGCATAATATACTTAATTTGTACTTATCTCATGTTCCTAGCAAGCTATAACTAAACAGAGGTGGTGCACTCTATCAGGCATAGCCTCCACTTCTCTGTGAACAATGCACCCCAACTTTATGCAGAAAACTTTCTAAAGAGGGTTTGTACATTCTTCTCTGTCTTGACTTTGCATTGTCTCTGAATGTCTCTATCCATAGGGTTCCCTAGACAATTTTTACCATTGTACCATTGAGAATCATGCTTTGCATTTTTTTTAACTAATGAGTCTTCCTTCAGGAAAAACATTTTATCCCTTTGTGCTCATATCTGCCTTAAGTGATTTTAAATAGAAAGGGTTCTTAACTTTTCTCAGTGCCTGTGCCCCAGAGTACAGCTGCTTTGCCAAGGTCTGTTCTTAAGACCTTGCTTTACTTCATCTTTAAAACTTACCATAAGTGAGCAATTTGTGCTACTTCAACAATATCAGAGGCATTCATTTCTGTCTTTTATTTTTATTCAGCAGTGACATATTTCACTTATGTTCCACTTCCCATTTATTTTTCAACTATATCTGTAAGGAAGACTTTTAAAGTTATTAAAATGTTAACTGTTTCCTAAGAGCGTTCCTTTGCTATGGCCCGAAATCTTTGTCCTTTTATTTGTCTCTCCTGCCTTTAGGCATAGACATTTGTTTTGCTAAAATTTTTCTCCATATTTTTCATTGAGAATCCCTCACAGTGAAACCTATGAATTCTACAAATTCTCACGTTGATAGAAACATTCATTTTTCAAACAAATCTTTTCTATCCTCTCCTCCTAAGTTGTATAATTCTACCCAAGAGGTATCATTTATCCATTTTATATCTCTCCCCTCCATGGAATACATTTATTGTTCTACCTTCCTTCCCCAAAGAAAGATTTGTCTTCCCTGAGACATACCTCATGCTTCTAAGTAATAGATGTCCCTCAGCATACGTATATAACCTATTGGTCTCCTACCTAAATGTTTGGATTTGTTTTTCTTCTAATACCATATCAAGCATTCTACATTGAGAATAATACTAGTCTTTTCCCAGGAAATCTGACATGATTTTCAGGAACCTATAAGTGATGTTCTCCTAATCAGAAAAGAGAGGGACAAGGCAGTTGTCAGGGAAAATATTAACACCTTTATAAGATAAAAACACACGAAAGAGTTTCTTTAGCAAGTAAGTGTCTCAGAGAATAATTTCACTTTTCTACCTGAGATTTCCCCTTTTCTTCTTTTGAAATGCCTTGTAATTGTTCTCTTGAGAATACACTATCAAATCTCTGAACCTCCAATTTTCCCCAGTTCCATATTGATGAGCAATTTATCATTGAATAAAACACATTCACAGTTATGAATGTGTTTTATTTGTCATTATATACATATTTATCCTATTCTTTAATATTTCAACTCTTATACTAAGGAAAACTTTCAATTCCTACTGTGAATATTATTTTCTGGACCTACTAATCAATTTATTTTTAACATTAGGTTAATGTAATGTTAAAATACTGGAAGCATTCAGAAAGTTGTGTGAAATCTTGCTTCTACTCATCCCTCTTCCTCTATTTACTCCCAAGTGCCCTGCAATGGGCACTTTTATATTCTTGCAAGAAATTATTTAAAAATAAATTATCTTATTACCAAAGAAATGCTCACTGTTTCTATCTGATTCTTATATGGAGATGGCTCTGTAACTTACATTAATTAAAAGAGAATTTATCTCCTGATTGTTGAATGTTTTTGACACTATTAGTACTATTGTCCTCCTGCATTTTAAACTTCAGTTTTCAGGTTCATTAATACAGGAATTTATTTCTCTTTCTCTCTGGACTTAATATCCATGCCTACCAAGTTTTATCTTTTCTTTCCCTGCCTGATTTTGCTAATGTGAGCTTGTTTTCTTGGTAGCATACTGCATATTGCATGTCCAATCAGTGGCTACTTAGGAGGCTCTGCCCACATTTTCTCTCTGTTGCCTATTTCTTCTTTTGTGTGTGCTACTGAACATATGCAGCTTTTTAACATTGAGGGGCTTTAATTTATCAATAAGCAACTACTATTTTATACAAGAGATTCATGCATTGAACCTCACTTCAGTTGCTTAAGACGTATGGGGACCTTTTAATATCAATTACTATATTGGAATCAGAACCCTCCCTGTTTGTTTTGCTTCTAGATCTGGATACAATTAATCCCATAGTTTCAGTTCCTACATACTACTGTCTACTTTTGATCCACAGGCATATTTCTCTAACATTAACCTCTGTAATTCTTTGGTCACTTTCAAATTTCATATCAATATAAGCTTGCTTTGGAAAACCCACCCAAATATACACCCTGTGCCTTAATGAAAAGAGGCAACTAGGAATTAAGTAATTAGGTATCAACCATATGTCATATTTTTAACAATACCACTCATATTCAATTTCAGATCCATGCAAGTTTACAGCATAGTATCCTTCAACCTTCCGCAAGTACAACACAACATTTAATTATACAGAATTATTTCTCTTTATCTTTTTGGCAACTGCAGATATTTTCAAATGCGATTTGCAATCTCTATGCTTAAGGTTTTTTAAAAAAGAGGATATTTCAAGTGAAGATTGACAAGAGTAAAATGTTTCTTTCTAATTTACAGACGTTAAAGAACAAAATGAATTTAGAAGCATTTTCAATAAACTCTTGGGAGCTAGGTACCTGAAAAGTCTCTGTTGTTACTAATGAAAAAAGCATAAAACATTCTGCACATATCATTTATTCATTGTGTCACATTTAAATCTTACTTTGGTGACTATACATACACAACATCTAAATCATGATTTCAAGAAAATTAACAATTATTTTGCCCATAACATCTTATCAATTGTGAGTTCACTGTAGTAGCTATCTTCTAAATCCCATGAAGTATAGGACTAGAGTTATCTCTATTTAATACATTATTTTATTATTCAAATTATTCTTAAATCATTATTTGTAAGATTCCCAAATTAGGCATTCTGACATTGACTCAACTTGAATATAGCAAAGATAAATTATTTATATCTTTACATTGTTTCCTGTAATCGATGTTGTCATTATGATGGGCATTATATATTTTTCGCTGTCTCTTTTCACAAACTTCAAATATTATGAAAGCTTTAGCTCATTCTTATGATTTAACTCTTCAAGCTAAAAATACACAAAGGATATGAAAGGTAAAGATACATCCTCTGAAAGTTTATAAGCATAAACTGTATTAATTGAATTTTCTGTTTTTATACTTATTTCCCATTGTGCATTATATTTAATTTTGCCCTAGAACTTTTATGTTCTTTTTGGTTATGCAATATGAATAATGGTATTATAAACAGGCTCTTATATGATATGGAATGAGAGGATTAAATATGCCCTGACTAAACTTAATTTTACAGTTATAGTAACCAATAAATATTCAATTTATTTTCAACTAAATTTTGTTCAGGTAAAAAAAAAAGATAAAGTTTGAATATGATTGTATAATTATGATAAATAAAATGCCATAAATTTTGTGCTATATTAGATTTCAATTTCAATTTTCATATCACACCCATATTGATTTCACTTATAGAAAGGTTTCTTTCCAATCAATATTATTTTTATTTTAATATTTACTATTGCAATTTTTTTGTTCCAAAACAGCATTTTTTTTCTTTTTTCCTCCACCATCCCAATACAGTATTGAACAGAAGTAGTGTGAAAGGGCATCTTTGTCTTGTTCAATATTTCATCATTAAGTATATTATTAGCTGAGGTTTTATGTGACAGCTGTATATCGACTTGGGGTAGTGCTCATATTTCTCAAATTTTCTGAAGTTGTTGGCTATGAGAGTGTGTTGAATTTGGTCCAACAGATTTTTCTTCATTGTTGAGATTATCATATGAATCGTGTTATATGTTGTTTTAATGTGGTATATTAAATGGATGTAACCAATCTTCCATTTCTGGGATACAAATTAATTTGTCTTCTGTCAGAAATATGTTGCCAAATTCTTTGCATTAATAATTTCATAGGACTTTTACATCTAAATTCACAAGGGATGGTTCTCTGGAAATTTTTTCTTGCAGTTTCTGTCAGGTGTTCGTATGAGTTTTGTACTAGGTTCATGAAATTATTTGGAAAATGTTCCAGTATCCTAATGGTGATTGTGTGAGATTAAAAGTGTTAATTTCTTAAACATTTGGCGGAATTCAGTAGTGAAATATCTTGGTCTTGGGTTATTTTTTTGTGTGGAGATATTTTGTAATACAAATTTAATTTATTAAATATACATGTGACTACTTAGAATGTCTACTTATATTTGTGTATGAGTAAGTTGTGTTTTACTGAGAAATTTATCCATTTCATCTAGTTGTTGAAGTAATTAGCATACAGTTATTCAAAAATTGGGATAAATGTATTCTTTCATTGTCTGGAGAATATTTGGTGATATTCCATCTTTAATCCTTGATATTAGTGTTTTCTGTTCTCTCTCTTGTTCTCTATTAGTCATATTTAAGGGTCATCATGTTAACAAACCTTTCTAAAGTATCAGATTTGTTCTCTTTGTCTCTCTACTATCCATGATTTCTGTTTTTATATTCAATTTTTTAGTTACTTATACTTACTTTGGTTTAATTTGCCTTTTTGTTTCTACCTTTACAAGATGAAATAAAAATCTCTGGTTTTCAGGTTTTTCTCTGATACAAGAACATAAGGCTATAAATCCCTCTTTAAAGGATAATTTAGATGCAACTCGTGAATTTTATTATGTTCTTTATGTATTCTGTTTGTTTCGATAAACCTTATAAGCCATTTGTGACATCTGCTTACCCAAAAGTTAATTAGAAATATGTAACTCATGTGTGGTCCAGTATGGTTCAATATATTGTTTATATTCACAAATAGCAGTGTGCACTAAAAAGAATGTGTGTTTTTTAAGGTGTTGGATGTAATGGTTTACAAAAGTCAATAAGTAAAGTTGGTTGTTAGTATTAAGATCTATAGACTTACTCTTTTTGACTACTTGTTCTACCAATTGTCAAGACAGAAATGTTACAATCTCCAACTATTGTTGTGATTTTTCTATTTCACATATAATATTTTTATGTCGTGATTGCATGACCTTTTATCTTTATGGATTATCAGAGAGAAAAAGAGAGAGAAAAAATTAATCCCACTAAAGAAAAATTGAAATGATTCTAGAAGTCTAATGTAAAAAAAAAAGTAATTTCTGACAAAAGTTTTAAGATGCTGCAAAAATAAGAAGGTAAGTGGTAAATATATGAGCAAAAGACGCAAATATTTACTTAAGAAATAACAATATGAGTGATTAAAAATTTGTAGAATGCTAACTTCTAGAGAAATTAATAAAAATACAGCAGATATATTAGTTTAAAAGGTGTTCCATATTTAGATGAAAATATAATAACATATTTATGTTATGTATTTAAATCCAAATAACATATTTATGTTATGAATTTAAATCCAAATTCACAAAGATTCTTAAACATATGTTTAAAATAGGGTACAATCATATCATATATCCACCAGAAGAACTATAATTAGAAGACTGACTTGGTGATATCTTGGAGCAAGAAGACCTCTCAGGCATTGGTAGTGGTAATGTAAAATGGTAAAATCTCATTGGAAAAAGCTCTAGATGCTTCTTATGAAAAATACACTTACCCTATCATACACAATTGCACTTGAAGGTATTTCCTTACCAGAAACAAAAATACTTGCTCACACAAAACTTCTATAAGAGTGTTCATGACATCTTTATTCATAATCCACAAAACTGGGAACTACCTAAGTGTCTATCAACAGGAATTGATCAACAAATTGTGGTATAGTCTTACAATGAGATACTACTCATTTCAATGAATTAAAAAGGAAGAAACTACTAGTATAACAATAATATAGGTAAATCTGAAAGATATTATGGTGAGTGAAAGACACCTTAACCAAATGAATACCTTATGTATAATTACGTGTATTAATATATTAAATTTTAGAACAGGTAAACCTAATTTTCAGTGGGAAAAATAATGATAATGGTTGTCTCTGGAATGAAATGGGTTAAAAGTTAAAGACTGATGTGAACATTTGTTCATATTTTATACAATGATGAAGATCTGGATTAAAGTATATGCACCTGACAAAAATAAAATAATGTAAAAGAAAGATTTGTGTATTTCATGTAATGTAAAGTTTGTTTAAATACCTATAAATAAATATTGAACTATATTTTTAAATATATATGCTGAACTTAAGGTGGAATTGAACTGCTATCAGCAATTTTCTTTGAAATACAACACAAACTGTATTCATTGATAGAAGTTTGGGTAGATGAATAGATACGTGAAGAAACAAGTATAGTAAAATGCAAAGGTTTATTCTAGGTGCTAAATATGACAGTGACCAGAGTAAAACCTTTTAAACTTTGCTATAGGTTTAGTTTTTAAAACAAAGTATTAAAGAAAAATAGAGTGAAAATATGACGAACTGACAATCATTTAAAACAATTGAGTTTTAAAGCTTAGCACCAAATGAGTAAAAGAGTAATAAAATTGGACAACAGCAGCAACCACTTTAGTGGTTAATGCTCTTCTTCCCTTATTAACTTAAAATATTTATTTTCTTTCAGAAAGAAGATTCAAACTGAAACTACATTAGGCAATTCTTTGTATACAGTTTTGCCCTTGGTAAATATGTGGCCAACAGAAAAACTAATTTTGTTTTTCTGTTTCAGAAGAAGGGATGTTTTATTATAAGCATCTTTTCAAAGACACCTACTGACCAAGAATAATATTGATAGTGAGAAGGAAAAGAAAAAGGTAACAGCCTGGAATAATCAATAAATACACATGAAGCACATAGAGAAACACATGATAGAAACACCCATTTATGCCTATTATTTAGTTATAAAGAAGTTACATACTTTACTTTCTCTTATGTAATTTGGAGCCCACTTTGCTCAATATCTGAATTGTATGAAGTGATAATATTGATTCCCAGTAATTCTAAAAAATAGGAAAGCACATTCTCCAAGCAAACTTCTAACCATGAAATAGCCAGAAAAGGCTCCATCTCTTCCCTCATTGCTACATATAATAAGGCCTTTGCCACATATAGGCAATAAAAATTACAAAATTGATAATTTATTAACTCATTTTTCTAAACATGTATCCAAAGTCCATTTTTGTGACAGTAAATAATCTCTACCGCTGCTATTAATATGTTCATTAGAATACAAATAAATGGACATTTATTAAGTAATTAATATGTGATCGATACAGCAACACATTTTCTATTCCTTTCCTCCATAGAGTGAAAGACAAATGTAGAAATAAAAATAATTAGAAAATAATCAATTTTAAAAAATGGAGCTGGCCACACATGCAGAGACATTGCAAACTAAAAATTATGAATTCTAGTGTGAAGAAATAGTGACATCATCATAGAAAAAATGGGAACTTAGCTAAGCTTTACTAATAGCATTTGGCAGAAAAATATATAAAAGAGAATGTAGTACAAAATTTAAAATAGTCTTCCAAAAAGAAGAAAGGAAAGAGAGAAGGCAGAGAAAAATATGTTTCCTAGAAAGAGAAAGGAAGGTGAATTTATTTCACAAGCTTCTGAAGTTGACCATATATTAGATTAGTGATTAAAAAAATAAAAATTAAATTTATCCTTTTTAACTCTCTCTAAACACCCTAGCCACATACTTGTACACACAAATCCCCTTATTACATTTGTGAAAAGCAATTTTAAAGCATCTCAATGTTGTATCTTGATGGCTTTTTAAAACTTTAAAAAATATAAGACACTATTTCAAAGCATGTTGTATCATATATACTAAGTGATGTTTGATGAATTTAAATTATAAATATTTTATTATGCAATTTAATTATTTTTTTTCCAAAAAATAAGTAATGGTGTTGGAAAATGACAAATCATTACAGTTGTTTACCTACTTACATATCGCTAAACACTAAAACATGCAAGTAATTTCAAAATTAAATTACGCTTGACAAGATTAAAAATCTACATATAACTGAAGACTTTTAAAACACAATATTTTGATATATTCTTAAGTATACCTACAGAAAAGTGGTATTAGTACTTTCAATATAAAGGTAATTTGTTGATGTTTAGAAAAATTTTACATGTATATACTTGTTATAGATTTGCAATGGAATGATTTTGGATATGTAAAAAGCTGAGAACTTTCATTATATTGTTGGGTAATTTTGCCCTGGAAGTAAAGCTCAATTCTGCTGATGTAAGTGGAAATACTCTTTTCAATGTTTAAGATTAAAACACTTTTGTGTAACTTAAGAAAAAAAACTTTTTATTAATAAATTTCCTTTATTTAATGTATATTTTATCTGAGGCTCCAAATATTCAGTTGATGTTTATAACTAGAAAATAATTATTTGTACTTTGCCTTCAATGCAGCAAGTACTGAGTGGGAATTAAAATTATGTAAATATTTAATTAATCTATTTGTTATTTCTACCTTTGTTTATTAAATGGGCTCTGAGATCTTACAAAAGTGTTTAAACAAATCAAAACAAACATATGCCCACACAATAACAAAATGTGTAAAACGTATTTCTTACAACGTTTGGTACAGTGTACGGTACATCATTCAGTGAAGAGTCCAAGTTAATGGCTGTCTTATTAGCTCTTTCTATATCTTTTTATGTGCCTTTAAAATCTTGATGCCTTTTTAGTTTAGTCCAGCACTTCAAAAGCACTATAGTCATCATAGAATATCTTAAAAACATGTTACCATTTAGCGCAAAATGTAGTGGCTATCACTCAGAAATAATGAAAAAGCCTAGTAAATCTTTTGGGATCTTATTCTCATGGTTTACATTTCCAATGAAAATAGGTCCCAAATTCTCAAAAGAATACCTGTAAAGACACCAGGAAGGAAAAGTCAAAACACCACTAACCTTTGTCATGCATGCCTAAAAGAGGATATGATAATTCCTGATTTTTGTTATTTTTTTCTTTGTTTCTCATTTGGTAATTAAACCAGTATCACTTATTTTTGGATTTTGTTATGAAAGCCTCACATTCTTGTCACTAATTTCAGTTTTAGTTAGCCTAAATGTCAAGCTTCTAGAGCCAAGAAGATTCCTAAATACTCAAAGACTAAAAACATGCTTGTTTAAATTAAAATAATAATAACAATGAAGAACATTAATAGAAGAAATGTATTATATTGTTCTTATAATATATTTATTACATTAAAATCATTACTTATTTCTTTGGCTTTACCGCAGAGCATATAGCCAAAGGAAAAAAATTTAAAATATGACAGAAAAAATAATAGACATATAGATTGACAATGTGAAATATCTACGAGTCCTAGGATGTTAGACTTCAGAAAATAGATGTCTGAAATTATCCAAAATAATAATAGTAATAATAATAATAATGGTAGAAAAGAGTACCAGTCTTTAGATTAAAAATTCCCAGAAAGCCAAAATATTCAGTGAAAGAGAAGCATAATTAATATCTTCTTGATATGCACAATAATGAGGATAAAGAAAATATCAAACAAATCTTCTAAAAGTAAATAATAATAATAATGGTAATAACAATGGCAATGTAAGCAAATGGTTTGCTAAGCCCTTTCTCTATGCAGGAAAGCATTCAGCTTAGCAAACCATTTGCTAGATAGGCTCAATTCAAGTAAAAACAGGAGATCATATGTTGCATCAAGTTGAAATACATCAATGCATATTTCCCAAAAACAAAATTGACATTTTGGTTTCCAGCTAATTCCTACATTCGCTTATGCAAAGTTTCAGAACTAGGAAAGCGGAGGGATAATTAAATGGGAATTTTAAATCCTATAACATAGATTTGTATTTTGCGTTGTGATTTAAGGTAATGGTTATATGTATGGACTATTGAGTCAGCCTTCTTGGACATGAATTCTGGCCCTGCCACAGATCGGTTCTGTCTGTTCAACTCATTACTCTGCTTGACGCTGGTTTGCTCATGTGAAACATGGAAATTATGAGTACTTAGCATATAGGTTTTCTGTGAGTATTAAATAAGATATTGTAAAGAAAACTCTTAAAACAGTCTTGGGGTCTGGAGGGTTCTATATACATTAATCAATACTTTTTATTACATTAACCAGAAATTGAAACTCAATTGCTTGGAAGTCTTCTATAATCATCTCTATATCACTATAATGATAAAGTTTAGGTTCATCAGGTGAAGGAAGACTGAAGCCTGTCACACATAGTAGATTCAATGTTGGTGGCATCTAGTAGATTCAAAAATAGAAATCTAAGAGAGAGTAACTAAATTATTAGTTTTGCAGTCTTCCTCTTTTTACATTTCATCAAAGAGGGACATAATCCTTCTTTCCTGAAGATAAGTGACTTAATGGAAGGAGTAGATGGGTGTGTGGCAGACAGTGATAATTTCTTCTAAATATACTGACTTGGGAGACTGAGAAGAAGGCAATTGTCTGACATATTCATCAGAACCTGTTTTCTACCACTAGAAAAATGTTTCCTGATCTTCCAAATCATTATTCCATATCAGTTTTCTTGGGTTCATTCTTGCTTATTTCATTTTACCTTATGTCAGGGAGTGATTTTATCAGCTAAAATTTAAAGAATTGGCTAACAAAATCATTTTCAGATATATTTCTATTAATCACCCTCAAATACCTTCATCAGTAAGTAGATGAATTGAGGCCAAGATATCTTATTTTGAGAGAGAAATTTTAAACAGATCCTTCATTATAACAAAGCAAACATCAATGGCATCTCATGGTATCACTGGAGGAACATTTATAATCATGCATTTTTCACAACCATTCTCACATATTATGATGTTACTTGTAATGTTTACAATTATGAATTTGTGTATGAAGTTGGACTTTTCTGTTTGCTGGTGACAGATGGCCAATTTGAACTCTAATAATGGGAGGTATTGACTCATGAAACTATTGGCTCATAATTTGAAAGAGAAGCTCAGGGCCAGCATGACACATTATGGTGGCCTTCTGTCCTGATTTGTCACTTAATGTCCATTTTATTCCCATTAGGACGTGTTAAATTTATGTTTCAAGAGCCCTCAACACAGATTTTCTGGGTCCCTACACTTAAGAGAGCAAACCACCACGGCACATGTATACTTATGTAACAAACCGCACATTCTGCACATGTATCCCAGAACTAAAAGTGAAATTCAAAAAAAAAAAAGAGAGAGATTCAATATAAAAGAGAAAAGCATGTTGATTGCCTCTAATCTTACAAGAAATTGTTCAATGAATTTCCAAGTAGCCCACTTCAGGTGATATGTCCATGCATTTGATCATTACCTGAGCTACAGGTAAGACAGGTCTGCAGAAAGGAAAAGGTAATGCTTGATAAACACATCAGTATATTTCCACTATACCTTCCCCAATGTTACTGATTACATCTAATCTCTATTTACCCACCTCTGTAAGGCATGCTCTTTCCATTTATAATAAGCTTACTCATGATATTTCATTAATGTCTGCCTTTATTATTAATATGTACATGTACAAAGGGCAGGCAGGCATCGTGTCTGTTTTGCTCCTTGATGTGGTCCCATTACCTGGCATATTGACAGGTTTATCATTTGCTCTCACATATTAATAATGAAATAACTGTCTTTTTTCATTCAGTTCATACTAAAAGTTCAGATCCCAACTTGTATTATGTATTATTGAATGCATTCTATATCTGGAAATTATAACTTGTTCTAACAGTGCTTTGCTGAACTACTCTGCTGCTTCTGTTCTTTTCAAAACAATGAAAAATAGTACTTTAAGCCTCATTTTTTTTACCTTGCAAGTGAAAGGGAATCTCTTGCTACATGTGGAAGCAGCTTACGAAGTACTAATGGAATCTAGCCTCAGTAGCTGCTATCATGTTTAAACTAATTTTCATTGTCAAAAAACTTGAGTAAAAAGTTAATATATTCCCAAAGCTCATTTGGATTGTCTTGAATACTCTAGATTTTATGACTGGCAAAATCACCTAGGAAAGAAAAATTTCTCCATTTAACAGTAGTCATCAGTCATCAGATGCTAAGTATAGTACAGTGTTCCACAATTCAGATTGTTGCCAGGCCAGCCTTACTTCTATTAAGAATATTGGCTGTGGGGGGAGCAGGGGTTGGGAATGGGAAGGGCAAAGATGACCAGAGTGGAGAGGTGGAGATTTTCTTTTAGTATTTTTTTGGTTATTTTGAAAAAAAAAGAAAACAAACAAAAACACTGATATCACATGAAAACTTTCTAAAGCCTAGCAAATTAGACAGCTTTTTAAATTTTTTTTTATTTTATTTTTTACATATGTAACTGTTTATGGCACAGGGGAAGGGATTCTCTCCATATTAGTGAAGCAAATTCAGTACAGCTTGGTGCTGGTCAATACTCCCTTAGTAGACATTGTCAGGTGTCACCAGCATTGAACTGGCACTAGCTGCAGTAGCAGCATAGCAGGATGTGAAGGCAACTCTGAACATCTTTAGCCCACTGAAATATTAGCTAGGGGATTTGCTGGCCTTTAGAGGCCTGGAAAAGTAAATTTTATCAAAGAGAAGCAGAGTCAAAGCAGAGGACAAGGTAAAAGGTGATGCTTCTGTGTTAGCCGTGATCATAGGATCACAACCCCTGTGGACCTAAAGGAATAAATAGGACAGAAGCTTTGAAAGAGTCCTCTGGATAGAGACACATAACTTCTCTCAGTTACAGAAATTGTGACACTACATTTACATTCAGACTACTATGTCCTAAAATAACAGGGTTCCTTATACAATATGTTTCAATTAGGTAACAGAGTTGTTGTGAAGAGATATATAAAGTTGGACACTGCATCAATTCAAAGGGTAAAACATTCTGCCAAAAGAGAAGATTTATTTACACCTCTCTATTTAGATGTCATGTAGGAAATATAGAATAGTAGCTAGTTAGTTTCATTTATCTATTCTAAAAGCAGACAGTGGAATACATTTCAAAATGTATATGTCCATTTGGGGAATCTATTACAATTTACCAGGAAGCAGAAAGACTTGAGGAGAAATTAGAAAATTCCAGACTTCATGAGTCTCTGTAATGTAAAAGTGTTTTAAATAACCAAGCTGTCTTATGTTTGATGTATTTTCCTTTGGGGCTTGAGTCATAAACATAGATATATGGAGGGAAGAATTTTATATCAAGTTTTAATGAAAGGTTAATCACTTCAGCATCAATAAGTCATTTACTAGGAAAGACATTCTAATTCATAACTGTAAGGTTTGATATGTGTTTCCATTTATTAAGATGTAGGGAAAGAAAAAATGAAAATAACCAAACTTTAAATGTAGCTATTAACTTGCTTGGTGTTTCATGATGCTAATAGATTCCTGTCAAAATAGAAGCTGACTTCAGATGACCTTGGTTGAAGTTGACTAGCACTGAAATTTAATTAACTGCTGCATTAGGGTAGTAATGAATACACTTTATTGCAGGTTAGTAATAACCAGAAGAGACAAAGCCCAAGGGTGTAAGTTTTTAAGCATGCTGCAGAGATAGCAGAGGAGTAAAATTATATGCAAGCAACTTGAAACTTCTTGTAATAAATTACTTCCAATATTATAATGATATAGACAAAAAGCCATTGATACTTTAAGGAAAATCTCAGAGCAGCAAGTTGCTGGGGAAAGTTTCTTTACACATATGTAAGAATGTACGACCATTAATAGTAGATTAGAAGAGTGGCCAAAATGATCCATGCTTCCTTATGCCCACACTCTTTGCAGAGTGATTTGCAAGTCTTTTCTTTAAAAGGTGGAGACTCTTTCCTTACTCCTGGAATCTGAGCTGATCTGGTGATTTGCTTTGACCAGAGAGAATGACACAGAAGTGATGTTATGTAACTCCTCACTTCAGACTTCAGAGGCCTTGCATGCCTCTGCTCCCTTACTTGGACTCCTGAAACTTCCATATGAATAAGAAAAGACTAGCTTCCTGGAGATGAGAAACCAAATAGAGCAGAGTCAATCAGCTGGTTTATGTCATCCAAGGCCCAAGGCTTGCAAAAGAACCCATACAAGCTCCACAAAGACAACCCTCAACATTTCTTTGAGCTAACCACCAAATGGAACAGAGTCAATCAGCTGGTTTATGTCATCCAAGGCACAAGACTTGCAAAATAGCCCAGACAAGCTCCACATAGACAACCCTCATCATATCTTTGAGCAATCCATCAGCTGACTGCAGTAGGTACATAGCCAAGGACATCCTAGAGCTGACACGCCCACACTGACTCAGTGATTCCTGAGCTCAACAAATGTTTGTTTTAAACCATTGAGTGTTGCCGTAATGTTACATAGCAACAGAAAACTGATGTGGCTGATTATATTGTGTTTGAAAACAAGAGTTTATTTGTTAAAACATTGGGTTTTCTCCTTCAAAAAATTATTGAATCCAGGAGCTGGTTTTTTGAAAGGATCAACAAAATTGATAAACCGCTAGCAAGACTAATAAAGAAAAAAAGAGAGAAGAATCAAATAGACGCAATAAAAAATGATAAAGGGGATATCACCACCGATCCCACAGAAATACAAACTACCATCAGAGAATACTACAAACACCTCTACGCAAATAAACTAGAAAATCTAGAAGAAATGGATAAATTCCTCGACACATACACTCTCCCAAGACTAAACCAGGAAGAAGTTGAATCTCTGAATAGACCAATAACAGGAGCTGAAATTGTGGCAATAATCAATACCTTACCAACCAAAAAGAGTCCAGGACCAGATGGATTCACAGCCGAATTCTACCACAGGTACAAGGAGGAACTGGTACCATTCCTTCTGAAACTATTCCAATCAATAGAAAAAGAGGGAATCCTCCCTAACTCATTTTATGAGGCCAGCATCATCCTGATACCAAAGACTGGCAGAGACACAATCAAAAAAGAGAATTTTAGACCAATATCCTTGATGAACATTGATGCAAAAATCCTCAATAAAATATTGGCAAACCAAATTCAGCAGCACATCAAAAAGCTTATCCACCATGATCAAGTGGGCTTCATCCCGGGGATGGAAGGCTGGTTCAATATACGCAAATCAATAAATGTAATCCAGCATATAAACAGAGCCAAAGACAAAAACCACATGATTATCTCAATAGATGCAGAAAAGGCCTTTGACAAAATTCAACAACCCTTCATGCTAAAAACTCTCAATAAATTAGGTATTGATGGGACGTATTTCAAAATAATAACAGCTATCTATGACAAACCCACAGCCAATATCATACTGAATGGGCAAAAACTGGAAGCATTCCCTTTGAAAACTGCACAAGACAGGGATGCCCTCTCTCACCACTCCTATTCAACATAGTGTTGGAAGTTCTGGCCAGGGCAATTAGGCAGGAGAAGGAAATAAAGGGCATTCAATTAGGAAAAGAGGAAGTCAAATTGTCCCTGTTTGCAGACGACATGATTGTATATCTAGAAAACCCCACTGACTCAGCCCAAAATCTCCTTAAGCTGATAAGGAACTTCAGCAAAGTCTCAGGATACAAAATCAATGTACAAAAATCACAAGCATTCTTATACATCAACAACAGACAAACAGAGAGCCAAATCATGAGTGAACTCCCATTCACAATTGCTTCAAAGAGAATAAAATACCTAGGAATCCAACTTATAAGGGACATGAAGGACCTCTTCAAGGAGAACTACAAACCACTGCTCAAGGAAATAAACGAGGATACAAACAAATGGAAGAACATTCCATGCTCATGGGTAGGAAGAATCAATATCGTGAAAATGGCCATACTGCCCAAGGTAATTTATAGATTCAATGCCATCCCCATCAAGCTACCAATGACTTTCTTCACAGAATTGGAAAAAACTGCTTTAAAGTTCATATGGAACCAAAAAAGAGCCCGCATCGCCAAGTCAATCCTAAGCCAAAAGAACAAAGCTGGAGGCATCACACTACCTGACTTCAAACTATACTACAAGGCTACAGTAACAAAAACAGCATGGTACTGGTACCAAAACAGAGATATAGATCAATGGAACAGAACAGAGCCCTCAGAAATAGCGCCGCGTATCTACAACTATCTGATCTTTGACAAACCTGAGAAAAACAAGCAATGGGGAAAGGATTCCTTATTTAATAAATGGTGCTGGGAAAACTGGCTAGCCATATGTAGAAAGCTGAAACTGGATCCCTTTCTTACACCTTATACAAAAATCAATTCAAGATGGATTAAAGACTTAAACGTTAGACCTAAAACCATAAAAACCCTGGAAGAAAACCTAGGCTTTACCATTCAGGACATAGGCATGGGCAAGGACTTCATGTCTAAAACACCAAAAGGAACGGCAACAAAACCCAAAATTTACAAATGGGATCTAATTAAACTAAAGAGCTTCTGCACAGCAAAAGAAACTATCATCAGAGTGAACAGGCAACCTACAAAATGGGAGAAAATTTTCACAACCTACTCATCTGACAAGGGGCTAATATCCAGAATCTACAATGAACTCCAACAAATTTACAAGAAAAAAACAAACAACCCCATCAAAAAGTGGGTGAAGGACATGAACAGACAATTCTCAAAAGAAGACATTTATGCAGCCAGAAAACACATGAAAAAATGCTCACCATCACTGGCTATCAGAGAAATGCAAATCAAAACCACAATGAGATACCATCTCACACCAGTTAGAATGGCAATCATTAAAAAGTCAGGAAACAACAGGTGCTGGAGAGGATGTGGAGAAATAGGAACACTTTTACACTGTTGGTGGGACTGTAAACTAGTTCAACCATTGTGGAAGTCAGTGTGGCGATTCCTCAGGGATCTAGAACTAGAAATACCATTTGACCCAGCCATCCCATTACTGGGTATATACCCAAAGGACTATAAATCATGCTGCTATAAAGACACATGCACACGTATGTTTATTGCAGCACTATTCACAATAGCAAAGACTTGGAACCAAGCCAAATGTCCAACAATGATAGACTGGATTAAGAAAATGTGGCACATATACACCATGGAATACTAAGCAGCCATAAAAAAATGATGAGTTCATGTCCTTTGTAGGGACATGGATGAAATTAGAAATAGTCATTCTCAGTAAACTATCGCAAGAACAAAAAACCAAACACCGCATATTCTCACTCATAGGTGGGAATTGAACAATGAGAACACATGGACACAGGAAGGGGAACATCACACTCTGGGGCCTGTTGTGGGGTGGGGGGAGGGGGGAGGGATAGCATTGGGAGATATACCTAATGCTAGATGACCAGTTAGTGGGTGCAGCACACCAGCATGGCACATGTATACATATGTAACTAACCTGCACTTTGTGCCCATGTACCCTAAAACTTAAAGTATAATAATAAAAAAATATATATAAAAAAATTGGGTTTTCTTTCCTTACTACCACCTGAAAGACACACTCTAGCCCTATAAGCGGTTTAACACATTTCTAGATTAATTTCACATTAATATTTGGTAGAGAGTATGATTGGAACAGGTGATATTTATAGGTGGTAGAAACAGGATTAAATAGAGTCAGAAAACCAAATTTCTAGATGAAAATTTAGTGTATAATAGAAAGGAAAATTAGTCAGGTTGAGACATTTAATTTATTTTATTCTCATGTTACCTGAGATAGAAATATAACATGACCTTTTGTTTCTCACTTTTCCTCTAGATTAAAATGGAACTGAAACTTGTAGATTGTAGCAGTCCTGAGCTTTCAGGACCTTTCCTTCCTATATCCCCTTGGCTTTTGTATGTCAGATTCCTATTATCTCAAGTGTGAAGTATGGCAAAAACGCACTTTAATGATTTTCTCAAACCAACCGTCTCTCTTTTTAAGCCATGTATCACCCAGTAATGATTTTCAGCCTGAGCCAGATTTAAAAGTTTCATTCTTCAGTTATGATCCTTCAAAGCTTGCTGTATTGCATTGTATCAATATTCCTTCATGAACCCATGCCATTTTAGTTTCTCTGTCTTCCACTTCTCATTCATTGCTCATAAAACCTTAGATGAAGTACTCTTTCCAAATGTGTCATGAAACTTTTAAATTTCTTTAATTTTAGGAACAAAAAATTATATACATGTCTATGTTTCTTCTTTTCCTAGAATGCTAAAGAACTCAAATTCAATTGTGTATATTTGAAAAACTATATTTCAAATATGTATATTTGAAAAACTGTAATTTTTAATGAATGAAAACAAAATTAGTAAGAAAATAAGTAAACTTTCAAAATAAAAGGCACAAGGTGATTAAAAATTGCTGAAGTTCGTCAGAAATATGAGTTTCAGTTATAAAATGTGATGTTTGTTTTGGCAAAGAGAACTAGGGCCTCAGATATACCTGAAAGAGTGTGAAGAGGTTGGTTACTACAGAGTATATTGCAAGTATATGAAAGTAATGAGCTTAGTCTTAGAGGCTCTAATAAAACAATTACCTGAAAAGAGCAGTTAGTGAGTAGGTAAAAAAAAAAAAAAAAAAAAAAAAGAAGAAGAAGAAGAAAGAAAGAAAGAAAGAAAAGGATTACCTGTGAGAAAACATTTTAATTTCTAAATTTTCAAGGCATGATAAATCTAAGTACAGGTAGCCAGCCCGAGGATGTAACAAACTGCACAGCTCATGCACCTAGAAGGTCACGATAAGCAAACAGAATGTAGAGGAGGGGGTCAGACAATAAAGAAAGTTTTGTTATTGGGAAATTGAACCTTAAGTGGGGAAGGGGACAGGGATACAACCTTATAAGGGAGATAATAAAACTTAGGTGATGTCAGGGAAGATTGTAAACCCATAGTACTCGACCAATGAGGAACTGGGCGAGGGAGTTATGAGCTAGGAGATAAATTACCTGCTGTAACTGCCCCAGGTGTGCCTGCCTACCAGGCACCCAATCTAGCAAAACCGCCATTAAAAGTCTCGCTTCCACTGTTCTTTGTGTCTCCAAGTCTACTCTTTGGGTTTGGACAGGTGAATGTATGTTTCTCACATAAGAACAGTTGAAGCAGTACATAGTATTGTGGCTAATATCAGATTGTATAGTCAGAGTGTCTGGATTTTAATCCAGTTTCACACATTTACAAGATATACAACCTTAGGTAAATGTCTAACATGTCTCTGTGCTCTCATCTGTAAATAAGTAATAGCTTTACCTTTTAGGGTTGTTATAAAGATTAAATGAGAAGATTTTATTTTGTAAAATAATTATTTTCTAACTCCTGGACATTGGCCTAAGCAAAGGGTTTATGATTAAGTTCTCAAAAGCAAATGCAACAAAAACAAAAGTAGACAATTGGTACTCATTTTAGCTAAAAATCTTCTACACGGCAAAAAGAAATAACAGACAACCTGCAAAATGGAAAATAATATTTGCAAGCTATGCCTCTGACAATGGACTATCAAGAATCTATAAGGAACTCGGCTGTGCATGGTGGCTCACGTCTGTAATCCCAGCACTTTGGGAGGCTGAGATGGGCAGATCACGAGGTCAGGAGATCGAGACCATCCTGGCTAACATGCTGAAACCCCGTCTCTACTAAAAACACACAAAAAATTAGATGGGCGTGGTGGCGGGTGCCTGTAGTCCCAGCTACTCGGGAGGCTGAGGCAGGAGAATGGCATGAACCCGGAAGGCAGAGCTTGCAGTGAGCCGAGATCACGCCACTGCACTCCAGCCTGGGCAACAGAGCAAGACTCCGTCTCAAAAAAAAAAAAAAAAAACTATGAGGAACTCAAACAACTAAACAAGAAAAGAAATTAAGAAGTGGCCAAAGGACATGAACAGACATTTTCAAAGGAAGACATACAAATAGCCAACAAACATATGAAAAATTTCTCAACATCACTAATCATCAGAGAAACATAAATTAAAACCACAAAGAGATACTATCTTACACCGGTCAGAATGGCAGTTATAAAAAGTCAGAAAAGAACACATGCTGGTGAGGATGCAAAGAAAAGGGAACACGTAGACATTGTTGGCTGGAATGTAAATTAATGCAACTTCTATGGTAAACAGTATGGATATTTCTCAAAGAATTAAAAATGTATCTACCCTTCAATCCTGTAATCCCACTACCGAAAGGAAAATAAACCATTATATCAAAAAGATACCTGTACTTGTATGTTTATTACAACACTATTCACAATAGCAAAGATATAGAAACACCCTTAGTGTTCATCAATGAATGATTGGATAAGTAAAATGTGGTACATATAAATCATGGAATACTACTCAGTCATATAAAAGAATGAAATCATGTCTTTTGCAGCAACGTGGATGGAGGTGGAGGACATTATTCTAAGTGAAATAACTAAGAAACAAAGTCAAATACCACATGTTCTCACTTCTTGGTGTGAGCTAACCAATGACTATGCATTGACATTCAGAGCTGAATAATAGACATCAGAGACTCAGAAAGATAGGCGGGTGGGAGGAATGTGAGGAGGGATGAGAAATTGTCTATTGCGTACGATGTACAGTATTCATGTGATAGTTACAGCAGAAGCGCAGACTTCATCACTGTGTAATATATCCATGTAACAAAACTGCACTTCTGCCCCCTAAATCTACACAAATAAATAACATATTAAAAATGCAAAAAGCTATATTAACATGGTAAACATGTTATTTAAAAATGAAGTACAATATTTTAAAATATTTTATATTCTAAAATTTTTGCCTTGCTCACTTTTTCCGCCACATTCACCTCCCTGCCTTAGAGTATTTGGATCCTCTTTCAACAGATCTCCTGATGTTCTCGTTCATTTCATTCATATCTGTTCAAATGACAAATCCTCAGAGTGTTCTGGCATCATCTCTCCATTTAAAATGGAAGCGTTTCCTACTCTCACCCTCTTCTACTCTGCCTTTATATCTCTACATAGTCCGTATCAATATCTGACATCATATTCTGTGTTTAGTTGTTTGTTTTCACTCTGTTTTTACTAGAATACAATTGGGCAAATGACAGTAGATGTTTTGCCTTTGTATTCTTGTTATTCACTGATTCAAATCCTTCTACATAGAAAAATGTGGCTTATAAGTTCTCACTAATTATTTGTTCAGTATATGTTGAATAAATAAAATACTTTAAAAGACATTTCTATTTTTTCTCACAAGATTTTAAAAAGACCAATGACAAGATTTTTTTGGATGTGCAATCTATATATGAATAAGAGGAATCTAACACCTACAAAGAAAATATTTTATTTAATATACATTTTCAATAAGGGACAGAAACTATAGCTTGATTATCACACTTTTAATTTTTTCATATAATTAAGTTATCAAATCACATAGATATTTTAGACTATAATTTATACCAGGTAATTCCTTAAATGATTTTACTTAATAGAGTGTTCCGGAAATAAAAATACATTTTATTTTAATCAAGTAATACTTTTGGATTGTGTAAACAAAAGGAATAGTACCCCTATTCTTTGTTATATCTCTATCTTTGATGGATAACTAATTGGTGCCTTCGCTTCAAATTTGAGCAGAGTTTCTAATTTGGAACTCAAAGCTAAAGTTAATTCCTAAAATTTTCAAACCAAATTCCTCACTTTTTAAAGAAAATGTTTTTTGTTTTGTTTTGTTTTTGTGATTTAGGCCTGAGGGGAGAAAAGCAGCCAAGAGTAAGGTGCAAGAAAGTCACCCTAAGTCTCCTTCCCTATCTATCCTATGGAACAAAAGTCTTAATCTTTCTTTCTTTCTATTTTTATTTATTTGTTTATTTTTTCTTTGAGACTGGGTCTCGCTCTTTCACCCGGGCTGGAGTGAAGAGGTGTGATCTCTGCTCACTGCAACCTCCACTTCCCAGGTTCGAGTGATTCTTCTGCCTCAGCCTCCCAAGTAGCTGGGATTACAGGCATGCACCACCACGCCTGGCTAATTTTTGCATTTTCAGTAGAGACAGGGTTTTGCCATATTGCCCAGGCTGGTATTAAACTCCTGACCTCATATGATCTGCTCACCTCAGCCTTCCAAAATGCTGGGATTACAGGCGTGAGCCACCGCACCTGGCCAAAAATCTTCATCTTGTTAGGGGAAGGAAAACAAACACTGCAGTCCTTAGGACACTGAAGAAAATCTATTGCAGTTGGGACAAGGGAGTAAAATTAGAAAACAGACTACTTTTGGGAGAGAGGCAGGAACAAAATCTGTAGCCAGAAATACAGGACGAACAGGAAGGGCAGGAACACTGAGGGGATCACTCTCCCTGAGGCCAGGGTCAGAGTGCCTGCCTCAGACTGTGGCTTAATCTGAAAAACAGAATGGATTTTCCATGCCCTCCAGAGTTGGAAGACATAAAAAAGCCATTGGGTAGGAAGCACTGAGTAACAAGCAAGAGTGGAATATTGCTGGTACAGAGATAGGAATAGGATAAGGATGTCAAAAGGGACATTCTCTGAGACACCACAAGAATGGAAAACCTAGAGTGAAAGTGTCACAGCTAAATATGTAAGAAAAAATGCACTAGGGAGTAGAAGGTAGGTATAAAAGAGAGATAACTTCAAGGAGACTGATAAAAAGCAATAATATCTGTAATGGAATAAAAGCTGAGGCCTGGCACGGTGGCTCACGCCTGTAATCGAGCACTTTGAGAGGCTGTGGTGGGCGGATCACGAGGTCAGGAGTTCGAAACCAGCCTGACCAACATGGTGAAACTCTGTCTCTATTAAAAATACAAAAATGAGCCGGGCATGGTGGTGCACACCTGTAATCCCAGCTACTCAGGAGGCTGAGGCAGGAGAATTGCTTAAACCCAGGAGCACGAGGTTGCAATGAGCTGAGATCACGCCACTGCACTCCAGCCTGAGCGACAAGGTGAGACACATATATGGAGATGGTAGATAAAAGTAGAGAGATGAGCAAAACATGTTATTTTACATGGCAAAAATATGTTTTGGGAATGGGACTATCTTATGTATTCAGAGGGTAAGTTTTTATGCCCTGACTCTTCCATCAGAACAGCTTTGGTTACTTTAGCTTTGTGTGTATATGCAGCGGGTTAAAAACGCTCCCTTGTATTTTCCAGGACTGATGTTTGAGCTACAGTAGTGAAGAGGGAACATCAATATCTAGCATTTAATGTTGCCCTAAGTTGAAGCAATTCCCATTGACTTCAGCATGATTTTAATTAACGGGAAGATTTGGCCAATTAAGTTCATCTCCTTGTTGGGCAAGTCCACAAACTCCTACCTGTCACTTGGTACAGGTAGGCTTCACACTCTCACATGTTCAGGCCTCCCTGCTTTCTCAGATTTGGGCACTGGATAGAAGTCATTAAAACAAAAACTTTGTAGTGGATAAGAAAGTATATTATTCAAGAAAAGACTTAGAGGTGTTACATGGGTATTTTAGAAATACCTAGTTGGTATATTAAATTCAATATCATTGAATGTTGATGATATAGTTTTCACTTATAGCATTTTGCTATTGTACACTCTTAGCTTTCCTAAGAACAACAACGTATGTTATTAAACACCTGTAGGAAAACTATGCAACTTTTGGAATTGTAATGTTTTATTCTTTGGTGTTTACTTAAATATTTTATATGAATGTAGTTAGCTATAGTTTAATTTGTATTTGGCACTATAAATATATATAGCTAATTATGTAAATTACATCACATACATTTGAAATATAATAATGTTTAAATACGAAATAAGAACTTTGTTAATTTAAGAAAATAATGGCTTTTTCTGTGACTATCAATATTAATATTTCAAAAATAAAATTCAAATTTACTTGTTATCCAAAATTCATCAGGATTGTAATCTATTTTTCAGCATGCCTGATAATATAAACACATAAAACATAACTAAAAAATTACTAAGAATATATCCCACTGAAGTTTATAGGAATTTTTCTATTAATAATGAAGTACATGCAACATAAAGAAAAACATTCTGCTGTCTCATTATTCTTTCATCTGGAAACAGGAAACTGTTAAAAGTAGAAAAGATTCCAATAGAATCCATGATTCATATTATATATGAGAATGGTTGTCCATATATTAATTCAAGCACCTAATTAATAAATTCTATATCAGACTCAGGAATTGTCACGGGTCCCATAGAAATTTCAGATTATGGCTAGGGAGGCTATATACAACCAGCATCTAAACCATAGGTAGCACTTTTCAGACTGAGGGGATGTGGGACAAAGAGCGACAGCTGGGACCCTGGAACAACAGGTATTCAACAGACCTGCCTCCAGCAAACTGGGACTCATGGTCACCCTAGTTATGTGTCTGCTGTGCTCTACACTGAAATCTCAGTTTGCTCTGCCTCAGCCGCAGACTTTTGATCCCTCACTCGGTAATTTGGAATCAGAGATAATGAGTATAGCTCTAGAGGCAGGAAGGAGGATGGTAGTAAGTTTTGGATAAAAGTTATAAAGAACTGACAAAGAATAGGAATAAGAGACTCTGAATAATGCTCTCTTTATAGACTTTACTGCCTTGGCACCTGAAATGAAAAATCTGAGTGCAGGAATGAGGCACTAGCAATTTACCTTACAGTACTATAGATTTTGAAGATTGATGGCATTTTGTTCTTCTTGTACAGCACATTGGATACGTGAAGAGGTTATATGGTCTGCCTTTGTACACTAAATTTATATCTGATTTATAAGCTGCATAGAGCTCTCCATCAAAATAACAAAAAAGGTTTCAGTGCTGCTTAGAATGGCATTCTGACTTTTGTCTAACAATGAAATGTGATTTAAAGTGTATCACCTTCTTGATGGAGAAATCAAACCCCTCCCCACTGCCTATTTTACAACTTATTTCAAATAAGTCCTTCAATTTGGTTTGTGGCAAGTATGATTTCTTCAACTTTGACAGATTTATTTTGATTCTGACAAAAGTATCACCAAATAATGGCTCTGTTCTAAAAGGGAAGGCACTTACTTTTGCCTTTGACGACATAACAGCTTACCAAGGGGATCATGTAGCAAATTCTAAAATGTCCACTGTTACATACAGAAGGTAGCCCCCACCTAAGCTTCAGTTAACACTTTAATAACCTTGTGAATCTAAAAATATATATGAATGACAGTCTAATCAATATGAGGTTAAAAGGAGAAAGCTGACCTATAATTAAATAGGAGCACCTCAGAGTTTTCATGAATTTGCCATGAAGCAATGTTCTATCTAGAGGCTGAATAAGTGCTTCTTGGGACCATTGTTCTAAATTAATAAATGATTTTTTTAAAAAAAGAAAAAATGACAACACACAGCCTTAAAGGAAACTTTAAAAGTTTTAAAGGAATTTTATTCTCTTAGATTAAAAAAAATACTATTTTGAAATATATTTATGGGAGAGTCTAAATACATTTTTAGCAAAACTATATATAGGTCAGGAAGTTGAACAGAGTTAGGGTAGTTGAGTGTAACTTTAACACATGATTGTATTATCCACACATATTATATAGCACAAAGAGAAAATTTAGATTGCAATACAGTCAAAAGAGTATATTATATTCTTTTGAAGTTCCAGTACACACACATGCAAAATAGTGGTAGAAATCAAACTATTTTGATTATCTCTGTAAGGCCCCATTGCTTAGAAAGCAGTACAAATGAATCTTTGGCAATTCTGGAAATATTGTATATTCTGAACTGTATTATATTGACATGGATGTACACATTTATAAAAAGGAATATCTATATGAAAGATAAGTAAATTCAAAGCCCTTTACTGCATAAATATTGTACATCAATAAAAACTTAACTAAAAATTATAGAATACAGCAAAAGCAATGAAATTTCTTGAGAAGAAGCAAGGCCCAAAGAAATTTGAGAGACTTAACTGCATATGTTAGAAAGGAAGAAAGGCTAAAGTCATTGACCTAAGCATAATTCTCAATAAGATAAGAAAAAGAACACTAATGAATGAAAAGTAGGAAGTAGAAGTAGATTACAGTCTGGTAATCTAACTAAAATATATAAAAGCAATATAAAAAAGAAAACTAAAGAAACATTGTTAAAAATAATAAAATTTAATGAAAAATGCAGTGTATGGATCAGGAACCAAAAAAAGAGAAGACATAATATCTAATGACAAAGGAGGCATCACAATATATCCTAAAAGCAATAAAGGTAAGGGGAAATATAAAGAAAATTGGATGAATAAATTTTAAAATATAAATAAAAGTGATTATTCCTAGCAGACACAGCTACCAAAAACAGTCCAAAATTAGAAAATATAAAGTCTTACAACTTTTAAATAAAATAAATCATTTTATTTTTATTATCATTTTTAGTATTATTATTTTAGATATGGGATCTCTCTCTGTGGCTAGGCTGAAGTCTCACAGTCCTGGCCTAAAGTGATCCACCTGCCTTGACCTCCCAAAGTTTTGGGATTACAGGTGTGAGTCACTGTGCCTGGTCTAAGTAAAATAAATCTTAATTAAAAACCTTTTCACAAGATTCTAGGCTCAGTTTGTTCACAGGTCAATTCAACAGACATTTAAGGAAAAACTACTGCAAATCTTTCAACAATTCCTCCAAACAACATAAAGAAGTATTTCTCACAATGTGTTTTCTCAGTCCATCATGCACTTGCTATCAAATCTGACAAGGATATTACAAGAAAGGAAAATTAGAGGTCAATTGTTCACGAACATAGATGAAATGTCCCTAAATAGAATATAAAGAATGTGGTTCCTTTTAAATAGAGGGAATATATTTATACATTGGATTTATTCATTCTCTGCTAAGTTTTTATGAATGTTAAAATGTAATTAGAGAATTTATCATGTTAAGAAAACAAAAATCAGAAACATTTCAACATATACAGAAAGCCATGTAATAAATAGGCTGTCATTTTCTTCATCTGATATAGAATTTCTATTAAGAAAATACTACAGCAAACATACTTGCTAGTGAATTTTTAAACTGTCTATCAGAGATCGTAAATGAGACAAAGATACTCACTAGCATCACAGCTACTAAATATTAATTGAGTATATGAAACATTACAGTTTTTAAAGAATTGTAATTTTAACAGGAATAAAAGGACCATGTTAGCAGGTACTATAACTATGTGAATAGAAAATTCAAAATATATATCCACAAATTAAAACAAGCAGAAATTTAGTTTGTTACATTTCTGCCTAAATTACATTTTTAAATACAAACATTTATTAAATGTTATTTTAAAAGATATCATTGAAAAGGTACTTAGAAATAAATGTAACAAAAAGTCTTTAAGATATCTATATATTGAAAACATTGCAGGAAATTTTGTATATACTTAAATAAATAGGGAAACATACCATGATTTGATTGTATATTGGGAACTCAATATTGTAAAGATAAGAATACTTCCATAACTACCTCATAGATGCAATGTAATCAGTCAACATCCTAATGGTTTTTATTAATGTATTAGTGGTTATATTTGATGAGGTAATTATAAACAATAAATGAAAAGACAGAGGGCCAAATGTAGCTAAGTTACTTTTGCAGAGAAAAATGTTGTTTACTAAGCCCTAGGATAAAGTTAGATTTATTAAACAGTGCCTTTTCAGTATAAGGCAGGATGAAGAGACCAAAAGAGAATATAAACCCTAGAAGCTATCCTTCTCACATAGGGAGAATAGATTTGTGATTAAAATGGCATTGGATAGCACCAGGAAAGTCATTGTCTTTTGAAATAAATGTTACCATATTAACCGCACTTAAATATTTTAAAAATGAAACTTGACTTCTATCTTCCTATAGATACATGATTAATAATAATGTGAATAAAGTTTAGAAATATTGTACCAATAAAAGGTATTAATGAAATTGTATAACATAGTAACAATTTAAGAATATTTCCCCCACAATTACCCCTAACGTATTCTATATTTATTGGTGTAGTAAATCAAGTATTTTAAACACCAGTAAAATTAGCATACAAAATGCACTGGAAAATATCATGAAAATACTCAGAAACTGTGATTTAAAATATTATTTACAAATTAAAATTTGAGTAAAATGCTATGCAAATCATTTCTTATTTAATCAACAAAGTTTACAAAAATAAAATTTACTTATAGGAATAGTTAAATGATAATAAATTTTCATAAATTTCATCAATGATAAGAAAGAAAACCTAGAAAAAATAGTGTGAAAGAAATTGAGCTAGCCAGGCACAGTGGCTCACACCTGTAATCCCAGCATTTTGGGAGGCTGAGGCGGGTGGATTACTTGAGGTCAGGAGTTCAAGACCAGCCTGGTCAACATGGTGAAACCCCAACTCTACTAAAAATACAAAAAATTAGCTGGGCATGGTGTGCACCTGTAGTCCCAGCTACAGAAAAAAAAAAAAAAGAAAGAAAGAAAGAAAAAGAAAACAAGAAATTGAGCTTATAAGATCAAGTATTCTTTACCGTAGGTCATATTTTTTTGGAGGGGGATTGTTTGTTTGTTTGTTTTTGTTTTTTTGCGATGGAATCTCTGTCTCCAGGCTCGAGTGCAGTGGTGAGATCTCCGTTCACTGCAACTTCAGCCTCCCAAGTTCAAGCAATTCTCCTGCCTCAGCCTCCTGAGTAGGTGGGACTACAGGCGCCTGCCACCATGTCCAGCTAATTTTTTTTTGTATTTTAATAATTTTTTTTTTTTTTTTGTATTTTAGACAGGGTTTCACCATGTTGGCCAGGATAGTCTCGATCTCCTGACCTCGTGATCTACCTGCCTCGGCCTCCCAAAGTGCTTGGATTACAGGCGTGAGCCACTGCGCCTGGCCCATATTGTGATTTTATTTTGTGAAAAAAATGTTTCAGTCTTCCTGTGCAACAGAAAATCTCCAAATATGTGAATTTATTTCTTATTCCCTAAATTAGGAAACACCAAACTAAACACAACACTACTGGTTATCTTCCAAAATATATAATTTTACCTTTTTAACATTTATTGGTTTTATTCTGGAGATAAGTGGCATGGGGTCACATAGACCTTTAGACTATCTGTTCTTCATGTTTAAATGTATAATTGATTGTTTCATACTGTGATACTCATACATAGTATACTAATTTTCTTCTGAGATTTCTCTGTCAGCTTCAATATTAATATGAGATTTGGATGTTTGCCTGCTTAACATAACATGTTTAATATGAGAATGAATATATAATAATGTGAAGATTAATTTGAAAATGGCAAAATGAAGCTACCTCTATAAAAGAATAACACTGGAAAAGTTTTAATTTTTGACCTGTCCATTCGTATAGCTGCTCTTTTTGTTTCTTTTTTAAAATTTATTATTTAGTTGATTTAATTCACAAATTTGTTTGTTGTACTTCTAACTCAAAAAGAAGAGTCTTCTTAGGGTGATTGCTTTTCCTAATGGTTCACATACAGCCGCAATTTAAAGGCAAATATTCTGCCGATAAAATTAATTATTTGTTCTTCATCTCCAAATACGTGTGCTGCTTACCTACATAAAAGCTTTCAGAGGTTTGTTGTGAGTTCTACATTCTCCAGTGAGATTTATGGTAAAAAAGCTCTTCACACTTTACAATGTAAAATGTCATGTGCGTTAATGGTTATGATGATATTAGAAGAATCCTATTTTTAAGAAGCACTCATAGGGATATATTAAGAAGACATAAACACCTAGACCACATCAGTTCCATTAAGTCTAAAAACTCATTATCCAAATGTTAATACAATTGTCATTCATTATGACAGTAGAACAAGATATCTTCATGAGCAAAAGTAAATGTGTTTGCTATGGTCTTGGCTTTACTTTTGATACAGGCAGCTGTTTCCAACAAGACAGCTGTGGTAAGATAATAGAAACTATGGAGACAATAGCTGCCTTGTCATATGATAAGTAATGCTCTTGGAGTGATTAGATGAAGAGCTTCTTATCCAATGAAGTATGTGCTGCTTTTCAGAGTGATGCAGAACTTTGCAGAAAACTTGTAAACACTCATCAAGATGGCATAAATGGCTAAATGCTAGTGGAAGCCTTTCTTAATGATAAAAATAAAAAGTATTGTGAGGCCTTTAGTTGCACAGCTTACTGTTAACCATTACGGGATCTAGAATTGTACAGATTTGAGCTTGATATCATCCTCTGAATTTTGTTACCTCTGTGAACTGGACAAAGTTCCTAATCTCTGATTTTTTGATATTTTATACATTGAGAAATATAATTGTTCTTATGTGATTATTCTGATGGTTAGAAAAAAAGGGTGAATGAAAACTAGCTTTACAAGAGAAGGAGTGAAGAGGGTATAAAACAGTTAAAAAGCAAGGAAAAGTAAAAAGTAACATACTTAGATTTATTTATGCATTTGTTTTTGTTCAATGATTATAAAACAAATTTAAAGAAGTAAAACATGTAGAAAGAAATTTATTCATTCATTTGAAAGAATCAATGAAATTTATGTAATATGCCTGATGATAATGAATAGTGTTAGTCATTTTAGCTCATCTTCAGAATAACTTGATTGTTTGGTTCTATTCAGCCAGCAATACTTCATGCTGCTGAATGTTTTCCACGTACACTGTTTATCTTCCTTCTTTCTCACCCCAAACCTGTCTTCCTTTTGTGTTTAACCTAAATCAACAATGTTACAAATTCTCAGTCACCTATACTAGAAATTCAGAAGCACTTTGAAGTACTTCTGTACCAACACATAGACTCAACTTCTACAAACTTCTGAAATTTCCTCCCACACAGTTCTTGAGCCACTTTTTTCACCTCTATATTCACTGTTCTTATCAAGGCCATTGTGTGCTCCCTGCAATAGCTGCTTAGTTCATAATGTGCCACTTCTCTCTTTCCTCACAGCTGCATTACATTGTTATAGATAAACTCTCCAGACAGCTATAGAGTCCAGTGTCTACACTTATGCTTTAAATCCCTTACCCTCTGTTTTTGCAAGGCACAATTCTAGCAGTTTTACAGGTCTTTCTCTGAAGAATTCTGCATTCTCTCTCTAAAAAATAATTCTGGTGAGCTATAAATATATTAGAAATTTTTAATCTTAAAAATATGTACATACCTATATCTATAAACATACCTACATGTAAGCATATAGATACACTTCTACTGAATTAACTATGTGTGTGTATACACATGCATATACATATCTAAATAGAAATATATCTATCTACCTGTCATCTCTCTATCATTCCTATATCAATCAGCATAGGCCAGATTATGCTGTGGCAAAAAAAAAAAATCTTTATCAGTTGCTTAAAATGATAAATACCTTTTTGCATGTGATATCTGGTGACATATAAGTAGTTTATGCTCATTTAATTCATTTGGGGTGATTAACAATTTGCATGTTCCTGGTTGCTGTACAGAGCAAAAGAGGACTCTGAAGGATCTCAAACCAGCAATTAAATATTCTGGCCCAGAAGTAATTCTCATATCTTAAAGTACATATCATATTTTCAGCACCACCCAATGTTAATAAAGCTAAGAAGATCATCCTTATACCCAGAGAGCAAAGTTGAAAATATTTGATGAACTGAATTAATTCCAATGACAATCCACTTTTCTTATGACCAAAGGTAAAATATACTCACTTCATCCCCAATGGAAAAAAACCACAAAGCCCAGTTCAGTAATGACATCATTGCATCAAATTTAAAGTTCAGGAACTTTGGGGTGGGTGTCCTTACCACCTCCTCAGGCTCAGATGGTACCCCTTTGATTTAGACCCTTATGGAATAAAGGCATGAGTTTGCTCCCTCTTGTTACAGTCAATCTTATATTCATTTGGTATTGCTGGAACAGGAAAAATATATTTACAATGAATACCTCCACTTGGATAAATGAAGAAGGAGAGCAATATTGATCTATAGAAATTTTGAAATTCTGAAATGTCTCTTGGCAGAAAAGTTAGTGAAGAAGGAGGCAGGAAACTTCTTTCTAAGGCCCTCTCTTCAGGACTAGAAACCTTGTTCTCCAAAGACCCTGACTCTGACCTCCTAAAGTTCTTTCTTTTTCCTTATCACTTTTGCTCTATCTGAAGGGACTTCATAAAATACCTACTGTATTAGTCTATTCTTACACTGCTATAAAGAAATACCCGAGACTGTTTAATATATAAAGGACAGAGGTTTAATTGACTCACAGTTCTGCATGGCTGAGGAGGCCTCAGGAAACTTACAATCATGGCAGAAGGGGAAGAGGCACATCTTACATGGCAGCAGGTGAGAGAATGCTAGCAAGAGCAGGGAAAACTGCCTTGTAAAACCATCTGATCTCGTGAGAACTTACTCTCTATCATGAGAACACCATGGGTGAAACTACTGCCTTAATCCAATCATTTCTCACCAGGTTTCCTCCTAAATACCCAGGGATTACAATTCTAGATGAGATTTGGGTGGGGAGACAAAGCCTTACCATACCACCTACTTTGTGGGTTCTGAGAAACTTTCTAAAGCTCACTTGATGCAGAGACATCTGGAGACAAAAGCTTTGTTTTAGATCCTAATTGTCATGTTTTCTTTCAGATACTTTAGAAAAGATAGTCCCCTCAAAAATATAATAAGCTTTTTGTCTACTCAGTTTTGGTAGCCTCCAAGTGATAAAAGCCTAACTAGCCCTGGTAAAATAGTAAGCAGAAGAGCCAGATTCAAACCTCAACTGTGGGGCTCAGGGTCCATGATCCTAATCACGATGCTATGCTGACTCTTGCTCATTTTTTTTTAGCTTTCCCAACTATAATCATTTTGAAGTGCCATTCCATTTATATTTTTGAGTCATTTTATTAATATCTGTAAACTATCTTTCTGGAGTAGTTATTCAGATTGTCTTTAATCCTTAAATCTAGTTAGAAACAATGGATATCTTAACAATATTGAGGTATTCCAATTCATGAAAATGAAATATTTCACTTTTTACTTGATTTTTCTCATTAGACTGTTATACATATTAATCATATAAAAGTTTTGTTAGATTGATTCCTAAATGCTTTATATTTTTGGTGCTATTGTAAACAGTGTTGTTTTTGTAACATCAAATTCCAATTGTCCATTGATGGAGTATGAAAAGGTAATTGACTTTTGCATATTGATCTCTATCTTCATAAGCTGAAATGTTTTTCATAAATTGGTGTTGGATCTTGTCAAATACTTTTTTATGTGTCAGTCGAAATGATCATGTTTTTCTTCATTAGCCTGTTGATATGATGAATTATATTATTGACTTTTGCATGATAAATTAGCCTTGAATTCTTGGAACAAATTCTATTTGTTCACGGAGTGTAACTGTTTTTGTGCATTGTTTGACACAATTTGCTAATATTTTATTGAGGCTATTTCTGTTTAAGTTTATAAGAAAAATATTGTTCTATAGTTTTACTTTTAGTAATGTCTGAATATGATTTTCATATTAAGGTAATATCAGCTTTATACAATGAGTCAGAAAGTGTTTCCTCTGCATCTATTTTCTAGAAGAGATTGTGAAAAAAAAAATGTTTCTTTCATATATGTTAGGTAGAATTCACCAGCGATGGTATCTAGGTTTAGTGTTTTCTTTCTTGAAGGTTATTAATGATGTATTTAATTTATTTAATAGATACAGAGTTGTCAAGAGCTCAGCTGAGCTAGAGAGAAAGCTGAGCAACCAGGTGTCCAGTCGTTTACTAAAGCAAAAACATGCCAAAATTCAAGTAACAGGGAAGCCTTTAATCACTTATTGCAATAGCATCAGCAAGATGCTAAATTCAGAGAAAATACCTACTCTCCCATTTTCCATTTCCCCAGTTGGGCCAGTTCATTGGTGGAGGGTCAGGTGTATCAGCACAGAGTGGCATCACTATGAAAGAGAAAGAAAAAAAGGCTCCTGTAGTTTTATGGACTCTAAGGCTGTGGGGAGAGAGTAGAGAGAGTGCTAGGAATGAACAATTACTAAGTACTGAGTCAGACTAAGTATTAGTGTCTTCAAACACAGGTCCTTCCCCAAGGAGGTCTCAGAAGAGGCACTTGATGAAGACCTCAGCCAAATGCCTCAGACAAAAAAGCTTCTACATGAACACGCCTGGACTAAAAATGCAGGTATGCACAAGAGCATGTCCAGCCAAGCAGGGCTAAGTATTGGACTGCAACTCTCTTCAAAATTGCAATGTACTGGCTGTGCACATAGTCTAGTTTAGGAAGGGCAGCTTTCCACTGTGAAGACTACCAGGTAAAGCCTTTTTAATGGCTTATGGTCAGATCTGAAAAATCACACAGGAATGTTTTGTTGTTATTGTTGTTGTTGATGATATTGTTGCTGTTGTTGTTTTAATTTTTGACCAGGAGCTGGACTTCTAAAAAGCTATTCTGGTTATCTATTTCTCCTTGTGTAGAGTTTTAATAAATTGCATCTTTCTTTTTTTTTTTTTTTTTTTTTTGAGATAGAGTCTTGCTCCGTCGGCCAGGCTGGAGTGCAGTGGCGTGATCTTGGCTCACTGCAACCTCCGCCTCCTGGATTCAAGTGATTCTCTTGCCACAGCCTCCTGAGTAGCTGGGACTACAGGCATGTGCCACCATGCCTGGCTAATTTTTTGTATTTTTAGTAGAGACAGGGTTTCACCATGTTAGCCAGGATGGTCTCGATCTCCTGATCTCATGATCCTCCTGCCAAGGCCTCCTAAAGTGCTGGGATTACAGGCGTGAGTCACCGCAACCCGAGCCTAGATTGCATCTCTCAAGAAATTAGTTGGTCCATTTTTTCTGTTATAAAATTTGCAGGCACGGAATTATTCATAGTATTTCTTTGTTACTCTTTTAGTGTTTATGAGATCAGTCATGATGACCTCTCTGTCATTTCTATTACGCTAATGTGTATCTTCTCTCTCTTTTTCCTCATTATTCTGGCTATAGTTTTATTAATTGTATTGATTTTTTCCATACATGTAAATTAGATAACATCAATTCATAATGCTATTCTGATCATCTATATCCTTAGTGATTTTCTGCCTACTTGATCTAACCATTAGTGATAGGAAAATGTGGAATTCTCCAACTGTAATACTGGATTTATCTTTTTCTGCTATCAGTTTTGCTTCATGTATTTTGAAGCTGTTGTGATACATAAATATTTAAGATCATGGTGTCTTTTTGAAGAATTGACCTCTTTATCATCATGTACTTGTGCTTTTATTGCTGATCACCTTCCATCTTATGAAGTCTGGCTTGTCTGAAATTAATATAGCTACTTCAGCTTTATTTTGCATAGTGCTAGCGTGGTATACATTTCTCCACCACTTTACTTTCAACCTGAGTCTTTATATCTAAAGTAAGCATCACGTAGAAAAAGCATAATTGGATCTTTTTTTAATCAACTGTAACCATCTCTGCCTTTTAGTTGGTGTATTTAGACCATTCATTTTTAAATGATCCTTGTTATGATTAGAATAACATCGGCCACGTTTTTGTTTTCCATGCGGTGCATTTGTTTTGTTTCTTCCACTCCTTCCTTCCCTGGTTTTAATTGAATATTTTCTGTGATTTTATTTTACATGCTCTTTTTTCATACCTGTTGCACTTCCTTTGGAACTTTTTTGTACTGACCTCGAGTTTACAATACATATTTTTATTTAATCTAAATTCACCTTCAAATAACACTCTATTGCATGCAGTGCAGGTACTTTCCACCATAGTATTCCTAACTTTTTTCTCCCATCACTTATAATAGTGACACATTGGTTTCACTTATCTATATCCTAAAATTATCAAGTGTAGAGGTACTATTATCGCTTTAAATAAAGAGTTATCTTTTAAATCACATAAGAATAAGAAAAATAAAGATTTTATTTTACGTTCATTCGTGCCTTGTCTAATGCTCTTCTTTTTAAATACAGTTTCTGATCTATGTCATTTTCTTTCTGCCTGAAGTATTTCTATTAAAACGTCTTGTGAGGCAGTTTTGCTGGAGATAAATCCTTTCAGTCTTTGTCTGAGAAGACTTTATTTCTCATCAACTTTGTAGAATAAGTTTGCTGGTAAAAAAATTGTAGGTTGATGGATTTTTTCTTTTAGCACTTCAAAGGCTTCTGCTCATTCTTTTTTCTTGCATGGCTTCTGATGAGGAGGGTATTGTAATTCTTATTCTTATCCTATATTTAGGATGTTTTATTTTTTATCTGGCAGCATTTATTTGTTGTGTTTGTTTCTCTGCAATTTGAATATAATATGCCTAAATATGTTTCTTTTTTGGTTTTTATTGTTGTTTTGTTTTGTGCTTTGATATTTATTCTACTTGGTATTCTTTGAGCTTCTGGGATCTGCAATTTGATGTATATTATTACTTCAAATATTTCTTTCATTTTTTTCTCTTGACATTTTAATTACACATATGCTACACCTTCGATATTGTCACCCTGTCATTCTGTTTATTTATCTCTTTGAATTTTCTTCTGGAAGTTTCAGAAGTTTCTTTTGAATCTATCTTCAAGTTCACTAATTATTTCTTCAGCTATGTAAAGTCTAATGGCTAGCCCATCAAAGACATTCTTTATTAGACATTGTTTTTGATTTCTAGTATTTTCTTTTGATTTTTGGTTACAGTTTCTACCTTTCTGCCTTCACTAATTATTTATTTTCTAATGTTGTCTACTTTTTTCCATTAGAGCACTTAACATGTTAATCTTAGTTATTTTAAATTCCCAGTCTGATAATTCCAAAATATCTGACATAATTGAATTTATTTCTGATATTTTTTGTATCCTCGGACCATGTATTTTCTGTGTTTTGGCATGTGTTATAATTTTTTTGTTTAAAACTGGGCATGATGTATTTGATTATGGGAACTAAGTTAAAAAGGCCTTTAGTGTGAGGTTTTATGCTAGGAGTTGTGTTGTGTTAAAGTTTATTCTAACTGTAGGTGTCAGAGTCATCAATTTCCTCTAGTGTGCTTGTTTTTTGTCTTTTCCCTTGGTTTTGAACTTCCCTTAAGCACTGCTCCTCAGAAAGAGTTTAAGTTCTACAGTTCTTTCAACTGTAATTATCTGTTACTAAATTTGCACCCAGTTAGTGTAGAAAAAGATGTATCAAAGAAGAGTATTTTATAATATTCCTGTTAAATCAGTGTTTAAATGGCCCTGTGTCTTAGGATAGTAACCTTCATAATGTTTCTCCAGTGGTATAATATTTTTTTTCCACAGACCTCTACTCTGGTCTACAGTGTTCTGTCAACTTCCATGACTTGATTCCTATTAGCTACTTTTTTCCTTTAGTTAGTTACAGGAAGGATAGAAAGAGCTGGAGTAGGAGAACTGCCCTTCCTACAGCTGTCATAAGGCATTAGAAAAATGCCTTCCCCTGGAGTTTAAGCTTTTGTGATGGAGAAATCTCTTGGTCTATTTTATAATGATTACCTTTCTTTTCCACCTGCCAGAACCAAGAGGGGATCTTTCTTATATTTTCACCATGAGAATGTGTTGGGCTTTATAGAAAGACTGAGACCCCCAGCAGTTTCTCAGTCTCATATTAACCCATACTCAACCACTAACAATGATGAAAGTACTCTTTTAATATTCCTACCTGTTTAGGGTTCCAGCTGCTTCGTTTCCCATTAAGCGGATCTAGGGTATTTCTTTCAGGATGTGCTGGCTTCTCATATTTTCAGCCAGCAGTTCTCCCTGCAAATTCAGAATTCAAACAAATCACTGATTTTTATTTTATCCAGTTTCCACTTTAATATGGTTTGATTTTGTGTTCCCACCCAAATTTCATGTTGAATTGTAATCCCCGATGTTGGGGGAGGGACCTGGTGCGAGGTGATTGGATCATGGGGGCAGATTTCTCCCTTGCTTTTCTCATAATACTGAGTGAGTTCTCATGAGGGATCTGGTTGTTTGAAAGTATGTAGCATTTTCCCCTTCACTCTCTCCTGCCATCTTTCCCTTCACCCTCAGCCATGATTGTAAGATTCCTGAGGCCTCTCCAGAAGCAGAAGTCTGTACAGCCTGCAGTACTGAGAGCCGACTAAACCTCTTTTCTTTATAAATTACCCAGTCTCAGGTATGTTTTTATAGCGGTGTGAGAACAAACTAATATACTCCTGTTGTGGGGATGCAAGTGATTAATTCCAAGCTCTTTAAATGTTAAAATGTAACTGCATTTTTTCCTATAGCTTACCTCTTACTGATTCCATTTTTGTCATTCTCATTATTTATTAATTTATCTTTAACATTTTGTTGTTTTCTGAAGTGTTATTTTTAGTATCATCTACATGTTCTTTAGATTTTCTAAACATCTATTGAGTTATAGACTCCCAAATTAACTTAATATTCATGAGATCATAAAATCCTATAATAGTGTATCACTATAAGGCAAACCATGATTTCCGTATCCCCAGCAGAAAAGAATCGTAGTGCATATAAGTAAAGTAAATTCTTATCTACATGACATGTTTTCTGTGGCCTCTGGAAAGCTACTTTAATTCCAAAGCAACTTTTCTCCAACCAATATTTGAAATCCCTTTAACAGGAGATCAATCTTTTATACCACAATGAGAAATAAGACTTCAGATTTTTCCTTGGAGATGTAATATGTTGAGTTCAATTCATGCAGAGTAAAATTAAATAACAAGTACTTCAAAGGCAGTAAGCTTGAAAAGGAAAAGTAATGGGTCAGATAAACTGAAAAAAAGAACAAAAATATACGCATGTTGTGAAGAAACTCTGAAAGTGTCCCTGCTCTCATTTTAAACAACAGATCTATATCTTTATAAAGGAAAGTATCTTACAGTTGGAGAATATAAAGCCAGATAGATCTCACCCCTAAAGTGGATCATCAACCATTTCCTGTTGGAAAATTAGTGACTTAGTGCTAGACAGAAATTTAGTGACTTTTTAACTCTCATAAGCAGGAATACAGATCCAGAGCACTTAAGTGAACCAACTAATACACACGGATAATTAGTAGCAGATATATAACTAAAATTAAAATATCGAAACTCATATTCTTTGCTAACTTTTGATTTTGAAACATACAGTAAAAAAGTCACTCACATTACTGAGTTTTGAATCAAATGAGAACTATAAGAAGACATAATTGTCACAAAAGCAGAATGTTGTTATGCCTATGAATATTTACAAATATATGTGTATATATATGTTCATTCTAATATATACACTTTCAAAACGATGGACTGAGCACATAACTTAGCTCTACCTGGCCTACTCAAATGTATGGTATTAATTTTTTTAATTTAAATATCTATAGCTTTTTCAGAAAGCTATAAATGCCATGCTTAGTGGACAAGAAATTTGGGGGAATCCTGGAAATAGAGAAAACAGATAATATATTACTGAGAATAAAAGTTCAATATGAAATGCTTGAATGAAATGTATGTATAATGGATCAATATAAAGGATCTGGGATTAAAATTACCCTCCCTACAACAACACTAACACAGACAAAATATGTAATTCCTAGCAGTTGTATATTTTGTGTATAAAATGTATAAAAAATGTATACAAAAGAACAGTATTCACTGAGAGAGGAAAATAGAGCAGACAGAGTAAAGAGACTACTAGCAAAACAGTATTGCAGTCTCTCTAAATTAAGGATAGAAGTTGGAAGTTTAGAAAGGCTAAGAAAACTGGAAACACTGTGCAAAGGTATGTAGGAGAGTTTTCCCAAAGTGATTTATAGATTTAAGCATCCCCAATTAATATCTAAGCAATCCCAATTAAAATCTTAGCAATCAGTACAACAGTATAAATAGTACAGAAATAGACCCACCCATATACAGTCAACTGATCATTGGCAATGGAGCAAAGCAAATTCAATGGGGAAACAATAATCTTATCTATAAACAGTTCAGGGAAATGATATTTTTCTATACTGAAAAATAAACATTGATTCATAACTTACACCAAATAAAACAATTAAATTGAAAGGAATCCTATAACCAAATGTAAAACCAAAATGGAAAATGTAGAAGAAAACACAAAAGGAAGTTTTGACTAGAATGTGGTATAATTCAACTTCTTATACACTGCTCATGAGAATGTATCATTGTACAATTGCTTTGGAAAGTATTTATATGGTGACATAAAGAACATCAATTATGGTCTTGGAATGGGGATTTTGCAGGGTAAGTGGGAATAAAAAAGGTGAACGAACTTTTGGAAATGATGATGCATGTATTTCAATTGTAGTAATGGCTTCATATGTAACAAATATCACATTGCATATTTTGACCATGTACAGTTTAACTTGTGTCAAACCTTAAGAAAACTTTTAAACAATAAAAGAAAAATTACATATGGAAATGCAGGATTCCATTTGGCTATGACTAATAGAAAACTTGAACAAATAGTAGCTTAAACAAATGAGTGTTTTATTTTTCTCCAAGACAAGGCTCTCAGAGATAAGGCTGATCCAGTAGCCCCAGGATTTCATTTCATTAATGTGGTAGATTTCTCAACACTTTCTGTTCCACTGTCATTAGTGTTGTGTCTCTGCTTTATGAGCTCAGGAATACACCTCTATGTCCAGGAATCAAGGGCATGTTATTGGCAGTTAGTAAAAGGAAATGAAAGTAGAAGAGAGTTGTCAGCTGACCCTATTTTAAACAGGTTTTCCATTTTTGTACAGCTCTGTGGCCAAAATTTTGTCCTATGGCAATATTTCTCAGAAAAGAGTCCTTGATATATAGTTTTCATTTTCTTTGTTTAGCTTTACCCATTGTATCTCTGGACTAAATTGAAGTTTTTATAGTTTCTATTAGTAATGAAGAAAGCTATAATAGATATTGGATTGATAACTAGCAGTGTGTGCCAGAGGCATTAATAGTTCTTGTCATTAGTAGGTGTGGAATAAGAAAGAGAAAAGGTTTCAAGAGCAAGAGTACTAAAGCATATACAGTATGATTCCAAGAGAGTCACATCTTGCATATTGTCAATTCCCAATCTCCTTGCTCCTGATAGCTGCAGATAAATGAATATGTGAGTTGGGGTGGGAGAAAGACAGCCAAGATTCATGCAGCCTGATATATATATATATATATATATGTAAGTATATAAGTATATATAAAATATATGTGTATATATATATTATATATATCATATATATTACATATAATATATGTATATATATATTTTATATATATATATATAATAAAGCATCCCCTACTCAATGACTAGAGAGCAAGTGCCTCATATGTAATGAGATCCCTCAGTCTCATATTTTCTAGAAATAAAACCCACAAAAAACAAAAAGCCATAATACTCAGCAAAGTAGAATCCTGCCATCCAGTGCCCCCAAAAGACATCTCTGATATCTTGAAGGAAAATATGATTGTTTTCTCATATTCTAAAGGGTGTTAAATATTTATTCTAAATTCCTGAGAAATGTGTTAACATATATAAGATATTTAATATTAAAAGGCATGTATTTGAAATGCATAAAAATAAATGGAATTTCAGAATCAAGAGAGAAAACAAATAACTTGAGCAATGATAACAAAATCAAATTATACCCAGCCTAAGATTATAAAATTAATAATATAGACTTTGACTTATGCCAATGCACTTATAAGAACGTTATTAATGAAATAATAAATTTCTGAGAAATTACAAATTATGAGAATTAGACTAAGAAGTAGAAAACCTGAGTGAGGCGATGGCGGTGTAGTTACAAGATAATCAGGGATATTACATCTGAGATCTGGACAATTTCAGATGAAACTTGCCAAGTGTCATAAATGGAGTGCTCCCCAGTGCAAACAAAAATATGGCTCCAACCAGTCAATAGGTATAAATATGATCAGATACGACAGAATTTAAGAGTTTAAGAAATTTGAGAATTTTCAAGCACGGATACATTTCTCACTTTCGGAAGTAGTTTAAAGAGATTTCAGGCAGAGCTATAAGTGAAAATAATTATTCATATATAAATAAATATATTTATTTATAACTTGTTTACATCTAAAAGTTAAAATGGATTTAGAACAAGTTTTAGGCTAGTTCTGCAGGATAATATAGGTTACAAACTTATTTTCTCATGAGCTGAAAAATAGATATGGCAGGAAAATACATTTGTTTCCAGAGTGGGTCAGCCATAAAATTTTTTATTCTTTTATTCATAGGTTGGTAAAGATTGAAACTCTCTAACTTGTGTCATTTTGTATCAGGAGACAGTGATAACTGTGAAGTTTGCTAGTATTATTTGTAAGTAGAGCTTCATAACACTGACTTTGAATAAGTCTAAGTGAACCAAATCAGATTTGCTTAGGAGAGCTATGCTAATGTGTCTTGAAATCGGGAGTATGTCTTTGTGTAACCCAATAGGGAGGAGATAGTACATGTCATCTATAATAGTAATTTGAGAATAAATGCAATACTGAATTAAAATGTAATTATGAATAAATAGATTGTTTTGCATTTAATGATACATAAAAATATTTTAATATTTAATACATATTTTAACATATTTGCTAATTTATTCTATAGTAACATAATATAAACATATTTTTATTTATAATATAACAATGCATATTATATATTTGCATATGATATATAAGCTGCCTATAACATAAATATATTTTAATATAAAACAGTTTATCAAAGTTATATCAGCAATGATTTATTGATGTGGGGAATTGAATTATAATCTTAAATAGCTGCATTCCACGAGTAATTATGTGGGAAAATAGACCAGCTGGAGATACCAATAACAAGTATGACCAAGTCTCAAAAAAGAAAAAAAAATAATAATGATAATAATAATTAGTAGATCCAGATAGAATGCTGGAATATATAACATTACATTTAATCTCCAGGTTCTAATATGTTTTATTTTCCTAGAAATAAAAATGATTATTGGTAAAACAGATTCTTTTTCCAGTTTTCTAAGTATTTTAAAAACATTTTTGAAATTGCTTTTACTAATTAATGCTATCACCAGCATTTCCAGGGAGATCCTATTTGCCCACATTCTGGACAATGTTTGGCATTGTTAGACTTCTTCTTTTCCTACCAACACAATGGTGTGCAGATTGAATTAGCATTACTTTTACTTTCACTTCTTAGAATACCAAGTTGGAAAATCAGTTTTATGTATATTTAGTGTCAACATGTGAATTCGTTAGTCATATATTTTCACCAGTTTTCTATTGGCTTGTGGACTTTTCACATTTAAAAGAATATTTTGTTTATTCTCAATGCCAATTCTTTGTTAATTTTGATATATATAAACATATCATTTCACACCGGCCCTTATATTTTAGTTTTTTATACATTAGGTCATGCATATACATTTGTATTTTAATTTAGTTTTAAGGAAGATTAACTTGTCACTTTCTCTCTGTCTTTTACACACAAGAACATCTTTAATATATACAGATATTTTACCAATTAATAATAAAAGGATGCATGCTTCAAGGAGAAGATGGGCAAAGACACAGAAGAGGAAATTTACTAACTATAGAAATTACTTACTATAGCTGTGTGTGTGTGTGTGTGTGTGTGTGTGTGTGTGTGTGTCATTTAAACAATATGTAATGTTAAGGATGGAAACAAAATTCACTGTTTAATAGCTGTGGGTATTCTTGCAAGTGCCCATACAGCCCAGACACTCCCCTGCTCACTGACTTCCCCAGATGGCTTACTCATTAAAAACGTTCCATCATTGCCCAGAGGTGAGGCAAGAGGCCAGCTTTTTGTTTGTCCGTTTTATTTATTTACTTTTTTATTATTGTGGTTGAAACATTTAATATAAGATCTACACTTTTAACAAAATTTTTACTGCACAATACAGTGTTTAACTATAGACACTTTGTACCCATTGAAGAGCAATTAGCTATTTACCCCTCCCCACACCCCTTAGCAATTACCACACTACTCTCTTTTTATGAGTTTGATTATTTTAGATACCTCATAGACGTGGAATCATGCAGTACTTGTCTTTCTGTGATGTCATCCAAGTTCATCCATTTTGTTGCAAATGACAGGATTTCCTTCTTTTTTTTCCCATTTTTTCATTATACTTTAATTTCTGGGATACATGTGCAGAACGTGCAGGTTTGTTACATAGGTATACACATGCCGTGGTGGTTTGCTGCACCCATCAACTCGTCATCTACAATAGGTATTTCTCCTAATGCTATCCCTCCGTAGCCCCCAATCCGCCGACAGGCCCTGGTGTGTGATATTCCCCTCCCCGTGCCCATATGTTCTCATTGTACAACCCCCACTTATGAGTGAGAACATGTAGTGTTTGGTTTTCTTTTCCTGTGTTAGTTTGCTGAGAATGATGGTTTCCAGCTTCATCTATTTCCTTGCAAAGGATATGAACTCCTTCTTTTTTAAAGCTGCATAGTATTCCACGGTGTATATGTGCCACATTTTCTTAATCCAGTCTAACATTGATGGGCATTTGCATTGGTTCCAAGTCTTGGCTATTGTGAATCATGCTGCAATAAACATACATGTGCATGTGTCTTTATGATAGAATGATTTATAATCCTTTGGGTATATATCCAGTAACGGGATGGCTGGGTCAAATGGTATTTCTATTTCTAGATCCTTGAGGAATCACCACACTGTCTTGCCCAATGGTTGAAATAATTTACACTCTCACCAACAGAGTAAAAGCGTTCCTATTTCTCCACATCCTCTCTGGCATCTATTGTTTCCTTACCTTTTAATGATTGCCATTCTAACTGGTGTGAGATGGTATCTCATTGCGGTTTTGATTTGCGTTTCTCTAATGATCAGTGATGATGAGCATTTTTTCATGTTTGTTGGCTGCATAAATGTCTTCTTTTGAGAAGTGTCTGTTCACATCCTTTGCCCACTTTTTGATGGGGTTGTTAATTCTTTTTCTTGTAAATTTGTTTAAGTTCCTTGTAGATTCTGAATATTAGCCCTTTGTCAGATGGACAGATTGCAAAAATTTTCTCCCATTCTGTAGGTTGCCTGTTCATGCTAATGATAGTTTATTTTGCTGTGCAGAATCTCTTTAGTTTAATTAGATCCCATTTGTCTATTTTGGCTTTTGTTGCCATTGCTTTTGGTGTTTTAGTCATGACGTCTTTGCCCATGCCTATGTCCTGAATAGTATTGCCTAGGTTTTCTTCTAGGGTTTTTATGGTTTTAGGTCTTATGTTTAAATCTTTAATCCATCTTGGGTTAATTTTTGTATAAGGTGTAAGGAAGGGGTCCTGTTTCAGTTTTCTGAATAAGGCTAGCCAGTTTTCCCAACACCATTTATTATATAGGGAATCCTTTCCCCATTGCTTATTTTTGTCAGGTTTGGTGGTTGTAGATGTGTGACGTTATGTCTGAGGCCTCTGTTCTGTTCCATTGGTCTATATATCTGTTTTGGTACCGGTACCATGATGTTTTGGTTACTGTGGCTTTATAGTACAGATTGAAGTCAGGTACCCTGATGGGTCTGGCTTTGTTCTTTTTGCTTAAAATTGTCTTGGCTATACAAACTCTTTTTTGGTTCCAAGTGTAATTTAAAGTAGTTTTTTCTAATTCTATGAAGAAAGTTAATGGTACCTTGATGGGAATAACATTGAATCTATAAATTAATTTCAGAAGTATGGCCATTTTCATAACATTGATTCTTCCTATCCATGAGCATGAAATGTTTTTCTATTTGTGTGTGTCCTCTCTTATTTACTTGAGCATCAAAAAGTGGGCAAAGTATATGAACAGACACTTCTCAAAAGAAGACATTCATGCGGCCAACAAACATATGAAAAAAGGTTCACCATCACTGATCACTGGTTTGTAGTTCTCCTTGAAGAAGTTCTTCACATCTCTTGCAAGTAGTATGCTAGGTATTTTATTCTCTTTTTAGCAATTGTGAATGGGAGTTTGCTCATGATTTGGGTCTCTGTTTGTCTATTATTGGTGTATAGGAATGCTTGTGATTTTTGCACATTGATTTTGTATCCTGAGACTTTGCTGAAGTTGCTTATCAGCTTAGGGAGATTTTGGGCTGAGATGATGCGGTTTTCTAAACATACAATCATGTCATTTGCAAATAGAGATAATTTGACTTCCTCTCTTCTTATCTGAATACCTTTATTTCTTTCTCTTGTTTGATTGCCCTGGCCAGAACTTCCAATACTCTGTTGAATAGGAGTGGTGAGAGACGGCATTCTTGTCTTGTGCCGATTTTCAAAGGGAATGCTTCCAGCTTTTGCCCATTCATTATGATATCGGCTGTGGATTTGTCATAAATAGCTCTTATTATTTTGAGATACATTCCATCAATACCTAGTTTATTGAGAGTTTTTAGCATGAAAAGGTGTTGAATTTTATCGAAGGCCTTTTCTGAATCTATTGAGATAATCATGTGGTTTTTGTCATTGGTTCTGTTTATGTGGTGGCTTATGTTTATTGATTTGTGTATGTTGAACCAGCCTTGCGTCCCAGGGATGAAGCCAACTTGATCGTGGTGGATAAGCTTTTTGATGTGCTGCTGGATTCGGTTTGCCAGTATTTTATTGAGGATTTTTGCATCGATGTTCACCATGGATATTGGCCTGAAATTGCCGTTTTTGTTGTGTCTCTGCCAGGTTTTGGTATCAGGATGACTCTGGCCTCATAAAATGAGTTAGGGAGGAGTCTGTCTTTTTCTATTGTTTGGAATAGTTACAGAAGGAATGGTACCAGCTCCTCTTTGTACCTCTGGTAGAATTCAGCTGTGAATCCGTCTGGTCCTGGGCTTTTTTTGGTTGGTAGGCTATTAATTACTGCCTCAATTTCAAAACTTCTTATTGGTCTATTCAGGGATTCAACTTCTTCCTGTTTTAGTCTTGGGAGGGTGTATGTGTTCAGCAATATATCCATTTCGTCTAGATTTTCTAGTTTATTTCTGTCGAGGTGTTTATAGTATTCTCTGATGGTAGTTTGTATTTCTGTAGGATCAGTGGTGATATCTTGTTTATCACTTTTGATTGTGTCTATTTGATTCTTCTTTGTCTTCTTCTTTATTAGTCTGGCTAGCAGTCCATCTGTTTTGTTAATCTTTTCAAAAACCACCTCCTGGATTCATTGCTTTTTTGAAGAGTTTTTTATGTCTCTATCTACTTCAGTTCTGCTCTCATTTTAGTTATTTCTTGTCTTCTGCTAGCTTTTGAATTTGTTTGTTCCTGCTTCTCTAGTTCTTTTAATTGTGACATTAGGGTGTAGATTTTAGATCTTTCCCACTTTCTCCTGTGGGCATTTACTGCTATAAATTTCCCTCTGAATACTGCTTTAGTTGTGACCCAGAGATTCTAGTACATTGTGTCTTTGTTCTCATTGGTTTCAAAGAACTTATTTATTTCTGACTTCATTTTGTTATTTACCCAATAGTCATTCAGGAGCAAGTTGTTCAGTTTCCATGCAGCTGTGTGGTTTTGAGTGAGTTTCTTAATCCTGAGTTCTAATTTGATTGCACTGTGGTCTGAGAGACTGTTATGATTTCCTTCCTTTTGCAATTGCTGAGGAGTGTTTTACTTCCAATTATGTGGTCAATTTAGAATAAGTGCAATGTGGTGCTGAGAAGAATGTATATTCTATTGATTTGGGGTGGAGAATTCTGTAGATGTATATTAAGTCCACTTGGTCCAGAGCTGAGTTCAAGTCCTGAATATACTTGTTAATTTTCTGTCTCCTTGATCTGCCTAATATTGACAGTGGGGTGTTAAAGCCTCCCACTATTATTGTGTGGGAGCCTAAGTCTCTTTGTAGGTCTCTAAGAACTTGCTTTATGGATCTCAGTGCTCCTGCATTGGGTGCATATATACTTAGGACAGTTAGCTCTTCTTGTTGCATTAATTCTTTTACCATTATGTAATGCCTTTCTTTTTCTTTTTTGATCTTTTTGGTTTAATGTCTGTTTTATCAGATATTAGGATTGCAACCCCTGCTTTTTTTTAATTTCCATTAGCTTGGTAAATCTTCCTCCATCCCTTTATTTTGAGCCTATGTGTGTCTTTGCATGTGAGATGGGTCTCCTGAATACAGCACCCCAATGGGTCTTGAATCTTTATCCAGTTTGACAGTCTGTGTCTTTTAATTGGGGCATTTAGCCTGTTTACATTTAAGGTTATTATTGGTATGTGTGAACTTGATCCCGTCATTATGATATTAGCTGGTTATTTTGCCCATTAGTTTCAGTTTCTTTATAATGTCGATGGTCTTTACATTTTGGTTTGTTTTTGCAGTGGCTGGTACCAGTTTTTCCTTTCCATATGTAGTGCTTCCTTCAGGAGCTCTTGTAAGGTAGGCCTGGTGGTGACAAAATCTCTCAGCATTTGCTTGTCTATAAGGATTTTATTTCTCCTTCACTTATGAAGCTTAGTTTGGCTGGATAAGAAATTCTTGGTTGAAAATTCTTTTCTTTAAGAATGTTGAATATTGGCACCTCACTCTCTTCTGGTTTTGTAGGGTTTCTTCAGAGAGATCCACTGTTAGTCTGATGGGCTTCCCTTTGTATGTAACCTGACCTTTCGCTCTGGCTGCCATTACTAACATTTTTTCCTTCATTTCAACCTTGGTCAATCCAACCATTATGTGTCTTGGGGTTGCTCTTCTCAAGGAGTATCTTTGTGGTGTTCTCCGTATTTCCTGAATTTGAATGTTGGCCTGTCTTGCTAGGTTGAGGAAGTTCTCCTGAATAATATCCTGAAATGTGTTTTCCAACTTGGTTCCATTCTCCCCATCACTTTCAGGTACACCAACCAAACGTAGGTTTGGTCTTTTCACATAGTCTCATATTTCTTGGAGGCTTTGTTTGTTCCTTTTCATTCTTTTTTCTCTAATCTTATCTTCATGCTTTATTTCATAAAGTTGATCTTCAATCTCTGATATCCTTTCTTCTGCTTGATTGATTCAGCTATTGATACTTGTGTATGCTTCACGAAGTTCTCGTGCTGTGTTTTTCAGCTCCATCAGGTCATTTATGTTCTTCTCTAAACTGGTTATTCTAGTTAGCAATTCCTCCAACATTTTATCAAGGTTTTTAGCTTCCTAGCATTGGGTTAGAAAATGCTCCTTTAGCTCGGAGTAGTTTATTATTACCCACCTTCTGAAGACTACTTTTGTCAATTTGTCAAACTCATTCTCCATTCAGTTTTGTTCCCTTGCTGGCCAGGAGTTGTGATCCTTTGGAGGAGAAGAGGCACTCTGGGTTTTGGAATTTTCAGCATTTTTGCGCTGGTTTTTCCTCAACTTCTTGGATTTATCTCCCTTTGGTCTTTGATGTTGGTGGCCTTCGGATGGGGTTTTTATGTGGATGTCCTTTTTGTTGATGTTGATGCTATTGCATTCTGTTTGTTAGTTTTCCTTCTAATAGGCCCCTCTGCTGCAGATCTGCTGGAGTTTGCCAGAGGTACACTCCAGACCCTTTTTGCCTGGGTATCACCAGCAGAGGCTGCAGAAGAGCAAAGATTACTGCCTGTTCCTTCCTCTGGAAACTTCATCCCAGAGGGGCACTTGCCAGATGCCAGCCGGAGCTCTCCTGTTGGAGGTGTCTGTCGACCTCTCCTGGAAGGTGTCTCCCCATCAGGAGGCACAGGGGTCAGGGACCCATATGAGGAGGCAGTCTGTCCTTTAGCAGAGCTCAAGTGCTGTGCTGGGAGATCTGCTGTTCTCTTCAGAGCTGGCAGGCAGGGACGTTTAAGTCTGCTGAAGCTGTTCCCACAACTGCCCTTTTCCCCATGTGTTCTGTTCCAGTAAGATGGGAGTTTTATCTATAAGCCCCTGACTGGGGTTGCTGCCTTTCTTTCAGAGATGCCCTGACCAGAGAGGAGGAATCTAGAAAGGTAATCTGGCTACAGTGGCTTTGAAGCACTGTGGTGGGCTTTGCCAAGTTTAAACTTCCTGGAGGCTTTGGTTACACTGTAAGGGGAAAACCACCTACTCAAGCCTCATTAATAGCAGACGCCCCTCCCCCCACCAAGCTGGAGCATCTCAGGTCTACTTCAGGCTGCTCTGCTGGCAGCGAGAATTTCAAACCAATGGATCATAGCTTGCTGGGCTCCATGGGGGTGGGACCTCTGAGCAAGACCACTTGGCTCCCTGGCTTCAGCCCCCTTTCCAGGGGAGTGAACGGTTCTGTCTCACTGGCATTTCAGGCACCACTGGGGTACAAAAAAATACTCCTGCAGCTAGCTCAGTGTCTGCCCAAACAGCCACCCAGTTTTGAGCTTGAAAGCCAGGGCCCTTGTGGTGTAGGCACCCGAAGGAATCTCCTGGTCTGTAGGTTGCAAAGACCATGGGAAAAGTGTAGTATCTGTGCTGGAGTGCACTGTTCCTCACAGCATAGTCCCTCATGCCTTCCCTTGGCTAACGGAGGGAGTTCCCTGACCCTTTGTGCTTCCTGGCTGAGGAGGCACCCCACCCTGCTTCAGCTCACCCTCCATGGGCTGCTCCTACTGTCTAACCAGTCCCAATGATGTGAACCGGCTACCTCAGTTGGAAATGCAGAAATCACCTGCCTTCTGCGTTGGTCTCGCTGGGTGGGAGCTGCAGACCGCAGCTGTTCCTATTCTGCCATCTTGCCCAGGAATCTCTCCTTCTTTTCTAATGCTGAATAATATTCTATGTATATATCATATTTTCTTTATACATTCATTCATTGATAGACACAGGTTGATTCTGTATACAAATAATGCTGCAATGTGAATAATGCTGCAAAGAACATGGAAGTGCACATATCTCTGAGATTCTGATTTCAATTCTTTTGGATATATACTCAGAAGCGGCAATTGTTGACGAATATGGTAATTCTATTTTCAATTTTTTGAGGAACACTATTTTCATAGTGGCTGCACCACTTTGCATTCCTACCAACAGTGTTACAAGGGTTCCAGTTTCTCCACATCCTTGCCAACAAGTATCTTTTGTTGATGTTTTTAATTCCAATGTGTGAAGTGATATCTCATTGTGTTTTGTGTTTTGATTTACATTTCCCTGATGATTAGTGATGTTGCACATATTTTTATATACCTTTTGGCCATTTGTATGTCTCTCGTCATTATTATTTCTGCTTCCTATGTCTCTCGTCACTCTCTTGTTATTGTTTCTATTCTTTACGGAAATTTACCTAACATGAATAAATAGAGTCCTTTATATACTTTTTCTACTGTGCTTTATGCTTTGCCCTTCATATTTAAGCCTGAAATACATCCAGAATTTATTTTGTGTGTGGGGTGCAATGGGATTCTTATGAGGATAAAATGTAAACCATTTAATGAAGTTTTAATTTAAAAATATACAAAATAATGTGGAGTTCATATTTTAAAGCAAAGTTATTCTCATAGGATTAAGTATAAGAAAAGGGGTGGAATGGGAAAAATAAACAGATGTGGGTTTAGATTAAAGGCTGGCTCTGCATGTAACTAATCATAGAGAGGGAGAGATCAGAGACAAACGTGAAGTACCATTTTCATTGACTTTAGAACATATATTTGTTTTCACATTTTTAACAATTCTAAAGTTGAGATGATACAATCACTGGCATGTGGTAGTTCATTTGGCAGATTTTTTCTTTGGTAATGTTACGCAAACTATGGCATAATATAGAGTCAAGAACACTTTAGATTTGATGAAGCACTTTAATAAAATATTCTCTATGAGCTGAAGAGGGAATAGATATTTAGATTGATGGAATCCACTGACTGTTGAACGGAACCAATGATCAAAGACTCATGGTGAAACAGATTAAGATAAAATATCAGAGACCGAAAATTGAAGAGAAAATATTCTCATATATATGAGGGTGGCAAAAATCAACTGAACTGACTGGGCGCAGTGGCTCACGCCTGTAATCCCAGCACTTTGGGAGGCCGAGGCGGGTGGATCACGAGGTCAGGAGATCGAGACCATCCTGGCTAACATGGTGAAACCCAGTCTCTACTAAAAAATACAAAAAATTAGCCAGGAGTAGTGGCGGGCACCTGTAGTCCCAGCTACTTGGGAGACTGAGGCAGGAGAATGGTTTGAACCCAGAAGGCGGAGCTTGCAGTGAGCCAAGATCGCGCCACTGCACTCCAGTCTGAGCGACAGAGCGAGACTCCGTCTCTAAGAAGTGAAGAAAATTAGACTAACGTCATTGTTCTCATCAACAATGAAGGTTACAAACAATCAATCAACACCTTCCAAATTATAATAAAATAACATTTTTGAACTTATAATTCCATAAACTGGAAAGTTATCAAGTCATGACAAGATACTGTCACACTGGGGATCTTGCCTTGCATGATCTCAAGCTTCGCCTTTTGTCAGCAATGTGATTCCCAAATCCCAAGCTTCCATATAGGCAAATATTTTGAGTGTTTGATTATTCGATCTAGAATATTTCCAATAGCCAAAGAATACGAATATTAGTCATCTAAGCAAACTATATGAAAAAAAACTTAAAAAGTTACGACAGCAAAATGTAAAGATCTATTTCAAAGAAGGTAAAATTGGAAACAGAAGGCATGGGAGTAAAGATAACCTAAGAAAGAAAATAAAAAAATTAGAAGCAAATTCATTGGACCGAATGAATGGCAAAGTCTTCACTGAGCAACAAATATTTGAAGCACAGACTCACATCTCTTTTCTATTGGATTATTCACAATACTTGCTCTACAATATTGATTGCATTATTATAATTGTGTAAATGTTGTGTAGAGAGTTAAGTTTCAAGTTTTAAACTGACGAAAAAGCACAGAAGAGTTCATTATATATGAAAAGGAGGATAAACGCTGTAAAACTTGACAATGAAATAATCATAGTAAAATTAACACAAACCAGGAGTTGAACACAGAAGTGGGGAGCAGGGAAATTTACTGCATTCTTCACATTTTTTAGTGGTAAATCAGTATTATTTCTAAGGAATTTTACAATAGACTAAAGAAAAAATGTATATAACTCAAAGTTATACAATTGATCATCAAATGAGTAAAAATTAAAAACTCAAAAAATGGTTATCTCTGAAAATGGTTCTGAAGCAGGGAAAAGAGGCTGGTAACTATTTTTGATTTTAAGATCCTATCTTTAAAACTATTTTTTTCATAAATAATTCAGAATTGAAGGAAAGTTAAAAAGAATCGAGAAAAAAGTTGCCCCTTTCCTTTTTTCCCTCTGCATCAGTTAATTTAATTTTAGAGTATTTCTCTTCCACATGTGTACAAATATTTTATTCATTCTTTTCACTTTTACATCTAGTGTTTCCTATTTTTCTCCACAAAATTAAGGAAAATTCTTGGTTTTTAATTCTAACTTCATTTCACTAATAACCCAAGAAATATCTAAGTCAGAACTTACAACCTAAACTATAACATATTTTTCAATTACATAAAAATATTAAGTAAAATTAGGCATGATATCAAATAAGTACCATAAATCCCTAAAATTCTTGAATGATCTAAGCATTTTTTTTTTTTTTAGACAGGGTCTTATTCTGTCTTGCAAGCTAGAGTACAGTGGCGCAATGATGACTCACTACAGCTTTGACCTCCAGGGCTCAAGCTATCTTCCTCAGCCACACTACCCCCAGTAGCTGGGACTATCTTAGCACACCACCAGGCCTGGCTACGTTTTTAAATTATTTTTTTGTAGTGACAGGATCTCACTATGTTGCCCAGGCTGGTCTTGAATGCCTGGGCTCAAGCAGCTCTCCCAAGTCTCCCATCTAGGCCTCTCAAAGTGACAGGATTACAGGTATGAGCCACTGTGCCCAGCCTGATCTAAGTATTTTCATGACCATTTTTAATTAACTTCCATCTGAATATTTACACTCAACCTATTTTCTCTCAAAAAACACAGTATTTGGGGTAAAATTTAAAATGTTTCACTAATCCATACAAACACTTCTGTTTTATTCAGAACTATTTTAAAAATCCTTTTAATGTAATTAATAACAATTTAAAATATCTTGATTAAGATGAAATATTTTAAGTTAATTAATTAAAGAGGTTTTTTTCTTTGAGTCTACTAAAGAAATGCATATGTTGACCCTATAATAAGATATGTTTGCCTGTGTGCTAGCTTCATTTCAAGTACTAGCTCAGGAGAAAATATTTCTTTCTGAGTATAAACTGACCATCTTAAAAATAAGTGTTTTGAACAAATTCATGTAAGAGTCAGAAATTTACAAATTTTTCTGTTCTTGTTTCTTTAAAATAATTTCATTGAACATACAATCTCATATATTATAGTTTTAAATTTTATTTATGATGGCAAGTAAAAAGATATGACTATTATACCAGATAGAAGATAATAATTTCTGTCTAACATGTACATTTGTTGCTATATTAAGTACATTACATTTCAGTGATCAAAATAAAATGGAAATAATTAGTTAAGGTTCAAACAACTAATTTATAGAATTCCCAACAGCAAGAATGTTGTAATACGCATTGCCTAAAAAAAGCCAAACCACAGTAAAAGGATTGTGATAATAGCCTATTATTTCTGTCTTTAGACAAAAATACTTTGTATTTTTTTTGTTGACACATTTTTTGAACTCTCATTGGAAAAATAGGCAGTTATACACTATTGTAAATAACACAACCAAATCAGAGGAATGGTACTGAAATTAATTATGCAAATCACATAGGTACAACAGGATCTCAGTTATTGTAAATTATTTTGGTTGAACGTGAAACAACAATGAAAGGTTTTTTTAGCAATTACATAAAATTTTAAGGTGTAGGGAAAATTATGGAAGTTAAATTTTATTTAATTGAAAGATGTACCCAGTAGCAAATATGTTTACATGTGTGAATGAACAATATGGTTTTTAAATTTTATTGTTAGTATAAATTATTTTTCTTTACTATTGACTATTAATTATTTTTTAAAACAACTGTTAGTGGTAAGTATCAAGGACTTGTCTAATATGTGATTTAAAAAATAGTTCTAACGGTTCAGACTTAAGAATAGTGTTTGCTTTAGGATAGTGATAATTGTCCTTTAGTAGGTGAAGCACATAAAGAGAAATTATTATGACAGGAGAAAAAATTATGTTTTCTTTCATTTATTGGGATTATTTTTATCATTTAATGTGTTAATGAATGTGCACATTGTGTAATTTCTAGTTTATATTTGTCTTCAGGATTTTTTGCATCTATAGTCATAAGTAAAGTTGTCTTCAAACTCCTTTGCTGTTTCTCTTGTCTCTTAATTGGCTTGTTATCTGAGTTTTTAGAATTTACATATTAATTTTTTAACTTTTAAGTTTAGGGGTAAATGTACAAGTTGTTATATAGGTAAACTTGTGTCATGGTGTGGCAGGCCAAGTATCACTAACAGCTGAACAGGCAGGCCTCCATGACAACTGTTTCAACACTGACAAATGCTGACAGAGGCCAGGCGCAGTGGTATAATCCCAGCACTTTGGGAGGCCAAGGCGGACAGATCACCTGAGGTCAAGAGCTCAAGACTAGCCTGGCCGACATGGCGAAACCCCGTCTCTACCAAAAATACAAAAAAATTACTCGGGCATGGTGGCAAGTGACTGTAATCCCAGCTACTCCAGAGCCTGAGGTGGGAGAATCGCTTGAACCAGGGAGGCGGAGGTTGCAGTGAGCCAAGATCACGTCATTGCACTCCAGCATGGGTGACAGAGAGAGACTCCATTTCAAGAAGAAAACAAAACAGAAGATTATTATGGGTAAAGGCTTTTATATACAAATTATTTTTGAAAAAAAATCTCCATTCAAATTCCAGACAAAACACGACACATAGACACATTTGTGTATGTATGTGTCTCTGTGTCTCTGCTAGAAATGCTGACTATCCTTTCACTGAGTGGATCTCCATGGAATCTAGCTACCTGCTGACTATCCTTTCATGAAGCCTATATTTCAAGAATGTTGGCATTTTGTGGGGACATGGGGGTAGGAAGGAAAGTTCTTATAACCTACTCATTTCCATCAACTTGCCTTGCATGATCCCAAAGGCTTGCCTTTGTCAACCATGTGATTTCTAAACCCGAGGTTCCACAGAGGCAAATATTTTGAGTGTAAACATGGATTTATGGCTTGGTTATTCATATATTCCCTGCTATGTATTTAGTTTGCACAGCTGAAAATATTCATTATTTCTTATAGCCTTTGTGATTTACCTAGTATCAGAGTAAGGTCAGGTGCCTTATCTCCGCTCTTGAATTTGTAGGCATTTCCTTTTCTCAAGTGAACAGTTATCTGGGGAAATTGCCACAGATTTCTTTATGGAAGTATGAGAATAATATTTTTTGTAAACATTTTGGATGGTAATACAATGTCTTTTCTTAAAATAATTTTCTCTGCTTTTTAATCATTGCATCATTTGTAGCACCTTGGTGAAAAATCATTATTTCCCATTGCAATGACTGACATACTGACCTTACTGACTCTCCATTTTGTTTTGATTATATTGATTAAACACCCTACCTATCATACCTCCAGGGACATTATGAACTACTCTAGGTTAACACAGTGACCTGAGAGTCAGAGCACATTGTTAGACTTCCAGCCTTACTATAACATAAGGATTAAAGCCATCTTACCTATCACAATAAAAAGTCCACAACCTGATATCTGCTATTATGAAATTCTATAAAACATGTTAAAATTAGGGAATGTGGTTCCATGGCAACATCTTCCACTGTTAACTCTAACCAGAAGAGGATGGCCAACAGCAAATGTCTCAAAAGATGCTGGTGCCCCCTTACCTGTCCATTCTTCATTGCTTTATGAAAGATAGTGATCTCCGTGCCCTGCCAAAGAATAGAGTAAGGTGAAAATTTATATTTCTTTTTTCAGCTTTAGTGATGTATAATAGATAAATGTGAATTGTAAACATTCAAGGTACACAATGTGATGTTTTGATATATGTATAAATTACAAAACAATTGCCACAATCAAGCTAATTAACATATCCATCACCTCACATAGTTGTCTTTTTCTTTTCTTGGTGGTGAGAATGCCTAAAGTCACTCCTTCACACATTTCTAGGATATATTATGTTATTCTTAGCTATAATTACCATGCTGTACATTAGGTCTCTAGCGCTAATTCACCCTATAAGCACAAGTTGCTACCCTTTGATCAACATGTCCCTCTTCTCCCACCCCAGACTCCTTGTAACCACCCTTCTACTCTCTATTTTATGAGTTCAAACTCTTTAGATTCCACATATAAATTAGATTATGCAGTATCTGTATTTCTATGTCTGCCTTCCTTCACTTTGCATAATGTCCTTCATGTTTATACATGTTTTTACAAAACTCCTCCAAGAAAACAGGAGAATGGTCTATGACATTGGTCTTGGCAATGATTTTTTTGATGGGACACCAGAAGCACAGGTAAGAAAGGCAAATATAAGCAAATAGGACTACATCAAACTAAAAAGTTTCTGTACAGCAATGGAAACAATCAAAAACTTAAAAAGTAACCCCCAAAATGAGAAAAAATGTTTGCAAATTGTGTATCTAATAAGGAGTTAATATCCAAACTGTAAGAAGAGCTCTGAGAACTCAATTGTGAAAAACCAAATAACCCAATTAAAAAAAATGAATAAAGGATCTAAACAGACATTTTTTCAAAGAAGAAACACAAATATCCAATAAGTATATGAAAAAGTGTTCAACATCACCAATCATCAGGAAAATATAATTTAAAAATACCTCACATCTGTTAGGATAGCTATTATCAAAAAGTCTGAAGGTAAGTATTGGTGAAGATGTAGAGAAAAGGCAATGCTTATATACTGTTGATGGGAATATAAACTGGTATAGCCATTATAGAAATGAGTATGAAGGTTTCTGAGAAAATTGAAAATAGGGTTACCATATAATTCAGCACTCCCACTTCTCATTATATATTCAAAATAATTAAAATCACTGTTTCAAGAGATAACTGCACTCTTATGTTCATTGCAACATTATTCACAACAGACAAGAACTGGAAACAACTTAAGTGCCTGTCAATGTATAAATGGATATAGATAGTGATACAAAATGAAATAGATGTACATATAGATATAGATAAATAAAATAAAATATTAGTGAGCTTTAAAAAAGGAAATTTCTTAGTTTCTAACACAGTAAATCCACTCCAACATTCCCTACTTACTCCCTGATAATTCCAAGGTCTTATATTAAGGACACACCAACATCTCAATCTCATTTACTATAGGGCATCATTATGTTCAGAACTCAAGGTGATAACACAGCAGTGTATTAGGACAGCTCTGTCTCTCCTTGCCAGAATACTTAATGTATAGTAAGGGATAAGTCCCTTTTTCAATGCGTTTTCCCTTATCTACTCTTATATTATTCCTGCTCTGGTATAACTCCCTAAAAATACATCTCCATACATGTTATCCAGGTTCCTTCAAATATATATTTAATAAGCTTTTTTTTTCAATTTATGGTGGGAGAATTTAGATCCCTTTTTTTTCTGGAGGACGGCCAATATTTTCCAATTTCAATGATGCTAAATCGGAACCTTGGTTATTAATACAAAAACATTAGAGTTGGTTTGGATGTTCTTGAGAGGAACAAACTTTATCATGCAAGGTGCCTCCTTCAGGTGAGGTCACTATGCAAGGAAATCTGGTTTGTTTTGTTTTTGTTTCTCTTCTGAAAAGGGGAGAGGATGTTACTGTTTGCCAAGGAGTTTTACAGGGATTTGGGTTTTCAAATTTCCCACACTCTGAGGCTATCATACTAAGACTAAAGCTCTCTCTCCTACTTCATCAGGGATCTGACTTTATTATAACACAATTATTCTGGCTTTAGATTACTTCTCATTCTTTATTATTAGATCCTGAAGCTAATGTTCACCAAGGTCTGTCCGTTATCTGTAGAGGATAAGAATTTCTAGTTAAACATCTTTTTCATTCTCACTTTCACAGCATGATTTAAGTTGCTAATTAACACTTCTTAACCTAAAAATTTTTTGCAAAGCTTCACTTGCTTTCAAAAGCAGCTTCTTCACAGAAAATAATAATAATATAATAAGGTCATTATTGCCATTCTACCATCAAGTACAATAGCAACTTTCCTCCTGCCAAAGTATCAACTCTCATCTGAACCTTATCTGTCAACCAAGTTTTATGCTCACTCAAATTGCAAACAGAAGCATAAGTTCCCGTTTTTGTGTTTGTTAGTTTTGCTTTGCTTTGTTTTAACAAGTGGGAAAGCTAGATCCAAAATATGACTCTGGCCTTTTCTGGTATTAAGTGTTTTAGTCCCTATTTCCTGAAAAATAAGGCTATGGCCGTTTATGTACACACATATGTGTTATGTATATATAGGAATTACATAGACATATAGACACACACATATATGCGTATGTATATATAATTTTATTTGGAGGTACAATCCTCAGACAGGGAAAACTAAAGTGAAACAGGAAAGTAGTGGAAGCAAATGCAAGACGGCACTTTATTTTTTTATTTTATTTTATTTTTGAGACAGAGTTTCACTCTTGTTGTCCCGCTGGAGTGCAATGGCGGGATCTTGGTTCACTGCAACCTCCACCTTCCAGTTTCAAGCGATTCTCCTGCCTGTCTCCCGAGTGGCTGGGATTACAGGTGCCCACCACCATGCTGGCTAATTTTTGTATTTTTAGTAGATACGGGTTTCACCATGTTGGCCAGTCTGGTCTCAAACTCCTGACCTCGTGATCTGCCCACCTCGGCCTCCCAAAGTGCTTGGATTACAGGCGTGAGCCACCGTGCCCGGCCAATGGCAGCTTATTGAGTTGACCAGAGCTTCAGAAGAAAACACAGGAAGTGAACCAATATGTCTAATAGATGTCCATCAAGGGAGAAATAAGAATACTCCATTCACTTTCTTCTTCATTTCTTCTGCCTCTTATATTTGAATATTGCCTCATGTTGTGTTAACTCTTCTGTGTGTTGATCATGTGTCACTTGGTCCAAATGAGCTGCCTCTGGGGTGTTGGATCTCATGACTCCTGGTGTGGTGCTGCATCAGAATCAGGACCTGGCAAAAGAATCCAGGTACTCTGTGAGTCCGAATGATGAGAGCAGGGTAACAGAGCTACTGAAATGTCTAATATGGCAGATCTCATGGAAGCTGCACCAAAAGCTAGGTTCCAGTCTTGGGTAGCAAGTGACAGTTGGTGATATTAGATGATGAGGCAAGTTGCTAGAAGTAAGTGCTCTCTTTCGAGCAAGTGGTGGAAACCCAGGGGACAAGTGGGGTACAGTGTACCAAAGAAAGAGCAAAAATTAAGCCATTATAATTCTACTTTGTTCTCCATACCCAGCTTTAAAATATTATTTCTATTTTTCACATGCACATTCTTCAACTTTTATTTTCATAATTTCTATATATTATTTTAAAAGTGTCTCTTGTAAGCAACAAATTAGTAATTATTTTTGTGAATTTAAGTTTCCACCCTTTCATTGATATATTTAAGCCATATTTTCATTACTTTAAACTTTTTTCTATGATACTGTTTCATCTTTTCCATTTACGTACTTTATTTTTCTTGCCTGCTTTCACTTGTATATGTATGTGTTTATCATTTGCATATGTTAAATTTCCTCCTGCTGAATATAAATTTACATATGTTGTAATTCTTTGGAAACTAGATAAGACACATATTTGAGCCCTTTTTACAACTATTGATTTATAAAATTGATCAGAATATATACATTTTCAAAGGAAGACAAGAGCATTAGTATAGTTTTTCAATATGTTATCTTATCTCTGCCCAACACCATATTGGCATTTTCTACAACTTTATATTGGATTTTTCAGATACATATATTTTAATTTACATTTGTTTGGCTCTCTGATTATGTTTAATTTGCCTATGTTCATCTTTCAATTTTCAACTTTTCTCCAAAATTTCTTTCAAGTCAGCTTGTTGGGGAAAAACATGAGAGCTTAACTGATATTTTTATTGCGTTTTTCACTAAATGACAATTTAAATGGAGAGTAGTCTTAACACTGAAAAATTTGCTTCCTATTTCTTTTCTTGTTGTTTTTTTGCTTCTTGGTTCTTTTTTGCAGCCAGCGTTTCTGTTAAGAAGTTTCCCTTTCTCAATGTGATTTTTGATCCACAGTTATTACAAATTTATCAAAGTGTAGATATGGTATTTTTTGGTGACCTGTTGACACATTATGAATTGTTTCAATGTGTGATTTTAAAATCATTCTTTGATTATGGAAAATATGCCACCACTACTATTTTCTCCCTTCTATTTGCTTATCTTTCCTTCCGGTATTCCTATTATTGAGATTTTAATACTTGTAATCTCCATGCCTCTTAGCAACATTTTCTTAAAATTATTTATTTATGAAAGCTTTCTAATGAGTTTTATGAGAATTCTTCATTCTAATTCTTTAGCTCAGTAGTATACTCTTCCAATGTATTTGTTCCAGTACTCTTCATTATGCCTTTGCATTTAATTATTATGTTTTTCAAGATAATCTCAATATGTCTATCCCAACAATTCTACTTTGGTGATCTCTTTGAACTTTATCTTTATTTTATGGCAATGCTCTTCCAGCTTAGACCCATCTTCCTCTAGAGACATTAGTCTCCTTCTTAGGTAATGAGTATTGGTGATGGATCCAAACCACATGCTTTAGTTTATAGTGCACCTGGTAAGTTTAAAGAAAGAGAAAACTATGTGGTGAGAACAGAGCTCCAGGTATCATAAAGCCACATTTCACTATTTATGCTGATTGTTTACTGCCACTCAACCATGTATTTATTCTCATTAGTAATATAAGAATATTCACTTTCCTTAAATTCATTCAAAGGTAGCTTCCCTGAAGCAGCAGCAGCACCACCACAATTGATATTTGTATAGCATATGCTATGTGACAAGGACTTATGTGTGTGTATGTTCATTTAATCCCAACAGCAATCCTACAGAATGTGTACTATCACGAGCTCACTTTACAGACAGGAAAACTGACATAAAGAGAAGTGATGTCTACTGAGTCTGGCCCAGAATGTTGGCAGTTGAGATTTTACCTAGTTTTCAAATTAGAACTGCAGTTTAAATATTGATGAGTATTATAGTTACACTATGCAGACTTTTAAAAAAATTTTTCCATAAAAAGGCCTTATGAATATATTAAAGTTAATCAGTTTATTTTTACAACTATGATTTCAATAATCTGGGAATTTGATTTGCATAGTGTACTGAAAAGTAATAAGCAGATAAAATATTTTATAAACAAAGGAATTTGGAAAACATCTTAAACTCTATATATTTAATCTTATAAAGTAAAGAAAATGTATCTAACAAATTAGAGATTGACATTAACTTTTGCAAGAACAAAGAATGTTAAGATATTAAAAATGCATGTTTTCAAAATAAAAAAGAATGAAGATTAAAAAAAGAAAGTTTAGCAGAAAGGATTTTTTTTAAGTAGAAGAAAAAAGTAAGAGCATGTACATAAGAGTATCAGCTGGGAAATGAGTTTAGTTTGAATTAAGATCATTCACCAGATTGAGGAGGAATCAAACAATGCAAATTAGAAACATGATATTGCATTTCAAAAGAATGTTTCCTCACAGATGTTGTAGCTGAATGTAGTTTCTATTCTTACCTTTCCTTTAGATGGTAGGGCAACAGATGAGTACAGAGAAAAGGAAGCAGCATTTAACTTAAAGTGAAAAGAGAGAAATCACTATTATCTGGACCAATTATTATTTAACAAAAGAACTTGATTTACTGTAAAAAATAGTCTTTAAAATGTGTCCTTTTCTGTGTTCTTTATATTCTTTTGGGGACTTTGTATTGGTCAAGGAACAGATTCTACTATACACAATTTGAATAGAAGGGGATGTATTAAAAAGTATGTCAAATGGCTTACAGAATTGAGATGGCTGAAGGAGATTCTACAATGAAATTCCAGAATCTGCTCTTAGGTCTGTGCTGCAGAACCAAACTGCAAAAGGAGTTGTTTCTTTTGCCATGATCAAGAAGCTGCTGGTCAAATCAGGAGGCATTCTTCATTGAGTATACAAATATTAGAACTATCTCCATTCTGAGCTGCATAAATTAGCTGTAGTTACTGCTTCCAAAAGGCACTCTGTCCTCCCATCAGGAAACATCATGTGCAAAATCAAGAAGCTGCTATTATAGCTGCAGAAGTCTATACCATGCCACATTTTCTACTATCAAGAAGCCATCTCTGCCAAATCAGCTAGCCTCAGAGACAAATTTTGGCTCCAGAACCATGCCACATTTGCTACAATCCACATTGATAATATATCTGCACCATATCCTATATATCTCCATTCAAATTTCAAATTTCAATGTGTTTGTCTCTGATGTGGGACCTAAATCACATTTACGTTATCAAATGAAAATGAATTGGAGAAATTTCCCTTATAGTTTTCTGCCCTCTACAGAAAAGGAAAGTCACATCAGAAGAAAATTTGAATAGGTGTTTTAAGCCAAACCAGAATAACTGCATTAGACTTCACTCTTACTTTATATCTCTGCTTTTATTTTTAAAAATTTCTTATATTTTCACACATGGAATTTACATTTGATCCATCTTTGAGCATAGTCTCAGAGTCTGAAACATTCCAGCTATGAAGTAAGTACTTAAATGGCTGTTCAATAAATTAATATGAGCTACTTTCTGATAATTAAAAAATCTTTTTTATAAGAATACAATAGGAAAACATTGGATTTACTGCTCATTTTTTTTATGGTATAAGCACATCTAATCCTGTATATGAAAGAGTACCAGCTGGAGCCTTATCTGAAATTTCTACACATCTGGGAAAATTCGTTAAAGGTTGAGCTAGATTGAATATATTAAACAACTCTATTGGTATAAAAAAGTAGAAAATACAAAAGACAGAAATATTTCTAAAAGATAAGATAGCCTGAACAATGCAATTAATCAAAAAATGATCTTCAGTTATCAAAATTGGGTAGTGATTGTGACTATATTCTGGTGGCTATAATTCTAATATTCCTTCATCCAACTCTCATGGGCATAAAAACTAGGTCCCAGGAGAAAAGTAGGCTAAAATTAACAGCTGCAGCAGCTGTTTCCATATAACACCAACAAACAAGCAAACAAACATCTATAAAATTTTGTAGTCCAAGCAGAAATAATTTGGTTCCCAGTAACTTAATGTTACATAAAATATGGAGTAATATACTCTCCCACACATCACCTTAGACCTTCAAGGAATGGGAATCTTTATAGAAAGGAATGTCATGCATGAGTAAAAACAAATACAAATTTCAGATTTGTATTAATTATTGCCTTTTTGCTGAAATAGTTGCTACCAAAAAACCAGGTTGTTTTCCTGAGTCTATTTACTCATGGTTTTAAACAGCAGGTGGCCAAAGATTAATGGTTGCTGCTTGAAAAGAGTACTTAGCAAGATTTTTAACCAAGTTAGCTTGGTGAATAGAAGACCATATTTTTGTTTTATTTAAAAACAACATTTATTTTAAGTTCAGGGGTACCTGTGCAGGTTTGTTTTACAGGTAAACTTGTGTCACAGAAGTTTGTTATACAGATTATTTTGTCACTCAGGTATTAAGACTACTACCCGTTCGTTATTTTTCCTGATCCTCTCCCTCCTTGTAACCTCCACCCTCTGAAAGGCCCCAGTGTATGGTTTCCTTCTATGTGCCCGTGTGTTCTCATCATTAACTCCCACTTATAAGTGAGAAGATGCGGTATTTGCTTTTCTGCTCCTGTGTTAGATTGCTAAGGATAAAGGCCTCCACCTCCACTCATGTCTGTCTGCAAAGGAAATGATCTCATTCTTTATTATGGCTGCATACCATTCCACGGTGTAGATGTACCACATTTTCTTTATCCAGTCCACCACTGACTGGCATTTAGGTTGATTCCGTATCTTTGCTATTGTGAATAGTGCTGCAATAAACATATACATGCATGTGTCTTTATGGTACAAAGATTTATATTCCTTTGTGTATATATCCAGTAATGAGATTGCTGGGTCAAATGGTAGTTCTGCTTTTAGCTCTTAGAGGCATCACCACACTGTTTTCCACAATGGTTGAACTAATTTTCACTTCTACCAGCAGTGTATAGCATTATTTTTGTCTGCAACTTCACCAGCATCTGTTAATTATTGACTTTTTAATAATAGCTATTCTGACTGGTATGAGATGGTATCTCATTGTGGTTTTGATTTGCATTTCTCATATGATCAGCAATGTTGAGCTATTTTTCATAGTTTGTTGGCCACATTTATGTCTTCTTTAGAAAGTGTTAAAGTCCTTTGCCCAATTATTAATGGAGTTGTTTTTTTCTTATAAATTTAAGTTCCTTATAGATGCTAATGACTTTTGTCAGATGTATAGTTTGCAAAAACTTTCTCCCATTCTGTAGGTTCTCTGTTTACTTTACTGATAGTTTCTTTTGCTTTGCAAAAGCTCTTTAGTTTAATGAAATCCCGTTTGTCAATTTTTGCTCCTGTTGCAAATGATTTTGGCGTGAAGAATATGTTTTTAAACTCATGGTTAAATATCTAACCTGCAACAGTTCCACCATATCCACTTCATGAGACTGATAGGGAAGCCCTTGATAACTGACTAATATCCACAAGTGTTTTACTGTGTTCATTTTCCCCAGTAATAAAGGGCCTCCTCCAGACTTGACATCACCAATGAGCCTTACAATGGACAAACACGCTTTCAATCTTTCAGAACAAACCTTTGCTCCCTGTTGTAAATTGTAAGAGATCTATTTTTTTAGTGTTTCTCCTTTCAGGCACAGTAGGAAATGTAATATAATAGTTGAAGTTCTGCCCACGGTGGAGTTTTCCTTCTTCATGGCCATCTGGAACCCATTAAGCCAGGACCAACGCCATGCTACACAGAAATCATGTATTGGATTTTTGGGGATCTGTTAATTGTCACAAAAAACACACATAAAATCTTAGATGTAGGTTGAAGAAGAGACAACAGAATGACAAGATTGGAAAGATAGGTTGGAAGATGAGCAAACTGTTCTTAAAATTTAATTACACTTTTCCAAATGTGTTAAGGTCTTTTGTATAACTATTCTTCTAGATAACAAAATGCTACTGGGTCACATGATTTACATGGCTAGTCATATCAGATAATGTTAAATTTATGATAGGCTGCTCAAGTCTCCCTTTTCCTGAAAGCAAGTTTTTTTTAGTATCTTTCAGAGAGTGATAGCTAGAGCTATTTTTAAAAGGTGTCTTTTTCACTTATTTTACCTTTACTCCAAAAATTCAGAGGCCATGACTACGATTTTCTTATTGTGACTTGTTATGGTTTGTAAAAAATTTTACAGACAGTTTAATCCAGTGGATAATTATAAAGACTTAACTGTAAAACTATTGTCTCCTTAGTCCACCTAGAAAGCATCTTCTCTTAATCTGAGCCATATGGAAAGCTGACAGGTTTGAGGGAATACAGGAAATGAAAAAAAAAAAAACAGGACAGCAAAATATCACAATTTTTGCCTTCATAATTCAAAGAGGTCCACCATGCTGTGTCCCTTTCTTAGTATTAGGGAGCATAAAGCTCAGCAATGTGTTCATTACTTTAAAGGAGTAACTTCATATTACTTAATGCCACAAAATTCCACAAATTATGCAATATAGTTGGTAATATTTGTTAAAAACCTAGTTGCTGCTATAATAACGTTTTCCTTTTAAAAATACATATATAAAATGTAAGCACAATACATTAGGAAGTGAAAAATAATAATATCTATTTTTAAAGGAGGTGTACTAAGCTGTCAGTGAGCTTAATAAACATGTTTCTATACAGTTAAGCAATAACTGCTCCCAAATACTAATGAAACAATATCCATGGTATTGCTGCAATGCTGTCTTTATTTACTGTGTGTGCCTCTTGACCAACAGATCCTAAGAGTACTACTGGTCACTGTTAGTTTTAAACCGATATTGGTTTTTATAAAAGAGAAGGGTGAATAAACTTTAAAAGTGGAAAACAAGAAATCTTGGCAAATTAGTTAAAAGCTAGGGGGAAGAAAAAAGACACTTAATGCTTGAAAGAGCTTTCTAAATAGTGCCCAAATTATGATTAGCATTCCTATAGCACTTTCAAAAGGTATTTTATAGTGATCTCTCTGATGGAAAAATATTCTATAAAAAGCATGAGATTGAGGCAAACATACAACTTTTAAAAGTAATTATACAAAACCAAACATTGCTCTGAGAAACTTGAGGAAAATACAAACAGCAAGAAACAAAGCCAAAAGATGTTCTATCTGACATTTCTTGGAGGTTGGGTTTTCTGCAGTTCCAAAATCAATGAAATTGATTGTTCCTTCTATTTATTTTGCCTACCCCACTGCATATATTAAACATTTCCCACATTTAAAATTCTGATAAACCCAACTGCAGAACAAAATACTGTTAATTACAATTTATTTTAGGTAAAAGAAGTTATGCATGGCAAATCTTTATTACAACAAGTAAAACAGAAATTGACCTTAAGTATTGTAAAAGGTAATTAAAAAGCATCACCATTATGGAAATAATTAAATATAAGTTGCTTTCTGAACAAGCAACGAAGTATTTCAAAAAATACTTTAAAGGATAGAAAGGGAAAAAAAATTAAAAGCATAAATAAAGACATGCAGACAAAAATATGTAAGCACAATAAAATTAAATAAGCTTGCATACAAATAGGGAGCATCCATTGTTATATATGTCACATCAATATAGAACCACTTGATGTGATTTCTATATTTTAGTTCTTTTTTCATTTAAATTTAATGTTATTTTTCATATAATACATTTCTATGGCTCAAAAGAAAATTATATTAAAAATATTTATTGTAAAGTTAACTCTCCCCTCTTTCTGTATTAAGCCCCTCTCCCATAGTTAATCATTTTTCTTCCTCTTCAATGTATTTCTGTCATGTTTCTATTAACAAATTGTATTTGTGTTCCCTTAAATGTGATTAAAAGCCTTTTTAACTCATCTCATTTTTCTTAGCTTATTGTGATAATTTCCTATCCCTTTAATGTTTTATTGCATGGATAATGTGGCACTGTTTTCCCTATGTAAATTTGCCTTTTCTCATATAAATCACATCCACTTTGATTAGTCCTGTGATACAGATTTTCTTTGAGATTCGTCTTTATTGTCATGAGTGTACATTTTCTAACTTGGGGGCAGGGGAATCAACTTTCTTTAAGTTTAAAACATAAAAAATTATAATGGGCATCATTTTTTATCAAAATATCAACTTGATTACAGAAATAACCTAGACTGTAGCTTTTATTTGCAATCATACTTAGATAACAGTGTTTTCTCTGATAAAAGAATTTACCTAGTTAGGCACAGAGACAGTAGATAAAAAAAAAAAAAAATTAAGACTCATGTCCAAGACACTACTCCAGTAGGCCTAACTCAATAAGGACAGCCAAGGACTTCCAAGTTGAAGAACAAATGATTATATATTACACTGAGAGGCATTCATCTGAATTCTTCTGTGGTACTGATTATCTTTAACTGCTATTGCCATGAATTATCATTTCAGGCTAAAAGACTCAGACCATCAGCAATAGTGTGCTAAAAGCAAGTATGGTTTTCAAACAAATCATGTCCATGTTTTTAAAATGTTTTAGCAAAAGCTGAGTGATCCTTCACTTGAAGATGAATAGGTAAAGCAGCCAGGTAGAAAATAAATAAATAAATGAAACTGATTCCAAAATAGTAGCTTAGAAGGGATTTGGCTAAGGTCATCCTCCCTCACAGAAAACCAAAACCAAATAAACACAGGGAGATTATCACCAGCAAAATCCCCAAACTCAAATATGAGAAGGAAACTGTTTCTGGGGCCACAGAACATTGAAAACAGTCCAAGCATATGGTAAGAGAATTGGACTTCCATATATTTGATATCTCTATCCCCAATCTGTCCAGGACTAAGCTCATAGAAAATATTCCCTTGAGTCATAGTTTCTTTTTTTATTTAGATGGAGTCTCACTCTGTCACCCAGGCTGGAGTGCAATGGCATGATCTCAGCTCACTGCAACCTCTGTCTCCCTGGCTCAAGTGATTCTCCTGCCTCAGCCACCCAAGTAGCTGGGACTACATGCTCCCGCCACCAAGCCTAGCTAACTTTTTTTGTAGTTTTAGGAGAGACGGGGTTTCACTATATTGGCCAGGCTGGTCTTGAACTCCTGACTTTGTGATCTGCCCATCTCAGCCTCCCAAAATGCTGGGATTACAGACGTGAGCCATCGCGCCTGGCCAAATCATAGTTTCTAAACTGGGAAAAGTGAGATGGAGGTGGACAACCAGCTTACCCACCTTCTTGGGTTTCCTGGCAGGAGACTTGTGCCTTCTTTAACTCATGGGAAGTATTGTGACTGCCTGATGGGAGAAATCTTCCTCAGGACAGCTATAGACAATGGGGGTAAGTGGGACTACCATCACCAGCCTTGGAAACTACGCTATAACTCAGCCAAAGGAGATGCCAAATCAGAGTGGCTGTTTGGCAGCACCTCACTATACGAAGTACATTCCACTGGCCTCCTGGGCACAAATCCCTAGCTAGCCTTCCCATACTGCATGATATAGCCTTTGGAACTTCCCCAATTCAAGATGGGCAGTACTTTGGTTATTCACTAGAGCCAAGGCAAATCTGTGCTTAAGGAACCATCTAGTGCCAAAAGAAAAGCAACAACTTGGATACAACACTACAATAACCAGGGAAATCACAAAGAATTTTTAAACAAAAATATCCAAGGAAAGTGAAAACAAGCTGAACAGAAAAGACTGGAATGAATAACTTATTTTTCAAGGCAAATACATAGATGTACATCCGCAAGAAACAACAGCAAACAGGGAATCATGACCTCGCAGATGGACAAAGCAAGGAACAAGTGACTGACTCTAATGAGACAGTTCTATGTGAGCTCTCTGAACAAGAATCCAGAATAGCAGTTGTAAGGAAACTCAGTCATCTCCAAAATAACAAAGAAAATCACATCAGAAAATTTTTGGAGAAATGTAATACAGAGATTTAAATAATGATTAAACATTCAACTGAAATTTTAGAACTGAAAAATATATTGCTGAACTGAAAAACTCTTTAGAGGCTCTTAACAACAGAATGGATCAAGCAGAGGAAATAATCGTTGAGCCCCAAAACAAGCTATTTGAAAATATACAGTCGAGGAGAAAAAAGAAAAAAGAATAATAAGGAACAAATATTACCTACAAGATACAGAAATTTACATCAAAAGATCAAATCTAAGAATTATTAGTGTTCAAAAGAGAGTTGAGTGAGAGCAAGGAGTAGAAGGCTTGTTAAAATAAGTAATAAGAAAATTTTCCAGGACTTGAGACAGATACAAATATCCAGGTATAGGAAGGTCAGAGAACACCAAACAGATGTAACCCCAATAAGATGACCAGAAAGCATGCAATAATCAAGTTATCAAAGGTTAAATACAGCATCCTAAAAGCAACAAGAGAAAAGAAGAAAATAACGTATAAAGGAGTTCCAATATACCTGGCAACAGACTTCTCAACAGAAACCGAATGGGCCAGGAGGAAGTGAGATAATATTTTCAAAGTGGTGAAAATCATTGCCACCCAAGAATACTGCATCTAGCAAAACTATCTTTAAAATATGAAAAATAAATAAAGTATTTCCCAAAGAAAGAGGAGATAATTCACCAGTATCAGACTTATCTTACATGAAATACTAAAGGGAGTTCATCAGTCTGAAAGAAAAAACAAAAAACAAAAACAAAAATAAACACTAATGTGTAAAAGAAAACATTTGAAGATATAAAACCTACTGGTAAAAGAAAGTACACAGACAAGCCCAAAATACTCTGATACTATAACTGTGGTGTGCAATCAGTGCATAAATGTAGCATAAGGTCTAAAAGATAAATCTATTAAAACAATAATAGCTGTAGCAACTTGTTAAGAGATAGGCATTATAAAAATATATAATTTGAGAGAACAAAAAATCAAAATGTGGAAGAGATAGTGATGAAGTGTATGTAAAGTGGAATTTTAGTTTTTTCTTTCTTTGTTTCTATTTTTTTCTTTGTGATCTGAAAGAAATTGACAAGTCTTTAAAATAACTTGTGTACCTCTATTGTTGTAAATGTCATGGTAAACACATAAAAAGCAGTGAATTAAAACATACTACCAGAGAAAATCATCACTCATCCACAAAGAAAGACAGGAAAAAAGGAGGAGAGATATTAAAAAATGTTACAAATGAGCAACAAAATGGCAGTAGTAAGTCCTTACTTATCAATAATAACACTGAATGTAATGAATTCAATTCTCCAATTAAAAGATAAAGTGGCTGAGTGGATAAATAAATATGATTGAACTATAGTTCATATATGCCACCTACAAGAAACCCAACTCACCTATAAAAGCACAAATAAACTGAAAGCGAAGGGGTTGAGATACCTCATGCAACTGGGAACCAAAAAAATAAAAAAGCAAGAGAAGTTACACATATCAGATAAAATAAACTACAAATTGGATGATAAACAGAGACAAAGAAGGTCACTATACAATGAGGAAATGGGTCAATTTAGAAAGAGGTTATAACAATTATAAATAGGTATAAACCCAACACCAGAGCTATGAAATATGTAAAGTAAACACTAATAGACATAAAGGGAGAGATAGACTGCAATACAGTAATGGTAGGGAATTTTAACACCTCACTGTCAGTAAAGGACAGATCATCTAGCCAAAAAATGACAAAGAAACAGCAGAGTTAAAGTACACGCTAGATCTAATAGACCTACATGACATTTACAGAATATTTTACCAAATCACTGTAGAATACATATTTTTTCATCAGCACATAAAACATTCTCCAGAATAGACCATATCTTAGGCAACAGAACAAGTCTTAGCTAATTCTTTAAAGTAGAAATCTTATCAGCTATCTTGTCTGACCACAAAGGAATACAATTAAAAATCAACATGAAGAGGAACATTGGGAACAACACAAACTCATGGAAATCAAAGAATAACTTCCTGAATAACCAATAGGTCAATGAGAAAATTAAGAAATAAATCAAAAATGTCTTAAAACAAATGAAAATAGAAATACAGCATACCAAAATCAACAGGATACAGCAAAAACAGTACTAAAAATACTTCAAATAAACAACTTAATTATGCATCTCAAGAAACTAGAAAAGCAAGAACAAACCAAACCTCAAATTAGAAGAATAAAGAAAATCATAAATATCAGAGCATAAATAAATAAAATTGAGACAAACTCTGCAGAATTTCCTTTGGAAAAAAACTTTTTTTTTTTTTTTTTTTTTGAGATGGAGTCTCACTCTGTCACCTGGGCTGGAGTTTAGTGGCATGATCTCGGCTCACTGCAACCTCCTCCTCTCAAGTTCAAGAGATTCTCCTGCCTCAGCCTCCCAAGTAGCTGGGGTTACAGGCACCCACCACTATGCCCAGCTAATTTTTTGTATTTTTTGTAGAGATGGGGTTTCACCATGTTGGCCAGGCTGGTCTTGACTCCTGACCTCATGATTCACCCTCCTTGGCCTCCCAAAGTGCTGGGATTACAGGTGTGAGCCACCGTGCTGGGCCAAAAACTTTTTTTTTTTAATGAAGATTAATCAAATTGACAAACTTTTAGGCTAAAAAATGAAAGAGAAAATATACAAATAAAATTGTAAACAAAAAATAAGACATAACAATTGAGACTACAAAAGTAAAAGACAAATTAAAGGCTATCATGAAAAATTATAGGCCAACAACTTGCAAAACTTAGAAGAAATAGATAAAATTCAGGACACATGCAACCTATCAAGATTGAACCATGAAGAAATAGAAAACCTCAACAAACCAATAATGAGTAACAGGATAAAAACCATAATAAGAAGACTCCCATCAAAGAAAAGCCCAGGGCCTGATGGCTTCTCTTCTGAATTCTAACAAACAGTTAAAGAATAACTGACAATACTTCTACTCAAACTCTTCAAACTGATTAAAGAGGAATAAATACTTCCAAACTCACTCTATAAGGCTGTCTGTCCTCTGATTCCAAAACCACACAAGGACACAATAAAAACAGAAAAGTACAGCCAATATCTCCAATGAACATAAATGCAAAAACCAACAAGACACTAAGAAACCAAATTCAACAAAACATTAAAAAGATCAGTTACCATGATCAATTGGGATTGATCACAGAGATGCAAAAATGGTTCAACATATGCAAATGTGATACATCACATTAACAAAACCTACAACAGAAGCATATAATTATTTCAATAGATGCTTTAAAAATCTGTTAAAATTCAATATGTTTTATGATAAAACTACCAACAAAATGAGTATAGAAACAACATACTTCAAAGTAATAAAAGCTATATATGACAAACCCACCGCCAACATTATACTGCATGGGGAAAAATGGAAAGCCTTTTCTCTAAGATCTGGAACAAGACTCTTTCAAGATTCCTACTCAACCTAATATCAGAAGTCCTAGCCAGACCAACTAGGCAAGAAAAAGAAATAAAAGGCATACATATTGGAAAGAAAGCATTCAAATTAGCTTTGTTCACAGGTGACATGATCTCATACTTGGAAAAACCTAAAGACTCCACCAAAAAACTGTTATAATTGATAAACAAACTCGGAAAACTTACTGGTTACAAAATCAACATAGAAATATTAGTAGCATTTATATATTTCAAAAACAATCTGAAAAAGAAAGAATTCTAATTCCATTTACAATAGTTACAAGGAATATAAAATACACAGGAGTCAAGTTAATCAGAGAAATCAAAGACCGACAAAAGGAAAACTATACAACACTGATGAAAGACACTGAAGAGTACCCCAAAATGAAAAGATATTTCATGTTCATGACTCATGGTTAAAATAACAATAGTACACAAAGTGATTCACAGATTCAGCATAATTCCTATAAAAAAACAATGACGTTATTCATAGAAATAGAAAAAAATCCTTACATATGTATGAAACCACAAAAGACCCCAAATAGCCAAAGCAATTCTGAGCAAAATGAACAGAAAAGAAGCAGTGTACTACCTGACTTCAAAATGTACTATAAGGGTATGATAGCCAAATCAGAATAGTTCTGGCTTAATAGACACACAGGCCAATAGAACAGAATAGAGAACCCAGATATAAACACCTATATTTACAACCACCTCATTTTCAACAAAGGTAACAAGAATATACAATGGAGAAAGGACAGTTTTTAATAAATGGTGCTGGGAAAACTAAACATCTATACACAGAAGAACGAAGCCAGACCCTCTCTCTCTCTCTGCATATACAGAAATCAAATAAAAATGGATTAAAGACTTAAATCTAAGATTTGAACCTAAGAAACTACTAAATGAAAACATTGTGGAGATATTTCTGAACATTGGTCTTGGCAAAATATTTTTATGTAAGACCTCAAAACCACAGGCAACAAAAGCAAAAACTGACGAATAGGTTTACATCAAGGTAAAAATCTATACAGCAAAAGAAACAACAAAGTGAAGAGACAACTTGAAAAATGGGCAAAATATTTGCAAACTCTCCATCTGACAGAGGATTAATAATAGATAAGAAGTTCAAACAACTCAATAGGCCCAAACTAAATAATTCTATTTAAAAATGGGCAAAAGCCCTGAACAGACATTTCTCAAAAGAAGACAGATAAATAGCCAACAGTATATGAAAAATGATCGCTAGTCATCACAGAATATCACTAGTCATCACAGAAATTCAAGTCAATGCCACAATGAGACACCATCTCACCTCAACTAAATTTTTTTTTTATTGAAAAGACAGGGAGTAAAGGATGTTGGTGAGGATGTGGAGGAAGGGAAACCCTTGTAAACTGTTGGTAGGAATGTAAATTAATACAGCCATTATGAAATAAAAATAGTATGGAGTTTCCCCAGAAAACAAAAATAAAAATAACCATATGATCCAGCATTTCCATCCATCACCTTCCACCATAATTTTATGCTTCCTGAGGCCTCACCAGAAGATGTTAGTATCATGCTTCCTGTAAAGCCTGCAGAACTGTTAGTCAATTAAACCTCTTTTCTTTTTAATTTATCTAGCCTCAGATATTTCTTTATAGCAATGCAAGAATGGCCTAACAGAGATTACTGTTACCGAGAATTGGGGCATTGCTATAACATATCTGAAAATGTGAAAGTGACTTTACAACTGAGTAATGAGCAGAGGTAAGAAGAGTCTGGAGTTCTCAGAAGAACGTAGGAAGATGAAGGAAAGTTTGGAACTTCTTAGAGACATGTTAAGTAGTTGTGACCAAAATACTGATAGAAATATGGACAGTGAAGCCCAGGTTGACAAGGTCTCAGATGGAAATAAAAAAAGTTATTGAGAAATAGAGTAAAGGTCACCCGTGTTACCCTCTAGCAACTGACGTGGATGTTTTGTGTACATGTCCTAGGATCTGTGGAAGATTGAACTTAAGAGTGATTATTTAGGGTATGTAGTGGAAGAAATTTCTAAACAGCAAAGCATTGAACAGGTGACCAGGCTACTTCTAACAGCCTATGATCAGATCCAGAAGCAAAGAAATTACTTAAGGTTAGAATTTATATTTAAAAGGGAAGCAGAGTGTAAAAATTTGGAAAATTCTCAGCCTAGCCATGTGGCCAAGAGGAAAAAATGCATCTTCAGGAGAGGAATGGAGCAGGCTGTGGAGCAACAATTTGCTAGAGATAGTCGGATGACTAAAAGGGACCCAAGTAGTACATCCAAGACAATAGGAAAAAGGCCTCAATGGCATTTCAGAGATTTTGGAGACAGCCCCTCCCATGACAAGCCCAGAGACCTAAGGGATACAATGGTTTCTAGGTCCAGACCTGGGGCCCCATTCCCCTGTTCAGCCTTGGGACTCTGCTCCCCACATCCTGGTCGCTCCTGCTCCAGGTGCAGCTTAAAGGCCTGAGATACAGCTCCAGCCACTGTTCTGGAGGGTACAAGTTATAAGCCTTAGTAACTTCCATGTGGTGTTAAGTCCACAGGCACACAGAATACAAGTGTGAAGGAAGCCTGGTGGCTTCTCCCTAGATTTCAGAGAATGCCTGGGAAAGCCTGGGTGTCTAGGCAGAAGCCTGCTGCAGAAGCACAGCCCTCACAGTGAACATCTATTAGGGCAGTGCAGAGGGGAACTGTGGGGTTGGAGCCCTCACAGAGCCCCACCAGGGCATTACCTGCTGAAGCTGTGGCCAGACCCCCAGAATGGTAGAGCCAGGAGCAGCTTGCCTCTTGACCTGGAAAAGCTGCAGACATACAACTCCAAGGTGTGAGAGCAGCCATGGGGGCTGTAGCCTGCAAAGCCACAGGGGCAGAGCTGCCCAAGGCTTTGAGAGCCCACCCCTTGCACCATTGTGCCCTGGATGTAGGACATGGAGTCAACAGAGATTATTTTGGAGGTTTTATGATTAATGTCTACCCTACCAGCTTTCAGACTTGTGTGGGGCCTGTACCCCTTTCTATGGCCAATTTCTCCCTTGTAGAAAGGGAGCATTTACCCAATGCCTGTACCATCATTTTATTGTGGAAGTAAATAATTTGTTTTGATTTTACAGACTAATAGGTGGAAAGAGATGAGTCTCAGATGAGATGAGATTTACGACTTTGAACCTGATGTTGGAACAAGCTAAGACTTTGTTAGAACTGTTGGAAAGAGATTGTTGCATTTTGTAATGTGACAAGAACATGAGATATGAGGAATCAAAGGTGGAATAATATGGTATGGATGTTTGTCTCCTCCAAATCTCTTGTTGAAATGTAATTCCCAATGTTGGAGGTGGGGCCTAGTGGGAGATATTGGATCACAGGGGCAGATCCCTCTTGAATGGCTTAGCACCATCCCCTTGATGATGAGTGACTTCTCACTCAGTTAATTCATGTGAGATTTGGTTCTTTAAGAGTCTGAGACATCTTCTTTCTCTATCTTGCTCCTGTTCTCACCATGTGACATATTGGCTCCCCGTTGTCTTCTGCCACGATTGTATGTATGCTTCACAAAGCATGCCTCACCAGAAGCAAATGCCAGCATCATGCTTCCTGTAAAGCCTCCAGAACCATGAGCCAAAATAAATCTCTTTTCTTTGTAAATTACCTAGTCTCAGGTATTTCTTTATACCAATGCAAGAAGCCTAACACAGTGACATTATATACCTTGATGTTATATTTACCAAAACAATATCTACTATATGCATATCTATCTACTGATCTATAAAATACCCACTAGGTAAAAAGATATAAAGCTTACATTCCTTTCTTATTTTCTTCCTTCCTTTTGTTTTTTTTTTATGTATTTCTATATTTAACAAATGTTAATTGGGCTACTATTACATCCATGGGATTGTTCATGTAACTGTATTCAGGGTCCTGGTTCTTAAGGGCGCATATTGTAGAATAAACTTGTATTCTAGTGATTTGTATGCAGTAAAAATTTATAGAACTGAAATAATAATTTACAAATTTTTGAATATGTTTACAAAAATACACATTTTAATGAATTTGAGGGGTAAAATGTATTACAATTAGCCTGAAAGAATCAATGAATAAAAACAAGCATGCAAAAAACAGATGTGTTTAGCTATGTTAATAACAATTACTTATCAGAAATAGATTTTGGGGGATTTTTATCTTCATTTGGAAATGGCATGCCACTCAAAAATAAATGTTTTAACTACTATATTTAATTGTCCATTTACATGAATTTAGTTAGAAAAATCACATATTCCAGTAAATTAATCTTTTGACTAGCTTTAAGAAATTCTGAAATTTCTCCTTCTACTGCCTTCCTGTTCTCCTGTTCCCCATTCCCCTCCTCCCCCTCTCCTTCTTTCTCCTACTCCCTTCTTCTCCACTTTCTTTTTCTGTTGTTTTTGCTTCAGCTCCACTTGCTTCATCTAATGCTTCTCACCTATTTCTCAACTACTTCCCCTCCTGTCTTTATTTTCTTCTTTGTTTTCCTTCTCTTTCTCTTCCTTCCTTCATATTTTTCTCTTTTCTTTGTTCCTCCAGTCTCCACCTCTAATTATTTATTTGAGAAACAATCATATTTGAATTAACAGAAAAAAAAATTGTTTATGTTTCTATGTCCTTCATTAGTGTGTTTTACTATGATCTTAGGACAAAAATTGAAGACAGCGTTTCAGGTCCCCAAAAGGTATTAATGTATATCCTAAGTTCAGAGTTTTCATTTTATCAACTCAGGCCTAAGGCAGTAATAAATCATCTCACAAATAGTACACTGAATAAAAGATAAGTACAAATATCCCTAGGATCAATTGCCTGGGGTTTTATCAATTGTAATATTAATATAACCTAACTGTAATGTCATTTATAATTAGGTTTAATTACCTAAAAACATAACAAAACACAATAACGTGTATTTTTTAGCTTATATAATAAAAATTATGCAAGTTATTTGGCAAATACAGACTTTCAGCAGAAACTATTTGTTATTGAGGTTAGATAATAAGATAGCCATTTGAACTCCACATTGACAGTTTTAGATCACTGGAGCTTAAAAGGGTAAGCAATAGCTCAGTCAACTAGTAAATATCACTGGCATGGTGTTCCATTTGATTTTTAAAAATACTCCTTCTTCTCTTTCATTGTCTGGCTGCTGCATACTGGCTTTTTTTTTAATTTCACATTGACTCTGTTTAACTTAATTGACCATGCATAATTTTATTCTTATATTGGTAAAAATCTCTTTTATTGTATAATTGAAACTTAACCTTTACATGGTGCATTCATGTTTTCTGCCTAATGTGAGAATAACTGAGACTGCTTAATATCATTGCTTGAAATTTTCACAAATCAGTTAATAGATTTTCTTATACTCTCATGATTTTCAAGTGTATGTCAGTTATTTTCAATAAAATGTATTTTAAAGTAATGGCATTGATATTATATCTAAAATAGCTTATATATTACTATCTAAACTCCAATTACTTAGAGTATATCATAAATGAATACATATATACATATATCATCATTTTACTATAAAATATGCATGTATTCATGTACACATATTCATGAACACATCATGGCACTTATATTTGCAGGTTAATAAATAATTACAAATTGAGTACCCATAAAACTTGATAGTAAAGAAATAAGAGTGTTACCAGTACTGGAGAATTCTCCTGTGTATCCCTCTGCTATGGTTTGGCTCTGTGTTGCCACCCAAATTTCATGTTGAATTGAAATTCCCAGTGGGGCCTGGTGGGAGGTGATGGGATCATGGGGGTGGTTTCTAATGATTTAGCACCAGCCTTCTAGTGCTGTCTGGTGATAGAGTTCTCATGAGATATAGTTGTTTAAAAGAGTGTAGCACCTTCCCCTTTACTCTCTCTTTCCTGCCAGCCATATGAAGAAATTGGAGGGAAGATACAGTGTTTATACTGGGTTAGCCTGTATAAAAAGGGAGTTTCATAAAAGAAAAAAAAAGAAGAGGAAGAATGGAAGAAAGAAACAGGAAGAATGAAAACAATAAACAGAAAGAATAGCCACACCAATATGGCACAAATAGGCAGGACCTACATGTCTGATTTGGAAGATGTCTACTTTATCTAATACTCTAAATTTAAGCAGAAATTCCCCAGGTAAAAAAATGATGAAGGATAGAGCACAGTGGCTGAATAGAAGCCTCCAGTGAGGGTTCCCTCCTAAAACACCAAACTGAACAACTAGCCAAAGACAAAAAGCACCTTCATAAGAACTGAAAATCAGGCAAGCAATCACAGTACCTAGATGTTACATCATATCAAAGAAACAGTCAATGAAGAGGCTAGGAAAGTCAGTATTGAATAGTCTATGTCACTCCTCCCCTATCCTCAGCAGCAGCTACATGGCAAGAGAATCTGCACTTCGGGGAGGAAGAGTACATTGACTGTAGGACTTTGCATTAGAACTCAGAGCTGCCCTGTCACAGCAGATAGCAACAGAGGGCAGAACTGACTTGGAAATCATGGGTGAAACATTTATACCAGCCCTAGCCAAAGGCAAAACACCCATCCCAGTGTTTGAACCCTGAGTTCTGGCAAGCCCTGCCACCGCAGGCTAAAGTGTTTTTGAGTCCTAAATAAACTTGAAATTCAGTCTAGGCCACAAAGACTGCAATTCCTGGGCAAATCCTGGTGCTGTGCTGGGCTTGGAGCCAGTGGACTTGGAGGGCACATAACCTAATGAGAAATCAGACAGGGCAGAGAAGGGAGTGTTTGCATTACCCTTCTCCCAACCCCAGGCAGTGCAGCTCACACCTGCAGGAGAGATTACATCATTCTCTTTGAGGAGAAGGGAAGGAAGAGTAAAGAGGACTTTGTCTTAAAACATAGATGCCAGTTCAGCAACAGTAGGATAAGATGCCAGGCAGAATCCTGAGGCCCCCATTCCAAGCCCTAGGTTGCCAATGACATTTCTAGATACACTTTGGGCCAGAAAGGAAGCCACTGCCTTGAAGGGAAGAACCCAGTCCTGGCAGGATTCATCATCTGCTGAGTATAATGCCTTGGATTCTGAATAATTAGTAGTGGTAGTCAGACAGTACTCTTCACAGGCCTTGGATGAGACTCAGAGCCATGCTGGCTTCAGATGTAACCCAGCACATTCCCTGCTGTAGTGACTATGGGGAGAGACTTCTACTTGACTAAAGGAGAAGAAAAAGTAAAGGGCACTTTGTCTTGCAGCTTAGGCACCAGCTCAGCCACAGGGGAAGAGAGTAAAAAGCAGCCTCCTGTGGTTCCCAATTCCAGGCTTTGACTCCTGGATGGCATTTCTAATTTCTAGACCTGCCCTAGGTAAGAGGGGAGCCCATTGCCCTGAAAGGAGAGAATCACGCCTGGAAGCATTATCCACAATCTGACTGAGAAATCACTGGGCCTTGAGTGAACACAAGTGGTAGCCAGGTAGTACTTGTTGTGGGCCTGGGACGGTGGTGGCCAGGGAAGGAGACACCTCTGTTTGAAGGAAGGGGAGGAAAGAGTGAGAAGGACTTCATCCTATGGCATCGGTGCCAGCTCAGCAGCAGCAGACCCAAGCATCAGGTCTACTCCGAAGGGTCCTGACTCCAGGCTTTGGATCTTAGATGGCATATCTTGGCCCACCTCGGACCAGAAGGATCTCAACACCCTGAAAGGAAAAACACAAGGCTGGCTGGATTTACCCCCTGCTAACTGTAGAGCCCTTGCACCTTAAGTAAACACAGGTGGTAACCAGGAAGTGGCCACCATGAACCTTGGGCAAGAAACAGTGCTGTGCTGCCTTTGGGTGTGACCCAGCACAGTCCCAGTGGTGGTGCTCACAAGGGTCCTCATGTCACTACTCCCCCAGCTCCACGAAGCTCAGCACACACACAGAGAGAGACTTTTTTTTTTTTTTTTTTTTTTTTTGAGGGAAAGCCTGGAGGCAGAGATTCTTGTTCTCTTCCCTTACTTTCTCTCAAAAATTATCCAGGAATTCTCCTGGATCTTACCCAAGACTGCCAGGGCAAAATTCTCCAGGGAATTCTCCAGGATCTTACCCAAGACTACCAAGGCGGTGCATCTAAGAGTCTGCAAGAGCAACAGCATTATTGCGCTTGGGGTGCCCCCAGTGCAGACACGGCTACGGTGACCAAAGATGAAGATCACAACACACAGGTCTCGTCTAATGCCTGGAAAGCCTTCCCCAGAAGCACAAGTACAAACAAGCCCAGACTGCAAAGGCTACAATAAATCTCTAACTCTTCAATGCCCAGACACTGATGAACATGCACAAGCATCAAGACAGTCCAGGAAAACATAACTTTACCAAATCAACTAAACAAGAAAGGCACCATGGACCCAATTCTGGAGAGACAGATACGTGACCTTTCAGACAGAGAATTCAAAATAGCTGTTTTGAGGAAGCTCAAAGAAATTCAAGATAAAACAGAGAAGAAATTCAGAATCCTATCAGATAAATTCAACAAAGAGACTGAAATAATTAAAAAGAATCTAGCAGAAATTCTGGAGTTGAAAAAATACAATTAACACAATGAAGAATGCATCAGTGTTTCAATGGCAGAATATGTCAAGAAGAAGAAAGAATTACTGAGTTTGAAGACAGGTTGTTTGAAAATACACAGTCAGAGGAGACAAAGGAAAAATAATAAAAAAGACTGAAGCATGCCTACAAGATCTAGAAAATAGTCTCAAAAAAGCATATCTAAAAGTTATTGTCCTTAAAGCAGAGGTAGAGAGATCCAAGTAGAAAGATAATTCAAAGGGATATTAACAGGAAACTCCCCAAATTTATCTGTTAATGAAAAATTATTGTGTTATAAAAATTAACAAAAATGCCCCGTAACATGGCCACTCCCAAACCTAAAGGTATCCACAGTTAAGTACCAGACATGACAATTACAATGTTATAATATTCTGTGTATACATACCTATGCATTTATATTTAATGCATTATGTAAATATGTATACCCACATAAAATGTAAAAGTGCTTATATTTATACATATGTGAGAGAGTTTGCATATACGTATCCATATGTACATAAGTGCCATCTCAGCTGAATTGTAGAAGATGTAAATAGTTGATTTATATTCTGATGCAAGCTCCTTATAGCATCATAGATGGATTGGTAGCAAACTACTTTAGACCATCTCTGAGCAGCACTGATCCAGACAAAAGGCTGAATGTATCAGAAGACTGAGAGGTGAAAGAGGAAATCGCTTATTTGAGTACTATGAAAGCATTATGTGTAGCTGCAGCACAGGACACAAAGACAAGAATAGTTGAAAGGGGCGAAGCTGAAGAGATAGAAAATGGATGCGATTTTGAGGTCTTGGGATAATTTTGCTTAAGATTTTGAATAACTGTTGATAAATTATTCCAGTAGGTGATATTATCTAATTTGCATTTTGGAATGCAACTTTGTCATGGTATGGAGATTAACTGGAGGGGAATAAGGCTGGATTTGAAGAAAATAATAGACATCCAAATGAGATATCACTATTATAAATAATCACCAGGGGGATGAAAATGACATAATATAAAAATAGATTGGATTTTGCAGTGGGAAGTTCAGAGAAATGGAATGGATGATCTTCAAGGTTCTGGTTTATCTTTTGATATAACACTGTCGCTTAATAAAGACAGAGAAAAAAGTTTAACGTAGTTGAAATAATAATGAGATCGATTTTCAACTTTGTAGTTTAAATTGTTCATATAGCTTTACAAGCAGATTATTGTGAGTTTGTTCAGATATTTTCTCACTGTGAAAATGCACATCAGGGCAGGGCATTTTTGTTCATGTCTGTAATCTCAGCATTTTGGGAGGCCAAGGCAGGAGGATTGCTTGAGGACAGAATTTCAAGGCCAGCTTGGGCAACATAGTGAGACTCTGTGTAAAAAATTTTAAAAAATGGCCAAGTGTGTTTGTATGCATCTGTAGTCCCAGCTACTCAGGAGGCTGAGGCAAGAGGATCACTTGAGCCTGAGAGGTTGAAGCTACAGTGAGTTGTGATAGTGCCACCACACTCCAGCCTGGGCAGCAGGAAATACACATCAGTACGATAGTTTCCTGCATTCAAATAATGGCATGTGTATATTGTTTAATCCCATCATCTTGAAATTACCATGTTTGATTAGATAAGAATGAATAAAATCTCTGATTTTTCCAAAATATATATAATAAAGATGAAATCTTTCAAATATGTAGACCAAGTTACTCCAACCAAAATTCCTCATTTTTCTACTCTTCTGTTAGTAAGGAAGGTGAAGTTTAATTTAGATGACCAATTAAATAACTCATTGGCAATCAGGTAAGTTGTTTCTATGTCTAAGAACACATTTTTTGAAACATGTTTTAGTAAAATATTTTGGCAAGTTCAAATGAAAATTACCAGTCCCATATAAGTGGTCTGCTTTTAACAAGTTGTTTTGGTATTAGTATTGTCATTGTATCACTTGCCTGCGTGTGTGCGTCTGTGTGTGTGTGTGTGTGTGCACGCATTTGCTAAAATCTATTCCAAAATAAACAGCGTGACAGATACCATCTTTCTACTTTCTACATTTGTTCTACTTGTTTGCCTATCAGGATCTTAGAATTTAGATTCATCACTGATGAGATAATTCTCTCAAATACATATACATATTTATTTACACATTGATGTTTATAGCATAATTTTGTCTGTTATTATGTTGTTTTAATCATAATTTATTGCATATTTCAAAATAGAAGAATTGTCATGTTCGCAAAGAAAAGTGTAAAAAATACATTTTTTTTTTACAAAACTGCTTAAAAGTTTGTTTGACACAACATACTCACAAATTTGCTATCTAAGTTGTAATCCCACAAGATGCTACATTATTGTCATTGAGAAGAGTAAAGTGGCCCTCAGTTCAAAGAGAGATTGGGAACTGTCTGCAAAACTAAAAAAGAACGTGTAGTTCCCTTAGAATCATTTGTGTTTAAAATATTAACTATTCATCTCTGAAGTCTGTTTTAAACATTTGGCCGGGCGCGGTGGCTCACGCCTATAATCCCAGCACTTTGGGAGGCCGAGGCGGGCGGATCATGAGGTCAGGAGATCGAGACCATCCTGGCTAACATGGTGAAACCCCGTCTCTACTAAAAATACAAAAAATTAGCCGGGCATAGTGGCGGGCGCCTGTAGTCCCAGCTACACGGGAGGCTGAGGCAGGAGAATGGCGTGAACCCGGGAGGCGGAGCTTGCAGTGAGCCGAGATCCTGCCACTGCATTCCAGCCTGGGTGGCACAGCGAGACTCCATCTCAAAAAATAAATAAATAAATAAACAAACAAACAAACAAACAAACATTTAGTGCACTGTTTACTCATGGTTTAGGTTACTTTACCACCCCCAAGTGCTCCCAATTGTTTACTTGCGGGTAAAACTTGCAACAAATACTTAGATAGATCAATTACTGTATGTTGCTTTCTTTCTAAGTGTCAGTCTTTCAGTTCTGTAGACTGTTTAGTTTGATTCAAAGTAGTAATTGGTAGATTTACTGGAATCAGGAATTACTGGAACCTCATCATCAGAGCAAAGATGCCAGACATTTTTTCTCTAGACTCATTTATCAGACATACATTCATTTACAACCCTTCCGGCTTGGCAGATAGGAGTGTTGGCATTACGAAAGGACTACACTAATCCCTATCTCTGTTGACGTATAAATTGTTCCTTCTAAAAACAAGTTTACTTGGGCTAACTATGATATTTCATCTTGCTTAAGAGACATTGACCCATTCTTCAGTCTGAATTTTAGACAATCACAGAAACATCATCTTTAAGAATGTTTTTTTTTTTGATAAATTACTACTTGTTGATTGGAATTAAATAGCTTACATTTTCTTGCCCAAAGCTGGAAATGTGTACATTTGCGTATTTGAATTCATTTGCTGACCAGAATTGTCCGTTCTCTCTACCTCCAGTCAGAATATAACTTTTAGATTGTAATTAAATTTTAAAAGTCCGCTGATCTTTGTAGAATCTTAGAGGTTTGATGATGGTGTTGGTGAAAATAAGAAAGAATTGCAGTAAAATCCTGTCTAATGACTCAAATATCACTGTGACTGGAGGCACAAATCACTGTGGGGAGATAATTTTTGTCATGAAAAGGCAGCATTTGAATACTCCTATTACTAGCAGAAATATATTATAAAAATTAAGATTTTTGTCTGATTGAAACTTGAAACAACTCCTCTCTTTACTAGCAACATCATAAGATAGTTACTAATAAACTGTTAGAAGAAGGTATGATAGTTTTTATCAAGCTTTCCTCATTTTGATTTGTGGCTGTTACTGATCTTTTATTTGTGGAAATATTCATATCTCTTCTGTTAAAAATAACATTAAATAAATTTTAATTTAAAAATTTACAAAAAAGTAAAACATTTGATTTAAAAGGATATTTTATAATAAATCCATGGGAAGAAAAGCAAACTTACATAGTGAAAGGGAAAGAAATTGTTCTAGTACTAAGATTTGGACATAAACCTTGAGATGTCCCATAAATGGATAGAAAAATTTTCTTAAATAAATCTATTTTATTTTTTAAGATAAATGAAGCAGGATTTCTAGATTAAGTTCTGGTCATGTTGATAATGTGACTATTGCAGACAAGAGTCTGTGTGTGACATTTTAAGATTATCACGGCACTAAGTAAATGAACACATACATATATACAGCAATCCAGAAACAAAGAATGAGACTCAAGGATGTCACTGCATTGGAATAAAACTGTATTTTAAAGGAAGAGAGAGTTGGTAGTGCTGGCTCTCAGTATCAGGAGCTTCAGCAGTAGAAGGTAACAGCAATTGGAAGTAAGGAACTTGCACTAAGGCCTTAGGAAGCAATAAGAAGCAGTTGTTTATGGTCTTAACGTGTGTGATCTTGAGCCCAAGGAAAAAATATTTAATAATAATAAGGTAGATTCTCTAATCTCACTGAATACCTCTGCAATGGAAAGCATAAAGGGAAAGGGGATTTAAAACAAAACACAAGTAAACTCCTAACGATAAAAGAAAACTTATCCAAAACATGTCTGTTTACTTATTTTGGGCAGGGGCCCAGAATTCTTATGAATAGTTAAGAAGACACTTCTGAGTATGACTTAAACTTTTCCCAATTTCAGGGACAAGAGTTACTGAAAGAGGACTACTATTCATTATTGGGAATGTAATTCTATAATTCTGTTTTTATCTTGAATTTGGATTGTTTGAAGAGTCTGGATTATACATGGCCTGAAATCATCTTAATGGAGCAATTGATATCATGGTGTCAAAATACCATCATGCATTGCTTATTGATGGGGATACATTCTGAAAAATATGTCCTTAGGTGATTTTGACCTTGTGCAAATATCATAGTGTATACTCACCCAAATCTAGAGTATATAGCCTACCACACACACTTAGGCTATGTGTGACAGCCTATTGCTTGTAGGCTACAAACCTGTTCAACATGTCATTGTACCAAATACTATAGGTAATTGGAACACAATGGGAAGTATTTATATAATAAGAACTTTTCAGCAGCTCCATCATAATCTTATTGGACCACCATTGTTCTATATGCAGCCCATTGTTAACCAAAATGTTGTTATTCAGCACATAGTTGTACATGGTGCTATGGAGATGCAATTGTGAAAATATGGGACTCTGAATAAGTCTATGAATCTGAGATATAGAAAAATTAGTCATTAGTTGAATATTTTGGTTTTTTCAGAAATTTATAATATATATGGTTACTATACAGGGCTGAATACTAAGAATGAATTGGTAACAAAATTACTGCTTTACTTTTGAAAATGCAAATGTGGAAATATTTGAACAGAAAGTAACAGTTAAATGGTAGTTAGGTAAAATTATATTTCGAAAAAGCACATGTAACTTCAGCTTCACAGATCTATTTTTTTTTAGTTAACCCTTTTCCCATTTAGAAAAAAAAAATGCAGCTCACTGCCAGCGCTCATTTAATTTTGCATAGACACGTTCTTTAAGGCTGAAGCAAACCTGATTTTCAATGTAAAAATAAAATATAAAAACTGTTCTTGGAGTTATTTCCAAACAGAACTAACATCAGAATCATCTGAATCATCAGAATATTCTATTTTGGAAAAATTGGATTCATCAAATGGGTCTTTGGCCAATAACTTTTCAAGAATGATGTTAATATCACACATAAGCATGCTACGTTTTCTAGAATTTGACATTTTCTGTGATCAGGAATTACTATATTTTGTAAATGGTAATACCAGTACTAAAACCAGAATACTATAAAAAGAATGATGTCTTTTGTTTCCAAAGTCATTATACTAGAGCGTTGCAAAAATAATAATAAAAGCAAGATATTTTATGGCAAAGTTATCCTGGGGTAAACACTGCAGCCACAGGCTCTGCCAGCAAGTATTCTTGGGGCAAACAGGAAAAGGGTTAAAGTGGTTTATTGTGAGGAATTGGTATAAGGTAAAAATATTAAAATATTTTTAGGTGAAAAGCTCATTTTGGAGCTAACAAGAAATTCAGCTATGAGAAAACTAAGAAAAATATGCAATGTTATCACATAGGTAAAGATCAAGGGTGAGGGTCTACGAAGAAAATAAAAAAGCAAGTCACATGATGGAAGAAAATATTGTGACAAAGGACTGATATGCAGAATTTATCATATAAAATATATACATAAAAATCTCATTTTAACTTAAAATAACTTTTTATTTTTTGTTTTGTTGGGTTTAATAAATATATTTTAATATTTGACTTCCTCCTGAATTAAGCATAATATGACATACTATGGCTAAAACTAAAAGACTTAAAAATTTACAAAAATATGTAAGAAAAAGTTAAAAATGTAAAGCAAATATTGAGGATTTCTGGCTCCTTAAATAAAGGGTCTCACAGAATGTGCGTTTATGTATTAGGAAAAACTGGAGCTGGGAATGAAAATTTGGGAATGAAAATAGAAGCAGAAACATATATGGAGACAAACTCTGAAAATGAGTAATTTACCATGTTTTCTTTGTCCTGAATATGCATTTCCCAGTAGACACAGGGGAGCTGTAATTTTCCAAGTGAACTTTAAAGGTCAATATAGGAAGTTTCAGCCGATGAAAAATGCCATGTAATATTTTATAGCGTTTCATTATGCCAGTTGCAGTGATCATGTTTATTATTAATATGACTACCATTACCAATAAAAATAGTAATAATGTCCTATAATGGAGACATAATAGATTTATATAATTTAAATTTGTATTTGATTTATAGATCATAAATTTGGATGTAGTAGGTTCAAATACATCACTTCTCCTGCTTGAGCAAGTACACAATATTTCTAAGTATCAGCCAATCTTAATACATAAATGAATCTCAAATATAAATATATATAATTCCTTTATTTAAAGAAATAAACATTAAATATACATAAGAAATATACAAAACATTAATAACTCATGTATATACCAAAAAGGTCCTATAAGTCCGCTGTGACATGACAAAACGTGCTCATCACCCCAGAAAATTCTCCTTTGCTCCTTCCTCAAGTAATTTAATTCAAACTCAGCAATGTTCCATTTACTGTCACTATAGATTCAATCTCAATTTCTAGTTTCATCTAGAGTTTTATCATGTAGTATGTACTCCTATGTAAATAAATATCAGTTTTAACAATTTCATGGACATTTTCCCAAAACCAACCATTGATATTATATTTTCCCTTTGTCCCTGTTTATTATTTCATTAACTTTCCCTCACTACTATTTTTTAACAAATATATCGAGTTTAAATTGTTACTTTAGTTTTTTAGGTTCTTAAATTACAAGTTTAGTTGTCTTGAGACTTTTATTCTTTTCTAATACGAGCATTTACATTTTCTAATACATTTAAATTGTTATTTTGGTTTTGTAGGTTCTTAAATTACAAGTTTAGTTGTCTTGAGACTTTTATTCTTTTCTAATACGAGCATTTACTTTTGATACTTTTTATTTTAATTATTTAAATATTTTATAAATTCCTTTGCAAATTTTTACTTAACATAAGTTATGAGAAGTGTGTTGTTTAACTTCCAATATTTAGAGATTTTATAGGTATCTATTTGCTATTAATGTCTGATGTAATACTTTTGTAGTCAGAGAAGAAAACTCCATATGATTTCAATACAAATTCATTGGGACTTACTTGATGGTTTAGTATACAGTCTTATCTTGGTGAATGTACCTAAAATAACGTATACTCTGATGGTTCTGAATGGAGTGTTTTATAAAGATCAATTAAGTTGGTTTAAGGAATGATATTATTCCTGTCCTTTATATATTTATTGAATTTTTAAGTTATCACATACTGAGAGAACAAGTTCTGAAATGATCTCAATCTACAATTACAGATTTGTATATTTCTTCTTTCTCTTCTGTCAGTTTTTCTTTCATGTATTTTGAAGCTCTATTGTTAACTGTATATACATTGCAGATTCTGGCCTTTGTAAAATAACATTATTATGATTATTAAACTATTTCTTATGCCTGGTAATATTCCTTGTTCTGAAATCTATTATATCTGACATTAATATAGCCACTCTTACTTTCCTATTATTAATGTTTATTCATTGTATTTTATTCTATTTAAAGAATTTTAAACTTTTGTTGTCCATATTACCACTGTTTCTTTTCATAATACAGCTGGGTCTTTGTTTTTATCCATTTGGGCAATCTCTATCTTATATTTGTAACATTTCACCCAACTGTATTTAATGTATGTTCAAAACTATTGACTTTAAACATATCAAACTGTTTTCCATTTCCCGCATCTTTTTGTTTTTGTCTGTCTGCCTTCCTTTAGATTAACTGAACATTTTTATTATGATATAAAATCAAAATTATTTGATTAATATTTGTACTTTTTGTTTTATTTTTATTGGTTGCTTTAGGATTTACAATACACAACTTTATCACAGTCTAGCTTCAACTAATATCATTTATGCGATTTTTAGCATATCTTTTAGTTCAACATGTGTTACAAATGTTGGAAAGCATAACATATATATATGTTTTATATAACTTTAGTCAGTTTTACTTTATAAAAGTTAAAAAGTGAAGAGTATTTTATATTTACTTTACCATTTTTGACACTCTTCATTCCTTGAAATAAATACAAACATCTGTCTAATATTCTCTTAGTGTAGTATAATATCAGGTGATGATGTTTAACAGTTTCTGCCATATTATAAATGTTTTTATATAAATGATAGTTGGTTAAGATACTTTAATGGCAATGCTTATCATAAAAAGGAATGTTTAGGCCAGGAGCAGTTGCTTATGCCTGTTATTCCTGCACTTTGGGAGGCTGAGGTGGGCGGATCACTTGAGGCCAGGAGTTGAGAGAAGCCCGGCCAACTTGGTGAAACCCCATCTCTACTAAAAACGCAAAAGTTATCTGGGCTTGGTGTTGTGTGTCTGTAGTCCCAGCTACTCGGGGGCTGAGACAGGAGAATCACTTGAACCTGGTAGGTGAAGGTTTCAGTGAGCCAAGATGGCATCACTGCACTCAAACCTGGGAAACAGAGTGAGATTCTGCCTCAAAAAAAAAAGTTTGACAATGACCATAAAAATTAAAGTAAATATATGATTTTATACATAAAATGTAGCTTAACCAACATATTTGTTTATAAAGAAAGTTAGTATCTATTCTCTATCCGACAATTTTTAGGAAAGATTATTCTTTCTGTTAATTTGACAGGTAATCTTCTCTTTTTACTTTTCTCTCTCTTTTCTATATATTTCTTTTTATGCTCTCTTCTATAGCATTAAGGATTTTTTTCCATTTAAATGGACCCTATTAATAAACATCACCATTTAAAATTAGATAGCAGGCTTCTTTAGAACAGATTTGCTTCCATGTGCCATAATGCAAGGGGCAAATCTGGCTGAGTTTCTTTTTAGGTTGGGGCTAAGGCTGAAACCCTAGCCCTATAATTATTTCCACCACTGTCCCCCAGATTCATAAGCCCTAGGCTTGAGATCTTTTTCTTTTATTGTTAACAATTTGGGAACTACTACAATTCATATGCGTGTTAAATAAATATTTGTTAATTTGGTAGATCAAGCTTGGCCATTTTTTTTCTAGCTTGTGGAGGGATATGAAAGAGTAATTGTGTGATCATAGTAGCAGAAAAAAGAAGTCTCAGTGAGTAGGAAAACAACATACAAAAGCAACACAATAGGAACATTATGGAAATGGCAGCAGGTAGTACTGAGTTCAGCAGTAAAGTATTGAGTTATCACTCCAGGGCTTTGTCTGGTCTGGTTGTTAAACGTAAATTAGCATTTTTGAAATAAATATACTGCTTTAAAATGTTTGCACAGTTAAAAACGAAGAAAGAAATAAAAGCTTAAAAAAGACATATTAATTTTCCTGCTAATTTAATCAACAAATAGGTGAGACGTTAATTTGAAAAAAATTAGGAAATATGAACTGATGTATCCCCAGAATTGTTGCATGGGTCACAGTGTTATTCATCTTTCATAGTGTTGCAGGGCTATAGAAATACATTTTACATTCATTGGAAATATAAATGGTAGGTCATTATTTTTTGAAAATTTTTATAAATTTTTTAAATCACTAGTGTATGCACCTTCTTTGATGAGTTCAATGATTTTCTACACCTGACTACATTTTCCTGCACATTTCCTTCTGTTTTATAATTTCTTACTCAGACCATCCTGCTGTTTCTCCTGCTATGAGGTGGTTTGCTCTAAGCTGATAAATATCTGGAGCTCAAACACTCCTTGCTAACTCTGTTGCTCTCAGAGCTGCTACTGTAAATCACTTTCTTAATTTAGGCATAATTTTCCTACTCTTATCACTTTACTGCTGCCTCTGGGAGCAACACTAGCTCACTGAGTAGCTACAGTATTCTATTCTTAAGAAAGAGCATTGATTAAATAAATTATTTCTGTCATAGGAAAACCAATGTACTGGCGGAAAAGTAAAAATTATAATACATTTCTGCTGTTTCTTCAATCACTAGATGCTGCCTTTTTCTCTCCAATTTCTCAGAGATTAATTTATGAAAGATCCCCACCCGTTACTTTGATTCCTAATCAATTAAGCTAATGTAGGTATTATTTAAATTTATGTTGTTTTCTTATACTTATTTAAGGCAATGCTAAGCATTCATTTATTCCTCATCAGCAACAGGCTCCCTTCTGGTCCCCCTTCCCTTTGCATTTAGCTTCCTGCTGCACTCCTGAGCAATGCATTCTTTCCACTACTTAAAGATGATCCCTAAGCTTATCTTCCAGCTTAGGCGCTTGAATTCCATTAATAAACCAGGAAGACCTGACGATTTCCCCAGGGTGGTTCACCTTCTATTTAGGAATCAGAAATAAACTGAACAAACATAATAACTAGAAGCATAGTAAATAATAGAAACAACAAAATTGCTAAGTTTGATAATAAAATAATGGGGTATAACTTCTGGCGGGGTGATTAGAACAACTTGTCTGAGTAGATAGCATTAAAGCAGAGTTCTGAAGAATATGCAGGAATAGACAGGTAGAATGAGAGGGACACACAAAGCAAAAGCATGGGCATGAAACAGACCGTAAATGACTTGTTGAGAAACAGTGAAATTGTCTTAAGGTGCCTTGCTCTGAGATGTTAAAACATGACAAATAGAAACATATTTTGAAATATCAGTTGTGGCAAAATTTTCTTGATCCCTTTTAGATTTTGAGCATTCCATCTTTGTCTGTGTAATGTATTTTTCTATTAGGTATGAAACTTGGTCTGTGTTTCCCTGAAGTGAACTGAGAATAGCTGGGTTAAAGAATTAGTTAATGTGAGTTTAACACCGTGATACATAAACTCTGACATCTCAGTGTCTTAAGTGAATTAGTTCATTAACACTGAGAAGTGTGGCTTAACACTGTCACATAAAGTTTATTGTGGGAGTTCTGATCAATAGAGTTATTCAGGAACCCGTACTGATGGGAACTTCTACCTTCTTTGACATTTGACTTCTCATATTACTTTAAATAAATTTTTTTTAAAAAGATGTCAAATGGAGAGGAAGAAAAGTTTGCAAAGTTTTCTTGGGACTTAGCCTGAAATGAGCTTTCAAAATTTGGACACATGACCACAACTAATTGCAAGAAAGCTGTGAAATGAACACTCAAAACAATATGCCAAGTTTAAAGAATACTTAGCCATTTTCTGAGCCAATAAATGATAGTTTCTTTTCAATGCAACTGGAATTTTTTCTGAGAGCAACTATCTTTTTCAAGAACACTGTATAAAACACAAAAATAAAATTTCATGGATTCTTTTATATTCTGGATGTATTATAAAATGTTATTCAAAATCTACCTTATTACATCATGTTATGAAATATTTATTTTAAATATAATCAATCAAATCCCATTTTATATTTTCAATTATTTAATATACCCTATCTCATATTAGTAAAAACCAACTTCTAAACTTATGAATGTGTGAGGGTATACTTATCATGGTAAGAGAGGCTGTATTAGTCTGTTCTCACACTGCTAATAAAGACATACTCGAGACTGGGTAATTTATAAAGGAATGAGATGTAATTGACTCACAGTTCCACATGGCTTGGGAGGCCTCACAATCTTGGCAGAAGGTGAACAAGAAGCAAAGTCATGTTTTACATGGCGGCAGACAAGGTGGCATGTACAGGGGAACTCCCCTTTATAAAATCATCACATCTTATGAGAATTATTCACTGTCATGAGAACAGCACACTCCCATGATTCAATTACCTCCCACCAGGTCCCTCCCACAACATGTGGGAATTATGAGAACTACAATTCAGGATGAGATTTGGGTGGGGATACAGTCAAACTATATCATGGGCTATGTTGCAATAACTGACAACACTAAACTCTGACTTGCTTATCACAACAAAAATCACATCTCAATCATCTTATATAGCCATTAAGGGTCATTGAAAAGGGTCTGCTTCACACAGTCATTCAGAGAGTTTGTATCAAATAGGCTTCTTTGGTTTATTTTACTTCACATAATGTTCTCAAGGTTCCTCATGTTGTCACAAATAACAGTATACTACCTCTTTTAATGGCTGAATAGTATTCCATTGAGGATATGTAGCATATTTCTTTATCTATTCATCCCTTCATGGACACATAGGTTGATTCCATATCTTGACTATTGTGGTAAATAGTGGAGCAATAAGCATGAGAATGAAGATATTGCTTCAACCTACTGATTTTATCTCCCTTGAATATATAGTTGACCCTTCAACAACACAGGTCTGAACTGTATGGATCCACTTATATAGGGATTTTTTTCTGTAAAAGTTACACCCAGGGTGACTGACTCTCCTGACTACCCTTAAACCTCCTCTGACTCTTCTGCGTCTGCCACACCTGAGACAGCAAGACTAACCTCTCCTTCTCCTATCCCTCAGCCTACTCAAAATAAAGACAATGGAGATGAAAGCCTTTATAATGGCCTACTTCAACTTAATAAATAGTAAACATATTTTTTCTTCCTCATGATTAACTTAATAACATGTTATTTTCTCTAGCTTATTTTATTGTAAGAATACATCATATAATACTTATACAAAATATGTGTTAATTGACTATTGTCAGTTAGGCTTCTGGTCAACAATAGGCTATTACAGTTAAGTTTTGGGGGAGCCAAAATTTATACACTGATTTTTTTTAATGTGGAGGGATTCAGTGCTCCTAACCCCTATGTTGTTCAAGGGTCAACTGATACTCAGTAGTGGGACTGTTGGATCATATGGTGGTAATAGCCAAGTGAAGTAAGCCAGGCACAGAAAGAAAAATAGTGCAAGATCTCACTCATATTTGAAATCTTAAAAAGTTGAACTCACAGAAGTAGAAATAGAGGGCAGAATGTTGCTTACCAGAAGCTGGAGCAGTTGGGAAGGGTGGAAGTGAGGCATGGGGCAGATATTTGTCAAAGAATACAAAATTAGTTAGATAGGAGGAATAAATACTAGAGATCGATTGTACAGCATGATGACTATGGTTAATGATGATACATTATATTTCTGAGAAATGCCAAGAAACTGGATGTTAAATGTTCTCACCACAAAAAATGATAACTATGTGAGGAACACACGTTAATTATCTAGACTTAACCATTCCACAATGTATATACATTTCAAAACATATTGTACACAAGTACATACAATTTTATCTGTCAATTTAAACAAATTAATTAAAAAGTTTTAAAAATAGTCTTCTTTGGTCTAAGTGGTGAAGAGTGAGTTACATACATGTAGAATACCTGTATTTGGGGGTGGAGTTTTTAGGAAGTAATTCAGAGTAGGTTAGGTCAAGAAGGTGGATCCTAGGTATGACTGATTATTGTTCTTACATGTGCAAATTTAATTACAAGATTTTTCTTAAAGTTCCCTTTAAAAACTGGTCTAAAAACTTTGCTAATAGTTTCTCCTGGTAGGATTTTGAAAATGTATATATGGTGTTTTTTTAAATTAATCTGTTCCCACATCTTTCTAGACCAATTTGGAGTTAGAAGGGGACATGTACCTTACTCTGAAAAGTGGGCTATAAGTGAAAGTGATATAAATTCTACATATATGCAACAAGGGAAAAGTGATTTCTGAAGGCAGTTCAGAGATCATCAGGGCTTCTTCCTCCATTTCAAAGGGGAGTGGGAGGATTGCAATTCTTCGAATTTGCTTTCAGGGTAATTCTTCCCTTGCCTTGAAGAATAGCACAAGTTAAGAGCCTTAATAGCTAAACAGTCTGGTTCTGCAGGATCTAAGAAGTCTGGAAACCTTCCTTCATTCATTATGTTTTCTCTGTTTTCCTTAGTTTAAACAGGCAGTGCCCTTGCTGGTATAATCCCACCTCTATCCCTGGCCTCTGTTCAGATGACTGATTAAGTCCCTTGTACACACCCATGTTAATCTGTTCACCAAATGGTAGGTTAGCCTTGGTGTTTTCTTCTGAGCACACTTGTATGATATGCGATATGAAAAGGCTGATAATTTTCCAAATGTTTAAATTCTGGTTCCTCCTTTTTGCTTAACAATCTCTACTTCAATTCATTTCTCTCTTTTCATATTTAATATAAGCAGTCATAAGGAAGTAAGCCACCCATTCAACATTTTGCATAGAAATTGTCTCAGCTAAATATACAATTTCATCATTGTCAAGCTCTATTTTCAAGAAAAAAAAAAACGTACAACATAAAAGCAAATCAGCCAAGTTGTGTGTCACTTTATAACAAGGATTACCTTTCCTCCAGCTTCCAATAACATACTCCGATTTCTGTTTGAAACTTCACCATAATGATCACATTTCTACCAACATTTTGTTCATAATTATTTTTGTATTTTCTAAGAGAATGGAAGCTTTCTCTATAACTCTCCTCTTTTCTTTCTGAGCCCTCACCAGAATTGCCTTAAAAAATTCTTCACAGCATTCTTGTCTTTTTCTAGTACACACTTGAAAACTCTTCCAGCCACAACCCATTACCCAGTTACATGCCACTTCCAGGTTTTTACAGTAACACCCCACTTCTCTGTACCAATTACTGTCTTAGTTTAATATGCTATAACAAAATACCATAGACTGGGTGGTTTATACAACAGATATTTATTTCTCACACTCTGGAGGCTGCAGGATCCAAGTTCAAGGTGCTGGCAGATCTGGTGTCTGGGAAGGCCCAATTCCTGGCTTGCAAACAGTTGGCTTATCTCTGCATGCTTACATGGCAGAGAAAGAGACACAGGCAGAAAGAGAAAGAGAGAAATGGAATGAGGGGGCAAAGAGGGAGGAGGAGGAGGAAAAGAGGAGAGAGAATTCACTCTGCTCTCTTCCACTTCTTGTAAGAACACTGATATCATGAGGACACTACCCTCATGCCCTCATCTAAATCTAGTTACCTACCAAAGACTCGCCTCCAAATGCCATCACACTGGTGGTTTGGGCTTCAACATATGAATTTTAGTAAGTCATAAAAATTCAGTCCATAAGAGAATGGAAGGCAGACACAATGACAGGACATCTTTAAAGTGTTAAAAAAATTCTGCAACTTACAAATCCCCACCCATTAAAAATACCATTCCATGGCTATTATTAAAAAGTCAAAAATAATAGGTGCTGACGAGGTTGCAGAGAAAAAGGAATGCTCATACACTGTTGGTGGGAGTGTAAATTAGTTCAACAATTGTGGAAAACAGTGTGGCAATTCCTCAAAGACCTAAAAACAGAACTACCCTTCAATCCAGTAATCCCATTATTGGGTATATGCCCAAAGGAATAGAAATCATTCTATCATAAAAACACAATGCACGATGTGTGTTCATTGCCACACTGTTCAGAATAGCATAGACATGGAATCAACCTAAATGTCCATCAGTGGAAGACTGGATAAAGGAAATGTCGTACATATACACTATGGTATACTACACAACCATAAAAAAAAACAAGATCATGTCCTTTGCAGGAACATGGATGGAGCTAGAGGCCGTTATCCTTAGCAAACTCTCATAGGAACAGAAAAGCAAATACCACAAATTCTCACTTGTAAGTGGGAGCTAAATAATGAGAACACATGGACACAAGGAGGGGAACGACAGACACTGGGGCCTACCAGAGGATGGAGAGTGGGAGGAGGGAGGTCACCAGGAAAAATAACTAATGGGTACTAGCCTTAATACCTGGGTGATGAAATAATCTGTACAACAAATATCCTGACACGAGTATACCTGTATAACAAATCTGCACATGTACCCCTGAACCTAAAATAAAAGTTAAATAAGTAAATAAATGAAAAAATAATACATTATTCCAAAGAAAGGTAAACATAAAGCATTTCCAAACAAACAAAAGCTGGGAGAGTGAATTGCTGAGAGGCTTGTGATAAAAGAAAATGCTAAAATATCTTCATGTGGAAAGGATATGATAGCTGATAGACAGTAAGATTCACACAAAGAAAGATCTACAGCATGGAAACTATGAGGCAAATATAAAATAATGTTTTATTCTTTTCAAATTATAATTGACTATTTAAAACCAAAATAATATAATTTATACGGAGGTTTAGAACTAATGTCAAAGGAAAATGTATGATAAAAATCACAGGTTTCAAAACAGTTTGACCTAGTAAGTTTAAAAGCTTATAGCCCACAAATCTGTTGTCCCCAAATTATAAAAATCTCATTAATCATTAATATTAGCTTTTAATCTTGAATTGTTAGATTATTCAATCTACATTTCCTAATATTGATATTTTTCAATGTTATGCCCATTTAAACATAAATTATTATTAAATTATTAGATTAAAATAGAAAGTGTATTTAATTCTGTAGTTGTTTGGTATATGGAGGGAAATGTATAAAAAGAAGAACACAGTATAAGTCTTGATTGGAACCCTTTTCCTTCAAAACTAGTTTGGAAGACTGTTGAGAAAAGACCATGGCTAAAAAAAGTTCCAGAGTTGTAAAATCCAGCTCTTTTATAAGAGAAAAGGCAGTTTATGTGGAGATTGCTATGGGTTAGTCATAGAAACATGCTCATTGTCATTACATTGTGTAACATTGAAAATATGCAGACTGTATAATTTTTCTTTACATGGTGCTGAATTAATTTTGTGCTCCAGTTATGAGTATCTGTGTTTGTATGTTCACTCTGTGGATTCGTCTTTGTTATGTATGGGAGGAGGCACAGAGCAGTAGGAAAAGAAAGATGAAAATAAGGTAAATTGGCATATGTAATTTTTTTCCTTTGTGTTTGTTTCACCTGAAGAGATATTATTATTTGAACTCATCTACAGTTTACAAAATTTATATTTGAGAAAAATATAATGCTAGGTAATGTTTTCAAAGATTCCTAGTTGGGAAGAAATAACTATGGTTATTCAGATCATGTCCCTAGTAAATACACAGTAGGTGTTTCATTTGTCTGTTCACAGTGCTATAAATAGTTGTGACCTGGTTTCCAATGATGTGTGAAACAGTCTTAGGAGATACATTGAGTTTTATTTATTTATAGAAACCAAATGTGTAATTAACATGTCCAGAGGAGGTGAAGTATCAGTTTGAGCCCACTGAGTGTCATCTAATCAAATTTCATGAATTAATGTTCTCAGTGAGCATTGTTTCCTGGAGATATATTGGCTAAGGTCAGAAGTGGAGATGTAGATTAATTGAAAATCAATTTTTGGAACAGATAATGGGCTCTTATGTGATATCCCACTGGCAGGTAAGCTTAAATGTTCTGGAAAATAAAAGGAAAGAAATGATAAACGCATAGTATTTTTGGCCATCGTTCATTATGTAACAGTCCATAATTTCACAAATATTACTAGGACTGTAATTATTTGTGTTTATGTTGGCTGCCACATTATTTGGTTTTGAAAACTGTGCTACTGTTAGTTTTCTGAAGATTTATTTTGTAGTGTCACTCAAACTGCTACAATTTATCATTTGTAGTTCTGACCCTGTAAATTCAGGGCTTCTATAAGCTCCTGGGAGTATTCTCCCTTTAATGAGACATTTATAGTGAAGGGGTATTAAGATGAAACATTTCATTGAAAAGGTCATTAGATATCTAAATTCATAAGTAAGCCTATTTAAATGATGCTGTAATGACATGTTCATAAGTAGTAAAAAAATCCTTAAAGATGTGTTATTACTGGAAATAAAACTGCAAATATATGAGTTTAAAATTAATTGTTATTCAGTAAGTCAGATGTAAAAGCTTTAAGAGAGACTGAAGATCATTTAGATTTGTAGTTTCCATGCCTGGTTACACATTAGAATATTCTGGTCTCTAGAAGTTCTTATTCAGTAAGACTCTTTGGGAGGCCAGAAATATGTATTTCGAATATAATAAAAAAAACAAATTCCTCAGATAATTTCAACATAGCCAATCTGTATAATTGCACTTGAGAATCCCTGTTCAAGAACAGTTCTTTCTTCTATAAACAAGAAAGTGACACGCAGAAATAATAAGACCCCAGGTGAAAAACCAATAAGATCTCAAGTTAAAAACCAATTTTGAATTTATTTTAAATTTTGTCCGGTTTCTCCATTATTTAGGGAAGAGGGGAAACTTGAGTACCAATTACACCAACATGGATGCTGCTGACATTCAATAATTATTTCATGTGCTATTTCTTTTCTATAAATAATTGTTAACTGTACCTCCTTTGATATGTTTACTGGTTATTTTAGGACTAAAATATGCATTATTAATTGATGAAAGGACATTTAGAGTCAACATTGTACTATTGGACTTTGCTCTTCATACCTCATCCTTTCTATTTCATGCTTCACCCTTCATAATTATCAATTTTGGTTAATATTTTCATTTTAACCCATTATGTCCTAAGAATGGCGTAAAAACAAAACAAAAAATCCCACAGTCCTTTATACACACTGACTTATTGACTTTATTGGCACTTTTCTTTCCTCCCAGTAGATCAATGTTTCTGTTTGAGGTTCATAAAAAACATCAGCATAAAAAACAGCCTTTTGGATTACTTGTAAGGGTCTTCAGGCAACCAAATCTCTCAGTTTTCATGCATCTGAAAACATTTTTATTTCACTGTTGCTTTTAGGAATTTTTACCATTTATATAGAAACTTGGGTAGACAGAATCTAGTTTTGTTTTTGTGCCTTGCTTTCTTATAGTCTTTCAAAATACCATTTTCCTGGCCTTCTATTATTTCTGATGAGTAGGTAGAATTTTGTATCATTGTTTCTCTGTATGTAATATTTCTTTTTTCTCTGAGTATTTTCAGATTTTCTACTTTTTTCTGCTGAATTTATTTGAATTTTCAAGTTCCTTTATTTCTTTCATATTTGTGAAATTATTCTCCACTGTTTCTTCAGAAATGCTCTACCCCAATCACATACCCTTCTCTTTCCAGAACTGCGGTTACATGTATACTAGACTGTTTTATTTTGTTCCTCAATTGCTATTATGCGTATCTTTGTCTCAAATGTATTTCCCTCTGTTATTTAGATAGTATAATTTCTATTGATTTGTTATCAAGTTCACTGATTCTTCCCTAATTTCTAATGCACTGTGAAGCACAGAAAATTTTCCCTTAGTGATTGTTTTTTGTTTTAGATTTTTATTCTTTATAAATCTCATTTCTCTAATGAAACTCCATCTATGTGCACTTATCATCCCCTTATTTTTGTCTACTTTTGTTTCACTAGTTTGAAAATAGTTATAAAACCTATCTTACTTCTTTGAACTAAATAATATCTACTTTAAATATTTTGTCGCTGTATTTCACACACAGGTTATCGCTGATTTGATATCTATTGAATGCATGTTTTACCGACTACTAATCACACAGTCCAGAGTTTCTTTGTATATCTAATTTTTAAAACTATTTTTTATGGAATGTTTTTGAGGAGACACTGTAAAGACTCCATATTCTGTTAACTTCCTCTGAAGTGCATTTATTTTCTTCTGGTGAGGAGTTTAATTACTTGAGGATCAAATAGTCCTTGTTTATGTAGGCTTTACTAATGTTTGTTGCAAAGAATCTTTGGGAAGTCCAAAGTGTTTCTCAAGCACTTCTAATTTCGTAGGATTTAATCAAACTCCATCTTGTGGAACCTGGCAATGCTTGATTTTAGCCATGTTAGGGAAGGGCTAGTGTAGGCATCCTTTAGGTCATGGCACTTACTCATAGCTATGGTCTTTCCGGTACAACTGCATGAACAAGATATTAAGGAGGTGTAATGAGATTTCTTCACTTGGGTGAACTTGACTACCAATGTCTCCCAGCACTGTCCGATCTCTTGTGTCTCTGCTTGATTCTCAACTTTATAGTCACTGTTGTATGGTAAACCCTGAAGTCTTCCATTGTGTATGTGAGACCTAGTCTTGAGCTTTAGATTTATGAGGAAACCTCACACACATTTCTGGAAACCCCCTGTGCAAGGATTCCTCCTATTACAGTGATCTTATCTACAGAATTTAGCTGCTTGCAGACTTATGAATTCTGATCTCTCACTCACCTCAGTTCAACCATCATGATTCTGCTTGGAGTCCAGCTTGCTGAGCCATCATTAGGAAGTCTTGTGCTGGTAGAGAGATGACTGTGGAGCTCACCTCATACATTTCTATGCATTCAGAATCTGCTGTTGTATATTGCTTACTTTCCAATTTGTAATTGTTGCCTTATATATTTTTCTATTTTCTCAGTTGTTTAATAGAAGATCTAACCTACTGTCACACCATCATACTTGGAAGAAAAATCTCTGTGTTGAATGTGTAATATTTGGTATTAATAACAGACAAAGCACATGAGACTTAATTGTACCTAAAAAAAGAAAATACAATTGTTTTCAATGTTGAAAAAATGAGAGTAAACCTAAAGCTCAAATAAGTTCAATACAAAAAGAACATAAGTACTTGTATCATCTTCTTAAAAGGCAATGATAAATCAATAGATAATGTTTAAAGTTGTCTAAAGTATATATTTTAGTTAAAAAACCACTGTGGATTTGAAAATTATATAATTCTTCCACATTGGGTGAAAAAAATGGGGATCAACAGAGTAATGTTACTAAGATAAATTACCACCTTTTGTTGAAATCAATAGATCCTGTCTAATACTAATAAATCAAGAATTAGAAGCATGAAAATCATGAGAAATACTGCATATGAATTGAACGAATAGGATGTTACTGAAGAAAGATAGAAAAAAGTAGAGGAAACTGTTGTTCTCCCTTCTAATCTCCTTTCCAATTTCATGTGTGTTAAAAAAATATAAAATGCTGTGTAATGAATATGCATATTGTTTTTGACATGCACTTATCGCACGATCATTGGTCAATTCTGGGTTATATGATGAAAATATCTCATTTTTATTCCCTATGTGATGATTTTATTATTTGTTTATTTATTTATCTGTTTGTTTTTGAGATGGAGCTTTGCTCTGGTCACCCAGGCTGAAGTGCAATGGCATGATCTCTGCTCACTGCAACCTCTGCCTCCTGGGTTCAAGCAATTCTCCTGCCTCAGCCTCCTGAGTAGCTGGGATTATAGGTGTGTGCTACCATGCCCAGCTAATTTTGTGTTTTTGGTAGAGATGGCTTTTCACCAGGTTGGCCAGGCTTGTCTCAAACTCCTGACCTCAGGTGATCCACCTGCCTCGACCTCCCAAAGTGCTGGGATTACAAGTGTGAGCCACTGTGCCCAGCCTGATAATTTTAAATAATTAAAAATGCTTAAATGAATGTTATTTTAATGTTTAAAATTTACACAGTGATGCAAACATTAAGCACAGTGCTTCATTTGTATTTTTAATCTGGTTTTGTGTTTGTTTGTTTGTATTTAAAAAGAAAAAAAGAGGTTGTTGGTCATTTATTTGTCTGCTCCAACATTCCTCAGTGACCTGGGGACCCAAATAAATTACTGTCCCTAAACTACCTAATGATATCCAACCGTGGTTGGATAGAACCAACGTAGAGAACCGTAGTTCTCTAGCCACAATTTTTCTAATGAAGTTTCTCTGCTTTTACCATGGATTAGTGTTTTATCTGCTGCAAATAAAATGAAATTTTCTTCTTGAAAATTGTATCCAACCCGTACGCAGAGCTAGCTAGCTTGGGACCCTAAACCTACTTTATGTTTGCTACTTTCAATCTGCAAGCATCTCATAAGTGGCACCCCTGGTGACTGGCCATTGCATCTACAGAATCAAGAAGTTGGTGTAATTTTAATTCCCATCTTCTCCACTACCATCATTTGGGTTTGTCATATACATGAAATATGGTGTGGCAGTTCAGTATTCTCCTGAGAGTACTATGAAACCTCATTACTTTGGGGAGATTTTCTGCATCTGAAAAAGGAAGCAAAAACAGCACTCTGAGAGGATGACTTGTGATACCAGCTAGAAGATGGCATGTTGAATCATGCTTCAGAGCCTTGTGGATAGGCAATGACCAATGACAGGACTACACTTGTTCTACTGTAGTGTATGATTATCCTTACACAATTCACCACTGACTTTTATCATAAACATACTACATAATAAAATAAACAAATATATTTAACATTCTGCTCTCTCCTGTGTATTGTGTTTTCTGCATATTTTCTGAACTTTATTTCTTTGCAAACTTGCTGACGTGGCACCTGATTCAAAAAGTTGTCACTCCTAAACTTAAGTGGAAAGGTTCATTTTCATAAGATGACTATCCTGCTTAGTTTTATTTTGCACCACTTCACATTTTATGACATAAAATAAAATATCTTAGGATAGTAGAGTTATGAATCATTTAGTGTCCTAGAAAATATGAACATAATTGTCATCTAAAACTATAGAAAATACATAAAAGAATCTCTCAGAACTCAATGGGCATATGTAAATCCCTAGAAATATTTTTGTCTTGTGGAATACTATATCATGGAATAATGACAAAGAGAATATAGACTGTGTAATTCAATAATCGTCTCCATAAAAAAAAGACTGATCTCAAGCCTATGTGGTTATTTAGTAGAAAAATAACTCTGATTATTAATCTAGGGAGTGTTTAATATAGTATGCTAGTTATCCCAGTGTATTCTACTGTGACAAGACAAATTTTACTTTGATATTTTCCTGAGTTCATCTACAAGAGAAAGGTAATTAAAAATGAAGACACAATGCTTATTCCCATCACAAATCATACTTTATTGTAATGCATACTTTTAGATACACATTTAAAGGGTATCCATCATAAATTTTTATGTTGTACATGAAAAAAGTGGGTAATATTCCAAATAGGTAATAACTTTACAAATTGTATGGAAATGAATGGCACAAATGCGTCGGTACTGCTTCATTTTAGAAACACACAGCAGTAAAATTCATCACTTAGGAAGATTTTTATTCAAATGCCTATGTGCTCAGAATTCTTCCTCTATCAAGGCCTTTTTTCCTGTTTCTTTTGTTGTTGATTTTGTTATTAACATAGAAAAGAAGTGAATAACTGAACCAGCAATCAAAAGATATTAGTGTCTTTGAGTATATTTTTTGAAGTTCAGGGATAATTTCTTGAAGCATCTGGGGTCTATCGCACACACAGACCTTTTCATGTCTCCTCTTTTTTTCTTTTTCAAGATCTTAGTGTATGAATGGGATTAATCTAGGGACAGAGAATTTACTCAGAAAAAATTGAATGGTTTGAAAATTAAGTCCAAAATGTTGAGCACTGATGTGGGGAGATAAAATACCGTGGTACAATCATGTACATATTTTAAAGCTATCTGTCACTTTCTTCCAATGTATTTTCACTTGGAAACTCAAAATGTGTATCAATTGCTGTGGCTGAAGCATGCATAGGGTTTCTTTTATCGTCCACACTTCACCTCTTAGACTTCAACAGTGTTTTCTTGGTATAGCCTGCACCTAGTAGGACCCAGAAAAATGTTGTTTCAACATTGATGAAGAAAAATCATGGACATTTTTTAAATTTATATGTTCCGTCTCAGTCTCAGTTCCATCATTTGCAATAAGAGAATAATAGTGGTTATTTCCTAAAGCTATAATTTAATCAAATTAAATAATGTATTCTACATGTCCTTAAATAGTTACTTGAAAGTAACAAGCTCAAGGCCGGGAGTGGTGGTTAATCCCTATAATTCCAGTAGCTTGGGAGGCCCAGGCAGGCAGATAGCTTGAGCTCTGGAGTTCCAGACCAGCCTGGGCAACACGGTGAAACCTTGTCTCTACAAAAAATACAAAACAAACAAACAAAAAATAGCCAGATGTGGTGGTGCATGCCTGTATCCTTGCTGCTCAGGAGGCTGAGGTGAGAGGATTGCTTGAGCCCATTGGCTCGAGGCTGCAGTGAGCCATGGTTGCACCACTGTGCTTCAGCCTAAGGTAACAAAGTGAGATCCTGTCTCAAAAAATAAATAACAAGCTCAAAATAAATGTTAGATCTCTTTTCCTTAGATTTACTTACAAAGAAGACTACCCATAATATAATCACATAGGAATCCAATGTAAAATATCCTCATTCTCTAGAAACAAAGAAATGGATACTAAGATTTATGAGCTTCAATTGTCACACAGCTGTAGCAATACCTTGTTTTTGTTTTGTTATGTTTTGGTTTGGTTTGGTTTTTTTGTTCTTTTTTGAGATGGAGTCCCACTCTGTCTGTCACCCAGGCTGGAGTGTAGTGGTGCAATCTCAGCTCACTGCAACCCCCACCTCCTGAGTTCAAGCAATTCTCCTTCCTCAGCCTCCCAAGTAGCTGGGACTACAGGTACATGCCACCATGCCCGGCTAATTTTTGTATTTTTAATAGAGACAGGGTTTCACCATATTGGCCAGGATGGTCTTGAACCCCTGACCTCGTGATCCACACACCTCAGCCTCCCAAAGTGCTGGGATTACAGGCGTGAGCAATTGGCCCCAGCCTACCTTGTGGTTTTTTAACCTTATTTGGGTAGGCTAGCCACTTGGACGAATAAAAAGATATTCATTCCTTCCATTATTTATTCATTAATTCACAAAGTATTGAGATTCTGCTGTAAGGGAGGCACTGTGTGAAGTTCTGGGGATAAAGCACTAAACAAGACAGACATGCTCCCTTCCATTGTGGCATCTATAACTTAGCTGAGAATAATGTATTAAATAAATACAAGTGATATGGTTTGGCTGTGTCCCCACCCAAATCTCACCTTGAATTGTAATAATCTCCTTGTGTCAAGGGTGAGGCAAGGTAGAGATAATTGAATCATGGGAGCAGTTTTCCCCGTACTGTTCTCATGGTAGTGAATAAGTCTCCTGAGATGTTATGGTTTTATAAATGGGAGTTCCACTGCACACTCTCTCTGGCATGCCACCATGTAAGACGTGATTTTGCTAATCTTTCTCTCGTTCTGGATGCTTCCTGCCCTAGAACAGCAGACTCCAAGCTCATCAGCTTTGAACTCTTGGACTTATACCGGTAACTTGCCAGGGGCTCTCAGGCCTTCAGCCACAGACTGAAGACAGCACTATCAGTTTCCCTGTTTTTGAGGTTTTGGAGCTTGGACTGGCTTCCTGGCTCCTAAGCTTGCAGATGGCATATTAAGGGGCTTCACCTTGTGATTCTGTGTCAATTTGCCTAATAAACCCTCTTTCATATATTTGTCTATCCTATTAGTTCTGTCCCTTTAAAGAATCCTCTATTTTATTTTATAAAATATTATATTTAGTATACATTAAATAGATATAAATAAGTGGATGAAGGGGGAGGAGGGTGAAAGAAGCAAAGATTGCTATAAAAATACACACTGGTAAAACTTTTTCTTTAATGAAATGGGGCTTCAATGTGGATTGATGTCCTTCCTGAGACAAGATTGTACACACACACACACACACATGTACACACATACATTTATGTAAGCTAGATGGATAGATAGATAGATAGATAGATACATACATACATACATACATACATACATGATAGATACACATCTTGCCATGCTGGAATGTATGGGAGTGGGTGAGGGAAATAAAAATAGGTTACTCTCGCAAAGTAACTACAAAAAAGGATGACTATAGAGTGTAGGTCCAAGGATAGTAATGCCAATTGATCTTAGAGATGAGAAAGGGTGAAATAAACGATGCCAAACATTACATTACACTGAATTTGTAGGGCAAAGGAAATCCAATTATGAATATTGAAAAAGGAAGCTGAAGGAGTTAAATATTCTTTTCTTATAGCTCTACAAAAGTAAATGTAAATAGAAGAGATTATCTTAAAGCTTAAATCCTAAGGGATATCTAGAGAAACAAAAACAAAAACAAACAAACAAAAACAACTGAGGATTTAAAGGTTTGTAATTTGAGAAGAAAATCAGATAAGTGGAAATTGCTAATGTTCATCCAAGGCATACTTAGTAGAAACTCAGTGGGAGATCCAAAGAAACATTCTGCCCATCCATTGAGCTCTCAGATGTGCCTAGTTATGCAGATGTGAGTTATTTCTTTTCATAGTAGGACACACATTACTACCCTTTTAGATGTTATGGGCATTTTGGGGAGTGTTTTCCTGGTCTTTCTGAAATCTGGGGCAGCATTTAAAAAGAAAACCATGTAAAATATTCCAGAAGTATTTTACATCAAACTCAATAAATTTAATGAAATGATGCCAACAAATTAAATTGTACTAGATTGAGCAGTAATAGTGCTGAATGCACTGGTTCTGGGTAAAAGTCATTTTAATTCAGAAAAAAGAAGATGAAAATAACAAGGTTATGTCTCAGATCCAAACACATTTCTCTGGATGAGACAGCATGACTGTAAAAGATGTAGATTGAAATGTCTTCAGAATTGCTAAATTATATCAACTTGGAGATTTATAATCCTCAGTTTTGCTGATTAAGGAGCTGAGTATTTCTCCACAGAGCCATTGAATCTCCCTTGCATTAGAGGCTCATGGTACCAGGATGCATAAGGTAGTCATCACCACCTGAATGACATATACAGCATGTTGGTGTCACGTAGTGGGTCTTTTCTTAATGCACCTTGTGTGTAATAGATAACATGAACCAAAAAAAAATTCATATATGATCTAAAATATGCACTTACCAAACAAAAACATTATACTTCATAATTCACAATCTGATTCCTGATTTTAAATTTCAAACACAAATTCCACATGATCACATAAAATAATGGAATTGAAATAAGAGGTCTTCTCTTTCCTTGTCTTTGTACTCATTGTACTATTATTGCTTATTTCAAATCTACTGTTTAAGTGTAGGAAAATGTATCACAATAAGGGTTGGAGACAAAACAGCCTTAAGTGAGCCAAAACAAACAGGAATTTGATTAATTTACTACATATACTCTTTTAAAAGGTGAATTTGTATGATTTAGGTACTAACTATATAACTGTGAGTTTTCCAGATTAACTTTCTTGTAGAATATACATATAGAATACGATGTTTGTTAAGGTATAGATAATAAAATATGTGCTAATTTGAAAACCACACACGCACACGCTTGCCCACATGCACACACTTGCACACACGCACACGCTTGCACACACACACACACACACATATATATATATTCAATATGAAGCACATAAATTCTTTGAAACTCAGATCAGTATAATTTTTATTGAGGAATATTTTATTACTAACTTTATTTGAAATTGCCAGTTCATGTTTATATTATAAAGCCTACCAATTGTCAGTTGATTTTACTTGGTTCTTAAATTCTCTGTAGAAAATGTGTTGCTTTGTTGCACACACCCAGGAGAGATATCTCCCACCACACCAACCTGGCACTTCGCTGAACCACACCCACTTAAGAAACCCCTGCTAGACATCACAAAAGATGTTAAATTGGCTGGTAGATGCCTTGGTATGCTAGCTGGAGCTAATACATCCCACCCAGCATTAGGATTAAATTCCCCTACCAGCTCTGAGCCATTTCCATTAAATTGCAGCTCAGCAAAGGGATTTCCCTTTCTAAGCTTACCTATCACTAAGTTAGTTCATAATGTGATAAGTCCCTATTGTGTCAGTGGTAAGGGAACAATAACCGTCCATTTTCCTTGCATTCTGTTTATCTTCCTTACAAGAGAGAAAAATCTCTGTGCTTTCAATACAGTCATTTCGAGTCTTCAAAAAGTTGAATGTGACATCACAAGGAAAAGCACTATTTCTCACTTTAGGATGTGGGCTGTGCAAGAGTGGAACCAACTCAATATTTAAAAAGCCCAGTCTGATAATCTGTGGCTTTACTTAAAGGCTGTGGACACAGCAGATGTAAATTACGTAATCCCAAAGCAATGCAGATGGAAATAAAGATTTCCCTAGATAGGGATTAAGGTTTGTTAGAATGAGAAAAGACGCGAAGAGAGTAATGGAAAAACGAGCATGGTGGGAAGCTCATGGTGGGAGGTGGCAAAGTGGCGATTTGTAATGGGCAAACATTCTCCATAAATACAAGGACACACAAGATATGCTCAAGGAACCAAAGGAATTATTACTAATTAATGGTTTACTTTATAGATTTCCACTATGCTCCATAAATTGACTGAGAAAGATATGAGTACTTTCAGAAATATTACCCTGTGATTCTAGTAATCATGCAGGTGACTTTGGACACTTTTGAAAATAACAGGAAGTATGTATTTTAAGGGTGTGATTTTTTGGATCATATGCGGCTGCAGATATTCAGATACAATTTCAATTTGATGCATTTAAAAGAAATTTTTCACACTAAGATAATCTATTTAAAATAATGCCAACCTGAGAAGCTATTAGAATTAGGATGCACTAACATTCATTTTCCCCCCTTTTTAAAAGAACATCAGAACCTGTACGGCATTCATCTAGGATCAAAAAACTTTTGTGTGATTAAGAAAGGAAGGAAAATATATTTGCTCTTTATGGATTCTTGGCTTCAAGCTAGACAAAGAAAAGATGGATTGCTGACAAGGAAAGATTTTACGGATCTATATTTTCCAGACGTGTTGTAGCTAGCAAGAGCCATTCATGTTCTTGAGGAGAACTCTAGGAGATTTTGCAGATTTAACTTGGTGGAGACTGCAGCTAAAAGAGCAAAGGAAGCAGAGGACGGCCTTGTTGATCCACTCCATTTCCTCCAGAACATGTGCCCTGATACCAAGCTCAAATTCCCCAGCAGTGCTCCAAACTAGACTGCAAAGAGTGGCTCTCCTCCCAGCTTCGCCCCTCTCAATCTACCAATGTGATGACTCCAAAAAGATTAGGGAAAATAGTTTAAGTGACAGCCCCACGAATCCCACAACTTCAGGATATCCAGGGCCGAAATGTGACAAAATGTTTTTTAGAATATGACATGAGACTATTAAAGAGGGAAGTGACTTAGAGATGTGTGATTCTTGGCATCCAAAGATAAGTGACAAGCAAGAACTCCACACTGAATCCACCAGAAAATCTGTGATTATTTTTATAAAAGAAAGTACATTTCCTTTTATCTACTATTACGTCAAAAAAAAAAAAAAAAAAAAGGAAAATCCAGAATATTCGCTCCAAACTTTCTCAGTAGAAATGTAGCATACTATGGTATTTACAATGTAAACAGGAAAATGTATCTCAAAGAAACCATAAATACCAAATGCACATCTATTAAGACCCCAACCAAGTGGTCCTATAATCCCATTTCAAAAATTTGTTTTTTTGTATTAACTGAAGGACTTCTGGGACACTTCTATGGTCATTTTCATTGCAAATCTTCATTGTGATATTCTAATAAACTTATTTTACATTTTTTCCTCATAAAAGATCTTTAGTAGTACTAGACTGCTGGGATTCTATGCTGCCTAATGGCATTTTGCAAGGTTCTTGACAAATCTTAGATATACGGAAGTTATCATCTGAAAGGCAGAGTGAAGTAAACAAAAATTAATGAATCTAAAATTTTACACAACAAAGAAAAATGTATTTATTTTGAGGTCCTAAAGTAGGGTTTGGAAGTCAATCAGGATATGCAGAAAAATCAGGCAAATAAAAACAAGTAAACAAAACAAACGGCAAAAAAACAAAAAGAGAAAAATCTTTGAACTTATTTTACCTCAATGGCATATTGGAACAAATTAACCAACAAACTCGATCCCCAAAAGAGAGTGAAAACCACATATATTTAACTTTAATCTTTTTATTTCTGATAATATAACCCCATCCCTGAGAACGCCTGATTTAATCATATGGTAAATCCTGATCATGAATAGTCTTATTCTTACTTAGAAAAGCTTGATGCTCCCCTCAATTAGACTATACTTTGGGAAGATTTGTTCCTGACGATGAGCCCCTGACCTCCATTTCCCTAGGGCATTTAATTTACAAAACATATTCGTAAACTTTTTCTCTGCCTTTTTGAGATGTGAATTTCCTCCCAGCCTCTTGCCAGTTTTATAACCCAGGGATGTCTTGCTCAATGAGTTAAGCGCCATCCTGTTCAAATGTAATCAGGAAGGACATAGGACCCCAATTTCCCAGTTTATGTTTCAAGAAGTTGAGTTCAACCTCTGTTGCCTATTGCAATAGTCTTGAATAAAGTCTTCCTTGCCTGTTTATGTCTGTATTTTTTTGACACTTCCTTCTTAAAATTTGAGAGAGTTATGGTCATATTTCACCTTCTGATAGCCAAGAATTACCAATATCTCTGCCTAAAATTAACATTTCTTGGGATAATTCTATATCTAAAAAAAATAGTAAAACAAACATAAAACAACTGCCCTTGGTGTGAGAGTTATTTCAAACTTCTTATTCATCCAGCATTTTCCACACCTACCTATGACCAAGGTAATGGCATAGGTTAAGAGTTTTCCCTTTATGTCCTCTTAATTGGCTCATAAGTAAATTATAACAAAAAGAATTTTAAGTATATTCATTCAAATATAAGGAGTGGTGTGTTATTGCAAATTAAGAAAGTATTGGCAAATATGTATTTAATTTGCCTGTGGTCCAGTAACTTAAAAAACTAGAGTTTGATAATTTCCCCTTCACCCCCCATAACAAGCAATCTATTATTTGTTACTGCATTCACAAGAAAATACATATGGCCACAATTACTGAAATCAACACTGCTATATTTCATATAATTTTATTATTTCCGTGTTTCATAACTATTCTGTTTATCACAACTCCCAGACAGAGCATTTTTAGACTTTTTACCCCTAATTGTCCAGCAGCTACTATAAAATGTTAAAACCACAAATTCATTGTGTATCTGTTTATATACTGTGGTCCTTTGGAAAGCCACAAACCACTGTAGTATCTTAGATATACTGACCTCCAAAGAACAATTTTCACCCCTTTGAAGGTGGGTTCAGGCAATTCTTTTTTTTTTTTTTTTTTTTTTTGAGACAGAGTCTTGCTGTGTCGCCCAGGTTGGAGTGCAGTGGCGCGATCTCGGCTCACTGCAAGCTCCGCCTCCCGGGTACATGCCATTCTCCTGCCTCAGCCTCCCGAGTAGCTGGGACTACAGGCGCCCGCCACCACGCCTGGCTAATTTTTTGTACTTTTAGTAGAGACGAGGTTTCACCATGTTAGCCAGGATGGTCTCGATCTCCTGACCTCGTGATCCACCCACCTCGGCCTCCCAAAGTGCTGAGATTACAGGCGTGAGCCATCGCGCCTGGCCCAGGTAATTCTTTTGACAAAGGACAAATCACATTCTTCTCTATATTACAGCTAATATAAAAATAAAATCTATCTCTGCCAATTGATTTATATGTGTCTTATATAAAGCTCATTACTTTACCAATTTAAATGCCATTTTAGCTCACCAGGGTCAGGAAAGAGGAAGTGGGAGGGCAAGTTGTGGAGGAGGTGACAGAAATTTAAATTATTCTTCGGGAGGACATAGCTTTTTATGCTTATGCCTGGAAAATATTATCAAAATGAGCCTATATATGATTAACAATGACCATAATAGGAGCAGTTAAAAGGCCTAAAAATATTGAGAGAGGAATAATTAGTCCCCTAAAAAGCAGCTTTGTGCATTATTATCCCCATTCACATCTGTTTCATTATATACGTCTTTTTTATATGATGTTGAAGAAAAACAGATAATTTTCTATTCACCCTGGAAAATCCCACAGTGTGTCAATAATTTTCTTCTGAGTTCTTAATGAGAGGCTTTAAATTTCAATAAAGAATGTTGTTCCATTTGGGAACTCATAAGGAGTTTGCAGCAATTCTTTCTCAGACAATATTTTATGGCATCATTATGCCAAATTTTCACTAAATAATTTCACTCAAATAATTCAATAAGAAAATACCTCTGTACATAGCTTTCTTGATTCTCACAGCATCAACTGATTAATAACAGTCTTTTTTAAAAAAATCCTGCTACAATATTGTTTTTAATGCAAAATGTTGTTTAATAATTCCATTATATCAATGCTTCAGTCAGAACCAGTTAAACTAACGACCCTATTATGTAATTGTAAATTTATCTTTAACATATGAGAGAGAGATATATGTGTGTGTATATATATATCTATACATATATTTTACCTCTTTTTGTTTGTAATATTTTGCCCCAATTAAAGCTAGGTCTACATATACAGGGTGAAATGGAAATTGAATATTTAGAGATTAATTATAAACACTTTGGTAAAAACAATTGTTAAAACAGTAAAATAATTCAATCAAAGCAAATTTTTATGGTTTAAATTTCTAAATGATTGCTTTGGTTCTCTTTCCTTTGTGTGTATAAAATATGCTAGAGTAACGTAAGGAAATCACTGTGATTTAATATTAGTTAGATAATTTTTATAATAATAAACATATTCTATAATAAAATTCAAATCCTTAACCTTTGATAATGCATTTAGCTATTAAATTTAAATACATGGAAATTCAAACAAGTGGACATTAAACCTGTCTCTTGGGAGCATGGACTTTGGAACAAAGCTGCTAAGTTTGGATCTGAGCTCTGATATCTACTGTCTGGATGACCTTCGCCTAGTAATGATTAATCGCTAATTATTTATTCTCCTTATCTTACTTTCCTTTTTTGTGAAAGAGGATATTAACAGTGTTTAGATAGAAAGAAGTCAGACACAAGAGTTTATATCGTATGATCCTATTTGCATGAAAATTGAAAAATGAAGTTGTTTAACTGTAGCACTTGACTTTGTTATTTTTTGATACACTATGTTTGTATATATTTATGGGACATATATGAAATTTTATTACATGCATAGAATGTGTGATAATCAGGTTGAGGTGTTTAAAGTATCCATCACCTGAGTATCATTTTTATGTCTTGAGAACATTTCAGGGCCTCAATTCTAGCTATTTTGAAAAATATAATACAATGTCCACTATCAAAGATTAGAAATAATTTCTGCTATCTAACTGTTTGTACCCATTAACCAACCTCTCTACATCCCTCCTTTTCCACCCACACATCCTTCCAAGTCTCTAATATTATATTCCACTGTCTACCTCCATGTGATCAACTTTTTCAGCTCCCACATATGAGTGAGAACATTCAATATTTGTCTTTCTGTGCCTGACTTATTTCACTCAACCTCCATATATATAGTTCCATCTGTGTCACTGTAAATGACACGATTGTATACATTTTTATGGATGAATAGTATTTAATTGTGTGTGTATATAACACATTTTCTTTACCCACTTATCCATTGATTGACACTTACGTTGATTCCCATTCCTTTGCTATTGTGGATGGTGCTGCAATAATTATGGGAGTGCACCTATCCTTTGACATATTTACTCCTTATCTCTGGATAAATATTCAGTAGAGGGATTGTTAGATTGTACGGTCATTCTATTTTTAGTTTTTAAAGCAATCTCCATGCTGCTTTCCATACTGCCTGTACTAATTTACATTCCTACCCACTGCATGATATTTTAGGCAATCCAAACTAACCCCTGATAGAATTCAGAAGAGATGACTGGTGATAGGAATCAACTGGGAAAAGATGTAAAAAAATTCTTCCATGAGGGGATGTTCGGTGTCATAATAGAGGCATCAGTTACATGGATGTATATATTTGTCAATAGTCATCAAGGTTTCCCTTAGTATATCTTAGTTTCTTTCAATATTTTAAAAAAATATGATGATAATGATAAAAAATATTCAATGTGAATGTACTCAAGTACAGGGTAAATGCATCCTAATCAAACATCAACGACTTCTCTGGATGTATGGGTCCCACTTTGCCCATTACAATGCTTGTAATTATTAGCATTGCACCCCATCTTTTCTTCCTTCATCAACATATATTTTCCTGTGCCTTCATGTGCAATTACATCAAACACACAACTCCTCCCTTCAGGAAACTGAAGTGAAAGTGAAGCTAAAGTTAACCTTCCTTAGCTTTCCTCCTCATTTGTAAAAGGAAAGTTTGATGATTTTAAGTTGTCCTTTAAGCTTAAGCTAAATTGGGTTATTCATTATTCATGAAACAGTACCATGGCCTCATCTGACTGTAGGTACACCAGGATTGGTATTTTGGCTCATGTTTTCTTCTGTCCATTTATAAATTCTGTTTTTCTTTGCACATTTTTCTTTCTTTCTGTTCTGTATTTGACACTTTCATAAAGCCAGGAAAATTGGTGGAAATCTTCTGACTGACATTCACAAGTATCTGTCTTAAAGGATGAGAGACCCTTTTTTGCCCAGGGTGCATCTGTCAAAAATTAGGCAAATATTGGTTGTCTAGCCCTATGGTATAAATTGCTGGTAAAACTGTATTCACATAAATCCGATGAAATAGGTTTCCTATAAGAAATAAGATTCAATTATGTGGGAAATGAAAGATGGGATACAAATTATACCAAAACAACCATCACATACACTGTGGAAAGCAGAGATTACAAAGACCCCATGCTGGGTACAAAAGCAGGTTTCACAGGTTGTTTGTGGTATGCTTTTATAAATTTACTTAAAATCTCAGTGTTTAAATTTCATTATTTAAAAAACAGATTACAATAATACCTACCTCATAGTAAACTAAGGTAACAAAAAGAAACATTTAAAATGACCTCTGGCTCTACATAAATGTTTAAGTCATAAATCTAAACTCCACAATATTATGGTTAATTACAATTAGTATTGTTTCTATTGCCATCTTTGCACTAGTAGCTAGAAACTGCAGATATATTCTGAAACCCACAAATACCTCAAAAGACCATGAAATTGAAATCATGTTTCTGAAGATCAAGCACACTAAATAGACCTTCATGAAGGATCTGTTACTTCCTTGGAGTTCAGTTTTCAATAATATAAAGAATATAATGGAATATCCCCTTAAACATGCCAGTTCAGAAGATATATATAATCAAACTATATATAGACAAAACTGCAGTGTATTGTAAAAGCTATGAAACTATAGATGTAAATACATAATTGCTTGTGGTTGTCACAAAATAAAGTTGATTGCATCAAAATTTTAGTATTCAAATGCAGCATCTTATAAATGTCAAAGGTTACATTTTAGCTTAAATTTGCCAAATGTGAGTTCTTACCTGGGTTGTTAAAATACTGAGATATCAGGGGAGATTTTTTTATTTCACTATTGAATATGATAATGTATCTGGGCATTTTGGAAACCTAGAGACCTCAGAAAAATCCATTATCTTTCCCTTTGGTCTCTTTATAGAGATGCATATAAATAGATGGTCATTGTGACATTTTATTTTATGTTTCAGGGGCAATGGTGTATCCCCACTGACTTATTGGATTACATCTTGATAAAAAGTAACAGTGCTTTACCACCACACTTCATGCCACAAGTAATTTCCTTTGGATCCTAAGAGAGCCCAGCAACTTTATACTCTTCACTTGAGGGAGCCACTTCTGGTGTTAAAACAAAACTAAACTAAAACAGCAAAAAAAGTCAGCACCTTAGTTTCCCAAAGTTGCATTTATCCAAAGACTTGCCATGATCAAACATAAAACAGCTGTAAAACCTAAATGAAGGGCTGGAGTCAAATGTTTCCTAATTGCCTATTTTTTAAATACCATCTGTTCATCTGCTTTACTTGGTAATGTGCCACTAAATATGTAAAAACAAGTTAGTTACATTATGTTATTCTAAAAAGATTTCATGTGTTAGTAAAGATTATGAACATTTGTTTATGTTGGCTTCCAGAAATGTAGTAAAGAAATAAAAATGCCTTTCTCTGTGAATGAATTGTAAATGCATTCCATTCCTATTCATATTTTGCTTTATGTTGGGTCGCTAATATGTGAGGTATTGAAATTAAGGAGGTTTACTTGGAAACATTGCAAAATATATGGCATTATTTATAAGTTTATAATAGAAAGATAATAATTGCCACCATTGTTGAACAATTATGCTTTTTTTTTTTTTTTGTCCCTCAAAGGGTCTTAAAATGTGCTATTCCTGGTTACTATTGGGAAAAAAAGATCATTTCTATTCAGAAGGAGGCTGTCTTATAACCAGTTAAGGTAGAAAGTAAAACTAAACAAGTGTTTGTCTTCATGCATGAGAAATAAATGATGCTTAAGTTCATTGACTTAATTCATACATCTTTGTATTTGTATCCTAAGCTAGTGATTAAAAGAATGTTTATCTAGCCACAGAAAAATAGCCTGTGATGTTACTATTTTCTCAAAATAATGAGAGAACAATTTTGTTCCAACAAGCTCTAGAGGGTTACTTCTTTTTTCTGGACATGAAGTTAATTAGGAAAAGAGGAAAGCTAATAAAAATAATTGAGTGTTTACCAGATGCCAGCTGCTTATCAAATATCAAGAACAGTGCCAGAAATGTTAGTAGAGGGCTTAAGTACACAGGCTTTAAAGTACGACATAATTCAATTTTGATTAACTTGTTTGATGACCTTTGGCAAATTTCTTACTTCTCTACAAGAACCGTCCCTCAAGGGTAAAATAGAAATAATACTGTCACCCACCATTAGTAATTTCTGTAAGAATGAAAGGACATAACATGCAAAAGCTTTAAGCACCTAAAATATTTTCTGTCATTAATTCATAATTGTTATGTTTAATCTTCACAACAAATTTGAGACATACATATTGCTATTTTCATTATACAAATGAGAAGAATGAGGTTCAGAGAATTAATGTGATGGCCAAATTATGCATGTATTTAAAGTAATTTTAACATAAATCTTTAAAGCCTATTTGTTTTTTATTGAACAATGCTATGCTCACTTCTCATTTTTCTGGTGTCTTTTCAGGGAATGATTTTTCTGCCCATACCACTGTATAGTTCATTGTGTACAAAACAGGTAAACTATTCACATAGAGAACATCAAGCTTACAATTTTAGTGCATATCATAATAAAATCATCATGTAATAGTCACTTCTTCTACCTGCTGGGCACAGTATAAGAATAAAAGTAATTATCCCATTTAAATTTCAGGACATCTCAAAAAATAGGCGCTATTACTTTTTATTTTACAGTGAGAAAATTGAAGATTTCAAAGGTTAAGTGATTTGTTTATGTGAAGAAGATTCATTCCTTGTAACTATGTCTATCATATTCTAAAGTTTATGATGTAATCACAAAGCAATACTGCCCCCAATCTGGGTCCAGCAAATAAGATTAGATTTGTAGTTTCAAGAATTGCTCCTGCCAGCATGAAATGTCACATTCACCTCTACTCTGAGAGGCATGTTACTAGGTCATACAACATACAATTATGACTTCCAGCTTTTATGACTGCAGTAGAAATATTAATATTAAATATTAGGTTGGTGCAAAAGTAATTGCAGTTTTTGCATTACTTTTAGTGGCAAAATGCAATTACTTTTGCACAAACCTGATAGGTGGAAAGTTTAAAAAGCAAACTATCTCCTCTTTTATTTTCTTGGAAGTATTCAGAGTGCCGAACAGTGGCAGTTTTCTGAATAGCTTTGAGGTAAACTAGTCCTGAGGTTTTAGATGGAAGCAGTATGAAATTCTAGACCTTATACACTTTTAGAGAAGAAGTATGATCCATATAAAGTAAACTCTAGGCCTATATTTTGGGATATTACCATACATGAAGAATAGAGTAGAGATTATTGTTTAAAAATCCAGCCCTAGGAATTCTGGATTTGCTTAGCCAGACCTTGCAATTATATATCTTAATTCCTTGCAATAAATCCATATAAAATTGAATAACTCACTCATAAATAACATATGTATGTATCCTACTTGTTTCGTTTCTCTGGTTGAATGCTTCCCAATACAACTACCTTTTTCTTATGCAGCTAAAACTTCCTGATTAGAGAAAGCAAATTATAAATTTGGTACTGATAGATTCCAGATAGTTTTTTACTGGGTGGGGGATAGCGGATGGCACTCTCTCCTGATGATCACTGAGGCTACTGTCCAATCAGTCTAGCTGCGTATGCTATTTCCTTTTTCAAATGTGTAGTTTCTTTAGAGTCGTCATATTTTTGTTCTTTGCCTTTGGACAATCCAATGGATGAGAAGGAGCACATCCGATTTCTAAAATTTTAGCTACGCAAGTTTAGCTAAACCTATTTCAGGTTTCTAATCACAAGCTGCGCTCCACAAAACTGGCGATATTGAGCACTGTGTGCCTTTGGTTGCATGCTCCCACTTGCTTGCCCTTCTCCTCACAGGTATGTTCCCCAGGCTAGCAGGAGCTTTCCTTTTAGCTCCTGCTAAAAGCCAATGGGCCTGGAAAGATAACTAAGGAAGCTGGATAGGACGAAGAAAAGTTTCCAGTTTTGTCCTTAAGGTGAAGTAATCCCCTAAGGAGCTTGCCAGTGGCTAATAATTTGGGGCAGAGATGCAGGGAAACCAGATAACTGAAAATAAAACTTAAACGCACACGTTTTGTAAGGATGGGCATGTCCTTAAACATAGTATCAGGCTACATAGTTTTTAGAAGAAATAACAAGCAAGGAGTTTGGAAAAAGTAGTTCCCTAGTGGGAGGACAGTTAAAAATTAAAACTGTTAATTTTCATTCCAAATGTCTGCCATACAAAGTTCCTTAGACTGGATGGTGACTTTTGTTCACTGACTTTCTGTGTCAAAATAGCAGTTGGAATTGCTTATTGTGACATTTACCGATGGCTTCAAAATAGCAACTGTTGGCAACAAAAATGCTGATAGAAAAGTCTGCAAAAGAAAGGCAATCAATACTCAGACCTCCTATTGTGACAAAACTGGAAATTTACAAGTAAGTGGAAAATAGAGAATCTTGGTGATCTCTCTTTGTTTTTGTAACAGCTTTGAGCTTAGCAGGCAGATGGATGGATGCCTTAGCAGGCCATTCCTACTGCTTAGATGAAGGGCAACTAGATGGACACAATTTGGGCACTGATTTCATTTCAGGTGGCTCTGCAGATACTCTCTTGTGTTGCCAGAGATCACATATTGTGGCAGAATGTTCTCTGCTGGGTAAGAGAGAAGTTTCACACTCAAGGGGATGAAAATCCCGACTGATTAGTCATAAACACTGCTAAACCCTGGAAGTGGGATCGGAAGGATAATATCTTCCTCTCTCTTTTATCCTATTCTTGAGTCAGTTAATTGTATATCCTGATAAATAAGGATTATGTTTGATTATTCCTGAAGAGCAGAAGTTCACGGGGCAGAGTCAAACAGGATTTTCTGTAATATTAAAGACTATGACAATTCTGTTTGCATTACTTGGTAGTGAGCCAGTACGTACCATTGCCAGGTGGTAGAAGAATCTGTGAACTGTTTCAGCATTCTTTAAGGTTTTCCAGTGACCTCAGTGCAACTGCACTAAGCAGATAGTGCCCAATCTCAAGCTGCTATTTTTAAGTTCATTCAAATACTTTTTGCATAACAATGTGGAACATATTGTGGTGAAAATTCCTCCCCTGGAGAACCATGTTATTTCCAGCTGTGCCTAGTCCAAACATGTCTTTCTTTTCAAAAGATGCCAAGAGAACAGGGGGCTATTGGTAACTTTCTTCTTTCTAGTTAACAAATATGATACTTAATAGTGTTTGCCTGAGCCCATCCCTCAGCGTGTGACAATAAATTCATCATACAAATGACACCAAAATTGCAATCACTATTCTCAGCTTTTCAACACATTTCTAGACTATCAGGTGTTGGAACTGAGGCCAATGGTGATGTACAGTATAATATACCTCCTCAAACTTTTTTGATATGTACTTTAACTTTAGCAACGTCACACACAGAGACATATACATAAACACATGGACATTTTTCTAGGACAGTGAGTAAAATACGTTACAATAAAATAATAAAGCATATCTTATGCCTCTGAATTTGGAAACACCCTTTTATGTGTACCTTATATATTCTCACACAGCTAGTGAATTTTTCTGCTCTAAATTAGCTCATATGTAAACAATTTTAAATGATGTCCTGACCATAGCACTACATGTGTGTATAAACATATTAAACATATTTATATTTATGTAAATGTACCAATTAGTGAAACATTATCTAATAAAATTACTCAAGTTTCTAATAGCAATTCGACTATACCAGCAACTTAATCATGCTTTTCATAGCAGCAACCTCAAATCCTGGAAGTTCTCATGTTGACTGCCAGGCAGAGGCACTAAAACAATTTTAAATATTGCCTTTCTTTCATCATCCAAAAAGGAATTCAAATTCTTAAGCAAAGTAGTTTCCTTGAAATTGTGTGGGAATAAAACAGTTTGCTGTTTTCTGGAGGAGACAGTTTAGATTTCTGAATTTATTGAATTACATAAGTTTACCCTATAGGTTAATATAACACCTAAATTTCAAAATCTAAGATGAGCTCCTCAAGAAAAAAACTGATAAATTCAGGTGACAAATGTTTCAACTTCTACACTGAATTACTTTTAAAGCAGCTTACAGAAGATTAGTAACTACAATGGAATTATATTCTTTATCTGAATCTATAAAAGATTACTAAAAGGTAACTAATTCAAAATCTATATCAAATTTTTCAAAATTCCTGCTTTTCTATCCAATTTTATTGATACATCTCTTCTGCAGTTTCTCATGCAGTTAAACCACAACTCAGCTACCTGCATCTCACAATGTGGTTTTTCTTCTCTGCCTTTCTCTCCTTTTTGAACTTCTTGTTAAGTGGAGCAACCTAGCCTCTCTCTTCCACTGATTGAGTATATTCTATTTAGAGTATCATGCAGTGAAGAAAGGAAAAACAGACAAATGCAGTGATCTTAGAGATCAAAATAGGGTTTACAATCCTCAAGGTTCACCTGCAAGCTTTTCAATTCCTACCTGTATCTGTCACCTGCTGTCTGATATAACTGATGGAAGATAAGACAATAAAAGCCTAAGTTAGAGATTATGTGAAAAACAAGCACAGCAAAAACCTCTTCCTAATAGCATCATCGTGCTTCTGCTATGCATTGCATGACCACCTATGACTGTGCTTGGGGAGATCATTATTTTTCTTTCATAAATGGATCTCATAAAGCTCTATGGTTTTTATTATGCACAATGTGCAATTCCTCATAGTTTTACAATAACATATAAGAATCATCTATTCTCCTTACAACTGTTCCATAGTGTGCAAAGTGCAAGATGTCATAGACAAATGTTCACGTTTTTAAGACAAGTTTTTGTTAGTTAGGATAAAATAAAATGACTTTAAGATGTTTAGAGGTAAAATATGTCCACACTATTTGTTGACGTTGTGAACATAACTCCCAGGAAATGGGACTGAGTCCATTATTTGCCCTTATCTTGAGTTTAATAGAGTACTTGGAACTAAAGAGTGTCATTTTGGGACACAAATATGGTACCTACTGTATCCATGAATGAGACTGGGTTTTTAAAAATGTGTATTTAGATAACTGTAATGCTGAATGCATCATTTGGGACTACTAGCATACACAGGAACATTGAGAATTCATTCTTATTACGATACTGGTTCTGTTTGCATTTACCTGTTGGATGACCTTCTTTGGAAGTTTCACAGGAAATATACAACTCATAGTGTTGATAATCTCTCATTGCGTTTCTCAGAAACAAGACTTTATTATACACACTTAAGTCTGCTTAAAATGACTTCAAATGTTTTTAATGTGGTTACCACCACAAAGATTTCAGTATTTTATGAAACTTCTTAATATTCTCTTTTCTTACTTTATATCACAGTCCAGTTATTATAATTGTTAATTTGCTCCATGGCTGCTTCTACCATTCATATCATTCATTTGTTGCCTTTATTTTGTCTTTATCTTGTCACAAAAACAATTTGTGACATTAGAAAATAGAAGTCTTATATATACTTTTATTAACTTCTTCCTTATATATTTGCATCAAAATTTACTAATACCAGTGTTGGAATATATTTGTCAGCATAGCATACTGTCATATTCCCTATGTTACACTCTTCTAAAGGTGTCACATCCACAGTTTGAATTTCTAAGCCCTTTTATCATATAATCACAATGCTGCTGCCAATATTATTATATCTAGTCACTAAAATTTTTATAACATTTTATGGAAAAAATTAATAGCAAAGTCTAAGCATTCAAAAATTATTTATATTTTGAACATAAAATATATTTATAAAATAAAAATGAAATTTCAAAATTCCAAATGATAAAAAAAGACTTTCTGCATTTATATAAGAGTCAAAGTCAAGAAAGTTTAATATTGACATTCTACAGAGTTACCTCTGGAGATTTTTGGTAAATGTCAAATTTACCCTTGTCTAAAGCTGTCATTTTTTTAAAAGGAAAGTATTTGGCCTTAGAGGCTTAAGGATAGAATTTCCAGACATATACTTACAGTTTGTCTTTTGATTAGCTGTTTGAGTGCAAATAAGGCCCCGTTTATATAGAGGAGAGAAGTACTAAATAATATTATTCTTAGAATTCTCATTCTTTTCGTTACAGAAACCATGGCACATTTTTCCAAAGGTTAATTTGCTTTAGAACTTTGTAGCTCAACCCTTTATTATAGATTACTTCAATTTCCCTGGAGTGGAGGTCATACTAATCAAAGAAGGGACAAAGTGAAAAATGTATAGCTCTAGTGAATAAAATATTTGTCTAAATATTGGAACTTATAGAAAAAAGGCATAAGACTTTAGTTATTCAAACTAGTTTGTGTAAGACTTGATTAAGTCTATGTGCAGATTTCCTTAAAAATAGTCATTCCTGAAGTCAAACAGTGATTCAAACTTATCCTTGTTGATGCTTCACTAGTATTTTGCCTATCTCTAATTGACCCTCTAGTGTTTGTCCCGCAGATGTTATCACACAAGGATTCATTTTACTTTTAAGTTCCCAACCTCAGCTCATTCTCACTCGCCCTCAATAATATAACTTGTCTCATACCTAATAGAAAATCCTGAGTTTTTTTCTCATATCCTGATCTCACCTCAGTATAGCAGTAAAAATATATATACCATTTGTGAAATTAGCGTACAGTCATACCTTGTCTCTGGTTATCATCTTTTAATATATATGAGGCTTTAGCTTCTGAATATATGCCCTTCTTTTCTAACATGTCCAAACTCTTGTTAAGTGTATCTTTCTTTATTAATGTAATTTATTTTTTTTTGAGATAGTGTCTCATTCTGTTGCCTAGGCTGGAGTGCAGTGGTACAATAATAGCTCACTGCAGCCTCAACCTCCCAGGCTCAAATGATCTTCCTACCTCAGCCTCTTGGAGTAGCTAGAACCATAGGCATGTGCTGCTGCCACACCTGGCTAATTTTTTTTTTTGGAGAGATGGGCTCTCACTATGTTACCCAGGCTTGTCTGGAACTCCTAGGCTCAAGTAATCCTCCTGCCTTGGCCTTCCAAAATGTTAGAATTATAGGCATGAGCCACTGTACCCAGTCCCAGATCTTTTGAAGCGTTTGGTGTCACTGATCACCCATGATGTGTAATTTTTTTACATTTTTCATGATATTGTGGCCTGTTGGGATTCTTAATACAGTGGTAAATTTCTTGTCTGTATCACTATCTCTTTTTATTTCCTTTTCTTACCTCCCAGGTGGTGTCTCTAAAGCTTGAGTTTCCATGCATTAAAAGTAATATTCACAACATCAATTAAGCATTTATAACTAATTTACAAAAAGTTTTGATTAAATCTAAATTTTTTAAATTTTTATTTGACAATCATTGTATCTATGGGGTACAACATGATGTTTTGATATACATATACATTGTGAAATAATTATCACAATTAATCTAATTAATAAATATATCCCCTCATATACTTTTTCGAGGTAGGAACATATAAAATCTACACTTTTCACAATTTTTAAATACATAATACATTACTATTGGCTGTAGTCACTATGCTATATAATAGATTTCTAGAACTTATTCCTCTTTTATAACTGAAACTTTGTACCCTTTGACCAATATCACTCCATTCCCCACCCCTTATCTTTTCCAAATGTGATAACCACTATTCTACTCTCTACTTGCATGAGTTTTGACTTTTATTGATTCCACATATAATTGAGATCATGCAGTATTTGTCTCTCAGTGCCTGGCTTATTTCACTTAGCATAATGTCCTCCATGTTGTTGCAAATGGGAGAACATCCTTTGATTTTAAGGCTAAATAGTATTGCGTTGTTTATATACACCACATTTTTTAATCCATTTGTCAACAGACACAGGTTTTTTGTGTTTTCTTAATATCTTTGCTATTATCTATAATGTTACAATACACATAAGAGTGCAGATAACTCCTCAAGGTATTGGCTTACTTTTCTTTGGATGTATATTCACATTGTGATGGTTGGACCATTGGTTCACAGACCGGGAAAGGACAATTAGAGGGCATCTTCTGGATAATGCTTTAGAGTCCACTGTATGAGAAAATCTTTCTACCTCTCTTTAGGAAAGGAGGTCCTGATACTTGAAGGAAGGTCCTGTGTCATTATCTCTCCTGTCAAGTTCAGTTAATTGACATCAAGCTACAGATCCTCTCAACGTAAACACTGAGCCTGAAGTTCTTAGAATTTCACTTCCCAGAAACAAATTGTAGAAATAGGTCCCGGCTCTCCAAAAGTGACACCTGCTTATATCACAGGCTGGTTCTGGTAGACCCGCTACTTGTCAATCAGGTTCTTTGCACTTATAGATTTATTATTTTCATGTCTAAAATGTCCATAACTTTTAATTGCTCTGAAGCACATTGATGTCATCATGAGTTAAACACCTTTAATTCAGGGAAAATCTTTTAATGCACAAAGATAATTTAGATTTATAAAATTTAAGTCAAATTTCAAATGGATTAACTTTAGTAAAAACATAAAGAGGTTTTCTTTAACCTGGCTAACCTTTTCTGATGTATTTTTCCCCTGTTTTAAAGCAGTTTTATTTCTATAATCTTAGTCATTTTTGTCACTGTAAAATTTGTCACAACCTTCATATAACAGTGAACAAACTCAAATTCAGTCCTTTTCTTAGCTCCTCATGTCCTCTTCAAATATCATCAGACAGTTTTAGATAAACAGTTTTATCTAACCTGTTTTACTGTAATATTTTTTTCTCCATTTTCATCCTCAACGTATCTCTAAATTAAAGAAGGACATCCTATTTTCCCACACTTTGAGAGTATGATTTTATGGCAAACCATAAAATCTTCTCTGTAGCCAGGAGCAATGATGACCATCTTGTAGGCATATGTCTAAGGAGGTTATCTCTTTCCATTTCCATAAAGTTGAAATCTCAGTAAGTGCTTGTACATCTGTTAGGAAAACTGAAAAGCGAGCAAAACCTTTATTATGAAAGCCTCAATATTTCAAGTCAGCGAATCTCACTCTTTTTTAAAAATGTTGTGTTCCAAGATGTGCAGGGTATTTAGCAGGTAAGATGTTTTCATTTTGGGGGTAAGAAGTTTATAATCTAAATAGAAATTGCAAAAGTTTACATTTGTGTCATATTTGACACATGCAGATCAAAAACTAGTTTGTATCTGGACAAGATATCAATGATCATTTGTTTCATGTTTTCTGCCGTTTCATTTAAATCCTTTTGAAAATCAAGATAATTTGAAACTCTACCTTTCAGATTAAACTGTACCAAAGTTCAACATACTTGGTAAACCTAGGGAGCATGACTATTGATAAGATCCCCATAATTATTATACTGTAAAAGACCAAAATGTCTGTTATTAAAATATTCCTTTGTGTCTGCCCACAGGATATTCTGTTGTCACCTCTGAGTCAGAAAACGTATTTTACTCAGTTTGTACATACCTCAAGGGAACAATGGGGAAGTGTGTGTTTGTTCCTGTGGTTTGCCCATGCTAATGTAGCAGTCACTATTTTCCATATACGATTAGTGTCTTTTTGGGAAATGAAAAATCTTTTGGTTGGTTTAAAAGCATTTGTATGTCTCATCCTGGATGTGAGAATTTCCATCGCCATGTGTGCTTTCACATGCTCTGCTCTGCCAGGTCCAATCATAAATTCTTCTCTGCGGATTGTCTGATAGGCTCTGTTGTGATTATTTACCGCCCTGATCTAGTTGTATGTGTCCTTCCATCTGCCATTCAAATGACACAGTTGGTTAGCCCTCTTTTTCACTGATGTCTGGCTCATCTTGGCATTGGTATTGTAATCATTCATTCTCATTATTATTATCTTAATTCTTAGAAAATTTGGTCACAATATGTTAAAATGTCTTAAATCATAAAAATTAAGCCAGCATTATCATGATACAAAGCATTACAATTGAGTTTGCCATAGGAAAAGTCAACAATAAAATATTAACATTCGCAATTATAAACACAAATTGCACACGTAAGTCACACAATTGGGAAGGATGCAACAGTGAGTGATCTATGACTGCAGATAAGAGTTGCTCATATCAGAGGTCAGAAAAAAGAGCAGAGACTACTGAAGGCTGATAGTCAGTGACATACCCATTTAACGCTAATAACAGTGTTGATTTTAGGCCCTATATTGATGACTACAATATGGGTTCTATATTTTCTCCCAAACTTTGACCCTCATTCTAAAAAATAAGACTTTTCAAATCCTGGAGAGGAATTTTTTCCAAGGTGCAGCATTTTTATTGCTAAAATAAAAGAAATCCCAGAAAAATTTATCTGGACAATTTTTCATTCCATTGTATTAAGCTGTAGCAACTATTTTGCCTACATGACAATACATGGAACAAACTACCTAATTCTTTTTTAGAAAGCTAAAAAAGCACTGGAAAGGAGAAGACAGAGAAGCAGCATGTTTGTTTGACTGGCACATTGGCATCCAGCAACCTTGCTGGGAAATGGAACAGCAGTTTATCAAAATAACAAACAGGCTAGGTACAGGGCTCATGTCTGTAATCCCAGCACTTTAGGAGGCTGAAACGAGAAGATTGGTTGAGCCCAGGAGTTTGAGACCAGCCTGGGAAACACAGTGAGACCCAGACTCTACAAAAAAAAAAAAAAAAAAAAAAAAAAAATTGCCAGGCATGGTGACATGCATCTACTCAGGAGGCTGAGGTGGGAGGATAGCTTGAGCCCCAGAGTTTGCAATGAGTCCTGTTTGTGCCCCTGCACTCCAGCCTGGGTGACAGAGCAAGACCCTGTCTCAAAAAAAAGAACACACGATAGTCAAAAATATTAGCATGTGAATAGATGTATACACATGAGACAATCTCTGAGAGTTCTTACGAGTAAAATCAGGAGACTGGAAATAAATGTGTGTGTGTGCGTGTGTGTGTGTGTGTGTGTATACTATAAATCAAAAAGTTTCTGAGAGACATCTCCATTAATTTAAAGGTTTACTTCGCTAAAGTGGAAGACGCACTAGAGAAAAAGAAATACAAGTTACAGTAAGATCTGTGGCCTATGCTTTTTTCAAAGAGGATCTTGAAGACTTCAATATTTAAAGGGGAAAGAACAAGCATGAGGGGGAGGAGGGAGAAAGAAAAAGAAGGATAGGCGATGAGGCAAGTGGTTACATTCTTGTGAGGCTTTGATTAGAGCTCACTGAATCCACATTTTACATGAGAAAAGAGAGGAGTGGGGAAAAATGTCAAATATGCATTTGTGTCATGCTTGGTAGATCTACATTTTACATAAGACAAAGTAAATGTAAAATTATAGCTGTCTGTCTGGAATTTTTCAAGAGGCAGTTTTTTCATGACTCCATTCCCATGCTCAACTTTCCCTTTGGCATAGTGAGTTTGGGGCACTGAGATTTTACTTTGCTTTTGTAATACACACATGCACACACATATATGTATATATATACACAAAATTTCTTCCTCTTACAGTAAGTAAACAAAATTATTATACACACATATGTACATATATATTATATATACGTAATTTTACTGCTTTTACAGTATACCTGCTATTTAAACCACATATGACTAAACTTCTTAAATTAGGTTCCATTATTACATACATATGATTTTGCTTCTGGAAGGCAGCAAGATTAAAATAAAGAGTAATAAAGGAAAGAGAGAAAAAAGAAGAGAATATGAGAAAAACTGTTCTGAAAATTAATTAAAATTAGATGGAAAAAATAAAAATAGAAAATATTAAAGATATGTGTATTTGAATTGAACAAGATGAAATAATTAAGAATCTTAATATCTACTAGAAAATGTGTCAGGATTACTCCAATAATGTTGTAAATTTTATTAATATTTTTGATGGATTTAACATTTTATTAAATGTACTTTTATTATGGCAAAAATCACATTTAATAAATGTGATGGCTTTAAGTATTCCTAGCAAAGACTGAAGTGTTGCAAATTAGAAAATATGTATAATCATCTACCGATATTAATTTCTATTCAAATACTTCACACTACCTATTATGCTATCAAAACATGTCTCAAAATCTTAGAAGTATAGTAGTAGTCACCTTTTCTTTACCATTAATATCACTTTTATTTGAAGAAAGAAGTGCTAGTATTTTCTATTGAGCAGATCAGAACACGTTATTTGTACATTGCTTTGTTTTTTCAGTGTAAATACAATATATTTTATTAGTTTTATTCATTTTATGGGAGTTACATATATCATTGACACTAATTTCCAAAAGGCATAATAATGTCCATTTCTTTGAGGATGTTTAATAGATTAATACACCCTTTCTGATTCAAGCTGCATAGAACCTATTTAAACTGTCACCCCTATGCAAGTATTCACTACTATAGGTTAGATATTTGTAGTGTCTTAAAATAGTGCTATTCTGAACCTAAATCAATAGTTACAAGTTAAGTTATATATTTTTGTAATGAATTATTTTATATCACAGGCACATTTTTAAGTAGATTATGTAAAGAAAAGAAGAATAGGAATTTATAGACAATGGTGGTAAATTTACTTGTAATGGTGTTTATGGAAGATTCTTTGATTTCTTTGATATATTTCACATATATATGAAGTCTTATATTTTTCATAATATAAATTACATATTATAAAGGGAACTTCAGGTGTTGCATTTGTGAATAATATGAACAAAACTCAAATTATTGAGAGACATAGAGAAAAATGTCATTGATTTATTGCTGAAAAGCAAGAGGAACCCTATGTGTGCTGAATTTGGAATAAAGCATCAGATGAAACAAAAATTTGTGCTTCAATTGAGATTAGTGGAAAAAACTCACAGCACAACAGGAGAGGAACTGTAGAGGATAATGGAGTTTTGGGCATGCGATTAGAGATGAGAAAAGAATCTCAAGTGATCATGTAATGAGTCATGCATTCTAATCATGCTGATCTCTATATTCAACACATCTGATATAATTTGTTCTAAATTATCGCCCATTTTCTTCTCAAATATCATAAACCTCTTCTGCTCAGTGTTTAAAATAGAAAACAGATCAATGTATTTATTCTCATGTGTACTTTTTAAATAATTCTTAATATTGTGTATAAGAAAAATATTCATTGTCAAAGACATTATGCTGATAACTTAAAATATTACATTTATTCAAATGTACATTTAATTTTATATGTATTGTTGGATTTAATCTGACATTTAAATTGGAAAGAAATGTACACATAATCATTAGGTATACATAGGCCATACAGCAATGACTTTCTACTGTGCGAAGTATCTCATTCTATACGCCTAACTTTGTAATCACATTTCTTTTGATAAGTTGATGGCATTCCCAGATATGAGTTGAAGGATGTGCTTAATAACTTATTCCAGGGATCACTATCTAATGTTTCTCTTATTTTATTACCAGTGCATATAAAATTATTATTATTATTTTAGTTTTACTGTGGTCTAATTCCTCTTCTAAAAGTCCAAGGAGTTAAACTGAAAGTAGAAAAAAAATAAGCTTTAGCTTGATTCACTCCAGGTCTACATTTGCAAAATGAGAAGGCTGATGGAGTCTGCTCAGCAGCTCCAGCCTTGCTCTCTCTCACTGAGAAGATGAGAATCCTTTAAGGCCTCAAAATTTAGAATGCTAAACCTCAGACTTCCCACAATTTAAAAAGGTATGGCATTAATACAATATATATATTGTCATACTAATGATATTATAAACATAACACTATATATAACTCCTTCTACCTACACCCCAGAAAGAAAAACAGTATCTCCACGCTATAGAAGGTTAAAAGTATCGAAAATGTACATAAAGAACTCTATACTTAGATTTGTCAAACACCACAACAGAAATTCACTGGTAGCTGCTGGAAAAGAAGTAACAAAAAAAAAAAATCAGACACAGGATGTCAATCAGTCTTCTTCAGTTGTCCAGAATTCATGACAAGTGAACTTAAATAAATTTGGCAAAAATAAAGAAAACACCAAGATTAATATGAATGCTATGCATTTATCATTGTGGGCAAACAATTTAGTTATGCATTACCTCTTAATTTTCATTACTTGTTTTAGTATCATGTTTCTTTGTTTAATGTCATTATCTGGTTGTTTGTAAATGGAGTGAAGACCAATATTTGATAAGGAGAATGAGTAAAGTTTTTTGATGAGGAGCTATTTGACTTGTATTAAATATGACCATAATCCAGTCAACAAAGAGAGCCATGATTTATTGGTGATCTCTCTGATATCCCAACTGTCAACCCAAAGAGTCAAAGTTTGTTAAACATTTGAAGAGATTTATTCTAAGCCAAGTATATGTGACCAGTGACCCATGACACAGCCCCAGGAGATACTGAGAACTTGTGCTCAAAGTAGTAAGGCTACAGCCTGGTTTTATACATTTTAGAGAGGCATAGGACATCCATCAATACGTGTAAGATATACATTGGTTTGGTGGAGAAAGGCAGGACAACTGGAAGCAGGGGTTTCCAGGTCATAAGGCAATTAAAAGATTTTCTGATTGGCAATCGGTCGAAATAATTATTATTTAAAGACCTGGAATGTCTAGGTTAAGGTAGGAGGTTGTGGAGACCAACCTTTTATCATACAGCTGAAGTTTTCAGGTAGCAGGCTTCAGGGATGATAGATTGTAAAAGTTTCCAATCATACTTAAAGAGACTGTTCTATCAGTCTTAAGATCTCTGTGTTGATGTTAATGCTAGTTAGCTGCGCCTGAATTCCAAAAGGAAGGTGGATATATAATGAAGCATGCCCAACACCCTCCTCATCATGTCCTTAAGTTGTTTTTCAAATTAACTTTGGAATGCCCTTGGCCACGGGGCAGATCTATCAGTCAGTTGGGGGACTTAGAATCTTACTTTTTGTTTACACAACAGTTTATTTTGTCATGCAGGAACATTGAGAAATTAAAAATGATAGAACAGTGGCCTTTAGAAATATGAAAGCATATAGCTGTGCATCTTGGACTCTCATGAACGTGTTCATATAATCATGGAGCTGTAGAGGCTTTTACTAGGTCTGATTATTCCTTCAAATCATGCAGGTAATTTTGCTACTGCCTGGACAAGAGACTAAGTTTTCAAGGCAAGTTACTTAAGAAAATCACTCTATCCCTTTTTCTATATTTTCCCAATTATGCTCCAGTTGAAGGTCATGGGCAGAGAGAGCCCTCATTTATGACGCTAAGGAAAATGAACCTCTCAGGCATGTTTCAATCTTAGCTGGAAATTCAGAGAGTAAGAATTAATTAGAGGGTTAATATTAGTTATTAGCAAATGGAATCGCACCTCACCCAAACTCTCCCACAATGAAACTGACAGGCAGCTAACAATTTAATGGTCTCCTACATAAGGAAAAGGAAGCCAACACAGTGGTTTTTGCCATTAAATAGAAAGAAGAGATGGGCTGACTGCAGGCCTCTCTAATAAGAGACTAAGCAAGTTTTCAGTGTGTTTACTTCAACTTGGAAATATTTAGAAGTAAATCAGTAAGAAGACTAACAAGTGTTTTAAAAATTTTACTGTCAAAGAAACCACAAGTCTGGATTCCAAAAGCCAGTTGTAGCAGATGGTGTTGATCCTACCCCATGTTTGAGTTCACCTGCAGGTATGCAAGTCAATTTCCATCAGAATCTCCCTCTTCATGCACTTGTGTCCCTCCACAGACTAAGAGCTGACCAGAGAATGGGGGCTGGGGTTAGAGTTAAAATCTAGAAGATTCCAGATGCAACACTGAGCACATATGGGTCTGAATGGATAAATGCCTCAGATGGGATAATTCCTCTGGTGAGGCAACTTTGATATATCTATGGGGTTTCTCAGGGATTCATGGAAGAATTGAACTACAGTTGCTCAAAGAGCTACCCTTCTCAATTATGCAGCCTTTTTGACTTTCTTCATTCATTCTCTTACTTTCCTGATTTGTCTCCGCTGGATTAACCCTTTCTCAACACTCTGGACCCAAGTGCTCATCTTGAGGTCCTCTTTTGGAGACCCCACAAGTTTCACTAGCAGGAAATAGGCAATGAAACAACATAACCTCCAAAGAAGGATGGAAAAGAAAATTGTTCCCCAAGAGCAAAACCAGTGGTAGCCAGATGGCTTACCAAGGCATTTACTCCTCTCTCAGGGTTGGGGTTTTTGAAATTATCTGACTAGCAAAATGTTTAGACTGCTATGGACAGCTGACTGGTGCATGCTTTTTATTCAGGTAGAGAATGCTGGCTGTTTAACATGATTTCTATTCCTGCTCATCTGTATTAGATAAGAATATGGACATCCAGCCTAGCCACATTTCCCAGCCTCTTTTTCATTTGTGTTTAACTGTGACAAACTTCTCTCCAGTGAACAATGAGCTGAAGTATATGGGCAACATCTAAACCCGGGCAAAATTAAAATCTGTGACGTGTTCACCCTTTATATTTTGTGACCTTTTATTAGAGCAAATTAATAATCAGTAACTATTATAGCATTCTTCCTTTTTCCAAGTGAAAATTTTTATGAGTTTTATTATATTTTTGCTCTGCTATTGTATAGGTTTATTATATTTTTGCTCTGCTATTGTATATTTTGCTCTGCTATTATTGCTCTGCTATTGTAAAACATATTGATATGTTTTACTTATTTATTTATTTATTTTGGAGACAGAGTCTTACTCTGCTACCCAGGATGAAGTGCAGTGGTGCGACCTCCATCTCCCAAGTTCAAGCAATTCTCCTGCCTCAGCCTCCCAAGTAGCTGGGATTACAGGCACACATCACCACACCCAGCGAGACCAATGCAGGAGGCGGGTGATTTCTGCATTTCCAACTGAGATACCCAGTTCATCTCATTGGGACTGGTTAGACAGTGGGTGCAGCCCACGGAGGGTGAGCAGAAGCAGGGTGGGGCGTTGCCTCACCTGGGAAGTGCAAGGGGCTGAGAAACTCCGTTTCCTAGCAAAGGGAAGCCATGTGGGACTGTGCTATCCAGGCCAGCTACTATGCTTTGCCCACGGTTTTTGCAATCCACAGACCAGGAGATTCCCTCATATGCCTACACCACCAGGGCCCTGGGTTTCAAGCAGTGGGTGGCTGTTTGTGCAGACATTGAGCTAGCTGCAGGACTTTTTTACATAACCCAGTGGTGCGTGGAACCCCAGTGAGACAGAACAATTCACTGTCCTGGAAAGGGGGCTGAAACCAGGGAGCCAAGTGGTCTCCCTCAGCAGGTCCCACTCCCATGGAGCCCAGCAAGCTAAGAACCATTGGCTTGAAATTTTCGCTGCTAGCACAGCAGTCTGAAGTCTACCTGGGACAATCAAGCTTGGTGGGGGAAGGGGCATCCACCATTACTATTCAGGACATAGGCATGGGCAAAGACTTCATGTCTAAAACACCAAAAAAAAATTGCAACAAAAGCCAAAATTGACAAATGGGATTTAATTAAACTAAAGAGCTTCTGCACAGCAAAAGAAACTATCACCAGAGTGAACAGGCAACCTACAGAATGGGAGAAGATTTTTGCAATCTATCCATCTGACAAAGGTCTAATATCCAGAATCTACAAGAAACTTAAACAAATTTACAAGAAAAAGAAACAAATAACCCCATCAAAAAGTGGGCAAAGGATATGAACAGACACTTCTCGAAAGAAGACATTTATGCAGCCAACAAACATGAAAAAAAGCTCATCATTAGAGAAACACAAATCAAAACCACAATGAGATACCATCTCACACCAGTTAGAATGGTGATCATTAAAAAGTAAGGAAACAGCAGATGCTGGAGAGGATGTGGAGAAATAGGAATGCTTTTACACTGTTGGTGGAAGTGTAAATTAGTTCAATCAGTGTGGAAGACAGTGTGGCGATTCCTCAAGGATCTGGAACCAGAAATATCATTTGCCCCAGCAATCCCATTACTGGGTATACACCCAAAGGATTATAAATCATTCTACTATAAAGACACAGGCACACGTATGTTTACTGCAGCACTATTTACAATAGCAAAGACTTTGAACCAACCCAAATGCCCATCAATCACAGACTGGATAATGAAAATGCCTCACATATACACCATGGAATACTATGCAGTCATAAAAAAGAATGAGTTCATATCCTTTGAAGGGACATGGATGAAGCTGGAAACCATCATTCTCAGCAAACTAACACAGCAACAGAAAACCAAACACTGCATGTTCTTACTCATAAGTGGGAGCTGAACAATGAGAACACATGGACACAGGCAGGGGAACATCACACACTGGAGCCTATCAGGGGGTGGGGGGCAAGGGCAGGGAGAGTATTAGGATAAATACCTAATGCCTGCGGGCCTTAAAACCTAGATGATGGGTTGATGGGTACAGCAAACCCCATGGCACATGTATAACTATGTGACAAACCGGTATGTTCTGCACATGTATCCCAGAACTTAAAGTATAATAAAAAGTTAATGAAATTATAGAATATTTGATGCTAACACATAGCAACACTATATCTTTTCTGAAAAAAAAATTTACATAAATGAATATAAGCCAGCAGCACCACATAATAAATCAACCAGAGTATAATTTTGGAACATTTCTAAATGAATAAAGATATAATATTCATATGCTTGTTAAAAAAAGAATGTTGTTTTAAAAATAACCTGTATAGTCTCAAATGATTATTAGAATCACATAAAAAAGGGTTTGTATGGCCAGTTTTTCAGTTGACAGAAAAAAAAAATGACTAACAATTATAAATGAAAATAGGACTAAAAATAGGATATTTTAATTGCAGAATATCATGAATAATAAAGTTAAAATACTTTTATGTCTCAAAACACTTATATTCATAATGGAAATAAACTACTAATGAAGTATATAGAGCCTTTACTGATATAATAACTTCAAAGAAAGCTTTAACATTCAGTATTATGACATTTTAAACAAATAGTTGATTTCTTGCAACATAACAATTCTAGATAAGCAACATATACCTGGATCAACTACATCATCATGTGTCTGACTAAAACATGCAAAAAATTTCCTATTTCTTTTTAGCATTATATCCATTAAGAGAAACAAATTAAAAGCAAAGAAGTTTTAAAAGGATATATGGATTTCACAGACTTTTTATTAAATGAGTATAGCAGTGAAAAAACCAACAGGCCTCACCTGTGGCTTTATTAAAGATGAATGGAAATTTTCTTAATATAAAAAGTAGATAAATATTATGACTTTTTCTATAGTCACATCTATAAGTACACGGAAAATTTTAATTTTTCTTAAATATATTATTTTAATACGTTGTTCAAGGCCACAGGTAAGAATTTTATGAAATTGTCATGGAGAAAATTGGGCTCAAACTAGCTCTTTGATGCATTTGCTATGGGAACTTGGCCACATTATTAGCTTCTGTGAGACTCAGCTGTTTGTTTTCATTTTTAATGTAAAAAGTATAGAAAACAATCTATAACTTGCAGCATTCATTTAAAACCCGTATTATCTGCTGAGCACTATGCTATGTTAGGGAGATAAAAAGTTAACAAAGACGAATCTTCATTAAATAATATTATATCCCAGTGAGAGAGATGGACAAATATGTCAGTGGCTGCAAGAAAGTATGATGTGTGCAGGTGTTAAAATTTCACACCATTCTATGTGTTTAGGAAGGGAGAGCGAAGATCTGCCATCAGACTAGTCCATGGGGTCTCATTGTAGGAAATGAGGCTTACATTGTGCTTTGAAAGATGGACTGGAGTTAGTTGGATGAAGGGACATGTTTGTTTCAGGAAAGAGCACATGCAATGCCACAGAGGCATAAGATGACAGATAGAGATTGGTGATAAATGAGGCAAAGCAGCAGGCACCAGCCAATTATAAAGGTTTTATGTTCTAAGCTAAGCATTTTAAAATGATAACAATGTACTGCCGTTGAAATATTTAAAGCACATTTGCATTTTAGAAAATTTATTTTGGTTATGTGTGGAGGATGGGTGAATGTTCTTGAAAACAAGAACAAGAAGTGCAATTGAGAGTCAAATCTGGATATTTAGACAGAAATAGCAAATGAAATAAAACAACCAGAGGCAGTGGAAAATGAGAGAAGATGAAACTGCAAACTTTAACAAGAAGGGAAATGAACAGGAACTGATGGATGATCAGATGTATGACTGAAGGGGAGGGGAAAGAAATTCTAAATCTCTGGGCTGGCCAACTGCAAAAGTAGGGAAATTCATGAACATGGCAAAGCAGGGAGAGAGGACATTTTGGAAGCAGATCATCTTCAGGTCTATCTATACACACTTAGTTTAAGTTTTGACTGAGAAAACTCAGTGTAGATACCAGAAGGTAAATACCAGAAGGTATCTCACTGCCTCAAACGATAGACCAGAATTATATTTGGAATTACTGGAAGTTTTGGTATGTATTAATCAAAAAATTATTCAGATGGAGTTATCCAGAAAGAACATATAAGTCAGCCAGACTATGGGTTTTGAACATTTCTAAATGAATAAATATATAATATTTATATGCTTGTTAAAAAATAAGAATTACTGTTTAAAAAATTACACATATAATCTCAAATGATTATCAGAGAAAGCAGAGCTCTGGGAGCAATGATGGATAAAAGACAAACAGAAATGTGGCACAGATTTTATGTGATGATTAATTTTAAAAACCTTGATTTATAGAGTAGTCAATGCTAAGAATGTTGACTATTTGTCATGTGTAATTTGACATATGTAATTATATATAATAAGATATATAACATAATAAACATATAATGCAACATATGAAAATTTGTGTTCAATATTTAAGTAAGTATATATATGGTATGTGTACTTACATGTGTGTACATGTATGTATATCTAGATTTAGATATAGACATAAATAATTACTAAATTCCTACAGATCTAGAGTATAGGGTAACTCTAAAAGAAACAGCCTGGCCGGGCGTGGTGGCTCACGTCTATAATCCCAGCACTTTGGGAGGCTGAGGCGGGGGGATAACCTAAGGTCAGGAGTTCAAGGCCAGCCTGGCCAACATGGTGAAACCCTATCTCCACTAAAAATACAAAAATTAGCCAGGCATGGTGGCAAGCATCTGTAATCTCAGCTACTAGAGAGGCTGAGGCAGGAGATTCACTTGAACCCAGGAGACAGAGGTTGCAGTGAGCCAAGATTGCACCATTGCATTCTAGCCTGGGTGACAAGAGCAAAACTCTGTCTCAAAAAAGAAAAAAAAAAGAAACAGCTTTCTTGAATGGTTATTAAATAAATAAATAGTATATATAGATTTTTTAAATGTTTCAATTTTCATGATAAAATGAAGGAAAATAATTTAATAGCAAACCTAAAACATGCCATTTCATTCCATTAGCTAACTTTCAGTTTTTTCTACATTTACCGCTGTAGTCTCCAAATTGTTTTGACTCATTTTTCTCTCAAGTGGAATCTTCCCTTTCTCCACTGTATTTCATCCACGTCAAACATCTTTGAAACATATATTGGCATAAAAGTTCAATTGATCAGAACAAGTGTCAGGCTAGATCTGAGCTCATTTTGTAGAAGATAAAAGAAATATCTGGCATAAATAGAAGTTAATATTATATTCTTATAATACTTTGTATTTGGCTTATTTAAAAAAATTGAAATAAAATGCTTTCCAGGTTCTATAATATACTGTGATGACTTTTCATTATATTTGCAGAATGAATAGAATAAAAGAAATTGTATTATTATATAAGTGCCTTTCATGTGCACTGAATGAAGATTTACTGCATGATAAACAACAGATGATTGTTTTATGATCTAATAGCCATAGACATCTGAGCACACAGCTTCAATAAATGTGTGATGAAGCCAGGCCGCCTGAAGTCTTCAATTAAGGAAAAAAAACAGAGCCCTCAAGTCATTTGGGGAGAATAGAAAACTGCATTGCAATTAAGGTTTCCACTGGGAGAAATAGCTCAATCTAATTTCATTTATAAATAACAAAAGGAACAATGATAACAATTTATCATCAGTCAGTGCCAAGAAAATACACTGAAGGAGATAACCAGAAAGATTAAACACAGACTAGGTGTGTGTGCTGGATGGGGTGGCTAAACCAAAACTAAGTGTGGCAGGTTTAGGGGGACATTCAAGCCTGCTTATAGTTTCATTCTCACTTAAAAAAATCAAAACTTTGGCCGAGCACAGTGGCTCACGCCTGTAATCCCAGCACTCTGGGAGGCCGAGGAGGGTGGATCAACAGGTCAGGAGTTCGAAGACCAGTCTAGCCAATGTGGTGAAACCTCATCTCTACTAAAAATACAAAGATTAGCCAGTCATGGTGGCACGCGCCTGTAGTCCGAGGTACTCACAAAGCTGAGGCAGAAGAAGCACTTGAACCCGGGAGGCAGAGGTTGCAGTGAGCCGAGATCGCACCACTGCACTCCAGCCTGAGCGACTGAGCGAGACTCCATCTCAAAAAAGAAAAAAAAAATCAAAACTTTAAAACATTTTTCCCATATTTATTGACAAATTAAAACTGTGTATATGTAAGGTTCACAATGAGATGTTTTGTTATATGTATACGTTTGTGAAATGATTACCACAATCAAGCTAACTAACACATCCATTACATCACCTATTTATCAGTTGTATGTGGGATGAGAAGAGTTTTTTACTATCTCTGAAAATTTCAAGTACATAATATGTTATTATTAACTATATACATATGTACTGCTGTACATAAGGTCTCCACACTTGTTTATCTTATAACACAAAGATTGTACCTTTTGACCAATATCTCCCTTTTTCCCCACCCCCTCCATCCACTGGTAACTATCATTTTACTTTCTGTTTCTATGAGCTCAACTTTTCTCAATTCCACATGTAAGTAAAATCATGCTGTATTTGGCTGTGTCTGGCTTATTTCACTTAGCATAATGTCTTCTAGGTTCATCCATGTTATCGCAAATGGCAGGATTTTCTTCCATTTTTAAGGCTGAATAATATTTCATTGTATATACATAATACAACCTCTTTATCCAGTCATCCATAAACAGAAACTTAAGTTGTTTCCATATTGTGGCTACTGTGAATAATGCTGGAATGAACATGAGTATACAGATAGCTTTTGGGGATAATTATTTAATTATCTTTGCATATACACCCAAAAGTAGGTTTACTGGACATAGTCTATTCTATTTTTAATTTTTTGATAAACTTCCATATTTTTTCTACAATGGCTTTACCTATTTACATTCCCACCAACAATGCATCAGAGTTGCCTTTTTATCACATCTGTTATTTTTTGACTTTTTGAGAATAGCCATAATAACAGGTGATTAGTGATATTATATGCCTGTTGGACCTTTTTATGTCTTCTTTGGGGAACTGTCAATTCGGGTCATTTGCCCATTTTAAAAATCAGGTTATTTGTTTTTTTTTGCTATTGAGTTGTATAACTGGCTTATATGTTTTCAATATTAGCCTCTTATCACATGGATAATTGCTAATATTTTTCTCCCATTCCATAGGTTGCTTTTTCATTTTCTTAATAATTTCTTTGGCTGTGCAGAATTTTTTTAGTTTGATGTAGTCCCTCTTGTTTATTTTTGTATTTGCTGCTGGTACTTTTGGTAATGTGCCCCAAAAATCTTTGCTAAGATCAATTTCAAGGACCTTTCCTCCTATATTTTCTTCTAGGAGTTTCACAGTTTCCAGTCTTGTGTTCAAGTATTTCATCCATTTTGTGTTGATCTTTACGTCTGGTGTAAGATAAGGATCCAATTTCATTCTTTTGCATGTGGATTTCCAGTTTTCCCAACACCATTTATTGAAGAGACTATTCTTTCCCCATTGTGTATTCTTGTCACCTTTGTAGAAAATGAGTTGACTGTATATGTGTTGGTTGATTTATGAACTCTATTCTGTTCCATTGGTCTATGTGTCTGTTTTTATGCCAGTGCCATGCTATTTTGATTGCTATAGCTTTGTAATATAATTTAAAATCAGGAAGCATAATGCCTCCACCATTATTCTTCTTGCTCAAGATTGCATTAACTATTTGGGGTCTTTTGTGGTTCACACAAATTTTTAGCTATTTCTTCTATTTCTGCTAAATGACTCATGAATACTCATTAATTCCTTTGATTAAGTAGAGATTTGAAGAACTTTCAGTTACTGTATCATGTGTTTCATATAAAAAAGCAATATATTTAGTCTTATCAATTTTATATTCCAAAATTCTTCTCCACTATTTTCTTATTTACACTTTTTAAATGTTTAAAGAACGTACAATCTTTTTTTTTTTTTTTTGAGATGGAGTCTCGCTCTGTCTCCCAGGCTGGAGTGCAGTGGCGCAATCTCAGCTCACTGCAAGCTCCACCTCCGGGTCCACGCCATTCTCCTGCCTCAGCCTCCCGAGTAAGGAATGTACAATCTTTAATCACAGTCTTCCTTAAACAATATAATACCTTTTTACATGTAGTGTATTATACCATACAACAACACATTTCTCCCACCCCACAATTTCTACCTTCCATCTTTTTTGGTATTATTGATAGAAGTTTTACTTTTACATATGTTATAGACACATAATGCATTGCTACTAATTTTGCTTTAACAGACAATTAGCTTTTAGAAATATTAAAATTTTTAAAAATAAATCCATCTCTACTTTGATATTTACCGTTTTCAGCTCCATTACTTGTGTAGAAAGACTCAAGTATTTTTGTGTGTGTGGTTTGTTTGTTTGTTTTAACACAGAGTTTCACTCTTGTTACCCAGGCTGGAGTGCAATGGAGCGATCTCAGCTCACGGCAACCTTTGCCTCCCGGGTTCAAGAGATTCTCCTGCCTCAGCCTCCTGAGTAGCTGGGATTACAGAAATGTGCCACCATGCTCGGCTAATTTTTGTATTTGTAGTAGAGATGGGGTTTCTCCATGTTGGTCAGGCTGGTCTTGAACTCCTGACCTCAAGTGATCTGCCCACCCTTGGTTTCCCAAAGTGCTGGGATTACAGGTGTGAGCCACTGAGACTGGCGATTCACGTTTTTTTTCTAGTGTCATATTCCTTCTGCCTAAAGAAGTTTCATTAAATTTTTTTTTGTAACGCAGGTCTGCTGGTCTCCTTGTTTTTCTTCTCGGAAAAGTCTGTTTTTCTCCTTCAATCTTTGAAGATAGGAAGAAAAAAACAAGAAAAACTAAATATAGAATCTGGGTGGGTCATTTTTTTCTTTCAACATTAAATGTTTCAGTCCACTGTCCTCTTGCCAAGAAGGCTGTTGTATTTGTTTTAACTTTTATATTAAGTTCAGGGTTACATGTGTAGGTTTGTTATATAGATAAACTCATGTCACAAGGTTTGTTGTACAGAATACTTCTTCACCCAGGAGTTAAGCCTAGTAATAGTTATTTTTCCTGATCCTCTCCATTCGCCTATCTTCCACCCTGAGCTAGGCCCCAGTGTCCATTGTTTCCCTCTATGTGTCCATGTTTTCTCATCATTTAGCTCCCACTTGTAAGTGATAACGTGTGTCTATCACATTTTCTTTATCCAGTCTACCACTGATGGGCATTTAGGTTGATTACATGTCTTTGCTATTGTGAATATTGCCACAATGAACATATGCATTCTGGTGTCCTTATGATAGAACTATTTATATTCCTTTGGATATGTATCCAGTAGTGGGATTGCTGGTTAGAAGGGTAGACCTGTTTTTAATTATTTGAAGAATCGCCCCACTGCTTTGCACAAAGGTTGAACTTATTTACAATACTACCAATAGTGTATAAGTGTTCCTTTTTCCTTTTATGTATTTATTATTTTTTTTTGAGACAGAGTCTCACTCTGTCACCCAGGCTGGAGTGCAGTGGCACGATCTCGGCTCACTGCAATCTCCGCCTCCTGGGTTCACGCCATTCTCCTGCCTCAGTCTCCCGAGTAGCTGGGACCACAGGCGCCCACCACCATGCCCGGCTAATTTTTTATATTTTTAAAAGAGATGGGGTTTCACCGTGTTAGCCAGGATGGTCTTGACCTCCTGACCTTGTGATCCGCCCGCCTCAGCCTCCCAGAGTACTGGGATTACAGGCGTGAGCCACTGTGCCCGGCCCAAGTGTTCCCTTTTTCTCCACAACCTCACCAGCAACTGTTTTGGTGGTTTTTGGTTTTTTGTTTTTTTGGCATTTTAATAATCCTGACTGATGTTAGATGATACCTCATTGTGGTTTTGATTTGCATTTCTCTAATGAGCAGTGATGTTGAGCTTTTTTTCACGTTCTTGTTGTGTGCATATATGTCTTCTTTTTATCTCTGTTCCTCCATGTGTAATGTGCCTTTTGTCTCCGGCTACCTTTAAGGTTTTCTTTCTCCCTCTGTCTTTTGGTTTTGAACACTTTGAATATGTTGTGTTTAGGAATTTTTAATTTACTTCTTTGCTATTTAAAAAATAGTTTGCTTGATGTTCTCTGATCTTTGTTAAATTATGGTTTCATGTGTCTCTCATTTTCATATGAATCTCAATTATTATTTCTTCAGATATTTCTTCTACCTCATTATCTTTCTATTCCTTGTGGGATTTATTTACATGTATGTTGGACTATCTGATATAGACCAATGCCAATATATTCTATTATTTTCTTTTACACTTTACTTTCTCTTTATGTTTTAGTTTGAATAATGTCTATTGGCATTTCCTCAGTGTCACATATTTTTCAAACTTCATCAAACTTTCTTCAAGTTCACTGATTTTTTCCTCAGCTGCATTGAGTATTTGCTGAACCTATTGAAATATCGTCATCTTTCTTACCATGATTTTTCGTTTTTACATTTTCATTTTACCTTCTGTCATTGTTTTACTCTCTGTGCTGAAACTCTTCATCGGTTTTTGCATGTTTTTGATTTTTTTTCACTAATGCTTTTAAAAAATGATCATACTTACTTCAAATTTACTGTTTGGTAGTTCCAAAATCTGGATCATATGTACTTCTGGTTCTGTTGGTTGCTTTTTCTCTTGCAAGTGAATTAATGTTCTGAAGTTTTCTCATGTCTTTTAGGATGAAAACTACACCATGTGTAGGGAAGTAGATAAGAAGGTAAATAATATTTATGCATTAAGATGGGCATTTTTTTTCTCTGCAGGCATTTAGTGGAGTTAATCTAAACTAGTGTTAAGCTGGGTAAAGGTTTAATTGTTGCTATGGTTACCATTGGTCTATCATAAGCTTCAAATTCCATTAGCATTTACCTTTTGCTTAGGGTTTGGGGTTAGATCAACAGAGATTTTTTTTCAGTGTTCTTTTTCTATCTTCTACTTTTGGCTTTCTCTCTGAGCCTGCACATTTGAGAGGGTCTCTTGCCACGTTTTTGTTATCCCCTTGGTGTTAGACTGCTGTCCTCTATTACTAGATCTCTGCTAACCTCATTGGAGGGTGAAGTGTAGGTGTACATGTCTATTGTCCTATTTCAATCTCAATCTTAGGCAAGACCTGTGTTTAACATTTTTAGAGTCTGGTTTTCTCTGTGATCTTGTCATTCCTCCAGCATAGAAGACATCTAATGTTCTAGATTAAATACCATTTCCTGTGACTTCCCCAAAGGTAGCAGGCTTTTTCTCTTCCCTCTCTCCAAATATGATAAATCTTCATAAGTTTTCTGTGAAGGTACATGACAAGGTTTGCTGCCCTTTCCTCAGTGGGATAAGACTCCCCCTCTTCCACCCAACACCAAAGCTTTTATTCCTTAAGTGAAGTCTGTACAGGGTTTTGTTTCCCCTAGCAGGAACTCTTTCCCTCCACAGGCCTGTACCACTGGAACGCTTTCTCTCTCACTACCTTTCTTGTGAGCACTCAGTGAGATTCAAGAATAGCCTGCAATTGAATGTGAACTTCCCTTCTGTCTAATATTCTCAGACTCAGGCATTCAGCCTCTAATAATCTATTTGAGAAGTTAGGGGATGACTCTAACTTTGTTCTTTTTGTTCAAGATTGTTTTGGCTATTTAGGGCCTTTTGTGGTTCTATACTAATTTAAGGATTTTTTTAAAATTCCTGTTAAAAATGACATTGGAATATTAATAGGGATTATAATGATCTGTAGATCACTTTGGGTAGTATGTACATTTTCACAGTATTAATTTTTTCCATCCATGAACATTGGATACTTTTCCATTTATTTGTATCTTCTTCAATTTCTTTCATTAGTGTTTTATATTTTTCAATATGCAAGCCTTATACCTCCTTGGTTAAGTTTATACCTAAGTATTTAATTTTTTGTTGTTATTATAAATAAGATTATTTCATTATTTTTTCAGATGGTTCATTATTAGTATTGGAAATACTACTGATTTTTTATGTTGATTTTTTATCCTGCAAATTTACTGAATTCATTTATAAGTTCTACCAGTTTTTTATATACTCTTTGGGATTTTCTATATGTAAGACCATGCTGTCAGCAAGTAGAGACAATTTCACTTCTTCCTTTCTTATTAGGATTCCTTTTCTTTCTCTTGACTAATTTTTCTGGCTAGGACATTCAACAGTATGTTGAAAAGAAGTGGTGAGAGTGGGCATGCTTGTCTTGTTCCTGATCTTAGAGGAAAACTTTTCAACCTTTCACCATTGAGAATGATGTTAGTTATGGGTTTGTCATACATGACCTTCATTGTGTTGAGGTATATTGCCTCTATATCTAAACTGTTGAGATATTTTTTTTCATGAAAGGACATTAAATGTTTTCAAATGCATTTTCTGCATCTTTTGAGATAATTATTTGATTTTTATCCTTCCTTTAATTGATGTGGTGTATGGCATTTCTTGATTTGTGTATGTTGAATCATCCTTGCATCCAATGGATAAATCCCACTTGAGCATGATGAATGATTTTGTAAATTAGTTGTTGAATTTGGTTTACTAACATTTTGTTGAGGATTTTTGCATCTATGTTTATCAAGGATGTTGATGTTTCATTTTGTGTGTGTGTGTGTGTGTGTGTGTGTGTTCTTCTCTGGCTCTGTTATTGAGGTAATGTTGGTCTTGTCAAATGAGTTTGGAAATATTCTCTCCAGCTCAATTTTTTGGATGAGTTTAGAAGAACTAGAATTAGTTCTTTAAATGATTTCAAAACATAAAGCAACTGTCATCAGAACAACAAGGTACTGCAGTAAAAACAGACACACAAAATGGAACAAAATAGAAAGCCCAGAAAGAAATAAACCCACACATTTATGGTCAATTGGTTTTTGACAGAGTTACCAAGAACATACAGCAGAGAAATGGTAGTCTCTTCAATAACTGGTGTGAGGAAAACTGGATATCCACATGAAGAAAAATGAAAAAGTACTCTTGGTCTCTTACTACATCAAAAAATCTACTCAATATAGATTAAGACTTAAAACTGCTAAGCTTCACAACATTGGTCAAGTTTTTGGATATAACTCCAAATACATAGGCAACAATAGCAAAAATAGACAAATGAGATGCCATCAAACTAAAGAGCTTCAGTGCAGCAAAGGAAACAACAAAGAAAAAGACAACCCACAGAATATAGAAAATATTTGTACTCCACAAATCTGATAAGGTATTAATATTCAAAATAAAAGCAACCATAACAATAGCAAGAAAATAAACAACCCAATTAAAAAATGGGCAGAGGAGCTAAACTGACAGTTCTCAAAAGATATATAAATGGAAAACAGGTACAATTTAAAAAGTGCTCAAGATCACTAATCATGAAGGAAATGCAAACTAAAACCACAATGAGATGTTGCCTCACATCTGTTAGAATAGCATTTTTTGAAAAGATGAAAGATAACAAGTGTTGGTGAGGAGGTAGGGAAAATGGAGCTCTTATAAATTGTGTGTGGGAATGAAAATTAGTACAACCATTATGGAAAACGGTATGGAGGTTCCCCAATAAAAAAAAAAATAGAACTACCACAATCCTACCTTCATCCTGCTTCCGGTTAAGTAAACTGGGCCTCTACTTATGTCGTATCTATCCTTTCTGAAATTTTAGGCTAATTGCATATCTGTGACTTTAGCTCCCTGGTAAGTTCAAGAAAAACTATGATTTTGTATAATATCTAGAATTGTCTTGTTAGTGTGATGACATAGGATGCGTGGCAATGTTCTCTAGAGCTTTCTATACACTAAGCAAAAGTCAAAACATAATTTGCAAATAGTATGTTTTTTATAATGGCCATTAAGACAATAATAAGGCCGGGTGTGGTGGCTCACACCTGTAATCCCAGCACTTTGGGAGGCCAAGGCAGACAGATCATGAATTCAGGAGTTCAAGACCAGCCTGTCTCTACTAAAAATACAAAAAATTAGCCAGGCATCATGGCAAGCACCTGTAATCTCAGCTACTTGGGAGGCTAAGGCGGGAGAATCACTAATAATAAATATCATGTTTAATTTTAAATCATTAAATTCTCAGAGTACAGGTCAAACCTTATTTAAAAAGATAGAATCTAAGGCCAGTGTAAATTTCAAAATCATCTATATTATATATTATTGTAGAAATATTGTTATGACTAAAAATAGTTGACAGGTTTGGGTACTATAAAAAGACAGATTTTAATTACTTTATTTCTGAAAAAAATATTTTAATTAGAAGGAGAATTTATGTTAAATAAAGTTTAAAAGAGAAGTATAATCAATAAACTTTGCTTCCCATACCCTCATTGATTGTGGGTGAACTTCAAGAATATTTTTGAATTACAGTTCACACTAAAGAAGGATGACTTAGATTTTCTTCCGCCACTTAGTGAACTTTGACAATATTTCTTCTGTACTTACTTCTTTGTCAATAGCATGTCTAGGACATTTCTGTCGAAAAGGTGGTCCTCAGAATATCAGTATGACTTCAGCTGGGAGCTTATTAGAAATATTGAATCTCAGGCTTCATTTCAGACCTGTATCACAATCTATATTTTAATAAGGTTCTTAGTTGATCTATATATACATAAGCTTTTAATATTTGACCAGTGCTTTACTTGACCCTCAGTTTACTTTAATCACTGGTCATATATTAAAAGCTAATGTATGTCACAAGTGATATGGCCATAATGAAATGTTTGATGAGTGACAACAACTTAGAAGGCACAGAGTCTTTTAGTTTTTTAAACTCAATGTGACCCAGCACAGCAAAGTACACCTTTCCACTGATAACACCTTCTTAACAAAAGTTTCTCAGAAAAAAGGAAGAAAAAGAAAACAGATTTTCTGAATTCAATAAATGAATTTGCTTCCTCTGAGTTGAATGACTCATGATGTTCTATCAAAGGTAGCCACAGAGATATATTATCGAGTATGTATGTAAGAGATATAGGACAACAATGGCAAGTCCTTGTCAAAAACTCAAATTGCTTCATCATTTTTTTCTTTTAAAAACTTACTATAGGCCAGGTGTGGTGGCTCATGCCTGTAATCCCAGCACTTTGGGAGACCAAAGCAGGTGGATCACCTGAAGTCAGGAGTTCAAGACCAGCCTGGGCAACATGGTAGAACCCCGTCTCTAAATACGAAAATAAACTGGGCACGGTGGCATGTGCCTGCAATCCCAGCTACTCAGGAGGCTGAGACAGGAGAATCATTTGAGCCTGAGAGGAGGAGGTTGCAATGAGCCGAGACTGCACCACTGCACTCCAACCTGGGCAACAGAGTGAGACTCCATCTCAACAAAACAAAACAAAACAAAACTTACTATAAAAATATTCAAGCATGCAAATTAAGTACAATAATCATGAAAGAATATCACCAATACCTAATTGAAGATATAAAATAATGAGTAAAAATATGTTATATTTATTTAGTATGCTTGCATGCATTGAAAAGTACAATTAACAATGTTTTTGATTTATTATATTGTAAATCGTGATGGCTTGGTGTGGAATTAAAAATTACATAGACTCACTAAATTATGTTTTAGATTGAATTGTCTTTTACTTTTCTCTGGAACAGTTTATATGTATGTGTGTGTGTGTGCATGTGTAGTGTTTTAAAATTATATATACAGTTTGTTAAATATGTAAAATGTTATACTTTGTATTTATATACATATATACACACACATACTATACACACACACGCACACACACACACACTATAAATATTCTCATTCACACACACAGTATATATATTCTGAGTCTCCAGAGAACCCAGGCTTATCCAGGGATACACTCCCAATTAAAGTATGCACTATCAGAAGTATCACTGCCTGCAAAAGGCAATGCCAAATAACGTATTTCTGTCTTCGCATAGGCACTGGAATTTGCAACCACAATTCTATCTTTAGACATGTTTGGATTTGAATTAACAAAACATAGGCGGTCTGGGAAATTAATGAATTTTATTAAAAGTGTTTATGATTTGACAGTATCCCTAAGCAACTAAGAGATACGCAAGAAATTCCTCTTTAGAGGTAATTACATCCAGGCCTTAAAGACGCCTTTGATGCAGATTCACACAACACCAATCCATGCAAAATAAAAGAGAAAAACCCATATGTTTGATATGATAAAAGGGACAGAACCAAGGTGATACAGTGGGTACAGGACAGCATTTTCAACTAAGAGGGGTGGAACAGATGCTTACATACACAACTAAAAATAGAAACTCAATCCTTGACCCTTACTTTGAAGCATATATAGTAATAAACTCCAAATGGATCCTAGACCAAAACTTAAAATCTTAAACTGTAAAATGTCTACAATAAAAGGTAGGGTAAAATTTTTGTGACCTTATATAAAGCAAGAATTTGGGGGATTGGGCAAAAAAAGTACAAATTATTAAGAGATAAATCAACTTCAAAGCTTAAAGGAGCTCTTCAAAATGCACCACAAGAAAATTAAAAGGCAAGCCACAGATAGGAAGAAACTATTCTTAACACATTGTATTGACAAAGACTGGTATCTGGAATATATAAATAACTATTACAACTCAATAAGATAAAAATAGTTGAATTTTTAAAAGTGTAAAATATCTGAAGTGACAGTTCAAAAAAGACTATTCATGCAGCTAATATATACCTTAAAAGATGTACAATATCATTATTTATCAAATAAATGCAAATTAAAATCACTATGTGATTTCACTACATATCCACTAGAGTAGGCACAATTAGAAAGACAAAAAATACTCAGTGATGGCAGGGATCCAGAGTAACTGGGACTACGATACTTTGATAATTGTAATGTAAAATGACATTGTCAGTTTGAAAAGCATTTTGGAAGTTTCTCAGGAAATTTAAAATGTACTTATTTCATCACCCAACAGGTCCATTCCCACATATTTGCCCAAGAAAAATAAAAACATATATTAACTCAAAGATCTACAACAGCTTTTATAGCAGTTAGCAAGAATGTACATGTCCATTAACTAACGAATGGTCCAACAAATATTCCTGAAACGGAATACTACTCTGAGATACAAAGAAACCTATTATTGATACTTGCAACAACATAGACAGACTTGAAAATCATCATGCTGAATAAAAACAATGCAGACACAAATGAACATATAGCTATTACCCATTTATATTAAACTCAAGAGAAGACGAGCCAAGCAGAATAGTGGTGGCCTTAGGTGAGGTATGAAGGTCACTGCAGATGGGAGCAAGGGAAATTTGAGATGATAAATATTTTATATCTTAATTGTGGTTGTATTTACAAAAGTGTATATATTTGTTAAAACAATTTTATTTTGTCATTTTGATTATTTTCCACCACATTATTTTTTAAAATGAGTATTAATTTTAAATATCAGATTACACTCAATTTAAAGGAAAAAAGTCGTAAAATACATTTGAAAAGTGTCAAGAATGCAAAAATATGAACAAAAAGGAAAAAAGTATATTAAGACAATGATAAGAACAAAGGTGAAAAAACTTCCAGGAAAAGAAATTGGAAAAAACAAATATGGGCTATTAAATCTCTGAAGCGTTAGTGACTAAAAATCGATGGAAGATATAAACCCTTAGACACAAGAAGAACACATTTCAAACAGGATATAAATCTAAAGTATACTCGAACATATTGAAAAAAATCTGTGGAATGTCAGAGACTAACAGAATATCTTAAAAACATCAATAGACAATAAGAGAGAACCTTCCGGTAAAAAAATAAGAAAACAGTGAAAAACGTTATAGAAGTTATTCTCAGCACCATCTTAACAGCAACAATGAATATTTTGGCATTTTATCTCCTTTATTATAATATAAATTCTAAACCTCAAGAAAGTACATTTCGGGCTTGGAAGTATTAATAAAAATAGACGAACAGAGAGAAGAAAGCTAAATTTAAATAAAAGAAACATGTCGTTTTCCCAAATTGAATCAGCTCTGGCAAGATTGCATAGTATAGTTTTAAAAAAAACTTTACATCTCGGGTCAGAAAACATATGTACGAATAACTATGTTGATGGAAAATAACTTGGCATACCCTGCCAAATCAACTCCTCTGGCTCTATCGAAGAACGCAGAGAGTTACAGAGTATTTAGAAAAATGGGGTTGTATATCTCTGCCAGTACAAACCTCAGCTAATCCATGACAAAAATAAATACATTGCTTTTCCTCTCAAACTTGCTTCTCCCCTCAGTGATATACTTTTCAAAACAACACAACTGTTCATTTAGTTAATCAAGCAAGAAGATTATGAAACTTACTGATTTTTCCTGACCCTCATCTGCCTTTATTCAATCGGTTAATTGCTGCTGTATCTACCTGTGTAATGGGGCTCAAACTGTTTTTTCTTTGTTTTTCCTCTCCATTCCCATTTACATTGCTTTATTTGACATTTTGGCCTATTTCAATTAGCAATAAATATTAATTTATAACTTAATTTTTACCATAATAAATCCTTATTGTACTTTCAAAATGAGTTTTCTGAATGAAAATATGATCATTTAACTCACCCACATAAAATATATTATGGCCTTATACTATGTGCAAAATAGAATTAAAATTTGTATTATATTTGATCATATTCACTTATGTTTAAATTGCTTTAATTACTGATATACTGGGGTCTGGTTTCTCCCATTTTGGAGCTTGTTCATTGTCCTTTAGAGCATTAGATTTACTTATTGTGATTTTTACTGGAGAGTGCATTTTTTGTTTTTGTCAGATTTACAATGAAGTTTAAAACATATCAATAAAATTAAGAGAGTAGAAAGACATATAAGTCTTAAATATATGATCTTGAAGATTTATTTTAAATATAGGTCTTAAATATATATATAACTTTTTCAAATCATGCAGAAATTCTTGGTCATGTGAACACATTTGTATGGCCATTGTCAGGGTAGGACTCTTTCAAGTGAAGTTCTCTTTTCAGCTTTCCCTTACCCATCTCTGCCTGGGATGGGTACTAAGACTCCTAAAAATAGAGCCAGTCGAGTATAATGCTTAGAAGATGTGTTTCTGGAAGGACACTGTCAGTGTTCGAATGTGCCATTTATTAGCTGTGTGACTTTCACTGAGTTACTGAAACTTTGTGTTTATAGTTCTTATACTTGTATCAATAACAGCACCAAATCCATAAGGTGGTTTGAAGGATAAGTGAGTGAACACATGTAAAACAATTAGAATGGTGCCTAGAATATAGCAACTGCTCAATAAATGTTAATTATCATCACGATTATAACTTAAAATGTTATACATAACAAATTGATCAATCTCTTGGTATGGGTAAGAAAAGTGCATTTTTCAAGACTTAAATGGACCCAAACATTTACATCCTACAAACCTGCTGCAGGCAAGTAGTAAGGATATGTTGCAGCCATGGAAGGAATAAATTAAGAAAAGGGAAGACTGGGGTCCCAAAAAGAGCAGTTCCATGGCAGAAATGCACCACAGAAAGGCAGGTGATTAGTTAAGAATACAAAACCACAGTGGAGCAGAAAAATTGAAGGTGAAGAGAGGGAAGTTCTAGCCAATAAAGAAGACTCAATAGGACTTCATTAGTTGGACAGTTTGTGAAAATAATTGGCTATTATAAAGCCATGTATTTCATTAAAAAAGAATCTAAATTATTACATTAAAACAGTATATAAGACTTATTTCTAAAATGTATTGTCATGTTTCACAGTGAAAACTTTTGCATAAATATAATAAAGTAAACGCTTGACTACATTTTCTTATCATTAGACAAAAACTAAAGATATTGCTATGCAGTGTTCAAAGAACAGAATGTAAATCATTAACCTGGAAAATACAGCATTACAATAGAGATTGCAGCTATCTAGAGGTGGAAGCAACTTAAGAGAGGAGTAATGTTTACAGTGCCTTCATAATAAGTCAAGTGATAATTAATGGAATAAATATGTTTGCCAAACTAAGAAAATTAATGCAGCAAACAGAGTAATTAAAACAGGGATATACATACGGTGGGAAGATGTTTGGGTGTAAGGTCAAATAAATGAGCAAAGTTCTCATCTATTGTGAGAGTAAAGTAATAGCTATTATCTGAAATTCATAAATTAAAGATATACGAGAAAGCGTATTAAGTATTTATGTAGTGGTAAGTGACAGAAGAATGACCTATAAGAGTCAAGGGAGCTTGCCTGGGAAACAGTAGTAGGAATTGGTAGATGATGATAGTGGGAGGAAATGGAGCCTTTTTCTTAACACTATTTTATTTTTCTTTTTAAAAATGTTAATATATTGCATTAATAATAACAGTAAAGGTAATATATTAAATGATAAATACATTTCATAGCATACAAAAACATGTTTATCCATACTAGCAATCAAATAATTACTAAATTTTAAAAATTACATGGGATTCTTATTTTCTTTCAAGTTAGACAAAAATTTTAAATTAAGGTATAAATAAGAGGCTACAAGTGATAGGATGGGCATACAAGGCTAATGGAACTATAATTTTTAAAATTTATATTTTATAGCAAATTAGCATTAAATGTTAAATATTTTTAAATTCCCTCTTTGTGGAAATCTGTTCTAAGTAGATAATCAGAAATTTAGATAAAAGTAGACTAAATTAGAATGCAAATATTAATAATTGAATATTATATATTGCACCTGCAATTTTAAAATGCTTGTCTTGATTTGAAAATGAGAATTATATAAATATATTACACAATCAAGAAATTTAGATTATGCATTTAGAAAGTGAACTGCATTAATAAATTAGTTTAAAATAAGAAAAATCAAGTCTATGAACAATTTGCCAAATATTCAAAATTATCAACCCTTCCCTCTTCATAATATTTGTAACAAAATAAATAAAATTATGTGATCATAGGCAAATTATATTTGTTTTATGTAAAGGAAGTTATTTGGGTAGATGATGTGTTTCCAGCATGTGCTCAAGGCATAGGAAATTGTTATTAATCTACTCATTGTAACTATGCAATAGACGATATAATCTCATAAGGAAAAATAATTGACTATTCTGTTCTCACAGCTAAATTCTCAGGATCCAGTAAAGTAACTCTCTCAGCAGGTGTTCATGAGCACTTGTTAAATAAATGAATTAATTAATGAAGAACTTAGAACCACTTCTTATTTTTGCTGTTGGGTTTAGAAGAGTATTTTACTGACCAGGGAAACAAAGATATGATCATTCGATGTACGCTGTACCACACCTGTGAAATCATAAGGGTCATCTATTGTATTCACAATATTCTTTGTGTGGCTGGATTTCTTGATTAAGTCACTATAGTTTTACAGGCTGAGGCAGCCATGAAAATGTTAGGATCCAAGAATTTACTGAAACCTGGATTAAGTAGATGACATTTCCACAATCCCTGGGCTGGATGGGAGTATGAGCCAAATTTTACATATATCTACATGTAGCTATAACTAGCATAGAAGTGTCATATTGGTCTTAGTTTAAAGGTCATAAACATTTTCCTAATCTTCAGAATAGCTAAGAAATTAACATCTTCATTTTATTTTCTAAGCCATTCAAATTCTGAACACATTTAATGTATTTATTCAGCATTTTTGGCATATTCTACTAAGACATTAGCAATTTTATGAAACTATTATATTGAGATCAGAAAATTAGAGAAGTAGACTCAGTGGAAAATAGAACAAAGAAAATATAGAACCTGTTTAAGCAGGATTTATCTAGGAAGGCTTTGATTGTGAGATGTGACAGAAAAAACAAGATGATTAATGCACCTTATGCTAATCAGTTTTATTTGTAGTCACATATTTTATATTTACTAAATTCTCCAACTAAAATAAGTTAGAATATTAAAATAAATATCATAAATACATTTTGTATACATAGAATATTGAGTTTCATCATGGTGCATATATATTTGAAAAGTCATAATGTCAGAACTTTATATTTATCAAAAGACTCTTTTCATAGCCTGTGAATTTTTTCTTTTCTTCTTCCAAGAGAGTTAATAAAGAGCAAGAGAAAATTCACTGCAGCTGAGAAAAGGCAAACAGCTGGTACATAAACATGATTATAGATTCATTAGATCATGAATATATATTCAAACTTACCTGCCATTCCAAGGTGAGAAAACTTTTAGTTATTGTCAAGGCCATAGTGTTGCAATAGCTCACTGGACTTGAGACTGCTTAAAATATTATAAATAAGACATCTAAGGCAATCTTATGGGGAAGAGGGAAACAAATGTAGCTGAAGCCAAGAAGAAAATAGAGCCACCCATATGGCTCTGTGAAACCACTGCCAATAAAATATATTCTCAGCAAATATAATTGCCTTTATTATAGGGGTTGACTATAATTCTAAGTACTATGAAAACAACTCTCCTTTGTCTAGAAGTAGTCTAAGAAAACACTACTCTTTCCCTGGTCCAATATTAAGCCCACACCCATAGACCTTATGTATCATATGTAGTGATAAGATCTGAAGAAAAAGAAGCATGTTTGAGTGAACTGATGACAAAAATGACTAAATATGTACTTAAACGCCTATAGTCTTTGAAAAATGGAGGAGAAATGATAATTTCACACATTTTGCATATAAATTCTGTATGCTGCAAGAAAAACATTCTTAAATCAGTAACTAAATTGGTTATACAGTGTGTCCAGAGATTAATAGAGGACTTTTTTTAAATGAAAACTCGAATTAGTGGCAGTTGCAAGCAACAGCTGAGATTACCTTTGAGAAATTTATAAAGCAAATTTCTTCAGAAATTATTTCTTCTTACTTTTCAGTGTTTAAGAATCAAAATCATAAAAGAGGTTCCGTATTTGCATTTTAACATTTGCATAATGCAAATACCTAACAATTTCATGGATTCTAGAAAAATATTATTAAAAAATACCATGTAATATTTTTGGATGAAACTGGCTCTGCCTATAAGTTTAACTGATGATGGCTCTGCCTATAAGTTTAACTGATGAACCTGGTTTCAATTCAAGCAAATCTGAAAATGTTGCATCTTTTCTTAATTATTTGTTCTACTATCATTCCACATTTTCATTTTATTCTTAAAAATATACAAAATAGATAGATTCATGTATTAACCTGCTTTCACACTGCTATAAAGAACTACCAGTAACTGGATAATTTATAAAAAAAAAATAAATACGTAAAAATAAAAACAGGGGGTTTAATTGACTCACAGTTCTGCATGGCTGGGGAGGCCTCAGGAAACTTACAATCATGGTGGAAGGTGAAGGGGAAGCAAGGCACATCTTACGTGGTGGCAGGAGATAGAGAAGGGGAAATGCCACACAATTTTAAACCATTAGATCTAATGAGAACTCACTAACTATCATGAGAACAGCAAGGGGGAGGTCTGTCCCTATGCTTAAATCACCTCCAGCCACCTCCCTGCCCCAACATGGGATTATAATTTGAGATGACATTTGGGTGGGTACACAAATCCAAACCATATTATTCCACCTCTAGTGCCTCCCAAATCTTATGTCCTTCTCATGTTTCAAAACCAATTATGCCTTCCCAACAGTCCCCAAAGTCTTAATTCATCCCACCATTAACTGAAAAGTCCATGTCCACAATCTCATGTGAAACAAGGCAAGTTCCTTCTGCCTCTGAGCCTATAAAATCAAAAACAAGTTACTTACTTCCAAGATACAATTGGGGGAGAAGCATGGGGTAAATGCTCCCATTCCAAAAGGGAGAAATTGTCCAAAACAAAGGGGCTACAAGACCCATCAAAGTCTGAAACAGCAGGGCAGTCACTAAATCTAAAAGCTCCAGATTAATATCCTTTGATTCCATGTCTCACATCCAGGGCATGCTGATGTAAGGGGTAGGCTCCCAAGGCCTTGGACAGCTCTGCTCCTGTGGCTCTGCACGGTACAGCTCCCATGGCAGTTTTCATGGACTGGTGTTGAGTGCCTGCGCTTATTCCAGGTGCACAATGCAAGCTGTCAGTAGATCTACCATTCTGGGGTCTGGAGTATGGTGGCTCTCTTCTCACAGGTCCACTATGCAGTTCCCCAGTGGGAACTCTGTGTGGGGGGCTCCAAACCCATATTTCCCCTCTACAGTTCCCTAGTAGACATTCTTTATGAGGGCTCTGCCCCTGCAGCAGACTTCTGCCTGTACATCCAGGCATTTCTATACATCCTCTGAAATCTAGGAAGAGTTGAGGTTTGGGAGTCAACTCTCAATTCTTGTCTTCTGCACAGAAAACCCATGAGCCCAACACCACATCGAAGCTGCCAAGGTTTGGGGCTTGAACCTTCTGAATAAATGGCCTAAGCTGCACATTGCCCCTTTATAGCCACAACTGGAGCTGGAGTGGCTGGGACACAGGGTGTCATGTCCTGAGGCAGCAAAGAACAGTGAGGCCCTGGGCCTAGCCCATAAAACCATTTTTTTCTCCTATGCCTCCAGGCCTGTGATGGGAGGGGCTGCCTTTATGGGCCTCTGAAATGGCATGAAGACATATTCCCTATTATCTTGGTGATTAACGTTCAGCTCCTCATTACTTATGCAAATTTCTGCAACCTTCAATTCCTCCTCAGATTTTTTTTTGCTACCACATGGCCAGGCTGCAAATTTTCCAAACTTTTATGCTCTTTTTCCCTTTCAAATATAAGTTCCAGTTTCAGACCATCCATTAGTGAAGGCATGTGACTGTGTGTTTTTAGAAACAGCCATGACACATCCTGAACACGTTGCTGGTTAGAAATTTCTTTCGCCAGATACCCTAAATCACCCCTTCAAGTTCCGAGTTTCACAGATTTCTCGAGCAGGGGCAAAATGCCACCAGTATCATGACTAAAACATAGCAAGTGTGACCTTGACTCCAGTTCCCCATAAGTTCCTAATTTCCATCTGGGAACACCTCAGCCTGGACTTCAGTGTCCATATCACTATAAGCATTTTGGTCAAAACCATTCAACAAGTCCCTAGGAAATTCCAAACTTTCCCACATCTTCCTCTCTTCTTCTGAGCCCTCCAAACTGCTCCAACTTCTGCCCATTACCCAGCTCCAAAGTTGCTTCCACATTTTAAGGTACCTTTATAGCACTGCCAAACCCTCCTGGTACCAATTTTCTGTGTTGGTCTATTTTCACACTGCTATAAAGAACTACCTGAAACTGGGTAATTTATATTTAGAAAAAAGAGGATTAACTGACTCACAGTTCTGCTTGGGTGGGGAGGTCTCAGGTAACTTACAGTCATAGCAGAAGCCAAAGGGGAAGCAAGGCACATCTTACATGGTGGCAGGATATATATAGAGAAGGGGGAACTGCCACACACTTTTAAAACATCAGATCTTGTGAGAACTCACTCATTAGGATGAGAACAGCAAGGAGGAAGTCACCCCCCATGATTCAATAACCTCCCACCAGGCCCTTCTTCCCACACATGGGGATTATAATTTGAGATGAGATTTGGGTAGGGACACAGAGCCAAACCGTATCAATTCACCACAATCCTTATTTAGCTATATTCTAGCACTAACTCACAGAGGTCTCATATTAAAATCCTTACGAGAAATGCAATTCAACTTTCTTCTTATTTTAATACATTGGCTTCATCTGAATATTTTGTTTCTAGAACACCAGTATCTAAGGTATTCATCTGAATATCTTGTTTCTAGAGTACCTTAACAAAATAATCAGATGAAACCAATAGTACCCAAAAACTCTAAGGAAGTAAAGAAATTATTCCAAATGAGACCAATTACTTCAGATAATCTGAACTCAAATAGATATGTGTTGACCTATATACAGGATGATTCAAAATTTGCTATCTTAATCTTTAGTGGACCTATTGGTATTTCTGTTTTGTTGACCCAAAATATTTAAATTGAGTCATATGAAAACAAGTGTTTTATCAAAATAATACAAACATTTTTAATATTTGGGAAAGAATTTGTGCAGCAAAATTCATTAAGTGAAATTAATTACTTTTTTCCTTAAGAGCATAACAGCACTTTTAAAATATAATTTTACTCAAAAATTATTATTTTTTTGCCATGTTAACTTTAAAGCTCATATTCAATAAGAAGTTAGGGTTAATGCCAATTTTGATGAATTATGGGTTGTACCATTGTAAATAATATTTTTGGTCAAGTTTTCCAAATAAGTCTATTATTTCTGGGTCACATTTTCATGGTGTTTTATTTGAAGTGTTATTCTTCTGTTAATTCATTCTTAAAGTGTTAATTCTGCAGTTAAAGCAATTACTAATTTTAGAATATGTACTTTTAGACATCTTTAATTTGATTTTCTATTGCATTTTTATCCAATTGTGGATTTTTATTTTTCTTAATCAACTTTTGTGGTTTTCAGATTTAGAAATTATAATGAGGATATAAATAATTTCTTATTTATACCAAATTATATTGAATGAAGCTTTAAAAATGTCTTTTTTATTTCTTTCTAAAATTACTTATAGTTAGGAATTGAAAATAATTGTTATGTGGTATGTAATTCATAAGAAGTCACTCCATATTGCTTTATTTTCTAAATTAGTGTGTGAGTTACACATTTCTTAAGTACATTTATGATAATATCTATGCCTTATAAGTGATTAGAGGTCAGGTGCAGTGGCTCACTCCTGTAATCCCAGCACTTTGGGAGGCCGAGGTGGGCAGATCACTAGGTCAGGAGATTGAGACCATCCTGGCCAACATGGTGAAACCCAGTCTCTACTAAAAATACAAAAATTAGTTGGGTATGGCGCCGCATGCCTGTAGTCCCAGCTACTCAGGAGGCTGAGGCAGGAGAATCGCTTGAACCTGGGAGGCGGAGGTTGCAGTGAGCCGAGATTGCACCACTGTACTCCAGTTGGTGACAGAGCGAGACTCTGTCTCAAAAAAAGTGATTAGAAAGGTTACAATAATTTCAGAGAACTGAGGCATTCTAATTTTAAAGCAGATATTGTAGGTCAAAAATAAGCATTAAAAATAGAATAATTAGAACAATTTGATAAACTTTTAGAATTCCAAGTTATATGTAATTCTGTTCTTGGCTATCTAAAAACAGAATTATCAGTAAAATAGGTCATCTTAGAAATCCTGTTTATGAAAAAAAAATTCTCTAATTCTAGGTGAGCATTATCTTTATGTCACAGTATCCAAGGATTGCTGCAGTTTTGTACATTTAGGATAAGCAAAACCATCTAAGTATTGAATATATAAATCAACTCACCAGCTACTCATTCATTAAATACTGGACTGTCTATAAACTTTGTTTTTCATACATTTTCATTTTGTTTTCTCCTTGGATTTAAATCTTGGTTTTTTCTTTGACTGCTGTATCATTTTTGTAGTAATATAATTCAGGATATCTTTTTGTTACTGATATAAAAATGCTATGGATGACTTAAAAGAAATGACACCCCAGGAGTAACAGCAAACTCAGCACCCAGATCTTTGTTTACAATAACATTCTTCAATGAAAGGCACTAGGTCTCCTTGGAGAAATGGCTGATTTTTGTACTAGAGCTGGAAACATTCAAAATGAGCCTAGAGAATCTGGTAGTGCCAGAAAGTAAGAAAATGCTCAAAAAAAATTTAAAAAATAAAATGCATTGATTGGAGTGTGTCAAAAGAGGCATAGGAGACAACCGAAGAGCTTCCAATAGTAAATGCTGTAACAATTTGATGAAAAAATAAAGTAGTTGAATAGGATTATAACCCAAATTATAAAATACATATCTATGAATCCATACTAATGTAAACAAATGACTGAAAAAGAAATAAATGAGGGAGAAAGGGCAAATCTCTTAAGAAAGAATTCCAAATAGTTTATGTAGATATTTGCCCTCAAGAAGGTGAAGCATAATTCTCCACTCCTTAACTGCACACTGTACATACTGACTTTCTTCTGAAGAGTAAATATGGAAATTAGGGTGGAAGAACACATAACTTGACGGTGAGGAAACTTAAGAAACACTATTTCAGCCAGGTGATCAAGCTCAATGTCAACAATTAAATAATGTTGGTAAAGCACACCCTGGATATTTGATGTAAATGACACTTTACCTCTGCTAACTTCCTCACAAAACCCCTAACCTCAGTATAATCACGAGAAAAACATCAGAGAAACTCCAATAAAGGGCACTCCTACAAAATATCTGACCAGTGCTCCTCAAAACTGTTAAGATAAAAAATTACTAGGAAAGTTTGAGAATCTGTCACAGCCAAGAGGAAGTCAAGAAGCCAGGACAATTAAAAGCAATGTATTCTGGATGCAACTGTTGAGCAATACAACAGACTTAAGTAAGAGCTAAGGATACATGAATAAACTATGGACTTTAATTGATGATAACGTATCAATATTGGTTAAATAATTTTAATAAATGTACTGCATTAGTATAAGAAGTCAATAAAAGGGACAACTTTATACAGGGTATATGAGAACAGATTATTTTCTTCTCAATTTTTTCTGTACATCTAAAACGGTTCTAAAAACTAAGGTATATTACAAATACTATGGCTTACTACTGTTAAACATTTTCCCTATGGTACATATTCTGTAGCCACAACAGAATTCAAATATTCAACACACAACTAGACTCATGGCCTAATGCTCCATTCACTGAGTAAGATTAGCAGAAGTCATCTTCCAGCTATATCAAGCAATAAGAGTTTTAACAGTGAAACACTCAGGTGCTCCGGATGTCTATCCTCATTTTGTGAAGAGTGCTTACACAGTACTCGTCCATGAGCCATTTAGTTCACAGACAGCAAGCCCTGAAGTTTCCATAGGATAACTTATTCAAGCATTACTTTAAAATTCCACTTATTTGAGACTTCTTTCATCCTACTTATGAACAGGATGCAGTAGACTATGACCAGTTGTGACTCCTGCTGAAAATAGAAAAAACATTGATAGAGGAAATCATATTTTTCACATTTACTATTTTTTTAATTAATATATTTTATTTCTTGGAGCAGTGTTAGATTTACAGAATAATTAGACAGACCTAGTGTTTCCATATACTCTTTTTCTGCCTGCCCAATTTCTCCCATTATTAACAGCTTTTATTAATGTTGAGCATTTGTTTCAATTTACGAACAAATATTGATACATTATGAAAGTTCATAGTTGGCATTAGGGTTCACTTTTTCTGCTGTGCAGTTCCATGGGTTTTGCCAAATACATAGTGCCATGTATCCATCATTACAAAATTATATTCACAGCCCTAAAAATTATCCGTGCTTCACCTATTCTTCTCTTAACCATTCCCCTAGCCCTACTCTAGACACTGGCAACCACTGATGTTTTTGCTATCACTATAGTCTGTTTGGCTTTTTCAGTATATCACATCGTTGCAATTATACAGTATGTAGACTTTTTAGACTGTTTTTCACTTAGCAATATATGCATTTAAAGTTTAACCATGGCTTTCATTGGCTTGAAATTTCATTCCTTTTTATTGTTGAATAATATTTTATTATGTGGATGTATCACGCACGGTTCAATTATTCATTCACCTATTGACCGATATCTCAGTGGTTTTCAAGTTTTGACAATGAGAACACTCCATGTGACATGATAATCAGGATTAGCTCAACAGAACATTCTCTCTGGGGGTAAGGGGGGATGAAAATCATCAAGGTTACTTGAACTGGCCTGACCATTCACCAACACAAAAAACAAGGCTGGATTTACCCCTGGAACATTTGATGTATTCTGAATCCTGGAGTGACACGGGAGTCTGGATGTCTGGGTCATAAATACAAAGTAAAATCATACAACATACAGTGTCACACTGCTTGAAATACAAGGGAGTGCTGACAACACAAACACAGTCTCTCCCTCATAGCATAGGTCAGACTCTCAGAGTGTGTAGGATGAGGCTAAGGAGCTCAACTAAAAACCTCTAAGAGACAGAATGTGGTCTTTCACATTTGTTAGCTCTGAGGACTCAGAAACTTGCCACATTCTCAATGACTGGTAGAGAACCACCATTTAGGTTTTGGCCTACTAAGCTTCTACAGAAACAAATGTTTTGTAAATTAAAAATAAACTCGAGTAAATACCGAAATCTTAAAGATACCGAAGGTGAACAAAGCAACCCAACTGGATGACACTTGAGGGAAGGGAATGCCCCAGAGTGGATTTTATGACTTTTGGCCTGAGGCAGGCTGCTGGCAGTGCTACTTGGATAGCTGAATCTTTGAAAGAAAATGTGAAATCTTTCTGGCATGAGGAAGAAAAGTACTGAGTTTTAGACAACCATAGGGCTGGACAATGGGAGAGAAACCTGAGGAAGGAGAGAACCAGAGAAAGAATGCTCCAAAATCTGTGTATAACCATTGCCTAAATATCTAGGTTACCCTTGAACCATACAAACATGGGACAGACACCAAACAGCTAAAGCTAAGAATTAAAGAACTGAATTTAGGATTGAGCTTCCACATAAGACACTGTGTTGTTTGAGTCAACCAAGTTAATTGCCTAATAAAACACAAAAACAAATTGAGCAAATATTTGACATTTTGATGCTTCCAGCGATCTTATTTTTAACACTTATGGCTTCAGCCGGGATACTCCCTTTTAGTTATACTTAATTTTTATAGAATGAATGATTGTAAAAACTATTTAAAATTATTTTGAAATAAAGGCATACATGAAATAGTTCAAAAGCATTTGTAATTTTCTACTATGTATGAAGCTACAAAAACATACATTTAAATTACTGTAATATTACTTACATTGCTTTCTTTATATGTGTAGCAGTTTTGTCACTACAATATTTGCTTTTTCAAACCATTTTGCCACACCAGAGGCAATTTTGCATGTCATTTCTTTCGGGAATGCCAAACTTTATCAGAAAAAAAAAACAAAGAACCATGAAGCACCCTTAAACAGAACCTAATGCACACAGATTCATATAATATGCAACTTCACACACAAAAACATTCACTGTGTGAAGTATTGAAACCAGTTTGTGCTGCAAAAACATGAACATTGATGATTTCTATTTTAAACAATTCCTGACCACTCCTCTAAATTATTTACCTGGTTTTCTACCCATGCATTCATGCATGCATGCATCCATCCATCCAAACATCCATCCATCCATCCATCTACCCATTCCACCATTCACTCATCCATCTGGCACAACAGCAAAAACTGAATTATAGAAATACTCAGACAGGAGAGAATGTCCATTCTGACTAAGGGTCAATGAACTGACTACTACACTTACAATTTATAGATTTCACAATTAGAGCATTTTTTCACAAAATAATTTCTGTATCCATATGTCTGATTTTTGTTCTTTCTGTGCTATCCACATAATTTCAAATGCTTGAGCTATAGATTAAATTTGCATGGTGTAATTTTTTTTCCTTTGGTCCTGTGCCACAATGCTAGGTAATCCAGTAGAGTGTAGAGTAATTCCTAAAATGGGAATGGCCAGCCATACTCTGCAAGTCTTAGAAATACATTCCACTAAACCAAAAGTAGAAGATTCCCCAACTCAACAAGGACTCAATAAGGGCTTTTGAGTCCTTAGTTGGACTCAAAAGGGCCCATGCTTTTGTCCAATATCAGCCAGTAGGAGAGAAAAAGTGACAGAAAGTAAGATAAACAATTAAGAGGTAGTAGTTTTTAGTAATTGTATTTAAAATCTTACTTTGAAAATCTTACAAAAATATAGAACTTGAAGAACAAACATCCTGAGCCCTTGTCTAGGCTTTGGAAAAATCTCATGAAAGTGAAAGCTCCAAAGTTTGAGCTTTGTTATCTTCATTGCAGTATTGTCAATTTTGCTAATTACTAGTTGAAATTCCTAATGAACGTACAGACAGAAGAAAACCTTACATGTTTTCATACTTACGTTTCCATAATGAACAGCAATTTAGCAAGAGGGGCAAAATATAGAATATTTTCCTCACTGATACATGAAAAGCAGAGGAAACTCTATTTTCTAAAATTATGCCTATGTAGAAGTTATTTTGTGAGCAGAAAAACCATACACTTTAGATATTTTTATGTCTGTTTTGTTTCAAAAGTTTTGAAAAAGAAACATAAATATTTTGGAAACTTAAAATTGTTCAAATAAGACATCCATTCAAATCTCCTCATTAATAAAACCTATCTCTGTATTTTATAGCATTGTTTTTGCACTGCCTAAGGAAAAAGGATAACACCTCTTTGCCTGGTATTTGAGGGTTTCTAAAAAACTATTAAAACCTCTATTCAACTAAAATCTTTTGTATTTTCAAGGCTTCAGCCAAATGTATTTACTTTCTTTTTATATGGGCACCACGTATTTTCTCATCACCCATGCTCTTTCTTCTGGAATATTTTCATTCTTTCTTGTTTTGAATAAGTCCTATCTTCAAGAACCAGCTCTTTAATAAAAGCATTCTCTCTGTACTCAAATTCACGCAACAATGTTTCCTTTTACTGTTTGAAAGACTAGGAATCTGTGCCTTAAAAACTAGCTCACCTTTCCTACTAATTGCAAGCTCATAAAGATAAAAGACTGCATATTTTCACTTTGATATCCCCTGTTCCCTTGACAGTACCATACAGAAATGTCTAGACAATAATTATTTGTTCAAAATACAGACAAAATTATACCCAATACATTAATAAAAATAACATAGTTACACCTAATTTGGACCCCCGTGGATCATCTCTGGGCCATCTCTGTTCTAAAACACAGCAAGCCTTCTTAACCTCCTGTTTATCTGATTAGATATTCCTAGTATACATATTTGAAGTTAAAGTTGCTGTAAGAAAAATCTAAATATTTATGAATATTTTCTGCACTGTGCATACACATTTATTTTATCTTTATCTTTAGGTTCCATTTCAATGCACTGACCTAGTTATTTTGACTCAGTACAAAACAACAACACCACCACACCACCTTATTTATAGTAGTTACATTGTAGAGTATAAATGGGAAATGCCTGCTTCTCTCATAAATCGTCAAATACCACAGGGAATGTGAGAGAGTGATATACAAAATCCATCTTTAAAAAACAAGATGACAGAGGGTTGCAAGGAGGCTAAAGAGAACCCCTACAGGTTCAGATTTCAGGGATGTGTGGCTAAAAATTATTTTCTAAAGGAGGCAGCACATCCTGAAAAGAAAAATAATCACCCCTTTTTTAAAGCAACCGTAACATGGTCCAGGGATTAACATGAGCTTTCTTGGACACGTTTACCATGAAGAAAGAGCTGGAAAAGTTAGAATAAATGAGAAATCCTTTAGACATGCCATATTTGTAGGAAGCTGCCTGTTGGTGAGAAAGTATGGTTAAAAAGCAAATTATGAGCAGCCCTGTATCTACAGATACCTGACAGCAGGAAATAATAAAAGCTAACACAAAATCACAAATATACCCTGTGTCATAAATAACTCTACTGAAACTGAAGGGAATTTTCCTTATGCTTAGAAACTCTTCATTTAGTAAACTTTTCTAGCATTTAGAATTTTCCTGCATTTATATATTATTTAACAGATAAAATTACTTAATTAAAAAAAATAAACTGCCTGTATGACTGCTCTAACATTAGGTAGTTAGTATCTGCTTTGCTTGTGTGCTTGTTTTTCAGAAGGTAGTAGCAAGAGCAAGACCACTATGTATTTCAGCATATTACTAAGGCATCCTCCTGAATTTAGCACTATTGTTCTCCTTCCACTCAGTAGTGTGGTGAAAATTAATAAAATAATTACTGGAAACAGTATTATTTCTTTCTAGATAAATGTTTATTACTATTGTTATTATGATACTTACCTAAGTCCAGTTAATATTATAAACAGAAAATAAGGATAGGCAATGAATATAATTCCTTAAACTTGAATGTCACGTGCATTTAAAATAGATCATAGATTTATAGGTAGCAGCAGCTCTGAAGAAATATATTTCTCAGATGTTGGCTGAATTATAGGAAATAATCCTTGAGTGAAGTGAAAAATTCTATAAGCCACTTACTTATTCACATAACCCAAATAAAAATATTTAACTCATTGTGTTTGATTCCAAAACTGTTGAGATCACTAGTTTTTATGCCCTAGTTGCCTCATTTCAAAATGAAATATAATAGCCTACAGACTCTTTGTTATTTAATGTTTTTGTTATTCCATTATTAGAGGTAACTGAAAGTTGAATAGAATTTAGAACTGAGTGTTAATGGTCAGTAGGTAATGTTTAGATTTTGCTGACTTAATTATTTCATTCAAAACATGTTCACACATTGTGCAAATACATTCTTATGTGAAAAGCGTTTGTGCAGTCTACTGAATACATGATAGTAGCAGATATATATAATACCTACGATGTTAGTAATAACAGCATTTGTGAGCTGGTAAGTAGCACTTTCAGGACATGAAACACAAAGCAATGAAGCAACGCTTCATTCATATCCTTCTAAAAGCAAACTTGATTTTGATACTTTGGTTGGAATAGTGGAAGTGAAAAACCTGCCTTTACATTCACAATAGCCTCTTGTTTGCCTAAGAAATAATACCACTGCTGAACCAATTGTAAATGCAAAGTAGAAAGCATTATGAAGAAAAGCAAAATGCAGTCGTGCTTGCAAAGTCTGAAATGTAGTCACTACAATAAGAACATACATTAGCAGGTGTGCAATTGATGACTGACAGATTGAATTAACAGATTTTCACACAACTCCATAGAAACACAAATAAAGCACAATAAAGAAACATAGGTCCAGTCAAAACATTAGGATGAAGCATGTGATGTGTCAACTTTGTAGATTTCTGCAGTTTGTGTGTGTGTGCACTCATGTGTGCCGGCACATACACATATTCATGCCTCCCAACTTAAAGCTGTAGAGATTTTAATCAGTATACAGGGGATGACATAAGGGAACCAATAACTGGGGTAAAGACTGCCTTCCAATAATGCAAATTGGAAAAACTGATTTAGAGTAAATGAGATTAGCCGTCTAATAAAGTAACTAAAAATAAAGCATAATCTGTAATCATTGAATAAAATGGATCCTGAGTAGCCTTAATCTAATCAAGGTGTCTAGAGTATAGTCTGTTTTACATGATCATTTCCGTAAGTAAAACTTAGTCAAATATGTTATCTATATGGGTCTTGAACTGATATAATTTTTAAAACATTTATTATTTTCAAACTTATATCTATAGAAAAATATATCTTACTGGCTTGTGCAAGTAATTCAGATCCTATAATTGTGCTGATTTAAAATAAATAAATATTTTTTGAGTAATTATTGATCCATAACAAATACAAACTTGGTAAGTATCCATTTATAACTGTACATTATCAAGGTAAAAGTACACTAATGTAAAGAGGAGTCAGGGCTTATTCCATGACTATTACTCTTTTTCCTCAATATCAGAAAGTCAGAATTATGGATAAGATATTTTTGACCCTTCCTTGTGCTATCAGCATCTCCATGGCCTGGATAAGGAAGACAACTAACATAAATCTATTTATTCATTAGTCTTGTTAATACTAATTAAGTACTTTGTGTTCAGAGCATGCACTTATTTAAAATATGTTGAAAGCACAAAGAAAAATGAAGCATTTTATTCTTCTTACTCAAGGTGATAGAAGTCTAGTCACCCACCATCACTGTAAAAGAAGACAGTTTTTTAGGGCTATCACTTTCTTCATTTCTAATGACTTTGCTGGATCTCTTTCCTTTTAGGATAATTTATGTGTGATGATATAACTACCTATTCTCAATGTGAGATTTCTTGGGAATTCTATCTAAAGGAATGTCATTGGCACTTCAAAGAATGCAGTGGAAAATAAAGGTTTATAATATCATGGAACTAGTTTTTCGGGTGGAGAAACAGACATTAAGCAGATAGCTATGTATTTAAGTATTTAGTGTTAATAAGTCCTACAAGTAAACAAGGGGTGCTAAACAGCACATACATGGAAATTAGAGTTAGTGTGTTAGAGAAAACTAGTCTGAAAAATATAAGTTTGAGATTAAAAGAATAAATAAAGAATAAATATAAAACCGAGATGTTTGGCATTAAGAGAGAGTGTAAATTGTCAGGAAGCTCAGAATTCTATTAAGCACTCAAAATAATGACCTTATACAATAAATTTCTTTCCATCTAAATGTTTTCTAATCTAAATGTTTCTTCTTTAATCTTCATTTTAACTCGCCTATAGCTTTTGTTGAGATGTAAGACCTTTAAAAGACAGTCATTATAAGTGTGATTTCCCAAAAACATACTTAAGAAGCAAAAATCATTTGTTCTCACAATTGCTATAGTAATACAAAAAAATCCAAATATCAAACACTTTCCTCTACAAGTTATCTCTTAAGCACTTGAGATTATTTGCAAATGAATCTTTTATAGTGGTCTCCAAGGACTCTCACTTACTGCAGCTTTTTGTCTTTCACAGGTGAGAAATTTCAAGTGCCTACAATAATTTTACTTGAGCCTTAACTATCCTTTCAAAGCAGGTGCAAAAACCTAAAGAGCCATGATATTCATCACTCAGCAAGATTTTTATGTATCTAACATTGAAAGAAAGGTGCAAGTTTTATTTGAGATTACTTTAAAAAATCCTAAGAGAACTGAATTATCCCTCAGCAACTTGCCTCACATAAGCAATTTATTCACAATTACGTTGATTATCCCTTGTCAGACTTCCAGGAATTTCACTTAAATTCACACTCCCATGCATATTCTGAAAAATGATCTTATTCAAATTGCTAAATAAGGGAAACAATGTCCTTAAAAATAATTTTTAATAGGGCAGAAGATGTATATATTGGTCTCCTTGGGCTGCTACCACAAAACACTACAGATCAGGTGGCTGATCTATATAATCAATATAAATCAATATAAATCAAAAGAAATCAATATAAAAATTGATTTCTTACAATTTTAGAGGTGGGGCATTCCCAGATTGACGGGCAGGTAGATTCAGTGTCTGGTGAAAGTCTGCTTCCTGGCTCATAAATGGCCATCCCCTAGCTAAGCATTCACATAAAGGAAGAAGGGCAGGGCCCACCTGGAGCCTCTTTTATAAGAACTCTACATTCATGAGGACTCCATTCTCATGACCTAATCACATCCCAAAGGCCCTACCTTCTAATAACATCATCTAGAGGGTTATGATTTCGACACCTGAATTTGGAAGGGGATACAAACAGCCAGACCACAGTAGGGTAGTATCTTAAATAAGATGCTAGAACTATACGTTGCTCTGTGCTAATAATATAAAATTGTGTTTACCAATTGTTCATGCAAAGGTACAACAGGAATTTTCATCATGAATTTGACCACAGTCAAGTATTAGGAGCATGATCATATATTACTGCCATCACAATATATAATTAACGTAGAAAAGTAATTCATATAAAAAGAAAAATTGTTTCCCATAAGTGATAAGTTTACTATGAAATCATAAAAGTAAATTCAGGTATAAAATATATTATCAAATATTTATGTATACTTTTTAGATATGGTCAATTTCACAGGATCTTTCTTAAGAGAATTAAGATGTTGCAAAATTAAGAATAACCCAAAAGTTATTGTTATTTTTCTTTGGATTCAAATCACAGAAACACTCAGATATACATCTTTACTATGTTATGATGCCAAATGGTATATCCAGTTTGACCTATTCAGTAACAGTTATTAATTAGGTACATAAACAAACAGAGGACTTGTAGAAAAATCAACTTTTATTGACAATGACATGCTTGAAATTTTTTTTCCTGTATCTAAGACAAAACCCAAATATTTATCTCCCATTTTCATGACTTTTTCTTCATAGTTTTGTACATACAGACATCTTTAGTTTTCAAACTAATGAAGATAATTGTTCATTAATATTTTCATGCTTACAAAACATAAAACACTAGGATCTTGCAGGCTTTTTATTAAAGAAAACTAGCAAACATTGTTGAAACCTGATTCAATAGGAAAAATGCTTTGAAGGCTAGAGATAGTGTGGCAGTCCAGGTCTCCCTAATGGCTGAACAGGCAGGCCTCCATAACAACTGTTTCAGCACTGACTAAGTGGTTAAGTTAAATATTTTAAAAGCTGACAGAGCCAGTGCAATTATACAAGGACTGGAATATAACAAAAGCCCACCAAGAGTTTTGCCTAGGACTTTCCTGGGCCTTAAATCATGACAAGATAATGAAGAAGTTCTTAATAGGACCAGCTTAGGATTCAACAAATTTTATTGGGGGTCCGAAGAAACTCCATAGACCTCCACAAACAAGTTTATTGGGGGTCTGAAGGAACTCCTCAAACCTCCATGATTTAGCAGGAGACAAGATAAAAGTAATCACCCCAGCACCTGTACCCATTTAAATTAAGTAAATTTACTGAGGATTCAGAGGAAGGTATTGAGGACTCAGATCTTAGTTATAGATTAAAAGAAGTTAATCACTTAAGTCTTTAGATGAATTCACACTTACACATAAACACATAGCTTAGAAGGTATATAAGCTCTGGAAAACTTAGTAACTTTGAGTTTGTGTGGAGTTATTTTCCAGGCCTTCTCCTTGTACCTGGTTACAGAAATAAAAACTCTATTCTTTCTCAGTTCATCTGCATGTTGTTATTGGGCCAAGAGAACAAGCAGCCCGACACACAGTTTGGTTCAGGAACAATAGCGTTTTTTTTTTTTTTTTTTTTTTTTTTTTCTGAAGAGAGTTACAGACTTTTTCCCACCCGTCTGTTTACAACACAGGGTAAGGAAGCCAGAGAGCCTTCCCCCCTCCACAGAGATTTGTTTATATGCTAGTGTTTCTCTCTCCCTAGAGGGGAGGATGGATCAATGTGCCAACCACCCTGCTTATGCTCCAAGTCTCATAATTCCATCATCATTCTCCTGCAGCACAATCCCACTGCATGCATGAGATAACATCATGTTTTTACCTTATTGTCCTGTGGGAAATGGAGCAAGGAGAACCAGTGCTAAGATGTGCTGTAAGTAATAAACAGACAGTCTTCCGATCCCAAGACCTCATGTTTCATATCAGAATACCTATATCTAAACTTACCCATATGAAAGCAAGATTCAATGACAAAAGCACTAGAACAAGACAAAATGCACTTGCTAAAGGGTTACTTTGCAAGGAAGTCAGACCTCAGAAAGATTTGCTCATCAAATACACACAGACACACACACATACACACACACACACACACAAATACACTCACACAAAGTATTTCAGGACAAAAGAAACTGCAAAATTACAACGGTTAGCATGTTAATACCAGTTATGGAAAATAGACTCTTTCTCAAATAATTTCTATATCCACGTAGAATGTAACATGTCTTCCAAAATCAGCATTGCACAGCCCAGGGATAAAGGAAATTGCTTCTGAGTTTGTTTTCTCACTTCCTAGTCAGCAACAAAAAGAAAATGCTTAAACTATTACACTGTTTGTTTGTTTATCTCAGGGTACAAAGTACGCCACACTTTATCAACTCTAGGAAATTCAATTTATATTTATTCCTGATGGCAGTTAAACAAAATGTCAATTTTGGTTCCCCAGTTCCTCCTTGTGATCAAACCTCTGCTCCTAAGGCACAGTTTAAACACAGAAGGTGATGTTGAAATGTTTGGAATTCAATACCATTAATTTTTTCATTGCCCATGTTTATTTGCATAGATATAACAAAATATGTTAAATAATATGCCAACACTTACTTGTCAAGAGATGTTGATTAGTGGGCAAAGCCATTCTTATTTTCTGGTTAACAAAACTGGAACCTAGACAGTCTTCTAAAGTCTCTAGGGTTGTAATTTATTTCAAGGAGTCAGAGGTACTTCATTTCCCATATCAACTTCTCTGAAAAGATCAGAAACAAAGAACCTTTGAATCTAACTGATCCATGTTTCACCTGTGGTACCTATAACTATAAAGGTATATTCTGTCTTTTCTGAGATCCCAAGGTTGTTAATATTCCTTTCCTGCCAGAAGGTAATGTTCTTTACTGCCTTTGTCTGTAATTTTATAAATTGTAGAAAGATAACAGCCTTGCTTCCAGGTATCATTTTTAAATGTGAAAAGAGGTCCTATATTATATTTATCATACCTAACTCAAGAGATTTCTATCATAGTTTAGCTACATATTTGATTTATCTAATTATATCCTTTTAGGAAAAGGGTACATTCTTAAACCTAAATAAAGAATTACATAGCTATCAAAAGCAAAGAAATATGGTCAATGTGCTGGAAAATATTTAAAAACTGTCACTATTGTTTTGAACATATTTGTAAACAAGATCAATTAATATTTATAATTATTTTCCAAAAGTGTAATTATTAAGTGTTTTTTCCCTGAAAAGTATTACCATATAAACGTTGATAATCATTTTGGTAAGATAATTGGTTTAATTCTAAAGGTTAGCTATATCCCTTAGTTTAAGGGATATATCCCTTAGTGATATATAATATATGATAAAATCATTGTTGAATTCCTGTTTGTATCAACTTTTAGGTACAAATAACATACAAATAATGTAGCTCTTCTATATGCACATAGATATATTTAATATTTATATTGTATAAATGTAAATTATTTTTTCAAGATAAAATACACCGTACTTTTTCAAGAAACAACAAACATGCAAAATTAATGTTGCTGAGAGAAGAGGCAGAGGTGAGAAGATACCTACAATTAAGTTATATTATACTAAGATACTCCATACCTTCATGAACATTATGAAAAATAGTTGTTGGCTTAAGTTATGACTTCTCTCTGTGACAAAAGGATCTGGTTGGTAATAGAATGAACCAGTACTTTAAGAAGAAAATACTAAATAGAGAGATGAGTTTACCTGTTTTTGGTAAAGCAACTGACTTTTGTTATGATGTAAGACATAAAATGGTGTATTGTGGTGTTAGAAGTTGAGGGTTTTGAATAAATCTATTTGTATGGAATGATGTTTATTTTACCTGAAATTGGTTAAATGCTCAAATTTCTAAACCACATACTGAGAGTGTTCTATAGTGAAATGAGAGAGTTCCCTGAACCCCCTTGCAGGATGTGCAACAGGGATGTGGCTTGTCTGTTAGGCCACTGCACACTCAAACCCCTTATAGAAGGGGAGGTACACAGACAGGCAGGTGCAGGAGCCAGGGCAAGCCACGGTAATGTCTAGGGGTGAGTGCCTATGACTCCCAAAGCCCCAGTGGGTGTATTACAGTGCTCTTTTAGCTCTGCCATCCGCAGATGGCTTAAGTGTTAACCGGCTCAGTGCCCTCTTGGTACCAGCTTCTTGTCCAATGTACAGGAAGAATCAGATCACACAGACAAATTGAAGGATGGTAAATGTGGGGAATTTTATTGCCAGATGGATGTGGCTCTCAGAAGGATGCATGGGGAGCTGGAAAGGGGATGGAGTGGGAAGATGATCTTCCAAAGGAGTTCGTTCATCCTGCGGCCGATCTCCACTCCAACCATCTCCAGCCAAATTCCTCTTGACATTCCGACACTCCTTCTCTTGTCTCCTTCGCTGCTGCACCACACTGCTGCTCTGCCGTTCTTCTGCTCCTCTACTCTTCTGCTCTTCTCTTCATGGAGGCTGGGGTTTGGGGTTTATATGAGTACAGGATAGGGAGGTGTGGCAGGCCAGAAGGCAACATTTGTGCACAAATACATGAATGTCTGTTCCCATTTAGGGCTGTGGTTTCCAGGCTTGAGGGTAGGGCCTTTGCTGAGGAACTGCCCTCTTCTACCAAATATCTTTCTGCCTCTTGTCTGTATCAATAGTACCATACTAGGCCAGGCACAGTGTCTCATGCCTGTAATCCCAGCACTTTGGAAGGCTGAGGTGGGTGGATCATGAGGCCAGGACTTCAAGACCAGCCTGGCCAAGATGGGGAAACCCCATCTCTACTAAAAATACAAAATTAGCTGGGTGTGGTGGTGGGTGCCTGCAATCACAGCTACTTGGGAGGCTGAGGCAGAGAATTGCTTGAACCCAGGAGGCAGAGTTTACAGTGAGCCAAGATCACACCACTGCACTCCAGCCTGGGCAAATGAGAGAGACTGCATCTTAAAAAAAAAAAAGTGCCATACTAGAAATCTAAAATAAATTTCAATTGTTTTTATTTACAGCCTAACTTTTAAAGGAACTGAAAATGCTGGTTTTCATTATGTATTCAGGTTAATTTGACACAAACCTCATTACTGCTATTGTCTAACCAATCACTGGAGGCTTAATTTTATTTATCAATTTACATTTATAAAAGTTTTATCTAATTACTATCCTAAATTTCCTGGTCCCAAAGAATTAAAATATATGTTTTCTCTGTATGGTATATATTTTTATAATACAGATTAAATATTTTTATATAAATATGTGCAAAATAATAAGTAACAGCAATTTTTCAGCTCCCCCACTCATTCCCATTTATTAATAGTAAAAATAGTTAACCAGTTAGGAGTTTATTCTTTCAGGTATTTGTAATATATATGCTTATACAGAAAATTTGTTTTATAAATATCACATATATTTATAACATAAAATATTTATATATAGTATGTAATATTTAGTATATTATTCTGTAGAGTATTATATTATTATACAACATATTAAATAAAACTTAATGTTATTCAATGTTAGGTTTTCACTTCATAATATTTCTTGTGTCTCATTCCAGGTCCATGAATAAAAATCTACTTTATTCTTTTTAAAAGCTTCACAGTGTTTCATGAAGCATGGAGAAGAGCACAATTTCTTTTGGAATATTTGTTATATTTTGGATCAATTGGGTATTTCCCTTATAACTGAGCATCACCATATAATTTTGGAGTTGGTGTTTGCTGTGCTACTTATTAATGCTTTGGTGACAAGTAGTCCTACTTTAAACTGAAAGGGTGAATGTGGATTGAACATTGAAAATGTGACATAAAAAATGTTTTCATATCAAGTGAAATCTCAGTGATGTCATCACCTTGTACACATTAAGTTTCCACAATAGTTCCAAATTTTGTAAACAGCAGGATAATTTAAGCCTGACATGTCACTCATAAATCTAGAAATGACAAATTCAAAAGAACTTCTTGTTCTGTTGACATTAATATCATAATTAAGCCTCTCTCAGGAACTAAGCTTTAACACAACATTCAGAATATTAATTAGCTAATTAAAATTGTATTGTTTGTATAGATCTGTTAATATTCAATTTGTAAATTTGATTTCATTTTATAGCTTCATAGAAAATATAAGCATGAGTTCATTTCTAGATTTTAAAAGTATTATTATGTTAATATTTTAATAAAATATGTGTAAGACTGGGAGTTCACCATAATTTAATTATTTTCTTAAAAAGAGGCCATACTTTATTCAGCTTTAAGAGAGATTGTCATAGAAAATTTTCTTGACAAAGACTATATGATATCTACTTGCTATGTACTGTACATTTAGCTATGGAAACTGTATGTGAATTTTACACTTTAAACTGTTTAAATTTCAAAAATAAAAATGGAAGAGGGCATATCTAGGTCTTTCTATTATATGAAGACAGAAGTTAAGGAAGAGTTTTCCAACATTATTAATGATCTCCATGAAAGTATATAATGTAAAATTAATTAGAGTAATGATGTAATAATTTATTCACCATGGTTTTTCCAGTGTCTAGAAAATTTTGTTTGTTCAGTAAGTATCTGTTTACAATAAATTCGTGAGTGAATACATACATAGGTGAATGACAGATTATCTCATATTGTAAATGTATTGTTTTTCTTCTATAAGAAGTACATTTTGATAAATAATTATTTGGGTAGAGACCTGATAAGTTAGTGTTAGAATTAAAACATTAATATTTTTGGTAAAAAAAAAATCTGTCTATATTTTAATATAGAGAGGATGTCTTAAGGCACATTAATATAGAGAGAATGCCTTAAGGCATAACTTTTCCACCAGTGGAAATTACCCAGCCTCTAAGCCCTTATAAAAGGTTAAGTAGAAAGGCAGAACTTAAAGAGTGGCAGAACAAGGTCCTTCAAAAATTCACGTAATCAAAAAGGCATTACACAACTGACAACAGTATGAAAATCATACTTTTTTTCAGAACTCTGAAATTAAACAAAAGCTTGCAATCATTTGAGACATGCTACTCTATTCAAAGACAGCCAAATTTTGTAAAAACAGTGATTTTGGGAGATACTAACTTGCCCTTTTCCCATCCACCTCTCCCCAAGTGCATAGTAGACTTTAAAATGGCAGCCTCAGAACCATGGAGCCGTAAAATCTAGCAATCTAGTAGCCATTGGATGGGGGAAGACTTACTATGCAGCTCATTCAAAAGTCGATACCTAGAAATTTTTTACTGTTTGGCATGGATGGGAGCACCCTGTCAAAGTCTCATTTCTACAGCTGATTGTTATTAGATTCTATTCTGAGCTTGGTCAATAAAAAAATGTTCTATTGCCCAAGAAGTTGCTGAAAAATTGCTTTCAAATATTTAACACTGCAGTTGACAAATCCAATGATAACAAGTTGGGACAAACAAGAAGAATTCAAAACATTTATAAGAATTATATGAGAAATAAGTTGTCCACAGTGACTTTGAAACCTCTTCATTTTCCTAGGGACCTAAAAAGTCTGTGTGACAGTGTGCCTGCTCAGAAAAGCCCAAAGAATGCAATAATACCTCACTACTATCTGATTTTGAGACTCAATGCAAACGGGAAATGAAGGCTAAAGCAGAGTGAAAAACTGCTCACAAGTGCATTGAACACATGACCAACACCAGAAAGAGAGGACCTTGGCAAAGTCTCAGAGACTTACTGATTCAAGGCATTTAGGGAAATCTCTTGTCCAAACATTACTTAATTACTAAGCTAAATAAGCAGAGACTTTAGTAGCCATAAATGTCAAGGAATACAGATTTTATAGATTCTTTTCAGGGACATTTAACTAAACAAACAAACCACAGAAATAATAAGGAAATCACCTCTACCAATAAAACCTAGGAAAGAAAGGGGAGTCTGAAACCCAGGCTTACAATTCAATTCATATTATCTAAAAGATGCAGTTTTCAATACAAATGTTTTTAAGAAATGTTTTCTAAAAAGCATTAAATTATGTCCCATACCAATAAAACAAAGCAGTCAATAGAGGCTAACATAAGGAATAACAGGTATTGGACTCACTGGACAAAGATTTTAAATTAGCAACTTTAAATACATTTAAAGAACTAAAGATAATTATGTCTAAAAGACTAAAGTATTAGATTGACATCTCATCAAACACAAGATATCAATAAAAAGAGACAAATTCCAAAAAAGAACCCCCCAAAAATTCTGGATTTAGGAACTATATTAATTGAAGTTTAAAGTAATCATAAGAATGACTCAACAGCAGATTTAAATTTACTAAAAAAAAAGAATTAGAACAATGAAAAAATAAGTCAATAGAGTTTATCCAGTCTGTGGAGCAAAGAGAAACAAGAATGAAAAAAGTGGGCAGAGCCTCAGAGGTCTAAGGGACACCACAAAACATACCAACATACAAAATAATTGTGACATAAGAAGAGCAGAGAGAGACAGAAGAGTAAGAAATAATCAGAAAGCTCCATATATGATGAAAACATGATTTATACATTCAAGCAATTCAAAGATTCCAAGTAATATAAATTCAATTATATGCGTCACAGGATCCTTGGGGTGTCACTTTTCTGGCCAGAAACCTCTGTGGCCAGTAGCACCTTTGCTCAAGTTTTTGTTCAGGCCCTCTAGGCTCATTCTGCAGATTCAGCCTGGCAGGCTTTGCTTGGCCCACACTACCCACCTGGATCCCACATCTGCCAAAGGCGAGCCAGGCAAGGAATGGCGAGGGGTGTCTGAGTGAGTGAGCATGGGGTCCAGCCACTGTGCACAGCCAGGCATGCTGGCTGCAGTGGGGCAGGAAGCTCCAGGCACCAGCACAGGTGCCAGCTCCTTGTGAGGCTACAGCTGGACCAGGAGTACTGCAATCAGCTTCCATGGCTAGCACTGGAGAACAAATGGCACCCAGAAGCCAGGAGCCACAGAGCCCCAGAGAGGGTGTCACAGCCCTGGGTTGGAGAGCTCCTAGGTCTGGGATCCCCAAGAGGTTGCAGCTCTTCTCTCCTTCTCTCTTCTCTCCTTCTCATTGCCTGCGAAATGGTGAGCAAGGTGTTTCAGCCCTGTTTGTATTACATCTCTTTCAGCCCTGCCATTCAGTGGGTCCGAAGTTCTTGTCCTGCCTCCACAAAGAATGAGGTATACAGACAAGTAAGGGCTGAGCAAGGTGAAAAGGTGCTTTATTGAGACACAGAACAGCTCAGAGGACACCGACAGTGAGAAGCTCCTCTCCGTAGGCAGGTCATCCATTTGACTGCTCAAGTCTGGCTGAGTCCAGGGTTTTTATGAGCTTCAGAGTGGAGGAAGTGTGTGCTGATTGGTCCATGGGCAGTCATGGGCGGGCCCAGAAAAAGCACCATAAGTTCTAACTCAGGTCCATGAACTGACAGCTCAGCCCCCAGGCTTCAGGCCATCCCTGCCTTGAAGGTGGGGCTTCACCAGAGACCTGCTCCTTTCCAGCCAGGAGCCTGTTTCCTGCTGCCATTAGCCTGCCATCTACAGTGCCATAGTGCCCAGGCTATTCCTGCTGATGGGTGCCTGCAGGCCCACACTGAGCCGCCATTAGCTCTCCCTCAGCTTCCCCATGCTCGTTGGTGCTGAAAGTCCGGAAGAAGCTGAGGCAGCAGGGGGCTGGTGTGTCAGCACTGCCCCAAGCACGTGCAAACCTGGCCAGGTCACGACAATGCTCATGCTTGGCCACAACTTTGCTCTAAAATTGGATCAGGTGCTAGGAGTGGGGAGAGGCCAGGCAGCAGGAGCAGACACTTCTGAGCCTGTTGGGGAAATGGGGCTTCTCAGGCCTCTGAGACTGCAGAGATGCCTGGGTTCCCAGCTGTCACTGGGCAGCTGCAGCTCCACGTGGGAGGGCGGGACTGCTGCCCCTCCAACTTGGAAGTGAGCAGGGCTTCCACCTGTTCCCAGTTCCTGTGGGCTCATGGAACTCGCAGCCCCCACTGCACCTCCCTTACTGCAGCTGGCATCATGGCAGCAGCCACCCCAGACAGGAAACTGCTGTTATCATATTTACACATTGACAGATTTTAGTCAAGCTTTCAAAAGCCAAAAACAGAGACCTTTGAAAGCATCATGAGAAAGGAACTCATGACATACAAAGGATTCACAATAACACTAACAGCAGCATTCTCACAAGAACTGGACACCAGAAAGCCGTTGTTTTTGAATGACATATTCAAATTGTTGAAAAAGAAAAAGACCATCATCAGGTTGGGGGCAGAAGCTCATGCCTATAATCTCAGCACTATGGGAGGCCATGACAGGAGGATTTCTTGAAGCATAGGGATTTCAGACCAGCCTGGACAACATAGCAATACCTCATCTCTACCAAAAAAATAAAAAATGAAAAATAACCAGGCATGGTGGCACATGCTTGTAGTCACAGCCAATTGAGAATCAGAGGTGGGAATTTTGCTTGAGCCTAGGTGTTCAAGGCTGCCCAGAGTTATTATGGTGCCACTGCACTCTATCTTGGGTGAAAGAATGAGAAAGGAGAGGAGAGGAGAGGAGAGGAGACGAGAGGAGACGAGAGGAGACGAGAGGAGAGGAGGGGAAGATCATCACCTAAAATAATTACACCCAGCAAAAAAAAAATCCCTCAAAAAATACAGTTTTATGTAGATATAAATATTGTAATCCCAGAGCAATCATGAAGAAAATATCTCACAATATATATTAAAAGGAAAAACAAGGAAAATAAAATGGAGAACTAAAAAGTGTTTATTTTACGTAAAAGAAGGCAGAAATAGAAATAGGAGAAAATTTAAAATAAACGTGAGATATATATATATATGTATACACACATATGTAAACATTTATAAAATAATACAACTAATCTTAATTTATCAGTAATTTTATTAAATGTAGATTTGTTGAACGTTCCAATCAAAAGATATGTATTGAAAGAAAGAGAAAAAATATCCAATTATATGTTATGTATGAGGACACACTTTATATAAAAGGCACAAGTAAGTTAAACGTTAAAGGGTAGAAATTAATATATAATTCAAATGGTAACCAAAAGACACCTAGAATGGCTTATTAATAACAAAAAATACAATTTGAGAAAAAAATGTTATTAGAGAGAAGGAAAGACATTTTAAGTGATAAAGTGGTCAAAATATTAGGGAGAGACAACAATTACAAACCTATAGGATCTAATAAAGCTTTAAAATGCATGAAGCAATAACTGAGAGAACTGAAGGAAAACATAGATAGCTTAACGGTAATAACTGGAGACTCAAATATCCACCTTTTAATAAGGGGTAGAACAAATAGGCAGAAGACAGAAAAGATAATAAAAGACTGGAATTAAACTGTAAACAATATATGCCTAATAGATATTATATCCATACACCAACAGTTAACAATCGAAAAAAAAAAAGTCATTCCACTCACAATAGTGATGCAGCTTCCATGACTGCAGGAACACCAGAGTCCTTAGTTTTGTGCCATTAGGAGTAATGACACAGACACATGTGGAGTGGTCGTTAAGAAGTAAAAAGTTTAACAGGCAAGAAAGAAGAAAGACAGAAGAAAACAGAGACAGAGGGACAGGGGCTCAGAACAAAGAGGAACCCTGTGTGCAGCGGAAAGGCAGTCCATTATATCCGGAAGCTGGAGAAGGCAGTGTCTGGTTTGCATAGGGCTCAGGGGATTGGTTTGACCGGATGTGTCGTTCACGTAGCCGAAAAAACCTTGCCCTCCCACCCTAGCCTTTAATATGCAAATACAGGTCAACATGATGTTTTGAACACATGGCGTTACGTGGGGGCAGCCATGACACTTGGTACACCAGGTGACAAGGAGAAGATGGTGGGAATCACCATGTTGGGTAGACCCAGTTTCTATTTTCCGGCATTTGCGTATCAAAGTTTGCCGGTCTAGCTCTTTAAGCCAACTTTTTTTTAGTTTCCACCGAGAACGTTTACCCCATCTAGCTGCCTAAAATAATTTCTTAATAACTCCTGTATTATTCCCCCCTCAAAGAGAAGTAGGTCTAATTATTGTTAGGGGGTGTTGGATGACGATTCTTTCTGGCTACTTCCTGCTGAAAAGGGGTGTTGTGTAGGGGGTTCAGCAGTTTGGCCTTCTGAGGTTTATCTAAGGGTTCTCAGAATAATGCTGTGTCCATGTGTGGCTCTGCTCACAGCACCGTTTGGAGTTTGGCTACTTCTAGGTGAAAAGTGATAAATTCGACAAGAAGGTTTAAAATACAGGGTTTGAATACGAGCATTAAGATTACCACCATTAATAGGGGTCCTTTAGACTATAACTGACAGTTATAGTCTAACTGTTAGTTATACCAGTTAGTTATACCTGTTGACACCTGTTAGTTATACCAGTGGATTGCAATACTGGTTTGCCTCCACTAGATGCTGCTGTACATTACCAGAAACGTTAATATGAAAGTAACATTTTTCTTGAGAAACGCATACATTTCCCCTTGGCTTGCCACTAGAGAATAACCTTAGGCTTAGGCCATTTTTATAACTTGTAATATGATTGGGAGAGATACGTTATTGGGTGGCTAAAATAACTTTAGCATTAATTTTGACAATTCCTTTTCTTTAATTATTGAATTGTTTTATGACTTGTATAGACTCTGTTACAACATACTTAAACGTTTTTACTTGTTTTAAATACTCATTCTTTAAACAACCAGTCATTTCTTTTTAGGACAAGTATTTACCATACAAAATTTTTCCTTACATAAAATTTCTTTCTTTACAACATTTTTTTCATAGCTTAGAGTGCATTATACTGCCAAACTTCAGTAAAAAATCTTATTAAACTTAATGATGGTAAAACTTTTATGCTTATTTCTTATCAGTAACTATTACTTCTGCTATAAGCAAAACAATCTGGATTAATTTTTTCTGCAATTATTAATCCTGTTATAAGGATAATAATCAGGCAAAATATTACAGCAATTAGAATTTTATAACGAGAATTTCACATTGTAGGTGCCACAGTGTATAGTTCTATTGCAAATAATAGCGTGACTATAATCATTCCCACAAGAGTGGCGTAGTAAATAATTTTTCTCTAAAACTTTACTTGCCAATATATAACATTTTCCTTTGGGGATTTAAAAAGTTACAAATGTGATCCTATGTATATTTGAAAATCTCCTATAAATATGTGTTAAAAAGAAGTTGTAATATTTGGTGGTGAATTTGAGAGGAAAGGGTAGAAACAATAAAATATTTGGTGAGGTAGGAGTGGGACTGAGTAAGATGGGTAGCCCTTAGTTACTTATTTTTTATGATTTTCAGCTTAAGATCTTCTATTTTTTTACACTGATATTCAAGACGTTCCTCTGGGCTGTCAGAGGTTGCTCCCAAGCTCTTCGGGCTTGACTTGAGGGTGATGTATCCAGGAGTCGATTCCTGTAATTTTTACTGAGGGGGTTGAAAGAAAAACAGTGTAAGGCTCTTCCCAGGTTGGGTTAGGGGAGGAGACAGAGATGAGAGTTTACACTAATACCAAATTTCCTGGGTTAAATACAGGTGGTTTCTGTTGGAAGTGAGCTAGAAAGTTTACATGCTTAACCAATTTAGAGGCTTCCTGCCTGAAAACAATCTCTGAGCACATTGAAGTTTTATCCTTTCCCAAGTGAAAAGCTAGGTGAAGGATTTTAAGGACTTTCCATTGGCTGGAGGCTGGCAAATAGTGTTTGTCATCCTGACTGTAGCCATCCTAAGGGCTTAAAAGAATGCCTTTGACAAGTGGCCTATTTTATTTTTGTAAGGGATACTGAGGTTTAATTTTTCTTACGGAGCCTTCCTAGATTAGAAGGGGCTTGAACTGTACTAACGCTTTGAGGCTTTTTGCCTCTGACTTATCTGCCTGATTAGCTAATCTATTTCCTTCAGCTACCTTATTTGTTTCCTTTTGATGTTCCTTACAACACATCCCTGATATTTCTCATGGAAGAAAAACTGAGGATAATAAACGGTTAATTTCCTGGTGATATTTTATAGGAATTTATGGGTGATAAGAAAATGCCTTTCCCTTTAAATGGCAGCATGAGCACAGAAAATTAGGAAAGCATACTTGGAGTTAGTGTAACTGTTAGCTACCTTTCCCTTGCTTAATTTAAGTGCTTTTTTAAAGAGCAATTAGCCCAGCTAATTGAGTACTTCTGGCTGGGGAGAGATGTTATTTAGAGCGACTACTGCTTATCCCACCTTATGAATGCTTGCTTTACTAACTGTTTGTTAGCTAAGAGTTCCCCCTAGAGGACAGTGATCCTGCCACCTTATGTGGAGTGTAAACAGTTAAATTATGTCCTAGGGCTAATTTGGAGGCTTTTCTGACTAGTAGTGCTATCGTGACTATGGCCTGGAAACATGTGTAAATAATTGCAACTAACGTTGAGAAAAATATTGGATTAGAGTTTTTCCTGAGATGACCCTTACAGTCATGCTATGGGAAGAGGGGAGGCCTGGATTAGAGAGGAGAAAAGAGAGAGACCAGCTTTAGTGTTTAGAAGGAGGTTTACTTTCCTTCCTTTAATTTCCAGAATCACCTGGGGCTTCTGTGCTATAATGGCAGTTTGAGCCACTGGAACTGGGGCTTGAGCCCTGGGACCCATGAGTCCTGCTGAACCACCTGAGAGACTGGTTCTGAACCCAGTGATCTCTGTCTCTGGGGGCAGTTCAGTTTCCAGAGGTCTCCACCACAGGCTGGGCAGGTTTGAGGTGGCTTTGTCTTGCTGCCTGGGCATTCCTTTTTAAAATGCCCTGGTCTGCCACACTGATAGCAACTAGCAAATGCACCTTGGGGATCCTGGACTTTGCAAGCCTGCAAAGCTGCTACCAGAGGCTTTGTTCCTATCCTGAATGCTCTGCCTTTCCTTTGGGCCTCCTCCTGGTCCATATTATAAAGACCAAAGTAGCCACCTTCAGGAGGTCCCTTAAGGTGCTATCTGGTCCTGTAGCTTGCTTCTGTAGCTTCCTTCTAATATTGGGAGCTGCCTGTGTAATAAACTTGTCCTTCAGGATGAGCTGCTCCTTGACTGAATCAGGGGATAAGGATGTGTGCTCCATTAGTGCCTTTCTTAGCCTTTCCATAAAGGCTACAGGATTCTTATTTGGCTCTTGGCCTATTATACACAGTTTAGAATAATTGAGAGGTTTGGCCTTCCATAGGCCCTTTAAAATGGATAATAAAAAGTGCTTCCTTTTCCTTTTATTTTCTGGGCTATTGGGGTTTCAATCAGGGTTGTTTACTAGAACTGCTTCTCTCCCTATTGGGAATGGTGTTTCTGCTTTTTTCTGTCTTTTTTTTTTTTTTTTTTTTTTTGCTTTTCCTATCTGTTTTTTTCTCTTTTAGTGTATTATAGGAGATATATTGCATATCTCCAAAATTCTTTGCTGCTTGCAGAGCTGCCTGCTTTTTAGCTGTCATTAGGGTCTGGTTTAGAAGCAACGTAACATCCCTTTATGTGAGGTTAAACACCTGAGATCAATTTTGGAAAACTTCTGTATACCTATTATGGTCTTTAGGAAATTGGCCTAAGTTTCCTTTTATTTGCCTAAGGTTCTGTTATGAGAATGGAACTTGAGGGGGCCCCAAATAAGAGGGAATTCTTAGATGATTCCCCTGGAAGTTGCTTTTTTAATTATGGGGAACCATTCCCTCTGGGCCTACCCAAAACGATTGCTAAAAGAGCTGGATTGATCTTACAACACCTGCAAAGGTTTAGTAAAAATGCCATGCCCTTCTGCAAGAGCAAATTAGTCACTTTCCTCTTCAAATTCCTGAAGTTAAGGAAGTTCCAGTGTTTTAGACTGCACTTCAGAGGGTTGCAAGCTGAAGATAATCTGTTACTCATCTAGAAAAAGAAGTGAGAATAAAAGTGTCCTCTTAGTCTCCTTTCTTTCCGTGTAACCCAGAGCAGAGAAGAAGACAGGGAGAATTCTCTGACTGCTTCCCCTCCCTGGTTTCTGGATCCCGACACCATGTTAAATGTGCTGTCCATGGTTGAAGGCGTGGTCCTGCAAGCCATGGAACTGGATGAACTAGGTGATGGGGCTAACCACGCTTACCCACACAACCTTAGCTTATCTGCCTTGTGTGATTCCCCTTTGACTTCCTAAACCTGTGGATTTGCCTGGCTCCCCAAAAAATGGATCTCCAGAGAGACTGTGTCGCCTTTGGGCAAGACTCCTTTAACAGAGACAATGTGCTAGATTGCCTGCTGTTATGGCCCATGCTAAAGCATTTATCCTTTAAACAAATGCTTTTGGATAACTTCCGAACTTAAAATCCCCTTATTAATTAAGTACTGTTTTAACTGGAGACAGATTTAAGTGCATTAAAAGAACATAGGAACCGAATGGCCATTTTCCTGCTGATGGGACAATATTGAGACTAAATTCTGGCTATGTAAGACATATGTAAAGCCTTCCCATTCACAGAAGTAGCATAGATCCTACTTTCCAGTAGAATAGCTCAAAAAGGAAAAGTTGGAAAGCTGCAGTGTACCTCAGAGAGCCAGCACTGCGTCTCATGAAGTGGATTTCTATTTCCACTAGGTGGGGCAGTTGGATGAGAAATACCACGTGCTCGCCAGAGAATCAGTAGTGAATAACCTTACCTTGGGGGGAATGGGGAGAACTCTGTTCCTAGAAGATTGCAATGGCATTTTCCTGAGTTTGTTTCCCAGGCACTACACCACTTCCTGATCTTGCCTAACAGGATTATTTCCCTAGGCTGTAAGCATTCCCGCACATTCTATACACAGAGAGAGAGTAAGAGGCCGCAGATAGAGAGAGAAAGAAAGTTTGGTGACAGGGTAGCTGGATGAGAGCCTTTAGATTAAAGGGCATATTCAAAGTTGAGGTTTGCTGCATACCTAGCCTTTCAGTGAATGATTTCCCAGTCAACACACCAAAATGATACAGCTCCGATGACTGGAGAACACCAGGGTCCTTGGTCTTGCGCCCATAGGATTAACTACACAGACATATGTGGAGTGGTTTCAAGGAGCAAAAAATTTAATAGGCAAGAAAGAAGAAAGATAGAAGTAAACAGCTCCCCTGTACAAAGGGAGAGGGCTCAGAACAAAGAGGAACACTGTGTGCAGCAGAAAGGCAGTCCATTATATTGGGAGGCTGGAGGAGATGGCGTCTGGTTTGCATGGGGGATTGGTTTGACCAGGGGTGTCATTCACATAGCCCACAAAAAACCTGGCCTTCCCACCTTAGCCCTTTAATATGCAAATGTGGGTCACCATGATGTTTTGAACACATGGTATTATGTGGGGGCAGCCACGACACTTGGCACACTGGGTGACAAGGAGAAAACAGAGAGAATCACCATGTTGGGTAGACCCAGTTTCTATTTTCCGGCTTTTGCATATCAAAGCTTGCCGGTCTGGCTCTTTAAGCCACCTTTCTGTTAGTTTCCACCAAGAACTTTTACCCTGTCTAGCTTCCTAAAATTATTTCTTAATAACTTCTGTATTATTAGCATCAAAAGCACTACACTTCTTTGAAATATGCTTATCAAAGGAAGCGAAAATTTTGCACAATGAAAACTACCAAATATTAATTATATTTTTTAAATTTAAAATTTTAATGTGGTTCTAAAAATATCAAAATAATGAAAAGATATTATATTTTCATGAATCAGAAAACTGTCATATTATTATGGCAAATGCCCCAAATTGATCTAAGATTCAATGAAATCCTCATTCAATAATAATAATAAAAATCCAGATGGAGTTATCTTCTGGAAGATTTTACACCTATTCCTTACCCTGTCCAATAAGTCAACTTCAGATCTACCACTTTTTAATATTAAAATATTGTCATATCTCTATAAATGTCTTGTAACATTTTTTCAGTGTTCAAACTTGGACTCCAGGAACAGAACAGAAGTTCAATTTCCTATTTCGTTACCTTGATTTTACACAGTAGCCTTCTTTCTATAGCAAAGAAGGTAAGGTATTCAGAACATCACAGAACCATTCATCTACATAGTAAATGTATTTGTCTCTAATGAAAACAATGTATTATAAAATCACTGAAAAGTTTCTAGTTTTAAATGTTTCTCAAAAAATAATGATCTATGTTGATAGCTACAGATTCCTTCAAATCAGTTGGTGTCAAAGACAGATTTCTATAGGTATGACAGATTTATAAACCACATCTATCATTATTAAAAAATCTTAACAAGTAAGAAATAAATGCTAGGATATTTTATTTCCCTTTAACAAGGAAGAAGTTAATATTACCTTCTTCCAAATGATAAAATTTGGTCATTTGTATATAATATACTTACATCTAAAGATATCAGTTATGAGTCTATTCCTTTTTTTTTCTTTCTTATTCAGTAATAGGAAAAGACATTTAGTAATAATAACACCTGGATCTTCCATTGATTCAGAAGTTGAAAGGAAAATTAAGTCTGTTTCCTTAATTAGACTAATAGCTTCTAACAGAAGTAAGCTATGTAGAGTTGCTAGAAGGAGAGCCTAGAAGCAATTTGCATCAGTGTCAAATGCAAACCATGCCTAGAGGTTTTGTATCCTAAGAACTCAAGCTAAGGTAGGAAGAGCTAGTATAATTAAACCAGGGCGAAACTATAAAACCCACCCTGTAGCACCAAAGAACATTGAAATGTCACACCTGAGAGTAGTAGCTTTCCAAAAAATGATTTTAAGTGAATTTTAACAATCACAGTATCAATACTTTCTTTTATTAATACATAGAACAGTAAGCACATTAAAAATAATAGTGTATATTAAATTATAGATGTAAGAGTATCGGTTAAGCCCAGAGACATCCTTTGATGTACATGTGGATATTAAAAAGTGTTGTAATATCTCCCCTTTGTTTAAGCCACATTGATTGGGAACCACTGAATACAACAAAATGTTGGATTTTATTACTTTGTTCAACTAAACTCAATGAATGAACAGTCATCATCTCTTAAATTAATAATGTGTCAAAAATCAAGGATAAAATTATTCCCATATATGATCAATAAAATAAGTAGTTAAATAAATATATTCAAATAATTAAATGGTGAATTAATATATAAAAATTTCAGATTAATTTATGTTTAAATTATAATTTATTATCACATGTCTTCCCTTTGCTTTGTGAATGGCTTTAATGTCTAAAGCAAAAATTTATTCTTTCTGCAGTCAGTAGTATGAATGTGCAAAAGAAAAAATAGTGAATGAGGGGAGGAGGAGGGAGAGAGAGATAAGAGAGAGAGAGAGAGATTTCTCACCTGGAACAGAGATTGATATATGCTCGAGAGACTAAATGTGTCCATTTGGAAGACAGAAAAAATCGTATAAAATGAATATAGTTAAATGTTTCACATCTTTGTTGGGATGAGAACTAAAAGGGAGATTATGTTGACTAAAAGGAAATGAAATAAATGTCAGACATTTTGCACAACTGACTTTGCGATACAAGATTCAAACCTCCCACAATCAGAAGAAAGTTTATAAATAATGCTAGAGGTAAGTTACATGGTTAATACTAATGAACAGAGAATAAGTGATTTGGAAGATTTTGGTGTTATGAATGATGTTAAGGGTCCTTTAAAACCAAAAATACCATCTTAAAATAGCATTTTAATAAAATCATTTAATTCTACTAAGTTATTTATTTAAAACTTAGTATTTAAAAAATTTGTTATTTGAATGTCAATGTCATTAAGAAAATATTTTATTTTGGTTAACAATGCCTAAGCTTTCATTCTCAACATAAAAGTTAACAGTGACCCATGAAACATATCAGATTAGTTAAGGCTTTTGTTCAGAACTCTCCAAAGGCTTTTCCTCTCATCCCAAAAAACTTCAAAGTTCTTACAAGCACCTAAAAAATTCTACATGACCTGACCCTTAATTCACTTATATCTGACATCATCTTCTACTCCTCTTTGCCTTGCTTGGTGGTCTCTCGCTCCATTGGCCTCCTTAAAAATGAAGCCGCATTCCCTCTTTAGGGTATTCCTCCTTTTGTTTTCTGTAATTAATTATCTCCCACTCCCCACATAGAAATCCAAATGCCAATTCCTGTCAACTTTCTCAGGGTTATTCAATATCTGTTTTTCAATATGGTCTTCTTTGTCCACTTGTTAAAAATGGCAACCCCACTTCACTTCTCTCCTTTTGTTCTTCTCCATAGCACATAAACGTATGATACTCATTTATTTTCTTATGCTGTATTTTCCCCCAGCAGAATGTAAGCTCCTTTTAACCAGGAGTAATTGTCCATGTGGATCACTGCTATATTCCCAATGCGTGGAACGGTGCCTATGTGTGAATGGGTAGAGGATCTCCCGTACATACAACCTATACACCTATAGTTTTTTGTTGTTGTTGTTGACGTTGTTTTATTCAGCATATTCTAACAATAACGAAAACATGTAAAATAGATGGCAATATCTACAGTTCTTAGCTGCCAAATATACAAGTCTAAATTTGAAAAACTAGGCAAATGTCAGCAAAAGTGTAAGAAAGCATCCAATTCTCTCTCTCTCAACTATTTGGCTTTCTTGAGATATTTGTTAACTCCAACATTAGTTTAAAGTTATTTTTGGCAGCAGAACTTTATTATGTTTTTTCAAATAGAATTATAAGCATCATCATAGTAGATAATTCAGAACAGACAAAGCTGATGAAGTGGGTGAGCAGGATAGAGGTCATTAGAGCCCTGTTAGTCTCTGAGGCTTTGCCACGTTATATCAGGACTCCAAATATTACATGTTAAAAACCACTGGTGTTTTATATATTTATTGTTAAACTGATAATATTTACCTACCTCTTTCATTTTTTTGGTAATTTTTCCATCAGATTCCTTTTATCTGATATGTTTTCTTCCTTTCTTTCTGGTGGTTTATAATCAGTTTTGCTGATTCTGCTCAAATTCACTGTCTAAAATAGTAATAAGGCCAGGTTCTTAGTTTGTTGTTTTTGTTTTAGGTCAAGATCTGTCTTTCAAATTTTAGAGTCTGGATAATCCCATGGACTACTTCAGAATAATATTCTTAGATTCATAAAATAAAATGCATGAGGCTGAAATAAGGGCATTATTAAAATGTATATTTAAAAATTTTCTTTTATATATAAGGTATATGCTTCATTTGTAATACATTAAGTAATACAATCTAGTTTCTGCTTCATTTTGAAGTAGCGATATCTTTGACAACTTTATTATGATATTAATATCTGATTTTCCAGTTGATAAAGTCACAGGCGCTGCCAATAATGCTGTTTGTTGCCCATATTCGTAACTGAAGAAAGTCAGTGAAAATACAGTGTATATTTTTCTCATTCATGTGCATGGATCATGGCAATATTTCCCGTATCAATAATTCTTGGGATGGGGGAAATTAATGATTCAAAGCTACTTTACTAGAAATGAGAAAATAATTTTGCCATTGATTTTATTCTAGCTGATTGAACTTTTATCATTATATAAAGATTTTCTACATTGAGAAAAATGCTTTTTGGTTTTAGTTTATATTGCCAAATATTCACATAGATACCCCACTTTTATGTAGCTGGCATTTTCATGGTTTCTTTTTTTTTATCACTTCAATTTTATACATTTTCATGGTCTTGTGTTTAAGATATGCACGTTACAATGGTATCTAGTTGACTGGAGTTTTTATATATATATTTCTATTGGAAGTATGTCTTAGAATATTATTTGATATCTATTGGACTATTATTTGCTATTTTCCACATGCTCTATTCTCTCTTTCTCTCACCCACAATTCCACCCTTCCTTTCTACCTCTAGTCTTATTGTGAATTGAGTGTGTGCTTTTTAAAATCTTTTGTTCTAACTATGATATAGGAACAATATACTATTTCCATAATTTTGATTATTACCCAATAATTTAGAACTGAATAGTCTCTAAGGCATAACAATAACTTAATGCCCTTCAGAATAGTAAAAGTTTCTGTATCCATCACCCGACCTGAATGCTACCACACTCAGTATTTTGATTTAGTCTTTAATACCATAATTTAATATTGTAATTGTTATTACTAGTATTCTGCTTGTTTGTTTAAATTTACCTACATGTTAACCAATTTCTCTGTTTACCCTTCCTTCCAGTATATTAGCCTCCTTTATAGTATGTTTTATTACTAAGAAAACTTCCCTTTAACATAGATCTATTACTGGTAATTGCTTATAGTTTTATTTTCCCCTTTTTATGTGTATTTTTCTCATGTAATTGAAAGATAGCTTGCTCTATAGAAAATTCTAGTATTCTCATTTCCCTTTGACTAAAAATTATCTTTTGTCTTCTTTTGTCACACTTCACAAATCTTCATCCAGGAATCTGTAATCTGTTATCCCATTGTAGATTACCTGTCTTTTTTCTAAGCGCTTTCATAATTCTATATTTGTTTTTGGCATTTCACAGTTTTACTACATACAAATTTATTTTCATTCATCCTACTTGGTACAAATTGTGATTTCCGTATTAGTTATTAATGCTTTTCATTGAGTCTGGAAATTCCTCAATCATTAATTCTTTATCTTGTCATCTTCCTGTTTTCTCCTTCTGGAACTCAGAGTAGAGAATGTGAGGCTTTCTAAATACTCCTTACCATTTTTTCATATTTTCAATTTTCTGGTGTTCCTGGAGTACCTTCTATATAACTTCTTCACATTTTCTTTTCATTTCCCTAAACCCCTCCTCAGCTCTCTGAAATCTGTTCTTTAACTCATTCAATTCATTTTCCAAATTTTAAAATAGTATCTATCTGGCTTTTTGCCAAATCTTTCTTGTGCCTTCTATTCTTTCTCACTGTTTGTTTTTAATAATTTCATTTTACAATAATATGTCTTCTTTTACATTATTCTTTAAAAACATTCATTCTAAATGCTAATTTTATGCTCTCTGATAATTCTGATATCTGACATCTTTGAAGGACTAATTATACTATTTGTGTTCTACTAATTCTCACTAATGATCCATCCTTCACTCTTTGATACCTTTTGGTTATGAACTCTTAATAGGCTGATCTTATAAGTGGAAATTCAGGGTCTAAATTTCAGACTCTGTCCTCTACATGGATTTTGCATTTGTTTCTTTTAGAAGTCAAAAGTAACTACTAAGCCAGGACCACATTATCTCCTTTGCATCTGCCTTGGCTTAATCTGAAGATTTCAGATACTGCTCGTCTGCCTTATCCACTAGCCAAATACTTCATTTCATTGCTGAAATACTGACATACACACTTGTTTTTTCAGGGAAACCTATTTTTAGTACGTTTCCTCACTTCTCAGATGCCATCACTTCTCCGATTTCATTTTTCATCTCCACTCTTTCTCTCCTTCTTTGATATTTATTTCTTGTTACCAATGGAATACAATGAAAATTATGTTTTTGCAGTGTAAATGACTATTAAGAACATCTATTTTAAATGTTATTTCAAAACTATTTTTAAGGCAAAGCATAATAAACCTTAGATACTGACTTTTATATAAATGAGGGTAGAAGAAATAATTAACAAATGAAATTTGTTATTAACCCAGTATAAAATTCAGAAGTAGTATTGAATGTTACAAAATGACACTGTGAGATCATTACTTCCTTGGTTACTCTCTCTCTAAAATTAAGCGATTGACTTTCCTCTGTAAGCTTTGGTTTTAGAACTCTGAAATGGGGAAACTAATAATACACAACTTATATTATTTTATATTTGTTCTCAGTTCTGTTCCACCTAGTAAATGCTCAATATGGGGTAGCCATTATTTGTCACTATTATCATTACTTGTTAGATAATGCAGAGATAAGAAAAGGAAAGAACAGGGAGAATACCAGAACAGCAAGAAAGTTGATCAGGAACAAAAATTCAGTTGTATGTGGTGTAAGATAAAAAGAGAGCAGGAAACTGAGAGAAACAGAGAGATAAAAGGAAACATAAACAAGCATAAAGGCTCTTGAAATAAGTTATAGCAAAAAAGAGGTCTTTTGGTTCAGACAGAATAGAGCAGATACAAATAAGGAAAACTGAATTACGGAGAAACAAATTAAGAGAAAAATAAGAAGGCAGTGAGAGACTGTAGGTACTGAGTTGAATTATATTTGTAAATATTTATACTTAAGTCACTGGGTTTCAAAAAAAAGTAAATATCACTGATTATAACATTTCTTTGAATTCAGGTTATTTCTAAAGTATTTTCAATTATTTATGAATGTTATTACAGGCTTCTTCAATTCATTTTTCTATTTATATAATTCAATTATATAAAACAATATTTAGTATTTTAAATATCTACTTTTACAAGAAAAAAACATTAAAATGTATATTCTTAAGAAGGTCAAATTATACCTAACTGGCCAATTTTTTAAATTCAGTTGTATTAATTTATTTCTACTGCCTATTCTGTAATTGTCTGAACTTACAGCAAAGGTCATGTTTGTAATTATTATCAGCAGTGGAAAAAAAAGAAAACCCAGAGAATCTCTATATAGTTTGATTCAATCATTGGAGAAAACATATAATAAGAATCAAAACACAGAATATAGTTTCCAGGAAGACAGAAGCTACATTTTATATGTGTTCATGGCCATAAAATCTATTGAAATGTTTGACATATATGAATAAACAAATGCATGAATAAAGCACTGAATATATAGGAAGGTAAGAAAAGTGGGAGGAAAACAGACATTTATGGAATGCCTGGCAAGATGTATTCAACATCTCTCTTTTGTGTGCCATTTAATATGCATAACTGTCTTATTTGATAGGAATTACCCTGCCCATTTTCAGACTAAACTGAAGTTCAGGGACTCTTAGTAACTCACTCAAGGTCACATTGATATTCAGTAGTATATTCAAGTTTCCTATTATAGTTTGCTAGGTTTCAAACCCATTAACTTTCCACTACATTTTACTACATCACCAGTACAAAAATATAATTCTCATAATTAAGTAATTAGATACCTTATTAAGCTTCAGAAATCTATCATTATTAATACAGATTCAGCAACTCACTTACTATGAAGGATTATTTTCTAGGCTGCAACTTACCTCACCTTATTCAAATTCAATTGAATATAGTATATGGAAAACTGCACAAGCAGTCCTGAAAACAAGTTTCTAGTCCTACTTATGGCATCAGCTAGCAACATGGCTTTGGAAAATTTACCTAATCTTTACTATCTATTATTAAATATTTTGTAAAATAAGATTTAAACTAAAATGTCCCCAATAATCAGTTCAGATAATTTAAAAACTTCATCAATATTTTCATCCTGTAAAACCAACTATAAATCATAGCACTTTGTAAATTAAACATCTGAGTGTCATATGCCTACCTGTCCATTCCCAGTGCATTTCACATGCCTTTTCATCACTTAACACTCTTTTCCTAATGGAAAATCCATCTATTTCTTGATGTCTAATTGCTTTCATGGTAGACATAATCCTTGCTTGAGTTGACATTTGTGCATAGGGTCACTGACTAAAATTTGTTCTACTCAAATTCTAAAAGTCATTACAATTTGTAATTATGCTTTTGTATACCTTCTTTTCTCATTTTAATCATAGTGCCTATGAAGAATTCACATAGAATTTGAAATGAGTTGGTAACCAAAGTTTAGTGGCTGGTAGTAATTCACATTAATTCTAAGTCCATGATATATCCTGTGCATATTTGTATTGTGAACCCTGAAAATTTGATACAGGTCTCAGTTAATTTAGAAAGTTTATTTTGCCAAGGCCAGGTGCGGTGGCTCATGCCTGTAATCCTAGCACTTTGGGAGGCCAAGTCGGGTGGATCACGAGATCAGGAGATCAAGACCATCCTGGCTAACACGGTGAAACCCCGTCTCTACTAAAAATACAAAAAAATTAGCCGGGCATGGTAGTGGGCGCCTGTAGTCCCAGCTACTTGGGAGGCTGAGGCAGGAGAATGGCATGAAGCCAGGAGGCGAAGCTTGTAGTGAGCCGAGATCGTGCCACTGCACTACAGCCTGGGCAACAGAGCCAGACTCCATCTCATAAAAAAAAAAAAAAAAAAAAGAAAAAAATTTATTTTGCCAAGAGTGAGAACATGCACCCATGACACAACCTCAGGAGGTCCTGACGACATGTGCCCAAGGTGGTCAGAGCACAGCTTGGTTTTATACATTTTTAGGGAGTTATGAGGCATCCATCAACATATGTAAAATAAACATTGGTTTAGTTCGGAAAGGTGGGACCACCCGAAGCAAAAGCAAAGCAGGACGACTTGAAGCAGGGAGGGGGCTTCCAGATCACAGATAGGTGAGAGATAAATGGTTGCATTCTTCTGAGTTTCTGATTAGCCTTTCCAAAGGAGGCAATAAGATATGCATTTATCTCAGTGAGCAGAGGGATGAGTTTGAATAGAATGGGAGGCAGGTTTGCCCTAAGCAGTTCCAAGCTTGAATTTTCCCTTTAGCTTAGTGACTTTGGGGGCCCAAGATATTTCCTTGCACAGTATGTGTGTGAATATATAAGTATTCACCTTCCAGGTGCTTGGACAGGCTGGTGTTGAGTGTCTGTGGCTTTTCCAGGCACATGGTGCATGCTATCAGTGGATCTACCATCTGGGGTCTGGAGAACGGAGGTCCTCTTCTCACAGCTCCACTAGGCAGTGCCCCAGTAAGGACTCTGCATGGGGGCTCCTTCCCCACATTTCCCTTGGGCACTACCCTAGCAGAGGTTCTTCATGAGGGCACTGCCCCTGCAGCAAGCTTCTACCTCGACATCCAGGCATTTCCATACGTCCTCTGAAATATAGGCAGAGGTTCACAAACCTCAATTCTTGACTTCTGTGCATCTGCGGGCTCAACACCATGTGAAAGCTGCCAAGGCTTGGAGCGTGCACCCTTTGAAGCTTGAGATGTACCTTGGCCCTTTTTAGCCACAACTGGAGCTGAAGCAGCTGAAATGCAGTGCACCAGGTGCCAAGGCTGCATAGAGCAGGGATGCCCTGGACCCGGCCCAGGAAATAGTTTTTCCCTTCTAGGACTGTGGCCCTGTAATGGGTGGGGCTGCCATTATGATCTTGGACATGCCCTGGAACATTTTCTCCATTGTCTTGGTGATTAACATTTGAGTCCTTGATATTTATGTAAATTTCTCCCCAGAATATGGGTTTTTCTTTTTTTCTTTTTTTTTCTTTTTCTTTTCTTTTCTTTTTTTTTTTTTTTTTTTTGAGACAAAGTCTTACTCTGTCACCCAGGCTGCAGTGCAATGGTACAACTGTCAGCGCACTGCAACCTCAACTCCCAAGTTCAAGTGATTGTCCTGCCTCAGCCTCCGGAGTAGCTGGTATTACAGGCACTTGTCACCACTCCCAGCTAATTTTTGTATTTTCAGTAGAGATAGGGTTTCACCATGTTGCCCAGGCTGGTCTTGAACCCCTGACCTCAGGTGATCCGCCCACCTTGGCCTCCCAAAGTGCTTGGATTACAGGCTTGAGCCACCGTGCCCGGCCGAAAATGGGATTTTCTTTTCTATCACATTATTAGGCTGCAAATTCTCTAAACTTTTATGTTCTTCTCTCACTTGAATGCTTATTGCTTAGAAACTTCTTCCACCAGATACCCTAAATCATCTCTCTCAAGTTCAAAGTTCCACAGATCTCTAGGGCAGGGGCAAAATAGGGACAGTCTCTTTACATAGCAAGAGTGACCTTTATTCCAGTTTTCAACAAGTTCTTCATTTCCATCTGAGACCATGTCATCCTGGACTTTATTGTTCATGTCACTATCAGCATTTCATCCAACAAGCCTCTAGGAAGTTCTAAACTTTCTCACTTCTTCCTGTCTTCTGATCACTCCTAGTGTCTAGGAAGTTCCAAACTTTCCCACATTTTCCTGTCTTCCCTGAGCCCTTCAAACTGTTCCAGCCTCTTCATGTTACCCAGTTCCAAAGTCACTTCCACATTTTTGGGTATCTTTACAGCAGTGCCCCACAGCTCTTAGTACCAATTTACTGTACTAATCCATTCTCACACTGCTATAAGGACATTTCCAAGACAGGGTAACTTACGAAGAAAAAGAGATTTAATGGACTCACAGTTCCACATGGCTGGGGAGGCCTCACAATCGTGGCGGAAAGTCAAGGGGGAGCAAAGGCCCATCTTAGTAGGTGGCAGGCAAGAGAGCATGTGCAGGGGAACTGACCTTTAGAAAACCATCAGATCTTGTGAGACTTATTCATTATCATGAGAAATGCATGGGAAAAACCTGCCCCATGATTCAATTACCTCCCGCTGGGTGCCTCCCATGACACATGGGGATTATGGGAGCTACAATTCAAGATGAGATTTGGGTGGGGACACAGCAAACCATATCAGGGTGTGATATAAAGAGAGGTTGGTTAATGGGTACAAACATTCAGTTAGGTAGAAGGAAGAAATTCTAATGTTGAATAGTAGAGTAGGCTGACTATAGTTAACAACAATGTATTATACATTTCAAAATAGCGAAGTGAGGACTTCAAAAGGTCTCCACACATAGAAATGATAAATGTACATAGTGATGAATATCTTAAACACCTGACTTGATCATTACATATCAAGTTAACAGGCCCATGTAACACAATATCACATGGACTGCATAAATATTTACAAATACTATGTATCAATAAACTTTTTTAAAATAAATACTTTAAAAAATCAATGTAATGTAGATATCATACATTGCCTTGAGAAAATAAAGTAAAAGAAACACTATTGTGAGGAAATATCAGGAAATATTCATATAATAATGTTAAAACTAAAAATATATTTTCACCAAATTTGGTATATAGAAACTTGTTTCAGACAAGTGAGTCAACATTTTTGCTGATTTAAACTTTTTATTTTCTTTTTACTCTCAAAATCAACACGCTGCGTTTTATTGACTGATATAAGGTATATAATAAAGAAAACATGGAAACAGAGGAAAAAGTAAAATAACTCTTTTTTTGTTGTTGTTTTAATGCACTTGTTGCAAGAATGTTTAAAAATTGTTATATTTTATTCTAAAAGTCACATATCCTTACTATAAAATATCAGTAAAATACTTATAAAAAGGAAAATTAAAGGTTATTTTAATTGTACAGCCTATTCTCATTTTTTTTCTTCCAAGGCTTTATTCTAAGTACATGTATCTTTTAGATTCATGTACATGCATATAATATAGTTTACATTGCATATTTATATTTTACATAGCATTTAACAGTATATATTTTGCAAGGCATTTAATAACATTAACTTCAATAATCATGAATGTGTGTGATTCCAACCTGTCGCTATACCATAATATTTTTAAATATTCCAAGAAGGAATAATATTTGTGTTTCCAATTAAACATTTCTATCAATGGTATTTTAAATATAAAACACTGAGATAAAAACAGAGATGCTTAATTTTATGGCAGTCATTTACATATTATTATTGTTACCTGAGAGCTGTTCTTAGTTTTTCTTGAATTCCAAAGGAAAGGGAATAAATTTTTAAATATGATAGCATAAAAGAGGCCTAATTCATTTTATATGTAGAGAAAAGTATAATTTATTTACTAACAGTGTAGAAAGGAAGCAAAATACTTAGAAAATTCAGGAGACCATATATTTTAGATCTGGTGGTTGGTAAGGAATAAATGTATTGAGAAAGTAATACTGGAAGTCGCAAAATGAGAAGAATTTTGAGGTAATTTCTGGAAGCTTCATCCTTTTTTGTTTCTTTTCATATTCTACTAGCTAATCCAAAAGTGTACTCATTCACAATAAAAATAAATATTTTAAGACAAAATGTGATTTATCAGTATATTTATTTTAAGATCACACTTTCTTTTAAACCTTATTTTCACTGACTTAGTTAATTAAGATAGTTTTGCATATTTCAATAAACAGCACATATTTATTATATTCACTTAACTAAGTTTATGTATATTTTCAAATAAAAAACTACTTTGGTTTTTAGTATCTATCAGAGATCATTGTAATTTTTCTCCACAGGCTTCATATAGCTTGTGAAAAAACAATAACTTCACCACCAACACCCATTCACTATCATGTATCTATGATCAATCTACTGTGTTCTTGTTATAGAGGAAAGGGCATACACTACAGTGACCTCAGAGGGAGATAAACACCACTGCAGTTCGTATACCTGGCTCCTCTTCCTGCCTACAGATAAATCTCTGCCAAGGTGAAGTGGGAAGGAAATAGGAAAGAAAAGCCAGTGGAGAACCACTTTTCTTATCAATTCCATTAACAAAATACAAAGATTCAGAATCTGAAGTCAGTAGACAGTAAATCACTTCACAGCTAACTTCATGTTCACAGAAGCCCTGTGAAAGATTATCAAACAAGAATTCCTTTTCCTGCATGTTCACAGAGTAGAGATAAGCGTAGGATTTTTCGCTAACTCCTTGCTGAAAAATTAATGAGCATTCAGATAATAAGCTCATTTTTTTCCCAAGCCAAATCAGGAAGTTACTTTCTTTCATTCTAGCAGCACAAAGTGAAGCTGGAACCAGATAATATTTGAACCAGATAATTTAATTTTGTAAATATTCCAATAAATGTTTTCTTTATTTTTTTCCATTTTGAGGGAAAAAAAACAACAACTAAGAATTTCTCCTTCATATGATGCTTTGAGAGAACTGTTGAATAATAAACCTTAACTCCAACTAAGGGGTTAATATTTTCGGTCTTTGGATGAAATATGATGGTTGTTAAAGGAAGAGTAGTGATGCTTAGCACTGGAGAGTTAACAGGCCCATATTTCTTAGAAAACTAGATAAAACAAATGGGTTTAAGTGATATCTGAATAATTTTAAGTAAATTTTAAAAAAATCTTTTAAGATTGTCTTCACAACAATATGTAAGAAGTAGAGAAATTCATTGTTTTGAAATGGTTCAGAGGTGAAAAATGCAATATATATTTCCAAATCTCAAACTCTGAGCTGCGCATTTCTCAGAAACCACTTGGCAGTATAATTATAAACTAAACTCATATTACATTATCTGAATTACTTTCTATAATATCCATTCCTTGTTATATATCTCCTCCTTGAAACATTTCTCCTTTATATATTTTAAATACTGCATTGCTCATAATTATAGAGATACTTAACATTTAGGCTTTATGGAAAATAAAACATCTTAAAAGTGATTACGTTCTAATTTGTCTAATAGCATGAATTCTAAGTCTATATTATTTATAAGAAATAATATTCATCTGAGCTGATCCTTCTCCTCCCCCTCATGCACCAGTGGTAAGTACGTGACCCAGAATGAGCCATCTAGTATACCTCGCCACAGTAATTTTCTCCAGGGTAGGAATAAAATTGGGTCAAGACACAAAATAATTATTTCTTCCTTGGCTATTTTGTAGTGAAGTCCTATTTTTTTTTTTTGGTCAAATGTATGAACAAAAAGAGAAATCTAGACTTGATCCCAAGATTCTGACTAAAATTTAGCTATCCTTGAAGCCAGAAGTCTCCTAGAGGTTTCAGTTTATGTAGCGCAATATATACTCTACTTGTGTAAGCAACATGGGTTCAGGATTTTGGCACTTATAAAGAAAAATCACTGTGTAATGAAAGAGGAATTAAACTTATATGTGGAATTCCAGGAATATGAGCCAAGAAGTGAGAAAAGATAGTTTTTTGCTTTGTTTTGATTCTAAAGATGGTGCTCCCAAGCTGTCATTGTTAGATCTTCCCTATGTCAAATACAGATTTTTAAACATGTAGTTACCCAATTATCACTCTTGTTGGGCATCATCTGTATTTCCTCATGAAGAATACCACTGTATTTCATACATTTTGGTAAGAACAGCTTGCGACTTATGGAGAAACACAACACTTTTGGCCTAAAGAGATAAATTACTCACCTTGAACATCTTGAGGAAAGGTGTGTAAATGCACTCTTTTAAAAAATGTAGCATATAAAATATAAATTTTATACTTATTTATTTGATCTCTCTGATCAAGAATTTTCCAAAGCATTCTTCTCAGATGGTGATAAAAGTAGTTGGTAACCACATCTGTCTTTTAACCTCCTTTTAGTGGATTTGCATGTGAAATACGGCAGGTTTACAGCGTATGAGTAAAGGAATGGAAATGACAATTAGACATAGACATTTCATTTTTATGGTGTTTGTGGTATTTTCCTATTAAAAAAAACATAGGTCCTTGATTGACTGTTTAATATTTACTGAGTACCAATATGAGCTCAGTGATATACTTTATTACTGCACTTTGAGATCTCTATGTTTGTACTGCTTCTACTCACTTTGAAAAGAGCATAATCTCTGTTGCCATTGCATCCCATTCTAGGAGACAGAGCAAGACTTTGTCTCAAAAAAAAAAAAAAAAAGAAAAGAAAGGAAAAAAGAAAAGAGCATAATCGCTGGATCAAATGTACTTAGAATATTTGTTGCTAATTTTAGAATATTTGTTGCTAATTTCAGCTAGCAAATGCAGCCATGGCATATTGATATTGTTAAATATAGACATTGTTACAATGAACATGTAGATAATAATATTTCATTGTTTCCTTTATGTATCTGTGTGGAAATTTTTCAAGCAATAGGCTGTAAAAAATTAAGTGCTTTTGTTGACTAAAAATAAACTGTGTCAACAGCAATGGGAAGTTAAGGTAAATATATTTGGAAACAAAAACTTTCAATGAGGGTTTCCTATGTGCCAGTTTCTGTTCTACCTAGGTGCTTTTGCATAGAATTCTTATATCTTATTCTGCAATTCTGGTAATGGGAGATGGATTCAAGAAAATAGATTAGATGGGGGGAAAAGGAAAGAAAATAAAGGAATCACAAAGAAAGTAATATAATGTTTCCAAGGAGGCCAGTCTCCTCAGATATTTCTTTTCTATCCCTGACTATGGCATTAGAATGAATTGACTTTCGAAAAATGTTGAGAGGAAAGATGAAATAAGTCAATTGGACTTAAAGACTAATTTTTCAAGAAAGCTTATAGCACAGTGGAAATATGAGATCATTAGAAATATGCTTTTAGTAGTTGTATCTAAACTGATAAGGATAGTACAATTCAGGCATATGGTTTGGGGAGAAAATGAGATATGCTAAGATCTTAATACAATATTTCTACAGCCAGATTTTTCAGTGAGGATTCAGTCAAGGAAACAGAATCACTATGAGTATTATGGATGAGAGATTCACTATATAAATTTGACCTTTTACCTTTATGGAAGTAGCTGGGGCAGCAAAAGGCTGGGAGAGAAATTAGAGAAACAGAGAAATTGCTAACCAATCAATCTGAAAAGATAAGCATGTCCAGGCACAAATGTGGGACTGAGAAAGAAAACCTCATGGTGAGATCTACAAGAAGCGGCTGCTCTGTGTAGCTGTCATCTCTGTGGGTCCATGGCTAAGCATGTGGTATGGGCCTGGAGCCATGTTGGTTGATGCAATTAGAAAGAAGAACTGAGAAGAGCAAGGAGAAGTTGGAACCCATCGGTGTGTGACAACCTTCAGGGAGTAAGGATCCCTGCTTCTCTCCCATTTTCCAAATCTTATGTACACATTGCTTTTAGCCAACTCTAACCTAGAACCCTACAGGGAAAGGGATTCTGAAAAACATAGTTCCAGCTTAATAACATCAACAGAGTCCAAAACATGACCAAGGTTTGAATATCAAGTTGTCTAAAACTGACCTTTAGAGAAGAAAATCAACCAAAGGGAGTGTATAACCTTGAACAATGCATGCAGAAAAGCACATACCGAGTAGAGGATATATACAACACTTTAACTTGACTAAAGACAATCCATTTTGACCAAAATTTTGGTGTTTATATATGTATAGCTATTGACTGTGACTATGAAAGTGTTGTTCATAAAAACTGACTCCAGGAAAGGCAATGTCACACACAAAACCAAAGTACAAATGATTAGAGAAGAGCAGTTTTCCTGACTAGACAAAGAAAAGCTGCTTGTATTTAGCATTAAAACATAAAGAATGAATGAACAAATGCAAAAAGTCTGAGATAGATGAAAGATACAGAGTAGTCACAGAAAAACTAAAGAAAAGTAGTAGCTATTACGGTTTAAAGAAATTATTGCATAGAGATTGCATAGAGGATTCAAGAGGGACTGCAATGACACCTTTTTTTTTTTTTTTTTTTTTTTTTTTTGAGATGGAGTCTCGCCCTGTCGCCCAGGCTGGAGTGCAGTGGCACGATCTCTGCTCACTGAAACCTCCACCTCCCGGGCTCAAGCGATTCTCCAGCCTCAGCCTCCTGAGCAGCTGGGATTACAGGTGTGCCACCACGCCCAGCTAATTTTTGTATTTTTTTAGTAGATACTAGGTTTCACCATGTTGGCCAGGCTGGTCTTGAACTCCTAACCTCAGGTGATCCGCCTGCCTTGGCCTCCCAGAGTGCTGGGATTACAGGCGGAGCCACTGCGCTCAGCCTGGAATGACACACTTTTAAATATCATTGTCTGAGAAGAAAATTACTAGCATGGGAGGACAATACAGATTCCACGGACTGAACAATGACAAAACAGACAACTGGTAGAGCATAGGGCATCTAGTTAGCTATCTTTTGCTACAACATTGGAATAGTTCTTGATAAAGAGAAATGAGCCACTAAACAGAAGAAGACTATTATTTGAAAAAAATCGTAATAAATATCCCTCTATATTAACCTTTTAGTTAATTCATGATATTTTACTTACTGTGTTATTACAGATTATTTTAGAATTTGCATTTAATTATGAAGTACAATTTGAAGTAATCCATTTGTTATTAAAATACAAAACCCCTTATCCAAGTGGAAATAACCATTTCAAAATAATCTTGATGTACTTATTGGTAATTGCTTACCAACTGGTTCACTGACATTTAGCTGACTCAAACATGAACTGGTCATAATGGGTGTCTCTCTTAGAATACAATTTTATATGTGTTGCTGCATACTGTTAGAAAATTACTAGCAGTTTCCTTAAACATTTCCAACTGTTCTATCTCCCCTCCTTCATCACAGAAGTTGGAAGACTAATGCTACATTGTCATTCTCCATTGCAGGCAGAGTTCAATATCTATTGAAATTTTATAAATAAGAAATACTCATGAGATTTGAAAGAAAGTAAAGCTTAGAACAGCCTAGCAAGTAAGATCTGGCATATATGAATATTTGTAGCTGACTGCATATTTTTGTATTTAGCCACAAGTTTCATAGTTGTGAGCCAAACATAGAAGACGCAATGGTGATAGCTATACCTGAGCCATGTGGGCTCCCCATCTTTCAACCAATATTGTAACCAAATACTTCCTCTATTGGCTTGTTCCTGATTGAAATACCTGAAAGGCATTCTTACACTAGTTTCGTACATTAAACTTTGACAGGTACACATGAGCCTCTTTGAATCACTACTAGGTCACATATATGTCAACTGGAATCCTAATCAACTACCACAGGAGAAACTAAATTATAATTATTTTAACACAATTATTTGCTTCATTGAGAGGAAAAGGGTCCCGCTGGACTGTAGGATAGTGACTATACAGTAGTACGTTTCAAACATCAAAGTATCCTAAGAACGTAAACAATAAGGCTTGCCTTAAACTTAATGTTACTTTTCCTCAATTTCCCCAAATCACCTGTGCCTTCCTTATCTTATAAGCAAGACAAGATATGTGCAAGCCTATTGGAACACTCCTAAGCAATAATTATGAGTGAATTTCAACAATTATACTTGCAGGCATATAAAGGTCATGTGATAGTACCTCTCACCACCCCCCCCAAAAAATGTGTATATATGTTTAACTCTGCAATTGTAAATATGGAAAGAAATTGGTAAAACATATTTAAAATAAATCAATTATTTGTCAATTATATGTTTTACTATTGTGCTTTACTTAGGTTTAGTATTAATAACTCATTTGATATTGTTGATAAGCTTATTTCTACACAGCATACAATGTCCCCACTTGCCTTACTCTCTGGCTTCCCTCAGTTTAAATTAATAATGTTTATCAAGTAAAGACTTCATCTGACCACATCCTGAGCAAGGTACTCAACACACTGATATCTCATACATAGCCGCTGATAGGCTATGCAGTTAGTCTCGCTGAAGCCCTGGTATTTGATGCATAGAAAAGCCCTCCATGGGCCAGGCGCGGTGGCTCACGCCTATAATCCCAGCACTTTGGGTGGCTGAGGCGGGCGGATCACGAGGTCAGGAGTTTGAGACCAGCCTGACCAACATGGTGAAACCTCATCTCTACTAAAAGTACAAAAATTAGCCGGGCTTGGTGGCACAGGCCTGTAGTCTCAGCTACTTGGGAGGCTGAGGCAGGAGAATCACTTACACCCGGGCAGTGGAAGTTCCAGTGTGCTGAGATCTCGCGACTGAACTGCACTGCACTCCAGCCCAAGGGACAGAGCAAGACTCTGTCTCCAAAAAAAAAAGGAAAAAAAAAAAGAAAAAAGAAAAGCCCTCCCTGGTCTACCACCTTTTCCTTCTCTCTTCCACCACTACCCCTCTCACTATCATGTTGCTACATCTTCGTAACTGGATTTCTACCAGCTTGGATTTCTCTACTCAGCACTTGTATGCTCAAATTCTGACACTTCACCAATCAAAGGCAAGCTGGTTGAAGTTCTAACCCTCAATCTTCCTTTTGCCAGCCGCTTCCCCAAAATTGTGTTTCTTCAGCAGTGGCCCTATTCTAAGCAGACTGGTCCACTATTACCTGTGAGAGGTGACAGCGTGCGCCCTCGCTCGCTCTCGGCGCCTCCTCGGCCTTGGCGCCCACTCTGGCCGCGCTTGAGGAGCCCTTCAGCCCACCGCTGCACTGTGGGAGCCCCTTTCTGAGCTGGCCAAGGCTGGAGCCGGCTCCTTCAGCTTGCAGGGAGGTGTGGAAGGAGAGGCGCGAGCGGGAACCTGGGCTGCGCGCGGCGCTTGCGGGCCAGCTGGAGTTCCGGGTGGGCGTGGTCTTGGCGGGCCCCGCACTGGGAGCGGCCGGCCGGCCGGCCCGCCCTGCCGGACCCGGGCAATGAGCGGCTTAGCACACGGGCCACCGGCTGCAGAGGGTGTGCTGGGTCCCCCAGCAGTGCCGGCCCACCGGCGCTGCACTCGATTTCTCGCGGGGCAGGGCTTGGGACCTGCAGCCCGCCATGCCCGAGCCTCCCCCTCCTCCTTGGACTCCTGTGAGGCCCGAGACTCCCCGACGAGCGCCGCCCCCTGCTCCAGGGCACCCAGTCCCATCGACCACCCAAGGGCTGAGGAGTGCGGGCGCAGGGCACGGGACTGGCAGGCAGCTCCACCTGCAGCCCGGTGCGGGATCCACTGGGTGAAGCCAGCTGGGCTCCTGAGTCTGGTGGGGACTTGGAGAACCTTCATGTCTAGCTAAGGGATTGTAAATACACCAGTCGGCATTCTGTATCTAGCTCAAGGTTTGTAAACACACCAATCAGGGCCCTGTGTCTAGCTCAGGGTTTGTGAATGCACCAATCGACACTCTGTATCTAGCTACTCTGGTGGGGACTTGGAGAACCTTTGTGTATACACTCTGTATCTAGCTAATCTAGTGGGGCCGTGGAGAACGTTTGTGTCTAGTTCAGAGATTGTAAATGCACCAATCAGCTCTCTGTAAAACAGACCAATCCCCTCTCTGTAAAATGGACCAATCAGCAGGATGTGGGTGGGGCCAGATAAGAGAATAAACGCAGGCTTCCGGAGCCAGCACTGGCAACCCCCTGGGTCCCCTTCCACACTGCGGTAGCTTTGTTCTTTTGCTCTTTGCAATAAATCTTGCTGCTGCTCACTCTTTGGGTCCACGCTGCCTTTATGAGCTGTAACACTCACCGCGAAGGTCTGCAGCTTCACTCCTGAAGCCAACGAGACCACAAACCCACCGGGAGGAAGAAACTCCAGACGCGCTGCCTTAGGAGCTGTAATACTCACCGCGAAGGTCCGCAGGTTCACTCCTGAGCCAGCGAGACCACGAACCCACCAGAAGGAAGAAACTCCGAACACATCCAAACATCAGAAGGAACAAACTCCGGACACGCCGCCTTTAAGAACTGTTAACACTCACCGCGAGGGTCTGCAGCTTCATTCTTGAAGTCAGTGAGACCAAAAACCCACCAATTCTGGACACACCTGTATTCTTCCAAAAATTGCATGTCATCTGTGTTCTCACTTTATTGTTTCTCAACCAACTTAAAGGGCCCCTTCAGCTCTCCAGGGCTTTCCAAACCCAGGCAGAGTTAAGCATGACCTCTTGGATGCAGCGCGGCTCTGAAGTGCCCTACCTTTCTGCTGAACATGGTCTCCTTAGTCAGGTTACAGTGATCAGTCTTTTTTGCCATTCCATCTTGTCTACTTTAGCGCCTCTCTCTCCCCTTCTGTTAACAGAATAGTCTGAAAGCTCAGCTTTTCTATGCTACCCATGATGAAAGCATTTCAGTTTTTCTTTTCTGTCACACTCTGCAGATCTCATAAATCTTACTCTTTGAGAGCAAGATAAGCAGCTTTCAAGTGTTTAAAAACTTATTTAGATGTTTTTCTGGATGTGTAGCTTTTTATTCTGAAGAGTTGGAAGTTTATAGGGAAGCTAAATAATTATCAATAAATAGTATCAGAGTATTCCACATTCTAGCAGTAAAAGAAATATTGATTAAAAGGACTTCCAAGCTGTTGTGCAACACACACTCTTTTTATTGTTGTTGATTTCTCAACAAATTTTCCTGACCTGTTATTTCAATATAAATAGCTTTTCCAGGAGTTTTACATAGATCAAAAACACAGGATAAAGAAGTATTAGATGTCCTCATGTGTAATACTTGCTTTCTTTATACATGTTTTTTCTTTTGCAAGGAAAATCCCCATATGATATATTAACTGAAGTAAATCGTAACGAGTGCTACTTGTGTTTAAGTTAAAGCTATATTTGGCATACTGAGAATTGATTTTGCTGACATATGAATAATAAGTAAAAACTTGAAAACAAAGTACATTTATTTAAAAAAATAGACAAAATGTTTATTAGCTCCACATGAATGTTCAATTACCACATAAATATTTTGCACAATTAAAAATAATCTTTGTTAATTCTATTTTCTTGGTACTCCTTTCTTATTTTAAAAAATTCAATACATTGGCTAACTATGGGTGCATGTTCTATGACAGCCCTGCTCTGCAAGGAGCAGGATGAATAAATGAACAAATAAATAAAATTCAATAAATTAGAAAAATTATGTTTGATTAAAGTACTGAAATTCTATAGTTCTGGAAGTCCAAGATAAGCCCAGATCTCATAAACCTAATTGAGAAAAGGTGCTTCAAAAGATAATGCCTTCTGAAATAATAAATTGTTTTCTTACTATTATATTCAAGTTTAAAACTGTTTTATTTGAAAGTCAATATAATAAACTCTTGTTTTAAAATTTTAAAGCACCAAATTATCTTTAATGAAAATAAAACATTTAGGCTCCTTTTTAAAAGCTGTATACTTTGAATATATTATAGAAAAACAAATTAAAAATGTGTTAAAGTAATTGCCCTATTGTGATGTATAATGAGAAATAGATACTCCTCAATGTGAGTCCTTAAATCTAAATTTAACTTATTTTAAGCTTGATGTTAAAATTCAGAAAACATGTTTTTCTTTAATCTACTTTTTTTTTACCATAATGTAATCGCCATGAATGTCATATAAGGAAATATAGTGTTAATACAATGTAATTATCTGTAACTTGGACTCCGGGATAATCTAATAATAAGTTTTACTTGAGGAGGAGTCAGGTATAGTTGGGGAATATAAGGTGTAGGAAAAGTAGACAAAAATCTAGTTTGGGTTCCATCCCTAATTGTCTGTATGACCTTGATTATTATTTTAAGAAGTCTGACCTCAATTCTTCAATGAAATGGGTGGGATAAACTGAAAAAGCTACATAGCCCACTTCAACTCTAAAATCCTATATTCCTATGAGTCTAAGTACAGATGTTCCCTTTGGAATTGCTTTCTAAACCAAAAATCAGGGCATGTGATCTCCTGATGAAATTCAGTATTCTTTCCATTTGTGAGAAGCAGTTTAGATGTGGTTGAGATGCCAAAATGATATATGTGAAAGAGTGGTATCACAGTACCCAGAGCATCATAAGCACTCAGCAAATATTAGCGTCCCTGCTTCCCACTCTCTATCCTTCCCACACTGTGGCTAGGATGATTTCCCAACAGTAAGTTTTGATGAAGGGGGAAGTGTCAGGGTGGATTCTAAAGAGAAGACATTGTGAGAGAGGAATATGCATGCAAACTTGTCCCTATGTTGTAACTGGCCTATGGTCCCTGATCCCATCTGACATCTCTGTGTCCTGGTCTAAGCATGGTCTATGCCCGTTATTAATTTTTTTAAACTTGCACATGCAATTGTCCCTAAGTACAGTCTTGCACCAAAGACAGCAGAAGATTGCTTCACTGGCAAGCATCTTAAATTATATCAATTTGACCTGGCTGACAGAAAAGACTTTTTAAAATAAAAACAAGTCACCTGAGCAAATATAAACTCCTGAAACTTCTTGTGGCCAAATTTTGTGCGGTCATTTCTGAAAAGTGACCCTCAACAAAAACACACTAGCTGCATATCAGAATAACCTGTGGAACTTTCTCAAATTCAGGGGCGCTTTTTGTACTCTCTGGTGAGTGTTATGTGATACATTGCAAGATCTTGCCCTGTCTCTTTTGAAAATTACTGCTATTAGAGCTTTGAGTGATGGTGAGAATATGATGTAACCTTCGAGTGAGAATAATTGGCAGCATAAATGGTTGAAAATGTAGCATACTGCTACATTTCTTGATTATACCAAAGAAGCAGTTAGTTTAATGTACTTCTTCTCCTTCTCACAATGTATAATCTTTCCAAACACATATCATAAATGTAGACACTACATAATTTTTTATTTTGATGCATTTACTAAAGAGGTAGCACTGAAAGTTGAGTGAAGTAACTGTCTTTTTTTTTTAGTCCCATTTTTCTAACTGGATGAATTTGGGAATGTAGCATTCAAGGTACCTGAGGTAGATGTGTATAGCAAACTATTGTTACACATGTCTAAAACTTAGGCCCATGTTGGGGTACTGATAAGAGCAAAGAGTTATTTCAAATTACTTAATTAACTTCATTGCTTTTTGAATTTACCCAGAGACAAATTTATTCTAATATTTAAGGAAGCTTGGCTGAGAAAATAAGACAAAAGGTATGATACTTTGAAGATATAGTTGTAATTTAAAGGAAAAATTTTGATGATACAGATGACAATGAAAGATATTTTAGAAAAGAGTGAGTAGAAAGAAATGTCAGCAGTACAAAAGAAAAAAGAAGCAAGCTTCTGCAGTAAATGGGAGGAAGTTTAATTCAGAATTCAAGGGTCATACTACCAGACTTATTAGCATTAATGAGTCTCATTTGTTGTCAAAATTAAGCAGATAAATCATTTACCAAACACCATGAATTGTTACCCACTCATGTTTGCAGAATGGATGAATAAAATATATACATAATAAAAATGTTATGATTAATATTTCTGGCCTCTAAAGCTCTTGGACCACAAATAGAAGGAAATTAAATCCTTTAAAGGGAAGACACCATACAGGGCAAAGTATCTCAAGTTGTTCAGCATATGAACCAAAAATTATCAGACAGAAAAAATATATTGTCATATTTCTGCCCTTTATAAGTCAGGACTGATTAGTAATTTACTGACAGAAAAGAAATTCTAAATTAGAATCCTGAAAATTCCTAACCTCAAGGGATTTTTTGTCTGTGAATTTTTTTTTAATTTACTAGGTAACAAGATATTAACAGTGAATCCTAAAATAAATAACATTCTAATTTCTAGTATGTCTAATATTTGTACAGAGTTGGTTATTGGACAATACATTTTAATCACACAATTATTTAAAAAAAGAGACTATACTATATTAAGCAATTAAATTATTCCTGATGTAAATTCCAAATTTTGGGCTCTTGCATATTTTAGAATCCATTATCAATACTTTTGTTTGTTTTCTTTCCTAACTTTGGAAGCCTTAAGCAATGTAAGCAAAAAAAAATTTTTTTTAATTATTTGCCAGATTGTTTTCGGTTAATCAGTTACTCGCAGTATAGACTATCACTCATCTCCTGGCTTAACCTAAATCACAGAGCTTCCAAGTTCACATCTTATGCAGAAAGCCACAAATGTTTAGGTCTCTCACCTTGTTCTTAATGTTTTTTTGATCCAATGTAATGTGAGCTACATATGGATTTTAAATTCTAGTAGCCATATAAAAAATATTATTTTAAAAGAGGTATATTTTTAAAAATAGACTTTATTTTATAAAACAGATTTTATCTTACAGAAAATTGATATTATAATGCAATGATGATGAAATCAGCTGAGACTGTTAGAGATTTCATTGAATCTATAGATGAATTTGCTAGTATCACTATCTTTACCATATTAAGTCCTCCGATCCGAAAATATGGAATTTTATTCCATTTATTTAGAACTCCTTTTTTTTAACAAAGTTTTTTAGTTTCCAAAGAATAAGCATTGCACTTTTGTTAAATTTAAACCTAAGTGTTTTATTCTATTAGATGTTACTGTAAATTAAATTTTTTCTTAATTTCCTTTTTGGAATATTTATTGCAAGTGCATAGAAATATCGATTTTCATATATTGATCCTGTATTTTCTCCCATCTTGCTGAATTTGTTTAGTAATTCTAATTCTTTTAGTGGATTCCTTAGAATTTTCTCTATATAGCACCATGTTATCCACAAGCAGAGATAGGGTTTACTTTCTTTTGAATGTGAACATCTTTTATTTATTTTTTCTTTCTTAATTTCCTTGGTTAGAAAGTCAGGGTTATCTGGTTATTCAAAGATATAGAACCAGTTAAAACAAAATGTGTGTGTGTGTGTTTGTGTGCGTGTGTATGTGAAAAGATTTATTACAATGAATTGGCTTATATAATTTTGGAAGTGGGTGAATCAGAAATACACATGCAGACCAGGTGGCTGAAAATTCTCTAGCAAGAGCTATGTTACAGGAAGAATATGTTCTTTAAAAATCCCCAATTTTGCTCTTAAGTGCTTTCAACTGATTGTATGAGGCTCACCTATATTATAGAGAATATTTTTTACTGAAAGTCACCTGACTGTAGATGTTAACTACATCTACAAAATACCTTAACAGCAACACACGTTAGTGTTTGACCAAATCTCTGGGCACTATGGCCTAGCCAAATTGACACATTAAACCAAGTATCAGAGTCTACTCCTTGTCAACTTGGTACCCATATATGTATTCTATCTCAATTTCCGAATATTTAAAATGGACATAATATCTAGCAAGATGAATTTTTTATGAAAATTTGATATGATAAGATATATAAAGTTATTAGTAAAACAATAAGCATATAGTATTGCTAAATAAACATTGCCCTCTTTCCTGTATGTGTATATTTTTCTGTAAATATTCATTTAAATTATTCCTTCATTTATATCCCAAACAATTTTGTTCAGGTCAGTTCTTTATTATGTGTCTACACTTTAAAAATTTATTTTCAGGTCTATATAATAACAGCTGTTCCTTTTGATCCAGTAAATAATTCCAAATTCTAGCTCTGTTTACATGCCTATTCTGTTAAAAAATATAGTCAATATTTACCCACTCTCACCTATTGAGCTCAAAATAAAATAATTATGATATTTCACAATACAGCTTCTACTCAAACTCTTCTTATTTCACTATTCATACACAGTTACACATTTTTTTTTAAATTGCCATTTCAGGAAGGTCTTACATGACATTACTGAAACCCCTCCTCAGATGCTGGTTTTCTCCAAATGGAAGGCTTTTTGTGTTTCAATCTGACCACTTATTCTCACTCCAGAATAAAGGCTTGTTATGTTTAGATTTGTATATTGTAATTTCGATTCATTATACAATGAGTAAAAGTGACACTCTGGTAAATTCTGTTCTACTCATTTGAGATAAGGTATTCCCATTAGAATGATAATTTCTCTTGAAATAAACATGACCATTTTCTTTTTGTCAGTCAGATCTTCTTTGATTTTTTTTTTCTTTTTGAGAGAACTTGACCCCGTATAGCTTGTTTGGTTACCTTGTTTGACTATCTGATTGTATTTATTTGAACTGAGATTTCCCGGATCAAATAAGTATATGACTGTGTGAAACTCTCACAGATGTGTAAATTACAAATTTTGTATTACAGGACATTGGTAAGATGAAAATAGCACATTAGCAAAGAGATAAGGTCAATGAGAATTAATAGAACAAACAGCCTACAGTTTGAATTGAGTTTCTACTGAACTGAAGGTTACTATAACATGCATCTTCACTACATTTTGAATGTAAATGAAGCTGAAGAGACTGAACAGAGAAGTTTGGAGTGTAAATACCACAGTGAGGTTATACACAGCATTTTAGTTTGGTGTATAGATAATAATATTTCTAGTCTCACAGTTTCACAATTTCAAAAGCTAGAATATTCGTGTCCAAATCTACAGAGAATTTTTTTAAAAATTATTCAAAATAAATTCAAATAACTACCAAATCTAAAGTCTAATACAGTAAATAATGCATATGGTTCATGTATTTCTATTTTTTTAATTCTAAAATTTTCAAACAATAGATTACTAACTTTAAAATCAACAATTCCTTAACAATCATTCTTGAATATAGGGATAATTTCTTCATGCTTATAAATTGTGCTATAATTTTTTTTAGTTCTATAGAAATCACATACTTTGCATTTTCCTGAGTTAATTTATATTATACATATAAACTATAAATATGTAAGCATATATATGTAATAACTTTTAGTATAATTATTTTATATTAACTTATTTTAATTATGGCTGAAAGTTCTCTGGATCTATGTGAGAAACTTTCTGAGATCAATTCAGCATGATAGAAATCTAAAGAATTAAATAGTAAGCAAGTAATTGAAATTCATATGTGGATACTGCCACTCATTCTATAAATAAGGATTTTGTATTCTGATCATTGGTACTAGGAAACAGAAGCTTTTTGTCCTCCTCACTCAAAGTCATACCCTCCATGGGCTTCATTATTTTATTTCACTTTCAAGACCTCAGACTAGGCACTTACCCTCCTTAAATACAATCTTTGTCACTAGTCTCTATCACCTGCTACCCCAGTGCTCACAACTGCCCATACTTACCCACTGAACTTAGGCTTGACCAGACTGTAATCAGCCTTCTCTATGATCCATATGTTCTCACACTTTGGCTTGTTCCCAGGATTGTGCAAGCAGCAAAACACTATGGGGTAGAATACTGCTCTTAGTAGCTCATTCTGACAATCAGCCCAATCACACAGAGAAACAATTCCTTTTGAAGCATTCTGATTTACCAACTGGTCACCACCCACACTTGCCCTCTTCTCCCACAAAGCTCCTGCTAGTCCTACTTATCCATTTATATAAAAGATATGTTTGCAAATTTTTGAGATCAGGGCATCCTACTTATTGTGGTGCACTTTTTCAAAAAAAATGAAGGCTCTACTTATCTAAGTCTAGATTTACTTTTATTTTTATATTCACCTTCTCTCTCACAACAGTAGCTAATCACTGATCAATTGTGTCCTTCATACTTTATACCCTACCTAGATGTGGTCATACCAACCATTAATTCTTTTTTATTCTCGCTTCTAGACATTGACACAACCAAACTATGTTCCTATAAATTAATATTCCCAGATTTATTATTAATCGTTCAGTAACAAATGGTTCACATGCATTGTATAATGCTGCATTTTACAACCCTGCCTTATGTGCGCTGTATATTAAATGGTATAATGAGTCCTATGGTGGGAGCACCTGCTTAAATTTTTGCTATGTTAACCACGAAAGATTTTATCTTAACTACTATTACATTTTCTAAACTATTTTTAAAGAGTTGAAAATTGCTGCCTCAATATTTCCAAGAAAAACAAGATAATTAGCATACAGATGTTTAAAATTTTCATCAAGGTTAACAATTCTGCCCTAGATACTAGACTATCTAGATACCACCTAGAAACTGCCCTAGATAGTTGAGAGTCATGTCATTTATCTGTGGTTAACTCTTTGACATTCCTCCTCCACTCTCCTTTCTTTCTCTTAATATTCACCACAAAATACTCCAGGAAAATAACCTTGACCCTTGCTTTAATTTACTCTGTATTCTGCTGGTTACACAAACCTGTAATCCTAGTAAATATACATTATTTTATCGTGTCTCTTACTACTAATTTATAATCACATTCGCTTTGGATCTGTACTTCCTCACTTCCTCTAAAATTGCTCTCTTTTTTTTTTCTCTTCAATTTCACTGTTAATTTTAGGTTTTTTTCTGAATTTTGGAATAGTCCCTTGATTTTTCTCTCTTTTAATTTGTTTTTAAATGCAACTTGTAGAGTTATTTTATTCTTCTTGAAAGAATTCTAATTATAATGCAGACTAGTCAAAACATTCAAAATAGAAAGTTTTATCTCCTCATCTTACATAAAAGACCAAAACTACAATCCCACTTAGCTCCCTGACATATTTTTTGATATCTCATGAAATAACCATTAACTTAGTCCAAATAATAGATCCACTGCTATCGGAATGTAATTTATTTTTCCTTTCCTATTATTTTTATTGTGCTTAAATTCCTTTTTAATTTTTATCTAACATCATACATGATAAATATTAATAATTTGGAGTGAATTAATAACAAATATAGGAAACAATTTTTAAAATTTTTTTAATTTTTAAAATTTCCTCCAAATGACAATATTTTTAAATGACTTTTTAGAAGTCTATGGAAGACTATGGAAGAATTTTTTTTTTAAACTTCATGTACATTATTAGACTTCCATTTTTCAGTTTTACATGTAAGGTGCTTGAAAGTCAACAGCTGTCCTAATAACAAGTAAAGAGATGACCACACTGAAAAATTAACAACTCTTCTTGGATTCATAAGAGATGGGAGGACCCAGGACAAACCGCTATCCCCAAGATGAGAGTTACAGACTAAATTGCCTCATGCCTCTGGCTGAGGGAAAGGAAATCTTTTTTTTTTTTTTTTTTTTTGAGACAGAATCTCGTTTTATTGCCCAGGCTGGAGTGCAGTGGCGCGATCTCAGCTCACTGCAACCTCTGCCTCCCGGGTTCAAGTGATTCTCCTGCCTCAACCTCCCAAGTAGCTGGAATTACCGGTGCTTGCCACCACACCCGGTTAATTTTTATTTTTTATTTTTTTATTTTTAGCAAAGATAGAGTTTCACTATGTTGGCCATGCTGGTCTCAAACTCCTGACCTCAAGTGATCCGCCCACCTCAGCCTCCTAAAGTGCTGGGATTACAGGCTTGAGCCACCGCGCCCGACCAGAAATACTCAAGAGCACTGTGTTATTCCTAACAAGCCTTGCCCTCAGGGGAAACAAGTTAACTAGAGTCTAACCTGCTGAGATATTATGAGACTAAATTACCTCAAGAGGGAAAATACCCAACTCCACTCAGCTGTAACTTTCTGCATATGAGAAATACCCAACCCCAGCCATTCAAGCTATACTGGCCCACCTACAGGGAGAGAAAAAACAAAACAAACAAACAAAAAAAAACAGAAACATTTGTGAAGTTCTCAGTCCAGAGGCATAAACTCACTGAAAGCCTCAGTGAGACCTAATCATAGGACTATAAAATGTTTTCCCTACCCTACACCTTACCACCACATTACTAAAGGCCTATTTGCATTAGTTCCTTTTATGTGGTACAGCATGTCTGCCTAACAAGAAAAAATCACAAGACATGCCAAAAGGAAAAAAAAAATTAAAGAGACAGAGCAAGCGTCAGAACCAGACATGATAGAGATGTTGAAGTTATGACACTGGAAATTCAAAACAAACATAATTAATATGCTGAGACTATCTATAACGGGTAGACAGTGTGAGAGAACAGATGAGCAATATGATCAGAAGTGGCAATCCTAAGAAAAATCAAAAAGAGGCCGGGCGCGGTGGCTCACGCCTGTAATCCCAGCACTTTGGGAGGCCGAGGCGGGTGGATCATGAGGTCAGGAGATCGAGACCATCCTGGCTAACAAGGTGAAACCCCGTCTCTACTAAAAATACAAAAAATTAGCCGGGCACGGTGGCGGGCGCCTGTAGTCCCAGCTACTCGGGAGGCTGAGGCAGGAGAATGGCGTGAACCCGGGAAGCGGAGCTTGCAGTGAGCCGAGATCGCGCCACTGCAGTCCGCAGTCCGGCCTGGGCGACAGAGCGAGACTCCGTCTCAAAAAAAAAAAAAAAAAAAAAAAGAAAGAAAAATCAAAAAGAAATGCTAGAGATCAAAAGCACTGTAACAGAAATAAAGAATGCCTCTGATGGACTTACTAGTAGCCTGAGAATAGTCGAGTAAAGATTCTCTGAGTTTGAGAACTTATCAACAGAAACTTCAAAGGTGAAAAGTAAAAAGAATAGACTGAGAAAGAAAAACCATATCTAAGAAACAACTACAAAAGATGTAACATATACACAATGTGAACACCAGAAGAAGCGTGAGAAAAAGGAAAACAAGAAATATTTGAAACAATAATGACTATACATTTCACCACATTAATGTCAGACAGCACAACACAAATCCAGGAAGCTCAGAGAACACTAAGAAGAATAAACACTAGTATAAGCTACACTAAGACATATTATTTCAAACTATAGAAAATTAATGATGAAGAAAAATTAAAGGAAGCCAGAGAATAAAAACACCTTTTCTATAGAGAACTAAAGATAATAATTACATCCAACTTCTTCTCAGAAACCATGCAAGCAGTAAGAGTGGAGTGAAATATTTAATATTTAAAGCATTGAGTGAAAAAATAAAAAACCATCAATCTAGAATTATATATTCTTTGAAATTATCTTTCAAAAACTGAAGGAGAAATGAAAACTATCTCAGACAAACAAAAATTGAGGGAATTTCTTGTCATCAAATCTAAGATTATTCTATTATAATATTACTCAAATTATCCATGAAGTGGTATATTGTTATTTGAAAGTGTCTTGGATTAGTTATAAATGTATATGGCAACCTCTAGGGCAACCACTTACAAAATGAAAAATTATTAGCTGGGTATGGTGGTGCACACTGTTTTCCTAACTGCTCTGAAGGCTGAGGCAGGAGAATTGATTGAACCCAGGAGTTAGAAGCTGTAGTGAGCTATGATCACACTGCACTCTAGACTGGGCAACACAGCAAGATACTGTCTCAAAAAAAAAAAAGAGAAAAGAAAAGAAAGAAAAAAATAACAATATACCAATGAAGGAAAGAAGAGAAAATAAAATTATGTAAAATATTCCATCCAAACTACAAAAGGTGAAAAAAATATGAAAACAAAAAATAGGAACAAAGGACAAGGAGGCAAGAAATAGAAAATAGTAACTGTAATCTGTTAAATAATGTGGATATTAATCCAAGTATATCAACAATCATTTTCTTTTTTGTGTCTTTTTGTTTTTGAGATAGGGTCTTGCTCTGTTGCCCAAGTTGGAGTGCAGTGGTGCAATCATGGCTCACTTCAGCCCTTTGACCTCCTGGGCTCAATGGATCTTCCTGCCTCAACCACCTGAGAGTGAGGACCACAACTGCACACCACCACACCTGGCTAATTTTTTAAATTAACTTTTTGTAGAGATGAGGGTCTCACCACGTTGCCCAGGTTGGTATCAAACTCCTGGGCTCAAGCAATCCTCCTGCCTCAGCCTCACAATATTTTGGAATTATATGCATGAGCCACCGTGCCCAGCTCAATAATTATTTTGAGCATCAGTGGTCTAAGTGCACCAATTTAGAGATAGAGATTGTCAGAGTGGATTAAAATACAAGATCCAACTATATATTATCTACTAGAAAACTACTAGAATAGGTAGCAAGACAGACATGAGCAGGGCAGAACACCACCACTGTCTCTCTAAAATAATAATTTGTCATAGCCGGCACCAGGAAAAGGCAGTCTCCCAATACATGGAAACACCTGAAGCAGACAGACGCGGTGGCTTATGTCTATAATCCCAGCACTTTGGGAGGCCAAGGCCTGCAGATCATGAGGTCAGGAGTTCAAGACCAGCCTAGCCAATATGGTGAAAACTTGTCTCTACTAAAAATACAAAAAAAAAAAAAAATATCTAGACATTGTGGCATGCAACTGTGGTCCCAGGTTGAAGGAGGCTGAGGCACAAGAGTTGTTTGAACCTGGGAGGCGGAGGTGGCAGTGAGCCGAGATGGCATCACTGCACTGCAGCCTGGGTGACAGAGCAAGACTCTGTATCAAAAAATAATAATAATTATTATTATTATTATTAGAAGGAGTACACTAAAAAACATGATTAAAAAGCATAGTATCATAAATAAGTAAACCAGCAACATAGTCATTTTTTGCAGGAAGTCAGGGACCCCGAACGGAGGGACCAGCTGAAGCCGCGGCAGAAAAACATAAATTGTGAAGATTTCATGGACATTTATCAGTTCCCAAAATTAATACTTTTATAATTTCTTATGCCTGTCTTTACTGCAATCTCTGAACACAAATTGTGAAGATTACATGGACATTTATCACTTCCCTAATAATATTTTTATAATTTCTTACGTCTGTCTTTACTTTAAACTCTTAATCACGTTATCTTCATAAGCTGAGAATGTATGTCACCTCAGGAAGACTATTGTAGAAATTGATGGTAAAACATGTGTGTTTGAACAATATGAAATCAGTGCACCCTGAAAAAGAACAGAATAACAGTAATTTTCAGGGAATAAGGGAAGATAACCATAAGGTCTGATTGCCTGCAGGGTCGGGCAGAATACAGCCATATTTTTCTCTTGCAGAGAGCCTATAAATGGACATGTGAGTAGGAGAGATATTGCAAAATTCTTTTCCCAGCAAGGAATATTAATAATTAATACCCTGGGGAAGGAATGCATTCCTGGGGGGAGGTCTATAAACTGCCACTCTAGAAGTGTCTGTCTTATGTGGTTGAGATAAGGACTAAAATATGCCCTGGTCTCCTGCAGTATCCTTAGGCTTACTAGGATTGAGAAATTCCAGCCTAGTAAATTCTAGTCAGACCGATTATCTGCTCTCGAACCCTGTTTCCTGTTAAGATGTTTATCAAGACAATACGTGCACAACGGGACATAGACCCTCATCAGCACAGTGGGACATAGACACTCATCAGTAATTCTAATTTTGCCTTTGCCTTGTGATCTTTATTGCTCTTTGAAGCATGTGATCTTTGTGACCTACTCCCTGTTCGTACACCCCCTCCCTTTTTAAAATCCCTAATAAAACTTGCTTGTTTTGCAGCTCAGGGTCATCATCACAGTCCTACCAATATGTGATGTCACCCCCAGAGGCCCAGCTATAAAATTCCTCTCTTTGTACTCTTTCTCTTTATTTCTCAGACTGGCCAACACTTAGGGAAAATAGGAAAGAACCTACAATGAAATATTGGGGCTGGTTCCCCCAATAGTCATTTATTATCGACTACAAATACAAATAGACATTTGTTTTCTTATTCTGTTTTATTTCTAGAAATAAAGCTATTATGTGCATTCTTATACATATCTACTGGTACAGATGTGTAAGAATATTTCTAGGAAAAAAATTGCATATACTGAACTTCACAGGCTAATCCATAATCGTTCTCAAAAGTGTTTGTGACCAGGCGTGGTGGCTCACACCTGTAATCCCAGCACTTTGGGAGGCTGAGGCGGACAGATAACGAGGTCAGGAGATCGAGACCATCCTGGCTAACACGGTGAAACGCCATCTCTACTAAAAATACAAGAAAATTAGCTGGGTGTAGTGGTGGGTGCCTGTAGTCCAAGCTACTCAGGAGGCTAAGGCAGGAGAATGGTGTGACCAGGGAGGTGGAGCCTGCAGTGAGCCGAGATCACGCCACTGCACTCCAGCCTGGGCGACAGAGCGAGACTCCATTTCAAAAATAAATAAATAAATAAAAGTGTTTGTTTCCATTTATATTCCACTGAGAGTATTGTTCTAGCCATTATTAATGCTTGGTGTTTCTCCAAGTTACTAGCTTTGGGTGCTTATATGTTTTGTTTTTCAATCTGGTAAGTATGAAATGGTATTCAATTGCGTATTTACTTTCTACTTTTCATACTAATAAAGATGCTGAAATTTCATAAAATCTTTATCAACTAGTTTTATTTTTTCTTCTGTGAAATATTTGAACATGATTTTACCCCAGTATTTTGTTGCAGTGCTTGTGTCTCTTGCTAATAGATAGACAATCTTTACACATTCTGAACACTAAAACATTTCTGGCTGTATGGGAAGCAAATGTTTCCTGCCAGTTTTTCCCTTTCTGTTTATCCCTTATGTTGTTATTTTTAGTTGTATAAAGATGTTCTTCATTTAAATGCAGTCAAATTTATCAGCATTTATTTTTATGATTTGAACATTATGTTTTCTTAAGATGTTTTTAGAAATATTTTAGGTTCAGAGTAAAAGGGCAAGGTATAGAGATTTCCCCTATACCCTTTAGCTTGTCATTAGTGACATGCCCCACTAGAGTGGTACATTCTTACAATTATGAGCCTATACTAACACATCATAATTACCCAAAGCCCATAGTTTACATTAGGATTCACTCTTGATGTTATACATTCTATGAGTTTGGACATATGTAAAATGCCCATTTTACATTAGCATAATGTAAAATCCAACATTTACTACCAAACAGAGCACTTTCACTGCCCTATAAATCCTCTGTGCTCTGCCTATTCAGCATTCTCTCCTCCCTAACCCCTTGGAACGACTGATCTTTTCCCTCTCTCCATGGTTTTGGCTTTATCATAATGCCATGCAGTGGGAATCATACAGCATGTAGTCTTTTCAGATTGGCTTCTCTTGATAATATGGATTTATGATTCCTCCATGACTTTTTGTGGTTTGATGTCTTCATTTTAGTGCTGAAGAGTGTTTTATTTTTTGATGCACCACATTTTGTTTATTCATTCACCTATGGAAGGAATTTTAGTTGCTTCCAAGCTTTGATAATTATAAATAAAGATTATATAAACATCTGTGTGTGGATCTTTGTGTGAACATAACTTTTTAACTTCTTTAGGTAAAAACCAAGCAGTGTGATTGCTGGATTATATTGTCAGAGTATGTTTACTTTTATAAGAAATTGGGTGGCTCATGCCTGTAATCCCAGCACTTTGGGAGGCTGAGGTGGGTGGGTCATGAGGTCAGGAGATCTAGACCATCCTGGCTAACATGGTGAAACCCTGTCTCTACTGAGAAATGCAAAAAATTAGCCCGGCGTGGTGGCAGGTGCCTGTAGTCCCAGTTACTTGGGAGGCTGAGGCAGGAGAATGGCATGAACCCTGGAGGCGGAGCTTGCAGTGAGCCGAGATAGCACCACTGCACTCCAGCCTGGGTGACAGAGCGAGACTTTGTCTCAAAAAAAAAAAAGGAAATTGGCAAACGGTCTTCCAAAGGGGCTATATCATTTTGAATTTCCTCCAGCAATGAATGAGAGTTTCTTTACATCCTTGCCGGCATTTGGTGTTATTAATGTTTCAGATTTTGGCCATTCTGATAGGTGTGTAGTGGTATCTAATTGTGTTAATTTGCATTTTCCTGATGAAACTTGGATACGGTATTGACATTAATATGATAATATTTGTTGGATTTTAATAAAATTATTAATTGCACAAATAATATAATAATTTTTTTTTTGCCTGTAATCTCAGCCCTTTGGGAGGCCAAGGCAGGCCGATCACAAGGTCAAGAGTTCGAGAACAGCAGGGCCAATATGGTGAAACCCCATCTGTACTAAAAATACCAAAAGAAATTACCTGGACGTGGCGGTGCACACCTGTAGTCCCAGCTCCTCGGGAGGCTGAGGCAAAAGAATCGCTTGAACCCGGGAGGTGGAGGTTGCAGTAAACCAAGATCATGCCATCGCACTCCAGCCTGGGTGACAGAGTGAGACTGCCTCTCAAAAAAAAAAAAAAAAAAAAAAGAAAGAAAGAAAAAGAAAACACCTGAAGCTGGTAATCAGCTTCCTGATAAGATCTCAGGAGTTGAACAAGCAGGTTCAAGCATGCACACTAAGAGGCACAATGGCAGAGTGTAACTGGTATATAACCTTCCTCTAGGAATGCTCAATTGGTAAGAGAAAAAATAATGCCTCAAATGAGCATGTGCACAACTTCAGTAAATACACTGGGCATGCAGCCTTTTCCAAGTGCTGCCAGGCCACTATGCATGCAGATAGCCTGCTCCAAGAGAAGAATCAGGGGGAAAGAAATGCAAACCCTGCAACAGTGCCAATGTTTAAAACCCCAAGTCAAGGTTTGGATGGGGCATTTGGATTTGTCAAGTTACCCACTTGGCCTTGTTCCAAGTGTACTTTGCTTCCTATTGTTCCTGCTTTAAAATATTTTAATAAATTTTCACTTCTGCTCTAAACTTCACCTCGGTTTCTTACTCTGCCTTCTACGTCGCAACTGAATTCTTTTGTCTGAGGAGGCAAGAATCGAGTTTGCGCAGACCCATTTGATTCGCTGCTGCTAAAAAACCATTTCAAATGTAACGACACTTATACATTAAAACTAAACGGATGGAGAAACATATACCATAATAGTACTAATGAAAAGGAAAGAGGAGTAGCTATATTAATTTCAGACAGAGCATAGTTTACAGCAAAATACATATATATATATATATATATATATCACAGATTAAAGAAGGGCATTAAGTAATGATAAAAGAGTCAATTCTCCAAGAAGATATAATAATCCTTATTATGTATGTGTGTAAAAACAGAACATTAAACTGATAAAACTTCAAAGAGAAATAGATAAATACCCTATCATATTCAACACCCCACTATCAGAAATGAACAAAATTAGCAGGCAGAAAATCAGAACGGACATATCTAAATTCAACCTGCCATCATGCAACTGGATATAATTGACATCAATTGACTACTTCATTGGACAATATAATACATATTCTTCTCAAGCTCACAAAGAATGTTCACCAATGTATTCCACATTCTGGACCATAAAACAAACCTTAACAAATTTAAAAGATAGAAATCATTCAATGTATGCTCAAAGACCGTAATGGAATTAAACTAGAAATCAGTGTTAGAAGGATAACAGAAAAATCACCAAATATGCAGCAATTAAGCAACACACTTTTTAATAACACAAGCCAAAGAAGAAGAAATCTCAAAGGAAATATAAAAAAAATTTGAACTAAATAAAAATAAAAACATAACATCAAGATTTGGGGGATGAAGCAAAAGACAATTCTTAAAGGAAAATTTATAGCATTGAATAAATATATTAGAAAATAAGAAAAATAAGTTTCCTCTGAGAAAACTAGAAGAAAAAAATTAATTTCAAAGTAAGCAGAAAAAATAGAATTAGGGCAGAAGTCAATAAAGTTGAAAATAAATCAGTAGAGAAAAATCAATAAAAGTAAAAACTGCTTATTTGAAAAGACCAATAGAATTGAAAAACTGTAATTGAAGCTAGTTAAAAAAAAGAGAGGACATAAATTACTATTACTGGAAATCAAGAGAAGACATCACTACAGATTCTATGGACTTTAAAAGGAAAGTCAAAGAATACCATGAATATTTCTATGTCCACCAACATGAAAACCAAGATAAAATTGATCAATTTCTTGAAAGACACAATTTGCCAGATCTCGCACAAGAAAATTTCAGAAGCTCTAAATCAATTAATGAAGTTGAATAGAGCCCAGAAATAGACCCACGGAAATATAGTCAATTGATCTTTGGCAGTGGGGCAAATGCAATTCAACAGAAAAAGGACAGGTTATTTCATTTTGTTTTTTGGTTTTTTTTTCCCTCAACGAATGGTCTGCAAAAAGAAGATATCCACATGGGAAAAAAGAATCTAGAAACAGATCTTAAACTTTCAAAAAATTAACTTAAATGGGTCATATATTTAAATGTAAAACAAAAAACTACAAATTTCCTAGAATATAGTAGAAAATTTAGATAATCTTCCCTGGGTTTAGTGATGACAATTGAGATATAATATCAAGAACATAATCTATTAAAGAAAAAGTTAATAGGTTGGATTTCATTAAAGTTAAAAATATATCCAGTGAAAGATACTGTTAGGAGAATAAAAAATAATGGAATGGGAGGAAATACTTGCACAAGACACATGTAATAAAGGCTTTTTAAAATTATATAAGGGACTCTTGAAACTCACCAATAAGAAATCAAATAATCTATTTTTTTTAAATGGACCAAAGACCTTAACAGACAACTAAGGATACACAGATGACAAATAAGCATATGAAAAGATGTCTCACATTATATATCATCAGGAAAATGCAAATTAACCTAATTGGATACGACTACATCCCTATTAGAATGGCCAAAAGCTGAAAAATTAATAACACCAAATGCTGACAAGGATGTGAAGAAATTCTCATTCATTGCTGGAGGAAATTCAAAATGATATAGCCCCTTTGGAAGACTCTTTGTCAATTTCTTACAAAATTAAACATACTCTGGCAATATAATCCAGCAATCACACTGCTTGATTTTTACCTAAAGAAGTTAAAAAGTTATGTCCACACAAACATCCACACATAGATGTTTATGTAATCTTTATTTATAATTATCAAAGCTTGGAAGCAACTAAAATTCCTTCCATAGGTGAATGAATAAACAAAATGTGGTGCATCAAAAAATAAAACATTATTCAGCACTAAAATGAAGATATCAAACCACAAAGTCATGGAGGAATCATAAATCCATATTATCAAGAGAAGCCAATCTGAAAAGACTACAGGCTGTATTATTCCCACTGCATGGCATTACGATAAAGCCAAAACCATGGAGAGAGGGAAAAGATCAGTCGTTCCAAGGGGTTACGGAGGAGAGAATGCTGAATAGGCAGAGCACAGAGGATTTATAGGGCAGTGAAAGTGCTCTGTTTGGTAGTATAATGTTGGATTTTACATTATGCTAATGTCCAAACTCATAGAATGTACAACATCAAGAGTGAATCCTAATGTAAACTATGGGCTTTGGGTAAATATGATGTGTTAGTATAGGCTCATAATTGTAAGAATGTACCACTCTAGTGGGGCACATTGATAATGACAAACTAAAGGGTATAGGGGAAATCTCTATGCCTTGCCCTTTTACTCTGAACCTAAAACTTCTCTAAAAACATCTTCAGAAAACATAATGTTCAAATCATAAAAATAAATGCTGATAAATTTGACTGCATCAAATGAAGAACATCTTTATACAACTAAAAATAACAACATAAGGGATAAACAGAAAGGGAAAAACTGGCAGGAAACATTTGCTTCCCATACAGCCAGAAATGTTTTAGTGTTCAGAATGTGTAAAGATTGTCTATCTATTAGTAAGAGACACAAGCACTGCAACAAAATACTGGGGTAAAATCATGTTCAAATATTTCACAGAAGAAAAAATAAAACTAGTTGATAAAGATTTTATGAAATTTCAGCATCTTTATTAGTATGAAAAGTAGAAAGTAAATACGCAATTGAATACCATTTCATACTTACCAGATTGAAAAACAAAACATATAAGCACCCAAAGCTAGTAACTTGGAGAAACACCAAGCATTAATAATGGCTAGAACAATACTCTCAGTGGAATATAAATGGAAACAAACACTTTAGACAATAATTATGGATTACCCTGTGAAGTTCAATATATGCAATTTCATTCCTAGAAATATTCTTACACATCTGTACCAGTAGATACGGATAAGAATGCACATAATAGTTTTATTTCTAGAAATAAAACACCAGAAAATATGAAATGTCTATTGGTATTTGAATGTACAATTCGGTTTTTACAAATTCATACAATGATGTATTCAGCAGTTAAAAGTAATGAACTGCCATCGTGTTCATCAGCATATATGAACTTAAAGTTATTTAATGAAAAATTCAAGTCACAAAGTCAGTATGCATAATTACATTGAAATAATGATCAACTGTATAAAATTTTGAAGTTAGTAAAGATACATACATATACTGTAATACTATGAAATAATAGATGGTAAGTGAATTTCTGGATAGCGATTGCCTTCAGACAAAGAAAAACTTGATTGTAATGGTAATATTACAATCAAGGTTGTTGGCTGCTATGGGTATTTATTTTATTATTAGGTCTCAAAATATTTCTAGGCTTTTTATGCATTCTTTTTTATGTATATTTACAAAAAAATGGGGCAAGAGAGGAAGAAACAGAAGAAAAAGGATAGTGAGCAGGAACATTGGACCCAGATAGGCTGGGTTGACATTCCGTCTTTGGTACTTCCAGTGGTAACTAGGTGAGTTACTGAACTCTTCTGCATATTTTTTCCTATGTGTAAAACGAGTAATGATAATGGCTATATTAGAGTTTTCATGAGTAGTAAGTTAAATAAAACATGTAAAACAATTTACAACACTAGCAAATAGTATATACTAAGTAAATGTTCATTTTCATTATTTCAGGAGGAAAAAAATCTCCCCTTCGTACATTATACCATTGATATAGAGGAAACAGTAACTTGAACATGGTTTTAACATTAACATTATAAATATTTGTTGGATTTTAATAAAACTATTAATTGCAAAAATAATATAACAAAAATTCTTGGCCAGGAGTGGTGGCTCATGCCTGTAATCCCAGCATTTTGGGAGGCCAAGGCGGGTGGATCACATGACGTCGGGAGTTCAAGACCAGCCTGATTAATATGGAGAAACTCAGTCTCTGCTAAAAATATAAAATTAGCCCAATGTGGTGTGGTGCATGCCTGTAATCCCAGCTACTCAGGAGGCTGAGGCAGGAGAATTGCTTCAATCCAGGAGGCGGGGGTTGAGGTGAGCCGAGATCGCACCACTGCACTCCAGCCTGGGCAACAAGAGCAAAACTCCATCTAAAAAAAAAAAAAAAAAATTCTCTCTGCACAGAAATACACACACATATGCACATCCACACATAGTTTATAAATGGCCTGAATGCTCTGGGTCCTGCCAACCTCTCTTCACTCTTCAAAATCAGTTGCCTCCTGCTGGTGTCAGACACATTGTCCCTGTCATTTTTATGTGCTCTGTCATCTATCTAGAATCCTTGATAGTTAACTCTTTACATATTTGGCCCACTTTCATAGGTTAATTCTGTTCACATGTGTCCCTTCCTAAGACAGGTCTGCACAAGATCTTTATCCAAAAAGTCAATTTATACAACTTCATTTATGTTCCCTTTATAGCACCTTTCACCAGAATTCATATAATTCCTTGTTTATTGTTTCTTTTCTCCCAACACATGGTTATTTAAATGTTTGGGGTCTGGAGTGATTTAATCTTGTTGTGCTCTGTATCTTCATAGCTAAGAAATGTGCCTAGAACTAAGTAGGTGCTAATACATATTTATTAAATACATGGTTGAATAAATTAATACACCCTACTTTTTTATATTGTTAGATGTTTACTTATTTAGTTATAAAGTTTGACTTTATAATTTAGTTACATAAATTGCCTGATTATTTTTTCTTTCCATTATCCAAATGTATACTCCTCTTTTTTCGGTGAGCAAAGAATTGTTATTTCATAAAATATGTTGTCAAATATAATGGTGATTGTGTTAGCAGAAGTTTTCAGTAGATAGATCTTAAAGTCCACATTGAATCACCTTATAAATCACTGAAGTCTTGCATTTCAACTGAACTATGAAATACATGTTAATTTATAAAGAATTAGGCAGAAAGGAATAATTGTCCCATATAGCTTGAGGAGTGGTACCTGACCCCAGCTATAAAATTGTTTACATGGATGCATTGCTTGATATAAGCAGTACTAAAACTTTTTAAAATGCCATGTTGAAGACATCTAGGAAAAGAAAACCAGTGATAATCCTTTTGAAAAACAGTTATTCAGAATGAAATTTATATTTTTAAACTACTTTTATATGATAAGCTATCTTTGACACCATCAGTGTTTAAGAAACAAGGTTAACACATTTAAAAGAAAGTTATGAGCAGTTCTTATTGAAAATTTGGAGTCTTAGAGCTACTTAAAGATGTCAGATTTGCCTTGGTGGTATGAAGTTAGGGTGGGAAGTAGAAAGTCTTAAATGCAAACTGTGTATTACTTACAGGGTTGCTTTCTGTATTTGCCTTGGTCTTCCCTCACCTGATTCTCATAAAGCTGTAATTGCATCTTCCCCCATCAGTGCTGTCCTTAAGCAACTTAGATGGCAAGAACATAAGGCATATTCGATTACTTGCAAATATCTTACACAAAATGGAAACAATGTAGATAGGTGAGTTATATAAATAAACTAACTTTCAAACGCCATACCAAAAACCAAGAAGTAAATGAATAAATAAATAAGGCAAGCACTCTCAAATTAAATATTTCAATAAAAGAAAGTTGCTCATTGATCAGTCTGTTGCCGGTTTGTTACTTTTTAAAGACAGGCCTCATGGATTCTAAATAAAAATGTATAAGCAAACAAGCATTTCAAGAACAAAACTGATGTGATGAATCAAATCCTTCAGAGTTTCAACAATCAATATGTGGAATCTTTTACAGGCAGTGTTTCTGTAGTTTAGGCAGCTATTTTGAATGGTCTTCTTCAAGAGACTTTGACAGCAGGACACTCAGTGAGGTTCTACATCAATCACTGGCAAATCATTCCAGTTCACATAATAGTGAGAGCTACTAAGGTGAATCCTAGAGTTTAAAGTAAACTTGGTAAAACAAACTTGAAAGACTATACTTTCCAATCGTTATATATCAACTAGAAGTATCCTGAAAAAATCTTAATAATAACTTGAGGTCATTGATTTATAATTTTCACTGTTTTTTTCAGCCTATCATAACTTTACCATAAAAAGAGTCTCTGTGGATAACAACAATGTGGGACGCTTATTTCTTTTTGTGTTTTCTTTACATAGCAGTTTTATATTTATTCATTTTTACTTTTTTATTGTATATATTTATGGAGCACAATATGATGTTTTGATGTAGCTGTACCTTGTGAAATGATTGAATTAAGCTAATTAACATATCTATTGCCCAACATGCTAACCTTTTGTGTGTGTGTGTGTGTGATGATACTATTTAAAATCTAGTCTGTTAGCTCACGCCTGTACTCTCAGTGCTTTGGGAGGCCAAGGTGGATGGATCACTTGAGGTCAGGAGTACAAGACTAGCCTGGCCAGTGTGGTGAAACCTCATCTTTACTAAAAATACAAAAATTAGCTGGACATGGTGGCACACACTCATAATCCCAGCTACTTGGGAGGCTGAAGTAAGAGAATTGCTTGAACCTGGGAGATGGAGGCTGCACTGAGCCGAGATGGTGCCACTGCAATCCAGCCTGGATAACAGAGTGAGACTCCATCTCAAAATAAATAAATAACTAAATAAATAAATAAATAAAATCTAGCCTGTCTGCAATTTTTAATTTCACATTTTTATTAATTATAGCCATCATGCTGTGTGATGGATATGCAGAATTATTTCCTTCTGTCTAGTTCAAACCCTTTGACCAACATCTTTTCATCCTTCCCCACCTTGCCAAACTCTGGTAAGTACCATTGTAATCTCTACTTCTATGAATTTAGATGTTTTAGTTTACACATATAAGTGAGATCGTGCCATATTTGTCATTCTGCACCTGGCTTATTTTCACTTAGCATAATGTCCTCCAGGTTCATCTATGTTGTCACAAATGTCACAATTTCTTTTTTAAGGCTGAATCATATTCAATTGTGCATATATACAACATTTTCTGTATCTATTCATCTATTTATGGGCACCTGGGTTGATTACATATCTTGGCTCTGGTGAATAATGTTGCAGTGAAAATGAAAATGAAAATATTCCTTCAACATATTGATTTCACTCTCTTTCGATATATTCAGAAATGGAATTGCTGGATCATATTGTAGTTCTAGTTTTAATTTTTTAAGAAACCTCCATACTATCTTCCATAATAAGTATACCATTTACTTTCCCACCAATGTTGTACAAGGTTTCCCTTTTCCCCATATTCTCACCAAAACTTGTTATTTTTTATCTTTTCAGTTAATCCATTGTGGGGTGATACCTCGTTGTGGTTTAAATTTGCATTTTCTTTATAATTAGTGATGTTGAGCAATTTTTCATATAACTTTTGACCGTTTACATGTCTTCTTTTGATAAATGTCTACTCAGGTCCCTTGGTCATTTTTTAAGTTGGATTATTTTTTTCTTGCTATCAAGTTGAGTTTCATATATATGTTATATATATATATATATATAATTTTTTTGCTAATAACTCCTTATCAGATGCATGGTTTGCAAATATTTTCTTCCAAGCTCTTCAGAGGTTGTCTCCTCACTCTATTGATTATTTCATTCACTGTACAGAAGGATTTTAGTTTAATGCAATGCCAATTGTTTATTTTTGCTTCATTCCCTGTGCTTTTAGAGTCATATAAAAAATAATTTTTGCCAAAACTAATCTCAAGAATTTTTTTCTGCGTTTTATTCTAGTAGTTTTACCTTTTTAGGTCTTATCTTTCTATTTATATAATATTATTTATATCAAACAACATATGGATTTTCCATTTTCATTTCAGAGGTTCATTTCAGACTACTTCTTTCCTTTTCACATGTCCCAAACCGGAAAAGGTGTTTAAAGCCTTTAGTTTGAAAAATTATTATAATTCCTAAAGCTGGTTTGAGTTTAACACCTGGACACTTCAGCTACTGCCCTCCAGCCTCAGAAGAAACTGGTTTATACATTGTTCCCAATATTAACCTTTGTTTTTCTTCTCTTTTAAAGCTCACCGGCAATGCCTTCTCCTACATCAGATGCAGCTGTTTAATGGGATTTGCCTTTTCCCAGATTGGTTAAACGGAATCCTTTTCCAGTGAGCTTTTAACTCAGTTTTTCTCTTCCACGGCCACCAATTCAGCTTTTAGTGTGTGAAACTTCTAGGGAAGTTCCAAAAGGGGAATGTTGGGGCTCAGAAACAAATATGTCAAAATATGGTGTTTGAAATGCTGAACTGAAAAACCCTCAAGGTCTCTAATCATCTCCCCCACCACACACACAATATCTCTCCCAAAGAAGCCCAAGTTCCTTTATCTGCCTAAGTTCCAGACCCATTGATATGGTTTAGCTGTGTCCCCACCAAAATCTCATCTTGAATATCCACATGTTGTGGGAGGACCAGGTGGGAGGTAATTGAATCACGGGGGCAGGTCTTTCCCCTGCTGTTCTTGTGATAGTGAATAAGTCTCAAGAGATCTGATGATTTTGTAAAGAGGAATTCCCCTGCACAAGTTCTCTCATTTTGCTTCCTGCCATCCACATAAGATCTGATTTGCTCCTCCTTGCCTTCTGCCATGAATGTGGGGCCTCCCTAGTCATGTTGAATTGTGAGTCCATTTCTCTTTCTTTAGTAAATTGCCCAGTCTTGGGCACGTCTTTATCAGCAATGTGAAAACAGACTAGTACAGTACATTGGTACTGGGAGAGGGGTGCTGCTGAAAAGATACCTGAAAATGTGGAAGCAACTTAGGTACTGGGTAACAGGCAGAGGCTGGAACAATTTGGAGGGCTCAGAAGAAGACAGGAAAATGTGGGAAACTTCCTAGAGATTTGTTGAATGGCTTTGACAAAAAATGCTGATAGTGATATGAACAATAACGTCCATGCCAAGGTGGTCTCAGATGAAGATGAGGAACTTATTGGGAACTGGAACAGGGGTGACTCTTGTTATGTTTTAGCAAAGAGACTGTCGGCATTTTTGCCCCTGCCCTAGAGATTTGTGGAAATTTAAACTTCAGAGAGATGATTTATGGTATCTGGCAGAAGAAATTTCCAAGCAGCAAAACATTCAAGAGGTGACTTGGGTGCTGTTAAAGGCATTCAGTTTTAAAAGGGAAACAGAGCATAAAAGTTCAGAGAATTGGTAGGCTGACAATGCAATACAAAAGAAAATCCCATTTTCTGAAGAGAGATTCATGCGGGCTGCAGAATTTTGCATAAGTAACAAGGAGCCAAATGTCAATCCCCAAGACAATGGGGAAAATGTCTCCAAGGCATGTCAGAGTTCTTCACAGCAGCACCTCCCATCACAGGCTTGGAGCCCTAGGAAGGAAAAATAGTTTTGTGGGCTGTGTCCAAGGTCCCTGTGTTGTATGCAGCCTAGGGACGTGGTGCCCTGCATCCCAGCTGCTCCAGCTGTGATTAAAAGGGCCACGGTACAGCTCAGCCCATGGCTTCAGAGGTTGCAAGCCCCAAGCCTTGGCAGCTTCCACATGGTGCTGAGCCGGCGGATGCACAGAAATCAAGAATTGAGGTTAGAAACCTGTGCCTAGATTTCAGAGAATGTATGGAAATGCCTGGATGTCCAGGCAGAAGGTTGCTGCAGGGGCAGGGCTCTCATGGAGAACCTCTTCTAGGGCAGTGCTGAAGGGAAATGGGGGGCCAGAGCCCCCACAAAGAATCTCTATGGGCACGGCCTAGTGCAGCTGTGAGAAGAGGGCCACCATCCTCGAGAACCCAGAATGTTATATCCACTAACAGCTTGCATCGTGCACCTGGAAAAGCTGCAGACACTCAATGCCAGCCCATGAAAGCAGCCAGAAGGGAGGTTATACCCTGCAAAGCCAAAAGGTGGAGCTGCCCAAGACCATGGGAACCCACCTCTTGCATCAGTGTGACGTGGATGTGAGAGTCAAAGAATATCATTTTGGAGCTTTAAGATTTGACTGCCTTGCTGGATTTCAGACCTGCATGGGGCCTGTAGCCCCTTTGTTTTGGCCAATTTCTTTGTTTTGGGCCAATTTCTCCCATTTGGAATTGCTGTATTTACCCAATGCCTGTACCCTCACTGTATCTCGGAAGTAATTAACTTGCTTTTGATTTTACTGGCTTATAGGTGGAAGTGACTTGCCTTGTCTCAGATGAGACATTGGACTGTGGACTTTTGAGTTAACCCCAAAATTAGTTAAGACTTTAGAGGACTGTTGGGAAGGCATGATAGGTTTTGAAATGTGGGACATGAGATTTGGGAGGGGCCGGGGGTAGAATGGTATGGTTTGGCTGTGTCCCCACCCAAATTTAATCTTGAATTCCCATGTGTTGTGGGAGGGACCCGATGGGAGGTAATTGAATCATGGAGGCAGGTCTCTCCCATGCTGTTCTCCTGATAATGAACAAGTCTCACAAGATCTAATGGTTTTATAAAGAGGAGTTGACCTGCACAAGCTCTCTCTTTTTGCCTGCTGCCATCCACCATCATAAGACGTGACTTGTGCCTCCTTGCCTTCCACCATGATTGTGAGGCCTCCCCAGCCATGTGGAACTGTAAGTCCATTAAACCTGTTTATTTTGTAAATTGTCTGGTCTTGTGTAAGTCTTTATTAGCAGCATGAAACAGACTAATACACTCACTGAGGAGAACAATTGTTCATTTACCCTCCTTATTATCTCATTATGTATTGCAGAGAAGACCAAGATGTGACCACACCTAAGCGGATCTTTTTATGAGTATAATGACTGTTTTCAAGGATCATTTAAATTCCAAGAAAACAGTGTTGAATTTGGTCTTGAACTGAGGCTGCTGGTCCTCTTTAAATTTTATCTCCTACACAATGTTGCCTCTCATTAAAAGAGAAACCAAAAGTAGTATTTAAAATAATTTTCATTCTTGTCCAACATTTTGTCCATTTTTAAAAAAAAAAAGAAAAACAGGTCATATGATAAGTACTGGTTTTTGTTTTGTTTTGTTTTTTTAATACTGTTATATTAGTCCATTTTCACACTGCTCTAAAGAACTGCCAGAGACTGGGTAATTTATAAAGAAAAAGGCAAAAGGGCAGAAGGCAAAAGGGAAGCAAGGCACCTTCTTCACAAGGCGGCAGGAAGGAGAAGTGCTGAGTGAAGAGGGGAATAGTCCCTTATAAAACCATCAGACCTCATGAGAACTCACTCAGTATCAGGAGAACAGCAGGGGGAAACCATCCCCGTAACTCAGTTACTTCCATTTGGTCTCTCCCTTAATACAGGGATGATGAGAATTACGGGATTACAATTCAAAATGAGATTTGGGTGGGGATACAAAGCCTAATCATATCAACTATTTACAAGTTAGTCTCAGTTTCCTGACTCAGTCTTTCTTCATAGCAATAATCTATTGCCCCTCAAGAGAATTCCTTTTTTTCCACCACTCTCACAACCTGTTTTACCATAATTCAAGCCACCCATTATTTCTGTAACTTCAAGTTGCTAGATAAGATTCTATAACTCATCGAGAATTTGGGTCTTCATTCTGAAGGCTCTCATGTATAAATGTTAAATAAATGTATATGCCTTTTCTCCTACTTAAAAAACAAAACAAAAACCAGTACTTATCATTTGACCTCTTCTTTTTAATAGAGACAAAATGTTGGACAAGAATGAAAATTATTTTAAATATTAGTTTTGGGTTCTCTTTTAATGAGAAACAACATTGTGTAGTATATAAAATTTAAAGAGGACCAGCAGCCTCAGTTTAAGACCTACTTCAACACTGATAAATTTTGACCTTGGGTAATCTTATTTTAACTTCTCTGTGCCATTATTTTCCTTGGTGAGAAACAAACAGCAAACAACAAACAAAAACTTATGATGGGGTCTACCTGAAGTGTTGTTTATATAACCCTAAACAACATACTCAGAATTGAAACTGGTATCACTATAAAATGTGTGTGTGTGTATGTGTGTGTGTGTGTGTGTGTGTGTGAATACATATATTTCCAAACTCTTTTGAACTTTTGTAATTTTGATCTTATTTAGGATAACTTTATTTTATTAATAACCTAAATGTAATAGACTATTATTTTCATGATCAATTGTGTCAGATTTTCTAGGATTATCTACATATAAAATATTATTTTCTATTGCTCCTGCTATTGTTACCATTACATTCACACCTATAAGATTTGTAAGTCTTGATTATTACAAATACCAATGCTATTTTGGAATAAAAATTAAAATTCACTCAGGAAAACTAATGTTTAGTCTTTACAATACTGTAGCACTACGTGTCTTGTCTACTACAATTTATAAAAGTTAACATTTGTTTTCATAATATATAGAAGCAGCCAACACATGTTATTTTTAAGAGCTTTCATATAAAACCAAAAGAGCTCTGCCTATCATAATTCTAGTGTCTAAGAAAGGATTACTGGCATGAAATAAACTCGAACAGCTTGCTCCATTGAGTATTTAAGAATGTCTATCATAACACCTATACGAGTTAAATATGACTAGGGAAAGAAAATCTCTCAGATAGTTTTTAGGATAAACAAGAAGCAGAGCTCTCAAATTGTCATGCTGAATGTTTTCCTGAGGGGACTTTAGTTTTGCTCAGGGCCTAACTGTCTGAAAACACCTTTTTTTCTGCACATAGGATGTCAAATTTAATATCACTCTTCCTATGAGAAACCTAGACAGTGAACTAAATAAAAAATAGAGGGTATTGTGCTTAATTTGTAATATAAGACAACTAAAAGAACACTCAGATACTTTCCTGGGACTTCGAAGTCTGCATGCTTAGCAGGATCTCATATATAATATTAATTTAAATAAACATTTAAATCAAATCATCAATTATGAACATTTACTAAGCAGATACCTTGCTATTCTTTCTGTCTCTGATGAACATGTAGGAAGAAAAGTCTTTTCTGTAATTGAATACAATTATTATAATACATTCTCATGGAAATATATGTTGTTCTTGTAACCACGCACTAAAAATATCCTTAGAAAGCATACACTAGAAAACATTCTAGCATGAATATTTATTTCTCATTGAGAATTATGGCTTTCCACTTCTGCTTCTAAGTTATGGTTTGAAAGACATTTTCTTACCTCTACTTGTGATTACCCTTGAGCACTCTGATATAACAGACATTGAAACAGAGTTGGAAAGCTACTTTTCACTAAGTCTTCCCACTTTATGAAAAAAGGCAAAATTCTATTTAACATGTAAGGAAACATTAAGCTAGGCTGGAAAATTAAACAGCAAATTTATTTACTATTTTATATGGTAAAGTATGTAAGAAATGCACTAACTACATGATTTAATTGCATTTAGAGATTTTTAAAACATTTTATGAGAAAAACGACACCTATAAATTGATGTAAACATTTGGAAAAATTATATAAATTATAAATACATAAACAAAAAATAAATTTCTGTTAACATACAACCTAGAAAAATTCTCAAAACATTTTCGTGTACAAATTTTTATTTATTTATTTATTTATTTATTTGAGACAGAGTCTTGTTCTGTCATCAGACTGGAGTGCAGTGGTGTGATCTCAGCTTCTGCAACCTCCTCTGCCTCCCGGGTTCAAACGATTCTCCTGCCTCAGCCTCGCGAGTAGCTAGGACTACAGGGGCATGCCACCATGCCCAGCTAATTGTTGTATTTTTAGTACAGACGGGGTTTCACCATGTTGGCCAGGATGGTTTCGATTTCTTGACCTCCTGATCTGCCTGCTTCGGCCTCCCAGAGTGCTGGGATTACAGGCATGAACCACCGTGCATGGCCTATTGTTTTATTTTTCTATGACTAGAGATGTCTACAAGAAGAGCTAAGTTTCAAATGGTCATGCTAAAATTAGGTTGTTAGTATAACTAATGTTCTCTCCAAAAATAGTTTACTATCTTCTGCGTTGGTTTATCAAAATAGCACTTACGGTGAAAATTAATTGTTTAAATGAACCAAGTATAAAATGAATAGCATATGTAAACCTCAGCATGTAAGGAAATTTAATATAAATAAGTACATTTTTAAAAGCTGCCAACTTTTATTGAAAAACTGATAAGGGATATGACTATAAAGGATACTTTTCTTCTTGCTCATTGCAAATATGTAATAGAAGGATCAATTGCTCCTGTGAGGAATGTAACAATAAAACACTTTTGAGCTTTTATACTCCCTTGAGACTTGAGTAGGGACAACCTCAGATTGGTAGTTTTCAAGTGTTCTGCTTAAAACTCTTTCCTTTGTGAGTAAAATGATATCTTATTTTTAAAAAAAGGAACCTTAGAGAATAACAGACAGTTAAAATGTCAGAAGTAAAAATAGAATTAATGGGAGACTTTATAAATTTAGTAATTGTTTTCAATCCTTCACTACCTCTCCATTAATGTATGATACATACACATTGTTTTGCCACTTGGCTTTACAGTAAACCTCAATAGAGCAGGCATAGTATATATGACCACACCATCGACCAAGTAACTTGCTTGGAAAATAAAAGATTAACAGATGTGTTATAAACAGAGGTTTCAAAATGGGTGTTGTTTGACTCAGTCACTTGGGCTTCTCCCACCTTCTGTGAAAAGAATATGCTCTAGCTAACTTTTGTTCCCTGGAATGAAGAATAACTTGAGTCTAGCTAAGATCAAGTAAGTCCAGCAGAGATTAGTACGGTAGCCAACCAACAGATTGATAAGCAAGAAAAATACATATTTGTTGTTGTATGCCATTGAGCTTAAAGATTGTTTGTTATACAACATCATCACAGTAATTGCTTGATAATACAGTTTGTAAGGCTTTGGGGAGTGAGTCAGACTCTGGATCCAGACTGCCTGTGTTTTAATTCTTAATACCCTATTTTTTAATTGAATAACATTGGTTAAGTTATCAGGATTTATTTATTTTTATTTTTTTGAGATGGAGTCCCACTCTTTTGCCCAGGCTGGAGTGCGGTGGCTCTATCTTGGCTCACCGCAACCTCCGCCTCCTGGGTTCAAGGGATTCTTCTGCCTCAGCCTCCCCAGTTGCTGAGATTACAGGCGTCCACCATGCCCAGTTAAGTTTTTGTATTTTCAGTAGAGAAAGGCTTTCACCATTTTGGGCAGGCTGGTCTCCAACTCCTGACCTCGTAATCTGCCCACCTCGGCCTCCCAAAGCGTTGGGATTACAGGCGTGAGCCATGGCACCTGGCCTGCAGGATCTTCTTTTAAGCAAAGGAGATATAAATACACTTAAAACATCATTGTTAGAATTAGATAAACTGGGATATATAATGGGTTTAGGATAAACCTGGAATATAAGCATCTGAAATGTAAATAAGTTTCAATAGTTAATACAACCTAAAATTCTATATAATTTCACTTAGAATGATGGTCTTTATTTAAAAAAAGGATTACTAACTCACAGTATCTGGACATAAATAACAAGGCTAACTGAAAGTTCATATATAATAACTGTGTGTGTGTGTGTGTGTGTGTGTGTATAAATCCTAGATGTAGCTGATAAGTAATTGATTCATCTGCAATGGCTCAAAAAAGTTAATACATTTTGATATTTTTTGATCTTACAATATATTATTGAGAAAATTAAATAACATGGCCACAAATGTTTCAATAGAGAAGGACTTCAAAATTTCCGAGTGGAAAAATGTCCAGATCTGTATTAGTTTCTTATTGCTGCTGTAATAAGTTGCCATGAGTTTAATAGCTTAACCAATATAATTTGTTATCTGAAAGTCTATATGTCAGAAGTCTGAAATGAGTCTCACTGGACTAAAACCAAGGTATTCGTAGGGTTGAGTTCCTTCTGGAGGCTCTAGAAGAAAATTTGATTCCTTGTCTATTCCATCATTTAGAGATGGCACGTATTCCTTGGCTTGTGGACTCATTCTTCCATCTTCAAAAACAGCAAACTGACAGCTCTTGTTTTTAATTCCAATACTGTCTTTCACTTTAAAGGCCCCTGTGACTACATTGAGATAATCTAGAATAACTTCTGTATTTTGCGATAAACTGATGAGCAAACTTAATTGCACATGCAACCATAATTCCCGTTTGCCTCTAGAACATTACACAGGTTCTAGAGAGTAGATATAAACATCTGCGGAAAAAGGGTGTAATTATTCTGCATACCACAAATACTCCATTCCTGAGGATAAAATATATTGCCAGTTCTATTACAGTAAAAATCAGGGACTTATTGCCACAATAAAGTGTCCAGCATGCCACAATATAAAATTTTTGAGTGTTGCTATCTATGTCAATCTTCACTAAGGAACTTTAGATATTTTCATACGTATTATGTTTGACCGTGCATGGGAATGTGTCAGTATGCAAATATGCACCTACTTAAAATAACACATATTATATTGTATACATTATATTACATTATATATTGTGTGTGTATCTACTATTTAGAAACCATTCTCAACAACAGAGGTGTTTTAAAATTGTATAAGAATTAAAAAAAAATCAGTACACATCTATTCTTTATCATGGCTGTTCTATTATGCACATCTTATTTTTAATTAATCATTTTTTTGCTCTCATACGCTAATATTATCTATGACACAGTGCAGTAATAATGAACTCTTTTATATGAAACAAGGTAAAATTCCATAGAATAAGTTTTGTCTAATTGTGGCATTTAGAGTAACACATATGTACTTCAATTTAAATGTGAAATCTATCATGAACCCAAATTTTTATTCTTTGTATTTTCCTAAAATTAGCAAAGTTTGTGTTCTCACATTTCTTCAGCTTTTCCTCCTAAATTCTGGAGAAAACTCTTATTTTATAGAGCAAGACATGAAATACTTTGTAATTTATGTTTAGGACGTAGTTAAATATGATGCATTTTAGTATGATACAATTAGTTAAATGTGATACAATAGCATGATACAATTATCTTTATAGATATGATCTGCTATCAGTCAATAGACAAAGAATCAAGGAAAAAACCTTAATGCAAAACATAATCTTATTAATTTCAATCTCTTATTCTTCTTTTTGGAAATGTATTATGGGGAAGAAGTTGTTAAGAAATGCTGGGAGATCAATTAATATGAAAATCACGACTTGATGGTTGAACTCTGGGCATCATTTGACAGTGATCAAGATTGTATATTACAAAAGCCTCCTTTTCCACCCTCATTTAGATATTTTACAATTCGGCATGCTAACCATTCGATTTAATATGACATCAGTTTTGTCATTTAACTCTTAAATGCTGAAAGGACAACTGACTAAAAATTATTTATTGATGTGACATTCTAAACAATCCAAGGATAAATCTGCTGACAGAGGGACTTTGCTAAAGAAAATTAACAAATTCAGCTGTGTAACCTTCCAATAGAAGAGACGAAGATACATTGCTGTAGACCCTGAAGAATGTCACAAAATTCCAGTTATACTGAGCTTCTAAAAGCCCGTATGCCTGCAAATAGCAAAAACAAAATGATTTAAAAAGGATGGTAAAACCACTAAAGGGCATAATAAAGTACCTTTTAGTGTCTAGGCTGGCAAAATTGGTACCATTATTGCAAATTTCTAACCATGAGATTGTTCTACTGATTTCTTTTTTGTAAAAGAAATAGGATAAATTTTAGGGAGGATGGCTACCAGACAAAATTAAGCACTAAGATGGTTTGTCTTCAGGTTGCAAAATGAGGGACCGTTTTAAAAAATATTATAGTTCCTCAAATAGTTCTAAAATATCAAAACATTAGAATCCTTTATGTAACCTGGAACACATTATCGTTATCTTGTTTATGTATTTGTTTCCCTTCAATTTAAGACACTCTAAGGAAGAGTTTGCTTCCCCTGTTCTCAGCTAGTTCTGATCTATCGTGTTATTTTCAAGTGTTCTGAATTCTACAGGGCTTACATTTATGACTTTAATTTTCATTGTCATGTTCTTTCCAAGTGCCAATAAAAACTAACTTTAAAAACATAAAAGCAGGAAGCAGTTGACTATGTAACTTTATTTGGCCTATAAACAAGCAAGTTTCTAATAATTGCTCATTTTCCAACTTGAAAATAATAATAGAAACTGTTATAGTGGCAAGGCATTTATTCTAGCTCCTAATTAAATTCAAAATGCATTTTAATTCTAAATGTATCTAAAGGAAATTTAAACTTTAAAAACTGTGGTTGCATACTAACCATATTTATTCTAATGAAAAGTGCCTAGATAAAACAGAATTTAAAATATAGCATATATGAAAAGGAATATAAACAATACAAACTAATTATCTCTTACTCTCTTGGGCAACCTGAAGTTAATTATAGTTAAAACTACTCTCCTTTGTATATTATTTTGAGAACCAGAAAACACAATCACTTGCCATTGATTATTTTTTAATTTAAAATGGTTTGCTAGATGATATGATTTGAAAATTATAATGAGTAATAATACAAGCAAATGAAAAGCTCTGAAGCATAAACATATTTATGTAAATGTTAAATGTGCATAGTCATGACATTACCTAGATGTAGAGTTGGAAGAAGGATGCATTTCATACCCAAAAAGATTTAATTAAATGTGTTTGTCTGGAAAATATATTTCTAAATTAATCATTCCAATGCCATGCCCACCTTGCAGTTTTGAGAAATATATAATCAATAGAAGTTTAAAGTTTTGCATGATTTATGTTACAATATTCAACACACTTTTTTCCATCACTCACTTATTTCAGTCAAAGTCTAGAACTACTCATTCCATCTCCAACTTAGCAAACCACCTCCATGTATAAGACAGAAGTAGTTCTTAAACAAAATTAAGTACACTTTATCCAAAAATATGCCCCCTTTTCCCTCAATTAATGCTTTAAATTTCTTTTTAGAATAAAATACCCAGATGAATTGACATGTTTAAGGTAAAGCCATATTAGAAAAGTATGTTGATTCTCCTGGAACACTTTCTTGCTGAAAGATGTAATTTATATGTCTATCAGCACTTATCCAAATATTCCCAGTTATTAGTTTCCTTGTCAGAGAGCAGCTATATAAAGTGGCATCAATTCTATAACATAAAAATGTCTTTCCAAACTTTCAGGCTTTTACCCCCAGTATCACACACAAAAAAAGTGTTATTAGAAAGATAGAATCCCTCTGTCTCTGGATATTAAAAACTATGTTATTAAATAAGAGACTGCTGTGAAAATGGATACAAACTGTTTATTCTTCTTCCTCTATCCACAGCTAGATTTTTACACTGATTTTGCACATAGTTTTGCACTGTGATTGAGCAACAGAATGTCAAGTGTTGGACACTACCTCTAGGCTTGACTTGTGAAACTTCCTCTACAAAATTCTTCGTGTTTTATTTTGCTTTTCTTTGGACATAAGCCAATATTCATGAAAGCCCACATGCTGAAATATGTAAAGCTTAAAATGGAAGAAACCCAGATCTGTAAATCCACCGTGAGCCACAAGCCGCTTAGGAACACTAGATTTGGAATTTGCCTGTGTGATAAATGAACTTCTCTCATGTTTGAGTCCTTTGTATATTTACTGAGTATAGCAACTAGCACTACATAACTTATAATAGAATTGGTAACTGGAAATGGCTTGCTGCCTTTATAGCACCTAAGGTATGTGGCATTGGCCCAGTGGTTGGAGGATAGGTGGCAAGAAAATAGATCTTATGCATTGTAAAACTTAAGATCTCTGTTAAACAATGACCAAAATATTCAGTAAAACTGTCACCCATAAAGATTTTGAAAATTTTGAAAACAGACTATATGTTTACTGAGCCTGATTTCAGAAAGAGAGATTTAAAACAAATATACTGTATATTAGCTATGACTGGCAGCTTTTAGCCAAAATATGAAAAGTGATGAGATCATGCAATAATTGATTGGTTTTCAAACATAGATACAAATAGAGAGAGTATGGAAATAAAGAAAGCTATGGGGTTGGGAAAGCCACCAGCCACTTCTGGATCCAAGTAAGAAGATGGGAGACAGAAAAAGACTTAATGTTAAAAACATAGGGTAGATGCAGTGACTCATGCCTGTAATCCCAGCACTTTGGGAGGCCACAGCGGTCTGATCACCTGAGGCGAGGAGTTCGAGACCATCCTGGCCAACATGGTGAAACCCTGTCTCTACTAAAAATACAAAAAATTAACTGGGCATGGTGGCATGCACCTGTAATCCCAGCTACTTGGGAGGCTGAGGCAGGAGAATCACTTGAACCCAGGAGGCAAAGGTTGCAGTGAGCCAAGATGGCACCATTGCACTCCAGCCTGGGCAAAAAGAGCGAAACTCTGTCCCCTCCCCAAAATAAAATACATACAAATAATAATAATAAGACTCCTTAGTTGAAGAAGTGCCTTAATCCTCAGATAAACATCTTTGAAGCTAATACTGTTCCACCTGAATATTTTTCTTCAGTCTACCACAAATTAGCCACAATTAAGTCGGAAGAAAAGCATAAGCTTTAAGAATCAAATAAATAAAGCCGACCTGAGAATTATCCATGAAGAAAACTTTGTAGGATTTTACTGACATTTTGAAATGCCTGCAACAAACAGATCAGAAACCTACTACATTTTTTTGAGGGAATTATTTTGTCAAAGAAGCAACGAATCAAGTATAAGAAACACTTGGACGTTTTTACTTCAATCCTTTGTGTTTAGAGTTGCACAAGTAAGAAGAGCATGATAAAGACTATACTCCACCAAACTGATCGTTTTCCTTCCAAAGTACACTCACTTCAGATATGCCTATAGAGGGTAACAAACAAGAAGGAGTATCTGAGAAGACAAAACAAGAAGTCAAAGAACAATGCATGAAGAGGGAAAATTAGGATGGTCTGATTAAGGTGTTTCTCCAGCAAAGTAGAAGTTCCTATAATGTCTGGACTCCAACATTTTATTATTATTCTGGAAAAGTGATTTCGGTGTGTTTCTCATTCTCCACTTTGCCAAGTGGGGCTTTTTGTCAAGGTTATTCATCCCCTTCTCCTCTGTGGAAGTGCACAGATATAAAATGAGACATATAAGGAGATAGACAAAATGTCTTTTGGTTTACGGGTTATCAGACAATAAGGGATCCATTGACATCAAGTGAATGACCTAGAGATCTTGAACGCTGAGTTGAGTGCAGCAATTGGACAGGACTTTGGTTTATCTTATCTGAAAATACTAGATTGGTTGACCGTTGCTGAGACAAGATATGTGTTTACTAAAACTACCTCCTCTTCTTGGAGATCCAGCTACTGTGTATATGCTGGTCCCCTTGGCATTTGGATGTAATTATATTACAGATAATAGACTATAAGCAGAATTGATGTGAACAGCTCCTAGGACTGGCTTTTAAAAACTTCCTATGTATACTCTTCATGATTTTTCTTCCCTGCCAGCTGAATTAGATAAGCATAGCAACTTTAAAAACCACATGATGAAGATGATGGACCTAAAAGATGGTATTTCCTTGCTCTTTGAATCATCACTCAGAGAAACATGCATATTAGTCTTTATAGGATTCAAAAAATAAATTAATCCATAACAAAATGTAATTCTTGTTTAAAATAAACCTTTAGAAATATTTGAGTTTACTTGCAATCTTCTAGCTTTATTTTATCGAGTAGACATAGGTCACATAACAATATGATATAATTTATGCGTATATCATATAATTTGTACATCTGCCTCTTATTTATAGGTTTAATCAGTTTGTTATTTCACAGATCATCTCAATTTAATTCACTCAATTAAACAAATAGCTCTGAGTAACCATTTATGTGTGATGCTGAGCTACTACTGGAGATAAACCAGTGAATAAGACAATAATCTTGTCTTGAAGAAACTTATGGTCCAGAAGAACTTAGGTAAATGCAGTAATGCACCACATAATGATGTTTTGGTGATTAACAGACCATATAAATGATGGTGGTCCCATAAGATTGTAATAGAGATGAAAAATTTCTGGCCCCTAGTGATGACATCATAGCCATCATAATATCATCATAGTGCAATACATTATCACACATTTGTAATGATGCTGGTGTAAACAAACCTACTGTGCTGCCGGTTGTATAAAAGTATAGCACATAGTCAGGCATGGTGGTTCACGCCTGTAATCCCAGCACTTTAGGAGGCTGAGGCGGGCAGATCACCTGAGGTTAGGAGTTCGAGACCAGCCTGGCCAACATGGTGAAATCTGGTCTGTATTAAAAATACAAAAAGAAAAACAAATTAGTCAGGCCAGGTGGCGGGCATCTGTAATCCCAGCTACTCAAGAGGCTGAGGCAGGAGAATTGCTTGAACCTGGGAGGCGGAGGTTGCAGTGAGTCGAGATCGCACCATTGCAACTCCAGCCTGGGCGACAAGAGCAAAACTCCATCTCAAAAAAAGAGTATGGCACATAAAATTATGTACTGTTGGTATTGATAATAAATGACAATGTTGCTGGTTTACTTACTTGTGATGCAATGCTTTTTAATTTTTTTTTTAGTATACTCCTAATTATTTTTTAAAGAAAATATTATAGTAATAGACCCTCAGGCAGGTCATTCAGGAGGCATTCCAAAAGAAGGAGAAGACAGCTCCATGGGTGTTACTGCCAGTGGGGCAAGTAGACCTTCCAGTGGAGTGAGATGTGGAGGCGAAGACAGTGATATTGATGATCCTGACCCTGTGGAGGCCTAAGCTAATGTGTCTTAGTTTTAACAAAAAACTAAAAAAACAAGATTAAAAATAGAAAAAAACTTACAGAATAAGGATATAAAGGGAGAAAATCTTTTTGTATAGCTGTACAATATACAATGTGATTATGTTTTTTTTTTATTATACTTTAAGTTTTAGGGTACACGTGCACAATGTGCAGGTTTGTTACATATGTATACATGTGCCACGTTGGTGTGCTGCACCCATTAACTCGTCATTTAACATTAGGTATATCTCCTAATTTTATCCCTCCCCCATCCCCCACCTCACAACAGGCCCTGGTGTGTGATGTTCCCCTTCCTGTGTCCATGTGTTCTCATTGTTCAATTCCCACCTATGAGTGAGAACACGCGGTGTTTGTTTTTTTGTCCTTGCGATAGTTTGCTGAGAATGATGGTTTCCAGCTTCATCCATGTCCCTACAAAGGACATGAACTCATCATTTTCATGGCTGCATAGTATTCCATGGTGTATATGTGCCACATTTTCTTAATCCAGCCTATCATTGTTGGACATTTGGGTTTGTTCCAAGTCTTTGCTATTGTGAATAATGCCGCAATAAACATACGTGTGCATGTGTCTTTATAGCAGCATGATTTATAATCCTTTGGGTATACACCCAGTAATGGGATGGCTGGGTCAAATGGTATTTCTAGTTCTAGGTCCCTGAGGAATCGCCACACTGACTTCCACAATGGTTGAACTAGTTTACAGTCCCACCAACAGTGTAAAAGTGTTCCTATTTCTCCACATCCTCTCCAGCACCTGTTGTTTCCTGACTTTTTAATGATTGCCATTCTAACTGGTGTGAGATGGTATCTTATTGTGGTTTTGATTTGCATTTCTCTGATGGCCAGTGATGATGAGCATTTTTTCATGTGTCTTTTGGCTGTATAAATGTCTTCTTTTGAGAAGTGTCTGTTCATATCCTTTGCCCGCTTTTTGATGGGGTTGTTTGTTTTTTTCTGGTAAATTTGTTTGAATTCATTGTAGATTCTGGATATTAGCCCTTTGTCAGATGAGTAGATTGCAAAAATTTTCTCCCATTCTGTAGGTTGCCTGTTCACTCTGATGGTAGTTTCTTTTGCTGTGCAGAAGCTCTTTAGTTTAATTAGATCCCATTTCTCAATTTTTGCTTTTGTTGCCATTGCTTTTATGTGATTATGTTTTAAGCTAAGTGTTACAAGAACAGTCAAAAATTTAAAAAACTTAAAAAGTGTATGAAGTAAAGGAAATGTTACAGTCAGTGAAGGTTAATTTATTATTGAAGAAAGGAAAAACTATTGTTCATTAATTTAATACAAACTAAGTGTCCAGTGTTTTAAAGTCTGCAGTAGTGCACAGTGATGTCCTAGGCCTTCACACTTACTCTCCACTTACTCACTGACATATCCACAGCAACTTCTAGTCCTACAAGCTCTATTCACAGAAAGTGCCCTATACAAGTTTACCATTTTCAATCTTTTATACCATATTTTTACTGTACCTTTTCTGTTTAGATATGTTTGGATGCACAAATACTTCCCTCTGTGTTACAATTGCCTACAGTATTGAGTACAGTAACATGCTGTACCGATTTGCAGCCTAGGAGCAATAGGCTATACCAGGGGTCCCCAGTCCCTGGGCCAGGAACTGTTCCATGGCCTGTTAGAAACTGGGCCACACAGCAGGAAGTGAGAGAGCGGCAGGTGAGTGAGCAAAAGTTCAACTTTATGCCTGCTCCCCACTGCTTGCATTACCGCCTTAAAGTCTGTCTCCTATCAGATCAGCAGCAGAATTAGATTCTCATAGGAGTGTGAACCCTGTTGTGATTTGTATGTGTGAGGGAGATTGCAGATTCCTCATAAGGATCTAATGCCTGAGTATCTGTCACTGTCTCCCATCACCCCCAGATGGGACCATCTAGTTATGGGAAAACAAGCTCAGGGCTTCCACTGAACCTACATTATGGTGAGTTACATAATTATCTCATTATATATTGCAAGTGTATTCCTCTGTCTTCAAGCTGCTAATAAAGATATAACCAAGACTGGGCAATTTACAAAAGAAAGAGGTTTAATGGACTTACATTTCCACGTGGTTAGGGAGGTCTCACAATCATCGCAGAAGGCGAAAGGCACATCTCACACGGTGGCAGACGAGAGGAGAGAATGAGAACCAAAAGAAAGAGGTTTCCCCTTATAAAACCATCAGATCTTATGATACTTATTCACTATTACAAGAATGGTATGGGGGGAACTTCTCCCATGATTCAATTATCTCCCACTGCATCCCTCCCACAACAGGAGAGAATTATGGTAGCTACAATCCAAGATGAGATTTGGGTGTGGACACAGCCAATCAATGAGGTAATAATAAAAATAAAGTGCATAATAAATGTAATGTGTTTAATTATCCCAAAACAATCTCCCCCGCTCCAGTCTGTAGAAAAATTGTCTTCCATGAACCCCATCCCTGGTGGGGACCATATATTCTTGTCAAGGGAAAAGGGAAAAGGAGAGAAATTGAGACTTTTCTGTGGTTCTTATACATGGGAATCCATATGACACTATACTAGGTCCCCTTTGAGAAAAAATTAAATGATGACATCTGGAGGTTTTGGGACGAACATGCGACCCATGATATTTACTGCCTTGTGGTCCTTATCTGCCAGCAGGTGGAGCCCTTTAGGCCATTTCAGGTGACAATGACCATGTGTTCCCACTGCTGAGTGCATTATCAGCATTGACATTTTGGCTACTGGTGGCACAGAACATCACTGCCGCCTGAATGCCCCCTAACAAGTAAGAATTTGAGTCGTAACAGCAGGGAAAAAATCCACTCCTGTCTTCTATCTAAATTACTCAAAGGGTTATTCAACAAAAGTAGTACTGCATATTAAGTGGAGAAAAAGACATTACTTTGTTAACTCGGGACTCGATACAAATTACTCTGTCATAGCATAACAGCACACTTTGGCTAGTCAAAAAGGTCTTCAGGTCGTGGAGACTGACAATGGATTGTTTCAGACTGAATGCCAAGGCTATGTGGATGGGAAGCCAAAAATCTTCCAGATACAATCAAATAAAATGTTTAACTATGGCTAACTCTGGCAGCATTCACTAATAAAAGGGAGGTCCTACAGCTGGAAAGCCCCTTTGGGTACTGGCCCCAGCATATACTTCACTTGAGTGTTCCTTTTGTCCCTTTTGTCAGGATTACCAGCAACACCACCAACTTTGGATGAGGCTCTTTGCAGCAGCATGTCTTGAAAGCATTCAACAAGTCGTGGTTCCAGTACTACCTTTAAAATTTTAGAGGCTGCTAACCCAATAAAATTACAGATGTCTGCAATCTCCATGCCTGCAGGTTAGAGTCTGTGGCAACACAAAACTTCCAGTGGGGTGCACAAGCCTCTTGAATTTAAACACATAAATTGCCTGAGGCAGCCAGAAGATATACCCCTTTTGAAAATTAACTCCTTGCTCACTGCTGGACACTGGTGGAGATTGAGCATCTATGGCTGGAGTGTCATATGCAATACGTGTGACAAACTCTATTTACACTGGGAATGTTTCTGGAGCCTTGGGGGACCAGCTCACAATGGATCCTAAGATGATTTTGTCCCTTACAGCCCTATCTGTAAGAAATAAACAGGCTTCATATAACTTGTTGCATGTGAGTGTGTCTGTCTCACTGAACTCAGACAAGCCAGAAACCAGGACATAGTAAACCTATTTTGCAGTGGATCAAAATGTGTGTTATAGACTGAATGCTTAGGTCTCTCCCAAATTCTTATGTTGAAATCCTAACACTCAATGGGATGTATTTGGAGGCAGGGCTTTTGGAATGTGATTAGATCAGTCTAGTGCCCTTATAAAAGAAACTCCAGAGAGTTTCCCTGCTGCTCCCACTCTGTGAGGACACAGCGAAAAAAAGATGGCCTTTAGGGACCAGGAAGCTGGCCTTCAGCAGATAATCAATCTGCTAGCACCTTGATCTTGGACTTCCCAGCCTCCCAGAACTTTGAGAAATAAGTTTCTTTTGTTTATAATTGACTCAGACAATGGTATTCTGTTACTGCAGCCTGAATAAACAAACACAATGAATTGAGTCTGAATTCAGGATACAAAAAAAATGTGAAAAGTTTGTATGCAGGAGAATTTGTGTCTGAAGTAAGATAAGAATATTTGATAAAAAGAAAAGCAGCCATATTCAAGAGTTGGAGGAAATATCAATAGGATAAGGTTATTCATTTCATGATTGATGGATAAATATGCTCACAATGGGATGTAACTAATTAAGATCTTCTGGCTTCTGGCATGATGTTACTTATTGAATTAGAGAAAATAGAAGTTGGAATTAAGTTTTGGATGTATTAAGAAGAATTACATATTAGTACTGTGGAAGTGCTAAGCAGAATTATTTTATAGCTTCTCTGAAACTCAGAAATTGATCTTGACTGAAAATAAATATGCACCAGAAATGGGTACACCAAGGGCATAGAGAACAACGTAAAAACTTACCACAATATGTTATGTTGTAAAGCAATATTTTTGACATGCTCAAAATCAACATTATAAATGCATGTAACTGAAATAGTTTGCGTCTAAATTTAATACTGTATTACTCATTCCTCTGTCCTTAAATCATTGAAAATATCAAAGATTACCAAAACACAGCTTTTAAAATGTAGCAGTATAAAATTATTCCTAACTATTTGCAGTTGTACTGCTGGAGACATTAAATATCACCAGCGAATGTTATTTACTACTATCAGCCCTGAAATATGCTAGCTTTACCACCCACACTGTACCATTCCAACCAGCATCCATGTTATCTCTTAAACTCTAGTTCAGGATGATCTACTATGACTGTGATGTGGATTTGTTTATTTTTACATATAATAGCTTCCAGGGCAAATCAATGGAAGTGCAGGATTTTTTTTCTTTCTATCCTGTGAGATGAGAATTAAAATGAACAAGGCTACTGACTAGATATACTTGGTATTATGGTTTGAATGTGTTTCTGCAAAATTCATATGCTGGAACTTAAACTTCAAGGTGATAGTTTTAAGAGGTGGGGTCTCTTGGCAAGTGTGGTCTCTTGGCTCTGACCTCAAAAATGGAATTAATGCCATTAAAAAGAGGGTTTGGAGAACTGCTGGACCTCCCATCTCTTCTGCCATGTGAAGAAGCAGCAGGAATGTACAATCTTGGAAGTAAAGAGTAGCCCTCGTCAGACATAGAATCTACTGGTGCCTTGATCTTGTACTTCGTAGCCTCCAGAGATGGATAAATAAATTTCTACTATTTATAAATTATAAATTCTGTGGTATTCTGTTATAGCATCAGGAACAGGTTAAGACACTTGGTAAATGTGGTGGTACAGTATATATGTTTATAAAATCCTCATATTAAAAGACATTAAGGGAATGGAGAAAAATAGTGAACTTTCCATTGCAGCAAATGCTAACAAGTATTTTGATTTGAAATCTAGTAATTAAAGGAAAGTAAAAATAGTCTTATACATATTTGAATTATATGTCATGAAATAAACTATCCACACACAGCACTGAAATTATGCTTAGTACATCAATTAATTTTGTCTTATCATACACAGATCTATTTAATATCACTGTGAAAACTTATTTAAGAGTTTAAATACAATATATCCTATGTAATGTGGCTATATTAATATTTTCAGATAGTTTAGGCAGAACTGTACTGACTCTGTCATTGTCTGAATGCTCTCTTTCAAAATACTGGAGAAAGGTTTTACTATTAACGTTTATTTATTTTATGTGGTCCTACAATATTTCTCAACTTATTTATTTCTTTAGTAGTCATCATTATATATATAATATTATCAAAATATGCTTTTCAAGTACTGTATTTCTGTGTTTGGGGATCCTCCATCTATAATATGTACTTAAATAATGACATTTCTCAGTTCTATCTTTCATGGAAATTTCTATAACCTCTATTTCTCATGAATGACAAGAGATCTCTATATGGAAGATAGATAACTATTTATATCTCATCAGTAGAGTTACCTATAATTTGCACATTTTTAGTAAGTCCAATTTTTAGAAATGATAGTATATAAACACTGTGTCTGATTATATAAGATTGCAGGATTATATGAGATTCAGCAAATAACTATTGTAGCTTTAAAAACTAGTATAAAGTATGAATATTATGAATGTTTACTATATTTTAAAATAAAATATGGAAGTTAGAAAGCTGTATGTCACACTTTGTACTTTGTTCATATTTAACTTCAAGGCATAATAATTGAAACTTATTGCTTTGAGAACTACAATCATCAATATAGTTTTCTTACTTTTCACTACAAAATTTCTTTCCAATTCTTTCTGTCTTTGAATTATACATTCGGAAATATACCACACATTTTAAAGATGACTGTATTACATTTAGAATAATAATACATCAATTTTTGTGTTACAATTATAAATTTTGTATTTATAAGATATTGCTAAATTCTGAAGTTAAAATGATGCCCGAATAGCCCTATTATAAATTAATAAACTACTATTAAATATTCATCCACTAATGTTTTCCTTACCAATGTTGTAAACATTCATTTTTCATTTGGGCACCAGCTATTATTTACTACATAAGCTATAGAGTAATAGTTCTTTTATGTCTTCTCTCAAACTTGATTTCGTATAATAGAAAAAAAATCAGTGTAGAATGAAAAGACATAGGTCCAAGGGCTAACCATGTTGAGTGATTTTGTTGAGGACTTTCTTCTTTGCTGAATCTCATTTTTCAAGTGACAGCGAGCGCTAGTGGAGTTGAGTGAAATAATATCATCATGACAATTTCTTCCCATTCTAAAGTCTACTTTTTTGCTGATGGACACCCTCCATATATTTGTTTCTTGAATCTGTGACTTTGTTAATAACATTCAGCATTTTCATTATTATGGTTGTTTTTATTTTCATATTTAGTGTTGTCTTTCCTGAGATGGTATGAATATCACTTTAAGTGAGGATACATATTATTCTGTACTGAATACATTATATAACTGTTTTACTCCCAAATATATATACCTATATGAGAAATTATTGGAGAGAGGGAAACCCAACCAAATTAGACCTGTACTCAAGAAGCTTCCATTGTAGCAGAAGATAGATATGGGAACAGCACACTTAGTAAAATACATTTATATTGAGCGTGTTTATAATCTATAGCATCTCCTATAATTTGTACTGATAACACAGAAAACTCAGATCAAATAAGATTGAAATCTCTGAAAATATATTATGAAAGAGATAACTTTTGAGCTACTTGACAATAGATTAACTTCTACCATGCAAAGATTTTTGAGAGAGGGTTTCAGTGAGAGGCAATGTTTTTAGTCCCTTTTGTGCTGCCATAACAGAATACCTGAAACTAAGTAAATTACAATGAATAGAAATATATTAGCTGACATTTTAGAGGTTTGGAATTCTCAGATAAAGGGGCTGCCACTTGGCAAGGGCCTTCTTGACTCATTGTTTCATAGTAGAGGGCAGAAGAGCAAAACAGTGTGAAAGAGAGGGAGAGGCAAAAAAGGAAGGCAAACTTTTCCGTTTTAAGGAAGCTATTGTCTTAATAAGAGCCTGAATCCATTCACTATACCCTCATGCCTAATCACCTCTCATTAGGCCACACCTTCCAACACTGTTGCATTTGAGATTAAGTTTCCCACACATGCTCTTGGGGGACACATTCAAACCACAGCTGGCATTAACTACAATCTACCTTTGTTTACTCTTCTAGTTCCAAACATATAGTGACAAACCTTATAAAGGCAACATTTCTAATGACTTTTGTATTTTTTACTACTCCTAAGGCAATTATAAGCTTTGAGAATATTTTTGGAGGTCTGATAAACTACACCTTGATGCACAAAAGTTGTCAGACAATTTTCAATGTAGGCAATTAAAATGAACCTGGAAAAGGTTAATTCTGAAATGGGACCATATATTGTTACAATTGTAAAAATCCAGAGATCACCTCATTTTAAATCTATTCTTTACAAAGGTCTTCTCTGCAGTATCTTTCATAAGTAATCCTGATGCTCTTCCAGGACCTCCACTGATACAGTTTTCATTTCCTTTTTTATTAAGCACATCTTTATTCATTAACAGTTGTGTAAAGCTGGGCACATAAATATGAGTAAGATATTACTTGTGCCATAAGACAGCAAAGAGATTTAGACAAGTTATTAAAATATTGTTTGATAGAGAAAGAGTAAGTTTTTTTTTTTTACTTTTTTCTGTGTCTGTCTCATATTGAGCCTGCCACTGAATTTAGCATATGGCATTATGATTACTATTTCCTTGCTCCTTTAGTACACAGTCTGCATTATTTGTATTTATATCCTCAAGATGTAGTACAATGCCTGTCACATATTTGATAACCCAGAAATATTAGTTGTAAGACCAAATTAACCTGTGAGAAAATAAGGTTTTATGAGGATGTGATTGAATCTGAATCTAAAAGATGATGAACACATATTTTGAAGGGAAAGGAGCAAAATATAGGAGAATTTCAGTCTGTGCTGAAGGAAAATTGTATATGAAAGAACAGGGTCTAAAAGGAATATTAACAACTTAAGTGTGAAGAGGTATGATCTGTAAAAATGTAAAAGTGATCATAAGGATAGCTAATATTCAGGCAGGATTGGAATAAACTTACCCTAACAGAAAACGTCAGAATCTTTTTCTGTCTCCATTCTCAAAGTGTTTAATACCATTTGCTTAATGTATTATATCATAAGGTAAATGGCTTTGCTGTGATTTTTTCTTTTTTATTATTGTTTTAGAAAAGTAAAGTAAAAATATTGTATGAACACTTTTGCTAAGGTAAGAAAATATTTTTTGAGGGGAGTTGAATTAGAGTATTATGCAATTTAGGTATAACATATCTAGGTAATTTTAAAGTTTTGATGTATGGCATGAAGTAATTAGAAGGTTGCCCATTGATCATATTTGGTGTTACAAAACATGAAATGGCAAAGAAAGAAAACCCCGTGCAATAAGCAAAAGAAATTTTTCTCCACCTTTCATAGAAGTTTGCCATTATGGGTGATAAGAGCAATTAGGAGGAAACTGGAGAAGACAACATCACTTTCTGTGATAAATTTGCTCTATTGGGTGACATTTATGGGTATATGATCACTATATGGCCAACACATTTTCATTAATTTAACTAGAGAGATTTTGCCTCCATGTCACTTATATATTGGAAGGAGTTAGTATATTTTTGCCTATTAAAGAGATGGCTTCAGCATGAAATTTTCAGAACACTGAATGGTGACCTCAAATGAATTGCATCTACTAGAACTTAAAATAGGCAAGGTGAGAAGAGGAAGAATATAAGGCTGAAGTGTTAAGGGCGTGACTACTGTGCTGTGCCAAGGAGTTTTTAACTTGACACTTTAACATTGAGTAGAGGTTTTTTCAAGTAAAGAAGGTAAGAGCAAGTGGTATAGAGAAGTTGCCAGGAAGGCAACTAGAGAAAAGAGAATTCTTGATTTTTCTTCTGGAATTACATGGAGTACTATATAGCCAAAAGATAAAATGTCCCAAGAAGATGAACAGATCTTAATACAACCTACCAGTACATCTTTGAAGATCTAAATATGATTTTGGCTGGAAGAGCATGTATGCTCATTTTATTTTTGAAGTGGTACTAAAATTAGTATTTTGCAGAAAGACTAAGAGCCTCCAAAACATAAATTCCTGTAGTTTTCTACTGCTGATTATTGTAGATACATTAACAACTCAGAAAAGCCACAGAGTATTTTGTTACTACTAAAAGCTTTTTACATATGATTGTAAGTTCACTGAGGGCATAAACTCAGAGTGTGTACAGATGTTTGCTCCTGGCCTGGCATAAATATGGTATATATTATGAACACCTATATTAATATATTTTTTTTAGTTAATAAAAACGTGGTTATTACAGGACATTTCTCCAGATGGCCTTGGACCAATCTAGTGCTTATCTCTTTCTCACTTAAAGTTCTTAAGAATAACTGTAGAATGTGCTGGGAGCATCTTGAGATAGGGAGTGATTAGAACAGCTCATGCGCTGTTTCCATCCCTCCCAAAACAGGATGTTTTTCAGTGCTTCAGCCCAGTGTATCGTTTTGCCCCTTGGTATATGATACTGTTTGGATCTGGGTCATCAGTCAAATTTCATGTCGAATTGTAATTCCCAATGTTGGAAGTGGGGCCTCTTGGGAGGTGATTGGATCAAGGAGTTGTTTCTCGTGAATGGTTTGACACCATCCCTTTGGTGCTGTTCTCATGATAGTGAGTGAGTTCTCATGAGATCAAGTTGTTTGGCACCAGAGTGGTGTGTAGCACCTCCCACTTTGCTCTTTCTCTCTCTCTTGCTTCTGTTCCTGCCATGTAAGAAATGCCTGCTCCAGCTTCACCTTCCAACATGATTGTAAGTTTCCTGAGGCCTCCTCATCCACATCCCTTCCTGTACAGCCTGTGGAGCTGTGAGCCTATTAAACCTCTTTTCTTTATAAATTACCCAGTCTCAGGTATTTCTTTATAGCAATACAAGAATGGACTAATACAGTATAAAAGCCATGGAGGCTGCTCTCCAGGGTTCCTCAGCTGTGGTGCAAGTGAGGAATTTGTAGACAAGACTCCATCTGCCTGGGGAGTTTTCCTGAGCTGTGGATGACCAGCTCACCCAGAATCCTTCTGTTGTCTGTTGTTGACAATCTGTGAGTAATAAACCCACTTACAACTTGTGTGTTTGAGTGTTCTGTCTCACTGTACTTGGGGAAGTAGTAACAGTCATGCAATGGTAAATTAAAGAAAATAAATCTAGAGTTAATTGTGCACAGATTAACTGTAGATCAAAACAGGCTTGTACTCATTCAAATCTTAGACCTAGACAGTTGCATTTAGCCCTGGCTCTGCACTTATAATTCCTCATTTTTATTTCTTTTTATTTGTTGTTTTTTCTATTTTTGACTCTCATGTAAGCCAGTCAGATTCTAAAATAAAAAGGAAATATTAGAAAAATTAGATTGTTTTTTATTCCCTAAGATAAAATTTGAACCAAAAAACGATGTCAGCAGAAAGATACTACAACAAAAGGACATGCTATTAATGCATTTAATATGTATAAACCTGCTTCTGTGTATACCAGAACACATGCACATATACACATGCACACTCAAGAAGAATTTTAATAGGTTAGTTTTCAACACACTCAAAGAAAGTTGGTTATAGAAGAAAGATGAGACTTGGAGTCAGAAGTTGATTTAAATTCTTTTTCTACGATCTATTCAATGTATGGCCTTAGTGAAATATTTGATTATCTTGAGCCTCAATTTTCTCTTCTATAAAATGAAAAATCATTTCTCTTGTATCCTTTTGAATACTTATGAGGGTAAACTATAGTATTACAGGAAAAGTTTTAATGTAGTGACTGAGTTAAAAAGACTTGCCAAATATTAGTTTCAGTATCTATCATCAAATAGCCATTGCCTGTTAGTTAGTGTAGATCCAATAATTAATTGGACAGAAATTTGAAAGAACAAAACTGAAAAGTTGGTGGCAAATATGTCTGAGAAAAGGTATATTGATGGACCACTTGGATGAGGCAGATTGTGTAGATATTTGTGTCACATAATAATTGCCCATCAGAAGACATCCCCTGTGGACAAGACTCTCTTGGCTTTAATTACAGGCAAGATGACTCTCATAAATAACATGACTTTTGTGGCAGGAATGGAGGTTTTATCAGAGAACAGTGACAAACTTTTCTCTTGAAGGAGACTGTTTGGTCTACCAACGCTATTGAATGAATGCACAATTTTCTAAGAACACAACCCACCACCGAGCTTCTGATAGGGTGCCAGAGGGCTACCTGGTATCAATTGCATTATACTGACCCTCTCTTATCATGGATGAACATTACTGTCCTCCTACAGAGACAGAAAAATATTCCAGATAAGAATATGCCTCCCCTTTCCACAGGGCTTCTGCCAGCATCATAATCTCTCATCCTTTCCTTTGTTGTGTGACACAGTGTCCTTTACATTCAGGAAGCATGTTGTGTTGCAAAAGAATCTGGCAATGACACTGTGCTCATGGATTCCACTGATAATAACACATTTTCATCACTCAGAAGCAGCAACTTTATTGTCAATCAAGTCTCCATTTAATGTCATGTTATCTAGTAGGCCTTGATATATATATAATTTTTGCCTCAAGAACCTCATGATCAACTACAGGATACAAAATTATAGCTCCTACGTGAAAGATTTTAATTGTGTCTCTTAATCTTAATTTTTATTCAAACTGCAGACTGACATTTTCAATTCATACCAGACATTTAGACATTTGTACCTGATGTTTACCAGCAGCCCATATTCAATGTAATCATATCTGAAACCATATGAAATAGAAGAGCCATCAGTCGAAGACAGAATCGTTAGTAAAAGCATAAATCCTTCTATTCTTACCTCTGCACATTCCAGCTACCTCTTGTTTTCTTCTATTAGCTAACCCAGTTGAGTAAACCAACATTATATGATTGAATAGATGCATTTCTGTCTTGCATTACTGAATATTTTAATTCAAAGGATATCTTCCATCTGAAGATGCTTTCCAATTTTTTTAGCCAATTCAACTTCTATTTTGGGAGACAATACTTTATGAATATTTCATGTTTGTACATGGCCTGGCTCCAGTGAGCAAAGGGTATGGAAAATCTTTCTTGGAAGCTAGATATAGTGTCTTCTTCCAGATTAGAGGACATTTGCTTCATGATCAGCAGAACAAAGATAGACAATGTCTACCAGCAACCTTTCCAAGACAATAAAATATCCTTGTTTACCTCTCAGAGTAAATATAAAGACTCACTCTCTCATTAGAGGAAAATATGAACAGACTGCTAGCTTTCCTAATTTCTGAGTTCCTCTTCTCTTATGCACCCCACTGCATATGTGGATGTCATTTGTTCTTCACTGGGTCACTGTGTGGAAATTGGGACAGGAAACAAGTGCAAGAAGATATAGCTCTGTTTGATGCTTTTATCATGAGTTATAACCGTGACCCAGATTTCTTAGTTTTTCTCAGTATATGTATATAAAACTGTGACAGGCCCACTTGTTAACTTGCAAGTAGCATAAGATCTCAGACCCTCCATAGTTTTCTAGTCCCTTCTGGAGGTCTTCCAGATCCTTTAAAATGTGGTCTTTAGCTATGGAGGAAGCCCTCTAGGATTCTGTCGCTCTCAAATTCTCTAATTGCTCTCTTGTTATTATCATTAGGAAACTCACATGGAACTTCTTTCCCAACAGCAAGCTACTTGAAGTCAGAATTATACTGATGGTGATTTCATTTGCCTCTCACAAATTATCTCAGTACTCAGTTGTTTTGAGAGCACCCAGCCAAATTGGGGTTCCGGTACCAGAGTGGCTGGCAACCTGCCCTGACAGAAAATAAAGAACTAGATATGAGTGTTTTACTGTGTGCCTTGTGTGGGATAATTTTTTTTTTTTTATCAAATGGACAGTCTAATGCCTAGTAGTGTAACTAGTGACCAGTGGGTCCTTGACCAGGTAGCTTGTTTATATCGGCAGACATGTTTACAGGTTTGTCTACCCATAACCAGTTTATGCCTGCCTGACCATGGCTCTGGCATGAGGAGCCTTATCTTGTCTCCTCAATCTGTAAGTCCAGGGAAAATTCAGCTTGGGGTATCCCCAGGTTGTTCAGATGGAAGGCACAAATTCAATACACCACCACAATAGGAAGCAAATTCAAAGATTTTTACTTACCGATCTTGGGCAGAGAGGGCATAATTATAAGAAAGATAGTCCTCTATCCACGGGTCACATGAGGCAGGCATGAAAAGTCAGGCAGAGAACGAAAAGACAGAAAATGCCCATGGCAACTAGCAGTATATGGCAGGGTGCAGGTCACTCGAAGTTCCCAGGCAAATGCCTGAACGGTCCATGAAAAGGAAGTGATGGGAAAGCCCAGTCTGCCAGGTGGGAGAGATGCCTCTAAGCTCTTATCGTTGACCACTGGCTTGGGCCATTTGGGTGTGATGTTCTACTTACAGTCCCTAGAAGCAGTCTTCACTGTGTCATTTTTCTTACATCAATAAATACTGAGTTTTATTAAAGTAAACTAGATTTGATTTTTTTTTTTTTTTTGAGATGTAGTTTCGCTCTTCTACCCAGGCTGGAGTGAAGTGGTGCAATCTCAGTCACTGTAACCTCCGTCCCCAAGTTCAAGTGATTCTCCTGCCTCAGCCTATGAGTAGCTGGGATTATAGGCGTGCACCACCACACCCAGCTAATTTTTGTATTTTCAGTAGAGACAGGGTTTTGCCGTGTTGGCCAGGCTGGTCTTGAACTCCTGACTTCAGGTGATCCCCCTGCCTTGGCCTCCGAAAGTGCTGGGATTACAGGCGTGAGCCACCGTGCCTGGCCTGAAAGTGTTTTTAAACATTCTGAAATTTTCTTCCACTTTGATATTTACTTCCTTTTTACTTGTCTTTGTGTTTGATTATTTCAATATGGTGTTTCTTTATAACCAGTATTTTTCCCCTCATACATTAAAAATTGCCAAAGCAAATAGTTTTGTGTTTAGTAACAGTTGTTCCAGTAACAACATGTCTGTCACATCTGTTCTTGTTTTAAATCAGAGTAAATGTTTTTTCATCTTAATCAATATTTTCTGATGTAGCTATAACACAGAGCTTACTACTTTATCATGCCTTTATTATCTAAACAGGCTGTATATTTTTCTAACTTTTGTACTTTATGTATTGTTTATATACCTTCTTAAGGTATGCTTCAAATAAAAACCCTCTTAGAAGCAAATATGTTTCTATGAGAGAAATTGAATGAGGTATCTGAAAGGATTAAATATTTATTGATTTTAAATGTTGTCGTAAAATTTGACTATTAGAGTTTACTTTACATAAAAGATTACGTCATTAAACAAATCAGTATGCCTCTTACCTAGCTGTACATTAGGCCAAAAAAAACCTCTGAAAAATAAATACCTGCAGTTAGAAGTATTATCATTTATCTCTCAAGGTACTTTTTTTTCTATTTCATTCTTTGTATATTTGACCTCCTGCTATTTAGAATAGGCCGTGTAATAAAAAATTTAAACCACTGTAAGTATATTGAAAAAATCCCTTAAGAAATCTTCCTTAACTTCTTTCCATATATGAAATTCTATATTGTAGCTTTTTATAGAAAAAAACCAATATTTTGTAAATAAGCATATTTTCAATAATAATCTAACTTTTCAGTAATTCTTATTCAGATTACTTCCACACAAGACATAGGCATGTGTATATCTGTGTGAATATTTGACTGTTAAGTTTGTATTTATAAGTATGATTACGTTTTTGTGGGTGTGAGTTGTGTGATTATGAATATGTTAGAGTGTGAATGTGAATGTATATGAGAGTGATATATATATACACACACATATATGTATATATGTATACATATATATCTCATATACATATATATCTATCTGTATATATCTACATATACATATATATGTATATCCCTTTAATTAGCAAGGAGTAAATATCTAAATTTGTGGTTTGGTTGGCTAGTAGGTTGTTATATTGACAAACAGATTTCAATCTAACAATAAGTCACCAAAAATTCTCATATATTTAAAAAAATACTTACTTTTGCTGATCCGAGAAAGGTGTCACTTTCACTAGGGAAATTTTAATAATAATGTTCACTCTTAATTTTATTTGGTTGTGCACTATGACCTTATAGAAGCACATCTTCTTTCTCAGCTCCTTAGTTTGCTGCTGTGTTGTATAAATATCTCTGTATCTTCCAGGATGAGCACATTCATTACAGATTAAATTAACCCAACTCAAATGTCCACCACTTTATTCCCAGAAAGAGAAATAACTTACTCTTAAAGTTCAAACTGAAAGCTTATCATTAACATCAGAGGGGTTTTCATTGATTTAAAATAACAATAAGATATGAATGATTAAATTGGGATAAAACATAGTCATACACAATTAATGTAATATAAATTATAATAATAATTTACTCAAGTGCTTCAGATATGAAATTACCTTTTATCTACTTTAGTCTCCATTCCACAGTCCTGTCTGGCCTATGAGTAGCTGGAGACCCACCACTGATTTTAGCAGTTCAACATTATTCTCCTACCCTTAGCACTGGCAGCACTTGATATTTTGACTCTATAGAGGTTTTGCCCAAACTGAGAGAACTTGGTATGCAGCCACTGATATTGCAAATGCACTATTTTGACATCTCTCTGCACTTAAATGATTAAGATCAATTTGGCTGTATGTGCAATGGGTTGCAGTACACCTTTAGAGCCATACCTGCTAGATCTGTGAGAGAGCGGCCATGGATATTCTGACAATGTCCTAGGCTATGCGTACATGCACAGACTGATACTGTCATCAGAAGATGCTGAACTAGCATGAAAAACCAGTCCCACCTGGAAAACCTAGCTAAAGCTAAAGATACAGTCCAAGGAAAAAATGACTTCAACCAGGGGGCCAGGGAATTCTTCACAGATAGATCTTGTTGGGCCCTGAATCCCATCCAGAGGATTTCACTGCATCTTGACTGCAACTGACAAATTTTCCAGAATTGACATAGTCAGTCCTCTATAGTCCTCTGACTGGGGCCAAATTATCCAGGTCCTAGAGGGTCAAATTTATTTCCTATTCAGGTTCCCTGAGCAAATGATTATCTGATAATGGCCCTAGATTTGCAGCTCAAGCTACACAACACTGGACCCAATCATGGGCTATACCATGAATTCTACATGCTCCATATTATCCTCAAGCAAAAAGTATAGTTAAACATTTTAATGAAAAATTGAAGGGCAGGCTTGAAGCTGCTGATAAGAGGAAATGAGATAACCATGGCCTGAACTACACATCTCAAGCTAGCATCCTTGTATCTCAATGCAGGGATTCCCTGAAAAGGTTGTTCTTATTTGTGCCCCTTGTTTGATCAGGCTGTCGTCCCTGTTCCTCATTTTGTACATCATTCTTTTACAATTATTGACATCTCAGTCTCCATTGGGTACTCTGTAAGGACTTTCTATCATCTTTGGCCCCTTGCTGAAGACTCAAATCAAAGGGAGATCAAGATGGACATTAAAAAGCAATACAATGAACTCCTGTATTTATCCCCCAGTTGCAAGGCATAGGTTTTTGTCTACAAGGTGGGAGACAATGAACTCCTTCTTCATTTACCCCCAGGTGCATGGCATAGGTTTTTATCTACAAGGACCACAAAAATAAAGACCATCAATTTGAGGCCCCTTGCTATTTAGAATAGGCTGTGTAATCAAAAATTTAAACTACTGTAAGTATATTGAAAAGCCCTAGTTAAGCATTTTCCTTAATGTGGCCCTTCCACTTTACCCAGTATAGCCCCATGGGGAAAACATATAAAACAGAAAGTTTTACCGTGCAATACATAAGAGAATGTAAGCCTAATTACATGAATTTGCCACCCTGGAGGTTAGGTCAAGGGTTCTCTCATTACAAATGGTACAGGACAGACTGCCCACGTCACAGTCAGTGGGGAAAATCCCCATCCCAACCAGCTGATAGGGTACGAGCACATTCCTACTGAAGAGCTCACTTCTGAGGGAAAAGAATAAATCAAGCATTTCTTATCTCTCTCCGACAGGACAGGTAGCCCAGGTGACTTGTGTCTTGCCAGATTTCTTGGTCTGCCTATTCTAGACAGTTACCACCACCCTGAATCTGATGAACTATTGGATGCCACCTTTGCCTAATCCTGCAGGAAAACATCTTATAACTATGTCACTGTATATCACAAATGGACATCTCTCTAGCCATAGAAATTTCTACTATCCCAGGTGTCCTAACCTTACTAATTTAGACCTGATGAATTACTGCAACTGGACTCTGTCACTGAAGAAATAAAACACCTTCCTAAATATCAACGATCTCCTATCAAAGATTCTGGCAATGGGGTCAACTGAACATCTGGAGGAGGGGGCATGGGATGCAACACTGGGGCTATTTTGTCCATGAAAGCAAGAGTCTTCTCCTCTGCCATACTCATCCCCAACTCTGCATAGACTGTTTAATTACATTCATGGACTCTGTCCACCAGGAGAGACTTCCAGTTGGTTGAGTCCCAGAGCAGTCAGTGATTCTTACACTCAATTCCCTATGTATTTCTTCTAAACATGTTGGTTAGCCTATTGTTCCCCCTCTTGTTATTCACCACCTTGGGCAGCTGCCACATTGCGGCCAGCTTGTTAGCACTAGAAAAGTCTCAGACAGTTTAAATAAAGCCAGCTTTGTGAATTGAGTTTCCAGAGAACACTAGACACATAAAATAGTTTTTAAAATCTCTTAAAATGCGGTTTTGAAGGGGCTCTAATCCAATTTTATAACCTCTAGTGGATGCCAGGTGACTGGCTTTTACTGTGCTTGTGATCCATTGATTTCTTTCAAAGTAACCAGAGGTGAGAAGGGGAAGTTGGGATGAGGATAAGTTAAAACATCACAAAGCTAGTTGTTCTTTTTTTAATTCAGCTTTTTTTTTTTAATTGAATACATGCTCACCAGATTGCTGAAAGTTTTTGGCAAATTTCCAGAGATCTGAAAAAATTGATTTTCATTTTTTTTATTTTTTTTGACCAGTTTCCTTGTTGTTTTTATGAATAAGAAAATATCACGCCTGGCGTAGTGGCTCAGGCTTGTTATCCCAAAATTTTGGGAGGCTGAGTTGGGTAAATCACTTGCGTCCAGGAGTTCGAGAACCGCCTGAGCAAGATGGTAAAACCCTTTCTCTACAAAAAATACAAAAATTAGCTGGGCATGATGGTGCAAGTCTATAATTCCAGCTACTCAGGAAGCTGAGGTGGGAGGATCACCTGAGGTCAAGGCTGTAGTGAGCTGTGATGGTGCCACTGCACTCCAGCTTGGGTGACTAAGTGAGACTCTGTCTCAAAAAATAAATAAAATAAAATAAAATAAAATAAAGCTTTGGGCCAAGCTTGAGGATTGCAGTCAGGGACCATAGATTCAAGTTGCCATGAATATACACTCTGATCAGTGGCAGTTACAAGTAGAATTTTCAAGAAATAAAAGGCAGTTCCTGAGTTGTTTACCAATAATATATTTAAGAAGGCCTGTAATATATTTAAGGCCTTCTTTGGGATCCTGGCATTTATCTCATTACTTAAATAAATATATGTATTTTAAGTTGATATTTGGAAGATATTTATCTATACTATCTACATACTAAATATTGATATATATATATATATATCGATATATATCTTCTAAATATCCACTTTTAATTAAGCTGACCTCTGGTCATAGTGCTCTAAAAAGAAATCATTTCAAATCTCAACTTACTGGATTTCAGCCAGGACAAACAGGAAGTAGGTCTGTCATTTAGTTATCCTGGTTCTAAAACAGCTTTTTTTATTTCAATTACGCATGCAAATGAATTATTTTAAATATTTCAAAGAATCCCTATTTTGGCTACTACTGATTGTGACTGTCCAGGTTAAGCAGGGCCACTTTCCTAGATATTTACAAGAGATTGCCTTATAAGTGGTATATATAAATCCATCTGATGTTTCTACAAAGAGTGTTCAGATTTTAAGGCTTGATTTTTCCATAATTTAGGGAAAGTAATCAAGGCTGGGAATGTATTTTGGGTTGAAGTGTGACATGTCTCAGACTGTCTCTAACTGCCAAGTGGTAGCAGAGTGCTCAAGGTATGAGGGATAAGACCCCAATATTATACGTGTCTAGAAGAGCAAAAAACAAGGTACACATTTCATTTACGAACTAACAGGAATGGGTCACAAATTAAAGACTAAGTCTGAATTTTCCAGCTATAGAAGACAGCTGTAGTCCTAAAAAAATGTTGTATAAAATAAAACCAACAGTGCCTAATTGCCAGTCCTTTGACTTGAACCTCTGCTGTGAGACCAAGGTGGAAACAGAGGCAGTTCTCTGAGGAGATCTTTACCTCATTCTCCTGTTCAAAGACAGAGACTGAAGCCCTCACTCTTAAAGGAAATACAGGGTTGGAAAAACAGTCCAAATAAAGTCTAGACCTTCAACCAAAGAGTGGGAGGTCCAAATTCAGGATAACTCACCCAAAACAACCCATGAGACTTCTGAGGACAGAGAATTCCTGCTGGTACCAAGCCCCAACTTCAGAGAAACACAAGGTTTTCAGGAGGAGTCTCTGTGAATCCTGTTGACTTACGCCAGATAATCCTGTTGACCTAAATGGGGGAGGCTGAGGCAAAATTAATATAAGTGGAGAGTTTTCTTTTTGTTTTGTTTTGTTTTTTGTTTTTTTGGTTTTTTTCTTTTTGAGATGGAGTCTTGCCCTGTTACCCAGGCTTGAGTGCTATGGTGCGATCTTGGCTCACTGCAACCTCCATCTCCTGGGTTCAAATGATTCTCCTGCCTCAGCCTCCCGAGTAGCTGGGATTACAGGTGTCTGCCACCACGCTTAGCTAATTTTTGTATTTTTAGAAGAGATGGGGTTTCGCCATGTTGGCCAGGCTGGTCTCGAACTCCTGACCTGGTGATCCGCCCACCTTGGCCTCCCAAAGAGGTGGGATTACAGGCGTGAGCCACCACACCTGGAAAGTAGAGAGTTTCCATGAGACAATCTTGAGAATTGCAACCAGGGATCCTAGATTCAAGTTGCCCTGAATATACACTCTAATTAGTTGCAGTTATAAGCAGATTTTTAAAGGCAGAGACAAGGCAGTTCCTGAGTTGTTTAACAAGAATTTACATTAAAATAACATAAGCTATTGATTGACTCTACATTCTTTTTATCACAAATTCCAGCACCATGAAGATAATGGGTGAGGCAGCTAGTCAGGAACAAAATGACTTTAAACAATTGCCCATGGCATGGGTACCAGGAGCATGATTATAGTCTCATACTGATGTCTCTCTGGGCCTGCCTGCAGACCTCATATAGCCCAGACAATTCTGCCCATTTTTTTTTCTCTGTAATCAAACTGATGTTTTATGTGAGTCCACATGTCTTAGGCACTGTATCTCAGTTGGTCCAGGATATAGCCAAGAAATATGAGTGTCATTCACTAGCATCCACATGTCTGAACAGTATGTATGAAAAACACTATAAAAATTTTTCAGACTTAAGGCAAGAATCTCTACACTTCAAAAGGTTTAGTTGCAAACAAATTAACAAGAGCTCATTGAGAGTTCCCCTCTTTAGTATATATCAAATGCGATCTATATTTTATATTTAATTCAAATTCTTCCTCATAAGCAGACTACTTACGAAGAGATTTTGGTAAACACTCATCTGTAGACTATCTGACAATACACTGTATCTGTATTAAAAATTAAATGGTTTTATTAAATGTTTATTTAGCTTTATGATAGATGGCATAGCTTCCCAAAAAGAGAAATGCATCTTCCAAAGAATGAATGATATGATTTGAATGTGTGTCCCCTCCAGATCTCATGCTGAAATGTGACCCCTCAATGTTGGGAAAGGGGCCTACTGGGAGGTCTGCAGGTCATCCAGGTGGATCTCTCATGAATGGCTTGCTGCCATCCCCTTGGTGATGAGGGTGTTCTCACTCTATTCATTCACATGAGAGCTGGTTGTTTAAAAGAGCATGGCCTTTCTCCCTCTACTTCCTGTCCCCTCTCACCATGTGACATGCTTGCTCCCCCTTTGTCTTCTGCCATGACTGGAAGCTTTCTGAGGCCTTAGCAGAAGCAGATGGTGGTATCATGCTTCCTGTACAGTCTGTGGAACCATAAACCAACTAAATCTCTTTTCTTGATATATTACCGAGTCTCAGGTAATTCCTTTATAGCAACATATAATGGACTAGTACAATGAAGCCTAAATTTTTAAAATTTCTCAGCATGTTAATTCATAGAAAATGAAAACACATCCAAGTTGTCAAACTGAAATAATAAAAAGGGTCAGAATCTAGTTTTAAAGAGTTAATTCAAGCAAAACCTGGGAATGGCTACCTGGGAGATAAAAACTCCAGTAAAATGGGGTCAGTGCCCAAAAGTTAAAAGTTAAGTTATTGCTTATATCGGCAGAAAACAAAGAAGTTTAACAGGACTACATGATTTCCTAGCCATGGCTGGTTTAAAAGTTGCAACAAATTAGTTACAGTTCATTTTCTGTTCTCTACCACTTGTTTTCCTTTCTTTACAGCTGGTTGTCATTCTCTTTCCAGTTTAAAGAATGTATTTAACAGTTCACCTTAAGACAATGTGATAGCCATGAAGTCTTCCTGTGAGAAACGTTAAGAGGGAGATTAATCTGTTATGAAGGTAAAAAATGTAGAAGGAAGGGGGCCTTCCCTGGTGCCCTTCAGTCATTTACATCTTACAAGATGATACAGATAAGGGAGAAAGATTAATCTGTAATCAGACAAAGTTTACAGCTTCCTTGGTTATAGAGGTCTATTATGAGACTTTAAGGCTCAAAAAATTTAGAGTTTCAATAGCCAAGACTTTTAGTTACTTACTTTCATAAGATAACATTTATTGATTGGGGATATAAAATATATTAAAGTATGATCTAACATCAACAGCAGGATAAACTAGAGGATAACTACTTTTGGTTGTAAATGTTTTTGTCACTTAAAAATAATTACCCCGGGCCGGGCGAGGTGGCTTCCACTTGTAACACCAGAACTTTGGGAGGCCAAGGCAGACAGATCATGAGGTCAGGAGATCGAGACCATCCTGGCCAACATGGTGAAACCCCGTCTCTACTAAAAATACAAAAATTAGCTGGGCGTGGTGGTGGGCACCTGTAATCCCAGCTACTGAGGAGGCTGAGGCACGAGAATTGCTTGAACCCAGGAGGTGGAGGTTGCAGTGAGCCGAGATTGCCCAACTGCACTCCAGCCTGGCGACAGAGCAAGACTTGGTTTCAATAATAATAATAATAATAACTACCCTGGAAAATTTCCTTCTGAAATTCTTTTTTAATTTATAAATTGGAAAAACACTTATTTTATAAGGTGATTATGCTTATTAAATGCAATAACATATAAAATGTAAGACATAATAAACATCAGTTGCCTTCCTGCTTACTAGAGAAACTAAATAAGTACTTTATTGTAAATTATTTATTTTAAATATGGTTTAATGTGTTTAGTAAAACCACTTGACTAATTTGTTATAGTTGTGGCTTATCATATTTGTAAGCCATATGTTCATTCCAAATATACGTGATAGTGAACAGGAATGTTCTGTTTTGTTTTGTTTTTCTTCATGATCCTGGAGTCGACCATCAATGAAAAATATTAAGAAATATTATTTTTTTCTAATAAGAACTTGGCAGTGCTTGAAAACAGGGTTTATATTATGTATAACATTCTTATCTATTATATAATATTTATTAAACATAACATCCGTTCCACATTCAAACTTTAATTAACAGAAATAATCAGAGGTACAATTGGTGGGTTGTCTCTTGAATAGGAATGTCATGTAAATATTCGTCCTAGAGTTTAACAGAATCTTCAGGAATTAATAATACCTGAGAAATGTCTTCTCAACAAATTTCATACATTTGATTTTTCTGACGTCTTGGCTGAATACTCACATGTAGGTAGATGGTTAATTACCTCACTATAGGCATTGTCAGATGAAAGCTTCTTTGTGAGTGCTTAGAATTTTAATACTGATCTATTCCTTCTCTACAGTGTAAGTTAAAACTTTCTTCTTTCTTAACTCTCTCATATCTTCATGTATTTTAGATAACTCAATAAAAATTACTTGAATAGTTAACATTTATTGGGCACTTACTATATACCATTATTGCTATAAGGATATAGATGTTTATTAAATATTTATAATATCACATTCAGTTGGATGCTATTAAATTCCAAAGCTCATGAATAAGAAAACTGAGTTATAATGAAATTTAACACCTACTGGCCTATTTTCCTGGTTATTAAGCTAGTGTGTCATTACATCAAGTCTACCCTGCTAATCTATTTTACGATCGATCCTGAGTTTGAAGCTCTGCAAACATTTCTCATTGCAAGTGACTTCTTATTACATTCTGACAATAGATGGTAACACAAGAAAGAAACTATAAGGCAAACAAAAGAAAGAAAGATTTTTTTTTCCTGTGTGCTTTCTATTTTTGTCACCATCACCTGAATGGAAGCAGTCCACCCCAGCACTAGCAGTCAGTTCTAGCTTCCAGATCCTTTTTGCTCTCCAGCACCAGCGTCCTGGAAACCTTTCCTGGAATGAGTAGCAATTGGTTCATGATCCCTCCTTAGAGGTCTGATCTCCAGCTCCGCAGGACCACTCTTTTGACAGTCTGCATTATGATAATCCAAACCTTTTCTCTTTACTCCCCCAGATTTAAGGGTGATAGATTCTCCTTGAAGTTATTATCTCTGACTCACCTTAGTGTTTTCTGTTTCTCGTTTAGTTTATTCAGCACCTATATAACCAACTCTTTGTAAAATTCCTTCATTTCAAATATAGTAGGGTTTCTGTCTTCCCTACCAGCCTCCTGGTTGATAAACTCTCTTGGTTCATTTCTTGTTTATGTTATGTTATGTTATGTTATGTTATGTTATGTTATGTTATGTTATGTTATGTTATGTTACGTTACGTTACGTTACGTTACGTTACGTTACGCTACGCTACGCTACGATACGATGTTATGTTATGTTATGTTATGTTATGTTATGTTATGTTATGTTATGTTATGTTATGTTGTTATGTTATGTTATGTTACTTTTAGAGACACTCTTGTTGTGTCACGCAGTGCAGTGGCCGGATCACAGCTCACTAAAGCCTTGAACTCCTGAATTCCAGAGATCCCCCTCCCTCAACCTCCTAAGTAGCTGGAATTACAGGCATGTGACACCATTCTTTCTTTTTAATGTTAGAACTCCTAATTTAAGTACCTTGTGTGGTGAAAAGTAAATTGTACGTTTTATGCTATTTTGAATAATTATTGGTATAAACAAATGCAAATGCTTCTGGCAACCTGGCTGAGAATAACAGTCAACTAAGTAATGGGAATGACCTGACAGCTCACAGTGCCAAGGCCCATGCCAGCTAGAAAGGGTATGTAGCATGCCCACATGCTCATTTCTGTGTGGTCTTTGGCCTCCTGGGTTCTGACCAATATTACTTGTACTCAGAACCTGCCAATATATTTCAAAAGTGCAATTCTCCGTCAGTAAAAATTATGCCAATATCTGCCGTCCCTGCATCAACTCCTTACCTTCCCATGACATTTCATTTTAAAAATCTGAACCCATGGCTAAGATTTAAAAGAAGTTAAGCATTACCAAGCAAAATAACTCATAGAAATAGAGAGAGAGTGTGTGTTATGTTAATGTGTTCCTGAGGGCTTGATATGCCAACTTCAAACACTGGAGGTTTCAGAATGACTCAGTAGCCAATTAGCAATGTGTGAATTTACAGTTTATTGAGAGGCCTTTACACACCAGCAATCATGCAACTGGTATTCAACACACACCGGCAGTTATAAAATGGGGGTAACACACCGAAGCTATGGCTCAGGAGTTCTCATGGGCAGACCCTCTGAAGGCATCACGAATACAGCCAGGTCCTGGCTGCTTTTATGATCCTCCCAGATGGGTCTGTTATGATTTCAGCCACCTTGCACTGGCTATGGGTTCATTCCAGGTCTAGGATGGTACCAGGCAGCTGCAGGTGTTATCAGCTCAGTTTATTGTTTTATGGAAGAGGAGAACAACTTCACTGTGAGCTTAAAATGCTACTGGACATGAGTGACTCCATTTTGAGACATTAAGATAGCAAATTATTATGATAGAGCAGAGAGATAGACGAGAGAAGAGAGCGAGAGGGAATGTGTCTGTGTGCATGTTTGTGTGTGTTGGGGGACAGAGGGTGTTGATGTTGATCCTACATGCCTGGTAATCTCCAATTTTAAGTCCATCCTGGCTGAACCATCTGACTTAACCACACTGGACAGGTGGACAGAATTGGCTTTGTCATTTTCTAGTCCTTGGATTTTGAATAAATTACTCAAACTCCCTGTGCCTCAGTTTCCTCATTTCTAAAATGGAGATTTTGAAAGTATCCAAAATCAAGGATTATTGTAAAGTTAAGTGTGTTAATAAATGTAAAATGCTTAGAGCGGATTTATCATATGACAATTACTAAATGAGTGTCAACTAATTTTTTTATTATTATTTATACTGTACCCTAGACTTACATAGCCTGAAGAAATATGAATTACAAAAAAAGTATATTCTAAAACACATGCAGAAAATGTCTAAACTATAAAGAGTTTGCTTAAAAATATAGAAAGTATAAATTTAACAAATGTTTGCCTTATGCTTGGTTTACTAATGGGTAGAACTAACCCATGCATTACTATTTCACACTTCTGGAGAATAGAGTGCCTCAGGTCAAAAGAAGTGTGAAAACACTTCCTTCAACTTTCTATCCCTCATTTCATCAGTCCCATATGTTTTCAGAAGAAATGTGAGGGCAGATACCAACAGCATGGATAGTTTTCATACTACTTGTAGAAAATGACTGCAGATTAACTACAAATGGTATATTTGTTTTATTTAGACAATTTTCTTAATCCCATAAGATTGGATCCAAATAATTCAGGTTAAAAAGACTTTTCATATTTCCACATTTTCTGTGCAGATCCTCCTGTCAAGAGACTTCTCTGACGATGAACATTTAGTTCAGAATAACTATTGTTATGATGTTTGAGTGTGGAAAAACAGAGAAAATACATTAAAAAAATCAACTTTGCCAATCTGATTCTAATAATAGAATACTGTTTTTTTGTTGTTTTAATGGAAACTTTTTCAACCAAAAATATGGAAAATAGTTATTTGAGTGTGTTACATTATCCTTTGAGGAAAATATATTGCAGAGAAATATAAAACATGAAGCAGTAGGTTCATCAATATTTAATCATGAAAAGCCTTTCTAATTCAGAACAGAGCTATGTCCTGGAACAGGCAGCTATGACAACACAGCACATGAAGGGAAATATCATATGTGTTCCCATATGGAGTTAATCTGACTCCTAGTTATTAAAAAAGAAAGTGTGAAGAGGTGTAGGTGTGGAGCCTACTTACATGTAATATCACAATGTGACTCATTAATACCTGCATTTTTATCTGGTGTAAAATGTAATCATCACTGGAGTTAATACCCCTTTCCTTTTCACAGTGAAAATCAGTCACCGTGATCCTAGAAATCTCTCTTTTCCTCTGTCTCTAGACTTCATTCTTTCTCTCACTGATTCCCTCTTCTCTTCTCTATGTATCTAACATTTTCTCTATATTTTAAATGCATTTTTATTCCATGTGAAATGTAATAATATTTTAATTGACAAAACAGCATGCTCTCCCAAAATATACAATTTTTATATGCTTATTTTTTAAGAACAGCAACCAACACCCTCAAAAGAAAAACAAACAAAAACCAGTGGGAAGAGGAAGTTACAGGGAAGCTACGTTCCTAAATGATGTTTAAATTGTTGTTTGTTACTAATTTCTACATTTGCCTCAATCCATCCCTGTTGAATCTCCATTTCTAGAAATATTATAACAAAAACTTCTGCTCCTCCTGTAAAATTTCCTATACATTAAAATCAAAGAGCTCCAAGAATTAGGTTTATAAAAAAACAAAAGAAATTGTCCTGCTTCGTTCTGTTACATTTTCTTGTATTTTTTAAACAAAACTCAATTTATCAATTCAAGAGAGGGTAGAACATCAAAGTAAAGGATGTTGCCATAAAAGTTGGAAATATTTCCTCTATAACAGCTTCTGGGGCTGATCTGCATAGCAAACTCTTGGTTGTTTATTCAGTGTGAAAGCTAATAAATCTATTTGTGAGAACTCCTAAAAGGCAATCATTTCCAGAAAGAGCAAATTCTGGCAAAAGCTATTGTTTCAGCAAATCCAAATGACAACTGCTTTAATATGACAACATTTGCAGTTCTGAGGGCACAGTACATTTTGGAATCATAAAAGTAGCAACACATTCTGCGTGGCAAAACATACTGTTGTTTAAATCTGTCTTACTGCAATGAGCTGCTAATGCATATGTACAATTTATTAAGAGGGAGAAGAATGACAAATTATAAACCTACACAGATCTAGTCACTTTGCAAGAAAATCTTTATTTTCTTTCTTTATTTTTAGCTTTTCGTCCATCTGTTTTGGTTAAACATACTCTCCAAATTCAGTTAGGAAATCTATCTCTGGAGATCATTCTCTCACCGTGTTTCTACTTTCTTTATGGGGCATGCATTTGATCTCCCAGTAACAATAACCTTTTACTTTATGGATGGCAGTAAACAAAACATAGTTATTTTTACATTAATGAATTAAAATAAACTTTTTATTTTTAATATGTGTAAAAAGTAATGATTTGTGATGCCTTGGAAGGTGAAATTCGGTTTTCATTTAGTTTACCTCTTCCATTTCTTTCTCTCTCTCTGTTTTTTTTTTTCCGTCACTGGAATACAGTGCACTGAACGTTGTGGAAAATAAAAAGTTGATAGTCTTTGCCCTGAAGCTTACAATCTGAGAATAAAAACTTGAGACAGGCAGAATCAAAATAGCAAAGCTGTAGCAAAGTGAAGTAAACATTGTTAGAGGTAAGCAATAAGAAGGAAAAACAATATCCTGTAAACTTGGAAGTAGAGACAAAAAATTGTGTTTATATAAGAACTGCCAATCTCTCAAACTATATGCTCCTAGATGACCACTAACAATCATAATGTGCTTAGATTTTTGGGGGGTTTTTGTTTTTGTTTTATTTTGTGTTTTTTTTTTTTAGAGATAGCTTTTTGTCTGGACTCTGATTCCTGCCTCAATCCATACTGAATAGCATTGCCAGGAAAACACAACGAATTTCTTAAGGCATTTGCTCACACACTGTAATCTGCCCTACTGTTTTCTATCACATTTAATCTAACTTTGTCAGCTAGTCTTTTAAAGTTCTCCGTGTTGTGGACCCACTTTCCTAATAGGTCCACCCTTCCTAGTTATTATTCAGACCAGATTCCTTGTGACCCACTGCTTGATTGAAGTGCTAAGCTTTCTGTGCTCTACCTGTTCAAATCCCAATGTCACTAAAGTCCAGGTTAACATTCACCACCTCCACCATTCTAATACTTTGCTATTTTATAGCTCCTGATTACTAAATTACACAAAGGTTTACCTTGTAGATTCCCAGTTACTCTTTATGCTTCTCCCTCAACTAGAGAATGTGCTGCTTGAGAAAATCTGTAATGTAATATGCCCATGTCCCTCAAAATGCCCTGAATAGAAAGTCTGTGCTATCCACTCAAAGCCATTCCTGTGGGAGCTAATTAGAAATGAACATGACTATGTTTCTTAGACAAGTTCTTCATTAATAAGTATACAAATATAAATGATGAGTTAAGGAAAATGTGAATTTATGCACTTTAAGCTATTAATGTTTATTCTTAGAAAAAGTGTTTGGAATAAAACATTTGACTCTTGGACATGTTTCCATAATAATATTTTTTTTCCTAATTTTCTTCCATGCAGTTCCATCCTAATTAATGTGAAGGGAAGGAAAGATTTTCTGTTATAATTTCGAGTTGACATAATACAAGTGAGAATAGTGTGTAGTCTCTTGAATATACACAGATATACACACATATATTGAATTCAGCTAACATTTTAATTATTAATGGGCCACACTGCTTATAACTAGCACACCAATTTATCACACTCATCAAACGTTTTTCTTCATAAATAACTCTTATATGTAGGATATGCAGGCACATAATCATATGTCTTTTCTTTTTTTAACTTTTATTTTAGGTTCGTGGGTACATGTGAAGGTTTGTAATTTTAGGTAAACTCATGTCACAGGGATTTGTTGTAGAGATTATTTTGTCACCCAGGTATTAAGCCTATTACTTGATAGTTACTTTTCCTGATCCTCTCCCTCCTCCCACCCTCCACCTTCAAGTATACCCCAGTGTCTTTTGTTCTCTTCTTTGTATTCATGAGTTCTCATCATTCACCTCCCACTTATAAGTGAGAACATGTGTTACTTGAATTTCTCGTCCTGTGTTAGTTTGCTAAGGATAATGGCCTCCAGCTCCATCCATGTTCCCACAAAAAAAGATTTTATTCTTTTTTTTATGGCTGCATCGCATTTCATGGTGTATATGTGTCATATTTTCTTTATCCGACCTGTCATTGATAGGCATTTAGGTTGACTCCATGTCTTTGCTATAGTGAATAGTGCTGCAGTGAACACTCATGTGCCCGTGTCTTTATGGTGGAATGCTTTATATTCCTCTGATTATAAACCCAGTAATGGGATTGCTGGGTAAAATGGTAGTTCTGCTTTCAGCTCTTTGAGGAATTGCCAGATTGCTTTCCACAATGCTTGAACTAATTTACACTCCCATCAGCAGTGTATAAATGTTCCCTTTTCTTCACAACTTTGCCAACACCTGTTATTTTTTGACTTTTTAGTAATAGCCATTCTGACTGGTGTGAGCTATTATCTCGTTGTGGTTTCGATTTACATTTCTCTAGTGCTCAGTGATATTGAGCTTTTTCTCATATTCGTATTGGCTGCACGTATGTCTTCTTTTGAAACGTGTCTGTTCATGTTTTTTTATCACTTTTTAATGGAGTTGTTTTTCTTTTGTAAATTTGCTTAAGTTCCTTAAATACGCTGGATATTAAACCTTTGTCGGATGCATAGTTTGTAAATATGTTTTGCAATTCTGTAGATTGTCTCCTTACTCTGTTGATAGTTTCTTTTGCTTCACAGAAGCTCTTAAGTTTAATTAGACCCCATTTGTCAATTTTTGCTTTTGTTGCAATTGCTTTTGGTGTCTTTGTTATGAAATCTTTGCCCACTTCTATTTACAGGATAGTATTACCTAGGTTGTCTTTCAAGATTTTTATAGTTTTGGGCTTTGCATTTTTGTCTTTAATCCATCTTGAGTTGACCTTTGTATATGGTGTAAGGAAGGATCCAGCTTGAATCTTCTGCTTAGGGCTACCCAGTTATCCCTGCACCATTTATTGAATAAGGAGTCCTTTGCCCATTGTTTTGTCATCTTTGTCGAGGATCTGATGGTAACAGGTGTGCAGCCTTATTTCTGGCCTCTTTATTGTGTTCCATTTGTCTATATGCCTGTTTTTGTACCAGTACCATGCTGTTTTTGTTGCTGTCACCCTGTAGTATAGTTCTAAGTCAGTTTAGTTATTTTTTGTTTAGGATTGTCTTGGCTATTTGAGTTATTTTTGGGTTCCATATGAATTTTACAATAGTTTTATTTGTTTGTTTGCTTGTTTAGTTCTGTGAAGAAAGTTGTGTAGTTTGAAGTCAGCTTTGTTATTTTTGTTTAGGATTGCCTTGGCTATTTGAGTTGTTTTTGGGTTCTGTATAAATTTAAAATTTTTTTTGTTTTTTTGTTTGTTTAGTTTTGTGAAGAATGTCATTGGTAGTTTGATAGGAATAGCATTGAATCTATCAATTGCTCTGGGCAGTATAGCCATTTTAACAATATTGATTCTTCCCATCTATGACAATGGGATGTTTTTCCATTTGTTTGTGTCTTCTCTATTTTCTCTAAGCAGTGTTTTGCAGTTCTCCTTGTAGAGAACTTTTACCTCCCTGGGTAGGTGTATTCATAGGTCACACATTCACTCGCTGCTTCCCTTGTTGGGGGAGGTTCCCCAGCGCCATGTCACTCCCCAGTGGGCTGTTGTCCTGCCTTACTTTTCTCCATTCTCCATGGATCTAGTTGTTTCCTTGATTAGTCCCAATGCGTGTACCTGGATGTTCCAGTTGAAGGTGCTGGATTTACTTGTCCCGTTCATTCCTCTTTGTGACCGTGGTGCACACTAGCTGCTTCTAGTTGGCTATCTTGGCCACACAATCATATTTATTTCTTATGAGCTTAAATTATTTCAGGTAATATTTTCTTTGGCTTTGGCTTAAATTCAGTAATATTTGCCGGGCACAGTGGGTCACGCCTGTAATCCCAGCACTTTGGGAGGCCGAGGAGGGCAGAACACAAAGTCAGGAGTTCGAGACCAGCCTGACCATCATGGGGAAAACCCGTCTCTACTAAAACTACAAAAAGTAGCCGGGCATGGTGACGTGCTCCTGTAATTCCAGCTACTCAGAAGGCTGAGGCAGGAGAATTGCTCAAACCTGGGAGGTGGAGGTTGCAGTGAGCTGAGATTGCACCACAGCACTCCAGCCTGGGCGACAGAGCAAGACTTCATCTAAAAAAAAAAAATTCAGTAATATTACTCAGTAAATAATACAACATAGGTTGATGAAAGATTTACTGAAGTAATTATACTACTATAGCCAGTGTTGTTATAGATACGAGTAGCATTTTTATAATATCCAAAGGAAATAGTCAATTTTCCTAGGTGTATCCTGAGTAGAAAATGTGAAATGAAGTGAGATTCAGATTCTGATCACTCTGCCTCTGATGCCTGTCTTTTTTCTGCTTTCCAATCTACTTTTCTGTTTTTATGTGCTCAAAGTGGTAAAGTGATGGTAAAGTGATGGTAAAGAATATCAAGAATATTGAGGAAGTCCTTATGTGCAAAATTACTCATATGCATTTTTAGGTGATTTTTTTAAAAGTAAATCAATGTTAAATAATGAATGTATTATTTACCTGTCCCTGACTCTTAGAAAGTATGTGTATATTGGTGTGTGTGTGTGTGTGTGTGTGTGTGTGTGTGTAATTACTCTCTGAAATGTATTTCTACAATAATTCTCACATTTCACATAGAATACACTTCAAGCAATTGGCTGTGTTTCATCCAACTTTTCTATTACTGCCCTCACAGACACTCTAATCTGAACCTAGCTCAAATTTCTTGCAGTTTTAAAAATATAACCTGATCTTTCTCATCAATCTCTTCACCTCTACTCTTCTCTGTGCCTGGGATTCTTTCCATTTTCCTCTTAATTGCTAGCTTCAAAGCTCAAGGGTTGTCTTCTACTTGAAACTGTCATGAGATATTTCTTTTCTCAATCTAGTTTCCATCTCCTTCTCTTGGTGTTCAGGAATCACCAAGTATTCTCTATCCCTGCACTTCACAGGCTATTACGTGGGACATACAAGTGTGGTCTTAGTCATCCCGGTGATTCAAATATCAAAGGCAGTGGTTGAGCAACAATTGGTTCTCAATAAAATGTTACTGCTATTGTTAGAGATAAATCATGTTGAATTTTTGAAAAAGGATGGAGTTTAAAAGTTTCAGAAGCTTCAATTTTCAGAAATAGGAGGTTTAGAGACTGTCGTTTGAAATACTTATAATAGAAATTTGTGGGAGGATAGACACTTGTAGCTTCCCTAGGCTGACATCCTCAAAAAAAAGAGAGTGCTTTAGGAAATAATAGACGAAAAGCCCAGAAGGTAAGGTGTAGTCTTTATTGTGTCCGTGCTGTTTCACTCCTAAGTAGACAGTTCTAAAACATGTAGCATCCTGCATGTGTATACAGGCAATTGCAACACTTACAAAATACTTTTATGATTTTTATGCCTAACTTCATGGTTATAATATTAATGATTAATAATGTAAAGCATTAGTTAATATCATTATAAATCTTGAAGACTGAAAGGTCAGCCTCTAGAAAAATATTTCTCCAATCAAATTATTTTAACAAAGAAAGAAATTTTAGTTCAACAAAACAGACTTTCATAACCTTATTGGTGGATAGAGGAAAATAACTGGAACAAGATTTTTCAACATTCCCTTTTCTATCCACTATATTGCCTCTCTGGTCATTCAGCTGCAAGCTTAGTTTAAAAAGTATAAAGAAATCTTTGTCTATACGCAGGTTCAACCTTGTTGTCTACACTCAGGTTCACCCCACATCTCAAATAACGTTTCAGAAACAAAATTGCTTTCAGGCCAGGCACAGTGGCTCAAGCCTGTAATCCCAGCACTTTGGGAGGCCGAGGCTGGCAGCTCATGAGGTCGGGAGTTTGGGACCAGCCTGGCCAACATGGTGAAACCCTGTCTCTACTAAAAATACAAAAATTAATCAGGCATGGTGGAGCACACCTGTCATCCCAGCTACTTGGGAGCCTGAGGCAGGAGAATCACTTGAACTCAGGAGGCGGAGGTTGCAGTGAGCCAAGATCACACCATTGCACTCCAGCCTGGGTGACAGGGCGAGACTCCATCTCAAAAAACAAAACAAAACAAAAATTACTTTCTGTATTCTATAAATAAGTGATTCCTAGTTGGGAAGTGGAGTTAGTTTTGAGTTCATGTGTTTATTGTAATCAGTCCATACTGTTTTTCAAACATTATTTCATATATCAGTGGCCAACTTTACCTTCTAGGTTACATTCTATTCTTTGTATCAATGTATCTTATATGGAATATTTATATATGGCTAATTAATTTTTATTTTATACTTATTCAAAATATTATTAAGATCTTATTCAAAATTACCTTTTCTATGCATATGGCTTATTTATATAGGTGAAACCAAGATCCTCTTCCTGATCTTCACATTTTGTTAATTATTTCAATTGTTACTTTCCCTAGAAAACTGAAATTTTAAGAAGAGAAATTTCAGACTTCTGCCACACTTTGAGCACCTATACACATACTCTATCTTCCTTTCAACATTTGGCTTCTTCCGCTGTGTTCTTGATCCCATCTGCGCTCATGTTCTCAAGGATATGCCTCTAGCAATTTTCCTTTGTCTGTTCTAATTGCAATTAAAAAAAATTCTTATATCTTCCTAATCAGCTAATTTACATAATATTATTTCTCCATGTTTAGGAAAAAATTCAAAATTTGCTAGCGCTAGCCACTACCCCATTTCACTACTTGGCTATTCATGATCAACTTGCTGACTCCAGTTCTCTTCTCATTCCCTCTTAAACATAATATAATCAGGCTTTCAAACTCAACTCTGCACCAAAACTCTTCTACTCCAGGTCACTAACAATATCCATGTTGATAAATCATGCTGTCAGCTCTTCATAAGTATCTTCTATCACACATTAGTCATGTTGAGCATATTTATTGCCATTGAGAGTCATTCTTAAAATTGCATTTGTAATATTATATTGAATTATTTTTCATCTACCTCACTTCTCTTGCTCTGGTTCTTTCTATTTTTCTCAAGACCTCCTTATGTTGGTTCCTTGTCCTCATCCTTTCTCTATTTATAAACATTCTCTTGGTGATCTCATTTAGTTCCATGAATTTCAATATGACAAATAGTGACAATTTACACATTTATATTCTAACTTCTATGTCAAATACACATCTAACATTCAATGAATCCACTATTTAACTCCTAATTATTTTCCTCCAAGCCTGCCCTGGCCTAGCCTTCCCTAGCCTAGCCTTCCCATTCTTTGCTGATGATAACGCCAACCTTCCTATCTACTGGTTAGAAAAATCATAGTCCTTCCCGATGCTACTCTCACCTACCACATCCATCAGGAAATATTGTTATCATCTTGATTTCATATTTCAATGATTTCTGTCTGTCTCTTAACCTTTTAATCTCTTAACCCTGGTCTAATTCATTGTCCTATCAAGTCTTCATTGCTGCAGTAACCACTAGGGGTTCTGCTCTTGTCCCTGTAGTCTGTATTTAAGATTGATGCTGCAGGGATCCTATAAAATGTGATGCAAATCTGGTCTCCTCTCTAATCAAAACCAAGCAATGACTTTCCATTTCTCTTAGAGTGAAAACCAAATACCTCAACATGAGTGCCTTGCAAGGTCTACCCATGCTGTGGACTGAACTGTGCCCCTGCTGCAAATACATATGTTGAAGCCCAAACCCCAATGTGATGGTAACTGGGAGAAGGGGCCTTTGGTTGACAATTAGGTTTAGATGAAATCATGAGGGTATGGCCCTCGTGATGGGATTAGTGCGCTTATAAGAAAAGCCACCAGAGATCTTGCTCTCTCACTTTTCTGCCATGTGACAACACAATGAGAAGGCAGCTGACTACAATTCAACAAGAGGGCCCTCAACAGAACTATGGCATACTCTCACCCTGATCTCAGACTCCCAGCCTCCAGACCTTTGAGAATATATATTTCTGTTGTTAAATGCATCTAGTCTATGGTATTTTATTATGGCAGCAAACGCTGACTGATAAAGACCTTTATTAACTTTCTGAAATATCCTTCTATTATCTCCTTTACTCCAACCACAGCCTTTTTTTTTTTTTTTAACTTCATAAAACCACCAGGCAAAACCCTGCCCCTCAGATCTAGTTCTAACTCTTTGCTCTGCCCAGAATAATCTTCTGGAAGACATTCGCTTGCCAAAAGATTTTACCTCATTCAAGGCATCATTAAAATCACACTTTCTCAGTCAAGCCCTATTTTATACTGCACCAGCCATCACATCTACAACTCTTCTCAAGACTCTGACTCCTCACTCTGCTCTAAATTTTTTTTCTCATAGAACATACCATCTTCTAACCCTAAGATTGATGCTGTGGTGATCCTAACATCTAAAGGTGAAATTTTAAGGTGTTTTATACGATCTAGGTTAGTTTTTGCCTGATAACTCAGAATATTAATGTCTTAGGTTAATTATTATGGAACAGATTTCATAACCTTTTTTCTCTTAAAGTGTACGTAATAAACATTTATTGGTAATCTTCACTGTGAACGTTAAAACCTTTGTATGTAAATACCTTATTATTTTTAAACTTTCATTTTGTTAATACAAAAACCATAACCTCATTAGGTTATTTCCATTTGGAGTACTAAATTTGCACTTTCCTAATGTACCTTGTCTAGCATAAAGTATTTATTTTAAAGATCTAAAGTTCTTATTGTGAAACCCTTTGTAATAGAATATAATCCAAAGTATTTGGTAAATATCTGTGATCAAAATAAAAACATGTCTCTCCTCAATCTTATATTCTCATGATTATATCTCACATATCTTGTGGCTACAAATCCAGCTGTTTTGAGTTACAAATACTATTATTATCTTTTGACAATTTTCTTGTTCAAAAGTCCCTTTTATATCACAAGGCTTGTATTGAAACTTTCTCAAAGTCACTGTTCAAACCATTCCTATTCTACTCACAAGGTCCTTTCAAATTTATACATTTTGACCTCTAATTTTCATTCTTTATGTTAAGATGTTTCTCTAAAACCTCCATTTGTGGTATTTTTAAAAGCTTTTTCTTTGTTTTGGTGGGTTGTGAATTTCTCTTTAATAAGTACATATCTGTTCAATAACTTTAAAAGTAGATGTAAATTTTTAATATTCCTTCCTCCTTTTTTACTTTATACAAAATGTAACTTTGTTCTGTTTAATCACCATTTTTAAAAATTCTAGACTATAATAAAAATTATAAACTTTTTGTTAGTATAGTTTACTCCTTTCCTTCTTATTATTTTGTATAGCTTCTTTTAGCTGTTAAAAAAAAAAACTTACTGTCACTCCATTGTCCGAATGAATCTTAAAGGTTTTAGCCACAACTTTATTCTTCTGTGGACTCAAGTCCCTGTCTGAGAGTGAATTAGGTGCTTAGAGAAGAACATTAACACCTACAATGCATGAATAATGTTCAAAACAGAACCCAGGTGACTAAAAAAATTTATGTACCTGATGCCAAAAATACTTATAGGGCCCAACTAAGGTACCAGAGAAAAGGAATAACAGAATGAGTTAGAAAGAATCCTTGGAGATCATATTAGTTCATTCTCACACTGCTATAAGGACATACCCAAGACTGGGTAATTTATGAATAAAAGACGTTTAATTGACTCACAGTTCCACAGGGCTGTGGAGGCCTCAGGATACTTGCAATCATGGTGGAAGTGGAAGCAAACATGTCCTTCTTCACATAGTGGCAGCAAAGAGAAGCGCAGAGTGAAGTGGGGGATAACTCCTTATAAAACTATCAGATCTCATGAGAACTCACTCACTATCACAAGAACATCATGGAGGTAAACACACCCAATATTCAATTACCTCCCATTTGGTCCCTTCCATGACATGTGGGGATTATGGGAACTATGGTTCAAGACAAGATTTTGGTGAGTACACAGCCAAACCATATCAGAGATCATCTGCTCTAGTTTCTTGCCTTCAGGCAGGCACATGTTGAAACTATCCAGGACAGGGTTTCTAATATTGTTCTGGAGATCCAGTGTTCATTTTTTCTTCTCTTTAAACTTAAAGTAGTTGTACAATGCTATGTATCTGGTGCTTACTGACACTCCCTAAATAGAATGCTTACCTTGGATCATTTGTTACTTGTAAATATTCACTTGACCAAGGGTAATACTACCCTTCATTTTAAATTGAACTAACATTAATATTCTACTGCTTTAAATATAGATATAAAGATAAACTAGGATAGGTAAACTAAAACTATAAACAAATATTTTATTAGGAATCAGAAGAGACTCAATATGGTTCTGTCATCAGAGCCTTGATATTTCGAACACAGCATTTTTTTCCTTGTAAAGTGTTAAAAGTAATATTTACATTGACTATATCATTGGGTTGTTGTAAGAATTAAATAAACAAATGCGTGTGACAGTGCCAAGAAATCTACAGAGTGCTGTTTAATTATAAGGCCTTTAATCCCACTTCTTCTATGCCACTCACAGAATTTTGTTTACATAGCTATTAGAGCACTCGGGACATCATTTCTTAGTATTAAATGTCTCTCTTCAGTTTTCTCACCACCAAGATTGTAAACTATTAGAAAGCAGAGGATCTGCTTTATTGTTATATTTCCTGATTGTTAAAAATAGCCATGCTATAGATATAATAGCCACTGCATAAGTATGCAATTAATCAGTAGATTAATATGTAGATTTCATCGCTGATTTGCAAAATTAATATGAGTAACTATGCTATGTTAGAAACAGAAAACAAAGATATAATAAAAATAGTCTGAGTTGTAAATTGCCAGATTTCAAGGATAAAAAGTTATGTAATATATTTAATTGTTTTAATTTTTAGCTCCCACAAATAAGTGAGAATTTGTGAAGATTGTCTTTCGGTGCTTGGCTTATCTCACTTAACATAACATTTTCCAGTTCTATCCATGTTGTTGTAAATGACAGGATCTCATTCTTTTTTATAGTTGAATAATTTTCCATTGAACATATGGAGATAAAGAGTAGAATGATGGTTACCAGAGGCTGGGAAGGGGAGAAGGGAAAGAGGGGAAAAGTGGGGATGGTTAATGGGTACAAAAATATCATTAGATAGAATGAATAAGATCTAATGTATGACAGCACAAAAGGGTGACTATAATCAACAATAATTTATTGTATATTTTAAAATAACTAAAAGAACATTCATAACACAAAGAAATGATAAATGATTGATATGACAGATACACCATTTACCCTGACATGATTATTACACATGGTATGTCTGTATCAAAATGTCTCATGTACCTCATAAATATATATACCTACTATGTATTCATAAACATTAATAATTTTTAAAAAACATATGTAATGTAAATTGGTACCACAAATATTGCCAACACACATTTTGAAGAGAATATCCATGGAAAGAGGTAACTCATTCGTGAAATTCCTAAAATTAAAGGTCTAATATTATCATTTCTAACTATGTCTGCTTCTAGTACCAAAGTCCAGTGTACTATGCTCTAAGGAGTGATGGAATGCCTGTGTAAATACTAGTTCTGTCATATGGTCATATCACGTGCGATCTTGGGAAGTTGTGACATTTATGGTTCATAAAGGACAGAGATGTCTACTGCTTAATTTTAAGTATTATGAATTATTGCCCTGCTTTGTAACCATCTCATTTCATGTTTCAAGCCTGCTATGGTTTGAGTCTGTGTCCCCATGCAAATCTCATGTCAAATTGTAATCCCCAGTGTTGGAAGTGGGGCCTGGTGGGAGGTGATTAGATCATGGGGGAAGATTTCCCCTTTGGTGCTGTTCTGGTGTTAGTGTGTGAGTTAGCATGAGTTCTGGTTATTTAAAAGTCTGTAGCACCTCTCCCTTCTCTCTCTTGCTTCTGCTCCAGCCACGTGAGGCATTCCTGCTTCCACTTTGCCCTCTGCCATGATTGTAAGTTTCCTGATGCCTCCCCAGCCATGCTTCCTGTACAGCCTGCAGAACCATGAGCCAAGTAAACCTCTTCCCTTTATAAATTACCCAGTCTCAGGTAGTTCTTTGTAGCGGTATGAGAATGAACTAATACAAAAGCTTTAGTCAAGCCTGTTCAAATCAGTGGTAGTTTAGGACATTAGAGGTAGAGAATTCAACAAATGCAACAACTTAGAGTCTGGTACAACTAATAGAAATATAAAAACATCAAGGACCACCTAAAATATTTGAATAAGTCCTTAGTTATCACCATATCTGGGAGACATATTTATGTCAATATTACTTTAAGAAAAGAAAAAAGGCTATCTTGAGAAAACTTGAGGAATGGAGATATGAAGATGCTGACAAAATTGTGGTATAGTAAGAGAAAAAGAAAAGCTACTAACAAATATAGAGCATAGTCTATTTACAAAGAAGTAAGACTTTTCACCTGAAATAAAGTTCTTAGAGTTTTGTTGAAATTATTGAGATTGCAAAATATTTAAATCAGAATAATTTGCCTCTCATTTACTGGGTCTACATTAACATTCTGAAAGATGATATCACAATTAATAACGATGTCATTGTAACTAGAAAGAAGAAAAATATACTACCAAGAATATCTTTCATAACTACCCATTTGTAATTTAACATGTGGTTTACGCCATCCTATCAAAAGGTCAAAATAGAACAAAAATAAAAATGCAAAAGAGGATTTCAATTCTAATCACATACTTGTCTGAGTCTCTTGAAGTTCTGGGACTGATAATCCCAATTGGCTAAAATGGTGCGAATGTTAAAGAAAAGGAAATGAATAAAAAGGAAAAGATGGTTCACTTATGTAGGGATGACTATTTACTCTTTGATGATTCATGCCTTTTACTCAACATGATATATCAGGGGGCATAAAGTCAACAAATTTTGTGCAATTTTCTCCTCCTTTAGGTTTTTTTAAATGCAAAATGTTATGCCATTTTAAAAACACAGTGATATTTTCTTGTTAAAGTAGTTGCAGAGATATATAACATTGCTTTTTGATGAAAATTAAGAAGCTTGTATGTTCATCAGGAATGGGTTTTGTATATTCATCAGGGAAAAAAGTTCTGATTCTTCAGTATGGGAGAGGAGGAGGTGAAATACTATTTAATGGAAAAGCCTTGAACAGACAAAGTAAACACAAATATAAATGCCAGTAATGAAGAAAATAAACGTTTTAGACTGATATCTAAAAATATATGGGAGAGTAGTGACGGATAGAATCCCATTATATGTAAGGAGGGAAGGAAATGTCACAAGATTGAAGAGTTGAGGAATATTTGGGCTACGGTAAACAGAGCAGTTCATGTTCTCATTTTATAACCTAAAGTTAAGTGATTCACCAGGATCATCAACATGGCATAAAAACTAAAGTTTCTGGATACTTAAAGCAAGGACTGCTCCACTGTTTGACTGTGATAGTTAGAAAGGCTGAGCTTGTCCAACTGCTTTTGTTATGAAACACAGTGTGATGCAGAGGTCAGGAGTGCAGGCTCTGGAGCAAGACTCCCTGAACCCCATCTCAGCTCCTTATCAGTACTGAGACTTTGACAACTTACTAATCTCTGCAGTTTTGTTTCCTCATCTGTAAAAGGGATGTACCTAACAATACCACACACCTCACAGGGTTTTTACTGGTAGCTTATTTATGCATAAACAGTGCACAGAACTGTACTTAATACATAATAAGGACAGATTAGTTTCCTGTGGCTGCTGTACCAAAGAACCTCAAACGCGGTGGCTTAAAACAGAAATTTATTCTCACAGTTGCAGAGTCTAGACGTCTGAAATATGACAGGACTGCCTTCTCTCAGGTAGCTGTAAGGGAAAGTCTGTTCCTTGTCTCCTCCATCTTCTGGTGCTGCCCATTGTTCCTGGGCTTGCAGCCACATCACTCCAATCTCTGCCTCCATCCTCACATCACCTCCTCCTTTGTGTTTCTCTGTGTAAAATCTTCCTCTGACTCTATCTTATTAGGACACTTGTGAGTGCATTTAGGGCTCATCCAGTTAATAGGGTTATCTCTTCATGTCAAGATTCTTAATCACATCTGCAAAGGAACTTTGTTTTTTTCAAATAAGGAAACATTAACAAATTCCAGCGATTAGGACTTGAAGATTATTGGTTGCCACTATTCAACCTACTACGTAAGGGCTTTAACTATTGCTGTGTGTATAACTTCTAGATGTTTGGATGCTCTCATTTTATGACTAAATTTATCACTGTTATTTATGAGTATAGTCCCCATAGGGAATTCAGCACTAGATACAAAGGGAGAAAAAGATCTGGGGCAAAGTAGGAAGTCTCAAAGAGGCAGGCTCAGGACTAGCATGCATTCTCAATGATAAATGAAGAAAGGATGAGCCACGTTACAAAAGAAAAAAATCAAAAAACTGTGAGAGAAAAAGTCTGCATAATATCACACAATAAAACAATAATGATAAATAGATGCATTAAAATTATGCTTTTCAATTTGATATATAAGTACTTTAATAATATAGCTAAGACAATTAACACCATGGAATGAATATAATGTCTTTTCTTGAGGCAACTATTTTATTTGGTAAATTGAGTAAAATCACTTGCTGATAATAAAATTAACTAATGTTTTGAGGATATTTATTTGTAGTTGCCATTCAAGAATTCTATTATTTGTATTGAGATGAGGAAGACCAACCCAGGTTCTCATCTTGACTTTCTATTTTCCTTGAGCCATTTCCTAATCCATTTGCAATATTAGCCAGGATACTGCTAAGAAACAAATATTTCTTAGTATAATTTGAAAAAAAAAATTGCACCATTTAAAAAAGTGTAGGCAGGGTTTAAAAACAGCTTGAAGAGATGGACAGTTCTCTAGTTGTAGCAACATTAGGGCACTGTCACTAACACTGGGCCTATAGGAGCAAGGCAAGGTGCATTTACCGGAATTTAAGAGACAGCTGAATGGAGAAGCCTTTCTGGCTTAAGTTATGTACTTTGATGGAGTTATTGAACCACGTCATGGTGGTGCAGTAGACGGGGAGCCAGTGAAATAATGCTGACTTGACTTTCTTTCTGCCTTCGCTATCATATTCTGGTTCCTCACAGTAGATACCAGAGGGCTGAGTGCTCACTGATGTATTCCATGTGGGTCATCTCTGAAGGGTACAGCATCTGGGAAGACAAGGAGTGATGGGTGCCAAGAGCAGGTATCCATCTACACTTTCTTAGAATTTTTGGGTATTTCCTCTGCCCTTTTTATCATATCATTTCATGTACTCTTTACGTGTAAACAATTGGCTCTACTGAGTACTAACCTTCTTGTTTAAATGCATTTGAGACATCACCAAGTACAGTCTTGGGACCTCTTTTCATAGAGTTATTTGATATTCTTCAGTAATGAGTCTCACCCAGTGCCAAGCAGCTGCCTAATAATTATCTTTCTAAAAGGGAATAAATGACAAGTACAATCACTTTGTCCAAAAATTATGGATACTGCAGAGAAACTTCTGAAAGTTTTTCCAGAGGCTTCTGTCTCTGTGTAACTCTTTATGGTTGACACTTAAAATGTCACAGAACAAATATGAATTTTTATTAATATCTTCAGAACATCCTTTTTATATGTTACTTGACACATATGTCCTCAAATTATATCCAGTTTAAGTCCAAATAATTTTAATTTCTTGATAAAAGTGAGGACAGATTTTAAAATAACCTTTTTTTCTTTTATCTTTAATAGTCTATCTCAGTAGGTCATGTGTCTTCTCAAATTGAAAAATCATTTCTCTTTGTACATTAAGTCATCAATACAATTTGTCAGAGTACAGGTGGTGACTGCCATGATCTTACCTGACAGACTACTCCTCTTCATACAGTATTATCATTAAATCACTATCATTATCGTTAATGATAATGATTATTACCATTGAAGTAGAATTCACCTATTGCTAGAATGACATACTAAGGTATTTTGCTTTTTTTTTCCCAAATAAATGTAAACTTTCTAATTATCTTTTGTAGTAGAGTGGAAAAGCAAGCATTAGCAGGATTAATGACAGTATATTCTACTCCTCTAGTTTGCTGAACTTCTACTTCTCTCATGATTAAAAGCATGGACTCTGGAACCAGACATTGTAGATTCAAAATCCAGCTTCACCTCTTATTAGCTGTGTGACTTTGGCCAAATTCTTTAATCTCTCTGTGCTTTATTTTTTTTTAATCAGTAAAGTGAGCTTTAATAGTATGTACTTCATAGGGTTTCTGTGAGCATAAAAGGAGCTAAAACATGTAAAACATGTAATAGAGAGCCTGGAAACATAAAGGAATAAGTGTTTGCTATTATTCTTATACCCAAAACTTTGGTATATACTATTCCTTTAATTGGAAGTCATATTTCCTTAGGTCAATCTGAAAGTCAATACGGTTTAAAATTTTCCATTGCTTTTAGCTTAGGCAAAAAAGATCAGGGGTTTCTATTAATCTAACCACTTAAACCTGAGAGAGGGGCAGGCACCCTATACATCAGCGAGATTTTAGCATTTAGTCATAATTTCCACATGACTGTATTATAATCATCATCATGCCACTCAGAACAGATATCATGCTAAACATTTGTAACTTTCCCGTGATCATCTTTGACCTTTAACTACTACAGCCCTACATCTGTCAAATGTTACAACAAGTGCCTTGTCTCACAATTTAGAAATAATGGCATAAACCACAGAACCATAAGTTTCATCCATGGTTTTTGTGCAAACTATGTTGTCTCAGTCTTTTCCGGAGCAGTTACCAGTAACCAGGGAAATGCAGTAATTCTTTCTTTTATAAATTGTAATGTAATCTAATGAGCCAGACCCCTAAGAGATGAGTGTAATTGTCATACTCCACTGGGAATCCTACTTGTCATGATATATCTTAATATCTGAGTCAAAGGAGATCATCAGTCCAACCAAGCATTACATTCTTCTTCACCCGCTCCATTCCTTTTATCACCCTGGAATTTTTCTACTGAGATTTGTCCTAAATGGTCTATAGTTTTCATAGCAATTCATCTAAACTATACATACATAAGTTAGTGCAGTCAAGATATGTGACAGAGACAATCATTATTCTTCATAAGAAATAGCGGTACTTGGTTTTGTAAAAATAAGGAATGCTGAGAATTATTAAATATAATGTTGGGCCAGGCATGGTAGCTCATCTTGTGATCCCTGTACTTTGAGAGGTTGAGGCAGGAGGATCCCTGAGGCCAGGAGTTTGAGACCAGCTTGGTCAACATAGTGAGAGACCCTATCTTTACAAAATAGAAAAAAAAAAGAAGAAATCATGGTACAAAGTTCTAAAACTTAAAAATTCTCATTTGCTTGAGGAGGTAATAACATGAGAATTACATCAGATCTCCAGGATGCTCAAGTAAACCATCCAGACTCAGCCATATGTTTATCAAATTATTTTGTAATGACATGTTTGTGCTGCAATTTCTAAAAATTTAGTAAAAGATGGAAAGTCATATTAGTGTGTAATGATTTTAATGAACTGTGACTATGACATTTGCATTTAGAAGACATTCAGTGACTCTAAGTTGAATTGACAGTGGCATGACAATCTTGATAAAGAGATTATTAGTGACTGGAAAAAAGTGCCAAGGCTAGCTTTGTGAAATGTCGTGCCTTCTCTATGTTTTAACTTAGCAGCAGTATATTTGTATATATATATATGTCTCCATTCTTCTATCCCTTTCCTCGGGGAGCCCTGTGCACTGGTTGACAGAAGAAGGATGACAGAATCACCTGGTAAGGGGTAAATAACAAAGCACAGAAAGTAGAAATGGGAATTGGCTGAAGCACAGCTTTTGAAACCACTATGAATACAGTGGGAGTGGGGCAGGGAGTCAAAGTGAAAGAGTTAAGAGACAAGAATAACAGAAGTTTCTCCTCCTGTCTCCTTGCCTCTCTCCCACTAGAAAGCAAGCTCTGTTAAGGGAGATCTTTTGTTCCCATACAAGCAGCCATATGGGTTTTGTTCCTATACAACCAGCACCTAGAGCAGAGCCTAACAATAGCTACTTAGTAAATATTTCATAAGTGAAAGAACAAGAGAACAAAAGTAGCACAGAAAAAGCAGAATTTGAAGATTAGAGTATCGACGTAGCTAAGTAAATTGAGAACCCTTCTGCTAGAAGCCTCCAGTTGGTAATACAGGCAATGCCCATCATTCCTATAGTAAATATGTATTAATTTGGGGAAAGCTTCACTCTATAAAGCACAATAAAATCACACTCATATAATACCTTCTTATCAACTTCCCAAACTAACAGTGCTGCAAAGCACAAATGTAAATGATTGAAGTGATAAAGTTAAAACATCATCAAACAACAATTTAAAAATATTTGCTTAATTTGGTTGTTTATTCCTTGCTGGACGAGTAACTTCTTATGGACAGCAGTATCTCATTCATCTTTGTTCCCCGGTAGTTGGCATTATCTGATTCTGAGTAGCCATGCATTTATTAATTTAATTGAACTGAATCCCAAGAAACATTCTCAGCAAAACATACATCCTGGAAGATCAAATAAGGCCTCTCCTAATCTGTGAAAACAAAGGAAGATAGCGTTGTTACGTTGTTAAATCTTCTGTAAAACAGGTAACATTAGGAAATTCTTCCTCTGGTTTTAAAGAACAGTTGCACTGACACTAATTTAATTTTTTTAAATGTTTTGCTTTATATAATCCCATCACTTGAGGCTTACACTGCAAATCTGTCTTGTCAGACAACTGTTGCCACCCACTGCCTGTCAGCTTCTCAGAGGATGGTGGCTTTGTCAGAGAAAAAGCATTTATACCTCTGATGATTCAATCAATTGATTTTGGAAAGCACCACTTCTGAAAGAGCACAGCTTTTAGACAATAAGAAAACCTTGTACTCCAGTCCGTTGGGCTACAATTTGATTTGTGTTGAAAAGTATTATCAATATGATCCAACTGAGACTGGGGAGACTAGTACATTAGGCAACACAGCAGACATACATATTTTAAACAAAACAGTTAACAGTGGGAGGTAAGATAATATATAGAAACATGGGATCTTAAAGTGTTCTAATATATTTCAATGATAAGTAAATAATTCTGAGGGGATTATGGTCTCATCAGCTTTACGTAGATAAGAAGTGGTAAGAATAAGACTGTGAATTAGAAGTCATATATCCTGTGGGTTAAATTAAAAGAATAGTTTCCTCTAAATTAAAGGCTTTCAAACTAGAACCTTGAGAAGTCTGGTGCTGTTCAGTATGGTAGAAACTAGTGTCATGTAATTGAAACTAATTTAAATTAATTAAATAAAATTTAAAATTCCATTCCTCAGTCACCTTAACCACATTTCAAATTTCCAATAACCATACTAGATGTTGGCTAAATACAGGATAGGGAAGGCACAGAACTTTCCCATCAGTGCCGAAGGCAATTTTGAGCATCACAACTCTAAGATTTTGTTTGCCAGTGACTGCTGCTTTCGATTTCATGCTCATCGCAAAGTATTAAGTAATTCTGCACGTTCCTCAAACCTCATGTATTTGATTTCCACATGGAATTTCACAGAAAAATGATTTTAAAATAATGTAATATCACAGCAACTGTTTGACTTTGTTTCTTTTTCTCCCCGGATGGTCCCATAATCCTGCTTATAAATGATCTATTCTACATTAGTTGATTATTTATGGTATGTTGTTACGTTGGTTTTCTAGGGCAGCTATAACAAAATAACACAAACTGAGTAGCTTAAAACAACAGAAATACAGTCTCAAAGTTCTGGAGGATGGAAATCTAAAAGGAAGGTGTTAACAGGGCCATGCTGCCTCTGAAACCTGTAGGGGGATAATTTATTCTATGCCTCCTCCTAGTTTACAGTAGTTCTCAGCAATCCTTGGCATTCTTCGGCTAGTAGCTATAACGCTTTAATCGCACCCCCGCCTCCCTTATCATATGGTCTTCTTTTCTCTTCTGTCTGTACCTCTTCATCTCTTGTTTATAAGGACACCAGTCATATTGGATTAAGGGCCCACCCCACTAGTATGACGTCAACTTAACGAACCATACCTTCAATGACCCTATTTTCAAATAAGATCACATTCTGAGGTACTGGGTATTAGAACTTTACTTATCTTTTTGAGAGGACAAAATTCAACCCAAAAGAGTTTCTTACAAAATTTCTTATAGACTTTTATATATATATATATGGGCATGTGTGCACATATGTGTGTGTATATGAAAATATAATAAATATACATATATATATATTTCCACATAGTGACACACATCCAGAGTTAAATCACAAAATAAGAATCTGTAGAACTTGATCATAAAACAGATTTGCCATGATTAGCAAGTGTATTATTTATCCATATTACTCATAAAAACTGACATTAGTTCGGGCGCTGTAGCTTATACCTATAATCCCAGCACTTTAGGAGGCCGAGGTGGGCAGATCACTTGAGGTCAGGATTTTGAGACCAGCCTGGCCAACATGGTGAAATGTTGTCTCTACTGAAAATACAGAAATTAACCAGATGCGGTGGCTGGCACCTTTAATTCCAGCTCCTTGGGAGGCTGAGGTAGAAGAATCTCTCAAACCCAGGAGGCAGAGGTGGCAGTGAGCCGAGATCGCGCCACTGCACACCAGTCTGGGCAACAGAGCCAGACTCAGTCTCAAAACCAACAAAGAAACAAAGAAACAACCAAACGTGATGTGCATATAAATATAGTACTCTGTTTCAATATAAATACAAATGTTAAAAATATTTTATTTTAAAATAAGTATAGACTCAGGGAATTATAAAATATATGTGGTAATGATCTGTGTACTCCTCACCCAACCTCCATCAATGTTAACATCTTGCGTAGGAAAGCACAATATCAAAAACCAGAAATTATTAGAAATTCAAAATATAGAGTTTATTCAGATTTCAGCAGTTACCCATGAGCTCGTGTGTATGTGTGTGTGCGTGCTCATGGAGCTCTTTGCAATTTTATTACATGTGCTCTCCATTAATCAGGATACTTAATGGTACTGCCACAGGACTTCCATATGCTTCTTCCTTTATAGCCACGTCCCCCTCCACCCTGCCCCCAACCCAGCAACCACCATTCTGTCCCTGTCTCTATAGTTCTGTGACTTAACAAATGTTATATAAATGGATTCATGCAATATGTATCACTTTGTAATTGGCTTTCTTCATCTTAATTTTCCTGAAGTTCATCCAAGTTGTGTGTGTCAATAGTTTATTCCTTTCTATTGCTGAGGAGGATTCCATGATTTGGATGTTCCACTGTTTGTTTAACCATTCACCCATTGATGAACATTTTAAGAGTTTCCTGTTTTTGGCAGTTATGAATAAGGCTGCTATGAACATTTATGTATAAGTGACTGTATGTAAAAAACTTTCAGGCTGGGCGCAGTGGCTCACGCCTGTATTCTCAGCACTTTGGGAGGCTGAGGCAGGCCGATCACGAGGTCAGAAGTTCAAGACCAGCCTGGCCAACATAGTGAAACCCTGACTCTACTAAAAATACAAAAAAATTAGCTGGGCATGGTGGTGTGTGCCTGTAGTGCCAGCTACTTGGGAGGCTGAGGCAGGAGAATTGCTTGATCCCGGGAGGCGGAGGTTACAGCGAGCCGAGATCGCACTATTACACGCCAGCCTAGGCAACAGTGTGAGATGCAGTCTCAAAAAACAAACAAACAAACAAACAAAAACTTTCAGTTCTCTGGGATATTTGCCAACAATGCAATTCCTGGGTCATATGTTAAGACTCTTTTTAGTCTTAAGAGTAACTGTCAAACTCTTTTCTGAGGTTGCTGTACCATTTTACATCCAACTAATAATGTTATGAGTCACCTAGTTTTGACACATTGTTGACAGCATTTGTGGTGTTATCACCATCTTTAAATTTAGTTATTCTGATAGGTGTGAGGTGTGTACTGATATCTTAACATCTTATTGTGCTTTTAACGTATTTTTCTTTTTCTTTTTTTTTTTTTTGAGACAGGGTTTTGCTCTGTCACCAAGGCTGGAGTGCAGGATCTCAATCAGGGCTTACTATGGCCTTGAATTCTTGGGTTCAAGCAATCTTGTTGCCTCAGCCCCCCATGTCACAGGGAGTACATGCATGTGTAACCATGCCCAGGTAACTTTTTAAAAATTATTGCTTGTAGAGACAGTGTCTTACTATGCTGCCCAAGCTGGTCTTGAACTCCTGGGCTCAAGATCCTCCTGCTTTGTCTCTTCATGTATTTTGCTTATTTTGTAATTGTATTGAGTTATTTATTAATATTGAATTTTAAGAGCTCTTTACACCTTCTACATGAGTCCTTTGTCGGATGTGGGATTCGAAAATATTTTCTCCTAGTCTATAATTTGTATTTTCATCTTAGGGTCTTTTACTGAGCAAAATTATTTACTTTAATAGGTTTAATTTATCAAATTTCTGTTTACGGATCATACTTTTGGTGCTAAGTCTAAGAAACCTCTACCTTGTCCCAGGCCCTAAATATTTTTCTTATCTTTTTAGAAGTTTTATATTTAATACATTATTCATTTTGAGTTAGTTTTTATAAGGTGTCAGATTTAGATTCAGGTTTATTTTTTGCCAATAATTGTATAATTGCTTCAACACCACTTTTTGAAAATACTATCCCCCTAAATTGAGTTGTTTTTTTACCCTCTGTCAACAAATAATTCTAGTTTCTCTGTTCTGTTTCATTGATCTATGTGGTTATTCTTCCAGCACTACTATACTGGTTTGATTACTCTGGCTCTAAAATAAGCCATCATATTGTGTAGAATAGTTCCTCCCCCTTTATTCTTTTATTTTTCAAGTGTTTTGTCTATCCTAGAGAATTTCTATAGAAATTTTAGAGTAGGTTTGTCTGTGCCTACAAAAATCTTGCTGAGATTTAAGAATTGCATTAAGCCCACAAACCGATGTAAGAATTGATATCTTTACTATGTTTTGCCTTCCAGTCAGTCAACACAGTGTGCTTCTCCAAGTATTTAGGGATTCTTTGATTTCTTTCTTAAATATTGTGCGATTTTCATCATAGAGATCCTGTATATATTTTCAGTTAAATTTATACCTAATATTTAATCTTATTTGGAACACTTATAAATGGTTTGCATTTGAAATTTATTTGCACTTTTACATGAGAATGTATTTGATTTATGTGTGTTGATTTTGTATCTCATGACCATATTGAATTAACTTATTAGTTCTAGAAACTTTCTTTGTAGATTCCTTGGAAGTTTTTAATAGAATATCATGACATCTGCAAATAGAAAGAGTTTTATTCTGTTTCAATCTGTATGCCTTTCATTTATTTTTCTTACCTAATTGCTTTCTATACATCTTCCAATAATATGTTGACTGATGGTAAGGGCACACATCCTTGCTTTCTTCACTATTTTAGAGATAAGGCATTTAGCCTTTTACCATTTGTATGATGTTAGGTATAGAATTTTGTAGATTCTCTTTATTAAATTGTGTTCAGAGCCTGTACTGAGAGTTATGAGAAATTTTGTCCATTTTTGTCTACATAAGTTAATATGATTATTTGCACAATGACTCTTGATTGACTTTCACATTCTGAACCTGCCATGCCTATGGAATAAAGTCCACTAAATCTTGGTGTATTATTCCTTGTGTACATTGCTGGGTTGAAAAGGCAAAAAATAACTAAGTAAATATATAAATAAATAAAATAAAAAGTTGAGATTTAAATTCATGCCAGATTTTGTTCTGAATGTTTTCATTGTTGCTTCATTTTGCTTTTCTTTGCCTTTGATTTTGGCCCAAGTATAATTCTGATTTCTCATAAAATGGGGCCAGTGGAAGCATTATGCATTACTGCATAGTGAAAGACATTATGCAAAATTGTTGTTAATCCTTTGAATATTTGGTAAAATTCTCCATTGAAAACATTTTGGCCTGGAGATTGGAGATTGCTTTTATAGGATTTTTAAAATTATGAATTCATTTTTTTTCTTTTTAAAAACATTTATTTTAGGTTCAGGGGTACATGTGCAGATTTGTTATATAGGTAAACTTGTGTCACACAAGCTTGCTATACAGATTATTTTGTCATCCAGGTACTAAGCCTAGTACCTATTAGTTATTGTTTCTGCTTCTCTTTCCTTCCACCTTCCACCCTCAAGTAGGACCCAGTGTCTGTTGTTCACTTCTTTGTGTTCATGAGTTCTCATCATTTAGCTCCCTCTTATAAGTGAGAACATGTGGTATTTGGTTTTCGGTTCCTGTGTTAGTTTACTAAGAATGATGGTGAATATCCGTGATAAACATCAATGCACAAATCCTGAGTAAGGCCGGGGGTGGTGGCTTATGCCTGTAATCCCAGCACTTTGGGAGGCCAAGGCGGGCGGAACACGAGGTCAGGAGTTCGAGACCATCTTGGCTAACATGGTGAAACCCTGTCTCTACTAAAAATACAAAAGTTAGCTGGGCCTGGTGGCACATGCCTGTAATCTCAGCTACTCGGGAGGCTGAGGTGGGATAATCGCTTGAACCTGGGAGGCGGAGGTTGCAATGAGCTGAGATCCCTCCACTATACTCCAGCCTGGGTGACAGAGCGAGACTCCATTAAAAAAAAATCCTCAGTAAAATACTGGCAAACTGGATTCAGCAGCACATCAAAAAGCTTATCCACCATGGTCAAGTCAGCTCCATCCCCGAGATGCAAGGCTGGTTATACAAAATTTTTTTAAAAAAATTAGCGGGGCATGGTGGTGCATGCCTTTGGTCCCAGCTACTCAAGAGGCTGAGCTGGGAGGATTGTTTGAGTCCAGGAAGCAGGAAGTGAAGGCTGCAGTTAGCTGTGATTGGGCCACTGCACTCAGCATGGATGACACAGTGAGACTATGTCTTAAAAAATAAAAATGAAAATACAAAATAAATTTAAATATTGATGTGTTCAAATATTGATGTGTACAGTTTAATGTATTTTCTTTTTTCTACCTAATTACCTTGGCTAGAACATTCATTACAATGTTGAATAGAAGTGGCAAACGTGAACATTCTTGTGTTATTCCTGATCTTAGGTTTCAAGCATGAAATAATTCACTACTAAATATTATGTTAGCCGTGAGTTATTCATACATGCTGTTTATCATATTGAAGAATTCAAATATTTTTGTCATGAAAGGTTAATTTTCAATTATGATCTGTTATCAGTTCTTTATCCAAATACAGCTTACACAACTTATTTTTTCTATTGTATATTACACCTCTTTATATTATAGAACTAAAAATAAAATTGAAAGCATGTTATATGTGAAATTTCTTTTTAAATGTGATAAAGGAGAGTGCATATATATTTATACTGTCTTTTATAATTGCATAATAACAATTACCAGCCTTTTTAAAAATATACGTTCAAATTACTCTCTGAGGTCCCATACTTTTAGACTAAAGAGCCTTTAGAATTTATTTTCTGTCAAGCCTGAAAGCAATACATTCTGTTTTGTTTCTCTGAGAATATCTTATTTTGCTTTCCTTTAAAAAGATAGTTTTGCTGGATATAAAATTATGGGTTAATAGTTATTTTCTTTCAGTATGTGATTCCACCACCTTATGGACTCCACTGTATATGATCATGCATCCACTGTTAATGTTGTTGCTGTATGTAGAACTAACAATCATTTCTCTCTTGCTGTTAGGATGATTTCCTCTTTATCATTTGATTTTAACATTTTTACGGTGACATGTCTGGGTGTGGATATCTTGGCATTTATTTTATTTTTATTGAGCTTCTTGGCTGTATATGTTAATATTTTCTATAAAATTTGTGAAACTTTCTGCTCTTATTTCTTAAAATCTTCTGTCTTCTCTTTCTGTATTCCCTTTATACATTTTGGTGTGCTTAATGATGTTCTACACTTATATTAGGCTCTGTTCTTAGGCCTTTATTCTCTTCTGTCTTGTCTTTACATCAAATAATCATTATACATCAATTTTCAAGTTCATTGATTCTATCTTCTGTCAATGTTAATCTACTGTTGAGCCTCTCTAATGAATTTTTCTTTCCAGTTTCTATATTTTTCAACTTAATAATCTTCGTAATTTCAGTTTTTTCCTTTTTAAGTTCCATCTCTTTATTCATATTATCCTTTGATAAGACATTGTCATTATACCTTTCTTTATTTCATTAAGCATTTTTTCCTTTAGTTTCCTGAACATATTTATGACGACTGCTTTGAAGTCCTTGCTGTTCAATGCAACAGCTTGGCTCTCTCACAAGCTGTTCCGCTGTTTGCTTTTTTTGCATTTCCAATGTATTTATTTATTTTGTTAAAAGTAGTGTGTGTTAGATAACTTAGTTTGGAAAATTTGAATACCCCTAAATAGAGCTTATTATTGCTGGCTTGTTTGCCTGTTTACTTGTTTAGTGATTTAGCTAGATTATTGTAGTGAAATATAATCCTCCCATACCGTTAAGCCTTTAATATCACTACTTACTTGGTGTGGCCTTTGGTATTTTTATAATCATTATAAAATGAGATTGGTTCTAGCAGGGCTCTCTTTAGCTATTTCTTTGCATGAATTCTCTGTTAAGCTGTCTCTCTCTGTCAATGTAACATCCAGTTTTTAGGCTCCACTGACAGTTGACTGAATTTGCTATTGTTTTCAACAATGCCTTGGAGTACAAATTACTCCACAGTCTGGTCAAATTAAATGCTTGTCCCTCTGCAAGTATAGTATTTGATGCCTATGTTTGTGGTTAATTGTGACACCAGGAGGGCTCTTCCTAACTGTCTCTTTCCCTGATTCTCTCTGGTAAACTATTTAGCTTACAACTTACCTTGTTGCTGTCATGGAGCTGTTAGCCTTAACTTAATTGCTTACAACCAAAATCTTCATAGTTTTCAGGAATGCCATTAGGCTTGAATTTCCTCATACTTTGTTTCAAACACTCTGTTCTTTTGAGGCTAATTTTGGAGAACTCTGCTCTTATAGTTTGCTTGTCCTCCTGGGAAAAATACCTGGCTACTGCTCTGGAAGTAAAGATGGGGAAAGTGACCCACTTTTCTCTGGGTGACACTCATGTTTGAAGAGCAGAACACTGAACTTGGATTGTAGACACTGGTATTCTTGAATTTCCTCTCCTTTCATTAACCTCCAGCTTTCAAGTAAGCTATAGCATGGTTAATCAAGGTCTCAGTATTTTCCATTTGTCTTGAATCACATAGATGCTCTGCTCTAAAAGTGGGTTGCTATGAACATGGAGTTTTATGGTTCAACACATCAGGTACTACTGGTTTCATGACATACAATTTAAGTAAAATAGTAAGTTTGTCCAACATGGTCAAGCGTTTAGTCTCTACTTGCACCCAGTAGCAAAGAAGAAGCTACTTTTTATTTAAATAAATCTTTCTGGCAGAAGATGATGTGAATATACTCCAAAGCACAGAAGAACTTGCTAGAAGTTCTTCCAGTAGCACTATTAGTATTGGTTTAATACTGAAGTAGCAGGGTACCTGATATTGTCAATTGGACCTTTTTATCAATCAAATTACCACCTCATTCTATTAAAAATGAAATATCTTATTCTTTTAACAATGCTTATTTTAAAATTTTATAACAGTATGCTCTGAACTTTAAATTTACTTGCCTTAATTTCTATAAGTGACCTTCCTTCATACTTTACTCACTTCTCCCACAGTCTTCTGTTTTATGTGTAATTCTCCTAGACTTCGACTAGTAAACTTAGCTACACTTGATTTTTACAAATTAAAAGAATGGATAAAAATAACAGGTTTATAAACAAAAATCTTAGGACGATTTTAAAATAATAAATGTTTTAAAGAGCAAAAATTCAATTAAGAAAGTTTCTGAGATAATTGAAAAAAAAATTCTAAGTGACATACATCAGCACTACAACCATAATAAATACATTTATTTTTCCATTATAATTGTCTTTAAAGCAGTATGATTTTTGTGGTTGGTGATTCTTAGTCCAAATAACTATAACTAATAATATTAGCAAAAATAGAAAATTGGCCAATAATGGATGGAGAGATTAGATAGAATTGGATAACGCAATGTACAGTTTATGCATAATACATTAGAGTAAGATAATTCAAAGATAAAGATGTCATGTCAGATAGTGTGGGAAGTAGAAATTCATCAAACAATTAAAAAGGTTTCAATAAAATTGTAGTTATTTTCAACATTGAATGGTATAATTCTTATTTGATGAATTAATCTCAAGACAGAAATATGAATTATCATCCTATATTGCTGTAGATTACAATAAATACAACATTCTTTGTTTCATATAAGCATGCTTCTTGTGTTACTAATATGTAAAGAACACGCTGCCTCTATAAATAACTAAAAGACTATGTATATTAATTTAGAGTTTAATAATATATGAAAGAGATTAATTTTTAACATAACAAACATCATGTTTACATAAGCAATTACATTTACATTGAAATGGCAAATATTTTAAAAAGACATCATCTATTCAAATATTCATTATGTGTCTATTAGCTCTAATACATTAGAGAATTAGGGAATATTAAATAGAAAACACCTGCCTGAATGTTTCTACTTTTAATTATCACAGTTTAATAACATTCAAGGCATGCAATTTGCCATGATTTGAGAATCTCAAAAAGTTAAACATAGAGGACAAAAAAAAGAGGGCAAGAGTTGAAAAAATAGTAATTCAATCATCTCTCATATATTTAGTGACTGCCTAATGTGTACCTCCTACATACAGAGCCTTGTTCTGGATGTGGTATAAATGAAACAGACAAACATCTCTTCTTATTAAATTGCATTATTTGTATGTGTTGAATGGGGTGATGTAGGTAATAAACAAAATTAAACCTATAACATGTTAAGTGTCTATAAAATATGGAAATGAATAAGCAGCACGGTTGAATAGGCATATTTTGGATTTTGTGGAAGGTGATTTCCAATTTTGCATAAGGTAATAGGAACTCTCCCTGGGAAGCAGACACTTGAAGAAGGTAAAGAGACCATTCATGAGGATATCTGGGGAATGTGTATTTGCAGTGGAAGAAACAGCAAATATAAAAGCCCAAGTCAGGAGTATGTATGTTCCTTTAAGAGAAGAGAAGGGAAGTTATATGACTGCAAAGAAATGAGTGAGGGAGAAAGGTGCAAGAAAGATGATCAGGTGTTTGGAGAGCTAACGGGATGCTACACCATATAGTTCCATGTAGAGTTTTTTTTGTTTTGTTTTGTTTTGTTTTGAGATGGAGTCCTGCTCTGTCGCCCATGCTGGAGTGCAGTGGTGTGATCTCGACTCACTACAACCACCGCTTCCTGGGTTCAAGCGATTATCCTGCCTCAGCCTCTGTAGTAGCTGGGATTACAGGTGCCTGCAACCAAGCCCAGCTGTTTTTTTTTTTATTTTTTATTTTATTTTTTATTTTTAGTAGAGACAGGGTTTCACCGTGTTGGTCAGGCTCATCTCGTGATCCACTCCTGGTCTCAGGTGATCCGCCCACCTCGGACTGCCAAAGTGCTGGGATTACAGGCATGAGCCAATGCGCCCAGCCCAGACAATGTTAAGAGGGTTTTATAATCAGAGAAGTAGGCCCAGAAAAATGGGGACTTCCCGTCTCCTACCTTGTCCTACTCGTAAAACTAGGGCGTCACTTCAAGAGTAGAGGGCAACGATCTTCACTACCAGCTTAAGAGCTGTGGCCAAGATATTTTGCAGATAATAATAACAGAGGGGGAAGTAAGTCATAAGAAAAAAAAATCAAGAGATTATTTTTATAAAAACACTGAGTTAACTCAGATTATTCTTATAACAACTCTTATTTGAAACAGAAGGTGAAGAAATTCAAGCCTACGATGATCTCTTTAAAACAGTAGATATTTTGGTGGTAGTCAAGTGAAAATAAGCTGGTAGCTCTATGTGGGCAAGAAGTTTAATCTTAGGGCAGCCAATTTGCCAGAGATGAGCAGAAAAAGAGACAGCAAAATAAAGCAAGGTCAGAACAAATCTGTAAGGCAGAGACCAAAACGATATCTGCAAAGGAGTCTGAATTTAACTGGAGCATACTGTGGAGAAACTAGTTTCCCAGATAATAATAACATCTGGGATAACAGTAAAATTCTTGAAACCAATAACAAATTCAGTCAGCAATTAGACAAACAGGTGGGTGTAATGTGAAAGAGGCAGACAGGTTAACAGAAAGATCAGGCAAACTGATAGTCAAAGAAAGCCCTTCTAAAAGTAATGTCATCCCAGGATTATTACACACATGTCCAGTGCTGTACTCACTGAGGTGTGATATCAAAGTTTCACAATATGTGGGATTCATATTTCACTACAGTAGTCCAGCTAAGTCACTAAACAAATAAACAGGAATGCAATAATAACAAAAGGACTAGGGAGAGAGAATATTCAGAGTTGCCACAATGTCTTATCCAAAATGACCTGATTTTAACAAAAAATATGATACATGCAAAGAAACCAAAAAATGTGTCCCATACAGGGTAAAAAATCATGCACCCCAAACAACCTATTAGAGGGTCCAGTTGTTACATTTAATAGGCAAAGGCTTCAAAGAAACCATTATAAATGTGTTCAAAGAATTAACTGAAATTGTTTAAAGACTAAAGGAAGATGAGAGGTCAATGGCTTATCAAAAATATAATATCTGTAAAAAGGTAGAATTGATATAAAGAAACAAACATAATCCTGGGTTTTCAAGTCATAATAAAGAAGAAAAAATTTTTCCTGGAGTTGTTCAACAGAAGATTTGAACTGCTAGAAGACAAAATCAATGCCCTTGAAGGTAGATGGATAAAAAATCTAAAATCCAAAAGAAATAATTATTTTTAAAATGCAATAAGCTTCAGAGAAATGTGGGATACTGCTAATTATACTACCATACATATAATTAATTACCATAGAAGAGGAAGAAATGAAAGGGAAAGGAACAGAAAATGTATTAAAAATTATAATGGCTGACCACTCCCCAAACTTAAAAAATAATATTCTAAACATTGAAAATGCTCAGTGATCCCCAGTTACATAAACTAGAAGGATCAAAATCCAGACATGTCATAGTAAAAATATTAAAAGACAAAAACAAATAGACTTTTTTTTTTTGAGATAGGATCTCATTTGGTTGCCCAGGCTGGAGTGCAGTGGCACAATCTCGGCTCACTGGCAACCTCCACCTCCCAGGCTCAAGCAGTTCTCCTGCCTCAGCTTCCAAGTAGCTGGGATTACAGGCACATGTCACTACCACCCGGCTATTTTTTTTATTTTTAATAGAGACAGGGTTTCTCTATGTTGGCCAGGCTGGTCTCAAACTCCTGACTTAAAATGATCCACCCGCCTTGGCCTCCCAAAATGCTGGGTTTATAGGCGTGAGATACCACGCCCTGCCAAATAGACAATTTTGAAAGTAGCAAGATATCCACACGTCACATTTATGGGAATCTCAGTAAGAATTCTAGCATATTATCATCAAAAACAATGACGTCTAATAGGTAATGGGATGACATATTCTAATTGGTAAAACAAAAAAATGCAATCAACAATCTAACGTCTGGAAACTTCATCTTTTGTAGATGAAGGTGAAATGAATACCTTACCAGAAAAACAAAAATTGAGAGAATTTCTTGGTAGCAAATCCACTTCATAAGAATGCTAAACAAATTTCTTTAGTGACCATAGGAAAAATGTGAATACACACACACACGTACACACACACACACACAGGTGCACACAAAGTACCAACAATGATAATTATGCAATTAAGAAGACATTATAAATGCTTATATCTTCTCTTTCCCTCTTTTTAACTGAAATAAAATAATTTGTTTTAAAATGTGTATTTTATTGCAGACCTACCACAAAATTATATATTTGACAATGAAAGCAAAAAGGAGGTCCTTGTATTGCAATGAGAAAAAGCATTAAATCCACAGAAACCTATAAAGACAAAGATAAATAGTAAATAAGAACATTTTTGTAACAATAAATATATGTATTTCTCCTTTTTTCTCATTTTTAAAAAACAAAATATTATATGAAGTAATAATTAGGATTAGGCATTTTTGGAATATAACAAAAATAGCACAAAATAAGGAAACAGTAGTGAAAGTTACATAGGACTGAAATTTCTGTATCTCCCTAGAAGTTAGTTAGTATAAATCTGAAGTTCATTCTGATCAGTTAAGATTTATATGGTAAGCCCCAGAGCAACAACTACAAAAACAATTTTTAAAAAGTGAAAATATCATTAAAGGAATTGAAATATTACCCCAGGAAATATTCACTTAATTCCAAAGAAAGCAGTAAATGAGGGATAGAAAAACAGGATACCTATAAAAAATAGCGTAGAAGATTTAAATCCAACTATAGCAATAATACATTTAATGTGAATGGGGTAAACAATCCAATCAAAATACAGATATAGTCTGATGAGAGTATAGAGATATCCAAATATATGGTGTTTAAGGGAGACAAATTTCAGATTGAAAAATTCAAATAGATAATAAAGGAAGGAGAAAAAATTATGCAAAAAGTTTCTGTAAGAAAGCTGGAGTAGCTCTGGTAATGTCAGACAAATTAGACTTAATAAAAAAAAAGTGTTACTAAAGTGTATCTCTTTAAAAGTTAAGTGCTGTACTTTTTCTCACATTTCACTAGAAATGGTTCACTGCCCCTCCCACAGTAGTGAGAGTCTTACTCTCATTTGGCAGCAATATATTGATGTGTGTTTTCTCGATGAAGATGAGAGTATTTGCCATCACCTCCTCAGAGGCAACAGGTTTTGCTTTTACTCCTCCTAGAAGCAATGGAACCTTGCCTGTTCCCTGGGGGTGAGACGGATGACTGCCCCTACATTAGCTACCTAACATTTTTGCTTCTCCGGACAGAAGAGTAAGGGCAAGGGGACAAGACCCATCTCCCCAAAGCAGCTGATCCCCACTTGCACACCAAACTACCAATGAAGCTAGCCATTTCTGGTCTCCCATCCTGACTTTTCTGAGCACATGGTGAAGATCTGTGGAAAACATTTTGTGAGTATAAACTCTTCTTGTGTCTGAGGCCCCTAGTCTTTCCAAACTGATAAGCTAGCCTAGACATTCCCGTGAAGAAGTTTTTAAAATGTTAGCTGATTTTATTTTACATACATTTATGTAGGCCACTTCTTTCTCTTGTGCTGTGCCAAGGTGAAATTATTCCTTGTCCCTCATTGGAAATTAGTTTACTTGGTGAACTTCTAACCCCAGCTGTCTATGAGGCTCAAGTAACAATATGATTTTGTGGATTTTCCAGCTTTTTCTGCTACAGTGTGTGTGTATGGGGGAGGGGATGGCTTTCTTTGCAGCTTTGTTCTTTCTAAGCAATGTAAGGATTTTCATATTATTTTTGCAGAATAATGTTAGCACTTTCGTTATTTAGAGAATCTGCAGATTGTACAGATCTCAATTTGGTTTCATCTTGAAAGGGCTATTTGTGAATATTTTTTACATATACATGCTTATATATTTGTTCACATATATATTATTTGTTAAGTAATTGAAATTTTTCTCAGTTTATTCCAATGAATTGAGACTGATTTCTAGTTTCCCTTTATTGAATTTGTGTCTGTAATTGATTTAAAATATATTTTAGTAATCGTGAAATATATCACGGAAGCGATTTTAATGCGTATACATGTGTAGGTATATGTATATTTATTTATTAGAGCTTAGTATTACATTATTGAAAGTCTGTATATAGGTAAACATCCTAATTTACTTGATCTTGTAGCGTCTCCAGAGTGAAGGTCCACTGACTTTGTGTTTCTTTGATTTCTGCTTACATCTTGGTAGTCTATATTTTTATCTATTTGGATGCTATGAGAGATATGAGATTCTGTGATCCATAGGCATATTCGGCAAATTTATACAGGAATCCTATATTATAATAATTTTTATGTAACTCACTATCATGGTTCTAGATTTAATAGGCATTCCAAAATACTAATGGGATATGTTTGAATATTCAAACTTCATCCTCCAATGTCCCTAGATGTATTTTCACTTTTGTATGCTCAAATTAAAACACACACACACACACACACACACACACACACACTCAGTGAGGTATTTACTTGCTTTAAAGTGGAAAACTGCATGTCATATGGCAGATTTGCACCGAAATAGACGAATTAAAAATGATATTTCTATCAGCAAGCAACTTTTAAAAACGCTATAAAATTAACATGCTATGTGTTAGTAACTTATCAAAATATTCACTCTTGCTCAACTTAATTACCCTACAGAATAATTAATGTTTGAAGATAATGTTTATTAATAAAGAGAGAATGATAATTTATACTTTATAAGGTCAAATGTTGATTTTTTGGCTAGTCTTTGTTAATAGTTCTGAAAGGACAGAAACTGAACAGCAGAAGTAGTTTAAAAGCAGGTGGATGAGCAGAGTCATAGCAGAGTATTCAGTATTTAACCTTTTTTTTTTTCTTTTGAGAGAGAGTCTCGCTCTGTCACTAGGCTGGAGTGCAGTGGTGCAATCTCGGCTCACTGCAACCTCCGCCTTCCGAGTTCAAACGATTCTCCTGACTCAGCCTCCCGAGTAGCTGGGATTACAGGCATGGGCCACCGTGACCAGCTAATTTTTGTATTTTTAGTAGAGACGGGGGTTTCACCATGTTGGGCAGGATGGTCTTGATCTCTTGACCTCATGATCTGCCTGCCTCGGCCTCCCAAAGTGCTGGAAATACAGGCGTGAGCCACTACGCCTGGCCATATTTAACCATTTTTAAAGAGCTATATTTTCTCACCTATCTGCCTTGATTATCATGAGATATTTTACTTGGACTATGTAACTTTGAACAAGTTTATGGGTCCAGGTGTAAAATAACACTGTTCATTTTAATAGAAATGCAAAAAGTATCTTGAATAATGAATATTTGAATAATTATCAAATATTTGAATAACTGAGTAATTTGCCCACTTAAGGTGGACATTTTTCCCATTGAAATATCAATATTCTTTTGACACTGAGGTGATTTTGATTCTTCTTCTAAAAAGGAGGAAAATGTGTATTTAGAGACAGTCTTTCAATACATTTACAAAACATCAAAACAGAGTATGTTTGGTATTTTGGTGTGTTCTTTGTCAATTTCAGCCAAACTTAATTACAGCCCTGAAAACAAGTCCCAAAATAGAGAATTTTATTATTGGTAAACTCTAGTATAAAAGAACAACTGTTAAAACTTTTCCACGTCACCAACTGTAGCTGTAAATTACTGTAAAATAGCTGTGCAGTATCCACTAAATACCACAGAGACAGGTTCATTTTGCTGCTGAATATTACTGAAAAGCTAAGTGCTTTTCCATTTACTAACAGGACTATGCAATTTATAAAGGCAAACAAACAAAAAGCTATGCTCATATGGTGAAGATTTAGTCTCCTAGAAAGATGGGAAAATTTACCATGACTTAAGACAGCAGATGAGAATTTCTATGGCATGAATTTCAGAATACATTTCTGCCTCTGAAGTTTCTCAGGAGAAGTAAATGGTATTAGACTGTGATTGAAAGAAACGTAAACATAGATATTTGGTAGGTGCTTCCTTTGTTCTCTTTGCCCATTCATAAAGGAACATGCTAAATGTAGCAAGTGAAAATAGAAGGGCCCCTTAAGAGTTCTTAAAATTGCAACATTGGGTTGTACATTTTTATTTCATTTTATTGGTTTCCATAAATAGTGAAAACATCATACAAAGATGTTTTCCTGAATATCAATATTGTTCTTGTTTCTGTCTTCAAATATTTACACAATATAATAATTTGTCTGATAGTATTAAACATATTGTTTTATCATGTAAATATCCTGATTAGTAAAATTCAACTGAATTAGTTTATTTCATAAAATAAAATTCTGTGAATACCTTTTGAGTGGGAATCAGAAAGGTTATTAGGCCCTAAATCACAAATATTTTAAGTGCTTCAATTTTACATGGATATAATTAGCCAGAAGGTAGAATGACCCCTAAAAATTACATTATTTGCTGTATATGATGGCACTTCCTTGGGAGTATATCCATTGCCCTATATTTCCATTTAGTTTGTCCCTTATCCATGTCTTCATTCTGTCACTCCAATTTAGTGCTCCTTCAAGGCTTTCTTACTTCTATCAATGGTGTCATATTTTAGTCTTATCATTTTTGTCCCTTTTATTATCCATATTTATTCAATTGCCACTCCAGGTATGGTTCCTTAACAAGTCTTATTTTTTAAAATATGTTTTCAATTTAATTGTCGTGCATTAAAGGTCATAAACTCACATTTTTACAAAAGTTATCTAAGTAATTCAATTTCCCCCAATTTCCCTATTCTTTGGTTAAATTTTCATTCCACTAAAAAGATCATAAATTTTAAAAATATCGTTTTCACTATCATTTCTCTTTTTGGAAATTCGTTATTCAGTATCTACAGAAGCAGTGACAGATTATAGTTAGGTCCCTATTGCCTGGATTAATTCCAAGTTTTTAAACTAATTTCAATTTTCACCTCTCTCCTTTAAAAACTATTTATGACCTACTTTCTTGTCTTACCTATATCAACAATTTTAAATTCAATCATTTACTTCTTTCTTTCAGTTTTGCTCAATGACCTCCCCACATCGTATTTCCATACTTGCTTTCATACCTTTACTCATTCCGTGCCTGTCATTGCTATAATTTCATTTTGTTTTTCTGTCTGTTAACAATCTACTCTTTGGGGCCGGGCACGGTGGCTCACTGCAATCCCAGCACTTTGGGAGGCCGAGGCTGTTGGATCACGAGGTCAAGAGACCAAGACCATCCTGGCCAACATGGTGAAACCCTGTCTCTACAAAAAATTCAAAAATTAGTCAGGTGTGGTGGTGAGCACCTATAATCCCAGCTACTCGGGAGGCTGAGGCAGGAGAATCACTTGAACCCGAGAGGTGGAGGTTGCAGTGAGCCGAGATTGCACCACTGCACTCCAGCCTGTTGACAGAGTGAGACTCCGTCTCAAAAAAACAAAAACAAACGAACAAAAAAATCTACTCTTTGGGGTTATAGCTTCTTTTTAAAGCAGTTTACTCATCATTTTATCCTAGTTTTTCTTCACTTTCACTTTTTACACACACTCACATTATTGCTAATATGAGTATTTACAGTACACTTCAATCAGGGTGTGCATAGGGTCATACTGATTCCCTGTATGTTATTTCTTACTCAACCTTTTACCCTGTTTTTGAAGAAATATCTACTTCAAATATAATTGTAACATAAATATTCATCTGATTTTTTTAAAGCTCACAAATATCAGTATTTTAACAATCAGAATGTTTTTAAAAAGTGACTCAATATTTGTATGATTAATGCTATAAGATCATGGAAAGAAAAGCCTACTTTTTTGAGTATAATTTTGATATTCCAGTGCTATATTTTCATTGAATACACAAGAAAAGAAGGGATTCTATAGAAATAGACATCATGTAAAGAATATATGCCTTGCTGTAAACACTGAATAATCAAAGGATATCCAATTTAGATTTTATATTAAAAGACAGACTAACTTCTCTTTCCTTGATTGATCTCAGTTTACTTTACCTTCACCTGATCTCATCACTTTCAGAATAATGCAGAGCATCACACTATATCTGAAGCATTGGGAGAAATTTTTTAAAAACGGTATGCATATTAAATCATTGACTGAACTCTCAAGGGTTAAAATGTAAGAGGTTTATTCTCCTTTTATCAAGCAGTGTCTACAGACAGAGCATCCACATGGTGTAAGCTACAAAAGAAGGATGTATGCGACAGACTTACATGAAATCATTAAGTCACAGACACTTTATATGGTTCATGTTCACAAGGAAGAAAATTGCTAAAAAGTAAAGCAGATTCAATAAGTAGAAACATAAGCTGATTTTTGTTGTTTATTAAATCTACCTCGCATGTTTCTGCTAAGAAGAAATCTACTGTATCACACAGCTCAGGATGCTATATACACATAAGATATTACACACTATAAAATTTCAGGTTTCTAAGCAGTTTTATACAATTTAAACTTGAGTAAAATTTGTATATTTAAAAAAGACCTTATTGGATTACCTTAAGTAAATGGAGGTCATTTCAACAGCCCATTAACATTTTTTTGCAACAATAAAAACAAAAATAAGTACAAGGATTTTCAAAACATGTAAGCTATTACTTTAAGCCTGGATAATTATCTGCTTATTTTAATAAACCAGCTCTCTAGTTTTAATCTACTTCTGCTGGCCTTCTCATTTCCTCTTAAAACAAAACAGAAGCAACAATTTTTACTTTTCTACAGTGTCTCAAGTAGGAGGATTCGTTAGGTTTCAAACTACAGCACATAGTGAGAAGATGCTTTTAGGATTACAAGAAGATGGATAAAAGGAATCATTTGTGGAAATTTTAGAATAAAGGTTTTTGATACATTATATTTAAATAGCAAAAACAATGGAGTACTACATTTTTACTTACCACTGTCGGGCTACCCCTTTATTCCCAACTTATATTACTAATTCTTCTAAGCCACTAATACCTCATCAATTCTCTTGCCAGTTTTCTTTTCCTAGGTGTTAATTTCCCTATATATGGTTTACTTTAGCAGACAAAAGTAATGTTTCTTTTTTAAAACCGAAAGTTCCTGATGATGAAACATTGGACTATATGAAAAGAAACAATCTATTAATAAATAATCTATTCTGCTAGTAATAAACATCTGTAGGCAGTTGACATCCCAGACAAACTTGCATTAAAAACATAATGCACTCTAGTGATTGAAAGCAAAATGAGTAGATAGATTGCAAATATTTTGACTGTAATTATTTTTCCTCCCTTCCTCCCCACTTTCTATAGCATGCTGCAGATTATACAGTAAATGTCAAGTGGAGTTTGACACCTGTATACAACCTAAGACCAACTTATGCCTTCAATTGGTAGTTCATTGAGGGTTAAACAAAAGACTGAAGACAGGATTTGGTGCAAGAGATGTTTTTTAACAACAAGAGATTTATAGTTATGAGAGCATTTAGTATGCAGGCTTTAGTCTTCCTTTTCCTCCTGTGACATTCCCTTCAAGGCACAAAATATTATAAACAGTGGACAGGACCGAATATTTTGAATTAAGAATTTTAAGTTTCCACAACACCTTTTATTTCTTGTTTAATCATACCAAAAGGACAGAGAAAAAAAATAAACTACCCTCAAAATGAAATAATGCTTTATGTCATCTGAAATTCCCTGCAGTTTAGTTTTTTAAATGATTTAAATCCTACTTTATTGTTTAAAGCATAATTTACATATTTGATTCTTGTGACTGATGTGATTTCTCATTAAATATTGTGCTGAGTATTTCTAATTAACCAATATAATTAATTGTGTATGTCTTAGTCACTTAGTCAAAAACAATTTATTTTATTTGGACCAACCAAGTAAATTTTGTTTGACTAGGATATAAACTTGGAAAGTTAAGTTGTAAATTTAAACAATGGATTAAGTGCAATGTATTGTAAAACGCTTCATTCAATAATTGTATCGTAGGGTTTTTAGGCATCTCCAACCCAAATGACTGTATTTCCTTTTTCAACTTCAGTGATCTCACAGTTTAATTTATTGAGTCGTCCATCTAGGATGAAGAGAGAGTCCTTGGAAGGTGTCATCAGGTATTGACCAAACAAGCCACTGTCCTGGATTTGCCTGTTTTTCCGGTTCCAAGGCCATTCTTCTGCCTTGAGTGGTTCCTTGAGACTCTTTATCATCTTGACCTTCCCAGAAGAGAGCTCCACAAAGAGCACATCAGTTTGTGTGCTTGAACTACCGTAGATGTTATATTGGTGGGCTTCAGTAAAGGATGGTTGAAATGCCAGATCAGATATGTGCAGATTTGTGTAAATATCAAAAGCCTCCTGTATTTCTCCTCTGATGGTAATGTACTGAACCCTTACAAGACCTTTCACATCATTAATGCTGACAAGGTAGTGGCCATCTGGAGAGACATATGGAGTGCCCGTCACATCACTATTGAACCCAATGACTGAGTCAGTTACACCGTCCACCATGACCTGTGGGGAAACTGCTCCGGTGCTGTCAGGTTTGCAGCCAATGAAGTAGTAGCCTCCCAAGTGTGTATATGCCAATGACTGAGGAACGCACTTATAGTCCTTCAAGTTAATTGTCTTGATGTATGACATGGTTTCAAGATCAATTTTTTGTAGTGCAGCTTCATCTTTATGAAGAATAAATCCAAACCTGAAAAAAATGAAAATCAGAGTTAGACAGGAAGCAATGGAGTTTTTAGCCGTAAGAAAAAAACTAGATACAGGTGGAAAGGTCCATCGCAGGCTCTAATTGTCAGGCGAGGCAGCAATTTGTGTTACAATTGTGCTAGAATTAATCTGTAGATTGTGCCACTCTCCTTCTTTCTCTAGGTCATTCTTTCATTACATCCAAATCATCATAACTCATGCTGTAGAAAGAAAAATAATTAAAAGCAATACATCTAGTTAATTGCAGCAACAAATTTTGCTTTTAACATAGTGGAAAGAAGAAGTATACATTATTCTGTAAGTCTCTAGACCATGTAATATTAAATAAGCTTGGTTAACTATTGCCAAACCCAGCAAGAGTAAAAGGCTCGAATATATATTGGTTTCACTCATTTCATTTACTTCTTATATTGTTTTTTGACCATTAAATAAATCTGACACTCATCATTATTTAGATAAATTTAAGTATAACATTTTTCAACCTTTCAATGTTTATATGTTATTTTTAATGATATGCCTGCATTTTATTTGTTATCCTATACTGAATAATGAAGAACTTTATTTTTATATTAAAGCCAATTAAACAATTGTTTGTTTGTTTTGTTGACCTTAAATTAGTTCAGAACTTTTCAAAGCATATTTGCTAAATATTGCTTGAGAATTATCAGAGATACCTGTGGCAAGTATAAATATATTTTTAAACTCACCTAGAACACAAGCAACTTTCTAGCAAAAATAAGTTAAACAAGATACAATGAGATAGAAACTATTAAACAAAATTAAACAAAATTATATCCAAAGTAGATATTGGCCAATAGAATTGTAAAGGACTTTTATTTATGTTTGCATTAACAATATTGATTGTCACCTTCTAATAGTTCTAAAAGCTCATAATAAAAATAAGAGAAATATTTTTCCATTCACTGTGTTCATAAGTAATACAATGAAATTACCTTATTATGAGTATTAAGATAAAGCAAAACAAAAACTCTAAAGAGAGCCAATTATGTTATCATCACCTGTGTAATTATCTTTATGCTAATTATCACACATAATTATGACATGTAGTTTTATTTATGTAAAAAATGACCATTTCTACACATAGTACAAAATATGGTGCAATCAGAGTAATATCTCTTTAAAATTTTAAATGTCAGCATTTAGCAAGCTCAAAAATATAAATAAACATATATTAAATATCATAGAAAAATAAAATATTCTCAAAATCAGTCCCGTTTTGCAATTGCAGAAGAAAGGGAGTGCCTACACACAGATGTTTTACGAAAATAGACATAAAATTGTAATTGTTTCCATTCTTCTTACATTAAATATAGTTGACAAACCATATTATAATTTTAGCTACATTTAAAATTTATGAGGAGACTATTTGCTGTCATTGGAGAGAGTACAAATTCTTCTATATGAATGAAAATTCACAGTGTATAGCTACTCCTTTATAAAACTTTCTTAAATATTTGTTAAACAACTACTAAATGCAAGGCACTGGGAATATATTGCAGATCAACATAACTCTCCCTGTCTCCAATGAGTCTAGACATTTTGAGTGATAAAAAAGTGAAACAGGGCTAGTGAATAAAGCTTGATTATAGCATTCTGCTATACTATTACCTAATTTTGTAACTATTTCTTGTTCCATGTATTTGAAATGGCATAAAGCAATATATTTGAAAATAATATTTTGAGTGTATTTCTGAATGATGCCCACCACTTGTAGCTTATTTGCTAACTGTTTATCTTTTCTGTGTCCTTAATAAATGTGTTTGTGTCCTTTCAGTAAACCCAGCTCATACCATACCCATTCAGGATAAATTTCAGTCTTGATTATGATGGTATGAAGAAACATTCATACTGTTGATAATTACTTATATTTTCATTAAAATATTAATGCCTTGTGTGTAAACATAGTGTAGTTTTAAAATCCTATCTGAATCATAAGGAATAAAAAAGCTTCAAACTGTCAACTGAGTCCCATATTTCTGTGTCTCTGCATCAAAAAATCATAAACATCATAAGTACCACTATGTAATCTCAGATTTGTCTGAAAAACTAATGAACTCCATTTACTATAAACAAACATATAACATTTTTCTATTAATGGACAACCATTAAGGATGTATAGGTGTGTAAATATATTGGCATTATTTGCAAAATTATGAATTATGTTGAAAAATATCCTTCTGTTATAATTTGTACATGAGCTCAGAGGAAAAGCAGTACTAGGCTCACTGAATAAAAGCAATAAGCCAATCAAGCTTTGGCATTTCAGCTCTCCTCTTAACCTTGAGTCTTCTAGTCCCTTTAGGCTAGATTTTCAAATGCTAATGAGGAAGAATGAGACAAGCTCTCTTTACTCCTGAACAATTTTAACTTTGATACTACCGAATGTACTCAAGTTTTCTGTGATACAATCTAGCTACTTTTGGAAGTAATTAAAAATTTAAAAAAATGGTCCAGTTAAAAATGCAGAAGATCTTTGTGGGGTGATAAAATTACATCTATTTTAGCATCTGCATTGTATGCTCCTTTAGGGCTGGAGATGTAGCTACATAAGCAGATGCATGAGAATGCCTGCAATTTTTCACTGCTGATTTATTGATTAGGAAGTGGTGTCTCTAATTCAAAATTTCCCCTAGTACAGATTGATATTCAGAAGTCTCCCACTGTTCATTAGTCTCTGATTAATATTTACGAGGCTCTCAACTTTCATGCCTGCTTAGTATAATAAAATCCTGCACAGTATTAGGCCTAACATAGTTTGTCTAGTATTTGTCAGAATGTGTACAGAAAGTTGCAGACTGAGAAATAAGAGAGTTAAAATTGACTCTCAAAATTACTGCTTTTTCTAGGAAATTAATGCCAATAGAAAAGTGTGGGCTCTCAGCATAGCATGGTATGGATTGTCAACTTTGGTGAAAAGAGTTATAGTTATTTCTTCTTTCCAAATCATTTTCTCTTTCTGAATGTCTAATCAAAGTAGTTTATTATAAAGTTCATAAAAAGGCTCAACTTTAATTACTGCTTTTATGATTTAAGCTAAGATCCTGAAATGATTCATTTGAAGAGACTTGTTTTGGATGAAGTAAGGGCTTTCATTCCAAGCTAACTTATTTTCATGATCCAGATTTTCAAAATAATAGACCTTACATAAATGTGACCTTATGTAAAGTCCTTGACTTCCACGAGTTCCAATTTCCTCATCAGCAGGAAGAGGATAAAAGTACTACCTTGCTCTGAGGATGACAGTAAATGTATGTATACTACCAGGCATGCAGTAGATTCTCAATAAATAGAAACTGCCAGTCCTTTACACCATGAGTAGCATTATTTTCCAATTATTAATCACATAAAACATTCTCTGTGGGACAACAGATTATTATAACCCAAGGATGAGAAAAATACCACAAACTTATTATCAATTTTTCTGTGCAGGTAATATTCTTACAACGTTAAAAATAAATAGTGTTACCCAAGTGTGGCTATAACTTTCCATTCATGTATATTAGAGAGATCACATTGACAATAAAAACACATGTTTTTATTCTTGCTCTCACTTGTACCAACAGTGTCTATGTCCAGTCCACATATTGGTTTATCACCAAATATCTCACATTGTTAAAAATAAAGACAGTCTAGCTCACTCTACCTCCACCTTCACTAGAGGCACTGCTTCAGTACTTACTGAGAACATGGAGCAGTAGGCTATGGGGTACTAGGTGAACCTGAGCTCTGCACAGATGATGGGATTTAAAATAGATCCTCGGCTTACCCAAGAATTTTTGCTAAAAGTCACAGAAAATTTTGTGGCTTACTTTAGGACCTGGATATCAAAGGATATGGAGAGGTTGCAGTCAGCATTTATGTCACAGCAATTCAGGAGACTTGTAAGGGAAGTTATTTGGCCGAGGAAGGAAGAGAACAGTATTTAGGGATGCATGGTTGAAAACCACAAAGCCTGATAGAGTCAGTGCTTGAAGGTCTTCACATCCCCAAAAGCCAGGCAGCAATTCTTGCAATTGAGTAATGGATGGTTTCCCAAGTCCTTTACTCAGTCCCTGGTCACAAAGTCTCATAAAACAGGGTTCCAGGCCTTGTCACCTGAGCACTTGCCACGTTACAATGCTCCTATTCTCTTTTCAAATTAGTCACCTGAGATGCTACTGAAGAAATCTCATGATTGCAAGCAATTCCCTGTGTCAACTTGTCATGGTCACCACCAAGAGCAATGTCCTCATATGGTCCCAGATACATTAAAGCTCGTAAGTATAGAACTCTGGAAGATTTGCAGAATAACAATTATTCTATCTCCTGGCTTAACATAGCACTGCCTGTCTCCAGAGTCCTTAGAACTTCTCATCTCAACAGTTCTTCTCACTACTGACTTTCAATGTTTACCCACTGAGGCTCAATCTCCATACAAACAGCTGGGAAAGGACCAAATGCTTCCTCTCCATTCCTGCATGATCTTACTCCTCCAACCCCATCATCTACACCACCTCAGATTTCAAAACAAGCCTTCGCACGCGCATTAATTGTTGCAAATGAAAAGTAGTGAGGGGTGATTAGGTGTATTTGAGGAATGGGTTAGCCAAACACTCTATCCTGTTATAAAAACCAACTGTGCTGCAATTCACATCTAAAACAAAAGCATTTTGAAAGCTGTTCCGATGTCCCAATTATTAAAGTCATATTCTTTGAAAAAAAATTCCAGAACCACAGAATTTGAACAGCCATAGGAATTTGTATTATGGGAATTTTACTTGTGAAGGCTTAAATCCAAAACACATGATTAAGTGGTTAGTGTTTTATAAATAAGTGTGGGTCATATTATTAATATCTAGCTTTTCTAATTGGATTATAAATGTCATGTTTTCTAACTGAAAGGTAAATGCTGAACATATAAGATGCTATAATCATAATTCTTCCCCTACACATAATTAATAAGTAAACCCACTCAAAATACGCTGTTTCAATGACATCTTCCATTATGTTATAGCTGACACAGTATTTTCATGGACATAAACCATAAATCTGACATGAGCTATCATTCATTTATGAATAAATGAATATAAAGGAATTTATATTTAGTTTTTTCTATTATCCCACACCAACCCTTGTAAGAAAAGATTGAATGTCCTTCCTACTCAAGTACCAGAGGATTCAGTTTTTATCTGAACATCATCACATAAATAGTTCAGTAAAACATACCTGTTTATAAAGGGTGGTCACATTCATGTTTGTGAGAGGGGAAGCAGAGAGAACTGGAATTGCCACATTTAGTAAAGATTTATTACAAGAGCAAGGACAGTTTCTGAATGGTCCTAATGCTTAGATGTGTTTGAGAAATGATAGCACTTTGAAGTTTTCTGTTTCCAAAGCATAGGTTAAAGAAGCTAAAATAAACCACAGGCTATTCTCCCACCTGAATAAGTACATCATAGAAATTCTACATTAAACGTTTTAGCTATATTACTTCTTCCCTAAATTTCACTTTTAGACTTTTTTTCCTTAAAAAACTAGAATGTGCTTCTAAACATGGAAGTCCTTATTTTCTTTCAGTATTCTATTTATTCTGATATGTAGGGACTCTAATTGTTCTAGGCAAAATCAAAACCGAAATCCATAATTTAATTATAGTACATTCAAAGTGTCCAGTTGCTTAACAGGATTAGTATTGCAGTATAAAGGTCTACCACTTCTAGTGAGTAATTGGGACATATGGCTAAATCAGATTTTTAAATTTTAATTAATTTTTTTTTTTGAGACAGGGTTTCACTCTGTTGCCCAAGCTGGAGTTCAGTGGCCAGATCTTAGGTAACTGCAGCCTCTGACTCCTGGGCTCAAGGGAATCCCTGCCTCAAACTCCTGAGTAGCTGGGACTACAGGCATATACCACATGCCTTGCTAATTTTCGTATTTTTTGTAGAGATGGGTCTCGCTGTGCTGCCAAGGCTAGCCTTGAACTCCTGGATTCCAAGGATCCTCCCACCTTGGCCTCCCAGTGTGCTGAGATTATAGAAATAAACCACTGTACTCAGGTAAAATCTGTGTACATCATATACATTGTAGATTGTATTTCAAATATTAAAGCCCTCTAACTCTTTTTCAGGAGATTAAGAGCTTAGGACATGAAACTGACAACTATGTCTTAAGGTGGCATTTTATAAAATTGGTTGTTCTTCCTAATTTGGGATTGAAAAAATAACCTGAAAATCTGAAAAGAGTAGCTTCCCTAAAGTCACTCATTTTTCTGATTAATGTGTGTTTTATGCAGGAGTTGATAAATGGGTCAGAGGTGGCATAGAAGAAACAGAGTAAGCAATTAGAAGAATGAGAAAATGTTTATAAAGTACAGAGGTAAAAACAGAAAAGTAAGATGAAACAAAGGCAAACGCAAGGCCGGGCGCAGTGGCTCACACCTGTAATCCCAGCACATTGGGATGCTGAGGTGGATGGATCACTTGAGGCCAGGCATTCAAGACCAGCCTGGCCAACATGACAAAAACCTGTCTCTATTAAATATACAAAAATTAGCCAGGTATGGTGCCATGCATCTGTAGTCCCAGCTACTTGGGAGGCTGCGGTGGGAGAATCACTTGAACCCGGGAGGCAGAGGTTGCAGTGAGCCAAGATCAAGCCACTGCACTCCAGCCTGGGCAAAAGAGTGAGAATCTGTCTCAAAAAAAGAAAAGGAAAAGCAGTTTTAAAATCTATTAATTAATCAAAAAATATTACCAATGTGTTCATTTTATACATGCAAGAGAGAGATAGTAACTGAAAAAAAAATTTATGAAGAAACAGGTTTTGCATGAGTTGGATTCTAGATACCATATGACCAAATTCAATAATTATGCACAATCTACTATGTGTGTACACTGTGTAAAACACTATGAAGGAAATGGAGAGAAAATAAATGGTCTTTATCCTTAAGGTAAACTACAGTCAAGCAGAAGGGTGCTTATATTCCTATGCCCTGACTTTCAAAGAGTGTTTCCGGAACCTCTTCGAAGATGGGAGAAGGGATGGATGTAGCTACATCCCGGCTTCAGCTAGTAAATTACATTTTTGTTATGTTAGGCTTTCATTTGAAGAGAGAGTTTATATTGGTCTAGATGCCAGAAGGAAAGGGCAAATTCTAATTGGAATAAATCAAGAGGGGCACAATAAAGTGACTATTTTCAGAGAAGTGTCAACTGACCACAAGGGTAATGCGGTAATATGAGGAGAGTAACAATGAAGCTGTTACCACTGCTGGTCCTGGAAGAAAGGAGCTATTTGCAAATGTATGCTTCCTGAGGAGCTGTGAATTCTGATCTGAGGAAACCACTGCTCTCCTATAAATGAGCAGACAAGGAGCCAATGGTGGGGGCTAGTACTCTGGTCCCACTCCTTGCAATCTCCAGTCAGGCCTCTCATTTTCCAAACCAACAAGAAACCATATTAGCGAGCCTTTTGGGATGGAGGGCAAGGTGCAGAGCAGTGGCAAGTGTATCTGGGGATGGAAACGCAAAACAGCAGTCACAGAGTTCCTTAGCTAAAGAGTGTGAAAAACTAAAGTCTAGTTAATGTATAGAGCTACATGGAGTGAGGACGTGACATGTATATTTAATTTCTAATAGGGTTCATTTGACAGCTGATAAAGAAAAATTGTATCAACTTTGCAAGTGGGGAACATAAATTGTTTTAACTTTTGTTTTTACCTGAAATGAATATTTAGGTAACATTTTCTTACTTCTGGTAAAGTTTTAGAAAATGCTTCTTAACATTTAATTATAGGTAAAATACCCATTTTTTGTTTTGTTTTGTTTTGAGACAGAGTCTCACTCTGTAGCCCAGGCTGAAGTGCAGTGGCACAATCTTGGCTTACTGCAACCTCCACCTTCTGGGTTCAAGTGATTCTCCTGCCTCAGCCTCCCAAATAGCTGGGATCACAGAGGCGTGCCACCGTGCCCGGCAAATTTTTTGCATTTTTAGTAGAGACAGGGTTTCACCATGTTAGCCAGGATGGTCTAGATCCCCTGACCTCGTGATCTGTGTGCCTCAGCCTCCCAAAGTGCAGAGATTACAGGCGTGAGCCACTGCACCTGGCCAATACACGTAATTTTAATAACCATGTAGTAAAGGTTACACATATGATCAATACTAGTTAATGTATTATTATTTTCCAATTACCCTTTACAATTTCTCCAGACACATTAAAACTGCATGAGTAATTATTGCTTACCAGACTATGTAATATACATAAAATAGGTTGTAATATATGTTTAGAAATTTATCTGGATTTGCTATTTTTAAAAAAGTTTATATTTTGGTTTGCATGTTTTGGGATATGTGCAAATTAGGGAAAATAAAGTCAAAGTTGTGTTTTGCTTTTAGGGTCTTCAAATTATCTCTAAATAAACATTTGGAAGCATTTTAGCCTTTGACTCCTATGTTTTCCTTGAGCTATTCAATTAATGGTTGGATTTATTTAACTATTATTGATTTAAGAAGAAATAGCCTTTTTGTAGATACCAAATTTTAAATGAAAGACAAGAGATAAATCCTGAAGGGATTTAAATAACAAACAGATTCTAGAAGCAGGTATTCTAAAAACCTGAGAGTGAACAAATTCTCCAGGTCAAGGCCTATCATCAAAATTATATTTCAGAACTAAAAATACAATAGTAACCAATAGAACAATAAAAGATGAAGATATTTAGCAGATTAGAAATTGCAAACATAGGGGCAAAGATGATATAATAGAATATAGGTAACACTAGAAAATAAACTGTAAACCTACTGTTAAACTAGAATAATTTGAAATGTCAAGGGGCACAAAATAATATAAAATTAATACATTTTATATATACTAACAAAAACAAGAGAGAGAATTGGAAAAATGACTATTAGCAACTAAAAAGGTAAAATATCTATGAACACGCAGAAGCAGAAATAAATTTTTCTTTCTATTGCAATTAAAAATGACTGAAATAAATAGAAATCTATCATATTCCTTTAAAATGTTAAAACTCAATCTATAAATTTAATATACTCTTTCAAAATATTAACATTTTATAATTAGATTGGCTGATTCTAAAATCTAAAATTAAAATACTAATGCTGTTTAACTTGGTAAACTGACTGTAAATTTTATGGAAACCCTACCATAAAAGACAGCCAATAGGTTTTGAGGAGAAAAACTGTGGGAGATTTTTTTCTCCTGCATATTTATACATATTATACAGGTTCTAGAAGGAAATCAGTGAAGAATTTATTTATTAAGAAAGAGAAAGACCAGTGAAATAAATAGACTGTTCAGAAATATACTACATGTATATGGGCTGCAAGTGGAAAGTAATGGACTATTCATAAAATCAGGACAAATATAAAGCTACCTCAAGAGAGAGACAAACAGTTGAACTAATACCTTAAATACTAGATTGTTATAACAATGGCCTCCAATTAATCCTACCTGCCAGTATCAATGCCCTTGGGTAGTCCTCTCCCACACTGACCCTAGACTTGGCCATGTGACTTGTTTATGCCCATGGGATATCAGCAAACAGGAGGAAGCAGAGACTTGACCAGTTAGGGCCTTCCCTCTTAGAGTACTGCAGTCACTTTTTGAAGAATGTTGTATAGGATCATTGATCATAAAAAAAAAAAACACTGCGAGAGAAGCCCACCCATCCCAGATACCCTAGCTGAGCTCAGCCATCAACCAATCCAAAAGTGACCGAAGTTACATGAACGCACACATGACTGATTAAGTAAAATGTGGTGGGCCACACTATAGATTTCTATGGATGATTATAAAGCAGTAGACTAAATATACACAGAGCAACAAGAATATTTCTTTAAAATGTAGGATTGAAAGAAAATAAGTAAGACACAGCTGGGTACAGTGGCTCATGCCTGTAATCCCAGCACTTTGGAAAGCCGAGGAACTCAGATGACCTGAGGTCAGGAGTTCGAGACCATCCTAGCCAACATGGTGAAACTCCATCTCTACTAAAAATACAAAAAAAAAAAAAAAAATTAGCTAGACGTGGTGGCATGTGCCTGTAATCCCAGCTACTCAGGAAGCAGAGGCAGGAGAATGGCTTGAACCTGGGAGGCAGAGGTTGCAGTAAGCTGAGATCGCACCACTGCACTCCAGCCTGGGTGACAGAGCAACACTCTGTCTTAAAAAAAAAAAAAAAGAAAAGAAGTAAGACGCAATATGGGATATAAGCCATATTATCATTTACATAAATGAAAACTGTAAAAAAAAAAACAGCAAACACAAACAAGCCCAAAAGCTATACCCATTTTATAAGAAAAATACAAAGCAAAGGATACTTTAAACATGAGAGTTGTTGACTACACGGTTTGGAGAAGGAAAATTAAAGTGTGGAATAGAAATAAAGACAATTGATAAACTAATAAAAGAAGGATCTTGTCCATATAAATAATTGTGGTATTCTGTGAACTAGGGAGTATAATGAATTAATTCAACTCTCTTTACTCTCTTCTACCCCAAATCAAAAGATCAGTTACTTATCTTAAGGATGGGAGTAGCACTTTACAAGTGTAGAAACTGTGCAGGTGAAAGGCAGGGGATAAAAGGGAGATTTTTCAAAATACATAACTTCTGTTTGTATGCCTTTAACAATGTGAATGTCTTACCCATGCAACAAATTTTGTTCTAGGTCAAAAACACAAAGAAAACTATTCGATGATATTTTCCTAAATATAATATAAATTTCCTGATTTTATATAGTCCTTGTATATGTATATATACATGCACATAAAAACCTCTATATACACGCACATACATACTACACTCCATTGTTATAAATTTAAACAATGTAGTGGTGTTTTAACAAGACAGAAAATATTGGTGGAATAGAATAAAGGTTTTAGAAGCAAACATATCATATGTATAAAATTAATAATAGAATAAAGGTAGCATTTTATATCAGTAGGGAAAATATAGGCTATATAATATAGTGGGTTGAGCTAAACACTGTATAATCTAGAGTATTGAGGTAATTTAATATTAAACACATGTATATATAATTTTTAACATAAAATGATATCTATATCGATGAAAAAATTGAAGTGAATAAAATTATATATAGTATTTGACGATTGGTATTAATAGTATTATAATGCTATTAGAAACAAAAAACATACATATTGAAGAAGAGACTTTTTAAAGCAAGATAAAAGTCATATAAGTTAAAAGCATAAAGCTTGACAAAGGTGACTATATTAAAAATAAACAATGGTTAAGGTAATCTAACAAATGAGAGAAAATATGACAGAAAAGGTCAATATTCTGACTATAAAATGAATTATTAATAGTCAAAACAAGAAAAGAACTGAAAAGGAAATGTAACAAATGGCTATTACTCATATAAGGGAGGAATTAATGATCTATAAACATCAGAAGATTCACAATCTTATAAATAATTAGATGAATGTAAATTAAATCCCTAAAAAGTTATATGTATTTCACCATTTAATTAGCAACAACAATAAAGTGTGTTAAGATCCAAGACTGCTAAGGAAGTGAACAAATATAATCTCTCATATAGTATTGGTAGAAACGTAATTGTTTTAGGTTTTCTGGATAACGATTTGGCATTATTCTGTAAAAGTTAAGTTGTGACTCTGCTTTAATAAAGCAATAATGTCCCTCAGTATTTACCCTTAATAAATGCTCATAAATGACCACAAAGTAGCATGCACAAGGATATTTATTGCAGCACTGGTTGCAACAAGAAAATGTAGAAATATTCAAATGTAAAACATTAGACAAGTGCTTAAACAATGAACCTTCCACCAAATGAAATTCCACGCTGCAGTTGTAAAAATGATAGTGTATTAGTACTGACACAGAGATGTCTCCAAAATTATTCATTTTAAATTGAATATATTCCAGATATAAAAACTACTGCATATTTTAATGCTCTTTTATGTAATTGCTTCAGTAAATAATCTGAGAGATTACTCAACAACCTGCTCCATCGTCCTAAAGAGAAAGAGCTATGAGCCCTTATAAAAGGAGACTTTTCTTCTTACCATATACACTTCTGCATTGTTTGGATATTGCTTCTGTGCATCAAAAAATATAAAGAAAATACTCAACTTTTCAACTTCATTATGTTTTAACTAAATGAAATTGTATCAGTTAGTCTCAATTTAATTTCACAAATTAGAAGTACATAATTTTAAAGAGTGCTCAATGGAATAGGCACTTTCTTATATTCCTAATGGCAGTGTAACTTGCATGTACAAAATAATTAATAATTAGCATGAAGGTTATTCCACATATGTCTGCCCCTTGTGATACTAACTCACTTCTGGTCAACTATTCTGAGGAAATAACAATAAATATGAATAAAGCTTTATGCATGAATACAATCTTCACATTATTATGTTGTAGGAAACATTTTAAGCAATTTAAAAGCCCAGACATAAATGAATATTTATGTAAATGACAAATGATATAGCCACTTGGTGCAATAGAATACACGTTAAAAAATGTTTATAAAACACTAATTTAAGATTCAATAAATTATATAAACATAGCACAATACTGTATGAATGGTATAATTAAGTCATTAAAAATAAAATAAGCGAAGTCTGTGCATGGACTGAAGAGATACATGCTCAGAGGTTAACTGTGGTTATGGAAAACTGCATTAAACTTGTTTTGTTATGTTTTACAGCTGACCCCTTAACAACATAGGGGATAGTGGCACTGATGTCATGAATGGTCAAAAACCTGCTCATAACTTTTCACTCCCCAGAAACGTAATTACTAAGAGCCTACTGCTGACCTGAAGCCTTACGGTAACATAAACAATTAACACATATTTTGTATGTTATATAAATTGTATAATTTATTCTTACAATAAAGTAAGCTAGAGGAAAGAAAATGTTATTTAGAAAATCATAATGAAGAGAAAATACACTTACAGTACTGTACTATATTTTTCATTGCCATAAGTTTGCATCATCTGTTTACAAGATGAATAGTCTAAAACGGCAGGCAACCACATCTGTAGACCTCCATCTATGGTACATTATCGAGCCAACCAACTTTTTTTTTCATATTATGACTTAATTCTGATCCTTGGGAGCATTTCCACATCACTTAGTGGTACTTTGTAAGCGTCTCATAATGTTATTCAAAGTTTATGGCATTGCATTGAACATGGTCAAGAATACTTGAGCACCGTGAGTGAGACTTTTTACTGTGATACAAAATTTAATAGAGAGACGAACTGCTCACGTGGAGTGGAGATGATTGCATTTTATGAGGATACTTGCAACACTTTAGCTCACTACAAGAGCAATAGGAGGTGGCTATTAAGTAGTACAGTATGTACTACAGTTAATTTTATGCAGTTATAATTTAATATTGCATCTTGGTTTGTTTACATTTCTCTGGACTGTGAATGGCGCTATGTACAGTATGTAAGCGATTGTGTGAATAAGTCTGGATAAATGTTAACTTCTTATAATAGATTTGTTTATAATTAATAATAGCAAATAATAAAATAGACTAGTATCTAAATCTATTATATGCTTCATAATATACACAACTTTTATTTCATTTCTTCACATTTCTAGACTACACGGTTGTTCTGAGAATTTTTTCAAATTGTCCAAATCTCCAAAATAAACTTCCATATTTTTATGAAAAAAATCAGTGAACCTGTGGAGTTCAAACCTATATTATTCAGGTCAACTGCATTTTGTCTTGTTTGGTTTACATTTGCAGTCTTTGTTCAGTGGATATAAATTACTTTTGTACTGAGAAAAAATATATAGATAGGTACATAAATAGTTGAGTAGATAGAAATATAAAAATATATATGAGCTCTAGATAAAATTTCAGATAGTTCTCATAAGAATTGCTTATCATCATTTTAATCTTAAATATACATTTCTAAGAATCCAGATATATGTGCAGACTGTACTTGATGCTTCAGTAAAAAGACTCATCCATATAAAGACCCATCTTCAAGGAAGTACGGAGCAAGATAGACATGATGAATCATTTAACAAATACTAGGATATGTTTAGATATAAAACTTAATACAAATATTTGTAAATAAAAAGATTCCTTACAGTATAAATGAATCAATGAGGTAATGATAGAACTATAAGTAAATAGTATAAGAAAGGGCATAGTTACTAAATATTACATATAGAAACATTGACAGTGTTATAACCTATTGTATAATATCATCAAAAAATGTTTGTAGTACAATGACACTAAATGTTTGCCAGGATAAAATGCTTGCAGCTATTATTTTAGTAAATAGCAGTGTACATGAGAAAACAATTCTATGGTAAAATTGGAATAAACTATTTCTCCTCTTAGGACATTATGTTATTATGTTATCAGAGATCATTTTTTATAGTTCCATAAACTATCCTGTCTTTGAAAATCTGTTTTGAATTCCAACCCAGCATTAACTAATTATTTTTCACAACTTCTGTACTCAAAATGACACTTTTGATAATTGTCTTGACTCTCATTTTCAACAATATTTGATGATTTCCATTTTGAATTTTATCATGTGCAATTTAGTGACTGAACTTTAGAATTTAACATTGAATGTGGTTTTATTGCAAACTGATGAAAAGGTATAGTTATTTTAGAGATTGAACTAAGCATACAAAATACAGAGGTGAGGACAAACAAGGTTGAAGTAGTTGAATTTTATAGCTACTTTGATTCTTCTTGAAAACTTAATCTTACTCAATTTAGTAGCCTTTCTCTGATGTCTACTTCTTTAATTAACACAATGATGCTATAGAGAAACATGTTGAGAAATTTTATGAGGAAGAAAGTAGAAATAGAAAAGCCAAAGTATGTTGATGATACTTATATTGTAAGTCTACCTCAATACTGTAATTTCATTGGTTTGGTTTTTGTGTGATTATGCTAAATCCAAGAATACTCAGAGAATAAATTAGTTTTAAGAATCTCAGTGTTTTAAATCATAACATTTCTACAAATGGAAAAGTACATATACCTAGTTGTTTATTTTTTATTATTGATTTATTTATTTGAGAGGGAGTCTTGTCTGTCACCCAGGATGGAGTGCAGTGGCGCGATCTCAGCTCACTGCAAGCTCTGCCTCCCAGGTTCACGCCATTCCCCTGTTTCAGCCTCCATAGTAGCTGGGACTACTGGAGACTGCCACCATGCCCGGCTAATTTTTTTTGTATTTTTTACTAGAGATGGGATTTCACCGTGTTAGCCAGGATGGTCTCCATCTCCTGACCTCATGATCTGCCCACCTCGGCCTCCCAAAGTGCTGGGATTACAGGCATGAGCCACCGCACCCAGCCTATACCTAGATTGTTTATAATAGCAAACTGAAAATTGGTTGCAGTTCACTTGAATGGAAATTATATTGCTGTTACATGTTTAAAATATGTAATTAATGCTAATTAATTTAACACTCAATTTTCTTATTTTTCTTATTTTACTAATTGATTTTAAATTTCTTATAATTATTAGATTTGATCTTTTCATTTAGCCAAAGGATTTATAAAGTGCTTTTTCATATCTCTATATGACCATCAGTCAATTAAATGTAGATGAAAGGCACAAAGGAACTGTTACCAGAAGGAACTAGCTAGAGGGATCTAGCTAACACTTTTAATGGAAGCCTGGCAGAAAAGAAAATGAAACACAAACGCACACACTTCAGATGCATCATTTGCAACAAATGCATCATTTGCAACAAAAAGCAATCATTTAATAAATTATGTGTAAAACTTATTTTTAGAGTTATTTCAAATAAAAATGAATGTTATCACTAATAATCTGAATTATTAATAATATAAATTATTCTTCATTTTAGACTAATTCCTCCCTTGAAGGATCTACATAGCTGAGCTCTACTGGATAATACTCAAAATATTAGGATCTGAGTAGTGCATTTTTGAAACAATGCCACATTGTGTTTTCTTTTCAGAATATATTTGTAGCATCTATAGATTACATAACTCCTTTTGCTTTGAGTGATGGGATTCAGTAAGGTTTGTTTCTGTAAGGAAATTACTCAGATTCTCTTTGCTTATATTCTCAATCTAGTGTTCTTCCTTGTGTTGGCTATACATACACTACACACTCCCCGTGCAATGTTAGGTCCTTGGACTTGGTCTGATCTGCTATCACTTTTATAGCAATTGCAACACCTTTTATAGAGCTTTGAAGATGTAGATTAAAATCCCACCTATGCCATTTACTATACAATCATAGGCAAGTGATTTAGCTCTTCTTTGAACCCCATTTGTTTTTCTGACAACATCAAAATAGTAATTAGTTACTTGCCAGAACTTTTTTTTTTTTTTTTGAGATGGAGTTTCACTCTGTTGCCCAGGCTGGAGTGCAGTGGCATGATCTTGGCTCACTGCAACCTCTGCCTCCCAGGTTCACGCTATTCTCCTGCCTCAGCCGCCCGAGTAGCGGGGACTACAGGTGCCTGCCACCACGCCCGGCTAATTTTTTTTTTGTTTGTATTTTTAGTAGAGACGGGGTTTCACCGTGTTAGCGAGGATGGTCTTGATCTTCTGACCTCGTGATTCGCCTGCCTCGGCCTCCCAAAGTGCTGGGATTACAGGCGTGAGCCATGGCGCCCGGCCCCCAGAACTATTAATAATCATTACTAACAGTCAAAATATTGACTCAAAGCTTTAAATACTTGAACACCATAAAAATCACTACCATTTTTCTTAATTCTTCCTATAGGATTTCCTGATTTACAAACTTCTTAGCCACTAGAATTTTTTGCTGCCTTCACAAGACTAACACCATTTTTGTGTGTGTGTGTGTTTGTTTGTTTTCTAACGAAAAAACAAGAGGAATCTTTTAAAAAATTAAAAAGTCTGAAAAGGCTTTTAAAAATTTAAAGAACTACCAATTAATATAGCAGATATGACCTACTTTATCACTATGGAAATGTATCCAAAGGAGGCTAGTTTCTTGCATTTCCTTCCTACAGTGTTCACCAGAATTTTTTCTGCTTTTATGCTATTGTTAATCTGTGTTTGAGAATATAATTTATTCTACCTTTTGTTCTTTTATAAGAAAAATAATTCAGGTTTTATAATAGAAAATTGCACATATGTCTTCTCCAGCAAGAGGGATATATGTATAACCTATATAGGAGCCAAAGCATTTTTCAATGGTCTAGTTATTGGAAAAATCATATGCCAAAAATATGGTTAAAGCAAAAGCACATCACTACTCATTCCATTTTAAAAATATCTACAGATTTCACTAAATGACACCAGCAAAAACAATCTGGTAGTGAACGTCAAAGGTCTATCTGGGCACACAAATGGAACAAAGACTGCCAGAGTCAACTTTGTTGGAGTCTGGGAAAACAGTCAAAGGTTGACAGCAAAGAAGCCTATATACTGAGTCAAGAAAAAGGCTAATTAAGCATGTTAAGTGAACTCTGTGGCATTTCAATTTCGCCTAGCCTTGCTTCATCCCTCTTCCTGAGTGGTAGCAGTCTTGAAAATAGAAGTCCACATTCCCAGTGTGGTTACCTGATTTCAGAGTTCACAGAGTGGAATTTGCTCCCAAGTGACTGTGTTTGCGCATTTTTACTAGTCTTGAAGTTCCCTGAAGTAATAATGCAAGGTGCTTGCCTCTGTTTTGCTCACCAAAATAGAACTCTCTTAATGAGGAGAAACAGCTAAGCAGAGGGTATTACTGAAAAATTATCAAGAGGCAAATGATGAAGCTACTGAAGCGTGGGTCAATTGATTACAATTGGGCCAATCAGTAGACACATTGGAAGCCCTGACAAAAAATTCTCAGGAGAGGATTATTTCGAAAAATGAAAGCTTTGAGAATTCTTAATGTATAGTGGAGATCCCAGATAAACGAGGCAGGACACATGTTCAATGAGACCTAGAAGATCCTAAGCTTTTATCTCCCAATATCCTGTAGACTCATGTAAACAGGAAGTAAAGGCTAAGGAAGCATTCTAAGTTTTCCACTAACAGTGGAAAGAATGCCTCAACATAGGGCCAATCCTGTGTTGGCCAGCAGAGCAGATGACTTTTTTGTTTTATTTATTCGTTGGCTTTCAGGCATTTAGAAAATCTTTGTTAAACCACAAGCTGGTCAAAAGCTAAAGAAACTAAGATTTAAATGACAGTACGTAACAATAAAAAAAAATTTTCAAAAGCCTTTGAGAAAAGTGACTTAAAAAAAAAAACAACAATGATAACTCATAGAATTTAAGAAGGGGAAAATTATTTCTAGTGTTTCTACATTATATATTAAATGTGTTGAGTTTAAAACAAAAAGTTATGCAATATATAAAAAAAAACTAGGAAAGTCGGACCACACCCAGAAAAAAAAAGAAATTAACAAAAACTTTCCGAGGAAGAACAAACATTGGAATTACAAGACAAAAACTGACTCAGCTGTTTAAAAATTTGCTCGTAGCTGGGGGCGGTGGCTCATGCCTGTAATCCCAGAACTTTGGGAGGCCGAGGTGAGTAGATCACCTGTGGTCAAGAGTTCGAGACCAACCTGACCAACATGGTGAAACCCTGTCTCTACTAAAAATACAAAAGAATTAGCTAGGTATGGTGGTGGGCACCTGTAATCCCAACTACTTGGGAGGCTGAGGCAGGAGAATTGCTTGAACCCGGGAGGCAGAAGTTGCAGTGAGCCGAGATCATGCTACTGCACTCTGGCCTGGACAACAAGAGTGAAACTTTGTCTCAAAAAAAAAAAAGAGAAAATATTGCTCATAGAGCTAAAGAAAAACATGGATCAAAGAACAACAACAACAACAACAAAAAGCTAAAGGAAACTAGGAGAATGATATATAAACAAATAAAAATTAACAAAGAATTATAAATACAAAAATGAGTAAAACAAAAATTCTGGAGTTGAAAATTATAATTGGAATGAAATATTTACTGAAAGGTTTCAGTAGCAGATATGAGCAGGCAGAAGAAAGAATCAGAAAATTTGCAGAGGTAAATGAAATTACTCTGAAGACCAGGAAGAAGAAAACTAAATGGAGGCTAAAAGACCTATGAAACACTAACAAGTGTACCAAAATACCAGTTACGCAATTTTCCAAAAAGAGAGGAGAGATCACAGAAAATGTATTTGAAGAAATAATGGCCAACACTTTCCAAATTTACTAACGTACATGAATCTATTCATCTAAGAACTTTAAACATTCCAAGAAGAATAAATGCAAAGAGAGCCACATGATAACATTTTATAACCAAACTGTTAAAGACAAAGAGAGAATCACCAAAGCACCACAAAGGAAGCGACTCATCATGAACAAAAGATCCTAAATAAGATTAACAACACATTTATCACCAAAGGCCAGAAAGCAATAGGATGATAGTTTCAAAGTGCTGAAGGAAAAGATCTGTCAACCAAGAATTCCATATCTCACAAAACTAGTCTTCAAAAATTAAGGTGAAATCAAGACATTCTCAGATTTTAAGAATCTGAGAGAATTCACATTACTAGACTTACCACATAAGAAATTCTTAAAGCTGTCCTGAAGACTGAAGTAAAAAGACACTAGATAGAATTTGGACAAAATCCTATAAAAACAGAAACTCCCAAACTTATACAATTCATGTAAAGCAATAATGAATATTTAAAGACACATGTAAATGTAATTACATGGGTAAAAAATGAAGTCAATGTTATTGTGTTTTAGTTTTATTATGTTGTGTTTTGTTTTCATTTGCCTCAAAGTATTTTCAAACTTCCTTTTGATTTTTTCTTTGAGTCATTTTTTACTTAGAGTGTATTAATTTCCACTTATTTGTGAATCGTCCAGCTTTCCTTCTTTTAGTGATTTCTATTTTCATTCCATTGTTTATGAAGAAGATACTTTGCGTAATTTCAATCTGTTAAAATTTATCGAGACTTGCTCTGTAGCTTAATAAGTCTTCTATCCTGGAGAATGCTCCATATTTTCTTGAGAAAAATTTATATTCTGCTGTTTGGGGGATGAAATTTTCTAAATTTGTCTGTTAGGTCTGGTTAGTTTATGGTGTCATTCAAGTCTCCTATTTCTTTATTAAAAAACAGTCTGGAGTTTTGATCCATTATCAAAAATAAGAGTATTGAAGTCTCTATTCCTGTTGAGCTGTCTATTTCACCTTTCAATGCTGTCAATATTTGCTTCACATATTTTAGTACTCTTTAACAGTTTTGACGTAAAATGTGTTTTGTCTGGTATTAGCACAGCTATACCATCTCTTTTGTGGTTACTATTTGCATGGAATATCTTTTTCCATCTCTTCCTTCTCAACCTATTTATGTCTTTACATCTAATGTCAATCTCTTATACATAGAATAGGGTGGATAGAGTGTCTAATTTTAATCAATTTTGCCCACACCCGCCTTTTTTAAGGTTCCAGAACAAGTACGTAACTGCCTATTACAGTGTTCAATTTGTTTATATTCACTGTTTTTTATATGTCTAATGTCATTTTTGTTCCTCCTTTCTCCTCTAGTACTGTCTTTTTTGTAGTAAATTCCTGGAATTGGGGTAAAGGGGAATGGGAAGTAATTGCTAATCTGATACAGGTTCTCCTTTGGAGGTAAGCAAAGCATTTTGAAACTAGATAGAGATGATGGTTGTCTAATACTGTGAATGTATTATTGTCACGAATTGTACACTTTAAAATTTTTGATTTTGGATTTCAGGCTTAGCAACAATGCCCTCTAGAATCTCCTTGGAGAAGGAGGCCACGTGATGGTCTAGCAGATACACTATATTATTTAGCAAGATGGCCAAGTAGATGCATACAGGAAGTGCTGCTCCCACAAAAACAGAGATTTCTACTACACCAACATAATTTGAACAGATCTTTAAAGAGAGAAAACTGAATGAGGATGGGGAGGAGATGCAGTCGCCGATCCTGAAGAGGGAGGAGGCTAGAAACCTAGCATGAGATGCCTGAACACTATGGCTAGTTCCCCTCCCCAACAGTGCCTGGAAAAGGGGTGAGTGAAGGAAATGGAGGATTGCCTACTCTCACTGTGGACCTCTGGAATCCTAGCTGCAGGGACCCCATACCCCCACAGACCTATGAGCTGGCAAGGGGATCTCCCTGGAGATTAGATGGGGAGACAGTTGCAGCAGGCACAGAGCCAGGGACCTTTTGGCATAGGTCAGCTCTAGCCCCAGCTAACCTCCAGGGAGAAAGTAGGGCCTGCTTCCCCATGGGACTGGGACACATCTATCCCACAGGCCCACCTACCCTACAGCCCTCCCTGGGTCCTGGCTGCCTCATAGGAACATGTATATAGTGCAGCCTCCACTGCCCAGCCTGAGTGCTTTGCTCCACCTCAATGTGTTCCAACAGCTTGGAAAACTTTCAGATTTCACACCACAGAAAGAACCCAGTCCCGAGCAACCAGAGTGGGTAAACATGAGGAGGTCCTAGTACCAGAGAGCTGTGGCCTGTGGCTCAGAAGGGCCTCACTCAGAGCTCTGCTTGACACTTGAATGGAAGAAGAGCCCACACTCTCAGAAAACTGAGAGGACTGAGTCACACAGGTTTGTGGGCTGGTGTGGGACCTAACTGTCCCTCCATCCGCAGGGTTGTTTGGTAACAGTTTGGCATTGGAGGTGGCTTTCCCAAGGCCCATGAACAGACCTGGTGAGAGGGTCACCTCTCTTCTCCTCACACCACAGAACACAACTTCAAATGCAAAGACATACAAAGGAACCATGTGACTGAGTAAGAACCTATCTACTGCCCGTTGCTCTCAATCAGCATTTATTGGATCACAGCCTAAACTTCAACACCAAAAATCATTTTACTAATTCCCCCTCCTGCAAAACCAAGAACAAGAATTCTACAATCAAAGAAGACCCAGTACAGACCTTTAGTCCTCTGAAAACATTCAGAAATGATGTCAAAAGATGATACTCAATTTAAATCACAATTAAAGAAATACCAGCCCTCCCAAATGAGAAAGAATAAGCTCAAGAATGCTGGCAATTCAAAGTCATAGTATCCCCTTATCCCCAAATGAGCTCACTAGCTCCCTAGCAATAATTCTGAACTATTCTGAATTGCCTAAAATGACATATATGGAATTCAGAATCCAGATGGCAAGAAAGCTCATTGAGATCAAAGAGAAAGTTAAAACTCTGTCCAAGGAAGCCAATCAATACAGTAAAATAACTCAAGAGCTAAAAGAGAAAATTTCTCTTCTAAGAAGTACCCAAACTGAGCTTCTTGAGCTAAAAAATTCACTACAAGAATTGTATAATACAATCAGAAGTATTAGCAGCGGAAGTTGAGGAAAGAATCTCAGAGCGTGAAGACCAGTTTGTCAAATCAACTTGGTCAGACAAAAATAAAAAAGAATTAACAAATATGAACAAAACCTCTGAGAAATATGGGATTATGTGAAGAGACCATATCCATGACACATCAGCATTCTTGAGAGAATAGGAGAAAGAATAAATAACTTATATTTGAGGATATAGTTCATGAAAAATTCCCTAATCTCACTAGAGAGGTCAACATGCAAACCTAAGGAATACAGAGAATCCTAAACAGATACTATACAAGATGACTATTTCCAAGGCACATAGCCATGAGATTCACCAAGGTCAATGCAAAAGAAAAAACTCTTAAAGGCAGCTAGAGAGAAAGGCTAGGAGACCTACAGAGAGAACTTTATTGGGCTAGCAGCAGACCACACAGCAGAATCCTTATAAGCTAGAAGAGACTGGGGCCTGTTTTCAGTGTTCTTAAAGAAAAGAAATTTCAATCAAGAATTTCATATCCTGCCAAACTAAGCATCTTAAATTAAGGAGAAATAAAACTTTTCCCTGAGAGCAAATGCTGAGGGAATTATTATTTTATTATTATTATTATTATTTTTTTGAGATGGAGTCTTGCTCTGTCACTAGGTGGAGTCCAGTGGCGTGATCTTGGCCCACTACAACCTCTGCCTCCCAGGTTCAAGCTATTCTCCTGCCTCAGCCTCCCGAGTAGCTGGGATTACAGACATGTGCCACCACATGAGGCTAATTTTTGTAATTTTAGTAGAGATGGGGTTTCACCACGTTGGCCAGGCAGGTCTCGAACTCATCACCTCGTGATCCACCTGCCTTGGCCTCCCAAAGTGCTGCGATTACAGGCGTGAGCCACCGCACCCAGACAGGAATATGTTTTAACTAGACCATCTTTACAAAAGGTCCTTAGGGGAGTGCTAAACATGGATTCAAAAGAACAAACCTGCTACCACAAAAGCACACATGAACACATAGCCCATAGTCACTATAAAGCAACTACAAATCACATCTATATATTAAATAACAAACAGCTAACAACACCATGACAGGATCAAAATCACATATCAATACTAACCTTGAATGTAAATAGGCTTACTTAAATGGCCACTTAAAAGACACAGAGTAGCACGTTGCATAAAAAAACAAGACCCATCCATCTGCTCTCCTCAAGAGACCGATTTCACATCTATTGATACCCACAGGCTAAAAGTAAATGAGTGGAATAAGATCTACCATGCAAACAGAAAACAAAAGAAAAGCCAGAGTTGCTGTTCTTATATCAGATAAAACAGACTTTAAACCAATAAAATTAAGAATAATAATGAAGATTACATAATGATAAAAGGTACAATCCACCAGGAAGCCTTAACTATTCTAAAAATACATGCAAACAAAATTGGGGCACCCAGATTCATACAAGATACTCTTTGCCTATGAAAAGACTTAGCCAACCACATGATAAGAGTGAGAGACTTGAACACCCCACTGACAGCATTAAGTAGATCACCAAGGCAAGAAACTTAAAAAATTGTGCACTTTACCTTGACACTTGACCAACTGGACCTTGTCAACATCTACAGAACACTCCACCCAACAATCACAGAGTATACATTTTTCGCATCTGTGCATGGAACATATTCTAAGATCAACAAAATGCTCAGTCATAAAGCAAGCCTCCACAAATTCAAAACAATATAAATTGTAACAAGCAAACTCTTGGACCACAGTGAAATGAAAATAGAAATAAATACCAAGAAGATCTCTCAAAATTACATGAAAACATAGAAATTAAACAACTTTCTCCTGAAGAATTTCTGGATGAAAACAGAAATTAGACAGAATGAAAAAAATTTTTGAAATCAATGCAAACAGAGACACAACTTATCAAAATCTCTAGAATGTCACCAAAGGAGTGTTAAGAGGAAAGTTTATGGCTCTAAAATATCTTCATTAAGAAGTTAGAAAGTTCTCAAATTAAAAATCTAATTTTGCACTTAAAGGAATGAAGAAAAAAGAAAAAAACAAATAAACCCCCAAGCTAGCAGAAGAAAGGAAATAACTAAAATTAGAGAAGAACTTAATGAAATTGAAATGTAAAAATTCATATGAAAGATTAATGAAACCAAGGGTTGGTTGTTCAAAAAAAAAAAAATAAGATTGATAGACCTTTAGCTATCAATCAGAAATGACAAAGATGATATTGCAACTGATCCTATAGAAATACAAAAGATCCTCAGAGACTACTATGAACAACTCTATGCACAGAAATTCTAGAAGAAATGAATAAATTCCTAGAAGCAGACAATCTCTCGAGATCGAATCAGGAAGAGATTGAAAGCGTGAATAGACCAATATCAACTTCTGAAATTAAATCGTTAGAAAATAATCTGCCCACCAAATAAAGCCCCTGACCAGATGATTCACAGCCAAAGTCTACCAGATGCACAAAGAAGAACTGATACTAATCCTACTAAAAGTTTTCAAACAATTGAGAAGGAGGAGTTCCTTCCTAACTTATTCTATGAAGCCAGTATCAGCCTGACAACAAAATCTGGCAGAGACGGAAAAAAAAAAAAGAAAACTTAAGACCAATATCCCTGATGAACATAGATGCAAAAATCCTCAACAAAATACTAGCAAATAAAATCCAGTAGCATATCAAAAAGTTAATACACTATGATCAAGTAGGCTTTATTCCTGGCATGCAGGGCTAATTCAACATATGCAGATAAGTAAGTGATATACTGCATAAACAGAATCAAAAGCAGAAACCATATGATCAGCTCAACAGTGGCAGAGGAAGCTTTCAATAAGATCTAACATCCCTTCATGATTAAAAACCCTCAGCAGACTAGGCATCAAAGGAACATACCTAGAAATAACAAGTGCCATTTATGACAAAGCATAGCCAATATCATACTGAATGGGCAAAAGCTCAAACCATCCCCTTTGAGAACTGGAAGAAGACAAGAATGCCCACTCTCAGCACTCGCATTTAACATAGTACTAGAAGTCCTAGCCAGAGCAATCAGGCAAGAGAAAGAAAAGAAAGGAATAAAAGGCATCCAAATAGGAAAATAATTCAAACTATCTCTCTTCACTGATGATGTGATTCTACAGATAGAAAATTCTAGTATCTCTGCTAAAAGGCTCCTAGAATTGATAAACAACTTATTAAGGTTTCACCATACAAAATTAATGTACAAAAATCAGTAGCATTTCCATACACTAACAACATCCAGGCTGAGAGTGAAATCAAGAGCACAGTTTCACTTACAATAGCCAAAAAGAAAATGAAATCTAGTAATACAGCTAAACAAGGAGGGTGAAAGACCTCTACAAAGAGAACTAGAAGACTGCTGAAAGAAATCAGAGATGGCACAAATTAATAGAAATACATTACATGCTCGTGGATGGGAAGAATCAATGTCATAAAAATGGACTTACTACCCAAAGCATTTTACAAATGCAATGCCATTCCAATCAAACTACCAATATCAGTCTTCACAGAATTAGAAATAAACTAACCTAAAATTCATATAGAACCAAAAAGAGCCCAAACAGCCAAAGCAATCTCAAGCAAAAGACCAAAGCTGGAGGCATCACACTACCTGACTTCACACTGGGAACTGAACAATGAGAACACTTAGACACAGGGTGGGGAACATCACACACTGGGGCCTGTCGTGGGGTAGGGGGATAGGGGCGGGATAGCATTAGGAGAAATATCTAATGTAAATGATGAGTTAATGGGTGCAGCAAACCAACATGGCACATGCATATATATGTAACAAACCTGCAGGTTGTGCATGTGTACCCTAGAACTTAAAGTATAATTTAAAACAAAACAAAACAAAACCAAAACACAGTAGACAAAATAGTTTGGTACTGGCACTAAAACAGACGCATAGATCAATGGAACACAACAGACAATTCAGAAATAAACCTACACTCCTACAACCACCTAATCTTCAACAAGGCCAAGAAAACAAAAAAGCAACGTGGAAAGGACTTGCTATTCAATATACAGTGCTGGGATAACTGCTAGCCATCTGCAGAAGATTGAAGCTGGATCCCTAACTTTCACTGTATGCAAAAATTAATTCAAAATGGATCAAAGATTTAAATGTAAGGCCTCAAATTATTAAAATCCTGGACAACAACCTAACTCTTCTCAACATTGGCCTTGACAAAGAATTTTTTACTAAGTCCCCAAAGGCAATTGCGATAAAAACAAAAACGAACAATGGGACCTTTTTAAGCTAAAGAGCTTCTGCACAGCAAAATAAACTATCAACAGAACAAATAGACAACCTACAGAATGGGAGAAGATAACTCAACCTATGCATCTGACAAAGGCTTAATATTCAGAATCTATAGGGAACTTAAATCAATAGGAAAAAAATTAAAAAATGGGCAAAGGACATGAATAGACACTTCTCAAAAAAAAAAAAAAAAAAAAAAAAAAAAATAAAGACACACAAGTGGCCAAGAAGCATATGAAAAAAAATGTTCAGCATCATTAATCATCACAGAAATGCAAATCAAAACCACAATGAGATATCATCTAAGACCAGTCAGAATGGCCATTATTAAAAAGCCAAAAAACAACAGATGCTGGCAAGGTTGTGGAGAAAAAGGCATGCTTATACACTTTTTATGGGAATGTAAATTAGTCCAGCCACTGTGGAAAGCAGTATGGCAATTTCTCAAAACACTTAAAACAGAGCTACCGTTTTATCCAGCAATCCCATTACTGAGCATATACTCAAAAGAAAATAAATCAATCATACCAAAAAGACATGAACTCATATGTTTATTACTGTGCTATTTATAATAGCAAAGACATGAAAGCTACCCAGGTGTTCATCAATGATAGATTGGATAAATTAAACGTGGTAAATACGAACCATGGAATACTACATAGACATAAAATACAATGAAATCATGTCCTTTGCAGCAACATAGATGTAGCTGGAGGCCATAATCCTAAACAAATTAATCCAGAAACAGAAAACCAAATACCTCATGTTCTCACCTGTAAGCGGTAGCTAAGCATTTCATGTGGACGTAAATACAGGAGCAATAGGCACTGATGAACACTAAAAGGTGGAGGGCGGGAGAGTGGGTTAGCAAAACTACCTACTGGGTACCATGCTAGCTACAGGTGACAGGATCCCATTCTCCAAACCTCAGTGTCACTCCATATTCCCAAGTAAAATATCTGCTGCAGATATGCCCCTTGTATCTAAAATAAAACGTTGAAATAAAAATAAATAAAATGTTTAATTTTGTTAGGTGAATTTCACTTCAATATAAAAAATTAAAGTAAATAATTTAATTTTAAATATTAATTAATGATTAAGCTAAAAGTAATTCATAGTGAAAACAAGTAGAAATCAATGTTTAATTCTAACTCAAGATAACACTGATGATGTAGAATCCTGTCTCTGTCTTGTGGCACATTTGAATAGTAGTTTTACCACATCTTCAATCCACTCTTAATTTTAATTAACAGATTGAAAAACCATAATCATCTGTAGAAGACCATAATAGTCATTAGGAGTAGAAATAAAACGAGACAAAATATTATTCATACATTTAGATCATTCACCTGAAATAAGTTAAAATAAATTAAAATGTGTGCCATTAGAGATCTTCTGAGTCTACCAGCGTCAGAGGGTCATGTCTCTAGAATCTTTGGTGTAATTTTAGTATTGAGTTCAAAGGGGCCATTTATTTAACATTAGAATATCAGTCTGGTGTCCTGAATCTTTTTATCCTTAGCAATTCACATAGGAAAATCAATGTAGGTCCAACCTAGATGAATGTATTTATCATTTAAGCCCATTAAAAACAACAAATCAGCAATCCCAAAAGCAAATTAACTGGCAGTTCATTTCCTTCTGCATTTGGAAAAAAAATTAACAGACATTATTTTCTTTTTAAAACAATGATATGAATTCTAATGTCAAAAGAGAATATTCTGATTCAGGTTTCTAATGATTCTTTGTATGGTGAAAAACACATGTTCTGGAGTTAGGTCTGGCTTTGAGTCCTGGTCTCCTATGTCTTAGTTTGTGACATATTGAATAAGTGACTTTATCTGAACTTTACTGCTTTTCTTTGTTTCTTTCTTAATAATGTTTCTTTGACTCCTTTCTACTAATGCATAACCAGTGAAAATTAGGGAAAGGTATGTTTGAAATCTGATATATTGTAGGTGCTTAGTAAATTATACCTATTATCATTAAGAATAATGGTACGATGTCAAGAAAATACATTAAAATTACAAAAATACAAATATCACTCACCAGCTTATTCTTTTCAAAACTTTATATCATTTCACTGAGAAAATAAGATACATAAATATATTTAAGAGTTACAATATACAATGCTGCCCACCCCCAGCTTGGGCCAGCATTGTTTGTCTCTTCACTTTTTTTTGGTTTTCTTTTTTTGAGCTGGAGCTTCACTCTGTCGCCCAGGCTGGAGTGCAATGATGCAATCTCTGCTCACTGCAACCTCTGCCTCCCGGGTTCAAGTGATTCTCTTGCCTCAGCTTCCTGAGTGGCTTGGGTTACAGGCACCCACCATCATGCCTGGATAATTTTTGTAGATTTGTAGAGATGGTGTTTCACCATGTTGGCCAGGCTGGTCTCGAACTCCTAACCTCAGGTGATCCACCCGCATCAACCTCCCAAAGTGCTGGGATTTCAGGCGTGAGTCACCACGCTCGGCCGTCTCTTCACTTTTGAGCCCCACTTAGCTGCTTTGGCTTTAAAATAATTTCTCATCTTTTACCTACTCAAAAAGAGATATGTTGTATTATAGGGGATACATATATATATAGAGAGAGAGAGAGAGAAAGAGAGAGAAAGAGAGAGAGAGAGAACATATATATATATGGGAGATATATATATGTATGATATATATACACATATATATCATACATATAGGGGATATATATATGATATATATACACATATATATATCATACATATAGGGGATATATATATATATATATATATATATATCATTTCAAAGCACCAGCTGCTATTTGACATTGTTCTTTAATTTATGTCTACAACGGGTAAGTGAGTGATGATAGCCTGCGCAGATCATTTCTTTATTCACAGCACTCAGATTTTTTAAAATGCCATATGGAGAAATATTTCAGCATAGTCAATACATAAGACAATGTTTACTCTAATTCCACATCTTTATTCGTTGATGAGCTTTTTGAGGCCAATTCATCAACCTATATAGATGGAATGGCAAGTGTTTTCCCTAAAGCACAATGATCTACTGCAACACATAATTTTGTCGTTATTATCCCAAGAGAAAAATTAAAAAGCTCCATGTGATAGAAGGGTCACCAAATGCTGTTCTTTTTCTCTGATGAGTATGAAAGGTTAAATGTATTGTCAGATTGCCATGGCTCATCAGAATAAACAATTCAGTTTAGACAACTGACAGAGCCAATGACCTTTCATTCAACTTCTTTAATTTATTTGTGCCATTAACAACTTTAAAATAGTCATAATATATCTTTCACAAGCTTTTTCTGTTTGTTGTGTTTATGTCTATGCAAGATTTTCTTTCCCTACTATTTGGCTATTTTATTTTAAATATGAATAAAATCATTACTTGCTCTGTCATCATGAGAGCTTCAGATACATACAATGTGTTAATCCACCAGCACATTTTTCTGAATTAATTTCTGTAAGTTTAAAAAATACTCTGCATGGGCCAGGCGTGGTGGCTCACACCTGTGATCCCAGCACTTTGGGAGGCCCAGGTGGGGGGATCACAAGATCAGGAGATGGAGACCATCCTGGCTAACATGGTAAAACCCCATCTCTACAAAAAATAACAAAAAATTAGCCGGGTGTGGTGGCGGGCGCCTGTAGTCCCAGCTACTCGGGAGGCTGAGGGAGGAGAATGGCATGAACCCGGGAGGTGGAGCTTGCAGTAAGCCAAGATCATGCCACCACACTCCAGCCTGGGTGACAGAGCGAGACTCCATCTCAAAAAAAAAAAAAAAAAGAAAGATTCTTCATGAAACCATTACCCATTATTGATGCAATTTCTACTCTGTGTAAATAAATTGACTATATTCTAAAAGAAGCTCATCTCTACCTATCTCTTTTCTATTAATCTTTACATATAGCTCACATTTAATACAATGTTTATTATTAAAAGTGTCTTGGGTTTTTATTTAGAAGACTGGTGATATTTATATTAATTTGTCTATGGTAAAACTGGGTTTATGTCATTAGTTTATATGTTATTTAGTTTAAAGTCACATATGCAGTATGCTATACTAAAATCTCTGCATTCAACAGTCTCTTTTTATGTTGCTTATTTAACAAGCAGAAATAACGCTATTTTATGCTTCAACAGTAGCCTAATTCTGAAGTAGCATATGAAATAGATATTTAACTGTTTTTGTTTGTTTGCTTTAACTCTAGCTAATTTTGCACAACAACCAATAACTCTTCCTGTTAATGCAACCTGAGTGCACTACTCCCTCTTTTAATCACGCCATTCATAAAATGATTTGTATGTATTATTTCATTCTAATTTGCAGTAATGTCACCTTACATTTCAGCTAAATTTATAGAGTTGCTATTTTATTTAACATGCTTTATTCTTTCCTGGCATTTACAATTTCCTCTTTTCATAGTGTGCTGTTTAAAAACCAGCCTAGATACTAGAAATAGGTATTGTATGTGAAATGTCATTATACTTGAGGAATTTACAGTTGATTAAGAATTAAGATTTGGGCCCGGGGGCCAGGTTACCTGCCTTCAAATCCTACCAAATACTACGTATCCCTCAGGGATCTAGTTTCCTCATCTGTAAGATACGAATATAAATAACATTTACTCATGGGGGTCTTGTGCAAAGGAAATTAGTTAAATCACATAACACAAATAGAACAGCATCTTGCACATACTTCCACGTTTGTTTGTTAAATAAACACTTAAAAGAGATGCTAATGGATACATAAATTACTTTGGCACCATGTACTTGGTGTTAGGATTAGTCATGAAGTTCCATTGGAAAATGAACAATTTACACAGACTGATGGAGATTATGAAAGTCTTTCTGGAGGAAATTAAGTACAGCAGGTCCTTCAACAAGGTTGTTTAGTTCAACATCGTTTCATTATAAGATTGATGAGAAAAAAAATCAATTCCCAGCCAGGACTACTGACTATGTGAAGCTTACAAGTGCTCCCAATGTCTGGGTGGGTTTAGCTCAATTCATCTGTTTTCCTCCTGCAGCCCAATGATGCGTACATTAAGTTCATTGGTGTGTTTACATGGCACCAGTCTAAGTGTGAGTGTGGGTGAATGTGTGTGAGTGTGCCCTGCTATGGGATGGCATCCTGTCCATGGCTGGTTCCTCCCTTGCACTCCAAGCTGCCAGGATAATCTCTGTCCGCCATGACCCTGAACTTGAATTAGTGCGTTAGAAAATAAATAAATGAATGAATATAAATTACTGACAAACAAAAATTTGTAAAACAGATGATAATCATACAAATGCATGACAATAAATGATACAGTACAAAAGCACTCAGCGAGCCCACCTTATTTGTTACTGCTTGTTTTTGACTGCAAGGTGGGAAGTGGTGCTCCTTATAATTTTTGATCTGCAAATATTTATTTCTTGATTTAAACCACCACCATTACGACAGTGATCACTCACTAATTCACCAAAAGTTTGATAAATAAAATAATTATATTGCTATTTTCTATTAATCTTTATGTATAGCTCACATTTAATACAAAATATTTATTATTAAAAGTGTCTTGGGTTTTTATTTAGAAGACTGGTGATGTTCATATTACTTTGTCTATGGTAAAACTGGGTTTATGTCATTAGTTTATATGTTATTTAGTTTAAAGTCACAATTTCCAAGAACCTATTAATGATGGTAAGGACTTACTGTACTGAAAAATATTAGTCAGATAAAGACAGGACAAAACCCATCCAAATGTTGGGAACAAAATAGGCAACATAGTCTGTAATATCAAATACAAGCTGCCTTGCATTATACAAGTGAAATGTGTATAGCAAAGATGTATTTCATTCTTGTTTTTAAGCTCCTTGAGATATAAGTCTTCGGTTAGCCCATCTGCAGTACTTGTAGTCTCTAACACAGAGCTTTAATATAAGAGTCACTCATCATCTCATGCATTATTCCCAAAACAGCTTCCTAAACATCTTAAACACACTTCTCAATCACATTTCAATCTATTTCATGTAGAGCTTCCAGGATAACCTATAATACACACATACTCCCTTAAAAGAAGGACAGACTGAAGAACTTCAGTTGCTGTTTTTTACCAATGGCATTGAAGCCATAGTCTCTCTTCTGGCACTAGTCATATTTTTTCATAGTTTATGTCCTCTTTATTATTTGCCCAGCCTTTGTAATCATTTAAGTCATTTTTCTTCTGTCTAAACCATACATATTTGCCAAATAGTTGCAACAAACATGATTTTCCTACCAATTACATATGTATTTTTGCATAGCATTTTAAAAATAAGGACATTAAAAAAATGTAGTGGGATAAGCAGGCAAAGCACCAGCCAATAAAGAAAGAAAAAAGGAAGAAAATACTCCTAAAGAAAAGAGGTAAGTTTCTGAATACTGTTTCTGACTACCATGTCCTTAAGGAATGTCTGTCCTGAGGTCTTGTCCTTAGATTTCGACTTCCACATTACCTTACAGTTTGCCAACCCCCTTGTTCTGAGAATCTAATCTCCACAACCAGTAATGACACTTTTCTAATGAAAATTAGATTCTATCACATCTCTGGTCAAAACTTCCAATGGCATTCACCTCACTCAGAATAAATTGCAACTGGCCCTGTCTCTCCAAACTCATCTCCTAACTATAAAGATGAGATTCATAGGTTCAGGAATCAAAGGGTGGAAATTGGAGTGGCCCCAGTCACTGTTATACCAGTGACCTATTAGCAGAATTTCCTATTTCTGCAACTTTATGTTCTGCTGGCCTAGAGGTCTTAATTGCAGAGGGAGGAATGCTTCCACCAGAAGACACAATAACCATTCAGCTGAAGAGGAAGTTAAAACTGTCACAAGGCCAGTTTGAGTTCCTCATGCCTCTGAATCAACAGGCAAAGAAGAGAGTTATGGTGCTGGCTGGGGTAATTGAGTTTGATCACCAACAGGAAACTGCTGCTCTGCAATGGAGGTAAGAAAGAATATGTCTGGAACAAAGAGGGCCCCTTGGGGCGTCTCTTAGTATTACAGTAGCCTATGATTAAGGTCAACAGAAAACTACAATTTATTCCTGATAGGACTACTAATGATATAGACTCTCCAGGAACCAAAGTTTGGGTAACCCCACCAGGTAAAGAACCACAACCAGCTAAGGTGCTTACTGAAGGAAAAGGGGATACAGAATGAGTAGTGGAAGAAGGTAGTTATAAATACTAGCTACGGCCATGTGACCAGTTACAAAAACAAGGACTAGCAATTGTCATAAGTATCTCCTCCTTAGTTTGTTAAGAAAATGTGCCTGTATGTAAGGTGTGCATGTGTGTCAGTGTGTGTGTATGTTAAGCAAATATCTTTAAGTATCTTTTGATTTAAAGAGAGGGTTGTTTTCTTTCCTCTCTTATTTCCTTACCATGCAACATAAGATATATTGACTTTATTATAATATTAAGTATTTAAGTGTTGTCAATTTTATATCACAGTATTTGAGTTAAAGAATATCAAGGGGAAGAGTAAAAGCCAATACCTGATAATAAATCTCTTCATATAGTCATATATTCAATACCATATATATGCTGTATATGCAATATTATTTATATGGCATATATATTTCCATGTATTGAGGATATGAATACCATTCATATTGAATATATTCAATACCATATATATGCCTTACTACATAATATTATATAGATAGCATATATATTTTCATGTATTGAATATATGAATATTGAATATATAAATACATGAGATTTATTATATCTATTATATAGGCCATAACATATATATTATGTGTATGGTATTAAATATAAATAAATAAATAAATATGTATATATGGTATTGGTTCTGTTTCTCTAGAGAAACAAGATTAATATAGTTGGCATTACATAATTTTCATATTTCATTGTCTATTAATATCTATACATTTCTATTGTAAAGGATTATTACAGACAGTGTAAATGTTATAAAGAAAGTACTCAGTAGAGGCTGGGCACTGTGGCTCATGCCTGTAATCCCAGCACTTTGGGAGGCCGAGGCAGGCGGATCACGAGGTCAGGAGATCGAGACCATCCTGGCTAACACTGTGAAACCCAACTCTACTAAAAATACAAAAACATTAGCCGGGCGTGGTGGTGTGCACCTGTAGTCCCAGCTACTCAGGAGGCTGAGGCAAGAGAATGGCATGAACCCGGGAGGTGGAGCTTGCAGTGAGCCAAGATCGCGCCACTGCACTCCAGCCTGGGCTACAGAGCAAAAGACTGTCTCAAAAAAAAAAAAAAAAGTACTCAGTAGATAGCCTAGCACAAAATAATGTGCGTGTATCAAAGACATTATTTCTTCTTCTAGTGTAAGGTTACTACATTTTCAGTTCTACACAAGATAGTTGTATCAGGTGAGCTGGAACTTTGTTATTGCCTTCATTTGGAGATTAGGGTTTAAGGAGGTGTGCATGGGTTCCAAGTTGAAAAGGAGTGGACCTGTGATGCTTAATTTTATGTGTTGACTTGACTGGAACACAGGATCCCCAGATAGCTGATTGAATATTATTTCTGGGTATGTCTGTGAGAGTGTTTCTGAAAGATTCACATTTGAATTGGTGGACTGGATGAGGCAGATGGCTCTCCCTAATGTGGGTGGGCATCGTCCAATCTGTTGAGGGCTTGAATAGAACAAAAAGGAGGAGGGAGCTTAAATTTGCTTTCAGCCTGACTGCATGAGCTGGGGCATTGGTTTTCTACTGCCGTAAATGCTCTTGATTCTCAAATCTTTAGAAAATGGCTGGAACCTACACCATCAGCTTTCTAGCTCTCAGGCCTTCAAACTATACCACCAACTTCTCTCAGTCTCCAGCTTGCAGACAGCAGATTGTGGGACTTTTCAGCCTTCATAATTGCATGAACCAATACCTTATAATAAATCTCTTTATATATTCATATATTCAATACCTTATATGTGCTATGTATATTATATACGGCATATATATTTTCATGTATTGAATATATGAATATATGAAGAGATTTATTATGTATATTATATAGGTCATAATATATATAGGGTATTGTATATATGGTATTGGTTCTGTTTCTTTAGAGAAGCCAGACTAATATAGTTGGCATTACATAATTTCCGTATTTCATTTTTTATTAATATCTATAAATTTCTGTTGTAAAGGATTGTTTAGAACACTGTAAATGTTATAAATTAAGTACCCAGTAGATTGCCTAGCACAAAATAATGTGTGTGTCTGTGTGTGTTAAAAAAATGTCTTTCGATGTAAAGAGCGTCTACTATTACTACTATTGATATTTTAATGAGAGTCATTATATTTCTGAACAGAAAAACAGTTTTTTCTCCTGAGCTAGTGAGAATCTTTTTAAAAGTCCAGAACCAATTTTCTTATTTTGATTACCTTTGAATATCTCGGAAACTAGGAAGTTTTGGAATGATCATAGAGAAGGTGATGATGGTGCCAAGAGAACTAAAAGCATGGAAGTGCTAGCATATCTCAGAGAACCTGAGCATCCACGCTGGACCTTAGGGCTGTATGTATCGCTAACCCTTGCTTTCTTCTAGCAGACTGTGTGCAGCAACAACAAAAACAGCAAGTGCTTTAAGCATTCCCTGCAGGACACCTAAGTACTACTCTTCAAAATACCCTAGGGAGTTTGCTTTATTTTTCTGAGATAAATCATACCACAATGCATCACATTTCTTCTTTAGGAAAAGAGAATACAAAAGAAGTCAGCGTTGCTTTGGAATGGGCCTATGGACCGAAAACACATTACAGCATAATACAACCCAATCACAGCTTCACTTATCTATTTGGAAAGGCATTTATATTACACTTATTACCTAGTACCTGTTAAAGCTGTTTATGGAGACCACAAGGAAGAAATAATTTTTATGCTTCTTTTAGCTTGCTATAAATTCAGAAACAATTTTGCTTGAACAGCTGATCTGTGAATTAATAATGAGAGACTATAACTTTTTTTCACTACACTATGTCAAGTACTTCCTTTATGTTTAAAAACTGATGAGGCTTAAAACTCCATTTCTTTACAGGAAACAGATTTCAAAGCCATATGGGACAATCACCATTTCCCTCATATGGAAAGTTCTTTCCAAGTTCATGACTTGACTAGTAAAAATAAATAAATAAAAACAGTGTTGAGTTTAGTATAAAATATTATGATCCTTCTTTAAAGGTTTCCTGGAAATAGTCTTCTAAAATATCCTGTGAAGAGTAATTTTTAGTAAAACACATTGTGATTTATCTCAGAAATGCTGGCTATCAAAAGTAACAACTGACTGAGTCTTTAATGAGAAAAATCCTCTCAATTGCTTTCATTGACTATATGTGTTTGAATTTTAGATTTTTTAAAATTTTTCGTTATGTTTTTTGAAATGGAATAATTCTCTGATAATTCTCTTATGCATTCCAGTTTTCTTCATATCTTTTATTTTTTTGGCATGATAGCTCACTATTTTTCTTTTTTTAAAGTTAATTATGGACTTTATTTGTTTAGGCCTACTATATTTTTCATTCAATATTAGCTTGAATTTCCGGAGACTGAGATATTAGTGAAATAAAGCACTGTGCATTTCATCATTGAGATAATTGGACAGATACAGGCCATAATGAAAATACCTTCTTCCAGGGTGATGCATTAGTCCTGCAAATGAAATAACAGCAGTTCATCCAAAGCCAACTTGAAAGTGGTTTGAGGCAGTGGACAAGGCTTGATCTTTCCTAGTATTTTTATTTTATTTTATTTTATTTTATTTATTTTATTTTATTTTTTGAGATGGAGTCTCACTCTGTCACCCAGGCTGGAGTGCAGTGGCGCAATCTGGGCTCACTGCAAGCTCTGCCTCCTGGGTTCAAGCTATTCTGCCTCAGCCTCCCAAGTAGTTGGGACTACAGGTGCCTGCCAGCACGCCCATCATTCTTTTTTTTTTTTTTTTTTTTTTTTTTGTATTTTTAGTAGAGAAGGGGTTTCACTGTGTTGGCCAGGATGGTCTCGATCTCCTGGCCTCATGATCCGCCCGCCTCGGCCTCCCAAAGTGCTGGGATTACAGGCCTGAGCCACCACGCCCAGCCCTTTCCTAGTATTTTATATTGCTTATCATCACAGTGGGAGGGGAAATAGGTTTGTGCTGACCTTGAAAGATTGCTCAGATTATCCATGTAATAAGAGTAACTCTTGAAGTGGTTTTAATATAATTATTTTGTCTTTGCATATATATTGTTCATTTCATTAAAATAATCATTTACTGTTTAGTGGGAACATAGGGCATAGTGTTAAATGATATAATGTTTTTAAGGCAACTAGTTTTTTTTTTTTAGGTTTTATTTTTTGAGGAACAGGAAAAGAATTTCTTAAATGTTTCCTGTAGAAGACTTGCATTTTTGTTTACTTAAATAAAAGCTTACATCTCCTTTTCCTCCTTTAAATAAAAAAAAAAAATGGTTTTCTTTTGTAATATTCCCTCATCTATCTCTTTTTATATTTTTTTCTAAAGAAAGGGAATATTGCTTCTCTCTTATTTTTCTCCAAAATTCATTATGTTGATAAGATTTTGCAAATAACCAGACTCAAAATGTAGAGACTGGAAATGTTAAAGAATTCTGGGAGGCCATTATTTTGGACTGAGCTCCTGTACTAGGTCCTAGCAGACCAGTCCAAATGAAAATGAAGTCACTTATACTAAATATCGGATAATCAAACTAAAACTTTATGGAAGTAGATTGATCTAAAAACAAACCAGTTGTTTTGAAATCAGAGTCAGCATAATAGGAGAGTCCTCTCTGCTTTAACCCTTCAAAGAAAAGCAAACTCAAATAACTGAATGTTAACCAATTGGCTTTTTCCCCATTGTTCTGTTTTCTTGTTCCCACCTTACAAAATTCACTGTTTTGCCATTGCCCAGTGTGAGCTCTTCATTACATTTTGTTGGAAGGAGCCAGCCTCAATTCATGAAGGGCAAATAAAAGCCATTAGATCTATAAATAAATTGGTTGTAATTTTGTCTTTTGCAGAAATTGTCAGAATGTGGTAGAATACTACTTTGGATCTTTGCAAATAACACACTGCAAATGAGCTTCAATTTTACGAATTTTTTTAAAAAAGATTATATGCTGTTAAAAGTTTTCAGAGGCTGACACTAAAGTTAGGGATAAACTGAGAGCTAGGAAAGAATATATATATATCTCCAGAAAATCTACCATCTTGATTTAATGTCCAAGTTTTCCATATTTAGATATTAGCCATATCGAGGTATGTTAGACGACAGATCCAAAGAATATGGGTGTGTCTGTCTCTGGCAGAATGTCAGCAGAACAGGTTTATAGAGCCTAGGATTTATTTATACTTAAGGGTACACTTGGCAGTATGGTGAATAGAGCTATATTTTAGATACAGTAGGTTTTTGAATGATTCGTGTATCACATTTTCATAGCTATTTTTTGCCCAGGAAATTCCTATTCTGAAGAATTGTTGCCTCCTTTAAGAGAATGATTAACACTTAGTAGTCCTTGTGCACTACCACAAGGCATTAGAGAGAAGAATAGCACAGAAAGCTGGATGTTCTGGTCTGAGGCAATCTTAAGACCCTGGAGTTTGCTTTGGAGCTGGAGTGACTTTGGAGATGATCTGGTTCAATCCCCTCACTTTACAGATGAAAATCTTGAAACCCAGTGAGATTAAAGGATATGCCTGAAATCACACAGCTCACTTATTGAAGAGCTTGGATTAGATCCTATGTTCCCAAATTCTGTTCTCTCTCTTTTTCTCTCTCAGGAGTGAGGCAACCGCTTCTCTCTCAAGAGTGAGGGTAGAGCTTAAAGGTGCTGTAGGGATTTTTTTTTTTTTAATTCTAAATTGGCACATAGAAAAAAAGGACAGATTATTTGGGAGTTTATCAAAGGTTTTAAACTTTAAAAAGGGTTGGAAAATATGCTTAATGAAAAAAATGAACATCTTCTAGTTAATATCTCAATCCATACTACTTGCTTAATATTATTTATACTGTGTAATTCATAAACATTTTTGTATCTGCATATTATTCATTATATATAATGATTAAATTTTTGAATTAACTATATGTAGCAACTCTATTCAAATAACACTTATTTAACAATAACTGTTTGCTCGTTATTGCACTGTGTGAAGAGTTTAACAAATTCTAATACCTAACCTCTAGAATCTCAATATCTAAACAAGTGCAAAGATAAACAGTATGATAAATGCTTCAATAGCTGTAATCATAATAAGTCTTGAGAATATAAGAAAGAGTCAGGGTAATATAGATGCAGCTAGGCAATGGTACAGGAGAAATCTGGAAAGATTCTCAGAACTAACAGACATGATTCAGTGTGAATTTTAAACAAAAGACAGAGCTTGTAAGCAGATAGCAGATAGGAAGATGAGTGTTTTGGTACAGAAATTATTCAGAGTCCACTTCTGCCACTTGCCCCTCCTCCTCTCAAAGCTCGAGGGAACAAATCATCTAATAGAAGATAATTTTTTTTGTTTGAGGTGGAGTCTCACTCTGTTGCCCAGGCTTGAGTGCAGTGGCACAGTCTGGCTCACTGCAACCTCTGCCTCTCGGGTTCAAGTGATTCTCCTTCCTCAGCCTCCCGAGTAACTGTGAAGAAAAGTAAAACAACCTTACTTTGTCTGATCTCTTGCTATGAGTGACTTTAAAATAATTTTATGTAATATTTATTTGTTTACCTAATGGTCTCTAGCCACACTTAAAACGTTTGCCAACTATCTCAGAGAAAACAACAAAATATGGTTTTCTAAAATACACATATTTTTTACCAAAGATCATTTAAATATAAATTACATCAATACTATGACAACAGATTTTAATGGTCTAAATCAATTGTTGAGCTTAAAATGTAAATAACATATTATCTAATATAGAAAACCAAGTGTTACTAATATGCAGGTATTATAAGTATACAAAATAGAATTTAGCTAGAGTTAGAGAACTTCTATATTAGACACTAATGTTTCATAATAGAAGGCAACTTTACAGTTTCGTCCAGATGTTAATAAATTTCCTTAGAAAAGGCTCTCCCTTTTTATTCTTACTTTTAATTCAGTATAATTAAATTTATTTTATTAAACTTCTGCTGAATGTTAACTTCTGTAGCAGCCATATTATATGCTATGTCAGCCATGGGAATGAGCTCAACAGATCTTCTCCTCTGGGGAGCTTAATTTGACAAGGGTCCCACACCTTTGCTTTGAAACCTATAGCTGCATTTGTGAAATGACCTTGTTTTTCACAAGCTGCTCTGAGGCAGTGGCTGAATCTAGTGCTGATACTAAAGCAGAGATGATGTGAGGATTCACTGCATAAGGATTTTGGCTCTGGAGCTTCCAACAGCATTGCTAAGTATTCCTTAGACTCTACGTCAGTCTAAGATGCCTTCACCCAAACTAACTTCCTTTGTTACCATCTTTTTAACTCAGGGTCAGACCAGCACCACGGTCAGACAAATTCCTGAGAATTATTCAGCTCCCTCTCCATTTTTTTCTCAAAAAGGTGTGTCCCTAAATAAACTGCTTGAAATCAGCTTGGTGTCTGCTTCTTAATGGACTCAGAATAAAACACACATATATAAATGATACGTAAAGACAATGTCTGATAACAATTAGCCATATTATGAATGTGACAAATGGTACACAGAAACAACAAATTATTTTTAATCAAGAAGTTGAGGAGGAAGAGTGAGATGGTTGAATAGAAGCCTTCACCAGTTGTCCTCCCTACAGGAACACCAAACTGAACAACTATCAATACAAAATACCACCCTTTTAAAAGTCAAAAATCAGATGAGTAATCATTCTACCTATTTTTAACTTCTTATCACTAAAAGAGGCACTGAAGAGGATAGAAAAGACAGTCTTGAATTCCAAGGCAGCTCCTCCCTCATCCCTCAGCAGCAGCCACATGGCACAGAGAGAGAGTCGGTGTTCTTGGGAAAGGAGAGTGCAGTGGTTTTAGGACTTTGCAATGGAACTCAGTGCTGCTCTGTCAGAGCAGAAAGCAACATCAAGCAGAACTCACATGCTACCTATGGAGGGAGCATTGAACCCAGTATTTCATCCATCCCAGGGGTCAGAACTTGAGTTTCCACAAATCTCACCCCCACGGGCTAAAGGGCTCCGGGGTCCTAAATAAATTGAAAGGCAGTCTAGGCCACAAGGACTGCAATTCTTGGGCACATCTGGGTGCTGCATTGGGCTCAGAGCCAGCAGAATAGGGTGGCACGTGACCTAGTGAGACACTGGCCTAGGCGACCTAGGGCGTGGTTGCACCACCCCTCCGCCAACCCCAGGTAGTGCAGCTTGCAGCTTCGGGACAGACTCCTTCCCTCTAATTAAGGTGAGGAGAAAGAAAATTAAAAAGGACTTCGTCTTGTAACTTGGATACCAGCTCAGCCAGAGTAGGTTAGGGCAATTGGCAGAGCTCTCAGGCCCCCATTCCAGGCCCTCGCTCCTGGATGACATTTCTAGACACACCCTGGGCCAGAAGGGAAACCACTGCTTTAAATGGAAGAACGCAGTCTGGGCAAGACTCATCACCTGCTGACTAAAGAGCCATTGAGTCCTGAATAAGGAGCAGTGATACCCGGACAGTACTCACCATGGGCTCAGAGTGACACTCACAGATGTGCTGGCTTCAAGTGTGACGAAGCACATTCCCAGCTGTGGTGCCTACAGGGAGAGACTACTTATGCTTGAGAAAAGGAGAGGAAAAAGTAAAGGGGACTTAGTTTTGCTGCTTGGGGACCAGCTCCGCCACAGTGGAGCAGAGTACCAAGCAGGCTCTTGAGGTTTGGATTCTAGATTTTGGCCCTTGGATGACATTTAGGACCTACCCTGGGCCAGGGAGGAGCCCACTGCTGTGAAGTAAGAGTCCCAGGCCTAGCAGCACTTACCACAAGCTTACTGAAGCCCTCTTGGGATTGAGTGTAGCCAGGCAGTGCTCACTGCAGGCCTGGGGCAGTGGGGACCACAAGGAGAAGAGTGAAAATGGGAGGGAAGACTGGGAAGGGCTTTTTTGTGTGTGTGTGTGGCTTGGATGGCAGCTTAGTTGCAGTAGAATAGGGCACCAAGCAGATTCCTAAAGTTTTCCATGCTAGACCCTGGCTCTCAGATGGTATCTCTGGACCTGCCCAGGGCTGGGGGAAACTCACTGCCCTGAAGGGAAGGATATAAGCCTTGTTGGCTTTCCCACCTGCTGATTGTAGAGCCCAAGGGCCTTGAGCAAACATAGGTGCTAACTAGGCAGTGCTTACCACAGGCCTTGGGCAAGATCCAGTAATGTGCTGGCTTCAGCTCTAATCTAGCACAGTCCCAGTGGTGTTGGCCACTGGGGTGTTTGTATCACCCCTCCGCCAGCTCCATTGAGTTCAGCACAGAAAGACTTTGTTTGGAAGAATGTAAGGAAGAAAGAAAGAGTCTCTGCCCAGTAATCAGATAATTCTTCAGGACCTTATCTAAGACCACAAGGCAGTAACTTTCTGAGTCTGCAGGAGCCGCAGTGTTACTGAGCTTGGGGTTCTCTCTAATGCAGATATGGCTGCAGAGAACAAAAACTTAGATTACAACACAGGAGTCCCTTTTAACATCTGGAAAGCCTTCCCAAGAAGGATAGTACGAAGATCCCAGACTGTGAAAACTACAATATATATAAAACTCTTTAATGCCCAGATGCTGCATTGAATGTTCAATGCCCAGAACATTGGCAAGCATCAATACCACACGGGAAAAAAATGTTTTAATCCAACAAACTAAATAAGTCACCTGGGAGCACTCCTGAAGAGACAGAGATGTGACCTTTCAGACACATCATTCAAAAGAGCTGTTTTGAGGAAACTGAGTGAAACTCAGGATATCACAGAGAAGGAATTCAGAATCCTATCAGGTAAATTTAACAAAGAGATTGAAATAATTAAAATAAGTCAAGAAGGAATTCTGAAGCTTAAAAATGCAAATGACATACTGAAGAAGGCATCAAAGTCTCTTAATAGCAGAAGTCACCAAGCAGAAGAAAGAATTAGTGAGCTTGAAGACAGGCTATTTGAAAATACACAGAGGAGCAAAAAGAAAAAAAAATGAAAAGAATGAAGCACATCTACGAGATCTAGGAAATATCCTCAAAGGGCAAATCTAAGAGTTATTGGCATTAAAGAGTAGGTAGAGAGAGAGAGATACAGTTAGAAAGTTTATTCAAAGTCATCAAACAGAGAACTTTCCAAATCTAGAAAGAGGTATCCATATTCAAGTCAAAAAGGTTATAGAACACCAAGCAGATTTAACCCAAATAAGACTATCTCTAGACATTTAATAATCCAACTCCTGGCCAGGTGTGGTGGCTCATGCCTGTAATCCCAGCACTTTGGGAGGCCGAAGCAGGTGGATCACGAGGTCAGGAGATCGAGACCATCCTGGCTAACACGGTGAAACCCCGTCTCTACTAAAAATACAAAATATTAGCCGGGCGTGGTAGTGGGCGCCTGTAGTCCCAGCTATTTGGGAAGCTGAGGCAGGAGAATGGTGTGAACCCGGGAGGCGGAGCTTGCAGTGAGCCAAGATCCGGCTACTGCATTCCAGCCTGGGCGACAGAGCGCGACTCCGTCAGAAAACAAAAACAAAAACAAAAAAATCCAACTCCCAAAGGAAAAGGATAAAGAAAAGATTCTAAAAGGAGCAAGAGAAAAGAAACAAATAATGTATAATGGAGCTCCAGTACATTGGCAGCAGACTTTTCAGTGGAAACCTTATTGGCTAAGAGAGAGTGGCATGACATATTTAATAGTGCTGAAGAAAAAAAAATGCTTTATCCTAGAATAGTATATGTAGCAGAAATACCCTTCAAACCTGGAGAAATAGAATTTCCCAGATAATAAAAAGCTGAGGGATTTAATCAACATCAGACCTGCCCTACAAAAAATGTTAAAGACAGTTATCTGATCTGAAATGAAAGGATGTTAATAAGAAATCATCTGAAGGAACAAGCTATACTGTAATAGTAAGTACACAGAAAAACATAAAATTTGGTAACAGAGTAATTGTCGTGTATAAACTACTCATATCTTGACTAGAAAGACTAAAAAATGAACCTATCAAAATAATAAGCACAACAACTTTTCAAGACATAGTACAATGAGATATAAATAGAAACAACAAAAAGTTTTTTAAAAAAGGAAAGCAAAGTTAAAATGTAAGGCTTTTACTAGTTTTCTCTATGATTGTTAGTTTGATTATTTATGTAGTCAGTATTAAATAGCTATCAGTTTAAAATAATGAGTTAAAAGATATTATTTGTAAGCCTCATGGTAACCTCAAATAAAAAAAAAAACAGATAAACAGAACGTAAAAATCAACAAATGAAAACATACTACCAGAAAAAATCACCTTCACTTAAAAGAAGACAGAAAGGGAGAAAGAAGAAAGAGAAGACCACAAAACAACCAGAAAACAACAATAAAATGGCAGAAGTAAGTTCTTACTTGTCCATAGTAACATTGAATGTAAATGGACTAAACTCTTCAATCAAAAGACATAGAATGGTTGAATGGATAAAGAAAACAAGACTCAACAATCTATTACCTACAAGAGACACATTTCACCAATAAAGACACACATAGACTGAAAATAAAGGGATGAAAAAAGATATTTTCTGCCAATGGAAACCAATAAAAGAACAGCAGTAGCTAAACTTACTACAGATAGAATAGATTTCAAAGCAAAAACTATAAAAGGCAAAGAAGATTATTATATAATAATAAAGGGGGCAATTCAGCAAGAGCATTTAATAATTGTAAATATATATGTATCCAATAGTTAAGCACCCAGATATATAAAGCAAATATTATTAGATCTAAAAAGAGAAATAGACCCTAATAATAGCTGGAGACTTCAACACTGTGCTTTCAGCATTGGACAGATCATCCAGACAGAAAGTCAACAAAGATACACTGGCCTTATCTGTAACATAGGCCAAAGCACCATATAAATATTTATAGAATATTTTATCCAATGGCTTCAGAATACACATTTTTCTCTTCAGCACATGGATCATTCTTAAGGAGAGACTATATGTTAAGTCACAAATGAGTCTTAAAACGTTAAAAAACTGATATAATATCAAAGATCTTCTCTGACCACAATGGAATAAAATTCAAAATCAGTAACAAGAGGAATTTTGAAAACTAAACAAACACATAAAAATTGAACAATATGCTCCTGAATGAGCAGCGAGTCAATGAAGAAATTAAGAATGAAATTAAAAACATTTTTGGAACAAATGATAATGAAAACACAACATACCTAAATCCACAATGTGAACCGTACTAAGAGGGAAGTATATAGTTATAAGCACCTATACCAAAAAGGTAGAAAAACTTCAAATAAACTAATGATGCATCTTAAAGAACTAGAAAAGCAGGAACAAACTTAATCCAAAATTAGTAGAATAGAAATAATAAAGATCAGAGCAGAAGTAAATTAAAACAAAAAATAGAAAAGATCAATGAAATGACAATTTTTTTTGAAATATAAATAAAAGTAACAAATCTTTAGCCAGATTAGGGAAAAAAAAAGATAAGACTCAAATAAATACAATCAGAGATTTAAAAAACAGCAGACATTAGAACTGATAGCACAGAAATTCAAAGGATCATTGGGGGTTACTGTGAGCAACTATATGCCAATATACTAGAAAACCTAAAAGAAACGGATACATTCCTGGATACATACAATCTACCAAGATTGAACAATGAATAAATTCAAACCTGAACATACTAATAACAAGCAATAAGACCAAAGCTGTAATAAATAGTCTTTGAGCAAAGAAAAGCCCAGGACCCAATGGCTTCAGTGTTAAATTTTACCAAACATTGAAAGAACTAATACCAACCATACTCAAACTTTTCCAATCAATAGATGAGAAAATAATTCTAAACTCATTCTATAAGGCCAGCATCATCCTGTTACCAAAACCAGACAAAGACACATTAAAAAAAAAAAAAACTATAGGTGAATATCCCTGATGAACATTGATGTAAAAATCCTCAATGAAATATGAGCAAACTAAGTTCAATAATAAATTTAAAAGTTATTCAACATGACCAAGTGTGATTTATCCCAGAAATATGTAAATCAATCACTGTGATACATCATGTCAATGGAATAAAGGACAAAAATTATATGATCATGTAATTGATGCTGAAAAAGCTTTTGATAAAATTCAATATCCCTTTATGATTAAAAAAACCCTAAAAAAACTGGTTTTAGAGGGAACATACTTCAACATAATAAAAGCCACATACAACAGACCCACAGCTAGCATCACACTGAGTGGGGAAACACTTAAAGCCTTTCCTCTAAGAGCTGAAACACAACAGGAATGCCCACTTTCACCACTGTTATTCAATACAGTACTAGATTTGCTAGCTAAAGCAATCAAACAAGAGAAAGAAATAAAGGGCATTCAAATTACAAAGGAAAAAGTCAAATTATCCTTGTATGCAGATGATATAATCTTATATTTGGTAAACCTAAAGATTCCACAGCAAACTATTAGAAATGATAAACAAATTCAGTAAAGTTGCAGGATAAAAAAGTCAACATACAAAATCAGTAGCATTTGTATGTGCCAACAGCAAACAATCTGAAAAAGAAATCAAGAAAATTATCCCATATATAATAGCTACAAATAAAATTAAATATCTAGGAATTAATGAAAGAAATGAAAGATCTCAACAATGAAAACTGTAAAGCACTGATGAAAGAAATTGAAGAGGACAGAAAAAATAAAAAGATAGTCCATGTTCATGGATTGAGAGAATCAATAATGTTTAAATCTCCAAACTACCTAAAGCAATCTACAAATTCAATGCAATCACTATTAAAATACCAATGACATTCTTCTCGAAACAGAAAAAAGAAACCCTAAAATGTATATGGAACCACAAATATCTCAGAATAGCCAAAGCAATCCTGAACAAAGAGAACAAAACTGGAGGAGTCACATTAACTGGCTTCAAATTATACTACAGTGCTGTAGTAACCAAAACAGCATGGTACTGGCATAAAACAGACACATAGACCAATGGAACAGAATAGAGGATCCAGAAACAAAGTCATACACATATATACAGTAAAGTCATTTTCAACAAAGGTGCCAAGAACATACATTCAGGAAAAAACAGTTTCTTCAATAAATGGTTCTGGGAAAAACTGGATATCCATATGCAGAAGAATAAAATTAGACCCCCATCTCTTGCCATACACAAAAATCAAATCAAAATGGATTAAAGGCTTAAATATGAGACCTCAAAATATAAAACTACTACAATAAAACATTGAGGAAACTCAATGGAGTTGAGTTTGGACTAGGCAAGTTGGACTAGGCAAAGATTTTTTGTATCCGATAAGCACAGGTAACCAAAGGAAAAATGAACAAATGGGATCACATCAAATTAAAAAGCTTCTGCACAGCAAAGGAAACAATCAACAAAGTGAAGAGACAATGTATTGAATGGGAGAAATATTTGCAAACTACCCATCTGACAAGTGGTTAATAACTAGGATATATAAGAAGCTCAAAAAACTCTATAAGAAAAAAAAAATCTAATAATCCAGTTAAAACTAACTGGGCAAAAGATGTGAATATGCATTTCTCAAAAGAAGACATACAAATGGCAAACAGGAGTATAACAGGTGCTAACACTGATCATCAGAGAAACGCAAATCAACACTGCAGTGAGATATAATCTCACTCCAGTTAAAATGGCTTTTATTCAAAAGACAGGCAATAACTAATGCTGATGAGTATGGGAAGAAAAGGGAACCCTTCTAGACAGGTAGTGGCAATGCAATTAGAAAATCCACTGTGGGGAATAGTTTGGAAGTCCCTCAAGAAAACTAAAAGTAGAGTTACCATATTATCCAGAAATCCCATTGCTAGGCATATAACCCCCCAAAAAGGAAATCAGTATTTTGAAGAGATACCTACACTCCTATGTTTTTTGCAACACTGTTCACAATAACCAAGATTTGGAAGCAAGCTAAGTGCTCATCACCAGACGAATGGATAAAGAAAATGTACAAATACACAATGAAGTACTAATCAGTTATAAAAAAAATGAGATATTGTTATTTGCAATAACATGGATGTAACTGGAGGTCATTACGTTAAGTGAAATAAGACAGGCACAGAAAGACAAACATCACATGTTCTCATTTATTTGTGGGAGCTAAAATTTCAAACAATTAAACTAATGGAGATAGAGACTAGAATAATGGTTAACAGAGGCTGAAAGGTGTAACTGGGGAGGGGAAGAGGGAGAAGTGGGGATGGTTAGTGGATACAAAAATATAGTTAGAATGAATAAAATCTAGTATTTGATAGCACAACAGGGTGGCTACAGTCAACAATCATTTCTTGCACATTTAAAAATAACTAAAAGAGTATAACTGGATTGTCTGTAACACAAAAAAGGACAAATGCTTGAGGTGATGAATACTTCATTTACCCTGATGTGATTATTATGCATTGTATGAATGTATCTCCTGTAATCCATATATATGTATATATTATATATGTAATTACATATATATAAAAAACATATTCACAAAAATTAAAAACATTTTTGTAAAAGGAGTTGAGTCTTCATAATAAGCAATCAAAACCAGATGGTCCCTTGGCAACTCTCAAAAACACTAGTCAAATTTGTCAATAAATGTAGCACTTATAATTCTACCACAAAGAAACAACTGGACTTCCCCCCAAAGAACTAAAACTTTTTTTAAAGTTTATTTTATTTTATTATAAAGTACACCATGCTTTTTCATTTAAACCAGGCTTTATATGTGTTATTTTCTCTACCTATAAGTTTCCTCACATTTCTTGCCTTGATTGGCTGACAATCTATTACTCTGCAAGTTTTTGTGGTTGTCATAGAGTAAAAATTTTCCAAGAGAACCAAGCAAAAGATACTTATCCTTTTAAAGGAGGCCAAATATTTAAGAGATCGCTGTGTAGTCACCAATTCAGGCAGGGGACACAGCAGCATACTTCCAGTTGGAGGGGTAATTTTACTAAGCCTTCAAGTCCCCGTAAAAGCACCCAACTACTCATGGTAGCCTTTAAATAGGATAAAAATCTAAACACGTTTTTCTTCCTCCCTTTCTCAGGAGATTTACATACTTTCCTAGTTTCTTCTAACTTTTAGGGAGGTTTTGGCTGCTGCTTGCTTGCCTGCCTAATGTGTGAAAACCATAACCATTCCTGAGTATTTATTGGTGAATTAATGTTCAATTTTCTTGGCAAACTATCCCTGGACATTTTCATGTGCCATGTTTTACTTTCTTCCATTTCTCCAACATCCATTTTGTGCATCATTGCTTCGGCTGCATTTCTTCTGACTTCTCCAGAATAGGTTCACCTTCACTTCTGTATGAAGTGTCTCATTGACACATTTATTATAACACAACATAAGGTATCAAACTCTGTTTATGTATTAAGCCATTTTAATAGTGAGGGACAGTATTCATTAAAATGTAGGTATTTGTAATATCTGTATCAAAACCCTTCATCTATGCCTATGTCCCATCTATGCCCGCAGATGGTCAGATTGAGCCTGTCACAACTTTGGAACATCTATATCATTCAGAATAATTATGATTATCAGCTCTTGCTTGCAATAGAGAAAACAAAAGAAAATCTTCAGCAGTTTTAAGATTGCAGGGGAAAGTTTTCAAAGAAGTTAGCAAGTAACTTCTACGAGTATATTCAATAATTCCTTCACTTAACATTGTGAATTTGTACCATATGCCAGGCAATAAACTATGTATTGGGAATAACAATACAATGATTGTAATTTTGTTATTAAGGGCCTTATTCTCATAATGAAGACAAATATGTCAACAAATGTTTGAAAAAATGAGTTATGCTATTATAAAAGCTTGCATATAACGCCATTAAAATAGAAATTGGAGGCATTGGAATAGGTTCAACAGAGGAGGCAAGGCTAGTGGAAGAGATATTGAAGCATTAAGAGAGCCTGGCATGGTAGAGGCACTGTGAGCAGTTTGGTGGAAGGAGAGATCACTGCGGGTTTGACAGTAGGAGGTAACAGCTAGTGAGGGTGGGAAAAAAAGAAAGAAAATAAAACAACGGGCAGGGCGCAGTGGCTCACGCCTGTAATCCCAGCACTTTGGGAGGCCGAGGCGGGCGGATTACGAGGTCAGGAGATCGAGACCATCCTGGCTAACACGGTGAAACCCCGTCTCTACTGAAAAATACAAAAAATTCGCCGGGCGTGGTGGCGGGCGCCTTTAGTCCCAGCTACTCGGGAGGCTGAGGCAGGAGAATGGCGTGAAACCGGGAGGCGGAGCTTGCAGTGAGCAGAGATGGCGCCACCGCACTCCAGCCTGGTGACAGAGTGAGACTCCGTCTCAAAAAAAAAAAAAAAAACGAGGTCAGAAAAGGTCTTAATCCCATGAAAGTATCTTGTTATTTCTTTTAAAGAGAATGGACACTTTATCATATTTGAAGCAATGACTTAATTACAAATGCAATATAAGCAAGAAGGCAATTCAACAAATTAAAATGTATGTGTTGGTGATAGAATTGTTAGCAATTGGGAATTTTCTGAATGTGAGAAGTGAGATGGTGGATGGATTTTCCACATGGAAGCAGAAGTCACTTTGGTAGGGCTTGGCATAGAGAAAAAGGAAGTTCCTGAAGTCCTCGAGAGGATTTCCTTAAAAGGGGTGGCTTGGATGCTGTGAGATAACAAGAAGTAAGAAGACTCGGGAGTGATACAATTGAGACGGAAGACTTACTCCTCCGAAGAGGATGCTTTTGTCTTTTTCTCATGTTGGCGGAGGATTAATGGTCTATAAATGACAGTGTAGGCAAAGATGGGCAAGGCAAACAATTCCTCCCCTCATTCCCGCACAAGTCAAAGCTGTTTAGAAAAGACTACCAAGCATATGTGCAAAAAGAAGCCGTCGAAAAGAAGAATGAATTTCATTAAAGGCAGGAAGGGTGAAGAAATACTGGGAAAAGGCTATGGATGTAAAGAAATTTAACTTAAATAGCTGTCTATAAAAGTGAGATAATGTTGAGCCATCTGAAGTGATTCTCTGCCTATGAGCCCATCTGGCCATTTGAGGTTTTCCTATTTATCTGTAAGTGGGCCAGAGCTTCTTCTTACTATTTTTTTTTCTTTTATGTGCTTCATGTACTAGAGAGAAAATAAAAACTGCTACTTAGAAATAAGTGAGCAGCTCATTGTACTAGATGCACTCATAGTGAAAATGAATATCCCACTCAACAAAAGTATTTTATCTAAAATCTATTGCCTTTTAATTTTCCCTTTTATGTCTTGCTGATGATTAAAAAAAGCTGCCCAGTTAGCTTCTCATATAGCTACAGAATGATGTTTTTACAATTTCTCATGATAAAAGTATTTATAAAATTCTAAAGAACACCCGAAATTATTTTCAGTTCTATAATTCATAAAAGTAAATGAACAAAATATAATTGAATTGAACTAAACTATATCAATACTGTACAAGGATTCAAAATTAAAATTAAATTGATGAATCAAATGTAATGAAGTAACTATGATATTGCAAATGATTAATTTTTTTACAAACTAACTATTATATATGAAGTAACATTTTGTAAAGAGATAAGCAATATAATCTGATATAATCGATTAGAAATGAAAATATGTTTTATAGTTATTATTTTCCATTATAGTAAAAATGTAAGTATAGGTTATATCCCTTCTAAAGTCTATGCTGGTATTATATGAAAGTGAGTACAAATATTGATGATTATAGTTTTTTTTTTTTAACACATTGACAACTGTAAGGGACAATCTTAGATGATACTGAAAATAATAAATGAGCATGCTTATTTTCTCCTGGAAATAATATAAGCATTTAAAATATCAGAACATAGTAACTACTGAATTATTATGAAACACATAATCAATATAATTTTATTCAGTCGGTGTCTTGTAAAATGATGTAATATTTATTGCACATTAATGATAGATCTCAAAAGCCTGTCCATTACTTCAGAAATATATCTTAACAAATAATAGTTTCAACATGCCTCTACAGAACAAACAAACAAATGGTGGCTATGTAAACGAAGGGAAGGCAAACTTTAAATGGTGTCGAGTGTGTATGTTTGGTGTTTGTGGATGAGTGAGTTGGAGGCACGTAGTGCCCACAGCAGAGCAAAGTGCCTTAGAAGATTTACATGTAGCACTCCAACCAGACTACGGTTTGTTTCTCAGCTCCGCAATTCAATAACCATGTACTCTTGTGTGAACCATTTTAATTTATGAGTCTGTTTTCTAATTCATAAAATAGACTGCTATGATTAATATGGTTGTTATGATTAAAAATGGGCTAAAATATGCAAAGAATAGGCATCATCATCATTACAAACACAGATAAAACACTTAATTGTGACTTATTTGTGAAGTGATATTAAAAGTATCTGACCATTGATAGGTAACAAGCATCAAGAATTAGAATCTTTGACAATTTGGTATACATTTGCTTAAGATGAGCCCTGATTATTTAACACACACACACACACCCCACACGCACACGTGTGCCTTTCTGCAAATATATGTATATACAGGGTGATTTAAAATCAACTGATACTTTCAAATTTTTTATGCAAAATTAAGTTATATAGACATCAAGTTACAGAGGTACATTTTTGTGCATCTAAGAATTATTTCAGGTAGTTCCCCAAGTGAATGGCCAAAGTGAATGGGGTCTGAGTTAAGCATTTTCTCATCCCCTGGTCAGGCACATTTTCTGTAAGTAATTGAGAATAGAGTATTGCCATATCTGGAAGTTGCAGGGTCTGACAGAAGCAGATAATGCCAAACAATACAACATCTGATAAAATTACTAGAGTCGTAGAGAAGAATAAGGTGACTTTACAGGTCACCTCACAATGAAATGCTACTATTTATTTTTCCCTTTTGAGCAGAAAAAAGAATAACCTTAATCCTCCACAAAAGGCACTAAAAGTGAACAAATCATCATTAAACATGTAAGAGATTCGCCAACACACAGGGCTTAGTTTCATAAATTTTTGTACAGAACGTAATGAGACCAATATCACATATCTGGACTTGATAGAGTATTTTTTCCTCCTACACCACTGTGTCCAAACTTTTGGCTTCCCTGGGCCACAATGGAAGAAGAAGCATTGTCCTGGGGCACACATAAAATACACTAACACTAATGACAGCTGATGAGCCGAAAAAGAAAAAAAAAAGGTCTGTGCATAAATTTTGTGATATCTCCCACAACAGATAAGCAAAAAAGTCCCGCATTCAAAGGGTTAGACATGGCTGTTTTACACCTACAGATAGTCTCTGACAACTTCATTTTCCAGAAGAATGTGGTTCTGTTTTGCTCTCCTCATGCTTTCCTGACTTTCCTAATGAACACCTACTATGATTCTGACTTGGTCGTTCTGTTGGTAATACTGACCTGCTTCTGGATTTGCTAGATAATCACACATCTCAATGACTTCTTATTTTAGATATTCTTGTTTTTACTACATTTTCCTTTTGGCCTTGAGGAAATAAAGGTCTCCATCACAGTTATGATTTCAACCCTCGATGCTGTTTTTCCTCAAAGTGCTGAGATAAATTACATTATAGGATTGATGTTTACATTTTAGACCAGTGGCACCCATTGAGCATGATAGAAATCATTGTGAAGTCCATTACTAATTTATTTTGCATGCATATTGATATTCCTGTTAAATTGCCTAATAAATTTTGAGTGTCTAAACATTTACCTACCTGATACTTATAAGGTAATAAGCACACAAGTTTATTATTTGATTACTGACATTTAGAAAAAATCCTCCAGCATTCCATTTAATAGTCATTTATTTAGAAACCTTCCATATCATCTTTGTTACAGGATGTTTTTTCTCTAAATATTTCTGGTAAGATATAAGGCAGTCAGTGGCGCTAAGGCACATCCCAGGAGTAGTGTGAATCATCAGTGCTCATGATTGACAAACAGACAAACAAAAACTATCCTACATTTTGAATCTCTTCCACGTTTTGTTTGCTGAAGACTGTGATTTGCTTTCTCTACAACACCAATATTAAAACTCCAAATTAAACCGAATGAACAAGACTTCTTGAGCTTTATAAATTACTTAATAAGTATATTTAATGTCAACTGCAGATGATATTGCCCTTCATTGTTACAATTTAATAAAGTTCAGTTTACAAAAAAAGCATTATAATTTATGCCGAAATATCAGCCATGAGGTGGTTGAGATTCCAACTTACAAATTTCACCAATTAACAAACATTTCTGTAAACTAGGTTAAAGCTAAATAAAAACTGAGAAGCCTAATGAAATATTTCCTTCAATATACATGGCTTTGAACCAGGGAAAATTTCACTGAGTTAAGTCTCTACGGCATCTTCAGAATTGTGTGAAAGACAAATTTTGAACAAGCAATTTAGGAGATTTAAAATAGAATCTACCTGAGGAAAAAATAGGTTCTCTAAACCCTAGAAGAATTTTATTACTCCCAGGGTTCAAGGTTTTTTGAATCATAAGTTTCCATCAAATCCTAAATGAAATAAAATGTTTCCCTTTGAGGAAAGTCCTAGTGAATTTTCTCTTCTTGGTAGGACTGTTAAACAATAAAACAGTGAATCCCCTGAGCCGACTATGGCCAGTTAAGCCATGGAGGCAACCTTGACCTTTTGCAAACATAAGCACAACTTAACTAGGGCTATTCGCTAACATAAGTGAAACTTAACTTGAGCTAGTTCTTGCAAATGCTTTCTTATATTAAAGAAAAGTGAAACTTCAGCTTAACCAACTAATTTATAGTTACCAACTAATTTATAGTTATATAACTAGGGACTTTCAATGGGATAGACCAAAAAGGTCACTAAATAATTGTAACCAATCAAGTATTTGCTTTGCTTTGCTTCCAGTTCACTCTATAAAAGGTTTTTTTTTTTTTTTCATTCCCTCAGCAGAGGCCAAAAACCACCTTCAGTTTGGTGCCTCCTAATTCACCGTTTGCTCAAATACACTCTTTAAAGATTTCATTGTGCCTTAGTTTACCTTTTAAAAGCATTTATAGAAAATGTGAATTTCTATGTGCCATAGAGATAGATGCCCAGATTAAGTAAACCAGTGGCCCCATCAATAACTGTTATAATTTAAAAGACACTGAAAAAACTTCTAAAAGTGCAATCTTAGTTTAATTGTTACTTTTGAGGTAACTCAAGTGCCACAAATATCTTCAAAATGAGCTACCATCATATGGTATTATTCAGGTGGCTGATAACTGGCAATTCTCTGTGTCCACAACACCTAAGGCCATGGCGAAGTTTTCAGTAAGATAAAAATTGGGACTTGGTTCAGTGTAAATTTTTCTTTTATGAAGAATTACCATGCTAGCCAGATATTCAGAGAAACTTTCCTAAGTGCATTATTTTTCAATGAAAATTCACTGAGTGCTAATTATTATAACTGTTATAGGAAAAATACTATGACGACAATTCATCATCCCAAGGGAAAAGGAAAATAGCGTTTGTTAATCACTCATTGTGTGCCAGGAACTGTACAAGAGGATGCAATCAAACCAAACTAGTGTAAAGTGGATAATATGCATGCTTTAGAAATATGAAACTAATCTTAGACTCTTTCTCTTATAAATAATAGGAAATCCATTCCAAACTTTTTAAAGCCAGATGGAATTTGGGGCTCACTGGTGGAAATTCTGGAGTTAGGACTAGCTAAATCATAGCTGAATTTTGGTCTACAGTAATGTAATCATAACTTATTTTTTTCTTAATCTGGAGGAAAAAATAATGGCTCCTGCATTTTCAATGTTAGCTTCAAAGCCAGGCTTCAAGTGCTGTGAAAATAGCTATTCAGCTCTAGATTGCCATCTTTTGAGGATTTAAGGCAGTAAACACAAAAAGCAAGTCTCTTTCCAAAAGTCCCAGTAAAAGTCTCACTGCAACATATGGTCTCTGAATGGAGTACATGCCCATGCCTGAACTACACATTGTGGCCAGAGAGAACTCAAGGGCAAATTTGTCTAGGATTATGTCAAGCGCTCTCCTTCATTTGATAAGTGAAAAAACTTATGCAAAAGACACAGACCTGCAAAGAGGGAGGGTGATTCCTTAGCATACTAAATTTTTTTAAAGCTTATTCCACAGTTTAATTTACTTGGAATCACACTGTAGTAAGCGGCAGAACATGAATTTGGATCTATATCCTTATTACTCCAAAGTATGAGTTTAAGAAAAATCTTTTATTTTTAAACTTTTACTAAACTATAATAATATTTATATAGCACTGTAGCAAAATAAGACAAAATCTGTATGACATTTCCTATTGGAGCCTGGAATTGTGTCTGGTATTTGAAAAGTTGGTATTTAATGCAATCTTATTGAATAAATGAAGTATGTTTACAACTGATGTAAGGTTGAATGCCTTCAACACAAAGTAAATTCTGAGAGCGGTGCTGTCTTAAACGACTAGAGGAGCAGGAAAAGTTGCATGAATTAAGAGTGATACTGAGTTTGGCTAGGAGATTGATAACAATTAAGAGGATCTAAATGAGAATTGGAAAGGGCACTGTAGACAAAATGAGTAATTATGTGAAAGCAGGAAAGTATAGGGGCTACTCAGGTTCTTCTTGGCTGGACCATAAGATGTGTGCATATCAACATTAGGATATAAGGCTGCTGAAGGAGGGAGCTTCAATGTAGTTTGGACATGATCTATAAGCAACAAGAAAAAAATCTTCTATTTTTAAAAGATATTTCAAAAAACTATAATATTATTTATATAGCACTGTAGCAAAATAAGACAAAAATCTGAGTTTTTATTTTCTTTCCTTGGAGTATTATATCATTCTAGATATAACATAGAAAGAGGAATCTAGTGGTTTTCTGTTTGGTGAACAGAGTAGAGAACCGTATGGCAAAAATGATAAATATGGAAAACAGGAAAGAGTAAATTGTGTTTAGAAGTTGAGAGGCAAGGGGCCTCAGCTTAGGGCTGTGTCTGTGAGACTGGGGAGGAACAGATTAATGAACAGACTTTATGAAGTTGGACATGAGCAGACAGCAAAAATTACTGTAGGGTCTGCAGGGACTACTGACACAACACTATATTTTTTCTCTCTCCCTTCTGAAATCATTTACCTTTGGAAGAGGAAAATCAAACTGATCTAAGAGATATTAAATACTTTGTTGAAGGTCTCAAAGGAGCTGGAAATCTAGTTTCCAGGCTAGGTCTGTGTGGTCTCAAATTCTCACTTCTGCTTGTATCTCATACAAATGAAAAATAATGAAAATTCAAAATGCCAAGAGGACTTCAATTAGGGAAATTTCAACAAATTTTATGAACAGTGGCTTTAAGGTAGACTTTGAAGGATTTATTAATATTGGGGAGAGGAAAAACAAAGTTTTCTGCAAGTAAATACAGATAGGCACAAAAATATGGTGTAGATCTGTTATGAGGAGTTGAGTTTTGTTGTAGTAATAGCATGTAAATGGGATAAAAGGGAGTGTTGCAAAGGTTGGCTTGGGATAACTTGTAGAGCACATCAGTCGTTAGGTTTTACCCCAAGAATGAGGAAATAACTTGAATTCTAGAATGTATTGAGTGGTAAGTCTAAATTTGGACTGAACTGAGTTTATAGCTGGTTCCAATACATATGAAATGATTCACCATTTGTAGAATGGGAATAAAAATTTATGTTGCTGCTAGTTTTAAATGAGACAGAGCATAAAAATTGCTTAGCTCAGTATCTGGCATAGAGTAAGTACTCAATGTTTGTTAATCACTATTAACATATATAATAACCTTAGCAATAAGTACAAAATCTACAATTGAGCAATACAATCTGAAAGCATGGAAGTGGTATGGTAAACTTAAACTTGATTTGTAAATTCAGACTTTAAAATCGATATTAAAGTAAGGAAATTATAGAGAAACGCTTTCAATGAGTATTGTGCATAGGACAAAAGGAAAGTTAGAGATTATTACTGAAACTCTATGTTGGACCATACGAATAAATGGTAGTATAGAGCCTCTACTTTTAGTCAGTTTCTCATATATCTAGTTCACTTTTCTTTAAAATTGTCATTCATTTACTTCTTACTAAAATTCGTATTCTTGACTTATAAAATCACTGTTTACCATAATAAAAAAGTTAATCTTTCAATTATTTACATTATAGACTTAAAATAAAAAATGAATTTTTTAATCTTTTACTTGCATATAGTTAGAAAACTTGTTTCCCTAATGAATTTGAAATTTTAACAATGACTTTATTAATAAGAATAAATATTGTTTATTCTCCTTCTGTAAACCAAATATTACGATAGTCCAAAAATGGTTTTCAAGTATTTTAAAATATTAAAAGATGTTAAAACAGATTAATTTCAAATTTATCTGTTAAAATTGATCTGTTAGTGGTAAAAGTATCAAAAGGATTATCAATACGTCATTTTCATCCATGACAGATGACAATTTAGATATAATACAGTTTCTCCACATATCTACTAATTTGCTGGATTTCCTTGTTATGGTTCATTTTAAAGGCTCAATGTCATCCTTTTCATGTGCTTCAGTTTTGTTTGAACCATATCTTAAAGAACTCTAAAACCTGACATTTTACTGCATTATTTCTTGTTCAAAACGAAAAGCAAGAAATAAAACATTGTACTAGAAAAAGTAAATGTGAAAGAGTAATCATAGCTGAATTAAATAACATAAAAATGTAATTTAATTTAAATGAAAAGAGTAATGTGATTATCTGAATATTATCTGTTTGACTCAAAATAACTGGTAATTTCTTTATTGTACATGGATAGCTACAGTGAAGATATATCAGCAGATTTACAACTCAACTAAAAAGATACAAAATATTAACTCGGTTGGATTCACAATGAATATTTTTTACAGCCTCTGATCATTGTGAAGATAGAGCATATCAGTGCCACCACTGATGCCCACCCAAAACTGCCTGCACAGCCACCATCACTAATTTTACATTTAAATTAATCTTGCTTTTATGGTCAAACAAAATAAAAAAGTGATGTGTATATAAAATAAGCATTTAGCCACATTCACAGAAAATTTCCAAAATGTTTTACCATTATTTTATGTATGTATTCTCAAAGATAAAATTATTTATTTAATGGTATTGCTTTGTTAAGCCACAGTAGAATGCTTTCAGAGTTTCTGTTAAGTTATATACTCCTGTATTTGAAGTTTTATCATTTTAATAACAGTTGCATCAAGAAAAATTTCATAAATTCATAAAGTAAGATGCTATAATAAAATATATAATGTGCCCTTTTCCTTTGACAGAAAAATAATATATCCACTTAATGATACAAAGAATTAAAAACCTCAATGTACATTATCTTTTTCTTCACCAAAATTTTATGAGAACTAGCTAATGCTATATATGATTGATTCAAAATATTGCAGTCTACTGTATTAAATATATGTATTAATAGGCCATGCAATGTACACTTTCAATTCATGTAAGAAAATGCTTAAATTCTCACAGTGAGCTCTGCCCCTCTCTTGTGGTGTATTCATTACATCGTATCTTAACTTCTGACATATTTCTTCATGCATTTTAATTCATATTTGGGAGTGTTTTTACTAATGAGGAAACGGAGTAATCTCTGCAACCACATAATTGACTTGTTTAGGGTAAAGTAAGTGTGATTTACCATTATCAGCAAACCCAGAATCATATGTAAGACAGAAAAAAAAGTACCTATATATGCATATATATTCGCTTATATTTGTATACCATAGCTGTCTCTTAAGAGAATACTGGATCCTGTGAGATGGACAATCCTGTTTTACTGAACACTTTGATGAGTTAGCATAAGGACCTCTGAGAGAAGAAGCAAGAGCTATTTTACTTTGCATAATAAAACTCAAGAGTCAAATCTGCAATGTGGAGTGTTTCTAAATTATGTGTTATTAGTGCTCCATTGATTTCTTCAGTAAAAATTTGTTGTAGAATGAGTCTGTTTAGTGTCTTTATTAAATTACAGAGCTTAGAGTCTACCAATAATACCTATAAAAACTCTTCCTTTTTAAAATAATTACATATATATATATTAAAAATAACTTGTTCTTTAAATCAAATCGCATTGACCCATACATCAAGAACATTACATAGCAAATGTGGGCTAGCAACATGACTAATAAGACATTCTGTGAAAAGAGGTGCAGGTCTATTTTGTTCTTCCACTTTGGACACAAGACTCCTTTCTTACAAGTGTCAGAGCAGAGCACAGTTAACACAGAACAAAGACCAAGAAGGGAAGCAGACAGGGTTCTCTAACTCAAGAAATAATAAAGGTAACACACTGAATAGCACTCTGTTTTTTCTATCTAAGCATTTTACACTCAACGTGTGGCCTGTATTAATATGCTAAAGAAGATTGAAAGTATTGCTTAAAATAAAAGCCAATCAGGTAACCATAATGAAAAAAAGAGAGTGGCATTATAGATCAAAGCTTGACAGTTATAGTGTGTTTACTTCATTAGAAATAAGATTAAGAAAGTTATCCAGTGTTTATGTTACGTAGATGAAGCTTTGCACCCATGTAAGAATGCTGGGTGGTTTGCTAACAATGGTTTGCACATATATACACACAGGCATATATAAAAGTATACGTATATACTTTGTTTGACAAACAATTTATGAATATCTTCTGTTTTCAGATAGTGAAGTAGCTCTGGGAATCTAACGATCCCATGAGATAATAGGTTCTGAAAATACAGAGTTTGTGTTTGTTTGGAGTGGAGAGGGGGAGTAAAAAAGGTAAAGAAACTGTGGAAAGGGAAGGTCACAATTTCAGAACTTATGCGTATTTCAATATTCACTTTTTGAGAGAGTGTAGACAGAGTTGGCTTCCTGGGATATTTGGAATTCTTTGTTAGTTTATTTCTCTTTGTGGGAGGAATTAGCATGTGAGGATGAAAGGAGTTAAAACGCACCTCACTGAATTGTGACTTTTGTGAGATTTTCATCTACAAAACATTTTTTGAAACAATTTTAATTGCAGTTCATCATCCCAAGATTTTACTTTTCTCTAAATGCCATGGAACAGCAGGTATTTTCAATTTCTGCTGTGCTGGGATTTCAACGTAACCACAGCATTTTAGTGCTAAAATTGTATCTCCATACACCTGGCCTGTCCATGAATCAAGTCATAAGATGAGTTGTCTTGATATATGGTTAGCCATATATATAATTTTTGCTTTAACGGATTTGATAAAATATGGGGGAGAATGATATACTTTCACTTTCACAGAATGTTTATTTTTCCCTTGGAGGAGTTTTAAGGAAACATATATCAAACTCAATCCCTTCTTAATCATTTCCTTGCTGAATTTATGCCAAAATGAGTGCTATAGACCACTCTCCAGACTGCCGGAGCGGTGTCCGCTACTTACTCTCTCATTTTACTTCATCCGTGTAGTAGAGCCATAGCCATTGGCTATGCAGGGATTACTGCTGATCGGAAACAAGATAAATCCTTAGCCCCTTACTACCCCCATTTGGCTCCAAGTACTCTTACACTCTTAGCACTTATTTCACTGTTGAGGATCCTAAAGGAGTGCCTTCCAGCTACCCTTGTCCTTTCCAGTCCATTCAAATTGAAGAGTAACACTGAGGTCCACTTCATTGAATTCCTGATTTACCCTAGGGTATTCAAGTCCAAACCAGTACCATCTTGGGGTGTGGTGCTGGGGAGGGTAGGCATGTTATAACAAAACCTTTTGAACACTAGTTGTTTGTTTACTTGTTTCATTTAGCAGGTCAAGCCATGCCAAATGAAGCAAGCTAACAGAGGAGGAAAAAGCTGTGGGAACTGGCATTTTCAGGATTTTATATAAATGCCTGTTGCTTAAAGTCTCCCTGTCAGTGTGATTTAGAAATATCTCTATTCATCTTACTGCTTATCATGTAATCACTGACTGAAATAAATACACTTGCATGCACACATACACACACACCCTCCCAAGTACAAACATTCATTTTAAGACACTACATAATCAACCAATGAACCCCTAGACAAAAATGGCAATAATAAGTATATCAATTTCCTAACTGCTGCATTTTCCTCTCAAGAAATAAGAGCAATTTAAAGATTGATTTCTATAAAAATATAACTCAAAAAATGAGAAAAGTGGTTTGAAATTCCAAACAATATAATCAAATGGTAGTTTGGGTTGGGGGGGATAGTTTCAAGAGTAGGTAAGCCTTTCAAGACATCTCAAATAGCATCACCCAAGTTTATGCCTTCTCTTATTACTCACAGGCCTAGCCCTGGAGTGGCTATATAAATCATAAGTCATCTCCTTGAATTTACTCTAAGTGCCCTGTATGCCAATTGACATCAGCATGTTTCAGCTAGATTGGATTAAATCTGTTTGTAGTTGAACTCTAACTGGGAGAGATAGGAGAAGAAATGGGAAAGGAATGATTTGCAGGTGCTACAAAGTGCAGGTTATACATAATACATCTTTTTTTTTTCATCAAATGGCACTTGTTTTAAATTGTATCAAAGGTATTATTTTAGTCAGTGAGAACCTTAAAGGATTTCTACTTATAACACCAAATAACCCAAATGTTAGCTGTTCCCTTGCAATCTAGGTGAAGATATCTTGCTGTTATTCTCTTGCCAACACATCTTATTCGTGCTACGTCAAAAGCTCTAGGAAAGACTTCTGCTAATTCTTGCATTTGTGGTAGATTACACTTTGTGGCCTTCCTGGTATCCTGCACTCAGATTTCTTACATTTCCCTGCTCTGCACCACGTTGGTCTCCGTGTAGTTCTCACTTTCATCCCCCTTCTGCCCCAAACAAATAATTCTCAGGAAGGATTAATGAAGATTTTTTGAGGGAGGTTTCATGGAAAAATTTCATGGAAATTACTCATTGCTTAATGTCTGCTACCTCCTTAGCTTCTCCTCTTCTTTTCTCAATTCTCCTTACCTTTCTAGAATCTTTACATATAAAAGAAAATATAACATGTAACTGCCAGACCTATTGATCTTAATTTATTATGCAAATTCTAGTTGCACCTGCACAGCAAGCTGCAATGTTCACACATAAGAAACTGATATTTAAATTTTTCTCTCTTCACAATGGCAGCAAAAATAAAACAATTGATTATGTAAATCCTCATGCTTTATGAGAATTACTTGTTTTGAAGTTTAACACAAGCATTTCGAAAACTGTTTCACCAAATCTCCTATGCATTAGCCATGTAATTTTTAAAAAGTTAACAATAGTAGAATTACAATATTATTCAAATATTCAAGTATATCTATTTACATGTAATGATATTGTAATTTCAATTTAATATAACAACTGAGTTGTATAACTTATTTTTTTGGATACAAATTACACATAGAATAATGAAGCGTTGCTTTATATTTGTTTATAATTGATTTTAGAAGGTAATGTATTATCATTTCAAATTTTATTAGACATAATTGACTATTACGAGAATTACATTCATCTTCATTTTTTTTTTTTTTTTTTTGAGACAGAGTCTCACTCTGTTGCCCAGACTAGAGTGCAGTGGCACGATCTCGGCTTACTGCAAGATCCACCCTCCCAGGTTCATGGCATTCTCCTGCCTCTGCCTCCTGAGTAGCTGGGACTACAGGCGCCCACCACCACGCCTGGCTAATTTTTATGCATTTTCAGTAGAGACGAGGTTTCACCGTGTTAGCCAGGATGGTCTCGATCTCCTGACCTCGTGATCTGCCCGCCTCGGCCTCCCAAAGTGCTGGGATTACAGGCATGAGCCACTGAGCCCGGCCCATTCATCTTCATTTTTAACAGCCACTTTTAATTTTACCTATCTGTATATTTTTATTTATAAAAATAAAAATCTAAATTGAAATTCATCCTATAACAAATTTATATTTCTTATGTCATTCCAAAATATACTCCTTTTGCACTCCATAATCTCTTCAACTTTAAAACTAAAATTATGGTTTCCATAATTTATTAATTTCTTGCTTAAGTTTAAATTTTTTAAAGAAAAATTTTTACTAACTTCAAGTCTGAGAATGTGTCTTAAATGGTATTCTTAAATTCTTCAGTCATGATTTACTTTATGACACTGCATGCTTATCTGATATGCTTAAAGACTAAAGAAGCCTGAAAATTACAGGCACAGAAACAGAAAAACTGGAGGAAAAATGAGAGGAAGCCAGGCAGGGAAAAGTACAGACTTTTAGGAAAATTGCAAATAATCAACAGGGAGCCAGTTTCCCAGTAGAGATTACGAAGTCTGGACAACAACTAGTGAGCAACTGAATACTCAAACATTATTTTATTCCAGTCCTTAGAAAGAAATGAAGTAAGTTGGTTAAGGTCACCAGAGTCAATGGTGAATGATGTTGCTGGGATATTCAGGCTTAGATCTGTCTGACAGCAGATGTAAATTCTTATTACTGTAGTTACTGGTTCCACAAATTTGTGTACTCTGAACACAGCATTTGCTTAATGCTGATAATGTGTTGGAGGCTGAGAAATCCATATATAGGAAACACAGTTCTTCCCTCAGTACCAGCTAGTCTGGTTTAGGAAATAGTGTAGCACTTTCTTCCTTCTTTACTTCCATTCCTATGAGAAACATAAATTAAGTGTCCAGTGGTTTTTAGGCACTAAGAATATAAAAGCCTGACACGTGTCAAGAAGCTTTTCAGACACTGAAGATATAAATTATTTGAAATAAGTGTACCAGCATGAGAGAAAAGCAGATTAATGTGATGTAGAGTCAGAGAAAGAAAACTAATATTAATTCAACACATGTTTCAGACCCTCTGCCTGGCATGGAAAACTTCTATTGAGCCCAACAGTTAGAATGTAGTGTCAAATTCTGAAAAACACAATTCATAACGATTCAATCTCAGCAGCACATATTTAACTACATGCTGAATTTGCTTAGAAATATACTATATGGGCCAGGTACGGTGGCTCACACCTGTCATCCCAGGACTTTGGGAGGCCAAGGTGGGTGGATCACCTGAGGTCAGGAGTTCAAGACCAGCCTGACCAAGATGGTGAAACTCCGTCTCTACTAAAAATACAAAAATTAGCTGGATATGGTGGAGGACTCCTGTAATCCCAGCTGCTAGGGAGGCTGAGACAGGAGAATTGCTTGAATCCGGGAGGTGGAGGTTGCTGTGAGCTGAGATCGTGCCAATGTACTCCAGCCTGGGTGACAGAGGGAGACTCTGTCTCAAAAAAAAAAAAGAAATATACTATATGAAATTGATAGGAGAAAAGACCATATTCATTGCTCAGGTGTTCCTGATGTGGAATAAATCCTCATTATGTTAAAACTACCTTACATAGTTAACAGTTTATTTTTGGAAACGCATGTTAATTTTTACTTCTCGCATTCACGGTAGTAAAATGAGTAATTACTTTGAACTGCACCAAGAAATTTGATGATCATTCATGTTCATTAAAATGGGATTCTACATGCAGGTAGAATTGCTATAATTTAATTTTTATTCTTACTAAATTACTCTTACTAAATTAAATACGTATAAATAAAGTAGTGACAAAATACCCATGCATTTCACTGCACATTCCTCAAAGGAATAAAATGATGCTTAAAAATATCCTCAGTTATACTTTTTACTCTTTTTCATAATATATAGAACTAAAATAAATGTGTGCCTTATAGTTGTTCACAATAGTTAGATGTTTTTCAAATTAGTATTAGCTCCAACTCCAGCTCTGAGGTAATCATTTAGAACCCAAAGAGATGCTGTGGTCTGACAACATATAAATTATATCTACAAACACAGAATTACAAATAGCACTTACTGCATGCCACCAAAGTCTATACTCTTGACCCCGGTAGGTATTTTAACATAATGATAACTTTACATATTATAGGGTGAAACCACTCCCAACTATACACAATTATACCTAGTAGTGTCATACACACTAAAATTTTTCTCAAAGAAATTGTATTAATAGTACATTTTTAAAAAATAAGCAAGGTTGATAATAGCATATTAAATACAGTAATAGGGAATAGGCAAGTGAGATAAAAACAAAGGTTACATATCTAATTATTGGTTATTAATACTTTGTCAATAACTTGAAAATAACAAAAGAATATTTATTAGTCATAACACCAATTGCCAATTACATTAAATTTTATCCTCATTAAATATGTATAAGAACTTCATATATTTTTCAGACAGCATCTTAAGTGGTACCATTTCAGTTCAACTCTGATTTTTAAGTCCCTGAGCTATTACAATCAGAACCTAAAAAACTGTTAATTTCATCAGATATTCTGTAGTTTCAATAATTTGTTTTCCACAAAATGTGTAATAATAATAATTACTATTATTATTTTTTGACAGGGTCTGGCTCTGTTGCCGAGGCTGGAGCACAAGGTGTGACCTCAGCTCACTGCAACCTCCACCTCTCAGGATCAAGCAATCCTCCCGCCTCATCCTCACGAGCAGCTGGGACTACAGACATGCACCACCATGTCGGCTAATTTTTGTAATTTTAATAGAGACAGGGTTTTGCCATGTTGCCCAGGCTGGTTTCGAACTCCTGTACTCAAGCTACACCTCTGCCTTAGCCTCCCACAATGCTGGGATTACATGGGAGAGCTACCATGCCCAGCCTGCACATTATGTTATTTAATCACTTTTTTGCTGAGCACATAATAGGCATTCTGAAAATAATGGCTAATTGATTGACAAATATATCAAACTTTGAAAATATGCTTGGCTTTGCAAGGAATAATTTATTCTATCTTTGACTATGAGTTATAATTCTGATTTATTAATCCCCGTTTTTATTTTTGCAAAGTTGAATTATGCAGTCTTTCATAATTCTCACAACTGCAATTTTTAGATGATATAATTTTTAATTTAAATAAGGAAACAAATACGCACAATAATCCAATAATGGCTCATATAACATAGCTGGAGCAGTTTCCACACATCAGAATTCACTTGAGTAAAAGGACAAAATCTTTGTTTCAGATTCATTTTTAACATTGCTAAGCAAATATTTTTAAATTGTTTCAACAGATTTTAAAGATACATAATACTAAATATCATGATATCCCAACCTTCTCCTCATTTTAGCATTTAAACCTCTTCTATAAAGCTTTGCAGTTTTATAACTAGAAGTTAATATTACTTTTCCGCCTCTTGTAAATACATCAAGAGATAAAACACACTAACATCTTTTCTCAAAGTGCAGACCTGAAACATTTCATTTCAACTTCTTGTATTTCCTAATACAATTTTATATTAATTACAATATGATCAAAAAATGATGAGAGTGAACAAAATATTTACATTGAATATATTTCTATGACTGTGGCTGCTTCTCCATACCAAGTTTCAGTTAACATTCTCTCCATTTGAGAAGTGATTTTATCTTTTAAATTAGTTATCTTTGGGGGAAATGCCAGCATTTTGTAAGAGCCCAGTAAGAAAAATCTTAATGACAATTTGCAAAAACATCGTTAAAGTGATTTTTAAAAATAAAACTGTATTTTCACAAATTCACACCTCTGTTAGGCATAAAGAGAAACATTTTATGGGAAATTCATCACTAGTGTTGATAAACAAAGGTTCAGTAAGCAGATATGACAAAGCTAAAGCAAGTTCAATTGTACATGTGTATTTGTTTCATATCTAAGTTTCTTTACGATTTCACATGGCTTTCTATTATAATAGAGACAAATCTTTAAAAAGTTGATCACTCAACTTAGCACTTACCTCATATGGGTGATAATGAGTGTTGTGGTGGGAATGAAAAAATCATCCACTCTGTCAAATTGCTTTCCCACTGGTTGGGTGTGGATCGTGTGGTGAGGCACATTCCCACTGGCCAGGGTAATTACCTAAAGAGAACACACCTTGGTTAGACCTCAACAATGCAGTCACTTCATAGTATAAGCTTTAATTTTATTTAGAGATGAAATAAATGTTTCTGGCAGTTGTTTGCATAGACTTTATGCCATCCTCAAAATCAATATATTATTACACAAATTACAATTCTGTGACTGTTTTGCTTATTTTCAATATAGAAACTTGTTTCTATAAAGAAAAAAATAGAAAAATATTTGCCTTGAACAATTTCAGCTTAAAATATAAAATAAATAGGCATGTAAGCAACTTCTTCATTACAAAAATCCTAATCTTCTTACAAAGAGAAAAATAAATGCAAACATACAAGTAATGTGTGATATTAGGACAAAATCCCTCCAGTATAACATAACTGGCAACATAGTTTTAAAAACTCCAAATAAATCATATGAAACATTTTAAATTTTTAAAATCTTGGAATACATAAAACCATATTTTAAAACGTTTTCCTCCTATCATTGAAAAATAACCGGTTTACGTGTTTTAATAAAAGAGATTTCATCTTTAATAATGAATTGTTTTTTAAACTTTTATAGTCCTTTAAAGAAAAGGTCAACTACATTTAAACTAGTTTATTTCCCTAATTCCATTAGTTACCAAATCCTGTTAGTTCTTTCTTCAGATCTGTTTACACCCCTGTAAACTTTCATTGTTCCTACTGCACAACCATTGTTCTGGTAGCCTTCTAAAGGGCCTTTTTCCTGCCTTTACTTTATCCACTTTTAAATACTTTCTACATATGGCCATCAAAGTAACTTCCTAAACTACTGACTAAGTTAAAGTAATTCTCCCTCAAGACTAAAACTTCTCCTTTGGTTTTTATGACAAGATTTTATTTTATAATTTTTAGTTTTAGAGTTAGTTTGTTTTTCCTAAAGGGTAATTTTTCTTCATCTAAATGAATATACTTTCATTGAGTTCCATCGGAATCCCTCCTGGCTGGGGCCCACTTCCTGAACAATAGCAAAATGGAAGGCTTCTATTTCAAGTTATTTCCTGGGAATATTTTATTCTCTAATTATTGTGCATTTGATAAGACATTAATTATATTCCAATTGTGAAATTTGTGGATTACAGATTCATTATAATTTTTAAGGCAGTATTTTGAAATTTTTGTAAGACACATATGACTTTTAAAAGTAAAATAAATAAATTATGATAAATCCTTGAGAATCCACCTGAGGACACTAATTGGAAAATATTGTCATATATCTAAAATTATGACACCTAGTCTCTATTAATTATAAATATCTCAGAAAATACATATTTTGCTTTCGTATTTGACGAAGACGTATGGATAAAATTATAATAAAAATTAAAACACAAAGAAAAAGATAAGTAGAATTTTCTGATCCTTGAGAACATGCTTCAGCATCGATTTCTCTTCCAGCTTAATCTTTTAACATGATGGCATGGGAAACACTATAGCCACAATGAGGGCTTGCCCATATTTTTGGTTTTGTGAATTCAGTTTCTCCAAAGGAAGCATATCTTAACTTCCACTTCCTTTGTGAATGTTTCCTGATAATCTTTTGGGAGACAATTATCCATGAACATTTTGACATTTCTGCAGAGTCAGGTCTTTCATAGCAAAGAGCATTGGCAAACTTGGTTTAAGTCTAATGGCATAGCAAAAATGCCTTGGAGACTAGTGATAGTGGCTTGCTCATGAGAGATTTAGAGAATTATCTCCTTTGAACCATTTACTGACATTCAAGGGAATTGACCTACTCTTCTTCTTCCAGGGGAAGATTTTCATACATTCTAGAGTAATGATGATTATCTCTCCAGACAGAGGATAGGCTGATATGCTAGCAGCCTAAAAAAACGTAGAGACTTATAATTCTAGGGTCCCACTTCTTTCGTGCAACTGTGCTGAACATTCAGGGTAGCATTAGGCTCTCCACGTGACCCAAAGTTGATTATGGCTGAGGCATAAACACTAACATGATCCATGAGTGAGAAATGGCCTATTCTCTGATCCAGAGATCTTGTGTTTCCTATCATATTGTTTGCCAATCAATGAATCAATCAATCTACCTATCTAATCAAGCTTATATCTATATTCATATAACATACACACATATAAACCTTATGTAAATAAATCTTCTTGTGTATACCTTTTTAAAGGATACTTCTCAATTCCTACACTTTATTTTATATTTTCACTTGTGACATTTACCTTCCACTCCCACCTGGCAAATATTTTTATAATTTACCATATTCTATCAGCACAAAATATGTTTTATTAGGCATCCAGAGAAAAATAAAGAACCCATTTTTAGATGGTTGAATAATGTGTGGGAAGAATACCTCCAGAAGGCTGTTTTCTGTGTACAATGTCAAAGGAATTTGTCTAAACTATTTTGTGGTGGAATTGCAACGCTGGGAAAGTTGTTAATCTATCCAAGTAGCATGAATCAAAGGGGAGAGGAAGGGATCAATTCTGAAGAAAATTGTATAATAAAAATATATGCAGCTTTAGTTTTTTAAAAAAAAAGACATGAAAAAATTAAACTTTTATGTTATACTAATCTTAAAGTTAATAGAGTATTAAAATAATTTATAAGAATATTTTCTAAAAAATCATATATATATTGACCTGTTTTATTTATCTTGCAAAGAGTATACTTAAATACAAAATCTCAATTAACAAGCACCTATTACCATATTGTGATAGATGATTCTAAAAGTTGCCCACTGTGAAGATTGTGCTTTTTCAATCAAGAGATTGGCTCTATCACTCCATCCTCTTGAATCTGGGCAGGCAATGTGACTTGCTTCGATGAATATGATGTAGCAAAATTGGCTTTATATGCATTTTGAAGCCCATACCTCAGCTGGTCTTGTAGCTTCCACTTTTGTAACATAAGACCATTATGCTGTGAAGATGCAGTGTGAGCGTCACATGCAGGGGACACAAGGCACCCAGCTGAGCACCATCACCATGCGACAGACATGAGGGTGAGGCCATTCTGAACCTTCCAACTCTAGCCAAGTTATCAGGTAACTGGAGCCCATGAGTGCTCCCAGATCACATCAGCAGAGCTGCCCAGGTAGCCAACTCACAGAATTCTGAGTCATCCTTTAATTTTAAGACCTCACATTCTGAGAGTGGATTGATTTGCAAAATAAATAACCAAAATACTATAATATTTTTTCAATGTTTCAAATGACACATATTTCTAGTGAATATAAAATGATCCATCATTATGCTAGCTATATTAAAATATTCTATTTACATAAAACTGTCATTTGTAAGTTAAATATTGCAATACTGAAAATAACTCAGAAACATTAAAAGTCTTGGTAGTGACAACTGATTAAAATAAAATTATTTCATTTAAAAGAATTTATTTTAAAATGTCCAAAAGTTAATAATTTGGGGTCTTGTTAAGAGGGGGATATTCAAGGCAGTAGCAAAATCGCAAAGCATTTTGAAAAATACTGTAATATAAAGCACATTTCCAGGGCCAAAAACTCCTTCCCATTTTCTTTCTGTTTCTGCTTAAACTTGTAAGGCTAAGGACTGCTCCAAAGGGTCATGACCAAAATGCAGATTTTCTTTTTCTGTATCTGTGAAGTTCTCACATAAACAACTTCAAGGCAGAGGCAAAATCCATAAGAATAACACCACTATTCTTCCTTTAGAAATAAGCCTCTCCTCAGATAACAGAATATTATCTGATTAGAGAAAAATGGAGAAGGCCTTGAAGCTTTTGCTGTCGAATTCTCTTTGTCTCTATTGTACTTGCCTTACCAAAATTGTTAAAAAGTAAATTATGACTTTCTTTTCCTCCTAATGGCATCAGCTTTGTCACTATAGGTTATTCTTTTCGCATATAAATATAACCTTTAATACACATTATCTATGATTTTTCCCAGTCCAAAAGTACATGAATGCCAACTTTTTTGCCTTTTTCTGTGCCTATCTAGTTATGATTAAAGCTGTAGTCCTCAGATGGAAAAATATCATGGTTAAATGATCACAAATATCCAATAAAATGTTGAAAGCTTTAAAGATTGTTATTTTCTCTAATATACTGAAATGTACTTACCTGTAGTGTTGGTGATGTCTTCTCCAAGGTACCCCAGCTTAGCACCCAGACCTGATCATGTGATTTGTCATAGTGTAATTTAACTGGGACAGGGTCTGTGCTCACTGCCTACAATAAAGAAGAATTGAAAAAAATGTTTTAGACTAAACTATTAGTTTAAAGCTAGGCCAGAAATTATGAAGATTCTAATTTAGATGTCAGATTAAAAATTTAATTTGCCAAATATATAATTTCCTTAGCCCTTATTTGATATTTGAAAATATCATACTTTACTCATGTATATTCATATACATGAATAAAGTATTATCTTTCTAAATTTTTTATCATATACAATTATGATCACAATTATCATATACATGATAAATATTTTGTTTATCATTTGCACAACTGTACACAGCTTTCAGTTCATTCATTACCTATGCACATTGTGAGGTGGGGAGAAGCTATTTAGAAACTCAAGATATAAAAGATTAATATATTCATTTTAATTAAGTGTTGAATACAGGTGAGAACTATGTTTACACTATTAGATTTATTTTATCCCAATTCTGATTACAAGATTTCACTATCTGTAATGTTAAAATGCCAACAATCTGATATATGGCTGTAATTCTAACGAATGATCAGCTAGTTAAGTTTCCTTAATGAGAAATTCAAAACCACAGAAGAAAAAAGAATTCTTTTTTTATGCACCATGCTTGGTATGAAAATGTGTTTTTTTTGCTAATATTTATAATAATATGTATAATATTTATAATATTTAGCATTTACTTAAAACAAAATTCTCAGAAAACAAAGTGATGCCAGGAAGTTATTTCACTCACCTTAATTTTATGCTATTCATATTACAAGCTAACACCACTTAAAATTAATTTCCAGGAGTAGGTACTTATATATTTTCTAACTATGTAGCATAAAACAAATTGTATCCAGTAAAGTAAACTTTATCCAACAGTGAAAGCATTTCTTCCCAAAGCTCTATTAAATATCCTTAGAGAATTTTCTTTTTTTTCTTTTTTCTTTTCTTTTTTATTATTATTATTATACTTTAAGCTCTAGGGTACATACGCACAACGTGCAGGTTTGTCACATATGTATACATGTGCCATGTTGGTGTGCTGCACCCGTTAACTTGTCATTTACATTAGGTGTATCTCCTAATGCTATCCCTCCCCCCTCCCCCCACCTCACAACAGGCCCGGGTGTGTGATGTTCCCCACCCCGTGTCCAAGTGTTCTCATTGTTCAATTCCCACCTATGAGTGAGGGATGAAGCTAGAAACCATCATCCTTAGAGAATTTTCTAAGTACTTATCCATAATGCAATGTTCTTCTCAGCACATTAGTAACAGGTAAACTATTGTTGTGGTTGGAAATATGGAAATGCATGTTTTAAATTAAATGTTAACAAGTCTCACTAAGGCATCTCTTTTCGAAAATAATGCCCTTCATTTTGCCTATTTAACATTCTCAGTATTCTTGGATTACTGGAATAATTATTGGATTTCGAAAGAAACTCACTTAACCATTTTTTATATTAGTGTCTTTACCCCTTTTTTCCTCGCTAAGAGAGTCACTATACTGTTTTGGGATCAGATGTGCAGCAATATCCTCAGGGAAGGTAGCTCACTTGGCAAGCACCACAGATCCAAGGAAATGACTGATTCTATTTCCTTTTGACTGATATTGAGTTTCCCAGCCTCTTCAGAGGCTTAAGAGTGGTCACATTGCATACTCTGTATGTATTGCATACTCTGTATGTATTGTAGTTTCTGTATTGTAAAGATTAGTATGATGCATGATTTCTGAGAATAATACTCCATTCCATCAACAGAGATAACAGAAGGCTTCCTTCCACCACATGTTCTCTTATTTCCAGTTTCCAGTGCTGTCCTATGAGGATATTAAGCCTCTAGTTTCCAAAGTCATTTTGAGGCCATGAAGCTATTAGGTTAAGAGGAAAAGGCCGGGTGCGGTGGCTCACGCCTGTAGTCCCAGCACTTCAGGAGGCTGAGGCAGGCGGATCAGGAGGTCAGGAGATAGATACCACGGCGAAACCCCGTCTCTACTAAAAATACAAAAAAAACAAACAAACAAAAAAATTAGCCAGGAGCTGTGGCGGGCGCCTGTAGTCCCAGCTGCTCGGGAGGCTGAGGCAGGAGAATGGCATGAACCTGGGAGGCGGTCTTGCAGTGAGCAGAGATCACGCCATTGCACTCCAGCCTGGGTGACAGAGCAAGACTCCGTCTCAAAAAAAAAAAAAAAAAAAAAAAAAAAAAAGAGGAAAACCCAATACTTTGAGGGTGCAGAGGAGAAAAATAAAAGGAAACTGAATTCTTTATAACCTTGAGTTGCTACACAAACATAGAACAGCTATTCCCAGACTTGATGTTATTTAGGTAATTAAATAGCTTTATTGCTTAAGGAATAGTTAATCTGGATTCTGTTAATTGTGTTAGAATGCCAGATGTTTCATTTAAATTTTTTCATGTACTAATCAATAATTTCAGTGCATATATAGCCCTAAAAAGTCATCATTAATCAATACACTAATGACAAAGCCATAAGATTCCTTTGATTTTTCATATTTTCCCTTTCTATGTTAAACTTAATCTATGTGTGAATGTAATAGCCTATTTTGCATGCAGCTTTAAATGGAATAATCTTTAGATCTTTAAAATGTTAAAGATAAGATAGCTCAACACAAATGAAAAAAGAAACAGTAAAAAAAAAAATCTCATTGTTATTTAATTGTAAGACTATATCAAAGGTCTGTAAGTAATGGTAAGGATCTGGGAACAATTTGAATGAAAATTTCCAGTTTGCCAGCTCTCACAAATTGCTTTTCTTTTCACCAGGCCTTTCATAAGTATTATCTTATAGAGACATACTACAAAGCATAGGTTAGGCTAACACCTACATTTAATGGGATAAGGAAACTGAGAATCAGTCTTGTTGGAGGTCCTCCAGCCAATAACAAGGACATCTGGGATCTGATAGTCTGTGTTCCTTTCCAATGTGGGAACCTCTCTGCATATGAAAGACACTCCCTCTTAGTTGATTGTTTATTCCTGGGAATGTGTGGATATGTTGCTCTCTTATTTATGCCTCATGTATAAAAAACATTGCTTTGGGTCTTTTTCCTCTATTGGAGGTTAACAAGAAAACCAACGGGCTCAAATACATGCCGTCATCTCTGCAAGCAATAAAATCCTAATGGAGAATCACTGAAAGTCAGTATAGATCATGTTTATGAGCATTTATTCTGAAGCCAATTTCAAACTTTAACTCTTTCACTTACATTAAAATAATAATGACAACAACAATAATAATAGTACCTTGGGAAGTTACTAAATTTTTCTGTGGCTCAGTTTTTTTCTACAATAAAATGGAGACTGTAATAATACCTACTTCAAAGGGTTATTGTGAGTATTAGGTGAGATAGTAAAGTACTTAGCGTGTGCCTGGTGAATATTAAGTACCATGGAAATACCACTCATACTACTACTACTACTACCATTAGAAACAGTAATTGAGCTAGATGTTTTAGTGACTGTTAGCATCATAATGTTTCAAGGTTAGATGTGCAATATCTTTAGTAAGTGAAAGAAATGAGACCTAGAAGAGAAAATAAACCCGTTTCTGTCCTTGAAGAATTTACAGACTAGAGGGTGAAAAGAGCACTTAAAATAACTTGATGTGTGTCACAAAAAAAATAAAAAAATAAGGACCACGCACTACAAAAGCTCAGAGGAAGAAGTACAATGCAGGATAAAATATAAGGAAAAGAGGTAAGGCTTTCATTGAGCCTTAAAGAACGAATATTTTTATGAATGGAAAGAGAATATTTTTAAAAGTTAACTTATGGAAATATTTTACAGGAAGTGTCAGAAAGCAGTTCATGATGAACTGCCTTCAAATAAATTAGGATATACCTATTTGGAGGAAAAAAATATCAGCCAATTTTCAAAATAATTTCCGACTTTGAAAAATGTCTGCTCAACGATTTCCAAAAGTTTTGAACATTTTGTTTCAGCTTTTCAAAAGCTTTGCACTAAATTCAGTTATTTTGCTGTCTGGTTATAAAAGTTCACCAGAACTGAAAAAGATATGCAGATCAAAATAAAAAAAGTAATATAACATACTTTATTTGGAAAAATTGTAATTTTCAAGAAAATTTATTTATAAGTTTTCATGTATAAAATAACACATTTTATACAAGAAACATTTATATGATTTTCATCAACAGAATCATATATTAATGATAAAAATATTTCCAAATGACTATCTTCAGGATAATACTTCCATGACCCAATTTTCAGTCAGAAAAGCCAGTATGTTACTATTAATACCATCAACTTTGGCAAGGGAATAAATAACACACTGGATTTTACAAAATACCTGCTCGTATGCTCTTGAAATGGACTTTAAAGAATCAGTAAATTTAGAACAATTGGTTTTTATAGAACAGAAGGGCAATATTTTTGACACTTACAAAATTTTGTTTTTGCCACAGACAACTTCTGAACTTCTTTGTCACAAGTGTTGAAATGGTTCTCCACATGTTATGCAAAGGATTACAAAGAGTCTGTCATCCTTGACTGCCGTCTTCCTCCCATACTTCACATCCTCAGGAAATGCAATTGAATCTACCTTCTAAATGATGATCCCTTTGCAATATCTCTACTATCCCCATGAACACAGTCACCATTATCATTATCACATGGTGTCTAACTTCTTACCTTATACTCATCAGTCTTTCTCATAAATTTGTCTGAGTGATTTTTTTTTTCATTCTTTAAGCATCAGGCAAGTCATGACAGTAATCAGCTCCAAACTGTCAGTTTTTGGAATAGACAAATTGTGTGTTGGGTTTTACAAAATACCGGCTAGGATACTCTTGAAATTTACAGCCTCTTCTAATTTCTTTTAGAGTGAAAGCCAAAAGTCATTATAATGACCACCTGGCCTTACCTGAACTGACACCTCCCCAGTCTTCTCTAGCCTTGTCGCCGACTACACTTTCCTTGATGTCTCTGATACAGAATCTCCTGGCCTCCTTTGCTGTTCATCCAATATGTCAGCCATGCTTCTGCCTTTTGGAGGGTCTTTCCTTGAAAAGTTCTTCCATAGAATCCCAATGCCTGCTTCCTCAACATCTTTGCTCATAATTCACTTTCTCAGCACGGCCAGCTTGATCACCCTATTTAATAATCAAACCCTCCTTCCCTGTGTGCATACCTCTTCTCCTCAGCTTTCCCAAGCCCTCCTGTCCTTGCTCCGCAGTTTTACATTTTCCAAAAGCACTTACCTCCTTATATATGGCATAGTTTGTATTTTAGTATATTTATTTCTTATTGTCTGCCTCATCTAATAGATTCTATGCTCCCAGAAGTTAAGCTTTTTGTGTTTGTTTAGGTCAATGAAATAAACCATGCACTTAGAATAATACTTAGTGAAATAGTATTCTCAATTTATAATTAATAAACTTCTTAGTCTACTTAATTGTAAAACGTAAGTTGCAAAATTTTGTAGCATGGCAACTAATTATTATTATTAAGATCATGATCATTATTGTTATTATTTATTTTCTTAAAAAATTTCTCCTCTGATGTTGAAATTGAGATTATTATTTTATTTAACAAAAATAATTGTACTCCTGCACCAGGCTTATACAACCTGGCTCTTTTAATGAGGTATTTTACAGACACCTTATTTGTACGAGACACAAATTTCAAAAATTTAATTTTCATAACAATCTTTTTGTTGAAGTATGCACTATTGTCATCTCTTTTATAGGGATAAAAGTAAACAGAAGACTAAGAGTACTATTGTTGATGCCTTCATATTGTAAAATTCCCACTTTCTTCTCAAGACACTAGAGTTCACTATATGTTACCTGACCATCCAATATACAGATAAATTCAGGCCTTCAATATTGGTCCTTATAGTAGCTTTTTATTAAATAAAATAAGATTTTTTTAAGATTAAAAAATTGTGAACAGATGTCATAGGATTCTCTTCCTGTAACTAGTCACCTGTAAGTTCTTTGGGTTTCATGTGCTCCACTTTGGAGACCATTGGTGTGCACATTTTTTGTTTATGCAGTCACCACTTAATTTAGGAAAAATGACATGAAGTAAATGCATTATTCAGGAATATATAATTACAAAAAAGCATTAGTTATGTGCTCATATTTTATTTCAAAATTAACCTATATAATGCTCATTTATTGCTTACTGTAATTTACATTAAAAAAATAAAGATGGGATCTTCCTAGTTGCCCAGGCTGGCCTCCAACTCTGGTCACAAGCAATCCTCCCACCTCAGTTTCCCAAGCAGCTACAGACAAGTGCCACCACAACCGGCAGTATAATTTACACTTGACTACCCAAATTTATTTTGCTAGAAAAGTTGTTTTCAAACTGTCTTGAGAAGCCTATGGAAATGAGACTTACTTGTAGCTGGCAATTTGAACCCCCATCATAATAGAACAAAGGGGATCAGTTTGCATCTATTGAATTATTCTGTAAGATTTTATTTAAGTGATAGCTTCCAATTATATATTGGAAATTTCTCTCCTACATAATAATCATTAAAAGAAAAGTTGTTCACACTGTAGCCTTTGCTTAGCCTGGTGATATTGAGATTATTAATTTACAATCCCTCTTCTGCAGTTTTATTGAATTATTAAACACTTTCAAAAAAGTTTCGAATAATAATTTTAAAATTGTACTCAATTAATAGTAGTGATTTATACATTGAAGTTCTAGAATCTACATTTCTTAGTTTCTCAGACAAGCACTGTTTTCAGTGTTATATTGTCATGATGAATGAACTTTTTACCCTATTGCTTTGTATGTTAACATAAAATATATAGTGAAATAATAAAAAAGTGATTTGTTGTAGCTTTATACACATATTGATAAAAGCAATTTTTCTTTAACATTTTAAAACATTGTTGAAGGATACTCAATTTACTTACATTATGAGATTTTTTATTTCTTTTGTTGCTATCTAAACTCCCTCACAATCCCAACATACACAGTATTAAAAAATTCATCAATATTTCTTGAGGGGGTGCATATACAACAAAGTTAAAACACATGATACCCTAGTCATGGACAAGTTGTATCAACTTCTAAATTTGAAATACTGATAATAGCAGCAAAGATACACAGAACTTGCGGTTTGGTCTTGACATGAAGGAACAGTGAAGCACAGCTTGTTTATCAGTCTGACAAGGAAAGTACCAGCTGGCTAATTAAGTGAACCTAATTTAAAATAATGATGCAGTTCTCAAGATAATACGCTAATGGCTGGAGGAGACTGCTGATAATACTTAAGAGTACTCCCGGGGTGTTACAATAAGCCCCTTCTGCATCCAAGCAGAACTTGATCGTACTCCATAGACCATAAAATGAGGTCAGTTGTTTACCAGCTAATCTTTTATACTACACAACATCACCTGTATGACATTCTTACAAAAACTTTGATGGTGAGAAAAGCAATAATTGAAACAATTTGACATTTAAAGGAACACCAAGTTTATAGATTCCATTAAAAAAATGTGACCTTTACTTTTTAGCTGCAGATAAAAATGATACTGATGTATTTGCTGAAAACAAATACACCAATGATCTCCTAATGCTAATAATTTATTATAGTTTTTAAAATATTATATTGTCATAAAATATTTCTCATTTTAATAATAATATGTAATATTCAGTTTAAATTTTAAAAAATGTTTAGTTCCAAAATACACATTTAATACCAGTCCACACAGTCAAAAACATGCAAAAATCAGAAATATCAGTTCATGGATGAGGACAGCATGAAATACTAGGGGATCAGTTGGACTGGACTGAAAAAGAAAACTTCAAAGTTTACATTTCAATAACTGTAACATTATTTTCTTTATTGTTATTTTTTTCAAGAAGGCATTTTGATTTTTGGACTTCACTGCCTCATTTCTATATCCATACTATGTATAATGTATACCACTTTTTATAATGTTTGGGAAATAATTAACTAAATTTTGATTACAATTAGTATTCTTAGTTGCCTCTGTATAATATACTCAGATTAGAAAAAATAGGTAAATAAAAGCACATCATACAGTAAGGAAGTAAAACATCATTTGGATACAAAAAAGTCTAACTTTGAATCTAGGCTTAGTTGACAAAAGTGGTCAAATTGAGAATTGATGCTTTACTTTTTACAAAATTAACTTTGTACTTTGCAGTTCACTATAAATGTAAATGTGTGATGTCTTTATACACTTAGGTTACTAGGATGATCAATTTATAAAACAGAAGTCAATATCTTTGTCTGTAAAACTGACCATTTTACATGTTGTTTTAAATTCGGGAAAAACCTCAAGAGGATTTAAAATTCTAAAAGATGAATGATTTTCAAGTATAAAAATGGAGTCATTAGCTTATTCATAATTCAACTTTAAGCATGTACTCTGAGGACTAAAATTCACATACTCCTAAGGTAATGTTAAGACAAATATAAGGGTGTGTTATTTCACCCAGCAGGTAAGAGAGTTATGGAACTCATTATCTAAAGAGGCGCACAGGCTGAAATTATACGTGGCTGCAAAAAAGAGAGCTTAGGTAAATTCAAAAATAGCAAAACTTACATTTTTTAAAAGATAAATGTATGTATTTTGGTAGCATATATATAAAGCTTGAGGTAGTTATCTACAGTCAACAACATGCCTCAAAAGTAGTTTATCTCTCAGAAAGAATACTACACAGATGTACCAGTATGGAAATTTTCATTCCATATACTCAGGAGATCACTAAATTTCTATAGAATAGTTTGTCCAGAATGGCCCACATAATTCAGTTTTTATTTCACTCTCCTTCTTTCTAGCAAGGTATTTAATAGCTCTCATAATTGAAAACCCTTTTTTATAATTGACAGGTACTAATCAACCCCATCATACAGTTCTCCAGAGCTGAGTGAGCGACCCCCACTACATACTACTGCCTCTGTGTTTTGCTTCAAGGATTAAGTGCCTACATTTTTTTTTTTTTTTTTACAATAGGAACATATTTGATATGTTGCTTTTGGTTCTGTTTTCCTAATGGAGGGCAGCTATAGAAAGTGAGGCAATAAGGCTGATAAAGGGTGGCATGGGACAGAATGTATCAAGAGAAGGTTAGGATTTGTCTTTGATAGTAGGATATCTGAGAATACACAGTGACTATTAGAAAAACCTGAATTATAGCAGCAGGTCTACACTGGCTTTTTAGATTGCTGCCCGCAAGCATATTCCTCAGGTTAGTTGAGAATGTACTGTTATTCCCAGAGCATGTGGAAAGAAAAAATGGGAAATCAACTGCTTAGTTAATGAAGATACACATTTTTAGATTAACAAGATTATTGTTTTTTGTTTCAGTATTCCTAAGTCAGTTCATTTGGTCAGTCATAAAATCATTTTTTCTTGATTTCTTCTTGTGTTTCATGTCATTAACTTATATTTTCTCTTTAATTTGGCCCCTCATATTCTTCTTAAATTTTACTAGCATGATTTTAACTTAATATTTTCTTAGTTGCTTTTATTATCTGTAAGACTGTGTGTATACCTTTTCTTTCATTCAATTCTGATAGTATTAATTGTGACTTTTGTTCTTGTTCTTTGCCAAAATTTCCAGATTTATCTATTTCATTAGTATTTTTTTCATTTTTTAAAACTTTGGTCGATAAATTTGACATGAAATTTACCATCTTAACCATTTTTAAGTGTGCTGAAATATGTTCATAATTCTGTGTAATCATCATCCCTATGAATCTCCATAATTCTTTTTACCTTGTAAAATGGAACCATTATAGTCATTAAACAACAATTCCTCAATTCTGCCTCTTCCTAGCCCTGGAAACTACTATTCTACTTTCAGTCTCTATTATTTTCACTACTCTAATTACCTCATATAAATGGAATCAGACAGTTTTTGTCTTATTATGACTGGCTTATTTCACTTATCATAATGTCCTCAGATTACACCCATGTTGTAGCATATTTCAGAATTTCTTTCCCTTGTAAGGCTGTATAATATTCCATTGCATTTATAAAGCATATTTTATCTATTCATCTGTCAACAGACACTTGAGTTACTTCCACATGATAATTCTACTTTTAATTTTTTAAATAACCACCAGTCTCTCAAAGCAGTTCCACCATTTTATATTCCCAACAACAACGCACAAGGGTTTCAATCTCTCCAACCCCGTGCCAAAACTTATTTTTTGTTTGATAGTAGCCATCCTAATGGGTATGAGGTGACATCTCATTGAGTTTTGACTTACATTTCCCTAATGATTACTTATATTGGTCATCTTTTTATATGCATATTGGCTATATGTATAACGTCTTTGAAAAATGTCTATTGAAGTTCTTTGCCCACTTTATTTATCTATTTTTTTTTTTTTTTGAAGCGGAGTCTCCCTCTGTTGCCCAGGCTGGAGTGCAGTGGTGCCATCTCGGCTCACTGGAAGCTCCGCCTCCCGGGTTCACGCCATTCTCCTGCCTCAGCCTCCTGAGTGGCTGGGACTACAGGCGCCCACCACCACGCCCGGCTACTTTTTGTTTGTTTGATTTTAGTAGAGACGGAGTTTCACCGTGTTAGCCAGGATGGTCTCAATCTCCTGACTTTGTGATCCACCCGCCTCAGCCTCCCAAAGTGCTGGGATTACATTTGCCACTTTTGAATCCAGTTTTGGTGATTTTTGTGGTTGAGTTTTAGGAGTTCTCTATATACATTGGATAGTAATCCCTTAACAGATATATGATTTGCATATATCTTCTTCTATTATGTGGGTTGTCCTTTTACTTTTCACTCTGTTAATATTATCTTTGAATGAATAATTTTTTAAAAAAATTATTAAGTCCAATTTATGTAATTTTTCTTTGATTGCTTGTGCCTTTGTTGTCACATCTTAGATATCCTTGCCAAATCCAATAGCATAAATTTTTTGCTCTTTCGTCTAACAGTTTAAATTTTGCACCTGAAATTTAGGTCTTTTATTAATTTTGTGTTCGTTTTTATTTATGGTGTTATGTAAGGTTCCAACTTCATTCTTTTGCATGTGGACATCCAGTTTTCCCAGCATCACTTGTAGAAAGACTGCCATTGCCCCACTGAATGGTCTTGGCACCCTTATAAAAAAAAATTGACTATATATGTTTATTTATGAACTTTCTATTCCATTCTATTATTCTGTATACCTGTCTTTATGCTAGTACTACACAGTTTTTGATTATTGTAGCCTTTGCAGTAAGTTTTGACACAAGAAAATGAGAGTACTCCAGCTTTGTTCTTCTTTTGCAAGAATATATTTGCTATTTAGGGTCCCTTAAGATTCCATATGAATTTTAAGATGAGCTTCTCTATTTCTGCAAAAAAAAAAAGTCTTAGGGATTTTGATAAGAATTTCACTGAATCTCTAGATTGCTTTGAGTACTACTGACATCTTAACAATATTGAGTCTTTCAATTCATGAACATAGGTTGTTTTCCCATTTATATATCTCCTTTAATTTCTTTCAGCAATATTTTGTAATTTCCCTTGTATGTCTTTCACCTTCTTTGTTAATCTCTACGTATTTTACTCTTTATTATGCTATGACAAGTTGAACTGTTTCCATAATTCTATTTGCAATTTGTTTATTATTAGTGTATAGAAATGCAACAGATTTATGCATGTTCCTTTCTATCCTGATACTTTATTGAATTCATTCATTAGTTCTAATAGTGTTTTGCGTAATTTTTAGGGTTTTCTACATGTAAGATCATGCCATCTGCAAATAATTTTGCTTATTCCTTTTTAACTTGGAAGGCTTTTATTCATCTTTCTAGCCTAATTGTTCTGGCTAGAAGCCAATACAATGTTAAGTAGAAGTGGCAAAAGTGGGCATCCTTGTCTTTTTCCTGAACTTAGAGGAGAAGCTCAATCTCTCATTGTTGAATTTTTTCCCACATGGGTTTTATATGTTGCCATAGTTTCTTCCCATTCCTAGTTTTTTGAGTATTTTTATTATGAAAGAGTGTTAAATTTTATCACATGCTTTTTTCGATCAATTGAGATGGTCATGTAATTTTTCTCTTTCATTTTGTTAAGTCTGTTTATTACAATGATCTGTTTTTATATGTTGAATCATCCTTGCATTCCAGGAATAAATCCTACTTGGTCATGGGTATGATGTAGTTATGTGCTGCTGAACTTGGTTCGCTAATATTTAGTTGTGTATTTTTACATCAGTGTTCATAAGGCATCTTGAGCTGTGGGTGTGTTTTCTTGTAGTGTTTTTGTCTGGCTTTAGTATCACAGCAATGCTTGCTTCATAGAATGGGTTAGGCAGAATTTACTTCCTTTAATATTTTTAGTAAGGTTTGAGAAATATTGGTGTTAGTTCTCTTTGAATGTTTGGTAAAATTCAGCAGTGACATCATCAGATTTACTGCTTTTCTTTGAGCTATTTTTGATTACTGATTCAATTTTCCTAGCATTTGTAAGTAAATTTATTTTTTTCTATTTTAATTTAGTCTTGCTGCATTTTGTGTTTCCATAAATTTGTCCATTTTATGTAGGTTATCCAATTTGACAACATACAATTGTTCATGGTACTCTCTTATAATCCTTTGCATTATCTATAGAATTGGTATAATAGTAATGGCCCCGCATTCATTTTAGATTTTATTAATTAAAATCTCTTTCTCTTATCCCATCTAGCTAATAGCTTGTCAATTTTCTTGATCTTTTTTTTTTTTTTTGAGACAGAGTCTCGCTCTGTTGCCCAGGCTGGAGTGCAGTGGCACGATCTTGGCTCACCACAAGCTCCACCTCCCGGGTTCACGCCATTCTCCTGCCTCAGCCTCCAGAGTAGCTGGGACTACAGGTGCTGGCCACCACGCCCGGCTAATTTTTTTGTATTTTTAATAGAGACAGAGTTTCACCGTGTTAGCCAGGATGATCTCGATCTCCTGACCTCGTGATCTGCCCGCCTTGGCCTCCCAAAGTGCTGGAATTGCAGGCGTGAGCCACCGCACCTGGCCATTTTCTTGATCTTTTTAAAGAACTAACTTTTGGTTTCAATAGTTTTCTCTATTCTCTATTTTATCTTTTGTCTAATTTTTATCAGTTCCTTCTTTCTGCTAGCTCTGACTTTAGCTCTTTTTCTTTTTCTTTCCGTTTTTTTAAGTTGTAAAGATAGGTTGTTGATTTGAGATATTTCTTGATTTTTTTAAATGTAAGTATTTATCATTCTAAATTCCACTCCCCTGGCATCCTTCAGCACTGGTTTTGCCATGTCCCATAAGTTTTGGTCTGTTGTGCTTTTATTTTCATTTGCCTCTAAGTATTTTCTAATTTTCCTCATGATTTTTTTAATCGATTGTTTAAGGTTGTTTTAATTTCCACAATTTAAAAAAAATTCCAATTTTACTTCTATTATGGATTTCTACTTCCACACCATTATGCTGAGATAAGACAATTTTTATTATATGTAACTTTTTTTTTTTTTTTGAGACGGAGTCTCACTCTTGCCAGGCTGGAGTGCAGCGGCATGATCTCGGCTCACTGCAACCTCTGCCTCCTGGGTTCAAGCAATTCTCCTGCCTCAGCCTCCTGAGTAGCTGGGATTACAGGAGTGTACCACCATGGCTGGCTAATTTTTGTATTTTTAGTAGAGACGGGGTTTCACCAGGTTGGCCAGGATCGTCTCGATCTCTTGATCTAGTGATCCACCTGCCTTGGCCTCCCAAAGTGCTGGGATTATAGCTATGAGCCACCGTGCCTGGCTGTGTCTAACTTTTAAAATCTATTGAGACTTAATTTCTGGCCTAACATATCATTTATCCTGGAAAATGTTCCATGAGCTCTTGAAAGAGAAAGATATATATGCTATTGTCATTGGATAGGGTATTCTGTATTTGTCTGTTAGATCTGTTGGTTTATTGTGATAAGTCCTCTACTCCCTTTATTATCTTCTGTCTGGTATTTCTATCAATTATTGACAGTGAGGAATTGATGCTTTCAGTTATCATTGTAGAACTCCCTATTTCTCAATTCTGTCAGCTTTTGCTTCATATGTTTTGATGATTTAGTATTAACTATATGAATGTTTATAATTTTTAAATCTGCTTGCTGTATTGCTGTATTGATTTTTTTATTAATAAATTATCTCCCTCTTTGTCTCTTGTAATTTTTTTTTTTTTTTTTCTGGGACAGAGTCCCACTCTGTCTCCCAGGCTGGAGTGCAGTGGCACAACCAAAGGTCACTGCAGCTTTGACTTCCAGGCTCAAGTGATGCTCCCACATCACTCAGCTTCCCAAGTATGTGGGACTACAGGTGCGTGTCACCACACCCAGCAAATTAAAAAATGTGTATATAGAGAGACACCATCTCACTATGTTGTCCAGGTAGGTCTTGAACTCCTGGGGCCACACACTGCCCCTGTCCTGGCCTCTCAAAGTGCTGGTTTTAGAAGTGTGAGCCACCACACCAGGCCCTTGTGACTTTTTAAGTCTATGGAGACATATATTAGTATAGTTACCTCTCCGTTTTGGTTACTCAGTGCATGGACTATCCTTTTCAATCCCTTATCTTTCAGACTTTTAGTGTGATTTTACCTAAAGTGAGCCTCTTGTAGATAGCATATAGTTTGATCCTGTTTTTAATCCATTCTGTCAATCTCTTTTGATTAAATAATGTAAGCCATTTATATTTAAAGTACTTAGTGATAAGAAGGCACTTCCTTTTGTTATTTTGCTACATGTCTTCTATATGCCTTACAGATTTCCCCTCTCATTTCCTGCATTATTGTCTTCATTCATGTTTAGTTATTTTTTTGTAATGAAATGTTTAAATTTCTCATTTTCTTTTGTCTATATTCTGCAGCTATTTTCTTTGTGGTTAGCATGGGGATTACACTTAATATCCTAAAGTTATAGCAGTTCTATAATACCTAAACTTCAATAACATAGAAAACTCTGCTCCTTTAATAGCTCCATTCTGATCTCTTTCGGTTATGTCACAAATTACATTTTTGTACACCACGTGCCAAAAAAATAAACAAATAATTATTTTAAACGCATTATTTTCTTAAATTATGTAGAAAACAAAAAGGGTTTTTGCAAATCAAAGTTACAATAATAATAACTTTTAGACTAATAATATTTATGCATTACTCTCATATCAGGTAAGAAACAAAAAGTGTAGTTACCAAATTTTATTATAATCATATTAGATTTTGTGATTGTCCATGTATTTGCTTTTATAAAGATCTGTATTTCTTCACATGACTTCAAGTTATTGTGTAGTGGTTTTTTTTTTTTTTGAGATGGGCGGAGTCTCGCTCTCTCGCTCAGGCTGGAGTGCAGTGGCAGGATCTCGGTTCACTGCAACCTCTGCCTCCCAGGTTCAAGTGATTCTCCTGCCTCAGCCACCTAAGTAGCTGGGACTACAGGCACCCGCCACCACGCCTGGCTAATTTTTCGTATTTTTGGTAGAGATGGGGTTCCACCATGTTGGCCAGGATGGTCTCAATCTCCTGACCTCATGATCCACCCACCTCAGCCTCCCAAAGTGCTGGGATTACAGGCATGAGTCACTGTGCTCGGCCTGTGTAGTGTTTTGGTTTATTCATATGTTTGTTTCATTTACTTTGCTGGGCTACGTTGAACATTTCTTACAGGACAAGTCTAATTATGGCAAGCAAACTCAGCTATTGTGTATCTGGGAATGTCTTAATTTCTACTTCGCTTTTGAAGGACAATTTTTGTGGGATATAGGATCCTTGATTGGCTTTTTTTTTTTTTTTTGTCTTGTAGTATGCCGAACGTATGGATCCACTGCCTTCTGGCCTCCATAGTTTCTAGTAATAAATCTGATAGCAATCTTATTGAGGATACACAGTATGTGTAGAGTTGTTTCCCTCTTGCTGCTTTCATAATTCTTTCTTTGGCTTTGGCTTTTGAAAGTATAATTCCAACATGTCTTGATGTTGGTCACTTTTGTTTATCTTAGTTGGACTTTGTTGATCTTCATGGATGCTTATATTCTTATTTTTCTTCAAATTTGGAAAGTTTTTAGCCATTATTTCTCCAAATATTCTGTTGGCCATTTCTCTCTCTCTTCTCCTTCTGGGACTGCCGCAGTGCATATGTTGGTACACTTGACTGAGTCTCACAGGTCCCTTAGACTTGGTTCACTCCTCTTCAGTTGTTTTTCTTTCCAGTCCTCAGACTCAATAATTCAATTGTCCTATCTTCAAGTTAGTGGATTTTTCTGTCTGCTGAAATCTGCTTTGGAATACCTCCAGTACATTTTTCATTTCAATTATTGTACTTTTCATCCTTCAAATTTTTAAATATTTTTTATTCTTTACTAACATTTCCATTTTGTTTTTACATTATTTCCTCAACTCCTTTTTATCTTTAGTACTTTGAGCATCTTTAAGATAGTTATTTTAATGTTTTTATCTAGTAAATTTGCCTCAGGTCTTGTTCAGGAATACATTCTGTTGATTCTGTTTTCCTTTTTTTTGAGAGGGAGTCTCACTCTGTTGCCCAGGCTGGAGTGCAGTGGCGCAATCTCAGCTCACTGCAAGCTCCGCTTCCTGGGTTCACACCATTCTCCTACCTCAGCCTCCCGAGTAGATGAGACTACAGTTGCCCACCACCACGCCCAGCTAATTTTTATTTTGTATTTTTAGTAGAGACGGGGTTCCACCGTGTTAGCGAGGATGGTCTTGATCTCCTGACCTCGTGATCCGCCCGCCTGGGCCTCCCAAAATGCTGGGATTACAGGTGATTCTGTTTTCTTTAAATGACCATACTTTCCTGTTTCTTTGTACACCTTGTGACTTTTTTTTTTTGAAGACTAAGCATTCAAATCTAATAATTGTGATAATTCTAGAGATCAGATTCTTCTCCTTCTTCAAGTTTGCTGGTTTTTTTTTTTTTTTGTTTGTTTGTTTTTTTGAGAAAGAGTTTTGCTCTTGTTGCCCAGGCTGGAGTGCAATGGTGCAATATCAGCTCACCGCAGGCTCTGCCTCCCGAGTTCAAGCGATTCTCCTGCCTCAGCCTCCCAAGTAGCCGGGATTACAGGCATGCGCCACCACGCCTGGCTAATTTTGTATTTTTAGTAGAGACACGGTTTCTCCATGTTGGTTAGGTTGGTCTCGAACTCCTGACCTCAGGTGACCCACCCACCTTGGCCTCCCAAAGTGTTAGGATTACAGGCGTGAGCCATATATACATGCCCAGCCACTGCTGTTTTTTTAATTGCAATTTTTGCTTTTGTTTATTATTGTAGGCCATCTCTGTTCCAAGGTTCAGCCTAAAGCAAACTTAAAGTCTTCTAAGGTATTTTTCTGAGCCTTTCTCTGGGCACCAACTGGTCACTTTCTAATTTTTCTCCTATATGCACTTGTTTTTGAATAAACTAGTATTTAATATTTGGTTCTAAAATGAAGAACTAGAGAAAAATGAAAGAGGAGTATAAACAGACACTAGGCCTTTAGATGTCCTAGAAGTCACTTTTGCCAAAGGAAGAGGAGCTTGCAACAATGAGCAAGGTGTGGCAACAATGTTCACCCACCTCTGTCTGTAGCTCTGAAATCAGAAGTGTCAATCAACAATCAAAGAACAGATACCCCAAATGTAAAGGACAGCATCATTTTTGCTTACCCTGGCTCCTGCATTCTGCATGCAAGCTTCTCCTGTTTTTGACAGTTAATATTTTAATAGGCCATATGTTTATCAATTCCCTTGCTCACTATCACATCAAATTTACAGCTAATTTTCCTGATTCCTGAAGTAAACAATTTGTTTCCATGTTGTTTCCATTTACATTGGTGATAAAGTATATGTTTTGTGTGTCTGACACAATAAACAAATCGTGCCCTAGTTTTATAATTATTTTTTAAATTTCCACTTAGTCTTTTTGTAATATTTTACTTTATTTTGATATTCATCATTTCTACTGAGAAATTTGCTACCATCTCATAGTAATTTATCTGCCTTTTTAAGATCTTCCTCTTTGAAGTGACACAACCAAAAGGCAAAAGGAAGATCTTAAAAAGGCAGATAAATTACTGCCTTTTTAAAGTATATATATTTTTTTCCATTTGAGTTTCATTGTCATCTTAAATCTGAGGGTTTACATAAGTGATTCTATATTGTTTTATATTATATAAATTATTAATTATTATAGTTTATTACACTTTATGCAATTATTATTCATTTTGACCAAAATATTAACTTCTCCCTTCTCTTTCTATTGTCTACTTTAGGAAATATTGTTGCATATATGTTAGTCCTGACTTTATATCTTAATTTTTCATTTATATTTTCCTTCTCTTTTCCTAAATACACTGCATTATTTGATTGACTCCATTATTTATAATTCAGGTCTATCTCTGAACTTATTTAATCATCCTCCTCTTTTATTTAAACTATTATTTAACATATACATATCAATTTTAATTTTAATAATTCACTTTTAATTTTTAGAAGATATATTTTGGCTTTTTCAATTTTAGGAACTTATTCAAGAAATACAGGGTTAGTATAAAACTTGAAAGTAAAATAATAAACAAAATGATCATCAATGTAGAAATATAGAAAAAGTCTCAATAGTGTATACATTTTGCCTCTCTCTAATTTCATCAGTAGATTAAATGTAGTATTAGTTAAAAACTTAGCAGGAATGTATAGAAATTCACTACTGATAGTCACATATGCTATTTTTGGAAGTTAAATATAATATAATAATTTGGAAAATGATGCACCTTGGATAGCTTCATATGCATACACACACATAAACTCACATGTAATATTCGGTCTCACTTTTCAACTCATATATGTATATACCAAAAGAATTGCATATTTTGCACACAGAAATAAAGTGTACAAAATTGTAGCAAGTAGTATTATTCACCATAGTACAAATTTAAATACACTTTAAATGTCTGTTAGCAGTAGAATGTATAAATACAATTCTGATACTCAAATATAGTAAATTATACTTATTGATGATAGTTCCTCTATAAATCATCACTAACACCAAATTACTGAATACTGATTTCATAAAGGAAGTGAAAAGTTATGATCTGTTGAGCTTTTGTTCATAATATTTTAATCAACCAATCAATACATCACCTTGCTTTATGTATGTATATGTCTAAAGACACCTTATTTAATATACATTGTTAACTGATGAAGATGGAACTCATGGCCAACAGCATTACAACTCATGCCTTAACAAAACTTACTGTTAGGTGCATCACAACCTTCTTGTACTTGGGAACTCTAGACAGCACTTCAACACTATGTGTGGAGGACATTTTAAACAGCAAAATTGTCAAAATCACCGATTTTTTTTTAAAGGTGTTAAATTGAACATGGAAAGAATATTCATTTATAGTATGAAAGTTGAAACAAGAAGGCAGAATATCTTCTTGTTCAAATACACAGAGGCATGTGTATATTTACTAATAAAAAAGTTTTCACATCTAGGTATGCCCACAAATGACCATAAAATGCCATGGTTATAAATAAATTTAAGCAAGTAGGTAACTACAAATACAGAATCCACAATGAGAATCAACTGTAATCAGTTTCTCCACAGCAATAAAAGAAAGAATTACCCTAGCAACAGCTACAAACAAAATGATCTTGCAATCATCATGTAAAGCACAAATAGCCAGATTCAGATTGTGAATATCATACATATCCATTTATGCTCAAAATCAGTCAGTAGTTACATGTGGTAATAGAAATCTACACAATAATTTCCTTCAAATAGGTAGTATCTAGAAGGAGTAATACAAATAATTATTATTATAATAACATGGTCATAAGGAGAATGCATTTGGACTGTGCCCCAATTTATCAACCTATAAAAATGTGTTTAGATACTAAGTTGAAAAATCTCCACAATCATGATTGTATCATATTATTATCTGCTTTAGCAATTTGTGAAGTCTTTTAAGTTCCCTTAGTATTTCATAATAATAGGCATTTTGAAAAATAATACAGTTTATGTAATTATTACCATATCACTTGAACATTTTATTATTAATATTTTCTATTAATTTTAAATGTTTCACCATTATTTGAAGGTGGAATTATATGAATAATAAGTGATGTTAGCTCTTTCCACTTTTGAACATCACTTAGATAATTTATATTCAGAGAGTATAGTTCTCTAGTTTGAAAACTCAATTTAAAAACCAGCCTGGTTATTTCTAAAATATATTTCCAATTTTAATCCACCAGCAAGGAGTTTTGATAATCCCAAAATGAATGCTTGTCATTTGTGTTGGCCTATGTTGCAGCTGAAATAAAAAGCCAATCTAGTCAAAATCCAACAGTCTCAAAAATCGGAAACAAAAGAAGTGAAATATACAGCAAAATTTTTTCTCACAATAAATATCAGACCATTAGATTGTATATTCATAAAAAATGTGTAACCTCAGGGCCTTAGGGTTTTCTATTAGAATAACTTCTTCCTTTTACTCATGGTTGTACTGCTCATTCTCATATTAGAAATTGAAACATTAGGCCAGTTATTCACTGTCAATTTATAAACCTGGAAGTGCCAGCTCTTCATAGAAGAAATGTTTTTCATGTTTGTATTTGTGAAATAAGAAACACAAAATAAGCATTTGTTAAATAAGTACAGAATATATGGATGAAATGCTACATGGGTGAGTGAATGGATGGATGGATGGATGGATGGATGAATGAATGGATCCATGTGAAGTTGTTAATCACTTTTAGAATGTGTAGTCCTACTTTGAACATCTTAACACTTTTTGTAGTGCTAGACAGAAATCAAAATTAGAGGGTTAATTTCAAACCAATATTGACTGAAAACATTCTCTGTAAATGAAAAGAATGTTTTGGGTCCAGTTTCCCCAGAAATTTTGATAGGAAACGGGCATATAGCACTTCCACATGCCAGGGTCTACTATAAATGCTTTACATGCATTATTCATCTAATTCTTAAAATAACTTCGTAAGATACATATATTTATTATTCCCATTTGACAGATTATACATATCTCATAAAGCTAGTTAACTTAATTTCCTCTGAGCTGAGAAGCAAAAGATGAAAAAAATTAAGGGAGTAGACTCTAATGCCAGACTGACTGGACACCAACCCTGTACTTCACCTTGGTTGTTGTGCAACTGATTTCAGGTAAAGAGCATGGGCTGCAGCAGTCAGTGGCTCAAACTTGAAGTATGAATTCAGAGAACTGTGAAAGCATGACGATGACAATGTTTATTAGAGATTGCTTTCTCTATCTCTAACCTACTTACATATTATTTATTTTACTACTACCTAGCAAATTCTACTAGGTTACTGTCATCTAGTGAAGCCTACAATTGTCTTGGTCTTTGTTAAGAATAAAATAAGGAGACCTCAATTCCGGTTCTGTAATGATAAGCAGGAATGTCTTAATTGGCCTCTGCCTGCTCCGACTGTGCCTTCCTTGCTCTAGACAGAATAAGCAGCTGGGAGGGAGATTTGTGTGGAGCTAGGCAGGTTAATATTACAAAGTGTTCATGGATCTAATTTTTGAAAACAAAAAAATTAAATTATCTCCTGAATTCATTAGGCTTAAGGAACAGAATGAGAGAAGAGTTTGCAGAAAATGCATAAATTTTCTAGTTATCCAAGTAAGGAAACACATTATCAGTGACAATCAAGTTACCTGGTAAAGATTACTACAATGATATAAATATTTTTTAAAGATTTACTTTTTAAAAAGTAGTAATTATTCATACCTGAACAACTTTTTGGGACTGCACATCAACAATAAGGACTCTGTCCAAAGTTGGCTGTGCAACATAAATGAACTTGTCTTTGACATTAACAGCTGATGCCCACACACACCTCTGAACTTCATCTCCCTCAGCTTTGGGACAGACTTCATCCTGTAATTTAGGAAAGAGAAAATGAAATTTATACCTTAAATTATAACACATGCCTGACAATATCATGGGTAAAATTAATGTTTCATACTTTACTACTTTCAGCATCAAATGTTAAATATATATATATAAAGTTTAATTAATAGAACATATTTCAGTTCATTAAATATGTATAGAAAGCAATGTAAATGAGATTCCTTTAAAATAAATTTTATGTTCTTAATTACTTATTTTTCTAGTAAAATGTAGTTCTTTCATTTTTTTTCCTACTTGGTTATAACTCAGCAACTTCAGAAAGTCCAACATCTTTCCTCAAATTTTCTCAGTCTCAAGGTTCTTTAACAGAATAAATGTCACACTAAAGTATATTCCGAGTTTTACACAACATTGGTGGCTGTCCTCATGGCAAATTCATAGTTTTGTTAAGAGTCATGTAATCTTGTGGAAAAGACTGCAGGGTTCTTTTAATTTGTAATAAATCAGAGGCTTAAATAAATTATAATAAGATAGTTATTCACAATGGTTATTTTATTTTTCAATCAAGGTCAAATTGTATAAAATCTTTCAATATTCCCAAAGCTTCTTATTCTGCTTCCTTACCTTAGAACTGCCTTCTGGTTGAAGACTGCATACTTTGTGTTAGATGACCATAAATGAGGCCAAGAAAGCCCCTCTATTTCCTCTTTTCCTTCATATTGTCAAAAAATGATTGTGGAGGAGATATGCAAGCCCTTGTGATTTATCCTGGGAGTCACAGCATAAGTAAAAGCGTATGAAATGTTTTCACGTTTTCTTTTATTCACTGTTCCATTACAGTTAGGAAAACCACTAATAAGAGAGACTGGTTAAAATGTACATAAAATGTATGTGCAGGCCGGGCGTGGTGGCTCACGCCTGTAATCCCAGCACTTTGGGAGGCCAAGGCAGATGGATCACGAGGTCAGGAGATCGATCCTGGCTAACATGGTGAAAACCCATCTCTACTAAAAATACAAAAAAATTAGCTGGGCGTGGTGGTGGGCACCTGTAGTCCCAGTTACTTGGGAGGCCGAGGCAGGAGAATGGTGTGAATCCAGGAGGCAGATCTTGCAGTGAGCCAAGATCGCGCCACTGCACTCCAGCCTGGGTGACAGAGCGAGACTCCGTCTCAAAAAAAAAAATTATGTGCAGTAAAAATGTTATTTACATAATAATAATGTAATGATAAACAATTATTCCAGTATTTCATTTGATTTTTTGTCTGACAATTAACAACGTCTAATTTCATTTATTTGTATACTCCAGTTGTTATCTCTAAGCTAATTTAGAACACTATTTTTTCTAATCTATATAAAACCATTAGTTTTTCAGCAGAGATACCATTCATATGTATTTAATACTCATAAGACAAAAATCAACCACACTTTCATCATCACTATCACCAAGCGTTTATTTTTAAAGATAATACTGATGGCAGATATACCACATTTGACATTGAGTAACCACATTGAACAACTAAAAATGTAACCTTTCTCAGGCTGCATAACCATCATAGGTGGTTTTCCTTTTTGCATAAAATTTGGAAATTAATGTAAATAGCAAAGCACTTTGCAATGAGACATCCAGTGTGTGGCCTGCTGTTTATGTTCTCCAAATGTCAGATCTAATTCAGGAAGGCTCTGGAGTGTCCATTAATTTTTAAGATCTGGTTCAGTATTGCATGGTTTAGGAACATGAAACAATAGTGTTCTCTTCTAAACAGCACAGATTGTTCTAAGCTTCTAAGACATAAGCGGAAAGTCTGAAAATGAAGCATGAGATGTATGGTGTTTCAGGTAGTCCTGGAGTTATGAAATTAATTCTATGTACCATGGCCATTACAGGTGACTACTCGGGAGGTCAACCTGAGTAAAGTCCTTGGCACTCTTAAGGAGGCAGCCCAAAGGCAGAAGTCTGTCTTCACTACATGCTTAGAATGCAGTATTACACTTTCATTCACCAATTCCTACTGACACACTGTTTTCTAAGTCAACCTTTTCTTCAGAAATATACTGAATGTCAAGGACAAGAATCTATTTTGCGAGAAACAAACACTCGATAAAATATGTACTTGAGAGGCATGAAGAAGTGGGAAAAAAGTGGGAACTAAGGTTGGTGAAAGGCTCTGAATACAGGGAAATTGTTTACAAATTCTTCGCCATTGCGTAAAACCTGCCAAAGTAATGAAAAGTGTGAGTGACCTGACAAATAACTGTCAGCCAAACAACTGCTGAAACACGAAAGATTTCCACCCCTTTGTTTGCTACAGAACTATTCAACAGTAAAATAAACTGCTCTGCTGGAAATTATTTTCTGTTTGGATGCTGTCCCTATAAGACATCCTTGACCAGACTTACAAGCATTTTTACAAAGCCATTAAAAGTTTCCTGACAGTCATCCTGGATTTTCTTTGCTTTGGTTTATGCTATTATTTCTGATTATATTATATTATTTCTCACTTTACAATAGCACTCTTTTATTTTCTCAGATTAACATTGATTTCTATGGAAGAAAAATAGTAGAGGAATGTTTTTAAGCATGAATTAGAGATTTAATGGGCCAAAAAGGAGACACAGAATCCAGAGATGAAAAATAAGATTAAGATAATACATACTGATGAAGAAAGCTGCCAGGGATTATATCAAAGAGTATTATTAAATCGCTTTTACAGAAATGTATACTAACATTTAGAGTGAACAGAATAAATAAGATATTAAACTAATGGAGATGAGAGTCCTGGAAAAGACAATTCTAATTTATAATTAGAATTTATTTCTTTTGGATCTTTTCCATATTTAATCACATATTTCCTACATATGTATTATACTTTCCCAAAATGTTAAGGAGTACAAGTTATATCACTACTGATGGTATAAATTTTAATTAGCAATTTAAATAATGTTACTCATATCTGATTTGCTAAGCCAAAGTAAATCAAACAGAATCATATATACACTTGTCTTCTACTAGGATGTTGCCATTTTCATTTATTAGACTAATTACCTATTAAAAATACTTTGCCCTAAAATCTTTAAATTCCAATCTTTCCTTCCTTCTTTTTCTTATTCTCCTTCTCAGGTCATCCGGCATCATTCCTAAAGACAGATATTTCTCACAAACATGTCTATTCTCCTTGCTTTCACCTCAATAAGTTGCTGTCAGGACTACCTCCTCTCATCCTTCTATCTAAAAGATGTGTCCACTACTCCTTACTTTCAGAAATATCTGCCCTCAATTTTTCTTATAATTTTAACTATTCAAGTATTCAAACATTCACATTGCCCCATAAATTTAAGAAACACTTCATAAAACAGTTTCAATTGAATTAATATTTCCATTTCAATCATCCATCTAATTATCTTCAGACTTTTGAGCAAGCTTTCTGGAACATTACTTCCATTTCCCAACCTTTCGCTCTAAACTAACCATGCTTCACATTGGCTTTCATGACATCATCTCTTTTAAAAGATATATTTTCAAGGTCACCAGTGGCCTCAGAATTTCTAATTATTATCCTTTATTTCTCATTGGAAAGCATTTATTGAGAGCTTACTATGTGAAGAATATTGTGCAAAGCTATGTTTGAAAATTAAAAACATGAATAGGAGAGAACGCTTGCTTTCAAGTTGCCTGTAATTTCTGCCGCATTTAGCTGTTTTAGACACTTGATTTGTCATAAAAGGTTCTTTCATTCTTGCAAGGCAGAGATTGGCAAATAATGGTCCCCCAGGCCAAATTTGGCCCACTGCCTAATTTGATATGATCCAGAAACTAGGAATGTTTTCTTATCTTTTAATGGTTGGAAAAAAATAAGAAAAAGGAGTACAATTTCATGACAAGTAAACATTATATGAGATTCAAATTTACAGAAATGAAGGTGTTGTAACCCAACTACAACTATTCATTTAAATATTATGGCATCTTTCATGTTATAATGACAGACATATGAACTGAAAAGTCTAAGATATTTACTTACTACCTGGCCATTTGCAGAAAAAAAGTGTTGCTGATCCCATGTTAGTGTACATTCTGACCTTAATTATCATTTTTGTCCTATTATTTAAATTATTTCTGCCTGTGGCAGCTCCTTTATCTTCAGTTCCCTGGATGTGGCTTCAGAAAAGCCAAGGCTCAGACTTTAGTTTTCTGCTGTAATTCTTTTACATTAAATTCCTCTGAAAACTCATCCATTCTGATTGCCTAATTACTATCATGGTCAGGTAACAACCAGACACTAATCTATGGCTTTGTCATTCACCAGGCTTTCCTCCGCTGTCACCTTCTAGGAAAATTGTTGAACAGGCAGTTTCAAAGAGAGAGATAATATAGAACAAAAAAGTATACTATCTTAAAGGAAGCATTAAAGTTGATCCAAAACTTAATGAAATAAATAAACCAAAGAAAGAATGAAATATTTGCATACGTGAACACGAAGAAAGTGATTTGTATTACAAAAGTTTAAAAAAACTGAGTAGTTCTATACAACAGGAGACTATTGAATAGTAACATAACAAAGTAAAATTCATAATAAAAATATTCCAAACATATATTGAACATAAGTATAGTTTATATGTCAAATATCTTGTCTTTTAGAAAAAAAAGAGTAAACGTATGGACTTTGGAAGATGTGAAACTAAAGCACTGAAAGAGCCATTAATTAAATGCTAATGAGGCCGGGCGCAGCAGCTTACACCTGTAATCACAGCACTTTGGGAGGCCAAGGCAGGTGGATCACTTGAGTTCAGGAGTTCAAGACCAGCCTAGCCAACATGGTGAAACCCCATCTCTACCAAAAATGGAAATACAAAAATTAGCCAGGCACGGTGGTGCACGCCTGTAATCCCAGGCACTCAGGAGGCTGAGGCAGGAGAATGGCTTGAACCCAGGAGGCAGAGGTTGCAGTGAGCCGAGATCGCAGCACTGCAGTACAGCCTTGGCGACAGAGTAAGACTCCGTCTCAAAAAAAAAAAAAAAAAAAAAAGTAAATATCTGGTTCTCTGCGTAATTTGGATTACAATGCATTCTGTAATTTATGTGAATAAAAACAAACTGTCGCTGGTATTATGAAGAACACAGAAATACAAATGTGATAAATAAGGTGGCCTAACATGTATACATCCAACTTGGGTTCCAAAATAGGGAGCCTTGGAGATTCACCCATGTTTCTTAGGCAGACACTGCTAGACAAGTACTGAAAGAAAACAGATGTTGAGACAAAGGAGGGGAGAGAGGGTTTGGTGTCTTAATATATCATTAAATAAAGGCATGTAAGTCTGAAAACTTGTGGAAACACTGCAGGCCTGGGTCTCTCACTGATCTAGTTAGTAGTTATGAAAAATAAACATATTTTAGTAGTTTTGCATTGTTTTACTTTTATGCTTCTCTACCAATCAGGTTCCTAAGACAGGCAGAGAGTCCCTACCCACTTGTTGTAACTGAAAATTGAATTGGGATGTTCTCTGGGCTGCCAATGTGTGTAAATTAACCACTCTCTCTGCTCCTTCCTGCCACAAATAATGTATAAGATTGCATCATAGGAAATACAACCGTCAACACAGTCTTCTGTTTTCTTCAGAGTTTCTTTTAATTACTCTTTCCTAGTGCCCCCTCTTTTGTAAAAAAATAATTAATACATTTTGGTATGAATTTTAATTAATTAATTACAAATGTATAACTTTTATATCCATTGTTTATCAACAAATGTCCTGTCCATTAGCTAGAGCACTCTACTTAATATTTCATGAAAAGAAAAGATTTTCCACAGCTATTGAAAAGCACCCCAAAATACTTTGTCAAATTATTTTCAATCTATATTTGGCAGCCAAATTTCCAACACCTACATAATTCATTCCTAACTTTGAGGTGTTTCACTGATTTTTTTCTTGTCTGAATTTTCACAGAATTTTTATTTTGTGACATATAATTTGGCAATGAATCATATATTATATTTCCAATTAAAATGTTAGCCTTTGCTATTCCAGTATTTCTACATTTCCCAAACATAATGCTGAAGGTGCAATATTTGCTTAGTAAATACGTGTTTAAATATCACTTATAATAGCCAAAAAGAAAAAATAGTCAAGAAGTGGTGTATGTTACTCAATCACGATGTTAAACACTATGCAATGTCATGCAGAATCATTGAGAAACTGAATTCTAGAGTAGTACTAATCAAAATGTGGTCTGTAAACTGCTGCCAGTTGGCATACAATTTGCTACCAAGCTGAGGATTCCATAGAAATTGAAAATAACCATTTAGAAACTTTTATAGCAATTTGACATTGCCATAATATCCCTGTATGTGATCAGTAGACCTATCTACTTTAACAGTATTTAAACCAGTTTGGGTATTGTCAAATTTGCCTGGAGGATTTCATGTAGTGAAAACTACCTACTGGTTTTACAAGAGAAAAACAGAATGAGCAAAAATCAGTGATTTTTTTTTCTCCCACAGAGTTTAGGAAGCACTGATTTCATGCTTTTTTATTCTAGCGCTCTCTCTCTCTTTCAGTATTTCTTTCTTTTAAGTATGTATTTTTAACCGAACCTGTCACAATCTGAGTCTATTGCTGTAAATTTTAAAAGTGAATAATAAAATACTTGGAGATATAATGTTCAGTTTATCAAATGCAAGGAATATAAATAATTATTCTGAATGAGGATTTATTCAGTTTGTCATAAATCAAGGCAAATACAACACAGTTACTTTTGTACTGAATTAGAATATTCAGGTTTAGATTCCTAGGATATATTTACAGTCATGTAGAAATATTTATCTCTATACACACATGATCAAGTCTGAGCTATTTGTGAATATGCTAGATATAAAGTTCCCTTCAATATTGCTTTGCAATATTGGAAAAAAATCTTACAAAAATACATTAAATGATTTGGTAGCATTGAATAGCCTCCAAATTTGACCATTTTTTAAAGCACTGAGGATAAAATACTTTCATAAGTTTTAACTGAGATTACTGCTTATAACCAAAGCAATACTTTTTTTCTAAACTGAGATATATTAAATTTATCCCATTCAATTTCCGATTTCATTTATAAATATCATAAGTAGTCTTTCTCATATTAGTCAGAACATAGGTAGTCATGGTAACGTGGGGGCTCTATTTGCCTAATTTGTGCCACATTGACACACTGTTAGGTAGCATGGTTTTGCTTTAGGATATCAAAGGTCCAAAGGCTACATTACAGAAATTTTTATGCTTTCTTTTAATATATTATGTCTTTCAGCTATACAATAAAAACAAAGCTTATGACACTATGCTATCATAAGCTGAGCATTGTTTTCTCTTTATAAATAGTGTATTAGAGAGGTTAAAAAAAACAGGCTTTGAGGACAAAGAGACCTCAATGTAGTGTCCAAGGGTGCACTTATATTATCTGTGCAAGTAGACCTGTTGAGGCTTGTTAACTCATTGGTAAATTGGGTATAATGATATTACCTATCACATGGCGTTATTGTGAGAAGTAAATAAAATCATATTTGAAAAGGTGAAGTGATCAATAAAAGTTACCACTTATTTTCATCTAGGAAATTATCGATGTACTACATTTGACAAAAATTATAACAGTCTACATGTTTTTGATGCAAACTTTTTTTTAAATTCTACCAAATGTTTTGGAAGGAAGTTTGCTGTGCATGTTCAAGAGATTCAGAGAGCTACTTTAAATGTGGCATGATTATTGCATATAGGGCAAGGAGAATTTTATTCTCTCTATCTGGCGTTTGGCAGTCCCGTGACTGAGCAAATCACTTGATCTTTCTCATTTCTTTACCTGAAAATCGAGAGGATTAAATCAGAGGTTTGTCAATTTTTTTGATGAAAAAAATTATTTGAATTATTTTAACTCTGCTTAAATGTAAAATGTTATAGTGGTTTTTAAAAATATTGAATTAGATGAGAAAAGCTGGTTTAAAAAGACACAACTGTAGGGTGTTAAATTTCAAATGCTTACAGAACATAAAAACCAAATTCTAGATGCTTCTTGAATGCAGGACTAGATGATTGCTTTCCTGGCTTTTACAGTTACTGTAAAGGAGCTGAAATCCTGGCTAGGGGGAAGGTCCAGGGGCCATTAGACACTGAGAACAGGAGAGGCAGGCACTTAATGTCTGTTGGGAAAGGTAAACATTTGAATAGTAGGGAAAGCAAATTAAATATCAAGAAAAGGTCTAGAGTTAGGTCCAAAAAATAGAAAATAGAGCTTGACAAAAAGGTGTTGGAATTGAAAGCCAATATTAAAGCATTAAAGAAATAGGACAACTACTAGATGTATATCAGTAATTGCAAATTGTATGAACAATGAGGGTTTATGGATGAAACTAATTTAAACCTAGTATGGATAAGTTGGAATCAAAGAATTAGATGTGTTTAAACTTTCCTCAGTTTTGAATTGTATAGGAGCAGTGATTTTCTTTCTTTAACTTGTGGCACACAGCACAATTAGTAGATTGGTTAGTGAGGGAAAAAAATTAAAACTAAAGAAAATAATTACCACATAACACATGAAGTTAACTGACCCCCAACTATTGATTAATAAATTCTTATCATTGAAAAATCAATAAAATATTTGTTTTAAATGCCCAAAGTACACCTTTCTGTACAATTTTCCTGACAATAGATATTCAACCTTTTCATTAAACTTTGAAAAGAGGGAGTTTAGGATACTTTGTTAATGCAGCTTTTAAAACATGGCTGCAGGAATTAAAATGCAGAATTTTTTTTGTACTTCAGTCCTATCTTGTAGAATTCATTTTCGCAGCCTGATTTTTCATTTAGTGGGTATTTTTTATTTCAAAATCTGCATTATATTTGCTTTATTCATATAAGTGGAAAACAGAGACATGAATTCTGTTGAAATAAAAATTCTAGTTATTAAAAGACATTTTATATGAATTCTAGTTGGATTTAATTCACTCTGATCCTCTGAATTTCTAATATTATTGTGGAATAAATTTCATTATTTCTTGTCATTACAAATCCATAAAAAATCGAAAACAAACTTTTAAGGAAAAGCATCATACAGTTTGAAGATGGAACATCCGATATAATACAAGTTCTCCTTTCTCCCCCTTAAATGTTTCTCTCTCCTTTTAGTAATGACACATGAGTTCTGATAACACATGTTGTACAATTTCTATTTTTGGAAACCTTAGTTGAAGAGTGAGACAGGTTTTATTAATTACTTTTCTAGATATGCATATGTAGCCTTTCCCTGTGATTATCTCACTCTGCCTACTAACTAAAAAATGTTGACATGGAAGGATAAATCAGGTGGATTTTGTGACTGCTGGATTATCCACATTTGATTCAGTACAGTATATCACTTAGGAATAAAACTTTTTTTTTTCCTGTGGCACATAATCTTACAATACAGATGGTGCTTAGTTCTTGCATCTTTCCATATTGTCTAGCACAGAAGTGCCTTATATGGAACAAAGGCTTAACAGGTTTACAAGACTACTATTGACTGAAAAAATTACTCTGAAATGCAATCAATTTATCTTTAAAAACTATAAATGTTTTACAGAGATAATTATATGTGTTTAATTTTTAAGCATTACTGTAATTCACACATAAATTTGTTCTACATAAGAATGACTACAAAGAGCTTCGCATTTGATTTCTTACAGTTATGTGGTAAAATAATATTGGACAAAGAATTGTTATACATGTATACCATTGCTATGTTTTATCAATTAAAGGAAAACCATAAAAAAGATTTGTTTTTTAAAAAAATCTTTTTAAATCTTTAGAAATAAGTGTTACTTAAAGACTTTAGCTCTGTACCTACCTTCATTTTACATGAAAACAGAAATAAAAGGCACGTTATCTTTGTCCATTACATTTATAACTATATATTTATTATCATATTTTATAAAATATTACATTTCATCTGGGCTCTTTTTTACTAAAAATTTAAATAGGGTTCCAGGCCACATTATCCATTTTAGGAAAATTTTTCAGAGTAAGAACTTGAAAACAATATTGAGAATTCACAAAACCTGAGCCGGTGATTTAGTTCAAGGTCCACCGTTAGAAATATATACAGATTATATAATCAGTATGCTATTATTTAATTCTATCTTTTAATTTTTCAAATAAGTTCAAAAGGGAGCTATCGGCTATTAGATATCTTTTGTGAAATTATATTACCTACTGTTTAGTGAAAATCACAGATTACAGAGTTAAGTTTTGAATGTAAATGATACTAGATACATAGATTTTTAAACATATAATCTCATTCTCCTTTGCTCCTATCATAAGGAGCTAATTTTTCACTTTAAAATAGAGATGGGATAGAACTGATCGCTTCTTTTTCAGGATGGAAGCAATAACACTTAGGAGACAGCCAACAGGCTGGGCATGGTGGCTCATGCCTGTAACCCCAGCACTTTGGGAAACTGTGGTGGGCAAATCACCTGAGGTCAGGAGTTCAAGACCCGCCTGGTCAACATGCTGAAACCCCGTCTCTACTAAAAATACAAAAATTAGCTGGGCGTGGTGGCACGCCCTTGTAATCCCAGCTACTGCAGAGCTGAGGCAGGAGACTGGCTTAAGCCCCAGAGGCAGAGGTTGCAGTGAGTTGAGAACATGCCACTGAAATCCAGCCTGGGCAACAGAAGGAGACTCTGTCTCAAAAAAAAAAAAAAAAGAGAGAGAGCCAGCAAATAGGTCCCATTCCCCATTCCAGCAGAAACACCTTGGTAGAGTTTTCAGGCAATATAGTTCTGCTGCCAGTAGTTGCACCCTTCAAATGTGTTTTATGTTACATTTTCTTTAAAGCTGTACAAATGAGATTTATAATAGGATTATACAATATGCAGCCACATGTCAATTTCATCTCCATTTTATCCTTCTATATCTTTAAAACAGCCTAGTTTCCTGATCTTTTGAAAAATATTTAAATTAGGAGAAATTCAGTAGTATTATTTCCTTTTTTGTGTCCTCAGTGTACATCTGTCTACAAGGGCAACCATTACACTTGAGTGTGCTTAAAATTTATGTATCTGTTATGTTATAATTTTCTCTCCCCTGCCTATCACAATGCTTGACACAAAGCAAATTCCAAATATGGATAAACTAGTAAACAAACCTCAGTGCACGAGTGATAGTTTGGAAGTCAATATTAAATGGGTCAAATTTAGATCTCATCTGTAAACTACTGTAGAGGTATACCATGAAATGTTTATTTTAAAATATAGCCAGAAACATAAATGTTATGTATGTCTATTATTAACTTTTAGTATAACTTTCTGTTAACATGTATATATGCATATAAATGTAATATGTATTTACATGAAAACAGCAGCTGCTTTAATTCTATTGTTTTCTAAAATTAAAAAATAGGTAGATAGCATAGCTCATGGTACAACTATGTTGTTGTTTGGCAAGTTCTAGAGAAATATTGACTCTGCCACTAATTTGCCAAACAACCCATCATATGTCTTCTAAAATTGAATCAACAACATTTTGAAAATAAATGACTAACATAGAAAAAACGAGTTGTAATGGGCAATAAGTCGGTAGCTTAAGTACTTAAAATACGAATGATAATTTTGAAGTTTAAGCTATTTTCATTGTAATTCTTATTATATAATTCTTTCTTAATTTCCATGTGGACAACATGGTATATAAAATAATTATATAGTACATGGAGAATGTAAATATATTTTTAAATACTGAAGAGTTAATTTTTAATATTTACCAATACAAACATTTAGTAAAATAAAATTGAAACACTATTTCCTGTAGTATGTTGTCCTTCCCTCACCACCTCCAAACTGATATTTGTGACTTTTTTAAAATATGGAAAAAAATTTAAAGAAATGGATGTCTTCACTGTTAAATTGAAATTGTGAGAACTATTGTTGAAATATCAAAAGTAAACAATGAGAAATTAAGCCAGTGTTCAGAAACTTATAGTTAAATGAAAAGTTTTAGAAATGTTGAGAAAAATAAAAGATAAAGATTTAATCATTAAAATTGTAAATCTAATCCATGAGTATGCAAAATAATTATATATATTTCAATATATTTAGAAAGAAAAAGTTATTAGAATTGTATAAGCAAAATTATTGTCTCTCATAGAAGAACACGAACAGATAATATTTAATATTGATAATACAAGAAATATCATCACTAACTACCTTTTTTTAGTGACTAAATGTAGCAATTGATTGTATGAGCTGGAACTAGACATAGGGGGACATGAAGGAATAATCTACTATATTTTATAATAAAATCTTTTATTTTATTTTATATTTGCCGTGAATATATATTACCTTGAAAAGATAGGTACTTTTTTGTGTTAAAATAAATCTTAGATGAAAAGACTAAGTATTCTTTAAGACACATCTAATATGATAGATTTGTGTGATTTTGTAAATCTCAAGTAAAATGTTTTGATGTTTAAATATATTTGTATCAATATTTTTTTCCATCAAAATCTTCAATTTTACCTTTAGGAAGTTTCTGTTGAAAAATCTAAATAACCTTAAACACGTTTATTTGTAAAGCGTGCGGAATGCACTTTTACATGTGTATAAGTGAGCCCTTATTAGTCATATAAAAATGTTGTCGATGTATTATCTGAGACACACAACATTCTGATGGTATTCATCCAAACACCTTGGCTACTTGTTATCGATAATCTCTTGAAAGGACTTCATATGCTATTTGGCCCACTTAATAATGCTATGTAACTCCATTAGATTTATAAGCTTTCCACTGTTGTTACCCCCAATTTTAGGCTTACATATTAAAGCTTAAGAGAAACACGAAGTGAGAATTATAAAACAGTGTGATTACTAAGGAAGCTTTATAAGACCTCTTTACATCTACGATGTCAAGCACCGATTTCTTAAATTCATTTCTTTTTAAATCTACAGAATAATCTTCTAAGGAATAGTTAGAAGTAGTTTACATTCCTCTCTTCAGGAAGCTCTTTGCAGGATATCATTGTCACCACAAAGGGAATAAAGCTCACATTTTTATCACTGTATAACTCTCTGTAAGTTAAGCCATGTTTGAAAAGAGACACCCTGAGAAAAAAAAATAAGTGGGGAAACATTTTGATTCCCTTTCTGAAAGACAGTGGTGTTGTATTCAAAAGGTTACTCACTGGCTTCATGGGGAAATGAATTGTTTGCATCATGTAAAGAGGCTGGTATTTCAAATGACTATTTTTGAGGACCAAGTTTGCAGAAGTATAAGTGGACTAGAAACAGAACAAGGGAATTGATGAACACCCTGAAGGCTGCTTTGTTTGAGATAAAGGACAACAACAGCAGAGAAAGAAATGTGGACCATTGAGCTTCCCAATTTCTAATCTCAGTTTCAATTTCTTGAAACGTAAGTATTCTGGACATTACAAACAACCTGTTCCTAAGCAAGAATTCTTTTCTAACAGACTGGTAACAGTAGTTTATAAAGGTAAAATAATTTTGGTTTGTGGAAATGCCAAACCTGGATAACAGACATTTTAGAGGAGACTTACATCAGACTCCCTGTATAAAGTATAATGAGTTCAGTTCTACAGTTCAGTATCATTTAAGTTAGCACTAAAACCAGGAATAGGCTGGCTGAGGTGTCTCATGGCTATAATCCTAGAGCTTCAGAGGTTAAGTGAGGAGAATCTCTTGAGCCCAGGAATTAGAGACTAGCCTGGGCAACCTTGCGAGGCCCTGTCTCTACAAAAAATTGAAAAAAATTAATCAGATTCAGTGGTGTGCACTTGTAATTTCAGCTACCCATGAGGCTAAGGTAGAAGGATCACTTGAGCCCAGGAACTTGAGACTGCAGTGAGCTACGAATGCACCACTGCACTCCAACCTGGGCGAATGAGTGAGATCCTGTTTCAATAAAACAAAACAACAACAACAACAACAGATAAGTAATAGATCTTTCAGGTTCCACAATATAAGACATATGCATAATAAGACACGTGGTTTTCTTTAAAGTTATTTTAGGACCCATTAAATAATAAGTAATACCATGGCATATGTGAAAAGCAGCAGCTAGATCTATAACAAGCAAAGAAGGTGGCTGAATGTAAAAGTATCAAAGAATAAAAGAGTGATAGATAAGGATGGAACAGTAGTAGAAAACCAGAAGAGTGACAAAGTTGGTAATCTTGGGAAAGCTTGTTTTTGAGCCTGTAATTTTAAACATTTTTCCAAACTCCTTTTCAGTTTGACTTCTGAATCCATAAGTCTGAAATAGAATTCTATTTGCTTGAAGTTCATACTCCAGGTGACAAGATGAAATCATGTGTACAACTAGGATAAATATAGAAATAATCGTATCTAGTAAAGCTACATAACAAGATGGAATAAAAGATGAAAAATAGCTAAAAGTTTGTTGTATATATCCTCACCAACTCACTATCAAAAGCTGAAACCTAATGTAATCTGACATTGCACCAAAATTGAGTTTTTATTTACAGCAAGCAAATACCATTTTCTGAGAGATTTGATTCTATACTCTAAATATATCAGGTCTTATCTAAACTTTACTGATCAATGAGTTATATTGGGAAGTATACTACTACTCTCTCTTAATGTCGACCATGAATTTGAAAAATATTATATTCATATTTAATCCCTTTTCATGGGAAAAATGGTTCCAAAAGACTCATTTCCACCACTGGTACTCAGGAAATCTGTCTTCTAAAATGAAACACATTAGCGTTTTTTCTGTACTAAAAACTCATATACAGTGCATTTACACAGGAACTTTTCACTGTGTAATCCTGAATTAATAGATCCATGAGGTTAGAGTCACTCTGAAACAATTCAATAATAAATTACTCTATGAAACATTTTTCACAAACACATTGAAAGAAGAATACTGTTTCATGGCAATTGCAAATTAAGGAGAAATACTAAGGTGGAGAGAGAATTAGATGTATACATTTTTAAACTTAGAGAATGCATAAAACGATGAATAGCTAAGGCTCAAAGCAATGGAATTTTTGTTAAATTCATTTAACAAATGTTTCTTGGCCTGTCATATGTAAGACATTGTACCGAGCATGTTGAGAATACAAACACTAATCAAACTTAATCCTTGACTACAAGTGATAGGAAGATGTGATGGTTGATTTATATGTCAGCATGGCTAGCCTATGGTGCCCAGTTGTTTGGTCAAACACTCGTCTAGATTTTGCTGTGAAGATGCTTGTGAGGTGATTAGCATTTATAATTAGTTGACTTTAAGTAAACAGATTACCCTCCATAATGTTTATGGGCTTCCTCTAATCAGTTGAAGGAATTAAGAGCAAAGACTAAGGTTTTTTCAAAAAGAAGGAATTCTACCTTAAGACTTCAACATAGAAATCCTGCTTGAGTTTCCAGCCTGCTCTATGAATTTAAGATTCAAGACTACGACTTCAACTCCTGTGTAGGTTTCCAGACTGATGGCCTCAACAGTAGATTTTGGACTTAGGACTGCAACATCAACTCTTATCTGAATTTCCTGCTGCCTGGCAAACCCTACAAATTTTGGACTTGACATATCCCACCTGCAGTTGTGTGAGCCGATTCCTTAAAATAAAACTCTCTATATAGGAGATAGATAGAGAAAAAGATAGAGATAGAGATAGAGATAGAGATAGAGATAGAGATAGAGATAGAGATCAAAAGAGAGAAATAGAGGGAAACGTGGCGACAGAGGTAGTGGTAGCAGTAGAGGAACAGACAGAGATAGAAATGGAGAACTTATTGATTCTGTTTTTCTGGATAAATATTTTCTGATTGCATAATATTCAACAAATTTCTCACGAAATTACTTTGGAATTAGAAATATATTATTAAGAGAATGTAGCACTAAATAGCTTCCACACTCTGAATTGCCATCTATCTTGTTTTTAAATGTAGAAAATATTACCTTCATGTAAAAATTATTTAGTTCAACACTTATTCTCAAAGCATAACATGATCAATGCGCTTCTCATTCTATTGCTGTATACTTGCATGTACATGACAGTATTTGTGTATATATATTCCAATTATTTAAGCTTATTTTACATTAAGGAATGAAAAATGACAGAGTAATATAAAATGAGTTTAATTTACTCTAGCCTTTTTTCATATATGTGGCATATAATAATTACATAAGAAATATCTTTCATGTCATGAGTTTCTCCATATATTCTGTATTTAAAAATCATAAGCGGAAATTAGTTATAACAATTCCCTTTTTAAATATTATTCTTAGTTCTTTACAAAATGTTGGTCACCTTAAATTTTGAGCTGTATTTTAATTTCAACATCCAATGCAGTAAAAATGTCATAAATGTTTTCAAAACCAAAATACTATTTGATAGTTTTCTCCTTTCTTAAAAATGCAACAGGCTTTTCTTTTTAATCCTTTTATTACTCTTCCATAAGAGTACAGAAACCTTTATAAACTTTTTAATATAGTATAAGAATGCAAACTTTCTATCCTTGCATGTATTTTTATGTTGAAGTATATGTTTCTAGAATAACTTCATATTCTATAATATTTATCTCACATGCAATATGACTGTAGATTTCCAGGGGCTGTGACTTTAAAAATCTGATATAGCAGATTAGTTATTAGTAACTAGTTATCTCTACTTTGTCGCCGTTGGTGTATGTTTGTGGATAAGGGTTCACTGTTTGAAGAAAATAAGTTAAAGTTGTCATCATTCATATTTGGTTTCTATTTCCTCTTTAATATTTAATTTCTTATCAGAAAATTATACATAGTTTGCATATATAATTTTTCTCTGTATCTATTAATATATTATGTATATTTATTTCTCTATGTATGCATACATAAACATATATGTATACATAGAGACCTGGATACATCACATTGCTTTGTCCTACATCTCTATGTCTCTATGTATGTATATATACATATACATATATATGTATACATAGATAAATATACATATTTAATTGGATACATAGAGAAATAATATGTGTATACATAGAGAAATAAATATACACAATTCTACATTGTTTTTCTTTAGTTGTTTTAGGAGGACATCTGAGTATTATAAAGCTTTAAAGAGAGAGAAATGCAGGTAAATAATGCTCACATCCTTGTTGCCCTGACATGTTGCAAAACTGTCACATCAAATTTTTGCTTGTTTTTTTAACTTGAGATTCCAAGTGATTAAATTAACTCACCCAGAGCTGTCAAGAAATGTTCTGGGAAAGCATGCTCTTTAAGACTTGAGTCACATAGTAATGAAGCATTTACTGATACCCTGAAATAGCACACATGTGGTGCAGGAAAAATATTCTTTGTCTCTAAATTTGCAAATCAGATTCCTGAAGTGATAGTTTTGTGATGAAGAGTATGGATTTCACAGCCTATCTTATTAGTATTAGTAATTGAAGTTTCAAATTCTGTGATATAGCCAAGACATGTGTGTCGTTAGCTGCAAAACTGCTAGTCCTGTAGAAATCAGAGAGAAACACTCTCCTATAAAATTATTTTGCTCTGATTTAAATAATAATATTTGTATTGAACACCACACTACCTATATCTGCATGTTAGTCCATATTTCTTATTCAGAATATTTTTGTAAGAATATGAGTGTGGCTTAAATTATTTCTTTTATCAGCAATAATTTGTTTTTATTCATGTGCTTATGTATTACATACATATATGCACATAAACACAACTTATTCAAAGACTGACTTAATAATGATAACGTTTAAGATTATAAAAGAAAATAGGGCCGAGTGAAGTGGCTCATGCCTCTAATCCCAGAACTTTGCGAGGCCGAGGAGGGTGCATCACGAGGTCAGGAGTTCGAGATCAGCCTGGCCAACATGGTGAAACCACCACGTCTCTATGAAAAATACAGAAATTAGCTGGGCTTGGAGGCACGCGCCTGTAATCCCAGCTACTTGGGAGGCTGAGGCAGGATAATTGCTTGAACCCAGGAGGCGGAGGTTGCAGTGAGCCGAGATCACTCCATTGCACTCCAGTCTGGGTGACAGAGCAAGATTCTGTCTTAAAATAAAATAAAATAAAATAAAATTCCATGTGCAATTTAAGATTTTTTACATGTATAATTAAGTTATAACTTAACCAAAATGGTAAGAATTTTACTTAATAATTTAGCCTATGGCTGAAATATTTTTAAATAAAAGGACATTAGATTTCTTTGTCCTACAAAATATCCAGGAGGAAACTGACCTCCTGGTCATTATCTCCTCTCATAATGTTTTTCCTTTTTTTCATTCTAGGGCATAGATTTAAGGTATAAATTATTGTCTCCATGTATTAGTATATGACAGCAACACTGCCTACTGGTAGGCTGAAATGAGGATTTGAAAAAATTTGATATTTTCCCTTATTTATCTGAATTGTCCATTCCAATGAGACCTCATGAAGAATGAGATGAAGAATAAAAGTGGTTTTACATTTATAAAGCATCTAATATACACCAGCTTCCCACCAGATTATGTACAGGATATTTTATTTTATTTTCTTAAATATAACCTACAAATACAGGAGGTATTCTAAATTGGAGAGCAGGCAAAGCTATTGCAGGTCGTGCTCATCCCTGGTATTTCACTTTTCTTACCTTCATTTTAGCAAATTCTTAGGAATACATAATATATTAGCAAATTCTTAGGAATACATAATATATTATTTTCCTCCTCAGATATAAAACCTAAAAAGAATAACACCGAATATCATGGGTTTCATAATTTTCTTCCAACACGAGTCTCATATATGTATAGGTTTTGTTATATTTCCAAAACGTAATTCTACTTAACAAAATTTCTGCATAAAACGTCAAAGGAACTTTTTAGATACTTGCCTGAAATCCAAGGAGCTTTTCACTAGGCTTAATGTGCCTCTGAAATTCACATTCTATGGGTTGTATCACTTTGATTCCATCTTCATAAAAAACATAGAACATGTTCCCAATTCCCAGACCTTAGGAATAAAAACACATTTAAATGTTCAAAATATAATTATCATAAACCTTTACAACCAAAATTCAGTGCCTCTCATATCTTTAGCAGGAGACCAATTTTCGAAGTTGTGTAATGTTAATAAAGCAAACCATATGGGACCCTTACTGTATACTCGCACCACTTTGTGATATTATGCAGACATTACACTTCATTCTTCCTGTGCTGCAGTTTAGTGGTTTCTTTAATATAATTAAATAAATGTTTCATAGTTTAAAACAGTTATAAATAGGGATATAAACTCTTGATACATAGATTATCTTGGATACCTTCCCCACTTAATGTACATGTTGATTAAGGAGTAAAAGTACTTTCTGAAGAATCAAATTTGTTTTACTACTTTTATTAGAGTTCACTAGGAAAAGTTTAATTTCTTTGCAGGAGTTTGGTTTATATAAAGATTTTTAGGAAGAAAAAGACCAAATGCCCTAGATTTTGTAGAATATAAATTTTCTTAAACTAATTTTTGTCAAAATAATTCTAAATAGAGGTCTTACATATTAGTTTTAATATTGGCAATTTGGGAAGTCTATTTCTATACCTCAAAACAAATTAAGGTATCTGAAAAATCTTAATTTAATGTTTAAATCATACTTTTCTTTTTCACACTACGGATCTGGATGTGTGGTGTCTCAGAAATTCATCTCCCCCCACTTTCTAAATCCATGTCTAAATGGGTGCAGGAGGCTAGTTTGAAACCTGTGTAGGTTAATCAAAGCCTGAGCCCAGGGAACTTCCACATACTCATGAACACCTGTTCTCTTTGTTTCCTCTGCTTCTCCCCTGTTCCAATGTGGCCAGCCCTGAGCTCTTGTAATCCTTCCTTTTCTGGTCCTTGCCTATATAGCTCTTTTGACCTGTTATATTGGTTTACACAGTCAAATTTATTCAGTATAATTATATCTTACATAATTCAGTGATAGCATGTTCTCTTTAAAAGACAGCAATAATATTAAAATCTTGACTGGAAAATCAAACCATTGTTCTTACAATGTTTACATTCTAAAAACATCTGTAAAGAGAAAGATAATTTATTTAAATAAAAAATAATTTTCTAAGCATTATTAATTTTTTTCAATTGTGATCTCCTGGAAGATTCAGCCTGGGCTTTCCATCTATTGAGAATCACAAAAACAGTTTGTTGATTTGTAAAAAATATGTGTTTATTGAACTTCAGTCATATTTAATCTTACATCTTATATGTTTCTAGGGAATAAATAGTCAACAATTTTTCCCATATAACTATGTATCCATATATTCCTAAGATTTAGAGAAAAATGTATATAAACTAAACTATTACTTTATTCATGTTTATATATAGTGTGCATACAATTTTTCTTTTAGCACATGAAATTATTTATAATAATACATATACACTTTAAATTACTCCAGGTTGTTTGATACATCTTATTATTTTATAAATAATTCTCAGTACTTCTATTTTAATAGATGTAATCTTTAATAGTTAATTATCCATTATAATTCCAGAGAGCAATGCATAAAGACGGAATATTCCTGAACAGAAGCAGAAGTGGCAAGCAATAGACTCAAGTCACGTTTTATATAAAATAAAATTTAGTAGTTGTCAGCTATTATTTATAATCATAGTTGTGTTTAAAGGAATATAAATATTACATGCACAAAAGAGAAAGCCGAAACAAAGCACATAAGTATTTATGCCAAAGCTTTTTGATTTGTATCAGCAAAGCCTCCATGTAAACATTAACATATAAATAACTATCAATTTAACATTATTGGTTTCTGAATACTGTTGTTGAAACTTATGAACATAACAAAACCATAATGTGGTGTCTGATTTTCATTTGTGTCTGTTACATACTATGTTTGATTTTTATTACTAAGCTCTTAACATTTTTCAGTGAATATGACTACCCTTCTTTAACTTTGCCAAAATACTGTTCGAAAATTATGAATTTGAATGTGTTTGGGCCTGACAACTACTTTAAGTCCAGATTGTTTGTCATGTTTCTTGAAATATTTCCTTCCCTTACCACTATGCATACTTTTATTAGGTTGTTTTACCATATTCTACACAGAAAAGAGTCAGTGGGATTCCACTATGATTTGTTGCACTGGTGGAATTTGTGAGCTATATTTTCCACTAAATACCACTTAATCCATCCAAATTACTCTTTCAGGTTCTAGAGCATATTTTCTTGTCTTTTAAAATATGAATTACACATGAACGTTTTTACAAAGCATAAACTACTTTTCAGGTTACAAGTTACTGAAGAAATACAGATATTATTAGTCAAGATTTAGTTTTTTATTTGACTGTTTTCAATGAGAATATAAATTCTTAGTGCTTATGAAACAGTAATGCCAACAAATTACTAAATACAACTAGATTAATTAAAATAGCGATTATAAAATAAATGCCTATATACTGGTAACTCAGCTTATGAAATAAAACTTTTCCACTACCTTTAATGGTCTCTGCGAGTCCTCCTCATTCATAAGACTAGATATTTTGCCATTTACATTTTTGCAAGGCATTATTTTCTTCCTCAAAAGTTTTATTTAGAATTTTTGCAGCAGAATTTATGATCTGAACATATGACCTGATGTGTTTCTCTTTCAATTTGCTGCTTTGATATTGTGCACATATAAATTTATTAAGATTATCCTCAGCAAAGAGGAATATAAATGACCTGATGATGGAGATGTTGGAAACTGAAGACACAATGCACATTTTCATTGGGGACATTCATTAGCTTTATGTGTAAAAAGAAAATAATATATTTGTATAGATTTTTACTAACTACTAAATTTATATATATTATATTTTTTGACAAGTGTAGGGATGAGAAAATATGACAAAGAGGGATGATAAATTTCATTCTCTGCATTCAGACAGATCAGAGGCAAATAATAGCTATAGCACTTACTCTTTTACCGTGAGAATGTTAGACAGTGTGATAATTTCCCCATATCAAATTTAAAGATAATAATTATACTATGTCATGCAGCTGTTGTAAAATTTCCATTAGTTAGAGAATGTAAAATATTTAGCAGAGTAACTCACACACAGCAAGATTTCAAAGAAATGGTAACCTATTTATTTATGTTTTGCAGGTATCTATTCATTATAACACTACTGAAAAAAGCAAATGGTGACATGATATATAACCAGACTTTGATAACTATTCTCATTTCTCCTCAAACCCATATATGCTAAATTTTAATTTTCTATGATATAAAATTTTAAGTTCTGTTTTCCCAGAATCCTTGAGCCAGCTAAAAGATCAACTTTATTTTCTAGTAAAGCATTTCTTAAATTTGGCATATATGCATGTGTGATACACATGTGTGTGCATAGATATAATTATGTATGATTTCAACCAATGCCATTTATTATGAAAACAAATATTCTATTACATTATAACATTTGCCTTGCTAATTAGTGTGTGAAGTTAATAATGAAGATTTCCATTCAGTGTTTTTCAATACACCTTTGGAAGTTAAGGAGATTGTATACTTACTCAAAAGGACTGGTTTTAGATAATATCACTCTGGCCAATATATATAGTGTTCAGATGGTACTCACTTCCTGGAATAACAGGGCCTAAAAAAGAGCTTGACACACTCACTCCCAAAAAACTTTCTAGCAAGAATGAATGGATAAGCAAGTCTTGTTCTAGTTGAACATAATATAAAGACTTTATTGAGGTGCAATGATATGATTTTGGGCCAAGCCCAAACTGTTTTCCTAATACTACTAAGATGTCATTCACATTTTTTCTTGTATTATTATTACTTTTAATGTAGGGTTTAGTTTTCAACAGGCTACATGAAGTAGAATGTTACGTGGGATATCACAATTCATGCAGAAGCAGATGTAAGAATCCAGCATCTTCTATTAAGCCTGAAAGCTAAAGGATTTGCAAAATGTAAACAATGTTTTACCTTTTATTTGTTTGAAAACTTAGCTTTAAAAAGATAATATGCTATTTATGGCTCCATGTAATGGGTTTATTAGGGCTATTTTAACAAGTTAATGAATGCATATTTTAAAAATTTCTATTTCCATTTCTAATACTAAATATTAGTAGATAGAGATACACCTCTCCCCAACCAAACACAAAGTTCTTTAAGTTCTCAATATTTAAGTTTGTAAAGGGGTCCTGAGTCTCAAAAAGTTTGAGTAGTGGTGATCATTACTTCTCTCTTCATGAATGCATTGTGGTGAAGTATATTACAAACATTATTGACTTCAGTGAAAGATTCTACACTACTCTAGACATGGTAAAGATCGGGAACATGTGCAGATTGTTTTTCGTTTTTGTTTTTTTTTTCCTTTTTCAAGCTCTGGTGAAGGCAGGCAAAAGCGCTTAGTCTTTTTTTTGGGTTGATTGTTAATCTAACAGAGTATAGTGACTCTAGAAGTTATCCATAATTTGTTTGTTCCTTAAGAGCTTTCTTTCTGCTTTTTCTTTCTATACACAGAAAAGACATAAGCAAGAATTACTCCTGCAGTCTTACAAGACAGAAGTATTTCCCAGAGGATTTTCTAATCAATATTGTACCCTTAAATACATGAAATGGACTGAGAAAAAAATGGATATAATGCACTTTCCTATCTCAATCCTTTGGGAATGGGAACCACTCAAGAACAGTAGTGTATTGTGAAATATAGTTATACTACCTATTATATACAGTGGATATATACTATGTAATCTACACTAGCAATACAATTTGATTAATTTCTGATCATTGGATGCATGTTTATGTGCATCATAAAAAAGATTTTGTGATGTTTTTCTTCCTCTGACTTAATTGTCATTAGTTTTGCATTCATATTATAGTCCATGAGAAGTTATAAGTGTATGATGTAGTGATTTGGTAGCCAATCAAAGGTATTTCAATAAATTACGGTGTTATACAGAATCCTTCATTTGTTGATATTATCCTTTTTACTTTCAAGTGATCCTAAAAGTATGCATATTTTTGAAATATGGAAGAAATCTCCCATCTTTAGATAAAGAATAATATAGGCAAGAATAGATTGCGTTGCATTTTCTCACTGAATAACTCAGCACGGATAGATCTTTGGTTCATGAATGTTCTCATTCACTATATCCTGACTTTGGAGATAACATTGTCTTTGTACACAGAGCAAAATCATACCATTGCACCTCAATAAAGTCTTTATATTAAGTTCAACTAGAACAAGACTTGCTTATCCTTTCATTCTTGCTAGAAAGTTTTTTAGGAGTGAGTGTGTCAAGCTCTTTTTTAGGCCCTGTTAATCCAGGAAGTGGGTACCGTCTGACCACTATGTATATTGGCCAGAGTGATAGTATCTAAAACCAGTCATTTTGAGTAAGTATACAATCTCCTTAACTTCCAAAGGTGTACTGAAAAACACTGAATGGAAATCTTCATTATTAACTTCACACACTAATTAGCAGGGCAAATGTTATAATGTAATAGAATATTTGTTTTCATAATAAATGGCATTGGTTGAAATCATACATAATTATATCTATGCACACACATATGTGTATCACACATGCATATATATAATTTAAGCCAATGTCATTATATACTTGTATGTACATGTGCACATATATAGATATCGCTACAAATGGATATCTCTTGCAAGATCAAATTTTTGATGAAAAAAATTGTAAAATGATTTAAAAAGCTTAGACTGATGTAAGTTTTTAGCAGACCAGTTAGTGAACTGGCCAGTAGAAATAACAACAGGTTGATTGTGATTTAATTTAATTGCATCACGTACTCGCCATTAGAAAGCATAGTCTTCCCCTCCCCCCAATGCCATGACTAAATCTCATGTATTCAGAAGACTTATTCTGTGAGAAGTCTTTTTCTTTTTATTTATTTTATATTATTACTTTTATAGGCCCTGTTATTTCTGAGGCAGGATATTGCTCTGTCCCTCAGTTTGGACAGTGGTGTGGGTGGCATAGAGGGCAGTGGAGCGATCACTGCAGTCTTGAGCTCCAGAGCTCAGGGATCCTCCCACCTCAGTCTTCTGAGTAGCTGGGATTACAGGCATGAGCCATCACGCCCGGCATTTTTTTTTTTTAATTTTTTGTAGAGACAGGTTTTTGCTATATTGCCTAGGCTGTTCTCAAACTCCTGGCCTCAAGCAATCCTCCCTCTTCGGCCCCCCAAATTGCTAGGATTAAAGGTATCAGCCACCACATCCTGACCTTTTTCATTTTAAATATTATTTCAGTATTATTTTGAAGTAGTAATTTTTTTAATTTTTGTTTATTTCCGTAAGTTTTTTGGGAACAGGTGGTATTTGGTTACATGATTAAGTTCTTTAGTGGCGATTTGTAAGATTTTGGTTGAACCCATCTCCTGAGCAGTATACACTGAACCCAGTTTGTAGTCTTTTATTCTTTTCTGTAAAATAATAGTTATACCAGAGGTTTTTGAACCACACTTAGAAGCTGTATTTTCGTCTGTATTTCCGAACCTCCCTGGCAGTGTACATTTTTTGTGGGTAATGAAATTTTAAATAATTTTAGGCTGAAGAAGCTAAGCTGGCCTGTTTTTAAATCTGTTTTCCCCCAACTGGATGACATTGGAAACCTTGTATTACAGATTATGAAACTAATCATGAAGTGTAATGTAATATTAACTTTGTTGTATAATTTCACTACATTTCTATTTGTAATTTTTTTGGTTTGGTGTTAGTCAAACTAAATAGTGATTTATTTTAAATGTTTCTATAACATATTTTTGTGTGAATAGATACATAAATTTAGAAAGAATAAAAAAGGCAATTTTCCTGAATACGAAACTTTTTTTCTGCTTTTAAATTATTCACATATCATATGAAGCTGGTGTTTCCCAAAGTATGTTATGTTCTACTCAATATTGATCCTGGAGATATTCATCAAAGTAATTCATGTGCCAATAAATTTTAAAAATCCCATTTTATATACTGAATCATCCTAAATCTCTCCTTGGAGATTGAAACTAGCATATGTAAAATTTATATAAATCCTTCAGTGAATCAAATAATTTAAGTAAGTATAATTCAGTGCCTATATAATCCAAAACATATATTATAAACTTTGACCTCATAACATAATCTAATTGCCACAAAATAAACATTAGAAAATACTTTATTAAATTATATTTAATTATACGTATCATAAATATACTGAAAATGAAAACAAATCATACTGAATATTTTAATGTGTATGTAAAAATACATATTAGTGCATGTATATTTAAATGTATTATATCTATAATTTAATATATAGTAAAACTACTTTTCAGTAAGAATGGTTCAGGCTTGAACCTTCTAGATTGAAAGTTTCTTTAGAGCAGATATTAGATCTTATTCATCTATGAATTTCCAATGTTTTCAATGTGTTTTAATAGGCTCTTTAAAATATTTGTCAACAAATAAGTGAGATTTTCCTCTATTAGTATTGTCATTTTATACTCCTGTAAAATTTAAAGATGAGTAGAAAGCTGAAAGTGGAGCCCAGAGAAGTAGAGGACATTGCGTTCCAAGTTTATATATTGATGAGATTGGTAAGATAATACATATTAAATTCAGTTAAATTTATTTAGATTATAAACTCTTCACTAGATTCTGATGCTCATGTTTAAAAAAATAATTTTGTAATTATTAATATAAAAATAACATAGGTTTAACATTTATAGATGAGTTCAATGGCATTATGAGAGAAATTATCATTTCAACTCTTTCCATTATTGGCCTTAAGTGACCTACATTCTAAGGTTTTATAATTGGTTCTCTCTAAGATAGATTTTTCTTGGCTATGGTAAAGAGGTAAATATATAAATATAAAACACTGCTAGAATGAAAATAAAAGTGTATCTCAGAAATATGTAGCTCATATTTATTTTATTCTAAATTGTAAAAATGAAGAGACAATTTCCTTAGAAAATTTAGTTACCTATAATTTTAATTATTTGTATGAAATACTTATACCCAATGATGGGGTTCAGTGATTCCTCAAGCCAGTCTATTTTCTCTGGTCACCATTATTACTATTAGTACATGAAATCATTTTTATTGTAATGCCTTGCCAATAATTGTGGCATTATAAAAATAACTTACAGAAGTCTGTGAATCAAAATCAAATGTGCTGTCTTTAATCTATTTTTAAAATGTTTCCTATTACAAGAAACAACAAGTACTGTTATGATAACTGTATGTAGAAAAAAAGACTTTAATAATTTACCCAAAGACGCACACTTGTTTTATGTGACTTAAAGTATCTGTAAAATGTATCATATATCTATTTTTGTCAAGCACATTTTATATGTCAAATGAAATCGTGATGCATAAGAACATTATTCTTGATGGAGAATAATTACTGAGGGTATAAATTTCCAAAAACTAACAGAATACATTTTTAAATAGAAAATAATCTGGATTTATATAATGAATTTCATCATGATTTTAATTAATCTGAAAGCTTCTATTCTATACTTTAGAGGGTGGCCTGGAGTATTGTTATTATTATGTATTAAAAATTACTACGAATTAATAATGTTCACGGTGGTTACCAAAGTTCATAGAAAGAGTTGTTCCACATACTTTAAGTTGATTTACATAGCACAGATTTGTGAGGTGAGTGCCAAATCTATTTCAAATATTGTATTGGAAGCATCTGGCTTAGCTTCCAAATTTTGTATGGCAAAGCTTCATACAAATTTTCCCAGCAATTAACCGTCAAAGCCAGATCTGTAGTACTTGGTTCAGACTTGTTAAGTGTTATTCCTTCCATTTCAATGATAAAATAAAATCAATTTTTAAAATGCTCAGAGAAATCTTGCCCAGAGAGAAGACAATATAATGAAATGTTGTTTGATAGATATTATCACTCTTGTAATCCCAGTACTTTGGGAGGCTGAGGCGGGCAGATCACCTGAGGTCAGGAGTTCATGACCAGCCTGGCCAACATGGCAAAACCCCGTCTCTACTAAAAATACAAAAATTAGCCGGGCGTGGTGGCCCGCTCCTGTAACCCCAGCTACTCGGGAGGCTAAGGCAGGAGAATTGCTTGAACCCGAGAGGTGGAGGTTGCAGTGCGCCGAGATCGCGCCGTTGAACTCCAGCCTGGGCAACAAGAGTGAAACTCCATCTCAAATAAATAAATATATAAATAAGTAAGTACTGATATGTCAAGGCTACTTTCATTAACGAGTGAATTATGTACATTTAAAGGTGAAATATTTGAAGTGGAATAAAAATAGAGGGTATAGTTATACCAGAATTTCTTTAATAAACCCAGGTTTTAATGGAGTTCATACAAAAGATTTAAGGAGCAACGGGATCTAAGAGAGAAAAAAAAAATAAGTGGACTGCTTCATCCTTGAGCACAGAATTGAGATGGCTAAATTCCAGAATTACTTGAGGCTTTGAGACTGGCTTTCACAGGGTACAGTGACTTGGGTTCCTACAGGAAGCTATAATCAGGGAAGAGAAATTTTGTTTAAGGTGGGTTTTGAAGACAATTTTTGGCCATTGCTCACCAGGAGTGTAATGATGGCTTTTAGACATTTTTCTCTTAAGAATTTCATTTAACCACAATTGATGGACTATTTAAGTACTGGGGCAAACGCATTCTTCCCAGCCTTTGTGACTAAATGAGGAAAACCAGTAACAACTGCAATAATATATGAAAATGGATACTGTTTATTGAGTGCTGTTAATAACTAAAGAACTGATAACAACCCTACTGAGTATTAACAACTACTATACTCCTTTTTGAGATAAGAAGATCGTGCAGGGTAACTTGCCCTATTGTTTGTAAACTTGAAGACTACATTTGAATCCAGGCCCTTCAAGTATGTAGCTCAGATTTTAATATAATTTATTATATCCCCTTGATAAGGCACAGTTTTTATAAATATTCTTACTCTGCATTAATCAGAGTTCATTATGTAAATTATGTTTAACTGAGATTGCTTTTGTTTCTTTGGTGTAATTTCATACTTTTAAAGTATTTCAATATATCGCAATGACACTTTCTGGCTATGTATCAATATTTAATCAAGCTGATGAGAACTGATAAATATGTGTAATGGTAGCAGGCTTACACAAAAATATTGAAATACCATCAATTAAAATATTGAATCAAAATGAAAAAGAAGGTAATTAATGATACAAAATATAATCAACAAATCTAATAATAATCAAGCAAAATTGTCACAACATAAAAATAATTCAACTTAGTACCTTCTTCTCTCCATAATATGTTAGCTACTGCAGCATGTTGAAAGAAAAAGAAGAAAAAGAAAAATGAGTAAAGAGAGCTTTTGCTATATGGTAATATAAATATTATTAAAGATGTCAAATATCTATGATAGAATGTGTATATAAACGTAGTGAAGTTAATTCAGTGAGCTACTTTAAATTAACAAAACAATAGCATGTTGGAATTAGCTAATAATGCTTTGTACATTTTTTGATATAGCCAATTCTTATTTGGAATACAGATTTTGTTATTAAACAAAGAACATTTTACTCTGCATTGAAAAGAATAGGAAGTTTATAAGTTAGTTTAATTGAAATGTATTTTTAGAGCAAGCATTAGTAGTTAAAACTATTAGGTTGACAGTTTATTTAAGTTGCTAATAGAAAAAGTTACACTCTTAAATTTTGCAATAATCACAATATATATTTTCACATAATATGAAATATTCCTGAACAAGAAGAGTTCTTGTAAATCCAAGATCTTGAACAACAAATTGGCCTATTTTTAAAGAGTATATGTTTTTACTGTTTTAAAACAGACAGAAAATAGATCTAAGTATACTTCGCTTCTTTTAGTACATACTGAATTGTTCTTGAACCACAGGTTTTAAAAATATTATATAGTGACTTAATCAGTAAAGAGCTAATATATTAAGATAGAAATTAAGAAAAAAATCCAGTTGAAACTATTCTGAAGGAAATGCCTGCTTCTTTAATAATTCAAAGTTACAATAACACTATATGTTCTTAAAGCAAAATCATAAAAGTGTAACTAATAGAAAATCTCATACACAGCAATTACTTCCAGTATTTTGACCATATTAAAACTTAATGACTTTTTTTTCCAACTGAACCCACATGTGTATGTTTTAGAGCCAAGAATGAAGTCTAGCACTCCTCACCTACGGCTGAAGGCCCAAGTCATGCAGTTTTCAGCATCTGCTATATTTCTTTAAAAAATTAATTATTAATGGTAAACATTGCAATTTTTAGATTTTTAATTCCTTAATGACATTTATTCAAACATAAATACATGATGTGTGCATTCCTGCAGCACATTTTATGCTGTTGTTCTTGTGCCAGCAGTGCACTTTGAACAAATACGAAAAAAGTATAACTTTCAATTATGAGATGAGTAAGTTCTGAACATGTAATGTACAATGTGGGTGGTGATGGATGTGTTAATGATTGTGATAATCATTACATAATATATACATCATCTTTTCATCTTAAACATATTCAATCTTTGTCAACTAAATATGTTATAAGATGATAAAAAGACAAATCTTATTCTCAAGGAGAGGTTATAGACATAGGAGGAAAGAGAACATTGAAAACAAATAAATACAAACATGTAATAAATGAAAGGGAAGAAGCAAATTTCAAATTCAGCAAATGTGGACAAGACAGAATGATCAGCTATGAGAAGAAGATGGGTACTGGAGGGACAGCTTCATTGAGATGGTGCTGAACAAGAAATGTAATATTACCAAAGCTTACAAGAGTGCTGTGCGGTGTAGGGGGCTAGAGAGGTTATTCCATACATGAGGAAAAAAGAAAATATGTTCAAGGTATATCAACCAGAAGCATCAGAACATATTGAGGGAATGTGTCAAGTAATTTGGTATATTTGGCGGGTAAGACTGGTTTAAAAAAATAAAGCTGGAGAATTTATTCATGATAAAATCAAGTAAGTCTGCACACACAATGCAAAAGAAGTGGATTTTTTTGTAGTTTTAGGAATGGTTGAACTATGATTAGACTTATAAATCTTTCTCTGGCCTATACAAAAATAACAACGCATGTGTTTCCTTATATCTCCACCCACTTACTTGGTGAGTACCAATTGAGTACCTAACATGTGTTAGATGTATTCAGCACTCACATACACAGGTTAGAACAGGCAATCTCTGTGCCCATAGAACCTATATTCTAATTGGGGAGACAAAAAGTAATCAAATGATGACAGAAAAAAATTCAAAGTTATGAATTTAGTGTGTTATAAAGAGAAAAACATAGTAATGTGAATGCATTTGTTGGGTGGATTAGACATTGTTAAACAGGGGGAACTTCTCTAATTATGATCAAGGTGAAGTATGAGAAATGAGTAAGAATAAATGAAGTGAAGGGTATGATTCAATTTCCAGATAGAAAAAAAGCATGTGAAAAATTCTAGTGGCATATCAAAGCACCACTATTTTAAAGGAGTAAGGACATTAGAACTAAGGACAGAGACATTTTTAAGACTGGCAGTCATTTAGGAATAAATACCAAAAATTACAGACTTTGTAATAGATAAAAATCAAGGCACTACATAATGAATTTAAAATTACATAAGCTAAAACACAGTATTATGTTTTAACTGTTAAAGTTGGATGTAAAATAAATAAATCCACAATCTCGGTCTGTTTCTTTAACATATCACTCTCAATATTTGAAAAATGAAGAAAAATAAAGACAAAGTTTTAACAATACAATTATCAAGATTGAATTACTGTATTTATAATGATTGTTTTACTACACAAACAGAAAGCATTTTCCAATTTTATTGACATATCTTCAAGGGTGGCCACGAAGTAAACTACAAAACAAAAAGCCTGGCTCTACTCTGTAAATCTGTTCCAATAAGCAGAGATTGTTTCTGCATTTTCAGACAAGAAGTAAAAATGCAAATATACAAATCTTCAAGCCCATAAAATTCACCAATAAATTGAATATTTTTAAAAACCAAATATAACCACAATTTATATAAAACATATCAAAAAAAGAAAATTAACCATGTGGTCCCAAAGAGTTTTAAGCAAATGATAATACACAGACTGAACTGAAGCACTGAACTGAACCAAACAAGGAGGGGGAGAGAGAGAGAGAGAGAGAGAGAGAGAGAGAGAGAGACAGAGGAAGAGGAGGAGGAGGAGGAGAAAGAGGGCCTTTTGATGGGTGGAGGGGAGTAGGGAGAGGATCAGGAAAAATAACTAATGGGTACTTGGTTTAATACCAGGGTGATTCCTCAAAGACCTAAAAACAAGAAATACCATTTGACACAGCAATCCCATTACTGGGTATATACCCAAATGTGTATAAATGTATATAAATCATTCCATTATAAAGACACATGCACACATATATTCATTGCAGCACTATTCACAATAGCAAAGATATGAAATCAACCTAAATCCCCATCAGTGGTAGACTGGGTAAAGAAAATGTGGAATACATACACCATGGAATATTATGCAGCCATAAAAAGAACAGGATCATGTCCTTTGCAGGAACTTGAATGGAGCTGGAGGCCATTATCCTTAGCAAACTAATGCAGGAACATTAAAAGAAATACCACATGTTCTCACTTATAAGTGGGAGCTAAATGGTGTGAAAACACGGAAACATGAAAGAGAACACACTGAGGCCTGTTGGAGTGTGGTGGATAGGAGGAGAGAGAATATCAAGAAAAATAACTAATGGGCACTTGGTTAATACTTGCATGATGAAGTAATCTGTACAACAAACCCCCATGACACACATTTACCTATGTAACAAATCTGAACATGAACCCCTGAACTTAAAATTTTAACAAAAAGAAATTAATTTAATACATGATATTAGTTTGTCAATTAAGGACCGTCAATATAATTTAACCAAACAAAAATGCAATCTGATAAAATACATAGCATATTACTAAGTATAATATAAATTCTCTTAGTAAACTAATAAACTAAGAATACAGGGATATTTAAATTAATAAAAAATTAACATACACCAGAATAATAAATAAGTGACCATCAATGGATGATTGGATAAATAAAGTATTACACACACACACACATACACACACACAGACACAGACACACACACCATGGAATACTACTCAGCCATAAAAAGAAATGAAATCTTGTCTTTTGCAGTAACATGGATGGAACCACAGGCCAGTATCCTAAATGAAATAACCCAGAAACAGAAATTCAAATATTGAACGTTCTCACTTACAAGTAAGAGCTAGAAAATGGGTTCACATGGACATAAAAAAGAAACAATAGACATTAGTGGGAGGGTTGGAAGTAGGTGAGGAATGAAAAATAACATATTGGGTACAATGTTTACTATTCAGGTGATAGTTACACTAAAAGCCTAGACTTCACCACTAGTCAATAGATCCATGTAACAAAACTGCACTTGTACTCCCTAAATCTATAAAAGTGAAATTTTTTAAATAGATAAATAAATGGAGAATCAAAATATTGAATTGTGATTACTATTTAAAATTAATTTTTGATGGGTTGATCAATTCATTAATCTAAGAAACAAATATAAATTGTATAAATAGTATAAATAGAAGACAATCAAAATTTGAAGGTAAAATCAGTCCCAAAAGATTAAAGTAAAAGTACAAATTAAGTTCATAAGATCAATTATTTAGCAAGCTACAAGATAAATATCCAATTTCTATATTTTTCTTCTGTAAGAATAAGATGCAAAATAAAATTTTGTTTGCAATAGCTTAAAAGCATAATATATTGATGGTTTACTAGAATATAGAAAGTGTAGCAAATTAAATGTAACAGCCACTAAAAATAAGCTAGATGGGAATATAAACTATTCCTAGATGAAGATAATGAATACTATGTAGATAAAATGTATTTTGCAATTACTTAACTTAAAAATTATATATATTGTTATTATCTGTTTAAAACATATTCCATTTTATATACAAAGTTAGAATGTACATTAAATTAAAAAAAACCTCAAATTTAATTGCCCTGGTATAATAATACATTCTCTTTTTGTTTGTTTCTTTGTTTGTTTGGGGGTTGTTTGTCTGTTGTCCAGGCTGGAGTGGAATGGTGAGATCTCAGCTCACTGCAATCTCCACGTACTGGGTTCAAGAGATTCTCCTGCCTCAGCCTCCCAAGGAGCTGGGATTACAGGCTCCCACCACCACACCCAGCTATTTTTTGTTGTTGTTGTATTTTTAGTAGAGATGGCATTTCACCATGTTGTTCAGGCTGATCTCGAACTCCTGACCTCAGGTGATCCACCCACCTTGGCCTCCCAGAGTGCTGGGATTACAAGCATATAATGCATTTTTTCATGTCTTTTCATTACTTTTCTGATTTTCATATAAATGCCTACATATATGGAAATTTATCTGATAAAATATATAAATATATAATATATAAATATAATTTTTCATTCCTTTTATTCATTTGTTATAACATGCCTAATATAGTCTTTATACATGGTTTCAAATACTGTTTCATCATATGAATTTCTGCCTTTTAAAAGTATTATGATTTACTTTATTAATTCTAACCTAGTACCAATATCAGATGCTAGCATAAGTAATAGAAGCTCAATAAATATCATTGGCCTTTATCAGTCATACAGGTGTATGTGTATGTGTGTGGTGTGTGTCTATGTGATTACTGTGATGACCATCCCACTAAGTAGTTATTTCCAGTAGTATATGTTCCTGCAAGAGGTATGAAAGCCTTTAAAACATTTGATATATGTCAGGTTGATTTCCAAAAGATTGTTACCAGCACCACCAGCAATCTGTGAAATTATTCATTTCAAACACTTCAGGTGAACTATTATTGAATGCATGTGCGTGTGTGCATGACCTTGTGAACAAGCTTACTAAATGTGAATATATATATACACATATATAATATATATAAATTAAAAACATAATGTATTATATATTATATTCTTATATATATATTAGTTTGGTTACCTGTGATATTGAATATATTTGGAAATATTTGGAGAAAACTTTTACCTTCTGCTTATGTCCTCAGCTCCTTATTTCTATTAGGGTATTGTAATATATATATTTTACATTTTTAACAGCTGCTTCTATATTGGAATGGCTTAGTTTCACCACATTAATTTATCCTTCAGACAATATAAACAGCTACATATAATAAATTCAGGCTTAAATATGCCACTACTGTTATATATATACATGTGTGAATTCATTATATGTAAATATATATTTTTTTACATATTCTTATCAATGTCCTTAGTATGTCTGTGTATATATACACACACTAAGTATATATGTATAGTGAATTTATATGTAATTTATTATATATATACACACATATATAAAAATATATTTACATATAGTAAATTATATATATTTCATATAGTAAATTATATATTTTATATAATAAATTATATATTTTATATAATAAATTATATATTTTATATAATAAATTATATATTTTATATAATAAATTATATATACACACACTAAGTATATATGTATAGTGAATTTATTATATGTAAATATATATATATATATGTACACACACACACACACACACACACACACACACACAATTTTTTTTTCCTCAATGTCCTTAGTATAGCACATAGGGGCTTCCATGATATGTCCTTGTCATCTTCAACTCACATTCCAAACATCAAGACTTTTTGAATCTCTTTATTTTAAGGGATATCCTTACCAGAAATCTCCACCTAGTTTTCTCTCCAGTAAGACCCATGCTCTGTTGCCCAGGCTGGAGCGTAGTGGTGTGATCTCTGCTCAACACAACCTCCACCTGTTCAAGCGATTCTTGTGCCTCAGCCTCCTGAATAGCTGGGATTACAGAAGTGTGCCACCATACCTGGCTAATTTTTATATTTTTCATAGAGATGGGGTTTCACTGTGTTGGCCAGACTGGTCTCGAACTCTTGACCTCAGGTAATCTGCCTGCCTCGGCTTCCCAAAATGTTGGTATTGCAGGCATGAGCCACCATGCCTGGCCAACCCAGCTTAGTTTTTAAACTATAGTTAGTCTGTCTGGAACCAAGACTTTGGACTAAATAACTTTTCCTTTCACACATGGAGCCCTGTGAAACAACTAATGTACTCAATATACAATAAAAATTATCTGCTTTGATATCTTTTATTCATAATTGAACAATAAAACCCTCAAAGTTATAAACCACTTAATTTAATATGTATTCACTACATAACTGAAATGTAAAATTTTTTTTGAAGATAATATACACCTTATAATGAAAATGTGCTCAGTGGAATAGATGCCTGACAGGAGTGACTGAAACCTTTACTAGTGCTTTTTAGTAAATTGCCTTATTTCCTGTGTTAGGATCTTACACTTATTTTCAAAATGATGGATCTCATATTAAATATGCTACCTCTATAAAGAAACGTATGTGGAGAGTTGAATGATGTTATATAAGCAACAGCAATAAGGTAGTTACCTACATAACATCATGCTGTACTATTGCAGAGCTACTTTTCTTGGCTATTCATGTGTAAATTGCCTGAATTTTATATTAAATAATTTTTTTTTGCTTGTCCTTCTCCTTTTCTGAAAGTTTCAGGTTTTCACCATTGCAAATCATTTTTTGATAAAATGAACTTATATAATGATAACATTTAAATTAGATGTCTTATTGACTGCTTTCCTTTTGGATTTAAGAAACTGACTTAACTTCAGCAGCTAAATAAAAAAGGGCAACCTTAAAATAAAAAATGTGGATAAAGTGTAATCTGTAAAAACTTATGGTTAGTTCTATGGTAGTTGAAATTTCTTTGAATATACATATGGAGAATGAACTAAGACTTTAACCTATGCTATTTTTAGGCTAGAAACAACATTTGATATGTCAAGTACATTGCCGGTCATATGCCAAATTTAAAGCCACTTTCAAATGAACCTGTCATTCTTGGAAATTAATTGAAGATTGTTTCCTCCTGTGACCACACAGGGTTTTAACCTAACGTCTAACATAAGCTGATTAGGCTGCAGTGCCCAGCTTACATTAGGGCACGTAATACAGAAATTAGCCAGAAAACTGTGACCTTAATTTTGAAAAAGTGATGAGATGGGATAATCATATTCTTTTGGGAGGTAACTGGAATCAAGAAATGACACTTGGAAAGCAGAGATCAGAGAGAACAGGAGCTTTAAGGATGCATAGCAAAAGGCACGATAGGGTGGTATAGTCAGGACTATGATAACTTGTGACTTAAGAAGGTATGACATGGAAGAAGAGTCCACACAACCCAGGAGAGAGGCAAGAAAAGTCGGAAGTTGTCTAACTATGTAATGCAGATTTCTGGGTTCTGAATGTGGATGCATCTCTGGCTGCTTCACACTGCCAGTTTAAAGTTCACCTTAGTTTTCAAATAATCTATTACTTAATCAAACAATATAAGTCTACTCCTGACAATCAAATTAGTCTCATTGAATCCACGACAAGGTAAGAATTGTTGCTAAGTCAAAAGATTAAAGCCACCGCAAAAATAAAAAAATAAAAACAACATCCATCTTTCCTTCAAACCAAGTAAACAAAGTAGGCAGTGGTTATGTCATAGCGTGTAACAAACTGTCTCAAACTTAGTGGCTTAAAACAACAATAAACATTTATGGTCTTTGCAAATGTAGCTTGGCTGGGAGGGTTCTTGCTCAGGGTATTTCATGAGGTTACATTCATCTGAAGGCTTGTCCTGTGCTGGAAGATCCACTTCTTAAGGTGCTCATTTATATGGCTGGCAATTTGGTGCTGCTTGTTAGCAGGAGGTCTCAGTTTTTTATTCCCTGGCCTTCTGCCCAAGGCTGCCTAAGTGTCCTCACATTGTGTCAATGGGTTTCTCCCAGAAATGTGTGATCCAAAAAACCAAGGCAGAGGCCATAATGCCCTTTATGACCTGGCATCGGAAGACACTCATCTTCACTTCCACCCTGCTTTATGTGTGATAGAGACATTTACTGTTTCAACGTGGGAAGAGATTGCAAGGGTGTGTATTGCAAGAGATGACGGTAACTAGTTAATCTTGGACACCACAGTCTTAGAGTGGCATGGTGGCTCATGCTTGTAATCCCAGCACTTTGGGAGACCGGGGTGAATGGATCACCAGGTCAGGAGATCGAGACCATCCTGGCTAACCTGGTGAAACCCTGTCTCTACTAAAAATATAAAAAATTAGCCAGGAGTGGTGGTGGGCACCTGTAGTCCCCGCTACTCGGGGGGCTGAGGCAGGAGAATGGCCTGAACCCGGGAGGTGGAGCTTGCAGTGAGCCGAGATCGCTCCACTGCACTCCAGCCTGGGCGACAGAGCAAGACTCTATCTCAAAACAAAACAAAACAAAACAAAAAATAACGAAATTTCTAATAAGAAAACATAAAAACTTTTCTAGCTAACATCCTCCTAGCCAGATTGGCAACACCTAAGCTTCTAATTATATATACATACTAAGCCCACCGCTGTCAGAAAGTGACTTGATTTTGACAATTCTTCACACAAATGAGTGTGATTTTTTACATAATAAATGATAAACAGTGACATAATTAAATAATTGTGAGTAATTAGCTACAGATAAATAGGGAAGAAACATTGCCTTCTAACTCACTCATACTGTATCATTTTAAGTATGTGGCAAGCAAAGTTGCTTCTTCTTTTGGTTTAACTTCCCCATTTAGAAAATATACCATAGGGAGAAGACAATTTAAAAATAAAATGATTATAATATATATTAAGTGCCTGGCACATAATCAGTTGTTCAATAGATGTTGGTTTTGCAGCCATATATATCCTAGGCGGAACTCAAGATGATCATACACATAAAGTTAAATTAATAGAAAAGTATCCAAAATAAAACATTGCAAAAAAGTATACCTTAACCTTTAGTTAGGGCTATATGAGAACTCTCCTTATCATTGCAGAGAACAGAATCATTAGAGAAGTAGACTACTTAGATATTAATTAGCATATGTTCAAGAAAAAAATTAAGATGGTAAAGCTTTAAAGCTTTCTTTAAAGTTGCTGTAATAAACCACAACATTTTTTAAGGGGCATTATTTCTAATAATTATATTCCTACTACATATTCTGAGCTCCTCACTGTTTAATATTTAAGTGTATTTGAAATGTATAATATATATAAGGTTAACATATCAATATAATTGTATTTATAATATAAAATAAAATAGCCCATATTTGAAGGAAATTGACTACTTTAAAACAATATTTATTATCAGGATAAAAATTGCTAGATATTTTGTGAGGGAAATTATAAATTATAACAAAAAACATCAAAGACATCGTATATGCTGCTGTATATAGGCATTCTAAGTAAACACATAGTTTATAATTCAACTAAATTGGCTTATCTTTAAAGACACGTAGGAGTAAATATATCCTATACTCTACCATACCAACTAATTATATGTGGTTGGAACAAAGGAAAAACTAACCCTAGAACTGAAGTTTTCTTTAAAGTACTTTAAATATATCTTAGTTCTTGAAAAGGTTTGTGATAGAGCACCCAGAAATCTGAGTTATGCAGTAAGAATTTTGATATCAAAAATTGAAGAATTACAAAACAATAATTTCTTTCATAAACAATCAAACTTTAAGCATGGCAGAATTTAGGATCTTGAATTAAAATGTATCCTGGTGGTCCCAAGAAGATGGATTAATTGTAGAATTAATTTGCTATTTTATTTATTTGTTAAGTCATCCTGTTGAATTGGAATATTTGGCACTGGCCAACTCATCTTTAGCCTGGGGTGTCTCTGAATCTTTTGTCCTTGGATATTTTTTCCTTCTCTGTGATTTCATTTTGAATGTAGCACTTACTCAAAAAACATTAATATCCTTGCTTTACTTGCATTAATGGGGAGGGATGGCAGCTTCTGCTTAAAATGACATAATAAGCTCTAGATGTTTTCATCCCAACTCTTCAGTGTTACCACTTACAGTATCTGTTCTCCTAAAACATTTGATGGATAGGCTTCTATTTAGTATAATTTACCTATCTTGCTAGATGAATTAAGTGAAACTCATGGTGATTTGAATATTACAAATCAGTTCAATATATTGAAAGAGAGGAAAATATTGAAATTATAAAAATGTCTCAAGTCATCCACAGTGTTTTTTTTTTCCTGTAATTACTCACATACATCTTACATTAATATTAATACATTAAATCCTCTGGTCATAATGCTACCTGATTTTAAATCTCTATTCTGTGAGAAGCCTTAAGTCTTCTTTATATGTTTAAGTGCCTGTAAATCAGTTTGAGAACCACAATTTTTCTCCTTAGTTTAGAAGGAAAAATTAAAGCATAGAAAAGTAACATCAATATCTAAGCCTGGTTAAAGAAAAACTGGTGGCCGGGCGCGGTGGCTCATGCCTCTAACCCCAGCACTTTGAGAAGCCGAGGCGGGCAGATCACAAGGTCAGGAGATCGAGACCATCCTGGCTAACACGGTGAAACCCCGTCTCTACTAAAAATACAAAAAAATTAGCCAGGCTTGGTGGCAGGTGCCTGTAGTCCCAGCTACTTGGGAAGCTGAGGCAGGAGAATGGCGTGAACCCGGAAGGCGGAGGTTGCAGTGAGCCGAGATCGCGCCACTGCACTCCAGCCTGGATGACAGAGCAGGACTCCACCTCAAAAAAAAAAAAAAAAGAAAAAAAAAGAAAAAAAGGTTATGAATTTGGAGTTACTGTCCACATTATTTTATCACTTCTTGTCTTCTTTCTTTGAAACATTATTGCTCCTACTAGGGGCTGTCTCACTAACTCAAATTGTTACAATGGAGAAACACATGCTAGAATATGACAAATATGCCTGTTCTCCCCTAGTCCTACATTCCCTCTCTCTCCCCTTCGTTTCAGTCCCCACCCCCATACAAGAAGGTTACTATATTAATAAGACAGAGCGATGCCAGCTGTTCTTCCTTCCATTGTCAACACTGAAACAAGGGCAGAACAAACAACAGATAGCAGCTGCAGTTATTGGCACAGAGAAAAAGAGAATGGGGTCAAAGATGCTCAGCAGAGAAGTGACAGAGACAGCAAGAAAATCAGGCCAAGTAGCAGCAGTGTAGCCAACTGTGGCTGTGGTAAGAATGAACGTAGGCACTGAAATGTGAGAGCATTTCCAGCTGACACCTTCTGATATCACAGAGACTCCACACACATGTTTAATTACTGCTCATTCTTGAAAATAAAATGTGGTCAAGCAAGACTTTGAGAATAGGATATAGAAAGGCTTTTCCTCCCGTATTATATAATGTTGATAAAATATATACATATTTACTAATATACATTTTACTAATAAAAATATATTTTGCTAATATATATAACTAATAAAATACATATTACATACATATATAATTTTTTTCTAACATTTCCTGAAAACTTATCTTTCCCACACTCTACAAGATAGTCAGCAAAGAAAAATTATCAGATTTTTATAAAATTATAGATATTATGTTCTTGGAGAATCTTTTTCAAACTGGAGGATGAAATGTTTCATGTGAATTTGACATTGTAAAATAATACCTAGATACAAGAATAAACAGTCAAATAGTCGATTGCCATACTGCTAATAAAAGTATAAGTGATTCCGAAATTATTTGAAGTTTAAAATATTTTAACATTAAATATAAATAAAAAATATCTCATTTATTATATTTTCTAAAATAGTCCTATATCTAGAATATTGTGCTATTATTTTTGCCCATTTGAATAATTTTTATCCTCTAATACACTTGAGAAAATTTTAAAGCTAATAATCATCAAAGGAATAATAGCAATAATGATAACTAGAAGAAACATTTATGGAGCCCTCATTATGTGCTAGACATTGCCAAGTATTTTATAACATTGGATCCACTAAAATTTCACTTTTATAAACGTCTCTAATAGAGTTAATTTCTATAATAGCTTAATATACAAAAGCAAAATAAAGCAAGCATGTGTTAAAAATGAGAGTAATCAAATAGGGTATAGTTAGATAATAATGTTCTATAAGTAAATTGACAAGCAGAACATCTACTTCTTTTAAGTACTACACAAAATATTTTCAGGTTAGGCTCTGTAGCCAAAATTGTCTTTCTGGCCAAACCTGTACCAGTCTTATGTATATATAGGCAGGAAGGAAATGATGCTCTGTGAACCATAAAGGCATGAAAAATGGACAGCAGATTACCTTCTATCTATTATAATAAGTTCTTTCCAGTGCCAGTTTTGCTCCAATTTAATGCTTATAATTTAATAGGCCTAAGAGGCCTAAGGCATAATTTAGTCTTTATTTTGATATAATTATATACTATGAAAAATAAGATTTTGTGAATGCACTGGTTTTATTCCTGGAAGTTCACATAGGCTGGTAAGCCAAGTAACACTATCTTTTAGGAAATTCTATTATTATCCAATACACGGATAAAGGAAGATAATTGAAAACCCATATTAACTGAGTTCCAGCAGCATGGTGAAGTGAGTTTCCACAATACGTATTTCTCCTTAAGATTAAATAGTAAACTACAAGACAATTTGTCTTATAAACTTTGCTGGGAATTGGAATTTGAATTAAACCTCCCTTGGTAATAAATAAAATACTCAAATGCCTACTATATGTAAAAAATAAAATCCAGCATAAAAATGCTTATTGTGGTATCTCCAGGATAAAAACTAAATAATTAATATGTAAAAAATAATTTTTACCTTTGAAGGGTAAACCAAAAATAAAATTCTAAGGTCCCCAACCATCTGAATGGACTTCCTCCTAAGCCAGGACTCTTAAAATTTAACCTGAGAGGCTGTTTCAGGCCATGATGGGAAGTGGGGATGGAACATGCCTCATTATACCTCTCTGGCATTAATGTCAACACAGACTTTAAGTCTGGTAAGAAACATTTTACATCCTATTCTTTCTGAAGCTTGCTAGCTAAAAGCTTCATCTACATAGTAAAACTTTGGTCTCTACAACCTCTTATCACCACAAAGACAGTCCTTTCAAACTCAACCAACAACCAGAAAATATTTAAATTTACCTATATAGCCTGGAAGCCCACCCCGCCCACCACAACTTTGAATTGTCCTGCTTTTCTGGACCAAATCAATGTATTTCCTGAATGTGTTTGATTGATGTCTCATGCCTCCCTAGAATGTAAAAAACCAAGCTATATCCTGACCACCCGGGGCACATCTTCTCATGACCTCCTGAGGGCTGTGTCACAGCCATGGTCACTCATATTTAGATCAGAATAAATCTCTACAAATATTTTACAGAGTTTGACTCTTTTCATTGACAGAATTTCTTCTGTCAAAGCTTGTATGTCTTTTCTAATTTGGCTTTTTTTTCATGCATACACTTCAATGTCTTTCTTAATCAGATTCTACGTCACAATGCCTTCTTGTCTAGTATTGTAAATATTTTTTATGATGATATATTACACAAAGTTAACCAAACCCACCATGTATTAATATTCGCTGGCCTGGGAACGGTGGCTCACGCCTGTGATCCCAGCATTTTCGGAGGCTGAGACGGGCGGATCACGAGGTCAGGAGATCGAGACCATCCTGGCTAACATGGTGAAACCTTGTCTCTACTAAAAATACAAAAATTAGCCGGAGGTGGTGGCAGACGCCTGTAATACCAGCTACTCAGCAGGCTGAGGCAGGAGAACCTCTTGAACCTGGGAGGGGGAGGTTGCAGTAAGCTGAGATCACGCCACTGCACTCTAGCCTGGGCAACAGAGCAAGACTCCATCTCAAAAAAAAAAAAAAAGTTTCCTGGATCATTCCTAGGTTTGATATTCTCTTAAATCTCCAGCTATGGAAGTGTCACTACAACCATCAAAGATCAGCTCTATGTTCATTACCTCAATAGAGACTACTTGTTTCTGTGTCTGCAGTCTCATCGCGCTTTGCTTGTGTGCATATTAACAGCAATTATTTTATTCTACTATATATTATTGTTGCCCTTCATTTCTACCTGCACTCAACTTTCTTTCTGAAAGGACTTCAAGACTTTCTAAAAATAGAGAATTGATGTATTCAGTGTTGACCACATGCTAGCAACATGTTTCTTTGTTCCTCAAGAAACACTTAAAAGGTGAAAGCATGAATGAACAAACCCATTGTTCTCTGCAGAACTTTTATTATCCTAACAATAAAAGCTCTTGTCACCTTCTAAACTATGTAAATGTCTCTTTTCTAATGTACAATTAAGAAATAGTTAAGTCAGAGGTAATACTCCGTTGGTGTTCACATACTTTGTAAGGTAACTAGCTTCACACACATTTGAATTACAGCAGTCAAATTATAGCCATTTCAAAGTGTATGCATGAAATTAAATCAGTTTGGTTCAATACAAATACTCAATTCAAATTAAAAAAAAATTTTTTTAAAAATATTCCATCCATGGGAGGTTCTTCCTAAACAGTTTCTGGATGTATGGGAATTCAATGCGACTCTAATGTGTGACATTGCTGGCTCTCAAGGCATAGGAAAAATTAACTCTAACAGATAATGTCAACATGCTTTCCAAAGGGCAGTAAAACGAACACTACTGCTGGTAATGTATGACAATTCCTATTTTTTCATATCTCACCAAGTCTTGGTAATATGCAACTTTTTGACTTTTGGTATTATAGTGGATGTGAAATAGCATTCTCTATTATTTTAGGTATTTCTCTACTATTTTAAGGTATGTTTTCTTTATAATTAATGAGAATAAGCATCTTTACATAATTCATACTGATACTTCATTTTTCCTTGTCTTTGAAATGCCTTCTTAAACCTATAGGCTAGTTTTGTGGGGGTTGACTTTATTTATTTATGATAATGAGTTTCTGTCAATTATTTGCGCTGACAATAACTTTAGGCAAATTTTTAGGATTACAACTTCTTAATCTTAATCATACAGGGTCCTCTGTTGTTTTATTCTGCTTTGTGAAACATAACTCTGAAATTACATTTTGACATTAACATTAGTATAACTTGTATGATAATGGTTGAACTATGTATATTATACACACACAGAATCCTTACTTTATAGTAAGAAATTATATTTACAAACACAATTTGACCTATTAGGGCATATTTGAGATAAAAGTAGAAATATTTTATTCATTAATAATCTGATTCTATTAAAATTTCACTATTGTAGAATGTTTCCAAAGGATGTATTATTCTTTACACCAGAGTTGAGTATTACCATATGTATTAAACAGACAGTACATCAATTTAGGGGAAAGATATACAAATGGGCATACCATTTTACTGCGTGAGATAGAAAAGTATCTTTTAATAAATTTCACATGAAGTCCTTGCCCATGCCTATGTCCTGAATGGTAATGCCTAGGTTTTCTTCTAGGGTTTTTATGGTTTTAGGTCTAACGTTTAAGTCTTTAATCCATCTTGAATTAATTTTTGTATAAGGTTTAAGGAAGGGATCCAGTTTCAGCTTTCTACATATGGCTAGCCAGTTTTCCCAGCACCATTTATTGAATAGGGAATCCTTTCCACATTGCTTGTTTTTCTCAGGTTTGTCAAAAATCAGATAGTTGTAGATATGCGGTGTTATTTCTGAGGGCTCTGTTCTGTTCCATTGATCTATATCTCTGTTTTGGTACCAGTACCATGCTGTTTTGGTTACTGTAGCCTTGTAGTATAGTTTGAAGTCAGGTATCGTGATGGCTCCAGCTTTGTTCTTTTGGCTTAGGACTGACTTGGTGATGCGGGCTCTTTTTTGGTGCCATATGAACTTTAGTTTTTTCCAATTCTGTGAAGAAAGTCATTGGTAGCTTGATGGGGATGGCATTGAATCTATAAATTACCTTGGGCAGTATGGCCATTTTCACGATATTGATTCTTCCTACCCATGAGCAAGGAATGTTCTTCCATTTGTTTGTGTCCTCTTTTATTTCATTGAGCAGTGGTTTGTAGTTCTCCTTGAAGAGGTCCTTCACGTCCCTTGTAAGTTGGATTCCTAGGTATTTTATTCTCTTTGAAGCAATTGTGAATGGGAGTTCACTCATGATTTAGCTCTCTGTTTGTCTGTTATTGGTGTATAAGAATGCTTGTGAAAAGCCAAAATTGACAAATGGGATCTAATTAAACTAAAGAGCTTCTGCACAGCAAAAGAAACTACCATCAGAGTGAACAGGCAACCTACAAAATGGGAGAAAATTTTCGCAACCTACTCATCTGACAAAGGGCTAATAGCCAGAATCTACAATGAACTCAAACAAATTTACAAGAAAAAAACAAACAACCCCTTCAAAAAGTGGGTGAAGGACATGAACAGACACTTCTCAAAAGAAGACATTTATGCAGCCAAAAAACACATGAAAAAATGCTCACCATCACTGGCTATCAGAGAAATGCAAATCAAAACCACAATGAGATACCATCTCACACCAGTTAGAATGGCAATCATTAAAAAGTCAGGAAACAACAGGGGCTGGAGAGGATGTGGAGAAATAGGAACACTTTTACACTGTTGGTGGGACTGTAAACTAGTTCAACCATTGTGGAAGTCAGTGTGGCGATTCCTCAGGGATCTAGAACTAGAAATACCATTTGATCCAGCCATCCCATTACTGGGTATATACCCAAAGGATTATAAATCATGCTGCTATAAAGACACATGCACACGTATGTTTGTTGCGGCACTATTCACAATAGCAAAGACTTGGAACCAACCCAAATGTCCAACAATGATAGACTGGATTAAGAAAATGTGGCACATATACACCATGGAATACTATGCAGCCATAAAAAATGATGAGTTCATGTCCTTTGTAGGGACATGGATGAAATTGGAAATCATCACTCTCAGTAAACTATGGCAAGAACAAAAAACCAAACACGGCATATTCTCACTCATAGGTGGGAATTGAACAATGAGAACACATGGACACAGGAAGGGGAACATCATACTCTGGGGACTGTTGTGGGGTGGGGGGAGGGGGGAGGGATAACTTTAGGAGATATACCTAATGCTAAATGACGAGTTAATGGGTGCAGCACACCAGCATGTCACATGTATACATATGTAACTAACCTGCACATTGTGCACATGTACCCTAAAACTTAAAGTATGATAATAATGAAATAAAATAAAAATAAATAAATTTCACATTTAACAACATTTCATGTTTAACATAAATATAAAATGCACATATAGTTGGGATATAAAGCAAAAAAGGAGGAAGAACAATAATCAAACTGTCTGATTTACTCTATCTGACTTATTCAGACACAGTCAGCCTTTATCAGAATTCTGGTATTTGGGTAAATAGAGGACAATAGGAAACACAGTTGTATAATCTGGGCTGTTGGCACAGAGTTAATAGAAATATATGGCATAAATTAGACTTCACAAAACTTTGAGAAAACACCCCACTTCAGCCCCTTACCCCAGAGTTTGGGCATTTCAAAGATACATTTGTTTTGTTAACTCTTTGCACATTTATGCCATTATCTGACCGAATTCCTGCAACAGAGAACACTAAGAGAATCATAAAGTGATGATAATTCTACTTTTGTTAAACTTAAGAACACAGTTATTTGGTAAAGGATTAACTATATTTGAAGCCTTTGGAATTAGAAAACCTCAAAGAGAGTCCTAACATTTTCTCCTGAACACAAGAAATACAACGTTAGTATGTACATATTTTTAAGTTCAATAGAGACTGTATACTCAGCACTGTCACTATATGTTAAGTGTATTCAGTCCACATGCCTAAAGTCATATAAATAAAATTTCATCATCATCATCAACTTATCCTAAAATAAATTAGTCACATTGGCATTGTGTAATATGAATTAGGAGGTTCATTAAAGGTATATAATGCCTTGCAGAGAAAATTCAGGCAGTAGATCAAAATAAGAAAGCATTATTTCTTATTTTGTTGTGTAGACAATAAAGATGCCCAGTAGTTTACGGTTGCTGAAAACCTGTCAATTTTAGTGACATTCAGATCACATAGTATCTTGTTAGTTAATAAAGCCCTGCTTTTGTGCAAAAAGTGGCAACATGTTAGAAACAGATCTATTTAATGATATTGAAGGGTATTATTTTAAAAATATAGTCTTCATATAGAAGTCACAAGACAGGTATTTTCGGTATGTTCTGGGTAAAAAGATGAAAAGACTTATAGAACAAGTTACCTCACAGGGTGTGAAATGACATTGGCCAAATTGAGAAGCATGAATATTGGAATTTATTATAAATAATGAAAGTTTATAAAATAATAAATGCTTATCAAGCATGGTTAACTTCGACATGACTCTTCATCTTAAGACATTTTATTTCATAATAACCTTATTGCTATATAAATCTTATATCAAATATTAAACAAGTAATTTGGGGCTTTTCAAAAAGAAATACAAATTGTTAATTTCTGCTTTAAGTTATAATTAGTATATATTCTCTATAGAATTATATTTAATAAAATATATGAAAATTAATATTTTTATTCATTGATTTATTTTTTCCATAAATATTTGTTTTTATTTGGTTCTATTTGACTCTAGCTCTTAGCTCATCACTATCAGGATAAAATCCTACCCGGCTGTGATGTCTGCACTTTATCTTTATGGATTTTTGCTGTATGTTATTATTCTATCTATCTCACAGTTATTGAGTGTAAAAACAAAACAAAACAATTATTAATCTGATTACTGCTGCACCTAATATTGGTTGAGTCTAGAAATAATTACTAATCGATGACTTTTGCATTTGGCTTCATTTATACCTCTTTTTAGACTATATTGTTCAACTGTTTATATTACCTTCCTAGCCTCTGTAGAGATTAATAAGATCCTACATAAGTGATCTCATTAAATCTATGCAACCTGCCTTTTGAAGTATTTCCTCATTCTATAGAAATAGAAAGTAAATGAAGACTAAAGAGGTTAATTAATTTGTTTATGTTATCAGAATCTATTCTATTTCTAAAGTTTATGATAGTCATATTCATACGATCTTTATAGGTAAAAAGACCATGTTTTAATCTATTTTAGGACCCTTTCTTTTACTTCTAAAATAGGAAGATACCTCATAACTATTCATATGTTTTTCAATTTTTTTTCAAGATAGTTGGAAACAAATGGCTGGATTTTACAATATTGCTAAATCTTAGTATTAGCAATTATGCTTATTTCATTTTGATAATAATTATTAACTTACATAAATAGTATATGTTTATATAATTTATTTACGCAAATAATCTTGTAGACTTTAGCCATTTGAAATGTGTTTTTTAAAAAATCTTCAAGTTGTTTTATTTTATAATAAAGTATGAACTATCAAAATATTAATTTTTTAGAAATACAGCCAACTAATGTTAATTTATTGGAGCTAATTCTAAAGTAAGAATTATTGCAATATGGTAAGATTTCCAACTGCTTGTGACAATAATTTAAAAATGGTGTATCTAGCCTTATAGTATATTTATTATATTTAGACCGTAAAATTCTATTATAATATATTTAGACATACTCTGATACTCTCAAACAGCTGGATTAATCATATTCCTTACTAAAATCATAGCAAGATGTGAATCAATCTGTTCTTAGCACTTAATGCAGCCTGTAGCTTAAAAGCTTCCTGTAGAAGCCTATGTTCACATCACTTTTTATTTAACTTCATATTGAGGATGAACCTTTATTACCTGGGAATTGACTTCCCTTGGGAATGAAAATGTGTCAAGTGCTTATGCTATGTACAAGACGTTTTCAAATAAATAATGTGTTACCTCTATCTAAATCCCTTCACATAATTTATATCTTCTCCTACTCCCTGTTGTGAGCAACCACACAATCCCCTATGGTCCAGTTCTACTGTTCTTTACATTTAAATCCTCCCTGTATGTCACTCTATTAAATCTTAGTTATGAAAACCTATCTCTAATGTAACTGTAGAGTATATTATTTTGAAGCACATATTTTTTGTCATTCAATTTCTCACATGAGAAAACTTCCAGTGATATTTGTTGACAAAGTTAGACACTGTAAATCAAAGTTTCCCACTTCAAAGATTAGGGTAGAAGCAAAACACAAACTCCTTAGCCATATGATGCTTTGCATGGATTGTTCTCTCAATAGTATCATATTTCTGGCAAATGTAGTGTAGGAAAAAATGTGATTGATACTACTATGAGCTCTCTATTATGTAGAAAATAGCTGGATGATTACTCCGAAGCTGTATCCAGACAAAGTGAGTCTTTGTTGTGTTATTTACCCCCAAAGTTACAAATCTTTCCCCATTTTTATTGTTGTCTACATGGGATTCAATACCTCTCTTCTCTGCATCTTTCAAAAACAGAAGAAAAGCGCATTACAGAATAATTCTCAAATATATAATAGAAGTATAAATTGACTCAATGTAAAGGCGGACTAAAGTGTAGCTTCTGCTTTGATTGTGACAAAAGTGAACTCTAGAAAAAGATTTTGAAATTTATTTAAAGTATCTTAATATATACACTAAATAATAAAAGGTATACTCAATCAGTGGAGTCCATGTTTTAAATGTTAAGAGAGATAATATTTAATATTTGAATGCATAAAAATGGATGCCCCTACATACTCATATCTGCCTATAGCTATGCTATCAATATTTGTATGCATTATTATAAAACTCTGATTTGTAGCAATTATTGGGTTTTCTAGGCTTTTGAGAAATAGATTTTTGTCAGTGTTTTTAGCAATAAGAAATTATTTTTAGAGGGCCGGGCGTGGTGGCTCACGCCTATAATCCCAGCACTTTGGGAGGCCGAGACGGGCGGATCATGAGGTCAGGAGATCTAGACCACCCTGGTTAACATGGTGAAACCCCGTCTCTACTAAAAATACAAAAAAATTAGCCGGGCGTGGTGGTGGGCGCCTGTAGTCCCAGCTACTTGGGAGGCTGAGGCAGGAGAATGGCATGAACCCGGGAGGCAGAGCTTACAGTGAGCGGAGATCACGCCACTCCAGCCTGGGCAACAGAGCAAGACTCCATCTCCAAAAAAAAAAAAAGAAATTATTTTTAGAAAACAAATGTGAGTCAGAGGAAGAGCTACTTTATGTCTTGCACTATGACAAGTGCTTTATACGTAAGATCGAAACAGAAATCTCTCGATGTATTAGTATTTATTTCATATTAAAGATAAGAAAACTAAAGCCCAGAGAGGTCATGTAGTACCCCCACATCAGTGAGGTGTTGTGTGATTCCAACACACATTTTGCAAAATTTATACTCTTCAGTTACAACAATTTGCTTTTTCATTTAAAAATTGTATCCTATCACTACTGAAAACAATCCCTGAAATTATTTTTTGTAGATTTATACAAGTCAATAATTTCTTAATATGTGCAAATAAGAAAAGTATATTTATTACTAATGGGTCTTTGATTGGTTCTTTTGGCATTTTTGAAAATATCTTTCCAGACACACAATAACAGTGGGGGGACTTCAACACTCCACTGACAACATTAGAAATATCTTTGCAGCAGAAACTGAAAAAGAAATTTTGGACTTAAAATTGACACCTGACCAATGGGACCTAATACAAAGCTACAGAATACTCCACCGAATCACCACAGAATATACATTCTTCTCTTTTGCCCATGGATTGCCCACATGCTTTGCCATAACACAAGTCTTAATAAATGCAAAAAAATCAAAATAATATCAAGCACTCTCTCAAACCACATTGCAAAGAAAATAGAAATCAATACCAAGAAAATCTCTCAAAACAACAGAAATACAGAGAAATTAAAAAACTTGCTTCTGAACAACTCTTGAGTGAACAATAACATTAACGCAGAAATAAAAAAAAATCTTTGAAATTAATGAAAATAGAGACACAATTTAAAATCTTTGGGTTGCTGCTTAAGCAGTGTTAAGAGAAAAGTTCATAGTGGTAAATACCTGCATCAAGAGGTTAGAAAGACCTCAAGTTAGCAATCCAACATCAGACTTAGAACTAGGAAAAAAAAAAAAAAGGCAATCCAATTCCAAACCTAATTGAAGAAAATAACTAGAATGAGAGAAGAACTGAACAAAATTGAGAACTAAAAGTCCTTACAAAAGATTAATAAAGCAAGAGTTTGTTTTTTAAAAGAATAAAAACGTTGACCACTAGCTAGATTAATTAAGGGGGAAAAAAAAGAGAAGATCCAAGTGAGTTCAATCAGAAATGGCAAAGATGACATTACAAATGATCCCTCAGAAATAGAAAAGATCCTCAGAGACTATTATGAACACCTCTATGCACACGAATTAGAAAATCAAGATGAAACGTATAAATTCTTGGAAACACATAACCCTTCAAGATTGAACAAGAAGGAAAGTGAAAACCTGACTAGACCAATAAGTTTGGAAATTGAGTAAGTAAGTAATACAAAATGTACCGACCAAAAAGAGCCTTGGACCAGAAGAATGAACAGCCAAATTCTACCAGACATACAAAAAAGCATGGATACCAATCCTACTGAAACTATTCAAAAAAATTGAGGAGGAGGGCCTTCTCTCTAACTTATTCTATGAAGCCACCATCATCCTGATACCAAAATCTTGCAGAGTCACAACAACAACAACAAAAAAGAAAACTTCAGGATAATATCCCTGATGAACATAGATGCAAAAATCCTCAATAAAGTACTAGCAAACTGAACCCAGTAGAATATCAAAAAGTTAATTCATCATGATCAAGTATGCTTTATTCCTGGATTCAAGGGTGGTTCAACATATGCAAATCAACAAATGTAATTCACCACACAAATATAATTAAAAACAAAGACCATATGATCTCCCAAGAGATGCAGGAAAAGCCTTTGATAAAATCCAATATTCATTCACGGTAAAACCTCAACAGAAGAGGCATCAAAGGAACATACCTTAAAATAATAAGAACCACCTTATGACAAACCCACAGCCAACATCATACTGAATGCGCAAAAGCTGGAAGTATTTCTCTTGAGAACTGGAACAAGAAAGGAATGCCCACTCTCACTACTCCTATTCAACATAGTACTGGAAGTCCTACCCAGAGCAATCAGGCAAGAGAAAGAAATAAAAGACATCCAAATAGGAAAAGAAGAAGTCAAAGTATCTCTCTTTGCTGGGAATATGATCCTATACATAAAAAACCCTAATGATGCTGCAAAAAGCTTCATGAAACTGACAAATTCAGCAAAGTTTCAGGATACAAAACCAATATACAAAAACTAGCAACATTTCTATATACCAATTCCATTGTAGTTGAGAACCAAATTGAAAACACAATTCCATTTATAATAGCTAAAATTATATGTAATACATAGGAATTTATTTAACCAATTATGGGAAAGATCTCTACAAGGATAACTACAAAACACTGCTGAAAGAAATCAGAGATGACACAAATGAACGGAAAAGTATTTCATGCTCATGTACTGGAAGAATCAATATTGTTAAAATGGCCATACTATCCAAAGCAATTTACAGATTAAAAGATGTCCCTACCAAAATACCAATGTTGTATCTCACAGTATTAGAAAAATCTATCCTCAAATTCATTTGGAACCAAAAGAGAGTATGAGTAGCCAAAGCAATCCTAAGCAAAAAGAACAAATCCATAGGCATCACACTATACTTCACACTATACTACAGGGAGACAGTAAACAAAACAGCATGGTACTGGTATAAAAACAGACACATAGAGCAATGGAATGAAACAGACACCCCAGAAATAAACTCATACACTTACAACCATCTTATCTTTGACAAAATAGACAAAAAAAGCAACAGGGAAAGGACTATCTATTCAGTAAATCATCTTGCGATAACTGGCTAGCCACATGCAGAAGAATGAAACTGTACCGCTACCTCTTACCATACACACAGATTAACTCAAGATGGGTTAAAGATTTCAGTGTAAGACCTTAAATTATAAAAATCCTAAAAGTAAAAGTGGGAAATACCCTTCTCAACATTGGTTTTGGCAGAGAATTTATGGCTAAGTCCTCAAAAGCAATCGCAACAGAATAATAATTGACAAGAGTGCCTAAGAAGTGCCTAATTAAACTAAAGAGCTTCTGTACAGCAAAAGAAATTACTAACAAAGTAAACAGAAAGCCTACAGAATGGGAAAAAATATATGTAAACTATGCAAGCAATAAAATACTAATATCCAGAATCTACAAACATCTTAAATCAATAAGCAAAAATCAAATAATCCAATTTAAAAATGGGAAAAGCATAAGAACAGACACTTATCGAAAGAAGCCATACAAATGGTCAGCAAACATATGAAAAATGCTCCACGTCATCACTCTGATTTGCATCAGAGAAATGCAAATCAAAACTGCTATGAGATATCATCGCACACCAGTCAGAATGGCTATTATTAAAAAGTCAAAAAACAGTAGATCCTGGCAAGGTTATGGAGAAAAGCGAATGCCTATATCCTGTTGGTGGGAGGGCAAACTTGTTCAGCCACTGTGGTTAGCAGTTTGGAGATTTCTCAAAGAACTTAAAACAGACGTTACTATTTGACCCAGCAATCCCATTACTGGATTTAGATCCAAAATAAAATAAATCATTCTACCGAACAGACACATGCACTTGCATGTTTGTTGCAGCACTATTCACAATACTAAAGACATGGAATCAATCTAGGTGCCTATCAATGGTGGGCTGGTTAAAGAAAATGTGGTAGATATACATCATGGAATACTACTCAGCCATAAAGAAGAATGAAATCATAGTCTTTGAAACAAAATGAATGAAGCTGGAGGCCATTATCGTAAGTGAATTAATGCAAGAACAGAAAACCAAATACCACATGTTCTCACTTATAAGTAGGAGCTAAACATTGAATACACATAGACATAAAGATGGGAAAAATGGACACTGGGAACTACTAAAGGAGCGAAGTATGAAAGGAGGCATGGGCTGAAAGATAATCTATTGGGTACTATGCTCACTACCTGGATGATGTGATCACTTGTACCCCAAACCCCAGCACCAAGAAATATACCCATGTAACACACCTGCACATGCACTCTTTATAATAAAATTTGAAATTATTGAAAACATAAAAATAATAAAGAAAGAAAATATCTAGCATTCCAAAATACAAATGTGCCATGTATATCTAATATCAGTCTCTTTCCATGAAATTACTAGAAAAGAACCCAGATCCACAATCCTTAAGATGGGGGTTACAAAAGGCAGTAATTTTCACTACTATGAAATCCACCCGATTTTGGTTTTCTTTTGTTATACAGAATTCTGGCATTTAACTATTAGGAGGCATCCCAAGGGAAACTATCTTCTATCAAGTAGACGTTATTACATTTTCTGTTTATACTTTTCCGTAGTTGCTAATATTCTACTCAGTTTACTTATTTAGTATTGTCCTGATTTTAATTACATGCATGATTATTTTTTAAATGGGCACTTTTACTTCAACAAGATTAAACCTTGTCGAAAATTTAATCCTGTTAAACCTTCTCCTAAAATTTTCCTAGAATTCACACACTAAAAGGTTGTATGATTTGTTGACTAAGGGAGCTTTGGCTAGGTGTTTTACTGTTGTAACTAGGGAAACATATTAAAAAGTACTTGACAAACATTAAAATAAATTAAGAATATAGAGTTGATATTAAAATCTGTTTCACAAACATCATCATAAGGACAAAGAAAACAAACATTTTTAATTACTTGTCACTTCAAATTAATTTTTAACAGAAAGTGAATTACAAGTTAGTATTGGCTGTACCACATAAAAGGAATAGAGCAAAGGAATTATGGTGGACCTTATGCAGGCCATTAAATCCAGCTTTTTTTCTCTTTTTTCAACCTAAAGACTTTCCTTCTTAAATATTTCTTTATAATGATGGTTGTCCTAACCAGACAAAATGAAGATAATGATATGCTAGTAGTTGGGACCTGGGTAAGGTCCTTCTTTCTCAATGGATCCACTCATGTCAATATGCACTAAGTGACTTAAGAAGTAATAGGAAGACCCCTGGCTGGATCAATGCTTTAACCTTGTTCAAACACTGGATTCAGAAAAATGGGCCTGTCAAGTTAGAGGGTCCAATAATGTCAGACTCTTGCAAAACATATATTAATAACAGCGTAACAAGTAGGATTGAAGAGCAGAGAACAAGGGGAGTAGTCATTTCAAGCACATCCAGGCCCTATCCCAAAACAGCCACACTGTGGCACGTGTATACCAAGGGAATAAAATGGCTGTTTGTTTGCTTGCAAAGAATGCACTTGATAAATGCTATAATAGTAGTTTGAGTTCCAAACAATTCGGCTATCATAAAAAGCAATCCATCCTCAGCATCCCCACCCTATCTCTACCCCTTTTGCCAAGTAATTAAACAAAATAAAAGAGAAGAAGACATTTGGGGTATAACTCCAGGAGACAATCAGACAACATGAACCATGATGGCAAAGGATTTTTAGCACTAAACCAAGAACAGCAACAGTGTAGTTTTTGTGTCAGGGGCAGTGAGTGCCTTAGAGTGGCAGTTACCACTGAACCTTCTGTAGAGAAGGATGCTGTACAGGTCTTAATCCAGTGACTGCAATGTAACTGACAGGAAAACAAATATAGTAATTTATTCTACCTAGAAGATACACATTGGATACATTTGGGGGCCTTGAATTCCCCACATTTAATTGAGGAGAGGGATTTTGCAAGAGATATAAATTCCTCCAAGAGCAAATGGGAAGACAGGACCTGAAACACCATATGTACACTTGCAAAAAAATAAAATCTAGTGTTGTAATGAAAATTTCACAACTTTTTTTCATCTTTAAATCTGCTTTTAGTATTTCAAGATTTCTATCCTTCCTACGTATAAAATCTATTTGTTATAATGCATTGTGCAATTCACAGTTTTCTGGTGCCTTTACTTTTTAAAAAAAGCTGTAAAAAAGTACGTTGAATATGGTGTGTGTGTGCTGTTGGGTGGTTCTATACATACGGGTCTTTCTAGCAGAGTCTTCCACAAAAAGAGAAGAGATGTCTTCATCCACTCCTGCTTCATTCTTTGCGATACAAGTGTATGCTCCAGTATCTTCATAGCGCACATTGCTTATGTGAACCTCACTGCCATTTGCTGAAAAAAGAAGGGAAATGCAACTTGTAAACTACAATTTCAGTTTTGGAACAGTGCTTTCTGATTACACAGTCAAACAGTTCTCTTGGCTTGTCCTAATTAAACTGTTTCCCTTCCTACTTCCATACTTTGAAGGCATGCCAAATTATTCCAGAAGCATTCAAATGTTCATAAACTGTGCTGTCATTCTATAAGAGAGCCCAATACTCTATATCAAATGCATAGTTTATGTTTTGTATCATTTTCTATATTCTACATTGTATATGAGGTATTTCATATTGATAAGTATAATTTCATTTATATATTTACTTATAATATTCAGAACCTACATTCCCCTAAGATTTTTCAGAAATCTAATAATAGCAATATGATTAGTTTGCAGGTAAATGTATATGAAAGATGTTTTCATAGAGTAATTAATTGAGCTAAATCATGCAGGTATACTATTGCCATTCATCAAACTTATTATTATTTTTATTGTGAGACAGAATCTCATTCTGTCACCCATGCTGGAGTACAGTGGCACGATCTCAGCTCACTGTAACCTCCGCCTCCCGGGTTCAAGCAATTCTCCTGCCTCAGCTTCCTGAGTAGCTGGGACTACAGGCCCACTGCGCCACCCCGGGCTAATTTTTTGTATCTTTAGTAGAGATGGGGTTTCACCATGTTTGCCAGGCTGGTTTCGAACTCCTGACCTCAGGTTATCTTTGGTATAGGCCTGCCTTGGCCTACCAAAGGGCTGGCATTACAGGCGTGAGCCACCCCACCTGGCAGTTGAGTGTTTGTTATAGTCATTTGTTTAAGTTTCTCTTTCCTTTCTTTTCTTTTTCTTTGTTTTCCTTTTGTTTTCTTTCTGTGTGTATGTGTGTGTGTGCATGCCTGTGTGGGTACTGTGTGTGTGTTTGTGTACATATTTGTGTCTGTGTGTTCCATGTTGTTCAGTTACAAGAACCACACAAGCAGTAGAACGGGAAATGACTATCTGTGACAGGTAGAAGGCAACGTAATCAGTGTGGTTTGGGAAAACAAGGGTAGAAAGCCAATGAGAAAACAGCTTGATTGCCATCGCTAGGAGCCAGTAGCTCTCAAGGGATGTGAGATATGGACAGGCAGTGGATGTGGATGTTTGAGAGACATAATCATTTGAATAACTTGAAGTTGTTTCTTTATTTGCAAATGCTTACTACACACCCTCATTCCCCACATAATTCACTGAGAATCACTACTCCAAAAAAGGGGTTGGCAGGTTTTCATTTTGTTGCAACAGGCCAGGTGTAAATAATTTAGGTTTTGTGGGCCACACAATTTCTGTGGCAACTACTCACCTCTGCCACAGCAGCATTAAAGCAGCCAGGCAATACGTTTTGAAAAATGAGTGCAACTGTATTCTAAATACAAACCAACAACAACAACAACAAAAAAGAAAGCAAAAACAAAAACAAAAAAACCCACCTTTATTTAAAAAAACAGACAGCTATCTAGATATGGTCTGTGGGTCTTAGTTTATAGGAACCTGCTCTAAAGATAGGTAGTAAACAATGTATTTACATTTGCTTCACCTTCTTGTTTTATATAAGATACGGCCTCCTCCAAAATCATACCTTTTTTTTTTTTTTTTTCAGGATCCACACACTTAACAGCTTAAATTCTCTGGGTTTTGTTTTGAAATACCAAATAAATTTCTTCCTTCTTTAAATGCTGTCTCCCAATATTTTTACATGTTCTCCTAACCTATATGTCCCATTGTCTTTCCTTCTCTTCCTATGTAATCTAGCATTCTTAGATGTTACCACTTTATTGCCAGAACTACCAATCCCTTTATCTATTTATCATCCTGACACATCTGCCTTCCTAACCTCTAGAACTAGAATAAGCTAACCCATCTCTGCATCTGGTGTCCCTGCACCTAGTTCTTTGAGTAAGTTATAAGACTATTGCATAAGCGAGTTTATAATTTTCAGATTCACAGTTTTCAATTCCTAGGACATTCAAAACTACTTGCTATTCATTTCACTTGACCTTTCCAGTTAGGTACCTTTCATATCCACCTCTACTTTTACTTCAAATCTTTATATACTTTGTTTGATGTTTCCCATCATAATACTAACTTCACTCTCAGCAAGTGATCTTGCTCTTTCAATCGTGAGGTAAATAGAAGTGATCAGAAAGCAACCTCAAAACTTTCTGTTCCTAGTTTCACCTTGATTTATTTCTCACAGGAAATTTTCTGTTTCTTTCCAAGGCAAATCTCCCCTTATTTCTTATTGATTTCTATGACTCTTCCTGCAGGTTTCATCCTTCTCATTTCTCCCTACTGATACTTTCTCAGATTGATGAATTATCCAAGAAATATCTCCATCAGTTCTAAGCCTCCCCACCAGGAGCTACTATCTTCTATTTTTTTTTCCTTTCAGAATCTGGCCAAAAAAGATTTTTGTATTTCTTGTCTCCTTTTTGTTTCTAAACACACTGAAAACTGATTGTTACTGATACTGTTTTTCTAAATGTCGCAAGAACATGCTCATCACCTGAAGTAAACACTTATCAATGCCTTTTATTGAACTTTCTATGCATTTGCCATTGTTGACCTCTTTATTTTTAACTTTCTCTTCTTCCATATTATCACCTAGTCTCCTGTCTCTTGATGAATTTTAGTCTCTTACTGTTATTTTCTTCATTTGCCTGTTAATAAAATATTTGTGCTTTCTTGGGATTTTACTCTCTCTAATTCACATATTATCCCAGCCATTGCCACAGATACTAAATTAGTGTCTGGACTTGGACTTCACACACAAACACTAAAGAAGCATCTCATGAATGAGTAGATAATTAAACAGTTATTAAGCCACATGGAGTTTTATACCCCTATGTGTGTAGAATTATCTCTTCTCTCCTTTTATTTTTTGTCATATTCTCTTAAAACTTCAACTGTTTTTCCCTGTTGTAAAAATTTACAGTAATTTCTTTGCAAGCACCTTCTCTTTTCAAATGTTGAGTCTGGAGTGTAACAACTTCAAAAATTTGTTGTCATGTATATTCCTGAAAGCAAAATTTTGATATACTTTTATAATATGGTTTATTGCTATTAAATGGGCAAGAGACAAAGTCAGAAGCTATTTAGACTTTTATTCATTTAATTTCTGTTAATAAGTCTTCTCCTCTCAGATTATAGACCTCTTGAGGTAATCACTAGATATGTGTGCAAATGTGTCTGACCTACGTATGCACATTAGTGATTTCTAGGATTAAAGTTTTTAAAGTTTAAGGACACTTTCACAGACATGTCTCTATTGACTTGCAAGAATAAGTAGAAGTTTTAAAAAGTTTTATTTAAAAATGTATAATGATTATATATATCCACTATTAAAGTGGAATAATAATAGAACTCTATGTAATAAAGTGACAAAATATGTTCATGTTTAATAATATAAAGAAAATTAAAGTCATAAAATAAGAACTATAATGCCCATGAAGAAGATACTCCAGTAAAATGAGTGTTGTGTGTTACCCCTAACAATGAAAAAAAGGTTTGTGGTTTATTTTTAATGCTAGTATAATTAATATATTATATGCAACTGCTTTTAGACTACTTAAATTATTTGACCTTACAAATCTTGCCTGGTTTTGTTTATTTTCCACATATTTGGGATTATTATTATCTAATATACAGTAATTTATTCATGTCTACACATTAGAAGATTAGAATATGTACAATATTTTATATATTAGAATGTAACACAAACTTTAAAAAATGTAAATGGAAAACATTTAGTAACTTTTTGATATTCTTCTCCCTTCATTTACAAAATATGCTAAAAAATCCACTAAAAATTCTGTATTGAAATCTTCTATAATATATATTCAAGGTATTATTTAAACACTTAAAAAGTAACTTCAGAAATGAATTTCTATAAAAGAATCTAATTATTCTGCTCAGCATAACTGCTATAATTCACAGGACAAGTATTTTAAAGATACATAATTTAATATTTTACTTATCACCAAAATAATGACATAATTAATCATTATGACAAGACTATTATTAAAAACACTAAAATGTTAAAAGAATCTTTCCCATATAATTTCTTAGATATGAGCATTTTTTTTCATATTTGTGACATTCTGTTGCCACCAACACTCATTTTTCTTTTATTTTCCAAAGAACGTTATAAATTTTAGTATAAATTTTCAACATGGTCATTTAAGAGAAAAAAAAGCAAGTAAAAAGCACCTTGAAGCGTGAGTTGTTTGGAAAGCTTTGGTGTAATATCAATTCCATTCTTCAACCAGCCAAGCTGAGGCTTTGGTATGCCCTCTGCATGGCACCTAAGACTGGCAGTTACCCCAGGCTCTCTAGCCTGACTCTCTGGATACACCCGGATGACTGGAGGAACTAAAGGAAAAAATGAAAGAGAAAGTGAATTAGTGATTCATATTTTCTATTTAATTTTCCAAAAGAAAAATTGCAATAAGATAAATAATAAATTATATATTTTAATGATGCTATACGTTTCTACAGATTGTAGTTTCCAAATAGCATTATCCACTGAAATGTACCAGTGTTACCTGTATAAAAACTATTCTGGGATTTTGCTAGGGAAAACATAAGATGAGCCTGGAATATCTTGTTTCAGAAATTAAACAAGTCCTCAAAGAATGATGAGGCATACCAAAAGGATACAGAAACCAGTTAAAAGAGACTCCAATTTGCTAAATATGGGACAATTTGAGCACTGAAATAATTAGTAATTACAAAGGAGTATAAGGAATTAAATAAAATCATGAATTCAGTTATATAAATAAATAAATGAGTATATAATGGAAGGAAAATAAAATATTTTTATTATAGCCTGTTAGGAAATTAATAATTCTGTTTACAATAGTATCAAAAAATAAAATATTTAGGAATAAAGTTCACCAAAGACATGCAAAACTTTCATACTAAATACTATGAAACTTTGTTGAAAGAATTTAAAGAAGACCTAAATAAATCCGAAGACACTTTGTATTCCTGGATTGAAAGAATTGATTGGTAACATGGTACAAACTGGTAAAGGCTATTGGTAAGGTGATCATACTCCCAAGTTGACAAAGACAAGTAAAAGAAAAACAAAGGTACAGTGTAATCCTTATCAAAGTTCTAACTGCATTTTTTTCGAGAAATTAAAAAAACTTATCCTCAGATAAATGTGAAATTACAGGAGACCCCCAAGTGGTGAAAAAAAAAATCTTGAAAAAGTACAAAGCTGGAGGGCTCATACTTGCTGATTTCAAAACATGCAATGAAGTAATCAAAGCAGTGCAATCCTGACACAAAGATGGAATAGACTTGAGAGTGCAGAAATAAACATACATTGATGGTCATTTTTTTTCCCAATTATTCTGGGACAATTGGAAAACCACATGCAAGAAAATAAGCCTGAACTCCTACCCCATACCATAAGCAAAATTGAATTCAAAATAAATCAAAGACTTAAATGTAGGAGCTAAAACAATAAACTATCAGAAGAAAACATTGAGTAAATGTTTCTGATCTAGAAATGGACAATTGTTTCTTCTAGATATGACCCCAAAGCACAAGCAACAACAAAAACAAAATAAATATGTTAGATTTTGTAGTGCATCAAATGACACTATAAAAAAGTATAAACACAACCCACAAAATAGGAAAAGATATTTGAAAATTCTGATAGTATCCAGAATATATAGAGAACTGTTACAAATCAGCAGCTAAAAAGCCAACAATGCAATTAAAATTTGAGACGAAAAAATTGAATAGTCATTTCTCTATTGAAGATGTATAAATGGCTAATTAAGCATATGAAAAGATTAAAAAATTAAAAAAAATCAAAAAGAGGGAAATGCAAATCAAAACCACTACATGATACCACTTCACACCCTCTAGAATGGCTATTTAAACAGATAAACAAAAATCAGAAAATAACATGTTGTTGATTGAGTATGTGGAGAAACTGGAACTCTTGCACATTGCTGGTGGGAATATAAAATGATGCAGCCATGCAATATATGGAGGAAAATACTAATGCATTCTACAACATGAATATTGGAGGTATCTGACACAAACGTTTACATATTATATTAATCCATTTATAAAACGTTCACAATGGGCAAATCCATGGTGACAGAAAGCAGACTGGTTGTTGCTAGGGACTGAGGAAATGGAGGAATGAGAAATGACTGCTTAATGGATATGAGGTTTATTTGGGGGTGACAATGTTCTAGGCTTAGATAGTGGTGATGGTTACACAACATTGTAAATATGTTATGAGCTACTGTGTGGTACATTTTGACACAGTTAAATGGCATGTGGATTTTATCTGAATAAAAAAGAAAGGAAAGGCAAAGGAGGCTAATGAAACACTCTAGACTAAAAAAAGATGAGTTATAAGAAATAAATAAAACATGCAAATCAAGATTGGGTCCTGGACTTAGAAAAATAAGTTATAAAGTATATTACTAAGAGAACTGACAAAATTTAAATATGGTCCCTGTATTAGATATTGCGATACTACTAATGTTACCTTTCCTGATTTGATAATTGCACTTTGATTAGGTAAAATAATTTTCTTTATAAAAGTCACTCACTGAATTAACTAGTGATGAATACAATCTGAAACTTTTTTCAATTATATAATCATTGATATTAAAATGAGATGTCGTAAATACAACATTAGGCATAATTATAGAAAGACTCAATTAAAAGTGAGATGTGGATTAATTGATAACTTTCTGTTTCTAGTAATGTTGAAAAAATGATAATGACTGATTCTGATTATCTTCCTGACTAGAATTTAAAATCTTGGAAAAGTTTACAGAAAGCATTTTCAGAAATCATAAGTAACTTAGGGATATAATGAGGAATGGCAGAATCAGTACAGAAGAAACTTTAAGGCTCATGGAAGTGAGCTACAACTGTTTCTCCCTCAAGAATAGTTCCCAAAGCAGGTGAAGATTCTGAAGTCAGAGTTGATTACTAATCAAAGGTATTTTATTTCTGTCTCTCTCTCCCATGTATATACACATATGCATGTGTGTGCACACGTAATTTAAAAAATAATAAGACAACTTGAGAGGTTTTGTATTTTTCTTTTAGCCATTAATTAATTCAGTGTGTATTTCTTTAAGATCTGGCGCGTTGCTACATTGAATCAAATATAGTGATTTATCTCTTCTACCTTACCAGACTCCAAAACTTCTGGGAAGCCAGGATTATGTACTTATTTTTGGTTTACAAATACATGCCAATATCAGGGAATCAGCTGATTCTGGTAGGCAGCCTCAACTAAAGTAAATGGGCTTAGTATTGTGGTCCCACAATAATTGTGGCTGGAGATTCTGGCATAGTAACTCTTTCTCTGTACTGGGTTACTAGTTGCATTCCATTTAAGTGGCCACAAAATGTCCAAAGATTCATTGCAGAATCTCTGGTACCCCCCAGTGCCTGACAGTCATAGATGGAATACCTCTCTTAAAGAACCTATTATCTTTATAATTAAAATAATTTGGAAAATGGTTGATGAAATCAAATTTGCTGAATACAACAAAATATCTCAAGGCTTTCCTTAAGAAAATACAAACTTAACCAATAAAAATAAAAACAACAGTCAAGTTTTAAAAAGCCACAAAATTCTGGTAACTGGAGTTATTCATCTAGGCTTCCTGTGTTTAAAGAGTTGATAGCTAAACATAAAAATTTAGGAAGCTATAAAACATAATGTTGTAATTAAAATAAATCAACTAGAAATGCTATATTTTTAAATAACAAAAATTGAAATTATAAACTCAATCTTTGTATTTAACTCCAGATTAGATACAGCTGAAGAAGAAAGGCGATAATAGAAAGTTAAGTCAGAAAAAAATCATAGCCACAATAAAGCACAGAGGTATAAAATATAGAAAATACAGATGAGAGAGTAAGTGAATATAGAATAGATTAAGAATACTATAAATATGCATATTATATATACATATTATATATATATATATACACATATATAAAACTGAAGAGAGCGATATTTGAAGAGGTAACCATTGTGATATTCTCAGTTCTGTGTAAGACATTAAATCAGTGATTCCAAAAGCCTAAAGATGATGAACTTTCTTAAGAAAGGTGACACATAGACATTACAGTAAAACTATAGAACACCAAAGAAAAAAAGACAAATCATAAAAAGCAACCCCAAGAAACAAAATGGCATACCAAGAAAGTCAGAATGAGAGCTAAATTCTTACAGAAATGGTAAAAACTAAAGAGAACACATTATAGACAGCTTTATGCCAACACGTAACTTTAAATAAAATGAACAGATTTCTGGAAACGCAAGCATCTAGCAGAACCTACACAAAAAGTAGTATAAAATCTAAAAAGTCTTATAACATTTAAATACATTTAATTTATTTAAAAACTTTTAATCAAAGAAAACTTTAGAACTTTTCCAAAATAAAGTAAAAATAACACCAATCTTATACAAGCTCTTCTAGAAAATAAAATGGGGCTGGAGGCATCTCTTTAGTAGTGTTAAAATATCTCTATCAATTGTTGACACTCCTGTCTTCCAAAGATAGAGACTAACTGTTCTCACTTTACACATGGGACCTGTGGGCTGGATTTAATGACGTGCTGTTAATGAACAGAGCTGTGGCAAAGTAATGGTGCATAATATCCAGCATTAGGTCATAAAAGGTATTGCAATATTTTCATCGTTCTCTTGCTCTTGCAGAATTCAGCTGCCGTGTCATAAGATACTCAATCACTCTTATGGGGATGCTTATATGCCAAGGGGCAGAGAGAGGCCCCATGACAACAGCCAGCAAAAAACTAAGGCCTCCTGCCAATAGCCACGTGAGTGAGTAATCTTGGAAGTAGTTATGCCAGCCGCAATCAAGCTTTCAGATGACTACAGCTCTGAACAACATGTTGATTGAAATCTCAGAAAAGAGATTGTGCCAGGATCACCTAGCTAAGCTGTTCTCAAATTATTTGATTATTTCATTTCTCTGTTTATTATTGCATATCTTGATTTTCCTATTATCTCAAAGAGCATAAATGTTTGTTGTTTTAGGCAACTAGTATTTTAGCTAATTTATTATGCAGCATAGATAACTAATAAAATCCCCAGCTTCTTTTTATGAAGTCAGCATAAACTTAATATCAAAATGTGACAAGGCATTAGAAGAAAGAATAATTAGTGGTCAGTGTCACTCATGAAAATAGATGAAAAATTCCCGTATAAAATATTATCAAACAAAATTTATCAGAATACTAAAATGGTAATATACCATAATATATTGAGTTAATTATAGACATTCAAAAAATCACTGAATGTAATTCATCATATTAACAGTTTAAAGAAGTAAAATTGTATGATCTTTTCCAAAACTGCAGAAAAGTCATTTACCTTTGGAAAACAAAACAAGAAAATATTTTCTTCAGTATGATAAGGGTTATCTTAAGCACTTGTAGATGGCATAGAGTAAATTAAAATACAAAAGATTCTTTAGATGAATTGTGATAATAAGTGAATTTGGTATGTGTGCATGATACAAGTTTGCATATTTGTAAATACCAGTAACAAAATATTTCATATATTTTAAGATTAATAAAGCAACAAATATATTAACTATCTACAAATATATTTAACATGTGGTGCTCAAACCCTTTTTGAAACATTCTAAAACATTATTTAAAATGTTATTGATAAAAATGAAATAAGACTAAAATCAGTGGAGTAATAAACCATGTTCATGGTACCTTTAGTTATTATTGCCTCTAGTTACAATTATATTAATTTTATCCATCAAATCTTTTTTCATTTGCATTCCCATTCCACAAAACTGGTAAAACCCATCTTTGTAGAAACAATCTAAATATGGTACCACTTACCAAAATGCTCACTTTTGTTCATTTAATTAGTCATATATTGATTACTTAGTATCTGCGATAAACTGTAAACTGTTAGGTTGACACAGATGGACAACATATGTCTCGTATGTACTGTTCAATAATGAAAACCAGGAAACAATAATTGTAACAGAACACTTTATGTCCTGTAATAGAGTTGAAAGAGGTGTGGTAGTTACAGAAAAATGGGAGTTATCAACACAAAGTTCGTTAAAGGAAAATGAACTGAATTTTGAAGTGTTTAGGGGAGTATGATAGACAGTGTAGTGAATATGGTTGTGGGGAAGACATTTTCAGTATATGCACCATGCTGAACTTTTTATATTTTTCCAATGAGTGTATACTTCTTGAACTTGAGTTATGTCATAGGTAGTTAGATATATGTCACATGCAATTGTATGGACAGTCAATTAGCCAGTTTACCACCAAAAATGCTGGGAGAGAAATCCTGCATTCATTCAGTAAATATACATGTATCAATTATCTACAAGTGCCAGGCATTCCAAGAACATTATAATTGCCATTATAATGTACTAAGCTTTGTGGGAAATGATTCAGGAATTATGCAATGATGGACTATTAATTGTATAATTTTCAAATGATTGTGCTATGTAAATTTTTGAGGTTAGATGAGAATTTGAATATATTAGAACAAATGGTTTAGACATTTTAATTCCAATACCAAAAAGCATAATGTCCTTTCCAACAAAAATTAACATGCTATCTTTAATGTAAATATTAAATCTATTCACATTGAAAGCAAATAGTTCTGGATGGCTGAATTTTCTTAATTGTAGAGAGTGGTACCTTTCCATACTTAATATTGAGAATAATATTGTTTTTATGAAAGTGTTTCTCAAGTGAATTCTAGACCTCAGATTTGGAAAATCCCCTGCTAATGAAAATATGTTTATTTGTCGTCATTTAGACATTTTGATTGAGACAAATGAAGATTTGGGGTCTTCATTTTGCTGCTTAATAGTGCTGTGATGTTGAGTTCATTTTCAAACATTTTTGAGTCTTTGTTTTCTTATATGTAAAATAAATATTGTACTATATTTTAAGGTTTTGAAAATCAAAAGAATTATAAAAATAAAGAGTTGTATATTGCAAAGCAATATATATTGTAAAACAATATATATCAGACAGCTATATATAATATGATATATATGATTAATAATAGGCTCTTTGAGAGAAGAGGTTTTGCCTTATTTAATCATTAAATTCCCTGATGTAGCCGGGTGACTTGTGTAATGAAGACCATGTGGAAGAGTTCCACAGGATGTATGTTACAGGCTTACCACACTGATTCCTTTCTGACATTTACAATTTAGCATTTGCTATTTAAAATGGCCATGAGAGTATATGTAACATACGTTGTCCTTGATAAGAATATGACTTGGTAAATAAAGAAGAGGACTCCAGTTCTCTGTCAAAAAAGTTTCTGCAGGAGATATCAAAAGACAGGACATAAAAGTTTTGTTCACTTGGACCATTTGCTCTCCGGTTAATGCATGTATTTTGAACTACCTGACATCCTTTTCTTTCAGCCATCAGAATGCCAATAAAAAACTTTAAGGTCCAAAACCAATCTGAGACTCTATTTGGTGATTCAAATATGTGCAAAGTTAATTTCACCACTCTTATTTTTTAGTGTCTGGAGGATCCATTGTATATACAAATTTCACTGACTATTGAATAAGTGTCAATCCTCCAGACTTACTAAAACTATAAAAGTAATGCAAACCAAGACTAGTTAAAGCCGTCACGTCAGGACTACAGCCGACCACCCTACTGGCCTGTTAGTTCCCTTTCCCAGCTATACTCTGGGAATATTAAACTAGCTTCATGTTAACTACACAGAGAAAAATGAGGCAGGGGAGGGTGTCCTCAGAAAGGCCTAATAACCCTTAGTGTCCATAGTTGGGACTGTATCCTGTACATTGCCCTTAATATTTTTAGAAGCAGAAAAATAATAGACCTTCAAAGCTCTAAGTACAAAAAGAAATCTGCTGCACCCTTTCTGCCATTTCTCATTCAAAAGTATTACAATATACACAAGCTTGCACAGTGACAAGGAGCAAAACCAAGTTCTGATTTTATTCTTTTCCTTGAGGACTACTTAAATGAATTTTTTTGAAATACAAAATACACTTTCAAAAATGATTGTCCTAGTATTTCTGTGCCTGCTTTCCTGGTGACATAAAGCACACGTTTAGGCTCTCCTAATGTATTTAGAACAGAGTAGTTATTGCAGCATTTTATTTTATTGAAGGTTAAAACAAATAACTTTTTTTTGTATTTTATTTTATTTTATTTTTTCAGTAACTTCTTTTTTATTTATTTATTTATTTATTTATTTATTTATTTATTATTATACTTTAAGTTTTAGGGTACATGAGCACATTGTGCAGGTTAGTTACATATGTTTACATGTGCCATGCTGGTGCGCTGCACCCACTAACTCGTCATCTAGCATTAGGTATATCTCCCAATGCTATCCCTCCCCCATCCCCGCACCCCACCACAGTCCCCAGAGTGTGATGTTCCCCTTCCTGTGTCCATGTGATCTCATTGTTTAATTCCCACCTATGAGTGAGAATATGCGGTGTTTGGTTTTTTGTTCTTGCGATAGTTTGCTGAGAATGATGATTTCCAATTTCATCCATGTCCCTACAAAGGACACGAACTCATCATTTTTTATGGCTGCATAGTATTCCATGGTGTATATGTGCCACATTTTCTTAATCCAGTCTATCATTGTTGGACATTTGGGTTGGTTCCAAGTCTTTGTTATTGTGAATAATGCCGCAATAAACATATGTGTGTGTATGTCTTTATAGCAGCATGATTTATAGTCCATTGAGTATATATCCAGTAATGGGATGGCTGGGTCAAATGGTATTTCTAGTTCTAGATCCCTGAGGAATCGCCACACTGACTTCCACAATGGTTGAACTAGTTTACAGTCCCACCAACAGTGTAAAAGTGTTCCTATTTCTCCACATCCTCTCCAGCACCTGTTGTTTCCTGACTTTTTAATGATTGCCATTCTAACTGGTGTGAGATGGTATCTCATTGTGGTTTTGATTTGCATTTCTCTGATGGCCAGTGATGATGAGCATTTTTTCATGTGTTTTTTGGCTGCATAAATGTCTTCTTTTGAGAAGTGTCTGTTCATGTCCTTTGTCCACTTTTTGATGGGGTTGTTTGTTTTTTTCTTGTAAATTTGTTTGAGTTCATTGTAGATTCTGGATATTAGCCCTTTGTCAGATGAGTAGCCAAAAAAGAGCCCGCATTGCCAAGTCAATCCTAAGCCAAAAGAACAAAACTGGAGGCATCATGATACCTGACTTCAAACTATACTACAAGGCTACAGTAACCAAAACAGCATGGTACTGGTACCAAAACAGAGATATAGATCCATGGAACAGAACAGAGCCCTCAGAAATAATGCCGCATATCTACAACCGTCTGATCTTTGACAAACCTGAGAAAAACAAGAAATGGGGAAACGATTCCCTATTTAATAAATGGTGCTGGGAAAACTGGCTAGCCATATGTAGAAAGCTGAAACTGGATCCCTTCCTTACACCTTATACAAAAATCAATTCAAGATGGATTAAAGACTTAAACGTTAGACCTAAAACCATAAAAACCCTAGAAGAAAACCTAGGCATTACCATTCAGGACATAGCCATGGGCAAGGACTTCATGTCTAAAACACCAAAAGCAATGGCAACAAAAGACAAAATTGACAAATGGGGTCTAATTAAACTAAAGAGCTTCTGCACAGCAAAAGAAATTACCATCAGAGTGAACAGGCAACCTACAAAATGGGAGAAAATTTTTGCAACCTACTCATCTAATAAATAACTTTTTAAAGTGATATGTTAATGTACTTATGGTAAACCCACATCACTGTAAGGGGTGGAGTAAAAACACTGTTTAAAATATTTAGACTAATCTGACTAATCTCTAATCTCTTAACAACTACAGTTAGGAGATGAGCTTTTTAAAAAAGACAGGGAATCAGAATAGATATTAATAACAACTCTCAATAAGTATTTAATAAGACAAAGTTTATCTTGCCACAGGATTTGTAAGCATCAATTCTTCTTGCAACAGTCTTTGGAGCAGCAAAAAATTGAGACAGCCTAAATCTGAGAATTAGTTTGGAAGGAAGCACATCAATCACCTCAATAAGAGCAATAGATAACACATTATTCATACTGGAAAATATATATATTATATGGGCCACTTACATGGTCACTGATACTCCCCAAAGGAAAACTTTTTAGATGAGATGTTCAATTTCCTCCTGCATTCCAAGCTACTTCTACTTTATTGATGTACTTATGAAGGGACAGAAAGAAAACTAGTGAATAATAATTTTTGTCACATGAAATTTTAATTCTCATATAGATTATATATATGAAAAAATAATACTTTCATGTAATCGACATGTGTCTCACTTAGTTTATTGGTGTTAAATGATTTTCTGAAAAGTGTCTCTTAACTCACATAGAATTGAAGGATAAGTGATTGGCATAACAACTATTTAACCTCAGTGACAAGCTAAACATTTAAAAGTAGCTTACTTTTCCCAGGATACATATTATGAAATATAAATGAGGACTGATGGCAGCCTGAATTAAAAAAGTCAATAATCCTCCACAGAACATTTCAAACCATTTGTTACAGGCATTTTTAGCTAGGAAGTGCACTCTATAAACTTGTCTTTTTCTTTCTATTGGCAACACATGAAAAAAAGAAACTGATAAAGACTACCAAAGTGTTGTCACATTGGATTTAGGATCCAATTTGCATGGACTACCATGAAAAGCTTTAAATAGGCTCCTAACATTTTATGAAAATGTGATATTTAAAGATCAGCTTCTATACACTAAATAATTCCATATGATATTTGATGTCTTGCTAATATAGCTCAGGAAATGCCTTCAACCTAAATAGTTTAAACTAATTGGGTTACTTTATATAATAATATCCAATACAATCATATAATATAAACATCAAATAATTTATTATGTATATATTAATACAGGAACATTATAAAAAGTTGACATTACATATTAAAATTTATTCTACAAAAATGTAATCAAGTAAACTTCTATTACCTAAAATGGAAGGAGATACCAAAGGATGTAAATATATATATTTTATTCAAAAATTAGGTAAAGTATAAAATTTGATTTATTTTTGAGTTTTAAGATAATAATATATAGCTATTCACTGAGCAACTCCTGAGCATAATACATTGTGCTGGTAACTTTCTCCATCACTCACTTGCTCTCTTTTCTATATTACACATCCAATGAGTGATAGGTTCGAGTTGAAACTAGCCAAGTGGAGCATTGAAAAAAAAATACATTCTTAGCTTAAATTGTCTCATATGGTCCTAATAATATAATATATGTCTTTATAAAAGTGTCTACTGGAATTTGACTACTTGGCATCCACATTCATTAAATTATGAATTAGATTGTTAGCTATAATGTATAAGGCATATTAGAGATCCTGGAAAAAAATCATATTTTAAAAGTAAAGGTCAAATAAATTAGTGCATTTATAGTATTTCAGAGCAGTATTAATAATGCATCTCAAATATATGTAACTTTTCAAGGAAACTGAACTATTGCTCAGTTTAAAAACGACATCATCATTTAAATAAATCAAACAAATCTAATAAAATTTTATTTAGTTCATCTGATGGTTCTTAGAGCATCAAATGTAAATAATCAGATACTATATACACATGACCAATTGCTCTAAGAATACATAAGACTAGTACATTTTAACATTACACAAATTTAGAAATGAAGGTGAGGTTCTGATACTTAAAAAAGTAGAAATGAAAAATGGAGGAAACTAAATAAAATAAAGTATATTTACATTTACACAGGTTTTTCTTTCTGGAAACTTTGGTGTTTATATGGAATCCTTGTAAACATTTATCATCCGAAAACCATGATGTGTCTTATGATGATAGTAGGAAAAAAAAAGGAAGGGTAGATAGATATATTTCTCAAAGGCCCACAGCAACTTAACTGCATTAGACTAGACCAGTACTTCTCTCTACATTAGGAAGAATCTAATAGAATTTATTTAATGTAATGATGCTTCTAATCCAATATTAGAAAGATTCTAATGTGAAAAAAAAATCTCTGTAAGGCTAAGTCTTACTTTTTTCTCATTCTTCATACTTTCATACACTGATCTTTCTTTAGAAGTTTCTGCATTATTGCCGCAGAGTATGGAGACAGCATAACTGGCTGTTTTGGAAGCCTGAATTTAGTCAAGAGGCAGGGATCACTGACCCAATACAGTGACTTCATTCTAACTGAAAACAAAAATGAATTTAAGGTGAATCGTCAGGTCACTGGTAAGTAAACAACTAAGCACTGACTATTTTTTCCTTTTTCTTGATGCTATTATCTTGTATTCTTTTGAAGAATTCTATCATGGCTCTTCCACAAATTATTCACACAGCTGCAACTGTTCGAAAAGGTTCTAAGAAAGCTTGAGGGTAAGAATATAAATGTCTCTGAAGTAGTGCTGACTCACAGCGGCAGCTGGATTGTTCTGTTTGTATTATGACTTCCTTTGTCATTAAAGCAACTTTCCTATGAAAAATTACAGACTCGGTTTAATAAATATTTTAAATGCTACTGAGCTTGTCCAATGCCTTTTGTCTGACATTATTAAAGCCATCAATTTCTCTTTAACTTTGTCCCAAAGCAGTCTTTTTATATTCATGACTTTCACACTGCCTCTTGTCAATATTACAAAACTCTCTGATCACATTATTGCAGTCTTCATGAAAGTGTAGAGGATGCAACAAATGTTGGAGGCAAAATATAAATTAAGAGCAACATTCTTAGGGTCATAAACTTCGGTGAGTTTTTTTAATTGGGTCTTCCTATTTATCATATGACATTGTAAGAAATTACAATGCTTTAACCTATTTTGAAAGAGACAGTTCACCCTAATTTAATTAACTTAGATGTAGTCTACTAATATTTAAAGTTAGTGGCCTTTTTAATCCTCAATTTCAAAGTCTCAAAAGTCACCATTTTAAGAAATGCTCTCTGAAACACAAAAGAAAATATAACAAAAGCGTTTCAGATGATAATACACAAGATGTCGTTTCTCTAAACCTAAAGAAAAGAAAGAATAAATGAGAAAAAAACATAGCCTGGCACATGCTGGATGATGCTGGTTTCTTTTTGACAGATTTTATTTAATTTTATTTAATGTATATCTAATTTAGAGATCAGGAGTTCTCAAAGTGATTATTTGAGGCAGGAGTTGTGTAGCTGATATGTTACAGTAACCTCCTCCTAAGCAGAAAATTTGAACGCATCTCTAATACTTTCTGCTATGCTGTAAGGGATAAAATATCCCATTTCTGAGTCTTGATTTCTCCATTTGTAAAATTTGAAACTCTTCTGAGGATTAAATGGACTAAAGGAAACACTCTCTGGTAAATTCCCAGCCCATTGCTAGGCATGAGTCAGCAAGCAAAGGTTTGGTGTCTACTCACATGTTTTGTTGTTTTTGAAAATATGAGGGGTTTTTCTGCTGGCTACACAGAGAATGTCTAAGACTTAATAAGAGGAACAGAAAATGTGTTTAATTTCACTTGTCAATACCAACTGATTAGTAGAAATGAACTTAGATGGGAATTGAACCTGTCTAAGCCCATGAACTGTTTCAACACGCAAGAAAACTATAATTGATCAACAATGTTTGTCAAGACTAGAGGGAGGAAGTGGAAGCATGACGTATTCCAAACTGGTTAAATGTTCCAGATGCAAATGTAAACCCTGTCTAAATACAATCTAGGAATAGATTTAGTCAAAGCTGTGTCTAAACACATTTTAAACAGATCAAACACCTTCTCAGCTCTTTTTTTAACTCACATTTGCACCTCAATAGTGTGTTTGTATATATATACCCTGTAAATAGCCAATTTTTGCAACTAGAAGGTAATGAAAGCATTGCATTAGGGCTTAAACATAAAGAAAACATTTGTCTTTCAATATTATATTAAAATGTGTTGCAAAATATATATGATTCTGGAAGCTTTTGTTTATAACTTTTCTTACAGCTAGTTCTCTAGCTAGCCTTATTTTCTACCACCGTTTGTGTAAGAAACAGAAGAATTTTAACAACATGTAAGACTATAAAATATAACATGTCTTGCATCAGACAGGATTACTCAAGACGAAGATTTTGATTACAAGCTATAACTGACTAGCTCTGTGATTTTGGGATACTCACTCCAACTCTATGAGTGCTTGTTTACTCATTTGTAAAATGAACATTATGAGGAAAGAATAAGACAACACTTTAAAATATAAAAACTATGCAGATAGAAATGAATTCACGACAATATTGTTGAAGATCTTTTCAACAGAGTAGATGATAAAAATTACTAATATTAGATAATTTTGCTCAGGAAGTTTTATTGCAAACTAATATATGTAAAAAAGCAAAAAAAACCCACTAAGATTTAGCGGGTTATAGTCATCCATATTTATACAAACTTAGTTCGTATTTCTCGGTAAAAGATTATATATATATGTGTGTGTGTGTGTGTGTATATATATATATATAATCCTGGATTAAGTTTATTTTATCAAAATGAAGTAATTTCTTTAGAAACTACCTAATTTGTCTTAGAACAATTTTTATATAAACTGATAAACCGAGAGTTATAAATATAGTTTCCTAATTTCAGAATGAGCTTCTTAATGGGAATTGTAAATGAACTCTACTTGTACTTGGAAGTTCTCATGTAATACTGAGCTACAAAATTAATTTGATAAAGTCGTGTGGATAATTAATTTTTGAAAAAGCACTCTTAAATAAAGCAATAGTACCCTTGTTTGAGTATCATCACTTTATACTTTAACCAACAACTTTCAAAAGAAATCTTTAAAATACAAAACTACAAATAAAAGAGCAGCCTTAAAAATTATATATAAATCATAATAAGCCTAAAACTTGCTAAACAAAGATAAAATATTTCTGCACCTTTACACAATTTATGTAATTTTTCCTCATTTTTTATTATTAAGTATGCTAGAATTTTTAATCTTCAGTTTTCAAATCTATAAAAAATTTCATGACAAGCATACTAAACTAACTCCAAATACAGGAGAGTTATGCTGTTATTTTACACTTAGTAAAATTAAAAATGTTTAGAATATTCCCTAACTTGACAGGCATTACCATAGATAATTTTGGGAGAATAAATTGCTACAAAATTTTAGCACAGCAATATAGCATTATCTACCCATTTTTAAATGCATGTGATTTTTAATGTAGTGATTCTTCTTTGATTAAGCTAATCTAAAGAAATTAAAGCACCAGTATGTAAGTACAAGGATGATTATGTACACACTGCATATAAGAGTAACTTGTGAAATCTGAGTCATCAATATTAAAATTGAACAGATTATCATACTATCATACTGTGAAATTTTATTAAACAACAAAAAAGAATGAGCTAAGTTACGTATATTGCATATATTGCCCAAAAATAAATCTAAGATATCTTAAATGAGAAAAATCCTGAGTAACTTATAGAGAATAAGCCCATATTTGAGAATCTAACACGTGCATATGTGTTATATGTGCTCATATAAGTTATATAAACTGAACCTTAAGGTTCAGTCATGTGTCGCTTAAAGATGGGGATGTTTTCTGAGAATGTGTCCTTAGGAGATAAGCCCATATGTTCCTCTGCAAATAAGTGGTTAAACAAACTCTTTTACGTACATACCATAGAACACTATACAGCAATAAGAGCTATGAACTGTGGATATTTGCAACAATGCAGATGGATATCCAGATAATTATGCTGAGTGAAAAACGTTTTATAAAACAATCCCAGAAGGATGTACAGTGTATGACTCCATTTATATAATATTCTTGAAATAATAAACTATCGAAAGGAAGAGCAGATTAGTGGCTGTCAGCAGTTAATGAGTTGGTGGGAGTAGGAGAGAGCTCAGTGTGGCTCCAAAAGGGTGTCACTAGGGCTTTTGTGGTGATGAAACTCTTCTGCAACTTGACTGTATCAATGTCAATATGGCAATCTAATGTGCTACAGTTTTACAGGATCTTTCTGCATTGTTACTTAAAACTGCATAAGAATTTACAGTTATCTCAAAATTAAAAAGTGTAATTAAATATTTTTGGTCTACTTTAAAGAAACATAATTTATATCAGTAGTAAAGACAAGTCTACACTGAGTAGCTCAAAGAAAAATGCCACCCCACTGGAACTCTCAAAATGTTACTCTTAACTTTCTCACTCAATCCTCTGTTCCTGGTCCCTAGATACTCTCTGCGTCCACACCGTTCTGGTTCCCTCTGATTGTATTTAATATAGTTCACTGCTATTCCACACTATTAGTGGAAAAGTGGCTGCTGGCACCAACAATTCATAGAGGTCATCTCTCAATATGCCACCTTCTAGTAAAAATAGCATGCTTCCTATAAGTTCATTTGAAAGCAATGAAGTCACTATTTATCTAGCCCAATTAGTAAACTGGTAGCCCTCTGTGACTTTTCACTCTAACTCATTAGTAACTCTCCCAACCAACCCCAATCCAGTTATTTATGGCAACATATTTATTATCAATTTGATCTCAATTTTTCACATTTTTCTTCCTTCAGTTTAGGCCTTCACTATTTCTAGCCTTTGTGCAAAACCTGTGAACTGCTCTTCTTCTCAACAGCCCTGCACAAATCCATTCTTCATTCTTCATACTGCCGACAAAGTTATTTTAAAATTGAAAGTATTATGTTGCAACTAATCTAATTAAAATCCTTTACTGCATTCTCCGTTTCTCAGATTAATATCCAAACTACTCAACCTAAAATATCCTTCATTACCTGGTCTGTATTAGCTTCTCAAGATTTATATATGGTGAATCTCTTCGTAAAAGCCTGCATTGATGTTTCTAATCTATATCCTCTCCTTTTTCCTCTTCCTAATTAGACTCCTCTTTCTAATAACTCTTAACTTTCTGATGACTCCTAAAATAACTGCTGTTTCCTTCTATTTCCTTCCATCCTCCTCCTTGTTCTTTCTTCTCCTTTGCTTTCTCCTTCTATTTCTTCTCTCTTTCCTCTTCTTTTTTTCTTACTTTTCTTCATTGTCCTTTATCTCTTCATTCATCCTCTACTCTTTCCACTTTTCAAATGTACATTTTAGTTTTAAAATTGTCACTTCTAATTTCATTATTTTTGAACAGACAATGCATTCACATGGTTGAAAAGCTAAAACATACAAAAAGTACACTGTGAAAAGTCTCCCTCTCATTTCTATCTTACTGTTTTCTACTTCTCTCTCTTCCTGTAAGCAAATTAATTCCTGTAAGCAAACTGTTAATGGTTTCTCATGCATTTTGAAGGAGATTTTATGTATAAACTTATAAATATAATTATGCATAATATATATATCATATGCATGTAAAATGTGTTCATGCCTTACTTAATGAAGGTGCTACGTTCTGAGAAATGTATTGGTAGGTGATGTTGTCACCATGGGAAGCTCATTCTGTAATTACACAAACCCAGATGCTATAGCCTATTTACACACCTAAGCTATATGGTATAGCCAATATAGCTCCCAGGCCACAAACCTGTGCAGTATCTTACTGTACTGAATACTGCAGGCCAAGCTTGTCCAACCTGTAGCCCCCAGGCCACATGCAACCCAAGACAGCTTTCAATGCAGCCCAACACAAATTTGTAAACTTTCTTAAAACATTATGAGTTTTCTTGGTGTGATTTTTTTTTCTTTTAGCTCATCAGCCATCATTAGTGTTAGTGTAGTTTATATGTGGCCCAAGACAATTCTTCTTCCATTGTGGCCCAGGGAAGCCAAAAGATTGGACACCCCTGCTGTAGACAATTGTAGCATGATGGTATTTATATATCTAAACATATAAAAGGTGAAGTAAAAGTAAGATATAATATAAAAGATGGTACTCCTGTATAGCGCACTTACCACGAATGAAGCTTATAGGATGAGATGTTGCTGAGTCAGTGAGTATGTGGTGAGTGAATATAGAGGCCTAAGACATTATTATACACCACTGTACACTATAAACACTGAACACTCAGGCTATATTAGATTTATAAAAAAACTTTCTTTCTTCAATAATAAATTTTCCTTAGCTTACTGTAACTTTGTTACTTTTTAAGCTTTTTAATTTTTTCAACTTTTTGACTCTGTAATAACACTTAGCTTCAAATATACATTGTACAAATGTACAAATTTTTTATATTTTTATTTTATAAGATTTTTTTTCTGTTTATACAATTTTTTAATTTTAATTTTTCCTTTTTAAACATTTTTGTTAAAAATTAAGACACAAACTCACACATTAGTTGAGCCCTACACAGGGTCAGGGGACCTGTGTAGGTCCTGTCTTTATCTATATCACTGTCTTCCGCCTCCACGTCTTGTCTCACTGGAAGGTCTTTCAGGGGCAATAACACACATGGAGTTGTCATCTCCTGTGACAACAATGCCTTCTTCTAGAATACCTACTGAACTACCTGCCTAAGGCTGTTTTACCGTTAACATTTTTTTAATTAATAGAGGAAGTACACTCTAAAATGACACTAAAATGCGTAGTAAACATATAAGCCAGTAACATAGTCATTTATTATTATTATTATCAAGTATTATGTAGTATACATAATTGTATATGCCATACATTTGTATTACTGGTAGCACAGTAGAATTTTTACACCAGCATCACCACAGATGTGAGTAATGCATTGTACTGTGACATTACAATAGCTACGACGTCCCTAGGGAATAGGAATATTTCAGCTCCATTATAAACTTATAAGACCACTATCTTACATGTGGTTCATCATTGACAGAAATGTTGTTGTGCAGTGCATAACTGTATTTTAGATGATAGATAGATAGATAGATAGATACATAGATAGATAGATGATAGACAGATAAATATTTGTTACAGGAATTTGACCTTACAGAATTCAACTGCAGGAGCTGGAAAAAGTATCTCTGTAAGACTCTTATCTTCCTGTCTGATTTTGGAGCTTGAAGTTCACAGAACTGGCAGTCAAAATGGGAAGATAAATGGAAAGTGAGAGAATAGGTAAATCCACAGAAAGAGAGAGTAGATTAGTGATTTCCAGGAACTGCATGGTTTGAGATGAATGCCTGGTGGCTGTTAATTGGCTCTGGGTTATTTTTTGGTTTGGTGAAAATGTTATCGAGTTAAGATAGTGGTGAGGATTGTAAAACTCTGAGGATATTCCAAAAAACACTAAATTGCGCACTTTAACAGGGAATTTAATGGGGTAAAAATTGTAGCTCAAAAAACTGAACAATAATAACAAGGCAAAAAAAAAGAAAGAAAAGTGTATACAGTATGTTTTCATTAGTGTGAAGAAAAAGCAAAAAATAATAGTAGCTTGTAAATGTCTCAACTTGGCTAGGCTGAACTATATTCCCCAGAATTCTTTTTCTTCTACATTTCCACTTAGGGTGGGTCATATTTAATTTTGTTCAAAGTTTGGAGGGCAGAAGAAAAATTAAAGTCACTTTGAGTGCTGGGGCACAGTCACTATGTAACCTTGTAGCCCACACACATTGTTGCAAAGCTAAGGCACGTGTTGTAGGTGTGGAACAACAGTCTGCAAGTGTTCCACTTTCCCTCAGCTTTGCCAATTCCTGGGCATGGCATGCATCTGGTTCTGTCCAATGAGAGCCAGAATCTCAGGACACCCACCTTACTGAGAGTGGAGGCGATGAGAATGGACATGGGTACTAAGCCAATCTCATGGACTCCAGTTCATGCTCATGGTTTTGCAATTTTTCTTGCTCTTCCCCACTGGACGTTCATTTTCCCTCCTCTAATTCTTTCAGTTTTGTTCTATTGATCTATGTCTATGCTGTGTCAGTATCACACCACTATCATTACTGTCACTTTGTAGGAAGTTTTGAAATTGGGAAGTGTGAGTTCCCCAGGTTTGTTCTTCACACGCAGGATGATTTTGACAATTCCAGATCCTTTGAATTTCCTCATAAATTTTAGGATTAGCCTGTCAATTTCTGACAGCTGTGATTTTCATAGAAACTGCACTGAATCTGCCCATCAATTTGGGGAGTATTGCCATCTTAATAAAATTAAGTATTGAAATTTATCAACATAGTATGTTTTTCCATTGATTTAGGTCTTCTATAATTTATTTCTATAATTCTTCTATAATTTATAATTTGGCTTTCAGTATAAAAGTCTTCTGCTTATTTGGTTAAGTTTACTCTTAATTACCTATTTTTTGATACTAATATAAATGGTTTTTTTTCCTAATATTGTTTTTTTGATTGGTCATTGCTAGTGTATGCAGATCTATTTGATTTTTTTCAACCTTGTTTATTGTGGCAAAATACCCATAATATAAAATGTACCCTGTTACTGCTTTTAAGTATACAGTGCAGTGGTGTTAAACACATTCATAATGTGCAACCATCACTATCACTCATCTCCATAACTCTTGCTGTTGAAATTCCATAACTACTACACAATAACTACTTTTTGCCTCTATGATTTTAGACTCCTGAAAGTACCTCATATACATAGAATTATACAATATTTATCATTTTGTAGTTGGCTTATTTCACTTAGCATAATGTCCTCCAGGTTCATACATGTTGTAGCATATTGCATAATGGTCTTCCTTTTTAAGTCTGAAGGATGTAACAACAACATGAGCCCTAGATTAGCATCAACATGTGTGGGCTACAAGGTCACATGGTGGCTGTGTCCCCGCATTCAAAAGTGGCTTTTCATTTCTTTCTGCCTTCCAAACCGTGAACAATATTAAATATGACTCACCCTAACTGGAAACATATTTTATGGACATACCACATTTTACTTCTCCATTTATCTATCAACAAACACTTGGGTTGCTTCCATATTTTAGCTATTGTAAATAATACTCTTATGAATATGGGTGTAAAAATATTACTTTGAGATCTTATTTTGAAAACTTCTGGCTATATATCCAGAAGTGGAACTGCTTTATCGTATGGCAATTCTATTGCTATTTTTTTAGAAATGAATATACTGTTTTCTACAGAAGTGCTAATATTTTACATTTCCACTTATAGTGAATAGGGCTCCAAATTCTCCACATTCTGACCATCCGTTATTTTCCTGGGCTTTGTTTGATAGTGGTCATTGTACTTCAAAGTTGGCTCTAATTCATGTCAGCCTCCATTTTTGTGCCTCACTATTTAGGCTGTGCTTCTTTATTATTATTTCTGCTTTTGTCAATCTTACTGCTTCCTCCATGGTACCTATTAATGTTGTGGCATATATGTCCCTGCAACAAATAATCTAATCACCCCGTAGCAGTCAATGGATATTACCACTGCTCTCTACTGCTATCTTTTCTGTAGTCTTATTTCTCCCCAACAATTTGGCCAGAAAGTGCACATATTGTTCTTGTCAGTTATACTAAGGCAAATTTGGAAAAGTTATTGTATAATTTAGAATTATTGGGAATAACATTACTATAATCTAAATTGGTTAGAAGTGCCAACCTGTTTTGAAAGTTTTCTAAGTAGTAGCGCCTTACTACATGTAATTAAGCCAAAATGAAAAGAAAAAACAACACAAAAATTGTCATAGTAGGGTGCTAAAAAGAAGATATGTAAATGCTTATGCGTTAAAATATTATCTGCATATTATAATAAAAGGAATAAAAATAAAACTATGCCCCTCATCCACATTGAAATTTATTGTCTAGACATTTTATAAACATTTGATATTAATTTTCTTCAGAGTGAATAATATATTTGTATTCAAATTTACATTATTCAGATAAATCTCAGCCAGCCTAATTAATTCTACAACAATACTTGATGTATATTATCAGAACCATCAAATTATAAATTATGCATGTGTATATATGCATGTGTACATATATATGTACACATGCAAGTACACACACAAACATTTTTAACACAGTTCCAGTATATGACCTGATCCTATAATAAAATAATAATAGCCATAACAATAAGGAATCATTAGCTTTGGAATTGTATTCCTATATATATATATAAAAGTGTTTTCTTAAGGAGAAACTGCAGTTTTCAGTTTTATCAATAGATGGCACTACTATTTACCATATGTTTTGCTAAAATATAACAATATTTGCTGAAATATATTAATTGATAACTAATATAATTTATTTAATTAACTCATATAATTAATTTATTAATTTTTATTCCTAAAAATTTGCTTTCAATAAACAATTTACTATTTCCTTGACATAGTAATGTATCACCTGTAAATATTCACTTTCAAAATGATACTTATAATCTTTAATCTTTTATTAATACATGATAATTACTGTTAAATGCATTTTTATTATTTATAAACTTTTAGATACTTCCAAAGACATAATTATTATTATTATTTAATGCCTTCTAACTCAGAGTAGCATTTGTAGGGGAGATGCCTATTGCGGGTGTCAGGAGTGGTGTTATCACTAGGTGTTCTGCTTGCATACTATTTGTTTTTATTCTAAAATTCACTGGTGTTAAATCAAAAAATGAGCTGGAGGAAACTTCCAATTCAATAGCATAAATTATCTATAATAGTGATAGAACACTGATAGTCACAAATGATATATTTTCTATTGATAATATTTTATAAAACTATATGATGCACAAAATTATATGTATTTTGTTATAAAACACACTCCCAAATCACTATCATAGAAGCCACAGTACAGGGAACCTTCTACTTATCCTCTGGCAAAGTTTACTTAAAATGATTTGTGTTAGCTGAAAATGTGGGGCCGAAAGCAAAGAATTCATAAGTGCCTCTCAGACCTCCGTATTAACAGAAAACTAATCAAAGCCCTCCAATCTATACAGATTTCTGGGATTCATTTGACATATCTTGCCTATCATCATCATCATCATCATCATATTTATTATAATTAGCCATAAGAACATCTTTTTGCATTTGATTAATATGAAATGTTTGACTGGCATTAAATTCTTAGAAGTAGGTTTGCTTAGTAAATGTCAAGTAAATGGAAATCCACATAAACTTAATGTAATCTCAATAAATATATTGAAATAAATACATATATATGTTTTTGAGGGAAAAAATGCTAGTTGCATTAACACATTTTTCTCTCTGATCCTCATATATAATTATTTATCTTACACAAGTGGCAGTCTTGATTATTAAAAGAAAATTTAAGCAGGCCAGAAATGAAATCTTGGTACCTTTTCAGGCTGTTTTCCTTTTGCAATATGCAAAAGCTTGCTGTTTGCCCGCCACTTAAATGTCAAAAATCCCATGTGGGTCAGAAAAATATCTTTGCTATGGCATGAAAACACTTAATTGTTAACCTATTCTGTTATAAGATTAGCCTGAGTGCTGATTTCCTTCTTGTGAACGTAGTATAACTTGAGACACACACACACACACACACACACACACACACACACACACATATATATGATATTTTCTTTATCTCTTCATTGGTTGATGGACACTTAGATTGGTTCCATATCTTTGCAATTGTGAATTGTGTTATGGTGAACATATGTGTGCAGATGTCTTTTTTATATGATGACCTGTTTTTCTTTGGGTATATATGTAGGAGTAGGATTGCTGGGTTGAATGATAGATCTACATTTAGTTCTTTGAGAAATCGCCACAGTTTTCCATAGAGGTTGTACTAATGTACATTCCTACCAACAGTGTATAAGTGTTCACTTTTCACTGCATTTGTGCCAACATCTATTGTTTTTTTCTTTTTTTTTGGACTATATATATATATATATATATATATATATATATATACACACACACACACACACACCGTGGAATGCTCCTCAGCCATTAAAAAAAAACACACATAATAATGTCTTTTGCAGCAATTTGGATGGAACTGTAAGCAATTATCCTAAGTGAAGTAACTCAGAAATGGAAAACAAATACCACATGTTTTTACTTATAAGTGGAAGCTAAGCATAGTATTCTATGGTGTATATGTACCGCATTTTCTTTATCCAATACACAGTTGATGGGCACCTAGATTGATTCCACATCTTTACTATTGTGAATAGTGCTGTAATGAACATAGGGCTGCATATATCGTTTGAAAAAACAATTTATTTTCTCTTGGGTATATGCCCAGTAATGGAATCTCTGGATTGAATGGTAGTTCAAGTTTTAGTTTTTTGAGAAATCGCCAAACTGTTCTCCACAGTGGCTGTACTAATTGACATTCCCACCAGCAGTTCGTAAGTATTCCTGTCTCTGCAGCCTTGCCAGCATCTGTTGTTTTTAGACTTTTTAACAAAGGCCATTCTAACTGGTGTGAGATGGTATCTCATTGTGGTTTTGATTTGCATTTCCCTGATGATTAGTGATGACTAACATATTTTCGTATCTCATGGAGGGAAGGAGGGAGTAGCAAAAATCAAGGAAATGAATTATAATAATTACTCATAAGTATAAGAAAAGCGTTAAAAGGTATTAATCTGGAGAACTCATAAAAGCCTAGGTATAGCATGTGAAAATGTATTCTATATTTTCCCAGTGCACCAGAGGCAGCAAATTATTTTCTGAATTACTATTACGTATGATGCTCTGTTTTACTGTTAATTTCTAAAACATTCTTCCCATTTGGTCAAGTTTAAAAATGACACAGATGTCAATGAATGAAATCAAATTTACTATGTATTACATGATACAATAAAGTATGCTAAATAACATAAAGACTAATTAGATAATTCCAGTCATAACTTGTGATCACTGCCCGAACCATCTGAAGCTATTGTTTTGAACTTTAGAAATGTCATTGTACTATTTTAAATTGAACTACAATTTAAACATAATATGGAAGAAATAATCATAAATTACACACAATAAAGATCTGAGAAAGCATCTAGCAGTAAAACAACACAGAGAAAGAGATTAGATAAATTCATTAATTTAAATAAAATAAAATTTATTTTTAAAACATATGGATTAACAAGTACACATGCAAATTGCAAAAGGTGCTTAAAATCTAATTAAGCTATCTTGAGAGTGCCCTCATGTTAAATCTTTAAGATCAAATAAGCCTCATTATCACATTAACCTTCTTTCCACTCTCTTGTTATACAAGTGTCATTACATTAATTAGTCATTATACTGTTTTTTAAGTGCTGGCCACCTCATGAGCATTTTGTAACATTACCCAGTACTTGTATACATAGAAGTAATCTATGATATATCACTCCTAGTCCAGTAAACCATATCATGCTAATTTAAATATCTATGTGTAGATATAACCAGATTATAATTTTATGAAGAAAACAACTTTGTAATATCAAAAACAAGATGCAGTACATTCAATTACCTATGTAAAAGAATTCTAGCTGAATGAATTTAAGTCTAAGTCAATCATAGGTGAATAAAAAATAATAGTATCTGAGAATGAGTCACCTATCTGAGATTTGCTCCTATAAACAAGAGAATCTACACGTCTTTGATTCATGTAGAGGACTGTTTCTCCCTTCAACCCTTAAAATGATGTTCTGTTTTATTGCTAACTTAATTTCTAAAACGATCTTCCCATTTGGTCAAAGTAGGAAGAGGAAAGAATCATTGGCTTGGTGTGTTTTTAGAAAGATTGAGCACATGGAACTCATCCTTTCTCATGTGTTGGATCTGCCTGAAAAGAGGATGCATTCTATTCTGCTCTCTTGGCAATACGAGATCAGCAGTGTTGGCTCTGTCTCCGTGTGCTGAAGTCTAGGGTTGCCCAGCGACGCCCATGACTTGGCAAATTTTGGAGTCCATATTTGCCATATATCTCAACCACCTTCTCTAGGCAGCTTTACCCACAATGCAGGTAATATTTTGTCCTTTATGTCAATCACTATTGCATCTTTCTCTTAATTGGTTCTGAAGACAAGGATCAGGAGGAAGAAGAGAGTGGTGTTCTTTACCGATCTCCTATATGTGCAACATCTGATGCTTTGAGAACGCTCTAGAAACTTACAAAGAATAAAGTGCAGTTGACACAGTAACACCAGGAAGAATCAAAGCTTTTGAAATAGCTTCAGCGGGTAACTTAGCCCTGATGGTATATGCCTTAGAGCTGATCTTCTTTACAGTAGGGAAGTTAGCTTTTATATGCTGCAGCCTCCGCAGGTGGCTTTGGGTCTTAAGCTTTACTAAATATGGCATAATTTAATGTTATCCTATTGGGTAAGTTTTCCCCATAAATGAATAGCTGTGTTTATGCAGGCAGAGTTATGTCTAACAAATATACACATTAGGAAGCAGGTCACCCTATGTAGGAGCTGTCATTATTCAGCTTTGAATTACACAGATCAAGTTTGGCCTGGTTTAAAAATCAAGGCTAAGGCAGAGATAAGTTATTTTATGTATCAGTAAATGGCTTTTGCTATGTTTCTTAACCAGGTCTGTAAGCAGTTTTTTTGTTGTTGTTGTTTACCTAATGCATAGGCAGCTAATTTCCATTAGTAATACAAAGCACAAATATAGGTTATTACTCTAAATTATTAATAGCAGCTATAGTTAAGCAGTACTAAACTGACTAACAAAATTACATGTACTGTCTTTAGTTATATAGAAGGAATCTTGCAGGGTTAACTTTCTATAAAGAGAGGCTTGTTCAAAGGTAGCAAGTACCCCAGTTCTGTTATTTATGTATTTTCTTATCATGGCTTTCTACAATGTGTCTTCACCCAAAGAAAGATTATATATTGTATTATATTTCATTACACCCTCAACCTCCTGGGCTCAAGCCTCCTTAGTATCTGAGACTACAAAAACATACGTGTGCATTACCATGCCTGGATAATTTTTAGTGGAGATGAGATCTCACTATGTTACTTAGGCTGGTATCAAACTAGCCTCAATGTTCCCTCCTTGGCCTCCCAAAGTGCTAGGATTACAAGCATGAGCAATTAATGAACAAATACAAAGTAAAAAGCCATGGCTGCCATAAACATTTCTTGGTATCCAAGATCTGGGCCCAAGGGTTACCTGTTTCAAATACCAGAATTACATCATGGAAGTTGTGAAGGCCACCATTAAGCCAAGGAATGTCTCAAACCATTACACCAAGAAAAAAGTGTCTTATTTTAGAGAAATCAATTTCAAGGGTGGGGTAGAAAAACAACTCAAAGGAGGTGTTGCCAACTTAAAGCCTAAGACAGCAATTACATTTCTGTTCCTCCACTGTCTCTGAGAATTGGGTTTGCTCAAGATACCAAGTAGCAACTGAAGTGGTTTGAAAACATATACCTTTGATTTTCCATCACAACATAAATAGTAGAAAATGAAAGGAAAATAGAGGAAGAAAGACTGATTATGCTGGATAAAGTTTATTTAAGAGGACATCTTGGAGGACACAGCAGCCAGATATGAAAAGGAAAATGAGATCTTTAAGTCCAACACACAAACACACACACACACACACACACACACACACACACACACACACCCCACATTGTGGCTCTAAGGACTAAATTCTTTTAAGGACAGTATCCTTAGACAATGAAGAAATGTTTTAGTTGTCTAGTGAATAAAACCTGAGTTGGGGCCTAGCAATCTAACAACAGAAGAACATGAAAAACCTCAGGGAGGGAGGAGAAAGAATGGATACGTCAAAGCTTTCCAGAACCAGGAGCTAATGAGAAACATCTATTCATCTACTCATGTACATTTAAAAATGCTGCCTCTTTAATATATACCCTTGTTTTTTTGTAACAATACAGTGGAATGTATCCTTATTTCAAAGACATTAATACAGGAAGAAAAGTAGTGTGTAGAGTATTTTAGGCTATGTGCAGTTTTGTAGAAGGTGAAAAAACTGTGCTGTGGAGAAGACTGGGCAGGACAGTGAGTGAGTGAAGAGCAGGTGGGGGCATAGTTAAAATTTTAAATAGTGTAGTCTGGGTAAGCTTCATTGAAAATGTGACATTTAAGCAGAGTTGAAAGAGTTTGAAACTGAGACTTATGGAGATCTGGCGAAGAATCTTCTGGGCAGGGGAAACAGCCAAGTGTAAATGTTTGTTATGTATAAGGTCCAAAAGGAAGTGTACATTGAATGCAGCTGGATTACACTTTCTTTTCTGAAAAGGAAAGAGAAATAGGGTAGGAAGATACCACAAAAACTGAGAAATCAGAACATTTACGGTTATTTAGGGGATTCAAAGTCTGGCTTTTAATCTGAGAGACATTGGGAGCCAATGGGATTTTAAGTAGAGGAGGGATGTGACTTGACTTCATAAGCATGAAGTTGGGGACACATAAAAATAAAAATAATTAAGAAAAATTCCTAATAGTTCAGAGATCTTTATCAAGTGTTTACAAACATCGTAGATAAAATTGTGTAAGAAAGACAAAGAACACTAAAATTCTCATGGCATCTCTTAATGTATTTCAAAGTAGCAGTTATTGCAGGTGAGCCTGCAGCTATGCTCTGGACCTAAAAGGATATGACCAGGAAATCTATGGAGTTAAGGCTCCAAGGGAGCCGGGTGTGGTGGTTCACACCTGTAATCCCAGCACTTTGGGAGGCTGAGGCAGACGGATCACGAGGTCAAGAGATCGAGACCATCCTGGCCAACATGGTGAAACCCCGTCTCTACTAAAAATACAAAAATTAGCCAGGCGTGGTGGTGGGTGCATGTAGTCCCAGCTACTACTCGGGAGGCTGAGGCAGGAGAATCACTTGAGGCGGAGGTTTCGGTGAGCCAAGATCACGCCACTGCATTCTAGCCTGGGTGACAGAGCAAGACTCCGTTTAAAAAAAAAAATAGACTCCAAGGGAAGACACGGCCAAGATGAAACATAGTAAAAAGAATCTGGGAAAGAAAGTAATGGATTATGTTAAGGCACAGGTTAGATGTTGCTCTAATGGGAGAAAAGCCCCTAGGTGGGATCTGCCAAATCACTAAGGAAAAGGTGGAAAATATTTGAACAGTGGATGGTTTTGGCAGACAGAGATCATATTTTCATATCTCTCACTGTGACAAACCCCACAGAAAAATATAGAGGAGAATACATGGGAACAAAAATGTGTGGGCCAGAAAGGAGAGAGAAATAAAAAGGAAGGAAGACAAATTTCTAGCAGACGGCCCTCCCAAAGGAAAAAAAAGAAAAAAGTCCACATCAAAAAGAAGGCTAAACTGTTATAAAGTGACTGAATTCTCACAAAATAAAGAATGGAACAATTAAGAAAAATAGAGCATTAGAAGGAGGGGGAAAATGTAACAAAAAACTGAATACTGCGCAAGATTGAGAACCTTTATAAATAGAGGAAATAATACATTATCGACCTCTTGGTGAGGTATATGTCAGCAGGATCCCCCGGAGGATACAGTCTTCAGAAACATTAATCTCAATTTTAGATTCAGAGTCAGCTAAAGAATATATGGCAACTGAAGCAATGTGGAGCCTTGGTGAGATCCCTGTGGAGTGCATTTCGTAAACACAGGTAATTCTGTTGTGGTGCTGGGTCCAAAATTGCCTGTTCCCAAGAGGCATCGTGAGTGTCTTTAATGTTTTCTCAGAGAAGTGACTCTGTGCATAATTTTTCCTTCCCCCAAAAGGCTTCTGAGCATTGTGATCTTGTGACAAAATTAGGCTAGAGACACAATAAACGTATTTCCTCTTCTTTTTTAAATACACAACTAGCTCTCTTGTAGTAGAATGCACTGATTATGGGCCAGCCATGGTGGCTCGCACCTGTAATTCCAGCACTTTGTGAGGCCGAGGCGGGTGGATCACCTGGGGTCAGGAGTTCAAGACCATCCAGACCAGCCTGGACAATATGGTGAAACCTCACCTCTACTAAAAATACAAAAATTAGCCAGGCATGTTGACAGGCACCTGTAATCCCAGCTACTTGGGAGGCTGAGGCAGGAGAATCGTTTGAACCTAGGAGTTCAGGGTTGCAGTGAGCCTGAGATTGTGCCACTGCACTCCAGCCTGGGTGATAGAGTGAGACTCCGTCTAAAAAAAAAAAAAAAAAAAAAAAAAAGAGAGAGAGAGAGAGAAAGAGAAAGAAGAAGAATGCACTGATTATGACCCCTGACAAGTGGCAAAAGTGCTGTTGGCTGCCACAAGGCCTTCCTTATAAAAGCTTGCACACCTTCCTTCACATGTTCTGGTGTCTTCCAAACAGACACAGAAGACTCACTGAAGGGCTCCAAGGCTTTAGGGAAGTGAGGCTAAAATGATTTGTGGTGGGAATCTTTTTCCCTCTAATTTTTATAGTTACCAGAAAATAAGATTACTTACATAGATACTATAGCAATATAAACTTTCTAGAAAATTTTTAAAGCTTATAATTTCTATAATTTATCTCATGTACAAGTAACAAGTAGTGCACAGACTGGAGCAAGAACATGGAATAGCATTGTCCTATGTGATACTGTGACCTCAAGAGAGAAGATGTCTGCATCACTGGGTGACTGAATGAAACAGAACTCTACCAACCCACAATCAGACTGTAGGAGAAGTGAGAAATAAACTTGACAAATAAAGGTAGGATATGGTTTAAACTGCTACAATAAAGTAAGAAAAAACATAGAGCATTAAAAAGACATAAATCCTGATATTTAATCAAAAAGTGATACGGTGGCTTGATGGTGTGGGTATGGGGTAAGCTATTATAAAAAAGAGACCCTTAGAACGGTGGCCTAAACAAGATGTAAGTAAACAAGCCCTTATAGATGGTCAAAGGACAGTTTAGTAATTAGATCTTATTGCATAACTTAGTGTATTTGTTTCCTAATGCTGCCTTAAGAAATATCACAAATTTGGTCAGGCGTGGTGGCCCACGCCTGTAGTCCCAGCATTTTGGGAAGCTGAGTCAAGCGAATTGCTTGAGTCAAAGAGTTTCGGACCAGCCTGGTGAACATGGCAAAAACCCATCTCTACTAAAAATACAAAAATTAGCCAAGTGTGCTGGCACATGCCTGTAGTCCCTGCTACCTGGGAGGCTGAGGTGGGAGGATTGCTTGAGCCCAGAAAGTGGAGCTTGCAGTGAGCCTTGATTGCACAACTGTCCCTGATTCCAGCCTAGATGACAGACTAAAACCCTGTCAAAAAAAAAAAAAAAAAAAGAGAGAGAGAGATAAAAGAAAATAAAGCCAGGAGCGGTGGCTCACGCCTGTAATCCCAGCACTTTGGGAGGCCGAGGGTGGATCACCTGAGGTCGGGAGTTCGCTACCAGCCTGACCAACATGAGAAACCCGTCTCTAGTAAAAGTACAAAATCAGCCAGGCATGGTGGTGCATGCCTGTAATCCCAGCTACTCCAGGGGCTGAGGCAGGAGAATCGTTTGAACCCAGGAGGAGGAGGTTGTGGTGAGCCGAGATTGCACCATTGCACTCCAGCCTGGGCAACAAGAGAGAAACTCCAGCTCAAAAAAAAAAAAAAAAAAAAAAAAGAAAAGAAAATGAAAGAAAGACACATAGAAAAGAAGAAAAGAAAGAAAACAAAAGAAAAGACAGAAAAGAAAAGAATAAAAGACCACAAATTTAGTGGCTTAAGGCAACACAAACTTATTCTCTTATATTCTGGAGGCCAGAAGACCAAAATCAGTTTCACTGAACTAAAGTCAAGGTGTGGGTAGAGTTAGTTGGGTTTGGAGAGTACACGGGATAATCCACGTTCATGCATTGTCTGGCTTCTTGAAGATGTCTGCATTTATTGGCTGATGACTCATTCCTCAAGTCACTACAACCTTTTGCTCTGTTATCACATATCCTGCTTCCTTCTTTTATCTTCTTGCCTTCATCTGATGAGGACCCTTATAATTATATTTAGCACCAACCTGGATAACTTTCCTATCTCAAGATCCTTAAACTATATACATGTGCAAGTCTCCCCTTTGCCATATAAGGTAACATTCACATATTCCAGAAATTAGGATGTGGAAATCTTTTGGAGAGAATATTCACCTGACCACACCCAGGCAACTTCTATCTTTTTCTTCTACTACAAAACATGACTTTCCTTTTTCTTTTTTTTTTCTTTTTTTTTTTTAAATTTTACTTTAAGTTCTGGGATACATGTGCAGGACATGCAGGTTTGTTACATAGTTATACATGTGCCAGCGTGGTTTGCTGCACCTATCAACCCATAATCTAGGTTTTAAGCCCCATATGCATTAGGTATTTGTCCTAATGCTCTCCCTCTCCTTGCCCCCAAGCCCTGACAGGTCCCAGTGTGTGATATTCCCCTCCCTGTGTCCATGTGTTTTCATTGTTCAACTCCCACTTATGAGTGAGAACATACGGTGTTTGGTTTTCTATTCCTGTGTTAGTTTGCTGAGAATGGTGGCTTCCAGCTTCATCCATGTCCCTGCAAAGGACATTAACTCATCCTTTTTTACAGCTGCATAGTATTCCATGGTGTGTATGTGCCACGTTTTTCATTGATGGGCATTTGGGTTGGTTGAAGTCTTTGCTATTGTAAATAGTGCTCCAATAAACATACATGTGCATGTGTCTTTATAGTAGAATGATTCATAATCCTTTCGGTATATGCAGTAATGGGATCGCTGGGTCAAATGGCATTTCCAGTTCTCGATCTTTGAGGAATTGCCACACTGTCTTCCACAATGGTCGAACAACTAATTTACACTCCTACCAACGTGTAAAAGCATTTCTATTTCTCCACAGCCTTGCCAGCATCTGTTGTTTCCTGACTTTTTAATAATCGCCATTCTGACTGGCATGAGATGGTGTCTTGTTGTGGTTTTGATTTGCATTTCTCTAATAACCAGTGATGATGAAATTTTTTTCAAAGGTTTTTTGGCCACATAAATGCCTTCTTTTGTGAGGTGTCTGTTGATATACTTTGCCCACTTTTTGATGGAGTTGTTTTTTTCTTGTAAATTTGTTTAAATTCCTTGTAGATTCCGGATATGAGACCTTTGTCAGATAAGAAGATTGCAAAAAATGTTCTCCCATTCTGTAGGTTGCCTGTTCACTTTGATGAGTTTATTTTGCTGTACAGAAACTCTTTAGTTTAATTAGATCTCTATGTCAATTTTGGCTTTTCTTGCAATTACTTTTGGTGTTTTAGTTATGAAGTCTTTGCCCATGCCTATGTCTTGAATGGTATTGTCCAGGTTTTCTTTTTTTTCTTTTTTTTTGTGAGACAGAGTCTCACTCTGTTGCCCAGGCTGGAGTGCAGTGGTGCATCTTGGTTCACTGAAACCTCTGCCCCCTGGATTCAAATGAATCTCCTGCCTCAGCCTCCCTAGTAGCTGGGATTACAGGCACCTGCTACTGCGCCTGGCTAATTTTTGTATTTTTAGTAGAGACAGGGTTTCACCATCTTGGCCAGGCTGGTCATGAACTCCTGACCTTGTGATCCACCCACCTTGGTCTCCTGAAGTGCTGGGATTACAAGGCGTGAGCCACCGTGCACGGCCGCCTAGGTTTTCTTCCAGTGTTTTTATGGTTTTGGGTTTCACATTTAAGTCTTTAATCCATCTTGAGTTAATCAGGCAAGAGAAATAAATAAAGGGTATTCAAATAGGAAGAAAGGAAGTAAAATTGTCTCTGTTTGGAGATGACATGATTGTATATTTTGGAAACCCCATTGACTCAGCCCCAAAACTCCTTAAGCTGATAAGAAACTTCAGCAAAGTCTCAGAATACAAAATCAATGTGCAAAAATCACAACCATTCCTATATACCAACAACAGACAAATAAAGAGCCAAATCATGAGTGAAATCCCATTCACAATTGCTACAAAAAGAATAAAATACCTAGGAATACAACATACAAGGGACGTGAAGGACCTCTTCAAGGAGAACTACAAACCACTCCTCAAGGAAATAAGAGAGGACACAAACAAATGGAAAAACATTCCATGCTCATAGATAGGAAGAATCAATATCATGAAAATGGCCATACTGCCCAAAGTAATTGATAGATTCAATGCTATTCTCATCAAGTTACCATTGACTTTCTTCACGGAATTAGAAAAAAATACTTTAAATTTCATATGGAACCAAAAAAGAGCCGATATAGCCAAGACAATATTAAGCAAAAAGAACAAAGCTGGAGGCATCACGCTATCTGACTTCAAACTACACTACAAGGCTACAGTAACCAAAACAGCATGGTGCTGGTACCAAAAACAGATATACAGACCAATGGGACAGAACAGAGACCTCAGAAATAACACTACACATCTGCAGCCATCTGATCTTCGACAAACCTGACAAAAACAAGCAACTGGGAAATGATTCCCTATTTAATAAATGGTGCTGGGAAAACTGGCTAGCCATATGCAGAAAATAGAAACTGGATCCCTTTCTTAACACATTAGACTCTCCTTTTTCAAATTTAAAATAGCTCCTCCAACTATCATCATCACACTCATTTTTCAACAAACAAAAAGAGAAATAGATGACATATATCTTTTCTAGTATCATAATTGAGATATGAAAAACAATAATTACCTTCTCAATCCATTGGCCAAAAATTTGTCATAGAAAAAAGTTTCAAGGAGGACTGAGGAAGGTAATCTTTAGGTAGGCATCCATAGGCTGGCTAATATTGAGCTTCAATTACTGAGGAAAACTATCAAAATTTATGTGGTAGACCACAAATAGTCTTTTCTCCATACATAGTGACAAAATTAACATTTTTATGAGAAGTTATGATCCAGTCATATAAGTTCTTTAAATTTGTGCAATTGTTATAGGAAATCTATATCTTAGGACAGCCAAAAATAACACTTCTTTTTAGAACAGGGATTCATTCTCCTTTCTTGTTCTAGTGAGTATTTGCCATGTTTTTTTGGCAGAATTATGTACCAGACTCAGAGAACAAAATAGGTATTACTTAAAATTTCTAAATTTATTGTATGTAGGGCTGATGCTGTCAATATTAGTCATGTGTACTAACTTTCAGAACTTTTTACAAATGAGGGTCTTAGGAAAACTTTCCTCTAACCCATACAACTTTAAGGCCTTTAAGAAAATTGACATGATAGAGAAGGTTATGGTAGAAAACTTGTAACTTAAAACTTGTAAGCCATTTGCCATAAATAAACAGAACAAATATGAAATGAGTGTCATGAAACATTGGAAAACCAGCAGCAAAGGATGGCAATCCCTGAAAGAAGAGAAGAAAAAAGACAAAAAAAAAAAAAAAAAAGGAAACAAGATGTGGTGTATAATTGTCTTGGCTTTCTTCCTGGCGGCATCCATTGACATTGATGCAGAAAGAGAGAACTGAAAGGTCTCACTGAACTAAGGATACGAGAAGTTGGAATTCACAAAAAGTTGCCAGCTGGAATTTTTAGAGAAGAAAAGCATAAAGTAGAGAACTCTGCAGAGACAGCTACGGGAATCTAAATACAGATCTGCTGAGGCTTTGGCTTAATGCCTAGGATGAAACTATTCAAAATCAGGCAAAATTTTATGACTACGGAAACCACTACAATCAGGGAGCTTACATTTAAAAGCTACAAGAGCTTACACAAGGATAGGTGCCATATGAGTTGGATTAACCAGAATGGAGAGACTTAACTGAAAAAAGCAGACTAGGGAGACTTCATAAAACATCTCATACTGCATATCAGAAGGAGAGTGAAACAGATCCCACTGTAAAGGCTACTCTAGACAGACTCAAATATAGTTTTTTTTTTCTTTTTTAAAGTCTCAAAAAGATTAAACTGATGCCTAAACAAAACTCAATGCTTCGGCAAATCTATCCTCTCAACAATGTTCAGCATTCAATACACAAATTAACAGATGTGAGAAGGAGTGGAAAATATGACTCATGAGAGAAAAATGTCAGCGAATAGGAAGAGACAATAAATTTCAGACATGATAAAAATTGCAAGCAGGGACTTTAAGTAGCCAGTATAAATAGGTTTAAAGATTTAAAGGAAAACACAAATACAATGAAAGAATAAGTAAGAATTATTTTTTAAATAGAATTTATGTCGTTGAAAAATATAATATCTAAAATAAATTTAGGAAAAAGAACTCTGGTAGAGAATAACAGCTGATTAGACATACAGATAAAAGAAAAAATGTGACCTTAAAGTCAGAGCATAAAAACTATTGAAAGTGAAGTACAGTATGTACAAATGTTGAAGAGACAGAGAGAAAAAAAGGAAGAGAATTCAGTGATTTATGAGAAAATATCAATCAGACACACATACCTATAATTTGAGTCCAAATGGATGGAGAAAACAGAAATCTATTTGAAAAAAATAATGGCCAAACGTTTATTCAAAGGTTTTAAAAATATATATCCCAAAGTCCAAGTAGCTGAGTTATCTCTAGCAGAATAAAAATCCAAGTAAAGAAAAGCAAACCAAGGCTTACCATATATAAATTGCTGATACCCAATGATAAAGAGAAACTCTTAAAAGCAGTCAGATAAATGAAAAAAAGAGACTAGAAATACTAGAAATACAGCAGATGTCCTGTTAGAAACCATGCAAGAGCAACCCAGAAGACAATAGAACATCTATAAATTGTTGAAAGAAAAATAAAAACCAAAAACTGCCTACTTAGAATTTAATATCCAACAGAAATATTATTTAATTTAAAAAAAAGTAAAAATATCTTCATACAAACAATGGCCAAGAAAATGTATCAGGAGCAGACCTGAACTTCAAATTATTAAAGCATGTTTATTAGAGTAAATGAAAATTCAGAAATTCAGTTTTACATGAAAAAATGAGGAGGATCAGAAATGCAAATGTTTTGTTCTCTTGCCTAATTTTAAAAACCTCTCTGAAAGATATGTAACTTTTAAAGCAAAAATGGAACAATATACTGTGTGTTTTATAACATACGTAGAAGTTAAATGTTTGATAATATTATTACAAAGGATGAAAATGGCAGAGATCAAGGCATGCTGTTTTAAGGTTCTTTATACATGAAGTAGTAAAACATTATTTAAAAATACATGACAATATGTTAAGTTTCATATCGTATGTGTGGCTTATAGCAATATCTGACAAAAATTTTAAAAAAAGATATAACTAATAAGTCAGTAGTAGAGATAAAATGGAATTCTAAATGTTATGGAGTACACCAGAAGTCAGTACAAAAAAGGAAATATTGAATAAAGAATGAATGAGGCTGGGCACGGTGGCTCACACTTGTAATCCCAGCACTTTGGGAAGCCGAGGTGGGCATATCACCTGAGGTCAGGGGTTTGAGACCAACCTGGCCAACATGGTGAAACCCCCTCTCCATTAAAATATAAAAATTAGCTGGGCATGGTGGCAGGCACCTGTGATTGCAGCTACTTGGGAGGCTGAAACAGGAGAATTGCTTGAACCTGGGAGGCAGAGGTTGCAGTGAGCCAAGATCGTGCCATTGCACTCCAGCCTGGGCGATGGCGCAAGACCATTTCAAAAAACAAAAACAAACAAAAAAAAAAAAAGAAAGAAAAAGAAAAAAAGAAAAAAAAATGGATGTGATCATTTGAAAATGGATTGCAAAACCCAGTGAGAATAAGCCCAGGATACAAATGTTTAAGTTACCCCAAAGTCATACATTTTCAAGGACTTCTTTCCCTGAAAGTGACCATAATAAAGAATCAGGGAAAAACTTGGTTCTTTGGACTTTGCATGTAGTTTAAACTTTTGGACTTTCTTTAGACTTTAAATTATAAGGGCAGAAGAATTTAATTTTGGATATTAATTACTTTGGACTAATTTTTTGGAACTTTAATCTCTTCAGTTTTATTTCTCTCAGAATTTAATAATTAGAACATTTATATATTAATTTTTGAACATGTCTATATTCTTGCTATTCAATAATTGAAGCATCTTGACGTCATGATTTAATTTAATCACAGAGCCTCTGAAGAACTCTATTGAACAGTGTAACTGAACATAATTTGACATGAGAAACAGTATATAGAGGGAATTTTGAGGCTTTGAAGTTAACGAATTTTTGTACTGTTTTATTATAGTTCAAAGTCTTCTGTAAACAAACATAGTGCCCACTAGTAATTCTTAGGGGAAGCTACAATAGAGCAGCAATTGTTATTAAGTGAAGAACTTTAAATTTATTTAAAATATGAATATCTCCAAAAGCAGCTCTGAGAAAAGACCCTAGGTTCAACTAGTTTTGATTTGACAAGTGATCCCAGGAGGGACAAGTGTAAAAATGGGAAAAGTTAGACAATGAAAGGAAAACTACAATAAAAGTTCAAAGAAGAAGGGGGATGCATTCATGAGATTCATAACTATGGAAAAAAAGGAATGGATTCTAGTGTGGACCCCTTGAACAATGTTGAATGCCCCTCAGGAGCTTCCCATTGAGTGAGTGGGTAGCTGTGCTTCTTACCCACTGATTTGTGTCCCTCATTGGTTAATGATGATTCCTAAGGACATCAACTCCCTGGCATATTAGGGCTTCCTTGAGTGTAGTTGATAAAGATTCTTGGGCAGTTAGATTGGGGCAAAAGTAATTGTGGTTTTGCCATTAAAAGTAAGTGCAAAAAAAGCAATTACTTTTGCACTAAACTAACTAATAAGTAAAATCTTAAGGAACAGTGGCAGAGAGACAAGCTTTGGCAGTAAGTAGTTATCAAGGGATATTCACCATAGATGAGGAGGCCTGTGTGGGCTATGGAGCAAGACATGAATACTGTCTGCTGTGGGGCCTCATGAGGCAAAAGCCTGAAATGATACATGGCCAATACCACCCCCCAAGCAAGAGCCAATCTCCTAGATGACAATCAACTGAAAGTTTTAAATCAAAATTAAAAGAATAAAGAGTTGAAGAATATGAAGAAGGGAAACATATTCCCACCTGTCATCTTTTTAGGAGGGAAACTGTAGTTCTCAAAGCTTATCTCCAGAATTACCAGAAGGTTTGTTAGAACACACATTGTTCTATGCCCTACTTAGAGCTTCTGATTTGTAGCCACAGATGAGACCTGAGAATTTGCCTTTAAAACATGTCGCTGTTGCTCCTTGTGCATGAACCACAGTTTGACAATCACTGAGCTAGGGTAACCCTCTAGCTTCTCACTCTCTCATTTATTAACTCACAGTGGGAGGAGAAGAGAGGGTGAAGGAGACCTCTTCCTGCTTTGTAGATCTCACTGTCTCACTTTCTAGATCTCTCTGCAGTCTGGCCAAGTTTAGCTAGGACGGTTTACCACACCCAGTGCAGAGATTCCAGTGTTCCCTATGACCAAATGAGGAAGCTGAATTACATGATGCAAGAAAGAAAGCTATTGTTGCCCCAGACTTAAGCTGGGTTTTCTAAATAATAGCTCTGTCAGTAATGAAGGTCATGCTTTGTATCTGTATATCTGGCTTTTGTGTCTTTCGTACAGATGTTTCCAAACTTTGAAGGAGAAAAATCAGGGTGTTTTATATAGACATCTGGTAAAACCAACAAACAACAACCACTTTATGCAGAAGTTTTCTTATTTCAGTAGAAAACACATCCGCACAATATTATGTATGAGGGCTTAAATAATTTGAATGGGAGAGAAGTAACAGTGTACATATAGTTTCACTGTGAATATGGACAAGCTTTCTGCCCAGAGGGGCGTGTAAACAATGATGACTTTTAAAAATTTCAAACATTCTGTATCATAAGATCTAAAGACGATTTGCTTTATGTAAAAAGAGAAAGAAAAGCATGAAATGAAATCCCCTGGTAGAGTCAAGCTACTTTGATTTATACATAATGTTTCTTCAGACAATGGCACAGAAGCACTCTCATATTTCAATATCTAATTTGCATTGTTTGAAAAGGAACAGGGCTATAGATAGACTTTTATTTGGCTTATGCTCTAGGATATTTAAACAGACTTTGAACTTCAAAAAGACTCTTTTACAAATTCCAGTAACTTGTGGTATTTTCCGGGCTTGTTATGGTAATCAATGACATATTTTGTTTTTATTATGAATTGACAAATTGTTAAGATAAATATTTTAAATTCTGAAAGCCTGATTTTCTAAAGTTCTTTTTAACTTTTTCTAAAAGTGAATGAAAAATATAAGATGAGTTAAACCAGTTTTAGAGATTTGTTGAATTCCATAAATGTGCTATTTGGTAGATAATTTGCATTTTCTCGCATTTTTGTTGTATTTTTATCCAGTATTGTTCCTCGTTCCCAACTACTGTTTGTTGTTGTTGACTTACAACACTTGAGTAATCCCAAGTTTGTTATACTTCTTGACATAAAAAACATGCGTTTAAAGTTCTTATGCCAAGTACAAAACACCATAAAACCAAAGGAGAGGAACACACTAAAAAAGAGACAGTACCAATTTTAGGGCTGTGGTTTTGTAACTTACCCCACCATTTCTAGATATGTTATTATAAAGTGTCATTATTCTATTTTTTGTTTGGCAAAATATTTTGATACATCAGAAACTTTGCAAATAAGGTGGCTAGTTACCTACTTGATATTTATTTTCCCCTTTCTTCTAGTTAACATAATCTTTATATTGTTGTGGGTGGCAATACGTCACAGTCAGAGAAATATATTGTGCCATGTCTTTGCATTTAGGGAGGATCAGTGGAAGTTATCACTGGTGCTTTCATTAAAACTTTTTTAAAAAGTTCTGTCTCAGCCGGGTGTGGTGGCTCATGCCTGTAATCCCAGCACTTTGGGAGGCTGAAGCGGGTGAATCACGAGGTCAGCAGTTCAAGACTAGCCTGGCTAAGATGGTGAAACCTGTCTCTACTAAAAATAAAAAATAAAATAAAATAAAAAAAGTAGCCAGGCGTGGTGGCGGGCACCTGTAATCCCAGCTACTGGGGAGGCTGAGGCAGAGAATTGCTTGAACCCAGGGGGCGGAGGTTGCAGGGAGCCAAGATGGCGCCACTGCACTCCAGCCTGGGCAACAGAGAAAGACTCCGTCTCAAAATAAATAAATAAATAAAAGTTCTTTCTCATGTGTCAGGTGTCATTTTCCCCTTCCTCCCTCTTCCTGTTTCCCTGTTGAAAGGTCTACAGAATTTCCACAGCCATTTTGAAGTCACAGGATGAGACTGAGGGTAGAAACTGTGTGCTAATCATAATAGAGGAAGCTTATGATATTGATGACATTATAGATCTGCCATCCCCAAACCGCCCTATCTTGTCTTATTTTCTGTGTTAGAAGAATACACTGTATCTCCTTTGAGCCCCTGTCCTTTTGGGTCTGTATTATAGCAGTTAATAGTTAATCCCTCACTGTTAAATATAAAATGAACTTTGAAACACACTTTTTGCCTTCCCTTGTTGATATAAATGCAGTAGAACAAATTTTTGACCAATGATAGTTGAATTTTGATAAATCAGTGTTATTTTATACCTTATTTTTCCTTGTGGTTAAGACTAGAACTGGCAAATTAGATTAGGACATTTGGGCTGCTTAAAACCCTAGCAAACCTTAGTGGTCCACAGAGTCCTTTATATAGACTTGACCTAACTAGAAACATTTTTTTTAGAAACTGAAATTGCCAGCTGCTTTGAGAAAATGCTTTGAGGTATTGCATATCTTCCTCTCTAGTACCTCATTCTAGTAATATTTGATCCTTGGGAACACCAGTCCATTTTCATGTCACATTTATCATGTCCTCTCTTGTGTCCTTATCTCACACTTAGTCTGTAGTCCACTGTAATCACTCCCTTGTAAACTTATTTAACTTCTTCTCTCCTAACTATTCCCCTACTTACTCACCTGACAAACAAAACACTAGCTAAATCAGAATCTTTTTTTCTCTCATGGCCACTTTACAGTCAACCACAACAGAAGGAAAACATACTTCATGAATACTCCAAGCTTTCCCCAACACACCAACTACATATTATTATTTCAATTGCCCTCCTGCATTGCAAGATAATTATTCGACATGTCTTCCCCTCCTCAAACCACTAAAGCTATTACAAACTCTTCACTTTCAACCAATGGTATTATTCATTTCCCTGAAGAAACTTTACGTAATGCAAAAAGGACGTCCTCATGCTCCTACACTGTGAATCTTTTCCCAAACAGTCTGTCTTTCTCTCTGTTTCAACACAGGGACTATTCATCTTCCAAAGATCAGTCCGTCCTTCTGTGAATTAGATCACATCAATTTTAAATTTAATTGATTTGTTACTATAATTATCCTTTTGGTCTTATAAATTATCTGCTTTTAATCTTTACTGGATTATTCCCATCAGCATAAAAGATGATCATATCTGTAACTTTTATAAAATTCACTCCCTTGAATGCAGGTGCTTTGCAGCTACTGCAAAGTTCTCTCTTTACTTTCAGCAAATGTTCTCCTTTAAAAGAGTTAATGATAGAAGTGTTCTTGATTTTTTCACTTTCCTTTCTCTCTTGAATTGACTATAATCATAGTTTTATTACCAATACTTGGCAAAAGCTGGTCTTGGAAAGGTTAATAATTGCACACAAGTACTGAAATCTAGTGCTTAAATTATACTCCTCATCTTGTTTGCCTTCTCAGCAATGATAATATCATTGGTTTTCTCTCCAAACCCCATCCCTTCCTGAAAATCTTTATACCAAGATAGTCAGAGCAATTTAAATGTTATGGGACATAATGGAAAGAAACTGGTTTTGCTCCCTGTGAGATATCGGTTCAGGGACCCTTGTACCTCGAAAAGGAAAAGCATTAGAGTTCAGCACAAGCAATCACTGCTAATATTGAATTCCTCTTGATTAATTCATAATGCTAAGGCTGATGGGGAGCACTCTGTTTCTGAGACCTCATTATTTCTTTATTTCCATATTCCATCTTCAGAAAAACCCGAGATCAGAGAGTAAGCAGTTCATTCATGGGAGGGGATGAAACAGGGAAGCCGCCTTTCACCAGCGCTGCTCAATGCAACCTTGCAACATAAAGCCGGCAGTTTGGCTCAAAGTCTCCTTCATGGGTTTCCCAGCTGGAGCATGGCAAATGAGTAAGTTATGTAAGAAACCTACATCAGACATGAATGAAGAGCAGCAGCTCCTGAAGAGCAGCCGTTTAGAATAGTTGTCACACTTTACCACGCATCACAATTTCCTGAGAAGCTTTTCAAAATGCAAATTTCAAGTCAGAATTCCTGAGAGTGCTGGTGAAGTCCAGGGTTCTGCACTTGTGATCTTTTCTTTTATGTGATTCTGATGCAGGTGGAGAACATGCACCATACACTCTAAAAACTACTAAGAACTCTTACATGGAAGATCTAGGACTGGGAATGAGGATAAGAGATAAAAGACAGAATTAATTGCTAGCCAAAAATGAAATTGGAGACATTCTCTCCCTAATGCTAAAAAAAAAAAAAAAAAAAGGCAGGGCATTAATCTTGTTGAATAGGCAAACAGTCAGTAAGCATTTACCACAAAATAGAAGGTGAGGACCAGACGTGCAAGAACAATTTCCCCATGGATGCTGCATTTACCTAGAGGGTGAGGACCAGACATGCAAGAACAATTTCCCCATGGATGCAGCATTTACCTATAGGGACGAGCATCCTCAGCACAGACTTGTCCTACCCTCTCAAGATTGTGTATCAGCAGGTACAATTACTTTATATATGAAAGTCCATCTCCAAACAGCTGAGGCCACTGGAAACACCATGAATCAACTTTGCATCTCGCCTGCTTTCTTCCCTGGTTTCATTGAAAGTTGGATTCAAAGACTTGATTATGTCTAGATACCAACTGTATTTTCACCAGAAACCAAGAACTAGATCTGCTCCCCTGGAGCGTCAACAATAGTCAAATCAGATTACCCAATATTTTCAAACTTTTTGGCACATGTTATTAATTGATTTCCAGTACACGTACTTCTCATCACAGGGTCCTCCTTCTCAGTGTTCTCCACTTGTTAACCTCAGATCCAAGGCTCAATCCTCTGACTTCATATCCATTTATATTTATTTCTAAAGTGACCTAATTAAGCTCAGATTTATGACTTTCAATGCAATGTATACATATTGATATTATCTGAACATACAACTTTGGGCTTTCATGTTCCTCAATTGAATACTTGACATTTTCATCGATAATATAATTATATTTAAGTTAACATGCTAAAATTTAATCTCATCCAATCTCAAAATGTGTTCCTTCTTCAAAGTAGTAAATGGCACACCCATATACCTGTTTCCTTCAAATTCCTTAGCATCATTTTTTAACTCTCTCTCACACTCACATGCTATTCCTCAGTGATACTGACAGAAGTACTTTTAAAATATATTCCAAATGTGACCACTTCTTTATAACTCCACCATTAAGACTATATTTTAAGCTACCACTATCTCTTACTTGGACACTAAAATAGTCTTTAAACTATTCATTTATTTTAAAATAAATCAGAATGTGCTACTCTGTATACTAAACACTTTGACAGCTTCCCCTTACACTTAGAATGGAAATCCAAATATTTACCTGAGTCTACAGGGCTCCATGTGATCTGCCCCAAGGCTACCTCTGCAAGCTCATTATCTGCCACTCTCCTCTAAATTCATGCCCATCACACTAGCCATCTTGCTGTTCCTACAGAAAGCCATGTAAGTTTCTGCCTCCTTTTCATAAATCAGAGTATATTAAAATATATGTTACAATAAATTATGGAAATGAAATATTTACTAATCAGTCATATGTGTAATCCTGTATTAATGCTAGTAAATAACTAAAATTTGAATTAAATCAAGAATAAAGAAAAGCTCTGATTGTAGGAGTGATATCAGCCCACCTGGTCAACATTCATAGGTAGACATTAAATTAACCATCAAGAGTATAAAACTTGCTATACATGAATAACAGTAGTCTATATCATTAAAACAATCAATTAAATAGATGATCTGCTTAAAATTTTTGTTTCTAAAATTTATGCTTGCCTAATTGTTAATATTCTAAACGAAAAAATAATGTAAATTTCTTGTGTTCTAATTTTCCAATTAAAATGAGTTACTCTAATATTTTATAACAAAAATAGTACTAATTTATAGTGCTTATTTACTTGGAAATTTTGTGTTTTTTTTTTTTACTTAAAAAACTTTTACATTATCAGTTGAGTCTCAAAACTTGAAATATTATTAGTACCTTGTAAAAACTCAAAAAATTGAAGGCTTCACTTCCTAGTAAACTATGGTGTTCTTTGAATAGTTAGGGTAACAAAAATCACTTCTTACCATTCACTTGGAAGATGTGAGTCTGATAGACTTGTTCATAGCCATCTGCATAGCAGGTGTAATTGCCAACGTGAGTTGTGGTAACCTTAGTAATATACAAGGACCCATCATCTCCAAAGTCCTATTAAAAATAAAATAAAACAAGGTGTTTGCATTTTGAATTAATTGTAACAATTTCAATTTTTAAAAGGTGTATTCAGGTACAAAACAAATAGACTCAAATATTGTTTTAAAATTATCAAAATGAGCATTGTTGGGTGTATAAGCGTAAAGGATCTGTAATTATAATTTTCTAACAATATGTTTTGTTTAAAAAGCATCATATCACTCATAAATATAGCTTTTTAATATTTATTTGAAATGCATGTTTAATATATAAAGTAACTTAATTTCCACATATGTGTTCTAATTTAGTTCCCATTTTTAAGATTAGAACAGGCCAGGCACGGTGGCTCACACCTGTAATCCCAGCACTTTGAGAGGCCGAGGCAGGTGGATCACTTGATGTCAGGAGTTCAAGACCAGCCTGGCCAAAATGGTGAAGTCATGTCTCTACTAAAAATACGTAAATTAGCTGTGTGTGGTGGCACACACCTGTAGTCCCAGTTACTCCAGAGGCTGAGGCAGGACAATTGCTTGAAACTGGGAGGCAGGGGTTGCAGTGACTTGAGAACGTGCCACTGCACTCCAGCCTGGGTGACAGAGTGAGACTCTGTCTCTAAATAAATAAATAATTACAAATTAAAAAATAAAAAAAGATTAGCATAGCTATAATGTGTTTTCTTCTTATTTATGGCTAAAACAAATACCTGTTAACTGCATTCTTCACATTGGTAGTTATCTACTACTTGTATATTATTTAATTATATATTTACCAATAAAAATAATTATTAAAGCAGTGTGATCTCAGTGATAACATTTATAGCCATAACATAGAATAGCATTTATTTTCCAAGCCCAGATACCATCAACACATTTGAATACAATAACCATACCACTTCAAAATAGTGGAGATAAATGCATAACCATTTTGAAAAAAAAGAAAGGAAGAAAAAAACTTGCACCGTTAAAATCAAATCCATGAAGCACCTCCAGAATAGCAAAGACCAGAAAATTTTCTCTTCCATTATGGTAATGACTATTCTGGCAAAAATTGCCAAAATCAATTTTTTTCAGAATTCTGGAAATAGAGAAAGGTTCACAATAGCCCACAGAGTATTTATTCAAAAAGTGGCTGACTCTTAGTAAGAATGGCAAAATTTATGTGGCATTTTAACTTTACTTCCTCAACAGCTCTCCACAGCTGCATGGTGGCCTTGAACCAGCCTCCTTAAAACTATGCCAGCTATGAAAATCATCATTCTAGAAGACACTGGAAGGGAAAGAGCAGGTCTGAAGCTCCTCCAAGACCTTATCCTGAGAGAATTGTACCTGTTGGATAGATTAGCAGCTCCTCGAGAACATACATTTTCATGACTTCTTTTTAGTTGAGCTTTGAGCAACACTTAAAGTTCACTCTGTGTAAAGAGCCCTATCCCTAATGTTTTTTTTTTTTTTTTTTGAGGCAGGGTTCCCAGGCTCTGGAGTTCAGTGACATGATCTTGGCTCACTGCAATCTCTGCCTCCCGGGTTCAATCAATTCTTCTGCCTCAGCCACCTGAGTAGCTGGGACCACAGGAGCACTCCATCACACCCAGTTAATTGTTGGTTTTTGTTTGTTTGTTTGTTTGTTTTTTGAGATGGAGTTTCACTCTTGTTGTCCAAGCTGAAGTGCAATGGCATGACCTCGTCTCACTGCAACATCTGCTTCCTGGGTTCCAGTGATTCTCCTGCCTCAGCCTCCTGAGTAGCTGGGATTACAGGTGCTACAGGCTTGTGCCACCACGCCCTGCTAATTTTTTGTATTTTTAGTAGAAACAGGTTTTACCATGTTCGCCAGGCTGGTCTCGAACTCCTGACCTCAGGTGATCCGGCCGCCTCAGCCTCCCCAAGTGCTGAGATTACAGGCATGAGCCACTACGCCCAGCTAATTTTTGTATTTTTAGCAGAGACAGGTTTTCACTATGTTGGCCATGCTGATCTCAAACTCCTGGCCTCAAGTGACCCTCCTGCTTCAGCCACCCAAGGTGCTGGGATTACAGGAATCAGCCACCATACCTGCCCCCTAGAGTCTTTATTGAAATCAGGAAACAACAGCAGTTGTTTCGCATTACAACTTTCTGCAACAGAGATACTAGTTGTAGAGAGCAACAGTTTGACTAAAAAACCTTACAAGATAAACCTGAGGAATGGGCTCTCCGTAGAGAAGTTTGAAGAGTTCCATATATTCCTAGGAGTCTAGAAGGCCACACAAACGTGCAGGACTGTGTGAATGCTCAGCAGAGATGTGTGAATCCCTATTATCTCATCTCTAGCTGCACATAAGACTCTACACAAGCAGAAATTGAAGGCTAAGACAGAGTTGTGAACTATATAGGAACACTCATACCGTAACACAAAACAGAGATAGGAAACCTCAACAAAGCCTGGGAGACTTACTGATGCAAGGCATTTAATTAAATCCCTGTTCAATCATTAGCTCACCACTAAGAGTGAATCCCAACAGCCACATACAACATACCAAAGAAAAATAGGTAAATTCAACTTCATAAATATTAAAATCTTTTGCTGCTCAAAAGACATCAAGAAAGTAAAGAGATACCCTATAGAGGAGAGGAAATATTTGAAGAAAATTTATCTGATAAGGATCTTCTATTCAGAATACATAAAGAGTAATTACAATTCAACAATCAAAAAGCAAATAGGCTGGGCATGGTAGCTCACACCTGTAATCCCAACACTTTGGGGGCCAAGGCGGGCAGATCACCCGAGGTCAAGAGTTTGAGACCAGCCCGGCCAACATGAGGAAACCCCGTCTCTACTAAAAATACAAAAATTAGCTGGGCATGGTGGCACATGCCTGTAATCCCAGCTACTCAGCAGGCTGAGGCACGAGAATTGCTTGAACCCGAGAGGTGGAGGTTGCAGTGAGCCGAAATCGTGCCACTGCACTCCAGCCTGGGTGACAGAGTGAGACTCCATCTCAAAACAAAACAAAACAAAACAAATAGTCTGATTAAAATAATGGGTAGAGGATTCAAATGAACATTTCTCAAAGGATTTACAAATGAACAATAAGCACATAAAAGCATGTTCAGCATTACTAGTCACTAAGGATATGCAAATAAAAACCTCAGTGAGATACTACTTCATATGCTCTACATTGGTTAAAATAAAAAAGAGACAATTGCAAGTGTTGGAGAGGATGTGGAAAGTTTGGAACCTTCACACATTGCTAGTGAGAAGATTAAATGGTGCCTCTGCTTTGGATAACAGTTTGGCCACTCCTCAAAAAGCTAAACTAAGTTACTTAGGACTAGCAATTCATTATGTACTACCCCAAAGAACTGAAAACATGTCTAATACTAACTGTATGCAAATGTGCATAGCTGTATACTATTGTATGCAAATGTATGCAAATGTGCATAGCTATATTTATTAGTCATAAAAGGCAAAAAGTGAAAACAACCCAAATGTCTATCAATGGATGAATGGATAAATAAAATGTACTATATCTATACAATGGAGTATTATTTGACAATAAAAAGGAATAAAGTACTGATATATACTGCAACATGAATAAACCTTTCTTTTCAGCCTTAGGGCCTTTGCATGAATCTTGAAATTAATATGCTAAGTGAAAGAAGCCAGACACAAAAAGCCACAAATTTTACGAGTCTAATTATATGACATGTCCAGAATGAGCATATCCATAGACATAGAAGACGGATTTGTGGTAACCAGGGACTGAGGGAATGGGGGAGTGGGAAATAACTGCTAATAAGTCTGAAGTCCTTTTTGGAGGGATGAAAATATTCTAAACTTCGACAGCCATGATGGCTGCACAATTTTGCTAATATACTAGAAAGCACTGAATTGCACACTTCGAATGGATTAATTTTATGGTTTGTGGAGAATATCAGAGTAAAGCTGTTGTTAAAATAAAATCTATATGGAATACTTAAATCCAAAAAAATAAATATGCCATAATAAAACTATATATATTCTTAGTTAATGAAATCTTTTGTGAGTATGAAAAAATTAGAAATCAAAAAAGAAAGAATAATTGACATATTTTTATGAAGAAGAAACACTCTTGCATTCTAAAACATTGCAATCAGTAACAGAGAGCTAATTAACCACAGATTATCAAGACAAAACTCAATACATTTAATCTTTATTTATAAAGCAGTTATCTGTATGCCAGACACTACTATAAACACTTCACAAAAATGGACACATTTCATCTATATACTAAACCTAAAAAACAAGATCTATTAATATTCTCTCACTTTATAGCTGGGGAGGCTAAGATGTCAAGGAAGCTACTAGTTCCATTTGGCCTCTAATTAGCGGAGCTAGGATTGGAAACCAGGTAGGCTTACTCCAGAGTCTGTGTTTCATGCTCCCACACCACACTGCCTTCCTTGTCAGTCATAAGTTGAACTCAGGGATAAAGACAGGAAAAGGGAACAAAGAGGAAATTTGAGACAAAACGCTCAAAACAAAAGAGGTCAAATACACTACCAGGTTTGAAGAAAAAAGGCTGGAAGTGTTTTGAGAGTGCATGTGCCATAGAAGAAAGGCTGGGTAGATCCACTGAAGTTTGAGTCAAAAGACAACATTGTGAAACATGTCAACCCCTGTATTTCTTCCTTTTCTCAGCTGCAGAGAATGAGGATATGAGGTGCTGGTACAGAAAATTCTTTTTATTACCATTATTATTATTATCATTATTATACATTAAGTTCTGGGGTACATATGCAGAATGTACAGATTTGTTACAAAGGTATACACGTGCCATGGTGGTTTGCTGCACCCATCAACTCGTCATCTACATTAGGTATTTCTCCTAATGCTATCCCTCCCCTAGCCCCCCACCCCTGAGAGACCCCAATGTGTGATGTTCCCTGCCCTGTGTCCATGTGTTCTATTGTTCAACTCCTACTTATGAGTGAGAACATGTAGTGTTTGGTTTTCTGTTCTTGTGTTAGTTTGCTGAGAATGATGGTTTCCAGCTTCATCCATGTCGCTGCAAAGGACATGAACTCATCCTTTTCTATGGCTGCATAGTATTCCATGGTGTATATGTGCCACATTTTCTTTATCCAGTCTATCATTGATGGGCATTTGGGTTGGTTCCAAGCCTTTGCTATTGTGAATAGTGCTGCAATAAACATACGTGAGCAAGTGTCTTTATAGTAGAATGATTTATAATCCTTTGGGTATAACCCAGCAATGGGATTGCTGGGTCAGATGGTATTTCTCATTCAAGATCCTTGAGGAATCGCCACACTGTCTTCCACAATGGTTGAACTAATTTACACTCCCACCAACACTGTAAAAGCATTCCTATTTCTCCACATCCTCTCTAGCTTTTTAAGTTGTAATTGGCAAATTTTAAATATACTTTACTATAAAGAGTCTTAAATATTTTTTCCCATATATTTGCTCTGAGGATTTACCTTCTAAGAGTTTTTTGTTCCTTGCCCTTTCCCAATTTTAATTTTGGGTTTAGAATTTTTCATGTTTATTTCTAAATTTTTAATGTGTTGCTCAGTTCTTAATTTTATATACAATATTTATCAATAAAAAGCAAGCATTTATCTTCACTTCATTTTTGTAAAATGTAAATACTTGTGTCAGCATCTTTTGGTAAAGAAACTGTTTTCCCTCTGAATTGTGATTTTTTTAAAAATATTTATATCTTTAAAATAGGATAGTATCCACTGACTTACCAATGCTCACATAATAGTACTCCAAAAAGCATATCTTATATATTTCTGGCTTTACCTATATTTATGCTAGGTGAATTTCTGTTAAAAATAGCTTCCCTCAAACTGATACCCACTACGGATTTATTGAAAACAAGAACACGATTATGGAGCTATTGAATCTGACCTTGAAAATGATAAAAATCTTCTGACAGAGAAAAAAAGATCAGAGAAGAGAAAGAGAGAAAGAGATAAATGGGGGAAGAGGAGAAGGAGGAGGAGGAGTCAAGGAAGAAGGGATGAGGAGGGGGAGGGAGAAGGGGAGGAAAGGGAGGCAAGGGGAATCATACTGTACACTCTGGCTGTCATACAGTTTAACTGAATATTTCCTTAATAACTCTCAATAAAATAGAAATCCTCAATATCATATTATATACGATCAATCATACCACATTTCTACAGCTCCCAGAGGAAATTGTCATGGTGCCACTCTCACTGATTTAATGAGGGAAAGCCTTATGAGCTACACAATAGGAGAGGATTTGGAGCTTGAACCTCCACAAAAAGTAACTACTGATACAAACTCCATAACATAACTCCAGCCTTCACCCACAGGCTACCATTAAAAACAGGGCTCATACAGACAGAACACTGTTAAGGAACTGAAATGCTAAATAAAAAGACAAAAGGCTGTACCTCACGTGAACAGTAAGCAGATATTTGACATGTTGTAGAGTATAATGGGGGGAAAGCCAAACTTTTGTAGAAATTAATTGAGAAAGATTAGAGTTAAGAGTATTTTTAGAAAGATTTTGAGCAAAAAAAATAATTACCGATGGCCAGAAAAATAACAGCAAGATATCTAGTCTCCATAACATAGACATAAACACAGGGCAAGAACGTGTAAAACTCATTACAACCAGAAAATATCATGGAGACCAGATCACAACAGAGAATTCTTTCAACGGACAAGAATAATTAAAAACAATAGTGAAAATTCTGAATATATGTGAATGGCATTTGTGATTGTTTATATTCAAATATGCAAAATGGTATATTCATATTTTAATGTATATTTTCAGATAATTCTTTTAAAATTTCTTTAAAACCTGAAATAAACCACTTTTCCATACGTTCTATGTAGCTACCTAGAGAATATAGTCTTTCCCTTTCTAGTATAATCAAGATTCCTTCACCCAATGATGTAAAAATTATCCAAGACTGCAACTTTTAAAGTGTTTTATTGAAATCTGTGTTATTCCATAACACCAAATCTCTTTTAGTTACAATGCCCTTCTTTCTAAATTACCATATCTAAATTACCATTACCATTTCTAAGGTATATTTGTTGATTCATGTTTTTCTCTTTCCTCTAAATGGAATTAAAATATTCCAGCCAAAATTTTCTTTAATAAACAATTTTATAAACTCCTTTTCAGGCAGCTTTTTGAATGAGCTAGACTTTAACTAATCCTCTCATCAGTTTGAATAAAGCATAGACCTTTTCAATATATTTAAAATAAAACAGCATATTTCAGTATATTTAAAATAAATAATAAATATTTATTGAGCATGTAAATATGTCGAGTGCTATGCCGAACAATTTAAATGAAACATGAAATTTTATCATTTAAACAACTTCGTAAAAAAGGCCCCATCATTAATCCCATTTTGCAGATAAGAAAACTAAAATATACTGATGTTGAGTAACTTGGTTGAGGTCACCAAACAAGGTGAGGGGTCTCAGATTAGCATCCAAATAGACTGCAGAATTTAGCTGTTCTTGTTTATATAATTCTTAACACATTCTCTTTTTTTCAGGATTCTCCATTAATCTTAGCCAAGCCTCAAAATTACGTTTTGAGTTTTGTTATATGTATAAAGACATATCAAGCCTACTCTTTACCTCCATCCTGATACAGCATTTCTGATCTTTTATTTCCTCAGCAGTTTTCTAATCTTAAATAGATCAAAACAAATGTATGATGTTGAGGCTCAGCCATGGTTGAGAGTTATGACCTTAGAACAGACACTCTGAATTCAGGGACAAAATCTTGCACTTGTTCTGAACCCCTGTTACACCTTTATAATCTTACTGCCAATGGACACTCCATAAATATTTCATCAGAGATTCAATCTTTATGAGCCTCTACACCATTACAGAGTTGCCTTAAGGCATTGATGTCTGGAAAGAGTTGATAGGAGAAAAAACACAAAATCGTTTATTTTGTTGAGTTGATTGCTTATATATTTTTCAAGGTAGTGCAAATGGGAACTTTGGAAGAAAGAACATCTGTAGCACATATGTAAAATTGCGAAAATTTTTCTGGCAACTACCTATTGATTATAATCAATTATGTAAGAGTAACAAAACATTTAATAACCTATAGATGATGAGCACTGATTAATCAGAATGTACAAGGCAGTAAAAACCAGGTACTGATTATATCAGTACATAACAGCTGAATTTCTGGCCTATATTTAACCACAGGTTTTTAACCATATTGTTTAGATTGCTTCAATATAAAAGATATTTCATCTGTTATAAAATGGTAAATTTTAAATGTTAGCCCACTTTCTTTTTCATATTATGTCCCTCCTTATAGTTCTAAATTGTATGGTACCAATATTATTTGCACTTTAAATACAGTTTTCTGTATAAAATATGTTTTGATATACACTGACATTAAAGTAACTTATTTTCAAATTCTGAGTTTTCTAGTGTATGCATTTAATTTGCAATAGTGTAAAAGCTATTTTCCTAGCTTTTTATGTATACAAAATATATTTTCATAAAATAACAATAAAATAAATCTAAGCAAACTTCTACATATTGAGATTGACTAAAGCAATATTATCTCACAGTAGACAAGATTTTCTAGAAACTATGGATTTTTCTCAGTAGCCTACTTACTGACATACTTAATACAGAATCAGTAAATAACACTGTGAAAATAATAAATTAAATAATATGTTTAATTTGGTAAATACATCATTTAAAAAACTGCTTTCCCTAAAGTAAATCATTTTATGAATCAATTTAAAATTGATTTAAATATGCAATAGAAAAGAAATGTCAACTAACACGAATTGAAACTATTGCTTAAAATTATTAAGCAAACAAAAATAAAACAGCTGCATTCTCTGGTATGAAAGCAAAACCAAAATGATGAGAACTTTGTGAACAAATATTATTAGATAATAAATGTAAAATAATTTAATTATATTTTATTAAACTTAAGAAAATAACCCTGCAAAAAGGTTCTAATAACTTCAAATTAATTGATATGTTCTCTTCTTGACCACACTTCTCAGAATTCCTTATTGTTAGCATAATAATTTAGGAATAACTACATCTCAGAATAATCACGGAAAAGGGGAACATTAATGAAAATCCCTACAAGTTCTAAATGGTTGTTGAGGATCACGAAGTTTTATAAATGTGGTTTGGAATACAATGTAATTCGTTAAAAGTAAAAGGGTCTTAGGAATATGGAAGTTTTTACAGTCACTCTTGAAAAAGTTTTGAATGGAGTAAAATGAGCTGCAGGTATTTCTCCTGTTAGAATAAAAAGAAGACATATCCTTCGCCCACTTTTTGATGGGGTTGTTTGTTTTTTTCTTGTAAATTTGTTTGAGTCCTTTGTAGATTCTGGATATTAGCCCTTTGTCAGATGAGTAGATTGCAAAAATTTTCTCCCATTCTGTAGGTTGCCTGTTCACTCTGATGGTAGTTTCTTTTGCTGTGCAGAAGCTCTTTAGTTTCATTAGATCCCATTTGTCAATTTTGGCTTTTGTTGCCATTGCTTTTGGTGTTTTAGACATGAAGTCCTTGCCCATGCCTATGTCCTGAATGGTATTGCCTAGGTTTTCTTCTAGGGTTTTTATGGTTTTAGGTCTAACATTTAAGTCTTTAATCCATCTTAAATTGATCTTTGTATAAGGTGTAATGAAGGGATCCAGTTTCAGCTTTCTACATATGGCTAGCCAGTTTTCCCAGCACCATTTGTTAAACAGGGAATCCTTTCCCCATTTCTTGTTTTTCTCAGGTTTGTCAAAGATCAGATAGTTGTAAGCTGGAAACCATCATTCTCAGCAAACTATCCCAAGGACAAAAAACCAAACACCGCATGTTCTCACTCGTAGGTGGGAACTGAACAATGACAACACTTGGACACAGGAAGGGGAACATCACACACCGGGGCCTGTTGTGGGGTGGGGGGAGGGGGAAGGGATAGCATTAGGAGATATACCTAATGTAAATGACGAGTTAATGGGTGCAGCAGACCAATATGGCACATGTATACATATGTGACAAACCTGCACGTTGTGCACATGTACGCTAGAACTTAAAGTATAATAAAAAAAATATGAAACAAAAAATAAATAAATACAAAAAAAAAGAATAAAAAGGAGACAAGCAGAAGAAGCCTATGGCAGTTGTCCTGAGTAGATACTTGTACAATATGTAGACCCAATGCAATAGGTTATGGAGTGTTTATAGGTTATGAAAAGCTACACAAAAGGGGTAAGAGGTGTCCCTCAAATTCTAGTGTGGAGAAGGTAAAGGAAAGTAGATTAGGCAAAATGAGAATAGTGGTATTTGTAACAATAGCTATAAGAGATCACAAAAAGATCACAAATACAACATACGACATGAACAATATTCATTGAGAACATGATAACAGTTTATTGAAAGGTATTAAAGAGTATCTTACTCAGTTGAAAAACATGAATAGAACTCAATATTTTAAAGGTATCAATTATTCCTAAATTAATCCAAAATCTCAACACAATTTCAATTAATAAAAATCAACTTGTTGGCTGGGCACAATAGCTCATGGCTGTAATCCCAGCAGTTTGGGAGGTTGAGGCGGGTAGATCTCAAACTGAAGTCAGGAGTTTGAGACCAGCCTGGCCAACATGGCAGAACTCCATCTCTACTAAAAATACAAAAATTAGCTGGGTGTGGTGGCATGCACCTGTAATCGCAGCTACTTGGGAGGCTGAGACAGGAGAATAGCTTGAACCCGGAAGGCAGAGGTTGCAGTGAGCCAAAATTGCTCCACTGCACTCCAGCCTCAGTGACAGAGTGAGACCCTGTCTCAAAACAAACAAACAAACAAACAAACAAACAAAACGCATGTTTTTGAGGAAATCAAAAGTTGATTTAGATTTGTAAGACAGTGTAATAGAGCATGAAAAGCCAAGACAATCCTGAAATAGAAAGAGAAAACAAAGATGATTTGCCTCTATCATATATCAAGACTCATCTACAAGATTAAAACTAAGATGAAGTGATGTATTAAGATAAAGTGTCTCTGGAAACAACCAATATTCTCAGCTCTCCCTTCTTTCTCTGTCCCAAGAAATAGATAAATGACAAGTATATATACGATACCTAGATAGCCATGTCACATGTATGATATGTGACAGACATAGCATGGCAAATTAGTAGAGAAAGATTGGTCTATTAAGCATACAGGGCTGAAGCAACTAGATAAGTTTAGACATATAGAAAATTCTAAACTGGACTTCTACCTCACAGAATACACAAAAATCAAGAGCAAAGGAAACAGTACATATATGTAAAAGACAGAACTTTAAATCTTTTCATATAAAATGTTAAGAAAATATCTTTATAATCTCAGGAATTTGGATATTGGATGACATTTTAAATTGAGAGACAAAATGAAGAAATCATTTTAAAAGTAATTTACAAATTAAACTATATCAAAATTAAGAATTCTTATTTGTAAAAATACATTATCAAAACAGTGAAACTACAAGCCATAATTGGACAAAGCAACCCATTATCTGTAACTGATAAAGGGAAAAACAAAAGACTAACAATTCAATAGAAAAATGAAGATTTGAAAAGTCATGTACTGAAAATGAAATCACAAATATCACTTAGATTTGTAAAAAGATGTTCAATATCACTACTAATCATTAAAATTAAATTTACTGCAACAACGAAGAAACCATGTAAACATCTACTAGATTTACAAAACTAAAATGCCTAATCCCAAGTGCTGACTGACATGTAGCACAATGAAAAGTCTCATAAACTCAGTGAAATTGTAAATTGGCAAAACCAATCTGTAAAATATAAACTCAAATATGAGCATATTCTAAAACTCAGACATATGAATGTACACACATAAATTTTTCTATAGTAATGTTTATAGCATCATTTTTAATAATACAATTCTGGAAATAACACCAAGTACAACAGATTAATCACACAACACAATCATGGTGAATAATTAAACACTGCTTTTATAAAACCACTATTCCAAGTGTTTTAAATACATGCAGAAAACCACTATTCCAAGTGTTTTAAATATATGCAGAGTCAGATTTGCCATGAAGCTAATAATGTCCAGGTTTAAGAGCTCCTCAGTTGGACAAGCCCTTTCCAAAGATCTGATAGCAGCTTTGCAATGTGTGTATATGGCCATATATTTCTGTAAAATTTGCAAATATATTAAGATTTGCTATAATTTCTTTTCTCTTTGGAAATAAATATCCATTTACATAGCTAACTGTTATTTATAATTTGTATTCTTTCTCCAAAATATAGGTGTCATTGTGCACATGTACTCCAGAACTTAAATAATATAAAAATAAAATAAAAATAAAATTCAAGACGACCCATATAACCTTGAATCATTCCTATCTATATTATTTATGTATTGACAATGCCATATTTTACACATAAAGAAACAAATTTCAGAAAGTTTAAGTAACTTCCCTATGAAGGTTACTAATTTCACAGTACAAAATTCAAAACTAGGTCATCTAGCTCTACATTTCATGCTCTGAAATTCCATATTTACATAGCTACAGACATCAACATGAATGAATCCCCAAGCACAATGTCAATAAACACACACACACACACACACACACACACACACACACACACAAACAGTATGCCTCCATTTATGTAGCATCCAAAAACAGCCAAAAATAAGCTATATGTCTTAGGGATGTATACATTTATGGTAAAAATACGAAGAGCAGCAAAAAAAGGGTTAACATATAATTCACAGTAGGAGTCATGCACAGGAGAAGAAGGAGAGTGTAATGAAGAGAAGCCTACAGGAGGCTTCAGATTCATTGGTAAGGGCATATTTTCTAAATGGTTGCAAAGTATAGATATATCTCTTTTTTTTAATTGTAAGTGACCTACATAAACCGTTGGGTTTGTATAATACTGAAATGCAATAAAAACTGAGTTAGTAAAAAAATCAAAGTAAGCTTTACATAAGTATCTCAAAGTAAATAGCTTCCCCTATGTATATGCAGAATATCCCAGTTTCTTGTTTCCTAAATCGACTTGGATTGTACTTCTTAAAAATTAAGGCAAAAAAATCTCATTTAGATTTTAAACTATATTAGTCAAGTTTTGAAAGCGAATACAATTTTATTTTGGTTTCATCAAAAATATTCATAATCGAATGGCCCAAAAAACCTAAAATCCTGGTAACTCTTGTATCATTAGTAAATGAATACACATTCCAGACTTCTGGCCTTATCTTGGGATATAAATGGAAAGAGTTTCTATCCAAACAATGAGATGAAGCTAAATAATCTACACAATAATTTCTTTCTGGAATCAATCAGAGTGCTAACTTTGCAGATCAACTGACTATCCTCAAATCCCAGGAACCCTGGTGCCTCTAGAAAGAGACAAGACACCGGCAATTATTCACCTACACTAGGGCATTGGAAGAAAACAAGGAACCATACAAGTAAGTACAAAAAAAATCATCTAATTTTTAAAAAATAGCTTAAAAGCTGAACTTGCACAAGTTGTGAGAGTATAAAACCCTGGGAGCACAGACATAGAGAAGAGTCACTTTTGCAGCATCTTCTTAATGGACTTCACAATTTGCTCTTCAGAAAGACTGGGGGCAGGAGAGGCATTCCTCATGATACAGGCCTGGTGTTGAGTAACAGCTCATGCTGAGGTGAGAAACCAAACAAAACAAAACAAAAAAACAATTCTTACCTGCATCCTTTCCCCTAGTGACACAAAGTCTTAAATAGTTGGAAAAAAAAAAAAAAAAAAAAAGGCAGCCAATCCTGTCCCTTTCAAAACACAGGTGAAAACCCACTGAGTTTTTAAAAAAGAGAAAGACCCTCCTTGTTCCAGAAAATTTAAAAAACCCTTACCGATGTGAACAAGGTAGGAACACTGAGAAAATTCTGCTCAACAGGCTTAGAGCCATATAACTACCTAAGGTTGATACTGAATGAAAAAATGTATAATACCCCCTTGTCTGGCACCACCCATGCTTGCAAAGAACCAGCAAACAAGCAAGCAACAGCAAACTACCCTTGGTAGAGGGACAAGAGCATAAGAAACAACTTCTCTTGGGTGCAGGCTCACAGGGAACACTTAAAACTGAGGATGGACCAGGCACAATCAAGAATTTTATCAATTAATACAGCTCCCACCACAAGCACAAAGTAACACTAAAGGAATAAGTACATTGTAATCATAGTGGCTAACAAAACCAAAACAAGCTTAACTTTTCAATGAAGATCTCCCAGAAAAAGAGGCATGCCTACTTCCAGGCATAAACACTTTAAACTTGGTCTCCACTACCTTGCACAGAATATGTACATTTCAACTAAAAATTATGAGACACATAAAATAGAAAGAAAAAATAATAGGCTGTTAAGAGACAAAACAATCAATGGAACTAACCTCAAATACAGTCCTATTATTGAAAAAATTAGAAAGTAGATTTAAAATAACTATGATTAATATGTTAATATTTCTAGTGGAAAGACCTGAAGAAATCCATGAATGGTTGGGTAATGTTAGCAGAGAAATGGAAAAAGCAAAAAAGTGTTGAAGGACATGCTATAAATAAATAAGACACACACAGAAAAAAAAAGAAAACAAAAAGCGTGTGCGCACGCATGCACACACAGAGAGAGAGTGAGAGAGTGAGAGAGAGGGAGAGAAAGAGAGAGAGAGAGAGAGAGAGAGAGAGAGAGAGAGAGAGGATTAATGCATTAATGCCCTTGGAAGACTTATCAGTAGTCCTGACACATTGAAGAAAAGACTCAGTGAATCTGAATATAGGTGAATGGACATTATTGAAACTGAAACACAAAGGGCAAATTAGTAGGAAAAAAATAGAACAGGGTATCCAAAAGAAATCAGTCAATATCAGTCTAAAATACGTACCATGGGAATCACCAAAAGAGGGAAAATAGAGATTGGAATATTTGAGATTAGAGATTAGAAATTCTTAAATTCTTAAAGAATAATTAATATTTTAAAAAGCCAGAAATGTATTTATACTACAGGGGACCAAAGATAAAGAGAAATGTTTGATTTCCAGAAAAAAGACACACATTACATACAGAAGGGCAAATGTAAAAATTACAACAGGCTTCTTATCAGAAGTTTTGAAAGTCATAAGACAATAAAGACTGACATTTTCAAACTGCTAGGGTATGGATGAAGCAGGGGGTGGGGAGAATTAAGGAGCTGTCAGCCCAGAATGTCATATACAGCAAAAGTACCTTTGTAGTATCAGAGAAAATCAAATTTTGTTCAGCCAAAAACTGAGAATTCATTAACAGCAAATCTGCATTGTAAGAAATCCTACAGGAAACTCTTCAGGAAGAAGGAATGTAATACCAGAAAGAAAGCTGGATGTGTACAAATAAATAACAACTTCACTTTTTGGTATATTTATAATTTACTACATTAAACAAAAAAGGGTAGTTGTGTACCTATATCAATGTGAAAGTAAAATGCATAACAACAACAGGAAAAAAGATGAGAGGAAGTATTTGAGGGTACAGAGCTCTAAGGAGCTGACATGTCACTTCATGTGGAACAGTATATGACAATAAATAGTAATTATACACACACACATTGGCGTACCTTGCAGTTATTGTAGGTGCAGTTTCAGACCATTGCAATCAAGTGAATATGGCAATAGAGAGACCCACACAATTTGTTTTTTGGTTTCCCAGTGCATATAAAAAGTTACGTTTGCACTATATTATAGTTTAGTAAGTGTGCAATAGCATTACGTTTAAAAATAAGGATGGAGTCCCAATCGGATAGGATTAGTAGTGGCTTTATAACAAGAGGAAGAGTTCTCTCTTTCTCTATTTTTCTCTACTTGCAAGCAGCAAGGAAAGGCCACGTGCAAACACAAAGAAAAGGTGGCTTTCTGCCATCCAGGAAAACAACCCTCCCCAAAATCTTGATATGATGGCACCCTAATCTGAGATTTCCGGCCTACAGAACTGAGAGAAAATAAAGTTCTGTTATTAAAGCCACCAAGTCTGTGTGATTTTGTTATGCAGCTCAAGCTAAGATAATACATTTGTTTTTTTAAAATATTTTTCAGTGTAGGGAAGAATGAGAGAATTGCACTTAAATTGTGTAATATACATGACATGGATGAGAGCAGAGAATCCAGAATCATGTTCGAGAGACAGAACGTCTCCGAGACAATAACCAAAGTAAAGGTGTCAACGTACCTGAAAAATATTGCTTATAATTTAGAAGAAGCAATGATATGCCCCAAAGATTAAGAAAAATCAGGATGTGGGGCAACAACGTCAGTTCCCCAGTACAATGCATTTTTTACCTGGCTAAGGGAAATTGGATCACTCGGTCATTTATAGACTTTGTAAAAACTAATCAATCAATTAATTAATTGTACAGGAATAGATCAATAACAAATAAATGCAATTTTAAAAATAATAAGATTCTGATGTCATTATACCTTCAAATCATAAAACTAACCAACTCTTGATATTTGTGCTCCAATAATGTAATTTCTCATTATTTTTTCTATAGTATTTGCTTCTTACTTTCAATGTTCATTTTGATAATCATCTTTTCAACATGTTACTGGGTTGATTTTAATATTCAGTTCTCTTAATAGATATTTTAAGGGTCATGGAATTGATTATAAATACATTATTATGCAAAAACCTACTCTTAGCACTGTTATCATGGATTATCAGTTTTGAATCAGAAGAACTCTGGGGTCCTGAATAAAGCAAGCACATCATTTAGGAACCAATCAATCAGAAGATCAAAACCACACAGTAACTTGAACATAAAAATTTTAAATAAAAATAAATGATTAACTAAAACAGAGAGTTGGAATAATGGAAAGTTATATACTAAAGAGTGAAGGGTACTCTAAAAAATATAAAAATAACAGATATACAGCAAACCACCATCCCTTGGAATGACATAGTACTCCCAAGGAACAGGCTCTTCTCTAGCACTATTGAGATCCAAACTTCTTTGATGAGAGTGGGCATATTTATGACTCACCGGGTAGTAGAGAAAGTCACTGGGGTTACAAAACCACCCAAAGTGGTACAGGAGGACATTTTTAATGGGAGATGCCCTGTTGGAAACCCTTCAATGAGAAGCCACTCATCGTGTTATTGGGAAAATCTGCCCATGGGGACTGCTGTAAACTGCTTTTTATCAAGCACTGTTGGAGCCTAGGGACTGCCTAGGTTTCATGTTCTGCTAGAGCCTGAGCATTGAGGAAGTTGCACACAGTGTGGGAGCCTGCCTAAAAGAACACAGCAGAACCAGAAAGAGAAACTCCTTTCTCACCCACGGTTAAATAGGTGAAATATTTACAGAATCTATGCTTACATATTATTGTATAGGAGTTATTTCAAGGTGATTTAGAGGATAGAGGCAATGCATTATAACGAGTACCTAAATTTTCAATATATGGCAGGGAAAATGCCAAGCTAAGAAAACAAATGGTCAACTATGTGGTTTACTGCAGGCCACATGTTTTGCTCTGTACTCATTTTATATCCTACTCACCCACCAATAAGAAGGGGACAGAAAAGGGATTAGCATACAGAAAATAAATTCAGAAGTATGCCAGAGCTGGTTACAGGAGTGTTTTCAATTTGTGAAAATTCATTTATTCACATGACTGTATTGTTTTTATACTTAAATAAAAACTTGTGAAGTAAAACATGCCATAGCACATAGCCTTCCACAGTATCCATGAACTGAGCCACATTGATACATTTATTTATTTATACTGTAATTGCAATGATTTAATTACATATAATTTTATTTCTAGGCCCTAAAGATATGTATATCTTAAATACATGTTTGTTAAAAAAAATTGAAGAGTATATCTATTGTGGAAGTTAACACTCGCAAGCTTTCAAAATACTTTTTTTTCCCAAAAACATCTTAGAGTTTCTCAGTTTTCCTGTAAATGAACACAACTGCCATAATAACTGCTATGAGGAAACTGCCTCCAAGATTATTAATTATTTTATGGTAAAAAAACGAATAACCTCTATTTCACTACTAAATTCTTGTCCTTGCATGAAAGTTACTCGTTGGAGATCCAACTCTTCCCCAAATGACTGAAAATTGAAATGTCTTCACCCTTCAGTGGAGAACCATTTCCTGTCTTGGAAGATAAGTCTTTTCAACAGCGTTGTGAACAAATGAATTACCTTTTGTGGTAGACTGATTTCATTGATGGTCTTAATTGCTTTTCTAAACCATGTCAGTTGTTCTGTAACTTCTGGTCTTCTATTTTTTTGACTATGTGCTGCGCTGTGTTAATTTATCTGGCTAAAGTGGTATTAGCAAATGTAATGCAAGCAGAGACATGGAAAAAGAAAAGTGTGCATTTCTCCTTGTTCTATTATTGCGTGACATGGCCTGCTCTCTCTTGGATGATTGCCATCAACATGAAAATCAATTCAGACTAGCTTACTGGAAGATGAGACACCACGTGGAGTACAGCGAAGGTATCTCAGCTGAGGCCATCCAAGACTAGCTGGCTCATAGGTTACCCATCAGTTTAGGAATGAGTAAATGAGTAAACCCGGCCAAGATCAGTGAAGTTCAATCGAGATCGGCAGAACCTCCAAGCTGACCCCCAAATTTTCCAGAGATAATGATTATCTGTGATTTTTTTTTTTTTTTTTTTTTTTTGACGGAGTCTCACGCTGACGCCAGGCTGGAGTGCAGTGGCGCGATCCCGGCTCACTGCAACCTCCGACTGACTACCGGCTTCAGGTGATTCCCCTGCTTCAGCCTCCTGAGTAGCTGGGACTACAGGCGTAATTTTTTTTGTATTTTAATAGAGACGGGGTTGCACCATGTTGGCCAGGATGGTCTCAGTCTCCTGACCTCGTGATCCGCCCGCCTCAGCCTCCCAAAGTGCTGGGATTACAGGCATGAGCCACCGCGCCCGGCCCGATTATCTGTGAAGTAATGTGTCATGTATGTAGCAAAAACTAGTGTACATTTTTTACCTTAAGCTGAGATTTCTTTCTCAGTTGATCACCTTTTAAAAGTTAATTTTGTATTAAATTTTGTTTCGTTTTCTTAAGAAATAATGTTCAGAGTAATTCATAGGAGTCATTGCATTGGAAAATTGAATTAAGAACCAAAAACCTAAGATTCTAATATAAGATGGTCAATTGGATTCTGAATATCTGGAGACCATTTTTCTTCATACCAGCAATGGGAGACTGTGAATCTAAATTGCATTACAAGCAAAATACAGAATATGATGTACCATAAACTTTTAGGGTTATATGGGAAGAGATAAAAATTTAAATTTAAAACTTTATAAATATTGAGTCCACCAAATGACATAATTGGTTAAAAAATAAGAGTTAAAGAAGTAATACTAGTTATTCGATTTCCTCATTAGGAGAGGCTGCAAGGGTGAAATGAAATGATTTGAAGATTATTCAGAAATGTTTTACAACAAAAAAAGGTGATAACTCAATAATGTATACATACTGACAGTTGGTTTCACAAACAGTGCGCTAACCCACAAGTTATTAGTAATATAATGAGTCTGAAGACTGTCAATTAGGTAATAATGATAAACAGCTGCAGAAAACTGTATTGTCCATGTTCTCCATTATTATGAAAATGTAGAGAAAAAAATCGTAAGACTTGGTGATTAGTCCATAAATATGTTATATATGAGGAATATATTGCTAAATTTTATAATTCTTTTTTTCTGTGTGCAGCTAGATGACACTGCTGTTGTTGACCCAGCTGCCTTTTTTAAGTCAGGAGAGAATTGGGAGTTTTGCTGTGCTAATTGCAACACATGACAGCTGAAATATATATAATACTATAAAATACTATAAAACTATGGCTTCTTTTCATATTTATGTTATCTGTCTGTTTCTGCGATAAAAATAGCTAAAAGTTTAAAAATGTAAAGTATTAAAAACTTTCTCTAAGACAATTTGCTTTTTGTCAGAAAATGTTTATTGGGCACCTGTTCTTTACTGGTCACTAATAAAGACTGCATGGCTATATTTTCAGATATCCTATGGGAATGGATAATTTTCTTTTAACTAATCACGCAGAGAAAGGTGTAATTGGTTTTGAGAACCTGAATAAAGCAAGCTGGTTTTTGTGCCGCTTCTAATCTTAAATCAGTCAACTCACCAGTTCAATGTATGCTTATGTCAAACAAAAGTTATCTATAGTATTCACTGGATGCTGAATATTTGTTATCATTAAATGTTTGTTTTCCTATTCTTTATTTATGTTTCCTTAAGCTATAGTGGATGAAATTCTATAACCACATGTGCATGTTTTTTCCATCAATACTGTGCTTCTTAAAGAAGTGTTGTTGTTGCTTTTGTTACCTTTATAACAATTTAAATGCAAGTACTTAGGTTATCAAGTATTTGAAAATAAATACTTGGATCTGAAACTCAGCTTTGATACTGACTCATTTTAAGAAATTGGAGAAATTTGTTTCCTTTTTCTAAGCTTCAATTTCCAAATATGCCCAATGGGAATTAAAACATCTGCTCACTCTACCTCACAAGTAGATATCAGGAGCAAATTAAATGACATTTTGGAAAATGCTGTGTAAATTACAATAAAATGTGAAGCAGAAGACTCTTAATCATAAGGAATATATAACTTGTATATCAGCACATCTAATTTTGCACATATTAAAAATTTCTAAATGGGAATAAACTTTTTAAAGTAACAAGGGGTGCCATTTTATAATTGCTTCTAACAGTTCACCTCGGTACCAATGGTCAACATGTTTTCTTTAATGTGACTGGTAAATTTAAGATGTTCTGGAGTTCTTTTATAAGTGAAAGTTGATATTCTTGCTTCCACATGAAAGGATTATTTCTTTAATTGTCTTTTTTGGGGGGAAATAAACAGGCTCAGAAATCTTCTTTGTTAAGAAAAATGTGTAAAAAGAGTAATTGCAAATAAGTTATATTTCATAATTTGGAAATTTTCTACACATTTCTAAAATTACAAAAAACGATAAAGAAAAATCATGACTATGAATCTTTAAAAAATAATATAATAGGTTTCTAGAGTAAATGCAGTATAATTTACAATAATGTAAATATCTATAAAATATTTTACACCTCAGCTTAACATTTGAAGGAGAAAAGAGGATATATGGTGTAATAATAGAAATGTCATATGAGAGTTTTAAATTTCACATTAAAAAACATATTTGATGACTCCCTAGACTTTTCTCCTGCAAGTAGGCTCCACCCAAAGTGGTCTCTGTCAAATCTTTCAACTAGCCACAGTCTTTTCCATATTGGAGTTTTCACACCTGTTGCCTGGTATATATATTCCAGAATATCTTCTATGTCCTTCTGATATTACATTAAATCTCCTGTTGCATAACATAAATTCGGTCCCTTTTGTATATTTTATCATATTAACCTATAATTTTATTCTATTTTTAATATAATTATATTAACTTACATTTTGTGTGATTATTTGTTAATTGTCTGTCTTGAAGGCCTTATACATGAAGGTAGATGCTGTTTAGTTCACTGTGTTAGTCTCAGCATGCAGCACAATGCCTGGCACATACACAGTGTTCAATGGGCATTTGAATAAATTAATGAATACATTAATTATAATGTCTTCTTGTTTTAGCTCACAGGGATTTATTTGGAAAAAGTATTCTTTAAAAACATTTAAAAATACGTAATGCTGAAAACAAGCCTATTTTTATCTTTGACTAGATTTATTACTAAGCGATATATCAATAAGTTTTGCCATTTAGATTTATCAGACTTCCTTGGATAACACCTCCATAGATGTGTGTGATTATTTGTGTTATTATGTAATATCATGCTGTAGCATTCCAATTTCCAAACCAACAAATATCCATAAACACTTAAATTATGTATTTCATTGGATTATGTAGCAAAAATTTTATTTAGAGATGATTATCAAACTAAATTTGATTTTAATATCTCACACTGTTAATTTTCCAGATTAAATCAGTTCAAATTGTCAAGAACTATGAATGGTCTAAATTTTTTTTTTTTACTTTTAAGCTAATAATTTATCCTGACACAGTTTCATGAGTACTGGAAGAAGACATGAGATTCATGGATCAGAGACAAGGTATAGCAAGCAGCATGAGCTTCATACTTGTATCATTCTTTTTGTCCCAAAAGTCCCTTTAGGGCAGTGCAAAGCAGCTCAGGTGAATGCTGCCTACAGTAAACAAACCTGTCCTCTGTTCCTCAGGGAGATAATATTTCTGTTTTCAAAGACTGTTTGCTACACATATATTCTCGTAAATATGGTCCAGAACTAAAACTGTCAATGCTCTGCTCACCAGACATGCAAAAACATGAGGGACTCAGGGAAATTTGTCTCCTAATGTATTTTTTGACATTAATGTAAATTTTGCAGTTTCTACTTTGGAATAATCACTTTATTCATTTTATCTGAGTAGTACGTGTATGTGTCAATTAAAAATTTTTAATTTCAATAGAGTAAATTTGAACCTGCTAAATACTGTACTAGAGAAATTTTATACTGGATTATTGAAACTCTTCTTGCTAGTAAAAAAAAAAGGATAACAATATGAGGTTTAAAAAATTGAAGGTTGGCTTTACTTCTTTCAGATTATATTTCTACAATCAATCATGTTGCACACATTTGTAAAGTGCCCTGTTGTATGTGTAAAAATAAAGCATGCTGTAAATCACAAAACTGTAGTCTTTATTATAGAATCTTTAAGCTAGCAACAGAGATAAAGATGACTTAGTCAAAAATGGCACACCATGTATAGCAATGAAAATCAATTATATCGCTTTTTCATTCCCAGCAGGTGTTGACGGCCTAAGAAGGAAACTGATTCTATCCCTTTGCTACAGCAAAGTTATAGCTTAACTTCGCTTTAAATTTGAGAAACCTGTGGTGATTGCATGACCAAGGACAATATATAAAACCCAGGTTTCTAAGATCTAATAAAAGACTGAGCTGAACAAGAAAGTGGGGAGCATCATTTCAGCACAGGCAACAGTTTCCTTATCCTGTGGAAACCTAAATTAGTAATCAAATGGAGAGATGTTGAAATTGAAAACTAGGACTCTGCTGCAAATTTCTTTCTTGAAATGATAAAGGGAGCCTGCTGACACATTGATATGAAATTGTTAACATACTTAAATAGATTTCCTCTATAATTTTTTTTTATATTTTGGTTGTAGATGAAGTTTTTCTGTGGAGATTTTATGTGCTGTAATTTATATCTGGTAATTTCAGGTGCAGATACAACAAAAAATCAACTATGCTAGATCTAGATGCCCAAAGCTATTATATCTAATTTTCACAGACCTTTTCTCATTCATAAGGCAAAATGGCCACCACAATTAAATCTTAAGCTTATAGAACATGGATATATAATTAATGGCAACATTACTCAATTCAGCATTCTTCATTTTATCAGAGAATAAACTGAGACACAGATGATCTGCATAATTTGCCCAAGGTCTCAGAGGAAGTGAGGACAAGAAAAGAAAAGATACATATATATATATATGTATCTATATATATGTGTGTGTATATATATATGTGTATATATGTATATATGTGTATATGTGTATATATATGTGTATATGTGTGTATGTGTATACATATATATATATATATATATATATATATATATATATGTAACTTCCTGAATCAGTAGATTATGTCATTTATTACGTAAAGGACTGTTTTTGCCTGCAATTTTACATTAATTTATCAAGAAAATCGAGATATTTTTATTTTCTTTACATTTCTTCATTCATATATTATGCACACACCTAACAAATATTAATTTATAACCTTCTACGTACACTCTTATAGTAAAGCCTTATCACTAAATAGCTAAAATTTAGCAATGTGTTACATGTTTTCATTTATGCATGAAGTTTTAACATCAATTCCCAAATATTTATATAATATAATACCTATTTGGGAATAAACACTATTCAAGGCACTGTATATAGAAGTGAACCAACTAACCAATGAGTTGCCTCCATCAGGAAGCATATTCCAGGGAGGAGCATCATACAGTGAACACATAGAAATGCTAATTTTGTAGTGCAACAATTATGGTAGGAAAAAAATAGGGTAGGAATGTTACCTTAGATGCAATGGTGATAAAAGGTCTCTCTATCAGGAGGTAACTTTCTAACAGAAATAGAAATGTTGAAAAGAAAACAGCCATGGGAGGAGTCAGAAAGCAAAGACCTGGGGAAGGCCCTCCAAACTCTAATCCCCAAAAGGAGCGAATGAAAAGGTCAGAGCTGCTGTAGTTAAAACTGCGGATGTCATGAGCACTTAATTCAGGGCTAGATGAGTTCATCTGAGGAAGTGAAGAGGGTCAAGGCCAAAGCCTCCAAAATCCAGTGGTTGTTACTGGAGGATCCACTGGCAAAAGCCAGAGAGCAGAAATTGTAGCAGCCATGTGTGGGAAGCCAAGAGAGAAAAGAGTTTCTTCACATTGTGTTCTTTATAATAATTAACAACTTATATTGCAGAATTTCAACCAATTGCAAAACAAGTGAAGAAAATAGTCATTCAAAGAACAAAGATCAATTTTAACATTACTTTAGAATAAAGAGAAAGCAATAAGATAAAATATAGAGGAAATGAATTTTGCATTAATGAATGGAAGTATTGTACTCATGTGAATAAATAAAAATTTATTCCTACTAATGTAGTTTAATAGCAAAGTAATAAAATAACAAAGATTTATTTCAATCAAAGTATCCATTGTTGTGTTGTTCAGTCAAGGAAAATAAAGTTAGTGGCAGTTTAGAGGTCTAGAAAAGTCAGATTTCTGTGTTTTTGCATTTCAACACAACTATTCTGTGACAAGAATAAGTTAATTTGGTGCTTCAAATCCACACTATTAAATTCAACTATTGTGCTCTGACATTCATTAGCCTCCATTAACACATTAAAATAGACTTGTGATATAATTTTCTAAATTATTTTAACAGAGACAAAAAGTCATGTAATTCACTTGGGGATGAGAAGTATTAAGGACCAAGTTCCTTCATTAGCGTATTACTTCAGTGAGGCCATGTTGACGCTATAAAACGTCAGAAGAAATTTCTTTTGTGGACTGAGAAGCTGGTTAACATGAAGTTTAGGGATTGGGAGTTGTAGAGAACAGTATTGAAGTGGGATACACAATAGAAACAATTATGTGATTCTTGTCTCAGAATTACCTTCTATAAAATAGGGACCTCAGTGGTATCAATTATGTTACAAGATTGAATGATTTAATTTGCATAAAATACAAATGTGTCTGTGAATGTAAATGTAATACAATGGTATATTAGTGCTCTTTTTTTTTTACTAGTTTAACAGTTGTATCTTAAGATAGGTCGAATACTGGAATTCAAACAAGCTTGGAACTAAATTAGATAGTAAGAGATCTTTTAGCCACCTCAGAGGGTGGCTAATATGTAATAAACCCCAAAGATAATCACAGCATTTCTTGGAATCTAGGACTAATACATGATAATTCACTAATGCGGCACCTCACATAATGCTTCCAACATTTAACAATATAGCAGCCAGGCGCGGTGGTTCACGCCTGTTATCCCAGCAATTTGGGAGGATGAGGCGGGGGAATCACGAGGTCAAGAAATCGAGACCATCCTGGCCAAAATGGTGAAATCTTGTCTCTACTAAAAATACAAAAATTAGTTGGGCATGATGGCGCACGCCGGTAGTCACAGCTCTCGGGAGGCTGATGCAGGAGAATTGCTTGAACCCAGGAGGCGGAGGTTGCAGGGAGCCGAGATGGTGCCACTGCACTCCAGTCTGGCGACAGAGTGAGTCTCCGTTTCAAAAAAAAAAAAAAATGATAATTGTCTAATCATTTAATAAGTACTCAATAGTTGGTAAGGTTGATGATGGTTAGAGAAAGGCAGGAAGAGGGCGATTAGATAGTGTAGGATGGGAGTGCAGGACCAGGAGACAGGGAGACCGAAGAAAAAAATCTCCAATGACTTCTTCAAATATCATCCACCATAAGAAAACACTTGAGCGAACCCAAACAAAAAAGTCTCGTTACATTTCACATCTATTCACCTGATCTTTTCTTTAAGGATCACTTTCCCTCAGCATCTTTTAAATTATGAATTACACATTGTGTAAAATTTCTGGAACATATTTGGTTTGTGACTGACTAAATTTATAATTATATGAAAGTAAAAAAAGTACCTAAATCTAAAAGTCATGTTTGACATTTATTTTCTGCTAAACACTTTGAAACAAACTATGCAACATGAATTTCTAATATAGTTTAATTATATACATCACTGACGAAATCATGTTATGTTTATTTTATTTCGAATCACTATATATTACATTTCCAAATACATTTTATGTTTGAAGATATACAATTTCTGAGGGTTTAAATAATAAAAACAATAGGCTTAGAATAGATTATTTCTATTTAAAATACTTTCTTTTACAATTTATTTAATCTCCCTAAAGTAGGGGGTTCATAGTGCAGTTTTATCTTGGACAGTTCTAAAATCTTCTGTCATATTTTGAAACTCTAATAATTATTGTACCTCAAAATTACAAAAAACAAACTGATATAATTGGTATGAATGTTAAAGCTTAGGTTTCTGTATGAATTCGGAAAAAATTTTCAATCTTGTTCTAGTATGAACCAAATACCTGATGTTTAACAATTGTATGATTCTGAGAAGATAAATTGAGCTCCTTGAATCTGTTTCCTTATTTTCAAAATAAGGTTAATAAAACTTCCTTCATTTTAAATAAATAAATTGCAGTCAGTAAATCTTCTAATATACTGCCTGTCACAAAACAGGCCTTCATTAAATCAGAAGTATGAAAAGTAATTTAGCAGAGTGGCAAAAGAAGCAAGGATTCCGAAATCAGAACAACCTTAGAGAGAACTGGAATTCATATACAGTGTACTCACTGTGTATGTTTCAAAAATTAAATGACTTCATTGATTATTAAGAGGAAAAATGCTTATGTTGCATGATACATGCACATGAGGTCTCCAGAACATTGCAAGTAATCACTATAATTTACAATTTGCAATTATATAATTTACAATTATATTCCAACTATCTATGCTGATTAATATATTTTCCATCTATACTCTCATAGCAACTTATTACTATATTCTAAACACTATACAAAGCATTGTAATTAAAATAATTTTATTCTCAAGGATTAAGTATTCACAATTAAAAAATAATTAACAACTTTTTGAAAAGGAGAATTTCAATTTAATATATGAACGCTTAATTATCTATTGCTACCTCTTATGGAACCTCAAATAGAAAAATTCATTGAGATGACAGAAACTGTAATCAATCAACAAAGATGAAGTGATCAGGCAGAACATGTAAAGAAATAAAAGCCTTTGGCTGGGCGCGGTGGCTCATGCCTGTAATCCCAGCACTTTGGGAGGCCAAAGCAGGCGCATCACAAGGTCAGGACATCCAGACCATCCTGGCTAACACGGTGAAACCCCGTCTCTACTAAAAATACAAAAAATTAGCCGGGTGTGGAAGCGGGCGCCTGTAGTCCCAGCTACTCGGGAGGCCAAGGCAGGAGAATGGCGTGAACCCGGGAGGCGGAGCTTGCAGTGAGCAGAGATTGCACCACTGCACTCCAGCCTGGGCAACAGAGGGAGACTCTGTCTCAAAAAAAAAAAAAAAAAAAAAAATTAGCTGGGCATGGTGGCAGGCGCCAGTAGTCCCAGCTACTTGGGAGGCTGAGGCAGCAGAATGGCATGAACCAGGGAGGCGGAGCTTGCAGCACTCCAGCCTGGGTGACAGGGCGAGACTCCATCTCAAAAAAAAAAAAAAAAAAAGAAAGAAAAAGAAATACAGGCCTTCTAAATAAATATGCACCTTCTTCCTTCAAATTTATGTACAACTCTACAAACACACACACATGCATGTACACGCACACACACACAAACTGCATTTATCAAATGGTATAACTATATCTAGGGTGAAAAAATTATAACTTTTTTCTCCTTAAATATTAAAATCTTTAAACACGAAAAAGATTTAAAGAGTTTTATTTCCCACAAAAACATGAATTGTTTGATTGTGGGTGTTAAATGCTAAAATGACAATGAGATTGAATTCTCCTCACTATATAAAATAAACATTAGAACGAATGCACAAGTATTCTTCATTATTCACAGGGTTGTTATATTTACACTATTATTATATTTCTGACACTATCAATATTTTCTAAAAAATATAAAACCCTTTAATAGGCTAATGTGACAATCTATTTTTAAAATGTAACACAATTCATTTTTCTTCTGCCAAAAGTTATTTTATTATGTCAAACCCTTTAAAATTACTTGGATTCCACTTGCTACTCAGCAACACATTCTATAATTTTTCCTAGCAAAATGATTTACAAAAGAGCAACACTTGCTCTTTCTTTTCTGAGTGTTTTTTTTTTCTTTTTCTTTTTTTATTTTTTCTTTTTTTGAGATGGGGTTTTGCTCTTGTCACCGAGGCTGTAGTGCAATGGCGCAATCTCGACTCACTGCAACCTCTGCCTCCTGGGTTCAAGCAATTCTCCTGCCTCAGCCTCCCAAGTAGCTGGGAATTCAGGCCCTCGCCACCATGCCCGCTAATCTTTTTGTATTTTTAGAGATGGGGTTTCACCATGTTGGCCAGGCTGGTCTCAAACTCCTCACCTCAGGTGATCCACCCACCTTGGCCTCCCAAAGTGCTGAGGAACGTGGAAACACTAGATTGGCTTAGTCTTCCAGCCTACATCTTTCTCTCATTTTGGATGCTTCCTGCCTTTGAACACCAGACTCCAGGTTCTTCAGCTTTTGGATTCTTGGACCTTTGGCTGCACTGTCAGCTTCCCTGCTTTTGAGGTTTTGGGACTCAGACTGGCTTCCTTGCTCCTCAGCTTGCAGACGGCCCATTATGGGACTTCACCTTGTGATTGTGTGAGTCAATACTCCTGAATAAACTCCCCTTTATATATGCATCAATCCTATTATCCCTGTCCCTCTAGAGAATCCTGATTAATACAGAAGGGAATAACACAGATTGTGGCCTATTGGGGGTGGGAGTGGGGTGCAGTGGGGTGAAGAGGACCAGGATAAATAGGTGGCATGCAGAGCTTAATACATCGGTGACGAGTGGATAGGTGCAGCAAACCACCCTGACACATGTTTACCTATGTAACAAACCTGCATATCCTGCACAGGTACCCTGGAACTTAACATTAAATAAAATAAAAAAACAAAAAGAAACCAGAGTAACTATAACGTATAATTCTTATTATCTAGTATCCAATTACAAATCAATCAGACATGCAAACAGGAAAATGTGTGCAAACTCAGGAGAAAAAGAACAAAATATTTGTCAATAAAAACTTAACTTTTGATGATTTAGCTATTGCAATAAGTACCAAAAGACCTTAAATAAAGTATTACAAATAGGTTCAAGGACTTAAAGGAAATATAGTCATAAAGAACAGATGGATGATTCAGCTGAAAAATAAATAATAAATAAATATAAACTCATATTTATATAAATTCATATGTATAAACATATATAGCTAGATAAATTCTGGAGCTTAAAAGTCAATTAGGGAACTTAAATATCCTTGTAAGTATTTAGTGTAAATTGGTGATGTCACAAAGATATGTCAGTAAACATCAAGGTAGACAAATAGAAATTATGCCACAAATAAATTATTCTTACAAAGAGAAAAAGTACTAAAGAAAAGTTAATGGGGTGCTGGAGACCAGAGGAACAATATAAAGTGACAAAACCTATGCAATTATAATACCAAAGGAGACAAAGATAAAATAGAGATAGAAAAATCATTCTTGGTCTCAAGTTTGAAGGAAGACATCAACTTACAGACCTAAGAAGCTGAAGAAAATTGAAACTGGACAAACAGTAAGAAAATCATACCTAGGCAAATCATAATCAAACTGCTGAAATTAAAGGATGAAGAGAAAATATTTAAAACAGCCGGAAGGAAATAAAAGTGACACATTGCATATAGTGAACAATAATGAGATTGACCACCACATTCCCATTAGGGAGAAACAAAAAAGACCTGAGAATGATGAAATGACATCTTTAACTCATTCATAGAAAGGAAAGAAAAACTGTGATTATAGAATTATATGTCCAGTGAAAATATTTGTTGCAGATGAAGGTAGAATAAAGACATGTTTAGATAAAACAGAATGTACTGTCAGCTGGCCTGCACTTTAAGAAATGCTTAATGGGGATGGCACTGAATCTATAAATTACCTTGGGCAGTATGGTCATTTTCACGATATTGATTCTTCCTACCCATGAGCATGGAATGTTCTTCCATTTGTTTGTATCCTCTTTTATTTCATTGATGAGTGGTTTGTAGTTCTCCTTGAAGAGGTCCTTCACGTCCCTTGTAAGTTGGATTCCTAGGTATTTTATTCTCTTTGAAGCAATTGTGAATGGGAGTTCACTCATGATTTGGCTCTCTGTTTGTCTGTTATTGGTGTATAAGAATGCTTGTGATTTTTGTACATTGATTTTGTATCCTGAGACTTTGCTGAAGTTGCTTATCAGCTTAAGGAGATTTTGGGCTGAGACAATGGGGTTTTCTAGATATACAATCATGTCATCTGCAAACAGGGACAATTTGACTTCCTCTTTTCCTAATTGAATACCTTTTATTTCCTTCTCCTGCCTAATTGCCCTGGCCAGAACTTCCAACACTATGTTGAATAGGAGTGGTGAGAGAGGGCATCCCTGTCTTGTGCCAGTTTTCAAAGGGAATGCTTCCAGTTTTTGCCCATTCAGTATGATATTGGCTGTGGGTTTGTCATAGATAGCTCTTATTATTTTGAAATACGTCCCATCAATACCTAATTTATTGAGAGTTTTTAGCATGAAGGGTTGTTGAATTTTGTCAACGGCCTTTTCTGCATCTATTGAGATAATCATGTGGTTTTTCTCTTCGGTTCTGTTTATATGCTGGATTACATTTATTGATTTGCATATATTGAACTAGCTTTGTATCCCAGGGATGAAGCCCACTTGATCATGGTGGATAACCTTTTTGATGTGCTGCTGGATTCGTTTTGCCAGTATTTTATTGAGGATTTTTGCATCAATGTTCATCAAGGATATTGGTCTAAAATTCAATGCCATCCCCATCAAGCTACCAATGACTTTCTTCACAGAATTGGAAAAAACTACTTTAAAGTTCATATGACACCAAAAAAGAGCCTGCATCGCCAAGTCAATCCTAAGCCAAAAGAACAAAGCTGGAGGCATCATGATACCTGACTTCAAACTATACTATAAGGCTACAGTAACCAAAACAGCATGGTACTGGTACCAAAACAGAGATATAGATCAATGGAACAGAACAGAGCCCTCAGAAATAACGCTGCATATCTACAACTATCTGATCTTTGACAAACCTGAGAAAAACAAGAAATGGGGAAAGGATTCCCTATTTAATAAATGGTGCTGGGAAAACTGGCTAGCCATATGTAGAAAGCTGAAACTGGATCCCATCCTTACACCTTATACAAAAATTAATTCAAGATGGATTAAAGACTTAAACGTTAGACCTAAAACCATAAAAACCCTAGAAGAAAACCTAGGCATTACCATTCAGGACATAGGCATGGGCAAGGACTTCATGTCCAAAACACCAAAAGCAATGGCAACAAAAGACAAAATTGACAAATGGGATCTAATGAAACTAAAGAGTTTCTGCACAGCAAAAGAAACTACCATCAGAGTGAACAGGCAACCTACAAAATGGGAGATAATTTTCCCAACCTACTCATCTGACAAAGGGCTAATATCCAGAATCTACAATGAACTCAAATAAATTTACAAGAAAAAAACAAACAACCCCTTCAAAAAGTGGGCGAAGGACATGAACAGACACTTCTCAAAAGAAGATATTTATGCAGCCAAAAAACATGAAAAAATGCTCACCATCACTGGCTATCAGAGAACTGCAAATCAAAACCACAATGAGATACCATCTCACACCAGTTAGAATGGCAATCATTAAAAAGTCAGGAAACAACAGGTGCTGGAGAGGATGTGGAGAAATAGGAACACTTTTACACTGTTGGTGGGACTGTAAACTAGTTCAACCATTGTGGAAGTCAGTGTGGCGATTCCTCAGGGACCTAGAACTAGAAATACCACTTGACCCAGCCATCCCATTACTGGGTATATACCCAAAGGACTATAAATCATGCTGCTATAAAGACACATGCACACGTATGTTTATTGCGGCACTATTCACAATAGCAAAGACTTGGAACCAACCCAAATGTCCAACAACGATAGACTGGATTGAGAGAATGTGGCACATATACACCATGGAATACCATGCAGCCATAAAAAATGATGAGCTCATGTCCTTTGTAGGGACATGGATGAAATTGGAAATCATCATTCTCAGTAAACTATCGCAAGAAGAAAAAAAGAACCACCGCATATTCTCACTCATAGGTGGGAATTGAACAATGAGATCACATGGACACAGGAAGGGGAACATCACACTCTGGGGACTGTTGTGGGGTGGGGGGAGGGGGGAGGGATAGCTTTAGGAGATATACCTAATGCTAAATGACGAGTTAATGGGTGCAGCACACCAGCATGGCACATGTATACATTTGTAACTAACCTGCACATTGTGCACATGTACCCTAAAACGTAAAGTATAATAATAATTTAAAAGAAAAAAGAAATGCTAACAGAGGCCAGGAGCAGTGGCTTACATCTGTAATCCCAGTGCTTTGGGAGGCCAAGATGGGCAGGTCACCTGAGGTCGGCATTTTGAAACCAACCTGACCACTATGGAGAAACCTCTTTTCTACTAAAAATACAAAAAATTAGCCGGGCGCGGTGGCAGGCGCCTGTAATCCCAGCTACTCGGGAAGCTGAGGTAGGAGAATCGCTTGAACGCGAAGGGTGGAGGTTGAGATGAGCCGAGATCGCGCCATTGCACTCCAGCCTAGGCAACAAGAATGAAACTCCATCTCAAAAACAAAAACAAAAACAAAAACAAAAAAGTGCTAACAGAGTTCTTCAGGATGAAAGCCAATGGCACAAAGTGATAATTTAGATATACAGAAATGAATAAAGACACTCAAAATGGTAAATATGTAGGTAAATATAAATGATCAATATTAAAATGATGAATATAACAGAAAGATCTCATGATTTAAAATTACAAATATATGAAAACCTTTAATAATAGAGATTCAAGATATATGAAGCAAAAACTGACAGAACCTCAGGGAGAAATAGATTCATAATCATAATCAATAATTGGTATCACTCCTCCCTCTAGAATAACACAAGTAATAGAGGAAAAGAAAAAAGAAACACAGTAGGAATATAAAATATCAGAATGACACTCTTAACCAGTTTGACCAGTATACTCCAAAACTGGAGAAAACATACTCTTGCAAGGTCACATGGGACATTCACAAGATGTACCGTATGGAGGCCATAAAACAATTCCAGTGCATGAACAAAATTAAATCTTGCAAAGGGTATTTTCTGATCACTGAAGAATTCAATGAAAAATCATTTCCAGAAAACTATCTGAAAAGTCTCTAAATAGTAGGGATATGGGGATGTAAAGACTACACACACACACACACACACACACACACACACACACACAAACACAAAATTTGGCCAAAGAAGAAATCAATTACAAGTGAAGTTAGAAAATATGTCAAACTAAATAATCATTGAAATATAAGATTTCAAAATATTTAAGCAGCAGCTAATACAGTACATACAAATTTAAAAGGTTGCAGGAAAGCAAGAGAAATTTAACTTAAACTAGCTAAGATCTCCTCTCAACAAAGTTTTAGAACAAACCAGCAAGTTAAACCCATGATAAATGTAAGAAGAAATAACAATGACAATAGAAGAAACCAACAAAATAGAATAAAGACAGAAAAGTTAACAAAGCAAAATTTATTTACTTGAAAAGATTGTTAAAATTGATAAACTCCCCTAAGATTCATAAAGGAAACATTAAGACAATGGGAATTACCAATATCAGGCCAGGCGCAATGGCTCACAGCTGTAATCCTAGCACTTTGGGAGGGAGGCCAAGGCCAGTGGATCACCTGAGGCCAGGAGTTCGAGACCAGCCTGACCAACATGATGAGACCCTGTCTCTTCTAAAAATACAAAAAAAAAAAAAAAAAAAAAATAGCTGGCTGTGGTGGTGCATGTCAATATTCCCAGGTACTCGGGAGGCTGAGTCAGGAGGATCCTTGAACCCAGGAGGTGGAGGTTTCAGTGAGCCAAGATCGCACCACTGCACTCCAGCCTGGCAACAAGCACGAAACTCCCTCTCAAAAAAATAAAATAAAATAAAATAAAAATACTAGTATTAGAATTGAGATAGGTGCGATTACTACATATGCTAAAAACATTAGAAGTTGATAATGAATTCATGGTATAAACACTCAGATCAATAAATTTGTAAACAGGAATTTAGAAAAATGGACAAATTGTTTGAAAAGTTCAAGTTAAACCAATAAACATGAGATTAAATACAAAATCTTAACAGCCTTTTATCTCTTAAATAAATTGTATTTATTATTAAAATCTTTCCCCACAAAAATTTCAGAGGTTTACACTGGTGAATCCTGGAAAGGTTAAGAAATTAATTCATACCAATGTTACACAACTTTTTTTGTAAAACAGAGGAAGAAGGGCTACCTCTGAACATATGTTATGAAGTCAGTGAAAGCTTGACGTAAAAACATAACAAACACATTACTACAATAGAAAATTATAGACCCTCATGAATAACTCTCCTGAATACAGAAAAAAGTCATTAATAAAATACTAGCAATTGAAAGCACCAAAATATGTAAGTAAATAAATATGTATTTATTTATTTACATATGTGTATATATATATATAATGACCAAGTGGAGTTACCATTGGGGTGAAAAGTTAGTTTAATCCTTGAAAACTGTACAATTTAATCTTCTAAGTTAAGAGAATGATTTAATTACACTAGCAGATGAAGGCAAACAATTTGATAATGGTGTTTCATTAATATAATCTGTTACGTAATTCAATATATTATAAAAACAGAAAGCTGGCAAAAAAGTTTAGAAAATTTTTATTTAAGAATCAATTCCAGGTATACTCCACATTACTTAAACCTGAGTATATGTGTGTGTATTTAAGTAGTACAATTTGTACTCCCCACCCCTCACATTGTGATGCTTGACATTTCTGTGAAGGACATCAGAACAATCTATAAATATAAAGCTGGGAACAGACGTGAGGCTTTCTTATTTTTATCCAGGAAGCCAAGGTTGCCTTGTATTATAAAAATAATTAACTACAGTGAAAGACAATAAAAGTCATAAACTATCTCAATAACTGCTGAAAAAATTACACTTTTGACAGAAAAGAATCATTGATGATAACATTCTAGCACACTCGGAATAAAATAAACATCTTTTATCTGCCAACAGGTATATTCAAAACATCTAAAGTATACATCATACTTCAGAGACAAACTCTGAAAACTTACTTTTGAGATATGTAAGAAAAGAAAAGTTTCCATTAACATAACTTTCATTGAATTTTGTACTGGATTTTCCAGGTGGTACAATAAGTCAAGGAAAATAAATAAAAGTATGGAGACAGGCAGGAAACAACCATATTAGTATTGGCAGATGTTATCACTATTTAAAGACACATGTTCACTGCAATTTTTATTTCAACATTTATGTTGAATTAGATTACATAAATTATCCTACATTTTAATTTTTTAATGAAATATTTGTACTCAAATATTTTATGATTATTGTTAATATTATTTACAATTTTCATATTGGTTAAATAATTTTCCTGTTTGTTAAAATTTTATTATACAATGAAGTGATATATATTTAGTGGGGTCAGTCCCTATGTAATTTTTGATAACATTTTCTCTAGATTAATTTTAGGTTTAGATTTTATCAGTGATTTTTTTTTCTGTGACACAACTGCTTATGAAAGAAAAAATTAAATTATGGTGTTGTATTTAGTATCTAAAACTATTTCTGGCATGATATGATACTTCAAATCAGTGATAAATATCTGTTTATTTCTACTTAAAAAGCCTACCGCTTTTTCATTAAGTAGCATCCATACTTCAGAGAAGAGTTCTGTGAATTATCTTGCATTTTTTATTCAAAATGTTTTAATTTAACATACTTGAAATATTTGACATAGTAAAACTTCCAGGACTTGCTTATACATTTGATAATTTATTAATTCTTTTTAAAGAAATTTATATAGTTCTTAGCAGTTAAATTTGCAAGGCAAACTTTAGAACACCATATTAATGAATGTATGAAAGTAAAAATTTCCAATACTATTTATATACTGTTTTTCATAAGACAAAGACAATGGAGAAAAATGCTTCCACATGAGAGAAAAGATAGCTATAACCAATTAAGAAATTACATTTGAGGCAATTAGTAAAGAATAACAACAGCCACTTTATTCATAGTCTGAATTTTGCTTGCCTACCAAATTGAAGTGTGGACCTCTGCACTGTACTGACCTAACATCCCTTTATTATTACAATTTCTTATATCATAGAAATACATGCCAAATTTGAAAACCTAAATGACTTCTGATTCCAAAAACCAAACAGGATCACTATTTTTTGACATTTTAATTTGTCCCTTTACGTATGTATCCATAGATAATAATTTAATTTGATTTTAAGAATTAGAGTTTAGGATACCTTCTGAATAATAATTCAGGGAATAATTTGAGAACACACAAAATTATCTAAACTTACAATTTGACAATTTTGATTAAATGTATATTTATCATTTATAATATAAATTTATTAAAAGTTCCTTTATATTATAGAGCTACAGATTATAGGTGTACATTTTTTAATTATAATACTAAAAACTTTAATACATGATTGTAAATTTATTATGATTGTATGCTCTTCATATTAAAAACCTTAAAATACTCCATTTCAAAATAGAAAACCTTATACTGTTTGAGAAAAAAAAATATTATCTACCACTCTGCAATAAGTTAAGCATCTAGAATGAGGAAGAACGATACTATTCCAAGATTAAAATAAGTATTACCTTTTCTAATATATTTTTGCATTTTAGTGCACATATTTTTATCTTTATCAACCAGTATATGTTTTGTAGATACTGCTGAATTTGGACATATTTGCTGTATGCCAAACTTTAGTTCCAGATTCTATGCAGAAGTCCTACCGGAAGCAGCAGAGAAGCCGGTGCTACAGTGAACAATATGTAAACCCTTTTTTGGGGACCATTTTGTCCAGCATCAACAGCAGCTGAACTAGGTGTTGTATTAGGAAATACCAGTTTGCCATTCTAGGATTCTATGATGGTTAATAGTATACAGTATTGTTCAATAATGGGATAACAGAAGAAAATATCTGTCATATGGAACAATAGTACTCAAAAAGTTCCTTTTAATCACATGCAAATTTACAGTCAATAAATTAACAATGTTTCTATAGGTACTAGTTTAATATCAGTATTTCACAGTACAAGCTTACTTTGCTTTATTATGCTTTACAGATATTGCAATTTTTACAAACGAAAAGGTTCTGGTAACTCAGCCTTGAGCAAGTTTATAGGCACCATTTTTCCTACAGTATGTGCTCACTTCATGTCTCTGTGTCACATTTTGATAAGTCTCACAATATCTCCAACTTTTTTGTTATTATTATATTATGATGATTGTGATCAGTTATCATTGATGTTAATATTGTCATTGTTTTCGGTTGCCATGAACTACATGCCTAAAATGTGGCAAACAATTGGTAAAAATTGCGTGTGTTCTTAATTGAAAAATGTGTGCTTCACCGACTGGCCAATACTTCATCTCTCTCACTATCCTCAGGCCTCCCTATTCCCTAAGACACAAATTTTAAAACTAGGCCAACAATAGCCTTACAATGACCTCTAAGTGTTTAAGTGAAAGGAAGAGTCACACACCTCTCATTTTAAATCAAAAACTAGAAATGATGAAGGTAAGTGGGAGAGGCATGTTGAAAGCCGAAACAGGTCAAAAGCTAGGGTTCTTGTGCCCAACATCCAAGTTTTAAATGCAAAGGAAAAGTTCTTGAAGGAAATTAAAAGTGCAATTTCAATAAACACACAAAAAATAACAAAGCGAAACAGGTTTATTGATGATATAGAGAAAGTTTGAGTGGTCTGGATAGAAGATCAAACCACCCACAACATTCCCTTAAGACAAAACTAATCCAGAGAAAGGCTGTAAATCTCTTCAATTTTATGGAGGCTGAGATATATGAAAGCACAGAGAAAATTTGGAAGCTTTTCTTCTGTAAGAAAGAGGTTAGTTCATGGAGTTTAAGGAAAAAAGCCACTTCCATAATGTAAAAGTGCATGGTGACACGAATGCTGATGTAGAAGCTGCAGCAAGTTATCCAGAAGAGCTAGCTAAGATCATTGATGAAGCTGACTACACTACACAAAATATTTTTAATGTAGACAAAACCATCTTGTGATGGGCGAAAATACCATTTAGGACTTGTAGTTAGAGAGAAGACAATGTCTGTCTTTAAAGCTTTAAAAAACAGGCCGATTCTCTTGTTAAGGGCTAATGCACTCGGTGACTTTGAATTGAAGCCAATGCTTATTTATTATTCTGAAAATCCTAAGGCCCTAAGAATTATTCTAAATCTACTCTGCCTGTGCTTCTTAAATGGAACAACAGCCTGGATCATAGCACATCTGTTTAAAGCATGGCTTACTGAATATTTTAAGCCCACTATTGAGACATACTGCTCATAAAAAAATAAAAAACGATTCCTTTCAAAATATTACTTCTCATTGACAACGCACCTAGTCATCCAGGAGCTCTGATGGAGATGTGCAAGGATATGAATCTTGCTTTTATGATTGCAATCACCACATTCATTCTGCAACACATGGATCAAGAATAATTTTTCATTTCTAGTCTTATTATTTAAGAAACACATTTTGTATGGCTACAGCTGCCACAGGAACATCTGGGCATGATAAATTGAAAATCTCTTGGAAAGGATTCACCATTCTTGATGCCGTTAAGAACATTCATGATTTATGCCAGAAGGTCAAACATTTATATTAACAGGAGTTTGGAAGAAGTTGAATCCAATCCTCATGGATGGCTTCAAAGGGTTCAAGAGTTACAGATGTGATGCAAATAGCAAAACTAGAATGAGAAGTGGAGCCTGAAGATGTGAATGAGTTGCTACAGTAGCACTATAAAAGTTGAACAGATTACTTGCTTTTTATGGATGAGCAAACAAAGAGGTTTCCTGAGATGCAACCTACTGGGGAAGATGCATGAAAATTGTTTAAATGACAAAAAATGATTTAGGAGATTATGTAAACTTAGTTGATAAAGGGTTTAAGATAATTGACTTCAATTGTGAAAGAAATTCTACTGTGTGTAAAACACTATGAAAAGTATCATATGCTGCAGAGAAATCTTTCAAAAAGAGTCGATTGATGCAGCAAACTTCACTGTTGTCTTATTTTACAAAATTGCCACAGCCACCCCAATTTTCAGCTTCTACCACTCTGCTCAGTCAGCAGCCATCAACACTGAGGCAAGATCCTCCACTAGCAAAAAGAGTATGACTTGCTGAAGGCTCAGATAATTGTCAGCCACTTTAGAAATAACATACTTTTAATTCAGGCATTTACATTTATATTTTATACATAATGCCATCGTACTTAATACACTTAATAGAATACATTATAGTATAAATATAACTTTTATATGCACTGGGAAACCAAAACAATTTGTGTGACTCTCTTTATTGCAATATTTGTTTTAATGTGATGGTCTATAACCAAACCTTCAAGATCTCCGAGGCATGCCTGAAAGTCTAGAAAATGTGTTTTTGTTAGATACCTTTTTACAAAAGTATAGAAGCTCAAAAATCTTAATGGTTTATTACAGAATATTAACTTTTAATAATTCACCATATATTTATACCCATTACTACACTGCCTAAGTCAAAAGTAGTGTACAACCAGATAATTTCCCATATGACAATTTTGAATATCATGAAATATTTTTCTGGAATATTAAAGTGAAAGTTGACTAAAATAAAAGCATTTTAGTCTATATATTAAAAAATCTTATAATTTTACATCTGATATAAAATTATTAAGAAGAATTTTGATATATACTGTCACGGTCATACAGACACAGACTTTGGAATAATTTTATGATAGTAACATATGTCAATATAACTCATTTCTCATTCAAATCCAATACACACAAAAGAATTAGCCATGAATGGAAACATTCCCACACAGACAAAATAGTACAATTTTGGAACCAACAAATCTAGCTTTTAATTCTTGCTTTACCTCTTGCTTTCCTTTTGGTTAAATAAGTCCCCGAGCCTCAGTTTTCTCAGACATAAATGGGGAAAGATGCCCCTTTCCATACAATATTTGTATGATAATTAAAGGAACAAATCAATATAGCACACATTCACACTGTGTCTGGCATGTGATAGGCACTCAAAAATGTTAATTCTCTTCCCCATAAGTTTCTAACATTTTTATACAGACTTAATTGAAAAATCTATAATCTCTATATTTTTACTTGTGTAGATTATTCTAGTTGTAGTAAATTATTTTAAAAAGCAAGAAAAAATTGAAATTAAAGTATCAGTGGGGTCCTGATTAGTCTAAAGGTCTTAGATGGATATGTTACACTCCAACCAGAAATATGACAGCCTTGATAAAAACGGCTTAAAGGAAACACACAAATTGCAGCTCCATTTTTAAAATTATGTCTAAAAATTAATATATATAACATAATATCAGAGTATAATTATTTTACTTTTTCAGATTAACCAAGGATGAATGATAGTCATATTACTTTTAATGTGCAGAGAGATGCCAAAAAGGACATCTGAGATCACGTTAGCCCGTTAAGTGTAACATTAAATCCCAATGAAATTTAGGTTTGAATTTTACAATGCATCTCAATCTGAAACCTCCATTACTAATTGGTAATTTATTCCTTTTAACTTCCTATCAGGTTGGCCCTGCCAATCTTATTCCCTTGATCACAATTTTTCACTTGCTCATTTCTAATGTCAAGATTCAGACTACTAATGGACAGCCATGAAATTCTGCTGCCTGGCTGTACTATGAAAGTCACTGATCTCCAGGAATAATAAAGGTCTGTATATTTTATTAATTGGTTAGCATATTCAACTCAATAGTATTTATTAAAAACTTTCTATACACTTATAATTTTGGTATTTATTATAGGGTTATAATTTCTCAAAGAGCCTGAGATTTAGTGGAGGAGCTAAAGCAACACATCTATAGGTATGTGTTAGACAAAGTAGAAAGAAATGACATCAATTATTATTTAAAACTAAGTTTGCTTTGTCCCTGAAGAGCAGTGATTTTCATGGTACACACAGGCAGCAGAACCCTGTGGCTGTCCAACATAAGTCTCACCACAAGCTGTTTCTGCTTCCTTCATGTTTTGACTGACCTACTACCACATACTACTCTAACTCCAGCTCTGTTTTCTGTTCCAAGTTACAATGAACATTTCCAAACATAATTTTACTAGTAAGGAAGAGTGAAAACACAAGAGACAAAATGAAAATCAATGAAGTTATAGTAAATTAGATAATTTTTTTTTTTGAGACGGAGTTTTGCTCTTGTCACCCAGGCTGGAGTGCGATGGCATGATCTCGGTTCACTGCAACCTCTGCCTCCTGGGTTCAAGCCATTCTCCTGTCTCAGCCTCCCTGGTAGCTGGGATTACAGGTGCCTGCCACCACACCTGGCTAAGTTTTTGCATTTTTTAGTAGAGACAGAGTTTCCCCATGTTGGCCAGGCTGGTCCTGAACTTCTGACCTCAGGTAATCCACCCGCCTCGGCCTCTGAAAGTGCTGGGATTACAGGCCTGAGCCACCGCGCCCGGCCCATAAAATGTTTTTAATGAAAGAAGCATCTTGGAGGGAAGAAAATGGGATTTTTTTCCCCTAAGCCATAGCTATATATGTTTTTGGCCGAGTCAGTTCACACCAAAATTATTATCAGCCCCAAATTATTGGGCTCCTGGTCAAATACTCATGTGTGAACCTTTAGGCCTGACTACGGGAAATTACAAAGGCTTTACCTGGCAGGTCTCAGAGGGGAAAGCTATCCCCTGAACGACAGAGTTGGCGCACAGCCAGTGCGAGGCTGTCTATGATGGGACTTCCAGTCGGAGGCTCAGGACCTCCTGGCCGGCCATTCTCTTATGCATATCTTCATTCCTAGCCCAGGGGCCTATAGTGGAGTCTTCCTCAGACACTGCAGCCGAGGCCTCTTAATGGGGGAATCAGGGAGAACTAGGAGACACTTTCCTCCACTAGGTTTCAGTACTTTTTCTTTCCTAGCCCTTACTCCTTCTTCCCCTCCCCTTCCTGCCCCTCCGTTCCAGGTCCATAAAACTGCGGGACCCTTCTGTTCAGCTTCACTGTGCAGTGAGGTGACTCACCATGTTTATGCTAATCCAGCTTACCCTTTACTGGTGCTGTTTCACGTGGGAAAATGAACAGTGCGGTGAGTTACTGCCAGCTCTCATTTAGCCTCTGGCTCATATTTTCGTACTAAATGATCACAGTCTTGACTGTTGCTTTCGTCTTGGTTTGTGTTTTCTATCAGCTACTATGGCACCTGGCAGTACAGCTCTCTCCAGGTCAGCTCAAGCCCTTGAAAATATGTGCTTTTATGAGCCTTTCTTGTTTGTGAAGTAGAGACAGCAATAACTTTCTCATCATAAGTATAGCCAATGATATATGTGGATTTCCTAAGATAAAACTGGCACTGTAATTTCAAAACCACAATTGTAACTGGAAATTTGAAGGATCAGAAAAAGAGTTAATGACAGTGATTGGCTATATCACTAACTTTAAATATTGGTTAAGTATGTCTCCACAAAGATGAATAATAAATATTATGACTTCAAACTACACATGGTTTACTCAATTGCCTCAAAGTCAACATATGCGTAAGAAAACTATATTACGATTCCAACAGAAAACCAATTAACAAAATTATTCTATTTCTACCAATGGTGCTATCATTCTTTGAGTCACATGGCCCCAAAATATTATTTACTTGTATTTTGTGTCTGCTTTTGTCCTCATCTGTTGACAGAACTTTGCTTTACATGAACTTGTCATAGAAACAAATTCTTTCTTATAACTTTTAACTGTTTTCTTAACAGGAATCTGACACAAATGCTCTTCTGCGTTTTTCCAATATTCTCATAATGTAATTGTTCAATGATAAATAATCAAGCAAAATATAAGCAAATTAACTCATTATATGCCATGTTAATTGATTCAATGTACCTGGCATTTTTTTGTATTGATTTAGGTTCAAGAAAATAGATTCTTCACCGGTGCCTTATACCAAGATCCACTACAGCAATGTAATTGTTGATTCTATGCCCTGAGAATAATATATGCCCATTTCTACCTTCATAACAAAGTCCCTAAAATTAGAGTTTTCTCATATTCCTTTAGAATTATTCTACCTCTTCTTGTCTTTCAAGAATAAAGTTTGAATTTCATCAATAAATTGCTTAGTCCCCAGTTCATAATCTGTTCTTCTATTAATAATTCATGCGGCCCGGCACGGTCATGCCTGTAATCCTAGCATTTTGGGAGGCCAAGGCAGATGGATCACTGGGGTCACAAGTTCGAGAGCAGCCTGGCCAATATGGCAAAAACCCATTTCTACTAAAAATACAAAAATTAGCCAGGAATGGTGGCAGGTGCCTGTAATTCCAGCTACTCAGGAGGGTGAGGCAAGAGAGTCACTTGAACCCAGGGGGCAGAGGTTGCAGTGAGCCTAGATCGTACCATTTCACTCCAGACTGGACGAAATAGTGAGATTCTGTCTCTAAATAAATTAATAAATAATTCAGATGACACATAACACTAATTTGGCACTTGATGCTATATTATTAGATTTATTTAGTTATATGACTAGTATTCAGGGTGCCATAGAACCTCTTCTGACACACAAATTACTACAAAATTTTGACTGGACAACACTAATAACAAATGAAAAGGTTTAAATTACATTTTTATTATTCATTGAAGAAAAATAGTTTCAAATTTGCAAAAGTACCTAAATAGAGTTGGTAATTAAGGACATTTTACAAGAAATTCTAGTATAGTATTTATGTGGGAACTCAGGTAAAGCATTTTCCTACCATTTCTCATTTAAAGTTCCTTCAATTTAGAAGTACACTGAAGCTATATTTGGTTCATGTAAAATTTATCTTAGCATATAGAAAATCAACTCCAAATTTAATAATTATTTTCAATTGAGTGACTTTTCCACTGCACAGAAGTAAATTTTTAAGAGAAAGATAGATTCAGCCAGGCATGGTGGCTCACACCTGTAATCCCAGCACTTTGGGAGGCTGAGGCAGGCGAATCATGAGGTCAGGAGTTTGAGACCAGCCTGACCAACATGGTGAAACCCCATCTCTACTAAAAATACAAAAAATTAGTTGGGTGTGGTGGCGGGCACCTGTAATCCCATCTACTTGGGAGGCTGAGACGGGAGAATCTCTTGAACCCGGGTGGCAGAGGTTGCAATGAGCAGAGATCACGCCACTGTGTTCGAGCCCTGGCGACAGACTGAGACTCCGCCCCCAAAATCAAAACAAAACAAAACAAAAAGAGAGAAAAATAGATTCAAGTTAACATGGGGGCAATAATACATTTAGACATTGGTGTGTAGTTTTTCAAAGTCCTAAAAATATGTATCATTTAATGGCCAAATAACATGGCTAAGTAAATAACCTGGCCACATATAACTTTGTGTAAATGCAATTGTATTCTATTGATTATTCTTCTACAATTATAACTTGTGCATTTAACTCTGTGAATTTATGTCAAGAAAACACATTCTCTAAAACTAATAGTCTGAGTTAAAAGAAAGAGTTTTTTATTGATTTCTGTGTTTTTTAGAAGGTGAATATTACATATTCTTATGAAATATGTATTGGAGTTATATACACTATTTCTAATTTGCTTACAAGTTGATTTGTTAGTATTTTCATTAATAAAATATTCAAATAAAATAGGTTAAACTCTTAGAAAATAAACAAGGGAATTTAAACGAGGACCAAAGAAATAGAGTAAAAGTTCTTATGAGGGACAGAAAACTAAATCTTATTAAATTTTCACTATCTACCTCGTTTTATTCTAAAGATGTATGTTTCATTTAATATATTTTTTGTTCACAAATCTCTAAGGCAAGTGGCTAGAATGGATTTTGTTTTCCTTATAAGTAAGAAGGTTGTTATTTAGAATGATTGTTTCTTTTGCTAACATCCTGTTACCTAGCAAATGATAGCACAATGTTTCTAAAATAGGTATTTCATAGGTGCATATCTCTTTTAGGCCCGGGGTCACGTTGAAGTTGCTAAATTTATTAAAATAGCAAAAATATTTAGCATCCCTCAAAACTATTCCCAATACTTAATTTTATTACTAAATTATACAGCTTCCCCCCCACTTTTGTTTTTGTTTTTGTTTTCTGTGTCTTTAAACTAATTCTTTTTATTATTATTATTATTATTATTATTATTATTATTATACTTTACATTTTAGGGTACATGTGCACAACGAGACCAAGTCTCGCTCTGTCCTCTGTCACCAGTTTGGAGTGCAGTGGCGCGATCGCGGCTCACTGCAACCTCTGCCTCCCGGGTTCAAGTGATTCTCCTGCCTCAGCCTCCCGAGTAGCTGAGACTACAGGCACACACCACCACACCCAGCTAATTTTTGTATTTTTAGTAGAAACAGGGTTTCACCATGTTGGCCAGGATGGTCTCGATCTCTTGACCTCGTGATCCGCCTGCCTCGGCCTCCCAAAGTGCTGGGATTACAGATGTGAACCACCGCACCCAGCCTAGCTTCCCCTTTTATTCAGTTAAATTAAGAGTATATCTTTCTAAAATATCATGCTAGAGTGTTTAGTAACTAGATGTATGGAGCTGAAAACATTGTTGAAATGAAATTTTAAAACAGTAAAAACACAAATGCAAAGCAAATATAAAATGAGCATGAGACAACAGTTTATTTAATTCATTAATCAGAACACTAGCAAGATAATAAAGCTAGTTCAAAGTCTTTTTGAGGAGCAGAGATGTATGTAATTTGAAAAAGATATGTTAAAGTAAGTTTGTTATGTTAAACACAAAGCTGGTTAATGTCCTACAGGGCAATGTAACAATTATTTTGGAGTTACCTTTCTATAGAATAGGATCATTTAAATCTTTGTTGGACAACGTATACACAAATCAACATTCTTATTCACAGAATCTGTTCCTAATCAAAAGTTAATGTCCAAACAAAGCTATATCCCTAGACAATTAAATAGTTTCTGGATGGGAATGTTAGACCATGCTCCAATATGACTTTGAAAGCTTTGTCACCCATTTGTTCATTTCCAAGTGGTGATGTTTTCTTAGTAAAATTTGCAGGTGAACAGGAGAGATAATAATACAAAACTTTCAAGTATCAAGACCTCCTTTCCTAAAGAAAGGGAGAGACATTATTTAGAGCTGTTGACTTTAAGGCATTAGCCAAAAGATAGCCCTCTATTTGCTCTAACCTAAGCTATAAATCAATCATCCAGCAACCTCACTACTGAATTTGTATCCTAAGGAAGTGAAATCAGTATCTTGACAAGATATCTGCACCTTCAATGTTTATTACAGCATTAGTCACAATAGCCAAGGTATGTAAACCAACAAAATATCCATCAACTGACAAATGGATAAAGAAAATACAGTATAAATATTAAATGATAGGTTATCCAATCTTAAAAAAACAGGAACACCTGCTGTTTGTGACAATATCCATGAACCTGGAAAACATTATGCTAAGAGAAATAAGTCAGATACAAAAAGACAAGTACCCTATGATTTTACATATATGTGGAATGTAAAAAAGCTGAACCAATAATCAGAGAGAGTAGAATGGTGGTTGTCAGGAACTGGGGATGAGAAAAATGGGAGGACATTGTTCAAAGGGTACGAAGTTTCTATTATGCAGGATGATTGAATTATTGAGATCCAATGAACAGATTGGTGACTATAGGTAATCATGTTTTATTGTTAAGAGAATATGCTAATTATTATCATCACACACACACAAAATGGTAACTCTGTGAGGTAATGGATATCTTAATTAGCTTGATTGTGGTAATCCTTTCGCAATGTATATGTGTATCAAAATATCACATTATATGTCATAAATGTATACTACAATTTTTATTTGTCAATTATACCTCAATAAAGCTGAAAAAAAATCTTGTAATTGAAACTATGTTTGTCTCAGTTTGATTTTCTCCTAAAAATCATATCTACTGGCTGGGCGCAGTGGCTCACCCCTGTAATCCCAGCAATTTGGGAGGCCGAGGCAGGCAGATCACAAGGTCAGGAGTTCAAGACCAGCCTGGCCAAGATGGTAAAACCCTATCTCTATTAAAAATACAAAAAAATTAGCCGGGCGTGGTGGCAGGCGCCTGTAATCCCAGTTACTCAGAAGGCTGAGGCAGAGAATTGCTTTAACCTGGGAGGCGGAGGTTCCAGTGAGCCGAGATGGCATCACTGTACTCCAGCCTGGGCGATAGAGTGAGACTCTGTCTCAAAACAAACAAACAAACAAAATTATATCTACCTGCTATACAAAATGTCAATTCACTGAAAATTAGCTTCGTTTTTGATGTTGGAGTTGTTTCTTGTTACAAATTAAAAAAAAAAAAAATCCATCTAGCAAATCTAACATCATATAATACAAAATATTTCCCACACCATAAACTTATACATATCTGTTGACTCTTTGTAAATACTCATTGATAAAGTTGTTTAAAACATCCATTCAAGTTAACTCATTAGAATTAACTACAGCATGGTAGAATAGAAATAAGTAAAAGAGGGATGGCTATCTTTCTTATGAACAACTACTGATTCATTACGTCTAGACAAAAGTTGTAACAAAATATTGCAATTTCTCCACTGAAAGAAATGTTATATATCATGATAATGTCAGTATAAAGATGCTTGAATATTGGCTATAATTTGAGAACATTTACTAGATATATCCACCATAAATGCAATTCATTTTCAGGAGTAAAAAGCAGTAATTTGTAAACAGTTGCCAACAAACATATTTCTAATACAACTTTGATTTCACATACCTCTGCATCAACAAATTCCTTAACTGGGAAAAACAATCCTTTTTTCTGTTAATTGTGTTTTTGTTCCCTTGTGTAATTTTAGTAACATACGTAGTTACGGAGAAAAGATATGATAGTACCCAATGTCTTCCAAAACTCTGGTAATTGACAGCAAAAAAAAAAAAAAATCCTTGAAGGAAAGGTAAAATTGAATTTCATTATATAACTTATTTTCTCTTCTGATTAATCACTTCTAATAGTTTTAAATTTCTGTCTCAAAGCATCAAAACACTCTGAATTATACTGTTAATGGTGTATATGGATACTATTAAAGAACATAAAAATCTATGAAACTGTTTCTTTATTTTGAGTTTGAGTCAAACTGTACCCAAAGGAGCAAGATAAGGCAAATAAGAATCAAATATAACTGTTAAAGTAATTAGGTGTCTTTCTATATTAAACATTATCCATAATCTCTTGCCCCTTCAATCATGTAAGAAGATTTTGACTTTTTGAATTCTGGCAGTTGTTTTTTTTTTTTTCTTTTTTTTTTTTTTATTATACTTTAAGTTTTAGGGTACATGTGCACATTGCGCAGGTTAGTTACATATGTATACATGTGCCATGCTGGTGCGCTGCACGCACTAACTCGTCATCTAGCATTAGGTATATCTCCCAATGCTATCCCTCCCCCATCCCCCCACCCCACCACAGTCCCCAGAGTGTGATATTCCCCTTCCTGTGTCCATGTGATCTCATTGTTCAATTCCCACCTATGAGTGAGAATATGCCGTGTTTGGTTTTTTGTTCCTGCAATAGTTTACTGAGAATGATGATTTCCAATTTCATCCATGTCCCTACAAAGGACATGAACTCATCATTTTTTATGGCTGCATAGTATTCCATGGTGTATATGTGCCACATTTTCTTAATCCAGTCTATCATTGTTGGACATTTGGGTTGGTTCCAAGTCTTTGCTATTGTGAATAATGCCGCAATAAACATATGTGTGCATGTGTCTTTATAGCAGCATGATTTATAGTCCTTTGGGTATATACCCAGTAATGGGATGGCTGGGTCAAATGGTATTTCTAGTTCTAGATCCCTGAGGAATCGCCACACTGACTTCCACAATGGTTGAACTAGTTTACAGTCCCACCAACAGTGTAAAAGTGTTCCTATTTCTCCACATCCTCTCCAGCACCTGTTGTTTCCTGACTTTTTAATGATTGCCATTCTAACTGGTGTGAGATGGTATCTCACTGTGGTTTTGATTTGCATTTCTCTGATGGCCAGTGATGATGAGCATTTTTTCATGTGTTTTTTGGCTGCATAAATGTCTTCTTTTGAGAAGTGTCTGTTCATGTCCTTCGCCCACTTTTTGATGGGGTTGTTTGTTTTTTTCTTGTAAATTTGTTTGAGTTCATTGTAGATTCTGGATATTAGCCCTTTGTCAGATGAGTAGGTTGCAAAAATTTTCTCCCATTTTGTAGGTTGCCTGTTCACTCTGATGGTAGTTTCTTTTGCTGTGCAGAAGCTCTTTAGTTTAATGAGATCTCATTTGTCAATTTTGTCGTTTGTTGCCATTGCTTTTGGTGTTTTGGACATGAAGTCCTTGCCCATGCCTATCTCCTGAATGGTAATGCCTAGGTTTTCTTCTAGGGTTTTTATGGTTTTAGGTCTAACGTTTAAATCTTTAATCCATCTTGAATTGATTTTTGTATAAGGTGTAAGGAAGGGATCCAGTTTCAGCTTTCTACATATGGCTAGCCAGTTTTCCCAGCACCATTTATTAAATAGGGAATCCTTTCCCCATTGCTTGTTTTTCTCAGGTTTGTCAAAGATCAGATAGTTGTAGATATGTGGCATTATTTCTGAGGGCTCTGTTCTGTTCCATTGATCTATATCTCTGTTTTGGTACCAGTACCATGCTGTTTTGGTTACTGTAGCCTTGTAGTATAGTTTGAAGTCAGGTAGTGTGATGCCTCCAGCTTTGTTCTTTTGGCTTAGGATTGACTTGGCGATGCGGGCTCTTTTTTGGTTCCATATGAACTTTAAAGTAGTTTTTTCCAATTCTGTGAAGAAAATCACTGGTAGCTTTATGGGGATGGCATTGAATCTGTAAATTACCTTGGGCAGTATGGCCATTTTCACGATATTGATTCTTCCTACCCATGAGCATGGAATGTTCTTCCATTTGTTTGTATCCTCTTTTATTTCCTTGAGCAGTGGTTTGTAGTTCTCCTTGAAGAGATCCTTCACATCCCTTGTAAGTTGGATTCCTAGGTATTTTATTCTCTTTGAAGCAATTGTGAACGGGAGTTCACTCATGATTTGGCTCTCTGTTTGTCTGTTGTTGGTGTATAAGAATGCTTGTGATTTTTGTACATTGATTTTGTATCCTGAGACTTTGCTGAAGTTGCTTATCAGCTTAAGGAGATTTTGGGCTGAGACAATGGGGTTTTCTAGATATACAACCATGTCGTCTGCAAACAGGGACAATTTCACTTCCTCTTTTCCTAATTGAATACCCTTTATTTCCTTCTCCTGCCTAATTGCCCTGGCCAGAACTTCCAACACAACAATCAATAGTTTACCAACCAAAAAGAGTCCAGGACCAGATGGATTCACAGCTGAATTCTACCAGAGGTACAAGGAGGAACTGGTACCATTCCTTCTGAAACTATTCCAATCAATAGAAAAAGAGGGAATCCTCCCTAACTCATTTTATGAGGCCAGCATCATTCTGATACCAAAGCCGGGCAGAGACACAACCAAAAAAGAGAATTTTAGACCAATATCCTTGATGAACATTGATGCAAAAATCCTCAATAAAATACTGGCAAAACGAATCCAGCAGCACATCAAAAAGCTTATCCACCATGATCAAGTGGGCTTCATCCCTGGGATGCAAGGCTGGTTCAATATACGCAAATCGATAAATGTAATCCAGCATATAAACAGAGCCAAAGACAAAAACCACATGATTATCTCAATAGATGCAGAAAAAGCCTTTGACAAAATTCAACAACCCTTCATGCTAAAAACTCTCAATAAATTAGGTATTGATGGGACGTACTTCAAAATAATAAGAGCTATCTATGACAAACCCACAGCCAATATCATACTGAATGGGCAAAAACTGGAAGCATTCCCTTTGAAAACTGGCACAAGACAGGGATGCCCTCTCTCACCACTTCTATTCAACATAGTGTTGGAATTCTGGCAGTTGTTAAGCAATTAAACCACTATAAATTTCCTCTTAGTTCTGAAAAAAAAAATTGGAGCAGATACATCTCTTCCAATCTAGGTACTGTTAAAAATGTGAGGCAGAAAGCTAACTGTAATTAAAGGGTAATGAAAAGTCTATTGTGAAATGATTATTATGTACTTGATGGGATTGGCAAGATCACTTTGCATAAGCTACCTATCCTTCCCATGGTGCTTGCTGTTCTGTGCTATGGAACCGAAAAATTGCTTAAAACGTTATAGGTGTATTATTTATTTAATTACATTATCATCTAAATATATGACCCAAGTGTCTAAAGGAAGATAAGCTACAAAAACATAAATTATTATTGCAATTACACAGTTAAAAATCAATTTAAATGGATTCTGAGAAGATGGTGGAGTACAAAGCACCAGGAACCTGTCTCTACACCTAGACAATAATTGCACTGGCAGCCTCTGTCTGATGGAACTGTTTTTAAATTCTAGAGTCTGTAGAAGGCTTGGAAAGCAATTTGAGATGAATTTCAGTCAATTTCAGCTATATTGTCATAGCAGCCACCCCTTCCCTGGCAGGCAGCTGAACATTTCTACTACAAGCAGCTTGCACACAGCTTACAGGAGCCATGGCTGGGAAAGGGGATCCTGTCATTGAAATATTGGGGATTTGTACTCTGAATCGTGCTTCTGATCCCACAGGTTTAGATGAAGAAGTGGATGGCCACTGTTCCCTCCATGTTGCAAGCTCCCCCTTCCTCAGCTAAAGTGACTTGCAGATAATTTAAAGGGTCAGTGCCCTTTTCCTCCCTGCTTCCTTCATTTTTTTCTTTTTTACCTTTTTGGAACAAGACTTTAAAGATAAGAATTTTCAAAGGAAATTTACATACAGAGAAAACTAGAAAGTGTCTGGATGTGCCTAGGAGAATGCACAAGCTCAGAAAAATTCTTAGAAAATCTTAAATTTATATCTCAGACAGATCTTTGGCACACAGCCTACAACAATAAATAAATCTAAAACAATAAATACATTAAAAAGAAGAAAATTCTGGGGAAGAAAGAGAATCTGGTTTTGAGTTACAGTATTAGATTTAACTGTCTAGTTTTCTTTAAAAATTTAACATGTATATGAAGAAATGGGAAAGCCTGGCCCATTCAAAGGAAAAGAGTAAATCAACAGAAACTGTCCCTGAAGAAGACCTGATATAAGATCTATTCAACAAAGGTTTTAGACGATTGTTTTCTAGTTTCTCAAAGAACTAAGGAAGATGTGAAGAACGTGAAGAAAAGCATGTATAAACAAGCATCCATAAAGAATTAGGAAACCTAAATAGAAACCAGAAAAAAATTCTGGAGCTGAAAATATAGCAACTAAAATGAAAAGTTCACTAGTGGGATTCAAATGCAGATTTTAACAGGAAGAAAAAAGAATCAGTGAACTTGAACCTAAGATAGTAGTAAATCATGAAGCCTCAGGAACAGAAAGAAAAATGATTGAACAAAAGTGAACCAAGTCTACATGATTTGTAGAATACCATCAAGAGTTCCAACACATGCATTGTGGGATCTCCAGAAGGAGAAGAAGCAGAGAAAATATTTGAAAAAATAATGGCAGAAAACTCTCCCAATTTAATAAAAGACATGAATCTTAACATCCAAGAGTCTCCACAAACTCCAAGTAAGATGAACTCAAAGAGACACATACCTAGACACTTTACAATCAAACCTTTAAGAGCCAAAGAGAGAATTTTGAAAACAGCAAGAGAACAGCAATGAATCACATACAAGAGATCCTTAGTACAATTGTTTGCAGCTATTTTTATCAGGAACATTGAGGCCAGAAGGTGGTAAGCTAATATATTCAAAGTGCTAAAAGAAATAAGCTGCCAACCAGTAATCCTATATCTGGCTTAGCTCCTTCAAATAAGGGAGAATTAAGACATCCACACATAAATAAAATCTGTGGGAATTTGATACCTGCTCACCTGCCCTGCTAGAAATACCTAAGGGAGCTCTGCAGGGTGAAAAAAGGTTACTAGACAGTGACTGAAAGCTATATAAAGAAATAAGAATCTCAATAAAGGTAAATGCAAGGACATTGTAGCTCCACTTTTTAATTTCTACATGATAAAAGCTCAATTATCATAACTTTGGTTTGTAACTCCACATTTCGTTTTCCATATAACTTACGGAAACTACTTCATTTGAACTAAATATGAGTTTATATTTTGGGGTACAGAATGTAAAAAGATGTAATTTTATGACATCAACAACCAAAAGGGTAGGTGGAGCTGTTAAAGAGCAGAATTTTGTATGTGATTGAAGTTGGTAGATATCCAAATTAGAGGGTTTTTTTGTTTTGTTTTGTTTTTTTTTTTGAGACTCTGTTGCCAGCCTGGAGTGCAGTGGCGCGATCTCGGCTCACTGTAACCTCCACCTCCCGGGTTCAAGCGATTCTCCTCCCTCAGCCTCCCAAGTAGCTGGGAATACAGGCATACGCCCCCACGCCCAGATAATTTTTGTATTTTTAGTAGAGACGTGGTTTCACCGTGTTAGCCAGGATGGTCTCGATCTCCTGACCTCGTTATCTGCCCGCCTTGGCCTCCCAAAATGCTGGGATTACAGGCATGAGCCACCGCACCTGGCCCAAATTAGAGAGTTTTCAGTTGAGGATGTTAAATGGACTTCCTATGGTATCCACAAGGAAATAGTACTGATTATATATATAAGAAAATGAAAAAATAATTTAAACTTTTCACTACAAAATATCAACTACCCACAAAGACATAGTTACGCAAGAAATGACAGACAAAAAAGCTCTAAGGCATATAGAAAACAAATAGCAAAATGAAAGAAATAAAGTTTCTCCTTACCAGTAATTTATTTCAACTTTACAAAGACATAGTTAAAAATAAAAAATTTATACATTTAAGAGATGCAGCTTGATGATTCGATATATGTGTACATTGTGAAATATTGCCACAATCAAGTTAACTAACATATCCATTACCTCACATGGCTACTATTTTTTTTGTGTGTGTGTAGTGAGAACACATAAAGCCTCTTAAATTTTGCGAAGACACTCTTAGCCAATTTTAAGTATACAATACAATATTGTTAACTATAAGCATATTGTTCTGGCAATATACAAAAATGATTTCCAGAACTTATCTTGCCTAAGTAAAATTTTGTACCCCTTTACTATGTAAGTATTACTTTAAATGGAAATGAATTAAATATCCAATCAAAAGACAAATATTGGCAAAAGTACAAAATCATGATAACTGTATGCCTTCTATAAAAGACTCACTTTAGAAAGACACAAATACATTGAAATGAAAATATGAAAGAAGATATGCTAATAGTAACCAAAATACAGCAAGATGGATATACAAATATTAGACAAAACAGACATTAAATTTAAAAAGGTTACGATATATAAGGAAGAAAATTATATTTTAATAAAAGTTTCAGTACAATAAGGAGATACAACTAAATACTTACATTTGATAAGACAGGGATGAATCTTGAGGATATTATCCTAAGTGAAATAAGTACCCAAAGAGAAATACTGTATAATTTTAGTCATATGAACTACTTAGAGTATGCAAAATCAGACAGAAAGCAGCATGGTGGTTCCCAGGAGTGGAGAGGAAGATAGAATGGGCATTTGTGTTTCATGGGTATAAAGCTTCAGTTTTACAAGATGGAAAGAATTACGGAGATGAATGTTGGAGATGGTTGTATAACATTATGAATGTATTTAATAACACTGCCCTCTATAGTTAAAATGATGAAGTGGTAAATTTTATGCTATGTGTATTCAACCACAATTTAAAAATTAGAAAAAATCAATTTAAACCTCATCTTGTGTATGGGTATAAACATGTTGGTTTATATAAGTCTTGTTCTAAATACATGAGTTAATATTTTTTTAAATGGCAATTTACAATGTTTGAAAAGCATTAAGTATTCATTAAGTGCTATTATTGTGTTATATGTTTTAAATATAGATGTACAGTTCAATACTCAGATGCAAAAATGAGTTTATTTCTCATATCCAAGCCCATTCTTGTTCCACTATCTTAGCTTATTCTTAGACATAAGAAGAGACTTTGAACTTCACTGAATGTACCTTTCTCTCTCAAGTCTGTGGCTCCCTTTACTGGGAACACTCTTTCACCTGGCTGTCACCTAAACTGAAAAACCAGTGTGTTCTTAGAAGTGTCCTATGGCCTTCAGCATTTATATTTGACTTCCCTTTCTGATTATTCCATAGTGTATATGTTTCTGAAATTATTTTATATTGCAGTATTAAATGTAACGGAGTTTTTTTTTTTTCCCCTTTTCAGTCAGTAAGATTTTGAAGACTGGAATATTATCTCTTACAGTTGTATCTTTAGTATTTAGCTGAATGCCTAGAAAAACATAGCAGTTAAATCAATATTTGTTAAATGCATGAAGATTAAACAACGATCATGTATGTACTTCCCCTCATCTTTTTCTTGCCTACTCTATTGCATATGATGGGAGATTAAATTGAAAGTGTAGTAAAAAATCAATATGCTTAATGAAAACTGTTATTAAAGAAATTGAATCTAGAAATTGTTGAACTGTGCTAGGTTTAAATGATTGATTGCCAATAAACATCAGTTGATTGATAATTCTGCATGTGGCTACTGTAAGAAAATAAAATCTTCAGCAAAATTTTAAATAAGATAGTCCAGAAAAATTGAACAATGCATAACTGCAAATATAAGAACCACCATTACGTGACTTGTTATTTGCACATTTAAAAATTATTGAGTACCTACCATGTGTCAGTACAGTGCAAACATCATAACACAAAGTTGAATTGGTAAAGGTCCTTTGCACAGAGTTTGTAGTCCAGAGAAGAAAAGTGAGAACAGTCAGTTTTATTCTGATGTAACAAGTACTTTAGTTTTTTGATGAGGAACTTTAAAAAAAAAAAAGAGTAAGTTCAGGCACAAGAGGCGTTTGTTTACTTTTGAAGGACACACTGGATTTAGGTAGATAAAAATGACAAGAGAAGGTTTTTCAGTAGAGAGGGAGAGAAGAATGTATTCAAGAACAGTAGTAATGGTTGGGTACGGTGGCTCAAGCCTGTAATCCCAGCACTTTGGGAGGCCAAGGAGGGCAGATCAGATGAGGTCAGGAGTTCAAGGCCAGCCTGGCCAATGTGGTGAAACTCTATCTCTACTAAAAATACAAAATTAGCTGGGTGTGGTGGCCCATGCCTGTAATCCTAGCTACTCTGGAGGCTGAGGCAGGAGAATCACTTGAACTCGGGAGGTGGAGGTTGTAGTGAGCCGAGGCCGCACCATTGCACTGCAGCCAGGGCAATAAGAATGAAACTCTGTCTCAAAAAAAAAAAAAAGAACAGTAGTAATAAAACAATGGAATCAGAGAACAGCTTGTGTTATGGAGAACTTGCAGTAAAGTGTGAACATGGGAGAATAGTAGGAAGAATTAATAGAGAAATAAGTTTTCTAGAATAAGCTAAAGAGTTTATTTTTTTCTCAGAAAGCTAGAAGAAGCCATTAAGGGATTTTAAAGGGAAAGTGAAATGGTCACATGTAAATTTTATGAAGACCTCTCTGGTTATAATATAAAGTGCAGGTTGAAAGCGAAGGAGAAGTCTCCATAGGCAAGGATAGTTTGAAGGTGAGAAATGACAGGCCTTAAACTAAGGCAGCTACAGTGGAAATAAGAGGACATAATGAATTTGAGATAAATGAAAAAGTTAAATTCACAAGATTTTGTGACAGATTAGATTTGAGGATAAAATGAGGGTTAAAACTTAGCCAGACTTGGTTTTCTAGCTATACCTACGTTAACTAAGAAACACTGCAAGTACATAGGGTTTAAGATAAAAATATTTCTAGTAATTTTGCATATTCAAATAAAAAAATTTGAGACTCAAAAGGCAAATTGCAAGTAGAACTTAACTTTGGAATTTCTCAGGGTAAACATAGCAGTTGTAGCCATGAGCTCAGAAAGATAATGCCAAAAAAAAAATTAGAAACACATGCTTTATACATTTAAAAATAAATATGAATAGATATTTAGCCAAAATTATTATTTAAAGAAAGTCATGATAAAATTATGTTTCTATGTTAATATTCCTTATGAACATGTAAATAATATTTTAAAAAACGATTTTAGAAACTAAACTTAAAATTACCAGTTACACAAACTCCTTTGTAAATATTTCTGCCACTCACTTACACGTGGACATTGTATTTTTATATATTGTTATCTTCACCAATAAGTTCCAAAATAATATGAATAAAGACCTTTAAAAATACGTTTTAAATTACTGATTTTAAGACTTGTTTGTGAAGTGAATTACAATATGCAGTACTCTAATAAATCAGGAGTAAAAAGTTATTTAGAAAGAATATTCATTTTAAAACAGTGCACTGTTTGACAATACTTATGATTACATGCCATGTCTCTAATTTAATAATTACTATTGAACCTACACGACCTGCGTTAGTTTTTTGTATTTAGGCAGAAAATTAATGCATGTTCCATGTTTTATATTTGTGACAGAAATCCAACTTCCTCAGCTATGCCAATGCTCCCTGCTTTATTTGGCTTAGAAGCTTTTGGATCATAAATATTCTCTGATTCCACTTGGATTTTAAGAGCCACAATGTCCTCAGGCCTATATTAAAAATGAATCAGTGATAAAAATTATGCGGTGAATGATGTATTCTATTAAAAATATTAAATTTCTACGTTTTTAGTTGAAGTGGAATAAGAAGTGCATTATTTATAGTCTAGAGAAGAAAAAAGTCAATAGCTGTATTTTTAAATATCTGAGTTTGATGGTATCCTCTAATACACTCTATATTAAAAAATAACACTCTAGCTTTCTAAAATGTTAAAAAAAATTTTGCAGATTAAATTATTTTTATCAATGATATACAATTTGGGTTCTGTTAGCAATGAATAGCCTAAGGGGCAAAAACCCTTTCTCATATATTTGTATATATAATATATATATAATATATCATATATAATGTATATCATGTATAATATATATCATGTACAATGTATATCTCATATATATTTTTTCTAGCTCTCTCTCTATATATCTCATATATTATATATATTTATGCATGTGTATACACTTTAACTTTATACTTTTAAGTAGAAAAGTTGTATTTTCTCACTGCTTTAAATATTAAAAATTCAGCAGTTTAGTTAGAAGCCTCAACTATTAAAATCTCTGTCTCTGAAATCTAGATATGATTTGAGTATATTACTTATAATTTGAAGTATAGTACATATTCTGAAACCTTTTTTATAAGATATAATATTCTCTATTAAGAATGTAATGACATATAAAATCCAGACATATTATGAAAATTGCATTATGTTTTGATATATTTTCTCCCATTGCTAATTTTGCTAGCTAGCTATGCACTGCAGAAAATCTTTTTACAAACAAAAAATTATTATGGCAAGCTGCCACACCTGCAATTGAATTCTGGTTGAATTAAAATTATAATTTCAGTTGTTTATTATCTGTCTGTGTTTTTCTCTTCAACAGAATGCCTTGCTTTAAATATAGATCAACTGTATATGCTATGAGCCACTCCACATAACTTGCAGAAAGAGAATTACCATACAAATGATCATCTTTTAATCAGGTTACTATTGTTTTTATTATTACTATTTTTATTTGTTTTTGCAATTGAGTTGTATGAGTTCTTTATTTTAATAGTAACCTTTTATTAGATATACAGTTTGCAAATATTTTCTCTACTTCCATACATTGCCTCCCCACTTTTTGATTGTTTCCTTTGCTATGCAGAAACTATTTAGTTTGATGTATTCCCATTTACCTATTTTTGTTTTTGTTGCCTGTGCTTTTGGTGTCATATTCAAGAAATCACTGCCAAGACCAATGCCATGAGGCTTTTCCCTTATGTTTTCATTTAGGAATTTTACAGTGACAGGTCTTTATTTAAGTATTTATTTCATTTTGAGTTGACTTTTGTATAAGGTGTAAGACAAAAGTCCAACCTGATACTTTTGCATGTGAATATCCAGTCCTCTCAACAAGATTTGTTGAAGAGATGATACTTTCTCCACTGTGTATTTTTGGTACCCTTCTAGAACATCAATTGAACATCTATGCACAAACCGTGTATATTGTTCCATAGGTCAATATATCTGTCTTTATGCTGGTGCCATGCTGTTTTAATTACTGTAGCTTAGTAGTAAGTTTTGAAATAAGGAAATGAAATACTTTAGTTTTGTTTCTTCTTTTGCAGTGTTACTTTGGCTACTCAGGGTTCTTGTGGTTCCATATAAATTTCAGGATTGTTGCTTTTATTTCGTTTAAAAAAAAAAAAGCCAAGATTTTGGTAAGGATTAAACTGGTTCTGTAAAGTTTCAGTGATGCAAGATAAATAGGTTTTAGAGATCTGCTATAAAACATCATGCTGATAGTTGACATATTGTATTGTGCACTTCAAAATGTGTTAATGATACAGGAGTGATGGGAAGGGAAAAGCATGGTCCCTTTAAATGATGCGGAAAGGGGGAAGGGAAGCGCTGGGTAGAAGAGGGTATGGTCCGTGGCTAGGGCTCCACTCCTACAGACCTAGGTGAGGACAGGCATTTTTGTTTTCCTGCCCAAATGTATTTCCTAAAACCACCTGGCCTGCTACGCCCCCATCCTGTGGCTATAAAAACCCCCTAGATCCCAGCAGGCAGACACACAGGCAGCTGGACGTCGAGAGGAACACACTGACAGGCACCAGCACACTAGCAGCCACCGACTGGCAGAACGACACGGAGTTTGGCTGGGGCAATTGGAGGAGAGCCCGGGCCGCCAAATGACCCGACTCCAGGGGAAAGCCATCTCCCTACTGGCTCCCCCATCTGCTGAGAGCTATTTCCACTCAATAAAACCTTGCACTCATTCTCCAAGCCCATGTGTGATCCGATTCTTCCGGTACACCAAGGCAAGAACCTCAGGATACAGAAAGCTCGCTGTCCTTGCAACAAGGTAAAGGGTCTAATTGAGCTGGTTAACACAAGCCGCCTATAGACTGCAAAATAAAAGAGCAAAACTAAAAGAGCACCCTGTAACACATGGCTACGGGGGATTCAGCTGTAAGCATTCACCCCTAGACACTGCCAGGGGATTGGAGCCCCACAGCCTGCCCATCTATATGCTCCTGTAGAGGTTTGAGCAGCGGGGCATGAAGAAGTGAGCCACAGCCCCATCGCACACCCTGTTAAGTGGACAAGGGAACTTTTCCCGTTTCATAAGAGGACAGAAATTATGTTAAGTGTTCTTATCTCAATTTTTGAAAAAGAAAGAAGAAGTGAATCGGGGAGACAAACATCTCTTCAGCACTTCTTTCATGAATTTACTAATTCTCATCGTTCTAAAAATGGCACCTAGTACACAATAACTTTCTGTAAGACAGGAATAAATCCAAGATTTGTCAGGTCTACTGTTTACACAATTTGGGTTTGGTCCTCTTTAAAAAAAATAATGCAAAACTCTGAATACAAAATTGCTAGTGCCCCTCCTGTGACACATACAATCTATGCACTGAAGGGCCCTAAATGTAGGTTCTATTAGCAATACTAAAAAGCTGTCTGTCTTATGGTATTAGAGACATGATTTCTTGGAAAGTGAGGGTCTAAATTCACACATGCCACATCTTTTTCAGATACTAATTGGCTCCTGAATGTGTACATAACAGTACATTTTATGGACAAAAACTAAGAAGAACATGTTCTTCGGGCAATGGTTCAGATCTTCTATAACTTATGGAAAATTTCAATAAGCACAGAGAAATCAACAAGTGCAGGCTGGTGAGCACAGGTAAAATATAGCTACTAGTGTCAGATATGCAAATAACAAAAATTCTAATGCAAACTATATTGACCTGTTAACAGCCCGGACAACTACACAACTGAACACCTGAACCAGATGTTCAGATGACTAGAGGCAAAAATTTGGTCTAATTCAAACCCTGAAAACCTATATAATGAGAAAGATAATTCAAGATCTTGTAATTTACATGTGGACCCAGCATTTCAATTTTAAATTAGTATGCCTGCAAATTTCCTTTTCTCAAACTGTTTACGAAACTGATGTTTATACTTCTTTTTAAGACAGTTGAGGTTCTTATGAAACCTGTTATATTTTTCTTCCTCGACAGCAGAATTAAACTCAATCCTTACAAAAAGAAATGTTCAGCATAAAAACACATCAATCTAAGTGTCAATAAACAAATAAATAAAGCATAATTAAGAAGAGGCCTATAAAAGCAAAACAAACAACAAACAAACTGAAGGCTGGTTCCGTTTACCAAAGGTATAAAAATGATACGCAGAGTTGGTTAAATTTGAAATACAATAGATAATAATATCTAATCAATTCAGAAAAACAAAAATAAATAGAACATTTTATACTCTCTTAGATGACCTTATATAGAGTAGTAAACATTGTTTGTTGTCACCAAATAGTCATTCTTCTGTTCTTCCTTTGTAACAGAATGCTGAGTAGTATGCCGAACTAAATGATTCTATTTACTAGCCTCCCTGCTATGATTTTTGTAGTTATTGCATGCCAGAGATCTATAAATGGTTGTGGGATATCCAGGAAGACTCTTTACAACAGCAACAATAAGTGTCATTTATCTTTCACCTGCTTTATACCGCTACGGAACTGGAATACAGATTGATGGAATATAGTTTGATGGCTGGAGCTCCAGCAGCCTGCTTGAACCCTGAGATTACCTTGTGGATGGAAGCCATGGTCTTGGAATGCTAGAGAAAAAGATAAGCGATTGAGATCCATGTGCTTTATGGAGCAAAAATAATGAAAGCTGTATATAGTATGTTTTATAAAATAGTAAAGTCCTAGAACTTTAACTAATTTTCCCCCAATCTATTCTACTCTGTGCTGGAAGTTAATAGTAACACAGTTTAGATAGATGGAGAGAAGAAAATACTAAGAGGAACAATGAGAAAACAATAGAAATGTACAAACATAATAGATAAAATTCACATGATATCTTCACAGTTCAAACATTTGATCCTGGTGGTATAAGCCACATTATCATTCGTAGGAAAGTCACTTAAAATACACAGTAATCAAACTATTGAGTTTCACGTAAATAAAGTGCCAAACTTACCAAATATAGCATTAGAAAAATTCAATTAATGTTGAATTTCAGATCAACAAAGTGATTTTGTAAAAGTGTATAATACAATAAAAATATTTATAGTATATCTGAAATTCAAATTTACCTGGGAGTTCTGTGTTTTGTCTAGCAACCCTACCTGTAGAGTGGTTGAGTTATAATAATATAAATTACATAATGCTTTCTTCAAAGAAATAATATTTTGGGGAGCTTTACATTTGGTATCGAACATGATCAACAATGCCATATTGAATAGAATAAATGACATACATTTCATTGAAAACATGGTATACCACTGAATTTTATGACAACCTCCTTATTACAAATGAAGAAACTAAAGTTTAAATTTATTTTATAAATCCATTGTAGGCATGTAGCTAAGAAGTGGCAAAACTAAAATTGAAATCTAGTTTAATATGACATAATTTGACTTATGTGTTGAATTTAGACTGGACTATATATAAGTTACTGAACGGTGAGCAACTCTAGATACTACAAATATAATGTAGACAATAATGTCTAAAATGTTTAGACCTACTTTCTCTCAAGTAAAAACAAACAAAGCAAAACAAATTCTGCTATGCAACTCCTTCCTGACAACTTTCTCGGTCACGTTAACACATCCAAAACAGTTCCGCATTTCAACTTCTCTTTTTCTTTCACCCCTGACTGCCAATCCTGACAACCAATTCTATTTTATTTCCTCTCCAGGTTTCTCTCAATACTCTATATTTGTCTTTATGCTCGCCTCAGCTTGCTTAATTCAGTTTCCTTTACCAAAGGAACTCACAAACCAGGAACCAAATCAAAATAAGGCATTTAGCTTTTTCAGAAATGTGGGCATACAGAGGATCCAGGACACAGATACAGGCAGATTCATCCAGCTGAGTGAATATAATGGCAGATTTTTTAGAACAGGGATTAATAAAAGATTGCTAGTCAAGAGAAAAGATAGCATGATTCCTAAACCTTCCTTGAATTGAAAAAAAAAAAAAAAGAAATTCTTCCATTTCTCCATTTACAGTGGCTATTATAACTAGATAAAATTTGGTTCCAGCATTTCCTGTGAATTCCCAATCTTTCTTGGTACTATATGTAACCTAATACTAAATTACTATTTTTTTAGGTAGGTTCAGGGTATATGTACTCTTTGAAACAAATATAAGAAGGAAGAGAAGAAAGGGGAAGGGAGGGGAAGAAAGGGAAAGAAAGAGAAGAGAAAATGCAGATGTCGTTTCATAGAAAACTTACAATGTGCCTCATACAGTGTTAACAGATTTAAAGTGTTTTTTCTCATTAATTCTCACCAAAAAATATGAGTTAATGTTAGTGTTATCTTCATTTTACCGATAAGGGTGCTGAGACACAGAGGGTTTAAATAATTTTCTTGAGATCACATCATTCCTATGTGACTGAAGATTAATTGGAATCCAGATGGTTTGAATCCATAGCCCATGTTGCAAAACAATGTCATAATGGCTCCTGCAGTTTGGTGGTATGCTTTTATTCATTTGGTGCAAAATATAAAACAGACGAAATGAAAGTCTTCAAACATCAATTGAATATCAATTAGTCCCACACATAATAGCACAGTAAAGCAAATCTAGCTGTAACATACAAGGGTTAGAATTATTTGGGATGTATTTTCCAAAGAGCACCAGAAAACTGGATTACCTCACTTGCACACAGTGGTTAAACTCCTGCTCTTGAGGCAATCGGGCTACGTAAAAATCCCAGCACTTGATACCACTTAGTTCAGTGACCTTGGGTAAACAGTTAAGTATCTCTTTTATCATCAATTTTCAGGCTGGACATGGTGAATCATGCCTGTAAACCCAGAGCTTTGAGAGGCCAAAGCAGGAGGATCACTTGAGGCTAGGATTTCGAGACCAGCCTGGCCAGCCCAGAAACCCCATCTCTACAAAAAATTTAAAAAATAGTTAGGTGCGGTGGCTCACATCTGTAGTCCTAGCTACTTGGGAGGTTGAGGTGGTAGGATCGCTTGAGCCCAGGAGTTCAAGGCTACAGTGAGCTGTGATTCTACCACTACACACCAGCCTGTACAACAAACCAGACCATCTATAGGACAAACAAACAAGCAAACAAAAATTCACCCATGTAAATGGGCATAAGATTCCCTGCTTCATAGAGTTGTTCTTAGGGCCAGTGAGATAATGAGGTAATGAGATCATGAGGTAATATTAACCCATCCTATTAAAGAAATAAAATTATATATGCAATGCATGAAAAGAGTACATGTATACACACGGGATTTCTTCTGCATTCAAGAATTAAATAAAAATATATTTTAATTAAATATAGCAAATATAAAAATGAGGGGATACAAAAATGAAGGGCAGTTATGTTTTTAAAATACATCTATATTATTGTAATTGTTCGCAATTAAAATGTATTTATGTGTTATCTAGGTGACTATACATTTAATCCTACCTAATATACATATTCAAAAGTCAGAAAGGATATTGCAAATTGTCATTGCTTTCCTTTGACATGAAAGGCACTTATTAATTTAATTTTATATAATTTAATGGGAATTAAATTCACTTTTGTAAAAATAGATAATGTACTTCTAGGGTATATACACTGACTCACATATGACCCTTTTGAAAGTCTTTCAACACATCAGAAATCCATATCTAACAATGAAAAGCTCATCTTATGCAAATGGAATTATAGACATTTCTTAATGTAATTAGACCCCCAAATTAATTAGACAACATTCTTAGTGGCAGACAACAGAACCCATTCCAGGTAGTTTTAAGCAGGCAAGAAATTTAATAAAGACTATTAGGAAGCTTGTAGAACATTCAAGAGAGCAGAGTATCACGCCTGGGGTCTAAAATGCCAGCAAAGATGCCCAAGGCACATACTGAAATTGGCCTATTGGAGACCCCATTGTAGCTAAACACTGAAAAACTCCAGAACTTTTGTCACCGTTGTCTTTGAAAATAGTATCCTCTGTCACAGGAAGAATGGTGGAGAGAATAAATTTTGTAGAACACCTGCATTTTCCTGTTCTTATTCATGAAATGGAATCTTGTTTATTGGTTTCTGTGTTACAGCCTTATTTACGTATCTGCTCCCTAACTACAAGGAGGGCTAAACAAGTAAGATTTTTGATTTCCAACTTAGCCAGCAAAAATAATGGGGTAAGAATTGCCATAACATTGACAGGCTGTTCAAAAGGTGTTGGGTAACCAGAAAACACATCAGATATCCATTAGACAGTGCTGAAAAATGAATAAATAAATATATATATGTTGTTTATTTACACAGTAAAGTCCTTATTAGCAAATTTTAAGCATAAATAAGTATCAAATGAAAGACAGTTTAACTGATATTTTGCATTTGTCACATTACATAGTCATATCGATAAATGCATCAAAATGTATTTTCATAATTTGACTGTTGAAACTATAGTACTTAAACAAAAACACCAGGAATATATTGGAAATTTGAATAAATATTCCTCTTTGAAAGATATCTTTGCACTCTGCTATTTTAATTTTGAGAAGCTGATAGTTCTATGTACACTATAGATTAGGAATGTTTGTTCAGCTTAACTAAATATGGCTCAAAATGAAACTGAAACTTTCTAAATATTGAAAACATTTTTAAAATTCTCAAAATGTATCTGTTCTATAAAGTTTATACAAAATAATTTTATCCAATAAAGTGTATTTGTGCAAGAACTTATCTTATATTTATGTATATTTTAGAGACCTGACATATCCAGTGATCATTTTTCCAAAAATTTTGAATTTCTGAAACAGAGTGAAGTATTAGGATGGAAACAAAAGAATTTCTCAGATCCATGTACAAGAATGTGTCCACTTTTGCAAGTTGTCCAGAGAGTATCAATCATAGCATATACTTTCAAATTATTCTTGAAATAATTTAAATGAGTTTACAATGATGGTTTTCAGACCACAGCACCCTCAAATACACTGGGCCTATTAAAAACAGTAGTGGAAAGCTTAAGAGTATGGATGGCAGTAAAAAAAAGAAAAGATAAAGTATAGAAATGACAACCCATAATGCAAATCCACAATGATGCTGTCAAGGGCTTTGTCTCTCAAAGTATCTTAAATGCACCTGAGATATGTGCTCAATGTTCTTGGCATCTTAGAGAATTAAGCATTATTCTCCAGATAGTCTTTAAGAAAAGTTTCCACATATATGCAAACTTAGAAAAGCTCTATCAAAATAAAAAAAGATAAAAATTGAAGAAGCTCTATGTTTTTGATATATTCTGGGACATTAAACAAAAACATTAGGAAAATGTAACCAATAGGAGTTTGGGCTTGCATCTCAGGCCTGTGTTTTAGGGGTTCTGTATGAAGCAGCCAAGATTAAGAGGAAAGGTGATGGCTTTCTTGAATGAGGATAAAAAATATGAAAGAGAACATAAAACTTCAAAATCACTAAAGCAAGGGATTGCCCCACCTCATTTCCACAGATACCCCATAAGCACACAATTTTTACTTTTCATCTTGTAGGATAATGTTCACTTTTTGATGCTCACTCTAAACAGGTAGCATAGAAGGAACAGGTGATTGCCCTTGAGTTTGTTTCTGTTTTGGTTGCACTTTTGAAGCTGTACTTTATTGAACTGAATTTAAATTCCAAATTTCTAAAAATGAGCCTGAGTAGAAAAACATGTTCTTTCATGCTAGGAAAATATTTTTTTGCTTTGATTAATATTTCTTATTTCGAATACATTATGACATGTTGAAAGCAAAAAGTGTCTTTATTGTCTTTTGATTTTTCACAAGCTATAGGCTGTTTCTCAACCATAAGGGCATTAAATAGATATTATTGATAATTATAGATATTCTGACAGTCAGATCTTTGACAGGCAAACATTATTTTCAGAGATGATTAACCAAGAGTAGTAGAGTACAAAGGCTTCTGAGAGCTTTTTTTTTTCTTGACCTACTCATTTATTGAGAAACTATCCAGCTCTTACTCAGTAATAGCATAGATGACTTCATGGGAGTTGGTATAGTCCCTATTGGTCCAGTGAACACATGACCCCAGATTGACCAATCAGAGTATTACATTCTTGTACTTACTGTAATTATTTCAGCGAAAGCCACGTGATGCCAGTCATACAAATCTGTGATCTTTCTAGAATGTGTTTCATAGGTATTAGAACATTATTGGTAAGTAACCATGTGAAGTATTAGTTTTTAAAATCCTTTCTTATTGAAAATTAATATATGCACATGTTAGAAATGCAAAAAGTAAAAAAGAATATCTATTAGAAGTAAGTCTAATTCTATCCTGATCCTATCCTTATCCTTAGAACCAACACTGTGAATTATTTCATATAAATAGTTTTAGAAATGTTCTATAAATTAACAACATATATTTTTAGATGCACAGAAGCGTTCTGTAAGATAATAGGATATTTTCATATAAACACATATAAATATTATATTTTCATGTTAGCACATATAAATCCCCCTCACTGATTTCTAATGGCTATAGATTCCTATTACATGCAAACATACACTCATCCATACCATCACATTTCCTATTGATGGCATTTTAATTTTTCCTTTTACAAAATTGTGAAGGTGAACAATTTCATACATATGTACTTGAACACGCATATAGGCATATTAATAGGAATAAATCCTACATGTGGATTTATACAATAAGAATATTTACATATTAAAACTTAATAGATATTCCCTGTAAAGATTTTGAACCAATTTATTTTCTCACCAATACATTGCCACACAACCATTTTGCTATACCAATACAAATGATTTGGAAAATTCCAAAGGACCTATAGTGCACCTCTCATTCCGTAGATTAGATATAGCAATGTCCCAATAATTCTCTTTTACTCTGCATCCAATATTCATTAAGCTCCCCTGACATCACAAAGTCTGGAGTATATCACATGAAATATATATATTATAAAGCAACTATATTTATGTACTCACATTGATGTCTTCCAAATCTAAATTATTTAGAATAATATTGTTCCTTTTCCAGATAATGGGAGGTCTCAGGGTTCCTTGAATGGCACAGCTCAGAACAGCACTTTGTCCCACAGTTGCTGCAGTGATGCTTAGTTTCTGATCTTCTGGCAGACTCAACTGGATCACTTCTGTAAAGATGAAGTGTCAGTAATGTTGATGAGCATTTAGTTTTGTAAGGCTAATAGTATAAAATTTCTGAATACTAGTAATTAAGGCTTTTAATTTGAATAAAAGGGAAAAAAGCTTGTGATGAAATGAAAAAAGAGAAAATTGTTTCCAATAAAAGGTCAGAATGACATTTCAATTTAATTGATTGACAAGCATCCTCATGAGGCACAGAACTATTAAGCATGAAATGAATATCAGAAGTAGAGTTATAATAAGCCTGGCAGATTGCACCCAAAAGAGAGATAAATTACTTAACTGCCAAATCGACATGTAGTGTGTCATCAGCATTGAAATAAAAATGATGCTGTTTATTCACTGATAGATTTATACTGTAGGTTAGGTGAGATCACTGCTGGCTTGCAGTAGACGGTAAAATGCATCTTTTTGCTGGGAAACCTATTGACTCTGAAGGCATAAGATTTGTTTGGGAAGTTGAAGAAGTAAAAATCTGAAGTTCGCTGACCAAACAGCAATTAAGTAAAATTCCATCAGCTGTCTTTACCAGATCGCACTGGTATTGAATAGTTATTTCATGATTCTTAAAGATACATATCATATTTTAACTAACCAGTGTGCATATTTCTGCTGATAATCTGCCAAAGTACACATTTCTGTCTATTGCTGGACAACATTATTTGAAATCTGCATATGGCTTTCCTTTTTGGTTTTCAGATAATCCTTACCAATTAGGAGAATTATCAACTGTATCATTGTCAATTTTCATGAGAGATGACTAGGATAATGTCTGCCAATTCTGCATCCATGTAAAAACTGACCTTTTGTTTCCTGCTGACATTCACAGACATGAAGTTTTCTACATTATGATTTGAGTCTTGTATTTTGACTTTGCTCACAGTCTTGACCACGTTAGAAATACCACAAACGAAACACCACGAATTCTAACTTAAATGTCGATGTAGAGGAGTGAAATAATTGTCCTCTGTCCCCTTGTTAAGGTTGTGATATTTGTCACTGGGGTTGAGTGAGGAAAGTGGTGTCCTAACTTGTAATAAATATGATCATGTGCAATGGCTGCATTCTTCTTGAGAAAGCCCCCTCCCTCCCTCTCAGCATTCTACCACTTTGTCTCTATTTCTTAATCCTGTCTTCCCCTTGAGATGCTAAACAAGTGAGTTTTATAGAATGCAAATATCCAATAAAGAGTTATTTGGTTTTTGGCATCATCACAAATTGCAATGCCAAACATGGCGTATGTGTTTGGATTAAGGCCTGGATTAAACATATAATTCAACACACACACACGTTAAATGTTGAGTGATCTGTGGTGTTTTCACCACTGGCTGACACCTCATTATCTGATAAAATGAAACAGAAATATACTCACACTCCTATTCTGTTATGTAGCATCTAATCTCTAAACCTAAAGTCACGCTTATTTAAGTTATCATTGTTTTGTGTTGTCCAAAGTGAACAGGAATGCTCTTGAAATTGGAAAATCCTAGTAGAGAAAGGCTCAGCCCAAACTCATTGTTTGGTTTGTTACATCACCCAAAACAGAGACAGTAACCAGTTAGAAATGGATAACAAACATCTTGTCCATTTCTTTGTGTGAAGAGTCTAACCTTGAATCAGATTTATCCATATTCCCATTTATTTCAATGCTTCCTGAGTAATAAGAACATAGGGAAGGCCAGGCACGGTGGCTCACGCCTGTAATTTCAGCATCGGGAGGCAGAGGCAGGCGGATCACTTGAAGTGAGGAGTTCGAGCCTGGCCAACATGGTGAAACCCCATCTCTACTAAAAATAGAAAAAAAAGCCAGGCATTGTGGCTCACGCCTGTAGTCCCTGCTACTCAGGAGGCTGAGGCAGGAGAATCTCTTGAACCCGGGAGGCAGAGGTTGCAGTGAGCCAAGATCATGCCACTGCACTCCAGCCTGTGTGTCGCAGTGAGAATCCGTCTCAAAAAAAAAAAAATAGGGAATATTTTCGGTCTGTTTTAGATTAATATATATTCTGTCATATACATATGACATGTCTCTGTTATATATCACATATGTGTACACATATAAAACCACACATACATACACAGAAACATAAACACACATATACACTCATACAGAGACATGTATATACATAAATAAGTTAAAAATTATTCAATTAATTCGAAACACTAAAAGTTGAAATCTGCATACACAGTGTTCATGTCTTTTTTAATGTTACAAACTTACAGAAAGTGAGAACATTATAAAAGTAATGGCATCATGTACAGTATCACGTAAGAATTATTAATAATTTCCCATTTACATTCCTGAATTTCAGCTTCTGGTTCCTCATTAAATTACAGAGGAGATAATGGGACATCTGGTTCTAAAAACAGCATGTAAACATTGGCTATTCTGCCATTTAGAAATACAATTGCTACTAAGTTACCCTGGAATCTCTTCACTAACCCTTCCGCATCTGTTATTAGGTCCCAGGCCATTTGAATTAGTTGTGCTTTTTATAGTTATATATTACAATGGTAATTAGATAATATAATCATCTTAGAATAAATGCTGAGATTTGGCATAACATTATGTGGGCAATCTTTCTAAAATGTATTTTTTTAGAAGATGTGTAATTAGAATAAAGAATTACTATTCACTAGGAATATTAACATGCACAGAAAAACTTACTTTTTCATGTTATGGCTACATTTTAAAATGACTTCAAATATATTTCGTGGTAATACTTATTATTAAGTAACTATATATTTGATAATTTCTTAGATTTGTTTTCTGCATATTTCATGCTGTATGTTTCACCTCTTCCCTACTATGTTGTATAGAAAAAATACACCAAGCCAATTATGTTCACTGGTTACATCTCAAAATCAAATGGGCTTTTCCTGAAATAAATTTAGCAGCACAATTTATTTTAGCTACAGAATTGCCATGCCCATCTTTATTTGTCTTGTGATAGTTATTAAGAAGCACAGATTAGCACAGATTTAATATTGCAAGTTAAAAATGTTAAACATTTTTATTCTTAAATTATATCAAGAATGTTTCAATGTTGAGTGAAATGCTTATAAAATGCCAAAATTATAAGTTTTATAGATACATGATCATTATTTCTAGAAATGCATTACTATGTAAAACAACAGCTATGAATCAAGCTGTAATCCAATTTAAAAACGATTTTTATATCTATTACTGTAAATTGCCTCTGAGTGTGTGTGTACATTTTAGTGACTACAGTTGCTACTTTAAAAACAAGAATTTTGAAACAAAATATTGAAAACAATCTTTTATTAACTATGGTTAATCCATGTTTTCTTGGATATACATTAATAATGACTTGTTTCATTTTATAGCATCCTATATGCAAACAGCTTATGCTAGTTATGTACAGAAACTATCTTTGCAACAAATAGCACCAATCATTTTATACCCCTCTGCATCCTTTCTGCTCTAATGACCTCAACATGTATCATGTGTCCAGAGTCACCTGGTGCCCTAGCAAAAGGTAAAAACATATAGGCTAAGTGTAACATATGGTACCGAGTGTTTTGACACACTTCAAAAATTCTTTCATCTGTAAACTTTGCCTCCTCTTAGAAGCACTCTCAAGTATTTAACGCAAAATTTTAATGATTTTTTTCTGATCTCACATTATGAGGACTATTACTACCTTTTTAATTCAGCTTTTGTTTTTGATTACTTAGGGAAGTCAAGAGGCAAGTAAAATACTTTCACACTGTGAATCCTTCTCTATGCTTTCTCATTTTTACAACTTGGCTTAGAGAAAAACTAAGAGCTTGCTTTAAAGGAATGAAATATTTGAAGTGTCTGCTAGAAGAATCTGAAGCCAAAGACACAAGTATAGTTTAGTACAACTTGCAGCGTGATTAGTGGGTATTTATGAGGCATTGATTTCAATAGCAACTAGGTCCTACCAGTAATAATATAAATTTGGGTAAAAATATGTCATATTTTTTAAGTTTTATTTTAAGTTCAGGGATACATGTATGGGTTTGTTACATAGGTCAGTGTGTGTCATGGGGATTTGTTGTACAGATTATTTCATTACCCAGGTATTAAGCCTAGTACCCATTAGTTATTTTTCCTGATCCTCTCCTTCCTCCCACCCTCCATGCTCTAATAGGCTCCAGTGTGTGTTGTTCCCATCTATGTGTCCGTGTGTTCTCATCATTTAGCTCCCACTTATAAGTGAGAATATGTGGTATTTGGTCTTCTGTTCCTGCATTAATTCGCTAAGGATTATGGTCTCCAGCTCCATCCATGTCCTGGCAAAGAACATGATCTTGTTCTTTTTTATGGCTTCATAGTATTCCATAGTGTATACGTACCACATTTTGTTTATCCAGTGTATCATTAATGGGGATTTAGGCTGATTCCATGTCTTTGCTATTATGAATAGTGCTGCAATGAACTTTAATTCGTGTGCATGTGTCTTTGTAATAGGATAATTAATATTGTATTGTAATAGGATAATTAATATTGTAATGGGATTTCTGGGTCAATGGGAGTGTAAATTAGTTGAACCATCGTGGAAGACGGTATGGCAATTCCTCAATGACCTCATATTATGTGATTTTAACACATATAGAAAAAACGAAATATTATGAATATTTGTGAAACATTAGTTTAAAAAGGATGATTTTAGGAACTTTGACTAAAGATATCTTTTAAAATCATAAGAAGAGCAAGCTTTTCATAACCAAGATTCTGCTTTTCTAAATATCGACATCTTTGATGTTTCTAACTATAGACTTACGTTAAATATTTCATTAAATCTGTTTAAACACTAGACTCATAATCTTATTATCCTCATCATGCCTATCATTTCCATTATAGGAATGAAGCCTAGAATAAATTTTATCAGTAATGTTTCCTAATAATGGGTATTTTACCTCTCTCTACTTCAGTAAAGAAATTGCTAATTAAATGCAGATAGTAATACAATATTAAGCCAGAAATAGATCAAAAAAAGAAAATCACTTAGAAACTGTAAATGGAATAAATTAGTTATTCTCATATAAGATAACCACAATTACTTAATAACAAGGTTTTTAACTAACAAGGAAATTCTGATGGCATATTTTGTCAGGAAATAGGTGATTTCAAAATAAATGGTAATGCTTACATAATTTAGACATGCCAAGATATTCATAAATTTATTATGATGAAATGCTTAGAATCTTCGAGACTAAATGTCTACCTGTTAAATATTATAGCTTTTATTATAATTGGTCTTATAAAATTAAAACAAAATTTAAAAGATCTAGAAACTTTGTTTTGGTAACAATGGACTGGATAAATTGGACTAATACATTCACAGAAGTGACACCACAGCAAACAAACACATAAACAGCATGAACTAAATACAAATCATTTATTCTTAAAAGCATTAGAGAAATATCAGAATAATGAGGAACTGCCCAGTCTATATTCTGAAGAGAACTGTAACTCAGAGATGAGATTACACCTGGAATTGCACATTCTGTTGAGGATTTTTTTTCATTTTGAAGCGATAACAGCAATACTTAGATGTTCTTATGTGGCTTATTGTTTTCCAGGCATAAGGGATAGGGAAAATAATGGAGTGTGTCCATCTCTGTGCTAAGACTTTAAGGTGCCACGATCTGAAACTGAATATATGGACTGCAGCACGCTGTTACCTAGATGTCTTAAACAAAATCTCTCTGGAGTAAGTTAATATCATTATATTCATCCAATCCTTGTTATAAACAATTTTGTATTTACAATACCCAGAAAACCATAACTATGATATGGCCCACCAAAAGAGAAGACAGCATGATGAGAAGGAGCAGAAATAACACATAACACTAAAAATAATCCAATAAGATTGTAAGATGTATTATGTTTATGAAAATAAAATTCCAGGTTAGACATTTTTACCATAAATAATAGAACTATAAACATTACAAGTTTGTGAAAAATCAAGTAGAAATTATAAAAGTAAAAGCTATACTAACTGAAATTAATAATTAAATGTATGTACTTAAGGTCAGATTAGACACAGCAAAAAAGAGAAATAGTAAGCTAGAAAAGAGATTAAATGAAACTTTACTGAATAAAAAGCAAAACCAGATACGGTTAATGAAACCAGGGTTCTTTTGAATCCCAGAATGAGAAAACAGAAAAAAATGGAGGAGAAGTAATATTTGAACAAATAGCAGCTGACAGGTTTCCATAAATGTAAAAGACACCAATCAATAGATTGAAGAAGCACATCAAATTTCAAGCAAAGCGAACAAAAAACTAGGCTAATTCACACTGAGTCACTGTATTAGTCCATTTTCACGCTGATGATAAAGACATACCTGAGACTGGAAAGAAAAAGAGGCTTAATTGGACTTACAGTTCCACAGATTCTGAGGCTGGGGAGACCTCAGCAGAATCACGGCAGGAGGTGAAAGGCACTTCTTACATGGCAGCAGAAGGAGAAAAATAAGGAAGAAGCAAAGGGACACCCCTGATAAACCCATCAGATCTCGTGAGACTTACTCACTATCAAGAGAATAACACAGGAAAGACCGGCCCCCATGACTCAGTTACCTTCCCCTGGGTCCCTCCTACAACACATGAGAATTCCGGGAGATAGGATTCAAGATGAGATTTGGGTAGGGACACAGCCAAATCATATCATTCCTCCTCTGGACTCTCCAAATCTCATGTCCTCGCATTTCAAAACCAATCATGCCTTCCCAACAGTCCCCCAAAGTCTTATTTCAGTATTAACCCAAAAGTCCACAGTCCAAAGTCTCATCTGAGACAAGGCAAGTCCCTTTCTCCTATGAGCCTTTAAAATCAAAACAAGCTAGTTACTTTCTAGATACAATGTGGATGCAGGTATTGGGTAAATGGAGCCATTCCAAAAGGGAGATATTGGCCAAAACAAAGGGGTTACATGGCCCATAAAAGTCCAAAATCCAGGGGGCCAGTCACATTTTAAAGCTCCAAAATGATCTCCTTTGACTCCAGGTCTCACTTCCAGGTTATCTGATGCAAGAAGTGGGATCCCATGGTCTTGGTCAGCTCAGCCCCTGTGGCATTGCAGGGTACAGCCTCCCTCCCAGCTGCTTTCACAGGCTGGTATTGAATGTCTGTGGCTTTTCTAGGTGCATGTTGCAAGCTGTCAGTGGAGCTACCATTCTGAGGTCTGGAGAACAGTGACCCTCTTCCTACAGCTCCACTAGGCAGTGGCCCAGTAGAGACTCTGTGTGGGGGCTCCAACCCCACATTTTCCTTCCACAGTGCCCTAGCAGAAGTTCTCCATGAGGGCCCTGCCCCTGCAGCAAACTTATGCCTGGGCATCCAGGCATTTCCACACAGCCTTTAAAATCTAGGCAGAGGTTCCCCAATCCCAATTCCTGACTTCTGTGCACCCACGGGCTCAACACCACGTGGAAACTGCCAAGGCTTGTGGCTTCCACTCTCTGAATCCACAGCCCAAGCTGTACATTGGCCCCTTTCAGCCACAGCTGGAGCCGGTGAGACACAGAGCAACAAGTCCCTAGGCTGCTCAAAGCACAGAGTCCCAGGGCCTGGCACAGGAAACCACCTGTTCCTCCTGGGCCTCTGGCCCTGTGATGGGACGGGCTGCGGTGAAGGTCTCTGACACGGCCTGAAGACATTTTCCCAATTGTCTTTGGGAAAAACATTATGCTCCCTGCTACTTATGCAAATTTCTGCAGCTGGCTTGAATTTCTCCCCAGAAAATGGATCTTTCTTTTCTATCGCATAGTCAGGCTGCAAATTTTCCAAATTGTATGCTCAGTTTCCCTTTTAAAATGGAATATTTTAGTAGCACCCAAATCACCTTTTGAATGTTTTGCTGCATAGAAATTTCTTCTGCCAGATTTTCTAAATCATCTCTCCCAAGTTCAAAGTTTCACAAATCTCTAGGGCAGGGTCAAAATGCTGCCAGTCTCTTTGCTAAAACATAACAAGAGTCACCTTTTTTCCAGTTCCCAACAAGTTCCTCATCTCCATCTGAGACCACCTCAGCCTGGACGTTATTGTTCATATCACCATCAGCATTTTTGTCAAAGCCATTTAATAAGTCTCTAGGAGGTTCCAAACTTTCTCACATTTTTCTGTCTTTGTCTGAGACCTCCAAACTGTTCTAAACTCTGCCTGATACCCAGTGCAAGTCACTTCCACATTTTCAGGTGTCTTTTCAGCAATGCCCCATTCTACTGGTACCAATTTACTGTATTAGTTAGTTTTCATGCTGCTGATAAAGATGTAACTGATACTGGGAATAAAAAGAAGTTTAACTGGACTTACAATTCCACATGTCTGGGGAGGCCTCAGAATCATTGTGGGAGGTGAAAGGCAGTTCTTACATGGCAGCGCAAGAGAAAATGAGGAAGAAGCAAAAGCGGAAACCCCAGACAAACCCGTCAGATCTCATGAGACCTATTCACTATCACGAGAATAACACGGGAAAGACCGGCCCCCGTGATTCAATTACCTCCCCCTGGGTCCCTCCCACAACACATGGGAATTCTGGGAGATACAATTAAAGTTGAGATTTGGGTGCAGACCCAGCTAAACCATGTCAGTCACTTAACAATGAAATTAAAGAAAATTAGGAACACTCAATTTACCAATGTAACAAACCTGCACATATACGCCTGAACCTAAAGTAAAAGTTTTGTTTTGTTTTTGTTTTTGTTTTTTAAAGAATATCAAAGACAGAGAGAAATCTTTTTTTTGTTGTTTTATTTTGAGACAGAGTCTCACTCCTTCACCCAGGCTGGAGTACAGTGGCACCATCTCAGCTCACTGCAAGCTCCGCCTCCCAGGTTCACGCCATTCTCCTCCCTCAGCCTCCCCAGACTACAGGCGCCCGCTACCTCGCCTGGCTAATTTTTTGTATTTTTAGTAGAGATGGGGTTTCACCGTGTTAGCCAGGATGGTCTCGATCTCCTGACCTCGTGATCTCCCCGCCTCGGCCTCCCAAAGTGCTGGGATTACAGGCGTGAGCCACCGCGCCCGGCCCAGAGAGAAATCTTAAAATTTTGCAAATTAAAAGATACAGCCTGCCTATATGGTGAGGAGAGTTAGACACATAACTGATTTCATCAGCAAAAGTAGAAACAAGAAAGCAGTAAGATGATATATTGGAAATTATGCAACAAAATAAAAACTGATCTTAGAATTTTATAGAAATACACAAATATTATAATAAAATTAACATATTTACAAAAAACAGAAGAATGAACATGCATGCCTAGGAAACTTGCCTTGAAGTAAATTCTAAAAATGTTCTTCAGACAGAAGAAAAATGATTCTAGATGAACACTCACAGATGCAAGGAGTGGACAGCAAAAAAATAAAAAAGAAGATGAAGAAGAAGAAGAAGAAAAAGCATTTAAATATGAATGTTAAAGTTTAACAGTAAACTTTGATAGTTCAAGAAGGCCAGATAATATAAAATAATATTTCCATAACATTGGGTAGAGAAAGATTTTGTTAACAAGACACAAATGAATTCTCCATAAAGAAAGTGACTTATAACTTTGACAACATTAAAATTTAAAATATCTATTCCTCAAAAGATATTGTTAAAAGACCAAAAACACAAGTCACCAAGCGGAAGATAATTGCCACCCACAAAACTGACAAAAATCTTATATTTCAAATAAATTATTCTACACATCACTAAGAAAAATTTAAACAACTCATTAACAAAACAATCAAGAAATCAATAAAAGACTTGAAAAAGTGCTTTATGAATTAGTCTATATGGCTAAGAAAAATCTGAAAATTGCTGAACTATCTATGCAATTAGGAAAATGAAAATTTAAGCCAAAACCCTTCAAATTGGCTTGAATTTAAAAGTCTAATGAGAATAACTGTTGAGAAAAATACAAAGCAACATAAATTCTTATATAACATGAACAAGAGTGTAAATGTATACATAAACTTGCTCCATTAGTAAAGGAAGCCTCATCTAGCAAACTTTTCTGGTCAACCCATTTCCAAGGACCAAGTTAGCCATATCCCTTGTAGAAGCTTAGAGTTATGACATAGAAAAGGCGGAGAGTTTAGCTGTTATAAAGCGATAACAGAAGTAAGAACACATAATTTTTTAAGACACCTTTAATATACAGGACAGAGAAGAAAAGAGAAGACCCCTATATGGGGAGAGAACAGTATGATAACAAATAGGATAAAATAATCTGGAGTTTATTCTGAGGAAAAGGGGCCAGTAGAAAGAAAAGTTCTGAATATAAAATTGAGAAAATAATTATTTCTGCCAAAAGTTCTGAAAGTAATTAGGAGAACTTATAATCACAAATACAAATAAAAGCATTTAGCTACTAGGGCAAAATGGTAGTTTCTTCCTATGCTGTTAGTGAGATTGAGAAGTTATAGAAATATATGAGTAAAAGACTTTTCAATGAAAGTCTTTCTGTAAAACAACGCAGAAAAAATTCTTGTGCAGAATTGAAATATTGTTTTTTATTCTCATTATATTCTTTTTGTATACTAAAGACAGTACAATACTACAGACAAAACTATATTTTTATATTAATTCAAGCAGTTTTACATATTGACAATAGTGAATCTCATTTTATTTTTTAATTCATGACTTTGACATTCTTTTAGTGGTCTTATAAATGTACAATTATCTTTCAAGGGTTCTGTTAACTTTCATTTAATTTCTATCTTTCAAATGAATTATATAAAGTTGAATTTTAAACTAAAATAATAAAGGTTGAGTCTATTTATTCAGTGATATGTGTGACACACACAACTTGGAAAACAATTCTTTTTTATGCAGAATAGTTTCCATGTGAAGCCTGACCTAACAAAAACTGTACTAACAGAAAGAATTGGGTGGCCACTCAAAGTAGTCAAGTTAATATTAACTGTATGACTTTGAAAAATTCAAGAATGCAGATAACAGAATGACTTTAACATTCTAAGTACATTCTAAGTACATTGTAGGTAACATTATAATGTTGGAATAGTAAGGTATTGACATTGCAAGACTTGTTATATTAAGTTTAAAATCTCATTACAAGTGAGTTACTCCTTGTAGGACATAGGTAAAAGAAAATAATTGTGAGTATTAACTGAATACATATCATTTGCTAAGGATTTTTCAAAGTATTTGATTCATTTAACTTTCCCAACTGCCCTGTGAAGTACATACTGATTCTGATTTTTATTTTTATTTTTCTACCTGTTTATTTATCTCATGTGAGGAAGAGATAATTAAAGCTTTATTAGCCATCTTGTGATCATGAATGGGAACATTCTCAACACATTAGAGATGAAAAATGCAAAGATGGAAGGACTTCAAGTCCTTCATTTAATAGGTGAGAAGGGAGAAAACAATCATTTTAAAAAGATTCAGGCATTGAATACATATATTAACAAAGATGAAAGATTGGAAATCAATCATCTAAGCTTTCACTTTAGGAAATTAAATAAAAAGAGCAAATTAAATCCAAAGTATGCAGGGTAAAAGAAAGAATGAAAATTAGAACATGAAAAAAATAAAATTGAAAACAAAAAATCAATACAGAAAATCAATGAAAACAAAAGTTGGTTATCTGAAAGATAAAACCAATAAGCCTCAAACCAGAGTAACTCAGAAGAAAGACACTAGGCAAAATTACCAATATCAGAAATAAAATACAGTATTATTACAGATCCCATAGACATTTAAAGGATAATAAAAGTTACACAAAAAATTCTGTGCCCACAAATTTGATAACCTAGGTTAAATGGACCAATTCTTTGTAAGTCACAATCTGCTAAAACTCATTTAAGTAGAAACAGGCAATCTGAATAGGTTTATACTTATGAAAGAAATCACATTACTTATTAATCACCTTCCCAACAGAAACTATCAGGCCCAGATGGATTCACTGATGAATTCTACCAAACATTTAAGGGAGAAATTGTATCAATCCCCTACAATCTCTTTCACAAGATAGCAGAAGAAATACTTTCTAACTCATTCTCTGAGACCATTATTACCCTAATGCCAAAACCAGACAATAGCATTACAAGAAAAGAAAGCTGCATAAAAATATCTCTTCTAGGCATAGATGCAAAAATTCTCAACAAAATATTAGCTAATAGAATCCAACAACATATGAAAATGATTATACACTATGACACGTTGGTGTTTGTCTCAGGTATGCAAGAATGAGTCAACATTTAAAAATCAATTAAATGTACTCATCACATCAACAAGATAAGAGGAAAACAAAACGTGCAAGATTTATATAAAAAATTTTAAAACTTGGATGAATTTATTAAAGAAGTAAATAAAGAGGCTGGGCGCGGTGGCTCACGCCTGTAATCCCAGCACTTTGGGAGGCTGAGGTGGGTGGATCACCTGAGGTCAGGAGTTCAAGACCAGCCTGGTCAACATGGTGAAACCCCGTCTCTACTAAAAATACAAAAATTAGCCGGGTGTGGTGGTGCGTACCTATAATCCCAGCTGCTCAGGAGGCCGAGGCAGAAGAATTGCTTGAATCCAGGAGGCAGAGGTTGCAGTGAACTGAGATTCCGCCACGGCCCTCCAGCCTGGGTGACAGAGTGAGACTCTGTCTCAAAAAAAAAAAAAAAATAAAATAAAATAAAAGAAAAAGAAAAATAAATAAATAAATAGATAATCCATGCTCATGAAAACAAAAACTCAGTATTATCAAGATATCAGTTTTTCTCCACTCCATCTTTAAATTTAATGCAATCCCAGTCAAAATTCCAGCAAGTCATTTTGTGGATATCAACAAATGAATCCTGAGGTGTCTAGAGAGGCAAAAGATCAAGATGAACCAATGTTGAAGGAGAAAAACAGTATTAGAAGACTGATACTACCTGACTTCAAGAGTTGCTACAAAGCTACAATAATCAAGGCAGTGTGGCACTGGTGAAATAATAGACAAATAGATCAATGGGGCAGAATAGAGAGGCCAGAAATAGAACCAAATAAATATAGTGAACTGATCTCTGACAAAGAGAAATGACAATGCAAGGTAGAAAAGTAAAATTTTAAACAAATTGTTCTGAAACAAATGGACATTCACATTTAAAAAAAAATGACACTAGACAGAAGCCCTACACATTCAGAGAAACTAACTAAAAGTACATCACAGACTTAAATATAAAACAAAAAACTATAAAAATCCTAGATGATAATTGGAGAAAACTAAATGACCTCAGGTTTGGTGATGACCATATTTTACATTCAAAAAATAATATTGGTTTATTTTTCATAGATACTAATTAATAACAAGAGGAAAACCAAGACCATTTATAAACCTTAGGTAAGATAGATCATAAGGTGTTTATACTTTGGTTATATTATTACATAGAAATTAAGTGTCCTTAAGGCTGTATTTAAATATATGTACACAAGAAAAAAAGACATCAAACATAATGATGAGCACTCTTTTACTTACAAAAATATCAACTAAATGTTAAAAAACGTCAGGTATTTTTTCCTGTATGATTTATTGGTGTAAATACTATGTTTGATTTGAAAAAAAAGACATTATATTCTAAATTTGTGAAATATTGAATGCATGAAATGCAGAATTAACTTACCATCTTTAATATATTTTTAAAGTTTTGGTATTTTCACTTACTAACGAAATTCAGTGTGGTAGATTGGGAAGAGAAATTGCATATACATATGAAGGAAGGTATCTAATCAGAAGAGTTCACAGCGAATTTTCATTTGTCAGACAGGATAAAGCAATCAGTTAATCAATACCCATTTCCTATATGTTAACAAATGTGTTCAGTGCCATGTTGAAAAGCTATTACAGATATAAGAGAAGAATATTAACCTGTGTGCATTTCTTCAACTTACCTCAAGGAAACCCCAGGACATTAATGTTGGAGTCGATCAAATGACACATTATTTGCTCTGTCTTTAATAAACTGAACATTTTTCACTATGTTTTAGATTACAGTCAGTCAGAGCTAAATTAATGAACTAATCCCTCCATGTGGTGTAATAGAATTTGGGCCTTATAGACTAAAACAGACTTTAATATTGTTTGCCTAATTAAAACAATTCAGCTAAAAGAGATTGCTATTTGCCTAATAACAAACTGCTACTACTGATAAAACTGAAACTAGGATCCAGAGAATTTGCCTTCACTACGAAGTTTTACAGTGAGTGTCCCTTTAGGAGCTTGCAGCAAACAGATGTAAAATACGGGGAATTGAACACTGGCTGTTCATTTTGGCAATTCTTCACAGGGTCCAAAGACTGGGCCTTAACTATGCAAATCTAGAAACAAATTTAACAATTCATCCAGAATTAATTAGGCTACTGGGGATTAACTCAGCTAATCAAAATCACAGGATACCTTTGTTTATTCTGGAATATCAATTTATTCATTTACAATGGGAAAAGCATCAGGTTTAGTAAGGAATGTCAGCTGTGAGCCTGGGAATCTTCTTTCTAATGCACAGGTCAAAAGCTTCACAACACTGATGAACAGAAAATTACAAAAAAGAGAGTTGGCTATTCTCAAGGCAGTCCAGCTCTAATCAGCTAATGAATTGCCCTTTTCAACTCTAAAGACATTTCTGTCTAGAGAGACTTTCTTTTCTTGTCACTTTCAAGTTTATTGACAAATTCTTAGCTCCTTTTTTTACATTGTGCATATCACCACACGTGTGCAACTAGAGCACTAACTCAGGTAGATTGCAGAAGAGTTAAGTATATTAGAACCTTCTTTACATCAGCAAATGTTCCCATGGACCTAGGCTTGGCAAACTATGCCCCTGGACCAAATCTGTTCTGCCACCTGTTTTTGAAAATAAAGTTGTGTTGGAACACAGCCATACCCGTTTCTTACTGTTATTGCCTCTGTTGCTGTCTATGACTGCGTTCAGCTCTATATATGCGGAGCTGAGCAGTTGCCGCTAAGACCTACGGTATGCAAAGCCTAAAATATTTCTTCTCCGAGTTTTTACGAAAAGTTGCCTATTCATTGAAACATTACTTTGCTGCTTTTACGTTCCTTAGACACATGTAAGTTTTAAAAATATGATCTGTTTATTTCTGCTCATTCTCTTGGTTCAGAACATTAAACCTAAGATAATTAGAGAGTGCATGAAAATTGCTCTCATTTAGATATGAGTGAGTTCATAAACTACTCCACCACTTAAAAAAAAAATCTTTGAGCCTTCTGCAAATAATGACACAGGATGAATTTCTACAACTGTAACAGTTGCTATACCCAGAATCCAAAACAACATGAAAGTAAGTCCTGTTTGTCTTGTCCAAATGGAATTTCTAGTCCGTGACAGTAGCATCCTACCAGGTCTGACTTCCTAAGTCTGGCATGTAGAAGAACTATCATTCCTTCTCTCTTCTTAACATCCGATCAAAATACGAATTCCCAGGGCACATTCTCAGCCAGAAGGAAAGCAATCTGATTATCCCATGTGAATCATTCACAGTACTAATCTGTGAACAAGTTTGATTCTCCAAGAGAGTATTTACATTTTAATAGGGAACATTTTAATTCAAATGTATCTTTAACCAGTAAACTGCTTACACAGAAATGCTTTTGAGAAGGAAACCTACCAAGTAATTATTGTCAACTCTTTGCCACGACTTTCTCTCCAAGAAATCAGAGGGACCTAGATCTGACCAAGACTTCCTAAGTATTTCCCTCTGCCTGACTCAACTTCAGACAGGTTTGCTCCTCTGACCTCCCAGAGTATTTAGTTTACAAAGTTTGCAATTATAAATACTTTCTGTGCCCCTTTAACATATAAATCTTCACCCAGCCTCTTGACAGTTTACGACCCAAGAATATCTTTCTCAAAGTGCTGAGAGTCAACAAGGAAGACAACGCCCCATCTCAGTCTGTGTGAGAGCACAGGAGCCTAACTTCATTAAGTGCCAATTAACAAACACAATTAGAAATGAGCTTTTTGCTTTTGTTTTTTTGTAGGAAGAATGGCCAAATTTTGCATTTCTCCAACATTCATTTCATTCATGCTTAAGAGAGAGTTTACAAAGTATTAATGAGATGACCAGTAACATTTACTTATGGTTTATAATTCTAGAGATATATAGAATTGAAGAAAAATACAAATTATCCTCTCTTTATTTTCACCTGTCCCAAAGTAAAAAGCCATAAACATAAAATTTTCTCTCGATTTTATCTAAGAAATTAAAAAAAAAAAACCCAAAAATCTAAAAAAAAAAAGTAAGGTGTTTATTGATTTTAAGTAATTTTTTAAATTAGAAACTGAACATTTCTTAAGCCTACAATTGTTGCCATACAGTGATCATTTTATATCACTTATAAAGCCAGGAATACATCTTTTCTACAAATGAATAGACTTTTAATTACTCTAAATATGTACTTCTCATACCATCATCTAGACATAATTTTTTTAAAATATCACTGCCTTGAAACTGCAGGTCTTTAAATGTCCTATGCAGTACAGTACAATTGGAAGATTTCCATGAAATTAAATGCTATACAAATGCCTGAGAACTCAGGTTTTGGGCAATTTATCTTTATCATTAAAACAAAGAAGACATGTGAACAATTATACAGTTAACTCAGTGGGAAAAATGCTCTGTACGTTTATTGCTAAAAATAATGTACTGGATTTAAATTACAGGGTTTGAAAATATATTTATATAAATTATAATGCACATGATTCCGCCTGTACCTATTTCAGATTTTCTATGGGACATTTGATTATTTAGAAGAGGAGTTCAGTACAATAAATTTGGGCATCGACATTTTGTGGCATTTTTTTACATGTAAAAGTTTTCAAACTTTTATGTTAATTCAATAGTTGCAGTAAGTTACTCAGTTTTGTAAATATTTTACTATGGTAATATATCCTGCTCATTTGAAGTAATTTTATGAACTGTATTTATTAGAAAAATTAAATACATTTCTTCCTTAAATAAGCTACTGAGACAAATCCAAAATGATTTCAGTAATCCTTGAGTAACAAAAATCTAAACTAATTATAGCATCTTGTGAAAAACAAATCAAACAGTTATTTTCGGTTAAGTAGACAAAAGAATGAGTACAACTCACATGCAGATCCATTCTAGCCTCTGACACTATATTAATTTCTTTTTGTAATAAATAAATGTTAACAAAGTATAGTTCTAGTGTCAAATGTCACTATTTTTATATTTAAGCCTGAGTTTATTATTAATTTTGTGATATGAAGTACATAATTTATTTTACCAGACAGAATTTGTTTACATTTTTAAATGATTATTTTTAAGGATATATTTTTATATTCATATTAAATTATTAGTAATACAAATGCTTAAAATTTGTTTTAAATGTTACAGTGCATGTAGAATTAACAGGATATTTCAATATAAATTCAAAAAATGTCAATAAAAAAGCATTCAAAACTTTGTAATCTGTCTCATTTAAAATTAAGGCCATTTTAAGACATAATCAAACACTTTATTACATATAAAATTGTTAATAAGAGTGACTTTATTTGGGCTAGGTACTATTCAGCATACCATTAAAGGAAACAGAAGGGTTACTGCAAAATAAAAACAATATAGATTTTCACTATTAATAGAAGTGTTTTTAAAAACATATTTTGATAATATACTTAAAAACGTATTTTAGTAAGAAGCTTTAAAAGCACAGATATACAGATATATAAACATATTAAAAGCACAAATATATACACATATATGTGTAAGAAGCTAAAATTTAATGTTTTAAAGAATTTACATTGTAATTAAAAGAAAATATTTGCCAAGAAAGCCTAAATGGGAAAGAATAGAAATGAGGGGGAAAAAAAGGGAAGATTTGATACAGCAGATTCAGTGCAAGTTATGTACAGAATAAAAGACGGAAAAATGTCTTGTGGAGAATCACATCACCCATTGGTTTCTTTTCCTCATTGCTGCCCTGGTCTTTGATGTGAAACATACTAAAAATAATACATTGTCTGCATCACTTTTATATTTACATCCCTTCTTGGCAGAAAGAAGAAAAACACTCCAAGACTCAACAGTCAGAACTGCATAGTATATCAACGTATTTTGGATGTTCTCCAGTCCCACTGAGGCATGACGCTGCAGTCATATGGCTATGTCACACTGCAAAGTGTCTCCCTCACGGGCTTGTTTGATTGGGACATTGCACATTTAAGAGGTACGTAGTGACCATGCTAGGAGTTAAGGTCTGTAACTTAACATTTTATCAGGAAAAATGTAACAAAGGCTGTCAGTGTGCAGTAGGCACAAAGAGAAATGAAGAAGATGCTTTTCAGTCAAGACATACCCTACTCTGTTTAGCAGAGAGTTGCATCTAAATTCTGTCTCCGAGAGAACTCTCCTGGGCTTTCCTGTGCAGTGTTGCCACACTTCGGGGGCTCCACTGGGGATGGAGAACCTCTCTTCCACATAGAGGTCTTATGGATCAGTATCTGAGATTGGCTTTATAATCTGAATTGACTCAATTGAGATATCAGTTACAAAACTAATAGCATACCAATAGACATAAAGGCAAAAAACAAGAATATAGATAAAGCAGGATAGTTTATAAGCATTTCAATTCACCAGATAGGTATGACTCTAATAGGAATCCTTTGAATCACTTCAATAAAAACTAAAAAACGTAACAATTGATCAGTGATTATTTAACTACTTACTCTCATTAAGAAACGTCACACAAAACTATGTGACAACATATTTCACTAGTGTTATTCTTTCTATAAAAATGATAAATACATTTGTTATTTTATCTTTGAATTTGGGCTATAAAAACTGTAACATCATATTTTCTACTAATAAATGCATATCAGCTTATATTCTATTTATTTTCAAAATCATAATAGAAATGAACACACATAACACAATATTTATCTAAAACTGCTTAATTATCAATTTAATATTATATAACTCATATATTAAGTTCACCATTTTGTTAATATAACAACCTGAGAACCTACTGAGTTCAGAGAAATTATCTTTATATAATTCATTTTTTATTTATCAAAATTCTCAGTAATTTTAAAAAACAGAGAATTACTGTATTATCATGAAAACATAAATTTGGATGCATTAATTTCCTCAGGAGTTCAAATTTTAAAATTCTAGTTAGACAAGAAACTATATTTTTCTCCTGAAGGCATGCTTTATAATTAGATTTTAATAAATTACTAAGAAGTACTTCTGTAATGTGCTTTAAAGGAAATTGTTTTTTTACTTAAACCTGGAACCATAATATAATTTATGCTAATGAGACGCTATCTGATAGAAATTTTCTAAAAATTGTTAATGTATATCTTATATGGATAATAAAAGTCATATTTTTGTAGAAAAAGAAATATTACAAAAGATGTACTAGATTTTAACTGCATGAATTATTATTATAAATGAGATATTACCTTGCAATGTGGCATATTACCCAATATAAACTAATTTGTATGATACAATTGTAGGAAACGAATCACATCAGATAAGTGCAAGCTGGTTTCTGGTATAATTCTGAATTTGAATTCTGTCACTTGCTAGCTACAGAATGTTAGTTTCATCATCTGGAAAGTAAAGGTAATGGTAATAGCTATATCATAGAAACCTTGATTAATTAACATAAAATGTTTAGTAGGCATTCCACAAACAAAAGTTATGAATATGATTAAACTACCAAACATTACCAATCCAAGTAATTCCAATCTTATGGTATGATACCTTATTTGCTTAAAACAAACTTAAATGCCCATCAATGATAGACTGGATAGAGAAAATGTGGCACATATACACCACGAAATACTATGCAGTCAAAAAAAAGGATGAGTTTATGTTCTTTGCAGGGACATGGATGAAGCCAGAAGCCATCATTCTCAGCAAACTGACAAAAGAACAGAAAATCAAACACCGCATGTTCTCACTCATAAGTGGGAGTTGAACAATGAGAACACATGGACACAGGGAGGGGAACATCACACACCGGGGCCTGTCGGGAGGTGAGGGACTAGGGGAGGGATAGCATTAGGAGAAATACCTAATGTGGATGATAGGTTGATGGGTGCAGCAAACTACCATGACACGTGTATACCTATGTTAACAAACCTGCACGTTCTGCATATGTATCCCAGAACTTAAAGTATAATAAATTTTTAAAAAATAATAAAGTAAATAAATTAAAGACTCCTAAAAAAACAAACTTACAATTATTCGCTTCACTATTTGGAAAATACATACACGCACACACACACACACACACACACATACACACAGAGTAATATACAAAAATAATTGCTTTCCTTGAGGTCAATGTAGTTTTTAAGATTATTTTCAGGTTTTCCAAGAATATCAATAACCATACATCAATTCATTCATGTTTTATTCCACATATTAATTTCAACATTAGACATTTAAAATACTTTTTAATATTTAAACTATATTAAGTTAGCCATATTTTAAAACACATTTAAAATAAACTGTTAAAAATAACAATATATTTTTACTGAATGAATCTATATGTACAATTCCCCTTTCTTTCTTCATGTGCAATGCAATTTTATAAATATTAAAACATCTCTTAAATTAAATGATTGACCCCAATTTAGGGAATTTATATGTAACTGACACTGCATTTTGATCATAAAATTACAAAATGCTCTTTTGAAACTACAGAATTTTTTTTTTGAGAAATGTTTGGTCATTTATAGCATTTAATTTGCATATATTTCCAAATAAAGAAAGAATACAATGAGACAGAAAGAGAGCCCGAGAGAGAGAGAGGGAATGAGTCAGAGAGAGGCAGATAGAAACAAAGAGAAAGAAGTTAGAAGAGTAAAACAAAACAGGAATAAATAAAGCATGGCATCTCAGGGAAAAATGCATAATCTAAGATTGAAATCAATAGGTACCACTTTATAATATGCTGTTTTTATTCCTTTTTAATGGCCATAATTTAATTAACAAGTATTGAATGTCTGCCTGTTTGTGTGTATCACACATTTGGAAATCTTATTCCTTCTCTTCATGATCGTATTAGTAGTATTGGAAAATCACAGCACAAAAAAATATTAGCTACAAAGTTTCGAGGATATCAATACTAAACTCTGGCCCATGTTGCTTCTGTGTGAGAACCGAAAGAGTGTTCCTCTTCTCTAAAGAGCTGACATTACAGTTTGCACTTTAGTTTTCTCAACACTAAGAAGACTGCAATTAAAATGTACTCTTTAGGAATTTTCAAGTATATAATATATTGTTATTAACTACAATTATGTTGTAAAATAAATAGATCTTTCAAACTTATTTTGCTGTCTAACTAAAATTGTGTTTTTTTGACTAACACCTCCCCAGTCTCACCACAAATAATGTGAATTAATGCATATATCTATTAGCTTCATTTTGCCGTTCCACAATGTATACATAGTCTAAATATTATGCCACACACCATAGATATATATATTTTATTTGTCAATTAAAACATATGAATTAATTAAAAATATTAACCCCTCAAAAGAAGACTGCAATGGAATGATGAAAAAATAATAAACAAAAACTTCACTTTTCATAAGCAGGTTGGTAAATATACATATCTGTGATGAATGCAATAATATATTATACATGTAAATATGTATATTCTATGATATATTTTTATGTGGCATATATGATACTTACTATATAATATGTAAATGTACAAACACATATGTGTGTATGTGTATATATACAGCCCCCACACTTGGAAATAAACCCCAGTGATCAAGCTCACAGAGTCCACACTTATAGAAAACAATTAAATTAATTAAAGGTGTGCTTTTTCCCTCATCAGGAAAAACAGAATAGTGTCAAAATTTTTTTGACATTTTTGCTTAGAGAAATGAGACAAAAGAAGAGTGAAATAATCTTTTTGGTTTTTAAGGCCTACATTCTTTCAAGTTTTGTTTTCAGCATTACTGCTGCTGTTGATAATAGAACCTACACAAATACATTACTGAAAATATAGAAAAAGAATATTACAATTAAAAGAGTCAAGTTGGATTTCAGATGGAGCTCTATCATCACTTTTGATCAACAGAAAGAAGAATATGCATTTATCACAGCTGCAGATATATTTTCAAAATAAACTGCAAACTCAGTGAAGGTGGAAAAAGTTTCAGCATGATGAAAAGTGAGAAATGGGAAAGCAGCAATACAGGATGAGATTTAATTTAGATAAATGTAAGGCAATACACAGAAGGAATGCCAAAAGAAAGAAAGAAGTTGAAGAGTATTGTTAAGAGAACATCATTTGGAGATTTACTGTAGATTATTTTGGGAGAGAATTTTGATACCTGAGAGTGAAGTAAATGCTAAATAAAACATTAGTTCTAGCACATGAAGGGGTATTAATGTCTTTTTATCTATATACGTAGGGTCCATTTTTATCAAATGGCGATATCATTAAAAACAAACAATGGTAAGTATAATAGCAAAAATGTATTAAACACTATGTATGTGCTAGATATATTAAATTCTTTATCTTAGTATTGAACACTTTAGTAAATACTGTAGCAAGTACTCTTATTATCCCTATTTTATTGATGGAGAATTAGATTTTAAAGATCTTAAGTAATTTTTCAAGATTGTAAAATTATAAAGAGGAGATCATGGATGATGCAAAATTGGAAAACTTATAGGATAAAACTTAAAGAAGAAGAAATAAAATAAATATTGCAAAAGCATTGGAAATTAATATATAGGAATAAATAGTTTCATTGAAACATAATGTTCACAAATGACAATGATAGCTAACATACATTGAGTATCTACTATAAGCTACATACTGTTTTTTCATGCGTTGCAGGTTTTGACTTATTTAATAATCAAAAATGATATGAATTAAGATTATTATTCTACTTTAATATTAGGGAATCTGAAGCAGGAAAAAAAAGTATGTAACTTACCTAAGGTCACATAACTATTAAGTGGTAAAGCTGGGATTTAAATTCCACACTTGCCACTCCAGCCGCATGAACATGTGCTAGTTATTCCTACACTATGTTGGCTCTTGTATTGGAAAAGGGGGAAAAATACAGTAGAATACAAGTATAGAAATAATACAAAAACAGAATTATTGAAAACATGTGCTTGGTACACAGTATAATTGTTAATAGGCATTTATTGAATACATAGAAAATAACCTATGTGAATTAGGTAAAATTTGAGATAAACATCTCATTGAGAAATTAAAACTAATAGCCAATATGATCTCTTTCTTCATTCAGTTGACAATATTAATTGATCACATACTATGTGCTAGGTACTCTTCTCACGTGTGTAATCAATTTTTTGAAACAATGAAGGGTCATGCCCTCACAGAGCTTATATTCCAAAAAGTACAAAACAATATTAAACAATATTAAACTGAGTACAAAACAATATTAAACTGAGTACAAAACAATACTAAACAATATTAAACTGAGTTTTATATTCCAAAAAGTACAAAACAATATTAAACATTTGCACTTTTATTCTTAATTGTATTCTTCCAGTTATTTTTAAATCAAAACATAATTTCATGATGTAAAGTCAAATCCATTATTATACCAAGATAATTGAAAGATACAATTTTATCTTTAAATATGTTTGTTTACATAATTATTTGTTTATAGAAGAAAATAATATGCTAAAAATGAATATAACCCAAGTCTCAGTTTAAGTACCTAGTGCTTTTAAATTGAAATTATTTTACTTAACAGGATACAAAGTGCAATGTCATATATTTTGCTTGTTACATTGCATCCTGAGCTCTGAATCTACTTACTGAGGTCAGTGTTGGGTTCACCTAGTCATCTTGTCTCAATCTAAGCTATTCTTTATTACTTCCCTTATGCATTTCCTCACTCCTACAACCTTTCCATCTCCCTATTCAGCTTTAGTTTCACTAACGTTAGATTGACTTATTATTTAATATGTTTAATAAAGGGTTATCCCAAAGCACTTGAGATAAAGTGACAACAACTTTAACTTTTCTCTTTTTGTTCGTTTGTTTTTGTCTTTCTCCCTCTGCTAGCTTTCTTTGGAAGAACAAGAATGTGGTATACACATTCATTTCCCAAATGATATGATTTATGCCACCTTTCTTAAGAGATTAGAGTTTGCTCTTATTTTGTGTTTTTTTTTATTTCTATTACATAAGGAATAATTTAGGGAAATAATTATAGTAAAATATATTTTTTTATATGCCCTTCTAAATTTTCCCTGTGAGAAAATATCTGGAAAACATTTGTCAAGTAACAAATTTATGAAAGATTAAGTAAACATTTCAGAACACCCAATAACAGTAGCATTATGGAGGCTTAAAAATATATGGCACATTAAAAGACTGAAACTAGCAAGATTCAAGTGAATTCCATGTTTTCTATTCTTTACTGTTTGTAAGTTCCTTTTTGGTATTAAAGGAAAACATAATAAATCATTCAGTTCAGTGAAGTGTAACACTGCAAATGGTAATGATGTGAAGATGCAGTCTAGAAATCAAACTGAATTGCAGAGTCAAAGCAAAAGTTCCGTTACATGAGCGAGTAGCTGTGGAAATCAATTAATGAAGCAGATAAATTTAATCCTGGGTCATGTGAATTCAGAAAAATAGCCTCTGAGTGTGCATGTGAATGTGTGATTTGAATATAATCTTATAAAACAGAAATTATTAAACTAAATATGTTTAAATACTGTGACTGAAAACAGACATCTTAGATCACCATTGGTTTTTGTTTTGCTTTGTTTTCTCTGCTATAAAAGGGAAATCAAAAGAAAAAACTACATCACTGAAAAACTGAGAAATATAAAATCTAATTAGGAAACAAGTTAACAGCATAACTAGCATTTTGTCAATTTTTTTCTAGCTATTTTTTAATGGGATGGATGTTTGTAAGTCTCAAATATGTTTGTGGTTATTTTCCATGATTGTCATTAGGGGTATACTAAACATATATATTGCATTGACACTGACAAATAACAAGAGGCAGTGCAAGGGATACTCCAAGGTCTGCCCATGACAGTCTCCTAATAGCCCTGGCAATAAGCAGGGTTTACATAAACATTGAAATCCTATTCGTAATCATTATTAAAAAATATCTGTAACATATTGTAAGGAATATATATAGTTTATTTAAATATTTATCTTTAAGAGTAATAAATATAATCCAATAGGGTATATGCTTATAACTATATTTTCCCCTCATATTATCTCACCTAAATTTAATTTAATAAAATAGATAAATTGAAAGGTTAAATTTTAGAATATTTTAAGACTTTGTGTATGTTGTCAAATTGCTTTACAAAAGAAAAATCATTGCGGGAAGGTGTTATGTTTAGTCATGTATCACTTAATGACAGCGATACTTTCTTAGAAATGCAACATTAGGTAATTTCATCTTTGTGTGAACATCACAGAGTATACTTACACAAACCTAGATGGTACAGACTACTATACACCTGCAGTAGATGGTATAGTCAATTGCTACTAAGCTACAAACCTGTATAGCATGTTACAGTAATGAGTAGTATTGTGGGCAATTGTAACACAATGGACAGCATTTGTGTATCTAAATATTTCTAAACATAGAAAAGGTGCAATACAAATATTGCTTAAAATATTAAAAAATGGTTCACTTGTATGGGAAAATTACCATGAAAGGAGCTTGCCCAACAGAAAGTTGCTCTGGGTAAGTCAGTGAGTGAGTGGTGAGTGTATGTGAAGGCCTAGGACATTCCTGTATGCTACCATAGATTTTATAACCGCTGTATACTTAGGTTACACAAAGTTAATTAAAACTTTCTTTCTTCAATAATAAATTAAACTTCTCTCACTGTAAGTTTTTACTTTGTGAACTTTTAAATTTTTTAAAACTTTTTACCTCTTTCGTAACAACACAACTTAAAAGACAAACACATTGTACAGCTGCACAACCATATCTTCTTTCTTTATATCTTTAACCTATAAGCATTTTTCTAATTTTAAAATGTTTTATTATCATTTTTAAAATTCGGAAAACTTTTTGTTAAAAAAGAAGAAACAAACACACACATTAGCCTTGGTCTACATAGGAACAGGAACATTATCACCATCTTCCCACCTCCATGTTCACATCTTGTCCCACTGGAAGGTCTTCAAGGGCAAAAACTGGTATAGAGCTGTCGTCTCCTATGATAACAATGCCTTCTTCGACCTGAAAGACCTGGCTGAGGCTGTTTTACAGTTAACTTTCCTTTTTTTTTTATTTTTTGAGATGGAGTCTCACTCTTTTGCCCAGGCTGGGGTGCAATGGCATGATCTTGGCTCACTGCAACCTCCTCCTCCTGGGTTCAAGCAATTCTTCTGCCTTAGCTTCCCAAGTAGCTAGGATTACAGGCATGCACCACCACACCTAGCTAATTTTTGTATTTTTAGTAGAGATGGGGTTTCACCATATTGGCCAGGCTGTTCTCGAACTCCTGACCTCGTGATCCACCCACCTCGGCCTCCCAATGTGCTGGGATTACAGGCGTGAGCCACCGTGCCCGGCCAACTTTTCTTTTTTAATAAGTAGAAGAAGTACACTCTAAAATAAAAATGAAAAGTATAGTAAATACACAAATCAGTAATATTTATTATCTTTATCAAGTGTTATGTACTGTACATAATTGTATGTGCTATATTTTTCTATGATGGTCAGCATAGTAGATTTATTTACATCAATGTCACCACAAACACATGAGTAATGCGTTGTGATTCACAACTAGGTGCTAGGAATTTTTTGGCTCCATGGTAATCTTAAGGAACCACCTGTGTCCATGCAGTCCATCATTTACCAAAGCATTGTTATGTGGTGGGTGATTTGATATTAACATATATAAAATACATAATAGATAATATATCATTAGATATGTGATTTTGGAGTTGGCATTATTTATTTTTCTCTAGCAAGGACAGTATTAATGAAATTTATTACTGTTTCACATTAGCATTTTAATAATTTTAGAAATTACTGTATATAACTTTTGTAATACTTGAGAAAAAAACAAAAATAAAACTATATTTAAAAATCCTCTATGGAAAAGTCCATAATCCTCTACCAAAATATTTTGATATATATGTACAATAATTATATGAAAATTTTGCTAAATGTATGTGTGTGAGTATAAATCATTATATCATTACATGCATGCATATAATATAAAACTTACATGAGTAAAATTTTGTCTACAGGTTAGTAACTTTTTAAAATTAATTATATTTATTTCCATAGGTTATTGGGGAATGGGTGGTGTTTGGTTACATGAGTAAGTTCTTTAGTGGTGATTTGTCAGATTTTTGTGTAGCCATCACCCGAGCAAAATACACTGCACCCAATTTGTGGTCTTTTATCCCTCACCTCCTTCCCAGTCTTTCCCCCTGAGTCCCTAAAGTCCATTGTGTCATTCTTATGCCTTTGCATCCTCATAGCTTAGCTCCCACTTATGAGTGAAAACATACGATGTTTGACTTTTCATTCCGGAGTTACTTCACTTGCAATAATAGTCTCCAATCTCATCCAGGTTGCTGTGAATGCCATTAATTCATTCCTTATTTTGGCTGAGTAGTTTCCATGGTACACATGTACACATGGTATACAGTAGTATTCCATGGTATACTACAATTTCTTTAACCACTCGTTGATTGATGGGCATTTAGGTTGGTTCCATGTTTTTGCAATTGCGAATTGTTATGCTATAAACACGTGTGTGCAAGTATCTTTTTGTATAATGACTTATTTTGCTCTGGGTAGATACCCAGTAGTGGGATTGCTGGATCAAATGGTAGTTCTACTTTTAGATCTTTAAGGAATTTCCACACTGCTTTCCATAGTGGTTGTACTAATTTACATTCCCACCGGCAGTTGAGAAGTATTCCGTGTTCACTACATTCACGCCAACATCTATTGTTTTTTGATTACGGTCATTCTTGCCGGAGTTAGGTTGAATAGCATTGTGGTTTTAATTTGCATTTCCCTGATCATTAGTGATGTTGAGCATTTTTTCATATGTTTGTTGTCTATTTGCATATCTTCTTTTGAGAATACCCTATTCATGTCCTTAGCCCACTTTTTGATGTGATTGTTTTTTTCTTGTTGATTTGTTTGAGTTCCTTGTAGATTCTGGATATTAGTCCTTTGTAGGATGCACAGTTTGCAAAGATTTTCTCCTACTCTCTGGGTTGTCTGTTCACTCTGTTGACTGTTCCTTTTGCCGTGCAAAAGCTCTTTAGTATAATTAGGTCCCAGCAATTATATTTGTTTTTATTGCATTTGCTTGGTCATGAAATCCTTGCCTAAGCCAATGTCTAGAAGGGTTTTTCCAATGTTATCTTGTAGAATTTTTATAGTTTCAGGTCTTAGATTTAAGTCCTTGATCCATCTTGAGTTTTTGTATAAGGTGAGAGACGAAGATCCAGTTTCATTCTCCTACATATGGCTTGACAATTACTCCAGCATCATTTGTTGAATAGGTCCTTTCCCCTTTTTATTTTTTTGTTTGCTTTGTCGAAGATCAGTTGGCTGTAAGTATTTGGGTTTATTACTGGGTTCTTTATTCTGTTCCATTGGTCTTTATGCCTATTTTTATACCAGTAACATGCTGCTTTGGTGACTATGGCCTAAGAGTATAGTTTGAAATCAGGTAATGTGGTGTCTCCAGATATGTTCTTTTTGTTTAGTCTTGCTTTGTTTATGCCGGCACTTTTTTGGTCCATATGAATTTTAGGATTGTGTTTTCCAATTCTTTGAAGAATGATGGTGGTATTTTGATGTGAATTGCATTGAATTTGTAGATTGCTTTTGGCAGTATGGTCGTTTTCACAGTATTGATTCTACCCATCCATGAGCATGGGATGTGTTTCCATTTGTTTGTGTCATCCATGATTTCTTTCAGTGGTGTTTTGTAGTTTTCCTTGTAGATGTCTTTCACTTTCTCTGTTAGGTATATTCCTAAGTGTTTTATTTATTTTATTTTTTACTTTTTGCAGCTATTGTAAAAGGTGTTGAGTTCTTGTTTTGATTCTCAGCTTGGTCGCTATTGGTATATAGAAGAGATACTGATTAGCTTACATTAATTTTGTATCTGGAAACTTGGCTGAATTCTTTTGTCAGTTCTAGAAGCTTTTTGGAAGAGCCTTTAGTTTTCTTGGTAAACAATCATATCATTAGCAAACAAAGACCGTTTGACTTCTTCTTTCCCAATTTGGATCCCCTTTATTTCTTTCTCTTATCTGATTACCATGGCTTGGAATTCCAGTACTATATTGAAGAGGAGTGGTGAGAGTGGGCATCCTTATGTTGTTCCAGTTTTTGGAATGCTTTCAACTTTTCCCCATTCAGTATTATGTTGGCTGTGAGTTTGTCATAGTTGGCTTTTATTACATTGAGGTGTGTCCCTTGTAGGCCAATTTTGCTGAGAGTTTTAATCATAAAGAAACGCTGGATTTTGTCAAATGCTTTTTCTGCAGCTATTGAGATGGTCATGTAATTTTTTTTTTAGTCTGTTTATGTGTTTTATCACATTTATTGACTTGCGTATGTGAAACCATCCCTGTATCCCTTGTATGAAACCCACTTGATCATGATGGATTAATTTTTTGATATGTTTTTGGATTTGGTTAGCTAGATTTTGTTAAAAATTTTAGCATCTATGTTCATCAGGGATATTGGTCTGTAGTTTTCTTTTTTGGTTATGTCTTCTCCTGGTTTTGGTATTAGGGTGATACTGGCTTCACAGAATGATTTAGGAGGGGTTCCCTCTTTCTCCTTTGCCATATATATATATATATATATATATATATATATATATATATATTTTTTTTTTTTTTTTTTTTTTTTTTTTTTGAGATGGAGTATCTCTCTGTCGCCCAGGCTGGAGTGCAGTGGCGCAATCTCAGCTCACTGCAAGCTCCGCCTCCCAGGTTCATGCCATTCTCCTGCCTCAGCCTCCTGAGTAGCTGGGACCACAGGCACCCGCCACCATGCCCAGCTAATTTTTTTGGTATTTTTCGTAGAGACAGGGTTTCACCGTGTTATCCAGGACGGTCTCGATCTCCTGACCTCGTGATCTGCCCACCTTGGCCTCCCAAAGTGGACATATATTTGTATCATTGTCAATAGTTCTTTGTCCTTTTTTGATAACTGCATTGTATTACCTTCTGTAGATGCAAAATACTTATAATTTATTTAGTCAATATCATATTTTTGGTGTTTTTCTCATTTCCATCTCTATCAGATTTTGTTCTAAATTGTAACTTGTGTGCAATAGGCACACTTTTAAATAAAATTATTTTATAGATTAAATTCCTAAAAGTAGAATATGTGAAACAAATTTTGTGCCAAATTTAATAATTTAATTTATATTTGAAATGTGACCTGTTAAAATGAATTTAAATTTTTAATTTAACAAACTGGACAATGATCCTATGTTTCTCTGGCTCCTGCCGACATTGCGTATTATCATGAAACAAAAAACACACCCCACACACAAACACACATACACATTTTGAAAATTAAATAAGTGAAAAATTGGGCCTCATTGCTTTAAATTGCATTTTCATTATTATTTAAAATACAAGATTTAAAACAAACTAAATATACAATGATGTAACAACGGTTAAATGGTTAAATATTACATTCATGATGATTTAAGAACAATGGCTAGTGACATTTATTTATGTGCCCTAAATGTCACAAATAATTTTGTCATTCATTTATACTATACAGTCATATTTAATAAAATGCAATTCACTTAACATATGTGCTTCAGGATACAGTCCATTGGTGCTCTTCTCATATAAGACCCATCTTTATACTATTTCTTTAATTACTTTATTCTCCTGTTCAATATTTTTATTACCCTTATGCATATATTTTCATACATTTATTTTTTAATTGACAAAAAATGTATCTTTTTAAATTTATTATGTTTTTTGCATAACTACCTTAAAACTTGTGACTTATGGAGACAAACATATCCACTCATGAATGTCTAGGTCAGTATTTCAGCCTCAATTCAACTAGGCAATTATTTCACTTTAAATTTTTCATTTTGTAGCATTTTGCTGGTAAATGCACTAAGCTGGAAGGTCTAGGAAAGCCTCACTCACATCTTAATGGGGGCATATGTGTCACCTCAGTGCTCTTCCACTAAGCCATTCTCTCTCTACCTTGGGCTTCCTCACAACAGAGTGATCTCTCAGTATTTGGACTTCTTACACCTTGCTTATGTGCAAGGAGAATATCAACAGAGGGAAAATGTTATGGTTAGAATGTGTTCCCCAAAACTCACAAGTTGGAAACCTATTTCACAATGCAACAGTGCTGGAAGGTGGGGTCTAATGGGAGGTGGCTCAGCCCTCATGAATGAATTAATGCTTCTATAAAAAGGCTTACGGAAGTGAGTTCCTTCTTTTCTGCTCCTCTGCCATGTGTAGACACAGTAAGAAGGCCATAAGGAGAGGCTGGCACCTTGATCTTTTGCAGCGTCCTAAACTGTGAGAAATAAATTTCTGTTCTTTATAAATCACCCAATCTGTGATTTTTGTTTCTGTTTTGTTTTGTTTTAAGAGACAGAGTCTCCCTCTGTCACTCAGGCTGGAATGCAGAGGAGTGATCACTGCTCTCTGCAACCTATAGCTCCTGTGCTCAAGTGATCCTGCCACCTCAGCCTCTGCGGTAGCTGGGACTACAGGTGAGCGCCTCCACACCCAGCTAATATATTTAATTTTTATAGAGATGGAATCTTGCCTTGTTGCCCAGGCTGGTCTCAGGCTCCTGTCTTCAAGTGATCCTCCTGCCTTGGCCTTTCAAAGTGCTGGTATTACAGGCATGAGCCACCTTGCCTCCTGGCCCAGTCTGTCATACTCTGTTATAACAGCACAAAATAGATGAAAACAAAACTGCAGTTCTCTAAAGGCTTGGCATTAGTAGCTATACAGAATCATTTCTACCACATTTTGTGGGTCAGAGCCAGTCACAGAGCCAGTCCTTATTCAATGGAAAAAGAAATATACCACACCTCTGGAATGGAAGGTTGGCAAAGAGATTAGGGCCATTTATATTTCACCATATCTTTAAAAAGTGTGTTATGGTTTCTCATTTATAGAAATATTACTATATGCTTACAATTCCACAGAATTTTACATTTCCTATTATAGTTAATATGTTTTTATGGATAAGTTAATGGAAAATATTTAATTATATTCTTTATATAATGAATGGCATCTTTCATTATGTTTTCTAATGTTTATTGCCAGAATCAAGACTACTACTGCTTGTTTATTCCCCTTGAAACCAACAGCCTTCTCAATTATAATCCTTTTTAATTGGAATTTTAGGTTTTCTAAATATGCAATTACATCATTTGCAAATAATAATTGACTTTTTCTGCCCTTGTTTCTTACTGATTTTATTAGCCCTATTATGGTTAGTTAATTTCAAAATAAACAAATTACTTGAAGTCATGAATTACTTCATTTCATGCAGCACTAAGTTTTGTTGGGAAGCATTTATGTCGCTATACACAGCTGTATATATTCTGCTCATACAACATCCTTTTTGGTATTTTGTAAGTGAAGACTATGGAAAGAGGGAGGTACTATTTTGAGAAGGAAAAAGAAACGTTTGCTTAAGAAAGCCCTCTTCACTTTCCTGGGATAGAAGGACAGATTATTCTTTTTCCATGTTTAATAAACTCTATATAGAACAAACTCTATAAGAGAAAGCATTTTTTTCTTTATAAGGAGATGACTTTAGCTCAGTTCTATAGAAAGGGCTTTTAGTTTCTATTGCTGCATAATCCAGGACAGTAGGCAATAGTCACATGTGATCATTGAGCACTTGAAATGTGGTTGGTTTGAATTGTGATGTGCTGTGAGCATATAATAAATACTTAACTTTATAGACAATATAAAAATCTTATTTAAATTATTATACTAATCATATACTAAGTAATTTTTGATATGTGGGATTCATTAAAATGCATTTTAAATTTAATCTCATACATTCTGTTTTGCCTTTTTAATATGGCTATTAGAAAATCAAAAATTACACTTGCGGCTTGCAGTATAGTTTTATTTTACAGCACTATTTTAGAGGACATTTTTTTACTGAGATTAAATCCATATAACATACAATTTATGACCTTAACGTATACAACTTAGTGCATTCAGTATATTCACAATGCTGTGAAACCACCACCTTACTCTGGTTTCAAAAATTCTGTATAACTTTAGAAGAAGACTTTGTATCCATTAAGCAACTACTTAGTATTTTCCAATTCCCTCATCAACTGACAACTACTAATCAGCTTTATGTCACTATCGATTTACCTACTATGGATATTCCATATAAAAGAAATCATCCAATATATGACCTTTTCGTCTTTGTTGTTTCACTTATCATACTTTCGAGATTCATCCAAGTTGTAATATGTATTAGTATTTCATTTGTTTTCATGGCTGGATAATGTTCCACTCTGCGTATATACCACAATTCCTTTTTCCATTTATTGATGGGTGGAAATTTGGGTTATATCCAGATTTTGGCTGGAACATACATAAACAAGTATTTACTTGAGTTCCTGTTTTTAATTCTGTGGAGTAGAAGCCGAATGCTGGGGCATATGGTGAATCTATGTTTAACAAGCTACCAAACTTCTTTCTACAGTGGCTGCAACATTTTACTCTACCAATAGCAGTAGGGTTCCAATTTTCTACCTCCTTGTCTATACCTGTTATGTTTTCATCTTGTATTTAACATGTTGTTAGATAATATTTTATTTTATTTTTATTGAGGTAAAATATACATATAAAATTGACCATCTTGTGAAGTTGTGCATTATTTTGGTTTTGAATTGAACTTTAATAGCAAATAATGCTCAGCATATTTTTATATGCTTGTTGACTATTTGCATGTCTTCTTTGGGTAAATTTCTATTTAACTATTCAAGTCACTTGCCCATGTTTTCATTGAATTGGTTGTCTTTCTGTTGTTGAGCTGCAAGAATTCTTTGTGTATTCTAGACACAAAACTCTTATCAGACATATGATTTGTAAATATTTTTTCCCTTTCTGCAGGTTGTCTTAATAACATTGGATCATTAAAGGATTTTTAGGTTTTTATAACTTTTATTTTAAGTTCAGGGGTACAAGTGCAGGTTTGTTACATAAGTAAAGTTGTGTCATGGGGGTTTGTTGTACAGATTATTTCATTGCTCTCATGTTTAACCTAGTACCCATTAGTCATTTTTCCGACCATCTCCCTCCTCTCACCCTCCACCCTATGAAAAGCCCCAGTGTGTGTTATTCCTTCTATGTTTCCATGTGTTCTAATTATTATCTCCCACTGATAAATGAGAACATGCAGTATTTGGTTTTCTGTTCCTGCATCAGTTTGCTAAGAATAGTGGCCTCTAGCTACATTCATGTCCCTGCAAAGCACATGATTTCATTCTTTTATATGGCTGCATAGTATTCCGTGGTGTTTATGTACCACATTTTCTTTACCCAGTCTATCAAATTCCAATTTATCTATTTTTTTCTTTTATCGCTCATGCTTTTTATGTAAAATCAAATAATACATTGTGAAATTTAAGGTCAGGAATATTTGCCCCTGTTTTTTTTTCTAAAAATTCTATAGATTTAACTTTATTATTCAGTTCATTCACTCATTTTGAGTCAAATTTTGAATAGGTAGGGTATTCAACTTCATTCTTCCACATGTGCCTATCCAGTTGTCCCAGAAATATTTATTGAGACCATTATTTCTCTTATTGAATACTCTTGACTCACATGTTCAAAATCAATTGGCCATAGATATTTCAGTTCATTCTAGACTTTTAATTATATTGCATTGTTCTACATGCCTATCTTTCTACCCGTGCCACACTTGATTGTTATATTTTTGCAGTTTTGAAATTGAGGCATGTGAATCTTCCCAATTTGTTTTTCTTTTCAACATTATTTTGGTTATTGGTGGCATGTTGACATTCCATATGAATTTGAATAATTTTCTAGAAAAAAGGACATTGAGATTTTGATAGGAATTCCACTTAATCTGCAGATTAGTTTGGGCACTATTGCCATCTTAACAATATTGAAGTCTTCCAATTTATAAACAGTGGATGTCGTTTCCATTTACTTACATCTTTAATTTCTTTTGGCAGTGTTTTGTAGTTCTAAGCATACAAGTCTTTTAGCTCCTTGTATAAAATTATTTCCTAGATATTTTATTCTTTTAGATACTATCATGAATGGAATTCTCTTATTTCCTTTGAGGACTGCTCATTGGTGGTGTATAGAAGCACCACTAATTTTTGTGTGTTGATCTTTTATCCTGCATCTATGCTGATTTTTTTTATTATCTCTAGCAGTGGTGTGTGTGAGTGTGCATTCTTTGGACTATATATATGTACACATATATGTATATACACAATATGTATATTCAAAATAAATATATACATGTACCTACAAAAATACATATATATAATCAAATCACTAAAAATTAGAGAAATAGTTATTTCCTTTTGTACGTTTTTTTTTCTTGACTAACTGTTTTCATGTATGACTTGCAGTATAATGTTGACTAGCAGTGGTGAAAGTGGGCAAAATTGTCTCTTTTCTGACATTAGGAGAAAAGCTTTCAATCTTTTACCATTGAGTATGATGTTAACTGTGGGATTTTCATAAATATTCTTTATCACATTAAGGAAGCTATCATTCATTTTTATTTTGCTGGGTATTTTTATCATAAAAGTGTGTTGAATTTTATCAAATGCTTTTTCCACGTCTACTGAGATATGGAGATCGTGTGTGTGTGTGTGTGTGTGTGTGTATTCTCCCTTAATTCTACTAGTGTAATGTATGACATTGATTTATTCTTTTACTTGTATCGCCTTTTATGGGTTAAATTATCTCCCCTCAAAATGCACAGGTTTGGACCCTAACCCTTAGTGCTTTTACAAAAGGTGCTTTTACAAAAGTAAGTTAAAATGAAGTTATTAGAATGTGCCCTAATCTAATCTGATTGGTGTACTTATAAAAAGAGGATATTAAGACACACAGAAAAATCCCCTGGGTGAATGTGTCCAGGGGGACAACCCTATGAGGAGGTATCAAGAGGGCAGTCACCTGTACGTGAAGTAGAGGGACCTCAGGGAAAATCAACACTGCTTGTTTCTTTTTATTATTTATTTATTTGTTTATTTTTGTGACAGAGTCTTGCTCTGTCTCCAGGGTGGAGTGCAGTGGCGCTATCTCGGCTCACTGCAACCTCCAACTCCCTAGTTCAAGTGATTCTCCTGCCTCAGCCTTACAAGTAGCTAGGATTACAGGCACACGCCACCACACCTGGCTAATTTTTGTATTTTTAGTAGAGAAGGAGTTTCACCATGCTGGCCAGGAAGGTCTCAATCTCCTGACCTCATGATCTGCCTGCCTTGTCCTCCCAAAGTGCTGGGATTACGGGTGTGAGCCACTACGCCCAGCCACTTGTATCTTAATATTAGACATCTGGCCTCCAGAATTGTGACACAATTTTTGTTTATTTGTTTATCATCCAGTGTATGGTATTTAGTCATGGCAGCTCTAACAAACCTTAACCACCTCTGGATTCCTGGAATAAATCCCACTTGTTCGTGGTGTACAAACATGCTGTTGAATTTGGTTAGCTACCATTTTCTTAAAGATTTCCGTGCGTACATTCATAAGGAATATTAAATTGTAGTTGTCTGTTCTTTTGATATCTTTATCTGGCTTTTTTATCAGAATAATTCTAGTCTTACAGAAAATATTATGATGTGTTTCCTCTTATATTTTTGTAAGATTTTGAGTAGTTTTGGTGATAATATTTCTTTTAAGACTGGGGAGAATTTTTCTTTTAAAGTTTGGGAGAATCCAACAATGAAAGCATCTGGTGTTGGCATTTCTTTGTTGGTAGATTTATGATAACTGACTCAATATATTTTCTTGTAACAGATCTATTAGAATTTTGTTTCCTCTTGAGTCAGTTTTAGTAATTTGTGTGTTTCTAGAAATTTGTCCATTTCATCTAGATTGTCTATTTTGTTGATAAACAAATGTTGATAGTATTTTCTTGTAAATCTTTTTTTTTTTTTTTTTTTTGAGACAGAGTCTCACTCTTTCGCCCAGGCCGGAGTGCAGTGGCGCGATCTCAGCTCACTGCAAGCTCTGCATCCCGGGTTCACGCCATTCTCCTGCCTCAGCCTCCCGAGTAGCTGGGACTACAGGTGCCAGCCACCACGCCCGGCTACTTTTTTGTATTTTTAGTAGAGACGGGTTTTCGCCATGCTAGCCAGGATGGTCTCGATCTCCTGACCTCTTGATCTGCCCACCTCAGCCTCCCAAAGTGCTAGGATTACAGGCGTGAGCCACTGTGCCCAGCCTTCTTGTAATTCTTTTAATCTGTGTAAAGGTTTGGTGGTAATATCTCCATTTTTATTTATTTTAGTTATTTGCTTCTTTCTTTTCTTCTTAATCTAGATAAAAGTTTATCAAATTTATTAATCTTTACAAAGAACCAACTTTTAGGTTTATCTGTTCTCTCTATTGCTTTGCTGTTCTCTATTTCATTTATCTGTTGTCTAATCTTAACTATTCCCTTGCTTTTCTACTTGCTTAAGGTGTAAAGTTAAGTAATTGAGAATTTTCTTTTTAAATGTAGATATTTAGAACTATATAGAGAAAGAAATAATGTTTTCTGCCCCTTTATCTTTTCTTCTCTTTCTGCAATTCCTATAAATCTTACTTTAATATATCTGATGGTAGGTACCTTAGGCTTTGTTATTTTCTGTTTCCCAGTGAATGTTGTATTTTTCTTCTGTCTGCTCAAATCTGCTATTAAAAGCACTTGTAAATTTTTCTTTTCAGGCACTGTATTTTGAACTACAGAATTTCTGTTTTTTTTATAATTTCTGTTTGTTATTGATATTCTCTACTTATTCTTACATCATACCCTGCTTTTCATTATTTATATATCCATAGTTTTCTTAAGCTCTTTGAAAATATTTATTCATGGTTACCTTTAAAATAGTTAAGAATGTTAAAGTCTTCATCTAATAAATTCAACACCTAGGCTTTCTCAAAAATGATTTTTGTTATTTTTTTCCCCATGAATGGGCATTAATTTTATGTTTCTTTTATGTTTTACAATTTTTTAAACAACAGAACATCTTTAATTTTGCAATGTGCTATCTCTGGAAATCAGATTTTTCTCTATTCCCAGGGATTGCTGGTGTTATTGTTAATGGGTGCAGTTGTTCATTTGCTTAGTGTTTGTTTTCTAAATGCCTTTTTTTTTTTTTTTTTTTGCAAAAAGATGTAGTATTCCCTGTCACATGTAATCACTGAAGTCTTTATTCAATTATCACTCCAGTCAACGGGTGAACCTGACAGAGATTTTCTTAAATGCATGGCTCCTATTAAAAAATAGAAAAAAAATGTGTTTTCTCCCTTTAAATTCTTTTTTTAAATTTAATCATCTGTTTTTATTTTTATTTTATTTTTCTTTTTCTGTATTTCCATAGGCTATCGGGGAATAGATGGTGTTTGGTTACATGAGTAAGTTCTTTAGTGGTAATCTGTGAGATTTTGGTGCAGCCATCACCCAAGCAGCATACACTACACCGTATTTGTTGTCTTTCATCCCACACTCCCTTCCCAGCCTTTCCCCCGAGTCCCCAAAGTCCATTGTGTCATTCTTATGCCTTTGCATCCTCATAGCTTAGCTCCCACTTATGAGTAAGAACATACGATGTTTGGTTTTCTATTCCTGAGTTACTTCACTTAGAATAATAGTCTCCAATCTCATCCAGGTCGCTGTGAATGCCATTATTCATTCCTTTTAATGGCTGAGTAGTATTCCATGGTGTACGTGTGTGTGTGTGTGTGTGTGTGTGTGTGTATATATATCACATATAGACATATATCATATATATATATATCACAGTTTCTTTATCCACTTGTCGATTGATGGGCACTTGGGTTGGTTCCATGTTTTTGCAATTGCAAATTGTGCTGCTATAAACATGCATGTGCAAGTATCATTTTCGTGTAATGACTGCCAACATCCTTTGTTTTTTGATTTTTTATTATGGCCATTCTTGCAGGAGTTAGGTGGTATTGCATGGTAGTTTTGATTTATTTTCATTTCCCTGATCATTAGTGATGTTGAGCATTTTTTCATATGTTTGTTGGCCATTTGCAGGTCTTCTTTTGAGAACTGTCTCTTCACGTTCTTAGCCCACTTTTCGATGGGATTTTTTTTCTTGTCGATTTGTTTGAGTTCCTTATAGATTCTGAATATTAGTCCTTTGTTGGATGTATATATTGAGAAGATTTTTTCCCATCCTGTGGGTTGTCTGTTTACTCTGCTGACTGTTCCTTTTGCCATGCAAAAACTCTTTGGTTTAATTAAGTCCCAGCAATTTATCTTTGTTTTATTGCATTTGCTTTTGGGTTCTTCGTCATGAAATATTTGCCTGAGCCAATGTCTAGAAGGGTTTTTCCAATGTTATCTTGTAGAATTTTTATAGTTTCAGGTCTTAGGTTTAAGTCATTAATTCATCTTGAGTTGATTTTTGTATAAGGTGAATGATGAGGATCCAGTTTCATTCTCCTACTTGTGGCCTGCCAATTAACTCAACACCATTTGTTGAATAGGGTGTCCTTTCCAGACTTTATATTTTTGTTTGCTTTATTGAAGATCAATTGGCTGTAAGTATTTGGGTTTATTACTGGGTTCTCTATTCTGTTCCATTGGCCTTTATGACTATTTTTATAGCAGTAACCTGTTGTTTTGGTGACTATGGCCTTATAGTATAGTTTGAAATCAGGTAATGTGGTGTCTCCATATTTGTTCTTTTTGTTTAGTCTTGCTTTGTTTATGCAGGTGCTTTTTGGTTCCATATGAATTTTAGGATTGTTTTTCTGTGAAGAATAATGGGGTATTTTGATGGGAATTGCATTAATTTGTAGATTGCTATTGGCAGTATGGTCATTTTCACAATATTGATTCTACCTATCCATGTGCATGGAATGTGATTCCATTTGTTTGTGTCATCTATGATTTCTCTCAGCAGTGTTTTATAGTTTCCCTTGTAGAGGTCTTTCTCCTCCTTGGTTAGGTATATTCCTAAATACTTTATATTTTTTGCAGCTATTGTAAAAGGGGGTTGAGCTCTTGATTTGATTCTCAGCTTGGTTGCTGTTGGTGTATAGAAGCACTACTGATTTGTGTACATTAATTTTGTATCTTGAAACATTGCTGAATTCTTTTATTAATTGTAGGAGCTTTAAGGAGGAGTCTTTAGGGTTTTTAGGTAAACTATCCTCTCATCAGCAAACAACAACTGTTTGACTTTTTCTTTACCGATTAGGATGCCCTTTGTTTCTTTCTCTTGTCTGATTTTTCTGGCTAGGACTTCTAGTACTATGTTGAAGAGGAGTGGTGGGAGTGGATATCCTAAATTCTTTCTTACAAATGCTGCCTAGGAAGCCATTAAGTCAGCCTCTGCAAGAGCAAACAAACAGCCCTGTCAACACACAACTCAGATCTCCATAGCACAAAGTGCTGTTGCCCACCTAGGCATCTGTGAGTCACACCAGGAATATGCAATGCCATCCTCAAGGTTGCCTGCCATGGGACTGAGGAATGGGGACGGGAAGTGCTATAGGAAATACCAAAATTCCTCAAAATTTACCAGACTTTTTTTGTCAAGCCCTGTCCTGATCACTACAATTGTTTAACTAGACTCTGGAGCTGTGAGATAGATGATTCTGACAATTCTTGTCAGCTCAATATCTGTTTCAGGGGAAAAAATATTTCCTGGAGATTTGTACTTCACCATCTTCTGTGACATTTTAGTGGGCATTTATTTTTCCAAGCTTATTTATTTATTTTTAAATTGACAAACACAATTGTATATATTATTGTGTGCAACATAAAGTTTTGAAGTATATATGCATTATGGAATAACATATCAAAGAGATGTCTGCATTCCCATGTTTATTGTAGCACTAATCACAATAGGTAAGTTATAGAATCCACGTAAGTGCCGGCCAATGGACGAATTAATAAAGAAATTGTGGTATCAATACAATGGAATACTATTCATCCATAAAAAGAATGAAATCCTGTCATTCGCTGTAATGTATATGAACTTAGAGGGCATTGTGTTAAGTAAAATAAGCCAGACTCAGAAAGACAAATACCACATGTTCTCACTCATATGTGGAAGTCAAAAAAGTTGATCTCTTCTGATGAAACAAATCTCTAGAGCCTATTTGGAGTTTCCTTGGTTTGAAGTTTATTATTGCCCCCCAACGCCTGCTGCCATAATTTATCAAGAATGAGGACACTGTCCATTCAGTTACAAAATATGGGAAGGTGTGTGTGTGTGTGTGTGTATGTGTGTGTGTGTGTTATGGAGTCACTGTGTTCTCCCAAAATTCATAGGTTGAAATCCTAACCCCCAATGTGATGGCATTAGGAGATGAGGCCTTTGGTAAGTGATTAGGTCATAAGGACAGAGCCCTCATGAATGAGATTAGTGCCCTTATAAAAGACACCCTGGAGAGCTCCCTCACCCCTTCTGCCTTCTGCCATGTGAGGACACAGCAAGAAGATGGCCATTTGTGAAACAAGTGGGCCCTCACCAGACACTGAATCTGCTGGCACCTCGATCTAGGACTTCTATCCTCCAGAAATGTGAGAAATAAATGTTTGTTGTTTAGGCCTAAAACAAACAAACAAACAAAAAGTTGATCTCACAGAAATTCAGAGCAGAATGGTGATTATTAGAGACTGAAGTGGCTGGCAGGTGGGTTGGGGAGATGTTAATTAAATGATGCAAAATTACAGTTAGATAGGAGGAATAAGTTCAAGAGAGCTACTACATAGACTTGTGACTATAGTCAATGATGAGGTATTGTATTCTTGAAAAATGCTGAGTGAGTTGATGTGACGGGGCTGTTTTGAAATTAGTGTGGAGAAACAACAGCTGATAGCTAAACCTAAAAATTGAAATTCACAGCATTAATGAAAGTTTTGGAGAAGGTGAAGGGTAAGAGAGAGTGAATCTAAAGAAGAGGAGAAGGCCAGGCGCAGTGGCTCACGCCTGTAATCCCAGCACTTTGGGAAGCCGAGGCGGGTGATCACCTAATGTCAGGAATTCAAGACCAGCGTGGCCAACGTGGTGAAACCCTGTCTCTACTAAACATACAAAAACAAACAAACAAACAAATAAAACTTAGCAGGGCCTGGTGGTATGTGCCTGTAATTCCAGCTACTCAGGAGGCTGAGGCAGGAGAATTGCTTGAACCCGGGAGGCGGAGGTTGCAGTGAGCCGAGATCATGCCACTGCACTCCAGCCTGGGTGACAGAGTAAGAAAGACTCTGTCTCAAAACAAAACAAAACAAAACAAAATAGGAGAAATAATTTGATGAATAATTTAATTAATTACCAGCAATAAAAATGTGAAAAGCATGAGGCATAGAAAAATGAAAGGGAAACATAATTTCAATTCCTGGGCCTGCAATTAGCTAGCTGGGTGACTTTGACTTATCATTTAATATTTGAAAACTTTGTTTCCTTATTTTTAGAATAAGGGAATTATGATTTCTGTGATTCTTTTTGCCTCTAAAATTTTGAAATTTACGGTCATAAAAACCAAAAGTGTTATTTTTTAAAACTTTTCATATTAAATCGTGCCTTTTTGTGAACCTATGATGTATACATAAAAAGATTTCATGCAAATGGCTATAGAAATATTTTCACTATCAATTATATAATATTCAACATTTGCTGAACATTGAACATGTGTTATCTTTCACTAGTCACATGGGTTCATAGTCTTTTCAGCCCAAAGACAAGGCAAAATCAGCCAGTGTTCAGATTCCAGCGACTTCCATTCCTTGTATTTTCTAGAGACCACTGTGTTTAAGAAGTAGCAGCTTGTGTTGTGATACCTTGGAAACTGTATGAATTGCAGGCTGTTTTCAGGTATAGCTTTTCATTATTTCATAGAAAATTAAACTATAAGACACACATTAATTAACTTTCATTTAAGAATTACAATGAGAATGTAACTTTTGCCATTTTCTAATTGGGCATAAAATACAAATTTTTAAATGTTAGGACAAAATTAGTTTTGCATTATTCACCCCAGACTACGTATCCTGAGAGCATTCCCATGGTGTTACCACGTATTTTTTTTGTGGGACTTGGGGTCTGTATCTGATGCCAGAGTTGATGGGGGCAAAGAATGATTTAGAACCTAGAACAGGAAATGAAACAGCAACCAAGATCCTCTATTACTCTTTTTTATGTTCCATGTTGTTTTTAAAATGTCAAAATCTACCAACATTCAAAATGTTTAGTAGAATCATTACCGCTGGATTTCTGTTATCTGTTTAAGTGTTCCAGTTCTTAAATTATTTTTCTAGTCTCTAACAGCAGAGTCATTATCTTTATGGCACTTTATGGAATTTTTCATAAACATTGACAACATAGTTCTTGTTGCATGGAGCAAAAAGTATTAATGTAATAGCACATGAGTACATATTGCTTACCATATGCTTGTAACTATTTTAATATGTATAAAAATCAATATATCTAATGCTTAAAATTATGCTGACAAGGTGGTCTATACTTATGCTCATTCTACCATAAAGAAACTATGGCACAGAGAGGTAAAGTATCTTGCCCAGAGTCACACACATCTAATATATGCTGAAGCCATAATTCAATTCCAGGTAGTCCAATTCCTGAGTTTGTGCTCATCATCACTATGCTATAATTCCTCTCTTCCCATAAATGAAAATAATAATATAAAATGAAGTGTTAAAAAAGAATTATATGCCTACTTGTCAAATATCTTCGTTTTTCTAGGGGGAGAATGAGAGTATATTTTTTTCTTTTTTCTTTTTTTAATTTTTTAAAAAATTGTTATCGATTTATTTATTTTGAGACAGGGTTATGAAACTGGCTAATTTTTGTATATTTGGTAGAGATGAGGTTTTGCTATGTTTGCCCAGGGTGGTCTCGAATTCCTAGGTTCAAGCAATCCACCCGCCTGGGCCTCCCAAAGTGCTGGGATTACAGGCATGAGCCACTGTGCCTGGCCAAGAGTAAAATTTTCTTATCTGCTGCAGAAACTGACAATCTGCTAAGAATTTGGAATGATTAACTCAAAAAATTATACTGAATTTCTGTAGAGAAAAATAATATACATTTATTTTAATTGGTACATTTATATGTCTGTATTTTTATAATGCATATGGCATTTACAAATTACAAAATCATTAAGACAGAAAGATTTTTACTCAAAATATGTTTCAATTACATATTTGCATAACAATAATGTAGTTTGGAGCTTCTCATTTTTCTTCAAATTCTGCCTCACGGTTTTCCAAAAAATGATGCTAAAATTCTAAACTAATGAGTCTAAACTAATAATAACTATGGAGGCATATTCTTTATATCTGAAATTAAAACTGAATTAAGCTTTTATTCTTTTTGTCTCTTTAGAATAGAAATTAAAACTGAATTAAGCTTTTATTCTTTTTGTCCCTTTGGAATATAATTTTAAAGCAATCAGCATTTAAACCCACACAAAACATCCTTCAGTCTACAGCCTATGTTTCACATTTAATAGTATTTCATCCTATGCCTATGCATAATTTGATGCGTTTTGACGCATTCAAGTATCAAGAAAGAAAAAATAATAATATGTACTTTAAGAGATAATATTTGTTCTCAATGGCTTCACTTTCATTCATGTGGGTGACAAAGATACTTGATACTCACTGAAATTATTATTTTGCATTCTCTAAAATGTTATTCTCACTTAGAAAAAATAGTAGATATAGGTTAAAACATCTTCCCAAAGTAACTTTCACAAGTAAAACTAAGGAGGCTGTTTTTCCCTAAAAAGAAACAGAACTATCTTAATATCTGGTTATAAGAATTGAAAAGAAACCAGTTAACCACATTTTTATAATCTAGTATAAAGTCAGAACAAGTTTTAGATAAAATGAAGTGTGACTTTTATGACTAATTTATTAAATAATATCTGTATTTATGTAGTGACCATTCATCCTGACCAATGGTAATGTTCTAAGCAAATGCTCCTTGCTATTCAAAATATGTTAAAGACTTTGTCAAAAGTACATGTAGTTAGAGGACTACTGATTAGACTTAAATATTTATTAAGTGGCTTATTCAGATGTTACATTTAAACTAGGTTTGATTGTGTATTCAAAAACAAAAGGTCATGAAACAGTTCAAAAATGGTTTTACTTATGTTTTGATTCTTGATATAGTCAGTTGCAATGGTGTCTTATTAGATTTATATTGTTCCATGTATTACCTACATACAAATATGTTAATTTACTTCATTACAATGATATACTTTTTATAAATATTATGTGGTTTATTCATATTATCTTATTATGTACTTATTTAGTACACATTTAAACCCATTTCAAAGGGATATAAATATGTTCTGACATGGGTACCATTAATGGGACCTTAAAAATCTAATCATAGCATTCTCCTACTTAAAACTATTAAGGTTTTTTTCTTGATTTACAACATGAAATACAAGCTACTTTATGTTATTGAAATTCATTGCTTAGCGAAACTCAAGTTGTAAGTAAAACCACATTAAAATTTAAAAATCTTTTGAATCAAATGAAAGTTAAGGTCTGCATGAAGATGATGAGAAGGGTCAACAGAACATTGCATTTTGATAACGACGTTTTAAAATTATTACCAGGTCAATTTAGTTCATTTGAAATCTCTTTGAAGATATGTCTTATAACTCTAATTTCTCTGCCTTAAGCATAGTTATGGAGACTTTTAGGAGGTTTCCATAGATAATGGCACATTAATGGCCATTTATCTATTAGCAGCCATACAGTCATCCTCCAAAAGGGGGTGCCATACCAGGGTATCGCTTTAGAGTAAACTCAGAATGTTTTTACCACCTGCCCTTCATCAGACTGTGATCATTGTGATAATAACAGATATGACTAACTCCAAAGCTAACAAATACACACTTTTCTCCCAGGTTGCCACAGCTGTAGAATGCTTTTATAAGTGTCTACCTTCTATTGAGTGATTTCTCGTGTCATAGCACTCATGTCCCCCAGATGCACTTTAGTGTTCTGGTTTTCCTTAAAAGATTATTGACTTCACTTATTGCTGAGCCTCCCTTCCTTTATGACAGCAACTAGTACAAAGCTGAGCTCCACTTCCCCTCTTCCCACTCAAAAAACAACCTGATAGTGAGTGCTATGGATTGAATTGTGTCCCCTACAAAATTTATATGTTAAGGTCCTAATCCCCACTACCCATGAATGAGGCTGTATTTGGACAAAAGGCTTTGACAGAGGGTAATTAAGTTGAAATGAGACATTGGGGTGGGCTCTAATCCATCTAGTTGATGTCCTTATAAGAGGAGGAGATTATGACATAACAAAAGACAACAGAGATATGCACACGTAAAGAAAAGACTGTTTGAGGACGCAGAGAGAGAGGGTCATCTACAAGCAAAGGAGAGAGGCCTCAGGAGAAACCAAACCTACTGACACCTTGATCTTGGACTTCTAGCCTCCAGAGCTGTGAGAAAAATATATATCTCTTATTTCAACGACCCAGTCTGTGGCATTTTGTTACAACAGCACTAGCAAACTTGCAGTACTTGATCCTTGCCTCTCCCAAGCCTGTTCCCAGAATCTTTCAACCTAAGTCCAAACTTCACCACTCATGCCTCTCTCCCTTTAACTTACATGCTACGTAGTTCTCCTTCTATGTTCTTCCTTGTTGCACCAAGTTAATAAATTTAAATTTGTTTGACCCAAGATTTGTTCCTGGTGGTCTTTAAGTGATGAGCTTTCTCATCCAATTCCTGAGATTCAAAATTACCCTTGAGCTCAGGTAAATCCTCTTGAAGCAAAAAACTTACACTCTCTCTCCCTTTCCATCGATGTAGTTTTGTTCCCTCCATATGTGTAGACCTTTATAATAACAGCCTTTCTATGAATTGCCTTATGGGACAATGACTCACTTTGGCAATTACTCTGTTTTCCAACCATGAAATTGATTCTGAAAATCTCAGACCCAATGTTGCTGAACAACATATAGGAGAAGTGATATATAACTTTTAATATTTCATTGAAGAGTCTATAGAATAGACAGTCATAAAATTTATTAATTTTTCAGTTACCTGCTATAATATTGGGACTTATGATATATACCATAATCTAGCTCTACCTTTATTCCATTTATATTTCATCTTTTTCTTTGAACATGGAAATGTAGTATTAGCTTTGTACGTTAAAAACACAAATAAAGTTTCATAGAAAATAAACTTTGTTTTATCCAACATATAATTTTTAAGCATATTCAACCATAAAGACCCCACTCTACATATTACTTATTAACAACCTCTTGTGAAATAAAAATAAATCTTGGGTCCCCCAAACCACTAAGCTAAAGGGAAAACTCAGCCTGAGAACTGCTAGGGCCAACCTGCCTCCCATTCTATTCAAAGTCACCCCTCTGCTCACTGAGATAAATGCATATCTAATTGCCTTCTTTGGCGAGGCTAATCAGAAACTCACAAAAGCCACCATTTGTCTCTTATCTTCCTATGACCCAGAAGCCCCCTCCCTGCTTCCAGTCTTCCTGCCTTTGTTTCGAGTTGTCCCGCCTTTCCAGATAGAACCAATGTTCATCTTGCATATGTTGATTGATGTCTCATGTCTCCTTAAAATGTGTAAAAGCAAACTGTGCTCCGACCACCTTGGGCACACATCCTCAGGACCTCTTGATGCTGTATCACAGGTTTGTGTTCACAACCTTGGCAAAATACACTTTCTAAATTAACTGAGAGCTGTCTCAGATGTTCGAGGTTCTCACTCTTAAAACACACTATGAGAACGTTAATTTCTTAGAGGAATTAATTACCAGTTCTTGTCAAAGTTTGATCACAAACAAGGGACCACCTTCCAAGAAAGGTCATTCAATTTTTTTTTTCCTCTGGTAAAGAATTTTTCGTAATCCTTTATCACTGGCAAAGTAGCACACATGAAAAATAGCACCTAGTTAAGAGTATTAAGCTCATTACAGATTGATGGTTACCTAAGCAGTTTAAAGATTAAATCCATCAGTCAATTGCTTCACTCTATTTTCAGAAATGCTACCTACTTCCTAGAAGGGACTGTTAATACTGAGACAACAGAGGTCCACTCCACATTATCTTTCTCAGGTTTGAGACCATCTTCTTTCTCATTACGAGCCACTAGAGGTGCAGTCCTCTGTGTTTTGCTCGCATTATTCCCTCTGGCACTTTTCTTCTCTGCCTTATTCGTTTTTATTCCTAAAATTCAGATATGATTTATTTTTAAAACCCTGACATCTGTTACTTAAAAAAGCCTCCTGTGGATTCCAAATTGGGTATATACATCTGTATTCTTTAATAGCATCATATTTATGTCTCTATTTATAATAATTAAAATATTGCATTTTGTTCTAAAATTATATTATTTTGAAATAATTTTCTAAATAGTTTATATACTCCTCAAATACAAGAATAACATCTTATTCATATTTGCAATTCTATGTTTATAAATGTACATATACATTTATGTATTTAGATTTATATTGGCAACTACATCAACACAAAGTAGTCTATTTTAAGTAGACATTAAATAAACGTTAAAATGGACTAAACCTGTTATGACAACTGATTAGAGAGGATGACATATTTATTTTAGTGAGGAGATTTGGGAAATATTTTTCCTAAAAGAAAAGTCAGCAAAAGCTAACAGTAGCATTGATTTTTGAATTTAAAAGAAATGAGAAGTCTCTTAGGAAATCAGAGGAAAAATATGTCCTTAGTGCTTTCTAAGAAATATCTGTGTTTTAAAGTGGCCTCAGTTCAAATTGGAAGGGAGAATAAGCACAATATTAGAAAACCATTAAGGAAATTTCTTTTTTTCTTTTTTGCTTAAATACAAAAGATCTTGGTCTGAATTCCGGGTCAACTGCCTACTGCCTGCGCTACTCTGTACTTTGTGATTTGATCAAATTCTTCTTTCTTAATTTCAGTTTGCTCACCTAAAAATTATTAAGATAATACCTGGTTCACCAATCTTCCCTACAGAGTTATTGTGAATACCAAAAGTTAAAAGGTACAGAAAATACTTCATCATTATAAAATATTTTAAAATAGTTACTATAATGATGATTTTATTGTAATATAGGTAAACTTGGGAGGATCACTTGAGCCCAGGAAGGTCAAGACTGCATGCCAATGCACTCCAGCCTGGGTGACAAAGTGAGAGCTTATCTCCAAAAGAAAAATACATATGCATGTGTGTGTGTAGATGTGTGTATATATATATATATATATATATATATATATATATATATATATACACACATCTACACACACACAGACTATACCTTTTTACTTCTTAATAATAGGTTTATGGAGGTATCTAGCATACACCACTGACTTTATGCCAGTAAGTTGAGTTTAATTTGGATACAAACAAGGAAACAATGACGAACAAGTAAAAAATATATATCTCATGTCACTGGCGCCTTTTGAGACTTAACTGCATTATCTATCAAATCATTTGGCAAATATGTTAGTGTTAGAATTTATCTATTAGCCTGTAGTAAGCAGGAGGAAGCCACTGTCTGTATGCTTTAAATAGGAAAGCAGTTGATAATAATTTCCTTTTATAGGTAGGAAGGAGGGAAATGTCATGATTTTTAAGTCATTTATTATTTAACAAAATTATTTAACTTTAGATGTAGAAATAATTTATCCTCAATATTTTAATTCTTATTGAGAATAGAGTTTATATATAAAAACGTTATTGAATTATCCACTCTTGCAGAAGTAATAAGTGCTAGAAAGAAGACTGGAAACTAAATGTCCTATTGCCTATCGAATGCTTTTTTCATTAGGATAACTCTTAACAATCCGGAAAGGAAAATTAGTGAAAGCTGTTACAGGATATTTGTTAATACTGAGGTGTCCTCTTCTTTAATTCTTCCTTTAAATGTATGTCACTTGAATATTTTTGTAGATTAAAAGCAGTTTATAAATATTTATTATTTTCTAACAAAAGTGATTTTTAGAGTTAAATAAGAAAATGTACACAGCGACCTTTTAGGAGATCACAGTTATCACTACTTAAAAGAGAAATCTGAATGAACCAGATTGTTGAAATTGATTAGTTAATATCATATTTCAGAGTAATCCAGTTCTAGATTCTAAATTATGCTCTCAAAAGTAGTCTTTGTTGATTGGGATCATTTCATTAACAACATAACCCAACTAATAGGACAATATTTCATTGAAAAGTGCCATGAAATAACAGCAAAATATTTACATATGTAGAACTATTTGCTAACTCTTCTTAAATTACCATTACTTTTATTCAGACTGTAGTTAGAGTTACAATATAATTTATTTTACTGTGTACCTGTTGTAATGCACTTATTTCAGAAAAAAATCTAAACCAAACACAAATTTGTTTTTTTCTGTAAATTAATGTTTTCAGAGAAAAACATCTTTCTAGAAATACAAATTGTTTATAATTTGTATAAACAATTGCATTAAGAATTACATGGTAGCATTCACTTTTAAAACAAAATATTTAATTTTCACGGATCAGGAGAACATTGTTTGAAATGAAATTTAAATATAGTTTCTTGGACAAATTCCTATTATAGAAACAAGATATGCACTATTGAGAAACTATGTTGATGCAATTAATGCCTATTTTGTTATTTATAAAATGTAAAAATTAGCATGATGCTGTTATTAGAAAATAAATATGCTGCAAAGAGAAAGTATGATAAAACTTTGAAATCATGCATCATATATTATGCTACAAATGTCTTTATGCCATAAAATTTGTTACGGCATAAAGACGGAGGATGCACTGCATATAATACTTCTATATAAGTTAACAAAGCTTACTAATGAAAATGAAGGCATTTAACATGTCTATTCTAACATTTTTCTTCCAATTTTTTCACGAAATCTTGCTATTTTAGTATTATTCTGCCAAATGTATTGATATACACAAATACTTAATTTGCTAGGACATTTTCCTCTTATTTTGCAATTTAATTTTTGTTACAAAATGGTAAACAATCATAACTAATCATCTTTTAATGGTGATACACAATACAGGGTATATAATGAATACAGAAGAAAACAAAACTAACAGAATTTGGTCTCTGGATAATGTGTTCATTTCATTGATATTTGGGATTTAAATCTGATAATATTAAAACAGACAAACCAACCAAAAAAGGAGCAAAGCATTAGAAATTAAGAGATACTCATTTTCCCCCACAAAATACCTTCCACATTTTATAAAGGCATTGCTTATCAGTTATAGACATTGAATGACTGCCCACAAAGTTACAGATTGTAGAACATTCTACTGAGTGCATGTATTACAATATGGAATTTTATATGCAATGTGGAAAGCTGGATGTTTCCTTACTCTACTAAAATTTAGGCACAGAAGGTACCCAGTGTCCTGTCCCTAAATAAGAGGCAAATAAAACATTGTAAATCTTGTCTCCTTGTAGGATGTCCAAGAAGTCTTCTCTATCATGTTTTTTTCACCTTCGTTTGTTTCAGGTTGAAAACTACAGATCTCTTTACTTTTAAGCTTTTATAACATAAATTATTCCGCTGCCCTGTCTCACTTCTTTACTTACATTTTACCTAAAATTAGAGGCACTTACAGTTTACATTTTTACACTCAATATTTTCTAAAATAGCATCAGTATATTTTCTGTAATGCATAGCTATACTTTAATCAAATACTTTAATAAATAAAGAAATCAAAAATAAAAATCCCCAAAAACTTGAACAAGTGTGAAACCTGCACTGTGAGTCAGGGGAAAACAGTTCTATTTTTGGATGTTCCCCTTAAAGCATATTTCATGTTATATGCATCATTTAGCGCCTTCAGTCTTTACTTATGCTAAATTAAAGTCATTTATATAAATTATTTTAAAAATTTTCCAAATTAAAAAAAAACTTTCATTTTATCTTTCCCTCCTTTCCATGACTGCGACTTTGTTGCGTGATGTTTTTACCCATTTCTAGTGAATATACATTGTTTTAGTAATTGGAGCTACAAAGATGAATTATGTATTAGAAAACAATGGCTTATCTTATTGTTTGCCTGCCAGGCACAAATGTGATGCTAGTTCTAGATCTATGAAAATATATGTTTGGGGTATTTATTCTAAAAACATTTTTCATATGAGGCATTTACAAAACAGTCCAATAATATACAAAATATTTGGGAAATGTCAAATAAAATGTCACTAATTTGATACTTTTCTGCTTTAGTGTTTTATATCATAACTGTTGTAATACCATTTAAATTTATGCAAAATCTAATAAGTACTGATTGTTTAAAATCTAAAGTAACACAAAAGTTGTGATTATTTTGCCTCTAACATGGCTTGAATAATTTTAGTGGTCCTAAATGGACCTAATATAGTAGACTTATGTTAGTGGTGCTATTTTTATTACATAGCTGGAACAGTTTTAGTGGACTGGAGGCAACCTTTATTTTGTAAATAAAAAATTATTTTCCTTTTGTTATTTTACGTAAAATCATTTAATACTTAACATATATCACATAAATTTAAAAATTCAATATTGATACATAATTTCAAAGGCATAAATGAATATAAATTTGGAGAATTGTATCAGACATATTCTGTTTCTAATATAATCTTATTGAATTATAAAATGAATTATTTAAACTATATAAGCTTTCATTTGTTTAAAGTTCTTCTCATGAGATATTCATTCAGAAGAGGTAAAAAATCAACTGAGAGATACAATAAATTCCCAAATAGATATGATTGAAATGATGATCATCTTGAATAAGAAGTTTAAACGTTGGCTGGTGCAGTGGCTCACAACTATAATCTCAGCATTTTGGGAGGCCGAGGCAGGATGATTGCTTAAATGCAGGAGTTCAAGGCTACCTTGGGCAACATAGTGACACATCTCTACAAAAACAAAAAATTAGCTAGTCGTGGTGGCACACACCCATGGTCCCAGCTACTCAGGAGAGTGAAGTGCGAGGATCACTTGAGCCCAGGAGGTTGAGGCTTCAGTGAGCCATGATCACGTCAGTGCAATTCAGCCTGAACAGAGCAAGACCCTGTTTAAAAAAATAAATTAAATAAAAAAAAGGTTTAAAAATTGGAATTCTATTGATTTACTTTTTTGAACCTCTAGAGTGGAACAAAAATAAAAAAGAATATTAATATTTAAATGGGAATTTTGGTGGCAGTAATAGCAAAGACCATTTTAGTATTCCATGTTTGAAAAACTTACATTTTTCTGGTGGTAGTTGTTTTTTGAGACAGGATCTCCCTCTGTCACCCAGGGTGGAGTGTAGCGGCGTGATCATGGCTCATTGCAGCCTTTACTTCCTGGGGTCAAGCAATCCTTTCACCTCAGCCTCCCCAGTAGCTGGGACCAGAGAAATATACCACCATGCCCAGCTAATTTTTACATTTTTGAAGAGACAGTGCTCCACCATGTTGCCCAGGCTAGTCTCAAACTCCTGGTCTTAAGCCATCTGCCTTTCTTGGCCTTGGAAAGTGCTGGGATTACAGGTATGAGCTACTGCACCTGGCCAAACACAGACTTTTGATAGTCTAAATAATATACTTTTTAGAATATTACAAGTAAAAGATGATTAGTTAGGTTAAGAACATCAGCACATCAGTTTTGATTCTATAGCAGAATTAACTCAAAATGGCATACAAAAATAGGAAGAATTGCTTTCTACAAGGCAGGTCAGGACGAGATCTGGTTTGGCTTTAGATTTTGCATGTTCAAATGTTCTAAACCATGGTGTTTAATCTGAGTTCTTCCTTTATATGGCTTCCTTTTTTGTTGTATTATCTGCATTATCTGGCACCATTAAGCAGTGTCAGCCTAGAACTAGGCAGTGTCAGCCATTCTAGGTTAACAGTATTCTTAGTGTTAGAAGACACAGCATCAAAGGAACACTTGCCTTTCTTCCAATTGTGCAAAAGAAAAAAATATCCCATTGTTCCTCTGCCTTTTATTGAGTCATGTTCCCATCATTGTGGGGGAAGAATGCAATGCTTCTATCTTACTGGAATTCAGTTATAAATCTGAAGTATAATCTGATTAATTTATATGTATATGATAAGCCTTAGAACAATCAATAACTATCAAAATATGGTTTCTGAACACAAGTGGATTAAATTACAACTCTACAACATAAGGGATTTTGAGAAATTCACGAATATGTATAAATTAGCACAGTCCTAAATAGATAATGCATTCAAGAAGAAATCAAAAAAACATTTCTAGAAAATAATTGCAGATGAATGAAAACAAAAATACGGCATATCAAACTTATAAGATGTAGGTAAGCAGTGCTTAGAGAGAAATTTATATTTGTAAATGCTTATGAAATACATATTATCTATGTAATATTTTTAATTAATAACCTAATCTTCTGCCTAAAGGTCCTGGGGGACAAGGGGACAGGTACGAGGAAATTAGAATGAAGAGGATATAAATAATATAGCTGTGGAAAAAATAGAAAAAATTAAGAAAACCAAAAATGTTTTAATAAGATCAATACAGTTTATAAATTTTGGGTTGGACTTACCAAGAAAAAAAGAGAAAAGGCTCAAGCTACTAATAGAAGGAAGTGACACCACTAACAACCTTAAAGAAAACAAAAAGAATTGCTGGAGAGTACTATGAACAGCTGTATGCCAATAAATTAGATAAATAAATGAAATAGACAATTGCTTAGAAATACTTGAAATACAGAAACAGATCAATTAAGAAACAAAAAACTCAATGGATACATCAAAAGTAAAGGGTTTAAATTAGTAATATAAAAACTCCCTACAATAAAAAGCCAGGATCAGATGTTTTTACTAAAAATTTCTACCAAACATTTTTAAGAATTAACACCAATTCTTTAGAAGCTATTTTTAACTCATTCTATAAAGTCAATATTACCCTGATACCAAAACTATTCAAAGATAACAGAAGAAAAAGAAAATTTAACAACAGTATCCCTTATGAATATTAATATAAAAATCCTCAACAAAATACAAACAAACAAATCAGAAATATATAAAGATGATTATATGTTATGAAAAAGTGGGATTCATCTCATGAATCTGAGGTTGGGTCAACATCTTAAAAGCAATTAGTATATAGTGTATCATATCAATAGAACGAAAAATAAAAGTACACGACTATCTCCGTAGATGCCAAATAAGCATCTGTCATAATCCAAAACCTTTGTGATAAATATAATCAGCAACTAGAAATAGAGGGGAATTTCCTAAACCTGACAAAGGTCGTCTATGAACAACCAACAGCTAGCAGCATGCTTACTTTGAAAGGCTGAGTGCATTCCTCCAAAGATCAAGAATAAGAAAAAACATGTGTTTGTTACTACCTCTCTTCCATATTATACCAAACTTTGAGTTGGATGGGGAGTGACTGTCAATGCATAAGGCATTTCCTTTTTGGGGGTAGAAATGTTCTAAAATTGGTTGTAGGAATGGATGCACAACCCTAAATATACTAAAAATCATTGAATTCGTACACTTCATATGGGTGAATTCAATTTTATGTAAATTAAATATTAATAAAAGTGTTTAAAAAGAATAAATAATAAAAAGAATAAATAACATAGAGATAAGACCTGCTACTATGTAGAAAAAAATTAATGCTAGTAAACATTGTGAAATTCACCTAGGTCAAATTTGACCATGGGATTAACCCTCCCAGTAGTGACTCTGTTAAAAGCAAGTACCAGTTTCACAAAATGAGGAAGGTCTTATCTACAGAAATAAATCAAGACTAACTGGGTTTAAATGACAAAATCAGGTAATCAATGCAAAGTAGTTGCCTATATTGATATTTAAACACTTGGAAAATGTTGTTTTCAAATGATACATGGTTGCTGAGATGGTTTTGATGTTTTCTCCTTCAACATTGGAGGTGGGCCTAGCAGGAGGGGTTTGGCTCACGGGGGCAGGTCCCTTATGAATGGCTTGGTGCTGTCCTCACATTAGTGAGTATGTTCTCACTCCATGAGTTCACTGGAGATCTCGTTGCTTAAAAGAGCTTGACCCCTCACCTCTCTCTCTCTTTCTGAGTTCACTGGAGATCTCATTGCTTAAAAGGGCTTGACCCCTCACCCCCCTCTCTCTCGTTCCCTTTCTCGCATGTGATGCACTGTTTCCTCCTTTGCCTTCCACCATGATTGTAAGCTTTCTAAGGCCTCTTCAGAAGACTAGCAGATGCTGGTGTCACGCTTATTATACCGCCTGCAGAACTGTGAGCCAAATAAACCTCCTTTCTTTATAAATTAACCAGTCTCAGGTATTCCTTTATAGCAACACAAACAGACTAACACAGTTGCCATGTCCAGACAAAGTAAGTGTTCAGAGGTATAGGGCATAGTTAATTAATCCAGGTACAGGTGGTAAGTCCGAGCTCTTCCTAAACAACTTTGTGATTTAAATGAATGTCTCCTTTCTAGTCTTGCTACAAAAAGAATTGTCAATAATAATAGCTAATAGCATGACAGACTAACAAAATACTAAAACATATTTTACACATATACATGCTGTTAATAATTTTGCCTGGAAATGTGCTGGCTACTGCATAAACAATGGAGGTGTCTAGAAGAGTGTTTCCCAGTCCATGCTCACTGGAGACAGCTGTAAGTTACCAGGAGTTTCCTGGTTAAGTAGTGTAGGAAAAAGTTGGGTAACACAAGGTCCAATGTGTTTTCCTACTGTGTGACTTTACTTTGAAAAGCTAATGTTCACCATAACTTTCTAAGACGGTAATGTTGTACAACATATAATCAAAAAATTGTCTTTCACAGAACACACTTTAACTGTTTTCAGCGTGCAAAAACAGTACATGCCCTACAGAAGGAATGAAAAAAGTATTACCTGAAATCACACAATAATGACAAAAAAGTTATTATCCATTCAAAATCACACACACACACACCCCTACAGGTAACTCTACATATATTTAGGGTTTTGTATTAGTTACATTATTCTCTATATGGTGTTTTATAATTAATTTTTTTCTTAACATTACAAAATAGGCATATTTTTCTGTGATCATATTTTCATTTTTTGTAGCCTCATAGGTTTCTGTAATATATTTTAACTACTGGATTGTTTTACATTTTTCCACTTGGACTTTTAATTGCTTATTAAAGTGTTTGCATTCTAATTCTTTGACATCTATTGTCACATTGTTCCTCAAAAATATGCCCTTTACACTTTCAATTAGTATTCTTTACCCATAACTGTGTGAAACCTGTGCTTCCACTTTTTAAAACCTATTATATTTGTAGATATTTGAAACAATCTCATTGTTTTAAATTTTCTTTCACTGTTTACTAGTAAGCTAATAGCTTTTTCTGTTTGTTGGTCACTCACATTCTTACTTTTTTGAATTGTTTCCTTTCTCAAAACACTCTTTGTGAAGAGCTGTTTCAGGAGCCTTCCATCTGGCTAGATGACTCAGAGGACATGCAGAAACTCATTAAAGTGTGTAGAATGATCTGAGGTCACTTCATGACATGCTTTCTCACACAAGGAGAATGTAAATCAAAACCTGAAATTCATATTCCATTAACTCAGAACCAGTATGCACATCAGAGTATTGTATCATGAGTTTTGTTTGTTTCGGTTAAAAGTGATCTCCATTTTATTTAATTCTGCTTCTATTTTCTACTTAATATACAGACATAAAACATTCCAGAAATAATATACACAGTGAGAGCTATCGTGAGTAATAGAAAAATAATTTTAAAAATGGGTTTCAAATCTCCTAATCCTTTAACAAATCTAATCCATTAGCCTCTATCTTGTAATGAATGTTCACTCTCTAAGCTGGATTTGCTGTGCTGCTAACTGGATCCTTGCTTCCTACTTTCAGTCTGACACTGTCATCTGCTTAGATTTATGGTTATCCCAATGTCACCTTTACATACTAACCAATCTCTTCTAGAAAGAAGCAAACAGAAAAATACCAGCTCATTTTAAAGGATTTTTTTACATACAAGCCATTGTTTTTGCTCAGAAAGAAATAAACTTTACTTTGCACTGGTTTGATTATAGAAGCAAAGAGGTGCAGCTGGCTTTTAGTAGATTAATTGAGATTTTTTTCATAAAAGCCTGGGGTTATTTTCTCTATCCTATATGTACTAGGTATGAAAAGTAAGCATTTCAGTATCAATCTTAATATACATATTTTCTTTCCAAGTTTGAAGTTCACTTAATAAATAGTAAATTTTTTAAAGTTTTACTCAATTTAGAGCAGGACTATTTTATATAAAACAAACCATATAAAATATTTGAACAACTAATAATTTTTGATTATTTAAAATAATAATAGGAGCTACATTATGAATCGAGCCAAAATTGCTATGATGAGAAACACATGTTTTAAGGAGGAGGGTGGTGAGGGAAAAGAAGAAAAACAAATACTGAAAAACCACTGCTTGTGAAGCATTTACCATATATGTAGGTTTTACACTCCATTTGAACATAGAAACCAAAGTGCAGAAAGCATATTAAGGTGAGCCATGCAATACTGTTGATGTATGCCCATGTATTTCATATACAAAAAAAGGCAATTACCCATAGTTCAGAAATCAAAGCAGATTTGTCTACTGCCCAAATGTTTGATAATAGTGGATCGTTCTGTCTTTAATAACATACTCTTTTTGGCTTCTTAAATGACACACCCTGTCATTTTGTTTCCAGTCTCTGTGATCATTTAGCCTATATCCTTTGCTGGGTGCTTTTCATCTTCCTGACTTTTAGACAGTGGAGAGAATCAGCACTCACATCTGAGAATAAGCATGTGAGCTCTCCACCCTCCACTATCTCCTGTTCCATGGTTTATCACCCGTAAAAGAATTATAAGTTTCGAACTTATAATTCCAAAGCCAATTCCTCTTCTAAACTCCTAACTCCTACAACCAAGTTCCATCTCAATAGCTCCACTTAGATGCTGATAGGCATCTGTACATATTAGATACAAAACTTGCTCCTTCCTTAGCCTCCTGTGATGTACAGAAGCTATGTTCATTCAAGGGTTTAGAGCAAAATTCTAAGTCATCCTTGATTTTCCTTTCTTACTTATTCTACATCCAATCAAAAGATATGTTCTGCCTTTGAAATAAAAATCTGAATAATCTCTCTAGCCCGTAGTAGTGCCGAAAACCAGCATTTGCTTGGCCACTGCCAATCTTGCTCTCTCCCTATTCCAGGGACTGCATTCTTTATATTACAGCCAAATAAATTCCACAATAAAAAGTAAATAATCGGCTCATTACACGCAGCATCAAATCCAAAACCCTTGCAATAGTCTTACATAACATTATGCCTTGGCCACCTCTCTGACAAAATTCCCCCACCACCCTCCTTGGTACACGGGTCTCCATCACCGTGCAGATCCTTGAATACAGGAAATAGACCCTGCCATAGGGATTTCATACTTGTTCTTCTCTTTATCTGATAATGCTGTCTCCTCCTCAACATCCTAGATGTGTGCATGGCTTCTTTCACAGCATTCAACTCTCTTGTTTGTCTCCACCTCCGACAGGCCTTTCCCAATTCCCCTATATAAAATAGCACTTCCAGCCAGGCGCAGTGGCTCACACCCTAATGAAAGCAATTTGGAAGGCCAAAGTGGGCTGATCACTTGAGGTCAGGAGTTCGAGAACAGCCTGGCCAACATGGCAAAACCCTGTCTCTACTAAAAATACCAAAGTGAGCCGAGTTTGGTGGTGTGTGCCTGTAGTCTCAGCTACTAGGGAGGCTGAGGCAGGAGAATCGCTTGAACCAAGGAGGCAGAGGTTGCAGTGATCCGAGATCATGCCACTGCACTCCAGCCTGGGCAACAGAGCGAAACCCTGTCTCAAAAAATAAATAAATAAAATAAAATAAAATAAAATAGCACCTTCCATCACTCTCAAATGCCTTACTTTATTTCTCTTCATATTATTTCCACATGATATTTTACATGATTATTTGTTTCTTTCACTCTCTCCACCCTCCAGTAGAATGTGAGACTTTATGTATTTCATTGACTCTTTTATCCTCAGTGCCAAGTACAAACCTGGACAGTGACTAAGGTATAATATTTGTTCACAACATGAATGAATGAGATGATTGCTGAAGTCTAGAAAGGAGATAACGTTAATTTTATCCAGGTCAGGGCAGAGAGGATAGAGAGAAGTGGTTAGGTAAAAATATCTGTGTAGTAGATTCAATATAGACTTAAAAATGGCTTGAAAATTTTTATGGTTAGAAAAGAGAAAAACTCCTAGGTTAGATATACAAATATTGTTGGTTTTTATCTGGGATCTCAATTCATATTTGAGGGAGACAGACTTTCCCTTTGTTTTAGATAATTGTTTTTGGTAGGTGGTGATTCTTGTTTAAGACACAAATGTACTGACATGACAAGACCCAAATGCCCTTAATTCAAACTGAAAAGATAAACGGTCTTTTTATTAAGGGAAACTGGCAAATCTACAGGTATGCAGATTCTATTTTCTTTAGAGATTTTATTTCCTGAGCAAATATTTAGACTGGGTGAAATACTTAGACTGTGGAGCTCCCACATCTGAGTAGATCAATAGGAAAGGTCATCTCTTTTTCATTAGGTGAAACTATAGCTGGTTTCAGTGTCAGTAGCAAGTCTATGTTAATTTAGAGTTTCCAGTGGCAGTGGGCTTTAGCAACTCTGGGGTATGCCAAAGTAGATAGGGCCTGGAAATCAACTGCCATAACATTAAAAATCATACCCCTTGCATAAATGAAGACATTTTTGTCATCCTCACATCCAAACTCCAGTAGGGTCAAATAAACAAGACTGACCTCTTGAGAGGGCTGAATCTTTGGAGTCTTTGAATTCTGCAAAAGAGTCCACTTGATGGAAGGATACACTTCTTGTGATCAGCTAGATGTGGGTTAAGTAAACTTTTATGTAAAAAAAACTCAATCTTTTTTTGTTCTTAACATGAAGTTATAAATGTGTTTTCATTATAAACCAAAATATTAGCATGAAATGATATTGTTAAATCATTTCATTTTTTGATAAAGATGTAATTATAAGAAAAATTCAGTTTTTGTATAAAGGTTATTTAATCAATGACATAATATTTACATGTTTAAAGATATATCATTTTTTCCTGTACAATAGGTTATAGTTATTAAAAAATCACATATTTGATAATGCAACACAACTAGGTCTGGGAAATATTCATTCTGTAATATGTGCAGTCACTTATTGTATGTTATGGAGTCAAAAAGAAAAAGTTATTTATGTTTATCACCTAATATTTGAAAAGACTGCTTCTTCTGTCTATAAAATTCAACTGGTATACTTTTATAATAATGTTCATGTTTTATTTGTAAAAATATAAATTTTGAAAATTCTCACTACCATTTTAAAGTGCTTTTCTTTACATATAGTTGATTTGACTAATTTATAGCTTAATAACTGAAAAGAGAAATTGGAAATGAACTTCACTATACTCTCAGTTTATTATCAGTAATGTTTGAAGTCTAAGAGATAGCTTTATATAGTAAGTAAAGAATTAATTTTGCTTAATGATTTTTACTAATTTATGAACAGCATCTTGGGGCAATTTGGAAGAATTATTAGCATTTTTATATTATTCATTAAATTGTTTTATATTAATTTTTACTTTAGATCATGGAGTGTGTAGAGATGGAGAATATGATAATACATTTTTTTTTTTGAGATGGAGTCTCACTCTGTCACCCAGCCTGGAGTGCAACGGCGAGATCTCAGCTCACTGCAACCTCCGCCTCCCAGGTTCAAGCAATTCTCCTGCCTCAGCCTCCCAAGTAGCTGTGACTACAGGTGCGTGCCACCATGCCCGGCTACTTTTTTGTATTTTTAGTAGAGATGGGGTTTCACTATGTTAGCCAGGATGGTCTCCATCTCCTGACCTCGTGGCCCACCCACCTCAGCCTCCCAAAGTGCTGGGATTACAGGTGTGAGCCACCATGTCCTGCCTGAAATACACATTTTAATATAAACTATGGAGCTTCACTAAAGTATAAGTTTTACTCTCTATATATATATCTATAAATCAAAACATGGTAATGCATTAACACCACAGCAACTATACTGAACAAACCAAAAATGTCAAGGGGGATCTGAATCATCGTATACTTATTTTATTCTAACTAACACAGATATTTACTTGATAAACAAATTAAAATTCACAGTTCTTGCTTTAAATGGGAAGAAGAAGCCAAAACTCTTCAAAATTCTTTGGAAACCACTAGAAACCCATTGGTAACAGTTGGGATATATTGATCGAAATAATTAATATACAAACTTTCATCTGTAGTTTCATCTAACAAAATTCTGAAATTTTAAATCATTAAAACCTGAGTTAATTTACATAAATGCATGAGATAAGAGTCCAATTTCATTCATTTGCATGCAGATATCCTGTTTTCTCAACAACATTTATTGATGACAACATCCTTTCTTCCTTGTGTATTCTTGGCAGCCTTGTTGAAGTTAACCACAACTTTATGGTTTTATTTCTGAGATCTCTATTTTATTTAATTGGCCTATATGCCTGGGTTTATTCCAAGACTATACTGTTTTGATTACTGTAGCTTTGAAATGGATTTTAATGGCATTTTTTGACATTAATCAAATGTCATATTTAATGGCATAATTTGACAAAAATCAAATTAGGACTTACGATACTTCCAGTTTTGCTCTTGATTAAAGTTGCTTTGGCTATTTAGGAAATTTTTAGAATAGTGTTTTCTATTTCTGTAAAAAATGCCATTAGAATTTTGATAGAAATTTCACTGAATCTGTAGATCACTTTGGGTAGCATGGCTATTTTAACAATATTGATTCTTCCAATCCATGATCACAAGATTCCTTTCCTTTTATGTGTGTCCGCTTTGATCTCTTTCATCAGTATTTTATGGTTTTTGGTGTACAAGTCCTTCACCTCCTTGGTTAATTTTTTTTATGCCATTGTAAAGGGGATCGTTTTCTTAATTTCCCTTTCACATAGTTTGTTGTTAGTGTATTGTAATGCAAACAATTTTTGTATGTTGATTTTGTTGCCTGTAACTTCACTAAATTTGTTTAGTAATTCTAACAATGTTTTTGGGACTCTTTAGAACTTTATCTTACACGATACACAAAAATCAACTCAAAATGGGTTGAAAGACTTAAACGTAAGACTCAAAACTTTAAAACTTCTAGAAGAAAACATAGGAAAAAACCTTATTGACATTGGCCTTGGCAAACTTTATTGGCTATTACACCAAAACCATAGGCAACAAAGCAACAATAGACAAGTGGAATTGCATAAAACTAAAAAGTTCTCCTCAGCAAGGGAAAGAATCAACAATAGAAAAAGGCAACCTAAATAATGGAATAAAATATTTGCAAACCCATAGTTGATAAAATGTTAATATCCAAAATATATAATGAAGCCCTACAACACAATAGCAAAAAAAAAAAAAAAATCCAATTAAAAGACATACAAATAGCGTACAGATACATGAATAAAATGCTGTGGTCACTAATCATCAGGGAAATGCAAATCAAAACTACAATGAGATATCACCTTATACCTGTTACGATAGCATTATTTTTTTTAAAAGATAATGAGTGTTGGCAAGGATATGGAGAACAGGAAACATTTGTACACTATTGATGGGAATGTAAATCGGTGTAGTCACTAGGAAAAAGCATGGAGATCAGTCAAAAAATTAAAAATAGATCTACTACATGATCTAGCAATCCCACTTCTCAGTATATATCCAAAGGAATTGAAATCAGGATCTTGGAAAGATATCTATACTCCTATGTTCATTATGGTATTATTCACTATAGCCAAGACATGGAGACAACATTAATGTCCATCATTTATGGATGAGTAAATAACGAAAATAGTGTATATTCTTACAATGGAATATTATTCAGCCCTAATATATAAATAAATCCCACCATTTGCCACAAAATGGATGATCCCAGAGGCCATTATGCTACATTAAATATGCCAGACACACAAGGGCAAATACTACATAATTCCACTTATAAGACAAACCCAAAATAGTCAAACTCATAGAAGCCAAAAGTAGAATAGTGATTGCCAGGGGTTGTGGGGAGGACGAAACAGGGAGGTATTGGTCAAAGGGTACAGCATTTAAGTTGTACAAGATGAGTAAGTCCTGGAGATGTACTGTACAGCATAGCACCCGTAGTTACCAACGCCACACTGTATACTTAAAATTTTTCTGGCCGGGCGCGGTGGCTCACGCCTGTAATCCCAGCACTTTGGGAGGCTGAGGCGGGTGGATCATGAGGTCAGGAGATCGAGACCATCCTGGCTAACAAGGTGAAACCCCGTCTCTACTAAAAATACAAAAAATTAGCCGGGCGCGGTGGCGGGCGCCTGTAGTCCCAGTTACTGGGGAGGCTGAGGCAGGAGAATGGCGTGAACCCGGGAAGCGGAGCTTGCAGTGAGCCGAGATTGCGCCACTGCAGTCCGCAGTCCGGCCTGGGCGACAGAGCGAGACTCCGTCTCAAAAAAAAAAAAAAAAAAAAAAAATTTTTCTAAGAAGGTAGATCTTATGTTAACTGTTCCTATCACAAAAGGTTTTAAAAATGCTTAAATAAATACAAATATATAAATAAAAGGTCCTGGAAAAAATTTTTGGAGTTGATTAATATATTAATAAAATTGGTTATGGTGAGGGTTACACACGTATATACTTATCTCCAAACTCATGAAGTTGTGTATATTACATACATACAGTTTTTTGAATGTCAGTCATACATGAAAAAGGGGTTTCAAAAATGCCAAACTGCTCAGATTGAGGCAGAAAGTAGGGGCCCAAACCCCACAAGCCAGGCTCCCCCACTTCCTATGTCAACTTCTTCATTCTTTCCTTGTAATGCAAGGCATCCAGGGATCAAATTTTGAAAACCTTGACCTCATGGGCTAGGATATAAGTCACACTGCGTCAGAAAAATTAAGTGAGAGAAAAAATTAAAGTCACCGTCCCATATAGGCAAGCTTTTCTTTGGAATAAAACTACTTTACTTAATAGAAATTCTTCAAACGCTTCCTTTGGTAAAGATTATACAAGAAATTAGTGAGTGAATTTTAAAATAGTTTGCAAAGGGATAGTTTTAAGAAGCATAACTAGGTATCATTGTAGTGGTGAGCCAGAGGTCAAAGTAATTGAAATTGTAAAATGACACAAAGGCTATCTAGTGAATTAAATTATAATTGGAGAGTGATAACATCTTCTTATACATAATATGAATGCAAATACAAATGGAAAAAAAAGACTTTGAAGATGTCTTTTTCTTTCATTTCTCTCTGGAATGATATGCCTAGCTTCTATATCCTTGCCTTAAGGATTATGTGTGTGTCTGGGATTAGTTCCCAGAAATGTTAATATTACTTTATTTTCATCCTCTCAATGATGTGAAAACACAGCTGGGGAATTAAATGCAAATGCAAACATTTTCCTTAGCAAAATTCTTTCTACTCTTGTAAGAAACCTCTTACATCTATTTGTTTTAATGTTGAATACTATTCAAAATTTGTCATTAAGTTTTAATTAATTCACAACATGGATCTGATTCAAAATAAAGAGTTAGGTCATCTAAGTCTTTTCAGAATGATTATATCCAGGTTCTCTTTGTCTATCACATTACTCAATTTCAAATATTTTTTTCTCCTACTTTACAGATAAATCTCATTTGATGTTCAGCTCACATTTCCTATATCTTCTTTCAGTTCACTTATTTTAGGTGATTTACCCTACCTGTGAGTTTCTAGCACCTTTGAATATTCTGATGTATGTAAATTGCAATGATGTATTTCCTTATAATGGCACTGCTGATCTATCTATATGCAGAACTAACCCTGTGGCACTTAACTAGCTATTTCCTTAATCTAAACAATTTCCATTTGAATCATTCTCACAGCTTTTATTCCCTTAAATACATTGAATTATATTCTTAGCCAAACTATTTTTAAATGGCATATCTCATAGGGCATGATTGATTACCTTTTAAAACTAAATATGCTAAATGTCACTAGAAGGTTCATGGAGGCATGATAATACTTTTGGGCCACTAAGAATGCCACTGAGACTTCTGGGCCTTGAATAACTATTGTTGAAATATGTCTTTATTAAAAGTATTCAGTAAAAGCAATATGTGGCTTTTTATAATGTCACCCTTACATTTATAGGGGACCAGCTACATTTCTTTCTGGAGGATATACAATTTTAAAAGAGCAGAAATCGGCAAGGCCAAGTCATCTAAGGGGCCAGCCAGAAAGTACATTTCTGAAATAAGAATGCATCTTTATAATTAATGTGCACATTTAAGGAATTTTTTTGCCTGCTGAAATGCTACTTGTAAGGAAATGAGGGAATGTATGGATATCTATAAAGAGTTTTAGCTAAAAGTCAGGCTTTATAAATTGATTTGATTAGACACTTTCTCCATCCACTAAAATATTCGTAAAGGTAAAATTATCTAAATCAAAACTTACACTAATAAGAAATTTGTTGTCAGAGTATGGAGGAATTTTTCACTAACTATAAATGTATTACCCTTGGTTAAAAAAATTAAAAAAAAATCAGTGGACAACTTAGGCTTTTTAAAAAATGGCAATTGTTTCCTCTCCGAATTTCTGTTCTCAAGGACATCAACAATCTGCACTGAACAGAATATTAGGCAGGGCACAACGTCTTCAGGGCAACCTGAATATTTAGACTTTATTTTCCTTTGCTCCCCATTCATATTTCTATATCTCTTTATGAAAGGTACATTAAAATGCATTAAATAGGAATTTGGAGAGAGGAATATTAAATGTGCATTGCATCCTGGGAGATGGAATGGCTTCAGAACTAGAACAATGCCAGCAAACTGAGAAGTATGCTTAAAGCTGTGAAGATCAGTGTATACACCTACTGATTTGAAAATGGAAACTAACACTATCCAGTGTCATTGCATAGGACTGATTTCTACACAGATGTTTTCATTAAGAAGAGTAAATTGAAGAACGAAACCTTAAAGAAAACAAACCAACATCAGATTTGAGAAAAGGTATTTAATAAGTGGGAAAAGATACCCAAGAAGAAGTAACATATATTTGAAAATAATTCTACACACAAAAAAAATTTGCTGTTTGGGATGCTCAGTCAAATTTAAATTAATATTAAAACTATTAAATGTTGAAAGCCATAAGGAGCATAAAGTCTTTTTGAAAGAATAAAAAGGTAAAATGACAGTACAACCAGATGAGATTAAAATGAATAAGGCCTTAGAAAGAAAGGATCACAGAAAAAGCTAAATCGTATTAGTAGATTAAAAACTGTATGCAAGGCACACAAATAGATTTGATAATGCAAAAATCAAATAAATAATGTTGAGGAAAAATTACAAAAATGTTTCTGAATATTTACAAAAACTAAAAGAAAATGCAAATGAAGAGAGGTGATACATAATGCTAACACGTCTTAAATATTACTCCTGCTCCTGAGCCAACACCAGAATAATAAAATAAGCATTGTTAGCAATTAATGCAATTATTAATAGCAAAAAAGATCTCCTGGAACTAATAGGCCGATGTACATAGATCAAAAAAACGCATCATGTTCTAGTCAAAATAAATGGAAAAGTGACTAAAAAGACATATAAACAAAACATTCACTCATATATGTACATGTATATATACAAAATAGTTGTACATGTATATGAAGGAATATATAATATGAAGAAATAAAATTATGAATCATTCTAAAGACTTCTTCTGGACTGCTTTGAAGGATGTACATACTTTGCCTGTGATGTATGATTTTATATCTTCACGTTTGTTTGATTGCCTTAGTTTCTATGTCTGAATGCAATAGAAAGACAATCACACATATACAATTATTCAGTAAAGATATCAATCACATGTCCTAGCTATAAAACCTTTTTAAAGATATACCCTTGCTAAATGGCATAAATCAAAATTAAATGCTTAGTCATTTGGGCAAAGGAATATTGAGCATTTTTTAAGTAAGGAAGAAACATAAGATTTAATATAAAAGTACTCAATGCAAAAATCAAGATATAAACCCATATACTTCATATGCTCATAATTCATAACTGCTTGTGGTGTGTTTAGAATAATCCTGAAAATTGGCCAGGCGCAGTGGCTCACGCCTGTAATCTCAGCACTTTGGGAGTCCAAGGGGCGAGTGGATAACAAGGTTAAGAGATCGAGGCCAGCCTGGCCAACATGGTGAAACTCCCGTCTCTACTAAAAATACAAAAATTAGCTGGGCGTGGTGTCACGTGCCTGTAGTCCCAGCTACTCAGGAGGCTGAGGCAGGAGAATCACTTGAACCGGGGAGGCAGAGGTTGCAGTGAGCCCAGATCACACCACTGCACTCCAGCCTGTCCGTCTCAAAAAATAAACATAAAAAAAAATAACTCTGAAAATTTACTTAAGTGGCTTGGAAGTGGGTGCCTCCACGAAGGTGAATTATGATTTGAGAAAAAGGGATAAGGGCAAAACTCTTCAATACCATTCACTCTACAAATTCTTCAGTATTACTGATTTTGTACAATGTGCATATCGTTTTTAAAAATAAATGAAAATCAAGTTTGAGAATATTATAATAATTTGACTGTCTTTAAATACTGTCAATTTTTTAAAATAGTTAAATCCAAATATAGAATTTAAAACATTTACTATATTAAAAGTTACTTGCGGGAAAATTGAATATATAAATAAAATATTATGAAATATATAAAAACTATATATAATTAACATAAACATACTTTTGAAAAAATATATTTTCTTCATAAGCTTCAGTGACAGCAGTCATTTTTAGTATTGTTATTCAGTGCATCTGTAAAAAGACAAGTTTTCAATTTTGTCTAAAAAACATAAAAGAGTCAATTCTTTAATCCTAGGCATCATCTGGATATTCAAGGAGAAAGACCACCTCAATTATAGAAATAATGATAATGCTTGCTGAGTGCACTAGGCAATGGCCTAAAAATCCCATATATTAGTTCATTTATTTTCCATTACAACATTATGAGGTAGGAGGTATTATTAGATTGGTGCAAAAGTAATTGCGGTTTTTGCCATTACTTTTAACGACAAAAGGTTTTTGCTATTACTTTTAACGATGAAAGGTTTTTGCCACTACTTTTAATGCCAAAAACCACAGTTACTTTTTCATCAACCTAATATAAAAATCCCCATATCACAGCTAAAGAAAGAGGAACGCTAATTGGTTAAGGAACTTAACCTACGGTAAAAAAGCTGGTGAGGAGCAGAATTAAAATGTAAACACAAGCTATCTGGTTCTACAGTGCACTAAGCTATCCTGCTTCTACAATGAATTCAAAACAAAAAACTATATTATAACATGAAACGTGTTGATGTGAGGATCTTTGGAAAAAAATTAGGATGCAACTCTTTTTTTTTCTTTTTTCTTTTTCTTTTTTTTTTTTTTTTTGAGACGGAATCTCACTCTCTTACCCAGGCTGGAGTGCAGTGGCAAGATCTCGGCTCACTGCTACCTCCGCCTCCCGGGTTCAAGCAATTCTCCTGTGTCAGCCTCCCGAGTAGCTGGGACTACTGGAGCATGCCACCACGCCCGGCTAATTTTTGCATTTTTTAGTAGAGATGGGGTTTCACCATATTGGTCAGGCTGGTCTGGAACTCCTGACCTCAAGTGGTCCGCCCACCTCGGCCTCCCAAAGTGCTGGGATTACAGGCATGAGCCGCCGCGCCTGGACAGGATGCAACTCTCAATACCGTAAACCTAGTTCTGAAAAAAGATCACATGTGCATTATGCACACAAAATTAACTGGAAGAAAATATTTACAGGGGTTTTAACTGTATTTGCATCACATAGGACTATTACGTAAAACACCATTTTGTTACAAAGACTAAAACGTATAGTAATCCCTTTCACTATAAGAAATGTTAAAAGTACATTATTTGAGAATAAATAATTAGCTAACAACTTTACTAACTATATACATATATATATTTCCTCTGAAAGCAGATAACCTCATAATTTTTCAGATTAAGGTAGAGTAATTACTGATTAAGGGATTCTAACCTGTCAAGAGTCACTCAATGCTCTAGCAAGATATCCCAAAGAGCAAAAAAAAAAAATATATATATATATATATGTATATGTAATTTACATTGTCTACTGATAAAGAAAAGCATTAAAATATAATAAGAAAGTATAATTTCTAAAATTGCATGTGCAAGTATTAGTTTAAAACTTTCAGAAAATTGAGGCATTTTAAAGAGATATTCTGATGGTCAGCAACAGCATCTGCTGATGATGATACTGAACTGGGAAAGAAATATATTTCTTTTGTGCTGCATCAAATGTGAAAATTGCAATGGCTGAACATTTACCCAGGTGAAGAATCCTGCTGTTGCTTGACCTTATACATATTTTTTGACAACTGACTTCCTTATTTTTATCATTAGACTAAGTTCTTTGTGATAATAGTTGCCTTTCATTATTCTTTGTCTGAATATATTCTAAAATGATTTGAATTGTTGTTAGTCCTTCACAAGTAGGGAGCCAAAATGAGAGAGCAAGGACATTATGTGGTAATCTACTCCTAATTTAGATTCAACAAGAATCAGATATATTTCCATATTCCCAGGCAGACAGATATGATTCTGCTTCAGTAGTTTTAAAAGGGAGGCAAATCATTGAATAGAGTGAAGCTGGTCAATTTGCCAAACACCATTTCACCTTAGTCATTTTACTGAATATCCAACCTGCAAAATTGCTGAAGAGGCTTCTCTAAGTTTTCATGTATTCCCTGACCAGTTCTAACCCCTGACCCTAACCCTGCATTTTTGCATGGAATTTGGTGCCATTTTTTCCTAATATAAGCTATATTTTCTACTGTGTTGAAAACATAGGCCTTTGTACAATTACACCCCTACCATTGCCCACTTCTGAATGAAATGCCTCTATTTGCCCTTAAAGCAGCAGTAGGAAAGTGGCAACAAATAAAAAGTGTAAATATAAGAGAAGGCTTTCTGGAAAGCTGACTTCTTAGTTTTGCACTAACTGGAAATAGAGAAAGGAGAGGAAAGGGTGTTCAAGAGTGGCTTTCTTAAAACCATGGATTCAAACAAAACATGGAGGTTGCAATGAGCCAAGTTCGCACCATTGCACTCCAGCCCTGGCGACAGAGCTAGACTCTGTCTCAAACAAACAAACAAACAAAACATGGAAAAGTCCAAATGTGTTGAATCAAAATTTATGAGGATGGAAAATGTCATGGGTAAGAAAGAAAAACAAAGTGATGCTCCAAAGGTAAGCAGAATTCAGATGATAAGAAGTCTGAGCTTGATTCCCGGAGTAATACGGATCCATGGAGAGATTTATAAAGAGTAGTAACTTAACAGTTTTGAAGTTATAAAATATCTCTGGGTTAGCAGCTTAAAGAACAGAAATTAAGTTGAGAATTCTTGAAACAGAAATATTAACATGGGGTGTTTTTAATGATAAAGACAAAAACACTCAATATCTAGCCAGCTGGTTAAAATGTAGATGGAAACGGGGGCATTTGGAGTCACATTTAGCTAAACAGAATTTTACTGTTGATAACCAATTGCAAAAGGTAAGGAGAAAAAGATATTAAGGGCTGTGCAAAGATTTGGGCCTGGAAAATTGTTGCTTACTTAATAAAGGAACTAAGGAAGTAATGACAGCATAGAGTGATGATGATAATGTTGATTTATTTTGAGCTAAAATGTTTATAGGACCATTCGAGGGAACATACATGAGAATTCATCTAATCATATATATACACATATATATATGATGACAAAGAAGATAATCAATATTCAACCCTAATACTGAATACATAATATGGTAATATATACCAGGCAAAAGTTATTTCCTAGGAAAACTGTATAATAAAATTAAAATTTTGGGTGTAATTAAGATGTGACAATGTAATAAAGACTTGGAGAACCTCTCTGTGACTGAGTAGAATATGAGGGGTATGCGATGGTACATCATGTCCTTTCAGATCTCCCAATGAAAATTTTCAAATTAATAGGTATTATTTTAGAAGTCTTCTTTCACATTGTGAGATGATGAAAGATGCCGCTACCACCTGCAGTTAACGTTGCCACTGCTACAACTTATTAATGGCTGCCATATGTAGCTACCTTATCACTAATCTGAGAATGGCCTCAAAAGCCCTGGAAATCCATCACAAAAGCAGGGTGCACCCATGATTACTTTCTGGAAGCACTGCCACAGAGACCAACTCTTCCTGAGGCCAGCTGAGCCTGACTCTTACCTCTTGGCTCTCAACTCAAAGGGCAGCATATGTATTCACTTGTTATTTCCTGTGGTTTTACTTTCAGTAACACTGAACCCTTACCGCCTCCCCTACAATTCAAGGTATCTTTTTTAGAGAGTGTGGCCAGAATAACAAATGATTTTTTTAAATTTACGTTTAAGAAAGTTTTAGAGCATAATCTAGCCCACAACCTTCATTATTAGAACCCCCTCAATAATTCCCATAAAATAAATGTTCTACTGTCTTCTTCCCATCAATTTTCCTGTGAGTTTGGAAGTGTGCGAGACCAAAATGCATAGGCAGATGAGAACATTTTATGATGCTGATCATGTCCAGTTTTAAGCTTTACGGGTTTTTAAACACACACTTCTGAATGACTCTGCCCTCATACCTGACCTTCCTAGCCCAGCAGTCTTAAAAAAGATGGTAATTACCACTTCATCATGTTCAGTGATATATGATTTTTGTCTCCTTTTTATTCTTTTCAGTGGGTTAAAGATTTGGAAGGAAGAACAAAAGTAGATATTTTAAGCAAAAACGATACTGAATTATGAAAATCTCTTGAAAAATATGAAAGACACTACCTCCCTCAGCTTTGAAATAAAGCAAGCAAAATCTGACCCTTCTGTGTACAACTATTCATTGACTTCCACAGGTGTTTACGAAGAAGGTGGGCAATAACACTCGTTTATGATTAAAACTGAACTCAATTCAGGTACAGGAAGATGGCAAAGATGGAGGGGTATTGTATGCTCTTCTGTACTTCACAGAGGATTCAAAGAGAAAAATTGCAGCTGGACTCCATCAGTGTACTACGTGCCAGGCAATGCTGATCACTACTTCCATCTATGTGTAAATATAGTGTTTTAGTAATTTATTATTATAAACACACTAGTGTATATGTATATTTTTCATGAAAGTATAGGTGATGTCAGCCTAGAGCGTTCTAAATAGCATTTATTGGAAGTTTGTATGTGTGTGTGTTTTATTCATTTTATAAAGATGAATGCTTTTATTTCATGACAGTATTATTCATGTCTAAGTTTCTGAGTTTTGTGGCTTCAACTCTTCTCTGTGTGTATTTAAGCTTGTTTGCACTTTATATGACAGAAGAGCTTTGAATGAAATTAATTTTTCTTTGAGGATTGGTGAGCATCTATTATTTTGGAAACTCTAGTAATAAAATATAGTGTCAAAGAAATTACAAATATGAGTTGTTTTGAGTCAGTGTTCAGTTATATAGTACTCTTCTGAACCCATTTACAACAAATATGAAATAGGAAGTATTCTTATTTAATTGAAAAATATGTTATATAAGAAGGCATTTCCTATTTTGTTTTTTATTTTATTTAACATAGAATTATTTATTTAAAATTATTTTTAATTTTATTTGTTTACTATATACTTTAATGCTGCATAAAAATTTATTGAACACATCAAGATTTTCCTGCAATGGTATCTACAGTAAATGGCCTCTACTCTTCATATGAAAAGCTAGTACAGAACATTTGCTGCTGTTATAATCTATGTTCAACTGTTGACTTTTCACTTTCCTTTTAGCCAGATTCTCACAAATCTAGTCCTTTCTCTGAAATGATACAGTGTCCATTACCCAGAATGCAGGGTCTACAGACCATATAGTTTGATTCAACACTAATCTACATGTCTGCTTGCAACTGAATATTTAAAGCATAGAGATTTTAGAGTAGTTTAGATTTACAGATGAACATTGAAACACCAAGTATCTCATGAATGCTAAGTGGAAATTGTTAATAAAAACACGAATATTCTTTTATCAAAAGAGTGTAAATTGAGAATTAATTGGGATATATCTATCCCCACAACAAACAAAAACAGATTGACAGTGCCCATGCAAAGGCAATAAATATAAATCTATAAATTAACATTTAAGATTATGTATTTTTTATTATAGATCTTTAAAACACTTGTAGTTACCAGTCACTATCAAATGAGGTTTTCTGTTTATTGTTAATCAATATATCTATTTTGCACCCTTAAGTTGCAAAAGTGATGTAGGCTAAACTGCACATATTTAAATGTATGAGTTGATGAATCTTGGTGTGTATACATATCCACGAAATGTCACACACTCAAGATGATGAATCTGTCACACCAAAGCTTTTTGTGCTCCTAGGTATCCTTTCCTTGCACTATTTATCCCCAACGTCACACCTTCCCAGACAAACACTGATATGGCTTGGCTCTGTATCTCCACCCAAATCTCATCTTGAATTGTAATCCCCATGTGTTGGGCGAGGGGCCTAATGGGAGGTGATTGGACCGTAGGGGCAGATTTCCCCCTTGCTGTTCTCATGATAGTGGGTGAGTTCTCACGAGATCTGATGGTTTAGAAGTGTGTGGCAACTCCCCCTTTACTCTCTCTCCTGCTCTGCCTTGGTAAGATGTACTAGCTTCCCTTCACCTTTACTATGATTGTAAGTTTCCTGAGGCCTCCTAGCTATGCTTCCTGTACAGCCTGCAGAACCGTAAGTCAATTAAAACCTCTTTTCTTCATAAATGACCCAGTCTCAGGTAGTTCTTTATAGCACTATGAGAATAGACTAATGAAAACAGTGACTGTTTCTTGATTACTATAGATTACTTTGCATTTTTAAAGAATTTTTATGAATAGAATCTAGTATGTGCTAATTTTCGTCTGCCCTCTTTTACTCAGTCTAATAATTTTGATTAATCCATTTTGTTGTGTGCATCGGTAGTTGATTCCTTTTTATTGCCAAGTGGCATTTTGTTGTAAAGATATACCACAATTTGTTTATCCATTTAACAGCTGGGGAACATTTGAGCTATTTCCAGTTTTTGACTAAAACAAATAAAACTGCTATAAACATATGTTTTGTGTGACATTGACTTTCATTTTTCATCTTCATTCTTCTTTCATTTTTCATCTTCATTCTTCTTTCATTATCCCAGGAGTGGATTGGCTGTGTCATGGGGCAGTTCTATACCGAACTTTGAGAAACTACCTGTTTTCCAAAGCAGTTATTCCATTTTACACCCTTCAGCAGTGCATAATAATTTCAGTTGCTTCATATCTTTGCCAACAAAAGGTATAGCCAATATGTAATTTAGTAGGATTATATAGCTTATTGTGGTTTTAATTTTCAATTATTTAATACATATGGGTGTTGAGAAATTTGTCATATGCACATTTTTTATGAATAGCTTATTTATAAAAATTTTAATTTTTTTGCTCATTTCTAAAATGAAGTGTTTTTGTTCCCCTGTTATTGGGTGGAAGAATTCTTTATTCTTTTTTAAATGAAGTATTTTGTTGGATACATGGTTTTAAAAAATGTGTTCTCATTCTATGGGGGACCTTTTCACTTTTATAATGATGCTTTTCAATAAACAAGTTTTAATTTTGATAAAATATATTTGAATAATTTTTGTTGTCTATAGTTAGTAATTTTTATATATAATTAAGAATGCTTAGCCAAAACAAGGCATGCAAAATTGTATTCTATGCTTTCTTTGAAAAGTTTGATTGTTTTAGTTCTTAAATTTAGTTTTATAATTTCCTTCGACTTACTTTTAGTTTATGATGTGAGGTAAGGATTAAAGTGTGTTTGTTTATTTTGTCTATGCATATTTATTTGTTCTAGTATCTTCTGTTGAAAGGATTACTCCTTCCTCATTATATGGTCTTCACACTTTTGTCAAAATCAACTGACGTTATCTGCTTTTTTTAATGACTCTTTAGTCTCTTCTATTATTCTATATGTCTATCATCATGTACATACCACTCTGTTTTTATTACTGTAGTTTTATAATGTTTTAAAATTAGATATTAATTCTTCAGCTTTTCTTTTTTTTTTAAAATAACTTTGGTTATTTTATATACTCTTTATTTCCATGTAATTTTATAGTCAGAGCATTGGTTTTTGCTGAAAAGCCTCCTGGTGTTTTATTTAAAATTGTATCTATCCATAGATTAACTTTTGTAGAACTGATATCTTAATAATATTGAGTCTTCTGTTTCCTGAACATGATTTACTTCTCCATTTGTTTCTTCTTTAATTTCTCTCATAAAAATTGGCCTTTGTATTGCACTTGTTTTACCCATCATTGGTCAGATTTGTCCTAATACAGTTTATATTTTTGTTGCTTTTGTAAACCTTTTTTGTGCTCTTGTTTGTAATTTTTAAAATTTTAATTTCCAGTTGTTTGTTGACAGTTTATAGAAATCAATTGATGTTTGTATTGACATTATATTCTGTGCTCCTGCAGAACTTATAAGTCCTAGTAGCTTTTTATTTTTCTTTTCTTTTGTAGATTTGTTGGGATAAGAGTGTTATTTTCAAACAAAAACATTTTTGCTTAATTTCATATCTGTATGCTTTTCATGTCCCTTTCTATTGCCTTATTATTGCACTATCAAAGCTTTTGTACTGTAGAACTTTTTGTAGTGTTGAATACACGTGGTGAGAGCAGATGCTTACTTCTCAGTCGTAGAAAGAAAGTATCGAGTTTGTCAATTTCAAGTATACTGATTGCTAAAGTCTTTCATTGATGTCTTCTAACAAGTTAAGAAGTTTCCCCCTTTTTTAAGTTTGCTGACATTTTATATCAGTAATGGATATTGATATATTAAAATTATTTTTATATTTATTGCTTTAGTACAATTATGAAATATTTTACTGTATTTACTTACTTTTATAATCAAAACTTATTAAAATATTTGATTATATTTTCTTGTATATAAACTTGGTACATCTTTTTGAAATGTAGGGAGTTGTAGGAGTTATCTAGACTAAACCTTATATTTAGACAGTAGGATTGTGATTTCCAGTTTGTTTAAATGACTGTCTCAAGGTCACTCAAAATTAAAAAGTAGATATACAGAATTTTTTTCTTTCTTCATTTCCTCTCTTCATTAAAATACATGAATAATATTTTTGAATTACGTATTTAATCTGTTTACTAAGCTCCATTTCATATTCAATGAGAAAGTATGAAAAGATCTTTGAGAAGTAAATAACGCTAATACAAAAGCATTTTAATAGGAGGGAAATAATTTTTATTTTAAACACACTGCACATGAGCACTTTCATAAATGTTAATTTTGTGAGTATTAATGGGATTTTAAATAAAAAAATAAGTAAAATTTAGATGCCAAAAATGTAACTCCAAGTACTTAAAGTTCCTTTACAAACAGAAATAAAATATTTTCAAAGGAGTTCTAGCTTATATAATTTACAATTGAGACACGTAAAATATACACCACATTGAAGCAATATTGTAGTATCAAAGTAAAGGATGTGCTTAGTGTCCAGACAGCTGTAATCAAGTTTCACTGGCTGACACTAATGCCTTCTGAAGCCTTGGACAACATGTCTCTTATCTCTGGGCCTTAATTTTTTAAAAATATTTTAATAGAGATGTAAATGTAAGTGATGTTTTGGTTCAAAATTTTTGCAATCTCTGATTAGACAGCTTAAGAATATACATTAATGTGTACCTCAAATCAATGTGGTTGTTTTATTACCCATTAGCTAAATTCCTTTTGATTCTTTGAAACTAAATGGGACAAAATAAACAAAAAACAAAAACAAAACAAAAAAACTTCAACGAACTGTGTTTCCCCTGCTGTCACACCAAAGCAATCAACACAGGAGACATTTGTGACCAATATCTAGGGGCTTTTCCTCATGCACCAAGAGAGCAAGCAACTCTGGGAACCCCAGCCAGGTATCCTCCAACTCAATTCATTTCCGACAATTCCTACTTGGAGACAGTGGCAGAGCTCACACAACGTCTAGGGGCTTTTCCCCATGCACCAAGAGAGCAAGCAACTCTGTGAACCCCAGCCAGGTATCCTCCAACTCAATTCATTTCCAACAGTTCCTACCTGGAGACAGTGGCAGAGCTCACAGGGTGAAGGCTCATTCCCCAAGACTGGCCCCCCACTTTCCAATGCCAATCATAAGCTCCATGTTGTTTTACCTGGGCTTCTAACCTACGGGCTATAAATCAGGGTTCCCATAACCTTCTTCTAGGATTCAATTAATTTGCTGGAACTGCTCACATAACTCAGGGAAAAACGTATTTAATGCTTATCAGTTTATTATAGAGGATATTACAAAGTATGCAGATGAAGAGATGCATAGGGTGAGGTATGGGGAAGGCGCGAGAAGGTTCTATGCCTTCCCAAGCACACCACTCCCCAGGAACATTCAGTGTCTGACTATCCATGAGCTCCCTGAACCCTGTGCCTTTGAGTTTTTATGGAGACTTCATTATTGAGGCATGATTAATTAAACATTGACCATTGGTGATCAACTTGAGATTTAGCCCCTCTTTCTCCTCCCCAGAGGCTTTTCCTTGACAGGTAGTCTATCAAATTAAACCTAGGTAAATGAAGTTAAATACATAATTTTAAAAAACCATGAGGTTATCCTGTTTTCCATTATCATCTGATTCTTCTGAGATCAGTTAGCTAAGATCTAATTGGATCACTTAATGCCAGACATGTTTTAATTAAGAAAATTTTACATTTTATTCAGAATTTATCATGCGTATAGTATAAATACTTTCATTTGTTATTAATGCATATATAACTTCAGTAAAAAAATTTGAGGATATTTTTAAACTATTGGTTTATGAACACTTAAGAGATTGTAGTTTTTTTGTGCTTACCTTTAACCAAATGTACAGACTCGCCAGGATATTTTGTAATGAAGTGAGATTTACATGGTAATATATGTTGATTCTTATAAAGAGTGCAGGTTATAAATCTTATTTTTTTCCTTAAAACTATTTTATTTTTGAAGAGAATGGATTAATCAAAACAACTTTATAAAAAAAAGAGAGAAAGAAAAGGGAAGAGAAAAAAGAGAAGAAAATCAGTGTAAAGTGAGAGATAAAACTGATATGGGCTGATCTATTTTCATGTTCAGGAATCATAGAGGTCAAATTTCTGCAATTGTTAAAGTAGGGTTCTCTCAGTAAGCTCATTAGATGAGTATGTGTGACTTTATTTATGAAATTTAACATATCTTAAAGTTTAAAATTGAATCCTATCCCAACATTTGTAACTGCACATTTGATTACAGAATGTTATTTTCTTACAATTACCAAAATGAAAGCTCAATGCTATATGACTATTTAGAAGATAGTTTACTGTGTCATCTAGCTCATTTTTTATCACCATTTTGTTTAATAAAAACACACATTATTAAGTCTTCTTGCTTAAGAAAATGTATTATTATTACATAAATTTACTCTAAATTTGAATTTAGAGTAATAAAATGAAGGTCCCAAAACAGCGATTTAATGAAGTGAATCTACCACTTAAGAAGCAGTTTTGGCTCTATTAATGCCATCTAATATATTTTGCACTAAATAAAATACAAATATTCTATTGCCTTTCTAAACCTTGTAAATGACATTTTAGTATTGGATAATCAAATGTAACTGAAAAAGTGACTTCACATTGCCCTCCAGAAGAAAATAGAAAGAATTATGATCATGCAAACGAATTTTCCAGTTTTCTCCGGTATGTAGCTTGGGAACTGTCATTATGAGAGCTCCTTTAATATTTCTAGAGAGCCAGGTGAGGGGGCTGCATAATCTGAAGAAGGATAATAAGAAAATCTGTCCTGCAGATTAGAGGCAGTTAAAAACAGATTCCTCTGTATGGGGTTAAATTGTACTTGCAGAAGATGTCTGTGGATACGTGATCCTGTTTGTCTATCTAGGGTGTGTGGGTGTGTGTTGAATTAAACTACTACTCCTGGAAATTGTAAATAATAAAGAGCCATATCTGTACCTCAAATTAGTGAGCAATACTCTAAGTAACTTGGATTTGCAATGTCCATATATACCCTGGATGATATTTGAAATGTAGATTGCCACATGTTGAGTGAGGATTAACAAAATGGATCTCAGAAGAATAAGGAAACTTCCCAGAGAGACATCAGTTAGAAAACAGGAAGAGCAAGGAAGGGCAGAGACCAGGGGAAGCCACGAAAGAATCTACTCCAAGTACTTTAGCTTTGCTTTATGAGAAATGTCAAATTTAAAGTTCAGATTTTTGCTTTTTCTATTCCAGTGTTTAGTTCTCTTTAGTAAATCTAACCCTTTATCAATATCTGACATGTCCATAAAGCAGTGTGGTTTAGCTTTATGGAAAATGAGGAAAATGGAGAGGAAAGGGAAATAAAACCTGACCCACAGTCAACCATTGTGGTCTCGTACTGAGGAATATACATGCAATTGTAATGATGAGCTGAAAAGGAAATTTGATCCTATAAAATCGAGCAGAAATAGTAGGAAGGATCACGTAATGTGGGGAAGAAGACCACATAGTTGATCTAAAGAAGATCAACTATCTTCTTTAGATCAACTATGCTACTTTATAACTTTATTCTGCAAGAATAACGTGCATTTCAAAATATATATTAATCTTAATTCACTACCTTTTAGTGCCCATTTCTCACCAGTTGAGCACAAGTATGAAGTAGCTCTCATGCATTATTTTTGACATATTTCATATTAAATTTAAAGAGTGAAAGGAAAATCAACAAATACAGTTTACCTTCACAAATAAGCAAAACCTATGTATGTAAATCATTTCCAAACTGAGAAACACCATTAACCTTTAGTTCCTTATGTTGTATAACTTCCACTGTTGACCCCCATTTATTGTGTAGATTTTAGAGATAAAGAAAAAAAAATGTTGGGGAGCAGTTTTCAGACCTTTCTGAATCAACTACTTTATAATAAGATCTACAACTTAAATTTTTTAAATGGTCAAATATGTATTTCAGTGTAACCATTCTTACTCATTTTGAGAATTAAAAATTTAAGACCAGTGATTTTCCGAGTTTTAGGGCTTTTGAAGAAAGAATGAGCAGGATGATCATATAAATTAAGACTATGAATAAAAATGGGGATGTTCATATTTTACTGTTTTTTCCGAGTGATTATATATACAATATCTTAAAGAGGATGACTATTGTCTAATAGTAATTATGTTACACATTTTCTCCTCTTGCACTGAGTAGGAATGTATATTCTTTTACTATTAATAAACTACGTTTTCTGGGCAACACTTAATTTTCTTCACAATGTCAATTTTACGTAAAGAAAATAAAATGGAGATGGCTCATTAAACAAAGTTCTTGTGCTCAGGAGTAGCCATTAACCTATAAATAATCCTAACAATACACCATCTTATGGTGCTGGCTTAAGAAGCCTAGAAAGCCTTTACAATACATATGATTTAGCTCAATAATTGTAAAATAATATCTCATCCTATAATTAGTGATAATTTTCCTCAATGACAAAATAAGAAGGTCAAGAATGGTTATAGAGAAAGGGTGTTCAATCACTCTTCCAGATAAAACATTCAAAAAAGCAATTGAAAAAATGTACTATATAAATAAGAGTCAGATAAAAATCAGAAAAGCTGGATTAAAAATGACCCAGATACCAGGATAATTAATACAATAAACTGTGATCAAACTGTAGCTTGAATTATGTCAAAACTTTTCAAATTAAATAAAGATAAAAAGGAGACACCTAGCTGAAAGGTAACCACATTAATTGGTGTTGATCAAACTCAAATAATAATGCTTCACATACTTGGAAAATTGCATGGGAAATCAAAACTGTTTGGCTTAACAAAATATTAAACTACAAAATAAACCTTTGCTTATTCACATATTTTTTATAATACTTAAAAGCATTTTCATTGTTTCTTCTGGCTATTCTCACATATTTACATATTTGGTTAAATCACTTGCACAATTTCTTAATTACACTGATTGCAATCAAGCTCTTTTTAAAGTGCTTTATTATTTCTAAAATTTACAAAGAAAAATATTCTTGTCCAATTTTTTATAAGACAGTAGTTGTAAAGGAAAACTCCAACAATTGTTTTATCTTATTTTTGTACACATAATTCCTGTTTCAGTTATTAAAAATGTTTGATGTGACTACTTGTGTTATGTGTTTAACGTATTCCTCCCCAAATTCATATGTTGAAATTCTCATCCCCAGTATTTTAGAATGTGTCCTTATTTAGAACAGTGTTGCTGCAGAAGTAATTAGTTAAGATGAAGTCATTAAGGTGGGCCTAAATTCAATATGAATGATTTCCTAATAAAAACGGGAAATTTGGACACAGAAACTTGCCACACATATCAGGAGAATGCCATGTGGACATGAAGATGGCAACCTACAAGCCAAGGAGAGATGCCTGGAAAAGATCCTTCACTCATGCCTCAGAAGGAACCCACCTTTATTTTGAATTTCTAGCCTCTGGGATTGTGAGATAACAAATTTCTGTTGTTCAAGCCACCCAATCTGTGATACATTGTTATGGTACAACCCTAGCAAATTAATACAATTTGCTTATATCTCTTTATCAGTAAAATGTTCCACAAATTTAGAACATTTGTAGAACTGCACATTTTCTACACACTGAATCAAATATTTGGACAAAGCTGTCTTATATGGGGATTAGTTGTATACAGCAGAGGGTAAAAACTGGGGACTCCTTGGTGCCCAATGTGACTCTAGGAACACACATGGATGAGAACCCAAAGGCAAAGGTAAACACCTTAGTAAGATGTCCAGTGAAATGTGAAAGGAGGGGAGGAATGGCAGTAGAACAAAATATGTAAAAGTTATCTCTGTTTCGTGCAAGTTTAAAACATGAGTAGCCAGATGAATACACTTGTTTTTAAAACTGGGCATAATTGGACTCCACAGAAGTAAAAAAAAAAATTGTTGAGATAATATCTGGTTTCTTTTGTAGACTATTCTAAAACTTAAAGCATCCTTATATTTAAGTTCAAAAGGTAATTTGAGGATAAATAATCCCAGATAGTAATTAATGTGTTCAAAATAGGATAGTATCTATTTATTTATTTATTTATTTATTTATTTATTTATTTATTGAGACAGAGTTTTGCTCTTGTCGCCCAGGCTGCAGTGCAATGGCACAATCTCAGCTCACTGCAACCTCCGCCTCCCGGGTTCAAGCGATTTTCCTGCCTCAGCCTCCTGAATAGCTGGGATTACAGACTTGTGCCACCATGCCCGGCTAATTTTTATATTATTAGTAGAGACGGGGTTTCACCATGTTGGCCAACCTGGTCTTGAACTCCTGACCTCAAGTTATTCGCCCACCTCGGCCTCCCAAAGTGCTGGGATTACAGGTGTGAGCCACCAGGCCCGGCCTGAAATAGTATAGTATCGCTTTTAGTATTTGATTGACAATATTCTAATTGTTTATGGAGGTTTAAGGAGAATTTTTATATACTATCTAATTTGAGTAGTGTATTTTTATGAGATAAGTATATCTGACCCCATTTCAACCCCCATATTATAAAAGAAAAAAAAAAGCAAGTCCAAACAAAAACATGATTCTTCAAGAACTAAACCCTTCAAAGAAAGAATAGTGAGAAGCATAGTTGAGACAAAAATGCATCTCTTGCTTTGAATTTCCATGTTATTTATGCTATATCACATTATATTGACACATGGTCAAGCTATGTCTGTGCAATAATTTTCATAGATATTGAACACACATTAAGTTTTACACTTATAAATTTGACATATTTTGGAATTCAGTGATTGATTGTTGTTTCATTCATAAAATAGGTATTTGGATCATATTATGTACTCAAATAGTGTATGTCTTAGTCTGTTGGGCTGCGGTAACAACACACCATAAATGAGGAAGCTTATAAACAACAGAAATTTATTTCCCAAAGCTCTGGAGGCTGCAAATTCCAAGATCAAGGTGCTGACATATTCAGCATCTGGTGAGGGCCCACTTCCTGGTTCATAGATGCTCCTTCTCAATGTCTTCTCACATGACAGCAGCAAAGCAGCTCTCTGGGACTTCCTTAAAAAGGGCACTAATCCCATTCATAAGGGTTCTGCCACATGATCTAATCACCTTCCAAAAGACCTGTCTCCTATTGTCATCACACTGATAATCAAGTTTCAACATATGAATCTGGTGGAGACAAACACATTCAGACCATAGCAGTGTGGTAGGAAGAATAATGACCCCCACCAAAATATGTCCACAGAATCTTTGTAAACGGCAGTTACAGGGCAAAGGGGAATTAAATTTACCAGATAGAATTAAGACAGCTAATTAACTGACCTTCAGATGGAGAGATTATTCTGGACTATTTAGGTAGGTCAAATGTAATCCTAAGTGTCCTTACAAGTGAAAGAGGGCAGCAGAAGGAAGAGAACTGGAAAGATAGTGGTTTTAGGAAGACTTGGCACAATGTTACTGGTTTTAAAGGTAGAGGGTTGAGCCAAGTAATTCTGTGGTGGCCTCTAGAAGCTGAACGCAGCCCTGGTACTGACTCCTTGATTTTTTACCTTATTCTGACCTAAAGGCCTCTAAGTTAATAACTTAGTGTTGCTTTAAGCCAAGGTAGAAATTTATTATGGGAGCAACTAAGAGTGAATACAGATTGCATTCCAGATCTAAGGAATCCTCCAACCTAATGAAGAATGAAGCAAAATACACAGGAAATTACAAAAGACTGTGGTAAGTGATGGAGTGGAGAAGTATGATTTTTTTTTTTTTTTTTTTTTTTGGAGGTGGAGTCTCACTCTGTCGCCCAGGCTGGAACGCAGTGGCACGGTCTTGGCTCACTGCAACGTTCGCCTCCCGGTTTCAAGCAATTCTCCTGCCTCAGCCCCCTGAGTAGCTGGGACTACAGGCACACACTGCCACGCCAGGCTAATTTTTTGTATTTTAGTAGAGACGGTTTCACCACGTTGCCCAAGAAGTATGATTTTTTAATAAGTAGGCAAGTCCATTAAACGCAGCCTAGAGACTAGAAAGGACATGAAATAAGAAGGAAGAATGTGTCTTATGGTAAGTGTGAGTTAGTGTTATGACTTAAGGTGAGTAAACTGCTGGTACAAAGATCAAGAAGCAAGAAGGAATGGGGCATTTTTGGATAATACTTTGGTATAGCAAGCCTGTAGTTTGTGAGTAAAAAAAAAGAAAAAACAATGCAAATAAAACAACGGAGGAAATAAACTACTAGTTATTTGAGAGAAAACTTGTTAAGGAGGGTCCATTTGATATCCTGAGGGGAGTGAAGGACCATTAAAATGATTTCAGGTTGAGCTTTGCATTTTAGGAAGGATATTCTTGCTGCCCTGTAAAGGGACTGGATTAAGAGTCAACAACAATGAATGCAGCGGGATCATGTACAAAGCTGCATTATTATCTAGAAATGATGCTGGGCTGAACTATGAAGACTCATATTGAGGACAGAGAGAGGGGACCAGTTTTTAAATTGTTTAGGGGAACGATTCAAGATGTACTTTTCATTCCTCCAGAAATGAAGGCAAGGGAGAGAATTTTTTAAAATATTATTATTGCTGTAGCAACTGGGTATAAATAGGGTAATGTAACGCTCTCAGTTAGAAAAACAGAAATATGAGTAGCCTTTGACATGTGGCAAACAGTGAGTTTAGGTTTGAACAAATGGCAGTGACGCGCCAGAAGAGAATCCATGTGACAGTGTCCAGTGGGCCAAGGATGGGTTGAAGAGACTAGTGGATGAGTATGATAAGATTCACAACTTTTCAACATGAACAATCATGCAGTTGCATCTGCTATCATATTTTAGCAGAAACCTATTTCAAATATCCTAAAATATCCTAATGGTGTTTTTGCAGAAATAGAAAAAATAACAATAAAAGCCGATGGCCATCTTCTTTGGCAGATGACCAAAAAGTACATTCAAAGAATATATTGATGTATCTTTAAATATATAAAATGCAGATATTCGTATATCTTTGAAAAAAAAATCTATCCAACTACCTTGCCAATTTTTATATTAATCTGTTATGTAGATGATTTGCAGTTTCCTACCATTCCTTGGGTGGTCTTTTCACTCTGTTGATAGTGTTCTTTGATGCATGAAAGTTCTAAATTTTGATGAAGTCTAATGTATCTATATTTTATTTTTTTACCTGTGTTTTTGTTGTTATAGCCCATAAAACATTACCAAAGCCAATGTTATGAAGAGTTCCTCCTATGTTTTCTTCTGACTTTTATAGATTCAGCTCTTACTTTTTGGTCATTGATCTATTTTTAAGGGTTTTGTTTTTGGTTTTGGAGGCAAATGGATATTCAGTTTTCCCAGCACTAGTTGTTGAAAAGACTGTTATTTCTCCATTGAATGGTTTTGGGACTCTTGTTGAAAACTGTTAGACAATGTATAGGAAGGTTTAGTTCTAGAATCTCTTTTATCTTCTATTCCATTCCATTGGTCTACATATGTTTTAGTGCCAGTACCATACTGTTTTGATTTTAATGGCTTTGTACTAAGCTTTAAAATAAGAAAGAATGACATCCCCTCCATCTTTGCTTTTCTTTTGTCAAGATTGTTTTGGCTATGTAGGACTCCATGCGATTCCATATGAACTTTAGTTTTTTTTTCTATTTCTGAAAAAACACTATTAGGATATTGATAGGGATTGCATTTAATCTGTAGATTACATTGAATGGTATTGTTATTTTAACAATACTAAGTCTTGCAGATATATTTTAAATCTGCCACATTTGCAGCTTCTTTCTCCATAAAATGCTTACAAATAAAAAATTGGCATAGATCAGAAATGCTTACAAATTTAAAAATAATATGAATATACTTTGGTTATAAAATTATGTATTCACAGATCATTTTAAGCTGAGAGATGAGTATAATAAGCTTCACAAGTTTTCAACAGGAAGAATTATGCAGTTGCATCTGCAATCGTGTTTTAGCTGAAACCTATTTTAAACAAAATGTAGCAGAATTTTTAGATTCAAATATGCTTGCACTCTTCCTTCTAGTAGAATTCAATATGTGAGTTTACTTGCTAGATTGCTGACAAGTTCAGAAACATTTAATCAGTTATGCTCAACCAGTTGCAAATTCTAACACTATTACAAGAACATGAACAACAGAAGGTGTTTTTTTTTAAATCATCCTGTTTTTTTCAAAGATAGATGCTTTGTGCACACTACAAGCAAGAATACTGAACGTATGTATGGTCAGGGATGCATAAGGAATGAGCACATCACTATGACGACTTTTTTGGACAGTAACATTCTCTGAGGCTCCCGTCCAGCTAACTTAAGAAATCTATCTGCACCACAAATGTATGATTATGATATAATTATACATTCAACACTTATACATAGATTTCAGGGCCCAGTGAACTGGTAAAGCCAAAGCTGAGATGAGTTGTACCATCCTCACATTGTTATGATGTTGAATTATATTCTCTATGACTTACTATAAGATGGCTTAGCACCAATAGTGGTATACATCTTTCCCTAATTTTATGTCTATACATTTACGAAGGTGTGGTAAATGAGAAAGGCAAGTCTTACACCTAATTCTACCATATATAAATATTCATATAATACCACCTGGCAGCAGAAGCAGTTTCTGTTGGGGATGTGACAAGGAATTCATCCACTGCTAACTAGCTAAAGTCTCTAATAGTCACTAAAAGGAACTTAATGGCTCTTAATGACCAAATTGGCATAGATCAGTTCTCAACACCCTGAAATCATGTCTCAGCTAAAGTCAGAGGAAAAGCCTGATAAAATTGTTCAGAAACCTTTTTTTTTCGGTTCAAACTAACACTTTTAGAATTATATTATCATGCAAATGTGAAGACAATTTCCTAATTGATATTTTATTTATGTGGTGACAGTTACATAATATAGAACCAAATTTTAATGCTTTCAGGTATTAGTAGTTTTTCAGTAGCTGTCTATGCATTGAAAAATGGTAAAAGGCCATGTAATACAAATTATAAAATTAGTTTTAGGGATAGGAAATCTCAGATCAATTTATTCTGCTTTATCGGATCCAGAAGCAAAAGTGAGTAGTTTCCGGAGGAAAAAAAAAAGAAATACTTTCCTAAAAAGGCAAAATAAATAAATAAAAAAAATAAAACAACAACAAAAAATAAACACAGTGATAATATAGCCTGGCTTTGGGGAAACAATCTTGATTGAAGCTGATAAGTCCCACTATCTCCATAAACTATTAAAAAAGCCCTTAAATATTCTAATATTTCAGCAAGTAGTAACTTGATGAGTTCAGTTTGAAATCAATATTTAAAAATATTCGTACACCTCAAAGGATTAGAAAACACAGATGAAAGAGGCAGTGTGATCTCATATAAAAATCTTTTACTGGCATTGTTTATTTTGTACATCTGTAACTATATACAAAAATGTGCTACTTTCTTAGAAATAAATACCAGAAACACAGTGCTAATACAAAATCTTTTTCTAACATCATATTAGGATAAATTTGTTTAATATGGAGTGATAACAACAGTGCAATATATAGGCAGTGGGGTATATAGCATTTTCACCTGTTGTTTAAACATATTTAAAAGATGTTAAAATATTTAATTACACAGTTTTAGTTGACTGTAAAATGTCTACAAAGAGCAGGAAAAGGACCTACACTTTTGATGGGGCTCCACAAAAATTATATTCTTTCTAAATGAAATGTGTCAAACTATAAGTAAAAAAAAAAAATCACTCATTGTAGCAATAAGATAAATTCCTGATCTCAGAAGTGTTACCATTTTATATATCCTAGCAAATGTGTAATCATAAAAACATGTTGAGCTGTCACCTATGTCATTTTCAGAATGCTAATATAGATAGTTCTTACAAAATATGATTATAATAAAATGAATTATGGTCAATGGAAATATGAGTCGTACATACACCATTAAACATGACTACAGGCTCGAATATTTAGTTTGCTCAACTAACTTTGATATTCTTTTAATCTAAGTTTTTCATCAGTAAAAAACAAATGTTAAATTTTAACTTTAAAACTTTAGACAAGTTCAATTTTTTATCCTTGAGTAGCTCAGAAAGTTTTTAACAAATTCATCAGAAATTATTTTATTTACCAAAATCTATCCCATCACATATATAAATTATTTTTGCTACAATACATTGTTAAATAAAATTTCTGGAGATAGTGTGATTTTTTTTTTTAATTTGAGGTTTGAAGTTGTCACCAATTTATTTAGGTGCACCCTCAAAAGTCACAACAAATTTGTTGACAGGATTATTACTAACTTTGAATTTATTTTGGATTGCACAATATAAATATTCTAAGAATCTTTTCTAGAAATTGTTAGCCTTATCCATCACCAATTTTGTTGGATCTTTTCCCCTAATATTCCTTAAATCCATAACTTCTGATTTACCCAACTCCACTTGTTCAAGCCCTCAAAACTTATCACTTAGAGAATTGCAGCCTGAGTTAGTAGTGCCCTGGTGAATGTTTACAAGCCAGCTCTCTAAGCTGTAGTGGTAATGGGTTGGGGTAAGGGGCTTGACTGTAGCATTTGACAATATCTGTGCTGTAAAGGTTCCCACCATGGGCCAATTTCAGGTTACCAATGTGACATCAACATGATAGCAGAGTTCTTGAAAATGAAATCATTGACCCCAAAATACCACTGATTGCACTATCTACATTTCTTTCTGCTTCTCATCTTATTTCTTAAGGCATTTTGCACTCAGTTTCATAAATGACCTCTCAAATGTAAATTACAATCCCTGTGTCACTTTTGGTGTCTTGCCTATACCTACATGAATTATCCAATTTCTCATTATTATGTTCACTAAGTTTCAAACTCTAACCCCTTCCTCCTAAGCCTCTTTTTTCACTAATTTCTAGTTTGCACTTTTGTCTCCCCCAGTCCCCCAAATGCTTGCAATTTCCCACACTTTTGGCTTTGCTGATGGGCCCCCCATAGCAGAAAAGCACCTGTCCTCTTGGATATTGTCCCCAAGGACTCTTATTCAGCGGCGTATGTAATTCAAAAGTGATCTCTGCTTAGAATTCATCCCTGTGGGTGGTCTTTTTCCATTGCCCCTTGAGATACTATATTGTAATTGCCTTTTACTGTTTAATTTCCTAAATAACAGAAAAGATTTCTCATCCATTTTTGTATTTGTAGTAACTAGCCTTAATAATGTCATGTAATAAGAACATAACAAATGTTGATTGTTGACTATGAAATTAAATGTGACTTGAAATATTAATCTAAATAGGTAAAATTACATAAGTGAATCATTGCACAGCTGATAAATTTTAAGCTACAAAATACTTACATAAAATATACCACATTTATTCTTCTTTGCCTGGCTTTCTTCTCTCTTCAATCTCTCCCCACCTTTCCAACATACTTTGTGTATTTTTTATTTGAAAAGTTTCCTTCTTTTGGAGTAGACAAGTACAATATGCCATATACTAAAATGCCTGATTTACTTGTTTATTCAATAAAGTGTTATTATCATTAATGCTAATTAAGCAACACTGAAAAGAAAGAGGGTAATCTTGCAAAGTTCTCTAGACGGTACCTGCAAATGTGCATATCCTCTCAATGTGATTTGTAATCTGCAACTTCTGTAAAGCTTTAAACATAGATGCTATTTGTTTGTCCCATATGGTGGGGGCAACAACTAGGGTCTGTTTACCTTACTTGAATGATTAGTAACAAGTTTACTGTAGTTTCCTTCCTTGTTATAGCAACAGTTCCCACTAGGAAGGACACATTTTACAATGAGTGCATTGCAGATGATATGCAGCACTCAGGCCCTAACAAAATCCTCACTCAGGCAGCTACACAGCACTTAGTGTACACACTTTGTTTCTATGTTTGTTGATGTTTATTTAACTTCAATCTATTTTTAATTGTTACCTAAGGATATAGCAAATATATATTGGAAATTTAACATAAATTTACTTTTTATCATTAAAAAATTATTTCCAAATTTACTAAGGATGATAACAATGGTAGATGGTGCTAACACTATATGGATAGAGGTAGATTATAAATTTAAAAAGAATGTATAATATAATATCCTTAAGAAATTCAACTTTGTTATTTAACAAAATCGAATAAAACAATCAAAACATTGATGAGTACTAATGAGTGGTATCAGGCATACATGCAATAAATAGCTAATAATCATCAAACTAATTACTTGTATAAAAGTATAAAGATGGATGTGCATTAACAAATTATTCTGCTCCTTGTAAAAATGTTAAAAACAGATTTGTTACTGTTTTTGAAATGCCTATAAAAGAAATTGCCACAAAAAGTATCATGCACTGAATTACTATGACATGTTAAAGTATTTTGCACATACCTTTTTAAACATAAATATGTACATATGTACATATATTTATTTTTACTGTGATGATCCTGAAAAAGTTTTTTTAGCATTTTTCAAACCTTTAAATAATTATTACATTCCATGTATCATAGTAATTTCCCTAGAGTTCTCAGAGGTAACAATATTCTAGAGCTATTTGTAAAACTTCAAAACGTGGAAGGTAAAACATTAATCCATGTGGTATATAAGGTTGTACAAGCTCCCTAAAGCTGTTTCACTGTTAATTGCTGGACTGAAATAATGCAAAGGGGAAGCACGTTTTTTTTTTTTTTTTTTTTTTCTCAGACTGAACAGTATCTCACATGAAAAGACTTACACGATTGGCGAATTTCTTTTAAGGAAAGGAAAGACATGAGTCATTAGTTACTAAAATAAGATTATTTTAAAAATTAGAAAAGCTATTTTTAAGGTACTAACTATGGACAGAAGATGTATGATTAAATGACCATCAATAAGGGCATTTGAAAAACACTTATGTATGGTGGCATTAAATACATTTTATTGAACTCGACAAAGGACATGAAAAATGTTTCTCAAAAGAAGACATACAAGTGGCAAAAAAAAATACATGAAAAAATGTTTAACATCACTAAGCATCGGATAAATGCAAATTAAAACCACAATAAAATACCATCTTACACCAGTCAGAATGGCTATTACTAAAAAGTCAAAAAACAAGATGTTGGCATGGATGCAGAGGAAAGGGAACACTTATACAGTGTTGGTGGGGATGTAAATTAGTTCAACCACTATGGAAAGCAGTATGGAGATACTTCAAAGAACTAAAAGTAGAACTACCATTTGACCCATCAACCCCACTACTGGGTATCTATCTACCCAAAAGAAAGGAAATCATTATATTGAAAAGACACCTGCATTCCTATGTTTATTGCAGCACTATTCACAATAGCAAAGTCATGGAGTCAACCTGAATGTCCTCCAATGGTTGACTGGATTTAAAAAAATGTGGTACATATATACCGTGAAATACTATGCAGTATTTCATAAAAATGAATGAAATCAAGTCCTCTGCAGCAACATGGATGAAGTTGGATGCCATTATCATAAGCAAACTAACACAGAAGCAGAAAATCATGTATCACATGTTCTCATTTATAAGTGAGAGCTAAACAATGGATACACATGGACATAAAGAGAAAGATAATAGGCCCGGCGCGGTGGCTCACGCCTGTAATCCCAGCACTTCGGGAGGCTGAGGCGGGCGGATCCCGAGGTCAGGAGATCAAGACCATCCTAGCTAACACGGTGAAACCCCATCTCTACTAAAAATACAATAGCCGGGCATGGTGGCAGGGGCCTGTAGTCCCAGCTACTCGGGAGGCTGAGGCAGGAGAATGGCGTGAACCCGACAGGCGGAGCTTGCAGTGAGCCAAGATTGTGCCACTGCACTCCAGCCTGGGCGACAGAGCGAGACTCCGTCAAAAAAAAAATAAAAATAAAAATAAATAAATAAATAATAATAAAAATAATAGGCTCTGGGGACTCCAAAAAAGGGAGGGTGTGAGGGGAGTGAGAGTTGAAAAATTACTTATTTGGTAAAATCTTCCCTTTGGGTAACGGGTACATTAGAAGCCCAGTCCCCACCATTACAGCATATATCCATGTGACAAACACATCTCTGAATCCAAAAAATACAATACGATAAATACATTTGATGTAACTCTTTCTAAAGTAAATATTCTATTTATGTTGAGAATATATACGAGTATGTTTGTCCCTTAGATGAAATCACATTCATTTTAGTATATGTTTTTTTGAATTTCTGAAAAGTAAATATTAATACAAAGTTCACACCATGTGATTTATGTACAAATGGAATTTGCACTTAAATTCATATTTAAAATACTTGGAATAAAATTTTAGATAGAGAAGTCATTATAATTTGACACTCTAATGTTACACTGTCCAAGAGGGTAGCCAGTAATTAACTACATGTGGCTATTGAACATTTGGCTTATCCAATTGAGATATGCTGTACTGTAATAATGTAAAATATACACCAGGTTTCAAAGACTTGGTAAGAAAAAAGAATGAATAATATACACTTAATGCTCATATTGGTATGATAATAATATTTTGGACGTGTTTAAGTAAATAAAATGTTATTAAAATCAATTTTGCCTGATTTTTCTTTTTTTAACGTGACTGCTAGAAAATTTCAAAATATTAGGATGGCCAGCATTTTTTGTTTATATTATGTTTCATTAGACAGTGCTTCTCTAAGTATAAAAGTGATAGTTTGGGCATGATAATACATAGAGTGTTACCTTCATAATTTTAAAAATTATGATTTTCAAACAATGGCAGCCATTAAAAGATGATATTCATTTGCATTTTAAAAAATTTCTGTATGGTCTCACTTATATGTGGAATCTAAAAAGGTCTGAAAAACATAATCCTTAGGCAAATCCTACCTAAGATTACTATACTGTAATCAGTGGAAAGAAATTTTAGGTTAGATGCACTAAGCTATGACTGACAATATATGGTACAGTGTGGAAAATAAGAATGATTGGTCAATTCTCATTTTATTGCACTGCAATTACACTTAGAGTCAGAAAAGACCTTACTCTATTAATATTTGTATGACAAAAAAAGCAAATACTTAAAAAATAAATATGATAAATGTTTCACTTGAACTGTCTAATTGTGTCTGCTTTTAGGATTATAAATCATTATGTTAGCAAGCAAAATGTACCAGTTAGAGATCAGAGTGTGAAGAATGCCAGATACTATAGGTGAAAAAAAGAACCCTAAAGGCACAATAGTGGTATCCCATTAAGGTAATCTTACAAATGGGACATTAAAGGACAAAATGAAGGACGGAGTTATTTTACCATGGGAAAAACCTAAGACTTAAAAAAAAATACAGTTGAAATTGGTATTGCTTCTCTTTCTCTCTTTCCATTACACTTGGTGTATAAAAATAATTTACTATGTTTAGGAGCAAAAAACTGTCCTTTTTGAATACATGTTTATAGGCTGGGTCTCAGCAATCATTTTGGAAAATCCTTTCCCTAAGAACCCGTATAGCAACAGCAACACAGACTAGAAAGCAAGGAAATGGTGCTGAGTGGTATTTCCCAAAATAGCCAGGGGATAGCTATGAACTCTAACATAAAATGTTTTATAATCAGCCCTGGCACAGGGACTCACACTTGTAATCCCAGCACTTTGGGAGGCTCACTTGAAGGTAAGAGTTTGAGACCAGGCTGGGCAACATAGCAAAGTCCCATCTCTACTAAAAAAATAAATAAATAAATTAGCCAAATGAGGTGGCACACTCTTGTAGCCTTAACTACTTCGGAGGGTGAAATGGGAGGATTGCTTGAGCCCAGGAGCTCAAGGCTGCAGTGAGCTATGATAGTGTCACTGCACTCCAGCCTGGGTGACAGAGGGAGAACTTGTCTCAAAAAAAAAGAAAAAAAAAGGATGATCATACAAACTAAAATGCACATTATTAATTTTGTAATGCTAGCATGTAATAGAGGAATTATTCTCCAAATATGTCAGGTGATTAAGTTGCTGCAAGGTTTCATATTATAATGATCTGTATATATGGGATTATTTTATAGTAGCTATAACATTATATAACACAATGATTCCCAAATCAAGGTAAGCTTAGAATTATCAATGCCTTTGTGTTTGAATGCAAGGTTTAGTCTTTCAGAGATAATTCATGAGCTCTAGGCCAGAGGTGAATTCAGTTGCTCTGGTAAACTTTGTTGTTTTATTTTTTAAATAGCAGAGATACAAAATAGTGACACATTATGATGTATAAATCAGTACACTTGAACAAAGTAAGGATGCCTGTGAAACCACTATAGATGTTAAATATAGACAGATGATAGATGGACAGATAGATAGATAGATAGATAGATAGATAGATAGATAGATAGATAGATGGAATGTTTCCAGCACCATAGATGACCTGATGTTTCCATCCCATTCCTTTTCCTTTCTCGCAAAGGCTACCATCATATTAATTCTAAAATCATAGAGGAGTTTTAGCTGTTTTGTATTTTATCTAAATATATTCATACTTGATGGATGCTTATATGTTCTGCTTCTTTATCCAGCATTATTATTTTTCAGTTTTCTTACATCCAACCTCTCAATCATCAGCACTTTTGCTTCTGCCCTTACATCTATATTGAAAGTCTCATGACCAGAGTTACTAGTAAGTTCCTTTCTGCCAAATCTAGTGGCCAAGAAGACTTCACTTTTTTTTCCCTTGGATTCAGCTTTGAAAAATGTTCATCAATTCTTCCTTAGTAAAATGTCATGGTGGTGCCCTGCTTTGGACACCACCTGTTAAAATGCATTTCAGTTTTAATTCTGGTATGGACTGAATTGTGTCTCCTCCAACTTCATATGTTAATGCCCTAACCCTCAATGTGACTATATTTGGAGATAGGGCCTAAAATAACGTTAAGGTTTAATGAGGTCTTTAGGGTGGGTCCTAATCTGATAGGTTTTTTGTCCTTATGAGACACCAGACAGCGTTCTCTCTCTTTGGTGACAATGCAGCAAGAAGGCGGGCATTAGTTTATAAGCCAGGAAGACAGCCCTCACCAGACACTGCATTGGCTGGTACCTTGATGCTAGACTTCCCCATCTCAAGAACTATGAGAAATAAATTTCCATTGTTGAAGCCACCTGTCTAACATATTTTGTTATGATATCCACTAAGACGGTTCTGAAGTCCTCCACTTTTGCTCATTCTTTCTCTCTTTACTTGCTCATCTTGAATGACCCAACCTTCTGACAGATCTTCAGTTTCTACCTACATATTCCCTATCTTTATTTCTGGCTGAGGTCACCTACTTGAACCACAATATTCTCCAAACAGAAGTTTGTGTATTTTTTAAAAATATACCAACATTTCCAAAATTTAACTCAATGTCTTTCCCTAAATTTGCATCTCTTCCCGTGACCCCTGCTTTAATAAACAGAAACACCATTCACCTTAGTAGGCAAGCTAGAAATTTGGGCATTATCCTTGACTCAAGTCCTCTCCCTGTCATGTATATGTAATCACTCACCAATTCAAGTTAATTCTGTTCATAAGTTATTTCTCAGATATGGCCACATTCCTGCATTTTTACTGTTGCTTCTTTGGTTCTGGCCCCGTCATCACTTTTAGCCTATATTAGTGCAACATTCTTAATTTTGTTCACTAAACTCTGCTATTTTTCTCAAACAAAGGTTTTTATATACTAATGATCTAATATCTATGAATGCTAATGTAATATTCATTTTTATTGTTCTAATTATTAGAAGCTTTCGATAAGTAATATTTTAGTGTAGCAGTTCTGCTTTCCCTGGAGAATGAGTTCTATTTTCCTCATAATGTCATTAACAAATCTATATTGCATTAAGAACTGTTTCGGCCAGGCGCGGTGGCTCACGCCTGCAATCCCAGCACTTTGGGAGGCCGAGGCGGGTGGATTATGAGGTCGGGAGATCGAGACCGTCCTGGCTATCACGGTGAAACCCCCTCTCTACTAAAAATGCAAAAAATTAGCCGGGCGTGGTGGCTGGCGCCTGTAGTCCCAGCTACTCCGGAGGCTGAGGCAGGAGAATGGTGTGAACCCGGGAGGCGGAGCTTGCAGTGAGCCGAGATCGCGCCACTGCACTCCAGCCTGGGCGACAGAGCAAGACACCGTCTCAATTAAAAAAAAAAAAAAAAAAAAGAACTGTTTCATATAGAGTGATGACATTTTCAATATAAAAGTTAATAATTAGGTGATTTAAATTTTTTTTAATATTTTAGAATTTTAGAATCATAGTTACCTCTTTTAAAGAACAATAGAGCTATTACACAATTAGTGTTAATATGATGTTCACAGTTGATGTGTTTTACTGACAAAAACTTAATTATTTTTATGCCTGCTAGAAACGTACCTTCTTTTGGATATTTGTACATATAAAGATCATGTTGAATTAATAGAAATTTTTAAAAGTGTGACATTAGAAGTTGAACACACAAAAATACATACACATCTTAAAGTACATATATATGTATATGGTTTTGGGAGCTACAACTTAGAACAGTTTAGTAACACTTCAAAAATCTATCACATTTACCAGAACGTCTCATACAGTTTTAAAAGTTCATAATCCTCATAAAATTTCACACAATTTTAAGGTTTAGTACTACAGTCAAAGTAATTTATTATTTAACTCAGGAAATGAAGTACATAGGAAGCAGTTTCAGAACAAAAATTCTATCTCTGGGTAGTCATTTATACCATTCTTGGTTATCTAGAAACTCTAAATGAAGTAACTCATTTCTAAAATCAATAAGCATATAACATCACTTCATCATTTCAATTGAGTTTCATAACCTAAGCAAATAAAGACATTTATTTGAGCATCACTTCTGAAGTTAAATGCCTCAATTAGTGTATGGTTATCTTGTCTGATGGCAAATCGCTTATATTTACTGACAGATTTAAATCAGAAGTATAGTATTCCATGCAAATCATACTTAATGTTATAATTTGATTAAATTTGAATTGGAAGACAATGAAATATTTAGCACTTGGTATAGAATAATAGCACTATTAACTCATTTTTAATTCTACGAGAAACTTTTGTCCTGGAAAATGAACACACTTTACTGAATATACTCATGACAACAAAATCCAGGGTGAAGGATGTACACTACCTTACCAGAGAATTTGGTATTTCCTCTCTATATTCAAAAGTATGTCACTAAACTTATTATTTATTGGATCCTATTAAATAGCTTTCCAAGTCTGTTAATCAGACAAGGCATGATATGAAATACTTGAAGCACACAATAAGGATTTATTTTAAATATGTTAGTAAAAATCAAATTATTAACAATACTAAAAATTATGAAGAAAAATTAAATAATTGACCATTCAATACCTATGATAAAATATTAAAATAACTTATCTAATCCACAAAGAAAAAAGGTATTTTTGAAAAACACATTATGTCTACTGGAATAACACTGCAATAATATAAAAACACTTGATAATATGCTATTTTTTTTACCATTAACTTTTTCCTGTTTGCGGATTACCCTTTACTATCTTCCATTTTATACCATGGCAGAGAGAAAGAACCTGGAACTCAGGAAGTCTGTTTACCTTTGTATCGACCAGAAAACAATTAATGAATCATGATAGATTTCTAACTTCTTCTGCCTTAGTTTATCCCTCTGGATATTCACTTAAGGCTTTTCTAGCTTTCTGAGCTTCTTTTTATAAAGTATGTGGAGGAAGGCATCCTGGATGTGGAAAAATGGTTCCTTTTTAGTCTTAATACATCTGTCATTTTGATCACTGTCTGTCTGAGATTATATATTCCTAGGGGAAAGGAAACCTATCTTTGTAAGTAGCTTTGACTATCACAACACCCTATACACAAAGGTACATAATACATGATTTTTGAATAGATTTCTTTTCCCATTAGTGTTATACATTTTTTATTCATGATACCTTAGTATTTTACAATTTTCTAAAATCATGTCATTATACAAAGCCTGTCACTAAACTTCACAAAACCCAAGTGGATTTAATTATCAGGTAATTTTATGGAGAGAGATAAAGAAATCGATAAGTATTTATAATTCTCATTAAAGTATAAATATCTTCTCACTAATGCAGATACAATCCACACAGGTCAGTTCTGTATCTCTGAGGGATCATTATATAGCTTGACGCCTAGTTTAAATAAGGGTGAAGCACTGAAAATGTAATACCTTACAAGAAGTTTGCTTGGTGACACCAAAAAGAATATGGAAATATTTCCCGTAATTGCAGCATTACTTAGAAAAAACATTATTTCCACTAAATGATGTTGTGAACAACATTTTATCATTGTTATAGGATAGTTTTGATTATCTAAAAAGAAAAAATTATCTCATGATTGCTGATTGCCAAGCAATTTCATTACCCAACTAACGTCTCTTTATGACTATTAAAAATGTAGACCCTTTGTATTATACATAAATTTGACCTAATGGCAGAATCATTACTATATTCACTAAATTCATTGTATTTACTACAAACAATTTCCATAAAATTTTTTAACATACTACTTTCTAATAGTTAATGAAACCCATATATATTTCCTTCTATCCAAATTCAATATTCCCTAGTACTTTTATGTGTAATCTGTTTTACTATATCTTTATTAAAACTTTTTATTGATTATTTAGATTTCTGACTTGTAAAATGTTATTTATAAGGACGATGCACTGATGTACCTTGTTTTCTTTAGCAACATCAAATTACATCCCAAAACGCAGTACTATTTTTCCCCTTGACAGGTGCAAGCAGTAGTATTTTAGGCAAAATTATTTTTACTGATAGGGCCAGGGATTGCTTTTCAGTGTCTTTGCTGGCTATCATAAAAATAACAGATTACTCATTCACATATTTCTATTGTTTCTCTTCCACTGTTGCACCACCAACAATAACTGTATTTTGAATAAATATCTTACACAAACATATCCATTTAATACTCTTGTTGATGCTGGGTAAACTATATACGATTGAAATTATTTCCAAGCATGGCTGTAGAAGTTGCCTACTTCTGTTAGTCAAGTCTATGTATCTTTCTATTGAGAGATGGAGGTAGTGGTTAGGAGATTAGACTGCTTATTTATTAAAACTATTTAGTAAAATGCCCAAAATAATTTCTACATTTTCATAAAATTTCAGGTTGCAACAGATAATGCAGTTGGGCCAGGTTTTTCTAAATGCCCTAATATGTCAAGTATCTGACTTTTTATTTATGTTATTCTTTCTATCTACTACCCTTTGCTCATCTCCAAAAGTTTAAATTCACTTGTCCTTAAGATTAATTTAGTTATTTAATTTCCACCACCTTCATAAGGTATCCCTGATTTCCAAAACTAAATATCGTATTTTCAACTTACTTAATATTTTGTAGGCTTTGTAAATAACACCTATTTCCTTCTATCTTATATGATAGTATCATTCATACCGACATATGCACACACACACACACACACACATTATTATATGTAAACATAAGTTTTTCCCTGACAAACCACATTTTCTCCCTGTTACCTTGCCACCATGAGTACACAAAAGAATGCCCACTACAGCAGGAAGCATAGGGAAAAACACATAGACTTCATAATTAGGTCAACATGAGTTTGATTAGAAACTCAGCCACCTATTTGTTAATTTCTGTGTATTTCACCTCCTTCATATAAAGTAGAATAATAATGCTGTGTTCTTTTTATTTTTTTATTTTTTGGAGACAGAGTCTCACTCTGTTGTTTAGGCTGGAGTGCAATTGCGTGATCTTGGCTCACTTCAACCTTTGCCTCCTGGGTTCAACCGATTCTCCTGCCTCAGCGTCCCGAGTAGCTGGGATTACAGGCGCCTGCCACCAAGCCCGACTAATTTTTGTATTTTTAGTAGAGATGGGGTTTCTCCATGTTGTCCAGGCTGGTCTCAAACTCCTGACCTTAGGTGATCCGCCCACCTCAGCCTCCCAAAGTGCTGGGATTACAGGCATGAGCCACTGCGCCCTGCCAATGCTGCTTTCATTTTATCATTTTTGAAAAGTAGCTAATCTAACAACACCCTTCTAAAGAACTAACAGTTTACCGGATCATCCTGTGTTGCATTCTGCCTAGTAACTTAAAGTGAAAATACAACTTAACCATATCCAAAGAGCGTATTTTTATCGTGATTTAAAAATTTATAAGCTACAACTTTTTTCATATATTATTTTGCTTAAATTATCACATAAAATATAATACAGTGTTTTAATAAAAATTATCATGCAGTAAGAAAATTATCTTTATTTACATGAATTTTTAAGAAGAAAAATACATTTAAATAACTTCTCCAACATCAGACAGCTGATAAATGGCTAAAAGTCAGGGGCATAATTCAAAAAAGACCTTTTTACACAAGTACGTATTCTACTTCCTATCTTTTCTGAAAAAAAAATGGAAATTTTGGTTTCAAGTTCTGAATTAAACTGAGTCCTGTTTAATTTTCCTTCTTTGGTGATTTTCTAATACCAACTAATAAATTTACTTTGTCTTTCTTTCTTTTTACACGTAGCTCCTAAATCCTTGTTTTTTGTTTATTGTTTCTTAGTCCTTTCTCTTTCAATTATTTTACTATTATTATTAATATTATTGCCATGGAGTCTTGCTCTGTCACCCAGGCTGGACTGCAATGGCGCCATCTTGGCTCACTGCAACCTCCGCCCCCGGGTTCAAGTGATTCTCCGGCCTCAGCCTCCTGAGTAGCTGGGATTACAGGCGCGCAGCACCACACCCAGCTAATTTTTGTATGTTTAGTAGAGACGAGGTTTCACCATGTTAGCCAGGCTGGTCTTGAACTCCTGACCTCAGGTGATCCACCCACCTCAGCCTCCCAAAGTGCCGGGATTACAGGCATAAGGCACCCATTAGCGGCCTCTTTGAATTATTTTTAAAGAATAACCTGATAAGTAATTTTGGTTAATCAAGTCATCTTTATGACTGTTCTAAAAAATACATTTAGTCACTCTGAAGACACACTTCGGCAATTCAAACATGTATCAATTTTTCCAAAATACCTTAATAAAAATATAACTCTTGATTCTAATGCCAATCATTGCCCTTCAAATACACTCAAACTACATCTGTTAATCCATTTTGGTTTCCCAATGAAGTTAAAATATTTGAGTGTGTAAATAATTGTTTTTGATACATGGTGACAACTAGTCAAAAGCTCCTCCTGCTCTAAAATAACCTTGAAAGCAGCATTGAGGAACTAATGTCTTAAACTATAATCAATGAGAATTGATGATATTCGTGGTTATCAAATATTTCTAACTGTTCATTTCAGAACTACTGAATCCCTTAGCTTTTTCATATGTTTCAATACAACTTGAAACTTAAATTCACTAAATTATATAATTTTTCTTAAGAAACAGCTTGTACTATGAGAGCAAGCAAATAGACCATATTGTGTAAAGCAACAGGAAAAAGAACAAAGGGAAATTGGAGAATGAATCTTGTACTCACGGAATGCTCTATAAAATTCTTCAAGAGCCAGGTGCTTGTCAGCATTAAAATCATCATATTTCAATAGAACATACAAAGTACAATCAAAGAGATCCTTGCCAAGTTCTTCCTGTTTTATCACCTAACAAGAAAATTATAAACCATACCTTTAGATTTGTGTCTTAAAATTTCTATAATATAATTTATTATATGTAATAATCACATAATAGTTCATTTCATGTCTGCAGCAGGGCAAAAAACTCAATTTTGGAAAAATCCAGGTTTTTAGTTACTGAACAATCATTTTTAACCTTTTCAAAGATATAAAGTTATGATGTTAAGATAGGTAATTACAATTTCGTTCAAACGTTCTAATATAAAAGTTTCACAGTGGAACTCAACAAATCTGAACATTTAAAGAACATTTTGTATTTCATGCATTTTCTTTGCTCCATTTATACTGACTCAAGGAAATACTTCTGCATGAAAATTGCCTCCTGTGTCTCGGTGACCTATGTCAAAATAAAACAGTGGTCTTTCCCAACAAAAATAGTGAGACAGTTTGTCCCAACTTTCTTCCTCATATGATTTGTAAAATAATGAAGTTAGGTTATTTTTTCTCCTCTGCCTGAACTCCTCCCCAGCTGGAATTTAAGTCATTTGGGATTGTGCATGAATTCCCTTGGTCACAAAAGAGCTATTAAGCAAATGACTGTTTCCAGGAGCTAGATAGAATTAATGCACCGATTGATGATGAAAATCTATCCAGGCGTGAGTGAAGAAAATCATCAAACTTCTATTCTAGTCTGTGCTCTAGTCTATGGACTGCGGCTGCAGCTTTTTGGTATTCTACTGATTTTGACTATTTATTGTCATATAACAGAGCTTACCAAGATTTTTCAGACATTTCTATTGTGGTAGCTGCATAGCTGTGACCATGGTTTTTCATACTCTCTCACATACAAAGGCAGGGATTTATACTGCTTGAAGCTGTGCATCACAGTGGTTGGTTGGTTGGTTTGTTTGTTTTAAAAGTGGTGCGGTATAATCAGAAAACAAAGACTTCAAAATCAGGTGGCTCTGGGTTCGGGACCTGCCAATGCCATTTAATACCTCAATAATTTCTGGCAAATCATTTACACTTTCCTCAATTAGAAAATGAATGTGAAGATTTACACACACACACATGCACACACAGAGTCAGGTGTAAGACATAACATACAGCATACACTCAAAAGTGATCATTTAACATTAAAAATAGTAATTTTTACATAATGCATTGCTTCTTTAAATAATTCACTGCAGACTTCCAGACATCAGCTCGTGCATGTTATGGTTGCACATTCACAATGAATTATCATTTCTTTTGGTGGAGCAGAATGTCTTGGACTTTCTTTAGTACAGCAAAGGCAGATTGGTGATGCTACTTTCTAAAGATCCTCAGATGCTTTTGAGCTATTTTTTCACCTTTTTTGGAACACTCCTGTGTTGAACGTTTCATGATGTCTGAGTGTAGATAGACTGAGGAGATAACTCTGAAAATGGAGCTAAGCATCTGGGTCACTGGAGCCTCCAGCACCCTCTCTAGTCAGCTAAGCAGTGATATGTAATGTTAGCACATGCAGTGCTAAATAGAACTTTTGCAACTCAGTGAGTTCTTTATTTTTGTGTATGTATCAGTGTTAAAATTATATTGGTTAAGCTGATTATTTGTTACCTTGAGGAAGAAAAAAGGCAAAATCTTATCTGGTTTAACTGACCCATATAAATAGAAATTGTAGATGGCAAGCCCTAAACTTTTGCACAGTCCAGCTGGATGGATTAACAAAACTACCTAACGCTGAAGCCATCTCTTCTATAAGCCTAATAAAAATACATATATTACAATTTTTCTATTTAGAAAGCAACAGAGCTCTCAGTCATTCTCCATTTGCTATTGGTTAGATCATAGAAAATGACTTTTGACTTTTCCTGGGGGCTGGGAGAAGGGGCAGTGTGCGCGATTCTACCGCCCTATGCACTAAATATGTACAATGTTAGCATTGTGGTAATATTTAGGATGCAGTGATACCAGGCTTTATTCAGACATTTTAATGACTTTTAGTCTCTCATTTATTTGTAAATAGAGATGAGCACAAAGATGGGGAAAAGCTTTTGTCATTTTCTGTCTCATGTTTATTTCTGTTTTAATACTTTACAAACTTAATGTATTAGACCAAGATATTGGACTTCCCACTTTATACTTATCACTGGCTCTTGCATAAGACTAGTTTGATCTTGATTTGATCTTGGCCTTCACTTGGTCATGATGATACAACTTAAGCTGGGCAGGCCATTTTAATGCATGTGACCTTGAGAAGCCAGTCCTGGCTAATAAACTTCTTATTTTTTAAGCCCTTATCATCTATACTGAAGCATATCCATGCATAGGACAAAGTAGATTCATTTTCTTATTCTAAATATTTCAAATATTTGCTCTTTTATCTCATTTAAGTGGGTCAATGAAATACCCCACTTAAAACATGATTCTTAGTAATTATTTCTCTCCTTCATGTGTCCTGAGGGGAAGCTTTGTCACATTCTGGTGTTTACTAATGAGGGAGGTACTTTCCTATGACTTTTCTTCTTTTCTGTTTTTTCACATCTTTATTGAGGTATGATTGATATAAAAATGGCACATATTTAATGTAGAATGTTTTATGTGTTTACAGGACATTTCAATCAGCATTGAAAAATTGGTTTAGGTACCCAGAATTTTTGTTTGTTTGTTTTTGTTTTTGTTTGTTTGTTTGTTTTGAGACGGAGTCTTGCTCTGTCGCCCAGGCTAGAGTGCAGTGGCGCATCTCGGCTCACTGCAACGTCTGCCTCCCAGATACCAGAATTTTTATAGCTTTACAGTCATGAGTATTTGATGGTCAAAAAGAAAGTATGAAAAACTACACAAGTAGACTTCCTTCCTCAGTCCACAGTAACCACTCGTTGGCACAAACTTGTAGGGCTCTGATAGTTCCTTGCACTTCTTTCATTTAGTGTTTGACACTGGTTCCAAAAACTCACTGTAGACTTCTCAAAAGGCACATGTTAGTTCTTAACTAGCAATTCATGACACTGCCAGATTCACTAAATATATTTGAATATATCGTATTCAAATATGTTGTGATGATACTTCATTATCTCATGCTATTTTTTATCTCATACCATTTTACCTCTTATAAAATGATATAAAAGGTAATAAGTGGTATAAGTGGTATAAGAGATAACAAGATACCATCTTATGATCTTGATTGGTCAAAAAGACCAATCATATTTTCACTTGTTACCTCGGATAAAATGGTGAGGTTGTTTCTCAAGCCTACCAAAGTTGGTAAACTCCTCAAGGAGTCTGGTAGCCTTAAGGCTATCAAAATAAAATCTTTTACACTTTTTTTTTCACTGATCAGAAGTCAAGTTATATGAATCTTGGGCCCTCCAATGGTTTGGTTCAGTGTGAAAAAACAGAAGTATTAGCAGAATGGATGGCATCAGGGGAGTTCAGACACACAGCATGGAACAGGGAGTACATTTTGAACTTCAATGTAATAGAAATGTCAAAGTTGCACAAGGACTGTAACAAATCAGGAATGACTCACTGTCTTGGTACTGTATTCTCTTTTGTTCCAAAACAAACAATAAAAAAACTTGACCATCCGCAAAATGAACTATTCTCTTTACTGTTTTTACTATTCTCCTTCACTCACTAACTCAATCATCCATTCAACAAATCCTTTTAGACTGCCTACTATGTGTCAGGCATTGTCCAAAACTCTGAAAACACAGCAGACAACAAGATAGACAAAAATCTTTCCCATATGAAACTCATATTCTGGTGAAGGGAGAGCAAAGAAATATAGTAGTAAATATATATATTTTGCCATAGAATGAAAAGTGATATAAAAATAAATAAAAATGAGAAGAAAAATTGAATGTGCCAGAAGTGGATGTAAAGGTACTGTCTCCCAAGTATAGAGAGGTATGGGTGTTAGATTTCTGGGATTAGGGGATGATTTGGAAGTACAAGATTTTTATGCTGACTTTCATGGAAGATATACAAGACATGGGATTGATTTTGATAATGTGAAGGCAAGTCATGGCTATGAAGCTATGGGTGTAGGGGAGAGAAGGACAGAAAAGTAGGATCTTCTAGTTCTATGTCCACTTATTTACTCTCTTTGGTGGAGACAGGCAAGAAATAGCAATTGTGAACTCATAGAGTAACGTACCATTCATATGTTTGAGTTATTTGAGTTCTTCTCCATCCTTTGCAAAAATATTTTTCCCAAACTAATCATGATCATGTTGAAGTCATATGCTCAGTGCCCAGTGCTCCTCTAATCAAAAGAAAGCCCATTTGATTTGAGGTAATATGTACATTACTTCAAAGACTAAAGGTAAGAAAATAAGTATACCCCTTCGGTGAGAAGAATGTACATTTCCGGGTATTAGATGTATGCTTCTCCCATACAGTCAATATAAGCTGGTTCTTGGGCTACTTGGTCTGAACAGCTTCTTGTCTCCCCCCTTTCTTCCTTTCTTCTTTTTCCTTTCTTCCCTCTCTCTTTCCTTTTCCTTATTTTCAACCAACACGTGCCCAAAACTATACTAAGTGCTGGAGGTGAATTAATAAGAATGTCACAGTCCCTGCTCTCATTGAGTTTTTATTCTAGAGATGATCACTGGAAACAGCAATCTAATTATTAAGTGAGATAATTACATATTATCAGCAGTACTCTAAAAAATAGATCATGTGAAAGGACAGAGTTAATAACTAATATTACACATTTTATGTGTTTAGTTATATATAACAAATGCTATCCTACAAGAGATGTATTTTTGTTGTTATTGTTTTTGAGAGGGAGTTTCACTCTTGTTGTCCAGGCTGGAATGCAGTGGTGCGATCTCGGCTCACTGCAACCTTTGCCTCCTGGGTTCAAGCAATTCTCCTGCCTCAGCCACCCGAGTAGCTGGGACTACAGGCTCCCACCACCACGCCCAGCTAATTTTTGTGTTTTTAGTAGAGACGGGGTTTTACCATGTTGGCCAGGCTGGACTTGAACTCCTGACTTCAGGTTGTCCACCTGCCTCAGCCTCCCAAAGTGCTGGGATTACAGGTGTGAGCCACTGCATCTGGCCTGGAGATGTATTTTTAAAAAGATTGAATGGAAATAATTACATTTTCTTTTAGGTTTCCTAAAGTGCCTAATATAACATTTAAAAAAAATCAATATAGCCAACTTTAATTTTTTTGAAAGACCAGTTGAAGAGATATCATTATTTTCATTAAACCACTGGTGGAAAGAAAAGTATTTTATTTTTAAGGTATCCTACATGGCTCACAAGGATTTTCTGAACATGAATACTAAGTTTTTAAATGCATCTTGACCATCTAAAGTAAAGATACTACAAATAATATGTTTAATATTTTAAAGCCTAAATGTTAATACTATAGTTACCTTGTGTTTGTTACGAACAGCGCTTAAAAAATAACTGAAACTAGTTACTAACATTTCCAGGTACAATTGAAAGTACTAATTTTGTAATTGTAGCTTTGAGCTGGGCATATAACAACAGTTACAGGCTTTATCTTTCTCTGTTAAGTGATCATTGTTGCTCTTATTATTCTCAAATCTTTAGCTAATGGCAGGGAAATTGCCAACACTACTAAGATCCACCCACTGGCATTGACAATGTCATTCTAAGTCAAACACCTGGTTTCTCCTGCCTTATTTTGTATTACTGATGGAATTATGGGCATTTAAATGCATGAAATAGTTGTCCATTCTGCTCTAAGGGATGATCTGGACAAACATCATTATGCTTTACACTCTCTGATGTTAAATAGGATTAATTACCATGGCATTCCCTGGAAATTCTCACTTAATCTCACTCTTCTATCCATACAAGTGCTTATTTATTTGTATTTACTTTGTCCCACTGAAACAGCATTTTATCTGTGAGATAAAACGGCTATTATAAATCTCATAGCAAATAAATATGTTGACTAAATCAGAACCTTTTTACAAATACTTATAATTGTGAAAGAGTTTATGAACTCAGCGTAAAGATTAACTGTTCATTTCCCCTTGTAACATTTGTAATGATTTTTAAAGAAAAATACTTCATTTGTAAAAATGCTGCAAAAACCTATTGGCAGTCCCATCTTGTAAGCTTGAAAATATACACTCTTATTCATGCTCACTTTTAATTTAATTCTGTAAGTATATTCACACATGGCAGTCATTGAGCAAATGGCATTTTAAGTCAAATACGTATAACATAATAATCTAAATCCTGTGAATAAGTAGTTCTTTTCATTATTTTAATAAAGAATTGACATATGTTTATATAAGGGAAGTATTTTATTCTAATATGCATTTTTTTTTTTTTTGAGACAGAGTCTTGCTCTGTCACCCTGGCTAGAGTACTGTGGCACAATCTCGGCTCACTGCAACCTTGCCTCCCGGGTTCAAGCGATTCTCCTGCCTCAGCCTCCCCAGTCGCTGGGATTACAGGTGCTCGCCACCATGCCCGGCTAATTTTTGTATTTTTAGTAGAGACGGGGTTTCACCATCTTGGCCAGGCCGGTCCCGAACTCCTTACGTCATGATCCACCCACCTCCGCCTCCCAAAGTTGATGAGATTACAGGCGTGAGCCACCGCGCCAGCTCCTAATATGCATTTTTAATGTAAATCAGTTTATTAAGATGACAGAATCTAAATGGAGAAAAACCTAAATCAATATACTCAACGCAGCTGCTTATCTAAATTCAGAATCACAAGGGAATGACTTTGCTCACTTAAATTCTATGAGTGTTATTTTATCAAATGGGGAAAGGGCTAAGAAGCAGATTTTTCATGTTGTTAGTACCATTTCAAGTCCTCTGTTTGCTGCTGACAAACTGAGGCCGCCATTCTACCAAGTGAAGCCTGCTGTGCCTCCCCTCATCTGACACTGTGAACCAAATATGCAGGACCACGATGCCAGAAATAGTTGCCTATGCTCCTCTAAGTAACACTCTGGACAAAAATGCATTTGTATTTCATACCGTGGTTTATTTCTGTGACCCAGTGAAATCGATGGTTCCCCATATTGCTCTGCACAGTTTCCAGTTTGGCCCCAAACCCATGATTCTCCAACCTAAACCCATCATTGTGTCTTCGGGAAATCCTGCTCAATCAGAAAACTCTTTTGTCCTCAATTACTTATACAAATATATTCTTCACCATACTGACTTTAGAAAAATCTGGCTTCCCCTTAAAATTATTCGTTCAGTAATTTTAATGAATTTAATCAGAGGCTAATTTTTCTCATATCTGTTGTACTTCAGTGTAAGAAAGGTGTAGACAACGGCTGTATAGGCACTTCTGGATTATTTATGTTTCCCAAGCAAGTCGTTTTCCAGATAGATAATTAGAAATATACAGATATAAAAGATAGATGGATATACAGATACAGATAGATAGACAATAGATGATAGATCGATTGATAGATAGATAGATAGATAGATAGATAGATAGATAGATAGATAGATCTCACTCCTTTGAATCTCAGGCCATTCGGTTACATGACTCTCCTATCCTCTCCCCAAAGTTTAGCTCCTGTTTCTCAGTATTTCTGTCTACCCATAGTCTTTCAATATTCCCAGTGACTTAAATAACAATGTGAATAAACCACCCAGAAGAGCTCTATGCTCCTTTTCATAAGAAATTATCATTAACCTTCTTTCTTGCAGTGACTTTTTTTCTACATGTTGGCCTGTCAAAAAGAATATGCCCATACCTTAGGTTATTTCATTCAGAATTTTGCTTTCAAGAATTGCACATCCAGGTCTGTTTTAGTCATAATCTATGTTCTCAAAACCACAAATGTGTTGTGTGGCTGAGTGACTCACGATGTACTTACAATACTTATGGGAGAGACTAAGATGCCTTGGTCAAGTTTGTGACATTCTTTCAAGAAAGAAAGTTCTTTACACGTTTGTCGAGGCTTTTCAGGGATTTATTCTCTGAGACGTACATTGTAAAATTAAGTCAATTTAGACCGTAGCTTTTCAACCACAATTTTCACTTAAGCAAGCTTTATTGAAACTGAGATTTTACAACAGCCCCAAAGAGAGTGCTGAATTCTTACTGTTGGAGAAGATAGCTTAAGAGAAGGAATACAAAGATCTAGATAACAAAGATGAACCTCAGACACCTGTTTATATTTTAAAGGGAAAAGCTAAGGTAGAGATTTCACACCTTATGCAAATGGAATAGCAAGTATTTTTAGTTCTTTCATTACCAGAATCGGTTACTGGTAGATGAAATAGGACGATTCAGAGTTCCACATACTCATTCTGAATAGGATTCAGACAATATAGCACAGATTTATTCAAAACAACATAAAAGAGAGCCACTCAGAATTAAAGAATCAAATTATCATCTATGCATTTTCAATAAAGAGAAAATAGGCAATGAAAAACAAAGACACACCAACGAAAAAAAATCTGTGTGTGTAAAACTTTAACTTTTTCAGATGGTAATTAACGCACATATGCGAGAGAGAACCTTCTGTTCTATTCCTGCAAGAAACACATTTGATAAGTTCCCCACCCTATCTTATCATGTACGTCTGTATTTTTTTGGAGAGGCAGAAACCCTCAAGAGAGGGCTAAAAGTGGGTGTGATACACACTTGAGGAAATTGAAAAATATGAGGATTTTATCTGGCTCTGAAGATGTAAAATATATGGCACAAGACAGAGACCAGGAATTTCCACTAGCCTCTAGAACTTCAAATATCTGTGCCCCTAAGGGAAGTCTATGATAGATACTGCTATTAATCTTGATATTGTTATTAACTCTACCTTCCTTAAAAATGAATGGCAACTTACAGAATATATACCTTGCCATTCGTTTTCAAGGAAGGTAGATGTTGGTAACTGTGAAATGTGATATATTTGGTTATACAAATTTAGGAGGAGGATCTAAAATACAATCACACTGTTTTGCATAATAAGGAATTTGGAGCCCCAGGAAAAGTACAGAAATTCGACTTGAGAGACAGACTTATCCATTATATCTAGGGTGTAAGGAAGGCAAGGCTCTTATATTCTATACAGAATACAAGGAAATAAAACATAAAGGAAGTACTCAATCTAAACTGTATTTCAATGTGTGATTTGTGTAATATGTAATGTAAACCCACCGTCTATCTCTCTTATACATCTTCAATCAAATATTCATGCCATTTTGCAAATGGATGTTTTTTTCAGAGCTCAAAGGGAAGTACAAAAGAAGCAACAGCGCCTACATCAAAAGAGTGGAAAAACTTTAAATAAACAACCTAATAAAGAATCTTAAAGAACTTAATGAATCTCAAGGAAAAGTAAAAGCCAACCAAACCCAAAGTCAATAGAATAAAAAAAAATAAAAATTAGAACAGAAATAAATGAAATTGAAGAAAGAAAATGATACAAAAGATAAGCAAAATGAAAAGTTGGTCTTTTAAAAAGATAAATAAAATTGACAAACCTTTAGCCAGATTAAGGTAAAAGGAAAGAAAACCAAAATAAATAAAAATCAGAGATGAAAAACTAGACATTAAAACTGATACTACAGAAATTCAAAGGATCATTAGATGCCCCTATGAGCAACTATATGCCAATAAATTGAAAAACCTAGAAGAAATGGATAACTTTCTAGACACATGTAACCTACCAATATTGAACCAGGAAGAAATCCAATATCTGAACAGACTAATAACAAGTAATGAGATTGAAGCTGTAATAAAAATTCCTTCAGCAAAAATAAGACTGGGACCCAAGCTTCTCTGCTGGATTTTACTAAACATTTAAAGAACTAATACTAATCTTACTCAAACTATTCTGAAAATTAGAAGAGGAAGGAAAACTTTCAAACTCATTCCATGAGACCAGTATTACCCTGATTCCAAAACCAGAAAAAGGTATATCAAAAAATGAAAACTATAGGCCAATATTCCTGATAAACATTGACGCAAAAGTCCTCAGCAAAATACTGGCACACTGAATTCAACAATAACTTCAAAAGATCATTCATCATGATCAAGTGGGATTTATCCCAGTGATGCAAAAATGGTTCAACTTACTCAAATAAATCAATGTGATATATCATATCAACAGAAAGAAGAGCAAAAAGCATATAATCTTGTCAATTTGATGCTGAAAAAGCATTTGATAATATTCAACACCCTTCATGATAAAAAGCTTAGAAAACTGGGGATAGAAGAAATATACAACAAACCCACAGCTAGCATCATACTAAATGCAGAAAAACTGAAAGCCTTTTCTCTAAGATCTAGAACATGACAAGGATGCTCACTTTCAACACTGCTTTTCAAAATAGTTCTGGAAGTCCTAGCTAGAGCAATCAGAAAAGAGAAAGAAATAAAATTTGGAAAGAAAGAAGTCAAATTACTGTTGTTTGCAGGTGATATAATCTTATATTTGAAAAAAAAAACCTAAAGACTCCACCAAAAAAACTATTCACAATAGCCAAGATTTGGAAGCAACATAAGTGTTTATCAACAGATGAATGGATAAAGAAAATGTGGCCTGTATACATGATGGAGTAGCATTTAGCCATAAAAAAGAATGAAATCCTGTCATTTGCAACAACATGGATGGAACTGGAGATCATTATGTTACATGAAATAAGCCAGGCACAGAAAGACAAACTTCATATATTCTTACTTATTTGTGGGAGCTACAAATGGAAACAATTGAACTTACAGCGATAGAGCATAGAATGGTGATTACCACAGGTTGGGAAGGATAGTGGGTGTAGGTTGGTGGGAGGTGGAGATGGTCAATGGGTAATGAATAAGATCTAGTATTTTATAGCACAACAGAGTGACTATAGACAATGCTAATATTGTACATTTTCCGCAACTAGAAGAATTTAATTGAATTGCTTGTAGCAAAAAGGATAGATGCTTGAGGTGATGGATACCCCATTTTCCATGATGTGATTACTGTATATTGCATCCCTATATCAAAGTGTCTCATGTAACCCTTATGTATATATACCTACTATGTACTCATAAAAATTAAAAATTAATAAATAAAAAGCGACAGAATCTTGATTATAGTCATGCATATCTGAGGACTTACAGATGTTTAAGTATTTAAATTGTAAAATATAACTAATGAAAATATATTGTTTCTTTCATCACATATGTATGTCCTCTTGTTCAAGACAACGTTTTCATTATTTTTAAAACTTAATTTTATGGGCAAGAAAAAAACTGCATGAATTTAAGTATATAATACTTCAATATATGTAGACAAATTGTAATGTAATATTTATTAGCATCTTAAAACAAAATATATATAATATTTATTTTAAGTTCAGTTCAATTTAACATTTTATCTATAAAGGCATAGACACTACATTATCTGGGGGGATACAGCCCAATATTACAGTGGTCGCAGAATGTCAATGTTTAGTTGTCTCTAGGAGAGAATTCTTAGGATTAGGAACACTCATGCGAGCTATATGAGACAGGTAGATAAGCTCCTTAAATGAGATGAACAAAACGAATATTGTGCTATCGTTTATTTTTCTAATTTCTTGAAATAAGAAAAATTATTCCTCTTCTATGGCAGGACAATTATTTTATTATAAAAATCAATGCTAAAGTTTTTACTAGCATAAAGTTGTGCACATAGATTTCTGGGTTATAATGGCTGCTTACAGTATTTGTTTTGTTCTTATGCACTATCCAACTGTAAGCATTACAAAATATTTATCAATCACTCATCCACTATTTCAAGAATATGCCTTCCCTTTATCTCTATTATAATCTACTACATCTTCACAAATGATATGAAAGTGTACGTATAAGTAACAAGTACATCATGCTTTCTATGTGCTAGCAATGTTTCCAATAAGCTTGCATGTTCTAAATAATAACAGTGTCACATGAAATTTACATACTGGGTACTATTATCATTGCCAGTTTATATATCGAGAAACTAAGACACAGAAGCTTTAAGTAAATAGCCATCCTACTTGGAAAGTAGTAGAGATGTGATTTGAACCCAGACTTTATAATAAAAGTTCTTAACCACTATGTTATGAGCATCAAAAAGATAACTTATAAAAAATATCCTAGGATTTCATCAATTTAGGGCCACTACTCCTTTGCTACTTGAAATATTATCTTTTGGTCTTGAAAATGAAATGTATGTTCCATCTTAATCTTTGTTGATGTCCCTTCTTCAGTTATAACCTGTTTTAATCCTTCCATATGTTTGATTGATACTAAGTGTTTTAAAATCAATATTGTCAACTTCATAAAACACAGTTCTTGTAAAAGTTTAAAATTTCAGCTGGGCACCGTGGCTCACGCCTGTGATCCTCACACTTTGGGAGTTTAAAATTTCACTTTGATATACATTTGCATTTTTTGTTAGATATTCTCCAAACACAAAAATAGGTCTCAGACTGAAAGACTAACTGTGCAATTATGGACAATTCTGTTAAGTTAGAATGATGAAGAGGTGGATTGAATGAGATCTATTTCTATAACTGGTCAGTTCATTTTAGCAGACCTTTTTGCTATGACAACCTGCTAGCTGAGATTCTAAAGAGCCTACCTTCTTTATCCACTGATTTTTTTATGTCTTTTTTTTCTCAAATAGACAGGCCTCTAGGTTCTAATTTACTTGAAAATCTTGAAGAGAAACTCAAGAATACATCTTCATTATGTGGACTAACTATAGAATGTGTGCAGCCAGTTTTCCTGCTGCATTTATAAAACCCAGGGACAAATTATATTCTTTAACTTTTACTTATGACTGGCTGTAACTTAGAGTTATATATTACATTCTTTGCTAAGAATAGTTTGTAAATTATTAACAGACACTGTTAAGATCCTTTCTCTTTTTATTCTAATTTAAATTATTTTAAAATTCAATATTAAAGGGCATGCAAAATGATAAAGAGGAAGTCAAACTGTCGCTGTTTGCTGATAATATGACTGTATACCTACAAAACTCTTAACGACTCATCCAAAAAGCTCCTAGAACTGATAAATGAATTCAGCAGTTTCAGGATACAAAATTAATGTACACAAATCAGTAGCTCTGCTATACACCACCAGCAACCAAGCTGAGAATCAAATCAAGAACTCAATGCCTTTTACAATAGCTGCAAAAAATAAAATACTTAGGAATATACCTAACCAAGGAGGTGAAAGACCTCTACAAGGAAAACTACAAATCACTACTGAAAAACATCATAGAAGACAAAAGCAAATGGAAACACATCTCATGCTCATGGATAGGTAAAATCAATTTTGTGAAAATGACCATACTTCCAAAAGCAATCTATAAATCCAATGCAATTCCCACTAAAATACCTCCATCATTCTTCACAGAACTGGAAAAAACAATCCAAAAATTCATATGGAACCAAAAAAGAGCCTGCATAGCCAATGCAAGGCTAAGCAAAAAGAACAAATCTGGAGGAATCACACTACCTGATTTCATACTATACTATAAGGCCATAGTCACCAAAACAGCATGGTACTGGTATAAAAGTAGGCACAAAGACCAATGAAACAGAATAGAGAGCTCAGAAATAAAGCCAAATACTTACAGCCAGTGATCTTTGACAAAGCAAACAAAAACATAAAGTGAGGGAAGGACACTCTATTCAACAGATGGTGCTGGGATAATTGGCAAACCACATGGAGAAGAATGAAACTGGATCCTCATCTCGCACCTATACAGAAATCAACTCAAGATGGATCAAGGACATAAATCAAAGTCCTGTAACCATAAAAATTCTAGAAGATAACATCAGAAAAACCTTTCTAGACATTGGCTTAGGCAAAGACTTCATGACCAAGAACCCAAAAGCAAATGCAACAAAAACAAAGATAAATAGATGAGACTTAATTAAACTAAAAAGCCTCTGTACAGCAAAAGAAACAATCAACAGAGTAAACAGACAACCCACAGAGTGGGAGAAAATCTTTGCAATCTATATATCTGACAAATGACTAATATACAGAATCTGCAAGGAACTCAAACAAATCAGCAAGAAAAAAACAAAAAATTTTATCAAAAAGTGGGCTAAGGACATTAATAGACAATTCTCAAAAGAAGATATACAAATGGCCAACAAACATGAAAAAATGCTCAACATCACTAATGGTCAGGGAAATGCAAATCAAAATCACCATGTGATACCACCTTACTCCTGCAAAAATGGCCATAATCTAAACTTTTAAAAAAAATGTTGATGTGGATGTGGTCAAAGGGAATACTTGTACACCGCTGGTGGGAAACGTAAACTAGTACAACCACTATGGAAAACAGTGTGGAGAGTCCTTAAAGAACTAAAAATAGAACTACCATTTGATCTAGCAATCCCACTACTGGGTATCTACCAAGAAGAAAACAAGTCATTATATGAAAAATATACTTGCACTCTTATGTTTATAGTAGCACAATTGTCAATTGCAAAACTATGGAATCAGCCCACATCCATCATTCAATGAGTGGATAAAGAAATTGTGATATGGCCGGGCGTGGTGGCTCACGCATGTAATCCCAGCACTTTGGGAGGACGAGACTGGTGGATCACGAGGTCAGGAGATTGAGACCATCCTGGGTAACATGGTGAAACCCCGTCTCTACTAAAAATACAAAAAAATTAGCCAGGCATGGTGGCGGGTGCCTGTAGTCCCAGCTACTTGGGAGGCAAGACTAGGTAAAGATAAACACACAGGGAGGACAACATGTGACTATAGAAGCAGATTGGTGTGATTTCCCTACAACATCACAAATGCAAGGGAAGGCTTAGGGCCACCTGAAGCTGAAAGAAGCAAGAAAGGACCCTTCTCTCACCCCCACTTCCAAGTTCAGAGGAAGCATGGCCCTGTCAACACCACAATTCTGAACTTCCAACTTCCAGGATTGAGAGGATAAATTTCTGCTGTTTTAGCCACACAGTTTGTGGTATTTTCTTATGCGAGCCCTAGGAAACTAATACAAACTTGAACATGGCAGAAGCTTGAAACATGTATGAGTAAAGTGCTGTCCAGTGACTAGCCATCTTTCCTTTGGATTTAGATGTCCAAATCCAGACCAGATCGACTTGATCTGATGTCTTTTTTAAAATCCAGTCCGTGGCTATGGTGGTGCAGATATGTTAATAAAAACTAAAATAACAACAAAAACAACAAAACAATTGATAAAAATTAAAAGCATAAAAAGTGAAAAAAAAACTCTCAAAATAACAATATATATGTTAGGCACACATAGATAAAAGTGCTTAAATTAGAAATTTATTTTAATTTAATTAACTAGTTATTTATTCTTATTACTATAAAGTATAAATTTTATTCTTAAGAAATAAATCATGAGGTGTATGACAGCATAGATATCCTAATTAAAATATCTTCCAATTTTACTCTGAATTCCTTAAATTCCAATGCCTAGGATTTGGTAACTACAAAATAAATGTGAGGCTGCATTAGAAAAGACAATAAAAATGATGTGAATTTTAATTAGTTTGAATGATGATAACTATAATCAATTTGCTCACAATGTTACTTTGAGATAAAGTTTTTAAATTAAGTTACACTATTGCAAAGCTTCGAAATACTTGTTTAATAAGACCAATACTCCACAATGCCAGATTTTTTAAATAAGCCATAAAATTAACCAGAAAAAAATGAATAGCATATTATAAAAATGGTCTACTTCCCTCACCCCAAACCTATATTCACTGTTAAGGGTAGGAGCAAAATCCACCTCAAGATATGTTATAGGGATCATCAAGAAGTCAGCAAAATCATCAGTGCTGTCATCATTTTTCTGCTGCCTAATTGGGCTTCTTCTCTTCATTATTCTCTAAAATCAGTGTATAGTTTTGAAGAAATCCCATGTCTCTTATTTTATATTTCTACTACTAAAACAAACTGAATATGCAGTAATTGGTCCTTAATTATTGAAGAAATATTGGAATACATCAGTGATTCAACACTATCTTAAATCATTTATATACACTTTGTTATAAATGTGCTCAGTTGTTCGGTAGTGCCCTTGAATATTGGATAAATCAGCTTTTATTGACTTATAGAAAGTTAAACATTGCATGATCTCCAGAATACATTAGGAAAGATATTATAAATTCTACAAGATAAAGAACTTGTAATTCCTTTAGGTATTTAAGATATAGATATCTATCAGAAGTAGATATCTCTTTTTAAACTGTCAAACACCATATAAATGTTACTTGAAATTAATATTGCTGATGATGTAGTCAAGTTTGCTACAAAAATGTTGTTATTCATATACTTTTCAATAATATGGATCAAATATACATTTTTTCATTATAGAGTAAATTTAGAAAAAGTAAATATATTGTGCATGCTATATTTCAGTAAGTTTGTTAATATAGTCACTAATCATACCTGAGTTAGTTCATTAATATCTACAAGTCCATTACTGTCTGCATCAAAATATTTAAACATTTGATCCACCAATAGCTTCTTCCGAGATATGTCGTCGCCATTAGGATTTTCATTTTCTTGCATAATATATTTTTGATTTTGTAAATCTAATAGCATATTTTTCATCTTGCTGTATTCAGTAGTCTTGCACTTATCTCCTGTAACAAAAGAACTAGTTATTTTCAAGCAATATTATTGAAAAGAAATAGTTTATTTAATTAAGGTTTAGAAGTTATTTTATGAATAACATACTATGTACATAATTTTTACTTTTCTGGTGTTTTACGATTTACAACTTGTACAAGAAAAAAATGGGCTAGTTCCATGGTAGGATAGAAAACTTTTATCTCTATCAAATCTGATAACAACATATTTCTTTGTAGTTTGTTTATGAGGAAGGCATAGATGCTGTAACGGACATAGAAAAACATGATAGCTCCAGCTGGAAATTTATTTCAACGTTCAAATTTATTGTCTTAGTTTTTATCCTTACTCTATATTTCTGTATTGATAGTTTTATAGGTGCAGAAAATGAAGTACAAGAAGGTGAAATCAATTGCTGAAGGCAAAGGATTAGATTGTGCTGGATTTTGTATTGAAATATATATATGTACGTATATGCATACATATACGTATGTATATATGTATATATACATATGAGATTCCAAAAGATGATACCACATTTTAAATCTGAAATGTGTTTTAGACATTTGGATTTGCATTGATGACATTCACACATATATATTTACATTTATATTATTATTTAAAAAAATTTTTAGTTGTTACAAATAAATAATGTTACAAATACATTATGTACATAAATATGTACATAATGTCTGTACATATTTATGGGTTACATGTGGTATTTTGAGACAGGCATACAATGTGCAATGATTAAAATCAGGGTAATTGGGATATGGATCACCTCAAACATTTATGGTTTCTTTAGGTTAGGGTCTTTCCAAACCCAGTTTTTAATTATTTTGAAATATACAATAAATTATCGTTAACTACAGTTCCCCTGTTTTCTTACCAAACATTAGATCTTATTCCTTCTAACTGTATTTTGTACCCAACCAACTAACCCATCTTTATTCTCCCGCCATCACCCCCGCCACTATCTTTCCCAACCTCTGGTAACCATCACTTTACTCTACAGCCATGACTTCAATTATTTTTTTCAGCTTCCACCTTTGAGTGAGAACATGTGATATTTGTCTTTCTATGCCTGGTTTATTTCACTTAACATAATATCCACCAGTTCCAGCATGTTGTTGAAAATACCAGTATTTCATTCATTTTTATGACTGAATAATATTTCATTGTGTATATATATATATATATACACACACCATATTTTCCTTATCCATTTATTGGCTGATGAACACTTAGGTTGATTCCATATCTTGACTATTTTGACTAGTGCTGTGATAAACATAAGAGTGCAGATATCTCTTTGATATTCTAATTTCCTGTCTTTTGAGTATATATCCAGCAGTGGGATTGCCTGTAAACTGCTGGTGGGAATGTAAATTAGTACAAACACTATGAAGAACAGTATGAAGCATCTCAAAAAACTAAAAATAAATGTATTTTCTTAATTCTGACTTCTTAATAGCACTAAGATCATATTAGTATTCTTCTAACAGTGTTTTCTTAATGTTCTGATATTCATTCATCTCTTTTTTAGGGCCCCTGGTATATAATGTGATATATATTTGCACTTTTTATTTTTAAGCATTAAGTTTGCCTCTCCACAGCTAAATCATAAGCTTACTGAAGCAAGACTGTGTTATAGATATTTAGTACCTGCCATGTAATAACAGCACAATACTGGGAACATCATAGTTAGTGAAAATAATTTCTTGGATTACTGTCTCTCAGAAGTAAATAACGGCCAGGTGCAGTGGCTCATGTCTGTAATCCCAGCACTTTGGAAGGCTGAGGCAGGGGAATCACCTGAGGTCAGGAGTTCGAGGCCAGCCTGGCCAACATGGTGAAACCCTGTCTCTACTAAAAATAAAAAAATTGGCCGGGCACGATGGCACGTGCCTCTAAACCCAGCTACTCGGGAGGCTGAGGCAGGAGAATCGCTGGAACCCCGGAGGCAGAGGTTGCAGTGAGCCAATATTGCACCACTGCACTGCAGACTGAATGACAGGGTGAGACTCCGTATCACACACACACACACACACACACACACACACAAAAGGAAGAAAAAATTCTCTAATATTTTCACACAATTCTTTTATGTGAAGGAAAATAATTTTACTTACAATGGCCTCATGATGAGGTCTTTATAAATGGCATATTGAAATGGCATGTATACTGCTTACAGCAAATGCGATATGAAATATATTACAAAAAATGCAGTGCATAAATAATTTGAAAATTACATAATAGGTTTTATGTTAGTTGAGATTTTTTATAACATATTTTTAGGAAAAAATCCTAACTTTATAATTATGATCAATTTTGACAATTAGGCTTAAGAGCATGTACAATTTTAAAAGAAAATGTCTAAAGATATTTAAATATGTGTCTGAGAAGCATGGGGCTGCAAAACAATATCTGAATCTCATTCTCTTTCGAGACAAAATGGAAAACAATCTCTTCCAAAGAGATGATAGACTGTCTTTATTTTTCAAAGACAGTGAAATTACTATTGTTGTTCAGCACTTTGGTTTTTAGCAATCCTGTCAACAAGTTCTTTTTCACAACAAAATGTAAACTTTGTGCTGCAGATTAAGTCAATTTTGTATCATTCTGTTCTCACTAAAGAATAATAATAAGAATATGTTTTCATAACAGCAAGAAACTCATTGACAAATGAGAGAAGTAATCAAATCCGTAGCCATTGCTAGCAATTTTGGTATCGGGGAAAGCAGCACAAAGGGAACCTTCAAATAGCAAACATGTATTTATCTGAGTGCACAGGTGTGCATCAGGAAGGAGAGAAATGTGTGATGAAAAAAATTCTGAAAAGGATTATACACCATTCCAATAGCCTTTCCTTGGATTTCTGTACATGACCCTGGGTCTGTATTGCCTTCATTTCTATCAACTGCCAGTGGAAGCCATGTGGAACTGGAGGCTGAACTTAGACCAATGGCATTGGGGAGATCTGAATGTTGGCGAGAGATGGATGGGAAATAGGAGTTAAACACTGAAAACCTTTAACCAGTATTTAAAACTGGGGAGAGGGATAGAGTTTGGGTTGCCCCACTCAAATTTTGATCTAATCTAGTCAGTGTGATCATCATAACACTCTCATTAATGCTTTCCTTCCCCAAATTGTTGTAAATTTCTTCTCCAGTCCAGAAATTGGGGTAGTTGCTGGAAATCCAAATAAAATAACCAAAAAAAATTGCAGTTAAGGCATTCATATTCTATAAATATGTACAATATGTATGCAATTATATAATTTTTTGTGAATTTATTAGTTTAGAAAATTTCTGTCATAGACTTTTTAGTTATAAATATGTGTATGTTATTAATAATAGATAACAGGTAAAGAAGGCTTCCCATGTGTCAGAAACTTTACACATATTAAGCCATTTTATACATATTGAATCTTCCCAACAACCCAAAAAGAAAATCAATATGATTACTACCATTTTGCAGATGAGGAACTAAGGCACAGAGATGTGAAATAACTTGTTCAAGGTTATAGAACTAGGAAGGGCAGAATTATTTTTACATATGTGCCATATCTCCCTTTTATCCACTAACTTTATTTCTCTCATTTTCAGAACTCAGTTTTTCTTTTTAACTATTTTATTTAATAGCTAAAATTAAATATTTCATGAATTCTGTAATTTGTCCAAGGATTATTTGTAAAGTTATATATATATATATGTATATATATATATATATATATATATATATATATATGTATATATATATATATATATATATATGTATATAAAATAAACCCTAGGCAATATCACTGTTTATATTACAGAAGGAGAAAGAACACACACACACATGCACACACAAATGTAGTATCTAAGAGGTAACAGGTAAACTATTAGAATGTATTGAATAGAAAGCCAAAGGGAGAGAACTTTTCAAGAAACAGAGTGTGATGAAATGTAAAACATTTGAGAGTAAAATTAAGGTAAACAAAATATGTCCCTCGGAGTCCTTCAATTGGAGGTAATTAGTAACTTTAAAGAAAAATGCTAGTGACTAAATGGTGCAAATTTTACATTGCAATTGGTTGTATAATTATTTAATAATTATTGTATAAATAAATAATTGTATAAATAAATAATTGTATAATTATTTAATAATTATTTAATAATAATTGATAGGAAAGAAAAACATCTAGCACGGTTAATACAGAAGAAGAGACATTTAGAAATTGTGCCCCCTCCCCAAGTCCAAAAATAGCACCAAGCAGGAAGGAAATAAGTTTTTGTTTGCTTATATGGTTACTTTGATAGAATCATTTTCTCAAGTTAATTGACAGGCAGAGTGAGATTGGCATAGCTAAAGAAAAGAAACAATTTCCTGGATTCACTTCATGCTCTGGGAGACCAGTGCGAAATCTCCTCTGCTGTTCCTGTTCTAGACACAAAGAATATACTAGTGAAAATGAAAAAATCCTTATTTATTGGTAACTGTAGATTATCTTCCTTCCCATGGATACAGCGTCACTAGGGCTGTGCTGACCTTTGACTCAAGAGTCATTCTAAGGGCAGGGAAAATCCATCTGGCCTTGTGGGTCCTGCAAGGATGCAGAATCACTGACATCCAAATGCCTGCACCTGTATAGCTGGCAGTGCCTCTCCAAGTCACACAGAACTGAGGACAATGACACCTTACACATCTGAGAGTACAACCATCAGTTTTGAGTACATGATAAGTGCTAAAAATTATAGATTATACCAATTATGCTTAGTAAAATATGTTTTTGTAAAGGCTGCAATTTGTTCTTATCTCTTTGAAATGACACTTTTATCCTTTCCTCCTATCCTCCAGTAAAAAGTACCAATTCCCTTCAACACAAAAGATTCAATCAAAAGCATAAAAGGAAACCATGTTTTATCTTTTTGACATTTATTGATAGAATTTGATTAGTTTGATTCCAATATAAGCTGAAATCTTAGAAACTCAAAGAATAAAAATGTTTTTATTTAGAATAAATTCTATCTGTATATTATAATGTATGTAGAAACTGTTTTTCCTCAAATTACTCAATAATTGCTAATAAAACACAAATATTTTAGATAAATATTTTGTATTTAAAGCATAAAAAAGATGTCAAAACTTCAGTTGATGTATTTAATATGCATATATGAATCAAATTCAATGTGGAAAGCTATCATATTTATATTAATTATAAGTAGTGAAACTATGTATATGAAGGAACCAAAATTATCTTGGTTAAAGGTAGCCTGAACATAATTAAAAAAAAAAATTTAAATCTAAACTGTAATGTCTACCTAAATTTCAAAAAGATTGAAAGTGTCAATTGTATTGTGTTTTTTGAACTTTACTTAAGTGTACTACAGGTATATATAATAAAGTAAGCTTACTATGTTTCAGGTACTAGTCTAGTTCTAGAGATTCACTAGTACAAATACACTTACACACACCACATTAGAACATAGTACATTTAAAGAGCCGTGATTATTGTAAATACAGGGGCATTTTTTAAGACTTTGGTTTTTAGTGTTTTAGGCTTACAAAATTGACCAGAACTTATAGAGTTCCAATATACCCTTTTTCCCCAACACATGCAGCTCTTCCCCAGCTATCGACATCCCACATCATAGTTACAATCGATGAACAAATATTGAATACCATTATCACTCCAGATCCATAGTTTAACTTATGCTACTTTAGATACATTAAAGTTCTTGATGTTGTACATTCTATGGGTTCTGACAATTGTATAATGACATTTATCTACCATTATACTATAATTTACAGAATAGTTTTACTGCCCTAAAAATCCTCTGTACTCCATCTATTCATCACTTTCTCCTGTAACCCTTGGCAACCACTGATTTTTTTTATGCTTTCCACAGTTTTATCTTTTCTAGAATGATAGTTGGAATCATACAGCATGTAGATTTTTTTCAAATTGGCTTCTTTCACTTAGTAATATGAATGTATGTTTCCAGCATGTCTTTTCATGACCTGATAGCTCACTTCTTTTTAGAACCGAATAATATTCCATTGTATGGATGTACCACAGTTTATCCATTCACCTGTTGAAGGGCAACTTGGCTGCTTCTGAGTTTTGGCAATTGTGGATAAAGCTGCTATAAACATCTGTGTGAAGGTTTCTGTGTATGGATTTAAGTTTTCAACTCATTTGAATAAACATCAAAAAGCATGATTGCTGCATGATATGGTAAGAATATATTTAGTTTTGTAAGAAGCTGTCAAAGTCTCTTCCAAAGTGGCCGTACCATTTTGTATTCCAGCAAGCAATGGGTGAAACTTGTATTGCTCCATATCCTTGCCAGGATTTGGTGTTGTCAGTGTTTTGAGTTTTCATCAGTCTAATAATTGTGTAGTGGTAGTTCCTTCTGTTTTAGAGCGGATTATTTTAGTTCATAAGTGATTATATTTTATAAGACCTTAGTTCCTTTATCCTACCCTCGCTTTCTACACACAGAAAATTTGAATTGGTTTAATTTATAATTGCCCTAAGCATTGTTGAATAGTTAAATAAAAAGTGAGTGAAAACATGATTAAGTTGATTGACATGCTTACTGATTAATTTTGGGAATTAATCTTACTGGAAATAAAAGGGAAGTATCGTGAGTTAAAAATTCATTCCCCAAACACTTTGCTACTTAAGATATAACTTGTCAATTATATGCCACATTGTAATTGGCAACTGTCTCCAAATCTATCTAAGCAGTAGTAAAAACATAGTTTGATATTCTAGTTCAGCAAATGTGATTATGTATTAGAATTTCAATAAAGATGTTCTAGTATCCAGGTAACTTTGCTCTTTTAACCCTGAGAGAATGTTAATTAAAATATTTCTGAGGGTTGCAATTATATTCATCAAATACAACACACTTGGATCATATGTGCAACTTAGCCATTACTTCCTTTCTTCATCTCCTCCCACCACTGTCACAAACACAAAAGCAAATCATAAAGATGCAGAGAACATTAGCAGAAAACACAACAAAATAAAACAAAGCACGATACAATGGTGAAATTGATGATATGGAATGTGTAGCAACCTAAATAAAAAACGCAAATTTATTTTACCCCCCAAAAATACAATTTAACATATTAGCTATTATAACTCATCAAATGCATTATTTTAATGTTTAGTGAATTTAATAGTCTTTTAAATCATTATCCTTAGAGTAAAACTCAGGAAAATATAATACACTTCATATGAAAAGACGTGCCTTTTACAGAATATATGAGAGCTAATGCTCTTAAGCAGTTTGTAAATTAAGTGATTTCCCTAATTAATTATTTTTTTCCGGGTAACCTATCTATAAATGATTTGCACATGACATGCAAGGCCTTCCGTCTTCTCACAATACTACAATTGCTGGTAAAATTTAAGTGCATTATGTCTTCTTTCTTTCTTTCTTTTTTCTTTCAGTGCATTATGTCTTCTTTCTTTCTTTCAGTGCATTATGTCTGCTTTCTTTCTTTTCTTTTCTTTCTTTGCTTTCCTTGCTTTCCTTGCCTTTCTTTCTTTCTTTCTCTTTTTCTTTCTCTTTCTTTTCTTTCTTTCTCTCTCTTTCTTTCTTTCTCTTTCTTTCTTTCTCTTTCTTTCTTTCTTTCTTTCTTTCTTTCTTTCTTTCTTTCTTTCTTCTTTTCTTTTCTTTCTTTCTTTCTTTCTTTCTTTCCTTCTTTCTCTTTCTTGACAGATTCTCACTGTTGTCACCCAGGCTGGAGGGCAGTGGCATAGTAGCATGATCTTGGCTCACTGCAACCTCTGCCCCTTGGGTTCAAGAGACTCTCATGCCTCAGCCTCCTGAGTAGCCGGGATTACAGGTGTGTACCACCATGCCTGGCTAATTATTATTATTATTATTATTTGAGATGATGTCTCACTCTGTCGCCCAGGTTACAGTGCGGTGGCGTGATCTCGGCTCACTGCAGCCTCCATCTCCCAGATTCCAGCTATTCCCCTGCCTCAGCCTCTTAGGTAGCTGGGATTACAGGCACGTGCCACCATGCCAGGCTAATTTTTGTCTTTTTAATATAGATGGGGTTTTGCCATGTTGGCCAGGCTGCTCTCGAACTCCTGGCCTCAAGTGATCCTCCCCACTCAGCCTCCCAAAGTGCTTAGATTACAGGTGTGAGCCACCATGCCTTGCCAATTATGTCTTATATATTATGCTACATAGGCCTTAACAGTTTTGATTGTAGCAGCCTGTGCTTTACAGACATTGTTAATTTTGATTTGTAATTCTGTGAATTTATATGACTTTTGGTAGTAAAAATATATGAAATATATATTTTTATTTTTTATAAATTTGACCTTTTTTTAAAAAAATAACCAGATTACAAAAAAGTAAATCTATGACTGCATCAAATATAGTCAAAAGATGCATGTGATTCTATTAAGAACAAGTCTCTTAGTGCTCTTTAACACTAAACATCTTCTCCACTAATTTGTCACATCATTCAAATATGTGACTGCCAATGAGAAAGTTATTATTTCTATTCATGTTATAGAAGATATGCTATCCACGGGCTGGGTGCAGTGGCTCACGCCTGTAATCCCAGCACTTTGGAAGGCGGAGGCGGGTGGATCACGAAGTCAGGAGATCGAGACCATCCTGGCTAACACGCTGAAACCCCATCTCTACTAAAAATACAAAAAATTAGCCGGACGTGGTGGCGGGCGCCTGTAGTCCCAGCTACTCAGGAAGCTGAGGCAGGAGAATGGCGTGAACCCAGGAGGCGGAGCTTGCAGTGAGCCAAGATCGCGCCACTGCACTCCAGTCTGGCGACAGAGCAAGACTCCGTCTCAAAAAAAACAAAAACAAACAAACAAAAAAAAGAAGATATGCTATCCACATCTATGAAATCATAGGTATCTAACACATTTTTAACCCGATACTTACACAGTAATCACATTGCTGGCACTGTTGTGTTTTACAGATTTTAACTCATTTAATCTTTATAATGACACTAAGAAGTAAATGTCATTTGCCATAGCATAACTTTGAAAACACAATAGACCCAATAATAGACTCAACATTCGACTTTACGTGAAGATCTGAGGAACTTTTCACCATAGAATGGTAAGCACATATCTCAAAAATAAATTTAAAAGTTTCACATGAGGTACAGAAGCTACAAGGTGCATCCATTTGTCTTGGGTGAAAGTACAGCTTTACTGTTATTTTTTCTGCAAATTTATGTGAAATTCTATCCAGGAGTCAGTCTCAGGAGGACAGCCTGCCTACATGTAATCTGATATGCATATTCAATAATAAATCATATTTCCCCTATCATCTACACTGGAACAGAAAGAACCTTTGGTTGATAAGGTTTTTTAATTTCTCCAAAAATTATTAGAGCAACTAAATAATAATGAAAGGGATGACTCCAGACTGTCTAAATCTCATGGTTTTGTATTCATCTAACAATATAACTTATAGCTTCAAAAGTTGTAAATCAAATGATGATACAATTACAAGGCAAGTTTGATAAACGACAGTCATAGAGAAAAACTGCAATGCAGCTATATGAGAAATGTATATCAAGCAGCCATAAGGCATAATACTTTGGTTTGGACTAAACCCAGAAATCTACATTTATAGGAATATAGTACTCTTCCTTAAGCATGTTTAATGCTGACCTTACATATAGTTAAAGATTGAGGTTCAGGTTAATTTTTTTCTGAAGTGTATTCCCAAGCTCTGGGACTTTTGGCCAGTTTGGTGTTAAAAGTCCATGTTTATGAACATAATTATATATTTTTTTCTTGTCAATGAATGTATCTGTCAAGAGTTTACATATGCCTTGCCTCAATATCTCAGTCATGCTTTGTCTCATTTATCACAAGAAAAATGCAAAAGTGGTAATGAAATACAGGATTTCTTCTACAGTTTATACATCTATATTCCTTTTACATTCATTCTCTTTGACCAAACAAAAGATAATACATTCTCTTTGACCAAACAAGAGATAATACATTTATGAATGTTTATTGACATCTGACCTTGTCTTTATCAGATTTAACACCAAGACAATTATTTCCAAAATACATCTAATTTATTCTATATAATTGTAAATATTAAAATACTAGCATATAATATTAAACATAATATCAACATTCATAGCATTGTTATTATTTTATGTTAGATGCTTTTATGTAGGCTCAATCGTTGTAGTGGGTTAATATATAAAACAATTCATAGCATGTTACACTGGGGAGAAATATCTTGTATGTAAGTGGGCAAAGTTGCCTTATTTGACCTTATACCAACTCAATAATAACATATAAATGAGTAATCTGAATAGATGTAACCTGCAGAAAGCCATGTCCCTTAGGTTATCCCAACTATTTGTTAACTGTGATTACTTCTTTTAAGCACAGTCAACCTTTGAGAGACATTGTTCTGTAAGAGTCCTATGAGAGTTCTTATTTCAATCAGTCATAGCCTGGATGCTAGCCTTAATTCTTCCTAATTGTCCCCAAACCGACCAAATAAATACAAGTAATCCTATGAATCTTTGTCCCTCCAGAAAAGAGGATTACTCCGTGTTTTCAAGTAAGACTTGGTTCTGGTATATAGTTAAATTGTCAAGAGAAGATTTCTTCAGCTAGACATGTATCTACCATTCTCTACTATATGATGATTCTTTGCAATATTTCCCAATAATGTAACCTCTATTTTCCCATGAAATTTCAAACACCTCCTATACAAATACTATGTATTAAGAACCTCTGGTATGTGTAACCTATCTGCCAATGTCCATCACTTTTTTTCTAGAAGATTATAAATGCCAACATTAATTTCTCAGTATTACACATTGCATATTTGACTTTTTTTATTCGCACACTTGCAAGATAAACAAATAAATGTTTAATTGTGCACTTTCTTATGAATATGCATCATGTTTTAACAATAGCTTATTATGACCTTGACCAAAGATATTAAGGAAGTAGAAAAGTAGAGGTGAATAATAGGAGATAGAGTAAATTGATACTTGACATTTTCTACTTTAAGTGACTGTGATGCCATCAATAGAAATTCAGTTTCTAATGTTGATATTCAATATATCTTCAGTGGATAAATATAATGAAAATGACAAAATAATTTATAAATGAGATGTTTAAGGTAACTGTGGAATATCCTGGTAGAGGCCTTGATAAGAGAACAGAAAATATAATTTGGTTGCTTTGAAGCTCTGTAGTTTAGAAGAAAGGAAGTGCTTGATGAATTGGATTTGTGAGTGACTGGTGAGTGCTTGACAGTTGAAGCCATGATTGTAAATGAGATTGATAAAAGAGAACATTTGTAAAGTGTGAAGTGAAGGTCATTACGGTTGAATTATGACCATGCACATTTTATAAGGAGTAATATTCCACAGACTACTTAAAAAGAGGCTGCTGAAACATTGATTAGTTTGGTGAAAGAAGAAATGAAGATGGTTTAGTCATTCAACTTTAGATGCTAAAGTCTACTTCTTGATACGGGAAAGTATATAACTATTGCAAATTAGATGGAAAAATATGATGAAAAAGAGACGTTGCTCTTCTCTGAAATAAAAAGTGTTTTCTGTAAAATCTAGCTGACATTTTGATTTTTACCATATGCAAGGATGTGTGTTTGAGTGTCTGTGTGTGCATACATACATAGAACAAAATCTGTGGTTATGTTAATAACAGTAGCGACAGTTCATGTAGAGATATATTCCTTTGATATGGTATTGACATGTTCAGAAATAGTTTATAAGCTACATTAACAAAGATAGGGTTCAAGATAACTTGTACTATGAATAGTTGCTTTTTCATTAATTTGCCTTTTCTCAAGTCACTTTTGTTGCAACTGAAAAGCATACAACTTATGAATATATTTAAGAAAAAAATTCATTTAAAATGTGTGAAATTTCTGATGTCAGTAGGGAGATGTAAAATTTCTAATTTTCACCTTGTGCATAAACAGCAGAGGATAATTACTTAAGTATTTGCCCTTTTCATGTATGTTGTCAGATGAAAATGAATTGCGGATACTCTTTTTAAAGTTTTATTGGTTTTTAATTGACACGTAATAATTGTACATCTTTATGGGTATGTTTCAATGCATATATACATTGTGTAATGATCAAATTAGGGTAAGTAGTATATCCATCACTTTAAAAACATGTCATTTCTTTATGATGTGAACATTCAAAATCCTCTGTTCTTGCTATTTTGAAGTATACTATACATTATTGCTGACTATGGTTACCTTATTGTGCAATAGAACACCAGAGCTTATTCCTTTTATCTGTAACTTACACCCTTTAACCAATCTTCCCATCTCCCTCCCTTCCAAGCCTAATGCTCCCAGCCTCTGATAGTTGTTCCACTATTCTATTCTCTACTTCTATCAGCTCAACTTTTAAAGGATAACCTAAGTGGGAACATGCAGTATTTTGTCTTCTGTGACAAAGCCTTTGTTAGTAATTCAGTTTCACAGGTGCGTTGAAGAATTATTTAGTAAAAACACTTTGAAACAACACCTGTGCAGGGCATCACTGCTCATGCCTATAAACCCAACACTTTGGGAGGTAGAGGCAGGAGGATCTCTTGAGACCAGGAGTTCAAGACCAACCTGGGCAATAATGTGAGACCCCGCCCCTGTCTCTCCAAAAATAATATTTTAAAAAATTAGCTGAATGTGGTGATGTGTACCTGTAGTCTTAGCTACTCAAGAGGCTGAGGTTGGAGGATCGCTTGAGCCCATAAGTTTGAGGTTACAGTGAGCCACGATTGTGCTACTGCACTCCAGCCTGAGTGACAGTTCAAGACACTGTCTCTAAAAGAAACAAAAATAAAAACAAAAACAAAACAATGCCTGGATTTCAAAAGTTTCTGAGGAAACAGAAAAACTAAGATTTTCCCTTCACATACACACCAGAATTGTTTCTTATTTCATTTACTGATTTGGTTACCTGTTTATGAGCAGTGGAAACAAAAATATCTTCTCTTTGAAGATGACAGATTAATATTTATATACCTATTTTTTATATATTTGTATCTATACACTAACACAAAAATATATAGCTTAGTAATATTTTATTTTCTTAAATTACTTTTTTTTCCTCTTAGGCTCTATAATTAAAATAAAATATGGTAACTTATGATTGTCATTTTGTGTTAGTTGAACGTTGTTTAGATCATATACTGATTCTTAGTATTTGGTAAGTAAGTTTGGAGCAAGCAAAGGGACGACTAGGTGTTGCCAATAAAAAAAAATTCATTATTTATAGCATGGCTTTCTGGGTTTTTCCATTCTAGCCTTTTGTGGCCTTTGAGGTATTTTATTACCCTATAAATTTCAAATAACAGATAGAAATAAAAAAAATTATTGTCTATAGATGTGCGAACGAATTCTGATGGGAAGAAATTCAATTGACTTTTCTCTCCCTCACTCCATGAAAAAGCCAGGTTCATAGCTATTTGGAAGTTCATTACCACAATTATTTTTTCCATATACATTTGTGGCTTTTTGCCTTCTTTGAGCTGATTATAACATCTGCCTCGTTGCTTTATAAATAATGAGCTAATTTAATATTTAACGTGTGTTCATTTCTATCCACATGATAGTCATGATTTTACCTTAAAAATTATTCTTTACCACTCTAAATACATCATTCTTTTGTTTAAGAAAAGAATGAAGGCCTAATAGAGAGTCAAACTGCTCTTATTATATGATATATAGGTAAATGTACAGAAGGGAATTCACAGAGGTCAATCTGAATATACTTTCAATAAGTTCAGCAAAGTATGTAAAATGAAAAGGTAATCCAGATAGAAAGCATATAAAGCAAATTTTTGTTTTAATTTTTCCATTCTTTATTGCTACACAAAACAAGCTTCAAAAAAGTGCAGCTCAGTAACCGAATTAATTTTCACCTTTCTAAACATGCATATTTATACTACCAGTTTACATTAAATAGGATGTTATTATTTTTATTATTGCAACATCCTCTCAAGGAGAAAATACTGTCACTTTGTGTTATGGTGGAGAAATAATAAGTAGAAATTCTTACAAGGCCATAGAGTAAACAAAAATATCAGGATCTGGCTTCTGTTATTTATTGAAGACACAATGTTTTGATTGTTTAGATTTGAAATATCTTTTTCAAATTGCCATGCACTTCTAACATGGTAGTTAAGACTTTACAGCATCTTACTGTGAATTAAGAAAGGTGTCCACCTGAGTCCACACAACATGGGTACAAAGCTATGGGAGCAAGTATAGCCTTTGAGGAAAGAAGAAAGCATTGCTACCCTCCAGTGAATACAAACCTACCCTAGGGTTTCTAGCTTGACAAGTGTAGGGCAGCCTGGATTGCAGCCCCACTTACGTGCTGCCTTGACCAGGTGCCTTTGCACAGTGTATACAGTGTTACAGTAACTCTCCTTCATCATTTTCATACTAGGAAGAAAGCTTTTTATTATGAATTCTAATGAGGGGATTTTTCATGAGGATGCCTCTAATATTTTATACTGCCATATATATTACTGTACCATAGTGTTGCATAACTAATGTAAAGAGGTCAGCTAATAACATTTAAAAAGTAATGAAAATATTGTGAACATCCTGCTTTAAAACAGTTATTAAAGAAAAAAATTGCTAGACAAGTAAACCAGAGACACAGTTTAAATGGAAATGGTGTCAGATTTAGTCAATAACATGCCCACTTATGAAGGTGCTCTTTTTATATTTCACTTTTTTCTCATTCATAGAATGCATTTTGTACTAACATTCTAAAGAAAGGAGCACCTGATCCCATGGACTAATTCTTGCTATTATCTGATCATGGCACCCTAAAAAACTGACAGTATTTGGGTTCATACTCAGTATGTGGCTCATGACCATGTCCCTAGCACGAGTCCATCTTTTTGAAAGATCTAGATCTAGAGACAAAACAGCAAGATGCATGAGGCATGATCTGCATTTCTATCATATTTTAATGACCCTTCAAATCATCCTTAAATGATCTTTCCCAGACTTGGTCCCAGAGAAGCAAAGAAAAATTTAGCACTTAATTTGTGAAAAGATGGCAAGCATTTGAGAAGTCCAAAGAATTAGGGAGACAGGAAAATTGCACCATAGAAGAAAAAAAAAAATGGGAAGTGAAAAATGAAGGGAGGGTGATGGAGAGAAAAGAAAGTGAGCAAAAGCGATCATTTACACACTAAGGAATAAACTTGTTTCACAAAATACTTGTTTTTCTCCCTTTGTTTATTAGACATATTGGTAAAGAACAATTTGAGACAATTAGTAATTTCAAGTATCTTAAATTACAGATTGAAACAAAATTAATCTATAGCTGGTTTTGGCAAATACTTTTTGTAAAGGAACAGCGTAAATATGTTAGGCTTTCTGGCCCATATAATCTTTGTTACCACTACTCAGATGTGCTGTTGTAGGGCCAAAACAGCTATCAGCCATACATAAACCAGTGGGCATGGCTGTGTTCCAATAATATGTTATTTACAATAGCACGCCGTGGGTCACAGTCTTTGGACCTCAGATTTATACAATAATGGTAGGACAGCGGTGGGTATCAGTAGAAAATTCATTAACATTATTCCTGGGTTATTCTTTGGTGGGAGCAGTCTGATCTGATTTGCTGACATGTTAAGTACAGTTTCTGAGAATGAGTGAAAATCAGGTAGCTATAGATACATTCAATGCTGAATTCCAAGACAGCATTGCTTTCATTATTATCTTGATTGAAAAGATCCTTTTGATGGAAGCAACAGCCCATCTGGAGCAGCAGCTGCAAAGACATTTGCTGCAGTGGAGAAGGTGAGGCCGGGGCTGCGCGCTCCGCAGAGCCAGTGGGAGCTGGGAACAGGCAGGAACCAGGGCCCTTCCAAGATGGCCGGTTGGATGCCCCGCACTGCCAGGCACAGCTACAGTCACCCAGCTGCAGCTGTGGACCCAGGCATCCCTGCACCCTTGGTGGCCCAAGAAGTTCCTCCATCCCCCGCAGGCTTGGAAATGCCAGCTCCTGCTGCCTGGGCTCTCCCAACTCCTGGTGTCTGCTCTGGTTTTGGAGCAATGTTGAGCCGAGCCCAGGCACTATCATAACTCAGATGGGTGTGCGCGTGTCCAAGGCAGTGCTGACACTTCAGCCCCCTGCTGCCTCAGCCCCATCTGGGCTTTGGACAACAACAAGCAGGGGAAGAGGCTGGGAGGGATGGGGGGTTGAGGGCAACTTGGCATGGGACTCTAGGCGCCCCGCAGCATGAATAGCCTGGGTGCATGGACACCATGGATGGCAGGTTGATGACGGCAAAAGGCAGGCTTCTGGGTGGAAAGAAGCTGGTGTCTGGTGAAACCCCACCTTCAACCCAGGAATGGCCTGAAGCCTGGGGACTGGGATGCCAGTCTCATGGACCAGAATGAGAACTTATGGTGCTTTTCCCTGGTCTGCCCATGGCTGCCAATGGACCAATCAGTGCACACTTTCTCCCCTGTGAAGCCGAGAAAAACCCCAGATTCAGCCAAATGTGAGAAGATGAAGGGAGGCCGGCCTACATATAGAAGCTACCCACTGTGGGTCTCCTCTCCCCTGAGGGCTGCAGGCTCGATGGGATGTCCTGCTTGTGACTAGCAGCTACCCACTCCTGTTCTCATCCCCTGAGAATTCTGCTGCTGCTCAGTGAAACTCCTCTCTGCCTTGCTTACCCTCCAGTTGTCCATGTACCTTATTCTTCCTGGATGTGGGACAATAATTTGGGACCCACCAAATGGAGGGACTTAAAAGAGCTGTAACACAAACAGGGCTGAAACATCCCCTCCCCCACTTGCCACGTTGCTGGTGACAAGAAGGAGAGAAGAGCTGTGGCCCTTCATGGAGCCCAGACCTAGGGGCTCCCCAAGCCAGGGCTGTGACACTCTTTGGGTTTCTGCAGTTCCTGTCATCTCCAAGCTTCTGGGCACTATGGCATTTCCCTCATCCATATGCAGTTGCCCTCAGTGGAAGCTGTGTGCAGTACATCTGCTCCAGCTGCAGCCTTGCATGGAGCCGGCAACTGGACCAGTGCCTAGAGCTGCCTGCCCTGCTGAAGCAGCCAATGTGCCTGACTGTGCCCAGCGGCCAGACCCTGTGCTCATTCACCCACACACCCCTCACCACTCCATGCCTGGCTCACCCTTGGCAGGTATGGGATGCAAGCTGGTAGTGTGCCAGGCCTAGTGGGCAGAACAAGCCTAGCAGGCCCGAGCAAACCATGGCAACAGAGGTTTCCAGCTGGCGAAGTAACACTCTAATGATCCTGTAACACTTAAATTTGTTCATATAAATGCATTTCAAATATACTGTGAGAAATTAATATTTTATGTAAATTCAGGATATATTAGTGTCAGAACAAAGGAGGCTGATGTAACACTGATATCCTGGGAAAGTCACTGATTTAACTCTAATGTGATGAAAGAATGGATTGGAATTTTTTTCTTTTATTGAAATAACATTTTGTCAAATAAGGTTGCTTTTGGGGAAACCATGTTGTCATTTTTTTTTTTCTGAGATGGAGTCTCACTCTGTTGCCCATGCTAGAGTGCAGTGGTGCCGTCTCAGCTCACTGTAACCTCCACCTCCTGGGTTCAAGCAATTCTCCTGCCTCAGCTCCCAGAGTAGCTGGGACTACAGGTGCGTGCCACTGTGCCTGGCTAATTTTTGTATTTTTAGTAGAGACAGGGTTTCACCATGTTGGCCAAGCTGGTCTCGAATTCCTGACCACAGGTGACCCTCCTGCCTCGGCTTCCCAAAGTGCTGGGATTACAGGTGTGAGCCACTGTGCCTGGCCAAGAAACCATTTATAATATGGATATAATACGGATATTACATTACTTGGTATATATAAGAAAGGCCTATCAGTTACCTAGTGAGAGTGGTCAGGAAAGTAAGACAAACATGTTAATTCAGACCACAAAGAGTATTTTGGGCACAGCTTGAAGTTGCTTTAAAGGCATACTGAATGAGAAAATAGGTCTCTCAGAAGCAGTGGTTCTTAGCCTGTGTTTCACATTATAGTCACCTGAGGAGCTTTGAAACAAGTGATGCCTGGGCTGCATTCCCAGCAATGCTGATTTAATTAATCTGTGGGTGGGGCCTGGGCATCAGTATTTTTTCAAAGCATTCTAGATGATTTATATGTACAGCCAAGATACAGACCCAGTTTCAGACTTTAAATATGTTGACTCAGGTCATTTCCCTATAAGAGGAAAAGCTGAGACTTGACATTAGTTCGGGTGTTAAATCTAGACCACAATTTCCTAGTTGCTTCTTCACTCACATTGGCCTAGTAGATTATGTAGCAAAACATTCCTTGAGCATTTAGGGCTTATTGTTTGTGCATATTAAGGTAATTGTAAATTTGAGTTAATTTAGAGGAGCTGAAGAAAAATATGCTTTTATCAATGAATTGCCTCACAGGTATCATTCACTTTTAATGCCCTGTATACATATAGGGACAAACTAGTCAGTGTCCCCCTCCATTTGGGCTCAGAGGGCAATGCTTTGTTTTTCCCTTTAACATCCTTTTCCTAAATCACATTTTATCTCTCTCTCTGTCTTTACCTTTTAAGTTTTAGAATGTGTGCTCCCCTTCTTTTAAACCATGTCATGTTAATGGTAAGACCCATTTATGATTCATTTATCTATTACCTGCAGTTTCTTGAATTGGATTTTGTACTCAATTAAGTTTTAAGACATAGTCACAAATTAAATACCAAGATAAAAAACCATTACACCTTTCTCTAATCTCTCATCATATGTCATCTATTTATATTATTATACTCACATAAACATAGTAACTAGCTTATTGAAGAAACTATACCTATGTCTGTATCTACCTATCAATCATCTATGTATATAACCATGAATATATATTTTATTTACATATATATACACAATATATTTGTATTTTTAGTGCTTATCTGAGTGCCAGGCGCCTATTTTCTTATTAAATATTTATTGAATACCTTAATATCTAGTTTTAAAAGAGAAGAATACAAATGACTAAAGGAGTGCAGAAAAATGAGCATTTCAATTATTACTATGGTGGCAGATTTAGAAAATAAAAATGGAAGACATTTTAAAATTTCATATAAACAATGAATTATTTTTTAGTATAAAGTTTTCACAACATTACATTGTATTTCATCTGACAATTCTTGTTGTATCTCCCCCAAATTGTCTAAATTTATTTAAAATGGCACTAAATTATCTGTATTCCAAAGGGGTAAGTAATTTGAAGACCAGAAAGAATACCAAGAAAACAGACACCAACAGGCTGAGCACTTCATGAGAGGAAGGCCCGGAAGAACCCTACTGTTTTCCTGAGCTGAATGAAATAAAATGAGATTTTATTTCCTGTCAGCGGACCAGTTCCTTCCTTCCTTTTGAAAAAATGATTGTATATATTTAATGTGTTCAACATGATGTTTCAATATACACAGAGTGAAATTGGTACTATAGCGAAGCAAACAAACAATCCATCATCCCACACAGATATGAGTTTATTTTTGTTTATGATTTAAGATAAGGACCTAATTTCATTATTTTGCATGAGGAAATTCGGTTTACCCAGCACTATTTGTTGAAGAGAGTATTCTTTCTCCATTGTGTTGTGTTGGTACTCTTTCCAAAAATTATTTGAATTTATTTCTAAGCTCTCTATTCTGTTAATTGGTCTATGTATCTGTTTCTATGCCAGTACCATATTGTTTTGATTACTAAAGCTTTATACTATAGTTTGAAATTAGGAAGTGTAATGCCTCCAGCTTTGTTGTTCTTTATCATCATTGATTTGGCTTTTGGGGGTCTTTTTTGGCTCCATAAAAATTTTAGAAATCTTTGTGTTGTAAACCCTCTTTGAAAACCTACATATGCACAGCCAAAAATACAATATCAGATTTTTTTCATTCGAAAATCAATTTTGTCTCATAGGTCATTTTCTTGAGGAAATAGTTTAAAATGTGTAGCCTTCTACCTTATTTTAACACCAAACTCAACAATGTTTTGTTTAAAGTACCCATTCAAGTTTGGATTTAATTATAAGTAGAATATGCTATAGAACTCTATCTACTTCTACTAAAATGATAAAGCATATATTTTCTAAATCTCCTTTTAACTTAGTCGAAAGTTTCCCTCACCTGAACTCCTTGATCAGCACAAATTGTAGTTCTCAAACAGAAAGATGAATAATTTTATTGAAGAATGGAAGGAATCCCAAGACTTCTTAGGAAGCCTTCTCAGTGGTTGACTACAGTTTGAGGTCTAAATGTGAAAGAAGGCATGTATAATATGAAGGATATTGTGTAAGGTGAGAAAACATGATGAATATATTGCTATCATGTAAATTGTGTTATCTTAATCCTACATAAACAGATTTTTAACATCTGAGATTCTCTGTCTTGTAATTGATGAAACTAGTCCATTCATATTCATTTTGATTATTGAAATCTTTGGAATTATTTTTACTTGTGTACTTTTGTTTGCTGTTGTCTTTTTTATGTTCTTTTTCCAGAAAGTTTTTTTCATTTATTTTAAAAATTCATCATTTTTCTATTAACCAGTTCGAAATGTATGTGCTCTCTTTTGCTTACTTTAATGCATACCTTGAATATTTTATTATACATATTTATTATAGAAATACATGCTATTCTTTTATTTCTTTAAGAAGTGTACTTAAAATCCTATTCATTAATAGCCAAGTATTTCATGAAATTATTATCTTACTCTCATTTCTCAAAGTCATAAGTTGAGGAAGTAAATCCTTAATTTCATCTGATGGTCTTCTGTCTTGCTTTCTTAATATCTATTTTATTTCTTCTCCATCCATACTGCTACTAAATAAGTTATCTCAGGACTCTTTTATACCTCATCTGATTCAAACATTAATTTTTGAATTGGGAAACTCTTAACTCCTTTTGTTTTCCATCTTGCCAACTTCAATCTAATTTCTATATTATTGTTAATTCACCTTTAGAATAATATTTCTTTTCTGTTTTAAACCTTTGAATGGGTCACTATGCCTTTCTATATTAGGTCTCAACATAAACACAAGATGTAATACTGCCTATCTCTTTATTTCTAATGTGTTTATTTCAGATGTTTTGAGATTTCTGAGGGTTGACTTTTTTTACTGGCTATTTTAGCAAAGATGTTCTGCTATCTATTCAGCAGGATAATGGTACAGAAAGAATATTGAAGATTCATATTAAGCATGTTTCTCTCAATTGGGTTAAATGCCCATACACATAATACAATTACAGTAAATTAGGAACTGTAACATTCTGAAAACCACTTATTGATATTCAGTACAGCATTTAATCTTCCTAGTTTGTTTATATTAGTTTTGTTTTAATCACTTAAAACATTACTCTTTACTACACTTGTAGTCTTAGCCATTCTTGCAGAAAAATGACAAGTATTCTCCAAAATTAGAAATTGAAATATATATGCAGTCAAATAATTGATTTCTGATGATTATATTTCAATTATAATGTACATGAACCACTATTAAAAAATGGATTTAAAAACAAAGGTGGATTCTGTAGGCTATTTTACAAGTCCTCTGTTTATTAAAGGATTCACATATATTTCTAGTAAGAATGAGACATCATTTTTCTCATAAATAGCAGTCTATTTGATGCTTCGTTAATATGATATTTTTGAAGCTTTTCTATTAGAAATATTTCAATTATAAACCTGCCAGGAATATTATAAATGAATTAAAATATGTGAAAGAAATGCAAAATATCTTTAGCCAAAATTTGAATTTCATTTTGACCCATGAATGTTATGTCCATCACATCTTATCAGTTAATAAACCCACCAAGCAAAACATTTACATCATGGAAAGAGTAATGCTCATCATCAAACTAAAAGTTAGACCTCATTTATCCCATGCTGTGTTTGAGTTATTTCTCTGAGTGTCTTCAATATATTAACCTATATAATACTAAAATGACTTAATGGAATAGCTCTATTCTTATTTCTCTATTTCAGATGAAAAATTTATGGCATACAGGTTAAGTAATTTAATCATAGGTTCATAGATTTAAGAAATGGTAGAGCTAGAATTTGAATTTAGGTAGTTTGGCTAAGAAATCTATGCTACTTTCCAGCTTGCCAAGGGAGAGTGAACAATATTAATCATTGTAACTTACAAATTCTATTACAGCCCCCTGTTCCAAAAAAACATACTTTCTAGTCTATAAAATACAGAAACATAACTAAAAAATGTAGAAAGAACAAACACTTGACTTAATATGGAAAGTTTATCAACCCCTATCTTTATAGACTTTTTGTTAGTTTAGGATTTTTTTTGCAGGGTGAAAAAATAAAGAAATGCCCATTGTAATACTTTTTTTTTTTAAAGTATTTAGTATTCATGGGAAAACAGCAATTGAGAGTATCTTCAAAATCTACAATATTGGTCTACATCTGTGGTTCTCACATTACAGTTAAAATGCAAATTCTCAGCCCCAATCAAAACTTTATCAATCACAAACTCCTGGTATTTGGTCCAACAAACTGATTTAACAAGCTCTTCAGGTGAACACTCAAATTTGACAACCACTGATTTTTACTTCCAACAATATAATCTGGTGATAGGACCCATTTGGAAATCTAAAAAAAAAATTAACTCTCTTAAAGATGAGACGAGCCTAATTTTTAGCATTTCATGCCAAATGCAAAGTGTTTTGTTTTAATAATCTGTTTTAATAAAGAAAAAAACCCTAAAACATTAGAATTTCTAAACTGAGTGAAATGGGAAGAAAAGTGGAAGGTGAGGGGGAATTTAGACACATTTGAGGCCCAAGGGAAATTATGAGGCGCTAAGAAGTCGTTACAGTAAAGCCCTACTGAAAGATCAAAAAGGTAAACCCTATATTAGGTTTGATATTAAGACTACTTATTATTAAATGATTGCTCACAGTTACCGAAAAGCAAGGTGCCTAGATTTAGAAACTAACTGTAATACATACTAGTAGTGAAAGTGTGGAGGAGTCATTTGATCTTTCCATGACTTGGTGTTTTAATACAGTGATATCAAAACCTGGTTCGTGCATTTTTGAAATGATTAAATTACATGTGAAGAGCTTGCGGCAGTTTATAGCACATAGCTAGTTTGCCCCCTCCCCGCCGCCAAGTGTTAGATTCTCCTTTTAATGTAAACATAGCACACCACGGTAGTGATGAGTGAGTTATGAGAGATCCAATAAAATATTAATATTTTACTTACAACTGTTTTGAGTTTAATACTAAGTGGTATCAATTCAGTTTGAAGATATCCCTTTATGATGCCCTGATGTTTGCAAAGGAAAAATACATGAAAAAAAATAAAAGATTTTTGCCTGAACTGTTTTGATGCTAGAAGCAAAGAGATTTTTGACTCAAATTACTTTACTTTTTATCTCTATTTTTCACTTGACATCTTATTCACCTAGTCTGTATTTTAAAGTACTATATGACTTGCTTGACTCCAAAAAAGAAATGGGAAAGCAAGATCTAATGTATACAAGAAGATAACAACAGCCAATTAAAATTAATATTCAAGCAGAGCATTAATATATTTATTCATCATTACCATTTTATAAGACAACGGCTACATTTTCTTTCACAAAGGGGTAAAAACTATGACAATAGGTTGTTGAGTAAGTAACCAAAGATAAGTTCGTGAATGCTGGAGTTGGGTTATGAAATCAGGCAGTTAAACTACAGTCTGTGTATTTAACCATAGGGCTGTGATTCAAGCCACTTGAAATAAGGATGTTTACAAAGAAATATTGATTCATAGCCATAATAGCAATTCAAATATTGACATAACATGCGGGGCATCTGTTCAAATTTAGATTACCACATCACACAGATGTAGTACAGAATGCCATAGATGCTAAGATTACATTTAGCTAACTGATTATTCAAATAGTGTTGCCCTCTCTTAAGGCACTAATTATACATTTTCTTTTTAACACTGTGGTAAGATTCCTTTCTCATCTTCATCCTGACTGCTTAGTTCTAAGTTTAATTTCCATATGTAGTCTCTGAGGAACTGAAAACAGGTGATCTCTTATTTTTCCATAAGTGGCTAGAAAGAAGTTACAAAATCTTGCCTCTAATGATTAATTTCACATAATGGGATAAATATAGTTATACAAAACCCGTTCAAACCAGAGAGAAGCATGTCTAGAAAAGACCTAGAGAAAAATTTTGATATGACAAGTTAATGCCTCCTTTAGAATATAAGAACTACAGCAACTGTCACTGTCAGCAGCTTTCACCACATGGCCTGGCCAATTTTCACCTTTCATTATTTATGTCAAAGGACATTTCAGAGTCTTCATATAGTCTAAATTTAATTTTTTAAAGAGTCTTTGAAAAGAGAAAATCTTCCTCAAGCTGGCAGATGGAAATGAATATACAAAGACCTCCTTTTGTTCTCAATTGAGACAGAATTGCCCTGATTTCTTTACCTCTTAAGTAAAGCTAACTTTTAATTTAGATTTTGTTAGGTTGCAGTTTTCATAAATTACCCCTTCTAAGTGACTGAAACGTAATTGGAAATGTAGAAATTTCATTTCTATTAAGGTTGAGTGATGTTTTAATTCAGAAAGTACCATGAAACTTGTTACCTTAAAAAATGTGAACTAAAAACTGTGTAAGTAGTTATAATAGAGTGTTCTTCAGGAAGTATAAATATCTTTAATATAAACAAATATTTTTATGACTTCTTATAGGAGCCCACACAATCCCTTACAATAAAATTGGTGAATATTATGAAACATATTTTTGTCGTATTTTAAGTAGTTGACAAGTTTATCGTAGTCTATGTGGATAGATTAATATCTGTTTCTTTCAACGGGAGTTTGGAAGTACTAGGAACCATGACAAAATAATGACAAATGATAGTGAATATGTTTCACTAAGCAGCTTAGAGGTTAGTATTAGACGGTGAAAAGTGCTACACTTGTCATATTCTGAAGATAAAAAATTAATAAAACAGCATTTTGCAATCTCAGTCTTAAAAAATACTGTTGCAAACATCTTAATGTTTTCATTTTTGTTGTTCATGCATTTATTGTAAGGGGGCAAGTAGTTCTGGGAGGACAAGAATAGTACAAAACTGCATATTTCCTATATGAACTATATTATTTCTTCTCTTTAATCTTTTTGTGGCTAGTATCTAGCATAATTGGCAAACAGTAGGGGTTGTATTTAGGCTTATTTATTCATTCAATGCATATTTATTTTGTAGAAGAACGAATGGAGCCTGACAAAGTCGTTCTCAGCTTTATGCCTTCATGTGGTCTGGGATTTTCTTTAAAGAAAAACCTCCTTAGAGAAATATGAGAAAGAATCATCTTGGCAATTTCATGAGAGCCTTCTATTTTATCATTCTGTGTTCCTAATGGGAAAGCAAAATCCTCTTTTTCAGGAATTCTATGTCCTACATTTAAAATCTCTTATCTCTTATGTAGCCCTAAACATACTATTAACACTCAGAATTTTCAAGATGACTGATACATTCTTGTAAAACTGTAGGTGAATATTTTATTTTATTTCTGTATTATATATAAATATTTATAAGTATCTTATCTAGCTAATACACATAATAATAATAATAATAAAGCTTTTTGAGAAAATTGTCTCTACATAGTAGGCATTCTATCAAGTTTCTGGAACACCTGATGAGTTGTGATTGAAATGTGTGAAAGACAAATTAAAAAGAGATTCCAGTTGTGTCTCTATTACTACTATGCTTCCTTTCTCTTAGCAAATAAATTGCAGAATATGGAATTATTTGAAAATGTCTTTCTCCTGGTCTTCACAGTATTTAAGAATAGAATCTAACTTTATGATGATACTCAAGCCATGACAGTGGATAGAATTATTCAGTCATTGAAAAGTCTCATGCCTTTGTAATCTTTTAAAAATAGTTAAGTAATGTGCTATTCTGTTCATGAAAAGAAGCCTATTTTGATCTCTTTTAGTATTTTCTCCATTGAAAAACAATGGATTATCTGAATTTTCCTTCACATGTACCTGAAGATGAAACCACATCATACTTATGTTGCTTCAGTTATGTCTAAAATAGGTGCAGTCATTGGTCATGGAATGAAAGAAAATTAACTATCTCCTATAATAGTTAGTTCTGGGACTTTGATTATAACCACTCTAAGCATTTGTCTAACCAGTCAATATAAAGGTAATATATATGGGGGTATATGTGTGTGCCTGTATATTTGTCTGAATCGAACACAGTGAGTGCCCTTATAATTATCCAATCCAGAGGACACTGGCAAATGATGAGATAGGCAATGCACTCAGGGAAAGTGATGTAGAACTCTGTTCTACTCGCATATACATTCATCTAGTTAAGGAAAGAAGGATAATACACATTACTATAGGAACAAACTTCCTAAGTCTGTATATTTCATCCTTCCCAATCCCATAGCATTAATTGTATTTAGTATTAGGCTAATACCTAGGATGCTCTTCTGCATTTTGAATACGATTTAATGGTTGGCAGGTGTTATGTCTCGGTATATCTTCAATTTATCTATCATTGCCGCTAAAAATAAGAGACAAAGAATATTTATGCTGCTATTGAACAGAGGAGCTCCATTTATATGTGGATAACAAGATTGAAAAAAATTACTCTGTTGCATCAATGACAGCATTTGCCATGCTGTAGAATAAAAGAATGCCTCCTGAAACTTTGTGCTGGAAGATAGTTGAGCTGGATATATTTCATGCAATCACTTGAAAATAATTTCCAAAACAGCAATCTACTGTTTTTGAAAAGTAATTTTCTCTAATTATTATGACAAGAAACTACAGAAATAATTAAAATATAAAACACACATATTGAGCTTTTTGGGATTCTGGTATTTAGTGTTCTTGTTTTAAAAATTTAAAAGTGAATTAATTTGCCGCTGTGTTAAGAAACAAACAAACAAACAAAAAACCACTACATGATTTCTGCATAAGGCCAAAACTTACTTAAACTTTTATTCTGTTTCTGTGCGTGATACTAACTCAGTGTGTATCACTGGCTTTGTGATTTATCAGTTGGGTAAAATTCATTCTCTAGCATAATAGGTTCAGGTTCATGCTACGACTATATCTACAAGATTCTGTATTTAAAAATTGGCATTCAAGCATCTACAAGTTCTTGTAGACAAATAATACACAATCTATATTGTCTTTAATATCTGTAAATCTACAAAACTTTGAAGATAATATATCCTGTACTGACTCAGCATAATTGTCAATTTTCAAAGTTTCCCATTTTGAAATATTAAAAATACTCATAGTGATAAGTATCACTTTTACTACATCACGTAAGTTTGCACAAACAGATGTTTTTCTATATGTAAAGATAGTGACCAAAAATTTATGTAAAAATTGTAATAACTAGATGTTTATTAGTTTCCAATTGCTGACCTACAAATTATTGCTAGCTTGGTCTAAGACAACTCAACTGTATTATCTGATTACCCAAAATACTCATATTGATATATATCACTTTTACTACACCAAGTAAGTTTGCACAGATGTTTTTCTATATGTAAAGATATTGACCAAAAATTTATGTAAAAATTGTAATAACTAGATGTTTAGTGGTTTCCAATTATTGCCCTACAAATTATTGCTAACTTGATCTAAGACAACTCAACTGTATTATCTGATAGTTTCTCAAGATCAGAAGTCTGGTGCACTGTGTCACAAACAGGGCCACTGCTTTGAGCTTCACAAAGTTAAAATAAAGGTATACGCTGAGATGCATTTTTCTTTTTCTAGAGGCTTTAAGATTAGATCTTCTCCTAAGCTCATTCAGGTTGTTAGCCAAATTCAGTCTTTGAGATTGTGGACTGAAGTCCCTTTGTTTTGCTCTGGAGTCTCTTTTTGTTGCTATCAGCTGGAGAACACCCTTAGCTCCTCTGTGGTTCTTACACGTGGCACATCTCAGAAACAGCATCTGCACATCAAATCCTCCTCATCCTTCAAATATTTGTGACTTTCCCTTCTGTCACATCTCTCTGATTTCAACAAGAGTAAGCTCTTTGTTTTTAAGAGCTCTTGTGATTAGATTAATGCCACTCAGATAATACAGGGTAATCACTCTATCTTAAGGTCCCTACCCATAACTTTACCTTCAATGCCTGTCTGCCATGTAATATAATGTATTAACAGATGCCAAGAATTGTGATAAGGACATCTTTGGGAGTCAGGGACAGGTTCTGCCTACCACAGATGTGTTCTGAGTTATTTTCATATCTTATTTTTCTTAATATTGAGTTATTTCAATTCCATTTTACTTTCAAATTCCAGTTAAACACTGATGTTCCTTGAAAAAATTGTGGGCAAATATGTTAAACAATTTCCTATATGATCAAATATGTTCTGTACAACCACTGTTTTTTCAAAGTTAAAAAACTATCATACTTTCCCTATTTATTATATAATTATTAAAATATGGATGAATTTATATTACCTTTTAAATTAAAATCAATAGAAATTTAATAAGGACGGTTTTGAGATGTGCCTAACGAAATTTTTAAAAATCAAATTCAACTTCTTGAGATAAAAAGATTAATCATGTATTCAGTTAAGTACAAGATGAGACTGGGGAAGAGAATGTAGGTAATTACGAAGGGACTCTTAAGACCTTTAAAATATTTTGAACATTATCTAAATTGCAATTGTTGTGGATGATATAGTTGGCCAATAAGATCCTTAAGGTCTGAAACAACAATTTCTCAGCCCCCTGGAAATGCTGTTACTGATTTTTCAGTTAACTACCCCTGTAAGAATTATCTGTTGCCAAAGACAGATAGGTCATCCCAGAATACATGCTCTTTTGAGGCAACCTGCATTTAATGACCAGTGAATACAGCATGGAAAAATAAAGTCCTATGTCCTGTGCCTCAAAACTGGACAATTCTGTAGGACCATCCCATTTCAGCAGCTCACCATTGTTTCACCTAACATCTTTGACTCACACTTCAATACCTTCCAATGTCAATAGCTACTTTCTTTATACCGAGGGCATTCCTGATATAATTTTTGCATGAGTTCTTTCTTTATACCAAGGGCATTCCTGATACAATTTTCACATGAGTTTGCAAGAAAACTTTCCAAGAAACAACAACTAAGAAATAAATAGTAATTCTTCAAGATATTCTAAAATGTGTTCTGATTAGATTTATTTGCTGAGAAAATTATTCCAAGAAAGCAAGATTATAAAATCAGATGCAGTTAGAAAACCACTGAAGCATTTCAGATAAGAGAAATGTTTGTCATAGAGAGGAGAATGGTATGGTAATAGATTAAAAGAGACGCATCTTAGAGATATGTAGCATGCAAATGTTGCAGAGTTTGGTAACTGCATTGATATAGAGAAACAAGACAAGAATGACATCCAGATTCCTTCCTCAGACAATTGGGAGAATGATAGAACAATGAGGCAACCTTGTATCAGCATATGATGAATTCAAGCTTGGCTTTGTTGTGTTTGGGGCATCAGGACAAGTATTTTCACAATAACATTAGAGGCAATACATGTCACTGAACTAAAAATATTGATGAAAGAATTATCACCATAAAATATGGAACCTTTAAGATCTATTGACCTGGAGGTGCTCAGAGGGAGGCTTTGGAGACGATTCCTACCATTTACAGTATACAATTATGACTGTAGTCCTCTCTTACCTATGATTTCACTTTCCATGGTTTTGGTTACCCATGGTAAACCCTTGTCCAAAAATATTACATACAGTAAGATATTCTGAGAGAGAGTGAGATTACATTCACATAACTTTTTTATAGTATATTGTTACAATTCTATCTTATTTTAGTTATTGTTAATCTCTCACCATACCTAATTAAAAATTAAACTTTGTCATAGGTATGTTCATATAGGGAAAAACAGTACACATAGGGTTTCTGGCATCTACTGGGGGTCTTGGAACATATGCCCCATAGGTAAGAAAGGACTACTTTTCTACATGCACAGCAATGTTGTGGCACTTTATGCACATTAATTAACTTAGTCTTAAAAAATGAGATAGGTTAAATTATTAAACAATATTTTATAAATGACAAAACTGAGTCAAAGACAAGTTGAGAGAGTTTCTTTGAGTTAGACAGTGAGTTATGGTAGCACCTGGATAAACACCCTTCCCATTAAGTTATATAGAATCTTTCTGCAGAGTATGTTGGAGTGTGTCCATTTCTGCCACCAATATACCATTGTTGGGCATATAGTGCCTCAAGCACTCTAATAAGGATCAAGAGGGATTGGAGGAAAAATGAGATGCATGTTAAATGAAAATTCATGGGATGAGTGTAAAAGAAAAGTATCCAACAATGAAGGGCAAATATTATAAGTAGAAAAAGGCTAAAAATGCCTGTCAGATATAGCAATAAGCAAGTCACTGTTGACAATAAAAATGCCTCAGAATAGTCTAAGTAAAGCTAAATTCAAGTTAGCCCTGAGTTAGATAGTCAGTAGAAAACAAGATAGTGGCTATAAAATTAGGAAATAAATTATGCTTTTTGCAACATAGAAGAGAAAAAAGAAATCAAGTAATATAGCTTTCACAGAATGAATTGTTAAGAAATTAAAATATTGTGGACAGAATAATAATAATAGAGATAGATAGATAAAATCGGTGTATGACTGCAAAGTAAAAGATAAAGAGAGTCTGACAGGTAATACAGAGATAGGTTCATGAAAGTTCTCATACATACATACACATATAGATTAGATAAATAGACAGATAGATAGATACATAGATAGATAGATAGATGAAAACCATAGTAGACCTATTAACATGTTTAGTTATTAATGGGAAGAAAAATGGAAGAAGTTAATGAATGAGTACAGTAATGAGTAAAGTATATAAACAACCAGAAAGGGGTGTGAGCTACAGGAATATCTTTTATTACAATAAGAGGTACTCTAAAAAATTGGGTCTGGATACAGGTTGGTCATTTTTTTCAAAGACATAATGTTGATTAATTTGAATGATAAATCAAGGCCATCTACTACGACTATTTGAAGAACACATGAGAATACACACACACACACACACACACACACACACACATATATATTTGTAGAGATGCAGAGATGGGGTCTCATTGTGTTGCCCAGCCTGGTTTCAAACTCCTGGGCTCAAGCAATCCTTCTGCCTCAACCTCTCAAACTCCTGGCATTATAAGCATGAGCCATGGTTCCTAGCCCAGGAGATCATTTTAAATAGTCATTGTGAAGTATGGGAGATACAGTTGACCTGGAAAATGTAGAATCATTGCTGGACAGAATTGAGATTCAAGTTGTGGCTGAAATTATGATGATTTTTTTTGCAGTATTTGTAATACTGTGCATGAAGAGTTTAGCAAATATTTTCTGTAAATTTTAGACAGTAAATATTTTAGGCTTGGTGGGTCATAGGTCTCTGCAGCAAGTACTCAACTGTTATTTTAACATGATTGTAGCCATAGACAATACATAAATGAATGAAAAAACGAACATGGCTATGTTTCAAAAATGTTTATTTAGAAATATAAATGATTGATTGGATTTGGCCCATAAGCCAAAGTTTACAGATACTGGCTTGCAGGAATGTATATTAATTTGCTTGCAATAAAGAAGACAGATATGAGTATTGTCCCTGGGTTGAATTTCCCAGTCAGTGGACAGGTTGGGTAAGAAGACATGGTGGTTGAAAATACAGGAAAAATAGTGTTTGAAGTCCTAAACCATTTTGGATAAACTATCCTGGGAATGATAGGTAGTTAAATCAGGAAGCTAATGAACAGAGAGAAATCAGAGAAATCAAAAGGCAAAGAGCACGAATAATATTTGTGGTATGGTTACTGAGTAGAAGAAAAGGAAGAAAAAATAACTGGCTGAAATGTAATATACTGAGACCAGGTTATAGCAATTTTCAACAAATGTAAAGGATAAAATATTTTGGGGGCAATGTAGAAAAAAAGAAACCAAGTGATATAGTTTTTAGAGAAAAGATTGTGAGAAAATTTAAATATTGTTGGCAGAAAATAATAACAGGATACATAGATGATTGAGTGATAGATGGCCAATGTATGATTGCAAAGTAAAAATAATTAGACAGGGATTTCTAAAAAAAAATCAAACATAGAATTACCATAAGATCCAGCAACTCCACTTATAGGCATACATTGCCCTCCAAAAAAACATGAAAGCAAGAACTGTACAGAGTCCCTGTACAGATAAGTGTACACTCATGTTCATAGCATTATTCACAAATGCCAAAACAGGAAAATAACCCGTGTCCATTAATGGATTAATAAACAAAAAGTTTGACTTTACCTTTACCATAAACAAAAATTAACTTAAAATGAATTAAAGATGTAAACATGAGAGCGAAAACTGTGAAACTCTTAGAAGAAAAAAAAGGAGAAAACCTGCGTGACATTGGACTTGGCAATTATTTCTTGCATATGACACCAAAAACAGACCAAAAAAAAAACCCAGATAAAATGAAACTCATCAAAATTGAAAACTGTTCACCAAAGGACACAATCAATAGAGTGAAAACATAATGTACAGAATGTGAGAAAATATTTGCAAATCATTTCTCTCATGAGGGGTTAATATCCAAAATATGTATGGATGCCTTACAACTCAAAAACAAAAACGAAATTAAATCACTTGATTTAAAAAGTGAGCAAAAGGCTTGAATAGACATTTTCCTAGAAAGACACATAAATGGCCAGCAAGCTTACAAAAAGGTATTCAACAAATTATTCATTAAAGAAACGTAAATCATGACCGGGTGCGGTTGCTCACTCCTGTAACCTCAGCACTTTGGGAGGCCGAGGCGGGCAGATCACGAGGTCAGAAGATCGAGACCATCCTGGCTAACACAGTGAAACCCCGTTTCTACGAAAAATACAAAAAAATTAGCCAGGCTTGGTGGCGGCTGCCTGTAGTCCCAGCTACTCAGGAGGCTGAGGCAGGAGAATGGCGTGAACCCGGGAGGCGGAGCTTGCAGTGAGCCATGATGGCGCCACTTCACTCCAGCCTGGGCAACACAGCGAGACTCCATCTCAAAACAAAACAAAACAAAATGCAAATCCAAAATACAATGAGCTATAACATCACACCAATTAGAATTCTATGAGGATGACCACTATTTTTCAAGGGGAGTGAAATAATAAGTGTTGTCTAGGACGTGAAGAAATTGGAATCCTTGGAGTCATTGTACACGCCTATTAGAATGTAAAATGATGAAGCTGCTATGGAAAAGACTATGGTGGTTTCTCTAAAAATTAAAAATAGAACTACCATTTGATCCAGCAATTTCACTTCCGGTCATACAGTATTTCCAAAAAGATTGAAAGTAGGTTTCAAAGAGGTAGTTGTACACCCACAGTTATAGTAGCATTATTCACAACAGCCAGAGGATGAAAGCAATCAATGGAAGTGGGTCAATGGATAAACAAAATGTGGTATATGCATACAATGGTATATTATTCAGCCTTAGATAGAAGAACATTCTGACATACGCTACAGCGTGGAAGAATCTTGATGACACTACTCCAAGTGAAATATCCATTCACAAAAGAATAAATACTGTATGATTACAATTATATAACCTACCAAGAATAGTTCACATTCATAAAGACAAAGTACAATGGTTGCAGCTAGGATAGGTGGGGGGAAGAAAATGATAAATTAATATTTAATAGGTATAGAGTTTCAGTTGAGTAAGATGAAAAAGTTCTGAAGATGAGGCGTGATGATAGCCACACAACAATGTAAAGGTACTTATACCACAGAATATTTTGATTATTGAGTAATAGACTCTGGAGTCAGGATATCATGGTTTGAATCAAAATTTCATTGCTTACAAATTGGTGAGCCTAGACAAATTAAATAGTCTCATTAAGACAGGAACAATTTTAGATGTTAATTATAATGATGGTTATATGAACCTGTAGTTGTGATGAAATGTCATCACAAGTATATTAAAAAAATTAAAAATATGAGTAATTGCAAAAAAACTCAGTTACTGCATTTTAAAGTAAGAACAATATTAAAACTTAAATCATGACAGTATTGTTAGATATAATGAGATAATATCTATGAAGTATATAGCCTAAGTTGTGGCACACAGAAAATCATCATCAAAATTTAATGATTAGTGTAATACTACTAATATTTCAAGTTTTAAGGTCAGTGATGAGTAAGATTATAATAAATACTAACATAATTAGAGAATGCAAGAGGGGAAAAATGAATGTTATAAAAGATGGTCACAATAATGTGTATATTCACTTTAAGCAGCCGAGAAGGGTGTAGAAATGTTTAACAGGAAATTGAGAATTGACGACCACCTTGTGAGGGAAAGTTCCTGACAAGAGACATTAATTTGGCAATTGGTGCAGTAAAATGTTTTCATTTCCTACAAAGCTAGGTTATGCAGCTGGAAGAAATAGATTATGACTTTAACTCAACTCTGCTACCATTGTGACCTTGGGCATGTTACTTAAAGTCTCAGTGAGAAAGACAACACTTACTTCATAGCATTGTTCTGAAGTTTGTTTATATAATTAACTATAATAATGTTAATCATTAAATAATTGATAGAATTTGTATAAACTCAACATATAGAAGATACCCAGGCATTGTAGCTGTAACAAAAATAGTCATTATCATTAAAGTCAGGTGACATAGATATTACACCTAATCACCCAATAATAAAAGCAACCATAGCAACAAACAAATGAGTAACACCACCAATAAGATCTATTGTTTTTAAAGCAAGGAGCACTCACAAAGTAACTATGCGTCAGCCTCGCCTTAAATGTTTCACATGAATTTCCTCCTTTAATCTTCCCAAAACTTCTGAGAGATCCCTCTGCTCCCAACCCCCTACCATTATTATAGATAGTGACTATATAAATAGTGAACATAAATAAATACAAATATAAACAAACTGACTAAATAAAGAGAGGAGAAATGTGGCATTACATTGGAGAACACCTTTTTGTTGATTGAAAAGAAAAGTGAGAGGAGCAAAAAACAAAACAAAACAAAACGAAAAAATCAAGGAAGAAACAACCAGAGTGCCAAAGGAGGAATGGAGAAGTACAATTTTATGGAAGCCGAAGCAAGAGAGAGTTAAAAATATACAAATCATATGACTTTTCTTTGCTGGATAATCAAATTATAAGATTATTTTATAGTGATATTTTAAAATGTTTTCCTTTCATGTAGATGCCGAGCATTTGAATTATTGAGTGACTTGTACCTTGTGACAGCACTTTAATGGACCTTCTACACACATCAAAATTGAATCTAAATTTCCCTCACTAACCTTTCACTGAAAAAAGCTAGAGTTAATCTTAAAATGACTCTATTGAGTAGGGAGTGAGTGGATTTTGCACAGCATACAGTATGTCTGAAAGCATAGAAATGAAATCACAAGTGAATAGTTTACCCAAAAGCCTACTTGTTGATTATATCAAGCGGGCTTGAAAAAAATAAAAAATATGTAATTAATCTTGGCTAAATCGATCAAACCATCAAAAACACAATACTGTACTGAGATGCCATTCTATGTGAAATCAGAAAATTTTATGCGCAATAATTCATCTAAATATTTAATATTACATTCAGTGTGCCTTAGCATCAAATATTTGTCTTAGGAATTAAATATAAACTAGAATTTATCTCAAATAAGCAGCCATTTCCAATCGGATCTCAGGTCTGCATGACTGAATACATATAGAATGTTCCGAGGATCGCTATTCCCAAAATGACTTTTACTACTACTCAAAAAATATTTCTAACCAATGGGTTAAGTGTTGAAGTAATACTTGACAATAATGGCTGGGAAATATGTGAATATAATATAAATATTAATGAGAGATATTTTTCTCCCAGAATCCTAGAACCTCTGTTTTTATATTAAAGTACATAAAATGGCAATGCAGCTGAAAATTTAATAGAGGTTATAGACATTGGTCCCCGAATTGCATTTTAGGCAACATTAGTTCTATAAAATATTAACAGATGTTTCATTTAAAAAATAGTTTCTGGGACAAATGTATTTAGAAATACTGAAGCAAACATTCTTAGAGATATTTAGGCCTTTTAAGAAAGCACTGTGAATTTTCAAGAGAGAATCACATAGTTGAAGCCTTTCTCATTTTATGCGTAGGATCACAGTCCCTGTGCAAGTACAGTCCCCTGTGCATGTACTGCAGAGAAGTGGCTCAGAAATGAACTCTGGAGCCACACTGACTGGGGAGAAATCCCATCTCTGCCATTGTTCAGTTGTGTGACTTTGTACAAATTGCTCAACCTCTCTGTGTCTCAATAGCCCATCTGTAGTTAAGAAAAACACACACACACACACAAATGAAACAAACAAAACTACCACATGTGGTTCTAATTAAGACTAAAAAAATAGTATTTTGAGGCTTTAAAGTAGTGTTTGGCACATAGGAAGTCCCCATCAATTGTTGGCTGTTGTCACTGACTCCTCAGATAATCTCTGTTGAGCAGGCTTCCAAAGGTGAATGCCAGTTTAGGACATTTCATTACCATCCTAGTCTACATTTTCAACAATATTAGCTCAGTGTTTGTTATTCCTTATGCCGCCCATTCTGAGACCTTGATTAGGTATTTATTGACTGACAGTGGAGGTAAATCTTTAAGGTATAAGGGAACAATTTTATCCAAACAAGATCCTAAATCCCAGCAAAAAAAAAAAAAAAAAAAAAAAAAAAAGATTACGTTTTAGAAGAATAAGAGCCAGTAAGAAATCTCTTCTCAGGTCACTGATAACATGTACATAAATCATGGAGATTCTGGCAGTTAAGGGAATGGGAACATGAGACTGTGAAAGATCCCTTTTTTTTTTTTTTGAGGCAGAGTCTCGCGCTGTTGCCCAGGCTAAAGTGCAGTGACGCAATCTCGGCTAACTGCAACCTCTGTCTCCTGGGTTCAAGTGATTCTCCTGTTTCAGCCTCCCAAGCAGCTGGGACTACAGGCGCGTGCTACCACACGCGGCAATTTTTGTTTTGTATTTTTAGTACAGACGGGGTTTCACCGTGTTAGCAAGGATGGTCTCTATCTCCTGACCTCGTGATCTGCCCGCCTTGGCCTCCCAAAGTGCTGGGATTACAAGTGTGAGCCACCGCGCCTGGCTGAAAGATTCTTTAGAATCACACAGGCCAACTCTATTGCCACATTTAATCAACATACTAACCTGGTAATAATTTAAAAAAGTAACAATAAAAAAAATTTGGGGGGCGGGGAGCATGTTGTAGTGGAAAGATAATGTAGAATTCTGAATCAGCCACTTAATTATGAAACGATCATGGAAAAGCTGTTTAATTTCTTTGAATTCTAACTTGCAGTTTCAGGCTGTTGTGAGAATGCTACTTGACATTTCTCGTTTACACACAGTCAGCATTCTGTGGGCTGTGTACTGGTGTGTTGTATCGCCACAGGCTTACTTTTCAAAAACAGAGCATCTCTAGAAATTGACTTCTTTGCCTTAGTTATTTTATCTAAATGACGTCCTTGAAAATTACTGCTAGCAGAGTACAGAGAAGATAGCATATTCTTAATTGTTTATTTCATTATTCTATATGATGAACTGGGAATTAAAGAACATGTTCTTGGCAAAATTCTCTAACTCCAACAAAAACTGGAAATGAAAAGAAAGATGAAGTACAAAGTATATTTTATAATAGTTCTGTGTCTCTTTTTAAAATTTTATTTAAATAGAAAAGGGAAATTTTATTTTATAAACATAATCAATAAGGAAATGTGTTTCTGTGTAATGAAGAGTTAATATAGGAATTCAAAGATGAAAAAAATCAGTAAGTGAATCAGTAAGGAAAAAGAAGAGAGGAAAAGAGAAAATGCAAATGCCATTAAAAAATGAAAGTAAGTGTGAGAGGGAAAGAGAGTAAAAAGGGGAAGAGAAAGATGGAAGGCATAAATATGCAGGAAGATGAACAGAAAGAAGGGGAAGAAATTACACAGAGAAGGATAAGAAAATGAAAGTAGAGAGAAAATTAGCAAGTACATAAAACATCAGGACATTTGCTGCTCTATGAAAGTCTCATTAAACAATTAATCCTGAAGCCTTGGGTCTCAGGTCAAGTTAGTATAAATAAATTTCTTCAACTAAATTACAGCCAAGATTATTCTCCTACAATTCATGGAACAAATACAGGGAAGGGCTCAAACTGCCCTGAAAAGGAATTTCTTGAGCTCAGTTCTTGATACATTATTGTGTTCATTAACATTTCAATGTTTGAACTGATTACATTGGCATTATTTATTTTAAATGTATATAAAGTGCTAGTTAACCTTAGCTTCAGGTTTTATTTCTACAAAACAACTGGAAACTAAGATAAAACCTCACAATGAACTTTAGGCTGTGATGGACTCCTGTGCAATAGAAACATTTACATTATATAATAGAATTTTTGGTACATATGGCATTGGTTTTCTAAAGCTAAAATGTTTCAATCTCTGGATTAAAATGTTGAAACATTTCCCACCTTAATAGCTTTTGTCTTCTTATACTTAGCATAATATCTCATATCCTGCTGCCAAAAAGATGTGTAGGTTTGAGCCAAATATATACTCTATACTTTATCCACTTTATAAGATAGGCCTTTATTAATTCTCCATGATGAGATAGTATGTTCCTAACACTGTAGAATGTCTCAGTGCAAAAAGAAGATATAGTCCTGATTTTTGTGGGTTTATAATGCATATAACTAGCATCTAAGTGCATAGATGCCAACTATACATCTATAGGATCATACAATTCTGATTGAATTTTATATTTTAAATTTAAAGACTGCTGTTGCAGATACTCATTGCCATCATGCAATATGTTAAAATAGCATCTTAAAAATTATTTGTCTGAAGAAGTTTTAGACTGTATCTAATAGCTTATATTTTAAAAATCTTTATATTAAAATTCAAGGTTAACAAGTCCGTATCATTTCTAAGCTCTTAAATATATTTTTTAAATTTAAATTCAAATGTATTACTGTATAGAATTTATTAAATGATCACACATATTATGGTATTATAAACACTGGATACTATAAATAGAATGGTATAAACAGCATATTGTTTACAATATTATGTGATAAATGATAATTTCAGCTGATATGTATTTTCAAATATCTGGAAAATAGTGTGTTGCCTCTTTTCATTGATGAGATATATCCACTTGGAGAGAGAGAGAGACAATATTTAATTAAGAAAATATTTGTATCCTAAAAATGAAAATAGCCATTTCAATTATATATTATTCTATGTATAGCAAAATATTTGTCTAGAATCTTCACTCTGCAAATACAGACAGCCTTAATTTTCTTCTCACTTTAAAAATGTCATAATCCTGGTAATTTGAGTTTGCCAAAGATAGATCTATTTATTACCTATTTCATCCTAATTTAAGTGACCCTTTATTCAGCTACCCACATAAGTTAAGTCAGTAGTTATACAATCAGTACTATTAAAAAATAATTTCCTGGCCAGGAGTCATTTTATAGTTTACACATTACTAAAAGGTAGATACAGTATATTCAGCGAATAATTTAGCATAATCCTTAGTAATATATTTTCTATATGTATAATAGTTTTAAAATATTACTAAATTTCATTATTTATTGACTTTGCTACAATTACCTAATATGCTATTGAAGGATAGTTTGTTAAATGTATTAATTTGAATAAGGATAAGTAAGTCAAATGAAAGTCTTCTCTCCCTTTGCCTCACCAAAATTTAAAAATAAAAAAATACAGTGTCTTGAAAGCAGATGCTTTACCTGAAGCAGCAGCTTGTATGGAACACACAGTTAACTACACAGAACATTAGAAAATTGGCATCAGTCCTGTGGGCTAGAGTAATGTGAATTATTTTCTTATACATGAATCCACTGGAGTGCAGAGCTAAATCAGGCAGATGAACTTTCAGGGTGGGCTCTGACTCTGGACCCTGGCAAATAAACTGAGGTAATACCATACCACGTGGCTGTCACTCACTTCTACACAGGTGCACATATTAGTTAATGTGCAGGTGAAGATGGGTACTTATTTGAAATGTTTCATATTTGGGTTTTATAGAATGTGTAATTTTATGAAGTACTATGTAGTTAATTACATATTTATTTCTTCATTGGGTGAAAAACAATTTTAAATATGTCACTGATGTTAATGTTTAAAATTTAATTTTCATAGTTTTATATCTTCGTGTATAAAAATTCATGTGGCTGTTGAAGTAGTCATCTGGTATTCCCTACCACACGATGTAACATTTATACATAATCATATAGAGACTTCTTTAAAACTTATTTTGTGACTTATAAATTTGCTAGTACAACCTAAAATTGGTATCATTCGCCTTACTTGGTTCCACTTTACAAAGGGGTAAAAGCTTGAGGAACTCTTTCTGAGAAATTAAATGTGAATAACACATAAAAAATTTTCGGCCCAGACTAAAAGACATCAGATGAAAATACAATTTTAGAAATTAAAAAGGCAAACAAAGTGAAAATGAATCATCCTTTCCAAACAGGACAGAGAGAGATAAAGCCTGGGACAAGAGTCAAAGGGCAATAACTGGTCTCCAGATTTCAAGGGACCCTAAACTATTCCTTGAGCTACAGTTATGAAAGGCTGATGAAAAGGGAGAATTGCTAGCAACAATATTGTCCAATGTTATTTGTGATTTCTTATATTTTATGTAATTAATCTGTGTCTATCTCCCTCCTTTTCTTCCCCTCAGAGGGCCTTTTAGAGTGCTGAACACTCTAAATACATTTTGACTGACTTTTCATAGAGTTGAACAAAAAAATAATTTTAATTATCAAATCAAGTAAGCAAATTGACATATCACATATATACTAACAATGATTAAGTTTAAAGCTTCTAACTATCCAGGATGATGCTACAACTTTGTGGCTATCCAAATATGATTAGTCATGTAAGAAGACAGGCCAAAATTATAATGATATTTTATTAGTGGAGAACTCATGGCTGAAACATGCGTGTGTCATTGTTATAACCAAGAGTTCACAAGTCAAACACATGCAACAAGTTGAATAATTAAGTTAAAGGCCTAGATCATAACAAGGAAGATAAGATACATTCAGGGTCAGTGATGAAGTTGGAAAATGTGGAAGATGAAGTATAAAACCAAGAACAAATTTGTTATCCAAAAGCTAATTAGAAAAGTCAATCTCAAGGAACAGCTCAAGGGTGTTCTTTCAAAATTCTCAATATACTGGTGGAGAGGCTGCACGAAAGTTAAAATGTGTTGTTCAGTTACAGAAAAATAAATTAATGGCTCCTCAGGGTAAATAAAAAAGAAAAATCACTCTGTATTCTCATGGTTTGTATTCTCATTTTTGCCAAACTACCCTCAGCAATTCTTAGCAGTTTTATTTTTTCTTGAGTATTTAATACTATTTTTACAGCACAATTTTTAAGTTTTACAGAGATTTCAATTTTGATAGTCATATAGTATACCTGAGAATTTATTTTGAAGTCATGTACATGTGCGTGTGCCTGTGTGCACACATGTGTGTATTTTCAGATTAAAATATGTGGGATCATAAGCATTCTTTAGTTATTGCAATTCTCTCAAACAATTGGATATTAATTTGTATTGTAAATCTTAGAGTAATATTTATATAGAAGTACTGGGAAGGGAAGAGCGTGGTCCCTTTAAATGATACTGGAGTTGGGAGGGAAAGGGAAGTGCTGAGTAAGGAGGGCGTAGTCCCTGGCTCGGGGTCCACCCCCACGGACCTAAGTGAGGACAGGCATGTCTTGCGCAAATGTAGCATTTCCCTAGACCACCCTGGCCTGCCATGCCCCCATCCTGTGCCTATAAAAACCTGAAACTCCAGCAAGGCAGAGACAGAGGCAGCTGGATGTGGAGAGGAGCACATCAGCGGAGGAACACACAGGCAGCTGGACATCAAGAAGAATGCAACGACAGGCACCAGCACACCCGCAGGCCACCCCACCAGTAGAAGCAGTAGATACGGAGTTTGGCTGGAACAGTCAGAGGAGAGCCCAGGCCGCTGAGCAGCCCGACTCCAGAGGAAAACCATCTTCCTTCCGGCTCCCCCACCTGCTGAGAGCTACTTCCACTCAATAAAACCTTGCACTCATTCTCCAAGCCCACATGTGATCCGATTATTTCCAGACATCAAGGCAAGAACCCGGGGATAAAGAAAGTCCTCTGTCCTTGAGACAAGGTAGAGGTTCTAATTCAGCTGGTCAACACAAGCCGCCTATGGACTGTAAAACTAAAAGAGCACCCTGTAACACATGCCCAGTGGGGCTTTGGGAGCTGTGAACATCCACCTCTAGACATCACCATCGGGTGGGAGCCCCACAGCCTACCTGTCTATATGCTCCCCTAGAGGTTTGAGCAGTGGGGCATTGTAGAAGTGAGCCACACCCCCATTGCACGCACTGCGATGGGGACAAGGGAGCTTTTCCCGTTTCAATAATACTTTTGATTACTATTCAAGGAACGATTCCTTTTCTTTTAAGAGTTTTCTATAACTTAATGTATTTTGAACTACTGGGAAACTTCCATACTGAAAAAAACCTCTTCTCAGTAATTATAACAACCTTCACAGTATGATTTCTGTATCTACAGATAGGTGTCTTTTAAAAGTGTTTTTGCATTTTATTTTTCTGAATGTATTTGGTTTACTAGATAAATTGTGACTTTTTTAAATGCTGCAATTTTATTTTCCTTTTAAAACCATCTTAAGTAATAACTTAAGCCTCACTCTCTTGAGGCTTAATAAATGCTTAATTTCTGATAGTAAGTAAAAGAAAATTCATAAGCTGAAATAAATAAAATGATTAAAAGTAGTGCTAATTAAACATTCTAAATATTGATGCCTATGGCATATATACATTAATTTGCTTAATGTAATAAAATATACTATTAACCTTACTTTTCTACTATTTTAATATATGAAGTTATATGTTTATCTAATAATAACTAAGTTGAAAATATTTTTGGTGAAATAAATTTGTTTGTTTTTCATGATCAGAACTTAAAGTCTTTAATTTTTCAGTATTCATGGAAAACTAAAAATGTCTACTGAAAATAAGCAATAGTTTTTTTTGTAAAATAACTGACTCAACAAACAGAAGGCAAATTTGTTCACTGAGTTGGTTCTTCCTATTTTGTACAGTAATAGTCAAAACACTTCCCTGACATTTTATGTCATGTAACTTACATAAATAAAGCAGAGAGCTTAGCATTCTTAAAATTATTCTTCAGTTTCCAGTTTTCATCCTCTAACTGTCTCTCTGTGGATTTAAAACATTACCAAAATGCAGGGTCTGCATTTTGAAATAGACATAGAGTGTGACCTTTTTCACAGAAGTGCATCAATCTGATATACTATAACTAATTTTCAAGCTATTGCATCATATGGTTCTTTAGTTTAATGAAGAAAATTTGGGGCTAGAAAAAAAATCCACCTCAAAATTCATGAATGAAACCTAAAATCAGCTGATTATTTAAAAATAATCTCCTTTGCAAGCTCCTTTGAAATTTAAGCATAAATAGCATATTCTAATAAAACTGGGGTAAAAAATATATGATTAACTCATCTTTAGTAATAGTAATTCCAAGGAAAATTTTGTTCACATCTTCTGCATCAAGTATTTTTATTCAAAATATTATGCCTGTATCAAAAACTGTTATTTTGGGTTTTGCCACAACATAATGAGAAAAAGTAAAAAAAAATTAAGTTTTTTTTAACTTTTTCAGTAATTTTCTCTAAAATATATTGAAGACTCTTTTTAGTTTCTTTAAACTTTTACTTTATTATGCAAAGTTTTTACGTGGAAAACATTTGTCCAATGATGTTTTCCAAAATTTGTTTGCAATATAACAGAAGTGTAACCCATTCACAAAAATTCACCAGAATTTTATTTTTGCGTTGTCTACTATTTCAAGAAATAGCAATTGATAGAAATATTTTCTAATTGAAATAAAAATAAGCTCGAATGTATTATTGGAAGATAAAGATTACAGGAAGTCATGTGTTCCATATTTTCCACTTATATTCAAGTTAAATACAAATGGAAACAATGAGGGGAGAAAAATGTAAGAATTCAAAAATACCATTAAGAACTTCCAGGGAATTCCTGAATTCAAATAGGCATATATTAAGGATTAATTCCAATAGAGAGACACTCTAATATTACATGTATGTGAACACACACATATATACACATATACTAATTTTAATTGAAAAATATGTCATTGAAACATATAATGAATATCTGCTCACCAAACCCATTTCTTTTTCTTCCTAGATCAATGTGAATGTGTATTTGTCAATGTTTCTTATAGTAGGGTACGGTCAAATCACAGATATTTAGCACATGGAAAATTAGCAGTAGTGATGCGTGAAAATTGAAGGCCTGGACCATGAGAGCCTTCCAGAGGTGATTCTCAATGCTCATTTCCTTCACGGACTTGGCACAGATGAGCAGGGGAGACTTTAAAGTCATGTATTGAGAACAAAGGAGCCAGAAGATGGAAGGAATCTGAGTCCCTATATTACTACTTGAGAACCACCAGCTCTACAGAAATATGTTTTGGTTTTCATATGAGCATTAAAAAGATGTCAATGATAATCTGAGCCATAAAAATGATTTTGTATGTTTGTTACAACACTTAGTATTCTTTAATACGATATTTCAAAAATTCTTAATCAGATTTCAAAGATTGGTTGTCCAAAAAAAAAAAAAACCACCAAACTCTTTACAAATAAAAAATGTATATATTTGTACATTTTTTAAGATAGTATTTAATTAAAAACAAGTTTTCTTTGTTTGTTTGTTTGTTTTGACACAGAGTCTCATTCTGTCACCCAGGCTAGAGTGCAGTGGTGCAATCATGGCTCATTACAGCCTTGAACTCCTTAGCTCAGGTGATCCTCCCACCTTAGCCTCCCGAGTAGCTGGGACTGCAGGCACAGCACACCATGTCTGGCTAATTTTTGTATTTTTTGTAGACAAGGGGTTTCACCATGTGACCCAGACTGGTCTTGAATTCCTGGGATCAAGCAATCTGCCTGTCTCAACCTCCCAAATTGCCACGATGACCAGTGTGAACCACTGCACATGGCCAGAAACAGGTTTTCTTGAAGGACAACGACAAGTTACATGGAGAAGATTCCATACTAAGTTCTTATTTGATTAAAAAAAAGTTCTTTATTATTATTTTTTAAATTTCCATAGGTTTTTGCGGGACACATGGTGTTTTGTTACATGAATAAGTTCTTTAGTGAGATTTTGGTGCACCCATCACCCAAGCAGTATACACTGTAACTAATTTGTAGTCTTTTATCCCTCACCCTCCTCCCACACTTACCCCCAAATCCCTGAAGTCCATTGTATTATTCTTATGCCTTTGCATCCTCATAGCTTAGCTCCCACTTATGAGTGAGAACATATGATATTTGGTTTTTATTCCTGAGTTACTTCAATTAGAATAATGGTCTCCAATTCCATCCAGGTCACTTCAAATGCCATTATTTCATTTTTTTCATGGCTGCATGGTATTCCATGGTGTGTGTGTATATATATATATGAATACCACAATTTCTTTACCCACTTGTTGATTGATGAGCATTTGAGCTGGTTTCATATTTTTGCAATTGCAAATTGTGCTGCTATAAACATGTGAGTGCAACTATCTTTTTCATACAATGACTTCTTTTCTTCTGGGTAGGTACCCAGCAGTGAAGGATTGCTGGATCAAATGGTAGTTCTGCTTTCAGTTATCTAAGGACTCTCCACACTGTTTTTCATAGTGGTTGTACTAGTTTACATTCCCACCAGCAATGTAAAAGTGTTCCTTTTTCACCAGATCCCTGCCAACATCTACTATTTTTTTTTTCATTATGGCCATTCTTGCAGGAGTAAGGTGGTATTGCATTATGGTTTTGATTTACATTTTCCTGATCATTAGTGATGTTGAGCATTTTTTCATGTCACAGGATCCTTAGGGGTGTTGCTTTTCCAGCCAGAAACCTCTGTGGATGGTGGTGCCTTTGCCTGAGTTTTGCACAGGCCTATTGGGCTTGTTCCGCCCACACAGCCTGGTAGGCTGCACTTGGCTCACACTACCAGCTCAGATTCCATGCCTGCCAAGGATGAGCCAGGTGCAGAGTGATGAGAGGTGTGTGAGTGAGCATGGGGTCTGGCCACTGTGCACAGCCAGGTGTGCTAGCTGCAGCAGGGCAGGCAGCTCCAGGCACTGGTGCAGGCACTGGCTAAATGTGAGGCTGCAGCTAGACCAAGTATACTGCAAACAGCTTCCACTGTGGGCACCAGAGAATGCAGTGACTCCTAAAATCTTAGAGATACCATGAACTGCAGAGCTGCAAAGAGGGTGTCACAGCCCTGGCCCAGCCCTAGGTCTGGGCTCCCCAAAGGGCCATGGCTCTTCTCTACTTATCTTCTCTCATTGTCACCCACAGTATGGTGAGCGGGGGGGCATGTTTCAGCCCTGTTTGTATTACTGCTCTTTCAGGCCCGCATTCAGCATGTCCTGAGTTCTTGTCTCACGTCCAGGAAGAATGAGGTACATGGACAACTAGAGGGTGAATAAGGCAGAGAAGTTTCACTGAATGACAGAACAGCTCTCAGGAGTCCCAAGGTGGTTAGCTCCTTTCTGCAGGCAGGTTGTCCTAATGAGTGTCCAGCTCTCAGCAGAAAGGAGACCTGTAGTGGGTAGCTCTGTACCACAGGCAGGCTATCCTGATGAGTGTCCACCTCTCAGCAGAGAAGAGACCTACTGCTGGTAGCTCCTTTCCACAGCTGGTTGTCCTGACATCTGAGTCTGGGGTTTTTATGGTCTCAGAAGGGAGGAAGTGCATGCTGACTGATTTATGGCTGGCCATTGGCAGGTATGAAAAAAAGCACCATAAGTTCTTACCTTGGATCACTGACTCCACCCAGAAATGGCAGGCCAGCCCCCAGGCTTTAGGCCGTCCCTCGCTTGAAGGTCCTGTTTCACCAGGGACCCACCCATTTTCACCCAAGAGCTTGATGGCTTCCTGGCAACATCAACATGCCATCCACAGAGCCCAAGCTGTTCATCCCAAGGGGCGTCTGCAGGCTGTCACCAAGGTGCTCTCAGAGCCCCCTGGCCTCCCTCCCTCGTCAATGCCAAAAGTTTCAGAGGGGACTGAGACAGCAGTGGGGCTGGCATGTCAGCACAGCCCCGAGTTCATGTACACTCAACCAGGTTACAACAACAGCCAGGCTTAGCCGCAACTTTGCTCCACACCAGAGCAGGTGCTGGCAATGGGGAGACACCAGATCTTGGGAGCAGGGACTTCTGAGCCTGAAGGGGAAGGGGCTTTGCAGGCCTGCAAGAGTGCAGGGATGTCCAAGTCTGGATCCATGGCTGTGTGGCTGCAACTGTGCTGAGGATCATGGGGTTCCTGCCCTGCAAACTTGGTAGGGGCAGGGCTACCACAGGCATCACAGAGCATGAAACTTCAGCTGTGACTCCACTGCTGCAGCTGCTGTCTTCACATCAGCTGCTCCAGATGGGCCACCACTGCCATCAATATGTTTGTTGGCCATTTGTATATCTTATTGTGAGAATTCATGTCCTTAGCCCACTTTCTGATGGGATTGTTTGTGTTTTCTTGCTAATTTGTTTGAATTCCTTGTAGATTCTGGATACTAGTCCTTTGTCAGATATATAGATTACAAAGATTTTTTCCCACTCTATGGGTTGTCTGTTTACTCTGCTAATTGTTTCTTTTGCTGGGCAGAAGGTTTTTATTTTAATTAAGTCCCATCTATTTATCTTTGTTTTGTTGCATTAGCTTTTGGGTTCTTGGTCATGAAGTCTTTGCCTAAGCCAATGTCTAGAAGGGGTTTTCTAATGTTATTGCATAGAATTTTTATGGTTTCAGGTTTTAGATTTAAGTTCTGGATCCATCTTGAGTTGATTTTTATGTAAGGTGACAGATGAGGATCCAGTTTCATTCTTCTACATGTAGCTTGCCAATTATCCCAGCACCGTTTGTTGAATAGGGTTTCCTTTCCCCATTTTATGCTTTTGTTGGCTTTGTTGAAGGTCAGTTGGCTATAAGTAGTTGGCTTTATTTCTGGGTTCTCTATTCTGTTCCATTGGCCTATGTGCCTATTTTTATAGCAGTACCATATTGTTTGGGTGACTATGGCCTTATAATATAGTTTGAAGTCAGGTAATGTGATGCCTTCAGATTTGTTCTTTTTGCTTAGTCTTGCTTTGGCTATGTGGGTTCTTTTTTGGTTTCATATAAATTTTAGGATTGTTTGGTTATTTTCACAATATTGATTCTAGCCATACATGAGCATGGGATATGTTTCTATTTGTTTGTGTCATCTATGATTTCTTTCAGCAGTATTTTGTAGTTTTCTTTTTAGAGGCTTTTCACCTCCTTGGTTAGGTATATTCCTAATTAGTTTGTGATTTTTTGCAGCTATTGTAAAAGGGGTTGAGTTCTTGATTTGATTCTCAGCTTGGTCACCATTGGTGTATAGCAGAGCTACTGATTTGTGCATATTAATTTTGTATCATAAAACTTCAGTGAATTCATTTATCAGTCCTAGGAGCTTTTTGCATGAGTCTTTAGGGTTTTCTAGGTATACTATTTGGATGCCCTTTATTTCTTTCTCTTGTCTGATTGTTCTAGCTAGGACTTCCAGTACTATGTTGAATAGAACTGGGGAGAGTGGGCATTCTTGTCTGGTTCAAATTCTCAGAGGAATGCTTTCAACTTCTCTCCATTCAGTGTAATGTTGGCTGTGGGGTTGTCATAGATGGCTTTTATTACATTAAAGTATGTCCCTTCTATGCCAATTTTTCTAAGGGTTTTAATCATAAAGGGATGCTGGATTTTGTCAAATGCTTTTTCTGCATCCATTGAGATAAACATGTGATTTTTGCTTTTAATTCTGTTTATGTGGCGTATCACATTTATTGATTGTGTATGTGAAACCATCCCTGCATTCCTGGTATGAAACCCACTTGATCATGGTGGATTATCTTTTTGATATTCTCCTGGATTTGGCCACCTAGCACATTGTTAAGGATTTTTGCATCTATATTCATCAGACATATTGGTCTGTAGTTTTCTTTTTGTGTTATGTCCTTTCCTGGTTTTGGTATTAGGGTGATACTGGTTTCATAGAATGATTTAGGAAGGATTCCTTCTTTTTTTATCTTGTGGGATAGTATCAATAGGATTGGTACCAATTCTTCTTTGAGTGTCTGATAGAATTCAGCTGTGAATCCATCTGTCCTGGACTCTTTTTGGTTGGCATTTTTTATTACCATTTTAATATTGCTGATTGTTATTTGTCTGTTCAGAATTTATATATATTCCTGGTTTAATCTAGGAGGGTTGTATATTTCCAGGAATTTATCTATCTCTTCTAGGTTTTCCAGTTTATTCGCATAAAGATGTTCTTAGTAGCCTTGAATGATATTTTGTATTCTGTGGTATCTGTTTTAATATCACTTGTTTCATTTTTATTTGAGCTTATTTGGATCTTCTCTCTTCCTTACCTAGTTAATCTCACTAATGGTCTGTCAATTTTATTTATCTTTTAAAAGAGCCAGCTTTTTGTTTCATTTATCTTTTGTATTTTTTTATTTCATTTAGTTCTGCTTTGATCTTCATTATTTCTTTTTTTCTGTTGGGTTTGTCTTTGGTTTGTTTTTATTTCTCTAGTTCCTTGAGGTGTGGCTTTAGATTGTCTATTTGTGCTTTTTCAGACTTTTTGATGTATGCATTTAAAGCTGTGAACTTTCCTCTTAGCACTACCTTTGCTATATCCCAGAGGTTTTGATAGGCTGTGTCACTATTATTGTTCAATTCAAAGAAGTTTTTAATTTTCATCTTGATTTCATTATTGACACAACTATAATTCAGGAGCAGGTTATTTAATTTCCATATATTTGGATTGTTTTGAGGGCTCCTTTTGGAGTTGATTTCCAATTTTATTCTCCTGTGGTCTGAGAGAGTAATATAATTTCAATTTTCTTAAATTTTTTGAGGCTTATTTTGTGACCTATCATATGGTCTCTCTTGGAGAAAGTCCCATGTGTTGATGAATAGAATGTATATTCTGCAGTTGTTTGGTAGAATGTTCTATAAATATCTATTAAGTCTATCTATTCTAGGTATAGTTTAAATCCATTGTTTTTTTTGTTGTTGTTGTTGACTTTCTGTCTTGATGACCTGTTTACTGCCGTCAGTGAAGTACTGAAGTCCCCCACTAATATTGTGTTGCCATCTATCTCATTTCTTATGTCTGGTAGTAATTGTTTTATAAATTTGGGAGTTCCAATGTTTAGGTGCATACTTATTTAGGATTGTCATTTTGTTGTTGTTGTTGGACAAGTCCTTTTATCATTATGTAATGCCTTTCTTTGTGTTTTTTATGGCTGTTGCTTTGAAGTTTGTTTTGTCTGACATAAGAATAGCAACTCCTGCTCACTTTTGGTGTCCATCTGCATAGACTATCTTTTTCTACCCCTTAACCTTAAGTTAATGTGAGTCCTTATGTGTCAGGTGAGTCTCAAAGACAGTAGGTACTTGGTTGGTAAATTCTTATCCATTCTGCCATTCTTTATCTTTTAAGTAGATGATTTAGGCCATTTATGTTCAACGTTGAGATGTGAGGTACTATTCTATTCATCATTCTGTTTCCTGAATAACATTTTTTTAAATTTATTTACTGTGTTTTTGTTTTATGGGCCCTGTGAGATTTATGCTTTAAAGATGTTCATTTTGGTGTATTTCAAGGATTTGTTTCAAGAGTTAGAGCTCCTTTTAGCAGTTCTTGTAGTGCTGGGTGGACTATGTCAGAGGGAAGACCTGGGACTCAAGGGCTGCTCTTAAGATTCTTTTGTCCCACAGGGTGCTCCCTTGATGTGGTGTTCTCCCCCTTCCCCTAGGAATGCGGCTTCCTGAGAGCGGAACTGTAGTGATTATTTCTCTTCTGGATTTAGCTAGCCAGCAGAGCTACCAGGCTTGGGAGTGGTTCTAGGGAGTGCCTGCACAGTTCTGTGATGTGAACCGTCTTCAGGTCTCTCAGCCATGGATAACAGCATCTGCTCTGGTGGAGGTGGCAGGGGAGTGAAGTAAACTCTGTGAGGGTCCTTAGCTGTAGTTTTGTTTATTGCACTAGTTTTGTGCTGGTTGGCCTTCTGCCAGGAGATGGCACTTTCAAGAGTGCATCAGATGTGGTAGCATAGGGAGGATCAGGTGGTGAGTGGGGGCTTAGAGCTCCCAAGAGAACACGCCCTTTGTCTTCGACTACCAGGGCTGGTAGAGAAAGACCATCAGGTTCTGGAAGGGTTAGGCGTGTCTGAGCTCAGACTCTCCTTGGGCAGGGCTTGCTGTGGCTGCTGTGGAAGATGGGGGCATGGTTCTCAGGCCAATGGAGTTATGTTCCCAGGGGAATTTTGGCTGCTTCTGCTGTGCTATGCAGGTTACTAGGAAAGTGGGGGAAAGTTGGCAGTTACAGGCCTCACCCAGCTCCCATGCAGCCCAAAAGGCTGGTCTCACTCCCATCATTCTCCCAACAGCACAGAGTTTGTTTCCGGGCATGCTGAGAACTTGCCCCATGCTACCAGCCTCCCCACTGTGAAGCAGGTATGGTTTTCAGATTTCGTACCACCCTGCCTGCCGCAGCTTCTGTGCTGTGTCTACACTCTGGATTCACACCATCCCCTGAGTTCTGTCCAGGAATCTATGAGTTCAGTCGAAATTGTTACAAAGTTCAGCTGGAAGTTTCCTTTATCATGTGGACTTTTCCCGGTTCCTCTGGTAGCCCTCCCCAAGGACCTCTGTGAGATAAAGTCAGAAATGGCTTCCCTGGGGACTGAGAGAGCCCACAGGGGCACTTCCTGTCGGGTCTTCTATCACTATATTTTGCTTGGCTCTCTAAAATTGTCTCAGCTCCTGGTAAGGTCACATACTTTTTCCATGATCTGGACCTTCAGGTTCTGCAGTGAGGGTGTGTGTCTGGGGGTGGACAATCCCTCTTTCACTTTCACTCTTTGAGCATTTACAGTTTTGGGGCTGTCTCCTGGGGCCTGTAGGAGCAATCCACTTCCTTCAAAGAGTCTGTGGATTCTCTCAGCCTTCCTGGTGTGTTTCTGCAGTTCCTGGAGTAAAAGTTCTAGATGTATGTGTTTCCACATGTTGCTCTATCTGTCCCAGTGGGAGCTGCAATTTAGTCCTGCCTTCTATCTGCCATTTTCCTCTCTCAGTAGTCTGATAAGTTCTTTGGGATCATATTAAGATTCATATTTTTTAAAGTGTTATACTTGGGAAGAGCTATTATTTAATTTTAGGAAAATGTCATTGATGTTTTAGAGCAGTATCTGAAAATTTTAGAATCTGTGAATTCTTCTACTAGATTATATTATTTTCCTCTGGGGATTGAGTCATATATCATTAACTTAGGCTAAGATTTAGTGATATTTAATAAATAATAGATGGTCTAAACACTTTAATTGAATAAATGTATGTACTTTGTCTCTAAATTTAACAGTTATATTTATTACATATTATTAGTACAACACATGCTTATTAGTTTTACAGTGCTTTATAAATGCAACCTGCATACAAAGAAAGAACAGAGAGATAGAGGTAAATATTTTGATTTGCTCTGCTATAGACAGGTATAAAACCACTAAAGAAGTTTTTTTCCAAGGCTATGGTAGTAGAGCAAAACATGGAGTTTTGTCTTTGACCAAGTCTCAGGTTAAGAATTAAGTTATTCAAGGAATTAAATTTTAAGACTGGGAGCTTTATATGTGTCAATGGTGGCGAATTTATGAGATACTTGATAAATGTAATTTTTTCAAAAAAAAATTAGACAAAGTTAAAAGGGCTTCAGTCACATTTTATATATATATATATATATATATGTACACAGACACACTGTATATATATTAAATATAGTCTATGTTATATAAATACATTCATCTGAGTGTATATTTAAATATATGATCTGGTATTCCAGAGGAAAAGCTCTTAAAGTTTTAATTTTAAGTAGCAAAAATAGGAAAATATTAAACTATTTCCTTTTATGGGTAAAAGCTAAAAGAAAAAAAATGAAGTAATTTTTTTTCAAGATTGTCAGTGAATAGAAGGAGTTCTGCTTAAACAATAGCAAATAAAAAAATAAACCACTGGAAAACCAGATTTTTAAGCTAAAAATCTACACATATCATATTATAATTAATGTATGTAATTATCTATAATAGTATGCAATTCAAATTTATAATCATTTCACTTCAAAATTGTCTTGTTTTAAGTATTTCTTAGGAATGAAAAATAATTTCCAGGTTTGCTTTGAGCCATCAAATAGCAAACACTTTGTAAATGAGAAGGAAACAATAATCTGTTTGGCTACTATGCCAAGAGGGACCCTAACAGCAGGTGATTACAATAAAAACCACCTTGTTATATAGTTAACATCTGTGCTTTCTAAATGGTAAAGTAAATGAACATAATGGATATAGTTTTGGATTCACATTTTGCCACCTGCCTTTACACAAGCATACACAGAATGTCTTCAAATCACAGAGCCAAAATCTCAGACACATCCTGCCAATTTTCCTTAAATGATTGTATGCATCAATGACAAGGAACAAACACATTTTGCAATTTTGTTTGCAAGGAAAGAGCAACCCTTAAGTTTATAACAAGGAAAGACTAGAATCAGAACCATTTTTTGAGATGTATATACTAGAATGCAAAGATCCAACAGAATCTCAGAATCATCTTACTGTTTTTAAAATAAATGAATAAGAAACAAAAAAATATGGACTTCCTGGCTGATGTAATAACATTCAAAGGGATTTTTGTTAGGTAAATATATTTGATATTGTGCAAATAAAATGTTTGATAGTTACTTAAGGTCTTCACTTATGGTATACAAAACAATTGGTCCATCACTATCAGACACATTTTTTTCTTTGCACTGCTGGAACACCTGGCATGCTTTAAAGAGGGTACATTTCAACAGTCAATGAACAGGCTGCCAACTAATTCCAGAGATTTTGCTTCCTGTTATGATGTAATTTCCAAGTTCTTATGTGGATAGTAAGGATTAACAGTAAACATACGTATAATTGGATTTTTTAATGAGTGTTTATTTTTCTTTTTTTAACATTTAAGTTGATCAAACTTGCATTGCCTTGCTTAAAGATTTTGATTAAAAATGAAATTATGTTTGCAGGCATACTTTTTATTGAACTTTTTATTATGAGTAAGAAAAATCCTAGTTTCTCTGTTCATTTATGTTGTGGCCTAGGAAAGATACTTAGCATCTTGAGACTTCAGATTCTCTGTCTACCATAAGTATATACCATAAGTATATATTGCAAACTGAACATGCTTTTGTCTGTTTAACAGAACATACAATTAAATAAAAAGTGTCCCTTGATGAAATGCTTGTGAAAGTTATTCTATTGCCTCTCAACAAACAGACATCATGAACCCCAGAATATTAAACATGTCAAAGAATTTTGCAGCAAAACAAAAAATATAAAAATAGAGAAGTAAACCAGCATTTCTTCAAATTGTTTGATCATAGTATGCTAAAAAAAATTGGGGTTGGAAGGTGTTAGAATTAGAACGTATTGCCATCTCCCAGACCCCATAGGATTCTGCATTGTTATTTTAATAGTGGTATTAAATGATGTGTGGGTCCCTATTAGTGATATTTAGCTATGATACTTAGAATACTTGAAAATCACAACTCAAATGTTCTCCTAGAAGCTTAAATGAAACTTTCATGTCCTTCCAGTAAAAAGTATTCTTGTATTCAAGATTTTTGGTAAATGAATAAATCATAGCTGCTCTTGCGGTGAGAGTGGGGGAAATTGGTAACTATGTGAAACGATGGCTATGTTCATTCTTCCACTATAGTAACCATTTTATCATGTATATATATTTTATAACATCATGTTGTATACCTTAAATATATGCAATAAATTTTATTTAAAACAATTTTTAACTTTTTAGTCATTCTAAAACTCCAATTAATAGATATAATATAAAATTTTCTTTGGATATTTAAATTTTAATTTGTTTCTCATATGAAACATACCTCTAATTACGTGTCTGATAGGACAAGCAAGCACCATTTGCCTGGCTATTAAATTGACATTTTCATCACCTGAATGCATTTTTGTGGCATTTTTGAGGAGGCAGTAATACAAAACTTAGAAATAAAATTGAAAGTTTTAAATATCCAAGGTTACTTGCTGTTTTGTTACAAAAAAAAGCATATAAAATATAAAAACACATCACGCTCATCAATTTTAATTCCCAGTTTCAAAGTGTTACATTATATGTATTTGAGATTAAATAAATTTCAATTTCTTGCTATTGAAATTAAATAGAATCTTTATTCTAATATATTTTTCCACAAGATTTTAGTTTTAAAAAGTAAGAACTTTTTAGGAATACCTCTCAAAATAATGTCACTCATTAAATAACTTCTGTTGTATTTGTAATATATCATATTTTGGAACAGCATAATAATATATAACAGCATATATATACATATATATGCCATTCTGAAAAATTTAAAGACTTTTAATTTTTAAATTTCATTCTTAGGATTTTAGAGAAAATTTGCTGAAAACTATATTCCACAAGATCAATGAAAATAATGACTTGTGGCTTTTTAACCTTATTAAGTGATTCAGATACTAATAAGAGACATTGACCAGTTAAAACCATGAATTCACTGAACATATTCTTGCTATGTGCTAGGGACAGGTAATACAGAGATAAGGGATGCTTAAAAGAAGGTTATGGAAAATTCTTACCTATAAAGAAACCACTTTCCTACAGCATGGTAAATGTTATGATAGTTTTATGTGTGGTGTATATTTATAAGACTTAAGGACCCTTCAAATGAACAATGACTAACGAAGTTCCCAGGGAAAGGACAGGGGAAGAATTCACAGATGATATGAAATCTGAACCAAACGAATGAGCTGTACAATAGGACAGTGCAGTGATATTTTTTGGGAGGTGAGACGATCCTTCCAGATAGCAAGAACTGCAAGAAATCGTGGAGTTCATTATAAGTAAGAAATGTGTCTCTGCCTGGCTTTGGTATCAGGATGATGCTGGCCTCACAAAATGAGTTAGGGAGGATTCCCTCTTTTTCTATTGATTGGAATAGTTTCAGAAGGAATGGTACCAGTTCCTCCTTGTACTTCTGGTAGAATTCGGCTGTGAATCCATCTGGTCCTGGACTCTTTTTGGTTGGTAAGCTATTGATTATTGCCACAATTTCAGAGCCTGTTATTGGACTATTCAGATAGTCAACTTCTTCCTGGTTTAGTCTTGGGAGGGTGTATGTGTCGAGGAATTTATCCATTTCTTCTAGATTTTCTAGTTTATTTGCGTAAAGGTGTTTATAGCATTCTCTGATGGTAGTTTGTATTTCTGTGGGATCGGTGGTGATATCCCCTTTATCATTTTTTATTGCATCTATTTGATTCTTCTCTCTTTTCTTCTTTATTAGTCTTGCTAGCGGTCTATCAATTTTGTTGATCCTTTCAAAAAACCAGCTCCTGGATTCATTAATTTTTTGAAGGGTTTTTTGTGTCTCTATTTCCTTCAGTTCTGCTCTGATTTTAGTTATTTCTGGCCTTCTGCTAGCTTTCGAATGTGTTTGCTCTTGCTTTTCTAGTTCTTTTAATTGTGATGTTAGGGTGTCAATTTTGGATCTTTCCTGCTTTCTCTTGTGGGCATTTAGTGCTATAAATTTCCCTCTACACGCTGCTTTGAATGTGTCCCAGAGATTCTGGTATGTTGTGTCTTTGTTCTCGTTGGTTTCAAAGAACATCTTTATTTCTGCCTTCATTTCGTTATGTACCCAGTAGTCATTCAGGAGCAGGTTGTTCAGTATCCATGTAGTTGAGCGGTTTTGAGTGAGTTTCTTAATCCTGAGTTCTAGTTTGATTGCACTGTGGTCTGAGAGACAGTTTGTTTTAATTTCTGATCTTTTATATTTGCTGAGGAGAGCTTTACTTCCAACTATGTGGTCAATTTTGGAATAGGTGTGGTGTGGTGCTGAAAAAAATGTATATTCTGTTGATTTGGGGTGGAGAGTTCTGTAGATGTCTATTAGGTCCTCTTGGTGCAGAGCTGAGTTCAATTCCTGGGTATCCTTGTTAACTTTCTGTCTCGTTGATCTGTCTAATGTTGACAGTGGGGTGTTAAAGTCTCCCATTATTATTGTGTGGGAGTCTAAGTCTCTTTGTAGGTCACTCAGGACTTGCTTTATGAATCTGGGTGCTCCTGTATTGGGTGCATATATATTTAGGATAGTTAGCTCTTCTTGTTGAATTAATCCTTTTACCATTATGTAATAGCCTTCTTTGTCTCTTTTGATCTTTGTTGGTTTAAAGTCTGTTTTATCAGAGACTAGGATTGCAACCCCTGCCTTTTTTTGCTTTCCATTTGCTTGGTAGATCTTCCTCCATCCTTTTATTTTGAGCCTATGTGTGTCTCTGCATGGGAGATGGGTTTCCTGAATACAGCACACTGATGGGTCTTGACTCTTTATCCAATTTGCCAGTCTGTGTCTTTTAATTGGAGCATTTAGTCCATTTACATTTAAAGTTAATATTGTGATGTGTGAATTTGATCCTGTCATTATGATGTTAGCTGGTTATTTTGCTCGTTAGTTGATGCAGTTTCTTCCTAGCCTCGATGGTCTTTACAATTTGGCATGAAAGAGAATTTTACACCAATATCCTTGATGAACATTGATGCAAAAATCCTCAATAAAATACTGGCAAAAAGAATCCAACAGCACATCAAAAAGCTTATCCACCATGATCAAGTGGGCTTCATCCCTGGGATGCAAGGCTGGTTCAATATATGCAAATCAATAAATATAATCCAGCATATAAACAGAACCAAAGACAAAAACCACATGATTATCTCAATAGATGCAGAAAAGGCCTTTGACAAAATTCAACAACCTTCATGCTAAAAACTCTCAATAAATTAGGTATTGATGGGACGTATCTCAAAATAACAAGAGTTATCTATGACAAACCCACAGCCAATATCATACTGAATGGGCAAAAACTGGAAGCATTCCCTTTGAAAACTGGCACAAGACAGGGATGCCCTCTCTCACCACTCCTATTCAACATAGTGTTGGAAGTTCTGGCCAGGGCGATTAGGCAGAAGAAGGAAATAAAGGGTATTCAATCAGGAAAAGAGGAAGTCAAATTGTCCTTGTTTGCAGATGACATGATTGTATATCTAGAAAACCCCATTGTCTTAGCCCAAAATCTCCTTAAGCTGATAAGCAACTTCAGCAAAGTCTCAGGATACAAAATCAATGTACAAAAATCACAAGCATTCTTATACACCAATAACAGACAAACAGAGAGCCAAATCATGAGTGAACTCCCATTCACAATTGCTTCAAAGGAATAAAATGCCTAGGAATCCAACTTACAAGGGACGTGAAGGACCTCTTCAAGGAGAACTACAAACCACTGCTCGAGGAAATACAAGAGGATACAAACAAATGGAAGAACATTCCATGCTCATAGGGTAGGAAGAATCAATATCATGAAAATGGCCATACTGCCCAAGGTAATTTATAGATTCAATGCCATCCCCATCAAGCTACCAATGACTTTCTTCACAGAATTGGAAAAAACTACTTTAAAGTTCATATGACACCAAAAAAGAGCCTGCATCGCCAAGTCAATCCTAAGCCAAAAGAACAAAGCTGGAGGCATCATGATACTTGACTTCAAACTATACTATAAGGCTACAGTAACCAAAACAGCATGGTACTGGTACCAAAACAGAGATATAGATCAATGGAACAGAACAGAGCCCTCAGAAATAACGCTGCATATCTACAACTATCTGATCTTTGACAAACCTGAGAAAACCAAGAAATGGGGAAAGGATTCCCTATTTAATAAATGGTGCTGGGAAAACTGGCTAGCCATAAGTAGAAAGCTGAAACTGGATCCCTTCCTTACACCTTATACAAAAATTAATTCAAGATGGATTAAAGACTTAAACATTAGACCTAAAACCATAAAAACCCTAGAAGAAAACCTAGGCATTACAATTCAGGACATAGGCATAGGCAAGGACTTCATGTCCAAAACACCAAAAGTAATGGCAACAAAAGCCAAAATTGACAAATGGGATCTAATTAAACTAAAGAGCTTCTGCACAGCAAAAGAAACTACCATCAGAGTGAACAGGCAACCTACAACATGGGAGAAAATTTTCACAACCTACTCATCTGACAAAGGGCTAATAGCCAGAATCTACAATGAACTCAAACAAATTTACAAGAAAAAAACAAACAACCCCATCAAAAAGTGGGTGAAGGACATGAACAGACACTTCTCAAAAGAAGACATTTATGCAGCCAAAAAACACATGAAAAAATGCTCATCATCACTGGCTATCAGACAAATGCAAATCAAAACCACAATGGGATACCATCCCACACCAGTTAGAATGGCAATCATTAAAAAGTCAGGAAACAACAGGTGCTGGAGAGGATGTGGAGAAATAGGAACACTTTTACACTGTTGGTGGGACTGTAAACTAGTTCAACCATTGTGGAAGTCAGTGTGGCGATTCCTCAGGGATCTAGAACTAGAAATACCATTTGACCCAGCCATCCCATTACTGGGTATATACCCAAAGGACTATAAATCATGCTGCTATAAAGACACATGCACACATATGTTTATTGCAGCACCATTCACCATAGCAAAGACTTGGAAACAACCCAAATGTCCAACAATGATAGACTGGATTAAGAAAATGTGGCACATATACACCATGGAATACTATGCAGCCATAAAAAATGATGAGCTCATGTCCTTTGTAGGGACATGGATGAAATTGGAAATCATCATTCTGAGTAAACTATCGCAAGAACAAAAAAACAACCACTGCATATTCTCACTCATAGGTGGGAATTGAACAATGAGAACAGATGGACACAGGAAGGGGAACATCACACTCTAGGGACTGTTGTGGGGTGGGGGGAGGGGGAAGGGACAGTTTTAGGAGATATACCTAATGCTAAATGACGAGTTAATGGGTGCAGCACACCAGCATGACACATGTATACATATGTAACTAACCTGCACATTGTGCACATGTAACCTAAAACTTAAAGTATAACAATAATAAAAAAAAAAAGAAAAGAAAAGAAAAAAAAAAGTAAGAAATGTTCCTGCACAAGCACACAGTGCAGCATCCCTCAGGGAGAGGCTGCTAAAGGGTCCCAGTGGTGATGAGCTGGTCATGGAGGCTCTTGCATGCTCTTTTAAGGAGTTTGGAGTGTATTAGGGAAGCTATTTTAAGGAAGGCTATTATAAATCCAAATTTGGATATTAGAAAGAACACCCTGGAAACAATGTTGAGGATACGTTGTTGAAGAGCAAAATTAAAGATATTGTGAAATTTTTTATTAAAAATAAATTTTTTAAATATTAAAAATAGAGCAAAAATGGAGATGCAAAAAAGGAGATATATGAAGAGATATTTAAGAGGGCAGAAAATAATTTTTTTCAAAATCTGGACTATTTCCTTATTTTATGATTTGAATAATTGAGTGGATGTTGACTTCATTCTTTGAGATAGGAACAAAAAGAGGAAGAATAGTTTTGTGAAATGGTAATGAGTCGGGCCTGGGTGTGTTGAGTTTGAGACATCTATGTGCCATCCAATTGAAGGCACTAAATATGTAGTTGGACCTATGAGTCTAAAAACTCAGAACAGGTTTTTAATTTAAGAGTTTGTTAAAATGCAGTGATAGGTGAAGCCATAGAGAAAAGTATTTATGTTGAAAATAGGGTTTAAAAAGAGTGGAAAATTCTTTAGAACATCAACAGAAGTGAAGTTGAGGTCATCAAAAGAGACAGTATATTTTAGAAAAGAGCACTAAGTATGAGATTTGAAAGATGCTTTCCTAAAAACAATTAAAGAGAAAGAAGAGTCCATGAAATTGACTAACAAGAAATAGGAGTCCATGAAATTGACTAACAAGTGTTAGGGAAATTTAGAAAAAAACCTATAGACAATTTAAAGATACATGAAAGCATAAAAATCTCAAATACTATAAAAGTTAAATGAAATAAGTTCTGAAAATATGCCTATTATATTTGGTAAATAAATAGGATGCCATTGAAATTAGGGGAAAGTGTCTCAGTGAATTTTTCTGAAGAGAGGGCATTTCACTAGTTTGAGGTGAAAAAATAGCAAGAAATTTAAAATAATGAAATTAAACAAGGCCTTTCAACTAGGTAAAGCACTTTAAAATCATTAATAAAATAAAAGTAATATACTACTTAATCTATGAGGTGTCTTCTATCATAGCCTGTTCATGATTCATAAAAAAGGAAATCCAATTATAGAAGAAACCCTAATATTTGATATACTTAAATAAAAACAAAATGCTTTATAAAGGTTAGCTTTTGCTAAGGCTTGGAATAAGTTCAAAAATAAAATTTATGGCCTATGAAGTGGATGCATCTTCTCTATTATGCATTTAATACCCTTTACTCATCAAAGCAATGCTGACTCACTTGAAATTTTGAATACCTCTATTTATAAAATATATATACTTGACTTTCAGGATCAATAATACAAATGTTAGTAAATCATTAAGGAAATCACGTAATGTTCACCATTTGACTTAACGGGCTTCTATGCTTAAACAGCTGACTTTACTGTATTATTTTATGGTTCTATGTATTTCTTCTATTTTGACAAGTAAAAGTGGATTCAACAAGATATATCCAGAATTTTCACACAGATATGAATAATAATGATAGATAATTACTGAAGCAAAAAATCAAAATAAAACTCAACTAAAGCAAAATGAGACAGCAAACAGAAACACTAAAATAATACTGACTCACTGGTGTTAAAAAATAAGGACAAAGGTAAGAAATTGTATGTTTTGGTGTTGTACCTCTTTACCTTTATGTATTAAAAGTTAATGTTTTCTGTTAATGTTTAACATATTAAAATGTTTTCTGCTGCCCAGACTGGAGCGCAGAGGCGTGATCTCAGATCACTGCAACCTCCGCCTCCCAGGTTCATGCCATTCTCCTGCCTCAGTAACTCTGCCGAGTAACTGGGACTACAGGCACCCACCACCGCGCCCGGCTAATTTTTTTTGTATTTTTAATAGAGACGGGATTTCACCGTGTTAGCCAGGATGGTCTCGATCTCCTGACCTCGTGATCCGCCTACCTCAGCCTCCCAAAGTGCTGGGATTACAGACGTGAGCCACCGTGCCTGGCCTGGAATGTTTTCTTATTCCTAAATTTTATCCATATAAGAAAAGAGGATCAAAGGTTGACATGTATCGACATTATGATCCTTCTTTGAAACTAGTGTTACCTATATCAAATATTAGGTGCCAAAATATAAATATATATAGGGAGAGAGAGAGAAACAGTCTGACCAAATTAAACATTTTAAGAATGCTATATGTAACAAACTTATATCTAAGAGCACATGGAATACTCATCAAAAGAAACCATGTTGAGCTGTAAAACAAATCTCAATCAATTTAAAAGCCAGAAATCATAGCAAGTATTTACTCTGAACGCAATGGAATTATTAAACATAAAATATATAGAAAGACTTAAATAATTATAAATTAAACACTTTTTAATATAAAACATAGGTCAAAAAATAAAAGCAAAATGAGAAATCTTCAAACCAAATTATAATGGAGATAAAACAAAATTTGTAGGATGCAGCTAAAGCAGTGATTATAGGAGGAAACTGGATATTTAAATATTTACATGAGAATAAATGAGAGATTTAATGTAAATGATATAATTTTATTTTCCGATGCTAGAAGTAAAAATGAAAAAAGAATGGACATAATAAGGATAAAAGCAAACATCAAAAAAATAGACAAAATGCAGTATAATTTAAAAGTCAAAAGTTATTTGAAAATATTAATGCAATGATCTATTCTGTTACGGGATGAATGAAAGAGAGAAAGAGACCACAACTTAATAATATTTAGTAATTAAATGAAAGAATACACTCTACAGACTGTATAGACACAACAGATAAGGTATTATTATAAACCACTTTTTTTGCCAAAGATCTAATTTCTAATTCTTTAAAATGGGAAACAACCCAAATGTGTGAATGAATAAACAAATTGTGGTATAATCATAGAATACACTAATGCTCAACAATAAAAGGGAGTAAAACCTACGGAAGCACTCAAAACATATGTGAATCTCACAAACATATGTGAATCTCACAAACTATATATTAAATAAAATAATTCTGACAAAAACCATGTATATACTGTTGGTTCAATTTATGTGAAATTCCAATACAGAAAAACATAATCTATTTTAAGTGGTCAACATTTAAAAAGTGGTGGTATTTTTGGCTGAGAAAGGAGGCTTCACTTAAAAAGGGAATGAAAGACTTTACTGGAGTGATAGTCATACTCTATATCTTGATTGGAGTGGTGATTACATAGTGTATGCATTTGCTAAAATTCAAAGGACTAAACACTTAAATCTAGTGTATGTTTCATTGTTATTTAAGTTCATATAGATTAAAAGAAATTTTTAAAGGAAAATGTAAGTGTGAATGAGTTTGCTTCAGGAGAGCATGTAGAAAGAAAAGCATTGAGCAAAGGCTGGAATATTGAGTGACAGATAGACGGTTAAAAATGTTTTAGAGTTCAAAATATACTTACAGGAAAAGTATGATGTTACAAAAGCCAGGAGATTATAGATTTTTAATACTGTTGATAATGTTGGTAGTAATGATTGTTCACCAGTGTTACCTGTTATTTGTAGAAGCCCTGTTAGGGAATGAGTGAAGAGCGTCACCGTGTTTGGCAGATATGGCTGATCTAAAGGAAAGTGATTCCATGTACTCTCGGGAGCACAAGTCAAATAACACAGCATTGAGGTGTGACTGGGAAGTAAAGAGTGAAAAGGGTGAAGATAAAAGTGGAATTTATGTTTTCAAATGACTTCATTAAAATGAGAAGAAGAGAGAAATTTTACAAAGAAACTCAGACTTGAGAAAAATTTAGAAGAAATTGGATTCAATGCTTTATCTACATATCTAAAACAACCGTTATACTCTGTTTAGAGGGTTATATTATAATGCTTATTTCTCAATGTATAATATAATTTTATTTGCATAAAAATTAAAAAGCATAAATAGCAAGATTTTCATTCTCAAGACTAATCCTCAGGTAGTAGTCCCAAACCCTGTTGATATCTACAGACGTGAACAGTAATAAAAGTGAGAACTGTTTGGGCAACCCTCAAATTTAATTTAGGTGCTCTATCTCTTCCGGGATATTTCTCCTCAACTAATCTCACTCCCGCCTAATCTGTGATATCTGATAAACCAAATGTTGTAAATTTCTTTCAATGTATTCCTAAAATTACTGTACAGGATGAACTGGGCAATTGATGTGTTTATCCCCCAAGTTGGGGCCTTTTCCAGATCTTTTATTAACTCGTATGAATGAAATGACTCTGAGAAGCTGCCTTTTCGTCTGACTTCTGGTAGAGTTCAGTATGCAAGGAAATAAGCAAGAAATCAAAGGAGGAGGGAGAGTGAGATGGGATAGATAATAGATAGAGATACAGACAGAATATGAATTAGATAGAGATAGCGCTATTTCTCCCCCAACACCTGGAAGCATTACTGAATGTTGGCTGCATCCCTTGAACTAACATCACATTTTCTGTCAAAGGTGCTCTTCTCATGTCTCTGTTTCTCAGTGTTCTTATAACAGCTGCTTTCTTTAGCTTTTTCAGGCCTAAAATTGAGAATGGGACCTTACTGTTAGTAGGCTCTGTTCACACTTCTATAAACAGTTCCTTATTTAAACTTTCATGAAATTGCTCAAAGTGCATACACCATTTATTTTTCCTGCCAGAATCTGATTGATTCACCTCTTTCATTGATTAAAAATATTCTAAATGAAATAGAAAAGGAAAACCATATGTTATTGTTGCAATTTCTTAGCCATGTCTCATAAAAAGTATTGTACAAAATATATTGAAAATACATATTTGTAGATCCACAGGAAATATAGTAGAATGTATGCACCTTCATCTGATGATATTAAAATAACTCTTCAGTCCCATTAGGTATGTGCAAAATGTGCTTTAAGGCTCCTTATATAATATTTGGAATCAAAATCCCATAGATGGACATGTGGGATGCTATTCATTTATTTGACAAATATTTATTGAGTAGCTTTCTAGGAGATAAAAATATATTGTTAAACAGAACAGACAAAGCCACTGCTCTCACAGAGCTTATATTTAGGCAAAGGAAGACAGGCAACAAATAGATAAAAATAAATATATAAAAATCGTTGGTAGTATTAAGTGTCTAATTAAGTAGTATTAATTGCTGATCCTAATTCTTTAAAGAAGCTATTTTAGGAGTAGAAAGGTGGCCCATGTAGTAGTTGCATGGTGAATCAGAGCATAATTAATATTTTATTGTTTATTCCACTAGTTGGCTCTTTAATAACTGTTTTTGATGTTGATGAGGCTTTGGCATCCTCTCTATGGGCCTTAAGATCGGCTCCCAGCTGGGCTGCCGGTCTGTTCAGATTTGAGTGTGTGTTGGCATTGAAGGATGTGAGGCTGTCTTTACAGTGAGCTTCAGGGAAAACACTAGGGGAGCTTCTGCAGGGTGTTGGCTGAAGGACTCCAACAGAGCGAGGACACCTTGTGACATCAATATAAATAGCTGCAAATTGACAGCTGGTATCGCATAATCAAAAACAGGTGGCTAAATTTGAACTGAAATGTGATGGTGATTATTGTATTTTGAAGGTACAGTCTGTGAACCTTTCCGTGTGTAATTAAGAAGGCCGTTTGCAATATAAATGCTATAGGCTCATTCCAGCCCATATCTATGATTGTACCAAGTTGGCCCCCATGCTTGCTTATATAATTTCAAACATCTGTTCTTCTATGCAGTTCATTTTTACAGTTATAGCAAACTAACTATGAGACTAAGAGTGATTTATAAAAATGAACACCAGTATAATCATTCTTTCAGATTATTTTTCAAGTTACAAATCATCCAGTAACAAAGCATAAACACTTTCACCTAAAATAAAATTGGTATCTCTTTATATGTGATAAATATGCTACTGAATATATTACACTACTTAATAATTACCATACATTTTATTTCAAGTCTATCATCTGTTTTAAGTATAACTCTAAACTTGCCCCTAATTAATGTCACTAAATTGAATGATTATATGTTACTGTAATAATTTCCTATGTCCCAAAAATCTTTAAAAAATAGTCTATTTATCTTCTCTATCAAAATGTCATCCTGTCAAAAAGAAACAATATGCAATCTGCTTTATTGATTTTTGGCAAATATAAGTGGCTTCTTAATATTATATCATATTTCTGTAAGCAATAAGTAGTCATTTTATTTATTCTAATACTTTTCTCTGAAGTTCAAGTATTATTAGTATAAAACATCAACATATTTTATAAGACATGACAATCCTTTGCCATCTTCATCATGAATTATCCAAAAGAATTACTGGTGATCTAAGGTAATAAATAATTTTTATTACCTTAAGGAAATGAGAAAAATTAGAATACCTATTTGCTAACTTGATGGTGTTTGCCCCACTATATTTTTTAACATTTGTAAATTATTTCATGTGATTTAGTATTTCTTTCTAAAATTGTTAAGCTGTTGCAATATAAGACCTGTTCTTTATTGTTTGCTGAGCAGTATCATTTTTCCAGAGACTTTATTTACACATTTTGTGAATACAGAATTGAATAACCATCACATTATTCATATAAATTGTTATGCTACTTATTCTCCTTGTCACAGGTTCTAAAAAGTTAGGTGATAGCATGATGCCTCCAGCTTTGTTCTTTTTGCTTAGGATTGTCTTGGCTATATGGGCTCTTTTTTAGTTCCATATGAAATTTAAAGTAGTTTTTCTAATTATTTGAAGAAAGTCAATGGTAGCTTGATGGAGATAGCACTGAATCTATAAATTACTTCGGGCAGTATGGCCATTTTCACAGTATTGATTCTTCCTGTCCATGAGCTTGGAATGTTTTTTCCATTTGTGTCCTCTTATTTCCTTGAGCAGTAGTTTGTAGTTCTCCTTGAAGAAGTCCTTCATATCCCTTGTAAGTTGTATTCCTAGGTATTTTATTCTCTTTGTAGCAATTGTGAATGGGAGTTCAAACTACGCTACAAGGCTGCAGTAACCAAAACAGCATGGTACTGGTACCCAAACAGATATATAGACCAATGGACCGGAAAAGAGGCCTCAGAAATACTGCCACACATCTACAACTATCTGATCTTTGACAAACCTAACAAAAACAAGCAATGGGGAAAGGATTCCCTATTTAATAAATGGTGCTGGGAAAACTGGCTAGCCATGTGCAGAAAACTGAAACTGGCCCCTTCCTTACACCTTTTACAAAAATTAACTCAAGATGGATTAAAGACTTAAACGTAAGTCCTAAAACCATAAAAAAACCCTAGAAGAAAACCTAGGCAATACCATTCAGGACACAGGCACTGGCAAAGACTTCATGACTAAAACACCAAAAGCAATTACAACAAAAGACAAAATTGACAAATGGAATCTAATTAAACTAAAGAGCTTCTGCACAGCAAAAGAAACTACCATCAGAGTGAACAGGCAACCTATAGAATTGGAGAAAATTTTTGCAATCTATCCATCTGGCAAAGGGCTAATATCCAGAATCTGCAAGGAACTTAAACAAATATACAAGAAAAAAACAACCCCATCAAAAAGTGGGCAAAGGATATGAACAGACACTTCTCAAAAGAAGACATATATGCAGCCAATAAACATATGAAAAAAGCTCATCATCACTGGTCATTAGAGAAATGCAAATCAAAATGTCATACAATCTCATGCCAGTTAGAATGGCAATCATTAAAGTCAGGAAACAACAGATGCTGGAGAAGATGTGGAGAAATAAGAATGCTTTTACATTGTTGATGGGAATGTAAATTAGTTCAACCATTGTGGAAGACCGTGTGGCAATTCCTCAAGGATCTAGAACCAGAAATACCATTTGACCCAGCAATCACATTACTGGGTATATACTCAAAGGTTTATAAATCATTCTACTATAAAGACATATGCCCACGTATGTTTATTGCAGCACTGTTCACAAAAGCAAAGAACCAACTTGGAACCAACCCAAATGCCAATCAATGATAGACTAGATAAACAAAATGTGGTACATATACACCATGGAATACCATGCAACCATAAAAAAGGATGAGTTCATGTCCTTTTGCAGGGACATGGATGAAGCTGGAAACCATCATTCTCAGCAAAGTAACACAGGAACAGAAAACCAAACACTGCATGTTCTCACTCTTAAGTGGGAGTTGAGCAAATGAGAACACATGGACACAGGGAGGGGAACATCACACACTGGGGCCTGTCGGGGGCTTGGGGAAGGATAGCGTTAGGAGAAATACCTAATGTAGATGACAGGTTCTTGGGTGCAGTAAACAACCATGGCATTTGTACACCTATGTAACAAACCTGCAGGTTCTGCACATGTATCCCAGAACTTACAGTATAATAATAATAATAAAAAAACTACACCAAAAATAATAAAAATAAAAATAACAAAGAGTAAAAAAAGTTAGGTGATAATAGTGTACTTGGGAAGTTATTGCTTGATTTGGTATTAAAAGTAATTAAAAAGAAATAGAACAGAAAACAACAATATTCTATGAATTCCACTATGCTACACTATTTCTTTCCTGAGTTGAAGTGTCCAGATCTTCAAATTGCATACCCAAGAAACTTTTAAAATGTACTTTAGCATTACTGGCTATTAGATTAATGCACTCTTCTCAGTTTTGATAACTGATTGCTAAATATCTTTAAAACCAAATAAAACATTGTTGTTTTTTTTGTTTGAGTTTTGTTTTAACTAGCACTGTTGCTTCTCTCTACTTACGTTGTCTCTCCTGTTGCAGAAATATAACAGGCTCTTAAAACAGGCATGGATATTGTTTTTCAGGCTTCAGAGTACTTGGGAGCTGCCTTCAGAACCAGTTTACAACCACACTGGAAAATCCATCTCACTGTTTAATAGACAATTGGATTTCTTACTGCAAGTGATATTATCAAGGTTGATTACTCATTTTATTCACTAGACATGAAAGAGTTCTGCCTTCAAAGGCAGCATATTTATAACCTCTGAATACATTGGAAACTTTTGCCTTAGAATACAAATGTAATTACAAAGAAGCTCAAGACATGTTTTCAGAAATGCCAACATCTTTAGATTTTCATTTGATATTTGATATTAGTTTATAATGTAACTCATTACTTAATTGCTTCACAAATTTGTCATGTTATTCTTAGCTGGTATCTTTAAGTGTTTTATCTGACGTCAAGAATTGTGAATTGTGGGCCAGGCGCACGTCTGTAATCCCAGCACTTTGGGAGGCCAAGGTGGGAGGGTCCCTAGAGGTCAGGAGTTCGAGACCAGCCTGGCCAACATGGTGAAACTCCATCGCTACTAAAAATACAAAAATTAGCTGGGCATGGTGGCAGGTGCCTGTAATCCCAGCTATACAGGAGGCTGAGGCAGGAGAATTGCTTGAACTCGGGAGGCAGAGGTTGCAGTGAGCTGAGATGATGCCACTGTACTCCAGGAGCCTGGGCAACAGAACAAGACTCCGTCTCAAAAAAAAAAAAAAATTGTGAATTGTGTGTGTATTTGTGTGTGTGTTTGTGTGTGTGTGTGCACGCACAAGTATGTGTGCTTGTACTGAACCAAAGGACAAGACATTTCTGGTTTATAATGTTATTATTGTTTGGGTAAACTTTAAATTATTTGCTATAATGAAGTGAAATATTAAAAAATAAATGTGTGTATTTATATACATATTTGTATTTTCATAGTGTCTTCTTTGTTCAAAATTATGTAATTTTACCATATATTAAAATTCTATAATCATATAATCAACAATTTAGTACTTAAATTTGTGTTACAAATTCTTCTCATTAATAAAATAATAGACAATATATTAATGACTTAATAAATCTTGAATGTATTTTTTAGAGTTACGAGTTAAGATAACATCTTGAGGCATTTATACAGTTTTACAGGTACCTAAATGTTAGTAATGACTATTTAAAATGCTATATGTTTACATGAGAAAATACTATATGAATAGTAACTTACTCCATAAATTTTTATGAAGAGAATGCACATTCATTAACCAATCACAATCCACTCTACTAATGATTTTATTCTCATTGTTTCATTTTTTTTCTTAAAACCACAATATCAAGTAGTTTTTATGTCATTGACATTTTACAGATAAGAAAATTGAGGCACTGGGAGTTTATGCATTTATCTAGGTCAAAAGGTTTGTCAAAGTTGAATGGAGGATTAGAACCAACATATTATCTGCTCCAGGACCATTACCACTTCTCTATGCAGCCATGCAGTCTTGTATTACTGACTTAGGCATTTACTATGATATTTTTTGTAGCTGATTAGGAAAAAAATAAATACTTTTGATAAATATGCATATGTATGCAACTATGTAATTTGAATATAATTCAAAACATATATTTAACCCTTAAGTCTAGACCACATGTGATGTTCTAATAATCTATATTTGACTTTGCTGTTATTTCAAGTAAGTGTTTGGAGTTACATGGTAGTATTATAGAATTGTCTCCTTAAAATGATAGTATTTAAAACTGAGAAAAATAAATACTATTTAATGTCAGAATAGTTATATTACTTTAATGTGCATTCAAGTTACATGTTAAATGTATTAATATAATTTTTAGAAAACATCAATATCAGGGTAAAATAAATCCAAATGTCCCATGCAAAGTTTGATCCAAAGTTTTATAAAGGATCATTACAGAAAGAAAAAGATAAATTGGTTATTCTTATAATTACACTAAATAACTTTTGTTGAGTGTTTTCAATATAAAAGCATTATCTAAGCATTTTTAATGAATACAATGCAATAATTTTATTAGAGAGAAACCATTACTATCCCTATTTTACAGATGAGAAAGCATACATGGGTTGGTTAAGTAATTTGCTCAAGGTCACATATATATAAAAGTGGAAGAGCTGAGATTTGATGCCAGTTAACAAGGCTCCAGAGCTGGCTCTCCAAAGCACTATTTACTGAATCTTTAGAGCGAAGGCACCTTTAGAGTCACTTGTAGTTGTTTTTTCAAAGGGCAAGTTTCCAGTTTTTTGTTTCTGTTTTTGTCTTTTTTCTCCCTTTCTTTGAGTGGAGTTCTAATAAACAATAAAATAACTTCCAAGTTTACTTCAGCATTCGTAATTATAACCTTAACATTTTAATCTCAACATAATATTAAAATCACTCCCTAGTTTAAAAAATCCAAGACACTGCCAGGTGCGGTGGCACACTCCTATAATCCGAGGACTTTGGGAGGCCAGGGCGGGAAGATCACCTGAGGTCAGGAGTTTGAGACCAGCCTGGACAACATGGTGAGACCTGTCTCTACTAAAAATACAAAAATTATCTGGGTGTGGTGGTGTGTGCCTGTAATCACAGCTACTCGGGAGACTGAGGAAGGATAATCTCTTGAACCCGGGAGGCAGAGGTTGCAGTTAGCTGACATCGCGCCACTGCACTCCAGCCTGGGTGACAAGAGCAAGACTCCGTCTCAAAAAAAAAAAAAAAAAAAAAAAAAACAAGACATATCAAACAGCACATGAATTTCTTTCATGATGTCTTGTTTTAAGAAAAGGTAATCGTCTGCAGCATTGCAAACTTACAGTAATTTCAGAATACTAAAATGACTTACTGTTTATCAGAAATGTATGATTTTCCACAAATAATCCATAAAAGTGATCTCAGACATGATTAGGCTTTTCATAAATATAATAGCTACAATGAAAGGATCATCAGCCTTATAACTTTCAGGAGGCTGATTTCTTGATTATTTTAGCTTTGATTTAGGAGAGAGATGGTTACTATTTTTGAAATTATATTCTCACTATTTAAGTCTTTTAACACTTTTCTAAACTAATAGTCTCCTAAATTCCTTTTTTGTCATGAGAATTACCAAAAAGAAGTAATGTTCTATAATGTTTTTTAAAAGATGTTGATAAACAGTGCTTAAAGAATTCTTAATATTTAATATGATAGCACGTAAAGTTTCAGGAAATTAATATATTATGCTGCATATTTGCATATTATATGTAGCATTATTTTTTCATGGATTAATCAGGAAAGCATAATTTTTTTTTGCAATGCGAATAATTAGAAAAGCCCTAGCTACACTTTTATAATGTGTTGGTTCACTTTTACAATGTGTTGGTTCAAACTCTACTCCATATCGTCGTCATTTGGGGAGTCAACCTGTTGTCGCTGCCTCTACTTGGAAATGTTCTGATCCTCATGAAAGAGGGAAAAGAGTCTTGACAAACCATAAACTGGTTCTTAATCAATTTAAAAGGGATGCACATCTCACTTTTACTTGCATTCAATTGACCAAAGTAAGTCGTATAGGCACTCTGCGTTCATTAGGCTGGGGAAACATAGCCATCTACACTTGAGGGGTCTTACAAGTCATGTGGTGAAAACTGCCATAAGTGAGGCAGGGGCGAATATGGCTCCCTTGGGGAAGGAATGAGAAAATGGGAAAAGTATTATGATCTATCAGGGTCTCTATAAAGGGATCAGTGCCAATCATTTACTTTACTGAACATAGTAGTTGCTACATAAATATTTTTACATGAATTTTAAATAAAGTAAAATTACTTCAAAATTAAATAAATTTTCCTGGGCAAATCTTTAAAAAGAGTGCCCACTCACTTTTAAATCTGAAACTAAGAAGAAACCAGAATATTTCTTCAGAAAGAAGCACCAATAACCACCAATGGCATGATTGTGTTTTTTGGTTTTCTGCCTCCTTGCACATCCTGTGGTATCAGTTGGTACAAGGTCTGGCCTATTTGAGTCCTTATCAATACACTGAATGTTTAGCTAGCCATAACAACAGCATGGAAGCTATTCACACTGGTTAAAACTGCCGGAAAAAAAAAGCCTCTAAAGCTTTGGCATATCTTCGATGTTAGCAGTATCTGCTACTACACTACATATGGTTATTAATGGCTCAAAACTACTTCAAATGTTTCATCATTGCCCTCGACCTACACACACACACACACACACACACACACACACATAGAATTCTCAAATTCTATTGGATATTTTCCCTGTCTTTTTTGTTCATCTTCTTTGCTTAAAAATGAATGGCAACATTTAATGACTCGACATGTGAAGATTAGATAACCTCTTTATATAAATTATAGGAGTAAAAATGTTCCAAGTAGAGACTGAATATGAGACAAACAAATACTATCTACTAATAATGAAAAATATGAAGTCCTAATGTCTTTAGCGATACTGTCAATCTACTTACATTTAACTTATATAACCTATAAACTTCTAGGGCTTTTCTTGTTTAATGATTATGAAATTGGTATTGCTGTTTTCTTTGATATCACCACTGCTGTCATAGACAATCCCTAGGCAAAATCAGGTCTTCTAGGTCTTAACATGACAAAATCAAGGAAATCCATTTATGTCTTAACAAATAAGTACTTTTTTGTTCCATTAAAATGGAATTGCTTGATGTTACCAAGATCTCAAAGGAAATGTTAATTTTGCATGAAAGATGGTACAGTATTTATACCCTTTGAGGCCTGGGGAAAATATGTATTACAGAAATTAAGGCTGTAATTATCATTATTTTGAAGCATGTAATCTCTTAGTTCCAGCAAACACAGAGTTAAAAAGTAGACTATAACTTAGGGAAAGGATGCTATGGTTTAGAGGGATTTTATCCAGAAAATGGTAGAAGTTACTATTTATACGGAATAATAACCGTGGGTTTTTAGAATCAACACTGTTGAATGACAGTTGCAATGTCGAAAGGGAAGGAAACTAAAATTCATTGATTGTATTACTGTGCACTGTCATGGATTTTTAAAACATTCAGCCATTTAATTATTGGAGTAGCCATTCAGCATGATAAGACAAGGTACTGAAAATTGCTTTTTAGCATACTTGAATTGTCTCATGCAAAAATACGTGTGTGCTTGTGCATGTGCAGGTGTGCGTATGCTGGGTGAGGGCAAAGAGGGTGGGTTAGCAATATTCTTCCCAGTGGAGAAGAATCATGTTTCTGGCCCAGACACATTTGCATGGCTGTGGGGCATCTGTCAATTATCACTAGATAACAAAAAGGAATTGTTGTCTAAGGCTGATGGGAGCTGGTTGTACATCACATAAAGTGACTTTTCTCTCCATTAACCTGCAGATCTTCAAGGATTAAGTTATAAAAGAAAAAATATTTTCGTTTGGAACCAACAATTACATGGAATCAACCCAAATGCCCATCAATGATAGACTAGATAAAGAAAATGTGGTACATATACAAAATGGAATACTATGCAGCCATGAAAAGGAATGAGATAATGTCTTTTGCAGGGACATGGATGGAGCTGGGGTCTGTCAGGGTAGGTGGGAGAAGGGAGACTATCTGGAAGAATAGCCAATGGGCTTAATACTAAGGTAATGGGTTGATCTGTGCAACAAACCACCATGGCATCTATCTACTAATGTAAAAGTAGACAAAGATGACTGTAAGCAAATAAGGTCAGAAACAAAGATACAAATTTTGAGGTTTTATTTAAGTTTCCCCATATCTCTAAAGATAACAATGATTTAAGCAAAATCTGGTCTTCTCTAGTAATTATTATTCCTATTAATTACACATGACAAAGTTTAGAAAACTTAAATCCTTAGGCCATGATAATTAGCTAATACCTAATCAGAGCCAAGATTTGGAAGTTGATTATCCTGACACCATCTTTCTCTTTTAATTGAAATATATAAAGATAGAAGCTACTGTCTCAGAAGATTTTTACAACATATATCTAAATGTGGGTTTCTTTCAGAGTTTGTGTTATTATAGTGCCACTATTAGAATAATCTGTTTAGTTGTTTATTCTCAGTTGTGTCTGGTTAACTACCTGACGACACAAACACAGGTGCACATAATCATACAACTGATTTTGGAAACGATTTCAGGTATCTTTCGTAATGATAAACTGCCAAAATGAAACAAAAAGTATGTGTCTATATACACTAAATATATGCACATATGTATATGCATACATTTAATATATATGCATGAAATATGTGTATATATAATTTATAACATTGTTATATTTTGCCACATCTGAAATAATTTAATTCTGGATGTTGGTTTAAACACTATTAGAATATTTTGTTGTTAACAGGAAATTTTATAATAACTCTGAAAATAAATGTTAGAGTCATAGATATTTCCTCTATTATTTAGAGAATTTTTTTTTTTTGATAATATATTACTTACAACTTTGGCTTCTCTTAAAGTTATGTAAGTTAAGAATAATTTCAGTTTATTCTACAACCATTTTAAATGTTAAAGTAAAATAGAATAAAGGAAAACCCAATTGATCTCATCCCTACACACACACACACACACACATACACACACAAGTAAACACATTTTATCACATTTAATTTAATTGCATTTTGATTTAATTAGTAATTATCTTCATGACAGTTTGGTTGCTTTTGTAAGTCATAGCATTATCAGAAAATGCATTGTAAATTACTTTATTTATGCCATCTTCCAGAAGACTATTGTTTTAGGATCACCACAGTTCATCTTGTTAAATGAGGTTAATGACACTGACCCTCACCCTTTCAAAGTACTAATTGAATACACTCTTTCAACATAGGTAGATATAAAATATATATATATATATTTATTTGAAATCATACATTTAAGTTCTGAAGGAAAATGACTGCCAACTATTAAAGGACCTAAAATAGCATATTTAAAAATGATAGAATTTACTGAAAAACTAACAAATAAATAACAAAAATTCAAAAAGTAAACAAACCATTGCATGCATCCTACTCTTTAGAATAAACAAGGTGAAATTAAGAATTTCTTGCCTTAATCAAAACCACATTGAGATACCATCTCACACCAGTCAGAATGGCAATTATTAAAAAGTATAGAAACAACTGATTCTGGTGAAGTGGTGGAGACTAAGGAATGGTTTTACACTGTTGGTGGGAGTGCAAATTAGTTCAACCATTGTGGAAGACAGTGTGGTGATTCCTCAAATATCTAGAGACAGAAATATCATTTGACATAGCAATCCCATTACTGCATATATACTCAAAAGAATATAAATCATTCTATTATAAAGATATGTGAATCTGTATGTTTATTACAGCACTATTCACAATAGTAAAGACATGTAATCAACCTGAATGGCCATCAATGATAGACTAGATAAAGAAAATGTCATAAATATACACCATGGAATACTATGCAGCCATAAAAAGGAATGAGATCATGTCCTTTGCAGGGACATGGATGGAGCTGGGGTCTGTTGGGGTGCGTGGGAGGAGGGAGAGCATCAGGAAGAATAGCTAATGGATACCAGGCTTAATACCAAGGTGATGGGCTGATCTGTGCAGCAAACCACGATGGCACACATTTACCTAAGTAAAAAACCTGCACATCCTGTGCATGTACCCCTGAACTTCAAATAAAAGTTGAAGGGAAAGAAAGAATTTCTTGCCTTGTTCTTCTCTCACATTTTTCATTTATGTATTATTTTATCATTTACTTGAGCAAAAATGGGTTCCTAATAGCCTCCCTTAAGAATTACATAGAAATACTTCAGTCTTATTTTGTTGAGCTTATCTGTTTTCTAAAAATAGTATCAGTATAATATAATTCTCCAACAGGAATTTTGCAATGAAAGCTGTAGTCATGTAGATCATGTAGATTAATAAATGTTAAGTGACTTGTTTGTTGTTGTTGTTGTTGTTGTTTTGAGATGAAGTCTCACTCTGTTGCCCAGGCTGGCGTGCAGTGGCACGATCTCGGCTCACTGCAACCTCCGCTTCCTGGGTTCAAGTGATTCTTGTGCCTCAGTCTCCTGAGTAGCTAGGATTACAGGCACCTGCCACTACACCCAGCTAATTTTTGTATTTTTAGTAGGAACAGGGTTTCATCATGTTGGCCAGGCTTGTCTCAAACTCCTGACCTCAGGTGATACACCTGCCTCGGCCTCCCTCGGCCTCCCAAGTGGCTTTTTTTTTTTAAATGAACATTTCACTCTTAAAAAGGAAAATCTTAAACTTTCCTAAAAGTTAATCATTTATTTGTTGCTTTTTGTTTGGATACATGTTTGCTTCTGCTAGAATTTTCACACTATAATAGTTTGATATTATTGGCATAACCAAGAGAAAAACGTTAACCTTTCTTGGGTAGGTATTTACTCCTCTTTATCCTGATCAGAAAAATACAGTACAACTGATTTCAGATGTCCTTATTCATTAAAAATGGTTTACCCAGGTTCTGACAGAAAACAGACTGGGGGGACATTAGCATTCTGGAATTAGATAAGACTATCTAGAGTCTACCACTCACTTGCTATGCAAAATTAGATATGGCTTTTAGACTCACTTTGCTTATCAATACAACAAAGATGATAATCTCTGTTTCATAGGCTCAGGTTCAGGTTTGAATGAAAGAATTCATCTACCACCATAGTAAATAATAAAAGCTATCATAACAGCATCTATTTATATATGTAGATCATAACCTATATATATTGCTTTGTAGTAATAACTTTAAAGGCAAGTTTACTCTGGAACTCAAAGTTGGAGGAGTATAGGACTGGCCAGGAGGAACAGGGAAAGCTTTCTACTGGAATCTTAGGAAGGACTTCTGGTGATGAGCTGATCGGGTATATTTTTCACTGAGGAAAGAAAAAAGATGACTAACATTCACTTCCCAACTGAGAACCGTTGCTCAATAAAGTATATTCTGTCCTTAGAAAGGGCTTCTGCCATGCAATGAGTCCTCCAGGAAATAAACTGAGCACTTGGCATAGAGGCTGCTTACACAGGAAAGAGTAATATCAGTTATCTCAATGAGTATTGTGAACTACTGTGAAGTCCCTACATGATAATGCCCCTTGATAGAGGTTTTGATGGTAAGCATTCACATTCATTGGAACAATTACATATATCTTCACCAGCCTAAGAGAACAAAAGATGCGTTATTACATACTGTGTGATGGGGTTTTGATTATCCATAGGGATTACTGCTGTTAATCCAACAACAACAACAAAATAATTTTGTAGATTCTTTAGTCAGAGAGTGTGACACAAATAAGAAATGTCAGGAATAAATAAGTTAGGTTAAACTACTGTGCAAAATACTAGCTGGCTTCATGAAAATTGAGGAGTCATGAGAAATGTACAAAATATATAATAAGGGATGAACTCTATAAACTATGATACACAAAATTCAGTATGTGCCATATTTTATATATATATACCTTTACTTTTTAAGGTTAAACTTATATTTACCATATAGATATTCATACAAATATATTACCCAAATTAAAAAGATTTTAATAATGTTAAAAAAATTATTTTTTCCTAAATATAAACCTAATCATAATTAGTGTGTGTACAACAATGTTGGTTAAGTCAATCTTCACAATTCTTTTGAGGATATTTTGAGGATATGGTTGAGAGGTTTTTTTTTTTTTTTTTTTTGCTTTCTAGCCTTGTTACTATTAAGTTCTATTAAGTTCTACAGTTTGGAAACAAAGATTGAGAATATTCTCAGAAATGTGGCTCCAGGTGGTAATATTAAAGAGAAGAGAGTCTGATTAAGCTCTAATTGTGGTATTAGGGGTAAATTAATTATATTACAATAAATATAAAAATTAAGATTAGCAAAGTTTTATGCTCTGGGCTGTGTAAACATAGGGCAATACTGCCATAAGGTGTCCTTGGAGAGCTTTCTATCTGGTACATTCAGAGCTACTCTGTATTCCCTTGAAATTTCACAAGAGAAGAAAATTACATATTCAGGTCCATAGGAATACATGGAAACAAAACAAACTTCTCCTTTGAGCATAAAACAGACACATTTATTTCAATATAATGTCAGTGTTCTTGTTTGCAATCAGAATACTAAATAATAATTTGTTATAGAATTTATTATTAAATTGAAATTCAGATAAAGACAGAAATTTGCTATTAAGTATTCATTGTATCAATGCCAAAAATATAGGAAGTGCAGGAAATAGATAAGTAGGTACCATATTTGGTCCTAGGACTATACTTAAAATTTACAGAAAAGGTAAGAAAATCCACCTTCTCTGAATCTTGTTTAATTGTAGGCTTTTTTCCTCTTCATATGGTAACTAAGTCATTTTATATGGAGTGTAATACAGTGCTATTAGAGAAACAAATCATGTTGCACTAAAGTTAATTTTATCACATTTAGCTTTCTCACTTAGACTGGTAAAATACCACACGTCAAAATTAAATGCAATCCCAGTTACTGGACATTTTTTCCAACCTGTATTACAAAAGTGTGTACTATTTGGGCTGAGTTGGAAAAAATGGTTCAAAGAGGGTGAGGAAATATCACTAAAGAAACATCATCTAAATTTGAAAAAGCAATAAGGAAAAGGAATAAAACCAAGATATTTAAAACTTTGCCCTTTAGTTGCGTTTCTTTTATTTTTAAGGGTTTATATGCATCATGCCATCCAGGAGCTTATAGTCTTATAGGGATAAAATATAAACCATAATTAGCAATATATCAATAATAACAAGTACTAATTACTAATGGAAGCAAGAATGTAATCTTTTGAGGTTGAGGAAACAGTGATCTTAGTTCAATTTTGAAAATTAGACAATTCTTGTGTACCCAAAGCAATATGAATTTTTCTTGAAAGATCACTTGGGCTTAATTTGTTGATATTGAACATAGAAGAAACAGCATGAGAAAAGGCATAGAGGTGGGCAAATGTGTTTGTATAAAAGGGTAGAAAATATCACAAACAAGTAGTTTATAGTTTTCTGTGATATTTTTCAAGGGAAATATTAATGATTTAATTATAAAATTAAATAAATAATGATTTCTAAGAGCATCTGCATAGCATCAAAATGTGGTCATATTTAAAAAGCCATTTTGAAGCAACACTATGGTTTACTTATATGCAACCATCAAACATTTATTGGGCATGTATTTTGCTAGGTACTCTTCTCAACCTAGAGATACAAAAGTGAAAAAAGCCAAATGCCTGTCTCTCTTTATAGAATTTATATTTTAACAGAGAAGAAAATGTATTTCTATTTACATCCGTAACTCATTTATTTGCATACTTGTGTGTGTGTGTATATATATATATATAAATATGTATATATGTATACGTGTATGGCAAGCAAGTAAACAAATAATGTAAATACATATAGTAATAAACATCATAAGGAAATAAAACCAAGAAGTCAGACAGTAGATCTGGGTAGAAGGTAAAAAGGAAATCATGGATGAGTTGAGAAAGCTGAATGATTAAAGAAATGAGAATTGCAAAGGCATGGGGCAAGAGGGTTAGGCAGAGTACTCAAGGCTGTGAAGCCAGATTGTGGTTAGCATGCTGAAGGGAAGAAAAAACAGGCTAGTTTGAGTAATGCAGAGTAAATGTGGAATAATGAGATGAGAGGCAAGATAGATACAGAAGCCAGATGTATAGTCTTGGTTGATTATTGTGTGAAGCTTGGAATTTACTCTAAGAGCAACTGGAAAGCCATACATTGGGATATTCAAAGGTGGCAGGGGCATTTGACTTGCCTTTTGACAAGGTCATTGTGATGGTAAAGTTGGAAGCAGAGGGTGTCAAAAGACACTGCTACAGTAAAGGTGAGAGGTGGAAGTTACTTGGACTAGGTGATCATGGTGAAAATGCTGAGAATTGATCAGATTCTCAAATCAGATACATATTTTAAAGGTGTTGACTAATGTATCTGCTGACAGATTGCACGTGAAATAGAAGGGAAAGAAGGGAGAAATCAGTATTTTCTGTGATTTGGTCTGAGTAACCTAGTGAAAATGTATTTAAATCCATTTGGAATTATTTTTTTCTAACACCAAAGTACAGTTCTTGGGGATCAATTATTTGTCGTATTCTTAACTGCTACATTATACTTATCTGGCTGGAATGCTACCCCTTCCAACTCATCACTCAGTCTTTTCATGGAGCTAACTGCTACTCATTCTTCATTACTTATTATAAACACATCTTTCCATCAAATATATCTCTGCAAGCCTACATGAGTAGATTTTAACAAATTTATCTCTATTTTAATTATTTAATATTAAGTTTATTAATTTAATTATCACATCCCCACTATGAAAACTCCAGAAGGGCAAAGATTATGTCTGTTTTATTCACAGATTATTTGCACTACTAGGACCTGGAAGACTATGGAAAGAGTACATTTTTATTGAGTAGCTAATTCTCTTTTTCTTCCTTGTCTCTTTTTTTCCCCAGTCCTTGATTTGGGGGTTTATATAATCTTCTTTCATCACCTTATGCTTTTCCCTATTTTGGTTAACTACTAGTCAGTTAACTGTTGAGGGGAAGAGGCTTTTAGCCTAACTTTCGGCAAACTACCAAATTCAAAGTTGTTCTGGGCAACAATTTAAGTTCCCTACTGTTAAAATCTGAATGTCAATGTCTCCCACCTTAAATTCATATGTTGAAAGCCTAACCATAAAGGTGATAGTATTAGGAGGTGGGGCCTTTGGGGAGTGATTAGGTCATGAGACAAGAACCCTCACGGACAGGATGAGGGCCCTTATATTAATAAAAGAGGCCTCAGAGAGATCCCTATCCCCTTCCACCACGTGAGGATAAAATGGGAAGTTAGCAGTCTGGAACCCAGAATAGAGCCCTCATCAGAACTGGACCATGTTGGCACCTGATCTTGAGCTTTTCAACCTCCAGAACTGTGAGAAATACATTTCTGCTGTTTATAAGCCACCCAGGCTATGGTATTTTGTTATAGCAGCCTGAATAGATTAAGACATCCACCTTGAAGGTCCTTGACTTACTTGTATCATTAAATTCATGAAAGGTATACTTAGAGAGCCCTTTCTATACCTAGGCACTATGATAGACACTGATGATAACATAGTGAGCAAAAGCAGGCATGATTTCTCCATTATGCAAATCAAAATCCAATGGAAGAGACAGATATCAATCCTACATTCCCATAAAATACACTTATCTGCAGTCTACTTTAGCTAACCTCTTCTAAATATACTATTTTAAACTTCTCCACCTTTGAAATGGTAATTCTAATTCTTTTTCTCAGACAACAAATCTGACTCTTGCTCCATTCTCATTATATTAGCTCTGCACTGTGAATAAAGAGACTCCAATACATGACCATGTCTTTTACTTCTAGATGTGTGTCTTGCTTCTGCCTCTACTCCTTCCTGTCTCTTTCCTTGGCATTCCATGGAGCCTCTCTCCTGCCTAGAGCTTTATCTCCCTTAACAATTGCTTTCAGTCACAAACTTTTGTTAAACCCCATTCTGTAATACATTTATGTATCTTGCATTCTCTGTGCCTGTGGGAATAGTCCAATATTGCTGGGAAAAAAAAATCTCATATAAGTCTTAATCAGTGGCTTTGCAATTTATGGTTTCACATCTTCACTGGGAAAATGTCTCAGTAGACGTCTTATGTGGTCCTGGTCAGGTCTCTCTCCCATTTCCATTTTCTCCAGGCAGCTCTCTTAGTACTGTTTCCTAGTTCCTTAGCAGACGATAGTCTTCCACTTTTAAAAACATTCATTCTATCAAAAATGAAACCCTTGACTTAGTACTGTGGTGCCTGGAAATTTACCTATAGTCACAAACTTCCCTACTTATTTAATTTCTATCTTAGAGGAATAGATGGGAACTTCTACTCTGTCTCACATCCTATCACCCTCCTGTGGTTTAAACCAATGCTAATTTACAAACCTTTCTCAGCACTTGATCTTTTCTATTAGGTTCATTATACATTTCACCACCAGGTTAGCTTTAGAAAACCACATTTTATTGGGTTATATCCACTTCCAAAGACTTCCAAACATTTCTTTCAGTCTTTAGTGAATTTTCCAGTTTCTTCATTTGGTTACTAAAAGCTCTCTGAAACATAACTCAATGGTAATAACTGTTACTCTAAAATAGGAACTACTTTATACATTATTTTCCCAACATTCTGCATCTTTCAATATTTAAAAAAATATATACTTGCTCAATTTCCAAAATTTGAGAAAATGAATTCAAACTGATCAGCTATGTAAAACGTAGAGTATTAACTGCTGGAAAAAAATAATGAATAAAGAAGGCCTGTTCCTTATCACCATACATTCCTACTGCCTTTATTTCTATCTTAGAGGAATAGAAGGGAGGTATAGCAACCCATGTGAGGTAGCAGAGGCTTGAATACCACGGATTAAGTGCTATTATGTTCATGTGCAGAGGGCTGCTGGAGTGTGTTGGAAGGAAGTAGGACTCAAGAGTGAAGTATTAAGGTGGGGTTTCAAGGAAGGCTTTGAAGATCAGATAACAATTAAATTAAGGACTACAGAACGAAATGAATGTATTAAATGGAAAAGGACATGGTAGGCAGAAAACAACAATGTATGCAATGCTTTTCTCAGAAGTAATAGAGAGCATGGAATTTAAAATCTTGTTTGTGGCTCACCCCTGTAATCACAGCACTTTGGGAGGCCAAGGTGGGCGGATCACAAGGTCAGGAGATCTAGACCATCCTGGCTAGCGCAGTGAAACCCCGTCTCTACTAAAAATACAAAAAATTAGCCGGGCGTGGTGGCGGGCGCCTGTAGTCCCAGCTACTCGGGAGGCTGAGGCAGGAGAATGGCGTGAACCCGGGAGGCGGAGCTTGCAGTGAGAGGAGATCGCGCCACTGCACTCCAGCCTAGGCGACAGAGCGAGACTCCGTCTCAAACAAACAAACAAACAAACAAACAAACAAAACTTGTTTGGCTGAAATGTAGAGCTAATTATGAAGATGGGTCAGAGATTAAGTTGAACTGGTAATAACGTTATCATATGCCATATTAAGGAGGTTGGGTGTTACAACAAAAGCATGGAAAGCTTTGAAGAATTCAAAGGTAATAGGTCAGACTTAAACTTTTCATATCAATCTGCTTCCAGGGTCGAGAAAATTTCCAGCGGCTTAAAACTGAAAGCAAGTTGCTGAATTAGCAGGAATCTATGTACACGCGATGGTAACACACATCTAGGTATAGACACTGGAGCTCTACAATTGTTTGTCCTATGGATATGTAAAAATTAATCTAACCATTTCCCTAGTTTTTTACATTTATATTCTATTTGGTGATTCTCTGAGAAGGGAGTAAAGCCTTTATTTTTTATAGACCATCTCATAACACTATACTTACATGGTCCACATTGCAAGAAATGTTGAACCAAGTGTTGATTAGTTATGGGTAAATGCCTAGGTGTACCCTGTAATACAAGTACTCACCTCATAGCCCAAGAAATCTTGGAAAGATGTTGGACAAGTATTACTTCTCTCCCTCTCTCTCTTTTCACCCCTCTCTCTCTCACACACACACACATGCACACACACACAAAATGCACAGCATATATTTCACAAAAAGATAATACCTTTAAAAGAAAATACGTTGTGTTCCTTTACAAGAAAACATGTTAAAACATAATTTACATATCTTTATTCAGTGAATTGTGTGCTACATATTGTAAATATTTGTATTGATATTATCCTACTAGAGTGTATTATATCCTTTTTTCTTGTCATAAATCCTAAATGCAGCCAGGCATGATGGCTCACGTCTGTAATCCCAGCACTTTGGGAGGCTGAGGCGAGTGGATCACCTGAGGTCAGGAGTTCGAGACCAGCCTGGCCAACATGGTGAAACCCCGTATCTACTAAAAATACAAAAAATAGCAGGCCATGGTGGTGCGTGCCGCAATCGCAGCTGCTTGGGAGGCTGAGGCAGGGGTATCGTTTGAACCCGGGAGGCAGAGGTGGCAGTGAGCTGAAATAGCTCCACTGCACTCCAGCCTGGGAGTGAGACTCCGTCTTCAAAGAAAGAAAGAGAGAGAGAGAGAAAGAAAGAAAGAGAAAGAAGGGAGGGAAAGAAAGGAAATGAAAGGAAGGAAGGAGGGAAGGAAGGCCTAAATGCTAATTGAGTAATATCACTCAAATTACAGGAAATTTTCTGATATTGATCCTCATTCAAATATGGTACAAAAATCCAGCAGTCCAATTTTGGGTAACATGAAAAATCCAGGTAGCATTATATTTTTTGATAGGTAGAGGCTGACTCCCTTTTAGACTCTTGCTAGAGAAGCAGCTAAAGAATTTACTGGGCAGGATTCAACTTATTTCAAGCAATCTTTGGAAGCCGCTTTTTCACTTTAATTCTCTGATGATAAATGTGGTATAATAATAGTTGACAGCAAGATGGAAAGAAAATATATAAATACATAGAATAAACTACTCACAGAAAATCTGATCAATGCATGTGTCTGTGGCTAAGAAATCATTTTTCCCTTGATGCAAATTTAGTTCATTCCATCTCACTGAAAAGTAATGTAACATCATTACTCTTTCCTCACCTTGTAAAACTGACACAGCATACTCAAGAGACTTCAGTTTCCCTCTTTGGGAGAAACTGTAATATTGAGATCAAATTAACCCTCAATGGGAATGAATTCTTTATGCAAATACTTGCAATTTAATAAACCGTAGAAAAACATTTTTAAAACTCTGTATTTATAGATAAAGTGTCTTTGATAATCTTTTAACAAATATTGTTTACTAACTTGTGATACTTCATCATTGCTTTTTAGTAGTTAAAATAAGATGTAATAAGCACCAACATAAATGATTATTGTATTTATGAGTAAATATGACAGACTGTGAGCCTATAATTATTCAGCAATTAATGGCTTTCCTATAGTAAAATATACAAGATTCAGCTGCTTTTACAATTTCAATTTTAAAGCAGTAATAACATCACTACCAAAATTAGGCAGGCAAAGTCTTGATATTGGAGATGATGCCATATTCAGTGTAGGCTGGAATGATTACAAGAAGTCACTATAAGAGAGAATGAAGGCCGTGTGCGGTATCTCACACCTGTAATCCTAGCACTTTGGGAGGCTGAGGTGGGCGGATAACCAGGTCAAGAGATAGAGACCATCCCAGACAACATGGTGAAACCCTGTCTCTACTAAAAATACAAAATTAGCTGGGTGTGGTGGTGCGCACCTGTAGTCCCAGCTACTCGTGAGGCTGAGGCAGGAGAATCACTTGAACCCAGGAAGCAGAGGTTGCAGTGAGCCGAGACCCAGCCACTGCACTCCACCCTGGTGACAGAGAGAGACTCCATCTCAAAAAATAAATAAATAAATAGAGAAAGAAATGATAAAGAACCTGGAAATCCTCAACAGTTGTCCCTTGTCTCTTTTCTGAAAGAAGGTGAATAATTTACAAATGTACTTTTGTTATAATGAAAACTATCTGAAAAATAAAAGCTGTAAATGTATGGATGAGTAAAAAATATATGTATTGCTAGTTCTCCATTAAGTATAAAATATTCTCCTCATCAAATATCAGTGATAACATTGCAGTCTGATTTGATCAAATTGGCTACAAATAATATAAAATAATACTTAAACATATGGAAAGCCCATTTTTTGCAGAAATTTCTACTCATCAGTAACAAAATAGTCTTCCATTTTTCTATCAGTTATAACATTTAACTATTCATATTTCAATGAACAAATGCATTCTAATTATAGCTATCTTTGTTAACAGGTATGAAGCAAGAACAATACAAGTGTAGTGTTAGGAAATTTATGGTTGTGCTTAGAGATAGGCAAATGATCTTGTTAGATGTAAACAGTGTATAATCATGATGAACAAGGTAGGTTTAATTAAGAGGACAGAAGACCTTGGGTTGCCAACTACTTTTTACTATATACAGTAAAATATTCATTTTGTTTAGTTTCAGGCAAGGGAAGTTTTATCATCAAAGATGTGCAGGAGGGTGAATGCTTTTATTCGGGTCATGGGGAAAGTCAACACAAAAAGGAAAATAAAGCAGCAGGAGAATCAGTTTGTTGCAATAGTTACAACAACAGAAATAGAGAACATTGCGAGGCATGATGGTAGCAGAATTGACAGACTGGATATGATGCGGGCAAAGAAAAGAGAATATCTGCATCATAAACTCAACCTGTGTAAATAGCATAAAAGAGTTTGCCTTTTCCAATTCCTGGTTTCCACAAGAAGTGATTTTCCTCACCCTCCCTCACTTGTATTGGTTCCACACTTAATAGTTACTTATCTTGTTTGAAAATTTGCAAAGTATAATTTGATAACCTTGCCACAATTCTACCTAACTTTCCCTTGACGGCTACAGACCTGCCACCAGTGAGCCAACAGCCATTTCTCCAGGAGCCTTATTTCTTCTAGAGAAGGACTTCAGCACCGCTGGGAGGGGTCTGGCCACTTCTGGAGTCAGAGTTTTTGAGGCTGACAGGCTAACAAATTTAGAGCCATGTCTTCCAACCTTGATTTTATCAGTGAAAAAAATGGTGCTTGTTTGTTCTTGTCATTGTCTATTGTTTTTGTTGACATTTGTTATAACTCAAGGTGTTCTATTTAGTTGGAACCCCCATAAAGCTCCAAGAGTAGTGTCAACTTTTGTTTCTTCTGCGGACCTGTGGATTAGTTTGGTGTTGGACACATTATTTTAAACTTATCCTTTAGAAACAGATTACATCAAGCTCCATCCTGAAATACTTTGTAACCCCAGGACTTATACTAGCATCCTGAGAGAAGCCACAAAATGATGTTATGAAGGAAGTAACGTAACACATTTCAGGTTCATTCTCACAGCAATGTGTAGTGGTGGCCGATTTTATAATTTATTCACTGGCTTTGGGGTCAGGTGGATCAGGGCTTGAATCGCATCCCTGATTCTTAAAAGCCGTATGGTTAGAGACAATATCTAAGTCATGTGAAGCTCAGTTTATAAATCTGTACAATAGGGATATTATGACTAACCTCACAGGTTGTTGTGAGGATTAAATAACATAAAAATAAATGTAGCAATTATTCTAGGGCTGGGAAAATAGATTAAATTAAAGGCAGTTTTAATTAATGTGAGGAGCCAAGCTAAATGTAGTGGGAAAGTTGGGAAGCTGGTGCAATATTAGACTGAAATTATTTTAAAAGCATTAATGAGGGCAGGTGTGGTGGCTCATGCCTATAATCCCAGCACTTTGGGAGACTGAGGTGGACAGATCAGGAGGTCAAGAGATTGAGACCATCCTGGCTAACGTGGTGAAACCCCATCTCTAGTAAAAAGACAAAAAAATTAGCTGGGTGTGGTGGTGTGCACCTGTAGTCCCAGTTACTCGGGAGGCCGAGGCAGGAGAATCACTTGAACCCGGGAGGTAGAGGTTGCAGTGAGCCGAGATTGTGCCACTGCACTCCGGGCTGACGACAGAGCAAGACTTCGTCTCAAAAAAAAAAAAAAAAAAAAGCATTAATGGTAGTGAATAATGAGTGCAATTCTGACTGTATTATGTTTATAATGTTAGTGAACTATCTTGGAATAGATACCTAGCTATGGGACATAGTGTAAAGGAAGAAATGTTGTAATAATCAGAGATACGCAGAGTTACATAGAAAAGCAGAGTGATAAAAAAAAAACCTATGCATTTATATAAATGGACCAAAGGATAGAGCACAACATGAAAACAGGGCCAGTTTTTATTTTATCCCCTGGAGGGCACTTGTATGTATCAAGTGAAAAGAGAAGAGACACTAATAAAATACACAATGCTCAGAAGACAACCACAAAATCGCAGAAAACAATCAGAGACTGTCAAGAGATAAAAAGCGACCAAGAGTTTTAAGTACTTCTACAGAGAAATAATTGTAAAAACTATGGGGAAAAGTCCACATATCCCTTATGCAGTTTAAAATTAATTGTGCAAAGATCATTATTCAATTTATAAGTCAGTTGAAGAATAATTTGAAGCAAATCATAGGTTTAAGAATATCACCATGAAGTACATATAAAAGTAAATATAAACATACAATCAGTGATGTGCATGAAAGCACCTACTATTTCTACTCATTTATTAATCATATTCTAACCACAGTATGATTTTGAAAGCTCCTACTTATAATACACCGGGATGTCAGAAAAATCATGATAAGACATAGAAGCAGTGAAATATTACCTTGTTACTATAACGTTACAATATCAAGATTTGCTTTCTTTACAGGATATTTCCATAACCTTTCAAAAGTCTTAAAAGCCTTCTGCCTTGATTTTAATTACAGTGAAAAAAATAGGCTGGTTTGACCTGTCAGGCTGCATATTCTCCTTAGATTGCTATATTATATTGAAATTTACTATCTCTAGAATAGCAATAAAAAAACTTTAATTTTCTTTGCTGCCATTGCTTGAAACATGTTGGAAGTGCAAACAGGAATTATTTTACAAGAATATTTAGTGGACTTCTCTTTCCAGCTGCTGCATATCTTTTTCCTAGCCAGCTATGTCAAAGAAATTATCCTACACAAAATGTACAGGTCACAGAAAATATCGTAGTTAGAAAAGAGGGGGCAGAACTGCTCACTGGTGTGAATACTTTTAAGTATTCTAAGTGCTTCCAGAAATTCTTCCTGGCTACTGGAGTAAGGATTTACTTCTAGCTCACATCTTACCTGGAAGGTATTTTAGGAGTTGTTATTAGTTTGTCTCCAGAATGATGGTTCCCTTTTAAAAATTACACTCCAGACCCAACATTGTCCATACAATATTCCCCAAGATTTAGGCAGTTTTTATGAAATTACTTTCTGGAACTTTACCAGAAATATTAATTTATTTTTATGAAACCCAAAAACTTTTTGTCTCTTCAGAAAAACTCTTTCTTCTCTTGGTTTCTGTGACACATGCCTTTCCTAATTTTCCTTTGTTCTCTCTCCAGACCTAGATGTCTGTAGAACTTGTATGCCTGCTGAGACATTTCATAGGTCTTTTGATTTGATGTATCATGAGGTGTTAAATTTTTCATTTGGGTGTTTTATAGTGTTCTAAGCTGTAGTGTGTGTGTGTGTGTGTGTGTGTGTGTGTGTGTGTGTGTGTGGTTTCAATCTTCACTCAATTCTCCAAAACTCTTGCCTCAGGTTTTTACTACAGTATCAACTCTTTAAGATAGGGACTGAATCTTTTCAATATTTTAGCCCTCACATATTACCTGAATACTGAGTGAATTATTCAGTGTAGCCTTAACAACAATTATAATTTTTATAAAATTATACTTTATTCTGATTAAATTTAGCAATCAAATTAAAATATAAAATATATGTATTACATACACATTTTTCTGCATATTAAATGTTTTTACTGTAGCTTTCTAAAATATAATTGTTATTTTCTGCCCTATAAGACTAATGAGAGATGAACCCATTTGGAACTACATACCCTTGAGGAAATAAAGAAATAAATGATGATTTTTATAATTTATTAATTTATATGCAGCAATTAAGTGGTAACTTTTTCACTCTATCCTTAAGTTTTTCCACAAGAGAAAAGCAGGAAAGACAGCATCAAATGTAATTTGTAATTGGCTAGTAAAATGACTTCTCTTTCTCACATACTTGCCTATGGAAATATTTAGGTTTATTGTTAATTCAAAGATAAAGGAAAATAGAATGATATATTCAGAGCCTCAGTTCAAATTCCAACTCCCTGCTTCATCTATTGAGGGCTTTTATCAAATGGGTTCAGTTTCATACATATATATTTTATATTCATACACATATATATTGCAGGTTACATAATATTATTATATTTGCATGTTTACCTACTATCTTGAAATTGGCTTTTAACTGAAATTACTTCTCTAAATAAACTATATACTCTCTTAAAGTTAATGCCTTAAGCAGTACAAGGTATTGATATATTTAATTTATCAGTATCTCAAATTACTAATTACTAATCAATTTAATAAACACTTTCTGCATGATGGAAGTTGATATTTGAGACAAAGCATAAATAGGCAATATAAAGACAAAGAAATGCAAATATTTTAAATGTGTATGAATATTATGGTTAACTTTAGACCTAATAAAATACATCAAAATTATATGAAGGTTACATATATAACTATTTGCATATTACATGGGCAATGAAAAATAAGTGTGTTAATTTTTGACAAGATCCAAGTAAACTAGCATACTTAAATATTACTTGTGTAAAAATAATCTAGTAATGTCCATTATGGAAGAAAGAAAGGAACATCTAAGAGAGGCATTAGATATTCATAAACTTTGATTCCATAAACAAAGTAATAAGACCTTATTCTTACCAAAGAATTAAATATAGAGAAAAAAATCACATTCTAAGATGGTCTTTCAGTCATCTATTACAGACTTCATTTCAATCATTTCAGTCATCATTTCAGACATCTAAGATGGTCATCAATCATCTATAATAAAAAATTATAGATGATTGATTATTGAGTAGTTAGGGTTTAATTCAATTAGGTCAATTTAATAGAATATTATGGAGACATTCAGTTATGTCTGTTTATAAAGAACATAGGTGAACACATAAAAAATTAAAAATGAGAGAAGCATGATACAAATGTATCTACAGTATGCTCTCAACCACATTATATAGATAAAAGCTGCATCAGAAATATAAAGATAACCAATTTAGAATTTAATTAAATATGTAAATGTTTGAGGAATAGCAATAGCATAATTTTAACTAAAACAGGATTTTTTTAAAATTAGGGAAATAAATAAACATAGCTTTGAAATGAAATAGAAATACTTGTTGAATTTAGTCTACCATTTCTTCACTCTATTCGTCATCTACAATCCCTTTGCTCTCTTGAGCCTTTCCTCTTTTTATTTTTTCCTGGCTTTCTATTTATCAGTATTGTACTAATCAAATAGCCAAGACAAAAATACGGTTGTCACCTTCCCTTTTACCGTTTCAAATCAGCTAACATCTCTTGTAGATCTCATTTTCTGATACTCTCTGGAACTAAGACAACTTTCAAGCTGTTGTTTTAGTTTAGGTGCGTGTCTTTCACCCAGCCTTGCCCGAACGACCTCATCTCTCTGTCTTAAGTAATCTCCTCCCACTTTGTCAATTTGATCTCCACAATATTGTCAGAGTTATCTTTCTCACAAGTTTGTACTACTATTAATTTTTCTGGCCACAGTTTTTCAATGACTACTTATCATTGACTGTATATAGACCCATTAGCATAAGTGGTTGTACCTTCTGTCACTTCCAGCTACTTTATCCATAATAACACTTAAACCATTGTAGTTCATTAATGCTACATTATCTCACAGTTTTGTTTATTTGTAAAAGTTAGACCAGATATTTGATGTGCCCTCCTTAGATATGTTCCAGGCCATTCTTATTCCTCCAGTCTCATAAACTATCATTTCCTTTAACCATCTTCTTTATGCCTCTTGGGCGTATTTAGAAAGCCGTATCCTTATATACTAAGTCATCTAATGCAGCAATATTGTTACTGTGAAAAGATAACAAAAGGCCAGGCTCGGTGGCTCACACCAGTAATCCCAGCAATTTGGGAGAACGAGAGAGGCGGATCACCTGAGGTCAGGAGTCCGAGACCAGCCTGGCCAACATGGTGAAACCTCGTCTCTACAAAAATAGGTGGGCACCTGTAGTACCAGCTACTTGTGAGGCTGAGGCAGGAGAATGGCTTGAACCCAAGAGGCGGAGGTTGCAGTGAGCCGAGATCGCCACTGCACTCAGCCTGGGCAACAGAACAAGACTCCGTCTCAAAAATAAATAAATAAAGAAATAAATAATGCATATCTCAGGGAACATCTATGAGAAAAAATGTAGTGATGTATGCAAATTCTTTTAAACATAAGATACTCAGTGGGTGATAATAACTATTAAGGAGAGAAAGTATATTAAAGTTGTTAGAATATCGGCTTCACATTCAGGCAGATCCAGATTACTAGTTGTGCGATCACAAATAAGGTTCTTAATCTATATCAGATCCTTTAGCAGCAAAATGAGAATAATACCACTGTAGCTGACATTATGGCTGACTCCCACACCCATTCCACCTTCCCCAGCTCTAGGTAGAGATTATGCTAATTTCAGCGGTTTTAAAGCAAAGGTGAGTTTTGCCCTCTAGAGAAAATTCAGCTATGTCTGAAGACCTTCCTGATTGTCACAATTGTGAGTGTTACTGGCATCTAATAGGTAGAGGTCACTGTCGGATACACATTCTACAGTGCATAGGAAAGCCCTCCAGAACAAAGAATTCTCTGGCTGAAATATCAGTTGTGTCAATGTTGAGAAACCTTGGCCTAATAACAAACCATGAATATCCCAGGCACTGTGCCAGTGTTAATACATTAGCATATGGCATTCTCCTACAGATAGGTATTTGTCCAGGGTGTATGTGTCTTACATTGATATAATTGGACTTAAATGCAGAAATCATATTCAAGATTAAAATTTCTCCTTGTCTTCAGCACTCTTCTCCCACCTTCAATCTCTTTACCTCTCCTTTCCTCCTCCTATCTCACTTTCCCATTTTCTACTCTCCCACTGAAACTGAAGAAAAAAGTCTGTAGCTCTGATTAATATCAACAGTCATCTTAAGACTGCAAGGTAAATCTGTTGTAATAGAGACAACAGAGAAAGTGATAGAATGAGTGTTGGAATTTGATTACTGTGTTGGCTTCTTTTTGAACTATCTCCCTTGCTAGACTACAAACCCCATAAGATAAAACATGTATAATTTGTTCACCACGTGGTGCATAACACAGTATATGGCATATATAAGTGATGTAGAAATGATAAATAATTGTTCTTCTGCTTTGCTTTTGTGTCTGTCTTTTCACAAGAGTAAGTTACTTAAGAATTTTCCTTTTTTCATCACAAAGATTAAATATTATTTGTTCAATCATACACACACACACACGTACACACACACACAAAGAGAGAGCGAGAGGAGAGACAGTAAAAAAAGAAAAAACAAGTATCATGGTATAGTGGAAGTTCAAAATATCTGAATAATAGCCTAATTTAATCTTGGCTTCTAATCTTGACCCTGTCTATTTTATATCACATCATAGAGTCGTCCATGAATGCAGGAATATTTTTCTATTTGGCAATGTTTTCCAAGTTCCAGAATAAGGAAAGTCTGGCATATACTTAGCACTCAATAAATTCTTAATGACACTCAATAAATTCTTAATGAATGAGTAAATATCACTTACCTTTTCAGAGCTACAATTGTTAATAATACTTACCTTAAGGTTGTATTAGAATTCAATTAAATAAAGTAAGCTAAGTGTTGGATGCATTACAAATGTTCAATACACATTAATTTATTTTCTTTCTTTGTTTTCCCAAATAATTTTCTGCTAGGAAACATCCCAGACAGCTGGATACTAATCAAGTGTACTAAATGGGTCAAATTATCTGCATAATGAAAACAAACCCAAAAGGAATGACAGGTAGGGAAGAGAATAAAGCTTGTTGAGGCAAAAAGATTCCTTAATATATGTAGATACATCTAAATCAGTAATTTTATTTATATCTTTAAAAATATAGCCACTTCTTTGAAAACCACGGATGCAGTAAACACATACTACTTTCATAATATTTTTTTCCAGGTCAAGAACAATTGAATATGCATTATATGAATATCTGATCAGTCTATCAAAGAGGTAATGCACAATTGTTTAATTCATAAAACCAAATACTTTATGACTCTACTTCAGTTTATTTGTTTTATAAAGAATTTGTATAACATGCCATTAACACAGATTACTGAAATTAATAGTTTTACCTTACATAGTTAACATAGAACATAACATAGATATTAGCCAATCAGTCTATATATATTTGCACTTAGTAAAAAACTGTTCCATAGACTTATTGACATACTTAAAATTTTCAAGATTAGAGATAGTTTTTGAGTCTGTTTTGTAGATAAATTAATTATTAATTTGTGGAAATTTCAGTATTTCACATTTTTATATGTCATGTATTTTATCAGAATAATTGTTGCAACCAAAATTGTTAATTTCTCTGAATTTTCAAAAAGCAACCCGGCAAACCAAATAGGTACCTAGTTTCATTTTATGGATAACATAAACCTACATATATTATCACATATAATATTCATGATATTTCACAATATATTATGAGGTACATAGGAATTAATGTTCTTCATTTTCAAGGAAAGAAACCACCTATTTAATGTTGAACAAATGCTTGTTTGATCAAAGGCTTATTTGACCATCTGCAGACAGATTATTTCTTTTCCAAACTGATTTATTTGTTAATATAATGAGCATATGTGTATTGAAGCTATGAGTAAGCAACAGATTTGAATCATAGCTCCTGCATCTATTAACTGTGTGACTTTGGGCAGGGAATAAATTTTACCATACCTCAAGGTAGATAATTATAGTGTCTATCTCACAAGGTATTTGCATGAAATCTATCACTGTATTCTTGGAAAGCACAGAAACACATCTGACACATCATAAATGCATAGTCATGAAAGTTATTATTATTAATTCAAAAACATAATAAAATAATTTTTTTAATTTTTTTTTTTTTTAGACAGGGTCTTGCTCTGTCACCCAGGCCTGAGTGCAGTGGTGTGATCTCGGCTCAGCCTGCTCAGTAGCTGGGACTATAGGCACACACCACCACATCTGGCTAGGCTTTGTAGTTTGTTTTTTTTTTTGGTTTTTTTTTTTTTTTTTGTAGAGACAAGGATTCATCATGTTGTCCAGGCTGGTCTCGAACTCCTGGGCTGTACCTGCCTTGGCCTCCCAAAAGTACTGGGATTATAGGCATGAGCCATTGTGCCCAGCCTAAAGTTAACTTTTCAACTGCTAAACTGATTTTGTTTGTAAATTTCACAACTACGTATTTTGTTTTTACCAGAATATATTGCTTAGTTGAAAAATAAAATATATTGAGTTTTAGAAGTGTCTTTCACACCCTAATGCAGTGGCTTTAAAAATGCCTAATGGTCTTCTAGAGACCTTCAAAAATTTTCACATTTCTGGACTCCTTTCCAAAAGTTTTTGATCCAGGAAGTACTGGCCAAGGCTATATTGATAGTATTCAACTTCCTGGTTCATTCATAACTCAGCAAATACGATGGAACATTTACTACACGCCAGGCACTATTTTTGGCACTTATGATAAGAGTGGCGAATAAGAAAGACAAAACGTATTGAGTATCAAGAGTGACAGACGAAGGCAAATTCAGACTGAAGTTAGGTGAGCGATAAAGGGCTGAGACCAGCTTAGTAGCCATTAAACAGAAAGAATATACAGATGTCTGCTACTGTTTGCATGTAAAGTTTTATAAAAGAATTGAAGTTTGAGAGAAACTGAGGAACAAAAACTATAAGGATTATGTTTTTTATTTGAGAAACAATTAATTATATGTACATGTATGAATTTTGATGATTCTGTTTTATTGACTGAAATAAAGGAGACTCAAGATGGGATAGATTGGAATGAGAGGGGAAAAAAGGACTCTATTTTGAACACACTGTGCTTGAAACATGTTAGAAATACATATAGTAATGTTAAAGACAAAAATATTCTGGAACTATAGAAAAAAGTTGGGGCTAGAGACAAAATGTGTGCTTCACCAGAGTATTTTTGCAGGTTTCTAAATTTTTCTGAGAGTCTAACTGTTAAGAGGCAAAAGATAGCCACACTCATCCTAAGAAGCAAGGAGTGTAGCCTATTTAACCTTGGGTCAGGTGCCCTGCCCTGGCCCAATCAGGTGGGGCCCTAGACCCTGCACACCTAATATGGCCTCTTTGGGAAAAGGATAGAATAGTTGCTTGGTGCATTTATAAATGTCTGTAAGCAGATTTCACAATGATGAATAACAGTAGTAAATATTATGCAGAAAACTCCAAAGAACCTACTATCAGTACGCCCTTTAGGGTTAACAGTCAAAAAGAAAAGAAATAGACATACAAGAGCGACATATAAAATTACCAACTCAAATATAAAATTATTGCAATAATTTTGTTACAATAATAAAATTATTTCCTTAGTTCCTTCCTTCCTTCCTTCCTTCTTTCCTTCCTTCCTCCCACCCTCCCTCCATCCCACACTCCTTCCTTCCCTTCCTCTCTTCCTCCATTTTTCCCATAATAAAAGATATTTAAATATATATATATATACTGTATAATCTAGTTGCCATATGTCCACTACTTATTTTAAACAAGAGAACTTTAAAACATTTCCTATATTTTGAAGCACCTCAATGCCTGCATTATCAATTATTTTTAATTCATTTGCTTCTATTCATACTTTCTCACGCAAAAATATACTAGATATGTTTTAATTTTGCATTTTTAACTTTATGGAAAATAAATCATACCACACAATATTTTTGTTGTTCACCACTTTTTTGCTCGTTCATTTATTGAATGTGGCTATAGTGCATTCATTTTCACTTCAGTACAGTGTTTTAGTTGTGTGACTGTATTGTAGTTTGTCTTTTGTGTTGTGAAATTATATTTGGATTCTTTCTAGATTGTTGTTGCTATGATATGCAATTTTAGAATAAGCATTCTTGCATATTTCTCTTAGTATATGGAAGGTATTATTCTCTGTACTGTATGCTTTGATATGGTACTATTGTGTTATTGAGTATGAATATATTTAAATATATTAGATGATACAAACTTATGTTCTAAAGGTGCTGTTTAATTTAGTCTCCTAACAGCAGTGAATATAATTTATCATTAATCTATATCGTCTCAAACTTTTGCTATTTTTAATGTTATAGACATTAAGAATGTTTGACATTCTTAGCTCTCTTAAGGCTTTTTTAAAATTAGGTTTACTTTTACTCTTGAGACATTAATCTACCTATTAATAATAATTGCTGTTCTGTTTCAGTTAATATGTTTTATATTTCTGTCTGCTTTTAGAACTTTAATATTTTCTTCTGAGTTTTCACAATCATGTATTTTGGGGTGGATCTCATTTATTAATTCTTTTGGAGGATATTGCACTACTGGAATCTGATAATTCTTGCTTTTCCTAAATTCTGGAAAAAAATTAGCCATTTTATTTCTGAATATTATATCCCTCATGCTCTCCACAGCTTCCTTCCAGAATATATTTTAGATTTTTTTTTTTTTTTACTTTCTTACTCTATTTTTCTTCTCTCAGAATCTTTGATGATTTCCATCTCTTTGTCTGTGCTACATTCAGGGTAGTACCTTGGGGTATACGTTTGAGTTGATGAATCTTCTTTTCGGCTGCGTTTAAACTGCCATTTAACCTTTTCATTAACTTTTTTGTAATATTAATTATAGTATGCATCCCATAAATCATGTAAACAAATTAATGTATTTTAGGCATAAATTCCCAGGCATGAATTCATAATTGGTGAAGCTAACTAATGAACATATTCGTTATTCAAGCCAGAAAGTGTTGAATATTTGTCTATTACTTTTATATTATTTTCTTGCTATGAGTTATGTATACATACATATATACACACACACACGCCATCTATAAATTCTAGAGTTTCTATGTAATTTAAAACTGCTTATTTCTACAACTTTTGTTCTTTCATCACATTTTTAAAAACCTTTTGAATATATGAAAAGTATACTTTGATACTGTATATCTACAGATATTATTACTTTTTCCCTTGTCTTGTTTGTTCCCGTTCAGATTCTCTTGTTTTAGTATTTGGAATATATTCTTTTATTTGGAGGCAGGGAACCCAAGGCTGTTTAAGGCCAACTTCCTAGAACTAAATTGAAAGGAAAACTCTAACTTTCCACGCCTAAGTAACAAAAGTGCCAGAGGCTACTCCCCTTGAGTTTTTATGCAGGGCAAATAGGAAATTGGCTGTCCCCAACAAATCAGGCTGATTGCGGGTAGAGTCTTCCTTTGCAAATTTGTAACTTCACCCTAGCCTCTGGTTGGTTGCTTTTTGCAACCAATCAGATGCTTGCACAGGAGTGTGACCTTTGTAACTTCTCTTCATCTTCCGGTTGGCTGCTTTCTGCAACCAATCAGACTGATGGCAGACTACCACTTCAGTTTCATGAGATGAACGTGAAGTGGCCAATGGGAAACCTCTAGGGAGTATTTGAACCCAAGGAGATTCTGTATCCGGGCCCTTGAGCCACTGGTCGGGTCCGCTCGCACACTGTGGAGTGTACTTTTCGTTTTCAATAAATCCCTGCTTTCGTTCCTCTGTTGCTTCATTCATTCTTTCTTTGCTTTCCTGGATGTTTTGACCAATTCTTAATGGTATGACTCTTGATTTTATGTGGCTTTCCTTTTTACATGACCTTTTCCCCTAACTTGATTGGCTCAATGTCACCAGGCTTTGGCCAATACTGGGGGCATCAGAGATTTTTTTCACAATTTTGAATTCTCACTATTACTTTGTTTTTGGTTGATGCTTTTTTTGTACAATCTGTTTGATCTACAAAAGTGGTTTGGGTTTTAGGTGGCATTAGGTTTTAATTTGGACAATTGTTTCTCAACAACCACAGCATACAACCACAAATGAAAGTCATTCTTTCTAAACCTTAGAAATTTTTTAATCCATGCATATCTTCTCATTTCTAGTATAACAACACTCATAAAGATGTAAAGATATAAAATTTGTTATACATTTGTTGCAAATTAAATGTTGATAAAAATACGTATTTATCAGACATAAATCCAAGCAAAAATATCCTTCTCATTCCTTGAATGCTACATTAAAATGTGAAAAGTGGATTACAATTTACTAAATAAATTCTCAAAAATGCCCCAATGACATTTTTTAGGAAACCTTTATCACTCTATTTTGAATATTTTGTAGAATATGCATACATCATTCAAATGAATGTTTGACTGTATTTTCTACATTATAATCAAGAGGAAACATTAAATTATGTTTTATCAATGAGGAAACATTAAGTAAAGAGAAAAAATTTCAAGTGATTATTAGATTAGCACTGTATACCTTTGTAACATACTTAAATATGTTGGGCCAATGGCACTTTTGGACAGCTATTCATCTTAAAATAACGCCTCACAAAAAGTTACTTTGTTACAATGTAGTTTTTACATTTCTTGTTTTTAAAGATGGCTAATCAAACCTTCATATTACAGTAACTTGTGTTTTAAAAAACGAGAGTACTGGCTACACGCGGTGGCTCATGCCTATAGTGCCAGATACGTGGGAAGCTGAAATGGAAGAACTGCTGGAGCCCAGGGATTCAAGGCTGCAGTAAGCTATGATCACACCACTGCACTCCAGCCTGGGTGACAGAGAAAGATTCTGTCTCTTTTAAAAAAAGAGAAAAATATAGAGGTTTTATTTTATTTAATTTTTTAATAGTAGCTTCATTATTTCCTATTATATATTACTACAGAAAGTGCACAATGTTGTTATAAACAAGAATCATATGTAATATTGTATTTATATTTGTATTAAAAATTACTATGATAGGCCGGGCGCTGTGGCTCACACCTGTAATCCCAGCACTTTGGGAGGCCGAGACAGGCGGATCACCAGAGGTCGGGAGTTTGAGACCAGCCTAACCAACATGGAGAAACCCCATCTCTACTAAAAATAGAACATTAGCCAGACGTGGTGGCGCATGCCTGTAATCCCAGCTACTCGGGCGGCTGAGGCAGGAGAATCACTTGAACCCAGGAGGTGGAGGTTGCTGTGAGCCGAGATCGCGCCCTTGCACTCCAGCCTGGGAGACAGAGCTAGACTCTGTCTCGAAAAAAAAAAAAAATTACTATGATAATATAGCAGAAAATATATAGAAAAATTACTAAGATATAGTAAAAATTATTAGGATAATATAGTAGAATATGGTATACTTATAAATACTATGATAATACAAAAATTACTATGATAATATAATATGTTGTCATAAACAAGAACCATATGTAATATTGTATTTATATTTATATTAAAAATTACTATGATAATATAGTAGACTATTTTACAGATAAAATAGAAAAAATATTTTTACTAAGTGGAAAAATATTTTAACTATTCCTATAATATACATTTAAATTTTGCATAGTTCACAATTTTAAAAAAACTTCAGTAATATTTTTGACATACAACTTATTAAAAATTAATCCAGGTTCACTCCTGTAATCCCAGCACTTTGGGAGGCCGAGGAGGGCGGATCGCGAGATCAGGAGATCGAGATCATCCTGGCTAACACAGTGAAACCCCGTTTCTACTAAAAATACAAAAAATTAGCCAGGCGTTGTGGCGGGCCCCTGTAGTCCCAGCTACTCGGGAGGCTGAGGCAGGAGAATGGCGTGAACCCGAGAGGCGGAGCTTGCAGTGAGCCGAGATCGCGCCACTGCACTCCAGCCTGGGCGACAGAGCGAGACTCCCCTTTTTATATTTTCAGTAGAGACGGGGTTTCACCGTGTTAGCCAGGATGGTCTCGATCTCCTGACCTCGTGATCTGCCCGCCTCGGCCTCCCAAAGTGCTGGGATTACAGGCATGAGTAACTGCGCCCGGCACCAATATTCTGTTTTTTAGGTGCATATATTTATATTAAAAATCTTTTTTTTACTTATATAGATTTACAAATGTATTTATGTGTGTCTTAAAGCACAAATTAAAGTACAGCAAAAAGTTTGAATCCCACATAAAAAATTTTCTGCTCTTGAAAGAAAATAAACAGATATATTCAACACACGGAACTAAGTAACATCTGGAATATTACTTAGATATTATTTGAATATTAACCATTTAAATGAGAAGTGCTATACTTCCTAAATTGCCTTTTAAAATTATGAGTCACAGTTTATTTGTACTTCCGTAACCACGAATAATATTATGTTATTTCCTCTCTTCTCTTTTCTACTTGGGTTGCGATTATGAGAATAATAATGAATATGCATATGTATTATGGTTTGACGATTTGAGAAGCTCAAATCCAAGAGCTTTGCAAATATTGTTGGGAATTATTTTTACTTTAATAGTCTATGTAATTTCATCAATTCTTTATTTGCTAGTTCATATAATACCGCAGATCAGATGATTATAGGACCTACTGACTTTGATAAACAGATAATAAGCTAAACTTTATAAAGGAAACAACCTTCTTTGTTTATTTACATTTCATATCCTAAAAGATATATTTTTAAATATAATAAGAAAATACAACGTTAGAATTGTGAAATTTAAGAGTAAGAAAAAATAAGGGTAATAAGGTCTGATTATGAATTGTAAAATAAAATAGAATATCCCTAGTAGCCAACACCAAAAGTGAAACATCAGGTTTACTATATATTAGTGTTCCTGAAAAGATCACATTTTAATGAAATTAAATGCCCATTTCTATGGTTATTATATTTAAATACAATTAATGATAACGATAGCAAATTCTAGAAATGTTCTGTCTATATAAAATCACAATTAATTTTTCCATCCATTGTTTAATATGAATGTTATCATTCCCAGCTTACATATGATGCTACTGGGCTCAGAAATTTCTATATTCTGGTGATTCTCAATTTTTGTCTGCAATTATGACTTGTCTCCTAAATGTAAAATTTACATACTGTATTTCTCACTCAAAATCTCCACTTAACTATTTAATACTCACTCCCAAAAGCAAACTATGTCTTTCTTCCTCTCCTGAGTTTTCTCATTTTCTTACTTAGGTGAATAGCTGGCCAGTTTCTGAGATCTGGAACCTTGGTGATATTACCAACATCTCTCTGTCTCATCTGTTGCCTCATTAGACCTGTAGCAAATCCTGTTGGATTTACTTTCAAATTATATCCATAATCCAAGAATTTCTTCACACCTCCATTGCTATAAAATTGCTTTAAACAAGCCCCATCTCTCACCTAGTGTCTACACCAACCCCTGTAATAGCTTCCTACCTGGGCCATTTCACTCATTTTCCTCAATCTGCAAATTATTCATGACACAGGAGCCAAACAATTGTTTTAAAGCCTAAATTTCTTCACGATGCTTTCCCAGGCAAAGCATTAGCATACTTTCCCAGGCAAAGCATTCCAGTGACTTCCTTTCACGTAAAGAAATAAAATCCAGACTTCATACCAAAGTATGCAAATCTCCGCAAGAGCCTGTCTCTGTCAGTTCTGGAACATCATCTCCATTCAGTCTCTCCTTCCTCACTCTTGTCCCACACAGACACATAGTTATTCTCCAAATACATCCAATATGCCACCACCTCAGAACCTTTTCAAGCTCTCTGCCTTATGTCTTGAACTTTATTTTCCTGTATGTGACTTGACTAGCATCCCTCACTTCATTCAGTCTGCTCCAGTGTCATCTTATGTGAAGGACCGTCTGAGAACTACAAACATTATCTTCCTCCTCCAACCCTGGGACACTTCCCTATCACTTCCCCTTGCTTACACTTACCACTATCCAGCATATTTTATAGTTATCTATAATATTTCCTTAAATCTATTCTCTCTCAGTAGATTGATAGCTCCATGGGAGCAACAGAATTTTTTCTCTCACCTGATTCTCTGATGTTAATCTCTTAAATGTTAATTTGAATTACTACTTAAAGGTGAGTTGTTAATCATGTCAGTAGACATCTTTCTCAAGATGCTTAGTCACATCAGCCAAGCCCCTTTTTTGAGATATTCCATGTTTTCCATACATTCACACTTTCCACGATTAAGTCCTAGGTATATTTGGCTAGGTGTGGGGGAGAAAAAGGAGGCACTGGAGTGGTGGTAATGGTAAAGGTAAATTTTACTGCATGCAAATTTTAAATATTTAATCCTTGGGTGTTCCATGATATAGTCATTTGTGACATTTTGATGAATGAAACTTCATAAAATTTGATTTTGAAAGAAAATTAATATTAATATTAATGTTTAATATTTTAATAAATCTAACATTATTTCATTTACCACACTCAGAAACCATAATTATTAAATATAACAGAACTTGGAGTTCTGTCTACATAATATTTGTCATTCATAAAAAAACAAACTCATATATCATTGAACTGGAAACTGGTACAGACACTCTGGAAAACAGTTTGGCAGTTCCTTAATAAATTAAACTTACTATGACCTTAACGTATACTTTCTTGACCTAGCATAAACATTCCAAGACATTCACCTTGGACAAATAAAAATGTATGTCCACACAAAACCATGTACATGAATGTTTATAGCTGTTTTACTCCTAATTGACAAAATAGAGAAGCAGCCTAACTGTCCTTCAACAAAAGAATGGATAAACTGTACAACATTCACACAGTGAAATACCACTCAACAATGCAAAGAAACAAATTATTGGTAGACACACACTGTAAGTTAATTTCAAATACTTTATGCTTAGTGAAAGAAGCCATTTTCAAATGGCCCCATACTGTAGGACTCTATCCATATGACTTCTGGAGAAGGCAAAACTATAGGGACAGAGATTATACCAGTAGTTGCCATGAGGCAGGAATAAAGAGAAGATGTGATCATAAAGCCTCAGCAAAGGAAATTTTTTTGAGTGAGGGAACTGCTCTGTATCCTAAATATGATGGCTGTTACACAAATCTATACATATAAGAAAGCGCAATAGAAGGGTGCGATAAAGGTAAATTTTACTGTATATAAATGTAAAAAATCATCTCTAGGTATTACATGATATAATAATTTGTGATATTTTGATTAACAAAACTTTATTCCAAAAAATTTGATTTGTGAAAGCAAATTATTTTGGTTTAATTTTTTCATATTTTAATATTAATATTAATATATTTAACATTTTAATAATATTAATATATTTAATATTTTAATAAATCTAGTTTATCATTTGATAATTGTATTTCAATTCAACATTTTGTTCTTTGAAGACACACACACACTTTTTTCCTTTTTCTTTTTTGGAGTGGATTTAAATTAGATACTACAGTTGTATCAATGAACTTCAGGACTTGAGGATGCAAGGGTATTTGGGAAATATTCCTTAGAGTTTTAAGAACATGGCAAACTAATTACCTCTGTCACCAAGTAATACAATAAAAAACAAATGAAAATAAAATAGGCATACAAACAACTATCCCTTATTCATATTTAAGTTCTCGAAATCATGGTTTAATGCTGATTTTTCTTTCTTCAGATTTCAACTCCAGCGCGTTTTTTGCTGATTGTTATTTTTCTCCTAACAGTCAGCATTGTCCTGATGCTCTACAAACTCCAGTGAAGAAAGTGCATTCTACTAATAACAAGAAGGACTTAGGACACTGCACTTTTGTTTTGTTTTGCTTTTATGGAAAACAAACAAACAAACAAACAAATAAATCTACTTTCCCTAACGCAGGCTTATTTGAGGCCATCTGGCTCCATTCCAGTCTCAAGAGGAGTTACATGTGCAGCATAATACTTTGTGATCATTTACAATTTGGGCCTTAAAAGACTTTTTTCTCTATTTGAATTGTTTCTCTTGCCTGATTCACTGATTCTCTTTCTTAAATGTTAATTAGCATTAACCCTCAAAGATATTTATTAACCATGTCAGCAGTTATCCAGTGGATTTTATAAAATGATCTCAAACTGCAATTTGAGGTTAGTTCCAAAGAGGTCAGACTGTTTCCTTCTGATTACTTAAGATTTCTATTTGATGAGGCAGTTTAAGACAAAAATATATAATAACTTTGCAAATGATCAAAATATTCTTCTAACATTTGATTAAATAATACTCAATCTAATATATTAAAGCCCTTCTTTTTTATTTCCTCTTTCCTCCTAGCCTCTGGTCAACTCTTTTCCAGATTCTGTGAGCACTACAGTGTAACATTCTTTTTCTTCTCTAAGACTTAAGCCAGCAGTAATGGACTTTAAGCTGATCACCCGTCTAACCTTAAATTGTTTCTCTTTAATTCAGGATTTTCTCAAATCATTGCTGACCTACTACTTGAAAACCACAAATCCTCAACTAATTCCCGACACAGCAGATTACTGGGAAACTTCATCTGTTGTACCAAAGCAAAATTGTATCACTTGGAAAATTGAAACATTCAGACCGCTTTTGCCACCTCTCTTAACTGAAAGATTTTCTGTTCTTATCTGTTTGTTATTTTACACATGGTTATTCTAATGGTATTATTTTTTAATCCAGAATAAACATGTAGGGACAATGTATTATCCATAAATTCAAAATAACCATGACAAGCTCTTTATTAAGGAAAAATAAAAACTTCAAAGGATGACTAAGGATAATACATCTAGAGTATGTTCCATTTAAATGGATTTTAAAAACTAACAATAAAAATGAGTTTTAAAACATATTTTATCTGCATTTTTTCTTTTACACCACATTTTCATTTCCATTTACAGTGGAATAATTATTTTACAGAACTCGAGTTGTCTTTCCAGCTGAGGAAAGAACCACAGACCCCTTACATAGTAGAGCAAGCAGCATTAGCAGTAGCATTCTCTGGTGATGCATGTAGGAAGATAATGGTTAAATGATTCATTGCAATATATGAATAGTTTGGATTTATTTTACCCCAAAAAGACATTTCTCCAACACCTTCATATATTATCTCATTGGGATCAATAGTGAATTCTTGATTTTCAGTGATCATTGCTGAAAAATGTATATCTCATCTAATTCTGTGTTGAGTCAGCTAAAGATATGTTTAGGATGTTTGGAAACCATATAGTATTCTGGGAAGTGTGATTTTGTTTTCCTTCATAAACCAGAAGATAAAAGTCTGAAAATAAGAGATAAAAAATAAACTCTAAAACAGCATAAGTGTACACACCTGTAATACTGTAATCTCTAATCCATAAACTCTTCAGCTCCTGCTGAGACTGTCAGGAAGGGTTTGTTTTGATCTGAACAGAGTGAAGAACATTCGGCTGAACAAGCTCTATTCACTCAAAAACATTCTTTAACAAAACATTCTCTACGTGCCTAACTTATCAATGATGTATGTTGTTATAATAACGATGTATAAATTATGTCTTTTATTCATCACATTTCTCAATGTCACATTAACTCTGTCATTACTGTCAATCTTATATTAGTCTCATGCAGTTCTTTACTAAGTAATTTAAAATTCAAATATAATGAAATCTCCCTTGATACGTATTCCAATAAGTAGGGAAAGCAAAATGAGCCCTCTGGGATAATAAAAGTGTTTCAATATGGTTAATCTCAGATTTAATAATCCTAGGCTATGTTAACATTTTATTTAAATAAAATTTTATCAGGTACCTATTTCTAATAACTAAAGTAAACTGATATAAAAATTAATGTGTAGGTTAAACAAAGTGCCAGTAAGTAAAGGAAAATATAAAGCTCCCTGAGATCAGAGACCAGAGCTTCACACGTCTGAGATTCTCCCTTAATTCATCTAATGATGTTACCGGCAGAGCGGAAGACTCAAAAGTTGACAGTTTTCTGACAGGCAAGGATACATTATTCTATGTTCTTTACAAAAAGTCATTTCCTCAACTCTTTGAATATTTTCTGTGAGATTTGTTTAATGCTTTTAAAAGAAAATTTTACATATTTGAGAATGTATTCAGTTTTTTTTCTGTGAAGTTATGCTTAGCGGTCAGAATTTTATACATTCTTTTGAATTTATGATTTTTAAATCTTTTTAGTTGTTCTTTTAATTTAATTTTTTTTGAGACGGAGTCTTGCTGTGTTGCCCAGGCTGCAGTCAGTGGCACGATCTCAGCTCACTGCAACCTCAGCCTCCTGGGTTCAAGTGATTCTCCTGCCTCAGCCTCCTGAGTAGCTGGGACTATAGGGATGTACCACCACACCTGGCTAATTTTTTGTATTTTTAGTAGAGATATTGGCCAGACTGGTCTCAAACTCCTGACCTCGTGATCTGCCTGCCTCAGCATTTTTCAAACTGGTGTTTCCCATTTAAATTAAAAGTCTCAGGAGTGCTCACTACACTACTGCTTATTAATTTCATATCCTGCACTATACAAATATAAGGAATTAATATATCTATGACAACAGAATACTGCAAGTATTAAAAGGATAACAAAGGTCTTCCTCCCTATGTCTCATTAGGTTTCTAAGCACTATTTTTTAAAGAGAAGTAGTATGTTATGAAAACTACTCACACAAAAAAATCTGCAAAACAACAATGAAAAGATACGGACTTTCTATAGTTATTTACAAAGTTTCAGGTAGAAATTGAAACTAAAATTTGGGTTTATATTTCCTATTGTTTTTTAAATTACCTTTATGCTTGAGAGCTGCTGTGCTAAACAAAACAGACTGTTGATGTGAAACTATAGAGCTTTAATTTATAACTAATAATTTAATATTATGGCAGTTATATTTGTCAAAGATAGTGATAAAGACAGAGAGGTCTTTAGCTCAGTTACATGAATAGCAGACTATCCGGCTTTTTAAAAATCTGAAACTGATGTTCGTCTTGCTTTGAGATCTCATAGACCAAATTCAATTTCTGCAATTGAAAATTGAGAAATATCAGGAAAATTTAGATGAATTATTCTGGTGGTAGTCATTGCTCTTCATCTCAATTTTAGATATTTGAATAGTTCCTATTATTGACAGAAAACCATCAGAGCGAAGGGTTTAAATCACCATTAGGGAGACATTTCTTGGTGGACAGCTAATCCCCAAAATGATCAAAGTAAAAAGATAGATATTATCAAAAGTTATTTGGTGTTAGAACTTGAAGGGTGTAGAGTAGTCTAAAAACAACATATTTAAATACACACAAAATAACTCTTTTGTGTATTGTAAAATTTGCCATTTACGTTGTCCTGTGTGCCAGAAATTTTAAAAGTTAAATAAACACAAAATCGTATTTGATTCATATTTACATAAACTGGAGTACGAGTAAAAGCAATCAAGTGAAGGGAAGATACTCAGACATTGCTTTCCTCAATACATTCTTGATGGTATACTCTGTTTTGGAAATCTAACTGCATTTTAAATTCTAAGAATGAATGTGTGTATACAAAGAAGTGTATACATACAATGGCAAAAAAAAGCCTTACCATATCCATATTTTTAAAATTTATTTATTTATTTTGAGACAGGGCTGAGCCAGTTGCCCAGACTGGAGTGCAGTGGTACAATCTTGGCTCACTTCAGCCTCAACCTCCCAGACTCAGGTAACTCTCCCACCTCAGCCTCCTGAGTAGCTGAGACTACAGACATGGGCCACCATGCCCAGCTAATTTTTTGTATTATTTTAGTAGAGACAGGGTTTCATCATGTTGCCCATCAAGGTCTGGAAGTCCTGTATTCAAGCAGTCCACCTGCCTCAGCCTCCCAAAGTGCTGGGATTATAGGCGAGAGCCACTGTGCGCAGACCCTGCATAGTGATTTCATTTTTCTTTGCTTCTTTCCTTGTTTTAGGGTTTGAGTGTGTGGTTTGGGAGATAGTATTGTGTGTGTATGTTTTTTCCTTTGGCAGAAATCCTTAGATTTGGGTTGGTTAGATAGACAACTGGCAAAACTGTGTTAGAGGAATGACATGAAGAGTTACTGAAAGGAATTAAAAATAATGTGATCGATGTAGACTTAACTGACAGCAGACTTAACTAGATCTTATTTTTCTTTACTTTAATCAACAAATCATCAATTATTTGTTAAAAAAAAATAAAAAGAAGGAAAACACATTGCATACCAGGTCTTGAGCCAGACACTACTGAAGCAATTCGCAGTACTATTGAATTCCTCCCTACACAGAGATTACTATCTGATTTGGGAGAGAGAAAAACAAATACAACACAATTTGAAATTGTCCTAGGGAGCAGCTTCCTGTGTCATTACAATTCATAGAAAAATCAGTTAACTCAAACCTGGGAGGTCAGTGAAGCCCTTCTCAAAGTGTGGACATTTCAAGTGACATGAGTAGCAGTTGCATAGGAAAAGCTGCTAGTAGACAGAAAGCAAATTGCAGTGTGTGTGGAGTTTAGAATAAACTGTTACATAACATCATTCTCTAAAAGGTGATATAAACTAGAGTCTTCTTCAGTGAACTACTGTAATTTTCAGAAGCTAGATGACCAGCACTCTCCACACGAATTCATATTCATGAGGAGTCGATGGAAAGAGCTCTACATTAGAAGAAATGTACTTGATTTCAATAAATAAAAGGCATTAGATAAACATCTGCCATATTTCTTCAATCATATTTGGATACAAAAGGAGTCAGTACTTTCAAAGTGTTGAATAGACTACAGAGTAGACAACAGCAACGGATTTCATTTCCATATCATCATTACCTTTATCTGTATTAGAAAGTCAACATTAATAATTCATTTATCAGAAAGCTTAGTATACTCTGAAAGGTCCACCAGGTTTGTAATATATTCTAGTGTTGTATTCCTAATACAGAAAAACATATAGCACACTCCTCATTTTAGAAAATGCACATGCTAAATATGATATTGAAATACATCACAAATATTTCTATAGCAATTCAGGAATCCCTGCAATGTCAACACAATTCTGACATAAGCGATATTCTACAAAATGATTGTAAACCTTGATTATAAACTTTACTGTTTAAACATATTTTTCAAGCTTGGTCAACTTAAGCTTTAAAATAGCTACATTTATGACTGTTAACATTTTATTGCTTTGGTAGTTCACAAGAAATGCAATATTTAATGGTTCTGAAGAATGTCTGTGTAACAAATTCTCAAATCTCAAATCACATAACAGCATTAGAAGGGAAGACCAATAGTATTTTAAACTAAATTAATGTTACATGTTTTCAAGGGTATCAGCCAGTTATTTAAGCACAAATAAATTAAATTAAACATTGAGACCTCTGCTCAGAAAAGAACAAAAAATAACAATAGCAGACACAATGACAAAAAAGTGTTGCTATATCCACTACTGTTAAGTTTGTTTCATCATAATTCAGTCATATCTCTAGGAACACTTAGAAAGCAAAATAATTCTCTATTGTTTCTGAATCTCTGTTTTGTATTATCTCTATCTATCATCTATCTATCTATCTATCTATCTATCTATCTATCATCTATCTACCTATCATCTATAATCTATCAGTCTATCTGTCTGTTTTTCTATCTACTTCTATCATCTCTCATATTTATACCACTGAGTCTCTATACTTTCTAAATTTTCAATGTTTCTCAGACATTTTATCTTTTGCTACAATATCCTTAATGGTACCTTTAGCATCTTTTAATTTTTCTTAAATTCATCTCTCTTCATATTTTTTAGGATTTAGTCCCGTGATTTTTCTACCTAAAATATGTAAGTATAATTCATAGATAAGCAATACCTTTTGTTGATCAAATATTTTCTCTTATTCAACTGCCAGTCTTACAATTTAATTCATTTTCTCCTTAAGACTAGTCTTCTTAAGTCTAAGGAACTACAGTTAATCTTCCATAGGAAAATGCTCAAACCTAATATAATTCATTCATTTTACAAGTAAGGACACTGAAGTCTAAAAAGAATAACACCTTGCCAAGCAAATCAGGATTCATCTAGTCCCCATGTGCAATATCATTCAAGTTTATTTTCTCTTTATCCTTTTTTCTCCCATTAATGCATTGATTTCACCAAAGTCCAACTGGAAGTTGTCAGTGCTGTTCTCATGTTAGTGAGTGAGTTCTCATGAGATCTGATGGTTTTATAAAGGCCTCTTCCCTTTATAAAACTCTTGGGTATGTTTTTATAGCAGTGTGAAAAGAGACTAATACATTTCCCAAACCCATTTCTTTTCCTCCTGTGCACAAAACTAGACTGCATTTCCCAGCCTCCCTTGAAGTTAGGTGTAGCCATGTGACTGAGTTTTGGCTGGTGAAAATTGATAGAGTAATGTGTGCCACTTCCAGCTTGGTTCATAAAAGCCTTGTAGGAGTGATCTTCATTTCCCTTGCCCATTCACTTGGTGAATGGAGAAGACCCATAGTTCTTGATATAAAGTAGAGGCCCAAGACCAAGGAAGCCTGGGTTTCTGACTACAACATAGAGCCCACCCAAACCTGGAAAACACATGCTGGACTGCAAGAAATAGCATTTTAGATGTGTTACATCACGACTGAGTTAGGAATTGTTTGTTACAGCAAGTAGCATACTTGACTAATAAACTTGCATTGGTATTATACATATATTATTTTGCAATTGTACCCTTGGTATTTTCAGGAGAGGGTTTTATCAGAAATTTCACTGACATTTTCATTAATGCAAATGCTGTCTTTATTCAAACATAATGAATATTCTAGTGGTAATGGGTGATAAGAACTTGAAATTATATTTAATATATATTAGATTTCAGTAATCAACTTTTATACTTTAGGAAGTCATGATTTGATTCTGTCTCTTCCTCATTTAATTACTTTAACCAAATAATAATACCCAAAATATCATGACAGTGATGATTAATTTCAATTATTAAATTTAAAATAAATATTAATTTTAAAACTCTGATTCATATTTTCTTTATTAAAGAATTAACTCAGGATTTCTTCGTGAGTCATCTATCTATACAACATATATTTTTATTTTTTAAGCATTTCACAAAACATGGCAGGAGGATGGACATTCTTGTGTTGTAAATTATTACTTGGATTTCTGATATTAGGTGTGTTAGGAATTAAGAATTCATTTATTGACATACATACAAAATATATAAGTTACTTTGCGTGTATAACTGAGAAAAATGAATTATTTTTAAAATGTATCCTTTTTTCTTCCACAATTAGAATAGCAGTCTAAATATCCTAGAGTCAACCAAGCTTTGAGTAGCAATTTACGATCATCCACAAAATAGAGAAAGCCTGAAAATTCTGCTTTAAACAATATTTAGTTTTGTTTAATGATAGAAGATCCTATTTTATTATAATACTATGGAATACTTGGATATGGTTTGATTGGCGAGAAGTGCAGGGTAATGGTAATCCATGTTTATCCTTGAACAGCTTGTAAATGCATAAAATAGGCCAGGTGTGGTGGCTCACACCTGTAATCCCAGAACTTCTGGAGGCCGTGGTTGGGCAAATCACCTGAGGTCAGGAGTTCGAGACCAGCCTGGCCAACATGGTGAAATCCCATCTCTACTAAAAACACAAAAATTTGCTAGGTGTGGCAGTGCATGCCTGTAATCCTAGCTACTCAGGAGGCTGAGGCAGGAGAATCACTTGAACCCAGGATGCGGAGGTTGCAGTGAGCCAAGATCGTGCCATTGCACTCCAGCCTGAGCGACAAGATGAAACTCTGTCGAATAAATAAATAAATAACACGAATTATTATAACTTTATTGGAAATGTAAGTAAATTTACTTGAATGTAAATAAACTGCCTCCTCTCCAGTTTCTGATGTGCATGACTGTAATCCAGCTAATTGAAACATGATAGAAACTTGTGAATTAAATGGCCAAAGAATACAGGCCATCTTTATCCACCTATTTACAAAAATTTTTCTCTAATAAACATTCTATGTTTTATACTGCTTTTCTCCTAAAACCGTATGGTTTATTTACAGGAATACAAAAGTTGAGTTATTTCCATTTTAACTAATGTTATAATATTTTGTAATATGGTATCATAATTTTGAAAAACATTAGAAGATTAGAAAAATCAGTGCCAATAATGAAGACATTGGGAGGAGATTCCATCTGTCTGATATGGTTCTGAATCATGTAAGATTTACAAAATTAGTACATCTTTATTTTTATTCCTCTTTTCTATCTGTGTCAGTGAATGTAAATGAGTCAGTCTATATAGCATCTTTAAAATCAGTTTCAATAAACTGCAATAGGGATAAAAGAAAGGAAGTTCATATGCCATAATTTGCTTGGTTGGCACCTAATGGGTACACATGATTAAACGTTGGGTTGATGGTACATTGAATTTTAGATGCAGGATGATGTCAAATTATCCATGTTAAATTAGCACAAATTCAAATTTGGATGGACGATAGTGCAAGTCCCTTTTTCCTCTATTAATTATAGTGTAAAACAAAACAACTTAAAAATAATGTATCTGTTCTCGAGCACGGTGGCTCACACCTGTAATCCCAACACTTTGGGAAGCCAAGGTGGGCAGATCACGAGGTCAGGAGTTTGAGACCAGCCTGGCCAACATGGTGAAACCCCGTCTCTACTAAAAATACAAAAATTAGCCAGTCGTGGTGGTGTGTGCCTATAACCCCAGCTACTCAGGAGGCTGAGGCAGGAGAATCGCTTGAACCCGGGTGGTGGAGGTTACAGTGAGCCGAGATTGCACCATTGCACTCCAGCCTGGGCAGCAGAGCAAGACTCTGTCTAAAAAAAAAAAAAAAAAAAACAGGGTCTATTCTCTTATCTCTAGTGTTATTTTGTGTAAAATGAGGAAAAATATGTGGAAATACTTTGGAATCAGTAAAAATATTCATAAAATTCAGTTAATGAAAACCATAAGAAAATCAGTTATAAAAAAGTGTTACTATTCACCTTCTGTGTCCATTTATCTCTTTCTCCCCATGTGCCTCTTTTGATTGAACGTTAAAATTATATACTGTCTCTAACTCAAAGGCAACTAGTTTTAAATAAAGGCACTGATATTACTGAGTTCATAAAAAAAAATTAGCTGGTTCTGCCTGATTTCTTTTCCCTAGAACCCTATGTTCTTGTCAGTCAAAAATTCTATAGTTCTCGAATTCTTTTAATCAATTTGACTTTTTATATCATTAACTATTGTCACATTATTATTTGTATTTCCAGTTGTCAACTATGTATCTTGCTGCTTCTGAAGTATTTTTTTTCTTATGTTTTCCTATTTTGATCCTTATTTGTCACATTTTGTTAAAAATCTCCTGTTTTAACTCATTCACTGTTTCTTCATGTCATTTCTGAGGAAATTTGCTCCTTATTTCAGAATTTTATTTCCTTACTTTTGCTATTGTTCTTTTTCATACCCACAATAGGATCAAAAGAAAGCTCTGTCCTTTGTTCTCCTTTAAGACAAATGTTACTCTATTTGCAGGAATATTTGGACAATCAGAAAGACAACTTAGTTGGTAAAAAACATAGTCTGGTAGAATAAACAAAGACAGTTTACCCATCTGGTTTCAAATATATATTTCACTAGTTACTAGCTGATGTTATCTAATTTAAATAAAATCACGTCTCATAAGATATTAATACCTAGTCTATTACAATGTTTTGAATTTCTGGCTAAATCACATTTACTAATGTAAAGTTAGGAATCAGTAAGTGACAAATGTAATATTATTGAGGAAAATTTTGAAATAAATATTTCATCTTTATGCCAGTTATAACTATGATTGAATTAGCAGTGGATTAAGATTGCATAGTACACTCATGTCACATAATTTATCCAGCTTGGAATCTCATTATGTCCAAATTTTAAAGCAAAACTTTAGGTAATGTTAGAGAAAAGCAAATGAGATGCCCTGGACTATTATAGATCTTATAATGCTCATCAAGAAGAAAACAGAGATGTGACTCTTCTATTGTTCTGTGGACATCCTACTCATTTTCTTCACAACTATTGAGGCTTATATTAGTCTTTCTCTTCAAAATAAGTTTTTGCCATCATGGAAGTCCATATGAATGACTAGCTTTGACAGTTTTGCTTCAATTTTTTTTTTACTTTCGTATATATGGGGAGTTTTATTTCCAATTAATATTAGCTATTCATGTTTATGCATGCATCTAGAATTATGTTTTCCTGATGTACTTATTTCAAACATCTTATAATCCAGTATTCTCTGAAATAAATCATTGTGATCTCATTTCAATAATATCATTCTTTGAACAACTATCAGCTTCAACCTCCATACGACAATAAATAACTTGCTTTTTTCTACTAACTTTTCAACTTAGGCCTGCTTTCATTGGCTTCCCTTCTTAGTGACAGTCCCATATAATCTAAATGCTCATTTTGTTATTTAAGGTTAAATTGTTTTAGGGATTAAAATAATCTAAGATGAAGTCATTTTTACCAAATACACTATATTTCTATTAGTTGTAGTTTCAATAAAACAGAGAAAAAGTTAGTTAATTTTATATTTTATAATTCTTCTCAGTTCACACTCACTACTATAGGAACACCATCAAAGTTCTTTGCAAAAGACATTTTGATCCCAACTTTCTCTAAATGTGTAAACCTTGTAGAAGTCTATAGGTTCAAATAAATGTTGACTGTATCTCTGTAAATATTCTTCACAGGTTTTCAAACTTGAAGAATCAACTCCCAAACTAACTCAAAGTATTCCATAAAAATTCAGTAATTTCCACATCACAGTTTAATCTGATTTATTAACTTTTCCAAATGTAAAATATCATTAATTTTATATACAGGAAATTAAAATGCCTCTGAATATCATTATTTTAATTAGTAGTTTAAAAATATAGCAAGTGAATGTTCTTCAGGTTCTATTTTGAAAGAAATGTCAGAAATTGAATATTTTACACGTTAGTCAATGCTTTCCTTAACTTTTAATTACAACTATTATTCAAATAGTTACATGCACATTTCAAAAATATTTGCCATAATGTTGTATTTTCTTAGTTTGTATGTTCATATCTTTTTCTTGCAATAAAGGAAAAATGCTACTTTTAGAAAGATACAAGTGAGTGTTTTCCCACCAGAGCTAAAATTTCTGTTTTAACACTTAGTCATACAGTAAAAAAGATGGATGCATTTCCTGTGCAGCCATTTACCATCTGGTTAAGCAAATATACTTAAAGATACTTCTGCTTTTGTGATCAAGTGACAACAGATCTAAGAGCAGACAGAGCTTGGACTCTAAAATGATGATTGTACAGCTGTAGTTGGCATCATTAGGGACCAATAAAAACTTTATGTTCCATTTGGATGGCAAGGACCTTTATCAAAGAGAAGCTCAAATGGCTAAATAACAAAGAAATGATCCATTTAGCAGTTGTTTTAAATTTAAGACAGATAATGGAACTTCAAAGTCATAATTAGCTTTTAACACTAGAAAGATTGTTTTCAAGTTCTATATTCCATTCTAATATTTTAAACTTGTCATCTTACCATAATTTTTTGATTGTGGTTTTGCTTCATTTTTCTAATGTTCTCATCAATATAAACTAAAGCCATCACATTATCCTTAACAGCTAAACCACTGGCATTATCAGAATGCTTCATACTATTTCCAATCAAACAGAACAATAGAAAAAAGTCACTAAATGTCATTTGCCTAGGAAAAATGAGCAGACATACTCTTTTGTTTTCTCATCAGGTAATTCAAAATGGTTTTTGAACATTGGATATTTATTGCAGTCTCTGTTAACAGGGCAATTCCTAAATAGCTATATAAGGTCTATTAAAACAGAACAAATGAGCATAGCACATTGCTGACTGATTTGCAGTATCAGCAGTAATCCCTTAAAAATCACCCTTAAGAATTTTCAGTTCTCTAAATTGACATCAGCAGTTTTTATTAACTGACTTTTTCTTTTCTTTCCCTAAAGATTCAATATCCTGGTGCCTAAATATTTTCATTGCATTTCAGACTGGCAGCCAAAACCAAATTTTTACTCCTGCAAACTTTATTGTAAGGATTTCCGAAGGAATGCCTGAAGACCTGGAATTTTGCCCATTGTAGAAACATAGGTATGGTTTTTATCCAATTTATATAGGTTGTTTTATAAAATGATCAAAGTTGGGGGCTGGTATACAGTTCTCATTTTAGAATTTTAAATGTAATGAGTATTATCAATTTATCTAATTTAACATTATGTCCATAGATGAGGAAATATAAGTCTTAGATGAGTGTTTGGATGAGGTCATACAGTAAGAGGTGGAGCACAGGTTAATATCAGGCCTCTTTGACTCCAGAGTTTCATTTCCTTTCTATTACGTGATAATGGTATTAGTCCTGGCATGAAAAAAATCAAGGACAAAATTTGTAAATTCAATACTATGTAATTTTAGTTCATGCTCACATGACCTACAGAATCACCACCAATGTCCATCTCTGTTTTGTATTTGAAAAGCTAAGAGCAAAACAAACAAAATCCTCTGTTGGTCATTTCTATGGGTTGACCTGTCAAAAAATATACAGATGTTTCTTTCTCTATATATATCTTTTTTCTTTTTTCTTTTGAGATAGAGTCTCACTCTTGTTGCCCAGGCTGGAATACAGTGGCTCAATCTTGGCTCACTGCAACTTCCACCTCCCAGGTTCAAGCGATTCTGCTTCAGCCTCTCCTGTAGCTGGGATTACAGGCATGTGCTGCCATGCCTGGGAAATTTTTGTATTTTTAGTAGCGATGAGGGTTCTCCATGTCGACCAGGCTGACCTCAAGTGAATCACCAGCCTTGGCCTCCCAAAGTGCTGGGATTACAGGCATGAGCCGTCATGCCCGGCCCAGTCAAAATGTTTTTATGGAGACATATACACACGTTATGTTTGATGCATATTTATACCAGATCCCTTATTGTACATGAAGCTTCTATAAGACAGGAAATTATTTTCTTCAAGAATGTGCACATTACTTAGTAAAGCTCTCTCAGCTATATCATACTTGTCAAAAGCAAATCAATGCTTTGAAAAATCAATCATTATAATAGCTATCATACACATGCTACTTATTATGTCTCAGGTACTGTGCTTTGGGAGTTACATTCTTTAGAACATTCAATCAACACAACAGCCTTGTGAGGTAGCTATTATTGTTATCCATTTGCTAGATAAGAAAATTCAGAACTGAATGTTTGGATAACTTGCCCAAAGTCTCACAGCTAATAAGTAGCAGGAACACAATAACCAGATTTAAACTTACTCTCGTGCCCCTTGTTTTAGCCACTTAACTACACTGCTTTTAATTATTATATTTCCAAATAATATGAGAAATGCTCTTTCTACTGTATAAAGAAAAAATAATGTATGTTTACAGTTCTTTCTACCTTACAGAAAACATTAATTTAAAAATGCAAATGTCCTTTTTTTAAATCAAAACCACTTTTGAAATCATATTTAGGATTCACATTTAACTGATGTGCTCAATTACATTGCAAGACTTGCCTCGCTGTTAGTAAATAACAGGAACAGATATTGAGGCCAGTGTTCTGATTTGAAGCCCAGAACTATTTCAATAGGAGGAAAATGAAGCTGACTTTATACTCAGATTTTTTGGAGTTAGGTTCAGAATTTTTGGAATCATCTGCTATGATTCTATCCACAGCAGTTGTAGTTTTGATGCTATGAATGATATGTCATGGCAGAAATAGCATGGCAAGCAGTGGAAAATAAAATAATAATGTCAATGATTATAATTTATTTCAGAGTGTACTTAATTCTGCCAACCACTGTGATAAAAAACATTTATACATGTGGCATCTCATCCTCACAAAAAACCATTAGGATTGTTTTTTGCATATCACAACGTATTTTTGCATGTGTTAGTGAGTGATTAGAAGACCACTGGTTTCTAGGTGGCAGTGGTGGGATTCAAAATCAGTATTCAGGATTCCAGAGCTTACACTTTCTGTTTCACCACAGACAAAAATATAGGGGGGCATATCTACTGCTTTACTTCTATATTATTTTCAATTAGAAATCTGATGATATTGGGCTTTACCAAAGTCACAGGACAAAAGAGTAAGTTTCCTCTTCCACCAATGTGATCATGGAAGCAGATGTTTGCTATATGGAATCAGTATATGTCTAGGTAGTTAATCTATCAAATATCTGTTTAGCCTTCATACTTTTGATATATTGTCATTATTCCTGAATTCCATAATGTTTCTAAACTCTCAAAACGACTGCCAATAACTACATAAACCTTTATTGTATCTTCATTGTTTTGCTATCTGAAATATTTCATTATTTAATTAATGTTAAAAATGATAGATTGCATGTTAAATGAAACACATGAAATAGTTGTGCTACACATGAATATGGCTAAATGTTAGCAATTTCTTATGCTTTGAACTAATAGTCTTATTTCCAGAAATTATCATGCTATCCTTGCTTATCAGGTCATACTTTCCTTAATTTACCTACATCAATGTATTAATACTTTAGATGAAAATTTTAACTTTAATGCTAGAAAGATGCCCCCCTTCCACATACACACACACCCCTACATTAGATAGTATTAAAGTAGCTTAATGGAACTGAGGAAAGTTCATGTCTTCAGTTTTGTTTTTATATACTATTCCTCCATAAATAACAATGATTATAATATATAAAATGCAGTATACATCTAAAAGTGCTACAGGTGTGGAAGCTGATAACATAAGAAATCTGTAATATCTTAAACCTGTGAAGAACTATTATATTTTTCTAATAAGGTAATCGGACATTTACATAATTACATAGGAAAAAATTATTTTACAAATTCAAAAGATGGTGTTTCTATTCCCTTAAGACCTTATGGAAAATACATCATTTCATTTTGTACACTTATATCCTACATTTTTAATTCCCTTTTGAAAGCATAGATAAATAAATCTATCTTAGTGTAAAGTGCAGAGTTTTCTTTCCTTAGGTGACTAAAGATACCATTGGCATATATAATAAACAAATCTTTTGTTTGTTTGTTTGTTTTATGAGATGAAGTCTTGCTCTGTCACCTAGGCTGGAATGCAGTGGCACAATCTCGGCTCACTGCAACCTCCGCCTCCTGGGCGGAGAATCAAGTGATTCTCCTGTCTCAGCCTCCCAAGTAGTTGAGGTTATAGGTACCCGCCACACAAAATAAAAAATATATAATAATATTAGATATCTTTAAAAAGAAGAAGCCTAATATTCAAAATTAAACTAGATCATACTGTTCATGAAATAAAAAATATTATTGAGAAAATAAATTATGTATTTTATTCAATTTAATTTACATATTTATAATAGGTAATTGGAGGAATACTAAGAGATTTATATATTCTAATGGTATGTATATTTTTGAAAGTAATTCATCACTATTTTTATACCTTTCTCTTAGGTCACTAAAATTCCTGAGTTCTCTGTGATATGATACCTACAACTTGTTATATTTCACAAAAGGGGAGTTTTTGCTTGATAAAATTTAATTCCTAGAATATGTTTATAGAAAAATATGAGCAGATCACTCAGGAGACTGAGGCAGGAGAATTGCTTGAACCTGGGAGGCGGAGGTCACGGTGAGCCAAGATCGTGCCATTGCACTCTAGCGTGGGCAGCAAGAGCGAAACTCCGTCTCAAAAAAAAAAAAAAAAAAAGAAAAAAAATATATATATGCAGATAATTCAGAGAGTTTCATTTACACACAAAATCCCAGTTTCCCCTATTATTAACATCTTGAATTAATGTGGCAAATTTGTTACAAGTAATGAGCTGATAATGGCACATTAGTAACTAAAGTCTGTAGTTTATGTTAAGGTCCATTCTTTGTGTTGTACATTTGGTTCTGTGGATTTTTGTAAATGTATAATGTGATATATACATCATCACAGTATCATACAGAATAGTTTCAGGTCCCTAACACTACTCTGTGTTTCAGCTATTCATTCATCCCCTTACCTAAAACCTTGAGACCCAGTGATCTCCTTACTGTCTCAATACTTTTGCCTTTTCTAAAATGTCATATAATTGGAATCAGTCTATAGCCTTTTCACAATGGCTTATTTCACTTAGCAATATGAATGTAAGGTCTCTCCATTTGTCTATTTGTGAATTGACAGCTCATTTTTTATTGTATTTACTTATATTTATATATATATATTTTATTTTATGAATATATTAATATTATAAACATAAGGTTAAATATATTCAATATACCATAGGTATATTGATGTGTATATATAAATATATTTTAAAATACTAATTTATCACACAGTATATTTATATTTTATTTTAACATTCATATCATACATGTATGTATTTATAGTAAGAATATATCACTGTTTACCCATTCACCTATGGAAAAAATCTTCATCGCATTCAATTTAGGATAATTTTGAATAAAACTGCTATAAACACTTGAGTGCAGGTTTTTTTCTTTGTGCACATAAATTTTCAACTCAGTTGTGTGAAAACTGGAAGGAAAAATGATATGGTAAGATTACGCTTAGCTTCATAGGAAAGTGCCAAACTGTTGTGTCCTCACCAGCATTTAGTATTGTCCATTTATTATTATTATTTTAGCCTTTCTACTAGGTATGTTTTGGTATCTAATTGTCATTTATATATTTGCAATTTCCTAATGAAAAATTTTCAGTCTCTTTCATAAATATATTTGGCATCTGTATTATATTCTTTTTTTTTTTTTTTTTGAGACGGAGTCTCACTCTGTCGCCCAGGCTGGAGTGCAGTGGCATGATCTCGGCTCACTGCAAGCTCCGCCTCCCGGGTTCATGCCATTCTCCTGCCTCAGTCTCCCTAGTAGATGGGACTACAGGCGCCCGCCACCATGCCCGGCTAATTTTTTGTATTTTTAGTAGAGACGGGGTTTCACCGTGTTAGCCAGGATGGTCTGGATCTCCTGACCTAATGATCCGCCCGCCTCAGCATCCCAAAGTCCTGGGATTACAAGCCTGAGCCACCGCGCCCAGCCTGGCATCTGGATGTATTCTTTAGTGAGATGCTCATCACTCCTCTGTCTCCATCTCCTTCCTATAGGTAAGGGCACTACAGTTTTCTTTCGGGAAGATGCTTCTCCCTCATACCATATCCTCTTGAATAGAGTAACTCCATCATCAATATTTGAAGGAGATCTGGGATGGGGCCGTGGGGTCAATAGGCAAAGGAATAGGAATGGACATGCTACCCAGCTGTATCAACCATGGGATTCTAATCAGAATTTGTTTGAAAAAGAAGTTTTTCCACTAGACAGAGACATGGGAAAAAGTAAGCCACAGGGTGCTGTGGTTACATGAGAAAAATATCATCCCGATGGTAGAGCTGATGCAGAGAAGAAAAGAAGGAAAGAAGGAGAAATGTGGATAGAGGACACATTCATAGGATATTATATAGGCCCTAGTGCCCAGCTGTACTCTACCCTTGTCATTTTAATTATAGGTGCCAGTAACTATTCTACTTTTTGTTTAATTCAATCTATTGGACTTCATGTCACCTAGGATCTCAGTCTGCTGACTAATACATTTACACACAAGTGTCATCAAAAGGCCTACAGTTCTTCTGCCAATCTTAGTGAACTGCCAGGGAGCTGCTCTATTCCTATTTATTCAACAGTATATTGAGCTAGTGCTTATTTACTGCATATCTACTATGTGTCAGATATTATTCTAGGATTTGAAAATATAGTGATGAAAAATCAAATAATGGCCCTGATCCCCTGAAATGCCATTTTGGGGAAGGGGGAGACAGAGAAAGACAGACAATATATGTTGACAAGTAAGTAAACCAAAGACAAAGTGAACTCCTTCTAGTACAGCCAGATATTTGTGAAGAAAACACCAAAGAAAACTACACCTAACAGATTGTATTTAGTGAACATGTAACCAGCAGTATCTCTGAAGTTCTGAGCCCATTACTGGAAAACTGAGGGTGTAGAGTGAACTTAGAAAATCTTAGCTTTGGCTGAGCGTGGTGGCTCACTCCTGTAATACCAGCAAAATTGGTGGTCAAGGCGGATGGATCACCTGAGGTCAGGGGTTCGAGAACAGCCTAGGCAACATGGAGAAAACTGTCTCTACTAAAAATACAAAAATTAGCCAGGTGTGGTGGCACACACCTGTAGTCCCAGCTACACAGAAGTCTGAGGCAGAAGAATGACTTGAACCTGGGAGGCAGCAGTTGCAGTGAGCCCAAGATCGTGCCATTGCACTCCAGCCTGCGTGACAGAGCGAGGCTCTGTCTCAAAAAGAAAAGAAAAGAAAGGAAAACCTTAGTTTTACACAGTAGCTGAACAAGCATGTAATGCTGGAGACAAAAGACACCACTGGAGCAGAAAAACTAATACAGTGAATGAAGCATAAAGAGCAACGGGAACAACTAAGGAAGTGGTTAGTAACTCGGGTTCTCAGCAAGAACAGAAACTTGTTAATAAGAATGGCAGACATGGGAGGCAGGGGTGGGTGGATCACCTGAGATCAAGAGTTCGAGACCAGCCTGATCAACATGGTGAAACACTGCCTCTACTAAAAACACAAAAATTAGCCAGGCATGGTGGCAGGCACCTGTAATCCCAGCTACTCAGGAGACTGAGGCAGGAGAATCGCTTGAACCCGGGAGGCGGAGGTTGCAGTAAGTCCAGATTGAGCCACTGCACTCCAGCCTGGGTGACAGAGCGAGACTCCATCTCAAAAAAAAAAAAAAAAAAAAGAAAGAAAGAAAGAAAGAAAAGAAAAAAAAAAGAATGGCAGACCTAAAGTCATTGCCAAGGTTGCCAAGGTGCCTGAATATACCTCAAAACATGAGAAGATTAAAACACATCAGAATAGTAGAAGGGTGGTACTTGTTTGGTCATACTTGGTTAGAAAACACTTACCAACTCTTATTACAGGATTATTACGCTTATTACCAAGATTATTACAATAGTTAAACATGTTTAATAATGTATTTGTAAATATCAGTACTGTTTAACTTTTTTCTTATTATTTTTTATTTACACTATCCACCTGGAGATGCTATTTAACTCTAGTAAACTCGGTCATTTATTTGTAATCTGTGGCTGTTTTTCTAAACCACTTTTATTGTCAAATTTTAAGATATTTTAATAGACTTTTCAACTTTTGTTTATTCACTCATACATCACATATTTACTGAGCTGCCACCGCAATTCCAGATGCTGAGCTATAACAACAATGTCCTTGCCCTTTCTGAATTTACATTTTAATGGGAAATCTAGACCAAAAAAAAAAAAACAGAACACCTAAATTACTAGTAACATTTTTGATAAGAATTTTGAAAGAACATATAGAAAAATATTTTAAGTAGCGTAGCCTGTGAAGAGGAGACATTTGAGTCCTGAGTGAAGTGAGAAGATGGACCATCTACAGACAGCACACAGGGCCTCAGGTAGGAGTGAGGTTGTTTTAGTACTGATGTATAGGAAGATGAGCTGATTCCTATCATGCAGATACAGTGAGCAGAGAGGGGGAGTGATAAGAGTGATGCAAGATACAGATTTGGCCAGATCATATGAAACCTTCTAAGCTGTGATTAACAAAATGAATTTCGTTTTGGGTATTAAAATTTACTTTTGGTGTTTTGAGAAGGAGAGTTAGATAATCGCGTATGTCTTTTATAAATGGTATTCAAATCCTTGTCAAATGTTTGTGTGGTTAGAAAAAAACAAGGGTAAGACTGGGTTTAGGCCGGGCATGGTGGCTCACACCTGTAATCCTAGCACTTTGGGAAGCCGAGGTGGGGCGGATTGCCTGAGCTCAGGAGTTCCAGAGCAGTCTTGGCAACATGGTGAAACCCTGTCTCTACTAAAATACAAAAAATTAGCCGGGCGTGGTGGGGTGCGCCTGTAGTCCCAGCTACTCGGGAGGCCGAGGTAGGAGAACTGCTTGAACCCGGGAGGCAGAGGTTGCAGTGAGCCAAGATCGCGCCCTGGCACTCCAGCCTGGGTGACAGAGTGAGTCTCCATCTCCATAAAATAAATAAATAATACAAAAAGAATGGGTTTATAAAAATTAAAGCCAAATAAAGATTAGTATACATGTGGAACATTTTAGTTTTCTTCCATTTCTTTAGTTTCTTCACCTAGATATTATTTGTTACATGTATTCTGATATTTCATTGTTCCTGGTTCCTTAAAATACTTACCAACTTTATATTATAAATTATCTATAATGATACTTTGCCTAGTTTTGAATTACTTTAATGAAGACTGTACCTACCCAAAAGGCAGTTTGTAAAATCAGGTTAATATGTAAATTTATATTATACCTAATCTATCAACTAAGCATTTATTTATATTAATTCACTGAGTTGAAAATAGAGAATCCCACTGACATGATTTTAAGTAGTAATAAGCCTTATCCAAAGTATCTTTCTTTTTCTGCTATAGTAGTAAGGAGAGGTGTTTAGTTTTGTAAAATACATAATGTTTTAAATTATCAGGAAAGGGCATATGCACACATTTAATAATAAAAGAAATAGGGCTAACCTTGAATAAATCAGTGATTCTACTTTTTACAAATTCTTCATTGAATGTGTGTCTTTTTAAAGTGAGAATGAATGGATTAAAACATAATATTTTTCTTTTTAAAAATAATTTCCACCGGGCACGGTGGCTCACGCCTGTAATCCCAGCACTTTGGGAGGCCGAGGCGGGAGGATCATGAGGTCAGGAGATCGAGACCATCCTGGCTAACACGGCAAAACCCTGTCTCTACTAAAAATACAAAAAAAATTAGCCAGGCGTGATGGTGGGCGCCTGTAATCCCAGCTACTCGGGAAGCTGAGGCAGGAGAATGGCGTGAACCCGGGAGGCGGAGCTTGCAGTGAGCCGAGATCGCGCCACTGCACTCCAGCCTGGGCGACAGAGCAAGACTCCATCTCAAAATAATAACAATAATAATAATTTCCAAAATAAAAACTTCTGTGGGTATACTTAATTCTTGCCTACCCTCATATCTGCTATCTTATGTTGTTAACTTACCCACCAATATTAAGATTTTCATAACTGCTTTTAGATGTTTGAATGGTAAGGTCTAATTAATCAGCACAGTAAGGCTACTCATACTAGAAACGGAGTTGAATGTAGACTATATTAAACATCTTTTCAAGACTTTTGAAATGTTATCCCTTTAATAGGTGCTATCCTTACAGGATGTCAAAATCTAAGCTTTAACATTTTTTTTCATGTCATCCATTCATTTTTTTCAGCTAGGGTTATTAAGTCCTTTATAAATCAGTCTCCTTATGTTATGTGCCAACTCTTTTAGCACATTTTAAAAGACACTATCGATGTGACTGTCCCTGAGTGTTCTATTCAAATATAATTTTCATTTCCTTCTGGCACCAAGAAATACTTTAAAAATCTTCTTTCTTTAGTCCCTATCAAAAACTATTACTCTTCTCTCCCATGAAAATAAAAAGAAAATAAAAAACACTTTTTTCATTTATTTCTTCAATTATTATTGCATAAAACCACTTCTTGATTTTCTTCTCTACCTTTGCTCCAATTTAAATATAGTTTAATAAAATATCATTATTATAATTATATTGGAATTTTGATAAAAAGTTTTTTAAAACTATTATAGTCTCACAACATAAATTTTTTATGTTTAAAACCCTAGGCTTTGTTAAAGAATTCTTAACAAAAGCCAGACAAGTCAACTATGGGAGCTCCATCAGATTTTCCCCCAAATCAGACATTCATAGGTTTTTTAATTGAGGCCCATGGAGCATTTTTTGGTATTTAGCTATAGACAGTAAGCCACTTGGAGGGATATTATATGAATTTTTCAAAGTACATTTAGTGTTTTTTTTTTCTCTAAAAGCATAAGATGCCTAGATCAATTATAACTGAAAGGCAAAGACTGAATGTCCTTGGCCATCCTTACTCTGTTCCTCTGAGGCCCCTGCTAATTTTTCAAGTCTTCAGTCCTTGTTTCAATTGTATAACTGTAGCAGAAAATGAAACCTAAACTTATAAAAGTGACATAAACTACACTACTAGAAAAACTCAAGCCTATCTAGTGAGAAAAAAAATTAGTAAAAAGAAAAATTTCCTTGAATATCCTAAAATGCATTATAATAGCCATACATGGAGGAAAATATTTTATTTATTTTTTTCTATGGACTCAAATTCTAAAACTTTAAAGAATAGTTTTTCTCAGTTTTTCTTAGAATTCTCAGATTTAATAACAGAGACTCACAAGCAAAAAAAAAGAGAAAAAAATCACTTGGATTCTAGCACTTACTTTTAAGCTCACAGGACTTGGCCCTTAAGTATAAGGCTTAGCATGAAATTGCAGGTGCAAAACATGAATGTGATGATTTTATATCTTGAAACAGCTAAGGACTCAAGAGGATCATTACTTAAAATGGCTCCTAATTTCACTTATTCTACTATTTTAGGAGTTTGTAATTAGAAATGGAATGTTCTATTATCTCAAAATGCAACCCAATATTGATTAGTGCTAAGAACTAATATATAAATTATCCAATAAATTTATTTTTCTCAGAATAAGAATACATACTATTGAAATTTATTCCAAATTTTTATGAAAACCACACTGGAAGTGTACAATTTCCATGAAAATTCTTTATGTATTTTTTAAGACATATTCAGCAGGAAGTCAGATTATAAAAGATATTCATATTTTTAGAAAACAAAAACAGAAAAAAAATCACAATAATCCCCCAAAATATGTAAACATCTTTACTTAGTAAAGAAAAAAATATTAAAATTAGTAATGATTTGAGAATTAACACCAATATAAATGTGCCTTCTTATTTAATTTGTTATTTAATAATAAAATCATTGATTCCTCAGCCAATCAAGTATGAAGACATATCAGTGTAACATGAATGCCAGGCTTTTAAAAAAGTAATTGGTCTTTTGTTATAATATTTGAGAAAATAAAAATAATATTACTATTAAGTTTCATGTAAATCTATGTATATGTATATGTATATTTTTAAATGTATATTTATGAATTACCTAAATCATGCCTAATATCATGAATTTATTATTATCCACCTATCATATAAAAGGGCAGTTGGAGACATTATGCTTTAACAAGCCTAATATCATGAATTTATCATTGTACAACTATCATATAAATGGGCAGTTGGAAGATATTATGCTGTAACAAACCTAAAATATAAAAACACACTTTATACAAAATTAAATTAGGAAAAATTCTCATTTTGTTAAATAATTTTATTTTATAGATGTTCTTTCACATTATAGCTTCTTTAAAATTAAAAAAAGATTTAATTTATATACAATTTCATAGACAATGTTGGACAGTATTGTCTTTGCTTAACCATAGACTATATCTGCAAGGCACTTCATATGTTATAGTTGGTGCTTAGTTAGAAGGAACTGAACTTCTGTGCTTACCTAGAGATGTCATTACCACATTGTAGATGTTCTGTTTTCAAGGAAGAGTTCCTTGAATGGCCCCATTAAAAAATATCACTATAAAGCTGATGACGAGCCACTTTTTATTTTGGAAAACGATTATGACCAGATTTTGTGAGTATGTGCTCATTTATTTATTTATTTGCTTAGAAAAAAAATTCAAGAAACAAACAAAATACTGGTTTTTTTCTGTTGATGTGAAGACTCTGGGGACTCACAAGTAGGTAAGAATGAAGAGCATAACCTTTGCCACTGATGTTCAAAGCTAAGGAAACTGCGAATTAGACCAGTAGGGACCTCACTGAGACTGCTTGACAGAAGACACTGAACCTTCCAAGTGCAACTAAGCAGAAGAGAGGACAAATTTGTGAGAACGATTTCTTTTGACCAGTATGGGGCTTCTGATTCAGTATGTGGCTGAGCCTGGAAGCTTCTCTGGGCCCCACCTTGAAACAGCAATGTTTTAATCTATGATTTTGACATACAAATTCTGAAGTTAATGTCCAATATGTTTCAATCTGTGGTAGTTCTCAGAATCAAAACTTCTAAACTGCCAAGTGACTATAAAAGACATAAATTTTAGCACAGAAGTGTGGAAAAGAGACTTGAGTGCCCTGAAGAAAAGACACATTTAAGTCTCCCAGGAAAATTATAAGAAACCAGTTGGAATCAAATCTTCACTGATATCAGGAATAATAACCATACTTTCTTTAGTACTAGTTATCAGTGGTTAAAGTAAAGAAATTCACCAGTCTCCAGAGGTAGCACACCTAAGTCTCCCAGGAAGATTATAAGAAACCAGTTGGAATCAAATCTTCACTGATATCAGGAATAATAACCATACTTTCTTTCTTTAGTACTAGTTATCGGCGGTTAAAGTAAAGAAATTCACCAGTCTCCAGAGGGAGGAACAACGGCACCATTGGAATGACCAGAACAACAAGATTCAGGGCAAGTAGTTTGGTGAAAAGATATGGTTTTGAAATAGCTAGAGGCTCGCTAAAATTGTTCCAGTTGCTCTAATTTGATTGGAAATGAGGTTGGAAAATGGCTGCTTTTTATGCGCTTAACAGTTGAGTCTTGAATTTTTCTTAAAAAAAAGGAGTCAGTAGATTTGGCTATAAATGGCATCCCTGCCCAGCCTCTTCAAAAAACCACTCTGTAAGGATGTACTTCTGTCAGGGTTACTGCTTTTAAGTCTCAAAGACGGATGAAATGGTTCCTCTTTGGTGAGGGGGAAACTGAAGTGAGGGAGGGATTTGCCTATGAATAACAAAGGCAAGTATCTGGAAGAAAATTTTATAAATATTTATGATGACCTGCAGTCAAATACAGCAAATATTGCTTATACGATAATGTCCAGATGTCTAGATAAGATTTGTATTTCTTTCTTCATTTATTTATTTTTTGTTCCTGTTGCTGAAATAATTAGAATTACATGGAAAGGGCATGACATACTCTTTATTTTATAAATTTATAGATATATTTAAATGGAATTTGCTTCCATGCCTGCTGCTTCCAGTAGATGTAGACACAGCAGTAACAAATTTATACGGAGGTTGGTATGCATACTTACTATGGAATTAATGAACAAAGCTGTTGCTGTGTGATATACTAGTTATTTTTGAGCTACAGAGATTGTGCCAATGTGTCGTGTAAATGTTTCCACTTGTTAAAATCTTTAAAGGCCAAAACATGTGCTATGTTACTCAGGCATATTTTTCCCTAGGATTTTAAAGTAATTTTGACATAAATTTAATTAAATCCCCAAATCCCACTCTAATGTTTTACAGACTGTCATCACAGCTAAATGCCATAGTTATTATTCGGAATATGGAAAAGACACTCTCTACAAACTTACATGCTCTTTTATGTTTCACTAAAAGTGCAATTGATATGGGTCTATCTGCCTTTTTCAAGTAAAAGTTAAACAAGAATCAGTTCTATGGCCTTATACAGGGAATTAACACACACGATTTTATTTTGAAAATATGTAAATGTGAAGATATGCAAAAGACATTATGGGTTTTCATGGGGCATAAAAACTCCACCTCAAGGCTACAGCTGTATGGTTAATATTCTGCCTTTGGGAGTAGATACATGCACAATGACCAGACAGATATAATGCAAATGAGAAGTTCCAAAAGTTTTTCTCCTTATAATATTCACTGTAGTCAAAATCTGCTATTCACCAGACATGGTTTTCTAAATTATTAAATGTGTGCATAAACTTCTGCATACATGGGTGCTGATACTATCACTTACTATCTGAAAGTCAGGGTGAATGAAAAGCATCTCTCTAGGTTTTCAGAGTAAACTTAGTAAGGTTGACGATGAGGACTTTTTATGGAGCACTGCCTACTTATTAAAACAATATGCAGTATCTTTCAAAGCTGCAGGAGGTTAGCGTGCATGACAAAAGGTGTAATTAATTATCCACACATTCCTTTTGAGTTCTAACATCTATGCTGTTGTTTTCTTAACTACCACATTTGCTGCTATATATGGTTCTCATGGATACCTGCTCCATCTTTTAATTTGCACCTCATACTCAGTAATAATAAGCTGGCAAGAGAAAAAATTGGATGTCCATGAATAATGATTAGATATAATATGGTACATATATACTGTGGGAAACATGTTTCATTTACAAAAGGCAAATAGGTTTGTTTTGACATAGAATGATTTCAATGTCCCTGAATATCAGGGACCAATGCTAATCTAACCTAAAAGAATGAGAGTCCCTGCAATGGAAAAAAAACATATATCATTGGCCATGAATTGATTTATCTTACCACTTACCTCTACCAATTTGGGAAAACTAAGACTGTGTTCTATTTCCATCTTTACAGAGAACCTTAAGAATAGATCTGTCACCTGATTAGGTTCCAATACATGATTATCATGTATTAACTAAAAAAAAATCATATTTGTTCATACATATCTGTCCATGACACACATACGAACATACTTTATCTTTCTAGATACATTACATGAATTACTACCTAAAATCTTTTTGACAAGCATGTAGCACTTTGAGCATTTATAAAATTAATCAATTTATAAAGTTAATATATAAATTGTTTCTTTCAATTAATTATACTGATGCTCAATTAAATTAATTCATTGTTCATCTATGTTTCTCAATTTTTAAAATAGCACTTTCTTTTATTTTCAGGAAAAAATTCATTAAAAATATAAACACCAATGACCCTACAAATATCACATTGGCTAAGTCAATCTATATTCCATGATTGGAAGCCTGATGGATTAAAGCATACACAAAATTAAAATATGCATAACTTAGAAATTAAGTCAAAAATGTTTTAGCTGCCCAAAACTTTATACACTTTGTTTAACTCAAAGCAGTTTCATTTGCCAAAGTTTAACCACAGCACAATGGCTAGTCTCAATAATGTTTACTTATGGCTTGCCTACAGAATTAGTAATAAAGTGATATAGTATTAGATATGTTTCAAGGTAACTGTCCATCCATACCATGTTTTGAAGAGTTGTCAATCTCCTTTTTTTGGCATAAATAAAAAAATTTTGTATAAATTGTCCTATGCCTACTTCAGTGACCGCTCATTGACCGGAAATGGAAAACTCATTGAAATTCAACAATAGGCCTATATGCTTCCCAAATACCCAGGAAAGGTGTGTCCTGGCTTGCCAGCCTAAGCACAGTCCATTACTAATGGTTTAACTAAGAGGCACAGATGTAAAGTGAATGCCAGCATTAAGAAGTTATCTCAAAAATATGTCATAAAATTTCCAGGATGTAGAGCTGGCTGGGGAGTCCATTTTGGTCCATACATAAGCTGAGGCTGAAGATCCCCACCAGGAGCTCTGTGGATCCTAGAGTCTCTACAATAAAGCGGACATAACATAATAATACTGCATCTATGAGAGATGAAAAATAGGGCTTTGGATCCTTTCTTAATTAGATTTTCTTCCTGGAAAAATAAAACTCCTGGTTAAAACTAATTCTTCAATTACTCAGTGCATTAATCTAAGCAGCTAACTCTATTTGGAGACAAGGACACCACCGTGGAAGTCTATTGTCACTTTAAATTTGTGAACAGCAGTATCATACTCCCTCAGCACTGCTAGAATTCCTACACTACACCAGCAGTCTTTTCTTCTTCTCTGTTATCTCATGTTTTTTTCTCTCCTAAAATTTCCCAAACCTTCTCTGTTACTTGCAACTGATGCTTCATTTCTTATTTCATAGAGAAAAATATAAGCAGTCTGATGAGAATAACACATATTTATGCCATGAAATATACTCAGCTACCTGCATCCAGTCTTGTTTTTCCTTTCTTTCTGTTTAATGAAGGAAGAAGCCATGCTCTCATCTAAAGCTAAATCTGCCACTTGTGTATTGGGTCTCATCCTCTCTACCACATCCAGAGGCTCTACTCCTGCACTTGCCCTGTTCCTCTTGCCGGATAATTTTTCCTTCTATGTTTCCTTATTCCCATCCACCTCTCCCTCCTGGCAATTACACACATATATTGAATACTGAATACTGAATATTGAATATATGTGTGTAGTTATCAAGAGGAAGAAGTGAATGGGAATAATTTTTTTAGAATAAAAAATCTCTAATGAGCTTGGTATCTCATTTCCTTAGTTCTTATTTTCTGTTTTACCAAAAGCTACCCATAGCCTTAAACTTTCCAAATCAATGTTCATTTCTCAAATCCTCATCATACTTGATTTCAGCAGCGATTAATTCAGCCCAATCTTCTGTCCTCCTTACGACTTTTTTCCTTGGCTTGGTTCTCCTTCTGTAACACTGGTGGCTATGCATTTGTCTCCTGTGCTTGCTTCTGCTCTTCTTCATGACCTCCGAAGGTTGAAGTACACCAGAGTTCTCTATCCTCAACTCTTCATTCTTCTCAATCAGCACTCATTCTTCACTTCATCTTAACTATACAGTCCCTTGGCATTTTCTCTTTATTGTCATACTTATAGCTCATAAATATATGCCTTCCTGATCCAAACTGTATTGATTTCTACATGAATATCCAACTGCACAAATGACACTTTCTTTTGCTTGTCTAAAAAGCCAATCTTAAATCACTATATACCTGTATATATACTCTCCTTGCATACATTAACAAGGAGATTCCAGTGTTTTGCATTTCAGTGAATAGCTCCCCAGTCTTCTGTTTGCTTAGCTAGTTTCTTTAATTACATGAACTCCATACTCAATCTGTGGCAAATTAGGTCAGATAGTCTGACAACATTTTATCAGTGGCACTTCTGTCATCTTAATTGAAATTACCATCATCTCTATATCTCTTTTGGACAATCACAAAAAGGCCCAAATTGACCTTCCCTCTCCCAGCTTGCTTCTTCATACTAATGAATTCTAATGTAATCTAAACATAGAAATAATTTATGTCCAGACTTGGCAGATTTTTTCCACTTAACTGGACTACAAGTAAAAACATTTTATTTATTTTTCTATAAATCTGCCACAATTCTTAATGTATTATTCTGAACTCAAATATAAATTATGAATTGACTGCTACATTTTGATTTTTTTCCTGATCTGTCACCTGATAGCAACTAAGTTGTTATCCTCATCCTTTAAATGTTACTTACAGATGTATTTCCACACTTTTGCCTGTGAACTTCAAATCACAGTAATTGGAAAAGAATCTTTGGAAATAAGTATCAGCTGTTTGAATCGACCATGATACCACTTTGTATATTACATCTCTATGTAAAATTATTATGGATTTTCGAAAGTCATTATTGATTTATGTTAGAAATAAGCAAAGTGAAAATTTCCATTCAGTATCTCCACCCTTACCACAAAGTTTTATGCTAGAACAATCTGTAATTCTCTTTTCTCTATAAATTATTATTCTATATATATATAATTCTGAGGAAATTTGGAGCCAAACGTCTTATTCAGGGTACATATTCAAATTATAACCTGATTATGGTTCAATATTGTTTCTACATATTGAAGACTTTATTTCATCTTGGTCTAGAGAGTAAATCTATTTAAGAACTTTGGCAATTATTTGTGTGCTCTTTAGGTATGGCAAAGAGCAAAAAGCATTGAAAAAAACGTGATTACAATGCATGTTCAGATTTCAGGGGGTCTTTTGGAAAGATATTGTACAAACTACTAGAAATTCACACATTGACTAAAGGCACTTAAAGAAACAAGTTCTTAAATTGACTATCACATAAAGAAAGACATGACAGGTAGAGCTTCTGCTGACCACATAGCAGTCAATAGATGAATGCTTTATCGAAACGAGAGGGCCAATAAATAATTTCTAGCTAGATGATATGATGTCTTAAACTAAAACAATTAGCATATTACTGCATTAAATTAATTTTTTAAAAATTGTTTTGAATACTTTTTTAAACTTTGCTTAACCTATGTGAAAAGAGCAATATTGCTAATTATTCATGCTTTTTTCGTCATTCTGGAAAGTGCAGAATTTCCTTTATTTAATGTAATTCCATCCAAACACTTTTTTCACATAACTATCTGGATGATAAGGTACAAAGCTTTTCACTTTTCTCATTTGGTTTTAAAATTTTTATCAACAATAAGTTTTCCTATGCTCTGTGAAATATCTGTGGGTGCTCTTCAGAAAGAATTTCAGAAGTGAAATATAAATCAGACTAATAGAGAACAATTTTCAACGGCATTTTCTAGAACATTTTATCCTCAATTACATATTCTGAATGTAATCAATGAAAAGGTTTTTTTACCACTGTGTTTTTGAATAGAAATATAGAAGAAAAATCAATTATATTGAAAAATAGTTGTAAAAAGCATTCTTTGCTTTTCAATATTTTGTAAGTTATAGAAATATTGCATTCAGCATTTGACAAGAGGATACTGAGAAAATGAATATGGTAAGTGAAATATCTATGGGAGGTGACATGGTTTGGCTGTGTCCCCACCCAAAACTCAACTTGAATTGCATCTCCCAGAATTCCCATGTGTTGTTGGAGGGACCCAGCAGGAGGTAATTGAATCATGGGGGCCAGTCTTTCCTGTGCTATTCTCATGATAGTGAGTAAGTCTCACAAGATCTGATGGGTTTATCAGGGGGTTATGCTTTTGCTTCCTCCTCATTTTTCTCTTGCCGCTGCCATGTAAGAAGTGCCTTTCACCTTCCACCGTGATTCTGAGGCCTTCCCATCCATGTGGAACTGCAAGTCCAACTAAACCTCTTTTTCTTCCCAGTCTCGGGTATGTCTTCATCAACAGCGTGAAAATGAACTAATACAGTAAATTGGTACCAGTAGAGTAGTGCATGGCTGAAAAGATACCAGAAAATGTGGAAATGACTTTGGAACTGGGTAAGAGGCAGAGGTTGGAACAGTTTGGAGGGTTCAGAAGAAGACAGGAAAAGGTGGGAAAGTTTGGAAACTCCTAGCGACTTCTTGAATGGCTTGGACAAAAATGGTGATAATGATATGAACAATAAGATCCAGACTGAGGTGGTCTCAGAAGGAGATAAGAAAATTCTTGGGAGTTGGAGCAAAGGTGACTCTTTTTATGTTTTAGCAAAGAGACTGGTGGCACTTTGCCCCTGCCCCAGAAATTTGTGGAACTCTGAACTTGAAAGATATGATTTAGGGTATCTGGTGGAAAAAATTTCTAAGCAGCAAAGCATTCAAGAGCTGACTTGGGTGCCATAAAAAACATTCCATTTTAAAAGGGAAACAGAGCATAAAAGTTCAAAAAAAATTTCAGCCTGACAATGCAGTAGAAAAGAAAAGCACATTTTTGAGGAGAAATTCAAAGCGGCTACAGGAATTTGTATAAGCAGCAAGGAGCCTAATGTTAATCTCCAAGACCATGGGGAAAATGTCTCCAGGCCATGCCAGAGACCTTCATGGCAGCCGCTTCCATCACAGGCCCGGAGGCCCAGGAAGAAAAAGTGGTTTGGTAGGCTGGGTCCAGGGTCACTGTGTTGTGTGCAGCCTAGGGACTTGGTGCCCTGCGTCCCAGTCACTCCAGCCATGGCTGAAAGGGGCCAAGATACAGCTTGGGCTGTGCCTTCAGAGGGTAGAAGCCCCAAGCCCTGGCAGCTTCCATGTGGCATTGAGCCTGCGTGTGCACAGAAGTCAAGAATTGATGTTTGGGAACCTCCACCTAGATTTCAGAAGATGTATGGAAATGCTGTCAGTTGACAGCTTGCACCATGCACCTGGAAAAGCCACAGATACTCAATGCCAGCCATGAAAGCAGCCAGGAGGGAGTCTGTACCCTGCAAAGCCACAGTGGCAGAGCTACCCAAGACCATGGGAACCAGCGTGACCTGGATGTGAGACCTGGTGTCAAAGGAGATAATTTTGGATGTTTGAAATTTGACTGCCCTGCGGGATTTTGGACTTGCTTGGGCCCTGTAACCCCTTGGTTTTGGCCAATTTCTCTCACTTGGAATGGCTGTATTTACCCCAATACCTGTACCCGCATTGTATCTAGGAAGTAATTAGCTTGCTTTTGATTTTACAGGCTCATAGGTGGAAGGGATTTCCCTTGTTTCAGATGAGACTTTGGACTGTGGACTTTTGGGTTAATGCTGAAATTAGTTAAAACTTCGGGGGACTGTTGGGAAGGCATGATTGGTTTTGAAATGTGAGAACATGAGATTTGGAGGGACCAGGGGTGGAATGATATGGTTTAGCTGTGTCCCCACCCAAATCTCAATTTGAATTGTATCTCCCAGAATTCCACGTGCTGTGGGAGAGACAAAGTAGAAGAAAAAATATTTGAACTGACGAAATGTTCTTGTTTTTTTATGTCACTTTTGACTATTGTGCCCATGACTAGTAGTGGAATATCCATAAATCTATCAAAAAACACAAAATAAAATAGTAAGCTCAAACACATATTTCACACCTTGAAACTAAGAAAAAAGAAATAGCATGAAAATGTATAAAAACAAGATAAAATTGTCTAAGGATTTGAATGTTAAAGTTAATTCTTATATATATATCACAGGGGAAAATTTGACAGAAATTAAATGCAATAACAAACCCACTTCATAATCACTAAAATATTTTTTGGGGGAGAAATGTAGTGGGGTAGTAAAATAATATTAAGTTATAGATCTAATAGATATTCTATTTGTCATAAAAGATAAACAAAATTAACCTGCATAAATCATCAGTAAGAAAAATGACAATGAATTTTACAAATGTCAATCAATAACAAATATATTTCCAAACTCATTGTAGTTATTTTTTCTTTAAATATAATTATCTAAAATTGGAAAATTGATCACCACCAATTAGCCTATTATAATCTTGTAAACTCATTTCTATGTTAATTTGACCAGATACAATACTATAACTGAATATAAACTCAAAAGAAAATATGGATGACTTCACAGACTCAAGTCTGAAAATTTATTATAATCAAATGTGTACATTTACTAAAGTTCTAGTCTTAAACCCAATAATAATTTCTTATTGTGTTCTTCTGTTGGCCAAGAATTACATTAAATGCATGATTTAATCTTCACCAATACCATAGATGGTAGATTGTTTCTAAATGATGTCAAGTATTCATATAGAAATCACTATTAAAAGTAAAATGTATTAAGAAACATAGGCAAGTGAGATATTACAATATTGTAGCCTTAGGCAGACATATTTGGAACAAACATGCACTAGATGGGAAGCCTCTGCCCTTTGGTTCCTGTCCCAGTTCAGGTTAACTTACTGTGAGAATGTTGATGGGCCATTTTTAAAACTGTAAGTTTGTTGCCTTCACTATAGTATATTGGCTTTTTAGAATGATTAATTAATAATTTAACATTTGTGAAATTGTTTTGAAATAAATAATACTCAATTTGTTATTATTATTATCACTAGTCCTGCTGGCATTCTCTGTATCTCTTCCCCCCATCATCCCCCTCCCCCTCTCCCTACCTGTCTCTCTTCTCTTCCTCTCCATTTGTCTCCTTTCTCCCACCTTCCCACTCTCTGGTAACATTTGTTGAATAGTCCTAATGTCTAATATCCCAAAATCCCAAAATGAGTGATGAGTCTGCCTAAGTATTAATCACCTTTTTAGATTTTATTATATTTTATTATACATATATAAAACATCTATCATATGTCTCCTATGTATTTATAAATGGCAGGTAAACATATAAAATATGTAAGGTTTCACATCACCGAATTAAAAAATGTTAACATAGATGTACCAAACATAAGGGATTAATAAAATTGTTTTTGATGTTGTGGGTACTAAGGGAATTCAGAGGAACTGGAAACACTGTGTGACAGTATTCTGGCCTCGAAAATTTTATCTACATTTCTTATTGTCCAAATTATGTATTTCATCATCAACATGCAGTTTCAATTGTCTAATACTGACAACAAAAACAAAACAGAACAAACAAACAAAAATCTGGATATCATTTTTCAATGTATATAGATTTATTCAGGCTGCTATTTTTGTTTAAATGGTATAAAAGGCTGTATTAACATAAAACAGAAGCTTTACAAAGGTGCCCTTATTTAAAAAATACATGTGGATTAGCACATGACATTTACTAATATATTTTAAAATATATCTGGCAGCCAGTTTTTTAGCCTAAATTCTACAAGTTCCTTCTTAAAAAAAAAAGAAAGAAGAAAAGAAAAAAGTCAGGTAAAATAACTAATTTAAATATGTAATACAAAAGTCTGTTCAGATTATGCCTCAAAAATGGAAACAATGTCAGATTTCATGCTAACAGTGCACAGATCGCTGTGACAACCATATTTCTCAAGTTGTTATTGCTTGTGATGCACATTTAAGTGCACAGAACATTTACCTTTATGGCAGTTTTATTCTCAGCACAGTAAATAGCAGAAGGGTTTCTGTTCAATTGACTCTCATAAAAGGTTTAAATCCCTTTTCATTTTGGCATAGGTTATATCTTAAGTTTCTTACTCCAGTTTACATCTATACTCTGAGTAGTATAGATGTTTTGTATGAGGGAATGACCTGATGCCAGGGTGAAAGGAAATTGTACTTGCTTTAAGGGATGTTGTGAATTGCTGCAGTTAGAAAGCCCTTTGTGAGAGAAATGACTTTAAGGCAGAACTGTCTCATCACAAAAATGAACAGCTAGGCATTTTATAAAAATAGAATGTTTTATGTTACGTTGAGCATCATCACAAAGTATCTGACGCCAATAAACAAATGCTACAATATTCTATATCCGATTATAGCCTGTTATTTCATAATCAAATAAATGTGAATAGGAATAAATTAGACAAATATTATATTCATAGGTATATTGTTTATTTTATCTATAGTTCTACAAATCATAAATCACTAAAAAAATTATTGGTAAATTTACGTGTATATTTAAAAGTCAATAATAATAAAAAATGCTAAGATTAACACAGAGGTATTTCAATATGTAACACAAGTAATAGAAAGAGGATATACAGATATAGGTATATAAAAAATATTTTATATAGAAATGTAGATGATTTAACATGGATTTTAACTTTAAAACAATGCATCAATACACCTGATTCTACAAATACAAATTATTTTAATAAGTTTTTCTTTTTTTCTTTTGAGACAGAGTCTTGCTCTGCCACCCAGGCTAGAGTGCAGTGATGCAATCTCCGTTCACTGCAACTGCAACCTCTGCCTCCTAGGTTCAACCAGTTATCTGCCTCAGCCTCCTGAGTAGCTGGGATTACAGGCGTCTGCCACCACACCTGACTAATTTTTTTGTATTTTTTTTAGTAGAGACGGGGTTTCACCAAGTTGGCCGGGCTGGTATTGAACTCCTGGCCTCGTGATCCACCCGCCTCGGCCTCCCAAAGTCCTGGGATTGCAGGCATGAGCCACCGCGCCCAACCTTTAATAAGTTTAAACATAAATGCCAAATATAAATCTGATATAAACAAACAGGACTTACCTTGAAGTGCAAATCAGTAAGGAATAATGCAAATCTTGCTTTCTTTAAAAGCTTTTACGTATTTTCCAATATTTTTCCAGGACTTTTTAATTAAAATTTTCTTTGTGAGATGCATTTGTCAGAAATAATACAGACATATCCCATATATCTTTACCTAGTTTCTCTTAAAGATAATATTTTGTATTATTATAGCACAATATCCTAACCAGGATATTGACTTTAATACTATCCCTGGGTCTTACTAAGATTTCCTGTTTTATTTCCACTGTTTGCGTATATATTTAGTTCTACTTAATTTTGCCACATATGTAAGTCTCTGTATTCATCAAGATAGTCAAGAAGATACAGAATAGTAAAGATCTGCTAATAATTTTTAAAATAAATTTTAAAGTACCAATAAACTTTTAAAGCAGGGGTTAACAAACTTTTTCTGAAAAGATCCACATAAGAAGATGTTTAGCATTTAGAGGCCATAAAATCTCCATTGCAAGTACTCAACTCTCCTTTCCCAATGGGTGTAGCTGTGTTTCAGTAAAACATTACGGAAAAATAGATTGTGACCTGGATTTGGCCAATAGTTTTTTAACTCCCATTCTAAGGTTTTCATAATCACCTTTTAAAAATCTAAAAGTAGCAAATATATTTTCCATTTTTTTATTTAACTTTTCATTTTTTCTTTAAAAAATCCCTAAATGAATATAAGGTTTTGCAGTTCTTTAACCTAATATTTCGATTTGCTTCTTCCATTGGGCCACTATAGCAAGTAATATAACTTGCTGAAACTCCACAAAAAATATAATTCACAATTATAAAATTAATTTTAGCTATCACAATAATATCAGGCCTCAGCTTTACAGAATCTTCTTTTACAATCAAAACTTGGCCCAATGCACACTAATAAGACAGGCAATTTATTGTTTTGGTTTATATTATTTACTCCTTTCTGATGAAATAAAGTAATTTTATGAGTTAGTTGTATTTTAGGCAAAACACCAAGTTAAGTACATAAGCAAACAAAAGACCCATAATTTCTGAGACCTGGAAAATACGCTAAACTTTGGTAAATAACCCAGACAGTATAAATGAAATTTTAACACTACACATGATGAGAAAGTATTTTTAAGTAACAATAGATCTCATAAATATGTTTGGTATAAGCTCAAAGAACAAAAGTTCTTCAAACCATTATTTTATACATTTACTTTATAATAAAATCAATCTATTGTTCATGCATCCTATCCTGACATTGAATGGTATTATTCCTAAGCATACAGCTACAAAACAGAACATTAAATACAACAAACTATTTTCCCACGATATTTATTTATATTTATTTATTTATTTTTTTGAGACGGGGTCTCGCTCTGTTGCCTAGGCTGGAGTGCAGTGGTGCTATCTCGGCTCACTGCAACCTCCGCCTCCTGGGTTCAAGAGATTCTCCCACCTCAGCCTCCCGAGTGGCTGGGATAGAGGCACCCGCCATCATGCCCAGCTAATTTTTGTATTTTTGTAGAGATGGGGTTTCATCATATTGGCCAGGCTGGTTTTGAACTCCTGACTTCAGGTGATCTGCCCACCTTGGCCTCCGAAAGTGCTGGGATTACCAGGGTGAGCCACCATGCCAGGACCCCACATGATATTAAATATTATGTGTTTCCATATGGATGTCAGGTGAACAAACCCTCAATTTGAGAATATGATGCTAAGTTAAAATATTTTGATAGTTACATATTATATATTATGTACATAATTTCATAGTGTCAAGTATCAGTGCAATAGTATAATTTCCACCATACCATCTTGTGTCAAAATGACAGAAAAAAATTCCCTAATATTTTACAAATATTATTTGTAAAATAGATTTGATAGAAAAGGGAACTAAACTGAACTTGAAATCTAAGTATCTGTTATCCTTTTGGTAAAAGAACTGTCATAAAATTCTCTGCACATGTATGTAAGAGGCACACAGTACACTATGGTAAGTAAATTATCCCAGTTTTACTTCAAATGTGTTAAAGGATTTCTAGCAGCAACAATAACAGAGCATTGCATCTTGCATCATCTGAAAAGCTCTACATGTCATTTTTAAATCACGATGGAAATAATATTGTGTTAGAGAAAGTTTGAAAAAGGATAATTTTTAATTATTCAATTTACCTTAATAGGTGGATGAGTGGAGTGTAATAAAATTATTTTTCAGCCATAAATTTAAGCTAGGAGTAAAAATATTAAACAGGTTTTTAAGTGTAAATACGTTTCAGAAATATTCTGAGAAACTGGGACTTGGCACTGACCAAAGGTTAGAAGTCAGATTAATTATTGATGGAAGTTCTACACATTTAACTCTAGAATTTCAGACTGAGTCATGACTATAAACGAGAAAATATTTCCAACAGCATGAACAAGTAAACAACAAATAAATGTATAAAAACTGAATGATGTTAAAACTGTTCAATGATTTATTTATGTGGCATGTAAAAATAATGTATGGAATTACAAATTCAGTACTTTTCTAAACCAATGATTTTCAAATGCATGAAAGTGAATACCAGTACTTTAAAAAAAATTTAACTATGGTTATCTCTGATTCACTAATGAGATTTAGCATGAGTTCTTCTAGTTATTTCAGTGGGCAACTACTGGTTCCTTATAATTTGAATTATGTGGTGCAAACTGAAACCATCGTTTTTAATCAGGAAGGAATGAAATGTTATCACAGCATGGCTTGGCACTCACTAGTCCCTCAATTCCACTCCAGGTGCTTTTTACTGGGTGAATTTGGCCTGTAGACTGAATTGGCCACCCTGTGTCCCTAAGAAAATCCATGATTGGGAAGCCATATGGTGCAATGCTGAAAGCTATATTAAATTTTGAGTCATATTTTGGCCAGCTTTATTCTCATAACTGAATATCAGAATTGTTTCCATGTAAATTTCCACACACTGCTACTTAGTGGAGTACTTAGGCTATTTTGTGTTTCTTTTCCTTTTTAGACCCTTGCTGATATAAAATTGCTAGAGTTTAAAGGCACTAGTTGAGAAAGAAAAGAAATAGAGTGGGGTGACACTTAAGGTTCACCCTTCATTTACCTTTAAAGAAGCAGTCTTCATTGTGAACAATGGTAATCTTTTGTTTTTTCAGGCAAGCAGCTCTGTGCACTTCACAGTGGTTTTCATAGAATTCTCCGTCAGATCCACACACAGGTTTGTAGTGACGTTTGCAAAGGTCCATACAGGCACATTCTGCTTGCCCTGTCTCTCTGCTGGTAACACAGTGTCTTCCCAAACCACAGTACTTATTTTCACAAGATCCAAAAGGGCCATCCTGAATCATAAATCCTGAAGAATTAAAAAAAAATTGAAAATCGTTTGGTTCATTTGTCCAAATAATATATATATTTCAGAGTATCAAGTGGAAAACAAGTGTTCTAAGAAAAGTATAGTATAGTGTATTCAGGGCTCAATTTTCAGTGGTGGACATGCTTATATAAATAACTGCACATGAACTTTCTCAAAATGCTTTCAGTATTCTTCCCTTCTTCCTCTCCTCTACTTGAGCTCTCTTCTCCCTCCCCAGAGAAGTGTAGTGCTTAATGACAAGGTCTGTAAAGCTAAATAAACTGCCTGAGACTAAATCCTGGCTTGACCACTTACTAGCTTTATGTTTTGGATAAATTCCTTCCTTGTGCCAAGTTGTCCCATCTGTAACATGGGAATAATAGTATGGACCATCTCTACAGTTGTTCGAACTATTACATGTGATAATCCACAGAAAGCACATCCTTGGCACATGATAGATGTTCCATAAATGTTAGCTTTTACAGTAACAGAATTGTAGATAGGAGAAAGTAATGTATGCATACAAGGCAGAAAATGTTAAGAAGACAGGAGTGGAAAATAACTGTCTCTTGAAAACTTTGATACATGATCCTTTCTTGTTTTGACCTTTGCCACCTGACAATCACTGATGCATATCATGACTAAATCAACAAATCATGAAGAATTATATTTTCTTGTTACTTATTTAGTCTAATAAACTCAATTTGCATCAGAAAAGTTTAAGTGAATCCACCAATCTTGTACTAAGGCTGAAATTAGCAACTTCAATTCCTTATGCTTTTCTAGGCAGATTTAGCTTTGAGAATTTTAGAAAATGAAAAATGGCAGTAAATTGAATATACATATGCACATAGATACACATAGATATGTATACACATGTATACACACATACATTTGTATATATATTTAGCATCAATGACACTTATGTATTGCAAAAAAGAAATATTTGAAAGGTTACAAGCATAAGTTACAGTAATTTTTTGAGTAGTTAGTATGTATTAATATTCTCAGCTGTTTGTTTAAACCATCTCTACATAACAGCATCATAATAATTAAGAACATGGATTCTGATCCAGAGTTTAAATCCCTAGTTGCAAGCTTTAGGGCCCTAGGTGACTACCTAACACATCTGTAACTCACGTGTAACTCAGTTTCCTCATCTGTAAAATAGGGATAACAATAGTGTATCCTCATAGTTTTATCAAGATTAAAGGGTTGCAATTGGCACATATAAAACTCCTTGTGTTACTTACTATTAACAGCTCTTCAAAAATTGGTTTTCAAAAGGACATAAATATGTGAATGGAAATGTATTTAAGTAATCAATTTTGTTCTTTTGTAAAGGAAGCTCATACATTAATTTTATTTTCATATTTATGCATGAATTCTCAAATGGAATTTAAATTAGCAAAATTAAAATTACACAAAAAGATCAACAGTACCAATGGCATATTTTTTAAAAACTAATTTATATTTCTGATAGCAGTGAAAATTAGAACAAATCTACTTGTAAAAAATTTCAAACTATTTGACTCTTTGATAAAATATTATAATTATTGATGAAGGATTCCATGAAATTTAAAACAAATAGGTGGAAAAATAATTTATTGAAAAGATATTTCCGATGTATCTCCAATGTTATTTTAAATATTGATAACTCACTGAAATATTTTAATACCTGAGTGATGAAATAATCTGTATAATAAACTCTCATGACACACATTTACTTATGTAACCAACCTGTATATGTACCCCTGAAATTAAAATTTAAAAAACTTAGCAAAAAATCAATTTTGGAAAATTTATGTAATGCAGTAGTTCTTGAATTTTGGCATGCTTACAATCACCCAGAGAAGTTGTTAATATACAAATTTTTTCTCCACCTCACCCCAGAGTTTCTGATTCAGTGGATCTCAAGTCTAATCCAAGACTTATATTTCTAACAAGTTCCCAGGTGATGGTGATATTTCTGCTTCCAGGATCAAACTTTAGGGCACTGACTTACTGAAATCCTAACTTATAATTAAAATATATATACTAAGAGAAAGACTAGGTGAATAATTTTAAAATGCTCTTAAGTGGAAAAAGATGAGAAGTTAATGCTATCATCAAAACCTTATAAAATCATGCAATTATTTGGAAGATACTAGGAAAAGAAATTTAAAAATGAATATAGTTGATTTAGCAAGGTTGATATGGTACTGGGCAAGTTTTGCTATTTTTACATGATTGCTTTTTAATGTTCATTATGCTAAATTAAATAAGCAGGAGTCCATTAGTTTGAAGGTGTCTCTGTATTTTGAGTTCCTAAGTGAGAAACTGTACCCTAACTTATTAGTAAGTAAACAAGCCAAAACTGATTTTAAGAATATATTGTTATAACAAATAACCAGGTTTCAGCCAATCACAGGAAATCAATTTATCAGATCAGTTTCAAAAAGGCAAATGCTTCTTCCAACCATGCCCAAATAACATAGATGCCTCGTGGTAGCCAAGCAGGTCATTTATTTACTTTGCTTCTATGTTTGGCCTATAATAGCTCATTGCTAGATGGAGCTTTCTGAATCTCTTTTGGTCCTGAGGGCTGCCAGATTCCTGAATTGTTCTTTGTGCAAATAAACTCTGTTAAATTTAATTTATCTAAACTTTAAAAAAAATTAATGTACTGAAAGAAAATCCAAAATTATATCAATTATTACTATAAAATAAAGTAGAAAAATACTTTAATGTAAAGTATAAAAATACTGATTTCAAAACAGAAAAATATTTCCCCATCCTTATGCCAGTTTTTAATTAAGCAAATTGTTAATTCAATGTTTATAGAGTCTATATGGGGCTGCCATTATAATAGATAAATTTGACTCACATATTTATATTTTGTATAATTTTATGTCATATTTTTTCCATCAAATAATGAGTTAAGATTTTTCAAGAGAGTGTTTTGTTTATTTTAGTATTGAAGAATGAGCTAATGTTTTAAGAGTCTGATCATTTTACATTTTAGTCACAAATTGAGGTAGCTTTATGAATCAGTGAAATTTTCCAATTTTTAGGGGAATGCTCTCCTATAACATGTCATATCTAGTATATATAGGTTGGTCACAATATTTCCCATATTTTCTCTTAAATCCTTTCTCTTAAAGCCTCTACACTAGTTCAGAGATTTATATTAGGATATTTTCCATTTTGTAGAAGTTAATGAACTATTTTACACTAGCTAGAAGCTGTGTGTTGCATGTAGCTGCTACAATTAAACGAAATTTAATTAATTCATATGCAATCCAAAGAAAGCTCATATTATGTAAATGAATAGCTAGAACATACCCTTTCTGACAGTAATTATCCATGACTAATGCCGAACTTAAGTTTCAGCTGAGATTAAATCAATTTAATCTGATCAACGTGTCAAAGATTTCTTCTAAGTACATTCAGTCAGATAACACACTAAATGAATTTTAATCAAGAACTTATATCCTGGTAGCTTATAGTTTTATCAAATAGCATTTACTCCTAAAAAAGGATTATATATTTAACAAATTCATATTTTATAATTTTTATTCCTTCAGAATATTAGAAAAATTCCACAAATTTAAAAAGAGATAAAAATATTAAAAGACTAAACATACCAAGCAATAAAGCAAAATCATTCCCTATTATTCTAAGATGGCATTTTCAGATTCTCAATAATGAATAAAATTATCTTAAAATATATATTTATATTTATATTCTTGTCTATATGTATATCTAATATATCAGCTGATACTTATAGAGTGTATCTAAATTGAAATAAACTTTAATTTTAATAATATACAATTATTTTTATGAGCAAGGTGGTATATTGGTTGGTATATGATACATAAAAAGAATAATCATTGACACTTGACTCTTCAAGTGGCTTACAAAGAGCGTAAGATAGGACTTGAACATGCTTAAGTAGAGAGACTAAGATTTAGGGGGACATTTAAGGGCACAAAGGAGATTGAGATCATGTAAGACCTCACAAACAATGTACCATGTAATACAAATAACTGAGGCTGTGTTTAAAGAATGAGTTAAGAGTCTAATGGCTGATAAAAGGATATACAGGGCATGGAATAGAGACAGAAGCAGGATTTAAAACAATAATAAAGAGGGAGGGAAGAACCAGATTTTGAAGTTAGCTGCCTTTAACTATTATTATGGAATATTAATATATTGTTGTATTTAAAGCGTCAAGTTATTTGAGGTGTTCATTATCTCATAAAAATGTTTTATGTTAAAGTAAAAAATGTAAGTATTATGTTCACAATTATTGGTTAAAAAGAACAACAGATTTTGGTCATAGAACAGAATTTGAGTCTTTGCTTTTCTGTTCCACTCTGGTGTGACCTCAACCAGGCTGCAATCCCTTTGGGCCTTATTGGGTTCTAGTTGTAAAATAAGAGGTAACCAGCAATTTATCTTTGGATTTGCTCTCATCCAAAAAATCCTTTAATGTAATAATGCTCAGCAAAACGCAGTTCTAATGAAAGCTAATGTATGGTGAGTATATTTAGTAAGTTTTCTCTATAATATCTATTATTTATAGTTCACCTGCCTTGAACAATCATATACTTCTTAATTTAAATCATATTTACATACTCTAGAAATAGCCTCGGCTATACAAAATGCAAAAGAATTTTGACTTTGACTTTCTAAATTACTCTTCTAAGATTTTGATTTACTTTTTGTTTCATGCTAATATGGTGCAAAAGTAATTGTGGTTTTTGCCATTACTTTCAATAGGTTTTTACAATTTGGGTTTTAAAATCAGAATCCTCTATTTGTATTTTGACTACATGTATGATTTTTAGGCAAGTTACTTAAAATCACTGAGCTTCAGTTTTCTCATTTAACTAGAACATAGTAGGAACTCAGTAACTGTTACTTCCATGAATATATAAAATGAAGATAATAATAATTACAGTAATAATGATATCATGTGGTTGTTAAGAATATTAAGTAGAATAATGCACTGAAAATTCCTGGCATAGAGTATCTGCTTAACAAATGTATTCATTACTGTTATTAAGAATTATCATTTATTACAGATTTGGTACATAGAACATATTGACTTAGAATCATTGAATTAAATAGATAACTGCCCTCTACAGCTCTTGTTATTATTATAAGCATTGGAAATGCATTTAGGGGAGTGTGGCAGCATGTGTGTTCTCAAAATATACTCTTAAAATTTTCATGGACTTTCACTGTATAAGAATTTACTTCAGCTGCAAAAAGTAAAAAAGGAAGAAGGAAAAATTCAAAATTACATTACACAATTAAATATTTTGATTTAGAATTAAGTATAATATTTTGGTGATGTTTTGATTCCCACAAATGGAAAAATTGTGAAACTATTACATAAAAAATACAATTTCCTGTTGCACACTGTAAATTCTAACAAAATGCATTCGAACCTCACAAACTTCATGGCAAGGGGCAGTTCAAGTAAATACTGGAATGCCCACAGAAGATTGAGCACAGTATAATCTTTTCATGACCTGTAATAATTGGGATGTGTGTTTCCTGCTGCTACTTTGCAGTCGGTCAAAAAAGGCTGCCTGACTAAAAGTTTGCCCAGTGTGCCACTACTGAACGACAATCCTTTTCAACGGTCACATAATCTGTAGTTCAGTGAGTTTGAACCCTTCTTTTCTCCCTTATTTTAGACAATCCATTGGTTCTGCAAGCTTCTTCATGTAATTCTGCAACAGAAGAAGGTTTTTTTTTTTTGTTTTGTTTTTTGTTTTTTTACAAGAGGCCGTATGAAAATAATAAGTAGAAAAAAGCCAGAGATCCAGGTAATTTGCACCCATCCAAATTATAATTTCTGTTTCATGTTAATGAATGTTTGCTAGGAGATATAATTTTTGATGTGTCATTTCAAGAAGTTAAGTGATTTGAGATCAGTACCTAATATGGCAACAGTTATTTCTTATTTGATGTTCTCAACTGAAGTGTGATAATTCTGAAAGCAGAACAGAGTGTGATGCAATCTCAACACTCTTTCCAACCTCAATGCTTAAACTTGATAACAAATTCCACAAAGGATTTTCTAATTATTAATTTTTCCTTTCTAAGTTCTATCTAAAGCGGTGATTTCTCTTATTATCTTAATATCTCCATCCCATTGAAAAATTACAGTAGTACTTATCATTATACACTTTGGCTAAAAGTGAAAGGACTTATTTAGATGATAAGTTGGTTAGAAGCCAAAGAAATTTCACTGTTTCCCTTAGAACTACTTTAACATTATAAATAGATTGGTAGATACAGAGACAGAAAGACACGTAGACCATATGTGAATTTATGATATTTAAGGTCTTCTTTTAGATAACTAAGATTTGTGAATATTAGAAACAAAATATTTGTTCTAAAGTGTTTTAATTCAGTAAATTATTTGAGTGACACTCAGAAAAAAGTGATTTTTTTGCTAAATAGTTAGCTGCCACTGTCATCTATAAACCATGTTGATCTAGATAATAAATAGGAAAATAAATCAATTAACATAAATAAAAATAGTATTTTATTTTATATAAATCTATGCAATGAGAGAAAAGGCATATGCTAAATCATCTGCAAGACTTAAAATATTTCAGGCTTTGGAATAAACCCAACACTTAAAAAATATCTTATTTCTTATTAAAATTTAAAATAGCAGATAGATATTCTCAAATGAGAAAGGCATTTTTTGCAATGATTTAAAAAATTAAACAGCATATTAACATTTTTTAAGTGAAGGTCAAGCATTGTAATACAAGGGTAGATTTGTCCAGCCAAACTTCAGACTATAATGTTTATTGTTAAAGTCAGTCCAGCAATATGGTTAATATATTTTTTAATGAAGATATAGTAATTTCTGTTATAATTATAAAAATAAACGGCTGCTAGAAAAGGAATATTATATTTTTTAAGTTTTAACTTTAAAATCAACGCTAGTAAATTATCTTTTTACAATATACTTTTTTCCTTTATTAGAGTAAAATTGAAACCAAATAGTGTATTAATTTAAAAAGTAAATATTGGTCATTAAAACTATTATTTTCATGAAGAAGAATTAGATTTTCCAAATATATTAAGCATTAAAATGCAAAAATGCATTTAATTTCTTCAGAAGAAATGTATTTTTTCTTTATGATGAAGTGTAATACATTGATATTTACTTTTTTAAATTAAGAGACTGTTTTTTAGAGCAATATAATGTTCACAGCCAAACTGAATGGCAAGTACAGAGTTCCCATATATTCCCTTCCCACAGAAACACACAACCTTCCCCACCATTAACACCCTAACATTAACACCATTAACACACTAGTACCTAGTGTGGTACTTCGTTAATATCCACTAATCAATTTTTCCAGACCATTATGAGCTCAAGTCAATCCCTCCAAGTTTTACCCTGAACCCTCAGCAATTGCTGATATATTTAATGGCTCTATAATAGTTTTGCCTTCTCTAGAATATCATAAAGTTGGAATTATACAATATGTAGGCTTTTATCATGGACTTATTTCATTTAATGATATGGATTTAAGATTCCTCCTTGTCCATGTTTGGCTTCCTAGCTCATTTCTCTTAACTGCTGGAAAATATCCCATTGTATGGATTACCATGGTTTATTTATCCATTCACCTACTGAAGGGCATCTTAGTTGCTTCTCAGGTTTGGCATTGTAAATAAAGTGAGTTGCTATAAATATTTATGTACAGGTTTTTGTGTAAGACACAGAGTTTCTGTTCATTTGGGTAAATATTAAAATATACTATTGTTACTATAGATCGGATGGCAAGGTCATATTTAGTTTTATAAAAAACTACCAAACTGTCTTCCAAAGTGACTGTTCCATTTTGCATTCCCACCAGCAATGAATGAGAGTTTTTCGTTGTTCTATATCCTCATCAGTAGTTAGTGTCTGCAATGTTTTGGATTTTTACCATTCAATTAGGTAGTTGTGGTATCTTGAAGTTTTAATTTGCAATTCCATAATCATAACATAAGATTGATTGAGCGTATTTTCATATGTTTGTTTACCATTTGCAAATCATCTTCAGTGAGATGTTGATTTTAGTATTTACCCATTTTTATTGTGAAGGTTTAAGAATTTGTATATTTTGTGTACCAGTCTGTTATCGGATGTGTCTTTGCAAATATTTTCTCCCAATCTGTAGCATGTCTTCTCAATCTCATGACAGTGGTTTTTGCAGAGAAATTTTTAATTATAATTAAGTCCAACTCATCAATTTTTCCTTTCACTTATTATCCTTTGTTATTGTAACTAAAATGTCTTCACCAAACTCAGCCTCTTAGATGTCCTCCATAGAGATCATCTAGGAGTTTTATAGTTGTGCATATTGCATTTAAATTTGTGATTCAAGCTGAATTTTTTTTGAATTACATAAGGTCTGTGACTAGATTTGTCTTCCTTCCTTACTTCCTTCCTCCCTCCTTCCCTCCCTCCCTCTGTTGCTCTCTCTCTTTCTTTCCTTTCTTTCTCTTTTTTAAATATGGATATCCAGTGCTTCAGCACCATTTGTTGACAAGAATATCCTTTCTTCATTTAATTAGCTTTGCTTTTTTTTTTTGTCAGAGATCAGTTAACTCTAATGGTATGGGTCTGTTTCTGGGCCCTCTACTCTGTTCCATCACTCTTTTTTTGTCTTTCCTTTCTCCAGCACCATACTGTCTTGACTACTGCAGCTTTAAAGTACATATTGAAGTCAGATAGCTCAATATGCCTGTCTTCTTCTCCTTCAATATTCTGTCAGATCATCTAAATCTTTTGCTTTGCCATATAAACTTTAGAATCCGTTTGTCTATATCTAAAAAGTAAGCTGGGATTTTCAATTGTGTGATATTTATTTTTATGAATTTTTTTGTGGAATGTACATAACTGGAAGTGACTTTAAATGTTGCCAGTGAACTAAATTACTGGAACAATACACTCAATCATAATCTTAACTACCACTCTAGCAGATGTAGGTAGGCACGTGTGTGTGTGTGTGTGTGTGTGTGTGTGTGTGTGTGTGTGTACATAGTTTAAACTTGGAAATTATAGCTTAGAAAAACATCTAGTGCAAAAGCCCAATACACAAAATAATCAAAAGTGTCACCATTCTGATTAAAGCAGGGGTGACAGTGAGTCCCAGGTATGGCTTCCCTCAGTCTCTCTGACATCCAGTAAGGAAAAAGTGAAAAATTCAGGATTTCTACAGAGTGCTGGACTAAATGATGTCTCATTTTTCCCTCAAATTTATAATTTTTGATGTGTGGCTGGTTATTTTTACTCCACATTTTCTTCACACCTAATGCATTAGAAACAATGTCAGATTTTTTAAGAGCCATATTTATAATAGTTGCCTTAACATCAGTTTTGGGGAAAGATCCTTTAAATTCCTGAGTTTTTCTGGCCTTGAGTCATAATCAGTGATGTAGTGATTAGTGCTTAACAAAAGGCACTGTGTTTGTAGCATTCTCTGGTTTCTGTGTTGTAAAATACTCCCACAGTGTCTGATCTGCAGCTACAAACAAGACATCACAGCTGAATTTAAGAAGACATGTGGGCAGCCAGCTCTTATAAACCAGTATAAACCAGCAAAACTAAATTCTTAGCTTTGGCATAAATCTAAATAGAGTCAATGATTAACAATGTTTTCTTCCCCAAACCCCTCTATGGTTGAATTAAAATACTGATTAGTTCATTAATTTCTTCAACAAACTTTTGCACTGGAAATAAAGAGAACCTTATTTTCTAAGAATCAACTTATTACCATATGCAAAGCACTATGCTTCCATGAGAAAGTTTAAAAATATTATATCAGTCATTTTTAAAGCTTTTTTTTTCTCTTTTGAGGATTACACCAATGTTAGTAGCGTTTTCAAAATAGCAAAACATAAGAAGTAAATACAGTGTCTTCAGGTTCAGAACACAGGGTTCACCACTGATACAATTCTGGTTGCTAGTCACATGATCACTCAAGTTCCTTGGATAGTTAAAAAAAATCAGGATGCAAAGCGCTCTATCTATGCTCGTAAACTCATTTGCTTCAACTCTCTACCTCTCTGCTCCAACAGATGTGTTTTAAATCCATTTCATAACTAATTTCTCCAAAAACTTTGTTTATCCCTTGAATTATTTCATTTCCCCTAGCTTAGGTGTTTGGAATAATTGCAAGCTTTTTCAGATTTCCAAGTGCTTATATTCCTTTCCCGGAGCAAAAGACACGGAGTCAATCTGCTGCCTGAATTAGACAAAGGCGAAGGGGGAAATAATAAATACTACCTCAAAAGTATTATACCACTATGATAAAAGAAGGGAACTTAACTCTGTCTAGTAGGGCTCCCAGAAAGCATTCTAAAGAAGAAAAGTCTGGCACTACATAGAAATTAGGGATGTGGACAATAGATGCGTAAAAGGATATTTTAAGCAAAGGTATGAATATATGAGTAGGTTGATCTAATGCTGCCAAAGGGGAGAGATTATGATTATGATTGTTACAAGATGTTAGAGAATTAGGGAGAAGATGATAATAGCCTTGCACAATATGTTTAGGATGTGTCACTGGGACCGTAGAAGCTGATCTTTAATAGCTTTAAGGAGTCTGTGGAGGATAGAAAAGAAAACAACAGGAGTCAGGAAGCCACTACCTTGGTCTAGGTGAATATAGTGTGAGTCAAACAAGAACAGCTATAAGAAATCAATTTATGGAGCAATATAGTATAAGTTGGAAAGAGAAGAGACAAAGAGGGTAGTTTTGCACAAAAGGAAAGGAGTTAAGAGTGATTATAAATAAAGACAATTTTTGTAAGCAGCATTATGAGAAGTGGAGGAAATTCTTGGACAGTAGACTCAATATTCTTGTACAATAATAACAATGTGATAATATTATTGCTTAATGAGCATTTTATGTGGTCTACATGTATTATTTAATTTAACAATATACCAATATGAAAATTTTATTTTCACATTTTCAAATGAATAAACTGGTGGTCACAAATTTTAAGTTTTTGGACTGCAAAGAAAGTGGATGCCAGATTTGAGCCTTAAAGTCAGATAGGTCTGACTGATTAAAAGTGCATGTTTTCAGTCTTAATGTTGTATGCTTTCTTTGCAGTAGGTGGTAAGTTCCTCTCTCCTGTGGAAGACAAGTCATTTGTTAACAGCAACAACATTCTAAAATGGTCATTTTTAGTATAAAGAAGATAAATAATGGGCTATGGACTAAGATGGCATCACTCCCAATGGTACAGTCCAAACATCTTCAATTGTACCAGTGTGCCAAGTTATAATGTTATTTTTCAGCAAAACTCAGTCATTTCAAGTATGATGGTAGAGAAGTAAGGTTACGGGACTATTTAGAGTAACGGTTCTAATTGTCAGGTGTAGTGGCAGTATTTGAATAGATAAAAAGCAGAAGCAATTAAGAAAAAATGTATTGCAGACTGGACACAAAAAATAGGGTTCAAGTTGGGTAAACAAAGCATAGTTTTTCAAATTCTTGCCTGTAAATTTAATTTAGTATATTAATGTCACTTACAGTAAAATAATTAAGTCCAACATATTCTTTTCAACTGAAGCAACAATCTGTTGTGATGGTTCTCTAATATATAAAAATAAGAAATTTTTCTTTCCACCCATAACAAGAGACTATTTTTAAATCTAAAATTGCCAAGATCTTTAGTTTTTTGTTAGATACTGTTTATCGTCTTTTTATTCATAAGCTTTGATACTTATCTGCCTTCCTCATATGTCTGAAAATTAAGCTCCCCATTGCATATACATAAGTTAATGGTCTTAAAACTAATTATCCTGACAATAACAATGGCTATCCTATAAGAATGTGTATATATAAATATATACATACATATATGTAAATATATGTATGTTTGTATTTTAAAATCTCATGTAGCCCCTGGACCACTGTGATTTTTCCATCTTTGTGTCTTATTGATTTATTTATATCCTATAGCTCTATAACTTTTGTTTTTGAACTATATCACTTGGCTTATTATTTCATACTTTTCTGATGAGCCAATATGATTTTTCAAGTTGTTCCATATTTATGTCTTTTGCAAATTTGAAATCTTCACTCATTCATAAAATAAAATTAATATTTTTAAACTCATTACTTATCCAAAGTAAAAGTTTCCCAGTTATTTTTAAATATTATTTTATTAATGTTATTGGTTAGCTGAAATTCCTAGGCTTCTAAATGTTTGATTGTTCTTCCCATCACTAGCTTTTGGTCACATTCAAGCTATTGATAAATTCTCTACAAGTTATAAAATAAAACAAAGCTAAACAATACAATACATCAAGAAATTATCTTTTCATAAACATTTTAGTTTGCGTATGATAATCTTCTCTACACTTGCTTTTATATCCTGTGTAAATTGCTTAGATAATAACATTGCTATTTTACTGTCCATTTTACATTGTTGGCCGACACGCATGGCGGGTTAGGTATATATTTAGAGGAAAGTGTGACATGGTCTGGCACCTCACTCTCCCTACACTGCCAATGTATTGGACATTGCTGGTCTTTGCCGGTTTTCTCTGATTATGCCTTTCAGACAGCACAGCCACAGGATCCCACTAGATTGCTATTTCATGGTGTGTCACCCTTGGTGACTGTCCTTGTTTCTTTCCTCTGCCCACCTTCTCAATTCTGGCTCATGTTGAGGTTGTGTTATAAAAGTCTCTACAGAAAAATAATCACCTAAGCACTGAAAAAGATACTAAGATACATGTCATGTGCTTAGGTCCTGAAGCCTTATATTTTAGTAATGATATGAGATAGTTAAAACATGAATATTTCATAAGTTAAAAAAGTTGTCACATGAGAGATACAGAATTATATAAATTTTTGTAGGAGAAAAACATCTATTTTGAGAGAAAAAAAAGCTTCCTAATAGAACTCAGATTTGATCATGGATTTTTTTTTTTTAATGATTAGGATTTTCAAGGTGGAAAATGGTTACAAAAGAAGAACACAGAAATACAGAAAACCAGTAATCTTTGTCCCCTAAACCTCAACTCGTCTATCATTTTTATATTACCCTTATAAGTGGTTTCAGAGTGATAATTCCCTAAATCAATAAGCCAATCTGTACAGTTATCCCAATAAAAGAAACCTAGCAAAACTTACTATGTCTCCTTTTAGCTGATTTTTAAATTATTATTTACCACATATGTTTGCTTACATTGAAAACAGCACTGAAATCACTTTTTCTACGTAGTTAGCTCTTTAAGTGGTAGCACTGAAGTAGGAAGAGTAAGAAAACATATCTCCTAAACAAGTCTGTCTTCTAATACTAATAACTACCATTTTTCTATACTGACCTAAGCATTTTCTTCCCATCATTTGATGGGAAGACCTCATTTGATCTTTGTAACAATCTTAAATGCTACTTGTTTCTTGTTTTACAAATAAAGAAGAAACTAGCTCCAAATAGTTACTTATCATGTCCCAGCTTAAGCATAGTAAGTGATGGAGCCAGGCTTCAAACTTATGCTTTCTTGAACTATTAACCATCACATTATTCTGCCTGTACTTTGCTCCTATCAATGTTTATAGTTCTAGCAAACAATATGGAAGATATTTATTATAGACAATTGGAAATATAAAACTTGAGCACAGTAGAAACTCAGGGGATCTTAATTTGACATCGCTGTATATAAAATCATAGGTGAAGACATGAGTTAATGTGATAGAAGAAAAGAAAGTATTTATAGAAAGAAGGTTGGGAAGTATAGCAACTGGCCTTTCAAATAGTTTATCAAAAAAAATTGGACTGCCCTCAGTCATGAAATAACTCATATGTAACTTTTTAAAAACCTCATATGATCAGTAGTGTTTAGAAGCATTTGATCTGACCTTCTATTGCCTGAGTTTGAAACCTGGTTCCATCAGTAACTAGCTGTGTAATTTTAGAATTTTGTGGGGTTTTTTTTCGTTCTTTCTTTTTGCTTTAATTTTCTCATCTGTAAAATGGAGATATTAATAGAACTGATTTCATAGATATAAATCAATGTATGCAAATCTCTTAAAATAGTGTCTGCCAGACATTACAACTGCTATGTTAGACATTATGACAGACTATAAAATAGTGTCTTTCAGCACCTTAATGTCTGCTATCATTAACATCAATATCATGCCCCTGTTATTATTTTATTTCATTCTAAAAAACAACCAAAGAAGTAGGCAATCTGCAAAGAAGTTATAATCCAAAGTTTGTGTGCTATTTAATAATTATTGAAACAATACTTAAAATGATACATTCTCAGGTTAGCCCACAAACTCTACTTAAACCTAGATGGTTCAATTATGGTGCATACTGATGATGTAATGTAACTTTAACAAAATATGACCAGCAATTTACTTTTAAATCTCATAACTATATTTCATATATTTTAGGCAATTTCCTGTGCTCACTGTAAACTTGTATGGTAATGGAAATTAGAACTGCTCCAGTTCCTAGTTAATGATTCTATTTAGCACGAGAGCTCTTGTGTTGCAGGGCAGTTGTAAGGGGTCAGTAAAGAGAAGGATGAGATTCCAAGGCAGTAGGGAGAGAAACCTTTGGACACTAGTAATTCCTATCATTTTTGCTTTCAAGAGGATATTTATTACCAACTTATTCTCTGTGTTAGGTACACAACATCAGTGATGCAGAATCTTTGCCTTTCCTCAACAATGGGTGCTCAAAAAGGTCAAACACCTGTGATGTCTTTCTGAAAAGATAGATTTATACTGATTCAGTTCCATCTTCTTACTGATTACTGTCCTCATAGAACTAAGGAAGTTAGTGTTAATTGAATGCACTTCCATCATAAAAAATTTGATTGACATTTAGTGCTACCTAGACAAAGATCTCTTTAAATACCACAGAGAGGTAATTAAAAATTGGACATCTTGGCAGGACTGTTCATGGAAATCTTCTAGAGAATATGAAGGTTTTTTTAAAGCTCGTGGATATCAAATTTTTCCTCCTCCTTTGCACATGTCTCCATTGCTTCTGAGAGTCCTTTTTGTTCTTTCTCATGGTCCCCATATTCAACTTGTATCCATTCTGCCCAATTAACAGATTTTCTTCCTTGACCTCTCTACGTTTCCAATGGTAGGATGAATCTACACATGCTTCACAAATCATTTTATGAGAAATGCACAGAATGAGAAAGCACAGAATTGAAGACCTTCTCCTATTCATTTTATTAAAAACAAAAGCAGGCTAGGTGAGGTGGCCCATGCCTGGAAATCCCAGCACTTTAAGAGGCCAAGGCAGGAGTGTCACCTGAGGTCAGGAGGACGAGACCAGCCTGGCCAACATGGTGAAACCCTGTCTCTACTAAAAATACAAACATTAGCTGGGCCTGGATCATGCATGTAATCCCAGCTACTCAAAAGGCTGAGGCATGAGATTCGCTTGAACCCAGGAGGCAGAGATTGCATTCAGCTGAGATCAACTATTTTACCCAATACAGAGCTTCCTTCAATGGAATAGAGATTAGTTTGTTAATAGCTGTGAATTTAGGTAATTGTAGGAATAAAGAAAGCAATGAAAGTTCTTTTGCATATATCTACACATATACATAATTTACATAATCTAAGTGTGTGTATGTATGTGTATATGCTACTATACATATGTTTTCCTCTTAAGTGAACTGCTAATTTACTATGGTATATTGAAGATATAAACATTATTTTGCTATCTTCTTAAACCCTTTGAGACAACTAAAAATACTTTAAAATAGATCTGCAAGGATGAAGAGAACTGGAGGAAACAAACAAAATATTGGAATCTTGTAAGAATATAGATAGGTGGGAACTGTCTTAGTGGCACTAAGCAAGCTGAATCCCAACTTTGTGGTTGGTAAAGCTGCAAACCTTATTTATACACAGTTTCCTCAGATAAATTAGCAATACCAAGTACCGCAGGAAATGAAAATGACAGTGATTACTAAAATATGGAGGCCTGTTGAAAATTATGTGCAAAGTCAATAAATTGCCAGATCCCCTCCCTTATGCAATCCTGGTAGAAACCTGCAGGTTTATTCTTTCAGGACACAGCTAAACCATATGGAATCTGGAGAGTACCGCAAGCTGAATGCCATAAAAAGCAGCCCTCTACCACAGTGCATTCCACCCCAGCCTCTGGCAGGAATGTTGAAAGCCATAATCTTAGCCATCAGGCAGATTATTCAGATTCTTCTTTGAAGAACTTTTTATGTAAAATTGGGAGTTCCCTAAAAATGATTCACCCAGGTCACTCACAGGAAAGGTGATGGTTGAAAAACCTTACTCAGTGCTCAGAAATTCTAAGTCAGATTTTCAATGTCCTTTTCTTAATCAAGAACAAAAAGCCAGCATTAAGTAGGCATGTGAGTAAACCCTCTAACATGAAAGATAAGACCAAAATAAACAAACAGATTAAAACAATGTGAAATGAGTCAATGCAGTTAAAAAATACTGTAAAAACACAACATAACAAAACCTGTAATTTATATCCTCAGAGAAATGAGATAATAGCCAATAAATGAAATAAAAACAAAAGGAAACTTTATAAAAATCAATGATGTAACAGATAGGAGAAAAAAATGTAAAACAACATAGACATCACTTCCAGAATTCCAAAGTCCAAATAATAGAAGGTCCAGATGGAGAGGGAAGGAAAACAGATGGTAGGACATAATTAATAAAATTATTAAAATATTTCCCAGAACTGAAGGACATGAATTGCCAACTTGAGAGAGTTCACCCAGTGCACAGTAAAATGAATTAGAATAGACACATATCATGGCACACTGTAACATTTAAAAATATTGAAGACAAAAACAATTTGCTACAAGCCTCCAGAAAGAAAAATAAAATGCTCTATCATACAAAATGAATTAGGCATTAAATTTGATTCTGACTTCTCAGCAGCAACAGGGAAGTCTAGAAGGCCATAAAGCAGTATACAATTCTGGGGGAAAGAACTCTGTGCTGATTATGGCCCTAATCTTGCTCTCCTTTTCATGCCCTGATACTGAGTCAGCTACCAATACATTTTTCTCCCCAAAGAGGTATTTCTGCTTTAGCATGCTCCTCAGCACTGGAGGTAAGCAATGGCAAACTTAGAAGCCAAAGATCAGCATCTCTCCTCCTCATATACGTGTGCTGTACTTTTTGGTGTCTGGTCCACAATTTAGCCCTGCCAGTTGCCCTGCTTATTGAAATATTCCTGAACTTTCAGATATTCTAATGAGGTTTTCCTCTGACATCATCTCACCTTTCTAGCAACATGTCCAGTTTCTTTGTCTAACTACCACTCATCATATAGGTCTCATCTTACATGACTTCTCTTTTAACAGACCTTCCTTTACACTTTTCCTTTATACTCTTCCTTACATCACTTTAATATTAAAGTAGATCCCTTTCACCACCACCATTCATCAATATCAATGTACTTTTGTAGAACTCTGTGTTTTCTCTGCATAACACCTAAAAAATTGTGATTAGAGAGCTACTAGTTTAAATATTTGTTTACTATTGACACTCAATAAATCTGTGTTCCAAGAGAGCAAAGATCCATCTTTTTGTTCAAAAACTGTATCATCAGTAACTAGCAGAGTCTCTGGTGATCTTGATAAGGGCATAAGTAAATGCTTCATACACTAATTTATTTATTTTATGCAAAAACAATAAAAAATGTATTATCAAATTTCACTAAAATTTAAAATATTTTACAGTTTTATAGATGTATGCCATTTAAAAGTTATATATAAACATATAGGTAGATATGGATATCCAGCAAAAATGATTCTTTTAAAATACCATAAATTGGGCAGAGAATTGTTTCTATGAGAAATATTACGCAAAAAATATGTCATAAGAAACACTGGTGTACACCTTCATCTTTTTTGTATGATGGTTAATTAAAATGGATACAATTGGGTGGTTGGAATAGTAAAATTTCCAAAGCTGAAAAATAATAAACTGGTCAAATAATGCATAGTTTATTAAATTTGGCATCCTAAAGAAATATTGGAATGTATATTACATATCGAAATAATTGCCTTTGATTTCTACTTTGTCAGAGCACTTGGTTATAAGATCCTTTTAATAATTTATTAGCTGTATTCTTATGAATAAGCATTGTCTTTATTTTAAACTTTTCTGTATAGGGAACTGGTTATTCTTAATTTATCCTTAAACTTAAGTATTTTTTTTAATTGGTGACATAAGGCACGGAACAGGTTTCCAGCATCAAATGTTAATTAGCTTATTAATCAATAATTTAAAAATCATATTTGTTGCTTTAGTCCTCAGTTAAAAGGGCAATTAGCATAAAAATATATTTAGAAGAAAATGTAGTCACAGAGAAAGAGAATGACATTGGGTATAGTATATCACTTTTCTAGTTTTAACTGATATCATTAGTTACATTATCCAAGAAATGCAAAGGATGTTGATAAAATAATTTAATTACTACATTGTACTACATGCCACTATTTTCTATATTGGCAAGCAAATTGTAAAAACATTCAATAATAAGGAAGATTCATTTAAAAAATAAGCTTCTCTGATTTTCTTAGAATAAATAATTTTAAAATATCTCCATGTATTAAATTGGAACAGTGAGCAAAAAATATAATGATTAAAAGGCATATTTTTGCTTATATTATGGTACTTATGACTTGAAATCATATTGAAATATTTGTAAATATAAGAGCTTTCTTTTTACTCTCTGTATATTACATTCTTTAGAATATTTTTATTTAAGTCCCAAATAATTAAAATAAGATTTATTTCTGTTTTAAGGTTATCTAAGCAGTGGTTTTAGTGTTTTCTTCTTGATAACCTGTAGCTGATTCTCGTGCACTTTGCAATCAGGCTCATTAAGCTGGCTGACACACTTCATAACTCTGGCTTGAAAATGATCAAATAATGAGAAGGACTGTAGAGGAAGAATTGATTTTTGTTACAAAAGGGAAAAGTACAGCAATTCTTATTACCAATTCAGACAATTTAGTTCCATTTGACAGGAAATAAGGTGTCATTCTGAATTACTGAACAAGCACTAACATGAGGATAACAGTGAATCAAAAATGTTTATTTTAAAGCTATGTCCAAAATGTTATCAGTGATATTAGTATAGGATGTAGCTCCATGAGCCTATCTTACCACGGAAACACCAAAAAGTCAAGCATAAACTGTCAGAATAATCTTTAGATAGCTCCAAAAAACAGTCAAAACTGCTAACAAACTAAGAGAATGCTAAGTCAAGAAAAAGGCAAATTAAAAATGGTAGAAAAACTTTGCTACATTTTTACTTACCTTAGCACTCCCCCTTTCCCAGCTCAGCAGTGGTGCTGAAGACATAAGCCCATGATTTCAGAAATTCTGGCTCTTAGAATAGCTGAAAATTATTACCAGTTATTGTAAGAGCCAGAATTTCTAAAAAATTCTATCCTCTAATAAAGTTTTCAATAACTGAGAATTATTTTCAGGATTTTAAAAGCAGATTTTAGCAAGCAGAAAACATAATTAGAAAATTTGAAGGTAAGTCAATTGTAATTATCCACGTTGTTGAGTAAAAATTTAAAAAAATTGACAAAAATGAACAAGCCTTATGAGATCTGTGGAATGCCATCAAAATACGCTATCTGCATAACAGTAGTCCCAGAAGAGGAGAGAGAAAAAAAGAAGGAAAATATTTGAAAAATAACAAGCAAAATCTCCCCAAATTTGATAAAATACATTAATTTACACATCCAATGAACGTTCTGAAGGACACAAAAACATCTGCACTGAGCCCAATTATAAAGAAACTTTTTACAAAGCAAGAATCCTGAAAACAGAGAGAAACAACTTGCCCTATTTAAAAAAAAAAACTTCAATACAAATAACAGCTGATTTTTAAGCAGAAAACACAGAGGCCAGAGGTAGTTGGAAGATAAGTTTAACATGCTGATATAAAAATCATGTCCACCAATAATTCTGTATCAGATAAAACTACCTTTTGAAAATGAAATTGGAAAGGAAACATTTTCAGATAAAGGCTGTGTAAGTTTGATGCTAGTAGACCTTCACTCCAAGAAGTGCTAAAGGGAAATTTTGTGACAGAAATGAAAGGACTCTAGACAATTACTCAAAGCAACATGAAAAAAACAAAACAAAACAAAACAAAAAACACTGATAAAGGCAACTACATAGGTAAATACAAAACCAGTATTATTGGACTGAGAGTAGTAGTTCCCTTTTTTGTTTTTCATTATGTCTTAATGAAAAGCAAAACCCAATAATTTTAAATATATATTAATGTGCATCCAATATATAAAGATGTAATTTGTGAAAACAACATAAAGGGAGAGGAATGAAGCTGTACGAAAAAGTGTTTTGGTATACTATTAAGGCTATGATGATACTAATTCAACTAAATTGTTATAAATGTAAGAGTTTAATTTTTAAAACTGGGGGAAGCACTAAGAAAATATCTAAAAATATACATAAAAGGAAACAAGAAGCAAATGAAAACAGTATACTATAAACATTAATTGAACACAAAATAAGGCAATAATGGAGAAAACTGAAGAACAAAAATATGTAAGATGTATGAAAAATAGAGAAGCATATTCTTCCTTACCATTAATTACTTTAAATCTAAATGGATTAAAGTCTTATTCAAAAGGAAGGGATTGGCAGAATGGATAAAAATGGTGATTCAATTATATGCTATCTACAAGTAGTTTGCCTTAGGTTGAAGTAAAAAATCAGCTGAAAGTGAGAATATGAGAAAACATTCTGTGTAAGTAAGCAATAACCAAAAGAGAGGTGAGATGGTTGTATGATTATTATACAAAGTAGACAATACATCTAAAATTGTTACAGAAGACAAATAAGAACATTATATATTGGTAAAAGGATCAATTCACCAAGAAGACATAATACTTACAAACATATATGCACCAAATCTCAGAGCCCTAAACTACATGAAGGGACCTTGGCAGCATTGAAGACAGAAATTTGCAGTTCTAGTTGCAGACTTCAATACCTCACTTTGAATACTGGAATAAGCAACTATATAAAAAATAATTATGAAATAAAGAACTTTTCAAACACTACAAACCTAATAGACCTAATAGACATATAAGAAAAACTTCACCTCAAACAGCAGAGTATGCATTTTTCTCAAGTGCACAGAAAACATGCCCCAGGATATGTTAGGCCACAAGACAAATCTCAATACTTGTATTTTAAAACATTCAATTAAAAAATTAAATAGTTCAAGGTATCTTAGCAACAATGAAATAAAATAGAAATAAATAAGAGAAAAACCTGGACTATTCAGAAATGTAGGAATTTAACAACATATTCTTAAACAATCATGGCTAAAAGAAGAAATCAAAAGAGATATTAGGAAATACTTAGAGACAAAGAAAATGAAAGCATAACATGCTGAATTTTATGAGATGAAGAGAGAGAAGACTAAGAACTCATAGCTGTAAATGCCTACATTAAAAAGAAGGAAGATCTCAAATCAATAATCTAACTATACACCTTAAGAAACTAGAAAAAGCAAAACAAAACCAAATCCAGTAGATGGAAAGAAATAATAAAGATTAGGACAGTAATAAATCAGAGAATAGAAAAAAAAAATAGAGAAAATCAATTAAACCCAAGTTGGTTCTTTGGAAAGATCAACATAATTGACAAAAATTTAGCTTGACTCACTAAGAGAAAAAATTAAAAAGAAGATTCAAATTATTAAATTCAAAAGATAAAGTGGGATCATTAGTATAATCTTACTGAAATAAAAAGGATTACTGAAATAACATATAAAGAGACTAAATCAGTAATCAAAGACCTCCCAATCAAATATAGCCCAGGAGCTCATGATTGCTCCTGTTACATCTACCAATTATGAGGAAGAATTACTCAATTCTTAACCTATTCCAAAAATGGAAAAAAGGAGAATATGCCCTAACTCATACTATGAAGCCAGAATAACTGTCACACAAATTCCAGGGGGGAAAAAACCCTGCAGACCAATATTCTTTATGAATATAGATGCAAAATCTTAATCCTTGTTCTTGATCTCAATGTTTTTACCTAAGACATTGGTGTCCATTTTTCACCAGTTCCAGCAAACACTGCACTAAAAGATCTAGACAAAGCAATTGGGAGAGGGAAGGCATAAAAGGCACTTAAATTGGAAAGGAAGAAGTAAAACTGTCATTATTCACATATGACATGATCTTATATGTCAAAATGCTAAATAAACCATAAAAATCAATTAGTGTTAATAAGCCAATTCGGCAAAGCTGCAGAACACATTATCGACACTGAGAAGTCTATTGTATTTCTACAAACTAGTGATACATAATACAAAATGGAAATGGAATTAAGAAAACCATCCCATTTACAGTAGCATGGAAAAGAATAAAACATCTAGGAATAAATTTAAATGAGAAGGTACAAGTCCTGTACATTGAAAATTATAACACTGTATAAAAAAATCAAATTACCTATCAAAATGAAAGAAAATCCTATGCTCATGGATTTGAAGACTAAATATTAAGACTGCAATACTACCCCAAATTTTCATTATAGCTTTCTAATAGTAATATATTATTATATTTTGATAGTTTCAATGCTAAGAAGTTTGCTTACAAACAGTATACTTGTTATTAGTTTTAAGATGTTCTGGCTATTTTTGTAGTTTTAACATAATATGATTAATTATGAATTTGTTTCCATTTATTCTGCTCATGTTATTTTAATGATTACTCAAGTGACTGGTATTTAATTCTGATAAATTATTGACTCGTGTTTCAGAACTCCTATAAGTTTTTTATTGGACTTTTACATCAGAACCACTGTATCTTTTTTTTTTTTTTTTTTTTTTTTTTTTTTTTTTTTTGAGGTGGAGTCTTGCTGTCGCTCAGGCTGGAGTGCAGTGGTGCAATCTCAGCTCACTGCAAGCCCCGCCTCCAAGGTTCATGCCATTCTCCTGCCTCAGCCTCCCGAGTAGCTGGGACTACAGGCACCCACCACCATGCCCGGCTAATTTTTTGTATTTTTAGTAGAGATGGGGTTTCACCGTGTTAGCCAGCATGGTCTCGATCTCCTGACCTCGTGATCTGCCCGTCTTGGCCTCCCAAAGTGCTAGGATAACAGGCGTGAGCCACTGCGCCTGGCCCATAACCACTGTATCTTTACCTGCTCTGTAAATATATTATTTTCCTTTCCATTAAGTTCTCAGACAAATTGTTGGCTTCCTTTTTCCACTGCCTTGAGTTGCTGGATAAAGTTTTCCTAGTTCTCTTTTGATAGGTAGAGCATCAATTTAAGGCTCGTGTTTCTGCAGGGTTCTAAAATAATTTCCAACCTTTTAATGTGTAAATTAATTACTCCTTTCTCTGCAATGCCAATGCTCAGCCTCCAAGTTCTATCTGGATACGAAACTCTGCTGAGTTATCTAGCTTCAGCTTGCATTTAATTCTGAAATTGGATGTATTTATAGCTAGAAGTTGCTTGTTGATAACAACATATGCTACTATTTTGCAAGAAGATTCTAGCATTTAAATATAGTTATCATTTTACTGGTACATCCTAATGTGAACTCCCAATGGTCTTCTGTGTTGGCCTCAGATTCATGTTAACATATATTGCCAGTATAAAAAAAATCTATTTTACATTTATAATTAAAAATTAGAAAAAAATTTAAAAGACTAAAACTTTATTTTTAAATTTATTTCATAAAGTGAAACATAGTTCACATCATAAAAATAATATAATGGTGAAGTGTAATTGAGTAACTGTTGGTTAATTAGAAAAGAATACAAGCAGACATAAACAATATACTATATATTTTAGCCAAGCAAGGTCAAATGATGTCAGACTATGCTATAATATTATTTATCATAGAGTTGTACAGAGAAATTGGATAGAAAATTACGTTATAAAAAGTTGCTATATATATGTATATGTATATTTTAAACTCAATATCTTTATCACAGTAACATGTATCATACATACATTTAAAGTAATTGTTTGGTTTTAGCAAAATAATACCTCTTAAGGTAAGACAATGGTGTAATTTTTGATATTACTAGCTTTATAGTTTGGTTAGTATTTAATTTATAATTTTGTTTGTTTTTATGTATTTAGAATAGTTATTCATATATGAAGTTTATAATTAGCTATAGATTTATATTAAAATATAATAATTTAGGTGAATGTTTATAATATTCAAAGGCCCCTTAATAATTTTAATATATAAAGTGATATTTATATTTTATATTCATTTTGGGAAAATTACACAGAAAATTTTTAGGATTGCATAATCTCAGAAAATACATGACAGCAGAAGATTCATACAGTAAGTGTTTTATTATCTCAGGTAGTATACACTGGATGAATTAAAGGTAAAAGGTAAGCATCTCAGTCTACTTATAATAACTCTATGTAAGTTTTATTTGCACTGGCTATCAGCCACAAAAAAGGAAAACTTCTTCCTCCTGCTCTCTTCTTCCACTGCCCAGACAAATACTACTTATACTAAATTTCAGGCTAATCATTTTTTTGTGTGTGAATTAAGCTCCACAATGATCTAATTGCAACTTGTAAAGTTGTTTTGTGAAAACATGTGTTATATGTTGCATGCTATAGTTGAGAACTCTATAAATAATTCAGGGATTGACGGCACATAAGGATTTGACATGTTATCATAGATTTTCTCTAGATCCTTTTATTGAGCTAGCATGAAAGAAGATGTAGGTTTACAATAAATGTGATCACATAAAATTAATTACTAGGCCAGGAGCAGTGGCTCACGCCTGTAATCCCAGCACTTTGGGAGGCTGAGGCAGTTGGATCACGAGGTCAGGAGTTCGACACCAGCCTGTTCAATATGGTAAAACCCCATCTCTACTAAAAATACAAAAATTAGCCGGGCGTAGTGGCATGCACTTGTAGTCCCAGCTACTGGGAAGGTTGAGACAGGAGAATTGCTTGAACCTGGAAGGTGGAGGTTGCAGTGAGCCAAGATGGTGCCATTGCACTCCAACCTGGGCAACAGAGCAAGATTCTGTCTCAAAAAATAAAGAAGGAAGGAATACATTCAATGTGTTGTAGCAGAGTAGGGCAACTATACTTAAAAAATGTACTCAGGTGATACACACCTTAAATATCCAAGTTGATCACTATACATTTATATGTATATGTAAAAGTTTATCATGTACCCCATACATCTGCACAAATAAAAAATGAGAAGTCTTTACAAAACTTTCTTATTATAATTATAATTTAAATTTTCCTAATGATCTTCTTCTGGTTCTGACCAACAATATTGCATTTTCATTTGCATAAAATAACATATGGTATATATTTCCACAAAAATAAAAAAGAAGTTTGTCTATGATTTCTTTATTGACTCACCACATATTTTTTCCTATGCAATATAAAGTAACCATATTTCAAATTTCTTTATCAGAGTAGTTATAAGCCAGTCTCATATGTTCATTCGTTAACATTTTAAAAAGTGATGATTCTAAATTGTACATTCTCCAATCTTGTCTGGTGCCTTGTGAACTTTGAGTCATAGTGATTAATTTTGTATCCATTAATTGCTGTCCTTCTCCCACCTACTTCTGTTATTATGGCTTCAGAAGACATGAAACTTTAACAAAGTTACTCAGTTATGTTAAGCAGTGAGCAAATCCACATCATCTATAATGTATAATTATGTTTGCCATTATACTGAAAGTCATAAATTATTCTTATTCTTACTGTGTTGCCTTTGGGGAAGGATGCCATCAAGGATGCCTTCAGGTGTGATTGAAATCAATCACACAATATGTATTTTTTTGTGCCTGTCACCTTTCATTCAACATCATGTGACTAGCAATCATTCAGGTTGCTCTTTCATTTTTCATGGTGAGCATTATTCCATTGCATGACAACATCAATATCTGCTTACCCATTCTCCTGTTAACAATTACTTCAGTTGTTTACTGCATGGGGATAATATGAATAAAGCTGCTAGGAACATTCATGGACACATATTTTTGTGGAAGTATGTTCTCATTATTCTTGTGTAAACACTTCGAAGTGGAATTTCTGGGTCATAAGACAGTTAATTTTATAATACACTGTCAAACTGAAACTTTTATTTAAAGTGGCTTATTATATTACACTCCCACATGTGAGTGCCACCTGTTAAATCTTAGACTTGCCATCTCTTTTGATTTTAGCCACTGTAGTGGATGTGGCACGGTATCTTACTGTTGTGTTAATTTTAATTTTCCTGATGAAAAATTATATTGAATACCTTTAATGTAATGATTGACATTTAAATTTTCATTTTTCAAAGTTTTAGTTCAAGTCTTTTTTGTCCAGATGTATTGGGTCTGATATCATTTTATACTGAATTTTAGAAGTTTGTTATATAGACATTTGGCAGATATTTGTGGGGTGTGTGTGTGTATGTGTGTGTGTGTGTGTGTGCATCTTACTCTGTTACTGCTTGTGGTTTGCCTATGCCTATTAAATTCCTCAATAGAGCATTTTGATGAGCAGAAATTTTATTTTTTAAAGTTCTATCTATCTTTTATTTTTTTATTGATGTTGCTTTTTGTGTGCTATGTAAGATTTCTCTGCCTATTTCAAAATTGTGAAGCTAATTTTATATGCTTTTTCTAGAGGATTTAAGATTCTACACTTTATGTTTTAAGACTATGATACATCTTGAGTTAATTTTTATTCATGGAGTGAGTTGAAAGGTTGAAATTCTTTTTTCACCCTATAATCATCTTCCCCAGACATATGTGTTTTAAATACGTTCCTTTTCTCTTGTGATTAATTGGTGCATTGGCCCAAAGTTATGAATGTGTAGCTTTATTTTCAGATTCCTCATACTGTTTCCCACATAAATATCTATTTTTTAATTACTGTAGCTTTGTTATAAGTTTTGGAGTCAGATAATATGAGGGTTAAATCATTTTCTTTTATTTCTTCATTATATGTTTTTCAGAATACTTTGGGCTAGTCGAGATCTGTTGAATTTCCACGTTTTTTAGAATCATATTGAAAGCTCTACCAAAAAAAGTCTTCTAGAATTTTCATTGGAATTCAGTTAAATTTATAATCAATTTGTGACAAAAGGGCAACCTAACAATATTCAGTTTTCAAATCCATGATTTGGTGTGTCTTTCTATTTATTTAGGCTTTCCATAGAGAGACCTTTTAACAGCTTTTCTTATATTTAGGTATTTGATGTTAAAGCCATTTTAAATGTTATTTTACCTTATTTTATTTTCTAATCAAGAAAGAAATAGAATGCTGAGTATGGTGGCTCACACCTGTAATCCCAGAGCTTTGGGAGGCCAAGGTGGCAGAATCGCTTGAGTCCAGGAGTTCAAGGCCAGCCTGGACAACATAGCAAGACCCTGTCTCTACAGAAAATTTAAAAAAAAAAAGCTGCTGGGTGTAGTTGTGTGCACTTATAGTCCCAGCTACTTGACAAACTGAAGCTAGAGGATTGCTTGAGCCTGGGAGTTTGAGGCTGCAGTGAGATGTGATCATATCAGTGCATGCCAGCATGAGCAACAGAGCAAGATCCTGTACCTAAAGAAATGAAAAAAAAAAAAAAAAAACTGAAAAAGAGTGATGAATCCTGGCTCTGTACAGCTTTTTAAATTATTGTTATTTTAATAATACTTATAGTGCAAGTCAGGTGGAGAGAAATGTTTTCAGCTCTTGTTTCCAATTTTTGAGGGACATTTGCTACACTTTGAATTCTACATGAACGGAATTTTTTTCTTTTCTTTCTTTTTTTTTTTTTTTTTTGGAGACAGAGTCTCACTTTGTCACCCAGGCTGGAATGCAGTTCAAGCCGTTCTCCTGCCTCAGCCTCCTCAGTAACTGGGATTATAGGCACCCGCCACCATGCCCAGCTGATTTTTCTATTATTAGTAGAGATGGGGTTTCACCATGTTGTCCAGGCTGGTTTTGAACTCCTGACCTCAGGTGATCCGCCCGCCTTGGCCTCCCAAAGTGCTAAGATTACAGATGTGAGCTACTGTGCCTGGCCTGATGAACAGAATTTAATTACTGAATTTGTATTCATGTATAATGTATTTATTCTTTAAAAGACCTTATTCCATCATATTCTGACTTCCATTCTTTCTGACAAGAATTTAGTGATTTTTAAAATTATTTCCAGTATGCCCTGTGGCTATTTTCTCTCACAGCTTGTATTAATTTCCCATTGATGCTGTGACAAATTACCACAAATGCAATGGCTTAAAACAGCACACATTTACTCTCCTACAGCTCTGGAGGTTAGAAGTCTGAAATGGTCTCATTAGATTGAAATCAAGGCATTGGCAGGGCTGTGTTCCTTCTGGGAGGTTCTAGGGGAGAATCTGTTTCCTTCCCTTTCTTCAGCTTCCACAGGCTGCCTGCATTCCTTCGCGTGTGGTTCCTTAGCACCTTCAAATACTCTCTGTTCTTCTCCCGCTTTCATTTTCTCCTTTGGCTGTCATTCTCTTGTCTCCCTCTTTCCCTTATAAGGGCCTTTGTAATTACATCGGGCCCACTTGGATAATCCAGAATAATCTCCCCATTTCCATATCCTTCACTCAATCACATCTGCAAAGTTCCTTCAGTCATGTAAGAATTCGGACAGAAACATCTTTGGGGAGCTACTATTAAGTCTACCATACGCTTTTAAAAAATCTTCTCTTTATCTTTGATTTTCTTTAGTTTTACTTTAACATACCTAAGTGTGGCTTTCTTTTTTATTTTCTTCTGTATAGGGTTTTCTGAACTTCTTGATTCAATGGTTTACTGCATTTTACCAGATTTTAAAAATCTTGGCAATTATGTCTTCAATTTTTTTCTGGTCCAACCCCTTTCTTTCCTCCTTTTTGAACTTCAGTTTACATATGGTAGAACATTTCTTATTGTTCTGCAGATTTCAAACGTATTGTTTATAGTAATTATTATATTTTTTCTATATGTTTGTTTGCATCATTTTTATTTATCAGTATTTAATTTCAGGGATTCTTTTCTCTCTTGTGTTCATGTTTCTGATAAGTCCAAGCTAAAAGTTTTTTTTTTTAAATTAACATTTACATTTGGATTTTTAAAAAATAATTGGAATTCTCTGCTTTAATTCCTCATCTGCCCACTCAAGTTGTTTCATTTCTACTACATCTTTTAACATATTTTTTACAAATATTTAAAATTCTCCATCTGGTAAATCTAAGATATTTCTACATTTGCTTCTATTAATTGTTTTGTCTCTTGATGATTAGTTACAGTTTATGACTCATTTGTATGTCTCAAAATTTTTAAAAATTAATAAGATAAATAATATCTTCAGTGATGGCACACTCATTCTTCTTTTGGGGCAATAATGTGAATTTCTGAGTCAATACATCTGTTTTGAAATAGTTCTGAGCTGGACTACTGATTCAGTTAGAATGAATTCAGTGCTGATGAGGCACATTCTCTTCAGCAGGACCTGGGATCTTAGTACTAAGGTTACTCAAAGAATTTCTTTTTGCTTTACAGCACAGCTGCCAACATTCTTTAGAATGTTTTAACATGGGAGACTTAACTCTTACCTATTTTAATTCCTGAGGAATTCTATTTGCTGTCCACTCTTATTCCTCAATTGATGGCATTTAGGTGCTTTCTTTTTCTGTTCTGCTGTCCTGAGCAATTATGCCTTTGAAGGACTGCAGTTCAAGATTCAATGAAACCTTAAAAAGACTTAGGAAAATTCCTCTCGACCTTCCCATCCGCCCATATCCTTGGCGCTGCAGTGCTTCATACTCTGGAAAGTACCAGGTGCCTCCAGGCATCTTTCCCAGTTCATCTGCTGTGGCACAGCCTGTAGCAGTCAGGCCTCCTGTTTCCTAGGGATCAGGAAGTTTACCTCGCATGAGTTCTGCTCTCTCTTCAGTGTTCTGAAACCACAGCTTACTGAAGGCACAGAATGCCTCAGTTTGGTTCCTCTCAAATATCCTGACCTGTTCTCAGCCTACAATGGGCTCTAAGTGCCTCAAGGAAGCTCTCTTTATCCTCTTCTACTCTGTCTTTTGGCCTGCTGGCTACAGCCCAGGTTATTCAGTGAAGAATTTGGAAAGAGTTGTCAGGTAGATACACATCTGCTTGGAGATGGGGGCCCTTCAGGATTCTAAACAATCATGCCAGAAAATACTTGGCCATTATTATTATTATTGATGTTATTATTATTATTACTACTTGATATGGTTTGGCTGTGTCCCCACCCAAATCTCATCTTGAATTGTAGCTCCCGTAATTCCCACATGTTGTGGAAGGGACCCAGTGGGAGGTAATTGAATCACGGCGCCAGTGTTTTCCGTGCTGTTCTCATGACAGCGAATAAGTCTCATGACATCTGATGGTTTTATAAAGGGGAGTTCCTCTGCACATGCTCTCTTGCCTGCTGCCATATAAGATGTGCCTTTGCTCTTCCTTCATCTTCCACCATGATTGTGAGGCCTCCCCAGCCATGTGGAACTTTGAGTCCATTAAACCTCTTTTTCTTGATAAATTACCCAGTCTTGGGTATGTCTTTATTAGCGTGTAAGAACAGACTAATACACTACTACTACTGCTTCTATTTTAACTCATTTCTCTTAACCCTATTCTCTGGTGAATTTCTCCTCCTTCAAGTATTCCACCAGGATTAAAAGCAGTCAGAAATCTCTTCTCTACTAAAAAATGTTTGTCTCTTTGAGATTTTAGTTCATTAAGGTGATTTACATCCCCAAACCTCTGCTGGGTTTTCTTAACAATGATATAGTCACTTCTCTGTCTTTTTATCATTATTAGAGTAAAAAGTACTATTATTTGCAACGTTCTACATCTTAGAAGCAGAAGTATGTAATGCTTGATACTACATGTGTACTAACTAATCCTGAACTAAAGAGATAGCTTTGAAATTAACCTAGTTATTAATATTTAAATTATTTGAGAAATTACACATATTATACATAATTGTATAACTAAATTTTAAATGTCAAATATCACAATGTATTAAGATCTATTACTTTTGACTAAAAAGCTTTGTATGATAGTTTGCTGCAAAATTGTTGAAATGTACTTTGAGATTTTAAAGTTACCTACTTTGTACATATGAATTTCCATATATTATTATATCATTATATGAACAAATTTTTGTATGAATATCTTAGCATAATTCTCAAGTATATAGATAAAAATAGCTTCACATTTTACGAGAAAGATTTAGATGTACTATAAACAAATTCATTGATTCCTTAACTCACTTGAAATATTCTTCTAGGTATTGTGTCTTTACTCAGTGATGGTAATGAAAATATAAGTATCTTGATATAATATGATTAAAAATAATCTCTGAAAGAAGAAAGCTTTCCAGAAATATAACTTGACAAATAAATAAGGGAGTTTAAGGGTTATAAGAAGTCAAATAATGGATCTTTCTTTAAAATGTGACACCATCTGTCTCACCAGCTTTGATCAGACTATCAGCTGCTCTCTTCTCTCTCTTTTTGATAGAAAAAACTTTTGACACTTGTCAGCCACAATCGATAGCTCTATTTTTTACCTTATTGGAAAAATATGCCTCAAGGGAACTAGGGATGAAAAGTGAGAGAGAAGATAAAAATCAGGACAGGGGAAATAAAGAAGGTGGAATATGATGCAGTGGTTTTCAGGTAATCATTATAGACTAATTTGAGTTCAGCAGAAAATAGTTTAACTCATCATATAATAGTAGGAAAAATAATACTGCATGGTACCTTTAGCCAAAGCTTCAAAATATGTCTGAAATTTCTAGTTAAGCTTTAATTTAGGTATCAGATAGCTTGTTAAAAAGTGTAAGAAATCATGTCTTATTTGGATTCATAAAATTGTTATGTAGTGAAGGCACGCCACCTGGCTTTGAAAATAAACATGGTTAGTGTTTTACCTTAATATTTAAATTCAATACATTAATTAAATGCATTTTTAATTTAACAAATAGATAAAGGATGCCAAAGCATGGTGCTAGACTGGAGAATAAAATAATGATTCGGGTATTAATTGAGACCTTTTAATTTCTATCTGGCCAGGTAAGTGAAATCTCACCATTAATTGCTTCTGAAATTATCATTATGTAACTCAACTTTAGTCATTATAGTCATAACTTTAAGAAATATCATTTTATTCTTAAAAACATAAAATTTATCATTACAAACATTCAGAAGTTACAAAAATATGATGGGTGTGTAGAGAACTAAGCATACATTAAATTATATGATCATTTACTACTGGCTCAAGGCTTGGTTCCTTATCTTCATGAAGACAAGACACAATTCTTAGAAATGTTTTAGACATTTATGTTCCTGAAGGCCCTGAAGATAGATGGCTGGATCAAAGGATTATTTTAGTTCTTTTTCTCCCCTTAGCAGTTATCTCAGGCAATCTAAGTAGGTCCTTCAGAGCATATTTTTAAAATATGTCTGTTTGCTCTCTGTATTATAAGATTTGTATTCTGCAATATACTATACAAGTCTGTGAATTCAAGTCACATACACAACTTCAAGAATAGTACTGAATGTTTGCTTAACTTTACAATTAGCCCATGTAAAACTTAGTAAGACTAGATAACTATAAAATATTATAAATATTATAAAACTTTTAAATGTATACTTTTAATTTTAATCACATATTCCATTAAGTTGTAATGAGTTATGGTTAAATAACCTGGAAAAAAATACTATAAAATATAGGACAACTTGCTTTATGCGCAAGATATTTGTTTCATGCATATAGAAGATACATAATAGAGATTGCTACTTTATAGGTTGTATGCAACCAAATATAAACTCATTTCACTGATTAGTCACACATTTCATAGAATTTGCATACTTCTTTTAAGTAGATAAGCTATCTTTGCCTTGGTAAAGGCAAATAATCATTTTATATTATTTTAAATAAGATTACACAATTTTAGTTAGCCATAGAATTAGCAAGCACATATTTTTTTCAATGAGAACAAATATTTTAAACCCAGAGGGAACAAAAAGCACAAAATAGCTTCAGTTTGTGTATCTCAGACCCTGCAATTATCCCACGGAGAATTTTCTTTTCAATGACTTTCAAATGTTTCTGTATAATTATAAGTTAGATAACTTGGTAAATTCTGGTAACAGCTTCCAAAAAATGCATTTAAATTTGAAATTGGTTTTGCCAAAGAGTAATTTATATCCATTGTGTAAAGACACAAATGCAAATGAAACAATTTTTGATTGACTACACAACATAATATACTGAGATATTATATGCTAAATGGACCACAGAATAAGCATTCATTATTCAACAAAGTATTATGTGTTAGAGGATAATGTTGCCAAATATTGCAATATACTACAAAATCCAGCTATTATTATAGATAAACCCTAGAATAACATTTAAAACAAAAAAATGAAGATGTATCCAATTTTTTAAAGGATTTAAATCACTAAGGGACAGATCCACAATATACATTAATAATTAGAGTGTCATCTCAAATTCTGAAAAGTGAAAAACAAGTGGCATTTTTCTTAATGTTAGCAAATAACTTTTTCAAATGAGAGTAAAGATATTCACACCCTATGAATCAAAATACATGTAAAGCTATTAAAATGTTTTTAAGAGGCCATTTCAAAATTTCCACAAAAAATTATGGACAAAAATGCCTCCAGTATTTTGCTATATATAATTAGCACAGATAATTTTATGAACTAGTTGGAAATTAGTGCCTGTAGATGTTTATTTCTCTTCATCCCTTCAGACCACCCATTGCATATCGGGATATACCTGTAAAGTATGTGTGCATGTGTGTATGTTTGTAAAATATATCTTTACATTCTAAGTATGTATGTCTGTATGTATGTATTTACATGTGTATATATCCATCTATCACCTATCTGTCTATCATCTATCATCATGCTACACTTGGTTTCATATTCCAGTAAGGCAAGTTTGTCCTTTGTTCCTTCCTTCTTTTATCACATTTTTATTCACCTATACCAAACACATTGCATGCATCTGTCAGAACCAAAATCACTAAACACAGAACATTAAAATGTGTTTCAAATGTCTTTAGCAAATTAAAAATAAATAATCATATAATGAACTAAATTGAAGATGGTCATAATAAATTCAGATAATGTGAAAAATAATGTGGAATTTAAGACCAGATACTAAATGGGAAAACAAGCAAAATTCAATGATAAAAGTTGTAATATACAATAAAGTAATAATGACAACATGTTTCTGCATTGAAAAACACAGTAAAATGCATGAGGGAAATTTACTGAGAAATGCAAACATTTAAAACAATAAATTGTACCCGCAGATTTTACTCTTATAAGACTTTTGTGCCATGTTGATATAAAAATGACTTAAGTTATATAATTTATGAGAAAAATTATGAAATGTATAATTTTCTATAGGTAATATTTATTTCTATACTTGTATAGATAGAGACAGAGTAACTGAGGGAAAAACAATGTCCCCTACAGATAATGGACATCCTTCTTTTCTCTTTAAGAAACAGTAACAAAAAGAGATTATGTACCTAAACACAGAGGAAATCTCAATGAAGCCAGAGAATAGTACTCTTCCATACCACATTCTTTGACCTTAAGGTAACAAAAAAGCAAATAAATAACAAAAGAATAACTCCAAAGTGTATAATGTGAACAAAAAAAAATGTTTTAAGTAAATCTTGTGCTAAATAAAAATAAAAACTAAAATAAGAATGTTTGAGAAATCAGTCCAAAGCAGTATCAGTATATCCAATAATTATAGATGCAGAAACTCAACAGAAGAAAAAATGTTTATCATCTCCTCATATGTTTCAATACTAAGCAGAACTCTTAAAATATATTAACCTTAGCATTTAGCATAACAAATCAAAAACTAAGCAACAAAATACATCAAAATGTAATAGTAGTATGATACATGACTAGCAGCCTAGTTAAAAAGTATTGTCCTGTTCTTTGCAAACAGAACCTTCCTTTGGAATGCGCAAGTGAGTCTAGCCTAGTATATTCAGCATCTGTAACTCTTGCAGTTTCAATGACCATGTGACATGGGTTTAATTAATAATAACTAATGTAAAAATGAGACAATTAGACGTTTTAACCAATAAAATAGAAGAGAACATTTTTTCAAGGAGAGAGGTGGTTTTTTTTTGTTGTTTAATTTTTGCTTTTTTGACACTTGTTCTCTACCCTTCTACACTCTCGGAACACTGAGACATGCCTAAACATGCAATAGTCCTGAGATTGTAAGAATGAGAATCACATGCTACTGATGGCAGAGAAAGAAATTAAGGGCATAGGATATTGATTGTCATAGTGAAGCTGTTGTACCAGTTACCCAATTTGCTTGTTATGATGAAAAAATCAAATTAAAAATCTATTTTTTCTTTAAACCTGTGCAGGATTTCTACTACAAGTTGCCAAATAAATACAGTAGAACTAAGGAAGGGATAAGTGCTGAAATAGCAATAAATGAATTTCAAAAGTAAACAGAATTATTACAACCAAGTTTAGTTCTTTAAAAATGTAAGTAAAGAGATTGCCCAATTAAGAATAAGAATAAATAAAAGAAAATATATACAAATAAGTTACAGAAAAATGCACGTATGACACATAAAATGGCTTTGCACCTATTATATAAAAATACTAAAAAGCAAATTTTGTAAAGGTATGAAAGTCTTATCCAAAGCCTCACAATTAAAAAGAACAATACTGAGAGATTTGACTACAAATAATTTTGTTATTTCTGTACTTCAAAAATTGCAGAAACAGAAAATATTTGCAACACACTAAAGACACAAAAGATTAGTATCTATTAGGTTGGTAAAGGCAAAAACCACAATTACTTTTGCACTGACCTAAAACAGTATATAAATGATTTTTACAAACAAATGACAGCATATAACTTGGGGAAAATGATGCAAATGTCTCTGGGAAAATACTTGATAGAGGAAGAGACACGGGTTAATGTAAAAAAAGCTGAAACTCTCTATTAAAAATATATACGAAATAATGCAAACTGATGTTTGACCTAACAGATTAGCTAAAACTTCAAAAGTTTTAACAGTAACTGTTGAAGAAAATATATTTATTTAAAATATCTCTGATATTGATAATGCTCATTTAAGTTGGTATTCTTTAATATAGTGATGTGGTACTACCTTGCAAAATTTTACATACATAAAATTTATAAGCATACTTTTAAAAAACCTATTGAAAGAAAAAATAGTTCAGCTACATTAGCATAGTATAGGCTATTTATTGCAGTATGGTTTTTAATACTGAAAACTATGGAAAAGTGAGTAGTTAGGTAAAATATGCAGATGCTAACAAAAATAAATTAATTTTTATACACCAATGTGCAAAGATATAAAGATCCTTGGGCTATAAAATGACAGCATTTATTTAAAACCCTGAAAATACATGGTTGGGATTTAATGGTTAGATAGAGTGATTTTTTTTCAATGTTTAGTTATTTGGGCAAATATAATTTATATATTCTACATAAAAGTACATACCAATTCAAAATTATAGCACCCTAACTTTTGAGTTAATGTAAATTAAATATTAGACTCCTACACAAACCTTTATTATTCTCTCATTTTATAAATCACAGTTATAATAATTATATTCTTATGTCAGTCACAAAATAAGTAGGTAATATGTTTTATTCATTCTTTTCTTTGCTTCTCTCCTGGGAAGTGGGGTGTTGTCTTTCATCTGTTATTTTCTGTAGCTAATAGAATGTCAGAAATCAGGGTAGAAGAAGAAACTTTAAAAATTCTTGTTCTCCTGCTACTCTTGCTTCTTAATAAATGGAAATATGCCCACAACAGCTTGCTGAAGGGGGGAGGCAGACATGCAGAAAGAGCCAGAGCCATCCTAGACCAGCCAGACCGAGTCCTTTTCCATTAAATATCGTATTTAAGATAAACATTATGCAGAATCCTCATTCTTCTTTTTGTTTTAATTTTATTAGCTTTATTTGGGCATAATTGACATACCTAACTACACATACTTAAAGTATACAATTTAAAGCTTTTGCAGCCTTTTAAAAATGGTAAAGTTACAATTTAAAGTGTAGTTGTTGAGATCCATATAAAGCTATCTTGATTTTTCTTGCTTTGGGGGATGGTTGAGTTTCATGGACATGCTGATTTATAGTGTTTTCAAATTTAAAAAATAATTTTTGCTGTCCACCTTAACTTCAATTTCCAAGGTTCCTATTACATATATATTAGCTGCTTGAAGTTGTCCCACAACTCACTGATACTATTTTTTTCACTATCTTTATCCTTGCTTTATTTTAGATAGTTTCTATTAGCATGTCTTCAATGTTACCAATTTTTTCTTCTACAGTGTCTGATCTGCTGTTTATTCTTCCACTGTATCTATCCTATCAGACGTTGTGGTTTTCAGTGGCAGAAGTTCATTTGCGGTTTTAGTTATATCTTCTATATTTCTAATTAATATATTAAATTCTTTCTGTAGTTTCTTAAACATGTAAAATAAGTTATAATATTTCTTTAATGTCCATATCTACTAATTCTATCATTGCTGTCATGTCTATGTTCATTGTAACTACTGATATTTCTTTGCGTTGTGTGGTATACTTTCCTGATTCTTTCCATGTCTGCTGAATTTTGATTTGATAGAATGAATTGAAAGTTTTACTTTCTTAGGTATTCCATATTTGTGTACTTCTATAAATATTATTGAGGGCATTTTCTGGAATGAAATTAAGTTGCATAGACACAATTTGGTCTCTTTGTTTATTACTTTTTAAGTTTTATTGATGGGAACAAGAACAATGTGAAATTTGGCCCACTAATGAGGCAAGACCCTCTTGGGTACTCTCTCCAATCTTTTGCTTCTTGAATTATGAAGTATTCTATGCCGGATGCTGGAAAAAGCATTCCTAACCCTATGTGAGCTCCAGGGACTGTTCTCACTGATCTTTTTTCTCCCACCACTGATAATTTTCTCACATGCTTATGCTGCGCAGTGCAATGGAGGGGTTGACAGTAGATCAAATCCTGCAGAGGAAAAGATTGCTAACTTTGAAGCCATTGAAGACTCAGCTGAAGACTTGAGAAATAATTTCTGTAGTTGTCTGGTATTTTTTGCTGTGTAGTACTCTCCTTTCCAGTATTTTGTCCTTTGAACTGCAGCCTTAGCCTTCCTAGATTCTCAGTTCTATCTCTTCAATTCAGGGAGACTGTTGTGCTCTTTCTAGGATTCTTCTTCTTATGTTATAGTCTGAAATTTCCCCGTCAATGACCTGGGGCAAGCATAGGTCTCATATTGATGATTGCATGTTTCTTAGGGATCACTGTCCATTGTTCCTTGATACCTGATGTCTTAACATATGTTTTAAGTACCTTATCCTGACATTTTAGTTGTTTTGGTTAGGAGAAAGAATATATTCCATGTTTAATAGAGTTTGACATTTTCTTATTGTAAAATCATTATTACATAAAAGGTGACAAGAACATTTATTGTGTTACGATGAGCAAAATTTTATAACTTTCAAAGACATATATTTATTTTATTGATTTAAGATACATATTTCCCATGTCTTAACATAGGTATAACATGCTAATTTTAGGATGTTATTTTTTATTTTATAGTACCAAAATAAAGTCTTACAGCTAACATCACTCAGCGTAATTTGTTACCTCAGATAGTTACATATGCTTTAGGTAAATAGTTTCTAATGAATTAATGTATAATGACTACATTTTCATGTTAAAACTGTAGAGCTCTTACATAACAGAAGTTCTAATAACAGCTAATTGAGATAATGGTAATGATAGCAGGACATTTAGTCATGCTTTTAAATTAATATATTTTAATAATATAAGCAATTTTAAACTACATGAATGAAAAGTAACGTATGTGTGAGAAGTATTATATATTTAGACTAGAGATGTTTCTTGGTATGCAGATTTTTTTAGACATTGTTGTGTTAATAATGTTTCTGCTCTCTAGAGTTCTGTGCTTTACAATTTATTGGGTGAGAATTGGACATCTGAGAAAGCTAATTCAGAGGTGTGCTATTGAATTAGCCTTTAATACAAACAGTAATTTACTAAGTGGTGTCTTGGTTGTCTAGAAGAATGAACTATGCTTCAAATTTACATTCTGGGAGCAGTTTGCACAAAAGACCAATTCTGGCTTCTCCTATTCCTGTCAAGACATAGCAAGTATTTCAAAGCATTTTCAGACCTCAAACTAAAATCATGTTGAAACACCAATTCGAGCAAAATAAGGTAGATACATGCTTATTATCTATACAATGTTATTAAATAAAAATAAGTTCAGAACTTAACTGTTTAATTAGCTTGTTTGCTTTTTCAATATTTATTCCTATGCTGAAAATCAATAAACAGATTAAGAAAACCAGAATTTTAATGTAATTTTTTTTTTTTTTTTTTTTTGAGATGGAGTTTCGCTCTTGTTGCCCAGGCTGGAGTACAATGGCACAATCTCGACTCACTGCAACCTCCACCTCCCAGGTTCAAGAGATTCTCCTGCCTCAGTCTTCCAAGTAGCTAGGATTATAGGCATGTGGCACCATGCCCAGCTAATTTTTTTTTTAAATATATTTTTAGTAGAGATGAGGCTTCACCATGTTGGTCAGGCTGGTCTCAAACTCCTGACCTCAGATGATCTGCCTGCCTTGGCCTCCCAAAGTGCTGGGTGCTGGGATTACAGGTGTGAGCCACCACGCCTGGCCATTTTAATATAATTGTAACCAATGAAATTATATGCATAAATCTTACCAAATTATAGAGTACTAAGATGTGTCTAGTTGATATGCAATATGTTTGCTTGTTATGTAGAAACATTTATATTATATAACTGGCTAAAAACAACTTATGTTAAATTTGATATATTTCATTATTGTTTTACAATAATTTATTTCAAATTTCTTAACTATAGTTTTGATTTACTTATGTCAATACTTACTATTTATTTCATAACAGAAGTGAAAACTTTTAAGCTGTTTTCCACCAATACAAGTCTGATAGCATTAAAATAGTAAGGAGACCCAAAGAAGACACTTTAAAATAATAATTACCTCAAAAGGATCAGATAGAAATAGGAAAAATAAACTAACAAGTCAGGATTTAGAAGAGTCAAGAGCCATAACGAAAATAAATCAGGAAATGCAATGAGTTCCTTTGTAAGTGAATATGAAAACTTTAAAATTTAAATTCTCATCCTAAATATATATCTCATTAAATATAACCATTTAAGAAATTTAATTTATACTATTTTAATTAAATATGCTTTAAATTTGTTTTATTTAGATATTTATTCTCAAAAGAAGAGCAAATTTGAGAATAGATAACTTCGATTATATCTTTCTTTCTTTCTTTTTAAAGAGATGAGGGCTTCTCTGTCACCCACACTGGAGTGCAATGACACTGTCTCTGTACCCTTGAACTATGGGGCTCAACTGATCCTCTCACTCCAGTCTCCCTAGTAGCTGGGACCACAGGTGTGCCCACTGCACCTTGCTAAGTTTTGTTTGTTTGTGTTTGTAGAGACGATGTCTCCCTAAGTTGCCCAGGCTGGTCTCCAACGTCTAGTCTCTACTGATCCTCCCACCTCAGGCACTTGTGTTGCTGGGATTGCAGGCAAGGACCCCCATGCCCGGTTTATCTTAAAATGTTAAATATCACTGCATTATGACTAACTGAACTGGTATACTTGGTCCCAAAGAAGTAATTAGTAATCAAATAATGTTATATACATCACATTACTCTAGAAAAATATATATATATATATACATATACATATATATGCATAGATATATAAATAATTGAGCTCTGAAGAGCATTCTTTCTTTATATTAAACATCACTTCATAATAAATTGGAATTCTTTAAAATTAGACATTCTCCATTTAATCCAAAAACTTACTGTTAGCAATAGATTTCTCCATAGAAAAAAAAGAACAATATCAATTTCTCCGAAGTTGAAAATTTGGTGTTAGATTTTTAAAAATTATAAATCCTAGTTAATACCTGAATAATCATTTAAATGTTCTAACTTCTACCAACTTGAGTTGATTTGAATTGTATCAATGTCCTTATATGTATTACATGACCAAAAGCTATGATAACAAACAATTAGAAAGAAGATATTGAAATTATGAAATGTGTTTTATGAACTCAAATGGATAAATCTATGTAAATTTAAGCAGATTAGTTATCTATCAATTATTTTGACATATGCAAATATATTATGTGTTGACCATATTATTATAGCTATATTAATATCACATAATGTTGTATAACTATTATAATTTGTTAAAAATAATTTTTATTTCATAAAAATTGACTCCCAAGCACTTGCAGGAATATTAAATATGAGTACAATCTAATAAAGTATTAAGTATTTTTCTACTCTATTATCACATTTAATAATTATTCCTAGTATTATTTAATATGTTAGTATTAAGAAAGGTCCAGATTTACATTTTGACTATTTATATAAACATTAGTAAGATTGTCAGTGCTATAAGAGTATTGTTCTGGTTACCTTTTCAATTATTTTGTCTCAGAAACTTGCATGGCTCTCAATGTATAATTATTTTGATACGAATTGGAAAATCATCTCTGTTTGCTACTTTAGCCAAGATGGTTCTTGTTGTGACATCTGCAAATCACTTTTCTTCTATCGTAACCATCTGGAACCCTCTAATTGATACCTTGCTATGAACTTGAGAACAATAGTACTTCCTCAGAGTATTTTTTTTTGTAGTTGCTGCTAATATATCTGTGATTCTTTTTTTTTTAATTCCTCGGAGTATTAATGAGCCCGCATTGCTCATTTGAAAATGGAATTATAGGCATTGTATGATAGCATCTTCTATTACTATCTTTAGTGTTGATCTGTCATTTAATTTTCATAAGTTGATGCCCTGTCTTTTAAGTTCCTTTAGGGCAGGCACCATGAATTAAGTATAATTTTGCCACTGAGAAAGCTTATTAACTTAGCTCTTAATACTCTTTAAGCCACTATATAATTACTAATTGAAGTTTCAGGCATGTTCATAGAACTAAAGAACTTTTATTTCTGAAGACACTGTAAGGACTAATTTAAATACATTCATTTTGTAGATGAGGAAAATTAATATAAAAATTTCATATGCTAGATTCATGATTTTCACAGCAGAATCCATTCTTCCTTTCTTCCAACCAGACCTCTAAGCACAAGCTTTGGGGTCAGAACTAACTTTGAATTCCAGCTTTGCCACTTGCTAGCTGTATTTTGTTTAGCTCAAACTTACAACTAATATAGGAAGTATACAAGAGCTCACAGATTTGCTATAAATTTAAATAAAATATGTAAGTTAAATACTATGCAAAACACCTGGCAAAATAAGAATACCATGGAAAACAGTTACTGCTTTTTTTTCACTTTCTTGTAATTTGATTCAAAATATCTATGAAATAATTTCTTTGTTCTAGCAAGTTTATGTAGACTTGTTCTTAAGACACAGAAATGTTCTTTATTAAAATAATATATTTTTAAATTCCTCACATATTGTATATAGTTACAAGATGAGTATTTTTAAGAAGTTGGTTTTGAAGTTTTAAAAATATAAATCAAAGCAATTAAAGCATTCTTACCTAGTTTCTTCAATTGCAAGGTTATCTATTGTGCATAATGGTTGCTGCAACTGAAATACTACAGTAACCTTGGTTCCTGTATCACAGATAATGTGATTTTCCTCTAATATATCTCAGATTTTAAGAGACTCAAGACCGTGACCGAACACTCATATAAACAAAGAAAATCATAACAAAAAATATGGGATTTCTTTAACCTGTATGCTTCTATGTACTCTTCACTTTTAATAACTCTGATCTTTTCTGAGTAATTGATGCAATTCAGTACAAAGAGTTATAAAAGATTTCTCTTTTACAAAAGTTTGCCCAACTATTACTGCTTTCAACATAATGTACATACTTATGATTACCACTTAATGGCCTTGGATAAGTATAAATATGACACTATGCTGTGCCAAACAAATTAAGAAGGCATCTTTCCTGCTCATGCTTGATACATGTGTAATTGTAAAATACACTGAGAAGTGATCTGAGTAATTTCTGAATCTATGAAAATACTTCAGAAACTGATTGTAATAGTGATCTTATAAGAGTACTTACATTTAGGAATATATCTCCATGAATTCTGAGGTTATATACAGAATTGAATTACTGGAACAAAGGATTTCAGATAATATAATAAAAAGTAATTTTAAGTAATACCCTTTTTTCTCTAGATTTATTCAGGCTTTATGAATGCTAAATACTAGCTATTCATACTTGTGATGATTTGAGCCTCTACTGAATTCTGATGTGATCCTGAAATATGACGGATAATAAATAAAGACACTAAATTGAGGTGGCTTTTATTGTAATATTAAGAATGTCTCTGAGAGTATGTTCTGGATTGGCAGTCATCTGCCTGAGGTGGAAAATTTCCACTCAGATTTAACCTCTAGCAGAAAATGACATCTTCACACTTCAGCTCGATGATACTGGTTTTAGATTATTTAATTAACAATCAATTTGTCAAATTATCTATTAGACTCCATAGAGCGGTGCAGCAGCTCCTTAAACATGGTTTACAAATTACCATGTAGAATCTTAAAAATTTTCCTTTCAAAATCACATAGTGCAATGAGGCTACATTATGTTGAAGAATACAGAGTTTTAGCAGAAATAACAGGGATTAGTTGCTTATTATTTACTTCAGAAAATCTCAAGCTTTTTTAATATAGCGGAGTGGGAGATTTAATATCAAAGGTTAACTATTTTAAAGACCATGGCTTTTCTTTTTCTGTTACCATAGGAAATCAACTATCAGATTTTTGGTCGGTTTATGGTGTTCTTTCATGAAAACAGGTCGTATTTAATTTATAATGTTTGCTTCATTCTTAGTCTATAAATATTAATAGTTTCCTGTGTTTGCCTTCTAGGACGCAGCATGATAGTAGCAGAAATTTATGAAACATGATTTTTGGCTTCTATATGTAACCATTACATTTTGGAATAAAACATTTTCTAATTTTACAACACATATGGTCACAATTCCTTATTTACTTTTTCCTGAGCTTCTTGAAAAGTATAATAATTTATTTATAACACATTAGACTCTCCTTAATTGTTGGTTTATCATTCCATTACTTTACTTTATTCTAGAGCAAGATAATGCTTACCTAATTATCAAGAAAGGACCTAGAGTTGATATAAAACTATTAAGATTTCCCTAAAGCATCATTACAGCTAAAAGGGAACTGATAATTCGTAAGCATACATTAATTGTTTTCAATATTTTTCCTAAAGCATATATTTATTCATGTGAATACTGAAGTTTTATTATACCTTTATATCTCCAATGTTTGACCTAAACTTCCTTTCAATATCCATGACCTGTTTTAAAATTCTTTTCAAAATCTCCAGCACCTGACCACTCTCTGGACACTTTTACAAGTTATCCAAATTAATAGGACTAGAGAATGTTTGTACCCCTTCTACATCTTATGGACATGTATCATCCAGCAACCCCACTTTGGAAGAAGCCCAAGACAGGCTCAAAGAGTTTTGGTGTCTTCCCCTTGGAAAAGTAAGTGAAATTTTTGCCTGGACTAGAGAAAGGGTGACAATTGATCTGTGTCTCCTATCTTTTACTTTTGATGTAATCATTTATTCATTTAAGTATTTAGTGTTAGTAAACTATGTGGTGGCAGAGAGTTTCCAGGAAGAGCTCATGGAATTTGACTTAACACATGGGTTTTCATGTCTAGTAGAAATGAACCAGGAAGGACTGTGACCTACAAATCTACAGTGGAAGCTATCATATTTTGGTTTATTTTCTTCCTGTTATCCTTAGACAGGATATTTAAATGTATAAAAAAGTGATAAATCACAACTTGTTTACTGCTGGCATAGTGCTCACTGGGCCCTTGTTCATGCTGTGCTGGGCTGAGGCACTTAATTGGTGAGAAGACGGCAGGGATTGTCATTTTCTGTTAGTGTCCCATTGTAAAGTGTTTTAGAAATTCAACCAAATTCCTTGGAATTTTTCTCTTTTCACCATTTACCAGTAGAGTATGGGTAATCTGTCATGGTTTATAAAGTTCCTACATACTTAGCTTATAAACTTAAGGACTATTGACTATCCAGGTAAGATAGATGATATTTAAAACAGCTGGGACTTAGTACATCATAGTATGTATGAATATGTGTATAAATTTCTAATTTTGTGTGAGAATATCTGAGTTTGTTTATATATACAAGTTTCTTATTGCCACAAAGACAACTTGGCTGCAATGAAGTCGTATGGTAAGAAACACAGAGTTATAGTAAGAAAACAATGTATATTGTTTAATTCATTGTTAGTTTCTTACTAAGGCATGAGCAAGTAAGTGAGGTTGTGGAACCTAAATTTCAGTTCATACTGAAGCTTGGCTTGGAACTCTACAATTGCAGACCACCCATCCTGATTTTGTTGATTTCTAGCTGTCTATTTTCAGTTTCACTAAATTCTTACTTAGTACAGCTAACTATTAAAAAAACACTAAACGAATTACTCAGGAAATCTTCTGTGAGACATTTTCATGGACACTTAAGGAAATTTCTATTAAAAAGCCTATTATTGGCTGAATTGCATTCCTCAAATGTGAAGTATACAAAACCCCAGGATTGAGAAGGTGATTGTATTTGGAGATAGGGTCTTTACAGAGATGATAAAGTTACTTTGAGGTCTAGAATAGATGCTAATCCTATATGATTGGCGTTCTTATGAGAATATATTTGAACACAATAATGTACATAAAAAATAATGTGCACATCATCCTGATGTGAAGACACAGAGAAAACATGGCCATCTGTTAAGCAAGGAGAGAGGTCTGAAACAGACCCTTCTCTCGCTGCCCTCAGAAGGAACCAGCCCTGCTGACACGTCCATCTTGGACTTCAAACATCCAGAACTGTGAGAAACAAATTTCTGTTGTTTAAGTCACCTCATCTTTGGTATTTTGTTATGGTAGCCCTAGCAAACAAACATGGAGACACTTCCTTAATCTTGCCCTCATGATTCTACTTGGGTATATCTATTCCATCTTTCTCAAATCATGCTTTAGTTAACTCGAATTAATGACCAACTTCGCTTTAAATACAAAAAAAACCTCAATCTTTTACAGTGAACATATTTTACGCAAGATGGACTTAGTCACAACTTAGACATAACGAGCCTGGTAAACCTCTCACCATAAAGTTAACTAATTAAATGATATGGGATTTCTGTTTCACAAAAAAAAAAAAACTGTTTCATAAAAATAAAATTTTACAACGTTACTCAGATATCACAATTTGATAAAAATTTTAATTTTAGTTTAGTTTACCTGAGATAGTCACCTTGTTACATCATCTTAAAATTGTCCAGAGGCACAGCTGATGAAGGGTTTGACATATTCCTGTTGAGTATTGTTGAGAAACTCCACTTTACAAAATTTTCTTTGACTCATCTGGAAGGTTTATTGAGCAAGAAACAAGAAAACAGCCTATCTTCCTAAACCTTCAAAAGAACCAATATTTTACTCAACAAAAAACAGATACAAAAGAAAACCACAAAAATAGAAAAAAATTAAAAGAAGAAAAGAAAGGTAAAAAAGGATGAAAATTAAAAAATAATAATAAGCAAAACAAAACAAAACTTTATGAAGAGGAAAGTTTAAAAAGGATAGTGCCTAGATTTAAGGAAAAGAGAAAAATATTCAATAATATGAAATAACTTTGTAAGTTGTTGATTTGTTAAATGATGTAAAGATAACCTAAAACCTATCTTTTTTGTTATATTGAAAGTATTCTGAAAATTAGGTGCAGACAAAAACATTCTCTGAAACTATTAATTTGGAGTGATAGTTTCTGTAGAATAAATTGGCTTTTCTTTCTAAAGTCATTTATCATTGATATTAGTAGGTTTAAAGAGCTTTCTGTATTATTTATTTAAAATAAAAGTTCACATATTTTATGTTTTCAAGCTAATAAAAGTGATTAAAATGCTGACTGAGGAATCTCAAATATCATAATTAAAGAAATGTCTCAATATAACTTACAAACAAATCTTGAAAGTGATAATATTTTGTGTTGAAAATAAACTAGATAATTTCCCCCAGGAGTTTGCCTTTAACATCTTCTGCACTTAAAGATATTTCAAAAAGAAAATAAATACTTGTGTATTTTCTTTTTTTTTAATTTGTTTATTTTAAATAGATTATAGTTGTTTAGAAGAAGAGCTTTGGTGTATTTCTGACTTTGTTAAATACTCTGGTCCTTCACTTATTAACTTTGCAACTATTAGTAATCAGTTTATTTTGCCACACATCAATTTCCTCATCTGTAAAACATATTGTTCTGAATGTGAAATACAAGGAAATTTGTTCTGAATGATATAATACATGCAAAATTCAGTGTTTGGCAGAAGAATGTTAGAAAACAAAATTGGTTGAAAGAGAAATATGTCTTCATTATTAGTTAAGTGAATAAAATTAAATACACATGGACAATATAAATGCAATGTCTTTAAAAAAAAAGTCATCCTTATCTTTGTGATAACTATGTCTATAAAAGAGATAAAAACACACAGAGTTGAAAAGCAGTTTTGATTTATAAATCAAATAACTGCATTACTTTTATATGCAGTAGAGCACATTCTTATATGGAGAAATATAAAATGTTATTTTTATCATAGAAGAAAAATAGGACAGAACTCCACCATTTAATATTTAAACTAGACATTTGGAAGAAGATATTTTAAAAATTTGGTAACCTGGAGGTTAGAAGGGATCCCAGAGATGTTCTAAAACAACCATTCCTTTGATATATTTTAATCTCCTCAACAGTATCCTAGCCAAGCAATAATTCCATGTATGTTTGAACACCTGTTGTGACAAGTAACACCACATATTGCCAGTCAAGATTGTCGCAAACATCTTGATTATTCAAAGTTAATATTTGGTTTATATTGAGCCAAATATGGTCACTTTAGCCTCAACTTATTCATCTTTTTGGACATTAAAAGACAGGAGAATACCTCTTGTCATAAAAGACCTTAAGAAGCAAAGATGATTATTATGTCTGCTACTACCACCCAAGACACAGACATACACACACACACACACACACACACACTCACATAAGCACACACACACACACACACACATGCCCAAGGCCTTGTCCCTATTCAAAGAAATTTCCAAGGGCCATGAACTGATGACCTGGCCATGAAAGTTTTTACCGCATTGACTGGATTCCACTGTACAGGTTGGAGGGGCTTTATTTTTTGGAATTATATACCCTACCTAGATGTGAAAAAGAAAAACGCACTCCATATTTAGTTTTGGTAGAGAGTACAGTTATTAGTTGATTTATCTCTTCTGTCATATGATCTACTAAGTATAGACAAGTACGTTTAATTCATACTGTCTCCATTACTTTACTATTTCCTTTCCCTACATCTCTCAAGTGATTTTATCCACCCAAGTGTTGAAAATAACATATTTTATCTGGTTTATCTGATTTTCAACATTTTTGGGAAACAAAAAGTGCAAATTAAGACAATATAGGCGAGAGCAGCGATCTATCTATAGAACCATGTAAAAGAATTAGATGTGCAAAAATAAATAGCAGAATTTGTTAGAAAAGATAGAGAGATCAAAATACCAATTTAGGTATTTGGTTTTGGAAAAAAAATCAAGTTATCACATTTCCACCTGTCTGGGAAGTTAGTTCCAAAGAAAAAAAATACAGTGATACAAAATATATCTCAAAATACTAAAACAAAAACGAACTCATCCTGTATTCCACTGGATATGAAATGCAACCAGTTGTATAATCCACACGTATTTCCTGTGCAAATGAGAAAGATCAAACCTGCTAATATAGATGTATTGTGGTATGCTGCAGGGAAATAGAAGAAACAGAAGTTAGGATGAATAAGAACCTTTTTTTGGAGGAACCAATTTGTGACCCCAATCTTTAAAAAAATGAATTTAAAAAGGTAAATAAGAAATGAGGGATGATAATAATAATATAGGCAGAGGAAATGAGGATTTGAGAAGATAAAAAATATGGTGTATGTTTGAAAAATGCAGTTATTTTAGTATTACTGTGTGTGGGATTCGATGCAGAGGGTGAAAGGGTATGAGCTAAAGAGGTTGGTGAGGACCAGACCCTTGTGTTCTGGGCTAAAAAAATCGAACTGGATTTGATGGGGAGTCACTAAGTTTCTCATTAAGGAAAATTATGTAATGTTTTGATTGATTTGTTTAAGAACACTTACAATAATGTAGAAGGTGTCTTTCAGGAAAAAAGAGTGAAATTAAAGCCTTGTTTCCACTATCAAAATAGTCCAGATGAAGGTAATGAGGACCTGAGGTAAGATCATTTAAGTAGGAATGAAAAGGTAGAGACAGATTTTAAAACGCTAAGGATTTAAAATCACAGGACTCATTCTATATTTAGCAAGTTTATCTTGATATATCAGTAATAATATTTTCCAGGACTATAAGGGACCCATTGCAATATGGAAACACTTTGATTCTGAATATCAGTAAGAGTTCAGGTCTAGGATGAAAAGAGCTATGGGGAGGAATACAGATTTGTGACCTATATGTAATGTTTTGAAATGCAATACTGAGAAGTGTCATTAGGGCATACTACATCTTACTGGGTAATAAAATTTTTAAAAAGCCTTACTTCACTTAAAATTAACTTACAAATTTCAAGAATCGGTTGTCCAGATTGAACTAAGAGAAAAAAGTAAAATGCTGCCTTATGGAGAAGGCATCTGTGCAGTGGAAAACAGAGATTTTCCATTCTGCACAAAAACTCTCTAAGGTTAGACTATTACACCAAGTTTTCTAAAAGGTATAAAAATGTAATCCTTGTTCAAGAAAAAGGCCATTAAAAACAGAAGATTAGAAATAAAATCCCTATGGGAAAGTACACACATATTCAGAATATAGTCTCTGAATTGCAAAAAAAAATTTTCAATAGATGATTGAAAATTTATTTGTATTCTAAGCAATTGTAACTGTATCAGTTATATTTGAACAATGAATTTTAAGTGAATCATGAAGAAATTAAGAGTTCATACCTGGTATGTATTCTATTTCATTTGTGTACTCTCTTTATGTGATATAACTACATAAAAGGAGACTGGGCTCATCATTAAGGAATTACTTTTTCATCTGGGTATATAAATTATTTTATTAGGAAACAATAATGATTTCCTACTTAATGTAGATGTCAGTTACTGCCATATCATAATAGCCATAGTAAATATTCAATGCTTATTTTTGTATATTTCATTCATATAAAATGACAGATTGAAGATTTCATGAGATCAATGGAGGAGAGTTCTCAAATTAAACTTTTTATAGCAGATTGTCAGTCATCTCTGATAACGTGTTATCACACTGAACGCTATAAAACTGCCCTTTTCATTATGTCACAAACATTGATATATTAGAATTTTTATATGGTTCTACTTTAAAATATCAGAAATTTATGTTACAAATCCCATAGTAAAGTATTCCCAGAAGATGTTTTAAAAATTCAAACACATTTCATTTAATTCTAGACTAATATAAGATTAATTCCTTATATTCACATCTATTAATTATATTCATGTTTCCTCTCTCCAACAATCCCAGAGAATACATTCTCATACTTGAAATTCTCCCTTCTGAAGAAGTAGATCTATTATAAGGCATTACTACTAGGAGTAACCAGGAACATGGAATATGAATTGTAATTACCTAAACATTCCTGGGTAAAATATTTAAATATGTAATATGGGTTAATTATTTAAAAACTATAAATTTCCTGAGCTTAAATGTCAGCACACAAGGACATCAGTCATGGTCTATCAACTGACATAATGCAAAAGACACTAGTTATAGACTATGTGGACATATTAATTTCAATATATCCCCAAAATCCAAACAAACAATAGTATAAACAAATAATGATTTTATGTTAGTAAATACTAACATCTTTTCTCCAGTTGATTGTAGGGTATTGAAATTATTCTCTCATTTTTACCTCATCCAGTCTGTTTCCCAGTTGATGATGCTTTCTAATTATCTCAAATGTCCACCAACTTTCTACCACCAATAACCATACCAAGTCAAAGTTACTGTGGTGTACAGACACTAAGATGGTCTTTAATGATTGCTACCTGCTGGTATGCACTCACTTGTATAATTCCTTCTGGCCACTGCTCCACTTCTCTGATTAATTTTGGGAAGAAACTGTGATGTGCTTCTTTTTCTTTTTTGAGGGAGTTTCGCTCTTGTCTCCCAGGCTGGAGTGCAGTGGTGGGATCTGGGCTCAATGCAACCTCCGCTTCCCCATTCAAGTGATTCTCCTGCCTCAGCCTCACGAATAGCTGGGATTACAGGTGTCTGCCACCACGCCCAGCTAATTTTTTGTATTTTTTGTGATGGTCAGGCTGGTCTCGAACTCCTGACCTCAGGTGATCCACATGTCTCGGCCTCCTAAAGTGCTGGGATTACAAGCGTGAGCCATCACACCGCCCCGACATGATTCTTTAATAATGCAATTTAGAAAAGGTAATAGGACACCATAACATTCTGATATCTGTCTTCTAGCAGACTTTGTCTTGCTTGCTTTGCTGGAGCAAGCTCCCATGTTGTGAGCTGCTGCATGGAGTGACCCATGTGGTAAGGAACTGAGGATGCCTTTGGCCAACAGCCAGCAAGGAACCAAGGCCCCTAGTGGAACAGGCCCCAGAGCCCTCAGGAAACCGAATTCTGTCAATAACCAACTGAGCCAGTAAGTGGATCCTTCTTTGCCGGTTGCAGTTTCAGATAAAACCACAGCCATGATTAACACCTTGGATGTGAGAGATCCAAAGCAAAGAGCCCAGTTAAACTTTGCCACATCTTTTGATTCACAGAAACTGTTATGTATAAATGTGTTTTAAGTATCTAAGTTTGTGGTAATTTATTACCAGAAATAGAAAATAGGGTGCCATCACTTTCACATGGACTACTACTGTTTTAATAGCATCTCCTCTGACAACCATCTAAAACATTCACCACAATTTACACACTTGTTTATAAAAAATGCAAATAATCATATCGCTGCCTCTATTTTTCAACTGCATACACTGCTTAAAATATTTCCTTGAGTGGCTTCTCATTGATTCTTAGGAATTGGTATTTTTTTACTATGGCCTAGAAAACTTACATGCATGGCCCTTTAACTCTCCAGTCTCCCATCATTCTCCTTAGGGAGTGTTTTTCTTCAGATTCCCTTATTACTTATGAAATCACTATTTGATGATGAAGTCAGTATTTGGTGAAGTGTTTCATGTTTTTTTTTCTGTATTACGTAGTGAAAGGTATAGCATGACAGTTTTAATTGCACAGATTTAACCCAACAAAGAAAGGTGACATAGGTATATTTAAATAGCATCAAATGAAGCTGTGAGGTCTGTAAATATTGCTGAGCTCTATGATAGCTCCATTCTGTTAAATATTTTGATCACAAGTGTAAGAGAAACTAGAAGTAATACATATTTCAGTTGCAGAAAGCACAACATTAAGGGTAGTTATTATATGGAATACTTAAGTATTTCAAATGATTGGACAATTGAAATCAACAAAACTGTGCTTCAGTTTCTTCATTAGCACTAATTCTTTGCTAGCAATAGAAACAATCCTAAATAACTGTATTTATGTATAATGCCATAAGATTATAAGAAAGATTAAATGAGTTAAAGCATGAAAAACAGTTTTATGCCTGTTACAGAGTGTTTTTTAAAATGTTCAAAATGTAATTCAGTCTCATGAGAAATTCTCCCACTTGCGGTGATGTTAGGAAAGTTACATCACTGAAGAGACAGTCAATTTTGATGACAAGAGAGTGGAAAAATCTTAACTCTGTGTGCTGTAATAAGACCCAGCTTCTACTATTGAGCAATCAAATAAAGGTAGGGGCCAAGTCAGAGTCACTTAAAAGATTATCTCCCGACGACATGATTGTATATCTAGAAAACCCCATTGTCTCAGCCCAAAATCTCCTTAAGCTGATAAGGAACTTCAGCAAAGTCTCAGGATACAAAATCAATGTACAAAAATCACAAGCATTCTTATACACCAACAACAGACAAACAGAGAGCCAAATCATGAGTGAACTCCCATTCACAATTGCTTCAAAGAGAATACAATACCTAGGAATCCAACTTACAAGGGATGTGAAGGACCTCTTCAAGGAGAACTACAAACCACTGCTCAAGGAAATACAAGAGGATACAAACAAATGGAAGAATATTCCATGCTCATGGGTAGGAAGAATCAATATCGTGAAAATGGCCATACTGCCCAAGGTAATTTATAGATTCAATGCCATCCCCATAAAGCTACCAATGACTTTCTTCACAGAATTGGAAAAAACTACTTTAAAGTTCACATGGAACCAAAAAAGAGCCCGCATCGCCAAGTAAGCCAAAAGAACAAAGCTGGAGGCATCACACTACCTGACTTCAAACTATACTACAAGGCTACAGTAACCAAAACAGCATGGTACTGGTACCAAAACAGAGATATAGATCAATGGAACAGAACAGAGCCCTCAGAAATAACGCCGCATATCTACAACTATCTGATCTTTGACAAACCTGAGAAAAACAAGCAATGGGGAAAGGATTCCCTATTTAATAAATGGTGCTGGGAAAACTGGCTAGCCATATGTAGAAAGCTGAAACTGGATCCCTTCCTTACACCTTATACAAAAATCAATTCAAGATGGATTAAAGATTTAAACGTTAGACCTAAAACCATAAAAACCCTAGAAGAAAACCTAGGCATTACCATTCAGGACATAGGCATGGGCAAGGACTTCATGTCCAAAACACCAAAAGCAATGGCAACAAAAGCCAAAATTGACAAATGGGATCTAATTAAACTAAAGAGCTTCTGCACAGCAAAAGAAACTACCATCAGAGTGAACAGGCAACCTACAACATGGGAGAAAATTTTCGCAACCTACTCATCTGACAAAGGGCTAATAGCCAAAATCTACAATGAAATCAAACAAATTTACAAGAAAAAAACAAACAACCCCTTCAAAAAGTGGGCAAAGGACATGAACAGACACTTCTCAAAAGAAGACATTTATGCAGCCAAAAAACACATGAAAAAATGCTCATCATCACTGGCCATCAGAGAAATGCAAATCAAAACCACAATGAGATACCATCTCACACCAGTTAGAATGGCAATCATTAAAAAGTCAGGAAACAACAGGGGCTGGAGAGGATGTGGAGAAATAGGAACACTTTGACACTGTTGGTGGGACTGTAAACTAGTTCAACCATTGTGGAAGTCAGTGTGGCGATTCCTCAGGGATCTAGAACTAGAAATACCATTTGACCCAGCCATCCCATTACTGGGTATATACCCAAAGGACTATAAATCATGCTGCTATAAAGACACATGCACACATATGTTTATTGCGGCATTATTCACAATAGTAAAGACTTGGAACCAACCCAAACGTCCAACAGTGATAGACTGGATTAAGAAAATGTGGCACATATACACCATGGAATACTATGCAGCCATAAAAAATGATGAGTTCATGTCCTTTGTAGGGACATGGATGAAATTGGAAATCATCATTCTCAGTAAACTATCACAAGAACAAAAAACCAAACACCGCATATTCTCACTCATAGGTGGGAATTGAACAATGAGATCACATGGACACAGGAAGGGGAATATCACACTCTGGGGACTGTGGTGGGGTGGGGGGAGTGGGGAGGGATAGCACTGGGAGATATACTTAATGCTAGATGAGGAGTTAGTGGGTGCAGCGCACCAGCATGGCACATGTATACATATGTAACTAACCTGCACAATGTGCACATGTACCCTAAAACTTAAAGTATAATAAAAATAAAATAAAATAAAATAAAATAAAATAAAATAAAATAAAATAAAAAATAAATAAAAAAAAGATTATCTCCAAGCAGGCTGGGCGCAGTGGCTCAAGCCTGTAATCCCAGCACTTTGGGAGGCCGAGGCGGGCGGATCACGAGGCCAGGAGACCGAGACCATCCTGGCTAACACCATGAAACCCCGTCTCTACTAAAAATACAAAAAAAAATTAGCCAGGCATGGTGGTGGGCGCCTGTAGTCCCAGCTACTCGGGAGGCTGAGGCAGGAGAATCGCGTGAACTCGGCAGGCGGATCTTGCAGTGAGCCGAGATCGCGTCACTGCACTCCAGCCTGGGTGACAGAGCGAGACTCCGCCTCAAAAAAAAAAAAAAAAAAAAAAGATTACCTCCAAGCATTTCATCTCCACTCACGTTTCATCTCAAGTGGGAAACTTAAGAGCGTAAGCCTTCTTTCCTTTGGCAGAAAGGCAGTAGATTACAGAGATGGGGAATTAGTGCTACTACATCTGACTTTCTTCACTACATCAAATCATGAAGATCTCTCTTTGATGATCCTTGTATTGAGAGTGATTAATTCAAGATATGCATACGGGCTGGTAAAGGAAAATTAAGATATATTTTCTCCCAATTCATCATCATCAAAATTTCTCAGTGTGGGACTCAGGCATTAGTCGTTTTTAAATATTTATCAGGTGATTTTAAGGTGCAGTTAAGTTGGTTTTGTTGTTGTTGTTGTTGCTGAGTCGGAGTCTTGCTCTGTCGCCCAGGCTGGAGTGCAGTGGTGCCATCTCGGCTCACTGCAAGCTCCGCCTTCCGTGTTCACGCCATTCTCCCGCCTCAGCCTCTCGAGTAGCTGGGACTACAGGCGCCCGCCACCACGCCTGGCTAATTTTTTGTATTTTTAGTAGAGACGGGGTTTCACCTTGTTGGCCAGGATGGTCCTGATCTCCTGACCTCGTGATCCACCCGCCTCAGCCTCCCAAAGTGCTGGGATTACAGGCGTGAGCCATCGCGCCTGGCCAGGTGCAGTTAGGTTTTATAAGTCTAGGAGCCCAGCCAACCCCACAGGACCTATGGAAAAGAAAAGGAAAGTATTCTACATAAATGAGAATTACAAATTCTCTCAAGACTAAGTTTCTATGATTGAAACTTTGTTGATATCAAGAAAACCAATTTTGTTTGGAACTGCACGGCATCTTTTCTGTTTTCCATGGTGACTATAATGGCTATCTTCATTTTATCCATTCAGATAAGGACAGTTATAAAAGTAATGGGAAGAAAAATCACTGATATTGTACAAATATTTCATGACATGTTATTGTTAAAAACTGAGAAGAAATTACATTCCTTGAGAAGAAATTACAATGCCTGAGAAGAAATGGGACATGATAGATCAAAATGTTATAATTGCTGCAAGTTGGTAACTGCAAATGTCATCTACCATGGCTACAAACTTTATAAAGCAAAAAATGAATATATGTGACACTTTGGAACCCTACATTCAAAATTCATTTAAATGGTTAATTTTATGTTACGCATATTTTACCACAATTTGAAAATAATCAATTATTGGCCGGGCTCAGTGGCTCACGCCTGTAATCCCAGCACTTTGGGAGGCCGAGGCAGGCGGGTCATGAGGTTAGCAGATCGAGACCATCCTGCCTAACACGATGAAACCCCGTCTCTACTAAAAAATAGAAAAAATTAGCCGGGCCTGGTGGCGGGCACCTGTAGTCCCAGCTACTCGGGAGGCTGAGGCAGAAGAATGGCGTGTACATGGAAGGCGGAGCTTGCAGTGAGCCGAGATCACGCCACTGCACTCCAGCCTGGGCGACACAGCGAGACTCCGTGTCAAAAAAAAAAAAAAAAAAAAAAAAAAAAATAATAATAATAATAATAATAATAATAAATTATTTTTTTAAAAATTTGGCTAAAAATAATTTGTTTTATCAAGTTATTTTGAGCCCATCATGGGATTGGCAACAAGAAATTGGAATTCAAATCCAACTATAAGTGAACCCACTATCCCTTTATAATCAGCCACAATTCACCAAAGCAGAAGTGGACTGACCAAAAGGTTCCATTGGTGAAATATTCTATATTAATCTATATGTCAATCCAGGGACTGATAATTCATAATTCTTATGCAGCTGTTTATATTACCACAAGAAATTACCATATAAAATCTGCAATTTATCTTAACACTGTCATAGTGATGCAAAATCCATTTCTTACTTATGTCATTGTACTGACAATATCAAAATGATACTAACAGTATTGGCCTTTCCACCTTCATTTAAATTGTAAACATCCAGATGCAACTTACTGTGCCTGCAGAGTGCAGTTTGTATATAACAGCCAAAGTAATGGCTTATAAGAGTTCCTATTATTTATACACAAATCATAATAATTTTCTAGACCTAACATTATTTATGTCCCATTTAAGTAAAGTACAATATGAAATATCCAAATGTATATTTACATGTATATGTGCTTTATGTATCTTGTGAACTAATTGATTATAAGGTATTGATGTTTTCTAAAATGTTAAAATAACTTCAATTGGAAAAACAAAACAAAAGAAAACAAAACAAAAAACCCTTTTACTGGGCACTTAAGGTTATTCAGACATAACTTTTTTTTGTTGTTTAAATATTTACATTAAACTGATTAATATGCTTTATTTTTATGAAAAATACGTCACTCATGCTGTTTTATTTATTATTTTACAACGTAAGAATAGTTTTAAATTTAACATTTTATCAATTTATTTGAAAATAAGCTGCAGACGTCATGAACTTTACCCTTAAATATTTCAGCATTTATCTTCTAAGAATAACGATGGTCTTCTACATACAGTACTATTATAACATTATAGAAAATTCATATTGATTTAACAATACACTTTAAATTTCACCATTACGGCTCCCTAGTTTCTGTAGTATAATCCCTTTGTGTTTCAGTATGTGTTTTGGAGATTATAAAGCCACTTGTCTTCTAGAATTTTCTACAGTCTAGATTTGCCTATTGTTATCTCATAATTAAATTTAAAGTTAATTATTTTGGGGCAAGATTACTATAGAAGTGATATTATTGCCTCATATCAGGAGACACATAACATCAGGTTTTTAATCACTGATTATTCTAAGTTTTATCACTTAGTTTAAACCGTAACTACAAGATTTATTCATGGAATAAACACATTATTTTTGTCTTTGAACCAGATACCTCATCCATAGGGTGTAATTTAAATGTGAATATCCCAATGTCCAAAACATTATCAGACTGTTATAAAGATTAGATCAAGCTAATGCATTAAATCATGAGAGAAGTATTTATCCCTGCTTCTTGAATCTGGTCTTGGCTATGTGGCTTACTTTGGTCTATGGGATGTCAGAGGCTTGAAATGTCCTAGCCCATATTGGCTTATTCTTTTGGACTCTTTCCTTTCACCATAAGAAGAATATGACTTGATGTGATATACACTGGTTCAAGAAGAATCAGAAACATGTGGCATAGATTTGAACACAATTTGCAGCCTGGAGTAAATCACAATATCAGTTTACCCACAGATATATGAGGGAAAAATAAATGTGCTTTGTATATGCCACTACATAAGAGTGTATAAGACTGGAATATAAAATATACTGACATTTACTTGATTCAGTTATTATCTTGTGGTTTGCAAAATAATGATTTTCTGATATTGTCCTCTTACCATTTATTAGCTTGTCTTAAAAACAAAATCTTCCTCCCCCTTTCCTTTCTGTCTCTCTCTCTCTCTGTCTTCTCTCCCTCTTTCATTTCCTCATTTTTATGAGTGATACTTGAGTTTATTCAATATCTTACACTATATTTCCATCATTATTCTTTTTGAAATGTAAATAATATCAAATTGTACAAAGGGGTACCCATAACACTGGTTATTATGTTCCCTTGGCATGATGTTACTTTTCTCTCAGTATTTATTTATTTTCTATGATAACAACATATCTATTGCTGCCCAAACCTGGAATCAACCATTCTTTCAATTATGTCTGATATATTTTGGTGGGGATTGGTACTTAAAAACCAAGGTATGTGTTCTACGCATGTTCAATTCCATAATGAGTGACTGTTTCTTGGTCTTATTGGGGGACAGACTGAACAGATTTAAGGAATGTATATAATGATTTAATACAGATGCCTCCAATGCAAATTCAACATTATGTATCTTCTATCTAAAGACCTAAAATTCTCGAATTATTTCCCACCAAAAAATTAAAAAAATAAAAATACAAAATGAAGGAAAGAAAGAGAAAAAGAGAAAGAGAGAAAGAAAGAAAGAAAAAAGAAAAAGAAAGAGGAAGGAAGGAGAGAAAAGGAAAAGAAAGAAAGAGAAAAGAAGGATAAAGATAAAGAAAGAAAGAAAAAGAAAGAGAGGAGGAGACAAGGAAGGAGAGAGAGAAAAAGGAAAGGAAAGAAGAAAGGAAGAAAGAAGAAAGGAAGAAGGAAGAAAGAAAAAAGAAAGAAAGAAAGAAAGAAAGAAAGAGAAAGAAAGAAAGGAAAGAAGATAATTTATGGAACTGCATAAATTATCAAGAGACGGAAGGATTTGAAAAGTAAAATTGAGAAAGAAGTAGCAGCTGCTTAAGACCAAAGAACAAATGACAAGTTCTGTGTATGACACCCTGGCACATGTTCTTTTGTTTCCCTTATTCATAAATACAGCAGTTTGCTTTTTTTTTCCTTCCTAGTTGTCTCTCTTTCCTTATTGTAATTCTCTCTCTACATTTTCATATTCTCTTTCTTCCTTGTTTTATTCATATAATCCTCAATTTAGTCTTTTGCCTCTCATTTGTAGTCTATATCATATAGAAATTAAGGGAAAGTGAGTAGTATTTTTATCTTCTAACTTGATGTAAAAATTCATCTACTAGAGAGACCAGTGTCTTCTCCTAAACATAGGGAAACATAAAAGAAATTTAATAATAAATGTAACTCAGTTGTACTTTCTTCAAGTAACTTTTTTTTTTTTTTTTTTTTTTTTTTTTTAGAGACAGAGTCTCACTCTGTCACCCAGGCTGTAGTGCAATGGCGCGATCTCGGCACACTGCAACCTCCACCTTCCGGGTTCAAGCAATTTTCCTGCCTCAGCCTCTTAAGTAGCTGGGGTCACGCCCGGCTAATTTTTGTACTTTTAGTAGAGACGGGGTTTCACATATTGGCCAGGCTGGTCTCAAACTCCTGACCTCAGATGATCTGCCTGCCTTGGCCTCCTAAAGTGCTGGGATTACAGGCCTGAGCCACTGCGCCCAGCCACTCTTCAAGTAATTTTTGCAAAACAGCATATATGTAACCTTCATTCTTTTGTCTGCCAAATGCAAAGGAACACTTTATAGTTCTAAGATACCTATTGCTGAAAAGTCAGTACAGGAAAAGATTTGATGAGACAACCAAATTTCATGTGCTCCTTCCTTGCTGAAACACAGGTACAAAATCCTAGCTTTCTCAATTGAAATTCACTAGCATGCACAGCACATGGTCTCTACCAGAAGTTAGATCCATTAAAAGATAAAGAAAATGCTTTGCTATTATAATGATAATCATGTATTTTATACTAACTTTCCAATAAGAAAGCAGAGTAATGAAAAGACTTCCAGGGATTATCTAGCAAAGCTCTGTGTTTTTTGATATGCTGCAACCAGAAATGTAAAATTTTCACCATTTCATGACCTTAATTCTGGAGGTGTCGGTAACTGGTGTAAAACACCACTTGTACTTTTGAAATTGACATGTATATTGACCATATTTCTCCCATATTTTCCTCTTTTACCCTAGTGATAAGGGCATTATACTTTCTTGTGTTTCCATAATGACATATGATTGTATTCTCAACACACAGCACATGGCTAGTTCAGATACTTTGCAAATGTAGGTACTTTTTAAATGTACTTTGAAATGTAAGTTTGGATTTTGCCTTTTGGTTCTTGGACTTTGCCTTCAATTTAATATTTTAGTGTTTAAGCACATTTCTTCCATTTTAGTATTTATTCCAGCGTATGTATTGTAAATACTGACATTAAAATAAACTCGTAAAATTAGCATACTACCTTTACATGTTTAAACTGTACATTTATACAATAATGGTTAACATAATTGATTTTTATAAAAATAACTTTAGTTACCTCAAATTAATCCAAGTTCTCTTCTGTTAGGAAGAGATAATATTTTGGGAAAAGTTTATTATAAAATTCTCAAAAAATCTAGTTCATTAATTCTTATTCCTCCTTGATTCATGAAATCTTAGAGCCCAATTTGTTATGCTTCTGGCTCCAGTGGGTCCTAAAGACCAAATTAGAGCTACAGCAACTTACTTGAGGGTTAGGCTATGATTTTCAAGTATGACCCATGGCTTCATAAATAACAACAGAAATAGCAACTTGTTGAGCCCTGGTTTGTGTTATGACGGTCTGTGTTAGGAGGTCACCTTGTGAGAATGAGCTGCACAAGAGATACTCCCCACTGATTGTTCATTTGGGGTCAAGACTTGTTTTGAGGAACTGCTGTGGACCCTCCTCTTGCCAACAGTATTCATAGGAAATTGAAACCAAACCTGTAAAAATGTCTGTTGTAAAGATAAAGAGGCACTTAGCAATTAGAAAATAGAATGGTTCTCTATGTATAAGTGACATTTTTCTTAAACATATAGTTACAGGTAAGGGAAACAAAGTTATGCTTAGAAATACAAATATTTTCCCACTCTTGTGTTTTTGCTGAATTCTACTAATTTCTTCATATATTCCTGGCCACACTTGTGTTACCTATTTCCTTGTTTGGGGAAAACAAGAAATGATCTAATACATATAAAAGAATTCCTCTCTTATGTAGTTTTGAATACATGAATAATATTTGAATATTTGATTTAACATATGTACATTCAAGTATGGTGTTCATGTATATGCACAGCAATTATGTCCTTTTGACTATGGTTCAATAATAAATTAAGAAAAGTTACAAAAGAAACTACCAGTGTTTTGACTCATTGATTTACTAAAAATATTCATGGACTCCTTGTTAGGTCTATGTATTATTCTTTCGAAGTTAAGATTTTGATAATGCCTACAATGTCTTAGTTATATCATGACACTTGATACAATTGAACTTAATGACCATCAAAATATACTATGCATCTCCTAGGTTTTGGAAACTTCTACAATATTATCATATTCAAATCCAACCCACATGCTGTACTTTGTTATTTAAATCTTCAAAAAAATGAAGTTATCATTAGAGCAAGTGATAATTTAATCAGAGAAATCGAGGAAAGTTCCAGTTTTTGTACGCATTGCACTGACAAACCAGGAGAAAAAACACCATGGAGAAGGTTTTTACAGCATGAAGAAATAGGAACTCCTAAGGAAACCATATGTCATTCACATCAATTATAAGTGGTACATTAGAAAGTGATAGAATAATTTTCTGCCAAGTCAGGGGTGTGTCTGTGTGAAGTGTTTCCTTTCCGTCTTTTATGACTTCCACTCAAGCAGGTAGCAAGCTGTGCCTACTTGTTCCAATGGACTTTTGAGGCAGCCAAGACAGCAAAATTTGCATGTAATATTCTTCCCTTCCTAGCTTTTGTTTACAAAGGTAAACCAGTCAAGTTATGTAGTTAGTTTAGACTCCTCTAAGGACGAAAGCAGAAATACGGACTGCTGGCAGACAGCAAGAACAACTTGTATTTCCTGCTAACCCAATATAAGAGTTACTTTGAAGTATAAATTAGAGGAATAATTTTTTAAAGCTTATGTCTGTGGTTTGAGATTTATACTTGCAATTTTATCATTAATATGAAATACGTGTCTTCCCTTAAGAGAGTTTTAAAGATCATGCATTTCATGAAAATGACAAAGGAAGGATTAAAATAAAGACCAGGACACTCATTTATACATCAAAAATTAGAGACATATCTTATGAATACATGTTTTTCAATATGTCTCTCACCAAAATAACCTTAGGGCATGCAAATAAAACTTCTTAAAACCAAAGAGTGCAAAATTATGTGATTCACATTAAATTAAACTCACATGATTTTGGGTCCTATAAACATGATATTATACTTCTTGGTTTCCAATGTTGAATTTCTATGTTGAATTTTTAGATCCTGAAAAATATTCCATGTCTGCTCATAGGATTTCATGAAATACACAATATCGGTAAAAAACTTTCCTGAAAAAAATTTTATACAAAATTTCTCTCTTCTATTATCTTTTACTTTTATTGAAGACAATATCTAAGTCCTAAATCTTTTAAATACTTAATCTGATAAACATATTTCTCCTGACACTTTCATAATTAAGTTAAAATATTACAAAATACAATATTCTAATGGTTGCAAAGTGGCTTTAACTTTCATTTTATATTTCATGTCATGCTATTTGAAATATGGGTTTCTCTATACTTTTTTATTTCCATTATCAAAATTACTAATAATTTTTTTCTAACAGAGTAATGTGTAAAGTGAAATCAATTAGAAATTGATTAGCTTTCAAGTTTATCTGCTATAGATCTTTGCTTTTTTTGCTATAAGTTTTTCTGCAGTAGCTTTAAATTTATTTTTGTACATAAATTATATATATGTTGTATTCATGTTAAAAATATACTTTATCAGCACCTACTGCATGAATGTTATACATGTATTTATTTTATTCTCCCAATTGGTGCAAGTAAATCTCGACGAGAAGGTATAAAAAATGTATTAGAAATAATTCCATTCACTTTAAGATCAGGTTTCTATAATGCTGTTTCATTATTTATTATTACTTTTTTGGAAACTTAGATTCCACTTTCTTGCCCAGGCTAGTCTCTCTAACTCCTGGGCTCAAGCAGTCTTTCCCCCTTAGCCTCCCCAGTAGAGTTCCATTATTTTTAATTTACTTTAGCTTACAAATCATCAGTCATTTCCAAAAGATTACAATGATGTTAACAATAATCAATGTGTGCTTATTTTAATATCTAAAATTAAGGTAAAAATATTTGTACTGTCTTTACTAGTATAGCAGTGGTACAAATTTGGCTATATATCAAAATGATCAGAATAGTTTTTTAAAATTCAGATTCCTTGGCCCTAGTCAGAACCACTAAATCAAAATCTCTAGAAATGGGCTTTAGAATATCTTTGTCTTATGTCTTGCTCTCTCTCGAACATATTATCTGAATACTTTTTTTTTTTTTTTAAGACATAGTCTCATTCTGTTGCCCAGGCTGGAGTGCAGTGGCGTGATCATGGCTCACTGCAACCTCCGCCTCCTGGGTTCAAGCAATTTTCGTGCTTCAGCCTCCGGAGTAGTTGAGATTACAGGCGTGTGCCACCATGCCCAGCTAATTTTCATATTTTTAGTGAAGGTGGGATTTCACCTCTCTGAGTAATTCTTATATTTACCCAAGATTACTTGCAAGCCAAAATGCCATCAGGGTTGATTTGGTTGTTTTATATCTCATTATAAAATTAAAAAAAGTAAGATTCTTCAGTCTCACTATTGAGGACATTAACATTCTTCATGAAACTTCATAAAAAACTCTATTAAAATATGTTAGTTATATCATATTGTTATATGTCACATCACATAGTTGTATATGAAGTAGAACTAGTTTTTTTGAAAAGTTTATATTATTCATAAGACAAATTTGTGATTTACCCAATTATTCCATCTATTAATATTACATAGTTTCACCATAAATCTTGACATAAAGAAATCTGTTTTTGAACAAGATAAGTTTCTTAAAAATACAATGTCTCCAAGTTTCACTAAAATAAGGACAAACTCAATGCATACAGTGGAATTTAATTTTGAATTTGCCTATTTAAATATCCATGCACTTATATGAATACTTATACTTTAATATACTTTGTATATATATTTATACTTTAAATATCCATATACTTATATGTGAACACATACTACTACTTAGTTTTTGATGACACATTATACTTTCCTTTTTATAAATTAAATAATATTAAAATTACATAAGGGAAAGTTGAACATTTACATACATATATATTTATCATTACTCAAATACCTACATTCCACATATATCTAATAATTTGAATAGTGTGTATTTATTCATATGAAACAGGCATTGTTTTGATTGCATTCCTTGAAATGTGGAGTCCTCTATGGAACTACTTTTCCTGACTACCTGACATAATCATGTGTAACTGTCACAATTTATTTAAGCTGCACTTTTTATAAAGCTTTTATACACTATATAAAAATTCCATGTAGACATACATGGAATGAGGTATTTTCCATGGGAAATGTGACTATATTCCTCCTATGTTCCCACAGACCCTTACACCTAAAGTAATTAAATCACAGTGTCATATCTGCACACCTCATTCTCTTAGAATGTAATGGTTTTGAGGGTAGGGAAAGGGGCACTTGACAATTGACAATTGTAATTTCAGTACTCACTGAAGAACATGGTATATAGCAAATAATATATATTTCTTTAAAAAATAAAATATAGGCCAGGCACGGTGGCTCACGCCTGTAATCCCAGCACTTTGGGAGGCCGAGGCAGGTGGATCATTTAAGGTCAGGACTTCAAGACCAGCCTGACCAACATGCTGAAACCCTGTCTCTACTAAAAATATAAAATAAATAGTTGAGCCTGGTGGCATGTGCCTATAATCCCATTTACTCAGGAGGCTGAGGCAGGAGAATCGCTTGAACCCTGGGGCCAGAGGTTGCAGTGAGCCGAGATTGTGCCACTGCACTCTAGCCTGGGCTACAAAGCAAAACTCTGTCTCAAAAAATAAATAATAAAATAGAGGAATATGTATATGGATTAAATGCATTTTGAAAGAGAGATTTTGTAATTAGTTCAAATATATGCACATTATTATTTAAATATTAGTTTCTAGAATAGGATAACTGAATGGAGAGTGGAGGCCAATTTTTTCACCTTGTGAATTAACAGCTTTCTGAAAAGCAGGAGGCAGGAGGTGTTAGAGTCAGAGAAGCTAGGAAAGCGGGTGGCACAGATCACCATGTTTGACGTTGATGGCTCTAATCCTTGCTATTAGGAATTCCTGCTCAGATAACTGCTGAAGACAAGGATTAGGTTTAATTAGCACTTGAGGTTTAGGGAAAACTACCGCAGATTGATCACAAACCTTGAAAACTAAATCCTAAAAGTATGGTATTCAAAACTAGAAGTTGTGAAATTGACCACTGTGGAAGGAGAGGCCTATTGGTCATATTCATACTTTTCTCACTGTACTCTGAACCAAAGCCATACTTTCCCCTAAATCTATAGTAGCTCCAAGACAGTCACGCATTCCCTGCATTTCCCCTTCCTGTCCCAATCTAACCCTTTCTCGACATCTAGTTTTGTCTTATCAAACCTAATCCACTTACTTTCATGGGGAGGATATCAGATTTTAAAAGAATCCTGCTCCCTTTCTTTTTTTGTTATTTAAGATGACTTTCTTTCTTATGGCTTATAGAGTTTTGTTCTGTTGGTGGCTGTTTTTATTTGTTTGTTTTCAGCACAAACACTCCTATAACTCAAACAAATGTATCTCTTTTAGTGGGCTTTCAAAAATAGTTAATAAAGAAGTGAGGGAAGATATTTTAGAATGGCGGGGAAGGAGAAAAAACTCTTCAACTACAACTACAAGCATGGGCTCATAACTCCTAATTAACAGCTCACTTTATATATATATGTATATATATATATATACATACATATATAAAAAATAAATTTAAAACAAATGCTACTTTATTGAAATATATATAATGAAAGTATATATACTTTATTGAAATATATATAAAGAAATATATAATAAAATATATAATGAAATATATATAATAAATGTATATAATGAAAGTATATATATATTTTATTGAAATATATATATAATGAAATCCAGTGACCTTACCAAACTAAAAGTGGAAGCCAGAATCATGAGGAACATTCTTTACCGAATGACTGTAACAAATGCTAACTTGCAGGCTGAAGTTTCTCAATGCAGGAATGCAGGACAACACCATGTCTGAGCACACCTTCAACTAAAATGTCACCTGAGTTAGAGATCTGCCATCTTACTTGACTTCAAGAGACCACTAAGACAGAGTCTACCAAATAAAAAAAACTTAGGTTTTATCTTAGTCCAACTTCTTTCTTTTACAGACTTAGAAAGTGAGTCTCAGAGAGGTAAAGAAACTTACTTTATTTCAGTTTAAAATTTCTAATTGAAAATACAAAAAAAAATACAAATTTTATTGTGAGAGAATAAATGATTGGACTAAAAAAACCACTAAAAAAAAAACAGAGAAAAGTAATGGGAGAGGAAAGATCTCTCTAATACTAGATAAACTATAGCATTTTCTTTGATTTTGCAAAATTGGCAAGGTAAATGGGATTTAGAAGAAGTGCAGGAGTTTTTTTGTCCCATCGTATTCAGCAAGATTTATTTGTTTTCATAGCCTGGAAATCACAAAACATGAGGATTCAAATGGGAAAATCACAGATAGGCAATGTGATGAAAGCATCTTTGTTTGTATGTAAGGTAACAGAATAACTGAAAACAGAAAATGGGTCATTAAATAAAAGTTCATACAGGAAAGACAACTACAGCAAAGGAGAATACGTGTAAAAGAATTACAGTATTAGTCAATACTTCTCAAAGAGATGCTAAAAGTTTAAAGAGAAGAAATTTCTGTACAAAGTAAAGATAGGAAATTTTTAATCAGTTAAAAACTTCCACATTAAACAATTTTCAATTGAAGCTAGTTGGATGTGATTAAAATATCAGAAACCCCCAGGGAAGATAAAATCCTTGAATGCATACACTTCAGAGATTAAATAAATCAGAAATATGATAAAAATTGAAAATGTATTTACGCATATAATCCAGTGTTTTATGAGCAAAGAAGTTATTTCTCACATACTTTAATTTTTCCCTTTTCTGGTGATTTATTTTAAATTAAGAAATATAAGATGCTAAGTCAGTCTAATTTAAAGTTACAGTACAACTAATTCTAATAATGAAATAACCCCTTACAGCAAGTCTTTGAATCATTAGAGGATTTTCAGATAATTTCTTGTGAATGCAAACAAGATAATCATAGAAGTGCATATATCAAGTAGCCCTTTCTTCAAACACTAGTGGTCATGCATATTCAACAGAATGCAAATATTGACTTTCCTGATAGCAAGTGGGGCAGATTGACAAAGTGTCTGATGGGAAACTGTAATCATTTTGTGGAATGTGACAGTGACCTTCATGTCCCCTATGCCAAGGATGTATTCTACTTAAATCTTTGATTCTGCTAACCTTTAAACAGTTTCCACAACTTGAGAAATAAAATAGACATCTGGAAAAGGGCAGTCTCTGCCAGAACAATAAAAGCTTGGAAGAAATAAACAGGCCTTGTGTCTCATAATGTTTCTCAGGAGATCCAAGGCAAGAAAGCCTCAGGTTGCAATTGACTTCTCAAAAAGACAAACTAGCACATGAAAAACTTCCTCCCTCTGAGTAAGCTGAGGGGAGAATAGGAAAGGTCAGCCCATTGTATTCCCAGTAATCAATATGCTTTGGAAACATAACACCCAATTTAGATTTAATTATTTAATATTTTTAAAATGAAAATGTCTTAGTACTTTCAATCAAGATATCAAAAATATTACAGCATGCTTTATATTTGATGAATGTAGACTTACCATGCTTCAAATACTAGACAAAGCATAGCTATGGAATCAAACTTAAATAAAAAGATGACTAACTGTCAACTGAATTTTATGCATGCATCCTAATAAATTAAAAACAAATGCGACTTTATTGAAATATCAAATGTATTAGGTAGAGTGAAAGAAGCCAGTTCAGTCTCAAAATGTTACATACTACGTGAGTCCACTACTATGATACTCAGCAAAAGTATAGGGACAGAGAATGGTGAGTGGCTGGCAGAGGTTGCATTGGGAAGTTTTGACTAAAAAGGACAGGAATTAGGGAATATTTTTCAGTGATGGATCTTTAGTAACCTTATTGTAGTGGGGATTACAGGATACTAAATAGGTCTTAAAACTCACAGAACCATGTACAAAAATATGAAATTGAATACATGTGTGTGCATGTGTATAGATCAATATAAATAGCTGTTTACACCTCTCTTGATTACGTTGGTGGTGGTAGTTGCATGTGTGAATACATTGTCCAAACTCCTAGGACATTTACAATTTAAGTATACCTCAATAAAGTTGTTTTTTGACTTGTGTTAAATAAATTTACATGCATAGGAAATAACTTTGTAAAATCTATTTCCAGCATTTTAAATTAAATGTAAATTTAAACACTCAACAAGATCAAATTGAGGTACTACACAGTTAGTGAATTCTATCTAAACTAGTGGTGCTAGGTTTTTGAATAGCCCACTCTGTTTTAGAAAATTAGACTATACAACCAATATTAAAGCAGTTTCTATATGATTTCCCTCATATCACAATGAGACAATCAAATACACTGGAAAAATATAATAGACTCTAACAAAATGCCTTCTTTATCTAAACACCCTTGAAACAAAAGCTACTCAATTTTGATAGCTTTTTAAAAGTAGTTTGTTGCATCTTCAAATAAAGTGACAAATTTTATAATCTTATAAAAAGTTAAAAGATATTTAAAGCATTTTAAATATGAATAAATTATTAAAGAATACTACCTTTTAGATAATATGTCTAATGATAAAATTATGGTAATACATAGCTGAAAATATAAAATATATCAATTATTCTCTTATAAACTCAACGTTAACTTATATGCACATAAATTACGTTACCATTATATTTATTTTCATTGAAAGGCATTAAGAAGATACAAGCAGGTGTGCAATTAGATATGAAAATTTATAGTTTGATAAGAACAGAGACTCTACAGTATAAGGATATTTGGCATTTATATTAAGGTATAATCTTGGTGGTTTTCGGGTAGACATTTTCAGCTTAATTCTCTATGAAGCATAATAACTTTATCTAGAAATAGATTGAAACAGCTCACTCCTGAACTCTCTCTATTAAATGAAATATGTGAGCTACAACACACACAATTTGAAATTGAACTGTGGAGACCTAATCATGACTCTCTCTAGTTAGGTGTTGGGTGTGCATGTCCAAACTTGCTGTCTCCACTCACCTGAAGATTAAAACACAGCAGCTACTAGCAGGATGTTAGCAATGGAGTCCCAGAAGTAAGCAAATAGTAATAGACTTGGATTAAAAAAAATTCTCTAGATATGAACCAAATCCCAGCACTAATTTCCTAACACTTATTATACCACCATTAATTCAGAAATATCATCGACATAAAAATGAAAGGACTATTAAGATAGTCAAACTCAAAATACCATGTTTTAATTTCATATAACTTTGCATTTCATTTTAATGTAAATTAATTCACATAACTCATTGGTTTGTCTAGCACCTACTGAATAATTGGTGTCATTTCATACGATGCACATAATTTTATATCTGAAACGACTGAACTTGAAAGCAAAAATAACTGAGCTTCTAGAGACTTAGGAAATAATCAAAATCACGAAGTTGTTTGGTCATTGCAGCATCAACTATTTTCTAGTCTTTTTTTTTCCTTTCACTCAGGTCAATACTTCTGCTGGAAGATAGTGATTTGGTCTAACATTTTAAGATATAAATACAAGTCAAGCCTCCATATTATTAACTCATTTGAAAATGTGCATTAAAGATCTATTATGTGCCAACAAAATATTCTAGGGACAGGGTGTAAAACTCATGAGTTTCAACTGCATGTATTGACTTATACAGGGATTCTTTTCAATCAAAGACAGATCAAGAATACTGTATTGGTGGGATGCAAAGCCCGTGTATGCAGAGGGCCGGTTTTTCATATATGCAGTTTCCACAGGGCCAACTGTGGGACTTGAGTATGCATGGATTTTGGTACATGCAGGTGTCCCGGAGCCAATCCCCTGCAAATGCGGAGGGATGACTGCCTACAGTTTGTTAGAAGTTGAAAAGGCTATGATGAAGGAAAAAGAAGGGGTAGAGGATAGGAAGTCCTAGGAGAATGAGAGATTTCCATTTTAAATAGGTGGGTAGACCTTACAAAGAAGATGGCCTTTCAGAACGGATATGAAGGATATAAGAGAATAAACCATGCTGACAACTGGGCAAAGAGACTTTCAGGCAGAAGGAGCCTCAAGTGCAAAAATCCCAGGAAGAGGCCACCTGCGGTGTTCCTGTTCAAGAAGCATCAAGGAGGCGGTGTGGCAGGAAAAAAGTGAAGGAAAAGAAAGTGGTACTGATTGAGGTCAGAGAGATTAAAAGGCAGGAACATATCCTGCAGAATCTTGCCAGTGATTTTAACATCTTCAAATTTCACGCAAGATAAAGTAGGAGTCACGAAAGAGAGTGGTTTGAGCAGAGGAATGACTTTATCTGAATGGCTCTGGCTACTGGGTGGAGAAGAGTCTCCAGGGAGAAAAGTGCAGGAAAAAGGAAACTACATGGGATATTCTTCTAGGCAGAGGTAAAAGTAGCATGAACAAAAGCAGTAGAAGCAGAAACTGTGGGACAACCTAGAGCTTTGAATATGTTTTGAAGGTAGAGACTAAGATTTCCGGGAAATGTGATGAGTTAAAGAGAGGAGTCAAAGCTGATTACAAGAATTAACTGAGCACAGAGAAGGAAGGAGTAACCATTAATTGAGAAGGGAAAGACAGGGGGAGGAGCAAGTATTCTGTTTTGGAAGGTGTGAGAGGTCTTTAGATATGCAAGTAGTGGAAGCAGGGCGCGGTGGTTCACGCCTGTAATCCCAGCACTTTGGAAAGCCAAGACAGGCGGATCACTGGAGGTCAGGAGTTTGAGACCAGCCTAATCAACATGGCGAAACCCCATCTCTACTAAGAATACAAAAAATTAGCTGGGAGTGGTGGTGCGCGCCTGCAATCCCAGCTATCCGGGAGCCTGAGGCATGAGAATCGCTTGAACCCGGGAGTTGGACGTTGCAGTGAGCTGAGACCACCGTGCCATTGAACTTCAGCCTGGGCAACAAGAGTGAAACTCCATCTCAAAAAAAAAAAAAAATATATATATATATATATATATATATATATATATATGTGTGTGTATATATATATATATATATATGTGTGTATATATATATGTGTGTATATCTATATATATATGTGTGTATATATATATATGCAAGTAGTGACATGTTTCAATAGGTTGCACAAGGCGGAGGGGTGTGGAGGGGCATATTGTTTCCTTTTATTAACAAATGATGCCTTATTTGATATTGAATGGTCACCCCATGGCTCTGAATATCAAATGTAAACAAGGATTTTTAAAAATATATTTATTTGTCAATACTTATTTATCTTTTTAATAATTCAGGGATATGGTTGTATACAAATCAAAAACATCACAATACTGTCATCTAACTAAACTCATTTTCAAAGGCCATTCATAGATCATGCTCCATTTTAAAAATGACAAGGCTTATAAATTAGAATTGTAACTGAATAATGACAAGATCAACTAAGAAAGAAAAAGGTAAAATATTTGCAATATTTATGAGAAATATAATAAGGGCATATAATCATTGAAAAATTAGAATATAATAGTTTAGTGGAAATTCATATCCTTTTGAGAAGTATGATTTTTACTTTTGTATGATATTTAACTATAATATAAATTACTCAACAGTAAATGGAAAACTATATTTTTAATGGATATGTGATAATTGTATATATTTATAGGGTACATGTTGTATTTTGATATATGCATATAATATACTTTTGTGCTTTGGGTGTACATTGAAATCAAAAGTTTTAAAACTGTAAATATAGGACTTATCCCTTGTTACAGGCTCACAAAGAAAGACTTTTAAAAACGTTGACTTTGAATTAAAGGTACGTTTCTAGCATGCTTGTTGTGTAGATTTGGGGGAGAGGGAAGTGAAGGTTAATATGATAAAAGTAACATCAATGTTATTTTCATTTGATTTTTAGTTTTTGTCAATGTGTTTGTGTCTGTGTGTAAAAATAGTTGTCTAATGTGGAATATATGATTGACTAAAAATATTGACAATTTTCACAGGAACATTTCAATTTGTTTTTTCAACTTTTATCTTGAGCTTGAGGGTACACGTGGAGGTTTGTTACATAGATAAACGTGTCATGGGGGTTTGTTGTACAGATTTTTTCATCACCCAGGTATTAAGCCTAGTACCTAATAGTTATCTTTTCTGCTCCTCTCCCTCCTCCTCGCTTTCAACCTCATGAGGCCAGAGTGTCTGTTGTTCCTTTCTTTGTGTGAATGAGTTTTCATCATTTAGCTACCACTTATAAGTGAGAACATGTGGTATTTGGTTTTCTGTTCCTATGTTAGTTTGCTAATAATGGCCTCCAACTCCATCCACGTTCCTGCAAAAGACATGGTCTCATTTTTTATGGCTGCATAGTATTCCATGGTGTATATGTACCACATTTTCTTTAACCAGCCTGTCATTGATGGGCATTTAGGTTGATTCCATGTCTTTGCTATTGTGAATAGTGCTGCAATAAACATTCATGCATGTATGGTAGAATGATTTATATTCCTCTGGGTATGCACCCCATATTGGGATTGCTGGGTCGAATGGCAGTTCTGCTGTTAGCTTCTTGAGAAATCGCCATACTGCTTTCCACATGGTTGAACTAATTTACACTCCCACCAACAATGTATAAGTGTTCCCTTTTCTCCACATCCTTGCCAGCATCTGTTATTTTTTGACTTTTTAATAATAGCCATTCTGACTGATATGAGATGACATCTCACTGCGGTTTCGTTTGCATTTCTCTAATAATCAGTGATATTGAGCTTTTGTTCACATGCTTGTTGGCAGCAAGTGTGTCTTCTTTTGAAAAGTGTCTGTTATGTGCTTTTCCTACTTTTTAATGAGGTGTTTTGTTTTTTTCTTCCAAATGTGTTTAAGTTCCTTCTACAAGCTGGATATTAGACCTTTGTCAGATGCACAGTTTGCAAAAGTTTTTCTCCCATTCTGTAGGTTGTCTATTTTATTCTCTTGATAGTTTATTTTGCTTTGCAGAAGCTCTTAAATTTAATTAGATCCCATTTGTCAATTTTTGCTTTTGTTGTGATTGCTTTTGGTGTCTTTGTCATTTGAAATACTTGTCCATTCCTACATCCAGGATTGTATTGCCTAGGTTGTCTTCCAGGGTTTTTACAGTTTTAGGTTTTACATTTAAGTCTTTAATCCGTCTTGAGTTGATTTTTGCATATGGTGTAAGGAAGGGTCCAGCTTCAATCTTCTGCATATGGCTAGCCAGATTTCAGGTTATTAATAGAGGTGTACTCTGATAGAATGCAAGTTTATGGAGGGGAATGAAATGCTTATTTTGTAGTTAAAAAATGATAATGTTAATATAATAATGGTGTTTTTATGCCATATATTAGGCAAATTATATTAGATTTTTACATCCATAGCATTAGTTACTTAGAACTACTCTATTGGATAATCTGAAATTATACTTTTTTACAAATAAGAAAACTGAGAAGTGCAGTAACTTGCCGAACTTTGCATAGTGAAGATGCAATGGAATCAGAATTCCAAACCAGACAGTCTGACGTAAGAGCTTGTGCTTGGCTTGATATTAATATGTCAAATCTCTATGTATTACCTATACCCTTTGAGCGACTGACCTTCTCTGAAGAAATGCCCTTTAGGTACACAAAGGAAAAATTTTGATTGTTCTTATCAGCCTTAAGCAGACGGACCAGGGTTATTCATTTGTCAGTACCTAGGAATGCAATAATTAGCACTCCGCATCAGTGCTTTCCTAGGATAGACACTGTATCACATCGGAAGTATACATTATGATATGGGTCACTAAGTTGTTAATTAATAAATAATTAATTTCTGTTCTCCAACTATGCCCCTGAATAAATTAACATTTCCCTAAAGTGTCTATTAACATGTAATGAGTTTTTTTTTTTTTTTTAATGATTGGATTTATATTCTCTTCAGTGTCTAATGAAAACACACTGCTTCTCTGAGTTAACTAAGAGAACTCTCAGGGAGACTACACACTCTTCAGATCACCCATCAGAAACTTAAATCTTGTTACTCTCCAGAAAGTACCATCAGTGTCCTAAAAAGGCCATACTCTTAAACAGCCATCACCTAAAAGGATACAAAGCGCTTTATTAGCAAGATAAAAGAACACTGGAGTTAATGCAGTTACACAACTATTTACTAAGGCCCAGACAAACCAGAAAGGTAAAGCCTGGTTCCTAGGAAAAGATAGCTTTTGTTAATGGATTCAATCTGGAGAATAATTGTATGAATTAGCTATTACAATCTCCATTCTACAACAAGAACTGAAATTCAAAGACATTAAGTAAATTGCCCAAAGTAATCTATTCTGCACATGGCAAAGCCCCATTTTAACCATAAGCTATCTGACTCCAGTGGGTGGCTGCAGGCACCTAAAACAAAGGTTGCTCACCAGTGAAATACTCTGCTCTGGCAGAACTTGCTTTTCTTTCTGGATTCTTCTAAGCAACACATAACAAATATCCAGGCACTTGTGAGTCATCTACATCTCTTCCTTTCCTCTCACAACCAAATGTTCACCATCAGTTCTAACTCCTTCACCTATCCCAAACCTCCCCCACCACTCAAACTTCATTGTCATTGCTATAATTTTAGGCATCCGTATTTCTCACAAGTTCCCCTTGCCCGTCTTGTCTCCTTCATTCAATCCATGCTCTATATTGTGGCCAATGCATTCTTTCTGAAATATAAAACTGATCAAATTTAATGTCATTCAATAGCCTTTGCCTACAGCCTAATACTTTTCCTGCCTTCAGTTGTGTCACATTTTGCACCACCTGGTGTTCACTTTTCCCATTTTGGAACCGTTGGCCCAGTGGACTGTTTGATAAGTCTCCCAACTTTATTTGCTTCCAACAGTTATTGCTCTATGTAGCTGTATTTTTGCATGTCTTGAATATTTGGTTACAAATAAGGAATCCATCTGTACTTTAAGTATAATATCTATTGCTAATTAGAAAATATTTTTAAAGCTGCAAAACTCATTCTCTCGGGATAGATGTTATGACAGGGAAATCTTTTTTTATAGTTGAAAATTTGTACTGCATTTTAGTGGGCAATTATATTTGAAGTGTGAAATCACCACTCCAATGAAATTTATGTGAATATAGTCAAAACATATGCTAATTAGATCTTCCATGGGATGAGTCAGACAGATGTATATTGTTTTTATTTTATTGTTTTACAACATTTTAACTTTTTATTACTACCTTGGTGAGGAGCAAATGAAGTAGCTAAATTAAATGTTTAGCAACATTTTGAACTAATAAGTTCCTCAAAGGTTAGACAAATAAATACATCTAGACACATAATTTTCATCACAGAACTTAAACACAATTAAATTTTTCTTATAGAAATTTTATGTTTTAGCAGATTTTTCCTTATTGTTTTTCCAATATATCTTAAGATGTATAGCAAAATGGGCATAACTGACAAAGGAATGACTTACATCAAGAATTGAGGAGGAAACATGAGATGCACACATAACTAACATCACTCCTTAAAGAACCTAGGTAATTTACACATAACGGTTGACTATCTTCTCCATATGTACCAATACTGTCTAAAATAGATTTACTCTATATATGCACTTTACAGTGCACATTCCTTTCAATTGAATACAAATCAAATACACCTTACTACAAATGACAAGTTTTAAGTCTTTATATGAAATATGCATGTGCATAAGTGTATACATGTTATCTTTTTTTTTTTTTTTTTTTTTGAGACGGAGTCTTGCTCTGTTGCCCAGGCTGGAGTGCAGTGGCACGATCTCTGCCCACTGCAAGCTCCGCCTCCCGGGTGCACGCTATTCTCCTATCTCAGCCTCCAGAGTAGCTGGGACTAAAGGCGCCCGCCACCACGCCCGGCTAATTTTTCGTATTTTTAGTAGAGACGGGGCTTCACTGTGTTAGCAAGGATGGTCTCGATCTCCTGACCTCGTGATCCGCCCACCTCGGCCTCCCAAAGTGCTGGGATTACAGGCGTGAGCCACCGCGCCCGGCCAAGTGTGTACATGTTATCTATATGAATATATAGAGGTGTGTGAATGTGAGGATGGATTATAATGTCTGTACCAGCTTCTGACAGTCAAGACTAAAGCCACAATGGCCTCAAATGCCACCAGTTAGGAGAATACAAGAAATAGAGTTGTATGCCTGTAACAGTACTTCATCTAAAGCTACACGGAGGAAAAGATTCTGTCTACTCTTTGCTTTAGAATTTCTACAGGGTTCTATCTATGCATCTTAGTGACCAAGAATGCCTTAAGGTCTCCCTCAGCTTGACTAAACTTTAAAGAGTTTTTTCACCTAATTGTATACCCCCTGACTTTCTTTGTTTCTTTTTTTTATTGTAAATACTGTCTCTTCTTCTTTGAGTTGTAATCCCACCACAAGCCAGGGATGTTTTCTCAAGGAGCTGGGAACTATCCCTTTGAAATATAACCATCAAAAAAGATAGTACCCCTATCTCTCAGTCTCTGTGGGAAGGTAAGAGCCTACCTTCAAAGAACAGCAATTAACAAACACTGGGACCTGATCACATTGACCAATCTTCCCCTTTAGGAAGACTCTCCTGTAATTTTTCTTTAACTGATCTCAGCATTTAAAATCCTTCACCTTTGTTTCAGCTTGACTTGAGTTCAGTCTCTCCCTTATTTCAATATTCATCACTCCTATTCCAACAATATTGAATGAAGTCTTCCTTGACATTTTTAACAAGTGTCTAGTACAATTTTTCTCTTACAATATGTATTCAACATACATAGCTGAAAGAGAATTTGACTGAATTGCTTTGGGTTCAATAATCAATCAATTCAATTAAGATATTCACCATGCAAATGGAAACTTAAATAGTTAGGTCATTGATGTCTCCTGCTATACAAAAGGAATTGCATAGACAGATTTGATCATCTATTTGCCTTTGTTTTGCATGGTGAAGCAGTTAAACACACACACAACACACACACACACACACACACACACACACACACACGAGTCAGGTTGGAATTTGGTATCTTATTTCTACAAAGTCTGTTTTGTCAGTCTAAAGATCTCTGTTTCAATGTGATGCTGGTTAGTTGTGCCGAAACTCCAAAGGGAGGAGGGTCTAATAAGGCTTGTCTAACCTCCCCACTTTCCAGTCGTGCTCTAAACTAGTTTTTCAGGTTTCTAAGGGAAACTAGGCCAAGGACCAAGGGTAGGATCCATTCAGTCGGATAAGGAGCATAGAATTTTATTTTTAGTTTAAAAAATACATTAATTTTTTATTTCCACATTGAAAGGAATATGAAATTAGCTATTTAATGGAAATATTATATGCTGCTATAAAAATATATTATAGATATTCTCTGATTATGTGGATAAATGCTATGACATGTGAACCAAAAGTTATAAAGTATCTGGTCTACTTAAAATACTGATAGAAAATAAACAACAATATCCTGAAATTAAAGTTAAACTTTAAATTAGTATTGTAATTTGTAAATTGTAATTTGTAAATTTGTATTGTAAGTTGAAACTGGAATGTTACTTTAAACCAATAATATACATTTATATTGATAAGAAAAATTCATATTAATTGATCTTGAAATATCCTTTCGTGTAGAGTAAATCTCTTTTTAATTGACTATGTATAATAAACACTTCATGGTGTCACTAACATATTTGTACTCATCAGCAAATATAGTGTCTATAAAAGTCTTCTGGAAAATCACAATACCTTACATATATGTAAATGATCATTTAAATAAGACAGTTTGATGTGGCTAAATTGTCACCATGATAGCCAATAAATTTCATTTATACTTCAATTATCTCTTAATTTTAGAAATGAAAAATTCAAGGACAACCTATACATTTTATAAATTGAATACACCACATGAAATCATGATACATAATGCACACTCCCCGCCATGCTTCCTTGGACAATTCACATGAAAACCATCAAAGTCATCTCTAGTCTCTTCAAAAGTTAGAAAAGACTTCAGAGGTCAAATTCACCTCCGATTTCCCAAGTAAAACACAAGCAGATTTTTAAACACAAGTAAAAGTTTTTGGTGAATTCTACAGGTATCATATAAGGTCAGCCTGTACTAAATGACTGAAGATTGAAATTGATTTTGATGGCCTAATCTGATATATTGGATTTGAGGTTATTTTGCTTAAGGGCTATCAGGAGAAAAGATGTCAAGAGGTTTGGCTTCTGGCAAAATCAGTCAAAAACTCTGTGCTTACACTCATGCCTGCTAGCCACAAAGACACAGGTGTCCATAAGGTTGAATAGTCTATGCTCTAAAATTGCAGATTGAATAATTTTCTTTTTTATTAAACCACTTACAGTCTTTAAAAATTGAAAATGCTAGACTTCCTACATATATATATTTATTTAAACTTTTAAGAAATATAACAGGCCAGGTGTGGTGGCTCACGCCTGTAATCCCAGCACTTTGGGAGGCCAAGGTGGGCGGACTTCCTGAGGTCAGGAGTTTGAGACCAGTCTGGCCAACATGATGAAACCCCATCTCTACTAAAAATACAAAAAAACAAAATTAGCCGGGCGTGGTGGCAGGCGCCTGTAATCCCAGCTACTTGGGAGGCTGAGGCAGGGGAATTGCCTGAACCAGGGAGGTGGAGGTTGCAGTGAGCCGAGATCGCCCCACGATACTCCAGCCTGGGTGACAGAGCGAGACTCAGTCTAAAAAAAAAAAAAACAAAAACAACAACAACAACAAAATATATATACAAAATGATAAAACTAAGGTTAAAAGGTTAAAACTCAGATAATTGTGCAAAATTACCTCTGTACAATGACCTTTTAATCTAATGGGAGGATTGAGAAGTTGTATTACTAAAAGAAATGCTAGTATCTTCTGCAACAAGGTCATAATTATAAACTATCTTACATGGATTGGGGAAGTAGACTTCAAATAAGAATTACAGCCCTTGGCACAAAATAAGGAAGCACCAAATGGGAGAGAGAAGAAGGGATGGAGGGAAGAGGGAGGGAAGGAATGCCTGGAAAATTTGCCAAGGTATTAAAACTGTAAGTTTTGGAAATGGATTACTAAAAGTAGCATCTAATTATGTATATGAAATGGAATTTGATATCTCACTGATCCAGATCTATTAAAAACTATGCATCTTAAACTAAGTGGACCAGCACAAACAGTTTTTAATTAGGTTTCAAAAATGCAAGCACAATGACAAGAAGAAGCCCTGTAGTTTTTGTCATTTTGATACCGTTTAGTTTCATAATCACAAATAAGAATTAGCAGCTACCAGCTATATGCCAGCAACTGAATATTGTCTCTCTTTATCCCATTCCATTTTTATGATATTCTTATAAGGTAATTGATATTATTTCCTGTTGTAGAGATAGAGAAACATCATATACCTATATCTATCTGTCTATCTATCCTCCTATCTATCTATCTATCTAGAGAGTAAAATTGAAGAGATATTTAGCAACTAGTAAAAACTGTGAAAAGGAGGCATCATTGAATAGTAGTCACACAGTCATGAATTTGAATAACAACTTAATCACTTTCTGGCCATTAGATGTTAGACAAATAACATTGTTTCTATGAGATCTAGTTCTCCTCATTGTACATGAAGGGTCTGATAGTGAGCAGATTTATATGTTGTGAGTTGTCAGTTGGATAACATACATAAAGTGCCTTCTGCTAAGGATACATGCATTGTGTGTGTGTGTGTGTGTGTGTGTGTGTAAGTGTAAGAGTGTATATACATGTGTAACATTCAACTAGTGATGTATACATGTTTAGTACACTAACAAATGATAATGTTATTACTAAGTGTTAGTGACTCTTCAAGCCCAGGATTTTGTTTATGCCAAAGCCAGTGCTCTCACCTTATTAGGGCCAAAGTCACAGGCTTCTCATTCTCTTACTGCTTTGACACAGAGTACAAAAAAATGATTTTTTCTCCTTTTTCTTTTCTTTTTCTTTAAAATTCTGTGTGTAATCAGGGATTTCATTTCAGGCATCATGATGGTTCAAAGAGTTATACAGAGAAAACCTAGTCCTAAATAATATAAGGTTGCAAGGTAAGATTGAACCTGTCTACTTTTTTTATTTTTTTTAAGTATCATTATTTTGTTTGGTTAGTTGAGTTAAAAGTTTAGCATTTTACACAGGAATATTGTACCTAATTGATTATATAAAAAACCTTCAAATATAGACCTACTATATAAATATGGACTCTACTATAAACTGAAAGAGATTTGTATTTTATGATTTCATATACAACCTTTGTAACTAATGCGAGTATATGCTTTGTTTCATAGCTACAATTAGCACACTAACACAAAAATACTCAGTTTTCAAAAAAATTCAGAGAAAGGGATTTACTTTAAAATCTGTAAATGTCTTCCCCTAAATCCAGCTGTAAATCTTATGATTCACTTCCATGTATATTTCAGGTCTCTGATTAACCTTGCTTTTTCTAAGCTCCCCCTGAACTGAATCTAATCACCGCACTGGGGCTCCGTAGGATAGGAACTCCTCTTAGGCTATCCACAATATCTTGTCTTATCCTATTATTTGTTTGCAGTCATTAGTTTTAGTTTAATTGTGGGATTATATATATCTTGTTGGCAGTCCTATTGACCAAACAACTGGCTAACAATGCAAAACTGAATGTTTTGCTTCAGGCTATGTTTCATGGTAGTCACATAGAGGAATGCTAGTTTCTAGTTCTCTACTTACAAAGAGATTCCAGTAGAGTCAGATAAAACAATAGCTCCAATCTACTACATAGACCCAAATATATTTATTTTTGTGAAGCTTTTTTCCTATTATATTAAACAGCCTCTCTTCTATGTTACTGCATTTTTTAGCTATATTGGTAATCAAATACCACATTTATTATTGTTGTTTTTTTTTTCATGTATGACTCTAATTTTGCTTCCATAGACCTTGGGTTGTTAGAAATCAGCAGAGGTGGCCGGGTGCAGTGGCTCATGCCTGTAATCCCAGCACTTTGGGAGGCCGAGGCGGGCAGATCACAAGGTCAAGAAATCGAGACCACCCTGGCTAACACAGTGAAACCCCGTCTCTAATAAAAATACAAAAAATTAGCCGGCCGTGGTGTCAGGCGCCTCTAGTCCCAGCTACTCGGGAGGCTGAGGCAGGAGAATGGTGTGAAACCAGGAGGTGGAGCTTGCAGTGAGCCGAGATCGCACCACTGTGCTTCTGCCTGGGGGACAGAGCAAGACTCCGTCTCAAAAAAAAAGAAATTAGCAGAAGCCATTTATTATTTTATTTATCTCAATTTAATTCATACCTATCATAGTTTCTGACTAGAATAATAATGCATTACCCTTACATTTCCATTACATTTTCTGTGTGCCAGATGCTGTTCTATGCGCTTTACTCATTCCATTACCCAGTGGTACTATGAGGTTAGTTGTGTCATTCCCATTGAAGAGATGGGTAACCAAGTCATAGCAACAAAAGCCTTTCATAATGTATCCTAGATTCCTGGCTTTGAAGTTGGGACTCTCAATCATTATATTTTGGTATCTCAACAGAGTTTGTAATAATAAATAAATGCTTAAATAAATAATGGAAGATAGCACAGAAAGGAAGAAATAAAATAAGAAATGAAGGAAAGAAAGAACACAGCAAGGCAGCCAGGCAGAGAGGAAGGTAGAGAGGAAAGGTTAGTGTTTTACTCACAACGAATGACATGATGAAAATAGAAAAAAATGTATAATTATCATCCATAGGAATGGCCAATGTAGTGTAATTTTTGTGTGTAAATATATATTGTAAATGTGTATGTAAATATAATAGGTGGCATAAATGTAATATCTTTAAGCACAAAAATAATAAACTATTGAATGCAATGATATATGTGCAAGTTATGTATTTTATTCACTTAACATTTTATGTGAATACAGGGCTCTTTCCCATATTGCTTCATTTTTTACTTCCTCACAAATAATATAGATATAGGTAGTTTGTGCATGATTGTGCTCATCTGGCAAATGAGGATAATCCTGAGTAGATGAAGGGAGTCTTCCAAAAGCATCTGGGTAGCAGAATCAAGACTACTAGCATTAGACCTAATTCATAAGTCAGAAAAATGTTGTTTTCATCATTTTCTACCACTTAATAGCTTCATAATACGGCAGGTTAAGCAACCTCTCCATATTGTGTTCTTTTCTTTATAGAAATGAATATTTCTATTATTTTCTAAACTCTAGATCCAGGTATTAAATTTCCCTATTCATATGGATATCATGCAGCACAACTTCAAACACCCCAAACTGTACTCGTGCTCTTCTCTTTAAACATTTTCCTCCTTTTGTGTGGCCAATGTAGAAATGTCCTCCTAAATTGTCTAGTCAAAAGTATAATAGCTATTCTTAACTACTTTCTTTCACTTATTACAACCAATCCATTACTAGGTCCCATTGACTCTGCTTCCAAAATTCAAATTGGCCACTGCAATTTACTATTATAGCTGCTGCCACAACTCCAGCATAATCATCTGTGCTTACTTCTTGGACCTCATACCAACCTCCACTTCACTCAAAATGATCCAGTCACATGCGTCTTCTTTTCATCTTTTGAACACATTAAGTTCATTCCTCAGGGTTTTTGCTCTTGCGGTTATAACTGGCCACACCTCCTTCTAGATGCTTATCATTTAGAACTACTCAAATATTATCATATCAAGTACGTACCATCAGACCACATTTCTTAGACTACCACACATCTTTGCTTTCTTTCCCAGACTTTTTATTAAATAAAATTATTTTTATTTTCTGTGCTGAATACATTACTACTTGAAGTAAACTTGTTTATTTGGGTATTTAGTTATTGATTTCAGTTTTGTTACACTATAAAATAACCTCTATAAAAGTAGTAATGATCACTATGTAACTAACTTCAGTGCCTGCAACAGTCCCTGGCATACAGTGGACATTGGTAAATATTTACTGATTTCCATACCAACCTCCCAACTGTCCCCATGATTTTGTTCCTGCCCCATCCAATTCACACACTAAGGGAGGTTTTTCAAACCACGCTTCACACTCGATTGAAGTGTCAGTTATGTGTTTTGTATTATCCTTATAAAATTTGTAAACTCTTTAAAATAGCCTGCCAGATGCTGTGTCTGTCTCTCTAAAATAATGTAATGTATCCCTGCTAGAAATCTCTGCTCTAGCTGCCTTGGCCTATTTCTCTCGCTCCATTGTGTCCCATTTTTCCTTCCTCTGTGTTTTCACCTGTGTTGTTCTGTCTACCTAAAAAATTATTCCCAACTTCCAGCTCTGTTTCCTGTAGGCAATTGTTTGCTCATTATTTAGGACACAACTTGAAATACAAATTTCACTTGGAAGCATTTCGTTCTCTGACTAGATTATGCCCCTAGGTTTAATGTTCCCATAGCACCCTCTGCTTACATGTTTATTTTCTCTCTTTCTTGCTAAACTATACTTTCAATGAGTTATGTCCTCTCTACTCTGGTGTCTTTGGTAGCCCGCCACCTATATTATTGCATTATTTTATGCATTATTGAATAGATGGTGGTAAAGAAAACCATGTGGTTGAATAAGAAAGCCAGAGAATGTGAGTCAAATGGGAAAACCAGTGAGACGGGAATGGGATCCCAAGAAAATTCAGAGTTGGAGAGGAATGTAAAACCACTGAAAGAGATCAAGGGGAAGGGGAGAAAACAAAGGTATTAGGGGAAGAGAATACTGCAAGCCCCATGCTCCTTTCTCTTTTGTTTCCTTTATTCCATCTGTTTTGGTAAATTAAGGTACACTGACATTGGTGATGTGTCAAGCATAATTCTGACCCCTTTCTATACACCATTCCATTTCATCCTCAGTATGGACACTATGGGATAAGCACTCTTTGCAACTTGACGAAGGCATAAACAGACTCAGGAACTTTCCAAGGAAATAACTCTAGTAAGTGGCTGATTAACACAGAAATCCACTTTCCTACTCCTTTGTTTACTGCCTCTTCTGCTACCACATATTTACAAAATTCTAAGTCCATCAATTGTGCTGTTTTTATGTTTTGGTCTCAAATTGTGTGTATGCACACACATTATACTACCTCCCATCTCCCCTCACCCTACAATTAACTAGTGACAGCTATACACACATCTTAAATGTTATCAACTTTCATTGCATAAATCAAATGATAACATAGGCTTTTTTTTTAAAATATTATAAGTAAGAAATACAAAAGATAATGAGATGCTTGAGTGTCTTGATATGAAAGCAAAAATTTAATTTGCTTATGCTTTATACTTGTTTGGGTAGATTCTTACCCTTTTATTACATATTCAACTTTATTGTTAATAACATTTATATCTTTAGTAAGTGTATACAAGGACTTTCCCTGTTTTATTCTAAACCTAGTCACCTAGATCACTTGTGGATTCAAGAGAAAATGAGTAAAACTAGAGCTTTTAAAAATAACCACCTTCCTTTCATTTTGAAAATTGAACTGGTAAATATGCATGCCTTGTGATACTAGGGAAATGATAAACAGATAAATGAGTGATATTGAAAATATAGGCAATACAAGTGTTCTATATTTCTTGTAAAGAAATTTTATATGTTGTTGTACAGGTAAAACAAATTTGTCATTAATGAAAACTTTCCTACATTTCTACACTGGAATGAGTACTCAATAATTAGCATTATTATCCAGTTGGTAACAAGAAAAATTTCAATTTTTCTAAATCTCCGGTATTACTCATTGCTCTAAATAGCTAAATATTTAATTAACCAACACAATTTCTTTTATTTTGCCTCATTTGTATTGTTTTCCAAGTAGTATTTCCTGCTTTGACAATTATCAGTTAAAATGGACTCTATTCAACATCACGAAGAAAATATAAACCAGTTCCAAATTTACTAATTTTGTGGTAGATATTTTCAAATAATGAATATTTGCAAAAACAATGAAATAGTCACATGGTTTTGGAGAGGAATTGCTCAAGTCATTAAATTGGTGGATCAGAAAATATTATTTTGTTAAGTTAAAAAATAGATGCACAAGGCATCTGCTAACGTTCCATGTTAGTCCTTGAGATATTGTGACTTTCTGATAATCAAAATCTTATTAGATGGTTGGGCACTAAGAGATTTAAGAAGGTGGGTCTATTAATCTGTGACTTATTGCCAGATCCACAATTACCAGGAATTCATCAGTGGTTGATAAAATATAAGTTGTTATAAAGAAAATTTTAAAAAGATAGTTGTTTAATTTAAAATGACATAAAGCGAATTGCTATCCTAGAGGAGTGCTATGTTAAGCAAGCCCAAATTTAGGCAATTCATCCTTCATATTAAATATTTTTAAAGAATGACCTAAAGTTATTTATGCCAAAGGAGATCAAAGTCCAGCATTTATTTAGGTAGATGTTGAGTTGTAATTAACATTCTATGTTGAGTTACTAACATAAAGGAGCTATAAGTAATTACAAGATGTATAAGCATAACAGCAAAATATTTTAAAATCAAGTAAATGTATTTTTCAAATAAAAATGTAATAGAGAAAAGTATGATAAAAATATATATAAACAGCAACTCTTTACATACTTGAATTTCAGAGAAAATATTAGGCCTAATACATTTTATGTCATTTGGTAAATTTTGTATTGTGCTTACATATCTTTCATTATGTTAACTTTGCAGCACCTGGAACACAATATTTCATCATATCCAACTTATTAAAAAAAAAGCATAGTAGAAATAGTACACTGTCAGAAGATTAGCAAATTTGATGTGACTCTCTGCCGTGTAATAGGCAAATAAATGCTGCACAACCATACAATGGGTAAATGTATCATGGCACATTCATACAATGCAATGCTGTCTAGCAAAACATAAAGAACAAACTACAGCTTAAAGTAACACGGGCATAAATATTATGAAATGATGAGCTGAGCATGAAACAATCTATATTACATTATTCATATATATACAGTGAAAACTGGTCAAACTAAACTAGTTGTCAGAAGTCATGATAGTAGCTAACTTTTGAAGTTTCCAGTGATGGGGAGAATGGATAATATCAGTAAGTATAAGAGGAACTTTGGACAGTGTGGAAGTTTCTATTTATTGATATGGTATATATCAAAATACGTACTTATAATTTGTTATGTAAAATATACTATGATAAAGTATTTGTTTTTAAAGGAATAATGAAAATTGTATATAAATGGAAAGTTGCTATATGTATATTGCTGGACATTATGAAATTTAAACTGTTTGCCCAGATTAATGTAATGACCATTAATGAGAGAACAAGTCTTGCCAACAAATCTTCATCTTGATCTTTAAAAAACTTAAACATACTGTATAAAATTAAGAAAATACAGGTGTTCTATATAGTTATAATAATAGTTCAATGTAAGCCAAAGAACCATAGGCATAGTAGAAGATGTTAGGAGCCAATGTTAAGATCTACTACTATACTTATTTCCAAAAGCACCTTTTAATACTTCAGATTGCTTAGGCCCATCTAATGTTGATAAGAAATACTGCTATTTAATAAAGGATATTTATTTGATTAAGGAGGATGCAATAGGGAAATCACGTTATTTTAATTTTTAATCTGGAGATGGTCTAAAACTCATGCACCATTCTCCTGAGGCAGCTGACAAAATCTGATTTGATGTTCTTTTTCTGTAGAAACAATGACATAATCACTGAGCTCATATTATTCAGGAATAAATAATTAGTTATTACCTAGAGTTTTTATCTGTGTTATAGGAAATAGACACCATTATTAAAAACACAATGAACTAGATAAAAAACTGCTGGGCTCTGATCTCCTTTAGCATAAATGACTTTAGGCCATTCTTTTTAAATATTTACTATGAAGGATGATTGCCTAAACTTGGGCTTGATTTACATAGTACTCCTCTAGGAAGAGCAATTTGCTTTATGGTATTTTAAATTAAACAGGCTTAGTTACTCAAGAAGCTATTAAAATGTAAGAATGTTTCTCTACTTACTATTTAGCTTATATACAGATACTTAACTGTGTAGACAAATTAAGTTGAAAATTAAAAATAAATAAAATGGAAGAAGAAATTTAAAAATTAATCTTTGATTGACATAAGTTCCTAACGTCCTACAAAAAGTGTCCAAAAATTACATATGTTTAAACTACCAGTTAGTAATAGTTGTGTTCTCTTTTAGCAAAGCCTTCTTAGAAATGCCATTTTTTCAACAATAATCAGAACCGAAAGCCTTGTCCACCTTTTAGGATAAAGTGGCATGCAGCCTTGTTAATCTGACCCATTGAAATAAATGGAAAATGTACTAGTGCCCCAGTATAATTGTTAGCAGCAGCATTTTAGAAGGCACTAATTTGCACTTCATTGTAATATCTCTTCTCAACTTTGATATAAATGTTAACTAGAGCTGGCATTATTAATAGCAAGCTAGGATCTGGGGCAGGGGCAAAGGAGTGGTCTTACAGAGAATCAGAACATGACCTTAATTGTTAATGAAACATGGCAGTTCCATGAAAAGGCAAAAGCACAAAATGAATACAATAATTGTTTCAGTAGGAACCTGCATAATGCAAAAGGCTACAATTATAAAATATGCCACCCCAAAAAGCACTCCTTGGATTCATATTTCAAGGTTATATGACCTCTGATTGCCCTTTAAATTACCAGTGGACAATATAAGAGAAAATAATACATCTTAATATATAATTAATAACACTTAAAGGTATTAACTCATAGACTCGAAGCTAATAGGTGGCATAAAATGAAAATAATAAAACTGCTATACAAAGAAAATAAGGATTATTATTTTTCATTCCTACATTATTCTATGAATGCATAAAGATTTCAACATCATTTGGTATTTTGTGTTTCTTCCTATGTACATTATGTAAATATTCAACTCAATAAACTTCTAATCAATTTTCTACAAATTACGTGTAGTAGCACCAAGCTATAAAGATGAAATATAGCATGCAATTGTTGCTCTTTGGTTGTGACATGCAATTTGAACTAAAGTCTCTTGGTTTATTTTTTGTTTGCTTTTGTTTTGTTTGTTTTGTAAAAAAAAAAAAAAGAACCTATTAATCTTTACAGAATTTCCTTATCCCCTTGTACACACTATGAACATAAGTAGAGATTCTGAATGATTTCTTGATGCTTTGTTTCTACTTGTAGGTTAACTTGCTTTTTATAGAGTTCAACATACTGAACTTAGGAGTTCAGGAGACAGCACTATTTCAAAACAACAAGGTTGTATCAGGCAATGTATCACAAACTATTTTCTTTACATTTTCTAGTGCATTGGTATACCTATGAAATTAGAAATTTCTTAAAGCACTCTGAGATGATAAAATTTTAAAAATGCAGAGAAAATAAAAATAAAAAGCACGCTCACTTAAGAAAATTATTAAAAAGTAATTCAGAGATACATTTGATTCTTAAAGATCAAGAGAAGTTAAATATTAATAGGATGTATTGTCCTAAATAATTTAATAATCATGCTAAAAGGAAAAAAATGATGAACATGTAAGAAATAATCCACACACCATGTAGTTCACTCTTTTACAGTGTACAGTGACTTTCACAGGATTGCACAACCATCACCACAATCTGATTTTAGAACATTTTCATAATCTCAAAAGCAACTCTACACCCATTAGCAGTCTCTCTCTCTCTTCCACCTCATATCACCACTTCCAGGCCTAGTAACCACTGTTTAATGTTATGTATTTACAGACTTGCCTATTCTGGTCATTTCATATAAACAAAACCATAGAAAATGTCGCCTCTTGCGTTTGGCTTCTTTCACTTTGTACATTTCAAAGGTTCATCTGTGTTGTAACCTGTGTCAGTACCTCATTTTTTATTACTGAATATTATACCATTGAATTAATACACCATATATGCTTAACTATTCACCAGTTGACAAACATTTTCATTGTTTTCATTTTTTTCTTATTACAAATGCTATTATGAACATTTATGTACAACTTTTTGTGTGGGTATATGTTTTTATTTCTCTTATATATATATCTAAAAGTTGAATTGCTGGGCTATATGGTAATTCTGTGTTAAAGATCATTAGTTTTTGAAGAATTCTGTGTATCAAAATAAAATCCAGGAACATCAGAACAGTTTACAGATGCCCCACGAAGGCAGAACACATCTGATGTTTTTTTATTTGCCTCTAATTGTTAGGAGAAGTGTACATGGCAGCGAAACTAGAGTGCAAGGATGCCTGGAAGGTTGGGGGTTTGGAGTTAGGGGAACACTCACATATCCAGTGGCATTTTTCTGCTGAGTCATTGCTCCTTTTATCGTCAAACCATTAAGTTTTCCATTCCCAGGCTCATATTGAGTTATATGCCAGAAGATATTACTTGAATTTTTGGAATTCAAATTGGCCCCCACTCCCAAGATCAGATTTCCCAAAGCAAAAACCAGAGCATATGGTTTAACATATGGGCTAACAGTAACAAAAATCATATTTTTCTTAAAATTGGAAGACATACTTTTCCTGTGTTTCCTGACTCTTCTCTGTCCAGCCCTCTCAAGGAACCTGTGCTTGTTATTTTACTTTTTTTTTTCTTTGAGACAGAATTTTGCTCTTGTCGCCCAGGCTGGAGTGCAGTGGTGCGATTTTGGCTCACTGAAAACTCTGCCTCCCAGGTTCAAGTGACTCTCCTGCCTCAGTCTCCCAAGTAGCTGAAATTACAGGCAACTGCCACCATGCCCAGCTAATTATTTTTGTATTTTTAGTAGAGACGGGGTTTCACCATGTTGGCCAGGCTGGTCTTGAACTCCTGACCGCAGGTGATCTGCCTGCCTCGGCCTCCCAAAGTGCTGGGATTACAGATGTTAGCCACCGCGCCCGGCCATCAGTTTACTCTGTTAACCCTTACACTTAGTTTCAGTTGTTTCATTTGTTTTCAAGTGCCACATCAAATCTCATTCATTTGAAAGCCTTCCTAAAACCTGCTATTTATTATTCTTCTCTAGAGTCTTGTTTATTCTGTCATTACATTTCTCTCTGTGCGTGTTTTTGACTTATCTAGCAATTCACAAGCTTCTAGAGGGCAGGTGATGTATTTCATAATTGTATATTCTTATTATACCTAGGCAAGTACTTTGCACTTGCCTTGATGTTCAGTAAGCGCGTACAGCTCTAAATCTCCATGTGATGCACTACGTTCCAACGGTAATATCCACGAATATACTGTCTGGTTTATATCTGAAAATGAAACACAACTTTTGCAAACCCTTCGTGTGTGTATCCCTACAGGGTAACAGACAGAGATGAGACATAAAGTCAAATGTCACCTTTCAGGTGAGGACAAGGAAAAAATATAGTTTATTTTGAGGAACATGCTACCACAGAAATTTTGATACTTTTTCAGCTGTAAAAATACTGAATTTTAATAATCATTATTCCAACTGTTCAGGTTATTAGAATTTTATTCTTTTGCATTGATATAACCTTAGATATCTGAAGAGAATATGTAAATTATTCAAGTAAACATGGATTATTACTGAATAGAAAATTACAGTGAAAATGAAATAATATAACCCAAATTTCAATTCAACCGTATTTCAAAACATTCCTAGTATTTCTTCAATTAATAAAATCTATGGAAAAATTTTAAGTAAAAGTAAATAATCCTAAGCATATGAATTTTAATTCTACCCTGCCAAATGATTTTTGGTAGAAAAATATCCCCCTTTGCCAATACTTGAAATTCTCATAAAGCTTTAATTTATTTTATAGCTTTTAGTTAAATTATATAAGGAAGAATTTAGACATATGAAATACATGTTGAGAGAAAATCAAATATCTGAGTGCTTAATAATATAATATTGAAGGAGTATTAGAAATTTTTTTGCAAAATTAAGTTTTTCACCCCTTCCTGTATATGACATTATATTTAATTAGAATTCTGAAATTTATAGCATTATGAAATTTACTTATTAAAATACAACTTCTCAGCTGGGCGTCGTGGCTCACTCCTGTAGTTCTAGCACTTTGGGAGGCCAAGGTGGGCAGATCACATGAGGTCAGGAGTTCAAGACCAGTCTGCACAACATGGTGAAACCCTGTCTCCATTGAAAATACAAAAATTAGCCAGGCATGGTGGCATGCACCTGTAATCCCAACTACTTGGGAGGCTGAGGCAGAAGAATTGCTTGAACCCAGGAGGTGAAGGTTGTAATGAGCCGAGATCTTGCACTGCACATTCCAGCCTGGGCGACACTGAAAGACTCTGTCTTAAAAAAAAAAAAAAATTTTCAGTATACCTTCACAATGTCTATTACAATTGACTCATTTCTCAAGATCACTTCAATATTCAGTCCATTCACCCAGGTCTTTGGGAATGACAGTGTTGAAGATCAGGAAGTGGAGATTAGATGGAGGAACTTTCTTCCTCTCCTGATGTTTCCTTCTATATGGAGGAACAACATTAGTGTAACACATAACACTCCTGGTTTCTTTCTGTTTCCTTACAGAAAGTTTTTGAGGAATGTTACGTAGCAAAATAAAATCCAGGAACACTAGAATAGTTTATAGATGCCCCTGGGAAGGCAGAGCACATTCTTTCTAAAGGAAAAAGCAGGAGTTCTCTGAGAGTAGAATTTGGGAAGGAAAAAATAGAAGCTAGGCTTATTCTCCATAGGTCCTTTGTTGTTGTTCTAAGATTATTCTTCTCTGCCTTGATGACTTAGGTTTTACAGGTTGGGATCATGGCACATGGCTTGACTTCAGACATTAGTAAGCAATATTAGTAACCCAGTCTTTTTGTTTGTTTGTTTTTTAAGGGTTTAGATTAAATTATGTAAATAAATTTGAGGCTGTCAACAGCCTAAATCAAACATGTATGGTGACTTTTTTTTTTTTACTTCTGTTGGTAATGGTGGCATTTGAAAAACTTATCCATAGGCATTAAAAAAATATGCCTACAAACCTCAAGCCTTAAGCAAAAGTGCATTGAGCTTGATAAAGGTGCTAAACATCCTGGATTTAAGCAAACTAAGAGCCTCATGGATCTCAGAAGCCAAAATGCACTGTATGAGGGCAGCCAATGCCACATCACTCGCAGAGCCTTCACAGAGGAGGAAAGGGGCAGGCCTGGAGGTCTGGGTTGTGCTGGCTCTCCAGTGCAGTCTGTGGCAGCTTGACTTGCTCCACCCTGCATCTGTGGAGGCAAGTGGGAGGCTCAGGAGATACCACCAGTGAGCTGCAGAGGCTGGAGTCATCAGGTTTATCTGAATCAAGAATTCATTTGTATGGAAAAGAGCATCTTCATATATACCTACCACTTAGATTTTAAAGAACAGAACAGTTATTTGCTATTTGCAATGTGCTTTTCAGCCTTGTCTGCAAGGAATGACTTTTATACTGCAAGGCAGCTGGAGTCCAAGCATGCTACATAATACTACTGAGGTTCTGGTTTAAAATTTATTATTGTCAAGCTTAAATCTGATGTTTCAAATTCCACTTTGCATTCAGGGCTAAAAGGGAAATGGTGAAAGAACTTAGCTTGTATTCAGAGATTTGAAAAATAATAATTTAGATGATGATGTTATAGTTAGTTGGCTATTCAAGAATTTCCTGTGCCTTGAGTTAGATAAATTTGTGGAACTAAGACCATAAAAGAAAGCATAACACAAAAGGGATATGATAGAAAGGCAGATGGGCTGATGGTAGACTGAGTCCATGCTGTGGTTCTCCTGGGTGAGATTATCCAAGTCAAGAAAGTGAAGGTGAACATGATTTGTTTGAATGGATGCATTTGACAGGCTCAGAACATATTGACCCTAAAATCTTTTTTTAAAAGTCTAGATAAAAATATAAGATGGTTAAAGGAAGCAAGGCATTTAGATCCAGAAAACTGCTATCTTTTTACATAGAAGAGACTAACTTTATAAACACGTTAGTAATGGCTTTTCTTAAAAAAAGAAGAAGGAAAGCAAGAAAATAAGATAAGTTCTTTTCCATTATTGCATTAAAAACAGCAGCTAGAAATGCTACTCAAGGTTAAAAATTCAAAATTTGAGAAGAGATAGTGGCTTGAAGAACCCATTGCAGATCAATTGCCCTCACTATGTTCCTAGTGCAAACTTTCAGAAGCATCAATGGCTGGATAAATTTAGAAATCTTCTTAGAGTGATTTTACAATCAAAAATGGAGTAAAACTTTCCCACAGAGGTAGAACTTACAGATATGAACAAGTGTACCACAGTAAGGCAGTATAATGAGTTACTCTGGCAAGGGGCTATAAATGTTAGTCCACTGAAGGAAGGGAGGCTGGGTCACTAAAGAGTCATATGCATTGCAACATTAGTGTAGCAGAAACACAGAACTCAAGAAAAAAGGGAAGTGTGACGGATTTAGTTTTGCTTATCATTCCAGATCTGCTTACTTGGTTTGATTCCTGACTGTATGACTCAAATCACAGCTTAGCTCTTCCTTCAGTCATGGAGCCAAATCAAAAAGTTTCCATCATTTTCAAAATAGTTTCTGGAATATGCGCTTCTTCTCTGATATTCATGTGTATGCCCCAGTAACGTGCCATGCCACACCACACGCTGCCCACTAAAGCACAGATATAACTTAGCCTGAACCCAGAAAGAACCTTGCAGTGTAATGGGATATGGGGGGTGATGGATAATTTCAGATTAATTCTTCTCCCTTCCTTATGATGGATGAACTATTCACTGACCAAGTAGCTTCATACAGTTTTGTTAAAAATGTCCTGTGAAAACAAATAACTAACTAGTCATAAACTGTGAGGGCCAGGTTGGTAAAGCACTGCCTCTATGGCTCTTCAACATTCTCCTCCTTTCTACTTTTTTCTTTACTCTTCAATCTCCGTGTTTGTACTTGCCATAAAATAGCATGTCAGCTTTTCCAAAGTCTCTGGTTTAAAGGAAAGTTTAATTGAGACAGGAGCTTAAAAGGAGTTTCATATGCTGGATGAGAAGACAAACTATACAAATTAAGACTTGGCAAGGATGTTTTTACTCTACTTTCTTCAATTTCAAAATAAAGTGGTCATGTTTCACTAGCCACTCTCTGAGAAAGGAGGGAATGTTCATTAGATACTACTTTTCTCACAGATACAGTAAATACCCTGCCATAATTAACCTCTTGTTGGGAGTCTTCTGATTGACTTACTCTCAAAGCTCATGAATCTGGGCAACTGGCATCCACCTACGGGCATCCTAAAGTGTCTGAAATAAAGTATATTCTCATTCTCTAGCCTTATTTGCTCAGATAGCACTGAGTTTCTGTCATGGTTTTGGCCAAAACTAAATTCTGGGTTCTAAAAGCATACTTTTGAGTGGAATAACTTTGTCTAGGTTTTGGAAATAAGCTTCTTTTCAGAACTTGCTTGATAAAAATAGACTGTGATAATCTTTGGACTCTCTGAAAAAGAGGCACACAAAATTTGGTATTGAAGTAATTCAAATTGTAAGGTTGTAAGAGAATCACATCAACCCTATGGAAAACAGCTGGCAGGGCTGCAGCTGCTGAAGGAAGCAACATTACAACCAGGCTCTGACATTCCCTAGGGCTCATTCTGAGCAGGATAAGAAGTGGAGAAAATTTGATTTTCTTTAAAGGAGCTTGATAATGGATTTTTTTTGAGTTTTAATTCCTTTGGACTTTAGTGTCTCTAGATTTTAACTTACGTGGGGATTTAGTCTTCTTATTAAATTTCTCTAATGGCTTCCCCAGGCTTCAAATAAGAATGAGTTTTCTAATTATATTTGGAGTATCTCCATGTTCCTGGCATTTTTGAGCATCTTTATAATGTTATACTACATCAGTATAGAACTTTGGATGAATTACAGTTCACAACATGACTGGACATAATTTGGGAAGTCAAAGAGAATTAGAATAGATTGTCAAATTTGGAGGCAGCAGTCTTAGAGTTAAAGCTATTTTTTTCTGACCCATTTCAGCATCTTTTGGAGACAGATATCTACACTAACCATCAGGATATCTGTAGTCTTGATTGAAACAGGATTTGTAAATTTACGAAGTCCTACAACTGTCCTGATAAATTCCAAGGAGGTTGATCACACACAAGATTAAACATAGGCTTAATAATTTAGTTGAATGGTTTAAAAGTAAAGTTTTAAAAAATATGGATAAAGGTGGTAGACATTCCCTCTGTACTTATTCTCTATAATTTTCCCTTAGAGTCAGTCTTTGCAAGTACCCCTGTGGTTACTCCGTGCAGGTTTGTCCTGCTGTAATTATGATCATCGGACCTGTGGTGTGCAGACCACATAACAGATGGGCTGAATGCTATCATCATGTAGATTATCTGCAAGCATGTTCTCAGAATAAGCAGAGAAAAGCCAAATTCTTTACAACATCTCTACCTAAGTTGTTTTTGTTTTTTCAGATAAATTATTTGACTAATATGAGCCCTAAAATAAAAGTAAATGCATTGTTCTCTGATAAACTGATTCTTGGTATTTCTATTACATCATACTAAAATTATTATAAATGTTATCTGGTACCTATGAGATGACCATATAAGGTGGCAGATGTGTTAATTTTACAACAGAAAGTACTCTGTTTCAGTACTGGGTGTCTATTGCCATTTTGAAGAGTAGTTTAAAGCAGGCTAATTTTCAAACAACAATGCAGAATATTCAACTGGAAGGCATATCATTTTCTGGCTTTCACGTTGTTCGTTTATTTTCATACTTCCAGCAGACCACTAAGCATATTAAAATCAGAGAACAATGGGATCAGCAGAACTTTAAAGTATGTTTGAGAATGAGACAACAAAATGGATGGCACTTTCTCCTAATATATAAAGGTTTGATAAGTTCATCACACTCAAGATTTTCAAAATGTAATTTTATCTCACGTAAGTCATGGTTCTTCCAGAGTCCCTTATTTAAACTTCCGTAAATGCAAATTTCCCTACTCCTTTTACCTTTCTTAGATCATATTGTCCAACTCATTATACCTTCTAATGCATTGCTGCCCAGGATTATACTGTGGGTTCCTATCTCGAGCCCCTTGCTTTGCTAGAACCCCTCCAGCCTGACTTTGTCTGTTCCCCTCCTTGCAAGGCAAGCAGTTCCTGGGGCTAAGTCCAGTTCTGTGAGTTGCCCTCCTCTGGGTCTTGCTCCGTGTAATCAGACCCCAGAATTCCCTAACAATAGCCCTGTGCCTGCTTCCAGGTCCTACACAGGCCCCTTCTCAGATAATGCTTGTTTTTAATTTTCCTAGGGGGTAAATGGTAGAAAGGGCATGTGGTTAGGAGTAAGAGAAGAGAAGTAGGGCAAACCAAGGTGTGTGGGCAGGTGGAGTGCTTTATTTATACTCTTGGTTCAGGACTTACCACTTTTAGAGTTAGGCCTGGTTAAAAATGTATTAAGCAAGATTATGTAAGTTAGCATACTTCACCCAAACAGCATAAGTTTTACAGTGTTAGAATATTGTTTTCCATTAAATTGTCAAAAACCCTATTGATACCTAATACTGTAGTTAATTGGTGATAATACTTTGAATTTGTGAATAATTATTTCCTCATTTTGCAGCATATTGTGTAAGAGTAACGATTTAATAATTGTCAGATGCTTACTGGTAATATTATTTTAGATTCTTTCTTCCTTCACCATTGTTGGCAGTAAAGCCTACTTGTCATAACTTTTTTCTCTGCCTACATAATATTTGTGTTTTGTGTCCGATAGCTTTACATTTCTTTAATTAAAAAAAAAAATCAGTGCCATCTGCTAACTCAGTATTTTTTCTCAAGTTCCAGAAAACTTGAGAAAACACTGTGCCCTAAATAAGACCCAAGTCAGTTCCTGCTCTTCTGGGACTACACAGTTAATAGTTCTATATTAAAGGAGTTACATATTTTTCTGTCTTGCATATCAGTGTAGACAGATCTGTCTTCTTCACTCACTATCTCCATCAATTACATGCTGAATACATTTTAATTACAAACTTTGGAAACAATATTAGATGTCTGAATTGTCCATATATTATTTATAGTATCACTGCAGTAACTAATCCACTGATAACTAAATATATTATCTTAATAAAATACTTAATGTCATGTTGCAGGATCTGCAGCCCTTTGATAATATTATTCGTGTTATTTGGGACTATACATTTGACTTTGTCAGTCACCTATAAGGAAAGATTTTTTTCTCCCCACATCTGAAATTTGGTTGTTTGTGTGATACAGCACACATTTTTTCCACAATTGAGGGAAATGAAATTTTGGTAATACATGTGTAATTCCTAAAGCTGCTTAACAAATAAAAATAATTTGCACTAATCACGATATATGTATGCTACCTATTAAAACTCTAGCTAATCATAACATATGATCTAGATACCAACTCATTTTTCAATTCATTATGAAAATGTGTACTTCCAGATTTGCAACCTCAATTCTTGAAATGTTATAGATGACAATAAATGTAAAAAATTAACATTAGTCTATGCTACATTGTTTTTCTGGATTATACCTTATAAAAAATGACTGAAAGAGAATATATTTCCTATTATTTATACATAGAACATGGTGGAATGTAATTAATTTTGATTAAAAAATGTATCATATTTCTACTTAGAAATATCCTATATAATTTATGGTGGATTGTATTAAATACTTTCATATGATTGTATAATGGCATTTTGTACCTAAACACATCTTACTCCTTCACTCAGCACCTACTCACAAATATATTCTCAATATCTTTTATGAAGCAGACACTTGTCGGAGCGTTTATAAAGATACAAAAGTGGATTTCTTGGTTTTAGCCATTAAATAAACTGGTTCTCTCTCTCTCTCTCTTTCTCTCTCTCTTTCTCTGTGTGTGTGTGTGTGTGTGTATGTGTGTGTTATGATATGGTTTTCAAAAGATGGAAAGTGAATTAATTTTATATATTTACATATAGAAGTATATATAAATATATATGCATTTATTTTTATAATATTTTTACAAAACTTTAGAGACATTGTTGTGAATTTAATATGAATGTATACATATAAATATATATATATATAAGACAGATATTCAGAAACTGCAATTTGATTTAGACTTGAGCATCTATTGAGTACCTACAAGATTCCAGGTAATATGCTAAATAATGTCTCATATATTATTACATTCATTATCTTATTTGAGGTTCACAAAAAAATTTCCAAAAATATCTTCAAATTATAAATGAGAAAGTTTATAGCAAATGAAAAAATATATGATTATCCATTTGAATAAATGGCACTGCACTTTCATTCCTCGATTAACCAGGGTCATGGGACACAGGCCCCATGGACAAATTTATGCTATGGACAAAATTTAAATACTTAAGTTGTTGAACAAAACAGATTCAAGGTAAGTCTGTTTGGTGAAAGTTAAATTCAATATTAAAAAAATAGATAATTAGGTTTAATGCTACAAATGATATCCTCTAATAGTTATTTAAGGAGTCCCTCAGTCTTCGTTCACATATTAAGGCACTCAATAAATTATAAAATATTTAAGTTAGCAATTATTAAGTATTAACTATGAAATTAAAACTGCTTCTAATACTTCTGTAGATAACCATAGTTAACACTCACCATAGCCTCAATAGATGGGGACTATTGTTTGACTCTCAATTAGAGAAGAGAAAATGGAGTCTTAGACTAATTAGGTATCTTGCCTGTAGTCACCTGGCTAGCGAATGTCAAAGCCAAGTTTTAAGGTAGGCCATTTGACTGTTCATCACATGGCATAATTATTTGACTCTATTTTACCAGGCAGATGAAAATTAACTTACTTCTTATTTAACTAAAAGAAAAAAAACAGAAAAAAGTTACTTATTATTTAATTAAAAGAAAAAACAGAAAACAACAAAAACAAGCAAAGATAAAAGTATTTCAAATATTTATGATTTTTCAGCAAATATCATGTACCTTGTGCTGATTGAACCAAATAATTATTGCATTATTAGTCACTTCATGAAAGGTCCTTTCATGTTTTAATTTTACTTTTTAAATGTTTTAAATTGCTATAAAAGTGAGTAAAATTAATCTTTTCTTTAAATCAAATAGCAATTTTATTGCTTGTATTTTAGAAAAAGTTTAAGTCTGTCTCCCATTTTATATTGTTCAAGTTGTTTACATTTTTATTTGCTGTGATAAATACATTTTTCAATTGAATCCTGGCATCTAAATTATTAACCTATTTATTCAAATGTTGAGAAGACAGAACTTCCCATCTTGCAATGGATACAGTATAGTCTATACTGGCTACTACTAGGCAACTGCAAATAAGCATTTTTTTATATATAGGTCTATCCCAAAATAGAAAGGTTTAACTGTATTGCATTGAAATAGGATTCATAGGGATAATTTTAAGAATGACAATCTCAAGTAAAAGCAGTACAATTAGTTACATTTAGCTTCAAGCGTTTATTAACAGCACAATCTTGGCCAAGTATTTAATCTCCAAGACTCATTTGCCTTATATGTAAAATTATACCTCCTTCCCAAAGATATTTTTCAATATTTAATAAGCTGAAGAAATAAACAATAGGTTTATGAAACATGGTAAGAGATTTATAAATATTAGCTCTCCTTTAAATCCTTTATAACACACACAACAAAAACACAAATACACACACAAATAAATCATAACCAATAGAATACTACCCAGCCTTAGTATGAAAGAATGAAATCATGTCTTCTACAGCAACATGGATGGAATTGGAGGTCATTATCTTAAGGGAAACAACTTAGAAACAGAAAGTCAAATGCAGCATGTTCTCACTTAAAGTGGGAGCTAAATAATGGACATAGAGTGTGAAATAATAGACATTGGAGATTTTGAAAGGTAGGAGTTTGCTGGGTAAGAGATAAGAAGTTATGGCTGGGCACGATGGCTCACACCTGTAATCCCAGCACTTTGGGAGGCCGAGGCGGGTGGATCACGAGGTCATAAGTTCAAGACCAGCCTGGCCAATATGGTGAAACCCGTTTCTCCTAAAAAATACAAAAATTAGGTAGGTGTGGTGGCGGGTGCCTGTAATCCCAGCTATTTGGGAAGCTGAGGCAGGAGAATTGTTGGAACCTGGGAGGCAGAGATTGCAGTGGGCCGAGATTGCACCAGTGCACTCCAGCCTGGGTGACAGAGCAAGACTCTGTCTCAGGGAAAAAAAAAAAAAAAAGTTACTTAATGGGTACAATGTAGACTATTTGGACTATTTGGGTAATGGCTACACCAAAAGCCTAGATTTCACCACTATGCAATATATTCATGTAACAAAACAGCATTTCTACATTTTACATTTAAACAAGTAATTAAAAAACCACATCTATAGCTTCATATTACAATTGCATTAATTATATATTACTTACATAATATATTAAACATGATATGTCATACAATCTATAATATTGCATTTCATATATTAATATTGTATATTAACACTGTATATAATTTACATATATCCTCCATACCAAGAGTTTTAAAGAAACTTAAAACACAATTTATTAAAAATTATAATAGATAATAATGTTCTACGCTGTCCATGAAAGGATAGCAATTTGTATGGCAAATTAGAAAGATTGCCATATAAAGAAAAAAATAAAACGTAATGGTACCTTCTAGGGTAAACCATAAGTTAGACTCCTTTGTGTTCTAAGTCATCCTATTAAAGTCATTGCTGCTTCATATCCCTGAGAGAATAAAATGTTTATGAACCCCAAATAGGGCCAACAGGTGACACAGAGCCCTTTCCCTTTATGAATTCATGCAAATTACATCATGACAATTATGACTTAATCCCCAGGATTCTAAACCCCTGGAAAGAGTTTTAGGCACAAGATTAAGAGGTGGATGGAACTGGAGGTCATATCTTAAATGAAACAAGCCAAGCAAAGAAAGTCAAATATCACATATTCTCACTCCTAAGTAGGGACTAAAAAATGTGTACACATGGATGTAGAGAATGGAATGATTGACAGGTAATGAACACTCAAAAGGGTTAGAAGATGGGAGGAGGAGGATGATGAGAAATTAGTTAATGGGCACAATTTACATTATTTGAGTGATGGGTACCCCCTAAAAGCCCCAACTTGACCACTATGAAATCTGTGCCTGTAACGAAACTACACGTGTATCCCCATACATTTGTACAATTTTTTTAAAAGAGACCTCTCATGGTCTCAGGATTTACAAGAAAAGCTACCTGATCTTTTTAGGTGATTTTCGTTACTTTCCGGAAAACAGGGACTATCGTGTGGTATGGTAAGATTTCCTAGGACCTGCAATCTAAGACTCAGGAAGAAACGATTTTTTAATTTTGTTCAGTAGTGTATCTCCAGTGCTGAAAACAATGGCATATAGTTGATGTTCAACACTTAAGTCTGAATAAGTGACTGTATGAAGCATTACTACATCTAAGTTAAAAACTTCTTAGAATTATGTTTGCAAGCTAGATTGCACCGTCTGGTTTTTATATGTGCCTAAACCACACACATGTTTTCTCTACCCTTTGGGCTTAACATCTTGTACCTCCTGGTTGTCACTGTCTGCATCAGTCTTGCAGATGAATTTGCTTCCCAGAATCTTACCAAAAGAACAAAGTATTATCAATCTCTGATCATACCTTGGTACTTTACATTTCCATACCCAATCCCTAGTTGCTCTTAGTTCTAGAATGAACTGACACATTGATCAAAGATCTTTGTGCCAGACTATAGAATCTGCACTATTTAAGTAAAAGAGATTTATTAAGGGATGTAGAAAATAGCTGATAGGATTGAAGAAAAGGTTTGTGTAGTGAGCTGTTAGAAATAGCTTTTAAAGGTCCATCATAGAACTGGGACATCAAAGGATTTGCTGCCCCTGCATTATCAGAATTAACCATAGGGGAAGACTTTTCCCCTACCTTCTGGCCTCTGGCTTCAGAGCCACACTGCCTTTGCCATTATCTGTGAAAGGAAAATGGGTATCCCACAAAAATGGCCTGGGATTTCAGTAAGTCATTCCATAAAAGACCCTGCTTGCATAAATCTGATAAGAGAAATGTCAAGCAAATCTAGAAGGCTAACTGCAAAGGGATCTGGGAAATGTAGCTTTTAATTTACTAGGCCCTGTAAAAAAAGCCTATAAAAAGGAAAGCATGCCATTTGGTGTTTGAAATGGTTAAGTGAACCATTTCACAGAATCCACCACAGAGCATATGCAAACTTTATTTAAAAAAGGATATTCACTAACACTTCTAAAGCAATACTGGAAGTTTTTCGCAAATATACTTGCATATGTAAAAATATTCCGAATTCACATATACCAAAATGGTAACAATTGTCATTTTTACATGATACATAGATCATCAATATTTACCTTCTTGTGAATATATACAATTCTTCTGAGGGTTATATAAAATAACACAGAACTTGGAAAGCACTTGACAGAGGACCTGACAGATATTTTGTCTTTACTTTTTATTTCCCTGGCACCTAACACTGTTTCTAATATTTAAATTAATACACATTTGTTTAAGTAACCTTCATTATCTGATGCAGCTGAGCTTATCATTACCTTTTCTTTTTCTGAATTCTTCTGGCAAGCTAACATTACCACAACATTTGGGGCACACAGCAGTTGTTTCTAAATGTAGCAGTAGTTAACTACAATCAATAGTTTAAATTAAGTAATTAAGTTTGTTTCTTGTGTTTTTTTTAAGAATGTCAGATAAATTCCTTTATTTATTTATTCATTTATTTATTTTAGAGACAGGGTCACATTCTATTACCCAGGCTAGAATGCAGTGGCATGATCATAGTTACTGCAGCCTTTAACTCAAGTGGTCCTCCAACCTCAGCCTCTAGAGGGACTAAACTACACACCTGCCACCATGCTAGGCTAATTTTTTTTTATTTTATTTTTTGTAGAGGCAGGGTCTCACTATGCTTTTCAGGCTGGTGTTGAACTCCTGACCTGAAGCAATCCTCCAGCCTCCCAAAACACTGGGATTACAAGCACGAGCCACTGCAACTTGTCCTAAATTTAAATATATGTCATTATTATAACGTCAAATTCGTACTCTGAGAGAATAACGCTTTACTTCCCCCAAAATAAGGAAAATATCTTCTATATATATTTATGGTCAAAGTACTGTCTACTGTATTTTTTTTTCATTACAGTGCTCCATGCATCATGGTAAAAACAAGATAAGAATAGTGTTAGTCTAAAAATAAATATGACAGGACAACTAGAGGATACTTAATATTGGTAGGTCAGGTAACTTCAAGTTTGGAAAATATGTGAATTGTAACTTATAACTTTGTAAAATAATGATTCGACATAGAAGTCAACACTTCTTGAACTCTAATTTTAACATTATATGAAATTGAGGCTTTTGATAAATATGTTTCTATCATGGATGTACTTAAAACATGATTTTTTTGCATTTTACTCAAAAGGGTTATAGTTAACTTCATTTAATACTTCAAACAGCACTTTGTGGCATATTATATTTACATTACAGGTTAGAAAGGGAGATTAAGAAATCTTAAGTGGGGGATAAATAACTGAGTCTAGTATTCAGAGTCTAAATTCTGGGATAAAGGATTATGTAGAAATTTTTCAATAGCACAGAGCACATTTGAGCAGAATTTCCACTCATTTCAAGTGTCCTGTGGATAATGATTCCATGCACCAATAATTTAAGAAACAATGACATAAATTTTAGTAGAATGATATTATTACTTATTGTCTAAGTAATTCAAAATAGTTATTACCCATGTAATGAGTTGCAACTGTGAAATATATCTTATAATTATTTAAAAGGGATATTATTTATTTTTTGGCATAATAGATAAAACTCTAGTGTATCATATTTAAACAACAAAAAAATCCGTCTATCTACTTAGTATCATAGAAGTCATAGGTATAATACCACTTACAGAATTGCAAACTTTTTTATATGAAATTTTTACATTAATAATTCTAAAAATATTTCAAATAACATAAAAATACTTAAAATGCACTTAACTAAATGCTAAGTTCTTAGGTAAGAAGGATATTCTAAAAAATCCAAGCAAATATACTCTTTTATAAAGCCAAATTTCATGTTTATAGTGTCTGGACAGACAAAGCAAAAAAAAAAACGGAAATGTGATAGAATGTATAATTTTTATTGGCAAATAAAACAGGGATTTTTGTAAGAAAAAAATGCAATATTCATATGAACATTTCAAGAGCTGCTCTTTCATAAAGGCCAACCATTCTAGGTAAGTGAAGTTATTCCTTCAAGCTAAAGAAATGAAGCCATCAAACACATTTTGGTTATTATTACTTGATATTTCTTCAAACATGACATTCAATTATTTCAGGAGACAGCTTATGTATTTTCTTTTTTTTTTTTTTTCTTTTTGAGACGGAGTTTTCCTCTTGTCCCCCAAGCTGGAGTGCAGTGGTGTGATCTCGGCCACTGCAACCTACTTCTCCTGGGTTCAAGCGATTCTACTGCCTCAGCCTCCTGAGTAGCTGGAATTACAGGTGCCCACCACCACGCTTGGCTAATTTTTGTATTTTTAGTAGAGACGGAATTTCACCATGTTGGCAAGGCTGTTTGGAAACTCCTGACCTCAAGTGATCCACCTGCCTTGGCTTCCCAAAGTGCTGGGATTATAGGCGTGAGCTTATATATATTTTTTTACAAACCTTCCACTAGAAAGCATTTAGCTCTCTGTTAAGTCTAGAATCAAGAAATCTTGTTTTGGTGATTGAAAGAACAATATTGCGATGTTAGTGTGTAGGTTAAGACAATATTGATTTATGCAAATAAAAGCCTACTTAAGCATCTGAATACCATTCATTTTATATCCAATGCAGATTTCAACAAATTCATTATTTATTATTAATAGAAAAAAACCTAAATCAATTTATTCTGTGTTGTTTCCCCCAACATCGCTAATGTGTTGATATCTTTTTAATAGCACTGCCTTCTGGTGGGCAAAATGAGCTGCAAAATAAATCACACTGAAACCCAGACAAATGATCCATTGGATAAGAAAATTTATTGGTGGTAACCTTTTGAAAACTAGAGGATATATGCAAAATGGGGAGAGAAAGATTATGTGTTTGCATAACATGAATTGAGCCCTTCTTAGAATAAATAAGAAACATGACCAGTTACTTTTTGAAAACTCTTCTGGTTGATGAAAATGGGATTATTAGATAGAGAAGGATGTTCTTCTCCCTGCTTCCTGTGGCAGAAGGACATCCATCAGGATCATTTTAAATTGTAACAACTTATTTCAATGAGTTTTTTAAAGGATGGAGAATAAATACTACCCTTATACCTAGAAAAAGTTATTACTTACATTGAGATCTATACTACTTGAAAGCAATTTAGAGAGGTATTTACTTAATTTACTTAATTTTCTTTTATAGAATTGGTTAATGTTTTATAGAATTGTTAATTTTGAACAATTGCTAATTATTCATGGTTTTATAGAATTGTTTATTGGAACTGAAATTATAATTTTGAATGTTTGTCAAAGTACCAATTATTATCTTATATATATAATGGCTTTCAGAATTTGTACTCAACGTTTTACTATTTTTATTTCAAAAACTTGCATTATCACAAAAACATAAATCTCACTCACATAAAGACATGACATATTTTTTAAATAGTAAAGATCATAAATGGAACAGATGTCAGCTAATGAAATCAGAAAATCTTTCAATGAGCTCATTATAATTGAGAATTACATTTTTAATTGATTTATTTGTCAACAATTTGCATTTGTATTGTTAAGTCAAGTATAAAGTTAAGTATTTTGAAATGTTTTAGATTCTCTTATTGGTAATTAAAGAGTTGCCAGTTAATCATCTACTATCAAGTTATGCATATGTGACACTGATATTTTGCTGTGAGGTAAGTAATACTCATGAGAGTGCATTCTGCCCTCATTTAATTTGAAAATTGATTTTTAATAAAATAAATCCGAGAAAATAGAATTGTTCTCATAGAATGCAATTGCTATGACATAAAAATTATAGTATAAACCATTTGTTGTCCTCTCACATTCTTTTACAACACTTAATTATTTTTTAAGAATTATTATTACAAATCTACCATAAATAAACTTGTCTGATGTTTATTCAGCATTACTGCTTGATAAAAACAACCAAGAAAATAAATCACGAATCTCTTGATTGATATTTTCAAGGAGTAAGTTTTCTCGTCTTCTAGGTACTTGAGGATTATAAGTATTGAGTATAATAGACAAAAATACTTAATTTTCATAAATCTTACAAACAATGATTAACTTCAAAAATAACTTTTTGGACTAAAAGTTAACAAACATATAATTCATAATAATGCATGTATTGGCCAGGTGAGGTGGCTCATGCTTGTAATCCCAGCACTTTGGGAAGGTGAGGAGAGCAGATCACCTGAGGTCAGGAGTTCGAGACCATCCTGGCCAACATGGCAAAACCCCAACTCTACTAAAAATACAAAAATTAGCCAGGGGTGCTGGCACGCATTTGTAATCCCAGCTACTCACAAGACTGAGGCAAGAGAATCACTTGAACCCAGGAGGCGGAGGTTGCAGTGAGCTGAGATCTTGCCACTGCACTCCAGCCTGGGCAACAGAGTGAGGCTCTGTCTAAATAAATAAATAAACAAATAAAGAATGTATTGCAGTTCACTAAAAATATAGTGACTATGCATTTCATGAAATTGTAATAAACTCCATTTCAGGTATTACTTATGCTACTGGCTATATTGTATTTTGTAAATATAAAGACATGCAATAATTTGGAGAGTCTCATATAGGGCTAAAATACATGAATTGCCATCTTTCAGTTTTACAGGACATTTTAATCAGTCAATGTAATATAGCTAATGGCTTTCAGTACTAAGAATCTGAAGGCCCATTTCTATCTATTCACCATTTCTGACTGGCTACTTGACCTTGAAGTAGTGAGCCAACCTCAGAAACTGTGAGATTAATCTACTAGAAAGAGCTCTGAATATTCAAGCATTCCAGATTTGGAGTTCACTATTTCCATTCTCACAGCAACACCCCTCTGACTTGATTGATATAAATATATGTCCCCGGATACATTAGGCGATTTTCAGTGCTCTGAGGTGCCAATATAAAATAAAGAAAATAAAGGAGAATCTGAACACATGGTTGCAAAAAAATAAACTGAAAGCAGTGTATATGTACATGAGGGAGAGAGAGAGAGAGAGAGAGTGTGTGTGTGTGTGTGTGTGCGTGTGTGTGTGTAGACTGCAGGCGCCATAATACATTTATTGTCCCAAATACACACTTTTAATTTGATTAGATATAGTCTTAACATAATATTTTCCTATGGTTTCATATACATAAGAATATTTGCTTTATACGAAGAACAACTGTGTGGCTTCCCCTTTTCATGTACATCAATATATATGACATAATACTTGTCTCATTGAGCTTATAGAGGATTATAGAGTTTTGAATGATAAATGTTTATAATAATACCAGTGTTTAATGTCCTTGTAAAATTATAAGCCTTAGAATATCTTATATGTAAAGGACTTTTAACATCATGGATATGTTGTGCTAATATTTACCAAAAAAGATGAATCATATCAAGGGAGGTTAAGTCACTTCTCAAAGATAAGTAATTAGTAAACAACCTGGCAAAAGTCCTAGACACTTTCTTAGAACACTATTGTGATGTGTTTATCATCATCGATTTTTTTTCTTAAAGTTATGAAGCACTGAACAGTAATTATGTAAATTTGCAAGAGAGTCAATATTTGTAACCACAAGATTAAAGGAAACTAACACATAAATAATAAAATTCATATCTATAAAATTTATGATAAAAAGTATCACTAATAACAGTATGCTAAATGTACCTAATGTACAGTTGGTAATTTGTTAAATAAAACATGATCTATTTTAGGAAAGAACAAAAATGGCAATATTGATCTAAATTATTTCCTTTTTTTTTTTTTTTTTTTTTAAGAGACAGAGTCTTGTTCTGTCACCCAGGCTGGAGTGCAGGGGCATGATCTCAGCTCATTGCAAACTCCTTCTGGCTTCAAGCTATTCTCCTGTGTTAGCCTCCTGATTACAGGCATGCGCTACCACGCCTGGCTAATTTTTTATTTATTTATTTATTTTTTTACTAGAGATTGGTTTTCACCATGTTGGCCAGGCTGGTCTTCTGGTCTTGAACTCCTGACCTCAAGTGATCCAACCACCTTGGTCTCCCAAAGTGCTGAGATTACAAGTGTGAGCCACCATGCCTGGTCTGAATTATATACTTTGGATATGATTTCTCAAAATGCTGGCATGTATGAAAGCTAAGTCTTATTTAATAATATGTATTTGAAGATTAAAATGAGATGATATATGTAGAAAACTCAATACAATGTCTGAAATCTAATAGATACTTATGAAAATATAAGTATTAAAATACATTATATGGAAGTGGTCATTAGGGAAATAACTTTAGAGGTCAGTGTCTCTTAATTGCAGAGTCTTAACCAAAATATAACTGGAAATGAAAAAAACATACTTTATTTTTATCACTTCTGAATGCATAAAGGCAAGAGTGTCCACTTGAAAAAACAGGAGGAGAAAATTTTGCAATAAAAGCAACTGAACTTTTTCGGTGGATGGACAGTCCAACATCCTTTTATTTACGGAGAAGGGTAAGGCTGATACTGAGGAGCATGCAAGAGTGCAAGAGCACAGGCACTTTCCACAAAGGATATTATCATTATGGTTGTCATAAATCTTTTAAATTATTTCAAAAATTAAAAACTTTATTAAGTTGGCAGACTCTGTAAGTTATTTGTAAACCAATAATTACTGAAATCTCAAACTCTACTACTGTTTTCTCTGAGAACTCTAGAGAGATGCTCTCAAATATAAGTGAATAAAGAAATCATAAATTTAAATACTTCTGTAAAAAATATTAGGGGTGAACTAATTGTGTTTCTTATTCTAGGTATGTTCCTCAAAGGAAAACATTGTCTAATAATAGTTACAAAATTCTCAATGCATTTTAAGCACTTAATGTACAATATTTTAACATGTTTTATCTGTTGTGTTACTGAAGAACACTTTACTAAATATGGCTACCTGGTAGTTGACCCTTACTTTCAAATCTGTAGGACTATCTCATTTTTCTATTATAATCTTCAGTGCAATTTTATGGAAGGTTATCTTTAACAAATGTTTTATGTGTTAATAAAAGTTCAGGGCACTGGTATCATTACATTGGGGTTGCTGTCATTAGCAGAAATAGGCACAGAATGCAGAAAATAAGACTTCTAGACATACTCCTGACAATGTAATAAATGTGTTTGAATAAATGAAGTTAACAAATAGCCAGGAACTTCAAAGAATTACTAGCTGATAACTGATTACTAATATCAAATGAGGACATAGCTCACATTTCAATAATTAGTAATCAATGAATATAAAATATTTGATTTTCAGAATTTTTGTCATTTGCCAATGAGTAAGCTATAGCTTTCATGGTTGAAAATGGGTTTTTAATCTTTTAATATTAACATCTGAAAACATTTTAAAGAGGTCATTCCTAATTTCTAGTAAAATAACATTTCAATATGATTCCCATAAATAGTCAAGAAAAATGTAGTGCTTTTCTAAGTAGAGATAAGCAACAAGTCCTCATGTAAACATGTATCTCTGATTTACTTAAAAGCCAGGAGTCTAGGGCCGGGCGCGGTGGCTCAAGCCTGTAATCCCAGCACTTTAGGAGGCCGAGGAGGGAGGATTATGAGGTCAAGAGATCGAGACCGTCCTGGCCAAGACAGTGAAAGTCTGTCTCTACTAAAAATACAAAAACATTAGCTGGTCGTGGTGGCAGGTGCCTGTAATCCCAGCTACTTGGGAGGTTGAAGCAGGAGAATCGCTTGAACCCAGGAGGCAGAGGTTGCAGTGAGACGAGATAGCACCATTGCACTCCAGCCTGGGCAACAGAGCGAGACTCCATGTCAAAAAAAGAAAAAAGTTAGAAGTCTAAAAGCCACAATGTGTGTGAAAGTTCTGAACCATGTGCTAGCTAATAATAGTGAAAGGAGTGACAAGCATCATCTTGAAATTGTTATTGCATTATAAAAGAAAACATATTCCTAGATAGTAGTTGGAAAAACATAATTTCTACTACTTCAGATGACATGATTTATATACCCCAAGGCAATAAAGTATCAAGTAGAAAGCTACACTACACTTATTTTTACTATAAGTAAAATAAGTTATTGTATTTTTACTATAACAGAATACAAATATGATTTAAGATAAACCTGAAACCCTGGAACCCTTCATGAGAAGGAAGATGCATACTCAGTAAGTTTAAATGCATATATCATTCAAATGCACATCATACAGCACATCTTGAAGTAAAAATTCCCCTTTTCAACACAATAGTATAAAACTTGGAGTTAATATGAGTGCTTTGAGTATAAATAAGTGTAATAATTTCGCATATAAAATAACAAGCGATACTTCAGTTTGCTGAAAATGCACAGAAATAGTTTGGGAATCCCTGGAAGAACAGTCTTACATAATTCATTTGAACAAAATATATCTAGCAAAATTATTTAAAAACGCAAATGCATGTGTTTTTTATTCTTCAGCAATATAGACACACAGATGACCCAACATGGAAAATAATATATTGTAAAAGTCATTCAGTTGTGGGGAAATGTGCAGAGAGGATTCTATTTGGACTTGTTATAAATAAGCAAGATTGTATCAACAATCTAGAGAGCCTCTGAAGTGTAACTACCCTTTCAGCATTTCAGAAGACCATGTAAGTTATTAAACTACTTCATATTTATTTTTTAATTTTTGTAGAACACTGAAAAAGGTAAAAACAGGATATATATCTTTCTATTCAAAAAGGAGGGAAAAAAACTGGACAATTGTGCTTCACTTCATAGACAGGCTTGGGGCCGGGATGCCTTTGGGAAGGGAAAGGTGAGCAAGGAAGCCCAAAATGTAGACTAAGAAGAGCCAACAAGTGAATGGAGATGCCAGAGGGATCAACCTAAGAAAAGGTTGTGATATGCCATCATTATAATCAGCAGAAGCACAAGTTAATGGAAGTCATTTACTGAAGGATGACAATCTACATAGAGTAATTTATTATCTCAATGAGTAAACTTCAAAATTTAAGAATGTGACTATAGAGAAAAGAGTCTTCCAACATTAGAATAATGTGGACTATGCCATACTAGGAGCTATTGCCAACTTTTAATGCATAAATATGTTCTAGCCTTTTTGTAGAAAATTAACTAGATGGCAGTGACTAAATAGTTGGGTCTCCATGAGACACATTTTGAGGAAGTCCATTTGCCAATACATAGAAGTGACACAACACCAACTCGTAGGGACAATGGTTGGTGGAGGAGTTCAACCACCACAATATAGGGAAAAAACAATAACAACAAAAAAGTTGACGTTTTCAAGAGCACAGTATGAAGATGGAAAACATCAACAGAGAATACCCTTTGGCCCTGGGGAATCCTCATAGGGCTCAAAATGGCTGTAAAATCACACTGAATATTTTTAATTATCATTATTTTCTCATTTTTGACTTTTTATTCAAAGTAGCATCACATATCTTTTTTCTTTCTGTTATGAACTTATATAATTGTTATCTTAAAGCAATCATTTCTTACCTTTGACTCTTGAACTTTCTTGATTTTTTTCCTGCTGGAAATAAAACAGAAAATAGGTCAAAATATGTAAGTAAATATGTGATCAACTGTTTCATATAAAGTTTCACTATAGAAGTATCAAAATGATTTTTGTACATATTCCCAGGAACATGATTCTCGCCTTTAAAAAATATTTACATATAATTTTTTTTTGAGAGAGCATTTTGCCCTGTTGCCCAGGCTGGAGTGCAATGGCATGAACATGGTTCACTGCAGCCTCAACCTCGCAGACTCAAGTGATCCTCCCACCTCAGCCTCTCAAGTAGCTGGAACTACAGGCACATATCATTATGCCAGGCTAATATCTTTTTTATTTTTTGTAGAGACGAGGCTTCCTTATTTTGCCCAGGTTGGTCTTGAACTCCTGGGCTCAAGGAATCCTCCTGCCTCAGCCTCTCAAAATGCTAAGATTAGAGGAGTGAGTCCCCATCCCTGCCTTATATAAAGTATTTTATTGGAGTAGTAATAACTCTTGGTGGGCATATAATTCTCTAAGAAATCACTAAATTGTATGAATATGGATTCATAAATAAATAAACAAATGGTTAATGAATAATAAATAATCATGCCTCTCAAATGCCTTAGGCCATTCCATTTAATTCTAACAGATATTAAATAATGCCTTCAGAATTTGCTTTCAATGGCTCTACATTAATCATAAATTGTTGGTGAAGGAATAAGTTTAGGCACAAACATCGGGGAGAATTTTACTAAGAAAACACAAAAGACTTTTCAACTGTCTTTGCTTTAGTTTAACTTAGAATTGGACCCCATCTCAATTCTTTAAGGCTAAAGTTGACAACAATTCTATGATTTATTCAAAGGCTGCTCCAGTCAGACTTGTCTTTCAGTTTGACATTCTCCTTATTAGTTACCGGGCAACCCCAAAAGAATTAGCTTGCTTTCAAGTTTTAAAGTGAATATTGTGCACTAACTTCTCAATTAATATGCAAGCACAGTTTACTCCGTCTAAAAGTTTCAGGGTCTCACACTGAAAATAACTTCGAAATATGTTCCTAAGAAAAAAATGACAATGACATATAAACTGAACTGCAGAACTGTATGAATGCCAATATATTTTGGCAAAAGAGTAGGAAAATATAAAGAACTGATTTTGCTGCAAAAATTAATCCACAATTTAGAATTTGAGAATAAAATGCATAATGACAAATGTGTATTTATTGAATCAGCTAACTTAGTGATATAATTCTGTTAGACTTTAAAACTTGGTGTTCTATTTCTCTCATCTAAACTCACCCAACCTCTGTGTTTGAATTCTGTTCTGCTCTTTATTAATTGTTTAATTTAGAGTATCTGTTGGTCACTTAAACTAAAATTTAAATGTACATTACTTGTATTAAAAATACATTAGTTTTTCATAATTCTATAACTAGTAGGGTTAAGTTTTCCGAAAGGACATTTGTTAATGAGAATCTCTCTCTCCCTCCCTCTCCTCTATTAACATTCATTCATTCATTCAGTCAGTCAGTCTTTTATTCATTCATTATTTCACCAAATATGTATGGATCACTTTTTTATGTGCCAGACACTATTCCCGTTGATGAGACTATACAGGATGAACAAAACAGAAAAAAATTGTGTCCTCATGGAGCAGACTGCATAAATTTTATTCAGAAAAGATATGCTACAGAAGGTGACAGTGTTGGAGTGGAGTGACTGAAATTATACATGTAGCCACAGGGATAAATTGATTTTTGAATAAAATTCTGAATGAGGTGAGCATGATCCAAGCATATATATGTGAAAAAACATGTCCTAGGGGAGAAAAAAATTTCAAATTGTCCTGAGTTACATACAAGAGTTCTTAGCATTGTCAAAAATATTAAGGAGATCACTGTGTGTGGACTGGATCAAAGGAAGGAAATTTAATAGGAAATACAATCTGGGCAGTAATAGGAGCCAGACAGACTAGCACTTGGGGCATTTGGTAGGACTTTGGTTTTTACTCTGACATAGCTGAGAATACATATACATTTCTTCTCAGGGGGTAATATTATCTGAATTACTTTTAAATAGAATCATTTTGGCTGTCTATTAAGAATAGGTTGAAAGGGCAAGGGCAAAGTCAGGGAGGCCATTAAAGAAGGTATTGCAGTAATTCAGGTGGGCTGTGACAAAAACATAGAACAATGTGGTAGCAGTGTATTTGGAATACCTACTTAGAGCAAGGTTTGCTGATACATTAAAGTTTTGCTGTGAGAGAGCCAACAAAGATGACTCCAAGGGTCTGAGCTGCTATAAGGATAGAGATATGTACTTATTCCTTCTTCACCTGTCTTGCAGCACTGCCACACTCTCTGAGATTTTCTTCTAGTTCCCTGGCTAACCCTATTGAGTCTCCTTTACTGCTTCCTCTTTTCCTAAGCACTAGTGTCCTAGGCATTGAGGTCTTATCTTTCTTCCATATAGCTCATTCTTTTAGCAATCTCGTCTAATCTCTTAGCCTTAAGTCTCGTTCTATTGCTAAGGATTTACATATCTAAACCAACCTCACCATTGAACTTCAGACTCACTTATTCAACTGTCTTTTGACATCCGTACTTGGATTTCTAATAACATGGCCTATCTGTAATGTTTCAAACTGAATTTCTGACCTTCCCTTACTTTCTTGACCATCTTTTTCATCTTAGTTGTAGGTAACTCCATTCTTCTAGTCGTGCATATCCTTAGTGTCACCCTGTGTTACTCTGTCTCTTGAGAGATAATAAACCTCAAATTTTCATTAGTATGATTTTTAAACATGTTGACTTTGAAATTACTTTGACTATAATTCCAAGGATTCAAAGTAGGTAGATAAAACTCACAGGACGTATTTCAACCAGATACATAAAGTTGGAAGCCACTAGCATATGCATAAATTATCACTCTATAAATTAGAACATAGAGTAGAACTCACTGATCTATAACTGAGTATTGCAAAATGTATAAGAAAAATATAAAGTTGAATTAACCAACAAAAGAGGATGGAAGCATAAAAAAATTACAGGAGAAAAATCAAGAGATCAAGGAATTATGAAATCCCAAGGAACATATTATTTGGAAGGAAATTTTCAATAGTACAGAATTATTCTGAGAGGTGAAGTACAATTATGTCTAAGAAAATGCCCATTCAATATATTGACATAGATAGAATCATTGACTTTAGATAAAACGTTTTTTGGTGCTCATATGGGATTAAATGTCCAGTTCAAGTTATCTAAGGAAGGAGAAGAGGGTGATTGAAATTTGTACAAAGTGGGAAAAATTACATGATGGAAATATGACTAGGAATAAAAAGCCTGTTATGGAGTGTAGCTGGAAACTAAAGTCCATAGATATTATGTTTGTTGTTTATTGGCCTTTTGCTTTATTTTGTTTAGTTTTGTAATATTACATTATTATTTATATCACTGAGATTTGAGAATACATAAATGATGGAATATACCTGGTAGAAATTGAGAGGATTAGGATAAAAAGAAGAGACAGCATGACTGATTGTATATGGTTATTGAAAGGGTGGGTGTGATAGAATATAATTGGGGGCAAAATTTAGATAGAAAGAAGACCAGTCTCTGTAATAGAACAGGTGGGAACAGGAAGGCTTAGTCATAGATGCAGGAGGTTTCTAGGTTTGATATGACGAATTAAACATATTCAATCTTGATTTATTTTCTTTATGTAATAGAAGGAAAGGTGGTTGGCTAATTGTGGAAGCTGAGTGTTTTGTCTGAAATTTGAGAAGATGGAGAAGATTTTAAGTGCATGGCTTTTTGCGAGAGTAGGTGAGAAGAATCACACATACAGCTTGGTATGATTGAGCCAATCCTAGTTGAGTTTTGTCGTCATAAATTTGTAACAATCTTAGGCTTAGTTTACCTATAGTTGAGTAGGCTTTTTATTGATATTATATTTCACTGTATTTGTTTTCTAAAATCAAGTTCTCTCCCATACAGTTTTATATAATTATAAATTACCAATGCAAATCTGTCTAAATATTCTATAAACAAGAAATATTTAAGAAGCATGAATTTGGAGAAGGGAAACTAGTAATTAATTAGTGGACTGGAAAGAATGACAATAGATTTGCAAAGTGAGAAGAAAACTTAAGGGTAAACTCCCGCATTACTGTCAAAGTTGTATAAACCCCTTTCACTGGAGACTTATTTAGGATTTGCAAATAATAACTGTTCCAATTTGCTTCTATTACTTTAATGTTACATTATTCACAATGGCAATACAGATTTGCCACAATTGTATTTTACAAACTATAACTTCATGTTCAAAATATTTACTTTAAATGAGAAAACATTATAAAGAAAATTGTGATTATTTAACTATGTGAGAACTCACGAGTGACCAGAAACTTTTGTTGTTCTGTCCACACGATTCATTTGAAAAACATTCTTACATTAGGAAGACTTAGGTCTTGTCCATAATAGCAGAATGTTTATATTTCTAGGTATAACTTAATTTTAACATTCTTTCAAAAGATTTTCTAATAAAGTGAACTTGACTTAAAATAAGAAATATATTTGGTTATGTGTCAAAGCTAAATAATAGCAAACTATTCGTGTTTTACATTGTACTATGCTATTTCTTGGAAGAATTCCAAAGTGCTGTATATTAATTACATCAGCATACTTCATGAAATCCAGTCCAGTAATGTAAGATGGCTAAAAGCTTTAGCAGACAGTATGATAAAGATTAGCAAAGACAATCTGGGAAGAAGTACGGTTTTATAATAAATACAAGAGTCAACAATATGGTATCTTAAATATTTTTAAACAGAAATAAAGTAAATGTAACGTAACTAAACCAATGTAAAATTCAGTCAAATTGGGATACACAGTAGTTGTACAAATGAGCTGTAAGTGGTTCTGAAGCATCTAAACAAACTGGAGTTTAGCAAATAACACCAAAGTACCATGTTGCTAGTCTTTTAACTGGGCTGAATGTGACCACACTAGGAGATATTAAGGATATTTCTTTTCCAGTATCTGGATTTATGACATAATGATTATTAACATTTGATGATGGCTATGTTATAACGTGAAAACGGATTTCTCCTGAAGAAACACTAAAAATTTCTGGCTACAATATCTTCAAACATAATTTACCTATTTCCTTCCTTCTCACTGAGAAGCAAATGCTCTCTGGAAAGTGAAGAAATCATCTAAATGCTAAATGCTAAGTGCATCATCTCCACCATAACAGCATTGAGGTAGTAAACATTAGACTATCAATGAATTGTCCTCCCTTTTCATACTATAAGCTTAAACTATTTTAAGGGAGAGCCATAAAGTCCACACAGATAATACCCACAAATACTCTTTTATAATATATATACATATGATGTTACACGAATGAGACTAGTCATGTGCTCTCTGATCAATACCAAGACTAATACAGACTTCCTTTCACATGGAGAGACATAAGAGTGAAGCACATGCAGACAGAATTGAGTTGGTCTCCTAAAGAGTTAAACTGATGCTCTCTGACTCTGAGAGACTATACATAGTACTTTTCACTATACATAAAAATAACTTGCTTATATAAAAAAAGAAGTAGAAGATATCAAGTAGATATAAGGCAAGGTTCTTTCCCCTTTTAGTATGGGAGTAATCAGGAAAAAAAAATCTAGTTTGCTGTTGTTTTTCCTGATCCCCATGTGACTTGTTTGCATTTGGTCACTAATAAAAAACATATAGTAAGACGATGTTATTCTAGATAATTAACAGAATTAACATGACTATTTTTAAAAACAAGTCAAAATTAAAAGGAAAATCCCTGTGAAAATTTCTTCTATCTCATTGCAGCAATACTGGAAAGTTATTTTCTTTTTAAGAAATTTCCTGTTATGCAAACACAGCATTTCCTTTAGTTGAATAGGTGGCATAAGTTGAGAAACTATAAAGTCCAGGAGAAAAAAACGCACTACTTGTGATTTTTCTTTGACTAATATGTACAATAAAGCACATTCAAGCTGTGTTTAGCTTGGCTAAATGCTGAAAATAAGTTCATTTCTCTCATGGGATTTGAGAAAACTCAAATGTGTAGAAGACTTTCACTGGTATATCGAATAAAGCCCAAAATAAATCAATAAACATAAAATTTACAAATTAGCAAAAGATAGAAATAAATTCTGCAGTAGTCAAAAGTGATATGTTCTAGCTAAAGTAATATTTCTATCAATCCATATTATCCATAGGTCTTCCTACAGTAAACTGATGATATAATTCACCAAAGTGTCCTTATGTATATATACTTCAGTGCTTAGTTGTGAGTAGGTGATTTTAAACTTATGAATAATAGTCAATAGATCCTAACACTGAAAATAGTCAATGGATAAAAATAAAGTTTATAAAAATATAAATTTTGTGGGAAATATACATAGAGGTAAACCTTACTAATTTTAGCAGGCTGACTAGTTGAATTTCATTCTCAGAACTCTTCCCTTCTCTCTGATTGTAATTATTACTTCCCAGACAAATGCTACCAATTAAAAATGGTTTTAAAAGTGATAATTTGCAGCAGAATACTCACATTCATCACAAATTTGTTCTCATGTGCTATAAGGGAGAAGTATAAAATACTGAGGTGTTTTAAAAGATATTGTTAGACCCACTAAGTAATATGGATTGGAAATTCATGGAACTTGAGAATAGGAGAATGTCTCAGTAGATCCAGTCTCCAATAATCCCACAACAAATTTATTCTGTGTTATTCTGACACATGAATACTCATGAACATGTGAGCTTCCCTCCCCAAAGCCACATACATACACACACATATAGGTTCACACACACGTGCACACACTTTATCAAAAACAACTATTTTGGCGGTGGCAATTAAATTATAAAAATGCCTCAAAAATAGAGGGGAGACAGTGGGCATAGAAAAAAATGCCTGAAAAATAGAGATATGGTCACTCAGAATCCACTATATCAAGTGTACTCAAACTTGGAGTCATACATATATTATCAGTAAACTATAAAGCTAAATTTTCAGTTCTACTTTGTTTAATCAAAATCTTATCACCTTTTATTTAAAATTCTTTTTCTTAGAATTTGAGTCATATCCCTGATCCAGTCTTACCTCCTCAACAAGGCCTTCGCTGAACATTCTATCTAAATCAGCACCCCCATTATTATTTATCTTTTTTTTTCATTTTTCACAAAAGTCACTACTTCTAAGAATAATATATGCTTGTCCATTGTCTGTTCCTCCCACTGGATTGTATCTTCCATGAAGAAAACTATTCTGCAGTCTCAACTGACATATCCTTAATGTCTTAGCCCCTGCAAGAGTGGACACTTTTCCAACAGAGTCTTTGAACTCCAGAATTCAATAGTCAGGTGGAGGGATAGGCAGAGACACACACAGATATATGCCATAAAATGTGATATTCAATAGTGGAATTATGTATCAAATCTAGATAGTACAGTCCAGAGAGGAATGCAGGCTTTCTTAACTTGGGCAGCTGAAGGTGAGCTGTGAGAAGGTGGGAACTGAAGAATTTATAGAGAAAGATGAGATGGTAAAAAAAAAAAAAAAAAAAAAAAGGAGTTTATCTCCATAGCAAAGTGTAAAAGCACATTCTGTCTAGAGGACATAGCATAGACAAAGTTATAGATTCAAAAGAGTGCATGATAAGACTGCAAAACAGCAAATAGTGTTGTTGCAGTAGTGCAGAGTTGGAATGGTTAAGTTACTAAATAAGGTTGGGCAAGTAGTATGTTTCAATGATTCATGGAGAAATGAAAGTAATTTTCTTATGTTGGTAAGAAATGTCATTAGATTTATTAGTAGCCTAATGAATATATATATATATAACACAATCTGGAAAAGTTATAGAGTGTCAGTCAACAGTCAACCAACTTCTCCTTCAGTTTAATATTTTGATGTGAAGTTATTCATTCCAATGCTAAAATTGTAGTTGCTTCTTATTGTATATTCATATTGTATTTGCTGTGTTTATGTAATTTTCAGTAAGAAAATCTAGAGAGAACTTGTGATTGGGTTGAGATATTCTCAGTATTGCCCCAAATTATAAAGACCATAAACAAGATATCAATGACATGCACTTGACAAAAAAAAAATCAAACTAGGACAGAATTTACCACCAGAATTTTAAAAAGTTGTATTTTTATTTTATTGCATACATATTCTGATGTTACATATTACATTTAGAAGTTATATGAAGCAGGCCTGGCACGGTGGCTCATGCCTGTAATCCCAGCACTTTGGGAGGCTGAGGAGGACGCATCACCTGAAGTCAGGAATTTGAGACCAGCCTGACCAACATGGAGAAACCCCATCTCAACTAAAAATACAAAATTAGCCTGGTGTGGTGGCGCATCCCTGTAATCCCAGCTACTCACGAGGCTGAGCCAGGAGAATCACTTGAACCCAGGACACGGCAGTTTTGGTGAGCCGAGATCACGCCATTGCATTCCAGCCTGGGCAATAAGAGCAAAACTTCATCTCAAAAAAAAGAAAAAAAAAATGTTATATGAAGCAAATTCATGTGTGTCTAAATTGAAAATAATGGGAAAATATATTTCCCATTATGGGAAATATTACTAATGGTTTAGAAGTAGTTGGAAACATCAGAAAGTTTGTTGTTGTTGTTGTTTGCTTGTTTTCACCAAGATCATGTATGTTCAAATCCAATGAATATGACATATAAACTCAATCAAAACATGCAGTGTCAAATAGAGTCTTTAAGAATTTTCCCAGTGTCAAAATGGACATCTTTGGTTCATGGACTCATGAAAGACATAGACACACTGACTTTTACACAGTGAGAAGCTGTGTAACAGACTGGGTTAAGGAATTACGGTCATTTAGGGCAGAAAAGATAGCATGGATAAGGGATGGATCAGGTAGTGAGATATGTTAGAAAATAACACAAAGTCTCATATTAAGCATAACAGATAATTGAAATAGTGAAAAGGGAAATTATATAATATACTTTTAAAAAACCTATCCATGGTACCCACACATATAGGCACTCCTCTCCATAATAAATTAGAAACATTTATTTCTCAATGTATATTAATTTGAGGATTTGAAAAATACTATGGAAAAGAAAATGCAGCCATACAAAATGATGAGTTCATATCCTTTGTAAGGACATGGATGAAACTGGAAATCATCATTCTCAGTAAACTATCACAAGAACAAAAAACCAAACACCGCATATTCTCACTCATAGGTGGGAATTGAACAATGAGATCACATGGACACAGGAAGGGGAATATTACACTCTGGTGACTGTTGTGGGGTGGGGGGAGGGGGGAGGGATAGCATTGGGAGATATACCTAATGCTAGATGACGAGTTAGTGGGTGCAGCGCACCAGCATGGCACATGTATACATATGTAACTAACCTGCACAATGTGCACATGTACCCTAAAACTTAAAGTATAATAAAAAAAACAAAACAAACAACAAAAAAGAAAATGTTCTTTAATGTGTGATATAAGATTTTAAAAGTTATGTACATCCTTCTTACAGCATTATTGTTTTGTACTACTAAGCTTTGACACGAACTATGGGGAAGATCTAAAATTAATATACAACCATACCTCAAAATATTGCAGGATCAGTTCCAGACCACTGCCATGAAGTCAATATTGCAACAAAGTGAGTCACCTGAATTTTGCAGTTTCCCAGTGCATGTTATGTTTACACTATACTATAGTCTATTAAGTGTGTAGGAGCATTATGTGTAAAAATCAATGTGCATACTTTAATCAAAAGTACTTTATTGCTAAAAAATGCTAATGATCATATCAGCCTTCAGTGAGTCACAAGTTTTTGCTGTTGGAAGGTCTTGCTTCAGTGTTGATAGCTGTCAACTGATCAGAGTGGTGGTTGTTGAAGGTTAGGGTGGATGTGGCAATTTCTTAAAATAAAAAAAAAATGAAGTTTGCTGCATTGATTAATTCTTTCTTTCATGAAAGATTTCTCTGTAGCATGTAATGCATTTCATGGATTTCATCTAGAGTAGGACTTCTTTCAAAATTAGTCAATTCTCTCAAAGCCTGCCACTGCTTTATCAACTACGTTTATGTAATATTCTAAACCCTTTGTTGTCATTTCAACAACGTTGACAGCATCTTCACAAGGAGTAGATTCCATTTCAAGAAACCACTTTCTTTGCTCATTCATAAGAAGCAACTCTTTATCTATTCAAATTTTACTGTAAGATTGTGGCAATTTAGTCACATTTTCAGCTTCACTTCTAATTCTAGTTCTTTTGCTATTTCCACAACATCTGCAGTTACTTCCTTCACTGAAGGGTGGAATCATGGGAAGTAATCTATGATGCTGGAATCACCTTCTCCAAAACTCCTGTTAAAGTTGACATTTTGACCTCCTTCCATGAATCATGAATGTTCTTAATGAGATCTGGAATGGTGAATCCTTTCCAGAAGGTTTTTAATTTACTTTGCCCAGATCCAGATCCATCAGAGGAATCACTGTCTATGACAGCTAAAGTTTTACAAAATATATTTCTAAAATAATAAGAATTGAATGTCAAAATTATTCCTTGCTTCATGTGCTACAGAATGAATGTTTTGTTAGCAGGCATGAAAGCACATCAGTATCCTTGTAAATCTATATCAGTGCTTAAGGGATGACCAGGTACATTGTGAAAGAGGAGTAATATTTTAAAAGGAATCTTTTTTCTGAGCAATCGTTCAATAATGAGCTTAAAATATTCAGTAAACCATGCGGTAAACAGGTGTGCTATCATACAGGCTTTCTTCTTTCGTTTATAGAGCACAGAGTGATTTAGCATAATTCTTAAGGACCTCAGGGTTTTCAGAATGGTAAATGAGCATTTGTTTCAACTTAAATGCTGCTTCCCCAGCAGCATTAGCCCCTAACAAGAGAGTGAACCTGTCCTTTCAAGGTTTGAAGTCAGACATTGACTTCTTTCTCGCTAAGAAAGTGGTGAATGGCATATTTGTTTTCATAGGAGGTTGTTTCGTCCAATTGAAAAATCTCTTGTTCAGTGTAGCCACCTTCATTAATTATCTTAGGTTTTCTTAATAACTTTCTGCAATTTCTGCATCAGCACTTGGTGCTTCGCCTTGCACTCTTATATTATAGAGACAGCTTCTTTCCTTAAGCCATGTGAACCAACATCTGACAGCTTCCAACTTTTCTTCTGCAGCTTTCTCACCTCTCTCAACCTTCACAGAATTGAAAAGAGTGAGAATTTTGCTCCAAATTATGCTTTGGCTTGGGGGGAGGTTGTGCTTGTTTTGATTTTTTAGCCAGGCCATTGAAACTTTCTTCATATCAGAAATAAAGCTGCTTCACTTTCTCATTATTCATACATTCACTAAAGTAGCACTTTTAATTTTCTTCGAGAACGTTTCCTTTGTACTCACAACTTGGCTAAATATTTGGTGCAAGAGGCTTAGCTTTCAGCCTGTCTCGGCTTTTGTTATAACTTTCTCAGTAAGCTTAATCATTTCTAGCTTTTGATTTAAAGTGAGAGACATACAATTCTTCCTTTCACTTGAACACTTAGAGGCCATTGTATGGTTATTAATTGGCCTAATTTCAGTATTATTGCATCTCAGGGAATAGGGAGGCCTGATGAGAGGGAGACAGATATGGTAACAGCCGGTCTGGCAGAGCAGTCACAACACACACATTTACAGATTAATTTCAATATATCATAAAGGTGCAGTTCAGTTCATGGTGCTCCAAAACAGTAATAATTGTAACATCAAGCTCTCTTCCTGATTTGATCATCACAATTTCATGCTTCTATCAAAATACCACATGTACCCCATAAATATATACAAATATTATGTACCTGTAATAATTAAAAATTTTTAAAGAGATCACTTATCACAGATCACTAGAACAGATATAATAATAATGAAAAAGTTCAAAATATTATGGGAATTATCAAAATGTGACACAGTGATATAAAATAAGCACATGCTATTTTTAAAAAATGACACCGACAGACTTGCTTAACACCGGGCTACCACGAACCTTCCATTTATAAAAAATGCAGTATCTGCAAAGTGCAATCAGATAAGGTACAGTATAAAGAGGTATGCTTGTTGCTAATAGGCCACTTTTCCAGTTATTAACTGAAATGGAAATAAAATAAATAATTTTTTAAATGACTGGACAATGTTTGTTAGTATTCTTAGGCAACATTCCCTAGTGAAAGAATTAACTTGGAAACATTTAAAGGGTGTACCTATTTAATTTTACAATATTTTACGAGTTTTTTAAGAGGATAATGAGGAAGACAGCATTTTTCATATATATGAGACACATTCTAACTAACTCACTTTTAGATATCCTGTCTATCTCATTTTTGTCTGCAGAAATTTTAAATATCATTGGAACACATTAAGTTTCTTATTATCATCTTGCCATTTTAGTAGGCTATTGACACACTAAATAACCACTCACTATTGGAACACGGGTTTTTTTATTTGGAACGTACATGTCTAGCACTGTGCTATTAAATAGGGGTTAACTATAAATAACGTAGATGTCTGACCTCTGAAGTTCATATTCTATCTGGAAAGACAAATAGCTATTACTTACAACACAATGTTAAAGAATTTATAGGGTGATGTGGAAACAAGGATGTGAGGAGCAGCTGCATTTGCTGAGTTATGGGGTAAAGGGAGAGTCTCCAAGCGAAACTGTTACTTGAGCTAAGAATTAAAGGATGGCAAAGTAATTTACTCGGGGAAAAGAGCATTAAGCTGCACAAAGGCACAGAGTTGTAAACTCTTTAATCTTTTGGGAGAAACTGTGGACAGTTAAGCATAACCAACTGCATACTTCTTTGGACATGAAGATTATATAAAAATACATTCAAGAAAGTTTTCTCCTGGTTCCAGGAGAAAATTTATGCCTGGCTAAATATTATAGCTGAAGCTATTTGGTAAAGAGCCACATAAATTAAATAAACATGCCAATTATTATAACAGTATTTTCAGTGTATTTTTAGAGTGATAAATAATGATGATTTTTAAAAACATAAATCACTAATGAAAAGATTTGTAATTAATGGAAATATAAATAATGAATTAATGATTTGGTTATGAAAACTAGTGAATTTGTATGATTTAAAATGTAGACATGTACACATATGTAAGAATTCCTTCTATAATATGTTTATCCCTTAATAGATTTGGGTTTCTAATTTATTAAGTCTGCAAACAGCCCATAAGTAAGAGTTGTCATAGGAATCTAATTATTTGGTTTGTGAATTCCCAGTGACTGAGAGTAGAGTATGCCTTATCTAGTAATATAAATTTTAGACAGACAACAAATAAATAAGATATATTATTGAAAATATGCTTTGCACAAAAATAACTATACTCTATGATATAGAAAATACAAAGACTTATTTCCAGATACCCCCAGGTAAGCCCAAACTAACACAAGACACTCTGGGCACAGGCAACTAAGCTTCTTCATAAGGAGATAAACAGAAAGTAGGTCAATAGCATGGAGTCTCAGTACAGACACACAACCTGTGCTCACCCTGGGAGACAGAGAATTGGTTGTAGATCTATGAAAATAGTGTTGAGACTAGTTTTATTAGTTGGGAAATGATAAAAATAATAATGATAAGATGAAAACACATATCATTCTTACTATGTAGCATGCAATTTTTAAGTTCTTTACCTATTATCTCTTTTAAGGTGCCCAAAAATCATGGTCTAGTTTTCCCTGCTTTCACCCTCACAACTGGAGGGTTCATGGAGCTCTCCAGGGGATGACGGTTGTGCCATGCAGAGCAGCATTTCTAAGCAAGTGTGAGTTCATGTGAGTAGAGCCAAACACGAGTCAAATTTCCATTAAAAAAACTATGAGTTCCGCGAGGTGCGGTGGCTCATGCCTGTAATCCCAACACTTTGGGAGCCTGAGGTGGGTGGATCACCTGAGGTCAGGAGTTTGGAACCAGTCTGGCCAACATGGTGAAGCCCCATCTCTACTAAAAACACAAAAATTAGCGTGGTAGCAGGGGCCTGTAATCCCAGCTTTTTCGGAGGCTGAGGCAGGAGAATTGCTTGAACCTGGGAGGCGGAGGTTGCAGTGAGCTGAGATCGCACCACTGCACTCCAGCCCGGGCAACAAGAGAGAAACTCCATCTCAAAAACAAAAACAACAAAAGCAAACAACAACAACAAAAAACTATGAGTTCGCCATATAGTATGTCCTTAAAATAAGTAAAAGAATATTTGACAGGATTTTCATTCCTGTTTTGGCAGGTACATAGTAAAGGTTATCATATAAATCAGCCTAATTTTAACCAAAAGTTGAGTGAGCCTGGAGCATTATGTTTACAATTGTTCATGTTAAAGCCTATTCCCAGCCAGGTGTGGCGGGTCACGCCTGTAATCCCAGCAGTTTAGGAGGCTGAAGCAGGACTATCACTTGGGGTCAGGAGATGGAGACCAGTCTGGACAACATGGTGAAAACCCATCTCTACTAAAAATACAAAAATTAGCTGGGTGTGGTGGCACGTGCTTGTATTCTCAGCTACTGGGGAGGCTGAGGCAGGAGAATTGCTTGAACCTGGGAGGCGGAGGTTGCAGTGAGCGGCGATGGTGTCACTGCACTCTAGACTCCAGCCTGGGCGACAAAGCAAGACTCAGTATCAAAAACAGAAACAAACAAACAAAAAAACACCTATTCCCTTGAAAAACATACAATCTGCTCTCAGGACTAAAACATGCAAGATTTAGAAAAAAGAAAACCTTAGAATAATTTAAATTGGTAACACTCAAGAACATGTTATAAACAAAGATATAATTATGGTGGTAAATCAGTCATATAAGACCTTCACTACTATCAGTATTATTTTCTTCCTCTTTGGGAAAATGTTGACTTACTGCACATGTACATTTAATACCATTATACACATACACACACACACACACACACACACACACGAATGAGACAAATGTGATTGAATTTATAAGTATATTATTATTCCAGAGCTTTTGTTGATTTCAAGTAGAATAAAGTCATCAAGAAAATGGATGCATAGATGTCAATAAGAAATAATAATAAATGATGGAATGTGTTGGAGCTGTTGGCTTATGGTAATATTATAAATTAGATATTCTGAAGAAGATATCCTCTTGGAGTTATGGGGTTCCAAATTAAAAGAGGTAGCTGAAAACTGAAACAGTCAGCTGATGCTGAAACTGTAGACATTTTTCACTCAGTATATCCTATAAGGTGAGGGTAGACAAAGGGTCTTAAGACAGTGCAACTTGAAGTTTTGGAACTGAGATGTTGGCATAATGCTAAAACTCTTGAAGTGGTATATTTGGATCATATGGTAATTCCTTGAAAAGCTACAAATTTATATCTCTGGGGAATATATATATATGAGTTTAATAAATCAATAAAGAGAATATAGACATGGGTTTCCATGCAAGTAAAGAGATTATCACAAATTCAGTGATAAACCTATGGGAAGATAAAAGATCTTCACAAGTAGTGCAGGTAGCCAATGGGAAGTGGTTGAACACCAGAGTGAGAGAAAGCTTTGAAGATTTGCTTTTGACTCAACATCTAACTCTAAAGGCTTTATCAATGGATGCTCTTTACATCAGGAATGTAACATTTATGTTTGCAAAAGAAGGCCCACTATTAGCAAGATAATTTTAGTGTAACCCAAATCCCTAGCTGGAGTGAACTGACTGATTACATATACTTGCTCACGTATTCTTCCACCTACTCTATTTCAAAATAACAAAAGTGTATGGGTTACAAACCAAAAGCATTACATCTTCACAATATAGTTTGTTTGAAAGAATTCAAAGGTACACTTCTCAGTAGGAGAGTTGCATCATGTGGGAGATCAGAGGCGATTCTTTGGTGCCTTTGGTTCTCAACCCTGTAGTCTCTTCCCTTCCTTTCTCTTGAATTAAGTTAGGATTAACAAGGAACACTGGTTGACTATCTGCCATGCCGCTAAAAAGGAAGAATAGCTAATCTTTCTGTGAAACTTGACCTTGCAGATGAAAATAACTAGATCAATCAGAAGTACAATTTCCATACAAGAGAAATCAAAGGCAACACGAACAACTTAAAAGATCTGAAAAAATTATAATTTTAAAATAAGCATGATGACTATACTTCAGAAAACAGTTTAGCAAAATGAAATAAGAACAAGAAAGACTAAAGAAAACCCAAGTGAAAATATCAGGCATGAGAAAACGATAGTTGACATAATGAATATGAGATAGGAGTTAAATAGCAGGATAAATGAAGCTGAATTATTAGTAAAGAAGAAGATTAAATTAAGGCAAATAATTCTTGAAAGAAAGAACATATATCAAAAAAGTTAAGTGATATAGGTTTTTAAGTAGCAGATCCATTAACAGTTCATAAGAACTCCAGAAAAATAGAAACATAAAAACAGAAAGTAGAAAAGAGTTAAATAAGTTGTAAAATAAATTTTCCGCAAGTGAATACACAATCTAGAATTGAAAGGTTTTTTAAAATGGCAATTAGGGTAGAAGAATAAATTCACAAATACTTGCATAGAACAAAATTTAAAGAGACTAATTACAAATATATTCTGGAAAAAATAATACTCATACAGGAAAAATAATTATATTGACATCAGATTCTCAATAGCAAAATGCTTATAATGACAACTGAATATTTTAAAATTAGTAATTAAATGTTAAAACATTTATATGTCATTTTATAATATAAATATTCTTAGGAATAAAAGGAACAAAAATAGCTTCAATATTATGGATTGTCAATAATTCAGGATAGTTCTGAACTATTTCTATTTAAATAATTTAATAATAATTTAATTAATAAATTAAATAACAGTATTTAATCATTAATAACCATTTTTCCTTTTCACCTTGAAAATCACTCTTGGAAAAAAAGACTTTATTAAAAAAAAACTCCAGGAGAATTTGACAAGAAAATAATTTTATGACTTCAGATATATTTTACTTAAATAGCATAAAAACAAAAAAGAGAGACAGAGAGAGAAACTAGTTCCATAAGAAGGGAACTGGAAAGACATGTTTGGGGTTGGGGGAGTAGAAAACAAAGGAATTTGAATTTTATCTAAAACTTTGTCCTTTGATGGGAAGATATAAATGTTAATGAAGTTAATAAATTAATAAAGAGAAAAACTATATTTGTAGATTAACTAGAAGAAATTAGGCCTATAAAATGAAAGCAGGAAATAGGAAAAATAAGAGCACAGTAAAAATATACATTGTAGAGGAGAGAAATAAAACCTAATGTAACAATAATAATAATAATTGTAAATGTTTTAAATTTACCATTTAAACCTCTTCTATGGGTCAAAAATATGGTCTAGTAATGTATTGTCTTCAAGAAACACTTAAAACAAAAGGACAAAAATGTATGTGTGTGCAGGGGAGGATGTGTATGTGTACTTGGTTCAAATAGGAAACAAAATAAATTTGGTGTATCAATACTAAAATCTCAGATAAAATGTTGATTAAAAATATTGTAGAGAATTGGGGGGAATATATCTGTAACAGGTATCATAGAACAGGAAGATATAAGCATCATCAACATATAATCATCTAATAAGAGATTTAACACTGAATATATAAGTTAATTATATAAATTAAATTGATTAATGGAGAGATAGGTAGATAAATGAATAGATCAACAAATTGTTTTGTAATCTAACATATCTCACAAAAAACAAAAACTTCAACAGAAGAATCACTTGAGATATAAATAATATGAAAAGGAAGCAGCTCAAACTATTTGAAATATAAAAAAAATAGAAAACCCTACTAGACATATAAAGAATAACCAGAGCATTTGAGTAGGAATAATCCCCTGCAACCCATTCTTTTAAACACACATTAACAAAAAATGAGTGCATTAGGCCATAAAGACAGCTTCATAAAAAACAATTGGAGAAATTATACATATAATTTTATCAGATATCATTCAGTAATATTAGAATAAATATCAATAGGCTGCTGAGAGTAGCACACTATAAACAGAAACTAAATAATATTATTCAATAACCCTAAAAGAAAATCATAATGTGATTATGAAATATTTAGACTGAACCAAAGGAAAGCACCACATGATGAAATTCATGGAGCGCTGAAAAAAAACAGTATTTGTGGGAAACTTATAGCTTTAATTATCATGAAACAAGAAAGGTTATAGAATAGAAACTATTCATCTGGTGTAAGAGGTTGCAAGATAGTAACAACATTAGCAAAGAAAAACAAGAAGGAAATAGGGAAGAAAAAGAAATAAAAAATATAAACAAAATTTGAATTAGAATTTGTTGTCATTAGCATTAATAAAATCTCATAGCCAAACCTGTCTCAAGTCTGAATTAAAAAAATAAAAGTAGAATTTTAAAATAAACAAAATGTAGAATGAATATAACTGGAAATACAACAGAGACTTGATGTAAAGAGTAGTTATTACATTCTAATAAGTCTAGTCTAGTAATTCTACATGTAAAATGATACATTTCTGAAAAAACACAAAATGCCAAAATAGGACAAGAAGAAAAATAAAACTTACATTAATGAGTAAAATTTGAAACAAAACAAACAACAACAAAAAAATCAATCATAACAAAAAAAAAGCCTTAAGTGGCTACCTTTGATGGCCGCACCCAAATGCTTTTGTAGATGATTTCAGAAAATAAACAGTTTCTATACTATAACATACAGTCAGAAAGTCAGAAAATAAATGGTTTCTATATTATAATACTTTTCAAGAAAATATAAAATAGCAAAATATATGCTGCTGTTTGTGTGAGACTAGAGCATTTGAGTAGGAATAATCCCCTGCAACCCATTATTATGAAAGCTTAGAAATTCTTCTAAGTTCCCTAAGGGATCCAGAGAGAGGATGACCATCAGAGTTTTCTGTGGCAATTCATGTCGTCATTGATTTGTACCAATGGAGAATTCAACAATTAGAAGCACAAATCAAACAACACAGAAAGATCTCCAAGAATACAGTGCTGAGTGAAAAATTAAGCAAACGCGTGTGACAAAAACCATGATATTATGTGAATTAACAGCATAAAAGCACACACTTTTTTGTGGTGAGTACACTTAAAATCTACTCTCTTAGTTTTCAAGTAAACAACACATTGTTTCTAACTATAGTCATTGTGTTGTATAATAGATCTCTTGAATTTATTCACCCTAATTGTTGTTAAAAAGCACACACACAGAACAAGAAAATATGTTTTATAATAATACTAATGAAAACAAGTCATGAAACAAATTGATATAGTTGACAATGGGAAGAAGAGTTACATAGGGAATTGTGACAAAAAGTAATAAATGGATGGAATGGTTGATAAATAGTTACAAATGAAGTAAAAAATTAATTTTGAAAGGCTAATTATTATAGACACTTGTCTGTGTCTGGGATGCAAACAGGAGATATAGATTGATACACATTTATAAAATTGTTTAAAAATAATTTTTTGGCCAACGGAAACAACACAGGAATGTATATTTTCAACTTGTGCTCTAGGTAAAGGAAAAATACTTTCCTGAGTATTTTCTGAGTGTTTTTCAGAGTATCTGTAACCACAGTATGTCCTCTTAAGGGTTGCAGTGCAAATTTATACTGTGGATATAGTCACAAAAACTCAAGAAATAAGTTAAAATGGTCTTTTTTTAGTAACGCCTTAAGGTCCTTTGCAGCAGAGAAGCGCTTCATCTTTGAGAATCTGTGTCCTAGACTCATGCCTCACAAAATTCTCAAAGAGAACTAGACAAAACACATTTTCAGAGTCCAAATGTATAAAACATGTGTGCATAACAAGTTACTAGAATGGATGGCAGTGGAATCAACAGACTATGCTCCCCCAAATTTCAAACATTGAAATTCCTGAATATAGAATATAAATTGATAAGATGAAAAATGTTTAAGGAGATACAGAGAATTACTAACACATGTAAGGTATAAGATCCTTTTATATGAATGATTAGGATAGTTTGAAAATAAATTTTAAAATTCAATTTAAAAGATATATTCTAGAAAAATACATATAACATCAAATCCAACTTTAGAAGATATAGATTATCAATATAACTTTACCTTTATTTTTTAAAAGTGAACATTCTTATAAAATTCTGTCCAAAAATTCAAAAATACCTAAGATGTACCCACGATAATTCAATAAATCATTGAAAAAATAGTTCCTGTTCTATGCAAATTTTTTCCAGAGGAAAAAAACAAGAAGGGCAAATTTTCCTCATCTCATTTGATGAATCTGGTATTTAGTATTAAGGTAATAAAACCCAAAGTAAAATATTATGGATCAATTTACTTATAAAATAGATGCAAAATTGATAAAATATTTAGCAAAATGAATGCACTGATACACACATTTGAGCACAATATGCATATACACCTACATCAATCTTAGGTTAACTGTAAGTATTCAGGATGCATTTATATTAGAAAATTTAGTATTACTATTCACCATCTAAAAAAGAAATTGATCATATTAATATATGCCCAAATATGCACAAGTAAATATCTACTCACTGAAAAATATGAATAAATTAGCAAACTAGTAACACTCTATTGAGAACATTTGTCAACGTGTGAATAGAATCCTGCAGAAAACACTTCACTTTATGATGAAACATTAGATGCATTCCACTTAAAATCAAGAATCTGGCCATGATATTCACAATCCATATTTCCATTAAACAACTTGCTGGCAATTTCAAACATTACAATGATAATAAATAAATAAATTGTATAAGGACAGAGAAAAAACGAATGACATTACCACTATTTGATAAAGTATATACTTGTTAATATAGAAAACAGAGTTAAACTTTAAACTTTAAATGTAAGAGCAAGTAAAAAAATGAAAACAAGAGGCTTAATTCTCCCTGTTGAAAATAATGGAACAGATTTCCCATCACTCTCTTTTCTTAGAGCATTTACTTTAAAGAAACTTCTAATCATAAGTTCTTTTTGTGTCTTTTTGAAGTGTGTACAACTCTTTTTAAAAGCTAAATAAGCCATTTGCCAGCTTGAAGACAAAGGAGTATCTTTTTCAAGGACCTGGGTAACGTGTCTGAAATGTAATGTTCAGGGATACAGTGTACCTGTATCCCAGTTCCTCTGGGAGAGGAGGAGCCTAACTTCATTACAAGTTGCAAAACTACCTCCAAGTTGCAAAACTACCTTTTGTCCTAAAGACATAAGAAATCATTTTTTCCTTTTAATAAAGCCAATTAGTTAACACAGGTAGTCACCAACTCAATTGTGGATTAACTCTGTGACAAATGGTGCTGTCAAATCCAGTTACTTGATAACTAGTTATTGTTTTTGTGGATAGCATGTATGAGATGGGCTGTATTTGCTTGGTTATAGAAAAGGGTAAATTTTATTTCTGCTTTTTCATGTCTTAGTGGATTGCCTATGATGTGCATCAAATTGTTGTTTAATGCTTATTTAATAATAAAACCACTTCTTTTTCATCTACTTTGTATAGAGTTTTGCCTGGTTGTGAGATTTAAAAATATATATATTTTCTTAACAATTCTCATAATTAGTACTATAATTCAAAGAGCAATTTGATCAATATATACAAATGAATTACATGCTTATATACAAAGTATATATTTAATACAACTCTAAATAAAATACCATTATAATAGTAATACTATATACAGGAATACATTTAGCAAAGTATCTGTAATATCTCTGTGAAAATACTCTTTATGGAAAGTATAATAAATAGTACTGAAAGACATTTAAAAATGTATCTATTGACCCATATATATAAATAGATAGATGATAGATAGAGGATGATAGATAGATAGATAGATAGATAGATAGATAGATAGACAAATTGTAAGGCAATCAATATATTAAGCATCTTAATTCTCCTTAAATCCAACTGTATTTCAAACAGAATGTTAATTTTTTCATTGAAACATTTGGAAGTGTGATGACTAAGAACTGATAAAACAATTTTGGAGAAAAAAAGGTGGAGAGATTTACTATGTATCAAAACTTCTTATAGTTTTTACTACTATGAATAGGCAGATAGACAGATTGCTAAAATGGAGACACAAGAAATACAATATGGCATATGCAAGTTACAAATGTGGCACTGCAAGTCACTGGGGAAAGGATAAATTATATAATAAATGGCACTTGAACTTTTATATATTCATGTAGATAAAAATAAAATAGACTTCTGCATCAAACAATACAGAATAATAATATTTAGTTCAAAGATCCAAATATAAAAAACAAAACTCTTAAATTTTTTGAAAGCTAATATATGCTTCTATATAACCAAAGAGTAAGAAATAATTTAGTAAACAAATACTAAAAATGAAACCCTGTAGAAATATTGATAGTTACCAAATTTAAAAATATGTGTGAATTAATGATGTGAAAAGACAAGCATACATTGGAAAAAAACATTTGCAATGAATGTCACTATAAAGCTTTAGTTCTCAGAATATATAAAGCACTAAAAATCAATTTAGAAACAAAGAATCCAATGGTAACAAAAATGGGTTACATATATGAATGGGACCAAGAAAGAAACTAGAATCAATGCTGATGATTTTCATCAGATGATGAGTAATATTTTTGTTGGAGAAAAATCAGTAACCCATTTCTAGAGTAATTTGTAAGCACTAACTATATTTTAGCATGCAGGTATTCTTGGAGATAGCAAATCCAGTTATGAGGGTGTGTCCTAGGGTAATTTCTGTACACTTGAAAAAATGTATAAGAATGTTCCTAGCAGCATTGTATGAACATTCTGTCCTTTATATGATGTATGCGGTATATTTGTAAATGGGATATTATAGAGGAAATACATGAATTAAAGCTATTGGAATCAATATGCATAAATACATTCCAACTATATAACATTTTATATCATGCAAAATCACTATTTATTGTTTATCAGCATTTGCATACATATCAAACATAAAAAGAATATAATAGGAATCCTTAATAAAACATTTTTTTAAAGTTTTATTTTTAAACAGTGCTCAAGTAAGGAATATAACTGGGGAGAGGTAGAGACTTAACATTGTCAACATTTTATTTCTTACTTTTCTATTGGATTCACAAAGCTTTATTAAATTATTTATACATATTATTGCATATCTGAAATATTTTATAGTAAATGGAAGGAAAAGGAAGTATATATAAATGCCAAATTCCAACCTTAAACTAATAAAAATACTATTATTTAACTTCAGACATCTGTTGTGAATTTCATTATCACAGAGGAGAATGTGTTGCTACATGGAGACATTTGATTTTGTGTGTCTTCACAGGAGTGTGATTGAAACTGCTGTTTCACATAGAAAGGCCTGCGTGCAGCAGGTTGCAAACAGGTCCTGAAGGGACGGCACATCCCAGCTGGAGCGTGTGGCCCATCTGCCCGATTAGCACCGTGGCTGAAAGGAGCTGACAAGCAGCTTCTATTTTTATCTAATCTTTAAATTCCAGGAACCTCATTTCACTAAATCATAGCTTTCGAGTAGGATTGTAAAAGCTTTCCCTCTGCTCATTCCTTTTTAATCTAGGTTTCTCTCAAGAGCTCTACTCATGGAAGGCTCTATTCTGATAAACTCTCCGTCTCCCCTGCCATTACAACGTTGAAATGAAAATCCCCTGAGCTAAAAGTAAAACAAAACAGTGTCTAAGGATAACTTAGAAATTACTCATACTGCTAAAGGTATTTTAACAGATTTAAGAATTAATATTTCCTGTTTTTATATAGTTTTTGCATTGGGCATAATGCAGTACAGTATGCAAAGATTAGTATATTTACAATTGCTTTCACTACTTTTCTTAGAGGCAATAAAAATGCACCTGTGAATTTATTAAGCATTCCTATCATTGCTCTTTAAAAGTTAGTTTTAATTTTACTATATATTCAATGTATGTTTATATTTGAAAGACATATTTCACCCGGGTGTGGTGGCTAATGCCTGTAATCCCAGAACTTTGGGAGGCCGAGGTGGGCAGATGGCTTAAAGTCAGGAGTTGGAGACCAGCCTGGCCAACATGGTGAAACCCCATCTCTATTAAAAATACAAAAATTAGTCGGGTGTGGTGGCACATGCCTGTAGTCCCAGCTATTTGGGAGGCTGAGGCAGGAGAACCACTTGAATCTGGGAGACGGAGGTTGCAGTGAGCCGAGATCACATCATTGCACTCCAGCCTGGGTAAGAGAGTGAGACTCCATCTCAAAAGAATAAAAATAATAATAATAATAATTCTGGGGTACTGGACAACGGCAAGATAGTATGTCACACACATATTCTGAAGGATAGTGTAATATGTTAAAAGTAAATGTTAGTATCTAATTAATTACATGTGTGTGTGCATATTTAATGATTCCATTTATAATTATGGGATAGTAAGATACATGTACATGGTTATAAGGGTGAGTGTGGGTAATGAAATGCTTGAAGATGAATATGATATTAGAGGAGGAATCCAAATGATCTGTTCTTTGATATCAGTGATGAGGAAGCAAATTCAATTTCTAAGAGTTAGGGACAAGGCTAGAATGGGAATAGAAGGTTTCAACTGGAAACCGCTATATTCTGGCCATATAGGAAAGCAAGGATATCAAATGACAAGAAATAGATTAGCCTGTGATGTTAGTTTTTTTAAAGGGAGAATAATTCTGATCAATGTTACACTTTCAACTAATAAATTCCTCTTTTTTTTTTTTTTTTTTTTTGAGACAGGGTCTCGCTCTGTCCCCCAGGCTAGAGTGCAGAGGCATGATCTCAGCTCACTGCAACCTCCGCCTCCCAGGTTCAAGCAATTCTCCTGCTTCAGCCCTCCCGAGTAGCTGGGATTACAGGCACGCACCACCATGCCCGGCTAATTTTGTATATTTTTAGTAGAGACGGGGTTTCACCATGTTGGCCAGGCTGGTTTCGAACTTCTGACCTCAAGTGATATGTCTGCCTCGGCCTCCCAAAGTGTTAGGATTACAGGTGTGAGCCATCGTGCCTGGCAGCAACTGATCTATTCAATTAGAAATTTTTATGGTTGACATGCAATTAAAATGGAGTTAGATTTCAAAATTATAACAAGGAGGATATAGTACTTGCTCTGAATCAAAGTTGAACTGTATTAAAATTATTCACACAATTAGGAAAAAAATTAATGAACTAAAGACTTTCAATTATATAATTCATTATTGCAGCTAAAACAATGGCATAATTGTATTGAAAATGTGAATTCACTAATTCTTTACCCTTGGACTAGTGTAATTCAATTAATTCCAAATTTTAGAAAAGAAATACCATTTCAAAATAATGGAGGAAACTTTAATAAATAAGGCAGAAATCCCACAACATTTAAAATGATTAATACTTAAAGGGCCATAGGCATATCTTTTAAACAACAATACAAATTTCTGAAAGTCTGAGTATGTATCAAAATAAGTTTGAGATAACCTAAAATTATGTGATATTTCTATCCCAACAAGTGTTAAGTGGCTGATATTTTTGATACAATACAAGAGAAAAACACAGCAATCATGTACTAATTTCTCATACCAATTGATAGTCAAAAATTTTCAGTTCTTGAAACTGAAATATTAGCCATAGGACATCACGCATGGTAGAAAGCATACATTCTTACGTGTTAATATTGTAGCTGTGTTAAAGCACTCAAATTTTAAACTTATTTTAGAGTCAAATAAAAATTAGATGCAGTAGAAGTTAGGTCTGAGGCTCTGAATTATACCATCCTATTGGGAATTCAGAAGAAAATTGAAATAAATATAATATCTATTTGTGTTTATTTATCAAAACTATGTAATATCATCAGTATCTTCAAGGATGATATGAAAGCCACATTTCACTTCATTCCTTTCAGAACACGGTAATATCACAGTAGTCTGCTAAGCCAATGCACAATCACAAAGGTCAGGAAAAGTCCAAAGGCACAGTGGAATAGAAATGTTAATAATAGTCTATAAATAGCATAATCTATAACTCATACAAATGAGAAAGAGTTATGTTTATAAGGATGAAGGAGATAGGGCAGGATCATGCTCAAAATTTAAGTGGACTCTGTGGGAAAAGATGGACTGCAAAGAAGATCAAGGTTATGAGATCAGAAACTGACACACAGATGTCTGACTTTTGGATAAAGGTCACAGGTCTGGAAAAAATCTTTCAGAATTTCTCAAATGTTAGTGTGCATAAGAATCACCAGGGAACTTGTTAAACTGCTGACTTGGATTCTACTTGAAGAGAAACGAATTGACTCAATATGTTCTGTCTAACATATCTTAAAAATAAACACATCATGGGAGTCCTTTCTTACAATTGATCTCAAAATTGTATTGAAAATAAGGAATCAAAAACACACATCACAATTGAAGTTAATAATCAGTCGGTTTGTGTTTATTTGGGATTAAATTAGTTCCCTATTTTCAGTTCTGCCATTTCTCTTATGTCTATACTTCTATCTTCCATAATCTGATACAGAACTCTCTTAAAAATTATAGTTGAGATATATTATTGTAAAATTTTAGAAATAATAGCAGTCTCCGGTTTATACTCAAATCAGTGACTCAGTCGGTGAAACTAAAGCCAACATAGCATAGTAGAGCTTCTATAAATCACAGTATTTCCTTCGAGTTGTGAAATGGTGATTCTATTTCTCTAATATAATTTTAGAGCATTTTGCTTAGTTTATATGATTAGAATAAAGTTAGTTTAATAATGTATGAGTCTATCTAAGCTTCAAAATTAAAAATTAAAACATTTTTAAAAAACTATTATTTACTTCAGTTTTCATATGCTAATATTGTTCCTATATAGTATATTCTACATATGATATCCTGATACTGGTTACTTTTGTCCTTTTTTGATCTAGCTTTCTTCTTACTAGATCAATACTAGATTGTTGAACTTCTCTGGATTGTTATTTGATTTTTATTATTTTCAGAAACTTTTATTATTTCACTTTTATTGCTTGGTTTTATAATTTATGAGATACTCTACCAAGTGATATATCATGTATTCTGTTTAAAACCTTTGACATAATTTTTGAGAAAAATTTATTTAAAAATATTTTCAACATATTGCACCACACTTTGACATCATGAAAAAAACCAAAGGTTCTTCTATTGACAACTGTCTTAATATACAGAAATTTCTGAAAGAGATATTCTTCCTTCAACATAACCAAATTCAATTTCTCAAAATCAAAATTATGAATCAGATGCCAGAAAGACAAAACATTTGACGCTGCATTTGTAAATCTCTACTTATTTTTACCTATGATTTATTTTAAAATAAGGGCAAGTCCACATCATAATAAGGTATTAAAATGTATATTTAACTTTATTTTTTTGCTTTCTTCCTTCTTTATGTATGTTGGCTGTGTTATTCATTGAATTGTGTGCCCCCCAAAAGAGATGAGTTATAATGCTAAGCCAGTACCTCAGAATGTGACATTAATAGGAGATAGGTTGAGAGACAAACAAGGAGTCACTAAGACAATGGAAGAGATGTAAAGACGGTCACTTCCCTACCAAGCCTTCCCAGTGAAAACATAGGGAATGATGAAGACAAAGGGAATGCTGAATCTAAAGAAGCTGCTTTGAGAAGCAACTCTCTGAGATTCTGATGTCCTCTGGAATACAAGTGGCATGTGCAATGACTCATTCTCTCCATTCCAGGTCAGTGGATGCCTCAGACACCCAGAGTGTTGGAAATGGTATTAGGAGTATCAAGCGACAGTACTTTCAGTATCTTCATTTCTGTTCTCATGCAAAGGCAAAAGCAGCAGACACCACTCCTACTCTGATGACTCTCAGAAATAACTGAAGGCAGTATCTGTGGCTTAGAAACAGGGCCAGCTACATAACATGCAGGGCCTAGTGCAGCATGAAAATGTAACACATTTTGTTCAAAAATTAAGAATTTTAAGATGATGACAGCAGGGTTTTAAACCAAAGCACGCAGTCCTTCTAAACACAGGGTCCCATGCAAATGCATGAGTTACATATGCATAAAGGCAGCCCTACCTGAAGATGATTCATGCTTAAGCACACAGGGACATACATGATATAGTACTACTAGCATAATGAAATTGTGGTTAAATATGTAATCAATTTTCTGTTACTCCTACATTTATTAAGTATGGTAGCTTTTTGAAAGTTTAATTTTTAAATTTTCTGTTTTTAACTTCCTTTTATTTAAAAAATGTAAATAGTGCATGTACTAAGAGCATCTCTCTTAATAAATGTTTTAAAGTGTTAAATAAATGACTCATAATTTTAAGAGCTTATTCTTTAGTTTCATTATCAAAAGGACTAGTTATTCAAGAAATGTTTTCCAAACGATCTGAATTGTGTCCATGATGTCGAAATTTATATATAACATATATTATATGACAATAATTTATATATAACAAATATTTCTGATTAGCAACATTAATACAAAGTTGGTGATGTTTTATTATAGATTAATAAAATAAAAACCAAGTTTGTACCTTATTATGAGTTTACTCTTTTTCGTAGGATAGATTTCTAAATAGCAGTTGAATAGTGTTATTTTGAATATGAATATATACTAGCCAGGCCATCTGTATATACAGAAAGAGAAATTCCTAACATTGTGTACTTGTTGAGAGATTCAGGATACTTATTCTGCTCTTTGCTTAGTCCAATTTCTATTGGAATTTCCTGAAAATAAATTAAAATAAGTCGTCTTTCCTATCCAGTACAGTACCGGCCTTCCTGCCTTAGAAAAGGTAACAAATGAACCCTTTACTTATCTTCCCTCTTACATTTCTTCTTGGAACAATTTACATTCACAGGCCTGACATTTCCCATCCTTACTTTATATCCATATAGAACATCTTCTAAATAAGAATCCAATTTGGATTGATTTAATTATTATAATTATTTAATAATATTTTAAATATCTTTCTCATATTTCCAGTTGAAATTAAAGAGTAAGATAAAGTAAAATTTACTTAAAGAATGTTAAAAATATATATATGTATATACACACACCTTTTTGCTCACTGTAAGCAATACTTTCAAATTTTTTCATTATATTTTATTAAAAAAACCCAGAATAATAAAAGTCATATGATTCTCTTCTCAAAGACATTGCAAAGGGCCTTGTAATCAAATTTCTATATAGACAAAATATTGTGTTTTCTGAAATATACCCAGTATTTTATAAATAATATTCATGGTTTCTTGCCTTAGGTTCAAATAATTCATTTATTTATTATTTGTATTATATGCTACTATTTTAAATTGTGCTTTTTTCCTTTGTCCGTCAAGATATTTTCTGAATACCTTATCTCAATATCCTGTTCACTTCTTCAATCTATTGTGACATCTTAACATTATTTAATCAATTCATAGGTCCCTAGCCCTTCTGGGTTTAGCCTTTTAATTATTGCATGTTTATTATCATTTGTTGTTATTGTCTCATTTCATTAGATTTTCCCTCTTCCCCTTTTTTCTCATCTGTGAAATTCTAAACTATTTTTGAAGTACTTCTTTTCCATCTGTTTTTGTTCAAAAATATACATAGTTTTAAATAACAAAGCCCCTTTCCAATGAAGTTTTATAAACTTCTCTTATACAAGAGAAATTTGCATATTCATTTTCCACATACAAAACAGTGATTCGATTTTAATTTCAAAAGCCCTATTTTAATCACTTCCTAAGTTTTATTGATAGCTTGTATTGATCAATATGCTGTATCAACTAAAATTCTTTGTACTGAAATGAAAGATCATGGTAAAATCCATTCTTTCAAATCTTATATTGTATAGTGAAAATTCCTAAATTCATGTGATTATTTCTAAAAGAAAAACAGCATACATTATTATATATGAGAATATGCTATCTTAAATTTGACCTGTACAGTTAAATCATTGATTTGTTTTTCATAAATTCCTGTTGATTTATTATTGTTTGAGCAAAGCTACCTTAGAAATTCAATTTTTGTGCTTCCCTAAAACATACAACAAACTCCTTATTTTGATTGATTTGAATTATGACAATAATGCTTCTTCAGGTCATTTCCCTTGAATTAATAATGGTCTCCATCTCCTAATACTTTTCTAGCAAGATATTCTTGCTACTTATAAAGCAAATTCTTACAAGTAAGCTCTCCTTGAAAGTGTTTCATTCTCTCCTGTAGTAATTCTATCAGAGGCTTGTGCAAATTTTCTAAATCCATCTTTTATCTGGTATAGATGATTTAAAAAATAGACAAACATGTGAAGAAATACACTTTACTCCTGTTTCTTCTCTTGGCCATAAGTTGCCTTACTTACATTTTTTTTCTATCTTCTCTCTGTTAATTATTTAGCTGTTTCTTCTTTTGTATATTCATCTACCTTCTCTTGGTCTCCCCGAATAAATTTCTTCAGCAGTTTCTACTATGCTTGTATGCATTTCTGCTCATCCTTAAAACCATTTGTTACCTTATTAGAATAGTGTTAATATTTACGGATAAGAATTTTTACCAAAAATAACCTTTGGTACCTGCATGATATTTTGCTAACTGCATCTGTGGCTACTTACTAGAAGGGATGTGAAATGTTTTATCAAAAATGATACATGCAGTGATTCATTTTATGCATCAGCTTGACTGGGCCATGGACTACCCAAACATTTAGTCAAACATTTTCTGTGTGTCTGTGAGAACAGGTAGACTGAATAAAGCAGATAGTTCTCTCTAACATAGACGGACCTCATCCAAATAATTGAAGACATGAATGGAAGAAAAAAGGTAAAAAGTAGTTTCTTTTGCCTTACTATTTGAGTGAGGATATTGGTCTTTTCCTGCCTTCAAACTCATACTAAAACATTGGCTTATCTTAGGTCTTGAACCTGCCAACTTTCAGACTGGAACTACAGACCAACAATTCTGGTTTCCAGCTTGCCAACAACAGATCTTAGGGAATCTCAGCCTTTATAATTGTGTGAGCCAATTTCATATATATACAAGCTGTGTCTATGGGTACACCATCCATGCCATAATAGAAATCCCAAGAACTTGTTCATCGTATAACTGAAATTACGTACTCTTTGACCAACATTTCCAATTTCCTTCACCTCCCACCTCCTGAAAACCACCATTCTACTCTGTTATTATAGTAATCAAAATAGTATGGCATAAAAGGGCATAAAAAACAGAGCTGTAGGCTAAATAAACACAATAGAGATCCCAGAAATAAGCCCATGCATATATTGTCAACTAATCTTTGGGAAGAGTGCCATGAATACACGATTGGGAAAGGAATATCTCTTCAATAAATGATGATGAAAAAATTGAATATCCACATGCAAAAGAATGAAATTAGGCCCATGTCTTACACTATATACAAAAATTAACTTAACATGGAATAAAGACTTACATATAAGATCTGAAACTATAAAACTCCTAGAAAAACAAAAGCTTAGAAAAAATCTCTTTGACATTAATCTTGGCAATGATTTTTTAGGGTATCTTAAAAATCTTCTGCACAGCAAAGGAAACAACGACATTCAAATTCAACCTATATAATGGGTGAAAATATGTACAAACCATATATCTGATAAACAGTTAACAACCAAAATGTATAAGTAACTCACAAAACTCAATAGCAAAAAAGAACCCCCAAAACCTAAATAAATATGGGAAAATGACCTGAATAGACATGTTTTCCAATAAAAACATACAAATAGCCAATAGATATATGAAAAGGTACTCAACATCACTAATCATCAGATAAATACCATTCAAAACCAAAATGAGATATCACCTAGTACATGCGAGCATAGCTATTATCAAAAAGACAAGAGGTAACACATTTGCAAGGGTATGGAGAAAAGGGTGTAAAGAAAAGGTATACACCATTGATGTGAAGATAAGTTGGTATAGCCATTATAGAAAAAGGTGTGAAGATTCCTCAGTAAATTAAAAATAGAACTACCATACAATCCAGCAACTCTACTTCTCGGTACATAGCCAAAATAAATGAAATCAATATCTAAAAGAAATATCTTCAACTCTATGTTCACTGTAGCATTATTCACAACAGCCAAAGTATAAAAATTACCCAAAATTGATTATGTTATCATTATGAAATGACGGTCTTTATCTTTTGTAATATGCTCTACCCTGAAATTAACTTTGTCTGAGAGTGACTTTGCTAATCCAACTTTTAAAAAAAGTAGGGTTACCATCTTATATCTTTTCCATGCTTTAACTTTTCTTGTATTTGAATATGTATATATAAAGTACAGTTTTATAGGCAGCATATTATTCTTGGATTCTTGTAAAATCACACAATCTCTGCCTTTTAATTACAAGATTTAGAACATTTATATTAATGTGATTATGAACATATTTATTTTGAATCTATTATCCTGCTATATTTTTGCAATTGTGTTTTCTGTTATTTGATTCTTTTCCACTCTTTTTATCTCTGAATTTATTGAATATATTTTTGTATGCTTGTTTGTCATCTGTTTACTTTCTCTGGTTAGTATCTATTAAGAATTTTGCCTATTTTTAATTGGGTTCCTCCTCCTCCTCCTCCTCCTACTTTTCTTCTTCTTCTTCTTCTTCTTCTTCTTCTTCTTCTTCTTCTTCTTCTTCTTCTCCTTCTTCTTCTTCTTCTCCTTCTTCTTCTTCTTCATTTTCCTTTTTTTTTTCAGTTTTTCACCTTTTTTTTTTCTTTACTTTAAGTTCTGGGATACATGTGCAGAACTAGCATGTTTGCTGCATAGGTATACATGTGCCATGGTGGTTTGCTGCACTTATCAATCCATGATCTAGGTTTTATGCCCCGCACGCATTAGGTATTTGTCCTAATGCTCTCCCTCCCCTTGCCCCCCCACCCCCTGACAGGCCCCGATGTGTGATATTTCCCTTCCTGTGTCCATGTGTTCTATTGTTCAACTTCCACTTATGAGTGAGAACATGTGGTATTTGGTTTTCTGTTCCTGTGTTACTCTGCTAAGAATGATGGCTTCCTGTTTCATCCATGTCCCTGCAAAGGACATGAACTAATTCTATTTTATGGCTGCATAGTATTCCATGGTGTCTATGTGCCACATTTTCTTTATCCAGTCTATCATTGATGGGCATTTGGGTTGGTTCCAAGTCTTTGCTACTGTAAATAGTTCTGCATTAAACATACATGTGCATGTGTCTTTATAGTAGAATGAATTATAATCCTTTGGTTATATACCCAGTAATGGGATTGCTGGGTCAAATGGTATTAGTTCTAGATCCTTGAGGAATCGCCACACTGTCTTCCACAATGGTTGAACTAAGTCCTTTGTTTGTTTGTTTGTTTGAGACAAGATCTTGTTCTGTCACCCAGGCTGGAGTGCACTGTTGTGATCATGGCTCACTGCAGCCTCCACCTTTCTGCCCTAAAGGCTCAAGCAATCCTTTAACCTCACCCACCCAAATAGCTGGGCCTACAGGTGACTACAAGGCCATGCCCCCACACCCAACAAATTTTTGTATTCTTTTGTAGAGTGGGTTGCACCATGTTGCTCAGGCTGTTCTCAGAGTCCTGGGCTCAAGTGATCTGCCTGCCTTGGCCTCCCAAAGTGCTGAGATTACAGGCATGAGCCACCACATTTGGCCTATTCTTTGTTTTCTTATTGTTGAGTTTTAAAAGATGGGCATTTGGGTTGATTCCATGTTTTTGCTATTGTGAATTATGCTGCAATAAACACTTGCATGCATGTATCTTTATAATAGAGTGATTTATATTCCTTTGGGTATATACCCAGTAATGGGATTGCTGGGTCAACTCTCAATCAACTCAGTATTTAGGGAAAATACCTCAAAATAATAAGAGCCATTTATGACAAACCCACAGCCAGTATCATACTGAATGGCAAAAGCTGGAAGCATTCCCCTTAAAAACCAGCACAAGACAAAGATGACCTCTCTTACCACTCCAACATAATATTGGAAGTTCTGGCCAGGGCAATCAGGCAAAAGAAAGAAATAAAGGGTATTCAAATAGGAAGAGAGGACGTCAAATTGCCTCTGTTTGCAGATGACATGCTCCCATATCTAGAAAACCCCATTGTCTTAGCCCAAAAGCATTTAAGCTGATAAGCAACTTCAGCAAAGTCTCAGGATAAAAAATCAATGTGGGAAAATTGCAAGCATTCCTATACACCAACAATAGACAAGCAGAGAGCCAAATCACGAATGAACTCCAATTCACAATTCCTAAAAGAGAATAAAATGCCTGAGAATACAGTTAACAAGGGAAGTGAAGGCCCTCTTCAAGGAGAACTATGAACCAGAGCTCAAGGAAACAATAAAAAATGACACAAACAAATGGAAAAACATTCCATGCTCATGAATAAGAAGAATCAATATCATGAAAATGACCATACTGCTCAAAGTAGTTTATAGATTCAATGCTATTCCCATTAAACTTCCATTGACGTTCTTCACAGAATTAGAAAAAACTATTTTAAATTTTATGTGGAACCAAAAGAGAGCCCATATAGCCAAGGCAATCCTAAGCAAAAAGAACAAAGCTGGGGACACTATGGCACCTGACTCCAAACTATACTACAAGCTACAGTAACCAAAACAGCATGGTACTGGTACAAAAACAGACACATAGACCAATGGAACAGAATAGAGAACCCAGAAATAAGATCGCACATCTACAACCATCTGATCTTCGACAAACCTATCAAAAGCAAGCAATGGGGGAATGGCTTCCTATTTAATAAATGTTGCTGTGAGAACTGGCTAGCCATATGCAGAAAATTGAAACTGGACCCCTTTCTTACATTATATACAAAAATTAACTCAAGATGGATTAAAGACTTAAACGTAAAATCAAAAACTATAAAAACCCAGATGAAAACCTAGGTAATACCATTCAGGACATAGGCACAGGCAAAGATATCATGATGAAACCACCAAAAGCAACTGCAACAAAAGCAAAAATTGGCGAATGGGATCTAATTAAACTAAAGAGCTTATGTACAGCAAAAGAAACCCTCATCAGGGCAACTTACAGAGTGGGAGAAAATTTTTGCAATCTATCCATCGGACAAAGGTCTAATATCCAGAATCTAAAAGGAACTTAATTAAATTTACAGGAAAACAAACAAACAACCCCATTAAACAGTGGGCAAAAGCCATGAACACACACTTTTCAAAAGAAGACATTTTTGTGGCCAACAAGCATTTGAAAAAAAGCTCAACATCACTGATCATCAGAAAAATGGAAATCAAAACCACAATGAGATATCATCTCACACCACTCAGAATGGTGATTATTAAAAGGTCAAGAAACAACAGATGCTGGTGATGCTGTGGAAAAATAGGAGTGCTTTTACACTGTTGGTGGGAATGCAAATTAGTTTAACCATTGTGGAAGACAGTGTGGTAATTCCTCAAAGACCTAGAATCATTAGTCCTTTGATTTTCTATAACACATCTAAAATGAACTGTACTCATTAAAGCATCTTCCCTTGATATTCTATTTTTAAATTTCCTTTTAATTATTTTTAAATTGGCATAATAATTGTACATATTTATTGGGTATAGAGTGATAGTTTAATATATGTATACAACATGTAATAACCTAATCAAGGTAATTAGCATATCTTTCCCTTTAAACATTTTTTATTTCTTTGTATTATTAGCACTAAAATCTTCTCTTTTAGGTATTTTAAAATATACAATAAATTATTGTTAACTATAGTCAACCCACAGTTCTGAAGAACACTGGAACTTATTCCTCCTATTTAGCTGTAATTTTTGGTTTGTTAACTAAACTCTCCTTATCCACCCCTTCCCCTGACCGTTTCCAGCCTCTAATAACCACAATTCTGCTCTCTATTTCCATGAGCCCAACATTTTAAGCTCCTCTATATGAGTTAGAGCAAGTGGTATTTATCTTTCTGTGTCTGACCCATTTCACTTACTCCAATGTCCTCCAGGCTCAACCATGTTGTCACGAATGACAAGATTTCACTCCTGTTTGTGGCTAACTAGTATTCCAATATGCATATATGTCACATTTTCATTATCCATTTATCTGTTGGCAGACACTTTGGTTGACTATATCTTAGCCTTTGTCAATGGTGCTGTAATAAACATGGGAATGCAGATATCTCTTTGATATACTAATTTTTTTTCTTTGAGTCAATACCTAGTAGAGGATTGATGAATCATATCATATTCCTATACTAATTTTTAAAGGAGCTTCCATAATATTTTCCATAATGGCTGCACTAGCTTACATTTCCAATGGCTGAGTTTCTTTTCTGCCCATCTTTACCAGCATTTCTTATTTTTGGTCTTTTTTATAATAGCCATTCTGTCTTGGGTGAGGTAATATCTCATGTGGTTTTGGTTTGCATTTTCCTGATGATAAGTTACATCGGGGATTCGTATGTTTTCTTTTAATAAATGACTATGCAGATCCTTTGCCCACTTTTTAATGGGATTTTTTGTTTGTTTGTTGTTTCTGTTAGATGTTGCATTGAGTTCCTTGGATATTTTGGATATTAATTTGTTATTAGACAAACCCTTTGCAAGTGTTTTATCCTATTTTACATGTTATCTACTTAATCATTTCATAGTTTCTGTGTAAAAGCTTTTTAGTTTGATATAATATCTTTTGTCTATTTTTGTCTGTTCATCTGAAGTCTTACTCATAAAATCTTCACACAGACCAATCTCCTGAAGAATTTTCTCTATGTTTTCTTCTACAGGTTGCATAGTTTTGAGCTTTACATGTAAGTGTTTAATTCATTTTGAGTTGATTTTTGAATATTGTGGGATATAGGAGTCTAGTTTTATTCTTCGACATATATATGTCCAGTTTTCCTAGGACCATTTACTGAAGAGGCTGTTATTTCTCCAATGTATATTCTTGGCACCTTTGTGGAAAATCAGCTGCCTGAAAATACAAATATAAGGGAATCGCTGAAAGATTAATATTAGATTTCTCAGCAGAAACCTTACAGGCCAAAAAAGAACGGGATAATGTATTCATGTTCTGAAAGAAAAAGAAAAGAACCTGCTAGCCAAGAATTCTATACCCATCAAGGCTATCCATTAGAAATAAAAGATAAATAAAGCCTTTCTCAGGCATGCAAACTTGAGGAAATTCAAAATCCCTAGACTAACCCTACAAAAATTTTTAAGTGAGTTTTACATCTAGAAGAAAAAGGATAATATATACTGTCATGAAAACATACAAAAATATAATACTCACTAATAAAGCTGTTACACAAATGAGAAAGAGAAAGGAATCGAATCTGATAACTATAGAAATCCATCAACCCACAAAAATAAATTAAAAGAGAGAAACAAAGGCTGTATGAAACAACCAGAAAACAATTAACAGAATGAAACATGTAACTCTTCAACTATCAATAAAAATTTTGAATTCAAATGGTTTAAATTCCTCCAATTAAAAAATATAGACTGGCTGAATTAATAAAAATGAAATAAAATACAACAAGATGCAACTGTATGCTGCCTATAAGAAATTCTCTTCCCAAAAAGACACTCATAGACTAAAAGTAAAGAGAGGAAAAAAGACATACCATGCAAATGGAAATCAAAAGCAAGCAGGAGTAACTATATTCATATCACATAAAATAGACTTTAAGTAAAAAAACACAAATGAAGACAAAAAGGTATTATATAATAATATAGGAATCAATTCAGCAAGAGTATATAACAATTTCAAATATATATGCACTCAATACCAAAGCACCCCGACATATAACGGAAATGTTATTAGAGCTAAAGGAAGGAATAGACTCCAATACAATAAGAGTTTAGGACTTCAACACCTCACATTCAGCATTGGGCAGATCATCTAGACAGATAATCAGCATAGAAACCTTGAACTTAACTGTACTATAGACCATACAGACCTCACAGACATTTAGAAAACATTTCATCCAACAGCTGATGAATACACATTCTTCTCATCAGCACACGGAATATTCTCCAGGATAGATCATATGTTAGGCCACAACAGAAGTTTCAACGCATTTTAAAAGATCAAAATTATATCAAGCATCTTCAGACCACAATGGAATAAAGCTAGAAATCAATAATAAAAAATCTGAAAACTGTACAATACATATACAAATACATGAAAATTAAACAACATGCTCCTTAATGATGAATGGGTCAGTGAAGAAATTAATAGGAAAATAAAAAATTCCTTAATATTAGATTTTTAACACAAACATTAGGTGCTAATTGGCATCAGTTATGATAAAATGGTATCACTGCTTATATATTAGATGTGTCATTGACATATAACGTCAATATCTACAGTAAGTGATCAGTGAAAGTCTGATGCAAAGGGATACTAATAGATAATATGCAGGAGTTTTAAATCAAATGGCAGGCATATATAATTATCTGTTATCCATTGATGAATGTCAGTTTAATTGACATTAGTTCAATGTACAAAATAATACACAGTTAATAAGGAACATCTAATCAGAGTTCATAATTTTCCTTCACATCTGCAAAGCCAAAGTGTGTTTATTTACTAAAGTATATCTTTCCTTTCCACCACCAACACACAGAACAAAGATAAAATTATATCAAGAGAATTCTCATTTTGTTATTCTTCCAGACTATAAAGGTGAAATGAAATACAAAACAAAGTAATTTTAAAGGAAGATAACAAGGTTCTGAAATCTATTAGGAATACTATAAGGGAAAACATATCAACAAATGAATTCACAAGTAATTATCTACTACTTTAATGAATACATATACTACATTAATTTCTTTCTAAGTATGAGAATAGTTATTTGAACAAAGTTTTATAATTAGATAACAAATATAGGCACCCCTCAGTGAAAACATTATTAACAAATAGTTTCATTCTAATACAATAGCAAACACTTAAAATCTAAGATATATTTAATTATAGCCTACTTAGCATTTTAAAATTTAAAATGTGTGATGGTTAATTTTATGTGTCTAACTGACTGGGTCACATGGTGCCAAAATATTTATTTAAATATCAGTCTGGGTAGTGTTTCTGTAAGGAAGTATTTGAATGAAATTGACATATAAATCGGTAGACCAAGTAAAGCAGATTACTCTCCCTAATTGGGGTGGACCTCAAGCAAACACTAAATCCTCAGTAGAACAAAAAAGGCTGATCTTCCCCTGAGTGAGAGAATTTCTCCTGCCTAACTGCCTTTCAACTAGGAAATTGACTATTGCCTTTGACCTTGAACTGAGGCACTGACTCTTCTTGGGTCTCAAGCAAGCCAGCCTTCAGAATAATCCTACACTATCAGCAAGCCTGGGTGTCCAGTTTGGTGATTCATCTTATTGCACTTGGGATGATTGGCCTCTAATCTGCATGAGCCAATAATTATAATAAATATTTTTATATATCTACATATGTATATAGACACATATAAACATACATATTAACATCCCATTATCTTATTATATCTGTTTCACTGTAGAACTATATGTTTTTAATACTATCATGTGTATGTGTGTGTGTGTATGTATATTTTTATGGGTATGAACTCAATATAATACTATTTTGATTTAAAAAATAACTGCTTTTAAATTGACTAGTTTAGGAAACATCTGTTTCTTATTGATATGTGTCTTACAATAAATTATCTGATTGATAAATTGAAAACACCACAGTAAAGTTTTTTAAATAAAGTCAAACACATATCAATAAGAAACAGATATCATAAAATATCACATATTTTGTGATATACCTTTAATCTTTGCAAAAAACAGGAAAACTTTACATCAAGAAATGTCTCAAGAAGCAGAAAATTGTAGGCTCTAAGCAGCTATATTTTGAAAATATGCTCCTGACTAAAAAGAACATAATGTTTAACTATAACAGCAAGTATAAAAAATATCTATTGTACAGTGATTATAGTTCATTTCAGTGAGCTAATTTTTGTCAGGGTAATATTTAATTGGTAGGGAAATTAATAGTTCTAAATCAGAATATCTACTTATTCTGGTATAATTGCATATGAAATTGAATATTCTTACAGTACTCTTCCTTTTCAGAAATGAGGTAGCATTGATAAGAAAATGCTTGTATTGTTCACAGGTGATTCCCACAGCAATACAGATGCTGTCGTTAACATCCTCAGGCCAATACATTTTAAAAGTAAATTAAATATGGTGCATTTTATACTTTTCAGCTTGGCAATAGGAAGTAATACATGTAAAAACTGAAATTTTTTCCTTGTATTTTCACATCTCTCAGTTGTTCCACTGTTCATAAAAACTCTTATTCTACTATAAAAAGAAATTAAATTAGTTCAGCACAATTAGCCCTTCGCAAAGTCAGCTGGGTTATATATAGCTACTTTCCAATTTTAGGTTATTTTGAATTATGCTTTTAGTGACCTAGTAATTCCCAGGACAGAAGTATTTTGCTCACCACTTAGTAACTTATAGATTTATCATTTCCCCTTTTCTGAAAGAAAGTCTTAAAATTTTTACTGTTAGCTACATTTATTATTTTTGTATAATCATGGATATGCATTTTTCTTTGAATATTTATTATTGTTTAAATTACCACATTCTTAGTAATGTTTGCCAGGTTTTTATTTTTTTTAATTTGAGTCTTTTGTTTCTTCCTAAATTTTTTGGTTTTAAACTTATAACTTTGATCAAAGGATTTTTTCACTGAAGATTATGTTTCAAAATGGGATACCAGTGGTACTACGTATCAAGGATTTAATCATCTTGAATTGACATTAATACATCATTATCAAACTTATTAACATATTAAATTTCAATAATATAACAGACTTAATTGTTCCACCTACTGTGCACTGTGGAATTGTTCCATCATCATATGAACTTTGTGTAAGCAAGTCTCAGATCTTTCTTTTTCTATTACTTCAATTTACAAATAAAAATCATATATATTTAGGGTACACAATATGATGTTTTGATATATGTATACATTGTGGGATGGTTGAATCAAGCTAATTAACATACGCATTACCTCACATACAGACGCTCCTTACCTTACGATGAGGTTATATACTGATAAATATATGCTGAAAATATCACAATTGAAAATGTATTTAATACCGAACACTTAGCCTACTAAACATCATACCTTAGCCTAGCCCACCTTAGATGTGCTAAGAACACTTTCATTAGCCTACAACTGGCCCAAATCACCTAACACAAAGCCCATTTTATAATAAAGTGTCGAATAGCTCATGTCATTTATTGAATACTGTTTTTTACTGAAAGTAAAAAACATAACTTATAACCACAACCCCAAGCCCACAAGGGTAGTTTTAAATATGCAGTATCTGTGCCATAGGAAAACCCAGGGGAAGTTATTAATATACAATTTGGCCAACTGGACATACTGCTGAAGCCCCATGAAGACTCGAAGCCAAAGCTTTCCCTAGGATGTGTCCCATCAATGGCATCTCTCAACCTCCTGATTTCTCAACCCCTTGTCCATTCTGTTGATTGGATAGACAGAGGGTAAAATTCACATTTCCCAAACTTCCTTTTCCTCAAGGGTTTGGATGTGAGTTGGGTTTCTCCAATTAGATGAATTTGCATAAGATTTGGAGTCACTGAGACAGAGGCCATCTTCCTGATGCTACAGCTGTCAGAAAACAATGTAGTAACAATGAGTGTTAGAGATAATTGTGGCTTGAATTAGCATTCCAGTGTCCAGGTGTCAGCTCCATGATGATCTGAGGCAGATGTAGAGACAGATGCTACATTCCTGTGTTTGGTCATCAATGTTCATGAGTATGAGAGTCAGCTGTGATGGAGCACCAACAGCTTCCTGATGTTAAGTGGAGGATCTGAGGATTTACACTACTTGCACACTAGAAAATTAGTCTGCACAGTTTCATGGATACTGATAGAGGACATCAGTCTCCTGAATCATAGGCAAATGACTCTATTACTAATAGTAGAGCAGAAAGCTTAATTTTTTCCTTTGAGATAATGTCCCATCATCACACCAAGGCAGTGAAGAGACACCCATATAGATGCTGCACACTTTCCTTAGGGACAGCCACAAGTGGTGATCGGTTAAAAACTGAGTTACAAAGGCTGTCACAACTGTGTCAGTTGAGTCATTCTGGAAAGATCATCCCAGCTTCAGAAGTCCCTGTGTGGGTGGCTGGAATCTCTGTTGCAACTGCATTGTAACTTAATTCCTTCCTCTGCACACTCCTGCTTCTCTCATTATATAAAAGTGATTTCCTCAGAGTATTCCCAATAAGACATCTGAATCCAAATCTCTTTCTTAGTTTCTGTTTCTGGGAAACCAATTTAAGGCATATACTATAGATGGGAGAAAATAGAAACGATTCTTGGAATCTCAAGCACAAATACTTGAATACTGGTATCCAATGCTTACAAAATCTTTGAGGTGGCTAAAGGAGTAAAAGTCTGAGGCCACAACTGAACTACCAGTTCAGAACCATCATATCGCTATAGCTATGGCTAAAATTTCAGAGTCTGTTGTTGGGACACAATTCTCCAAGTGTCTCTGATGTTTCTGCACATTTTTGTGAGCTAAGCATTAATTGCCTTCTTTTTCCCAAACTGTCTTGTCAAGAATCTTTGTATAACGCACAGTTGTGGAAGATAAAGATACTATTTACATCTGGGGTAGAGTGCAGGTCTGTTTGATTTTCAGTATAAAAAATATAATGTGCATTACATTTATTTAGGTAAAGCTTCAATGGGTTTGCTGCAGCTTATTTCAAAATTTGATTTGGGATTTCTCAGCTCTGGGTAATTCAGCTGTGAGACAAACCCACAATTATTCGATGAAATATGATTACATAGATTACCATCTGAGGTTATTTGGGATAATGTGCCAGTGAAGGCAAGACTTCTGTGGATAAAGTGGATGCTGGGATCCAACATTGTGATGAGAAAGAATACAAATATGAGGGTGGGGCAATGGCTGCTTCAATCGGCACTGTAATACAGAAAATTATAAGCTAAGGGCTTCATATGCTCAGATGAGAGGCCCAAACAGGTTCTATAACGGCCCTAAAATTATGTCTTATATTCTCAGACACGGGGCTGATGTATCAAAAAAATCGCTTGTACAATTGAACCATATAGGTTGCTGAAACTGAACATAAATTAAATTTATAACTTTGGTATTTCTCTTACATATGGGTTAGTGTACCACTTAGGGAAACATGAGTTTCTGAAAATTAGAATGGATCTAACTGGATACCTTGAAATATAGCATACAGAACCTCCACTGCCAGTAGAATCAGCTGCATATACTTGTCTTTTAATGCATTTTTTGTTGTTAAAAACTGGATACCTGTCACTAGGTAATTTATAACAAAATATATTTGTTGGCTTATGGTTCTGAAGGCTAAGAAGTCCAATATCAAGGGGCTGGCAGCTTTCAAGGGCCTTCTTGCTGTGGTCTTCCCTGGCAGAAAAGCACGAGAGGGCAAGAGAGTGAGGGAGAGATAAAGAAAGAGGGAGCCCAACTGGTCCTGTTATAATGAGCCCACTCCTACTCCCATGATGTTGGCATTAATCCATTCATGAGGGTGGTGTGCCCATTACCCAAACACCTCCTCAGAAAACTGCATTGTGTGTCAAGTTTCCAACACATAAACTTTGGGGACCACATGCAAACCATAGTAATATGTCTAATCAAACTATTTCTGTCTTGCTTAAAGACACTGTAATAACCTCACTTAATGTAGCTATCTTACAATCATATGCTGATATTTGTTCTGCCCCATTCTTACTCCTCAGTGTCAGATCCAGCATAGCCTGTGGGGAAAATACAAATCCTGACTAAGGAGGAGGTAGCTAACACACCAAAATACTTGTAAGATTTTGATAATTTGTACCCCTCACTAAAACCCAGAAGAACATATGTGGTGATAATTAAAAAAATAACTAGAGAGGAAGAAAAATAACTTTAGATTAGACCATAGTTATCAATATAGGTGTAATTATGAGCATTCTGGATTTATAAGGCCAGTTTCAGAATATAACAATGGATTCTTTTGCTTGATTTATTAACCAAAATAAAACTCAACAGTGTCCTAAATTAATTAATACTGAGAGTTCTAAAGTTTCTTAATATATTGCAATATATTAAACAAAGCACTCAAGTTGATAGTCAAGTTAGAATAGATTCACCTTTAGCTACATACTCAAATTCTTTAATAATGTCCCTTGAAATACTAGACTGTAATATCTTTATAAAGGCATTGGTGAGTTGATCACCAGCACCCATGAAAACTATGGTAGTTATGTTAACAGCATAAACTAACTCTAAATGTTTGATTTAGCATCTGTACATAGATGGACCAGCCAATTCCTAGGGCAGGTTGATTACATGGGTCACATTCCATTACACAGAAGGTAGAAGTTTTCCACACTGGAATAGACAGTAATCTGGATGCGGATATACCTTTCCTGTTGGCAACATTTCTGAAGGTCTCTCCTTTATGGGATTATCAAGTGCCGCATGTACTGCTATATATACCATAAAATATTGCTCCTGGAACAAATAAATCATTTTTAGATAAGATAAGTGGTTTATATGACAATGAAATTCACTGGTCTTACCATGAATCCCAACACCTAGAAGCGGCTGACTTTACAAATAAGTGTAATGGTTTAATTTATTTAGTTTTCAGTTATGTTGCCATTTGGAAGGAAATAATTGCTTGTAAGTTCATGGTACAAGATGAGATAGATATTATAAATTGGTAACCAATACATGATGCCGTTCTCCCATCTCCCAGAGTGCCAGGAAACAGAGAGAAGTGGTAGAAGTGGTGGAAGTATTTCTCATTACTACATTAATAAACTATTCTCAAATTTTGCTCACTTTTCCTTCAGCTTCAAGTTTTGTTACTTTAGTATCCAAAGGAGGAATGCTCCCACTTAAGGATCAAAGAACCTTTTCATTGACCTGGATGTTTAAATAGCCATTTGACAATTTTACACCTTTAAGCAATTGAAAGAAGTAAATAAGGAAACTGACTATGAGTGTCAAGGGAACCAAGTCACAGGCACAAAACATCTGTCTGAAACTCAAGAGATTCTCTGGACTAACTCATGGTATTTTTACATGTGTTAGTAAATATTGATGGAAGATTAGAGAAACTTAATATAAGCAAAATCACTAAACTCTCAGGACAAATTTCAGGAGAGAAACTTGGGCATGCTCTACTGCAGAAAACATCAGTAACAACAAGAAAACTGCAATGGTTGAGGTATTGTCTAACACATAATGGTTAGTGGAGGAAGGACGTTTTACGATCCAGATGAAAGTTATAAATTATGGAGAACACTTGGATTTCCACTTTTCTCTACTCTATACCTGTTGCAAATATCAACTATTTGAAAAATATTAATCTACTTTTCTCCTATGGGTTTACATAACAAGTGTAGGTGGTGGTTAGCTTTCTAATTTAGTTTTCAGGTTAGAGCATATCAGGTAGAATTTATATAACAAAATTAGTGCAATGAATATCCTCTCAAGACGCATCCCATAAGTAATACAGCTCAGCATGTCTACATGTCTATTTCTGGGCATATCATTATGGAAACATGACTTCTGGAGATAGAGTAGAGAAGGGAAGAGGAAAGTATGGAAGGTTTTAGCTGTATCTCTTTCTTTTTCATGTTTCACAAAAAGAAAGACATGGGAAAATGTTAATATCTATAAAATGGTTATGAGCATGTGGGTTTCTATTATAGACTTTTCTGTATGTCTTATGTGTTAAAAGTTTTAAAAACTCAATAACAAATATATAAGGATGGATTTTTATATACTGCCCTTAAACTCGCATATGTAAATATTTGATTATGGTAAAAATCCCTTGAATTTGTTAAAATATGATACAATTCTTCAGGGTAGGATCAGAGCAACTTCAAAGTACTTTAGTTTGCAAAGTGAAAAAAGTCTTATAATGAGAATAGGAGAAGGATTTAGGAAGGCTCAATTCACTCAAGAAAAATGAAATAGAAGAAAAAAACTACATAATCAGAATATTCAATCACATCAAACTGGAAAGAGCTTTTGGGATAATAAAGTAGAATTTGGATTCAAGGTAATGCTAGAATGTGGGATGAGGAGCAAGAAACTATTGTTTCTTGTATATATATATAAGAAATATAGTATACACTTCAGGAAAACAATAATGAAGGGATTATAGCAAGCCAAAGCTAATGTTAGTTGGCAGAAAAGGCAATTGTGTACTTGCCTGAAGGTACTACAAATTTTTCCAAAATAATATGATACCAACTTCAATCAGGAAAAGTGTATCCACCTCCCCAGAATGATATTTTTTGTGCTACTTCACATGAGCCTTTAACTATTCTGCCTGGTCTATCACATACTGAGCAACGTCTCTTGAAACAACATAGTACTGAGATTATTGTATGTTTGATGGATGTCTAGTGCCTCTTTCAATATAATTTATTTCAATCAGCTTTGGAAATAATTTCACCTATATTTTTACAACTTTTACTTTTCTATGACAAATTGTGTAAGGATTTATTCTGGCTTAATGTATTTAATGTGTCTCCTAACACTGATATGAATAATTAAGCCTCATGCTGAAGGGCATAAGCTGATTGCTAGAGGGTTTTAAGAAGGAGTGTTCCTTCTGTGCACAAAACTGTGTAATGACAAATTAAAACCCACAAAGAGAAAGAAAGAATGAATCTGATGTCCATTACTCAGTAGGTACTTACATAAAAACTTCTCTGGAAATTTCTAAGTGAGAGAGTAGTCCTAGAAATACTTGTAAAGTTTTATAAACTGTGCCATTTATACATATACCATAGATTGGTATTTTCCTTAAAGTTAGTTATAAAGCAATCCATTTTTAAAGTTTCACTATTTCCTTGTATGACGTATTTCTAATTTCATTATCTTGTCTCTAAAATGTTGCTTTTCAGTTTGAGTATCAATATTTTGAAACTGAATCTGGATAAAAGCCCCCATACCCTCAAATTTGCTCATGTGTTCTTTTTCTTATTGAGGTTATTGATGTGAGTTTGAGAAACAAACTATGCAGTAGATTAAATACAGGTGCTTCTAAAGCACAATTTCATAACAGACAAATCCTAAATAAATGGACTAAAAGGATTCTAGTGTATTTAAATTGTTGAAGTTTAAAATTATTGCTGTGAACTAAGCATTAATAAGCTGCGTTGGTTTAAAAAGTATTATTCTATGCAAATTATTCTCTAAGGATTTATTTTTTCCAAAAATAATAATTGCAATTTCCAAGTGTGAAATAGACCATTCAGTTAACTAAGCAGAAAAGTTTATTTTAGGGCATATTTTTATCCACGCCCTCTAAATAAACTCTACTTTAGGAAGTATTCTAATTATTTAATGATGAATATTTAATCACTCTTCATGTAATACCAATCTCTCGAATACTAGCAATATGGGGATTTATACAAAATCAGAGTTTTCCAGAGTCAGTAGCACCAAAATGCTCTTAACAAGCAGTCCTCATTAGAATTGATCAGAACTGACACAATATAATGGATCACAGTGAAACTAGGCGTTCAAGGGGCACTAGGGGAGGGCCCTTTGCTAATGAAGCAGATCAAAGACAAAAATTTGGTCAGAATGATTTAATTCTCATTTATTTCTGGCCTGGCACTTCGTTACTCAAAGGCCAGTTTGCAAAGTGATTCTGTTAGTGAGCAAAGCCCTGATAAATTAAACAATATATATATAAAATAATAATCACAGTCAAACTTTTGTCTTCACCCTCCAAAGGCCAAATAGACATAGGTAAGAAAGAAAGAGCTCATGCTTTTGCCATGGGAATCAAGCCATAGAAAAATGGTTAGTGTATTCCTTTATTTCTAAAGATGGCATTGCAAAAAGTATTCCAGTTACTATTTAACAACACCTTAGAGTTAATAAAATAATTTGGCAAACAAGAGCTCATCTATAATATGACACCCTGTCCATAGATATTGTAAAACAAAGAATATATATAATATGAAAATAGAACCAGAAAGAAAATTAGAAAACTGCTTCTCTCTCTCTCTCTCTCTCTCTCTCACACACACACACCTTCTTAAGCCGACAAAATTTATAAGAATATTTACTTCAATGATTTCTAAACAGAGCTCAGTAAACAAAAATCAGCCCTTAATCCTAATAAAACATCTTAAACAAGTGACCAATGGATTCTTCAAAAATGTCTAGAACACACAGGATTTTAAATGTGCATTGATTCCAACGTTTAAAAATTAAGGTATTTCATACCAATATGAAAATGTTGGCTTCTCTTTTAAAAATAGAATTATTTTAATACCATTGGCATTATCTGATTTTTAGGATTTAGACAGATAACACTCAGCTGTGGAGCTATCTGATTCTTGTGCCTTTATCAGTGTTGATCTCTAATCTCCTTTCTAATCCCTTTTATAGTAGTTGGAGAATAACATTTCCACTTTCATTTGGTTTGATTTTGAGAGTTTGCATTTTTCTAGGAAATTACTCATTGAGTCTAAATTTTCAAATTGCTGCAACTGAATTGCTATAAGAATTGCTTATGATTATTTTCCTCTTTGCTGGTATTTCCTATTATTGTTCACGTATGTTATTGTTTAGGCTTAAAAGAAGATTATATATTTTATTGGTAATTTAACAAAAGAGTTTTGGGATTTATTTACCTGTTCAATTAATGTTTATTGTCTGCTTTTACTTTATTAGTTCCTTATTCCTGATTTTGATTTACTCTTTGTTCAATTTGAGGATAAACAAATTCTTTTTTTTTTTTTCAAATTCTTTGATCATGAAGATATTTAAGTGTATATCTCTTTCTCTATGTTTTCTAGTTTCTCACAGCATTCACTAGGCCCAATTCATTTATTTATGTTACTTACTTGGTTCTTAAAGTTACTGCATTTATAACCTCTAAATATCAACACATCAACTTGTGGAAACTCTCAGGTCACAGTATATTAAATATAAACATATACATCTTCTGATGTCAGGATCATATTAAATTTAACCCACAGATACTTAAGCAAGGACATAAAACTTTTTCTTTTCTCTTTTTTTTTTTGGAGACAAGGTATAAAATAAATACTCTCACCTGTTCAATCTCAATCTCAAGTGGCATCCAAACACATTCAGCAACTAATCACGGAATAAATGCTTCCATACATACCATAAAGTAAATCAATATCAAATACAAATTTGAATGGTAAGTTTGAAGCCACTTCATACTGAGATTTTATAAGCTTGCTAAATGAATGATATCAGTAAAACCAGCTGCCAGTATTTAGTGCTTACTCAATGGCAAGTGCTTTGAAAGACATTTGTTTGGAAAATAGTTTATAATAAGAATATTCATGCCAGAGACAATATACTATTTTATCCATTGTTGCACTTTGAACAAAATGGCTGAAAAGTATCATTTACAATATTGATTTAACATAGTTTTATTGGAAACATGCAGAGAACATACAAGTACTAACATTTTGTGATTGTTTTGTATTTAATGGCTAAGAAAATGTAATAAAAGTATTCACAAGGTTAAATTCATAAAAACTAATGAATGATCATTACCACATGCTATGCTCTAATTCTCACAGGGATGAATGATATGTACATGGCTTTATTAAAGTATGAAAAAATTAGATAGTTCAACTTTAGGGTGTAAAATATTGACTCTCTTTAAGAACACAGAGTTTAGGGTTAGATAAATATACGTTTTTCATTAAAAAAGTTTTTGCAAAATTACACAGCTTTATTAAAAGAAAATGAAATAATTTAGAAAAAAATCACTTATTTTGGAAGAGATCTTCTCCCTGGAAAACAAGATTTTCAACTGAAAATATATAATTTTTCAATAGGAAAATCCATGTCACTAGCTGGTTACTAAATCTAGGGACTTCTGAAATACTTGCAAGGAATAATTTCAAATATTATCAAAACATCAATTTATAATAGCAGAACATGTAAAACTTTAAGAAATCAACCTAACAAAATAGGCACAATCAACGTTAGGAGAGCTATGAAACATTACTGAAAACATAAAGAAAACATTAATTAAAAGACATTTTACTTCTTTAAGGGAAAAATTAAATTCATTATTATGAGATGATGCTTCTTAATGTAAAATTGACTGGCATGACTACCAATGAATATTTGATGTGAGAACAAGTTAATTAATAATTTTAATGCAATGCAACAATAAATCATTTTATAATTTAGACATTATCTCAATGTGTATTTGTGGGAAAAAAAGAATATCAAATAGGCAGAATGAATTTAGAGAATATAACTAACAGGGATGATATATGCCCATTCGAATATTAAAATATATCATAAAATTATAATAAATAAAATTGTAGCCCTTTTGCTAGAATGAACAGATGCATCAGTGGTGCAAATTATAAATTATAGAACCAGAGTTTTGTAGAGCTGATTGTTAGCTGATATAAACACAAAATAATCCTGATTGGTCAACGTCTATACAATACTTATTGTTAAATATTCAGAGTATCATCACCTGGAGTCAGGTTTATATTGCAATTTAATTTATGATTAAATAGGATTTTAAAAGGTTGAAAAAAATCACAACTCATTTATAAATAACATTTGAAAACCAGTCAATCATTTGGAAAAAAGAAATAAAGATTCATGACCCAAATATCAGTATAAAACTACAACAACAAAATGTATTACAAACTTCTGCACATGTATGTTTATTGCAGCACTATTCACAATAGTAAAGATTTGGAACCAACCCAAATGCCCATCAATGATAGAAAGGATAAAGAAAATATGGCACATATATACCATGGAATACTATGCAGCCATAAAAAAGAATTAGTTCATGTCCTTTGCAGGGACATGGATGAAACAGGAAGCCATCATTCTTAGCAGAGTAACACGGGAACAGAAAACCAAACACCACATGTTCTCACTCATAAGTGAGAGTTGAAGAATGAGAACACATGGACACAGGGAGGGGAACATCACACACCGGCACCTACCAGGGGGCATGTGGCTAGGGGAGGGATAGCATTAGGAGAAATACCTAATGTACATGATGGGTTGATGGGTGCAGCAAACCACCATGGCAGGTGTATACCTATGTAACAAACCTGCACATTCTGCATATGTACCCCAGAACTTAAAGTATAATAGAATGCATATTTAAACTTTTAAATGTAAAGGTAAATTACTAAACCATATCACTTCTAGGATAAATATTCTAGAATGGAATTTTGTCCTTAGCACATTGCCAGTATAGGGACGGGAAAAAAATCTATACTAAATAACAGCTGTTACAAGCTGTTTAAAAAATTGGGAAACTTTCCCATAAAAATAAGACAAAATATTTTTAAAGACATAAAATAATTTATTCTGTCCCAACAAATATTTTACATTTTCATCCTGAATATTCTATTTACTAAAATCTTTTGAGGCTATTGAATAGACTGGTGAAAATTTTCTAATAACTAGGACTAAAATGTTAATGTGTTCAATATATTATCAAGTACTGTTGTATACTTATAAAAGATAATATTCCCACAGTGAAAAATCACAAAGAAAATTCAATTACCCAACAAATATAAATTCTTTAAATCACTAAAAAAGTACTTAACAATCAGGAGATTTTTTTCAATTTCAGTATAAGAAAGTTTGAGTGAAATAAATTTTAATTATAATAATTTTTCAAAAAATCAAATATGTAATATTTATCAGTTGCTACAATTATCCAGTATTTCAAACATATGTGTGTATACATGTTTGCGTGTTTATATACACACACATATATGTATGGAGACATCTCCAGCATCCAATACGTATCTGGTGCACACATATCTAATCATTAGCCAGGTGTTACATCACCAGTTTCATTAACAAGAAATGTTATTGAGAGGGATGTGAAAAATAAAGATAATGATACTTGACAAAGTATGGACTGGGACACCCACAATTCATTTCCTCGTCATGGTAGCCCTGCCATTGAATAGCTCTGTCATTTGCATGGTGGTTTTTCTATACCTACAAGGATTCAGTCTCTTGGATACTAAAATGCAGAGCTTTGGATTTGATACCTTTGAGTTATCCAACTATTATGCTATGTGATTTTATTCTAAGCCAATTTCACAGTTTAATTTATATCACAAACTGTCACAGTTACATTACGTAGGGGCTCCTGAGCAAGGTAAAACAAATGTAAATACAGTCAGTGTTTTAAAAATTTACAGCACATGAAGCAGGTAGTCTCTGAAGTTGAATTTATTGGTAGCCACAGGGCATTGTCAATGTGGAAGCTAGATGTAATATTTAATATTCTTTTCCCTCTCTCCCTTAATATTTAATATATTTAATGTGTTTTTTAATCAGCCATTATCAGAATGCATTCTTGAAGTATCTAATTTCTCCAGGCACCAGGCTAAATCCAAAATTTCTGTAACCTAGATTAGAAAAAATACACTCTCTGAATGTCTTTATTTATGTAATTCCCACCCCACATATTATTGCCATTGCATTTATATTCTCTCTCATGCTCATTCCCCCCTCCTTTCTCCCTCTTCCTATCTTTCTTTATTTCATTCTCTTCCTCCCTCCTTTATTTTTGCTATTCTTTCTCAAACTTCAATTTTGATAATAAACTTATTTTCTCGATTATGTCTTGACCTAGTATGCCATGGCAACGTTAACAATTTATAGGATATTTATAAAACCTTCAGTTCTGGCATAATGAATATGTCATGCACTACCGTTACTTTTTAATCATCAAAGCTTACATCTCTGTGGGATGCATTGGAAAATTGATGCCATCTAAAATGTTTTTCCTTTTTTATTACTTTTTTAATGCCAAATTTATAGTTTATTTCAAGTGTACTTTGCCCAGGGAATTTGTTTTTCCTCTTCTGGTTTCTCTATGTCTTTCATACTGTTTATTGATCTGAGAGCTATAGATTTGTATATTTTAAAAAAGAGCTTAAAACTTCATTTCTAGATACTCAACAAACTTCTATTGAACTTCTATTTAGGAAAATAATAACAAAATTTTAGATTTAGAAAGAAGTTAATGCTTCAATAATGTTCAATAGTTAAGGAAAATGAAATCAAGTATATCTGATAGTTTGGTTAAATCCAAGTGTGTAAATAATATTTTACAATTACATATGATCTTGTGAATATCAATATGACTATTTGAGTATTTAAAAGAGATAACCTTCATATGATGATAAACATTTTGTTTTATTTATAGCCACAAATCTTAATTTACTGATGAGTCAAATTTGAGAAAATCCATAAAGAAATGCAAGCTTCTTATAAAATGCAGCTACTGAGAGAGATGCCAGAACTCTTCTCTAGATTTTCAGTGTTTTTCACCAACACGACTACCTTATCTCTGCCAAAAGGAAATAAACCAAACTTTAATTATTTTTGAATATGAGAATGAAAAAAAGTAATTCAAATTCCACCCAAATGAAACACTGCAATTTATTTGAGTGGGGCTTACATAAGGTTACTTCAATTAATGAAAGTTAGGTTGAGCAAAGAAATGTTTAACTATTTATGGGTTCATAATTTTCTGCATCAAACTGTAAAGCACAGAAAACTTAATTTTGGTTATGAAGTGTTATATAAATATTCTCAGTTCGTATAATGACATAGAGAATAAAGAGGAAAGAGGAGAAAATGTACAGGGGTGAATATATCTCATACTTAAAAATGATTTTTAAAAATACAGTGTATTTAACGGAAAAAGAAAGAAAAGTACCAATAGAGGTTGTCTAACACTCTTATTAACAAAGTTAATTAATCTTCTAACCCTCTGCCCTCACTTGTTGTAGAAATCATGAGAGCCACTGGAATTCTGGGGCATTTGTGTAATAAGCACAAGTTAAATATTCCATCGTCATTCGACTTTGTAGATCGTTGTTGACATATTCTAACCAAGGCTTTCTGAATTACTATGGACCTTCCCACCACAGTGCTGCTTTGGAGGTGACAAAATATCATTGCACAGTTCAAACTCACAATCCCAGAGCTCACATTACCTATGAATCAATTGTGTACTTGACAGAATCACTATTTAAGTGTATGAATCAATGAGATACATTCAGTTGAGGTTACAGCCATTTTGAGTACAAAAAATAAATTGCTTTGTCACAGTTGTTGTAGTCATTCTTGGATTATGGATTATGATACACTTTATCACTGTAATGATCAGTTTCTTTATTGTGAATGGATTAGGGAAATATTCAAAAAATAATACTTAGTTTTTAAAAAGCCTTCAAGACATGAGTAGCACTTTTAGTTAACTGCTAGATTTTTTTTCTTCCACCCCCATTTTTTGTGAATTGCCCAAATTATGATATTTAAATAATATGTGTGCCATTACAAGCAAGTTAAAGTTTAGCAATAAGATTCTAATCACAAGATATATCAAATGTGGCAAATTGTGACTTATTAATAATATATAATTTTTTTAAATCTAGATTTTTTGGTGCCTAACAGAATATTAGGTTACCTGTGTGCCCCACTCATCTTTTTTATACAGAAATGTATAGAATTATAACTCAAGTATTAACTTTTCAAGATTTTTGAAGTTGCTTGGAAAATTATAAATTTTCTTTCAAATGTCATTTTGTATCTATATATATCTAAATATTTCTCAAAAAAGAGCCATTGACTTAGGATCAGAAAAATGACATATAACTGCGACATTTTTACTTCATCCTCAATAAGTTAGTCGAAGTAATTTACTATAAGCTGACTATTTTCATGCATATTTGAGAGTATTCAGTCAAAATAGAAACAATCTTCTCATAGACTAGATGATTTTTAACACCCTCAAAATACATAACTGTAAGTTAGCTACTTAAGAGAGAAGGAAGAATTATGATTTAGACACTTAGATATTTATTAGAAACAGATTTAATTTTGTAGAAAAAAGTAACTACTTGTTATGTTAAAATCTTTAAGTAAGGAAAACTGAAACATTTTGTCTTATGCTTTCTCCAGAACTATAAATGAGTAACATTTATAGTTCTCAAATGTTTAAGTGATTCTCAGATTTACTTAGAATTACTAGGAAGACTGATTTTAATAGGTATAAGTGGGGTGTCAATGCATTTCTAACAACTTCCCAAGTGCTATGGTCTGAATGTATCCCTGCAAAAGCATGTGTAGGATACTTGATCCCCAATGCATCAGTGTTGGAAGGTGGGATCCAAGAAAGATGATTAGGCTGTAAGAGCTCTGCCCTCATGAATAGATCAATGTTATCACAGGAGCAGTTTCATTATTATGAGACTGGGTTTCTTATTAAGGGAATAGTTGCATATCTCTTTCCCTCTCTCTCTCTCTCACCCTCTCATGCTCTCTTGCCTTCCATGGGATGATGCAGCAAGAAGGCACTTGCTAGTTGCTGGCACCTTAACGGTGTACTTCCCGTATCTAGAAATGTGAGAAATTTGTTTCAAGTTACTTAGTCTCTGCTAATCTGTTATAGCAAAACACCGACTAAGACACCAAGGGATGCTGATGGAGTTTTTTCTGGGACCACATTTTCTGAATCACTGCCTTAAAAAAATTGAGTTTGTAGGCTGAGTGCAGTGGCTCACGCCTATAATCTCAGCACTTTGGGATGCCGAGGCGGGTGGATCTCTTGAGGTCAGGAGTTCGAGACTAGCCTGGCCAACATGGTGAAATCCCATCTCTACTAAAAATACAAAATAGCCAGACATGGTGGGGTGCACCTGTAATCCCAGCTACTCGGGAGGGTAAGGCAGGAGAATCACCTGAACCCTGGAGGCGGAGGTTGCAGTGAGCCGAGATTAAGCCACTGAACTCCAGCCTGGGCCACAGAGCAAGAATCTGTCTCAAAAAAAAAAAAAAAAAAGAAAAAAAAGAAAGAAAGAAATTGGGTTAATTGGGTTTGTAGTATCGTTGCTATACTTAAAAATCAAGTTAAACTTCTGCCTACAGAACAGTACAATTTGAACTCCAGATTACTGTGCAAAATGGCTAGTCTTCCCAAAGTATTATTAACCAATGCTTGATAAAAATTTGCTTCTTTATAAAATTACATTTCATTAAAAATCTGCAAAATGTTATTAAACTTTAAGGTTTATAAAATTACCAATGTCTTTTTAAAAAATTTTGTGGATACATATTTTATTTTTATTATTACATATTTTTTCCATCCGATCTTCAATAAAGCTGACAAAAACAAGCAATGGGGAAAGACTCTCTATTCAGTCAATGGTGCTGGGATAACTGGCTAGCCACATGCAAATTATTAAATCTGGACCCCTTCCTTACACCATATACAAAAGTCAACTCAAGATGGATTAAATACTTAAATGTAAAAACCTAAAACTATGAAAACCTTAGGAGACAACCTAGGCAATACCATCCTGCACATAGGAACAGGCAAAAATTTCATGACTGATACCAAAAACAATCAGAACAAAAGCAAAAATTAACAAGTGGGATCCAATTAAAATGGGGTTGTTTTTCTGCACAGCAAAAGAGACTGTCAACAGAATAAATAGAAAACCTACAAAATGAGAGGAAACTTCTGCAAACTATGCATCTGACAAAGTTCTGATACATAGCATCTATAAGGAACTTAAATTTACAAAAGAAAAACAACCCCATTAAAAAGCAGGAAAATGACATTAATAGACATTTCTCAAAAAAAGACGTGGATGCACCCAACAAGCATGTGAAATAAAAGCTCAAAATCACTAAGCATTAGAGGAATGCCCATCAAAACCACAATCAAGGCCGGGTGCGGTGACTCATGCCTGTAATCCCATCACTTTTGGAGGTTGAGGCAGGTGGATCACTTGAGGCCAGGAGTTCGAGACTAGCCTGGCCAACAGCGTGAAATCCCATCTCTGCTAAAAATACAAAAATTAGCTGGGCGTGGTGGTGCACGCCTGTAATCCCAACTACTTGGGTGGCTGAGGCACGGATCCCTTGAACCTGGGAGGTGGAGGTTCCAGTGAGCCGAGATTGCGCCACTGCACTCCAACCAGAGCAACAGAGCCAGAAACACACACACACACACGAGATACCATCTCACACCAGTATTAAAAACATTTACCAACATCTTTACATTCCTTTTTCTTAAGACCTTTCCAAAGATTCCTTGTCAATCATAGACTAAGATCTGAAAGTTGTACTCTTGTTTACAGAGCCCTCCATCACCTTTCTGCTCCTCATGTTTTTAAACTGAGTCACTGCCTCTGCCTTCTTCTTCTATATGTTAAATACATTTAATCACTGACGATATTGAAGTGATTATCCAGTTTGTGAATATAAGTTTTGCCTTCCACTTAGAATACATTTACTCCTTCTTCTTAGTAACTCCAAAATCATTTCTTTCAGGTTTCAGCTAAATTGTCACTTCAGCCACCCTGCCCCCTAAGACCAGATTGAGGATCATCCTATATGCTCCATTGCACTCTGCAATTACCTCAAGATTCTTGCTTGATAGATTATCCATTTTCCTGACTAATTACTGTATACTGTTGAAATCTCTGCACTGCTACACACTTACATAAATGATATTAGTATTGGGAGGTTTTAAATATCTAAACCTCGGATAGGCATCTCACTTCATAATCTTCAACTACTATCAGTTGTGACTTAAACTAATATATTCTCTCTTAGTTAGGAGTATACCCAACTCAGTCTGAACAAGTGTCTGGGGTTTTGGGGTGGGGGGTTACTTCAAGTTTTCATTAAAAATTTCCAACCCTCCTTCCCCAGTTAACCTGGCAAACAGTTATGCTAATGAAACATATGATCCAAACATTCTCTTTAGAAGTTCTATTCTTATTACTTATTGGAGTTCATCCTCCAAGGTTTCATTTGTGGCCTGATGAGTTTTAAGTTTGTTTGTCCTCTGCTAATGTAAGTACATATTGTTGCCACCCCTGTCTCATGCACCACAAGTTGATTCTCTCTCTAATCAATATTGTTGCGCTATTATTTTCTTTGGTCTTCCAACAACGGCATCCATAAAAAAAATTATAATCAACACAAAGTTCTCATCAAAGTGGATTTCCTTTTATGTGGAACTACTTTTATTAGTTATATTTATATAGGGAGAGAAATTATATATATTCCTCTATAAGGTAATCTATAGAATATATGTATATTTTATATTTTAGACAATATATGTATATCTATATGTAGATTACCTTATAGAATATATTTTCTATATAAATATAGAATTCTATATTACATATAGAATTTGTAATATTTCCAAATTTAAAACACTTAAACACAAATCAATATTTTCACAACTTTTTAATATTCAATCCTAAGGTACATTAATACAATGGTTGTCTATTCTGACAGCTCTTTAGAATAATCTAGGAACTTTTATAAATATCCATGCTGGATTCCAGTTTTAGAACTGCTTATATAATTTTTTATTGAAATGTACCAGGCATCTGCATGTTTATATGTTTCCAGGTGATGCTAATGTCTAGCCAAGATTGATAACCACTGTGTTAGAAGCCCTTAGAGTCATTATACACCTGGAATTCCTTCACGAAATATTCTTAAATCATTAAAAAGAAACAAGTTTGAAAGAAAATATTTTTCTACAAGTTTACATAATGTTTAACCATGAGGATACTAAATATAAGTTTTCTGTTGGGAGCCAGTAGTATTTGTTATTATTTATAACTGGTAAGAGATAAATTTCCCAACAGATGATCATTTTGCTGCTAGAAATTATTTCACCTGAATTACATTCTTCAGAATAGCAATAATACAACACTGAAAGTAACTCATTTTGAGATCCTTTTCCTAAAGTTTGATAAGTAGAATAAGTAAGCTACATTATCTAGAAACCCAAAAATTCTAACAACTGGCACGTAATTCAAAAGATAGCTGAGGCCAGGCACAGTGGCTCATGACTGTAATCCCAGGACTTGGGGAGGCTGAGGCAGGTGGATTACCAGGTCAGGAGTTCGAGATCAGCCTGACCAACATGGTGAAACCCCATCTCTACTAAAAATGCAAAAATTAGCCAGCCGTGGTGGTGCGCACCTGTTATCCCAGCTACTCAGGAGGCTGAGGCAGGAGAATCACTTGTACCGGGGAGGCAGAGGTTGCAGTGAGCCGAGATCACACCACTGCACTCAGCCTGGGTGACAGAGCGAGACTCTGTCTCAAAAAAAAAAAAAAAAAAAAAAAAGAAAGATAGCCGAGGCTATGTCTTCCAGTAGTAGTATAGGGGCTTATACCTTATAAGCATAGGGAATTGAAATAAACTCCTAGATTCAGTGAGTGTCTGTAATCAATAAAGACAAAATTACAAGAAAAGTACAGGACCAAGTGAATATCAAATGTCATTAAACACTGAGATAAACTAGAATGGCAAATGAGAAGCGTAGTGATAGCATAAGACTTCAGTGTTACAATAGATACAAAGAAAAACCACTGAAATACAGCAGTGCTCATTTTTTGTGTGTTTTGCTTTCTTTATTTCTTAAATGTTATACTAATCTCTAATTTTCAGGAATTTTTCACCTCTGGAAAATTTTAACTAACTTAAGCAATAGTAGATAACAGGTCAAATGTTTGTTGGGAAATCCCAACACTTCGCTGAGATGAAGTTACTATGTTTTCCAGTGGCATAATCTCTACCAGAAGGAATGAATGTTTCCACAGTAAAATATCATTTTACCAATTACCAGAAAATATTGGAAAAACACAATATTGGAGCCAATCCTGCTGGGATTAAGGAGAGATAAAAGCTGGTTCACATTCCTTCTTTAAAAAATACACAAATATGAAATGCCATACCCAAGAGACTATTTTTATATAAAATAATTAGATGTTAGGAACTTTGGTGTGTATTTTTTTTAAACAAAAGCTATAAAAACTTTAAACTGGTAATCACTATGTTTCCTCACATATCTAAAGAGGGGAATGTCATTAAGAAAAGTTTTAACCACAAACTTCTGTGATTTGTTTATCATTTTGGGCAAATTTACAATCGAATAATGACTCTTGTTCTAAATTAGATATTACATACTAATTCGCATTTTATAAACCATTCAAAAAAGAACTTTATAGGAAATTTTAGAGAGTCAATATTAGTATTTTTTCACTTGGATTATAAGCATTCAGTCATGAATCATTCTGTGTCTTGTTCAAAATTTGGTCACAGCAGCAATAATATATCATCTGCTCACATCTCATCGTTTCTAGGTAGACAAAATAAAGCTAAAATTAAAATAATTATTAAGAACCATTTTGATATATTTTATAAAAACAAATATGCTGGCACAAACACTTTGTTAAACTCTCAAGAATTATCTGCTAAAGGCTGGGCATGGTAACTCATGCCTGTAATTCCAGCATTTTGGGAGGCCGAGGGAGGCAGATCACAAAGTCAAGAGATTGAGACCATCCTGGCTAACAGGGTGAACCCCTTCTCTACTAAAAATACAAAAAATTAGCTGGGCGTGGTGGCAGGTGCCTGTAATCCCAGCTACTTGGGAGGCTGAGGCAGGAGAATCGCTTGAACCTGGGAGGCAGAGGTTGCAGTAAGCTAAAGCTAAACATGTCAGCTTTGACCTAAATTTTAGGACCTAAAATTATATTCCAAGAGAAATGAGTATATAATACCCAACAGAAGGCATACACGAGAATTTCATAATAGTGCCAAACCAGAAACAACCCAAATTTCCATCAATAGTAGAGTGGATAATAAATTGCGCATGAATTTTGTATAATGGGCCACTGCAGAGTAATAAATACAATAGGTTTCTGCAACATTCAGACATAGTATTAAGCAAAAAATAAAATAAAAATAAAAACAACAGACATGAAAGAATACCTACTGTAGGATTCTATTTATTCCATTTATATAAATTTCAAAGGCAAAACTAATTCATAGTGAAATATATGAAAGAGTAGTTGCCCTCAGAAGATGGTATTTCAACAGTATATAGTAATTAGTCAGAAGTGGCAAGAGTAAACTTCTGAATTACAGGAGATATTTTGTGTCATAATCTGAGTGGTAGCACTGTAAGTATATACAAATCTAAATATGGATTGAAGTATACAATGAAGCACTTTACTCTATATTGCTTCAATTTTGCCTCAGAGGAAGGAGCAGGAAATAAATAAAGAAATTCAATTAAAACTTAAAAATTGGTATGTTTTAATATTTTTCTTTAGTCATACATTCTGGGTACTGATGGCAATATTTTCAAAAATGGCTTTTCATATACATGGCCAACACATGATTTAAATTCTCTATTACAATTCTTAAAAAAAGCCAGCATCAATATTCTCTTACTAGAAAAAAATTACTTTAAAATATAGATTAATAAGAAAGCAAAAATGAGTTTATTATACTTCATTATGTATAACTATAAAATTACATTGAATAATATCTTAACATTGTGGGTTTCAAGAGAGGCCAAGTCTGCTGATATGCATAGCAACAGTTAATTCTAAAGCCTAGAGCAGATTTTCCCAAATTGTGTTTCCCAGAATATAAGAAGGTGTTCAAAAATTTCTATAGTCCATTTAGTTGGGAAATTCTAGGTTAAACAAAGTTTATAATGTTTCTCAGACTTTAATATGCTCTTGTGCATTGTGGATTTCCACAGAAGCATAATATGCAGTTTTCTCCAAATGACTTAGTCATTAGAATCCTTTTTCAGTAGAACATTTCACAGAAATAATGTTCTCTGGAGCAATGAATGTCGAATCCTGGGAGGTGAATAAGGGACTTTATTGTAACAATCAAAAGAAAAATTCATGAAATCTTGAGGAACGGTTTTTCAAAGAGAGGAACACTAAGCAGAAAAATGGGTTTTTAACTGTAGCACATAAACCAAATTTATTTATGTTCTTAAAGAGGGTGTTTTTCACTATAATGATGGACTTAAACAATGGCTGAAATTTCATGGGGAAAATTAAATGATATTGTAGTTACTTTTGGAGAACACATAGTTACTTAGAACATCAAGTTTTGAAAAAAATGTTTATATAGGAGCTGAAATTCTAGTAGAATTGATAGAAATATGCTTGCGGTAGAAATGTGTGTACTTAAAATACACACGTTACATGTGTAAGTACGATGATCAAGCATTTTAAACAAGTACATTAGAAAAATATATCTTTAATGTGTGAAATCTTTATCTACCCTTTGTTAGAAGACCAGAGTTTTACTTCCAAGTCTACTACTACCCGATTGTAGCAACCCAGACACATGCATATAATGACTTAAATTTTTCATTAGTAAAATGAAGATATTACCCTTGTGGTCAGATAAGCTACATTTCAACTTTAACTTCCAGTGATGCTTTTGTAGTAGTTTTATAAATTAATGCAATAACGCTTCCAAATATTTAATTTGCTATCCTGAAAAAAATTTTTGAATCATCCTCAATTTTTAAATATATATTTCTTTGTTGCAAGTCTTCATCCTTCAAAGACTTGATTCATGGAACTAGCTAAAAACCATCTGAAATCAAAATTCACAAATCACTAGGTTGTTGCAGCAGAATCCTAAGACCAATCATCCAAGAATTTAACTTTTCTTCAGCAATGAAAACATTCTCCTCCAACAAAATTTATGTCACAATATATAAATATAAATATTTATTACTTATATATTGTAATAGATATATAATCAGAAATGCTTTAAGTGAAATGGGAGTAGGCAATCAAGAGGGCTGGCTGCTCAACCTTCTGTTTGTCTTGCATTTTCCTGTATAATTTCTTGGTCATACCCAAGTAATCTTAAAGCTCAACATAAAACAGAATGAAAACTAGAAATCTGGTGCAGTGACTCATAGATGCCTACATACCCTTTCCCTTAGTATCTCTACAACTCGACTAATGTGTGTTCTCCATTCAAAGGAAAGAAAGAATTCTTGTGGACAAGTAATGTAGCTTTAATTTTTTCCAAAATAATATTGCTTAAGTATGAACAAGTTTACTATATGTTATAAAAGGTATTCACATACATCTCCTATATAACTATAAATCAAAAATAAAGTTATAGGATTAATACAAAAATTTTTTAACGTTAACAATATTCAATTGATGAAATGAAAATGATACAATGCGTGATACATGATTGAATCTATATTAACACTTGCCACCCATCATACTAACAGAAATGTAGAACTCAGTAGGATTGATTATCCTTTGTTGTTTTATTCTTTAAGATGAAATAGCAGTTTGTTTTTAAGACTTGTTAAAGTCTAAAATACAAGATGATAAAGCAAGAGATACTTTCTCATTACAACAGTTATATCTTTTTTTACTATTGCTTTTCCTAGAGATTTAATTTACTCTTTTCAATGTTATTTCTGTCATTTCTAGTTTGTGTATATTTAATCTTCTCAGAGAAATGAGTTATAGGCATAATATATTAGGGAAATACTGTTTTAAATCTTAAATTGGGTGTAACTGATTATCCTTAGTGTCTGATAAATTGACTGCAATAGAGGAGAGGAATTTCCATTTTTTTTTAGCAATGAAATGCTAGCGAAATAAATATGGTGTGTATATATATGTGTGTATACGCATATATTTGTGTGTATATGTAATACTTGTGTATTTCAATAAAATATACAATTATTTTAATCATATGTAACTTGTAGCAAGTTATAACTTTCAATTATTTTATTATTAAATGTTTGAAATTTCTGCCCAAGTATGGACTTTTATTGTCATAATCAACACCATTTTCTACAAAATTATATTAAACTGGAAAACAGTAGCTTTAATTAGCTATAAATGATGTAAGTATTCCTATAAGCTAATTATATATACTTTGTAGTATTAATAAAATGTAAAGCACTTCAACAACTTAAAAATGAAAAGAAAAGCAATTTACAACAATGGCAAAAATTGGAGCAGACCCTTCACAAAAGAAAATTTATAAAAAGTCAGAATGCAAAAGAAAAAAGCTCAAAGTCACTAGTTAACAAGAAAATTAAATTAAAACTACAATGGATAATACTACACACTCTCCAGAATGTCTGAAATTAAAAAGACCAAAACAGCAAATACTGTCAAAAATGTGGACCACCTGGAAATTTCATACATTGCTGTTGGGAATGGAAAATTGTACATCTATAGAAAAAGGTCTGGTAGTTTCTTATTTTTAAAAATGCCTGCACTATGAGCCGGCAATCCACTCCTAGTAGCGACCCAAGGGAAACTGAAATAATCACAAAAATATTGCATAAGGATGTCCATAGCAGCTTTATTTATAAGAATCCCAATCTGGTTTCCAACATAGTAAAAGGAACTGAAGATAAAAAATAACCAAAAAACAAAAAGCATAGTTATCTACACTGGGTAGTATTCCTCTAACTAGATATATAAAAAGGAATTCACTACTGATAATCAAAATAGCATAGATGAATCTCAATATTATTCTGAGTGAAAAACGTATTACATAAATCTGCTATATGGTATGATCCCATTTACATCAAAATCTTAAAACAGATAAAACTATATCATGGTTAAAAAAAATCAGAACATTGGTTGCCCTAGAAGAAATGGAAGCGGAGATTGATAGAGAAAAGGCCTGAGAGAAACATTTGAGGGGATGATGACATTCTATATCTTCATGCATCTATATATTGATGTATTTTGCAAAAATATACACTTTTGTTCAAGACTCAGAGAATACGCATGTAACATCTGGGCTGTCCATTGTATAAAAAATATTGGGATGCAATGAGTTAATGCAAATGATTCAGTGAAATCTCAGTCAAAACCCCAGAAAGTTATTTTGTGGATATCAATAAACTGATTCTTAGTTTAGACAGGCAAAACCCCCAGAATAGTCAACTCAATATTGAAAGAAAAGAACAAGGTCAGAGGACTAGCAATACTAAATTTCAAGACTTACTATTATACAAAGTCATAGTAAATAAGACTGGCTGGTATTGATGAAAGAATAGACAAACATATCAATAGAACATAATGAGAGTCCAGAAATAAAATCACATAAATATAACCAACCTATCTTGGAAAAAGTTGCAAAAGCAATACAATCGAGCAAAGATAGTATTTTCAACAAACGCTTCTGGAACAACTGCACATCTACATGCAAAAACAGCAACAAAAAGAATCCACACACAGACTTTAAATCCTTCACAAAAATTAACTCAAAAAGGATCATAGAACTAAATGCAAAACACAAAACTATAAAACTTAAAGACTATAAAATAGAAGATCTTTTTCTTCTTTTTCTCTTTTTTTATTAGGACATGATTGTATAAATTTTTAGGTGCATGTGATAGTTTGATACATGCATACAACACTTAATAATCAAATCAGGATAACTGGGATAGTCATCACCTCGAACATGTATCATTTCTTTGTGTAGTAGCATTCTAAATATTTTCTTTCAGCTATTTTGAAACACACAATAAGTTATTGTTAACTATAGCACGCTAAGTGTCTACATACATCCAAGGGATTTAAGAAAAGGAAAATAATTGAAGAAATACTAAAGTGTATAAAATGTCCAATTATTGCATAAAGCTACTGTTTCAAGCAGAATCCAATTTGAAATTATCAGCATTAATTTAAATGAATTATTCATAGTTTGTATTGTTAAAAAAGAATACAAACACTTTACAATAAAAATGTTATGTCTCTCATGGCAAGAATGGATTCACAATAAATTTATGATCCACAAAAATATAAGATAATGTAGGAGCAAATCTAGATAACCTCTGGTATGGTAATGACCTTTTTAATACAACAACAAAGGCACAGTCCATGAAAGAAATAATTGATAAGCTGGACTTCATTAAAATTAAAAATTTCTGCTATAGAAATAAACACTGTCAAAAGAATGAGAAGACAAACTGCATAATAAGAAAAAATATTTACAAAAGATATATCTGATAAAGGACTGTTATCCAAAATATACAATGAACATGAAAAACACAACAAAAAGAAAACTGACAACCCAATTATAAAATGGGCAAAAGAGCTGAACAGACACTATCTTCAAAGATACACAATTGACAAAATACATTTTCTGTTTTCATAGATATTAAACATCATATGTCATTAGGGAATTGCAAATTAAAACTACAGCGTCCACTATTTGGACAGCCAGAATGCAAAATACTGACAACACCAAATGCTGGTGAGGATAGTGGAGCAATAGGAACTCTCATTCATTGCCAGTGGGAATGAAAAATTATACAGCCACTGTAGAATACAGTTTGGCAGTTTCTTACAAAACTAAACATATGTTGACCATATGATCCAGCGATCATGCTCCTTGGTATTTACCCAAAAGAGCTGAAAATGTATGTCCACAGAAAAATCTGCATGGGGATGTTTATAGCAGTTTTATTCATAATTGCCAAAATTTGGAAGCAACCAAGATGTTCTTCAGTAGTGAATGTAAAAACAAACTGTGGTACATTCAGAAAATGGAGTATTATTCAGCACTAAAAATCAATGAGCTATTGCACTATGAAAACACATAGAGGAGGCCGGGTACGGTGGCTCACGCCTGTAATCCTAGCACTTTGGGAGGCCGAGGCGGGTGGATCACAAGGTCAGGAGATCGAGACCATCCTGGCTAACACGGTGAAACCCCAACTCTACTAAAAATACAAAAAATTATCCAGGTGTGGTGAGGAAATTCCAATGCATATTACTAAATGAAAGAAGACAATCTCAGAAGGGTATATACTGTATGATTCCAACTATATGATGTTTGGTGAAAACGAAAGATGAAGAGGCAAAGCACAGATATTTAGGGCGATGAAACTATTTTGTCTGATACTATAGTGGTGGATACATGTCATTATACATTCATCAAAACCCCTAGAATATACAACACAAAGAGTGAACCTATTACAAACTATGAACTTTGGGTGATGATAATGTATATTCAATGTAGATTTATTGACTATAAATGTACCACTCTGATACAGGATGTTAATAAAGGGAGGGCTGTGCATGTGTGGGGGAGGGGGTATAGAGTGACTCTTTGTACTCTGCTCAGTTTAGCTGTGAACCTAAAATTCTCTAAAAATAATGTTTGTTTTAGAAAAAAGCAGTGAGAAAGAGAAAAGAGGCCCTTAACTCAAGAGAAAGCAAACCACACTGCTGGCATTTCTGATAACATACGAGAGCACGATTTTGACAGCCTGTTGGAAAGAGATACTTATTGTTGGGTGCTTCTACTTACTGATTGTATAATGAGTGACAGACCCACCTTTGAAAGGGGCCATGGTTTTAATCCACACAGGTGATAAACACACAATCGCCTTCAGACAGCCAGGTGGCTAGCTCAAAGTCTTAGACTAAGCATGCTTTTCTTGTACCTAGTCCGGCAAACATACATAATCACCTGCTTTTATTTTCATAGAGACTACCTCCTATAAAGCAAACTTTGCATTGGCTCTCCCTGAAGAACTATCCCTCTGTTGCACATCTAAATAAGGTTTTAAGGTATGTTTTCAGTAAATTCATTGGAGATGTTTGCTTCAACAGCAGTCAGGGTAAGTCAAACTGTGTATTTAAGAACTTGATTTGAACTGTTTTATTCAGTACTTCATGTGTAGTAGGTACTTAATAAATATTTGTTGAAATAATGAGTGAATGTGCATTGTTCATTGTTAAAAGCTGAACTTAAAGAAAAGCATTAATTTGAGGAGACAGCTTTAAAGGAAAACAACTGTTCTGGAAGACAGAAAATCTGGGTTCCATTCTCGGCTGAAAAGTTTGTGGCTGTGTCATCATCAACTTAAAAATCTCTGCCTCTCAGGCTCTCAGTTTTGCCATCTGTATTAGATTAAAAAAATAGAAGAATATTTCTACTATTTTATAAAACTCAGTTCATATGTGAAGGAACTAAGGCAAGAAATAATGGAATAAGTAATACTGGATACAAATAAAACCCTTCCAGTTGTGGCTTGTATACTGTAGGGTTTTTAATCTCCTAAACATGCCGAATGTCAAGCTCATAAACCAGAATATTTCTTTTCATTTGTAACACAGAGCTTTGCTAATTGAAGTCACAATGGAATTTTTAATAATAAAACATGCAGAAAATAACTTATAATTAATTCACACATTGAAGTAGTGACAGTGAATGCCAACTTGCCAATGGATCAATATCAATGATTAGAAAACATATCTTTAGTCATTCACCTATTTTTAACTCATAACCCTTTTTCCTACATATACATATTTGGAGTATCCACAGAGGCCTCTTGAAAACAACCACACCTATATTTTATTTTTTGAATAGGTGGAAGCACAAAGTACTTAATTAATGCAGATTTAGGTGTGTTGATTGTTATTCTTTAGCTAATTATTATGATCTAGCACTACTGTTTCCACAGAAATTGTGAGAAAAGACAAAGAGATCTAATGGTAAAAAGACTTTGGAAGTCCAACAGAAAAAAAAAATAAACAGTAGCCTGCTTAACTCACCTGTGTCCTAATATTCTGATGCTTCTTTATCTATAAAAGGATCACTGACTTCCTGGAAACAAGGTTAAATCCATGTAGTTTTTCAACTATTGAAACAATTATATATATAAATATGCATCAGCATTCTATTTACATCTATTCAACACAAATAAGACAAAGTAGGCAAATAAAGTCAAACGTGTATAGTATATTAAAGCCAAGCTTGTCAGGAGTCCAGATCACTCCAATTATGTGCCAGCCTTTGGCACATATGATGTTTTCTACCACCCAAATATATATTTTCAAGTGACCTGAAACACAGTACTTTCTCTTACCCCACTCCATCTATATTATAATATTTATATATATAAAATAGATATATATTTAATATTATATTATATATAAAATATTTATAACATATATAAATATGTATATTTATATATACATATATAAAAATATGTATAACATATTTATATTTATATAATATTTATATATTTATATATATTTATTTATATTTATATTCATATATACACATATATAAATATGTATAACATATTTATATATATATTTATATATGGAGTGATCTGGACTCCTGGACAAGCTTGGCTTTAATATACTATAGACATTTGACTTTATTTGCCTACTTTGTCTTATTTGTGTTGAATAGATGTAAATAGAATGCTGATGCAACACTTTTTTAGCATTTCAAAAGTTCAAACTTGCCAAGGAAAGCAGCTCTATTTTGTCAAGTTATGGTTACTTTTAAAGCTTTAAGCAAAATATTTTAATGTAGGGTCACAAAGGTGTAAAAGAGCAACTGTTTTTGCATACCACCTACAGATCTATAATAATCATATTGTTTTGGGGACTCATTGTCAAAGATCAAAAGACGATTTTCTGTAGTAGGTCTTTATCTTGAGAATTTTAGAAGTCAGATATATCCCTTTATTTACTTGCTTTAGTTAAGCAAAGCAATTCAGTCCAGTGAATGCCAGTTTTCTCTAGAATAGGAAATAAAGTTTTTTTGAAGGAATAAACACGCAAACAACACATTCAAAGGTCAACAAAACTTTGTATTTTCTTAAAACTCTTAAAAGGACAAAACTAGGTAAAAGGTAGAATGAAGCTATAAACAAATACCTGGTTTTCAGATTAACTCTGTGCACACAGCATTTAGCTTTGGCCTTAAGCAAATGTATTTAGTGGCAATTGTGACCTCCAGTATGTAATACATGGTACTCTCAATGTGTATTGGTAGCCAGTTCTCCATGGGTCTCTAATAATTAGTTTCTGCACATCTTGTGAGCAGAGATAGTAACCTCCATTTGTTCTGGACCATCTCTCTGTTCAAGGATGCTTACATAGCAAAGTCTTGGAACATACAGAAAATGTCTCTCTCTGAAGCAAAAGGCTAGTGTATTCATAGCCTTGTAAGATGGAAATTGTATCTCCATTTAGAACAAAGGAAATGACCACTTACTGTCCCCTACTGAGAGACAGGACTAGCTGGATTTCCTAGGCAGACTAAGAATCCCTAAGCATAGCTGGGAAGGTGACAGCATCCACCTTTAAACAAGGGTCTTGCAACTTAGCTCACACCCGACCAATCAGAGAGCTCACTAAAATGCTAATTAGGCAAAAACAGGAGGTACAGAAATAGCCAATCATCTATTGCCTGAGAGCACAGCGGGAGAGACAAGGATCGGGATATAAACCCAGGCATTAGAGCTGGCAAGGGCAACCCCCTTTGGGTCCCCTCCCTTTGTATGGGAGCTCTGTTTTCACTCTATTAAATCTTGCAACTGCACTCTTCTGATCCGCGTTTGTTATGGCTCCAGCTGAGCTTTCGCTCGCCGTCCACCACTGCTGTTTGCCACTATCGCAGACCCACTGCTGACTTCCATCCCTCCGGATCCAGCAAGGTATCTGCTGTGCTCCTGATCCAGCGAGGCGCCTATTGCCACTCCCTATTGGGCTAAAGGCTTGCCATTGTTCCTGCACGGCTAAGTGCCTGGGTTCATCCTAATGGAGCTGAACACTAGTCACTGGGTTCCACAGTTCTCTTCCGTGACCAATGGCTTCCAACAGAGCTATAACACTCACCACATGGCCCAATACTCCATTCCTTGGAATCCATGAGGCCAAGAACCCCAGGTCAGAGAACACGAGGCTTGCCACCATCTTGGAAGCCTCCGGCTACCATCTTGGAAGCGGCCCGCCACCATCTTGGGAGCTCTGAGAGCAAGGACCCACTCCCCGACCCCTGTAACACTATAATAAAGAGAATGTTTTTCTCTGGAGCAAAGAACAAACAGGCTCATACAACAGACCTGGTGTTCTTCAACTCACAGGTCTTCTCGTGTAACATACTCTATGGTGTGCACTAGTGTAACCTGCATTGCCCTGTGGAAACTGGGCTTAACAAAACTAGCCCAAATGATGACACTCTGGCTACCGCTACTACTGTGAAGAATGAACTGTCCTTTGTCTTTGACCCAGGAGTCTTCTGTTTTCTATCACTACTCATGAAACTATGTGTGACAGGCTATCTTTAGAGCTTGCAAAGAGGATAAAATCTCAGACCTTTCACAATTCTTGATATTATTCAGAGTCATTCACTGAAGTAAAGCTTGCTTAAATGTTTCCCTGCCTGACTAGAGCTTGGAAGGTAAAAAGAGGACAGAGGACCTCAGGAAAAAAACAATACTACCCCTTGTCAACAGAATCATCATTATAATACAGAGTTCCTTTCAGGCAATTAGCATGTTAATTTTAACAATAAAAAAGCATCTAGCCTATGGGTAATCCAGGTAGAGAGTATTTCTAATAAAACGAGTTGCTTTTAGTATTTTCTCCCCTCCCCAGATTTATTGACGTAAAACTGACAGAAAATTGTATATATTTAAAATGTACAACTTGATGTTTCATATGCATTCTGAAATGATCATCACCATCAGTTAACATATCCATTACCTCACATATTTACCATTTATTTTCTTTCTGTGTGCTTGTGTGGTGAGAACACTTAAGATCTACCCTACTAACCAATTTTGAGTATACAATAGTGTTAATTATAGCCTCCATACTGTACATTAGATATGCAAAACTTATTCATCTTGCATAACTGAAACTTTTACAAACATCTTCGTGATTTGATTTTTGCCTAGGCCTCTTAAATGACTAAGAAAGCATTTTTGCTAAAACTCAAATATTTTTTAGATTCATTTTTCCCATTTATAAAATATACGGAACTATTACATGTACTTTGATCTTATTAACCTAGGACTCTGATTTTTTAATTATTCTTCAATAGTTCTTGCACAATCACAAAAACGGGTAGGATGGTGTCAGTTAATAATGAGATATAATTTATCAGAAAAAAATAAAAAATTTTTCAAACATAATTTATTTTATTAGAAAAATTATGAGATTTATCAATAATATTCAGCCTTTTTGGTATATACAGAATAAACATATCAATATATTAATTGGTATAATCCTTACTATTTAGTTAATTAATTCTTCAACTAATATTCTTTTAACTCCTCTGACCGAGGACATATTTGCTCTCAGATGGTGGTCCAAACTGCTTCCTGACCTCTGCAAAATACATTAACATTTTAAAGGACCTTTCTTGAATATGCTGCCAGCAATCACATACGTCAGAAGCGATAGCAAATTTTTTCCTCAGTCAGGAAATAATGCTCCTGGGTCTGCCTGAAGGTTCACACCCTCTAAGAAGTCAAAGTTTTGATGTTTTCTTTAATGTTTGTCTCTTTCCCTAGAGTTCTCTACTGCCACTCTTCACCAATCCACATCTATCACTCTTTAATATCGAAAGTTAAAAAAATCACATCCCACAAAGGAATTCTTTGAATTATACTGTACTATCATAAATAGCAACCCTCTTAGGAATTATTAAATCATGTACACCCTTTGCCCCATTTGCTCAGTAACTACCTTTACAGATAAACATTTTGATTTAGTAAGTAAGAGAACCATAAGTCAATTTAGATTTGTGGAGGTAGCTCTGCACTACAAAGTTGGACATAGTAGTATCTGGTTAAATAGAGATAAAAGCATTTTAAGGACTTTAAGTGGTCCCACTAGGTATACTCAAAGAATACTCTTGTCTGTCCTCATAAGATCTTCCCTCAAGCCTGACTTTGATTATAATCATCAGCAAACAATGTAGCAGTGTGATCAGCACTGTAGTTAAGAAAAAAGGTTGTAAGCTATGTAACTGACCCCAAAAGGATTTAACCAGCAACCAATTAGATACACGTTAATATGCTGAACTATTAATACATACATATTACATCATTATAAATATAGCCAGGGGTTAAATTGGGATGGAAAATTACAACCAAGCAAGTAGTGAGAAGAAAGGGATAATGGAGAAATGAGAATAAGAAAAGGCCAAGAATAGAAATGAAACAGGGAGCCAAAATGGTAAAGAAAAAGGAGCACAGGGTTTGTAATTAGGTAATGTGGGTTTAAGTTCTAGTTCTGTCTTGATTGCAGATAACGCTAAGGTTTTAATGAAATAACCAACAACTCCCAAATCTCAATGATGTACAAAATGAAGTGATTTAAAACCCTTCAGTTCTTATTCCACGACAATCTCTAATTGTTAGGACATTTTACTCATCATAGTTATTTAGGCAGTTTGGAATACTTAAGTAGCCCCCACCTTGAACAGACGCTGTTTGCAATGCTTCAGAAAAAAGAGAGTTCTGGAAGATTTTACAATTGTGATCCAATGTGAATTATGATATAATTCAGCCCAGATGCATTGCATGGCACTTCTGCCCCCAACTCATTAGCCAGAACTAGACACATGGTCCTAACCAAGCACAAAAGTGCCAAGACATGTAAGCCTATGTTACTATCACATGAATGTGGGGAGAACAGGAAATACATTGCATACAGGCCAAATTACTACAAAAGTACTCATTCTGTAACCTCTATTAAGTTATTTAGACTGCGTATCTCCAAATACTGCTGTCTGGCTTTCCAGCTGTGACATTAAGAAATTAGTAAATATCTATGAACTCCAGTTTCCCCGTTTACAAAATAGCAATAAAATCACTTATGCCATGAGAATATTCATATAATAAAGTAACCTAATGTATGGAATATAGCTAACAGAGTACCCGCTATACAATCAATGCCCAGTGACATGTTAAGTCAAGTTCATCATGGCTGTTCTGAGTACACTAATTCTAAAGACGGCTCAAAATTTGCCAGTGTCCAAGGAACTTTCTCACAAATGCACAAGACTGTCAATAGTCACTACACTGTGCTCACACACAGATTTTGGGTCACAGACCTGCAATTAGGATGGTTAAGTATTGCTTCCTCGTGAGTCTTCATGGGGAGGTTGGCCTAAATGAGGACTGCAACAACCATCAGGAGAAGACATTCATTTCAGAAATGGACATGGGGATTCTATGGTTGTGCTTATGGAGGAACAAGAAAAACAAACTGAAAGAACATAAGATATTTCTCCTGAGGTCAATGTCATTTTGCTTTACTATCATCATCGTCTTTATTTATTTTCTGGCCTTTTCGTCCCTATGTCTGCCCTACCTTTGCTTTTACCTGCCTTTAAGGACCTCATTAGTTCTCACTCTCTCTTGTCCTTGGTAAAGTTACTTTACCTCTCTGGGTTTTAATAATGCCATGTGAATAAACAGGAATAATATTCCCTACATCCCAGGATTATTATATAAATTACAATAATTAATGTATATGAAACCACCTAGCATGATATGAGTATGCAATATTTAAGTTAAAATGGTAAATAAAATCCACTTTTGGAATTTGGATTTGGTAATTGTATTTTACAAATCTAGAGAGTGAATGAATTCCTACATATGATGTTCCATACATGCTTGTTAAGTAAACACATGGGATAAAACATATGATCGGTTTCCTCTCTTATCTGTGGATTATAAGTAAGATTTCTACAATTAGCATGATAGATTGTTGTGTCATTCATTTCTATCTCAAGATACAGACAAATTTTCAATTACATTTATGTTTACATATAGTTGTAAATGATATGCCTGCATATTTTTATATTTGTATCTACAACATTTCAATGTAATCTGACAAACAGGTCTCATATTTTCCTTTTTGATTCCAAAATTGGATTCATTATATGGCTGGCACACAAATATTTGGTAAAAATGAGCTCTATATATCTCTTTGTTCAGATTCAAAGTACTTACATTCTTCTAGGAAAAATGTAAAATGTGACTTATCAGACCTGAAGATCTATTTTGTATATTATTTATTTTATACTTTTCTAGTCAATAAGTAATATTTAACATTAGCAAAATATAATCTAAATGGATTTTGCATTATTTGTCTTAAAATACAAATATTTACATTTTTGCAATTTAAATAAATCATATAGGTTAAAAATAATGAATAAGAGAAAATTAATTTGTATGATGCTATTAAAATAATTTATTTTTAAAATTTGAAGTATTGTGCTGCTGTTGACTTTAGTTTGATAAATAAAAAGAAATTTTACTTATTTTAATTATTAACTAGATAAATAGAAATATATATATGTATATATGATACATATGTTATCTTGTTTTCAGCCTTATTAGAGCCATCTGATAAAGTCATTTGTTCGCCATAATTTATTGAACGTGTACCATGTGCCCAATACTATCCTTATTTTGGAGCAAGATGAAAAGTAGTTCACATCCTAATGAAAGAAAACATCCAACAAACTAAAAAATACGTAAAGTATATGTCTTGACAAATGGTGTCGAGTTTTGTGGATGAAAACAAATCAAAGAAATTGATAGGGAATGTTTTTGGCTTGTCATTTTCAATCATTGTTTGGTAAGGTCTCACCAATAATGCGATGTATGGACCCAGTGGGTTCATAATGGGAATCAGTGGGAAAAGGAAGGCCAGAAATTTCTGGGATCCTAATCTTGACTGACACAAACAGAAATAAAAGCTCTAATACAATCTTCAAGGTGTCAGAGAAAAGAAGGTAATTCCTGAGGGCTGAATATGAGGGTTGACAATGAGTACAAAGTGTAAGATGGGGTTTTTACAGGGACTTGTACAACCCAGGATTCCTAGTCATTCCTGTCAAACATACACTTTCTCACACAAACAGACACACACACATTCACCAAATCTCATCTCTGCTCAAAGTTGTTTGAAAGTTAGATATGACCAGGCATTCTCTGTCTCTACTTTTAAAACCAACAGTCATTTATTATTTCTATTTAGCCATAAAGACATACAGATATATAAAATATTAGAAGGTGACTTCAATGATTTTTGGTAGGTATTAGTGCTTCTCGAACAACTTTAACTCAGTGTGTTATTTCTTTAAAGCTTTACTAAACCTCAACACATAAGTTTTTCTTTAGCATCCAAACATAATTGAAAATAGTTTGTTTATAAAGGTATATACTAACACATTAAAACCGGTGGTATGATATTTAGCAAGGGAACAATCAGAAAAGCATCATCATGCATTCATTTTTCTGCCGTTGATTTAATTAAACAGTGTCTCTTATGTTCACAGCACCAGAAATAAAAGGATGTGAAAGAAAAGCATAATTCCTCATTTCAAGACACATAACTTAGGGCAGACAAACAGCACAGAATAAATATTCAATGGGTACATAACAATATATACCAAATTGCTATATTAATAATGTGTTCTGAGAACATTAAGAGTTATTATTTCTAAACTTCAGCTGGGGATAAAACTGATTATTAGTCCATGAGGTAGGAGAAAGCATTGATAATTGAAAAGTGGTAGGTTAAGGGCAATTTTCCAATTGCATATGTCAAGACTAGATACTTTAAAAACTTATTTATTTTCACATGTAACTGAATTTTTACAATGATTTTGACATTAAAGTATATTTTTACATTATACTTACTTCCTTTTTTGTTGACTATCGAATCTATCCTTCATATTATCCCAATTAATATATTTAATAAATGTGTGCATTTAGAAAATTCCTTCACCTTTTTGTGACTTAATTTATTGCCTATAAAATGAAAATAGTTACTTCTTCATAAGATTGCTTTGAAGATTAAATCAGATAATACATTGAAGAGCTTAGCTTAATGTCTGGTACACAAAAGTCCCAGTAAAGATTGGCTATTTTATCAAAATATTTGATACTTACAAAATAATTTCAGCAAAAATATATGCAGTGTAAATGCATATATTAATTCCAAGGGGAAAAAAAATCTATTTGTTTATTTCAAAAGTCTTTCTTATAGACAAGTTGAATACGAAATTTTACAAATATATAAAGTTTTCTCCAATAATTAGTATGTTATTTTTGATGTTTTTCCTACTTTCTTAAAACTCAAAAATGTATTATGAAATTTTATGTGATTTAATAAAAAGTTGAGAATATTATTTTCAGTATCATGGACTGCTGTTAAAACATTAGCTTAATTTATTATAAGTATTTAATGTTTATAATTTATTATATGCCTAAATATCAGTTTATTTTATACTTCAAAACATTTAACATAAAAAGTGGAGTATTTGTCCAACATTAGAAAACCCCATATTGTGAAAATTTCTAAAAATTTCTATGGAAAGAAATCCTTTGCTAACCTATATATCTGCAGACAGTGTAGATAATTTTTTGTTTATCTTATAACAAAGCTAAGCATAGGACATAACACTTATTTAGTTTAAAATCTTCTAAAATCACAATTAATATGGGAGTAATATAAATTATCTGGTAGATTGGGTTTCATATTTACTTCTTTATAAATTTATTAGTATTACTGTAGGTAAATTCTAATAATTATGTTTTTAATGGGCTATCTCTATTCTTTGTCAAGAAGTAGTTCTCGAAATTGTAAATTTCCAAATTTACTGCTATTTCATGTATTAAAATGTGCATTTTAAAAATAATATGGAAACTACTGAAAGCATATTCTGAAATAAGTGCTCCTAAGTGAATAATAAACCAGAAAACTAATAGCTTAGTTTATAATTGGCAGGCACTATGAGCAGATTCAGAATATTGACTGTACCTTATGTCGCAATCTCATTAGAGGCTGATAGGATTTAAGGCCATATCCTCCTTCTTTGGTTGGCCTTCCTTCCGACTCCAGAAAAATGAATCCGAGAACCAAGACAACTGACCAGCACTTAAACATCCTTATTGCTTTTCACCTGTCAAAATTAAAATTGCAAGGAATCAGAGAAAATGAATTATATATTAAAAAACATGTATCATGAAATATTTAATATCACATATAAATCTCCATTAATCTAATCAAAACTTGCTGGTAGTTGCCAAGGGAAATGAGAAGTGAGTATCTCCAAATACGGATTATTCCTTTGATCATAACAAATACTTTTTTTCATTCAGACAGCTATATAAAATATGGAATGAGAAGAAATATAGGGACTGATAAAAATGTGGTAAGAAAAAAGTTAATAAAAAAAGGTTGAAAGAAAAGGGGAAAATAGAGAAAATATTGCATTATACTTAATTTTCTAATTATCGGTACAGAATACAATTATTAATATATAAATATTGAACTTTGAGTATGTTTGATGAACAAATCTTAATAGACTTACCGTTATTATAATTCACTGGTAAATATTGATGAGAAGTTAATAAGATAGTCTATGATAGGTAGTACTTAATAAATTAACTGAGTACAACAGAAGTTATGCAGGTGGATTATATTTAGTTATTAATGTACTTTTTCAGTATTTAAAAAGGCATTTCCTAGAAAATTGCTTTACAAGCACTTTAAACTAAAAGTTTTATGTCTACTTCAGCCTTTCTATGTTTTTGGATATAAATAAGTTGTAAAATGGCATAAACTCATTATTGTATAAATACTAAGTCCTTTTCAAACATACAAATCTAAGCTTTGAGTTCAAGTATATCCTGCTTTATCACTTTCGCCAACACACCTCCTTCCCTACTGTGACAGAGAGCAGCTTTTTCTTCTGTCAAAGCCAATCTGTTATGTCTGATTTCTTGGGAAACTTAATCAATTGATTAGCATTGCTCTATGCTGTATTTTGGGTCTGTTTTAGCGACAGGGTCTCACTTTGTTATGTAGGCTGGAGTGCAATGGCACCATAAATGACCCTCCTGTCTCAGCCTCCCCAGTAGGTAGAATGGCAAGCGTGTGCCATCAGGCCGAATTAATGTTTTATTTTTACTTTTCAGAGACAGGTTCTCACTATCTTGTCCAGGCTAGTCTTGAACTCCTGGTGTCAAGTGCTTCTCCTGCCGTGGCCTCCCAAAGCACTGGGGTGACAGGCATGAGCCACTGAGTCTGGTTCTTGACTGAATTTTAAACTCCCTTTCTCAATTATTTTCTTCCATCTTTAGACAGGCAGAAATGGCCTGTGTTTGAAGGTAACTTCTCTCCTCTACTTTCTGAATTTCTGGAATAGTTATATATACATCATTCCATCCATTTTTTCTTACCCTAGTTCACTCAGTCACGCTTCTGACCTCATCAGGCCATTAAACTGACTTTTTAGCTTTCTCAAAGCTAACCGACACAATCACACACACACACACACACACACACACACACACACACACACCAGTGGGCATTCCTAATCCATTCTTACAAGACGTATGGTGGCCATTCCATGTTGTTGTTGTTCTTGTTGTTGTTTTGTGGAAGAAATTGTCACTTTCTTTGGTGTTTATAACACTTCTCTCTTCTGTTTCTGTAGATTTTGTGAAAACTCCTCAGTCCTTTAGTAGGTTCAGCCTATTGCTTTATTTTGCCATTAAATATTGTGGTTTATCAAATCTCATTGCTAGCTACCTGTATTCCTGCTTCATTCATTCAGCCCAGGTTATCTCAACATCATCTCTGGTCTTAATTATATATATTGCTTCACACCCAACCTCTAGATTGGTATATCTTGCTTACTTAACAGTTCCACCTTCATGTTTCAAAAACAGCCCTCGTAGTATGCACACCTTCACATAACACCACACTTTTCCAGATTTTCATTCATCTGTGTACTTAAACCAGAAACCAAGGAAACATCTTTGATATCTCTTGTTTACCCTTTAGATTAAACTCATCATTAATTCTTTTATATCTACCTTCTAAATACATTCCCAAACTTTGCTTCCCCTCCAAATTGACGGTCCCCACTCTATTGCAAGCTGTCAAGACGCTTCTCACCTAAACTGCCCCAACCACATCCTCGCTAGTCTTCCACATTTCTATATATGCATCTTAAGTCCACTCTCCACACAAGAGCCTGAGTGATCATGTTATTGCACTCATTAATAACTTTAGCATATTTTCACGTACTTTTAAGATAAAAACCAAAATCCCTGACCTAGCTGACAAGTTCCCAGTGTCTGAGCTCTATGTGTTTCTCTCTCCCTCTAGATATCACCTCCTGCGACACTAAACTTCATTCAGTTTTTTGAACTTATTTTGCCTGTCTCTGCTATAAGGCTTTTGTAAGGTATTTTCTCCACTTGAAATATGGCCCTTTCCCCCTGCCCCATTTATCACCCAAAAACTTTCACACATCAGACATTTCTCTCAAGAATCCCTTCCCTGAGTTACTTGTTTTAGTTACGCATTCCCATAGATCAGTTTTCCTTCATTTCAGGGATGTAATTATAAATCATAACCATGATTATTTGAAAAATGTGGGTCTTCTCCATTAGATATCTTTTTTCTCATCCAAACTTTGTTAATGCAGGAAATTGTTTGCTTTTATTTTTGTTTTCTTCAGCATTACATCACCTGGGCCTAGCAAATAGCCCAGAACAATACATGAATGCATAAATGTCATTCTGCATTCAAGGATAAAATAAAGATCATGTTTCCTTACATTCTGATAATGTTGAATGCAATTCCTATTTCCACTGATGCTACAAAGCTTCTGAAAACTAACCTGAGCAAACTAAATATTTTCATTTGCAACCCATCCCCCTTTTTTTTGTCATTTTGATGTATAGCCTAATCCTTTTCTCAGAGGTAAATATTTGTTTATAAGACATCTGGATGGAAGATATTAAATCCAAGATAGAGCCAAAAATAAAGCAAAAAGGACCAGCTCAAGTTAAGAGATATTTTCCACAAGGTTCTGAATACATCTGCTGCTTCTGTTGTCCACGAGGAGAGTCAAGAAAGAGGCATGAAAACAACTTCCTTCCACCCTGACTGAGTACAAGTGAGGTCAGAAATTTCTTTAAAGTGCTCAGTTAAGATTTCTCTTTCTCTGCCCTCCCTCTCCTTTTCTCTCTCTCTTCTTCCCTCTCTTTCTCTTTGTGTGTGGACACACACACACACACACACACACACACACACACACACATATTCTATATGACTACAAATATTTCATGCATTATAAAATATAGAGCAAATTAACAACTAACTTTAATAAGTTACTAAAAATCTTATAAAGCTTCTGTTAGATCCCATGCATTCAGACTTAGATCAACATTATCCTGAAATATTTTATCTACCCAAAGGCAGTAAGCTAGAAATATCTACCTTACATTTCACTAAAAGTCGATACAAATAAGTCAGTGTGTAAATCTTCAAGGCTGTATAGGCAACCTATTTGTGCTATTTTCATCTACATCTCTTATATGATTAATCATAATTAATTGTTTTCATTGATAGTCCTAAGATTTCCAAGTCCCAAATTTCTCAGTAATACAAAGTTATACAAAAATAAATATACATATATGCTTTACCTCAGCAAAATTTATGATATGACTGGATTGATTTACTGGTATCACAAATAAAACTAAACAGAACTAATATTAAAAGTCAGATCGTCAGAAGTCAGTTTTCCTTAGGAAAACTCTGATTTCTGTTACACATAGGCATTTGAGCTCAGCAGTGCAGAGGTAATAGCCAAAAAAGACCAGAGAAAGAACAAAACCTAGTTTCTGTGCTCCTCTTTTGTAAATAACTACTTTGTAATTTTTTTCTTCATTGAAATATTACTAAGAAAAACAAATGAATCCAATTATATAGTTATCAAACAGTAACCTAAATTAAAAAATGGCTCTTCTCAATGTATGCTCAGAGAATCATGATCATCTTCTTATTTCTCTTTAGATACAAAATCCAAATATATCATTATTATATCTTTAAAAGTTCACTCATCCACAGAAAGTGTTCTGGAAATTTTTTGTAAATCAGCAGTAATCGATCCCACCATAAACAGTGTCGTAATCTCACTTTCTTAGTATAGTAACCTCTGACAACCTGTTAGGTTTTCAGAATTAATTGGCAGTTTGTTGACAGCTCACTGACAACACTGAAAAGCACGTGACTAAAACAAACCAGCTGGAACAGATGGTGCAATAATGATCCTGTGACTTTTCCTTGTAACCTCCATCTTCACAGGAAAGCATCAGAAAACAACCTCATTATTAACTTGAAGAAAACAAAATGCATGTGTATCTAAAAGTATCTGCCTAACTTCAGATCTAACAAAGTGAGACTTTAAAATGGTGAGGGGGTGGGCAGAGATCTCTCTTCTTCAAAAGATAATATGTTTCTTTGAATCAAGCCATTTTTATTTTCTCCGCATGGCAAAACATGCCATGCTGCTTGCTGGGGGTAGGATTTAGAGTAATTACGTTATTTAGTAGATTCAAATTTGAGGGATTTTGATATGTTTACATATTCTCCAGAATGTCACTTCTAATCACTTGGGAAAACTAAGACCACTGAAGCATTGCCTTAAGAATAAAATGCAGCATTTGAGAAGAAGAAAAGTGTCGTAGCATGCCTTTGAATGAAAAGAGTGTCGAGATGAAGCAAAATCTCCAACATTATCAATTGTTGCAGAGAGGTTAAGTATCCTCACCTGCCTCTCACTCTGTTGTGAGTGGGCCATTTCAGGTTCTTGACTTAATGGCACAAAAGACTTTGAGAGCAAATTCAAAGTAAGAGTATGCAAAGAAGTTTATTGCAAAGCAGCAGTGCACTGTGAGACGTAGAGCAGGCTGCTCAAAGGGTGAGGCTGCAGCTAGTGCCTTAAGAGGAATTTCTTTTATGGGAGCTGTATGTGAATATTCATAAAATACTGCTGAAGTAACGTGTGCCAAGGCCGACCTCTAATTGGCTCATGCGCTCAGTATCTACATGCTGTAACACACTTCGCATGTACCGTTAGCATATAAAATCTCCACGTAGGTGTGGGCTTTTACCACTAAAATGAGGAAAGGGTTACTATAAGTTAAATCTTGAGCTTAGCTGTGCATGCAAGACCCCAGAGAAGTCCCTGCCCCCTGCCACCCAACTCCCACCCGCAGGCAGGAATTTGTAGCTAATAGCTTCTTGGGCTTTTGGTGCTAATTGGCTGGAGGTTGGGGAGGCTACATCAGGAATAAGGGGCTTTTGTTCTCTTTCCCAGGCGGTGCTAGATATCAGGAAGCTGTAGTCTTTTGGTGGTCTGCTGGTATCCTGTAGGACCGCTTACCTTTTAAAAGAGTTAGAGGCTGATGCAGGAAGGTGCAAGGGAAAAGAGCCCGCGAGGCTTCACACAAGGGAGACATCGGTATGGCCTCCTAGCCTTACTTACCCTGCCACAACTCCATAATGGAAAACTCCTCACCCTGTCCTAGAAAAATTCTATGGGTCTTTTCAGAGGTAAGTCCAACCTGATTCTTTGTGAGACCTTCTCTGACATTACCCAGGCTTTCTGTTCTCTGCTGCAATTTTTCTGTATCTTTCTTATGTGACTTCACCTCACACTGTGGCTATTGCTTTTAGAAAGGCTATCACTCTTACAAAGATGTAAAAGAAAGTAGTTTAGATGTACTAAACTAGTACCCACAGTCTAGCAAGTTTCTTACATTCCACAGACTTCTGGCTTTATTATGCAGCAGAAAAGAGCTGTAAATGCTCACTAGTGCCTTTTTTCTTTTCTGGTATCCTAGAATTCTGTGAGACAGGAAAACTGACTTCTAGACTACCTTGGGTCTTACTGTGTAACCTAAGCAAAACTGATTACCCTGGGTGGGCCCCATCTGTCAGAGGGGATTTACGATCCAATATAGTGTAGCACCTGTACCAGATTATTCCATCTGAGTAGATTTATCAAGTTGGAGAAGAGAAAGGGGGAATAACAGGTTTGGGAGAGCAAATGGCATTTTCTTTTTGGAGATGCCTTTTGGTAGTCCAAATGGAGATATTAGCTAAGCATTGGGATATAGGAACCCGGAGTTTAGCAAAGAGATATGGGCTAGAGATACCTGTTTGGGGTTCTTAACATTTATAAATCATCCAATCTAGGTGCGAGACAGGAGAAGGATGTGATTAGAGAGGAGAAGAGGTCCAAAGACTATGCTGTCAGGCAGGTTTAGTCGAAACACATTATATATTTCTAGAAAATAAGAATACTGAAATGGTAAATTTGGAAAAATAAGAGATGAAAAATTTTATTCAAATGAAATGACTGGAAGCCACAGCTCTCCTCATCATCTGAATTGCTACCTGGCTATTGGCTTGTTTATTCTCTGTATCCAACCACAAAGTTAACTCAGTAAAGACAGAACTATGTTAATCATTTCTGTAAATTAAAGTGGTACTTGGCCCCCAGTATAATCTCAATAAATATTTTTGGGTAAATAAAATAATGAATAAATTGATAAAAATTAATTAATTTGAAATAGTAGGTACACATTAAGTGATTTTTATTATTCTTTATGGAATTGAAAATATTTGTTTGAATTGACAAGTGAGTCGAAAAATTAAGTTGCAGTTATCGCAAAAAGCCCTTTCTTTTACACTTGGATCAAAACTAGGCTTTCAATGGGAAGTTCTTTTGGGAAAAACCTCCCTTGTCAAGGACAGAAAAGCTTTTTATTCCTTACCTTAACCGGAATTGGAAGGACCGGAGTGGCTTCTCTAACATCCATCAGGCAAGTTTGTTTGTTGTAACAGTTATTTTCATCTATTGAGACACTTTAACTACACACCTACTACTGTGAACTCTGTGGTTGAATTCTAATTTAATATTTTTCTTAGGAAAAAGCATTCTCCAAAGAGTCTTTTTTTTTTTTGACGGAATCTCGCTCTGTCGCCCAGGCTGGAGTGCAGTGGCGCGATCTCGGCTCACTGCAAGCTCCGCCTTGCGGGTTCACGCCATTCTCCTGCCTCTGCCTCCTGAGTAGCTGGGACTACAGGGCCCCGCCACCACGCCTGGCTAATTTTTTGTATTTTTTAGTAGAGACGGGGTTTCGCCATGTTAGCCAGGATGGTCTCGATCTCCTGACCTCGTGATCCGCCCCGCTCGGCCTCCCAAAGTGCTGGGATTACAGGCGTGAGAAGAGTCCAGTTTTATAAGAGCAATGGATTCCCTCTTTCAGAGAAGTGGATTTTCTCCATTAAGCAGCACATTCTCCTCATTAGAGAATTGGCTGCCGCCCCGTCATTGTACCAGCTGCAAATACTTTTTCTAACTAGCACCATTTACAACAAAAACAAGGAATTACTGCCTTTCATGTTGTATATCCATAAAGAAGAGCAAGAAAGGGAAAACAGATCCTATACATCCTACTAGATATAGTAGGGTAGTACCAGATGGTACTTAATTCTCCAAAAATATTTTCAGTAAGTATTATTGCCTATATATGACTACCATAAAGAAAAATAAAAGCTTATACAGATGAAATGTCCAAGTTTAAAAAGTTAGTAGCAAGGCTGACTATAATAAAATCTGATTTATTCTTGTTATTTAATACTACTTTTAAGACACACATACAAGGTGAGAGAACCTCCTGAGGCCAGAAATTCAAGTTGAAGACCAGACTGGGCAATATAGCAAGACCCCCTCTCTAAAAAATATATTAAAATTAGCCAGAAATGTAGGTGTGCACCTATAGTCGTAGCTACTCTACTTGGGAGACTTAGGTGGGTGGATTGCGTAAGCCCAGAAGTTTGAGGCTGCAGTGAGCCATGATCATACCATTGCACTGCAGCCTGGGCAACAGAGTGAGATCCTATCTCTCTTAAAAAAAAAAAAAGGTGCACACAATGAATCAGATAAAAGATACTTCCTGTACAAGAACTATCTGCACAGAAAAAACAACTAATTATTCATACTGAATACTTCTGGAAGAGGGAACATTTCACTTAAATTTGCTTTAGATCAAGGTAAGTGAAGATACAAGTTAAACAAATGCTGTAATAATGAATGCAACTAGCCATGTGACTGCTATGTCCAGATTGTATGTAAAAGGCCTTCCAAATCTATATGAAAACACTAGCAAACATGGTAATTTTTTCAGTTCTTTTTTACAGAGGATTTTATGCTTTAAATTGGGACAAAAATTATACCCATTTATGGGGTACATTTTTAATGTATAGGCATAATATTAATATCAATGTAGAATGATTAGATCAGGGTAAGTTGCATATCCATCACCTTAAACATTCATTTCCTTGTGTTGAGAACATTCAATAGCTTCCTTCTAGCTGTTTGAAACTACATAATATATTACTGTTAACTGTAATCATCTTACAGTGCTATAGTACACTAGAACCTATTCCTCCCATCTGGCTCTAATTTTATATCATTTACCAAATCTGTCCCTGTGCCCCCTTATCCCTACCCTTCCCAGGCTCTAGTATCCTCCATCTCTAGTTTTAAATTATTTGTCTTATTGGTCCATACTGTGAAAATATCCAACATTTTTCAATGCAGTGCTCCATGTTGAAAGATTACAACATACACAGTACACTTTTTTTCTTAGTATGTGGGATAAGAATATAATTTTAAGTAATAAATAAAAAGAATTAAGACCATTAATTTAATTTTACCCTTTCAAAAAAGGAGAAAATTTTTCTTCAGTGACATCTCAGTCATTAATTTGGAGGAACAAACTTTCCAAATTGTAATCAATTATACCTTTCAATCACCAGCTTAATTTGAGGCTAAATGTAGATAAAATAATTGCATTGTTATTTTAGAGGTACTGAGATGTAAAACGTACAGGAATTTGAGCTTGCATTAGGAGAAAGTATTCACTCTTAGTTCCATTATTTTGTTTCAAATAGAAATGTTTATACTCTGCTTTAAACAAATGGTACTTACGAAAGCCCCACATTATTAGAACCATGTTATGTGGTAAATATTTGTTGTCCAAAACCATCCACACCTTGAAAAACTATATTGTAGTTATATTAACTCCTTTGGTACACAAAAACACATTTTAAAGCAAAATGTTTAAGAACAACATAATACATCATAGAACACAAGAGAACAGAACTGAAAACCATCCTAGAGACTTAGTCCAACCCCTTCTTTTAATATTTGAAGTAAATGAGAACAAGTGAAATTAATTTGAAAGAGTAGGTATACATTAAGTGATTTTTATTATTCTTTACATAATTGAAAATATTTGAATTGACTGTGAAGTGAGTCAAAAAATTAAGTTGCAGTTATCACAAAAAGTGAAGTTAACAGTATGCTCATGATAAAAAGTGGTTCTAGAATACAGCTGTCCTTATTCCTAGCATAGTATTTTAAAAAATACTACAGCATACCTGACTATAACCTCTTCACTATGGAAAGAAAAAACACACATGTACAAGTGCTTAGTGTCTAAGAAATTTTTTAACAGCTATGTCTCTGTGAAGCATAGTAAAATTGTTTTTACTACTCACTAGAATTTCTAAAGTCAACTGAAAGGACATCATAGTAACCATCTTTATAGAATCATCTATTTGAGTAGAAGTTTTGGAGTTTTTGGTTCATACATTTGGTTTCTCACAATGATGTTCACTGAGAGTATGCTTATATATAGTTATGGTTCTAGTTATATACAAAGATGGTTACAGTTATGGTTGTATATAAATATATATAATTTTGAATTTGTATGTAAATATACATTTAGTTATTGATATATAGATATATAAACATATAGATGTTTATAATTATAGCTATACAGAGATGGTTATATATAGTATAGCATATATACTTTAAAGCATTTTTGACAACTTTGAAACAGAACAAACCTTTACTAAAACTTAGCCAAGGAAATTTCTTTTAAGTTGCATAATATTACAGTAGGCTGGGACTTCAAATCTTATATACTAATATCTCAAATTTAGGTCCAAAAAAGCAATACAACATATAGTGACTCATTTTTTACCTCTCAAAACAAGTCCCTGGACTGCATTGTAATATATTCATGATTCAATAGTGAAAAGGTGCATTACATATTGACTGAATTGAAACTAATTCTACATGTCCATTTTTAAACTAAAAAACATATTGTCTGCCTTCAGAACTGGGGATTATGTATGTTGGTATACACACAGAATGGACCATCAGTCTCCCACCTTGCTGAAAGCGGAGGTCTGTATCATGGTGTAAAATGACTGGTTAAAATGATGTCCTAATATGGCCAAAATAATGTGATATATCTCAGTATGTTGTACTTAGCTCTTCTCTACTGTGTATCAGCTTTGCTTATATATGACAGTATCTAAAAAAAAGTTACTTCAATATTGACCCTTGAACAAGACTGGTGTGAATTGCACGGTTCCATTTATACACAAATTTTCTTCTACCTCTGCTATCCTTGAGAAAGCAAAACCAACCTCTCTTCTTCTTCCTCCTCAGCCTACTCAACATAAAGATGATGCAGATGAAGACCTTTATAATGACTGACTTCCACTTAATGAATAGTAAATATATTTTTCTTCCTTATGGTTTTCTTAATAACATTTCTTTTCTCCAGTTTACTTTATTGTAAGAATATAACATATATTAACATAACATACAAAGTACCTGCTAATTGACTGTTTATGTTATAGGCAAGGCTTCTTCTGGTCAGTAGTAGGCTATTAATAGTTAAGTTTGGGGGGAGTCAAAAGTTATATTTGAATTTTATACTGTGCACGGGGTTGGCACCCTATACCCTGTGTCATTCAAGGGCTAACTTTATTTCTCAAAACTGTACCAATTCAGAAAAAGTACTTTTAATAGCAGCAACATACTATAGTAGAAAGAACAATAGGTTAAAAGTCAAAAGACATCATTCTACTTGTGGCTGGGCTCATAAACTGATTTTCTTAACACTTGCATTAACATTCTCAACCCACTGTTCCCCGCTTCTACCACTAACTAATCCACTTAAATTGTTTGCTTGGAGGTCACTACTGTACTTGATCTTTCCTCCCTTTAGTTTCAAACACAAACAATATTCTCATGATTTCACTTCATTTCCTAGTCATGGTCTTGTAGTTTCTTTTTCCACCTTCCTTTTCTCACCTGCTCTCTTAAAACTACAAGTTTGTTATGTTAAATTTCTGAAAACAGAAATAATCAGACTGACAATGTTGAATTTTTGTTTTTTTAAATTTATTTTCAATACTATCTTCAATAAAAATTTAAGGAACAACATCTGTATGTCATAGTAATATAAGCTGAAAGTTAAGAAAACATATTCTATTACTTCTCAAAGTAGGTAGCAAATGGATGTTATCATGCAAATTAAAACTTTTTCTCCTAAACACTCTTTATGTACTTTATTGCACATTTCATATGTGTGTGGCATAAAAGGCCTATTGCCTTACTTTGTACGTAAGCTACACCTAAGTTTGCGTAGTGTAATGTGGAAAAGTGATGTTTTAAAAGTTTGAAAATCATAATACATTATATGACCTTGAAGATCTTTCCCTGGTTCAAGAGAAGGGAAAATTATTATAGGCTCTGTCTTCTGAATTCATTGCCTTCTACCTTGATGAGCACTTAAAATGTAAATTAAGGAAGAATACAGCTCTTAGGACTGACTTTGCTTAAAATCCCAGAGGTACTATGTTACAGATTTTATTTGCTATTAAAAAAAATCATTGCAATTTTGTCAATGTCAGACAGATTTTAAATTCAACCTATTCCATACCAAGGTCTCCAGCAGCCTGTGTTCTTTAAATCTGGACCTACATTTATTGTACAAGAAAAAAAAATCTGTTACAGTTTAACAATGAAGTGCTGCACAGGGAACAACTTAATTTCCTCTGTATTTAAAACTGAAATGCCACGGGGAAAACTTGCCCATTCATAGGGGTCAGCTAAGTTTCAGAGGAATTCTAGTTCATTCTCAGAATACTGTGGAGAGTCTGAGAATAGTCCACAGTTAGTAGAAGTAATTAAGACCCAAGATATTTTCCAGAGAGATCCCAGAAAGAGAGATGTGGCCATCCTGGTGTGCAGGGGAAAGAGGGAAGATAGGTTAATGCTTAGTTGCACTATAAAGATTCTCACAAAGTTTCTCAGAATCAAAGTCTCCATGTTTTCTTAGAAAATATGGAAAGTGGAGAGTAAACTATCCTTGTAGATGAACGTTTGCTCACTCAACTGAAGACTTGAGGACATTCCTAGTGGTTTAACCAAAACAGACAAGAAGAGCTGAAACCCTGCAAGAAAACTCTAAAGCTACTGGAACTATTTCATCTGGTTATGTGGTCAATCATAGCCAGTGGTCAGAACCCAAGTCATGAGCAAATAATACTGCAGAAATTGAGTTTGTTTTCAGCAAGAGACATATAACTTACATTTTATTTTGGACCAGTGTCTCAAGTTTGAAAAAGAGGCAACAGGTAAAAGATTTTTTTTTAACTAAATTGTATCAGATTTTGAAAGAAAAAAAAAAACTGAAGAAAGGTGAAAAGAAAGCAGCAACATAGTGTTTTATAATATAACAGTAAAAAGTGCTTATTGGATATATAATGTGTTCCAGGCACAGTTACACCATGAGCTTTCAAATTCTTGATAATCTGTCAACAAAAAATACACTAATCTAGGTAGAGTATTCAGATGAGTTCAGAAAATATATCCATAACAACACTTAAAATTATATGTCTTATGTCTTTTGAAGTAAATGCTTTTAACAGATAATAAAGACAATACATTGGTACTAGTATGATATCTGAGAAGCTTACACAAGTGAACTTTTGAAATGACGCCTCTAATTAAATTTAGAGATAGCTATTACATTGAATTTAAGAAACACAGAATTAGAATTTATATGCAACTCCATCAAGATGCTGTTTCTAGACTGAGGGTAGGTGTAAAAAATTTAGTAGTATCATCCAACCCATTTATGGCCTGCTTCAGAACCCTTGTAATTCTGTAAAATCCACACAGTAAGCCTGACCACCAGTAATTTTTAGCAACTTTCTTTCTCCATTCTCTCCTCTTCTCTAGGTAATGAATATAAAATTCCCAGTATAACTGGTTGGGCCCAGATTGATAGTGAAGTGTACCTCCCTTCCTCTGTTCTTAAAGGACTAGAACCGGAAAGCATAATGGCTTCTTCTGGGCAGAGGATGAGATAGATAAAAGTCTCTTTAATGAGATAATCTATTGAAAAATGAGCCCTTGAACAGCCAGAGAGCAGCCAAAATAATACTGAACGCTGGCTGGAGACTCTATCAAAACATACTCAAAAGCTTCTTTTAGGTCACTCCTTTTTTTGTTTGTTTTTTTTCTGAGACAGAGTCTCGCTCTGTCGCCCAGGCTGGAGTGCAGTGGTGCGATCTCAGCTCACTGCAACCTCGGCCCTCCGGGTTCACGCCATTCTCCTGCCTCAGCCTCCAGAGTAGCTGGGACTACAGGCGCCCGCCACCACGTCCAGCTAATTTTGTTTTTGTATTTTCAGTAGAGACGGGTTTTCACCGTGTTAGCCAGGATGGTCACAATCTCCTGACCTCGTGATCCGCCCGCCTTGGCCTCCCAAAGTGCTGGGATTACAGGCATGAGCTACCTCGCCTGGCCTTCACTACTTTTCTTTAAAAAGCAAGCTGTAAGTTTGATTCAGCCCACTGATTGTCCTACAGCAAACACAAAAATAGCAAAGGCCAACCCTTAAGGAGTAAAATTACATATAAAGCAAGTAGGGCCGTTAGCCCAGGGGACACAGCTTTCTATCAATTTTGGTTTCTGGACATTTTATCTTATAAAAATGAAATTTTAATTATATTTTTAATTTTTACTTTATACAACTTTTAATTATAATGCATCAATTCACTGACTTATTTAATGGTTTATGATAAAGCTGTCATGTTTGAGAAAAACTACCTTTGCAGTTTAAAAAATGTTATTGTATATTTGTAACTAAATTTTTTTATTTGAATTTTTAATTGACCTGATATTAATTTTGAGGCACAGTATAATGACAAGATTTTATTTTATTCTTGTAGAAAGTAAACTATGGTTCTTGAAAAGTTTATTTGATTTATAATTCTCTTTTGGTTAGATGTGGGATTTACCTGTATCTGTGGTTATGTTTTTAAGTTCTCTATTTGTTTCCATTAAACTATCTATTCCTATGCAGATACCACAGCTTTTAACTACTAGAGTTTGATAATAATTCTTGATATTCAATAAGGAAATCCTTGGTTCTTTTCTCTTCCATATTCACTTTAGAATGAACGCATACAGTCTTCATCAGACATTGTAATTCATATTTGATTTGCATTTATTTTTAATCCTTAGTGTAATTTACTTTAGGTGTTTATTATTTAAGCAGTGTATAAAGTTGTTTTTTTACTATAACAAAAATTTATCTTTAAGCGATAAATTTCATATATTTACATTTATTAAGATTGCTAATATATTTGAACATATTTCTACATGTACTTTTGTGCCTGTGTGTGTTTACTGTTGTATATCTTTGATTCTTTTGTTTTCTTTCATACTTTATATTGGATTGTTAACATTTTCAGTATTATCTCCTTTTTTCTCTTTGTAGAGGCCTACAAAGTCTAAAATATTCAATGTATCTTTCTTTTGAAGAAGACAAAATGTTAAGCTTTAAAAATGTTTTACCAAACATATGAAATTAATAAGAATAATAATTCTACCTTTAAAATATAAGAAATCAATTTTTATTACAATTAAAGTCAATAGTTACTTAACTGCTGTGCTTGCCATTTTTCCTTGTATTCCATACATTTCTAAGAGGTTACTTTTATGCTGAAATAAACCTTTCTATAGTTTTTCAATGTGGGCCAATAAAAGGCAACATGTCCCGTTCTTTGTATCTTAAAATTTTTGACTAGCCCTTAATATTAAAATTATTAATTGAAATAATAACTTTATTAAAATCTTAGATATGTGAATAATTCTAGAACTTTCTCCCAACACTTTCAAATGTCTTGTGGCATTTAAAACATGATGAGATGTCTCCTGTTAATCTAATTATGATTCTTTTGTAGGCAATGTGTCTTTTATTTGGTAGTTTTTAACACCCTTTTTATTAAACTTACTTTTTCTCTTCGGAGTCTAGCATATTATTTTGATGAAATTTCCAGTAGTATTTACAATTCATCATTTTTTCCTTTTATAATCTAATGTGTATAATCTAATGTGTAGCCTCTCCATTTAACTTTTACTTAAATGTCTATAGATTTTTTGTCAAGATTTTACATCATTTTGTCTTTTAAAAGTAACAACTTATTTTATATTTAACTTATTCTGATTTCATTTTGTAATTTCTTGTGATTTTTGGGCATTATGCATTTTTAAAAATTCAGGCTTTTACAAAATTTTATTTCCTCTGGAATATAATCTTATGCACTTATGTATTTACTTGGTGGTTGTGGGTGTGCATGTGTGCATGTGGGCCTGACAGATGGTACGTGTTTGTCTGTGTTTTTAAGTCTACCTCCAATGCTGATACTGGCAACTTTTGTCTTCCACCATCTGACTATGCTGAGAGCATTGCAGATTCAGTCACCAGCCTAGTGGTCAGCTTGCCTGACTGTCGTGGTTTTTTTAAGCATCCACCTCTCTCAACACACAGCTTTATTTAAGCCGCACCATTGACCAGCCTTTTACCCCACCTCAAATCAATACTGTCCTAGTCCCTGGATTGAGGGACTGGTTTGATTGTGGCAGCTTCCAAGAACTTGTAATAGAAAGTTGTCTTCCCCATTTTCCCCAAAGAGCTAAATCTCCAGGCTGCCTTTCCTACTTCCTCGGAAACCCTTGACTTTTGCCAGTTATGCCTCGTACACCCCCACAAAGCTATGCCTTTTTCATTTCCCCTTTTATATTTTATTTATTACTGTTTTATAGTTTATGCTTTGTAATAGCCTCAAAGTCTAAGTAAGGTAACCAGTATGTTTTGTTCTGTTTTAAAATTGCTGGTGTACCTGAGGCATGCTCACACTATAATTCATCTGTATCTATTAGACCTGCAAGGATGAATCAAACATTAACTATTTATTGGGTAGAGCCCAAAAATAAACTTAAAAGTCATTCAAGCATTTTTTTAAGTTTCACAGAAATACCATTTGTAAGGCATTTAATGACAACATATATCTTGCAACCTTTGTTTCTTTGAAGTTACTTAGATGATAGGATTTTCATAAAGTTTTCTTGTGATAAAAGTGAAGTAGGTAATTTTTTATGTGCATTCATGAGTTTTGTTACATGCAAATTTGAACTGAAAATACTAATATATATACAGTTTAAGGATAGAACTGAGACATTACTATGAAAATCTGGAAGACAGAAAAGAAAAAAAAATGCCAATCTGAATGAGATCTTTTATAAACAAGGGTTGACATGTGATTATTTTATATATGCATTAACAGAAACCCTTGGGTGAAGAAAATTGATGATAACATTGGAAGATCATTAATGGAATACACATTTATGGGATACACAGCCTATAAGTAATTCAAATTATTCACTAAGGGAATGATTATTAAAGACATTTCTTTTTAAAAGAAATCCCACCAGTTGTACAGATTTTCAAAAACTATGGTCCAAATAGTTAATATGCTAAAGTTAATTTGGTGGCAACATAAATCCAATTCATGAAACATGTAAAACTAGAATTTTATATGTATTTGAAAGACACCTTAGAATTTATAGAGTCCAAAGACCTTTCTCACAGATAAATAAAAAGAATCAGCATGATGAACTAAACTCTGATTGTATATAACTAATTACTTCTAGTAATATGTCTGTAGTATTTTTACATATTTGTAGAGCAATATGTCTAGATATAAAGTTTTCTAAAACCCAGAGTCTTTTCAAGTTTTCATCAGAAGTTTTGCTGTGGTCTGAATGTTTCTGTCTCACGCAAATTCATACTTTGAAATCCTAACAACCAAGGTGATAATATTAGGAGGTGGGTTTGGGATGAGGTGATTAGGTCCTGAGAGCAGAGCTCTCAGAATGGGAACAGTACCCTTATGAAAAAGGGTTAAGAGTGATCCCTTGCCCCTTCCACCATGTGAGTACATAGGGAGAAGCCACCTTCTTTGAACCACAAAGTAGGCCCTCACCAGACAACAGATCTGCATTAATATTAGGCTTCCCAACCTCCAGAAATAAATTCTTGACATTTATAACCTTCCCAGCTTATGACATTTTGTTATACCAGCCTAAATGGACTGAGACAGATTCTAATAGAATAACTCCACCTGATTATTCCAATATCATAGAAGATGAGGAAGAAAGATTAAGAAAATAGAAAAAAGCTGTTGGTATTTTCTTTTTCCCGATCTTCCTATGTATTTCATTATTTAGTATGCATATATCTACAATGATGTTTGCAAATTAAATATTTTTCTTAAAATGACTCTCATTGTAAAAGACTTCATATAAAAAATATTGGTCACATATTGGCAGCATGTTATCCCAAGTTAATTTCAGCTATAATACCTTACTGTTTGAGACTTTTTTTTTTTTTTTTTTGAGACAAAGTTTCACTGTTGTTGCCCAGGCTGGAGCGCAGTGGCGCCATCTGGGCGGCTCGCTGCAACCTCCGGCTCCCGGGTTCAAGCGATTCTCCTGTTCTCCTGCCTCAGCCTCCCAAGTAGCTGGGATTACAGGCGCCCACCACCACGCCCAGCTAATTTTTGTATATTTAGTAGAGACAGGGTTTCGCCATGTTGACCAGGCTGGTCTTGAACTCCTGACCTCAGGTCATGCACCCGCCTTGGCCTTCCAAAGTGCTGGGATTACAGGTGTGAACGACGGCGCCTGGCCGAGACTTTCTATTTTTATGGTTAATTAACTCATTAGTTTTGTTCAAATCCACACCTTACCTAAAGTGTAATCCTTCAAATATTATAATGATAACCTACTGCATATCATTTGTATGTTAAGCTTTAAAACAATATCTCCCAGAAAACTCATCTGGAATTTAATATCTCCAAACAAATCTCTGCAAATTGTCATATTCTTTACAAAAAGATAAAGTGAGAAAAAACTTTGATAATATACTTGATGTTACATAGCAAGTTCTTAATTAAAGCACAGTAATCAACAAACACTAATCAAAAATATCAACAGAACATTGTTTACAATCTGTCCCAGAGAAGGGACTTAAGCCTTGCTGTGTAATGGTGAAACTTTCCAAAATAGTCACCAAAATATATCATAGCAGTATTAATAAGAGAAGGCATCTCACAGCTCCAATGCTGAAAACAAAACAAAATGAAAAAATAATCCTCTCAAATTTGTCTTACACAATAATTCAATGTAAATTAAACAATTTTATTCTGTCTGTTTTATGCAGATGCTAAATTTAAATAAGTAATCAGAACAGTTTTCCAAATTGTATAGCTTTAGAGATAGTAGTCAGAAATATCTATAATATGAAGGAAGGATAGGAAAGATTTAATCAAAGAGAGGCATCATTTCTTTGAGATTTACTCATCACAAGATTTTAAATGTGCTCTTTTTAAAGAAGCAACATGCTAGCACTATAAATATATCCTAGGAAGACAACACAGTGAGATTACAAATATAAAGCAATAGAATTCTAAAGAGCCTAGAGGGATAAAGTCCACATAGATATTGAGCATTTTTCATTTTCTGAAATCGCCCTGCCATTTTAAGCAACGAAGTGGAGGTCTTGTAAAATGACTGTAGTCTGCCATCCCTGTGCACTTGATGAAGAGTTTAGGAAAAAAATCATGTGTCTGAAAGTGGAAAAACTCTCTTTTTGTTTTCACTGTCTATGTGGGTTCATTCTTAGGAGGAAGGAATATTCCTAAACCCGTAGGTTTAGTAATACAGTGTTAAATGTTTCATGATAACTATGCATTTAACCCTTATCACGTGCATAATAAAGAGGTTCATGAGTTTGAAAATTGCATATAGTCTTTTAAAACAAGCTCAATCAAACAAGAATGTTGTGTTTCCTACGCAAGTGATTAGAAAGGCGTAAGAACTAAATATCCATGCCCTATGTGAACAAAAGCTTATTATCCTTACAACTATATTTTTTCAAATGACTATTAGTCTATATTAAATAAGAAACAACTTCAAGTACAAGTGATTTTTTCATTCCTAGTTTTTTGTGTTTATACAAGCTGCATTAGGGCAAAGAAAACTGTAGAAAAATCTTTTCCAGATATGTCAAGCCCCACAGAGTAAAAACAATATAATAATGACAATAGCAAACATTTTCTGAGTGATTACCTTATTTGAGGCTCTATATTACATAGCTTATATGAATAATTAAACTTATAACAGCAACAAAAAAAGCTGAGGCTTAGGAATGTGCAGTGATTTGCCCAAGATGAACACATTGACAAAAGATTTGGATCACTGTTATTCATGATGACCAAAAATCAAGAGATTCTAATTAATTACAATTCACATGGCTATATAGTTTTTAAATGTTAACTTTATCAATATTTTTATAATATAGATATTAAATATGGCCAATAACACATTGAACATATTAGATATGTGAAGAATATTAAATGAAAATAAAAATTACTTTTAATCACATATTATTTTAGAGAGTCATATTTTCTGGCCCAAATACTTATAGCCTATATAAACATGTCATTTGAATTAGAACACAAATTATGCTCATTGCAAATGTGGTGGTCCAATGGGTTTATAGATCATTGTCTGCTCTGTAAGCTGTAATATCCCTTTAGAAGACTTAAGAATATATTTAAAGCAAAAATACTTTACTAAAACAGTCACCCTTAAATTGAATAGAATTAGAATCTCAGGTATTATCTGAGTAATTTGAGTGCCCATAGGACATGATTGATTTCTCATTGGAGGATATCTTTTCACTTATAAGCCACTAATAAAGCCCTAAACATATTTTATATTAAATGAATGAATGTATTTGTTTATACTCACATGGTGACAAACTATGGATTGTGGGTATAAAAATATCAAAGTTGCTTATATAAAAAATTTTAAAATGTGTGGACCTGTTGTCCACTTAGGAACAAGTTCATTGATCATTTCTAAAATTGGCCATCTGGTGGCTTCATTTCAAATTGCATTCACGTTCCAAAAGATATACTTTGGATCTCTGGAGGATGTGGCTAAACGATTCAACTCTATTTACAGAGATTATAGTAATCAAATGGCACAATGATATAAAATTACCCCATGCAATTGGAGAGTACCTACTGCAGCAGGGGCTTCTCACTGAGAGAAGATTCCCTGGGCTAGAAAGACATAAGTAGCATGAGAATGAGTCAGAAACTTCAGCCACAAAGTGAGAGCCCACTGGTGTCTGCAATGACACTGCTCGATGCTAGTTTCCACCTCACTAACTTTCCTAGCCTGCCTTCTCTTTTTCCGCAGTCATAGACCAGCAGACCTTATACCATATTTACACTTATCAGATTTTGGCAGGCAAGAAAATTATGGGTAGAGAGTGTTCGATAAAAGTTCCTAGGCCAGACCAAAGATATTCTGATTCTAGGGGTCTTAGATGAGATCCAAGAATCTACAATTTAAACAGGGATCACAGGTGATTGCAATATAGGTGGCGCAAGCCTCAGACTTGTGAAACACTGCTCTATCATATCTGCTATACTCAGGTGAATAATAGATTAACCTCAAAGCGTTTGAATTAAAACTTCTATACCAAAGTCTAGCAGATTATCTGTGGGTGACTATGCAGCATTCTTAAAACATTAAGAAATAAACAGTGTGATTTCAGTGTTTAAGTTTAGGTGTTCTCTACTTAAACAGGGGCAGGCAGAATTGTTATCTATATAAGTACCCTCATTTATAGGGTTGGGGCCAGAAAACAATTGTAGGCACTACAGTGCTCCATCAGAGGCAAAATATGGCACACTTGAGAATTTTAAAAATCCATTCTTTCTAAACTGAGATGCAATTGTCAGTGGCATTAAAAATGTGAGCTGTAACACTCACCGCGAAGGTCTGCAGCTTCACTCCTGAAGCCAGCGAGACCACGAACCCACCAGAAGGAAGAAACTCCGAACACATCGGAACATCAGAAGGAACCAACTCCGGACATGCCGCCTTTAAGAACTGTAACACTCACCGCGAGGGTCCGTGGCTTCATTCTTGAAGTCAGTGACACCAAGAACCCACCAATTCCGGACACAAAAATACCTACATTTCACATTGTTCCTCAGAGTTTGGCAATAGGACATCTATGCCTACTGCATAGATGTGCAAACTATCTTTGCTTCTTGAAATAATCTTCAGAACATGAAGAAGAAGCTGCACTCAAAAAAATTGCAGATAATTTGAATTTATCTTTGAATTTTTACCATCTGCTCTCCAGGTGAAGCTACCTCCATTTTATCTTCTAGAGGAGGAGGTTGGCTCCCAGATTGTCAGCCTGGAAACTATAAACTCTCACATGGTATTAGGTGATTATAACTAATTTTTAGAAGTCGGACCTTTGTTAATTATTAGAAATTTCAAAGTTAAGCAGAAAAAGTGGTAGTAATGTAATTTTTTTTTCTTTTTTTGAGACGGAGTCTCGCTCTGTCGCCCAGGCTGGAGTGCAGTGGCGCAATCTCGGCTCACTGCAAGCTCCGCCTCCTGGGTTCACGCCCTTCTCCTACCTCACTCAGCCTCCTGAGTAGCTGGGACTACAGGCGCCCACCGCCATGCCTGGCTAATATTTTTGTATTTTTTTAGTAGAGACGGGGTTTCACTGTGTTAGCCAGGATGGTTCTAATATTGTTCAGAAGGTTGTAGTGTTGAACGCAATCAATTATTTTCATATGCATTTAAACTTCTAACAGTATTCTGAGTCTAAATGGCATTGAAAGTGAGGGAAGAACAAAAAGTCTAGTCTGCAGTAAATGATTGCACGAGTGAGGCTGAAGTCGGTGAGTACCTTCTCCACGGTCACACAGACAGTATGTTACAAGGTCACCCTAAAACTCAGCTCTTTTGGTTCCTACTCATGTTTTTACAGCACACCAGGTAGGAGAGGCAGTCATTGTTAATTGATGGCTTTTTCTTTAACTTTCAATGCTTTCTTTCTCTTCTCACCTAAGTCGTGTTTTTCATTTTGTTTTGTTTTTGTTTAGTTTTGGCATTCTATGTAAGATTTTTGTTTAATATAAATACTGGTAACATTCAGACACCTTAAAATATAGCCCTTATTGTACATAAGGTGAGTATTTCAGCTGGTGCCAGTCATATGGTAGACTCTTGATATATATTTAATAAGTGAATGAATGAAAGTCTACCATAAAATGACAAAACTTCCTAAATGTGTTATTGTTGGAGCCATAAAATTATGCTTCAATTCTTCTGTGTCTGTTTTTAAAGAACATTAAGAAAGCAGCTTTATAATGATAAAGGATAGAGATCTTAGCATACATTTAGAGAAATTCAACTTCCTTTCTTCTCAGTAAGGATTCTCTCTTACCTGGATAGCCAATGCCAACCAGTTGTTCTCTGAGATTCTCTGACGACCTTGCCTCTCTCGACAGCTAGAGTCATGATGCTCCCATTGGAAGGGCAATTAATCTTAGCACTGAAGGACTTGTGATCTGGCCCCAACTTTGTGCCTCACTGGGTAAATCACTGAAATTGTTTTGGTGTTTGTCTGTCAACTTTAAAACATGGAATGGGTGATCGCCATGGTTTCTTAGAGCTCTAATTTCTAGTTGATACTTCCCGTGATTCTTCCTTTTTACTATATCCAGTTTATTTTCTTTCACCTCCATCTCTGGGCTATTGCATTGTAAAATGTTGAGGAATAAGAATCATCCTGGATATTTTAAGCACGGTGGTATCTCAGGCCATGGAGGCTTAGTGGAAGTGACCTGAGGGAGAATAATTTTTGTCAGAGGGACCTAGAGGTGTACTGAGTAACTCAAAGTAATCAGTTTTAAAATATGTGATTTCACTGCCCCTGCGGTCTTATATATTAGAAGCTGCATATTAATGTGTAATTGGTTGATGAGCTTCAGGCTAGCAATTACACACTATTTTCTGTTAAATGACATGGTAGACCACCTGAGAATATTTCAAAAATATTTTCATTTGTTCATGAAATATACCTGGAAAACAAAACAAAACAACTTAATAACTCTTTGGTTTCCAAGGTATATTTTTTAAACACTACAGTACCATTGGAAGAAAAATTAACAATTTAACCCTTTCTCATTTAGCTCATGGAGATTGTAATTTCATAGTCCCATTCACTTGCTAGAGGGAAGAGAGAACAACAAAGGTATTATCTTACATAGTTCTGGGAGGAGTTGTTTTAATAGAATGGAATCATGGCTGCTGATCTCATTTTCCCATAAATGCTCACAACTCAATCTTATGCAATGGCTGTGTTTACCACCACCGATGTTTATAATCAGTGTTAACACAGGAAACTTATACAGTCAGCCAGGCAGTCCTTTTCTTCTCTTGTTAAGTAGGGTTGTTATTACCGTTTCCTCAATTTCCTAGAGGATTCATGAACATAATCATGTCAGCTGCTAAACTGGTGGGAATTGAAGCTATTCTACGTTTTGAAAGCATTTGCATGTGCTAACTTGGAAACTACATAAATCAGTGCTTTGATTACTACTTTTTAAAAACTACCAGCTCTTAGTTTGGTAAATGTGAATTGTCAGCATAGTACAAGTGGAGTTTCTGCAGTTCTCCACTTAATTAGCTCATTATGGAGCCAGTCAGAACAATGAGGTCCTCAGAGTGGGTTTACTCAAGTTTTCTCATTGTTATTATTTGTTTGAATACTCTTGTTAAACTCATTATGTTTATCAAACTATTAGTCTATGATGTTATACCTCAATTTTATTTATATTTAAAACATAATAATTTATTTCAATAAGGTAGTTTTTCTTTTTTCTTTTGTTATAATAAATTATATGTTTTTTAATACAAAGGGTATACCTTCATTGTAGGCATTTATAAAATACATGTGAGAAAAATACAGATAAGAAAAACTATAATAACTTGCAATCTCACAGCCTAGAGACAATGAAAGCTCATAGTTTGGTATATTTACATCTTTTCTTCATACATATAACCTAAAATAAAAATGCCTTACCATTCAATCAATTTCAATATGGCTTATTCCACCTCTGCTCCATAAAAAGTTATCTCCCTGGGTCCTTTTTAGCCTCATTGCTGTTAAGGTTAATGAATGGCCCCTCTTACTACTTTCTCATCTGCCTTGGCTTTTCCCAAATATTTGGGTATAAGGTATTTTAAGCTCCATGAGATCAGAGATTATAACTGTATTGTTTATCTTTGTAGTCTAGCACCAGTGTAGTACCTGGCAGATAAAATGGCTTTCTAGATATTTTGTTGAATAAATGATCGAGTCTTTAATCTTAAAACAATGTCTGAATTTTATTTCATGGCACTAAAATTTTTGGATTTTTTACTACTTCTCGGAAGGATGTTCAAAAATCTCTTTCATTTTTCTTTTGTTCTCTATACACATTTTATGCTAATGAGTTTCTGTTTTAGATCTTCATCTTTCACATTCTATCTCGCTTTTCATGCACTCTTGTGACTCTGGTTGCCATATATATTATCTTTCCTAAATCAAAATCCTTTACAGATCTTCTCTCCCCAAATTCAGAAATGTGACTGAGTACTGTAGTTTTCCACTGTGATACACCCATATCTCAGAAACATGTCTTAAGTTAAAAAATACACTCTCTCCCACACCCCAAAATTCCCCCAGCAAGAAATAAATAAAAATTGATAAATATTTTCTACATAATGAATATTTTTAATATGTACCAAAACATCTCAACATGCATATTTAACATCTTGCTGTGAGATCTTTAGGAATAGTCATACCGAAGTGGGCAAGACTGTAAGGGATGATGAGAACCCGGTTATTAGAGGAAAAGGAGAGGAATTGAAGATCAGTCTGAAGGATTCACAGGGTCATGATAAATACTTTGGAGGTAAATGCATGAGAAAACCAAACTACTTACTGAGAGTGTGTCAAATTTCGATTTTACATCTTTAGAGTGGGGGGAGTTGTAGATATAAGGGTTCCTATAAAATTCATTGGAATAGAGATGGGGACTTGGTTGGAGAATTAACCAAGAAACCTAGACAGAACTCTACAACAGTGGATCAATGAGCCCAAAACATTAGAAAAAGGCTGTGAATCCATGCCAAAAATCCAGCTTGTAGATATAGCCATTCATATACCAAAAGGAAGTAATTCAGTTTAAAGTATTATTGCAAAATTATACATTTCTTACCTATAACTATATTATCCAAAGTGTATTCTGCAGAACACTAGTGATGTATTAGTTGGATATTTATATAGAAAGAAAACAGACTTAGATGGTTAAATAAGGTTTGGAAATGCTGAGATTAAAAAAAAATCCTGAAACATTTCTCAGAGACTTTAGTATGATAATATGTTTTGGAAACACCAAAAGGAAGCTGTAGTATGCAGAATTTCTTAAACATATTTAACAAAAATTTCTATTTTTTAAAAGAAGAACATTTTAAGGGATAAATAGACCTGTGATGAAACTTTGAAACAGGCTGTTATAAATATATGCAGGCAACCCAGTTACATATAGTGGGTATTAAGCAAAACAAAACTGAAAAAAATGAACCATACTAAACAAGAGAGAATACATGTTTAAAATATACTTTAACTTTTTCTCAGCTATTTTCCTACCTTGGCTATAAATCAATAGTCATCATCATAATTCTCTGAGCAAGAAATAAACAAAAACTGATAAATATTTTCCACAAAATAAATACTTTTAATATGTACCAAAATATCTCAATATGCACATTTAATAGTTTATTAATGTCAAATCTCTATCAGCCATTTCCTAGGTCACATCTTAGCAAAGTTCACATATTAAAAATCTAAAGACTGCCTAGTCATCCAATATGCCAGGACCTGGGGGATTATTTACAGAGATTATAATTAGAAGGTAATATTTGCTTTAGGAACAAGGAATTCTAGCTACACAAGAACAAAGTGGCTAGTGGCCACATACCACACACACACACATATATAACAAAATCTGTCTTAACATTTGGAACCACATCTGAAATTTGTCCCCTCACTACAGGATTTCTTTATAAGAGACTGTTCTTTGCCTTTTTTGCCCGAATGACTAGTTCAGTTTGTCACAACAAATGCTCATTAACTGATGGATTGAATAAGTTGTCCTTCTTTGGCAGTAGACATTTGTATTATTTACAAATTTGCAAAAAAGAAAAAGTTGGAACAAATAGCATTTGGAAAAGGTTTATCCTGTCTACCAACATGTTCACAACTTACAGACAAAAAACGCTTTTGTTTTCCAGAGGTGTTGCTAATTATAACTATATGATACCATTATATTTCTATCGAAAAGCAATATCATAGCTAGCATATCATAAACTAACACATTCATTAACAAAGTAAGGTCAATTAACCTAAGCTTTTAGGGAGGATAAAAAGTACATTTAGGGGTAATGGAAGTGTGAAACATATGTCAGTGACTATAGTCTCCTGGCAAGCTGGGGGACTCCTGTGTTCCAAGGGTACTCAGAGAGCTGGTGGGAAGGTGGGGTATGAGAAAGAGAAGCAAAAGATAAGAACTGTAGCAAGCTTTAAAAATTTTGCTTAAGTCATTGATAGCTGAAAAGCAACACCATGAAAGCAGAAATAAGAAAGTAAAATATATATACATGTAATATTACTTATATTTATATCTACAGAAGCCTTCTTGCTCTTCAATGTACTAAGTAATATGTGAAGTTCAATAATCCAGCTCTATTCTGAATTTGAAGCAGTTTTGGAGAAATTACAGTGATGGAGAAAACTCTTCAGAGTTACAGAACTTCTATTAGGTAATTAGCTGAATTAATTAGTTTGATTGGTAGTTATTGTAATTTACCACATTTACAGATTAAAGGACAGTGAATCTGATACTAGAGCACATCTCAGTGCATGCAGATACTATGCATTTAATAAAATTAAAGTCAACGTATGATAAACACTCTTACCAAACTAAGAATAGAAGGAAAATCCTTAATCTTTAAAAAGACATCTATTTTTCTTAATGTAAAAAGAAAAAATATCAAGACTCTCATACTTACTGAGATAAATTTTAATAAGACCAGCAGCAAAGGAAAATGCTTGCTATTACCCATACTGTTTAGGATTGTACTGGAGTCCTAATCAGTGAAGTTAAAAAAATAATAAAATAAAATCTGTAATAATTGGAAAGTTTAGACAAACCCTGTTTATTTTTAATAAAGTACTTGTTTACAAAGAAAATCCTAAATGTATTTTTGTTATTAGAATAAGTAAGATTTGATGAAACAAAAGAAGAAAGAGAAATCTGACATGCAACACAAAATCGAAAATCTTTAGACTACCACATTCCATCAGAAAACGTATTTGATGTATTTTCAATTGACAGAAGAATGCCAATAAAAAATATGTAGAAGCCCTTTACGGAAGAAATTAAATATTTTATTGAAAACATTAAATAATACTTAAATAAATGGAAACATTTGGAAATAACTCTCTATAATAAATTTATCAATATTCCTCAAACTGAGTTATAGAATTAGTGCAATTCCAATTAAAATCTTAATAGGTTTCTTTTTTCCCCATATCTTTTCAGTTACTTGTTTTTTAAATTTTACATTCTGGGGTACATGTACAGGTTTATTACATGAATATAATGTGTAATGGTGAGGTCTGGGTTTCTAGTGTACCCATCAGAAAAAGAATGAACATTGTACCCAGGTGATAATTTTTAATGCTCCCCTCCCTTCCAACTCCTGGAAACCATTTTGGAGTCCCCAGTATCTATTATCTCTATCTTTATGGCCACATATACCTTAATGGAGTTCTTTGTAGGATTTGATAAGCAGATTTTAATTTCAAGGACAATTGGAAGGGCCAAGAACATCTGAGAAATTCCTGAAGAAGGAATAGGGAGATGATTTTTCAAACCATATTTCAAGACATATCATGAAAGTATACACACACGCCCACACACACACACACACAAACACACACATACACATACACATATACACCACATTAGGCGAAAGTTAGAGGCAGCATACATAAAATTTTACCTTTTTCCTGAGCAGACTTTGCACATAAATGTCAGAAGATGAATTATGTGATTGACAAATTGTGCAAGGAATGTTGAATAGCTATATGAAAAAAATTAATTTCTCTCTGACACAAGGTATAAAATCTAGTCTTCATCTATTAACTATGAAAAGCCATACTATGAAACTTTTAAAACATAATGCAGCAAAATTTCCTTATAATGTATGTAAGGAGGGAATTCTCAAACAAGGAACAAAAGTCACACATCATAAAAGACTGCAAATTATATTGTGACAAAAATAAGAATGTCACTACATCAAAGGATGCCATGAAGAGAGTAAAAAGACATGGTACAACTGGAAGATCTTTGTTTTATCTTTGTCATCAGCAAAGAATTTGTATCAACAGCATGAGATCAAAAAGCTCCATGAAGAAATGGACAACAGACCTAAGCAGGAATTTTGTAAAAAAGAAAACGGTAAAAGAAACTCATTGATATCTAAAAATATGTTCACTTTCACTATTTTTAGGTAAATGCCAATAAATATTAGGAATATATTGTTACACTCTAACCAGTTGGCATTTTTTTTCAAAAAGCATGATAATATCAAGTACTAGTGAGAATAGGAAGCAACCAAAATACATACTGCTGATGAGAATGTAAATAGGCACAATCACTTTAAAATGCTATTCACCATGTCTAGTAAGGTTGAACATTCACCTACTTTGCAATTCTACTCCTGTGGGAATACCCTAGAAAATTCTCACATGTGTTCAAGGAAATATATGCACAAATATTTATAGTAACATTGTTTTTAATAGTAAATTGCCAGTAACAACCCAAGAGCCCATCACTAATTTAGTGGATAAGGAAACTTTGGTTTTATTTTTAACTATTGAATCTTTACAACAGTAAAAACTAATGTATGAAAGCTGCAAGTCATCATAAGGAAAGAATCCAGTGAGGTCAGAGAGTTAACAGGGGTGAGGACCAGTTTGAGCAAGTCATTGCAGCTCATTTTAATAACATTGGCTTTTACTCTAAATAAAATAGGAAGACATTGGAGGATCTGACAGATGAGTGAAATTGCCTGACTTAGGTTTCATAAGATCATTCAGACTGATGTATTGATAATACATTAAGGATAGAGATAAAAAAGCAAGGAGATCAGTCTTAAGAGTAACATAATCGATGTAGAAATAGCGCTGACTTGTTCAAAGGTAACAGCAGTGGAGGTGATAAAACAATATACAGGTTTGACATGTATTCTGATGTTAACCTTAAAGAATTGCTGGAGAATCTGATATGAGGAGTAGAAGAAAGAAAGGAGGTTAATATGACCCCAAGATGTTAACATAAGTATTTATATAGTTTTGATATTTGTCCTCTTCAAATCTGAGATTGAAATTTGATCCCTAATGTTGGTGGTAGGGCCTGGTGGGAGGTGTTTGGGTCATGGGGGTAGATCTCTTAAGAATGGCCATTCAAATTGGAAGTCAATGGGAGTAATGAGTGAATTCTAGCTAATTAGTTCACTCAAGAGTTGGTTGCTTAAGAGTGTGGCACCTCCCTCCCTTCTCTCTTTTTTTTTTTTTTTTTTTTTTTTTTTTGAGACGGAGTTTCGCTCTGTCGCCCAGGCTGGAGTGCAGTGGCGCGATCTCGACTCACTGCAAGCTCCGCCTCCCGGGTTCACGCCATTCTCCTGCCTCAGCCTCCCGTGTAGCTGGGACTACAGGCGCGCACCACCATGCCCGGCTAATTTTTGTATTTTTAGTAGAGACGGGGTTTCACCATGTTAGCCAGGATGGTCTCGATCTCCTGACCTCGTGATCCGCCCGTCTCGGCCTCCCAAAGTGCTGGGATTACAGGCGTGAGCCACCGCGCCCGGCCTCCCTTCTCTCTTTTGGTCCCTCTTTTGCTATGTGATACATCTGCTCTGTCTTTGTCTTCTGCCATGATTGTAAGCTTCCTTAGATAACTCCCAGAAGCAGATGCTAGCACCATGCTTCTTGTACAGCCTGTAGAACCGTAAGCCAAATAAACCTTATTTCTTCGTATTATCCAGGCTTGGGTATTCCTGAAGAGCAATGCAAATGAACTAAGACAAGTATTTAGAAAAGCAGAGAATTCTGCAGGACAAGCATGTTTTTGGTGGCGGTGGCGGGAAGAGGAGAAGATAACCAGTTCAGATTGTGATACTTATGTTTGAGGGGCTTCACAGATATTCAAATGTATATGTAGAGAAAGCAGTTCCATATACAAGTGTGGAAGTACAGAGAGAGGTCAAGCCGCAAATAGCAAGTATTGAAAGTCATGAATGGGAGTACTGAGGAAGTGTACACAGGTAGAAAGAAGTGTACACAGGTAGAAAAAAGTGTACACAGGTAGAAAAAAGTGTACACAGGTAGAAAGAAGAGCTTGAGAGTATTCCATCATTGAGAGCAGTGGTTCTCCACCAAAGGTAATTTTGTCCTGAATATTTGGTTGTTCCAATGGGAAATGAAGGTGCTATTGTATCTAATGGGTAGAGGTCAGAAATTCTGCCTAACATCCTACAATGTGTAGGGCAACCCCCACAATAAATAATTACCCACCCAGAATCTCAGTGGTACCAAATTTAGGACCTTGTTAAGAAACCTGGCTTTGGAGTTGGGGCAAAGATCTTGCAGAGAAAATTGAGTTGATGTGGCCTGAGGGTCAGGAGGAAATGAGAGTGTGGTGTCCTGAAAGGCAAGTAAAGGAAATGTTTGAAGGATGAGAAAATTATCTCAGCTATGGCCAATCATCTAATAGTTCAAGCATTATTGAGAGCTAGCAATTGACCCCAAGGTATTTAATAATCTGTAAATTATTGCTGACCTTGATGGAAATAGAATTAAAGAAATGGTCTAGTAGATTTGAGAAAGAATATATAGAGAGAAATTTGAGACAGTGGATAGAGACAGCTCATCAATGAATTTTGGCATAAAATAAAGAAGAGAAACAGAATGACAGATGAAGAATAATCGTGATCTAGAGAGTTTTGCTAGTTTGTTGAGTTTAAAGACAGTGACAATAGCACCATTCTTTCATGCTAATAAAAATGATCCAGGACAGTGATACAAATTGATAAGGAAGAAAAAGAATGGGGGACCCTTGGAGCAATGCCTTTGAGTAGCTAAGAGAAGATATAATATAGTTATTGATATACTCCAATTTTTATGAAAGGTAAAAGATGACAGAACAAGCATTCTCAGTCATAAACATGCATACCTGCATGAATTTTATTTTGACTGTCAATTTTTAGCTATGTGACTTTAGTCAAATTATTTAGTCTTTCTACTTCAGCTTTCATCTGTGTAATCTTTCCTTCATATGAAGCTGTTTTAACAATTAAATGAGATTATGTATGCATAATACCTAATACATTGCTTTGACACACACTAGGCTCTCAAGTAATGACAACTGTTACTATCATTATTATTTAATGAGAAAATCAACTACTTCGTTCTTGGGATATTTCTGATTGTCATCATCATTTAAAGCTTTAAATGTTATGTCTGTAATTGTGTAGCAATATCTTAAGAGAGATACCTCCTGCTAAAAAATGCTGATATCTGATTATAGGTAACATTAGAAAAATTAACTCAAACAATACCTCTATTTTTTTTCCATAATTAGCCATCTGTAATTTTTATTTACTTAGGTCATTTTGTTTCTTGTAGAGATATTAAATTACAATGATAAAAACTAACTTGTAAAGATTATTGACTTTACCTTGATTTATATTTAGGCATTGGAATAAGTGTTCTAAATTTAAATAAATTCCATTTGATTTAATTCAATTTTATTTTATTTTAATATTTAATTATGGATGTATGCTATCACTTAAAAGTGTTTCTTACATAATTTAAAGCTGAGAGCAAATGATTGTTTTGCAAGACCAAAAGCAATCCTTCATATGTTTACAGGTGAACACCATTGTTAATGCTCCATGCTAATTGCATATAAAATTAGCATCATTATCAATTTAAATGTCCAAAGCATATTATTTTCTGTTTTTCTCTTTTTACTGCAATATTAATTGCCCTCCATAATTGTTATAAGTTGAATATTTTAGGGCATCTGGATCTTTAAATCATTACAAACTATTTAAAACACTAAGGCTTAGAATCCTAAATCCTAAAAGCTAAGGGTACGTTGTATCTGACTTTACACACACACACACACACACACACACACACACCCAGGAAAAAAGGTTACATTGTATCTGACTTTAAATACACACACACACACACACACACACACACACACACATACAAACACACACGGCAGGAAAAAAAATACCTTTGCAGAGTTTCCAAGCAGAACTATCTCAAGTTTTTTGTATTTTTCCCTTCAAGATTATATAACAGAAGTACAAACATTATTTTTCTCATGATAATGCATATTTTAGAGTCAAAATTATTTACTAAAAAAGCTCAAGATATTGAACCTCGCAGGGTGATGGCCCAAGTAAAGAGCTTCTATAATTATGTCTAAAACAAAACCTGCTGGCAGAGCTTAAAGCTTTAGTTATAGCACAGCAAACACAGTGAAGAACAGGGACGAGGCTTCATTGGCCTTAGTGGAGAAAAGAACTTGCCTAGAGACTGGTCTGCGGGAGATAAACAAAACATATTCTAATGTGATCCAAAGTTAGTGAACTTTCAAGCATGTACGCAAGGAACAAAATTCAAATGCACACATCAGTGATTTATATAGCTATAACTTAATTATTTGGGAGGAATTTCCATTTGTGTTATATGTTCTATTATCGATGTAACTCAATTGGATTGCCTTCTTATATTTGCATTTTAATGCACTAAGAGGATTTAATTTGAACTCTTCTCCTACAAGGCTATTCCAAATGGAAATTTATTTCCAAGTTACTATTTGAGCTTCATTCCATTCACTACAATCAGACATGTTAGAGTATGCTATGATGCATGCAATCACTCAAATACAGAGTGTGTGATTAGTATGGAATCAAACTCAACTTAATATTTTAAACAGCCTTGTCAGGTCTGCATGATGACACCAAATACAAAGCAGTGCTTCTTGGTGATGAGGTTGTAAACATCAAGAACATCATGGTTCTTTTGAAAAATTGATTAGACAAATATAATGATCCACAAAAAAGTGAATACATATTGCAGTAAGATACCAATACAGAAAAGCAAAGAGAATTAGGTGAAATATGGTGTATACATATAATTATAATGTGGTTCATTAAATTTTTTTAATTTGTTATTTGTTTGGAATTTTCTTATGTAAATTTTTATAAAAACGTATGCTGTCTAATGTAAAACTACTTTTAAATGGTAAACATTCACACAAAATTATTCCTGTAGGTGGTAAATTAAGAAGTGAGACTCCCCCCTAAATTTTAAAAAATAAGTTTCCATATTATACAATTCATTATACAATGAATACAATATATATTCATTGTATGTATATTCATATACAATGAATACAATATATATTCATTGTATGTATATTCATATACAATGAATACAATATACAATGTATATTCATATACATACAATGAATATGTAATGAATACACACATATTCATTACCAGTGCACACACATACACAAATGTAAATCTCTATAGGCATGCATATTTACCTATAAAGATAGCCATAAACATATAAAATATGAGAATTTATTTTTTAAGTAGTGAAAAGGAAATATCTAAATTATCTCAACATGATGAGCTTTAGGAAATAAGAATCAAAATGTATATCTAAAAACACACAAAGCGTAAGTGGGATGTTACTGATAGGTATGATAGAAATACAATTCTATTTTCAAAATATCTATAAAATGCAAATTTAAAGAGGTTTCCATACAATATTTATAGTCATAATTGTCTATTTTATACAACAAGCAATTCCCAAATCTCAGGGACCTAAAAGTGTATTTCTCGTTTTCCCTACATATGCACTGAAGGTTGGCAAGGAAAAGTCTTTCCATGAAGTTATTAAAAACAAACTGATGAAGAGTAGCCTATCTCATGACAGCCCTGTCTCAACATGGACATGAGGATATTCCATAATAAGGGAAAAAAACGGAGAATCATGCATCAGCTCTTAAATACTCCCAGATGGAGATAATGCTGTCTTTTCTATTATTTTACTGAACAAACAAGTCACATGGCCATACCTAACATAGGAAGAATTAGGATAATATTTCCATATGCTCAGATAGTTTAGAGAATCAAAAACATTGGTGAGTATTAATAATTTCTACCAAACTTTAGGAAGTTTAATGTGGTAAAGCTTAGAGTGTCCTGATGTGTATGATGATTCTCCAAGGCCAGTGGAGAGACTATTTTGAATTTCCTAAACTTTTTTCTAAAAAAGTGATTTGTTTAAGTGGGAATGTTTTTCACTTAATCTCTGTGACCAGATCATGAAACAGTAGTTTATGCAATACTTAGGAGGAGATAAACAGACTAAAACTATTTCACAGTTTCATAATAATAGTTAAGATTTTGATTTTTTTATAACTAAAAGATTCCTGTTTTGATAATTTCTTATTTATATGCATGATAGTAAAGGAAATAATAGTGATTTTTGTGGAACCTAAAGCTTAACCAATTAAGCACCCAATGTTGTTTTCTTTCTAACACTTGAATGGAGATATCTATGTAAATATAATGTCCATATCTATGTATTTATATATCTATCTATGAATCTATGCATCTATCTGTCTATCCATCTGAAGAATATTTCCCTTGTAACTGAAACATCCATGTCACTTTGTTGTGAATCTATTCCAACAGAAGGATCAAAAATAGAATTTCCTTTCTAGAGTAAATTCCTTAATACCATACTGACATCACTATATCTATAGCTAAAAGAACCTTTTTATAACATGTTTTTATGTTTCACTCATTTTTTAAATTTTATAATAGGCTTTAGATTTACAGAAAAGTTGCAAAGATGGTACATATACTATATATCAGTTATCATATACCCAACACCTAGTATTCCCTATTGTTAACATCTCATGTTAGTATGACACATTTGTCACAACTAATAAACCAATGCCAATACCTTACTATTAACTGAGGCACACCTTATTCTGAGTTTCTGTGTTTTTTACCTAATGTCCCTTCCCTTCCCTTCCCTTCCCTTCCCTTCCCTTCCCTTCCCTTCCCCTTCCCCTTCCCCTTCCTTCCCTCCTTTCTTTCTTTCTCCTTTCTCTCTCTCTCTCTCTCTCTTTCTTTCTTTGTTTTCTTTTTGTGTGTGTGTGAGATGGAGTCTTGCTCTGTTGCCCGGGAGTGCAGTGTGGGATCTTGGCTCACTGCAACCTCCATCTCCCAGGTTTGAGTGATTCTCCTGCCTCAGCCTCCCAAGTAGCTAGGACTACAGGCGCACGCCACCATGCCTGGGCTAATTTTTGTATTTTAATAGAGATGAGGTTTCACCATGTTGGCCAGGCTGGTCTCGAACTCCTGACCTCAAGTGATCTGCCCCCCTCGGCCTCCCAAAGCACTGAGATTACAAGTGTGAGCCATCGCACCTGGTCCTAACATCCTTTTCTTTCTGAAGATCCCATTCAGAACATAAAATGAAATTTAGTTATCCTGTTTCTCTAGGCTCTTCTTAACTATGATTTCACTTGTTTTCTTATTTCTATTTCCTTCAAAATTTTATAAATATTCTTATCTGGGAATTAGTTTCTTAGTTTCTTAGTTAATCTGGAAATTAGTTTCTTAGTTTCTAAGTTAAGAAACTAAGAAATAGTTTCTCCTATTTCTCTTTAGTTAACATTCCCTAACTTAACATAAAAATACTACTTTTCAAAAAATGTTGAACAAGTTCAACATCAAGAAGCATTTCACAAGAAGCTGTCTTCACAACAGGCAAAAGGTAGATTTTAAATCTACAATTGTTCTTTCATGCTTGATTTTTTAAAGTATGGCCAATAACAAAAGCAGTAAGATTTATTTGTAGTACAGAATTATACAATCACTCTATTGCTATAAGAAAATACAAAATAAAGTGATAAATCCTCATACAGGTCACATTTTTGTGTACTCTGTAAGTTACAGTTCTCCTTGAGATCAGTTTACTATCTTTTCTTTGAAGAGGCTTTCCAGAAAGTTTTTATTGTTTGCATTGTTTCCTTAGTTTTTCTACTTCTTATTCATTTGTATCTATAAAATTAATGTTTGGGCCAGGAGCGGTGGCTCACGCCTGTAATCACAGCGCTTTGGGTGGCTGAGGTGGGTGGATCAAGAGGTCAGGAGTTCGAGACCAGACGTTGGTGAAACCCCATCTCTACTAAAACTACAAAAAATTAGCTGGGCGTGGTGGCAGGCACCTGTAATCCCAGCTACTCGGGAAGGTGAGGCAGGAGAATCACCTGAACCCAGGAGACAGAGGTTGCAGTGAACTGAGATTGCGCCATTGCACTCCAGCCTGGGCAACAAGAGCGAAACTCTGCCTCCAAAAAAACAATTAATGTTTGAAATACGAAGATTACTCAGGCAAATAAAAGACATTTATACCTAGCCAACCAACCCACCTTTACTTAAGCCACAACCTGAGTTACCTTGAATCTGGCAGATTACTATTCAATATTTAGTGAAATTTGATATCTCCAACTAATAAATAAATATATTAACATTGAAGCTATTTGAACCTTCCCATGTTAGGTGACTTGGTGAATAAATTAGACAATTCCAAGCTGGTTGACCAAATCTTCCCTCTGAATATCTCAACTAGCCTGTCACTGAAAAATGGCTGAACACAATCCAAAATACACTGAGAAAAAAATGCACTATTTGTGTTTTTTAGTGTGATAATTATTGTGTCATCCTAAATTCCTTTTGTGTCTTGAATTTGGACCTTTAATGCATTTTCAATCATTATATCTAATATATTTATGATTCCAGTGAGTCCTCAAATTTTAATATATCAACATAATGCTTTATTGAAAATGTACTTATCTGCATATTAATAGGTCTAAAAACACCTATTAATTTAATTAGAAGTTTTAAAGATGATGTATATATACATTTATACATTATAAAAATAGGTTTTCAAAATAAACGATTAGCATGTCCACTGTCAATAATAAATTATCATCTTTGTAGTTCATACCCTCAAAAAGATTATTGTGTTAATCTTACACATGTAACATTATTTTATAATGCCTTCTAAATATGATATGAAAGTGCACGTGATTTATTACTGTACTTTGTATTTTCTGAGTCAGGCATTATTAACCTGCATTTCAATAAGAAGTGATCAACCATTTTTCAATGAATGCAGCATCTATAATTCTAAATGAATTTTAAGTGCTATAGTGATTTCAGTGAGTGAACTCTTCAGAAACAACAGACTTAGTAGGCACCCTGAAAGGACTATATGTAAAACAAGCCAAGCAATCAATCAAACAAAACAGTGTGAGATTACTCTAGCCAAACTTGTTTGAGGAAAAATACTGCAAGGTCAAAACCAAAATCTTTTGTATGTGTGTGTCATTTACCATGTGATCATGGCTCTGTGGCCCACAGAGTTCTAATATTCAAAAATTGTTTTGAAAACACTCCCAAAAACTGAAGTGTCTGAATGTTATCTGTTTAGAATTATCATCAAATCTGGAAGTGTTGAGTAATTGAAATGAAACCCATACAAAAGATTCTTCCCACTAAAAGTCAATGTATGCTGGGTGCGGTGGCTCACGCCTGTAATCCCAGCACTTTGATGGCTCAAGCCTGTAATCCAGGCTGAGTCAGGAGTTCGAGACCAGCCTGGGCAACATAGAGAGACTGTACCCTGCCGACCAACCATCTGTCCAAAATATAAAAATATTTTTTAAAAAATTTAGCCAGGTGTGGTGGCTCACAAGCCCAGAGTTCAAGAACAGCATGGGCAACACAGAGAGACCCCTATCTCTACAAAGAAATGTAAAATTTAAAAAAAAAAAATTAGTTCTGTGTGTTGTTGCATCTCTGTGGTTCCAGCTACTTGAAGGGCTAATGTGCATCATCCCCCACAAAGATCGCTAGAGCCCAGTAGGTGGAGGCTGCAGTGAGCTGCGATCATGCCACTGCACTCCTGCCTGGGTGACAGAGCAAGACCCTGTCTCTCAAAAAATAAAAAATAAAAAAAGTCCATGTAGTTTCAATTTGTCTATATATTTGTATCTGTGTGTGTATATGTATATATGTATATATATAAGCACACACATATAGCGTGCTTCTGAAAAATATTTTTGTTCCTGGTAGAAATGCTACCTTATGATTTTACTTAATTTGTAACTCAGTTTCAATACTACGTTCAGTTTGACATCTGTTACTAAGAAAAAACATGTGGAGTATGCCTGAAATAGAAGTTTCACTATTCTGCCATTTAGTGGTAAGTCTTGAATGAAAAACAGATATATAACCACATTAATAAAATTTGTTTTATTTTTCCTCTAAATTAAGGAAATTTTTAATTTGTGGTGCTTTTGGTTTTTGCTAACAGTTTAGAACTTCCTAAAGAATATTGGCTAATCAGGATTGTATCAGAATAATATATTTTGTTTGGAATCCTAGATATTCAAGAGATAAGTTATGTTGAATAAATATTGACATACTTGAGAAGGCCAAGTGCTTCCTAGAAAGACATACTGGGCCTAATGTTTTTAAAGGAAGACTTTCGACATGGAAGAAAAATCAGTTTACATGGAAAATATAACAGTAAAGCCACAGAGTTCTTAATATAAGACAGAGATCATTGGAGCCTTTTGAGCCAGAGAGAAACATGTGTGCTTCCTGTCTGAGGCAGTATGGGCTGTAACCTCCCAGAAACCTTGATGTCAGCTTGGTTCTACCTTAAATGCTCTTCTAAAGTTTTATCAAAATAAATTAACAGTGTCTAGAAATGTGTCTGAGGTACAATAATTGTTCAATAAACAATTATTATTATTCTCTGGCATCTATTTTCATTGATTCTGTACAATGAAGTTAAGATTCTTTTAAGTTAATGTTCAAAGACATAAAGAAATGTTACAACAGAAGAATTACTACCAGAAAAAAACATTAAAACATCACATTCACTAATAAGCAAATGTAAATAAAAATCCAGAGTGCATTTTTACTCAACAAAATCATGGCACCCAACACTGTGGTTAAATAATATCTCAACCATTGCTAGTCTGAATGTATTGATGTAATCATCATGGAAAATAATATGACAATACCTATTCCTATTACTTAAAAGTGTTCATGTGATTTTACCAAGTAATTCAACTTCTGGGGAAATGTTATAATAATAAAAGCATAACTGAATTTCAAATATACGTTTCAAAAGTTTGTAGATCACTAGACATTTACATAAAAACTGCATGCCAAATAATAGCAAATTTTACTAAAATTTGGCCTTAATGTAATCTCAATAAATCACATGTGCTGCAGTTAAATTTAAATTTCATATAGGAAAGATCAACTAATTGCAAAAATGCCATTATAGAGAAATCAATTACTTTAGTATGAAATCAGGAATGAATAACACTATCACATGAAGCTATGTTAAATCATTAGAAATCCAGTTTTGTTTCTTTTTCCAGAATGCTCCAATGGAGGTATTCAACTGAATCATTAGGGCATATATGATACTCTTTCTCTCTGATAAAAAGAAAAAAGAAAAAAATTTAATTGGAAAAAGTTTTTAAATTAGCAGGTTTTATATTTTGAGCAGAATGTTTAAAAATCATGTAGCAACTTCCCAATCAAAAATAACTTGAGATAGTTTTTATTTTCAAATATGTAAGGTATATAAATATGAGACACGGTCCTTGGTATGAAGTTGCTAACTCAAAACATTACTGTCTGTTTAACAGTTTCTGAAGACTGATATTCTCTAACTTTGTGCCAGTTTTAAAAGTTTGAAAGGTTCTGAAATAGAACAAAAAATGATGTTTAAGTCCATTGTAGTTGAGCTAAACAGCAAAATTTTAGGATGTGACCTGCCATATTCTAATGACTATCACAGATTAATTTAAGCCTGCTGGTGCTTTACAGAAGTCTCTTGTATACTTGGCATCTTGTCACATTCTATTTTCTGGATCAAGAGCCCAGTGTTAAGATCTAGAAACTGGGGCAGTAAAAGCCTGAGTATCACACAGCAGGGTTTCCATAGTGTCCTAACCATTTATAAATCAAATCCATTTAAGGCCAATAATAAATAGGACACAGCAATTTCAAGAGAAACAGTGTGGCTTCTTCAAATATTTAAACAATTCCGAATTTTGCAACTTCAAAAAGTTATTTTGCATTTAAAAATACCTTTATTTGCTCTACCTGAAGACTATTTTTGAGGCAAAACAAAGCAGCACTAGAAGGCCAGAATCAGAATATTCTTAATGCCTTCTTGAGCTCCCTCTACTGATTTTTAGACAGTTTTTAATTTAACCGAAGTGTTCAGCAAAACATGTATAATTAACCAGAAGTCCAGTAGAGTAGCATCCAGAGCAGTTTTCACAGCTGGGCACACAGTCCGACTACAGACATTATCAATTAAGTTGTACTATTTGTGCACAGACAGGGAAACAAACAGAATGAAAGCCCTTCGACTTTCTCAGGCCTCAGGACATGTAGAGAAACAGGGCACTGGCTAAAAGAAAATAAACAGTTGCAGAGGGTATTAATTTGAAATCGTTGTTGTCATGAATTGTAAAGAAGTAGACTTTAAATGCAAAGCATTTTCTAGAAACTTTCTCTTCAGTTTTTAATGATTTTTACTCCAATTAATTATAGCTTTATGAGAAATCTCACCAAGGAAATAATTCAGGAAAATCTTTGGCACAATTCACGCACTTCTTTCAAGTCTTATTTTCTTTGTAAGCGCACTAACTCTTGATATTCTGCCAAAGGATTGAGATATTGTGCATTTAATTTTTGCGTTTATTTTCTAAAGGTATAGATGTATTTTTATTACTATTATTTCTTTTGCTTTTTTCCCTACATAGTCCCATGATGTCACACTATTTGAATAAACAAAGCAATTTCATAATAACAAACAATCACTGTAGTTTCTCAAGCATGTGCACAAACCCAAAAAGTGTTGTAAGCATTTCTCTTTCCCTAATAATGCCATAGTGTCTGGGATAATGAATCGTTGACATAAATACCAGCTCACTCAATCATTGCCTTAAAGGAACATACATTTTAGAGAACTTAAATTTTCTATGAAAAAATGTGAAGTTCTGAACAAACAAACTGCACAATGCTAAAAGGGTCTAAATTTATACTCAGAAATTAGCTTTAAGTCCCAGAATTTAGTTGCAACATGCTCTGTATAGTATGTTTAAAACTGGAAAGAAAAAAAAAAACCGACAACATATTTCAAATACATTGTAGTGCCAAACAAAAATGAAAGCTAATTTTCATTAACAAGAAAACCACAAAAAGTAATTACTTTTTTCATGATATGTGCCTTCCGGTTTTTGCCAACAATTTGTCATTTAAAACTGAATAGAATTTTACAAATTGAAGTTCATTCAAGAGGATTTTAAGGTATTATATCCCATCAATACTTGATAATCATAAACTTCTATTTTGTGAGTAGATGTTCAGTATTCAACATTCTTCCACCCTAAATGTATTGACTTCTTACTGGATGATAAACTCTTTGTTAAAGTCCCTGAGGTTTACTAATGTCATGTCTTCTCAGTTATAATTATGGATAAAAACATACCCTTTTTAGAATGATAAGGAATCTTAACTTCAATCAGAAATTACTTAATGGGTTCCTCAGAATGGCATGAAGATGGAACCTATGATAACTCCAATCTTAGGTAGCACTCTTATCCCTTAGTAATACTTTACCTGTTTTACTTTTTACCTGAACACTTATCAATGCCAGATATTATATTACACTTTGGCCTTATTAGTTTGCTTATTGTCTATCTTACTACAGAGAGGGTAGGGCAGGTACTCTGTCTCTCTCATTGCTACCCATCCCCAGCACCTGAAAGGGTACCTGAAACAGCAGGTATTTAATATATTTATTGAACTAATTTATTTCTCTTAAAATAACTATATATATGTGTGTGTATATATATGTATATTATATATGTATATAATAATATATGTATATTATATATGTATATAATATATGTATATTATATATGTATATAATAATATATATGTATATTATATATGTATATAATAATATATGTATATATGTATATAATAATATACATGTATATATACATGTATATTATATGTATACATATATATGTATATGTATATATATATATTTATATTTATTTTAGACGGACTTTCACTCTTGTTGCCCAGGCTGGAGTGCAATAGCATGATCTCGGCTCACCACAACCTCCACCCCTTGGGTTCAAGTGATTCTCCTGTCTGATCCTCCCGAGTAGCTGGGATTACAGGTGCCTGCCACCATGCCCAGCTAATTTTTTGTATTTTTAGTAGAGATGGGGTTTCACTAGGTTGGCCAGGCTGGTCTTGAACTCCTGATCTCGGGTGATCCACTCGCTTCGGCCTCCCAAAGTGCTGGGATTACAGGCTTGAGCCACTGCACCCAGCCAAAATAGCTATAATCTCAATAATATTTTTTAAAGTATTGCTTATAAAAGAATGAAAAATCGAATTTACCTTTTAGTTAGTTATCTTTATTTAGCTTTTGTCAAAATAAAATTGTTTTAATTGTATATAAAAGATGCAAGTGCAATGGCTTTTTTCTGTGTAATTAATGTTAGTAAAAATCATTGCCCAATAATTTACTAATCTTTAGACTACATAAACAAGAAAAAAGTATCCATAGCATGTAAATCTTTTGTTGAAGATCTTATGAACATGACATTTTTTCAAATGTTGAAGTTTTTCTTTTAAAGTAAATCTAAAGTATATTTCTTGCACTTTTCCTAAATAGCAAGTGTAAAATATCATGTTCACTTTCTACATAATTACTATGTTATCTATAAAAGAGCATAAATATAATGTTAAATACAAGTTTCTGATTTGCATGAAAATAGTCCATGTTGCATGCAATAAGTTCATAATAAAATATCCTTTGTGTGGTTCTCAGTCAGAGACCAAAGTTAAAAATGGGAAAACACAGCAGATGACCAAACTCTAATATCAAAAAACATTAAGCAAATCCATCATTATAAATCTATTATAGTCCTAAATGTACAAAGCATTATGTAACAAATGCAAGCATAAAAAGAGAATAAAATCCAATGTGGATCAATTAATTTATATATATATGAAGTAATTGTAAACTATGCAGGTTTTTTTTTACACACAGAAGAAGTTTCTAGGCTTCTTCCTATAAAAGATTTAATTAGGAAGAACAGCCTACGACATATTAACGAATCCAAAAGCCACTCCAGACTGTCTACTACACAGTTTAGGTGATAAATTTAGGGTTAGAAAGAAAAGCCCAGTGGCATTCAAGCAATAAAGACCAAGGTTTAAGTAAAACTTCAACCAGGTACAGTAGGCAGAACACTACCTGAATCCCAGTGACACCCACTCTTGTATAATCACCTCACCTTGTGTGTAGGCAGGACCTATAACTTGCTTTTGACCAATAGACCATGGCAAAGGTAATGTGCTATTGCTCTTGTAGTCACATTATATGGCAAAAAGGAAGGGATTTAAAGATGTAATTAAATGTATATCAAAAGGGAGATTACCCTAGCTGGCCCTGACTGGATAAGTGAGCCTTTAAAAGCCGGGTTAGAGGTCAGAAGCAGAAGCAGTCAGATTAATTCTTCTGCCGACCTTGAAGAGGCAAGTCTCCATGAGTTCTGAGCCGCAAAGAAACAAATCCAGCCAACTGTTAGGTGATCTTGGAGAATCTCAAGCCTCAAATAAAAACCCAGGGCTGGCAGAAACCTTGACGGTGAGGTCCTGATCAGAGGAGCCAGCTCACCTGTACCCAGACTCACAGTTCATGGAAATCCGGAGATAATAAATGTTTATGTGGCTAAGTCTGTGATAATTTGTATGTCACAACAGAAAACATACATATGTTTTAAAAACATGAACATTTTGATGAGATCCAAAGTGACACTGACATGACATTTACTGCAACAAAAACTGCAACAACTCTGAAAATCACATGGGAGCACAGTATGCTCTTAAACTATAAGAACTTTTGACTGAATGCAGAAGAGTGGGACCTAAACAGGGATTCTTGAAAGTACAACAGTCCAGACAGGACATTGTGTTTATACAGAGGTAAGGAACTATGTGATGGTTTAGATTTTAACTTATCTTTGTTTTGCATGTGTGCATTTCACATATCAGAAAATGGAAAAGCAGGCTGACTACTTGCAGGGTGTAGAACCAATTAGAAGAATCTTTAAAGCAGCAGAGAGTGTCAACTTAATGTAAAAATTAGAGATCTAATGATGATTTCTGAACACAGTGGCATTTTAAAGCATATTTTAATCAAGAGAAATCCAGAGAAGATATGAAATCTGTAACAGCAGGACATAAAGAGTAGGATCTGATCATGCAGTTGACTTCAGACAAAACTTGGTCTAAGTCTCAGCTCTGTGGGCAATACCTTAAGACTTGGTTTCAGAAGACATACAAACATGAAAAAATGCTCCACGTCACAAATCAATCATCAGAAACATGCAAATCAAACCACAGTAAGACACCATCTCGCACCAGTCAGAATGGTTATGATTAAAAAGTCAAAAAACAACAGATACTGGTGAGGCTGCAGAGAAAAGGCAAATCTTATATGCTATTGGTGGGAATATAGATTACTTCAGCCACTGAAGAAAGCAGTTTGGAGATTTCTCAAATAACTTAAAACTGAAATACTATTTGACCCAATAATGCGATTACTGGGTAGATAGCCACAAGAAAATTAATCATTCTACAAAAAACATACATGGACTTGCATGCTCATTGCAGCACCATTCACTATAGCAAAGACATGGATTCAACCTAGGTGTTTATCAATGGTAGATTGGATGAAGAAAACGTGGTACACATACACCATGTAATACTACACAGCCATAAAGAAGGATAAGATCATGTCCTGTGCAGCAATGTGGGTGCAGCTGGAGACCATTATCCTAAGCAAATTAACACAGGAACAGAAAACCAAGTATCCCATGTTCTCAGTTATAAGTGGGAGCTAAATATTGTATATACATGGACATAAGGATGACAATAGCAAGCACTGGAGTCTACAAGAGTGGAGAGGCGGGAGGGAGGCAAAGGCTGAAAAACTAATTATTGGGTATTATGCTCAGTACCTGGGTGGTGGGATCACTCATACCCCAGACCTCAGCATCAGGGAATATATCCAGGTAACAAGCATGCACATATATCCCCTGAATCTAAAATAACAGTTGAAAAATAATTTAACTTTTTTTAAAAAAAGATGGTTTCCCTATATCTACATTATAAACTGTTATGCATATAAAATGAAACTGTGTTTATAAATGCTTAAGACTATGCACAGGATTTTATGAATCATCAGAAATTTTGTCTCATTATTACAGCAGGAAGAAACAAGAATAAGGAGACTAGTGCAAAGAATGTCAAAATAATTTTGTCTCAGTTTGGACAGTCTGGGTCAAGGTAAAAATGATAAGAGAAAAATAGAGAATAGGGAATCAGACAAAGCTACATGATAAAGTGAGGGATGTAAAAGTTGTGTACCTGCTGCGTATTGTATAGGAAGAACAATGTAATTTTTAAATATTTATAAATTTTTAGACCAAAGTAAATTGAAGGAGAATTTGTCATCAACTGACTGCCAGAAAAAAAATAGAATGGGGATCATGTTAGGGATGAGATCATGAGTTCATGGGGTTTGTGCTGTCACCATGAAATCAGAGTTAAAATGTCCAGCAGACCTTTGTAAATACATTAATGGACTTCAAATCTGGGTCACAGCTACAGATTTGGAGGATATCTGTGAAGAGATGATAATTGTAGCTGCTGGAGTGAATAGACTTCCTAGGGCTCCACAGAGAATCAGGAACAATGAGTTACACGAATGGTATACACAATCTCGTAAAAATTCCAAGATTAAAAACATTTATGCCAGACTTCTTGTCAAAAGTGAAACATTGATTATTGTTAACCAATATGTAAAATATAAAATAAAAGGCCCTATACGCTTTCCACTTTAAAGTTAAACATTCTTAAGAAAATCAAACTTTTCTATCTCCTTTGGGATCCACTTAATAAAGACAACCAAAAACTTGTATAATGGGGATTCAGTAGGGAGTCTGATGCAACTTTCTGGCACACCTGGGAGCTGTGTTATAATTACTGCTAACAGCAGTCACCTCTTCTCTTTCTCAGTCACCCTAAATGCTATATGAAAACAAAGAGCAACAGCTAGTGGCCAGTATTTCCCTTTACATCAAATGCAATTAGATAGAAACAATAGAATAAAGTATTTAATGTTTCCAAAGCCTTCAAGAGCCCGCCTTAGATTACCTCCTTAGTGCTGTGCCTCAAAGCTAATCATTTGTTTTGATTATTTTATTTAATCTTGATTTAATCTCACAGACTGTTCAAAACTTTAGTAGCTAAGTAATCTGAAGGATTACGTATGAGTAGCAGTTGATACCACAAATGCTGATTGCTTGAAATGGTCTAAATTTCACCAAGTGTTTGAATTTCATCTCCAGTAGGACTTTTAAGGGAAAAAGAAAAACAACTTGAACTCCTAGGAAACATTATCTACTCTATTCTGTTGTTTCTTATGCTGTTTGAGGCACCAAGGGAAACACTGGCTGCTGCTAAAATTTTGAATATTCTATGAGGTCAATTAATGTAGCATCTTTATAACATTAAATACAGAGGGAAAACCCCTTAAGGTCTTTGGTATTATGTATTCTAAAGTGTGTATACTAAAGAATATACGCTATAAAATAATTTCAATGACTTAATAATTAAGGAATAGTCTTGGGGAAATAATAAGAGGCATTTACATATAGTAAAGAGATTATCATAGTAAAAATGATTAGTTTTGAAAATGATATAGCTAGTTACTGGACTTTTGACCTAAATAGAGGTACTAGACATGTAAACTTGGTTTGATTCCCTAATTCATCTATTCCTAGTTGTGTGACCATAGGATACAGTGGTATGGAGATTTGATGTGAATTTCTGCTTTCTTATATTCATATGAGTAATTAAGAATTCAATAGTATCAATCTTTACAAAGCCATGCAAATGTTACATTACTTAATATGGGTTTATGGCCTGATATCAATAAAATATATATGAATACCTATTAATATTTTGAATGGTATCTATGTCTATCTTATTCCTTTTCCCAGATGAAAAAGCAAATTCAGGATCAAAGACCAAATGATACCAATAGACACTCCATTATGAAGCAACAAATGTCTTTACTAGTACCAACTCACTGCTTCTTTTTCTTTAGAAATATGAAGAGCCAGATTCCATAATCCTAAGTGAGGCAGCTCAGAGTCTGATTGACAGTAGAGTCACAGCAATTGCTGTGGCTTTGAGAAAAGGGACATGTAACTACAGAGGGCAGGTAGGCATTTGTGTTTTCATGTAAGGACATTTACTTTTAGGGTTTTGGAATTTTAAAAATAATAATAACTCAAGAGACAAAAAAACAATATCTAGTGGTCCAACTACAAAAGGTAAATTATTTCCATTTCATCATCATCTTTGGGGAATATAGTTCAGGTGTGTATGTTTTAATTGCTACTGTATGTATGTCTTAATTGCTACCTTGGTGCTACATTCACAGAGAAAATACATCAGTAAAGTAAGTTTCTCTATTACAATGTATATTTAAATACAACTCAATGAAGAAGTATTTTTAAATCTTTTGCTTTGGAATTGTTACTTGTGCAATGAACTAGTTATGAGTTGAAATAATATTCTATGTATTGACATACAAATGAACTCACTAAGCAACCACTTTGCTTTAGAGATGTATGTAATTTAATACCAAAAGCCACATTAAATTAATATTAATTACTTGATTTTAAACCAAGAAAGTTCAGAGTGAAGCTGTTCTCTTATTTTACCACATTTATGTGTGAAAACATTAGTACACAAGGAATAAAAATATGTTATGCGCAGGGATATCCAGGCTGTGTTCTACAGAGGTGCATGGCTTATTATCTGAAGATTTGTAGGAAGTAAACTTGATGTTTTACTTTTATAGATTGTAATTTCCAAATCCTTTATCAGAACTCATATTTTTAAATAATTAATGTGGTGCTATAAACTCTTCATTATGCACACATCCATTTTGTTTTTTATTCCTGGCAAATATTCATTTTCAATTGTTCCTTGCCTTGCCAATCAGCATGAGAGGTTCTAAATGTCATTTTAATGCCAAAAAAACTGGTATGTGCACAAGCATTCTAGCCGAAATAAAAAATAACAGTAATTAGAAGACAAAATTGCCATTAAAAGTTATATATTGTATTACAGCTTATTATCTAAATTATTTTGTAATAGCTAGCATGTCTTTAACTTGCATGTTCTAGGCCATGCCCTTGCATGTTTATTCTAGAGTAGAATTTACATATATATGTGTATATACATATATGTGTAAATATATATGTACACACATAAATTCATACACACGTATATACATTCTAATTGTCTCAATTACTTATACTATTATTTAATTCATCCTCTTTCAGAAAACCCATTGGAACTCTGAGTTTATCAAAACATGGTCCCATCCATTATAATAATATCAATTCATCAATACTAAGGTGATTTAAAACACAGGGGGACTAATTGCTTTACTGTATGGTTACCAATTTAATTGGAAAATTAGGATATTTCCACAAGGGATTCTACAGCTAACCTAAAGTAGGATATACCCAAAAGATTTTGGAGGCGTTGAAGCAGAAGGTGATTAACTCTGTTTGGTAAAGGATAATTGGTCACTTGACTCTTAGAACTACTCTAACAACAGGAAATATTTTTTTCTAGTTTATTAGTTCACAAGAGTCTTTTGAGCTTCATAATATATTAAGTAGTAAAAAATACGAGAGATACTATGTCAATTTTGGGCAAATATGAAGAACTAATAGAAAGATGTCATTCAAGGCCTTTGGGTCTTATTGATAAATGAGCTTTAAATATTATTTTTAAATGGTCATTATTCAAAGAAAACTATCCAAATTATTAGGCAAATAACTTCTTAAATATTATTTTAAAAGGTATTTTTATTTTTTTCAAACTTTTTAGAGTATTTCAGATTTATTATGACTTGTATTTTTCTATCGCCCATGTTAGTAACTAGAAAACAAAACAAAACAAAAAAAAAGCAAGCAAGCAATATACAGCCTTGATAATAAAAATTCCAAATTGATTCACCCTTATCTTAAATCTCACAAAACATAAACAGGAATGCATTTTATTTGTAAGAAGAAATAATCTATCTATAAATTTCATTTTTGACTCAATTTTTAGTTTGATCGATAACCCTCAAGAGGTTGAGAAACAATTTAAAAAGACAAATTGAGCACGTCATGTAATATATAATTAAATTATTTTGATAATTTTCTGTAGACTTTATGAAGTTCATCACTTTTCTGCAAACGGTGCTGTATATATTTGCAGTGTGTCTGTAATGAAATGAGTTAATGTCTTAACAAGACATCCAGTGTTGTGTTACTGAATAATCCTTTACATTTTACATGAATTCATTGTAACTCCAAAATACGGTCATTTCTTTGTGGATCAAAGACTTAATAAGGGGCCACCACATTTGAATATCTTTCATAAGTGTCTTCAAAGTTGGCAATTTGATTAGTTTCAGTGGAAATGTTATTCTGCATTTAAGTAGTGTCCCCTATATGCTAAATTTGGGCTTATGATGGGAATCTAATTTTACCTTATTTCAGGACTAAGATGCAAAAGCTAAAAGTGTAGAAAAATCAGAAAAAAAAATGCAGCTAATGTTTTACATTTGCAATCTCACTGAGTCAACCTTTGGTTATTATTGCCAGTAGCATAGTTTGACTTCAGTGTTTAAATATGTTATTGTTAGATGAAACATTAAATTTCATCTTAAAGAATTCCAGATATTGGTAGTTCAAGGTAAATATTTATACTTGAATAAAGACATACATCTTGGAAAACTTTGTGCAAATGGAAGTCAATGACACACTTAGGTACATTTTGAGTAAATATAATGTTTATATATAGTATGCCTTTCAAATAAGTTATAAAATTAAGATATGTATTCATGTTTCAAGATAATAAATAAAATTGAAAATAAAATAAGCCATAATTCTGTTAGAAATTTCACAGCCTAAATATTTATACCAACATAATTAGTTTTAACAAGAACATTTCAAAATTTGTAGTGGAAAGAATGATTCTCTGTGTATTTAAAGGAGATTATGTTGTATAAACTTCCTAGCTCAGTGTTTTATATATTCTTTTTTGCCCCTCTACCCAATCCAGGCTTTCAAAATTTGTATGAATATTTAATTTAAGATCACATGACTGACATGAATCCTACAAAGAATATCTGTTTAGGGTAAAACATGTGAACAACTTCAAAAGATTTACATTTGACCTTTAGTATTTGCAACAATATGCATTGCTTGTGACAATCACTCTCTTGTAGGGCTGTGTAGTAAATACAATGAAAAATCTCTACCTAGAGGATTTAGTTTAAATCATAAAATTCTAAAGCTAAACTTCATCCTAGTAACTCTAATGCAACTAGAGTAGAAATTTTATATTTTAAAATATACAAATATTTAAACCTAACTTAGTGTACGCCTGCTGAAAAGCATAGCTCTATTCAGTTGAATAATACTTATTAAGTACGAAACAGCTTTATATTTAACTCATTCCTATTAATATTGGACATCTACTTGCAACCTAAACTCTCTCTCTCTGGAATGTAAAGGAAATATCCCCCACCCCCGTCCTTTTCCAGGCATCATTTATACTTAATCTAATGTTACTAAATGACATAAATGAGAGACCACAATTCCATTTATCAGGCAAACCATCACACCTGTCAAAGTCATGAATAGTAATAAGAAATACAAAGAGCACAGGATAACTTCTATCATTTAATAATTGCTCACTATGAGAAGTATTGTTCAGTCGTTTTCCACACTGAATTCTTTCTCTGTACACACTCAGAACACACTGCCAATTGATAAAAGGAACATAGCTTCAAAAGAAAATTCTTCTAAGTAAAGAAAAGCTCTCTGTTAAGCATGCAAGAGGTTAAACATTGCTGAAATAGTGAGACATTTTCTCAGCCCACACTTCCCAGTTCCATTCAATTACCAACAGCACAAGCGACTATAATACAAGCGAATACTGTATTATTAAATCAGAACTTCCCATTTACATCCACCTCTAACCTGAGGGGGTTGCAAGGGGATGACATTTGCTAGTCAACAGCAGAACAAACAGCCCCCAACTTGGAAATACACATGACCTTGGGGTGTGGAATGCTCAGAGACTGAGTTTCACAAGTTTTATTTGGATCTACTGCATAACAACACATCTAAATGGACCCAGCATGATGTAAATGTTTCTATACCTACCTCCTCCCTTCCAAAAAATGTTAAGAGAGCTCTGCACTTTGAAGTCTATGCTTTAGATATAGGAATAATATTGATGATTAACCAGAGACTAGTCCATTCAAATAATTATTTGATTATATTTGTTCTAAACAACTTGTTGGTTGATTTATTTAACATCATTTGCTAATATATTTGGGGGGTTTCCTGGAATGGTTCCTATCCTTTGAACCCTGCTGAAAGTATTGCTCTAAAATATTTATATTTATAAAGCAAGATATAACATAATGACATCAACTTCACAAAAAGCAAAGCTCTCAACTTCCCCTCTAGAATTTAGTGCATAATCACTAACAGATTGTCTTGTAATAATAATAATAATAATAATAATAATAATAGTAATTATTAAAATATTTTTGTAATCATTGCCAAAAGTCCAGTTTCAAATTATAAAAATAAGCATAACTTGTTTTTAAATTTTTGTATGGCAGTCTGTATTTCTCCCCCACTTGTAATCATTTATAACAATATTATTTTTCTTACCTTATTTTAACAGTCACAAAAGTCCCCCAGAAAGATTCCTAAACGCTGTGGAAATATAAATCACAATAAAAAAAAAAAACTCTCAAAAGATCGTCTTAGCTGGGGAAAAAAAAATAGTTTGGTCTAAAACTATAGAAATCTCCAAAGTCACGCCTGAATGAGCGCCCAGGTGGCAAACAGAGGACTCTCTCCCACGTCCGATACCACACTCCTTTGTCAAGTTGATATGGGTCCTGTTGGTGAAGCGGGTCCCACAGGGCACAGAGGGTGCAAGAGGGCGTTGCCTTCAGGTGCTGGAGCAACTGGTCCGCTCGCGTCTCAGGTTCAGCACCGACAGCACAGTGGACAGTACCAGCTCCTTTCACCTCCAGTTTGTCTCAGTCACTGAACCAGGCTGATTCTCGCTCCTCCTCCCTAGGCAGGAGCTGCTGCCACTCAACCCGGGGGTGCCCCGCCCCCACCATCTGACGTAACTATTTTGCATATCAACTCGCCGAGAGGTGAGGGGCCGCCCCCTTGACTGGGCTTCTGCTAGAGTCAGCTGCGGCAATCGGGGCAACAAAATTCAGGCTTAACGTCAGCGTGGGCATCTTTGGACTTCAGGATGTATTCTCAACCAGTCCAGTAGAAACTAAACGCTTTGACGGTGCTGGAGCCTTTGCCTTCGCGGGGACTGCCGTTTCTGCGCACTCTAAGATCGCTGCGGGCACAGCTCTGGAAGGAAGACGGGGCGGAGAGAGGGGGCAGTGGAGCACGGAGAGGACCGAGTGGGAGGCGGGTGGGGAGGAGACGGAGAAATAGAATGAATCTATTCAACCATTCTTGAAAACATCTCCAATCCTTTTCATCTTCCTGCCCAAACTTTGCTGCCTCTCCCTGCCATTTGGTTATTTGAACGGATCCGTATTTGGTGTTCCTACTCCCTTCCCTCGGTTCACGGAGCCTCTGGAGGGAGTCGCTGCTGCAGAAACTTGCCTGGAAGAAAAAAAAAAAAATTCTGAGCACTGAGAGAAAACGTGAAAGCTTGCAGCGCTAACCATCATTTCTAAACAGAATCTTAAGGAAAAAAAATACGAGTGCTCCATAGTATATATTATACTTCATATGCGTTCCTATAAAACCTACAGAACCTTCCTTATTCATTCTCATGATTTAAACAAATCCTCAAACTGTATAGACTTGGAGATTCCAGAGGGAAAAAAATTAAATAATAAAAAGTGAAAGTTATCAGCTTCAACTTCCACTGCCAAAATTATGAAGGTTATGCAATATTTATTATGTCTACTATATCAATATTTCTATGAAAGATGGGCTATGCTGGAAGCTTTACATAGCCTTTAGCAATTCTCTCAGTATTTGTGATATTTCTTGTCCCAGTGAAGCTCTAGCCTCCTTGAAGGCAAGAGAAAGGGGGCCTGTCATGCCAAATTCCACAGACTGCTTAAACTTGTAAACAAACACTTTCAGTGAACTGAAGCAATCAATCATCCAGAAGGGTGATTATTCACATTCCATGCACATGTCCCACCTACAGCTATCATGACTTACTTGGACAGAGAAGTGGGTATCTAAAACTAAGCTTAAATTTTCTTAAGTTGGATAAAGCATGTTTAATAAAAAAGGTTGTTTATTCAAATAATGTCATAGCATTTCACACATTGCTTTCCATCAGAATGCATACACACTGATATGTGTCATCATATGCCAGGAGTCTGATATCATCTAGCACTGGATCCACTCACAAGCATTTTTCAGGGACTCTAATCAAAGGAATACACTTACTTATTTCCCCATCAGGAAAAATAATGCATTTTATTTTCTCTAATATTAAGAAGTTATTTGAGGAAGTCTATTTACTTTGTGGACCCATACCCCCAAACTGCTTCTTTCTAGTTACTTAAAAAAGAAGAAATAACAGAGGAAAAAACTATGGTGTTTTTGCTTGAGGGAAGGAACATTTTTTTATTCTGATTCACACCCACATAAAACTTTCTCTATGGCTTTATTCCAGAAATTGCCCATTTCTTTTCTGAACGTACAATCCCCAGTACTATTTCTCCAACACACCTTGACTACAAGTTTTGCATTTTGGGTAATCTGCAATGTTTTTGTTTTCTCAGACAACTACTGATTTTGCATTTGTAAGTGTCAAGTGCCATGACTTTTTGCACAGATATACCCATACATGCATGTATTATGAGTTCTTCAATTCCCAAAGTCATTTTAATAAAGGTGGCAGACACCATGATATGTCAGGAAAGATGATCTGTGGGGGCAGATGGGTGTTGCACAATTACAATTACAATGGAGCCAACTGTATAACTTGAACTTAGGCTGGCTACGGCGCACATGATATGCTTCTTTTGGGAACATCGCATAGCACACTTTGGTCTGCTTCATGCCAATGTGCTGAAATGTCAGAGAAATCTTGATAGTTCACTTTAGCAATATAGAGAGTACATGATGTATGCTTATAAAATTCCACCAAGACCTATGTTGTTTGTATAATGGACATAATTTTTCAGTTTACTCCAGTGATCATAATGTTTTGGACTATGAATTCAATTAAAGCAGTCATAATATTATTGAAAAACCTGAGGGAATAAAACTAGAAAACAAACCTTCCTTTGAAAGATGGAAAGGAAAGCCAAATCATTTTCTCATTTTTTCACTGTCTTTAAAAAGAGGGACAGAAGAAAGAAAGAAAGAAAAGAAAAAAAAAGGAAAAGAGCTATTTTGGGAAGCATGAACAAAGATGAATACATGCAGAAAAGCATTGAGAATATCCTCCTAGCGGATTCTTGGTTTTGTACTGTCCTAAATGGCAATGTGACTGAGGGCAAGTTATTTAAACCTTTTCATCACACACATCATTTGTAAAATATATAGGTTATCCTGTTATCTCCAAAATTCATTACATGCTTGTCATTCTGTAATTTTATATTAGACTTCAACCTATTTTATATATATATATAATTTGGAATCACTATAAAAAGGTTAAAAAGAAAGAGCATATATATAAAAATATATAATAGAAAGAAAGAGCATATATAAATACAAACAGCATATACACAAAAAAGAGCATATATATATATATATATATATATATATATATATATATATATATGGCATCTTCTTTACTTCCATTACTTTCTTACTTTCTATCTCTTGCTCCCTTGGGCCCTTTTGTGCTCTCCACATATGTTTTATTTCATTGTAATGTTCTATTTAAAATGTCTATTAGGTATATGTCTACTGTGGTAAAGGGCATTTAAATACAGTATTTTGTTATTGAAAGAAATATTGACACAATATATTTATATTAAATTTCTTAGCTAATTCCAAATTGTGACCTTAAACAAATTTATATGTGTGCATGTGTGTGTGTGTGTGTGTGTGTGTTTATGTGGGTAGGATATACTAAAGAGAATTTTCAAATATGTTTTCTTAAAATTATGGAAATAAAATTTAAGATATATGAATTAAAAACTCACTACTAATAAATAAACCCGCAAATTAAAGAACACTATTTCATTATGCACACACACGTATTTTATCTAAGCAGCAATTACAATTTTCATGAGATTATATCAGTTTAATTTTAAATCTCAATTAGTTTCATTGGAATTATTTGAAATCTCAATATATGTTAAAATTGAGATTATGTTGTTTTTCATTTTCTCTATTATATATCATAGCATAGGCATTTTGGTGGCTTTGGATAAGATTGTTAAATTTAATCAAGACTACTGTGAAAGGTCTTTTCTTGCTAGTATTTACATTAACACACAGAAAGATACACTAAGAGAGACAATTTTTATCATTTGTAATTATAAATCCACCATCAAAATGGCACATTTCATAAAGGAGTGGCGGACTTTTTCAGAAATACTGGCTAAAAGCTGACTATAACTTTTTGCTATTCTACCCCTCAAATTATCAGATTAATGCACATATAAACTTTAATTCTCACTGTGTAAACAGGCTTCTTAAATTCTACAAGAACCTGGATAAATGTATAGTATGAATAAAAGTTATAGGTTTAAGAAATTGTTTGATATCAATATTTATTGAGGTAATATTAATTGGAGAAAGACAGAACATGGTTTAATAAATGCTGCTTAACTGGAAAGCTGAAACCTACCACATTTAATACAGAAACCTAGGTTTGGCCTTAAATAAAAGATTTGCTCATTGTCATCAATAATTTGGGGTCAAAATGAACTCAGAATTATAGTAACTGGCCACTTAAAGAACCACTGCATAATCAAAGGATGTACCATGAATGCTGAGGGTGCAAAGCCAAATAAACCTATTTTATTCTCCATGATAAATATAGATTATTAATGTTATAAGTTTCATCTTCTCAATTGAAGGGAATTAAAACCCGCTCTTTATATAGCCACATCATGGGGAATGAACATTAACATACAGATTTAGCAGACTCAGGTTTGTGTTAACTATTCTAGTTTTTATGCATTTTCGTATTTTTTTTATTTAGTTGTCAACTTCACAGACACCCTCATCCTGCTTTCCAAGTAATACTGCTATGAGTTTCCCCCTAAAGCTGTATTTTGCCTTTCTGTTTTGGCTTGGTAAAAATGTTTGATTTTCCCACACTAGTAAACAATGGGAATTAACTTTCAATAAGAGCAAGCATCTATCAACGTGTCAATGCACAGAGTTTTCGAGCTCATATGAATGGATTCAAAAAATATTGCTCTATAAAAGTATAGATTGAAATGATGAATTGATTTAAAAATTTAGTAAGTATAATTAAATAAGAATTAAAAATTGTTATTATAGAGCTATGTATCTTCACAATTTGAGCTATCCTCCTTAGGGATGTTAAATGTGGACATAAACCTATAAGTAAATCATTTTTTCCTTGGCTTAGGAAAAAGCATCTGAATGTAATTTTTTATAAACTAAACTTGGCGAGATAAGAACATAGTTTTATTTTGCTAGATTTATATAACAAACATATTTAAGTATCCTTTATTTTCTATGAATTAACTTCGGTGTTAAAAAAATCTAGAAGTAGTAACCATAATTAAAATATCATCCATTAATAAGCCTTTAAGTACCCTATACTAATAGCAATATTGTAGAAAAAAAATTGAAATTATAGTAAAAGCAGGAAACCCTAAAAGTATCAGCTAATTCAAGAAATACTTTACAACACAATCTGATCTGCTTCTGTGATTAAATTAACCCTAGAATTACATTTATGTACCACAGTAATAAATAATATTGTTGGCTGCATTTATAAAATTAGAAATAATCAATTATGTGAATCAGATATATTGTTACCTTCATTGTATTAATAGATTTTTAAATCAATTCATTGAGTTTTCCTTTCTTTTTTCTATTACTTTAATAGAATAGAAATTAGTACTTCGTGAGGCAGTTTAAAGTTCGGTAATATTAAGATTCTTTGGAATCTAAAACTATGATGCTATTTCTTAATTGAACTTTAAAAAAAAAAAGCATGAGACTTGCTGATGCTCAGACAGACAACTTACGTTCTTAGAGTGCTTGTGTTTAAGAGAGCTCTTAGGGCATCTATTGGCCTATGTTGGTATTGCATATGAGAATTTCAGTTCTCACAACTTGAGTTATATATTTGCCCACAATGATTACAATACGTGCTGCTGATGAATAGATTTATGTTGGAAATCTGTAATATCTATTGTTGAATTTAAAGTATTAAGCAAATGCATAAAACACATATGGTATGGGAGTTGGTCTTAAAAGCGTTTCGATATCAGCTATTTCAACATCTAAAAAATGTATGTTAATTATTTTTTAGAATCTAATGTCCCTGTTCATATTAGTTGCCGTCACCATTTTACTTACACTTCTGAATTTTTGTTTTGTTTTGTTTTGTTTTTTTGAAATGGAGTCTCGCTCTGTCGCCCAGGCTGGAGTGCAGTGGCGCGATCTCAGCTCACTGCAAGCTCCGCCTCCCGGGTTCACGCCATTCTCCTGCCTCAGCCTCCAGAGTAGCTGGGACTACAGGTGCCCGCCACCACACCTGGCTAATTTTTGTGTTTTTAATAGAGACAGGGTTTCACCGTGTTAGCCAGGATGGTCTCCATCTCCTGACCTAGTGATCCACCCGTCTCGGCCTCCCAAAGTGCTGGGTTTACAGGCGTGAGCCACTGGGCCCGGCCACACTTCGGTTTATAGGAGAGACAAAATAATGGTTCTTTCAGTTTCAAAAGAAGTAAACACAGTAACATGTTTTACATTATAACCTTTACAGCAGAATGTAAAAGGACATAGAGAATATAGCTTTAAGTCTTGAGTTCAGAAATATCATAATGTGTAAGGAAATATAATGTTACTAATGAAAATAATCTGCATATTTATCCAGACAGAGAAGTAATTTTTCCCCAAGTATCACAGGTACTTGCTAGGAAAAAAAAAAAAAAAAGAAAGTCACAGCTATGAGAAAGGATGGAGAAAAATCTGAAATTTAAGTTCTTGTATCTGTATGTGAAAAATATACAAATATTGTAGGCATGTAATAATACATAAATTAATAACTCTATAAGTAAAACTCTATTATAAGTAAGTTATAAATGAAAAGTATTAGAAATATAGAGAAAGTATAGCAGGTCAAAATCAGTAAAATCTCAGGTACGAAGTGATACATCCTCAAAGTGAAGTAAAGAAAAGAGTTTGGCAAAGTGAGAAATTACTACCGATTTTCCCTTATGCTTTTTAACCTTTCCTGTACAGAAGATCCTTCCAAACCGTATGACCCAAAGTAACTGTTCCAGTTTTTGAACCCAAGAATAGCACTAAAACTGTTTGGGAGGAAGTGTGGTAAGGAACCCAACAGAAATGGTTATGTTACTTTTCTTAAAGTATCACTTTTAAAATGTTGATTGCTGTTTGTTGATATTATGTAGAAATTATTTGAACTTAAATAGGCCAACACTGTTGAAAAAGAAACATGAAAACAATTCTATGTAGTAGATTAGCATTTCACAATATACTTCTTTTGTATTTATCACGGCTGATTACCACGTCATGGCCATTCTACTCCCATGCACATATTTGAATAATGCTCTGTGGTCTCCAGTGGTTGAGTAAGTCATGTGCCCACTTCGATACAAAGAATTGTGAGTGGAAGTGACACAAGTCACTTTTGGGTTGAGAATTTAGCTGTTGATGCAAGATCCTGCAACTCCTTTCTCTCTGTCAAAGTAACTGGCAACAATTGAAATAGTGACTGCTTAGACAGAATGGACTCCTGAAGGACAACTATGAACCAAGAGGCTTTTGCTGACCCAGTATGAACACAAAGCATGAGCAAGAAATAAACTTTGATTGTGTTACATCACTGAGATTTGAAATTTGTTTTAGGCCACCGAGATTTGAACTTGGTTGGTCTGTTGCCACAGCATAAATAGATTAAAGACATTGATATGTTTCAGCAACTGAACTAATTTTGAAATAGTTGTGTATGCACTAATCCTTCACCAACACCTTAGTTTTACATTTTCTGAGTTCTCTAGCTTCTTACATGATAGATCTCACTGATCTCCTAAGATAAAGTCTTATTTATTCTATACATTTCATATTTACCTGGAATCAGATAAAATGAATCTCATCTTTTAACTACCCTCTTTCCTCCTGTGCATGTTTGAATCACATTCTGTGGTCTCCAATGGTTGAGTGGAGCCATGTGCCCACTTCTGTACAAAGAATTTTTAGGAGTAGAAGTGACACAAGTCACTTTGGGGCTGAAAATCTAGTTGTTGGTGCTAGATCCCTCTGTATTGTGCTGTACCAGCTTAGCTTTTCTGTCATTCTGGCCCAAATGCATTACTCTAAAACTAATTATCTGAGTTTCACTCTACACTTTTAGTGATGGCTCTCTATCCTTCAGTTATCTGAATTTCATTTCCACTTACCCATATTTGCCAAGAATAGGAACCGACTTAGTTCTTTTCAAGTATGCCTTCAATGATCTTTTCAACAAATAGAAATCAGGTGTCTACTGTGACAGAGATATACTGGGAATTAGAGATTCAAGAGTAAATAATAGATAACACCGTAAATAAGACCCAACCAAGCCATTACAATACAATGTAATAAGTATGCAATTAGTGTGATATACCTAAAATCATCCCAGTCTGATAAGCCTTAAGGTTGTTTCTACCAGGGACAAAAGTTTTGCCTTTAAAAGTCATTCTGAAGCACTGACGAAAACTATTTATGGATATTGCTCCTAGATATCAAATACCTGACTACAGATTTTAGGGTATTGCCTGTGCCTATTTTCAGATGCCATCCTCCATACACTAGATTGAGCAACAGTTGTTAAATGCATATTATGCTATTCTCTCTACCTAAAAACAACCGAATTACCTACTCTTTTGAATATTGTGATTATCCAGATAACTGAATTTCAGCAATTAGCCTCCATTGCTTTTTCTTTAAAAATTTTTATTTCCATAGATTATTAGAGAACAGGTGGTGTTTGGTTATATGAGTAAGTTCTTTAGTGGTGGTCTGTGAAATTTTGGTGCACCCATCATTCAAGCAGTATACACTGCCCCCTATTTGTAGTCTTTTATTCCTCACCCCCTTCCCACCATTTCCCCCTGAATCCCCAAAGTCCATTGTGTCATTCTTATGCCTTTGCATCCTCTTAGCTTAGCTCCTACTTATGAGTGAGAACATACAATGTTTGGTTTTCCATTCCTGAGTTACTTCACTTAGAATAATAGTCTCCAATCTCATCCAGGTTGCTGCAAATGCCATTAATTCATTCCTTTTTATGGCTGAGTAGTATTCCGTCATATATGTGTGTGTGTGTGTGTGTGTGTGTGTGTGTGTGTGTGTGTGTGTGTACAGCAGTGTCTTTATCCACTAGTTGATTGATAGGCATTTTTGTTGGTTGCACGTTTTTGCAATTGTGAATTGTGCTGCTATAAACATACATGTGCAAATATCCTTTTATTATAATGACTTATCTTCCTCAGACTTTCCCATGGATGACACCATAACATTTAGTTCTCTGAAGTGGTTTTTCCTGACTAACAATACACCATAACACAAATTCTTAACCATTATGTTCGTACTGCTTCTTCAGCTAATGATACATGAATGTCTGAAATTATATGTGGTTGATGCAAAAGTAATTGCTGTTTTTGCCATTACTTTCAAAGGTAAAAACTGCAATTACTTTTGCACCAACTTAGTATTATTCATTCATTCATTTGTCAATATCATGTCTTCTCTCACCCAAATCTTACATCACTGAGTGTAAGGCCCAACTTCTTCGTACCTGTATTCTGAATGCTTAGAGAACTGTCCGTAATATAAGTGATCAATATATATTTACTGAATAAATACATTAATGAACTTGGCAATGCATTAATTTACTATTCCTTTTAGCCTTTTAAGATTCTATTCATTTTTTTAAAGAGTATATTGAATGCTATTTCTTTCACAGAACTTTATCTGCAAACTGATTGTGACACTTTCTTTTAACCACTGTAGAATTATATCATTATGTTAATTCTGATTTTAAATATTTTTTCAATTCCTCTGTCTAATAACTAGATAGCGATAACTTCAGAGAAAACAGCTAAAATTTATGAGCTTGATATCCATAATGTAATGTGAATTTCTGGCTCACAGTAAATACATAATCTAAAAGCATGTATGTTTACTTATTTATGTCTTTGCTCTCTATCTACTTATTGATGTTTGTTGTCTATCTCAGAATGAGAGTTTGGACTTATTTTTTATTCAACCCTATATCCTCATCTCGTACTGAGGAACTGGCAAGTAGGAGAAACCTAATAAATAACTGCTGAAAGAAAGAATATCTAAATATTGTTTCACTAAATATAACATTTCGTAAAATATTCTTAAACCTTGTCAGTGAGAATCTTAGTAATATCATCTGTTAAATTTATTTTAAGCTTGCTATAACTTCACTAGTCATTTAAATGTCTATTTTATCAAGCAGTCTTAACATTACTAGAATTTTAATTATGCCTAATTTTATCTGCAAATAGTTAATTTAATATTTTATAAATATTTACAAAAATATATATGTCAAGTTCTAGGTATAGTGTGGATAGAAAATTTGTTATCTGAGAGTAAGCAATGTACACTCTGATTTATATGTTTCAACTTTCTAACAGTGACTTAGGTGTCTCAGCTTACTCTGTAAAGCACTTTGTAGATTCTTAGTCTATACTTACTGTTCCTAAATGTAGAAGAGAGATGTAAACAAGGGTAACTTAGGGATAGGTTGCTTCAAAAGTAATTGTGGTTTTTGCCTAATATTTCTACCTAGTATTTTACCTAAGTAAACCAGCAGCAAATAGGATAAATATTTTGTACTATAGGATTTAAATACTATGTACAAATTCCAGTTATTTCACCTAAAAATAGAGATTAAAGTAATATAATTATTGTAGAAAATATTTTAGGACAAATATAATATAGGTGGCATACATTAAAATCAATCATATCTAAATTATCCTCAATGGTGCATAGCAATTATGAGTAACAATACAGTGTTACTAAATTGTTTCATAAAACCTTAGCCCAAAGAGTTTTATAGCATCACTTATTTTACAGAATGCTGCTTAAATTACTGAAAATAGTTCTATGAGGACATTTTATACTGAATAAATAAAAGTGTTTTGTTAGCCAGTGAAATATAAGAAAGAAATTAAAAGTTATAAACAAAGAGAAATAACACATTTTAAAATGCATCTTGAAGATTAATGTGTTCTATTGGCTATGTTTACTATTTGAGCATAAAATATCAAGACTAACTAGTAAAGAAAATTTATGAAAAACATTAAAATAATCAGATGCCCTAGACTTATGCAACAATTCAGTGCACCCATAATGCAATGTTTTGTTTGGTTATTTATGTATTTTTACTTCAAATCAAGCCCTGCTACTGGCACACTGTTTTATGCTGACTTTGATCAAGTGACAAGGTTCACTTAGCTACACAATAGATGTCCCAGAATAATCGCAGGCAACTTCACAAAGCTGCTTCCTTAGTTTCACTTCACAGATAACCTGCCTTATTACCTATCTTCATGTTCAATTAATGGTTGCAGTTCCCTTGTTTCATTATCATTTTAACATTTAATCAATCCTAATTAAACGAGAGCTGAAGATTCTCAACACACTCCACCTCATCTATTACAGAAGTTCTTATTTTTTCCTACAAATGTTCATTGCATTTGCTCCAACTTAACACTTTCATAAAATTCTTTGACAAAGATTGATTACTGGATAGTAACTCAACTTTAACTGTGTTTCAAGTCCATTTTTCTAAATATAAAAAGAAGACATTGTCAATGGATTTGCTTCTAAATTAAATGTGTATATCTTCCTGATATATACACATAAATTAGATTAATATAGTCATATAAGTGAAGCTAAATAAGCAAGTTGTAGATTTTAGTGGAAGAGGTTGATACGAAATGTAAAGAAGAAATTTCATCATGTATTTATCACTTTAATCATTAAAGAAATATGTATTGAGAATCTCCTTTGGGTTGGATGTTTTAATAGTTACTGGGAATACAGTAGACAAAGGTAAAAGAAAGCAAGTGATGGCTGTTGGCAGAAATGTAAAATGGTGCAGCTGCTATGGAAAACAGTATGGAGATTCCTCAAAAACTTAAAAATAGAATTACTGTATGATCCAGCAATTCTATTTTAAAGTATATACTAAAAAGAATTGAAAGCAGATCTCAAAGAAATAATTGCATACTCATGTTTATTACAGCACTATTCACAATAGCCAAGAGGTGAAAGTAAACCCAATCTCCATCAATGGATGAATCCATTTTTAAAAAGTAGCATGTACATACAATGGAATATTATTCAGCCTTTAAAATAAAGGAAATCCTGTCAAACACTACAGTATGGATGAACTGTGAGGACATTCATTATACTAAGTGAAATTCATTATACTAAGTTAAATAAGTCACTCACAGAGAGACATAGACTGTATGATTCCATTTATATGAGGTATCTAAACTATTTAAACTCAGAGAAACAAAAGGTAGAATGATGGTTGTCAATGGCTGGGGGAAGGGAAAATGGAGAGTTGCTATTCAGTGAGTACGGTTTCAGATTTTCAAGATGGAAAAGTTTTAAAGATCTGTTGCACAACAATGTACATAGAGTTAACACTACTGTATCGCAAATTAAAATGATTCAAATAGTAATTTTGTGTAGTTTTCTTTAACCTATAATTTTAAAGAGGTTCATTCTCAAGTTTATCCCCATCTTAGAGATGCAAACTGATATTTTAAAGTATAGTAACTAGGAAGGGGCAAAACTGGGATTCACATCCGCCTACCACAATCTAACAACCTTGATTTTTCCACCTTCCATACTGGTAGCTTCAATCTTTTTTCTCCAAGAAAAAAGACCAGGTTTATAGGTACCTGTATTGTAGCAGAAACTTTTCCAGATGGCAAATATATGCTTATTAGTGATGAATCACCTGCACACAGATTTGAGGATCACAAGTAATTTTCAACCTCATAAGTGGAAGAAGCTGATAACATTGGTATGTTCTCTGCTCTGGCGAAGACTGATTCCTAAATACAGGCAAATAGATGTAAGATTTTGATGGATCTGTGTTTGAGGACTTAAGAACAATAGAAGCAACTATAAGATCAAAGCAACTCCTAATTTAAATTATTGGGCAATAAAAAGTCATGTATCCGAAGTTTAGCATCATCTTCCTCATATCAGACTCTGTTTTGTCAATTTAACATTTATTCTTTCCATTAAATTTTTCTCAATCTAACATACAATTTCTCTGATTCTCCAACTTACCTATTTTCATTTCTTCTCTCTTTCTTTTGCTCCATAAAGTTATAAAGTTATATGTTCCTTTTTCTCCAAGATTGTAGCTTTCTCTGTCTCTCCTGATTCAACCATGACTTTGATGGACTCCTGACCTTCATTTTAGCATCCCTCTATTGCTCACACAACTTTGTGATCTGGAGATTTCCTCCTCTGCATTCACACATGCTCATTCTCCTGTTTCCCTGAGCATGACATTGAAAAACACAAGCAGAGGAAATGGCAAAATAATGATGGGCATCCTCTAAGAATTAGGACATTCTTATTATTATTGCAAATATTTAGGCTGCAGACACCCTTCCTTTTTCATAATGCCAAAAGCCAATGTGTAGCATCAACATTTTTTGGCAAAACAGAGTCTGAAACTAAACCCCTCTTTCTTCTTTTTATTACTCCTAAGTGTACACCTATAATGCAAGTTAGTATTTATTTTTAAGATATTGAATGTCTTGGAAGAACAATATCATATAAAATGTATTATCATATATTTAATCCCCAGGAAATCTTATTACCAAAAAATGGAAAAGAGTATACACTGGGGTGCTAGCTTGTTTAATTTCTTTTTTTTTTTTTTTTTTTTGCATTAGGATGATTTTTACTTCAACTTCTGCTCCACACACATTTCTGTCAGTATAAGTCACCTCTTCTACTCTCTGATAAAGTTCTCCTGTTTTTAACCTAACTGGAACAATTTCTTACCCTTGGCATTGCCCTCATGCTCATATTTGTCAGACTACTGCAGTGTTAATACTGAATTATGCAATTGTTAGCATATGTTTTATGTTTGCTAAATGATTGATTCTCTGTTTAATGTATTTTGCAAGGAATGTCTTAATAATGAGAAAGGTGATAAGAATTATAAAACTGATATTACATGGATGCTTCCCATTAGTCCATGAGTGTATGGTTATGCAAAAATAACTGAGGAATGGAATTTACTTAATATAAATATCTTTAAGACATAAGAATTTTTAGTAGTGTGGCTAAAACCACACTTTCTTTTCTACTCCAAAATTGCATAAATTTTGTTTTGGGAATTCATAAAATTTGGTTAAGCAATTTGGAATTTAAACCAAGGGAAATTATTTTATATCTGGACTTCTGTAAAATATCATGATCTGTGTTCTAAATTCATATTGCACATAAGAAGTAAATAATTTAGCATTTAAAGTCCTAGATTTAAAAATAGGTATTTCTTACATTCAAAAATGTTTGAAGAGGGGAATGTCATGTGAACATGAACTGAAACGTAGGATGCTTTGTCTGCAAGGTAACGAATGCTAGGGATTGCTGGAAAATCATCAGAAGCATGGCCCAGATTCTCCCTCACAGCCTCAGAAGAAATCTACCCTGCCAACACCTTGATCTCAGACTTCTAGCCTCTAGAACTCAAACACAACACATGTTCGTTGTTTAAGACACCCAATGTGCCTTCTTTTGTTATGACAGCCCTAGCAAACTAAGACAAACAATGTAGGAAAAGCACAAGAGACACTGCTGCCTGGATTCCCAGCACCTGTTAACACACAGATCTGAAGGGTCAGAGGGATGAGGAAAAGTTACTGGTCCCTACAGAAAAGAAAGACTGTAGGGAGGTGACACTTTACTTAGAGGGATGCAGCCGGTCCAGGAAATTGCTTAAGCCGAATGGGGGAAAATACCTTAAGTTGGCTTTGCCAGTTCCCATTTACAGATGTCTTTACAGATGTCTTTTCTGAGTCACCTACTTGATGAATTCAACTGAAAAGCCAGTGATATTATCCTCTCATGTTTCAGTCCTGGGAGGCATAGAGTGGAGTGGAGATGGCTAGAGATGCATATGGAGGGGCAGAAAAAAATATTCACCACGCTCTCAGTAGCCTTTAGAGTATTTATTTATTTATTAACTGATTACTAAATTTCTATCATAGAGGTTTATTTAGAGTTGGAGTAATCTGAATTAAAAGATACTTTTTTAAAAAATCTTTGGAGTCTAGCCAAATTCTATTTCTCTAAGAAGGATTTCCACAGAATATTTTTATCTAAAAGGATAGTAAGCATAGAAGGTGGGCAAAAAGTGCTGGAAAGTGACAATCATTGCTTATAACTTTCATTATATGGAATGTTGATTGTATGCGAAAATATGATAGACACCATAATAATTAATGTATTAAAAACTATCATAGTGCTTGTGCTAGGGTGAGGTGTTGTTATACAGGATAATATACAGAAACAGGAAAGCATAATCAATTGTGAAAAATTTGGAAAATATGGGTTTTTATGTTAACAGTTTTTAAAATCAACTATACACATAAGTGACCTACATAGCTAGAAATTCTACAGACAAATGTATACTGGCATCTTAGTGTTTGAAGTGGAATAATTTCCCGAAAAGCATTAAGTCACAGAACCCATAATAATTGAAGCAGTTTTCTCAAAAAAAAAAAAAAATTCCAGGCCAAGAATGCAATCACAACACTTTCCACACGTCATTGGCATTGTGACATTCTCTGTCATTCGGGATTCAAACCGTGCATTCAGTGCAAATTCTTCAATCTTCCTAATAAAAAGTTTTTAACATCCAAGCTCTTTTTATTACATATCATAACATTGCTCTGATCGGCTTGTCAAATATATATTTCTTTCCTTTCCATTGTCCCTGTCCTAGTGCAGATTTTCAGTACATTTCCTGGGATGATTGAAGTAGACACTTAATTGGTTTCTCTGCTTCAGGTCTTTCTTATCTTCATTCCTTTCTACACATTTCTTCCAGATTAATCTTTCTAAAGGATTGCCCACATCATGTCATTATCCACTAAACAGCCTGGCATGGTTTTCCATTGCTCCAGTGACCATATAATTTGTCATCCAAACTGGAAGACATTTGAGAGTGAAAGAGGCATGATTAATAATCACTCTCAGTCAACAGGTGTAAACCAGGATTCTCCTGGCTTCTATCCATTCCTGCAACCCTTCTTTGATTTCTTCCAAAATTTTCATTAATCCTATTCAGACAAACTGAATTACTATAAATCTTGACTACTCACTTTAGTTTTTCCATTATTTAGTTGTGGATTCATAGCTTTCAGATTTTTTGAGGATTAAATTAGATAATATAAATACATGGAACACACTGGGCACTCAAAGAATGTTTCTGCCCATCTTATTTAATCAATGTCATTAAAATATATGCAGAATATCCACTCTTAACATAGAACACTGGCAATAAATATCAGGTTGGTAGTTTTACATCTGCTGACATTGTTAAACACTAATTAATCAAAATGTTTCTTATAGTTTTTTGGATAAGTCTCTGCAAAAAAATTTTATTACCTTTCAGCAATGATAAATATAAATTTGGATTGATAAAACAGTAACATTTGGGCTCATGCACACATAACCCCATTATAAACCATTCTGATTTTTTTGTTATATTTTGGAATGAACACACACACACACACACACACACACACACACACACACACGCATAAGGTAAAACTAATTTTTTATTTAAATTGTTATATCATGTTTTCTGTAACAATTTAGAATTTTAGTTTTTTGAACGATTACTGTATAATTTGAAACGAAATTTGATGTCCCCTTCATTGAACAATTCAGGAATGTTAAATTATATTTCAATTAGGATGTAGAAAGTAAACTCTGCCTTCAAGAATGTCTTGGGCATATGTCAGAAGGATATTCTTCTATATAAACTATAAGCAATTCATTATTTCATGAATAAATATATGTAAAATGGTCTTTAATGAGATAAATTTGATCACTTTGAGTCAGTGTATTATGAATGTGGCCTATATTAGGATATCATTCTCCATAGATTAAAATAAAATTAACAAGAATCTGTTCCCTGTACTATAATTTATCAAATTAAATTTCGTGATACTAATGGTGAGTTTTTTCATGTTTGTTTCTTCCTTTAAATATTTAATCTAGCAGAATAAACTTTACTTCTAGCATCTTATTTTCAGTCTTTTAATTTTTGCCATATGATGTACATATTACCAGAGCATTAATCCCCAATGATATTACATTCTATATATTTTCAACAGAGATTTTTATGGATTTTGATATGTTTAATTATTTAAATTCTTTTATTTTTGTGGTTCAACTGCACTTATTCAATATTTTTAATTTAGTAGGAGTTATTATTATTCATTCCATGATGGATATTCTCCCTCAAATATACATTCAGAATTATAAATAAGATATATTTTGCATATATTGTTTAAAATAATGCTAATTTTTATAATTCACTCACAGTGTACTTTGCTTCCCAAAGAAAAGTGTAATCAGTTATAAATTCTTGTCAAATGTTATATTGATATTTTAAAAATCTAAAATGTTCTTAACCATGAATAGTTGAACGATCTGAATAGTGCATACAGTAATTTTGGAATACTATTAATTTGTTTAGAATTTTCTTTTACTGGCGAAGTAACTTTAACCCACTTCTGTCTGCAGTATCACAAGTTTTTATTAGTAATGCTTTAAATATTGATTACATCCTTGTAATCTTATTTTTAAAAAGTCTAAAATCCCTTGGTTCAAACTGTATACTTGAAACCTCACCTTCACTAAGTTATAGTATAATTTAGTACAAAAAACTATATTGGTGTAATACAAATATTTACTTCTTGGAAATGTATTAGTTAGAATTATATATGAGAATTCTGTACTTACATCTTTTCTTTTCTTTTTTTTTTTTTTTGAGACGTAGTCTCGCCCTGTCTCCCAGGCTGGAGTGCAGTGGGGCGACCTCTGCTCTCTGCAAGCTCCGCCTCCCGGGTTCACGCCATTCTCCTGCCTCAGCCAGCTCCGCCTCCCGGGTTCACGCGCCATTCTCCTGCCTCAGCCTCCCGAGTAGCTGGGACTACAGGTGCCTGCCACCATGCCCAGCTAATTTTTTGTGTTTTTAGTAGAGACGGGGTTTCACCGTGTTAGCCAGGATGGTCTCGATCTCCTGACCTCGTGATCCGCCCGCCTCGGCTACCCAAAGTGCTGGGATTACAGGCGTGAGCCACTGCGCCCGGCCACATCTTTTCAGACTAAGAATTATTGACACTTATACTTTCTGAACCAGAATTTATCATCATTACAATAAATATGTACAGAGTAATGTAGTTTCTGGCCAAAACATAAATGTGAAGTTTCATTCTAAAAATTTATTTTAATTAAACTGTAGAATTCCAGATTTAGTAGGTGCCTTAAAGATGCTTTGTTGAAGAAGTTTTCCTACCACATCCTTGAGGTATGGCCATCCAAACTTCTACTTAAAGAGCCAAGGAGCAAGGTCACACAAGGTAGTTTAATGTTGGATAATTCTCAATGTAATTATTGAAGTAACAAGAAAAAGTAACTGAAATGACTTGGAGCTCAAAACTAACACCTGGCTTGACTATTTAGAATGTCAAAGAATATGGGCATATACTGATTTCACTTATAAAATAATAAAAAGACATATTTAACTTTTATTCTCAATTTTTATACATTAGACAGCATTCATCACACAAAACATACATAGATCATTCAATCATAACTCAGGATGTTAAGGATTATACAAGACACATGTTGTTTACCTGAAAAGAAAATAAGATCTTTAAATGGGCCTACAACATTGAAGAAAAATTAGTGTTCATTTTGCTTTCAGTATGTCCATTCTACTGATTTGATTAATATAGGTTGATTTTTCACTCAAGTATGAAGAATTATTGATATTTCAACTCATTTTTATGTCTATTGTGTGAGATTTAATTAATTTTGATGATCTCATGGTGTTTTATTGAAATGTATAGAAATCCTTGTGATTTATCTAGCAAGGTGATTATTAAAAGTTTTGACTTGTGAAGGGAATGACCTTTGTCTGCACTTTGCTGATGTTAACATATTCTTATTTCGAGTTAATGTTTACTTAGAGCAGAAATGTGTCACGGTAGGTATACATTGGTGTGTGCATGGAATCACACTTTCAAGCCTGCCACACTTGAGAGTAGTACTGAGTAGGAAGGTCATACCTTGCATTTAAACATTAGCTTTATGTTAATTCAAAATTTTCTGAGAGCTGTTATGACTGTCCTTAGTATCTAATATTCAGAGCCCAAATTATGACATTTTTCTTTGTCTTAAGAACAAATATACCCAGAAAAATTGATAAATCATTTATTAGACACACATTAAACAAAGTCATTTCATTTTCTAAGCATTGTGCTAAGCTAAGAAGGTATAATTTTTCCCTCAGTCAAAGAAAAGAACAAAGAATAACAATAATGCAATATTTTAATAAAATAATAAAGGTGTACAATTAAACCTAAAAAGAACTAATGCTTTTTTGGTGATCATTGGTATATTCTAATTACACAGATGAAGAAATTGAGGTCAGATAACCTTTAATTTGTCCAAGGTCAGTCAGTGTGGAGCTGAGATTTGAGCCCATGGACTATGGCTCCATGTACTATGCTACTTGCAGTTAACCAGATGGCAAAGACAATGTTATGACAGATAAGGAATTTCATGTTCATGGGTAATGAAAAAAATCTCTTTTGTATATGGTAGTAAATTTCACCTAAATTAATTTAAACTCAAATAAATGCAAACTTTAAATGATTTTTTGACCCACAAAGTTAATAAGAAACTATACTTCTTCAAATCTGAGTCTATGGGTGTTTGTGTATACATATATACATATGTATGTATGTGTGCGAATACACACACACATATGAAAACTTGAGGCAAATTAAATTTAGCAAAGTTAATTTGATCAAAGAACTACTCATGAGTCAGACAGCACTCAGAACCAGAAAATGTTCAGAGAGCTCCACCTAGCAAGGTGAGAAGTTAACCTGTATAGGGTGAACACAGAAGCAACGTAGACAAATCATCACATTGGCTATAGCTAAGCATTTGTTTTATTTGGGTATGGATTGATTAACTGGCTGCCTATGATTGGATGAATCTTGGCTGTTTGTGACTGTGTGAAGCCTATATATTCATTATAAAAATATATATATACTCCTAAGTAAGGTTTCAGCAGCCTGAGACTAAGAGCCTCCTGCCTATTTACACACACACACACACACACACATACACACACACACACACGTTTCCTCTACATAATCTGGAAATGAGAAGCATGTGGACTACATTCTTCCAAATATTATTGCCATTAAAATCTGAATTGCCAAAAATGAAAACATTATCCTGAGATGTGTGTGTATTTTAAATTTAATCACTCATTACTCTGTGCTTAATGGTCTTTTTTTTTCTTTATTTCTAATTAGGTTGAATGTACTGGTTACACTTTATCAAACAACTCATGTTTTTTAAGGAATAAGTTATTTCTTATTTCTTCTGCACCTTTCATGTTGTAGTTATATACATATATGTATATATATATGTCAAATCACATGTTCTTTAATTTTTCTATTAGCAATGTTGGAACACTCTAAGAATATGAGGTAAATAGAAGTAATGTTGCTATCCTCTTGAAAACAATGTTATTAAAATTGCATGACATAGGCAAGTTCAAAGCAATGATTTTTAAAGGTATAAAATCATATATTACATGAAAAGTTTTAGCTTGGTGTAATTTTACTGTTTTAAAATCCATTAATAGTTTTCTTCACAAGGTTATTGAGTATCTTAAAGCAATCAAAACTATCAGATTAATTATTCATAATTAGTATGTCCGCTCCTGCTTACTTTTTATTGTGATTTCTATATATATATTTTTTTCCTTTTGGTATGAGGAATCAAATAAACTTTTTTTTTCCAGGCCTCTATTTAATTAATTTTAATTCAATTTAATTTTCATGTGAGGTGTGCTCTTTTAATTTTGATGAGCTAAGTTATGTATCTACATTCAAGAAGGTGCTACTTTTGGTTTTAAAAAAAGAATAAAACAAAATAATTTGTTCCATTTTCACATGATTCCTTGTGGTTTCTAAATAAACACCATAACCTATAAGGTTATAAAGGCTGATTACTTTATAGCAAGTGAATGAATCTAAAGCTAAACATATTTTCTCTGTTTCTCTAGAAGTTAATCACTCAACTGAGCTTATTCATTTGTTTAGTCATTCAAATAAATATTGACAACTTATTGTGTGACAGGCAGAGAAAAACAGAGTTACAAGAATTATTATTTTTGACAGAGTAATGAGGGAAGATGTCTTGAATATTAAACATTTCAGTAGACACCTGAAAGTTGTGTATGAGAAAGCCACACGATTTCTTGAGGGCAAGGGTTCCATGCAGAAAGAATGGTGAGTGCAGAGGGTCTGAGGAACAGTCTGCTTACTAAGTTTCAGAAACAGAAGAGGCTGGTATGATGGGAGTATAAGAAGTGAATATAGTGAAGGAGACAAAAACTGAGATGCACTGGGAAGTGGGAGGATGGGAGAAACCATTATTTTTTTAAATTTTACTTTAAGTTCTGAGATACAAGTGCAGAACGTACAGGTTTGTTACATAGGTATCCCTGTGCCATGGTGGTTTGCTGCACCTACCAACCTGTCATCCAGGTTTTAAGCTCCACATGCATTAGGTATTTGTGCTAATGCTCTCCCTTTTTTACCATGTGAGAAAATTCCCTTAGGCCTGGTATTGAAGTGCATATCAATGAGATTATAAACCATTTAATCCTTTTTGCCTGCCTTCTTTTTATCACCATCTTTGTGAGATTAGCCCATGTTGACTACTGTTTTTATAATTCATTCTTTGTTGTTGATGGGTAAGTATTCCATTGCAGGATTATTATCTTAATTTGTTTTCCATTCTTCTGTTCATTACCTTTGCATATTGTTTCCCCTCTGAAAGTTATCATGAATAAAGCTGATATATTCTTCTTCAAGTTGGTCTGTTGACATATATTTTTATTTTTTCTTGACTTATATTTGTATTAGTTTTCTAGGGTTATTGTAGCAAAGTACCACAAACTAAGTGGCTCAAAACAATAGAAATATTGTATCACAGTTTTAGAGACTAGGAGCCTGAAATCAAGGTTCTGTCAGCTGGACCATGGTCTCTCTGAACACTGTAGCAGAATCGTTGCTTGCCCCTTCCTAGTTTCTGGTAGTTGGCTCGCAATTGTTGGCAGTCCTTGATGTGTGGCTGCATAACTCCAACCTCTGCCTTTGTTATCACATGATGTTTCCCTTGTGTGTCTTTATTGTTGCAAGCAGTTGTCTTATAAGGACACCAGTCATATTGGATCAGGGGCCCAGCCTCCTCCAGTAGGACCTCATCTTGGGTTAACTAATTATATCTGCAAGAACCACATTTCCAAATAAAGTCAAATTCTGAAGTACTGGGGATTAGGACCTTAACATATATTTTTTTTGGAATAACACAATTCGACCTTAACGAATATCCAGGAGTGGAAATGCTGGCTCATACGGTAGAAGAGTGTGTGTGTGTGTGTGTGTGTGTGTGTTACTTTACAATCCCAGTCCCATGAAAAATGAATGAGAATTCCAATTTCACAAAGCTCGTATAGCAAGTTTGAGGTGACATCTAAATTTGGTTCTGTCTATTTACTGATGTATTATTTAATTTCTTGAAACAATATTTTGTAGTTTTCAGTATGAAATTATGCTTAAATTGTATTATATTTTAGCTAAGTGGGGGATACATTTTAGCACTGCTACTATATCTATAATTTTTATTTTATTTTTCAAATGTTTGTTGTTAATATATACATATGTAATAGATTTTTGCATATTGACTTATTTTCCTAAGAACCTGATAAACTCACTTATTAGTTTTAGCACATTTGTATACATATTTAGGATTATGTAAACAACCATGTCATCAGCAATTTCTTTATATTCAGACATTCTACTTATTTTTCTGGTTAATCACTGAATATAAGATGTGAGGATAAACATCACTGCATTTTTTTTTTTAGCTTATGAGGAAAGAATTCAACTTGTACCATTAAGCATGTTGTTAGTTGTAAGACGTTTGTAAATGTCCTTTGGAAAATTAAGAATGTATTTTTCTATTACTACTTTGTTGAAAGTTTTTTTAAGTAGTAAGTGAAAGTGAGATTTTGTCACAAGATACCACTCAATCCCTGAATAAACCCCATTTTACCATGTTGTGTAATGTTTTTGTGTATTGTTGAATGTGATTTGTTATAAAATGGTGAAATATTCTGTATCAGTGTTCATAAAAGATACTTATCTTTCTTCTTCTTTTTTTTTTGTAATGTTCTTCCCAGCATTGAAAAGAGGATGATTCTGGTCTTTACAGTATGGCTTTAGTGTTCTTTTCTTTCTACTTTAAGAGTTTGGCCAAGGACAACGTTTTGAAATCCTGAAATATTGACCAGAAGTCAACAATGAGATCTTCTTATTCTGAAGTCTTCATTGTAAGAAATATTCTGAATACAAATGCAATTATTAAATAGATATAGTTCTAATTATGTTATCATTGCTCACTCCTAATTACATTTATCTTCTCTACCCTTATTTTTTAGTCTTTATAAAAACTTTCTTCTCCTTATGATAAAATCTTTGGATATGTCCTTTTTCTTCTGCAGTTTAAAATTCAATGCGACAATATAATCACAATGAAGTAATGGTTTTTGCAACCTATGCTGATGATCTTGACCTCTTTGACATCTTTAGGTGTACTCTTTAGGCATGTTGAAGTGCACTAGAGTTTGATCTGCATTTCCTCTTTGACTAAATTATAATTTTGTTTTTTCTTCATTTGGATCATGTATTGCTGGAAGTTAAGTAGTCTCTGTTCAAAATGAGCAGGATGTTTCTAACAACATGATATTTGTTTCCTTGACAAGAGTCATGCACAAATCATAAATTGGTCAAATCAGCCTTTCATTGCTTCAAACTTATTTTCATTTATTCCAAGGAGTTAGCAATTTCTCTAGCCACAGTGGCATTACATGGTTTGTAATAGAAAAATTTTTGTCCACACGTAAATGACAAAATATAACATAGCTTTGAGTATTTTTGTGTCTTTTTTTTTTTTTTTTTTTTTTTTTGAGACTGAGGCTCGCTGTGTCGCCCAGGCTGGAGTGCAGTGGCGCGATCGCGGCTCACTGCAACCTCCGCCTCCCAGGTTTATGCCATTCTCCTGCCTCAGCCTCCTGAGTAGCTGGGACTACAGGCGCCCGCCACCACGCCCGGCTAATTTTTTCTATTTTTTTAGTAGAGACGGGGTTTCACCGTGTTAGCCAGAATGGTCTCAATCTCCTGACCTCATGATCCGCCCACCTCAGCCTCCCAGAGTGCTGGGATTACAGGCAGAAGCCACTGCACCCAGCCTTCTGTGTCTTTTTTCTCAGATCCCTTAGGCCATTGTGTTTTTCCTTTACGAAAACATGAAATTGTAAACATTTCTCAAATAACAAATATTTGTTTTTCTATATTAAATGTCGATCACCACTACTTTTTCCAAACCATTTTGTGTACAAGATAACTTCTGTGTCAATGTCAAATCCTAGTATATTCTTTTTTATAAGGTATATTAAACGACAATTAAACTCACTATGCATGGTTCCAAAAGCATCACTCAGATAAAGATAATATTAACAGCTGTGGACATGATGTATACACAAGTATTTGCAATTGCATTATGACTGCTGTTTGGCTGACTGATTAGAAAAGTCTATTATTATAATATGCAATCAGATTTTTATCTACTGTTTCACAGCATACACATTCAAAAATACTTTAATAAAGTTCTAGCTAAGTCCTCCAAAATACTGCTGAAAAGATTAATGAAAACTGTTATTAGTATCTTTTTCTGGAATGTAATGGAAATGAATTCAGGGTTATAATATTTAATATAATGTTTCTTGTTATTTGGAGTAATGGGCTTTATTATATAGAACTGGTTTTCTGAATTGATAGTTTTGTTTTTATTTTTATTAAATTGTAACATGTATTTACTATAAACTGTTAAATAATTCAGTAAGGTATGTCCACTGCATCCCTTCTACTTATAATTTATCAGAGACATTTTATTTCCTTTTTAAAGATCTGATGTTTTGCTGTTAATTTCTACATCTCTATATAGATTTATATTGTTATTTATTGAATTTCTTTCTGTTTTAGCTTTTTAAAATTTTACCTCTTCCTTTGGACATTGAAGATTTAGCTTACTATTACTCACCCTATAACCTAAACAGATACACACACATGAGTTTCTATGCTTTCAATATATTTTAATTATAGTATTGATTAGATTAAAATTCAGTGATTAAATGCTCTTGAGGTAAGGTAGGATTTCAAAGACATAACCCCTTGGAGAAGGGGTTTATACATCTGAAAAGGGAGCACCAACCATGGTCCTTCTGAAAGCTACTGGAACCCTAGTTCTTGGCATTCTAAATGAAGCCGGATGCTGGGTAAAATGATGGTGCTGGAGTGATGCTAACAGGGATACAAAATAAAAAATAAAAGAAAGGAAGGTACTTCTCCATTGCTCCTGCCTTGCAGTCTCCTTTGTGCCTCCATTTACAAAAACAGCTGGAATTACCCTGCCCCACCCATTTTCCACCAGAATAAGATGCAGTCAACTCATTCCATAGGGCCACTGGTTCACTCTCACAGGCCCTGGAGGCTGTAATTTCTCTCAGACATGAAAGGTGCTGGAAAGCTGTGATTCCCAGGAAAATACTCTAAACAGGTGGCTTCTAAACCCTGACTGCCTAGCCCCAGTAGTGTATGTATAACATGCTGACGAAGTTCCTCTTCTCTAAGAAGGTAGAACCAAAGGGTTAATTTCTGCAAATTCATTGAGCGTACAATGGCAATTCTTGACAATTGCACATCTTTTGTGTTATAATTAAAAAGTAAAAAAAACTTTGCATTTTTGTATTGACTTTCATCTTGCTTATTTTCTCTATAAATATTATTTGCGATCTCGTATTATGTTTTTAACCCAAACCCCAATCCATAACACATGGTTTTCACATGCTTGATTTTACTATATTTAAAATGAAACACTGTCTTTATTGAACAATATTTTAATATATTATTTTCTACTTGTTATCATTCATCATTTTCTGTTAGCCACACTAACAGGTACTACATTATATATCACTATGGTTTTAATTTGCATTTCTCTGATGATTAGAGATGTTGAACATTTTGTCATATATTGGCCATTTGCATGTCTTCACTTCGAAATGTCTATTCAGGTCCTTTGCCTATTTTTAATGGGGTTATTTGTTTTCCTATTATTGAGTAGTTTGAGTTCTCTGCATATTTTGGATTTTGACCCCTTATCCAATGTACGATTTATGAATATTTTCTCTCAATCTGTGGGCTATCTCTTTACACTATTGTTTTCTTTGCTGTGAAAAAAGCTTTTAGTTGGATGCAATTCCATTTGTCTATTTTTGCTTAGGTTGCCTGTGCCTTTGGGATCATAATCAAGGGATCACTGCCCAGACCAATGCCATGGAACTTTCCTCCTATGTTTTCTTCTTGTCATTTTATAGGTTTACATTTTATGTTTAAATATTTAATCCATTCTCAGTTGATTCTTGTAAAAGGGGTGAGATAAGGCTTATTATCATTGTTCTGTATGTGGATATCCAGTTTTGCCAACACTATTTTTTGAAGAGACTTTCCTTTTCTCATTGCGTGTTCTTTACACTTTTGTCAAACATCACTTGACCATAGCATGTGAGTTTAATTCTGTGTTCTTACTATTTTATTCTATTGCTTGATGCATCTGTTTTTATGCCAGTACCATGATGTTTTGATTACTATAGCTTTGTAATATATTTTGAAATCTGATAGTGTGAATCCTCCAGCTTTGTTCTATTTGGTCATAATCGTTTTGGCTATTCAAGACCTTTTGTGGTTCCATAAAAATTTTAGGATATTTTTTACATTTCTTTAAAAAATGACATTGGAAATTTGATAGGGATTGCATTGAATCTATAGATCATCTTGGGTAGTATGAATATTTTAACAGTATTAATCCTTTCAATCCATGAAAATAGGATAACTTTGTATTGACTTGTGTCTTCTTTAATGTCTATCAGCAAGGTTTTATAGATTTCAGTATATAGATTTTTTACCTCTTTGGTTAAATTTTCTCCCAAGTATTTTATTTATTTTAATGATATTTTAAATGGGATTGTTTTCCTATTGCTTTTTCTGGTAGTTTGTTGCTAATGTGTACTAATGGTACTTATTTCTGTAAGTTGATTTTGTATCTGGCAACTTTACTGAATTTATTAATTCAAACAGTTTTTGATGGCGTTTTCAGCATTTTATACATATCAGATCATGTTGTCACTTCTCTTTCTTGCCTTGAATTTCTTTTTTTTTTTTTTTCCTAATTGCTCTGTCTACAACTTCTAGTAGTATGTTGAACAGATGCGGTAAGAGTGGGCATCCTTGTCTTTTTCCTGATCTTAGAGGAAAAGCCTTTTAACTTTTCATTGTTGAGTATAAAGTTAGCTAGGGGCATGTCATATTTGCTATTTATTGTGGTCAGGAACATTATTTTATACATAATTTGTTGAGAGTTTTTATCATAAAAGGATGTTGGATTTTGTTAAATGCTTTTCCTATGCCTACTGAGATGATCATATGGTTTTGACCTTCCTTATTTTAATATGGTGAATCACGTTTATTGATTTGTGACTGTCAGACTTATATTACAGAGAAAAATGTCAATTATGTTGAATAACCCTTTGAATGTTCTGTTGAATATGGTTTGATATTATTTTGTGTGGATTTTCACATATATAGTTATCAGTAATATTAACCTGTAGTTTTATTTTCTTATACTGCTTTTGTCTAGCTTTGGCATCAGGCTAATGCTGGACTCATAAAATCTGTTCGAAATTATTTTCTTATCTTCAATCTTTTGGAAGAGTTTGAGAAGAATGAATATTCGTTCTTTTTAAAATATTTGATCAAATTCTGTCTTGAAGCCATGTGGCCCTGGGCTTTTCTTTGATGAGAGATCTAAATTACTGATTTAATCTCTTTATTATTGATCTATTCAGATTTCCAATATCTTCGTGATTCAGTCTTGGTGCAATATATGCTTTCAATAATTTTATCCATTTCTTTAAGATTGTTTAATTTGTTGTCAAATAATTGTTCACAATATTCTATTTTTTTTATTTCTGTGTTACCAGCTGTAATTTTTCCTCCTTTACTTCTGATTGTATTTTTGAAGTCTACTCTCGTTTTTTCCTTAATTAATCTAGTAAGGGTTTAACAATTTTTTTTTTTTTTGAGAGACAGTCTCACTTTGTCACCCAGGCTGGAGTGCAATGGTGTGATCTCAGCTCACTGCAGCCTCCACCTCTCTGGTTCAGGCGATTCTCCTGCCTCAGCCTCCCAAGTAGCTGGGACTACAGGCACATGCCACCACACCCAGCTAATTTTTGTACTTTTAGTAGAGACAGGGTTTCACCATGTTGGTCAGGCTGGTCTCCAACTCCTGACATCAAGTGATCTGCCTGCCTTGACCTCCCAAATTGCTGGGATTACAGGCGTGACAATTTTTTTTTTTAGATTTTTCAAAAAGCCAACTCTTAGTTTTGTTGATCTTTTCTATTGTTTTCTAATCATTATTTTATTTATTTGTGCTCTGATTTGTATTTTCTTCCTTCGCTAACTTTGGGCTTAGTTTATTCTTCCCTTTTTAATTCCATGACCTCTAGTATTTGGTTGTTTACTTGAGTTATCTTCATTTTTATCATAGGCATTTAATGTTATGAATTTCCATCTTAGAACTGCTTATTTGATTCACATAAATTTGTGTATGCTATGTTTCCATATTAATTCGCTCAAGATAAATATTTTTTAAATTTTCCTTTTAATTTCTTCTTTGACCTAATAGTTGTTCAGGTGCATATCGTTTCATTTCCACATATTTGTTAACATTCCATAATTTTTCTTTTTATTGACTTCTAGTTTCATATTATTATAGTCGGAAAAGATACTTGATACTATCACCATCTTCTTTAACTTATTAATACTTGTTTTCTGGCCTAACATACAATCCATCTTATGGAATATTCCACATGCACTTGAGGAGAATGTGTATTTTGTTGCTGTTGAATGGAAAATTAAAAAAATACAAATAATAAAATGTTGTAAATTGTGATATCAAGTCATAAAATGTGGGAAGAGAATGAGTAAAAATGTAAATTTTGTGTATGTGATCAAAATTAATTTATCAATTTATACTATCCTGTAATAAGTCTAAGATGTTTTATGTAAATCTCAAGCTAATCAACAAATAAAAGCCCATAAAAAACACAAAAAGATAAAAAGATACAAAGCTTACCACTACAGAAAATCATTATACTACGAAGAATGAAGGCAAAAGAATAACAATGGATCTACAAAACAATCAGAAAACAATTAATAAAATGGCACTAGTAAGTACTTATCTATCAATAATTTATTTGAATATAAGTAAGTTCTCCAATAAAAATGCATACAGTGGCTGAATGAATTATTTTTTCTAAAGACCCAACTATATGCTTTCTGTAAGAGATTCACTTTACCAAAGGACACTCATAGAATGAGAGTAAATGGATGGAAAATAATATTCCATGCCAATAAAAACCAAAATAAAATAGGGGTAGCTGTATGTATTTCAGAAAAAATGGAGTTTAGGTTAAAAACTTAAGGTGAGTCAGGCGCGCTGGCTCACGCCTGTAATCCCAGCACTTTGGAAGTCCAAGGAGGGGGTGGATCACCCGAGGTCAGGAGTTCAAGGCCAACCTGACCAACATGGTGAAACCCCATGTCTACTAAAAATACAAAAATTAGCTGGCCGTGGTGGTGGGCACCTGTAATCCCAGCTACTCAGGAGGCTGAGACATGAGAATAGCTTGAACCCGGGAGGCAGAGGTTGCAGTGAGCTGAGATCGTGCCACTGCACTGCAGCCTGGGTGACAGAGCAAGACTCCGTCTCAAAAAACAAACAAACAAAAACCCTTAAGGTCATAATAACAATAAAGTGGTCAATTCATCCAAAGGGTTTAACAATTGTAAATATATATGAATGCAACATCAGAACACAAAAATATATAATGCAAACATTAAGAAATTCAAAGTGAGATATAGACTGTAACACAATAATTTTAGGGAATTTTAATACCCTACTCTCAGCAAGAGATAGATCATCCAGACAGAAAATCAATAAGGATTTCAAACCACTACAATTGGACTTGAACTATACTTTAGACCAAATGGACCCAACACCCATGTGCAGAACATTCCATGCAACAGCAACAGATTACACATTTTTGTCAAGTCATTTAAAAACAAGAATTTTAATTTTTACGAGTCAAAACCATATTATTTTTAATAATATTTCACTGATAGGAATCATAGTAATCTTTTTACATCAAAAGTCAAGTAAACAAAAGACATAATATTGATTATATTGAGCCTTTTAAATCACTATTCTGAGCTCTACAGGCACACAACATCACATGTTTAAAGCTATCTCACCAAGGCTTATAGATATATTGTTTATTAATCCCTATTAGAAAATGTTCATCAAAAATAACATTTTTATTGTATCTCATATACTTTTCTGTTGTAAAAATTACAGGCACAACTTACTTTAAATGATTCTGATCTGCATGAATTTTAGTTACCATGGTTTGTTTAAATAATCCTAGTTCCTAACAAGATAATTCAATTTTCAGTTATTATGGTCTATTTACTGTGAGTAAGAAAGTAAAGTGCAAAATTTTCTGCTAGCTCCTCAGTACACAATCTCCAAGCAAATAATAGATGTATATAATGATCTGTGACCAGTTGAGTCACTTTTTTTCAAAGTCTGAGACTGTTCTCTGTGCATCTGTTACTCAGTTCTCACACAGACAGCAAAGCATTTAGTTAGGTTGTCTCCTACCCACCCGATGAAAAGCCCATGTAACATTTTCCTAAAATGAATAATAAAAAAGGGAATTGGCCAATAGAGAGGAAAGTGCAGCAAAACAATAAAAAGTGATAATACTGGCATCTTTGTCATGAAATCTTTGCCCATGCCTATGTCCTGAATGGTATTGCCTAGGTTGTCTTCTAGGGTTTTTATAGCTTTCGGTTTTAATTTGAGTCTTTAATTCACCTTAATTTTTGTATATGGTGTAAGGAAGGGGTCCAGTTTCACTCTTCTGCATATGGCTATCCAGTTATCCCAGCACCATTAATTGAACAGGGAATCCTTTCCCCATTGCTTGTTTTTGTCAGGTTTGTCAAAGGTCAGATAGTTGTAGGTGGGTGGTCTTATTTCTGGGTTCTCTATTCTGTTCCATTGGTCTATGTATCTGTGGTTATACCAGTATCATGCCGTTTTGGTTACTGTAGCCCTGTAGTATAGTTTAAAGTTGGGTAGTGTGATGTCTTCATCTTTATTCTTTTTGCTTAGGATTGCCTTTGCTACTGGCTCTTTTTGGGTTCCATATGAATTGCAATAGCAACAAAAGCAAAAACTTGGCAAATGGAATCTAATTAAACTAAAGAGCTCTGCATCCAGCATCTATAAGGAACTTAAACAAATTTACAAGAAAACAAGCAACCCCATTAAAAAGTAGGAAAAAGATATGAACAAACATTTTCTCCCTTTTTATTATTTCCATAGATTTTTGGGGATCAGGTGGTGTTTGGCCACATGAGTAAGTCCTTCAGTGGTGATTTGTAAAATTATGGTGCACCCATCACCCGAGCATTATACAATGTACCCAGTTTGTAGTCTTTTACCCCTCACCCCCTCCCACGCTTTTCCCCAAGTCTCCAAAGTCCATTGTGTCATTCTCACGCCTTTGCATCCTCATAGCTTAGCTCCCACTTATGAGTGTGAACATATGATGTTTGGTTTTCCATTCCTGAGTTACTTAGAATAATGATCTCTGATTCCATCCAGGTTGCTGTGAATACCATTATTCTACTCCTTTTATGGCTGAGTAGTATATATATCTCACAATTTCTTTATCCACTCATTGACTGATCAGCATTTGGACTGGTTCCATATTGTTATAATTGCAAATGGTGCTGCTATAAACATTTATGTTTAAGTATCTTTTTTGTATAATGACTTCTTTTCCTCTGGGTAGACACCCAGAGGTTGGATTGCTGGACCAAATGGTAGTTCTACTTTTAGTTCTTTGAGGAATTTCCACACTATTTTCCATAGTGGTTGGACTAGTCTACATTCTCACCAGCAGTGTAAAAATGTTCCCTTTCCATCACATCCCCACCAACATCTATTAGTTTTTGATTTTATGATTATGGCCATTCTTGCAGGAGTAAGGTGGTATGGCATTGTGGTTTTGATTTGTATTTCCCTGATCATTAGTGATGTTGAGCAATTTTTCATTTGTTCATTGGCCATTTATATATCCTGTTTGGAGAATTGTCTATTCATGTCCTTAGCCTATTTTTTAATGGGATTGTTTGTTTTTTTCTTACTAATTTATTTGAGTTATTTATAGATTCTGAATATTAGTCCTTTGTCAGATGTATAGCTTGTGAAGATTTCCTCTGACTCTGTGGATTATTGAACAGACACTTTTCAAAAGAAGACATACATGCAGTCAACAATCATATGAAAAAAAGCTCAACATCATTGATTACTACAGAAATGCAAATCAAAACCACAATGAGATACCATCTCACACTAGTCAGGGTGGCTATTATTAAAAAGTCAAAAAATAACAGATGCTGGCAAGACTATGGAAAAACAGGAACACTAATACACAGCTGTTGGGAGTTTAAATTAGTTCAGCCCTTGTGTAAGACAGTGTGGTGATTCCTCAAAGACCTAAAGACAGAAACACCATTCAACCCAGCAATCCCATACTAAGTATATACCAAAAGGCATATAAATCATTCCAGTATGAAGACAAATGCATACAAATGTTCATTGCAGCATTAGTCACAATAGCAAAAACATAAAATCAACCTAAATGCCCATCAATGATAGACTGGATAAAGAAAATGTGGTACTTATACACCATGGAATACTATGCAACCATAAAAAAGAATGAGATCACATCCTATAAAAGGAGCTGGAGGCTACTGTCATTAACAAACTGCTGTAGGAACAGAAACCCAAATACTGCATGTTTTCACTTATAAGTGGGAGCTAAATGATGGAAATACATGGATATATAGAGGAGAACAATACACAGTGGGGCCTATGGTAGGATAAAGGGTGAAAGGAGAAAAAAATTAGGAAAAGTAACTAATGAGTACTAGGCTTAATACCTGGGTGATGAAATAGTCTGTACAACAAACCCCCATGACACAAGTGTACCTATGTAACAAACCTACACATGTACCTTTGAACTTAAAATAACAGTTAAAAAATTGGAAGAGTGATGATAGTGGTAGTGATATTTGAATCAAACCTAAATGGAGTTACAAAAGATAAAGACCTGGGTGTGGCGATGTTGGCAGTGCCACTTTTCAAGAAAATCTAGATATGCAGCCAGAGGAACTTAGTCAAGGTGATCATGTTGACATTACGAGGAAAGCGATGGTGATGAAAATGATGAGTATGTCCCAGAGGAAGTGACACTGGCAAAAGCTTCACATTAAGGGAACTCCAGAAGATATTTCATCACTTTGAAAGCACAAAAGATAAAGTGTTGAAAACTGATAAAAAGTTAGGCATATGAAAGATACTTGCTTCATGGTGCATTTTGCAATGAAAAGAAGGCAAATACTGTTGATGCTATACTTTATAAGTATTTTACAAAAAAGCTTTAATTCTCAATGTTTGTAATATTTTAAAGAATACTAAATAATTTATTTTTTTAATTTATCATTAGTGAAAATAAGAATGTTGAAGATTTTGATGAAAACTATATAAAGGTCATTAAAGAGTCATATTTTGTCCCATTGTTTATTAAGATTCCTTTGTATGGGTCTAATTTGATGGTCACTTTCACAGTCCATTACTACTGTGCAAAATGGGGATTGCCTGTAATGAACATATCTTACATACTAATGTATTTTTTGAAAATTGCATTTATTTGAAACACAAATCTGATTTTTAAAAGAAATCTATAAAAAGTGGGCTAGACTCTAAAAGTCTGTTTTCGCCCATATAGCACCTCTATGATATATGTACAATACAAAATCTATGCTATTTCACCTTAGTAAAACTAACAATGAAGTGAGTTTCAGGAATGCTTGAAATAAAAATGTTTATTTTTAGTATTATTTAGTAACATAAAATAAAACACAGGTTTTAGTAGTTTATATAAGGATCCTCGGCCGGGCGCGGTGGCTCAAGACTGTAATCCCAGCACTTTGGGAGGCCGAGGCGGGTGGATCACGAGGTCAGGAGTTGGAGACCACCCTGGACAACATGGTGAAACACCGACTCTACTAAAAATACACAAATAAGCTGGGTATGGTGGTGGGAGCCTGTAATGCCAGCTACTCGAGAGGCCGAGGCAGGAGAATCTCTTGAACCCAGCAGGTTACAGTGAGCTGAGATGGCATTGCAGCACTCTAGCCTGGGCAACAGAGGAAGACTCCATGTCAAAAATAAAATAAAATAAAATAAAAAGAATCCTCATGTGCATGTAAATTGTCAAAGAAATGCATAAGAATGGCCTTTTCATGTCTAAGTATTTCATACTAAGTTTCAAAACAAATTTTCTATATTTCAAGGAAACATTAAAGGTTGTTCACTTCTTGAGTGAATGTGTTTGAAACACCTATACCAAACACATAAAATGTTGACATCAGCGGCCTGATCAGAGCTGAATGTTAGGAACATGGGTAAGGGATACATGCGCAAAACCCATTGTAGGGTGAGGGTGAGTACTTTTTTTTTTTTTGAGATGGAGTTTTCCTCTTGTTGCCCAGGCTGGAGTACAATGGCATGATCTTGGCTCACCACAACCTCCCCCTCCCGGGTTCAAGCGATTCTCCTGCCTCAGCCTCCCGAGTATCTGGGATTACAGGCATGCGCTACCACGCCTGGCTAATTTTGTATTTTTAGTAGAGACTGAGTTTCTCCATGATGGTCAGGCTGGTCTCAAACTCCCAACCTCAGGTGATCTGCCCACCTCGGCCTCCCAAAATGCTAGGATTACAGGTGTGAGCCACTGTGCCCAGCCAGGGTGAGTATTTTGTAAAGCTACATCTTATTTTTTGTGATTTATTTTTTCCATTTGCAATATTTTGCTATTTAATTCTCTTAGTCCTCTGAGCATGGGAACTTTATCTCATTCATATTTTATCCCTAGCACCTAAGCCAGTGCTTGTCTTCTAACTACTTAACCATCTAAAAACATGATGGATAATAATGTTTCTCTGGGTTTTGTTTTGTTTTTGTTTTTGTTTCTGGATATTTTTAAACCTTTTTGGAACCTTTCAATATATCATGATTGGTTTCTCATTATTTATTTTTCCAAAAATAATTATGAATGATGGCAAAATATTTTAAAGCTTTTGACACATATTACTTATTTGCTTTCCAAAAAAGAGATGACGGTGTACACTCTGACCAGTATTATTTAAGAGTATCATCACTGGTTTCTCTGCATTCTTATCAACATAACGACTTAAAATTTTCTTCCACTTGTGTAGGTAAAAACTGGTGTTTTTGTGCTACAATTTTCATTCCTTTGTTTACTAATAAGACTGAACATTATTTATGCTTACGGCTACTTAAAGTTTTTACTTTTCATGTGTTCTTTGTTTGTATCTTGGCATAAATGTATAATTTGGGATATAGTTTTTTGATAGGTTGTTAATAAATATCATGGAAATACATGAAAAAGAATAAATTTAGAAAATTGACCTAACAGATCAATGAAAAAATAGTTGAAATATAAAAAGGACTGAAATAGGTGAAAGTATTTTCCAACCTTGAAGTGTATGATGTGTTCAAGTATTCCAAATGAATTCACTGTGAAATATATGAGCGTTATTGGCCCTGGATAAAATGAAAAAGGTAGTTTGGGAAATGATTTGTTTTTGTCTTTGTTTTTGTTTTTTGAGACAGAGTCTTGCTCTGTCACCCAGTTTGGAGTGCAATGGCGTGATCTGGGCAGTATTACTGCCTCCCAGGTTCAAGTGATTCTCCTGCCTCAGTCTCCAGAGTAGCTGGGACTACAGGCATGCACCAACATGCCTGGCTAGTTTTTGTATATTTCATAGAGACGGGGTCTCACCATATTGGCCAGGCTGGTCTTGAACTCCTGACCTCAGGTGATCTGCCTGGCTTGGCCTCCCAAACTGATGGGATTACAGGCATGAGCCTGTAACCGTGCCAGGCCTGGGAACTGATTTTGAATGGCCATACATTGGATGCTATATATTAATTCACTGAAAAAGTGTAACCATTTAGTTTGCTTCCCCTTTGAATAGAAGACTGTTAAAAGAGGCTTTGTTATTCTGAAGCTTATATAATTTTTTATGTTCTAAGTTTGAAATTAAATTCAAGTTAAATGAAATTGTGCTTGACATTTCAAGCCTATCAGAACACAATGAGAACAAATATGAAATGTAGATTTATCCTCTAAGTGTAAATTTAGCTGTGATTTGGTCAAATTGCCAGAGAGGCAATATTATCCAGTGACAAGAGTACAGTTTTATGCCATTTTAAGATCTTTTTTAAATCCTTCTTTTACCACTTCCTATTTGTGTGATCTTAAGAAAGTTATATAAGGTTTGTGGCTGGAGAATAACCATCTAACACGGGTTTTCCTGTATTCTCACACCAACACCACAACAATCACCTACACAGAAGACTTCTATGACTAAATCCACGGGGGTTTCTCCCCACCATCAAGCAGTGCATGCCAGCTGGTTGTCCTCCAATTCAATGCTGGCACTATCGACCTGGAGATAGCATCAGATCTCACAGGTTGGGGGCTCAGTCCCCAAGACTGACTCCCACCCCACCTACGACACCAGTCTCAAATCAAGGCTTCTGGAACTTCTGACCAACTGACTTCAGGTTGAGGTTCCTACAACCCCCTCTTTGGGTTCGAATAATTTGCTGGAGCGGCTCACAGAGCCCAGGGAAACACTTACTTATGTTTACTGGCTTATTGTAAAGGATACTGCGAAGATACAGATGAAGAGATGTGTAGGGCAAAATATGGTGGAAAGGGTAGGGAGCTTCCTTGCCCTCCCTGGGTTCTCCCCACTCCAGGAGCAATCTGGAAGCTCTTCAAACCCAGTTTGTTTGGGTTTTTCTTTTATTCACTGCAATTTCTGCCTCCTGGGTTCAAGGGGTTCTCCTGCCTCAGGCTCCCGAATAGCTAGGGTTACAGACATGTGCCACCACCCCTAGCTAATTTTTGTAATTTTAGTAGAGATGGGATTTTACCATGTTGGCCAGGCTGATCTCAAACTCCTGACCTCAGGTGAGCTGCCCATCTTGGCCTTCCAAAGTGCTAGGATTACAGGCATGATCCACTGCGCCCGGCCTCGTTTGGGTTTTTATGGAAGCTTCATGACATTAGCATTCCTTACCCCCACCCCCTGGAGTATAAGGTGGGACTCTCTCTGGGAAGGGTCTTAAGACTCACAATCATAAAGGTGGAGAAAGATTAAAGTCCTGCCTTGGGTCAGGTGGAAGGATGGCAGGAGAGAGATTCTGTTTCCTGAAGCCTGCTCCTGAGGCCTAACACACCCAACATTATAACAAAATACTGTAAAGGGAGATGGGAGTTATGAACTAGGAACCCTGGATGAAAACCAACACATATCATAACACCACAGTCTGTAACCCAGACCGTGTCAAAGGTGCCTTCCAACTATTATATTCCATTCCACAGTAAATAAGTCAACCAATGTTTAACCTACACTGAATACATACTTGATAGATTTCGGAAAACTGATTTTTGTTTTTACTTTTGATTATAAATAGAGCTTTGCTTTATCTCCCAAATGGAGAAATAAACTTGTTTCCAAACCATATTCCAAACACCATGCAAAGTACATTGTTCAGCTAAAATGTATTAGCGCTGTTTGAGTATTTGTATTTTAATGTTGAATTGTTTAAACTTCCCTTGTTGGAATGTGTGATTTTCCTATTTCTCTAAACGTCAACAAAATTATGTATGCATCCTGGAAATGCTGCAGAGACCGAATTAAATGGCATAGCATCTGCATTTTAACAAGACAATCATATCAAATTAGGCAAATTATATTCTTAAAAGTCTGGTTGTCAAAATACAATCTAATATGATTTATAATATTTTTAGTTTCAAAAAATGTCCACCAAGTTTTTCTACTTTCATTAATACAGATGATTAATCTGAAGGAAATGCTGAAAACCTTATCAAAAAACCATCATGTACTAATGTGTCTTTTTCAAAATGGCTTTGCATTCTTTTCATTCATCCCATCTCCATGGTCACTACACTAATGCATGCCTTCATTACCTCCCGTTTGCATTATTGTGGTAGACCACAAGAAGTAGGACTTCATCTGCTATTTTTGCCCTCCAATACAACCGCATATGACAGCTACACTGGAGTTTCTTAAGCATTATTTTTCATATACTGTGAAAAATTTTTGGTGGCTTTGACTTAAATGTTTATTTTTTAACATGCATAAATTACATCACCTTCCTCCTGTGCAATTTCTACCAGCTCACTAATTTTCTCTTCCTGTTTATCTAGTCTGTTGGGTTTCCAATTTCAAGTAATCATTTTCATTCCTACTACAATTTAATATAGTTAGATTTGGTTATTTTTAAAATTCTCTTGTCATTTTTGATATCTATTTCCTCCTTCATAATACTTTTCATACTATCTTTCCGGTCTTTAAACATATTAAATATACATATACATTTTAAGATATATTCTACTTGTGTATTGGCTGGCTTTCATTAAAGAATGTTCATTTCCAAGTCCATCTGTGAGTTTTGCTTCATTTTGTTTTGTTTGGTGTGATCTCTATACATTTATCTGTAATAAATCTTTCAGACTTATTTTTCTTAAATATTTGGTTGTACCATAAACTTTGGATAATGTCAACCTGAGACCATTTTAAATGTCTGCCTCGTTATTTCTCTGTTAGTAGGACAGTGGCCATGAAATAAGAAATCTTTTTTTTTCCTTTTTTCTGTTTTTTTTCTTTGTTTTGTTTCGTTTTTCCATCCACCCCAAAACAAAAGAGAGACAGGCAAGTATCACCATTTTCCTATGCACTGTGGAAAATTATCTAGTGTTCTCATTTCAGGTGTAGACCTTTATTAATTATATAATATCTGATCTGTCCTCTGTTTTGAAAGTTTACCTGGCTATTTTGTGCCTTTTAAGTAAAACCTTATTAAAGCATGGCTTTAGGCCACCTGGAGACAGCAACAAATACCCATGGCAAATGGCAGTTTTCTCCCTAGATTTGTTTTGACTCCTTTCCAGCCACCACAGACTTCCATTATTTTACCAATGGCTTAGCTGTGTCATTTAGTTTAATGATTTTTTTTTAGGTTTACATTTTGAATGAATTAACTTTAGACTTACAGAAGACTGGGAAAATCATGCAGAATTTTCATGTACCCTTTTACTGACCTAACCCTAGCATTCACATCTAAAGTAACTGTAGTACAATGATCTGAACCTGGGAATTAAAATGATGCTAATTTTCCAACAAAAGCATGATTTAAATTTCACCATTTTTTTCACTGCTTTTTTTTTTTCTGTTGCAGGATTCTCTAAGGATCCCACATTCCTTATAGACTACCTCTTGCAGTCCACAGCATCCCCCAGTCTTTTCTTGTCTTTCATACTTCAAAGCTTTTGTTCAGGTAATGGACATTCCTTGATTTGGGTTTATCTGACACTTTTTCACGATTCATTGAAGGTTATGCATTTTTATAGGAATGCCATGAAAAGTATATTGTACCACCTCTGTGCATCATAATGTGGAGGGTTAAGGTGTCAGTACCTGTTGTTACTAGTGATGTTGACAGGTGACAGCGTACTGGCAGCCCTCGAAGTCCTCGCTCGCTCTCGGTGCCTCCTCGGCCTCGGTGCCCACTCTGGCTGTGCTTAAGGAGCCCTTCAGCCCGCCGCTGCACTGTGGGAGCCCCTTTCTGGGCTGGCCAAGGCGGGAGCCGGCTCCCTCAGCTTGCAGGGAGGTGTGGAGGAAGAAGCACTGGCGGGAACCGGGGTGGCGCGCGGCGCTTGCGGGCCAGCTAGAGTTCCGGGTGGGCGTGGCTTGGCGGGCCCCGCACTGGGAGCGGCCGGCCGGCGCTGCCGGCCCTGGGCATTGAGGGTCTTGGCACCCGGGCCAGCAGCTGCTGAGGGTGTGCCGGGTCCCCCAGCAGTGCTGGCCCACCGGCGCTGCACTCGACTTCTCGCCGGGCCTCAGCTGCCCCGCCGCGGGGCAGGGCTTGGGACCTGCAGCCCGCCATGCCTGAGTCTGCTACCGCCCCCCAAAGGGATCCTGGAAATGACTACTCCACTCACTGTTTCTACACTGCCTTATCTCACTTAGCCTAATATCCTCCAAGTTCATCCATGTTATCACATATGGCAGAATTGTTTATACTACATTTTCTTTATTCATTCATCTGTCAGACATTTAGGTTGCTCCTATATCCTGTCAACTGTGAAATCATTTCTTGGACATGACACCAAAAGCACAGGTAATAAATGCAATATTAGAAAGTGGGACTACATCAAACTAAACAGCTTCTGCACAGCAACAGAAATAATCAACAGGTGAAAAGGCAAGCTATGGAATGGTAGAAAATATTTACAAACAATATATTTGATAAAGGGTTAATATCCAAAATACATAAGGAAGTCCTATAAGTCAATAGCATAAAAATCCAAATAACTGATTAATGGGCAAAGGACTTGAATAGACATTTCTGTAAAAGGCATACCAATGGCCAATAGGTACATGAAAAAATGCTCAGCATCACTAATTATGAGGGAAAAGCAAATTAAATCTACAAGTGAGATATTGCTTCACATCTTTTAATTTGCATAATCTAAAAAGATAAGTTTTAGCAAGGCTGTGGAGGAATTGGAACCTTTATACATTGCTGGTGAGAATGTAAAATGGTGCATTTGCTATGGAAAACAGTATTTTTTAAAAAAAATTAAAAATAGAATTACCATATGATCAAACAATTTCACACTTGGTTTTATATCAAAAAAATAGAAATCAGGATCTTGAAGAGATATATGTAGTCCCATGTTTATTGCAGAATTATTCACAATATCCAAGCTGTGGAAACCACCTAACTGTTCATGGACGTGTTTTCTTCACATCCTTTTTTTTTCTTTTTTCTTTTTTTTATTTTATTATTATTATACTTTAAGTTTTAGGGTACATGTGCACAATGTGCAGGTTAGTTACATATGTATACATGTGCCATGCTGGTGTGCTGCACCCATTAACTCATCATTTAGCATTAGGTATGTCTCCTAATGCTATCCCTCCCCCATCCCCCCACTCCACAACAATCCCCAGAGTGTGATGTTCCCCTTCCTGTGTCCATGTGTTCTCATTGTTCAATTCCCACCTATGAGTGAGAACATGTGGTGTTTAGTTTTTTGTCCTTGCGATAGTTTACTGAGAATGATGATTTCCAATTTCATCCATGTCCCTACAAAGGACATGAACTCATCATTTTTTATGGCTGCATAGTATTCCATGGGGTATATGTGCCACATTTTCTTAATCCAGTCTATCATTGTTGGACATTTGGGTTATGGCAGCACATCCTTTTTTTTTCTTACATGGAGAGTAATAGATTATAGATTTTTCTTGTGATCTGCTCTTTTTCACTTAACAGTGTATCATGTATCCTAGAAATCACTGGATATCAGTTCACAGAAATCTTCCTCTTTCCGTTTTACAGCTGCATAATACTCCATTGTGTAAAAGTTGCATAGTTTACACAACCATTTTCCTATGAATGGGCATTTAGAATGTTTCCCATATTTTGCAATTCCAAACAGTATGCCAAAGAATAATCATGTTCATCTTCATTTTTGTAATTTTAGAGGCATATCTTCAATATATATTGCCAGAAGTGGGATTAATAGGTCAAAGGTAAATAAATAAAATATCGCTGACCATTATTAAAGTATTCTGTATAAGGTGTTTCTTTCTGGATAATAAGTAAGCCACTCGAGACAAATAAACATTTAATGTAATTCTTTAAAAAATAATACCATTTCTATTTGGAGAATTCTGCTAAACAGCTTTCAGGACAAGCTTCTCAAGTATGATAATAATAATTTTTCAACACAAAATCCTATCTATCAAAAGCATCAACCAAACAGTGATGCAGCTATTTTTATAGATGCAACAGATATCATAAAATAGATTTGTTCTTTTGATTGTGAACTAAGCAAATTCTACTCTAAAAATTAATGTGGAAACAAATGTTTTTTAGTTATTTTAAATCTAAGTGTGATTCTCATAGTTTTATGCCTTGTTAAAACCATGAAGAGTTAAAAAGGTGATGACCTCAATGTTTGGCAAGATTTTTTTTTATTTGACTCTATTTCTTTGTAGAATAGTGAAGCTATTCATCTTTTTTTCTGAAATTTGTCATTGAAAATATTTCCACCAATTTGTCCAGATGAAAAAGTCTAAGGAACAAGATTTTCAATATTCTCACTACGTATTTACTCTAGTATTTCTACTTCTCAACCCCAATTCTGTGACCATATTCTCAATTATAATGAATGATATGAAGATTCAAAAAATGTAGAATTAATATACATTAGTAGGACCTGAAGTTGACAATTTTAAAGGGGTTGTAAAAGAGAATCAATTCTCCTAAATTAGATCAAGCCTGCAGACTTCCAAAATCATACTGTAGTATTCTTAAAAAGAAGTTGCAAGTGATATTTATCATTTAATGCATGTTCGTTATTTTGAGGCAATATGGAGTGGTAGAAGAAAAATTATGACAGGCAAACATAATACAACTTCTTAAAAAGGACATGAGAACAATTGACATTGTTATAAATGTAAGGATTTCAAAATCGAGTTGAAAGTTTAGAATTACTTCTGTGAGAATCAAAAACATGTTGCTGTTTTGGGAAAGAAAAATGACTGTTGAGTGATTATTAAGTTCTAGCAAATATTACAAATATATTTTTAAATGAATAAAAAACATGGTTACATGTTTTGGGGGTTTTGTTTGTTTTCTTAGTTAGATAGCATGCTTTTATAATAGCCCTATTAAAAATAGATATGTAATTTTTATAAATGAGGTTTAGGCCAAAACAGCTATACATTTATATGATCAGAGTATTGTTAAACTGATGAATATGGGGTTAAAATGACAAAGTGTATCAAATGTTATTTAGAGAATTACTTTTTAAAATGCATACAGAAAATCTTCTGAAAAGAGTTGCTTGGTCCTACAAAAGAAGTATAGTAATATTTCAATATCAATGATTGCTTATTTTTCTGATTCATTATGAAGTATCTTGTCATTTCAGCTTTAATCTTTTTTGAAGAGAGAAATACATGATTTAGTAATAATAGATACTTAGATACCTCATGTCTTAGTCCATTTTGTGTTGCTATAATAGAATACATGTGGCTGGGTAATTTACAAAGAAAAGAAGTTTAGAAACCTACAGAGTATTCTAAATACTTTGAATATTTAGCTTAGTGTTCTACAGGCTGGGAAGTTCAAGGTCATGGCCCTAGCTTTAGCAAGGGCTTTCGTGCTGCTTCATAACATGGTGGAGAATGTCAAAGAGGAAGCAGACACATGTGAAGGGCAAACCCTGAGGAGCATCCTCACTTTAGAACAATCCACTCTCATGGGAACTAATCCTTTCCTGTAAGAACTAATCCAGTCTCACCAGAGCAAGAACTCACTCATTCTTGTGAGAACAGCATCAAGCCATTTTTGTGAGAGCTGCTCTTATGACCAAAATACCTCCCACTTGGCCTATAACCCCAACAGCACCATATTGGAAATCAAGTTTCAAAGTGAGTTTTGATGGGGACAAATTCAAACCATAGCACCTCACCTTCAATAATGGATAGAACAACTGGACAGAAATATAACAAGCAAATAGAAAACGTAAGGAACTTTATAAAAAAACTAGATTTAACAGAAATCTATGGAATAATTAACCTAGAAGCAGCAGAATACAAATTGTTCCCCAATACACATGAAACATTCTCAGAGAAAGACTAGATTGTTAGGCATTTAAAAAGCCATATTAAATGGAAAGTGTTAAATCACAGAAAGGTTATTTTCTGACCATAATTGAATTAAATTAAAATCAGTAATAGAAGTAAATTTTGGAAACTTAAAATCTATGGAAATGATATGACACTCCTATTTAATCAATAGATTTTTTAAAAATTACAAAGGATATTATGAAATACTTTTATGAGTGAAAAGTACAACATGATATACCTATAGGCTGCAGTTAAGGCAGGGGTTATAAAGGAATTTACAGCTGTAACAACCAACCTTAAGAAACTAGAAAAGGAGGAGTACACTAAACTCAAAACAAGAAGAATGAAGGAAGTAAGTTAAAAAATGAAACAGAGCAAAGAAAAATAATAAAGACAACTGACAAAACTCAAAGTTTGTGTTTTGAACAGAAAAAAAATAGCCAACTTTTAGCTGAACTAACCAAGAAAAGAAAGAAGACTTAAATTATTAAAACCAAGAATGAAAGAGAGGACATCACTGTTGACTTTACTGAAATTAAAGGGATTATAAATAAGATAAGGCTATAAACAATTGTATGCCAGTATAGTAAATAACCTAGACAAACGAAACAAATTCCTAGAAAGACACACTCCAAAACTGATTCAAGAAGAGATAAAGAATCTGAATGCAACTACAAGCAAAGAGAGTACATTAATTGAAAAAATAAAACTTCTCACAAATAAAAGTTCAGGCACAGATGACTTCACTGGTGACTTCTACCAAATGTTTAAAGACTAATATAAATCCTTAACAAACTCATGCACAAAAACAGAGAAATACAACAGAAGGGAATACTTTCCAACTCATTCCATGACACCAATTTCACCTGAATCCTTACACTGGAAAAAGACTTCACAAGAAATACAAACAACAACTAAAAACAAGTAGGCAATATAAATATAGACACAAGCATCCACAACCAAATACTAATGAACTGGATTGCATAATATAAAAGGATTATAAAAAAGGATTATATAACGTGACCAAAAAGGATTTATCCCAGTAATGCAACAGGTTTAATGTATAAAAGTTCAATCAAGGTAATACATCATACGAATAGAACAAAAGGCAAACACAACATGGTCATCTCAATAGAGTCATAAACAATCATTTGGTAAAATTCAACACCCTTTTTATGATAGAAACACTCAGTAAACTAGGAATGTAAGGGAGCTTCTTCAACCTGATAATTGTAATCTATAAAACGATAACATCTTACTTAATATGAAAGATTGAATGCATTACTATTAAAGTAAGGAATCATACAAAGATATCTGCTTTCATCATTTCTATTCAATGTTGTCCTGGTGGTGACAATATTGTCCTGGAGACATGAGCCACCATACCCAGCCCCAATTCAAACATGGGCAAATTCAAACAAGCCAATTCAAACATGGGCAAAAGGTTTAAATAGACTTTCCTCCAAAGTAGATATACAAGTAATCTTTAAGCACATGAAAAGATGCTCAATATATTTAGTCATTAGTGAAATGTAAATCAAAACTTCAACGAGGTACCACTTCACACACACTAGGATGAATTTACTAGGCAACAAGTGCTGTTGCTGCTGTGGAAAAATTTGAATCCTCATGCATGGCTGATGAGAATGTCAAGTGCACAACCGCTTTGGAAAATACATTGTCAGTTACTCAAAAAGCTAAATAAGCATTGCCATATGACCCAGAGATTCTGCCTCTAAGAACATAACCAAGAGAATTGAAAACATATGCCCAGGAAAAAATTTGACACAATTGTTCAAATCAGCATATTTATTATTTATAGTAATTGAAAGGTGGAATAAGCCAAATGTTTGTAGCTTATGAATGGTTAAACAAAATATGATATATACGAATGATAGAATAATATTTGACAATAAAAATAAATTAAGGACTAATACACTTTACAATGAGGAAGAACCTAGAAAATGTTATAAGTGAAAGAAAACAGCCATGTACAACACATATTGTGCAATTACATGGTAAATCTAGACTAGGCAAATTTATAGAGACAAAATAGATTAGTGGTTGCCAGTGGTTAGGAGAAGGAAAAAATGGACAGAGACTGCTTTTAAGTACAAGGTTTCTTTTTGGAGTAAAGAAAATGTCTAAAATTAGATGGTGATGATGGTTGCACAGCTCTGTGAATTGTACACTTTAAAAGAGTGCGTTTTCTAATATGTAAATGGTATCTCAATAAATTTATTAGAAAAAAAGAAGTTATAATCAAAGAACTGCTGACTCTGGGAAATGAAGAGGATTTGGAAAACAAAGCATATCTTAACTGCTTATGTGAATATATTTTTCAAAGAGAAGAAAAAATAAAAAGACGAATTTACTCATTTTGATCAGGAAGAAATTTGAATCATAGTGATCCATATAAGACAGTGATTGAACTTTTCTTTCTTTGTTTTTTGATGCCCCTTTCTGTTTTATTTAAAGCTGTTTACACTAGGATTTTGTTCCTGCTAATGAGTATTTTGCTCATATTGATCCTTCTGAGGTGGTATTTTATTTGACATAATAAAGGCCTTATTTCAGCTATTCATGCTCCCAGGATTGTTGTAATGAAAGCTTGGAAGCCACGGCATGTTTTATCAGTCTCTTTTTTGCCCCTTTTCTTTGATATAATGTGAATTAGGCTTCTTAGCGAATTACCTGTACACATTCTTAGGCTACAAATTTTGGCATGTTCAAATTTATCAAAGATTTAAAAATGAGGTTGTTGAATTTTAAAAATGCACACATTCAGTTTTAAAAACACAGACACAGTAAGTCTGAAGGAATTAAATCAGTGTGCAAAAGTTCATGAGCAATCATTTAAGTCTTGTGATTACATTTTTAAAATGTTTAAGTATTTAGAAATTTAATGGTCGGGTGCAGTGGTTCATGCCTGTAATCACAGCACTTTGGGAGGTCAAGGCAGGCCGATCATGAGGTCAGGAGTTCGAGACCAACCTGACCAATATAGTGAAACCCCATCTCTACTAAAAATACAAATATTAGCCAGGTGTGGTGGTGCATGCCTGTAATCCCAGCTGCTCTGGAGCCTGAGGCAGAAGAATCGCTTGAACCTGGGAGGCGGAGGTTGCAGTGAGCCGAGATTGAGCCACTGTGCTCCAGCCTGGGCGACAGAGTGAGACTGTCTCAAAAAAAAAAAAAAAAAAAAGAAATTTAATATATTATAATGGGTGATGCAGTGCTTGAATGGAGATATTTTCTTCAGTTAAAAGCAGGAAAGTTAACATTTGGAATCTACTCGATGGTATACTTATATGATAAAGTAAATATCCATAAAATTTATATCAAAATTCATATCAGGGAATAAATAAATTCATGTACATCAATGATTGCCAAGTTTTAATCTTTTTTATGCACTTAATATGATTAATGCTTCTACTTGCCTTTGGTGAATATACATGATCCTCAAAATATTTGTTCTGTAGGAAGCTTAAAACACTTCTCTCCACAAGCAGGGATCATCTCTGCCTATCTGTTCCCCCTCTCTCCTATTCCAAACAAGATATCATTTGTTTATTCATTCCCTCATGTAATAATACTTCACGTATGTTGCTGCAATGGTTTCTGATCTTTTCTGGATCATCATTGCTCTTGAAAAAAATAATGGAACTTACAGATATTTCTCCAAAAATAGAAAGTTTTGCATTCATGTACACATGTCTAAGCCCATATAGAGGTACCCGGGTGCCTCCGTTTGTCCCTTATGTAGACCTAGGTTAAGAACTCTGACCTATTAACCTGGCAAACTTCTCCCCCTTTCTTGTTGCTCATATCTAATATTTAATAAACCAATAAAGTAAATTCTACCTCCAAATTCTCTTAAGTCCTCCCATTTCACTGCTGTTGAAATCATGTCTACATTATCTCATAACTTCTTATTATCCTGACTTCTTATAATAACCTCCTGATTTTCTTGCCTCCTATCTCATTCTTTTCTCTTCCAGTCATTTTACATTTTGCTACCAATTTAAAGTTTAAATGTGCATACCAGACAATATCACTGCACTTACAACTTCCAATGGCTGGTCATTGTTACGCCTACTAAGTAAAGACCAAAAACATATCAAGACTTTTTTAGTCTCCAGATGCATATTAATCTCCAGAATTTCACTTCTGCAAAGTTCATATTGAGGTCCTTAAGTCATTTTGCATATATGATGTCCTCTACCTAAAAGATCTTTCCCCAATTTCAGATTATAATTTTTTAACACCTTTCAAAAACAAGTCAAACCTCACCTCTCTTAAATGTCTCTTCCTCATTTTCCACAGGTTGCTTCTTCGCCCTCACTCTCTTCTCCTCCCAAAAAAGACAAGTCAGTTGCCCTTGTGTGTTTACAAAGAAATGGAAGCATTTGCATCTGCCAATTCAATTATTTATTTACAGTCTTTTTTCATCATTGAACAATAAATTCTTCAAGAACAATGATCATGTGTATTTTTATCTTTGTGTCATCCTCTGTGCCTATCATAGTTCCTGTATATGGCAGTTATAAAATACTAAATTGAATGAAGAATAAATATGCACAATACTCTTCTGACACTACTTGGAGTTAGTGCAGACTTCGTAAGGGCACAGTCCTTAATAAGATTCTCCTTTTTTTTTTAAGAGGTTATTAGGCCTTCAGACAAACTGCAAGCTCCAAAAATTTTAAAATACCTGCACTCCTGACCAATTGGCTACCAATCCAGGGTTCTCACTACCCTACGGATTCAGTAATTAACAAGAGCAAGTCACAGAATTCAGAAAAGTGCTATTTTTTTTATTATGCTTTTACTGTAAAGGATGCAAATTAGAACCACTTGAAAGAAGAAACGTATGGCATGAGATCTAAGAGAGCCCCAAACACGGAGCTTTTGTGTCCTTTCCTCATGGAATCAGGATGCATTGCTCTGCTGGCACATCAACGCCTTCACCACCCAGACAAGTCAAGGGAGCTTCAGTTTCCATTGCGTTTCTTGGCTTTTTTTTTTTTTTTTGTAGGTTTGATTGATGAAATAATTGACCAAGCCCTCATTTCCTCTCCAAATGTCAAGCTCATATCATCTTGCTCAAAGCTCCAACCCACTAATCATACACTTTGTCTTTCCGGCATAGCTAGCCCCCATCCTGAAACTACTGAGGGGCCCCTGACTCATTGTAGTAGCATAAACTGAAGCATATTTCTAGGCATCCACTATCAATAACAAAGTCACTCTTATTACTGGAGAAATGCAAAAAGTTTAGAAGTTCCATTCTAGGGATGCTGAAAAAGGTAAGACAAATGTTTTATTTTGTAATATAAAAATGTGGATATTTAAAATGCTAGATTTATTGTCACAGTAAATATTATTATGATTATTAAATTGATAATTTTGTATGTTAACATTTCCAAACCTAAAAGATAGCAGCCTCGATTTATTTCTAATGTCTTAAGTCAGGATTTTTATGGGGTAAATTTGCTTTGTCATACCTCCACAGATGCTGCACTATTTTCCGTTCCAAATTTTCAAAGATGTCTCCAAAATAATTCTATAAAACTATAAAAAACTAAATTATAGCATGATTTATAACAACCTATTAAAACTTGTATTTACTTTGGGCTTTTTGACACTCTAATTTCAAAATTAATATAATCCTGATAAAGACCTATCATTGTTCAAATGATCACAAACATGAGCAGTGATGTAGGAAATTAACAATCTTAGCCTCCTGAAATTTACAATTGTGATTAAGTTTCAGACAAAAAAATGTCCTACTCATTTTTTTTTCTTTTAACACATCTTTATTAAACACCTACTTTGTGCTCAACACTGTTCTAAGCATTAAGCTCATCAACAAGCAAGACAGACAAAAATCACTGCCTTCACAAAAATTAGCATATAGTACAATTGAGCAGGCAATAAACAGAGGAAATATATAAAATATATAGCAATCCAGATTGTGTAGTGTTCTCAAGAAAAAAATATGGCAAAAAAGTGAGATAGAGAATATATTTAGGGTGGGATTTGCAATGTTAAAACAATGTGAAAATGAAAGCAGCCCAAAGAATGTGACCTTTGAGAGGATCTGAAGCTGGAGAAGAAGTGAACCTATTCATGTATCTTAAAGAAAATCATTCTAGGCAGAAGAGGATCAAGTGTAAATTACCTGGATGAAATGTATCTGGTTGTTGAAAAACAAAAAGTGAAACAAAACACCGAGAAAAACGTGTGTACAGAAAAGTGACTAAAGTATGAATAAATAAGGTCGGAGAGGTGTGATAAAATTTAATGGGGCCTTGTTGTTCACTGGGATAATACTGTTTTATCTCTTTCTTTCTTTTATTTCTTTCTTTCTTTCTTTCTTTTTCTTTTCTTTTCTTTTCTTTTCTTTTTTCCCTAAAATGAGTAGATGGTACATCCATGAGCTCTGGGAAGGTGAAAATGAGTCCTACTGGTAATCAGTCTGCGTTTACTTATCATAACATCAACAAAGTTTCTAAAAGGACACAGCCAAGGCTACATCACAGCTACAACATACCTAATAGCTTTCCTTATTTGTGACTGCTGCTCCTTTAAAGCCTCACATTATTCTTGCCTTCTGAACAACTATACCAAGTTGCCTAATTGCTAACTGCCCTGCTTACTAACAATATATCTCCAAAACAGACTTTTGCTTTCCTAATTCTTCTTTAGAATCTTATAATAAGGTCCTCCCTTTAAGTCCTGTCTTATTGAGATTCCCTAGGTTTCCTCTGGTGTGAACTTTCTCTTGCTGCAACAAACTAGATAAACTTAATACTGACTAAAAATGTGTTACTGGTGGGATTAGGCAGTATTGAACAGAGAAGTTATATTATAATTTACATTTAACAGGATAATCCAGGCTATTGTGCTAAGAGTTGACTGGAGTAACATAGGCAGAAGAAGGCAAACCAATTAGAAAACTAATGCAATAATTCAGAGGAAAGATAATATGGCTTTGACTATAGTGCTAGTGCCAAAGAGTTGGGAAGTGGTTGGATAGCGGATAGATCTAAAGGCAGGGCTGGCAGCCTTTCCTAATGGATTGCTTATGAACATACAGAAAGAAGAGTCAAAGATGAGTCCAAAGAGTGAGCCTAAACTGCTAGAAGGACAATATTGCCACTTACTTGAGAAGAATGTAGGATAAGAAGGTTTAAAACTGAGTTCTGCTTTAATCTGACAAAGCATCTGGGTGAAGATATTAAGTAAGCAGTTAATATGTGAGTATAGAATTCAAAAGAAAGTTTGAGCTGGAAAGGTACATTTATGAGTTCTCCTAGTATAGATGATATTTAAAGCCATGAGACTGTCAGATGTCAATGAGGGAGTGACTGTATTTTTCTTGTATCAATATTTTCCAACATGATTTGCTGTGATTTTATAGCTCTAGTTAGATTGTATCTGTATACTATAGACGTTACAGTCTCTGTACGAGATATCTTACTGAGAATATCTAGAATTGTACTAATGTCATGAAATTACTTTTACACGTCCAAAGTATTAGTTTAGAATTTTTAAAAAGTCAACAACACAAAGTTCAATTTCAGAATAATTGCCACTTATTTTTCTCTTAGTATTTAACTGCATGAATTATTGTGGCATTAACTGTTCAACCATCTATTACTAGGACTATAATTGAAAAAGTCTAGGATAGAAGAAAAATAAATTTAGTTTTTATATCTGATATTTTAATCTAATGTTTTTGTTAACAAAGTAATCAACCACTTTTAATTGGTTATTTTATGGCATAATAGTATGATATAATTTTATCACTCCTAACTGCAGATATCTGTCACACTGTATTGATATTGACTGTGGTGAAAATAGTCTCTTTTTTGTTAGTTTTTCACTTTTTAATACAATTAGGTCCCATTTGGACTCATACCTTGCATATAATTTTGATAAATGTGAATTGGAACCTAGTAGAAATTTGAATGCCAGTAATTTACCCTTGATACAAGTACTGACTATCTTTATTATGTTATTGATAGTCAAATATGCCCAACGTGCCTGATGATTTTGTTTGGTCATTTACTTAGTTTTATACTAATTTAAGGTTAAATGAAGTTTTTAAAAAATGATGTTTCTGTAACTTGCAAAAATATTGATGTATCAAATTTTAAGATAAAAAACCAAACTGATATCTAAGGATTTGTTTGGCTGATAGTTTTCCATGGTTATGGGACTTATATACAGATCTAATCATTATTTAAATCTTTTAGAAAGTAATTAAACTTCAAATTAATCATATGAAGAATATAATTATTATTCACGATATTTCTTGCATATAGTAGGGACTATTGTCATTTCTTATTTTACTCAAACCTCTTAATAATACAGGATATATAGCTATTTTTATTCAATTATTTAAAATAAAAAAAAAACTAAGTCTCATGAAATGTAAGCAATTTGTTTAAGGTCAATCTACTCATAAATGGCCATAACCAAGATTAATCAAATTCAGCTCAATCAGAAGTTAATTTCCTTTACTTTTCTTGTTGGGGTCTGTTTTAACTTTAAAAGATTAGATAAATTGCAAACGGCTATATTCATAAACCCAATAGACCTATTATGAATTTTTTAAAATGTACGTTAAGAAAATTAAGAGTGACTTTTCACTGATTCGGTCAGGAGGCATCTCCTGAGTGACTACCCCATTTAGTTAGATGTTGCTAATATCAAATAACATAAGACATTGTCCTTGGTCTTTAAAAAAGTACAATCTAAAAGGGAGAAACCTAGTAACTCAGCAATACAAAATGCGGTGCATGCAAATATGCATAAAATTCGACTTTGGAATCAGGAAATGAACAACTATGTTAAACTCCAAATAAGTAGGGAGATTCAGAAAATGCATGAGTCTATTAAATGTTCAGAAATAAATGGAAAATAGAAAACAGAATGAAATGGAAATTACATTCAGAAGAACAGCATGCATGAAGACATATTAGATGCATTAGGTGGAAGATCCCATTTGGGCATCTACAAGTAGTTGGCAAGGGCTGTGGCATGGATGACTCTAAGGAAGAGTGGGCCACGAGACTCAAGATATAGACATGGACCGGATGCTAAGCAAGGGGCTATAAATATCTCCTATGTACTTAAGTGTTGAAGAGTGAGAATACTCTATATTTTCAAAGTACAGTTTGTAAAAAGCTGACTCCAAAGCAAATCCTATGTGTGAGGAGCAGAATCCTCAATGATTTATTGAGATGCTTCTCACTAAATTGTTCTGAAACTCTTGCCTATTGTTTCCAAACACCTTTATGAAGTAGTACGTATACTGGTGAAAGATCATCCCAGTAAGATATATTTGGGTTGTTGGGGTTGCCCCAACTATGGATAAGATTTTGATTAATGATTAGATCCATATTCAGAATTACTACTAGTCCCTTTGTAGGTTTTGATAAAATTTCAGGAACAATAATTTTAAAATGAAACAGATTATTAGGTTTTTTTTTCAGTTGCTTTCTACATCATTTGTTTCTGGGAAGCCATGCTATAGGTTATATACATTTATAGATGTGGCTAGAGGGATAGGGAATGTCATGTGATTTTTTAAATAGAAAATCATATTATATTAAAGTTAGAGGATTCATTGAAGTACATCTAAGCAAATAAACTTTTAAATAAAGAAATAGAGAGAAAAGAGATAAAGGGGAGCGCTCAAGATCACAAGGAATTTTATGAAAACTCTAGGTCTGGGACATATATCTTCTCAGCTAAAGATAAATGGTTTTATGTTTCTTCCTACATGTTGGTTTGATTCCTCAGTATCATACCCTAGGTGTTGTTTTTCAGGAAATGAGTAGGATTTCAAAAGAGTAATTTGTCAAAGATGGCCACTGATGAGGAAGAATGTTATGCTACTGAAGGCAACAAGTTTGATGGTGTGTTCAGGTGCCTAGATTGTTATTATACTTGGTTTCAAAGTAGTCTTGAAAGATAGGTTAAAGATATAAAACAGTACAATATTTAATTGTTGCTTCTCTCAACTTTAGGACCATGCTAACAGTTTAGGAGGAGAGATTTTTGTACACATAGAGCTATTCTTTAATTAAATTTGCTAGTGTAATCTCAGAAGATTCTGAGCTGGTTTAGTTTGTACAAAATGTTGACTGGTAATCTAAACAAATGGGATATGTAAAATTTGCCTGGAGACATCACAAATTGGTTTGCTTTTCTCAAGATAGATGGCATTTCATTTTCAGTTGTAAAAAAACTTCAGAAATATAATTGTATAAAAATGGTAACATAAATATTAAATCCCTATTGGAGTCCTAAAATTTTTGAAAAATAATGTGGATAACTCCTACTTAGTAAAGTATTTGCAACATTATATCTTACCCTGCCAAAGATAACTTCAAAATAATACTAAGTAAGCATCTTATAGGAACAGTTAAAAAGTATATTTTGCCTTCAAAAAAAAAAGGATCATTTTATTATGGCAGTCATTCTAACTTACTGACAATTAACAAATGTGGCCAGAGTGTCTTTTTTCTGTAAAAATTTTTTTCTGTAAAAATAAAAAACCTTTATATATGAATTTAATAATTGTTTTAAGATAATTTTTGTTAAAATATTAAAGTCTGTAAAGGTGTATTAAGTGACTTCACTGAGGGGGGATGGGGAAAAGGTACTAACCTAAGTAACTTCAAATATGATTGAAGTCAGTACTCTAGTTGATACAATGGCTTTTCAATTAGATATTGGTTAACAATTCTGAAACAATGATACATGTATACTGAAATTGAACTACCAAGTAAGTGGATGGTGAAGAGTGGGAGCTAGGTCTCTCACTGTTAGGTTGGGAGATTACAGAAAAACAAGGGGAGGTGGCTAAAATAATATATTTGGTTATGGATATAAATTCATGTTTAGCTTAATATAGATTCCAATATTTACATAAATAACATTTATAGGTATGTGTATACACAGGTCAGTACACACACATATATTTTGTTGCTATGTCATCTGAGAGGGCCCAAAAGCAATGACACTTCATAGTGATGAGCATACTTAGCTACAAGAATTGGTTTCTAATACCATTCTTGAGTAATAGGAATGAAGGCTCCTTAGGAAATCATTGATTTTAGGACTAAGGAAGGAAATACATGATGAACCTGCACCACCTTGTACTGCTAGAAGGTATGAGTGTTCTCAAAAATATCCACAGTTGAGTCCGTATTGATACAAATAATGATTAAATAAGTAAGGGAGAAGAGATAAATGTCCGATATGGAAGAAGTACATATAAATTTCACATAGATATTCTGCTCTCAAGGAGAGAGAGCAGAACTCTATACTCCTTAAATGTAGCTTGTGTATATGACTTTCTTCCAAAGTTTTTACAGGGGAAAAAAAGTAACTTTGCAGTGTTGAAACTCCGCAAACACTAAACAGGCAGGCGATCAAAGTCAATGACAACAGTGAACATCATTTTGATAGCATGGACCTTTGATATGATGCAATGAAAATGGCAATTTATCTCTGAGGGCTTCCTCCCCAAAACCTGTAACTGCAGTCTAATCATGAGAAATACATCAGAGAAATCCTAACTGGTGGTATTCTATGAACTGTCTTACCAGCATTCTTCAAGATGGCCTAAATAATAAAAAATAATGGAAATCTGAGAACGTGTTAGAGTTAGAGCAGCTCAAGGAAACATGACCATCAAATATTATTTAATATTATGGATGGGACCCTGGAACAATAAAAATATATTAGAGGAAGGCTGAGGAAATCATATGTACATATGATTATATATGTAACTATGTATAGCTATGTGATTGTTAATTAAAGCCCATATTTAATATTAATATGTGGGCTTTAATATTTAATAAAACCCATATTTAATATTTAGTACATGGGCTTTAAATGATATTTAATATTTTGGCTTCAATTAATATATCATGTAACAACTATATATATATATTTGGGATATTGGTTATCAGTTCTGAAAACATTATACATGTGAAATTGAACTACTGAATTTGAACTACCAAGTAAGTGGATGGTGGATAGTGGGAGCTATATATAGTAACTATATATACATGTATATAGTTACATGATATATTAATTAAGATGTCATGATACATTAATTAAAGCCCATATTTAATATATATAACTATATACCTGTATATCGAGTTACATATTTAATTAAATAAATAATATTTAATTAATATTAACATATGACCTTTAATCATATATATGTATCATATGTACAATTACACATGTAACATAACAATTAAAATGATGCAGCTGGAAGTCAAGGAAAGCCAAGGATTGCCAGCAACCTTCAGAAGCTAGAAGAGGCAAGGAAGGATTCTTCCCTAGAATCTCCTGTAGAGGCATGGCCGTGCCTGGATTTCAGAATTCTACATTTCAGAACTATAAAATAAAATAAATTTCTGTGGTTTTAAAATACTCAGTTTGTTGTACTTTGTTATGGCAACCCTAGAAAGTTAGTATAGATTTTTTTCCTACTCCTAAGCCAGCCGTGTGCTTTACATGTCTTTGATTCTGGACCCCTGCTTGAAATGTCATTGTTCACATTCTCTATGTCATAGCTCAACTATTAACACTGGCCGAATTTCCATGATTCTCTTAGGTGGTATTATTTTCTCATACATGAGTTTCTTTGAAAACATATATAGTCGTTTATGAAAACAATTGAAAAATATTAAGTTGTTTATATTATAAATGTTATATTAACATTTCACTGCTAAATTATCTTATCAAGAAAATATTCTTATGACAACTGTGCAATAAGTTCTAGTAAATGACAGAATGAATGTCATTTCCCAATTCTCATGTGTTTTCATTGTTTGAACTTACCACATAAACAGACTTGTAGTATTTTGAAGTTAATAGTCATGGTATAATTTTTAAAACATTCATTATAACATATGTTCAAAGGTTTGTATGCTAATTATATGACATAGTATAATATTCTGTAATTTAATACTTAAGTAGGAAAACATCTTGATTTTAATATTTACAGCATTAGCTATATCTATCTCATTAAAATTAATGGTTCTTGAATAGTGAAATCTTGAATATTTTTCTCATTGTAAACATGAATTGACATACATTTGCATAAATAATATTAAAGTTCTTATTCAAATTGTCAAGAGAAGTAAAAAGCTTTCCAATCTAAATAGGATACATTAACATACAACTGTAAACAGATGTTAAGAGAGGCCACGGAAAGATAATTGCAGTTGTTACCAATTTAAAAATATTTTCTTTCCTAATTAAAGGAAGAATAAATGATCCCATGAAAGAATTACCCGAAGTATTAATAGTGCAAATGCCTAACTGAAATTAGTTACTAGTATGCTTTTTTCCATATCACATTAAACAATTATCGCAAGTTTAGACAGAGTCTAAATATATCTATAAAAAACCTCATAAACAAAAGGAAAAATATCATTTGCTATTGATATTAAAGAGGAAAATCAAGGGAGGAGTAAATTACATAACAAATTTAAGTTATCTCCTGTTTCTAATTAAAATAAGAAGAAGAAAAAGGATGAAACAAATGGAACAGGGAAACAATTTGTCTAATGTTTTATCAACAAGAATAGAAAGTGATACAAGGACATTCTTGAGATAATCAAGTGAATGTCAGATATGGGAGGAGTATACTGCTAGTCTCACTGCTGTGATGTACAATTGATTGTTCAGGACTCTGCAGGGAATTGCTCAGCACGAAAGGAATACAAATTAGCTCTCCCGATAGTTCAGACATGTGCGAGTCCCTCTTTCACATGAAGGAGCAAGCTGAGAATTTGGAAATATCTTTAGGTTTGTTATTTTATTCGATGCCCAATAAAGCCAAGAAGGGAAAAATCTCCAACACCTGGAGTAGTATATTAAGTGGTATCAGTGGGTCATGGTTAGATAATAAATAAGAATGAGGACACGGATGCTGGTAAACAGTGCATAATAGGGATATGAATCACCAGAATTTTAGGAAAATAAACCCTAATTGGAAGAAAATGCAGAACTCTAATGTGAGTTTGATGTTTACAGATCCAGTTGTTTTCCCTCTAGTCTAAAAGTAAGATATATGAGTAAAAGACCAATAAAAAATAATTGGCACTCTCCTGTGTGGCTGTTCTTTTCATTCGAGTAAACTACAAATAGAAAAAAAAAATCAGGGAAAGTATGCCACAAGGTGATTCCATTGGCACAATAAAGACAATGCTGTGACAAAACTTGTAATGAAAAGCAATTTGGACTGTTGGACTCCGATGATCTAGTGAAGGAGCCGGGGTTTGTGAAAGTCACTAATGGCTTTCTGCGCACACTTGGGGAAAGTTTTGTTTCTCTCAAAGGCATTCATAATATTAGATAAACCAAGGGAAATTGTTTTTTAAAAATCTGCAAATTGTTTTGACTCTTGTATACATATTCCTTCTATATATGACATAAAATAGTAGCAGAAAAAATAATTGGATTAAACCAGGATTTGAATACTAATTCTATTAATAACTGACTATGGCCCTAGTCAATTCTTCTAATTTTGTCAAACACAATGTGTTTACTTATAAATCAAGGGTGATACGACCCTGCCTCATACCTGCATTAGCTTAAATGAAGAGTATTTGTAAATGACTGTATCATGCCTGGTTTTTTACTTGCCCTAAAAAAATATCAGATTCCTTGTGGCTACACCTAAACCACGGGGATGCACATGGTCACCTGTGGGCAATAGATCACTCAGTATTCCAAATATGTTTGGTATGCTTTATTATATTCAAAGATCACTACATAACACAGTAGGTGGAAAAGAAAAAATATGTATATATAAAGGAAAAATATGTATATATAAATATATATGAAAGAAAAGAGTGTGTGTGTGTTTATGTATATATCTTTATTTTTTTATTTATAGATATATTTTTTAGATGGAGTCTTGCTCTTTCACCCAGGCTGGAGTGCAGTGGTGCAATCTCAGCTCACTGCAACCTCGGCCTCCTGGGTTTAAGCCATTCTCCTGCCTCAGCTTCCTGAGTAGCTGGGATTACAAGCGTGTGTCACCATGCCTGGCTACATTTTGTATTTTTAGTAGAGACAGGGTTTCACCATGTTGGGCAGGCTGGTCTCAAACTCCAGACCTCGGGTGATCCACCCGCCTCAGCCTCCCAAATTGCTAGGATTGCAGGAGTGGACCACCACACCTGGCTATGTGTATATCTCTAGAAAGAAGGCTACCAAGAGACCAGATCAAAATCCCTGAGGCTAGTACCTACTTACCATGAACTGAGGAAAGTAATAACGTAAGTGGGTAAGCTAGCATGCTGCGGTGGTGAATAAGACCACTGATTTTGGAGGCCGAGAAATCTGGGATTAATATCTTTGGCACTTAAGAACTTTGCAATCAGCCTGGCGCGGTGGCTCATGCCTGTAATCCCAGCACGTTGGGAGGCCGAGGCCGGCGGATCACGAGGTCAGGAGATCGAGACCATCCTGGCTAACACGGTGAAACCCCGTCTCTCCTAAAAATACAAAAAATTAGCCGGGCGTGGTGGCGGGTGCCTGTAGTTCCAGCTACTCGGGAGGCTGAGGCAGGAGAATGGCGTGAACCTGGGAGGAGGAGGTTGCAGTGAGCCGAGATCCTGCCACTGCACTCCAGCCTGGGCGACAGAGCGAGACTCCGTCTCAAAAAAAAAAAAAAAGAAACTTTGCAATCTTGGGTGTGTTAACTATTCTTCTAGTCACACAGCTTTCTCATCAAATGTGGATATTACTAGTACCAATCTCAGAATAAATGAAATACTTAAATGTGGAAAAGCTTAACTTAAATAGTGAAAATGATAATAATATCTACCTCATACTTGTTTTAGTATATTTCCTGTCAAGTTGTATATATTCTATAATTATAATTATGTTGTTATTGCTGTCTAGTAATATTGATTTTAATTCGGAGAGGGTATTTATTTATTAATGATATTCACTCCATGTGAACCCAGTAATAAAATACGTTTATACCTCCCAAATAACATATATTTAAATATAATACCCAGCTTGTATTAGAGCCTGTCCTAGCATGCTGTGCTTCTTAATTTAGACCTAGAGCATCCTTATGTGAATTTGAATTTTCTTCTTAAAGTCTGGGGAGTGGGAGGGATTGGGAAGTATTTTTGTGAGCTTCCTTTATCTCAAGTCATAAAATGACGCCAAGTTGCATTCACCATGATGCCATTTAAGTCTTGAGTTTTCTTTGCAAGAAATTATATATATTCTGTGTGTGTGTGTGTTCAGCCTTTATTTTTGTGTCAGTTTTATAATTGTTTTTCTTAGAACGTGTTCATTGTATTTATATTGCTCAAATTTATTTCATAATGTTGGTTTTAGAACTATTTTATTAACATTGCAATAAACGTAGGTTCTATATTAGTGCTAACATTTTAAAAACCAATATTGTTTATGTATTAGTTTATGTATAACTACTTTGTACATTTCTTGATTTGTTTCTATAGATATATCAATTTTATTAGTCTCAAAACCATTTTTTGGTTTAATAACTCTGTGGTATGTTTCTTTATTAATTTCTGCTATTTTCTTTATTATTTCATGTTTCACACTTTTACTTTAATTTGCTATTTTAGTTCTAAAATCTAAAGAAGAAAGCTTAGTACATTGATTTTCAGCCTTGCTTTCTATTACATGCATTTAAAGAGATTATCTTTCCATTAAGTATTATTCAGCTGCAACTGCCAAGTTTTGAAATGAAACACTTTTATTAACATTCACTTCAAAGTATTATTTAATACCCATTGCGATGTGTTCATTGACCCATCGGGATATATTACTTAGTTTCTAAGCATTGAATATTTTCTAGCTATCTTTTTGTCACTGCCTTCCAGTTTAATTCTATTGCAGTCAAAGATGTATCCATATGCTTTATATCCTTTGAAATTTGTGGAGTAAAGAAACTTGGAAGAATAAAATTCCTTGGAAGCAATTAGCTTGAATCTGATTTCTCAACCAAAGAAAACAAAGTATAACATTTTCAAAATGCTGAAAGAAGGATCATCTCAGAACTCTACTTCCAATGAAAATATCCTTTAGACAAACAAAAGCAGAAAATTAATCAGCAATAGACCCACACTAAAGTAAATTCTAGAGGGAGTACTTGAAGTAGCAGAAAATCCTATGCCTCACAGACTGATGCATTATATGCATTATATGCATTATATGTCGCATGTTTTCCAAATATTTCTTGTTGTGCCCATGTCTATCCTATGGAAGGATAGGACTTGGGGCTTCTTAATATTTTAGGTAACACCCTTTTCTAGTTTTGTCCAAGGATTGTGAACAAAAATAATGTATGTCACTTTCTGAACAGAGCATTTATTTGATATCTAATAACACCCTATATGGCATTTTATAATATTTTTTAGAAACTATTAAAAAAATGAAACGGTAGAGGATCAATCAGCTTGTACTTGAACAATTTGTGTTAGGAGAACTTTCTATGATGATGTTTTCTTAGAAACAGGTTTTATTTTGTTTTTAATTGACACATAATTGTATATGTTTATAAGGTACAATGTGATGTTTTGATACATATATAAATTGTGTAATAATCAAATCAGGGTAGTATCTTTGACACTTCTGAGTATTTCCCTGAAAAGTGCTGATTTGTTCTTAAGTTAATAAAGTAAGGAATAAAATCAGTGATGTTATGTTTTCTGTTTCTTTAATTAAAAAACAAAATTTTCACTTAATATTATATTCCTCAGTCCCATCCATGTTGCTGCAAATGAAAGAATTTCATTCTTTATGGTTGAATAACATTCCATTGTGCATATATATATATCATATTTTCTTGATTCATTCATCTGTTGATGGACACTTAGGTTGATTTCATATCTTGATTACTGTGAGGAGTGCAGTAATAAACAAGAAAATGCACATATCTCTTCAATATAATGCTTTCTTTCTTTTGGATACATACCCAGAATTAGGATGTTTGAATTATATAGTAGTTCTATTTTTAGTTTTTTGAGGAACCTCCATACTGTTCTGCATAATGTCTGTACTAATTTACACTCCCCCTTAAAGTGTTTCAGGGTTTGCCTTTCTCCTTACCCATGCCAGCATTTGTCATTGCCTGTTTTTTGGGTACAAGTTATTTTAACTGAGATAAGCTGGGTACAGAAGGACAAATACTGTATCTTCTCATTCATATGTGGTAGCTAAACAAAATGAAGTCATGAATATAGAGAGTAGAATGGTGTTTACCAGAGGCTGGAAAGGGTACTGGGGAGGAGGTGATACACAGGGGATGATTAATGGAGGCAGAAATACAATTAGATAGACTAAATAAGATCTAGTATTTAATAGCACAATATGGTAACTATAGTTAATATAATTAATATTGTTATATATTTACATATAAATATATGATATAAATAATATATCCTATATTTTTAAATAACAAAAACAGTAGAATTGGAATGTTCCTAACACAAAGAAATGATAAATGCTTGAGGTGATGGATGCCCCAATTACTCTGATTTTATCATTATACATTGTATGCTTCTATCAAAATGTCACATATATCCCATCAATATGTGCAATTATTATGTATCTGTAATCACTAGAAATAAAAAATTTAAAAGTAATTTTTCAGTGGTGCACACATCATACATTTTTTCTCTGAAATGTTTAAATAACCGCTTCTTTTCTTTGGCTGAACCTTAGAGAATGGATCTCATGGGATGTGACGTTGAAGGCATTTTCCAAATGTCCAATGATTAAGACATTTCAGATTTAATGTTTACATAGGGAATTCATCAATCATAGGTTGTCACTTTGGAAGATGATGAGACCAGGACATTGAAGAAAGACTTTTTCCATTTTTTTTTTTTTTTTTTTTTTCTGAGATGGAGTCTCACTCTGTCGCCCAGGCTGGAGTGCAGTGGCCTGATCTCGGCTCACTGCAAGCTTCGTCTCCAGGGGTTCACACCATTCTCCTGCCTCAGCCTCCTGAGTAGCCGGAATTACAGGCGCCCACCACCACGCCTGGCTAAATTTTTGTATTTTTAGTAGAGACAGGTTTTCACTATGTTAGCCAAGATGGTCTCGATCTCCTGACCTCGTGTTTGTGTTTACATGTCTGATACCTCTGCCTTATTATTGCTTTGGACGTAAGAAACAAACTAATCTCTATTCCCCATCTCTACTTTCTATTGCTGACAACAGTTACACTTTGTCCCAACAATTGAAACCCTTCTAGCTATTTTAAACAGAAAAGCAGATGCTGCAACAATTTTATAAAGTATTGGAAAGGCTAGATAAGTGAGAATCACATGGCCACTGCTAAATCTATTGATCTAAGGATAAGAAAACCAGGATCAGGAAGCTGCAACTGAATCTATGATATTGCCTTACACATCCATGAGGCTGTTGACTGAAATAGAGAGACACCTAGGTCCTCACAAGCTTGGCTTTTCTTGCTAAATAAAGAAAAAAAAAACACTAGTAAGCTGACGTTGGCTTCTCTTTTATCTTGTAAACCTTTTAAGTTCCTATAATCGATAAAACTTAATTTGCATCTAGAACATCTACCAAGAGATTCTTGGAAATATAGTTTTCAGCTTTGCCATTACTGCAAAATAGCAAGACACGCAGGAGGCATAAATGGATGTTAAGAACTAAGCAACCCTATCTAACATGATCAAAATGTCTCCATTTTAATTTAATGGAAAATGCTTTCCCTTTCACAAATCCTGTTGGAGGAAGTCTAACAGAAAAATGTCAGTATTTTTCTCCATTTTAGAGGGAAAAAACATACTCAGAATGATTTCTTTATTTTGTTAATCACTAATAAAGACATTGGCAACAATCTTGCCTTGGGTTCGCACTGGACTTTGGTCTAATTGTCAGGTACATTCTAGCTATATCCCAGTTGCAATATCATTGACTATGTACTCCTTTCAGGTCAGGAGCTTGTAATTAATCTTATGTTTTGATGTATACACAGCACTGTAGCACTGTTAAAATCTTCATGCAAGCAACCAATGACTGAGAGTCTAAATATAATTGAGACAATTCAATCTTTTTTACTTTTATTGTATGCCTCTCTTATTTATGTAGACTTGATTTTTTCTGGTAATCTAATGGACATTTTTTTGTCAGCTCTAAGGAGAGGATCTATGTGATTCATTGCCTTACTTTACTGTTTTTCTATCAAATCCAGTTTGCTGGTTTTGTAGCAATTGTTTGCATGGTTCTGTGAATTGATAGCTAAAGGTATGGAAAGACAGAGCACTTCACCTGGAGGACAGATTGGTTCAACATGCCTGATTATGATAGACAACTCCCAAGAGCTTACAGTGTTAACTAGCCTCTTGATATATTTATATATTCAGAAAATATTTCTACATTTCAGTTTTTCAATAATTAGTTTTGACCCAGGTAGGAACTTCATAAACAGAAAGGATTCACTCTTGGGATCATGGTTCTCATCAATGGACAGTGGCATAGGTCTAGCTCAAATTCCCCATATTGTAATCTACCAAAATCTTGAATCACAAATCTGTGCTTTTCACCTTCTTCATCAATTATGAGAAGGAAACTGGGATGAGAAGACAACTGTTAATTTACTTCACTAATTTATAAATTTCTGCATACTTGTTGTTTAATCATATATCATTAGCATATTTACCATATATGTTATATAACAATATTAGAAAGGGAATAAATACAAAAATAATATTACTTCTCTAACTTGCACTATACAGGATTATGCAAAGAATATTATTTGGACCACTTCATTTTATTTGCTGTATTTCTTTTACATATTCCTTATCATGTTAAGTTTCTTCTTGGCTTTCTATCTTACACTAATGATAAATGACAGGGAAGGTGGTAATGGGAGTGTGGCAATGACTGTGAACGCGCACATCAACCTGAGCAAAAAGTAACGTGAAGTGACTGACTTAGGACGGTAATGAGGATGGTAACATTTAATGCTATGTTCTATCCTTCTTAAAAGAAATATCTATTGTATCACACTTCGCTTATTATAATTTTTGTCATAAAAGAGATTCACTGAACAGTAGTGCCTAAAAACAAACTTTAAAATATTACTGCACACTGTCCAATCTTCAAGTTTAAAATAAACTAGCTGATTGATCTGCAAATCTATTCATTCAGATAACTGAGACTTTCCTGGACATATAATTTCAACTTAAATATTTTGTTTAAGAAATATTCATGACTTTTACAAATTAAATTTTTTTGAAATGACGTGAAGTTTAGTTTTCCCCCTCATTTTCTGAATTTATTTTAAAATATGTACTGCTAGATAATTTTTCAATGGCTGCATGTATGTTGTGTTATTGTATTCTTCATATTTTTCTATTTTTATGTTTGACAGATGTCGATCTTTGATATCTAGAAAAAATGATACATTTTATTCATTCACTCACTCAAAATATAATAGTGAAGAATGGCTTAGTACATGCCTTTGAAGAATGTGCTAGCAGGGCTAGAGAGATGATTTTAACATGTATCCTGTCCTGAAGGAGTTTACAGTTCAGGAAATAACTTACAGCTATAAATAGTACAGTTTAAATAAGTTTCGTGTATATGATCCAAAACGTGGATAAAATATTTTTGCAAGTTGTATAGATAACCAACCTCTTATAAAAAAAATTCCCATGGGTTAGGTAATTTTTAATATTTGGCTGCATTCCTTAAGTATATTTCAAAACTATTATAAATTTAATTCAAATATGCCATAAGTATAAAGTAGAAAATATAAAAATATAAACTAATAAAAGAGTGATGGTTTTCTACTTTAGCATGCCATATTTTTTTCTTAAGCAAATCAATTTGCTTTCTACTTATTTTCACACAAACTCAGGACCAGACATCATTTTCTCTTTACCTTTCAAACAAATGAATTGCAATTTATTATAATAATGTTTTGCATCCTAACTCCAAAAATGACTTGACAAGTATAAGGGATTATGAAAAGCAATATGTTCCTCTGAAATAGAAGTTTATTTTTCCTCAAATCTATTCTTCCTATACCCCTCAATGTAGGGATGGCATGGTGTGCCACCCTTATAATTTCTCGGTACCTATGTCTTCCTTCTTCCAATTCTTGAGACTGTTGGCTTTTGATGACTCACATTCTAGTCATTCTCTAGAAATTTATCTTTGTGAAAGAGACCTGCCTCATCAAAGATTATACTTCTCTCTGTGGGAAGTCAAAACGCATCACTATTACAAAGGTTAAAAGACTTGCCCTGATTCAGAAAATCTCTGGAGAGTCAGCCCAGATCCAGAGCTCCCTGTGGAATTGGCTGGTTTGTGTTGTGAAAGGCTTCCAGACACACTTTTTACTCTGACCAGTCCTTTTTCTCTCATTTTTATGTGAGTCTTATTCATTATAGAACTCTCTTCCACACAAATTACTGTTTCATAAATTTGGAAACATAATTTTCTTGGAAACAATTTTAAACACTTGGTATCAAAACAGGTCCTAAGAAGGCCTCTAAAATAGGATCTGTAGCTGTGTCATCCACCGCGCGTGCAGCAAGCAAGATCCCTTTACTGGTGGGAGGTGGGTGCTGATGGCATGCTGTACTCTTGACACAATAAACCATATACTTGTAGTGGTATACAGGATGTCATAAGGAGGAAGTTTCCTAAGAAGTACAATATCTCATGTCTTTCAGGGGATTGAGGGAAATAGTAATTATAATGACTATGAAATTAAATGGCTTTTAGTGGGTGTTAGTGATGCACTGGAGAAGGACGATTAAATGCTTAGGGTAATTAAATATTACTTTAATATGAGTGAAAGCAGAAGATGTCTTAAGTGCTTAAGTGATGTGTAAGGAGATTCTTATATATTGCCTTGCAGAGTTAAAAACAACCACTGTGGATTAAGCCCAAGATTTAATTATTAGGGTAGCATTTTACCAGAGAAATTTTAATTCTCCAGCCAAACAGTCTGTTACATCAAGGCTGAGCTCCTGTTCGATAAGGTATGGGGCTCTAAACTTGCATGGGGACATATGCACTTCAACTCTTGAATACTTAGACTATCCTAAACATTCTGGATCTACATAAGTAGACTACCCATTCCCATTACAGGTTAGTGGATCCCCTTATGTGAGAAAATGAATTGTAAGAAAACGTGTGATCTCCCCCTCAGTATCTGCCCTTACCTCCCATTCCTGGCTGCCAGACCAATAAAGGCAGCTTAAAATTTAACCTGGTCACAGAAGTGTTGACTCTGTTAAGAGACAAATGGCTCTATACAAAGGACCTGTGTGACCTAGCCAATGTAGGAATGGGAGCCAGGGAAACACAAATACAACTGAATTTCTAGGATATTGGATTGAAGAAGTTATTATTTAAAATTTGTAAAATGAGAGTGTATCCCTATGGAAGCATTCTTCATTGATATGTAATTTGCCATCATGACAATAGACCAGAAGTGGCAGACATTCTAGGATGGCTCTTGAAATCCTGAAGAAGTAACGGTCATGCCTAAGGAAGTAAAAATGGCAGAACTGCTGAGACAGATGATAGAGGAAGAAATCAAAAGACATATAAGTGGACAGAAAATATATGCTTACACTATATGTTTATATACAAATATTTAAACACATAATGCTAGAAAAACTACTAAATAAGTATGTTCCATAATATATCTAGAAAGACACCTGTATTAGTTCGTTTTCATGCTGCTATGAAGAACTGTCCCAGGCTAATTTATAAAGGAAAGGGGTTTAATTGATGCACTGCTGGGGAGGCCTCAGGAAACTTAAAATCATGGTAGAAGGCAAAGGAGAAATCACATCTCATAAGACTCACTCATTATCACAAGAACAGCATGGGGGATACTGCTGAATGATCCAATTACCTCCATCTCATCCTACCCTTGATACATGAGGATTACAATTCAAGATGAGATTTTGGGTGGGAACACAGCCAAACCACATCATTCCAACCCTGGCCCCTCTCAAATCTCATGTCCTCACATTTCAAAACACAATCGTGCCTTTTTAACAGTCCCCCAAAGTCTTAACTCATTCCAGCATTAACCCAAAAAATCCAAGTCCAAAGTCTCATCTAAGACAAAGGAAATCCCTTACACCTATGAGCCTATAAAATCAAAAGCCAGTTAATTACTTCCTAGATACAAAGGAGGTACAGGCATTGGGTAAATACACCAGTTCCAAATGGGAGACACTGGCCAAAATAAAGGGGCTTCAGGCCCTATACAAGTCTGAAATTCAGTGGACAGTCAAATCTTAAAGCACCAAAATGATCTTTTTTGACTCCATGTCTCACATCCAGGTCACACCAATGCAAGAGGTAGGTTCCCACTCCCTTGGGTAGCTCTATCCCTGTGACTTTGCAGGATACAGACCCCTCCCAGTTGCTTTCACAGGCTAGTGTTGAGTGTCTGCAGCTTTTCCAGGTGCATGGTGCAAGCTGTTGGTGGATCTACCATTCTGGGGTCTGGAGGACAGTGGCCCTCTTCTCACAGCTCCACTAGGCAGTGCCCCAGTGGGGGCTCTCTGTCAGGGCTCCAACCCTACATTTCCCTTCTGCATTTCCCTAACAGAGGTTCTCCATGAGGGCTCTGCCCCTGCAGCAAACTTCTGACTAGACATCCAGGCATTTCCATACATCCTCTGAACTCCTTCAATTCTTGACTTCTGTGCATCTACAGGCCCAATACCACATGTAAGCCACCAAGGCTTGGGGCTTGCACTCTCTGAAGCAATGGCCTGAGCTATACATTGGCCCCTTTTAGCCATGGCTGGAATGCAGGGCACCAAGACTTGAGACTGCAAAAAGCAGTAAGGCCCTGGGCCTGGCCCTCAAAACCATACTTTCCTCCTAGGCCTCAGGGCCTGTGATAGGAGGTGCTGCTGTGAAGACCTCTGACAATGCCCTGGAGACATTTTTCCCATTGTCTTGGAGATTCACATTTGGCTCCTCATTACTTATGCACATTCTTGCAGCCCACTTGAATTTCTCCTCAGAAAATGGTTTTTTCTTTTCTAACACATTGTCAGGCTGCAAATTTTCTGAACATTTATGCTCTGCTTCCCTTTTAAACATAAGTTCTGATTCCAAACAATATCTTTGTGAATGCATAAAACTGAATGCTTTTAAGAGCATCCAAGTCACATTTTGAACGCTTTGCTGCTTGGAAATTTCTTCCACCAGATACCCTAAATCATTTCTCTCAAGTTCAAAGATCTCTAGGTCAGGGGCAAAATGCCACCATTCTCTTTGATAAAGCATAGCAAGAGTGACCTTTACTCCAGTTCCCAACAAGTTCCTCAACTTCATCTGAGACCACCTCAGCCTGAACTTAATGGTCCATATCACAATGAGCATTTGGTCAACGCCATTCAACAAGTCTCTAGGAAGTTCCAAACTTTCCCACACCTTCCTGTCTTTTGAGCCCTCCAAGTCTCGAGGAAGTTCCAAACTTTCCCATATTTTCCTGTCTTCTTCTGAGCTCTCCAAACTCTTCCAACTTCTGCCTGTTACCTGGTTCCAAAGTCACTTCCACATTTTCAGGTATCCTTATAGCAGTGCCCCACTCTTGGTACCAATTTACTGTATTAGTCCATTCTCATGTTGCCATAAAGAACTGCCCAAGACTGGGTAATTTATAAAGGAAAGAGGTTTAATTTATGCATTGCTGGGGAGGCCTCAGGAAACTTATGATCGTAGTGGAAGGCAATAGAGGAGCAGACACCTTCCTCACAAGGCAGCAGGATGGAGTGAAAGCAAGCAGGGGAAATGCCAGATGCTTATAAAACCATCAGATCTCATGAGACTCATTCATTATCATAGGAACAGCTTGGGGAAAAACGCACCCATGATCCAACTACCTCCACCTGGTCCTGCCCTTGACCAATGAGGATTACAATTCAAGATGAGATTTTGGGTGGGGTCACAGCCAAACCTTAACTACAGCGCATTTATAAAGCAATGGGGGAATGTGTTAGTGAGAGGGACAAATATATCATTAAGAAACTCAATGATGGCTGTTCTATGTAGATGATAGGAAATGTTATAAAACTGGTTATATCATAACAATGGGAATGATAGCACCCTGAAATAATAGTGGCCAGGGAACAGGGTGTAGGTATTAAAAACAAGGTGGGCCCATGCATAGCCTGTGTTCCCACACAGCAACATTACTCTAACTATAGTCACTGTTGAATATCAAGTCTACCAGCAAGAGGATTCAACACTGGGTAGTCGCTAGAGCACCACACCTTGAGAAGTTCCACCTTCCTCTTTGTAACAAGTACTGACATTGATTCTTTCACACCATGATAGGACCAGCATTTTGTCTTGACTGGAATCAATCTATATGGCAGAAATGAGTTTGCTTTTCCTGCCTGTATGTCCTTCAATAATATTATCTGAGCATTAAGGGATGTATAAAACACTGTAAAGGTTAAATTGATAGCCTAAACTTGAAACAAAATACTCACTCTACAACAAAGGAGGGGAGTGAATATATGACAATAGAATCTGGCAATTGTATCACATTCTGCACCACTGCATCATAACTTGCCAGCCTGATAGAGAATAAATGTGGATCCAAGGAACCAGTCTGCAGATGATATAATCCTTTAGTGATGGGATTCTTATCCTTTAAGATGTGGTATGCATCCTAATTTAATCATAATTACCTAGTGTTTTGTCTCCTAAATAGAATACATAGATCTGGAAGTAGAAGTAGTCACAATTACCATCACTCCGGTAACCCATCTTGGTGACATGTGCTTTCTACTCTTACATATTTACTCTATGTCTAAAACCCATGGTTTCCAGAGGGGAGTCACTTTACTTATACCTGGAGATACAGAAATATCATATTGAATGTTAAGCTGTGACTACCACCTTTTCACTCCAGGATTCTTGTGCCAAGAGGTCAACGTGTAACAAGAGGAGTCAACAAATTTTCTGGAGAAATTGACTCTTATCATCATGAGATGAGAGAGCTGTGGTAACCCAGGCAACAGGAAAGAAGGCACTCGGCAGCCAGCTGATCTCTTGAATAGTCTCTGCCTTCTTCTTTACCTTCACTCCCAACCCTCTCTTTCTTGGGCTGGGTAACTGCTTCCTGTGATCATAGACTCATTCGAGGTGATGACTTCTACAGGAAGCCTTTCATGATAATTCATGCTGCATCAATTGCCCTGTTCTCTGGCTGTTTTCTCTTAGCAAGTTTCCTGTTATACTGAAATGGCCTGTCAGTGTTTATATCTTTCTCACCAATGCCAGGAATTAGAGCTATTCATCTGTTTCCCCTCTCCCCTCCTCAAGTTTAGCATGATCATGGGCACAAAATAGATGTCAATGTAGTTTAGATAGAAATGGCCCAATTTTGACTCAAGTGACATAAAATAATCATGAACTGAAGTTACACAAGACCCGATAAAAATGTTTCTCCCATTGTTTACGTGCATTATACTTGCCAATCTGGATTTCTTAAATTAACAAATAGATCCACTCCAAGAAAACCTGCACCCTTAGTATCTTCGAATTTTTCACTTTTTCTTAGGTGTTACAAAGATTTGTATTTGTGAGAATTTTTCTGAGCTACTGATCTTGGACCCAGGGGAGGAAGACAAGTGCTAAGATGTTGAGCTGGAATTATGAGTTGCTCACAAAGAGAAAAAATAAAATCGAAAAGAAAGAAAACCTTCTGCAACAGATATCTCTAAGTGCAGGTGAAAGTTTTTCAGATGGTTAACCTTCTCTCTGATTAGACTCCTGGTTGTTATGGCGATGAAAAGGTGCTCAATCCTTTGAGGTTTATAAATTAGAATAACAGGATAAGTTATTTTCAAATTTATGTAAAAATCATGAAAAGATATACTTTATAGTGAAGCTAAGGAAGTTAAAGAACTCCTACTAGCTAAGGAAGAGGTCCCAATATAAAAATAGATGTTGTTCAAGTAATACTAGGGTGTTATTAAGGTATAAAATTAAGAGTATATTATGAAGTATTAAAGGGCCAGAAAATTCAGGAATCCCTAAACCTAAGTTGGTCCAATTACCTCCCAACCCAATGTTGTTCCCAAATGAATAAACTACAGAAAAGCAGAAAAGGTGGTAGTTTGTTAGTTGAGAATCCAGCACCAAACCTCAATACCAAAATACCAAAACAGATAACCCATGTATATCATTTAGTCAGCTCTCCTTTGTACATCCATAACCCACCACCACCACCACGCAATTTTGTCTATAAAGTATTACAATTTGCAATGCAAAATATGCAATGTGATAAGAACAGTGTATTGTTAAAATTTTAGTACAATTTACCTTGTTATTTCCAATAAAAATTTCTTTTTTAACATTCTTACAGTCAAATTATTTGGTCCCATTTATTTAAAGGCCCAGAACACATAACTATTCCATTTAAAATACTAAGTTATGTTTTTATATGCCACCACCAATATATAAATTCATATAATAGAAATTAACACTTTAGTGGCATGAAAATGCACATGCTCTAGTAGTTGGCAAAAAAAAATCAAGCAACAACAATAGCACAATTTGTCCTTGACGCCTACCACTGAGTAGGCTGAAGCTGCACGCTGTAGACTTTAGACCTTCTCAGGTCACAGCAGAAATTCTGTGTCTATGTCTTGATGCTGAGAGTGAGAATAAAATATGTATATATTGAGAAATCACCCTGGTCTACCACGTGAGTAGTGCTAGTACTCACAATTTTGCTCATACAGAAACAAGACAGTGAAAGGAACCAATTTCATTAACACTGATAGTCTAACCCCATTAAAAGTTTTAATACTCTAATATTTAGCCTGACAGAATGTCCTTTAATCAATCCACGATAAACCCTCTTTTTTTGTGTGTATGCAGGAGCAATATGGCAAGAGACATAAAAGATCCCTTTTCTCTAGGTACAATTACTGAATCTTCAATATTTGTTAGCTAAGTGGAACAAATATACTATTAATAGGTCCTCCAACTCTATTAAGAAAAACAGGCACGTATATAATTATAAAAGAAGGCACTTTATGGCAGGTGGTTGGTAGAAATAACATAAAAACAATGCTAGGTTTTCTATTCCAGTTCAATATTGTTGTGTAACTTGTGATGTGGATACATACTAATACCTCAGGAACTGTGTCTACTGAAGGTAATAATAATGACCTTAAGATCAAAATTAGATTTTCAGCTGATGATGCTCTTCCAGCAATTTCCACCCTGAAAATTTTATGTGGACAGTGGTCACTTGTCGGAAATCTGAGGTACTTTATTTGCCAACTGTCAAAATCCGATTGTCCATCGCAGCACTCATCTCCAAAGACCATTTATTTAGTGACCTTGACCAATTTTAAGCTTGTTGAGTACATCACACATTGGCATTCGAGGTGGAAATCAAGAAGATGAATGGTAGGCAGGAACTTACTGAAGCTGATAGGAATCATTTATCTTACCAGCATGATAGAATAATCACATCCTGATGGGGCATATGAGATTCTGGAAGATGATTTTAAGGACAAAGTCCAGGAAGATTTACAATTTTCAAACTCAGGGATGTTTTCAAATTTGTATGTATTTTCTCTATATAGTTGATGTTCCCTCTTTGGAAATATATAAACATTCCTTTGTGTCCAATGATGTTAGGGCATAGAGTATTACACAAAAGGTAACTAACTGTAATATGAGGTATTGAATATTATAAGCAATAATGTTTTTCCAAGATAAGATATGTGGGGTATAGGGTCTCTTTTTTCATATTTCCACGTTTTCACTAGTATTTTATACTAAAAGTTTATACTATTTTTGTTTTATTTCATGCTTTCTTCATTAAAAACGTTTGCTATTTTGTCTATAAATTATTACAATTCTCACTGCAAAATGTGCAATGTCATAAGAACAGCGTATTGGTAAAATTTTAGGTAGTACAATTTACCATGTTATTTCCAAAAATTTTCTTTTTTAACATTCTTACAGTCAAATTATTTGGTCTCATTTATTTAAAGGTACAGAACACATAACTATTTCATTTAAAATACTTAATTATGTTTTTATATACCAAAGGGCAAATGAATATTTTGAAAAATAGGTAAACATTTAGCATTAACGTATGATGAAGTCAGCAGAAATAATCATTTAAAAGGTTAAATATTAGAATTGTTTTACACATTATTTCACGAATCAGCATTATTTGTGGGTGAGGGAGGCTCATGAATGTTTTTTACAACTTTTCTTGTGAGAGCTTTGTTTTCCAATCTCATGTTCCTTATTGGTATAAGTTATTTTATGCAGCTGGAAATTGCATAATATGGCATCATCACCCTTTAGAAAACATCCTTACTTAAATTTCTATTTTTTTGAACAAACAATTTATAGTATACAATCAGAAAGCATTCTTTGGTCTCCTACTCTGACTTTCAATGCAGCAAGTTCTTCCTCTTTCCTTAGATGAAGTCTCACACCTTCTCTGGTCACATTTGTTTAATACATAGTAGTCTATAACTGCCTAAGACATAGAAATGGAACTGATTTATTACTTAGAGTTCAGTTGCACTTACTATTCAAGAATTTTCAACCTTATACTATGCCGTAGCTACTCCTTACCCAACTGGAGCTTGCTTCAGGTAAGAAAAATCTACAAGACTGCTTTGGTCAGTCTAGTTTCCCTACTGTCTCGCTTCCATCCCTCCTCCCTCATTTGGCTTCTCATGATTTCTGACCATTCTGGGATGGAGCAAGGGAGAAAGGACAGGTAAGAGGAATAGGGAAGTTCTTAACCAGTTATTTCCCATACTGAATGGTTATTTGGTTATTCTTCGATCTGACAGAATAGTAAAGCTGACACTTCCCTTCAAGGCGCTTATTCCTGGATAACATCAGCCAGGTTTTCATCTGGCTTCCTGCTCCTTTTCAATTATTGCTTCATTTGGTAATTCACTTTACCGAGAAACTATGTTAAAGTCCTACGGTCACTCCAGGTGACACTCTTGGGTACAATTTTAAGTAATGTCAGCCAGCCTTTCACTCATGAGACACTATATCTTGTTGCTGTTTTAAAAGTACCCAAATTCCTGCCAGGGATAAACTCGGGAAGTGCAGGCTGCCCAATACATGCAAATCTCCTTTGAACATGCTGAGAGAAGTACACTTTGGTTTTAAGATTTTCTTGATTGAGGTCTGTGATGTTTAATGTTAGGTGTCAACTCAGCTAGGTGACCCAGATGTTTCATAAACCATCAGTCTAGACATTGCTTTTTAAATAAGAGGAACACTTAAATTAGTGGGCTTTGAAGAAAGCAAATTATCTTTCATAATGTGGGGTGCCTCATCCAATCAGTTGAAGGCCTAAAGAGAGTGAAAATTACTTCAACCCTTGTGGAAGGCAGTGTGGCAGTTCCTCAAGGATCCAGAACCAGAAATACCATTTGCCCCAGCAATCCCATTACTGGGTATGTACACAAAGGAGTATAAATCATTCTACTATAAAGACACATGCACAAGTATGTTTATTGCAGCACTATTTACAATAGCAAAGACGTGGAACCAACCCAAGTGCCCATCGATGATAGACTGGATAATGAAAATGTGGCACATATACACCATGAAATACTATGCAGCGTAAAAAAGAATGAGTTCATGTCCTTTGCAGGGACATGGATGAAGCTGGAATCCATCATCCTAGCAAGCTAACACAGAAACAGAAAACCAAACACCACATGTTTTCACTCATAAGTGGGCGTTGAACAATGACAACACATACACACAGGTAGTGCAACATCACACACCGGGGCCTGTCAGTGGGTGGGGGGCAAGGGGAGGGAGACCATTAGGACAAATACCTAATGCATGAGGGGCTTAAAACCTAGATGACGGGTTGATAGGTGCAGCAAACCACCATGGAACATGTATAACTATGTAACAAACCTGCATGTTCTGCACATGTATCCCAGAACCTAAAGTAAAATAAAAATAAAAATAATGAAAATAATAAAATAAAATAAAGAGAAAAAGACTGAGGTCAGAGTTCCTCTGAAGAAAGCATTCTGCCTCCAGCCTACCTTGGAAATTGAGCTGAAGTATCAATTCTTCCCTGAGTCTCCAGGCTACAGGCCTACTCTATAGTCTTTCTCTCTTTCTCTGCTGGTTCTATTTCTCTGGTGAGTTTTGATGAGAACTTCATGAGACTCACATTACATTCTCCAAAATAGTCCCAGTAAATCCTTCTCTTTAACTGGAAGGCCCAGAAGAAGCAGTTCTAATTTCTCCCTACTGAAGGGAACTCTTTTGGGCGTAAGTTTCTTCAGAGAAGCTCTCTTCACAAATCTTTCTCTTGATACATATACATCCTCTTTGTGCTTGTGCTGAATAACATGTTTTCAGGTGTCTGTTCTGTAACTTCTCCAGGGTTTTCTCACTCACTTCATATTTGGTTGTATTTTGTATTGACTGAATAAGTGTTTTGTGGTGGTTCTTCAATTGGAGCCTGAAATTTTTGCTGCCTTTGCATTTTATTGTCTTAATTTTAAAAATCATATAATTTGTACTTAAGTACCTGTAAAGACACAGAACTTATAGTTTTATTTTGTCACTGATTTTAATTTTGTTTATCTCAGCTGAAAGGTTATTCGATTTACAATGTATGCTAGTTAATCATTCTTATATTGGCAACAACTTATTTAAATGCTATGTGATTAAAGGGGCTTACCGGTGAAGATGTCACATCAATTCAGTGTGAAGCTCTCGGCATCACTCATGTTTGTCAGCCTCAACTCACAAGTAAAGCTATATATCTCATCCACCCACCCATATTTTAGGCTGCCCACTGAAATGTGTGAGCTATTCTTAGCAAAAATAAATAAATAAATAAATAAATAAATAAATAAATAAATACATAAAATAGTTTTCTGTTTCCTAGGCAGATAAGTGGAGGCAAACCGACTCATGCTGCGATATATGAACCAAGCAGTGATGTGTTGAAGCCAGTTATACAGGTCATGAGAACAGATGGTTAATTTTTCAGAAATTTTGCAAGCTGGTTGTTAAGTATAGCAGTTATTAAAATTGATGATAGCTATGCTAATTATCCTACTTTAATTACTATATACTATATGTATCAAAACATCACTATCTGCTCCACGAATATGCACAATTTGCACAATTATTCTCAATTTAAAAATATTTTTTAAAAATTTACTAGAAATAATTTTAAAATTATAACTAAATAAGTGATGTTAAATGCAAAAACTAAATACTCAAAATACATCACTTCCTTTTTAATGTAACATTTCACTATATCACTGGGAAGCTCTTGAGTTCATTTAAGTCCATTATTATCTGTAAAGTGAAGTGCTATATAGTGGAGAACTGCTTTACATTTCTTAACAACTTTTCATTTAGTGGATTAAGATTGGTTATAATAGGAGTACTTCACCATGTAAAGCACTAAAAATAGGCTCTTTTGTAGGAGTGAGCATTATTTTTAATTTACTAGCACATCACTTCCCTTTTTTGTCTTCTATACCTTGTTTATAATTATCTTTAATTTCAAGGTGAAATCAGATTCTATAATCTGTGTAAACCAATTGACATAGGGTCAGGTTTGATGCCGTCTTGGTTTCTTAGTTAACTGCAGCCTAGGATCTATTCAGAGCTGCCTTCTGTAAACTTTCTTCTGACATATCTTTGATACATCATAGGCAAGAGCACATGAATTACATAGTCTCTTAGACTCACAGCCCTTATAAATCACCACTTCAATTATCTGCCATTGAGGTGCCAGAATCATTTGAACTCTTCTCATTAGTATACCTTGTTTTCACTCAACATACAGATATTAATTTAATTAATTCAGCATGGAGTATGAGATATCTTACAAAGGTATTATAATTTTGCATCCATTCAGCAACTGGAAAGCTGCATGATCCTGTTTTGTACAGTACTGTGGTTGAATGCAGCCTAGGTTTAGATGGAAAATTAAGGATATGTAATAATTATCTTAAAAAACTACAAAATAATCAGTTATTCTATTAATAATAAACAGATAACATTTCTAATCTAGATACAACTCAAATTTAGTTTTACTTTAAAATATGACTCATCTTCAAATCCTGAGGATTTAGAAACCTTCATACAGAAATTTATTTAACATCACATGAATTTGTATTAAAATTTAGTTTTGATAAAATAGGTAGTGTAAATATACAAAGACTTTTAATTATATTCAAATTAAATTGTTGGTGTACTTTTTAAAAAAAATCAATTCAAGACTAGGACAAACTGTACACATTTGTTAAGGTAAGACAAATATGAATTTTAATCCTAGCTTCAACCCTTGCTCTCTTTGTGAATTTAGGCAACTTGCCAAGTTGCATAACTTCTCTAACTAACCCCTTATCTAAAAAGCAGCATATTTTACATCTTAGAGTTGGTGTGATAATTCTTAGAAATTACACAAGTAAATATGTAACTCTGTCATTTAGTAAGCAAAAGCTCAGTTATCGTTTTAGCATGCTAAATTTGGGGTATAATTATAGTCCAGAGGGAAAACAAAATACAATTTTAAAAGTAAGCAGTTTAAATAGAATTAAAATTGCTCATGGTAGTTTAAATTTAAAACATACGTTGGATATGTTATATGCACTGATCCTTGCTGTCGGGCTTGCAAAGGCATGAAGGTACACACAAACTTTCCAGAGCGTATGCAGCATATCTTAATCAGTTTCCAGATTCTGGACTTTAAATCTGCCTTTCAAAGTTGCCTGGCTGACAAAGTTTCCTGCCCACCCCACTATTTGCGTTTTCTTTGCTCTCCCACTTTTTACAATAGGTATTCCCTGACTTTTCAGTAGAAGAGGTTTATCTTTTAGTCATCCAGAAGCTTGCTCAAATGCATTATGCAGGTCAAAATTTCCAGTCACAGGCCGGGCGCGGTGGCTCACGCCTGTGGTTCCAGCACTTTGGGAGGCCCAGGCGGGCGGATCAGGAGATTGAGAAGATCCTGGCTAACACGGTGAAACCTCTTCTCTACTAAAAATACAACAACAACAAAAAAATTAGCCAGGCGTTGTGGCGGCTAAAACCACATGGATTGTCAAACCCCAGTCCCAGCTACTCGGGAGGCTGAGGCAGGAGAATGGCGCGAGCCCGGGGGTCGGCGCTTGAGGTGAGCCCAGATCGCGCCGCTGCACTCCAGCCTGGGCGACAGAGCGAGACTCCGTCTCAAAAAAAAAAAGTTCCGGCCGGGCGCGGTGGCTCACGCCTGTAATCCCAGCACTTTGGGAGGCCGAGGCGGGTGGATCATGAGGTCAGGAGATCGAGACCATCCTGGCTAACAAGGTGAAACCCCGTCTCTACTAAAAAAAATACAAAAAATTAGCTGGGCGCGGTGGCGGGCGCCTGTAGTCCCAGCTACTCGGGAGGCTGAGGCAGGAGAATGGCGTGAACCCGGGAAGCGGAGCCTGCAGTGAGCCGAGATTGCGCCACTGCAGTCCGCAGTCCGGCCTGGGCGACAGAGCGAGACTCCGTCTCAAAAAAAATAAAAAATAAAAAAAAAGTTCCAGTCACAAATCACAAAACCAAAAGCCGACTCAGGGCAAAAGAATACTTGAGGTTTTAGAAAGCATTTGTGCTGGGTATGTGACCTACTTCATTCAATCTAGATACTGAAGATGAGGCATACATTAGAAATAATTCAGAAATGAGATGATTGTTTAAGGGGAAGCCTATTAGCAAGATTATTTGGATTGAAAATGAGTTCAGATTATTTTTTTCATGACAGAAAGTAAGTCTGATTTGGCTGATTTTTTTGACAATAAGCACTGGCTTTGCCAATTAAATCACCCTGTGACATTATCTATAAGGTGAATAAGATAAATTTGCAGCTTCACAACTTAAAGGAAAATATATTCAATGGATATATATGACACAAAGTATGCTAGAAAAAATGTTGCAACTATTTAAACTTATGATGAAAAATAGTAGATGTCAATTTAAAAATGTGTGACAGGCTTCATAGATTTACAAAATTATTTTAAGTTGTCAGTAGAAAAAATATTCAAAGACCAATATCATAATACCTAGACAGTTAAATATTGGATGAAAACTAATAGTTTGGTGTTTAATGTAACTGTACATACACATAAAATTTTATTATTCATCTCAGATAAAAATTTATATAGTCACGAGTATTATCATTATGTACCAGTAATAGTCATAATTTTCTGTGACTTTTCAGGAAATTAGTTAAAAATACCAATACCATATCTGTAAAATTGGTCTGGTAACATTTATTTACTGACAAGAGATCCTCTGAGAGTTATTGTTTTATTTTTTTGTTCTGTTTTAAATCATTTTGAACTTTATCAGACAGAAATAATTCCAGCTTCTGGGATTCAGAAATGAGATTTATGTTTGTTTTGTTAAGTGCTGCTCCATTTATCTCACGTTCCAGGGGAACACCAGGCTACAAGTCTCCTGAATATTTTCGGGATCAGGTCAGTTGAAATCAAAAACAAAACAAAACAAAACAAAACCCTCCGGATGGTCTCCCCACACTGGGAGACTGGTATAGTATCTCCCTGTGAAAGCCTCACTGACACAAGAGTGGACCCCAGCACTGTTGCTTAGAGTGATTCTGATTGGTTAATATTTTTATTGTGGAGTCGTGACCAGAGAACAAAATGGAAATAGTGCCCCCTAATTAAGTAAAGATATACTATGAAAAATTCTGATGTTACAGTAAGTAATCAGGCAGACAGGAGCAGGGCAAGTGAGGGCCCCTCACCCACCAAGAATGTCAGGCAACAATTAGGGGATGGTCAGGTGATTGTTAAACCGCCTCTCCAAAATAATAATTGGTCACAGTTGGCACCAGGGAAAGGCAGTCTCCCAATAGATAGAAACACCTCATGATGGTGATCAGTAACTTCCCTATAAGATCTCAGGAACTGGGCGAGTGGGCTCAAGCATGCATACTCTGAGGCAAAATGGCAGAGTTTAATTTGTATATGACATTCCACTAGGAACACTCAACTGGTAAGAGACGAATGGCCTCCAGTGAGCATGTGCACAATTTCAATAAACACACTGTGAACGCAGCCCTTCCCAAGTGCTGACAGACCACTGTGCTTGCAGACAGTCCACCCCTAGGGAAGAATCTGGGAGAAGGGAGGCAACCCCCCAGGAAAGCATGCCAACATATAAAACCCCAAGTCAAAGGTCAAATAGCACGCTTGATCTCTCAAGTCGCCCACTTAACCCTCTTCCAAGTGTATTTCCCTTCCTTTGGTTCCTGCTCTAAAGCTTTTTAATAAACGTTTCACTCCTGCTCTAAAACTTGCCTCCGTCTCCCACTCTGCCTTATGGCCCTCAGTCAAAGAAGGCAAGAATTGAGAAGGCAAGTATCGAGGTTGCTGCAGACCTCTATGGATTCAACGACACTAAAGCAATGGGGTCATTTACTGTAAATGTAAGGGTCAGAAGGGCAGAAGGGGAGAAAAAGTGGTGTTGACATAGTAGATGTAGAAAGAATCAAGTACGTCAACTGCCTGGTGAACAGATCTGGAATCTGGAGAAATACATGTTGGTTTCACTTTGATAGGACTCCTGAATGGCTTTTAAGAGAAAGCAGGGTGATTTTAGACATTAAATTTGTTCACTACTATTACTTTTTATAATTTACTTGTTCAACCATGTCTTAATAAAACACAACTAGTGTTATGAAATAATATCACTTATATCGTACCCACTCTAAATATTGAGAATAGATGATGACAAATCATCAAATTATTGCATTGCTATCAGAGGGTGGAGATCTCAATATAGAACTAGAAAAATTTAAATGGGCTTTTTTTCTAGCAATCTCCTTACAAAAAAGCATTGAAGTGCAGTTTCCTCAAAAAAGCATTGAAGTGCAGTTTCCTAATGACGTTTTAGGGGTTATGCTTTTTGTATATGTTTTTAAAAAAAGGAGTGAATTAGTTTGATATAAAATACAAACCATACTTATTTCAACATAATGAAAATGAATACAGAAAGTGGGATTAAAAAATGGTTTTTTTCCTAACAGCTTTCAATATATGTTTACCATTTGGGGAAAGTAGGCAAAACATACACAGTATGGTTGAGAAATCGGGAAAATAAACAATCTATTGAATTAAATGTTAAAGTTTTTTTAAAAAAATATACCTTAAGTTCTGTGATACATGTGTAGAACGTGCAGGTTTGTTACATAGGTATACACATGCCATGGTGGTTTGCTGCACCCATCAACCCATCATCTACATTAGGTATTTCTCCTAATGCTATTCCTCCCCTACCCGCCCTCCACCCCTGACAGGCCCTGGTGTGTGATGTTCCCCTCCCTGTGTCCATGTGTTCTCATTGTTCAACTCCCACTTTTGAGTGAGAACATGTGGTGTTAGGTTTTCTGTTTCTGTGTTACTTTGCTGAGGATGATGGATTCCAGCTTCATCCATGTCCCTGCAAAGGACACAAACTCATCCTTTTTCATGGCTGCATAGTATTTCATGGTGTATATATGCCACATTTTCTTTATGCAGCCTATCATTGATGGGCATTTGAGTTGGTTCCAAGTTTTTGCTATTGTGAATAGTGCTGCAGTAAACATACCTGTGCATGTGTCTTTACAGTAGAATAATTTATAATCCTTTGGGTAGATACCCATTAATGAGAGTGCTGGATCAAATAGTATTTCTGGTTCTAGATCCTTAAGGAATCTCCACACTGTCTTCCACAATGTTTGAACTAATTTACACTCCCACTAGCAGCGTAAAAGCATTCCTATTTCTCCACATCCTCTCCAGCTTCTGTTGTTTCCTGACTTTTTAATGTTCGCCATTCTAAGTGGCATGAAATGATATCTCATTGCAGTTTTGATTTTCATTTCTCTAATGACCAGTGATAATGAGCTTTTTTTCATATGTTTGTTGGCCGCATAAATGTCTTCTTTTGAGAAGTGTCTGTTCATATCCTTTGCCTACTTTTGATGGGGTTGTTTTTTTCTTGTAAATTTGTTTAAGTTCCTTGTAGATTCTGGATATTAGCCTTTTGTCAGATGAATAGAATGCAAAAATTTTCTCCCATTCTGTAAGTTGCCTGTATACTCTAATGATAGTTTATTTTGCTGTGCAGAAGCTCTTTAGTTTAATTAGATCCCAATTGTCAACTTTGGCTTTTGTTACCATTGCTTTTGGTGTTTTAGTCATGAAGTCTTTACCCATGCCTGTGTCCTGATTTGCCTAGGTTTTCTTCTAGGGTTTTTATGGTTTTAGATCTTGCACTTAAGTCTTTATTACATGCATCTTTGGGTTTCTTTTATAAAGAAATTTTCAGGATCACTATAAAACCCACTTTCTTTCTTTTTTTATTTTTTTTAATTGAGATGGAGTCTCACACTGTTACCCAGGCTGGACTGCAGTGGCGCCATCTCCGCTCACTGCAAGCTCTGCCTCCCAGGTTCACGCCATTCTCCTGCCTCAGCCTCCCTAGTAGCTGGAACTACAGGCGCCCGCCACCACACCCGGCTAATTTTTTGTATTTTTAGTAGAGACGGGGTTTCACCGCATTAGCCAGGATGGTCTCTATCTCCTGACCTCCTGATCCGCCCACCTCGGCCTCTGAAAGTTCTGGGATTACAGGCCACCCACTGTAAGAAAGGCTCACTGTAAGAAAGTGAGCCACCCACTTTCTTAATTATCTGTACAGACACATTGACTAAGCTTGAAATTAGGAAATTATATTTACTATTCTTTTAAGTTTAGTTTTTGTTAGTGTGAGGAAGAAAGGGCACACCTCCCCATTTGTATCTCTATCCATCTGATCTTTGCAATAGCAGATGCAAGCCAGATTTATAAAATGAAACACTGGAGAAAAAAATTCAGTGAAATGTATGTATTATGACACTGTTAAAATAAAAGTTAAAGGTTACTTACCCAAAGTCTTTAAAAACTAATCCTGAAGGCCTGAGTCTGACAGATATGTATTCATATAAAATAAACAGAACATAACTGACAGTTAAGTAGATCTTAAATACCTTTTAATGACTCTAAATATGCACAAAGTGATCAGGTCTAAAAATTGCCTTAGACCTTGAGAATGATTAATCCTACTTTGTTTTCAAATCACAAGCAATTATACTCCAAAGAATAATTTCAAGGTTGTATATTATTTTGCTGCTACCTGTATATTTTGCTTAATTTATAGTTCTAAGAAAGGTAATATTCAGTTTCAGAACTTGGAAATAAAGCAGAAACATTTACACTACCTGTGTTTCTATGGATACCAATGCATTTATAAACATTTAGCTATTCTTAAAATTTAGAAATGAAATGTCAGTGATTTAGTGAACTATTTTATTCTGCAATTTATGAGGCACTAGGAACATTTCTTGGAATAAGCAGGAACATAGGGAGGAAAGAGAGATACCAGTAAAACATTCCTATATACCATTAGTCAAGCTTTACAACAGAAAACTTCATAAAAATTTTTAAAGTTGCTATTTCATTCTGGGTGACTTCATAGCAATAGGCTTCACTCAATTTTATAATGCTTCCCAGAAAATGTGTTTACTTAGATTGAATGCTATGGATTTCTTTTGCAGATATGCATTTAATGTTCCATTTAAGACAGAAACAGAATGAAGTCTGCCCTGGGATATCATACTTGGGATTTGTGAGCATTTTCTTTGATTTTATCTTTTGAAGTGCGGTAACTCTAAGTTGTATTGTACTATGTTGTCATTTTAGGAGAGCTGTTTTGTGGTAGATTTTGATATTATACAACTATAAGACCTTTTGTTGTTAAATAATAGATAACACAAAACTCCCGCTTTTATCATACTACATTTTTCTCTTATTAAAAGCTCATTTTAAAATGTAATGGAGAGTCCTATGTCAGAATCATGAAAAATTATCTATGAGTAACAATTTGTTAAAATATGTCTTGTTACCATTCTAGTGGAAATCTACTCTGAGAACATGTAGGATATACTGGTTTTGTTCTTGAAGTAGAAAGAAATAATTCAAATAAAAACAGATATGAGAAAAATTATTACATAATATACTGGCTGATTCATTAATTTTTCTTTAAGTAATAATGCAGTCCTTTATTGAGCTATAATCTGACTTTTACAGAAATGTGCCCCTTTTTATGTCATTAAAGAGGAATTTAAATTGCAGCAATATTATTAAGGGGGATATATCTATTATCTATTTTATTGTGTTTTATGATATACGTGAAGACATTGGTGTATATTAGTCATTGCAATAATGAGTAGATACTGTGCTGTGTAGAATTTTAATGCATAAATGGCATTTACATTGGTTATTTATCTTTTATCTTAAAAAGTGTGCCTGTAGTAGTTATCAAAGACTAATGCTGTATCTCATCTATACAGACACAGGGAAGGCATTGGCAGGTTAATAGGACAAATCAGAACTCTTATTTTTAATTTTTGTTTTTTGAGATGGAGTCTCACTCTGTTGCCCAGGCTGGGCTGGAGTGCAGTGGTGCAATCTCGGCTCACTGCAACATCTGCCTCCCGGGTCAAGCGATTCTCCTGCCTCAGCCTCCCAAGTAGCTGAGACTACAGGTGCCCACCACCATGGCCAGCTAATTTTTTTGTATTTTTAGTAGAGATGGGATTTCACCATGTTGGCCAGGCTGGTCTCAAACACCTGACCTCAAATGATCCACCTGCCTCAGCCTCCCAAGACAAATCAGAACTCTTATACTAACCTCTCTCTACCTTACTCATGAAGGTTTAGAGGATCAGAGATGCTGCTGCTATATTTGTGACAAATCAAAGAAAGATAACTCCTACTCACACATATTCACTCCACAGTGTAACTACTTTGGTTCAAAATCTCACTTTGATTTTAATAGCTAACAGTTTTTGGGCAAGTTACTTGGTATTGCAGTCTCTCTGTTTCTGCCTCTTTAAAAAGTGAATAATAAAAACTAAACAATGGAATCATTATGAAGATTAAAGTGTTAATATGCATAGGAACCACTTAGAAAGGGCCTGGTACATGGTATGTGTTGCATAGGAGATTATCATTATTATCATCAATATTGGCTGTAGTAATAAGCAGGAAAATCATTGTAGAAAGCCCCAGAATTTCCATGTCCTGATTCTGCATATACTTGATTCTTTACAGCTTACTCCATCAAAATTATTCCAAGTCAGCCCGACTAAGATAATTTCTGCAACATGCAGCGGGTCCTGTCAGAGCTCCTTTCCTCCCGTGGTGCCTCTTTGAGTCCAGTTATTCATTGCCATACTGTTCCCTCTTGCTGTTCTGTCCCACTCCGTATGCCAACAGCAATTCTTAGGAGAAGCCCTAAATGTAAGTGATCCAGAGCACAAAATGCATTTACCTAAGTTGTTATGAGGAAAGAAGGACACAAGTAAAATAAGAGTGTAGCCTAACATATGGCCTAATGGTGAGTATAAAGAAACATAAAACCTAACTTGCTTTATAAGGAAGCACTTTACAAGTGTCATGAGAAAGAGGTGGCAGGGGCTATAGGAACTTAGAGGAAAGCAAGCCTACTTTTTGTGCTCTTCTCAGGCAGAAAAAAAATATATTGAAAAATAGGTAATAGAAAAAACACAGAAGTAAAAGGGCACTTCATGCAAGGGGAATAGTTTTTATGAGGGAGAACAGCATATAAAGAGGCTAATATGTAGATTGCTTTATATGGAATAGTGTTGTCATTGGAAATTATGGATTTGTTTATTTATCCACTTATATAGCATTGACCACACACCAGGCATGTTGGTAAGCACTTTCCAATTATAGATGAATATATTCCTTAACAATAAACATGAGAAGGCTGGTGTGATAATGTTAATGTCAGATAAAATAGACTTCAAGACAAGACATATTATTGAGATTAAAAAGAGGGGCCAGGCGGTGGCTCACGCCTGTAATCCAAGCACTTTGGGAGGCTGAGGTGGGTGGATCATGAGGTCAGGAGATCGAGACCATCCTGGCTAACACAGTGAAACCCTGTCTCTACTAAAAAATACAAAAAAATTAGCCAGGTGTGGTGGCATGTGCCTGTAGTCCCAGCTACTTGGGACTTGTAGGCTGTGCCTGTAGTCCCAGCTACTTGGGACTGCAGTACTTGGGACATGTAGTACAGGGCATGTGCCTGTAGTCCCAGCTACTTGGGACTACAGCTACTTGGGAGGCTGAGGCAAGAGAATCGCTTGAACCCTGGAAGTGGATGTTGCAGTGAACCAAGATGGTGCCACTGCACTCCAGGCTGGGCGACAAAGCAAAACTTTGTCTCAAAAAAAAAAAAAAAAAAAAAAGGAGGAAAATTTTATAACATTAAAATGTAGTCATTGGGCAGAGATAATCCTTAATATAAAAGTCAATAATAACAGAAAATCTAAATAAACGAAGACTTGTATTTATAAGACTTAAAGATTGAAATAAGTAAATCCACAATTATAATTTCAGATTTTTAACACCCTTCTCTCATTAATTGATAGGCCAAGTAGAAAAAAAATCAGTAGAGATGTAGACATTGAACAACATTAACTACTGAAACGTAATCTAATTGATATTTATGGAACATAACATGCAATAATTACAGAATATACATGTTTTTCAAGTGCACTCTGAGCATTCCTTAAGATACACCATATAATAAGCTATTTAATAACCCTCCATAAATTTTACAAGATTGAAATCTTACAGGGCATATTCTCTGAGCAGAACAGAATTAATTAAAAATCAATCACAATAAAATATCTAAAAAAATCTCCACAAGTATTTGAAAATTAATCACATACTTCTCTATAAATAAAATGTCAAAGGAGAATGTCCCAAGGAAAAATAGAAATTATTTCAAAGTAGACAGATATTTAAACAAAACACCAAAATTTATAGAATGTAGTAAGGCAGAGCTTAAAGGAAAGTGTTTAGTTTTAAATGTAATTCTTATACTAGAAAAAATGTAAAAGACTAAAATTAATTATCTAAGCCTCAACTTTAAGATTCTGCAAAAAAGAATGAATTAAACTCAGAGAAATTAGAAGGATGAAAATGAAGATAAGGGTTGAAATCGATGAAACATAAAACTGAAAAACAAAGAAGAAATTAATAAAGCAAAAAGATGATTCTTTAAAAAGATGAAGAAAACCCATATACTCCTAAAAAAGGCTACTCAAGAAAATAGAATAAAATCACTTTCTAATATTAAGAATGAAAGAAGAAATCTTTCTAGAGACACTGTATATGACACAAGAATAAGAAGAGAACCTTAAGGACAATCTTATGCCAATATATTTAACAACTTAGATGAAATATGCAATTTCTGTGAAAACCAAAATTATAAAAATGAACACAAGAAGTGACTGAAATTGATATGCTTTATAAAATAAATTCAATTTATAAATTAAAAGAAGCAAGCAAGGAAACAAAAATAAAAGAAAAAGAAAGGTTCATCTTGAAGAAAATTTCAGGCCCAAGTGCTTCATTGGTGGTATTTTAACTATTTTTGGAAAAACTAATATTAATTCTACACAAAATCTCTGAAAAATAGAGGAGGAGGGAAAAATTTCAAGCTTATTTTAAGAAGCTAATATAACACCTGTGTGAACCTGACCAGGACACCAGAGAAAACAAATTATAGATTTTTTATAAACAAGGAGGCAAAAATCCTTAATTACATAGCAAAACAAAATTCAGCAATATATAGAAATGGATGTATATCATGACCAAGTAGAGTCTACTTTGGAGGGAAAGTTTGTTTTAAAATTGAGAAAAACTGTAATTTATCACATTAACAATTATAAGAGCAAATTCAAGTGATCTTCTCAATAGCTGCAGAAAATGCAATCTTTGCTACCCATTCAAGATGAAACTGTACATCCTCAGTCTGATAAAGAGCATCATTTAAAGGAAAAAAACAAAAACTAATGCCAACACCTTACATCATTATAAAATACAGAATACTTGTAGAATGCTTTCTCCCTTATAAGGGGAAAAAGACAAAGATGTCTGTTACCACCATTTCCATGCCACATTAAACTGAAATTCAACCAATACAATATGGTAAAAGTAAGCATATTAAAAACACAGACAAAGAAAGATTTTGACTGTCTTCATCCACAGATAATAAGAGTATATATAAAACTCCTTCTGAAAAAATTGAGAAAAATTTACTTGAACTAATAAGTTGTTTGTTTGTTTGTTTAGAGACAAGGTCTTGCTCTGTCATCCAAGCTAGAGTGCAGTAGTGCAATCACAGCTTTCTGTAATCTCAAACCCTTGGGCTCAAGCAGTCCTCCTGCATTGGCCTCCCAAAGTTGTATGATTACAGGCATGAGCCACTATGCCTGGCTTAATAAGTTCATTTATCTGGGTAACAGCACATAAGATCAATATACGAACATAATAAAAATAAGAAAACAACAACAATAATAATTGGATATCTATTAAAAAAGCAACAATTGAAATTTAATTGAAAATACTACTATTTAATACTGTTTATACAGTATTATATAGTTATAATACTATTTACTATAGAATTGAAACATAATTATAAATAAGCATACCAAAATATGTTAGATTCAAAAATTGAAAACTACGAATCATTGAACACTACTCAGAGACATCAAAGAAAATCTAAATCAACTAAGAAATATTCCATTTTCTTGAAAAAGACTATGAACCATCATTAAGAGTTCAGCTTTCCTCAAATTGATGCATAGAGTCAATGTAATAACAATCATATCTCTACAGTTTTGTTTTATTTTTATAAAAGTTAACAGGCTGACTCTAAATTTTTTTGTAATTTTAATTTTTATTTCAATACTATTGGGGATGTTTGGTTGCATGGAAAAGTTCTTTAGTGGTGATTTCTGAAATTTTTGTGCACCCATCATCTGAGTAGTGTATACTGTGCCCAAAGTGTAGTCTTTTAGTCCTCACCCCCCTTTCAGGCTTCCCCCGAGTCCCCAAGGTCTATTGTATCATTCTTACGCCTTTGCATCCTCATAGCTTAGCTCTCTTTGTAAGTGAGAACAATGTTTGATTTTCCATTCCTGAGTTACTTCAATTTATGAAGAGATAAAAACACCTAACATATTCGTAAAGGAGTAACAAATTTGAACTTACCATGAATCTACAGTAGATAAAACAGTGCATTATTGGCATAAACAGACATAGATCAATGGAACAATACAGAATGTCTAAAATAGCCTTACACGTTCAAAGCCATGGTTTTTTTGTCAAAGGTTAAGATGTCATTCAACAACAACTACAAAGTGGAAATCAAAGAAACAAAAAAACTGTTGGAGAAGTTGAATAAAAATGTGTAAAACATGTACCTTAACTTCTGCCTCATGCCATATACCAAGTTTATTCAAGATGGATCATCAAGCTAAACACAAAACTGGAACTATAAAAATTATAGTAGAAAACCTAAGAAAATATTTTTCAACTTTGGTGTAGGCAAGGTATTTTAGAGTGAACATAAAAAGCACTAATCATAAAATATAAGTTTAAAAAATTTACCTCATTCTAATTAAAAACCCCTCGCCATCAAAAGTTACTACATAAAAACAGGCAAGCCATTTATGGGATAAATTATTTGTAATTTGTAATTTACAAAACACTATTGTGATGTATAATGTATTGTGACGTATAATGTCTTTAATCATCAGGCAAATGACTGCTAAAAACATAATTGCACAGGCCCTCCCACTGGTGTGTCTAATATTGAAAATACTGAGGACAAATGTTGGTAAACGTGGAGAACTTCAATTCTGATGCATTGTAGGTGGGAATATCAAATGGTTCCATAACTCTTAACAACTGTTGGGCAGATTCTTATATAGTAAAACACAAACACACACTTACTCTGTACTCCAGCAATTATACTCCTAGGTTTTTACTTAAGAGAAATGAAAATATATGTCCACAAAAGACTCACATACAAATGTTTACAGCAGCTTTATTTTTAAGAGCCCCAATCTGAAAACAACCCAAATGTTTTTCCACAGAAGAAGAGATAAACAAATTTAAGCATATTTATACAATAAATACTACACAACAATCAAAATAAATGGAGTTCTAATAAATGAAACCACATGGATCAATCTCAAAAATATGCTGAATGAAAGAAGCTAGCCTAAAGATAAATATTATATGATTTTTAAGTAAAGAATAAGAACAGGTAAAGGTTTTCTATAGAAATCAGAATAATGATTGTGATGGTTAATACTGAGTGTCAACTCGATTGGATTGAAGGATGCAAAGTATTGATATTGGGTGTGTCTGTGAGGGTGTTGCCAAAGGAGATTAACATTTGAGTCAGTGGGCTGAGAAAGGCAGACCCACCCTTAATCTGGGTGGACCCAATCAAATCAGCTACCAGCGAGGCTAGAATATAAGCAGGCAGAAAAATCTAAAAAGAGAGACTGGCCTAGCCTCCCAGCCTACATCTTTCTCCTGTGCTAAACTAAATAAATATATTCCATTAGTTCTGCCCCTCTAGAGAATCCTGATTTATACAGTGATTATCTGTGGAAGATAGAAATTGACTAGAAGGAAGTAAAAGAGAACTTTCCGAGTTGACAGATATGTTGCACATCTTGAAATGTTGTTTATCCATAAGTCCAAGCTCATTGAATTGTTCACTTACTATGTATAAATTATATATAAATTGTAACTCAAAAAAGAGAGTTGGGGGGCAGGGGAGAGGTTAGATACTAGTCTGTAAAAAAAATGCTAGGAATTCTGTCAAACTAGATTCCCCTGGTTGGCATAAGCTATGCCATTATACAAATTTAATAATTATGTCCTACCCCATGGATAAATCATAATTAGCACCCTTTCCCAAGTTGTTAGATACAGGTACCCCCTTTGCACAGACTGATTAACAAAAGTCATTCTCAGATGACTGCTCTAAGCTGCACTTTTACCCATTCCACTTTAGGCAGATGCTTTTGTGCAGAGCACAGTCTGTCAGATTTTTACACTACTGTCTTGGACCAAGGTCAAGGTCACAAAGCAATGAGTTCAAGTCTTATTAGAGATAATTTTAGAGTCAAGATTGACACAAATAGTATTAATTAGTCTAACAATATTGTGGAGGAGGTTAGAAACTAAAGCAGACTGGAATAAGGGAGGTAAGTTGGGGACTAAACTAGGGTGCTGGCATTGGGAATGAACAAGGGGATGCATACATGTTATGAAAAGTTACCAAAATTTGCAACCTAATCCCACAGGGGACGGGGGAAGCCTGGGCTCAGCATTTGCATGTGGGGCAAGTTAAGGCTTACTCTAAGGCACTTAAGGATGGTAGCATTTCTATGCCTTTATTCCATGCTCAAGCATCATAGGGAATCTGCTTCCTTTTATCAGAATGAGCATTTCTTCTCTATATGATGTTATTTGAGAGTTGGGAAATAAAGATGAATGAATACAGCAGGTTTCTGTTTCACAGTGTATTAATCCTCCAGTGAAGTTAACATGCAATTGTTCTTCAAATAAATGCTGTTATATAATAGAGCTTTCTAGAAAACTATCTTAGGATCACAGATAAATAGCTAGTTAACACAGCTACCAGGAGACAATCATTGACATCAATCTTAATATATTAGAGGGAATTCTTCAGTGAGTAATACATTATAGACAAAAAGATCAATATGTATAAATATCATATATCTGCAAGTAATTATGAGAACAGGAAATGATTGAGTTGAACCATGATGTGTAGAATATACATTAGGAATAGATGGAAGAGGTTTGGGAAATGTAGATTGAAGCAAAGTTGAAGGAATAATGCCTCAAATGGCAGGTTAAATGATTAAATCTTTTTTTCTGTATATTGAATTTTTGACAACTGCTTATCCTTGAGCTGAATTTTAGCTACAGACACTTCATTGACTTACCAAAGGTGTCCAACAATTTTTGAATTTATTGCAATTATTTAAGCATTGGAAATTATTTCAAAAAATCAGAATGCCAATCTTAATCTTGAAAAATCAGAAAGTCTAGTAACACTGTTGTCTCATAATATTTCAGCAGGAGCTGTATGATGTTCACTCTGTAAGGTAAAGTGTGCATTCCTCACTCTCTATTACATGGATCTTAACACTCATTTATGTTACTAGCCTGGCACTTATTGGCATTTGTGTCAGTTTTCCCTGCTGTACATGATAGGGTGTTAAGTCAGTTAATAAACACATTGTTCAGTAGGCAGAGACATTGGAAGTAAGGTGGATTGGTGGAAATAGAGTGAGTAAAATATTATAGCTAAGATCCAACTCGGGTTTGTGACATAGCAATGAAAATGTGAACAGAATGAAGCAAATGGAGTGCAAAGACATATATGATAAAGAATAAATAGGATATTGTGCCTGCTGTATAAAAAAGGATTGCCCAGTGAAGACTATTTCAGAGGTTTCTTGAGTATCAGAGACAACTATGACCAAGTTAAAGCTATGTTTAGATATGTCCTTACATGTTCATTGGCCATTCGGCCATTAAATATAAACTATGTCTTAACAGCCCAAGAACAAAGCACTAGATGACAGAGAAGTACTTTCCAAAAAGGGGAAAATAAATATAAGTTACATCATGAAGAAGAAATAAAGGTATTACAGAAATAAAAGGTGTCAATTTCTTCACTACCAACAACCTACTTTTTGGTCACTCCGCTAGGGCACAAACATTGGAAATGATGATTTTGGAAATAGAGAAAAATATATATTGAGAATACAGTTCTGCTTTCTGACTCATAGAGAGAAATTATTGCAAAGCCTGTCCAAGAGTGTTGGTGTTGGCTGTGCTAATAATCTCTATGTGTCATGTAAGCATAAGCATAAGATTGATTAAAGTTTTAAATAGTCTGTGTATGATGTGCAGAGGATCTGGAGTTCCAGATTGCCTTTCAGATGTCCTGAATGCCTGTGGACTTGTAAATGGCTGGGCACACTGGGGCTAAGAAAGAGACAATGTCTCTTCTTGTGAGCGTTAACACAGCACTCTAAAACCAGATGGAAATAGTTGTACCTTAGCACCTTAGCAGCTAACAATTCAGAGAGATGATCACAGATAAGACACTTGTCAAAAGATAATAGTACAAAATCCTGCACAATCAGAAAGGATGTCTCTCCCTCTCTCTCTCCTTTGCTACCAGAATACATGCTTCATATACTCACCTTCCACTTAGGGAAGGGGAGAGAAGAGGGAAGAAGAAGAAAATAATCTGTGGAGAAAAAGGAAACTGACATTTTAAAGATATTTAGCTACTTAAATAAGTCCATCTGAGGTCATAAAAGACGAAGAAAATATTAATATCTACAGTTAATTAAAAAACAACACATTCATATATTTATTTGCATTTTTCCTACAGTTACAATTACAATAGGAGATTGTGAGGGTGATATATGAGAAAAATAAGATTAGGTTTAGAAAATAAACAAGCTGTAATTTTTTTTGCGCTTTTTCATGTAAAATCTACATTTATAATCCCATAGGGCAAATGGGTTGATATTAACGCTGCATATTTACTGAATGCTTCCTATGTCCTGGAAACTGCCTAAGTGCATTATATTAATTAATTTACTCCTCATAGGGGAAAGAAATTCACAAGCTTTGAAGTCGATCTTGTCATTATCACTGTTTGTGGATAACAAACTTGAAGCAAAAAGGAAATAAGTAACTTGTCCACACACAGATAGTTATTGAGTGGCAAAACAGCAAAGCTAAGGTTTGAATTTGAACAGCTTGAGTGCCTACTTTCCTGTTCAGTCTGTTACTTCATTCCTCTAGACAGTGAACATAATAGGAGTATCATGTTATAAGGCACAAAAAGTAAATCTGGTTTTAACTTCTTGGGTTTTAATTAATTCCTTTATGTACAAATGGGAATGTGGAATATGGATTTCCAAAATGTTTCACTCATTAGAATACAAATGTGGCTGCAGCAATGAAGAAAAATATAGGCAGGCAAAAGAGTTTCTCTTCCTTGACCTGTGTAGGATGGCAATCCTATGTTAGGGGTATCAGATTGAGCAAAAAGGTGTTCATGAATACTGAATGACAACATTGGTGTTAAGCAGCAATATTTTTATACTTTTGGAACTTAGATAAATGAATGGTGTCCCCTTAAACACACATTAATGAACAGTATAATTTCACAAGACGACATTTATTTAACCATGAAAAAATATGGTATAGTTTACAGTAATACATATTGTTTTCTATTCCAATAAAATAATTAAAAATCAGAATTATACAATGTTAGTATTAGAATAGATTTTAAAGACCACCTAGTCCAATTTTATCATTCATTTTAAGTGTAGGCCTTAGAAATGCAAAATATAAACCTATTTTAGAATCCTCAGAGGGAATTTCGCCAAGTAATTAAAAACTAAACAAGGAACTACAAAGACATCCAAATGAAACAAGGAAAATTAGAGATTTACAGTGTATGCAGGAAGAGAATAATTTGTTTTTCAGGAATATAAGATGAGAAGGCAAGATTTATTGCCTTATCCTTTAAGGCAGAATAATGACCTGAAAAACTTACCAGTTAACAAGCATTCTTAACTCACGCAAGACAGAATAAGCTCAGAAATCCAAGACAGAAATTCAGAGTGCATAAGTCTGAAAATGTGTGTGTGTGTGTGTGTGTGTGTGTGTTTCTTTGTTTTTGAAAAGTTGAAAAGACATAAATAGCCATTCAAGACTTACAATAATAGAGACCAGAATCTTTCTTGTGAACTACAGTAAAAATACTTGGAAGAGAACTTTACGAAAAAGTGACCGAAAATTACACTAATTTATTTATTTTTTACTCTAATGTTCACTGTAATTCAAAATCATTCTACTTTGTGAACAGCTAATTTCAGTTAAGTCCCAGTTTTTGTGTTTGCAGATAGACATGTGTGGTTGGAAAAAGAGGAGACAGAAGGATGAGAAGATGACAGAGGAGCTTCCTCCCTAACCACATCAACCCCGCCTTAAATCATTATAGTCTCAAGTTTATCTAATTTTCTGATTTTTGTATAATACTTAATTCACACAAAGCTTTCATAAACTTAAAAATTAAGAAAAAATATTACTATCTAATTTTTACAACTGTCCTCCCCTACTTTTTTTAATAACAAAATCTGTCTTACATTTCAAGTAACAGCATCTTGAAAAAAAGATAACCCCCCACCGCACACCATCACCACAAACACACACCATATTTTTTACCACTCAGGGACATCTGAAGATCTCTGATTTCTTGTTTTTGGAAATACAAAAATATATTTTTCCTTGTATTTATCATTCTTTGCCCTTCAAACTAATATTAGCTTTCAGTTTGAAAAGTCTTTTAAAAAGTACGATGATTTTTTTTTCTTTTCATAGCAATCTGTGGTTAGGTAATTACTTCTACAAAAATAATATGAGAAATTTAATTTCATGTGCAGTTTGGCCCATTATTAAGTGGGAATATCATTATTAAATATTATTAAACCAAACCCATTTATTTCCTCAAATCATATGTAATATAATCAGATTTATATCTGATTTAATATTCTAGTATAAAATAAAATATTAAACATAAATATATAATCTATGTAACACCATAAATACACGATAGAAATTTATGGTCAGAGAAGGATAAGAGGTTTTTATCAATATCATTTTCTGTAACATTTATTTATATTACTATATTTATATATAATATAAATAGTGGTAGAAAATTATATTTACATAAAATCTATAAATATATATTCTATATAAAATATAGAATATGTAATAGTATAATCATAATAGTAATGTATCTTAAAGTGTTGGATATCCCAATTACCCTGATTTGATCATTACACAGTGCATGTGTCTATCAAAATAGCACATGTACTCCATAAATATGTACAACTGTTGTCTATCCATAATAATTAAAAATTTTTTTAAAGAAATAAGCAAATTTTGTCTGCTTATTTCATGCCAGGCTTTATGCCTTAGAGCTTTAAATACACTGTTTTGAAAAAATACTTATAATATCACCATAAGGTAGGTTTTACTTATTTCTCTTCTACCTGTCAACTAAGACAGAAAATTTAAGAAATTCACTCAGCTAGTTGCCTTGTCTCCTACTATCCTACAAAACTTGCTAAGATAATGGTTGTCTCAGTCTCTTCACATCACCTCAACAGATTTTTAAAGAACCCAGAATTTTCAGAGTGAGACAGTAATCTCACTGCACAAATTCACATTCTCAGAGTGAAACAGTAATTAAGATTCTTATTTTAATTAGAAAATAGCCAATGTCTATTACAATACTGTAATATGTATCTAAATATCACCACTACATCTATTATCATTTTGTGAAAGTTATAGCCTCCGAGTTTCAGAAATGGACATTACTATAATAGCTCATGAATAGGAAATGTTTGGAAAGTGAAAGAGTTGTGAACAACAATGAAAAGAGGGGTGTAGACTATATGTAATGTTCTATTTGTACATGAAATATTTTTAGCTAAAGGAGCTAATTAATTGAGTAATAGTAAAATGAAACAGCTTTTTACAAGCAAGTTTTAAAACCAATAGTAAATGACAACAATTACATTCTTGATAAACAAAGATGTTATTTACAAAACCTCATTTTTATGCCACCTGCAGTATTCAATTCAATGCATAAAAATGTGAAAATATATAATGCTAATTAATTATGTTCGTATAGATCTAATATGTAATTCACATAAATATATTCTAAACAATGGTATCTGTTATAGAAAGCTGCATATGTCTTCCAGGCTTTTAAAAATAGGATTTAAAAGTTTATGTTATAGTTTCTCGATTTTCTAACAGAAAAGTTTTCATTATTACTAAGAGACTTGTAAAGTAAAGCATGTTTACAAGACATGAAGGAAACAAATTTCGATAATTATTGCCTAGAGCAAAGAATCCTGTAATCTATTGGAATGGAAGAATAACACTGAACAACTACTCTCTGTAGTACAAATTTTTTCTAAAATAAAATATGTATTAAAGTAATATTGACAAAAAAGCTCTTGTCCTTCTATGACATCTTATTCTGGAGTTAATGTTGTATTGTTCCTACAGTTGCTAAATGTGGTACAGTAAATGACAGTTAGAGAAGGTTAATTTTGCTATTTCATACTTTTTCCTCCACTTTCTCAAACCTTTCTTTTTTCTTATTGATAGAATCATCATTCATTACAGAAACTTCCACAGAAATAACTAAAATTATAAATATAAACAGGATGACATTCAGATTAGCCTACATCTTCAGGCAAAGAAAATTTAACAACAGTCTATTTTAGGGATTTTCCAGAAAAAGGAAATGGACTGACAGATAGAAAATGATTACCATAACATGTAGATAGATTTACTGATGAATAACTAGATATAGCAACCAGTGAATCAACAGCAGGTGTAATCAACACCCCACTCTTAACTCTGGAATATACCCTCCGCTCATTGTATTGAAGAGAGAAGATAATGATTGCAGTGAAAAGACCCATTTGGGAAGGAAAAAATCAAATGGGAAGCAACACAGTGATCACTGTCATGACTTTCAAGACATTTTCTTTCATATTTTGTAAATCTGCCGTCTGAGAATTTTTCTGTTATTCACTTTACTTCAGGAACTGATATGAGCCGGTAACAGAAAGATGACTCTTCAAATTCCTACCCGTTTTTCAGTGTACTTTTTAATCCGTATGGCTAGAGATTGCTTGAATGATTTTTAAGATTTTCAAATTATGGAGAACTGCTGACAAGGCCTGGGTCTCCTTTTCTTCGACTAAAATTTAACACACGCAGCATTTTACTGAAAGGCACAATAAGTAGACAATACGATATATCTTGATTTTATCTTTCATGTCTGCTGTGGATGCCACCTTGGTAGACAGACAGTTTGATTCTCAAGTCATTTAGTTCAAACTTTAACCAGCTGTGTTTCACCAGCTCCCCGGACCACTCTCACACACATCTGTCACTTAGCTAATTCCACAGATTGGGGCCTCTCACAAAATAATGACAATTTGTTTCAGTTGGTTCCAAGAGTCAAAGGACTCTTATACCGCAAAGCCAACACCATTCTTAGGGTGAAACAATGGAAAGATTTCCATTAAGGACAGTGAAATAAAAACTTGTGTTTTAGGATGAATTCCTTCAGAAGTAATGCCTGAGACATGAGTTTAGGTGCAAGTAGTTTATTTGGAAGATAATCCTGGAAAGCATTGATAGTGCAGAATGGAAATACACCTGCAAAGAAAAGGGAGCTAATAGAGGGTGAGGAAATGAGCAAGTTTACCCAATGGAACCAACAGGAGATATTTGTAAGCCTCAGAAGTTGTCCTACTGTTGGGAGCCGAAAAGGCCAAAGGGGTCATGACCAACTCAGCATTCCACTGGCGGCTATATGATCAAACAGCAAACTGTTTATCATGAATGCAGGATGTGGACAAACTCATGCTGTGCCTGCCACCAGAAGATTTGCTGAGGGTGGTCAGTCCCTGGCGCCGGGCTCCTTGAGGTTATCTACTGAGACATCTAGAGCCTATTGTTAGAGGAATGCAGTCTTGCAAGCCTACTCTGGACCCAGCAGCTGATTTCTTCTTCCACTCCCTCTTCTAGCTATCTCTTTTACCAATAAATACAAAGGGCTGTGGAAAGTCTGGGCCCTTGTCCACTAGAGGCAAGGTGCCCCCGACCCCTTCTTCCAAACATACTCTTTTGTCTTTGTCTTTATTCCCATGTTCACCCCCCTTTGTTCAGTCCACCAGGGATCGAGGATGGTAACAAGTGGCATCCCAGAACAGGGACTCCAAGGTTGTCAACATCCTACAAAAGGGGCAAGTGTATTAGTTTCTTATTGCTGCCATAATGTGTTACCATGAATTTAGTGATTAAAGAAGACACAAATGTACTCTTTTACTTTTCTGGAGGTTGCATGTCCAAAATGGGTTTCAATGGACAACAATCAAGATATTGTATTCCCAATTAGGGATGCTATGGGGGATAATTGATTCCTTACCTTTTCCAGTTTCTGAGGCTGCCCCCATATCTTTGTTTTCTCCCCCTTCTACCCTCAAAGGCAACAAGGAATGGTTTGTTTATATCTAATCACTCTGACACTCACCCTTCTGCCACCTTCCTTAAAGTACTTTTGTGATTACCTTGGCCTACTTGGATAATCCAGAATAATCTCCTTAAGGTCAGCTAATTAGCAAACTTAATTTGATGCCCTGAGTTTCTCCCTGCCATGTACTTAACACATTCACAGTTTCCTGGGATTAGAATTTGGACATCCTTGGGCTGTTGGTAGTTAATTATTTGGGGACTTCTCTTAAATATAATGACTCATTGGCAATTTTATATTGGCCCATCTGTATCTAAATATACCCTGTAGCAAGATGAATATTTTGTGTAAAGTCTCAGATGCCTGCATTAAAAAGGAAAGGCAAGAAAGAGACTATTTAGTTCTGATACTGTCCTTTATGTTCCATTCTTTGCATATCTCAGATCCCCTTGTGCCCCCACAATATGTTTATTCTATTCTATCACTGATCTGTCAGTATCCAGTAATAATTTATCAGCAATCCTACCACAAAAAGAACAAAGCCCAAGGCATCACATTACCTGATGTCAAACTATACTACAAAGCTACAGTAACCAAAACAGCATGGTACTGGTACAAAAATAGACATATAGACCAATGGAACAGAATAGAGAACCCAGAAATAAAGCTCCACACTTAAAGCCATCTAAACTTCAACAAAATCAACAAAATAAGCAATGAAGAAGGGACTTCTTATTCCATAAATTGTTCTGGGATATCTGGCTAATCATATGCAGAAGAATAAAACCGAAACTTTACTGTTTACAAAGTACAGATAACTCAAGATGAATTAAAGATTTAAATTTAAGACCTCAAACCATAAAAATCATAGAAGAAAACCTGGGAAACAGCATTCTGGACATCAGTCTTAGAAAGAATTTATGCCTATGGTCTCAAAAGCAATTGTAACAAAACCAAAAACTGACAAGTAGGACATAATTAAACTAACGAGCTTCTCCACAGGAAAATAAACTATCAAGAGAGTAAACAGATGACCTACAGAATGGGAGAAAATATTTACAAACTATGCATCCAAAAAAGGTTTAATATGCAGAATCTATAAGGAACATAAACAATTAAACAAGTAAAAAATATTAAAAATGGGCAAAAAACATGAACAGACACTTCTCAAAAAAAGACATGCAAGCAGCCAGCAAACATGAAAAAAAGCTCAACATCACTAATTACAGAGAGAGGCAAATCAAAATCACAATGAGATATCATCTCATATCAGTCGGAATGGCTATTGTTTAAAAGTCAAAAAACAATGGATGCTGGCAAGGCTGCAGAGAAAAGAGAACACTTAGACATTTTTGGTGAGAAGGCCAATTAGTTCAGTCCAAAGCAGTTGGAGGTATCTCAAAGAACCTAAAACAGAAGTACCAACTGACCTAGAAATCCTATTCTTGGGTATATATCCAAAAGAAAATAAATCATTCTACCGAAAAGACATATGCACCTACATGTTCATTGCAGCACTATTCACAGTAGCAAAGACATGGAATCAATCTAATTGCCCATCAAAGATGAATTAGATAAAGAAAATGTGGTACATATACACCATAGAGCACTATGCAGCCATAAGAAATAACAAAATCATGCCCTTTGCAGCAACATGGATGCAGCTGGAGGCCATTATTCTAAGTGAATTGATGCAGGAACAGAAAGCTAAATACTGCAAATTCTCACTTATAAATGGAAGCTAAATATTGTGTACTTGTGAACATAAAGATGGCAATAATAGGCACTGGAGACTACTGGGGTTGAGGAAAGGAGGGGCCAATGGTTGAATACAAATTGTTGGACACTATGCTCAGGGCCTGGGTGCTGGGATCATTCATACCCCAAATCTCAGCATCATGCAATATACCCAGGTAACAAACATGCACCATTACATTCTGAATCTAAAATAAAAGTTGAAAAAGAAAAAAGAAGACTTACAAAAGAAGAATTAGAGATAAAAGGTACAGCTATAGACACCATTGATCTAGTTGTTTCCAAAAACCAGCATTTATAAACATCCTCCCTTCTCTACAACACATTTTAGATTTCCAGTCACACCACTACTTTTTCTAGTATAGATTGGTCTTCTCATGTAAGTAACCCAAAATTCTATCCCTGAGGAATTTGGCCTGTGGCTATTGTTTGCTTGTCAGGATGTGGCTGCTGCATTTGCCTGTTAATGATTATTCTTGAACACAAAACACCAGGAGGCATGTACTTAGCGAATGCCCTGAATTTTAGAGTTAACTCTTCTGCTCCCATTATGAGCTCATTACCTATTTCCTTATGAAACTCACATTTGGTTTTTACCTGCCTTTACAGTGACAGGTTTCAATCCTTGCTGGTCCACAAGCATAAAAACTGCAAAATGATCAGGTGGTAATCCTAGCTTTAGATTTGGTGGAAACTTTACTGCTAACAAATGGTGCACCAAGGTGAAGGATGTAGAGTGCTCTTGTTTATTTCTGGGTTCGGGCAATAAGAGAGTGCATTGTATAGAATTAAAAAACAATAATAAGCTATTTACATTTACTACTTTTATTATCAAAATGTACCAGCATTTCTAAGCAATATCAGTAATAAAATACTCCTTTCTTTTGGAATGAAAGCTTCTACCACTCTCCCCCAACCTTCTACCCCATCCTTCTGCAACAACTGCTGTTGCAGGGTTGAAGTTTCTGTACCCCAGCTCCTAATCCCCGCTCCAAGATCCAGAACATATAATTCAATAAACTTGATTCTAGTACAAATTGTCTAAGTGGGTTATTGAGATTAATGTTTAATAGAGCCACACCAAATTCTACCTTTTTTTTTTTTTTCTGGACAAGTATATTTTAGTTGGTGGAGTCATAGCACCATATACTAGACATTGTCTCTCTCTCTCTCTCTCTCTCTCTCTCTCTCTCTCTCTCTATATATATATATATATATATATACACACACACATATACACATATATATACACATATATATGTATATATATACACACACATATATACCTTCTGAATCATGCAAAGTGTCATCCCCAAGCTTGTGCATCAAGCTCGCCCCTTTAAGTGTCCATTAGAATGTTTTTCAGGCTTTCATCTTCCAGATGAAGCAAATTATAGTCTACTTAAATGAAAAAATAATTTTTGTACATTGATTTTATATTCTTAACCTTTGCTGAAGTTGTTTCTCAGTTCCACCTGCCTTTTGGTGAAATCCTTAGGGTTTCCTATATATAAAATTATATTGTATGTAAAGAGAGATAGTTTGACTTCTTTTGTTCTATTTGTTTACTTTTTATTTCTTTTCCTTCCCTGGCTAGCACTTCCAGTACTACCTTGAATAGAAGTGGTGAGAGTGAGCATTCTTGTCTTGTTCCAGTTCTCAAGGAGAATGTTTTCAGATTTTGCCTGTTGAGTATGATGTTGGCTATGGGTTTGTCATAGAAGGTTTTTATTATTCTGAATTATGCTCCTTCAATGCCTAGTTTGTTGACTTTTCTTTATCATGAAGAGATGTTGGGTTTTATTGAAAGCTTTTTCTTTATATATCGAGATGATCATATGGTTTTGTTATTAATTCTATTTATGTGATGAATCACATTTATTGATCTGTGTATGTTGAACAAACCTTGCATCCCAGGAATAAAGCTTACTTAATCATAGTGAATTATCTTTTTGATGTATTATGGGATTTTGTTTACTAGTATTTTGCTGATGCTCATAAAGAATATTGGCCTATAGTTTTCTTTCTTTATTGTGTCATTGCCAGGTTTTGTATCAGGGTAACACAGGTTCCTTAGAACAAGATAGGGAGTAGTCCCTCCTTGATTTTTGGAATAGTTTCAGTAGAATTGGTACCAGCTCTTCCTTGTACCTTTTATATAATTTGGCTGTGAATTAGTCTGGTCTAGGGCCCTCTTTGGTTGGTAGGTTTTCTATTACTGTTTCAGTTTTTGAACTTGATATTGGTCTGCTCAGTTTCACTTTATTCCTTATTCAATCTTGGAAGATTATATGTTTCCAGGAATTTATTCAATTCTTCTAGATTTTCTAGTTTGTGTACATAGAAGGTTCACAGTTATTTCTGAGGACCTTTTGTATGTCTGTGAAATTGGTTGTAATGTCATCTTCGTCATTTCTGATTATGCTTATTTGGATTTTCTTTCTTTGTTTTCTTTGTTAATTTATTGGTCTTGTTTATCTTTCTATACACCAATAACATTCAAGCTGAGAATAAAATCAAGAATGCAATCCCATTCACAATAGTTACAAAAATAAAATATTAGAAATATATCTAACCAAGGATGTGAAAGATCTTTAAAGGAGAAATATGGAACATTGCTGAAAGAAATAAGAGATGACACAAACAAATGAAAAAAATATTTCCTGCTCATGGATGGGAAGAATCAATGTCATTAAAAGGTCCATAATGCCCAATCTACAGATTTAGTGCAATCCCTATCAAAATACCAATGTAATTTTCACAGAATTAGAAGAAACTTTTCTAAAATGGGAGAAAATATTCACAAACCATGCATCCAAAAAAGGTCTAATATCTAGAAATTATAAGAAACCTAAACAATTAAACAAGAAAAAAACAATAACCCCTCATAAATGGGAAAAAACAATTCTCGTTAAAAAGTCCATGGATGATGCTGGAAGCCATTATCCTCAGCAAGCTAACATGAAAACAGAAAACCAAACACGGCATGTTCTCACTTATAAGCAGAAGTTGAACAACGAAAACACATACACACAGGGAGGGGAACAACACATACTAGAGCCTGTCGGGGGAGAATGGGGGCAGGGGAGAGAGCATCAGGAAAAATAGCCAATGCGTGCCAAGCTTAATACCTAGGTGATTGGCTGATAGGTGCAGCAAACTACCATGGCACACATTTACCTATGTAATAAATCTGCGCATCCTGCACATGTACCCCAGAACTTAAATTAAATTTAAAAAGTCATACAAGTAGCCAGTAAACATATGAGGAAAATGCTCAGCATTACTAGTTATCAGAGAGAGGCAAATCAAAACCACAATGAGATGTCATCTCACACCAGTCAGAATGGCTGTTATAAAAAGGAAAAAAACAACAGGTGCTGGCGAGTGTATGGAGAAAAGGGAATGACCATACACTGTTGGTGGAAATGTAAATTAGTTTAGTCACTGTGGAAAGCGGTTTGAAGATTTCTCAAAGAACCTAAAACAGAACTATCATTCAATGCAGCAATCCCATTTCTGGGTATATATGCAAAAGAAAATAAGTTTTTCTGCCAAAAAGACATGTGCACTTGCATATTCATTGCAGAACTCTTTACAATAGCAAAGATACAGAATAAATGTAGGCACCCATCACTGGTGGACGGGATAAAGAAAATGTGGTATATATACACCGTGGGCCACTATGTAGCCATAAAAAAAATAATGAAATAATCCATCAACATGGATGCAGCTGGAGGCCATTATCCTAAGTGAATTGACACAGGAATAGAACACCAAATGCCGCATGTTCTCACTTATAATTGGGAGCTAAACACTGGGTACTCATGAACGTAAAGATGGAAATAATAGAAACTGGGGACTGCTAGTGAGGTTGGGGGCCAGCAATGATACCATTGAAAAACTATTGGGTACTATACTCAGTACCTGTGATGGGATCAATCATACCCCAAAACTCAGCATCATGCAAGATACCCAGGTAACCATCCTGCACATGTACCCACTGAATCTAGAAGTTGAAATTATATACATATACATACACATATACATATATATATGGAAATGCAGATGACATAAGCCAATTGTCACATTTCCTCTGTCTTATTCCATTTATTCAAAGTGTTTTTATATACCGTTTTATGTCGTTAAATAAGACACTCTAAGAGTTTCATAGAATGCTTAAGCCAGACAAAAAGGAAAAGCTAAATCTAGAATATCCCAGTAAAGATGAATCCCTGCCTTCTCCGTGATAGACAAGGTATATTAAAATTAACTTCACACCAAGAGCTGATTGGTCTCCTAAGAAATGGTACCACATCAAAGTCTCAGAAGTAGATTCTGGTCCTGACAGAAGGTGATGGATTTGCTGTGGCTCTCTAGCATGAAAACTGACTTAGCTACTGTCACAGCTGAAAAAGCAATGCCTCATGGACTCTGATAAGTGACACAGGAGTTTACTATATTTGTGCTAATTTCTATGGGTCTATCCTCAAAAATCCTCCCAGACCTCTTTGCTTTTGGTTCCCTGACAATCTAATAAGGCAACATCCCCCTAATCAGTAGTTAACACATATACTTCTTCTAGACTACTCCTCTCTCCCTGTAAAGATGATGACCAACTGTGTAGCTGAAAGATTTGGAGATGTTTTCCCTCATGCTTAGCCTTTTGGGGCCAAACACTGAGTGAAGGGTGTAAAGGAACAGCAATCGTTTTCAGTTCACTTTGGCATATTGAGAACCAACCTCAGGCTTCTCCTTTTCTGGTTGTAGGAAATTCTACAAACACAACAGGTACTACCAGAATAGAGGCATTTGTTCAACAGGATAGCATCATGGGATCTGGGCTTCTTATTTCTGAAGCTTAATTATGTCTTTGAACCTGCTTGATTTCTATTCTGAATACCCCAATTCCATTTTGCAAGAAATTGATGCTATTTGTACTCTATTTTATGAAATGGTGTGTCTTACAATATGCAGCTCACGAAGGCCAACTCTGGTACATAGTCAAACGACCTGTGAAGGTCAGAGTCTCTACTATGGCCAAATATTATGTTGGTGAGAAAGTAATTGCAGTTTTTGCCATTCCACTTGGCCTTTTTTTATTGTGATAGGTTTTAGTTCACAGGTCAGGGAGCTCATGTAAGAAATCTGTTTTTAAGTATAAATATTCCTATTATAAAATCAGGGTCTGGAGGAATAATTACCAGGTGTTTCAGTAAACCCATAGGCTCTATGGTGAGATAGATGTGTGTATTGACTCTGTCACCTGGATTTTATAGGGAAGGGGCATTGTGTTATCTTGTCCCTCTGTTAACAATATCAAGGCATATTCTACATCTAAAAATCCATGAAAGTTCTGAATATTTTCCTTTCCCAATATTTTTCTACTCTTAAAAATAGGCTTATCTCCCTTTGAGGGATAGTTTAGAAGAATAGTGATTATAATACTTGATGTGACATTTTTGTGTTAATATTTCCTCAAAAGTACCTGGGTTCCAGTTCAATCAATGGACTCTAGGCTGAAAAATGGTTTAAGTCTGGAAAACATTTGATAAATTGTGATTTTTTATTATGATGTTTAAACATCAGCCTTCACTCTTCATTCACTTTCTTCACATTCATTCACCTGTCATCTTTTACGGTTGTTTATGTCAAACAATAACTTCATTGAATTCCCATCTATTTTGCCACTAGAAGAAACAACATAGTCTCTTAGCTTGTGTCAGTAATGCCTATAGTTAAAGTCTGCATGATTGTCATTCTGGTCTTGCTGCTGATTATATTATTAAGTTCATCTTACACCTAGTGAGCTTATATACTGACCCGTAACTTCTGCTTTCCCAGAATCCTAGTATCTTTGTAGACATTAGGTAGACACATTTCAGGCTGTATATCTTACCATCAATCTTTGCCCAAGAGGACTGCCCCCACTAAGTTTCTCAGATATATCAATACCTCCTTTGCTAGTGCATTTCTTGTCTTGTTGTGAAGGAGTGCTTTCTGGGTCATCTTGAACATCATTCTCTGCCACTGGGTTCTCTAGTCTTACATAACAAATTCACTCCACATGCACACACCTCAAAGGCATTTGAACCCCTAATTATCCACCTATTTTGTTCTGGCAGCTCCAACTCATTTACTGTAAACCATCATGTTTCCCAAAATTCAAATAGTTATTCCAGATACTTCAGGCCTTGCCAATAAGTTCAATTTTGAGTAATGGGAGAGTGGCCCCATATTGATAAACTTTCTCTCTTCCAGTCTTACATTCTTCCTTCTCTGGTCTAGTCCCATTAAGATTCTTACCCAGGCATTATCTTGCAGTTCCCGTCCGTACCTATTAACCACACTCCTCAGCTCTTTATTAAATGCTTTCTCTTCTTATAACTGGGACAGCACTTTAGGGCCTGATGATGCTGAAGCTTCATTCTTCATTGATGAAGAAATAAGGAAGACAGTGGAAAATCTTGAAGAGGATAAATATAATCATGCAAGGCATCTTTCTCAGATGAAAACTTTGCATAGTCTTCAGGCAACGAGAGGCTTCCTCTAGCAAGGGGGAAAGAGCTATTTCTGCTAATTCAGAAGATTCAGAGAATTTGTGAGTTCGAGATTCTCAAGCACTTTTCACAAAATACAAGTTCTAGGTCTCTGAGTTCTCCTTTTTTCTATGGGATGTTAGCATGAAAATCTTGCCAGAGATTTGACTTTAGCTTCCTTTATAATTCCACAACTTTCGCTATTAAATCCCGGGCCAGATTTCCATCATAGTCTCCCACCTGCCTCCAGGAGATGAGTGTCAGTTTAAACAGTGCAATCATGGTCTTTTAGCTTTCACAGTGCATCCTGGATTGATAGTTTGCTGACTGCAGACTGTTACTTTCTTCCTTTGAAGTTTAAAAACCTGGCCATTAACAACTGTCAAACAATTTCTCAATGCTTATAATTACCAGTCCCCCATAACTGTCAAGTTCTCAATCTACTGCATAAAATAATGCATCATTTTCTGTATTTGATCTTCTCCTCAAGCAAAAATCTTAATAAATGATGATGCTTATGTATATTAGGGATTATCATCACCCCAGTTATAAAAGGCAATGGGTTCCTTATTATCTTTTGGTCAGTAAGTAATCTAGTTCTACAATTTCTTTGTAAGAGTCTAGCTTCTAAAGGCACTTCTCTTCCTAAGTGTCTTGGGCAGATCCTTCAATCCCAATAAAGGGGAAAAAAGAGACAGATCTTAATCACTTATCTGAAAACACTGAGTACGTGAATAAGTGCAACTGAGGCTCAGTCCTACTTGTACTCTATGGAACACAGCAAATTACACCTTAGAGTTGTGTGTCTAAATGGTGAGGAGGCTGGGATATATTCCTCTTCTAGGCAGAATAATTCCCCCCACAACCAATCCCAAAAAAGCTCAAGTCGTAACCCTCTAATCTGTGAATATTTTAAATTACACGAAAAAGAATTAAAATTGCAGATGAAATTAAATCACATTAAATTAGGAAGATCATTTTGGATTATGCAGATGTGTCCAGTGTAATCAATTACCAGGATTCTTAGAAGTAGTAGAGGCAGGCAGAAGAGGACAGTCAGGTCAGAGTTATGAGATGTAAGAAGGACATAATCCACTCTTGCTAGATTTGAAGATGAGGCACAGAGGGCATGAGCTGAGGAATGTAGGCAACCCACAGAAACTGGAAAGGCAAGGAAATAGATTAGCCCCATAGTCTCCAGAAAGGGACATAATACTGCCAGCACATTGATTTTAGCACAGTTAGACTGTGTCAGGCTTCTGACCTGCGTAAGTGTAAAATAATATATTTGTATTGTTTAAGCCACTACATTTGAAGTATTTTGATATAGAAACAATAGGAAAATAATACAATCCCCAATACTTACGTTCTTCTCTGCACGATGACTGTACTGATTTCTGCAGCCAGAGAAAGCTCTCACGCAGTTTCAGGTCCTTCCAGAAAAAAAGCTTATCATAGATAGGGTGACAACAGTTATTTACTATAATATGAATGCCTATAATTATTTTTATGAGTTAACATTATTTTGTAATAACAGTCAAAATGGTCAAACAGGAGGAAATAATGAAAAAGGCAAACTCATTAGTTTTTATTTTGACTGTTACATAATAATTGTGCATATCTATGGGGTACATATTATATTTTTATATAGGCATAAAATGTATAATGATCAAACCTTTGTTATTTAGCATATCTATCACCTTGAACATTTGTTATTGCTTTGTGTTGGGAATATTTTGAATCTTTTTTTCTAGCTATTTTGAAATATACAATATGTTTTAAACTATAGTCACCCTACTGTGATATTGAATGCTGTAACTTATTCCTTCTAACTGTATGTTTTAATCTAACATTAGATTAATGTGTAATCTAACTGTAATGTTTAATTTAACACCAACCAATCTCTCTTCAGCCCTTTCCCCTGAGTCTTTGGTAACCATCATTCTACTCTTCGCCTTCATGGGATCAAATATTTTTAGCTCCCATATGTGAGTGAGAACAAGTGGCAAACTCATTCTTATCTGCAGATGGTATGTTTGTGTACCTGAAAATCTAAAGAAAAAGAAATTTAATTGTTTTTGCTCATTATGAGGTGATTAAGAGAAATAATTGGGCACAAAAATGGGCCCTGGAAATAAGTAACAACAGCCTCTTCAAAGATAAAATGAATGGACATTTCTGTGTTAGTTTTCTACTGCTGCATAACAAATTAACACAAACTTTGTGGCTAATGATGACACCCACTTATTAGTTCACACTTCTGTTTGTTAGTCCAGCATAACATGGCTGGCTTCCCTGCTTAGACTAAAATCAAGAGGTCAGCTGTCTCCATTATCATTTAAAGCTCAGGATCCTTGTGCAAGCTTATTCCTGTTATTGGCAGAGTTCAGTTCCTTGGAGTTGACTTATGAAAGTCCCTCTGTTCCTGCTGGCCTTTGGCCAGAAACCACTTTCAGTTCCTCATCATTACCTGATGAGCCATTTCATCTTGAAACCAGCAACACAGTGCCAAATCCTGATACTTCAAATGTATGACTTCCCCTTCTGTGACAGCTAGAGAAAACTCTCTGCTTTTCAAGGGCTCATCTGATCAGTCAGGCCTTCTCTCCTGGGTTAATCTTTCTTTTGCCATATAATGTAATAAAATCATGATGGTAACGACTCATCATATTCACATGCTCCACACAGGAGGTGAGAAGGGATTATACAAAGTAGAAGATAATTGTGATCATCTTAGAATGCTGCTTAACACAATGCTTATTTACAAGAAGAAATGTTAAAGTTTCTAAGAATAACTTTAAGACATTTGTAATAGCATTATAAAGAGTCTTTAACATGCTACTGTGTAGAACAGAAAGAATATTTTTAAGAGGAGAAAAGTCTACCCTTCTGTTGGAAAAAAAATACAGACTCATAAAATAAATGTGTAGAATACTTTTTAAATTACTACTTAGTGTTAAGATTGATTAGCGTTGGGAGAAACATTAAGAGATTCCAATAAAAACACCTATACTCTTTCTGCCTCAGAGCCCGTAGAGTCTCATGGGCTTTGCTGTGGAAACTTTCCTGTTCCTGCACCTCCCTTCTTAGCTAATGGAATGTGAACATTGACTGGTCAAGACCAATCACTGCTCTCCAGAGAAATGGCAGAGTGGGAAGACACCAACAAGTCATATGGACAGTTTTCCAAAGGCATTTTTGGGAGTGACTTAACCAACGTTAGGTCAGAAAACTAAGAAAAGCGGGCTAAAGGATGTGAAATTTTTGAAAAACAGTCCTGGTTATGAAGAAATGCTTCATGGACATAAACTAAAAGTCTACATCAGAACTTAGCCAGGCTAGCAGAGAGTTTCAGATTTCGTCATGTATGGTTGCCCTTTGGAAACGTTTTTATTGAATAAAATATGAATCTCAACATTTTATTGAGAGAAGTTAGAAGAAAAGCGACAGTGTTTATTGTAATCCTGCTGTTAAAGGCATTGCTAATTAAAAGCATCTTTTTTAGTAGGTAACTTTGAGAAAAAAATAATTTCTCACCTTAAAATGAGCAGTTGGTTTATGTTTTACAGTCATTGGGCATTATCAATCTGCTCAGTTTCTCATTTTGCTGTGATTTCTAAAACCTACAGGCAAATCTGTGGTCCATTTTATATACTGAATTTATATTATGCATTTGTGACTGTCCTGATTGATGCCCCACTTTTTAAAACACCTCCTCTTCTTTGTATGATTATCTTATGTTAGCTGTATCTTTAAATATTTTATGATCAACCTTATAGGGGAAAGCAAGATGTAAGAACAAAGTTAAAGTATAGGCTGTCGGAAATATAAGATATTCTATTGCATTTGGACTAATTTTCGGGGATATTTTAATATTCTATCACCCTGGGTCACATGCATCTCACCTTCCATTGTAACTCAGAAGGCTAGACTATTACTCAAGACTATTACTCAAGACTATTACTCAAGGCTAGACTATTACTCAAGGCTAGACTATTACTTGTGTCTAACCCAAGATTATTGAACTGAATGAGCAATAATGATAGATTTTTCTCATCGATCTAGACATTCTAAAAGTCTGACAATATGTTTTTTCTACAATAATTTCACAAAAGGCAAAGGCTAAAATAATAAAAAATCCAGGGCCTTCAAATTTATTTCCGAACTAACATTATTTACTTTTCACAGATCCAGCATTTTATGAGATATATAAAAACATGCCTTCAATTCAGTAATGAATACATAGGTACATACATACATGCATATATACATTTGTATTTGGGTCCGATGTGAGTGTGTGTGTGTATATATATATATATATATATATGTGTATATATATGAAATTTCAGTTAGATTGTTTTTGTAAGCATCATGAAATCAGGTATGTAAGTGTCAGAATTCAAAGTACTTCATTGCAAATTATACCAATCTCATCTTATTTTAGATGATAGAATATACTATTACTATTCATCAAATACTAGTAGTTAACTGAGATATAATCACACATCTTCACATTTAGTTAGCTGTCAAAATACCTATGGCTGCATTTATACAATTTGCAAGTGTAAAGAGAAAGCATATGAAAAGGGGTTGCACAACACAGTTGTAGAATACGTGTTGTGCTTGCTTTTGCTATTTAACATTTGGGTTCTTAACAATAAAGCTAAAATATATGAAGCTTATTACTATTATGTTTTGTTCCAAAACATAAATAACATGCTATATTGTAATTAATTGCTAGAGATTGGGAGAAGGAGAACAATGATCAAGATAAAGCAATAATAGATGAATTGTTGCCTCTATTTTAAAAAACTTTGCTTATTTATTCCTTTGCATGAATAAGCAAAAACAGAAAAAAAATTAAGAAAGTGAAATGCAGAGGATTTAGATTTATAACACAGTGAATAATGGTAAGAGTTTTATACAGAACTAATTCAATCTTTAGAATTAATTTACTTAGATCCTGCGTTACTGTGTCTCAACCATTTTCTAAATTGCGGCTTCCAAAAATTGAAATAAATGAAAAGGCACACAGTAGTAAAATAAGTGAGAAAGAGAATGCCTTCATACGGTACTGTGTAAGCATTGTAAAATGAGTTATTTCTAGTTAAATATAACCAACTTTAATGAATTATTTCATTGTATGCAAATTCAAGTTACTTTTCATAATCTAAGTGTATACAAATGATTATTTTGCATGAACTATAATTTATGATTATTTAATTACTTAAACTTTTTCAGTTCATTGTCTCCTTGACAGTGTCTAATGAAATTTCTTATTTAAACCATTTCATTATGGTATTTTGTTTGTTTGTTTCATTATTATAGAGAATCTCCTCAAAATAGTGGCTATACTTTTGACCATGTTTGAGGAAGGGGATATAATTTAATTGAAAAGAGACTTAACATAGTGACCTAGAAAATTATATTAATAAAGCTATTCTCAAATCCGAAGTTTATTGTAATTTATATATATGTATTTATACAAATAAGAATGTAATAATAAAGCTTGTTCAATTAAAAGACATGAAGTTATAGACTTTTTGAGCGAGAAGAAACCTTAGATATTATGAAATGATGATTGCTTTCTTTTCTGGAAGTACTCTGTAGTCATAGTGTGTTTTAAAGTGATATTTTTTAATAGAATACACCAAACTTCATAAAATTAGAAATATGCTATCTCTCTTTCTTTCTAATTCCTGTACACACACACACACACACACACACACACACACACACACAGCGTTTTTTAAAATTCTTTGATGCCAGCTGGTCATTTGCCTCCTTCTTCTCCAGGTAGTATAAAAACAAGTCCAGCTCCTTGACCTCCCCAATAAAGTGACACAGATGCTGTCTTCACACCAAATCAGCAACTTATAGACTATAATCACATTGCCAAGTTGTTTTATTAACTTTTCTTTCTCTATGGATATTAGTGTCCTTAAATTTTTCTACACTAAGTAAAACATGACCTCTAATTTCTACTTTATTTTATTTATTTGATTTATTTATTTTTGAGATAGAGTCTCACTCTGTCACCCAGGTTGGCGTGCAGTGGCACGATCTCAGCTTATCGCAACCTCCGCCTCCCGGGTTCAACCGATTCTCCTGCCACAGTCTCCTGAGTAGCTAATTTGTACTTTATTAATAGAATGGTTTTACAAAACGGCCTTCCTGTGTGTATAGAAACTGTTGTATGTAATGTTCTCAAACTGTGTTGCTATTATGCTCAGAACAGCCCTCACTACTGCAGCATTAAATTGCATTATGAGATAATTCATAAATTTAAAAAAATCATTGAAAATTCTACAAACATGATATCTGGCAGCATATATTCTCTAAGTTTAAATATAAGAGAATGTGAGTTACAAGTTTAAAAAATCACTTTGTTAATGTTATAAAAATTGTTTGGTAATCTAATATATATTATAATGAATGTTTGGCCTTTCTTATGAAGTTTTTGTGGCAAGACTGGGTTCTATTTTAAGACCCCAGTTTCTATCATGCCCAGCTTGGAACGTAGTATTTGGATCACTCTGTGTTCTACTTAGACTAGATAGTGTGAGACATGTGGAGGAAATGAAGGGGCAAAGCCATGGTTACAGTACAGATTATCTAAAATCTTTGAAACCTCCAGCTTAAATCTTTCCTACATCTAACTATAATAAAACAACCTCTCCTTCATGCTATTTGAGTTCCATTTTTAAAAATCCCTTATTTTAGCCTAGGGAAGATCCAAGAAGCAGGAAGTGAAAAGGAAGTAAAACCCAGGTTGGCAAATTAAGTTTTATTATTGTAAAATATTCATAACTTACAATGTAACATTTTATCCATTTTAAGTATACGGTTCATTGATATGCAGTACATTCTCATTGGTGTGCAATCATTACCACTATACATGTCCAGAAATTTTTCATCATTGCCCACTAACACTCTGTACCCATGAAACAATAACTCCTCACACTCCCTCCCTCTAGCCACTGGTAACCACTGTTCTCTCTGTCTCTATGAATTTCACTCTTCTAGGTACCTCATATAAATGGAATCACATAACATCTTTTTGTGTCTTGTTTATTTCACTTATCATAACGTCCTCAAGTTTTATCTGTGTTGTAGCATGTATTAGAAATTTATTGCTTCCTAAGGCTGAATAATAATCAATTGTAGGTACATATCATATTTTGTATATCTTTTTATTTGGGAATAGACATTTGGATTGTTTCCACCTTATGGTTATTATGCATAATGCTACTCCGTACATTGGTGTACAAATATCTGTTTTAGCCCTGTTTTCAATTCTTTTGTCTATATGCCCAGAAGTGGAATTGCTGAATAATATGGTAATTCTGTGTTTATGTTTTTAAGGAACCACTTTTTTTTTTAACAATAGAAGTTTGTTTATTTTAATACCATGAAATCTGATTGAAATGCTTAAAATGCTGTCGTACAATTGAGTTTCCTAAAAATAATTATATATACAGTGCCAGCACATTAATATTATGTGGCCAATATTTATCTTTATAAAACTGAATCGAGGTTTTACTGCACTGGCCTAATACAGCATATGTATTGTGTATTAATATACCTAAAATGTAGAGTTGAAGAAGGGCATGCCTTGATAGAGAGAAGTTTGTATTTGGGTCCAATTTATAGATTGCCTTGGAAGAAGATGATTGGTAAAAGTAAGCAAGAATCAAGTAGCTATTTTGAAGAACAGCTGCATATCATATAGACAATACTGAAAGGCAAAGGATATTGAGATTTTATGTAAATCATGCTTCATATTTAACATTGATAACCTGAAGGAAACCCTTTCTGTTTATCTAGCTGACTTGACGTGTGATTACTTTTACCACTCAGAGCAGTCTCCTCACATGTCACAGATTTTATTATGCTCCAGATTTTCCAGCAAATAAGCATATAATAAATGGAAGGCCTCTGTCCAAAATAATAAAAATGGCTAAAATACTCTCTTGATTTCTCTTTGTATTGAAAGCTATAGAAGTCATTTCATGATATTTTCCACAAGTATATTTAAATATTGTTTAACTTACTGCCTTATATTTGCATGTTTTATGTAAATCCCACACAAAACCATATGTAATAGTAATTTGGTAGTACCTGAAAATAATGTCTTTTCATTTTTAAGATAAAACATTGAACATGAAAACATATAATTTTTATTTTTTATCCTGCAAGTTTTCATCCAAAAAATTGTTATATAACTCTTGCTTAGATTGCTTATAAATCATTTTATTTATACAGATTAATCAGGGCCCTTACTTGCATTCATACATTTAAAAATATATATACTAAATATAAATGCTGTTAGTTATGTTTATTAGTTAAAATATATTAATAAACAGTTTCTATAATTTTGTTGGTCCAAGTATGTTGCCAGTACTGTATTTATTGCTCATCAATTCTTTTCTTTTTCTGTATATGTTCAACACACTTGATGTATTAAATAATGTGTGAATATGTATCAATGATTCAGTGACATTCCTAAATTTGGTATAATCATGAGTAAGCAAAACCTCTACAGATAACCATCATTCCTTTTGTGGTTACTAACTGACACTCTGAAGAATACAGAAGATTGTTTAAATTAAGAAGATATCAAATACAAGAAACAAAATAAAGCAAACAAACAAGCAACTTCAAATATTTATATTAAAGAAAAATTATAAACCTTACATTGAAATTCACTAGAAATGACACATAACTTCTGAGATCTCTTGATCTCTGGGAGATCTTTGTTTCTCATGAAAAAAATTTATTCTTTCTCCATAAGAAAAATCTTGAAAAATAAAATATGTAAATAAAAGTTGAGCCAATGGTTACTGATCTCGTTTGGCTCTGTGTCCCCACCCAAATCTCATGTTGAATTGTAAGCCCCACGTGTTGCAGGAGGGGCCTGGCAGAAGGGTGATTGAATCATGGGGGCAGACTTCCCCCTTGCTGTTTTTGTCATAGAGTTCTCAGGAGATCTGGTTGTTTAAAAGTGTGTAGCACTCTTCCCTTCGCTCTCTCTCTCTCCTACCACCACGTGAAAATGTGCTTGCTTCCCCTTTTCCTTTCTGCTGTGATTGTAAGTTTCCTGAGGCTACCCAGCCGTGCTCTCTATATAGCCTGCAGAACTGCAAGTCAATTAAACCTTTTTTCTTCATAAATTGCCCAGTCTCAGGTAGTTATTTATAGCAATGTGAGAACAAACTAATTTCAAATTATTTAACATCATAAGCTCTGTTTCATTATTTTTATATATTAGGTACTAAAGCATATCTTTGATTGAACAATAGCATGTGCCAAGTAATAATTTAATAGTTTTCTATGAATCGTAGCATATATCATATGGAAACTCTGATCACCAAGAAAATGTGTCTCAGCATGAAGTAAATATACTTGCAAACAAAAGTAAATATACATGTAAAAGTAAAGTGTAAAGTGTAAAATGTGGCCTTTATAACAACCTTGTTATTTCTATTGTGCTTATTGAACTGAAAGTACTTTGAGAATATCCATTATTCTTTTCAATGCACTATGGGAACCTGAAGCCTCTGGGCTAGAAATCATTGGAATTAGAGTTATGTGCTCACATAAGCAGATTCAGACATGTAATTGCTTTTAAATAATTCTCCAATCTATTGCACCTATTATAGGATGCATATAAAAAACTATATATATATATATATATATATATATATATATATATATAGTTTTATATATATATATTAGATGGAGTCTTGCACTGTCACCCAGGCTTGAGTGCAGTGGCACAATCTTGGCTCACTGCAAGCTCCACCTCCTGGGTTCAAGCGATTCTCCTGCCTCAGCCTCCCAAGTAGCTGGGAGTACAGGTGCCTGCCACCACGCCCAGCTAATCTTTTGTATTTTTAGTAGAGACCGGGTTTCACCATCTTAGCCAGGATGGTCTCGATCTCCTGACCTTGTGATCTGCCCTCCTCGGCCTCCCAAAGTGTTGGGGTTACAGGCGTGAGCCACCGTGCCTGGCCAACAAAATATATTTTTAAAGATAAAGAATAAAACCGGAACTATGTCCACGATAAAAAGTGTAGCTGTTCATATTCTTTTTTTTTTCTGAATCCATTGTTAATGTTTGCATTCTTGAGGGCTACAAGAATTTCACTTTAATTGCTCCCATCACCATTCTTCACAACATCATTTTTTTCTTCTTTCTATTAAAAAGAATTTTATTAAAGTATAATAGACATACAATAAAATTTACTCATTTAAGTATACTATTCAACAATTATTAGTAAATTTACAGAGTTGTACAATCATCAGAACAATCTAGTTGGAAAACATTTCCATTACATCAAAGAGCTTTTTGCTGACCATTTGTAGACAATCCTTCTTCTTACTGGCAACCCCAGGAAAACACTAATCCTCTTTCTGCCTCTAGCAGCAGATGTTTCATGTAAATAGAATCATGGAATATATGATCTCTTGCGTCTGGCTTCTATTAGCATTATATTTTGAAATTCATCCATGGTTTATTATATATCAATAGTTTATTCCTTCTTATGCTCAATAGTGTTCCATTGTATTCCATTTTATTAGTTTTCTAGGGCTGCCATAAAAATGTACCAAAAACTTGGTGGCTTAAGAAAACAGAACTTTATTCTCTCACAGTTTCTGAAAGCTAGATGTCTGAAATCTAAGCATCAGAAGAGCCATACTCTCTTTGATAGTCCAAGGGGAAAATCCTTCCTTACTCCTTCCTAGTTTCTTATAGTTCCTGGTAATCCGTGGGCGTTTCTTGGCTTGCAAAGGCATCATTCCAATCACTGTCTCCATCATCACATGGTATTCTTCCTGTTTGTCTCTGTGTCTCTTGTGTTTGCTCTTCTTATAAAGAGACCAGTCATTAGATTAGGGCCTACTTTAATCGAGTATGACTTCATTTTAAGTAATTACATATGCAAAGACCCAATTTCCAAATGAAATCACATTCTAAGGTTCCAAATGAAGATGGATTTTTTGAGGAGATATTATTCAACCCAGTACATACATTTTGTTTATGCATTCACCAGTTGATGTACAAGTGGATTATTTCCAGCTTTTGGCTATTATCAACAATGTGGCTGTAAATATTTGCATGTATGTGGCTGTGAAAACTATATTTTCTTTTCCCTTGAGCAAATACCTAGGAGTGAGATCACAGGGTGGTATGATAAACATATTTTACTTTTTACGAAACTGTCAAATACTTTCCCAAAATGGCTGCACCATGTTGCATTCTTAAGAACTGGATGAGTTCCAGCTTTTCCCCCTCTTCACCACACCTGTTATTGTTTGTCCTCTTTATTATTGCCATTTGAGTGGTATGAAATAGTAATTGATTTTCCTTATAATGTGCATTTCCCTAATGAATAATAATGTTAAACATCTTTTTAAGTGTTTATCAAACATACATATATTTTCTGTGGCGAAATGCCGGTTCAAATATTTTGTCAATTTGTAATTGTATTATTAATCTTTTTACTATTAATATCCAGATATAGTTATTTTCTCAAATACATAACTTGCAAATATTTCTCCCAGTTTATGGCTTGTATTTTTATTTCCTTATTGGTGTTCTTTCAAGCATAAAAGTTGTTTGGTTTTTTAAAGGCGCATGCGCATTTTATTAATAAAAACTAACAGTGCCAAGTTAAACAAGTCAGACAATTAAAGTCTCTTCATATTCCATAAAATATTACAGAAAAGTTTATTTGTGTTTCAATAAAAATACTATCATTTTAGAACAGGCAGCTAATAGCAACAGTGCAGGTAAAGGGATTTGTGAATAAATTTTAAAAGAGACTACTGCCTGGTCTTAAATTCCTTTTTCTTTTTATAAAAAAAACTATTAAAAATGTTTGACAAATTTTGAGTTAAAATTGTTAAAACATTCTCTATATTTAATTTCAATTGTATAGTGGATTACTGGAAGGTGCTTATGAAACAAATACATTTGTTTCAAGTACATGTCTTTAAATTATAGACTTACAGGTATGTAAACAACTATATAATAAAAGGTTTCCAAAAGCTGTCTGTAAGAAATCAGGCAAATTTTACCATAAGCAATAAACCATTCCAAGCCATCCAGACAGTCTCCATAGCCGCACCAGCGTGGCAATAAGCTTTAACCAAGCAAAACAAAAACGAACAAAACAAAAGCGCTTTGCAATTTGTTGCTGCAAAATAGGGAAAGAAAAGAGTGTATAAATCTGATGGAATCACAACAGTCAATATAATTTAAGGGAAAATAAAGTGAATAAGATTGATGTTGTTTATTGTTTAGAAAGTCGAATTCTGGCCAGGCGTGGTGGCTCACGCCTGTAATCCCAGCACTTTGGGAAGCTGAGATGGGCGAATCACGAAGTTAGGAGTTCAAGGCCAGCCCAACTAACGTGGTGAAACCCCGTCTCTAGTAAAAATACAAAAAATTAGCTGGGTGTGGTGGTGGGCCCCTGTAATCCCAGCTATTCAGGATGCTGAGGCAGGAGAATCGCTTGAGCTCGGGAGGCGGAGGTTGCAGTGAGCTGCGAACATATCACTGCACTCCAGCCCTGGGAACAAAGTGAGACTCTTGTTTCAAAAAAAAAAAGAGTGAATGAATGAAAGTCAAATTCTGCTGTTTTCTTGGGGCTCTGGACACCGTACCGCTGAACAAATGGAAAACTCCACAGTGTCACTATACACCAGCCGGGGTGCCATCCAAACTCACGGCAAATAAACGGCATCCAGTGCTCACCATCCACACCACAACAGGAGGGCGTTTTATTTTAATGGATGTGGATGAAATACAATTTCTTCAGCAAACTCGGCGAAAATTTTTCAAAAATGAACTGAGCACTTAAAGAAAAATAGAAAATGAAAACACAAAATCCTAAGAAGTAAATAAATGCTCTGCATCAGCACACTGGTATCAAAAGTTGTTAATATGTAATACAGTCAAATGTATTCTTTAAAAACTAGATCATGCTCTAGCATTTCAGATTCAGAAATTCTAATATTTATAATAATCTGTGAAAAAAATATTGTTTACCACTTTGTACAAATGATAAAGAACCTTACTCATATTTTTAAAAACTACTATATAATATTGTGTGATGAAAGAAAGTTAATATTTAGCTAGTTTGTATTTAGCTACACATTTTGCATATTTTCATTTTTTATTTAACCTTTGGACATTGTGCTTTTAGGGCAGTTTTCCAGACCCCACAGATTTGTGCGTAATTTTCGTGTGTGTGGTTTTGTGTGTGTGTGTGTATGTGTGTATTCACCTGCATTACAGATAAATACCTCACTTATTAAAGGTTACAGTTTTACTTAAAGATGTATATGTGTGTCTACATATATGTATGTATTGTGTGAGAGTGTGTTTGTGTATGTGTGTGTTTCGATAATTCATTCACCAACTCTGTAAACATTATTGAGCACCTACTGTGAGACAGATGCTAAGCCTGGTACTGGAGATTCACCAGTAAACAAAACAGATAATCTTATTTATGGAATGTAAATTCTAATCTGAAAAACGTGGAATCAGGGATTAAGATGGAAGATAGGAAGCAGGACTAGCTTGCAGCTCCCGCTTGGATGGACAGAGCAGTGTGCGGAGACTCACATCATGCATCTTTGCTCCAAGAACTACCACAAGAACATACCAGGAAAGCCAAGAGAATCCACAGACCCTTTGAAGGAACTGGATCACCACTGCAGGCTTCCTGAGATGCCAAAAAACTGTGAGTTTGCTTGCTTTCTCAACAGAGAGGCTGGTAGTCTGGAGCCAGTTCTCAGCTCTGGTCACTGGCTCCTGGAAATCAACTCAGTGCTGTTGGGAGGGCATGGTGGGAGTGAGTTCGGCCGTTAGGACTGTGGGCTGCCTGGAAGCAGTGTGAGGCCTGTGATTGCCAGCTTTCCCCCACTTCCCTGGCCACCTGTATAACTCAGCAGAGGCAGCCATAATCCCCCTGGGAATATAACTCCATTGGACTGGGAATGACACCTCCATCACCCATAGCAGTGGCAGAAAGCCCTGCCCAAAGAGAGGCTGAGCTCAGACACACCTATCCCTGCCCTCATCTGGTGGTCTTTCTCTACCTGCCCTGGTAGCTGAAGACAAAAGCCATAATCTCTTAGGAAATCTATGGCCTTGTTCACTGGCTTAGAAACCTGAATACTTAACCAAGTATTCCTAGGGCAAGTTTGCATCCTGCCTATAGGACCACAGCTTATACGTTCTTGAAAACACTACCTTCTGGCTGGAGGCCAACCAACACAAAACGAGTACACTGAACAAACACACAACCAAGGACCCTCACAGAGTGCCCTTCATTCCTCTGCTTCCTCCACCAGAGAAGATGCTGGTGTCCATAACTGCAACATCTCAAGACAGATCACATCGCAGGACTCTTTGCAGACACTCCCCAGTACCAGCCAGGAGTCCAGTAGCTCTGCTGGGTGGCTAGACTCAGAAGAGCAAAAACAGCCACTACAGTTTGGCTCTCAGGAAGCTCCATTTCTAGGGGAAGCAGGAAAGCACCACATCAAGGGAGCACCCCATGGGATGAAAGAACCTGAACAGCAGCCCTTGAATTCCAGATCTTCCCTCTGACCTAGTCTACCCAAATGAGAAGGAACCAGAAAAACAATTCTGGTGATATGAGAAAACAAGGTTCTTTAACAACCCCAAAAGATCATACCAGCTCACCAGCAATGGATCCAAGCCAAGATAAAAAGCTCTGAATTACCAGAAAAAGAATTCAGAAGGTCGATTATTAAGCTAATCAAGGAGGCACCAGAGAAATGTGAAGAAATTCCATTAAATGCCATTCCATTCCAACTTAAAGGAATCAAAAACATGATACAGGATATGAAAGGAAAATTCTTCAGTGAAATAGCTAGCAAAAAAAAAAAATCACAACTTCTGAAAATGAAGGACACACTTAGAGAAATGCAAAATGCACTGAAAAGTCTCAGCAATAGAATCGAACAAGCAGAAGAAAGAACTTCAGAGCTCAAAGGCAAGGCTTTTGAATTAACCCAATGTGTCAAAGACAAAGGAAAAAGTAGATTTAAAAAAATGAACAAAGCCTCCAAGAAGTTTGGGACTATGTTAAATGTCCAAACCTAAGAATAACTTGTGTTCCCAAGGAAGAAGAGAAATCGAAAAGTCTGGAAAACTTATTCAAGGAAATAATTAAAGGAGACTTTCCCGGCCTTGCTAGACATCTAGACAACCAAATAAAAGAAGTTTAAAGAACACCCGGGAAATTCATTGCAAGAACATCATCACTTAGGCACATAGTAATAAGGTTATCTAAAGTCAAGATGAAGGAAAGAATCTTAAGAACTGTGAGGCAAAAGCATCAGATAACCTATAAAGGAAAACCTATCAAATTAAGTGCAGATTTCTCAGCAGAAACTCTACAAGCTAGAAGGGATTGGGTCCTATTTTTAGCTTCCTTAAACAAAACAATTATCAGCCAAGAGTTTTGTATCCAGTGAAACTAAGCTTCATAAATGAGAAAAAGATAGTTTTTTCCAGACAAACAAATGCTGAGATAAATTCTCACTACCCATCAGCACCACAAGAACTGCTAAAAGAGCTCTAAATCTTGAAACAAATCCTTAAAATACACCAAAAATAGAACCTCTTTAAAGCATAAATCTCACAGGACCTATGTAACAATAACACAATTAAATATAAAACAAAGTATGCAGGCATAAAATAGCATAATGAATAGAATCCTACCTCACATCTCAATGCTAACATTGAATGCAAATGGCCTAAATGTTCCACTTAAATGATATAGAATGGCAGAATGGATAAGAATTCTCCAACCAAGTTTCTGCTGTCTTCAAGATACTCACTTAACACCTAAGGACTCACGTAAACTTAAGGTAAATGGGTGGAAAAAGATATTCCCTGCAAATAGACACCAAAAGCGAACAGGAGTAGCTATTCTTATATCAGACAAAACAAACTTTAAAGCAAAAGCAGTTAACAAAAAGGCAAAGAGGTACATTATATAATGGTAAAAGGACTTGTTCAACAGCAAAATATCACAATTCAGAATATAGATGCACCTAACACTGGAGCCCCAAATTTATAAAACAATTACTACTAGACCTAAGAAATGAGAGAGATGGCAACACAATAGTAGTGGGGGACTTTAATACTTCACTGATGGCACTAAACAGGTCATCAAGACAGAAAGTCAACAAAGAAACAACGAACTTAAACTACATCCTACAACAAATGGACTTAACAGATATTTACAGAACATTCTGCCCAACAAGTGCAGAATATACCTTCTATTTATCAGCACATGGAACATTCTCTAAGACCATATGACAGTCCACAAAATAAGTCTCAGTAAATTTAAGTAAATTGAAATAATATTAAGTACTCTCTCAGGCCACAGTGGAAAAAAATTGGAAATCGACTCCAAAAGGGACCCTCAAAATCATGCAAATATATGGAAACTAAATAACTGCTCCTGTGATCATTGGGTAAACAATGAAATCAAGATGAAAGTTTAAAAATTCTTTGAACTGAACAATAATAGTGAAACAACCTACTGAAACCCCTGGGATACAGCAAAGTCAGTACTAAGAGGAAACTTCATAGCAATAAATGCCTACATCAAAAAGTCTGAAAGAGCATGAATAGAAATGTAAGGCCACATTTCATGGAACTGGAAAAACAAGAACAATCCAAACCTAAACCCAGCAGAAGAAAAGAAATAATGAAGATCACAGCAGAACTAAATGAAATTGAAACAAAAAAAATACAAAAGATAAACAAAACAAAAAGCTAGTACTTTGAAAAAACAAATAAAATTGATGGACCATTAGTGAGATTAACCAAGAAAAGAGAGAAGATCCAAATAAGCTTAGTTAGAAAAAAATGGGAGATATTACAACTGATACCACAATGATACAAAAGATTATTCAAGGCTTCTATGAACATCTTTATGGACATAAACTAGAAAACACAGAGGAGATGGATAAATTTCTTGAAATACACAACCCTCTTAGATTAAACCAGGAAAATATAGAAACTCTGAACAGACCAGTAACAAGCAGTGAGACTGAAATTGTAATTAAAAAATACCAAAAAAAAAGTGCAAAACCAAGCAGATTTGCTGAATTCTATCTGACATTCAAAGAAGAATTGGTACCAATCCTATTGACACCATTCCAGAAGACAGAAAAAGAGAGAATTCTTCCTATATCATTCTATGAAGCCAGTATCACTCTCATATGAAAACCAGGGAAGGACATAACAAAAAAAGAAAACTACAGACCAGTATCCCTGATGAACATAGATGCAAAAATCCTCAACAAAATACTAGTAAACCAAATCCAATAGCATATCAAAAAGATAATCAACCATGATCAAGTGGGTTTCATATCAGGGATGCAGGGATGGTTAAACATATACAAGTCAGCTGGGCGTGGGGGCTCACGCTTGTAATCCCAGCACTTTGGGAGGCCGAGGCAGGCGGATCACGAGGTCAGGAGATTGAGACCATGGTGAAACCCCATCTCTACTAAAAATACAAAAAATTAGCCGGGCGTGGTGGCGGGCGCCTGTAGTCCCAGCTACTTGGAGAGGCTGAGGCAGAAGAATGGCGTGAACCCAGGAGGTGGAGCTTGCAGTGAGCCAAGATCGCGCCACAGCACTCCAGCCTGGGTGACAGAGCTAGACTCCGTCTCAAAAATAAACAAGCAAAAAAAAACACAAAAAAACATACACAAGTCAATAAATGTGATACACCACATAAACATAACTAAAAACAAAAATCACATGATCATCTCAAGAGACACAGAAAAAGCATTTGGCAAAATCCAGCATTCCTCTATGATTAAAACTCTCAGCAAAATTGGCATAGAAGGGACATACCTTAAGATAATAAAAGCTATCTACGACAAACCCACAGCCAACATTATACTGAATAGGGAAAAGTTGAAAGCATTCCCCCTGAGACGGGAACAAGACAAGGAATGACTTTTTATCACTTCTATTCAACATACTAATAGTACTGGAAGTCCTAGCCAGAGCAATTAGACAAGAGAAATAAATAAAGGGCATCTACATTGGTAAAGAGAAAGTCAAACTGTTGCTGTTTGCTGATGATATTTTGTATACCAAGAAAACCCCAAAGACTCAAACAAAAAGCTGCTAGAAATGGTAAATGAATTCTGCAGTTTTAGGACACAAAATTAATGTACACGAATCGGTAGCTCTGTTTTACACCAACAGCTACCAAACTGAGAATCAAATAAAGAGCACAACCCCTTTTTAAATAGCTGCAAAAAATGAAATAAAATACTTAGGAATATACTTAGCCATGGATATGAAAGGCCTCTACGAGGAAAACTACTAAACACTGCTGAAAGAAATCATAGACAACACGAAAAAATGGAAACACATCCTATGCTCATGGATGGGTAGATTCAATATTGTTAAAATGACCATACTGCCAAAAGTAATATACAAATTTAATGCAATTCCAATCAAAATATCCCCATTGTTCTTCACAGAACTAGAAACAACAATCCTAAAATTAATATGGAACCAAAAAAATAAACCACATAGCCAAAGCAAGACTAAGCAAAAAGAACAAATCTGGAGACATCACATTACCCAACTTCAAACTATACTATAAGGCCATATTCACCAAAATAGGATGGTACTGGTATAAGAAATAGGCACATAGGCCAATGGAACAGAATAGAGAACCCAGAACTAAAGCCAAATACTTACAGCCAGATGATATTTGACAAAGCAAACAAAAACATAAAGTGGGGAAAGGATACCCTATTCACGAAATGGTTCTGTGATAATGGGCAAGCCACATGTAGGAGAATGAAATGGGATACTCATCTCTTACCTTATACAACAATCAACTCAAGATGGATCAAGGACTTAAATCTAAGGCCTGAAACCATAAAGATTATAGAAGATTACATTGGAAAAACCCTTCTAGACATTGGCTTAGGCAAAGACATCATGACCAAGAACCCAAAAGCAAATGCAACAAAAACAATGATAAATAGATCAGACTTAATTAAACTAAAAAGCTTCTGCATAGCAAAAGAAATAGTCAGCGGAGTTAAGAGACAATCCACAGGGTGGGAGAAAATCTTCACAATCTGTATATCTGAAAAAGGACTGATATCCTGAATCTATAAAAAACTCAAATCAGCAAGAAATAAAACAAACAATCCCATCAAAAAGTGGTCTAAGGACAGGAATAGACGATTGTCAAAAGTAGATGTGGAAATGGCCAACAAGCCTATGGAAAAATGCCCAACATCACTAATTGTCAGGGAAATGCAAATCAAAACCACAATGTGATACCATTTCATGCCTGCGGGAATGACCATAATCAAAAAATCAAAAAGTAATAGATGTTGGTGGAAATACAGTGAACAGGGAACACTTCTACACTGCTGGTGGGAACGTAAACTAGTACAACCACTATGGAAAGCAGTGTGGAGATTCCTTAAAGAACTAAAAGTAGATCCACGGTTTGATCCAACAATCCCACTACTAGATATCGACCCAGAGGAAAAGAAGTCATTATATGAAAAAGATACTTGCAAATGCATATTTATAGTAGGACAATTTGGAATTGCAAAAATATGGAATCAGTCCAAATGTCCATCAATCAATGAGTGGATAAAGAAAATGTGATATATATATGTATGTGTGAAAATGTGATATATATATCATATATATTTTATATATATCACATCATATATATGTGTATATATACACACATATATATCACAGCATATATATACACACATACATATCACATCACATATATAATCACATCACGTATATACACACATATATCACATCATATGTACACATATATGTGTATATATATCACATCATATGTACACATATATGTGTATATATATCACATCATACAAGTATGTGTATATACTGTGTATATATGTGTATACACAGTATATATCCATATATGTATATACACAGTATATATCCACGTATGTATATACACAGTATATGTACATATATGTATATACACAGTATATATCCATGTATGTATATACACAGTATATGGACATATATGTATATACACAGTATATATACATAGTATATATACACAGTATCCATGTATGTATATACACAGTATATGTACATATATGTATATACACAGTAATGTGCATATATGTATATACACAGTATATGGACATATATGTATATACACAGTATATATACATATATGTATATACACAGTATATATACATATATGTATATACACAGTATATATACATATATGTATATACACAGCATATATACATATATGTATATACACAGTATATGTACATATACTGTACATGTATATATACACAATATATGTACATACACAGTATATATACATATACTGTGTACACACATACATGTATGTGTATACACATGTATATATACATGTATATATACACATACTGTATACATATGTATATGTATGTGCACAGTATACATATACTGTATGTATACTGTATACATACAGTATATGTACATATAGTGTATGTATACAGTATAATACAGTATACATACAGTATATATGTATGTATACACAGTATATATGTATGCATACAGTATACATACAGTATATATGTATGTATACACAGTATATATGTATGCATACAGTATACATACAGTATATACAGTGTATGTATATAGTATACATATACTGTATATATACACATGTATATCACATCATATATGTATGTGTATATATGTATATGTATAGAGACATATATACACATACATATGTATATACACATGTATACACACAAGTGTATTTATACACATGTGTATACATGTGTATATATACATGTATATATAAACACATATACTATGTTTAGTTAGGAAAAATAGATCATTAAATGGATTTCACCTACTTATGTACATGTTTTTAATATTATTACATATATACACATATACATATATATGTGTATATATGTGTATATATGTATATACACACATGTGTGTATATGCATATATGAGCATGTGTGTATATATGTACACACGCATGTGTGTATACGTATACACATGTGTGCATATGCGTATATGTATATACACATATGCGTGCATATGCGTATATGTATATACACATATGCGTGCATATGCGTATATGTATATACACATATGTGTGCATATGCATATATGTATATGTGTATGTATGTAAATATGCATATGTGTATATGTGTACATACATATACACACATATATGTATATGTGTATATATGTGTACATGCATATACACATATATGTATATGTGTGTGTATATGTACACACACACACACCATGGAATACGACTCAGCCATTAAAAGGAATGAACAAATGGCGTTCTCAGCAGCCTGGATGGAATTGGAGACTATTATTCTAAGTGAAGTAACTCAGGAATGGAAAGCCAAACTTTATATGTTCTCACTCATATGTGAGAGTTAAGCTACGAGGATGCAAAAGTATAAGAATGATACGTTGGACTTTGGGGACTGGGGGAAAGGGTGGGGGTGGTGAGGGATAAAAGACTGCATGGGATACAGTGTACACTTTTTGGGTGATGAGTGCACCAAAATCTCAGAAATCACCACTAAAGAACTTATTCATATAATCAAACACCACTTGTTCCCCAAAAACCTACTGAAATAGAAAAATAATTTTTAAAAAATGTGACATCAGTGATGATTACAGTACAAAGAAGAAAAATGGTGCAGTGTAATGTTAATGGGAGTAGTGGGAAAGGACAGAATATTGGATATGGATTGAGAGATGTTTGGTATTACAGATGAAGTAATTTGTGAAAATCTTCTGTAATGACTGGACATTTTAGCAAAGATGTGAATAATGTGAATAGCAACTTATGTAAAGAAAAATCTGAAGAAAGAGTATTCTAAACAGAGGAAATAGCAAGTTAAGGTCATGAGATGGTAAAAATTTAAGGTATTTGAAAAGAAGGAAGAAAGGCAGTGTGCCTGGAGAAATACAGATAAAAAGGAAAGTGACAGATGATCAGAGTCAAGAAATTAACAGGAGTTAGTCAATATAAAACTTTGAATGCAATGATATAATTCTTACACTTTCACCTCAGGGTGATAGGAATCATTTGAAAAGATACAGCATTTTAGTGATCTGATTCAAAAAATGAGTATTTGGTCATAGCAGGAAATTCAGATCCATATACCTTTGCAGCTGTGCTATCTAATATGGTAGTCTCAAACCACATGTGGCTATTAAACACTTGAAATGATGCTGCTCTGAATTGAGATAGTCTGTAAGTGTTAAAAACACAGTGGATTTGAAGACTTAGCAATAATAAGTAAAATAGCTCATTAATATTTTTCATATTGATATGTTGAAATAATTATATTTTGAATATACTGTGTTTAGTTAAGCAAAATAGATCATTAAATGGATTTCACCTTCTTATGTACATGTTTTTAATATTATTAACAAAAATTAAAGTTACGTATATGACACATTAGATTTATTATGGACAGTTCTAGCATAAAACTTTATGTTACAGGAAGAGTGTTAATTAACATATTTCCTGGTACCAAGATAACTATAATAGAAATCTTGGTACCAGGTAATATCCTATGCCCCTAACTGCATTCTCATTTAATGCTCATAGAAACGATATGAGGTAGACTGTTGATTAATAAAAGATATCGCCAAGTTAGATTACTCTAGGTTGTAGAATGCAAGAAGGAGAACTAATCAATTGAGAAAGACTGTAGTCATAGGATCATAACAGGATAACTGAAAAGACAGCCCTAGTAGATTTGATGTAGCATAACCAAGTCAAAAATCAAATTGAAAAAATTTGGTCTGCCAGTGGCAATCAAAGATACTCAGTTTTAAGAAGCAGAAATGGTATAGCTGCTGGAAATGAGTGAGGCTGCCCCATGGAGAGACAGCTAAGGCAGGAAGGTCAGATAACTTTCACAGGTTTGGACAAGCTGGGATATCAGTTCGTATATAACACAACAGTCTTAAGGAGGGAGCAAAGCCAGCTTTGACTCAAGGAAAGTGAATGTTTGTTTTTTATTCTCTTTAAAAAGACCCAGAGCCCAGAAGTTTATGTTTACTTCATTTGTAACAGGCTTCCTATGAATAGCTTTTTACATTTGTCTAAGCTTCCTGAAGACTGGCGGCAAAATAGAGGAAAAAAAGTTATAATTAATGTGTATAGTCTGGGTCCGCAGGATATTTCCCACATACCTGATTCACAATACACTTTTTCCTAACACATTATATCTGTGTTCCCACTCTGTTAAATGAGCAGTCATATCATATGATGGCCTTTTATGTTGCTGTTCTGATTTCCATTTTATTGCATAACCCACCTACCATTTCAGCATCTTGATTTCTTATTGACATAAAATATCTTCATGCCAAAAAGCATTGGTGGAAAACAAAAGCAAATAAGAAATTAAGTTTATAAATTTAAAATCACAAACAGTATGATTTTAAGTTTCTTTTATACTGAGAAAATTTCTTTATTTTTTCATTCAATTCTCAAATTCAGTATGATAAGTAGATAGATTAAAATTACAATTTGTATGCTAAGAGGTGGATTTTCCTCCTTTTATGAATAGAATATTGATAAGCAGCTAAATGTCCTTTTAAAAAATTTAAAAATGACAACAATGTCTAGTAATATCCTCTTTCTAAGCAGCCATGGATTCCCTAGAGTCACAAATGTTACTTTGATTAATATGATAAAAATGTTAAGCACAATCTTACTTTAAAATTTTAATTTCAATTTAGCTAGTGGTAAAAAACAACATTAACAACCACAAATAAGTCTCCATGTCTGTCTGTCTGGGCTTTATTTATTTATTTATTTATTTTTTTGAGATGAAGTCTCACTCTGTCACTCAGGCTGGAGTGCAGTGGCATAATCTCAGCTCACTACAACCTCTGCCTCCCGGGCTTAAGCGATTCTCCTGCCTCAGCCTCCTGAGTAGCTGGGATTACAAGCTTGCGCCATCGCACTCAGCTAATCTTTGTATTTTTAGTAGAGATGAGGTTTCACCATGTTGCCCAGGCTGGTCTTGAACTCCTGACCTCAGGTGATACACCCACCATGGCCTCTCAAAATTCTGGGATTACAGGCGTGAGCCACTGCTCCCGGCCTGGGCCTCTTAATTCCAGTACCTTAAATTCTATATATCATTTATTTTCCGGGATAGTTTCCTGCCTAGAAAAAAACAAGTCTGTATGATACTCTAACATAGCTCTAATACTTTTGCCCTTATCTCCACTTCTCTTCCTGAGAAGCAATGTGTTCAAGACTCTAGTGTTTTTGACTCAGAGCTTATAGTTGACTCAGCTTCACTTCTACTCTCAAACCACAAGTTGGTTTTCTATTATAAAATGCCTTTTTAATTCTCAGCATTTCTGGATGTCTTTTACATGACCACCCTTTAAATCATTACACAGAATTCTCCCACCGTCCACTCATACTCTAATCCAATATACAGCCTATTGACTCTTAGTGTAAGTAATGCCAAAATGGAATTAACATAGGCACTTTCTTAAAGGTCAAAGTCAATTAATGTGCAATCTAGGGCATGTATAGGGGCTAATATGTGATCTTTATCTTCTGGAAAATTGTGTGTAAAAAACTTCACAAATCAAAATAATCCATTTTTTGATCAGTTGTAAAAATAAATAGAATAGTAATGGTATATTCCACCAGGCAGAAAACATAGTGAATGAAGCCAGTGACATTTGGTTCCACTTCAACACATTCTGGAAAATTACATTATAGAGCTGTCAAACACAAATTCCAACCAAAATGTCATTTTTGTACAAAAGAAACAATGTGAAGGGCAAAGTGAATCTTGCCTTACCTTGAAACCTCCAAGGCAGAGCTTCTTTAACTGTGGTCATTTAGGGATGAATCTGCTTTCTTAGTACATTTAGGCTTCTCTGACATAAGGCAGAAATAAATGCTAGTACTCTTTCACTTATAACTTAACAGAGAAAATAAATTTGACAAATTCTACTAGTTTCTAAAATTATTATTAAAATTAAATCAAAAGTTTATTCTCTTAAATGGACACTGTCCAGAATAATTGATTTTTTAAATTTGGCTTAAAAGAACTGTGTATATAACTTATCTTATTCTACTTTTCAGCATGGCAAGTTGATTTTGTCTTTGGTCAAATAGCCATTTCAATTGTCTAGGAAGCTTAATGGTAAACCACACTTTACTCTGAATTATCATCCTCCTAGGGAGAGTAAGACCAAGGCACAGGTTATGGAGCATTCCATATTCTTTGTTCCATGTTCTTTGTTTGAACAGGACTCATTTCCCTTTTATCCCGCTCCAGCATTTTTAACCCAGTAGTAATTCTTACCTTGTAATATTTGTTTGGGTTGGATTTTTCTTTGCCCCATCCTGCATAAACCCTTGTTCCATAAAATTGGTTTAAATTTCCCAAAACTCCCTTAGATTTTCTATGCCCAATCTCTTGATTTCCTGTTACCTTGTGAACCTGGATTTAGAAAACAATACAAGTAAAATACCTTTGTGGCATCATAAGGACCCAAATTTTTGTGTATTTCATTTTCTGTTTATTCCCAGCATCCAGAAAAATACCTGATACATGGATGCCTGTCTATAAATAGTTGTTTAGTAAATGCATTAATCATTTTTCTAGATTTAATTACTGCCCACAGATGAATACATACCTATCCAGCATGATATGTGCAAGACTTACCCAATAATATTTCTTTCTTGCCTCAATTACACTTGTTCTGACCCACCTAGTGGTCCCATGCCATCCAATATGCAGAAAGTGGGAGAAAATTATTTTCTAAGGGATGACTATTAGTTTAAGAAGTATGAAAGACAATAAAATTTCCAAACTTTGACTGTCAAACTAATAAGTGAAGAAAATAAAACAAATCACCCATGAGCAATTTCTGACTAAGACTCAAGGTATTTAGCTCTAGCAAGGAGTATGAAAGTATTAATTTGAAAATAAAAACAATTCAATTTAATATGACAGGAACTGAAATAAATGTGGAAATGCTTTTCTCTAAAAACACAATTATGACTTATCCATGGATTTTTAACCATTCATCTTTTCCATATCACTTATGATATTGATAATGTGTTTTAAAAGGGGAGAAGTATGTTTTCCAGAGAAAAGTATCTAAAAAGAGGTCTATGATATTTAACTCTATATATTTAAGATAATGGATGCTCACAATGACTTGAAAGTTTTGACATACACTGGTTAAACTTAAGTAAAGTTTTCTTAGCTCAACTTAATAAGGCCCTCATTTTACGTATCTAGGGAATTTTTCTAACTTCTCTCCTCAATGTCTATGACTTTAATCATAATTACTTCCAAATCAGAGAAAACACACAAAACAAACTAACAAAATACCAGAGCAATTCAAGCTGACTCCCACAGTTCCTTCAGAACTGTCAAAAATGTATTCTTAAAGACCGTTTTCCCCCTTCCTCTTATTTGCACCTCTACCAATCTTGGATATGTTTGCAATTGCCCTTATTTATCTCTCATTTACCATCTATCTCTCTGCCTTACCTGCAATAATCATCATTAAAAAAAAAAATCCTGTCCGGGCACGGTAGTTCACGCCTGTAATCCCAGCGCTTTGGGAGGCTGGGGTGGGTGGCTCACGAGGTCAGGAGTTCGAGACCAGCCTGGCCAACATGGTGAAACCCCGTTTCTACTAATTGTATATATATATATATATATATATATACACACACAATTTAAGTTCTCATGTAAGATAAAATTGAACTGTGTTTTTTAATCACACAATTGGCATAATACTCTGTTGTCTTTATCTGCCAATCTAGGTCAGAAAATTCTTGCCATCAGATTGTTGTTCTATAAAATCTTGTTCTATAAGATCCCACTGCTCTTTCTGTATAACTGCTACTGCTGTATTGAGTTTCTTTGTCATCGTAACCAATTACATTACTAGTTAATAATAGTCCAATTTCCTGTTACAAGCTAAATATTCTTTACATTAAATGTTCCTTTTCCAAATTACAATCAACCACCTCTCTTTCTGGGTTCTGCATCTATAAATTCAACTATGTGTCAAAAGTATTCAGAAAAAAATGTGGTTAGTTGTATATATACTAAACATGTACAAACTTTATTTCTCTTGCCATTATTTCCTAAACAATACAGTGTAACAACTATTTACATAGCACATACATTGTATTAGGCAGTATAAGTAATCTAGAAGTGATTTAAAATATAGAGGAGAATGTGCATAGGTTATATGTGAATACTACACTATTTTATATAAGAGACTGAGGATCCATGGATTTTGGTATTCATGAGGTGTCCTAGAACCAATCCCCCATGAATACCACGGGAAGACTATACTGTGATTTGTTTCCTAAATTTGTTTCCTGGACACATACTGTTACACAAATGGACCTTCTTTATTACCAATGAAATCAATAAAGTCCAGACTCACAATTTTAGAACAACAAATTTTATTCCACTATGAGTTGTTGGATTGCTACTCAAGAGTTCTTTCAAATACTACCTTAGAAATAACTGCAAAAATGTTTATCTATGTTGCATCAAATTACGTTATTACCATCTTCCTAAACCATATTTGCATGGAAATAATATATTTATTATGGAAGCTACATCCATTTAAGATGAAAAATGTTAGGAATATTATTTTTGTTTACTACTATAAAACCACCACCACACAAGATGTAGAACATGTCCTGTGCCCCTAAAAAATCCCTTATTTCTCATTACAAACCACCCTCCTTCTAGCCTGAGTCATAAGCAACTGTTTGTCCTTCTGTCACTATAGATCACATCACATTTTCTAGAAATTTATATGCATCTGGCTTCTTTCAGTCAGTGTAACAGTTTTGACATTCATCCCTATTGTGCTTGTTTCAGAGCTTTTCTATGTCCCTTGGGTAAGTAGCTAGGTGTAGAATTGCTAGCTTATACAGTAGGTGTTTATTTAATATTTTAAGAAATTGCCAAAACATTTTTTAAAACAGTGAATAGTTTACATTCCCACCATCAATGCATAGAGTTCCAGTTGCTCCACATCTATATCAAATATTTGTCTTGTCGGTCTCTTTACATTTTCATCAAAAAAAAAAGATCTGACCAGATATTTCAATAAAGTCCTTGAAAGACAAGTGATATTCAACACCATTACTTAGGAAAAGCAAATATAACTATATAGAGACATTACTACCAAATGTTTACCAATAAATTGCTTTAGCATCTGTGTTGAAAATTAGCTGACTATATAGAGTGGGTCTATTCTGGAGTCTGTACATTTTTCACCAACTTTTAGGTCTATTCTTTTGTCAATTCCACAGTCTTAATCAAGAGCAGCAAGCTATGGCCCATAGCACATTGGGTCCGCTGCCAATTTTTGTAAATAAAGTTGTATCAGAAAATAAGCTTATTTGTTTATACATTTGTCCATGTTGCTTTCCTGCTACAATGACAGAGTTGAGTAACTGTGAAGAGTACAGATGACCTGCAAAATCTAAAGTATTTATTATATGCTTCCTTTCAGAAAACGTCTGTGAACCTACAGCCTTGATTACTGTAACTTTCTATCTTAAACTCATATGTAGTGTTTTTTCTCCAACTTCGTTCTTCTATTCTAAATTTACTTTCTTGATTTTAAGTTGTAAGTTTACGTGTTTCCATATCAATTTTCGAATTTACTTATCACTTTTTAAAAAGTGTGTTTTATTCTGATTGGGATTGTTAAGAAAAGATTCTGAGGTTTTTGGAGGAAAAAGGAAGAGATATATTTTCTATAAAAAAAAAAATCTGCAGATTGAAGAGGGCGAGGACAAGTGAAAGTGTGCTCTCCAAAGTACAAAGAGTCTGGCCTAAATAGAGAAAGTTTCTGCCACTGTTCTTAATCAGGTCTGTTTGTGCAAATAAAGGATTCAAATTAGTCACAGTAGTTGAGCCCTGATTGGGTGGTTTCCAAGTCCCAAACCAGAAGTCGCTGTCAGATGTTTCTTCCAAACAACTTGCTATGGGGAGTGGGGATTTCTTCCTGGTTTATCTTAGCTTGGGTTACAAGAACTGTTCTGGCCCAGGAACATAAAGCAGAAAGTTTGTCCAGAGCTACCTTTCTGAGAACAAAGGTCATGCAACTGCTCAACTACTCTTGTCTCAACACGCCACCCCCATGTCCACTTGGTTCTGTTCCATAAATTTGGGTGGCTTCATCAATGACAGGTAGTCCATCTCATCTGGAGTGCTTTGGCTCTTATTTACAGTTTCATTTCATAAGATTATATAGATTATAGATTATATATATATTATATTATATATATTATATTATATATTATATTATATATATTATATTATATATTATATATATATTCAGGTTATAGTCAGGTTATATATATAAAACCTGTCATGTTCATTAGGCATTCCTGAAGGTGATAATTTTTCTCTGGTATAATTAATTCAGTGTCAAGAAGTTTAACCTTTTTACTCATAGTGTATGTATGGTAGCAAGAAGTTATCTCGGATATTCTTTATTTGAATTTGCCTATTTCATTTTATTTATTTATTTATATTTATTATTTATATATATTATTTATATATTTTTTTGAGATGGAGTCTCGCTCTGCCGCCCAGGCTGGAGTGCAGTGGCGCGATCTCGGCTCACTGTAAGCTCCGCCTCCCGAGTTCACGCCATTCTCCTGCCTCAGCCTCTGAGTAGCTGGGATTACAGTCGCCCGCCACCGCGCCCGGCTAATTTTTTGTATGTTTAGTAGAGACGGGGTTTCACTGTGTTCACCGGGATGGTCTCGATCGCCTGACCTCGTGATCTGCCCGCCTCTGCCTCCCAAAGTGCTGGGATTACAGGCGTGAGCCACCGCTCCCAGCCTCCATTTTATTTATATTTTTAAAATCATCAAATGTTTTTTCCCTCTCTTTTGGCCTACAGAGTTTCTTCAGATAACTCAGAGATCAATAGAATCATTGCTTCTTTATATTTAACATGTATTGTTTTCTACAATTGATTTCAAGAGTTGTTGGTTTTTAGCAGTTTAACCATATGTGCTTGGGGTGTGTGTGTTTGTGTGTGTGTGTGTGTAGGGGTGTGTATGTGTGTGTAGGTGTGTGTGTGTGTTCCTAATTATTTCAGTTTAGACTTGAGATTCTTGAATCTGTAAGTCTGTTTTTGTTCATATATTGGAATATTCATCAATTGTTTATAGAAACATTTAATTTGTTCAATTCTCTCATTTTTCTCTTTTGGCCCTTCAATGGCCTATTTATAGATAAATGAATGAATAAATAATCAAAACCTACAGGAGACAAAATATTCACAGGTTCCAGGGGCTGCAACGATTTTATTAATTTTTCTCCCTTGTTTTTAGATTGGATGATATTATCACAAATAATCTATGTTCAAACTTACTGAAACTTTTGTCTGACATATCTTTCTCCCATTACACTCTGGCTCTAAAGATTTTATTTCAGAAATTTCATTTTTCCATTTAAAATTTTCCATTTTAAAATATTTTAAATTGTTTCTATTTCTTTGATAATATTTTTCAATATTTAATTCATTTTCCTTGATGACAAATACTAGGATCTCCTTTAAATTCCTCATCTGGATAACATCAACATAGGTCATTTTGAAGTCTGTTGATTTTTTTTTTTTCCTTGATAATGATTCTACTTATCTGGCTTTTCTTATGTTGGGTAATTTGGGATTATATCCTCAACTTTGTGAATGTTGCATTGCAGGTATTCTGAATTGTTTTATGTTTTTCTGAAGGAAGTTGATGTTTTTGTCTAGCGAAATCTACAGTAGAGCAAAAATCCTGCCATACCTTTGGTAGGTAGGAACTCAGATCTCAAATCGGACTGCTTTCTGTTTACCCTACACATGCATACAATCTGGGTAAACTGTTGGAGTTTCTTCCTTGGCGCTTTCTCCTTTCCAAGGTTTCTTGATCATTTTAGTGACCTTGGTTCTCCAGGCTCCTTTCTCTGGTTCTTCCAGTCAGAAATACAGCTTGATTCTATTGTTATTTTGGCCACCCAGTCACCGGTGTCTTAAAACGGGAAACATATTCACGTGATTGATTTTATTTAAGGTTTAACTCTTCTCCAGAATCGGTGTTTATTCCATCTTCAGAGCCCTCAAGTAGTTTTATTTTACATTTTGTCCAGAGTTTATAATTGGTATCGCCATCCAAAACGATTGTAACATTTTAAATATCAGAATAATACACTATTATTTTAGACAGGAATAGAGTTTCAGTTTAAAATAAGTAATAAGTGATCACTGATTTCTTAAAAATCAATAAAGGACAATGACTTCAAAATTAATATTCTTATGTAATGATAGAAACCTAATGAATGCTGGCAATAACAAAATATTACATACGGACTGCCCATCTTGATATACCTCTTGAAATTATATGGAAACAATGTTATTCTGCCTTTTGTATGTTTATTGTTCATTCAAAAGTCAAATAGATACCAAGATCCTTCAGAACATTATATTATCCTAGATTTTTAAGTCTAAATTGTATTTTTCTTGCGATGTCAAAAGTTACTTGTTAAAAATCCTTGAGGTTTATTATTTAGTATACATTAGATTATACAAATATATTTAATTGGGGATCACTTATAAACTTGAATCTGAGACTCTTGACTTCATATCAGAATAATGTCTTAGTAAGTAAAATAATTAGCAAAATATCTAATATATATCAAATGGTATAAAATACATGCATTTTCACTTCAATACTTTTTTGAAAGCCCATAATAATATGAAACTGCCTCATTCACTGTATTCTGTTTAGAGAGATACCCTTAAGATTTTTTCTTGGTAATGTTTCTAGAAAGTATACTCATTTCCATAGCCTTCTATATTTTATTATTGCTCTGAAATATATAATATTTGTTAAATACCAAGCTCAGTTCAACATCTTGCAGTGGTAATACGAAACTCTCTCTCTTCCTGGTTCCTTACTGTAATTTAATATCCTTATTGTCTTGCTTCCTTGCACCTGTTGGTAATTTCCAAACATTCAGATGTCAGGTGGTTGGGTTTCCTAGCTGGGAGGGGTTTTCATCTTACTGTAGGTAGTTTTTCACCCATTACTAGGTGTGCTTCTTTTTATGAGCAGGATAATGATATTCATTGGAAAGTGTCTGCTAGAGAACTAGGGTGAACATTGCAGCAAATCTGCATCACAATGCACTGCCCTTCTTTTACTACTGTGAGATAGAAGTAGAGCTTTGAGGACATTTCTTATGACCTTTGCTGTGTAGTTCATGTAGAAAATTGGTTTGGGATCTGATTATCGAGGAGAATAACTCACAAGAATATTAATCAAGTAATAGCATACAAAACTTGTATCGTGCATTTAAAAAATTCCTTCTCAACTCCCCATCTTCTTTCCCTCTTCTTTTTTAAACAAAATATTTCCCTTTTGAAAATTAAATAGAAGAAATAGATCAGATATAAAATGATAACTTTTACAGAACCGTATAAGCACATATGGTTCTATGCTGATATAAAAAGAGATAAAGCAGTGATTTTAGGAAGAAACAATATGAGAGAAAAGAGAAAATCACTTTATGATATTCTGACCTGGCACAATCTAATAATCATCATTTTGTAGGTCATTTGAGAGTCCACATGGCCAACTTCAGGACCCCAGTCATTAATTTTACGGATATGTGGCATGTAGGTAGCTGTGAACAGGTTCCAAGCCAATAACAGTTCAAGAATTTTTTTCAGGCAAAATATTTACCAGTGAACACATATTTGTCGATTCCAGGCAATTAATTGGAGCCAAAAATTCAATGGTGGATACAACAGATAGAATCCCAGGCCACAGGAAATTTAAAGCCACATATAATAAACAGAGTTGTTTAAAAATGCCAGGTTTAAATTGCAAACTGTGATGAGAGCTATGAAGAAAAGCCATAGGAAACTATGTAGCCATGTGACTAGAGCACCTGCTTCAGTCCTAAGCTTAATGAAGGCCCGTTTGAGGATGTTACACTTGAGCTGTGAACTGAAGGCTGGGTAAAATTACCAAAGGGAAAATTATACATTACCGCCATGGAGGTAAAGAATATATTTGTAAAGACTTGAAGTTGCAGTGGTCACAGCATTCTTGAGAAATTTCTAAGAGTTTTTTGTAAATTAAAAAATAAAAAGGAGAGCATATGGAAAATAAACCCAAATTGGCCACCTGATATAGAATTCTGAATAAAGGTAAAGGTTTGCATTTTTATTCTGTAAGTCATGAGAAAGCTTTGAGAGTTAAAAGAAGAAAATTGACATGCTCAGATTCACATTTTCATTAGATCTCTATGGCTTGAGTGTAATGATGGTATTGGTTAAAACAGATAATGATATGTTTAGTAACCTAACTAGTTTGGAGGTTACATAAAGATATGTTTCGTAACCTCCTAAACTAGGTAGGAGTTTATTAGCATTAAGAGGAGATCTGCCTTGATGAAACTTTGAACTAGCACAGTGGTGCCGTAAGGAGAGCGAAGTTGATTAATTTCAGAGGTATTAATAAATGTGATAGAGTGGACTTGATGAGGGCAGCTCATTTGATAAGCAGACCATCATCAGGATTATAAGGTTTCTAGCTTGAAAAACAGTTGGCGAAGCAAACCTTCACTGAGGTGAGAAGCACCCTCTCAGTGTTCCTGATTCATTGGTATAGTTTTGGCTATGGTGAACCATAGAATGTGGCTAGAATCATTGAGATATTCTAGAGATAAGTTTATGGAGCCATTGGCTATATAGGTATCCTATTCAGAAGAGGTATGTGGGGTGGAGTTATAAATACAAAAGTCATTCATGTGTAGGTGGTAAATGAAGTCGTGACTATAAATAAAATCTTCTACAACACCCTCTCTCAATTTCTAAAATAAACCAAACCTTGAGTGAAATTTAAAGAAAGGAACCAGTGAAGAGCAATGAGTCCTGTAATATATAACAAATACCATTATTTTCTTACAACTGTCTACAGGGCCCTGAAGAAGTTGATGCTAGGAACGTAAAACTCAGTAACAATTCTTCCCTTCAAAACTTTGTAGTCCAGTAATTTACAGTACATACATATGTAATTACACATGAATTGAGGCTGATAGAAACACCTTGCATTACATTTTGCATTTGCCATTTCACCTGTATCCATCATACTTAGAGAAATTACAGGTGAGCTTATATGCTGTCAGAAATATCTATACACCTAGGTCACTATGTAGGTTTGCAAATGATAAAAATCCAAAATTAATGCTTTAGGTGAATGCAATTGTATTCGACTTCAAACAAATTAGATGTCTCACAAGATATAAGCCACAAACAATGACATGTAATTATAAATATGGGTCTCTGCCTGACCACAGACCTGGTTAGGCTAAATATCACTTTATCACATTGTCAGAAAACCAGTGGAAGCCTAAAATTGTTCTAACTTTGATGGAAATAGATAAAATGTATAGAAATATGTAAACTCAGTCTTAGCAGTTTTATATAACTCTGATCTGTATACAGTTTACTGTATTGCAACAGGATATACACTTCCCTATACTTTGGGTTTAATGTATTAATTAAAAACAACACAAAAAAGTTTGGAACCTACCTTCATTGTTGTTACCAATGTCAGCAGTAATGAAATATTACTTGGGGACCAATTTTAAGTTATGACAGAAACAAATCAGAGTTAAACTATTGCATTTAAATCATGGGGGAAAAAGCCACACTTTATAAAAAAAAATCAATCACCAAGTATTTCTTTAGGTATATGCACAACACTGTGAGAAAAGCAAACCAAAAATGACATTCTTGAGACTACTGTAGGCAAGATTTTAATCAGTCTAGCTTCTTCCTCGGGGAAAAGTAAAATATGCAACTAAGTATATCTCATATCACAAAATAAAACTCCCTAGAAAGTGAAGAATCATGTTTTCCCAGAGTCACAGATAAATAAATAAATGAATAGATGGGTGGAATGCTGATGTTACTAGCCCCAGTAGAGTAGTCTAAGGGATATTTGAGTTGAAGTGCTGAATTTCTGTTATGACTTGTTATATTCAGTAGGCTGTGAAACTGGGGTATGAGTACAAGTAGATTTAAATGCATCCTGATAATTGATAAAAACAATTTCTCCATGTTGCACAAAACTTCCATTATGTTGATATTCCCTTTTGGATTAAAAATGGCTAACAGTGGCTCATGCCTGTAATCCCAGAACTTGGGGAGGCTGAGGCGGGCAGATTGCTTAAGTCCAGAAGTTCGAGACCAGCCTGGGCAATATAGCAAAACTCTGTCTCCATTAAAAATAGAAAAATTAGCCAGATGTTGTGGCATGTGTCTGTAATCTTAGCTACTGGAAGGCTGAGGTTGGAGAATCACCTGAGCCAGGGAGATCAAGGCCGCAGTGTGCCAAGATCATGCCACTGCACTCCAGCTAATATCGTTTTATAAAAATAAGAATAAAATTCCATGATAAATGAATAAATCAATGTTACAGACTTAAATCCTCTGATCATTCCTTCTATTATCCAAAACACTCTCATAATTCCCACTATATGTAATTGAGAATTATAAAATATAATCCTTATTTTCAAAATTAGTATAAACTGACAGATTATATGGGTCAAAATTTTTAAATAGGTCAGTAATATGCCACAAAAAATCAAGAAAAAAGTATAATTTGACAAATTTGATAAATACTTAAAAATATTTAAATAACTACAGGACTAAAGTTACACAGTATTTCTATGCTAGGAACATAAAGAATTTAAAACTATTTTTAACTACAAGGTATATTTGCTATAAATATTTGACTTGATTGCAAGGAAAAAACCAGTCGTCATGCCAGGCAAATGTTTCATACTTGTCAAATTTCCAAATGTTTGTTATAAAAAACATGATTGTCTTTTTTTGATATTATACAAAGAGTGAGATACAAAGGCATTTGTTTTATTATCTAGACTTGCTTTACCATACTGGTATTTTCTCAAATATAGGCAAATACTTTAAAATCAATACTCTGCTCCTGAAAACAAATGTACTGCAAAAAATACAAACCAGATGTTATTTACATTATTTTAAGTGGAAGAAATTATAATGTGTTATATTTTAAACCCAAAGCCTCAAATAATTTACAGAGTAAGTAAAACACAGAACATATAAATACAAAATCTATCATGCTAGTATGAAAAACACTTTCACAAATAAGTATTTTCTGTTCATTAACCATTTGGTACAATTTGCTTTTTAGGCAGTAACACTGTGATACTTCTCTGAGAGCCAGCAATGTCAGAATATAAACAAGTAAATTATATAAAGTAAATGATTACAATTATATAAATTAAATAATTATATAAATTAAATAATTATGGCAGTCAGAATTAGTCAATGAAAGAAGAAATATGAAACATAGCTAAAGTACGAGAAAGACAAGTTAGTGCATTTTAGGACTTTAATCAGAGTGCATTTTAGGACTTTAATGGAATACATTTTAGGACTTTAATCAGAATCAGATGCATTCTCTATGGTTATTGTTACAGCTTTACACATACTACCTTTTTAGGTTATAAAATATTTGGAGAAGGAGCATTACTTTACAGATGAGGAAACTGAGGCAAGGAGAGGTAATGAGTCTTCTGCATGTGAAAGTTTCTCTGATCTTAAATGTGAGGTTTGTTATGGATGAGATATTGAAAGCACTAAAAGAATAGCGGAATATGTTTAGAGTTTATGATTCCAGAAGCAGAAATGTAGGAAACAACTAAGGTCCAGAGTAGAATTTTTGAGGTATGTAATAGAGTGAATTAGATGTAAAAATTAGAGCTATTGAAAAAATATCAATGGACGCTATCCTAGTGTTTTTGATGAGTTGTCCTGTATATTTTGAAATTTATGTTATGATGGCAGAAGTTGGTTTTAAAAGGAAAGTGATTAACTGGAAAGCTAAATATCAAATTAATATCGGAGATCAAAAAATGTAGAATGTGAAGTAGTAAATCACGTAGGATAGTGATCATGGGGTTGGGCTCTGAAGGCAGATCTCCTAGCTTCATATATTAAATTTATCATTTACTCATTTTATCACCTACTCTATAGCTCAGAATTTTTATTATTATATTGAACATAATAGTAATTATTTCCTAGGATTAAGTGACTCAGTATGTGCAATGTGGTTAATTTCACCTAGGTTCGTATTAGGGACTGAATATATTATTATTAATAATAATAGTGCTACGTTGTCAAGGTTGGATGGGCTCCAAGCAGAGGGCTTTAATAGGAAGTCGTAAAAGTGATTAGGAAGCAGGTTAAAAAGGAAAAATAAATGAAAATTTTTCTTGTGGCTCTAAATCAAGGTATGTTAAAATGAATAAAAATTTCTGCTAGAGCGAGCTGGCAGGCAAGTGAACTCATTAGGAGAGATCCAGGTATCAGCTAGGAATGTATCCAAACACTTCAGAAACTATTAAAAATATACGGCAAACACTATTTTAGATGGTAGGAAATCTAAAGAAGTGAAATTCCGGAGATCAAAAATAAAAAAGCTGCTAAAATTATGGAGGTGAATCCTTGACAATATTTTAACTGCCTCCTGGGGATTTTGTGGAAAATGTAATGGCCGTGCAGGTATGGAAGACAATGCTTTGGAACCACTTGAACCAAAGCTAGGATCCTCAACAGCTACTGGGTATGTGAAAGGGGAATATAAATTAAACTTGCTTACAAAAAAAAAAAAAAAAAGGAAGTGGAATTAAAGCAAGTCTGTCTTGACCTGAGATCTTAGTGAGAAAAAAAAAAAAAGTCTTAGTAAGAATTCAAAATCACAGAGTCTATCATCAAATGGGTTTTGGATTACAAATTATATCGTCTATGTCATCAATCAAATGAAAAGCTAGAAAATTAACATAAAAATGTAGTAAGAAACCAGTTAATCCCTAGATCACCTGGTAGAAGCAAGCAAACATCTCTACTGGATCTCACAGGATTTCCACAGATTAAAGCAACAAAATATAATATCACAGTTCTGAATTACAAAATGAACAATAAAACATACCACCATGAAAGGGAATCAGAGTAAACACGAAATAGCTGAATTGTAAATGTCAAAGTCCAACAAATAAAAATATTGGCTATAGATGAAAAAGATCAATATATAAAAATAATTTTAAACATTAGTAATATATAAAACATGATAAAGTAAAATACTATATAAAGTGATAGGTATTAAAAAGACATATAATCTGTACCTATAAAACATCTGATCATTGAAATTCAAAAAATGAATGCAGGGATTAAGCAACTGTTTAGATATAACTGACGATATAATTAAGGAAATTATTTTTAATTATTCCTATACGTTAGAAAATAGATATAAAAGATTTTTTTTTTCAAAATAGAAAACAAAGGAATTGCAAATTGGAAAAATTTAAGAGAGCTTTAAACAAGTTATATGAAATGAAACAAATAGGAAATTTAGGGGAAAAAAAGATCAAAATGTGTAGGAAATATTCAAGAGAAAACTGGCATATATCACCAGATACTAGGAACCTTTATAAATTCCAAATATGATAAAGAAAAAAAATCACATCTAAATAAATTGAAATGAAACTGCTAAACACCCAAAAAAAATAAAATATTTAAAATAAAATTAGAGGCACACAAATAATTGCTATTATACAGTTTAGAAAACTTTTAAAGAGAAAATATTGAAGCTAGAGTTGAGTAGATAAAGTTTTTCAAAGTTCTGAGCAAATTTGGCAAATTGGAATTTTGAATTGGCCAAAGTATCATTCAGCTACAAGAAATGGGCTGAAAGCATGCTTGGACAAATAGTATTTTTGTTCAAATAACTTCTAAAGAATGTTCTAGAAGAAGAAAACTGAACACAGATAATATGTGAGATAATAATAATGACTAAATTACTCAAAAAAATTGGAATTCAATACTGGAAAACCCTAACATTTGAATGGCAATGAGTGATATCATTTAAATGATTCTAAGGTATATATGTTACTCAGATGGAAGAAAAAAATTGTGATTAACTTTTAAGTATAGAAATCTTGGCCGGGCGCGGTGGCTCACGCCTGTAATCCCAGCACTTTGGGAGGCCGAGGCGGGCGGATCACGAGGTCAGGAGATGGAGACCATCCCGGCTAAAACGGTGAAACCCTGTCTCTACTAAAAATACAAAAAATTAGCCGGGCGTAGTGGCGGGCGCCTGTAGTCCCAGCTACTTGGGAGGCTGAGGCAGGAGAATGGCGTGAACCCGGGAGGCGGAGCTTGCAGTGAGCCGAGATCCCGCCACTGCACTCCAGCCTGGGCGACAGAGCGAGACTCCGTCTCAAAAAAAAAAAAAAAAAAAAGAAATCTTATATATATTTTAAGTTGTAAAATCTAACAGAAAGATAATGAGTATCTTCCAGAAAGGTAAATCAGGTAAACAGAAAGCACAAAAGAAATCTAAGTATAACAAGAGACAAACTATATTAGAAATGGTCTAAATGTCTGTCTTAATGATCAAAATTATTACAATTGAATAAATTAAAAAAGAGAGAGAAATAGCAACGCATTTTACTAGGTGCACTCAATCAATATAAAGAAGACTGGCCAGGGACGGTGGCTCATGCCTGTAATCCTAGCACTTTGGGAGGCCGAGGTGGGTGGATCAAGAGTTCAGAAGATTGAGACCATCCTGGCCAACATGGTGAAAACCCGTCTCTACCAGAAATACAAAAATTAGCTGAGTGTGGTGGCAGGCGCCTTTAGTCCCAGCTACTCAGGAGGCTGAGGCAGGAGAATTGTTTGAACTCGGGAGTTGGAGGTTGCAGTGAGCCAAGATCATGCCACTGCACTCCAGCCTGGGCAACAGAGTGAGACTCCATCTCAACAAACAAACAAACAAACAAACAAAAAGATAAAAAGAAAACAGATTTAGCTGGGGAACAAACAAAATCCAAAAATGAGCATGAATTGATAACATTAGGCAAAAATAGATTTAAAGAAAAGTGAACATTTTTAGGTATATCAAGCTTTACATGATAATCAATTATATTGTTAACTAATATTTGTGTTTCAAAACAAGTAAAGTAACAAAGGAAAGAATACTGCTAAAAATCAAATTCCCCTTCATAATGTAAGATATTAGTACACTGCTCTCTTTAAGTGATAGATCAAATAAGCAAAAATATAAATTAAATTTAGACATTTTTGAAAACAAAAATTAAGCAAAATTGATCTCCCAAAAGTCAAATATAAAAATTTAAATCACAAAATTAGAAAATACACAAGCTTTTCAAGTACATGCAACTTTAGTAAATACTATGTACTAGGACCCAAAATATATTAAAACTGGAGATTTTTAGACTGAGATTTTTGTTACAATTATGCCTTTAAATTAGAATTTGAGGACAAAAATATGACAAGTGAAAAGAAAATTCTATAATTGAGACCTTTGAAAACATCTAAATATTTTGTGAGTCAAAGTAGTAATAAAGATGTAGCTTATAAAATAATCAGAAGTGAATGATATTTAGAATATGAAATGTCAGAACATTTGTAAGATTAGTAAAGTGTTAGGTACAGAAAGTAAAATGCATAGTGCTCAAGGCTAAGATTTAAAAATATGTAGGTTTAATGAACTAAGCTAAGCATACAGCTTAATCAATTTGTAAAACTCTAATGTGATAAATTCAAATAAATAAAATACATAAAAATATATTTTTGAGAATATAAATTAGTAAATCCTAAGATCTAGATAGAATACAGAATATCAACAAAGGTAAAAGACGTTTCATGGAAACAAATAAAAAAATAAGCTTTCTAAGTCATTAATCAAGAAAAAACATAAAAGCAGGAAAAGCATAAATAGAAATTAAGAAAGGAAAGATGCCATTACTGTAAAACCATGGTGAGTACAGATATGACTAGGGTTCAAGATAAACTTATTGCCCAGTCATAAAATCATTCAGTCTAGTAGATAATTTTCTTTAAAAATAATTCGTAAAACTGTAAAAGTTCTTTATCAAACTGACAAAGGAAGAAATAGAACACAAAATAGCATTTGCCTGTTGGTTTCTCCAATTTTGGAAGCAATCATTTGCCCTGTGACCCTACCTGTCAAACAGAAGAAGAGTTGTTGATTTTTCAGTTTGTTTAACTTTTTGTTTGCTGTTAGGACACAATGGTGATTTCTAGCTTTTTACATGTAAGGCTAGAACAAAAATTGTTGTTATAACAATTATTTCAGAATAGGTAAAATTTGAAAATGACCTATATGTTCATCAAAACAAGAATAAATAAAAGAGATATTTATACAATAAAAAACAATTAATTTGATTGAACTCTCCTTAACATACAGGTGGGAAAGATTTCAAACTTATAAGTGGAGTATGACATAGTTTATTTATATCTCAAAAGCATTCAAAACAATATTCCATATTACATAGTTCATATGCATGGAAATCCTAAGTGTAAAATGTGTATAATTATGATAAAAATTAAATTAATGTTTGTGATGTCCTTTGCGAGAGAGAAAGAAAAATTCAGAAAACTTCAACTAATAATTGTAATATTTTAACATTAACTTGGTTGGTAAATATGCAGGTACTCACTATATTATTATCTACAACTTTTACTTTATATAATTTCTTAATAAAATAAAAAAAAGTTGTATAAATCCTCTACAAATTGATCTTTAATAAAATTAATTATTAAATACATTTTTAGTACATATTTACTGTTTCACTGGCAAATAGAAAAGGAATAGATTTGTATTAGAAAATACAGAGTTGCAACAAACAGACAATAAACATATCAGAAAACTAGAAAAAGGAGGAAGCTGTCTTTGCCTTTAGCAACTGACAAAAGACTACAAGGTAAGAAACCTAGGTAGAGATGTTTAGTTTCAAACATCCTAGGTTCAGTATAGACTAGTTGGTATCAGAAGTGACTACTGAATCTGGACAATATCTAGGATAATTTTTCTGGCTACTGATTTTCCTGTTTAGAGTAGTGACGGGAGATAGCATGTGAATTACAGAACTCATCTACAATGTCACATTTTAAAATATGAGTTGTCAATGAGTGAAACTGACAAACATAGAAGGTATATTTTGGGGTACATACATTGTGAGTATTATGGCCTCAATAGGACATCTCTTAGTAGGTGAATTGAAGAGTCATAAAGTCATTTTCGTATTTATCATTGAGTTTTGGATTTTCAGAAGTTAGGATTTTTTTCCTCAAGCCCATTATTTTGCACTAAAAATTCAATAAATTTCACATATTCCTAGGGTACGTAACCAAATTCAGAATCAGTTTTATATTTCCTTGATGACAATTTATCATTTAACTATTTTCTAGTCCTACTAGTCTTGCTATGTTTTAAGACTATACTTTTACTGTCTCAGATTTTTATGTACATATAAATAGAAAGCACATAAGATATACTATTAAATAAACTTTACCTACTACCTTGAGAAGCACAAACTATCTAATTCTGAAAGTATTTTTTGTTTGTTTGCTTCTATTTTAGTTTCAGGAGGTACATGTACAAGGTTTGTTACATGAGTATATTGCATACTGGTGGGGATTGGGCTTCAAGTGCACCCATCACCCAAATACTGAACATGGTACTCAACAGGTAATTTTTCAGCTCATCCCTTTCCCATCCTTCCCTCTTTTGGAATGCTTAACATCTATTATTTCCATCTTTATGTCCATGTGTACTCATTGTTTATTCCCCACGTATGAGAATGTGCAGTATTTGACATTCTGTTTCATTTGTTCATCCTTTATATCATTTTTTGTTTTAATTTTGTTTAGTTATGCTCTGATCTTTGTTTTTTTTGCTTCTAAATTTGGGTATTGTTGGTTTTTCTAGTTTGCTTCTAAATTTGGGTATTGTTTGTTTTTCTAGTTTGCTGAGGTGTGACATGTTTAGTTTCCATGTACTTGTGTTGTTTTGACAGTTAATCTTGCTGTTGATTTCTAATTTATTCCACTGCGGTCCAAGAAGATACTGCATGATTAAGTTTTTTTCTTAAATTTCTTAAAACTTGCTTTGTGGCCAAGCATATGGTCAATTTTTGAGAATGTTCCATGCACAGATGAGAAAAATGTATTTGCTTCAGTTTGGGGGTATAATGTTCTTTAAATATCTATTAGGTCCATTTGTTTTATAGCCCACTTTAATTCTAGGCTTTCTTTGTTGATTTTGTGCCTCAATGACCTGTTTAGTGTTGTCAGTGGTGTGCTTAAATCTCCCACTGTTACATTCGTATCAATTTGTTTTCACAGGTCTAGTAGTATTTGGTGTATAAATCCGGGTGTTCTGGTGTTGGGTTCATACACATTTAGAATAGTTAAATCTTCTTATTATATTGAATGCTTTGTCATTACATAATGGTCTTGTCTTTTCTTGTTTTATTGTTGTTGGTTTAAAGTCTGTTTTATCTTACCTGCCCCCATGACTCAGTTACCTCCCACCAGGACCCTCCTACAACATGCGGAAATTCAAGATGAGATTTAGGTGGGGACACAGTCAAACCATATCAGATAGTCTGATGACTATTATCCTTGGTAATGTTCATATTACATAGTATCTCTCAGGTGTTTTCTGAATTTCTTATATCTGATGTTTACATCTCTAGCAATATCAGGAAACTTCATCCATTACTCTCTAACATATGTTCTGAAAATGTCTTACTTTTTCTTATCCCCAAGAAATGCCTATAAATCATAGGTTTGGTTACTTTATATAATTCCATATTTCTTGAAGGCATTGTTTGCTATTTCAAATTCTTTTTTCTTTATTGTTTTCCTGACTAGGTTAATTTAAGAGATCCGTCTTAAAGCTCTAAAATTCTTTCTCTTGCTCAGTCTAGTCTATCATTAAAGCTTTCAACTGTACCTTGAAATTTCTCAAGTGAATTCTTTTTGTTTGTTTGTTTTTAAGATCTCTCTCTCTCTTCATTTCCTGAATTGCTTTTGTGGTTTCTTTGTGTTGGTTTTGAAACTTCTCCTGAACCCTAGTGATCTTTATTACAATTCACACTTTGAATTCCTTATCAGTTATTTCTGAATTTCCTTTATGATTAAAGTCCATTATTAGAGAGCTATTGTGGTCCTTTAGTTGGGCCACAGCTTTCAGATTTTTCATGGTGCTAAAAATTCTTACACTGGTTCCTTTTTATCTGACTTACACTTCTTGTTGGTGAATTTACATTCACGTGGTTGGTTTTGTTCCTCCCTTCTTATTTTATTTTATTTCAACCCTCCATGAAGTTGTGACTGTAGAGTAGAGTATATTGGATAGAGTCTTTTGACTTTGCTTCTATAGCCTCATGCATGTCTGTTGGCCAGTTTTATGTTGGGTTGTGCTATTCAGCCTACAAACTAGTAGGTGGTGCTTGTGGGTAACAGCCAGCTATAGAAAAAGCAGATTAATATATACTGGGTCTTTGTTAGTCATGAGGTGCTCTCTGTTGTTTCAGATAATAGGCTGGACAGTAGAATGACTGGTGCCCTGAGCTTCATTTTCAGTGATGGGGTTGTGGGGATGGTTTTGTGGAGCTGGGCCACCTGGTTTGCATATGAATACCCAAATGATGAGCACAGCCACCAACCCTGACAGGGCAGCTGGGAAAGCTACTGAAAAAATGTGCTAAGGTCTCTGTGGAGGTTGAGGTGGCACAAGCTCCACATCCTAGATTGTCAGGAACATGATCTGTTTTCATAACACAACCTTGTCCCAGGGCTCTTGGCTCTTGGTTCAGACACACACTGTTGTCTACTTCCAGGCTACAGTGTAGATGAGAGCCATAGGAAATGACTGCCCTGAGGCACTCCGCAGAAACGATTTTGGGACAAGGACCTCTTCACTCAGCCCCGTACAGGGATATTTGTGACTTCCTGTTCTCCAATGAAGTAACACTGCTACTTTGTATAAAGAAGGGCAGAAGCTCTACCTTCTGGCATGTGCAGGTGGGTGTCAGGTGTGGTGATTTCAGCTGATTGGGTTGGCCTATCCTTAGGCCCCAAGGGACTGATCAGGTGCAAGCAACCTTGGACTGAGCTAGGTAATACTCCAATTCTCAGGCCCCTAGATAGCCAACTGAACAGCATGTGCAAGTCCTGAAGGGACTAGACAAATATCAGGTTAGTGGACTTGTTCTCAGGGTCCCAGAATTCAGGTACTGGCTTGATAGGTAAGGTTGGGCTATTCCTCAAGACACCAGCAGAACTCTCAGGCAGGGGCAGACAGAATGCTCAGCTGGTGGCAGAATGGCAGAACATTCAGGTGATTACAGGCCTATGTGGGCTGGGCTCTGAGAAGTGCTTTGGGCCACAGCTGAAATGGTCAGGTAGGAGCAAGGTGGCTGCATTATAGGCCTTTCATTGGGAAAGCCAGGGTCACCTCAACTGGAACTGTGGAGTCTGGAAGCTGCAAGGTAAATGGATTGTTCACACTCACTCCCCCACACATAAGTAGCAATGCACTGTGCTGTTAGGGCTACACTTAGGTACCTGGCCTACCAACTCCCTCCTTGGCCCAGGGTTGGCAAGGACAATAGAAGCAGTGGCAGCAGGTACCGTGGGAGCCTAAGGGTATATCACCAGCCTCTGGGAGCAGGGCTCTCAGAATAATGTTGGCCCAAAGCACTACTTGTCACATGGGGCAAGGTGGCTATGCTGGGGACCTGATGCTGAAGTGGGCAGACACTGTTTAGTGAGGAGCAGGGGAGGCAGAGCGTTGTGTGGTATGTAGTCTGCCTACTCTTCCATACCATGGCTGCAGTATCTGTTTTTGTGGCACGTAAAAGTGCCCGGCTTCCTTGCTCCACCCCTGGCAGGGTGGCAGCAGCTGGCACCAGGCTGCTCAGGAATAAGATTACTGTGGGATTCAACAAGGGCTCTAGCAGTGCCTCTGAATAGTCTCCAAGCAGCTATCTGTTGGTCTGGAGACCTGTGAGGTCCAAGGGTTCTACTCTGTGTCTAGGATTGTAAATGTCCATGGCGGAAGTGTGGAACCCCAGAGGTCTCTCCCTCACTCACCCCTTCTTCACATTAGGAAGCCTCTCCCAGCTCCATGCTGATCCCAGCTCAGCAGGCTACCGGGCTTTGCTTTCCTCTGCTTTCCATGTTCTTGTCACTTTCGAATTGATTCCAGTGTACTTTTTAAGATGATCTCCTTGAAGTGCTAATATTTACTTGCTGTTTTGATTCATTTCCAGGAGAGAGGTGACCATTAACTGCTTCTAGTCAGTTTCTAGTCAGAAACTAAAGTGTTTTTTATAGCAAATCAAATTTATAGCAAAAAATATATATTTATTATGAATAAAATTGATAGGTAATAATCAGAATTTCAAGCAAAACAACCCTACTTTACAGCAAACAATATTAGAACCCAGCGCTCCCAGATCATTCTGTCATACATCATTTCCTAAAAGAAACAATAAAAATAAAAGATCACTCCTGCACACACACAACACATCTAATTGAAAAGTTCTTGTGAAATATTTAAACCCAAATACATAGTACAGTACATCAGTTGTACATGCTCATATATAACATAAACAATATCTAATAATGAAACTTAAAGTTTAGCCCATGAGAGATCATTTATTTTATGGTTTTTTTAAGAATAGAAATTCACTTAGATATGGTATTTCTAATAAATGGCAGTAATACATTTGAAATTATATGTTTTAATTTCTCCACATTAAATTATAAATTAATGTCCTTAAATAAAGGCAAAAATACTTTCTGTAATTAACATATTTAATAACTTAAAACTTCATTTTAATTGCCTGATTTATAGTTATTTCCATAAATCTTGACTTGCTGGAAATGGATGGCTAAATTTTTACTGCAAAACCTGAAATTAGTGTCTCATAAACTGATTTCACAAATTTAAAATATTATAAAAATCTTTAGGATTCATAAAATTATTAATTATATACATTAATATTTTTCAAAACAATTGCTCATTTAAAAGTATATGTTATTTTAAAAATTGGGAGGGTTTAGGGTAAAACATTTACTAAATAATGTAGGATTGGAAGCAGGGGTCATAAATAAGAAAATGTTTTACCAATAATAATGAAAAATAATGCTTATAATTTAAAATTAACACAACACCTGGACAACTTTAAAGATAAATATATAGCAAAAGTGAGTTTTAGAAATATATTTATTATTTAGAAAGTCAGCATAGTACAATTGTTAAGGAATCAGTACCTTACATATTCTGACAATTCACTCATCAATATACTGACTGTTAAATGTGAGTGATAATATTTACTTCATAGGGTTTTTACATGTATTAAAAAAGTTAATGTGTGGAAAGCACTAAGTGGTTTTTAGCAAATAGTGCATACTTAACGTCAGATGTAATGCACAATGTGTTGTTCTGATTTGGTAAATGAAGTCATGTCTTTAAAATAATACCTCTTCCTATAAAGGTACCCCTTTATAGGGTACAAGGAAGCTCTTTTTTGATGCTTAAACAGTTCTGCATTTTTATTGTGTTGGTGGCCACATGAATCTTGAGTGATAAAATTGTATAAAACTACACACACACACACAATTGAGTGTATATAAAAACTGTTAAAATGTGGATAATGTCTATAGATTGTATCAATGTCCATTTCTTTGTTTTGATATCGCACTATAGTTGTGTGATTTTATCACTGGGGGAAGTTGGGTGAATATTATACATTACCTCTCTATACTAATTTTGTAAACGTCTGTGAGTATATATTTGTCTTAGTCCATTTTTTGTTGCTACAAAAGACTGCCACAGGCTGGATAACCTCTAAAGGATAGAGGTATACTTGGCTCATGGTTCTAAAAACTGGGAAGTCCAAGATTGGGCAGTCACATCTAGTGAGGGCCTTCTTGCTGTGTTATCTCATGGCAGAAAGATGGAAAGACAAGTGAGCACATGCAAAAGAGAGAGACACCAGGAGCCCACTCTTGCTATAGCTAAACTGCTCTTGCAATAACAACATTAATCTAATCATAAGGACTTGGCTGTAATATAACAGTTCCCTCTCATTAGTCCCCACCACCCCACATTGTTGTGCTGGAGATTGAGTTTCCAACACATGAACTTTGGGGGAACTCATTCAAATTACTGAAATAATGTTTTCAAAATAATAAGTTAAAAACAGAATCTAGAAAAGTCACAAACACAATTCCGGTTTTCTGTATCATTCATTATATTTGATACCTTATAGGAATAAGCCAGATTGGCTACTTAATTTTGAGAGCCCAGTGAAAAATGGAACTTCAGAGGCCTATGTACAAAACAATTAAGATTTTTAGGATAACAACAGCAGGCACTTAACCAAGTGTAGGATCATTCCAAAGGTAGAGTTGTGTGAAATTGACTATACAGGTCGTATGACTGTAAAGCAGCTCCTGGCAGCATTTTGTTAAATAAGAAAACCAAAAAGTTCATCTGGATATGTGGATAAAATGAAAATATCTGAGATCATCAGAAACTTACCAGGGGATCTAGCTAAATCTGAGGACAAGTGTTTATCCAGAAGATAAAGACAGACATTAAGTGCAGAAAACCTTCTTTGTGCTATGTAAATTACGATGTTTTGTAAACATTCACCAAAGTGGCTTTGAAAATAGTGTCACTAATGCTCCATTTTATCTACAAGGACTATATTGAAAGATAAGGGACATGGTAATTCCAGTCCCATTGAAAAATTTAAATACCTTAAATTAGAGCAGATTTAGATAATATTTGGTAACTTTTAAAACAAGTAATAATAATGAAATAAAGCCTCTTTTATGTAGTTTTCCTAGGGCTTTTTCCTCACTTTGCTTTTTGCATCTTGAAAGAAACCAACCTTGGATGTCTCTAATCATGCACTCATACACTTATCACTTTTCTTGTCATCAAATTATCTTATAACCCTTACTCAGTAATCTGCTATGATGATCAAAGTTAATTGTTAATAAATCAAACATATTTTAAATATATATCAAAAACTTCTAGATATACAAAGCCTAATCAGAATCTATTTAATAATGGAACATACATGCAAACCAATGATATGTGTGAATATATTTTTAAATATCAATATTAGTGAAGGAAGGCTGTGAAGCAATGTGAGAATGAGTAACCCCAACTCAAACCATTTTTTTCCCTTTTCTGAGCAGTAATGAATTTCAAATTCATTTCAGAAATACTATTTTTAAAGATACAAACTTTACATCACCATACAGGATCTAATGAAATGTCACAAGGCATAAAAATGGATATACAATCATTTAACTAATTTACACTGTGAAATTCACTACAAAGGTAGCTTACTGTGAACATTAAGAGATATTTAGTTCCAAAAGCATCAGAAGAGTCTTGGGTTAATTCAAGTTCAAGGACCACATGTTAACAGACTGGAGTATGTAAAAGTTAACATCTATAAGCCTACATATTAAATATGTAAGGAATACAGAATATATTGATCAACATTTCAAGGTTACTTTTTAGCGAAAATTGTAAATATTTTTATTAAATTATATAAATGACTTTATTAGTTTATAACAAAATACTTTGTAATGTTATTTTATATCAAGTTATGATTTACAACATTTGTTAATATTACTTCCTTTTAACATGACCTTCTCTAGCTTCTTTGCCAATCATTTTAGCACTGGCTTAAAACCTGGGTGATGAAATGCTATGTACGACAAATCACCACCATACATACGTGTTTACCTCGGTAACAAACCGTCACATGTACCCCCTAAATCTAAAATAAAAGTTTAAAAAAAGAAACTTGTTCACAGAAAAATGTGAGCTATTTAAATTGTAAAAATAATGACAGGATATGTTTATAATTTTATACGTGTGTGTGTGTGTATAAATTGAGTGTTTCTGACAGCGGCATTTTTAGCAATGTCATTTAGGGGAAAACAGATGGATATACAACTGGGCTTTTTAAAAGTACAGACAGTAGTTTCCCAGCAACTGCTCTAATGTCTGCCTCCTCCACCACTCTGGTGCTCACGCAGCGCAGAGCTGTCACCTCCGCCATCTTCCCTTCCACCTCGCAGGAATTCACAAGTTGGCCTAACACAGAGAACATGTGTTTGGAAGCAAAGACTAAGACTTGGAACACTGGCTTCTCCCAGAACCCGATGCCTTAACATTACTATATCATTTTTATCTGAATGTGCAGCTACCATTTTCTCTAAGTGTATTGCTTTCAAAGGAAACGTTTTATTAAGTGCAAGTTAAGTCCTTCTCTCTGAGTATTTATATATACAGTATATATACATATATAAGGCTATATATATATATCTCTTTATGGATATGTGTAAATATATCTATTATATATCAAGGATGATTATGTGTAAATATATTTATTATGCATCGTGTGTGTGTGTGTGTGTGTGTGTGTGTGTGTGTGTGTATGTGTATGTTTGCATAAACCCAAGAGAAGTGCGGGGAACATCACACACCGGGGCCTGTCGTGGGGTGGGAGGAGCGGGGAAGGATATCATTAGGAGAAATACCTAATGTAAACGACGAGTTAAAGGGTGCAGCACACCAACATGGCACATGTATACATATGTAATAAACCTGCACGTTGTGCACATGTACCCTAGAACTTAAAGTATAATAATAATAATAATAAAAGAAAGCTGTTGTCATTTCTTAAAGAAAATGGCTCAGCCGATCAAACAGGAAGTGCAGCAGGTGGAAGAGTGAGTGGCTTCTGGGAACAAAGGACCACACCTGAGCCTGGTTCTGGTCGATAATAATCCTGCAAGTCATTCCTATGTCCTCAACAAAACCAGGACAGCTGAAGATGTAAAAATTGACATTGAGACAGTTGTAAAATCAGCTTCAATTTCAAAGAAGCTATTGTTGAATTTAATCAATAAACTGAAGAATGATGATAATGTAGATGGCTTCCTTGTTCAGGGGCTTATTCCAGATCACATCCATGAGAGAAAGACCCATAACGCTGTTTCTCCAGACAGGGATGTTGATTGCTTTCATGTACTTAATGTTGGGTGTGATGTAATCAGCTTTTTCGTGATTCCTTCAAAATCCACATCTCCAACCAACTTGGGTTTAGCAATTATGGGATCTAGAACTCTATGTATTCCATGGAACCAGTATTTCATGGAACCAGTATTCCATGCTACCAGCTCCTTCATAGGGTATGTGGGAAATGATGAAGTGAACTGGCATTCCAGCCCTAGAGAAGAATGTGATTGCAGCTGGGAAATAAAAAAAATGTTGGGATGCTCATTTTAATGTTATTAAACACAGATGGGGCACATGAAAGTCCTGGAGGTGATGCCACGTTACAATATCTCATCAGTACACTCCCATAGAGCAGTTGAAGAAAAATATAATTCTTGCAGATATTGTAGTATCTGCCTCAGGCATTCCAAATCTGATCACAGCAGATATCAAGGGAGGAGAAGCAATCATTGACATGAGAATACATAGAGTTCAAGATCCCATAATTGCTAAACCCAAGTTGGTTGGAGATGTGGATTTTGAAGGAATCACGAAAAAGCTGATTACATCATTCCAGTTCCTTGGGGTGTTCGTCCCAGGACAGTTGTGGTGTTAATGAAGAATATGATTATTACTGCCAAAACATTGTTGAGGCCTGGAGAGCAGTAAGTGCTGAAGTCTAAAGAGCTTGTAGTAGCTACTCATTAACTATTGTGTCTTCTATGTCATGAACAGCACTCCAAGCCAGTTCAAGAAGCAAAGCAGGTCAGCAGTATTTTTTGTTTCCTTTATGCTAAAATAGATTAAAATGATGCTTTGTATTCATTGAAAACTTAAGTGCTTGGGTGTTTGAGCACATAACTCTGCAATACCTCACCACGGAACATTCCAGTATCATGCAGGGCTATGCGATCTAGTCAAGAGCAGCCATTGACCTAGTTAGTAACATGGGAGTCACTGTCACATTGAGAATGGACGCTTAACTTTGTCAAGCCACTTCAGTTCAAAATTGGCCTTTTCTAGGACTGCATTTCTCAAGTGCTATTCCAATAAGAGCTAATACTCATTCTAGTTTCCAAACCTTGTCAGTTCAACTGCTCAAACCAAAAGAAAAATGTTTCTGGAGAAAATTAGGGAAAAGGTGTAAAGAAAAAAAAATGGTAGTAACTGAGTAGAAAAAACATTTTATATGTATATATATACACATATATATGTATATATGTGTATATATGTGTATATATATGTGTATATATGTATATATGTATATATATGTGTATATATGAATATATATGTGTATATATATGTGTATATATATATATATGTGTATATATATATATAACCAGATTTATCCAAGTAGAACCAAATCAGCTAGGGAAAAAGAGAAATGCATTAAACAACACATCCAAGTTGAAAAAATGCTGATAATTTTCCTAAGCTCTCTTTTTGTGGCTTAGTCATTGGGGAAACATTTAGAGTTGTTTTATTTGCTATTAGTCCTCATTTTAGGTATGTTACCCTTAAGTGTGTAGTCTCTCCATTTCAGTTTTCTAGGATTAAAAGGCTTGTTTCATAAATTATTCATGTTTATTATCCTATTTGGCTTTTGCTATATATTTAAACTTTATTGTTAAATTTTTGTATTGTTAGGGAGTATTTGTATAGCTTCTTTGAAATTTCTTGAAACCTATTTCTGAAAAACAAACTCGGCTTGATAATCATTTGGGCAACTTGTATAAGTCTGCAACTTATTTTTCCACCAAAGAGTTGTCAGCACCCGTCTGTTTCTCAGTGATGTACCCCACTGACTTCCCCGAAAGACTTTTAAGAGCTGGAACTAATATTGAATTTTTTTCCGACTGAGTAGAGGGTTTTAATGTTTTAATAATACACACACACACACACACACACACACACACACACAAATAAAGTGCAGACAATACATTAAATAAACAATAAATAAAAGTACTATAAATACATATTGTATACTTCTTTGCCTGTTAATGAATATATTAATTAATTGCCATTATTTTCACCAATATAGCTTTCCTTTTAGAAATATACCATGATTAATTTAATAAGTCTCCTATTGAAAGATATTTAAGTTGCTTCCGGTTTTTCGCTGATATAAGTTATTCCAATATATCCTTTTAACAACACCTTTACACACTTGTCCATTTTTAGCTTGAGATAAATTGCTGGAAGCGAATTACTAGAACGAAAGACATGAACTTTGAAAGCTTTTAACAATAAATGAGGCTAAAGGAAGTTTATACTTCTGCACCATAATCTATGATAGTGTGTTACATTATTTATAACAGAAACTTTGCAGGCAAAACTATTTTTTCTTTGCTTAATTTTGTTTACAAATGTGGACAAATATATAAGCTTACAAGTGTGGTCAAATATATTACATGTGTTTATTTGTCTTTTACATGTTTTTTTTTTTCTAATCCAATTCCTATGTCATTTCCCTCTTATCCCATATAAAATTTTTATATTCACTTATAAAATCTCCTTATTTGTTAAGGATATTAAGTAATGCTTTACCTGTGATACTGACTGTGATGCAGTTGCTTTATTCAGTTTTTGTTTCTTTCTTGCATTTTGGTTACAGTGGCTTTTGCTGTCACATTTACTGTTTTTTCTATGCAGATTTTTATTTTTCATGTTTTGCTAAAAAAATTTATATGGTAGTAATTGTGATAAAAATACATTAAACTTTATTATACTAATTATGGAGTTTTATTTTAAATTACATAAATAGCCTTGTTTTAACTTTGATTCATCTCAAATTCATTTTGGTTAAATTGTGAAGGAAAGCATATAACCTTCAGATGCAATGCCTAATGAGTGCCCTAATCTCACTTTTGAATATTTAATTTTTTTTCTATTAATGTTGGACTTTTTTTGGTTTTTAGATTTTGATTTCTGTTTCTTTGGTTTCAGTTTTTTTCCAGGGCCAATAGCAGTCTTAGTACTATAGCCTTTTAATATATTTTAATATCTGTTAGGACAGGATCCCTTTCACTTCACTGCTCATACACGATAAACTGAGCTAGTTTTATCCATTTATTTTTCCAAGACACACTGGCAGAATGAGCCTCTTCAAGCTTAGCATATCTTGTGAGAAGGGAAAATATCAGATATTAGGAGATGCTTTTTTCCAAAGCAATTTTAAAATCTCATCCTTATGAGACTGAATATTACAACAACATACTTTTTTTCCAACATAATTTCTAATTTAAATACACTTTTCACCAATAAAATGGACTGTTTTAGAGATAAAAATAGAAATCTAATGTTCATATGAAAACTAATATTAAGATTGTAGACTTTACAACAAATGTGTTGAGGTGAATGGAGGGGTAAAAAAGTTAATTGTAGAAAAATAACATTTAGAAAAATTCTCTGAACTCTAACCACATGTGACGATAAATCATCCCAAGTAACTCAGACTCTAATTATAAAAGCCTCAGTGGTAAAGTTAGCCAAGTATATAGAATTAATTTGTATAATTTTTACCTGACTTCAGATGTATCACCTGGAAATTAGATTGCATTTATTGAGACATTTATTTCCTCTAAGGAAAAATTTAAAAATTTCACAGTCAAAAATTACTATTTAAGATAAATTATCAGCTGAGGAGTCAAAGGTGTAGAAAATTTAAGTGACTTTCCCAAGGGCACAAAAATATCTGAGTGCTCAACAGGGAGTAGAAACCAATCTCCTACATCTAGGTGCAATTTCTATTGCAATTCGCAGGGCCCTTCTCTTGATCTTTTATATTACTTTTTTTTTTCCACCAGTTTTACTGCAACCATGCGGAGAATAACGATTTTTTTCTCTCCAAGATAATTCAGATATAGTTGGGCAAAGAAGGGAGAATCATGTATGATTAAATGCCTCAGGTACTGTGATAGTGCCATTATAATTGGTAGCTAGATATTAAAACATTTCCAAGTGAAAAATAGAACCTTGGGGACACAGAAGACCAATCTTAAAGAAGGCTGATGAATTCTCTTGAGGAATATATTAAGAAGACATCCCACCACATTCATATACCAACACTTTGAATTCCTTTAAGATATATTTTCAATATGTTTAAAGTGATCAAGTTTCATCACTTATAATTTCAACCATAGAAAAATAATAAAATAAAATGCAGTATATATGTTTTTAAGAATGCTGTACAGGTTTTTAAATTGTGTTCTGAAAAAATATTTAATGGTACAGAGGAATATTTTAGATAAAAACCTTAAGTGAAATAATTTTACATTGTATGATCTTATTTTTAAAATAGTTATATATTAATGTGAATGCATATATGTATATATTTGAAAATATGTGTTCAGATATGGATATAACTAGAAACTTACTGGAGAAAATTAACCATGTTAATTTGTAGATATTTTATTGTTGAGACCTTTTAAAAATACTTTCTGAAGTCTATAATTAATACATATTTTCCATTCATGAGAAAAATAATATTGAAAACATATTTCCCCACTTGTGGGGAATATGCAGGAATATGCAGGACTAGAATAATACCTTGATCATGCTTTATATTTGAATACTGTTTTAAAGTTTATGCACTTTTTCATATATGCTATATATTCTGTAATTGAAAAAAATCATTATTTTTAAAGTTTCACTGGAATTGTTGAAGATAAATCAGCTAAGCTTTAGTCAATGAATTAAAAATAATAAGAACAATAAAATTAACTGATATTGGGAAAACTAGATATGAATTAAGAGAGATGAATAAACCACATAGTTCAAGCACTAGAAAAGCAAAATTTGTTCTCTCATTGTATAAAAATTTTGCAAAATTGTTTCAGTTTTAACTGCCTGAAATTGTAGAAAACATGTTGTTTGTTTGTTTTTAAAACATGGGAGGTTTGGTGAATGCAAAAGCATGATAATGCATAATAATAATAATAATAATCATCATCATCATCATAATCAGCAGACCTTGAATCAATTAACACTTCAATAAGGAGATGCAATGTAAGTAAGAAAACCCAGTGCTTCCACAAACTTCAGAGAAGTTGGATTCATATCCATGTATATTAATATAGAACGTAATTCTCCTAAGGAAAATAATTACTTCCTTGTTGCATCAATCTCATGTGATTTTGGAGATAACTAAATGAGGCAATGCATATAAATTGCTTATCAGAGTGCTTAACAAATAAGTATTTAGCTCAGTACATTAGGCTATCTTCAGTGTTATCATCATTATTATTTTCCCTGTGTATGGATAATCTTTGTACAGTCTTTGCTCAAACCATAATAATTGTATTTGTTTCACTGTTCATAGGAAACTTATTGAAGAAGTGTAAGACAGTTTATATCAAAATACACCTTATATATCCCAAGTGATTTTGTTTCTTAAATATCATTTTCTATGTGTTTTACTCTTTTATTCAATAATACATTTAAGCTTAAGAAAAATCTAATACAGAAAGAGAGAAAATGTGTATTCCTCTTGGCCACAAGCTGAGTATTCCCTGACACAAACAAGTTGAAATGTTCTTAGGGATTTGAAATCTTTTTAAGAACTTGAATCAAAATAAATAATGTTTATTATTTAATGTCCATTTACATTTCTTACCACAAAAATCTCCTAATTTCCAAGCCCCTATACATCAATATTTCCACCTCCTAAACTAATTAACTCTTGTTTATATGGTCATGACACTATAACCAGTTATACCCCTGAAATCTCTGCCATAGCATTCAATATATCCAGTATATATAAAAAATTCCTTCTGCCTTGTGGTTATCTTAAATGTGTCCACAAATTCTTTGCTGCTGTACCTATCAATAAGTGAGCTTAACTTCTTCCCCTTCAGTGTGGACTGGATTCAATGACTTATTTTTAATGAATAAATGTGGTTGAAGTCATAGTGTATCACTTCCAAAACTAAGTCATGAAAGGGACTGTGGCGTCCCCCTTTATTTCTCTCAGATCACTCACTTTGTGAGAAGCCAGCTGTCTGGTCATGAGATTAACCAGTCAGACCTATGGAGAGTCCTATATGCCTGGAAAGAAACTAAGGTTTCGTGCCAAGTACCGTTGAGTACTTGGAAGTTAATCCTCCAGTCCTAGTCTACCCTTCAGATGACTGCAGCCCTGATCAACAGCTTAGCTGCAGCCAGATGTGAGACTCTGAGCCAAAATTACTCAGGTAAGCTTCTTCTAAATTGTTGACCTACAGAAATCTTACATAAGTCATGTATTCTTTTTTTTAACTTTTATTTTAAGTTCAGGGGTACAAGTATAGGTTTGTTACATAGGTAAACTTGTGTCATGGGGGTTTGTTTTATAGATTATTTCATGAACCAGGTATTAAACCTAATACCCATTAGTTGTTTTTCCTGATCCTCTCCGTCCTTTCACCTTGCAGTCTCTGGTAAGGCCCAACATGAGTTCTTTCATTCCATGTGCCCATGTGTTCTTATCATTTAGCTCCCACGTATAAGTGAGAACATGAGGTATTTAGTTTTCTATTCCTGTTAGTTTGCTAAGGATAATGTTGTGACTCTCTATCCATGTCCCTGCAAAGGACATGATCTCACTCTTTTTTTATGGCCGCATAGTATTCTGTGGTGTATATATATCACATTTTCTTTATCCAGTCCATCATTGATGGCCATTTAGGTTGATTCTATGTCCTTTCTATCATGAATAGTACTGCAGTGAACATAAGCGTGCATGTGTCTTCATAGTAGAATGATTTATATTCCTTTGGGTATATACCTAGTAACGGGATTGCTGAGTTCACTGGTATTTTTGTCTTGAGGTCTTTGAGGAGTCACCACATTGTCTTCCACAATGGTTGAACTAATTTACACTCCCCAGCAACAGTGTATAAGCATTCTTTTATCTCCAAAACCTCACCAACATCTGCGTTTTTTTATTTTTTCACAGTAGCCATTCTGACTTGTGTGAGATAGTATCTCACTGTAGTTTGCATTTGCATTTCTCTAATGATCAGTGATATCGAGCTTTTTTTCATGTGATTGTTGGCCACATATATGTCAACTTTTGAAAAGAGTCTGTTCACGTCCTTTGCCCACTTTTTAATGCGGTTGCTTTTTATTGTAAATTTGTTTAATAATTTGTTTTACAGATGCTGGATATTACGCCTTTCTCAGATGCATTTATTTGCAAACATTTTCTCCCATTCTGTAGTTTGTCTGTTCACTCTGATGATAGTTTCGTTTGCTGTGCAGAAGCTCCTTCATTTAATTAGACTCTATTTGCCAATTTTTGCTTTCGTTGTAATTGGTTTTTGGCATCTTTTTCATAAAATCTTTGCCCATGCCTATGTTCTGAATGGTATTGCCTAGGTTGTCTTCCAAGGTTTTTATAGTTTTGGGTTTTACATTTAAGTCTTTAATCCACCTTGAGTTAATTTTTGTATATGGTGTAAGGAAGGGGTTCGGTTTCAGTCTTGTGCATATGGCTAGCCAGTTATCCCAGCACCATTTATTGAATAGGGAGTCTTTTCCCACTGCTTGTTTTTGTCAGCTTTGTGGAAGATCAGATAGATGTAGGTGTGCAGTCTTATTTCTGGGTTCTCTATTCTGTTCTATTGGTTTATTTGTCTGCTTTTGTACCAGTACCCTGATTTTTTGGTTACTGTAGCTATGTACTATAGTAGCTACCATACTACATGAAGTCTGGTAGCATGATGCCTCCAGCTTTGTTCTTTTGGCTTAGTAAAATTGTAGATAAAATGGCCTTGGCCATTCGGGCTCTTTTTTTGTTCCATATGAATTTTAGAGTAGTTTTCTCCATTTCTGTGAAGAATGTCAGTGATAGTTTCAGAGGAATAGCATTGAATCTATACATTGCTTTGAGCAGGATGGCCATTTTAATGATATTGATTCTTCTATCCATGAGCATTGAATGTTTTTCCATTTGTTTTTGTCATTTCTGATATCTTGCAGCAGTGGTTTGTAGTCTCCTTATAGAGATCTTTCACCTCCCTATTTAGCTTTCTGCCTAGGTACTTTATTCTTTTTACAGCAGTTGTGAATGGGATTTCATTTGTGATTTGGCTCTCAACTTGCCAATATGCAAAAATCGTGTTTTCTATTTTAAGTCACTATGTTTTAAGGCACTTGTTTACACAGCTTTAGATAATAGCTATTTTTATCCTGGGAGTGGGTGTTAGGGTAGCAAAACACAAACCTAAACAAAGAAATCCAAATCCTGCAATATTGGAGTGGATTTAGAAACCAAAAAGAGTTTGAAGAAAGTATATGTGAAAGCATCAAGATCCTTGAAGAAGCTGAAAATTTTATAAGCTTTGAGAATACCGCAGATGAGGGCTTAAAGAAAGTATGAAAAATCTTACCGGAAACTGTTGGAAATGGGATTTTTAAAATACAATTAAGAACGTTTGGCAATATTGTCACCTATGGTAAGGTGGAAAGTAGAAAACTAACTTATCTGAGTGATCTAGCTAAAAATATTTCTTAGCAAGGTGTTAAAGTGTCACTCTATTTTGTCTTAGTGCTTATAAAGCATGAACTAAGATCAAGAAAGACAGGAACCAAAGAGAGACTCACACCAGGTATATACCCACACTTATAATTACTTTAACTAATTTTTGGCAAATGTGTCCAGGTTATTCAATGAATAATGGGATGACTTTTGTAAGAATGGTTCTGAAATATGAGGGTGTTAGTATGAAAAATAATAGCACTGTACCCATACATTATATTACTTTAAAAAAATAACATGAATTCATAGACCTAAATGTTAGACCTTCAAGTATTAAAGAAAAGAATACTCTTGCAGTTTTTGGTTAGGCAAAAAGGTGTTAGGATGCAAAACATGAATCACAGAAGATAAACTTAATAAATTAGACTTTATCAAATTTAACTTATATCAAAATTAAAATTTAAAAATTTCATGAAAACGTATACCTAAAATAAGTCAGTTCTACTGTATTTAATTATACCACAATAAACCTAACCTAATAAAATAATTAAATTCCATGAGAAGAATCTTTTCAATGTTGTTATTGATTTCTGGTTTTATTACATTCTGATTGGAGACTATTGTTTATAAAAATTCCATCTTGTTAAATGTATTTGCCTTCTTGCTGCATTTTAATATACAGTACATTTCATGTATGTTTCATTTGCTCTTGAAAAGGGATATTCTTTATTATCGGAATGTAATATTTGATATTTCTCTATATTATCTACCTTATTGATATTGATTATATGTTCTATATGCTTGCTTACTTATTTGTCCTCTTCAGCTATTTTCACAAAAACTTGCAAAGAGTGATAAACTTTCCTAGTGTTTTTTTCTATTTATCTCTCTGTATCCTTTAGGTTCTACAGTATAAGGGTGGTTTGTACGTTACTTAGTATGAAGCTATCTATGTCTAATAGATTTTGATTGTTAATTGTATCATTTTGCATCATAAATAAACTTTATTGTCTAATGTATTGAGGCCTGAGTGCTTCCTTGTTTGATGAAAGACTTCAAACTTGCCTGCTTAGTAGTATTTCCATTTGCCTGACAGCTTGTTGCTCCTCTTTCTCTCTCTTTCTCCTTTCCTCTTACTTTCCTTCCTTCCTCTCTCTCATTTCTGAATCACTTTTTTTTTAGATAGACGTTTCTCATGTGTCTTAGTTCTGGCTGCTATAACAAATTACCATAGACTGGGTGGTTTAACAGCAATCATTTATTTTTTACAATCTGGGAGGCTAGAAGTGCAAGATCTAGGTGCCAGCATGGTGCATGTTTGGGTTCTGATGACGGGTCTCTTCCAAGTTGCAGGCAGTGACTTTTAGTATCCTTAGATGGTGAAAAGAAGACAAGAGAGTCTTCTGAGGTCCTTTTTATTTTTTACATGCTACGCATGTTATTTTATATTTATTGTGTGTGTGTGTGTGTGAGTGTGTGTTTGTGTGATAGAGAAAGAGATACAGGTGGGTTTTTCTTTAGGTGGTATATCTTTTTTGCTATTTTTTGATATTTATTTTAGAAGCAATGAAAAGTTTCATTGTTTTTAGCAGTTACTTTCTTATTAACATCTTTATAGTATCCTTATTTTTTCCTTTCAATTAGTTTGTTTTCAGCTTTAAAACATGTGATTTAACTCTTATCTATTCACTAATTTCCTTTTTGTTCTCTGTAGCTAAGCTTTTACTTACTGATTGACCCACTTATTTGACATTCAATAAGTTTTTCCATTTTCCCACTTAATATTTTCCTTCTGTTCTCACTTTTTGACATAATATATGGCATTTTTATTTTGCTTTTTTCCATCCTTGTCACAGCTTTGCTTTTGTCTTTATTTATTTATTTATTTCAAAGACAGGGTCTCACTCTGTTGCCCAGGCTCAAATGCAGTCTGCCCCAGCCTCCCAAATCACTTGAATGGCAGCTAGGCTCTGAGGCTTTTGTCTTAGAATAAAATTACTGGCAATCTTTTGTCTAGTACTTACCTAATTACTTCTTAGATGAAATTCATCCTCTAGTACATTGCTGAAGGAAATTCCATGCTTACATCACTGAAAGTGTTTTCGAATATATAGAATTTTTCTACAGCTTCTTATTGCCTAGCTATAATATTATGGATTCGAGCTTCCTTTCCTTGTGTTTCTTGAATGATGCTCCACTGTTTTTGTTTTCTTTGTTGTTTTGTTTCTCATTACTTTTCAGATGCCTAATTCCAACAAGTGTTATCTTTTTTCCTTGGTAAGCAGCTTATGTTTTTGTTTTGGTTTGGTTTGGTTTTGCGCAGGGGCTTCTTAGATATTTTTAATATCTTTAACGTCTGAAGAATTTCCAGAATATGTCACAGAGTTGATTGTTCTATGTCAATTTATCTGGGTATACATTCATCCTGTTCTGTTAGTCATTTCGGGACTTTTATTCCCAGAGATGTTTTTTTCTTTTTCTTCTTCTTGCCATTATCAACAGAAAAAAAGCCCTTTAATTAACAAAAAGACAAGTCTACAACTATTTACCCACGTATCCTGAAGCTATGGAAAATAAAGAAACCCTGAAAACTTGAGCAATGACTGACCAGATTGTGAATTATTTTCAAGAATGGTCAGTAATTTCATTGCCATGTCAAAAGACCCAAGAGCATATAATTGACTGTATTTTTCTTGATAGTTGTGAAATTCTCAGGACGAAAGACTTGGCTTTAACTCCCAGTGTGAGCTTCATCAACATTTGTGAATTGTATAAAATTCCCTAGATAAATGCTTTTCAGTAGCAGCCCCATACAAACAGTATTAAAGATTTTGTCTTTTTTCCACAATGATTTTGCAGTTCGCCCCTGACCATGAAGATGGAAGCTCTGTTTTGGTTTGTAGAGCTCACTGCTTTCTCCCAAGTTTAGTCAATCTGGACAGACGGCTGGCAATGTGGATGGAAAAGCACTCCTACATGCAAAGATTTTAAGGGATTTGTAGGTGTAGGACAGGTCAAGGGTCAGCAACAATTATCATCTCTTACGATAGACTATTTAGTAGTTGTGAACAAAGAATTACTTCAATTTTGCTTTTTTCCAAATTTCCCAGGTAATTTTTGTGCATTCTAATGTCTAAACTAAGGTATTTTAGCAACTGATATCTGAAGGCAAGTTGTTCCTCAATTGTTTAACTCATTTCATAAGGACTGTGTGAAATCCTTTTTGACCATGTTGGTATTGACACATAATACTTGACGTATTCTTGGGGTGCATCAAGTTCTTGTTGCAAGGCTATCATACACTATCTTTGTAAATTCTAATTGTGCCATTAGAAAAAGTATGGGTTTTGTGAATAGACAGATCTGGGGTTGAATGCACAGTACGGCTCACTGTGTTATTTAGAACAAGTTATGTATTCTCTATGATAAGTACTCTTCAATTTAAAATTGACTTAAAATAGTCACAGTTCAGTTTTGAGATCTATATACAATGGTTTTATGTATTTCATTGGTGGAAACTGAATAAAACATACACAGAGTTCTGTTGTAGTTTGAACTTCTTATAACTGCATATGAATCTACAATTTTCTTAGTAAAAATTTCAATTAAAATGTATATATTTTGTTTTTTTTTTTCAGAGTCTCTGTCCCCCAGCCTGGAGTGCAGTGGCATGATCTCGGCTCACTGAAGCCTCTGCTTACCAGGTTCAAGCGATTCTCCTGCCTCAGCCTTGCTAGTAGCTGGGATTACAGGCTTACGCCACTATGCTCAGCTAATTGTTTTTTGTATTTTTAGTAGAGATGGGGATTCATCATGTTGGCCAGAGTGGTCTCAAACTCCTGACCTCAAGCGATCCACCCACCTGGGCTTCCCAAGGTGCTGGGATTACAGTAGTGAGCCACCATGCCTAGCCTATATATTGTCTTAATGTGTCAAAAATATTCAATGAAATGCTGATTCTTTCTCCAAAAATCAACACCTATTCATTAAAGCCCAGATGTGTTCATTTTTTTTACAGTTACCCAAGAAAAACACTTTTTAATAAACAAGGAAAATATAGGATCACATGTTATCTTAATTTTAAAGAAAGTGTGTATATGTGTACATATATAGTCACTTTGAGCACTCAACTTGGAAATTCTTCTGTTAAAATTTTACAACTGCACAAATTTTGATAAAAATGAGTTACAAAAAAAGTAAATGCATGAATGGTCTTTGCTACAATCTATTTTAGCAATGGCAAAAATTAGTAAGAAATATGCAACTATCTCTATTAAACCACATTCTTGTCTAGGCTGTAGTTTAGAAAAAGGCTTTTAAAAGACTGGGCTTACCCTGGATTGAGAGGTAAGAATGGTGATCTATTGTTTTTTACTCAGAGTAAGTTATGTAATCATGCTAGTTTTTCTATGTAGTTTGGTCATTGCCTAATCCTCCAGTTGTTTCTGTGAGTTACCTAATAGCCACTAATAAATCCTTACTGGGGCCAGGCACGATGGCTCAAGCCTGCAATCCCAGCACATTGGTAGGCCGAGGAGGGCAGATCACCTGAGTTCAGGAGTTCGAGACCAGGCTGGCCAACATGGTGAAACCCCATCTCTACTAAAAATACAAAAATTAGTCAGGCATGGTGGCAGGGATTTGTTAGCTGAGCTACTCAGGAGGCTGAGGCAAGAGGATTGTTTAGACCCAGGAGACACAAGTTGCAGTAAGCCAAGATTGTACCACTGCACTTCAGCCTGGGCGACAGACACTCTGTCTCAAAAACAAACAAACAAAAAACATAAAATAAATAAATGAATCTTTACTGGGTCTCATACACAGCCTGAGTGCTGGCATGGTTGCTTTATTCGAAAACATACATAGAAAAAATAACCTCAATACACATATGCCAGAACTAGAGAGCATCTTTAGCTTCTCTCATTTATTTTTCATCTTTTTTCATTTATTTTCCTACAGGTTCGGGGTCAATACAGCCAACAGGGCCAAATTTAAAATAGTCCATTCCTACAGTTTGCTGAATTTAAAAACTCTGTCCCCAGAGTGTACATTTTCTAATTAGTAAATTAAAAACAATGAATTTTACATGTTTAGATCAGCTTCTCATAAATTTTCCTTTTGGAAGGGTGTAGTATTACTTTCACAAAGTAAAAGTTCTCTTTGTTCCTCAAGTTAAGGCATCTGATACGGGGAAACTGATTGTGTTTCTGACTAATGATGGGAGTTAATAGTTAGAATCTTAATTGGCTTCCACAATTTTAAAGAAAACATCTTGCTCCATCTAACTTATTCATTATTTTAATTCACAAGAGTTTCAGAATTCAAGAAAAGAGACATGCTATTTATTTGATACCTCTCAAAATGCTCAAACACATATCAAATAACCCCAAGTACTTTATAGTCCATATGGACAATATATATGAAGAATAGATTTTTGTATGTATTCTGAGAGTATTATTATACATCAGGACATATTGGTGGATAAAGTACTCAGTAAAATAAACCTTGAATTCTTAAGTGGTCTGGTATTAATTTGTTTGGTTGACTAGAACTTGAGCTTCACTGTGGCCTCTGGTAAAATTGGAACTTGGATGCTAAAAATGAATTTGTATAAGTGAATTAATTAAAGAAGTTAAAAATGTTAGAGGAACTGTATCCTGTATCGTTATATTTTATTCAACCATAGCCTACCATGTCCCCTGAGTGTTTTCATGGAATACCACTTCGAGGATCCTATTGGAGAGGCAAGTAGCAATATGACAAAACATACTTTTACTGGTTGTTATGTGTAGCCTGAGGACGCAGGTAGAAGATTAGGCCACTGAACAGGTTTCCTGAGTTCAACGAAGTTGGTAAGATTCTTAGGTAGCAAAGGCAAAACATGACAGTTGTCTGTCAGAGGCAATGGGAATGGCATTAAAAATTGTCTAATTATAAAACCTTTTAAGAGACTGTTGATGGCATCCATAGGACATTTACTACTGGATTTTTAAATCATAGGCCTGGATAACTGACTAAGGCTATGATGATAAATAGTTAGAGCCCCTCTGTTAGAAAAAAAGTTCGGAGTCATAAAGAAAAACAGCACTTAAATAAAGGATTTCTCAGCAAAGCAAATTTACTTTTGCGCAGAAGGGTGTTTCTCATCAGGCTGGCTGGCACGAAAGCACCCTGAACAAAGGAGAGTACAAGCTTTTATTTTCTTTTTATATTTATTTATTTATTTGAGGGAGTTTCGCTCTTGTTGCACAGGCTGGAGTGCAATGACGCGATCTCAGTTCACCGCAACCTCCGCCTCCTGCGTCCAAGCGATTCTCCTGCCTTAGCCTCATGAGTAGCTGGAATTACAGGAATGCACCATCATGCATGACTAATTTTGTGTTTTTAGTGGAGACAATGTTTCTTCATGTTGGTCAGGCTGGTCTTGAACTCCCGACCTCAGGTGTTCCGCTTGCCTCGGCCTCCCAAAGTGCTGGGATTACTAAAGGCATGAGCCACCACGCCCGGCCTGAAGCTTTTATTTTTACCGCGACTCTTGACCCTGTGTCCTTTTCTCATTAGCTGGGGTTGGACTGCACAATCTAAAGTGGACTCGATTGGCTAAGCATTTAAACTTTTTTAGATAAGGTGGGCACCTAATGGGAGAGAGGGGAGAGGAGGAAAGGGTCGTCTACAGAGGACTAGAGAGCCAGTCTATTTTCAAATAAGGAAAGGAATGTGAGTTGGGGCTGTGGCATGTCTGGGCATGTAGTAAAATCAGAAGAAAAGGAGAAGAAAGGTGGTGGGCAGGGGGCGGGTACTTGGAATTAGAGAATAAGAAGTTGAGCAGGCTGTTTGAAGAGAGCCCTGCCATATCTCACACCCTCTGTTTGCCATTTGTGAACCACATACACTGAGTGTTCTTTGAGGGAATTGGAGTCTGCATACTTCTCAGAAGGATCCTGCTATCAAGTTTAATGTATAAATATTGGTATGCTAATAAGTGGATTTTTAGCATGAATCTGCCTCTTGATCAATACATTGGGACCCCAAATTCATACAACGGTTAATTTTCAACTGAGCATGTCATTGGAATAGATATTTACAAAAATTTAAAATTCACTCATTGGTTCCATGATCCTTGGCATAAAGAAACTTTTGGTATAAAGAGCCAAGAATATGTGCTTAGAAATTATCTTCCCTATCAAACAAGTAAGCAGGCTTACTGCCCTACCCTGGGGCAATCATAATGTTAGAATCACATCCAAGATTTAAAAGTTTTAGAGTGGTTATGCCTATAATACCATCATTTAATCTACCTATTTGTATTCTGAAAGAGATTGATAGGTCTTAAAAGATAAAAGTGGATTATCATAAACTTAATAAAGTGGTATTTCAAATAGCAAATCTGTCAAGTGTCAGTTCTCTTGCATACCGTAATTCAGTCTAAATAGACACTCATTGTCATAATTCCATAGGACTTCAGAATGTGTCACTACAGAGAGGATACTATAAAAATATAGCTGGGCTTTCACAGTAACATATTTGATTATTAAACAGAAGTGGTAGAGAAAAGGATTATCTTCACATGGGTCCTAAAGGAACACTTAAATTGCATATATTCCCAGTGTGTCTATTCCTACCTCACCACTATACTTCTCATTTCACTAGAAGAAATTACTTTAGATCTGTTGACTGAAATTGAGTAAAATTGATGATGGTTTACAGGCAGCTCTACACATGGTCGTCAGCAACCAGAAAGGATAGTCCCCGGTTCAGTGGTGGCCTGAAGGAAAGTGAAGAAAAGTAAATTCCTGTGGGAAATTTAGTTCCATTTCATGGTCTACTTTGTTTGGAAATTGTAAGCACCTAAATTATTTTAAATACTAAGCTTCACTCCCATTGGGGTTTTTCATAAAAATATGGATGTGACCATCTCATCAAAATTTGTTGGTGGAAATAATGCTAAATATAGCTAATTTATGTATTGAGTTGATGTTATACAGTGGATTGGAGGCAATTAAATGCATGGCTTTATTTACTTTTTATGATTCCAGCAGCTATTTTAATCTTGGAATTCACTGAAAAAAATTAAACATTATGTTTACTTTTAACAATTTTATTGAAGGTGTATGTGAGTATACTGTTACTTTAAAACTTTTACCTTTATCTGCATAATTAAAATAATTTCTAATAGAAAAAGATTAAATATCACTTATATCTCAGCCATGTTTTCAAATATTTGACATTATAGCAGGAAGTACAAGTATAATATAAACAAGAGCCAGATTATGATGGTTAATAAAGGTATAACTTTACCTGATAGAAATATTGTAGTTTTAAGAGATTACCAGAGAACAATTGTTTTTGAAAAGGTGACCACCATAGAAAAAGAAGTGCATCAATCCATTACTCAGTTTTAATATCATTCTCTCTTGTTCAATATAGAAAACCACTTTTAGAATGTTAGACCAAAGAACATTCTTTCAATTCTCAATATGAAAAAAAAGAATTATTTGTTCTTATTAAACTTGGGTTGTTAAGACAGAATTATTCATAGTGCATTATTATAAGGCACCTCAGGGGCATTTCCAACATACAAGCAACTGAATAAACTTATTTTGCTTGCTTCTGGCTTCTGTGTTATGTTCCCATAGAAGCACATAAAAAGCTTTCAAATCACTTGTTTTTTGGAATTCATTCAGCCTATTTTCATAAATCACATACAAATAAGAAGCCAGATACCTTTAAACTCATGAAGAAAAATCCTTCCATAGGTTTATATAGGGCCCAGAAGGAAGGCAATCTGTTTGTGCCCTAAGTGAACAATTGTTTTATTCCTTTCATATAACTCTGCTCTTACACTCATGGTGTGCAAAAAGCTCTGGAACTAAACACAGGTTTCAATCACTGGCACATATACTAATAGTCTCATATTCAAGTGCTACATTTGGTCAAGACATAACCACAATTCAAGCAGAGAATAAAGAAAATCTCTGAGAGATGATACTATTGTCTAGTTGTTAAGCGAGCAAGGCTTGGAGCTAGAATTTCTGAGGTTCATTCTCTCCCCACTGCCAACCAGCTTCTTTAGCTCAGGCAAGTTATTTATCCTCTCAGACTTAATCTTCTCTTCCGTAAAGTAGGAAAAATAATAGCCCCAACTCAAAAGGTTTTGGTGAGGATTCAGTGGGTTAATGTATATTAGGAAGTTGAGACAGAGATCAATACATATTAGAAGTCTGTTTGGTTTTCTATAAAATTCCATACAATGAGATTTAAAAGAAGAAACCAAGCTATCATTTTAAAAATCAGTATGTGTTTCAGCATGCTATCTGAAGACCCTGATGTAAATACGTTACAATAATAAATTTATACTCTCTTATTTATGAGATTTTCTGCAAAAAAATTAAGATTTTAAGTCCTTGCGGTGTTATGAGAATGCTTAATTTAAAATGTTGCTGAATTATTCATAATTGAAATTGTTGATGCTTTGTTAAAATAAGAATGCATACTAGTTTTACAGTAATCAGTACAGTTTTTGTTATTTATTAATTAACACTTATAAAATGACAAAACTTTGGCCTCATTGAGTCAATAAACCAAAACAAGGAAAATTAAATGATAGACTTATTGCGGGTTTCATCATCCTCAAGATTGCACCATAATTGCCAAAATATTACTGTGTAGATGAGAATGATTTCACATAGGCCTGCTTTTAATGATCTGGATATACTCTTTATTGAGAATTCTATTGGTTTTGTAGATGTCTGATTATACTCATTTTATATGCATATATATGTATATATACATTTATATTTATATATAAACAGTCGCTTATTGCTTAAGGTTGAGGATATGTTTTGAGAAATGCATCATTAGGTGACTTCATCATTATACAAACATCACGGAGTGTATTTACACAAACCTAGATGGCAGAGCCTACTACACACCTGGGCCTATATGGTATAGCCTATTGCTCCTAGGCTACAAACCTGTACAGTAGATTACTGTACTTAACACTGTAGGAAGTTGGAACACAATGCTAAACATTTGTTTATCTAAGCATAAAAATGTACAGTAAGAGTATGGTATTATAATCTTAAGGGACTACTGTTATTCATGCAGCCCATCCTTGACCAAACATCATTATGTGGTGCATGACTGTATATACAAAGGCGATATTTGTCATATATGTCTTTCCCAAGTGTACATGTTTATTTAGTTTTGTGGGTAGAAAGAGGGCAGCATAATTTCAGTGGGAGGGAAGGAGGTTAAAAAAGAACTCATGCTTGCCAATGATCATTGATAAACAATATTCTAGAGTGGATAACCTTAAATACATTCTTATCTTCTCAATTATCATTGTGTGAAGTCTATCAGCACTCACAATGTCAATGCTGCTATACTTGGGGACACTTTGGAGGTGTTAGCATTCTGTAATAGCTGACTTCTAAGAACAATGGTCAAAGTAGGGTATACATTGTTTTAGGGATAATTTACAGATATCAGCTTGTGGAGAGAAACCTATTCTTGAGTCTAACTTATTCAAGTGGGGAAATAATTGGAGGATGGCTTTGAGGACTAACAGGGCTCACTGTGAATTGTGACTGGACTAGAATTCTATCTGTCTTCTATACACTCTCATTGGAATTTATGAGAAGAGTAGCTTTTATTAGTCCTTTGATATAATAATTAGTTTAGAAGTATAATCTAATTACTTTTTGTTTTCTATTTGTCCTATTTTACTGGCCAAGAAAAAAAGGCTTTATATGTAAAATATAGTATATAGTGGCATTCACTTTGTTTGTTCCTTTAATGAGAAAAATTGCAGTATTTTATCAGTAAGTATATTTCTTAAAGTTTTCCAGTAGATATCATTTGCAATAAGTTTGTATCTGTCTATTCTAAAAGTGCTACACTGCTGGATAATTTTACAAACATTATTTCACTTACTTGTCACTGCAATCTGTATAATTACTCCTAATTTCCAGATGAAAAAAATGAGACTGAGAAAAATTTGATGAACATCAAGATTATGGAGCTATTTGTGGGGTTTGAAATCAAACCAAGGGGCAAGAAGTTCATGAACTTTTTCTATAATACAAAACTTCTTACTCCATTTTTCTATTTGCTATTGTCATTCATCATTAGAAGTTTAGATCTGCCCATGGTGCTGCATGTACTTTAGTCCCTTGCTTCTTACTGCTTCTAGCTTTCAATAGTATTTACCCATCAGTTATCTATGTATCTAGAGATAGACACTGCCATGACAAAGTTTTTATACAAATCCTGCTCATGTCTTCTCAGGGCCTTTGAAAACTCCCTCACCCCCACCTGTATTAGTCTGTTCTCAGGCTGCCGATAAAGACATAACCCAGACTGGGTAATTTATAAAGAAAAAGAAGTTTAATGGATTCACAGTTCCATGTGGCTGGGGAGGCCTCACAATCATGGCGGAAGGTGAAAGGCACACCTTACATGGTGGCAGACAAAAGAGAATGAGAACCAAAGTGAAAGGGGTTTCCCCATATAAAACTGAGACTTATTCACTACCACGAGAACAGTATGGAAGAGGCTGCCCTTGTGATTCAATTATCTCCCACTGGGTCCTTCCCACTACATGTGGGAATTACGGGAGCTACAATTCAAGACGAAATTTGGGTGGGGACACTGCCAAACCATATCACCACCCAACAGAAACAATACTTAGGAGTAGCATCCCAGAATTGTAAAGTATACACATGCTTAGCTTCCCTAAATATTGCCAAAGTTTCCTTTTCTTCACAGTCTTGTCATCAGTAGGTTGTATCCACATTACTTTGATATATTAACTTACACTTTGGTCTGATTACTTAGAAAGTTTGTGCGGCTATTTGGGTTATAACTTTTGTAAACTTCCTGTTCATCTCTTTGCCAGTTTTACTATTGCAATATGTTTCTTTCCATTGTTCATTAACTAGGAAGTGTCAAAATTTATACCATTAATCTTTTGTTAGTTTTAGATCTTTAGAAATATCTTTCAATGGTTATTTATCTGTAAACTTTGGTTATGACTGTTTATAAAGATACAGTTTTTATTTTTGTGTGTGTAGTCAAATCTGCCTTTTTATTATCTTGTTTGTGCTTTATAGGTCTCATTTAAGAAGTTTCTCCTGCCCTTGTTGACAAAAAAAAATTCTTCCCTATTGTTTTCTATCATCTTATGCTTATTATTTCTTGCATCTTCGTGGCATTAATACATGTCAAGTGCAACATTATTTGGAATAAATTGGTAACATAGCTGTACTCTTCTCTGTAGAAAGAGTTGCTATTTTTCTCAACAGTACTTTCTATGTGGCACAGTCTTTCCCTATTTGTTATAAACCATTTTCTATTATCTCTCTCTCACACACAACATACATTTTTGTGCCTTCTATTTCATTATCTTAGTCAAATTTTTTTTTCTTGCACCAGTACTAAACTGTGCAAGTACTATGGTTTCTTAGTACTTTCAACATCTGTCAGTGAAATTACCCTAAGCCGCTTTATGCAAGTTGATTTATATATAGTTTCAAGCAAGAAACTGCTATATTAAGGTGCATTGGCAAGATTGCAACACCTGCATCAGCATACTTTCACATCCAAGTTAGCATAAGATTGTCAAATGTCTCAGGATACCCAGCTGGAAAATTTACTTTCTATGCATTATTTTGGAGAAACTAAAAAGGTTGGATATAAAATGTAGCTATCTGTCCTGTACATGGTATGCTTTTCCATTTACTTAAATGTATTTTTGTTACTTTTTTATAATTTTAATTTTCTCTATAACAATGCTAGCTCTTTATTTTGGTTCCTAAGTATTAATTTAGGATGTTAATTAATTAATTTTTGATGTTAATATGAGTAATATTTGTTTTTTATAACATCTATGAGTTGACTGTTGCTGCTATAACAAAATGCTATTGATGGCCATAAGCTGGTGTTTCATCTAGGCACATTCATGAACTTTCTCATCTTATTATTCCCTCGAGTTCTCTTTTTAGATTATTATATTGCATTTAAAAACTTTCTTCTCTTGTTATCCTCATGCTTCTTATGCATTTTTGTTATAACTTTATCCTTCCCCTTCAATAATCTGTTAAACATTAGAGGGAGTAGTAAAGTTTCACTGATAATGTACTAAATTAAATATATTAATAAAAATGTTACCAAAGTCTTTCCATTACGTATATTATTTGCTGTATCTATCAGTAATATACATTTCACAAAATTATATACCACATATTCCTAGTATTCATAAATTAAATACTAGTTTTTTATTTCATTATATTTAACAAGTTAATAAAATTAGTTGAACAGTTTTCCACTTTTTATTTTTTCCCCATAGTTACTTAAACTTTTATTGAGATAATGTTTACTTGTTCATTATAAATTTGATAAAGTTCACCTATAATGTCACATACAAGAAAAAAAAGCTTCAAAATATTAAAACAAGAATAAAATATTAAATTGAACTTGTTACTACTTTTCTTGAAAGATAAAGAACACAATAAATAATCCAAAATAAATAATTGAATAATCCAGGTATAAAACTTTAAGCAATAGGTATATAGAGAACTATATATATATCAGGCCAGGCGCAGTGGCTCACGCCTGTAATCCCAGCACTTTGGGAGGCAGAGGAGGGCGGATCACGAGGTCAGGAGATCGAGACCATCCTGGTGAACACGGTGAAACCCCGTCTCTACTAAAAATACAAAAATTAGCCGGGCGTAGTGGCGCGCGCCTGTAGTCCCAGCTACTCGGGAGGCTGAGACAAGAGAATGGCCTGAATCCGGGAGGCGGAGCTTGCAGTGAGCCAAGATCGCGCCACTGCACTCCAGCCTGGGCAACAGAAAGAGACTCCGTCTCAAAAAAAAAAAAAAAACAAAATGAGAGAGAAAACTATATATATATATATATGCAGAAAATGCACATTTGCATTAAGTTCCAATGAAAATTTTAATGTTTACCACAAAATAATCTACAAAACAAGTCTTATTTTTCTCAAAGAATCAACAATGTACAGCATATGCCCTTTATTTAAAATGTAATAAATACACACGTTAACAAGTTTTCAAAATATTGCAAAGAATATAACATTTCTGCAAACTAAATAAAATACAATTTACTATTTGGTTAAAAAAGCAAATTATAAGAGAAATTAAAAATACAGCTAAATGGCAATGAAAACATGAGCTGTCAAAATCTGCATTAAAAAAAGTACATAGAATTTTGTAGCTTAGACACATGAGAAAACAAATTAGAGAAATAAAATAATAAACTAGCAACCATTTAAGATGAAAAAAGAATGGAGAAAGCTAAAACAAAGAATAAAATAATGAAAATTATAAATATTAATGGTATAAAAACCAATAATATGTAAATAAGACTTAGAGAATCAACAGCAGCTTTTTCTAAAAGATTAATGAGAAGGGTAAACTTCCAGTGATGTTGATGGAGAATAAGGAAGGGGAAAATATGTGAATGAAAGAACTAAATATTTACTAAAAATAAATGTTTAAAATAATAATTACAAAATAGTATAAAAGTCTACATGCTAATTAGTTTTGTAATATAAAGAAAATGGAAGAATTTTTAGAAAAAATATAATATGCTAAAACAGCACGAAGAAAATTAGGAAACTTGAATCGGCAGGTGTGCACTAAGGAATATAAAATGAAATAAAAGATACTTCTCTTTATTTTCTTCAAGCTAATTTGATACATGCAACGCATGGTAGACAGAATAGTGGCCCCCCCAAAGATGTCTAAGTCTGAAATACCAGAACCTGTGAATTTGTTACTTTATATTGCAAAAGAGCATTGTTTAATAATCAGCTGACCTTCAGGTATGGATATTATCCTCCATCATCCAGTGGATCCAGTGAAATAAAATGGGCCTATGAAAGTGGAAGAGGAAGAATAGGACTTAATTAGAGAGAAACAACAATGAAAGAAAAGGCAGAAGAGGTTCTAAATTTGACAGGGACTTGACCCACCATTGCTGGCTTTGAAGCTGGAGAAAGATCATGAGCCCGGCACTGTCAGTAGTCTCTAGAACCAACAGGCAGCCAGGAAACAGGGAACACAGTCCCACAACTGCAAGAAACTGCTATCTGCCAGCAATCCAAATGAACAAGCCTCCTCTAGAGCCTCCACAAAAGAAAGTAGCCCAGCCGAAACCGTGAAGTTAGCATCGTGGTAACTGTTGGATTTCTGAACTAGAAAATTCTAAGATAATAAGTTTGTATTGTTTCTTTAAGTTTATAATAATATTTTATAGCAGCAATAGCTAATATATGATTTGAACTTCTTTCAGCCTTTATTTCCTGCCTTTCCTTAAAAGTCTTGTGCTCCAGCTATATAATGTACTGGCAGTCTTACAGGTGCCTCAGATATCACACACTTTTAAGACTGAATACGTTTTTCAAATTTCTCTTTCTTTTTTTTTTAAATTAGAGATACTTTCTCCTTCTCTTCTTAATGAGACCTACTTAATTATCAAAACAGGACTAAAAAGGCTCTTGTCTCTAAAGACTTCTCTCTCTTCTCTGGAACTTTACTGAATACTCTTTAGTAAACATACTTATATTGATTTCTAGGAGAAAAGGACTGTATTTTACCATCTTTATATTTCTGGCCCAGCATCACATAGAGAAAGAAATAGCAAGTACTTCTTTTGTGAATGAATGGCACGTTGGCAGGAAATCCCCTGATCTGATAAATTTAAAAAGTCAACCAGCATACAAAACAGGAAATAAATTTAGGATACTTTGAAACTGAAAGAAATATAGAAATAAAGCTTTAGAAATTGTGTATAACTATCCAACACTGAAAAAAAGGAACAGATAATGCTTCAATGTGCATTTCTCCTCCTAGAAATTGTCTTTTTGTTGATCCATGCTTCAGTCAATTCACTTTGACTAATAACCTACTACATCAATAGTGACATATCACTAAACTCTGGTGCACATTTTGGGCCAGAGGAAACATCTTTGAAATTATTTCCCGGATTGCCTGACTGCCTACATGTCCTCTTCTTTTAAGTATTTTATTTTTGGTGTCTGCACAAATGTTATCTATCTTACAAAGGAAAATTCTCAAGGGTAAACATCAGGTCTGTATTTGATTTACCTCACAATACTTCTTTCTTTATAACATATAGCAGAGTATTCTGCACCTTATATACATTCAAGTGTTCTAAATCTTTTTTAAAATTAGAAAATGAAATAAACATGATTTCACTCCTCGCTAGATTTTCTATTATTAGCCAACTGGGTCAATCTGCCTCTCTCTGTGCAGTGCGCCCGTGTACATGTGCCAACAATCATTGTTCAGGACTCAGAGCACTCCAGATGGCTTTCCAATTGTGAACCTGCAACCAGAAGAGTAGGCTTGGGCTTATCTCTCAGTTACACTTGAATCTGGGCTGCTGAGATATTCAGATGACTGAGTGTTGCACAACACCACCTTGATATATATCATGCACTTTATTTTTAATAATCCTGTACTATTTTTTGAGAGTAATATTTTGGTTGGAAAACAGATGAATTAATATTAAGATGAAAATTATCTAAATTTTTTCCTCCAAGTAATTTTTTCCTGATCTTAAAGATTTAAATGTATTCAATACATCACTAAAGAATAAACTGACAAACAAGAGATCCATTTTGTCAAAAATGCAAAAATGAAATGAAAACAAAGTATTATTGATTTCAAGTGAAACTGCTCATCCGTCTTAAACAATCTATCACATCAAAAAATTATATTGTATAACTTTTCATGACAGGATCAAGCTTAAAATTTAGTACAATAGCACAGCACCGATTAATCTTTGATTTTTTCCAAATTGTCTCAAAGTGTAGAGCCCAAACAATACCTCAATTTGTATAACATACAAATAGTTATTTTAAGTCTTTAAGATAATATGAAAAAGCAATATTATAAGACTCATTCCACATGTTTAGTTGCTGTTGTTATTCATCTTTTGGAAATGGGAAAATTGAGGCTTACAGAGGTTAATTTACCGACTACTAGTATGCTATGTACCTAGCATCTCTATTTTAGAGATTTAAGAACATTGTACTGAGAAATCTAAGTTCCCCTAAGGTCATACAGATGGTAAATGGCTGAGGAAGAATTTGAAAGGAAATTTGTTTCTTGCTCTATTTAGTAGTGTTACCAAACCAAATCTGCCACTTTCTGCATACATCTTCAAAATGATAGCATCCAGAAACATTCATCTCAGATCTTCAGCACCCTCATAGCAAAATATACAGTCATGTTATTGATGCTTTGATGCTTAATGAAATCTCCTTGATATTATTAAAACAAATTTCTCCCTCTGAATAGATTACACAGCTAATCTGCTAACCCCAGCCACTTTGTGCTGAAACATATTATTTACTTTTGTGTATATGTCATGTCACCAATATCATATAAGATTAAAATTAAAATGTTAATTTATATTTGTGCAAAACACTGTGTAGCTTTCAAAATTTGTTAACATTTTCATACAATTTCTTATTGAATCCCTACAGCAACTATGTACAAAACCTCATGAGACAAAAAATATTTTGTTGCATTTATTAATTAAATAAAATAAATTGAGAGAAGATAAACAATATGCACAATTACAAAAGCAAAGAAGTGGCAGAATGGCAATTATATTGAGTCTTCCATGTGTGGTTCTCCTGGTTTTGTTTCACCATTCTCCTGACCACCTTCTCCTCACGCATCTCAATTGACTCCCCCTTAGTTTACAGCTGCACAAAATGCACTAAACATGCTCTTAAACAGATGATTGAGGTCTATCAGGTATTTCACATTGTCGTCTTCTCAAATTTTTTACTTTCCTTTTTGTATAGAACATCTTATTGTATGAGAGAAAGAATAAGACATTTTCAAAATCTTTTTGTCATTAGTCATTCCATACTCACTACAAAATAAATATTTGGTAAAGCATGCTAAAATTTTGATGGGAAAAATCTCTTCTATGAAGTGATAATGGTAACTGTGGACACTGCTGGTATAGCTTCCATTTATTGTAAATTATTTTCCAACTATAATATTAAATATGGAAGCACACTATTTTATTCATTTCATAGTAGCGTTAAAAGTGAAGTTGCTAAGGAAAATGGCATCTAATTGTCATATCCTAACTTGTGGTCTGATAGACTTCTTGTCTCGCCATCACTTAATCTATTAATCTTACTTTCAGAATTATCAACATTTTCAGCCTTGAATTTAAGTACATTGAAAGTCTTATCTTCAAAAGAAAAGCATGTGATTTAAACTTAGTGTGTTGCCATTTGACTTTTATATTGATACTCATGTTACACCACATTTGTAAGGACTGGGAAAAATATTGTGTGTGTCAACTGGCTACTGTTTTATTAAATTTCACTCATTTAAAATGTCGAAAGTAAAAGAAGTAGTTAACCTACAGCATGAAGTTAAATTCAAAAACCTAATGAGACGTGACGTGATATTTAGAAAAAAAGTTTTATTATATAAATCTATAAAACTTTTCTGCCATGATTTTAGGTTTATTTTAAAATGTATAATGCTTTTATTTTATTAATTCTAGGGTGATACATTTAAAGAAGACACAATATCTTGTTCTAATAATAAAAAAGCATATCCTTTTAACTTAAAAGTTTTCTTTTCCCCAGCCTCTATAATGAAGTCTCCAAGAAAGTATGGAGGCCCATGTAGATTGACTACATGTTCTTTACCATTTGGATCAGCCATTTAATTATGGAAACGTGTTCTGAGAAATGCATCCTTAGGTGATTTCATCATTGTTCAAACATCATAGAGTGCACTTACACAAACCTAGATGATGATGCCTACTATATACCCAGGAGAAATGCCGTAGCCTGTTGCTTCTAGGCTACAAACCTGTACAGCAGGTTATACTGTACTGAATACTTCAGACAATTGAAACACAAAGGTAAGTATTTGCATATCTAAACACATCTAAACATAGAAAAGTTACAGTAAAAATATGGTATAAAAGATTAAACATGGTACACCTGTATACAAAACTTACCATGAATGGAGCTTGTGGGACTGGAAGTTGCTCAGGATGTCAGTGAGTGAGTGGTGAACGAATGTGAAGGCTTTGGGCATTAGTGTTCACTACTGCACAATTTATATACACTGTACATGTAGGCTACACTAAATTTATAAAGCAATATTTGTCTTCAATAATAAGTTAACTTTAGCTTACTCTAACTTTTTGACTTTACAAACTTTTATTTTTTTAAACTTTTTGACTCCTCTCTAATAACACATAGCCTAAAACAAAAACACACTGAACAGCTTTACAAAAGGATTTTATTTCTTTATATCCTCATTCTATAAGATTTTTTCTATTTAAAAATTTATTTTTTTGCTTTTTAAACTTTTTGTTATAAATGAAGACACAAACACACACATTAACCTAAGCCTATAGAGCATCAGCATTACCAATATCACTGTCTTTCACCTCCATGTCTTGTCGTATTGGAAAGTTTTTATGGGCAAAGCATGCATGCAGCTATCATCTCTTATTATAACAATGCCTTTTTCTGGAATACCTCTTGAAGGAACTGCCTGAGGTTGTTATATGATTAACTGTTTTTGTAAGTAGTAGGAGTAGACCCTGAAATAAAAATTTGAAAGTGTAGTACAGTAAATACATAAACCAGTAACACAGTCATTCATTATCAAGTATTATGTACTGTACATAATTGTATGTGTTACTCTTTTATGGAACTAGCAGCCCGGTAGGTTTGTTTACACCAGCATCACCACAAACATGTGAGTAATGTGTTGCGCTAATATGTCACTAGCTGATAGGAATTTTTCAGTTCCATTATAATCTTCCGGGATCACCATCTTACATGTCGGTCACCATTGACTGAAACGTCATTCTATGGCCCATGACTGTATCTGTTCTTCCAGTCCTTGTTATGCCTGCCCAAGCTCTAAGCATGTATTTGATTCTTAAGTTTCTCATTAAATGTAATTCAAGATTGAAGATTAAAATATTATGGGATGTTCATTGGGTTGTAGTATTTAAAAAATTTCGCTGTGGTTTGTTTCTCATATAATTTTTCTTTCTTTTTGAGTCAGTGTCTCCCATTATCACCCAAACTGGAGTGCAGTGGCATCATCACAGATCACTGTAGCCTCGACTTTCCTGGCTCAAGCGATCCTCCAGCCTCAGCCTCCTGAGTAGCTGGGACTACAGGCACATGCCATCATGCCTGGCATATATATATATATGTGTGTATATATATATGTATATATATATATACATATATATATACATATATATATACACACATATATATATACACACATATATATATATATATATATATATATATATATATATATATATATACCTGAGATGAAGTCTCACTGTGTTGTCCATGCTAATCTCAAACTCCTGAGCTCAAGTAATCCTCCTGTCTCAGCCAACCAAAGTGCTGTAATTACAGATGCGGGCCACCACACCTGGTCCTCATATAATTTTAAAAGAAATATTTGATCTATACATAATACAAGGTAGAGTAACAAAGCCCCAGGTACCTACATCCAAGTTTACTAAACATTTCTCATATTTGGTCAAAACTCCTTCACGAAAAAATTTACTGACATAGTTGAAGTCCTGTGTAATGATTCATAACAAACTTATTCTTGCTAATTTTTATTTCCATTAACAAGTACTTCCCAGAAGATGGTGCATTTTTTTCTATTTATGTATTTTATAATTATATTATATATGCATGGGCTCACCAAGAGAATATGTCACTGTTAGTATGTTTTCAAAGTTTACATATATCGTATCTGTGATATTATGTTACAATTTGCGCCTTTTTAAAAAGCATTGCTTCAGATTTATCCATTTGTTATATATAGCACTAATTCATTCTTTCCCAATTTTCTGTATATTCAGTCATACAAAATATATGCTCAGAACTAACCTACTCCTTTATCACTTTGCTTAGAAATTTCCTTGGCTAAATAGTCAATTTCATTGTTCACAAGTTCTGCCTTTCAGAAAAGCTCCAAAGCCAGTTGTGCACTTTTAGGTATTTGTTACAGCGGCACTCCATTTCTCAGTACCAAATTCTGTTTAATCAGCTCAAACTGCCACAACAAAATACCATAGACTGGGTGACTTAAACAAGATACATTTATTTCCTCACAGGCTGGAAGGTTCTGGCAAGAGCTATCTTCCTGGCTTGTAGACAATGGCTTTCTCACTGTGTCCTCATTTGACACAGACACAGAGAGAGAGAGAGAGAGCACCCTCAAGCTCTACTGATGTCTTTTATGAGAGTAGGATTCTCAGCTAAACATAATTATCTCCTATAGAGATAATTATTCCCCATCTCCAAATACCATCACATTGGGGGTTAGGTCTTCAATATATGAATTTTGGTGTGAGACAATTCGGTCCATAGCACCGATAACTGAGTAATGAAAAATAATTAGACTTTTTGGGAGTTATATATTTTCTGTATATCTACACTAATTTTGGAAGACCAAAACACTACCTTGGTGTACTTGTCAGAGAAGGGGCAGATGACATTTAAGAGATCAATTGAGTTTTAGTTACGATTTCTCTCCCTTGTACTCCTTGATCTATCCTGTGATTATCAGTTCTGAAATGCTTAATAGAAATAGACATACACATTAACTGTCAAGATTCTTACATTTGTGCCTCGATGTATAGCATGAGGATTAATATTGTAGCAAAAAACAAAAGGAAACCATAAGATCTTCCTTAATCTGCCAAAATAGTAAATCTTAGCACTTGCATTTCTGGGAAACAATGTAGATATTGGTGCTACTATGAAAACTTAAAAGAAGCAGGTGATAGTGATTCATACCACATTCATACTCAACATACCTTTTTGAACAATGAAAAAGAGAGATGTATCTTGCATAATGAGGGTGAATTATTGTAAACTTAAATAGGTGATGACTTCAATTGCAGTTGTTGTGCCAGATAGAGTTTCATTGCTGGAACAAATAAATACATTATTTAGCACATATATACAACTGCTAAATAGAAAAACATTTTTTCCTATAGCTGTAAGTAAACATCATGAGACAATTTTCTTTCAGCTGATGTGGCCAGCAATACACCTTCACTATTCTGTCTCAGGGTTGTGTCAACAGCCCAGGCCATTGACATAATTTAGTCATAAGAATAAATATTATATCTCCATTCTAGAAGATATCAAGTTGCTTCATTAAATTAATGATATGCTTATTCATCTGGTGAGCAGAAAGTAGCAACTACATAGATATATTGGTAAGACATGTGGATGTCAGAAGGTATAAAATAAATCCCACAAAATTCAATGGCTTGTCACTGAGTGAAATTTCTAGGTGTTCAGTGGTCTAGGGCAGGGTTTGGCAAACAATTTTTAAAGAGACAGGTAGTAAACATTTTAAGTTGTATCATACATCTCTATCACAACTACTCAACTGTGTCATTGCAACATGAAATGAGCACAGTCAACATGTAAACAAATACATGTGGCTGTTTTGCAGTAAAACTTTATCTATAAAATAGGCAGTGAAGTGGGTTTGGCCCACAGGCTATAGTTTACTGAGACTTGGTATAGGGCATATTGTCATATCCCTTCTAAATTAAAGGAAAAGTTGCTAAATCTTGTCCTTCCTACATCTAAGAAAGAAGTACAAGGACATATGGCCTCTTTGCAATTTTGGGGGCCAAGCCTAGACTTATTTGGGCAAATTTCCATAACCATTTTGTTGAGTAACCTGAGAAGCTAATTTTGAGTAGGCACACAGTAAGAGAGTTTTGCTTTGGTTCCACACTGCCATGAAAGCTGTTTGGCCACGTGGACCATGTGACCCAGTAGATTCAATGCTGCCTAAAGTTTATACAGCAAATAAGAATGCTGTGGAGCCTTTGGAAATACACTGTAGTGAATCACAGCGCAGCACAACTTCTTAAGGTTTTGGAATAAGGCGATTCTATCTTCTGCAGTTAACTCTTCTCCTTTTGAAAAGGCTTAATACCTTGGTAGAGACTGAAGACATGGCCAGGTGACAACAGACCACTATGCAACCTGAGTTGACCATCATTAATTGAGTGATATCTTACCTACCAAGCCATAAATCTGGACATACATCACAGCATACCATAATTAAATGGATGTAGATATATGAGAAAGGCATCAAGTGCGTCCTAAATAAATGTGTTTCATGACCAAGTGACACAGATGAGATTCAACGGTAAGAGATACCTCCTAGACCAAAAAAAATCATATATTTGATTCTGATATTGGTGGTAGCGATTATGATATTTTGTGATAATTTACTACAACAGAATGAGATCATGTCCCTTTCAGGGACATGGATTAAGTTGGAAGCCATTATCCTTAGCAAAGTAATGTGGGAACAGGAAACTAAATAACTCATGGTCTCACTTATAAGTGGGAGACAAATGATGAGAACACATGGACACATAGAGGGGAACAACACACACTGGGGCCTATCAGAGGATGGAGGGTCGGAGGAGGGAAAGGATCAGGAAAAATAATGAATGGGTACTAGGCTTAATATCTGAGTGATGAAATAATCAGTACAACAAATACCCATGACACAAGTTTATGTATACAACAAACCTGCATATGTACTCCTGAACTTAAAATAAAAGTTAAAAAAAAGAATTGAATGACTAAGTTTACATGATATTTTATAGTACATATATAGTAGGTGGTAGAGTTGGAATTTCAAACAGTTTTGTCTCACTTGAGATCTTTTATTATTATCATTGTACCAAAACTATATCTGTGCTAAGTTTAGAGAAGAGGTCATTGTTATCACACTCTCATAACTTATGTTTTAGGCTTTATTTCAAAGATTATTTTGATATTTGTATTTAGTTGTAAAACATATTGAGAATTAACTGAGCTACATTGCTCACTATCAATTTATTATTTTTTTTTTGCAGTGACCCCACCATTCTTAAAGTGTAAATTTCAATCCAACTCTCAGCCACCTAGGATGTGTGTGTGTGTGTGTGTGTGTCTACACATATATATATACATAATTGCTTTATATACCTGCTTTTTAAAATAATAATTAAGACATGTATGGTAAAATTTCTGAGTCATTAAACATCTGAGTCTGTATTTACATTCTATGAAAACTATTTAGTTACACAAAATTCTCTGACTCAAATTTATTTCCCTTAAAAGTCTGTTATGATTTTGATAACATAGAAAGACTTCTCTAATTTTATTATATGTTTATTTAGCAGCTGTTCTTTTGAGAGCTTAGTGATTATATAATTTGTTATTTATTATTTATTTTGTAAGTTTTCTTCATAGGACAGTTCTGATTGCATCCACCCTTCCATTTATTTTTTCTGTAACATGCTGACCTTCTTTAGCTATTTTCTCCATTTTCTTTTTAGCACTATCAATATACGTTTCCCATTTCCACTTGTATTGTTTATTCAAATCTTCTGTTTGTAACCCTGCTATCATTTTGTCTTTACATATAATCTTGAGCTTTCACTATCCTTATGATTTTCTGCTTTTATTTAAAACAAAGATTAAGTCATTTTCTTTTTGATTCCTACTGTTGATCATTTCCAGAGTTATGTTTTTCCCATTGAGTCCATCGTGCCTTCAGAATGACTTGCTGATCTCATTTCTGCAGCATTTTTTCCCGTAAACCACATGCTTGGAAGCAATCTACCCAGAATCAGTGTTTCAACTGAAAGGGAATGTGGACTTTCCTTGGCTTCATTACCTATCTGCTTGAGTGATGTTTTAATTCACTTCTTAGATTTAAAGTTTGATATATACAATTCTCAGTACAATCCTCATTAACCAGTCACCATTTATCAAGCACTGCCTGATTTTACTGACATTCCTGGGATCTTTGCATCTTCACCATATTTGGATCTTTGTCAGAGAGAAGTGATGGATTTTATGTGGATTTTAAAACCCCGAGTTTTATGGATATTTATTTATTTTTTTCTCTTTAAAGCTTGCTTCCAACATTTCACTTAGGTGGAAGGAATGTGAAATATCAAATGGAAAGGACTGTGCCCTTGACTACCCCTTGCTCTTGTTTATTGCACTATTGGTTTATGAAGTTTGATCTTCAAAAGTTTCTTAATATAGCACAGCTGACATGTTATATTTACTTCAGATGCAACACCTATGAATTAAGGAGATGTTTTGTGCTTTTTCTGGTTGATTACACCCAAGATTTGAGAGCCTAGAAACAGAGTATGTATGAAGTGAAGATGGGGATGTGGATAGAAAATATCTTTACCTCTTTTATCTCCTTTCAGGTGTGTGGTGTTTCATATGTCTTTATCAAGATAGAAACTAGCATTTAATCTTTACTGACATCTCATGAGATTTATGGGCACTGAAATTACTCTTAGATCCTGACAAAGATGCATGACCAATATGATTGCCAAGTCTCAATCATGATCTGATTTGAGCTTTCCGCAGCATTTGTCACAGTGGGTTAACCACTTACCTCTAGAGGGTTTTTTTTTTTTTAAGCTAAGATTCCAGACATCTGTTTTTCAGTTTTTCTGCCTTATTTGTTGTTCCTTCTCAGTGTGTTTTGCTGGTTTACCCTCATACTCATGACTTCTTAATTTTGGATTTCACCAGGATTAGTTCACATGCCATTCCTCTTCTCTCTGTACCTTAAATCTTAATGTGACTTTATCCTGTCTAATGACTTTAATAGTATTCATACACTTACAACTCCCTATGTATAGCTCTAGTCCTATTTTCTACCCTAAACTCTTTATATATATATATGTTTCATATATGTACACACATATTTTCTACCCTAAATTCTTACATTTTATATATATATATGTTGCATATATATATGTGGCATATACATATGTTGCATATTTGTATACATACGCACTACATATTTTCTACTCGGAACTTACATTTTATATATATATATATGTTGCATATATATATACACACATACGTTTCTACACAAAAGCTTTAAATAACATTGCATTGAATGCTTTTAACTTTATTTTGCTTCAGCATCCATTTTGAGTGCGGGTTTAGCTTTCTCACCACTGCCTTTAATAGGACCATTCAGGCATTTGTCCACAAATTTAAAGTGACTCACGCTGTACTTCACAGCATATGCTGAGAGTGGCCTCTTCTCTCTCTCTCTGAGAAGCAAGGCTCTATGAACTCCGCATTTGTGGCCTCCAGGAATGCTATGCACCCTCCATGGTCTGTATGTACTAACAACTCTTAAACATTCACCCTATGGTAGTGCCATTGAAGCCTTGTCTCCAGTTTGACTCCAGTTGGTGAGGCTACCATAAGGGCACCCAGGCAGGTGGATGCCTCGCTGGTGCTTCCTTGAGCTTCTAGTGGCTGCTGAAGGAAGTAGCTACCAGCTAAGCTGAAAAGACTTGACGAGTTTAATTCAAAAGAGACATCTGGTAGTTATTTCCAATGTAAAATAATTTTGTCCTGATTTTTTTCATGGAGTTGCTCTATTTGAATTAAGCCAATTGCATATTTTGGTTCATCCTTATCCCTTTTTATAAAGTGACACCACCATCCAATAAGTTAACAAACATTGACAGTTTTACCTTCAAGATATATCCAGAATTTAAAGAAAATGTGACAGTATACACAATAGAATGCTATTCAGCCATAAAAAAATGTAATGCTGTCATTCACAGCAACATGGATGAGCCTGAAGGAGATTATGTTACAGAAAGACAAATACCATATGTTCTCACTTAAATGCAGAAGCTAAAAATGCTGTTCCCATAGAGAAGTAGAGAATAGAATACTGGTTACTAGAGACTAGGAAAGGTAGTGGGGAGAAATAGGGAGAAACTGGTTAAAGAATACAAAACTACAGGTAAGTAGGAGGTATTAGTTCCAGCATTATATAGCACTGTAGGGTGACTATAGTTAACAATAATTTATTATAAATTGTCAAGTAGCTAGAAGGGAGAACTTTGAATGTTTCTGTTACAAGAACTGATAAATATTTGAGGTAATGGATATGCTAATTACTCTGATTTGATCACTATACATTGTATGTATCAAACATTACTATGTATCCTATAAATATGTATAATTATTATATATCAATTAAAAATAAATTAATAAGAAAAGATACATTCAGAATCCACAATTTTCATTGTCTTTAACATTATTACTCTATGCCAAGCCTTTCACTTGAATTAATGTAATAACTTCCTAACTAGTCATCCTTATCCTTATGGAAATAATTCTCCATCCAGTAGCATGAGTGTTTTATTTTTTTAATGTAAGCCATAATATATCCCTTCTCTGACAAAACTCTTCAGTTATTTTCCATCTCATTCAGTATATTATAATGTATATATCTGATTTTTAACAGTCTATTAGTACCAATATTTTACCACTTCAAGTGAAGTGTGGAAACCTGACCTCCATTTAGGTGCCTACACTTTATCAAATTTTAAATATCACTGGCTTGAGGATCATATGATCTAATTTTTATTTCAGTCATTAAATATTATTTATAAATAGTATATTTATTTTTATTTTGTTTATTTTTTCTTTGAGACAGGGTCTTGTTCTGTCACTGCGGTTGGAGTGCAGTGGTGCAATCTCAACTCACTGCAACCTCTGCCTCCTGGGCTCAAACGATCCTCTGGCTTCAGCCTCCCAAGTAGCGTAGACCACAGGCACATGCCACCATGCCTGGCTAATTTTTTGTTTTCTTTGTAGAGAAGGGGTTTCACTGTGTTGCCCAGGCTGGTCTCGAACTCCTGGGCTCAAGCGATCCTTCTTCCTTGGCCTCATAAGATGTTGGGATTACAGCTGTGAGCCACTGCACATGGCCAATGTATTTACACACTCGTACATAAACTCAGGATTATATTACGTAAATACTCATGTAAAAACTCATAAGGAAAAGAATAGTGTATTGTATGTATCCATATTTCTGCTCTTTCAATTGTTCATTCTTTCTTCCTGATGCTCCAAGATTTATTCTTTTATCATTTTATTTCTGTTTGAAGAACTTCCTTTGGTCAGTTTTTAAGAGTAGTTTCATTCATTAAAAAATTATCTTAATTTTCCTTTGTGTGTGAATGTTCTTTACTTTTCATTCCTTAAGGATAATGTCACCCACCAGGTATAAAATTCATGGTTGACAAGTCTTTTATTTTGGCACTTAAAAAATGTATCATACCACTTTCTTCTGACCTCCATAGTTTTAGATGAGAAATCAGATTTCATTTGGATTGGTGTCTCCCTGAAGGTAATTTGTCATTTCTCCTCAAATGCTTGCAAGATTTTATTTTTTGTCTTTAGTTTTCAAAAATGTAATTATGATGTATTTTGGCATGGACTTTGGGGGCTTATCCTGTTTGTTGCATAAGTGATGAAGATGTTATTGTCTAGGGAACTACTAATTTATAATACGGTAGCACAATTGGTTTGATAGGAAAAAGGAAATGAAAATGGTAGTAGAAAGATCAAAAAGGGTCTTCAAGAGGCAATTTAATATATTAAAAATGTAATAAACTTTACATGAATAAAATAGTTCAACACAGAGCAAGGGGCACTTCAAAATTACTGGCTAAAAGAGAAATGTGAAAAGGAAAGTCTAAACAAAAGAAATAGATGGCATGGACAGATTTTTCTATCCTATAATGAACAAGTTGGTTAATGATCCTCCCTGGTTCTTGGGAAGAAAGCCTCTAAATCTTTGGGGTTTTAAAATTATTAGTACTGTCTTTGTTAGTCATAATGTGACCTAATAGTTTATGCTAATAAAGTGGCTCCTGGTGGGCCCGTAGGTAGTTTATGCTAATGAGATTCAGGATTGGGGCTGACCATGTCAGAAAGACAAGCCAAATGATTAGACAGTTGGGGCTTTCAGACATGAAATTATCAGCCTAAACTCCCGGGAGTGAAGAAGGCTGGAGACTGAGTTAAATCTTGTGGCCAATAACTCATTCAGTCATGCCTACATGATGAAACCCCACAAAATCTCTGGACACTGAAACTTGGGTGAGGTTTGCTGGAAATAATATTTTGTGGGTATTGGCACATGTCACCTTTCTGGCATACTGATGCGCAAGAAAGGTGACATGTTCTTGAAGACATAGGAGTTTCACATTTGGGACCCTCCTAGTCCTCTCCCTCTCTGCCTCTTCTTTTGACTTGTTCTAATTTGTAACCTTTTGTTATAATGAAACTGCATTCATAAGTATAATACTTTCAGTGACCTCTGTGAGTCTTTCTAGCAAATAATTAAACTAAAACCGGTAGTGGGAGCCCTGAAATTTGTAGCTAGAAGATTAGAAGGGTGAGTACCCCAGAATCCCTGAGCATGCAGCTATTGTCTGAAGTGACAGCAGTCTTGAAGAAAAATGTGCCCTTAACTTGTGAAGTTTGGCCTAACTCCAAGTAGGCAGCATCCAAAGTCATTGCATTTCTAAAAGTGCTTTGGTTGATGCTACTTTGGTCAATGCTATTAAAATAAATCCTGAGGTTATTTTTTTCCATGCTATCTACAAGTCCAGAAGGATCTTTTAGTAATTAGATTTTTAAAATTTATTTTACATTACAGTGTGGTGCTTTTTATATTTTTAAGGAAATGTATATGACTTTAAAATGCTGATTGTCAATAGAACAATCAATGAATAAATTGCATTTGTTGCATTGCTGCAATTATTATATTTTGTAATTTATATAACATGTAATTTTTCTGTGTTCAAGTAAGCCAGGGTTTTTAATGGTGGCAAGTGGACAATAGACAAAGCAGTCTTCATTTGATTTTCAAGACTTGTTTATGTAAAATAAATTGCATTATAAGACATATGAGCTATTGATTTCATTTTTATCTATTTATTTTGCATGATATATTATATTATATTATATCCTTTTTAAAAATCAATATGGTATTTTTTGGAAGAGGACATTTTAGTCTGGTACCCTCATCATCAGAATTTGGAAGTAAGAGAATGTTCTAAAACTTGTTGTTGCTGCAAACTAATAGTAATTGGGGTTAGAGGAATCCACTGATTGATTCAAAGTAGAATTTGAACCTTTGCTATGATCTGGTAAGACCAAAAGCTTTTTGCATTAAAAGCACAATCATAGGAAGCATTACTTTCCAGAAATGCCAAGATTTATATCACAGCATAATTTCTAATGGATTCGTGGCTGAGAACTGTAGAAAATAGGTAGATGATAAATAAAGTACATTCAGTCCTCCAAATTTGTGGATTCCACATCTGTGGATTCAACCAACTTCAGATTAAAATATTTGCGGAAAAAAAGGATGATTGCATCTGTACTGAACAAATATAGACATTTTTTCTTGTCATTATCTCCTAAACATTATAGTATAACAACTATTTACATAACAATTACATTGTATTAGGTATTATAAGTCATCTTGAGAATCTAGAGTTGATTTAAAGTGTACTAGAGGATGTGCTAGGTAATGTGCAAATACTCTGCTACTTTATACAAGGGCATCCTCCATTTTATGCAAGAACTTCTGTGAATTTTGGTATTCATGGGGGGTCCTGGAACCAATCCAGCATGGATACCGAGGAATGACTATGAAAAGAATAAACACGGGAAAAACAGTGTTTGCTTAAACTATGTAAGACGGGGCGCAAGGAGTTCTGCATGTGTATCTCTCTAAGTCTAAGAGAAGTATCACCAAAAAAAGCCATGCATTGTTCTGTACTTTACCAGCAGTTAGTGAAGCAGCTTTGGAACCACTACTAATTCCAGGCATTTCTGGGAGCGTAAAAAGGAACAATGGCTGCAGAGAGGCCAGAGTATTCAGGGGAGCAGTGGCATCACCTGTTAAGAGTCCACACTTCCTACAGAAGCATAGTAGTGCCTGACAATATGGGGGAATGCTGAGAAGGATGGAAATACTTCAAAGGGACCCACTTTGGCCAGATAGAACACTGTAGTGCCTGCCGAAGATCGCGAAACTACCAAGGAACTGGAAGAATAGCACCAAGCAGAATGAACACCCTTATAAAAGACAAATGGGACAGCTCCTGGGGCCTCCAAAATTTTTTTGAGCAAGAATAATAAAAGAATATTTGGGCAAAAATATATTTGATTCTAAAGGCCTCCATGATAAGGTGTAAGTAAATGCCCATGGTTTTGTGATAAAATTGCTAATGAAACTGCAAGCAGTTGAGATCTAGGCAAATTCAGGATATGTGTAAGTAACTTTTTTTAAATAATATTTTTTGCAACTAGATAATAAAATTATAATTGTAAAAGAATGGATGACTTGTTATCAAAATATATTTTGGTAGTCCAATAGCTATCTGAATAGCTGTTATTGCTGACTCATTAATGCTGAAATAAATTTTAAAAAGCATAACTGGAAGTATTTTAAAAGTTACATTATGGAGATGAAGCAAAAACGTAGCCATTATTTTAAAATCTTAACATTGCCCAGGAAAAGTGATGAATAATTTATATGGAATAAATCCAACAATTTTCAGTAATGTATATAAAGCACAATTTTATAGTGCCTCTTCTTCAAAAGTAATATATTTTCTTTGCTCATTCAAAAACAGATGTTTTTGAGATATAATACTGAAAACTGTTGTCAAGTAACTTGTCTTTGATATACGTAGTCTTCAGGTTGTGAATGAATTGTGTACCAGGAGTTCTTGGTTAGTCAATTTATTCAATTTAAAGTCTGAAATGCATGCTCCTGTAGAATCAATGTTATAAGAAGTATCTAGGTCCTCAGTGCAGACCAATCACTTCTGCCTGATTTTCACAATCTCTGAGAGGAGTTAACAACGAATTGCTGGTAGCAGAAGAGTGGTAAGATTAAGGAGAGGAAAAAAAATGAGACCAAACACCATCATATTACTTTCTTTTATTAACTCCATGGGCCAACATATTGATGATTGCTAATGAGATATCACATTCCTTTATTCTTTAGATTTAATATCCTTATTCCAGCCTCTCACATCCTCTAAAATCCAGAATCACTTGATCCCTGTTTCAAGTTTCAGATACCTGTGGTTACAATACTCTGAAAACCTACCTTACTACTTCCTGATAAGTGTGGAGGAAACAAAGGGAGAAAAATTCTCAATCTTGCTTTCTAAGTTTAAGTGAAGTGTAGAAGTGAGAGTATATATTTATATCTGCCATTCCAAGATGGAACTTAGTAGTTAGTAGGCAATGTATTTATTCAACAAAAGTGTATTGAATAAACTTTTCTTGAATTAGTATGGAATATTTTGTTGAATAAATGTGGAAAGTGCTGAGAATACAATGTCGAACCTAGCCTTTAAGCACACAGAACTGAGAGGTAAACCATAATACAAAAATAAAATAAAATAAAATTAATAAAGCCACAGAGCTACGGTAGCATAAGTGGGCACTGCAGAGAAGGCTTGCTTGTATGTTTGACAATTGACTGAGACCTGTACAATAAATAGAAGGTAATTACAGGTGGAGAGTGAGGGAAATCATTGTAAATAGAAGAGCTATCAGAGTAAAAAATTATAGAGAGCACCAGGTGCTGAAAGCACGAAAGACTAAGCACTGTGCAGAGCCCATGGAATGATTTGAGTGTGAATGAATGTGGTAGGAGGGGAGGAAGACTGACATAATTGCATTTACATTTCAAAAATGGCATCCGGCTGCTAATGAGTGGATGCAGATAAGAATGGGGGCAGAAAGGCAAGGTATTGAGGAGATAATGGTAGCTTGGATTAGGATGATGGTGTGAGGGATTGAGGTGGGTGAATTCTAGAGGTTTTAAAAGATTTATGATTAAGTCTTGCAATGGATCAAATAAAGGTATTGAGAAAGAAAGCTGTACCAACTCAGCATCAAATCTAAAACCTCCATGAACAGGCTGTGACAATTGCATAGACAAATTTATATATGTGAGAAAACCCTCTTGAATTTTTTATGACTTACATGTGACACAGACCTGATCCATATGACACCATTTGCTGAAGAGAAAAGCAAAGACTTTTCTGAAAATGAGAACCAGAGTGTTAGCCAATTATTCACAAACCATAGGGTGCAGAATATACAGCCAAAGTCTGGGACAGTGAAGGAAGACAGTTGAAATACCAGGAAATGCCCTACAATACAGGGCAAACTAAGGTCAAGAATGTAGAAAGACACTGGTAAACTAGCCATTGTCAAGTATGCTTAGTGTCCCCAACTGTGACTCAGATATAATTAATCTGGAGGCATGTAGCACCCAGATTCTATATCCTGGTGGATCATCTTTATGTTTCTCAACTCCATTATGCTTCGAAGTATTAAAATAGAAACTTCAATATCTCAAACTGAGATAGTTTGCTGCTTATTTACTTTAGAAAATGAATTTAATTATCTTGAGAAATGTTTGTAATTAAATATAGAGGTGGAGAAGTGAATCAAATAAATAGAATTAGTACTCAATAAATTTAAAAATAATTTGTGTGGATTAAAATGTGTGTGGTGTTTTTAAAAATATAACATTAGGAAATCTCATAACTAAGTCTAATACATTTATTTTGAAATTCACAACTGATACTCTTGGAATTTAAATCTATAATATTTGACAAAATATGTTTGGGTTTTAAAATAGTACTGTCATGTAAAAGAGAATGAAGGGTTCACTCTATTTCATTCTTTATCTTATTTTCAAGCATTTGATATTTCTGCCTATGATTGTTAAGCTTCTAAGCAACCTCCAGCAGTCTCACAAGTCCTCAAGCAAGAAGGCACAGAATTTTGAGGTGGAAAGCAAGCACCATTCACAGGAACTCTCTGAAGCTTCAGTTGAATCCAGAACAGACAGAAAATATAGTCCAGGTAACAGGCCTAAGTTGTGACAATGCCTTGCTGTGTTAGGCCCTTCTTGCACTGCTATAAAGAAATAGCCAAGGCTGGGTAATTTATAAAGAAAAGATGCTTAATTGCCTCAGCGTTCTGCAGGCTGCACAGGAAGCATAGCATCATCTGTTCCTGGGGAGGCCTCAGGAAGCTTAAATGATAGCAGAAGATGAAGTAAGAACAGGGACATCTCATCGCGAAAGCAGGAGCAAGATGAGTGTAGGGAGAGATGCCACACACTTTACAATGAACAGATCTCACAAGAACTCACTATCACAAAGACAGTGCCAAGCCATGAGGCATCTGCCACCATGATCCAAACACCTCCTACCAGGCCCCACGCCCAGCACTGGGGACTACAGTTCATCATGAGATCTGAGTGGCATCAAATATCCAAACTATACCACTTGCCCGACTCAGTTTTACTGTTTTCCCACGTTAAGTGGGGTTTCTGGAGAAACCCCAAATGAACAGCTACTTGCTACTAGGATCTTTGAAAATTCTACTGTGTCAACTGGTGGAATAATTTCACACTCAGAACCAAGATATTGGTCCAATTGAACTAAACGTTGTGGCTGGAAACAACAAATTTCTCCAAAGTATCTTTGAGAATAATAACAAGCTAAGCCAATTTTACTTCCACCCTTTGGTTCATGGACTCATATTCTCTTATTTTTAAAATTGCTTTCTTTTTTTCTAATTTTAGATTCAGGAGGTATACATGCAGGTTTGTTACACAAGAATATAACAGGATGCTGAGGTTTGGGCTTCTAATAACCCTGTTGCCCAATAGTAAGCATAATACCCTCCTTCTCCTTTTGCAATCCCCTGCATCTATTGTTCCCATTTTATATTCATGCATACTCAATTTTCAGCTCCTACTTACAAGTGAGAACATGCAATACTTGTTTTTCTTTTCCTGCATTAATTCACTTAGAATAATGGTCTCCAGCTGCATCCACATTGCTGCAAAGGACATGATCTCATTCTTTCCTATGGCTGCATGGTATTCCATGGTGTATAATTACATTTTCTTTATCCAATCCATGGCTGATGGGCACCTGGGTTGAGTCCTTGTCTTTGCTGTTGTGACTAGTTCTGCGATAGACATGTGAGTGCATGTGTCTTTTTGGTAGAATTAGTTATTTTCCTTTGGGTATATACTCAATAATGGGACTGCTGGATCAAATGATAGCTCCATTTTTAGTTCTTTGAGAAATCTCATGGACTCATATTTTACATTTTTGGAACATAGCATCTTGTAATGGCTATTAGTTCAATGTATGTATGTCATCTGGGAGTATACAACAACCTCCTATAGGGTGTTATCCCAGTGTTGTTGTCATATTTACATGTCTAAGAGGCCACTCCAGTATTCTCTAAGGTCTGTAACTTCTGAGTAACATGGTATATAATAGGGCGAATGTGTCTCTAATGTGGCTTCAACACTGGTTCCTGCTGATGACAAGTCAGACATTCAATAGCTGAGTTAATATGGGACACAAAGACCTGCTTCCTTTGAACCCACTAGCAGAGATCCATCCATAAATACATCTTTCAGAATTTCTTGAGTTTTTTCTTCTACCCTTGCACCTTCCAAGACTGTAATTATCTTTCCAAGCCATTTGTGGCTGCCCCGAAGGCCCTATACACCATTGCATTAACAACTTTTTCCTCCACTCAAAGTGAATGCTCCAGGATATGGCTCCAAATTAGCTGATGAAAATATTTCTATTTACTACTATTTTTCAGGACCACCTGTAATGCAGATTGGAATGTATCAGAATTATTTTTTGTTCAAACCAACCTATCTAGCTAATTTGTTCTTTATTTAGATCTAAGATTCTCCCTTTACATTAGCTACTCATAAGGATCAATCTTTAACCTAACCATTTTAGTTTCTTTTTGAGGGAAAACTGGGCTAATATTTATTTTAAACACTTGTTGTGGCATTGAAGGGTTCTTTATCAAGGGACCTGAAGTCCTTTTCAATCATTGAGCTCTCGGTCTGAGAATCAATTAGTTCTGGAAACTGTCTGAGACAATATGAATTAGCATTACAGCAGCTGACCTCAATATTTTGCTCACTAACTCCGACTTTTTGGTTTTATAAATCAAGTGACGTCTTCATGAGTTGCCTACTGTGGGTTCCCACTGTATCCTAGGAACACCATGGTTTATTAACCATTTTTCTAGATCGTTGCAGGTGAGTAAACCCAATTTTGCCGATCTTTCAGAATGGCATCCTCCCACTAACTCTAGTAGGCCCATTTCTGCAGCAGACCTGGCCTCTATAGTTGTATAAGTGGCCCAATGGAAGACTTAAAATTATTTTAAAAATTGTTCATATTATACTTTGTCCCCTTCCTCAACATACATGAACTTTTAGAAGGAAGACAAGTGTCCAATATGGTTGTTTTTCATCTGGCCATAGAACATATAGCCTTACCTGAGAGCCTTCTTGATGCCCTTCATAACCAGTTGCTGTAGCACAACCACAGATTTCAGTGCAGAGGTGTCCTCAACTATAGTTTCTGAGCAAACTGAAGTAAAAGCATATACTGAAAGACATATGACATTGGAATTGTCTAAAATTTCTCAATATATTGCTTGGAAATTAAAATAGAAGCCCCCCTCCATCAAAATTTTAATGGCCTTGAATATTTTAAATTTTAAACAATGACTGCAACTTCTACTGGACTTTTGTAAGTTCAAAAATTGAACATCAGGTTCAATTTAGTTAGTTTTTCCCAATATAATCAATTATAAATTGAGCATTTTATGGTCTCTATCCCATCCTTGGAGCACATACAAAATTATTTCATTACTAAATTGAAATAATGTATCTATGATTGATTACAAGATCTCCACAAAAGGAAGCAAGAACCCTGATTAGACAATCTTCTGCCTAGTGAAGAGATTCCAATTGCTGTTTTTGAATCACCCCATACACACACTGGAAAACTGGTTGTGGTGTTAATTGGTCTCAAACTCTAGAGAGCTATATGATTTCCAACATAGTCCTCTCATTATATAATGATACAATTGTGGCTGAGAATCAGCAGAAAGTAAGGATACCTTATCTGCTGTCACAATTGTCAACAATCAGAATAAATTATAGGATATATGTTATATGTTGGGAGTGGAGAAAACAGGCAAACAAAAGGAATTACACAATAGAAAGTAATAATTTTCTACATACTAAGATGTAGACAAAGTGATGGTAGATTAAGTCCTTAAAATGGCCTATTAAAAACCAACAACAAAGTGATGAGAGAGCTCTAGAGAACATGGGAATACCTTGGTTGGTAAATTGGGAACCGTGAGGCAGAAAGTATTTCCCCTGACACAAGTTAGCTGTAAATTATGTTTGTAAAAATCAAACAGACAGGCAAACATCTTAGTGGCCAATAACAATAAAAGCTCATTTCTCACTTATACTGCATGCTCATCTTTAGTACTGTGAGCATAAGAGGAACCAAATCCTCACAGTTATCCTCTCTTGAGGGCCCACGCCAATATCATGTCTCTTTCTAGAGAGCTGCAGTCTGTAAGAGCATAGAGAAGAAGAGAATGCCCAATTTCTTCCAGGAATTGATTGTTACATTTCATCCGCCAAAGACAGTAATATGACCAAGCCTGGTTCCAGCAGGGGAAGGGAAATAAAAACCTTCCTTAGAGAAGGGAAGTAGGTTTTATTAACAGCATACCGTCTACTACAGTGGACATTGGAACATATTTCCTTGTTGCCATCAGGCTCAGAATGACAGGCTCCCCTCAGTATAAGAGTTGTGGTAGTTGCTGTGGCGAATTACTGTAAAATTCAGTTACTCAAATCACACTTTTAGAAATATATATATTTTTTAATTTTTTTGCACATCAGAGGTACAGTGATGTGGAAGTGAGTAAATGAAGAGTATTGAACATGTCTCCTTGAGCTCAGGATTTGTTGCATCCTGAGAGGAATGGATAACCTTATAAATTTGAGTCAACATTTCTTCTAATATGAGATACAGGGGAAGCAACAATAGTCCTGTCAGTATATTGCATCATAAACAAAGATGTTGTTTTTTCATCTGTAACTTCAGAAAAAAAAGGGACATCTGTTCTTGTATCTATAGTGAAGGATTAGAAAAGTAAATGCAAAAAAAATGCATATTCAATAATCTATCTAAAAATTAGGAAATATTATTGAAGATAAACAACAGGAGGATCATGAAAATGGTAATTTATAAACAAATTACCCCTATAGCTAACTTCATGAACTTGGAATTCTGAGCTGAAAGAGAGTCAGAGGATCATCTTATTAGTAATTTATAAAAATAATTCAAAATACATTTTTTCAACATCTACTTTCCTTAATCACAGGCAGACTGTAGGAAGAGTGAGGTCCTCTTCTCTATAAAAATAATTGTTCAACAGTTTTTCTCATTTATACCTACCCATAGAAGGGCATTAAGTTCCCAGTACATTCAAAAATTGCCAACCATTTCACCAAGAGCCAGCGAAAACTGACATTATGTCCATCAGTAATAGGGTAAGGGGATAAAGCATTATGAAAACAAATGCCACGGAGCTTCAGCTATTGTGAAGCAAGCGCCTGGGGTGCCAACTCCTCCAGTAACTTTTGTCTTAGAACAAGAATTCTCATTCTTCTGTGCTTAAGATACTGATATGACAATTTCTTTGTGGAAAACACCCCAAACGACCTTTGACTGATACCGAAAACAGAAAATTACAAATTTCTGGACAGCTAAAATTGGCAGATTCTGATAAAATTGCTAGATGTGGAAATAACTGGCAAAATGACAAGTAGAGTCAGTTTGATATGACTGATAAGTTGATAATTATTTTGAAATGAACAGAGAAATAAGGTTCCATTCGAGAGCTGAAGTAAAAGTAGTTATGTTTTAGATAAGAATGTTTTTGTTTATAAACCCTCCAGCATCTGACCTGATTTGGTTTCTGGGTGAAAGACCTATATCAGGAAGAGATTTTTGCAAACCTAAGCCAGTAAAGTCTTCAATGATATGGTCAAAGCAAAAGGAGACTCAGAAGTTGTATGAGTTATAATTTAAACTATCATGCAACGATAGAAAAATTTTGGGTTCTTTTCAGGCTCAATGTTTTGGCATCTTATTGCACCCAGAATATCCTTGCACAACATAAATACCAGTCCTATCATGGAATGAGGGTTGGATTTTGAGCCACAAAAATAGGCAAGATCATACCCTGGACAATAAAGCAGAAATATATTTATTGGGGAATAGTTATTATTTGGTGTAAACTGCTCTTTTGTTTTTATAGCCAATTTTTCAGTCCAAGGAAATATGTGATTACGGTCATGGACTTTATCAAAAACATGGCAATATTGCTTACAAAGCTCATTCTCTAACAATATGAAAAAGCCTCACGCCTCCCCATTTCAGTACTCAATATAAATCCTCAAGAAAGTGGGTATTTTAGCTTGCGACAAAGCTGAATATATTAAAAAATATTTATGCAAAACTTATGTGACATACATTTCACTTTTCCATAGATACTATACGATGTTCTTCTGTATATCATTATTCTTCCATACATCCAAATCACGTATTAATCACAATATATTGCAACATCAAATGCTATATCCAATTTTTTCTCTAAAGAAGAGGTTGGTGGAGAGAAGTGATATGTCAGAAATAACTATTCAGTAACTATTTCTGGAGCTATTTATTTATATATGTTCCAGATGCTGTTCTTGGAGCTCGATATAATTAGTGAGAAAACCAAAAAAGCATTCCTTCCCTTGTGGTGATAGAGGAATACTTGTGCTTGTGTATGTTGTTCTATAGGCAAATATGGAATATATGTGTACAAGGACATCTGTATGTATTTGTATGTAAACAAACTCAATATGCAAACATCAGTAAGACGTTTTCATGATGTAATACAACTCAGACTGAAAAAAGAGAGAAAACAAATACTGTATTTTTGATGAAAGAATATTGAACTAAATAAAAGTCTTTTTTCACATTGTAATTAAACTGACAAGTCAGTCATAGACGTGCTTTTCACAGAAAGATGTAAAATATTACTGTAGGGAATACAATTCTAATTTATATTTAATCATTCTTCTCCTCTTTGTTTGTATTAAGGAGTATCCTGCCATTTTACATTTTCTGTGTTATGTATGAAATATTAGCAAAGCAATGGAATTCAGGTAGGCACTGTGTTTTTAATTTAGTTTAAAATAGTGATGAGATCAGAAATAATAACAATAAAAAACAGTGTATTAGCTGGAACTGCCTTCAGCGAAAGCATTTTTCTTCTTTAAACAGATGATGAACAGACCATCTTTAATAGATAAAAGATATGGAGAGATAGAGAACTCCATGGAGAAAATACTCACCACTGTTTCTGTTCCCTTTACTTCTTATGTCACATAAAACTACCTGGAGTATCAGATATATCTCATACATAATTTAAAGCAATTTCCTGAAGGATGTATAAGGCAAATGCTCTCTCCAATCCTCCCCCTTATAAAATGTTAAATGGATTCTGCTTGTATGGATTTGATTATTTATTTTTTCTTCTTTTGGGGGGATGGGAGAGGTGGGCGTATATGCAGGACAGCTTAGAATAATTTGCACCAAGATATAAAACCTATTTATAGATGATATTAAAGAAGCACCCTAGCAATGAACTAGGGATCTCCTGCATGAATGGTGTCAACTTGAATGTGTGCTTTTGGAGAAAAGAACTTCACTAGGGAATTTAATACAATGAAGCACAGAACAACATTGCTATAGATAAGAAAAACTTTCCAGGATGATAATGTCACAAAACAGATTAGCATTATTGCAACATGAAGCAATGTATATTTTTAAACAATAGAAGATTTGACAAAACAAAATTGTTTAAAAATCAGAATTAGAAACTCTGAAGTGATATAAATAAAAAGAAAACATTATTTCAGAAATGAAGACCAAACTAAAAGAAAAATAAATATTAATAGGCATACATGTGTCTTAAGAGAAGTAGAAGGTAAAAAGGAAAAAGAAATGAGGACAAAGATTGACTGGACAAAGGAATAGGATATTAATATCAATATGATTAAATATTAATGTGATCAGTATGATTAAAATTAAAATCAATAGCATAAAATAAATAAGGATAAAAATCTATATCCATAGAATACATGCCAAGTTTAGAAGTTCAGCAAAAATGATAAAACACATTTATAATTAGAGTCTCTAAAGAACAAAGCAAAATGAAGTCAGTAAAAACAGGTTCTAAAAGGATTTGAAAATTCATTTTGAAATATCTTCTGAGATTATTGACTCAGAAAAATTAACACCAAGATAAATTCAAGTATAATTATTAGATTTTAAAGGGGAGGGGGAGAGAGAGAAGAGAGAAACGTTACTTAAATATTCAGTAAAAAATCAAATCACTTATGAGAGGAAAAACAAACAAACAGCAACGAATAATACAAGATTAAATATTTCAAGAATAATGCATTATGCTGGAATAAATATTTTATATTAAATGGATTTTAATGTGGTTAATATTACCAAATAGCTACTACTTTAACTTTGTGTCAGCTAAGAACCTAAATCGTAAGCTATACGAAATTATCTATAAGAAATGAATCTATAAGAAATCAGCTATCAGAAATGAAAATGTGAACCAAGCATTTTATTAGGCCAAACTGACTTTCAAAGCATGTAAGCTTCAGACCATTTGGGAGCAATGTCTAGTAGAGATTAGAGAAACAATTCACCCTGTTGGACACTGACAAAAAAAAAAAACAACTTATTGTGAGCAGTCAGTATAAATTTGCACTTAGTACCAAAACTAAACGAGGGCTATAAAAGAGAAGAACTGTCATGTAAAGATAAGGCTCTGATAAGTAGATAATACAACTACTTAAAACAGGGTGAAATGGGAAGTGTGTATGAAAAAATGCTTCATTTCTTTTTGTAATCATAATAGTAGTAGTAAATATAATGTTGAATGAGAATAGTGTACTTAAAAAGTAGGTTCAAGCCGGTGAATAATTAATTATGTGAAATTTTAATTCTAATATCCATGTGTCCTTGAAAATGAGACTCTTTGGTGTACAGAAAGAGATGTAGAAGTATCTGGGGCAGAAGTTTCAGGTCTGAGCCTCTTGTCAGACCACACAGCAAGAAAACTATCAAAAATCACAACTGTATCAAAAAGTATCTGAAACCAATGTGAAGAGGCCTGCTAAAAGTTTGGAAACAAATTACGTCTCTATCTTATAACTCTTCAGCTTGAGCTTAAGCAGTCAAGGAGAAAAATGTTGGAAAATTAAGTTAGGGTAGCCAGCCTACAGAGTCTGTTATAGTTGGTCAGGAAAGATACAGAACACAAACATTAATAAAGACTCACATTTTAGAAAAAATTTTTAATTTTTGTTTCATAATACAATTTAGAGAAGCTAACAGATTTCTTCTCAATATCGTCTTCTTCTTGTATGACCAAGAGGGATATAAAAAATATTTAACCATCAATGGATTAGAGACTCAAAACCATCAGGAAGGAAACAAACTGTAATTGTCAGGTAGTGCCACACAGGGGCTGACTGGCTCAGTGTCACACAAAGCTAAAACCTTAGAAGACAAAAGGCTGGAGAAATTAATTCATTTATATCAAGTAATACATAATTTTGTGAGCCACGTATTCTGCCCATGACACTGTGATAATCATTTGAAATATATCACCTCTAACCTAACAATCAATCTTATAACATAAATAGTATCTTTCTGATGCTACACCCAAGGGAGGAAACCAAGAGTCAGAGAGTTGAAATAATTTACCCAAAGCAGAAAGACAGCTATCAATTCAGATTTGACTGCCTCTGAGGTCTACATGTATTTCACTATAAAATACAATATCCCAAATATCGTTAACTTGAATGAAACCATTTAATTTATTAAGAGTTGATAAAGATATCCTGGTTTCTTTTTTTTTTAGTATAAGTTATAACTTGCTAACCTTTCCCCTTTTTGGGTATTTAAATGATATTTTTTCTTAATATTTTATATTGAATGGATTTTATTGTGGTTAATATTACCAAATAGTTACTAGTTTAGCTTTGCGTCAGCTAGGAACCTAATTTGTAAGCTACATGAAATTATCTCTCTCTGGAAGTAAAACGGTAAGAATATTAGCAGTGGATTGTAACTATGCCTTTCAAACTTGTCTGAAGACAAACTTGTCTTCCAAGTGCAATCATTCTTACCAGCAACCCCTTCCTGCTCCTTCCTTACCCCTCCTTCCCATATGTAGAAGACAATCTCCTCTTCTCAAGGTGCATCTCTGCCCATCCAAAAGTATCAAGATCTGCCGCCTGAATGGTTTAAATATTCATCTTATAGTTAACAGATGTATGTTATTCACCTTTACTTAGCATGGTGCCTGGTACATAAAAGGTGATCAATAGGTGCTTATGGAAGGAAGGGAGGAAGGGAGGGAGGAAGGAAGGGAGGGAGGGACGGAAGAACGGACAAGAGAAGATTCTCATACACAACATAGAACTCAACAGTCTTTTTGAAAGATCATTCTTCTGACTGAAAAGTATGAGTGGTGAAATTTGGTAGTATGACTGAATGCAGAGCTGGCTAATATATGTCACATACCTTTAGTGTGCATGAGAAGTGGGTAATTGTGGGTGAATTCCTTTTCCTTTGTAGTGGGATTCCTCAAGGAGAGGTCTTAGTTAAGATTCTATGCTGTCTTTGTGTTGATGAGAATTATTGTGATTATTTTATGTTTCTCTCAGTTTACTATATCCTCCTTGTCAATTCTGATGAAGAAAAAAAGAGATTTTTAAAAACAAATTCCTGTGGAAGTTGAGCAATTACTTTTTTTTTTTTTTTTTGCCGTTTTTGGCAGGGGAAGAAGAGAAAATGTTATTTTAAGGCATTTCAGTTTGATGGCAATTTACTAATTGTAGAAATTACTCTTTTCTTTTTATTTTTAATAAATTCTAAAACCAATATCTGTGAAAACAGTGGTATCATTATTTTCTCCTTACTTCAAATTGGCCATGGACAGCAGAAATAAAGGGGAAATCCTGTGTACCAATTCCTAAGAGGTAATAAATAAACCACAACCACCAAACATGGAAAAAAAAAAGAAATTATCTCACTTTGATTATAGAAGAAAGGTTTCTAAAAAATGAATTTAGTTCATTCACATAACTGCTAGAACAACTAGAAATTTAAGCTTGGGACTACACAAAGAAGAACAATACATCCAAATTTGCACCATGATTAGTCATGTGCAGACATGGTTTGCCACTGGTAACAGGATGTTAAATATTGTAACTGGCATGGTCAGTTCTACGCTACAGGACACCAGTGCTGTAGCTGATGCCCAAGAAACTACTCTTCAGACAGAGTACCTTCAGTCACAGTGTGTGTGCTTGATCAGATTCCCACTTTAATTCTGGGGTCCATGTAGTTCAGTGACACAGCGTGGGTCATGTGCTTGTGTCTTTGCTACAAGGGACACTGGAAAGTAAGTTCTGTTGCTTCAACTTCTCCAGTAGTGGGTATACCTTGCTATCCAGCAGGACTTACATGATGGGGGGAGCCCAAAATGCCAAAAAAGATTCAGGTACTTTGCGACTAAAACAAGGAATAATCACCACCATAGCCGTGGTTTCCACATAGTAAATAACAATGACCTTCCTAATGTTTCTACTTTTTTTTCTTTAATTAGTTTATTGTGGGTAACTATAATTAAATTGGTTTTAAAATAATTTGTTAGTTCCTTGCTTTTATCTTGTGTTTGTAGAAAGATATACTTTGTAAGCAAATAAAATATTTCTTCCTTTCAATTCGTAGAATATTTTCTTCCTTTCTTTCTTTCTTTTTCTTTTTCTTTCTTTCTTTCTTTCTTTCTTTCTTTCTTTCTTTCCTTCTTTCTTTCTTTCTTTCTCTTTCTTCCTTTCTTCCTTTCTTTCTTTTTCTTTCTTCCTTTCTTCCTTTCTTTCTTTCCTTTCTTCCTTTCTTTCTTTCTTTCTTTTGTTTGCTGTAGGGCCAGAGTATTTAACTGCAAAGGAATGTTAATCTCACAAATACAGTATGAGTAGCAGGAAACTGAGTGCTGTTTCCCCTCATAAACTCTAGGAGATTAATTCTATGTCCGCTGTAGGATGTTCTCGTCTTTTCATATCTTGCAAAGCAATTTCAAGTAGAAGGGGCCACTGTGCTAATGAGATTATTTTGTATTTATAAGAAATAGCAAGTGATGAGCTACAATTGCCTTAGATATAATGCACATCTTATTCAACTTAATTTATAAAAATAAAACTACTTCATATTTACAAAGCACCTTTGATCTAGAGAGATCAAAATGTTTTAAGGCTTTCATCTCATGAACTTCTATAACACTCTTTAAGTTAGGCAGGCAGTAATTATGACTTTTTCATCTTACAGTAGAAGAGTATGAAATACAGAAAAGGTAAGTATAAGAGCTTGTTTTAACCCTCAGTAAATATCAGTTTAGGGTGAGGGTAGAGGCAAGATCATCTCACTGCCATTGGCCTTTCTCTAATTGAAATGATTTTGAAGAGGGATATTTCCTCACATTAACAAATAAAATAAAATCCAGAGACATGTATTGAACTTATATTAGCTAATTTTCAATAATATGATACTGATGCATAGCTGATGCAAAATAACTCCTTGCTGGGTGTATAATTTAATGAATAGATAAATATTAAGGAGAACACCATTTTCTAGTACTGGGACATACTTAAATCATGAGAAATATAATTGCTGAGAAGAAAATCACCTTCTTCTTTCAAAATATAAGAGCTAAAAACAGGAATGCACATTATCTTCTGGCATTCTGATTTAGAAGTGGTTGAAGCTGAGGTACCAAACTCAAATGTCTGGATGGAGTAGGAGTTTTTTTTTTGTCTACATTTTTATATTATACTTTAAGTTCTGGGATACATGTGCAGAACGTGCAGTTTTGTTACATAGGTATACATGTGCCATGGTAGTGTGCTGTACCCATCAACCCGTCACCTACGTTACGTATTTCTTCTAATGCTAGTTTAATCCATGTTTGAAATACCAATTAACACAGCACCCACAGCCTGTGATATGAAAAAGCAAAACAACAATTTAGTTACTGCTTTTTTTTAATGTAAGACAAATAACTGGTGAAACAGAAATTTTTATGGACTACAAGTTTGTCATTTTTTTCTCCAGGGTTCAGTCCATTGCCATATGGATACTAAGATGCCACCAAATGATGTATATGATTATTGTAGCAATTCTGTGTTCATGTTCTTTCTGTTGTAGAAAGAACATCTGTATTTTATTTGTCCCATGCTACAAAACTATATTTTCTCCTACACATACGGACTTTAAAAATATTTTCTAAAATAATTTTTTGAAAGCCCAACACATGACTAAGGGATAAGGTTTACTGTAATCATTGTCTTATGATTTAATTGCAATGTATAATTTTAAATGGTTCTGAATAGCTTGCTTTACTTTATAGTGCTACAGTATATCAAGATGCATCTCTATTCTTGAAACCAAATTCAACTTATTTATTGTCATTATTAGAATAACAGATCTTCTTATAGGGTACTTTTAGCTGATATGTACTTGGATATGAAATAGAACTAATGACTTCAGGCTAATACAGATCCAAATTAAAAAAATAATTATAGCACTGGTAAACCTTTTTCAAAGAGGCATTTTGGATTTAATAGAGACATGTTGCATTTCATCTAACATTAGTTCTGCTTTCTATGCCATGGCTCACGTGCCATCAAATAGGAAGATGGCAAACGGGCAGACAGAAAGAGAGAGGAGGGAGGAGGAATGGAAAAATCATAAAATGGATAATTAACCCTTGAATTAATCCAAAATTGACAGCTGTGAATAAATGATAGTGCCTTGTTACAGTCAGAGACACTAAACACTTCAAGAGTTCAATAAATAATTTAGGTGCTTTTTTTGCATAATGTTTCAGTAATAACTCTTCAAGCACACTGCAGGTGGTATTTGATGTAAGTAAAATATTCATATCTACTCAGGTGTAACTTAATAATTGCACATACTTTAACACTGCAATTAGGAAAGAAGCAATTCAGCTTCTACACTTAAAAGATTCTAATTCTGCCACCAGACACAGTATGTATCTCTGATTTTCTCACTTTGAGAGAACTTTTTCACTTATTTAAACTGTAGTATTGGCATTCTTCCCACTAGAAAGTCAAGGGGAAATTCATAAAGAATGTAATTTACTGTAATCAAAATTGCACAAAGACAGAAAATGAGAAAAAAAGAGAATGAATGAAAATGTGACATTGTGCTCATACATTTTAAATGCCAACAGTATTAAAATCATACATTATAATCATTGTATACTCTATTACATGTGTTTTTGGATGCAGAAAACAGTGGTTTATGAAGAATTTTCAAGCTGAGGAACCATTTCTATTTAATTTTTTACATCAAGCAAGTTGAGGAAGTTAAGGGACAAGAACTTCTTACCTCCTTATATCCGCCTTCCAAGTGACTCAGCTGTAGTACATTAGCAACATGGAAAAAGACTGAATTTTAAAACAAAATAGGATTAAATTGAATTTTATTGATGCATTATATGGGATTGATTATAGAAAATGAATAGGCACATTTTAGGGTAATAATTTGGGGATACTGATGGAGTATGCTCTTCTCACTCCAGGCTCTTCTTTCAGATTTTTAGAGATGTACCTTTCAGAGAACTCTCAAAATTAACCAGACCAGTCAAAAGCCAAATAATTGGTTTCTAAGTTCGAACAAAACAACCGGGCCGGGCACAGTGGCTCATGCCTGTAATCCTAGCACTTTGGGAGGCCGAGGCGGGCAGATCACGAGGTCAGGAGATTGAGACCATCCTGGGCTAACATGGTGAAACACTGTCGCTACTAAAAATACAAAAAAAAAAAAAAATTAGCCGGGCGTGGTGTTGGGTGCCTATAATCCCAGCTACTTGGGAGGCTGAGGCAGGAGAATGGCGTGAACCCAGAAGGCGGAGGTTGCAGTGAGCCGAGATCGCACCACTGCACTCCAGCCAGGGTGACAGAGTGAGACTCCGTCTAAAAACAAAAACAAACAAACAAACAAAACAAACAAACAAAATTATATATAATTAAAATGAAATATAAATTGCAGAATGTTTTTGCTTCACCTCTTTCATGACTTCAACCTGCCCCCACCCCCAACTAAACAAAACAAAGCAAACAAACAAACAAAAAGAATGGCAAGTTACTGTGGCACTATTCACAATAGCAAAGACTTGGAACCAACCCAAATGTCCAACAATGATAGACTGGATTAAGAAAATGTGGCACATATACACCATGGAATACTATGTGGCCATAAAAAATGATGAGTGCATGTCCTTTGTAGGGACATGGATGAAATTGGAAATCATCATTCTCAGTAAACTATCGCAAGGACAAAAAACCAAACACCATGTTCTCACTCATAGGTGGGAATTGAACAATGAGAACACATGGACACAGGAAGGGGAACATCACACTCTGGGGACTGTTGTGGGGTGGGGGGAGGGGGGAGGGATAGCATAAGGAGATATACCTAATGCTAAATGACGAGTTAATGGGTGCAGCACACCAGCATGGCACATGTATACATATGTAACTAACCTGCACGTTGTGCACAAGTACCCTAAAATTTAAAGTATAATAATAATAAAATAAAAGAAAAGAAAAGAAAAAAGAAAAAAAAAGAATGGCAAGTTCTCATGGGCAGGGAGACTAGCAACACTTTAACATTAAGTGGAATAGGAAAGCAAGCATCCATGAATTATTGAGTTGTTAGGGGAGGCAATATACGCTCACAGCTTGTCCTGATTCTCATGTAGCATTTAGTAGAATGCAGAAGAACAGCTGACTTCATGAGGAGAATGTAATAATAATTTATTTTGTTATTTTATATTATTTTATTTTATTCTTACAAGTTACTGTTACAGTTTGATGGAATGCAACATATGATGTATGAGACACATCTATCCGAAAACATTTAAAAGGAGAAATAGACATTTGTCCACTACTGATCAATATATCAAAGAATAGTATTATAAGGAGGTGAGATGTCAGGCTCCTGATTCCACTATCAGGTATGAAGGAAAAGAATGAGCTCCTCTAACTTGCTTTTTTTTTTTTTTTTTTTTTTTTTTTTTGAGACAGAGTTTCACTCTTGTTGCCCAGGCCGGAGTGCAATGGTGCAATCTTGGCTCACCACAACCCTCTGCCTCCCGAGTTCAAGTGATTCTCCTGCCTCAGCCTCCCAAGTAGCTGGGATTATAGGCACGCGCTGCCACGCCAGGCTAATTTTATATTTTTAGTAGAGATGGGGTCTCCCCATGTTGGTCAGACTGGTCTTGAACCCCCGACCTCGGGTGATCTGCCCGCCTTGGCCTCCCAAAGTGCTGGGATTACAGGCTTGAGCCACCGTGCCCGGCCGCTCTTTTAACTTTCTGTTTGGAACTGTAGGTGGAAACTGCCGCCCATGGCCCACAAATACCAAGATGTGGCATTGACAGCCACCTAGAAATGTGAGGTGATGTGGGTGGGGTAGGGCCTCCATGATCCCAGTGGTGGTGATGCAGAAAGGGAACAGAGGACAATCCCAATGTCATCAGCTTTGACTTCAGCAGTATTTGGATGCACAACTGATATTAGCAAATTGTAAACTAGGCATTTTGTTGTCATAACACAACAAAATGGACACTAACTGCATAGGTCTTGCCCTTAGTTACCTTATATCCAGTTGTCTTATGAAATAAGAATAAAGAGAAAAATTCTCTAAGATTGCACGCTTACCCAGAAGAGACGGAGTTGGCCTGAAGTGGAAATAATTATGGACAGGAAGAAAAATTTACTTGTTAAGATTAACCTTTGTTCTATTCAGCCCTTGTTCTATTCTTTTTCCACTGCTCTTGAGAATAAATAACACTGCAAAACAGTGTATTACAGTGAATAAAATTATGGGCTCTGGGGCTTCCGACTGAACATGGAAGATTAACTATGTATATTTATCCTTTGCCTCCCCAAACCTTCATGAAACAGCAAAATAGAATTTAAAAGGTGTAAAATTACAAGTTCAGATATAATAGGAGACGTAAATAAAAGACATTAGATGTATTTCAGAAGATAAAAAGAAGATGGGGCTGGGTGTGGTGGCTCAGGCCTCTAATCCCAGCATTTTGGGAGGCCAAGGCAGGAAGATCACTGGAGCCCAAGAGTTCAAGACCAGCCTGGGCAACATGGCAAAACTGTCTCTACAAAAAACGTTTTTAAAAAAATTAGCCAGGTGTGGTAGGGGTGCATGCCTGTGGTCCCAGCCACTTTTGAGGCTGAAGCAAGAAGATCCCTTGAGTCCAGGAGTTGGAGGTTGCAGTGAGCTATGATCACACCACTGACACCACTGCACCACTGCACTCCAGCACTCCAGCCTGAGAGCCAGAGCAAGACCCTGTCAAAAAAATTTAAAAAATAAAAAATAAAAATAAAAAAATTAAAAAAAGATGGACAGTTATACAAAGATAGGGGAGCTCATAGATAAAAGAGATTTTAAAGAAAATAAAGACTCATTAATTGCAAATATCAGGCCCAGGCATTGTAGGAGTTTGGGCTGAAGTGTCACATATTCAGGCGTAAGATTAGTAGTTTATTCTTTGCAGAAACTGAACAATACTTGCTTCTCTCTCATCTACATCAGCCATGGCAGATGGAAGGAGTGAGTTACGGAGTGGAAAATGGAGATTGGAGGCTTCTTCCTTCCAAGTCACAGAATATTTCTAGCCAAGTATTGGCTCCTAAGGGAGGATGGAAAATTAGTCTTCAGCAAAGATGAGAAGCACCACAAAAGCTCTTTGGATGTTAGCCAAGAATCTTTCTTTCAAAAATATCCAGCTCTTTAACTCAGCAACTTTTCATCAAAATCCATCTATTTGCCTTGCCTCAGTGATGCAGCTTCCACTGAGCTTTTTTGATTTTTTTGCACTTTACTTCTTAATGTGAATCTAAGGGTCACCACAGATTTGTAGAACATCTCTGTTACTACAGAAACTGTGGGGTGGGGTGGGGGAGATAAGAGAATAAAAAGAAACAATACAGGAAAGAGGAGGTAAACTCAAATAAAAGCTGTAACAATTGAATTTCCTGAAAAGGATTTGGCACTCATAAAATAATAGGAAAGTAATAAGGAAATCAATCTGAGATCAGGAAATAACTACCATTAGAAATGAAAAATAAAATCGCTAAAATAAAGCAATCAGTGAAATGTTTAAGGACAAAAATCAAGAAAACCTCTAAAAAAAACTAAGAGATAAAGAAGCAAAAAATAGTTCAGAGAGCAAAATAAAAATCAAAGAACATCAATATAAGAATTCCATTAATAGAATAGCAGAAGTTCTAGAAAGTGTAGGCAGAGAGAGTTAAAAAGAGGACATTATCAACGAAATAAAAGAAGGTGCCTGTGCTAAGTTCATTAGGGTGAAAGAAGTCTTTCTTGGTATTCCAGGTGGGAAGATTTTCAATACAGAAAATTTGAGATGTGCACAACCCTTGAAAGGGATGAATACACAAAGGTAGGGAGGAGGAAAGTGGTCCAGAAGGAAAGTGGTCTAGAAGGAGGTGATACTCAGGAGCTCTCCAGGTACCCACTTTGAGTTTCTGGATTCTCCTGACCACCACCAACTTTTGCTATCCACTGCTCAAAGCTGGAAATTTCCAGAGAATATCTGGCACCTGAAAGGTTTTAACCAGTCTCTGTTGAGGCTCAGCTGTGAAAGTAAGTCATCCTCAGAAGCTTTTCCAGGCAGTAAAGTCAAGTCCTGAGGGAGGTGGATTATTACTGCTGTCTTCTGTGCCTTGCAATCCTGAATGAGGTTCATCTCAAGAGGACCAACTACCAAACGTGTGAATGCAACTGTCCTTGGAATATTGCTCACTGACAATTTCTAACTGATGACCACCTAGGGAAGGGGATTTTGGTAAATGGATTCCAGGCTTTTCTTCTGCAAAACAGAGCAGACCGTAAAAGGTGGTTGAGATGACATTACTTTGACTATAGAAAATCCAGCACAGAAATATCCAGAACTGAAGCACTTCCTTCTCCAATTTTAAAGTGTCCAAGCATTTTTTCAGCACTACAAATGAGAAAGGCCCACACCAAACCATACCAATCATACCAAAAGAAGATACTGGAACTTCAAAATAAAAAGAAGATACAAAAAGCTTCTAAAGAGGGAGAAAGAAACACATATTAAAACAATAACAACATAAAAAATCAGAATGATATTGGATTTCTTAAAGGCAGCAATACATGATGAAGGATAAGGAAGCACTGCTTTTAAAATTCTGGAATAAAATGAATTTAACCTAGAATGATACACACAATCAAGATGTCAACCAAGAGGAAAATTAAATTTGAGATATTGTCAGTTAGCAACTACTCAGAAAAACTCTAAGCTTTTTGTTCTGTTAATTTCCTGGTAGTCCCTTGGGAAATACTCTTGAAAAATGAAGAACTAACAAAAACAGAAAAAATATATGATATTTAAGAAGCAACATATACATCATAGGAGAGTTTGAGGATCCTTTTGTAACAGTGCTTGGGACAAAACAGTCCAGATTGGAGCAGAAAGATAGAAAGATGAAGTATCGAGGGAAGGATATTTCTGGGGAAGTGGGAATACACAATTAATAAATCAAGAAAAATAAGTTTAGACAGATTACAAAATAACTGAAAGATTTAAAAAATTTAACAAGTTTAAAATAAAAGAAATCATTCATAGTATATCACTCTTTGTGGGAATGTAAATTAGTACAGACACTATAAAAACGGTATGGAAATGTCTCAGAAAAATCAAAATAGAACTACTATACTATCCGGCAATTCTACTACTGGGTATTTAGACAAAGAAAAAGAAATCAGTATATCAAAGTGATATTTGCACCACCGTGTTAAACACAGCACTATTCACAATGGCTAAGCTATGGAATCAACCTAAGTGTTCATCAACGGATTAATGTATAAAGAAAATGTGTTATATAATTTCCATTCTGTTTACGCAACGTAATACTATTCAGCATATAAAAGAATGAAATTCTGTCATTCACAGCAACCTGGATGTACCTGAAGGACTTTCTATTAAGTGGAATAAGCCAAGCACAGAAAGACAAATATTGCATATTCTCACTCATAAATGTGAGCAAAAAAAGTGGATCCTATATGGAGGTAGAGAGTAGAATGATAGACACCTGAGGCTAGAAAGGGAGTATGTGTGCTTGGGGGTGTTGGGGGGAGGGAATAAAGAGATATTGATTAATGGGAATAAACACACAGTTAAATGGAAGGAATAAATTCTAATTTTCAATACCAGAGTAGATTGAATATAGTTAACAACAACGTCTTGTGTATTTCAAAGTAGCTAAAAGAGAAACTTGAAATGTTCCTAACTCATAGAAATGACAAATACTTGAGGTGATGAACACCCAAAGTACTCTGACTTGATCATTACTTAGTCTGTGCATGTAACAACATATTATATGAATTCTATAAATCTGTACAAATATTATGTATCAATGAAAAATTTTAAAAACCATTCACATATATATTATATAATCTACAATGAATAATGTATATTTCTAACAATGCTAACACTTTACACTTAATAGATTATCTAAATAGAGGTTACCTCTATTGGGAAGTGGCAAGATGAGTTAAAAGAACTGAATTCTCATGAATCCGCACACATTATGTAATAATATGTAATGTGTTACATATGTCATGTAATACATGTAATCCTAACATAGCAGTCAGTAAAAGTAGATAAGGTCTAAAATGTACAAATCAAGAAATAGCAACATAAGCATAATATTTTTCATTGGGATATATTAAAGCATAATATTCTTCATTGGAATATATATTTAAAAAAACACAAAGAAAAAAAAATCAGCTAAGAGATAAAATCTGTTGCCTTAATATGAAGTGAGCTATAAAGATGTCATGTTATCATGAGAGGAGACATGAGGAGAAAAGTTCAGCCTATGTTTTCTCTCTCTCTCTCTCTCTGTCACACACACACACACACACACACACACACACACACAAAGCAGCTATATATTCTAATTTGAGCAACTTGACTGTATTATCTAACCATTCCAACTGAGTTTCTGAAGATGTCAGCTATGGAGCAAAGCAGAGATATATCAAACCAAATAATTCTGATTAGAAATGGTGAATGCAGAATCATTTACTCAGCAAAAAGCAACATGCTCAAATTAAATATGTATACTTTACATACTGATAAATACATATGTTATATATTAATAAAGATACTATAGAATTATATTAGGTTGGTGTAAAAGTAAATGCGGTTTTTGCCATTGAAAGTAAGTATGTATATATGAAAGGTTGCACAAATTAGGTTTAAAGTAATTAAGCAATTTTTTATTATCTGAAAAAGTAATAAATATATATATAAAGACTTGTACAAATTAAGTTTCCTAATATTGCTTACTTTTCATTTGATCATACTTTTATGGGTCTGTGAGAAACAAAAGCTATCAATTATATAATTGACTGCTAAGTATTTCTATAAAATAATAATAGTAATAATAATAACTATAGCCAATTATGTTATTTAATACTCAAAAAATACTCCAAAGTATAGAGAAAACATTATTCTCATTTTTACAGATGAGGAAACTAAGGCACAGAATTTAAGAGACTTGCCCATGGTCTCATAAATAGTAAGCAGTGGAGCCAAGATTCAAATCTTGGGAGTCTAGATAAAGAAGTGACAATCCAATATACTATGCACTGTGCCTTGAACTCAGTGTTAATCTGAACATTTCTTCTCTGAAAACTCTTTCCTCTATGTTCTTTACCGGCACAGTCCTGCAAGACAAGGGTACTGACTGATTTCAGACTCATTCTCTCTTTCCTCCTTGCTCCTCCAGATACTGACAATCTTCAGCTTGTCCTCATTCCCATTGCCTTTGCATCGTCTTTCACCTTCGCTTCTGAGCCACCTCATACTCATTCCTTATCTCTCCACTTCCAACCCAGCCTCTTTGCTGACACTGGAATTAACCCCTTCATGTGACTTCATTTCTCACTTTGTCTTTGCTTTTAATATTATTATTATTATTATTTTGAGATGATGTCTCACCCTGTCGCCCAACCTGGAGTGCAGTGATGCAATCTTGGCTCATTGAAACCTCTGCCTCACAAGTTCAAAGAGGTTCTCCTGCCTCGGCCTCCCAAGTAGCTGGGATTACAGGCACATGCCACCACTCTGGGCTAATTTTTGTATTTTTAGTAAAGATGGGGTCTCACCATGTTGGCCAAGCTGGTCTCAAACTCCTGACCTCAAATGATCCACCAGCCTCGGCCTCCCAAAGTGCTGGGATTACAGGCATGAGCCACCACGCCCGGCCTTATTATTTTTAATTGACACATAATAGTTGAACATATTTTTGAGTATAGTGTGATATTTTGATACATGTATATATAATGTGTAATGATCAAATCAGGTCACTTTCTTGATCTGCAGGATACTTTCTCCTCAATCTCTTCTAACCTAGTTCCCGCATAACTCTACACCAGGACCATCAAAATGCTGGATGCCACACACACACAACACAGATTTCAGTGTCTTTTTTTTTTTTCTGAGACAGAGTCTTGCTCTGTCACCAAGGCTGGAGTGCAGTGGCGCGATCTCGACTCACTGCAACCTCCGCTTCCCAGGTTCAAGCGATTCTCCTGCCTCAGCCTCCCAAGTAGCTGGGACTACAGGTGCCCGGCACCACTCCTGGCTAATGTTTGTATTTTAGTAGAGACGGGGTTTCACCATATTGGCCAGGCTGGTCTCAAACTCCTGACCTCAGGTGATCCACCCGCCTCGGCCTCCTGAAGTGCTGGTATTACAGGCGTGAGCCACCACACCCGGCCAGATTTCAGTGTCTTTATGTTGTAGTTTACTGGTTCCTTTGCTTGGAAAGCCATTCTTCCACTTGTGCTACGGAAATCCCACCCCTCCTTCAAAGGCCAGGTGAAATATTGCTATTTTTTCTTTGAAGCTCTCTTTAAACACTTAATGATAATCTTCTTTTAAATTTGTTTCCCGTGTGTGTGTGTGTGTGTGTGTTATAAAGTCACACTATGATTTATTAGTTTATATAGTAAAGTTTAACATTAGTAAAGTTAGGAAAACTTTACTTTGTCCTCTAGCTCATTTCACAGTTAGTTTATGTGCAGCTTGAAAAGGTGTTCATCAAATCTTCTGGGGCAGGAAGCATAGTTGACTTACAAGTACTGCTGTGAGCCCTCTGTATCAGCTCTAAGTTCTTGCTGAAGCCATATTTCCCCCAGATTGTCAACAGCCAGTGACTGAGTACACAGGCCAATTCCTCCAAGAGGAGAGATTTGTTTAATGAACAGCTTTGGGCTGGCAAAAGTCTGTAACTGTTCTTCCTTGATCCTTCTTCCTTCCCTCTCAGCTTCACAGGGAGGTCAGATGTGCATTTTCTTTCTTCTCTGGATCTCTCTCCACTTTCCTGCCTAAGCGTTTCCTCCAAATGATCTTTTTCAGGTCTAATTCTGTTATGTCGTCTGCTTCTTGGAGGACTCAAATAGTACACTGTTATCTTGAGAAAAATGTTTTTTATTTAAATTTTTGTTCCCTAGGACAAATTATGATAGTTTGCCTTTAAGGAGCACTTGATAAATCAATCATGGTCTCTTACAAAACTTGAGTACAGCGTAATTATTATTGAAATTTAGATTTATTTAGGTATTTTTGGGATATGTCATAGACCATTTGTACTATAAAAACAAAACATCTGAGACTGGGTATTTTTTGTAAGAGGTAGGATTTTGCTCTGTCATCCAGGCTGGAGTGCAGTGGTGCCATCGCGACTCACTGTAGCCTTGACCTCCTGGGCTTAGGTGATCCTTCCACTTCAGGTTCCCAAGTAGCTGGGACAATAAGCACACACCACTATGCCTGGCTAATGTTTTAACGTTTTGTAGAGATAGGGTCTTACTATGTTACCTGGGGTGGTCTCGGCCTCCTGGGCTCAAGTGATCCTTTCACTTTGGCCTTCCGAGATTCTGGGATTATAGGCGTGAGACACCATGCCTGGACTTGGGTAAATTTTAATGAACAAGAATGCATTTCTCACAATTCTGGAGAACTTTGGACTTTGGATAGTCCAAATTCAAGGCACTAGTAAATTCAGAATCTGGTGAGGGATCTTGTGTCTCCTTCTGAGAAGGTGTCTTGTTGCTGCATCCCCCAGAGAGGACAAACACTGTGCACTCACATGGCAGGAGGGACAGAAGGGCATGGGGGCAATACCTTCAACATCAAGCCCTTTTATAAGTCTGCTCATCCCACTCAAGAAGGTGGAACCCACATGACCTAATCACTGCCAAAAGGCCACACTTCTTAATCCTGTTGCATTGGGGATTCAGTTTCAACATGAGTTTTGGACAGGATATCCTCATCCAAACCGTACCATGAACCAAAGTATTTTAGTCTTCTCTTAAAAGTATTTGTTTTGTGTTTGTGTGAAAAGACAATCATCATAAACATAAGTAATTCTCTAATGCTCTTAAGTTACTTTTTCCAGTGAGTAGCATTCTTTCTGACATAAAGAAAAGAAAATCTAATTTAAAATGGTTCTTTCAAAATTATTAAATAAATGTATTAACTCACGCACCTGAAAAATCTAGAGGTGTCATTAGACATAGCTGGATTCAGAAGCTCAAAAAATTCATCTAGGCCTAGTCTTCAAGTTTTCATATGTAAATTCTATTTTCTTATCAGTTCTGATATTTCCTCTGGTCTTTGGTGTGTTTTTACACATATCGTGGACATGCATCACCAGCAGATCTGGGCTAACATCCTTTCTTCTGAACAACTATCAGGGGCAGGAAGCAAAGGGGAGTCATAGGGTTGGTGAGATAGAGAGAAAGAGAGGGAGAAAAATTAAAAAACAGAGATCAGGCAAATCTTAGTATGGCTAAGGATTAGTTCTGATTGAGCCAGCTTGGGTTACCCACTAAATGTGCAGACCAGCAGCTGTGGCTGGGGGAATTAAACGTTCTGTGTTTCTGGGTCTGATTTTTATGCCATCTGAATATGTCAGTCAATTGAATTTCTTAAGGAACACATAGACCTTCTGTCAGAAAAATCAAACAAATAAAAATTAGCAGAAAATAGGTGTACCAGATTTTTCAATTTTGGTGGTAACAGCATCAACAACATTTAATAAATAAAAATAAAATATATGTGAAATTGTAGTGCTTATATTCATTACTATAGAGATCTTACACATTATATGATTAAAATATTATACTGAAGTAATTTCATGTAAAGAATGTATTTCCACCACATTACATAACATACATTATGTTACTTGAGTGAATATGTATATATGAAGAATTAATGATACTGTTCTAGACATAGAAAAGTAATTTTATTCACACTAGAATAGTTTAGATATAGATACCTAATAACACCCAACTGAAATAGGGATCATCCTAATCTTTATGATATACCAACATCTTGTAATTTAAAAAGAAGAGAATAATAATGTGGAGTTTCCATATTGTCCGAACAAAGCTTTAAAAAAATGTATGGGTGGACAAATAAATCAACAATTTATTGCTAAATATACCTATTGTCATCCATGTAGCTAAATGGCAAGTTTTGTAAGGTCAGCAGTATGTTGCTGGCTTTCATCAGTGCCTTATGTCGGCTATGGACTTTCCTCTGACCCATGGAGCTTAGGGCTTCACTGAACATCTACCTGTTATTGATTCCACTGTTATTGATTCCACTCATCTATTTGCTCTTCCAAAAAACCTTAAGTGTTCATAGTTTAGTGTGTTCTCCTTCTTCTGTGCTCATAGCCTTATTTTTCTATGGTTTTCCTTATATCTTAATTTAAAAAATTAAAATTCTGAGTGGTATAGGTCAAAAGTAGCTTGAGAATTTAGTCAACTGACATGTTATTACGATTTGGTATAAAATTAATATTATAAATCAATACAAGAAAGACTTTTGTTTTGATGCCTGCCAAAACTCTGGCTATGAAGACTGATCATTCAGCCACAGTTGTTCTTGTTCTTCAGAGCCAAAAATGAATCCTACTTTTCAGGACCAAAATGAACCTTCTGATTCTACTCTAATCAACTACAACTGTCCTGGATTCTCCAGAGCTCCATCAGAATTTGGAGGAAAGGACAAAAAGCATGCTGGTGGGTCATCTACTTTGCTTTGAAAGAATGAAGTAAACCCGGGGGGAATTGTGTATTTAATTTTCATTCTCCCTCTCAACAAAGAAAGAAGCAAATAAAGGAAGGGAGAAAAGAGAAAATAAAAAAAGAAAGAAAAAAAGAAAGAAAGGGAAAATGAAGGAAGGAAGAAGAGGGAAAGAGAGGAAAGGAAAAAAGGAAGGAGGAAACAATTGTGCTGTCATCAGGAGATCAGTTAGCTTTGGGATGCATGTTTTCATAATTCCTTTGAATAAGAAAATTTTCCTTTGGAAAAATGCTCAGTGTAATAAAGATAATGACTTTTAGGACCATTATTTCAAATGCTGAAGAAAAGAGCAAGCAACACACAAAAAAGCAAATGAAAATTCCCCAAAATTTAATTACTTATACTGAGATAGAGTTAGTATTAGAGTTTTTGCAAAAGTATAAAATTCATGTTGAAAATATTGTTGCCTAAATTAAAGTATGTACAAGTTTCAACTGTCAAAGAAGAAAAAGAACAGTTCCTATAACCAGGAAAATTATTTTTTAAAATTAAAATCTGTTTATTAGAAAAAATGTATGGTAGATGAGTGCACAAGATATGAGACAGGCCTTGGCATCATTCATAATGAGTTAAAATCATTATCAATGCGTAAATGCCATGGTTTATTAGTAAGAAATTTTTGGGTAATTGAGAAGAGCACTTCATACAGAAAGGTATATTTTGCATTTTGGCTACTTTAGATTTTTAAAATAATTATTGATATTTTTGTAATTCTTCCTTAATTTTTAAATTAATTTATAAATTTAAGGTTAGAGTAGCATGTTTTACATGTAAATATTGAGAAAGTATTGGATGCATGTTTAGTTTTATTTTAAAGGATAATTAAGTATTGTGAGAGAGTAAAAACTAATCTGGGACTTGGAGTAAAAAACATCAACTTGGGCCTGCAAACATAAAAATCAAGCATGGCATTAATAAGACTGTGATTATGAACAAAGATAAAGTCAGCTGCTAAATTAACAGGAAACTTCTCCTCCCAAGTTTATGCTACAGTTTTAAAATGTTATAGCAACCCTTATCTTTGAGGCACTTAATACTGCCCTCACACTGACATATCCAGTTACAATTCATTGATCATGACTTTTGAGCACAAATCAGAAATATCCTATTGCTAAACTGCCCTCAACTAATCACAACAATCAATCCAGAACATTTTTTTCATCTTGCCTCAGAAAAACCAACTATTCCAGTGTGAATTCCCACCTCCATATCCTACTCGGAGTCATTCAGCTCAAGTCCATGCTTTGCAAAAAACTCCCCAGCTCATCTTTCTGAGAGGCATCCTCCAGTTACTTCGGAGTTACCTGCCTTGTTACAGAAAACGAATAAACCTCACTTAGTTGAACAACTAGTTTAATCCTTGGCTCCCTTTAACTCTTTCACACCAACAATTCACAACTCGATTAATTTGCTGTATTTTATTTGCTTTATAAGTACTTTAAGTTGACTAATAGGTAAGCCTATCAAAAAAGTCTTATAAAACTAATAAGTCTATGCTCATGATTTAGGCCTCTTAAATGTTTATAATGACTGTTTACATCATTTTTATAATTACTATATAAAATTACATTTTAAATCAATTTCTCAACTAAGCATTTTAAATTGGAATCATAACATTAATCTCTTATTCTTTTTAGGTCAGTTATTTTTAAATATTGCAAATACTTTTAGAAAAACATAGTATTCTGTAACACAATTATCACTACTGTTGATTTGTTTATTCATTTTTCTATTTAAATATAGTTTTTTGTGCTAAAATATTTATGCAACAAAGAAATTACTGTGTTATAAGAAGAATAATTTTGAGTGAATAAAAGCAGTCAGATGATATGCTTGTGGTTACTGTTGAAAGCAACTTTCCTCCACTTCTTTATTAATGTATATCAAACATAAAGATAATTGTGTGAATCCTAAGTGCACAGCTGAATGAATTCTCACAAAGTCCATGTGCCCATATAACCATCACACAGAACAAGAAATAGCATTATCAGCAAAGTGGAAGATGCTTTATAAAGTTCCCAGTCAATATTCTTCAGAAGAAACAATTATATTGACTACTGTTATCATAGTTGTTTTTTTCTGGTTTTGAACTTAAAATAAACAGAATCATGCAGTATGAGGTTACCCTGTCTGTTAGCTTAGGTTTCCTATTGACCGCAATATTTGCTTAAGTTGCAGAAGTACATGATTGCCTTCAATACTGATTGGACCCACTGAGCCCTGTTTGCAGATGTAATAACAGGAATTTCATAACCTTGAAGCTTTTGGTCAGCTTTGCTCTCAAATTTCACATAAGTCATATCACTATTAAATGCTTTTCTACTATGAGAAGCATGCAATTCTGCTTATTAGATTGTAAATAAATTTTCATGTGGCATCAGTTGGACTTGCATTTTAAAATTCCTTTTAATATATTTAAATATCTTCTAATTGGATTCTCTGTAGTTCTTGAAACTTTATCAATCCTGTAGCCATAGTTCTAATATTAGTCAACTGAGTTTCTTAGGCAAGTTTTCTTCTCTGTAAAATTCTCTTCAATTTCTCTGTAAAAACAGTTAAAAATAATACAATAGAGTTGCTGTTTGATTAATATTGAAAAAGCTAAATTACATAAGCACTTATTACAGTGCCTAGCCCACTGCATACACTCAGCAAATAGTTTTGTTATTGAGAATGGTATCCTTCATTCCCTCATTAAAGCATTAAGAATTTTTTAATTTTTTATATTTTTGGTAGACACAGGATTTCGCCATGTTGGCCAGGCTGGTCTCAATCTCCTGACCTCAGGTGATCCACCTGGTCCTGCTACTCAGGAGCTGAGGCAGGAGAGTCGCTTGAATCTGGGAAGTGGAAGTTGCAGTGAGCTGAGATCGTGCCATTGCACTTCAGCCTGGGTGACAGTGCGAGACTCCATCTAAAAAAAAAAAATTAAGAATTTATTATTGAATTAAAAGATAATTATGCATTCCCAAATGTAATCTAAATTATCTTATTTTTTCTAATAGCTTTAATTAAAACTGCCTAAGCAAGTATATATAATTTACATATGTCCTGATATTTTGCTGACATAGAGACTAAATAAAGTTGTAACTTATTCAACTGTTAAGGGAAAATTGCACAGAAAGTAGAGATAATTTTTGTATGTGTTACTTAACTAACTAGCATTGTGCAAACATTGTGCTTTGTTTAAAGCTCTTTATGCAAAGCTACAGCCCAAAGTAAAAAGGTTTGTAGTTTTGAATATATTTATTTGAGTCATAAAAAAGATTAAATGCAAAAAAATGAGCAAATCACTTACTAAAATCAATTATAAACAGAAAATAAATGAAAATTATGCACCTAACAGTGAAGCAACTAAATATATAAAGCAAATATTAAAGAATGAGAAGGAAGAGACAGATTGCAATACAATAACAGTAGGGGTTTTCGATTTACCACTTTTGATAACGGACAGATTATCCAGACAAAAATTAATAGGGAAACATTAGACTAGAAGAATATTTTAGATCAAAAGTGCCTCACAGACATAAACAGAACACTCATTCCAACAGCAAAAGACTACACATTCTTCTCAAGAGCAGACAAAAAAAAAGTTTCCAGGAAAGATCATGTTAGGACAGAAAACAAGTCTTAAATTTAATAAGATTAACTTCATATCAAGTAAATGGTGTTGAGAAAACTGGATATCAATATAAAAGGAATAAAGTTGGACTTTTATCTCATACATATACTCAAAATTTTTTAAAAATCAACTCAAAGTATATTAAAGACTTAAATAAACATTAGACTTCAAGCTATAAGAATACTAGAAGGAAACAGGGGAAAAAATACATGAAATTGGTCTGAGCAATGATTTTTTAGGTTTGAACCCAAAAGTGCAGGCAATAAAAGCAAAAATAGACAAATGAGATTACAACAAAATCAGAAATTTCTACACAACAAAGGAAACAATAAACTCCATCAATCATTGAAGAGACAACCTACTGAGTGGAAGAAAATATTTGCAAGCTATATATCTGATAAGAGATTAATATCCAAAATGTATAAGAAACTCAAACTACTCTATAGAAATAAACAAATAATCTGATTTAGAAATGGAGATGCTCTTATGCTTAGAAAATGCTAAAGACTCTTCTGAAAAACACTTAGGCTTGACAAATTAATTTAGTAAACTTTCAGGATATAAAATCAACCTGCAAAAATCAGTGGTATTTCTATACTCCAATAACAATCAAGCTAAGCTCAGAACCAAATTAAGAAGGCAATTCCATTTACAGTAGCTAAAAAGAAATTATATACCTAGGAATGCATGTAACTAAGAAGATGAAAAATCTCTACTAGGAAAACTGCAATATGCTGATGGAAGAAATTGTACATGACAAATAAATGAACAAACATCCCATGCTCACAGATTAAGAGAATTAATATCATTAAAATAACCAGACTGCCCAAAGAAATCTACAGATTCAATGCAGTCTTTATTAAAATACCAACATCATTTTTCACAGAATTAGAAAAAACAATTCTAAAATTCATATGGAACCAAAAAGGGGCCCAAATAGCCAAAGCTATTCTAAGCAAAAGAGCAAAGCTGGAGGCAGCATATTACCTGACCTCAAATTATACTACAAAGTTATAGTAACCAAAACAGCATGATACTGGCAAAAAAGAAGCAAAGTTGAATAGAACAGAATAAAGAACCCAGAGAAAAAAAACTGATTATCTACAACCAACTGTTCTTTGAAAAAGTCAACAAGAACATACACTGGGGCAAGGGCACACTTTTGAATACATGATGCTGGGAAAATTTAATTGCCATATTCAGAAGAATAACACTGGACTCCTATCTCTCACCACATACAAATATTAACTCAAGATGGATAAGAGTTAGATGTAAGATCTGAAACTATAAAAATACCAGAAGAAATCTTCTGGACATTGGTCTAGGCAAAGAATTTATAGCTAAAACCTCAAAAGCACAAGCAATGAAAACAAAAATAGACAAGTGAGGCTTAATTAAACTAAAAGACTTCTTCACAGAGAAAGACATAATTAACAGAGTGTACAGGCAACCTACAGAAAGGGAGAAAATACGTGCAAACTATGCATCCAACAGAAAACTGACGTCCAGAATTTACAAGCAACTCCAACAATTCAAGAGCAACAACAACAAAAATTCAATAACTGCATTATAAAGCAAGCAAAGGACATAAATAGACATATTTCAAAAGAAGACATACAAATGGCTAAGTATTTGTAAAAATGCTCCAGATCACTAATCATCAGAGAAACGCAAATTAAAACCACAATGAGATAATATCATACACCAGTCCGAATGCCTATCATTAAGAACACAACAAAATAACAGATATTGGTAAGGATCTGGGGAAAAGGGAATGCTTATACATTGTTGGTGGAAAGTAAATTAGAAAAACTCTATAAAAAACAATTTAAAAATTTCTCAAAGTACTAAAAATAGAACTAGCATCCAACCCAACAATCCTGCCCCTGGGTATCTACCCAAAGGCTAATAAATCTTTATATCAAAAAGATACCTACACTGGTATGTTTATCACAGCACTGTTCACAATAGCAAACATATGGAATCAACCTAAGTGTCCATTAATGGATGATTGGATAAAGAAAATATGAATACTAGTCAACAATAAAAAAGAATGAAATAATGTCTTTTGCAGCAACATGGATGGAACTGAAGGCCATTATCTTCAGTGAAATCACACAGAATCAGAAAGTCAAATACAGCATATTGTCACTTATAAGTGGTAGCCAAGTAATGTGTACACATGAACATAAGGTGCGGAATAATAATTGTTAGAGATTCGGAATGGCGTATGGGTGGGAGGAAGGTGAGGGATGAGAAATTACTTAATGGGTACAATGTATGCTGTTTGGGTGATTGTTACACTAAAAGCCCAGACTTCACCACTGCAGAATATATCTATGTAACAAAACTGTACTTGTACCCCTAAAATTTATACAAATAAATAAATATTTTTAAAATGGGCAAGAAATGAATAGATATTTCTCAAAAGAAGACATAGAAATGGCTAATATACATACAAAATGCTCAACATTGCTATTCTTTGGGGAGAGGTGAATTAAAAGCAGAGTGAGATATCACTTCACACTTATTAGAATGACTATTATCAAGAAAATTAAAAAAATAGCAAGTTTTGGTGAGGATGTAAAAAAAAGGGAACCTTTGTATACTGCTGGTCAAAATGAAAATTAGGACAGCCATTATTGAAAACAATATGGAATTTCCTCCAAAAATTAAAATAGAATTACTGTAAGATCCAGCAATTCAGTTTCTGGGTATTTTACCAAAAGATTTGAAATCAGTATGTCAAAGACATACCTGCACTCCCATGTTAATTGCAGCACTGTTCACAATAGCCAAGTTATGAAATCAACCAAAGTGTCCATCAATGAATACTTAAACCTAAGACCTGAAACTATAAACGTTCTAGAAGATAACACTGGAAAAACCCTTCTAGACATTGGCTTAGGCAAGGATTTCATGACCAAGAACCCAAAATGCAATAAAAACAAACTAATTAAACTAAAGAGCTTTTGCATGGCAAAAGAAACAGCAGAGTAAACAGGCAACCTCCTGAGTGGAAAAAAATCTTCACAATCTATACATCTGACAAAGGACTATTATCCAGAATCTACAACAAACTCAAATCAGTTAAAAAAACACAAACAATCCCATCAAAAAGTGGGCTAAGGACATGAATAGACAATTCTCAAAAGAAAACATACAAATGGACAACAAACATGAAAAAATGGTCAACATCAGTAATGATCAGGGAAATGCAAATCAAAACCACAATCTGATACCACTTCACTCCTGCAAGAATGGTCATAATCAAAAAATCCAAAAACAGTAGATGTTGGTATGGATGTGGTAAACAGGGAACACTTCTACTCTATTGATGGGGATGTAAACTAGTACAGTCACTGTGGAAAACAGTGTGGAGATTCCTTACAGAACTGAAAGTAGAAATACCATTTGATCCAGCAATCCCACTATTTGGTACCTACCCAGAAGAAAATAAGTCATTCAAAAAAGATACTTGCATACCTATGTTTACAGCAGCACAATTTACAACTGTAAAATCGTGGAACCAACCCAAGTGCCCATCAATCAATGAGTGGATAAAGAAACTGGTGTATATATATATACGATGGAATACTACAGAGCCATGAAAACAAATAAATTAACAGCATTTGCAGTGACCTGGATGAGACTGGAGACTATCATTTTAACTGAAGTAACTCAGGAATGGAAAACCAAACATCCTATGTTCTCACTGATATGTGGGAGCTAAGCTATGAGGACACAAAGGCATAAGAATGACTTTGGGGACTTGCGGGGGAAGATTGGGAGGGGGGCAAGGTATGAAAGACTCCAAATATGGCGCAGTGTATACTGCTCGGGTGATGGGTGCACTAAAATCTCACAGATTGGCTGGGCATGGTGGCTCACGCCTGCAATCCCAGCACTTTGGGAGGCCGAGGTGGGTGGATCACCTGAGGTCAGGAGTTCGAGACCAGCCAACATGGCGAACATGGCGAAACACCGTCTCTACTAAAAATACAAAAATTAGCCGTGTATGGTGTTGGGCACCTGTAATCCCAGCTACTCAGGAGGCTGAGGCAGGAGAATCGCTGAACCTGGGAAGCCAAGGTTGCAGTGAGCCGAGATGGCACCACTACTCTCCAGCCTGGGCAACAGAGTGAGACTCTGTATCAAAAAAAATAAATAACTAAAAATAAAACCACACAAATAACCACAAAAGAACTTACTCATGTAACCAAATACCACCTGTACCGTGATAACCAAAGGAAAAATAAAAAAATAAAATAAAATAGTGAAAGAACTTTAAAATAGACATATAATTTTAAGTATCTGATTTAAGTCCTCTTTCTTACATTGAGTTTTCTGTTTAGGAGCAAATAGGCAAGATAAACATATCCCTGTGAAACAATGTGACTATTATCCTCCATCAAGGTCCACTCCTAGTCCCATGGTTCTTTGGACAATTTCTAAATTACATACTCATAGAAATACTCAAAATATTTCTGAGATGCTCTTCATGGAAAGCATTCAATTCCTCATTAAATAGTTATTAATATTTGTTAATAATTGTTAGCTAATATTTAATTAATAATGTTAATTAAATAAATAAAATATATTTGGGAAGTCTCAAAATATGTGCATTAGTCTGTGTTCTCCAGAGAAAAATAACATTTATATATAAATATATATGCGTATACACATATATATCTATATATGAGAGAGAGAAAAATATTTGTTATAAGGTATTAGAATACAGTATAATCTGTAATGCAGGCTGTCCCAAGATGCACAGTCATGAAGCTGGAGATGTAAGAGAACAGATGGTATAGTTCCAGTCCAAGTTCAAAGGACTGAGAACCAGCATAGCTGGTGTGTGTTCCAGAGCCACCCACATTGAGAAAGGTAATATGCCTTACTTAGCATACTGATAACAGTATACAGTGTTAATCTCATCCAGAAACACCCTAACGGACATACTCAGAATAATCTTTAACCAAATATCTGGACCTCCCACAGCCCAGTCAAATTGACACATAAAATTATCCCTCACAATAGATGTGTTTTTGTTTCCTCTAAAATTCCTATCTCTTAAATTTTTTGTTTGTATACATAATAAATGGCCTAAAATGTTTATGGCATATTGTAGCAGACAGATTACGGTAAACAAAAGTTGTCTTTCCCAAAACTTAATAATATTTGTGTTTCTTAAACTTAGACCTAAGAGATTAAACAGGTTTGAATTTAACATTAAGAGCCTGCTCTTATAAACAAAAGTTAAGTCTTTCCCAAAAAGTAATATTTGTTTCCTTAAAATTAGACCTAAGAGATTAAGCAGGTTGAATTTAAGAGCCCTGCTCTTCTAAAAACATCCAGCCTTAATGTAAAAGCACAGTACCTCCTATAAGGCATGAATGGTTCCTCTCTAAGGGTAGTGTGGATATTCTATAATTTTGCTTGCCTCCTAGATGTTTGGTCTTGTAATAGATCAAATGAAACCTTCCCATACTTATTTTTGTTTGATATTTTGGTAACTGATGAAGTGTATTTAATATAATAAAGCTGGATATTGCTAATCTTCTCATCTCAAGGAATGTAAAATATAATAAAAAGATAATTTGGGATAACACACATTAATTATCTTTATAAGGAAATATATAATAAATCCTTCCTTAAAAATCTGTAGATTTTTGGCCGGGCAAGGTGGCTCACGCCTGTAATACCAGCACTTTGGGAGGCCGAGGCAGGCAGATCACAAGGTCAGGAGATTGAAACCATCCTGGTTAACACGGTGAAACCCTGTCTCTACTAAAAACACAAAAAATTAGCCTGGCATGGTGGCGGGCACCTGTAGTTCCAGCTACTCGGGAGGCTGAGGCAAGAGAATGGCGTGAACCCAGGAAGCGGAGCTTGCAGTGAGCCGAGATCGCATCACTGCACTCCAGCCTGGGCAACAGAGCGAGACTCTGTCTCAAAAATAAATAAATAAATAAATGAATAAATAAATAAATATCTGTAGATTTTTTTCTTGGAAACCGACAGTTTTGTGTTTTTTTTTTAACAAATAAATCCTTTATCCATATTGGCAATTAATTAATCCAAATTTATTAAAAACTGTTTTACTTTGATAAATCTTTAGACTATGACCTAAGCTTCCCTTTCAAATGTGCTTCAAAGAAAGAAAGGCTTTTAGGCAGTAACATAAAGGTTTATATCAAAGTGAGATGAAACAATGATGATTTAAATTTACAGAAGGAAACATGTGGTTTACCAGAAAAGGATTTATTTGTTCACTAAATAATTTTTTTAAATTACATATCTAATAATATTATTATTCCTTTTATTTGTGCTTTCTTTGGCAACTGAAGTGAGAGCCTCTTTCTAATTAGGCATAAATCAGACTTCATTGGCTCAACTCCACAGACTGCAAACCTGAAATCATGACTTGGTCATGATTCTCAGCCAAAGGTGTTGGTGTCAGTGTGGATTTATATTGAGGTCTTCAAGAGAACTACTAAATTTTCTAGAAGATATAATGTCCCAATAGTGCAAGAGTCAGGGAAGATTAGAAATATGGCATCAGTGTTTTTACAGATGGTGTGGTCTTTACAGGAAGTCGCATTCGCGATAGACTCAAAGCTCACAGTGACCTTTGGCAAGAGAGATACAATTAGGCCTCAAGCCACAACTATCACTTCAGTCATCATTTGTACAGTGATGACTGCAGAATGCATTACGTAAGTCTTAATTAAGTAATATGTAGAGTTTTAAAACTTGGTGCTTCTAACTTTTTAAGTGGGAGATGATTTTTTCGTAGTTAAATTTAAGTCAGCCTTAAAAGTAACTGTAAGTTAGTAATGGACTTTATAAGAATTCTGTTGAGTTTTAATTTTTAACATTGGTTTTACTCAAATGTTCATTTTATGCTCTTTCTCATTCATCTCCTCCATTATTTTCCAAAACTATTTCAGAAGGGGAAACCACATCTAAAAAGATAGGATGAACATAAAATATTTTACTTTTACCTCTGACACTGGTAGCTCTCAGCCAAGAAAAGATTCGTAGAAATTCAGACTTTTATATCACTTTTCTACTGGACTTCAGTTAAACTCAGGGTGATAGAGGTTACTGATTATTCAAGAGGAGTGAGTGTATGTACTAGCCAGTGGGGCCACAACCTCTATAACGTTAGATCAGCATTAATGGGTACCGTTTACAGATTTACAGACAATTTATATATTGAGAAAGAGGGAGAAGAGCATGTCTAAAATGACTACAAATTGAATAAACATCATGAACAAATAATATTATTTTCAGATAACATTGAATAAGCAATTATATGGTAATAAAGAATATCATAAAGAATTTTAATAAACTAATAATTTAAAAATTATACAGGCGGCCGGGCGCGGTGGCTCACGCCTGTAATCCCAGCACTTTGGGAGGCCGAGGCGGGTGGATCACGAGGTCAGGAGATCGAGACCATCCTGGCTAACACGGTGAAACCCCGTCTCTACTAAAAATACAAAAAAAAATTAGCCGGGCGTGGTAGCGGGCGCCTGTAGTCCCAGCTACTCGGGAGGCTGAGGCGGGAGAATGGCGTGAACCTGGGAGGCGGAGCTTGCAGTGAGCCGAGATCGCGCCACTGCACTCCAGCCTGGGCGACAGAGCGAGACTCCGTCTCAAAAAAAAAAAAAAAAAAAAAAAAAAAAAAAATTATACAGGCATCTATGCTGAAATAATAAGAAATATTAGGATGGAAGTGATGTTCTCAAAAATATAGTAAACAGTTAACTGATTCTTTTTCAAAAATACTTTATGATATGCTAGATTTTCTCAATTTTATTCTAAGGTCTAAAATATAGATCAGAGTGCTTAGCAGCCCATGGTGATGCTGTTTTTCCTTCTCTTTTGATGTTTTTGATGTCTTTTCATGTGGCACTATGAGAGGTTGAAAGCAAAAAATAACATGAATTTAAAATTGTTTTAAATAGTATTGATCTCTGAGTGAATTGCTTGATATCAAATTATATGTCTTACTTTCAAAAATTATTTTTTCTTCTCTATAAAACATTAGCCTGATTTTTCCTTCCCTGGAATCTATTTTGAATTTAATTGGAATGCAAATCAGTTGGTTTTCTAAGTTCTAGTGAAAATTTAAGTCCCAGTACTCAGCTGCTCTCTTTCTTTGTCTGTACTTAACCTCTTCTGTGTTTTGAACACTTCTGTGCTTGATTTCTAACTCTACATGTGTGACCCCAAATCCTGCCCCTTCCTCCTCTGCTTCTACTCTTCCAGATATTTTCTAGACAAGAGTGTCCCGCAGCATTCAAACTCATTCCGAGCTAAATCAAACTTCTCATGCGGAATGCAGAATCCGGGCCATCACACTGAGGCTGTCTGCTAAATCCATCCCACTGCCTGCTTTTCGGTGGCCTGTGGGTTAACAGTTTTTCTGTGTGTTTTTAACTGGCTGAGAGGAAAAAAATCAACAGAGGAATAGTATTTCATGGTATATTCATGAAAATTATATACAATTAAATTTTAGTGTGCATAAACAAAAGTTTAATTGAGAAATCTACATGCTGAGTTGTCAGCTGATTTAGTGCTACAAAGGTAGACACCTATGCCCATGAAAACCTAAACATCTGCTATCTGGCCCTTTACAATAGGTGTTTGAGGACACCTGACATTGAATACAAGATACATGAAGGCAAGGATTTCTTTACCTCATTTATTATTGTCTCCCAGTGCCATGGGGTGGGGGCATTGTACTAGCTGACACTAAAAAATATTCGTTCAAAGAAAAACATAGACACAACAAGTCTTGTTTTCTCTCTAATCTCTATTTTATATTCTTTATCTAAACAGTATTCTAAATTATGGAAACTTTCTCTTGTTAAACTTCAAGGCTTGCTAGTTTTATCTGTGCATTTTGTCTCACAGTTTTCCCTTCAGCCTTCCATTTCCATTGCCCTTGCTGTAGCCAGGCCTTCATTACATCACACCAATAATGTAGTCACTAAACACCACTGCAGCCATTTGCTATTGTCATCAGTCCGCCCTTCATTCTGCTGCTCTCTGATGTTCTTGTGCTAATTACTGCACAACTCACTGCACTCAGAAAGCACAAGAAAATATAAAAGAAGGGGGAAACGCAGCAATGGGAGAAGAAAAGGGTACAGAGATAGAGCTCTGCTAGTCTCTGAGCCCTGGCTGAGTGCTGCTCATTGTCTGTGTTCTTCATAAAGGTATACATGGTAAACACTCTAAGCCCTATTTTTCAGCTGGTAAAAACTTTTGTCCAGAAAAATTGCTGTTTGCAAAACACTGTATATCATATAAACAGGTGTTTTTACAATTTATAACTAATCCTTGCTAAAGCTTTTGCTTATTTTTAGTTTCTCAAAAGGCAGAAATTAATGGGGACACACTCCTTATATGTAAACTACACCAATTACTGGAAGAATAACTGGCTTCAGTGTGCAATGCAATGACTGTCAGGGGACACAGAGTTAGCAACAACCCAGAGGGACATTGAGACATGACCTCTGGGAGGAGTGGATTGGAATATGTGTTGAGTAACACGAAGACATTCAAATCAAATGTTACACCACTGCCAGCAAAGGTCTGCCACTGCATATTCAAGGACAGGACAAGTGGAAGGAAGGAAAACATGATTACACAGCCATAGGGAACCTGGAGAAAAGGTTAAAGCATTTGCCAAATGTATAAAATACCCTGTAATTCCAACAAACAAAAATGCCAAACTAATGGAAAAAGCAAACAGATACTTTCAAATAATTATGACAATCTCCTCCCTTATTTTTTTATGTTCCAAATCATATTATATGTTGTTCAAGTTCTAATACATATGATTACTGTCTATTAAATTACAGTTTATTTGGTCATTTGGCCAACTTCCTTAACATCTCTATACACCTTTCAACATCTATAAAATGCTGGTGTTTAATGAACTGTTTTATAAGACAGCTCCCAGTTTTTAATTCCATGATTTTGTGGGTTTTGAAGTTCTGATGTTAATGACTACTTTGATAAGAGAACAACTGTTATGGATGCGATAACGTTGGAATTCTGCATGTGAGTGTGTGTGTGAGTAAAAATAGCAATTAGATTATGATACATATGTATTATATTTAACATATAACTTATTTTATCAGCTACATACACTATAATAGCATGCAATCTGTCAACCTAACTATTCTGTCAAATTCCTTCATAGTCAATTTTTCTTCTCAAATGACCAATATTAGCAGCATTATAAGTTAATTTCTTCTGCCCACAAGATTACAGTTTAGTATATTGTAGTTGCTTTAATCCATTTAGGCTGCTTTAAAAAAATCATAAACTAGGTAACTAATAAATGACAGAAAATCTTTGTGTCAAAGTTCTCGAGACTGGGAAGTCCAAGAGCAAGGCACTAGCAGATTCAATGTCTGGTGAGGGCTCAGTTTCTGTTTCACAGGTAGCACCTTCAAACTGTTCTCACATGGTGGAAGGGGCAAGACAGCTCTCTGGGGTCTGCTTAATAAGGAAACCAATCTTACTTATGAGGGTTCCACCCTCCTAAGGGTCCTACCTCCTAATACTGTCACATTAATGATTACTTTTCAACATATAAATTTTGGAGGTACACAAACTTTCAGACTATAGCAGTAGTCTAACCTCAGCAGATTTAATAAACACATGTAATAAAATTACTTTGTTTTTATAACATGAACAACTTTGTTTCTCCTAAGTATCCTTACTTATGCTCCTAAACAAAGTAATTATAGATAAGATTACGAATATATAATATAATCTTCTCCTCAATATCCTGAAGGGTAAACATTTGACTGAAATATAAGATGCTTTATCTATTCTTTTGTGGTTAGGGGAGAGTCTCTTGCCTGAGTTCATGTCTAGTTTGATTCTGATGAGGTTAGAAAAGTGCTAGATTATTTCTTTGTGAGACAGTTTTTAGAATAAACCCTAAAATTAATGTAACTATTCTTACCTTAGAAAGGAGCAAGCATTTTAAAAGTCAATTCTATATGTATTGTATGTGGATTGACTAGAAAAAGCATAAAAGATAAAAAGCCAGCAATCATCAAATATAAACATAAACTTATGTACAGTATTTTGATTAATAAGAAATTCTGGTTTACACTGAAAGCAGCACTTTTTTAAAAACTACATTCTACAAACTGTTTAATAACTATGCACATGTCAAAAATGGTAAGTGCATTAATGAATTATTTACCTCTCTGTATCTAAATGCCACCTCTTAAGAGGTAAGCACTTTTGAATTAGGTTATGTCAACTTTTTACCCCTCAGAAGTAAATGCTTTAAAACAAACAATTTAGTGAGATGTTTTATGAGGCCTATTTAGTTTATTAATGGATTCTGTTTTTGTGTGTGAGATGGACACTTGCAGTTTAGTCTAAGAGGCAGACATAATAAAAAATTTCAAATCAGTGTTGTAGGTGCTGTAATAAGCCCAGTTCTCTAAAGGCACAATGAGGCACACCAGCAACAGCTGAAAGAAAAGTTGGTTTGCTATTTGTTGATTGTCTGTTTTTCAGATTCTAATTTATTCCTAAAGATAGAATGTTGTCTGAAGCTATCTTGTTTAACCAAGCATTCTCACCAGTAAGGCTGTGTGAACAGAAGGTGGATATCAGAATAACTGGTACATTTTTCATTCTACAAACAACTGACCTCTTCACAACTTCTAATCCATTCAATCCTAACTCACTCCAGGGATTATGCACTTTGCCAAAATCTTTCTGTGTGTTTTTAATAGGATAGCCCCTAGCTCAGAATCGTTACCCTATACTTGAAACGCAGAAAGAAAATGCCTTGGACTTGAAGGATAGAAAATTATTTGCTGTTTATGCTCTAAGGCATAAAGCTAATAGTATCCATTTATTTATCCTTTCTTTTAATATACTATGTGCTGGAAACTATGCTCTCGCCTCATTTTGTGCTGTCTTACACAGCACTTACCTAGAAGGGGAAAGCTAATTATTTGCCTACCTCTCTCCTCAAGTTATCTTTGTTGGTGTCACTTTTGTCCAAGATTTGCACACTTTCTGTTCAAGTTGTGCTTATTTACCTAGTACACTAGCAAGTTTAAGAAAAGATAAACAAACATTCAATAGAGAGATTAAACCTATCGTCATAAGGTACTCATATGACCTCCACCCCTGGCTGTGGATGCAGCGACAAAGAGGCAAAGAGGCTGGCTGAAGCCATATGGCAATCTGCAGAACGTCACCATAGCCTCTGTGCACACCACCCACTGTCCATACTCAGGAAGCCAATTGATCTCAACTCCACAACCACCTTGGCCCTCTGGGAGATCGTGAGTGACAGCCCTCAAGAATATAGAGATTTCACATTCTGCGCACGTACCCACCTTCAATTATTTAGTGAGATCATTTGCCATCCAAACAACAACAACAACAAAAAAAAATCACTTTTCTTTTCCACCAATACGGAAAAACTTCAGGTTTTCATATTAAACTCACCATTCCTGCTCAAAGGACAAAGGTTGGAAATTCTTGTTTTGTGTACACAGGGTATTTGTTAAGGGTGAGGTGCATATACCTTTGCATTATGACCTGGTTTTACCAGTTAAGACTCTAACAACCTTGCCCAGAGTTTAATGCAAACTTTCCTTCTTAGGAACTCATTTGTTGTCAGTTAAGATAAAATATCTCTTAGAACCTGTAGAAAAGAAAAGTAGATTCTCAATTACTGGGCCCATATTAAATCATTCTGCTAATTAATGGTAGTTTCCTAAAGTGTTAATTGCATTACAATAAACATGTTCATATACTACTGTTACCAGAAAGATCCCTGCCTCAAGAACAAGAGAAATATATTAGATCATATTGCTATGCAATTTTTCTTGCTGATGGGGCCATTTTTCAGGCACGGTACTACATATAGAACAGCAACATAATGGGAGGAGAGAACAGATGCTAAAATTCAGTCAGACATAAATCTCTTTCACTTTATCTTCTTTACAATACAGAGATGACAAGAAGAAAAACAAATAGCTAAGAGAATAAACATAAATGATGGGTGTTTCAAGGGAATTTAATACCCCAATATAGACATCATATATATGTTACAAGATTGACACCTGGACAAATAAATGGTGTTTAGTGTAATAAGATGACAATAATTAAATATCTGGCATTTTTTTCCTCCAAATATCAACATGTAGCACAGGAATAAAATGATACTTTTCTATTTATGTTAACCTCTTCAGACATGCAATTATTCAAGTTCCTGTCTAGATATTCACTCATGTAATTGATGTACTGGAAAATATTTTCATTCAGTATATCAGTTAGAATTTATCATATACTTCATGCTGGACTATTAGATCACAAGATCAAAGGTCCTAAGATAAAACCTTGCTTTCTGCATGAATCCTTGTTTCAACACTCTATTCTACACTGATCTTTCTGTCCTCTGAATTCTGATTAAAATTATAATCATTAATCATACAACTGAGCCCAAGTTAATTTCTATTTTATTTGGATGTAGCTTTCCCTCCCCAACAACCTTTAACTTCCCATGCTATTGGAAGCAGGTATTCATTTCAAACCATTTTTTAGTTTAATACTCCATTAATATCTAAAACAATGGAGAATGCATGTCAATGTTACTGGATGTTTAAGGTGTCATTTCACCAGTCAGAAACCTCTGTGGCCAGTGGCACCTTTGCCTGAATTTTGCTCTGGATCACTGGGCTCATTCCACCCACTCAGCCTGGCAGGCTGCACTCGGCTCCCACTGTTGGCCCAGATCGACACCTGCCAAGGACGAGCCAGGAGCAGAGTGGCAAGGGGTGTGTGAGCAAACATGGGATCCAGCAACTGCATGCAGCCAGGCATGCCAGCTGCAGTGAGGTGGCACCTTCAGGCCACAGCATGGGGCGATGGCACGGGGTGCCACCTCCCTGAGAGGCTGTGGCTGGATCAGGTAATAAGCAGCCTCTGTGGCTGATACTGGGAAACGCAGTGGCGTCCGGAGTCTTGGAGATGGCAAGAACTGCAGAGCCCTACAGAGGGTGTCACAGCCACGACTTGGGGACCTCCTAGGTCTGGGCTGTTTGAAGGGCTACAGCTCTTCTCGCCTTCGCTCTTCTCTCCTTCTTGTCACCTGCAACATGGCAAGCAAGGGGCCTGCTTCAGCCCTGTTTGTGTTACAGCTCTTTTAGCCCCGCCATTTGGTGGGTCCCGAGTTCTTGTCTTGCGTCCAGGAAGAATGAGGTATGCAGACAAGTGGAGGGTGGGCAAGACGAAGAGGAGCTTTATTGAGCCGTAGAACAGCTCAGAGGAGACCCACAGTGGGTAGCTCCTCTCCATGACCAGGATGTCCTGATGAGTGTTAAGCTCTTAGCAAAAAGGGTAGCTCCTGTCTGCTTGTCCCCGGCTCCCACCAGTTCCGCAGAGCATGGCACCACCTGGGCCCAGCTCCACCTCAGGGACCCTTTCCACCTGCTCTTCCGTGCCCAACCGAGCTGCTCTCTCTCCTGTGGGAACTCGCCCCAGCCCCACTGTAGCAGCTCCCAAGGTAGCAGGCGCTGGGGACTGCCCGCCTCCTCTCTGCATTTTCCTTGCAGCAACAGTGGGCGAGATGCAGGTGACACAGCTGTCGGGGTCGACACCACGAGTCCTGGCTGCGCCTTCTGCCAGGTTCATGTGGGTTCGAAGACAGGGTAGGGAGGGAGGTTGAGGCCGTGGCTGAGGCTCTGGGCCTAGAAGCAGGTCTTGCCCAGCCGTGCTAAGGTTGGTGTAGCACAGTTGGCTGTCTTGGGGAAACAGGGCACAGACGTCCCACCAGCGCCCCTGCCGCTACGGCGGCCACCCCTGCCATGATCCACTGTGCCTCCCTGAAGCAGCCAGCATGATGCTACCATCAACAAGATTATTTTCTTTTAAAAATAACTTCATTCCATTTATGAAAATAATACTTGCTTATTCTGAATTTAGAAAAAAAACCTCTCCCAATAGAAAAGCTTACAAAAAATAGAGTAAAAACCACCTTGAACTCGACTACACAAACCAATGTTAATATCATAGTAAACAACTTCTTAATCCAATTGGGCTCTCTGCCCCTCATGTATCTGTTTATATTTTTACATAAACAGGATTAAATGATGTTTATACAATTAATGCTTATTGGATATTGGTCACATCTAGAACTTTTTCTTTTTCTTTTTTCTTTTTTTTTTTTTTTTTTGAGACAGATTCTTACTCTGTCACCCAGGCTGGAGTGCAGTGGCACTATCTCAGGTCTGCAACCTCTGCTTCCTGAGTTCAAGCGATTCTCTTGCCTTGGCCTCCTGAAGAGCTCCGATTATAGGAACACACCAATAAACCCGGCTACTTTTTGTATTTTTAGTAGCGGGGGGTTTGATATGTTGGCCAGGTTGTTCTCAAACTCCTGGGCTCAATCGATCCTCCCACCTCGGCCTCTCAAAGTGCTGGGATTACAGACATGAGCCACCACCCCTGGCCACACCTACTTAATTATTTCAGTATTGGCTCTCTGGCTCTCTGTTTCTCTCTCTCTCTCTATATATATATATATGTACACACACACACACACACACACACACATACATATATACACACATACACATATATTTATATTTACAAGGGATGTAAATATATATGTGTGCATATATATACATAAATACACACATATATATTTATACCCCTTATTCATAGGTCAGTGTGATTAAAAATAGGTCCTGTATCTAGAGACTCAGAGTTTCAGTTTTGCAAGAAGAAAAGAGTTCTGGAGATGGATGACGGTGATCTTTGTACAACAATGTAAATACATTTAATGCTACTGAACTGTACACTTAGAATGATTATGTGGTATATTTTATATTATATGTACTTTATCACAATTAAAGACAAACAATAAATAATGAGTTTAGACATTTCAATTCAGGGGTATCTAAAAGCCTGGTCTCTCTGACACAGCTCTGTAATACCTGGCTTTGAAGAAAGACTGTATCAGGCTCCGAATGAGTTTAAGTTATGTGTATCTCAGTATCTCCAATGTGTTAAGAATTTTGAACATCATTTTGTTTGAGGAAACACGATTAAATATGGCTATTAGTACAGACAGGCCCCACAATTGTTCCACTTACAATTTTTTGACTTTACCATGGTGTGAAAGCCACATGCATTCAGTAGAAACCCTACTATGATGTTAGATAGGTTAGCTGTATTACATGCATTATAACTTATTTTTAATTTATAATAAGTTTATCAAAATGTAACCTCATCATAAATCAAGGAGCATCTGTATATGTATACAATGTCTATAATTACTTTTGGAAAAAGCCAATCAAATTGGTTGTAAATTAAGTTTCTAATTTTTTCTTCCCTGGAAAATTTCTAAAAAGGCTATGATATAATAGCTAGATTCCTTTTCATTTTGAAGGGCATAAATCCAACATTTTAATTTCTGTATATCATGACCCCTTGGAAAGTCTGTATTTTCTCCCATCCCCTCCCATCCCCTCCCATACCCTCCCCTCTCCTCCCTTCTATTTCCCTCTCTTCCTTCCAAATAGCCTTAACGTGAGTTGTTGTTGTTTCTCCTGGACATGCTTGACCAGGAATAGCAGTTGGCTTCTGAATTGTCAGTTACAATAGTTACATGCCCTTGAGTAGTCTGAAATTAATAAGAGTATATTTTAATATGATTTTTTAAGCAGAAAATAATATAATAATAACAACAACAAAACAAAAAGCAACCTGATTTTTGCTTAAGAATTCAGGGACACTCATTTCATCAAGGAACTGAAAATTCAAGTTCACTTTAATAAGGGCATTGGCTCATTTCTTCAGCACTCCAGTTTTTTCTCATTTGCTAATTTCATCATTTGGTTGTATTTCCCAGGCATGTATTAAAAGACAGCGGTAGTAGCAGACTTCATCAACATCAACCACATTATGTAGAAGGAGACTGTCTATATGCCTAAATTTTTAGACAATATCCTGAACTTCATTCTGAAATGGTCATCACTGCTTTGTAAATGCCATGAGCTTAACAACTTAGCCCTGCATTAACTGCAGCAATCACAGTGGCCATCTGAATAATCTTACAATGGTTATCTTTGACCAGTTTAGACTTACTCCTGTAGCTGTGTATGAAGTCAGTAGCTGTTAATAGGGAAGCAGTGAAATCTTATTAGTAGATAGTCATTAAGGCCATTACAGATGATTCCATGGCACAGTATTTGTGGTATGGCATAGAGTGTGATACCAGAGAAGTGATGGAAAAAATGAGTCTAAGAATGGAATCAGAATTACAATATATGTGGCCAAAAATAAGATATAGCAGCAGATTCGATTTAACAGGGAGCAACCTAGGGACCAGCCCAAAGCGTCTATATCTAAGGTGATTAGGTGATTGCTCAAACTTCACTGAAGGCCCACTCTTGTATTTATTTAATTTAATTTAATTTAGTTTAATTTAATTTAATTTTTTTGAGATGGAGTCTCACTCTGTTGCCCAGGCTGGAGTGCAGTGGCGCAATCTCGGCTCACTGCAAGCTCCGCCTCCCAGGTTCACTCCATTCTCCTGCCTCAGCCTCCTGAGTAGCTGGGACTACAGGCGCCTGCCACCACGCCCAACTAATTTTTTTGTATTTTTAGTAGAGATGGGGTTTCACCGTGTTAGCCAGGATGGTCTCGATCTCCTGAACTCGTGATCCGCCCGCCTCGGCCTCCCAAAGTGCTGGGATTGCAGGCGTGAGTCACTGCACCCGGCCTGAAGGCCCATTCTTTGACAGCACAGAGAAGAGCATTATACATGGGAGTCACTGTATTCATTCATTCATTCATTCATTCATTCATTCAGGCAGCAAATATTTATGGAGTTCCCACTATGATCCAGACCCTAGTGATAAAACAGCAAATAAAACAAGTTCCCTGCCTTTGGCACATACACAAGAAAACACAAAATAAGAGAGAAAGAACAAAAGTGGCTGTCAGGAACGTGCCTTGTTATATTTTACATGGGATGGTTTGGTATGGCTTTACTAAGAAAAATATATTTGCACAAAAAACATGATGAAAGTAATCAAAACAGAGTGAATATCAGATACAAAAACACTATAGTGGGAGCTTGTTGAACATTCCAAACAATTAGCAAGGTCACACTAAGAGAAGATTGGGTAAGGGAAAAAACAGTAGCAAACCATGCCATAGAGGTAGCATGGCCAGAACTCATAGTGTTTTCTAGGCTGTAGCAAAGACTTTGGCTTTTACTTTTTGGGTGACATGGTCAACCTTTGGAGGGTTTCCAACAAGAAGAGCAATATCATCTGATTTATGTGTAAAATAATTTTTTTTACAGATGGGTTGAGAATATATTATAAGAAGCAAAGAAATAAGGTAGGAACCTGTGTAAGCAATCTAGGTGAAAGATGAAGATAGTGTGGATGAGGGTGGTAAACATGAAGGTAGTAAAGAAAAAGTTGGATTTTGCATATTGGTGATAGAATAGACAGAATTTGCTATTGGATTTGGATGTGAAATATGAGAGCAAAAATGGTATGAAGGAAATCTCCAAGTGTGGCCTGTGAACTGAAAGATCACGTTCAGTTTGGGATATGTCAAGTTTGTCCTAAGTGTTAGATATATGCATGAAAATATTAATTAGTTAATTACATTTGTGGAACTCAAAATAATCAGATAGAGATTGTGAAGGCATAGACATGGTGTTGGCTTATATTGCTATTATTTTGAATGGCAGTACCAAGTGCATAATTGTAGGAGGAAAAAAAAGGTACCCAGAGTCCTGAGCCTGAGTCCCTTCAACTTGCACAGCTCTGGGAGATGAAAAGCAATTGGCAGAGGAGGAGTGGTAGAGTATGGGGAAGACTGAAACAAAAATCCAATGAAAATAATGTCTCAATAAGGAGAGGTCATCCATTTCAAATACTACTGATGGTTCAACTAGGATGAGAATTGGGACCAATCAATGGATTTAGCCATGTAGAGATCATTGTAGACTTTGATAAAAGTGCTTCATTAGAGTAGTGGTAGTGGTAAAAACCTAGTTGGGATGGGTTTCAAGTGAGAATTATAAACAAAGTTGGAAATATTAAGTATTGATAATACATACAAGGATTTTTACAGTAAAAAGAAGAAAGAGGATGTGAGGCCAATATAAAATTGTGTTTGTTTTTACATGACATATAATAGGATATTTGTTTGCTGATACAATGGTAAAGGATTAATATAGAGAGAAAGAGAGGGAGAGAAAAGTGGAGGAGGCGGGAGTATTAAATATTGCTGAAACAATGTCCTTCTATACTTGGATGACAAGAGGAATATGTTGTAGAAAGCAAGGAAAGGGCATGTTCTTGGCTAGAAGCTTGTGGCATTCATCCATCAGTGTGCTTTTAATTTAAGAAACATGCAGTCGTTCACATTAAATGTTAGAATATAAAGATGACCTCCATCACAAAGAGTTTTTAATTTATAATTTAATACATTCAATATAAATGCATTTCACATTGTAATTTATTCAATACAAATGGTAAGATGCCTGAGTGTAAGAAGCTATTTTTGAGGGGATAAAATTAAATATGAGTGACATATACTCATACAATACTGAAAGAATAAAACATAAAATGATTAATTAATAAAAACAAATCCAACAGGATTTGAACAAAGCTAAATAGACTGTTAAATGTTCAATCAAAAAAGGAAACTGACATTATTTTATTCATGTGGGAGACTCCTCATGAATAACGGAAAAGATTTTGTATATTAGGCATAAAAATGGTACATATAAAAGCTATTGAACTCAAGCTAGTTCCCATTTGGTCCTTCGACCTACTTGAAAGAAAATACAGGCATTAGCTTTGCCACATATTCTTGAATACCAAGGCACAGCAAAATAAAATACACTAAAAAGCCCTTTAATTACCATGGCTACTGTCTTCAATCACTTACTTGGCTTGTAGCTACAATACATGCCTACAGAGTAGAATAAAATACATAAAAATACAGTATAGTTTGTTTATAATACAATTCCAATAGACAGCATTTAGAGTGGACTTAGAATAAGATAATGGTGACCATAGTAATAGTACAAGTTTAAAATATAAAAGACCTAGATTTGAATTCAGATTCTACCCCTTACTAGTTACGTGGTCTTATACAATGTCCTTTAACAAGCTTTTAGAATCTTTTGCTTCTTTAACTTTAAAAGGGAGATAAAAGTACCTCACAGAATGGTTGTAAAAATTAAATAGGATGGAATGATGGACTAAGCACAAGCGCTAGTATATATTAAGAAATACATCGATGCTAGCTATGTGATGGACAAGGATTGGAGCTATTACTCTGAATACTTAGCAATAGATCCATTATTACCCTCCATACATAGTGGAAAAGCTGGAGCATAGCTTTTAAATTTTGTTCCAACTCTAAAAGTACATGAACCTACTACATTAGCAAGTACTTCTTGAAGAAACATATTGGCCAATTTTCCCTATGACTCCTAATAGACAGTAAATCCCACAAATCTAATGTACTGTTTGAATATTGTGAATGTTTTTTTTAAAGATGTTCTTTATTCAAGATAGAAAATTATATACTAAATAACATGACAGTCAAAGGACCACCTTAAATTTATAAATTAACTTAAAAGGACAAATTCACAAAGAAAACAATGCAGACTATGTTTTCATTCCAGCAAAGGATTATATGTATAAACAAGGCCTACATTTATTAGACATCAGGAAAAAAAAACAAACCTCTTTGACTGTTTTACAATAAAGAGAACAAAGATTTATTGGTATTTCACACAGAAATAATCAGTTTAGAGAGAGTTCTCAAAATTAAAAAAAAAAAGACATGAAATATCCCTAAATAAACCTTACTAAGCTAATCCTTAAAACCAGTAAAAATCGGTTGAAAAGCCTTTTAACAATTTGAATCTTTATTCTAAATAAATTACTGTAACTTACTATATTTTTTCTTATGTCATTACAAATTTTAAAAAGTAAGGTTTTTCATTTGAGAATCTTGAATTCTCAAGATTATTATTTTTCTTAAATTTATAATGACATAAGAAAAAATATAGGGGAGAAATCAAGGAATTAATATTAATTGAGTTCCTAATTTATAATCCTCATTCTTATTAATAGAATTATAAATTTCATTTTAAGAATTAAGGAATTGGACGTGGAGTGGCTAAGCCATTGCTGCTGAGTAAACATGAGACCTGTCCAGCTTCATCTCCTGATGTGCATGGCTCTAAATTTTGTGCTCCTTCTGTTGCACCAGCTACTTCTCAATAGTAAAAGTAACAATGAATGTTGGCAACCTCTAGCACTGCATAAAGCAGTTGTTAATATTCCATGGAAGTGATCAGGGACTAGTTTAAGAATTTAGTTAACTCTTTGTACGGGAAAATGCACAAAAACCTGCAATTTTGCATGAGATATCAGGAACCTCTTGATGCTCTAAAATGCATGATAGGTCACAGTTTTAAGGATTGTGTTACAAGTCTGATTTTCTTTACTCTTTTCAACAACTCTGTAAGGAAGGAACATGCTATTATGCTTATCTACCAATGAGGAAACTGAGGCAAAATATTAAGTGATTGGCTTACCTTCACACACACTAGAAACTTGTTGAGCCAGGACCTTAACACAAGTACTATGACTACACATCCTTTGTTCTTTCACGCACATCAGGTTATCTGGCATGCATGAAATTAATTTATTAGTAAATATCTTTTACTATAAGAAAATTATCAGTATCATTTTTTCCAAGATTTTCTAGAAAGAAATATCTTCAAGGCCTTTTTTGTTCTTTCATTACATATTTTTGCCTGGATGGTGAAATGTTTTCTAAATGAGCCAATTGTCTGCAGCTAGCTAAATGGGGCAGTAGCCATCCAAATGTAGACAGAGCAATGCACACTCTGTCTTCATCCTACAGAGCAAAATTGCATGGGCTATGAAGTGTTAAATGTTGCAGTAAAATGAAAAAGAAAGTGATGACAAGAAAAGGAATGACAACAGTTTTCAGCAAAACATTTATTCTTTTCAGAAGAACGATTTCAGGGGTATAGAAATATTTCATCAACTAAGTTGACTACATTTCATTTAAATAAAATATTTAGTTTCTAATGTAAAGTAGTTATTGTGTCAATCACACCCCAGCAGGTGTAATAGGGAAGAATATTGGGAAAATTTGAATGTGTACAAAAATTGGACAAGAAAAATTAACGATCAAGAAATATTTGCAAAAAATATATAATTGATATTACCATGAGTAAAATAGTGTAGTTTTACTTTGATTCCATGAAAATATCACTACAATTTAATTGTGATATTGTGGAGAGACAAACTATCTAAATAAGCAAGAAAAAATACACTTATAAGGAAAGTTCAAATTATTAATATTTTAAAGTACTGAAGTGCTAAAGACACTATTTGCAAGAGTTTTAATGGAATTCAGAATGCCAGTTCTTGTTGACATATCTCAAATTATCCAATTATCTCTATCATTTCTGCCAACTCAGAGGTCCAAGTTACTATCATCTTTGGCCCAGGCTAGGAAATATCTTCCTAATTAGTCTCCTGGCCTCCAACTTTAGCATCCTTCAATTTATACTGCAGTCAATTATCTCTTCAAAATGCAAATATAATCAGATCAGTTCTTTCTAAAACCCTAAACTGGTTTCCAATTACTCTTGAAGAAAAAGACCAAAATCCTCAACATGACCTGTCAGGCTCTGCAGCCTACCTCTATCTCCCCATTCTCATCTCAGACACACCCTGTTCGTTCTCTAGCTAGAATTGCCTTTTTCAAGGGCCTAAGATGTCACATGCCTTCCCATTCCAGGACTGATGAAGAGTCTGTGCCCTTTGCTTGACACACTGTTTCATGACTTCCCTCCAGCCACTATACATAGTTAACAATTATTGGGCCAGGCGTGGTGGCTCACTCCTGCAATCCCAGCGCTTTGGGAAGCCAAGGCAGACAGATCACTTGAGCTCAGGAGATCAAGACTAGCCTGGCCAACATGGTGAAACCCCGTCTCTACTAAAAGACAAACAAACTTTAGCCAGTGTGGTGGCACACTTGTAATCCTAACTATTCAGGAGGCTGAGGCAGGAGAATTGCTTGACTCCTCCGAGACGTGGAGGTTGCAGTGAGCGGAGATCGCACTCCAGCACTCCAGCCTGGGAGACAGAGCAAGACTCCGTCTAAAAATACAAACAAACAAAAAACCAAAACCCCACAAAACAATTATTGATCCTTCAGATCTCACAAGAAACGTAATTCTCCTAGGGACGTTTTCGTTTCACACCAGAATAAGCACTTTCTTGTTATTCCTGTTGTTACATGCTACTATAGATTCATGTTCTTCTCCACCATGCTCTTACGGATTCATGTTCTTCTCCACCAAGCATGCATCTCAGTTTGTAATTTTACATTCACTTGAAGATTATTTTACTAATGCCTGTCTCCCATCTCTTCACCAAATTAAAAACCTCCTAAGATCCTAACACCTGTGACCATGTTTATTTTTGTTTACCATTATATGCACACCTTGAATTGTAATATTGGGCCAATTGCAGGCATTCAGTAGATGTTTGTCTGAAAAATGACAGAAAATTTTAATAAAAAAGATACAAAATATCATAAATTATATTTTTGTTTGTTTTTAAAATGTGGGTTTATATTTATATAAAAGTCTCTATATTCATTACTCTATTGTTATTATATTCCAAGAAATGTGTGAAATATTTTTCCAATATCTCTCGTAAACAGATGCCACTACCAGCCTGGGATTCCTGAATGCAGAGACTGAGTCACAAAGATTCCCCTTTGTAGGGAAAAGAGCGATCAGACTGTTACTGGATCTACGTAAACGAGGAAGATATAAGAAACTCCATTTTGATCTGTACCCTAAACAATTGTTTTGCCCTAAGATGCTGTTAATCTGTAACTTTAGCCCAACCTTGAGCTCACAGAAACATGTGTTTTATAGAATCAAGGTTTAAGGGATCTAGGGCTGTGCAGGACGTGCCTTGTTAACAAAATGTTTACAGGCAGTATGCTTGGTAAAAGTCATCGCCATTCTCCATTCTCGATAAACCAGGGGCACAATGCACTGCAGAAAGCCGCAGGGACCTCTGCCCTGGAAAGCCAGGTATTGTCCAAGGTTTCTCCCCATGTGATAGCCTGAGATATGGCCTCAGGGGATGGGAAAGACCTGACTGTCCCCCAGCCCGGCACCCGTGAAGGGTCTGTGCTGCGGAGGATTAGTAAAAGAGGAAGGCCTCTTGCAGTTGAGATAAGAGGAAGGCCTCTTTCTCCTGCCTGACCCTGGGAACTGAATGTCTCGGTATAAAACCCGATTGCACATTTGTTCTAATCCGAGATAGGAGAAAAACCGCCCTGTGGTGGGAGGCAAGACGTATTGGCAGCAATGCTGCTCTATTACTCTTCACTCCACTGAGATGTTTGGGGGGAGAGAAACATAAATCTGGCCTACGTGCACATCCAGGCATAGTACCTTCCCTTGAACTTATTTGTGACACAGATTCCTTTGCTCACATGTTTTCTTGCTGATCTTCTCCCCACTATCACCCTGATCTCCCACTGCATTCCTCTTGCTGAGATAGTGAAAATAGTGATCAATAAATACTGAGGGAACTCAGAGACCGGTGCTGGTGCAGGTCCTCCGTATGCTGAACGCCAGTCTCCTGGGCCCACTGTTCTTTCTCTATACTTTGTCTCTGTGTCTTATTTCTTTTCTCAGTCTCTCATCCCACCTGACAAGATATACCCACAGGTGTGGAGGGGCAGGCCACCCCTTCACCCTTATCACAGGCAAAGTGAACAGAGAATTCAGCCTTTGCTTTGTACCTCTTCAGGAATGAAATTGAGTGAGACGCTTCCTCTGATCATTAAATCCAATGCCCATTTCCTAAAGAAACTGCTGATGCTAAACTCAGGATGCCATTTATCCTTATTTTCAAAAGTCAGCCCTCAGAATTCAGAGCCCCTGGTATCCTTTGTGTCTTGTTCCCAAGTGTCCTGGCATGTTCTTGAGCCCAGTCTATCCCAGCCATTTTTATTCTCTCAACTCTACTCTCCACAGTTGTATCTCTCCATCATCTACTGACTCCATTATTTCAGAGAATTTTTTCTTTACATCTATTTATTAACCGAAGACTGGCTCCATTCTAAAAATAATATCTTTTCTCCAGGACTTTCAGGCTCCCCACTTAGGCTTATTCAAACAGGATGATATACTAAGCCATAGATTTTTCCCTCAGTCTACTGGGGTTTTAAACCAAATACACTTCATAAATCCTTCACCTTGAGAACCTGAATGAGGTAATCTATGTACAGTTTTTAGCACAGTTCCTAGAACACAGGATTAGCAATCAAACATTGTGGAATAATACTATTATTCCAGACCATTAGTGCCCCTCCCTTGTTATTATCAATGTAAAAATGAAAGATAAAACCTGATCCATTAAGGCCCACGTAATTTGGATACATTATACTGTTTCTTCTCTCTTTGCTTTCAGCCACAGGTGTTGTGGTCATTACCTCATTTACTGAACACTTAGCATATGCCTCTGTCTACCTCCTACCTTTAATCCTGCTATTTTGTTAAATGACTTCGCTATCCCATTGGTTAATCCATCCCAATAATTTAGCTTGTCATTCATTGCCGTGTTCGTCTTTAGGATTTATTCTTCCACAAATTATACTTCATTCCTGTTTTCATGCAGGAATTCACTCCTGGCATTTATCAGAGAATTAATATTTTACCAAATCTCTCAGTCAATGAATTTAAAAAATGGGAAAATATATTGCAATCTCTTGAAAAGATTAAAATTTATTAGTCAACCTAGAGATATTTCTCTTTGAAGATATTCAAGGACATAAAGTCAAAAGCAAACGTAGGAAACACTAACACATGGAATCCAGCCTTAACATTTTCGGGAACCGGGATAAAAGCATGTAGGGGAGAAATGATCATGATCAAATCATTCAGTCTAGTTTGTAGCTGTTGTAGTGTTATAATTGTGCTTCATGGCAGTGTCTACTGCTAAAAGTGAGTCATCTCTGCAAAGAAAATACATATTAATGGACTTCTGGCTGCTTCTTATGATGTAGAAAGCAGAAAGAGCATCATATCAATCCGAACAATAAGAAAAAATGAACAATCTAAAAATCATAACATTATTAATTCATCTGAGACCTGAGTTTGCAGGTTACTAAAATTCTACCAGAACATTCCTGATACACTCATTAATGACATCTGCTGTATATACATCAACAAATGCCTTTACTGAACCTCTTTAAAATCATGTTTTGAGACAGTTTCCTCTTGGCTTCATGATAGTAAACTCTTCGTTTAGTCCTTTCATCTTTTCTGACACTTGTTCTCAATTCCCATGCAGAGGCATCCTCCTTTACTCATGCCACTAAGTATTAGGTTTTGTCAAGGTTTATACCAGGGTCTCTTCCCTTCTCATTGTACACATTCTCCTTAATCTATTTTGTTTTTCTCATAGGTGACTTCTAATCTCTCTAGTTCTTTATTTAATAGTGACATACTTTATGTTAAATTCCTACTTGACATGTCCTTATAGTGATCTCAACTTTAATATGTGCAAAATCAAACATGCTGTATCAATCTTCTGAACTTCTTGCAAAATTTGCCCTTCTTTAATTGTCACCACCATCTGTTCAGTTTTTTTGTTAGGGTTAATGAAGGTGGTAAGGATGGGGGGAATTAAGGAAGTTAGGGCTAGGGTGGTTATAGTGGCATACATGGTTATTACTTTTATTTGGAGTTGCACCAAAATTTTTGGGGCCTAAGACCAACGGATGGCTGTTATCCTTTAAAAGTTGAGAAAGCCATGTTGAATTCTAGAAATGCAAGATTTTTTCTTAATCATCTAAGCTATCTCATATTTAATGATTTTTACCTTTGAAATATATCTAAATTCACTCTTTGCACTATAGTTTATACCACACCACTTAATCTTGATTGAACACTATAATACTTTAAAATCAAATTTGTCCTTCTCCTAAGCACCTAGTATTCATGATAGCATCAGATATTCCAGAATATATACACTGTACATTGAAAATAGGCATTAAAAACTAAGGAGTGGAAAACAAGATTAAGAGGTCCATCATGGTAACAACCCAATTCAATTTACAGCAATATCCTTTAAAGAGGTAAGATAATCGTTTCAATTTGAAACAATGTAAGTCATAAATTTCTAATTAAGTAACAGGCTTGGGAAAGGATGAGGAAACTAACTTTTAACAATATAAATTGGAACACATTTGCTATAGTATAAAATTAATATTCTTCACCATCCACTTATGTCACCACATCTTGTTCCCCCCTCCTTTTTAAAGTTGGTGTATAATTTACATACAATAAAATGAATTAGTCTTAAGTATATAGCTCAATAATTTTTGTTGAATGTACACATTAATCAAAATATAGAATTCCAACATCCCAGAAATTTTTGTGTGCCCTTTCCCATTGATTGTACCGCCCCCAGGTGCAACTACGACTCCGATTTCAATCATTGTCATTTGGTTTTTCCTGTTCTGAGTTTATATAAATGGAATCATACAGTATGTACCTTTTTTGTATCTGGCTTTTTGCTCAAGACAGTATTTATTGCTCAGTAGTATATCAACATATGAATACCCACATCATGTTTATTTATTCGTCCAAGAAAATAAATTCTATTGCCTCAAATCTTATGGCTATTAAGAATAAGTCTTATGTGTTTGTTTTCTTAAAAGCCTTTCTAAGGATGTATGTTTGCATTACTCATTTTATTGCTTGGTCAAAGGTCAGATTATTTTTCTTTACGCAAAGCTTGTAAAAAGTTTTCCAAGGTAATTTCACTATTTCACGTGCTCATGAACATTATGTCAAAGCTCCAATCACTTCATATCCTTAGCATCTCTTGCTATTGTCTTCCTTTTGTTTAGGCATTGTTATGTGTGCGTAGTGATATGACATATCATCTTTAGTGTTGTATCTTCTTTTAACTTCAACTTTTATTTTAGATACAGGGGTACATGTGCAGGTTTGTTACGTGGGATATTTCATGATGCTGAGGTTTGGGGTTCAGATCCAATCATCCAGGCAGTGAGTATAGTACCTGATAGGTAGTTTTTCAACCCTCAGCTCCCTCTCTCACTTTCCACTCTAGTAATCTGCAAAGTCTATTCCCATATTTATGTCCATGTGTGTTCAGTATATTGCTCCCACTTATAAGGGAGAATATGCAGTATTTGGTTTTCTGTTTCTTTGTTATATGTTTAGGATTATGGCCTCCAGTTGCAACCATGTGGCTGCAAAGGACATGATTTCATTTTGTTTATGGCTACATAGTATTCCATAGTGTATATTTACCACACTTTCTTTATCCAGTCCACAGTTGATGGGCACTTAGGTTGATTCCATCTCTTTGCTACTGTGAGGAGCACAGTGATGAACAAACAAGTGCATGTGTTTTTTTGGGAGAATGATTTATTTTTCTTTGAGTATATACTGAGTAATGCAACTGCTGAATCAAATGGTAGCTCTCTTTGAAGTTCTTTGAGAAATCTCCAGACTGTTTCCCACAGTGGCTGAACTAATTTATATTCCCACCAACAATGTGTAAGCATTTCCTTTTCTCTGCAGCTTCATCAGCATCTGTCGTTTTTGACGTTTTTCATAATAGCCATCCTGTCTGGTGTGAGATAGTATCTCATTGTAGTTTTGATTTGCATGTCTCTGATGACCGGTGATGCTGAGCATTATTTCTTATGTTTGTTGGTTACTTGCTTATTTTCTTTTGAAAAGTGTTTGTTCATGTTCTTTGCCCATTTTTAATGGGTTTTTTTTGCTTGGTTACTTGTATAAGTTCCTTATAGATTCTGGATATTAGACATTTATTGGATGCATAGTTTGTAAACATCTATTCTGTAGGTTGTCTGTTTTTTTCTGCTGCTAGTTTCTTTCATTGCGCAGAAGGTCTTTAGTTTAATTAGTTCCCACTTTTCCATTTTTCATTTTGTTGCAATTGCTTTTAGGGACTTAGCCAAAAATTCTTTGCCAAAGCTGATGTCAAGAAGAGTATTTCTGGCCAGGTGCAGTGGCTCACGCCTGTAATCCCAGCACTTTGGGAGACAGAGATGGATGTATCACCTGAGGTCAGGAGTTCGAGACCATCCTGACCAACACTGAGAAATGCAATCTTTATTAAAAATGCAAAAATTAGCTGGGTGTGGTGGCATGTGCCTGTAATCCCAGCTACTAGGGAGGCTGAGGCAAGAGAATCACCTGAACCCAGGAGGTGGAGGTGGCAGTGAGCCAAGATTGCACCATTGTGCTCCACCCTGGGCAACAAGAGTGAAACTCCTTCTCAAAAAAAAAAAAATATATATATATATATATACATATATACACACACACACACACACGTATATATGTGTATATATACACACACGTATATATGTGTATATATACACACACGTATATATGTGTATATATACACACACATATATATGTATATATACACATATATATATCCATAGCATCTCTGTACAATTTTTATAATTTGAGATCTTACATTTAAATATTTAATCCACCTTGAGTTATTTTTTGTTTATGTTGAAAGGTAAGGATCCAGCTTCAATCTGCATATGGCTAGCCAGTTATCTGAGCACGATTTATTGAATAGGGAGTATTCAATAAATTTAATAAAGAAAATTCAATTCCTTTCCCCATTGCTTGCTTTTGCCAGCCATATTAAATATCAGATGGTTGTAAGTATGCAGCTTTATTTCTGAGTTTTCTATTCTGTTTCACCATGTATCTGTTTTTGTACCAACAGTATGTTGTTTTGGTTACTGTAGCCTTAAGTATAGTTTAAAGTCAGGTAGTATTATATCTCTAGCTTTGTTCTTTTTGCTTAGAATTGCTTTGGCTATTTAGGCTCCTTTTTTGTTCCATATGAATTTTAGAATAGTATTTTACAGTGAAGAATTTTACAGTGTGAAGAATGGCATTGGTAGTTTGATAGGAATAGCATTGAATCTGTAAATTCAGATTCAGTTCAGGCCATTTTTATGATACTGATTCTTCCAATTCATGAGCATGAACTGTTTTTCCATTTATTTGTGTCATCTCTGATTTCTTTTAGCAGTGTTTTGTAGTACTTCTTGTAGAGATCTTTCATTTCCTTGGTTAGCTGGACTCCTAGGTATTTCATTTTCTTTGTGGCTATTGTATGTGGGATTCTTTATTTCACTCTCAGCCTTGATGTTGTTCGTGTATGGAAATGCCACTGATTATTGTACTTTGATTTTGTGTCCTGAAACTGTACTAAAGTTGTTTTTCAGTTCTAGCAGTCTTTTGGTAGAGTCTTTAGGATTTTCTAGGTATACAATCATATCATCAATGAAAAGAGATATTTCGGCTTCCTCATTCCCTATTTGGATGCCTTTTACTTCTTTCCCTTGCCTGATTTCTTTGGCTAGGACATCCAGTACAATATTGAATAGGAGTGATGATAGTGGTCATCCTTGTCTTGTTCCAGTTCTCAGGGGGAATGGTTTGAGTTTTTGCCCATAGAGTGATATTAGCTGTAGGATTGTTTTAGATGGCTCTTATTATATTGAGGTATGTTCCTTCAATGCCTAGTTTTATGTGTCTTTTGACATTTTTTGTATTTTGAAACTTCAGTTAACTGTTCTTGTATTGTTGAACAATAGACACATAAAAGGCTTTTAATAGAATTTAACATTCCTTCATGAAAAGAAACAACCCTCAACAGTGTAGGCATCAAAGGCATCTTTTTTTTTTCTCTCTCTCTCTCTCTTTTGAGATAGTCTTGCTCTGTTGCCTAGGCTGGAGTGCAGTTCTGCGATCACCTCCCAGGCTCAAGTGATCCACCCATCTCAGCCTCCCAAGTAGCTGGACCTGCAAGTGCACACCACCACACTGACTAATTGTTTAATCTTTTGTAGAGACAGGGTCTCCCTATGTTGCCTGGGATGTGCTCAAGCAATTCTCCTACCACAGCCTCCCAAAGCACTAGGAATGTAGGTATGAACCGCTTAAGAATTCTTATGCCCTTATATGTTTTGGATTCAGCTTGTCAAATTCTACTAAAATAAAAACACATAGGAATTTCATCTGGGATTGAATTAAATCCATAGATGAATTTGAAGACGACTGACATCTTAGCGATACTGTTTCTTACTACATAAATGAAGATACTTTATAGTTTTATGTCCTCTCTTGCAGTAAATTATTAAAGTCACTGTTAGAGAAACAAAATGGTGGTGGTATCTAATAAGGTAAGTATGTACACAAATAATGACCTCACAGATACTCTCCTAGGAATGTAACATAAATGTATAATATTCTCCCCAAAGTTATGTCCTAGAAATTTCTTTGTTGCATTATCTGTAATAGCTACAAAGGTGAACACCCTAATTATTTCAACCATAAAATGCACATTTATCTTGTGGAATTTTCTTTAAATGGAATATTATATGATTATATAATGATTTAATAATGAGCTACTGCTCCATTTAAGAGCATCGCTGAATCTTTCAAACCTAATATTAAGTGAAAGAGGTCAATCATAAAGGGTTCATATTTTACAACACAATTTTTAAAATTCAAAAACAGGCAAAAAAATTATCCTTGATCTTAGAAGTCATGATAATGTTACCTGTTGGAAGGATGGTAATCTTGAGGAGACATGGATGTTTCAGGGGTTGATAATATTTTACTTTTGGGTTTGGGGAGGGGTTAAAAGAATGGGTTAAATTTGTGATAATCCATCACTATCTCCACTTTGGAAGAAAGAAAGGAAATAGTATTTATATTTTTTCACTTTCAAGCTCTCCTCTTATCTTCTCCCTAACAACTTTGTGAGTAACTCTTAAGAAGAATAATCTTCAAACTTTTCTGCCCGCAATTCCTCAATATAAATAATTTACGTGTATATGTCATAAATGTACTATTAAAGGGAATATTATGTATAATATAAAACATACTAAAGAAGTAGAAATATTTTTATCTATTTTATTTTACTTTATGTTCTGGGATACATGTGCAGAACATGCAGGTTTATTACAAAAGTATACATGCGCCATGGTGTATATTAAAAAGCTGTCCATTGTGGACACTTACGCAATCTTCCTGGAGTAGGGCACTGCTCCCATCAGATCTGGCTCTACAGTCCCACCCCTCCCTAGCCCATCCTATCTTTGTGCTTATGCAAGGCTTCATTTTCTTCAACACATAAAATATTTGAAAACCTGAAAAGTTTTTCCCACATGTTTTTGATATTTGGATTTTCTTTCCTTTGTGGAAATGAGATTTGATATCCTCTGTATGAGGAGTTCTTAGAATATGATAGGCTGTATAGCTTATTTACAAAGAAGGAATCATTTGAGTTTTTAGATTATTGCTGTTTTCCATCTCTTCTTTTTCTTTTTAAAAACTCATGTATATTTCATACAGTTATTTATTTATTTTCTTTTCCTATGCATAGAATGAACCCAACCTCAAATTTATTCCTCTCTCTGTTTTCCACTTTCTCATCTTCAGGATTATCTTCCTTTGACATTACTGTACTGTTTTTTTCTCTTTTATATACAAAATTTCTATCTCTTTCTAAATCTACTATTCTTATTTTGGCACTGGTGCTAACACTTCTAATTTAATTCCTTTATTTCTCTCATCTTTCCTTGTCATTCATGAAATTCATTTTCTCTTTATTGGGTCCTGATTTACCTACTAATGAATCTTCAATTTTGCATAATTTTATTTCTAACAATTATAATTTCCCTACACTTGGCCAGATCTGGTACATAGCAGAGATGCTGTTTTCCTAGAAGTTTGAATTATGCATGAAAATCTCTCGTCACACACACACACACATTACATCAAGCTGTGCTGGCAATATGATCATTTTCACTTCACCTCTGGGCATTATCCTAGTCTTCCACCCTGAGTTACTAGGACCCACAACCTATCAAATATCTTTCTTCTTGGCAATTCCATAATATTAAATTTTCATACTGTGGAGTATATCATCCTAACCATTGTATGTTATTTTAATAGGTTTAATAATATGGATAATTGCTTATGGTTTTTTTTGTCATTGATATACTTCTTGACAAAGTTTATGACATTTACTTTCATGTCTTAATAGAACTTCTTCATTGTATACTCAAATATCAGTTATCACACTTGTGTGCACACACACACAGACACTACTAGGAATTGTGCTCTTGTTTTTTATTATCATTGCTACCCATGTTCAGGTGTTTGCATCCTATACCCACAGCCTAGTCACTATCTTAATAATCTATGCTAACTCTCTTCTACCTTTTTGAATTTGTGTGATTATTCAGGCAGTAATTCAACTCTGAAATATTCGTTATATGGTTCACTCAATTTCTGCTTATGATTCAGATATCATTTTTTATTATTCTTTGAAAGTTTATGACTTTAATAAATGTAACTCCAGTTACTTTCTTTTTCATTTCTCTCTAATGTATTTTCATCTCTCATTTCATATCCTTCCCACCTTGAAATCCCACTAAAGTTGTATTTTTCCTATTTACTGCTACTTTCTTCTTTTCCTGACTTAGAGAATAAAATTAAACAGCTTCTAGATAATTATCTGATGCTTTTTGTTTTTAATACTCAGTCTCAGCAGTAAACTTGTTCTATTTTTATTTTGCGTCCTTTGTTATTTTTCTTTCTCCCAGATATCTCTTCTGCTGAATGAGCCTCTTCTTTTATTGTTTATACCAATAATCCTGGAATATATTCTCTTTTTCACTCACATGTCTACCTGTAATATGTTATTTCTATATTTTCAGTGTTATCTATACATAGTACATGCATCACCGTTTTGAGGTCAATGAAAGCAGAATCCTACTTCTATAAGTTAAAATTGCCCTGACTTCAATATATTATTTAGTCCTTCAATTGTGCTCTTTAACAAAATGAGATAATGCCACTTTCACAAGGTGGTGACATGACGTGAGGATTAAATATGTTAACATATATTAAGTGTTTAGCACTGTATATGACTTATTTTTACACTAAAATTTTTCCATCAAAGATTAAACAATTTAACATTTTTAAAAGGTAGGATTAGTATAAAATTATCAACAAAATTTTACATTTGGTTTTTAAATGTATTTTATAAGTATTTATTATTAAAATAATATGTATACATGATATTTAACAATTCAAACGTTCAAAAGAGTGGTCTGTGAAAAATAAAAATAGGTGTTTATTTCCACTGTTTTTCCCTTCATGAGAGCAATAACTCTTATCAGTTTCTGTTGTGTCCTATCAAAGATGTTCTATGTGTACACAAGCATATGTATTTGTATTGTCTCAATTATGTGTACACAAGCATATGTATTTGTATTGTCTCATGTAACTGGCTATACACATGGTATTATTTGCTATATGTTATATATTTATGTAATGTATTTTTATGTAGGTATATATGGTATATATATGTTAATGTATTTAATAATTCTGCTCTTTGGAATGCAGGTGTAAATATTTCCAAATGATCCTATAGATTCATCTTGCTCACTTACATTTAGAAAGCGATTCTTGGGTCAAGATGTAGTCTTAAGGTCTATTAATACTTTCATATGCACATTTTTGAAACAGTTTTAAGAAATAAATGCAACATTTATAAATAATAAATAATAAATATGCTAAGAGAAAAAGTATAAGATATTCTGCACAAAGCATCGTAAACAGTCATGATGCTTTTTATTTTTACGGAAAATGACAGAAAGTTATAATGAAGGAACACGCACATACACACACACACACACACACACACTTAGATAAATAAGCACCACATAAAAAGCTTAAAAGTAATAGATTTCAGAAACTGACAGTTTAATCCACCTTTCACTAGTGTTACAAATATATATGTAAACTGTTTGTTATATCACTTTTTGTAGTAGTAAATCTGGCAATTATTTAGATATTCAAATACAGGAACATATATAAATAAAACCTAGTATATTCATGTTATAGATACCATAGAACCATTACAATAATGAAGTGGATCTTACATACTGAGAAAAATAGGTAAAATAAAGGGATACCAAGAAAAATAGATAACACTTTTTGAGAAAGAAATTCAAGATACAAAGAGAAAGAGAAAATGTACATTTGTATACACATATGTCTCAATGTGTTTATAGAAAAAAATTGCAAATGCCATAACATACAAACTATTAACATTTGCTAGGTGGCTATAAGGGAAGTTATTTGAGTACAATGAGACGTGGGCTTGGGAGTATGGGTCACTATAAACTTTATGTGCTACTTATAATTTTTATAAGCATTACAACTTCTATAAAAACAATGTATTTTGGGCCGGGCGCGGTGGCTCACGCCTGTAATCCCAGCACTTTGGGAGGCCAAGGCGGACGGATCACTAGGTCAGGAGATCGAGACCATCCTGGTGAACACAGTGAAACCCCGTGTCTACTAAAAATACAAAAAATTAGCCGGGCGTGGTGGTGGGCGCCTGTAGTCACAGCTACTCGGGAGGCTGAGTGAGGTAGGAGAAGGGCGTGAACTCGGGAGGCGGAGCTTGCAGTGAGCCGAGATAGCGCCACTGCACTCCAGCCTGGGAGACAGAGCGAGACTCCGTCTCAAAAAAAAAAAAAAACCACAATGTATTTTGAGTTTTTCCTCATACCATTTTATACGCTTTTCTCATGGCATTGGATATCATTTTTTAAATGACACATCATTAAATTTCCACTACTTTCTCGAACAATTTTCACCTTTATCCTCACTCTTCATACATTCCTCATTACTTATCATGATGAAGTACACAATCTGAGCTGATAATTACCTCATATTTATTGAGAAAATAGACACTGTTAGATAGATATGTTTCAGTCTTCCTGAGACTAATTCTATAAACATATCGGTGCTTTTATTTTTTGTTCTTTACTATTTGTGTGAGAGGCATTCCTTACCTTTTTAATGATCATTTTTTCTATACGGAGACTGAATTCCCATTTTCTTTATCAAGAATTTACAATTCCATTATCCTTTTTGATCCTTTATCAATAATCTCATCTTCTTGAAGACAACATATTTTAGCATAGAAAAATACAATATAATTGCACTTCTTTACAAATAGAAAAAAAGAAGTCTCCCTGATGTCCAATAATATTACTAGAACACATCTCGATTTTCACTGTTCAGAATCATTCTCCTGGATATATACTAAGCTTTTAGCTATTATCTCTAGTTTTCTTACTCTCTCTCACACAGACTCTTTTCACTCTTTTAGTGTCTTTGTATGGATGTTATGCAAATTCTTTCTGCTATGCATATTTGTAAGAATCGGATTTTGTTGACTAACTATTCTTAAGAGTCTCTGTTTGAAGTGGAATTGAGCCAGATTAGTCTTCATGCCAAGGGTTGTTCTCTCCAGGTCTAGGCCAACCCTTCTGTTTTACTCTTTCATTAATACTTGGCATATCTGAGAGGTCATATCTCTTATGCTTCTATGAACTTACCAGGTTTAAGAAGTTCTACTGCCAACTATGAGTTCCCGCCATTTCTTCAAGGGGCAATGCCCCTCAAGTGGCACTGCCCTGCTTTACAAAGTAACACATTGTCTTTTAGAAAATGTTTTTTCATTTGTTTGTTAGCTGGTGTTTCCTCTGTTCTTTTCCTCTGAGGTCCCCTAAGCACTTTTTGCACCTGCTCTCTTCCCCCTAATCATAGAAATTTCCACTCAGCGTGATTTCTTCTTATAGAAGACAGTTTCAGAGAACTGACATTATAACCCTCTGCAATGTCTGTGATATTTGATATTTTATTCCACTTTTTTGTGGGACTTGCTGCATAATCTGATTTTCTGAATTTATTTGGCAACACATAAATAAGTTATAATGTGAGGTTTCCTCAGACTCCCATTTTTTTCTAAAAACTACATCTGTATATATACACCTATATATACACACACCTATATATATATATACAACTATATCTATATCTATATATGCCTATATATAGATATAGATATACATAGTTGTTTTGATGTCATTGGGTTGTTTGCGGGGAAAAAAATTGGGAGAAATCAGAACTAGTTGGCCACTGTTTTCAGTGGTAATGCATTTAGTATAAATTTGGACACAATCTTGCATGAGAACAGCCCAGCACTTATAAAACTTTGGAAAAGACTGTTTTGCTTTGTTGCTGTTGTTGTTGTTTCACCTAGAGAATGAGCCAAGGCTAAGAAATTTCTGTGTTTTTTTTTTAACTTTTTGAAAAATTCTTTTAAGAATGTACTTTTTCTTCCTGTTTTGCCTTTACAGTTAGTGTCCCATTTTCTGAAGGGTCTTAGTTCCAGCCCCTCTCTTTTGATAGGTCAAGGTAATGAGCCCTGTCACTGCAGTCCGTGAAACCCAAATCTCCTGGATATAGGGCCTAACAAGTGCCTCCAGGACAATGAAAATTGTAATATTGGCAAACTCCTATGTGTTTCAACTTTGCCTTTATTTTTGACCCTTAATGATATCCCTACTTTTGTGTAAGTTTGTGTATTTATTAGAGAAATGTTATTGCTGTTGTTTGAGCTTTGTGAACTATTTTTTAGCCATGTGTTGATATAATTCTCCATATTACCTAAATGAAAATCTCCATATCCTTTGAAGTCTATTTTAATCTGAATTATTCAATCTCAGTCACTGGAAATGTGACATTGTACTTTCACAATTATTAATGATTTCCATTATGTTAAATCAAATACTTAAGATATCCTCCATCCTCTTAATTGCAACTCTCTTTTTGCTAGGTGGCAGGGAGTAGGGAGAGAGCTTTATGATTTTTCTAATAAACTCATGGCCTATCCTCAGTTTCATATTAAAAATCTTCTTTAACCTAGAACTTTTAGAGCTAAGAGATAAATCACATCATTTTCTCCTTTTATTTTGTCTTTGTATACTGTTTCTAGTGGTAATCACTCATTTTCCACAATTAAAAATAACTTACTTTAATCTATATATTTGCTATATTTTCTAAAATTCTCAGAAATAATATATATTTTGTGTAGAAGGACAATATCATTTTTACAGTTTTTAAATATTTAATAAATGCCATTTTTATATTCTACCTCTAATTTTGTGCCTTTCCTTTAAGAATCTATAAATACATTACTTCTTTTATTTTCTTCAAATTTTATTATGTGCTTGCTATTGTCTGCAAAAATAAGCCAATATGGCAGTTGTTTTACCTTAAATATAAGAAAATGTATGACCAAGTCTATTGGCTCAGTGTTTTGTTCTGCTCCACTTTGGTCTCTACTGCAAGTATCTATATATTTCCCTATAGTCATTCCGTGTTTCATTTACACATGTAAGAGCAAACATAACCTAATCTCTGAGCGGCCTTAGATGCGTTCAGAATTGGAAAGGAAAACTTTTAACTAAATAGGTAAACACAACACAGGTCCTCCTCCACTTACAACGGAGTTATGTCTTGATAAAACCATCTTAAGTTGAAAATGTATTTAATGCACCTAACCTATATTCCAGCTTAGTCTAGCCTAACTTGAACATGCTCAGAACACTGACATCAGCCTACAATTGGGTAGAATAATCTAAAACAAAGCCTATTTTATAATAAAGTGTTGAATATGTGATGTAATGTATTGAATACTGTACTGAAAGTGAAAAACAGAATCACTGTATGCCTGCTTGAAGTACCAATTCTACTGAATATTTATCACTTTCCCAGCATTGTAAAGTTGAAAAATCGTAAGTTGAACCATCATAAGTCAGGGAATAGCTGTACTATTTAAAGCATATTTTGATTGTTCTTTCCCATGCTATTCTGCTTATTAAATATGTTGAAACTTGTCCTGAAGGATAAATTAACCTTATAACAGATAACAAGTTCTTTAAAGGCTATGTGTGCCCAACGAAATAAAATTAAATCATTTACTTGAGTGCAAATGGATTGTAGTTAACTTAATGTACTTAGCTTAGCTACCTGCTATGATATAGTGATCTGACACTTCCCAAAATTCAGCAATCATATAACTATCTAAATAAGAGAAACTCAAATGTGTCACATTTTTAAGGTTTGGTATTTATTCACACATAATTTATTGCCAGGGCCCTTATATCAGATTAAGTTTATTTTATGAAAAAGAAGTACATAGAAGTCTTCTCAGGAATTATATAAACACTGGAAAAGACAAATTAAAAAGGCAATGGTGTGCTCAATATTTAGCTTCCACTTATAAGTGAGACCATGTGGTATTTGGCTGTTTCTGCATTAGCTCACTCAAAATAATGGCCCCCATCTCCATCCATGTTGCTGCAAAGGACATGATTTCATTATTTTTTTTGGCTGCATAGTATTCTATGGTGTATATGTACCACATTTTCTTCATTTATTTCCCCATTGATGGGCTCCTAGGTTGATTCCATGTCTTTGCTATTATGAACAGTGCAACAATAATCATACCAGTGTATGTCTATTTTTGGAATAATGATCTATTTTCCCTTGGGTATATAATCAGCAAGGGGACTGTTGAGTCAAATGGTAGCTCTCTTTTAAGTTCATTGTGAAACCTCAATGCTTTCCACAGTAGCTGGATGAATTTACATTTTCACCAAAAGTGTATAAACGTCCGCCTTCCTCTAATGCCTTGCCATCATCTGTTGTTGTTTTTTTTAACTTTTTAATAGTAGCCATTCAGACTTGTGTAAGCTGATATCTCATTGTGGTTTTGACTTACATTTCTCTGATATGGTGACACTGAGCATTATTTCATATGTTTGTTGGCTTCTTATATGTCTTCTTTTGAGAAGTGTCTGTTCAAGTCTTTTGCTCATTTTTAATAAGGTTATTTGTTTTTTGCTTGTTTATTTGTTTAAGATTCCTATAGATTCTGAATGTATTAATGTGTTCTCACACTGCTTTAAAGAACTACATGAGACTGGGTAAATTATGAAGAAATTGACTCATAGTTCTGCAGGACATACAGGAAGCATGGCTAGGAGACCTTAGGAAACTTACAAGCGAGGTGGAAGGCAAAGAGGAAACAAATATGCCTGACCATGGCAGAACAGGAAAGAGAGAATAAAGGGAGAAGAGTTACATACTTTTAAATCGTCAGATCTCGTAAGAGCTCACTCGATATCATGAGTACAGCAAGGAGGCAATCCATCCCATTATCCAATCACCTTCTACCAGGTCCCTCCTCCAATTTGACATGAGATTTGGGTAGGGACACAAATTCAAACTATATTAATGAATATTAGGAGTTTGTAGAATGCGTAGTTTGTGAACAACCTCTTCCATTCTGTAGGTTGCCTGTTTATTCTGTCAATAATAATAGTCTGTTTATTTTTTGCTGTGCAGAAGCTCTTTAGTTTAATTAGATCCCACTTCTCTATTTTTGTTTTTATTGAAATTGCTTTGGGGACAGCCAAAAATTCTTTGCCAAGGCCAATACTGAGAAGAGTATTTACTAGGTTGTCTTTCAGGATTTTTAGCGGTTAAGGTCTTATATTAAATCTTTCATCCATCTTAAGTTAATTTTTGTATATTGCAAAAGTCCCATTTCATTTGTCTGCATATGTCTAACCAGTTATCCCAGCACATTTATTTGAATAGGGAGTCTTTTCCCCTCTGCTTCTTTTTGTTGGCCTTGTTGAAGATCAGATGGTTGTAAGTCTGCATCTTTATTTCTGCATTTTCTATTCTGTTGCATTGATCCATGTGTCTGTACCATGCTGTTTTGGTTACAGCCCTAAAGTATAGTTTGAAGTCAGGTAGTGTGATACCTCTGATTTTGTTCTTTTTTTCTTAAGATTGCTTTAGCTATTTGGGTTCTTCTTTGGTGCCATATGAATTTTTAAATAGTTTGTTCTAGTTTAGTGAAGAATAATGTTGGTACTTTGATAGAAATAACATTGAATCTATAAATTGCTTTTGGCAGTAAGACCATTTTTTAACATATTGATTTTTCCAATCCATGAGCCTTGAATATTTTTCCATTTATTTGTGTCATCTCTGATTTCATTCAGCAGAGTTTTGTAGTTATACTTACAGAGATCTTTTACCTTCTTGTTTAGCTGTGTTCCTAGGTGTTTCATTTTATTTGTGGGTCCTGAATGTGGGATTATGTTCTTGATTTGACTCTCAGACTTGACATTGTTGATGTGTAAAAACATTACTGATTTTTGTACATTGCTGATGTACTCTGAAACCTTACTAAAATCATTTATCACTTCTAGTAGCCTTTTGGCAGAATTTTTAGGGTTTTCTAGATATAGAATCATAGTGTTAGGAAAAAGAGATAGTTTGACATTTTATTTTCCTATCTATATGCCTTTTATTTCTTTCTTTTGCCTGATTGCTCTTGCTAGTATTTACAGTACTATGCTGAACAAGAGTGGTGAGAGTGGGCATCCTTGTCTTGTTCCAGTTCTCAAAGGGAATGCTTCCAGCTTTTGCCTGTTCAGTATGATGTTGGCTGTGAGTTTGTCATATACTGCTCTTATTATTTTGAGGCATGTTGCTTTGATGTCTACTCTTTCAAGGGATTTTATCATGCATGGATGTTGGATTTTATCAAAAGCTTTTTCTGTGGCTATTGAGATGATCATGTGGTTTATGCTTTTGATTCTGTTTATGTGGTGGATCACATTTATTAATTTGTGTATGTTGAAGCAGCCTTGCATCCCTAGAATAAAGCCTACTTGACTGTGGTATGTTATTAACTTTTTGATGGGCTGCTGGATTCAGTTTGCTAGCATTATTATGTTGAGGATTTTTACGTCTATGTTCATCAGGGGCATTGGCCACCTGAAGTTTCCTTTCCTCATTATGTCTCTGCCAGATTTTGGTATTAGGCTGATGTTGGCTTCACAGAATGAGTTAGGGAGGAGTCCCTCTACCTCATTTTTTTAGAATAGTTTCAGTAAGATTAATATCTAGTAGAATTTAGCTCTTTACTCATCTGGTCCAGAGCATTTTTCAGTTGGTAGGTTTTGTGTTGCTGATTCAATTTAGAGCTCCATATTGGTCTATTCAGGGTTTCAATCTCTTCTTGATTCAATCTTGAGAGACTGTATGTTTCCAGGAATTTATTAATTTCCTCTAGATTTTCCAATTTGTGTTCATAGAGTTATTCATAGTATTATCTGAGGGTCTTTTATATTTCTGTGGGATCAGTTGTAATGACATCTTTGTCATTTCTGATTGTACTTCTTTGAATATTCTCTCTCTTTTTCTTTGTTAAACTAGCTAGCAGTCAATCAATCTTGTTTATACTTTCAAAGAACCAGTGCTTCAATTCATTGATCTTTTTATGGATTTTTGCATCTCGATTTCACTTAGTTCTTCGTTCATTTTAGTTATTTTTTTTCTTCTGCTGACTTGGGGGTTGGGTGGTTCTTTTTTATTTCCTAGTTCTTTTAGGTGCAAAGTTCGATTTTGAAATTGAGATTTTTTCAAACTTTTTGATGATGGTGTTTATGGCTATACACTCTTAACACTGCTTTAACTGTATCCCAGAGATTTTTGTATTTTGTGTCCCTATTTTTATTAATTTCAAAGAATTTTTTGAATTTCTGCCTTCATTTTGATGTTCACACAGGAGTCATTCAGGAACAAGTTGTTTAATTTCAATGTATTTTTGTAGTTTCAAGAAATCTTCTTGATATAGATTTCTATTTTTATTGCACTGTGGTCCAAGTGTGTTTTGGGTATGATTTCCATTTGTTTGAATTCACTGAGACTTGCCTTATGATTGAGCATGTGGTTGATCTTAGAAAATGTTCCATTTGCAGATGAGAAGAATGTACATTCTGTAATTTTTGGGTAGAGTGTTCTATAGGTATCTATTTTGTCCAACTGGCCAAATGTTATGTTTAAACCTAGAGTTTCTGTGTTAGTTTTCTGCCTTGATGATCTGTCTAATGCTGTCAGTGGCATGTTGAAATCAGCCATTATTAGTGTTTGATTGTCTAAGTCTTATCATAAGCCAAGAAGAACTTGTTTTACAAATCTGAGTGCTGCAATATCAGATACATATATATGTAGTATAGTTAGGTCTTCTTGTTGGATTGTGCCATTCATCATGATGTAGTGATCCTCTTTGTCCTTCTTAATTTTTATTGGGTTAAAATCTGTTTTATTTGTTATAATAGCACAATCTTATTTTCTATAACTCAACTTGATTTCTCACTATGAGTCTATTCTTAAGAATAAAAAGTAAAATAGTCAACATTTACTAGATTTAAACATGCTTCTTCATTTGCCACCATTATGGTATCTTTTGAAATTTCAACTCTTCAGCAGTGGTGGTGGAAGTAGAAAGAGCGGTCCTTTATTTTTATTTTTATACATTTATCTTTCTGGTCAAATTATTTTCTAATGCTTTCGTCCTATTCTTCAGACACAGTATCTTTACCTTTGTAATTTCGTAGATGGTCTTGTATGCCTTGGGACAGCAACCAGATATTTGTCACAAGAGTCATGCTGCCGCTTAGGAGTGGTGCTGTGAAAATAACAGTGCTTGTCTGCCTGTGGACCTGTAGCTTATTTTTTATCCTCTTTATTCGCCCATGATTCTCTATTCCTTAATGTGAAGAAATATATTAATATTATGGGAAATTTGTCTTTTCCTAGACCACTGTTCTTAATCCTAGACATGCCCAATCCCTTATGATAGCAAAACCTAGAAAAGGCATGTATACTGCACTTGTTCTTTCTGTTAAGTGTGTCATACACTTACAAGAAGCTAACAGGACTTAATCATTTTTGATATATTGGAAGAGAGAAGAGAAGAATGGGACAGAAATTAGATTGCTTAATTGAGGGTATCATTTGAACTCCAAAGCCCTCCTTCTCCTCCTGAGATTGCAGAACATGTGATGAACATTCTCTGCATCTAATAGCAAAAGCTCTGTCCTTTGAAGTAATTACTAACAATGATGTAAATATGTTAAGAGGAATGGAGGAGAGGAGAAAATAAATAGTATAAAATTGCCAAATCCTTAAAAAATGTGCATAAACATGTTAGAGATATGGGAGAAACTAACAGAATAAACAAGGGGGCTAAGAAATTTTGCATGAGGGAAGTAGGATTTGGTGTTAGGTGTGAGAAAAAATTAAGATATATAAGAAATTAATAAAATTTAATAGAAAACAAGCCCAAGTAGCCCAATTTTTAAATAGAAAAAATGTTTTTTTCAAAGAAGATATACAAATAGCCAATGGGTATATGAAAAGATGCTCAACATCACTAATCACTGGGGACACGCAAATCAAAACCTCAAGGAGATAGCACCCCATACATGTTAAGCTGGCTATTATTAAAAAGCCAAAGAAGTGTTGTTGAGGCTTGGATGTGGCCAGGACATTGAGAAAAGAGAACCTTTAAATGCTGCTGGTGGTATTGTAAATTAATCTAGCCATTATTAAAACAAAACAAACCAGAAAGGAGGTTTCTGAAAAATTAAAAAATAGAACTACCACATGATCTAGATTCCACTTCTGGGTATAAATCCAAAGGAAATAAAATCACTCTCTCAAAGAGATAACTGCATTTCCATGCTCATTGCAGCATTACTCATTTTAGTGAATTTTCTAGAAAGAGATAATATAGACATTTGATCAGTCTGGCTTTTTGAACAGCCATAACTCTTTAAACATTTCTTTAGCCATCTCCATTTTACCTTCCATCTCTTCCCCTCCATCATTGACATTTTAGAAAACTTATGAATAAGAATATATTGACATTTGAGATGACTTACAAATAAGCATACTTATTTTATTCTTATATCTCTATTATGACATACTTTTAATGACTCAACATGGAACTCCATGCTCTAACATCAACTAAAGCAATCATTCAGAAAAAAATTGTATAAACAATAACAAGTGAAATATTTTAGAATAAAATAATTTTGTTTTGGAAAAAATAAAAATTTATAAAAAAATTTGTATGTAGTTTCAACTTTTACTCAAGGTTATAATTAATTCAAGTGGTACTATATTTCATATTCTTATAGAGTACAACCCAGAGGCTTGCTAATTATTTCCATCCATACCACAGAAGTTCTGATTTGGACTGCACAGTTCTTTTTGATGTTTTAAGCAAGTGTATTTTACATCCAGATTTATGAATTCTGTAGGAAAATAAGAAGCTCTAAAAATTCTGGACCAACATTTCCTCTTCAATATTTGTCACAATAAATTGGAGTTCATTAGAGGTAATCTACATCTTGTTGCCAATATTCCCACCTAATCTATTTTTCAATTCAATGTTCAAAAGAGTGACACTTAATTTTATTTTATACCTGGTTTCTATGGTCATTTTAATTTAATATGGGTATATTTATAGAGATATATAAGTCTCATATATATATTTTAAAAAGAAAAGTATTGTCATGGTAGTGCTGAATTCATACAAATGTTTCTTTGGAAATATTTTGGCATTCAAACTTTTTATCCATCATCTTAAATTAAGAATTGGGCTCCTATTAAATGATGGGTTCTATGCAGCCCCACAGCCTGATCACCTAGGCCAACCTGATCCGTGTAGTTGGAAATACCATTGATTGCTCTTTTGTTGAGCAGTATGGATGGGTTCACATGCATACCCTCTCACACAGCATAGCTAATATTAACATATAGACCAGTAGAAAAAGCCCTACCAACTCATTAGCTTCAGGTAGTCTAGTTTCAGGGAGAGAATTACAAATGTCGATTACCACAATAGTGATAACATAAGCAGTAGAAATATAAGATTTCATTTTAGATATCTATGTGTACAAGGTAAAGACTTGCAAAAGAAAATGAATTTTGCTGTCAGAGGTTTTCCTTTCTCTTTTTCTTTTTTTCTTCCTACTGTAAGTGAAAATGACATTAGGTCTTCTGAATCAGAACACATATAACCTTTGTTTTGTTTGTTTCTCTTTTTTCTTTAGAATATTTCATTTCAAAATTAATTTGTCAATTTTAAAGCAACGAAATGGGCCTACATAATGCTGCATTCTTTCTTACAATAAACAATTTAAAGTTAATTGATCTTTTAAAAAATCTAATTTAGGCACAATCTCTTGGAATTACTAGGAGATATAATAAATAGAAATACAAATAAGAATTTGTCTTTTTGAATTTGTGGTTTTTTTTGTAGACTTACAATCTAATTTCTTTTTTCTTTTTTTAGAAAGATGAGGTCTCTCTATGTTGCCCAGGATGGTTTCAACCTTCTGGGCTCAAGCAACGCTCCCAAACAGCTGAAACTAAAGGTTCTAATTTCTTTTTGACGGCAATATTGCCTTCTGTACTTACCTCTCCTCCATTTCAATCCTCACCATCAGCTCTACTTTTAGAAATGCAAACAGCTTTACAGCAACTAATATAAAGCTAGGTACTCAGTGGACACTCCATAATATTTGTTGATGATTATAAATTTGTCTTGACCAGATTGCTCAGATAATTGCTTTAAATCTCCTGTGGCAGTCAAGTTACACTGTGTGAAATTTGGCATGTCAATTAGAAACATCCTCAGATTTGCATATAGGCAGATGATGCTTTCATCAAATTAATTTAGGTCCTTCTATAAAAGACCATGACAATATTTTGAGATCCAAAATGACTAAGTATTTTAGTCATTTTGTACTAAGGACTAAAGTATTTCAATATGTTAGTGATCCTAACTATGCCATAAGCCCTTATTATGTTACATCTGTATCTGGAGTACTTTAAATATTTTCATATTTGAGAATATTAAATCAATAAATTTATGATTCCATCTGTCAGGTCTACAAGGCCTAAAATAACCTTCTAACTTCTACCAGTTATTTTATCAAAAATAGACTACCAAAGTTGGTCTATATTAATGAGATAAGTGAGTACAAAGTGTAAAGTCATACACAATTCAGTTTTCCTTCAGTGAATTTTGTTCATTCTTTAAACATATACATTATATATTTACTTTAAGATACTCCATATCTTCTGGGGATTTTTGTAGCAAATAATATAATCTGTGACATTAGGCTTTCTTATTCCTCTTAGAGACATGTTTACAATCTCTGTTCTGTTTTCCTTTTTTTGAAAACCCAAAGAGGATATTCAAGAAGGTGTAATTGCACTTTTGAAAAGCCAAGGAAACAACTGGGTATAAAGGTAATAAAATAAACATTTAAAAAACATGACTATGTCCAGACTCTCTTGATTTCACTTGCTCTTTTATTATTGTCAAACTGTCAAATATGGGATAATTTTACAAACCTTTATTAATGCTCATAGAGTGCCGTTAATCGAAATCTATTTTTTTCCCTAAGAATCCTTCAGATGTCTCCACTACCTAACTCCAAAAATTACAAGTAATTTCATGAGTTTTATTTCTCTTCTTTATTGGTTTTCTGTTGGTAAATGAGGGACTGGAGGAAGGCCACCTCGGAGATATACTTTTCCCGAGAGAACAAACCTTCTCTAGAGGTCAAATTAATTCTGTTATCAAAGCAGCCCAGCCACTGAGCAGGAATATCTGTACACTGAAACCTCACAGATTCTAAGAGGGCCATTTCAGAAGTCTAGTCACACTGAAATCATTCCTCATTCTGTCCTGAATGCAAAGGAGTACAGACCAGATCTGCATTATCCACTGGAGTGCACTCAGAGAGCCAGAATGTGCTGCTTCTGAATGAACTCATGTTTGTGCAGTACTGCATGCATTGTAAATATCAAAATATATTTGAGTATGTAAACTACCATAGAATTTGTCTGTTTATATAGCTAGCATTAATAGATTCCATGATTACATTTCCCAAAAAAACTTCATATATAGATATATCTATATATGTATGTGTATATATATATATGTATATGAAATATATATATTTCAATCTGTATTGCCTGTGTCAAAAATTTGAAAACCTTTATCTGGAAACTGGGGAAAAATATTTTCTTTATCTGACATTGCCTTTATTTGAAAGTTACTTGTTTTTAAAATATTTTTATTCTTCACTTTTTTTCTGATCTCTCTCTTTAAAAGGAAATTACTAATCTTTGTAGAATTGCAATAATGTTTAGTTTTACTGAAAAGTATTAAAACAACATCATATTAGCTGTATTTTAATCTTATATCATTGCAAACATCGGACTACTTTGATCTCTGTTTTTATTTCTATCATTCTGGTTGAGAGGGATATGTTCTAACTTTCTTGTAATTTTCTTATGAACATTCAAGGAATATCTTTCATTTGCTCTGCATTTCTCCATTAGATGCTGACTCAATTACCTGTGTCTTCCTACAGTTGTTTTTAGTTTTTGTTCATTGTAGATATAAAATCTAACAATGACATAATTCTATTTCTTTTGTAACATCCTAAAGGAAGTACTGGTCACAGCTCCACAGTCTCTTAAAAATATTAAGAGTAAATTAAAATAAAATGAAATGATACATTCATTTTATTCTACCCGTTGGTTCTTTCTGAAGCTATTACTCATCAGATATTTAATTCATGTTCATTATATGCAGCAGTTAAAGGTGATGGACTCTGGAAATGAACAAATTAGGAGTAGAGATTGCCCCCAAAACATATGGACATACTTTATTTATAAAATTAAAGGACTTATGTCCATTTTTATGCATTAGGTTCACAGAGTGAAGAGACCCGAGATCTGCCACTAATTGGATTTGTGTTTCCAGACCTTAGTATCCTCTCTAAAATGAGAGAATTGACTGGAGCATAAAGTCCATTTGCACAAGTTAATTTTTTCTATTCCTGTTATCAATATCATCCATCCACATTCTCCTTGATACTTATCTACATAGAATTTACAAAACTCATCAAATTAATTCTTAAATTAAGAATACCAATACATCATTATAGTACATATGTTTTAATGTATTTCTTGTACTAAATTACTTCTATGATTGACAGCAAAATGCTCTGTCACCAAATGCTGTCAATTCTCCCTCAAACATGTCTCTCAAATTCAGCCTTTCCTCTAAACCAACTGTCACTGCCTAGGTCTAGGTCGTCATCATTTCTCCCTTGGACTATTACAATAATAGCCTCATAACTCTCTTAACTGACTCCCCGTTCCTCCTTTACTCTAGCTCATCCCCCATATAACTGTCACAGTTATCTTTCTAAAAGTAAAATGGCTCATGCCACCTAGCTGCTGAAGAACTTTATTATATACAATATAAACTTCAAATTCTATACATTAGCACAATCTTCCCTTAACCTATTTGCCCGTTCTCATTTTATGTTCACACCTTTCCCTCTCAGCTCCCAACTTAACTGCTCGTAGTGAACTAACCTTTGAATTTTCTTGATGTTCTATCCCTTTTGGCAACCCTCTGCCTTACTTGTGCCTGTATATGGTAGAGAATAACTACTGTTTGATTGAACAAATAAATACATTAACATGCTGTTGTTTTCACTTGGTGTATGTATCCTTTAACAGAGTATGTATTACACTGTTTTCTCTCTCAATTTTCCCCAGCAAAAGAGGTTATTTTCTGTGCTTTCACAATATTTATACATTATCTTCAATGGTACTGTTTAGCATATATTGTTATTTATCTGTTTATGTACAAATCAGAAATTGCTATGGCAGATAGAATATTTTATTACTACTTTTTATTTTCACCACTTGCGAGCACAGGAAGAACTCAATAAATGTGGTTGAATCAGTAAATATATATAAATACTATAATAAATACTTTATCACATTATAACTCACACAGTAGTTTCCCATTTATAAGAAAATATAATAAATGGCTATTTCAAATATGGAATTAAAATATTTAATTTAAGGACCTTATTCTATAATGACTAATCTATTATAAAGGACAAATAGAATCAGTGCCTGCATGATATGAGAAAAAATAAATGCATGTAAATGTCTGTAAGAAACTTGTATTAAAGTAGGTCAAAACTGATTATTCTGATAATTACAGCATCAAAGTTTTCCCAGCGTTAACACTTAAGATTATCTACATAAATTTAAAATATATTTATAAAAATGTGTATTTACTTAATAAGTTTAAAAATTATAAAATTTTGACATTAGACCATTATTTTAAATAGAATAAAGGTAGGATATATTTTTTCTAGACAAGATTTAAAATTAAAGTAGCCACATCCAACATGAAATTTATCAAAATGGAATTATTTATAAAATTATTCGAGTTCATGGTTTTGAAGATGTCTTGTGTTTTAACAAAAGCTTTAGTAACTAATTCTCAATTTTACTATCTATGGCCATTTAAAAGAAATTTATCATGGTACCTCAATAGGTCACGAGTTCCTTTATAACTTATACTTAAATTATTCTTTAATTCAGAATGAAAAGTCTTTTTGAAATTATGAGTTTTACCCAAAAGAAAAAAAGGACATTTGACTAACGTTGTTTATATTAATAGTTCCTTAGCTTCTGCGTCTTGTGGCCATGAAATCATACAAATGTCAGAAATCGTATTTTACAGAGTATTTTATATAATAAAGAGTTTTATTACTTAAAAAGTCAACAAATCTTAACCTTTTAAAAAATATCCTGATATGATTTGTGGATTAAGTTTTTGTTAAAGATTACTATATATTTGGCTTTAAAGTCAAATTATTCATGCATAGCAAACTGAATAAGTCTAATAGTAGCAGCACTTTTTTAATGATTTGGGGTGTGTATGGTTTTGTTCTGCACATATTGTTACCAAGTTCAATAAGTGTTAGTAAAAATGAAAAAGAAAAATTATAGTTAATAATCTTCTGCTCACTGAATGTAATAAGCCTTTGGTGAGGGCTATGCTACATGCTGTGAGGATGACCCTCAAGTAGCTTTCAGCACAGAAAGTGAATGAAAAATAAATGTAATGCAGAGACATCAAACCACATTTTAATAAGGATTCAAATGAGAGATTATATCTAATTGGAGAGAAAGAAAGAGTTTCAGAATTAGGGGGCAAAGAAAGACCTACGAGATAAAAAGATTTCTTGAAATAAATGTGAAGAAAGAGATCATGCTAAATATAAGTAGCAGGATTAATGAGAACATGGAATGCAAATGTCTTCTTAAAGTGCCTACACTGATATAGTTTACCTACGCAGTCACTAAAGGGAAGAATTTTAAAAATCAGTGTTTTCAGTAACACTGGCTCATGCAAAGGGTATGTTCAGTTATCTAATCAAAGATATATCAAAAATGACCGTAGAACATAGGACAGGATTTCAGTTTCTTTCATTGCCTGTAAGAAAGTGAATAAGAGACATCTTCATGTATTGGTTTAGTTTGATAATGAAGTCCTTACATTTGGAATTCCTGTTGATGCTTGAATTTCTCACACTACATTAGTACCCCCTTATTCACAAAGAATATATTCCAAGATGGGGATGCCTAAAACTGTGGATACTACAAAACCCTGTATACACTATACACACATACACGTAATTTTAATTTATAAATTATACACAATAATATACTAACACCAATAACTAATAAAATTGAACAATTATAAAAATATAATTAGTTACTTAAAATGTATATATTGTTTGCTTTTGAAATATTTTGTTTAATATTTTAGGACAACAGTTGACCCATGTAAGTGAAATCATTAATAAGGGGAGAACTGCTGTTAAGTATTTGATAAGCAATCTGTTCCCTGGGGCAATTAGGTTGGATGGCATTGTATCACAATTTACTCATCTTTTATGGTATTGACTTCCTTTTCAAAACCAATATTGGAGGTATTGTTGGAGATGTTGTTCACTCTATTTTTGGGAGAGGAGAGGACTTCTTGGTAAAGAAGACAAAGGAAGTCAAGGTAATAAGGCAGGAGGAATGGAGAAATCATTTTAGTTCCTTTTCCACTTTGCCTTTAGAAACCGGATACAAGAAAAATGTGAGAAAGCAAGTAATAAATATTAGTAATAATAATAGGTGTCAGCAATTAGTTATGTGTCATCTCTCTCTCCCTCCGGTATGTTAGAAGAATAAGAAAGAATTCTCTAATAGACACAACAGTTCAATTAAGACATGGATGGCTTTGAGAACTATGGAGGTTTAATTCTCTGAAATGTGCAGTCAGAGGCTCAATAACCACATGGTAAGGATGATATGGGAGGAAGTCAAGCATTAGTTAGGTGGGCTTCATGTGTATGAACTGGCCGGTCTCAGAAGACCCCATCCTCAGAAAGGTCCTATGATTAGTTTCATGCTTTGCAGTCACTGCCTTGAATTTTTAGGGCAAGAAACTTCACTTTCATTTACAGGGGGGCATAGAAATTCTGCAGCCCAGTGCAGAGTATCAGACCACTAATATGACTAGTAGACACTTAAATATCCTTTTGATGCTGAATTCCTTTGCTACTTGGTGTTTATTTGGCAATCTAGAGTGAGAAACAGCCTTTGAATAATAATTTTAAATGAGATCTTATAGGGATTAGCAGCAAGAAATATGAAAAGATAATTAAATCAACCTGTGCTTATCGAGTTAATTATATTAACTAAATAGAGGAGTGTGACTTGGGCAAATAGGATAGTCCTAAATTCTTACATTAGAGTTAAAGACATAAATGAGATTGTTGTGGAGGAAACTAGGCAGAATAGCCAATTCATTACTGCTATGACATCAGTATAAATTGAAACATCCAAATAGGCAATTGATGATTCTAATTGTAATAACAATACAGCACATTATGGCATAGGTGAAGCAAGCAATTACTTGTGCAAATGCTGGAGGCGAGGTAGGCTGTTAGCCATGTACATGGCCCACCTGAAACAGTTAATTGTATTAGCTGTTGCTTTTTTATCTTATCAAAATTGGAACTTTTAATCTACCGCTAAATCAAATGTTTCAAAAATCTCATTTATGTATAATAAGGTATCTTAAAAGTTCAGTAAAATAAGTTACATTTTTCACTTGTTTTTCTCACATATCTTCAGCACAAATCTAAAGATCTCTGAAAGAGAAAACACTGACACAAATATTGTCTCGATCTTCCTCCTTCGATGTCTCAAATATTCTCCACTGTGGGTGTGAGGAGTTTATTTCCCCCCCGACCCTTCTAAAATCCCCATTTGTAATACAGTGAAATCTGGAAGGCCCATATGGCTCAATGCAATTTTCTCATAGAAAATTCCTGCTAATAACAATTTCTATTGAGTCCTTTGGTGAAATGCAAAGCTCCTTTATCATCAGAGGTTTAGAAACATGAATCAAAAGACGGGAGCCAAGCCATTTAAGGACTGAGGAGGATTCTACACAAATACCTTGATTTTCAGCTTTGAATTTAAACTTTTAGTTTAAATGAAGTTGCAGGACACATTTATAGCTCAAATAAAAATAATTGAATACTTATTTGTATTTGAGATGTTATGTCTCATTAAATATGTGAAGATTAAAAAAATTCGGCTTTAAGGAAGGTGTTAATATAGTCAACACATTTTTTTTTTAATGAGTAATTGTGAAATTGACTTACTGTGTTTGGGTTCTACAGAGAAACAGAACTAACAGGATCTATGTGTATATATATATGTGTGTGTGTGTGTGTGTGTGTGTGTGTGTGTGTGTGTGTGAAGGGATTGATTCAGGTAATGATTGTGGAAGCTTTGTAAGGCCAAAATCTCCCTTGAAGGCAACAGGGTAGGCTGCAGGCTGGAGACCCAGGGAAGAGTCAGAGTTCAAGTCCAAAAGCAGTCTGATGGCAGAAGTCCTTCTTTCTCAGGGGAGGTCAATCTTTTTCTATTAAGGCCTTAAATTGATTGGATGAGGCCCACCCTCCTTATGGAGGCTAAACTGCTTTACTGAAAGTTTGACAGTTTAAATACTAATCTCATCCAAAAAAATCCCTTAACAGAAACATCCAGAGTAATGTTTGATCAAACATCTGGGCACTGTGGCCCAGCTAAGTTGATACACAAAATTAACTATAGTACTTTCTTAGAGTTGTGGCTGGCACAAGTATTTAAATGGAATTAATATATATATACACATATATATATTCAAAATAAGTCAAGTCACAGCATGCATAACAATATACATATAGCAGCAGCTACATTTCTGCATAATTTACCTTCTTAGAGAACTAGATGGAGAAAATCAACAGTAATTTCTCAACTCAAAAAACGCTTTAAATTAAAGAAAAAAGTCATGTGACTGCTCCAATTCCTTTCTTTAAATTTTCTCTGAAGAAAAAAACTGATTGTTCAGATTCTGCTTTTTTGTGCCATGAAGTGAGTGCTTTTATTTCAAGAATAAGTGGGCTCATTTAACCAAGGAAAGAGAATGCAGAATTGAAGAAGAAAAAAATAAATAAACACATATCTCATTATACCAGAAAAAGAACAAATTATGTATCATTTAATAGGACACAGCCTGTAAAAAGTAACATTAAAGAATATTTAATGGTACATGTAATTGAACAAATATCAGACAAAATAACTTGAGTCCCAATTGATGAGTGTTGAATAAAATATTGTCTTTATCTAATGGTAAGAAATAGTCTTCTCGTTAAATAGCCTAAGGAAAACGTCAATGACTGCGCCTGGATTATGGAAGTGCAGTGGCCTATAGATGAGGGCCTGAGTCTTGACTCTCAATGGATAAATGCATGCAGGCTGTCTCCAGTAATTTAAATTTTTGAAAGAAACAGAAATATTATCCCCAAACACCTCACTTAACTGGTAAAGACAGGAAAGGAGCCATTAAATTTTGCTTCAAATACAAAATCATTTGATGTATGTTTTTTCAATCTAAACATATCTTAATTTAGAAGAATTACCTGATCACTACTAAAAAATAAAAATTCTAAGAAGAGTGTTATGGGGACTAAAGTGAAGGTGATTTGAATAACATTTTAGAATGCTCGTGCTAAGTGTATCTAAAAACACCAAAGTTTGCAATTTGAAAGCTCTGTGTTGCTGACAATAGAACTAGGTCTGCAGATAGAGATTAAAACAAAAAATGTTTCCCTATTAGAAAAGAGTCTTTGGTCAAATAATACAATAATCGGTTTACTAAAGCTAAGGAAATATTCCTAGATGCATCTCTATTTAAATTTCATGCAGCATAAACCATATCCAACTGTTTCTCTCTTTCATCTAAGAAGATACGTTCCAGATCAAAATGTTGACCTGCATAAGTAAATTCATTCTAGATTTATGCTGAAGCTTGGATTTACCCAGAGCAATTCATTTGAAAGACAAAACCTGAAGCATGGAGAATTACATAAGAAAATGCTTAACCGTTCAGGGTCTAAGATGTGTTATTGGAATGTGCTATTTGAGCTCTTGATTTTACTATGCTTAACTAGTTGTGAGCTGGCAGTTTACTTCACCACTTTGGGTTACTGTTGCTAGTTTCTTATAAAGTTAAGGCCTTGTATAAATCATCTCCAAAGTTCTGTAATTTATAAAAGATGACAAAAATCATGAGAGATTTTTGAGGTTCAAAACGCATTTTAATTCTAAGGAAGAGGGGTGTCAAGAAACTAAAATCATTCACGTTTGCCCAGAAGTTTTGTTCCCCAGTAGATTTGTGTCAAAAGAAAAGATTTATAAATATATGCACACCGATGTACTTTCACCAAAAGTGCTGTAATGTTTCATTTCTGAGAGGGACACAGGATGATGAAACAATTTGTTACTCTTTATAGCTTTTATATTAAAATAAAAATTATTAAAAAAAGGTCTACATATAGATTAGGCATTTGATATGAAACTGTGAAGTATGATTAAAGAGACAAATTCTGTTATGTGACATACAACTTGAATTTCTCTTTAAACATCAAACTCAGTGTTTCTGTTTACTGAAGGAAAGCCCTAAAGTTCCTCAATCAATGAAAAATATGTAAATCAAAGTGCATGATCTATTTTGAAGGGTTTTTGCTTGGATCTGAAAAACATCCTGCTGCTTTTTTTAATGAGAAGAGAATTGTGTGTTTTTTTCTTCTCCTTTTTAAAATGGAGGATTTAACTCTACAGGGTTCCCTGTAGAAAATGATATATTTTATGAACTCTGTATAATTCCATGTATGTGCTCAGCTGGAATAGGTTTAATTTCTATTGTTGCTGTGTAGGAGGTAGGACTTGAAGAGTGAGAAATGAAGCAGAAGGCAGTTTATTGTGAAATTGATGCTTAGTAGTGTAGTGATTCAGAGTGTAGCATGTGTGAGAATCACTGACTTACTGACCCATAATATATTTATTGGCAGACCTTCATGCTACTTGCACACAAATCAAGGAGAGAAGATGGTGATCTTACTCTATATTAGAAAAAAATAATATTAAAGGCAAAAAATGCCTAATTGGAATTTGGGATCCTTTGAGAATTATGTGTATATAACATTAGAAAAAGAAACATATACACACACATATACACATAAATAAATTTTGACTATCATTGCATGAATTATTGTAATTTCAGATATTTTTCTCATTTATATGCAAGAAATATGCAAGATTCTTTTTACATGTTATCCAAAAACAATAGGAAATGATACTTTTATTTATTTGTTTAATTATTTTAAATATGATTTACACATAATTGAATTCATAGATTTTAGGCTGTAAAGTTTGATGAATTTTGACAAATGCATATATGTATGTAACCAATACCCAAATTAATATAAAGACTGCCACTTTTATCACCTCAAATTCTCTTTTGCTCTTTTCTAATTAATAATCCCCCTTGCCTAGGAAACTACTGTTCTAATTTCTATCACTGTAGCTTAGTTTTTACCTGTTCTACAACTTTATATAAATACAAACCTGGACATTGCAAAAGACACATTAAAAATGTTTATTTCTGTTAACGTCTTCATAAAGTGTTGTTTTGTTCAACCAAACAAATTATCAATAGTCTTGAACTTGCAGACTCTGCTTTGTTGAGTCTATTTCATTTGTGTCATTAATTTTTTCAGTCTTTTATTCTCAAAGAGTAGCCTTTTTGGTTGTTTGAAGACAAAGCCCAAGCTCTGTACCAATCCCCTCTAATTTAGTAGATGGGAAAACACTGTGTCTTCTCCATTAAGCAGCAGCTAAAACATCAGCTCTTCTCTTTCAACATTCTGTTTTCTCCCGCCCCTGGATTCCTGGAATTCTCATCCACACATGGATACTTCATTGCTCAGCTAAGATTTGAGGTGAGGTTATACACAGATTTTGGATTCCCGTTCTATTTCTTCCTCCTTTTCAGATCACACTCAGTTTCCAAATTGAGGACTATTGGTCCCAAACTTTTGAATCCTTCACACGGTATGATTATGGCTTTCTGCTTAAGTTCTATTTTCCCCACATGTGGACTGACATGTGCCCTTAGGAGAAAACTATGTCCTTGCATGAATGACACAGTTTGCACTGCTCCTTTAGCAGATACACTCATTTAGATTTCTCTTGCTGTTGTTTGCTTCCTAGTGCCTTTGAATAGTTCTTTTAGAAAACTGCCCAGAGTTTATAATGATTTACATTTGAGGAATTATGTCTATAAAAACTATTCTACTCTTCTAGATCCAAAACTCAGGTCCTTTCATAATTTGAAATATTTATTGCTTAGAAGTGCTGTGCTAACACATGTTGTACCAAAGCCCCTATCATATGCATTTGACTAGTCATATATATATGCAATATATATATGCAATATGTATGCAAAATATATATATGCAATATATATGCAATATATATATGCTATATATACGCTATGTATATATGCAATATATATACACACTATATATATGCAATATAAATACTATATATGCAATATATATACACACTATATATATGCAATATATATACACAATATATATATGCAATATATATACACAATATATATATGCAATATATATACACAATATATATATGCAATATATATGCAATATATATGCAATATATATGCAATGTATATGCAATATATATGCAATATATATGCAATATATATGCAATGTATATGCAATATATATGCCATATATATGCAATGTATATGGTATATATATGCAATGTATATGGTATATATATGCAATATATATGACATATATATGCAATGTATATGCCATATATATGCAATATATATGGCATATATACGCAATGTATATGCCATATATATGCAATATATATGCAATATATATATGCAATGTATATGCCATATATATGCAAAATATATGCAATATATATATGCAATATATATGCCATATATATGCAATATATATGCAATATATATATGCAATATATATGCCATATATATGCAATATATATATGCAATATATATGCAATATATATATGCAATATATATGCAATACATATGCAATATATATGTGCAATATATATGCAAAATATTTGCAATATATATGCAATATATGTGCAATATATATGCGCTATATATATGCAATATATATGCAATATATACGCGCTATATATATGCAATATATATGCAATATATATATGCAATATATATGCGCTATATATATGCAATATATATGCAATATATATGCTATATATATGCAATATATATGCAATATAGATGCAATATATACATGCAATATAGATGCAATATATGTATGCAATATATATGCAATATATGTATGCAATATATATGCAATATATGTATGCAATATATATGCAATATATGTGCTATATATATGCAATATATATGCTATATATGCAATATATATATGCTATATATATGCTATATATATGCAATATATATATGCTACATATGCTATATATATGCAATATATATATGCTACATATATGCAATATATATGCTATATATATGCAATATATATGCTATATATATATGCAATATATATGCTATAGATATGCAATATATATGCTATAGATATGCAATATATATGCTATATATATATATATATGCAATATAAGCAAATAATTTATATTGGATTTCATGAAGTATCCTAATGAGACATTTGTAGGATAAGGATTTGTCAGATAATAGGGGATGGAGATTAGTTTTCAAATGTACATAGGAAGGCCTATGCAGTGGAAAAATCTTATTTCAAATAAGAAACTGCAGCCTGGACAACATGGCAAAACCCCCTCTCTACAAAACATACAAAAATTATCTGGGCACGATGGCTTGTACCTGTAATCTCAGCTACTCTGGAGGCTGAGGTAAGAGGCTTCCTTGAGCCCAGGAGGCGGAGCTTGCAGCAAGCTGAGATAATGCCACTGTACTCCAGCCTGGGTGAGAGAGAGACCTTGTTTGAAAAAAAAAAAAAGAAAAGAGAAGGAAAAGTAGGCCAGTGTGACTTGACTTGACTACAGTGAACAACAACAACAACAACAAAATGACAGAAAAAAAAATAGGCAGGGACTCACCACTTAGGATTTTGTACTAATGCTTGTAAAAATACAATTGTATACCCAAGCCTATTGAAAGTTTTAATTAAGGGACTGACATACTGACTGCAGTTGAGAGTCACATACTTTTGTAAAATGTGGCAAATCATTGGATTATTTCAAGTGCAATTGATAAAAGATTACAGGGAAACACGGAACTGGTAGAGAAGAAATTAACAGACTCAGATGCATTTTTTCAAAGAACAGTGAAAAAAAGGTGTTTTTAATTTTTAAAATGTTATTTTATTATTTAAAATCAATAGTAGCTCATAATACATTTGCAAAAAAATCCTGTTCAAGCACTTATTACATTTTTTTCTAATTTTTACATATAAATATATATATAATTTTTTTTTTAGACGGAGTCTTGCTCTGTCACCAGGCTGGAGTGCAGTGACACAATCTTGGCTCACTGCAACCTCCGACTCCCTGGTTCAAGCAATTCTCCTGCCTCAGCCTCCTGGGTAGCTGGGATTACAGGCACGTGCCACCATGCCCAGCTAATTTTTGTATTTTTAGTAGAGACAGGGTTTCTCCATGTTGGCCAGGATGGTCTTGATTTCCTGACCTTGTGATCCGCATGTCTCGGCCTCCCAAAGTGCTAGGATTATAAGCGTGAGCCACCACGCCCAGCCTCACAAATATATTTTAATTTATTAATTAACATGACATATGACACATTATTTCTTAAAAATTTACAGCTATCAAAGTAATCTTAGGGGTCATCTAGTCTAATTTTCACTCCAAATTATAATCCCTATATACATTTTTCCCACTAGTTCTCACTGATGTTACTTAAAAGAAAAAAATCTGTCCCATTGTATTAAAATGAGTCTATTTAAATCCAGAGAATTTCAGCTCCCTGAAACTTCTGACTTTTAATAATATAAAATCTGCCTTTTAACTTTTACTTCAAATTACTTAATTAATAAACTGCCAGTGACTTATTCTTGCTTCACATTCATGAAACATCTAAAATCCTAAATTATTACTATATGTTTAAACAAGGTTTAGTATTCTCCCAATGTTTTTGTATTCTGTTAACACGGCAACCTAGTATGGTATTCTACATTTCTAAGCATTCTGTCACTTCTCCTTTCGCTTTGATCCTTCTTTTGATAACTTCATACAAAGTAATATCCACTTGGCTCATCGCTTCTTAGATAATTTAAGACTCTATCTAGATATTATCACTTTAGTAACATTATTAGATGACTTTGCATTTCTTGTTAGTATGTGTTGTATTTAAACAGCAACATCTTTTTGTTTGTGGTTTCTGTCAAGTTCTTTTTTTATTTCAATCTGAACCCAAGTGATTTTTCACTTAAATTCTTCCTTAAAATTATCTATTTCTATATATGAATATATTCCCAAGAAATATTGTATTATGCCAATACCTAGTTTATTATATATGTTGATTTTGCACAGCCCTATCAATGTTAATTACAGTGTGTTCTTCAGCACTATATTCAATGATTTAGCCATGCTTGTCAGCATTTTTTCCTTAGAATATACTTGACTCTCTATTGTTGCATGTTAAAGCCATTTCACTTTTGCATTCTTAAATATAAATGAAGGAAAACTAGTTCCTTTAAACTTTAAGATTATAATTTGTTTTTATTTATTTATTTATTTTGAGACAGAGTCTCACTCTGTTGTCCAGGTGGAGTGAAGTGGCGTGATCTCAGCTCACTGCAACCTCCACCTCCTGGGTTCAAGTGATTCTCCTGCCTCAGCCTCACAAACAGCTGGGATTACAGGCAAGTGCCACCACTCCTGGCTAATTTTTGTATTTTTAGTAGAGATAGGTTTTTGCCATGTGGGCCAGGCTGGTCTGGAACTCCTGAACTCAGGTGATTTGCCTTCCTCAGCCTCCCAAAGTGCTGGGATTACAGGCTTGAGCCACTGAGCCTTGCCTAAGATTATGATTTGTGCTATTAATTTATTGAAAATAATTTTCTTTTTCAAAGTAGTTATATCACTTTCTAAATTGTTCAAATGTTTCCTCATTAGCCCTACTTTCTTTACAAACATGTATATGTATGTTCATGTAATATGTATGTATATGTAATATGTGGCATTTAAAAAGCAGGCACATAGCTTAGTTATTATGGTGGTTCCATATCTATTTTTGTGTCATCTTTGATGTTTAGAGTGACTATATGACCTGATTTGGACGATGAAATGTGTGGAGTAATGAAGTGCATCGTTTCTGGGTGAATGATTTAATAGCCAGTGTATTAGTCAATGTGTTGTCATACACCACCTACAGCTAATATGGAAACTTGTACTGACATGGAGCCCTTAATGCTTAACTGTTTTTCACTGAACAAAAAATTATTTCCTTTATATTAAAGAAATTATTTACGTAATTTAAAAATAAGTATGAATCAAATTTATATGACAGAATATGGACTATTAGCACTTTTTAAAACACAATTATCAGAACGGGGGCTTGGATATGGCATTTTATGGTGTTTGATAGTGTTTTTTTGGCTCTAATTGGAGTATTAAGTACTAATACTGTATTAATAATTGCACTTTGGGGTCATCACGATACTACAAGAGTTTTATAGATATTGCTACTAGCCTTACTGAAATCCATTTTCTCTTTTGCCTTATTATAAAAATCTTCATATTTATAGAGTAGAAACATAGCCAATTAAAGTATTCAGGTAACCAAGGTCCTAGAAAGCTGGCTACTTAACATTTTAGGATAATCATTTTTGTTATAATTTAGTAAATAATATTCATTTTACACTGAATAACACTCATTTATGAAAGTTTCTCAGGTGTTTCCTCACTGTATTTTCTCACATGTAATATGAAGCCATGATATGCCATCCTGGAGAACAAAACACGGTCATGCTTAACAGCAGGAAGACATTCTGAGAATCGTGTCAGCTAATTTTGTCTTTGTGTGAACATTATAGAGTATACTTACACACACCTAAATGGTACAATCTGCTACATACCTAGGCTACAAGGTACAGCCTATTGATCCCAGGCTGCAATCCTGGACAGCATGTTACTTTACTGAATACTGTAGGCAATTGGAACACAATGGGAAGTACTTGTGTATTTAAACATAGAAAAGACACAGTAAAAATACAGTATAAAACAAAACACGGTACACCTTTTTTTATGGTATGGGACACTTACCATGAATGGAGCTTGCAGGATAGAACTTGCTCTGGGTGAGTCAGTGAGTGAGTGGTGAGTGAATGGGAGTCCTAGGACGAGACTGTACACTCACTATAGACTTTATCAGCACTGTACACTTAGGCTACACTAAATTTCTTTAAAAAGTTTCTTTTTTCAATAATAAATTAACCTTTGCTACTATAATATTTTTACTTTATAAGCATTTTAATTTTTAACGTTTTTTGCTCCTTTGTACTAACACTTAGCTTAAAAGACAAACACATTGTTCAGCTGTGCAAAAATGTTTTATTTCTTTATATCTTCAGTCTATAAGCTTTCTTCTATTTTAAATTTTTTTAACTTTTCTGTTAAGAAGTAAAATACAAACACACCCATTAGCCTAGGCCTGCGTAGGGTCAGGATCCTCAATAGCACTGTCTTCCACTGCCACCTCTTGTCACACTGGAAGGTTCAATTGCCCACTTCAGGGGCAATAGCATGTATGGAGCTGTCATCGTCTATGATAACAATATCTTCCTCTGGAACCTCTTGAAGGACTTGCTTGAGGCTGTTCTACAGTTAACTTTCTGAAAAACTAAGTACAAGGAGTACACTCAAAAATAATGATAAAACATATGGTAAATACATAAACCGATAACATAATTATCATCATGATTAAGTATTATGTACTGTACCTAGTTGTATTTACTCTACTTGTATGTGACTGGCAGCACAGTAGGTTTGTTCACATCAGCTTCATCACAAGCCAGTGAGTAATGTGTCGTGCTATGATCTAACAATGGCTACAACATCACAAAGCAATAGGGATTTTTCAGCTCCAATTTAATCTTATGGGACCACCATCGTAAATACAAGAAGTCGGTGATTCATGCGTCATCATGCAGCTCACGACTGTGTAAGAAAAGGTTTCTGGGTAGGACTTTTGGACAAGCTATTTAAAAGAGGTCAGGCTCAGCTGCCTTTTCTCCTTGCCTCCTCCACTTTGCTCTTCATCATTTGGCCTTTTTCTGGCTTCCTGACTGGAGGACAGATGGGATAAGCAGAAGAGGAGCAGCTAGATAACCACTGCGAGGAAAAAAAAATCATACGCTAAAAATGGCAGAGAAGGATGGAGACACCACCCCTGAATGATTTTCCTTGCAATTATTATTACATGAGAAAAATAATTGCTTATATAGTTCAATTAACAAAATTGTTGAATATCTGTTACATGAAGCCAAAAGCAATGACTGACTTACTATTCTCTGCATAGTTTGGGAGAAAATCAACACTTTAAATCTATTAAATACATAATGTATCTTAAAAATAAATTGCTAAAATTAATAAAACCACAACAAACCTGTGCTTTCCACCCCTTCACCTCTCCATTCCCCTTTTCATTTTTCACCTTTTGCAAACAAAAGTTTAATCACAGGAAGTAGTTCCAGTTTAGAGCAAAGTTCAAGATTCCATAAAAACACAAACAATATTTTAATACATATTAAATAATTTAAATTTATCAATATGATACGAAGTTTCTAGCTAGAATGCACAGTGATGATAATTATGCTGTTGAATGAAAACTGGGTTGTGATACTGATTCTCAGTTTGATTAAGGCATAATATTAGGCAGTTATTTTATGTCTCTAAACTTCTGTTTCTTCATCTGTCAAATGCTAATACAATATTTATTTATTTTAAACTTTTATTTTAAGTTCAGGGGTACACGTTCACGTTTGTTATACAGGTAACTTGTGTTATGGGGGCGATTGTTGTACAGATTAGTTTATCACCCATGTATTAAGTGTAGTATTCATTAGTTACTATTTCCTTATCCTCTCGCTTTTTCTACCCTCCACCCTCTGATAGGTGCCAGTGTGTATGTGTGTATCTGTATGGTTTCATGTATCTATATGTTCTCATCATTTAGCACCCACTTATAAGTGAGAACACGTAGCATTTGATGTTCTGTCCCTGCATTAGTTTGCTAAGGATAATGGCTTCCAGCTTCATCCATGTTCCTGCAAAGGACATGATCTCATTCTTGTTTATGGCTGCATAGTATTCCATGGTGTATATGTATGTACCACATTTTCTTTATTCTGTCTACAATTATAGGGGCATTTAGGTTGATTCCATGTCTTTGCTATTGTGAATAGTGCTGCAATGAACATTCATGTGCATGTGTCTTTATGACAGAATGATTTATATTCCTTTGGGTATATACCTAGTAGTAGAATTGCTAGGTCAAATGCTATTTCCGTTTTTAGGTCTTTGAGGAATTGCCACACTGTTTTCCACAATGGTTGAACAAGCTTACACTCCTGGCAACAGTGTATAAGCATTCCTTTTACTCCACAACCTCACCAGCATCCGTTATTTTTTGACTTTTTATTAATAGTCATTCTGACAGGTGTGAAATGGTATCACATTGTGGTTTTGATTTGCATTTCTTTAATGATCAGTGATGTTGAGCTTTTTTTCATGATTGTTGGCTACATGTATGTCTTCTTTTGAAAAGTGTCTGTTCATGTTCTTTGCCCACTTTTTAATGAGGTTGTTTGCTTTTTTCTTGCTAATACAGTATTTATGTCAGAAAGTTATTATAATGATGACCATAATTCCATAATACATGCTCAGTAACTGATGTATGTTTAATATTTTTTTCTCATATGTCTTGAGGTATAGGTATTGTTAAAGAGAGAATCTTTGCTGTAGAATTGAGCTTCATCCTGGGCATAGAGGATTAATTTGATATTTGTGTAATTTACTCATTTTAGGGAGTTGACTTAATTCTTCAGAAACAAAGATTATTATTTTCCAGTGGAGGATATTAAAACTTATTTTTATTCTGAGTGTGTTTTATTTGAGTCCAATGCTACAAAAGGGTGGTACAAAAACATGGAGTATGTTTTCCTTAACTCTGAAGTCTAGAGTAGATATCAACATATGAATTTGGGGGAGGGAAAGACAAACTAAATATTTAGTCTATAAAAGTAGGATTCTTTACATGTATTAGGAACTGCTCTCTGTGCACACTGAAATGAGATTTAAAATGTGGAAAGAAAGCAGAAATTGCCTTTATTTTTAGATACCTTCTACCTGCAATATTGTCCAGATACAGGGAGTTTCTACCATGTCACTGAAGTGTCCAGTCTCTCGCTTAACAGATGTTTAGAGGCAATTTTATTGACAGCTGCAATCATTTCATATTGTAGAATCAAAAATTCAGTGGTGAATTTTTAAACTTGGAAAGTCCTGTGGTAGCTTTCTGATACCTTCTTAGTGGTGCCCCAGGTGTTCCCCTCTCTGCTGGGTCTGTTTTAAAAGATTCCGGGGACCCTTCTGGGGAGACCAAAGAAGACCATACTACAAGAACTCTCTCTCTCTCTCTGACAAATTACAATGAATTCTTAAACACCAAATTACATGAGTTAATTTTTTTGTGGTTGAAATATGTAGAGTGGTTTGGTTATCGCTACTGAACCCTCATGAAGAGTACCTGCAAACCAGAAAGATATTTCAAATTCAATTTATTTATTTATTTTAAATGTTAAGGTCTTTCTTCTTCTCCATTTTCTCTGCCCCTTCTGTTTCTAATTACTACTCCTTCAACTTCATAGTTCTGCTTTAAAAACATTGTTAAAACTAGTTTTACATTAGTTGACGCTTTAAAAAATTTTGCATCTCTGTCCCTACACTCCTAATTCTCACATGCTGACTTTACCTGTAGAAATGACTTTATCTCTAACAAAAAAACTTATCCTCACTCTAAAGTGACCCTGTCCGACATGTCCAGACACTTAGGTGAAGATCGTCATGAATTTACTGGAAGTAAATTAGAAATCCAGGAAGACTTTTATGTTAAATATTGTCCTTGGTGATGAGAAAAGCCCATTTGTATCCATGAATAATAAACAATGTTTCCTCTGACATTCTATTCTCAAAAGTTTTAAAAATGTTCTATTCAAGAAACCAGGATTTTTCTTACATATTTATGCTTATGTGCTCATTTCACTTTTGTTGGACATGGCAAGTGTTGATCAAAAGGAAGAAAGGAAAGAAAGAAAGGAATGATCAATGTAAGAAAAGAACAGAAAAAAATCTAGTGAGTAGAAAGATGGAAAAGGGTATTTTCAATTACAGAAAGAGAAATATTGAATGCGGTATAAGAATAACAAAACTGAACATGAAGAGGAGATATAGATAGATATAGATATAGATATAGATATGGATATAGATATCTATTAGCACCCAAGATGCATCTCTCCACTGCCACCTTGTAATTTGTACAGTTCCTCTTCCAAATTTTACACCGAGTAAGTCTATGCAACCAGTTGATTAAGCAGAAGTTACGCTGTGTAATTTACAGGTTAGGTTATAAACACTGAGCAGAGATTGTCATTGGGCTCTTGCTTGCTTATGCTGTCATTCTCTTTCTCTTTCTTTCATCCCTCACTCTGGGTGAGGTCAGCATCCGTGTGTTGTGTATAGCCTATTAGGAGACCCACCTAGCTGGGAACTGAAGCCTCTTTCTATCAGCCACAGGAATGGGTTTGAAAAGAGATTGCCCAGTGTCTTCAGATGACTGCAGTCACGACTGACAACTTGGTGCAACTTCATGAGAGATGCTGAGCCACAACCACCCAGCTAAGTCATGTTCACATTCCTAACCCTCAGAAACTGTGTGAAATAATAAATGTTTAAATGTTTGTTGTAAGTTCTGAAGTTTTGAAGTAATTTGTTACACAGCAATTGAGAGATAATACGTGAATATATAGATACATTGATGTGTATGTATATGTGTGTATATAAATTTACAATTAACTTTGATGAATGTTGCTGACTAAAGTTAAATATAACAATTTAAAGTCAACATTGTTTTCAGTGCATTATTGGAATAGCTTGGCAGAGTCCTTAAAGTAACCCAAAATATAAATTCCTTCTGCCATCTATTGGTGACTTGAATAACTTCCCAGATTATTTTGTAGTTTTATTCTTTTAAGGATGAGCTATATTTGAAATGTACACAGATATATTCTAAGCTCTTGAATATTAGCTGTTTAATATTGACAAAAATTTTTTATCATTCCTATTATCTCACTAGATAACCACTTATCCTAGAGAAAACATGTTTATTTTAATATAAAAAGTTTTTAAAAATCTTCTTTTTTTGCTACATTATTTCTAAGCTTAGTGTCCTTTAATAAAATATTTAATATTATGCTTTTCAAATTTTATTTTAAAAAATTTCTAAATTCTTAATAATTTACTTTCAGCAAAACTTACTTTCAGCATAGTTTTAGTGTAAAGTGCATTGCATTTTTTCACCTCATACGCTCCCCATGATATTCCCTGCTTCAACTGTCTTAACTGAGCAAAAGAAATAGGAGGCGATTAGCAATGCTCACACAACACTTTATGCAAAATTATTTTCTTTTAGAACAACTAATCTGGTGCCACCTTATAAATGTTTACATTCCACACTTTCAAATTACTGTAGGTGTTTGTTTTTCCCCATACTTTATCTCCTATATTACTTTTATTCTGTACATTATAACATTCAAAGTAATTTCAGAGTGTTAAATAATGATGATAATGAATACCTCAAAAAGAAGAAAGCAAGATATATTAGCGCAATAGAAATATATCAAATAGAAGGATAAACAGATTGATCGATTGATATATAGATCTCATTTGCAAAGATTAGAAGAAAAATTCTAAAAGCAGTAGTAAGTCCAATTCAGACAAACCAAATTTATTCTTTTGTTATACTGGTTTCTCCTGACTATAAATCGTTCTGTCCCAGTGGGCTAGTCATTATAGAAAATTAGTTAGTGTGTTACTTCCATGCTGAGTAGAATAGTTCTGTTATTAAAGCATTTTTTTCCGTAGGCAGTATATTGACACTTGCGTAATTTAAGAAAAAAAAATGAATCTCATCAAACACCTGGTATTCATTAGTGCTTTTTATCCACCTGGTATTCATTAGTACTTTTTATCCATGTATTCCTGCTCAAAATTTTGATCACTTAGTCCCTTCTGTGTAGATGACACAAACAAAGCTCTCTTAAGTGAGAATTTATTTTCATAAGCCAAGCTTACAGCGCAACACAGCACATTTATTTTCCTTTTAATGTTGAAGATGAGATAGAGTTAGTGAGGTATTTACGAAAGAGTTGATTGAAAAGAAATTTATGAGAACACAACTGACATTTTCTCATTTTTGACTTACCTTTTCTGACATCTTATGGGAACTGTGACTGAACCTGTCAAGAAGAAATTAACGAGGACTCAGGGGATAATTTCTTAATGTACAATTAGTGAGCAGTTTTCTTTTATGGCTCCTTTACAAGTAGGATAATACAGAAAATCATCTACAAAGGAAACTCTATTCTCCTGTTTATGATTAATTTTGACGTTGTTAGCAAATGTTTTCTTGTGACCATACTGACCTTACAAATTTGTGTATGAAAACCATGAAGAAAATATTTTTAAAGGGGTTATTCTAAAGTCATTAGTGGCTGAATGACACAATATTTTATAAAATTTTTCATGTTAAATCGAGATGTAAAGATAAATTACTACAGTATATATTTCATTGAAAATTGTATAGAGTAAATTTATATAAACAGAAATTAATAGTTGTTATACCTGTATATTTTGTCATACTCCTTATGTAGTTGTTCAAATTTACTACCTTTGTGATGCATATGTGCATTAAATATTTACAAACAATATTTTAGTTTACTGAATTGTTCATTATTATTGTGTTGTACTGACTAATGTATATTTAGAATTTTTTAAAATTATAGGAATTACTGTTGATTGTGGAAGCCACAACTTTATTCTAATCCATGTAAGTGTTTTCAAAGCTAATGCATCATTGTTTTGAATACATGGCCCAATAATTGCTTAGTACATGATGAGTCTATTGAACTTCGTATATTCTTCCAAAAAATGGAATCTGATGTCCTATAGAAACAGACTCAGTCAAAATAAGGAGATTGAGAGGGTCTTTGAAGCTGTATTCACACATGAGGGAATGAAATACTGCCTGTGATCTTAAAATGACAGCAAAAAAGAAAAAGACATACAAAATGGAAGAAAAAAGAAGACAACTAAAAAACACCCATATTTAGAAAGAGGCAATGAAGAAAAGATATTCCCAAAATATATTGGTATATCCTATAGCATTTTGTGAATCCTAGAGGGTAAGGATTTGTTAGGTGAGTAAAAGGACCAAAGAATGTCCTTGGAATCAGCTTAGGAACTCAGTTCTTTGGAAATGGACTGTTTCTTGGCACCTGCTTGTGCGTTCTATTCTTCATTTGTTCATTCAGTAATCAGGTATTTAGCATCTTCTGTATTCTGAAAACTGTTCTAGGCATTGAGTATTTTTCAGTGAACAAAATTAGACAAACATCTGCCTTCACTGAGCTTTCAGTTTATCCTGGTGTCTTTGATGCTGCAAGAGTTTTACTTGTCAGGTATGATTAAATGTTACACTAAGAAAAGTAATGAAGAAGAATTTCCGCAAGGGTGTAAGAGTAGAGACATTATCATCACAACAATCTACTTCTGACTGGTACTTGAAGATTCACTTCCAAATTGGTTAGCTACATGAATTGCAATATTTTGTTTTATTATTTTGGAATTTCTGATAACGCAGCTCCTTTGGTAAACTGCTTATCGATTCAGTTTGGGGTCTCTCTTGGTGTATGTCATCTTCAATCAGACTGCTTCCCAAATCACCAAATCTGATACATTTTTCTGGGTTTCTGTTGCCCATTATTTTTCTCCTGGTAAAAGCATTAATCTCAGCACAGAAGAGTAATGGCTTTCAGTATTGGAGATGTAACTTTCCTTATATAATCTTGAAAAGTTACTTTGTCCATGGTACATAAGAATTCCAACCTCAAAGTGGAGGAATCTTCACATTGGGGAAATAGAGAGAGATCCATTGCAGACATTTTGAAAAGACCTGGAGGTATATGTTCCCCTGTTGTCCAAGCCTACTCCTATGTCCCCATTTTCCTTGCCTAAGGACAAGGCCAGAAAGAGGCCAGCAAATTCCCTATTCTTTAATTTATAATTTTTTAGTTGAGATTAGAACTGTATCCCCTGAAACTAGACGTATAGGTAAACATCTCTACAGCTAAATGACTGAGACCTCTTATTGCAAAATAATACCAAATGACATGGACTGAATGTTTGTGTCCCTCCAAAATTTATATGTTGAAGCCTAATCCCTAATGCAATGGTGTTTGGAGATGGGAGCTTTGAGAAGTGATTAGGTCAGGGCCCTAATGAATGGGATTAGTGCCTTTTGAAGAAGAGACACAGAGAGCTTACGTCATCAATGGGATCAGTACATTTAAAAGAAGAGACATGTGTCTCTATCTCCTTCAGTTCTGCTCTGATCTTAGTTATTTCTTGCCTTCTGCTAGCTTTTGAATGTGTTTGCTCTTGCTTCTCTAGTTCTTTTAATTGTGATGTTAGGGTGTCAATTTTAGATCTTTCCTGCTTTCTCTTGTGGGCATTTAGTGCTATAAATTTCCCTCTACACTCTGCTTTGAATGTGTCCCAGAGATTCTTGTATGTTGTGTCTTTGCTCTCATTGGTTTCAAAGAACATCTTTATTTCTGCCTTCATTTCCTTATGTACCCAGTAGTCATTCAGGAGCAGGTTGTTCAGTTTCCATGTAGTTGAGCAGTTTTGAGTGAGTTTCTTAATCCTGAGTTCTAGTTTGATTTCACTGTGGTCTGAGAGACAGTTTGTTATAATTTCTGTTTTTTACATTTGCTGAGGAGTGCTTTACTTCCAACTATGTGGTCAATTTTGGAATAAGTGTGCTGTGGTGCTGAGAAGAATGTATATTCTGTTGATTTGGGGTGGAGAGTTCTGTAGATGTCTATTAGGTCTGCTTGGTGCAGAGCTGAGTTCAATTCCTGGATATCCTTGGTAACTTTCTGTCTTGTTGATCTGTCTAATGTTGACAGTGGGGTGTTAAAGTCTCCCATTATTATTGTGTGAGTGTCTAAGTCTCTTTCTAGGTCTCTAAGGACTTGCTTTATGAATCTGGGTGCTCCTGTATTGGGTGCATATATATTTAGGATAGTTACCTCTTCTTGTTGAATTGATCCTTTTACCATTACATAATGGCCTTCTTTGTCTCTTTTGATTTTTGTTGGTTTAAAGTCTGTTTTATCAGAGACTAAGATTGCAACCCCTGCCTTTTTTGTTTTCCATTTACTTGGTAGATCTTCCTCCATCCCTTTATTTATTTATTTTTTTTTTTAAATTTTTTTTTTTTATTATACTCTAAGTTTTAGGGTACATGTGCACATTGTGCAGGTTAGTTACATATGTATACATGTGCCATGCTGGTGCGCTGCACCCACTAACGTGTCATCTAGCATTAGGTATATCTCCCAATGCTATCCCTCCCCCCTCCCCCGACCCCACCACAGTCCCCAGAGTGTGATATTCCCCTTCCTGTGTCCATGTGATCTCATTGTTCAATTCCCACCTATGAGTGAGAATATGCGGTGTTTGGTTTTTTGTTCTTGCGATAGTTTACTGAGAATGATGGTTTCCAATTTCATCCATGTCCCTACAAAGGACATGAACTCATCATTTTTTATGGCTGCATAGTATTCCATGGTGTATATGTGCCACATTTGCTTAATCCAGTCTATCATTGTTGGACATTTGGGTTGGTTCCAAGTCTTTGCTATTGTGAATAGTGCCGCAATAAACATACGTGTGCATGTGTCTTTATAGCAGCATGATTTATAGTCCTTTGGGTATATACCCAGTAATGGGATGGCTGGGTCAAATGGTATTTCTAGTTCTAGATCCCTGAGGAATCGCCACACTGACTTCCACAATGGTTGAACTAGTTTACAGTCCCGGGCGAAGGACATGAACAGACACTTCTCAAAAGAAGACATTTATGCAGCCAAAAAACACATGAAGAAATGCTCATCATCACTGGCCATCAGAGAAATGCAAATCAAAACCACTATGAGATATCATCTCACACCAGTTAGAATGGCAATCATTAAAAAGTCAGGAAACAACAGGTGCTGGAGAGGATGTGGAGAAATAGGAACACTTTTACCATCCCTTTATTTTAAGCCTATGTGTGTCTCTGCATGTGAGATGGGTCTCCTGAATACAGCACACTGATGGGTCTTGACTCTTTATCCAATTTGCCAGTCTGTGTCTTTTAATTGGAGCATTTAGCCCATTTACATTTAAGGTTAATATTGTTATGTGTGAATTTGATCCTGTCATTATGATGTTAGCTGGTTACGTTGCTCGTTAGTTGATGCAGTTTCTTCCTAGCCTCAATGGTCTTTACAATTTGGCATGGTTTTGCAGTGGCTGGTACCGGTTGTTCCTTTCCATGTTTAGTGCTTCCTTCAGGAGCTCTTTTAGGGCAGGCCTGGTGGTGACAAAATCTCTCAGCATTTGCTTGTCTGTAAAGGATTTTATTTCTCCTTCACTTATGAAGCTTAGTTTGGCTGGATATGAAATTCTGGATAGAAAATTACTTTCTTTAAGAATTTTGAATATTGGCCCCCACTCTCTTCTGGCTTGTAGATTTTCTGCTGAGAGATCAGCTGTTAGTCTGATGGGCTTCCCTTTGTGGGTAACCCGACCTTTCTCTCTGGCTGTCCTTAACATTTTTTCCTTCATTTCAACTTTGGTAAATCTGAGGCATCATGCTACCTGACTTCAAACTATACTACAAGGCTACAGTAACCAAAACAGCATGGTACTGGTACCAAAACAGAGATATAGACCAATGGAACAGAACAGAGCCCTCAGAAATAATGCCGCATATCTATAACCATCTGATCTTTGACAAACCTGACAAAAACAAGAAATGGGGAAACGAGTCCCTATTTAAAAATGGTGCTGGGAAAACTGGCTAGCCGTATATAGAAAGCTGAAACTGGATCCCTTCCTTACACCTTATACAAAAATTAATTCAAGATGGATTAAAGACTTAAATGTTGGACCTGAAACCGTAAGAACCCTAGAAGAAAACCTAGGCAATACCATTCAGGACATAGGCATGGGCAAGGACTTCTTGTCTCAAACACCAAAAGCAATGGCAACAAAGCCAAAATTGACAAATGGGATCTAATTAAACTAAAGAGCTTCTGCACAGCAAAAGAAACTACCATCAGAGTGAACATGTAACCTACAGAATGGGAGAAAATTTTTGCAATCTACTCATTTGACAAAGGGCTAATATCCAGAATCTACAATGAACTCAAACAAATTTACAAGAAAAAAACAAACAACCCCATCAAAAAGTGGGCAAAGGATATGGACAGACGCTTCTCAAAAGAAGACATTTATGCAGCCAAAAGACACATGAAAAAATGCTCATCATCACTGGCCATCAGAGAAATACAAATCAAAACCACAGTGAGATACCACCTCACACCAGTTAGAATGGCGATCATTAAAAAGTCAGGAAACAGCAGGTGCTGGAGAGGATGTGGAGAAATAGGAACACTTTTACACTGTTGGTGGGACTGTAAACTAGTTCAACCATTGTGGAAGTCAGTGTGGCGATTCCTCAGGGATCTAGAACTAGAAATACCATTTGACTCAGCCATCCCATTACTGGGTATATACCCAAAGGATTATAAATCATGCTGCTATAAAGACACATGCACACATATGTTTATTGCAGCACTATTCACAATAGCAAAGACTTGGAACCAAGCCAAATGTGGAACTCCAAGAATGATGAGGTGCACCTGACCCAATGAGGTGATCTGCAACTTGTATCCAGGCAGAACTATATGTTTAAAGCTAGTCCTTATAGCTGGAAAAGAACAGTTATACTTCGAAGACTTCTGATTAGATTTATATTTAAACATTATCACCCACTATTGTGTCCCCTTTAGAATGTTACCAATCTCTCTATTGGATATCCTAGTTGTGATGTTTTCCTACTACATTACTCAGATAAACTTTTTTTGTTAAAGAACTCTTGTCTGTCTGAATTTTACTTTAATCCACAACTACCATTGGCATATATCAATTTAGTAGTTAATCCCATTCTTAGGCAGTATCTAGTGGGAAAACTGACAATAGAGAAGCAATTCTTTATTTCTAAAAGCTGCACAAACAATTCGCCTCTCTGGCCATTAGCAATCTGAGACTAAATGCAGAAAATGATTTCAGCAAGAGAGATACAGAATTGCTTCTTTTGTCCTAATAGCTCTGAGCTTGGTGACCCAGAAACAGGATGTCTCTGTTTTCTGTTTTATCAAGGCAAAAAGAAATAAACAACATACATGTTTACATTTGGTTGTCATCAAGTCTCTACAAAGACCTTCCTCTCCTCTGTGTTAGTCTGTTCTAGGTTCTGAAAGACAATAGGAAAGACGTTATAGCTGCTTTATACCTACAAAGAGTAAATATCTTCCCATCCCACACATTCTGCCTCCAGGTCTAAGTGCACATTTTCTTTGAGGATCTGCTTCTTTTAATCACACTTCTTAGAGAGGTGACTATGAGGGTTACATGGTAAAACAAAAGATAAAATAAAAGCACATTCTACATAGGAGTAGTGTCTGGCACGGGATACTTTCCCAGAAAACGTTAGTTCTGTACACACACACACACACACACACACACACACTCACAGACTTTTTGTTTCCTAACTTTGCATTCTAAAGCAAAATAACATGTTTCCTGTCATTAGCTTTACTTTCTTTATCTATGCTTTTAAATGTTCCATGTGGCATCTGTTTTCCTCTACTTATGTTCTCAAAATATAAAAGGTCATTTAATACTAATAAATTATATCTAGAGAGTAAAAGTAAAGACATTTGCTTTGGGTTACTAGCTCATGTTTATCCAAGTCACATTCAGATGCAGTCCCTTCTGCAAGTCATTGACATATTTAGATAAATGGGATAACACATTTCAATGAATATGGGAAAAGCCAATTCACCAGAGGCAAGAGTGAAGTATTATGGGGAAATTCATTTCCCTTGCCTTTTGCCCTTCATTAACAAAAATGAATGAGGAACTGAGATCATTAAAGAGCTGGTTGAAAATCAAAGAGCAGAATAACAGTGTTACCAATAAACAAAGTCTTAAGAATAATAACAGGATAAATAATGTAATACTCAATAGGCCTGTTTCTGCTAATCCCCATTAAAGGACGAATCTTAGCACTGAGAATTCTAGCAAGATATTTGACAGGATAAGTACTGATTGAGAGTTTAGTTAACATTTCTTTTGAGTTTAGATTTATATCTGTCTTATATCTTAAAGAACATGCTGGGAAACTACAATAAGATATGTATTCTTTCTCAGGGAGTAGACTCCAGAGAAAGGGCTTATCAGAATACTTTACAATAATACCACTTTATCTTAAATAATATAATCCTGTAAAAGCAATACATAGGGAGAAAGGACTAGTGAATATAATACACTTTGTTTCTTCAAGTCACAAGAGAATAACTTGTTTTTGTTACTTGGCTGAGATCTTTCCTGGTAAATTGCAAATCCCTCACTCTTTGTAATATTCTTTACAGGTCTACAAGAAAGGATAAAAGAATTGAAAGCTTCAATATTGTCCCTAAACCATAAAGCCTACTGAATTCCTCCTAGTAGCTTCAAGTCACCGTAATAGAAATTGTGTGACAGGTTTTAGACAGGTCTATAAATAAAATTAATGAGCAAATTTTAGCATACTTTTAAAGCATAATAAGACCTTATAAGATTGTGTTAATTGCTAAATAATCATCATATTCTGCACATGTTGTATATTTTCTATTCTTAAGTATGACTAGCCGATGTTTCTGTTCAAGTTCCCTAGTATTAATAAATATGTCTATAGAGTTTGGAAATAAAGATAATCTTTAAAAAAGAAACAAGTAGCAACACATAATAGAGGAAATTAGTTATTTTGGTAAGTTACCCTCCTAATGCTTGTAAGTGTGTTATTGGGTAGTTTAGTAAAACAGCAAATAAACATACATGCAATAATCAGAGTGACTGAACAAAGTATGAAAAATTAAATGAAGTCAAAACAGTTTTTTTAAATAAGATTATTTGATGAAAAACAATTTTAAAAAGAGTATATTATCTACATATAATACAGAAAATGAAGGACCTAAAACCCACGCACTTAGCAAAATTTTTCTCACTTTTCAGGGAAAAGAGTGAGAAATAGGCAGTTGAGTAATTAGAGGCTGAGCACTCCATAATGCGGGAGGGAGAGTCCATCAATCTCTTTGAAAACCTGGGCAGAGTTATTATCTCTTCAACTACCACATCCTTTTCACGTCATCTACTTAGAGTGATTAGAATTCCTAAGCAACAGGATGCTAGAATTGATGGTTTCTAATTTGTCCAAAGGGTCTTTGCTGAACACCTACTATAGGGCAGGCAGAGATGACATAAAAAGTAATCAAAATTAATCCATGTTATTTCAAATGATTTCTTTAAAATTTAATTTTATGATTTATCGGACCAGTAGTCCTACATTTAAAGCTTTAATTAATTAATTTTCATAATTATTAAACATAAACCGTATAACTGGAGTTCTGTACCTAGTAAGTACAAGTAAGTTTATGCCAGATTGGCTTTTTCCACACATACAAACTAAAAATGGACAAAATAAAAAATACCAAAAGCAAATAAAAAATGAACACATGCTGGCAAAATGTGGAAGGAAAATGACCCTTGGTAGAAAAAAAAATGCATGAGTTAACTTTCCTATATGTATTGACCTTCAGCTTCAGAATGGGCTGGAGTTGGCACTGCGTCTACAGAAAGCCCAGATTATGTTTGACTTGAAGAAATACAGGACTTTTTTTTTTTTTTTTTTTTTTTTTTTTTTTTTTTTTTTGAGATGGAGTCTCGCTCTGTGGCCCAGGCTGGAGTGCAGTGGCGCGATCTTGGCTCACTGCAAGCTCCACCTCTGGGGTTCACGCCATTCTCCTGCCTCAGCCTCCCAAGTAGCTGTGACTACAGGTGCCTGCCACCACGCCCAGCTAATTTTTTGTATTTTTAGTAGAAACGGTGTTTCACCGTGTTGGCCAGGAAGGTCTCTATCCCCTGACTTCGTGATCCGCCCGCCTCGGCCTCCAAAAGTGCTGGGATTACAGGCGTGAACCACTGCGCCTGGTCGGAAATACAGGGCACATTTAGGGAAAACCACAGCCATTGGAAAATGTGATAGGTTGGGTGGGGAGGGGAATTCTATCAAGCAGAGAGCAAGGATAAGTACCCCTAATAAACCCTGTCATTTTTTCCTTTTGACTCCAAAATCACACTTAACAGCCCAGGTAAAATTTAAAAACAAAAACAAAAACTTGAGATCTGAGGTGCCATCCTCAAAATGCCAGAATTATTTATAGAAATATAAAAAAACTATAGTCCTCACAAAATAATATTCACAGTGTTCAGGATACAAACCAACATTGCTTAATAAATAAAGAAATATAAAAAGTGCCACATTCTAAAAAGAAAAGATAATAAAGGGGAAACCAATCTGAGATCATGTAAATAGCAGACTATGATATTAAAATAGCTGTTATAATGATCTTCAATGAGCTAAAAAATTTCTAGCAATAAATGAAACTATAGAAAATCTTAGCAGGGAAACATAAACTACCAAAAATAGAAACCCTAATATTAACGAAAAATATATGTTAATTAAAATGATGGGATAACTTGAGAGTGTAATAGTGATAAAATAGAAAAATCAATAAACTTGGAAGTGATAGTAAATATACCTCTGATTGGATTGTTATGTTTCCATTTTCATGCTCTTCAAAATATATTATAATTTCTCTTGTGTTTTGTTTTTGATTTATGGATTATTTTAAAAAGTATTATTTAATTTCAAAACATTGGAGATTTTCCAGATCTCTTTATGTTATTGATTTTTAATTTAGAGAACATACTTTATATAATTTTAAATTCACCTAATTTCATATGTGTTAATTTTATTGCCTAAATGTGGTCCATTTTGGCGAATGTCATTGTGGACTGAAAAAAACAAAAAAAGTATTCTATTACTGGTCAGAGGGTCCTATAGTTTTTGATTAGGTGTATTTGTTTGATAGTGTTGTTGAAGGTTCCTATATACTTTCTTTTTTTTGTATCCACTTGTGTTAACAATTACACATGTAATTGGGTAAAGAGTGTTGAAATACCTAATTACAATTATGGAGATATCTGTTTCTCATTCTGATAAAAAAAAGTTGAAATATCCAATTATAATTATGAAGATATCTATCATTTCAGTTTTATTAGTTTTTTTCACATTTTAAAGCCTCAATACCTGCATATATAGGCTTGTTATGTTGTTATGTTTCTTTGATTAATTGATCACTTTATTATTATGAACGATGTTTCTTAATCTCAGTATTTCTTGTATTGATGTCAATTTTATTTAGTGTTTGTATAATCACTCCAGATCTCTTTTGATTAGAGTTTGGTTAGTATTTGCATGTATATCTTTTACCATTCTTTCACTACTAGTCTGTGTATATAGGTATATTTAAAGAGGGTTTCATGTTGAAAGCAATAGTAGGTTCTTAAATTTTTATTTAATATTATAATCTCTTGTTTTTTGTTGAGGCATTTAGACCATTTACATTTGTTATAATTAAGAAGAAAGCTAAATGCAGTGGTTCACACCTGTAATCCCAGTACTTTTTGGAGACTGTGGCAGGAGGATTTCTTGAGGCCAGGTTTTCAAGACCAGCCTGAGCAACGGAGAAAGACCCTGTCTCTACAAAAAATTTAAAATTAGCTGAATTTGGTGTGCGTGCCTGTAGTCTTAGCTACTCAGGAGGCTAAGACAGGAGGATTGCTTGAGCCCAGGAGTTTGAGGTTGCATTGATCTATGATCATACTCCTGCACTCCAGACTGGGTGACAGAGAAAGAAGAAAGTAGTGTTTAAGTCTAATATCTACCTGTTTGTGTTTCATTTGGTCCATTTGCCCTTTCCTGTTTTTTTCTCTATTCCTTAGCATTATTTTGGGTTAATTGAGTTTGACTGTGATCCAATTTTATTAATTACCTTATTACCTTTTATTTTTCACTCTTTTTTTTATTTTTAGTGATTCAACTGAGGTTTAAAATATGCATCTTTAATAATCATCGTCTTTATTCAAATAATATGATAGCATTTTACCTTACAATAAAATTTCATTATCTACCTCTTTTCCTTTATAATATTGTTGTCATTCATTTCCCCCCTATATATGCTGTAAATCAGACAAGGCATCATTATTATTTTTATGTTAAAGAGCTAATTTTCACAAGATGAAAAAGCAAGACATGAATTTCTTTTCTACATATCCACATATTTGCCCACATATTCATAATTTTCAGCACTTATATGTGTAGGTGTGAATTTCCATTCGGTATTATTTCCTCCCACCTTTCCAGTGTTTCTTAACATTTTTCATAATGCATTCCTGTTTTTAATGAGTTATCTCAGCTTTGGTTTAAACTTAAAAAAAGCTGTTATTTATACTTAATTATTTCAAGACTTTTTTCTTCTTTGGACAAAAATATCTACACTGGAGAAATTCTTGGCACTCTCTCAGCATGCCACTCTCAACACCAGTGAGGTCTTCAGCGTTAGCCAGTGAGTGATAACTTCATAGTCCTATGCTTAGCGTCTGCTTCCCTGGTCTACTCCTGGTAACAATATAAGGTTAGGTTTACTGGAAGCAGTGCATTTACTTTGTGAGCACTCTCAGAAGGCAGTGTCATGGGGTGGGTAACAGTAAAAACGGAGTCTCAACTGGAGATTTTTTGGTGTCTGGTCCCATTGCGAGACTCCACAACACAAAATGCCCCACAGATTTAGTGTCGCCTTGAAGCAATGGAGCTGGCATAATAGCTCCATGTCAGTTACTTCTTGGCTGAGGTTGGAGGGTAGGTGACAATGTGAGTGATGTGGGTGATTGGGAATAGCCTCCAGGAAGACGGAGTCCCTCTTTGGTTGAAGAAAATTCTCCGGAGAATGGGTCAACCGTGGATGAGTGTGGCTCCTGTATAAAAATCTGTGTACGACTTTTCAGGCCCTACTATATGTAATTAAAAAGGATTTATGTGGCAAGCTTCATGGGAAAAAATCACCCTCCCAGCAAGAGCCTTGGTGCACAGCCAATGCATCACACTCTCTGAGTCAGGGACTCAGGCCCCTCTGGCTGGTCATGCACTCACATATACATGCAGTCTTCGTCCAGAGGCCTTCAATCCTTGGTCTCTTTAAGTGGGGCCCTTTGCCAAGATCTTCAAACACTTTTGCTGAGGCTGCTTTATCTGGGAAAGTAGAAAGAGACTTTGCAGACATTTTTCCCCACTCTGCCTCAATACTCAGTGCAGTTTCACCAGTAGATATTTTGTTTACATCTCCCCCATGTCTAAGGTCCCTAAAAATTCAAGAGCTTTTGGTTCAGGGCTCCCTCAATAAAGATATGAAATTGCACATCTGCCCTGACCTCTGTACCATGAACATTTTCAAGGAGGAAAATGAAACAGAAGTCAACACTTTCTCCAGTTTAGACTCTTGCTTATTCCATTGCAGTAAATGATTAAAAGTTTTACTGTCACTTCCATTTTTGGCTTGTTGCTTGAACTGGGTCTTCTGCCACCTAGAAGCTCAGTTCCCTCATCAGCTCAGATGAGCAGCTGACAGTGGGTAGAGCCACCAGCAGCTGGAGGGGATCTGAGTGTGATACTTGGAGCATCTACTATAACCACTTTCTGTTGTGTTTATTCACTCTAGTTTACTCTTCATATTTTAAACATTAATTTCTTCATTTTTAACTGATATACAATAATTTTGTATGAAGTATAATGTGATCTATGTATACATTGTAGAAAGATTCAGTGAAGCTAATTAACATATTCATCACCTCACCAACTTTTTTTTTTGCAGTGGGAACTTTAAAAACCTATTCTCGCAATTTTGTAATTGCAATACATTATTATTAATGTGGTCACTATGCAGCACAAGAGATAACTAAAATATATTCCTCCAGTCTAACTAAAACTTTGCATCCTTTGATCAATATGTTTCTTTTCCCAATCCCTTCTTATCCCCCAGCCTTTGGGAACCATCTTTCTACTCTCTGTTTCTATGAGACAAACTTTTTCAAATTCCACAGATGTTTGTGAGATCATAAAATATTTATCTTTCTGTGCCTGGCTTATTTCACTTGCCTTAATGGTCCTCCAGGTATATCCATGTTGTCACAAATGACAGGGTTTTTTATTTTTTAAGGCTGTATAGTATTCCCTTGTGTCTATATACCACATTTTCATGATCCATTCATTTGTTGATGGTCATGGTGATGTTTCTGTTTTTGTTTGTTTGTTTGTTTGTTGTTGGCTACTGTGAAAAATGCGAGAATGAATATGGAAATGCAGATATCTATTTGTGGTACCGATTTCATTTTCTTTGGATATATACACAGTAGCAAGATTGCTGGATCATATGGTAATTCTACTTTTACTTTTTTGTAGAACCTCCATACAACTTTTCATAGTGGCTATCCTAATTTATATTCCCACCAACAGTGTGCGAGGGTTCCCATTTCTCCACATTCTCACCAAAATTGGTTATCATTTTTCTTTCCGAATATAGCCATTCTAACAGGAGTAAATTATGTCTCATTGTGGTTTTAATTTAATTTTCATAATGGTTAGTGATGTTGAGCACTTTTTAATTAATTAATTATTTATTTTTATTATTATTATACTTTAAGTTCTGGGATACATGTGTAGAACGTGCAGGTTTATTACGTACATATGCATGTGCCATGGTGGCTTGCTGCACCCATCAACACGTCATCTACATTAGGTATTTCTACTAATGCTATTCCTCCCCTTATCCCCACCCCCTGATAAGCTCCAGTGTGTGATGGTCCCCTCCCTGTGCCCATATGTTCTCACTGTTCAGATCCCACTTATGAGTGAGAACATCCAGTGTTTGGTTTTCTGTTCCTGTGTTAGTTTGCTGGGAATGATGGTTTCCAGCTTCATCTATGTCCCTGCAAAGGACATAAACTCATTCTTTTGTATGGCTGCATAGTATTCCACAGGGTATATGTGCCACATTTTCTTTATCCAGTCTAACATTGATGGGCATTTGGTTTGGTACCAAGTTTTTGCTATTGTAAATAGTGCTGCAATAAACATATGTGTGCATGTGTCTTTATAGTAGAATAATTTATAATCCTTTGGGTATATACTCATTAATGGGATTCCTGGGTCAAATGGTATTTCTGGTTCTAGATCCTTGAGGAATCGCCACACCGTCTTCCACAATGGTTGAACTAATTTACACTCCCACCAACAGTATAAAGCATTCCTATTTCTCCACATCCTCTCCAGCATCTGTTGTTTCCTGAATTTTTAATGATTGCCATTTTAACCAGCACGAAATGGTATCTCATTGTGGTTTTGACTTGCATTTCTCTAATGAACAGTGATGAGCTTTTTTTCATATGCTTGTTGGCCGCATAAATGTCTTCTTTTGAAAAGTGTCTGTTCATATCCTTTGCCCACTTTTTGATGGTTTTTTTTCTTGTAAATTTAAGTTCTTTGTAGATTCTGAATATTACCAATTTGTCAGATGGATCTATTGCAAAAATTTTCCCTCATTCTGTAGGTTGGCTGTTTACTCTGATGATAGTTTCTTTTGCTATGCAGAAACACTTTGGTTTAATTAGATTTCATTTGTCTATTTTAGCTTTTATTAAATTGCTTTTGGTGTTTTAGTCATGAAGTCTTTGCCCATGCCTATGTCTTGAATGGTGTTGCTTGGTTTTCTTCTAGGCTTTTTATGGTTTTAGGACTTATCTTTAAATCTTCAATCCATCTTGAGTTAATTTTTGTATAAGGTGTAAGGAAGGGGTCCAGTTTCAGTTTTCTGCATATAGCTAGCCAGTTTTTCCAACACCATTTGTTAAATAGGGAATCCTTTCCCCATTGCTTGTTTTTGTCAGGTTTGTCAAAGATTAGATGGTTGTAGATGTATGGTGTTATTTCTGAGGCCTCTCTTCTGTTCCATTGGTCTATATGTCTGTTTTGGTACCAGTACCATGCTGTTTTTATTACTGTATCCTTGTAGTATAGTTTGAGGTCAGGTAGTGTTATGCCTCCAGCGTTGTTCTTTTTGCTTAGGATTGTCTTGGATACACGGGCTCTTTTTTTGGTTCCATATGAAATTTAAAGTAGTTTCTTTTAATTCTGTGGAAAAGGCAATGGTAGCTTGATTGGAATATCATTGAATCTATAAAATACTTTGGGCAGTATGACCATTTTCACAATATTGATTCTTCCTATCCATGACCATGGAATATTCTTCAATTTCTTTGTGTCCTCACTTATTTCCTTGAGCAGTGGTTTGCAGTTCTCCTTAAAGAGGTCCTTCACATCCCTTATAAGTTGTATTCCTAGGTATTTTATTCCCTTTGTAGTTATTGTGAATGGGAGTTTGCTCAGGATTTGGCTCTCTGTTTGTCTATTATTGGTGTATAGGAATGCTTGTGATTTTTGCACATCAATTTTGTATCCTGAGACTTTGCTGAAGCTCCTTATCAGCTTAAGGAGTTTTTGGGCTGAGATGATGGGGTTTTCTAAATATATAATCATGTCATCTGCAAACAGAGACAATTTGATTTCCTCTCTTCCTATTTGAATTCCCTTTATTTCTTTCTCTTGCCTGATTGCCCTGGCCAGAACTTCCAATACTATGTTGAATAGGAGTGGTGAGAGAGGGCATCCTTGTTTTGTGCCGGTTTTCAAAGGGTATACATCCAGCATTTGCCCATTCAGTATGATATTGGCTGTGAGTTTGTCATAAATAGCTCTTACTATTTTGAGATATGTTCCATCAATACCTAGTTTATTGAGTGTTTTTAGCATAAAGAGGTGTTGAATTTTATTGAAGGCCTTTTCTTCATCTATTGAGATAATCATGTGGGTTTTGTCATTAGCTCTGTTTATGTGATGGATTACATTTATTGATTTGCATATGTTGAACCAGACTTGCAGCCCAGGGATGAAGCCGACTTGATTGTGGTGGATTAACTTTTTAACGTGCTGCTGGATTTGGTTTGCCAGTATTTTATTGAGGATTTTTGCGTCAATGTTCATCAGGGATATTGGCCTGAAATTTCCTTTTTTTGTTGTGTCTCTGTCAGGTTTTGGGATCAGGATGATGCTGGCCTCATAAAATGAGTTAGTTAGGAGTCTCTCTTTTTCTCTTCTTTCGAATACTTTCAGAAGGAATGATACCAGCTCCTCTTTGTACTTCTGGTAGAAATCAGCTGTGAATCCATCTGGTCCTGGGAGGATTTTACTTTAGGGATACTTTTATTCTATTTCATTCAGTTTATCTAATTTTATAATACGCTTTTCTGAAATTCAAGAGGAATACTTTTATATCTCATACTTTTACAGAAAAAAGTTTATATTATTTTAGGAGGGAGGTTAGTTAGAATAACTTTTTGAGCTTCATAATCCTAAAGTTTCCTCTTTGATTATTTACATAAAGTGTTAAAAAATATGGCTACTTTTGGCTTTGTCTCCCTGCTCACAACTACAATATGAACTTCCTTTCTCTGAACTCCTATTATTCTTGTACTGCTCAATGTGACTTCTATTGCCCACTAATTTTACTCAGTAGTAGTGTTGCCTAGGGAGAGAATGTTATTGGTCTGTTATGAGAAGTCATGTGATGAAGGTATCTCAAGACTCTTCAGAATGTCTTCAGTAGCTCATATTTCCCTGAGAATTTTTGTATGCAAACTCTTCCCAGTTTCAGCTGCTATTAACAACTTGCCTTGCCACCAATTCCAGTGAATGTTTGTTGGCTATTTTGTAGTTTTCCTCTTTTCAGATCCCCTGACTCTTTCCTCAGATTTCTTCCAAATGGATTCTCATGCTATGCAAATCTGGTAGCTCTCAGAAGTTTGTCTTCACTTTTTGATTTTCTGGGGAAATGTTATCACTTATCTTTTTTGTAAATGTCATGGAGTATTAGTTTCACTACCCTAGTTACTCTGTCAGCTTTTATGGGGAATTTGGAGTAATTTAAAAATACTGCGTCTCTTCCCAGGGTTTTCTTATATCTTTTTTAAGCCCTGAGAGTAAAACAAAATACACTGAGGGCGTTAACAGGCCAATGTTCATAGCTTAATTTTCCAAAATTAAAAGTCAATATCCATGGACAGCAAAAGTGAAAATAAACACACGGGGCTATATCAAACTAAAAAGCTTTTTTGCAGCAAAGGAACAATCAAAAGAGTAAAGACACAAACTATGGAATGGCAAAAACTGTTTGCAAACCGTACATCTAATAAGGGGTTAATATCCAAATAATGTAAGGAACTCAAACAGCTCAATAATAAGAAAACAAATAACAATGATTCATCAAAGTAGAAGAAAAGACATTTTCCCAAAGAAGAAATACAAATGACCAACAGGCATAGAAAAATTTGCTCAACATCATTAGTCATCAGGAAAATGCAAATTAAAATCAGGATATATGACCTTACTCCTGTTAGAATAGCTATTACCAAAAAGACAATTGATAACAAATGTTGGTGAGAATGTGGAGAAGAAGGAACCCTTGTACACTGTCAATGGGAATGAAAATTAGGACAACCATTATGAAAAACTGTATGAAATTTCCTAAAAAAACTAAACGTAGAACTACCATGTGAGGTGGCAAATCCACTACCAGTTTTATATCCAAAGGAAATGAAATCAGTACCTCAAAAATATATCTGTATTCCCATGTTCATTTCAGCATTACTTACAGTAGTCAAGATATTGAATCAACATAAGTGTCCATCAACACATAAATGCATAAAGACAAAGTACATACACACAATTAAACACTGTTCACCCATAAAAAAAAGAAAATCCTGTCATCTGCAATGACATGGACATACCTGGTGGACATTATGCTAAGTGAAATAAGCCAGGCACAGAAAAATAAACACTTTATGATCTCCCTTGTATGTGGAATCTAAACAATCAAACTCATAGAAGCAGACAGTGGAATAGTGGTCACAGAAGCTGCGGTATATTGGCAATGGGGAGGTGATAGTCAAAAGGTACAAAATTTCAGGTACTTAGAAGGAGTCAGTTCAAGAGATCTATTGTACAATAAGGTGACCATGGTTAATAATAATGAATTGTATTATTGGAAATTGCTAAGGAGTGTAATTTAAGTGTTCTTACAAAGGTTAATAAGAATGTGTGGCAATCTATACGTTAATTAGCTCAATTTAGTCATTCCAAAATGTGTACATTTTCAAAACATCATATGCACTCTCTCTATATGTGTATACACACACACACACACACACAATATTTGTCAACTTAAAAATATATGAATAAATTTTAGAAAAAGATTTTAGAAAAAAATTTAAATTTTCTAATTTTAGAAAAAAAAGGGAAGGGGAATTTCATAAGTTCCAAATTTCATAATTTCAAATATAAGAATCTAATATAAGATAAAAGTGGTATCACACATCAGAGTGGAAAAGATGTACAATTCAATAAGAAGGCTACTGGATTGCCATCTGAAAAATAAAATAAAATTGGATTAAAATGTTAATATTTACCACTGGAACTCTATGGATATAATAGGTACATATACTTCAAAAAATTGTGCATATATATATGCCTGAGACATCTGTACATTGCTTAGTTTATTGCACTCTTCTTGAAAAAGGCAGACATTCTCTACTCTAATTCCAAATCCAATTTCTGTCCATGCAACCAGTGTTTGAGAACGATACATTTATTTTTGTTTCTCAAATGCACCCCAATCTCTCTTATCTTCAGGCCTTGTCATGTGTTGCTTCCTCTGTCTGAGGTATCATAATATCCCCCTTTGCTAAGATTCTCCTATAAAATACAGGATGGCCAGTTCAATTCAGACAAATAATAAATATTTTCAGTATAAAAATACCAGTAAAAGGGCTCACTCCTGTAATCCCAGCACTTTGGTAGGCCGAGGCAGGCGGATCATGAGGTCAGGAGATCGAGACCATACTGGCTAACACGGTGAAACCCCGTCTCTACTAAAAAAAAAAAAAAAAAAAATTAGCCGGGCGTGGTGGTGGGCACCAGTAGTCCCAGCTACTGGGGAGGCTGAGGCAGGAGCATGGCGTGAACCTGGGAGGCGGAGCTTGCAGTGAGCCCAGATCGCACCACTGCACTCCAGATTGCGCCACTGCACTCCAGGCAACAGAGCGAGATTCTGTCTCAAAAATAAATAAATAAATATATAAAAATAAATAATAAAAACCAATAAAATATTTTGGATAAACTGATTCTTAACATTTACTTTTTTTGCCTGAAATTCAAATTTAACTGAGCAACCTGCATTGCCATTGCTATATTTGGCAAACTGTCTCTTTTCCTTATCCCTGAAAATGGCTTTAAAACCCAGCTTACAACTCACTCACTCTCAAAGAGGTCTCACTTATGTATAACTTAAACTCCTAATGTATACCAAAAACACAGCAGGATAGTTTTACTGAATAAATCTGAATATGTTTATATAGATATATTTTTTTGTAAAAAAAAACAAGATTTTGAATATACAGCCTTATAAATTTGATAAGGAATAATGCAGTGTCTCATATAACATCTTATAAAATAGGCTTTAATTTTAAACAGTTTTTAAAATAACCACATTTACTTTTTAATTAAGGTAGAAACATAATGTTTGTTATGTTTTGTACCAGAGCTGAACACAGTCAAATCTAAAGGCAATTTTCCTTGGTAAGACAATTATTACTTTTCGCCAACTGACATATTTTAATATATGTATACCTGATGTCTTACACGTTATGTTTTCACAAGTATTTATTCTCATTCATAAGCAGAAAATGGCCATGAACTCTATAAGACATTGTCTAATAGCTAATGCAATGAGAACAGAGTAGCACCACAAATATCGATATTGGCAAGATATTACTATTCTATAATTCTTTTAGAGTAATCAATGATGTTTAGGTTGCTTACATTTTAATTGGATAATATTTTTCTATCATAGCAGAAAATGTTAAAGGTGCAACTATTTCTTTAAAAGTAAGGCCTAGCCAGTTATCCCTGAAGCTTGAGTTTTTAATAAGCTTATTTTCCCTTATGCACACTATACCATCAACATATTTACACACAGATAAAAGAAAATGTAGGCTGGGCCTGGTGGCTTACGCTTGTAATCCTAGCACTTTCGGAGGCCAAGGCCGGCAGATCTCTTGAAGTTGGGAGTTTGAGACCAGGCTGGCCAACATGGTGAAACCCATCTCTACTAAAAATACAAAAATTAGTTGGGCATGGTGGCGCACACTTGTAATCCCAGCTACTTGGGAGGTTGAGGCCCTAGAATCTCTGAAACCCAGAAGGCAGAGGTTGCAGTGAGCCGAGATGGTGCCACTGCACTCCAGCCTGGGCGACAGACCAAGGCTGCCTCTCAAAAAAAAAGAAAGAAAAAGAGAGAGAGAGAGGAAGACTTATATTAAGCCAAAAAAAAAAAAAAAAAAAAAAAAACTAAGAAAAATCCAAGTCTTTTAAATGTTGACTTTTAATTTTTATTTTATTTTTTTATTTTTTGAGATGGAGTCTCACTCTGTTGCTCAGGCTGGAGTGCAGTGGCACAATCTCGGCTCACTGCAACCTCTGCCTCCCAGGTTCAAGCGATTCTCCTGCCTCAGCCTCCCCGGTAGCTGGGACTTGGCACGTGCCACCATGCATGGCTAATTTTTTGTATTTTTAGTAGAGACGGGGTCTCACTGTATTAGCCAGGATGGTCTCGGTCTCCTGACCTCGTGATCCACCCGCCTCAGACTCCCAAAATGTTGGGATTACAGGCGTGAGCCACTGCGCCTGGCCCTCAAGTTCGTTTTTAATTCTGCTTTCCAAACACTTTTTCCGAAAGAGAAAAGCTACGAGCTGAGTAATGTTACAAAAAGTTGTTACATGACGTTGGCTGTGAAATAAAGTATCTTGATTGTATCCAGATAACAATGCTAAGTTTAGGAGGAAAAAAACCCAGCAAAATAAATTCTGCTAAAATGTTTCTGAGTTTGATTTTCCACCTACTGTTGAATAGAGAATATTATTATTTTTTTTAAGTTCGCAGTTTTTGGGGAAGATTGCTCTAATGCTCAAAAGGAATTCCAGAATAAGATATATAACTACTTGTTCTTCCATGGGATAAATGATACTGTCAAATTATGAAGAAATCACCACTCAATATTTGAAAGAAAAAACATGTTGTGCTTATTGCTTACTATAGTGAATAGAGATATGCTGGTCAGGTATAGCCTCTCTAAAAAGAGCAAGCTGCTGGATTTATACCAGAATTTTTGGAAGCTTAAAAGTCAGGGATTGGTGACCTTTCAGAAGTTTAAGTAGGTTGACATTCGCTGCCAAAATGTGATTACTCCAACAAAATTGTTCTCAATTGGTTGACACTCAGAATTGTGTTTATGGGAGTGAGTCCATATAAATTGCTTGGCTTTCTGAAATGAAAGCTGTTAATGATTGGTTTTCCTGCAAAAAAAGAAAAAAAAGTCATCATCAATCAATTGGATGGGTTAAAATTCAATTCAAGTGATTACTTGATAAATGTGCCATAGCCTTTTTTAAGAGCCTGTTTTATTATTAATAATAATTATTATTATTCCCAGTATCCCCTTTGGTTTTCATGTAGCCAAAGCTGCAGGAGAGACTATCGGGGACTGCCCATATTCTTGAAACGACATTTCATTTACTGATATCTAATTTTCAAGTTGAGTATGAATCAGTGTGATTGCATCATGGTTTTGCCTTTGAATCAGTTTTTGGGTCATTTGTTAAGACAATGTCTATCTAGAAAACATTTACGACTTTGGACAAGTATGAAATAATTCTAAGGAAAACAAGCCTAACTACAAGCATTATAAGGAGAGAAGACAAGACATTTTGGAACAATGACCTAAGACTTTCCTTGCCTAACAGAGAAAGTAAGTCCCCAAGATGTGCTGTCTTATCTAGCCAGGTTTTCTTTTTCTGTTAGCTTAAATATAGATTATTTTCATATTTCCTGTTCACATGAATTATCAGCAATGGCACAGACTCTCTTTCAGAGGAAAAAAAAAAAAAACCCAAGACTAATCCACTGTTTATAACTACTTAAGAGGCTTAAATTGGTTTATGCTGTTTCTAGAACTTGGGCTGTATCATTTACTATGTGAGCCGAAGTAATGGATGGACAAGTTATAGATGACCACTTCAAATCCTCCAACACTTATAGAATCATTATCCTTAGAAGTTTGTTTCACTCAGTGATACCCATAGTTTAGACAGGGTGATAGTCTTTCAGACCCTTAGTAATGAGACATTATCTACTCAGGGTAGAGGAAAGTCATTCACTTAGAATAGTCCTGCTAGTCACATAAAATAATTAGCCATGGGTCTGAGTCATCATTGAGTCATTGAAAAGCTTTATTTATTTTTTTATTTTTTTAGACGGAGTCTTGCTTTGTCACCAGGCTCGAGTGCAGTGGTGCGATTTCGGCTCACTGCAACCTCTGCCTCCTGGGGTCAAGCGATTCTTCTGCCTCAATTTCCCAAGTACCTGGGACTACAGGCATGCGCCACCATGTTGGGCTAATTTTTGTATCTTTAGTAGAGACGGGATTTCACCATATTGTCCAGGCTGGTCTCTAACTCCCGATCTCGTGATCCGCCCACCTCGGCCTCCCAAAGTGCTGGGATTACAGGCCTGAGCCACCGCGCCCGGCAGAAAAGCTTTATTTCTATACAGGAGAGAGACCACAGAAAGTAGGCAGGAGGTGTTACTATCTTTAGTGCAGTTGCCGGTGTGCTGTCTCTGGGCCTTGCCATGACAGTGGTGATCACATCTGTCTTCATTTATGTATCATTTACCAAGATTATCATTATTGGTAATGTTAGGGTAACTTCCTATCAATTTATAGGAGTAACTTGGGATTTAAGATGGCTCATTCTTTGGGGGAATCTACTTACAATTACAGAAACAGCATCTACTTAATACTTGTTGGCAGACTGATTATTTAAGGTTGCTTTGTTTCACCTTATTGACTAAAATTTTGTAAACCAAGTTCTCTAAAAAAAAAAAAAAAATAGGAATTTATCAGTCTAGACTCAATCAGGAGACAGAATCACACAATATTTACACAGGGGAAGTTTAATGTAAATAATTATATAGCTGAGCACAGTGGCTCATGCCTGTAATCTCAGCACTTTGGGAGGCTGAGGCAGGCAAATCACTTGAGGTCAGGAGTTTGAGACTAGCCTGGCCAACATGGTGAAACCCTGTTTCTACTAAAAATACAAAAATTAGCCGGGCATGGTGGCAGGCACCTGTAATCCTAGCTACTTGGGAAGCTGAGGCTGGAGAATAACTTGAACTCAGGAGGCGGAGGTTGCACTGAGCTGAGATCATGCCATTGCACTCCAGCCTGGGCAACACAGTGAGACTAAGTCTCAAAAATAAATAATAATTATTATAAAGCATAGAATAGGAGGGTAAATGAAAAGATAGGCAGATGTGGTATAAAGTACCCTGGGGTAATGGAGAGCACCCATAGAAGGACAAACAGAGAAAAGTAGACCTTCACCAGGATCGGGGCCAGATCTTGTTGGGGATGTAGTTGCAGCCCACAAGAAGGGTAATTTCCTGAGGCTGCATCAGAGCTGTTCCACAGTCACCTTGCAAGCTGGAATCACTCTCTAGCATCTAGGTGAACAAAGAGAAGAGTGAGCAGAGGATCAGAGCTATGCGGTGAGAGGTGTGGAATGCACAGTCACAGCAAGATGATCATTGTAATGAGGCCAGGGAAGCAAGATCACAAAGGGATGGTGCACTCTGTTCCAATGCCACACATGACGTATCACTCATGGACCATGCAGCAGGACCGAGAAAAAAAAAAAAACAAAGGAATTGTTTTAAACATTTTCATGGACAAATACTCATATTGTCCATCAAAATGTTTGCATTTATTTGATATGCTTTACTGTATTATTATTGTATTAACACCATAAAGCACATCAAATATTTTTTGAATGTCTGTGTTTGTATTTTATAAAGAAAAATATTCCTGTCCAATCATAAAAGTATTCTTCAGTATTTTTTCCAATATCTTTGTAGTCTAGATTTTCACATATATTTCTTTAATCTATCCACAGGTATCATTTTTTTGAGTAAATAAATACCTAATACAATTTCATCTTTTTTCCCATGCAGATCATTCATTAAAGCAGAAATAACATTTACTTTTCCCATCGATAAGTAATGCTACACATGCCAAGTATCAAGTTGCAAATTTATGGAAGTATTCTGTATCTGAGTTATTTGCAGTGTTTCATTGATCTATTTTTTATTCCTGTACAAATAACTCCTTGTGCATTCACCACACTGTTTAAATTACTGTCATTTTCATATGTCTTGATATTTGATTCAACAAGTTCTTACTTTGTCCTCTATAATTATCTCTACTATTCTAGGCAATTAGTTTTTTTATACATATTTTTAATCTAGGTCTATGAAAATCTTTAGAAATATTGATTAGAAATTAATTTAAATTGTGAAATATATTAAAGAGAGTACTGATATATCAGTGTTAGTGAGTTTTTGAATTATAATTATGCCTTTCCATTTAATTATATTTCTTTTCCTAACATTCATTAAAATTTTATAATTTTTCTTAAAAAAATTATAAAAAGTTTTTCTAAAAAAATTATAAAAAGTTTTCACAATTTGTTAGAGTGATGTTTAGATGTCTAGTTTTTGGTTGCTTTTAAGATTCTATTTTCGTAAAATTTACACATGCTCTTCTTTGCTGGTATAAATAAATACAATAATTCTGTATACATTGATCATAAATCCAAAAACTTGTGGTACCCTTTTTAGTGGTAGAATTTTTTTCTGTATGTTTCCATTATGATAACCACAACAATCATGCATAGTTTTGTTATTTTTAAAGTTTTTGGAAACTTATTCATTTTTTACCTATTTGAAAATGTTTAACCTTTGGTGATTAGCCAATTTCATAATAAATGAGTTTCTAATATAGTATGTTTTATATTAACTTAAAGCCTCTATTGTCTGTCAGCTAAATTATCCCTTCCTTATCTGCTCTGTGATAATGGACCTTAAGTATTTCCTCTCTACAGTGAGCCTGATGTTTTATTTTGTTAGTTGAGGGTACAGGAGGAACATTACAGGCAAAAGAGGACTTTCTTTTGTAGTACCATATGAATTTTATATGCTTTTTACTATTTCTGTAAAAAATGACTTTAAATTTTTGATAGGAATTACATTAAATATATATGGCACTTTGGGTTGTATGGACATTTTAGCAAAATTAATTCTTCCAATCTGTAAACTTGAGGTATTTTTCCACTTACTTGTGTCTTCCTCAATTTCTTTCATCAGTGTTTCATAGTTTTTAGTGTGCAGATCTTTCAACTCCATGGTAAAATTTATTTTCAAATATTTTATTGATTTGGATGCTGTTCTAAATGTGATAATTTTCCTGATTTTCTTTTCAGCTAATTCATTGTTAGTGTATAGAAATGTTACTAATTTATTATGTTGATTTAGTATTCTGAAACTTTACAGAATCCATTTATTAATTTTAAAATTTGTGTTTTTGTGTGTGTGTGGTGTTTAGGACAATTACTTTGCATTATTCATAAAAGTCAACTCAAAATGAATGAAAGACTTAAATTGGAGATCTGGAACTACAAAACTTCTAGAGGAAAACACAGAGGAAATCTTCTTGACTTGTTCTTCACAGTAATAATTGCGTATGACACCAAAAGCACAGGCAACTAAAAATAAATAAATAAACAAGGAGAAGTACATCAAACTAAAAAGCTTTTATATAGTGAAGGTGATTTGGTTTGGCTATGTCCCCACCAAAATCTCTTCTTGAATTATAGTTCCCATAATCCCCACGTGTCATGGGAGGGACCCAATGGGAAGTAAATTAATCATGGGGTCTGTTACCCTCGTGCTGGTCTTGTAATAGTGAGTTCTCTGGAGATTTGATGGTTTTATAAGGGGCTTTCCCCCTTTTGCTTGGCACTTCTCCTTGATGCCACCACGTGAAGAAAGATATGTTTGTTTCCCCTTCTGCCATAATTGTAAGTTTCCTGAGGCCCCACCAGCCAGGTGGAACTGTGAGTCTATTAAACCTCTTTCCTTTATAAATTACCCAGTCTCATGCATGTCTTTATTAGCAGCATGAGAATGAACTAATACAGTAAATTGGTACTGCAGAGAGTGGGGTGCTGCTATAAAAATACCCAAAAGTGTGGAAGCAACTTTGGAACTGGGTAACAGGCAGAGGCTGGAACAGTTTGGAGGGCTCAGAAGAAGATAGGAAAATGTGCAAAAGTATGGAATTTCCTAGACAGTTAGAGGGCTCAGAAGACAGGAAGATGGAAGAAAGACTGGAACTTCCTAGAGATTTGTTGAGTGGCTTTGACCAAAATGCTGATAGTGATATGGACAATAAGGTCCAGGCTGAGGTAGTCTCAGATGGGGCTGAGGAACTTGTTGGGAACTGGAGTAAAGGTCACTCTAGCTATAAGTCTTTAGCAGAGAGACTATTAGCTTTTCGTCCCTGCCCTAGAGATCTGTGGAACTTTAATTTTGAGAGAGATGATTTATGGTACCTAGTGGTAGAAATTTCTAAGCAGCAAAACTTTCAAGAGGAAACAGGGCATAAAAGTTTGAAAAATTTGCAGCCTGATGATACAATAGAAAAGAAAGACCCATTTTCTGGGAAGAAATTTCACCCTGCTGCAAAAATTGGCCTATATAACAAGGAGTCAAATGCTAATCACCAAGACAATGGGGAAAATATCTCCAGGGTATGTCAGAGACCTTCATGGCAGCCACTCCCATCACAGGCCTGGAGGCCTAGGAGGGAATAATGGTTTCATGGGCCCAGCCCAAGGCCCCCCTGCTCTTTGCGACCTTGGGACATGGTGCCCTGCATTCCAGCTGCTTCAGCTGCCATCCATGACTAAAAAGGGTCAGCATACAGCTCAGGGTATTGATTCAGAGGGTGCAATCCCTGAGCCTTGGCAGCTTACACATGGTGTTGGGTCTGTGAGTGCACAGAAGTCAAGAATGAAGGTTTGGGAACCTCTACCTAGATTTCAGAAGATGTATGGAAACACCTGGATGTCCAGGCAGAAGTTTGCTGCAGGGGCTGGAATTCATGGAGAATCTCTGCTACGGCAGTGTAGAAGGAAAATGTGGGGTTGGAGCCCCCAAATAGAGTCCCTACTAGGGCACTGCCTAATGGAGCTGTGAGAAGAGGGCCACCATTATCCAGACCCCAGAATGGTAGATCTACCAACAGCTTGCACCATGTGCCTGGAAAAGTCACAGACACTCAACTCCAGCCCTTGAAAGCAGCCAGGAGAGTGGCTGTAGCCTGCAAAGCCAAAAGGGTGGAGCTGCTCAAGGCTGTGGGAATCCACCTCTTGCATCAGCGTGATCTGGATGTGAGACATGAAGACAAATAAGATCATGTGGGAACTTTAAGGTTTAATGACTGCCTTAGTGGATTTTGAAGTTGCATGCTCCCTGTAGCCCCTTTGTTTTGGCCAATTTCTCCCATTTGGAGTGGATGTATTTGCCCAATTCGTGTACCCCTGTTGTATCTAGGAAGTAACTAACTTGCTTTTGATTTCGCAGGCTCATAGGCAGAAGGGGCTTGAATTGTCTGAGATGAAAACTTGGACTTGGACTTTTGGGTTAGTGCTGGAATAAGTTGAGATTTTGGGCAACTGTTGGAAAGGGATGATTATGTTTTGCAACATAAGGACATGAGATTTGACAGGGGTCAAGTGTGGAATAATATGGTTTGGCTGTGTCCCCTCCCAAATCTCATCTTGAATTGTAGGTCCCATAATCCCCACATGTCATGGTAGAGACCTGGTGGGAGGTAATGTAATCATGGGAGTGGTTACCCTCATGCTGTTCTCATGATAGTGAGTAGGTTCTCAGGAGATCTAATTGTTTTATAAGGGGTTTTTACCCCTTTTACTTGGCACTTCTCCTTGCTGCTGCCATGTAAAGAAGGATGTGGTTGCTTCCCCTTCCTCCATGATTGTAAGTTTCCTGAGGCCTCCCCAGCCATGCAGAACTATGAGTCAATTAAACCTCTTTCCTTTGTAAATCACCCAGTCTTGGATATGTCTTTATTAGCAGCATGAAAACTGATTAATACATAAGGAACCAATCAACAAAATGAAAAGGTTACCTATAGACTGGGAGAAAATATTTGCAAACTGTATGTCTATTAAGGGGCTGACATTTAAAATGTATAGGGAACTCACACAACTCAACAGCAAGAAAACAAATATACAAACAAAACCCTAATTAAAGAATAGATCAAATGAATAAGCATTTTTACAATGAAAACAGACAAATGGCCAATGAGTATATGAAATGGTGTTCAACATCACTAATCATTAGAAAAATGCAAATTAAAACCACAATGAGGTATCACCTCACACTTGTTAGAATGGCTATCATCAAAAAGATGATTATCAAGAAAGTAACAATCACTGATGAGGATTAGAGAAAAACAATTCATTGTACATTGTTGGTGTGAATGTAAATTGGTAAAGCTATTATATGAAATAATGTTATGGTGGTTCCTCAAAAAATTAAAAATAGAATTACCATATGATCCAGCATTCTCATTTCTGGATATGTATCCAAAGGAAAGAAAATTAATACCTTGAAGAGATATCTGCACTGCGATGTTCATTGCAGCTTTGGTCACAATAGTAAAGATATGGAAACAATCCAAGTGCCTATGAATGGATTAACAGATAAGGAAATCATATATAAAATACATATAAAGAAATCATATTAATATAATTTGGCTGTCTCTCCACCAAAATCTCATCTTAAATTGTAGCTTCCATAATTCCCACATGTCATGAGAAGGACCCAGTGGGAGGTAATTGAATCATGGGGGCAGGTCTTTCCCATGCTGTTCTCATGATAGTGAATAAGTCTCATGAGATCTGATGGTTTTATAAAGGGGCCTTCCCCTGCACATGCCCTGTTGCCCGCTGCCAGGTAAGATGCTCCTCATTCACCTTTAGCCATGATTATAAGGCCTCCCTAGCCACGTGGAACCATGAGTCGATTAAACCTCTTTCCTTATAAATTACCCAGTCTCATGTATATCTTTATTAGCAGCATGAGAACCAACTAATACAGTTAATTGGTAACAGGAGTAGGGTGCTGCTGTAAAGATACCTGAGAATGTCTGAGCGACTTTGGAACTGGGTAACAGACAGAGGTTAAAACTGTTTGGAGGGCTCAGAACAAGATAGGATAATGTGGAGAAGTTTGGAACTTCCTAGAGACTTGGAGATCTCAAAAGACAGATGTGGGAATGTTTGGAGCTTCCTAGAGACTTGTTGAATGTCTTTGACCAAAATGCTGATAGTGATATGGACAATAAAATTCAACCTGAGGTGGTCTCAGATGGGGTTGAGGAACTTGTTGGGAACTAAAGTAAAGGTCACTCTTGCTATGTAAAGATGCTGGCAGAATTTTGCTCCTGGCCTAGAGATCTGTGGAACTTTGAACTTGAGAGAGATGATTTGGGGTACCTGGTGGAATAAATTTCTAAGTGGCAAAGCATTTGAGAGGTGATAGATCATAAAAGTTTGGAAAATTTGCAGCCTGACAATGCAGTAAAAAAGAAAAAAAAACATTTTTTAGGAAGAAATTCAAGCATGTTGCCAAAATTTGCATAAGTAACGAGCAGTCAAATGCTAATCACCAAGGTAACAGGGAAAACATCTCCAGGTTGTGTCAGAGACCTTTGTGGCAGCCCCTTTCATCACAGGCCTGAAGGCCTAAGAGGGAGAAATGGTTTCATGGGCTCAGCCCAGGGCCCCCCTGCTTTATGCAGCCTCCAAACACGGTGCCCTGCATCCCAGCCTGCTTCAGCTCCCAGCCATGAATAAAAGGGGCCAACATACAGCTCAGGCTATTGACTCAGAGGGTGCAAGCCCCAAGCCTTGGTGGGTTATGTGTGGTGTTGGGCCTTTGGGTGCACAGAAGTCAAGAATGGAGGTTTGGGAACCTCCACCCAGATTTCAGAGTATATATGGAAACACTTGGATGTCCAGGCAGACGTTTGCTGCAGGGGTGGGGCTTTCATGGAGAACCTCTGCTAGGGCAGTATAGAAGGGAAATGTGGATGGAAGCCCCCAAACAGATTCCCAACTGGGGCACTGCCTAGCAGAGCTGTGAGAGGAGGTCACCAACCTCTAGACTCCAGAATGGTAGATCCATTGACAGCTTGAACCATCTGCCTGGAAAAGCCACAGACACTCAACACTAGCCCATGAAAGCAGCCAGGAGGGGAGTGATACCCTGCAAAGCCACAGGGGTGGAGCTTCTCAAGGCCATGGGAGTCTATCTCTTCCATCAGCGTGACCTGGATGTGAGAAATGGAGTCAAAGGAAATCACGTTGGAACTTTAAGGTTTAATGACTGCCTTAATGGATTTTGAAGTTGCATGGGCCCTGTAGCCCCTTTGTTTTGGCCAATTTCTCCCATACGGAATGGCTGTATTTACCCAATGTCTGTACTCCCACTGTATCTGGGAAGTAAGTTACTGGTTTTTTGTTTTGTTTTGTTTTGTTTTTTACAGGCTCATAGGTGGAAGAAACTTGCTTTGTCTCAGATGAAACTTTGGACTTGGACTTCTGAGTAAATTTGGAATGAATTAAGACTTTGGGGGACTGTTGGGAAGGCATTATTGTGTTTCTGAAATGTGAGGACATAAAATTTGGGAGGGGCCGCAGTTGAATGATATGATTTGGTTGTGTTCTCACCCAAATCTCATGTTGAATTGTAGCTCCCATAATACCTACATATCGTGAGAGGGACCTGGTAGGAGGTAATTGAATCATGGGGGTGGGTCTTTCAGTGCTGTTCTTATGGTAGTGAATAAGTCTCATGAGATATGGTGGTGTTGTAAGGGACAGTTGCCTTGCACATACCCTCTTGTCTGTTTCCATGTAAGATGCTTGGCCGGGCACGGTGGCTCACATCTGTAATCCCAGCACTTTGGGAGGCCGAGGTGGGCAGATCACGAGGCCAGGAGATTGATAGCATCCTGGCTAACATGGTGCAACCCCAGCTCTCCTAAAAATCCAAAAAAAAAAAAAATTATCCGGACGTGGTGGCAGGCACCTTTAGTCCCAGCTACTTGGGAGGCTGAGGCAGGAGAATGGCATGAACCTGGGAGGCAGAGCTTGCAGTGAGCAGAGATCGCACCACTGCACCCCAGCGCTGGTGACAGAGCGAGACTCCATCTCAAAAAAAAAAAAAAAAAAGATGCTCCTCATTCACCTTCAGCCATCATTGTGAGGCCTCCCCAGCCATGTGGAACTGTGAGTCAATTAAACCTCTTTCCTTTATAAATGACCCAGTCTTGTGTATGTATATATTAGCAGCATGAGAACAGACTAATACATATATATAAATGTATAAAGAAATAATACATATATAATATACATATATTGTATATTACATATATTGTCATTCTATATTACATACTATATAGCATATATATTATATATAAAATATGTGTGTATTGTATATGTGTATATATACATATAATAGAATATTATTTAGCCTTTACAAAGAAGGAGATCCTGCCATTTATGACAACCTGGATGATCCAGGAAGACATTGTGCTAGATGAAATAAGCCAGAAATGGAAGGAAAACTACTTCCTGATCTCATTTGCATGTGGACTCCATAAAAGTTGGACTCACGGAAGCAAAGTAAAAAGGTGGTTAGCAGGGGACGGGAGGAAAGGGAAATGGGGCAGTGTTTGTCAAGGGTACAAGGTTGCAGTTATGTAGGACAAATAAGTCTAGATATGTAAGGTGCAGTGTGATGACTGCAATTAATAATACTGTATTGCATATTGAAATTTGCTAAGGAGTAGATTTTAGTTGCTCCCACCACACACACACACGCGCGCACACACACACACACACACACACACACACACATACACGTTAACTGTGTGAGGAGATGGATATGTTAATGTGCTTGACTGTAGTAATCATGTCTTTATAAAATAATTTTTAATAAGAAAAATCTCCATTCAAATTGTCTTTCTTTTTTTTAGAGATGATGTTTTGTTACCCAGGCTGGAGTGCCATGGTGTGATCTCAGCTCACTGCCACCTAGAATTCCAGGGCTCAAGCGATCCTCCCACCTCAGCTTCCTGACTAGCTGGGACTACAGGTGTGAGCGACTACACCTGGCTGATTTTTACATTTTTTATAGAAATGGGGTTTCACCATCTTGCCCAGGCTGGTCTCAAACTCCTGGCCTCAAATGATCCTCTTGCCTCAGCCTCTCAGAGTGCTGGGATTATAGACATGAGCCACCATGCCTGGCCAGTAATCATTTCACTATGTATATGTATATCAACATATCATGTTACATACCTCACATATATACAGTATTCATTATTTTAATGTTTAAAAACCATAATATAAGCATATTATTTTAAAGTAAGTTAACATAGTTTAATTCATCTAAAATCAACAGGGCTTCATTAATAAGACAACAAAGAGTATTAATAACACTGGTTAACTAAATAGCAACTAATTCTGCTAAAAGTAGGGAGTTAATCTTGTTTTTTACTTGTTGAACCATTCAATATGACAATTTATATTTTTTCCTCAGCTCTAAGAAACTTGAAATAATTATTTCTTTTTTTTTTTTTTTTACTCCATTTTGTCGTTTGCCATTTTCTGGGATTTTAGTAAGAAAATATTAACCTTTCTGAATTAATCTTCCATTTTCTTACATGTTCTCAAAATAAGATCGCCACACAGGCAAATAGGATACATCAAGTGATGGGCCTTAATTTGGGTGCACAGACAAGAAATTAGAAGGTCGTCACTATGCATGCTCTGTAATGCAAAATACAGGGGGCTTTATTTTGGGTCATCAAAACCTGCACTACAATTTATAGTTCTGCCCCCAAAGGGGTTTCATTTTAAAAATAGAACATGCAGATAAAATGCTTGACTACATGTTGCCCTGCATTTTTAGAGCTGGGGAGGAGTTCCGGGCTGGTTTTCCTATCAGTGACTCCTTAACTAATTGTCCTCTGTCTTGCCTCGCTCTGCATAGCTCTGTGACTACAGTGTCTCTTGTGTCCTCAGAGAGGCTGACCTCCTCACCCCCAGAGAGGCTGCCCTCCTCGCCCCAACGACCTACAGCCTCTTCCCACGTGAGAAGGTTGTGCACTCTCAGCATTGTTTCTTCTCTTCACAAAACTTCCATCTACTGCTCATGACCCAAGTTCCTCCATAGTACCTTTACATTGGTGAGCCCTTATCTTGATCTTTCTGACCAGTAGCTGTTTTTCTAATTGAAAATTTGATAAAATTCTGGAAAGGGTAATAAATGGGTGTGCTTATATTTCATAATGAGCAGGAAGTACATATTCATTTCACATCTTCTCGATACTGTTATGCCCACTTGGCTTAGTATCATGGGTGGTCATGTAAAGAGTTTTTGCAATCAGTATTATTCATTTAGAAATTAGGTTGGAATATTTAATAAAAATATGTTGACCACTTCAGTATTTTTGTATAAAGGCAGTGTTCACATTGCACGGTAGTGCAGAACCATAAAAGTAGTCATGCAAGTTTAAAATGTACAAGGCTATTTTAATCAACATTGGGAAAATGTACATCAGGTTTGCTTTCACTAAGTTCCTCTGGTTGTATATCTGAAGTCTTGTCATTGAGACAATGTGAACGTTTCCAAGTTAAGTTATTTCTTCTATAAGTCAATTTATGCTTGATTTGGATTTCATTTCATTCATCACTTTTTGTTTCTTTACTGCACTTTTATTTTTGTTGGCTGATTCTCTCTTTCAATTATCCATTTTGGTAAAATATCTCATGCATTTATCACTGGAAGACTATGAGAACTAAGAGGGAGCATCTTCTTGGTTAAAGCTATAGCTCACACTTGTGAATAAGAAAAGGAGTGTCAATGATCTCTTTATTTAAAAAGTATGTTCTTTTCACTTTTCTGCTCTCAATCATTTACAAAAAGCCTAGAGAAACTGAATTTATTAACAAATGACAAGATAGCATGCCCTCTCTCCATATATATATATGTTCGTGTGTGTGTTTTAGTACAAGAATATATATTTGAGACGAGTTATTTGTATTCAAATGTATTTTTTAGGATTGTAATCTAATATTTAACTTTAAAATATCTGCTTTTCTAAATTTTCCTTCATGATTAACCCCCCAAAAATTGTGTGGGGTGAAGCTGTTTCTGGTATTGTGTGGGATAAAACTGTTTCTGGTATTGTGTGGGATAAAACTGTTTCTGGTATTTCTTCATGTAACCACATGATGGCAGCAAAGGATAAGAGCACAGGCATACAGCCATTGCGCAATAAAAAGCAAAAACACAGTTATAGAATAAGTACACAATTACGGAACGGTCCCAACGTAGAAAACTAATTTATATTATATAAGCCCTCAGAAACATTCAGCTTATTATTAAAATGTAAAAGTCTTGCTATTTCTAATTCTAATGGGTGAATAATATAGCCACCAGTGGTTATTTTGTTGACTATTTAATCACCTTCTTAACCATACGTTTGGATTGTAGTTTCCCATTCTTAGTTATCTAAATTATCATTTTCAACTTTTCTCCACCTAAAAGTTTATTTCTTCCACTTATTATCATTGTAGTCATGAACACAAAGACATATGTATACATATATGTATACACACACACACACACACACACACACACACACACACACACACAGAGCTTATGAATTTTATCTTCCTATTTGTGCTGCCTTCAATTACTTTTAAAACACATTTTATTTCTTTCCATAAGTTGTACACTCACATTTGTGACCTAGATGCCAGACTCTGTGGCTACTACAAAGAAGGTCAGGAACTTTAAGTGCTCCTGTCCGCTGTCAATATCACAGCTGCCCAACACCATGAAGTTAGTGACAGAAATGGAGGGCTGGAATCCAGCCACGGCAAACATGCACACATGAGAAAGTCCACCCTTCAATCAGGGAAAAAAATGGCCTCCAGTGACTTTCTGCCTTCAAAAACTTGTAGGACTATATTAAACTATGGAATTTAAATTCATTCAGACTATAATGGCAAGCCAGACATGGCCATGTAATTTTATCATTCCAATCCCTAAAAAGGGATGGGGACAGGAATGGCAGAAATTGATTCTCATTGTCAATAACAAGAATCCACGATTCCCTTTAAGGATGTTCTCAATATCCTTAAACCTTTTCTACTAATTATTAAAACCCATGATTTTGTTATTGCAAAAAATATCGTGATAACTTTCAGTTTTTGGTGATTAAGAATAAAGTTTCTTTTAGGAAGTCAATTCCACTCCTGACTTTTTAATACTATAAAAAGATCTAAGCAAGTAAGCAAATATGTACGCAAGTATTTTGCGCTGCTGTTTATAATAGTAAAGTACTGAAAAATCCCAAAAATTCATCAATTCAGAATTGGTTAAATAAACTCATGGTACAGCTATGAGTACATGATACAGCTATTCTTCATTCAAAAGAATGAAAAATTCTATATATTGCCAATGAAAGATGGTTAAAATATATTAAATGAACAATAAAGCTAATGTAATACATTATGATTATAATTTTTGTGAAAAATTCAGCATATATACATATTAAAATAATCTGAAAGAACAACAAAAAATAAAGCTTCTGGTAAATCAAACTATATAATTAACAAACTTCACAGAAGGTTAGTTTGAATTACATCCTCAATGTGGACTGTCAATAAGAATAAAATGTGCTATATACGTGTTTGTGACTATACCATAATTTGTTCATAAAATTCAATATATTTTACTCATAAAATTCAAATCAATGTCCTTTCCTACATTACTTTATATATTAAAGGATGCTCATTTTTCTACCTCAGTAATGTTAAATTCCCTTGAAAATGGAAATTTGAATATGCAATTTATAAATTAATATACTGTGAAAATGATTAGAAGTGGCTAAGCAATTTTAACCTAGTATTAGCAGGATGTGAAGTAAATCAGATAGATAAGGGGAACTGGTTCTTTAAAACCACATATTGGCATCATTTTTAAAAAGGTGATGCCTCATTAAACCTAGTCCCAGTGCCAACAGGACAACAAACATTTGTTTATTTTGAGACTCTTGGAGTCCTTGGTGAAAATCAGTATTATCAAATTTGATAGAATTATATTTAGAATTCATTAGAAATGCTTTGAGTAGCCCTTTATCCACTAGAGGCAGTATAATAAAATCTTGGGTTTGTATTATACTTGGGCTCTCTGGGTCAAATACCAACTCCACCTCAAGGGCTATGGGACTGTCAACATATCGCTTGTTTACACCTCAGTTTACTCCTGTGTTACAGATTCTTCCAGACATAAATCTTAGAAAACAGTACAGTTTATACACACAATAAACATGTGTGACCCTCATTGTTAAAATATATGTATAGTATCCTAGGCACCTAGGCACCAATCAGTACTTATCAATCAAACCATTCTAGTCATAGTGTGAATTTGTGGGGCATGATTATTTTACTGAAGCTATAACATGAATAAGTATATTTCAAAGTTTACAATCATAGTCACCTTAATTTGTAGACATGGGGATGATGTTTTGAACTAATGTTGTGTTCCATGCTAGACATTAGGGGTTTATGTATGTTCATGATGAAATATAAATCTAAGAGTAAATATAATAAATTTGGGGCACAAATTTTAATCCTTCAAATCATAGGATTAAAATCCTTCCAGTTATAGGATAACTGTTTATAGCTAGATGTTTTTCATCATTTTTTTACTCAAATTATATTTACTGAACTAATTCTCCGTGGAGGGTGTGCAGGAGTTGAGTGCTAAGGGAATTGCAGGAATAATTAAAGTATAATTATTTATATTCAAGCATGAACTTTTGTAAAGTGAATATTAAGTCCCCTTCTCAATGTCAGTAGTCTTTGCATGGTGCACTATCTGTTTATGTACTTGGGGTCAATAAATCATCTAGGTAAGAGGCCAAGCACAAAGCCTCTGATATGGTAGCTTAGCAGATAACTGGGAGATATTTCAAAAAAACCTCTGTTGTTTAAATTGCTATAAAAATAATTTTTAAGTCACAGCCTAATAATAAAAGAATGCTTTCATAATCAATGAAAAATCAAGTGCCTAATGCATTTTTTAAAATTAGTCTTAATGTTGTCTTTCTTTAAATTTCTCAAAGTAAAATAAAAACAGGAAAAAAAAATTTCCTCTCTCCCACCCCTCCAGGGGATGGCGGAGTGCGAGGGGGTTGGGAGGGCGAGCGTGGAGAGGTGCAATGGGCAGGGCCCATTTGGTGGCAAGAAATCAAGATCCAGTTCACAATGGCTTATCCAGTGAAAAGGTAAATCACTGGATTCTCCTAACTCAAAAGTCAAAGCTGTCTGGCTTTAAGCACAACTAGACCCAATTATCCAATTATTAAAATATGTTTCAAATCTACACCTTTTCAACTTTGGACATCGTTTTCCCCTATAGGCTTTTTTTAAGATACACTTTCCCCAGTGTTACATTTTGTTTTGTCTCCATGAATGTAAATATATTTTTAGTTTCCCAGCCTGGTTTTCCTGGGTTTGGCTTGAATCATCGCCTCTCTGTGAACCAACTCCTGCAATCCTAAGTATCTCCACTGGATCACATAACTAGGTTTAGAATTAGGAGGTGAAACCAAAGCGATCTAAATCACACTGCCTGAAAGTGAGAAATAGTTGGTTCTTCACATGAAAATAAGCACTTGCACTCCCCAGTAGAAGAGGAAAGCATTGTCGATCCGGTAAAAAGAACTGTGGATAAGAGGCAATTCTCAAATTGGAAATCTAATTTATATATTTGCCCAGGCATGAGGGAAGGGAGAGTGGATTGCAATCTCTTGCATATGTATGATTTTATATTTTGACCATGTGGTTAGACAATCATCTGCTAGGAGTGATTCTTAAATAACGACAACACGAACATAATTGTCATCATAATGCCACATCATATCCACAGGCCTTGGAACAAAGAAGAGTTATTGGCTATATTTGAAAGAATAATGCTTAGATTGTCTACCCAAGGTATTGCATTTATAAATGATGTGTATTTTACACCATGATGTGGGAGGCGGGTAGAAAACTTAAACACTATGACTGAACATTTAAGGAGTGGAGAGTTATGTTCCTCTTCCTTGAGGGCAGAGTATCTACTTATTTGAAATTCTTCTGCATGGGAGAATCACCTATTCTCTTCATTTATTTATTTATTCAATCATTTATTTATGTAAGTATTGGCTCATGAATATTTATTTTATATTTAGATGTATAATCCAGTACTACTTTATTTTTATATTTTTGCTCAAATTGTCCCAGCTTTGGCCATTAGAGGCTCTTTTAATTGCATCCTGTGTCACTTTGACATACTCTCATCATTGTGTGTGTGTGTGTGTGTGTGTGTGTGTGTATGTGTGTGTGTATGTGCATGTGTGTTTGTGTGCTTTGGGCACCTATCTTTTGATGCTACAAGGTGTTCCAGTGAAGGAGTAAAATTACTGGAGAATGGTATGAAAAACCAAGATCTGGACACTAGGTGTGCTCGTTGCTACTGGGGTGTCATTGTTTCCAGAGATGCTCAATTAATAGAGCAGGAAATACAGATATATACTATCCTATGACTACATATATATAGTAAATATTTCTACATATGGCCATTGTATCTATATTAAACTAAATATGAGGTCATTTTGATGTCTTCAACTCTAATCCTTCATCAGAAATCATATGACTATCAGTGTGTGAATCTCTTTCTGGTCCATCTAGTTTGTTCCACAGATCTCTCTGTCTATTCTATGTCAATAACACATTGCCTTGTTTACTGTCTCTCTATAAAAAGAGGCATTAAAAATGTTCCAACTGTGCTCTTCTTCTTGATTGTGTTGGTTATTCTAAGGCTTTTGACTTTCCATGAAAAATTTAGGATCAGTTTGTCAATATCTACCAAATACCTTCCTTGGATTTTGATTAGAATTTTCTTGAATCTATAGATCAATTGGGACAAATTGACATCTTAACAATATTGAGTCTTCCAATTTGTGACCACAAAATATCTTTTCATTTATTTAGAGCTTCTTTTTTTCTTTCATTACATTTCTTTAGTTTTCCACTTACCAACATTATGTATTTTCTTAGATTTGTGGTGAAGTATTTCATATTTTAGTGATATTGCCAATCTTATATTATTTAAATTTTAAATTTCACTTGCTTATTGCTGGTATACAGAAAAGCAATAGACTTTTGCATAGTAATTGTGCATCGTTTAACCTTGCAATAACTTGCTTATTAGTTTTCCGTACATAATGTTGAAGATAGCAGTTACAGGATTTGCTGATGGATTGATTGTTTTAAGACAAAGAAAATTCAAAGATTTTGACTTGGATAAATGAGGTGGTGCTTATTATAATGGAAAAGAAAACCAGAATGGGAGGCTTAGGAAGTATAATTTCAGAAATCCAATATTGAGATACCAAATATTCAACTGGAAATGTCAAGAAGCCTGGAGTTTATGAAAGAAATCTGGTTTAGAGACAGACATTTGTATTGATTGGCATGTGTGTATACATATATATATTTTGAAAAAGTATACATATTCTATATATATGTATATATAGTATAGTCTATACTTATAAATTATATCCCATAGTTTAATATATATATGTGCTATATTACATACACAGAAAGAGTACTATACTATATATAGTAGTACTATACTGTATATATATATAAGCATATATATGTATGTATACAGAGATTGAATGAGAAAACTTAAGTAATAAGATAAGTTAGAAAACACCTATGTCATGGATTGAGGTCTGAAATGTGTAAAAGTTTAAACGACTAGAAGAGGAGCAGAAATCATCAGAGAAGCTGAGAATGAGTTTCCAAATATGCAGATCCAGAATTAAAAAAGAGAAAAACCTCTAAAATCAAGTGAAAAGAGGGCTTCAATAAAAGGTAGTGACCAACTACATCTAATACAGCTGATAAAACATTTATGCTCAGAGAAATTACCATTGAATTTGTCAACATTGGTTACCTTAACAAGAGCTATTTTACTGGAGCAACGGGGTGGAGGGGGAAGACTGAAGAACCTTCAAGAAAAAGATTAAAAGGTACAAAAAGGATGCAGTTTGCACTGACAACTCATTAAGAAAATTTTGTTATAAAGAGAAGCAGAGGCCGGGCGCGGTGGCTCACACCTGTAATCCCAGCACTTTGGGAGGCCGAGACGGGTGGATCACGAGGTCAGGAGTTCAAGACCAGCTTGGCCAAGATGGTGAAACCACGTCTCTACTAAAAATACAAAAAAAAAAAAATTAGCCGGGCGTGGTGGCACGCACCTGTAATCCCAGCGAGTCCGGAGGCTGAGACGGAGAATTGCTTAAACCTGGAGGGGCGGAGCTTGCAGTGAGCCCAGATAGCACCACTGTACTCCAGCCTGCTGGGTGACAGAGGGAGACTCCGTCTCAAAAAAAAAAAAAAAAAAAGAGAAGCAGAGACATGTAGGGTAGATGCATTGTGCCTGAAGAAGGATGATATTTTGACATATGTACATTGATGGAAAAATCTTGTGATTTGATGACACAGGAGAAAAAGAGAAGACACAAGATCATTTTTGCAAAACTGACAAGTAATTTGATGGTACGTGACTAAAGGTGATTTGCAATGAGGGGAACATCACATAAGCTCATATAATAGCAAAAATGGTAAAACATATAAGTAGAGGCTCAGTACAGTAGGTAGAGATTCTTTATGGTCTGTGTGAATAATAAATATCAAATATAAATTTAGATTATTTCTTACAGATAGCTGTGATATCATTACCCCCTAAAAACATAAAAGGAAATCTAAATTCTATTTTGTGCTGACAATGGAATTACACAACAGTGCCTCTGCTTTCTTGCATGTGTGACTTCATGACCACATTGTATTATCCAAACTTTTAGAAATAAGCCACCAATAAGGATATACAGTTGCCATCAGGTCATAGTTAAACATATTTGATTTAAAAAATAGCTCTAAAAGAACACATATGCATTTGTGTACATGCACAAGTAGAGAAAGGGAACTGTCCTCAGCTAATAAAATATTAAACATATTCACCCTCACAATGGTAAAGAAAATGAGAATAAAAATATAAAAATGAATTGAGCAAAATTTAATTAACAAATTCAAGGTTTATTAAATGGTTATTTAATATCACTGGCTTTTTAAGAATTCTATTTAGTAATAAATATCCAAAGTGTTAGATATAATTTTAATTAAAGTAGTAGGATGCAAATTAGTGCAAAGCATTTTGTCAAGTTTGTTAATAGCTGAGATAGAATTTCATCAAATTGTGAGCTATTATTATTTATAGACGACAGGATGAGTGACTATTTTTGTTTCACTTTCTGACTTTTTCAGGTTTTTATAAATGAACATATTGTAATGATCAATAAATTCATTAGATAAACATGAATGCCTGAGGAATTTTCATCATTACAATGGTAATATAATATAAATCAGAATCTGAATCTCCAATGATAAGAGAATGATCTATGATGGTTTGAACACTCCATGATCTGTAGAATACCACAACAATTATTTAACAAGAGGGAAATCCTCAAAGTATAATTCTAAGAAATGAAAGTATACCCTGCATATATTTCTATGCACCCATCCATGTCTATTTGTATTGAAGAGAGAGAGAAAGAAAGAAAAAGTTGGGGGATTGTGTTTAATGAAGACAGTGGCCCTATCTTGTACTCTCTGTAGTCTTACAGCCTAAGTCAATATCTGGCACAAAGTAGATGCCCAATAATTATGTGTGGAAAGATGCATGCATGTGAGATTGATACATCAAGGCTCAAAGTAATATACTAAAATACTATACCTACCAAGGTTGACTTTAGGCAGTACAATTATAGGAGTTTTTTTAATGTTAAAATTCTTTACATATCTGTATTATTGAATGTTCCTATAATAAAAATGCATTTATTACCCTGATCTAACATACCTCAAGGAGAATATCAAACACATGTCAAAGTAACCATAGGCATGTTTTTAAAAAACGGATTGAAAAAGACTTTCATTCTTACCAAAAAATATTGTAATTTTTTGGAAATTACAGAGAAATGGCTGCTTTGATTAAAATTAAACTTAAAATATCTCTAGTTCTGTAGCAACTTTTTGTACAATGCAACTATACAAATATCTGCTGATGGTTAATTATTGTTAGAGTTGAAATTAGTATTGCAGCCACCAACTCTTTAGAGAAACCTTAGTGTAACAGAAAAGAAGCACCAGATGTTCAGATGGCTGCAATTTTGTCCTCAGCAAAGGTTATAATCAGGTTCATAATATAAGGCTCAATGAAGAAGCAGCATAATATAGAAGAAAAGTACATTGAGCAAAAACTCATAAAAATGAACTCAAAATTAGTCTCCATCACTTAATAATTATGAGTTTGATTCATCCTTAACTGTTGCAAGCTTCAATTGCTTCAGCTATATAATAGAGATCATAATAACTGGCTTACTTGCTCATTTCAAACATAGTTTAGTATATTTGTCAGGTTTCAAATAATCTCTCTTGTGCATTTTTTTTCAGCAAATTAGTCTCTTATTTTTCCTCCCCTCCCTGTCAAATATATGTCTTCAAAACTATTTTTTTCAATAAAACAAATATTAATCATGTTGGAGCAAGTGACCAAATTTTATTGACATAATGGCGATGGGACATTATTTTGAGAAATGTTTTTATATATTGTTTTACTTAAAATACAGATTTCATGGTATTTGGTTCAATAGCACCAAGTAAAAATGTGATTTTCTTCACATTGTTTACATAATTCTACTTTAAAGCTGCTGGAGCTAAAAATAGTGCAAGATTATAGATCTTGCTATTTCCACATGTCCAGAGTAGGAGGCTCCTGTAGGCTGTAGAATCTGCAGTTTCTGAGTCAGCCACCCCTTCAGCCAAAGTTTCCTCTGGATGTTAGGCAAAGTGCCCACATTTCTCAAAGAGACTTCCAAACTATTTCCCCAGGTCACTTCTGTAAACTCTCTTTCCTGCGGATTCTCCGTCATCCCATCATTACAGAAAAGCCTGAACTTTCTTGAGTTCACCTGTATCCCTCTTCATCTTCCCTTCTATTGGCTCTTTGCAACTTATCACTAAAATCAGTAAATTTCTTATATTCTTATCTTCTCCAAAGGATTTTCTCTCCTTCCTGACCGTAACTGAAACCAGATTACTCACTGAGAGTTTTGGTTTGCTTTCATCTCAATTGTTTTTTGCCGCTCTCTTGCCGGAAGCCTATAAATTGGCAAGTACACACATATAACCCTGGTTCCTTTAAGACTAATATTTCTTCACCTTCTTTGAAAAATTACTGTTCTAATTTTTGAAAAGAAACCCCACCTCCTATACCAAATTCTTTTCAGCTCTTAGTCCTATGTGTCTTCCCATTTATATATGAATTCCTCAGAAGTATTTTCCATATATACTAATGCCTTTTCCCTGCTATCTGCATTACACACCAATATGACTGTCACCAATATCACTTGCTACAATACTTCTTCATGAGGCTGCAAAGGCTTATATCTCTATACACCCAACTGATATATTAAATTCGTCTACGTACTTGATTACTCAGAGGCATTAAATACCAATAACTATGCTCAACTTCTTAAAATTCTCCAGTCCTGGGCTGGGTGCAATGGCTCATGCCTGTAATCCCAGCACTTTGGGAGGCCAAGGTGGGTGGATCACCTGAGGTTGGGAATTCGAGACCAGCCTGAGCAACTTGGAGAAACCCCTTCTCTACTAAAAATACAAAATTAGCCGGGCGTGGTGTTGCATGCCTGTAATCCCAGCTACTAGAGAAGCTTAGGCAGGAGAATCGCTTGAACCTGGGAGGCAGAGTTTTCAATGAGCCGAGATTGCACCATTGCACTCCAACCTGGGCAACAAGAGCGAAAGTCTGTCTCAAAAAACAAACAAACAACCAAGCAACAACAACAAAAAAATTCCCCAGTCATTTATTTGTCAATGTCCCCACAGTCTCCTGATTTTCCTACCACATCCTTTATCTCCTATTTTGCTTGCCAGCTAATTTCTCTACATTGATTATGTGTTGAATTTATTCATGACCTAGCAGAGATGTCTCCTTTTCTCTTCTATGCACTCTTCCCCTAGGATCTCATTTGTGTCCATGACTGTAATTCTCCACAGAAGATTCTCAAATATATATTTCTGCTCCATGAATAATAATAAGTCTTCCACTTTTGGAAGATAAAATCGGGTAATATATGAAAGACTAAGAGATAGAGGCAGGTTATTGGAGAAGGGGTCTCTGAGAAGCTGACATTTGAGTTGAAACTGGGACCATGGAAAAGGCTGTGGTAAGTGAGGATCCATGAGAAGGGGCCTTCAACAGAGAGAGCATCAGCTGCCAATCATCACAGAGGATGCAGAGTGAGATTAGAAGGATAAGCAGAGATCAAATGTCATAGGGCTTTGAAAGCCACCGGAAGAGTTTTGAATGTCTACATGTGACGGGAAGACATTGGAGAACATTAAGCAGGAGAGAGACAAGATTTGACTTAGGCCTTAATCAACTTGGCTGCTGTGCGGAATAGGTGGATAAGTTCAAGAGGGAATGCAGAAGGTCAGTTCACAGGCTTACGCAGAGCTCGGGGTAAGCCATAATGGTGGCATGAGCAAGGGGTGTAATGAAGGAAAAGATGAGAGCTTATCATTTTCTTTTTTACATATATATACATGATATCACATATATATATTTCATACATATGTATTTCAGAGAGTTCATAAATCTTTGTTGAATTAGATATAGTATATGGGTTGCCAGGAGGAAAAGAAACTCAGGAATGTTTTCTATAGTTTTGCCTTTTAAAAAAGAGAAGATTTTTGTGCTCCATAACAGAATGTGAAAGGTTTTTGAGGTGTGAACAGGGGAGGCAAACTGGTAGTTTTATTCTTTCCTATATTATATTGAAAGGCTATAATATATCTGAGTGAATAAGTCATAAAGGTAGTTGGATATGTGAGTCTGAAGCTCAGGGATAATGCCTAGGTTGAGATAATGTTAGAAACTATTATATAATAACCAATATGAAGGTAATATTTTAATCCAATGGCAAAATATGATCACATAGGAGAAGTGAAGTAAAAAGAAAGTAGAAGAGGTGGAGGATAGAACCCAAGGGTTCGCCAGTGTTTAGAGTCCTTACAAAGCAGTAAGGAGACAAAGAAGAGAAGCTAGTGAGGTATAAGTAAAATCTAATGCACCAGAGGTTTTGGAAGCACAGGATAGAAACTGTATTCAAGGAGGTTGCGGTAAACTGTGTTGAACATTATTGAAGTTTATTAGATTAAGACAGATATCTGACCATTGGCATATACACCACTGCCAACTTTGGTTAGAACTCCTGTTAAGCATGAAAGCCAAATTAAAACTGGTTGAGGAAAAATCTGGAAATACGGAAAGAGAGACACCAATAGACAAAGACAATTTTTTTCTAGCAGTTTTAGTCTTACGGGAAGGAAAGAAATATATGAGGAGTAGCTGAAAAACAAATCTGAGCTCAAATGAGATTATTTTAAAGATATTTATGTTAAAATATGTTTGTGTTTTGATTAGAGTATTTCAAAAGAGATAAGACAAATTTTATGCAGAAGACAGAATGCAAGGTAGAAGTCTTAGGAATGTGATAGTAAGCAAAGTCTAATTCAAAATTAAATTGGCCCTAGAGAGAGAGGAGAAATATTCCATTTTCATGTCAATCCCTACAAGGACTATCTTATTACAGATGCAGGTAGGTTGGCGGAGTTGGTGGTAGAAGGATGATTTTATTTTTCACTGATCTTACTTTTTAGTGAAATGTGAAAAAGGCAACACTTCAAATTGAGAAATGTGGAGAATTTTAGGAAACTTGAGGAAAGAGGATATGGTATAAAAAAGCCATTTTAGGAAAAGAGAAAATGAATTTACCAAGAAAGTAAAGTACTCTATATTTGCTGAGTATTCATTTTTAAGTTTTGTTCATGAAGTTTATATGAGCCCAGTGAACCTGGTTGTGTGGTGTGTTTCTGTCAGTGCTCAGCTGCTTCAGTTGAATTATAATGTAGATAGGTAGTTGGGTTTGGCCAAAGGCCTGACAGGTGTGAATAGCAGAAGGAAAAAAGAATAGAAAATTTTCCATGATATTATTATAGTGCTGGACCATGAAATCTCAGTTGGGTGACAAATATGAAGCCATAAAAGGGATAATAGATTATGAATTATAGTGAAAAAATGGTAAGTTCACTGAATTGGAGGTCTTAATGAGGTCAAATAATTTTGGAGTGGGATCACAAGAATAGGAAGAGATAATAAATTGCAAGGGTTGGGGTCAAGGTCATGGCAAGGTCTAGGGTGTGCACATTTGAGTACACAGCTGTGGTGGCTTTTCTTTTGTGGTGATAGAGAGCAAAGAAGGCAGGGAGCAGTGCTGTATCATCAGCACAGCAAGAGCATCAAAACCAGCCTTATTGCTTTCACTCTTTTCCTCCAACATTCAACCCTAATCCTCACATGAAGAATCAGTGTTGGGCAGGCAAACCAGAATATGCTCACACCCTCAGCTTAAAACTCTTCAATGTCTCTCATTGTTCTTGGATAAAGAGCACAGTTCTTAAAATGGCCTCTAACACCATGTATTGACAGGCCTTGGCTGAGCTATCTTGCCAGCCTCATCTAAACAAAGCGCCCCTTCCTGACTTTGCTCCAGGCCTTGGGGCCTTCTTTCTGTTTCTCGAATGTGTGCTGTGCTTTCTGCCTGTGCTCTAGTGTTCTCACTCCTCAGTGAATCAGCTCTCCTGACCCCTTCAGGTGTCAGCTTGGTCAGCAATTCCTTGGAAAAGCTTTTCCAGACCTTCCGAACTACCGCAAACCTGATCCTCATGCCTCCAGAGTTCAGAAATGCAAAATAAAAAATAAAGATCATGTCCTACACTTCACAAATGTAATATATCAAAAATATACCAGTTTAGTGAGGTTATGGGAAAATATGCCCTGTGTTCTTTCCATTTCTTCTTCCACAAAGGTCTTTCCATTTCCTCTTCATCATTATAGCTCTTATACATTGCTGATTAAAGCACATGTGAGCTATAATGTGGGTTTTATACACCATTAAATTTATAAAAAGGATAAAAAGCACATATACACTATGAAACAAATTTTGTAATAATACAATACTAATAAGAGCATAATTTTGGTATATATTGCTGGAAAGTGAATAAATATATACCTAAAAGAGGAAGAACCACTATTATAACTGTATGTTTCAGTCAGTGGCAATATAAAGTATACTCAGAAAATATGCCCTTTAAATACTATGCTATATTAAGGCAATACAATTCATTCTTAGAATAATTTCAAAATTCACCAAAATGCTTAAAGATCTCTATAGATTATGTTTGGATAGAGAAACTTCAAATTAGTTTCTGGAAAATGAATTTAATGCGTTGAGTAGAATTAGAGAACAGACTCTCACTAAAAGCCTAGACCTATTTTCTGGAAATTTCCGTTGACTGTAACTAATGCAGCCACTTACTCTAATGCTATGTTTAGTTGTACTCTGCCACCACTCAGTTGTTTCTATCTGGCGTATCATGTGTGCTTATCCTCTCAGAGGTGGGCTATTCCAGGAAATTGCCTGTCAGACATCTGAACATCTACTGTTCTGGGGGTAATCTGGCTTTTTCCTATATTATTAGGTGAATTAGACAAAGAGATTTGTGCCTTATGAAAAAAACTCAATCAGATTTAAAAATATATAAAACATTCTTATCTATAAAAACAGAATAGATGGATAGAATTAAACTCTAATTATAGACATTGTCATACAAAGAAACATGCAAAATTAGAAAACTAGAACAAATGAGCATTTTGTGTTTTAATTTTTACCTAGAAGAAGAATTGAAAAAGTATACTTATTTTTAAATGAGAAAAAAAAACACTAATAAAAGTCAGGAAAAGGAAAAAACAAACATACCTGACTTTTCTCATTGTGTTCTATTTTAGATCCTAAGCACAAGTTATTTACTTTTTTAGACTTGGGTGTGGAGATTAAAGAGAAGGGACCGTAATATATAAGAGACAGCTCTTGGGATTTATCATCAATCACCTTGGGGTCATATTCTGATCAATCATGTAATCTCAGATAAATTACGTCCCATGTCTAAATTTTTGTTTTCCATAAATATAAGATGGAGATAATGAACATTCTTGTCCTATGTGCTTCCTAGGGTTGAGTCTATGATAAAATGTGGTAATGTATGTAGCAATTCTTTATAAATTACTAGGCAAATAATAATTATATTATCATTGTGTTAATTCTGAGTTTGGAAGGGGATCCTCCAATTCTCTGCAAATACTGATGCCATAAAAATTTATGAAGATCATTAAGCCTTATTCACTGCTTTGTGGAAGAGGAAATTGAAAGAACACAGGACATACTATACTATTGGACGTTTCTTTAGAATTGTCCTTGATGGCAATTTGGATTCCAAGTGGCTACTTCACCACTGTGCTATGAATGCAAGAACTGAAGCCTGCACAATGAAGCCCGAGCTTTTGAGGTGAATCTTATCTTGTTAGGGTGAGGTGGACAAAGAATGATATTAAAAGTGTATTTCTAAAAGACAGGATATGCAAGACCTTTAATGTCAATCTCTTATGGGAAGTATCACATTTTTATTCTGTATAAAGAATTGTGTTTTCATTATATCTCTGCATGTTAAAATATAGAGAAATCTGGTCAACAAGTGTGGAAATTCAATGAATCTATTAGCCATCACCTTTAGCTGTGGACTTTGGCCATGTTTGGCTATTTGCCACATTCAGTTAAGGAATCTTACAGGGAATAGATTTAGTAGGACTGTGAGGAAAGACTTAGGAATAATTTAAGGAATAAAGCTCTTGGGTTGGTCAAGAAGGATCTAAACTTAAGGGTCTAGGATGCAGGTCTTTATTTACTACAGATAGAATAACGGAAAAGAATAAGCAAAATAAAAATGTTAAAAATAGTAGACAGAAGAAACAATGGGCACTGTATATCTGTCCCCTAAGAAAATGCCAAATTCAAATCATCCTCTGGAGTTAAGTTGCCCTTTTCTCCTATCCTGTCTCCCACGTGAATGAAATGGACACAGAGTTTCATTTTCAGTGGACGCGTACATTTGCAGTATCTCAATGGGTTATAAACAAGCTTCATATAAAGGTAGTAAAATGTATTATTAACCCCCAAAGATATAATTGCCTTGTACATAAGGCAGTGATGATAGCATAGAAATGAAAATATTCAAAAACTCTCATTTCAGGCTCAGGTGATGCAAGTAACCATGGTAACGTTTCCTGACAGCCTTAATTTAAATAGCAGATTCCAAAGAAAAAATTCCAAATGGACTCCAGAAAGGAAATGGATTATTCAAGGTCCACATAAATCTAATTTAAATAAGTGCTTTACACAAAAATGGAAAGTCTTTAAGTTATAATGTCTTTAGCTTTGTGTTCAACTTTGATAATGATTTCTTTTCTTTTGAATGTATTTATTCACAATGATTCTTAGGTAGCAATCAAAAGCTTTCTATTGCTTTCCTGGTCACTGCAATCTATGGAATGATGCTATGCCAATGTCACAGAGAACAATATATTAAAAATAGAAGCAGCATCCAAATTCACAAGAGTTTTGATATGAGAATTTTGAGCAAACCAAATAGCTAGTTAACACAGCCATTGCTTTTCAATTCCCTATGTCCACAAAGAGATACACTTTGGAGCTACACATTTACAAGAAGGACATTTCCATAAATACATACATATTACTTCTATGTAGAAGTTTGGCTCCAAATTCTTATAGGTTCTCTCACCCTATTGAGCTGGACTCATTCATCATGCATAAGCTCATTCTGACTTTTTAGAAACAGATTAGATTTGAGCCACACATAAACCTGTTCCTCCATGTTTTCTTACTTCTTTCTGTTTTTGTTCCTACTTGTCTTTCTAAGGCGGAGAGCACATTCTTAGCTGAATCTTATTATGGTTCCAAAATAGGAAAAGCACAATCGAAGAGGAGAGAGAATTTTCCCAAGCACATTTAATTTTAATCTTTTTTGTTTCAGACTTTCAACCACTACTGGTGACCACATCCTATCATTGATGAGTCTATGTCTATTACAACTTTGTATATTATATCAGTGTTCTCTTTTCTGGAAGAGAGAAGCGGCAAAAAGCATCCTTGGAATTCTCTTGACAGTGATGACACATTACTGAATATATGGATGATTGTACCTTGTGAACTAATATTTGCAATGAGGTTTTATTTTAATTCATTGTATAGATTAATAGCATCTTTCAGTCAGGGACTATGCATATTTTTTAAAAAATAAATATGAAAAATGTGACACTATATGTTTCTAAAGCATAACATGAGTATTTGTTTAAAAAAATGGGTGGGAAATAAACGTCAGGTTTGATGAAGTTCTTCAGAATCTCTCAGGCCTGTACTTGATGAATCAAGAGTGAAGAAAAAAGAAATTCTGAAATGTCTTCTTCCTTACCTCACACACATTGGCCAAAACTTCCCGATATCAATTCAAACAGCAAATCTGAGCAGGGGTGTCAATGACTCAACTACTTTCAGAACTTAATAGAAATGACCTTGCATAGGCAACTCGTCTAACTCTTTGAGGAAAACTGATCAATTTAAGTTCATTTCACTTAATTTCAATGGATATTTGGCATTCTCTTGCTTTAATCAATCCCATGATTCAAAAGAAGCTATCAAAACCACTGTGATTTGTTTTCAAATTTCTCAAAATTTGAAAGTCTGCATTCAAACCTTCACAGCAATGCTTTATAAATAAAACAACAAAAAATTTAAACATGAATATTTCACGCAACTGGGCCTATGTTATTATCACAGCACTATATTCAAATATTCAAAGCCCATTATGGAAATACATTATGAGCTTGTAGCATCATTTTTGTATTTTTTTCTATATGACTTATGTATTTTTTATAGTACAGTGATATCTAAGTGTATTATCATTCTCTAAAACTCTTTTACATGATTACACATTTTCAAGGTAACTCAAAAAAATTCCTAAAACACTGATTTGTCATGGAACCTCGTGGGTATTTTAACACCAGAGAAATATCATTCATTCTACTCTACAAAAGGTGTGGTCTCTAACCCATGTTTAACTTAGTTAAAAAAAATCTGACGTATGTATATTACATTTTCTTTTGTGTCAAATACAAATTCTTAGAACATGTTTTAGTTCACATCTATTATGTATGAAAGTGCAAGAAGTCCTGGAATTTTCTGAGAATAGGGCATCCAGAATTTGAGACATTTGCAAATTTGTACTGGAAGTATAATTACAAGCCTTCTATTTTTGTCAGTGTTTTGACATTTCTAGTGGTTATCTTGCTATGTGCCGCATGTGTAATAAAGGGTTTTTTTCGCCTTTTTTTTCAGTTAGGCTATCATAGCTAAAAAATTTAAATAAGAGTGTTAGTAGAGATTTTACTTAGATACCCAAGTTATTCCAAGAAATAGGCCACTTGATGATGATAGTCCAACTATTACTCAGATGATGTTAAAGGACTGCAACTTGAGTGTGTTATTGTGTAGATGAATAATGCTTGCCCAAGATTCAAACTGAACAGTAAGAAAAGACACAAGAAAAGGTTAAATTTCAGTTTAGGTGGTCATTTTTAATGCTGGTAACTATCACTCCATAATTTTTCCAAACTTTCATTATTTGCACCGAAATTACAAAGCTGTGATTGGTAAACACAGATTAGTTAGGAAAATATGTGTAATATTTGAGAATAAAATCCTTATACTGATGTAAACACCAAATCCTATAAACAGTAGGTCCTGTCACAGGTTTACTTCCCCCAAAAGAAATGGAGCTGGCTTAGCCTTCTTGGAGGCAATTTCCAAATTTCACCCAACACACTCTAATCCCTGTACCCTGACTGATTTTATAGGAATTCCGATGTTTAATTTTGTTTATTGGCTTATGTGGCCTACGTACAGTTATTTTAAAATGCAAAATGAAGGACATACTTTCTGAAAGAAAATAAAAATCAATGACTGCTTGAGGTTGGCCAGGCCCTACCATAGTCCAACTCATCCACATAGTGACTTTGGGAAAAAATAGAAAAAAAAAGTCCCTTAAGAGTAAAATGCAGGCCAGTAGGCCCAGAGGAGGGCTGGTGGGGGCAGGATTAGCTTTCTAGGGATGTTGCATGTTCTTTCTGTGGTACGTAGACCTTGCATAAACTCAGACTGTCTTTGTAGGCAATTTGGGGTTTGTAACAGCCATCTCCCAGACTAAGATCTCCCAGCTATGGGGGAAAAGGGGGACTTCTTTAATCTCCTCAGGGATTGTACTAGATGCTTAAGCTAGGAAAGGACAGAGTGCACGGATGTGTGAAAACAGACAGACCAGATTAGGGTATATAGGATGGAAATGGAAATAGTGTAGGCTACTGGAAAAAAAAAAAAAAAAAAAAAACAGAAGGTAAGTGGGTTTTCATTTTTGACCTCAACAAGGGACTCACTGGAGAAGAAATACGGAAAAGCATTCCCTGCCGAGAACAGAACTGATGGCAACAGCTGCACATGAAGGACCAGGTAGTCAAGTATGTAGATCTATAAGGAGAAACAAGAAGTGTGATCACTGCTCAACTTGGAACCCAGGAGGCCATATGGGATTACAGTGGAAAATGAGATGTACCAAAGGCCCCAGATTTTGAACTAAAGGGTTTGGCACAAGTTCCATTGATATAGCTGATGCAGAGGAATAGAAAACAATATATTTTTATTGTTTTATTATTTTTATAGTTCTATAATGTTAGGAAATGATAATCTAATAAATAACATTTACACTGTAATTCCTGCTACTATGGTGAGCATGATTGTATTGATTTGGAATCAGTTTATTCCTGATATATCGATTGAACAGTAAGAAAACACACAAGAAAAAGTTTAAATTTCAGTTTAAATGGTCATTTTTCATGCAATTATAGCAGCATAAAACACATCAATTATTTCCGATTGTCCATGACCACAGCTTATCTATGTATGTGTCTATACATCTAGAGACTAAGGGTATCATTCAACTCTGCTCAAGTTTGGGGGAATGGCTTTCATAGCTATGATAATTCCTTCATGTAATTTCCTTCATAAAGTAACTAAGTTTAAAATACATGCATACTTTTTTAAAAAGCACATAAACTTTCTCTCTTGTCCTTACTCATCACTTTAGTATTTTTATATATCCTCAAGTTAGTTAAATATGTCCAAGGCCTTTAATTGCCAGAAGAAATTGTGTTATTTGATATGCATTCTGTTGCAAATCCCTGAATAGACTCTATAATCTAAGTATGAATCGTAAGAGATAATGCTTCAGGCCTTGTATTTTTTCTTTTTTGGTATAGAAATTTTTTTACCTGAACATCCAGTCCTACTCATAACTTCAAATGACTTCTTTGAGACAGAATTTCTTTAAGGAAACTTTAGACATTTCCATTTTAATAGACAGATAAAGCTTGTAGCCTTCAATCTCTAAAGTCATCAGCTTGAATGAAAGTCATTCAATTATATCAACTTTTTGAGAGATTTTCAGCTGTGGAAAAATAGCTCTGCTTCTCTCAATAAACTGAAATTGCAGGAGCTAGTTATGCTTCAGGTAAATGTGACATCTTCCAAGGTATGCACAAGGTACACACCTGGCTTCATGCCTGTGGTGTGTGTGATTATATGGGTGAGTAGAAATAAAGCTATTAAAACATAGTTGAGTAAGCTATGTTTGCTTTAGTGAAAATATTTAATTTAATTTAAATTTTCTATTCATTCTTTAGCTCTCTAAACCTCCCTGGAATACTGTCACCACAGCATTTGCTGTCCCTCTGCCTGGAATTCCCTGTCCCAAATATACACCTGGATTACTGCCTCACTCACCTTAGACTTTGACACAAATAGTTACTCTCAATGAGGTTTTCATGAGTATTCTAATTAAAAGTAAATTTTATTTCTCAACTCTCATCTTTTTTTTTCCTGCTTTAATTTTCTATATGACAATTCTTACCATATAACACCCTATGTGTCCTATTTTTTATTAGTCTTTCATTTAAAGTGTAAGCCTCCTAAAGACATCCTATGGGATATAAAAACATAAATTATTGTACTTAACTGCAGAATATCACTGGATATATTATCATACCTCTCAGCAAAATAATCCATGATCTCCCAGCTAGCCTTGCTGATGGGAATGTGCATGGGATGTACTAGCCAAATGGAATTCTCAAATTCTCATGAAATCTCTTTAGAACAGGACAGGATCGACTTTGCCTTTCATTTTCGACAACATCTTGCTCAGAGTACTGATTCAAGACTGGAATTGGAACAACCAACATGTAGACATTAATGATAAGCATGAGATTCAAGCCACATGCTAAGAGTGAGCAGAAAGATAGAGTCTGAATTCCTCACTGATGGCACTGGCACCAGACTTCATACCTCTAGACTCCCTCGCTTTGTGAGAAAAACAGCCCCACAAGTGATGAAGCCACTATTATTTGGGTATTCTATCAGGTAGTCGAATACAAACCCCAGTGGATGTAAATCTAAAAAACTCACAAAGCTCTACCCTCTTCCTGAATTCCAGTGATCCTCCGCCTGAGAATTGTGCTCTAGAATTGTAAACTGTGCTACAAACATTTAAGCAAAGGGTTTCCATGTAAAATAGACTTCAGGATGGGTTTTATGTTCTGATCAATATTTTTAACTGTGGAGGTTGTAGGGATGTTGTATAACGTGGTGGGAAAAATAAGAGACATGTATTAGAATTCCAAAATTTTACACAAGATTTGCTATAGAGTAGCCCCAAACTACAAGGATCTCATTCAATTGCCCTGGGCCTCAGTTTCCTCATCTGTAAAAGATAGTATTGGACTTAAAGTTCTCTGAAGTCTTATTTATTTCTAATACTATATGATTATTTCTGTGTTGTTTAATACCTTGTACTGTAGATTATTATTATATATAAAAACATGATTATTATAAAAGATTATTCTTCATTACATGGAGGACTCATTACATGAAGGGACTCAGCTCAAATAAGGGAGAGCAGAGCTGAAGGGTATGAGGAAGAGCAAGACCTGACTCACCAGTGCCACGGACAGCAAGGGCAGCATTGCTGTAACCATGCTACAAGTTGCTTTAATTAATTAATCTGGATGAGAGAGGCATACCTGGTAGGAATCTATTACTGAGACACAAAATAGTCCAGCCACTTCTGAGGGCTGCCTGTAATCCCAGCACTTTTGGAGGCCGAGGCGGGTGGATCACCTAAGGTCAGGAGTTCGAGACTAGCTTGACCAATGTGAAACCCCGTCTCTACTAAAAATACAAAAATTAACTGGGCATGGTGGCCAGCGTCTGCAGTCCCAGCTACTCGGGAGGCTCAGGCAGGAGAATTGCATGAACCTGAAAGGTGGAGGTCTCAGTGAGTCAAGATCATGCCACTGCGCTCAAGCCTGGATAACAGAACGAGACTCACTCTCAAAAAAAAAAAAAAAAAAAAAGGCAGGGAAGTAAGAATACTGACTGGGAGTATTTCTTCTTTCAAATTAAGCCATTATTATAAAAAACATCTGGCAGTGAAATAATGCTGTGCTAAGTTGAAATTTAGCAAAATAAACATAAAAAGGAGCTATTATAGGCTGCATTTTCCCATTATTCCAGGGGACATTAACTAAGATTAAAACATGGTTTAATAGATTATTAATTATAGATGAGTTAAACTTAAATTACCTGCTCTGTAGTGGAAGTGGATTAAATTTGCCGACTATAAGTACTTAAAAATCTTCATACATAGATATTCTAGTAGGTGTTTTATGACAGTGTCCACAACCTTTTAAAACAATCTTATCTTTTACACTTAAAAAAAAATAGTACACACTGGCCAGGTGTGGTGGCTCACGCCTGTAATCCTAGCACTTTGGGAGGCCGAGGCGGGCAGATCACGAGGTCAGGAGATCGAGACCATCCTGGCTAACATGGTGAAACCCCATCTCTAGTAAACATACAAAAAATTAGCTGGGCATGGTGGCAGGTGCCTGTAGTCCCAGCTACTCCGGAGGCTGAGGGAGGAGAATGGCGTGAACCCTGGAGGCGGAGCTTGCAGTGAGCGAAGATGGTGCCACTGCACTCCAGCCTGGGCGACAGAGTGAGGCTCCGTCTCAGAAAAAAAAAAAAAAAAAAAAAGTACACAACTACACCTATATATGATACATATGACATAAATTTTAGACCTTAATGCTATTGGTTAGGACAAGGGGATGGACCACTGTCATTTTTTAGCAGAAATTTGAAAATAGGCAACAACAAAAATGTAGTTGTCTAAAATCTTTTACAGGAAATTTTCCCTTTATTAGCTTTATTATGTTGCCATGGCCAATACTCCCGTACTTAATCTGGTCCCCACTTAACCCTCTGCCTTTCTCTCTCATATCTCTACTCCTCCAATCACAGCACTGTCTTTCAGCTTTTGGACACACAATCACATTTGATGGTGTTTTTACTCTCCTTTCTCTGTTTGGACATCTGTCTTCATAGCTTACTTCTCCATGTAATGTTAGCCTATCTTCAAATATCACCGAATTCATGTGAAGCTTTCACCAACCATATCGTAAGCAGCATTATCTCTCACTTTTGATCTCTTGATATGGCTTTGTTATTTTTTCAATGCACTTATTAATACCTTATATTATGTATTAACCTGCTTCTGACTGTTTTTGCCCCTAGCATATAAGCTTCATGAGCATTACATTCTATTGTCTCCACTGCATATCCCCAACAGCTGCAATGGTGCATGGCATACGGTAGCTGTTCATGAAATGTTTCTTGGATAAATAAATCATTATGCACTTCAATGTCAGCTTACTCATATCATTTTATACTTCTGAGAGTAAATCCTTAATTCCCAGAGTGCTACCTGACTCTCCATGACTTTTCCAATTAAAATAATTCTGTTTTAGACAGTTCTCTCCCATTGCAATGTCTCCGTGCCAGTCATCCTCTCTCTCTGGAATTTTGGCATTCCAGTCCAGTGTCATGAAGAACTCGGGTTCAAAGGACAGTTCTATAAGATGTGTTGGAGGGTACATAAGTAAATGGAGACTTGAGGCTGAATACAAAGAGTATAACGTGATTAGGGTTCTGTTCTAAATTTATTTCAACTCTATTTTGGAAAGCATATCTCACTGCCAATCTCTGCTGCTGGGTAACTCCCCTGCCTGTAGACCCTAATTATCTATTGCAGGGTTTCTTCTCATATGATACATCTCCTGATCCCCATCTCTGTCCCCAGACACCTACGATTCTAGAGAATGGTCTTGTCAGATACTTGGATTAAGTATCTGACAATACCTCAATATGATACTTGGATTAAGTATCTGACAAGACCATTCTCTAGAATCATAGGTGTCTGGGGACAGAGAAGAAATAAGAAAGTTGTTAGGGCTCTGTTCCAAATAAATGTTTGCAATCTATCACACTCTCCCTAGCATTTTCTGATGATTTTTTTTTCTTGATAGCTAGGATAAGAGAATGATATTTGATGTTGACCTTAAAATGATTTAGGGATCTGTGTATGAAAAGATAAAAGATATTTTTGAATAATGCAATACATGTGTGATTTCTGATTCCTCTACTAGTTGAGAGTTTTTGAGAAAACCATTTAACTTCTTTGAAAGCTTTGTTTGTTTTGTTTTGTTTTTAAATCTGCTAAATTCTGGCCATAGTTTCACAGGAATATCATGACAATCATATGAAATGAACTATGTCAAGTGCCTAGATCATATTTGATGCCAGGTGAACCGGTGAACCATTACCTATTACTAACATGTTAGTTTAACTAGGAGGGTTATTAAGTGTGAAGAAAATGAGAAGAAAACAGAAGAGGTGGTACAAAAGATAGAATGACAGTAAACGAAAAAAAAAAAGGAGGATGAAAAAAATAAAAGAAGGAAGGCAAATTTACATACGTAGATTAAAGCCCTGGGCAAGACAATGGGCTGGGGAAGTCCGGGGTTATCTATACCCGCAATCGTGGCCACCACCTGGCCAGGAAACCCCTGTCTGGGGAATTGCTTCCCAAAGCCGATGCAAGAGGATGAGAGAGGGGAGCTGTGGATGATACCCTAATGGAAAGACTATGGGTGGGGCCTGATGGAGATGTTTCCAGAGAGGGCTGGCTCTATGGTCGCAGGCGCTTTTGAGATCTCCCTCTTTGTGGCTCAAAAAATGCACAGGTTTTCCAGGAAACCTTATGGATCGGGACCACTTTCTTTATGATGTGGTTCTTTCTGTTGTTTTTGAGACTGAGAAGTTGCAAATGGAGCAACCAGGACCGAAACGGCTGCCAGAAGGAATGCCAGGGGCTCACCCTTCACTTCCTGGAAAGATCCAGAAGATTACTGCTATCTTTGAGCTGTCTGTGGGTGACGTTTGAAATTCCATAGTGTTTGAATGGCTGATTATTTGGAGATTATATATATATATATATATATATATATATATATATATATATATTTATTTATTTATTTAACATTGGCACATTAATCTATTGAAACTTCTTGGGGAGAATTCGCTCCAAATGGTCTCATGGAGAGACTCTCAACTTGCAACTGGGCCCTCCATGCTATCCTGACTTACTTCTGTCTTTCACTCTGATACCAGAGTGTAGTCATTCCAGCTCTGGCCACCCCATTCCTTTCACCAAATTGCTCCTAACTGGAAGATCTTACTCTCCTGTTGTGGGGCAGGAACTGATGCCAGTAGAGAGGGATGTGTCCTGAACCATTAATGACTGCCTTTTTTTTTAAAAAAAAGAATGGAGCTGTCAGGAAGAGACATGCCCTCAATATGAAACAGACAACATGCATTACAACTGTAGTGGAAAGTGGCCACTGTGACTCTCTATGTAGGAGGAGGGCCAGCTACAGCTTCAGCCCCAGGATGGGGACTGTGGAGGACAAACCAGGAATTCATTTCCTCTGCATATTTCAGCTATTCGAACCTGTGTGCGTGTGTGTGTGTGTTTGTGTGTGTGTGTGTGTGTGTGTGTGTGTTTTAAGCCAATGCTCATGCTCTGTATTTAAATATTAAAAATGATTCCAACTGAAATGAAAAAACAAAGTATGTTACCATTCTTATATTCTCTGACTCAAAAATTCAAGCATTCTGCATGATAGTTGCCTTTTGTGGGAGATTAGAGTATAGCAGAACAGTGTTCTTAGACACGTAATTAAATTTACAAAGTCACTTGTGGGAATCATTAAGCAAATAAACATGACTCATCATTATTATGAATTATTATGATGAAATCATTGTGAATCAATCTATACTTATTAAATTAGAAATTGTACAAATAATTATTACATGGGGATAATTATTACTCCCTGATGTATCTGTAAAATTCTCAAAGGAGGAAAACATTATCCCCTCAAAGATGTAATAATACATTTATGAGATAAATTTTATCTAAGCAAATTTTTAAATAACACACTTAAAAAGATACTGTTTCTGTAAAAGAAAATAAAAATACACACTAATTTAGTAATCCTCTTGAACCACGCATTAATGTTTCTGAACCTGTTCATTGACCCTTGGTTACTTTTTCCACCTCATTTACCTCTATCACTTCTCATTACAAAACAGGTTCTATGTACACTGAACTTCTTTCTGTTTCTCTAATGGACCATTCACTCTTTCACCATTATACGGGAAAGTTCTTGGATTTTGTCCTAAACGCACATTCTTCAGGTTGTCTCCCTTGATATCTCTAGATTGGATTACATGCCTTCTCTAATTGCTTCAGAGCATCAACATTCAGGACTTCCTCGATCAAGTACTTACATCATAATTGCTTACTTAGTAGACTGTTTCTACCCAACAATACAACAAACTATATGAGGCAAAGGACCACAACTGTGTAGCTCACACTTAGCTGGCTCAATGAATATCAAAAAGATGAATTTGGAAAAGAAAAGGAATTATACTGATATGCTTATAAAATAAGAATTTCTAAGACACACATGCACTTGCCTACAAATTTATAAATGTGTTTTTGATAATGTGATAAAAATAAATTTGCCATCTAGGTTTGCCTCTTTTTTTTTTTTTTACTTTAAGTTTCGGGATACATGATATATGTATAGAACGTGCAGGTTTGTTACATAGGTAAACATGTGCCATGGTGGTTTGCTGCACCCATCAACCCCTCACTTAGGTATTAACTATTTGTGCCAATGCTCTTCCTCCCCTAGCCACCGCCAACAGGCCCCCAGTGTGTGTTGCTCCCCTCCCTGTGTCCATGTGTTCTCATTGTTCAGCTCCCACTTATGAGTGAGAGCCTGTGGTGTTTGTTTTTCTGTTCCTGTGTTAGTTTGCTGAGGATGATGGCTTCCAGCTTCATCCATGTCCCTTCAAAGGGCATGATGTCATTCCTTTTTATGGCTGCATAGTATTCCATGGTGTATATGTACCACATTTTCTTTATCCATTCTATCATTGATGGGCATTTGGGTTGGTTCCATGGCTTGCCTCTTGCTGAAGCTCAAGGAGCTTTCTCTCAGAAGGCTGTAGGGTAAGCAGTACCGTAATTGCCATTTCTATGACAATTATATTATCAGAAGAGAATACTATTTTATTTTAATTATGTATTGTCTTTCTACAAATACCGTCATGAATTGATAGGGGAAGGCATAGTCCTTGTTTATCTACAAAGGTGAAGTCACTTGAAATCAGTTATCAAGATAAATAGCAAGTGAACATACCAATAGAGTGCAGAATTGAATTCTTACATTTTAAAGAAATGTACTACATGATAGGGTATTCATCCAAGTGATGTGAGATTATGTAGCCTTATTTTGTTCAAAAGTATTAACTGAGCATATACTCTGTGCAAGGTAAGCTATTAGAGTTGTGCAGAGGAAGTTCCAAGCCTTTAATGAGAACACAGCTATATTTACACACATAAACAACACACACACACATACATACATATATTGCCAAGTAGAAGGAAATAAATTTCTTAAGTATTTTGAGTTCAGAGAATGGGATAATCGTTTTTTGCTGAAAAGATCAAAATAGACGCATCTTATGAAATGTGGCATTTAATCTCAGCCTTAATGGGAAAGAGTGATGATAGAACAAAATGAGTGTTGTATGAAATGTGCAATTAAAGTAGAGATTGTGGTGAGGGAAAAACAGGGAACATAGGAGATACATCTAAGAAATCTGAGTGGTATGTAGAGTGCATGCATAAATAAGAAAAATAAGCTATAAAGAACAGCTTGATCTGAAGCAGTGACGGTTTTGAATTACCAGGTAAGGATTTTGGATATTCTTCAGTATGCAGTGGGATAATTTGAACAAAGAAAAAATGTAAATGGAAATTTCCTAATTAGAGATTTTTTTAAAAAAATTGTTTTGAGGCAGAAAAAGAATTAGACTAATTAGAAGATGTTTAAACTAGTACTTCTAATAAATATCCGTGGCTTGCAGTGACATGCTCAATAAAGTTGTCAAAAACTAAAATCTTGTTAAAATGCAATTAAATGCCAACCATTTCAGATATATAACCATTTAATCAAGGCTAACAATAAAAGAAATTATATTTTGGTGAAAAACGGAAAATGAGCAAGAATGCTTATTATGTTAAAATCTCAAGGAGATCGATATCAGATTTAAAGACATCATCATTCCAGCCAGTAAGAAGTAAAGAAAATAAAAAGAACATACCATTCAATTTAGGAAAATTTCCATGATTTGCATATATAACTTTCATGTAAATTGCAATAGCCAAAACCTAGTCATGTGGACGCATTTAGCTTCATGAGATAGAATATTGAAACACTTCTTTATTCAAAATAGAATAAAGAAATATATTGAAATTGTTCAATATAGATATTTCAATATATTACTGAATAATTTCAATATATTATTGAATATAATCAATATATGTTGGATTATATATTCAATATATAATTGAAATATAATCAATTATATTTAAAATGTAATCTTTATCTTTGTTATCCATGTTCCTGGCTAAAACTTGAGGAATATAATACTACCGAAGGAGGAAACAATGGCTACTATGGAATATTTCTGATCTAGTTTTGTGCATATGACCAATGAAGTGCATAAAGAAGTAGTGTATAAAACTCCTGGGAAAATGTTATTTATTTATTTATTTTTACTGGTGGCCAGAATGTAAACAGAGTGACTGAAGCTGGTAAAAATAAATTTGTCTATAAGCGGAATTTAGGAGGAGTAGCTATTGTGATAACTTCTAAGAGATACTGGACAACATCATGAGTCACAAGGAGTCAGGCTGTGATTGTTTACCTTCAGACTTCCTCATGAGACAAATTAACTGCTGTCTTTTTTAATGCTACTATTACTTTATGTTTTCTGTCAAAGGCAAACCTGACCCTAAATAACACAGAAGAAAATCAGTTGTCTCTCTACAGATAACTCCATTTAAATTGCTACCACAATAAGATAAAATTGTTTTGAAAGTTTTCACGGATAAAATTAAGATTAACTGGTGAATTTACAGGTAAATAGGTATCATTTCATAGGTTGTTTATTGAATGCCTACTATGTATCAGACACTGTACTAGGTACCACAAATAAAGTGTGAGCTAAACCAAAAATGCCCCCATCTTTATGCAATTTTCTGTGTAAAGGATAAATATTTTAATAAGATAATTTCACCTCAAAAATATTAATCCATAATTTGAGAAAATTCTATGATGTAAAAGAAAAGAATGAACTTTCAGGCAGTTGGACATATCCTGTGTCTGTTACATATATGGAACAAGCTACTTTCATCATTTCTTGCTATTGATTTTCAGTCACAGACTGGATGACAGCTTGGGAATGTGGTAGAAAAAATTTCAGTGTGCAGAATGGACTCTTTGATATTGAAGGTCTTGCACACATCCTATGATCTCATAATCTTACAGAAATTATTCTATAAATCTTAAAATTGTTAAGGAGTAAATTCCAAATGATCTGTTTTAAATGTTCTCATATGTGTCTCATCATTTTTTTATATTTTAGTAGATAATAGATCTCATGCTATTAAAAGGAGTATATTAAATTCCAAATTTATACCTCTGCCCTCTTGGGAGTTAGGATGCCTTTTATATTCCTCCATGATATTGAATGCAGGTGTTGGATATATTAGCTGCTTAAGAAATACGTGTTGTTGAGTAACTTATCTTGTCTCAAGCTGATGCTCCATTAATTCTCTAGGAAGTCAGAAAATTCCAAAAAGGAATTTGCTCCAGGTTCATAGTGTAAATAATTCAAGGAACTCAAAGAAAGCAGCATAACCACTGATAATGTAATTGCCTTATTAATCCTGTAAGCCTTTTTATTCTATTGAAAATAGCAGTGTCTCACAAACAGCTATTGTTAATGGCTTTTTTAAAAGCCTTCCTTTGCAAGATTAAGATGAAGATATATACTGATATGTTCTCATTAATTCTGAAGGTGCTGTGTTTGCTTTCTTTAGACACTCTAATTACTCTACATTATAAAGCTATATGAAATTTAACTTAGCAAATTCAGAGCTGGCAATCAAATGTAGCTTAAAAGTGATCTCTTGTTTTACTTCTTAGAAGCAGTTTTCGTCTTGAAATGCCTTCCTGTAGCATTTTATATTATCCCCAAGTGGCATTAGAGTCATTTAACTAACAACTCAAAATAATGTAACAACATAACTTAATTAACTTAAAAAGGAATTGCTAATGATTAAAAAATGGCACAATTATATTAAGGCTTGAGGGTACCTAACAGCATAGATATTTCTGAAAGCAAACATGTAATCTACCCTTCCCAGCCTCTGGTAACCACCATTCCACTCTCCACCTCCATGAGATCCACTTTTTCAGCTCCCTTATATAAGTGAGAACATATGTAATATTTGTTTTTCTGTGCCTAGCTTATTCCATTCAACATAATAACCTGCAGTTCTTTCCACGTTACTGGAAATGACAGGATTTCATTTTTTAATGGCTATTTCAAAATAGCTAGAGGAGAGAAATTGTGTTAAGAATGTTCCTAACACAAAGAAAAGACAAATGTTTGAGGTAAGGGTTGTCTCAATTAAGCTGATTTGATCATTACACATTGTATTCATGTATCAAAAATCACATATACCTCAAAAATATATACAATTATTATATATCAATAAAAACATATAATCTAAAATTAAAATATAGTAAGTTTTTTAAGAGTCATTGAGGTATTATTTTTAACTACAGTTCCTAAAAGAGGAATGTGTTGGTGAACACTATAGAAGCCATATTAATAGACAGAAACTCAAGATGAGGGATTATTCAGTAGAAGGTATAGATGACTGATCTTTTGCAGTGTTTTCTAGGGAATTCTACCTACTTGGGGTACTGGTTTGAGAGACTCACACACACATAAATGTTTTGTGATTACATCACATTGTGAAGTGCTGGGTGATAAAAGTATAAAATATTTTTCTAATATAAACATTAGTTTTCTCTATTTGCTTTTGCAGAACATTTCATGTGACTAATTTTGAATGACTTAGAGAAAATGAAGCAAGTCTTACTTCATTTTAGCAATTTGGGGCCTGGATTTATGTGTTTGAGTAGCTTCATTGATTCCATTACACTGAGTATTATATGTACATCTAGCATGTTATCACAGAAAGATCCCTGTAATGAACTAGCCCTGAGGCCAAAACTTTTATCACTGTTTACTAGTTACATCATCTGGAGCTGTACACTTAAACTTTATGAATTTTAATTATATCACTGGCAAGAAAAACAAAGACAAAATAGTGATACTATTTACCTAATATAATTTATGTGCCTTTTAAATGCCATAGTTTTCATAAATTATAAAATAAATTATTATCATTGTAACTGTTATTTGATTTACATTTAAGTTTATAAATCTTTAGGTAAACATATATTTTAAAAATAATATGGACTTTTCTCTCTCGTATACTTTATCAAAAATTTAACTTTCAGAAGACAAAAAGAATCCCGTGATTGTTATGAAAACTGTCAGAAAGTATACGTACTGACATACATAAAAAATGCTTATGTAGTTTCAATGATTATGTATAAATCAGAGTGGAAACCTCCAGCTCTTGGCAGGATATACTATACCAACATTCTCAGTATTTCATGCCCAAGTTTGATGAGTAATATAAAAACTTTTACCAATATTTCTGGCTTCTGACTATATAAAAGAGTGTATATGGGCCGGGCGCAGTGGCTCACGCCTGTAATCCCAGAACTTTGGGAGGCCGAGGCGGGCGGATCACGAGGTCAGGAGATCGAGACCATCCTGGCTAACACGGTGAAACCCTTTCTCTACTAAAAATACAAAAACATTATCCGGGCACGGTGGCGGGCACCTGTAGTCCCAGCTACTCGGGAGGCTGAGGCAGGATAATGGCGTGAATCCGGGAGGCGGAGCTTGCAGTGAGCCGAGATCGAGCCACTGCACTCCAGCCTGGGCGACGGAGCGAGACTCCGTCTAAATAAAAAAAAAAAGAGTGTATATGTAAATCAATACGTAATACGGGTGTGGATTAGGAGTGAGATTAAGTAGTGATGATGTGAATATAGTTGAAAAGGACTTCATATTTGATTCTTAAAAAATATATTAAAAGATAATAGAATTGTAATGCCATAAGTTTATAAATCCATTCTAAATTAATTATCATAGGCTTTTCAATACTCAAAAGTTACGACTTGGCTCTGAGTAAAATAAACAATTAAATATATACTGAATCAGAAATTAACATGTTATAAGATAAAACATGTACTTAAGAAGCTTTTGAGTATTAAAAAAAAAGGTTGATATAGAGGTGATCTTGGCCAGAACATGATGCAACATATGAAAATATAAAGTGCACAACTTTTAAAATAGGCTTTATATTTTAGAGCAGTTTTAGGTTAATAGAGCAGAAGGAACAGAGACTTCCCACACACTCCCTTCCCCCAGCTATGAACACCTCACCCCCAAGAGTGGTTCATTTGTTACAAGTGATTATTCCACATTGACATGTCATTATAACCAGAGTCCCTAGTTTAGGGTTTCCTCTTGGTGTTGTATATTCTACGGGTTTGGACAAATGTATCCACCATTATACTATCATGCAGAATAGGTCCACTGCCCTAAAAATCCTAGGTTGAAGCACAAAATTTTAAAAATAATTTTTATGTTTAATTTAGAGAGAAAAAATGAGGAGGCACTGGCCAACAGAGAGTAAAGGCTGAAAGAAGAAGAGCAGCAATTTAGAGATATTATAAAGAAAAAATATAATGGCTTTGAGCCATTTTGGGGAAAAATGATCTTAGCCTTTAAAAACCAAAAGCAATTCTGAAAATTGAGAGGCTTAAAAGGAATATTTTATAAAACGACTGTAGCTGCTCATAGTGACATTATTCTGATAACGCAATCAACCGCAGATTCTCACAAATGACTCTTACCAAGAATGCATTTATAGCAAGAACATATTCATAGCTTTACTTAAAAAGCGTTGCTTTAAGACATTTATTTAACTTGCTTGGGCAGTAGTGAGTAGAGAAGATTCTTAGAAATAAAACATCTACTTCTGGAGAAAGATCATGATTATAACGAAATTTCACCCCTTGCCAAATGCCTATTGATTATTTCAAGATTTCAAGGTCCAGATCAAATGTTACTTTCTTGTTACATTTTCTTTTCAGGATAAAATTATTTATTCTTTTCTGATTTTTAATATAACTTTATCTATTAAATCATTTATCCAGTAGATATTTATCAACACACACATTTTGTTGTGATAGAGATGCAGAAAAAATTTTTAAATCTGCCTTTAAAAAAACAAATTCTAAGGGTGAAAAAATAGTATGGATAGAAAAAAAAATGTGAATAGAGGCCTAACTATAAAGTGTTCCTTTTAGGATGGTGTAATGAGGTCTGGAAGAAAGGGTTGCAAAGACATTTTCAGAGGAAAATTGGTTTCTGAAACAAGCCTTGAAGAAAGAGGAGTTAATTAGGCAAAGTAAAAAGAACCTGTGTGCATTTATCATATCACATGAAAAATATTTCTTTATGTATCTACCTCATATTTCCTCAATCTGAGAGCAAAGATAGGTATCACAATTTACTTCTTTGTTCTGCTAGCACTTAGAAAGAGTACTTGGGTTTTAGGTGTCACTCAACAAATTAATAATATATAATGTATAGACATGGAAAAGATAAAATAGTGACTCTGAGGTAAGTGCTGTTTTGTACTACGGGAACATCAAGAACAGAGATGGAGGACTTTAAAAAAAAACTTCTTGGAATTAGGATTTTGGTAAGAAAGCAATTGTGGCAGCACAGTTCTTGAAATTTTTTATATTTTTCCCATAAAATTAAACAGAACAGCTAAGAGAGAAAAAAAAAACAGGACAATGAAACTAAAAAGTCATGGAAAATGAATTTAATAGTTAGGAGGAAAATATTCTCATGTAACTCAATATCTGAGTGGGAAGGGATAAACTATCAACTACAAAACCTACATAGAATCAGTATTTGTACATGAGGAAGTAGGGGGAAGTAATGGAATATCAAACGGACCTAGAATCACCAGAATAACTATTAGCTATTCACTCGAAATCAGAAAGAGCTGGTTTGAGAACAGTGAGTACAAAGGTAAAGGGTTAACATACTCCAATGGGTAAGTGCAAAGAACTGGGATAAGGTTTAAAAGAGATAAAATATTAATAATTTGAGCTCATGAGCCCTCAAAACTAACTAGCTACATTACACTTTCAGGACAGCCCATTCTGAAAAAAACAAAAAACAAAAACATAAACAAACAAACAAAAAACGTTAAAAATAGACTCTGAGGGGAAAAGGACAGGGACAATGAAGATAAAGAGAAAAAGAAAGTCCAGATAAAATGTGGGAGGGAAGAGAGCCAAAGTCTGAAAAACCAAGCCATGTATATTTAACACTTTACAGATGAAAAACCTCTGGAGTTATAAAATTAGGAAACAATCTCATCATGTCTCCCATCTAAAAGTTCAGGAAAATGCTTTTGCATACAAATGAGAAACGGAAATAAATAAACCCAAATTTTATACAATGTTCATATATTTAAAAAGGACAGAAGTCTAAATCAGAGAGAACATAAGAACAAATACACATACAATTTATGCATGAAGAGAAGTTACAACAAGAAAGTTTTAATATGTAAAAAAATGACAAAAAAGAATTAGATAAAAATATAGAACAGAAGCAAAGTAGATGCAACTAACCCATAGTAGAAATATCTGAGCAAAAAAGAAATTGCAAGTAATCATAACTATAACTTTAGAAAGCATATTAAAACAACATTAAATAAAATTTGAAATTCTATGTTGAATGAAGAAATGCGCCACATTCCTGAAAAACTTCGATTCATTCTTGGAAAAACTTACCTATAATGCCTAACAAGAAACTGTTACAGGTAGTTAGACAGGCATGAGTGGGGGCAGGAGAGGGCTCTCCCTCATCCACTAGGAATGTCGGGCGATGGTTTGGCAATTATCAGATTTTCTCTCTACAAATGATAAACTGGCAGCCAGCGCCAGGGAGTGGCCATTTTTTGATGGTCCACACCTGTTGCACTAAAATATTAATTGACCACAGATGCCAGGGAGAAGCAACTTCCTGGACATGCACATTATCGCGCCATTGCACTCCAGCCTGGGTGACAGAGTAAGACTCCGTCTCACACACACACAAAAAGAGACAAAATGGTGAAGTACGACCTCCTGGGGGGCACATCATCGAGAAAGGGAAGAAACCCTCAGATAGGCATGGATACAAATTCCTGAACACACTGTGCATGCTCACTTCCCAAACATAAGGAAGGCACTCATGCACGCAGCTCACCCTAAGGAAAGAATCCTAGGAAAGACACAAGCCTCTAAAGTCCTAGGATCAAAGTTCAACACTGCACTTGTTCTTCAGGTTGCCCCCTTGGGTCTCTTCCAAGCATACTTTCCTTTCTTTCCTGTTGTAAACCCTTTTAAAATAAACTTCAACTTCTGCTCTGAAACTTGCCTCAGTCTCTTTTTCTGTCTTATGCCCCTCAGTCAAATTCTTTCTTCTGAGGCGGCAAGAACTGAGGTTGCTGCAGACCCATATGGACTCACTGCTGATAGCTCAGATACCTTCCACCAGTAACATATTTGGTGGCATGAGACTCAGATATTTGCCACCCCTAGCAAAACATCCTAATAAATTATGGATGTTACTGGAAAAGAAAACAACTGTCATGAAGACAGGTAAATGAAAGGGCTAGTAGAGATAAGAGAATCCAATTGTCATTAACTTTCAAAAGCTGAATAAGAATAACACTATGAACATTTTTATAATACAAAAGAACAATTGGTCAAAGATTTTTATTCCTCTTAACCTGCTTTTCAAGTATAAACACTACAGATACCCTATCATCAAAATGAAATTTTTCCAGGAATATATTCCCCAGAATTCTTCTAGAGAATGAGTATTTTAGAATTAAAATTATGGGGAAATATTGAGATATAGTAGTTATCTCTTAAATATATATTTAAATGTAGAGTAGAATAAATTAGGAACAAAAAGGAGAGTGGAAATTATATAATATCTATTATCTTCTCAAATGTTGATGCAGTTAAAAAAACAGAAAAAGTATATCCAAAATATTCTTTAAAATATTTTCTTAAATCAAATGGGTGAATGCTGTATTGACATTCTGAGAATGTTCTATGTGTAATGTAGAATAATGAGAAAAAAAGTCTTACTTTAACTTCATCTTCCCTTTTGTCCTTGAGAACCATGATTCTTTGTGGGGAAAAAAAGGAATAATAGATGTGAGCTGAAGAACTTTGTAAATACTAAGTAGACTAGAATTTAAACTGGGAGTATCAATTTAAGCTCAATGTATCAAATCTCAAAAAATAATTATTTCGTATTAAAGACAAAAAAGCTCTTCTAGCTCTGACAACATCAAAGGTCTAGAAACAATGACATATCCAGTATCAGTGATTGTCTGTAGCAGCCAGACTGAAATACCATTTGCTTCTAAAACAAAGCAAGCTTTCTTGGAGAAAATGCTGACTTCAAGTCTGGAACAAGAAAAAGGAACAGGATGAGCTCAGAAAATCTTGTTTTATAATGTATGGCTCTACGGATAATTTTTTTTTTTTTTTAATCACTAAGCAGTTGTTTTCTAAAGGTGTGTTATTTTTATTTTTAAATTATTATACATCAAAATGTTTTCCTTTGTCTTATTTTTTGCAGACAGTTCCAACAGTCCACAATTTTAGATTCATGTAACCACTTCCACAATCAGGATACAGTATGCATCCATAATTTCTTCCAAATTCCTCATGTTATTTCCCTATAATAACATCTATCCACCCATAATGTTGGCAACACTGACCTGCTCTCTGTCACAGCAGGTTTGTCTTTGAAGAATGTCATATACAGTTAATGGATTTATATAGTATATAACTCATTAAGACTGGCTTCTATCACCAAGTGTAACATCTTTGAAATTTCTCCAAGTTATTGCACTTATCCATAGTTTGTTCTTTTTTTATTGTTGAGTGTTATCACGTTGAATAGATGATTACGTATTGTTTATCCACTCGCTGAAGAACTTTAAGTCATTTTCAGTTTTGGTATATTAATGAGAAAGTTGCTATCAACAATCATAAACAGGTTTTTGTATGCAGATAAATCTTATTTCTCTAGAATAAATATCCAGGAGTGGAATTGTTGGTTTATAAATAAATTGGTAAATAGTTGCTCTTTATGGTGGGCAGAATTATAAGATGGTCTCAACATTTCAACCCACTTCTATACACATTCTCTATAATTCCTTCTCTTTAGGTATATACAGGGCTGGTGGATAGTATTTGATGTCACTTACATGATTATGTTATCTTACATGACAGAAGGAAACTTGCCTTTGTAATTAAAATGCCTAATAAGTTGATTTTGCGTTAAAAAATGGAGATTGTTTTGGGTGGACATGACAATCAGGTGAGATCTAATCTTGGTCAGAGAGTGTGTACGGAGAGACAGAAGTTCTTTTTTTGGGCTTGAAGAAGCAAACTGTCTTGTTCTGGCAGGGTTACACGTCGGGAAATGGCAGGTAGCCTTGAAGAGTTCAGGATCTCAGTTCTCTAACTATAGAACCTGCATCTGTCAATAATCAAAACCTAACATTATCAATCTAGAATTCTAGATCCAGGAAAAATATCTTTCAGAAATGAAAGCAAAACAGACAAGCCCAAATAAAGAAAAATTAAGAATTTTTAGTTGTCAGACCTGCTTAAAAAGAATTGCTAATAAAGAACCCTCAGAGAAAGGTAAATCATACCAGAAGACAATTTTAAAGGTCAGAAATTAATAAAGAGCAACAGAAATAACAATTATTTGGGTAAACATAATTGCCTATTTTATGCTTGGGTTCTTTAAAACATGATTGAGGGATGATGGCCAAAACATATAACCCTGTCAGATGGGGGTTTCAGTGTATGCACATTTGATAGATAAGGTAACTATAGCATAGAGGAGAAAGAGTAATGGGATCTTTATGGTAAGAAGTTTTTGTAATACAGCTGAAGACGTTAAGTGGTATTTGTAATACCTAAAACAACCACTAGAAATATATGTACATACAATGACATATAGTCAAAAATCACAGTAGATAAATTAAAATGGAATCCTAAAAATGTTCAAATAGCCCAAGGAATATATGGAATAGAAAGGGAGTGACAAAAAGGAGAGGGAAAAATAGAAAACAAATAATGGCCAAAGCTCAAATATATAAATAATAGCATTAAATGTAAATAACTAAATAAACAATAAGAGAGATGTTCATATGGGATTAATGTTATCTTAACTATGTTATTTCTACAAAATACAAATGGCCAGTGTCAGAAATTTAAAAAGGTATATATCACTATAGCCTTGATAGACATTTGAAGAATAATAAGAGGACACATATTTTAAAATCTTAGAAAATGGACTAACTACTATGAAAGGACAAGCTAAAAGAAAACCCACCTAAGGTGAAATAGCATGAGTACTTCCCTAATTATTAAATAAATTTAATTTGTAATACATTTTTTCATAAAAGAAATCTCCATGTTCAGAAGTTTTCATTGTCAACCTAGCAAACATTTAAAGAAATAACAAAAAAAAATATTTTCTGTAAAATGGAAGAGAAGTATGTTAGTTTTCCATTGCTCTGTGGGAATCATCAAAAAATTATTGGCTTAAAACAACAGCTGTTTATTGTCTTACAGTTTCTGTAGTTTAGAAGTCCGAGTACTGCTCAACCAAGTTCATTGCTCAGAGTCTCATAAGGCTGAAATCAAGGTGTCACCTGGGACTGCTATGTCATCTGAGGATCAGAGTTGTTTCCAAAAAGAGCTTCCGTTAATGAATCATGTGGGTGTTTCCCACAAACGGGCTTCCGAAATGTGTTGGAAGAGAAAGGAGAGGGAGTCTGAGAGGTCCAGGCAGGAGTGAGAGAGCTCAGAGTTGGAGGTGTTTATAGGGAGGAGGGTAGCTATGTTGGCCAGACTGATCTCAAACTCCTGACCTCAGGTGATCTACCTGCCTCAGCCTCCCAGAGTGCTAGGATAACAGACGTGAGCCACCATGCCAGGCCTTATTTCTCTATTTTTTAAAGACCTTAAAGGCCACTTTAATTAAGTTTCTTTGGGAGGTTTGAGGGCCATCTTCCAGTTTTTTAAGTTTCTTTTGATTGTCAGGGGCTGACTGGGAAATGAGGTGTAAATGGAAGTAGATTCTGCCCTTATTGGTATTAAAGCTTAAGGTGCTGTATTTTGTTATGGCCTCTGAAACGTGGGAGAGAAAAAGGCCAGGGGTGGCTTTATCCATGCCAGGTAGAAGGCATGCTATCATGTGGCCTTGTTTCTGTTTGTCTGCAGAAGTTGCCTGATAATCCCAATTGGGGTCAGTTTGGGTGACAACCAGGGTCTCTGTTGGGTTATGGGCAGCATCTTGTTGGTGGAGCGTGTCTGCATGGGCCTGGGCAGCTGTCCAGATGCGTTCCCTGTCCTCCAGGGTGAGTGTGGAGGAGAGGATGACATATATGTCGTGCCAGGTAAGGTTATAAGGTTGAGTGACACGGGCCAGGCTCATGCCTGTAATCCCAGCACTTTGGGAGGCTGAGGCGGGTGGATCATTTGAGGTCAGGAGTTCGAGACCAGCTTGACCTACATAGTGAAACCCTGTTTCTACTAAAATACAAAAATTTTCTGTGAGTGGTTGCGGGTGCCTGTGATCCCAGCTACTCAGGTGGCTGGAATCACTTGAACTCAGGAGGCAAAGGTTGCAGTGAGCCGAGATTGTGTCACTCCAGCCTGGATGACAGAGCAAGACTCCCTCTCAAAAAAAAAAAAAAAAAAAAAAAAAAAAAAAATTAAGGAAGGAGGTGGGATCCGTGGAAAAGGAGCCAGGAGAGGTCAGCTAGGGAGAAAGGAACATTAACTGGAATTATGCCTTTGGCCCCCTGTGACCTCTCACAGGGGAGGACTTTGGAGGGCCTTTGTGGGTATGCCTGGTTTTTGGTGGAAGAGGATGGGGCGTGAGACCTGGTATGCAGTGAAAAAGGAAGGAGGGCCAGAGTGCGACATTAAGTGGGTGATGGAGCCAGAGATGGAGTAGGAGGAGGGCATGGTGTTGGGAGGGGGACTGAGGAAGGGGTTTTGTTGGCTGTGATGAAATTAGTGGAGGAAGGCTTGTCCAGAGGAGGCATTTTTGTGAGTTTTACATTGAGGAGGAGGACTTGAAAAGGTAAACAGGACTGGCAGAGAGAGAGAGACAGAGAGCTGTGAATGGAGATAAGCAAGGCACCTCAGATCATTTACCATTGAGTTGAAGGAAGTTTTCTAGATTGCATTGAATTTGGAAGTTGAATGTTCTGTTTTTTGGCCATTGATTATTATTGGTCAGTTTACACTGGGCTAGGCCATATTACAGAGGAAAGTAAGGCATTCAGTTTAAATGGAGTCTGCCAAACCCTGGGCTTGGGGGTTTTGGTTGAGACATGTGAGAGTGATGTTTCCAGGAGGTTTTGAGGAGCCTTGCCCCATACTGGTGGCCAGGAGGGTGAAAAATATAGAGGAGGGGAGTGAGTACCCTGGAGGTGAGTGAGTACTCCAGAGGGGAGTGAGTACCCCGATTCCTGCCCAGAGGAGAGAGGAGGAGGAGAGCCAGGGTGTCCCCTCAGCTCTTCACTGTGCCCTGGAGGTTGGAGCGGCTGAAGTGGCGAGTGTGCTGAGGTCATCCCTTTAGAAGGCAGAACACGGTCACCTGGTGACCTTGGAGACCTCTCACACAGCTCCGGGATTTTCTGGTGAACCGGCAGAAATATCAGAGAAATCTGGAAAGGAGGAAAAGGGAGACTCACCTAGTAATTAGAGACCAGTGTTGGATGATATGTCCAGCAATGGGATTGATCCTTGCCAGAGCTGCCCAGAAAGGGGAAGGAAGGAAAAAGAGGATGGAGAGTTTGATCAGGATCTGGAGGTTAGCCCAGGGCCAGAGAAGAAGAGAGAATACGGGGTTCGGGGCTGGGAACAGAAAGTCCACTCAGGATCTGAAAGCAGTTCTGGGTCTAGTTTTTGCTGCTTGCTGCTTTCCAGGTTGCAAGAGAAGACTTGCCTGTTTAGAACCCAATCCCTGTCCTGGATTTCAGCACTAAAATGTTAGGTTTTGAAGGGAAAATGAGGGTTAAAGAAAAACACAGAGCGAGAGAGAGTGGTGTCTCTACAGCAAATGCAGGTATATTGCAAAAACATGCAGAGGTGGGGTACCAGCTTAATGCCAGAGCCCACCACCACTTACAGGCTGGGTTACTTACAGGTATGGGTGGGAGGGGTCTGAGCAGTATGGCTTGCTGCCTAGGAGGATATTTATAAGAAGTTCATATGATCAGGCAGTTTGGCCCTTTTTTCGGTGGGATGTGATAGGATGTTCCTTGGACCTTTGCCCAGCAGGATATCACAGGGATGTTCCTTCAGTTGGTCCTTTGCCTGGCAGGGTATGATAAGAAAGTCAGGTGGTTGGGCAGGATCTCACGGCCCAAACCCCCAGGGAATGTTTCACCTTGACCAAGGTCTGCAAAATGGTGGTGGGGAGAGCTTACAAAATGATGCAGTTTGGACTAACATATAGTAATTTTCTTACAACAACAAAAATGCTTTGCCACTTCTTCTAACCTTCATGGCCTCTGATGAGCAATCTGTACTGTACTCCTCTGAGAAGTCTTTTTTGTTGTTGTTTCTGGTTGCTGTGGAGATTTTTTTTCTTTAGTTCTGATCAATTTTAAGCAATGTGTCCAGTCATAGAATTCTTTGGATATATCCGTTTAAGATTTGCTCAGCCTTTTGAATTTGTTAGCTTATGTCTTTTGACAAACTTGGGAAGTTTTCAGTTATTATTCTTTTAAATATTTTTCTGTAAGTCATTGTGTGTGTCTGTTCTAAAATGCTCATTTGTTTTTTTCTTTATTTTATACTTTTTTCTGATACTTTGTTTTAATACTTGTTTCAAGAGTACTTTTTTTTTTTTTGAGACCGAGTCTCGCTCTGTTGCCCAGGCTGGAGTGCAGTGGTGCGATCTTGGCTCACTCAAGCACCACCTCCTGGGTTCATGCCATTCTCCTGCCTCAGCCTCCCAAGTAGCTGGGACTACAAACACCCGTCACCACGCCCAGCTAATTTCTTTTTTTTTATTTTTAGTAGAGACGGGGTTTCACCATGTTAGCCAGGATGGTCTCGATTTCCTGACCTCGTGATCCGCCCACCTTGGCCTCCCAACGTGCTGGGATTACAGGCATGAGCCACCATGCCTGGCCATTGCAAGAGTATTTTAAAACACTTTTATAATACCTACATTAAAGTCCTTGTCAGATGATTTCAACATCCATGTCATCTCATCTTTGGTGTCTTTTGATTTCATTTTTCCTCTTGGTTGAGACTTTCATGCTTATATGGATGTTGAGTAACTTTAGTTTGCTTTGGGAATTTTGATTATTGCATTTTTAGATTCTGAGTCCTATCTATATCCCAGGGAGAATGTTGATAGTTTTGTGTTAAGCATCTGTGGGCTATGGGTTCAATTTCAACTGCATGTTCAAAGACTTTGCAGTGCTATTTGGATTTGTGACATATTTGAGCACCCAATACAGCTCAGTCTGTGACCAGTCACAATTCTACCCATTAGTTCAATTTTTAAAGTCTTATGTAATTAGAATAAGTTCATGTGTGACAATTTAGTAGTGAGCCCCAGAGTTGAAAAACATTTTCTCACACTCCTTCTTCTCACTATGTCTCCAATACATTCCAATTCCATAGGTTCTGTATTAGTCCATTCTTGCATGGCTATAAAGAAATACTTGAGAATGGGTAATTTATAATGAAAGAGGTTTAATTGGCTAATGGTTCTGCAGGCTGTACAGGGAGCATGGCAGCATCTGCTTCTGGGGAAGCCTCAGGAAGCTTCCCATCATGGCAGAAGGCAAAAGAAGAGCAAGGCATCTTACATCACAGGAGCAGGAGAAAGAGAGAGAAAAGGGAGAGCTGTGCTACACACTTTTTTTTTTTTTTTTGAGATGGAGTCTCGCTCTGTTGCCCAGGCTGGAGTGCAGTAGCATGATCTCGGCTCATTGCAAGCTCCGCCACCCGGGTTCACGCCATTCTCCTGCCTCAGCTTCTAGAGTAGCTGGGACTACAGGTGCCTGCCACCATGCCCGGCTAATATTTTTGTATTTTTAGTAGAGACGGGGTTTCACCGTGTTAGCCAGGATGTTCTCGATCTCCTGACCTTGTAATCCGCCTGCCTCGGCCTCCCAAAGTGCTGGGATTACAGCATGAGCCACCACACCTGGCCTGTCCTACACAATTTTAAATAACCAGATCTCCTGAGAACTCACTAATTATCACAAGAACAGTACCAAGAGGGATGATGTTAAGCCATTCATGAGAAACTCTCTCCTGTGATCTAATCACCTCACACCAGGCCCCACTTCCATCACTGGAAATTTACAATTGAACATAAGATTTGGGTGAGGACTCAGATCCAAACCATAGCAAGTTCTTCTTTTTGATCCTCTAGGCAAACACTCCTAAAGAATAAAAAACAAAACAAAATAAACAAAGCAACAAGACAAAAGCCAACAACGATGAGTTTTGGCCCTACCTTTTTGGAGTCTCAGGAAGAGATAGGAATGCTCTCTACCTTCACAGTTATCACCACCACAGTTATCACCACCTATATTGCACCTAGAGCAATATAAAAAGGAAGATTAATTTTATATTGAAATTTAAGTAAAAGACAAGATGTTATACTAGAAAGCTTATAATACTGGAATTCACCATCCCTTAAGTTCAAATCATGGCTCTAGCCATTGAAAAGTGTATTACTTTGGTCTGGATACTTCATTCATCTAATCTTCAAGGATGTCATTTGCCGAGAAGTCAAAGTAATATATAAGAAGTAACCATAAAGCTTATACATTTGGATCCAAACAACCTGCAATTTCAAACAGTATATGGTGGTCATGCCAACCTATCTTTTCTCTAATAAGGTCATAATTTCATGTCCCAAATAGTTTGTAATCAATCACAAACAATTACATGAATTCAAACATTTCTCATATTTTTATGCAGGGCAGTGATTATGTAGTTACTTTACTGATTCTTGCTCTTGTGACACAGAGGGAAACATTGAAATGAAAGTCTTCCTGAATCACTAGTACTATTTTTTTAAGATAGAAATGATTAGATATAAAAACACTATCTAAACAAAAACATATTTGCTCTCATTGGGACAGGTTTCTTTTGTGTGTGTAAGTAGGTATAAAGTATGCTCACATGTAGAAGGAACATAAGACATTTAAAATAGTACAATTTTGCTATGATAATTGTGTATGAAGATGATGGATAGTGATAAAAAATAAAGATCACATTCACATTAAATAATTGCTATTATACAAATGTAAAATGACATGGGTTGGTCTATATAGCTCTTGATACTGATACAATTTATCTGTGGTTTTGTCATAAAGAGGACCATTCAAACAACAATATTTTTTCAATAATTATGACCACATGATGATATTATATTATCCTCAGACTCCTCCCATTCTCAATCTACTACTACCAAGTTCCTCTTCCTGATAGCAAAGTTCTATTTATTAAATGGTATTGCAAGCTGAGGATTTTCATTAACTCATTTCCTTTGATCCAGTGTTTCTGATTGCTCATTCTAGAAGTCAGATTTCCCTATAGATAAAAATACAACATAATATATAATTCCTCTGATCTTTGCTGTGACATTTAAGAGAAGAAAAAAATTCACAAATCCAATTATAAAATATATAATGTTAAAGAAAAATAAATTTAGAAACTAATTTGCATCATAAATATTAGATATATAATAAATATTTATTATTTAAATTACCATTTATGCCTTTATAATAACAAGAGTTAAGCAAATCTTATTTAATCTTATATTTTATTCATATTCAGAATTGGGTACACTTTTACTATGTAAGTAAAAAGTGACTCTTTTCATATTCATTTTCCAAGCAGTTCTTAGGAGTGCATTATTTATGAATATAGATGTTCATCTGCATTGCTCCTTTCTAAAAGGTTGTTATTGTGTCTAGATTAGACAATGTATTCAAAACTCAAAGTACAGTGTCTGGCACATCATAAGTCTCAGTACATCTTCCTTCAATTCTCTCCTGATCCTGATATACTAACAATCACATTATCAAAAGGTTCATTATCATTTTTAACATAATCTACTTATTGAAATAGAGCTGTTTCCATTCTTTCATTGTAATTAAAATACTTAATATAGCAGATAATTTACATTTTAATTTTTGCTTCCAGCACTAAAAGAGATTTACAGTCACTTATGAAAAAAAGCATAAAGCTTTTAGCGTTATCATTAGATTATGAGAAAGTATTTTAAAAACTTAAAATAATTACACAATTTTAATGTTTGAAATTAGAACCCATTAGTTTTTCTTTCACAGTTACCCTAAAAACACTCATACACATTTCCATGGCAATAGTACTGGAGCTTTTGTAAGAAAGCATAAATATTGCCCAAAAAAATTAGTGTTCACTAAGATTTCCCTTTTCTGTTCTGGATTCTTTATTCCCAATGATATAATTCTAAGAAATGGTTGTTATATACATATTAAGATATTTTGAAAAGAGAAGGAGAGTTTATGTGGTTTAAATATTATCATTAGTTAGCAAAGTATATTTATATATCTTCTACTTTACAGCTGTTAAAATAATAGTGATGATAGTGTTTAAAATACACACATTTGAAATTATAGGTATAATATGTGTATATATATAAAATGTGTGTGTTTGTGTGTGGAGATACATATATATGTATGTATGTGTGTGTATATATATGTGTGTGTATATATATGTGTAATATATAAGAAGTAACCATAAAGTTTATACATTTGGATCCAAACAACCTGCAATTTCAAACGGTATATGGTTGTCATGCCAACCTAACTTTTCTCTAATAAGGTCATAATTTCATGCCTCAAATAGTTTGTAATCAATCACAAACAATTACATGAATTCATATACATATATACCTCACATGCAAAGACAGAGAAAGAAAGAACATGATGACATATTGGTAATGCAATATTAAATGAATAAATAAGTTGTGGAGTAAATTTCCTATTAAAAAGCAATAAGTAAAACTTTATATGTAATACACACTTTTCAATATGTTTATTTAAACACAGAGATAATTGTTCAAAGTTGCACAACTACCTGATAAAGTTTGGTACTTTGGGGGAAAATAATATGGAGGAGAAGAATGGAGAGATAATTCAACTTTTCTACATACAATTTGTATTGTTTGAATAGTTAAATCCACAGTTTTCCATAGTGGTTGTACTAGTTTACTTTCCCACCAGCAGTGTAAAAGTTTTCCCTTTTCACTGTATCCATGCCAACATCTATTATTTTTTGACTTTTAAATTATGGCTATTCTTGCAGGAGTAAGGTGGTATTGCATTGTTGGTTTGATTTGCATTTCCCTGATAATTAGTGATATTCAGCATTTTTTCATATGTTCATTGGCCATTTTTATATCTTTTATGAGAATTGTCTGTTCATCTCCTTGGCCCACTTTTTGATGGGATTTTTTTTCCTGCTGATTTGTTTGACTTCCTTGTAGATTCTGGATATTAGTCCTTTATCGATTTGTAGATTGTGAAGATTTTCTCCCACTCTCTGGGTTGTCTGTTTACTCTGCTGATTATTTCTTTAGCTGTGCAGAAGTTTTTAAATTTAATTGTCATTTATTTATCTTTGTTTTTGTTGCCTTTGCTTTTGGGTTCTTGGTCATGAAGTCTTTGCCTAAGCCAATGTCTAGAAGGGTTTTTCTGACGTTATCTTCTAGAAATTTTATGATTTCAGGTCTTAGATTTAAGTCATTGATCCATTAAGTTGATTTTTGTGTAAAGTAAGAGATGAGGATCCAGTTTCATTCTTCTACATGTGGCTTAATTATCCCAGCACCATGTTTTGAACAGGTTGTCCTTTCCCCACTTTATGTTTTGTTTGCTTTGTCAAACATCAGTTGGCTGTAAGTATTTGGGTTTATTTCTGGGTTTTCTATTCAATTCCATTGGTCTATGTGCCTATTTTTATGCCAGTACCATGCTGTTTTGGTGACTATAGCCTTGTAGCACAGTTTGAAGTCAGTTAATATGATGCCTCCCAATTTATTCCTTTTGCTTAGACTTGCATTGGCATGTAAACTCTTTTTGGTTCCATATGAATTTTAGGATTGTTTTTTTCTAGTGCTGTGAAGAATGATGGTGGTATTTTGATGGGAACTGCATGGAATTTGTAGATTGCTTTTGGCAGTATGGTCATTTTCACAATATTGATTCTACCAATCCATGAGCATGGGAAGTGTTTCCATTTGTTTGTGTCATCTGTGATTTCTTCCAGTGGTGTTTTGTAGTTTTCCTTTTACTAAGTAGCTTTTTAATCTGCATCCTCCTCCCACTCTCCACCCTCAAGTAGGCCCTATTTTTTGTTGTTCCCTTCTTTGTGTCCATAGTACTCAATGTTTAGCTCCCATTTATAAATGAGAACATGTGGTATTTAGTTTTCTGTTCATGTGTTAGTTGACTTAGGATAATGGCCTCCAGCTCCAACCACATTGCTGCAATGGACAAGATTTCATTCTTTTCATAGCTGCATGGTATTCTATGGTGTATATGTACCATATTTTCTTTATCCAGTCTACTTTTGATAGGCATTTAAGTTGATTTCATGTCTATGCTATTATGAATAGTGCTGAAATAAACACACAGGTGCATGTGTCTTTATGGTGCAATGATTTATATTTCTTTGGATATATACCTAATAATGGGATTGCTGTGTCAAATGGTAATTCTCTTTTAAGTTTATTGAGAAATCACCAAACTGCTTTCCATAATGGCTGAACTAATTTACATTCCTAACAGCAGTGTTGAGCATTTTTTCATGTGCTTGTTGGAAGCATATACGTCTTCTTTTAAAAGGTATCTGCTCGTGTTCTTTGCCTACCTTTTTATAGGGTTGTTTTGTGCTTGTAAAGTTAAATTCCTTATAGACTCTAGATATTAGACCTCTGTTGGATCCATAGTTTGCAAAATGTTTTTCCCATTGTTTGTTTACTCTGTTGATTGTTTCTTTTGCTGTGAAGAAGTTCTTTTGTTTAATTAGATTCCATTTATCCACTTTTGTTTTTATTAGAATTGCTTTTGGTATCTTAATCATGAAATCATTATTGAAATTATGTCCAGAATGGAATTTCCTAGGTTATAATGCAGGATTTTTATAGTTTTAGGATTTGCATTTTCTCCGTCTTTAATACATCTCGAGTTGACTTTAGGGGTCCAGTTTCAATCTGCATATGGCAAACCAGTTATCCCAGCACCATTTTTGAATAGGGAGTCTTTTCCCCATTGCTTGTTTTTGTTGATTTTGTCAAAGATGAGATGGTTGTAGGTGTGTCCATTATTTCTGGGCTCTCTATTATGTTCCATTGGTCTATGTGTCTGTTTTTGCAGCAGTGCCATGCTGTTTTGGTTACTGTAGCCTTGTAGTATAGTTTGAAGTCAGGTTATGTAATGCCTCCAGCTTTGTTCTTATTGCTTAAGATTGCCTTGGCTATTCAGGCTTTTCTTTGGTTCCATGTGAATTTTAAAATAGCTTTTTTCTAATTCTATAAAGAATGTCATTAGTAGTTTGATAGGAACACTAAACCTATAAATTACTTTGGGAAATATGGCCATTTTAACTACATTGATTCTTTCTATCCATGAGCATGGAATGTTTTTCCATTTGTTTATGTCATGTGATTTATTAGAGCATTGTTTTGTAATTCTCATTGTAGAGATCTTTCACCTCCCTGGTTAGCTGTATGCCTAGTTATTTTATTCTTTTTACGACTGTTGTGAATGAGATTTTGTTCTTGGTTTGGCTCTCAGCTTGGATGTTGTTTGTGTCTAAGAATGATACTGACTTTTGTACACTGATTTTGTATCCTGAAACTTTGCTGAAGTTGTTTATCAGATCAAAGAGCTTTTGGGTCAAGACTATGGGTTTTCTAGGTATAGAACCATATTGTCTGCAAACAGGGATAGCTTGACTTTGTCTCTTCCTCTTTGATGTATTTTATTTCTTTTGCTTGCCTGGTTGCTCTGGCTAGCAATTCCAGTACTAGTTGAATAAGAGTGGTGAGAGAGGGCATCCTTGTCCTGGTTTTCAAGGGGAATGTTTCCCACTTTTGCCAATTCATTTTGATATTGACTATGGGTTTTTCATAGATGGCTCTTACTATTTTGAAGTTTGTTTCCTCAATGCCTAGTTTGTTGAGGGTTTTAAACATGAAGGTATGTCAAACTTTATTGAAAGCCTTTCTACATTTATTGAGATGGTCATGTGTTGTTTGTTTTTAGTTCTGTTTATGTGGTGAATCATATTTATTGATTTTCATATATTGAACCAACCTTGCATCTTAGGGATAAAGCCTACTTGATTGTAGTGGATTAGCTTTTTGATGTGCCATTGGATTTGACTTGCAAGTATTTTGTTAAGGATTTTTGCAACAATGTTTATCAAGGATATTGGCCTTAGTTTTCTTTTCTAGAGTTGTCTCTGCAAGGTTTTGGTATCAGGATTATGCTGGCCTCATGGAACAAGTTAAGGAAGAGTCCCTCCTCCTCAATTTTTTAAGAATAGTTTCAATAGGAATGGTACCAGATCTTCTTTATACACCTGGTAAAATTCAGCTATGAATCTGACTGATTCTGGGCTTTTTCTGGTTGGTAGGCTTTTAATCACAGATTCAATTTCAGAACTCATTATTGGTCTGTTCAGGAATTCAGTTTCTTCCTGGTTCAAACTTGAAAGGTTGTATGTTTCCAGAAATGTATCCATTTCTTCTAGGATTTCTAATGTGTGTACCTAGAAGTGTTTGTGGTAGTCTCTTAGAGGTTTTTGGATTTATGTTGGGTCAGGAGTAATGTCCCCTTTGTCATTTCTGATTGTGTTTATTTGGAGATCTAGATGCTTACCAGAATGTCAATTAAGCTACAAATGCTAAAAGCAATTGCCTCTATTTTTCTCTTTAAGAAAATGTTGATGTTTAAGACAACTGTGGTGAGGAAAATAAAAAATTTAGTATTATCAAGGGGCATTTTTTGTATTATATATTTAGATATTCTCTAAATATATTTATATATTCCTATCATATGGAAAAAGTTTTAAGCATATAAATTTCTTGCACTTTTTAATAAGTTCTACTTTTGGCTCTAAGTTTGGCAATATCTGGGAAATATTCATGCTTAAACTCAAATACAGATATAATTATTGAGTATGAAATAATTATATTTCTGATCTTATCCAGATTTATATGTATTTTTAAATGAACAGAAGAAATTATTTGTACCAATATATCAATGATGGTTATTTCTGGATGGTAGGATTTTTTCTTATTATTCTTAAGATTTTCTACATTTTCTAAAATGAAAACTTCTTTCTCTTTATTCAGTAACAACATTGCTATAAATTTTTAATTGTGGTGTTATTTAATACAGTTAATCTCGTTTTAGCTATCTAAATGTCATGATGTAAAAATAACAACTTTCAAAATATATTTTTGATAGAAACTTGAGCATTAACTAAATGCCTTCTTTTTTTTTTTTTTTTTTTTTTTTTTTTTTTTTTTGAGACGGAGTCTCGCTCTTTCACCCAGGCTGGAGTGCAGTGGTGCGATCTCGGCTCACTGCAAGTTCCGCCTCCCGGGTTCACACCATTCTCCTGCCTCGGCCTCCTGAGTAGCTGGGACCCCAGGCGCCTGCCACCACACCCAGCCAAGTAACTAAATGTCCATTTTATAAAGCTTATTTGAAAAAGGGAGTTAAGTTTTAAGATAGAAGCAGATAAATCTACTTAAGATAATGTCTTAAATATAAATAAAATAAACAAATCTATGGATATATTTATATATTACAGTATAAAATATATAAATCATTACATAATAATATATAATATATAGTAATAATATATATGTATTAATACTTAAACTTACTTATTCTGAAATTTTTTCACACTCTGTCCTTCACTTCTATGAAATATGCTTAAGAATTCTCACTTTGTGGTTATTACAGAGAAGATTCTGAAGAAATAAAATTATAGAACTTAAAATTAGATGTTAGGTTTTCTATTTGAAAACAAATATATTAATTAAATAGTTGTAAAATTAACCAAATAACAAACAAAAAATATCACAATATTTTGCAGTTGGATTTTGGCTTACAAGGTTGTGGTCAGTAACCTTTGGATGTTGGTAAAGAAATGGTAATAAGGTAAAAGAACTAAATATTTACAGTATATATTAATAAGAAACTGTTGAGTAAAAATGTGCAACTGAGAATAAATATTAAAGGTTTTAATTTTTCAGTTAAGGGTAAATACAAGAAGATGGAATAATAAATATCCAATGTTCAAAAAGAGTAAAGTTCAGAGATAGTTTTATAATTTGTCAATCACATCAGAATAAAATATACAGAAAGCTATATTTTATAGGGAATGTCACACCTTTTGGAAAACTTTGTAAGTTGGGGACAAATAAAATCTTTGATTCTAGAAGATTTGGGTTTCTGCTGTCTCTTCTCTCTCACTTGTCAGCTGGGTAACTTCAGTGGCAATAATAAAGAGAAAAGTTGCAAACATAGAGACCCACCAAAAAGGAGAAAGCAGCTCTTCTTCATACTCTATCTGAATCAGCATACTATTAACATATTTGATCTTTGCCTATATGATAAATTTTAAAACTAGCTTAGGGTTAACATTTTTATTTACATACATCTTTTAAAGACTGAGGTTAAGAATTTTTGCAAACATTTGAAATAATTATTATTTCCTTTTCTATAAGCTGCCTATTCTTGTGTTTTGCCCATTTTTACATCAGATTGTTTTTTAAATTGCAGGATACTGGCAAGTGCCTGGCCTTCCAGGGACTGAAGCTGCCTTATCTCACCTCAGCTGCCTTTCTGATCCAAGCTTGAAAAAACCCATCCCAAGACCTATGTTGGGCTGCTGTGGCTCTGTCTGTGAAATGGGCTGAAACTTCTGGCTGGCGTGGGACCAAGGCAGAGACAGAACCACGTGGTTCCACCCCAGTTCCATGGCATTGGCAGGGCCATGGAACTTGGATTAAAACTACTGAAGTGACACAAATAAAGACCCAAACTGAAGGATTGGTGAGGAATGCCCCCACCACCTCAAATGAGCAGACACTACCATCCACTTCAGTGGATTCATTTAAATTAATAACATATTATAACCCCCCTTCTCTCTTTTTCTCTCTCTTTCACTCTTTCTCTCTCTCTACATATGCGTATTCTCTCTCTCTCTCTCTCTCTCTCTCTCTATATATATATATATATATATACACACACACACAGGATATGGATATACATACACACATATATAGAGATAATATAATATGTATATACATATATATATATCTATATATATATATATAGAGAGAGAGAGAGAGAGAGAGAAAGAGAGAGAGAATGTAATATGTTCTTCCAGAAACTTGCCATTGCTCCATCAAGAGGTAGAGATATTTATTCTTCTCGTGAAACTGGTTGGGTCCTTATAACTGCTTCAATTAAACGTAACATGGCAGAAATAGTATGGCACAACTTACAAGACTAGGTTAAAAAGTACAATTTCTGCCAGGTTCTGTTTCTTGGAACGCTTACCATTGGAACCTAATTACCTGGTAGTAGGAAAATTCAGACTAATTGTAACACTACCTGTACTGTAGTTATTGGGAGAAGGCCAAGATAAGGTACCAGCCCCCTGGCTTTTCACTATCAGTTACCACTCCTGATAGTGAAAAGCCTTAGATAAGTTCAGCCCCCACGTGTAGAATCAACTTAAGCTTTTAATTTGTTAGTTGAGTCCCCAAGCATCATTGAATAGATGTGGGTGGCAAGCCACCCAGGTGCCGAGGCAAGAGACCGAGGGCACGAGCTGTTCCAGTATAATAAAATATATAAAATAAGAATAGTTACACTAGATATAGATCATACATATGATTATATATGAATATCATTAATCATTAGTTTGTAGCAATTACTCTTTATTTCAATATTATAATAATCCTCACTCTACAATCATAACCTAGGAACAACCAGGCCATACAGAGACAGGAGCTGAGGGGACATAGTGAGAAGTGACCAGAAGACAAGAGTGTGAGCCTTCTGTTATGCCTGGACAGGGCCACCAAAAGGCTCCTTGGTCTAGTGGTAACGCCAGCATCTGGGAAGACACCCGTTGCTAGGAGGACCATGGTCAAGCGGTAGAGTCAGCGTCAAGGAAAAACACCCGCTACTTAGCGGACTGGGAAAGGGAGTCTCCCTTTCCCCAGGGGAGTTTAGAGAAGACTCTACTCCTCCACCTCTTGTGGAGGGCCTGACATCAGTCAGGCCCGTCCGCAGTTATCCAGAGGCCTAACCGTCTCCCTGTGATGCTGTGCTTCACTGGTCATGCTCCTAGTCTGCCTTCATGTTCCATCCTGTACACCTGACTCTGCCTTTTAGATAGCAGTAGCAAATTAGTGAAAGTACTAAAAGTCTCTGATAAGCAGAAATAATGGCATAAGCTGTCTCTCTCTCTCTCTTCTCTCTCTCTGCCTCAGCTGCCAGGCAGGAGAGGGCCCCCTGTCCAGTGGACACGTGATCCACGTTACCTTACCTATCACTGGAGATGGCCCACACTCCTTACCCTGCCCCTTTGTCTTATATCCAATAAATATCAGCACAGCCCAGCATTCGGGGACACTACCGGTCTCTGTGTGGTAGTGGTCCCCCGGGACCCAGCTGTCTTTTCTTTCATCTCTTTGTCTTGCGTCTTTATTTCTACACTCACTCGTCTCTGCACACAGGGAGAAAACCCACCAACCCTGTGGGGCTGGACCCTACAAACAGATACAACCATTTCCCTTCTGTCACCTGAATTTTAGACTGCCCCATTATATTTGTGAACATACCAAATGTTTGTTTTGCACTGCTGAATTTTAGGGTAATTTTTGACATGACAATAAATAACTAGAATAGTAAGAATTGCCATAAGCAAATTAAATATATGGAATTAATTAATAGCAATAATATTGAGATGGAATATAATTGGCTCAATCATAAAGACAATTTTCTTAAGATGACCAATATATTACTACACAAAAATAATACAGCATAAGTAGATGAAATATACTTTGCTTATGGAATCATAGATAAAATAAACAATGTACAAGTTCACAATTTTGGTCTCTCATGAAGCTAAATGTTTCTTGAGAGTGGAGATCATGTCTAATTCAAATTTTGGCATAGGAGCTTAATGTGATTAATTAACAAATTAATGATTAAAACAAGTACTGATGGAAGGATGTAATAGCATTTTCTCTGTACTGATTGAAATTAGTATTGAACATTTATACTTCTAAAAGTCAGACAATAATTATAGAAATTACTAACTACTTCTACTCTCCAAACACATATACATAGAAACACTAGATTAATGAAATCTTAAAGACATCATGTAAGACATATACGTGTAGATTCATTCTAGTTCAAGATTTTAAAAATTAGTCTTCTCAATGAATGGCAGGACTAGAATATAGTAGTAGTATAAGTAATTACTAGTAGTAAGATTTTTAGTGTTAATTACACTACATTTTTTTTTACCATTTTTCAACCTATGAGAACTCCTGTTCTCCATAAATAGAATTCAAATAGGAAGGAAAATATCTGTGAGTTAGTTTTTTGACCAGTAATAATGTAGCAAAATCTGTCTACATTGTACTTGTTCCTCTGTAAAGACATGTTTCAAATTACCCACAATTTGAACAATTTGACACTACACACTACACATTTATATGGCATCTGAAAATATTGTTTGTGCCCAAATTGCTTGAAATAGTTAAATCAATCTCTTAAACTAAAAAAAAAAATTGTATATAAAACTATTGGTGTGATGCATCTGACATCTGGACCAATTGTCAGCTATAGATAATTAGGTCTCTTAATGGTTCCATGTATCTATTTTCAATCTAGATCAGACCTTGTAATTAAAACTTCTTTAAATAGGATACAGCTTTTTTAGATAATGCAAAATTCTGATTGAATTCAATAGAGGGATGCTATATCATACAACCTTTGTCTCTAGACAATCATTACATTTTTAAAGTTTTCATGCTTGACTGCCTAAAAGCAATGCAAAGTATTCCATGTAGACCTACTAGAGTAGCGGTTTTGTAAGACTTGAACACCGCTACTGAATCTATAGATATCTCTGGTATATAAAATTTCCTACTTAAAATGCAACTAAGCATAACCTAAATATTTAAGAGGTTCTTTATTAGATTGATGATAAAACTTACTGTGTTGATTATGGATAGAAAACAATAAACTTCTGTTGAAGTTTACATGTTGGGCCATTGGTAAAGTTTTTTCATGATATAAATAATTCCAGCCTCTCATCTATTTAATTCTCAGGCACATCATAAATGGCAGCATGTCATGGATCATCAGACTCATTCATGAATAGTTTAAAATCAGCATTTTGATTTTCAACTACATTCTACCAATGCAGTGTTTAGTCTTTTACATCACTTATTTCATTAAGAATTGCAAATAATTTGCACTCTCTACCAGGGAAATATATAATAGGAATATAGCCTCAGTATTCCTTTCCTCTTCTATTAGAAACATGATCCCAATATTTCCATTACCCCTTCCTCAATATACTCCTTGTTGAAGGGACAGTCAATTAAAGTATTTTTTAAATCCAAGAAAGTGGCAAGCTACTAATTCCAATGAGTCTCTCCTCTGGGATTTAAAATCTTGGACAGAGGGGCACAGAGAAAATTAAGAGTGCATTTGTTACTTGCTACTATGTACACCAGGTTTCAGAAAATAAAAATCAGCTTTCTGTTTTTATAAAAAGTATTTTTTTTTTTATGAGACGGAGTCTCGCTCTGTCGCCCAGGCTGGCATGCAGTGGCTCGATCTTGGCTCACTGCAAGCTCCGCCTCCCTGGGTTCATGCCATTCTCCTGTCTCAGCCTCCCGAGTAGCTGGGACTACAGGCGTCCGCCACCACGCCCGGCTAATTTCTGTATTTTTAGTAGAGACGGGGTTTCACCTTGTTAGCCAGGATGGTCTCAATCTCCAGACCTCATGACCTGCCTGCCTCAGCCTCCCAAAGTGCTGGGATTACAGGCGTGAGCCACCGTGCCCAGCCTCACAAAAAGTTTTAATGGAACATAGCCATGCTCACTTATTTACGCATTGTGTTTAGTGGGTTTCACGCTACAATAGCAGAAGTGCATAGTTGCAACAAAAATCAAATAGTCCACAAGCATAAAATATTTACTACTTGGCCCTATAATGAAAACGTTTGCTGCTTCCTGACCTACAACATCAGAGCTGCTATAATTTCTATTTTTATTTTCCTTTTTTTATTTTCGAGACGAAGTCTCCCTCTGTCACCCAGGCTGGTGTGCAGTGGCACAATCTTGGCTCACTGCAAGGTCCGCCTCCTGGGTTTACGCCACTCTCCTGCCTCAGCCTCCCGAGTAGCTGGGACTACAGGCGCCCACCACCACGCCCTGCTAATTTTTTGTATTTTTTTTAGTAGAGATGGAGTTTCACCGTGTTAGCCAGGATGGTCTCGATCTCCTGACCTCGTGATCCGCCCACCTTGGCCTCCCAAAGTGCTAGGATTACAGGTGTGAGCCACCATGCCCGGCCAATTTCTATTTTTCATGAGCCAATTTGTTCAGTTATTATTTGGGGTTTGTAAAATACATAGAATCCTATCAAAAGTTCATTTGTCCTCAATTTGATTAGAGTCAGTTTCTTCAGCTTGTATTCAAAGAGCATCAATTGATCTAAAAATTGGTTTCATTGGGGTGGAGGTGGAGGCAGCAACAGATCTCTGTATTTGAGTATTTGGAATTATTTACCCACACTAAAATGAGTAAACAAACAGAAGTGAGATTGTAGTTTAAAAATTGAGATGAGAAAATAGTAACTCCCCCGAATATGAATTATCAGAGCAGTTCGTGAACCTGTCAACTGTGGCCCCTGGATCCTTTGAATTAACTGATAATTCTAACTGCTACTGTGGAATAAGTTAAATATCACAAAGAATGCATACTCTATAAAGTGGAATGCTTACTTATGACAGCACTGTATTACCTAAAATTAAAAAAATGTTTTCTGAATTAGGATGAAGTTGTTTTCTCCTTTCTTTTTAGACAAAGTCTCACTCTGTCAACTAGGCTACAGTACAGTGGCACTATTTTGGCTTACCGTAACCTCTGCCTTCTGGGTTCAAGCTATTCTGCTGCCTCAGCCTCTTGAGTAACTGGGATTATAGGCATGCTCCACCACACCTAGGTAATTTTTGCATTTTTAGTAGAGATGGGGTTTCACTATGCTGAAACCTCGAGTGATTCACCTGCCGTGGCCTCCCAAAGCACTGGGATTACTGGTGTGAGCCACTACACTTGGCCTGTTTTCTCTTGCTTACAACCGAAGAAATATAACTGAGCCACCCTTAATTGGGACAGATTAATTTATGGTGCTTCATAGCCCAACGTCGATATGTTTTTCCCTGCATCAATGCCTCCAAATGACCATTGTTTGCTGCTAATATGTGAGGTAACAAATATATGGAGACACTCTCTGATATGGTTTGGCTGTGTCCCCACTCAAATCTCATCTTGAATTGTAGTTCCCATAATTCCCATGTGTCATGGGAAGGACTCGGTGGGAGGTAGTTGAATCATGGAGATGGGTCTTTCTCATGCTGTTCTCGTGATAGTGAATAAGTCAAGTCTGATGAGAAGTGATGGTTTTATAAAAAGGAGTTCCTCCACACAAGCTCTCCTGCCTGCTGCCACCTAAGACGTGACTTTGCTCCTCATTCGCTTTCTACCATGATTGTGAGGCCTCCTCAGACAGGTGGAACTGTAAGTCAATTAAACCTCTTTCACTTCTAAATTACCCAGTTTTGGGTAGGTCTTTATTAGCAGCATGGGAACAGACTAATACACTGTCCAGTTTGTTATATTAAAAGGTATCCATTTTACCCATAAAAAAACTATAGCAGCTGTAAGAACACTTCTCTAAATAATATAGATTAATAAATGTCATAGATAAGTCAAGTCACGAGACTTGACTTATTCACTATCACAAGAACAGCATAAGACCCACCTCCATGATTCAACTACCTCCCACCGGGCCCCTCCCATGACACATGGGAATTATGGGAACTACAATTCAAGATGAGATTTGAGTGGGGACACAGCCAAACCATATGTGACGTTATTAAGTACAGAGAGGCAGCCAAAGAATATGAGTCATTGCAGGTATCCATGTCAATAAAAACAATAACAATGATGCCTCATATCTATGTCAGAAAAAATATTAACATAATAGCTTATTTTCTGTTTCCACTACTATATTTATTTTCTTACTCCATCTCTAGAATTGTCCAAAGCATTGTTTCTTTCTTTTTTTTTTTTTTTGCTTTGGTAGCTTTTATGTTATGAAGCAAAAAGCAGCACTTGCTAAGTATGCAAGTGCTTTAGTTTGTTAGTGAATTTCTAGACTAAGTGAGAAGGACTTGTTAAATTATTGTAGCTGATAAAAAGATTGAGTTATGTGCTTAGAGTTTATGAGGCAAACAATAGCTATATCCAGTAGTAGTAAGATATATTAACAAAACAGGAAAGAGCAGAATTTTTGGAACAGGTTCAAAAGGAAAATGGGAATGTTTTAGAGTTGAGAGATGAAGAACACATTTTCTTTATTTTTTTTTGTTTTTTGTTTTTTGTTTTACAGAGTTTCACTCTTTGTTGCCCAGGCTGGAGTGCAGTGGCACGATCTCGGCTCACTGCAACCTCCACCTCCTGGGTTCAAGCAATTCTCCTGTCTCAGCCTCCCAAGTAGCTGGGATTACAGGCACCCGCCACCACACCCACCTAATTTTTGTGTTTTTAGTAGAGATGGGGTTTCACCATATTGGCCAGGCTGGTCTCAAACTCATGACTTCAGGTGATCTGCCAGCCTCGGCCTCCCAAAGTGCTGGGATTGCAGGCTTGAGCCACCACACCCAGCTGAAGGACACATTTTCATACATGCCCTAAATGAAGGATTGTTATAGGATGTGGCTTGAGCACCTTATAAGTAATGCTCTCATCTTGAATGTTTCAGGAAAAGAGCTCATTCTTGTGTCTGACATAAAAGTCAAGCAGCTCCCAGACTTTAAAGGATTATTTTGGTCTACAAAATGCACATGTCTATAGAATCTGATATAAATCAAATATGACAGAACCCTTTTTAAAATATGTTGTAATACGTCAAACACTTAAAGCCATTTTTTTTTAAAATGATGATGATGGTGCAAGAGTCATCAGTATTGATGAGACTGAATTATTTTACCAATATAGGATGACTGGGAATCAGAAACTTAGATTTGTTTTAAGAACTAAAGAAGTGTAAAATTCCTTGCACCCTGGTATAATCTGCAATATAACTGATATATAGGTCCTGTAATATATAATATTAAAACTGTTAAATTATTGTTTCTGTTTATAAGTGAAGAAAGTACAAGAGAATCATGTTCTCTGACTGGTATGATAGAGTAGATAGAAGGAATGAAGTTTCTTATTATATAGAATAGATGTAGCCTAATGACCATTTGAATACAAAATCAGAGGTAGCTATAGCATTTTATAATGCTTGGGTTTCTGGACATGGGTACTATTGTTCCTGGACCAAACTGAGGATCGGGCTGCTATTTCTCATGGCCCAATAACAAGATGCAGATGAACTGAGGAGAAAGAAAGCTTTTATTTCTGTAACCCGTTACAGGGAGAAGGTCTGGAAATTATCGCCAGACCAACTCAAAATTAGAAAGTGTTTCAGGGCTTATATACCTTCTAAGCTATATGTCTATGTGTAAGTGTGCATTCATCTAAAGACATAAGTGATTAACTTCTTTTAATCTATAACTAAGGTCAGAGTCCTGAAGACCTTTTTCTGGGGCCTCAGTAAGTTTACTTAATCTAAATGTGTCTAGGTGCTGGGGTGATTTCCTTTATCTTGTCTCCTGCTAAATCATGGGGGTTTGAGGAGTTCCTTCAGACCTCCAGTAAATTTGTTTGTGGAGGCCTGGAGCGTTTCTTCAGACTCCCAATAAACTTGTTTAATCCTAAATGGGTCCTGTTAAGAATTCCTTTGTTATTTTTGCCATGCTTTAAGGTCCAGGAAAGGCCTAGGCAAAACTCTTGATGGGCTTTTGTTACATTTCAGCCTTTGTATAAGGGCACTGGTTTTTTCTTTAGTTTTTAATATTTAACTTAACCACTCTGTCAGTACTGAAACAGTTGTAATGGAGGCCTGAGTTAGTGAAAACTGGCCTGCCACAATCGCCACTGTCAATTTGTGCATGATTCCTATCATACTTGTATGTTTATTTATCATGAGAATCATAGGGAGATGAGGCATCCTAACCTTTCTGGCTACTTCCTTCTGAGAGAGTGTCATTGTTATGGGGCAATGAACACAGCGCTGGAGTGAAAGAGGTCGATTTGTTCCTAGTAGCTCTCTCTGTTTCGGGGGCTTAGGGGCAGCACCTGCTGAAACATGTAGTCTTCAATTCACAGAGCTTTAAGAAAGTACAGCTCAGGTTTTAGTGACTCCCAGTTAGGAAATTGAGAGAAAAGGAAAAGAAAAAGAAAAAAATTGAAAACATTATTTTGGAGACTTGTAGCCACAAAAATTAGAATTTAATCCAAACTGTAGAAAATAATAAAAATTGCAAAACATTAGGCAAGACTAGAATTTAACAACAGGTGTACCACAGTTTTTGAAACATTATTTTTCTCTCTCCAGTTTCCCATTTTCATTAAAAGACAAATCATGGCAGGACTGGTTTGGTTTATTATACTTGGCCTAATTATTTGTATACAGTGCAGCAAGAATAATTATTTTTTAAATAGGTCTTTGAAATTGGCTTTGATGGAACTTTGTTCCATAGAAGGAATCTCAGATAAGACTTTTTAAAGCCCAGCCCAGCCATGGATTGTGCCATCAAATACCTAGGAGTTAGGTGAAACTTCTTTTCCTCTTCAGGTTCCAGGATAAACCTGGGGCTTCTGCACCTGTCAGAAAGTGACATTCTTTACTTACCACAGGTCAGAATCCCTGTACATGGACTGCATCCACAAAATGAGAAGCCAGTTTTTCCAAGGGCTTTCTTGGCTCCATAAGTCAAGTTTGATTCCTTAAAGGAGAGCACACCATTCCAGTCAAAGCCTTGGTAAAATAAGCAGTTTCTCCAATTGTGTTCAGTAACAAATGAAAACAGATTCTTATGGCACTTATGCAAATAAACGTTTTGCCATAAGTTAAGCATACCCACAAGTAGTTTCTAATTCTGGACAAATCAGGTAGAGAGAAACAAATATGCTCCAAATTTTGTCCATAGTTGTATACCAAATTGTTAAAAGCTGTTAATAGCTAAAAGGAAAAGTTTCCTTGACTCTGAAAAGCAAAACAAAGAATTAGCAGCCAAAATTAATTCAGTTTATGCATTTAATTCCTATCCTGCTTGACACTGATGAACATTTTAGCTCTTTAAGAATCTTGAACATTTTTTCTGTATTCCGATTTCACAATCTCCAAAGATATTAGGAACCTGCATTCCAGAGCACCTGTTAGAGCTTTATAGTTGATTATAAAACTACCTTCTAAAGAGGACCAAAACAAGACAGGAATTGTTTATTTATGGGTGACAAAAAGTTTTAGGGTAGCCATAGTTAAAGACACAATTGAAAAGGAAATCTGTTACCTCTGTGGCACACAATAATTTTAATATAAATTATTACTGATTATAATTATTACTGATAATGTACACTAAGTTATATCAAAATGATAGGAGTTTCACATGATTTGGAACACATACCAATGACATATTTATCTAAAGAAAGCCAAACACCATTTAATATTTGACAATGCTTCCTGTTTAATTTTTATACCAAATAAGCCAAATTTTACCTTTACATTAGGGTACTATTAATGTTAAACCCAATTCTTAATAAACTTTATAGACATATTTACCCAATTTTAATGTTTGACCATAAGGTAAGACTTTTATAGACCTTTTATAACCCTTAACAATTTTTGTTAAAGAGCAGATTAGTGCTCTAAGAGAAACCCATTGTGCTTTTAATGCTCAATTTACAGAAAAACTGGATGATACTCCTTCAACTTTAGCCAATATGTTTACACACAGAATTTCCTTTACTATTAACCTTCCACAGCTTGCGTAAACCTTTATTTCTATTTTATCCAACTTAAAACAATCCTTTAACCTTTTAATCTAGGTAAAAATCCATATTCACCTTCCTCCTTATAATCTTTTTAACCAAAGTATATTTTACTTTCCTTACGTACCTTGCATGTAAACTCTTTTTTCAATAGTCTTAAATACATGCTACACTGTTAACTCTTAGCAACCTTTACTTTTGGTGAAAACCTTGGTAAATTTGAGATTTTAATTATGTACTAGGCCTGGAGCCTAGGACCTAGACAGAAGTGCAGATAAGGTCTGACTTATTCCAGCATCTAACTCCATGTGTCCCAGGCCTTGCTCAGCTGAAAGCCGGCAAGTTGTACAGCTAAGAGTCATAGTGGCATTTTATAAAGCATTTAGGAGGCCTAATCAACTTTCAATTATACAACATTTCTTGCATAAATTTCCTTTCATAAATTCCTTCATGACTACACAGACAAGTTACAACATGCCTTGACTTTCTCACTTGTCCTAAACATCCCTCTTTTTAAACAGCCTGTTATTTTACTTAGGACAAGATTTTACCATGCAAGATCCTTTCTTATATAAAATCTTTTTTCTGTAATACCTTTTTGCATAGCTAGGGGCATAGCTAATTTCACATGTCCCCAGGCCTTACCTATAATTTAACACTCTAAAATAAATTGAACAATTTGTAAGTCAAAGATGTAGTTTATGACCTAAAGCATTTAGCAAACCTAATATTTGACCTGCATAATTTAGACCAAATGTTTACGTTTTTGAAGATTTTTATTTTACCAATAATCTTTAAGACTGTCTTTATTTTTATAACTTTCTTTATATCACTCTTTTTTCCTGGTTTCTTTTACCTTGTTTTATATATAACCTTTAAATAATCTTTGAATTAGACAAAAGTTAGTTCCCCTTTAAAAAGGACACAATATGTAGAAAGAATGTTTTCTTACAATATATTTTTATTGGGAAATAAATAATGAAATATCTGTTGTTTAATTTAACTTTAGATTCTAAATTATGGCAAGTTTGTTTATGAGTATTTATCCTATTACATTTATTTATTTATTTTAATCATTTAACTAGATTATTTATGAAAACTGAAATAGTCATCATTTAAAGTTTTGAAGCCACCAATGCAAAACTATAACTGAGACAGTGAAAATGATCTGACCTAACCTACTCCATTTTTGCTTTTAACCTCCACGCTATTGTTATTCATTAACTTAGTTTATAGTTTAGCTTTGAAACAAAGATGATAACAGTCCTTTCCCAGAAGAAACTTCCTTCATGTCTGTGGACTAGACTGCCTAAGGCCACATGATTAGAAGTTAGGATATTTTATATAATAATTCAAGATGAAGCTACCTTCATTAAAGCAATGTTAATGTTTTATTTATTAAAAATTACACAAGCAAAGATTATTCTGTTCGAGGCTGAGTTATAGTTTTGTAGCCTTTGTGCCAAATGTTGATACCTTATAGTATCTGGTAGAGATAAGTATGAAATTGCTTAATCAATAAATGCAAACTAAAAATGTATGCTGGCAAGCCTTAAGACATTTCTAATATTACTAATATTAACATTAGTTAATATTAGTTAATATTAGAAGAAATGTCTTCTAATATTACTTTACCAATAATTTTTAAAGCTAGCTTATTTATTAAAGATATTAAGTCACATAAATTTGAAAAAGCATTTGACTAGTCTTTCCTTTTTTCTGTTCAAGTATTTAAGCAATTTTATTCTTCTTTGAGCCAATTAATTAGAACTTTTTTATATTTTTCGGTAGTGAAACATGGTGTACACAAGACATAAATACATAGACATACTAGGCATGCCAATAGAAGTACATTTTATAGGTTCATAAGACCTCCTTTTCTTATTTTTTAACTGGATCTTTGAGCTCTGGGAAGAGCTCACACTGAATCCTGGGTTTTCAAAAAGGGGGAATTACTATGAGGCTAGACCATGTGTTGCTTTTATGGTGCACTTTAAAAAAAAATTTCCAAACAAAAACATTTCTAAGTGTCTAAATTACACCTTCCTTAAAAACCGCAGAGTAGCTTCTGTTGTAACAGCCATTATTGAAGAAAACGGAATGCAGTCAACTGAGAAGAAAAAACTTTTGCTTAAAATGACGAGGTGCTAGGAGAGAAATATACTAAAACAAAACCACGATGGCCTTTTAAACACAAACAAGCACACACACACGTATACGCATACATATTTTGGATGTTAGCTTATTAATTAAGCTGACTTTCGACCATTGAGCTTCTAAAAAATTCTTTCTCCTTCCCAGAGGTCTCTCTGCAGGAATGGACCCAATGCTTCCCATTTTCAAGTTTACATGGTATCCAAAGGAACAAGAGAGACACACAAACAAGTGGAGACAGATTTCAGACAAACACAAGGAGGAGCGCACTCAGGCAAACAGACTCAAAACGAACTCAAAACCTGATCTCAACCCAAATGTAAAGCGGGTGTATGAGCGAGCCCTGTTGCTTCCCTTGGCGGTACCGTATTGCGTCCTTGGTAGTGCCAGACAAATGGCTTAACAAACCCACATAGGAAAACAATAGGCTTCTGGCAAACGATCCAGTTAACTCACCCTTTGAGCGCATCCGCTCCCGATCTCCATTCTTCCCCAGCAGTGAAAGGGACATGCAGATTTGTCCAGGGAACAGCCCTCTGGAGGGTCCCGTGGGGAAACCTCACCTGGCAGCTGGGAGATCCTGCTGAAGACTGTCTCCTCACAGGCTGCCAGCGGCTGAAAACAGCACCATCCTTACCTCCTGGCTGGTGTACCAAACTTTGTTCCAGGACCAAGCGAAAGTCAGGCTGCTATTTCTCGCGGCCTAGTAACGAGATGCAGATGAACCGGGCAGAAAGAGAGTTTTTATTTCTGTCACCCGTTACAGGGAGAAGGTCTGGAAATTATCGCCAGACCAACTCAAAATTAGAAAGTGTTTCAGGGCTTATATACCTTCTAAGCTATATGTCTATGTGTAAGTGTGCATTCGTCTAAAGACACAAGTGAGTAACTTCTTTTAATCTATAACTAAGGTCGGAGTCCTGAAGACCTTCTTCTGGAGCCTCAGTAAGTTTACTTGATCTAAATGAGTCTAGGTGTTGCGGTGATTACCCTCATCTTGTCTCCTGCTACATCATGGGGGTTTGGGGAATTCCTTCAGACCTCCAATAAACTTGTTTGTGGAGGCCTGGAGAGTTTCTTCAGACTCCCAAGAAAACTTGTTTAATCCTAAAAGGATCCTGTTAAGAATTCCTTTGTTATTTTTGTCATGCTTTAAGGTCCAGGAAAGGCCTAAGCAAAACTCTTGATGGGCGTTTGTTACATTTCAGCCTTTGTATAAGGGCACTGGCTTTTTTTTAGTTTTTAATATTTAACTTAACCACTCTGTCAGTGCTGAAACAGTTGTGATGGAGGCCTGCGTTAGTGATACCTGGCCTGCCACACTGTTTTTCATAATAGGAAATGCAAAAAGAAAATACTAACAATAGAATAGGAATCCTGACTTCCAATTTAATCTATTCAAATTCAAATCACTTGAGTATCCATTGACAGATAGATGTAAGATATACAGTAGTATGGGTCTATTCAGGCAACAGAAACTCTATATTAATTTGAACAGAAGTGCTAAATAGAAAAAAAAGTTAAGCCATAATAGGAGAGTAACCACCAAGTTGTAAAAATAACTCTAAAGAGTACCATGGGTCTGAAGGATAACACCCAAGGAACCACAAACTTGGAAAGAGGGCCTGAGGCAGGGGAAAAGCCTCAATTGGAGAATATGTGATTGTAGTCCAATGGATAGGGGAGAGATTTGTTGGGTTATCCTGTTAGAGCTGGTCTGTATTCAATAGGCAATGAGAAATAATCCTCCAGGAATCAGGAACCTGTGGGCTGATATACAGGCACACAGATGGGCTTGGAGTGCTTCTGTAGGCAAGTGGCCTAGAGTCTGTGATATTTGCATTACTAGCCTCTCAGAAAGAGGGTCACCATATCCAAGCGAGAGCTACACTGTTATTGGTAGACTGTATGCTTTGGGAATGCAGCTGAGATAGAGCAAGTCCACAAGTCTTGCACACTCATTCCACTGACCAGCCACTCAACAGGAGACAGGAAGTGCAAAATTAGCACCCTGGAACCTGGAAGAGAAGCTCTCTTCTTGCAGTGTCTCTCTTGTGCACTCTACTGACAAAGCTTTAACATTTTGCTAATATTTAGTGAGAAAGGCTTAAAGGGTCCATTTTATGCCAGGTGCTGAAGGGCGAATTTGTAACACAGAAGCAATGAATCGAAAATGGGCAAAATATGAGAGGACATGAGCCAAGATTAAAGACATAGATTTGAGTGTTGTCAACTAAATAGTGATTCTCTTTAAGCATAGTGGCTGCAGATAAAGCCTATGAACAGTGTGTAGAGTAAGAAAAGTGGACTAATGTGTACAGACATTAACGTTTCATGGATGAGAAAAAGGAAAAGAACAAGTAAAGGATACTGCTCTGTGACAGGACTGTACATGCTCCTAAATGCTAAAGGAGCCAATAAACCAAAGATGGAGACAGACAAATCCAGGTTTGGTTTTTTTTGTATGAGATAATTTATTTCTGTCTGTAAATTCTGTGGTCTTGAGTGGCTGAAAGGCAGGTAGATCACTGCACCACAACCCCCAGACCCAGGGCTTCTACCTTGAGGAAAGGATACTTGCTCTAGACGGAACATGTGTGTAGCTACAGGCATCACAGCCTACAATTTCTGCAATAGCATTGAGGGTTGTTTTGGATGAAACTTAGAGTGACTAAGTGTTTCTACAGAAAGAGTAATACATGAAGTAGATGTTTTGGAGGCATTCCTGGACTTAGGGCTAGTCAGAAGTCACATGGAGGATTAGCATTTAAAATAAAGCCTCTCATGAGAACACATGGACACAGGGAGGGGAACATAACACATCTGGGCCTGTCAAGGGTGGTGGGCAAGGGAAGGGAGAGCATTAGGACAAATATCTAATGCATGGAGGGCTTAAAACCTAGATGACGGGCTGATGGGTGCAGCAAACCACCATGGCCTGTGTATAACTATGTAACAAACTTGCACGTCCTACACATGCAACCCAGAACTTAAAGTTGAAAGGAAGGAAGGGAAGGGAAGGGAAGGGAAGGGGAGGGGAGGGGTGGGGAGGGGAGGAGAGGGGAGGAAGAAGGAAGGGAAGGGAGAAGGAAGGAAGGAAGGAAGGAATGAAAGAAGAAAGGAAGGAAGGAAAAGAAACAAATAAAGCCACTCTTTTCCCTACGAATATTAAGAAGCCAGAGAAAAGTCAAAAAAAACCAACAGGGCAAAATGTTTCCACAATACCTTTCATGAGCTTTCTTTCTGTTTGCCTTTCTTTCCTGCCCCTCCCCTGACGTATACTATCTTCCCACATCGTAGCCATATTGGACTTCTCTCAGTTTTCAAATAAGCATTGATGTCTGTCTTTGGTATGTACATTTCTCTTTTTTTGTTCCATGAATTTTCTTCTTCACACCACACCACAGTTCACACTCTTTTCCACTGCTTGTCTGCTAACTTCTACTTGTATTTATTGTGTCAGTTTAAGTGTCATGAGACTTAGAGGAACTTCCATACCTCTACCTGGTCCTGGCTGTATGAGTTACTCTTGAAATGTGCTCCCACAGCCCCCATTGTTTTCTACATCATGAATGCATTGCTGTGTTTTGTATATGATTGTTAGACTGTCTTCCTAAACTGGATTCTCTGGGAGAGAGGGCTTATGTTCATAATACTTATGATTTTGCCCCTAGGAGAGTGAAACTTTGTGAAAACACAGGTAAATACATGTTGAATTAATAATAAATAAATCATAAATAAAATAATAAATAAAGGAGAACGGAGTTTCAAAAGTAGCCACTTTAGAAAGCTAAGGCCATGTACATTAAGATGGAAATTATTTTTGCTCATTGAATGTATATGTTAGGGGATAATTGATAAATTTGGCAATGTATTCTTCATTTCTTTACTTCATTTATAGGAAAACTCTTAAAAAGCATTATCTCTACAGACCGTATCATGCTAAATAATGCCCATTCCCCAAAATGTCCACATCCAAATCCTTGTAACATATGTACCTATTATCTTAAATGGCAAAAAGACTTAGAAGATGTGAAAAAGTTAAGACTCTTAGAGGCAGAGATTATCCTGGATTACTGGGTAGACCCAAACTAATCACAAGCATCCCTACAGATGTCAGACATTGCCTTTTGTCTGACTCCAATGTTTCCGTCTTGTATCCCTTAAGGATGTGACAAAAGAGGGAGTGAGAAAGAGAAACCAATTGAGGGAGAGAGAGAGAGATTAAAAATGTAGCCTGCTGGCTTTTAAGATGGAGGAATTCACAAGCCACGGACTGTCGGAGGAGTCTAGAAGCTGGAAAAGTCAAGGAAATGGATTCTCCCCTAGAATATCTAGACGGAATATAGCACTACTGAACCATTTTGGGACTTCTGATCTCATATAACTGTAAAAGAATACATTTGTGTCACTTTAGGCCAAATTAGCAAATTTGTGATAATTTGTTATAGCAGAAATGCACAACTAATACACAAAACTCTGTAATTCTCTACTCCTGATTTCTCTTAAAGTCATTGTGATCAAGCTTTTGCCTTAATGATTCTATCACAAATATTTTGTCAAAGACACCACTTACTTTTGCTTTGTTAAATCTAATGGTCATGTTAGTCCTTATTGTACTTTACCTATCAGTAGCAGAAACCATATTTAGTTACTATCATTACTAATGCAGAAATAGTAAAAGTGCTTCATTTAGAATCAAGAACAATATAAGAATTGTTTTAGTGAACATTGCACTAAAATTTTAAGTTGTCAGGATAGACTATTAAAATAATAGCAATAAATAAAATTTTGAATAAAAGACACAAATTTGTATCTACATGGAATACACACAATGATAGCCAAAAGACTATGAATAAATTTCTGGATGTAATTTTAATAAACAATATAAAATTTTACTTCTATATTGAAGAACAATCTGTTAGAAAATGTAATTAAAATAACAATTATGATACAACAGAAAGTACCTAGAAAAAAATCAAAATAAGATGTACATTTCATTTTATTAAAAAGTACAGCTATTTCTTATGGGACATTAACAAAGATATAAATAAATGTAAAGCTATGCTATGTTTATGAATTGAATAGAAAGATTCAATATTATACCAACAAGAAAAAAAGTTGGGTGAAATGCCATACCAGGTTACAGCACTTATTAGAGATGTTGGTCTATGTAGGAATAGGCAAAAGCAGTCAGCAGATAGAAAACTGGCATACGTACTCACACATACATTGAAACTTGATGTTTCAGAGGAGGCATCACAGATCAGTGGGAAACAGTTGGCTATGCAAAATATGACTGAACAAAAACAAATCTGAAAAACTGAACAATAAGTTTTTAATAATATATGTGATAAAACATTTAAGGCATGCAAGTGTGATGAAACATAAAATACAGGATCATGGGTACAAATGAGGTAGAAAAGAAGGCAGATTGATTTGAGAAGGGGCCCTATATAGACTTTCAAAAACATACCAGTGATCCATTGTCTTGAGCTAGGTGATGAGTAAGAACTGTTTGACAATGATTCTTTTAAGTGTGTGTGTGTGTATATGTATATATACACATATGTATATGTGTATATATACATATACACACAATTCCACCATCTTATCCCTCTGTCCACATTTTAAAAGGCTCTAACAACAAATTAGAAAGTATAACAGGCTCAACTATAAAGAAAACACACACCTGTCTATGTGTGCACACATATATCAAACAGAAGAAACAAAGAAACAATACAAGCAATACAATATAATACACACACATGTACACACATGCATGCACATATATAACTGTAGGCTATTTGGCTTTTAAATGTACAATGGTTTCCATGATAGTAACTACATAAAAATTAATAAAATTTGAAAGATACAACTAAATGAGAAGAAAGTGTTTTAGGTAATAAATTTAGAGACAAACATACGGTGGTAGCAATAATGACCTCACAGGAGTAAAGGACTAAATGAAGAATTTATTTATAGCAAGAAGGTGTATTTGAAATTTTTACATGCTGTACAGAAGTTTAATGAAGGAGAGTTTAAAAACAGAACAAAGTAGGTAAATTCAAGTTCCTTAAAGACGCAACAAGCATTGGTATACATAAATATAACTTCCAAATTCCCAAGGGAAAAGATTTTCATCTATCCTCATCGCTGTGAAACCCTAGTGCTTACAACAGTGCCTGGCATATATTAGGTACACAATTAATATTTGTGGAATCTACATTTAATAAATTAATAAAGAAAACAAACAACAACAAAAGAATACATAGTTTGGGGGTTGTGTTAGTGATTGGGCTACATTTTGAGGCTATGTATGTAATTGTGGACTTTTCTCTCTGTATTGTTTCTTCTGCTTGCTGTGTGTGTGCACACATGGATGTGTGTATTTTCTTTATATTTGAACCTGTTATACTCTCTAATTTGTTGTTAGAGCCTTTTTATTCTGGACACAGAGATAAGATGGTGGAGAATGGTATGTAGCAGAAGAGACAGAGAACTAAATACTAAGGAATTTGTTTTAGACTTAAAGAGATGAGTAAAAGCAATGTCAATGGTCCAATTTGTCTTATTCAAAATACGAGCAATGCAAATGACACAGTCCACTTCCAACCTAATTAGCTTCCTAATCATTACATTTATAGCAACCAACATCTAGTTCCATTAACAATTAAGACATTTTGTATCAATCATATAATTATCTAAGAAAGGCACACACAAGTAGGATATTTCTTTAATCAGGTGAAAGCATCCTGATTTCAAGCACTAAAACATTCTAAAATTACAACTTTTTACTTTATTCCCAGACTGAATAGGCTTAAGACTGAGAGGATGTTAATTCCAAATCCTTATTTCTGGTTGTTGTGTTTTTTTGTTTTCACAAGATGAAGTCCATCCTTAGATAGGACAATGATAATTTAGCAGGAAAAAAAGATTGAGTGTAAAAGAAAAATTATATAATTATTTCAGAAAAAAATATTCTCAAGTTAAAAATCAAAATTGATGGATTTCTTTTTTACATATAGGTCTTGCTATATTGTCCAGGCTAGAGTACAGTAGGTATTCACTGGGGCGATTGTAGCACACTGCAGTCTCACACTACAGTCTCAAGCTCAAGTGGTTCTCTGCCTCAGCTTCCTGTAGTTCCTGAGTAGCTGGAACTACAAGTGCATTCCACAGTACCCAGCTAAATAAATGAATATTTAAAAAATTATAGTATTGTAGGGGATCAGAGAATTAAGAAAAAAAATTATGTCAACTCCTTGATAGGTTAATTGGCTCCTTCTCTTCATAGAATGACATGTTCTTTTATAAATGAATAAGAAATCAAAGACTTCTGATATAGGGAAAGTGGTCATTATTATATGCCTCATAAAAGTTTGGGTTTTTTTAACTCAAATAATCAAGAATTGTGTTTAATTTGGTACTGGTGGTTAATTTTCTTGAACTGGTCGTGGTTACTAGATCTACTAGCTTGAATCTCTTATGTCCTACATTTGGTAACACTCAAAGGAGATATAAGGTAAAAACTCTTGCTTTGGACTAAACAAGAATAATCAAGATCATTAAGACAAATTTTCCTGCATAATTTGAAAACTGTGAGCTAACAGGATGCAAATATACGAAGAGATTTATGATAACAAATTGGCTTATGCAATTATGGAGGCTGACAAATCCCAAGATCAACATCAGCAAGTAGGTGAACCAAAAGAGCTGATAGTGTTGTTCCAGTCCAAAGACCAGCATGCTTGAGACCCAGGAAAAGTGAATGTTTCAGCTGGAGTCCAAAGGCAGGAAACAATGATGTCCCAGTTCAAAGGCAGGCAGCAGTAGGAATTTCCTAGTACTCTCAGGAGGGCCAGCTATTTTGTTCTACTGTGGCCTTCAGCTGATTGAATGAGGCCTAACTATCCACGTTAGGAAGGACACATCTCTTTTACCCAGACTATAGATTTAGACACATCCCAAAACAATCTCACAGAAACATGCAAAATAATATTTGGCCAAATATCTGGCACACTGCTGCCCAAAATAGTAGACACACAAAATTAACCGCCACAGCATGCTGAATAATTTACAGTTGGAAAAATGAATTATTTGACCAATAAATAACTTTAAATCTAATATTTTTTCTGCTTACTGGGGTATTTATAAATCCAAAATAATAAATAAAATGGGATAAGAACCTTTGCCAAGGATGAAAGCTTTAGCTTCAGGCCTTTGCAAATTTTTAATGAGTATAATCATGTCATTATTTAAATATAATTAGCGTATTTTAAACACAAATTACTTCTTAAATATAAGCAAGTGTTTCTACATTTCAAACTAAGGAAAGGAAAGCCAACAATACTATGAAATTTGCTAATCAAATTTACCCTGAAAATGTAACATATTTTAAAATGTATTACTGTTAGGATGAATTTCCTTTTATTTTTAAAAGGAAGAGATGAAGAGATTTTTCCCCTGAGACTGAAGAAAAAAAGCCAGATTAAAAAGGTTATTTGCAAGATATATTTTTCAACTTTATCATCTGTTTAGTATTTTGGCACATAAAAACCTTTTTTAATACAATTCTACTTTCTGGGAAATATTTAATTTTATTTAATTTTGATTACTATTACACATAGGAAAAAGAATATGACTGGATAATATTTTGAATGTATATATGTATGTGTGGGTGTGTATTCAGATGACAAAGAAGCTTCCTGTTACAAACTATAAAATATAATAAGGTTATTTTATTTTGTGATAAAGAGATAAGTTTTTATTCTTTATATAATGGCTTCTTTTGGTATTTTTTTCCAGTTTTAGTCATTCAAGTTTCATTAATCACGCTCTTTCTTTTTTCTTTCATTCTTTACATTTTATTTACATCTAATATGTAGAAAGATTGTGAATCATATGAGAAAATGATAAGCTATCTCTTCAAATTTATCATAGTACTTAGGTAGCATAAAGTCCTATTTAGGAGCATAGACTGTGAAATCATAATGTCTAGTTCAAGTTCAAGCTCCACATTTGCCATGTACTAGATGTGCAACCTTGGGCAAATTACTTAACCTCTCTGTGCTTCAGTTTTCTCATCTGTAAATAAAAATAAAAAGAATAACTCCTTCATAGTATTGAGATCAAGATTAAATGAATTAATAATAATATAGCACATGGTAAGTTTTATATACATGTTAAATACAAATATATAAAAAAGACTATGTGCTGACCTTTATACTGTAGCTTTTCAGTATTTATGTAGACTTTTATTTGATGTTTTTGTTGGGCTCTCAATGGATACTCAGAAATTTTTAAATTTGGAAATTTGAAAAGCTAATATTTATTTTTCTGTCAATAGAAACTTTTGACTTTACATTTACTTCTGAATTAACTGTAGTAAATTATGGAACCGATAATATTCCTCAAGCAAAACTTGTCTATGGTATCCTTTCAAAAATGGCACTATCATTATAAAAGAAAAAATGTTTTACCTAATGCAAATCCATTTAAAAATAATTTTCTGCTCAATAAAGATGTTTTTCCTGCAAAATTTTAATGCACATAATTTTGGCCAAAACAACAGTGGAAACTGATTACATGTCAGCTACATTAGACAGAGTGTCGGCTTTATAATTGCTATGCTGTATTGCAAATCCTGGAATAAGATTATGTGACAGCTGTTCCCTTGGTTTGTCCATAAAATTGAGATGTTTGTTTCATAAAGCAATCCCTGTGATCAAAGATTGGTTTTAATATGCAGCTAACAAAATTATTGAAATTAGTGAAATAGAAAATAATAATGATACAAAATAGTTAACGCTCATTGCTCTTCTTCCATCATTTTTATAGCTTTACTTGGTAATAACTATATTTGTAAAGAGTATATTTGTGCCTGTGCTTGTAGAAACAATCTTATATCATATTTATATGTAAAACATATAAGATACATATATTACATATATATATGATTATTCTGTGATGTAATAAAAAAAGCAGAGAGAAAGAGGCCGTAGGGAAAAGGACAATACATATCTATATGGATATTTTATCAGCCCTCTATGAGATTCAGAACGTATATTTCTCTGCAATGCAAAATTATACTGTATACATATTAGATCCACAAAGATACCATAAGTCTAGATATTTGATTTGAGTTATAACTATGTAAAGCAATATTCAATAGAATATTTTAAAGGAACTATTTGCCAGCACCCTTCCACATGCTGAAGTCCTCTCTATCTGTCAACATTCCTACCCTATCTTTTTTATATTTCAATGTATCATATTGTGTTATTTTAAGACTTTTATATAATTCAAACTTAAAAAAATTATCACTTGGCGAAGTACTTGTTTCTCTTACTAGATAAAGTGTTTTAAACGATGAGCTCATTTCTTTCCCAATCTTTGTATTTTCAGCACCTGACAGCTGTATATTATATAAGTTTTCAGATCAAGAGAGTAGTCCTGGCTAAAGATACTCTCATTGCCAGATAGAGAGTATTTAACAGGATAAGGTCGTCGAGGTAGGAAAAGATGAACCGGTAAAATGCATGCTAAACAGAAAATTAGACTAAGGGGAGTCTTCCTACGCTTATATAAAGAAAATTGTAGTACAGTGTTCTCAAAGCTAAGTGAAAGACTATGTTTTGAGAAAAGAGATATAAATGTTGCTGAGAAGTAAAATGAGATGAGGCCAGAAAACAGATTCTTGGATTTAGCAATGATCAAAAATTCAGTGACATTGATAACTGTAGGTTGGGTGAAATTGTGAGGGAAAAGCCTGTTGGAGTATGTTTAGGAGATAATGGAAGAGGAATAATTGGAGATAGTAAGTGTAGAGAGTTCTCCTTGGGCATTTTATTGCAAAGGGTAGTGAAGTAATGGGATGAGAGTGAAAGGAATGTCAGGTCAGAAGAGTTTTTTATTGCTTATGAGTGTTTTTCATATGGGAGAAACAGAGGCTACTTTTATCATACGTTGTGAATAATACAGTGCAGAAGGAAACATTGATGAAGTGGGAAAACGGGGTCAGGACTGAGGTTCACCATAGTATGACTCTCAGCATATAGGCAATGCACATATATTAAATCACAGACATCCTGGGCAGCTGTTTGCACTGTTTATCACTGAATCCCCATGCTCAAAGAGTAAAACCTCTTGTTTTGGTCATCGATTGTTTTGTGATTTGTGGGGTACACTGGAAAAGAAATATTGGAATCAATACTAGCAGATAGCCCATGATGTATGCAGCAGTGATCATGTTTTGACAACACATGAATGCCAATGGACCATCTGTCTTTGTCACTGAAAACACTGAGCTTAGCAGTATGCCTCCTGACCTTGTCTTGTATTGGAGGAAAAAAAAATGGCAAAATTCAAAAGTCCTCACATGATTTCCACTTAGTTTATGTAGAAAGATGTCTATGGTCTGGAAAAACGCTTTTCAATAATTTCCATCTTTTTGATTCAAACATTTAAAGGTACATCTATGGACCATCATAACTTTCATGGCATGAATTATAAATCCATCTCTTGCTATCTCTTAAAGAACGTGTATAGAATGCAAGTGCTTGAAAGTGACATTATTGGTAGTGTAGCCTTGAATTTATTCCACATGATAAACGTAACAAACCAATCAAACTTTATGTCACAGTGAATCAATGGTAAGTTGGGAAACTGCAAACAGTAGCCACTGTGCTAGAGTGAGTGCAATGAATATATTCTGAGAATTTTATGTGGCAAAATGGAACAGACTCAGAATTTGTAATGTGAAGATGTTTTGACAATATTTTCATATTTTGGAATGTTATAAATCTAAAGTAACATACAGTTTTTGAAATTAAACTGTTTTGATTGGCAGTTGTAGTTACATTTTGTTATTAATGTGCTCAGAACATTAAAAATGACATGATGTTTCTCTGTAAATATCTCAAAATTAACTTATAATGTTTTCTCTTGTTTGAGAGATTGTAGTCTTGCATTGTTATAATACACAAACATTCTAAAGAGATTTATGTAAGTGGAAATTTAGATAAAATATTAACAATCAATTTATTATTTGTCTATCATAAGCTAAATTTTTATGGCAAAGTTTGACAGAAATATAGAAAAAATAACTACATTAAGTCACAGTTATTTAGATAAAATAGAAATAATTATTCTGAAGGAAAATTTCAGGAGTTAAAAATAACTAAGAGAAGAACTCTATTGTTTTTCAATAACCTAACTCTACAACAGCAACCAAAGGTTGGTCTGAAAATTCTGCCTCTGAAAATTTGACAAAGATAAAAAGCAGAGGAAACCTGCTTAAGATGATGTGTTCCCAATCATCACCTCTGTCTCTGCTCCAAACACAAAAGGTTTTAAAAAAGAAAGTTAAAAAAAGTATTTATTCTGAAAGAAAAAGAAAAAAAAAACACCATAAATAACAATCCCTAGGGGCTATAGGTAATATAAATCACCGTGTATGATATATTAGGTTTTTTCAGAGAAACGGATCAACCTATTTGTTCTATATATACATACACAGAGAGAGAGATTTATTTGAAGAAATTGGCTCATGCTATTGTGGAGGCTGACAAGTCTGAAATCGGCAGAGAAGGTCTGCTGGCTGGATACCCAAGGAAGAGTGAATGTTGCAGTCTTCATTCTGAAGGCAGTCTAGAGATGGCTTAGAATTTCTTCTTCTCCTTGGGACCTGTCTTTTTTCTAATGCCTTTAACTGATGAAATAAGGCATACCTGCTTTATGGAGGATTATCTGGTTTACTCAAGGTCTACTGATTTCAGCATTAATCATATCTAAAAAATATCTTCATAGCAACATTTAGACTGGTGTTTTATCAAAGAACTGGATACTATAGCCCAGCCAAGTTGACACACAAAACACACTATAACACATAGAAAGTCATTGACATATAAAATTCGCTATTACACAAGGAAAAGCTGATAGAGTTTATAGGCTACAGTTTGGGCTATGCCTTTATAACAAAATCTATAATATTCCCCATGTCACCAAAGATAGGATCCCATACATTGAAAAATATTATTTCTGGCCTCAGAAGTCTGGAGAAATAGGTGAAGGTGAAAAAAAAAAAACTCTAGAGTTAAGAAATATGATCTAACTGGCAAAAAAGTAGAAAAATACCCATTTAAGATTAGTCTATAAAATACAATCCCAAATATATGTTGAAATGTGACAGTAAGACAGCCAGCCTACAAATACAAATTTTGAGATGAATTAAATTTGTATAAAACCCCCCAAAAACGGCATTCAAAAACCTATATGACGAATATATTTTTATCCTCAAAGAAATAAGGGAATAATACTATCAATAAGAAAACAAGTAATTACTGGGGTGGGGTGTGACCTGGTTCAAGTAAAATAAGCAAGGAGCCATAAAAAGTGATAGATTAAAAATACTGTAAATACAGTAATAAAAACAGCATGGTATTGGCAAAAGAATAGACACATAGATCAATGGAACAGAATAAAGGACCCAGAAATAGATCCACTCAAGTATAGTTAGGTGATCTTTGCCAAAGACACAAATGAAATACAATGAAGAAAATAATCTTTTCAACAAATGCTGCTGGAGCAACTGTACATTTACTTACAAATTTTAAAAAATGAAGCTAGACACAGACCCTTCACAAAAATTAACTCAAAATTGATCTTAGACCTAAGCATAAAATTCATAACTATAAAACTCCTAGAAGATAACACAGGAGAAAATCTAGATGACTTTGGGTTTTATAACTTTCTAGATAGGACACCAAAGGCATGATCCATGAAAGAAATAATTGATAAGCTGAACTTCATTAAAATTAAAAAGTTTTGTTCTGCCAAAGACACAAACCACATATTGCAAGAAACTATGTGCAAAAGACATATCTGATAAAAAACTGTTATCCAAAATATACAAAGAATTCTCAGAGCTCAACAATAATAAAAGAAACAATCCAATTAAATAAATGGGCAAAAATAGCTGACAGACCCCTCAACAAGTAAGATATACAGATGGAAAATAAGCACATGAAAGATGTTCAACATCATATTTCATTAGGGAATTGAAAATGACAACAACAAGATACCACTGCTTACCTATTCGAATGGCCCAAATCTCAAACACTCATAGCACTGAAGGCTGGCAACAGCAACTCTCTTTCATTCCTGATGGGAATAAAAAATGGTGCTGCCACTTTGGAAGACAGTTTGGTAGTTTCTTACGAAACTAAACATATTCTTACCATACAGTCCATCAATCACATTCCTTAGTATTTACCCAAGTGAGTTGAAAACTTATATTCATGCAAAAACTTTTATATAGATGTTTATAGCAATTTTAATCATAATTGCCATATCATGGAAGCAACCAAATTGTCCTCCAGCGGGTGAATTGATAAATACCTTGGTATATCCAGACAATGCAATATTATTGGGCACTAAAAGGAATGAGCTTTCAATCCATGAAAAAAAAAAGAGCAATCTTAAAGGCATATCACTAAGTAAAAGAATCCAATTTGAAAAGGCTACATACTGTACAATTAAACTCTCTGACATTCTGAAAAAAGTAAAATTATGGAGACAGAAATATTGTGGTTAGAAGGGAGAGAGGTGTGAGTAGATGGAGCACAGAGAAATTTTAGGGCAGTGCGCTATTCTGTGTGATACTACAATGGTGAATATGTCATTATAAACTTGTCAAAACCTGTATCATGTACAACACCAAAAGTCAAACTTAATGTAAACTATGGACTTTGTGTGATGATGTGGTACTGTAGATTCATGGATAGTAACAAATGGACCACAAAAAATGTTGATAGTGGTAGAGGCTATACATGTGTGGGAACAGGGGGATATATAGGGATTCTCTGTACTTTCCTCTCAATTTTGCCTTGAACCTAAAACTGAACCAAAAAATAAAATATTTTTAAAATGTTGGAAATAAAAATAAGTCATTGAAATAAACGCATCACATAATAGTTAAATATTCATTGGTAAAGGCAGAATTAATAATGGAAAAAGATTAATGAGAGGATGTTACACAAGACAAAACTCCGATATAAATTTTGGAAATGTTAAAACAAACAAACAAACAAATGCTCTCAAGAGTCCTAGAAACTAGATCAGATGGCTTATCAGATGGAATTCCAAAGAAGAAAAATACTGGAGTTGAAATACTATTCAATGAGTTAAGTCTTGATAGTTTATCAGAATCAGAAATATAGACAGCTAAGACTACATGGACTGCACTCTGAATCCCAAACAATCAAATTGAATTCACAAACAAATTGTTGTAAAAACACACAAATCAAAGATGATGGGGGCAGGGAGAGGAACCAATAAAGGACCAAAGAAAAAACAAGAGAATAGCATGATTAACATTATATTATCAATAAGCACCATACTGCTGCATGAAGTAACACTCATTTTCACTGCAGTATAATATTACACTGAGGCATTCTTTTACATTCCATCAACAAGAATATTTGCACACATTGTCAATTTATTTTAATCAAGGAGCAGTAGAACCATTTCCAGTTTTTTCTTACTGCAAGTATGCTATTGTAAATTTTCACATCCTTCTATCTCCTGATACTCATGTGGAAGTATTTTTCTTGGGTATTAAGGCAAGGCATAGATTGCTACAGCATACGGGATAAGGATAAACTTTACAAGAAAATGATAAATTGTTTTTCATAGGGCTTATACATTCCTAGAATACAGCGGTATACTCCTGGAGTAAAGTATTACACTCCTGTCTACATTATGAGCACGTTGTCATTCATATTTACTCCAAAATCTTTCCTGCATACTTTCTCACCTAAAAGGCACCAAACAGAATTCCTACAAGTAAGTGAATTTTATCCTATTTTCAAGATAAAATGATAATTATCCAATAAAAGCCATATAGTAGTAAGTGAGAAAAAAGAGACCCAACTTGGATTATTCAAGTAACTGTCAAAGTAAACAGGAACAATCAATTAGAAAACTACATACTGATATGGCTTCTGAAAATTAATGAAACAATACTGAAATAACCATAGTCCTGATCCAAAAGTGTGTTGAAAAGAAATTGATGGAACTTATGAAACAGTTTATATACAAGGACGTTTCCCTTTAGAAATATTTATAAATATAGCTAACTCAATTATCAAATAAAAGACTAAGCAAACAAAAGAAAATGCATGGTAATTTAAATATAAGAAAAAATCATCCAGCAAACTTTAATATTCCTTCTTAATTAAAAATGTATTATAAAATCAATATTAAAGAGATAGAACATCAATAACCAATTTATTGTGCTCCTATATTTCAGGAATAACCACTAATATGTGTGATATATAAAAGTAATAACCTTCACAGTTGACCAAAAATTAGATGTCTAGGAATAAATCGTATAAAGATTTACAAAAAAGTTGATGGAGTTTATAAAATATCATTCATGTACATAACATTATCAGCTCAGAACCAAAATTTACAATTCCCAAGCTACCCCTTGACTTCATTTATTTCTTTATATTCTGAATGTAATTTTTAAATAAATCCAGTATGAATTATTTTTCCAACAAGTAAAGCAAGCCATCACGTGCTGGGTATTCAAGCTCTCAGTGACTGAGGTATCAGTACCAGTTGTCTGTCTATTAAAACATTTTAGTATCTTTTCCCTAACATTATAAATTTTAGCTCCAAAAAGATAGATTTGTGCTTGTAAAAATTATAAATGTATTGCTGAGAGAGGGATCTTGGCAATTCCCTTAAATTATAGAAATGATATTACTGGTATTCTCACATTATAAAGAATAGTTTTTATCCCATTCCTTGAATCAGAAAGTTGTATCAATGCCTTTTCTCTCAAATGTCAGCAATTTTCTGCAAAGTTATTGGAAAGTGAGATTATAATCTATGGTGACTTTGGAGATCATTTAGTATGTCTCCTTTGTTTTATAAATTAGGAAACCAAATTGTTAGTGGATTTCCCAAAATCTCTAAACCTTGGTATGACAGGAACTAGCAGTAGGATTGCTATTTCAAAGCACCATACATTTTATTTATTTTCTAACACACCCTTATGGAGGATTTATTTTGTGCCAGGCCCTTCCCTCTATGGTTTCCTGATGATAACTTATATAAGCCTGGCGCCATTTTTAATATACCATAGTACTAAATATCTTTTCAATAAAAATTCTGAAGTACCTATCTGATATGGTTTGGCTCTGTGTCCCCATCCAAATCTCATCTCAGATTGGAATCCCACATGTTGAGGGAGGGACTTCTAATCCCCATATATGGAGGGAGGGAGGTGATTGAATCATGGGGCTGGTTTCCCCCATGCTGTTCTCATGATGGTGAGTGAGTTCTCACGGGACCTGATGGTTTTATAAGCATTTAACATTTCCCCTGCTCACACTTCTCTCTCCTGCCACCAAGTGAAAAGGTCTTTGCTTCCCCCTTTGCCTTCTGCCATGACTGTAAGTTCCCTGAGGCCTCCCCAGCTGTGTAGAACTGTGAGTCAGTTAAACCTCTTTCCTTTATAAATTACACAGTCTCAAGTATTGCTTTATGACAGTGTGAAAACAGACTAATACACTATCAATATTAGTTTTGTCAATTAATATTCTAAGGTAAAATACATTGTGTGAATTATGCTATCATTTCCCTGAAATTAATTTAGCCAGTAATTATGATGGTAAGACTCAATATTTTATTATCCCTCCTCAAATTATGATTCAATGGTGTCATTCTAAAATGCATACTCAGATTTTTACTTCTGTGATGATTTAAACCATTGATATGATGACTTAGAAATTGCCTTTAGAAGAACAGGAATGACACAAGAGCAGGTGTGAGCATTCAAGGAAGCTTCCAGTACTTGTTTTGATGAAGCAGATGAGGGTGTTATTCATTAACCTGTTGTAAGCCCAACTTTACTGGGAAGAAAGAGAACAGATTAGGCAAGGACCAACTCTCAGTCATGAATCAAAGTCTATGATTTCATGACCAAGCCTCCATATCCTTAGGGCTTTCCAACAATTATGCCAGTGCATCAAATGGAAAAAGAAAAAAAAAAAGTGTGTGAGTGTGTATATACATAATATTTGAAAACAACTATATTTTTGAAAATATTTACTAATAATTTTTAAAATGCTAGAAAATCAAAGCATCTACAGAAAAAATACTGTATTAAACTTAGTTTGAATAATCACAATAAACAAACAGGCTGCCCTTTAACAGAGAAAAATCAGAACAAATTAGTTTTATGCCTATTCTATGATTTTTCCCCTAAACTAAGACATTGTATTGAATCAGTTGGGCAATTCAGTCTCAGTAGAATTTGAAACAGAAAATTTGAATGTTTTTGAGTTTTCATCTTCTATTAATAGCTAATGCAGTTACCAAAATGTTGCTTTTCGATGAAAGAAAAGATAGGATTGTGATTGCAACCACAGACGTTGACGTCAGACCACCTGGGTTTGAATTCCAATTTTGTAATTTATACACTGCATAAGTTGAGAGAAATTACCTAACCTTTCTGTTCCTAGTTTTTTAAAAAATAATGTTAATAGTACCCACCTCAGGACTAAGAATTGGTATGAAAGGAGTTCACATATGCAAAGTGCTCAGAACAGTGGCAGCCACATAGTGAGCTTTTTGCATTTGCTGTTATTAGTTGTCATCAAGTTACATTCTTAAAAGGAACTATTACATCTTTTCCAACTTAATCTGTCATTAGCTAAACAGGAACGTGTGTGTGCCAATAACATTCGTCTTTTTTCCACATATATTATCATGTTAAAAAGATAAGTCAAAACATTGAGATAGAAATTAAGTTTTGAGGCCGGGCGCGGTGGCTCACGCCTGTAATCCCAGCACTTTGGGAGGCTGAGGCGGGTGGATCATGAGGTCAGGAGATCCAGACCATCCTGGCTAACAAGGTGAAACCCCGTCTCTACTAAAAATACAAAAAATTAGCCGGGCGCGGTGGCGGGCGCCTGTAGTCCCAGCTACTCGGGAGGCTGAGGCAGGAGAATGGCGTGAACCCGGGAAGCGGAGCTTGCAGTGAGCCGAGATTGCGCCACTGCAGTCCGCAGTCCGGCCTGGGCGACAGAGCGAGACTCCGTCTCAAAAAAAAAAAAAAAAAAAAAAAAGAAATTAAGTTTTGAAAAAAGCTGCTATTTTTTCCTATATGACACAAATGTAAACACTCAGGTAAAAAGAACACCCACTCAGCATAATCGCTGTAAGAGTAAACCCTTATCATTCATCCACATTTTCTTTTCATTCACCCACATTTTCTTTTCTTTTTTTTTTTTGATGGAGTCTCGATCTGTCGCCCAGGCTGGAATGCAGTGGCACAATCTCCGCTCACTGCAAGCTCCACATCTCGGGTTCACACCATTGTCCTACCTCAGCCTCCCGAGTAGCTGGGACTACAGGTGCCCGCCACCACACCCGGCTAATTTTTTTGTATTTTTAGTACAGACGGGGTTTCACTGTGTTAGCCAGGATGGTCTCGATTTCCTGACCTCGTGATCCGCCCACCTCAGCCTCCCAAAGTGCTGGGATTACAGGCGTGAACCACCACGCCTGGCCTTTCTTTTCTTTTTGATAGATAAATGAGCACCACATGTTCTCACTCATAGGTGGGAATTGAACTATGAGAACACTTGGACACAGGAAGGGGAACATCACACACCGGAACCTGTCGTGGGGTGGGGGGAGGTGGGAGGGATAGCATTAGGAGACATACCTAATGTAAATGACGAGTTAATGGGTGCAGCACACCAACATGTCACATGTATACATACGTAACAAACCTGCACGTTGTGCACATGTACCCTAGAACTTAAAGTATAATTTAAAAAAAAGAAAAATGAGTAGAGCTAGAAGACACCATGATATTTAAGTATACTATTCTTAAAATTGTTTTTTTAGTGCAGGACATTTGTTGTCAGAAAAGGCATCTTGTCCCAGGCCCCAAGAGGAGGTTCTTGGATCTCTTTGGGAAAAATATTTAGGGCGAGTTGCAGAGTATAGTTAAGATAAAACAGTTTATTAGGAACTACTCTGCTACAGAGTAAGTCATCTTCAGAAAGCACGAGGAGGAACGCCCCTATCTTAAACATAATTCTTGCTTACACAGGACTGTAAGGCTAAGAATGGTATACTTTATTACAAACGCTTGTGATCAGCTTGTGACAGACTATTAACATTGTTATTTTCCTAGTAACTATTGATTTCAGCAATAATTTATGATTACTATCTTTAAAGTGAAACATATTTTTAAACTAAGAATGCTTTTTGTTCTTTAAATATCAGGACATTTTTATAAATTCTGGGTCTTTATGTATCATTAATTCATTTCCTCAAACATAAACGTCTTGTGACCAAGAGTGCCTAATTCCCTGGGGATGTAACCGAGCAGTTTTGGTTTTAACCAGCTTTTATTCAAGATGGAGTCACTCTGGTTAGGTTGCCTCTGACACATTGATGTCCGTTCCTGTTTTGGGAAGAGAAGACTCCAGAGCCAGCCAATTATTCACCACAGAGAGAGACACAGCTCACTGGAAGTGGTGCTCTTCCTTCACATGTCACTTTCTTTCTGACTTTATGACACTGCTCTTGCCATTTTTTTTCTCTTCAGACACACTTTCAGTTTCATACCTTTAACTCTTTAATTTTCATTTTTAATTGACCCATTTTTTAAATGTTGGAATGGGAGTTTCGTTATTGGAAAGTGCTGTGCCATATGTCATGACATTCTCAGCCAGGCCTCCATAAGAAATGCTACCTGTTAGCAATTTGCAGTAATTATTTCTTAGTGTATGTTACTGAACTGGTCTTATCCATAGCCTTTAGGTTGCTAACCAAGTGGTGAAAATAAGCCACTCAGCTTTGAGAACAAAATTTTTAAGACTTTTTTATCATTAAAAAAGGAAAGCACTTTTCTTTAAATAAAACATATAAGTAACCTCTGAGAAAATTACCCAAAAATGGGATGTAAAAAGTTTGAAAGGAAATAGAATTGCATATACTGCCTATTAGCCCTATTCCTGGCCTTGGGAAAGTTATTTGACATTTTGGGGCCTTGGTTTCGTAAGCCTCAAAATGTATCTGATTAAGTGTTTTTAAGAATTATAAACATTCTTAATGTAAGCAGTCTGTCGCAGAGTAGATACTTAGAATATTTGTTTTCTTTTCTAACATGAGTAAACATACATTTCTAAGAAAAACTAAGCAAATATAGGCACTGTGAAACAAGCAATGCATTAACTAATCAGTTTGACCTTTTGCGTTTTTTTCTATGGCTAGTCTCTGGTTCAGGCATCCTTCCTTTTTGCCTGCACTATGACAATGGCCTCTAAATTCCAGTAGTTTACAGTGGTCTCCCAGCATATTCTCCCATCTGTAACTGAACTCCCAAAGTCTACTATTAAGGAATACAGTATTACACTTTCTTGAAACATAATACCAAATACCAGACTTTTCAATGATTCCTTTTGCCTTACACAATGTCAAAACCCCTTCACAACCTGGCCATGCTCACCTTTCTTTTTTTCTTTTTTCTTTTTTTTTTTTTTTTTTTGAGACGGAGTTGCGCTCTGTCCCAGGCTGGAGTGCAGTGGCGCGATCTCAGCTCACTGCAAGCTCCACCTCTCGGGTTCATGCCATTCTCCTGCCTCAGCCTCCCAAATAGCTAGGACTATAGGCACCTGCCACCTCGCCCAGCTAATGTTTGTTTTTTTGTTTGTTTTGTTTTGTTTTGTTTTGTATTTTTAGTAGAGACGGGGTTTCACTGTGTTAGCCAGGATGGTCTTGATCTCCTGACCTCGTGATCCGTCCGCCTCGGCCTTCCAACACACTCACCTTTCCATCTTCATTTACAGATACTCTATATCACTTACTTACCACTCACTCACATCTCTGCTTAGGCTCCTACATTTTCTATGCTCGAAGTGCTCTTATGTTTCATACAAAATGAAAGCTTTTCTGTTCTTGCAGTTTTAAATGAAATATTTGGTCTATTGAAAAGTTTTCCCTAAGCAGACTTTCTACCAGAGCAATAATACCTGACACTCTATATGCCCATAACTCTCATGAACAGCGGGAACTTTCCATTTTATGTTAAGCTAGTTTTTATATATGTATAAGCTTTCTGTCTGGTTTCCCACTAATTACGCATCCAAACTTAAGATGGTTGGCTTCTTAGAGCCACAATATTTTATTTTTGTATCTGTTGCATTCAGTATGTTTTCTGCCACATGCATATTTTAATATTAGATCCCACTATCTTTTAGAGGGTGTGTTTTGCTGTCAAACTTCTTGTCTAAATATATATTGCAAATCCCTTTGCTTTAAGTTAAGCTTTATATTTCACAGTAATGTATTTAGATTTAATTCACTATATTTTAGTTACAATCTGCATGAATAAACTTTTAAAAACAGGAATATTATTGAAAAGATGTTTTAAGTTATCCTGAACTTCTTGGTGAGGGGATATAAATTTCTGACCACATGAGATGTGAGTGGACAAGGAAAGGAGGACAATTTTCTTAAAATAACCAATATACAAATATGTTTCCAATAGCATATAGAATTTTGTGCCTTTCTGTTTACTAATGATTGTACAAGAGCTATTTTCTATTAATCTTCTATGTCATCAGAAATGCAGTGAGAAAATAAATGGTCTAATCCCAAAGGGCTAATATCCAGCAGGTACAAGGAATTCAAACAATTTGACATGAAGAAAAATACATTTGAAAATGGCCAAAATGCATGAACAGACATTTTTCAAAACAGGACATGTAAGTGGCCAACAAACATGAAAAATTGCTCAACATTACTAATTATGAAAAATGCAAATTAAACCAGTCAGAATGGCTATTATTAAAAAGTCAAAAAACAACAAACATTGGGAAGGATGCGGAGAAACAGGAATGCCTATACACTGCTGATAGGTATGTAAATTAGTAAAAACTTTATGGAAAACAGTATGGAGATTTCTCAAAGAACTAAAAATAGAAGTTCCATTGATCCAGCAATCACACTACTGGGTATATACCCAAAGGGAAAGAAATTAATACATCAAAAAGATACACACACTGATATGTTTATTTCAACAATATTTACAATAGCAAAGCTGTGGAATCAACCTAAGTGCCCATCAATGGAAAAATGGACAAAGAAAATCTCGTATATGTATGTTATGGAATATAATACAGCCACAAAAGAGATGCAATTATGTCCTTTTCAGCAACATGGATGGAATTGAGGCTATTATGAAAGTGAAATAACTCAGCAACAAAAAGTCAAAAACTACAGAGACAGAGAATGGAAAAATAGACAAAATGTAGGAGGGTAACAGAGGGGTGAGGGTTGAAAATTATCTACTGGGTACAATGTTCACTCTTCAGGTGATAGGTACACTAAAAGTCCAGACTTCAGCACTGCACAATATACTCATGTAAGAAATTCACACTTGTACCCCCAAAACATATAAAAATTTTTTTTAAAATGGAAAATAAGAAAAAATAAATGGTCTAATTATGAATAGCAAATATATTTTCCATAATCTTGGCTCTTTGAATAATCTGCTAAACAAATTTGTAATTTGATGAAACATATAGAATGAGCATATAAATGATTCTGTTATATGAATCTGACTCAACATTTATTAAGCACTGGCAGAAAATAGGTGACATGATAAAATATTCATTTAGGATGATCATTGCATTTATTACATGTCAATGAACACATATTAGTACCATATACTAAAATACTATTTATTCACAATTTTCAAAAGAAATAACATTCTTAAAATGTAAAGTGATTCCTGATAGTTACATTGGCATGAATGTCTCAACACAAGCTCAATGAATATCTGTGTATGTGAGAAACAGAACAAAAGCCCATCTGACAAAGGCTTTGAATTTCATACTACTCCCTTTTCTCCTATAATCTCTAGAAATTAATTTTTAGGGAGCTAACTGTCATGACACAAAATTATTCATGATAAAATTGTTCATTGCTTTTCGTTTCTGTGAAGCAACTGAAATTAGCATTATCATGTAATCATTAAAACACATTTGCTTAAGAATAATCGGTGAAAAAAAAGCTGCTACAGTGCTCTTAATCTTAATGCAGCATTTAGGATGTTTTCATCCTAATGTATGCTAATGCCACTCTAAGAGCACTGTAGCAGATCGTATATCTGATTTTACATGTTTCAAGAAAATCAAATTGGAATGTCAGTATGTAAAAGGAAAATGAATGTATAGTTAAACAAATACATGTACAGTCACGTGTTGCTTAAAGATGGGGGATATGATCTGAGAAGTGCATCTTTAGGCAATTTCATCATTGCATGAATATCATAGAGTGTACTTACACAAACCTAGATGGTAGAACCTACTACACACCTAGGGTATGTGGTATAGTCTATTGCTCCTAGGCTTCCAACCTGTACAGAATGTTACAGTACTGAATACTGTAAGTAATTGTAACACAGTGGTATTTGTGTACCTAAATATATCTAAACATAGAAAGGTACAGTACAAATATGATATAAAAGGCATAAAATGGTACACCTATCTTGGACATTTAACCATGAATGGAGCTTGCAGGACTGGAAGTTTTTCTGAGTGAGTCAGTGGGTGATTGGTGAATGAGTGTGAAGGTCTAGGCCGTTAGTGTATTGTAGACTTTATATACTCTATAAAGATGGTACACTTAGGCTACACTACATTTATTTTGACATATTTTTCTTTCTTCAATAATAAATCAACCTTAGCTTGCTGTAACTTTTTTTACTTTAAAAATGTTTTAATTTTTTTAACTTGATTCTTTTATAACACTTATTAAAATGCACATTGTACAACTGTACAAAAATACTTTTTTCTTTATATCCTTATTCTATAAACTTTTTCCTATTTTTAAATTTTTTACTTTTTTGAGTTTTTAATTTTTTTCTTAAAAACAAAGACACAAAACACACACATTAGCCTAAGCCTACACAGGGTCAGGATCATCAATATCATTGTCTCCCACCTCCACAGCTTGTCCCACTGGAAGATCTTCAGGAGTAATAATACGCATGAAGCTGTCATCTCCTATGATAATGAAGTCTTCTTCTGGAACACCTCCTGAAGGACCTGCCTGAGGCTGCTTACAGTGAACTTTAAAAAAAAATAAGTAGAAGAAGTACACTCTAAAATGATGAAAATATATAGTGTAGTAAATACATAAACCAGTAACAGAGTAATTAATTATCATTATCAAGTGTTATGTGCTGTGCATAACTATATGCATTATACTTTGATACAACTGACAGCATAGTAGGTTTGTTTGCATCAGTATCACCACAAACACGAGTAATGTGTTGCACTACAGCATAATTGCTGCTACGACATCTACAATATTACTAAGTGACAGGGATTTTTTAGTTCAATTATAATCTTATGGGACCATTTTAGTATATGTGGTTTGTTATTGACTGAAATGTCATTTTGAAGCATGTGACTATGTATAAAATTTAATGTGGGATGGTTAAAATGAGATGTATGTTTTATTACTTAATATTGCAATAAGAAAGGTACCTATGTGTGTATAGCAAACAAATAGGTATTCTGTTTAAAATGTGGATACTTTTATCTAACATAAAACACCAGGGCTAGAAAGAGCTGAGAAGAAATCCATTTTACCTACAACCCACATAAATGCAAATTATCCTTCTGATGAAAGTGATTGCATGTAATTCTTGGTGACTTCTGAATAAAATTTCTCCTAAGTCAAACTTTCCTCTGTGTGTCATTTTGACACAAAGCAAAGCATCATGGTTAAGCTTTTCTCCAAATTTAGATTTAAATTACACTTATGATGCTTGGGTAGGATAGAACACCTGCTGATTTTTTCAATCATAATTTCTTCTTAACCTATATAATGTATAATTAGTAAAGAATAACTTTTAGAACTATAGAAAAATGCCTAATTATGTTGGAGATAATATAACAATTTTCTACAGCCTTTCTAAATTCTAACATCTACCCTGCCACTAAAGAATGTTCCCTAAGAATTTTTTGGCAGCATACACTTCAGAAAATTAGATGTAATTTAAAAAATATGATCTGGAGATTTCATTCTACAGATGATTTATTATATAATCTTAGTGACTTTGGTGATAGAGGAAAGATATCTAAGCCATAGTGATAAGTTTATTAAATTCACTCATTATTTTACCTCTATAGTTGAACTTGTACCTTAAATTCAGTATTCCCATTACTTTGTTTATTAACTCAAGGTCAAGGATTCGGGCCCTTTCAAAATGTGGTCAGCAGAATACTCTTGCTTCTGGCTAAACAGAGTAGCACATGGCCAAACAATCTTTCCATAGAAATAAACAAGAGAAGCTAAGAAAAATTGCAAATGTATTTATTTACTTATTTGTGTTTGCTTGTCTAAAGGCAGCGGAGTGGTGCAGAGGTAATAGTGAAAGAACTCATTTCACAGAGGGGAACTGTAGAGAAATAAACAGATATCTGGAGCCACTTTTTCTCTTAAAATACTTCTGTTTGCAGGTATATGGAAAGAGGGTGAGGTTGTAGGCACAGGGCATAAGAAGAATGCTGCAGATGAGAGTAAAAAAAAAACAGCAAATATTTTGTTATGTGGCTGAAGACATGAAATTTTGAGATGGAAGCAACTGAAGTTCTGATAAAAATGAGGGTCATAGATATAAACCTTAAAATACAGATGATTTTCCTTCAGGATGTCTTCAAGATCATGCTGCTGTGTAGATCAGAGGCTAAGAAGGCGAGGCAAAACCTGAATAGCAACGCAGAGTTTTCCACAGACTTGCTGTGCTGAATAGACAAAGTTTATAAAGTTCAGAACCCACATGGGGACCAATCGTAATGAATATCTCAGGCTTTCAGTGGGAATCACTGGACGGACATGCCTGAGAAGTAGGTGTAAAGCAGATTTAGAAACATTATTACTACAACTCTAACCCATCCCAAACTTAACAAGCTCCTGATTAGATGAATTTCATCAATTGCCTGCTCTATCTTCCTAGCAGAGAGAGGGGTAAACCATCTTTAATTAAGGTAAACATAATTCAGAATCATTACACTTTTCAAACAATATTTGATATTCAATAAAATCACTAGGCTTGCCAAAGGATAGAATAAATGACCAAAAAGAAATATTAAATACAGGTAATAGAAGAAGTATACCCCTAGATGATCTACGTATTAGAATTAACAGACTATAATTTTATAATATTTTATGTTTAATATTTTTAGTGAAGTAGAGGGAGAGTTGGAAAAATCAGATAAGAGATGGAGAATAGCACCAGAGAATTAAAATTCATAAAACAGAAAGTGAAGTCCAATTTTAAGTGGTTTCATCTGAAACTTTAAATTTTCACATATCATTAGCTCAAACCATATTGAAGCAATAATACAGGTGCATGAAAATTTTAAAATATAATTTGTTTCCTCTTGAATCGAGTGCAAATTGGGGGCATTTTGGATATATGTTAAATACTGGAAGAATGTGTTTTTACTAGATAAATTCAATTCAATACATGTTTAAAGTAACATATAACAAAAATTATCACTTCTCCCTTAGTCTAATGTATTGTTGTGAAAAACATCTAGTTAGGGCAAACTTCTGTCCTCTCTTCTCATATTTACTGCTCAAAGGAAAGTTAATTTTATGGTTGGTAAGTGTCACAGGAAGATTTCTAACATGACCCCCAAACTTCCCTTCCCTTGTTTTTAAGACACTCTAGTATCTCTTCTCCCCTTCACTGTGGGCAGAACATACGAAGATGATGAAATTCATTCCCATGATGATGTTACAGATGTAAGTGAAAAGATTTTACAGATGTAAGTGAAGTTTCGAATCAGTGTGTTTTAAGTTAATTAAAAGAGAGGTTACTGTATGTGGACCTGAATAGGTGAGCCCTTAAAGGCCTACTTAGGTTTCTGTTAAGATCAGAGAGATTATCTCTTTGGTCTTGAAAACGCAAACCTCGATGCATTCTATAGCTAAAAGAAACTGAACTCTGGCAACAGTTACATGAGCTTGGAAGAGGACCTGCGCCTGAGCCCTGGCCAACTGAGCACAGGACTCAGATAAGCCATGCCTGGACTTCCAATCTCAGGTATGTGAGATAATACATGGATGTTGATTTTTATGCAGTGATAAAAAGCTAATACAATAAGTCTGGAAGAAGTTAGTGAGAAAGTGTTGTTCAGTCTTGTTCTCAGAAAATCTGCCTGACCACAGAGTGCATAAGACTATTCTTGCAAGAAAATCCTGTAATTTTTCTAGCTGTGCCATTTTATTAGTTAGTAAGCCTATATCAGGAGTACATAGTAGCAAATTCACTTCTCAGATACAAAAAAAGTTCTTCAATCAACTTACTTAATAATACAGATAAAGCTTACATCTTAATCTGAATCCTGAATCTATCTTTCATGTAGTTCTGAATTATTTTGGAGAACATAAATAAACATTTATTACTGGATGTTCACAAATCCAAAAGTCTATAATATTTTCATTTGTCATCTCATAATAATATATTACCAATATTTTATACCATCCCTGCTGAAACAGTTGACAGAAAAATTAAGCAATTAAAAAAATAATAAAGTGCTTCATGGGGAAATGGCATTTCTCTATCAAAATCTATAATGATTTCGATATTATCAAAACAATCACCACTGAGTTTTCTTATCTTCTTCCTGAGGTTAAATAGGTTGAAAATATTACTTTTTCTTTTTAAATTACTTTTCCTTTTTAAATGCACAAAAATGGTCATGGTGGAATAAAATCATTACAAATATAGTGTCCTTGTATGACGTCTGAGTTGTTGTTTGGAATGAATTTGTGTAACTGGCAGCTTTGAGCTTCCTAAATCTCCTTGGCAGAAATAATGTCCCAATTGTTTTTCCAGTAACAGGATGACAATGTTCTTAAATAAAATTGTCACTAAATTTCCTTTCGAATTCTGACTGCATGATTGAATAAATATTGTCTGCTGAAACTGGCTGTGAAGATAAGTATTTCATGACAGTTAATATATTTCATATGCAAATGTTTTGGCCTCATTTTATATTGGAGACAAGAAAGAAAAATTGTGTTATCTATTTAATTTAGAATGTACTATCAAATCAGATGCATAAGTCCCTGAAATTAAATAGGGACTTTATTGTACCATGCTATTAAAATGGCACATTTTGTACTGAAGACAGTTCAGTGATAAAATGTTGATTTCAGTATGCATGAAGTATTACCAGAAAGAAATATGTTCCATTAAATGTGAATTATTTAAGTACATAGTTATTATAAAAAGAAATATATAAACATATGCATATAGTATACACACATGTATATGGATTTACAAATGCATACAACATAGACTTCAACTTGGTCTGATATCACTGCTTCCAAATTTTTGTCTAGATTTCTCCTCTGAATTAAATCATCATATATTTTATCAGGAATATCTCTGGATTTCTTGAAACATTAGAGAGATACAACATATTACTTTCCCCTGCAGAACATACCATTGTATAGATTATTTTAAATTTAATCTCACTTGCTTTTCTGTGCACTTATTTTGCTTAATAACATTCTACTTGATTACCTAAATATAAATATGTATATATAAAATTGTCATTTGTTATAAGATTTATAAGGGTTATTTTTCCACTTCCTATAAGTTTTAGTTCTAAAAGGCATTTTATATTAAAATTATGCTGCATGAGAAATATATCAATTTTAGAATTTTAGAAATATGTGAATTATTTCTCACCCTTGAGGCAGACTTCATAGTTTGCAATTCAAAAAATAAAATACTTTTATGTTTTCTTAGTACCAATTGCTCTCCCTTCCTAGATATAAAAGTATGGTATTTTATTATTTTTTGTACAAGTCAAGAATAGCATTTTTGTGAAAATCCCCACACATCCATTAAATCTGTAATTCTGTTATCCCATTTTAAGGTAGATTTACTTTGAGTTGGCCATAAACTTTCCTTTTGTGTTAGCTGCCAGCCTCCTTAGTCAATAATATTCTGATTGTTGCTTTTTCAAGAGTACATCAATAGTATTTTCTCTTGTCAAATAAAATTGTTTGTATATATATTTCTTCATCCAAAATTAGAAGATGATTCTGAAAACATAGCAACATGAAAAAATTAGTAGAATTAGAACAGTAAGTCTCTGAAAGAAAGAATTGGGAGAGGATAAAGAGCCAAGGATCCACAGGCAGGGAAAGACTCACATATAAGTAGTGGAAATTAGATGGAGGGGAAGTGAATGAGGTGTTTGGTGCAAGAGAATGTAATGATAACTTTGTGTCATGTAGTAAAAGCTAAAGGAAGGAAAGGAAAGGGAACAATGAAGTTTTGTGAATGTTGTGAAATGAAATGAAGACAAGATAGTGACAGTGAACAAAATAGTCCCATTGCATTTGAAAAGAAAAAAAATATGCAAAATAGTAGATACGAAAGTAAAATTATATGGAGGCTGCAAAATACTTAATTACTATCCCAGAGTTGTTCCCTACTCTCCTCAATTAAGATTACTTTTATTGTAAAATAAACTAATCTTAATAATCTTATTTTTCTATTCTGTAAATAAATAAAAGGAAAAGTTTTAAGATTCTCTGCTGAATCACAAATCTATTTTTGTGTTACTCTATGCTCAGACAGTCCCAGCTAATATTAAATCAAAAGTTGAGGAATTAAAAGAAGAGATTTTGTGAGTACAATTTTAAGTTATCTTAAATAATTCAATCTCTTATCGTAGTATAGAGCCCTATATCAGTCAGGGTTCCCTAGAGAAACAGAATCAATGTTATATGGGATTATATATGAACACTGGCAAATTTGAAATCCATGGGGAAGACTAACAGTTTGGAAACTCAGGCAAGAGTTGATGTCGCAGTTTTGATTCTAAAATACATATGGCAGGCTGGCAAGCTAGAAATCCAGGCAGGAATCCTATGTCACAGTTTCGAGGCAGAATTCTTTTTCTGGAAAACCTTAGGTTTTGCTCTCAATGGCTTCAATTGGTTGGATGGCACCCATTCATATTATCAAGAGTAATCTGCTTTATGTAAAGTCAATTGATTGCGGATGTTAGCTATATACACAAAATACCTTCATAGCAACACGTAGACTAGTGTTTGACCAAACATCTGGGCACCGTATCCTAGCCAAGGTGACACATAAAATTACTCATCACAAGCCCCTACGATAAAAACAAGTAATTTAAAACAGAAAACAGGAAATAAGAATTGAAAGAATGTGGATTTAGAATAAGATGAAATACAAAATTACAAATATAGTCTTTTAGCTGTGTGAAACAAAAAATAAAATAATTACAAAAACGCTATGTAGTGACTCGCATAGCCATCTTAGGTATCTGAGTGAAATTATTGTTCTCTGAAAAAAAATAATTTATTCATGTTTCTCTGAAGAGGACAATTGGTTTAAAGTGCTGGCTGTCTCCTGTAAACCCAATCTTGGAGACACTCCAAAGACTAGAATTAGATTGAAGGATCTGTCAAATTAACATAAAAGCGAGAAGAAAACTGTAAGATGTTTTAAGTACCAGACTGAAAGAGAAACAATAACCTACAATAAAAGAGGTCTGGGAACAAAAACAAGAGAATTTAAAAAAATGTGTCATTTTCTCTTCTCCACATTGACCTGAATACTCTATAACCATACAAAGGCAGAAGACTAGTGTCCAATCCAGTACTAGAAGGATCCAAGGTTAATATAAGTACAATTTGCAAGACTAACCTAGACAAACTTCCCTAGTCCTTCAGATTATAGTGCTGTCGCATTTGCTGCCTCCGAGAGCTAGGTGATTTTAAGTAAGGATAATAGCAGAGGTACGCACTATCATGCTCTCTTCTAGGATACTGTTAATCTGTACTTCAAACTCATCAAGCAAGGCTCAAGCTAGCAACTGGCTTTAGCTATTCCACCATGGTACACATCATGAATATAGCTCCAAAGCATAAGAACTCACAGAAAAATAAAAATTTAATATACTACAATTAAAAGGAAAAGAATCTAGAGTAGATTAAGCAGAATTTACATTTTCAATAAGCAATCATTTAAAACAAGCATATTTAATATCTGCAAAAATATAAGGGAAGATGAAGAAAGCACAAGAAGTCATAAAATATAAATGAGGTATAATTTATGGAAAGAACTAATTGAGATAAAGGACTTAACAGATGGAATGAGTTCTAGAACGAAAATGAGAGAGGGATGAATTATTGACCTGCATGATTAGGTAGAGTAACTCTTCCAGTTGTTAGGAAGAGAAAAAGAAATTTTAAAAGAAACATGAAAGGGATATGGATGTTAGAAATATAATTTCCAATGTAAAACATTACAGATTTACTAGAAATAAAGAGTAATGAGGCAATATTTTTTAAAAAATTATGGAGAAGGCCAGGTGTGATGGCTCACGCCTGTAATCCCAGAACTTTGGGAGGCCAAGATGGGCGGATCACAAGGTCAGGAGATCGAGACGATCCTGGCTAACATGGCGAAACCCCGTCTCTACTAAAAATACAAAAAATTAGCCATGCGTGGTGTCGGGCGCCTGTAGTCCCAGCTACTCTGGAGGCTGAGGCAGGAGAATGGCGTGAACCCGGGAGGTGGAGCTTGCAGAGAGCCAAGATTGTGCCACTGCACTCCAGCCTGGGCGACAGAGGGAGACTCCGTCTCAAAAATAAATAAATAAATATAAATAAATAAATAAATAAATAAATAAATAAATAAATAAATAAATAAAATAAATTATGGAGAAATACTCAGAATGAAAGGATGATGTAGAATTTCTGGTATCGTAAAGTACCAAACAAAATTCCACACAAAATCATGTTCAGTAAATTTTAAGTCATTTTTTAAGATAGGAAATTCTAAAAGAAGGGGGGAATCAAACGAGCTACCAACAAAAAAGTAACAGTTTGATATTATCTACATTGCACCTGTTGTCAAAAATAATGGAGTCATATTTACAGGTATTAAAAAATAAACTGCAAAATTCAAATTTTCCATTTATTTAAGTGAAAGGAAAATACAAGGTGTCAGAAAACTAATCACATAAAGACTCAATATGAAATCCTGCCCGAAAAGAATTTTATCAAGAAGAATGATATATGATAGTGAAAGTTATGTGGATTAAAATAATTTTAAAATATTTACTTGCCAATAAGCACAACCCTCACCACCACCACCCCCAAAAAAAATAAAAAAGGAAAGAAAAGGAATGGAAGAAAAGGAAAGTAAAGTAAAGAAAAAAGATACCACCTCCTTATTAATAATCTAGGAAGAAATTTCTTGAATATACCAACATGGTGGAGGGCAGAAAGTAGGGTGCAAGACACCATAAAATGATGCATAGGAAGTTTTCTCACTCAAGGATATTTAGAGTCTGAAAAAAATTGATTAAAAAAATAAATACAAGTTTAGGTAAATACTTGAATGAATCTCAGAGATAAATTCTAAAAGAATAAAATTAGTAAATATGTATTTTGAGGCAGAAATAAGCATTTAATCAATACAAAAAAAAGAAGAAATATTTTTAAAGAATAGTTAATGAAACCCGAAACAGACCGTAAAGGAGCCCAAATGAAGCAGTAATCATGGTAAACTGTAATGACTCAAATAGTAATATTATACCAAAACTAAGAAATTTTGCTCGGCTATATAATTTCTTAGTTTTGGTGTGATATTACTTTGTTTTTCCATATGGAATAAAGTAGTATTACACCAAAACTAAGAGATATTATTTCCATATGGAAGAAAGTAATATTATACCAAAACTATATTTTCCATATATATATATACACACACAAACATACACACACAGCATAACAACATATATATGATATATATATAAGATACATATATGTTTTATTTCATGTAAAATATTTTATATATAGGAAATATATTTATATATAGTAAATATATTTATTTTTTATATATGTGTAATATTATATATAAAAGATACATATCTTACATATATATCTCATATATTATATATATTTTATGTGTATTAAATAAAAGATATATATAGAAAAACATTGTAGGCAAAGTAAACAAGCTGATAAATATTATAAAACAATATTTGTGATGCCAACAGTTATGAACAATTATAAAGAAAAAATTATATTTAGAAAATGCAAGAAACTATTATAAACAAAAACATACACAAAGTCAAATGGAAAAAAATGAGCAAAATTATAAATCAATTTACAGAAGGGGAATTCCATATGATGAACATTAGTAATCAGTGTATTTTGTCAAGCTATCAGATTGATAAAAATCACAATGCCAAATGTTGGTAAATGATCAAGAAATTTTTTTCTGTATAGAGGTTGTACAAATCTTCACTCTCATTAGTTCACTTCCTGTCGTTGTTTTATGATTGATTTTTAATGCTTTGTTTTATGTTTTAAGGTAATCAGATAATTATCATAATAAGTACTGTAGCTACTTTCCCCTTTGTGTCACTTTTTTTCTTTACTTTATAATGTGGACTACAAATAAGGATATTTTATTTCATGTAGTTTATATCACAATCTTCTAATTTTTTTACTTTTTATGTACTGAAAAGTTTTCTTTATGATGCTTTTTTTCAGAAATATTCATTTTTGTATTTAAAAGATATGTGGTAATTTTTATTAGGTTCAGTTCTCCCTCCATATTTGAGTTTTATTCTTTCCGATTGTCTAACATCTTTGTTGTACATAACTTGTCTTATTTTTTAATTTTGGAAACATTGTTAAATTAATAGACTCATGGAATTTTCTGATTCTTTGGTCTTCTTTAATTTTCTGTTCTATAGCTATTCTCTGCAATTTAGTATTATTTTAATTTATTGTATCCAATACAACAACACTTTTCTTGCTGAAATGTGTTGGCAAGTATCTTCACATGTCATGAAATAGGTAGAGGTAAACTAGTGAAGAGTTTGGTCTTATTTCTGATTTCAATGAGAATGTCAGTGATGTTTTTAAATTGATGTTGATTTTAATTGAGGAAAAAACATCTACAAGCATACTTTGGAGATACTGCAGGTTCAGCTCTAGATTATTGCAATAAAGCATATACTGCAATAAAATGAGTCACATAAATATATATTGGTTTCCCAATGCATATGAAAGTTATGTTTATACTATACTGTAGTTTACTAAGTATGCAATAGCATTATGTCTGAAAAAATGTATATGCCTGAATTGAAAATTATTTATTGCTAAAAAAAGATGCTAACAATCATATTAGCATCCAGCAGGTTGTCATCTTTTTGCTGGAGGAGACTTTTCCTCCATGTTTATGGCTGCAGACTGATCAAGGTGGTGACTGCTGAGGCTTGGGGTGGCTGTGGTAATTTCTTAAAATAAGACAAAAATAAAGGTCATGGCATCAGTTGACTCTTCCTTTCATGAAAGATTTCTCTGTAGCATGTGATGCTGTTTGCTAGCATTTTACCCAAAGTAAACTTTTTTCAAAATTTGAGTCAATCCTCTCAAACACTGCCATTGCTTTATAAACTAAATTTATTTAATATTCTACAGTATTTGTTGTCATTTCAGCAATGTTCACAGCATCTTCACCAGGAATAGAGTCCATCTCAAGATATCAATTTCTTTGCTCATGCATAAGAAGCAACTCCTCATCTGTTCAAGTCTAATCATGAGATTGCAGTAATTCAGTCACATCTCCAGGCAGGCTCCAATTCTAATTCTAGTTCTCTTGCCACCATATTTGCAATTATTTCTTCTAGTGAAGTCTCAAACTCCTCTAAGTCATTCATGGATTATTAAAATTCACTTCTTCCAAACTCTTATTAATGTTAATATCTTGACCTCATCCAGGTATCATAAATGTTCTCAATGGCATCTGTAATGGCCAAACTGTTGCAGAATGTTTTCAATTTAGTTTGCCCATATCCATCAGACAAATTACTATCAATGGCAACTATAGCCTTATGAAATCTATTTCTTAAATAAAAAAACTTGAAAGTAAAAATTCTCCTGGCTCCATGGGGTGCAGAATGGATATTGTGTTAGCAAGAATGAAAATAAAATCAATTTCTTTCTACATTTCCATCAGAGCCCCTTGGGTGACCAGGTGTATTGTCAATGAGAAGCAATATTTTGAAGAAATCTTCTTTTGAGCTGTTAGTCTCAACAGAGGCTTAAAATATTCATTCAACCATTCTGTGAACAGACAGTAGAACAAAACTTTCAAAGTGTTCACACAATACAGCTATGAGTTTGGAATTGTAAGAAAAAGACATTTAAAGACACGTGTATGAACACATGCAAATCCCAAAGGGTTCCAACTGAAAATTTGTAAATGTCAAATGAAAACTATAAATCAGTGAAATCATCTGTAAAGGCCTGAGAAGGTTAAGATATTTTCAAATACACAAAGTCAGAGATTGTTTATCAACAAGACTAAAAAATTTTTAAAATATGTCTATCAACATGAATCAATATATATATAAAAATTTGAGATGCTACAAAGGCTGCTAAACACTTGGACATTCATCTTCAGCCCAAAAGATAAGGCTGTGAGAGTCACCACTTTCTTGCACCCTGAAGCCTGTATCTGCCCAGTGTAAGATTTTTCTAAATTGTATATAAATGTCATACTGGCTAGCAACTTCTCAGTTATTTTTTTAATTATCTTGTTTTAGCTCAGCTATTTTAATAGATTTCTTATTAAGATTAAATAGATTAATGAGTAATGCAAATAATGCCCATAGTCCTCAATAACTATTATTGTTTGTTTTATAATTGTGCTTTTATTAAGCTATGTTATACAATGAGGTATTGGTATAGCAACATTTTTTTAATGACCAGTGGAAGAAAACAAGGAGTGCAGAAACAGATCCACATATCTGGAAATTTTAGGGTGGCAAATTACATAAATAGTAATGTAACTGGTTATCCATAATAAAAATAAAATAATTTAAATTTGTATGTCAAGTCATGCCTCCAAATCAACTCCAAATAAATAGAATATTTAAACATGAAAGTAAAACATTCTATCTAGTAGCCAAAAGTACGGGAGAATATCTTTGTACCCTTGAGATTTTTTAAGAAATTTGCAACATGTAATGATTAAAAATGCTGATAGCCTTAATTAGATTGAAATTAAATTAACATTTTCTGGTTTCAAAAAACAGCCTAAGAAAGGGCGAGACTACAAATGGAGAAAGGACATTTATAATGTATTTAACTGTCCAACTATTGATATCTAGAATATATACAGACAGCTTATAGACTACTAAGAAAAAGATAAGCACTGTAATATAAAAATGAACAAAAGTCACAAAGACGCATTTCACAGGAAAGGAAATGAAAAATGGCCAACAACCATATAAAAAGATGCTGAGCCTCACTATCATTCACGGAGTAGCAGAGTAAGATAAGATACCAAGTCACTATTTACTAAGAATATTGACAGTATCAAATGTTTGTGACTATATGGAGTAACGAGAACTATGTTGACTGATGCTAGGATGGTGTATTGGCACAATTGCTTGGGAAATTATATCTGGAATTTACTTATTTTATTGAACATATGTGATACAGTTTCTGTGTGTCCACATCCAAATCTCAACTTGAATTGTGTCACCCATAATTTCCACGTTGTGGAAGGGTCCCAGGGGCAGGTAATTGAATTACGGGGGGCGGTCTTTCCCATACTATTCTCATGATAGTGAATAAGTCTCATGAGATCTGATGGGTTTATCAGGGGTTTCTGCTTTTGCTTCTTCCTCATTTTCTCTTGCCACCACCATGTATGAAGTACCTTTTGCCTCCTGCCATGATTCTGAGGCCTCCTCAGCCATTTGGAATTGTAAGTCGAATTAAACCTCTTTTTCTACCAAATCTCAGGTATATGTCTTTATCAGCAGCATGAAAACGGACTAGTACAATATGCGTATTACAAGATTGCAAAATTCCATTTATGGGAAAGCTTCCTAGAGAATCTGTTGGGGTGAGGAAAATAGGCTGAATCATGATTATGGTGGCAGTTATGTGTCCGGAATTGGTTCCTTCCCGTGGGTTCTTGGTCTTGCTGACTTCAAGAATGAAGCCCCCGGCCCTCGTGGTGAATGTTACAGTTCTTAAAGACAGTGTCCGGAGTTTGTTTGTTCACATGTGTCCCGAGTTTCTTCCTTCCAGAGGGTTCGTGGTCTTGCTTGACTTCAGGAGCGAAGCCACAGACCTTTGCAGTGAGTGTTACAGCTCTTAAAAGTGCCATGTCTGGAGCTGTTTGTTCCTTCCAGTGGGTTCATGGTCTCACTGACTTCAGGAGTGAAGCCACAGACCTTCACAGTGAATATTACAGCTCATAAAGGTAGTGCGGACCCAAAGAGTGAGCAGCAGCAACATTTATTTTGTAGAGCAAAAGAACAAAGCTTCCACAGCGTGGAAGTGGACCTGAGTGGGTCGCTGTTGCTGGCTCGGGTGGCCAGCTTTTATTCTCTTATTTGGCCCCCTCCCACATCCTGCTGATTGGTCCATTTTACAGAGCGCTGATTGGTCCATTTTACAGAGTGCTGATTGGTCCGTTTTTACAGATTGCTGATTGGTGCGTTTACAAGCCTTTAGCTAGACACAGAGTGCTGATTGGTGCGTTTTTACAGAGTGCTGATTGGTGCATTTGCAAACCTTTAGGTAGACACAGAGCGCTGACTGGGGTGTTTAAAATCCTTTAGCTGGACAGAAAAGTTTTCCAAGTCCCCATCCAACCCAGAAGCCCAGCCAGCTTCAACTCTCAGTTACATGACAGTATATATTTGGCAAATTAATCAAATTGTATACTTAAAATTTGTGAATTTTACTGTATTTGATTATACCCAAATAAAGCTGATTTGAAGAAGAAAGATAAAAAAGAGATGGCATAGTTTAAATCAGGCTTAACAAGCTAAATTAAAAAGAAGAAAAAAGGATGTAATCCATTTCAGTGTAATTTCCAACTAAAGTGATTATTAAAAATGAAGTTCTAGTGTTTAATGCAACAAACTTGTAACTCTACAGAACATTAAGCTTCTAAGAATGACTGACTTTCTCAAAGTTTTTTGGATGAAGATATGAATGCATGTCACCATCTATAGACAAAAGCATCTTAATAAATGCTTTTCATGATGATGAAATGAAACATAAAAAAGAAAAAGAAAAACACAAGCTTAAAGTCTACTGTTGTAATGAAAAGTCATGACTCTGTGCCCACTTTCAGAATGAAGCAGTTCTTTGGCTCAAACTCTTTTAGTTGAAATAGAAGCCAGGTTCTAAGAAAAGCACCCTACAATAGTTGTGCAAGTGTATAGAATAGTGATCCCTTGAATCTTTTCTCAAAAGGACATATGGTCATTTATTCTGATATCAATACACAGGAAAAGGGCAATACCTAGATCTTGTGAGGGCTCTTGATAAATGATTTAAGGTGACACTAATATCTGGGGACCAAGGCACCACTGTGGCCCTCTTGTTAGAGACAGACATATGCCAATTAGGAGTAAAATCCTAATAGACATACTTAAAAGGTAGCAGAACATACATTCATTCAAGGTTTGTAGAGTAAGCCTTTGACTTGTAGAGTAAGAGTTATTGTTATAGGAAAGGCCAAATGTAACTCCCTAAAACTGCCTCTCACCACCCCCAGAAACAATTTTCATAATAAAACTATATTACACTGGGGGAGAATTGGCGTGACCCTCAAAAATTTAAGGACTTCAGGAATTGTAGTATCTATTATATTCATATCATATTTAATTCACAAGTCTGGCCTCTTCAAATATTAGACCAATCATAGTAAATGACATTGTACAAAAGTAAACAAGTAGGAATTTCAATTGCACTTGCTATGCCAAATTCCATTATACGTTTATAGCTTGATCAGAATTTGCTGTTATTCTCAAAATTAGTATGAGAGACAAATCGTATATTAAAGACAAGATTGACTAATGCACTACAACTGTTCATTTTAAAATTTGATTCTCCAATATGTGGAGCAGCATTTTATAGGAAACATGATGGCTCATTCTACAGGGTTGCTTGGAATGGGAAGCAATACGATAAGCTCATATAATTCTCAGTTATGAATTGTAGAAAAATATGTTTCATATGGGAATTCTTCATGTGACAATTCTTGTTGACATATTTACATATGAATCACTTATTCTGTGTTAAATATTAAACAAAGAAAAGTACATGTCATTTGACAAGGACCCTTGTGCTTCCTGGAAACTTACATTCTGGACTTTCCATTAATCACCAGCTAGTGCTTACACAACACATACTGAGTTCTAAATTTGAATAAAGTATTATATTAGATTTAAATTTAAGCTTATCTCACTGTTTTAGTGATCCCACTAAATTTTTGTTCAAGCCGGGTTTAATTTTTTCTGATATATACTATTATATTTAAATCAAGAAGTGTTTTAAGTGTCCTAATTTGATTTATATAGGATTGATGGAAGACTTCTGTAAATATCGTAGCTTCATTCCTCAAAATGTGAATGATTTCAGTCAAAACTGTTCAGTATAAAGTAATGTGCACCTCATTATTTATCTTGGTACTTTTTTTCTTCTGCTCATGATTTATCAATAACCTTCCCAGGGTCAGTTCTCCCCACACAGAGTGCACAATCAAGTGCACTCCCCCAAACTCTGCCCATTAAGAGAATTTCCATGCAAAATTCCTTTTCAAATCGCTTGTTTGGGGCTATAGTACAATAGAAGTCAATTTTAGCTTCCATCTTTGTACTAAGCCAATCTATTCATAAATACATTTTAGGTGTGTTTCCTCCCCTGAAAGATCTATGAGGATAATAGGTGTGAGTTGATGGAGCGACCTTGGTGTACCAGTGGTGGGTGTCATGAGGGTCACCTGGATCTGAAGCTTGTTTGTACAGTTTCCCCTAGATGGAGACAAGTTTGATCCTGGGTGCAGCACATTGATTTGGGCCTATCAAACATTACAACTTGTTGATCCTGACAGTATCCAGCTCATGATGGGGAGTTATGACCATAGGGTCACTTTACATCTCACAGGCAAAAGCTCACCCTCTACCCAGGCCTAGTACCATGTCAGATGCTGCATTTCAAAGGGCATATAATTTTTTTCTTCCATTGGCATGGCCTTGCTCCAGTGCCCTATGAGTTTATGTTGCCAGTCTCATATAGACCCCCGCAGGAGGGCAACTTATATTTACCAACAGAGCCTTTGGTATATGGTATATAGCTATCGATATGATGAATGTGCTGTTTTTAATACTCATGGGAATGAAGAATCAAAAGTAAATTCTATCACATGTAACAGAAAATAGTCACAATGCACACTCTTGCCCCAGAACTATATTAATTCTTTTGCACCCTGTCATAATATAGTTGAAGAGACCTGGGTCAACAAAACATTTTGCAAAGCATACCAGAGTTCCACCACAGTGATAATACTGTGTTAATTGGACCTAAGCATAATTGGACATAAGCAGAGTGTGTCCATAACTGGACACATATTTGGACACATAATTGGACACATAATTGGACACATAATTATGTCCATAGTTGGACATAAGCATAGTGTGGCTAGTAAAATGGATACCTTGTTAGGAATATGTTCTGTAGATGGTGGTTGATAATCCCTAAAAAGATTCAGAGACCAGCCACCTCGGTGAAGTTTTCAGAGTCTAGTAGTTTGGGTAGTGCTCCTCCAACATGAAAGATAAATTGCTCCTTGAATTTCCTACCACTTAAAAAAGAAGTAAAATGTTTGGTAGATGTCCTGGAGTTATGGAAGCTGTATATTCTGCACTTGGAAATACTCTTCCCTTCCATTCACTGAATGACATAGATAGAATGTTGCTAGATTTACCTGGAACCCAGAGAAAGAGAGAGCACTTCAGCAGGTCAAGGCCATAGTATGTAGTCTGTAACAAATTTTCACATAATATGAAAATAAAATTTGTTTCATTTATATGTCATGTGATATCATATCAGCTAAATATTATATAACTATGAATACTAAGTTACTTTTATAGAAATTAATAGCTTTCTTATATTGCCATATTATCTTCCACAGTTAAGGAGACTAAAAGGTGCAGCAGAAAGAAATAGGACAGAATTTATGGAAAAACAGACTGACTAATATAATTTTGCCTTGAATTGAAATATAAGGATTTAAAGGTACATTCATTTTTCAGAAGGAAAAATAAATCCAATATCACACAAAAAATGCAATACACATTTGAAAATACTTAAAAATTGACCTCCATTTTCAACTTCATCACGCAAAGAGCTTGGAAATTTTCACTCCTGTCATTAAACAAAAAATAAACAAATATGGACAAAATGAAAATTAGTAACTTTTCTTGGAGCCATTACAAAATTGAGGTTATGAAGCAAACTGCCAACCCAAAATCCTGAGAGAGAGGCAGAGTTTCCAAGATTTGCCTAACTGCAACAGAAACCCTTGGAATCCAGACACTGGTAGAAACATTTAAACAGTTATTTTAACAAATTTCTGTAGGCTGGGTGCAGACTAGCAGAGAGTGAAAAATTCCTGGGCCACAGTCTTATGTGGGACCCCCAAATTCTCCTGACTTTCACTCTAATAACAAATCAAGATTTCCTGAGAGAAATCAAGGAATAATTCTAAATATTGTTAACTAGCCTTTACTCGGTTAAGTTGCGGGGCTTGACTCCCGGATACACATATCCCCTCCAAAAAACAAAGGGCACCAACTCCTACTGAATCTTAAACGTCAACACTATTATATGGCACCCAATTCATGTTAATTAAAGCTTCACCTCCAGACCTGGGAAAGGATGACAATTGAAATAAACTGCTTGCATGTAACATTGGCCTGTATACAAATACATTAAAACTTATTTATTAATTTTTCCTCTATATAAATTAATACAATTTGTTATATGCATTAATTGATACTAAATAATTTACACATTTAACTACCTGATAACTTCCTTTTCCCGTCATTGTCAGAATTAGGCTGGGCTTATATCCTTTCTGTGTAAAATGTATTAATTCTTTCAGTTTTGGAGCGCCTCTGCCTGGCTGCCACACCATCTGGGAAGTGAGGAGCACCTCTGCCTGGCCACCGTGCAACCCTCCAGGTGTGAAGTGGCAGCCTTGTGTGTGATCTTTCTGCCCTCACCAAGTTTGCATTTTCGACACTAAAGTTTACTTTTAAATTAAAAGTTTTAAATTGGGAAAACAAAATTCTTTCAGTTTTGTTTACCAAAGTAAAAATAAACAAAATCTTTTTCCTTTTGAGCCATTTGTAGCTTAAGAAATTGAGTAAAACAACAAAGATTACCTTTTTCTTTCTACCTGCTATCTCCAAAATTTAAAAACTATTTAGAATCTCACTGAGTCAAATCTGTTTTCCTTGCCAGCACCCTGCTGCTAATACTATATGAGCACCTTGCCTCTAGGTACAAGGACTATCATGGAAGAGGTGAACACATGAGATTGTGAGGACCAAATTTGAAGGACAGAATTAGTTCAGACTCTCCCAATCAAGGACAGGCACACAGATGCCTAAACAGCTAGCAAATTGGGACACTTTGACTCCTGGGCAATTATGTGGATCCTTTTCATCCCAACTATAAAGAACTTCCTGCTTCCCATAGAATTAAAAAAAAATTACTGAGAGGATATTGAGAAACCTAGTGACAAAGCCTCCTGGGTATAGCTGTTCTCAGTTATAAGATTCATGCAAACAGATATCTATTAAGAAATTTATTGGCCACCTTAGAACAAATTACTAAAGAGACCACAAAAAGCATTGTGGCACAACAAAAGTCTTGAAATTTCTTAGCTCAAAGGGTTTCAAGAAAAAGCTTGTGTTTTGTAAAGCTAATTGCTAAAAATTTTTAACTAAAACCAAGATTACAGTAACTCAATGGATAAAACTTAGAGATAAGTCAATTTTGTAACCTTTTATTTGGCTTTTAGGTTTTGGCTCTTACACTGCTTAAAAGGTTTTCAGCATTGATGAATACATGCCCACCTCCATTCCTGTCTGACTTAAAATATTTAATTGGCCGTAAGTCTTTGGCTTTAAGCCCCTTAGCCATAAAGAATCCAACAAGGGACCTAATGGACCCAGGGCAGGTAGCCATATTACCCCAGTTATGATGTGGAACAAAATGAAAAATTTGGCCATTGATGCTGCTTCTGGCAACTCTTGTCATGAAGTGGGAAAATGTAAACAAAAATAAAATCCTCAGTCCCCCAAATGACTACACAGAGCCCCTCTTGGCCAAGAGGACTCCTGAGAAACCTAAAAAACTGAATTCCTGGCCATGACAGGAATGGAGGTCAATATGCCTCATTACAACCTTTTAAATTTGAGGCACAATTGACCAGCATTAACCTTAAAGTAGATATCATAAGACGGACAAAACAGGCTCTTTGTGGCAATAGGATACGAAATTTTAACCTGACTGGTATAGCATCACATGACAGATAGTGGGCCCTGAAGAACATTAAACTATTTTGCTCCCAAATATATTTATTTGATATATTTTGAAATGACCCTGCAAAGCCATCTTTTGTGGGGGTAAATTTCTATCGGTAGAGCGTCTCTATTAATGTGGCTAAGCCTTTCCTGGATCTAGGAGAGATTAATTAAGAGTCTAACACCTTTTAAGATCCAAAAAGAGAGATTTACCATATTGTCTTTGAAGGCTGCTACCTATTGAGGCTTCATTGACATAACAAGAGCCTTGCCACGAACAAGGTTTGGATCTGTGTCCCCTCCAAATCTCATGTCGAATTGTAATCTCCAGTATTGGAGGTGGGTCCTGGTGGGAGGTGATTGGATCACAGGGGTAGATTTCTCATAAATGGTTTAACACCATCCCCCTTGGTACTGTCCTCATGATAGTGAGTGAGTTCTCATGAGATCTGGTCATTTCAAAGTGTGTCATGCCTCCCTTGTATTCTCTGTCTTGCTCCTGCGCCTGCCATGTGAGATGCCTTGCTCCCCCTTTGCCTTACACCATGGTTGAAAGCTTCCTGAGGCCTCCCCCAGAGCAGAAGCCGTTTTGTTTCCTGTACAACCTGCAGAACTGTGAGCCAATTACACCTCTTTTCTTATAAATTACCCAGTCTCAGATATTTCTTTAAATTAATAGCAATGTGAGAACAAACTAATACAGAAAATTGGTACTGAGTAGTGGGGTACTCCTATAAAGAGACCTAACCATGTGGAAGCAACTTTGGAACTGTGTAATAGGCAGAGGTGGTTGGAAGAGTTTAACGGGCTCAGAAGAAGATGAAGGGAAGTTTGGAACATCCTAGAGGCTCGTTGAATGGTTGTGACCAAAATGCTGATTGTGATATGGACAGTGAAGTCCAGGCTGCCAAAGTTTCAGATGGAAATGAGGGACTTATTAGGAAATGAAGCAAAGGTCACATGTATTATTCCTTAGCAAAGAAACTGGCTGAATTGTGTTCCTGCCCTGGGGATCTGTGGAAGTTTGAACTTGAGAGTGATGATTTAGGGTATCTGGCAGAAGAAATTTCTAAGCAGCAAAGTGTTCAAGATGTGGTCTGACTGCCTCCAGCAGCCTATACGTATATACCTGAGCAAAGAAATGGCCAAGTTGGAACTTATATTTAAAGGGAAAGGAGAGCATAAAAGTTTGAAAAATTTGCAGTCTGGCCATGTGGGTAAACAAAAACAAAAAAAAAACACATTTTCAGGTGAGGAATTCAAGCAGGCTACAGAAATGTACGTAAGTAAAAAGCCAAGGCTAATATCTAAAACAATGGAGGAAAGCCCTTAAAGGCATTTCAGAGGCCTTCATCACAACCTCTTCCATTACAGGCCTGGAGCCCTAGGAGAACTGAATGGTTTCATGGGCCAGGCCCAGGGCACTGCTCCCCTGTGTAGCCCCAGTACACTGCTACCTACATCTTAGCTGCTTCAGCTCCAGCTGTGGCTCAAAGGGGCTCAGGTACAACTTGGGCTGCTGCTTCAGAGTGTGCAAGCCCTAAACCTTGGTGACTTCCATGTGGTGTTAAGCCTATGGGTATACAGAGGGTAAGAGTTGAGGCTTGGGAGCCACCACCCAAATTTCAGAACACGTATGGAAAAGCCTGCGTTCCCAGGCAGAAGCCTGCAGCATGGGTGGAGCCCTCATGAAGAAACTCTACTAAGGTAGTGCAGAGGGGAAATGTGGAGTTAGAGACCCCACACAGAGTCCCCACTGTGGTACTGCTTAGCAGAGCTGTGAGAAGGGTACCACAATCCTCCAGACCCCAGGATGGTAGATCCACCAGCAGCTTGTACCCTGTGCCTGGAAAAGCCACAGGCACTCAATGTCAGCCCATGAGAGCAACCTCAAGGGGCAAAGCCTGCAAAGCCAAGGGGACAGAGCTTCCAAGGTCTTCAGAGCCTACCCGTCACACCAGTGTGCCCTGGATGTGGGACATGAAGTTAAGGGAGATTATTTTGGAACTTTAAGATTAAATGATTGTCCTGTTGGGTTTTGGACTTGCACAGGGCCTATAGCCCCTTTCTTTTGACCAATTTCTCCCTTTTGCAATGAGAGCATTTACCCAATGCCTATACCCCCATTGTATCTTGGAAATAACTATTTTTTTTTCTTTTTTTTTTTTACAGACTCATAGGCAAAAGGGACCAGCCTTGTCTTAGATGAGACTTTGGACTTTGGAGTTAATGCTGGAATGCATTAAGACTTTGGAGGACTGTTGGAAAGGCATCACTGCATTTTGCAATATGAGAACATGAGATGTGGGGGAGCAAGGGGTGGAATAATTTGGCTTGAATCTGTGTCCCCACCAAATTTCATATTGAATTGTAATCCCTGATGTTGGAGAACCTGGTGGAAGGTGATTGAATTATAGCAGTGGATTTCTCATGAATGGTTCAGCATCATCCCCCTTGGTACTGGCCTAACAAAAGTGACTACATTCTCATGAGATCTGGTCATTTAAAAGTCTGTGACACCTCCCCATTCTCTCGCTTGTCCCTGTGTCTCTTCCCCTTTGCCTTCTGCCATGATTAGAGGCTTCCTGAGGCCTCCCCTGAAGCTGAATCTACTATGCTTCCTGTACAGCCTTCAGAACTGGGAGTCAATTACACCTCTATATTTTTTTAATAAATTATCCAGTCTCGGGTAATTTCAAGTTTCAAGACAAACTTCAGTTTATCTGTATTGCCTAAAAATTATATAATATTGTATTCTTCATTTTTATTTATTTATTTTTTTGAGACAAAGTCTCAGTCAGTTGCGCAGGCTAGAGTCCAGTGGCCCAATCTCAGCTCACTGTGACCTCTGCCTCCAGGGTTCAAGCGATCTTCGTGCTTCAGCCTCCCGAGTAGCTAGGATTACAGGCACCTGCCACCATGCCCGGTTAATTTTTTTATTTTTAGTAGAGGTGGGGTTTTACCATGTTGGCCAGGCTGGTCTCAAACTCCTGAATTCAGGTAATCCACCTGCCTCAGCCTCCCAAAGTGCTGGGATTACAGGTATGAACCACTGTGCCCAGCCAGGTATTTCTTTATAACAATGCAAGAACAGATTAATCCAGCCTTCACAACCCCACTTATCTTAACCCAAGCATTACTTTCTACTGACTTAAGTCTTTAGATAAAACTTAACTCTCTCAATCAATTGCCAATCAGAAAGTCCTTGAATCCAACTATGGAATGTAAGCCTCACTTTGAAATGTCCTGCCTTTTTTTGGTCAAACCAATGTATACCTTCCATACGTTGATTCATCTCATTTCCTGTAACTCCTGTCCCCCTAAAATATATAAAACCAAACTGTAAGCTAATTGCCTTGGCTACACTTTCTCAAGACCTCTTAAGACTGTTCCCTAGGCTATGATCACCCATATTGGTTCAGAATAAAATATTTTAAAGTTTGGTTTTTCTATTAATAGCAAGGAGAAGGGTAGATTAGACATCCTGAAACTCTTCTAGACTCTAATTCCTCTGAAAGGCCTCATATCCGGGGTAAAGAAATTCACCAAGAGAAACTCTAAAATCACATCACAAATGAGAGAAGGGAATTCTGGACTAATGTTGTGCACTCCAGTCTTTCTGTTACACTTAAGTGAATGGGGGGAGAATGTGAAGAAAGACACAGTCTGGATGACAGAACTTCAAGAAAATAAGTTAAAAACACTATAGCTAAGGGAGGAAAGAGAGACAGGGGAGTATATACTATACCCCAGGATGAGGCATAGGAAATTCTTGTGAAGGCTACAGCCTTGATAAACAGGCCTCATGAAGTATTGAAACTTATTCAGAAGATTATTGAATGTCCCCCTCCCCCACATCCTAGGGCCAGATCAACAAGCTTCCAACAAGTATAGCAACAGTGGATTACAGCTGAAAGACTTGCAAGACACAGACTATTTCTGAAAAGCAGAACAAAGGGGAGTAAAAAAGGCAAGGAGAGAGACAAAAACAAGAACACTAGAGGAATTTTAAGCTTCTGGCACCTATTGTTTTAGCAAACATTAAAAACAGACCAATTCCCACCCCAGATTACCTAAATCCTTACACTAATGGTTTATTTACCTCACTCCCTATTACCCAGTTCAATATTTCCAGCTTTCAACAACAACATAAAAGAACAAGGAATTATAAAAGTAAGAAAAAAAAGTCTGAAGAGACAAAGCAAGCGTCAGAACAAAACTCAGATACGACACAGATGTAGTATTTACCAAACAGGTATTCAAAATAACTATAATTAATATGTTAATGGCTCTAATGGGAAAAGTAGACAAAATGCAACAGATTGGTTATGTAAGGAGAGAGATGAAAACAAGAAAGAATCAAAAAGAAATGAAAGGATGGGATTACATTCATATAATTCAATAATATGCAGAAATTAAAAGAAATAAGAATGAGATATAATGATAAAAAAACTGAGATATACTGTTAAGTGGAAAAACCAAATTTTACAATAATTTATATCACCATTTATTTTAAAAATATAACCCTTTCAAATGTTAATATTAATAAAATAAATAAATAAAAATACTTTAAAAATGCCTAGAAAGACATAAAACAAAATAATAATTATTTCCTCTGTAAAGAGGACAAACAACTAGTATGCAGAGTGAAAAACTGCAAGAGGATGTGTCAAAAGAAACTTCAGTTTATCTGTATTGTCTAAAAATTATATAATATTCTATTTATATTTTACTGGGAAAATTGACAAAAAGGAATTCAATAAGTGCAATACTATGCTTGTGCATTTGTGTGTGTGTACATGTACTCTCATGCCTGTGCAGACATTTCTACACATTAAAGACCTGAACTAATATATACCAACATGTTAATTGTTGTGGAGTTGCAGCTGGTTATTTTCTTCATTTAAAAAAAAAGTGAACACTGATTGCTTTTAAAATTGTTGAAATATAAATCTAAAATTATAAATTAAATATTTTTGTGGTTATTTTTCTGCCTTAATTAGATTAATTTATATTATTACTTTGCAGACTTTGGTAGGCCTTAAGGAGATGTTGTTATTTATAGTATGCTTTAAAAAGAGTTCCTTTAGTCTTTTTTCTCTTACCTATGAAGGGAGAGATATTCAGCTATAGAATTACTTGGATAAAATGAGCACTGTCTACTCCACATGAAATTATAGGCAATGTAGTAAAATAGGTCAAACTGTAAAGAAGAATCTGTAGAAATGGCTTGATGATATACCTCTGTTTGGAATTCCTATTAGATTAGATATACTAAGTGCATTTTAAAATGAGATTTTAATCCCTGCTATCTTTTACATCTCTAAAATGTTTTCTTCTTAAAGGGAATTGAACTATTTGTTATCTAATTATGCCAGATGGTGTCTAAATTAGCTATTGGGATTAAAAGAGTTGTTGATTTATTCATCTATACCCAGGATGCACATGTTATCTGAAATGAGAAAGCTTAATACCAGTCATTCAAAAACAAACAAACAAACAAAAATTAAGATTTTCTATTTGTTCAGTAGAAGAAGAAAGCAGAGGTGACCGCACACCACATATTCTCTCTTTTTTCATTCCAAATTGGGTATAATTCTAGAGGCCAGAACACCTCTTTGGTAAAGATATGGCTAAGTTAATATCTTTTTCTGTTCATTAGTACACAGTTCTGATTAAAGCAAGGCATACTTAGAAATTAAAATTTTAATGGTAAAGCATTGTTACCAATTCATCTCAAATGATATTCATGTAACAAATAAAACACTATATTCTAAACTTAGTAGGTAGTATATCTTTTTCCTTTCCATAGATAAAGTAAAAGTAACACATCAACAGTCTTTTAACAAATTATGCCTGCATACAATGACACCTGTTCCTCTTTTTCTCACTTCTGAAGATGAAATCATCACAAATAAAATTTTAAAATAAATCATATGCTTTGGTGAATATGAATTGGTATATATAAAATGTAAAAGCCATTACTAATGAAAGTAAATATCGATAAATTTTATTATACAAAAATAAAGGTAATGTAAATTTACCATACACAAATTAAATAATTATATGTAACCCCCATACCAAAAATATTTCAAACTGGAAAAAGTTTCAACATATCATAGGCAAATAGCAAATATTCTTTATAAAGAACAAAGCCAGAGGCATCACATTACCCAACTTCAAATTATATTATAAGGCCATAGTAATCAAAACAGCATAGTAACTGATACAAAAACAGACACAAAGACTAATGGAACAGAAAAGAGATCCCAGAAATAAAGCTGCACATCTACAATCCTCTGATCTTCAGTAAAGTTGACAAAAATAAGCGATAGAGAAAGGACTGTCTATTCAATAAATGATACTGGAATAGCTGGCTAGCCACACACAGAAGATTGAAACTGGACACTTAGCTTTCACCATATACAAAAATTAACTAAAGATGGATTAAAGATTTAAGTGTAAGACCTCAAACTATAAAAATCCCTGAAGAAAGCCTAGGACACATTCTTCTCAACATCAGCCTTAGGAAAGAATTTATGTCTAAGTCCCCAGAAGTGATTGCAACAAAAACAAAAATTGACAAGTGGTATCTAAGTAAACTAAAAAGCTTCTGCACAGCAAAGGAAACGTTCAACAGAACAAACAGACAACCGCCAGAATGGGAGAACATATTCACAAACTATGCATCCAACAAAAGACTAATATTCAGTATCTATAGAGAACTTAAACAAATCAACAAGCAAAGAACAACCCCGTTAAAAAATGGGCAAAGGACATGAATAAGCACTTCTCAAAAAAAGACATACAAGCAGCCAACAAACATAGGAAAAAAATGTTCATAATCACCAATCATCAGAGAAATGAAAATCAAAACCACAATGGAACATCATCTCACACCAGTCAGAATGGCTATTATCAAAAAGTCAAAAAAACAATAGATGCTGGTAAGCCTACAGAGAAAAGGAAATGCTTAAATGCTCATACACTGTTGGTGAAAATGCAAATTAGTTTAGCCACTGTGGAAAGCTGTTTACAGAATTCTGAAAGAACTAAAAACAGAACTACCACCCAGCCCAGCAATCCCATTATTGGATATAGAGCCAAGGGTGAATAAGTTGTTCTACCAAGAAGACAGATGCACTCCTATGTTCATTGTGGAACTATTCACAACAGCAAAACCATGGAATTAACCCAAGTGCTTATCAGTGGTGGATTTTATAAGGAATATGTGGTACATATACACCACAGAATACTACGAAGCCATAAAAAAGAAGGAAAACATGTCCTTTGCAGCAACATGGATGCAGCTGGAGGCCATTATCCTAAGCAAATTAATGCAGGAACGGAAAAACCAAATACTGCATATTCTCACTTATAAGTAGGAGCTAAGCACTGAGTACACATAAACATAAAGATGGTAACGATCGAGACTAAAGACAACTAGAAACTGGGGGGCAACACAGGCTGAAAAACTACCTATTTGCTACTACACTTACTATTGGATGGTATCATCTATACCCTAAACCTCAGGACTACACAATATACCTGACTAACAAACATACACATGCAAAATAAAATAAAAGTTGAAATTACTTTTTAAAAAAATAACCAAAATTGATTAAGAAAAATGCAAAATAATGGAAGAAAGAAATGAAGGAAAGAAGGGTAAAACGGAGCTGGGGGGGTCGGGAAGAAAACAGCAAAATATTTGAAGATCAATTATTGGTAGAGGAAACTTATACACTTATTTAAATGCTGAAAAAGATGTTCAACTTTCTTCATCATTAGAGAAGGGAAAATTAAAACTCGGAAGATAGATTTAACCCATTGCATAGCAGCAATAAGGTAGTTGATACTTGTTTGCTAAGGTGAGGAGAAACAGGAATTCTTATGTATCGCTTGTGGAACTGAACATTGTTATAAATTCTGACAGCTAATTTTCCAGTATCTCTTAGAATCAGTTATGCATACATACTCGATCCAGCATTTTCCTTTCTACATCTTCACAGTACAAGACAATATCACCAAAGACTGTTTGTGGCAGTATTTTGTGTGACAGAAAAGCAATAAAAACCTCATAAATGTTCATCAGTAAGTACAACAAACACCTCAGGTTCTGAGCACCAGAGTGTACAGAACCACCTAATACCTGAGCTATAAATTATGGCCCATTAAAAAGAAAAAGAAAAAGAATTCTAAGCAGCTATATTAAAAAAAAAAAGCAGTTGAAGGTCACAACTCCAAGGCATACTCTTGAGGAAAATGAAAATGTCTTCTGTTTTTTTCCTGCTTTTATCAAAGTAATTAAACTGGCTGGGAGCGGTGGCTCACGCCTGTAATCCCAGCACTTTGGGAGGCCGAGGCGGGCGGATCACAAGGTCAGGAGATCAAGACCATCCTGGCTAACATGGTGAAATCCCGTCTCTACTAAAAACACAAAAAATTAGCCGGGTGTGGTGGCGGGCACCTGTAGTCTCAGCTACTCCGGAGGCTGAGGCAGGAGAATGGCGTGAACCCAGGAGGCGGAGCTTGCAGTGAGCAGAGATCATGCCACTGCACTCCAGCCTGGGCAACAGAGCCAGACTCCATCTCAAAAAAAAAAAAAATTATTAAACTTATGTTTATTTGACTTCTTCATCTTTTTATTTCCCTGTTCTGCATAAGACAAGAAACTCTCAAGTTAATTTTTTGGAATAAAGCCATTGGTGAATGTTATAAAAACTAATCAGATGGATCGTAGTCTGAAAAGACTTAGAATCACTTGCTCTTCCAGGTGCCCAGACTTCTCCTGCACAGATCTAGGTAGACACAGAGGACAGAAGCAGACAATCTGGCAGTCACTTTCTGCTGGGTGTTGAAGAAAGGAGTTTTAAAGAAAATTATGTAGAGTAACCCATGAACATCATGACATATATAAGGAAATGAATGAGAATAAAATAACTGTAACTTAAAAATGTTTGCTCACTATCTTCTTTGGTATGTTGCGAACTTAGTGGAATAAGGAGCTACATTTGCCATATATTACATTTTATTTCTGTAGATATTTTTGAAAATATGGCAAAATACTAAGATTCTTAAAAATATGAATGGGGATTTTATTGGTGCTTTTTACATGTTGGATACTTTTCTGTTTATTTAACATGTTTAAATAATTAAATGTTATTTTCCAAAGTTTCATTCTTATTAGCTTCTTGATGTTCTGCTAGTTTCAGTTTGCAAGTATGACAAGGAAATACAGAAAACAAATTGGTTCATTGTTTTCTAGAAGGAATATAAATACTACGCATTTAATACACATATTTGTATAATCATTTACTATATTCTAGGAGCAGTCCTATTTGCTGGTGATGGGAAGATACTTAGCCAGTTTGTCTTAAAGGGTCTCATAGTTGATGGGGCAAGGTAGTAAACCAACAGTAAGGTGGGTGTATTATTGGAGCAAAAATATAGCCCCTTACTTCAATCATTTAATTAATATAACCAGCATAAATTAATTTTGTAAAAAATACTATACATCTTTAGGAAAAATTACAAGAAAAGACAGATTGTGTTAGGTGAGGCTATGTGTCTTTGAAGAAGAGATTTTAAATAAGTATTGATTCAATTTAATATTCTCTCACAAAGGGTTTTAGAAATAAAAACAGTAATCATAAGTAGATCTTTTTTGATTGTTTATCTGTTTTTAAATGACACAGCTGATACAACCTGAACCATTTCATAATCACTATGTATGAATAACTTCTAGAGCATGTTATTATGCAATAGGCTATTTTACAAAGAAAAGTCAGACCTTTTGCAGAACTTCAAGGCTTCTTCTTCTGTGTCTAATTTAAATTATATCAAATTATATCATCCTGGCCATGATAATTGCCATTGTCTTATTTTAGGCACTAATAACTTCTCCCCTTGTTTACTCCAACTGCCTCTTTTCTGATCCATCTAATTTTGTTCCTGTTCCCAGCCAGTTTATTCTCCATATTGCTATCAAAGAAATAATTCTAAAATGCAAATTATATTATGTTCCCTCCTTAAATCCATTCCTCTGTACTCCAGGAATATCCTGTGAAGCTCATGATTTACTCCTAAGCAAAATAGTGCACTATGACATGGACAAAAATTAAGAGTAATTTTTTTAATGGACTAAAGGAACAGTGTGATTAGATCTTTCCAATGTCAAATATAATAACTGAGTCATTCTGGGAAATTTCCCCTTTGATCTGGGTGTACTTATTTCCTAGTATGAACTATCCAAGACAACAATCATAAGTATTCAAGTACGTTTCTAATAATACTTGTTGAATGAGGTTATAAGAAGTTATTACATGTAAAGAAGAAAGGGAGAAAGAGAGAAAGAGGGGAAGAAGGAAAGCAAAAGAGAAAGAAAATAAGGTAAAATAGTAGGAAAGGAAAAGCCTTTCATTTTATTCCATTTGCCTATTTAAATGTAGAAAATGTCAGGTGATATTTAAGGAGATGATAATAGTATATTAATTACTAATTGATGTTTTGTGTGTATGAAGAAGGGTCTAAACAGAAAATGTCTATGTATTCATTAACTTCCAAATTATGTAATTTAAAATCTCTTTGTCAGCTTACAAACAGCCAAAAGAAAAATACTCAGCTATCTTAGAGGAACTTCTGTAATGGCCAACTATTGAAATAGTGGGTCTTGCAAAGAAAATAAGTTTTTTTTTCATGAAAGAAGACATAAATAAATATTCATTATCTATCAAGGACCTTTGAAATGCTAAGTAAGAAGCCTATTATATGACTTTCTTCACAGAATTGGGAAAAACTACTTTAAAGTTCATATGGAACCATAAAAGAGCCCACATTGCCAGGACAATCATAAGCCAAAAGAACAAAGCTGGGGACATCATGCTACCTGACTGCAAACTATACTACAAGGCTAGAGTAACCAAAACAGCATGGTACTGGTACCAAAACAGAGATATAGACCAAAGGAACAGAACAGAGCCCTCAGAAATAATACTACACATCTACAACCATCTGATCTTTGACAAACCTGAGAATAACAAGAAATGGGGAAACGATTCCCTATTTAATAAATGGTGCTGGGAAAACTGGCTAGCCATATGTAGAAAGCTGAAACTGGATCCCTTCCTTACACCTTATACAAAAATTAATTTAAGATGGATTAAAGACTTAAATGTTAGACCTAAAACCATAAAAACCCTAGAAGAAAACCTAGGCAATACCATTTAGGACATAGGCATGGACAAGGACTTCATATCTAAAACACCAAAAGCAATGGTGACAAAAGCCAAAAATTGACAAATGGGATCTAATTAAACAAAAGAGCTTCTGCACAGTAAAAGAAACTACCATCAGAATGAACAGGCAACCTACAGAATGGGAGAAAATTTTTGCAATCTACTCATCTGACAAAGGGCTGATATCCAGAATCTACAAAGAACTCAAACAAATTTGCAAGAAAAAAACAAACAACCCCATCAAAAAGTGGGCAAAGAATATGAACAGACACTTCTCAAAAGAAGACGTTTATGCAGCCAACAGACACGTGAAAAAATGCTCATCATCACTGGCCATCAGAGAAATGCAAATCAAAACCACAATGAGATACCGTCTCATACCAGTTAGAATGGCGAACATTAAAAACTCAGGAAACAACAGGTGCTAGAGAAGATGTGGAGAAATAGGAACGCTTTTACACTGTTGGTGGGACTGTAAACTGGTTCAACCATGGTGGAAGACAGTGTGCAGCGATTCCTCAAAGATCTAGAACTAGAAATATCATTTGACCCAGCCATCCCGTTACTGGGTATATACCCAAAGGATTATAGATCATGCTGCTATAAAGACACATGCACACGTATGTTTATTGCGGCACTATTCACAATAGCAAAGACTTGGAACCAACCCAAATGTACATTAATGATAGACCGGATTAAGAAAATGTGGCACATATACACCATGGAATACTATGCAGCCATAAAAAAATGATGAGTTCATGTCCTTTGTAGGGACATGGATGAAGCTGGAAACCATCATTCTCAGCAACCTATCGCAAGGACAGAAAACCAAACACTGCATGTTCTCACTCATAGGTGGAAATTGAACAATGAGAACACTTGGACACAGGAAGGGGAACATCACACACCGGGGCTGTCATGGGGTAGGAGGAGGGGGGAGGGATAGCATTAGGAGAATGATGAGTTAATGGGTGCAGCACACCAACATGGCACATGTATACATATGTAACAAACCTGCACGCTGTGCACATGTACCCTAAAACTTAAAGTGTAATAAAAAAAGAAATACTATTGCTATTATCATTATTATTGTTATTCCCATTTTACAACTAAAAAGGAGAGATTAAATAGAAGGCATTTAAACTCAGAGAGATTAAATGGCGAGCATAACTTACAGTGAATGACAGATACAGGTCAGATGTTGCCGTCCTTCATAGAAAAGACTCATGGCCATTGAATGCAACATCAGCAGCATAGGAAGGCCTTCGTGGAGGACCCTTAGTTTGCATGTAGTCAGCCTCGGAACAGACCCTGCAATAGTAACTTTAATTTTATTCATTGTAACTTTCAATTCTATTTCTAACTAGGTAAGTCTTATTATGAAAGAGATGGTTCAGGCAACCCAGGAACTACCTGGCCAAGATAACTTAATATCACTTCAAATCCAGGAACAGGGAGAAAATAAGACATTCATAATCTAAAACTAAGTTACAACTTAGCCAAATATGCAAATATGTTTCTTGGCCATATTGTTCTGCTATGCATACTTAAGGAATCTTTTGAATTCCCATTATTATATGTTGAAATGATAACACTTGAAACTGTTAAAAATAACACCTTGAATAGATTTATGAATAGTCTATTTAGAAAATTAATTTATTCTTGTTATATTAATTAAGTAATTGGAAACAACTTGGGTTCTTACTACATATCAGGTATTGCTTATGCAGTGATGTCCAGGACAAATAGAGCCCCTTATTCCCTCAAGCTCACAACATATCAAGTAAGGTAGATAGTGAGCAAACTTATTTTTAAGTTATAGTTATATTAAGTACTAAAAAGAGAAATATGTAGATTACGAATGGGGATAAATTAGGGATTTAAGATAGCCAGAATACTAAAGTGTGTTTTCTCTAGAAAAAAATACACTTTCAACATAGACCGTAAGCATGGGTAGAAGCTGGCTTGTCAATAAATATGAAAAAGTCTTTCCAGGCAGCATGAATAGCATGTACTAAGGCTACAAACTGGGAAGCATTTTGGTATCTCTTGATACATCTGGGAAAAAATAAATAAATGAATAATCATGCCAATGGATAATAGAGGCTTTTAGGAGAATTGTGTGGAAAGGGTGGATATGCCTAGAAACGTGGGAACTGAGCTTATGTTGAGTCTTAGCCAACTAAGGATTTAAAAATTTATGTTAAGTCTAAGTAGTGATGAAACACTTTCATAAATTATTTTGATTAATGGATATGCAGTTACCCTTTATTTGTGTTCCAAAAATACATCCAACTTACTGTTGGTTTACTACCTTGCCCCATCAATTATGAGATCATTTAAGACAAATTGGCTAGATACTTTCCCATCACCAGCAAATAGGACTCATCCTAGAATAAAGTAAATGATTATACAAAAATATGTATTAAATGAATAGTATTTATATTCCCTCTAGAAAACAAAGAACCATTTTGTTTTCTTAATTTTCTTGTCATATTTGTATAAGGATGAAACTTTGGAAAATAACATTTAACCATGTAAATATGTTAAATAAACAGAACAATATTCAACATGTAAAAAGCAGCAGTACAATCTCCATCCACATTTTTAAGAATCTTAGTATTTCGACACATTTTTTAAGAATATGGACAGAAAATGTAACATATGGTGCCTTAGTTTATTACCCCTTCCATCATTGGTTATGTGAATCCCTACCTAACACTAATTATTCTGTATCATCCCATGCATGCACATATACTGTATACTATATATCTATATATTTATAACAATATATTGTATTGCTTTGGATGTTATCATGGTGTATGAGCCATTGGTAACTTTTTTTTCATTCATTCTTCTACTTCCAATAAAATAGTGTTTTCATCTTCCCTATCCTTGTCAACACTTACTATTACCAAATGTTTTGATTATTTTTTAAAGCAATGAGACTATCATTTTAACTTTATTTAAGAAGTCTTATTGTGCAGAAATCTTTTTTTAATTAAAGATAGTAATTGGTAGACATTTCTTTTGTAATTTGTATTTTTGTGTCCGTACTCTGCCATGGTAAAAGCATTCTTTTTTCTTTCCTCTAAAGGTTAAAAGTTTTTCTTGTCACATTTAGGAATTTAATCCATTTGGAAATTTTAAATCTATCCTAAAAAATCTGAATGTAGTATTTTCCCAATAACCTCAACTTTAGTAAACAATTATTTTTCACAAATTGTAGGAATCTTCAGACACATCAATTACCTATTTTTATGTGGGTCTCTTGTAAAAGTATTCAAGCTATTTCATTGGTTTTTATGCCTAACACTGTTTCCATTGTTATGGCTTTATTATAAGTTCAAACGGTGGCTTGCCAGTTATTTACTATTGTACATAGAAAGTAGCAAGTATCTTAGATTAGACCAGGGGTCCCAATCCCTGGGCCACAGACCAGTAACAGTCTATGGCCTATTAGGAACCAGGCCGCACAGCAGGAGGTGAGCGGTGGGCAAGCAAGCAAAGCTTCATCTGTATTTACAGCTGCTTCCCATAACTTGCGTTACTGCCTGAGCTCTGCCTCCTTTCAGATCAGCAGTGTCATTAGATTCTTATAAGAGCTCAAACTCTATTATGAACTGAGCATGCGAGAGATCTAGGTTGTGTGCTCCTTATGAGAATCTAATGCCTAATGATCTATCACTGTCTCCTATCGCCCCCAGGTGGGACCGCCTAGTTGCAGGAAAGCAAGCTCAGGGCTCGCGTTGATTCTACATTATGGTGAGTTGTACAATTACTTCATTATAATTACAATGTAATAATAGAAATAAAGTGTACAATAAATGTGATGCACTTGTATCATCTCTGGTACATGAAAAAATCATCTTCAGCCGGGTGTGGTGGCTCACACCTGCAATCCCAGTATTTTGGGAGACTGAGGCAGGCTGATCACCTGAGGTCAGGAGTTTGACACCAGCCTGGTCAATATGGTGAAACCTTGTCTCTACTAAAATACAAAAATTAGTCGGGCATGGTGGCGCATACCTGTAATCCCAGCTACTCAGGAGACTGAGGCAGGAGAATCACTTGAACCCGGGAGACGGAGGTTGCGGTGAGCCGAGATAGCACCACTGCAGTCCAGCCTTGGCAACAGAGCGAGACTCCACCTCAAAAAAAAAAAAAAAAAAAAAAAAAAGTCTTCCATGAAACCAGTCCCTGGTGCCAAAAATGTTGGGGCCACTGCCTTAGAAAGATATGTGTCAGGCTACCTATGAGCCAACCAAAGGCATTCATAATTTTTGTAACGTTCTTCTCAATATCTAGCATTTCCTTTTGCTTTTTTATTTTACATTGTCCATTTCTTCTGGCATGTCATCCACTTTTTCCATTAGAGCCATTGGCATATTGATTGTAGATTTTTAAAACTCCTAGTCTGATAATTCCAAAATCTTTTTCATATCTTGGTCTGCTTCTGATGTTTGCTTTGTCTCTTCAGACTGTGTTTTTTGCCTCTTAGATTACTTTGTAGTTTTAGTTGAAAGCCAGATATGATGTATGGAGTAAAAGAAACTGAGGTATATAGGCATTTAGTGTGAGATTTTCTATTTATGTGGCTGAATTAGGCTGTATTTGCTGTTTTCAGTCACTGTGATATTAGAGGCTAGAATTTTAATGTTTTTTTATTATTATTTTGTCTATTGTCTTGGAATTTTTTTCAGAAACCCCTTCTTCAAGCAGGATCTTAGTATTGCAACTCTTTTGGCTATAATCCTCTATTATACAATATTGATATGGTGGTAAGGTGTGGGAAGAGGGAAATCATACTTAGTCCTGTAATTCAATCTCAGTCTTTTAGTAAGCCTGAGTTCGTTCCTACCCTTTCTTCATGTTTTCAAAATCTACACAGGAACTGCAGTTGAGCATTTTCCTTCTCCCAGATTGGTTAGGCTTTGGTGCAACTCCAGTCATTAGGCTTTGCTAAAATTGTTCCCCTCAATGAATAATGAAGGTCTTATTAAGGAAAATAGAGAGCTCTGGGCGTATTTCAAAATGGTTCCTTTTTTCCCAAGCCCTGCCAGAAGCACTAGTGGAATTTCTTCCCAGATCTTCACAGTGAGAATTTGATAGGGTTCCTGGAAGTAAAACTTGCAAAAGTGTGGTGGGGTCTTCCTAGGACTGGAAACCCTCAGTTTTACATTTTCATATTTACGCACATACAGCCTCCAGCAATTCATCAACTACAGTTTGAAGTGTTCTTACCAGTACTGGCTTCAACTGCTCCAGGGCTTCTGCTCTTGGAAAATTGTGCTGCTCTGTACTCCCCCGTCTATCTTTCTAGTCTGAAGGGCAGCAGTTTGCCCTGTGACCTCAGATCTCTGATGGATGTAATAAATGCTGATTTTCAATTTGTTCAGCTTTTTTATCATCTTGAAGATGACAGTGAGGACTTCCAATTTGTTATAAAGCCAGAAACCAAAACTTGCATTATTCTTTTGAATAGCAATTTCTGACTTGTTACTAATAAAGACTGAATAAAGAAACATGAGCTGTCAAGTAAAAGTGAACGTGTGATCTAGGACCCATTAAGAACTGTGTTCTCTGACATGTCAAGTGGTAAGTTGAAGTGTGCATAGCTGTAATCCATCTTTTAAGAGAAAATTCAACATAAAAATAGCTTTTTTAAATATTGGCAGTATCTTTATAAAGGGCTCAATATGATTGACATCTTATGTCTGAACATTTTGATTTTGACCACAAAAAGCCATTTTTCTGAAAGAATCAAAAATAGTCTAGAAGTTGTGTGATGAAAATTAAACTCAGGAGTGAGAACAGGAACGCAGTGGTGGCTCTGGTATGGACACACTATACAGATTGGACTTTGGCCCAATCATGTCACATATCTTTTCTTAACGTATAGGAGATTGCTGCAATGCAAGCAATGAAGATATAGAAAGCCCCACTGAAATTTATTTGAGGTCTCATGACCCTCATCCTTGGGAGGACTGTTGAGTCTATGGAGAATGTCCTAAATGTCTTAGAGCAGCGGTGCCCCACCTTTTTGGCACCAGGGACTGCTTTCATGGAAAACAATTTTTCCATGCATGAGGCTGGGGGCGATGATTCAAGCGCACCACATTTATCATTAGATTCTCATAAGGAGCGTGCAACCAAGATCCCTCGCATACGCAGTTCACAACAGGGTTCTCATTCCTATAAGAATCGAATGCCAACGCTTCCCTGATGGGAGGCGGAGTTCAGGCGGTGATGCTCACTGGTCCATGGCTCACCTCCTGCTGTGCAGCCCAGTTCCCAGCAGGCTACTGACCAGTATGGTTCACAGCTTGAGGGTTAGACATCCCTGTCTTAGAGTGATGTCTCTCTAAATTTCTCTGCCCCTTCTCCAGCCTTCTCCAGAAGGCCAGCTGTCTTGTATATAGGAAGACCTTGCCTTCCATAGAGGGAATATCTCTTAAATCTCCAGATGATATCATAGTGAAGACTCACGTGTTTAGACTTACCTTCTGGCTGTAGCATCCTAGTCCTCCAATTTCTTATGCCAACCTATACATAGACATTAAAAGTCACAGAAATCTTTAGTTGTTTCCTCCTAATGCCTGCCGATAGTGGATTCTTCCTTCTCCCACTTTACCACCAGGGAAGAAATCAGTCCTTAGTCTCATCTTTCTGAAGAAGCTAGTTGATTTCTGAAACGTGGGTTTGTAGATTACTCTTTCTCTTCAGCTTTCAAATGGACTTTAACAACTATACCTATACTCTTTCCTTTTTTAGCTTGTTTTTGCTATTAGACTAGAGTGAGGTTTCTTTCTGTCTCTAAAAGAAAAGTGGAAATTTATGCTATAAGACGTTTACTTATTTAAAAAATTATCAAATACTTGTAATTCTAAAAACATTAAAAAATTAAGTTCAACCTCATTCAGCATTTTCTACAAGTGATGTTATATTCTCTCCATTCCACATAGAAAAAGAGAGTTTATTCATTGACAATGTTCTCGTGGCATTTTCTTCCTGTGGTGCAGAATTATGTGATTTGTGGTTTTCCATCGAAACCTCTTTCTCCTGCCTCTAAGAGTGCTTTCCATCATGTGGCTTTTTGATTAATGTGCTCTCTGGAGTAGTTAATTTTATTAAAGCTACTCTTCACTTTGCAAGGCATTTTTCTAATGAAGTGATTTTAAGTAATTTGACTTTGTAACATCTGGAGATGCCTTCAAACTCACCCATTGCATTAGAATGTGCACAGAAGGTAAGTTTTTTATTCTTTCTGATAGGTGAGTTTAGAGTCATAGATTTCACATTCATTGATGTTATTAAAATTATATGGGTTTTCTATTTTGTTTTGTTTCATTTTTCCAGACAAGATCTCACTCCACCACCCAGGCTGGAATCCTGGGCTCAAGTGATCCTCTCATCTCAGCCTCCTGAGTAAATCTGGACTTCGGGTGCACACTACATGCCTGGTTATTTTTATTATTTAATTTTTTTGTAGAGACAGTGTCTCACTATGTTGCCCAGGCTGGTCTCAAACTCCCGGGCTCAAATGATCCTCCTGCCTCACAAGGTGCTAGGATTACAGGTGTGAGCTACCAAGTCTGGCCTTTTCTCAGTTTTTGGAAAGTCCACTATACTTAATCATTTTTTTGAGAATTTGATTTTAAATATCAATAAGTTTTCATGGTATGTAATTATACACATAGAAGTACAACTCAATGTTGTACTTTAAGGCTAAAACTAGCCTTTAAGAGTTAGAGAAGTGTTATTGGTTTAGTTTCAATAGGCCATGGGTCTCCGGAAATTATTTTTTACAACACTCTATGCTATAGATCTCATTGAACATTGGATCATATACTTTTCAGATAAGTATGATCTTCATGAATATGATGCAAAATAGCCAAAATGGATGGCACACACCCAGTAGGTTTGTGCCACAGCTGGGAATCCCTCGATTATGAAATTTGAAATCTTTTGAGGAGGCTGCTAGCATATCTGCCAAACCTTACTCCAAAAGACATTATATTTATTATGCTGGTCAAGATATTATTCTGTCCTCTGCTTTGAAAAGAGAAAACTATTTGTACATAGTTGTTTTGCTACAAGAAAAATTCTTAAAATGATAATCCATTACAAAATCTGTCAATGCCCTTTCTTTACAAGATGTGCAGAAATGCAAGAGATCCATGGGGAATTGCTTCTCAGCATATGACTATTGCTGTATTATTTTGCATTCTGCCATTTTTTATGCTAATCTTATTTTTTCCATAAGTTAGTTCTATTTTACCTGTGTAAACACAGGTGAAATATTCAGTTTTCTTTGACGATTAACATAATTATTAAAAGAATTATATTAACTTTAAAAGTATAGACTTTTTTAAATTTACCATTTATTTTTGAAAAATGAAAGAGATGGAATTATCTTCATGAGCTTGAACTTCTCTTGTAGTTTAACATTTTTTTGTACCTAGCAAGAATTAACCTAAAACAACACACTGACACTGTTTTTTATTTTTTTAATTATTATTTATTTATTTTTTGTTTTTGAGATGGAGCCTCGCTCTGCGGCCAGGCTAGAGTGCAGTGGTACGATCTCGGCTAACTGCAACCTCTGACTCCCTGGTTCAAGTGATTCTCCTGCCTCAGCCTCCCGAGTAGCTGGGATTACAGGCAGATGCCACCATGCCCAGCCAATTTTTGTATTTTTTTTTTTTTTTTTTTTTTTTAGTAGAGACAGGGTTTCACCATGTTGTCCAGGATGGTCTTGATCTCTTGACCTCTTGATCTGCCAGCCTCGGCCTCCCTGGGATTACAGGCTTGAGCCACCACGCCTGGCCACTCTGCTTTATTTTTCCATGTATATTGACACTACTCTCATATTAGATTCTGGAGAAATTGAAATTACTACTCAAAAGCATTAAAAGCAAAAGACTATTTAATCAGAACTGCCAGCTAGAGGGCCTACAAAATAAAATTTTCAAGTAAGATAGCAACAGCGTAAGTAAGAAGAATAAAACAGGTTCTGTAACTTGTATAAATGATCCTTTTATAATCGTTCAAAGCAACATATTAGAATAATTTGATGTTTAAAACAGAAATTAAAAGCCAAAATCTAAATTTCCTCTTAATGTTTTCATTTTAAAGAATAATTGTTAATTATATGATATAATTTTAATATATCAGTAAATTACGTGTAGTTTAATATAATACCTATAAATTATTGGTCCTAGTGCTCTAAGACCTTTACCTTGATATTTGGGAATTGGAAGATCAAACCCTGCTGTCGCCTCACATAAACTAATGGCCAAACTCCTTTATGAAGGGATTACTACCAACTAATCATTAGTTCTGTTTAAGTTTGTCGGAAAGTACCAGTTTCTGTTTGTTCTCTTGATATATTTCTTTGAGTTTAAATTTTTAAAGGAATATAATTAAATCAAATCAGTCTAAGAGACATTTTGTGACAACTAGGGTGTAGAAAAATTGCATTTAGAAAACTAAACAATGCACCAAGATAACATAAGGAGTTTCCCGAGTAATTTTAAAGAGATAATGGGAGTGGAGGTCATTTATCATCCTGAATGTGTTCACAAGTATTCAACAACCTTTTAAATCATCAAAGTAAATTAAAATGTTGGCTTAAAAGACAAACGCCTATGGATCTTAAATTCACTTGTAGCAACTAAACTCAGAGTTAATTTGGAATCATTTTTCTATAAAATACATTCTATTATTTACATAACTTAATCATAAATGTAGTTCTCTTCTATCATACCAGCTGTTTAATTAGATTTCTTTGTTAATTGTTTAGATGTAACTTATTGGATTTTAGAATTAAAATTAAGTGGCAAGGTAAACTATAGTTTTTGCCTGTGAAAAAATCAAATTATTGCAGTAATACATATTTCATCATAATGTAGACTTAAAGAATAAAACATACTAAAAATATGTCATTGTTTTAATTTAAAAACCTATTTTTTTCTTTGTTCTTTTTTTTTGAGACAGGGTCTCACTCTGTTGCCCAGGCTGGAGTGCAGTTTTGCAATCTCGGCTCACTGCAATCTCGGCTCACTGCAATCTTGGCTCACTGCAATCTCTGCCTCCCAGGCTCAAGTGATCCTCTCATCTCAGTCTCCTAAGTAGCTCGGATTATAGGCACACACCACCATGCCCAGATAATTTTTGTATTTTTTGTAGAGATGGGGTTTTACTATATTGCCCAGGCTTGTCTCAAACTCCTGAACTCAAGCAATCTGCCTGCCTTGGCCTCCCAAAGTGCTGGGATTACAGACGTGAGCCACCGTGCCTGGCCAATGTTTATTTTTCAAAAACCAAAGATTTATTGGCAAAGACTTCAATTCCTGGGCAAGTCCTGGTGCTGTGCTGGATGTGACATCAGTGCACCGTGGGGGGCATGCGACCTAGTGAGACACTAGCTGGGATAGCTAAGGGAGTGCTTGTGCCAGCCCTAACCCAACCCCAGGCAGCGTAGCTTACAGCTCTGGGAGAGACTCCTTCCTTCAGCTTGAGTTGAACAGAGGGAAAAATAAAGAAGACTTTGTCTTACAACTTGGATACCAGTTGACGCACAGTAGGATAGGGCACCAGGCAGAGTCCTTAGGCCCCCATTCCAGGCCCTAGCTCCTAGATGACATTTCTAGACACAGCCTGGGCCAGAAGGAACCCACCTTTTTAAAGGGAAGGACCCAGTCCTGGCAGGATTTATCACTTGCTGACTGAGGAGCCCTCAGATCCTGAATAGTCAGCACCAGTACCCAGGCAGTATATGGGCCTTGGGTAAGACTCAAAGACGTGCTGGCCTTAGGTGTGACCCAGCACATTCCCAGCTGTCAAGGCTATGGGGAAGGACTTTCTGCTTGTGAAAAGGAGAGGTAATAGTAAAGGGAACTTTGTCTTGTAGCTCAGGTACCAGCTCAGCCAAAGTGAGGTAGAGCACCATGTGGGCTCCTGGAGTCTCCGATTTCAGGCATTGGCCATTGGATGTCATTTCTGGACCTGCCCTGGGCCATAGGGAATACCACTGCCCTGAAAAAAAGAGTTCAAGGCCTGGCAGCATTCACCACAAGCTGACTGAAGGAGGGCTTGGTCCTTGAATGAACATCGGCAGTAGTCAGGCCGTACTTGCTGTGAGTCTGGGGTGGTGGTGGTCAGAGGGAGAGACTCTTCTGCCTGTGGAAAGAGGACAGAAGAGTAGAAAGAACTTTGTCTTGTAGCTTGGGTGCCAGCTCAGTCACAGTGGAAGAGAGCACTAGGTAGATTCCTAACATTTCTGACTCTAGGCCCTGGGTCCCAGACATCTCTGGACCTGTACATGACTGAAGCTTACCACCCTAAAGGGAAGGACAAAACCTGGCTGGTTTCACCACCTGCTGACTGTAGAACCCCAGGGCTTTGAGTGAACATAGGTGATAGCCAGGCCGTGGTTATCATGGGCTGTGGGCAAGACCCAGTGCTGTGCTGATTTCAGCTTTGATCCAGCACAATCCCATTGGGGGTGTCCACAGCAGTGCTTGTATCACCCCTCCCCCAGCTCCAGGCAGTTCTGCACAGAGAGAAACTCTGTTTGAGAGAAAATAAGGGAAGAGAACATGAGCCTCTTTCTGGTAATCCAGATAATTCTAGCTATTATCCAAGCCACCAAAGTAGTACCTTTATGAGTCTGCAAGACACACAGCATTACTGGGCTTGGGGTGCTTCCTAATGCAGATACAACTGTAGTTACCAAAAACTTAAATCACAGTGCCCAAGTCCCTTTGAATACCTGGAAAGCCTTCCCTTCCCAAGAAGAACAGGCACAAACAATCCCAGACAGTAAAGACTACAATAAATACCTAACTCTTCAATGCCAGACACGAACAAATATCCAAAAGTATCAAGACCGTCCAGGAAAATATGACCTCAGCAAATGAACTAAATATGCCACCAAAGGCCAATCACAAAGACAGAGATATGTGACCTTTCTTGACAAAGAATTCAAAATAGCTGTGTTGAAGAACCTCAGAGAAATTCAAGATTACACAGAGAAGAAATTCATAATTCTATCAGATAAATTTAACAAGATTGTAATAATTTAAAAGAATCAAGCAGAAATTGTGGAGTTGAAAAATGCAATTGACATACTGAGGAACGCATCAGAGTCATATAACAACCAAATTGATCAAGCAGGAGAAAGAATAAGTGAGTTTAAAGAGAGTCTATTTGAAGATACACAGTCAGAGGAGATGAAAGATGAATTTAAAAAATGAAGCACGACTACAAGAGCTAGAAAATAGCCTCAAAAGGGCAAATCTAAGAGTAAGAGATAGGGCTAGAAAGTTTATTCAAAGAAATAATAACAGAGGACACCCCAAAACTAGATAAAGACAATAATATCCAAGTATAAGAAGATTATAGAACACCAAGTAAATTTAATCCAAATAAAACTTCTTCAAGCCATTTAATAATCAAACTCCCAAAGGTCAAGGGTAGAGACAGGATCCTAAAATCAGTGAAAGAAAAGAAACAAATAATATACAATGGAGCTCCGATATGTCTGGCCACAGACTTCTCAATGGAAAACCTATAGGCCAGGAGAGAGTGGCATGACATATTTAAAGTGTTGAAGGAAACAAACTTTTATCCTAGAATAGTATAACCGTGAAAATATTCTTCAAACAAGAAGTAGAAACAAAGACTTCCTAGACAAACAATAACTGAGGGATTTCATCAATACCAGACTTGTCCTACAAAAAAATGCTAAAGAGAGTTCTTCAATCTGAAAGCAAATGACATTAAGAGCAATAAGAAATAATTTAAATGTATAAAAGTCACTGGTAATAGTAACTACACAGAAAACCATAGAATATTATAACACTGTAATTGTGGTATGTAAACAACTCATATCTTGAGTAGAAAGATAAAAAGATGAACTGATAAAAATAACTTCAACAACTTTTCAAAGCATAGACAGTACAATAAAATATAAATATCAACAACAAAAGTTAAGAAGTGGAGCAATGAAGTTAAAGTGTAGAATTCACATTAGTATTCTCTTTGCTTCTTTGTGAGTTAGTTTATGTAATCAATGTTAAGTTGTCATCAGTTTAAAATAATGAGTAGTAAGTTACTATTTATAAGCCTCGTTGTAACCTCAAAAAAAAAAAAAAAACCAGAAACACACACACAAAAAGCAAGAAATTAAAGCTTATGGCCAGAGAAAATTACCTTCACTAAAAGGAAGACAGGAAGAAGGGAAGGAGAAAGAAAAGACCACAAAACAACAAGAAAACAAATAACAAAATGGCAGACGTCCTTACTTATCAATAATAACATTGAATGTAAATGGACAACTCTCCAATCAAAAAACACAGAGGGACTGAATGGATAAAAACACAAGACTCAACCATCTGTTATGCACTAGAAACACACTTTACCTATAAAGACACACATAGGCTGGAAATAAACGGATGGGAAAAAGATATTCCATGCCAATGGAAACCAAAAGCAAGCAAGATTTGCTATACTTATATCAGGCAAAATAGATTTCAAGATAAAAACTGTAAAAAGACACAAATAAGGTTACAATATAATGATAAGAAGTGGTCAATTAAGCAAGAGGCAATAAAAACTGTAAGTATATATGAACTGAACACTGGAGCACCTAGATATATAAAGCAAATATTGTTAGAGTTAAAAAGAAGGATAGATCCCAATACAATAATAGCTGAAGACTTCAACACCCCACTTTCAGCATTGGACAGATCATGCAGACAGAAAATCAACAATGAAACATCAGATTTATAATCTGCACTGTAGACTAAATGGACCAAAGAGGTATTTACAGAACATTTCATTCAACAGCTGCAGAATACACAGCATCCTCAGCACATGGATTATTATCAAGAATGGATCATATATTAGGCCACAAAAAGGTGTTAAAATTTCAGAATAATTGAAATTATACAAGTATCTCCTCTGATCACAATAAAATAAAACTAGAAATCACTAACAAGAGGAATCTTGGAACCTATGCAAACACATGGAAATTAAATAATATACTCCTGAATGACCAGTGGGTCAATGAATAAATTAAGAAGAAAATTACAAAATTTCTTGAAACAAATAATAATGGAAGCACAAAATACCAAAACCTATGGGATGCAGCAAAAACAATACTAAGAGGAAAGTTTAAAGCTGTAAGCTCCTACATCAAAAAAATAGAAAAACATCAAATAAACAGCCTAACAATCCATCTGAGAAAACTAGAAAAGCAAGCGCAAACAACCAAAACTCAGTAGAAGAAAAGAAAAATAAAGATCAGAGAAGAAATAAATAAAATTAAAGTAAACAATACAAAAGATAACAAAAAATTTTTTTAAAAAAACAGTAAACAAAATCAGCAAGCTTTTAGCCAGACTAAGAAAGAAAAAAAAAAGAGAAGACCCAAATAAATAAAATCAGAAATAAAAAAAGAGACATTACAAATGATACTGCAGAAATTCAAAGGATTATTAGAGGCTACTGTGAGCAACTATATGCCAATAAATTGGAAAACCCAGAATGAATGGATTAATTCCTAGACACATACAACCTACCAAGATTGAACCATGAAAAAACCTAAAACCTGAAGAGACAAGTAACAAGTAACGACATTGAATTTGTAATAAAACGTCTCTCAGCAAAGAAAAGTCCAGAATCTGATCATTTCAATGGTGAATTAACCAATAATACCAATCCTACTCAAACTATTTCAAAAGTACAGGAGAAGGGAGTACTTCCATACTCTTTCTACAAGGCCAGTACCAAAACTAGGTTCCTGATACCTGATACCAAAACTAGACAAAGACACAACAACAACAAAATTATAGGCCAATATTCCTAATGAACATTGATATGAAAATCCTCAAAAAAAATACTAGCAAATCGAATTCAACCACACATTAAAAAGAGCAATCATCATGACTGAGTGGGATTTAACACATGGATAAAATAATGGCTCAGCATACACAAATTAATCAATGTGATACATCACATTAACAGAATAAAGAATAAAAACCATACGATTATTTCAATTCATGGTGAAAAAAGTATTTGACAAAATTTAACATGCCTTCATAGTAAAATTACTCAAAAAGCTGAGTATAGAAGAAACATACCACAGTACAACAAAAGTTACATATGATAGACCCACAACTAGTATCATACTGAATGGGGAAAAACTGAAAACCTTTCCTCTAAGATGTGAAACAGGACAAGGATGCTCACTTTAATCACTACAATTCAACATAGTACTGGAAGTCCAAGCTACAGCAATAAGACAACAGCAAGAAATACAGGGCATCCAAATTGTAAAGGAAGAAGTCAAATTATCCTTATCTGCAAATGATGTGATCTCATACTTAGAAAAACCTAAAGACTCTACCAAAAAGCTATTGGAACTGACACACAAATTTAGTAAAGTTGCAGAATACAAAATGAACATACATAAATTTGTAGCAGGTTGGGCCCAGTGGCTCATGCCAATAGTCCCAACATTTTAGGAGGCTGAGGCAGGAGGATTGCTTGAGCCCAGGTGTTTCAGACCAGCTTGGGCAATATAATGAGACCTAATCTCTATAAAAAAATTTTAGAATTAGCTGAGTGTGGTGGCATGTGCCTACAGTCTCAGATACACAGGAGGCTGAGGTAGGAGGATCGCTTGAGCATGGGAGGTGGAGGTTGCTGTGAGCTCAGACTGTACCACTAAATTCTAATCTTGGTGACAGAGCAAGATCCTATCTTGAAAAAAGAAAAAAACTACAAAATCCATAACATTTCTGTATGCCAATAATGAACAATCTGAAAAAGAAATTAAGAAAGTAATCCCGTTTACAATAGCTATGAATAAAATAAAATACCTAGGAATTAACCAAAAAAGTGAAAGATCTGTAAAATAAAAACTATAATATGATGACAAAAGAAATTAAAGAGGACACAAAAAATGGGAAGATATTTTATGTTTATGGTTTGCAAGAATTTACATCGTTAAAATGTCCATACTACCCAAAGCATTGTACAGATTCAAAGCAATGCCTATAAAAATACTGATGACATTCATCACAGAAATAGAAAAAAAATCCGAAATTCATATGGAACCACAAAAGACCCAGAATAGCCAAAGCTATCCTGAGCAAACAGAACAAAACTGGAGGAATCACATTACCCAATTTCAAATTATACTATAGAGCTATAGTATCAAAGCAGCATGATACTGGCATAAAAACAAACATGCAGACCAATGGAACAGAATAGAGAACTCAGAAACAAATCCATAGATCTACAGTGAACTCATTTTTGACAAAGGTGCCAAGAATATACATTGGGGAAAGGACAGCCTTTTCAATAAATGCTGCTGGGAAATCTGGATATCCATATACAAAAGAATAAAACTAGACCTCATCTCTTGACATATACAAAAATCAGATCAGAATTAATTAAAGACTTAAATCTAAGACCTCATATTTTGAAACTACCAAAATAACTTCTCTAGGACATTTGACTAGGCAAAGATTTCTTGAGTAATACCCCACAAGTACAAGCAACCAAAGCACAAATGGACAAATGAGATCACATCAAACTAAGAAGTTTCTTCACAGCAAACAATCAACAAAGTGAAGAGACAACTCACAGAATGGAGAGAAAATATTTGCAAACCATCCATCTGACAAGTGAATAATAACCACAATATAGGAGGAGCTCAAACTATTCTATAGAAAAAAATTCAATAATGCAATATAAAAATGGGCAAAATATCTGAATATACATTTCTCAAAGAAAGACAATTGACAAACAAGTATATGAAAACGTTCTCAACATCAATGGTCATCAGATAAATGCAAATCAAAACTACAATGAGATATCATGTCACCCCTGTTAAAATAGCTTTTATCAAAAAAAAAAAAAAAACAGATAATAACAAATGCTAATGAGGATGTGGAGAAAAGAGAACCCTTGCACCTGTTGGTAGGAATGTAAATTACTACCACCACTTTGGAGAATGATTTGAAATTTCCTCAGGAAACTAAAAATAGAGCTATAATATGATCCAGAAATCCCACTGCTAGATATATACCCAAATAAAGGAAATCGGTATATTGTAGAGCTATATGCACTTTCATGTCTATTGCAGCACTGTTCTCAATAGCCAAGATTTGGAAGCAACCTAAGTGTCCATCAACAGATGAATGGATAAAGAAAATGTGGCACACATTGTATATACACAATGGAGCACTATTCAGCCATAAAAAAGAATGAAATCATATCATTTGAAACCACATGGATGAAATCGGAGATCATTATGTTAAGCCAGACACAGAAAAACAAATATCACATGTTCTCACTCATATGTGGGAGCTAAGAAGGTAGATCTCATGGAATTAGAGAGTAGAATGATGGTTACCAGAGGCTGGGAAAGGTAGTGAGAGTAAGGGGTAAGTGGGAATGATTAAAGAGTATAAAAATATAGTTAGATAGAATGAATAAAATCTAGCATTTGATACCACAACAGGATGACTACAGTAAATAATTTCTTGTACATTTCAAAATCAGTAAAACAGTATAATTGCATTGTTTGTAACACAAAGAAAGGATAAATGCTCAAGGTATTGAATACCTCATTTACTCTGATGTGATTATTATATACTGTATGCCTGTATCAAAATATCTCACGTACAGTAAAAATACATACACCTATGTACTCGCAAACATTGAAAATAAATTTTTTAAAAAAATCAAAGGCATTTTTGAAAAACACAAATTAAGCAGGTTACTATAATAAAAATATTTAAAATGTTGAAAGAGTATGCCATATTAAAACAGCTTTTTAAAAGATTACACTAAATTGCACTTTGAATTTGGATCAAATTTAATACTGTATTCCGTTAACTTACTATCTCACTACAGAATATGACTAGAATGAAGGATATCTATAGACACTGGAAAATAAGAATTGGTCAAATGGTACAACGGTTCAGTTATGTCAGATTAATCATCTCTGTAGATTTAATATATAGGATGGTAACTATAGGTAACACTACTCTATACTTGGAAATTTGCTAAGAGAGTAGATCTTAGCAAATGATAATTAAGTGAGGTGATGGATATATTAATTAATATGATTAAGGTAACTATTTCACAATGCATACATGTATCATATCCTCAGGGTGTACACCTTAAATACATAACAACAAAAACCAAAAAAGAAAATAAAACTTGAAAAGAATATAAAGAGAAAAGAAATATATAAATTGTGCCTTTTAAAACCATTCATTTAATAAACACTTTTATAGTTTTTACTACATTCCAGTCACAGTCCTACTTGCTGGCAATGGGAAGACATCAAGCTAAGGTAAATTGTCTTCAAGGATCTCATGGTTGAAGGAGCAAGATGGTAGTAAACAATGAACAGTTAAGTTGGGTGTTTTATGGTAGCATAAAGCAAGGGTAACTACATCTATTACTCAAAAATAATTTATAAAAATGTTTCATCACTATTAATGGAGGTTATACTGGTATTTTTTACACGTTGGATACTTTTCTATTTATTTAAAATATTAAATGATTAAATTGTATTATCTGAAAATCTAATCCTTATACAAATATGGCAAGGAAGTAAGAAGGAAATAAAATTAAATGGCCCTCTGTTTCTCTAGAGGGAGAATGTGTATATTAATGTATACACACGTATACATTTTTATGTATCTATACACAAAATACATAATGTGTTGTATATTAAAATACATATTATATATTAATATATAAAATATTAAAAATATATAACAACTTGAAATATAAAGAAAATCAGAATTAATTGTTCAAGGATCAATACAAAGTCTCCTTGGTAAAAGGTGAAATTATGCTATTTATAACAAATACCTGTAATTTGAAATATATTGCAAGTAGATGAGGGCCATGGTCACTTTTTTTAAAATTAGACGTCTAGAGTCAAAGAAGTCTCAGAATCAGAGAAATAAAAAGCATAACATCAATTTTAATATGTTTAAAATACTGTAGGAAGAGTAGATAAACTAAAACAAATTTGTAAACTTTTTAACAGCCAACTGACACTTGCAGGCTGTAAATAAATAAAAGGCACTAATAAACTATTGCCAATGTAATAGCCTAGACAAGGAAATATCTGCAATAAATAGGACTTATTACTTATATTCTAAGAGGCAGAGGATAAAATAAAAGTCCTGAAAATTAACTTGGATTTGATACAACTGAACAAAAGATTAAATGATGTCTACCAGAAAATGTGCAAATTCATGTGGAATCCCTTTCTAGAACTTTGTCTTAAATATCTCCACAGATTAACATTGGTATTATAACTAAATACGATCCAAACCAAAGAGGACTACCAATAAGTTGTACACATCATAAACTAAAGATAGTATTTTAGTGTATTCTTGACGTACTTCTACTGCTCTGTACCTAAGGTTGCCCTGTTTTAGCTGTTATAATGGTATGAGAATATGCAGCTACCATCCACTTTTTATTTCTAGTCTGTGCAGTAAGGCTATGCATTAGAGAACATTGCTGCTGTGTTCCTAATATAGCTGTTTTCTGAGTGCTTTCCCATTTAATAGACTGTAACCATGGCATCCAGAAAACACAGAGCACCTGCTAGGAACATAGGAAGTGATCAGACAGGTAATTTACATTGAACAAGTTATGTAAGTTTCTTATTTCACCAACTATAAAGTAGCAATAACACATTGTATAGAGTTGTTGCAGGAAATTAAACAAGATAGCATATGTAGACTACTTGACATTTAATGGATGTATAATAACTATTAATCACATCTCCCAATATTGAGGCCTTACAGAAAAGTATATTTACAATAAAACATAATATTTCAACTATAAGATGGAATTTAATTACACACACTGCAAAAAGGCTTTGTGAGGAATCAAAGAAATCAAATATGTGAATCCCTCAGAATAAGGCTGGCAAAGTGTAAATATCCAATGAAAGGTAGCTTAATTTCACAAAATTAATTTCATAAAGAGTTTAGTTTGTAAAAATATAATGTTATATATGTATATCATGATCACTAAGTAAAAATGTAATGTGAAATATAACAAAACAAAATCAAATACAACATTTAGTAAAAGAATGTTATGAAACAAACAGCCATGAAACACATAGTTTATGAAACAAAAACACTTTTTTTTTTTTTTTTTTGAGACAGAGTCTCACTCTGTCGCGGCCAGGCTGGAGTGCAGTAGCACGATCTCAGGTCACTGCAACCTCTGCCTCCCCAGTTAAAGTGATTCTCCTGCCTCAGCCTCCCGAGTAGATGGGACTACAGGCACATACCACCATGCCCGGCTGATTTCTGTATTTTTAGTAGAGATGGGGTTTCGCTATGTTGGCCAGGATGGTCCCCATCTCTTGACCTCGTGATCCGCCCACCTTGGCTTCCCAGTGTTGGGATTACAGGCGTAAGCCACCATGCCCAGCCAAAAGAACTTTTCAAGTCACCTAGGTGGCCCTTGTCAGTTACTGCAATCCTCATCTTTCTTTCCCAGAAGCTGGTGTCCTAAATTTTGTTAACTACTCTTTTTCTTTAAGATTTACCACACAGTTCCATGTTCTGAAATAATGTATTGTTCAGTTTGACCTATTTGTCAACATTTATATAAGTGGGGTCATTTTGTTGTGTTTGTCTGTGACTTGCTTTTATCAGTCAACATTGTTTCTGAGTTACCATATGGAACCACATGTGAGTTCAATTATTTTCTGTATTGTGCATTATGTCGTGCTGTGAATATAAAACTATGTATCTACTCTGTTTTGATACTAGTTTTGATATGGTTTGGCTGTGTGTCCCCACTGAAATCTCATCTTGAATTGTAGCTCCCATAATTCCCACATGTTGTGGGAGGGACACAGTGGGAGATAACTGAATCATGGCAGTGGTTTTATCCATACTGTTCTCATGGTAGTAAATACATCTCATGAGAACTGATGGTTTTATAAGGGGTTCCTCCTTTCACTCGGTTCTCATTCTTTCTTGCCTGCCACCATGTAAGATGTGACTTTTGTCTTCCACCATGATTGTGAGGCTTCCCCAGCCAGTGGAACTGTGAGCCCATTAACCTCTTTTTCTTTATAAATTGTTAAGTCTGGGGTATGTCTTTATCAGGAGCATGAAAATGGACTAATACAAGTTGCTTATAGTTCTGTATTATTTCCTTTTTTTTTTTTTTTTTTTCTGTGAGACAGAGTCTCGGCTCTGTTTTCCAGGCTGGAGTGCAGTGGTGTGATCTCGGCTCACTGCAACCTCTGCCTGCTGGGTTCAAGCGATTCTCCTGCCTCAGCCTCCTGAGCAGCTGGGACTACAGGCGTGTGCCATCACACCCAGCTAATTTTTTGTATTTTTAGTAGAGATGGGGTTTCACTGTGTCAGCCAGCATGGTCTTGATTTCCTGACCTCGTGATCCACTTGCCTCAGCCTCCCAAATTGCTGGGATTACAGGAGTAAGCCACCAGGCCCGGCCCAGTTCTGTACTATTTCTAACAATGCTGCTATAAATATTTCAGTTCATATCTCTTGGGGCATAGATGTAGTAGTTCTATAGGGCAAGGTTGGCTGACTTTCCGTTAAAGGGCCAGATAGTAAATGTTTTAGAGTTTGTGGGTCATAGTCCCTGCCACAACAACTCAACTCTGCTATTGTAAAATGAAAGTAGCTTTAGACAATGTGTAAGTGAATGAACTTGGCTGTGTATCTATATATATATTTCTTTTTTTTTTAAAGGAGACAGATGAATTTAGTTTGAGGCATATAGTTTGTTGACCCCTGTTCCAGAGTAAAAAGACAGATTGGACTTGTTGGTTCAGAGTGTATGTGTATCTTAATTTTACTAGTTTTTGTGTGTGGCTTAAAGGATTGTAATTATTTATTATGCATAACTAATATCCAAGGAATCCCTAATAATAAGTTCACTATTTTTCCTTCAATCTCCAACATCCCATCAGATTTTCATAAATGCGTGGATCTGTTTATGAACTTTCTATTCTGCCCAATTATTCTGCTCATCAACTACATACCCTGGACCTTACTACTTTAATTACTACTGATACAATGATAGAGGCAGGAGGCAGAGAAATTCTGGGAACACAGGAGCAGGTCCCTGGTGAAGCCCCACCCTTAAGCCAAAAAGCCTGAGACCATGGGAGACCCTAGTCCAAAGTGAGAACTTATACACTGTTTTCCCGCTGGAGTATCCCCTTTTCCTAAACCACCCATGACCCGCACCCCACCCCATCCTGTGACTTTAAAGACTCTAGACTCAGCCAGCAGAGAGGAGAAGCAGCTGGACATCGGAGACTGTGGCTGGACATTGGAGAAAAGTGACTTGACTTCAGAAGGTCAGCCTGATGGCATAACTTCAGAGAAGAATCTGGCTGGAGATGGCTGGATTTCAGGGGAGGATTACTTACCACCCCCATATCCCCTTTTCAGCTATCTTTCACGCTGAGAGCCACTTTCGGTGGCAAGAAAATCCTCTGCATCTACCATCCTTCAATTCGTTCATGCTACCTCATTTTTCCTGGACTCCAGACAAGAGCTTGGGAGCCACAAGTGTGGATACAAAAAGCTGTCAACTGGCCCTTTCCCTTGCTGGCAGAGGGCAGCTGCGGGCCCACCAAGCTGTTAACTCGTAAGCCGTCTGCTTAAAAAAAAGTACTGTACCACACCCTCTGGGGCTTTGGAAGTCGCAGGCACCCCACCTGGACACTGCCATGTGGCCTGCACAGAGTTCGCTCCTGCTAGCGCCCAAAAGCACTTGCTCTGGCTTCTGCGCCCGCTCACTTGTGCGCTTCCTCCCATGAGAGGTGGAAGGCAATGGGTCCAAGTGAGTGGAGTTTGATCCTGCTGGCTCCAGCGCTCCTGCACTCTTTATCTCTCGCCTCATTCTCTCACGCACTCCATCTCACAAGGAGTTGAGAGCAGTGGGCTAAGTAAAGGAGGCACCCTTGGTCATGAGTCCCGCGAAGGGGTCAGGGAAATATCCTGCTTCACTACTCTTTATAACATGCCTTAAAGTCCATTAAGGTAGTATTACTCATTGTTGTTCCTTTTCTTTATAATTATCTGATTTTTTATTGACTCTCACATTTTTATATTAATTCTATAATTAGCTTTTCTTTTTTATGAAAAAGTATGGGATTTAAATGAAATTGCATTGAATTTATGGACTAGTTTGAAGATAAATTTCCTTATTATTAACTTTTCTTATCCATAAAAGTTGAAGTTTTGATAGGTTTTAGAAGGAACCAGAAGTTAGATATTTCTGGTGTGGGAAATAGAGGAGAATGTGGAATCAGGGAGACCAGCTTGGAATTCTTGTAGTATTACAGACAAAAGTAAGTGGTGGTAGAATAATAGCTCCCCAAATACATCACTATCATAATCGCTGAAACTTAGGTATATGTTACCTCACAAGGCAAAGGGACTTTGCCAAAGAGGTTAAAGATGTAACATGGGCAGATTATCCTGAATTATCCAGGTGAGCTCAATGTAACCAAAGTCTTCTTATGAGAGAGAATCAGGAGTGTCTGAATGAGAGAAGATATGACAATGGAAGCAAAGGTCAGAGAGAAAGAGATTGAAGATGCGATGATAACTTTGAACATAGAGGAAGGTTCTATAAGCCAAGGAATACAGGCAGCCTTTAGAAGCTCTAAAATGCAAGGAAAAGAATTTTATGTGAGAGTCTTCAGAAGGAACATGGCCATGCCAATACTGTGATTTAGAATTTTTTGACATCCAAAACTTGAAAATAGTGTACTTTTGCTGTTTTAAGCTGACAGATTTAAGGTATCTGCTATGGCAGCAATAGAAAACTAACATACAGTGGATGGCAAGTTGGATTAGAAAATTAGCAATGAGGCCAGGCGCAGTGGCTCGCACCTGTAATCCCAGCACTTTGGGAGGCCAAGGCAGGCAGATCACCTGAGGTCAGGAGTTCAATACCAGCCTGACCAATATAGTGAAACCCCATCTCTACTAAAAATACAAAATTAGCCAGGCGTGGTGACACATGCCTGTAATCCCAGTTGTTGGGAAGCTGAGGCAGGAGAATCACTTGAACCCGGGAGGCGGAGGTTGAGGTGAGCCAAGATCACGCCATTGCACTCCAACCTGGGCAACAAGAGTGAAGAAAGTCTGTCTCAAAGGAAAGAAAGAAAGAAAGAGAGAGAGAGAAAGAAAGAGAAAGAAAGAAAGAAAGAAAGAAAGAAAGAAAGAAAGAAAGAAAGAAAGAAAGAAGAAAGAAAGAGAAAATTAGCAATGAAGGTAGTGAGAACTGGTTGAAATAACCTTAGAACTTGTAGTAAGAACCATATATAAATAATTGATTTATGTGGATTATGAAAGTCAAAGACAACTCCAAGGATTAGGCCCTGATCAACTGAAAAAATAAAACTGTTACTTTCTAATATGTAATTTATCTAGAAAGATTAAGGAAAGGAAAATGTAGCGGGTAGGATTACTGAGTGAAGACTCTGTGGGTGTGGCTGCCTTGTAAAGCTATTGGTGTTGACTATTTTAGTGACTTTAAAGTTGAAGTAACTGTTAAATATCCAAGTGGAAAAGTTGAATTGGCATGTGGATTCAGGGAAGAGGGCTAGAATGAAGATACCTATTTGAAGATTATTGGTATCTGTGCTTCAAGGATGAATTTGATCATCTACTGGGCAGATAAAGAATAGAATGCACCAATGATTGGGCGCTACATAGTTTAGAGGTCAGGAAGATAAGAAGAAAACATTGAAGCAGATAAGTGTAATTTTTAAGAAATAGAAAACAGAATATTTGATTCTGAAAGTGAAGCGAAGATTAGGAAGGAGGTGGTCAAATGTATCCTACAGTACAAATAAGAAAGGAATGAGGAAAAAGCTAATAGCAACTTAGATAAAAGATGCTTAAGTGGAGTAATACAGTTAGAAACCTGAGCAGACTGGAATAATAAAAAATTAGGAATAAAAATTGGATTGTGAGTACAGACAATGTCTTTGTGAAATTTTCTAATAGAGTAAAAAAATAAACAGGTAAGTTTAGTAGAAAGGTAAGTTTTCTTTCTTATGTTGAGATCTATTAGATAGTAATTTCATATTAAAGAGAATGATTTAGTAGAAATTGTTGGAATTATGAATGGATAGACAAGAGGGATGGATTTCATTAGATCATGGAGAAATTCAGCTCATCTAGGAGGAAGGAAGGAAACGTGTTCACAACTGTGCTAAACGTCTGTAGATGTCCAGTACTGATTCATTTTATTTTTTTCTAAGAGAAGTAGGCAGCAAGATAAATGGCTGAGTCAAAACTAAATACTTGATGCTTGAAAAAAAAAAGAAATAAAATAGTCAAATAGTAGACTATTATGGTTACAAATGGGGCACAATTGTGTGGCAGGCATGAACTTACTAGGGATTTGGATGAAAACAGGCTGGGGTTTGACAAAGACAGAAAATGACAAAGACAGTTTATGATGAAGACAGAAAATGTCAAGAGCACTGTGGGTTTATGGAAGGGTTCATGAAATGCAGTAATAACTGGTATGGCCAACAGCATATAATCTCAACAGCAAAAGAAGTTGAGGACATGAGGAGGAACAGATAGCAGAATAATGGTAGGACCAATGAATTAGAGATCTTATTTGGATTAATAATTGTAGTTTGGGTAAAAGAGCTTATAAGTTGGAGAAATTGGAGGAGATTGGTAGATGGAGAGAATAAAATTTGAAAACTACATTATGGAGGAGTTGTAGCTATTGATAATAATGATATTTAGGTATGACCATAGGCACAGAGATGACTGAGGTAGAGGGAGGAAAATATTATTGAAGAAAAGGGATTGAATGACCAATATTTTAAATCATTTTGTAAATATTAAAAATCTCAAAAATCATTACAACAAAGATCTGAGGCCAAAGCCTCAGGTATGCTCAGGAAGAGAAATGAAAACCACCTGGAATTATCAAAGAAAAAGCAAAGGAGAACTACTACACCTCCTGGTCAATGATGCGTGGAGTGACAGAGAAAAGGAGCCACCAACTCCTCAAAAAGTGAGGAGAACTTTCAGTGAAGATACGAGTGATAAATAGGGTGTGTTGACGAAAGAGGTGTATCCCAGAGTATAAGAAGAAGGTTTTAGGAGCAAGTGTGAAGTGGGATTAGGGTGGGGATAGACAGAACTGCAATGGGATCCAAGGTACTGGTGAAAAAAGGTCATGGGAGTTTGGGCTTGTTTGGGGGACCTGGAGAAACAGTGATAAATGGCATAGTGTCAATGTCTTAATGCAGATTGTCGTGATAATGCTGGCTCTATGGAGTTTATATTTAAAAATTGATGCTGTAGTCATGAAAAAATTATTCTTATGGCAAATGAGAGAATAAGTCAGTGCTAGGAGAGGATTTAATTGCAATAAAATTATGAATGATATACAAATTTTCATGAATGACAAATGCTGTTAATTATTTCCAAATTGAAAAATAATGTATTTAAGATTATTAAAATCTTACAACCTCCCAAAGGTTTCCAATTAAAAAGTGAAATTTACTACATTCAATTTTAGCTAAAGATCTAGATTAGAAGACCAATAGGCCAGTAAGCCTTAATAAGTCTTTAATGTAAACTTTTAACCTCATTTAAAACCAGATTGTATTCAGTCTAAGTTATTTAGTGTTAAGTGACTTTATTAATAAGTTCGATTGAATTATTCATTAACTGATACAGTATCTTGAGCTTTGGTGAAAATTTTTATTTCTTTCTGGAGTCAAAGAGTTTTAAATGTTTTGGCTCATTTTATTAAGTTACAACAATGTCCCTATATGTAATGAATGTCTGCAATTCTAGTCTAGACTAAGAAATGAGCTTGCATTGTGAACTGAGTCACCTCAAACATGTAAGACAATGTGAGTAATGGTGAAAATGCTAAAACCTCGTAAGTATGTGTTCCATGTGGGATCCTCCTGCAAATTTAACACAAAAGCAATGTCATCTAATTGTTAGCATATGGAAAAAATACAATTCTGACAAAAAGAAGAGGCTTGTCACTTCATTTAAGTATGATGTACTCACTGCTAACAATGAGCTCTTTGCCTGCTCTGTTATTAGCACCTCACTTTCTTGTGAATTTCTAATCACAGTGTGAAAATTCTATGCTAAATAGCTTCAACAATTATGAGGAATGCTCTATTTCATCATTTTGTTTCAAAGTATTTTGTAAAAAATATACTGACATTCCCAGGATGGGGGTGGGGCTGGAATCATGAGAATACTATCAAAAGTCAAAAGCGGTTTCTAAAAGGGACATGTCCTAAGGACAGAGGCATCCTCAGTTGCTAAAGATATATTTAAACAGGAAAAGTAAAGCTTTAATAGCTCTTTCAGTGTCCATCTGTGAAACCTGCCACCCCTTCCAAAATGGATGCCACCTCTGTCCAAGATAAGGTGTATCTCTTTTGTAGCATTTCAACACCGTTGTGTTTTCAAATAGCAGTCAATCAACACTGGCCCAGGTGAACTTCAACTGTGCACAGAATCATCACTCAGCTTTCCCAGAAGTGGTTGGCATCCTTAGAGGGAAATCAAAGACCGAAAAATAAATAAAACCACAATAAAACAATAACAAAAGCATACCACCTCCACACCTCCAAAACACAAAGGAATAAATTTTTAAATATTAAATGTTTAAAATTGTGATAAGGTCTACCTAATATTCCACATATGGTGCTAAGTAAGGTGTGTCTTGACTTTCCGAATCCTTGTGTCCTTTTCACTATGATCAATTCATCTAAATCACCCACTGTTACTTATATGTCACTTGAATGATAATGGCTTTTGTTTTTACAATTCTAGAAATTTAAATCCTGCAAATTGAACTGTTTAGGCATGTAATTTTAGTTCAGAGAATTTTCTCACCTAGAGCTCTCACTAGGTGACACTGTTCTACCACCTAGAAGTGCTTCCAATTGTATGCACGAAAGGACCGCCCGTACTTTTTTGCCTTCCTAAGAAAGGAGCTACATTTTGAAGAATTTTGTTTTCATAGATCTCAGATTGTGCCAAATTTTAAATGAAAAAAATATTAGTTTTTCATAACTTGAGAGAAATTTTTTTTGAACTGTGAAGTCTACTGTATTTGTTTGTTTGTGAGGTGTAAAAAGCTTTATGCCTAGTCCCCAATTCTTAAAATCTGTATTCAAAGCAGTATCCAGTGATAATGGCTGATATATGACTATTTATTTTGTATCAGGTACTATCTTAGGTGCTTTATGTGTATTGAATAATGTAATCCTCAAAGCAATCTTAAAAGTCATGACTGATTTTCTTTTTCAAATTATTTTAAAATAAGAAAATGGGTGCACGGAAAAGTTAAATAAGTAATCCATCATCATACATCTATTAATTAACAGAGCAACCTCATTGAGGAGCCTGTGTACTTGACCACTGCCAACTGTTCCCTCTCATTCTCCATGACTACCTACAGATCAACCTAACTGATTTCAAGTTCAGTTTCTCACAAAACAGAGATTGAAAGTCAACAATCAGTTTCTTTTATTTTTTGGTTTTAGCATAATAAACAATATCAAATCCAGTTTTATATCAATGACATGTAAGTGTTAAGGGGTGAAGTCAGCATGCATAAATTTAAATCTCAGCCCTATAATATACTGGATATTAAAATTGGGCAAGTTATCTAAACTCCTAAAGCCTATAAATGGGGAATTTTCACAGTATCTAACTCAAGTAGCTATTGTGAGTATTTAATCAAATAATTGATTGTCATCTAGCACTATTCATGAGATGTGGTTATTATTATTTGAAATACTTTTCAAGCAAAATGAAATTCTTTCTGGGTGCCTTCTCAGATTAACACCAAAGAGATGATGTATTATGAATACAGAATTAGCTAATTTGAAGATAAAAGTGTACTCATAAAAAGTTAAATATTTTTGGACATCTACCTGCAATAATAAATGTAGCCTTAGCAGAGTTAATTTATAATATTCTTTTATACCATAATTGGACAGGTTTATTGAGGTTTCCTGTGAGAAAAACTAAGTCATTTCATCTACACATAATCTTCTAAGAATCAGGTACTTACTCTCCTCCAAGATGGGGTAAGGACAACAATGTATTAATGGTCTGCTATGTTCTGTAGATGTTAGCTTTTTCTTGTAACACAATCCGTGCCTCCTCACCTCCCTCAACAATCTCTTTCCAATGTGTCCTCTTACAATTTCACTGTATTATGAGTACATTCTCCAACTCTTCTACAGATACATACTCTACTTACTGTCTTTAATTAAGTTCTAAAATGACTTTTCATTCATATTTTTATTGGTATTTTATATTGTTTTAGATTTAGGCGGCACGTGTGCAGGTTCTTTACATAGACATATCACATAGTGGTGAAATTTGGGCTTCTAGTGAACCCATCACCCAAATAGTGAACATTGTACCCAATAGGTAATTTTTTATCCCTCATCCTCCTCCCACCCTCCCCTTTTTTGGAGTCCCCGGTGTCTATTATTTATTTATTTTTTATTTTTTATTTTTTTGAGATGGAGTTTCACTCTTGTTACCCAGGCTGGAGTACAATGGCGTGACTTTGACTCCCTGCAACCTCTGCCTCCCAGGTTCAAGTGATTCTCCTGCCTCAGCCTCCCAAGTAGCTGGGATTACAGGTATGCGCAACCACACCCAGCTAATTTTGTATTTTTAGTAGAGATGGGGTTTCTCCATGTTGGCCAGGCTGGTTTTGAACCCCTGACCTCAGTTGATCCACTCTCCTCGCCTCGCAAAGTGCTGGGATTACAGGCGTGAGCCACCGCGCCTGGCTGGTGTGTATTATTGCTATCATTAAACTTGTGTGTAATCGTTGTTTAGCTCCAATTATAAGTGAGAACATGTGGTATTTGATTTTTCTGCTTCTGAGTTATTTCACTTAGGATAATGGCTTCCAGTTTCATCCCTGGTTCTACAAAAGACATGATTTCATTTTTTTTATGGTGGCATAGTATCTCATGATGTGTACCACATTTTCTTTATTCAGTCAGCTGTCGATGGACACTTAGGTTGATTCCATGACTTTGCTATTGTGAATAGTGTTGTGATAAACATATCAGTGCAGGTGTCTGTACGATAAAATGATTTCTTTTCTTCTGGATAGATACCACGTAGTGGGATTTCTCAGTCTAATGGCAGTTCTATGTTTAGTTCTTCGAGAACTCTTCATACTCCATAGAAGTAGAACTAATTTAAACCTTCCAGCAGCAGTGTACAAGTGTTTTCTTTTCTACACATTCTTTCCAACATATTTTTTGACATTTTAATAATGGCCATTCTAAATGGTATGAGATAGTATCTCAGTGTGGTTTTCATTTGCATTTTACTGATGATTAGTGATGCTGAACATTTTTCACATTTTTGGCCACTTGTGTGTCTTTTTTTAAGAAATACTGGTTTGTGTTCTTTGTCCACTTTAAAAAAAAATTATTATTATTATTTTTAGAAATGAGGTCCCAGCTACTCAGGAGGCTGAGTCAGGAGAATGGCATGAACCCGGGAGGTGGAACTTACAGTGAGCCCAGATCGCGCCACAGCACTCGAGCCTGGGTGGCAGAGCGAGACTCTGTCTCAAAAAAAAAAAAAAAAAAAAAGGAAAAAAAAAAGAAATGAGGTCTTGTGATATTGCCCACACTGGTCTCAAGCAATCCTCCCACCTCAGCCTTCCAAAATGCTGGGATTACAGGCGTGAGCTACCATGCCCAGCCTGACCACTTTGTAATGGAGTTAGTTATGTTTTCTCCTTGTTGATTTGTTTGAGCTCCTTATAGATTCTGGATATTAGTCCTTTGTTGGATGCATAATTTGCAAATATTTTGTCTCATTCTATAGGTTGCCTGTTTACCCTGTGAAAGTCTATTTTGCTGTGCAGAAGCTCTTCGGTTTGTCTGATTTGTCTATTTTTTGTTGCTACATTTGCTTTTCATGTTTTAGTCATAAATTCTTTGCTTACTCAAATGTCCAGAAGAGTTTTTCCTAGGTTTTCTTCTAGGATTTTTACAGTTTCAGGTCTTACATTTACATTTTTAATCCATCTTGAGTTAATTTTTGTCCAGGTACAGTGGCCCATGCCTGTAATGCCAACACTTTGGGAAGACAAGACAGGTGGATCACTTAAGCCCAGGAATTCTATACCAGCCTGGACAACATGGCAAGACCCTGTCTCTAAAAAAATAAAAATAAAATTATCCGGGCATCGTGGAGTGCACTTGCATTCCTAGCTACTCAGGAGGCTGAGGTGGAAGGATTGCTTGATCCCAGGTCAAGTCTGTAGTGAGTCATGATTGAGCCACTGCACTCCAGCCTAGGCAATAGAGTGACAATAAATAAATAAATAAATAAGAGTTAATTTTTTATATGGTGAGAGATGGGGGTTCAATTTTATTCGTGTGTGTATATATATGTGTATATATATACATACATATGTATGTATATATATACACACACACACATGTATGTATATATATACACATACATATGTATGTATATATATACACATACATATGTATGTATATATATACACATACATATGTATGTATATATGTATACACACATATATATATATGGCTAACCAGTTTTCCCAGCATTCCCAGCACCATTTATTGAATAGGGTGTGCTTTCCCCATTGTTTGTTTTGTCAGCTTTGTAAAGGTCAGTTAATTGTAGGTGTTTGGCTTTATTTCTGAGTTCTCTATTCTGTTCCATTGTTATACATGTCTATTTTTGTACCACAACCATGCTATTTTGGTTACTATAGCTTTGTAGTATAGTTTGAAGACAGGTAACATAATGCCTCTAGTTCTGTTCTTCTTGCTTAGGATTGCTTTGACTATTTGGCCTCTCTTTTCATTTTATATAAATTTTAGAAGTTTTTTCTAATTCTGTAAAAAATGACTTTTTTACAGAAACTTGGACTGCTATAGTCCAGGTTTTTGGGGAGAAAAAAAATGTATACTGGAGCAGAATTAAATATTGCAATGCCAAGCACAGCAGGGCTCAGTTCTTTTTGCCATATTGCTTCCTGTTCTATATAAGGCTTCAAATTTCCACTGTAACTTTTATTAATGAAATCCACATCATGGTACTATACAGCTGAATCTGAATGATGAGAGAATAAATGTAGTTACACTGAAGACTGGGTCTCTTTTTTGTAACAATATCTTGTCTAGATCCTTCTGATCCACATAGCTTTCAAAGGAGAACAAAAACACAAATCTGTTCAAATGGAAGTATACATCTTTATACATGCATGGTATATAGATGCAATAATATACCAGTAGCTGGTATTAATTGCCTTTGAAGGATGCAGCAGGAAAATTGGTATAAAAGTCTCATGAGGAAGATTTTTTTTCTGTTTAGCCTTCAGTTTCTATCATTACCTATATAAACTAAAGAAAATATATTCCTTTAATAAAGTAAATAGCATATTTTATTATAGTTGAAACTAGTGTTTTTTTCTGAGCATTCTGGTGAAATATATATTTTTTTTAAAAAAGATATCTATCTTCATCATTTGTAAGTTCTAAAATGTTGCTTTTTTCCCTTTGAAGTTCACTAATTATCCAATGTTAGTCTTTTCTTGAAGGTGAGCAAATTTACCCACAATTAAATATGAGATTCATTGCAGACTTTTGCATTTTATCTGAGAACGAAAATCACCAACATCAGCTAAATTTCTTACATAATCTGAAATGAGTTCAGGGTTTCTAATTAAACCAGGATAAATTGCTTTGATCAAAATATTTTGAGAAAAGTCAGTTAATACAGATTGCAAAAGAAGCTCTCTAAGTTTGTCTTGCTTTAAATTTGTCTCTTCAAATTTGTATCTTCAAAGTAGTTTTTCTCCTCTCCTTATTGATTAACTAGTTTCCACTTTTGCTTCTAAAATGAACCTCAGCTTTGTGTGCATATTCCCTTGTTCCTTGAGGCTCGTTTTTGATCTTTAGCTTATTTATATTCCTAGACTCTGAAACTTTCTCTCAAGCTTGTACCTTCCTTTACTAGTTTTTGACTTGGCTATTCCAACCCCAGTCTCTCTGAGCCATCTCTGTCTTGATTGAAAATAATTCATACTGAATATTTAATTTCTTATTCATAATACTTTCTAGATAAAAACTGTTTGAGTAATTTTTAATTTAGAATTTTTATCTACTGATTTTTCTCTTTCTTCTTCAGCAAAAACATTAAAGGCCTAACTGTAATTAAAAGCACACTGTGTCTTCATATTGTACTTGGCTATTAGACACAGACATTTATTAGCTTAGCTGTTACCTGGGTCACTCTGTCCTAATAGAGTGCTATGATATAATATGATACTTTGTAATGAGATAAAAATCTATGGCACCAAACAATAAAAATGTATTTGACCCTGCCTGTTGCTTGGGCTGAAAAAAATTAATTCACTGAAACCAAATTAATAGTTTGTGAAGTACACTGATTTTATCAACCATCATTTTAGAAGAAAAATTTGAGAATTATAGAATATTCCATCAATTTCTCTTTGCCAAGTTAAAATGGAATGTTATAACATAAAAGTATTTAAGCTACCCAGGGATTTGTGCTTATACTATATTGATCCTCAAATGTACTAGCTATCAATATATTGTTCTACTATCCTTTTAACATTTTCTATTATGACAACAATTAAAATCATTTGCAGGAAAATGTTTACTTAATTAACATGACGTAGCACACTGTTTCTTTTATTTATTTTCATTTTTATTTTTATTTTTCGAGACAGAGTCTCGCTTTGTTGCCCAGGCTGGAGTGCAGTGGCTTGATCTCAGCTCACTGCAACATCTACCTCCTGGGTTCAAGCAATTCTCCTGCCTCAGCCTCCTAGGTAGCTGTGACTACAGGTACACACCACCACACCCAGCTAATTTTTGTATTTTTAGTAGAGACGGGGTTTCACCATGTTGGCCAGGATTGTCTCAGTCCTTCCTGACCTCAGGTGATCCGCCCACCTTAGCCTCCCAAAGTGTTGGGATTACAGGTGTGAGCCACCACGCCCAGCCAGCACCCTGTTTTAATAAAAACTTCATAAAAATTATAGCAACAAATTGAATTCATTTAAAAAAGAAATTACCTTGATAGTGCAGGATTTTTTTTTGAAAAAAATGGCTGCAAGGGTTTGTAGACTTTTTAGTGTTTTTTTGTTTATTTAACTTTTTATTCTTTATATTATTTGTTTTATTTAAAAACCTTATATGCTAATGAAGTCAGCAGAATATTAAGGACCATCAGTCAATAAATGATAAAGAAGACAAGATTTACACCACAAAGTTATTTTTTATATATATATTTCGAGACTCAGTCTAGCTCTGTCACCAAGGCTGGAGTGCAGTGGTGCAATCTCAGCTCACTGCAACCTCTACCTCCTGAGTTCAAGCCAATCTCCTGCCTCAGCCTCCCATGTAGCTGGGATTATAGGCACACACCATCATGCCCAGCTAATTTTTGTAGTGACGGTGGTTTCATCATATTGGCCAGGCTGATCTCAAACTCCTGACCTCAAGTGATCTGGCAGCCTCGGCTTCCCAAAGTGCTGGGATTACAGGCATGAGCCACTGCGCCCAGCCTACAAAGTCATAGTTAATATTAAAAGTGGATATAAAATGGATATAAAATGGTGCTTGATGGATCAACAATAAAATTGAAATTTGTAAGGTAGATCTTTAAAGAAATGTCAGCTAGTTTATGTTTGTGTTTCTGATAATATTAAGGTCGTAAGGTAATAGTACCTTAAAACGTGAATCGATACTGAATTCAAGCCAGACCTAGATGATAGTGGAGAGGGATAACAGTCTCAAAAATTACTCAGTAAGGAAGAGATAACCTTCCTATGAGACTTCCTAAATGACACTTGTGTAGAGTGGCCTCATCTTCTAAAGCAAAGGTAAGGTATTAGTTCTTACAAATATTAATTTACCGATATGTGTAATGGGTACAACATGTTTAAAATAAAGTCTCCAATACAATTATATACATGGACAATTTAAGTAGTATCCACATTAATTCAGCATCACTATGATTTTCTTAATGATTTCTCTGCTTGGCCAGTACGTGTCCTTCATTATAGTTGTATTCATTTTATTTTCATGCTTCATAATAAGATGATAAACTAGATGATGAGATTAGATATATTTTGTTGTTGCTATGACAATGAATTAACTTTTTAGTTCCTACAGACAGCATTTAATTTAAAAACAACCATTAACCCAGTTTTGAAGGTGGAAAAGAAAATATTATTTGGATTAAGAAAATTGCCCGAGATCATTTGTCAAGAGCAAGAGAAAACTACCTCTCTAATTTCGGAAACTGTGTTTTCAATTTCTATGTGCGCATCTACATGCACACACACACATTCACACTAATGCTCTTGAGACACAATAAGAAGTAGAGGATGGGATTGTGTCTTGGTGATTATATTAGATAAAAGCTATTCACTTAGAAAACATTTTATCTAGCATGGGCTAGGTTCTATAGATACAAAGATAAACAAGACTTGATGCTCCTTTAAAGAAGTGCAGTGTCCAAAAGAGGAGATAAAATATAAGTGGATCACTTCACAGAGGAAGAGCATTTGTGACCATGAGAACACACCTTGTAGATCTTCAACTACAGGGAGCATGAGGACAGAGACCCCAGGTGCTTGCTCTAAAATCCAATCTGTGTTTTTGACCTCAGGCCACGCTTTTTCTACAGTCCATGTCTAGCTAACAAATGACTGCCTTCAAGATAGTAAGCCAGACCCCTGCCAACTTTGGCTCCCTGACTCCTCAAAGACTCTAAGAACCTTTCCAAGGCATTCTGAAATGCTATGTCCAACCTCCTTGTCCTTTTTCTTTCACTTGGGGCCAGTTTTGCATTGCAGTCTGGTGGTTTTCTCATCTTAATCAGCTCCCACTCTAGTTTCTCTCATATAGACATTTCACCTAATATAGCTTTTGCAGGTTTAGTCATATCTTAGTATGTGTCTCTTAAACAATCTTAGAAGATCTTGGTGTCTGCTTCTTAGAGGACCAACACAACACTCAACTGAAGCAGTGAGTAGAGGTGGGCTTTCTGAAGGAGGATGTGCCTGTATTGATGAAATGCTACAACTAAACATACACTCCACTCAAACGTCAGGCTAGGTAGAGCTAACATGAATAGAAGGACTGGTCATTAGTTAGGCTTTGCTCTCCAGTCACTTTTACCTACAATTCCACAATCAAAAATTAACTTAGTCGAGTGGAAGTTTTTTGATCTGTGGGAGCCACCTATAAAAAAGTGAATGTGGGCCGGGCACAGTGGCTCAAGCCTGTAATCCCAGCACTTTGGGAGGGCAAAATGGGCAGATCACCTGAGGTGGGGAGTTTGAGACCAGCTTAACCAACATGGAGAAACCCCGTCTCTACTAAACATACAAAAATTAGCCAGGCATGGTGGCACGCGCCTGTAATCCCAGCTGCTTGGGAGACTGAGGTAGGAGAATTGCTTGAACCTGGGAGGCAGAGGTTGCTGTGAGCTGAGATCGTGCCACTGCACGTCAGCCTGGACTATAAGAGTGAAACTCCATCTCAAAAAAAAAAGTGCATGCTCCGAAAAATATTTCCTTTTTAAGTATTGTTATTGTATTTTACTGTCTTCGTTGTTTTTGAGGGAAAGAGAATGAATGATTGGGACATAGAGTCAAGGTGTGGAGAGAGACAAGACTGGAGGCAACAGAGCCAAGTAACAGGTCAAGGATAGAGAAAGCACCATAAAGTCTAGAGATTGCCTCCCAAAAGTGGGTGTTACAACAATTCTCAGACATTGATATTAACCAGTGTGTTCATATTTCAAACTTTACTATTAAACCCACTAGTTTGAATTAATTATTCATGTGCCTGACTCCCAGACTTCTGTAGATGAATACAGTTTTGTACACCTACTCTCAGTTTAGGATTTGACATATAATGGGTAACAGTTATTTGTTTCAACATTTATTCCTTTACTCATTTATTCATCCATTCATTTATGCATGAATTTAACAAACGTGGAATAACTGTATAAGAACCAGGGACTATATTAGAAGTTGAGGTTTCAGCCATGAATAAAACAACTCTGCAATCTACTGTAGCTTGCATTCTAGTAAGAAAAAGCACTTAATAAATGTATAGACAAATGAGTATCAAATATGTTATATGGCAAATGCTGTGAAGAAAAATAAACCAGGGTGAGGGATAGTGAGTAACTGGGGAGTACAGAGGGATATTAATTCAATAAGGTAGTCAGGGAAGGTATAGCTGAAAGGATGATATTTAACAGAAACCTGAATAAATCTAAAGGAAAAATACACGTAAATAGCTAGGGGAAGTGCTCCAAGTTGAGGGAACAGTGGTTATAAAAACACTGAGGCAGAAGTGTGCTTGGAGAGTTTGATTAACATCAAGGGATCCGATGTGTCCAATGTGGCTGGATTAGGATAAAAAGTGTGATCAAGGCCGGAAATGGGGGAATTGTACCTATGGACAGGTATAAGATCAGGCGGGGTCTTGTCTGCTATAATACATACAATAGAGGATCTTATTAGAAGAGGTATCCCAGCATTTATTTGCCAGGAATTTGCTAATATTTACAAGTTTTTGTAAAATGTCCCTCTCTCATAAGTGTTCATTTTAAATAAAACTACTTTCCATAAACTGCATCTAAGGTATGTCACAGTATTAACAAACAGGTCTAATCTTTACAACTTGGTACATTCGGCTGGACTAATATACCATCCAACTATCTGGTGTAATTTAGTTGACAGCTGTTCTCTCCAATAATATGTCACCCTTGAGATAGTCTGATATTTGAGCAGTCCTAAATTATTTTTTATTTAGCTATATCCAGCAAATAATTTAATGGATTTGGTGAGAACAAGCCGGCTATCAAAACAAATGGATTCAATTTTCAGGAAAAATGACATTTTGTAAAAGAAAGTATTTGATAAATAGCACTTTAACTTGAAGACGATTGATAATCTCATCTAATAGTTTATACAATTGCAGATACATTGATGTAAATACAAGAAAGCATTTAAAAGTAACTTTTAAAGTTCTCTCTAATTAAAAATGTACTTAATGAATGAATATTTTCTAGAGTCTATTGAGTGTATTGGGGCTCAGATTACAATACCCCATAATATGGGTCTTTGACGTACTGAACTATAGAAGCAGCCACTTTCACGTTCACATCTCCACTCCCCAGCCCTCCTCTGTTTCTCCCACAGCACAGGATGAGAATACTTTCTTACATTCCATTTACATTCTATTATCTGCCTTAGAAAGAGACCTGCTAGAGAACACAATTGCCTTTCATCTTTCCCTAAAATTTGATTATCTATGACAGATAGAAGACCTGGGAAAAATGTAACTGCACCTGGATGAATTTTGTCACAAGTTGGGTTCATTCAAATTTCAAAGAGAATTATTTACAAGATAATGTCTGCCCCATGGGTCGATTCATCTTCTTTAAAATAATTTAATGCCCTTCAAATTACTTATTTTCCCCCTCCCCCCTCCCCTCTGAAGAAGGGCATGTAAACATCTGTAACTCTATGGATTATTGGGTTATCATTCTCCCGAAGTTCCCCTGTGCTTGTGCATGTTAGGAGCTAGACACCATTATCCTCGGCAAACTAACACAAGAACAGAAAACCAAACACCGCATGTTCTTATTTATAAGTGGGAACTGAACAGTGAGAACACATGGGCACAGGGAGGGGAACAACACACACTGGGGCCTGTCGGGGGGTGGGGTGGGGGGAGGGAGAGCGCTAGGAAAAATAGCTAATGCATGCTGGGCTTAATACGTAGGTGATAGGTTGATAGGTGCAGCAAACCACCATGGCACATGCTTACCTATGTAACAAATCTGCGCATCCTGCACATGTGCCCCAGAACTTAAAAAGAAAAATTTTAAAAAGAAAAATAAATAAATTTGCATGCCTTTTTCTCCTATCAATCTGTTTATTATTACTTCATTTTTAGTGAACCTTAAGAAGGTAGAGGGGAAACTTTCCCCTGACCCCTACAAGTGCCTATACATATACAGTGTAGACTTGGAAAGTTTGATTAACAGCAAGGGATTCAATGTGTCCAATGTGGCTGGATTAGGATACAAAGTGTGATAAAGGCCGGAAATGGGGGAATTGTACCTATGGACAGGTATAAGATCAGGTGGGGTCTTGTCTGCTATAATACATAAAATAGAGGATCTTATTAGATGAGGTATCCCAGCATTTATTTGCTATAGACTATATATACACTATATATATAGAGATCTATATCTATATATAGATCTATATAGAGAGAGATCTATATAGATATAGATCTATATCTATATAGAGAGAGATCTATATAGATATAGATCTCTATATATATCTCTATAGAAGATCTATATATAGATATCTATATTTCTATAGATCTATTTGTAGATATCTATATATCTATAGATATAGATCTAGATATCTATATATAGATATCTATATATGTATATAGATAAGATAGATAGATAGATAGATATATAGATAGATATCTATATATATCTATATATAGAAAGATCTAGATATATCTATAATATAGATATAGATATAGATATATGTCTATATATAGTCTATAGTCTACTATATATAGTATATATAGTATATCTATAGTATATATAGTATAGACTATATATAGTATATATAGTATATATAGTATAGACTATATATAGTATATATAGTATAGACTATATATAGTATATATAGTATAGACTATATATAGTATATATAGTATAGACTATAGTATATATAGTATAGACTATAGTATATATAGTATATATAGTATAGACTATAAATATAGTGTATATATAGTATAGACCATATATAGATATAGTCTATACTATATATATACTATATATATAGTCTATACTATATATGTACTATATATATAGTCTATACTATATATGTACTATATATATAGTCTATAGACTATATAGTCTGTATAGTCTGAAACACAACATCTGAATCTTTGTTAGTTGAGTCATGTTAATGGTGTAGGGCAGAATTTCTCAATAAATGGGTTAATTTAATCACACTATATAGTCTATAGTATATATATATATATATATATATATATCCTTTACAATGTTACATATTCAAAAAAGTTCCATGATCTCATTTCTTTATCACAAATATTTAGTAATTAATTAATAGTTCACACACACAAAAGACCCCTGATAAAAGCACACCTATTTTTCTAATGATCATGTAGGTTGTTCATTGTTTCCTTCTATAACAAATAAAATTATTTTTAAAAGTTACTCCTATGATGATCCCAGTTTTCTGCCTAGTTTCCAGACTGCCATACAAGAAAGGGAAACCAAAGCAAAGCCAGATGATGCCCCTGCTGTTAAAGAGTGTTACTTAGAAATCCAGGGAAGCTATGATGGTCAGAGTCTGAAGGGCACAGTACAGGGGAAGAGAGAACTGCACATAAAGATAACTACAGAGATATGCAGGAGGTTCCCCTTGAGTATTCAGTGGAGAACTTGACATCACATGCATGTGAAAAAACTACCTGAAGGCAGGGAAAGAGCCACACCAAAGAATCAAGGGAATAGCGCTGGCTGGAACTTCACATAGGCAAGGTTGGAAAACTTCCTAATTGAGAGGGCATCAGAGTACTACGAGATACTACCTCATTAGTAGGGAAGATTTATCTCAGGCTAAGGATTCCATTTATTCCCAATTCCAGTTATCTCTACACATCAACTTGGTGGTTATGTACAAAAGCAAACCTTTTTTACAATAATGAGAAAAACTACATTAATGAACTTTATTTACCCAGGACATAACCTAAAGAAGTGATTCCTTGACCCTTCATTTATGTCTGTCATCAACCAAAATTAATTTGTTTGTGTTTCAGGGGGTAGAGGGGTAGAGAAAAGGAGAACAATACAGAACTCAGGTTGAGTCTGCTGTATTTATTCTCCAAGGAATTCAACTAAGAAACAACATCTGAATCTTTGTTAGTTGAGTCATGTTAATGGTCTAGGGCAGCACTTCTCAATAAATGGGTTCATTTAATCATAGAAATCATTAAAGGATCTTGTTAAAATACAGGTTTAGATACTGTGGGTCTGAGGTGAGAACTGAGATTTTGCTTTTCTCAACTAGCTCCTGAATGTTATGGATGCTACCAGTCCCCAGACCACACTTGGAGTGTCAAGGATCTAGAGGTGATGTCCACGAACTATTGTGGAGATATTGCGAACAGTTTGGTTTCCTACATTAGCTAGAAGTTGGATGATCTTTGTTATGTGAAATGCCCCCACACATAGAAACACATAGCCTCGCACTCACATATATGCACTCACATCCCTAACTACTTTAGTGTCAAGCTAAACAGCTATGGAGCAATATACTTAAAAGCAGAGAGATTATTCATATAATTTTTCTTTTTACTTTCACATTTTGAAGAATGCTGATTGCATGGTAAAATCAACTTTTATTGATTCATTGTAGATTAAAAAATTTAAAAGGCAGACATCAGGGATATTATATGAATTGGCAAGAATTGTTTCCTAGCAATCAATTGTGCTTGTTAGCTTTCAATAACAGTGCAGTCTCTAATTGGCAGAATCGATGTTCTTGGCAAAGATAAATAGTCCTGAACTTTATTGCTTTAATGTTTGCCAGATACAATTTCTAATTTTCAAAAGGTAACATGAAATAAATATATGGTTCTCAAATTTAGAGGGCTGATACTACCATATGTAGCATTTTCCAAGATCTCTTTCAATATACTGGATTAAAGGAGCTCTCGTTTTATATTCATTGCTTGTTATTTTCATTGTAAATATACAGCCAAGATATTCCAGCCCCAGGGCAGCTATCAAGGGTGGCAGTTAGGAGGGTTCAAGCAGCCACATCTCCATTCTGACCTTACATAAAGCAGCTAACATATCTAGATAATAAGGAACTGATGCATGCATTAATAGGTACCCAGGATTTGTTTTATTCAGGTGTGGTGAGGAAACAGACATAGAGGCAACTGACTTTGAAAGGGGAGGTTATTAATTACAGCTCCCAAGAGAAGAGGGTGTGCCATACCATGTGGTGACACATGGTGAAGTTCCAGGCTTAGTCAGGAGGCAGAAGGAGTTAAGTAGAAAGCATAATCCAGGGCCTTTATTGTGGTTTTCCTGGGAAAGAATGAGTGAGGCAAGTTTGAGCAAATTTAAGATTGGATAGTTTGACTTTCTTAGGGCTCTGGGATATAGCGATGGTTTTCAGTGGTCCCATATTTGGCCCTAGGGTGATTTAGTACAGGGAGAATATTGGCTTGGGATCTGACAGTCAGATAAAGGAGAAGGTTGAGGATAAATTCTGTGGATTTGTTCATTTGCATATGAAAGGAATGCTAGTAGGCAAGTCATTTATTATCTTTAGGAATTAGCTAACCTGGGAGAGCCGCAGTTTCTCCCAGAATGGGCAGCAAGGCTCCAGGTAGACCTCTGGAAGTCACAGCATGATAAAATACAGGCAGTAAAAAACAGGATTAATACAATACATTAATGAGAAAGAACAAATCTTGCCTAACCTCAGCTACTTATTCTCCAATATCAGTGAAATGGGTTGTGACCTCAGAAGTTAACTTCATCCACAGATGATTTTGCAGCTGTCAGGACAAACACAAAGCTTCCCTGAATTGAGTTTTATTGCTTTTTTTTCTTTTTTTTCTTTTTGAGACAGGGTTTCACCTGTCACCCAGGCTGGAGTGCAATGGCATGATCTCGACTCACTGCAACCTCTGCCTCCTGGGCTCAAGCAATTATCCTGCCTTAGCTTTCTGAGTACCTGGGACTACAGGCAAATGCCACCACAACTGGCTAATTTTTGTATTTTTTGTAGATACAAGGTTTTGCCATGTTGCCCAGGGTGGTCTCGAACTCATGAGCTCAAGCAATCCACCTACCTCGGCCTCCCAAAGTGCTGAGATTACAGGCGTGAGCCATTGCATCCAGCCTTATTATTTTATATCTAGGCAAATAATCTTTTTCTCTGATAAAATCAGAAATGCTATTACTTTTTATGCAATTTTCTTCATGTGTCTATAGAAAGAAAGGTAACTCATATTCTTCAGCTCACGTTCAACTATTTCTTTAAATTATTATTTTCTTTCATAAACTTAAATTCAAAAGACAGAAAGCAGAAGAAAAAAATAAATCAAAGTTTTTGTTCTATCCTAGGAGAAGGCTATTGCATGTGAAAGAAGCCTTTTTTTATGGGTAGCTCTAGGTCCTAAAAGAAAACTCATCTTTTTTTCTCAGTTTTTTATCGATACATAATTACTGTGCCTATTTACAGGGTACATGTGATATTTTGTTACATGCATATAATGTGTAATAATCAAATCAGGGTAATTAGTATATTTGTCATGTTACAGAAAAAGTTTAGGCAAATTAAATTTTACAGCATTTAATTGAGCAAAGAATAATTGCCAAGTTGGGCGACGTGCTTTAACCTGAATAGTTTCAAGAGAGACACCAGTCTTGCTGCATAGTCAGAAAAGATTATGGGCAAAAAAGGAAAGTGACATACAGAAAATGGAAGGGAGGTACAGAAACAGTTGGATTGGTTACAGTTTAGTTTTTGCCTTATTTGAACACAATTTTAACAGTTGGCTGCCTTGATTGGCTGAAACTCAATGACTGGTACAAGAGTTGGTTAGTCTGTTTACATGTCTAGTTAGGTTACAGTTCACTATGTACAAAGAAACCTTTGGGAGAGACTTAAAATATGTACAGAAGCAGCTTTAGGCTAAACTTAATTTAACAATTGCCCATTAAAAACTTTAGGCATTAATGTCACTCTGTCACCATCGTAAATGTAATTAACTGGCCACAAATCCCACTGGGAAACAGCAGAACAAAGATGAGGGTAAGGTCTTCAGGTTACTCATTTGTAAAGATTAAAGCAGAGGTGACCTTCTTATGCTAGAATCACCTGTTTTCAGAAGAGAGACAAAAAACAAAAACAAAAACAAGCAAACAAACAAACAAACAAAAAACTGCTCTGTCTTGCAATCTATCTGCTTCCTTAAAGTATTAGTTTGATTAAATCACATGTAACATAAGTGACTCCATTTTGGTTTGACCTGGTCTGGTATTTTGGGTCCTAGTGCTCAGTCCAAATCAATGGCCTTCCATAATTTTGTTTAACACTTCCCTCCTTTTGATCAAGTTCTCACTTAGGTGAGAGTGTGACCAAAACTTAGAGCTTTAGCACTACTCTCGGTTACCATCATTTTGGGTTACCAGTCTCAGCATGTCATTTGTAGGTTACAGAGTCCTCATGACCATGCATTTCTTCAAGATTTAGTCATTTCAGTCAAAAATAAACCACATGACATTTTATTGATGGCTTCATGCAGACATTTAAAACCTGAAAGACTACAGTGCACCAGGGAGACTATTGTTATGACTATCAGGAGGACAATACCAACAGCTTGCAGTATGCTCCTTAGCCAAGGTACCCATGAAACAAACCAACTTAAAATTAAATAGATCAAAGAATGTGCTAAACTGTCAATGCATTTCAACCAAGCAGCCTGTTCGTTAATCTCCTACAACTCAGTCTCTATAAGACCTGATGTATTCATCCATGTACAACAAGAGGTGTCACAAACTGAACAGATTCTTCTCTTTTCAGCCAGTAAGTAATCTAGAGCAATTCTATTATCTATCTAAAAACAGAGTTTTTAAAAGTATGTTGTGAAACTATAGTCTTTGCAGTAGAATCTGCTATAGAGCCTTTTATGAGGGACACATTTCTTACAATCGCCTTACTTACTATAAACAATGGAAAAAGGGACCTACAAAATCATGCCCGCCCAGAAGGGTGAAGTCCTCCTTGAAAAGTTCTCTTTCATCTATGATGTATATTATGAGGAATTAGTCAATGTTCTGTTTCTGACTATGAAGCAGCAAAGGTACCATTAAAATTTCTTACCCACATTGGTCCTTTATCTTCCTTCTTTCAAGGCATAAGTTTGCTCATGCATAAGGCGTAAGGTTGGCTGTGAAATCCTCCACAAATAAAATATACTCCATAGCTGCACTCAAGTCCCCTTTTACAGCTCTGTTGTTCATAGAGGCATAAGTAAAGAAAAAAATTAAGAGAAGTAAACGTTTTCTAATAGCAGAGAAGTCTTAATCCGGGATCTTGAGAAAGTAGACTAAGTCTATGATACCACTGGCATCTGGGAAGAAACTTTCCTGGTTAGCTTTACCTTAAGGTTTTCAATGTGTATGCAGTTCCAAGAGTCTACAGGGACCCTTCTGGTTGTGAAATTAGGAACCCAACGTCCAAGATTCCAAAATTTGGCTGCAGGGTGGGTGGCAAGGGCAGTCTTTCTCTAACGTAATTTCCAGAAGACAAAATCTCTGCGTTCTAGATGATGAAGGATTTGATTGTCCTCAGTCCTTTACTTCACCAGGTACACTTTGGCATAAAACATTGAAGTCTTTCAGAATTTAGTCATGTTAGCATTTAGGAGCAGAGAATACAAACGGTTCTATTATTAGGGACTGAGGCCTTCCAGTGACTATTTTATAGGTGGTTAACGTACGTTTTTTCATGGGAAGAGGATCTGAATGTCAATTTGTAATACGCCTGACCAACGATACCCAGTTGATTCAGTTAGCTTTGCTTCATGTTATTGTATCTGTAATACCTTATTTAATAGTTTTATAACTTGTCTAGTGAAACAATCACCTTATTACTGGAGATTTCTCCAGGAATTCCCCATGAGAGAAACACATTTTCTAATAACCTGTTAGCTAGAATTACAGTATCTGCCTTCTTGCCTGGGAAAACTTGCAGGGGAAAAGTCCAAATTTTGTAATCTCTTTTGGTTCAAAATGCATTTCCATAACTATATTAGACTTCATGATCATTTAAATATTTCAATTACCTCTATATTACCATCTTTTTGACTTTTAAATTCTCTCTCTTCTGCTTACAAGTTTAGTTTTATCCTGCCATCTCCATCATTTCTCACAGGCATGCTTTCTGCTCTTTCTTTTTATCTACTTCTATGTCCTTTTTCTTTGTCTTCTTGTCCCTGTGTTATTAACACCATATTCTAGTTTACTTAATTTTGGAATGTTCCACTCTGCTTTAGCATGTCATTAACTTTAGAACATTTCAAATGTGTCCATGTAACTGAAATCTCATCCTTATGCAAAACTAGTCAAGGAACAGTATATAGTAACTATAAAGATTCAAGAAAATCTGCATACTGATACAGAAAATACCAATAACATACTAGGTTTATAAAACAAGTTGAAATCTACTATGAAAAATATAATCTGATATATTTTAAAGTATTTAACGATAAAAAAAGTAAAATCTATGTTTCGTATGTGTACAAAAAATAACATATATCCACCAACTAATTAAAATGTCATCTTATAGGCTCAAATCCTAATGGGGAATGAAGGGATTTATTAATCACTGAAAAAAATAATTATTCAATCAATCAGTAATCATTTCTAATTATATGTGTGTGTATGCATGTAGTTTTTAAAATTAGGCACATTTTAAATAATTTCTATAGAAGACTGTGAGGCTAAATCTTCAAAAACTAAATAAACACCACCTTTGTGGAAACTGAATCTTCCAGTTATTATTATAGCTATAAGTCACTAAAGGTAAACTCTCAAAGTAATACCTCTTAAAACCTTCCAATAATCTAATATTTTTTGCTCTGCTTATGGCTGACACAACATTTGCATTGCTAATAAACATGCTTAATAAAATGACATTTTAAGTTGTTTATTAATAGCACATCTTCCTGCTTCTACAAAGCTCTTTCAGCATGTAGTTAGGCTGTATTTTGCAAAGGCTTTAATTCATTTTTGGTGTATCTAATTCCAAGAAAATAAAAAATTTTAGTATTTTGTTTGAAAGTTTTTCTATATACCATCAAAATACAAATGTATTTATCTATTCAGCTAGTATTGTTTCTACTACTTAGAGCAATTTCAACTAAAAAGGATACTATGCTATATCCCTGATGTTTTGGATCTTATAAATGATGTTAAACAAAAGTATACAGTGACTAGACACATAAACAAGATAAAGTTAAGTAATAATAATATTATGAAGAAAATAAAATAAAGATTTGATAGATGTGGTCTGGGATTGGAACGAGTACAAAAGTAGATTCTCTAGCCAGGGAATCTCAGTGGAATAGTATATGATGGGGAGACAACAAGGGCTAAGCCATATAATGATTGCGGATGTTAATCAGGATTTTGGAAACAAGGGAGCTAGAAAGTCTTTGAACTGTTTTTTAAAAGTGTGGTAATTTTTTATGTCTTTAAAAAGAAAATATTGATTATTGTTTGGAGAATGGATTTCAGAGTGGAATAAAGAAAGGAAAGCCACAAGTTAAGAGGTAATTGCTACGCCCCTCCTGTGATGGTTAATACTGAGTGTCAACTTGATTGGATTGAAGGATGGAAAGTATTGTTCTTGAGTGTGTCTGTGAGGGTGTTGCCAAAGGAGATTAACATTTGAGTCAGTGGACTGGGAGAGGCAGACCCACCCTCAGTCTGGGTGAGCACCACCTAGTCAGCTGCCAGTAAGGCTAGAATAAAGCAGGCAGAGGAACATGGAAGGACTAGACTGGCTGAGTCTTCTGGCCTCCATCTTTCTCCTGTGCTGGATTTCCTGCCCTCAAACATTGGAATCCCAAGATCTTCAGTTTTTGGACTCTTGGACCTACACAATGGTTTACCAGGGGCTTTGGGGCCTTCAGCCACAGACTGAAGGCTGCACTGTTGGCTTCCCTACTTGTAAGGTTTTCCTACTTATAAGGTTTTGGGACTCGAACTGGCTCCCTTGCTCCTCAGCTTGCAGATGGCCTATTGTGAGACTTCATCCTGTGATCATGTGAGCCAACACTCAATAAACTCCCCTTCACATATACATCTATCCTATTAGTTTTGCCTCTCCAGAGAACCCTAATACACCTGGTATAGAAGACAATCAAATTTTCTGTCAAACAAAAGCTCTTGAGGACTCTGGAGACTTAACAAAGGCAAATCTTGATTTTGAAAGGGAATCAAAATGTAAGGAAAATGATTGGTTCAAAGTTCACCAATTTTTTTGAGGTGATGTTCTGTGTTCATGTGAAGTCATCACAGTGGCAATATTGCTGGGATGCCTAATACTATGATAGAATGCGAAGGAATGAGGATGAAACACCTGGGTGATTAGGTTTCCTGAGAAAGGGAAATTACTGCTAGGAGAGACCGGAAACTCAAATCCCTGTGCTTAAACTCATACCAATTTCCTGGCTAATTCTGGGAACCATGCATATGAGGCAAACTGAAAGCAGCATATGCCTAATGCTAAACAAAGTTAACAAAGATGTGAGCTAGCACCTACCGCGGATATGACTGATTTCAGTTTTAATGTAACCAAATTTACTGCCTGCTAAACAAAAAAACCTTCATAATAATATTTAAAAAAACCTAGAGTGTCTACAATGTAATATTATTACTCAAAATAGAAAGAGACAGAAAAATGTCACCTGGATTTAGGGAAAAAAATAATAATCGGAAGTCAATGTAAAATGATCTTGATATTGGAATTATCAGGAAAGAATGACAAAATGGCCATTTAAACAATGGTTTGTCAGAAAATGGTGAAAATGTGCTCAATGAAATAAAAAATATAAAATCTCAGCACAAATAGAAAATATAAAAAATAAAAATGGAAGTTTACATACTGAAAAATGGAATATCTAAAATAAATCACTAAATGGCCTTACTACCAGAAAGAAAATAACAGTGGGAAGAGTCAGTGAATGTGAACATAAATTATTAGAAGTAATCTAATTTTAAAAAGAGAAATAAAAAATATTTTTTAGAAAAGGACAAGGAGAGCCTTAGTGAGCTATGCAATGCCTTTAAAAGGATAGTTAGACTTCCAAAGGAGAAGAGAAGTAGAGTGGATAGAAAAAACTGGTTAAGTAATGACAAAGAGCTTGTTAAAATTGATGAAAGATGCAAATTTACAGATACAAGAAGGCTAGTGAATATCAAAAAGAATAAATTCAAATCAATCCATTACTAGTAAAATAATAGACACACTGAAAAATCAGAGACCAAAGTTAGAGAGAAAATCTTGAGAACAACCAAGGAAAAACAAGTAAACAACTATTCAAATGACTTGGATCTTCTCAACAAAATCATAGAGGTCAAAAAAAAAAAAAAAAAAGGAACAAAACCAAAAAACCAGAATAGCATATTTCAAGTTTTGAGAGAGGGAAAAAGAAATAAAATTCTATATACTCTAAGTAATTTCCTTTTAGAATAAATGTAAAAATGTTTTTAGATTAAAAAACTAAATGGATATATCTTTAGTAAAAGTGAAAAACATAAAATGCTAATAGAAATTATTTAGGCTGAAGGGAAATGATAGTCAAACATTGGATCTTTATGAACACTTAATCAATGGAAATAGTAAATATATGGTACATTTTAAAAGATTATTTTCTTAAGAAATCCTATGACCACTTAAAAGAATATTTATAATTATTTTGTGGGATTTATGTTGTATATAAATGAAATACATATAAAATTATAGCATAAATGGATGGTAGGGTTATAAACCAATATGGGTTTTAAGGTTCCTACATTTTTATTTGAACTGGTACATAATAATTTCTAAGTGGGTTTTACAAAGATTAAGAATGTGTATTGTAATTTTGGTGCAACAATTAAAAACATAATAAAAAGCAATATAGATACAAAGCCAGTTGTTAAATTAAATTCCATCAAAGAATATAAAAGCTTCAAAAGAAGTCGAGCAAAGGGAAGAAAGAAACTAAGTGTGTGAGGGGAGAAAATGGTAAACAAATAACAAGACGATAGATCTAAATCTAATTATATCAAATATATTAAGTATTAATAGACGTAACACTTCAACTCAAAGGGGAAAATCATCAGAATGGATAAAAAGTAGAACCAAACTACCTGCTGTCTATGCAAGACACACTTGAAATGTAAAAACAGATAAATAGAAAATGGATGAAAATGTTCTAACATGCAAAAGTATAAGAAGGCTGGGGTGGCTATTTTAATATCAAATTAAATCAACATTAGGATCAAGAGTATTATCAAAGAGAGAGAGGCTTTTTCATAATGATATGAGGGTAAAATTACCAGAAATATACAATAAAAATGGATAAATGTCTAACAGTCTCAAAAGCATAATATCTACATTTTCTAAATTTGAAGAGGATATAAACATTTTAACAATCAGAGGTTGAGATTTTTATGCCCTTTTCTCAGCACTTGGTAAAACAATTAGGCATGATGAGTTAGTGGGTGCAGCGCACCAGCATGGCACATGTATACATATGTAACTAACCTGCACATTGTGCACATGTACCCTAAAACTTAAAGTATAATAATAATAAATTTAAAAAAAAAATTAGGCAAAGGATTCAGTAAAAACAGAAAATCTTAATAACACTATCAAACAATTTGAATAAATTGATACTTACAATACATGCTACCCCAAAACTCTAGAGACATGTTATTTCCAAGTTTAGGTGGCCCATTCATAAAAAGAGGGCATACTTAGATTATTAAATAAGTCTAAACATATTTAAAAGATTGTAATAATGCAGGATATCCAGTGTATTCTCTGCAAATAATAAAATTAAATATAAATCAAGATCAATAACATATATAAAAAGACAAATATTTGGAATTTTTACATTTCAAAATCATGAAGAAAATTAGAGAATATTTTTATCAAATGGTGAATAAAATTTAATATATCAATATTTGTATGATTTAAGATGTGACATGTTAGAAAATAAGAAGTCGGTCGAAGATTGTTATCTCAGTCTCAAGAATTTTTAAAAGTACAGTGACAAAGAGGGATTAAAATAGACACAAAATAAAAATAAAAATAATAATTTGTATTACTAGAAAAAAATAAATGAAAATAGAAAATAGTCAAGCAATAGAGAAAATCAACAATGGAAAAATCTGGTTTTAAAAAATCAAGAAAATTGATAAAGCTGTTGCTTTATCGATAAATATAAGAAGGAATCACAATCACAAATATGAGGAATGATGACTAAATATCTTAAAAACTAAATGGATAAAGTAATGTTAAAATGGTGTATTAGTCCATTCTCACACTGCTATAAACTGCCTGAGACTGGGTAATTTATAAAGGAAAGAGGTTTAATTGACTCAAAGATCCACAGGGCTGGGGAGGCCTCAGGAAACTTACAATCATCATGGAAGGGAAAGCAAACACAACCTTCTTCACTTGATGGCAGGAAGGAGAGGAATGAGAGCTGAGTGAAGGAGAAAGCTCCTCATAAAAATATCAGATATCTTGAGAACTTACTCGCTATCATTAGACTAGCATTGGGGACACCACTGCCATGATTCAATGATCTCCCACTGGGTCTCTCCCACCACATGTGAGCTACAATTTAAGAAGAGATTTGGGTGGGGACATAGCCAAACCACTTCATTCCACCCCAGCCCCTCCCAAATCTCATGTCCTCACATTTTAAAACACAATCATGCCCTTCCAATGGCCCCCCAAAGTCTTAACTTATTCCAGCATTAACTCAAATGTCTAAATCCAAAGTCTCATCTGAGACAAAGCTTGTCCCTTCTGAGCCTGTAGAATCAAAAGCAAGTTAATTACTTCCTAGAAACAATGGGGTACAGGCATTGAGTAAATAGACCCATTCCAAATGGAGAAATTGGCCAAACCAAAGGGGCTATAGGCCCCATGCAAGTCTGAAATCCAATAGGGCAGTCATCAAACTTTAAAGTTCCAAAACGATTTCTTATGACTCCATGTCTCACATTTATGTTATGCTAATGCAAGAGCTGGGCTCCCAAGGCCTTGGGCAGCTCCACCCCTGTGGCTTTGCAGGATACAGCCCCCTTCCTAGCTGGTTTCATGGCTGGCATTGAGTGCCATGGCTTTTCCAGGTGCACAGTGCAAGCAGTCAGTGGATCTACCACTCTGGGGTCTGGGGGATGGTGGCCATCTCCGCACAGCTCCACTAGGGAATGCCACAGTGGGGACTCTGTGTGGGAGCACCAACCCCACATTTCCCTTCTGCACTGCCCTAGCAGAGGTTCTCCATGAGGGCTTCGCTCCTGCAGCAAAGTTCTGCTTGGACATCCAAGCATACCCATACACCCTCTAAAATCTAAGTGAGGGTTCCCCAACCTGAATTATTGACTTCTGTGCACACACAGGTCCAACACCACATGTAAGCCACCAAGGCTTGGGGCTAACATCCTCTGAAGCAATGGCCTGAGCTGAACGTTGGCCCCTTTTAGCCACGGCTGGAGCTGAAGCAGCTGGGACTCAGGACACCAAGTCCCAAGGCCGCCCACACAAGGGGAGCCCTGAGCCCGGCCCATGAGACATTTTTCTTCCTAGGCCTCTGGGCCTATGATGGGACAGGCTGCCGTGAAGTTCTCTGACATGCCCTGGAGACATTTTTCTCATTGTCTTGGTCATCCTTGTTACTTATGAAAATTTCTGCATCCTGCTTGAATTTCTCCCCAGAAAATGGGTTTTTGCTTTTGCTATTGCATTGTCAGTCTGCAAATTTTCCAAACTTTTATACTCTGTTTTCTCTTCAATGCTTTGCTGCTTAGAAATTCCTTCTACCAGATTTTCTATATTATGTCTCTCAAGTTCAAAGTTTCACAGATCTCTAGGGCAGATGCAAAATGCCACCAGTCTCTTTGCATAGCAAGAGTCACCTTTACTCTAGTTCCGAAAAAGTTTCCCATCTCCATCAGAGACCACCTCAGCCTGGACTTCATTATCCATAACACTATCAGCATTTTGTTCAAAGTCACTCAACAAGTCTCTAGGAAGTTCCCAAAGTTCCTATATCTTCTTATCTTTTTCTGAGCCATCCAAACTGTTCCAACTTCTGCCTGTTACCCAGTTCCAAAGTTGCTTCCACATTTTCAGGTGTCCTTATAGCAGTACCACACTCTCTGGGGTACCAATATACTGTATTAGTCCATTCTCATGCTGCTATAAAGAACTGCCTGAGACTGGGTAATTTATTAAAGGAAAGAGATTTAATTGACTCACAGTTCTGCAGGGCTGGGAAGGTCTCAGGAAACTTACAATCATGGCAGAAGGGGAAGCAAATACGTCCTTCACATGTTGACAGGAAGGAGAATAATGAGAACCAAGCGAAGGAGGAGGCTCCTTATAAAATTATCAGATCTTGTGAAAACTTACTATCATGAGAATAGCATGGGGGAAACCAACCCCATGATTCAATTACCTCCCACTGGTCCCTCCCACCACATGTGGGGATTATGGGAACTGCAGCTCAAGATGAGATTTTGGTGGGACACAACCAAATCATATCAAATGGCAAAAAATATATATATTTTTAAAACGCAGTATATCCAGTGTGTTTTCTGGAAATAATGGAACTAAATACAAATCAGTACAATAGTAACTGTTGATAAGGATGAGAGCAACTAGAATATCCATGGTGATCTGGGCCGAGCTGTGTCTTTACAATACTCATATATTTAGTTCTATCCCCCAGTATTTTAGAGTGACACTGTATATGGAAATAGGCTTTTAAAGAGAAAAATAAAGTATAATCAGGTCATTTAGGTGGGCCCTAATCAAACATGATCTATGTCCTAATAAAAAGATGAGATTAGCACCCAGACAACACACAATTTTACCAAGTGACAGCCATGTGAGGACATAGTGAGAGGAAAGCAAGGCATGGACAGAAGCCTCCAAAGGAAACCAAATCTGCTCACAACTCATCTAACCTCCAGGATTGTGAGGAAATACATTTCTGTTGTTTAAGCTATCCAGTCTGTAGTATTTTGTTATGGCAACCTGATATGGTTTGGCTCTGTGTCCCTACACAAATTTCATGTTGAATTGTAATTCCCAATTTGAGGGAGGAACATGGTAGGAGGTGATTGAGTCATGTGGGTGGATTTTCCCCTTGGTGTTCTTGTAATAGTGAGTGTGTTCTCATGAGATCCGGTTGTTTGAAAGTGTGTAGCACTTCCTCCTTTGCCGTCTCTCTCTCTCCTGCTCTGCCATGGTAAGTTGTGTTTGCTTTCCCCTCACCTTGAGCCATGATTGCACGTTTCCTGAGGCTTCCCCAGCCACGCCTCCTGTACAGCCTACAGAACTGTGCATCAATTAAACCTCTTTACTTCATAAATGACCCAGCCTCAGGTAGCTCTTTGTAGCAGTGTGAGAATGAACTAATACACAGCTCTAACAAACTAACACAACAAAGATAAAAAAAAATGTACAGCCACTTTGAAAAACTCTGACAATTTATTTGTGAGAGTAATCAGTTCCTATTGGGGCCCAGCTATTCTACTCACAGGTTTTACCAAGAACAATAAAATACCTACTCAGAGACTTATATATGAATGTCCACAGCATCTTTATTCAAAATAGTCAAAAATCTTAACAACATAAATTTCCACCAACAGGTAAATGAAAAAAAATATTTTGGTATATCCATAAAATATATGACTACACAGTGATATAAAGCAATAAGCTACTGATACATGCAATTATATGAATGAGTCATAAAATAATTATGATAAGTAAAAGAAGCTGGACATAAAAGACCCAATTACTATATGATTCTATTCATATTAAATACAAACTAATCTATAATGACAAAAAACTAGATCAGTGGTTGTCTGGAAATGGAGTTGGGTAGAGGTGAGCCTGCAAAGAGGTAAAAGGAATCTCTAGTGTGTTATGGAAATATTGTATTTTAACTGTGGTACTGATTTCATTGGTGAGCATAACTATTGAAACTCATTAAACAGATTCCATTTATTGTACTTAAATTATACCTCAATCAATTTAATATTAAGGAGGTAATTACAATTATTTAAGTAAGAGATTATGATGGTTTAACCAAAGGGAATTGCTGATGAAGAAACAAGGAAAGATAAATGAAGTAATTTCAAGGTACAGTTCATAGAACTGACTTAATCAAGATTTTATTTAACAATTCTCCCATCAATATGCAGCTATAAAGTGACTGGCATATATTTCACACTATGCTGATTTTTCAAAGTTCTGTTATGTATTTTCTTTATTCATGCATTAAGTCATTCTTTTATTAAATATATACTAAGTTTACCAGGTGCCAGGCACTATAATATACGCTGGGGCTACAAAAGTAATGAACAAATGGCTCTGCTCCCTGCTTCCATGGAGCTTGCATTCCACTGGAGGATGTAAGCATTTATTAAAATTGATAGAAATAGATATACATTTTCACAGTAGTTAGAACATACAAGACAAATATTTGCCCTGGTTTATAACATTAGGGAAGGCAGCTCTGCAGCAAAAATACTTGAACGGAGAGTCCGAAGGTGAGTAGCGTTAAGTAAGCAGAAAGAAAATAACATTCCAGGTAAAGGTAACCCCATGCTGATTGACCCTTTGATAGGAGTATGAATGAAGACTTTGAGGTACAGAAAGAATGCCAGTGTAGGGAGATGCACTGTATACCAGCGTGGAATGGTATGCAACTGACACGTAGGTAGGAAAGAGAACATGCAAATCTCTATTCTGTTAGCAACAGAAAGCCATCGATATGCTTCAATGTGAGTAAGAAATATAGATCATATTATTATAATTGTCTTTCAAAAGGAATGGGAAGGGATTCAATATATGTAAACTAGATAAGAGATAACTGCACTTTCTTTACTATGGCCAAAGGTTGCTCATCATTCTAATCTCATCACCTAGCATGCTCTACTCAATGAACTTTACTGATTTTTTTCCTTCATACGTACTAAGGATATTCACATACCAAATCTTTCTACTGGCTCTTCTTTCTGTCCGGAATTATTTTGTAATAATGAATTCCTATAATTCATGTCTCAACTGACACCCTCTGAGTATAAAAAGTTTTGTCCCATAAATTTGAAAACAACTGATTCAGAATAATTTGGCTTGCAACTGGAGGTTGGAGAACATTAACTGGAGGAGAATTATGGATTGAAGAAAAGATTTATTTTCATTTTGGTTTTGTTTTCAGTAGAAGCAACTAGGCTGGACATGGTGGCTTATACCTGTAATCCCAATACTTTGGGAGGCTAAGGCAGGAGGATTGCTTGAGCCCGGGAGTTTGAGACCAGCCTAGACCAATATAATGAAACTCTGTCTTCATTTAAAAATAATAGTAATAATAATAATAATCAAAATAACTAGAGCATATGCTCATGTCTGTGGTTATTTGCAATTTTCCCCATGTGTTTAATATAGTTATAATTTTATTCATCATTCAAATCTTTAATCATTTTTACCTTAAAGTATCAGATAGAGATCTAGTGTTTATTTTGCTGATGCTATGCTTTCCCCATTCTATTTTTATGATACGTTTCCATATATAATTCTGTTTGTATGTGTAATTTCTAGTCTGTTTAACTGCTCCCTGTGTTTACTGATTAAACATCCTCATACTTAATTATGTAATTTCAATATCTGAGAAGGCACATCCCTATACATTTCTCTTTCTCTCTTTGTCTCTACTTAAATTTCTCTGAAGTTTTCCCTTGTCTATTATTCCTTAAGAAAATAGTAAAACAGAATTGTCTGATTCAAATGATCTTTGTTGTTATTTTTATTACTAACAATGTTAAATGCATAGATCAAGAAGTGGAAGACTGATATATTATGAAGATGGTTGACTAGACACAGTCAGGCAGAGGCACATCTCCCACCAAGAGGAGCAAAAATATTGACTAAACCATCACATTTCAAACATATATTTTGAGATAGAACACTAAAAGTCAATAGAGAGGCCACAGAGATGTTATGTCTGAAGAGGAGGGAAGTTGGGAAACCTCCACAAGTTGCTGAGCACCAGAACCAGCTCCTGACCCTGAACAGGTCCTAAAGAAAGGGTGACTGAAGGAACTCCAGGAAACCACACTGCTGCTGTGGGCCTCTGGGGTGCTGGATACAAGAGGTCCCATGACCCCCATGGACATTTAAATTGGCAGGGAAGAACTGCCTGGAGGTCAAATAGAGGCAGAGCTTGAACCTACATGGAGCCCAGTGGGTTTTGCAATACATGGTACAACAGGAGCTAAACACAACCATAGGCACCTATTCCCCAGGGCTCTCCATCTTGCTCTGAGTGATTGTTGTTCCTGATGATAGCTGGGCTGGGAGAGAGCAGGACTGCCTTTCCCTGGGGACCAGAATCTATGTGCCTCCTTGTCCATTCCAATACTACTGGCTTCGCCACTCACACAGGAGAGTGCCCACAGCTCAGCCTCCATTTTTCTACCTGAGTGTTTTTCTGGTGGCCTCTGAGTAGTTTGGTGACCCAGCACAGCCAGAAATCAACCCCAAGGGGCCAGAGGACAAAACCATGGTTCTGGTTCCAGCCCTATAGTATTCAAGCACACAACCCAGGGATGTCAAGCCAAGATCAGTGGCCTGAGCTCGAGTGGAGGAGAAGCCCCTAATCTCAGAGCATTTAGAAGAGTGTGGCAGGGGTTCCTCTGACAGCATGGATCTGGACATGCCTCCTTCCACAAGATCAGTCTGGGAAGGGTGTGGCCTAATAACTAACCACAGCTTCTTCCTCAGGGAGCCCCATGGCTTGGAAACTCAGGAACAGCCCAGCGATCTGTGTACAGAAGTTTTGGGAAAAGCCTACCTGATCAAGCCTGCTTTTCGGGCAGATGCCAGCGGGAGAACTGCTGGGCTGGGAGAGCATGAGCTAGGAATACTCCACAGCCAACTGTCAGGCAAAAAACCCCAGGCTGCAGGCACCACACCAGCTGCGTACCTACTGTATTATCATCCTGTTTGGGGATTTTTCACCCTTGACCCATTGCATCTCCAGACCACCCACAGACATACCCCACAACCTGCTCTGACACTGCCAAGCTCAGAGGACGAGTGGGTGCTCCAGGGAGTTGCAGATCTTCTGGTGACCTAATCTTTGGCTCAGTTACTCCTAAGGGAGGGGGAGAGTGCAGCCTACCAAAACCCCCTTTGCACCTAATGAAATGTGGGCACAGTGCCAAAAATTGAAGGTAGCTCCACCAAGGCCTAGGAATGGAATTGGTAAAGGTTCATCTCTCTTCCCCCGCATCCCTTTTCTTAAGAGTACTGCTTCATATGCCATGAAATACAAAAGAGGCATGGGGCCAAGCAAAAGCCTATTTGCCAGCACTTACTCTTGACTGTTTGTATTGGTTCCTCAGTTTCAGACCTCTGAAGATACCCAGAAATCAAGCCAATTGACTACACTTTACATACACCACAGTCAAAAACACTCAAAGGAAAAAAAATATAAAAACAAAAAGCCCCATTTAAAGGACAATAATTACAAAAAGAAAAAGAAACTCAGTCCCCTCAGATAAGAAGGAATCAGCCCAAGAACTCCAGAAATTTGAAAACTCAGTGTTTTCTTACCTCCAAAGGATTGCACTAGGTTTCAAGTAATGGATCCTAACCATATTGAAATGTTTGAAATGATAGACATAGAATTCAGAATCTGGATGGCAAGGAAGCACAGTAAGATTCATGAGAAAGCTGAAACCCAATCCATGGAAGCCAGAACAATTACCCAAATAGGAAAGCCAACATAGCCACATTATGAAAGAACTAAACTGAACTTAAGCAATTAAAAAATTCACTACAGGAATTTCAAAATATAAATGGAAGTCTTAACAACAGACTAGACCAAGATGAGGAAATAATTTCAAAGCCAGAAGACTAGTCCTTTCAATCAACCCTGTCAGACAAAAAAAAAAAAAAGAAAAAGAAAAAATAACTTTAAAAAATGAACAGGCTGTGTGTGCTCACTCGAGCCTGTAATTCCAGTACTCTGGGAGGCTGATGTAGGTGAATTGCTTGAGCCCAGGAGTTCCAGACCAGCCTGAACAACATATTGAAAACCCATCTCCACCAAAAAAAAAAAAAAAAAAAAAAACACACACACACACACAAATACCAAAAAGATCTGGGTGTGGTGGCATTCGCCTGTAATTACAGCTATTTAGGAGGCTGAAATGGGAGGATTGCTTGAGCTTGGGAGGTGGTGGTTGTAGTGAACTGAGATTGTACCATTGCACTCCAGCCTGGGCAACAGAGTGAGACACTGTCTCAAAAAAAAATAAATGAACAAAGCTTCTGATAAATATGGGAGCATGTAAAAAGAACAAATCTGTGACTTAGTGGCATTCTAAGCAATAAGAAGAGAGAGTAACCAACTTGAAAAACATATTTGAGGATAAAATCCATCAAAAGTTCTTGTCTTGCTACAGAGATTGACACACAATTCAAGAAATTCAGAGAACCCCAGGGAGATACTATATAAGATGACCATCCCCAAGACACGTCATCAGACTTTCCAAGGTGGATGTGAAAGAAAAAGTTTTAAAGGTAGCTAGAGAAAAGGGTCATATCACTTACTAAGGGAACCCCATCAGGCTTCACCCTGTGTTGAGAAAGTGGACTTAACCTTACATATCAATATTAACCTTGAATGTAAATGGTTTCAATGTCCCACTTAAATGTACAGAGTGGCAAATTGAATTAAAAACAAGACCTAACCTTCTTTTGTCTTCAAGAGACCCATCTCATGTGTAATGACACCTATATACTCAAAGTAAAGGCAAGGAAGAAGATCTCATATGCAAATGAACACCAAAAAAGAGCAGGGGTCACTATTCTTATATCACATAAGAAATCTTATCAGATAACAAACATTTTAGAAATTAAAAGAGACCTGAAACCAACAACAGTAAAAAAGGACAAAGGTCATTACATAATGACAAATGGTGCCACTCAATGAGAAGACAACTATCCTAAATATATATATGTATGTGTATATATATATATGTGTGTATATACATATATACATATACATATGTGTGTGTATATATATATAAAATATATATATACACACACACTCAATATTGGAGCACCTAGATTCATAAAACAAGTACTTCTAGACCTATGAAAATAATTAAACATCCACATAGTAGTAGTGGGGAACTTTAATACCACACTGAAAACATTAGACAGATCATCAAGGCAGAACACTAAAAAATTTTTTTTGAATCTAAATTTGACACTTGAAAAATTGGAACTAATAGATATCTACAGAATATTCCACCCAACATCCACAGAATACACCTTCTTATCATCTGCACATGGACTCCACTCTATGTTCAACCCCATGCTCAGCCATAAAGCAAGCCTCAATAAATTTTAAAGAAAATTGAAATCATACTAACCATATTCCTCAACCATAGCAGAATAAAAATAGAAATCAACCAAGAGTTACTTGAAAACCACACAATTACATGAAAACTAAACTACTTGCTCCTGAATGACTTTTGGACTTTTGGGTAAACAATGAAATTAAGGCAGAAATACAAAAGTTATTTGAAATAGATGAAAACAGATACAACTTCCCAAAATCTCTGAGATGCAGCAAAAGTATTCTTAAGAGGAAAGTTTATGGTGCTAAACACCTACTCAAAAAGATAGAAAGATCTCAAATGAACAACCTAAAGTTAGTTACATTTAGAGGAACTAGAAAAACAAAGCAAACTAACCCCAAAACTAACAGAAGAAAAGAAATAACTAAAATCAGCACAGAACTAAACAAATTGAGACATGAAAATTCATACAAAGGACAAGCAAAATGAAAAGTTGCTTATTTAAGAGAATAAACAAAATCTATGGACCACTGGGTAGACTATCAAAAAGGACAGAAGATCCAAATGAGCACAATCAGAAATGACAACAGTGACATTGCAAGTGATTCCACAGAAACAAAAAACACCATCAGAGACTACCACGAACACCTTTATGCATACAAACTAGAAAATCTAGAGGAAATAGACACATTCCTGGAAACATACAACCTCCCAAGAAAATCAGGAAGAAACTGAAGCCCTGAAAAGACCAATAATGAGTCTCAAAATTAAGTAAGTGGTTAAGAAAAAAAACCTATCAACTAAAAAAAGTTCTGGACCACATGGATTCACAGCCAAATTCTACCAGTCATACAGAGAAAGCTGTTACCAACCCTACCGAAACTATTCCAAAAATTCAAGGAGGGATTCTTCCTTAACTCATTCCACAAAGCCAGCATCATCCTGATACCAAAGTCTGGCAAAGACACAAGTAAAACAGAAAACTGCAGGCCAATATATTTGATAAACATAGAGATAAAAATCCTCAAAAAAAAAAAACAAAACCACTAGCAAGTGGAATCTAGCAGCACATCAAAAAGTTAATTCACTACACTTACATAGGCTTTATTCCTGGAATGCAAGGTTGGTTCAACATATGCAAATCACTAACTGTGATTCACTACATAAATAGAATTAAACATAAAAGCCTTATGATCATCTCGATAGATGCAGAAAAGGCTTTTCATAAGATTCAACATTACTTCATGATAAAAACCCTCGACAAACTAGGCATCAAAGGAACATACCTCCAAGTAATAAGAGCCATCTATGACAAACGCACAGCCAACATCATATTGAACAGGCAAAGACTTGGAAACATTCCTCTTAAGAATTGGAAGAAGGCAAAAATGCCCTTTCACCACTCCTATTTAACATAGTACAGGAAGTCCTGGCCAGGACAATCAGACAAGATAAAGAAAAAGGCATTCAATAGGAAAAGAAGAAGTCAAACTATTTCTCTTCACTGATGCTATGATTCCATACCTAAGAGACCTTAAATACTCTGCCAAAAGAATCCTAAGCTTGGTAATCAACTTCAGTAAATTTTCAGGATACAAGACCAGTGTGCAAAAATCAGTAATATTTCTATACACAAATAACATTGAAACTATGAGCCAAATCAAGAATGCAATCTTATTTACAATAATCACACACACAAAATAAAATGCCTAGGAATATATCTAACAGAGGAGGTGAAAGACCTCTGCAAGAAGCACTACAAAACACTGCTGAAAGAAATTACAGATGAAATAAATAAATGACGGAACATCCTATGCTCATAAACTGGAAAGAATCAATATTGCAATGGCCATACTGTCCAAAGTAATCTACAGATTCAGTGTCACTTCTATCTAATTATTGATGCCATTTTTCACAGTTAGAAATATTCTAAAATTCATATGGTACTAAAAATAGCCTTTATAGCCATATATTTAGATGAAATATTTCAGAAAATACTGGCTAAAATGGTAGTCATTTTGAGGGAATCTACAAAGCTGAGGGGCCGGGTTTTAAAATAGGTTATTTTTCACTGTGTAGCTGTTTGTGATCATAGAGATCTTTATAGTGAGCATACATAATCTATTCAAAAATATTGATTGAAATGAACAATACATTATGTGATATATTGAAAAAAAATCTGCAAATGGAATTAGGGTAAATTATGCTGAAAACCAAGTGTAAAACGGCAATAAACTTGCCCTTGCCTGTCATTCTGTAGCACCCTTTAATCTGCTGGTGAGTAGTCTTTGTAATGAGTAACATTTTCCTCTAACATGTTTATTTATTTCAAATTAAATCAACTACTAGATGCCTTTGCCTTGTGTTCTTTACAGCCTGTGGTTAGCATGTAATTATATAATTAGAAAAGTATGTGTGCTTTTTTGTTGTCTTATTTTCTATGTAGGATTTTTGTAATTGTATTCTTCACCTTATTTTGCTTTATTAAACACTTCCTGGACAGGATACATATGACTGCCCTTCCTAGTTATGTGACACTGGCCAAGTCTTAAATTTTCTTAACTGGAATATATACATAACAGTTTCTAACTCATTGGATTATTGGGAATGATTAAAGTGAAAACATATACAAAAGTTTAGCATAGTGTTAACCTATACTAAGTCACCAATGCATTTTAACAATTGATTCCTGTGAAAAGACTTTTTATCTTCCACATAAAATGAATTAATCTATTTATCAGTGGCATTAATGATAATTGTCTTAGCTTTGAGAATACTATATACACAGAAATGGAAATCATGACTTTGCTAATTGTCTTAGCCCACTGGGTTGCTTATAACAAAATCCATAAAATGGATAGCTTAAAAAAAAAAAAAAGAAATTTCTCACAGCTCTCAAGACTGGGAAGTCCAAGATGGAGGTGTCAAGCAAATTCAGTGTCTGAGGATGGCCCACATGCTTCATAGATAAGCATTTCATTACTGCAATCTTACATGGCAGAAGTGGTGAATGAACTCACTTCTTATAAAATGAATGCCTTCATTCTATAAGGCATTACACTAATCCCATTCATGCAGGCAGAATTATCATGACCTAATAACCTCCCAAAAGGCCCCACTTCCTCATACTATCACCTGCAGGTTAGGATTTCAACATATGAATTTCTGGGGGACACAAACATTCAGATCATAGCACTAACCATTTTGTATTGCTCCTCCTTTGGATAAAATTTTGCCTTTACATGTAAAGTACCTTCTTATTTTATTCTGATAACTCATAGGACCTGCAAGTGTGCATAAATCTAGGTTAACATAAAAATTTTCACAGTATGCTTGAACTAAAAAAAGAAGAAAAATGATGACATAGGATCTTGAAATTCACTGTCAGTATGATGAGTCACCTTCAGGTTATTCTTACTCAGTTGATGCCCATCTCTTATCCAATCTCTCTCGAGATAGATGGATAGATAGGTAGATAGACAGACAGACAGATAGATACATAGATAGAATAGATATATAGGTATGCAATCTTTCTGTTTTTTACGGTATTTTGTATACAACATATGATAGCCAAAAGTAACAAAAATATAACTTAATTTGGTGGGAAAAAAACATTTAATTTATAACAAAACACAGGACAAGAAACTGGCTGAGTAGATACTATCAGAATCAATACATTTTAATTACCTGGAAAAAAATGGTTATTTCATGAAAATATTATTTTTTGTAGATGTTTATGCTTATCATGATTATAAATAATCATAATCATATTATCTGTAAATAGTATTTTATTAGCTACACAAATATTGCCTCTCAGAATAATGTCATTTTAGTATAATGAAAGGAGGTATGCTAGAAATTTTATTTGTTCAATATTATTACTGTATTTATCTTCCTATTAGGAGAAAACATGTAATGTACTATACATCTGCCAAAAATGTTTATAATCTTTAAAAATTTTCTCCAGGTATGATTATCAGTAGATAGTATTATTTCATTCCTAGCAATACCTAAGAATGAAAATTTTCTGGTAAAATGAGAATAAGAATTGATTGCTATATAAACAGGCCATGTTTTGTAAACATTAAAACCACTCAAATACTAGTCATAGTGATTATTAGCAGAGTCAGTTCATAAAGAGTAAATGTATGATATATGCAGCTTTACTCTTAGAATCTATATACTGGCACTGCTGGTGCAATTCATTTCCTGAGATCATTTTAAAACTGCATTAGCAGAAAATCTCACCAAACTGTTTTCTACATCATTTGAAGTGTAGTTTCCATAATTCTTCAGGAATGGAGAAAAGACTAACCTCTAAAGATGAAGTAATTTGATTCTGTCTCTTGACAGATATTCTTTAAAAATTAGGCTACTTTCAGCCATTCTATTGTGAGACTTCTATAAGAAATAATCAGATAGTGCTTTGGTTCCCAAGAAAATTTTTTTATATATTAGAAATTATGTGTTTCTGATATATAACATATATATATATATACACACACACACATACATGTATATTTCTGATATATATGTTTATATATGTATCACATACCAGGATATATGCCTTTGTGCTGGAGAGCATGTACTTGTATATATGTGTAAGGGTCTAGAAAATGCAATACTTTACAAAAGTTTTCAACAAACTGGGACATGTAATTATGTAATATAAGTAAAATGGCAAGCACAATAATTTTCTTGATTAATAACAAGCAATATCCTGATATGTTTTTCAGAGCATCATCTTGTTAGTTCAATTCTACGTGACATGTTTGTTTGTTTTTTTTTCTCACATTCCTCTTCCTCACCCAGACACTGACCTCATCCTTTGAGTAGCCACTGATACTGCTTTTTCTGGGAATGAGCCAGCATCCTGCTTTTATCTCTTCACCAAATACCTTGTGATTTTTTGTGCCACTACAACATATTACCTGAGCCTGGGTAATTTATAATAAGTGGACATTGTATTTCTCACAGTTCTGGAAACTGAGCAGCCCAATGTCAAGATGTTGGCATCTGGTAAGGGCCTTATTGCTGCATCATCCTATGGCAGAAGGGCAAAAGAGCATGGGGTGTGGCGTGGGGTAAAGAAAGAGAGCAGAAATTATTACATTTTTAAAATCAGAAATTCACTCCCAAGACAACTAACCCATTCCTGTAATAACAGCTTTAATTATGAGTGGAGAGTTCTTGTGACCTAATCACCTTTTAAAGGTACCACCTCTCAATTCTATTGCATTGGGGATTAAGTTTCCAACACATGAACTTTGGGGGACACATTCAAACCATAGCACAAGTATACTCGTCATACTGAGACCCCCAAGCACTGGCCTATATAATAAGATATCCATTAGGCTTCCAGCATTAATAGTCTTTTCTCCCATGTTTTCTTTTCCACTGAAAAACTTAAGGTAACTTTGTCTAAGGCCTGGATTATTGTTACATATAGACAGTCTCAATATTGAGAAGACAGTTTATAATTGACACAGCTTACTGAATTAAGCACTACTGGCTCCAAATAAGTATACATACTTACTTATGTAGACCAAAATATATCATGTATTTACATCTATTTTCTTAGATGTTCGTGGACCAAACACAATGTGAGATGACGAATGGAGACCTCGATGCACTAGCAGGCTGTTGATCTTATTTTAGAGTTTATTTCTTAGAGATAAGAGGGAGAATTCATATTAGGTGATCTTGCATTCTCAAAACTCAGAGCGTCAGTTTTCCTTTTCTCAAGTACTTTACAAGTCTACTGTCCTTTCTTTTCACACACCTTAAAAGTACTTCGGATAATATCTAAGACTACATGGTACATCTGTTTAATGAGTCACCACAATCTGTCATTGCCGGAATATTGTGATTTTCAAAAATATTCTGTGAGTGATTAACTAACCACATAGATATGTTTATAGATATCCACCACTAAAATGCAACTGTTTTGTTTTTTCACAATTACTAGGTCAAAATGCAAAAATTTGACTTTCTAAAACTGAACATTCTTATTTATACTTTCTTTCAATTTCTTCTTAGAGGAAATATGTTAAAGACAAAGCAGTAGAAAGTAAAAAGTGCTGTATGGTGTACAGAACGTTTATGTTGTGAACAGTTGTTTAACCTAGTTAGAAATTAACAGCAGACAAAATCCAGTATACACAATGTGACTCAGAACCAAATTGTCACATAACCAAGACAAAGGCATAACGGTACAACTTGGTGACTGATTCTAGCTTAGTTTACATAGTGACACACACACTACACAAGTAGGCACATGTCCTGGTCAGGACAAAGGCCAAGGCAATCTTCAAATCTAGGTTATTACAGTAAAACAAAAAGAGAGAGAGAGACAGGGAAAAAGAAACAGAAAGAGAGGAGAGGAGAAGTGGGGAGGAGAGGGGAGGGGAAAGAACTGAAAGAGGAGGGGAAGGAAGGCAGGAGAGAGGGGAGAATTGAAGGGAAGGAGAGGTGTGTGAATGGGAGGGGAGGAGAGTGAAGTGGCCAGAGAGTTGCTACATATCTCCAATAAAGAATAAATATGGGCCAGGCACTGTGGCTCATGCTTGTAATCCCAGCACTTTGGGAGGCTAAGGTGGGAAAATCAATTGAGGTCAGGAGTTTGAAACCAGCCCAGCCAATGTGACAAAACCCCATCTCTACTAAAAATACAAATATTAGCTGGGCATGGTGGTGGGCACCTGTAATCCCAGCTACTCAGGAAGCTGAGATGCTAGAATTGCTTGAACCTCGGGCTGGGGGAGAGGTTGCAGTGAGCCGAGATTGTACCCCTGTACTCCAGCCTGGGTGACAGAGTGAGACTCTGTCTCAAAAAAAAAAAAAAAAAAAAAAAAAAGAATAAATATGGACAGGGCTCTTTCACTCCAGAAGAACCAGACATGTATCTATTTGCAGAATGTCCTAGAATTTAAAAGAGCACTATGGCTATCTGGGTCAGTTATAGGAGAATTTGGAAACCTATGGACTTTCCTTGGGGACAAAAAAAAAAAAAAAAAAAAGCCCTCAGATTGCTGCCTGTCTGCAAAGTGGACTTAATCCACAATGAAATAAGTATGAAAATGAGGGTGACCATTGAACAAGGTCTGTACACTAAAGCCCATGGACCAGCTTCCTATTTTGATAAAGTTTTCTTGGAACATAGCCATACTCATTCACTTATGTATTGCCTAGGGCTACTTTTGAACTCCAGTGGCAGAGACTGGATGGCTTGCAAAGCCTAAAATATTTACTACCCAGTACTTTACAGAAAAAGTTTGCAAATCCACCACCTCATTCCCTATTGGGAAATGTTTATAGCAATTTGACTTGGCCATAACATCTAAGTATATGATCATGTGTCTAGTAATTTTCTTCTTGTATTTTACAAATTTATTGGTCCACAATTGATTGTCAGAGGGAAAAGGAAAAGAAAAGACTTTTCAACAAAGATATTTTAAGCAGTGCTGTTCTGCATTATATATATTTCAGGGCAGGGCAAATCTGTTCATAAAATTCATTTTATTTTAAGCGCACTGTTCTGATGCTTATTGCCTGACATTAAATTAGATTCAAGGGATGAGTCAAACTTGTCCTCTGACTGGACTTGAACTTTTTCAACACTTCTTTTGCAATAACAGTTTGTTGTTATTGATTGCTATTGTGAAAGCAGGTTTTTTTGATACCAATATAATACTGTTGTACAGTAAATTTTCCTAGGTACATATTGTGTTTCAGTAAGACTCTAGCTCTTAAAGGGTGTCATTGCAATACAAGTTTATAAAATTTGCATATAAATTATGTTTTTTAAGAATTAAAAATTTCCAAACCTGAATGAGATTTCCAAACCTGAATGAGGTCAGCATGGATCTGATGGAAATTCATTTAACCTTACAAGAACTTAGTGAATTTTTCTTTTTTTTTTTTTTTTTTTTGAGACAGAGTCTTGTTATGTCACCCAGGCTGGAGTGCAGTGGTGGGATCTCAGCTCATTGCATTCTCCGCCTCCTGTGTTCAAGTGATTCTGGGGCCTCAGCCTCCCGAATAGATGGGACTACAGATATGTGCCATCACGCCCAGCTAATTTTTGTATTTTTAGTAGAGATAGAGTTTCACCATGTTTGCTAGGCTGGTCTCAAACTCCTGACCTCCAGTGATCTGCCTGCCTCAGTCTCCCAAAGTGCTGGGAGTGCTGGGATTACAAATGTGAGCCACTGTACCCAGCCGTATTTTGCTTTTTCTTATTATTAACAGTTTGATTTATCTGCAAACCTGCTTGTTTATAAAACAAAATCTGGATCATTTTTAGGAGAAAGTTAATGGCTTTCTCTAACTTTAAAACTTTAAGTAGCAATAGAAAATTATGAAATAGCATAAAACATTCTGGGTTACTTGATTGTGTGTTAACAGAGAAAATAGCTTGAAATGGCCAGGCAAGGTAGCTGACACCTGTAATCCCAGCACTTTGGGAGTCTGAGGCAGGTGGATCATGAGGTCAGTAGTTCGAGACCATCCTGGCCAACATGGTGAAACCCCGTCTATACTAAAAATATAAAAATTAGCCAGGCATGGTGGTGCATGCCTGTAATCCCAGCTACTTGGAAGGCTGAGGCAGGAGAATCACTTAAACCCGGGAGGCAGAGGTTACAGTGAGCCGAGGTCGCGCCATACTGCACTCCGGCCCGGGTGACAGAGTGAGACTCTGTCTCAAAAAAAAAAAAAAAAAAAAAAGGAAAATAGTTTGAAAATGTATTTTATGATAAAACTGCATAGAATCACACATATGAACACACAAACACACAAGGTGCATGTAAAACATGAAATCTGTGTAAGCTCTGTAGATTGTATCAATGCTGATTTCCTAGTTTTGTACTACAGTTATGCAGGATGTTAATCATTGGGGGAAAATTAGTTAATAGTACACGAGATCTCCTTGTACCTTTTTTTAAATATTTCCTATGAAGCTATCATTATTTTACAATAAAAAGCTAAAAATGTGCTAAATTTATTAAATTAAACTGTACTGTTTTAAGAAAGTTTAGTTATGAGCAGTTTATTACCAAAGAAAATAATTAGGTAATCTTTGAGAAAGAAAGCTAGTCAATAGCTTGCTTTCTTTAGGAATCTTAGTAATCTTGATAATCTTGCATTAGAATCATCGCTCGGCAATTTAACAAGATTTAAGGCTGACCAGAAGACAACGACTTTCTAACCTGTACTTGAAGTTTTTGTAATGAGACTGAGACTCATCTGTCATGGGTTCTTAAACTTGATTTGGAGAGTGGGCCAGGCTACTGGTTTGGCTCCTATATTCCTCTGAAAGGGATGAAACTGACTACCTAATTAATAGTCTACTTAAAGGATCACGAGCATCTCAGGTCCCTGATGAGAATTAGTTACTATTAACCTACTTGCAGATAATCAAGAATTAATATTATTTTAGATTCAATTATGATTTCAGAAAATATATCACCTAACAATATACATCCACTATATTAGTAAATTATTTTATTTATTGAGATAATTGCTCTTTTTGGTAAGATAATATAAAATAGTTAAAAGAAAATTATACTTAGAAAGAGCTGTAGTTTTAACTATGACTTTTGAAGTACAAGTTATGAAAACTAAGACCAAAACAGTTGGCCCCATGTAAGAAGTACAGAAAAGCTCTTCAGGACACCTTATTAATAATAATACAAAATCTTTAAAAGTCCACATAATCAGTTGAATAAGCTAATACCAAGAATTATACTAGATGAAACATATAGCTAACTTAAAATGATATTTAAATATAATCATAGCTCTACAAAGATAATAACCAGCTGACAATTATGTAGCCATTAAGAAATAGATCATGGACCTTCATACCAAGCATGAAAAAATAAATTTCCTAGAAATGGAGAAAATATTTAAGCCAAAAGTGCTGAAGATTACAAAAAAACAAAAACAAAACAAAACCAAAACGTGGTAGTTTTGGAGGTCTGTTTAAAGAAGTTCACGTAGAAGTAGGGCAATGTCAAACTAATTTAAGAGAAGTCACATACATTTAGAAATGAAGCCATCTCAATGACTATTTATATTCTCTAGAACATGAGAATTTTGCAATTTTATCTTCTGAATAGAGTTAAGGCATTGATTAAAATATCTAGAAATAAAAAATTTAAAACAGCGGAATTTCTGTGAACAGACTTGTGATTTCAGATTTACATCTTTGTAAAACAAACATTAGTAATTTAACATTCTAAAAACCTATGAAGGTGACAAAACATGTAATTTAGTTTTGAAGATGTTACCAATTTGTAACCTTATCAGTTAAGACATTTAGACTTGTATAAAAATCAAACTTTAAAAATAATTTGTTAGAGAAAACACTTTTTCTTCTTTATCTGTAGATCATAAACATTTCTATGTCAAAGATTCCATTCAAATTTAAGAAAACAATGGAGACTTTTTTGCAGATAAGATGAACCTACATACATTCATGCACACATAGCTTTTTATTCAACTTTTGAACAGGCTTGGACCACATAAAAACCATAATTGGTATTCTCCTTTTCCAAGTGTTATGTTAAGAATACCCATCGAATGATATTTTTTCCTCTTAGTTAATAGTTACCGATTTTCTCTTAAAAAAATACCTTGTAAATTGAGAATGAGGAACATCAACACTTGAACAAGGCAAAAAAAGTCATTATCCCCGAGGAGATTTCAAATTTGTAATTTCAGCCTGCAGACCTTTGCTGCATGATATTTTATTTCATCTATGTTCTATAAATTACTAAATCATTATTTTTAACAGATATTTTTGCTATGCCATTTTTACTACATGTTCACTTATTGAGGCCCTAGTATTTATCAAGCACAATTCAAGGATAAAAGAAACATGATAAGGATAGTTCCTGCTTTCATAGAGCATATATTTTAGAGGCAGAGAGAGACAATAAGCAATAAACAAATTTAAGAGAATAATTACAGATATTTGCTGTGAAGGAAATTAAGCAAGGACATATGATAAGGAATAGCCAGAGGGGTCCTTAGAAAATGTGTTCAGGAAAGGCTTGTCTTAAAAGTGCCAAGTAAACTGAGATCTTTTAAGTAAGGACAAGTGGGATTCATCAAAAATGGGCAGAACATTTTAGGCAGTGGGAACTACAAGTGTGAAAGCCCTGGGTGTGAACAAATTCTGCATGCTCATGGAACAGGAGGAAACTTCCAATATGGCTGGAATGCAGTGATTAGTGTGTATAAAGTACAAGACAAAGTAAATGAACAGGTGAGTTCAGCTCATGTCAGGCCTCATCATCATTTTTCAAAGAAGGCATCTACATGGCTAATAGGTATATTAAAAGGTGCTTGACATCACTAATCATTAGGAAAATACAAACCAAAAACACCATGAGTTATCACCCCACACCTGTGAGAATGACTGTTATCAAAAAGATAAGCAATAATGAGTTGGCAACAATGTGGAGAAGAGGGCTCTCTGGGATACTGTTGGCAGGAATGTAAATTGATACAGCCATTATGGAAAACATTATGGAGTTTCCTCAAAAAATTAAAAACAGAACTACTGTATAATCCAGCAGATAAAAATCTGGGTAGATATGTAAAGGAAATGAAATCAGTATCTCAAATAAATAACCCATGTTCCCATGGTTTCATCGCAGAATTATTTACAATAGCCAAGGAATGAAACCAACCTATGTGCCTGTCAACAGATTGATGACTAAAACAATTGTTTTATATATATATATATATATATATATAATTAATACAATGAAATATTATTTAGTCAAATAAAGAAGTAAATCCTGCCATTTGTGACAACATGGGTGGGCCTAGAGGACATGCTAAGTTAAGCCAGTCACAGAAACACAAATACTGTGTGATCTTACTGACATGTGGAATCCAAAACAGTCAAACACACAAAAGCAGAGAGTAAAACAGTGGTTTCCAGGGACTGCTGAGGGATGGGAGAAATGGTGCAATATTGGTCAAATGGTACTAATTTTCAGCTATATGTTGAACAAGTTCTTGGGTTCTTATATACAGTATGAGTAGTGATGTATTTGTTAATTAATTTGGTTATGATAATTATTACACAATGTATACATATCATCATATTGCACACCTTACACATATATAGTCTTTGTTAATTAATTGTTTTAATATTAAATAGAAAAATGAACAATGAAAAAACACTGGAGAGTTTTTAAACAGAGGAATGAGTGTCATCTCATGTATTTAAAAAAATATAATTCCACACATGATAGAAATTATAGAATTCTAGCTGATCTAAAAATCAGCATCTTTTCAGCCAGGTGTTTAATCCTGGATCAATGACCAGTGGCTAAGAGGTGAGTATCACTTGGTATGCCTTTTGTAAAATAGCAATTGTAAATAGATAATCTTAAAAGGTGTTTGTATTAATTGGGGTTCTGCAGAGAAAGACAACTAATAGCATGTATGTATATGTATGTGTGTGTGTATAAGATAAAATGTATACATATATGCACAAGACATGAAAAATATTTATTATAAGCAGCTGGGTCACATGACTATGGTAGCTGAAAAGTCCAAGATCTGCCAGCTAGAGAGGCAGGTTTGAGAGCCAGAATGCTAAAGTTCCAGATCCATTAAAGATAAGTATGATCATTATTTATCTTTAAAATAGGTACACAAATACCCATTTTGTTCTGGAAAATATAGTACACGTGTCATGGTACCTTTTTAAATTCTGTGATAGTCAATTTTATTTGGCAACTTTTCTGGGTCATGGGAAACCTAAATATTTAGTAAAACATTATTTTTGTTGTTTCTGAGATAGTGTTTTTGGATGAGACTAACATTTAAATTGGTGACTTTTGAGTAAAGCAAACTGTCCTACATAATGTGAGTGGGCCTCATCTAATCAATTAAAGGTCTGAATAGAACAAAAAGACTAGCCTCCCCCAAGCAAGAAAGAATTGTCTCCCATGCAAGAAAGATGACCAATTACAGTTCAATTACACGACCAGTTCTACTCGAGAGCTGAGGCAGACAAGAATTGCTTGAACCCGGGAGGTGGAGGTTGCAGTGAACCAAGATTGAGCCACTGCACTCCAGCTTGGGTGACAGAGCGAGACTCTGTTTCAAAAAAAAAGTTATTCCTATATAATAAAAGTTCAACAGAATGTGATCCTGAGGCCTTGGTGAGCTTCCTAGTTGATGAACACATCAATATGCTTGGCGGGTGGTGTGTTCTGGGTTTATAGGAAGAGAACATATCAGTTCTGCATTCAGAACCCTACCAGACCTTGCCCTATAAAAATCTTCTTTTGTCTGATTATGATTTGAATCTTTTATAATAAAAACGTAGTTATGACTAGTACTTTCATGAGTCATGTAAGTCATTCTAGTGAAGTATCAAATCTGAGAAAGTGGTGGAAACATTAAATTTGAAGCCATTTGGTCAGAAGTGTGAGTAGACTGTGAAGCTTCTAACTTGCAGCTGGTGCCTAAAATGAGAACAGTCTTATTTTGGACTGTGCCCTTAACCTGTGGACTCTACAATCATTCTAGGTAGTTTGCATCAGATTTGTTTTGCAGTATTGCAGCTAGTCTATATGAAGAAACATGCTGCTTCTAAAGATCATATTATTATAGAGGAGGAGTAGAAAGCACATGGTGAATTCTTTCTTTCCTTTTTGGGCCATGATGGCCATTGTTTTAATTTTTTTTTTAAAGTCACACTCACTGAGCCTAGACAAGGTCTCACAATGGCTTACAATTCTCCCCTAAGCATAAGTGTCATGAACCTTTATTTCAAATTAGGTTGTTTATATAAATTTGAATAGTTTTTCGACATACACCAAACAATATAAGTCATCCTAAGAATGGCCCATATTAGTAAGTCATATGTTCAACCTTATCTCAGACGATGCATGATAAAGCTCAAGATGACAGTCATTCTTATGTTTCTCAATAGGTTAAAAGTCACTGGTAAAATATACCATTTCTCAAATAAATATTCCCAGTAGTAGACTAAAGTTCTGAAGATTCATGGGTTCGGAATAGTGAAGGGGCTGGAAGATAGTCTACTGTGATTTTCATGTATCTCCCCAAAAGCATGTGTTGGAAACTAAAACCCAATACAACAATGTTGGGCACTGGGGACTAATGAAATGTGCTTAGGCCATGAAGGTAGAGAGAATGGATTATTGTCATTATTATAGCAATATTTTCTTATCCTAGGAGTGAATTTGTTATAAAAGAGGGAGTTTGGCCCCCCTCTTACTCTCTTTCCTTCTATTTGCCCTTCTACCATGGAATGATGTGGCAAAAAGGCCATTATCAGATGCTGCTAACTTGATCTTTGGATTTCCCAGTCTCCAGAACCATGAGCCACACATACACACACACACACACACACACACAAAATGAGATGTTTTGATACAGGCATGCAATGTGAGAAAAGCACATCATGAGGAATGGGGTGTCCATCCCTTCAAGCACTTATCCTTTGAGTTACAAACAATCCAGTTACACTCTTCAAATTATGTTGAAATGTACAATTCAGTTAGTATTGACTACAGTCACCGTGTTGTGCTATCAAATAGTAGGTCTTAATCATTCTATTATTTTTATACCTGTTGATTCTCCCTACCTGTCCTCTAGCCCCTCACTACCCTTCCCAGCCTCTGATAACCATTCTTCTACTCTCTATGTCCATGAGTCCAATTGTTTTGATTTTTAGATCCCACATATAATTGAAAACATGTAATGTTTGTCTTTCTGTGCCTGGCTTATTTTACTTAACATAATGATCTCCATTTCCATCCATATTGTTGCAAATCACTTACATCTCATTCTTTTGTATGGCTGAATAGTAGTCCATTGTGTGTATGTACCACATTTTCTTTATCCATTCATTTGTTGAGGGACACTAAGGTTGCTTCCAAATCTTAGCTCTTGTAAAGAGTGCTGCAACAAACATAGGAGTGCAGATAACTCTTCAATATACTGACTTCCTTTCTTTTGGGTATATACCCAGTGGTGGGATTGCTGGATCATACTGTAGCTATATTTTTAATTTTCTGAGAAGTCTCCAAACTGTTCTCAGTAGTAGTTGTACTAATTTACAGTCCCACCAACAATATACACCCTTTCCTCCACATCCTTGCCAACATTTGTTATTGTCTGTCTTTTGGATATAAGTCATTTTAACTGGGGTGAGACAACATCTCATTGTAATGAGATGATTTGTATTCATCTGATGATCAATGGTGTTGAGCACCTTTTCATATGCCCACTTGCAATTTGTATTTCTTCTTTTGAGAAATGTCTATTCAACTCTTTTGCCCATTTTTTGATCAGATTTAAAAATTAGACTTTTTCCTATACAGTTTCCTTTGAGCTTCTTATATATTCTGGTTATTAATCCCTTGTGATATGGTGTATTAGTTCATTTTCACACTGCTATAAAGATACTATCTGAGAGTGGGTAATTTATAAAGAAAAGATGCTTAATTGACTCACAGATTTGCCTGGCTTGGGAGGCCTCAGAAACTTACAATCATGGCAGAAGGGGAAGCAGGCACATCTTACATGGCAGCAGATGAGAGAAAATGAGTGAAAAGTCCAGTGGAAACTGCTATTTATATAACCATTGGATCTCATGAAAACTTCCTCACTATCATGAGAACAGCATGAGGGAAACTGCTTTCATTATTCAATCACTTCTCTCTAGATATCTTCCTCAGCACTTGGAGATTACAATTAAAGATGATATTTGGGTGGGGCACAAAGCCTAACCATATCAGATGGGAAGTTTGCAAATATTTTCTCCTGTTCTGTGGGTTGTCTTTTCACTTTGTTGGTTGTATCATTTGGTGTTCAGGAGCTTTTTAACTTGATGTGATCCCATTTGTTCACTTTTGCTTTGGTTGCGTGTGCTTGTGGGGTATTGCTCAAGAAATCTTTGCCCAGACCAATGTCCTGGATACTTTCCCCAATGTTTTATTGTAGTAGTTTCATAGATTGAGGTCTTATATTTGAGTCTTTAATCCATTTTAATTTTATTTTTGTATATGTTGATAGATAGAAAGCCAAAATTTTTTGTTCATTATAAATTAACTAGCCTGTGGTATTATGTTATAATAGAAAAAAAAAGACTAAGAGAGTATAAATTTTATTTTGTGTCATAATGTCAATGGTAATGCAAATATTTTATCAGTTATAAATACAGGTTCTTATTAAAGTGATTAGACTACAGATAAGTAATAAACCTCACACAAGTATTAGTTTTAGCAAATATATAGTTGTCCCAGTCCTAAGGATAAACAGTCGTATCAAATACAGGGAGGAAATTCCTCAGGCAAAAGGACTGAAAATTTGTATGATGGAAACAATGGGAGGAGTCACATGCCATTTTCCTCGTGCTGAAAAATGCTTATGTTCATAGCTCTAAAAGTGGAGGTTATTACTGACATTTAACATAATAATATATGTATACCTATATTTAGCTTTATTTTTAATTGACATGTAATAATTTTTCAGATTTTTGGGGTACAGAGTAATATTTTGATACATGTATACAATGTAAAATGACCAAATCAGTGAAATTAACATATCCATCTATTATTTCTTGGTGTTAAGAACATTTGGAATCCTGTATTCTACTTGAAAATATACAATAAATTATTATTAGTTATAGTCACCCTACAATAAGTCCACTAGAACTTATTCTTCCTATTTAGCCGTAATTTCAAAACTGTTGAATCTCTCTCTTTATACCCTACTACCCTTTCCAGATTTAAGTGACTAAAATTCTACTTTCTACTGTTATGAGCTCAACTTAAATTATTTTCACATATGAATGAGAACATTTGGTATTTATTTCTTGGTGTCTGAGTTGCTTTACCTAGTGTCTTCTAGGTTCATTCCTGTTGCTGTAAATGACAGGATTTTACTGTTTTTTATGGTTAAACACCATTTCATTGTGTTACATGTACCGCAATTTCTTTATCGATTCATCTGTTGGTGAAAAACTTTACTGCAACTTTACTGAATTTCTTAATCAGTTCTAAGAGGTTTTTTGTGGAGTGTTCTGGTTTTTCTGTGTATAAGAACATGCTTCCCACAAAGAAGAAGAATTTGACTTCTTTTTTTCCAGTTTGGATGCCTTTTCATTCTTTCTCTTTCCTTGTTGCTCTGGGTAGGACTTCCAGTACTATGTTGAATAGGAGTGGTGAAAGTGGGGATCCTCATCTTGTTCTATTTCTTAGAGGAAAAAACTTAAAATTTTTGTCATTCAGTGTGATATTAGCTGTGGGTTTGCTGTATATGGCCTTCATTGTATTCAGATGTGTTCCTTTTATACTGAATTTGTTAAGTTCTTATCATAATGGGATGCTGAATTTTATAAAATTATTTTCTGCATCTATTGAGATGATGATAAATATTTTCCTCATGCTGTTGCTGTGGTATATAACATTTTTGATTTGTGTATGTTGAACCATCCTTGCATTACTGGCATACTCCCACTTGATTATGTTGCAAAATCTTTTTGATGTGCTATTGGATTCAGTTTCCTAGCATTTTGTTGATGATTTTTGCATCTATATTAATTAGGAGTATGGTTCTGTAGTTTTCCTTTTCTGTTGTTTCATTGACTGGTTTTGATATCAAAGAATGCTGGACTCTTCAGATGAATTTGAAATAATTCCATTTTATATTTGGAATAGTTTAAGAAGAATTGGTGATAGTTCTTTAAAAGTTTGACAAATTCAACAGTAAAGCCAATTAGTCCTAGGCTTTTCTTTTTTGGGAGTTTTTAAATTATTACTAATTTAATTGCATTACGCATTACAGGTCTGTGCAAGTTTTCTATTTCTTCTTGGTTCAATTTTGGTAGGTGTATTAGGGTTCTATAGAGGGACAGAACTAATTTTATATATATATAATAATCTATATATATAATCTATATAATATATATTATACATAATATATATTATATATAATATATATTATATATAATCTATATAAATATATTATATATAATATATATTATATATAACCTATGTAGATTATATATAATATATATAGATTATATATAATATATATAAATATATAAATATTAATATAACATATAAACATATATAGATTATATATTATATAATACATATAGATTATATATAATATATATAAATATAATATATATAAAATATAATATATAAATAAATTATATATAATAATTTATATATATAAATAATTATATATAAATATATTATATATATAAATTATATATAATTTATATTTATATATTTATTATATTATATTTATATAACATATATAAAATAATATATATAATTATATATAATAATTTGTATATATATACAAATATATAATATATAATATATATAAATATAATTATATATTATATAAATATATACAAATATATATAATATATAATGTATATAATATAATATAATATATTATAAATATATATATATATATAGTGGAGAGTTTATTAAGTATTAACTCACACTATCACAAGGTCCCACAATAGGCCATCTGCAGGCTGAGGAGCAAGGATGGCCAGTCTGAGTTCCAAAACTGAAGAACCTGGTATCCAACGTTTGAGGACAGGAAACATCCAGCACGGGAGAAAGATGTGGGCTAGAAGGCTACACCAGTCTCTCTTTTCACATTTTTCTGCCTGCTTGCATTCTAGCCACACTGCCCCTTGATTAGATTGTACCCACCCAGAATAAAGGGTTGGTCTGTCTTTCTGAGCCCACTGACTCAAATGTTAATCTCCTTTGGCAACACCCTTACAGACACATCAAGGATAAGTACTTTGTATCCTTTAGTCCAATCAAGTTGACACTCGGTATTAACCATCACAGGAGGTTATATATGTCCAGGAATTAATCCATTTCATATGAGTTTATAATTTTTTGGTATGTGGTTGTTTGTAATAGTTTCTGACAGTCCTTTGTACTTCTGTGGTTCTGTTGAAATGTCTCCTTTTACATTTCTGAGTTTGTTTCTTATTTTAAATGCCCGATTTTTCATTTCATTGATCCTCTGCATTTTTTTAGTCTCAATTTTATTCATTTCTGATCTTATCTTTATTATTTCTTTCCTTTTAGTAATTTTGGGTTTGAGTTTATTTTGATGTACCTTAAGGTGCATCATTAAGTTGTTTGAATTATTTCTACTTTTTTGATATATATGTTTATGGCTATGAACTTCCCTCTTAGTACTGCTATTACTATATCTCATAAGTTTTGGTATGATGTGTCTCCATTTTTATTTGTTTCAAGAAATTTTTTGTTTTTCTTAATTTCTTCATTGACCCATTGGTCTTTCAGGAGCATGTTGATTGTAAAGTTTTCCAAAGTTTCATTTGTTATTGATCTAGTTTTATTATATTGGATCTGAATATATACTTAATATAATTTCAATTTTTTAGATTTTCTTGAGGCTTTTCTGGTCTAACGTGGTTTATTCTAAAAAGTGTTCCATGTGCTGATAAGTGTGTATTCTGCATCTGTTAGATAAAATGTTCTGTAAATGTCTGTTATGTCCATTGAGTCTACAGTTCTGTTAAAATTCAAAGTTTCTTTTTTTATTTTCTGTCCTGATGATATGTAAAATACTGAGAGTGGGATGTTGATGTTCCTAAGTATCAATATATTGGGCTCTAAATATTGGGTCACAATATTTGCTTTATTATCTAGGTGCTCCAGTGTTGGGGGCATACATATTTACAATAGTTACATCTTCTTGATGAATTGATCCCCTTATCATTATGTAATGACCTTCTTTATATCTTTTTTAGGTTTTTTTATGTAAAGTTTATTTTATCTGATAGAAGTGCTGCTACTCATGCTTGTTTTGGTTTTCTATTTGTGTGAGGTATCTTTTTTCATCCTTTTACTTTCAGTCTATATGTGTCTGTACAGACAAGAAGAGTTACTTGTAGGAAGCACATCATTGGGTCTTGTTTGTTTTAATCCATTCAGCCATTTTATAACTTTTAATTAGGGAATTTAAACTGTTCACATTCAAGATTAATATTGATAGGCAATTGACTTACTCCTGTAATTTGGTTGACTCTTTTCTAGTTGTTTTGTATATTCTGTTTCTTTCTTCTTCTTTCATTGTTTATTTTTGTTGTTTGGTGGTTTTCTGCAGTTATAAGATTTGATTCCTTTCTTTTTCTCATTGTGTATTTCCTCTGCTAGTGAGTTCTATTCTTTTATGTGTTTTTAGTTTTTATTCTTTCATTTCCAGATGTAGAACTGCATTAAGCATTTATTGTAGGACTAGTGGTGATAAATTCTCTCAGTATTTGTTTGTCTGGAAAAAACTATTTCTCCTTCATTTCTGAATGATAGCTTTGGTGGTAGTATTCTTGATTGGTAGGGTTTTCTTTTTGGCACTTGGAATATATTGTCTCATTTTTTTTCTTGGCCTTTAGGGTTTCAGCTGAGAAATTTGCTGTCAGTGAGATGGGGACTCCTTTATATGTGACTTGATTTTTCTTTCTTTTTTCTTTCTTTCTTTTTTATCTTTTTTTTTTTAGATCCTCTCTTTGCTTCTGACTCTACAATGTGCTTTTGAAAAGATCTTTTGAGGTTGTATCTATTTGTGGATTATTGGGCTTCCTAAATCTGAATGTTCACATCTTTTCCAAGACTTAGAAAGTTTTCAGTTGTTATTAAACAGGTTTTCCATATTCTTTCCCATTTCTTTACTCTCTGGAATTCCCATAATGTAAACATTTCTTTATTTAGTGTTGTCCCATTAGTTTCATAGGTTTTCTGCATTTTTTTTTTGGTCTGACTGGGTTATATCAAAAACCATTTTCAAGTTCAAAAATTCTTTCTTCTTCATGAAGAATTCTTCATAAATTCTTCATTTTCTATTGCTGAAACTCTCATTGGTTTTTTAATTTTATTCATTCAATTATTTAATTCAAGATTTATGTTTGGTTATTTTTTATAATATTGATATCTGTTGAATTTCCCATTCAGCTCACAATTTTTTTTTCTGATTTCATGGAATTATCTATCTGTATTCACTTCTATTTCACTGAGTTTTGTTAAGATCATTATTTTTAATTATTTTTAAGGCATTTTATAAATTTTCTTTTTTTGAGGTCTGTTACTGGAGAATTGTTTTGTAAGTTTAGAGGTGTTGATACTGTTTGGCTGTGTCCCCACCCAAAATCTCACTTTTAATTGTAATCTACATAATTCGAATGGGTCAAGGGCAGGACCAGGTGCTGTAATTGGATCATGGGGGCAGTTTCTGCCATGCTGTTCTCATGAGAATGAGTGAGTTCTCATGAGATCTGATGGTTGTATAAGCATCTGACATTTCCCCTGCTTGTTCTTCTCCTTCCTGATGCCTTCCAAAGAAGCTGCCTTGCTTCCCCATCACCTTCTGCCATGATTATAAGTTTCCTGAGGCCTCCCCAGCCATGCTGAACTGTGAGTCATTTAACCTCTTTCCTTTATAAGTTACCCAGCCTCAGGTAGGTCTTTATAACAGCGTGAAAATGGACTAATACAGGTGCTATGTTTCTTTGCTGTTTCACGTTTGTGTCACTACACTAATATCTGAATACTCACATCTTCTAATTTTATGTAGTAGCTTTTGTAGGAAAATATGTTTTCTATGGATGTGTCCTTTAGTGTCAGTAGGGTAAGCATTTTGGCTTTGGTTCTGGGTGGGTGCAATAGTGTAGTTCACATGTGATTTATTTGGGTATTTTCAACATTAGTGGTGTCTGTGAATGCCTCATTGGGTTAGACTGCAGGTGTCTGTGCCAGTTATGTTTTGACTTTGCTAAGTGAAGGGGTCACCAGGAGGACTGCCTCTCAGGTCTCTATTGCAAGGGGTATGCTAGCACATGGCAACTCCACTGGTTAAATTGATGAGGTTGCTAATGGCAGTGGGCCTGAAATGAACTGGTCATTGGGCCCTTGGTGTTCGGTGGGGGTGTGCAGTAACTTTGCTACTGGAGTGGGCCAGGTCACTGGCAGTTGTTGACCCTGGAGAGGCCAGTCCTTAGACTTCTGGGGATGTTTGAGCACTTGGAGGCTCTGCTGCTGGAAGAATATGGACACCAGTGGCAGTGGGCACTAGTTGGGCTGCTCATGGGCCTCTGGATTGGTCATGTGGCATCCCAACCACTAGACTGAGTGGGGATAGCTGCCACAGCAAGCCCCAACCAGACTGGTCCTTGTGCCCATGTGTGGGTATGTGAGCATTTGGCTGCTTTACTACTGGAGTGGGCAGAGTTACTGACAGTGATGGGCCCTTGTACACTGGTCCTTGGGCCCCTTATGGGGGTGCACAGGTGAGCAGCAGTTCTAGTGCTGGTGCAGGAGGGGATCACTGGTGGCAGCAAGCCTGGGTGGTTTGGTCCTCAAGCTTTTAGGGGTGGGGTGAGCATAAGCTCTGCTGCTGGAGAGGCCAGAGTTGCTGGTGGAGGTTGGCCACTGGCTATTGGCTCTCAGGCTTCCTCTGTCTCGAGGATGGCCTCCCCGTTGTGCTGAGTCACCTATTCTTTGAAGTGCCAAATGTTGCATGGGCTCAGATACTGGGTTCATGGCTATACTGCTGGGTCTAGCTGGGTTCATGGCCTTCCAGGCAGATGTGGTAGGTTGACTGTGAGGCCCCAGGAATGTGGTCATGCAGGAGTTATTGGGCCCCTGGGCTAGATGCACTCTGGCAGTGGCTTCATTCTCAAAATGGCACTATGCTGCAGCAGCCTGGATTCTGGGGAGTGTGGGGGTCCCAGTGTTAGTTCCCTCTCTGGAACAATGTAGTCATGTGGGTTCCAGGCAACTTCCTATACTGGGTTTAGGGCCTGTGAGCACTGTGGGGGCTCTCCTGCCATTAAAATTGCAAGTGTCTGCAAGAAAAATGTGAACTTCTGGGGATTTCCTGCTCATCTTTTCCCCATAATGGGGAGGCCCTCTTAGCTCCAAGCTGATACTGTCTGGGGTTTTGCTGTTCTGTCTATGATGGCATCCTGAGTTCCCATGACTCAGAGGGACTTTGCACTTCCTTTATAAATTCTATTGTTCTCTCCTAAATGTTCTGTTTGACGTGTGACTATCTTCTTGTTATATTGCTCTTTCTTTGTGGAAGAAGTGAATGTTCGGCACCTCTAGTCAGCCGTCTTGCTGATGTCTTGTTTTGCATATTTAGAGCTATAAATGACTACACAGACATCTCTTTCTAAAGCTTCATTATCCCTCCAACATCATTTATATAGATATGCTTTTTTGTACTTATAGATATTTTAAATACATTTTTCATTGGAAAAGATTTTCTCCTTAAGTTTTTGCCTCTTGAGCCCCCCCTTTCCAAAGAAAGAATAATTTCTTATTTAACTCTGTGAAACACTGCTCTAAATGATTTTGAAAAATAAAATACTAAGAGATACAAAAATGAAATAAGAAAACTATTTTTGTTGAGAACATATTATTCTTCTTTCGTTTTGTTAAGTACTTTTCCCATACTAACATCTTTAACCATTATTACAACTTTGAAACTCAGATATCATGATCTCCATTTTAACTGATAATTTTCATTTTAACTGAACTGTCACAGACCCAATCATAGGCAATTTGCAAATGTTACACAGGTAGTAAGAAATAAAGCATGATTTAAACCAAATATTTTCTGTCTCCAAACCTGGGTTTTATCCCTAGAATACGATTATGCAAAACAAATGTCACAGTGCCCCAAGCTATCTGAAACTATACGTTCGTTTCTTTTTTATTGGTTACATCCATCTGTTAAAAGAAATACATAGAGAAAGAAAATAGAATATCCCCATGTAATTTTGATCTCTTGAGGGACAATGTATGCACAAATAAACCTAACTAAGGCACATCATTGTGAAATGTCACAACACTAAAAAAAGGGCTGCAATAGGATATCTCAAAGACTACCCTGAAAAAAAAAGATAAGTAAAACATTTAACATTCTTTTAAAAAAACATTGCCATTTCTTGAAAAAACAGTCTTTTCTTCCCTTTATTTCTTTCTCTATCATATGGTACATTTATTGCTTTACTTTCTCATTCTGGCCTCAAACACAAATTTACTGTGTTATTCTTATAATAATTCAATCTTACAGCTAAAAAATATCCGCTTCAAAAACTGATGTTTTTCCAACCCAGGCTTTCTGTACCACAATGACTGTCACTGTCTAGAAGATGACACTTTGATATACTAGTGTTTCAATATGATCCAACTGGGATTTATTTTAACCACCACTCTGTTCAAAACAAGATGGTTGAGAGAATAAATAAGGTAATTATACTTCTTTCAGTCTTTTACATTTTCTCAAAAACTTTCACCTTTCTTTTTGTTGAGACTTTTTTCAAGTCATTATATTCATTCTACTAATTATATGAATGTTTTTGTCATTAATTAGCTATGCTTTTTACATTTTTTAATGCTTACTAGCGCTTGATGAATGTCTAATGGATAATGAGTAATTCTCTAGAGAGCAATATATTATTTCATGTCATTGCTCAGTCTTTTGTGTCTGAGCACAAAAAGTTAAAAAAGAATTCAAAAGGAAAATAAATTTATAAGACAGAAAATTTTTACAGGGCCGACTTTGTTTGCCAAGTGACATGTCTGAGACATGTGCCTGAGAAGACAATAGCTTTAAGTCAAAAGGGCCAAAAACATGTTTTAAACTAAAATAAATAATGAAATTCAAGAAGTCTCTTTTAAGAATCATTACTGAAGTTAAATTATATAATTAGTCTTTATTTCAAAAAGTTTAATTTTTGAAAATGTTCTAGGAACTAAGAAATGCTTGACATACATTTGATTATTCAGAATAAGACCACAATCATTTGCATTAGAGAGCCTTTACTAAAGACTATGATGCTTTTCTTAATTGAAGATCCTCAGCAGTTGAATGACTTTTTCAGGTATCTCTTGGTATACTAAAGAAGAGCTTTCCCTTTTCTAATTTTCAGAATTTCTCTAAAATGAATAAAGGAAAAGAAAAGACAAAACATAAGAAAGAAAGAAAAGAAAGAGTAGATATTAGAAACTTTCAAGATAAAAGCCAATATGAAACCACAAAAGACCTTGAATAACCAAAGAAATCTTGAACAAGACCAAAGCTGCAGGCACTGCACTACCTGATTTCAAGATAAACTCCAAAGCTATAGTAGTCAAAACAATATATTACAGGCATAAAAACATACATGTAGACCAATGAAACAAAATATTAAGCTGAGAAGCAAATCCACATATTTATGTTCAGTTGGTCTCAGGCAAAGATTCCAAGAACATATAGTGGGGAAAGGACAGTCTCTTCCACAAATGTTGATGGTAAAACTGGATATCCACACACAAAAGAAAGAGACTGAACCCTTATCTCACACAACAAAAATCAACTCAAGATAGATTAAAGACTTACATGTAAGAACTGAATTTATAAAACTACTAGAAGAAAACGTGGGAGAAAAGCTCTGTGACATTGTTCTGGGCAATGATTTTTTTGAATAAGACACTCAAAACATAGAAAACAGAAGCAAAAATAGACAAATAGGCTACATCTGAATTGCAAAGGAAAAAATGAGCAGAATGAAGAGACAACTTAAGTGATGGGAAAAAATATTTGTAAACCATATATCTAATAAGGGATTGGAATTCACAACAAATAAGGAACTCAAACAACTCAATTGCAACAAAATAAATAACTTGATTCCAAAGTGGGCAAAGGATATGAGTAGACATTTTTCAGAAAGACATACAAATGGCCAATAGGTATATTTTTTAAGAATTTCAACCTCATTAATCATTAGGAAAATGCAAATCAATACCACAATATTACCTCACACCTGTTAGAGTGGCTTTTATCAAAAAGATGAAAGATAAGTGTTGGCAAGAATGCGGAGAAAAGGGAATTCCTGTCTACTGTTACTGAAAATGTCAGTTGGTACAGCCATGATGGAAAATAGTATGAGGGTTTTCTGAAAAATTAAAAATAGAAAAGTAGAGCTATCTTATAATCCAGCAATCCCATTTTTGTATATATTCAAAGGAATTAAAATCAGTGTCTTGAAGAGATATCTGCACTCCCATGTTCATTGCAGCATTAATCAAAACAGATAAGTTATGAAACCAACCTAAGTGCTCACCAACAGATGAAAGAAAGGGAATTTTGGTGTGTGTGTACACACACACACAGACACAACGGAATATTATTCCATCTTAAGAAAGATGAAAATACTGTTATTTGAGACAACATGAATGAACTTGGAGGACATTATATTAAGTGAAATAAGCCAGGTACAGAAAGACAAATATTGCATTATCTTATTTATATGTGAAATCTAAAAGGGATGAGTTCATAGAAGCAGAGTAGAATTGTGGTTTCCAAGGGTTGGAGGGTTAGGAAAGTGTGAAAATTTTTGTCAAAGGGTACAAAATTTCAATTATATAGGATGAATGAGTTCTGGAGATCTAATGTATAGCATAGTGATTATAGTTAACATTACTGTAGTGTAGACTTGAAATTTGCCAAGGCAGTAAATCTTATGTGTTCTCACCACACACACATAACTGTGAGGTCATGGATATATTAATTAGCTTGATTGTGGTGATTATTTCACAATGTACATGTATATCAAAATATCACATCATGTGCATTAAATGTATATAAGTTTTGTTTGTCAATTATACTTCAATAAAACTGGGAAAAGAAACAGTCAGTAAGCCAGTATTTCATGAAGTCCCAATGGGTAACCATTATCCAAGGAAGCCACAAAGAGTTTAATGTGATGTAAAACACTAAAAAGTAAAACAAACAAACAAGCAAATAAACAGAATGATTAAGACTAAAGTTTACTACTGGTTTAGCATTACTCAGTAACTAATTAGAAATTTATCCTTCTTTGCATGTGGCTTGTTCAATGAATCATTTGAAACATTATAGTAGAGCTTTTAAAATGTGTAAGTTCACATAGAGGGACTAGTGAATGTATTATTATTTAAGAAAAAAAGATAAGAATAAAAGAAAAAGAATAAAAATAGGATAAAAGAAAGAGGGTTAAGAAGGAAGAAAGGCTGAAAGAAAAATATAAGACTTTCTCTTTTTTGCAATGGATAATTTGGACTCATTAAATATATTTTACTAATTCTTTATTCTCTCACTTTTCCATTTCTCTTTCCCCAAAACACAATATTCTTCTGGTCATTTGACCTCCCCTGGCATCCCCTGCCTCCACTGCTTGCACTATAGCTGTAGCTGTCAGTGGATGCAGTGTCCTTTATTGTACCATGACTTGACTGCCTTGGGATTTGGTGCAGATGTTAAAAATAGAGTCACAGAATGCTATTTCAACCCTGTACAGCAATCTTTAATACACGCTAAAGTCTGGAGGACAGATACTTCCTTTTCCAGATAAACTTACAGGTATGGTTTTACATGTTGACTTAGTTTTTTACTTAGCAGACATATCCACAGGAGACTTGGGAAGGCAAAATTAAACCCCCTGAATTAGAGACTACTATTTCTGATGACAAGTATGGCAGTGGATATGTTTTCCCCCATGGCAGCTGAAGCAGGGGGCTTAGTGTCTTATTTTTAGTGTTGTTTATGTCAAGAGGTAGATATAGGCCATGAATCATGCTGGTGCAAATGGCAGCAGAAATAATTTTATTCTGGAGCCAGAAGAGTTGTGCTATGTATTTCTTTCCCAGATCGCAATAGAAGTGGATTTTAGGAACTCAGATATTGAAGGGTGAAAAACTAGTGCCCTGTTTTTCAGAGGTAAAAACTGTTAATCCTGATATCACATGCAGTACCTAGGAGGGAAGATAACATAATAACTAACGTTACTGTGATAAGGAAAGGAGATGAAAAACATAATTTAATTTTTTCTGCCTCTATTTGGCAGTTTTTGTCCTTTTTTTCTTTTTATTTCTCTTTCTCTCTCTCTTTTTAAACTTTTTTGAACATTAATTCTATGAAGGAAAATATGCAAAGACAGGTGGAGAACCAGGGTCTTTCAGTTAGCCTAAATAAGAAACACTCCTCTGAGAAGTCTGGTAATCAGTGCAATTCCTGCCAAGTGGTGTTTGATTATGGATATAATAAATCATTAGTGAATTTCCTTTTTATCCATATTTTCTGATTTTTTTTACATTGCTACACAGTAAAAAGCTACACTTGAGCTGGATAGACAGGAAAGCTTAGCACACAGTTATCTTTAGCATTCGGCTGGATAAGGTGGCTGGGTAGAATTATGAGGTTGGTTATAAAAATAGAATTAGGATGGCTCTTTTAGGGAAGAGGAAGTGGGTTGTATTTAAAAAAATAATGCAGCTGCCTTTTTTCTGCCATAATAACCATTATCATATGGTTGCCTAATAACAGGACCCTAATTTTTAACAGGATATTTGGCCCCTATGAATAAATGTTTCTCCAGCCTGCTTTGTAGCTAGATGGGGCGTGTATAAATTTTGTTTAATGATATAGAAGACAAAGTATTGTGTGTAATGTGTTGGAAATGTTCTTAGAAGAAACCATACCCTTTTTTGCCTCTTCTTCTTTCTTGGTTGCTACATTAACATGACATGGCTGGGTGACATCTGCAAAAATGATATAGTAAAGACCTCTGAATATTTGCCCATAAATAAAAGCAGTGAAAAAAACTGGCAAATATTGTCAGAACAAACTTTTTTTGAACTCTGGAAATTAACCAGAAGTTTTCAGCAACCTGGGAAGCATTTATGCGAGAAAAATGGCAGAATCTCAGTAATAACAAAAAGCAAGTTTTATGGCAGTTTTAACTTACTCTACTTTCATTTCCTGCTTCCTAGCTTAGTGGCAGTAATGAAAATAACAGTCTACATTCCTAGTACTGGAGGGAGCAGAATGGACCTAATTCACAAATAATTATGATCTTACATGTCTCTTGGTTTCTTGGTAAAGCTGTGCAAAAGGCTTGTCTTTATTAGATCTCAGAGTTTTCCCAGTCCTAAAAGCCACAAACAGGATATAAATATATTTTCAATATTTCACTTTTTCTTCTCTTATTTAAAAGAAAACTGCATAAAGCTATAATTATAAATCTATGTTGCCAGGCACAAAAGTTATACAGGCATAATTTGTGATAATAACATGAAGGAGTTAGAGAGAATGGAGCAAAGTTTTGGTATATTGTTGAAATTAAGTTGGCATTAATTTGAAAATGCCACAGCGCAGGATATGAAAGGGTAAGGTAAGGGGATGATGGAGCAATACAATAGAGCATCTTCAGCCCTTGACAATTGAGACAAATAATGTCGACCTTAGTTGTTTGCTTAGATTCCATTTTATTAGAAAAAACATTTTAGGCTGGATGCGGTGGCTCACGCCTGTAATCCCAACACTTTGGGAGGCCGAGGCGGGTGGACCACGAGGTCAGGAGATCGAGACCATCCTTGCCAACATGGTGAAACCCCGTCTCTACTAAAAATACAAAATTAGCTGGGCATGCGCCTGTTGTCCCAGCTACTTGGGAGGCTGAGGCAGGAGAATCACTTGAACCCAGGAGGCAGAGGATGCAGTGAGCCGAGATTGTGCCACTGCACTCCAGCCTGGTGACAAAGAGAGACTCCATCTCAAAAAAAAAAAAAAAAAAAAAAAAGAAAAGAAAAAACTTTAAAGCCACTGTTATTTGTTTTTTTTTTTTTTTTTTCTGTTTCTTACAGTGAACCTTAAGAGTTTCCATAGATTTTCCAATACAGAGAAAATAAAAGATATCTGGTTGGTACTCAAAGTCTTATGTTCACAAAAGATATCCCAGGCATAGCAGACCCAATGTCTATGCCAATTCACAGTGCTGCCCACAGTAAGCCCACCCCTTGTACTCTTTCTCGTATCGAGGCTAGACTTTCTATTCATTCTGTTTCCCTCAAGACTGAATCAGAAGCAGGGATTTATTTTCCCCAATTTTCTTCCACTTAGAAGCCCCACTTGTAGAAACAGTGACCAATTTATGCTTTGTCTTATTTAGGAAAACAGTGTTTAGAAAATTAGATCTAAGAATTCAAATGTGTTTGTGCTAGTTTATACTGAATGGTACAAAGTCACTACTCTCAGTTTCCATTGCAGTACTTGGAGGTTTATAAACATGAAGACTTTTTTTCTCATTTTCATGTGTCTGAAGAGTAGTCTGAGTCATACAGTTTTAAGAAATCCTTTAAAAGAATAGACATGGTTGTGCCCATAGAAATTATTACTATTCCTTCCTAATATAAGAGGAGAAAAATACAATTGTCTCTTTTCATTTGTTTCCAAGATATTTTTTGATGTCAAGATATTTAACTTCATCAGTGATATTTTCCTGGGCAAGATCTCCTTAAAGAAAGAGGCATTTAATTGGGAGTAGAGAAAGGATGTTCTGATACCTCGAAAATGCCTTTTCTTCAGAAAAAAAGAGTTCCATAGGACGCTAAGACCAGTTGGTAACATAGCCCATCAACATTTACAATCTCCTTGGACTAACTTATTTGCTAATAGATAGGATTTTACAATCCCCTAAGTTAGGATTTCTCTATGTCAAGAATCCTATAATACTGAAGAGAAATAGTGTGATATTTTAATAAACTGAAATTTTCTTTCTTCTTCAGAGATACTAACTAGATTAGCATGTGTTAATTATTCTTTTAGGATCTTACAAATTTGTGATTCTTGGGTATACATTTCTTCACAGGCTTAATTTCAGGAGCAATTAAGGACACATTGACCAATTTGAAGCAAATGATATTTATATTATAAAATAGCACATAATTAATAAGGTAGAGATAAATCAAACTTTCCAAAAATCATGTACAAGCTTGAAATTGCAGATAGTTATAATAAGCCCACACAGCAATCTCTGAAAACTCCTACATTTAGTGAACTTTGCAAATTTTACTTAGAAGAAAAAAGATTAAGACAACTTGCTTCTTAGAGAAACTATGGTGAAAAAGAAACCTACCATTTCCATCTGCAAAATATTTAATAATTTATATATAGCAATGGAAAGACATACTTGAAATTTCTCACTTCTCTTCTTCTCCATTGTATTGATTGCCATGACAAAGGATTTATAAAAAACAATCAATTCTGACAACTGTTATGCTTTCTCAATTCACTTATTTTCAAATGGTAATTGTCAGGCCTCTGAGCCCAAGCTAAGCCATCATATCCCCTGTGACCTGCACGTACACATCCAGATGGACGGTTCCTGCCTTAACTGATGACATTACACCACAAAAGAAGTGAAAATGGCCTGTTTCTGCCTTAACTGATGACATTGTCTTGTGAAATTCCTTCTCCTGGCTCATCCTGGCTCAAAAGCTCCCCAACTGAGTAACTTGTGATCCCCACTCCTGCCTGCCAGAGAACAACCCCCCTTTTTCCTTTACCTACCCAAATCCTATAAAACGGCCCCACCCTTATCTTCCTTTGCTGACTCTCTTTTTGGACTTGGCCCGCCTGCACCCAGGTGAAATAAACAGCCATGTTGCTCACACAAAGCCTGTTTGGTGGTCTCTTCACATGGACGCACATGAAATTTGGTGCCGTGACTTGGATCGGGGGACCTCCCTTGGGAGATCAATCCCCTGTCCTCCTGCTCTTTGCTCCATGAGAAAGATCCGCCTACAACCTCAGGTCCTCAGACCCACCAGCCCAAGAAACATCTCACCAATTTCAAATCCAGTAAGCGGCCTCTTTTTACTCTCTTCTGCAACCTCCCTCACTATCCCTCAACCTCTTTCTCCTTTCAATCTTGGTGTCACACTTCAATCTCTCCCTTCTCTTAATTTCAATTCCTTTCATTTTCTGGTAGAGACAAAGGAGACACGTTTTATCCGTGGACCCAAAACTCCGGCACCAGTCACAGACTAGGGAAGGCAGCCTTCCCTTGGTGTTTAATCATTGCAGGGACGCCTCTCTGATTATTCACCCAGGTTTCAGAGGTGTCAGACCATGCAGGGACGCCTGCCTTGGTCCTTCACCCTTAGCGGCAAGTCCCACTTTCCTGGGGAAGGGGCAAGTACCCCAACCCCTTCTCTCTATGTCTCTACCCCTTCTCCACCTTTCTGGGGGGGAAGAAACCCCCAACCCCTTCTCCTTAACCCTGAGCGGCAAGTCCCGTTTTGTGGGGGAGGGGCAACTACCTCAACCTTGTATCTCTGCGCCCCAATCCCTTATTTCTGTGCCCCGACCTCGTATCTCTGTGCCCTGACCCCTTTCCCGCTTTTCTGGAGGGTAAGAACCCCCGAACCCCTTCCCTCCGTGTCTCTACTCTCACTTTTCTCTGGGCTTGCTTCCTTCACTATGGGCAACCTTCCACCCTCCATTCCTCCTTCTTCTCCCTTAGCCTGTGTTCTTAAGAACTTAAAACCTCTTCAACTCTCACCTGACCTAAAATCTAAGCATCTTATTTTCTTCTGCAATGCTGCTTGACCCCAATACAAACTCGACAGTAGTTCCAAATAGCCGGAAAATGGCACTTTCAATTTTTCCATCCTACAAGATCTAAATAATTCTTGTTGTAAAATAGGCAAATGGTCTGAGGTGCCTGACGTCCAGGCATTCTTTTACACATCAGTCCCTTCCTAGTCTCTGTGCCCAGTGCAACTCATCCCAAATCTTCCTTCTTTCCCTCCCACCTCTCCCCTCAGTCCCAACCCCAAGCGTCGCTGAGTCTTTCTAATCTTCCTTTTCTACAGACCCATCTGATCTCTCCCCTCCCCCCCAGGCTGCTCCTCGCCAGGCCGAGCTAGGTCCCAATTCTTCCTCAGCCTCCGCTCCTCCACCCTATAATCCTTTTATCACCTCCCCTCCTCACACCTGATCCGGCTTGCAGTTTCCTTCTGTGACTAGCCCTCCCCCACCTGCCCAGCAATTTACTCTTAAAAAGGTGGCTGGAGCCAAAGGCATAGTCAAGGTTAATGCTCCTTTTTCTTTATCCCAAATCAGATAGCGTTTAGGCTCTTTTTCATCAAATATAAAAATTCAGCCCAGTTCATGGCTCGTTTGGCAGCAACCCTGAGACACTTGACAGCCCTAGACCCTAAAAGGTCAAAAGGCCATCTTATTCTCAAAATACATTTTATTACCCAATCTGCTCCCAACATTAAATAAAACTCCAAAAATTAAATTCCAGCCCTCAAACCCCATGACAGGATTTAATTAACCTCACCTTCAAGGTGTACAATAATAGAAAAAAGTTGCAATTCCTTGCCTCCACTGTGAGACAAACCCCAGCCACATCTCCAGCATGCAAGAACTCCTAAATGCCTGAACCGCAGCAGCCAGGCGTTCCTCCAGAACCTCCTCCCCAGGAGCTTGCCACAAGTGCCAGAAATCTGGCCACCAGGCCAAGGAATGCCTGCAGCCCAGGATTCCTCCTAAGCCATGTCCCATCTGTGTGGGACCCCACTGGAAATTGGACTGTCCAACTCACCTGGCAGCCACTCCCAGAGCCCCTGGAACTCTGGCCCAAGGCTCTCTGACTCCTTCCCAGATCTTCTTGGCTTAGCGGCTGAAGACTGATGCTGCCCGATTGCCTCGGAAGTCCCCTAGACCATCACGGACGCCGAGCTTTGGGTAACTCTCACAGTGGAGGGTAAGTCCGTCCCCTTCTTAATCAATACGGAGGCTACCCACTCCATATTACCTTCTTTTCAAGGGCCTGTTTCCCTTGCCTCCATAACTGTTGTGGGTATTGACCGCCAGGCTTATAAACCTCTTAAAACTCTGCAACTCTGGTGCCAGTTTAGACAATACTCTTTTATGCACTCTTTTTTAGTTATCCCCACCTGCCCAGTTGCCTTATTAGGCCGAGATATTTTAACCAAATTATCTGCTTCCCTGACTATTCCTGGACTACAGCCGCATCTCATTGCTGCCCTTCTCCCCAACCCAAAGCCTCCTTCGCATCTTCTTCTCGTATCCCCCCACCTTAACCCTCAAGTATAGGACATCTCTACTCCTTCCCTGGCAACCGATCACATGCCCATTACCATCCCATTAAAACCTAATCACCCTTACCCTGCTCAACGCCAATATCCCATCCCACAGCACGCTTTAAAAGGATTAAAGCCTGTTATCACTCACCTGCTACAGCATGGGCTTCTAAAACCTGTAAACTCTCCTTACAATTCCCCCATTTTACCTGTCCAAAAACCGGATAAGTCTTACAGATTAGTTCAGGATCTGCGCCTTATCTACCAAATTGTTTTGCCTATCCACCCTGTGGTGCCCAACCCGTACACTCTTTCATCCTCAATACCTTCCTCCACAACTCACTATTCCATTCTTGATCTTAAAGATGCTTTTTTCACTATTCCCCTGCACCCCTCGTCCCAGCCTCTCTTTGCTTTCACTTAGACTGACCCCAACACCCATTAGGCTCAGCAAATTACCTGGGCTGTACTGTTGCAAGGCTTCACAGACAGCCCCCATTACTTCAGTCAAGCCCAAATTTCATCCTCATCTGTTACCTGTCTCGGCATAATTCTCATAAACACACACGTGCTTTCCCTGATGATCGTGTCCGGTTAATCTCCCAAGCCTCAATCCCTTACAAAACAATAACTCCTTTCCTTCCTAGGCATGGTTAGTGCGATCAGAATTCTTACACAAGAGCCAGGACCGCACCCTGTAGCCTTTCTGTGCAAACAACTTGACCTTACTGTTTTAGCCTAGCCCTCATGTCTGCGTGCAGTGGCTGCTGCTGCTTTAATACTTTTAGAGGCCCTAAAAATCACAAACTATGCTCAACTCACTCCCTACATTTCTCATAACTTCCAAAATCTATTTTCTTCCTCATACCTGACGCATATACTTTCTGCTCCCCAGCTCCTTCAGCTGTACTCACTCTTTCTTAAGTCCCACAATTACCATTGTTCCTGGCCCAGACTTCAATCCAGCCTCCCACATTATTCCTGATACCACACCTGACCCCCATGACTGTATCTCTCTGATCCACCTGACATTCACCCCATTTCCCCATATTTCCTTCTTTCTTGTTCCTCACTCTGATCACGCTTGATTTATTGATGGCGGTTCCACCAGGCCTAATCGCCACACACCAGCAAAGGCAGGCTATGCTATAGTACAAGCCAGTAGCCCGCCTCTTAGAACCTCTTATTTCCTTTCCATCGCGGAAATCTATCCTCAAGGAAATAACTTCTCAGTGTTCCATCTGCTATTCTACTACTCCTCAGGGATTATTCAGGCCCCCTCCCTTCCCTACACATCAAGCTCAAGGATTTGCCCCCACCCAGGACTGGCAAATTAGCTTTACTCAACATGCCCCGAGTCAGATAACTAAAATACCTCTTAGTCTACGTAGACACTTTCACTGGATAGGTACAGGCCTTTCCTACGGGGTCTGAGAAGGCCACCGCAGTCATTTCTTCCCTTCTGTCAGACATAATTCCTCAGTTTAGCCTACCCACCTCTACACAGTCTGATAACAGACCAGCCTTTATTAGTCAAATCAGCCAAGCAGTTTTTCAGGCTCTTAGTATTCAGTGAAACCTTTATATCCCTTATGGTCTTCCATCTTCAGGAAAAGTAGAACGGACTAAAGGTCTTTTAAAAACACACCTCACCAAGCTCAGCCACCAACTTAAAAAGGACTGGACAATACTCTTACCACTTTCCCTTCTCAGAAGTCAGAGTTGTCCTCAGAATGCTACAGGGTACAGCCCATTTGAGCTCCTGTATAGATGCTCCTTTTTATTAGGCCCCAGTCTCATTCCAGACGCCAGACCAACTTAAACTGTGCCCCAAAAAAACCTATCATCCCTACTATATTCTGTCTAGTCATACTCCTATTCACCGTTCTCAACTACTCACACATGCCCTGCTCTTGTTTACACTGCCGGTTTACACTGTTTCTCCAAGCCATCACAGCTGATATCTCCTGGTGCTATCCCCAAACTGCCACTCTTAACTCTTGAAGTAAATAAATAATCTTTGCTGGCAGGACTATGCTGAATTTCCTTAAGCACTCTAATTAGATGTCCTAGGTCCTCCCAATTCTTAGACCTTTAATACCTGTTTTTCTCCTTCTCTTATTCCTTTTAGTTTTTCAATTCATACAAAACCGTATCCAGGCTATCACCAATAATTCTAAATGACAAATGTTTCTTCTAACAGTCCCACAATATCACCCCTTACCATAAAATCTTCCTTCAGCTTAATGTCTCCCACTCTAGGTTCCCACACCGCCCCTAATCCCGCTCGAAGCAGCCCTGAGAAACATCGCCCATTATCTCTCCATACCATCCCCCCAAAAATTTTCACCGTCCCAGCACTTTACCACTACTTCGTTTTATTTTTCTTATTAATATAAGAAGACAAGAATGTCAGGCCTCTGAGCCCAAGCTAAGCTATCATATCCCCTGTGATCTGCACGTACACATCCAGATGGCCGGTTCCTGCCTTAACTGATGACATTGTCTTGTGAAATTCCTTCTCCTGGCTCATCCTGGCTCAAAAGCTCCCCCACTGAGTAACTTGTGATCCCCACTCCTGCCTGCCAGAGAACAACCCCCCTTTTTCCTTTACCTACCCAAATCCTATAAAACGGCCCCACCCTTATCTCCCTTTGCTGACTCTCTTTTTGGACTCAACCCGCCTGCACCCAGGTGAAATAAACAGCCATGTTGCTCACACAAAGCCTGTTTGGTGGTCTCTTCACACGGAAGTGCATAAAAGTAATCAATTATCCATTAATCCTTTATGCCATTGACAGTACATTTCAAGAGTTAAAAAGAAATTTAAGTCTATATATATGATATAACTCTTGTGAAAAGATGGTTACCCTTTCATTAAAATCAGAAAATACGCAGTTTATAAAATTTTATATATTTTAAAAATAAAGGGTAAAAGTCCCTTGCTAAATTTGACATGGCAACCTACACATCAGATAAAGGACTAATATCTTGAATCTATAAAAAACAAATCAACAAGAAAATAACAAATAACCTCATTAAAAAGTGAGCACAGGTCATGAACAGACACTTCTCAAAAGAAGACATACAAGGAGCCAACAATTGTGAAAAAATGTTTAACATCACTAATCACCAGAGAAATGCAAATCAAAACCACAGTGAGACACCATCTCACACCAGTCAGAGCATCTATTATTAAAAAATCAACAAATAACAGATGCAGGCAAGATTGTAGAGAGAAGGGAACACTTATATATTGTTGGTGGAAATACAAATTAATTCAGCCCCTGTGGAAAGAAATTTGGAGATTTCTCAAAGAACTAAAAGTAGAATTACTCTTTGACCCAGCAATCCTATTACTGCGTATATGCCGTGTAAACCAAAAATAAAATTCTAAGGCCCCCCAACCATCTGAATAGACCCATCCGCCTGGCCAAGGGCATTCAAAGTTAACTGAAAAACTAGTTCAAGCCATGATGGGAAGGAGGAGCCAGACATGCGTCATTATATCCACCTCCCTTTTGGAATTATTGATAGAACAGGTCTTTAAGTCTGATAAGAAACATTTACAATCTATTCTCTCGGAAGCCTGCTTCCTGGAGACTTCATCTACATGATAAAACCTTGGTCTCCACAACCCCTTGTTGCAACCCAGGTATTCCTTTCTGTTGATAATAAGTCTTTGAACCAATTGACAACCAGAAAATTTTTAAACCTACCTATGACCTGGAGGTCCCCACTGCAAGTTGTCCTGCCTTTCTGGACCAAACCAATGTACATCTTACATGTACTGATTGATGTCTCACATCTCCCTAAAATGTATAAAACCAAGCTGTACTCTAATCACCTTGGGCACATGTCATCAGGACATTCTGAGGCTGTGTCATGGGCACGTCCCTAACCTTGGCAAATGTAAACTTTCTAAATTGACTGATAGATAAAAGTATCTGTTTCAGATACTTTTGGTTTACAACCCAAAAGAAAATGAATTATTCTACCAAAAAGTCACCAGCAGTCATATATTTTTATTGTAGCACTATTCACAATAGCAAAGATGTGACATTAACTCAGGTGATCATCAATGGTGGATTGGATAAAGAAAATGTGGTACATAAACATGATGGAATACCACACAGCCACAGAGCCACACACCATGGAATACTACACAGCCACACAAAAGAGTGAAATCATGTCCTTTGCAGGAATATGGATGCAGCTGGAGGTCATTATCCTAAGTGAATAAGCACAGAAACAGAAAACCAAATACCCTATGTTCTCACTTACAAGTAGGAGCTGTACATTGGGTACACATGGACCCAAACATAGGACCAATAGACATTGGGGGTTTCAAATGGTGGGGGTAAGGAGACAGGGGAGCAAGGTCTGAAAACTGACTTATTGAAAACTATGTTCGCTATTTGACAACAGGATGATTAAAAGACAGTGTACATACATTCAGCATTACTCAATATACCCAGGTAACAAACCTGCACATATGCCCCATCAATGTCGAATTTAAAAATAAATTTCCAAAAGTAAATAAATTTTGGCATGTCCTCTAAAATGTACTCTCAAGATAAAAAGATTTTTAAAAACTACAGTTATTTAAAGAGTAGCTTAAAAAACAACTTTACCTCTTTCAAGAGGCAAAATTTTCATGAACTGTGTTCTTTTGCCTCCTAATATAAAAGTTATCGGGTACTTTCCCTGCAGTGCATTTAAAACCATTCATAGTAAATGAATCATTTAGAAGAGCAAAAGAGGTTGCTTATTTATTCTGTTTTCAAAATTTTCAGTCCACAGCACATATTTATAGATCACTTCACTGATGAAAAACTTTTATACTAATGAGAGTTATCAAGCGTAAGTTTAAAACACCAGCAGTGACCATTTTCAAACAAAAGTAGTTTCAAAACACACAATATGCTAGTTCCAGCATTCAGATTTTAATTGATAGATCCAGGCTTCAGACTTAGCTTTATCTGATTTCAAAGTTTTTATCATAGACATATCATAATGCAGCCACCCAAAGTAAATAATACCATTTATTAGGTACTGACCTAATATATACTTCACTGTGACAAATATTACTGCAAAATGTCTAATGTAATTTACTATGTACCTGAGATGGATAGGTAGATAAACAGAATATAAGATATATATATATATATATATATTTATACATATAAAATTTTATGTACGATTTATATGACACATACAAATATATTTAAATCTTTATGGATAATCACTTCTCCACACAAGATGTGCACAAATATTTCCACATGACCACAGTACTGTTCTCTGGAAAGCCTTGAATCAGCTTCAACATTCTTAACACAGTACTTTGACAACAGCTGTTATCAATTATGAAAGCACATTTCTTAGAGTAATTATTGTTATTCATAATTTATTTGTATAATTTGTACACATCTTTTTGTTTTGTATTCACCTTCATCTTTATCTCTTTTTTCCAACACTATACTCCAGCTAGAATGGCCTTATTTCTCACCTTTAGGCCAGAAACCTATTCTCCTGGCACAACGTCTGAGCTTTAACATTTCATTTAATTGGATGTTCTTTCCCCAGATTGTCACCTAGCTACTTTCTTCAGCCTCAGTTCAAGTATCAACTTCTCAGAAAAGTCTTCTCTGACAAACTTGGCTAAAGTAGCTATTCCCTAAATTCTAGAAGCGTTCTAGCACATCACTCTGTTAATTATCTTTATAAGACTTTAAGATTTGAACTATTTTATTAATTTATAACTTTTTATTATGTCCACTACTAGAGTATAAACTTTCTGAGGGTAGGGTAAGTCCCTGACCTCTCTTATTTATTTTTATATTCCTGATGTCTAAAGCAGAACTGAGAAGACTTTGAACAAATAAATATAAATCAACAAATTAATAGAAAAGATATATTTATTATATAGATTGAAATATATAATTGTGTATATATTTGCGGAATTTTAGGTAGTATATATATTAGTTGTTTAGTTCACCTATTATTTAATAAAATGAGCTTGTGACTAGATGACAATAACCATAATTCTTTGAGTTGTTTTCACACACAAAGTAAACTCTCTAATTGAAAAACAGAGATTGGCAGAATGGATTTTTTAAAAACCATAATTTAATCATATGCTAGTCCTCTGAAAAGGTGAAAACAATATTTTTGTTATACAAAAGAATTATTTTTGCAAAAATAACAAAAAGACAACCAGAGTAGTTATATCAATGTCAGACAAAATAAACTTTAAGACAAAGAAGGATATTTTGTAATTTTAAAAGACTAATCTGCTAACAAGATATAACAATTATAACCATACATGCACTTAACAACAGAGCCTAAAATATAAAGAGCAAAAATTGACATAAGGTAGAAAAAGACAATTAAACAGTAATATTTGGAGACTTCAATACCTGCTTTCAATAATAGATAGGAAAACCAGATAGATTAACAATGGAGTATAAGAATTGAGCTACACTATAAACCAGCTAGACATATTTATAGAACACTCCACCAATGAACAGCAGAATATACATTCTTCTCAAACACACATGGAACATTCTTCAGGACAGACATATGTTAAGCCATAAAATGTGTCTCAGAGAATTTATAAGAACTAAAATTATACAGGATATGTTCTCTAATCACAAAAATGGTATTAAAAATCAATGAAAGAAGGAAGTCTGAAAAATTCACACACATGTAAAAATTAAGCAAACACACCCCTAAATAACCAGTTGGCCAGAGAATTAATCAAAAGGAAAGTTATAAAAAACTTTGAGAAGACTAAAATGAAAACACAACATACCAAAACATGAAATGCAGCAAAAGCAGTGCTTAGAGGTATTTACACCTATAAATGCATACATTAAAAAGAATAAGTGCCTCTAATTATTATACTAAGCTTCCATCTTAAGAAACTAGAAAGAGAAGAGCAAACAAAATTCAAAATAAAGAAGGAATTAATAAAAATTAGGATGGAAATAAATGAAATAGAGGATAGAAAATCAATAGAGGAAAAAAATCATAAAACCAAAGGTTTGTTCTCTGAAATGATTGATAAAATTTTCAAACATTTAGATAGACTGAGCAAGAAAAAAAAGATGCAAATGACTGAAATCAGTATTGAAACATGGGATGTCATTATTAATTTTACAGAAATAAAGTACTTTTAGAAAATACTATGAATAAATGCATGCTAGTAAACAGGATAACCCAAATGAAATAGAAAATATTATTTCTAGAAACTTACATACTGACAAGAGAAGAAAAAATAGAAATCTTAACAGACCTAATAAGAGTACAGATTGAGTTAATAAAAAAATTTCTAATAAAGAAAATTCCAGAACCAGATGGCTTCATTGGTGAATTCTACCCACATTTTAAAGAATTACCACCAATTTGTTTCAATCACTCCACATCAATGGAAGAGAGGAAAGCACTTCCTACCTTATTCTGTAAGATCAGTATTACTCTGACATCAAAGCCAAAACAAGACATCACAAGAAAACTACAGACCAATATCCTTTATGAATATAGGTGAAAAAATCTTCAAAATGTAACAGCCAGTTCAGCCCAGCAATACATCATCATGACCAAGTAGGATTTATCTCAAGGACGCAATGCTAGTTCAAAGTGAGAAAAGTCGATCCATACAGTATACCATATTGATAGAATAAAGAAAATAATATACATGATCATTGCTTTAGATGCAGTAACAGCATTTGACAAAATCCCATACCATTTTATGATAAAATCACTTTAAATGCAAATAGAAGAAAACTTCTTCAACCTGATAAAGGGCATTTATAGAAAACCCATAGCTAACATCAGACTAAATGGGAAAAGAACAAAAACTGTTCCACTTAGATAATGAACAAAATAAGACTCTTCTAGCCAACATTGTATGGATGTTCTACTCAGGGAAATTTGGCAAAAATAAATAAAAAATATTAATTCATAAATAAATTTATATCTCTTAGCATAAGACATAATATCACATATAAAAAGCCATAAAGACCAAATCTATTTGAGCTAATAAATGAATACAGCAAAGTTGCAGGATACAATATTAATATACATATATCAGTTGTATTTCTGTGTACTAGCAATGAACAATATGAAAATGGAACTAATAAAATTCCACTTACAATCATATCAAAAATAAAGAAATTAAGAATATATTTAAGCAAAAAAATACAAGTACAAATGGAATATTATTCAGTATAGACCAAATGCTAAGTGTATATTTTCATAAGCTTGGGTTAGGCAAAGTCTTCTTACACATCACACAGAAGCACAAGTAACAAAAAGAAACTAATTAGATTTTATCAAACTAAAAACTTTTGTTGGTCAAAGCACAATATCAAGAATGTAAAAATATATCCCACTGAATGAGAGAAAATATTCTCAAATCACTTACCTAATAAAGGATTGCACCAAGAGTACATAATGACCTCTTACAACCCAACAACAACAAAAAAAAACAAATTTTAAAATGGGTAAATGATCTCAAAAGAAATGTCTTAAAAGAAGATATAAAAATAAAAGAAGATATTAAAAAAAGCACCTGAAAAGAAACCCAGCACCATTAATCATTAGGAAAATACAAATCAAAACCACAATGATAGCATTTCTCACCCTCTAGGATGGCTATATTTAAAATGACAGATAAGATTAAGTGCTGACAAGTATGTGGAGAGTGTGAAAACTTCATCCGTTGTGGGAATTTAACATGATGCGATTGCCCTGGCAGCTCCCAAAATGTTAAACATACTGTTACCATATGACCAAGCAATTCCTAGATATATGCTCCAATGAAATGAAAACACACATCCTCATAAAGACTAGTACACAAATGTTCATAATAGACAACAAGTGGAAACCATCCACATGTCCATCTGCTGATGGATTAAAAAGTGTGCTATATCCATAAAATGGAATATTATTCAGCATTAAAAATGAATAAAGTATCAATACACGCAACAACATTGTTAAACCTTAAAAACACTATGCTAAGTAAAAGAAGCCATTCACAAAGAAGATATGTTGTATTATTCTATTTATATAAAATATCCAAAATAGTGAAATCTATAGAGACAAATTATTCTAATGGCTATCTAGATCTAAGGCTTGGAGGTTCTGGTTTCAGAACAGAGACAGGCTGGAAAGTGGCTGCTAATGAGTACAGGGTTTCTTTTAAAATGAGAAGTGTTGTAAAATGGATGGTGATGATGATTACACAACTGTGAACATATTAATATTAAAAACCAAATAACTGTTTATATGTATAGTATGTGAACTGTATCTCAATAAAGCTGTTAAAAATCAATCTAAATTAGACCATTAAGAAAAATAAATGGAGAAAAATTAAATGATCATATCTAGGGATCCAGAAAAGCCTTTGATAAAATTCAATCACCGTTAATTTGAGGAAAAATCTTTTAGCAAATTAAAAACTAAAACAATGGCCACAAAAAATCCTATGGTAAAATCCACAAAAAATTAAACATCAGGCTTAATTATGAAATACTGAATGAGCCAAATTATGAAATATTGAATGAGCCAAAGATATTCCTTTTACCAATTATATTCAACATAGTATTGGAGTTTTTAATATATGCCACAGGCCTACAGATGAAAATAAAAGACTTAAGGATGGGTAAAGAAGTAATAAAATTGTCATTATTTGCAGAGGATATTATTGTGCCTTTAGAAAATCAAAAAGAATCTGTGGAAAAACCATTAGAATTACTAAGTAAATTTAGCAAAATCTAAATAAAAGGTTGGCAAAGTGTAAATATATGAAAACAGGAGAATTTCTATGTAACTACAACAAATACATAGGAAATTTAAAACTAGAATTTCAATAGCACTGAAAACATCAAATATGTTGGGATATATTGAGTGAAAATATTTGAGAAATCTGTACTGAAAACTGCAAAACACTGTTGAGAAACCGTAAGTCTAGATACATGAAGGGATTATACTATGCTCATGAATAGGAAAAATCGTTACTAAGAAAACTGTCTCCAAAATTCCTCTATGGGTTAAATGAAAAATGTATAAAGAACTCATGTGAATCCAAAGGAAAAGGAAGAAAATCATTAGAATAACGGACAAAAGAATTACACAGGATGTCTGCAATAAAGCATATTCAAATGGACACTAAACAATTGAAAAGTTGCTCACCTTCCTTAGACTTTAGATATGAAAAACAAAATGACAGTGAAATACCACTATGTAAACTCCTCCAAAAATAGTTAATTTAAATAATTATGGAATAAACCAAAGTGTGGGCAAAAATTTGAGCTATTTAAACTCTCATATACTGTCAGAGTACAATTACTTTGATCATCTATCTAGCCATATCTAATAAAGTATAACATGCATACTTTATTACCCAGTAATTCCATTTGCAGATGTATAGCCAACTGAAATGCATATACACTTTCAACAGATAAACACGTCATATTAGAATGTTTATAGCAGAACAACTACTAATAGTACTAAATATTTAACTTCCCAGATGTCCACCAAAAATGGATATATAAACTAATATATTCACAGATCAGAATGTGATAGAGCAAGGAAATTATTAAAACTCCAACTTCCCGCATCAATATTGACGAAACTTGCAACAAAAATGTTGAATAATAAATGCTAGATACGAAAGAGATTATATTGTAAAAAGTTTAGAAATAGCTGAAACTACACTTTGGTGGCAAAAGTCATGCTAATGGTGACTCTTTTGGGAGAACAGAAACTGAAGGGCATGCTTCTAGGGTGATGAGAACATGGTTTATTATTCTATTATACTTACATGACCATGTACAGGTTTAAAAATTGATCAAGCTATACGACTTATTTGTACATTTTGTTCTATACCTGTTATTCCTCAATAAATACTTTATAAAGCAGGGATGGCAATGTGAATGAACACATATTTGGTTTGAAGAAATAAAAATATTGTGATGTGCCTAGAATATGAGAAGAATATTGTGAAGAGAGTGCATAAGGAGAATACTTTGCATAATCCAAACTATAAGAATCTGACAATTAAAAAAGGAAAAAAACAGCAAATGTCACTACATTTTATGAGTTTATGTCAAGTTCACTTCTCTATACTTCTGAAAATCCAACCTTAAAATCAAGCTAGTCAAACTTCCTATGTTTAGAGCCTCTTTTTCTATTCATTAATTCTCAAGGGTATTAAACAGTGACTGAGTAATGTTTGTACATTATTCCAGTAGCATGTAATGTAAATTAAGCAAGTCTACAAGGTGAGTTAGCTTTAAAAACACCTGTGTTCCTCCTAATGACTCAACACAGTTCAGAGAGGCATTCTCCTTTTGAATTCTTTGTACTGTATTTCCAAATGTTAAGATGAATTCTCTTATATTTAGAAGATGGAAACAAGATAGGAGTTGGCCTTTTAAAAAATCTTACACCTTGTTCTAATTCAGTGTATTGACTTGTTCTTAGTTGTTTATTCTGCTTTAAATATAGCACTAAAGACTTTTTTAAAATTAAGGAAAATATTTGTCCCTTGGGATTCATCTCATTTCCTTACTTAAAAATTTCATTATGATAAGATTCTTATGTTTATTTTGTTTTTTCATTCTCAATCATTTACTCTTCTTTTAATGGTCTTCATATAGTATGATAGCTTCTTGAATGCAACAACTTAAATTTTCATTTTAAAGAACAATGTAAGTTAAGATGTTTAGTTTAATTGTTAGAACATAATAAGAATTCCAAAATTTAGGAATAAAAATGATTGCAAAAGCACATCAATAAATGTACCTGATGAAAGAAACAGTCTCTGTCACGCATAAACTAAAAGAATAGAATTTGGGGAGTGAAATCTGATGATTTGCCAATCAATTAAAAGATCATTGCACTAGTTCACGACACCCATAAAAATTTACTCAACTACATATATGCAAATAAATCATCGCATTTAAATTCCAACACTTAATCCTGTTCCTGATATAAAGTACACAGAGGCAATTGCTTGATGCTTACTGATTAAATTGTAGTATCAAGGTTTTCAGAGCCTGTTCTTCTTGTGCCAAGCACTTCAATCTTTTCTGTTATCTTGTCTCTTTCTTAAACTTTAAGGATGAATAATCATGGTCCACCATATTAATAGAATAATAGCATTAATAGAATATCTATGAAGCAGAGCAAATCTATTCTCAAATATAAGATTTGTTGTCCAACTAAACTGATAAGCCTATGATGTCAAAATTACTTAGTAATCCATATTAATCTCAATAACATAGCTTCAGATGATATATCCAGGGAAGTTGTATTCTGAATTTGTTCCTTTAAAATTAAAATTGTTATTTATTCCTCATAAAAATTGAATAAATTATTGATTATGCTTTATCTTCGTTTTAAATAAATGTACATTTTGTCTTAACCACTTTGTTTTTGGCATCTATCATCACATTAATTACACTGTCATTACTTCTCATTTTTCTATACTTTCTTTCTCACATTGTTTCCTTCCATTGGAGCCCAGCCCCCATCTGTTTACCCTGATACACAGATTTCTATTCTGGAACACAACAGTATTCCTTATGCCTGCTGTTTTTCCTAGCAATTCATCCTTTCGTTCTAGGCATGAATGCCATTCTTAGTCCCAAAATGGTGAATGCTAAGATATCAGTAGTAGAGTGTGAGTTTTCATTCTTTTTTTCTCTTTACTTGCAGCAACAGGTTTGAATAGCCAGAGTTTCACAAGGTTCTTCTTATGACAAACATATATGACAAACATATGTATATTCTTGTTATGACAAACACTTGGAAACCAGAAATTAGCTAAGTAGTCTTTGATTGTGAATTAGACCAATGCAACTAGCCTTTACTTGACTGCCTATTTTATTTCATTCTCATGAGAAAAAACCAATAACTATTACATAAAAGTATTACTTTTCCTTGACATCATTATTTTAGATATAAAATTATCTTTTATGTGTTTAAAACTGTAGCATGAGATACATAGTAAAATATCAGCAAATAAAGCATTATGTACTCCTGTGTTATAATAAATTATGGCCCTCATTCTAAAAGGTGAAGGTACCTTAAAAGTACCTAATTTCAAAATACATTTTGTTAAGAAAAGGGCCTTTGACATGTGTTATAGTTTTTAAAATGGTGCTGCCATAGGTTTTCCCTAAAAGTAGCATTGACATATGCGCATACAAATAATATATATTTTTCTTATAATTAGGACAACAAGTTTATAATGCGAACGAATGAAATACTCTGTACAAAGTAAACCGATGTAAATTTGGGGCAATTAGTCATTGAGAATCTTTGTGTTCTTTAGTTGTCAAATTACAGATAATTTTTTAAAAACTTCAGCCCCAGCCTTTCACATATATATTCACTACTTATCAAGATGCAAATAGTGATAGCTCATTTTTTTCTGAAAACAATCTAATTGACCTTAAAGAAATTTTAAAAAAATCAGACTCATAGAAATGGCTGACTTTTCCAACTTAAAAGCATTGCCATCAAAGATAAAAAGCAAAAAAGATAATGCTATGTAAGAACTGGAAGCAAGGCTGCTGCTCTTGACTTCAAGGTTCATTTGCTTTTTCTTATTTTTTATTTTTTGACAGTCTCTTTGTGCCTCCTCAGGCTGGAGTGCAATGGCACGATCTTGGCCTACTGCAACCTCCACCTCCCAGGTTCAAGCAATTCTGCTGCTTCGGCCTCTTGAGTAGCTGGGATTACAGGCGTGCACCATCATGCCCGCCTAATTTTTGGATTTTTTTTTTTTTTTTTTTTTTTTTTGAGACGGAGTCTCGCTCTGTCGCCCAGGCTGGAGTGCAGTGGCGGGATCTCGGCTCACTGCAAGCTGCGCCTCCCGGGTTCACGCCATTCTCCTGCCTCAGCCTCCCAAGTAGCTGGGACTACAGGCGCCCGCCACTACGCCCGGCTAATTTTTTGTATTTTTAGTAGAGACGGGGTTTCACCGTTTTAGCTGGGATGGTCTCGATCTCCTGACCTCGTGATCCGCCCGCCTCGGCCTCCCAAAGTGCTGGGATTACAGGCGTGAGCCACCGCGCCCGGCCAATTTTTGTATTTTTTAGTAGAGACGGGGTTTCACCATGTTGGCCAGGCTGGTATCAAACTCCTGACCTTATGTGATCCACCCGCCTCAGCTTCCCAAAGTGCTGGGATTATAGGAATGAGCCACCACGCCCAGCCCATTTGCTTTTATATGTTAAGTTCTTTTCCAATATTAAAAACACTTGTTTAAAAGTTTGGCAAAACATTTCTTTGACTCTTAATTTATAACTATTTTTCGAAGGAGATTTTTGCATTAACAGAATTGTCTAAACATTTCCCGAATCTTCACAATATATTTTACTTAGAGGAAAAATCATTTCACCTAAATTTCTTCTTACTCAACACATTTAATCCAGATATAATAAACTGAATCTATGATAATAGATTAAAGAATGAATCTATTATAATCTCTAATTTAATCCAGTTTAATTTATTAAGCGTTTCATGAATGAATTACACTTGTTTCAGATTGTATCCTAATGACCCATTTTATCAGATTAGATAGTTCTCACAATACCTAGTAAAATAGACATTTATCTCTGAAAAAGCAATACTAATTCTGAACATCTTGGATAATACTTTCACCCTGTTCAAAATCTGTTTGGGATATATAAGCTATTTTGAAGAGACCAGAGACGTTGTACTATTCAAGACCTATAGGTATGACTAACCGGCTACAATTACTTATAATTGAAACTTATTTAGTTCAAGTGTATTTGGTGTTCTGAAAATTGTTGTGAGGTGTTTTTGAAGCACCTATGTTGTCTGGAGTATAAAGCCTGAGTTTGTCGTCATACACCATGAAAATTTAGGACTTAAGGAGTTTAGGAGCAGAGGGGTGTGTGTGTGTGTGTGTGTGTGTGTGTATGTGTGTTTGAGATGGAGTCTCACTCTGTCACTCAGGCTGGAATGGAGTGGCGCGATCTCAGGTCACTGCAACCGCCACCTCCCCGGTTAAAGTGATTCTCCTTCCTCAGCCTCCCAAGTAACTGGGACTACAGGCACACCCACCACGCCCAGCTTTTTTTTTTTTTTTTTTTTTTTTTTTTGTATTTTTAGTAGAGACAGGGTTTCATCATGTTGGCCAAGATGGTCTCAATCTCTTGACCTCATGATCCCCCCCACCTGGGCCTCCCCAAGTGTTGGGATTACAGGTGTGAGCCACCACGCCCGCTGGAGCAGAGGTTTACTTGGTAGAAGAGAAAGAGAAACAGCTCCCTCTATAGAGGAAGGAGTCTCTGACTGGAAAGGACTGGCTGGTTGCCAGTGCGCTGAGTTTTATAGTCCAGTTTGAGGGGGTGGTGTCTCATTTACATAGGGCTGACAGATTGGTTTGATCAGATATGATGGTTAAGTAGTGCATGGGAAAGGCTGGTCGCCCCACCCTAATGTTCTTACGCAAATAGGCTTTCCAGATGATCTGAGCCATCTTATCTGCTCCTTACAATACACGTGGCTGGCAGAGAAGGGAAGATGGAGCCGCCAGTTTGAAAATGTCTAGTCCTTAGTTCCTACTGGCATTCGCCATGCAAGCTCCCTGCTTGTAGGCTGCTCTTTGTTAGAAAATGATTTGGGGCTGCTTTTCATTAAAAGGAAAAGTCTTACCGATGACTCCCATGCCCTTGCTACCTGCCTCAGTAATTCCTTCTTAACTCCTGTATCATTTTTGCACATTATGAGATATACATGTTAGCTAAAACATTCATGTAGACATTATTTTCTAGCATACAAGCTATAACAAAATTCAATTAAAATGAAGCATTCTCAAATGCTTTGAAATGTGAACTCACATTCACTTGCTTATGTACTAATGAATTTTATAATATTGTTCTAACTGTGCAGATTGAGAACAGTTCAATGTAATTGAAATCTGTATCCCCAGAGTCTGGATAATCACTTGCTCTAACAGCAGTTGGCTGGTTGTTTTTTTCTTTTGTAGTTGAAGCCAGCCAACTTTAGGCTCTCTTAAAATAAAATGTTTAAAGTAGGTCACAGTTTTCTGATTCTTCCTGTTGCTAAGGTTATAATTCATATTAGAATATTGTTTAAAAAAGAGGCCATTTAAATCAACTATTTCCTGAGCATTTTGCTTGAATATAATAATCTTTATGAAACCCATGATTTAAAGCTGTTGTTTAGCCAAGGTCACGATGGTGATGTCATGCCTCTTGTTGTCCAGGTGAAGCAGCTTATAATGAGCCTAAGACTGTCCTCTCCTTGGAGAACATCGCAAAAACAAGCATGGACCCTTTCTTCTTACATACATTATGAAATAATGTAAATATGTTTCCTGGCCATAGAAAAGAAAAGTTTTGTATTGGTCTTTTATCAATAAATTATATAAGATGGTAAAATATAAAACTTAAATAGAGCTAATTGTTTCATTTACACAGCGTTTCTTTAAATTACTTGATTATAAGAATAAGTTCGGACTTTTGTTTAAAATGCACCTCCCCAGACACCTCCAATCTTTAGAGTGTCTGGTAAATGGTCTATAAATTTGTATTTTTAATAAATAGCCCTAGCTGATCCCAATCATCAGTGGTTTAATGGAAATTCTGCATTAAGGATCAAATAAACCACAACAATCTGGTGAAAATGCAAACAACAAAGCTGAAGCCAGTACAACTCAGGTAAATTGAATTATTCATTACGTATGTAATTTTTGGAAAACAATATGAAGAAGAGAATTATAAGCCAAGATCCCTAGGCAGGAATCCTGGGTTGAGAGGAGGGGTATCTCAGTTCATTTGGGCTGTTATAACAAAATAACACAAACTGGGTGGGTTATGACCGACAGAAACTTATTGCTCACAGTACTAGAGGCTGAGAGGTCCAAGATGAAGGAGCCAGAAGATTCCATCTGGTGAGGCAGCTGTCTCTTACCATATCTTCTCAAGTTGGTAAGGACAAACAAGCTCTCTTAGGCCTTTACATAAGGGCACTAATCCCATCCATGAGGATTCCATCCTCATGACCAAATCACCTTCCAAAGGCATCTCCTTCCAAACACTTCACCTTGGGGTTAAGATTTCAGCATATGAATTTTGGAGAACCGGGTCTCGCTCTGTTGCCCAGGCTGGAGTGCAGTGGCACCATCTTTGCTCACTGCAACGTTTGCCTCCCAGGCTCAAGCGATTCCCCTGCCTCAGCCTCCCGAGTAGCTGGGATCCCACCTCAGTTTCTCAATATGCTAGGATTACAGGCATGAGCCACCGCACCCTGCTGGGGATGTTACCAGTGTATAGAAAATTTTGAAAGCTCTCCAGGTGATTCCAACGTGCAGCCAGTGTTAACTCTTATTTTAAAGACTACAGGGGGAGAGCTACATTTAGTGTGAACTAAATTCAACTTCAATATCATGTGGATTGAGAAAAACTGGTAAACTTCACTTTCCTTTCTGGATCATTGCACTAAGCTATAAGCCCTACAGTTAAAAGTTAATTGTAGTAATCATATTTTTAGAGTTTGATCTGAATATCTAAATAGCATTATAAACTCTATTATTAATTTAAATATTTTTCTATGTAATTTGAAGTTTTTTTGTAGATAAGTATAACTGCTAATAATGACAATTGAGTTTCTTCCCTTTAAATACTTATTATTTTCATCTGTTTATTTTCATTACCAGCATAGCTAAGACCTTCAAACCTTCAAACTCAACATTTTCTGTAAATTGGTTCCTGATTTTGACAGGACCACTTCTAATGTTTCATATTAAGATTTATGCTTGCTGTAGGTTTTTGATAGATTCACATTATCAGATTAAAGAAATCTCCTTTTATTCCTAATTTGCCAAAAATTATAATAATCTCCTGATGCTTATAGTTATATGATCTTGATGTTTATTGCATCATTATTTATCATTTTCTTAATTTTATTTTTATTTACTTTCATTATTCTCATTGTTTGAATTTATTATTTTCCTAATTCAGTTAGAACCATATTTTGCTAATTTTCATCTTTTTGTTTGCTTATTATAAACATCTGTGACTATTAAATTTCCTTCACGTATTATATCCACAATGTTTACCTTAATATTTTCCTTTTCTATTTGACCAACAAATAATTTTAAAATCTAATTTAAATAATTGACGACATATAATATTAGTTTTTCTTTCCTTTTTGACCTTAATTTTCATTAAGAAAAATTTCAAATATATAATAAGAAGAGAAATAGTAAACCCCTATGTACCCAATAATGAATTGAAACAGCTAATAATTTAAGGTCATATTTTCTTCTTTTACTCCAATTACTCTCACCTCACAACCTCACTCATATACTGTATTTTAAAATATTTATCATTTATCTCAAAGATAAAGCAAAAGCATACATCATTTTTTGTAATCTATACTTGCTTCAGTATATATATAGCTAAAGTAAAAGTTAGCAATTATCACCTAATGTTATCAAATATTCAATTACTTTCAAATTTCTCTGATTTTCAGTTTTTCAATTGAGAATCAAAACATGGCCTACACTTTGCATTTGGGATTATACACATATAGATTATATTTTATATTATAGATTATAATATAGATTATATTACACTTTAGATTATAGATTACATTTTGGAGTATACATTATATATTATGTATTTTATGTTTTAAAGTATTTATCATTTATCTCCAAGATAAAGCAAAAGCATACATCATACTTTCTAATCTGTTGCTGCTTCAGTACGTATCTAGCTAAAATAAAAGTAATTACCACCTAATCTTATCAAATATTCATTTACTTTCAAATTTCTCTGATTTTCAGTTGTTCAATTCAGAATCAAAACAAGGGTCCACACTTTGTATTTGATTAATATGGTAATTAAGTCTATATGTTTGATCTATATGTTTCATGTGGCTTAAAAAAATACAAAAAAGTACTTTTTGAAGAAAAACTATTTGTTTAAAAAGTGGATTGTTTTGTAAGGTTTTCCATATTATCAATTTTGTAAATTGCACCCAAAGGTGCCCCTTTCCTATGTTCTATATTTCCTCTACACTTACAGAGAGATCAAATCTAGGTTTGATTTTTTAAAAGAGTACTACTTATTGATAGGTAATGCCACATACATCTTAAAGGCATCACATCAAACGTGCTTCTGGTTGTCTCTTTCGAGGTAATATTAATACTGACTCAGGTGTTATCACCCTTTTCCTTTCAATATAAAATTTCCCAGCAACCTTTCACATAAAAGGCAGCCCTTGAAGATCATTGCCTCAATTTACTATTTCATTACGGTTTACAAACTGATGATATTCCAACTCTATTAACCTTTCTGCATTTATTTTCTGAAATTCTTCTGTAAATAGTAACATTTCCTTATAACCTATTAGGTTACTGTAATTCATAGATCTAGTGGGAAAGGTTAAATAAATATTTGATGCTTTTTCTTAGCAGTTTTCAGAATAATAATGAGGTGGTTTGTAAGCAAATCCAAATGTGAACAGCTTTGTTAGAATGTTTTTGTTTACTATCATTAATAACTCATAGATTTTAACATATTTGTTACCTTTCACTCGACTGTAGTTTTTATTCTTTCCATTGTTTAAATTAGCCCATATTTTGCTCATGGGAGCCCCTTCAGTATGGCTCAAATATCTTTTTATATGACCCCATAAGTACTTACTTTTTGTCTTTTTGTACTTCAGACTCATCTTGCATTTCGTATTTCAGATTGAAGTTACATATTGCTGCTGTCTGCTCCTTTTTAGTGAAAAATGGCATATACAGGACACTGTATGAGAACATAGGGATGCTCATTATTACTGGGTGATCATTTTTCTTAGACCTATTTAGAGAAAATACATTACATTCACTGATATTGCTAATTCAAATTTAAAATGATGGTATTTTTACTAAGTTTTTGTTTCTTCTACACCTATGTTATGGTTCCCAATAACTTTAATGTAAATACTTGTTTGTTTTATCCACATATCATTTTATATTGGTATTTGAAATACATTGTATATTATTTTAAAAACTACATCATATTTTATTTTGTATGTAATATGTACAATTGAAAAGAGTGATTCCAGTATTATTACTAATAATAGTATTGAAAACAGATTAATGATTTTTGGTTTTTTGTTGTTGTTTTTTTTTTTTTTGAGACAGTGTCTCACTCTGTTGCCCAGGCTATAGTGCAGTGGCACAATCTCAGCTCACTGCAGGCTCTGCCTCCCAGGTTCACACCATTCTCCTGCCTCAGCCTCCCGAGTAGCTGGGACTACAGGTGCCTGCCACCACGTCCGGCTAATGTTTTGTATTTTTAGTAGAGATGGGGTTTCACCATGTTAGCCAGGATGGTCTCGATCTCCTGAGCTCTTGATCTGCCTGCCTGGGCCTCCCAAAGTGCTGGGATTACAGGTGTGAGCCACCACGCCCGGCCAATGTTTGTTTTTTTTTAACCTTAAGATATATTCTACTGTCTATGCTGCATATATTGCTGTGTCTTAAAGCCACTTGAAATGATTCTTTTCTATAGCATTAGACCATAACATATTAATCATAGTTAATCTTAAATTCTGACAGTCTTGGCATGTAGGTCAAATCTGAGTCTGGTTCTGTGGATTGCTTTTCTCTTGACAATTAGTAGTTTTCTCATGTGTTTTGGTGTGTCATAGTTTTCATTAAATAATGAGCACCACCTACACATTAATAGTAGAGATTGAAGTAATTTCAACGCACACCTCTTTTTATGTCAGATTGCAAATAGGTGTGGTTGAAGCAATTGAATGAGTTGAGCTGGGCTTGGTGCACCACAGACTTCCAATTACTCAAGATGAAATGCTGCTACTTGGTGTTTAGTGTGAGTCTTAAATAATCTGAGCGTTTCTATCAGTGTTTTTGCTGCACCCTCAGCTTTTGCTGAGGCCCTGCACCTGTATGACACAGATGCAGAAGTTAGACATAACCCAGGAAATCAGCGGCTGTTGTTTGTTACTTAACTCAAAGCTCATGATTAGGAGCAGATGGGGTTGCGCAGCTCTGCGCCAGCCACAGTCTTAGGGAGGCCATTTGTGCTTTTGGCTCAAGGGAGGGGCTTTCTCAGCGTTTCTGACACTTTCCCATGGTGGCTGAAATCTGCTTTGAGCCAGAGGAGTGTTTTGGGGAGCGCTCTGGTGTTGGAGCAAGTTTCCTGTCCCTTCTCTTGGCTGTAGCTGATCTCTGCTTCATGTTGGTGCAGAATTCTTGGTATGCAAAGGCTCTTTACCCTTTCCACATCAGCAGATGGCTGTGTTGGCTTTTATAATTTCTATTTTAAACACTGGATACAGTGACCTTATTGTTTTTCTGTTTGTGGATCCCAATGTCATCTTTGTTGTTTTGCTCACACTCTTAGGGTGCCTTGTTACATCACGTGTTCATAATTTTTATTGATAGTTCATATTTTGTTAAACATAATCTGTGGGAATTCTGAAGATATAAATTATGTGTGCCTTCAATCAGAAAGTATTTCTACTTGGTTCTGATGGGGAGTAAACTGTGCTATAGATCCAGAATGATTTAATCTCTTTCAAGGAGCCCGTCTCATCTTGGGAGATGCACCTTCCCATATAGCTACAAGCCATTGTATGCCCCTAAGATAACTGAATTTAATGTTTGCTTAAAACTCACTATTCTGTTTCAGCTGTATACATTATACTTTTCGTCAGTTTTATTTTCTTGTCTATGCATATTTTCCTTAAAATGTTAATATATCAAAAAGATGATAAGTGAATGAGTTACAATTCAGGCAGATGATAGTTCTCACGTTTATGTTTTTAGATGTATTAATTCTTTTCCTTCTTGTAGCAACTCTGTGAGATTTTGAACTTTATTTTCAATATAAATAAATGCAGGATCTAAGAGTTTAAGTAGGTAAATTGATCTGAACTTATAGGACAAATAAGTTGATAGTAAATCCAGCTCTTTTCTCAACAAGTTACTTTTTTTTTAACTAACAAATGATAAATACTTTTCTTTTCTTTTGGCATCTTTTCCCTAGGCAGACTGATTCTTGAGTCTGATTACTAAGGATGGGCACTTTCTGAAATGCTGGCAGGCTTAATGAAATGATGTGCTGTAATATCATTTTATTCAAACAGAGAGAAAACGTATTATGATAAATGTATTAAGCATATATATATTTGTAAATATTTGGGCCATATACTATTTCTCTAATGGAATATGGCTAATAAGAGGAAATCTTCACTTCCTTGTTAAAATTTCCTACTTTAGATCTTTGCAATATTTTCTGAAATTTATTTCTCTGTATCAGATTCTTCTAGTAATATGAGCTTTACTTCATATTCATACATGAATAAAATATTCTCATTATACCTCACAAAACATTATGAGGGCCTAATAATATAAAATAGGTATTGGCTACATTGTTAAAAATATTTGTATGCATGAGATAATAGTACTATAATAATTAGTTTCATGTTCATGCAGCAACATATTCCAAAAATTATAATGGCTTAAGCAATATGGAAGTTTCTCTCTCTTTCATGTAAAAGAAGCCTGGAGATAACCAGTTTAGTGGAGGTGTTATGCTCCACAGCTGAGGGAGTTGGGCTTTTTCTGCTGCATTTTTCCACCATCCTAAGGTTTGCTTTCAATTTTCAAGGTCATCTAACTGTGCTAAATGGCTGCCAGAGTTCTAATTATCATGTTTTCATTTCCAACAGCAGAAACAGAAGAGAAGGAGAAAAAGGGGTGGGAGATTGAATACACTAGCAGTCTTTTAAGAGAGGTTTCCTGAAAACCCCATGCAACTTCCCTTATGGCTCACTGGCCAGATATTAGTCAAATGGATACCTCCAGTGGCAATGGGATTTGTGAAAGGCAGTATTTACTCTAAACAGTTAAAATATAGAATTATGTAAAAAGAAGGCAAAAATGCACATTGGGCTAGTCAGCTAGCATTCCCTGCAAAAAAAAAAAAAAAGTTAGGCATCTATAAACATAACACACGATTACTTTATTTCACTTTAATTTTTACAAAAATCATTCAAGATTCAAATAATCTGTTACTTAATTCTTTAAGAACCCCATAGAGCAGAAAGAAATTTCTCTACCCTTGGTTTTTGCTTAGGATATATATTACAAAACTCAGGCTCAGAGATTGTATGAGATGCCTAAGATAATATTGTTTTTAAAGGCAGAATTACATGCTCTTTCTCGAGGGATATAAGTAAAGAACACTACATTAAGTGTCACAAATCTGAGATTTTTAAAATTTTTTTCCCTGTAACCTTATACCTCTCTGAGCTTCAATACTTTCAGCTAAATATAAGCACTCTAATTCTTAGAGTTATGAATTGCAAATGAGAAAATGCAAGAAAAATGCCGTGACAGCAAGGGAGTGCTGAAAACCAATATGCAACAGAATAGTAGGATCCATCCATCTGTTACAAGTTATTAAAATAATTAATATACAAGAAATATTGTGCACATATTGTCTAAAGCATTGCTAACAATTGATAAATATTTGTTAAAAATTAAAAGTGAATATTTGTAATATATATGATATTTTGTTTTTATCAATGCACTTTTCTCTGCATTTTCAGGTACATGAACAATGTACCTGAATGGATGCCTTAGGCATCCATTATCTTAGTGTTGTGGATAGGTGGGGAAATTCAGTTTGCTAAGGTAACTGGAAAGCAAAGGGAATAAGTTAAAATTAAGCTTCTAAATTAAAAAATAATACTTTTCAGAATTATCAGAATTTCTTTGGAGTAGAAAATTTCTGTAAATGTACTTCTCATTTTATGTAGTTACAGCTAGTCGAGTTACTAGTCCACAGAGTTTTTCCATAGTATAGTTAGGATATCAGTTTCTGTGAGGACTCTTAGCCAATAAAGCTTGTTATACTAAGATGGAAGGGCTCTTGTGTAGAGAAATTTAAGAACTTGAAATGCTCACCTTCCAGTAGGAGGTATAGGAAACTGTGTTCAGATGTTTGTCCAGATCTTTGTCTCAGACCCACTCATAATCTGGGTGGGCACAATCTAATCAGCTGCCAGTGTGGCTAGAATATAAGCAGGCAGAAAAATGTGAAAAGAGAGACTGGCCTAGCCCCCTGGCCTACATCTTTTTCCCATGCTGGATGATTCCTGTCCTCGAACAATGGACTCCAGGTTCTTCAGTTCTGGGACTGGAACTGGCTCTCCTTACTCCGCAGCTTGCAGACAGCCTATTGTGGGTCCATGTTATTGTGTAAGTTAATACTTAATATTAACTCCCCTTTATATATATTTATATATACTAGTTAGTTCTGTCCCTCTAGAGAACTTTGACTAACACAGTCATGTATCTGCATATGTATTTATATATATATATGTGTGTTTGCACTAATATGAACTGACATTTGATCTTTTTATATGTGCATTTTTATGTTTAAAAATAAGAGAATTGAAAGGTCATTATAACAGGTAATAGTGTCACAGAGATAAGGGTGTGCTCACTACAAAAACAAAAACGAAAAACGTGGTTTTTTTCTTTGTAACACTGATGAAATTCTTTGCAAACTTTTCTGTGTAGTCACAATTAATAATCTTAGAAAATTCCATTATCTGCTGAGAAAAATACTCTCAGAAGACTCTGACAAACCTAAACTTTCAAGATAAATAGGGATGAATACCCCAGCATTTTTCATGGGCAGCATTCATATCTAAAATAAAAAGAGAATACAGTTTATGCAAATATTTATTATTTAGTTATTACATAATGCCATAGAGGCATTGAATGGATGGAAAGAGAAAAACAGAAAGCATTTTAACAGTTTGAGAGCTCATGGACCATTCTACCCTTCCTAGTATAGAGAAATATCCAGCTTTTTTTCCTAAAAAAAAAAGCCTTATGCCAATATGTCTGAATAATATTTCATTTAACCTTGAGGTCCTCTGCTCCTCCAGTGGATCCCTTTCTAAAGACCAGCATATTAAATATAAATTATGAAACTTGGAACATACAGATTTATACTATAGGAACTTATTTTCAACTTTATAGCCTCTTTATATCTTAGATAAATGTCCTATCCTGAAAGACACATTATGGCTATTTCCTTCAAATCCTTGCACTTTTCTACATTTCTTTATTCCACCCTCTGTTCTTAAAGCAATCATGTTCTTAAAGCAATCGTGTTACTAGGCCCAAATTTAAAAAAAGAAAAATCACTCAAGTCATTCCTGACAATGTTCACTGCATACGATTCCTCTTTCTTCTAAACTCTTACAGCTTTTTATTATGTGCCTCTATCACGAGTATCCAAAAGCGTGTATCATATATATTATTTGTATGTCTTCACCATAAGCTATTTAGGCGGGAACATGGTTTATAAATCTTTGCACCACTTCTTCTTTACCTTATAATACCTAGAACAATGCATTGAGTTGTGTGAAAAAATATTTGATTGTTCAAAACTATCTAGAACTTACTTAGGGATGTTTAATACATTACTCACATTTAATTTCACATACCATAGCCATTAATAGCCTGAATAAACAAAGCTATCAAACCAAAATTCTCACACACACAACAGACATTCATATTGAGGCAGACACCACACAAACACTAGGTAAAAACGTTAATATTGTATGCTTGGCAAAACTTTTACTTATTTCCAAACCGAATTATCCGCAGATACGATTAGGTAGCAAGAGTCACTATAAGAACAGTTAAGAGCAGGGTGAGGTGGCTCACACCTGTAATCCCAGCACTTTGGGAGGCCAAGGCAGGTGGATCATTTGAGGTCAGGATTTCGAGACCAGCCTGATCAACACGGTGAAACCCCGTGTCTACTAAAAATAAAAAAATTAGCTGGGCATGGTGGTGCATGCCTGCAATCTCAGCTACTCAGGAGGCTGAGCCAGGAGAATCGGTTGAACTCAGGAGGTGGAGGTTGCAGTGAGCCGAGATCTTGCTACTGGTCTCCAGCCTGGTGGCAGATGAGACTCCATCTCAAAAAATAAGAATAAATAAAAAATAATAAAAATAAACCATTTAAGAATTAGGACAAAAAGGCAGTGAAATTTAAAGAAACTTTCCCAAAGATAACTGTATTTTGCTTTTCTGTCAAATGAAATACTGCCTTCGTATTTCTAGTTTTAGTATACCATAGGTTGTATGTCTGCCACATCCTCATATATATGAAATTTCAGCTGCTCTTATTAGGCTTTTAGATGAGCAATAACGGCCCCATGGCAGAGACCTTTCACTGACAAGAACCTGTGGAAGAGGCCTGTGAATTTCCTTCTTCATTCTCATTCCTGAGTCAGGCTATTTCAGGGAAGCCTTTTGCAAATATAAGAAGTTGCCATAAGACCTTTAAAAACAGTCGCTGGCTAATGAATGCAATATCTGTGAAACCACTTGTACTACTCTGCCCCTGTAGAGATTAATGTTACTAAACATACTGTACTATCATGAGAGGAAAAGTGATGTATGTACGCGTGTATTTATCATATATAAACTTAATGCTGGAATAGCTGTATTAAAACTTGAATAGCATTTTCCCAAGATGACTTAGACTTTGTGTATTTTAGCAACTTTCTGGTTTTATGTCACTTTCAGGTAGCTGATACAGACTTCCGAATGTTAATATTATGACCTCAATGTACAACACTGCAGAGAAAAAATATTTTAAAAAACCACCTTACTTAAACTCTTAAATGTTCCATTCCACTTGCCCAAAAAGCTCTGAAAAAAGCTTTCTGTTTTATAAGAACAAAACAATTTTTTTCATCTAAAAATTTCTTTTTATGAGAAGAGTCAGAAGGATTTATCTCAAACCTAGAAAAAAATATTTTTATCCAAAGGGCAATGCTATTCTGAAAAATTTGCCCAGGCACTAAAGCCCTTAGTGAAGTAACTTACTAGAAATTCTATTCATACACACAAATGAATAAATCTGTCCAGAACGCTTCTGAGAAATGAGATATTTGTCTGGTAGGACAATTCCCTGAAAAGACAATGATAGAGATGGGTCTGGGGGAAATCGTCAGGCCCTCTATATTCCCTCTTCCCTATTCTGTGCAAAACTCCATGTCATTACACCATATCTGTATCAAAAGAGAAAAGGGAATATGTGATATATAAACATTGTATATATTTATAAAGTATACATTATAATCTGTTTAAGGTAATAAGGAAAAATTTTGCTAAAATACTATGCATAACTTATAAGCCACGACAGTGACCTGACAATACTTCATTTGTCTAAGCAGGGGCTCAAAGAATATAAAGGAGAGTTGGAATAACCCAAAAATGACTGAGGAAAGTCAGATTGCTACTGAGAGGTGACAGCGTGCCGGCAGTCCTCACAGCCCTGGCTCACTCTCCGCGCCTCCTCTGCCTATGCTCCCACTTTGGCGGCACTTGAGGAGCCCTTCAGCCCACCGCTGCACTGTGGGAGCCCCTTTCTGGGCAGGCCAAGGCCAGAGCCGGCTCCCTCAGCTTGCAGGGAGGTGTGGAGGGAGAGGCGCAAGCGGGAACCGGGGCTGCGCGCGGCGCTTGCGGGCCAGCTGGAGTTCCGGGCGGGCGGGGGCTTAGCGGGCCCCGCACTCGGAGCAGCCGGCCGGCCCTACCGGCCCCGGGCAATGAGTAACTTAGCACCCGGGCCAGCGGCTGCGGAGGGTGTACTGGGTACCCCAGCAGTGCCAGCCCACCGGCGCTGCGCTCGATTTCTCACCGGGCCTTAGCTGCCTTCCCGCGGGGCAGGGCTCGGGACCTGCAGGCCGCCATGCCTGAGCCTCCCACTCCTTCCATGGGCTCCTGTGCTGCCGGAGCCTCCTCGACGAGTGCCACCCCCTGCTCCACGGCGCCCAGTCGGATCGACCACCCAAGGGCTGAGGAGTGCAAGCACACGGCGCGGGACTGGCAGGCAGCTCCACCTGCAGCCCTGGTGTGGGATCCACTGGGTGAAGCCAGCTGGGCTCCTGAGTCTGGTGGGGAGGTGGAGAACCTTTATGTCTCCATAAAGGGATTGTAAACACACCAATCAGCACCCTGTGTCTAGCTCAGGGTTTGTGAGTGCACCAATCAACACTCTGTATCTAGCTGCTCTGGTGGGGCCTTAGAGAACCTTTATGTCAAGCTCAGGGATTGTAAATACACCAATCGGCACTCTCTATCTAGCTCAAGGTTTGTAAACACGCCAGTCAGCACCCTGTGTCTAGCTCAGGGTTTGTGAGTGCACCAATCTACACTCTGTATCTAGCTGCTCTGGTGCGGCCTTGGAGAACCTGTGTGTCCATACTATGTATCTAACTAATCTGATGGGGACGTGGAGAACCTTTGTATCTAGCTCAGGGACTGTAAACGCACCAATCAGCAACTTGTCAAAACAGGCCACTTGGCTCTACCAATCAGCAGATGTGGGTGGGGCCAGATAAGAGAATAAAGGCAGGCTGCCCGAACCAGCAGTGGCAACCCGCTTGGGTCCCCTTCCACGCTGTGCGAGCTTTGTTCTTTCGCTTTTTGCAATAAATCTTGCTACTGCTCACTCTTTGGGTCCACGCTGCTTTTATGAGCTGTAACACTCACCGCGAAGGTCTGCAGCTTCACTCCTGAAGCCAGTGAGACCACGAGCCCACCGGAAGGAACGAACAACTCCAGACGCGCCACCTTAAGAGCTGTAACCCTCACCGCGAAGGTCCACGGCTTCATTCCTGAGCCAGCGAGACCACGAACCCACCAGAAGGAAGAAACTCCAAACACATCCGAACATCAGAAGGAGAAAACTCCAGATGCGCCACCTTAAGAGCTGTAACACTCACCGCGAGGGTCCGCAGCTTCATTCTTGAAGTCAGTGAGACCAAGAACCCACCAATTCTGGACACGCTACCTCGGTGAGGGAATGAATAAATCAGGTGTCTAGGTGTCAGATTATACATCAGGTTTATTCCAGTTTGGACGTAATACCTTGAGCAAACCATAATAAAAGGGGACAGTTTACACACAGCTTTCACATAGAATCTTGCAGGGGGTACTTCTCTCTGACCACCTGAGAATGAGAAGTTTGCTCTCAGACATCCCTCCCTCAAAAGCAAAAGGGTCCTGTCCATTGAGCCAAAAATCTGAGTTGTCATTTTCTGTAACATACATAGAGGGATGTATGGTAGAGAGACGACTTCTTTTATTTTCTATGTAATCTGTGGGGGTAAGACCATTTGTCACACACAAAATTACTAAGTCCATTAGTGAGGACTGTTGAAATTGAAGCCCAGCACAGAAATTACAAATACAATGGAAACTGTTCTCTGATTTCACACTCAGGTTCATAGAGACTGTGTATCATTTTATAGAGCAATTTATTTAGTAGTTTCCTTAAGGAGCACTATCAATTATTTGCATAAAGCTCACTTCCTGAACTATTTCCTTTCAGAGTATACTAAGTAACAATTGATTTAATCACCACAGAATTGAAAGAAGTATGCCTGTGGGGAACTGCCGGCTATTTTTAAAACCATATTCTCTACTTCAGTTAAACATAAAAGTGGTATGTGTTCATGAGGAAAATTTATCCCTGCTTGTATCAGAAGACAAACGGAAACAAAACAAGAAAAAAGAAAAGAAAACATTCCATTCACTTTTATTTGTAGATCCAGATGAAGGTACCCCAAGCAGCTTGAGATGTGATGATGGAGACCAGTTTGAGAAGACCCATCATCTCTGATTTCCCTCTGATTATGAAGTAATACAACAAAGCTACAGTAAGTGGACTGATACGGTGGTGATTGCAAACTGTTTCTAACTTCTCTCATTTACTGGCTGGTGTCTTTAGAGGTAGCATTGCATTTCATTGGCATATGTTTTATTTAGTCTTTCTAAATTAAAAAAGTATATATCTGTTATTTTCACACATTAGGAAGTAAGAAAGGATGTTAAAGATACCTATTTCTGTTTTTAGTAAACAAAGCTTATTGAAAAAGTCTTTTTTGTATTTGCTAAGAATGTTTTTCATTAACAATGGCTATTTTCTAATATTGGAGTACACTGATGCTTCCATGGGTCATTGATGTCAGCAAAGCTTGCTTGCCTAGGCATTCTTATTTGTATAAATTATTCTGATGGTAATCCGGCTATTTCCAAACACAGTGATCTCTTCCGAGTTCATCCTCATTCTTTGTAGCTGGCTCCTTCTTTATGGCCAAATCACTTGGCTCTGGGTGGTTTTGTTTCTATTGCTTCTCAAACTTCCATTCTAATTTGAATTTGCATTTGTAAAATCACTGCCCAAATTTCTGATCGTAATCTAGCAAGCGTGTAAAGACAATAAAAACAAAAGAAGTTGCATAATTTTTATTGTAGAAAAATAAATCCTTCTGTCTTCTGTGATATATTCAATATGAAGAATTTCTTCCTCTCCTAAATTTCTATTGTAATTTTTGGAGCATGTTTTTTATTTTTGCTTTGCATTATATATAGACATTTGTATGCATATCTTAGCTTCCCCCTTAGATTTTATTCTCCTTCATAATAGAAAAATACTTAATGAACGTTATATTCCCTTGCTCATTCTAATATTAGGTTGGTGCAAAAGTAATTGCGGTTTTTGCAATTAAAAGTAATGTAAAAACCACAATTACTTTTGCACCAACCTAATAGAATACCTTCAGTGAATATCTGAGAAATGTAAACTGCATGTGCTTTGAGACAAAAATCTTGGTAAATTCTGTGGATTTACAAAATAAAGTTGAGCAAAGTAATGTCTGAACACAGTAAAAAAAATCTAAAACTTAAAAACAAAATATCAACAAACAAAAAGAATACACTATAAAATACTATACTATAAGTAGTACCTATAAAATTAAGTTTATAAAGAAAAACAACATCTCCTGTCTCACCTTTCTCAACGCCTAGTCTTCCTCCCCAGAGAGCTATGCTTCCTTTGTTTAACTATTTATGCTTTTAATTATTTTTTAGCACTTTTAATATAATTAGTAATTTGCTTATATTTCTATGTCATGACTTTCCAGTTTTAAATATTTCAAATTGATTTCTTGTCAGTTGTCAGAATTGACTTGTCAGTAGTTGGCTTATTCACTTGTCATAGGAAAAGTTTGTTGATTTCTATTGTAACCATTTTCTCAACCCTTTCTTATCTCAATATACTTAGATCAGTATTTTAGTTTATCTGTCACCTCTTAAATAATATACTTGAAGTCAAACTCATATCACTCTTTTAAAAGTGAATCACAATAGTAAACTTCTGTTGATAGTGGCTAGTTGCACAGAAAACAACCCTTCACTCCGTATCTTTTACACACAACTTCTGTATTAAAGCCATGAATAATCCTAGCAAAAACTACATTTTCTGGCATACTTTGAAAGAGAGGTAGCTAATATAATATGAATAGGAAGAGTTTGGTGGTATTTTCATAAAAGCTCTTTAAGGGAGCTCAGTTTTATAAGTAAATCCTTTTGCCCTTTTCCTTTTCTCCTTCTGAGAGCGGACATGATGGTGCGAACTTGCACGATGGTTTGCACTAATGAGTTCATACTGGCAATGGAAGAAACATGCTGAGCTAGGATGGCAAAACAGAAAGAGCCTGAAATCTTGATGGCCACTGGAACTGCTGTAATAACCCTCAGTCATCAATATCTGAACTGCTCTTAAGAGAGAGAAAAATAGCTGGGCACAGTGGCTCATGCCTGTAATCCCAGCACTTTGGGAGACCAAGGTAGACAGATCACAAGGTCAGGAGTTCAAGACCAGCCTGGCAAACATAGTGAAACCCCATCTCTACCAGAAATACAAAAACTAGCTGGGCATGGTGGCGGGTGCCTGTAATCCCAGCTACTCAGTGGGAGGCTGAGGCAGGAGAATCACTTGAACCCGGGAGGCAGAGGTTGCAATGAGCCGAGATCACACCATTGCACTCCAGCCTGGGCAACAGTGCAAGACTCCATCTCAAAAAAAAAAAAAAAAGAAAAAAGAAATGAAAAAGAAAACTCTAATTATTCAACACGATGCTATACAAGATTTTAGTCATATCGTCCAAACATATTTTTAAGTGCTATGTTGACAAAATACCATGTATTAACAGAAAACAAACGAACTTAATTTCAGGTAATTGAATGAGGGAAATGAATGGATGATACAATTCCTGAAAATTTAAATTTGCATTTTTTTTAGAATATAAGCTTAAAGATAGAGTTAATGGTTTGATATAGAATTAAACACAAGTATGGAAGGATAACATATTATTAAACACAAGAGTATGGAAGGATAACATATATTATTATACTAAGGCAAATGTTGTCCCTGGTCTGTCTGATTGAATGATAATTCAATAAGCAAAGAAGCCAAAACAAACCTCTTAATCTTTGTAAAATTACTGTCAATAAAATTATTATGGTATTCCTTTCAAACTTCCAAGAAAGCTAAAGCTAGTTCCTATTTAGATGGATCTGGCAACCCCTGATGGATTATAGTAGTATGTGTGTGTAATAGAGACAGAGTGAGAGCACTATTTTATGAGTAATAATTCTGCTATAAAAGAAATTATATACAGCATGTGGTCTATTTTATAGCTAATATAATAATAAGCATTTATAATTATACAATGCTATGTTGAAGGCATCATATGTTACTGTAGGTCACTAACAATATTTCATCTTCAAAACAATCCTATAAGTAGGCACTGTTGTTATTCCATTTGAGGAAACTGAGGCATAGAGATACCTTGTCATTTACTCAAAGTCACAGAGCTCATCAATGTTGTTGCTAGAATTCAGATACAGGTAATTTATCTTCAGAGTAAGAACATTTAACCATTTGTCTTCTCATATCATACTGGCTTTTACCAAATAATAAATAATTTTCAAGCAAAATGTAAACTATTGTTTTCTTTAATAACCCCCTTCAATGTATTTACCACCCCTTCACAAGCCACCTCTTCCTCTGTGTTTATTGTATATTCTTCAATTGGTTAATCTTTCCAACTGTATGAAACTAGCTGTTTATAAATTGTCTCCCAAAGGATATCATCAATTCTTTGAGTCAGCTAGCCAAAGTACAAAGTACAAGATTAATTTAAGTCAACTATCCAAAGTACATAAATAAATTAAGCATGGCCTGTTGAAGATCATACATGAATGTCTAATAAAGAAATGCATGGGGCCAGGTGCGTTGGCTCACGCCTCTAATCCCAGCACTTTGGGAGTCCGAGGCAGGTGGATCACAGGTCAGGAGTTCCAGACCAGCCTAACCAACATGGTGAAACCCCGTCTTTACTAAAAATACAAAAATTAGCTGGGTGTGGTGGTGCGCACTTGTAATCCCAGCTGCTCAGGAGGTTGAGGCAGAAGAATCGCTTGAACCCGGGAGGCAGAGGTTGCAGTGAGCTGAGATCGCGCCACTGCACTCCAGCCTGGGTGACAGAACGAGACTCCATCTCAAAATAATAATAATAATAATAATAACAATAATAATAATAATAAAATAAAAATAAATGCATGGTTGTATACTTTAATTCTAGGTTTCCTTTCAGCTCTGCACTCCTGTGTCTATGATGTGTTGAGAACCTCTCAGTATGTTTTCCTCAATTCTTTCTAGTTTTGTTATCTTTGAAAACCAGCTTTTAAAATATTTTCATGTTTGCTTCTGCAAACTCTACAATTGAAGTTAACAGCTTCCTTAAGTTTGCTACCCTTTCTGTCAAGATTCTGCAAGCCTCTCTTGTATGCTAAATTCTTGATATGAAGCTAGGTTGAATTTTGTCATTTGCTGATCAATTTTTATCTGCTTTCTCCGTAACCAGTATCACTTTAGATATGCAACCACATGTTCTCTCAGCTGTTCCTCTTCTTGTCTCCAACTATCTCATTTATTCTGATCTTAAGTCTGTTTCATACCAGTTTAATATTTCCCATCTTATCTCGCTACTCATTTCCTCATCTTCTTCATAACTCTACCCTCATTGCCTAGAAAAGTCCCTCAAAACCGTTCCAAAAGTCAGACAGGAATGGTATGGACTCTGTCTGGTTGTAAAGTTAAGTGAATTTTAAAAACCTAAGGCTTAAGATATTGCTTCATATTCATTTCAGACACAAGAATAAAAAAACAAGTGACTAAATTGCTGTTGACTGAGTATTATTTTGAGTACTAATAATTGTTTTAATTTCTTTCCTTTTCTCTTTTTTTTTTTTTTTTTTGAGACAGGATCTCACTCTGTCACTCAGGCTGGAATGCTGTGGCACAATCATAGCTTACTGCCGCCTCAAACTCCTGGGCTCAAGCGATCCTGGCACTTGAGATTACAGGCACACACCACCACACCTGGCTAATTAAAAAAAAAAAATGTGGAAATGAGATCTCCCTATGTTGCTCAAGCTGGTCTCTAACTGCTGACCTGGCCTCAAGTGAGCTTCCCATCTCAGGCTCTTGAAGTGCTAGAATTACAAACATGAGCCACAGTGCTTGCCCTCTCTTTTTTCTTCTTTAATAAAATAAGATGTTATAAATACTTGTACCTGATATTCTAACAAATAAAGGAATATAACGGTAAATGTTCCTTTTAAGAAAGGCACGACCTCTAGTAAAACATTTTTGCCAGAAATTTGAAATATTTTAGAAATAAAGATGGCTATGATATTCTACAAAATAAGTTTACAGTATATATAACTGAATGTTAACTAAATATTTAAAAGCGTGTGTCAAAATTCATTCATATTTGGGTACTTTAGAGGAAATAGAAGAATCCTCAACTTAAGGAGAGAGTAATGGGACAGGAAGGGGAGGAGAGGGGAGGCGGTGGAATTCTGGACTGAGAAATGTTGAGAGTAGGAGACTTACCAGCGAACCGAACTCTTCCCTGTGGTTTGATTACTTCATTGTCGTAGAAATGTGCTCTAAATACTTATATAAAATTCCTGCAGCAACAACATTAATTGGGAAGAAATCAGAGACAGAAGCAATAGGGATGTACCGTGCATTCTACAGCACTGCACTGGCAACCAGAGCTGGACATTAGACTCTGGCATGAAAACCTAACCCTTGACTATTGAGTTTTTGTTGTTGTTGTTTGTTTGTTTGTTTGTTTGAGACACAGTCTCGCTCTGTCGCCCAGGCTGGAGTGCAGTGGTGCCATCTCGGCTCACTGCAAGCTCCGCCTCCTGGGTTCCCGCCATTCTCCTGCCTCAGCCTCTTGAGTAGCTGGGACTACAGGGGCCCACCACGATGCCCGGCTAATTTTTTGTATTTTTTAGTGGAAACGGAGTTTCACCGTGTTGGCCAGGATGGTCTCGATCTCCTGACTTCGTGATCCGCCTGCCTTGGTCTCCCAAAGTGCTGGGATTACAGGCATGAGCCACCACGCCCGGCCGACTATTGAGTTTTTAAAGGGCATAACTAAGTGAACACTATCTCTTTCCATGGTGAAATTGAGTACAGGTCACAATAACAATATGAAATGGAAAAATGTCTTTAATTTAGCCCTATCCTACAATTTCCCGTTTCCTGTTTGGTTGAAACAGCTTCACTATTAGGCCTACAAGCCAGTGTGTGAGGCTTCCACGTGCAGCCCAATGGCAGAGTAAAGCAGTGACAACACCTTCCCTGCCTCTGTTCATGTTTAGGGAAGTGCCACACTCCATCTGTGGTGTGCTTGGACTTGGATCCAAAGATTGCAGTTGACTAGGACTGATTTTCTGAAGCACTGGGCTGTAGCTAGGTTTTATGAAGGTTTTCAGAAAGGTGACTCTTTTATAGGAGACAAGCCAGTAGGGAATCAGTTTTAAACAAGTTAAACTTTCCCTCTCACTACTCTTAACTCTTTCACTCTTGGAGGGACCTACTGCCATCTCATTCATTTCATGCCACTGCAATCTACTCCATCACTTCATTCACAATATCATTTCAAAGGTAACAATAAGTCACCTCCAGATTGCCAAATACATGGTTATCTCTAATTCATTAATATACTTTATTGCTCTGATGTAAGAAATAGCTGACCCCTGTGGCTTTTCAAGCCAATATGAACTTCTTTTTACTTTAAATTATGAGCAAGAATATATGCCTATGGTATTTTCTGTATACCTCAAATACAATATTGAGATTTATTTTATTAATATTCTTCAAATAATTATATTAAATGTAAAACATCATTATATTTTAGAATTCATTTTATATTTATTGACTTATTTTCTTGCTTTCTCTAATTATGTTTCTATGTTCCAAATTTTTAATTTAGGCAGATTTTCCATTATTACTACTTTAAAATAAAATTATTTTAATAGTCAATACGTAAACATTAATGTAGTTTATGACTTATCTGACCCTCCCTGTTCATAGATCTACATCATTTTTCTTTGGGGATAAAGTTTTTCTTTCAAACAGTGGATGTGAGTTTTAGTCTTTAATGTCTGAAAAGACAATTTCATCATCAACCTTGAATGACTTTTTAAGATATTACTGGAATAGAATACTAGGTTGAAATTAATGAAGGTTGAAGTGGGTTGAAGATATTACTTTCTGATATTCTGGCATTTATTGCTACTGATGAAAATTTTCCTTTCGGTCTTACTGTTTTTCCTTTGTAGAGAATCTCTTTTTCTAGAATCTTTTAATTTTTTCATTTCCTATTTAAGTATATTTTTATTTTTCCTGTTCTATATAGAACCTAACACCTTCATTTTATTCAATTCTGGAATTCTCAGGCATTTGGGTTTTTACTAATTGCATTGTCTTTTTTTTAAGGTCTTGTAAGATCTTTTTATCTCAGTAGGCTTATGCTTTTGTTGTACTTGTTACTATTATTTATATATATATTATACATGTTATATGTATAATATATATATGTGTGTGTGTGTGTGTGTGTGAGAGAGAGAGAGAGATTGTGGTTTTATAAGTATTTTCTGAAGAGTACCAAGTAATTGGTACTCTTTTCTATTATTTTAGAATTTTCTATTGTTTGGAGAAATTACTTCTTTAAATATGCTTATTTTTAATTAGTTTTATATGCTATTACATGCTCATTTTATTGCAAGATGTTTCATAAGTAAATTTAATTTTTTTATCCTGTTAGAAAATTTTAAATCAAGATTACTCTGGTCTTCTGTTTCCCCAAAAGATCATGTGAGGGAAGTTTGCATGGGTGTCTTCCACATTTTGGGGCAATATTGTGCTTAGTATCATACTATACAATTGTGATGGTTAGAACATATATTTTTGTATTTAGTCTCAGCATCCTGATGGAGGTTGCAAGAAGCTAGAACTGTGTTTTTCTGTTGTGGGTCCTGGTCTCTGCACGATTTTTGTATTTTTGACTTTCTGTCACCACAGCTATATACTTGCTGTCACATACGCACAAACACATATGATGTACACTATAAATCTCAGTGACCTCAATCACTAAACTGCCAAAAGAAAACTTAGATACCTGTGACCCCTCCAGCATTCTAAACCTAAAACCCATCTCTGTAGTGGGATTTTTGCTAGACCTAAGTGTATTCAAATTGATTTCATAGTTAACATCTGATAATTCCATGAGGCAGAGATGGCTCTGTGAGGTGAGTTCCCTTCTGTATTGCGCATGACCACGTAATGGAGAAAACTGCCTGGACCCAGGTGTTAGGTGGTATCGTGTTTCAACTCACAAACAATCTGTCATTTTCACCAAACCCTTTCCACAGCGTTGAGTTTCTGAGTTGGAATGGATTTTGAGGTCAGCACTTCCCTCCAGTTTTGGTGTGAGGAAATGATACAGGATCCGATTTATTTGATCTTAGTAACTTTCTTCTTAGATCCATCTTCATCCATTGCTGTAATAAAAGCTAAGTAAAGACCATATTGCAAAGGTAAAGAATGAATCCATTTTGTTATCCCAGGAAATGTGCACAGCTCCAGGAATGTTACTAATTTGTTTATGTGTTTATTCTCTCAAGCCTTCTCCCCAATAACATAAGGGCAGGAATCATGTCTTTCATAATAACCACAGCATCCCCTGCTCTTAGTGCAATGCTTGGAACAGAGGAGGCACTCAATGGTGCTGCCTGAATAAATATTTGTCTGACTGATGGATGCATAGTTAGGCTTCAGGTTGTCAGCCCTCCTCCCTCCAGTCTATTATGAATTCAAATAGATCCACGAGAAACAAATTGGTGAGTGGGGAAACATAAATATGCCTATAAATAATCTCAAATCCAGGCCCCAGATCCAGCAAAATAAGTTAACATGTACGTTTAATTCCTCTTGGTCATTTCAACCAGTGTCCAAAGACGATCAAGGAACTTTGAAACTTTGGGAACTTTGAAAATCTGTTCTTATACATGCCACTATCTTTTATAGAATCCTCATTTCCTCTCCTGAAGTTACTTATCTTTGTCTACCTTGGCTTCTTGGTTTACTTTTTACCATTTCAGACTTCTCAAGATAATGTGTGATTTTTTTTTCCAAGTCTGCACCCTTGATCTTCCTTTCTTCTCTTTATATATATTCTCTATGAGTAACTACCTGATAAATATATATGTATGTGTAACTAGATCTGTCCCAAGCATCTCACACATATCTCAAACCAAATTAATTGTATTTTTTCCATTTCCCATTTTAGTGAATGGCACCTTGAGCCTTACAGTTCCCTAATCCTTTCCATTCATTTATCAATTATTCCATCCATCCTTTAGGCATGAGGGGAAAAGACCCATTTATTTAGCACCTACTATATTCTAAGAACTGTGTACTACATACAGGGTCAAGTGAAATATGGTTCCTGAACTTACCGAAATAGCAAATAAATAATGAGTGTGAAACTACTGTTGAATGCCATGAAACATCTGTGCATACAGGCGTATGGAACATATTAAATAACATTTAAATCTGATTAAACATTAAGAAAAGTTTTAAATGAGAAGAGTTCTTTTCTCTTTTAAACGAGAAGAGGTTTGATGAAAATGTAGAAATTAGCTGCATGAAGGAAAAGGAGTGTTTTATCTAGTCAAAGGAAAAAAAAAAGTTTAGATATATGTCCATGAGCCAGGATATGTTAGAGACCCCAATTTTATTCTAGAGGTTATCTGGATATCATGGTTATAACTCATTCTAAACCTTCCATTGTACCCTATGCTCACTGCCAGTTTTGTAAGATGGTCCCAGAGGTTTTTGCTTACTCATTAACATTGAGAAGCATTAAGTGAGGTTCAATTTTCAAAGCAGTTACCTAAAAAGAAATAACGGTTCTCTTTCCCCTCCAGATGGCTAAATGTCTTTAGACTGTCTACAGCCTTGTGCTTTCGCTGGAGTGTTAAAAACACTCTGAATTGTAAAATAATTCTTTCTGAGCTATAACTTTTCAGGAGTCAAAAGAGGACAATGAATGTCTTAGAACAGATAAAAATCTCTTTACAAAAGTGAACCAGGAATTTAAAATAAGATAAGTTGTAGAACTGTTAAAATTTGCATTTCAGCCAGGTGCGGTGGCTCACACCTGTAATCCCAGCACTTTGGGAGGCTGAGGCGAGCGGATCACCTGAGGTCAGGTGTTCCAGACCAGCCTGGCCAACATGGCGAAACCCCATCTCTACTAAAAGTACAAAAATTAGCCGGGCATGGTGGTGGGGTCTCTGTAATCCCAGCTACTTAGGAGGCTGAGGCAGGAGAACAGCTTGAACCCAGGAGACAGAAGTTGCAGTGAGCCAAGATTGCACCACTGCACTCCAGCCTGGGTGACAAGAGCGAGACTCCATCTCAAAAAAAAAATAATAATAATAAATTGCATTTCATTTCACATTTCACTCTTGTCCACTTATTTATTCCCAAATGATTTATAATAGTAGCTGACTAATGCAGAAACAAATAATAAATATCAGACACATTAACTGTATTATTATGAAGGATGATGGTTTAGTGTTACTCATGGTGACTGGAATTACTCTATATTATTTATCTCAAATAATTTATGTGTTCTCATCCATCCCATTAAATTCATCTCCTTTTCTTTGAAACTCACAGTTCATTGTTTTTCTCTCCTTAGAAGGTTCAGACGATTTAGAAGGTAAATTTATTCTAATTATTCTAATTATGACAGTGAGAAATTGTTTAGGATGTATTTAAAAATAATTATTCAAGATATTTCTCAAAAGAAGACATGCAAATTGGCAACAGATAGATATATGAAAATTGCTCACCATCACTAATCATCACAATATGCAAATTAAAACCACAATGAGATAGAACTTCACACCTGTTAGGATGGCTATTATCAAAAAGATAAAAGATAAGTGCTGGGGAGGGTGTAGAGAAAAGATAATCCTTACACACTGTTGATGGGAATGTAAATTAGTATAGCCATTTTGGAAAATAGTATGGAAGTTCCTCAAGAAACTAAAAAAAAAAAAAACTATCATATGATCCAGTAGTCCCACTTTTGGGTATATATCCAAAGGAAATAAAATTTGTATGTCAAGGATGTCTGCATTTCCATGTTCATGGCAGTATTATTCATAATAGTCAAGATATGGAAACAACTTCAGGGCCTATCCATAGATAAATGGATAAAGAACACCTGGTACATATCCACAATAGCACACTATTCAGCCTTAAAAAATAATGACATACTGTCATTTGCGATAACATGGATGAATCTAAAGGTTATCATGCTTAAGTGAAATAAGTCAGGCACAGAAACAAAAATATTCCATTATCTCACTTACATGTGGAATCTAAAAAACTCAAACTCATAGAACTAGAGAGTAGATGGTTTACCAGAGGCTGAGAGTGCAGCTGGCAGTGATAGGGGGAGGATGAAATATTTGTCAAAGAGTACAGTCTCAATTAGGAGGAATAAGCTCTGGTGATCTATTATACAGCAAGGTGACTGCAGTTAATAACGATGTATTGTATATTTAAAAATTGCTAAAAGAGTGGATTCTAATGTTCTTACCACAAATAAATGATAAGCATGTGAGGTGATGGATATGTTAAGCAGCCTGATTTAATCATTCCACAATGAATATCAAAACATCACATTGTACCCCATAAGTATATATAATTATTATTTGTCAATTAAAAATTAAAAAAATTTAAAAATCATTATTCAAGTGAGCTTAGCTTAATTTAGGTAACTCGACCAAAGAACTATTTGATAGTCTATTATTCTAAATAATATTTATGTCTCCAAATGCCACTTTACAAATGCTATGAGTTAGATTAAAACAAGGTACAGAAGATGTCAAAATGGAGAGGATTAATTGCCATATTTTGATCAATCGATGACACTTGACTATAGGTATTTCAAAGGAGTCTAGGTAAATAATTTTCTTTATTTTATCTTCATAATTAGAAACAAATTGAATTAAAAGTATGTATTCATTCTATTTTGCATTAGGTATTAAAATAGCTTACACAAATATTTTCGTATTAATTTAAATTACATTAAATTAAAATTTGTATTAATTTTGTTTTGTATTAAATATTTCATAGTAGCAGAAAATTATTTACAGCTTGAATCACTATTCATGGTTTTTTCTCCGTCTAAAATCTAAATAAGGTACTTTTTCTCAATCTTCTAAGGTCATATTTTTTAAAACCTCAGTCCTAAAAGAATTGAAAGCAAAATAAAATTAAAACAATGACAATACACGTAGATTTTATACAACCTGTTATACATAATATTACTAAAATATTATAAAGGTACTCCTGAAAAACGTACATAAATGTCAACTGAGATTTCCATATTTCATTTTTCTGTCATTTCTACTAATAGCTTAAAATATTGTAAATTCAAATGGTTTGTTATATACACAATATAGTTATAAAGAATATTTTATGTTTTTCCTTTTTTAAAAGCATCAATATTTTCCTATTTTTCTGATACATCATAAGGTATGAATGAAACATTTCTTATGATTCCAACTTTAGTGTGCAATAATGCTTTCTGATTTTTCCAGTGTATAAACTAATTTTTGCATTAAGAAAAACAAAATGAAATCTCAATATTCCTGTTTCTTTTTATTCATATATTATAACTACTTAATTTTGCCAATTAACAACAGTGCCTCAGTGAACTTTCATCGCTAAATAACATACTCATATAGTTTGAGCTTGTGGTCATAATACCTATAAAAATTATTGAAGCCCGTATGATTTCAAAATACACATAGCTGAACCTTAACCTGAGCAGGTACCTGGGATTTAATTGCTTTTGAATACAGCCAAGCTCTCGCCTTTCTCAGCAAATATTAAAATAAAAACATTCAGATTTACCCCTGCTCTTAGATTGTCAAGGAAAACACTATAATTCCTGACCCTATTGCCTGTCTCCTGCCTTGAGAAGGGGTGCCCAACTCCACCAGACAGTTTCCATCCCCATTCAACTCTCCCATTTGGCCTGTGCAGAAGACAGATGGATCTTGGAGAATGGCAGTGGATTATCATAAGCTTAACCAAGTGGTGACTTCAATTGCAGCCACTGTACAAGAGGTAGTTTCATTACATGAGCAACTGTTACCTGGTGTGCAGCCATTGACTTGGCAAATGCCTTTTTCTCCATTCCTGTCCACAAGGCCTGCCAGAAGCAATTTGCCTTCAGCGGGCAAGGCCAGCAATATACCTTTACTGTCATACCTCAGAGATATATCAGCTTTCCGGCTTTGTGTCATAATCTTATCAGAGGGACATTGATTGCTTTTCGCTGCTGCAAGATATCACACTGGTCCATTATATTGATGACATTATGCTAATTGAATCCAGTGAGCAAGAAGTAGAAAACACACTGGATTTATTGGTGAGACATTTGCGTGCCAGAGCATGGGAAATAAATACCACTAAAATCCAGGGACCTTCTACCTCACTAAAATTTCCAGGGGTCCAGTGGTGTGGGGCCTGTCGAGATATTCGTTCTTAGGTGAAGGATAAGTTGATGTATTTGTCCCTTCCTACAACCAAGAAAGGAGCACAACACCTAGTGGGCCTATTTGGATTTTGGAGGCAACACATTCCAAATTTGGGTGTGTTACTCTGGCCCATTTTTTGAGTGACCCAAAAGGTTGCCAATTTTGAGTGGGTTCCAGAACAGAAGGCTCTGCAACAGGTCCAGGCTTCTGTGCAAGCTGCTCTGCCACTTGGGTCACATGACCCAGCAGATCCAATGGTGCTTGAGGTGTCAGTGGCAGATAGGGATGCTCTTTGGAGCCTTTAGCTGGCTCCCACGTCCCATAGGTGAATCACAGTGGAGGCCTCTAGGATTTTGGAACAAGTCCCTGCCATCTTCTGCAGATAACTACTCTCCTTTTTAGAGACAGCTCTTGGCCTGTTACTGGGATTTGGTGGAAGCTGAATGCTTGACTATGGGTCATCAAGTCATCATGTGGCCTGAAGTGCCTATCATGAAATGGGTGCTTTCTGACCCATCTGCCCATAAAGTGGGTCATGCACTGCAGCATTCCATTATTGAATGTAAGTGGTGTATATGTGATCGGGCTCAAGCAGGTCCTGGAAGGCACAAATAAGAAGTGGTTCAAATGTCCATGGTCTCCATGCCTGCCACCCTGCCTTCCCTCACCCAGCCTACACCAATGGCCTCATGGGGGTGGGGGTCCCTATGATCAGTTGACAGAGAAAGAGAAGACTAAGGCCTGGTTCACAGATGGTGCTGCATGATATGCTGGCACTAACTGAAAGTGAATAGCTGCAGCACTATAGCCCCTTTCCAGGACATCCCTGAAGGACAGCAGTGAAGGGAAATCTTCCCAGTGGGCAGAACTCTGAGCAGCGCACCTGGTTGTGCACTTTGCCTGGAAGGAGAAATGGTCAGATGTGCGATTAGGTACTGATTCATGGGCTGCAGCCAGTGGTTTGGCTGGATGGTCAGGGACTTGGAAGAAGCATGACTGGAAAACTGGCAACAAAAAAATTTGGGGAAGAAGTATGTGGATGCTCCTCTCTGAGTGGTCAAAAACTGAAGCTATTTGTATCCCATGTGAGTGCTCACCAACGGGTGACCTCAGGAGAGGAGGAGTTTAATAATCAAGTGGATAGGATGACCCGTTCTGTGGACACCACTCAGCCTCTTTCCCCAACCATCCTGTCATCGCCCAATGGGCCCATGAACAAAGTGGCCATGGTGACAGGGATGGACGTTACTCATGGGCTCAGCAACATGGACTTCCCCTCACCAAGGCTGACCTGGCTATGGCCACTGCTGAGTGCTCAGTTTGCCAGTGGCAGAGACCAACACTGAGCCCTCAATATGGCACCATTCCTCGGAGTGATCAGCCAGTTACCTGGTGGCAGGTTGATTATATTGCACCTCTTCCATCATGGAAAGGGCAGAGGTTTGTCCTCACTGGAATAGACACTCCAGATAAGGGTTTTCCTATCTCACAAGCAATGCTTCTGCTAAGACTACCATCCGGGGACTCATGAAATGCCTTGTCCACCGTCATGGTATTCCACACAGCATTGCCTCTGACCAAAGCACTACTTTACAGCTAAAGAAGTGTGGCAGTGGGCTCATGCTCATGGAATTCACTGGTCTTACCATGTTCCCCATCATTCTGAAGCAGCTGGATTGATAGAATTGTGGAATGGCCTTTTAAGTCACAATGACAATGCCAACTAGGTGACAATACTTTACAGGGCTGGGGCAGTGTTCTCCAGAAAGCCACATATGCTCTGAATCAGTATCCAATATATGGTACTATTTCTCCAATAGCCAGGATTCACGGGTACAGGAATCAAGGGGAGGAAGTGGAAGTGGTACCACTCACCATCACCTCTAGTGATCCACGAGCAAAAGTTTTGCTTCCTGTTCCCATGACATTATGTTCTGCTGGCCTAGAGGTCTTAGTTCCAGAGGGAGGAATGCTGCCACCAGGAGACACAACAATGATTCAATTAAACTGGAAGTAAAGATTGCCACCTGGACACTTTGGGATCCTCTTACCATTAAGTCAACAGGCTAATGAAGGAGTTACAGTGTGGGCTGGGGCGATTGACTCAAACTATCAAGATGAAATCAGTCTACTATTCCACAATGGAGGTAAGGAAGAGTGCACATGGAATACAGGAGATCCATTAGGGCATCTATTAGTATTACCATGCCCTGTGATTAAGGTCAATGGGAAACTGCAACAGCCCAATCCAGGCAGGACTACAAATGACCCAGACCCTTCAGGAATGAAGGTTTGGTTCACTCTACCAGGAAAAAAGAATGACCTGCTGAGGTGCTTGCTGATGGCAAAGGAATACAGAATGAGTAGTAGAAGAAGGTAGCCATCAATACCAGCTATGACCACGTGACCAGCTGCAGAAATGAGGACTGTAATTGTCATGATTATTTCTTCCTTCTTTTGTTAAAAACATGTTTGTGCATGTATATACTTGTACTAAGAAAATATCTTAATTTTGTTTCCCTTTATCTTATGAAATAAGATTTATTGACTTCACATCTGCCTTTAAGTACTTAATAACTTTATGTAATAGTATTTGATTTGGGGATTGGTGAGTTTCCGATTGTATGAAGGATAGTTGTATTATGTTAGGTGTAGTTATGACCTTATTATTGTCTTTATTTGAAGATTATGTATGATCTCAGGAGATATGTATGGGTTCAAGCTTACAAGGGGTAGACTTGTGATGGTTAATACTGAGTGTCAACTTGATTGGATTGAAGGATACAAAGTGTTGATTCTGGGTGTGTCTGTGAAGGTGTTGCCAAAGGAGATTAACATTTGAGTCAGTGGGCTGAGGAAGGCAGACCTTAATCAGGTGAGCACTATCTAATCAGCCACCAATGAATATAAAGCAGGCAGAAAAATGTGAAGTGATGAGACAGGCCTAGTCTGCCAGCCTACATCTTTCTCCCGTGCTGGATGCTTCCTGCCCTGGAACATCGAATTCCACGTTCTTCAGTTTTTGGACTCAGACTGGCCCTCCTTGCTCCTCAGCTTGCAGATAGCTTATTGTGGGACCTTGTGATCATGTAAGTTAATACTTAATAAACTTATATATACACACACACACACCACATATGCTATTACTTCTGTCCCTCTAAGAGAACCTTGACTAATGCATTTCCTAAAAAGAAGGATGACAATGATTTGGTTATGGTTATGTGTTGTGCATTGCTCTAAATGATTTGTGTGTGTTAATTCATTTAGTGTTCACCCTGTGTGTCTGTTACTATATTCATATTTTACAGATGAGTAGAGTAGACTGAGTCAGAAACCTAGGAAATAGGTTCAGGCCTTGGCAGGGCCAGAATTTAAAGATCTTTTTAGCAAATAATCAAATAATGGGCAGCAAAAGGACCAGATAGGTGGGAAAAAAATTGGAACCAGAGGTTGCCGAACCACCTAATAATATGAAAGAGAAAGAAAGAAAATGGAGAGAATGTATTCTGGCCAAAAAGGGTAAAAGAGAAGGGGCAAAATTCCCAGGCTATGGGGAGACAGGAGATGTTTGCAGATTGGGTGAGGGGAATGGAAGTGTCTGATGGCAACAAAAAGACTTCAGAAAATGTGGAGTTGAAAATATAAGATTTTTTTCGAAAGGATGTTAGAGAAATGTGCTCTGAAGTTGAAGTGTATATTCCTCTTTATATAACTTGAAACCCAAATAAATAATTACAATTGCCTAAAATATTTTAACATGTTTGGACACTGCTCTTTACCCACACATATACCTTTCTGCATCCAGTATGTTTTAGCTGTAATAGGCTTGCGTTTGCATTTATGCTTTGGAACTTACTGGATAAAGAAAAATTATACATTTGCATGGGGTGAAGAAGCTTGCTATTCAAAAAAGAAATCTCTTATTTCTTTCTCCTTTGCCTCTCCCACCAGAAAGTTTGTATTGAAAGACATTGAAAAGAAAAAAAGGAAAAGAGGAGGAAAAGGAAGGGGAGATGGAGGAGGAGCAGGAGAAAAGGAGGGAGGAAATAATAGACTGAGTTGGCTCCGCTAAGGCCAGAATGTCATTTATGACAACGGGAAGCTGATGAGAAGGTTGATTATTCATGTGTGGAGAAACTAGACAGGTGACATTTGTAATCAGGACCAAACCTAGTAAGGCAGAGTGCTTTGATTTCCTATATTCTAAAGGAACTGACAGGAGAACTCCTTCCAAACCAGCCACAGGTGACAGGTAATAAAGAACTGGCTAATTGGGTTCATTCGATGTGCCGTGCCACCAGGGCTCAGTCAGGCTGGAGCTGGTCATAGCATAACAGGCTGGAGTGTCTGCCTCTTACTGTGAATTACCTTCCTGCCTTGTGGAAATGTGGAGGTCAGAGCCAACAGCAATAGCAATGGTGACAAGTAAGGCACAGAAGAGAATAGAGATGGGCCAGTAACAGCAAGGCTGGACATTTGGAATGAGTGTCAGCTCCAGACTTCCAGCTTCTGCAGCAGAAGCTAAAGTATCAGTAGGGGGCTCATCCCAGAGTATCAAGTCTTGGGGCTGGCCAGACCATGGGAGAATAAGAAAGACATATTTCACTCTACATTTTTAATTTGGAGGGTAGAGAGGGAATTCAAGCTTTGTGGACAAGCCAGTGATGTCTGCTTTCAATTGATTGTAGTAAGTATGGACATATCTCCTTCTTACAACATAAGAATGGCAGAGTTATTTGTCTTAGGAAAATTAGGAAAAATTAGGAACATCACTATACCAACTGTGGCTATATTCAATTTCAAAATTCCTTGTCATAACTAATTTTTTTCCCATGAAAGGAAGAAAGCAGAAATGCCTATTAGTTGTTTTTTTTTTTTTTTTTTTTTTTTTTTTTGAGATGGAGTCTGGCTCTGTCACCCAGGCTGAAGTGCGGTGGTGCAATCTCTACTCACTGCAGCCTCTGCCTCCTGGCTACAAGCAATTCTCCTGCCTCAGCCTCCCGAGTAGCTGGGATTACAGGTGCCTGCCATCATGGCCAGCTAATTTTTGTATTTTTAGTAGAGGCGGTTTTCACCACGTTGACCAGGCAGGTCTCGAACTCCTGACCTCAGGTGATCCACCCACCTTGGCCTCCCAAAGTTCTGGGATTACAGGCTTGAGCCACCGCAACTGGCCAACTCCTATTAATTCTATGCTATGGCTTTTCCCAGAAAATAGTTTCTAATTCTCTGTAGAATCAGTTTTGTCCTAGGAAAAATGTGCATAGTTATTGTGGGGTTTTATTGAGTTAGAATTTGCTAGTAGATTAGTCAGCGAGTTTCTTCAGAAAGCTGCTCAACTACAGAGGTTTCTAACTTGCCCTTTAGAGAATATCATGTTTTTCAATAAATACCATTACATTTCTTTTTTGAAGCCCAAAACATGATTTGGGTATAAATTATATACAAAATCATTTGACGATATATGTCAATAGATTGCCTATATTTACAGACTCCCTTCTCCTTTTGTTTTTTTTTTTCCTGGAGTCTTCACATTGTAGTCTAAGTTGTGGAGATTATTGAAAGTAATAGAAGGACCAAAGATAGCATGGAACAATAAAGAGTAGTTCAAAAAAGAAAACACATAGGATGAGATTAGTCTATTAAATAATCTGAAGGAAATCTTGATTGCCTGATATTCAGATAATCTCAAAGCACTTATTATGTAACATTGTAATCAACTTTTTCAACTTCGTCAGTGTTGTTTTCGGTATTAATATTTAATATGCTATTACCTATGTATACATAAATTATACTTCTTTCCTATCTCAAGGCATTATTTCTGTATTCCGCCTCTAACATTCTGCTCCAGCCTCACTACTTGTCTCTTTCCTTCAAATATGATAACTAGGAGCCAGCGTGGGCTCCTTATTTGGACACACAGTGGGCAACTCTTCACCTATGTGTGTGTAGTTCCTTTGTCTAGAAAGCCTTGTCACCATCACCACCAAGTCTGCTGAATAAACTTATTTTATTCTTTTAAACTTAGATAGTTCCTAATCTGTGATTCCTTTCCTTACCTCTGGCTCCACCTGATAAAACAGTTAATCCTCTACCCTTTCCTGTCTAAGTGCTTTCCATCACCATATTGCATGTATCCCATCATCTTGCATTTATTTCTTACACATTTGTCTTTCTTACCCTAAAATAGTAGTTCAACTTGTATCTATACTCTCCTGTTTATTATCCAGCATCAACGTTGCTGAACTAAAATAAAGAATATCATAAGGAAATATATAGTTCTTTAAAGATGGATAGAAAATAAGCCTTCTTAAATTATCAAGAGATAGGTAGTGCTATGTGAGCTGTCTGAAAGCATGGGCTTCTGCCTGCATGTCCCTTGTTCCTCCTGCCCACACAAGGCTGCAGAGAAGAGAAAGGAGACCAGATGACAGGGGGCCCGGCTCCTAGTCTTCCATTTATTCATTGTTTTAATAATTTTCTCTCTGGGATGCATAAATTCTCATAAGTCTTCATTATCTGAGAGTTTCACTGATGTACTCCCCACTTTGTCAATCAGATCAGTTGTGAAGCTACAAGAATTATTCATTTACAATTTAGAAATGATATTATAGAGCCACACTTGACTTGAGCTGACATTGTAACACAGAATTACCCATTGCTCATTCTGCAGCCCATCTGTCATCCTACCCAATAACAAACTACAATCTTCTAGTTTCCTTTGAAAATGTCATGTTGATCGTCATCAGATTAGACTTTATATTTTTGTAGGTAGTGACTGTTTTTCATAAAGAACATGTTGACCTCTTAAAAATTTTTGAAAAGAGCTTTAGAAGTGATATTGAGATCTTTTTTTTTAAAATTCTGCTTTGCCTCTCATTCTACAAGCATGGCTTATTTCATTTATTATCAAGACAATCTCTTCTTATACAGTGGGAAAAATTGCCAGTGTTTCCTAATCTCATTAAATATCAGGGACAATCATCATGGGTATTTTTGTCGTCTTCATTATTACTCACTACACATATATATAATTATTAATCAACATTAGCTGAAGAAAATGGAATTTAGCATGATTCACATAATATGATATTGTGAGTAATTTAAATATTATTTCTGCAGTCTAACACATTCAGAAGACACACAAACACTCTCATATTTATTCATACCATTTCTTCTGCCCCAGATTCTTGACTGACTTCACCTTACCTAAGCTTAATGAAAGCAAATTGCAAGTGATGATGATGATGATGATGTTGATGATGACGATGATGATGTTGATGATGACGATGATAAGGAAGCAAAAGAAGGAAGAGGGCAAAGAGCTACCATTGCATAACACTTCGTCTTTTACAAACTAAATTCACATACAGTTTTCACGTAGTCTCACAACTCAAGAGGTAGTTATTATTCTTCTTGCTTCTCAGTTAAAACATCATTTCACCTTTCAGAACACTAAGTGCTACATATGTAATTTGAATCTAGGTGGCTGTTATTGTTTGAGTTTTTTCCTCCAAACTCCATGTCTCTTATAATCTCAGAGTTTAAAAATATATTACTGTATCATGCCATATCAGATATATACTTACTTGCAATTCTTGGGGCAATTAACCCCTAAATACTTCAGCATGCATCTCCTAAGAATAAGGGCATTCTCCTCCATTGTAAAATTCTATGCATCACTTCAGGAAATTTAACACAAATATAATACTACTACCTAACACATAGTCTAAACTAAAATATCCCTGATTACTCAAGTAATATTCCTTATAGCTTCATTTTCTAAAATCTAGGCTCAAACAAGAACTGCACATTTTCTAAACGTATGATGTCTCTTTAGTACCCATTAATTCAGAACCATTCTTCAGCCATGTTTGATTTTCATGACACTGTCATGTTTTAAGATTGCAAGCCAGCTAACCTATTACATAACTTTAATTTAAACTTTCCTTATTTTCTCTGATGTTCAATATCAGTTTTAATTACAGTAAGAAAGTAAAGATGGATCTCAGGCTCTCCATATTCCACCCAAGAAAATTGTTTTAAAAAGTTGGGGGAGCGGGGGCAGTGAAAGTGTAATATCACACAATAAACTTCAAAAATGACATCTAAGAAAATGCTTCCAGTGTGCAAGATTTGCCTCTTACTCTACACCATCCTCTGAAACATATATTTAAAAGTCAAAGTGTCCTGTGAATTTTTAATACTATCCTCAATTGGAAAAGAAAAAGACTGAGAATTATTAATACAGTCTAGAAAAAATTATTTTAAAAACAGTTGAGTTAGCCTATTTTTTAGATGCTTGACTATAACTAGCAGAATAAATGAAAGAAAATCAGTTAGACTGTAAGTAGAGAAAATAGAGATTGTTGCTTTTCATCTTAAGCCCTGTTTATAATTTAATTTTTAAAATTATAAACATATATATTTAGAAAAAAATTTAAAAATAATAATTTAAAAAATGTCTGCTTATTAAGGACTTTTGAGACACAAAAGGAATTACAATTTGTAACCAATAACAGCATCTATAAACTCATGACTGTAATTCTCTACAATCCCATTGTTTCTGAAAACTTTTTCTCATTACGACCTACCTTCAACACAATTTTTCAAACACCTATTGTTTGAAACATCTTTTCTTTACTAAAGGGATTTTTACCTAATTGAATCCCTTTTTTTTCTACCAATAAACTTTTCTTATTGCCAAATGACTTAAATGTTTAGTTTTCCTTTCTAATGAGTCCTGTTCTTTTCTGCCCAATGTTGAATCTGGAACTTCTATGAAGGAAGGATGTGAGAGTAACAATAATATTAGGTTGGGGATTGCAGCGGCAATGGATACTGGGAAGCTAAATCTGCAGCCATTCCCCACTGCCTGGCCACTATCACTCTTCTCCAGCCCGCAGTGGGACCTGCCTCTGTTCAATCTGTGTCACAAGAGACTAGCAACTCATCTCATTGAAACAGTTAATTTGAGAGACGGGCATCTCTAAGCCTATATATATATATATTTATATATTATATATCTATCCCATGTATCTGATATTATATAATATATGAAATATATGAAATATATGAAATATCATATATATGAAATATATGAAATATCATATATATGAAATATCATATATATGAAATATATGAAATATCATATATATGAAATATATGATATATATGAAATATATGATATATATGAAATATATGATATATCATATATGAAATATATATGAAATATATATCATGTATATGTGAAATATATATATCATATATATTTATTTTTTAACAACACAAGCACTAACTGTCAACTGTCATATAATCTCTAATAGATGAAGCTCAGGGTGCTCTAAGAACTCAGCCAGTGGGCCTAAGCTAGAAAGCAGAGACGTCTTTCTAGCTTAGGCCCACTTAGTTCTAGTTCCCTTTCAGCTAAACTGTTAAGGATGTGCAGGAATTAGCTAGGAATGCAGACATAAAAATCCATTCTAGGAAGAGAATTTGGGAAACAATAGGGAACTTATCTAGGCCACAGAAAAAGAGAAGGAATTTGGTAGGAATAATGAGTATAGTAGGAGTAATAAGTAAGATGTGAGAGGGTGCTAGAGACATGAAAAGCCATCAGATCCTAAAGAGTTCTCACTTGTAAGTGGGAGCTAAATGATGAGAACACATGGACACCTAGAGGGGAACAACATACTCTGGGGCCTTTCAAAGAGGGGAGGAGGGGTGGAGGGAGAGGATCAGGAAAAATAACTAATGGTACTAGGGTTAACACCTGGGTGATGAAATAATCTGTACAACAAACTTCCATGACACAAGTTTGCCTATGTAGCAAAACTGCACTGGTATCCCTGAACTTAAAAAAAAAAGTTAAAAAAAATATTTAAATGAAAATTAAAAAAAAAAGTCTTCTATGCTAGGTTAAGGAATTTAATCTCTAGCCTGAAAGGGAATGTTTCTGTCTGCTGTACAATGAGTGAGTGAACTGTACAGTTTGATCTATTACATTGACTGCTGTCTTCACTGAAAATATTTGTATCATTGTCAAGGCAGAATAATAAAACTTCAATGTTAAAATTACCTGAAGTTACCCAGAATGAGATTGCCATTAGCATTTTTTTCTTGCTTTATGCATTGCAATTAAAAAGAAACATAGAGTATGTTGAGTTGTTATTATTTTTGGAAAAAACTCCTTCTATCTTGCCAGTTTTCTTTAAAACATACCAATATGTTTGTTTGGAATATATTTTCCTAGATGAGTACTGAAAATATATACCCCAAATTAAAGAAAACTCTGAGAAGCAAGCCAAGTGCATTTCTGATGGCAACTCTTCTTTCTCCTAGTAAGCCTTCTCCCCTCACTCTCATGGTTATTCCATGGACATATCTTTGCATACATTTTATTATTTTGCAATTTTATATAATGTATCTTGTTGTGGCCATTGAGGAATACTATACTTTCTGAGAAGGTTGTTTTTGCCTTCTTCTAAAGGGGGAAATCATCCCCAGTTTAAATAATGAGTAAGCGAGAAGTCCTTAGATATGGACCAGAACATAGATAGTGGATATGAATGCAGTTAGGCATGACAGTGTACTTTTGTCTCTCTTTGATTCTCATATTGTTGGATCTCACTTTAGAAGCATAAATGTTCTTGTAGGTTCTGTTAGGTTGAGGAACACAGAAGATACCTTAGGGTTCTCTAGAAAAATATGCCTGAGAATGGATTAAAGTGTTAATTCTTTCTTTGTGAATTACAAGCCCAGGGCAGTGAAGTTAAGGAAAAAAATAAGTGAGGCCAGGAAAGGAGCAAATTGAAAGAAGTGATACATGACTGCACTGGTTACTGCTTTATAATGAACTGCAAAGATGTGTTGTAGGAGACTAAGGACTCTCTTAGAAGAGCTGCAAAAAAGATCTGCACCTTGAAAGGGGAAAAAGAGAGGGGATTTGTCCATTTTTACCCTTATGTGTCACATTTCTCATGAATCAAGATGCATCCCATAGAAAGCTGACTTCCCTTTCTTCATCTTGCTAACCACACCAGAAGCCAGATCCTAGGACCTGCAGTCTGGCATTTAATGCAAGTCTGGCATTTAATGCAAGTCTGGCACTGCAAGCGAAAGAAAGAAGAAAGTGATGGAAGGTGAACTGAAAGGAGGTATGAGTGTTGTGTCCAACAGAGAAATGCTCTTCCATCTGGAAGAAAGCTAAGTAAGAAGGTGTATATGTATCTGATATTGTACGGAAATACAGTAAATGTGTCTGATACTGTACTGATAGTGTACCTGTGGAAAATAAATGTATAGGAAAAAACAATCTTGACACATTTTGTGGCAAGATTGGGTACCACAGGTACCCCAATGGCTATTTTTCTGCTCCAGCACTCTTTAAAGCAAAAACACAGATTCAGAGGTTAATATGGAAAGCAATCTTAATCCAAATGCCAGCAAAGGAACCTTGGATGTATGCAGGCTAGTAAAGCTTTCTTTTACTTATTTCAGAAACTGCCAAATCAGGAACTGTGAATCTATCTTCCAAAGCTTTTTTCTATGCTAACATTCTTTAAAAAAAAAAAAATAGTCCAGCACAAAGCAAACAAAGCTGTCAATGCCTCTTGCTTGTTACGGAGTTATGGAGAAACATGAGAGATCCATGGAGAATTATCTCCCAGCAAAGGATGGGAAGTTGAATTTGCAAGAAAAACCCATTTGTCTATAAATTAAAGGCATGTTCTCCAGACATGACTTTCCGTTCTCCAGTTTTCTTTTTCTTTTTTTTGGTTACGAACATAATGTTTAATACCCATCTGTGTGATACCTGTATTTCTCCCCGAGGTGGTTCTGTGCAAACATTTTATATGGACTTCAGGTTTCCTTGGACACCTCTGAACCCAATGTTACTTATTCTTTGCTAACAGCTATGAATGGATCTCTCAAAATGGCTGTCCAGTGATTTAATTGTCATCTTTATCCCTTCTCAAATCTACTCTCAGGAAAAGTTTTTATATGTGCATTTGCCTCAAGGTGTAAATGACTGAATAGACTTAGCATGCCAAACTCTTCATTGGCTCATTTGCATTTAAACAGATGAAAAATTTAAAACCAAGGATCAATCAGCAAGTAGCAAAGGTTTAGGGGAGAAAAATAAAGCTAACTCTTATTGAGCTCTCCGTACAACCTGTATTACTTTAATTACTTGACCTGTATTAACTGTTTTGACTTGTGTCATCCTTGTAATAATCTTATGAGGTAGATACTATTAATAGTCACATTTTCAGGAAGATATAATTAACACGTGAAGAAACAAAAGTCCATAGAGATTCAGTAATTTATTGAAGAGTCTTTCCAGAGCTAGTTAATGATTGAACTAAGAATTGAACCCAAATGCCCTTTCTTCAGCACCTGTACAATCAATAAACACAACACGATGCTTCAGGAAAGGCAAGAGAAAAAAGAAAGCAAGTTTTTATGCCTTTTCTAGAAATAACACCACATTGGCATATTATTTGTCTACTTCCAATGCTAGTTCAGCCTTATAGGAGAGTATGTGAGTGTGTCTACGTTCATATTAGGAAATGCAGTAAGTCTGTCTTCACAAACCTTGCTTCTATCAACAATCACCCAACAGAATTAATAAGCACCAATGTTTCTCTATATGTCCCTGAAATAAAATTTCCCTGTTATATTATGTACTAAATTTAACTGGAGAATAACTGAGTAAAATCATGAGTTTTGAAAGAAATTTACAGATTGAAAGTCATTATTTCAGTACTTGATGGCAGTAACCTCCTCCTGGATTTTCACTTCTACTTTTTCAAAGAATATTCTCTCATTATCTAGCTGTATTTGGTACAGAATGGGAGGCTGTTCTAAAAATCAACAGTTAAAAACCCTAGAAATAATGCAGAACACTACTGCAAATAAATAAGTAGTGTTGCTCATATCATTTCTATCATATTTGTTTCCTAAAAATGCCACAATACATATTTCTGAAATAAAATATAGACTGAATGAGCAGCTCTTAGAAGGTAACAATACAGTGGGCTTTTTAAGAAAAAATATTAAAATAATTTAACTGAGTAAAAAGCATTAAGCTTCATTTTAATATGTCGACATCAACCTTATATAATCTTTCACTGTTCCTCAATCAGAAGTAAAAGCACTGAAAAACTATGTTTTATGTAAATACAAGAAAAGTTAATATTGCATAACTAGAAATAAAATCTTCAGTACTTTTATCCACAGAGATAATCAGGTTGGAGAGTAGTAGCTCCTTCACTAAAATAACTAAGGGGTTTATGCAATGATAATTATTTATAATAACCATCTCTGCATCTCTTTCTTTCTTCTTTGTACTCTTATGAAAACATTGCTTGCATAAATATATAATGTGGTCAAACTGTATATGTAAGTATTGTTCCAGGGGCCACAGCTCTAGCTAACAATCAGAATCATTCATTTTCAAATGGTTTAAAATACCGAATCTCAGGATCCATTCCACCCACGCGGACTCAGAATATCCAGCATTTGGCCCAGTGAATTTAAATACATAAGAAACCTCTTTAGACAATTCTGATGATCAGCAGATTGGGAGACTCTGTAACTAGGTTAATACATTTAAGAATTCTGTTAGACATGTTTATACTTCAGTCATAAGAAATGTGAATTTCTGCTTCATTATTGTTCACTAAGAAAGACATCCAAAATTGGCCACCATAGTAAATATAAGAGGCCTTGAAATGCACACATTGTTGTGAATTTTAAGCACAACGTATTTTACTGATAGGCAGAATTAGGGAGATGACTATTTAAACTAATAGATATTTTAATTGATAATAGAATTATATACATAGATAGCACCTAATAGATTTATTGGCAAGCCTTTCATACCTACCCAATACTTGTCTATATCTAGTCTTTAGGTTTTACATACATGGGGGAAAAAAAGTTCATCTAACTTTTTGCAAAAACATATTATCATGGAAATTTAAACTTAAAAATCTTGACTGGGTCCAGTTGCTCAGGCCTAAAATTCTAGCACTTTGAGAGGCCAAGGCAGTAGGCTCACTTGAGGTTAGGAGTTCAACATTAGCCTGAGCAACATAGGGAGATCTCATCTCTACAAAATATATATATATATATTTTATTAAAATATATATATATATATTTTATTAAAATATATATATATATATTTTAATTATCTGGGCATGATGGTGCATACCTGTAGTTCTAGCTGCTTGAGAAGCTAAAGCGAGAGAATTGCTTGAGTCCAGGAGTTCGAGGTTACAGTGAGCTATGATGGCACTACACTCCAGAGTAGGTGACAGAGAAAGACTCTGTCTCAAAAAAGAAAAAAAATGTGTCAAGCCATGCAAGCAGACACCACTAAAACTAGCTAACAGAACATGTGATAGTCAATGAGATGGGCATCACAATAAAAATGATTTATGTGGTTTATTAGACATCTTGAGAAATAGACAATGTATGTTAAATTTGAGGAGGGTATGAAACTACCTCTCATTATAGATGTTGTTTATATAGATGTCAGTCTAGTATGGCTATGAGTTAATAATGCTGCATCTTATCGAGAATTGCTTTCAATAATCGCATTTTTACTAATCACATTCATTGGCAGTTAGGTATGTTACTTATTCATTCATTCTGTCACTCAGTAAAAGCTATACTTCAGACAAATATGTACCTACAACTGTGCTAACTGTAGTACATAAAACACCTGTCGTGCCTGCTTTCAACAACTTTCCACCTAGTAAGGTGAATATAAAAGCAATAATTTATCCAAAAGATCAGGCAATTACAGGTGTGACAAGTGCTGCAAAAAAAAAAAAAAAAAAAAAAAAAAAAAGTTGCTAAGAAGGTATCAATAGGTGACAGAAAAAATATAAGGAAGTTCTAGAAATCCTCCATGGTAATTGGCATTCAAACTAATTAACTGAGACTCTGAAGAAAACAGGATTTAGCCAATTGAGGAATGAAGGGAAGGAAACACTGCAGAAGGAGCAACACAGTGCAATGGCGAGTGAGATGTGGGCAGGGTTGAGGGAGACTCGAAACGTCACCCTCACCTAGGGTTTGAGCAGCGCCTGCCAGGAGAGATGGTCAAATCAATCAGACGTGGAAGGGCCTTTCCTAGTTTTCCTTTCTCTCTCCCCTCATCCCTGCTCCCTTTGATCCTTTCCCATATGAACTTTTGTCTCAAGTTTTGCTTTTGGAGGAAACATAGATTTTAAAGTTATCTCATTAAGATTTCAATAAAATTTGGGAAAGTATATTCACAGGCACAAGCATTAAGCATAGATAATTTCCAAGCATTCATATTTAAAATGTGTCCTTTCTATCATTTAAATGACTTTTTCCAGTGTGCATGCCAGTAGTAACAAAAATAATAAAATCATAAAAATACGTGAAGAATTTTAATTCCATTGATGTTGAAATACAGCTTTGAGGTATTACAAGAGATGGGGACATTACTTTAACGCATATATCATCTGCATTACCAAGAAATAATTTGGACTAACATTGTCTGTATATGCAAGTAAAGTAAGTAGACCAGACTCTTGAATGAGGAAAATCCAAACCAGACCAATGCTCACCTGCTATCCTAGCCAAGATTGGTTAGGTTTTTGCAGTGAGCCCTATCTTATAATGCTCTAATATTATTAAACTTCATTTTCATATCCTTTTAGTAACGCCCTTAAGCTTTGCAAAGTCAATTAGAGAATGTCCATTAGCTGAAAAATATATTTTTAATTACATGATTAAATAAGTTCACACACTAGAGATAATGGTGCAAAATTTTTTTGTGCATTGTCTCTTGACATCTATATCTCTCTTAAATGGTATTAGGCAGAACCTCTTTCTCTGTCATAACTCCTCTTCCTCCCAGTCTCTCTCCAAGCTGTTTCCCTAGATCTTGTATCCCACTGTTCTACAACAATGAAGACTATCTCATAGTTCTGCCCTCAGCTACTGGACTAGGCTTTCAGTATAAAGATTGCATCAGTTTTCCCTTGGATGAAGACTGGTGGTGTGACCAATCAGAGGATCTGCACATAGAAGGAGTGAAAGAGAAAAACAGCTTGCCTTGTTCAGCTTTGGAATGACAGATATGAAATACAGAGATACATTGCTTACTATATTGTCTGTCTTATTGCAACATTCTTTTTGTTATTCTAGCTTGTAATGACCCTTGTACTGGAGTATGAATGAATAAATACCCAACACATGGAAGAGAAAGGGGAGAAAGAAAATATGGTCCTATATAATTGCCTCCAAGTGGAATCCTTTGGATACTCACGAAAAAACATCAATTTCCTTAGAGAATATGGAGGCCCTGGAGATAATCCTTGATTTATCTAGATTGCCTTTAGAGGGCACAACCTGCTCATTTTAGGTTGATGAGATATTGGGTGCATCTCCTAGTGCCCTCAGTTAGGTATTGACATTTGCTCCTTCATTTCATAATTCAAAATTTACCTCTACCCTCAATACCATTTTTCATGCTTTATACAATTTTCCATGCTTTATACAATTTTCCATGCTTGACTTCTAGACATATCACCTAGTATTTCAGTGTCAGATGATGAGAACTGAAATTGAGTTCTGAGGAAGGTGGCTCATTTTTGTACAAGTAGAAGTTATCTTGTCACTGCTGAAGGTTCGAGAGCACCAGGTTCCTGCCCCTAAACAGTTCACTCACCCTCTTATTTACTATCTATATTTCACATATACATTTCTAGAAGGGAAGGCTAGCTTGCTTTTATGTCCCTGCTTGAGCACCATGGGATAACCTAGTTATGACTGTGCCCTGCAGATGGAAGTTCCAATGCCAGCCAGATATCCCAGAGTGAAATCACTGGGAGCTTGGCATAATCTGAAAAAATAACTCATATTTATTTAAATATATTTGAATCTAATTATCCAAATATATTTATCTTTAAAGTTGGTGCAACAAGGCCAATGTGTAAGAAATCTTTTAGAGAATTTTGTCCAATATATATGTCCTCCAGAACAAAGAGAAGAGGAGAGGAGATATGGAGGAAGCTATCTCGTTTACTATCATGCAGGCAGTTGCAGCCTAAAGTGCATGCAGAGATTAACGAGAGATAGATGGCTTTCACTGAGGGATACCTGAGAGATTCCGAACTCAGACACAGCAAGTATAGCAGAGATGGGGAGCCAGTCACAGTATGGAAAATGGAAGGGAGTATAGGCTAAAAGTCTCTAAAGGATTAATTGGCTCTCGCTGCACAAAACTGAGAGCATTCAAGTAGCCGATCTCACCTACTCCTATTCCATAGCCAGGAGTCAGTTTGGGATTATAGAATCTACGATGTTGAAATACAGAGACTCAGAGCTTTTAGTCACCAGATGATAGAAGTGAGACAGTTTAAAATGTGCATTAATTAATAATCTTTATAAAAAAGTATAGCCAAATCTTAAGCCCCCTGTTACTACACTGACCAGAAAACATCTAAAACAGACATATTGGGAAACCAGCTCATCTCTAGTTTAATCAATAGACTCTAAGTTAAAACAAAACAAAACCAAAACCAAAAAACTCAAGTCCAGAAAGAGGGCAAAGGAATTGTGGGGGTTATTTTTCATTGTTGTTGTTTTTAATTAGGGGGATTGTCTTCAACAACCTGATTATCTTTCCTTAATTTTGAGTGTGCAGATTGAGCAATATCCCTGTTTGTTGCTTGAGAGACACAATGTACTATTAACCATCTCCACTATCTCCATAAGTCTCTGTAGGTCAAATCCTCTTGGCTGCCACTTTGACCTTGCCACTCATTGCAATAATTGCCTCCACTGTTAAATGCTGAAACCTGGCTTCTATCGAGGAAAGGGGCGGGAGTGAGGCTTCAACCAACTTCCTTGCTTTTGTAGCCCAGGCTTTCAATGGCATTTTCTTCTGTCAGCCTGTCCTGGAGAGCAGAGCCACCACTGAACTTAATGATGCTAGTGCGCCTCTCAGAGCTAATGCATCAGCACTTTGAAAAATAATGTGTCCTTCAGGAGACATAGTGAAACATAGTTTTGGGGAGTTTTTACAACCTTCCATAACATATTACTTTAACACATACAGACCAACATGAACATCTCAATTATCTTCTTCCACAGTCTGTAATGCTAAATCAGGCATTTTTATCTTACTTAGTCTGGACTATGATTTTTCCATGCATCTCTGGGATATCCTAACAGTGTGTTTGAATAGTTTCTCAGGGTCCTTTCTGGGGTGTTAAATCCTGCATCTGGAGAGGGTCCTTTCGTGTTAATAAACTACCTTTTATCCCAAATCAAGTTAAATTTCTCTTTGTTTAGTTTTTTAGGACCGTAGTCCCTTTTCTCCTTCTGCAGATCCAGCACATCCCCAGATGAGTGACATTGTGACTTAACCCATTTATTGGCTGTGTGTGGGCAGATGTTGAGGGAGTGCATGTTATATTACAGATGAGAGACATCTGCATCATCTGCAGGTAATAGTAGAGCTCCAGCCATTAGCATAGAGAAGTGGGCTACTTCTGCAGGCTCACAGGGTTCAGGGAAGTGTGTGCGTTCAAGAATTTGATGCATCAACACCTGCATCGGTCTCCCATTCTTTCAAAGGCAGGGCCCTGACTTTTACATAGCACACCTATCTTGATTGAGAGCTTAACCTCTGTTGGATCTTTCCCTACTTTTCTGCTGTAAGAGATGAGTGCCCCTTTATAGGCAAACAAGGAGGGCTTTAATGTTTATACTTGGCTTCTCATAGCCAATCATCTTCTGCTTTTATTTACCTTTTAATCATAGCATCGATTGAGTAGAGTAAAACCACTGAATTCTGTTGCCTTTACAGTTGCTATTTCGTTCATAATTCTCTACCCTTCACACAAAAGTTATAGCCTATCCAGAGTCCAGTTGTTCCACAACTGGATGTTTATTCAGAATACCTGATCAGCCACAATGCTAAGGAAGGCACACATAGACACTACCCTTCTCTTACCCTGGGTCACTCCAACCTATCCTTTACATCTCCCCAAAAATGCCCATTCCTCAAGGAAGCATGTAAGCTGTCATTCACATATTTTCCTCCCACAGAATTACATGTATCCTCTACCATAGTGCCAAATGTGTTACCTTGCAGTTGCCTGGATATTCATCTTTATCTGATACTCTGATAGAAGCAACTTGAAGTTAAGCACCATGTCTGTCTTGCTCATTGTTTGTTATAATTCTAGCATGAAGCGTGGCGCCAGCAACCTAAAAGATAATCAATAAAAGCTTGTTTAAAAAAAAAAGTCAGTACAGCTTAGTACTGTAGTTTTCTATTATTTAGATGTCCTTGATTGAGTTCATAGAAGAATTCATTAAATTTGATGATAAAATCTCTTTATGTACTGGTATTGTGACTAGATATCCTCTAAAGCTACTTTTTTAGAGTCCGCTATATATATCATATAAATGTCATCTGTCATCATATTTATTAAATTTGCAGAATCCTAATTAATTTTTATTTAGAATCTGCCGGCATTGTCACCATTGTTTAAAAATATACTGCTCCTTGTATTATCTAAAATGGCACTGTGATGAACTGGCTGTCTTACTAATTTTCTCCAACTGTCCAATGAGTCATATAGAATTTCCTGTCAAAATCTTTCATCTCATTTTTACCAACTAAATGCTCAAACTATTGACATCATTTATGTAAATGGAAAGATGTTTAAAGTGAGTTGAAAGCTAGTAAAAGCTAGCCCATTTTATAAGTTACAGTTATTTAGGATAGAATCTCCACAGACAATTTCAATAAGGACAATTTTATTCTCTTATTTAATACTGTTACACACTCACTCTCTATGTCTCTATGTATGTATATATGCATGTATGTGTGTCTGTGTATATGTGTATTTTATTTATATATATGGATATATACACACAGGGGCTCAATCACATAGGATAAAAATAATATTTTCCATCTTTAACAGACACTCTGAAACCTCTTTAAACTGCTTTCTGATGTGCCTTTTTATGAAACACTGAATCTATCCTACATTGTGTGGTGAGAATGTCTATTCTGGCATTGCTTATTGCAACTAACAACTATAAATCTTGATGCCTACCCTTCTTTTATTTATCTTAGGTCAAATCACCCTATAAAAGCTGGCTTCTGGAATTTTTTCTTTTTTTCTCTACGTAAGCCCTGTGGAGAATTTCAAAGTTTATCACGTCTAAAATATAATCATCACTGTTTTCCAGGAGACCATGGTTACATCCCATACAGATTATGATTTAGACTTGCTGGTAATGAAACTGCTGAGGAAAATGGAACTAGACGTAATGTCAAAAGTAGCTCTAAATATATTAGATACATACAAGTGAAATCCTAATTTACACTGCAGATCATCAATTTGTTCTAGCCATAGAAGCCACATCATCAACATGCTTTGCTATTGTCCTGAAGGGCATGTTGACCTATTTGATTTAATTTTCTGTTCTGCCAGTTAAAGCTTTCTTTGACCAATATTTAACAAAATCTTCAGTTGGGATTTATATGGTTTAGCTTTTCTCCATAAAATGCAACTACACTATATAGTTTAGTTTACTTTAGTTTGACTGCTCTTCAGGTTTAACATTGATCTGCTTCTAAGTCCAAGACAAAATTATCTTCCTCTTATAGGTTTTTCTGTGTGAAATTTAAGACAATATGGTTATTCAGCAAAACGACTATCTGAAAGAGCTGTGAAGATGAAATTGTGTTATTTTAAATTGATCTCAAAGGTTAAGAATAATATTTTCAACGGAGCATCTAAATATGTCATTTTTAAAAAGCATGAATGAATTAATAATTTGAATGAATGATGCATTTTTTAGAGTGGATATATCATATACATCATTGATACATAGTAGTGGTGCCATAGATTTTGTGTGTTTTGTTTTTTTTTTTAATTTCTAACACGGCTGTAGTGCCACCTCTGGGAACTCCTTAAGATATCAACAGTTAGAATATGGAACTCAGTCTATGTAAACTCAGAAGTTTACAGAGACTGTTTGATCTCGGGAAAAGAAAACAAATTTTATTAGAAGGCATACTAAGATACAATAAAATTCAGTGAAGTTAGGCACACTTAGTGACATGGACATTAACAGAGACCTAGTCTTACATATATTAGCCTGTACCGTCCTGAAATTTACCATATTAAACAGTCATATTTATGATAAGTAAATCTCTGATTTAAAATCTCTGTTTTAAAATAATTCCTGTATTTAGATGGATAAAAATGAAAATTGAGGAACTCTTTAATTAGAAGGTACACATTTCATTTTGTGTGGTGGTGAATCCTGGAATAATATGTGTAAGCCACATGAAACCATTGGATGTCTTCCTATGTGCTAATTGTCCAAGATCAAGGGCTATACTGTGTCAGAATTCTTATGAACTAAAACTATTGACTCTAGAGATTTTGGACTTTTGTAGCCCCTATTTTTGAGCTAACTTATAGGTTCCAAGGCTTTTGTTTCCCTGGACTATTTTATCTACCGACCGTACCAAGCTCTACAGAAAATGAAGAAATCAAAACTAAAAAGAGCTTATCCCATCTCTGTTAATCAACTGGTAAGATATTCAAACGACTCAAATTTGACCCACAAGCTCTTAAAATGTAACATGTTTATTTAGATTATAGTGGTTAGACAAAATAACGTAATGCAGCCATCGGTTCCCTGCTTACTTTCTGGGATTCACTGTCCACTTCTCCACAATATTAGCAAATGGGTAGCTCAGTGCTTAAGTGATGGCTTCTGAGCAGCAAGTGACCAAAGCCCAGTTCCTCTTTCAGTCATTGTTAGAAAGCACTGACTTTGGAACTTCTTTGTCCTTCATGTTTCCCCACAAAGGACTATATAGATATAGTTAATCCTTGGCCCCTTAACATGCACTAAGGCTGCTTAACATTAGCTATTTGGCATGCTTTTTATGTAACACACAATTATCTGGCAAAAGTCACTCTATAAAGCATAAGTAACATGTTTATATTACTATTATCAGAAATGACATCAGTGCACAAAACAACTTTTATGGTCCAGTTAACAAATTTCAATACAACCAACACCATAATTTAGAAGAAAATCCCCCAAACCATGTATATTATAAATAATTCTTCATAGCTTGCCTCCCTGCTGTATTATTACTGTTTACCTAATGACAAAACAAATGAGTTTGAATTTGTCTCTAGATTTAGTGTAGGAGCTAGCCACAAGATATCTTATATTTAAATATAGCAAACTAAGTAAATTAACACTCATACTTTAGAAAGTTTAATACAAATCTCTTAAACATGCCAGTAGTATATTCACAGGCATGAGATATGTAATTCCCAAAGTCAGTTACCTTAGGGTATATTCATCTCAAAATTTTAATTATAGAAACAATACAGTATACTTTGAAATTGTTAAATAATGTAAGCTATGTGCACCTGACAATTCACAAATAGTGTATTATGTTTTAAATCCCTAAAGATTTTATTTCAAATAGTTCTTCGGAGCTCTTGAAGTTAAATAATTCTTACAAATACTTAAGCATTTGTATTTCAAAAGGAGCTTGTATACCTCTATTTTAGGACTTTAACAGTCTGTCTGAAATAAAACTTGATTGGCGTAGGTTACTCTGTATGAGATGAAGTAGTGTTAACATTTACTTGATACCTGCAGAGAAAAGCAAGCAAATCATATTTATATAGTGTATTAAAAGATATTGCATGCAGCTGTTTTCAACTTGATTTTTATTTAGACAGTGGAAGGGTAAAAACAACTTTAAAGCTTTCTGTGATGATGGCTTTAGAGACAAAGGCCAGCATTCACACACTTTTGGCTCAGAAAAACATTTAAGACCAAAAAGATTTATTAACCAGAATTCTTTTAAGAACACGCCAAATTAAATTTTAAATCTGCGTATCAAAATGTGTAACTAGATTTTTGGCCCAGAACAGTCATCAAAATGAAAAAACAGTTTCATTCAATTAACATTTCTATCAAATCTGGGGACACAGAGTTTTATACTTTAAATGAATATGGATGTAAAATTTCATGCATTTAAATAACTTGCACATTTCAAATAGACTTGACTTCCAGTTTCTAAAATAAAGTAAAATGAACTAAGAATTTGTATTCAAAATTAAATATTCACTACCATTGTATGTGATGGAAAAAATAGTTGCTCATAAAGTGAGAAATCTCTTACCAGGATCTGAAACTATAATAGGAAAGTGCCAACCAATTCATGGTCTTCAGTGTCATCCAGGGCCCAGCCAATATCTCCTAGTCTCTGGTGCATTATCTCCAACTCTCCTCAGTAATTCTTGCAAATCTTCACCAGTATAGTTGCCTATGATCCCCATTTTTCAGCGTATGACCATTTCTTGGACTTCTTTGAGAAAATATTGTTCATCACATATGAAATCTCAAATCCATCTCTTACAGTCATTCTAATTTGACTTCACTACTCTCTCTTTTCGTCTGAATTTTTTAATCTCCTAACGGACAATCACCCTACATGTGATCTTAATATTTTTACCTCCTGCCTACACGGTGAACTTACTCCATAAATTGCTTCTCTTCCCTATATTATTATTCTTACCATCTTCCTCTAAGTTTGTCCTTAAATTCTGTATAAAGAATGCTGATATTTTAACAGGGATATTAAAAAATTATGTTTTCTTATACCTGCATCTCCCTACATCTAGTGCGGTATATCTATCTACCCTTCCATATAGAGTCCTGTTTCCAAGTGGACTAGTATATGTTCTATGTTCACATTTCCTTGCCTTACCCTTTTTTACACCAAAATCTGCTCTTACTCTTCCACTATAACATCCTTTGCCAGAGTTATTAAAAAGACAAGATGCTAACATTTTAATCCGCAATTTTATCAAACAAATTCCACTTGGCACAATTAGCATTAAGTATATAAAACTGCACTCTCTTTGTTTTATTTTAATGTGCCATAGAAGACACACCTCTGTTAATTTCAGGGCATAGTTAACACAATTATAAATATATACAATCTGGCCTTGGACTAACTTGGAAACTTGGGTCCAATCTTGGTTCTACCACATAGTGCCTGAGTGCTGAGTGGCTTGGCTAAGTTACCTAAACTTCATTCATTTAAAATTCCCTCACTTGTAAAAGGGACTTGAGTAATAGTATCTACTCTACAGTGCTATGGTGAAGATTACATAGGATAAAATACTAAAGTCACTGGCATTTAATAAATTATCAAAAAATTAAAAACCACATGCTGCTAACATTTTAATTCACAATTTTATCAAACAAATACCACTTGGGACAATTAGTATTAACTAATGCCCTGAAATTAACAGAGGTGTGTCTTTGATGACACATTAAAATGAAAAAGAAGAGTATAGGAGGAAGAAAGAGAAGAGGGTAGACAATAGAAGAAAAAGATAGAAGAAGCCCTTATTTTATTAAAAAAAGGCTCCAGACTTGTAGATTCCCTTGTTAAAGAAGAAACAAAGTCAGACTTGAAGGAGAGACTTTATTTGAAAAGATTACTGGAATAGGAGAAGAGTGACTATTGCAATAGAGAGAATGCTACAAACATGAGACCTATAAATGTCTCAAACGTCAGACAGAAAATTCTTTTATTGGGAAGAGTTAACAAGGATAGAAATGATCAGGCGTAGGGAGTGGGATGAGCAGGTGGTGTGGTAGGATAGTTGAGCAGGCAGTCTCTTTCTTTGCTGTCAGCCAGTTCTCAGGAGAGGCCACTGAGGGTGAGGATGGTTGCTGTACTTTCCATTATCTGCTTAGGCACCCAATGCTTGCTTAAAGTACAAGGTTGGGTCAAATTTTGGGAACCTCCAAAGAAAGAAGCCTGACTCAAATTTGATAAAGACAAGTTAATGAGCATTTTGTTCAAATCGGTCAGTGGGTACAAACAGTTCAGCTAGTTGTTTGTGAGACAAAAAAATGGGAATTTGAAACATCTGTGTCTGGCCTTCTACAAGGCGAAACAAAAAGGTCATACCTGAGCCTTATCTAGGTCTTATGGGAGAAGTGTGGTTCTCTGCAGTAAGCCCTTTCCCAGAACATAAAGAGTGGGGAGATTTCTTAATCATCACTATTTTCCAGAAGCATAGGACTCAGGTACAGTTCAATATTGTCACTCTTTTCTTATCTCTGGAGCTTCAGTACCACTTATTCTATACCCTAATGGTTAGTGGCTGGCTGGCTCAGCCAGGGCGAGAATCTGGTTTTCCAGTAGCACTGGATAGGTGATGATAGAAAGAGGCCATGAGTTTGGGATAACTTATACAGTTGTTATTTTTTAAGTACTTAAACTTGTAAGTGTCAGGATCTTCACTGGGTGAAAGAACCTCACATATCTGCCTTAGTTAGGGTTCCACTGTTGTTGCTTGTTATTTTCTATATCCCTTTTCTGTGTTCCTCTAATTACTGGAGTTGTAACCAGCCCCAAGTAAATTGAGAAAGAAAGCTGTTATGTAGACATGCCCTACTTTAATGTTAGGAATAGACAATTACTAGAATAGACTTTTCCTTGAATGTGTATTCATGCAGATGCTTAGTTTAAAAATAGAGAAATAATAATAGAATTGATTTAAAAGATTTCTGCATAGTTTATTTAAAAAGATATTTGATCGCTAGGCTTTTCTACTATTAGTGTTAGGTTTCTGCCATATTAAAAATTGTTATTTTTTTAATTTTCCAAAAGTCTGTTGAATATTTGTACATACACCCCCAAAATTAATGTATATTAGAAATAACTATTATGCTTTGGTGAGTTTATTGGCTAATTTAATCAGTATTCTCATAAGTATGTGATTCCTTATACTCCAGAACCAAAAATTGAATATGAAAATATTTCAGCTGGGCATAGTGGCTCACATCTGTAATCTCAGCACTTTGGGAGGCTGAAGCAGGAGGATTGTTTGAGCCCAGGAGTTTAAGACCAGCCTGGGGAATATAGCAAGACCTTGTCTAAAAATTAGTGAAGCACAGCAGTGCATGTCTGTAGTCCCAGCCTCTCAGAAGAGTGAAGATGGAGAATCTCTTGAACCTAAGAATTCGAGGCTGCAGTGAGTTATGATCATTATAATCACATCATTGCACTCCATCCTGGGTGACAGGGCAAGACCCTCTCTCTAAAAAACAAACAAAAACCAAGAAGGAAGGAAGAAGGAAGGAAAGAAGGAAGGAAGGAAGGAAGGAGAAAAACTATTTCACTCATAGACACAACAGCTCTATGATTTTTCCCGGAGACCCTCTTCCTTTAGGTCTCAGTGTTCCTTTTCTGAACTGGACTGCTCTTCTCTTGCCAGCCACACAGCTGACACCTTGTAAATTCTGTCCATCCCTCACTTGTGTTGGATGCACTATTATTTCCTGATTATTTCCATTTTTCTCTTAATTTTCTCCTTAATTTTGATGGAACACATCTTCTAACAACTCTCCCTCTATTCTCTTCATTGTAAAGTTATTTTATTTCTTTAGTTAGTAGAGAAAAAAATGGACACACTTCATCCACTCCTATTTTTAACTTTTTTCCTCTCATAAGTACTATTTTTCAAATGAATGTGAAAACCAACCCCAAAGATTAAGACGAATACTGTGGCTTATGAGGATTACCTTCATCTCAGCTTGAAAATATAGAAAATCCTACACATTTAAAACTATAGTTAATTTCATTTATTAAGCATTGTCTTTACATTCCAAGAATAAAAATCACTTAAGGGGCCAATATGTGATGTAACAAAGGGAAGGGAATTTAGGACTTTCCACAAGAAGAATGAATGAAATAAGCTCTATTAATCATTTCCAAAGGAAAGGACATTTTAATTCCAACTACTATAAACCTGCTTTCTGTTTACATGGTAAGGCAAGAACTGTGGATAAATATGAGCTTTAGAAAACTGAAGAATGTTATATCTGTATCAGTTTGCATCCCAGCTTTGACCTTCTCCTGGTTAATTTTCTTACCTTGATAAGTAAGAGTATCTTTTTTACTGTTCCCATCTATCCTTAATAGATATGGCCACATCAATGCAGAATACTTCCTAGATGACTAAATAGAGATTGACAAAATGGGCCTATATGACTGAGAAAACTAGCATTTTAAAGTAGTTCTTAGTTGACTTTACTGAATAACCAAGAATAGATAAAGTAATAACAATAATAACTCTATTCACAAGCTCTTCACATTACCATGAACAGAGGCAGTTTTAAAATGAGGCCTCGTATGTTTTGCTGACTTGTGCAGCTTCAGAACTCATCTGAGTGCCTGGCATATAAAGGAAGTCAATAAATGTTTGTGGCTGAATGAGCACTCTTTTGATTAGCTTTCAAAGTCTTTGCTATCATCTGATGATTCTACATTATGTTTGCTAATTTTCTGTCAAATCCCCTTTGTTTTGTAGTTATGTCTCCAGAATCAGTTTACCACTAATCTTATAAAATGTGGCTTTGTCCAAAACATACTTAAGTACTGCTGCTACTATGTATAACATTCTCGCTAGAATATTACAGCTACTGGCTTTATTATTTTTGTTTTGACCGTGACATTAATGAAGGATGCTGCTACTGATGATGATAATAATGGTGAATATGAAGGTGATGTAACAATATCATTTTCTTCTTAAACCAGATTTATCTTGCATTCCTCTTAGTTTTTATCATAGAGGAATCTTGCATCTTCAATAAAAACCAAGTTACCCACCATCTACTTTTTTTTCATGTAGATATACACAAATCATCTACATTTCTTCATTGTTTTCTACTCAAAAGCCTTCTGTTTCTGCTGATTTCATGCTCTTTTTTTAGCTCCCCAATGAAACAACTATCTCACTATTATTTCCCTCCTTGGGTGAGGGGGGCGGGCTACATGCTTTCAGTTTTTATGCTGTTAGGGTCCCAGCAGTAAAGTGATGGCATGCTAAAATTGAGATCGTTTGAACAGTCTATATTTACAAAGGGACTAATTACCCAAAAATAAGCAAGACGTAAAGGAATCACAAAAAAGAGACTGAAACAGGAGCTAACAGCAGCAGCGCTATAGCCATTCCTAAGGACTCACAAACAAAGAAAAAGAGGAAGAAAGAGAGTCATGTGGCAGCTTGAGAGAACCGGAGACTTCAGTTGAGGAATATCACCAGGCCAAGGCAAAACTCAGGAAAGGAACAGAGAAATAAACAGCCTAACCTCAGCCTCTTCCCTCCTCCTCCCTCCCTCATCCTCTCTTCATGCTAGTGCTTCCCACTATTTTAACCAAGACAGAAGCCAAACTTCAAAGGAATTTGTTGATGTAATTGATACAGGTCAGGCACCTGGGGGAGAGAGCAGGTTGGAGAAGAGACACCGGATGTGGAGTGGGAAGCTATCTGACCCACCGTTCCACCTCTTGTTTTTCAGCATGTATTCTTATCCTGCATCCTGCTTAGTCATACAGTCTGAAGAGCAGGGCAGCTTGTACTCTAATCTGAACTTGTTTCAGGGTCCATATTGGCTTTGGAATCTGCTCAAAACTATACCCTTACAGGTCATCTGATAAAAGAACTGGAACAACATGTCCAAATGTGATCTATGTACATTTCTTCCTAAACCCAAAAGGTTTGCCAAGCACTGTGCTGCTTTCCTTCGTGATGAGATATGCAAAGCACATCTTCTCATCTTATACTTTAGAGGAGAAAATCTGACAAGCATCATGTTATAGATATATACAAACCTCACTGACAGGCCAGGTTTCTGAATTTTCCCTGGGTTTATTTTTAACCCTGTGGCTCACATATCTTACTAAGACATACAGGTACTTGCTACTTCTTGATCACTTGATCCTACCAGCACAAAGCTATCAATGTAATGGACATATGGGATGTTTTGTCAATAGCAATGTTAAGTTGGTCCCTCCTGTTTTATAAAAAAAAATAATAATTGGCATAGTCCTGAGCCAAGACAAAGAAAATGCAGTATGATTAAAGCTATATGCATCTAGATTATTTCTGATTTTGCTTACCCATGGGGATAGAGAAGAATACACTCAACAAATCAATAGCTAAATACCAGGAACAAGGATTCATGTTTAATTGTGCCAGTAAAAATAACACATCTGTAACTGTGGCTGTGAATTGCATCACTACTTTCATTTAGTTCATGAAAACCTGAAGTGCTCCATACTGTATTCATGTGAATTTGTTTCTTTTTGTTGACCAAACAGATAAGTATAGTGAAAATATATTAGGAATTATCATCCTTGCATCTTTATTTAGTCTTTGATAGTGTTCCTAGTCTCTATCGTCATTTCAGGAATGTGATATTACTTTACTTTGGGTACAATATCTCTGCTGATGAAAGCTTGGGAGCTTTAATTTGGCTTTAATTTGCACTATAATAGCTCTCACTTTGTAGTCAGATAATCAATTTTAATATTCTGCCAGTCATTTATAAAATCATCCATTTTAACTTTTATTATGGGATTATGGAAATAACATGATTGATTTGCCCTCACATACAAGATCCATTCCAATGTTCCCAATTTCCTGAGTTTTCAGTTTCTTCCTGTATAGTATGCCAACATGTCAGGCATGTTGGTTTTATTAAGTGTAGGCTAATGTTGAGTTGTGTCTACTGTTCTGGCATACTTTCATTACCACTCCTATGTACTTGAGCCAATACATCATATCCTGAGCCCAAATTAGGTTCACTGTTGTCAATAAATTTGAGCTATTTAAAATGTACATTTCTTCTCCTTTTGCCAAATATCGATACATCCTTCAGCCACACATGCTCTTTGGGATTCTGGAGATGAAGTCTGAGGGAGGGGGGATCTTGTAATTCTCTTAAAGTACTGTTATTTCCTGGTTCATGTCTGTAACCCCTTGGTCACTATAAATTACATTGAGATCAAACTCAAGTATAGCCCTGTAGAAAGCAAAAAGTGATGAAGGCGAGAATTGGTATCAGCTTGAGAATCCATTGTTGCAAGAGAGCTTTAATGCAGAGGTGAACTGGGATCCCTCAGATAGGGGGATAGCTTGCCTCCTATAACATGAGCACTTCAGGGAAATAATATTCATAGCCAATGTTTTAGGGTTCACTCTTTCCCTGTCAGTGTCATTACTTTAGTGTAAGAAATTTGTTGGGATAGAGTGTCTAATTTGTGCTGTGACTTTGAGACCTTTACAATTCTATACTTGATTGTCAGCTACATCTACCCTGTGACTATAAGAAATAAGATATTTCAAAATTGTCTTGGAGAACTTTTGGTTCTTCATACATGGTCATACATTTTATAGCCGTAGTTTTTCATTTCTCTTTGTTTTTCTATCTATGTTCTCTAGGGTGTTAAGAAGTAGTCGGCCAGGCGCGGTGGCTCACGCCTGTAATCCCAGCATTTTGGGAGGCTGAGGGGTGCGGATCACGAGGTCAGGAGATCCAGACCATCCTGGCTAACACGGTGAAACCCCGTCTCTACTAAAACTACAAAAAAAAAAAAAAAAAGAAAAAATTAGCCGGGCATGGTGGCAGGCGCCTGTAGTCCCAGCTACTCGGGAGGCTGAGGCAGGAGAATGGCGTGAACCCGGGAGACGGAGCATGCAGTGAGCTGAGATCGCGCCACTGCACTCCAGCCTGGGCGACAGAGCGAGACTCCGTCTCAAAAAAAAAAAAAGAAGAAGAAGAAGAAGTAGTCAGGAGATTCCACAATTACTGTAAGCTATTCTGTTACTATGTATGTTGCAGAGCTCTAAGATCATCCCCTAGTTCATTGATTTACTAGGAGAAGTTTAGGACTTGCTTAGAGTCATATTTATGATATGATTTATTAGAACAAAAGGATACAAAGATAAATAAACAAAGAGAAAGGCAAAATAAGTGAAGAGCAGGGGAAACCAGGCACAAGCTTCCAAGAGCACTTTGCCAGCAGAGTCACATGGGAACGGCTTAATTCCTCTCACATGATTTGTGACAGCAAGTAGAATATGTCTACCAGGGAGCTCAATAGATATTCAGTTTGCAGGGTTTGAACTGGGGGCTAGTCACATAGGTACTTGCTTCCTAGCACATACCAAAATTTCAGACTACCAAAGGAAATCAAGTGTTCAACATAAAATGCATTATGTGTACAAAGAGTATAATCATAATGAGCTACTCTAAGTAGTTCTGGGAATGGTGAGAATCATTCCCCAAATCAGAAAAACCACATTTCGGCCAAGAACAAATCTTGCAAGCAAGCCTATTAAGGATAGAAATCTTAAGCCTGTTATGATTTATCTTTTCTGCGCACCATATAACTGTCATAGCCACTTCTTCTTCCAAAACCTCACTTTTTGCGTGCACTTTATCCCATGTCCCTTTAGTGAGCATTTGGATAATTATGTTTTTTTACATGAAATGAATTACCTGTGTCTCATTTTCCTCTGGCAAGGAAGTCATCATGTGCTCCTTAAATATGCAACAAACAAAACTGCAGAATCTCATTTTAAAGACCAGTTTCTAGATATCACTTCCAGTGACAATTACTGTGTCAATCAGAGGCCCAGTAGGAAATAAATGGGATATGTAAAATTGAGATATATCAAGAAAAAGGCATTTGCAAAGGATATGCTCACAGAGGTTAGAGCAGGGAAACCATAAAGGATTATGAAGAAAAAAGGACTAATAGCTGCAGAGATACTAACACCCTAGGCACTAGGGAACAATAGAAGGAGAGCTTTTCTGAACCCAGAAAGGAAAAATGTTACACTGGTCAGGTAACCTCAGGAGAGGTAGTGGCCCTCTGCTGATGGATGCAACCAGCCACCCTACCTACTGAAAATTAGGGAAATAACTACCTTATTCTCAAATATGCTCATTATCTTCTCTCCTTTAGATTTCTTCCAGTATTTCCCAGTGACCCAACCCAATCAGAAGCCAGAGTGTGTGGGATCTCACTGATGTCATCAATTTAGTTCACCCTTCCATAGTTGAGGAAAATTTGGGAGAGGTTAAAGAGTGTGACCTAAAGAGGCAAATATAATATTTTTGTCACAGTTTATAATCTCTTTCCCCATTGGCCAAGAATTTTGTACCCTTTGATTCAAATGTTTTCTGACATCTCACATCCTCAAGGAATAATTCTAAAAATAAATTACAAGTAATGAGTTTCCTTTCTCCTTACTCTGTAAACGGTCAGGTCTTACTGCTTATCACCCATCAGCTTGTCCAGAATGAATCATAGACATTTCTTTCACACTTTTATGTTTCTCAGTGTCACATTTTCCATGTTTTTAAATTGTTTAGTGTCTGAATGCCCTCAAGATCTACTCGTCTATTCACTTCATGTTGTATAAAACATCATACTTTGTAAAACTGCTAATTGACAAATTCTCCATATATTTGCTAAATCAATGAATAAAATGTATAGCTCAGCATTCTATACATGTAAATAAGACATTAATTTATATTCTATCATTGCTAAAATCTGGCTCAGTCAAATGTTTAGTGGTGAAAAAGGAGCATTAGTTTATAAGTCAATAGGCTGGGACTCTAACCAATTCCGCTACTTGCCAGAAATACATCTTGATAAAGGAAAGTTTTCTCTATTTCATTATTTTCACTTGCGATGTGAAGACCTTGGAAACAATGACCTCTAGGACCTCTTCCAGGTCCTAGACTTATAAGTCTGTTGATTTTAGTACAAATTGTTAGCCTTTTCCCATTTCCTCCAGTGCATATATAGAGTGCTTTCAAGAGGATGTAGAATTTCTAGGCCAGTTATTCTACAGAGTCGAAGTATTCTTCATTTTAAAGACAAATTACCCAGTATTGGCTTATGTAACACAATGTTCCTGTTTAATTTTAAGTGTTAGAATTATAAAGGAAACATGTTCTTGGATTGGCCTTTTCTCGTGATTCCATTACAATGACTTATGGAGTAATATTTTAATGGTAAAACTGTTCGTTTGTCTGAAACACGCTATGCCAATTTTCATACGGTACTTTTAATTGCATCTAAGTTATGCATTCAACTTTTAGACTATTAATACTTCAAATGAATATATATCAACATAATGAATTTCAAAGTCTATATGATAATCTTTGTCTTTTTTATTATATATAATTAGTTGCTACTTCCAACTGAAATATAAGCAAGCATTACATTTTGTCTATTTACATACTTTTTAAAAAAAGTTTTGCCACCTAAAGAATGAGTTAAGCCATGTAATAAATCAGAGCCCAGGAGTGGTCTAACCCACTGCTGATGGGAATAGAATAATTGAAACTTTTAACTGGCAATATCATTACTATATTTCCACATTAAAAACATTACTCTGGCTTCTTTGAAAAAAATTATTATAAGAAACCAAAGATAGAAACTGAAACCTCAGGAGGCTACTCCAATAAGTCTGCAACTTCCAATAAGTCACAGAGATAGCTGGCTTGAAGATGTGGCAGTAGGAATAGAATTAAAAGGATGTTTTCAAAAAACACCGGGAAGGTAAAATTAGCAGAATGTGCTGATTTGTTGGGTAATGGTAGTTGCAGGAAAGAGTAAGACAAGAATAACTCTTAGAAATTTAACTTGACCTTCTAGTAATGAAGCTGTCGTGTATAGACAACAGAATGGTAGAGATTAAGAATATTGAGAGGTATGGGTAGAGACATGTATTAAGCTTTGGATGCATTTCATTGAGTTGGTCATGTATTATTCAAAAGACCTTCATTAAATGTGTCTAGTCCGAAGAGGTAGAAACAAAAACAATCAATACTTAGATAAAACAGAAACCCTGGAAATGGGTGAGGTCTAAGTTTCTGTAGCACATCATTTTAAGAAAGTAGGTAAGACATAAATTCTGGCACTAGACTGACTAGATTTGAATCTTGACCCTGACATGTATCATCTGAATTATCTTGATTAAGTTTATTAACTCCTCTGTGCCTTAGTATTCTAACTTTAAAAATAGGAATAATGATAATGAATAACTTATGGACATGTTGAGAGGATTAATTAAAGTACATTCAGTACATAGACTAGTGCCTGGCAATAAATAAATGCTCAGTAAATGTTGGATCATCATCATCTTATCCTAGAGACAGAGTAGTAAGGGAAAGGAGTTCAGGACAGAGTAATGAGAAGTTTCAACATTTAGCAATGATTTAGAAAAAAAAAATAAAGATTGTGAAGATACTTCAGAGAGCATGGTATAAATCAAGTAAGAAAAGAAGGAAGGAGACATTGGAAACAGCTGAAAGATGAAGCCATATGATAACTTCAAAGATGTCCACTAGACAAAATAGCATCAATGTAACTTTCTACCTCAGTCCATTTAAGCAAAATAATGAGAGCAAAAAGCCGTTCATCATGTTTGAGTGGTTAATAGGATATAACAAAATGGAGAGTATATAAAACTCTTTCAGAAAGTTATCTGTGAAGGTCAGGTAGCTAAAATGTCGTAGAATGGGCAATAAGTGTAAAACAGATAGAAATGTACTAATAATATTCTAATGGAGAGATTTGAAGGCAGAGAAAATGGTAGGTCATGAAAGGAGAGTAGTCAAAGTTTCTGAAATAGAAAAACAAGACTGTGCTCAAGGACTAATGGTATAGTGGGGAGATTACAGGTTATAGCAAAAAAGAAATATAACTTCTAGTTGTAACAGAAGAATAGAGAAAATATGTTAATATTTAAGATTTTGTAATAGTTTGTTGTGATGAGGCAAGGTAATTTCTTTTTTTTTTCACTGAAATAGGAGGCAAAGATATGTCTGAGGCTTGCAGTTTGAGAATATGGAGAAACTTTGTTATAGTAAATATGGAGCATAGAAGTGAGGACCACTTAGAAATATTTAATTGATTATAAAGAAACATTAAGTGAAGTTCTGAGATTAATGTCCATGAGTTTATATTGGCACCAGTGTGCCCTAATGTATAAGACTCACCAGTCTTTATTAGCTATTTAGGTGCAAATATGGATAAGGTGGTCAATTTTATTAGGTAACAGTTGAGATTCAGGTGATGAATGTTAATAACAGAGACTTGGAGAATTTCGGTATAGATATCAATTTATGATGTCAAATCTGTATTGGAAGGGAAGTAATACAAAGAAGATTTTGATGAATAAGGAAGAAGAACAAGGGTTGAGAATAATCTAGGAGCACAGTATATTGCAGTAAGATAATGGGATTTCAAAGCTATTGGTCTGAGACGACTAATACATTTGAATGTCAGAACAATACTGAGTATAGTCATGGGTCAGAGACCCAGTTAAGGAGAGAAGTTTTTCCTCATCAATGCAGCCCTTGTGGATTTCAGTCCTTGATCACCCTCTTGTCTGGTGTTTGTATGTAGTTCGCAAACTACAAAGTCTTTTACAACAGTCATTCTTGGTGTATAGCTAGTGGAGGTGAAATGGGAAGATTATTGTAGTTGAGGGGAATTGAGAAACCAGCGTGAGGAATTGATCCTCTGTGGATTCTGTAATCCAGAATAATGGAAGTACTTGAAAGTCAAAGAAAGTCTTCAATGCAGATACCAAAGAATCAGTGAGTAATGATGAGTGAATCAGTGATTTTCTGTAATGCAGAGACAAAGAGAAGCAGAAGTGACCTTCTTAGATAATAAAAGACTTGACTTTACTGAGAAAAACACCAACTTGTACTGCCTACACAGAGGTAGCTAGGCTGTTACTTGATTTTCATTTAGTTAACACAACACTGTGTCTCACAAACTGTTCTAAGCACTTGAGAAATATTAACATACTTAATTCTCATAACAACATTATAAACACTACTTTCATACATACTTAACAGAAGGGGATCTGTAAGCCCATAAAGTTAAGCAGTCTCTCCAAAGCTATGTAACTAGTAAAATAATGGAAACGAGGTTCAACCTAGATGGTGAGAGAAAGAAGTCTCTTATTAATTGGACTTTAATTAGGCTATAGGAATTGTGGAAGTTGGAGGAGAATCCAGTTATATTTATGGTTAGTATGAGCATTGAATAATTAGCAACATGGTAAAAGAAACAGACACAAAGATTATGAGGGAAAACAGAAGTGGAAAGTTGGAGGCAGAGGAATAATGTTATACTGGCAGGCGGAGTGAGATGAAAGATAAGTAACGTAAGTGTCAACAAGTTAAATAGAGCAATGGAAATTGTGTTTGAACAGTCTTTTGATGGAAAATGAAAGCTCAAAACACACAGGTTTGTGCTGTGACCTGAGGCAAATTTTGGAGTTGCTTTGTCTGGTTGAGGCTGAGACAAATTGTTTCTATTCTTAAGCATGGCAGCTTTGTGGTCTAGCATAGCAAGTGGGGAGGTTGGCTGTTGGACATTAGTTGGGATTAAACATGTCAGGAACCATCCTTACATCACAAGCTTCTAGAAGGGATACTTTTCATGGTTTCATTTACCATACTCCTTTGTGGTATATTTTGCTAGTATTTGTAGTCTATTCTCCCATAAGTGGGTCGTAAATTTTCACTATTTTCATCACACTATAAATGATTAAACCATACATATTGCTTAGCATTTCTCAACTTTCTGGATGTTTGGTAGAAGAAACTGACAAGCAGTTGTTAAACACGTTCTCTAAGAACCTTAATAACAGTTAAGCCTCAAGCTGTCTTGGTGACTAATCAAGCACAGGAGATTAGTAACACCACTACAGGCATGCTTTGTGCCAGGCCAACACTTAGTGAAAATTTTAATGTTTCATGAAAAAGGATCCAGATTTCCTGCAACTGATCTCACATCCAGTTTTTTTTTTGTAATAAAGCAGTGAAAATCACTAGAGAAAAGGAACATCAAAAGTGAATTCTTTTATACAAGAAAAAGACCCAAAGCAAAACTTAGAAGTCACAGAATAAAGAACCTTGGAAGTCATCTTGTCAGAAAAACACATGGCGATCCTATAACATCATCTCCTTTCCACAGACATGGGCGTAATTAAAGAGAAATCTTGATATTCTTTTCTGCTGAATACAAATCTGTCCCTAAAATCTGAAAACACTGGCTCACACAGCTACAGAAAATTAATACAGAGAGCTGGCATGTTTCCTATTAATTTTTCCCCCTTAATGATATATGTTCATCAAAGAGAAAAGGAAACAGAAAAGGGATAGAGGCTGTCTAGCACAAGTCCAAGTTATACAGTAAGTCATGACTAGAACTCAGATTCATCAGCTTCCCAATCTAGAAACAATCCCTTTATCATTTTATGCAGTAGCTGGTCTGCTTTGTGTGAGAAAAAGGTAGATCTGTGTGTTAAACATAAATTATTCCTAATGAAAAAAAAAATAAAGTCTCTCCTACAGACTGAATTAGCTTTTCTCCTAGTTCATTCGTTGAACCAGAACACATCTATAGAGATGCTGAGCCAGTACTACCGTTGTACCCTTTTACAGATGAGATGTGAGACTCAGTGGTGTGAGTCTGCAATCTCCAAAGTGCTGCCTCCAATGATTAAGGGTAGCTGTCCTTTTGCTTTTAGCAGCTTTTAGAAGAGCAATATTTTAGGCTTCATAGATCTGTCTAATGAGGAGAGGGAACCTATGTTTTCTGATAAGGAGAGAAAAGCAAACTAGAAAAAGAAGAGAATTAGAATGGAAATTAAAATACATGGCATTTTAGCATTTTGCTTCATTGTTTTGCCATGCCGAGGCCCCACTTTCACTAATCTCCTTATATTTTTTTCCTTTGAGCACATGAATAGTACCAAAATATTTTTGGGATTGAGATTGTGGATCTCACAATTGAAATGCTATTCATTTCAGAATATTGTGAGATTGGCATTGTGGAGTTTGCAATGGATTTAGCAACCATTTTATTTTAGAACAATGTGGAACTTAAATCATACTTTGCCTCTTTGTTAAGTGTCAGCCTTATAGAGACCTTTCTATTTTCTGTTCCTTCTTTTTATCACTCCCAAACTGTACTTACATTGGACTCTAGGAACAGAATTCTATCTTTGCTACCTCTGACATTTTCCTTTGCCAACTCTCCATTTTCTAGTATGTAATTTGTTCCACATAATGCAAAACATTCCCCTTTGCCTTGGGAAAAACCTAGAGATAAGAAATTATCCAAAACATATAACTGGATCTTATACATTCTTCTAGGCTAAATTTCTTATATTTCTACTTTCTTTTTAGTATTTCATTATATGCATTGTGCTTGCAATCTATCTCAAATTCACTGGGAATTTGAGGGTCAAGGGAATAAATACTGCTTTCCTTCTAAGAGATTCTTATCAGCCTTATTCCATCTCTGAATCATTGATATCTAAAATAATTGAAATGCCTATGAATTAACTTAACCGACATAGCAAAAGAGTTTTACAATTTCCTATACTCATTGGTGAGTTTTTGAAATTTAAAAAGAAATTTCCATAAAATAAGGAACTGGACATATCAGATAACACCGAAGAACAGTGAAATATACACTTGAATACAAGGAGTAAAAGTTGTAGACCAACCAGTGTGATCTAATGGCCAGCATCCTCTTTGTAAACAATTCATCTCTAAAATGCTGTCATTCTCAAATGCTAGTGCTTTTCTGGTCTTCTCCAAACTGTAAAATTTTGCACCTAGAATTTAGAATAGAAGGAAAATTTTTACAGAATCCCACAGAGTAAATTGACCTTTTGAAGTTTTTCATTAAAATTCCTTTTACTTTCTCTAATTGTGAGGAAACTTAACCTTGGTTTACTTAAGTCTCAGGTTTTCTTCAAAATTCTATTATCCCACCACTTCATCTCTTAGATTTTTTTGCAAAATACCTGTCAGCAAAATCACTGCACCAAGTGATGCAACTCAGAATTCAGTGTAGGAAAAAGAATGTTCTGGTCAGAATTTTCCGTAATAGCTATAGTAGTTAAGCAATCCCCAAAATCACCAATGCAGAATGGACAAATGCCATATGGCACAATTAGATAATTTTTAAAAACCACATAACAATGAAATGGAGGAACTGCAGCTGCCTGCAACAACATGGATGAATCTTAGAAACGCAAAGGAAAAAAATGTGTACTCTACAACTCTCCATTATGTATATTTCAAAAATTGGCACAGCAAAACTATAAATTTTAGGTAGGGAAACCTAAATGATAAAAGAACAAAGCAAAATGAGGAAATGATGACTCATGAATGTTAAGATAGTGGTGATTTTTGAGGAAAAAGGAGAGTGTTGTCATTTTAAAAGGTTATATAGAAAGACACATTTGCCCTCAATAGCACATACATAGATGTGTGGTTTGTAGTAATTTATCAGACTGCACATATTGTTTTATGCTCTTTTTATATGTGTGGGGGTTTTGTGTAATGGACTAAATTTATGTAATGGACTGAATTTATTCCAGTCATATTTTCATACATAAATAGTATATGATTTTATATTGTTTCATGAAATGTTAATGCTGTACATAGAGTTGCAAAAAGGTTTGTACTCTTTAACTTCATTTTTTTTAATTTATGAAGATGTGCATTATAGCATTACTTCTAATAGAAAACAAAACTGGTAGCAACCTAACAATCAACAATAGCTAAGCCATTAGACAAACTATGGTAATTAACTTCGTGGAAAATTATACTATTATTAAAATAATCATAATTATGTAACAGCATGGAAACATAATATTAAAATGGAATGTTGAGTATTGTAATTGGAAACATGTAAAAGTATGTATACATATGGAAAAACACTAAACGTAGTCAAGTTTTGTGGAATTAAATAATTTTAGAATAAATGTTTTCTGTTTTCTAGGCTTTCTGTACTTTGATGTATTTTATTAAAAATTAAATAAGCACGTGGCCAGGTGCAGTGGCTCATGCCTGTAATCGCAGCACTTTGGGAGGCCGAGGCAGGCAGATCACGAGGTCAGGAGACAGAGACCATCCTGGCTAACATGGTGAAACCCCGTCTCTACTAAAAATACAAAAAATTAGCTGGGCGTGGTGGCGGGCGCCTGTAGTCCCAGCTACTCGGGAGGCTGAGGCAGGAGAATAGCGTGAACTGGGGAGGCAGAGCTTGCAGTGAGCCGAGATTGTGCCACTGCACTCCAGCCTGGGCGACAGAGCTGAGACTCTGTCTCAAAAAAAAAAAAAATAAATTAAATAAGCACGTTTGGGTCCATATCTAAAGAAAATAAAATCAGTATGTCAAAGAGATATCTGCACTCCCATGTTTGTTGCATCATTAATCACAACAGCTGGACAAGCATTAATCACAATAGCTAGCCAAGACATAGAAACAACCTAAGTGTTCATCACTGGATGTATAGATAAAGAAAATGTGGTTTAACATACACAGTGGGATACTGTTCAGTGTGATAAAAAGAAGGAAATCCTGTTATTTGTGACAATACGGATGAACTTGGAGAACATTACGCTAAGTGAAATATGCCAGGCTCCAAAAGACAAATACTGCATGATGTCACTTCTACATGGAACCTAAAAAAAGTAAAAATGATAGAGATGTAGAGTAGAATGATGGTTACCAGGGGCTGGAGTGTGGGGAGGGAATGGGGAGATGTTACTTAAAGTGTTCAAGGTTTTATTTAGACAGGAGAAATTAGTTAGATCTAATGTAGAGCATGGTGGCTATACTTCATAATAATGTATTGTGTCCTTGGAAATTGTAAAGAATAGATTTTAAATGCTCTCACAACAAAAAGGTGTAATTATGTGAGGTGATAGTATATTAACTAACTTAATTCATTCTATAACATATACATATATTAAAAATCACATTGTATACCATAAATATAAACAATTTTCATTTGTCAATTTGAAAAATAATTTTTTAAAAAATTAGACAGTATAATTACAAAGTCACCGCTACGGCATGTGGAAGTAGTTAACTTCCCAATAAAGAAAAGCTGAGGAAAAAATTCACCACATTCCAGATTCACCCTTGAACTTCTAGAACTGACATGTCCTGGTTTCAGTCCATGTGTGACTCCCTGTCAGCCTTCAACTAGAGTCACTGAGGGAACTGCGATCCCAGTGAGGGCTGCATCCTGCAGGTACTCTTCTGGTCATGGAAGAGCATGGGACATACATCACAGGGCCCAGCAAGATGTCTGTGCTTTCCTGTGGCTTCCGTTCCTGGGGTCTTTAATTATGCCAACTCTGGTTTCGACTTGAACCATCTGATTTCAAATGATCTTTCTGTCATTCTGTCTGTGTTACAGAATCTGAGAAACTGTCAGAGCCAGAAGGAGCCAAAGTTATGCTAACTCTGGTTTAGACTTGAACCATCTGATTTCAAATGATCTTTCTCTCATTCCGTCTGTGTTGTAGAGTCTGAGAAACTGTCAGAGCCAGCAGGAGCCAAAGACGCATGGTATCCCAGACTCAACTATTTGTCACGGTTCTGTGGGATGAGGGGCTTAACTGAGTGGCTCTTGCTTGAGGTCTTTCATATGGTTGTAGCCAGATGAAGGCTGGAGTTGGAATAATTTGAATGCTTGACTATATAGACCGTACAAGACGGATTCTTCACACACATCTGGGATAACTGGCTACCTTGGGCTTCCTTAGTGTATGGTGGTCTCAGGAAAGTCAGATCCCTTACCTGGCAAGTAGCTTACCCTAGGCCATGCCTCCAAAGAATATAATAGATGCTCTGTGTGTTATTTTTCAAAATAAAAATATATTTAAAAGCATAAAATGTAATATATCCTAAAAATTACATATTTGCTTCATTGTTTATTACACATTTGTCATGATAGAATCTGTACTCCATGAGGATATAAACCACTTCACTCAGCACTGTATACTCTATGCTCAGTACTTAGCATGTGCTTATTAGTTTTGTTGAATAAATTAACAAGTGGAAGTATTGGCAATTAGTTAAACTTGTGTGCCCCTGAAAAACTCTTATTATGCAGTATTTATTATGGATAAACATTGCGGAATATTTTAAAAATTAAAAGTCAAGCTAGCTTTGTAATTACTAGTTAAATTGAAGAAAGTGAAGAGATAAAGTGGCCATCACAATGTTGAGAGACAATCCTCCACGGTATCACATTTCTGTATATCTTGCAAGTAGAGGCTCTACCTTCTAAAAGATGTTTGTCTACCCTCCAGAGCAAAAGACAGGTTTGCTTACTGTTTATTCTAAAAGATGTGGATTTCCTGAACTCAGAATTCCTGTTTTGTAATGCAACCTACTGTGTTTGCAGGTTCCATCTGGTCCCCTTTATATTGCCCTGTGTGTATTGGAACTCAGGTAACTGAGACAAATGCTGATATTCTGGCTATTGCCTGTGCCATAGATAATGTAGGGTCTTTTTTCTCTAAAAAGGGAGTCATGTGTTTTCTACAGCATCTATGAAACTATGGCAGGCTAACTTGTTAGCTTTCAGAGAGAGTGAAATGTCAGACTCCTCACAGTTCTTTATACACTGATGTTATCTTAGGAAGCTCCTAGGACACAAGAAATCTGAATAGAACTTAGCTACATCTATAGCTTATTTTTAACATGCATATTTAATAGTAAATCACCGGAAGCCCTGGCAGTTTATTTTAATAAATAATTATACTATTTCTAAGGAAATGTTTTCAGTTATCACATTAAAGTTGACCTTTACTTTACCCCAAACAACTGTTCTAAATGAAATAGAATGCTAAAAGTGAAAAAGAACAATGAAAGCATTTCTTCTTAACTTTCCCGTTTATTTGTGAATACCAAGTGTTAAGCTTTTTTCCTCACATATAGGGTATTTGCACCAACTCTTATAAACAAATATGAAAATTGGATTTCTTAAATGAAGTCCTAAAAAATGATACAGTAGCCCACCCTTATCCGTGGTTTCACTTTCCGTGGTTTCACTTTCCTTGGTTTCAGTTCAACATGATCTACCGTGGTCCATGGTGAGTACAGTACGGTAAGACATTTGAGGAAAAGAGGGAGACCACATTCACATAACATTTATTATAATACATTGTTATATTTCTTCTATGTTATTAGTTGTTTATCTCTTCCTCTGTCTAATTTATAAATTAAACCCTCTCATAGGTATGTATCTATAGGAAAAAATATAGTGTACATAGAGTTCAGTACTATCTGCAGTTTCAGACATCCATTGGGGGTCTTGGGATGTATCCCCCATGGGATGAATTACTATAGTAAGGGTGAATTACTATATTTCTCAATACTCAGTACACTAAAATTATATTAATAGCTAATATTTCAAAAAAAATCAAAGCTAATGTATCTTACAGGACATTACACAGTAGGTAGTTTGGACATGGAAATGTAAGAACGATAGGAAACCAAAATGCAAAGGGTTTTACTTTACTTTCTGAAAAGAAAAATGGCTTGAAAATAAATACCTTGTAAATTTGTTTAGGGTCCTTCCAGATACTGGATACTATCCCTTTGTCAGATGGATAGATAGCAAAAATTTTCTCCCATTCTGTAGGTTGCCTGTTTTCTTTGAGCATAGTTTCTTTTGCTGTGCAGAAGCTCTTTAGTTTAATTAGATCCCATTTGTCAATTCTGGCTTTCGTTGCCATTGCTTTTGTTGTTTTAGTCATGAAGTCTTTGCTCATACCTATGTCCTGAATGGTATTGCGTAGATGTTCTTCTAGGGTTGTTATGGTTTTAGGTCTTACATTTAAGTCTTTAATCCATCTTGAGTTAATTTTTGTATAAAGTGTTTTAGCTAGCCAGTTTTCCCAACACCATTTATTAAATAGGGAATCTTTCCCCATTGCTTGTTTTTGTAGGTTTGTCAAAGATCAGATGGTTGTAGATGTGTGGCATTATTTCTGAGGCCTCTGTTCTGTTCCATTGATCTATATGTCTGTTTTGGTACTAGTACCATGCTGTTTTGGTTGCCCTAGCCTTGTAGTATCGTTTGAAGTCAGGTGGCGTGATACCTCCAGCTTTGTTCTTTTTGCTTAGGATTGTCTTGGCTATACAGGTTCTTTTTTGGTTCCATATGACATTTAAAGTAGTTTTTTTTCTAATTCTGTGAAGAAAGTCAACGGTAGCTTGATGGAGATAGCATTGAATCTATAAATTACTTTGGGCAGTATTGCCATTTTCACAACATTGATTCTTCCTATCCATGAGCATGCAATGTATTTCCACTGGGTTGTGTCCTCTCTGATTTCCTTGAGTAGTGGTTTGTATTTCTCCTTGAAGAGGTCCTTCGCATCCCTTGTAAATTGTATTCCTAGGTATTGTATTCTCTTTGTAGCAAGTGTGAATGGGATTTCACTCACGATTTGGCCTTCTGTTTGTCTATTATTGGTGTATAGGAATGCTTGTCATTTTTGCACATTGATTTTGTATCCTGAGGTTTTGCTGAAGTCGCTTATCAGCTTAAGGAAATTTTTGGCTGAGATGATGGGGTTTTCTAAATATACAATTATGTCATCTGCAAACAGAGACAATTTGACTTCCTCTCATCCTATCTGAATACACTTTATTTATTTCTCTTGACTGATTTCCCTGGCATAACCTCCAATACTATGTTGGATAGGAGTGGTGAGAGAGAACATCCTTGTCTTGTGCCAGTTTTCAAAGGGAATGCTTCCAGCTTTTTTCCATTCAGTATGATATTGGTTGTGGGTTTGTCATATTATTATTATTTTGAGATACATTCCATCAATACCTAGTTTGTTGAGAGTTTTTAGCATTAAGGGGTGTTGAATTTTATCAAAGGCTTTTTCTGCATCTATTGAGATAATGATTGTTTCTCTTTATGTGATGGATTACGTTTATTGATTTGCATATGTTGAACCACCCTTGCATCCCAGGGATGAAGCCAACTTGATCATAGTGGATAAGCTTTTTGATGTGCTTCTGGATTCAGTTTGCCAGTATTTTATTGAGGATTTTCACATCGATGTTCATCAGGGATATTGGCCTGAAATTTTCTTTTTTTGTGTCTCAGCCAGGTTTTGGTATCAGGATGATGCTGGCCCCATAAAACGAGTTAGGGAAGATTCCCTTTTATTCTGTTGATTGGAATAGTTGCAGAAGGAATGGTACCAGCTCCCCTTTGTACCTCTGGTAGAATTTGGCTGTGAATCTGTCTGGTCCTGGGCTTTTTTTGGTTAGTAGGCTATTAATTACTGCCTCAATCAGAACTTACTATTGGTCTATTCAGGGATTTGACTTCTTCCTGATTTAGTCTTGGGAGGGTGTATGTGTCCAGGAATTTATCCATTTCTTCTAGATTTTCTAGTTTATTTGCATAGAGGTGTTTATAGTATTCTCTGATGGTAGTTTGTATTTCTGTGGGATGAGTGGAGATACCCCTTTATTGTTTTTTATTATGTCTATTTGATCCTCCTCTCTTTTCTTCTTTATTAGTCTGGCTAACAGTCTATCTATTTTGTTAATCTTTTAAAAAAGCCAGCTGCTGGATTCACTGATTTTTTGAAGGGTTTTTCATGTCTCTATCTCCTTGAGTTCTGCTCTAATCTTAGTTATTTCTTGTCTTCTGCTAGCTTTTGAATTTGTTTGCTCTTGCTTCTCTAGTTCTTGTAATTTTGATGTTACGGTGTTGATTTTAGATCTGTCTTGCTTTCTCTTGTGGGTATTTAGTGCTATAAATTTCCCTCTAAACACCGCTTTAGCTGTGTCCCAGAGATTCTGGCACATTGTGTCTTTGTTCTCATTGGTTTCAAATAATTTATTTATTTCTGCCTTCATTTCATTATTTACCTAGTAGTCATTTACAGGCATGTTGTTCAGTTTCCACGTAGTTGTGTGGTTTTGAGTGAGTTTCTTAATCCTGAGTTCTAATTTGATTGCACTGTGGTCTGAGAGACTGTTTGTTATGATTTCTGTTCTTTTGCATTTGCTGAGGAGTGTTTTACTTTCAATTATATAGTCAATTTTAGAATAAGTGCAATGTGGTGCTAGCAGAATTTATATTCTGTTGATTTGGGGTGGAGAGTTCTATAGATGTCTATTAGGTCCACTTGTTCCATATCTGAGTTCAAGTCCTGAATATCCTTGTTAATTTTCTGTCTCATTGATCTATCTAATATTGACAGGGGGTGTTAAAGTCTCCCACTACTATTGTGTGGGAGTCTAAGTCTCTTTGTAGGTCTCTAAGAACTTGCTTTATGAATCTGAGTGCTCCTGTATTGGGTACATATATAATTAGGATAGTTAGCTCTTGTTGCATTGATCCCTTTACCATTATGTAATGCTCTTCTTTGCCTTTTTTGATCTTTGTTGGTTTAAAGTCTGTTTTATCAGAGACTAGGATTGCAAACCCTGCTTTTCTTGCTTTCCATATACTTGGTAAATCTTCCTCCATCCCTTTATTTTGAGCCTATGTGTGTCTTTCCCCATGAGATGGGTCTCCTGAATACAGCACAGTGATAGGTTTTGAATCTTTATCCAATTTGCCAGTCTGTGTCTTTTAATTGGGGCATTTAGCTCATTTACATTTAAGGTTAATATTGTTATGTGTGAATCTGATCCTGTCATTATGATGCTAGCTGGTTATTTTACCCATTAGTTGATGCAGTTTCTTCATCATTTACAATTTGGTATGTTTTTGCAGTGGCTGGTACAGCTTTTTCCTTTTCATATTTAGTGCTTCCTTCAGAAGTTTTGTAAGGCATCAAAAAGTGGGCAAAGCATATGAACAGACACTTCTCAAAAGAAGACATTTATGTGGCCAACAAACATTTGAAAAAAAGCTCATCATCACTGGTCATTAGAGAAATGCAAATCAAAACCACAATGAGATATCATCTCATGCCAATTAGAATGGCAATCATTAAAAAGTCAGAAAACAATAGATCCTGGAGAGGATGTGAAGAAACAGGCTTTTACATTGTTGGTGGGAGTGTAAGTTAGTTCTACCATTGTGGAAGACAGTGTGGCAATTCCTCAAAGATCTAGAACCAGAAATACCATTTGACCCAGCAATCCCATTACTGGGTGTATACCCAAAGGATTATAAATCATTCTACTCAAAAAACACAAGTACACATATGTTTATTGCAGCACTATTCCCAATAGCAAAGACTTGAAACCAAACCAAATGCCTATCAATGATAAACTGGGTAAAGAAAATGTGGCACATATACACCATGGAATATTATGCAGCCATAAAGAAGATGAGTTCATGTCCTTTGCAGGGACATGGATGAATCTGGAAACCATCATTCTCAGCAAACTAACACAGGAACAGAAAACCAAACACCACATCTTCTCACTCACAAGTGGGAGTTGAACAATGAAAACACATGGACACATGAAGGGGAACATCACACACCAGGGCCTGTTGCGGGGTGGGGGATTAGGGGAGGGATAGATAGCATTAGGACAAATACCTAATGTAGGTGACGGGTTGATGGGTGCAGCAAACTACCATGGCACGTGTATATCTATGTAACAAACCTGCACATTCTGCCCATGTATCTCATAACTTAAAGTATAATAAAAAAAGAAAATAAATACCATATTGTTTATAACAACTTACAATGGTCAAAATAACTCCCATAAAAATTATAGATGTCCCCACTCTACTCAACACCATTAAATATTCTGTAGCTAATTAACTCTAGCTATTGACAGTGGGATTTTCTCTTAATTTTGTTTGATGGCCAGTTGGGGTTATGCCATAATAGTTTAGAAAAGTCACTAAAAATCATGAGAGTGCTCCCCACATGCCAGGGCATTCCAGACCTCTGCCACCTAATCTCTAAACTTACATAATATTATTAAGCACTATGAGGTAGCTATTAAGAGACTGTCACACCCTTAAATCAAATTACTTCAAAATATGTTTTCCTATAATGTCCATGGCTCATTATCACAGTTGGATAGAGAACTGTGCTAACAATTCCAAGCTCATGGAACTGCCTTCATGACAGTCAGAGGGATTTGCTACGCCCCATGATCAGCTATTTCTTTCAAATGCACGCAGTTATTTATGGAGTTACCAACATAGCAAGTGATTACATTGTTATTATTGGGCAAGCTACCCAGTAAAGACCTAAACTTGAGATGGTATTGTCATCTCCATTCGTGAAAGATAGCTCTGTTCTATTTATTTATTTATTTATTTATTGAGACAGTCTTGCTCTGTTGCCCAGGCTAGAGTGCAGTGGTGCGATCTTGGCTCACTGCAACCTCCATCTCCAGGTTCAAGTGATTCTCTTGCCTCGGCCTCCTTAGTAGCTGGGACTACAGGCACATGCCGCCATGCCTGTATAATTTTTTGTATTTTAGTAGAGATGGGGTATCACTGTGTTGCCCAGACTGCTCTCAAACTCCTGAGCTCAGGCAATTTGCATCTCCTTGGCCTCCCAAAGTACTGGAATTACAGGTGTGAGCCACCGCGCCTGGTCTACTCTATTTTTTAAGTCCTATAACATGGAGTCTTTTCAAACAAAGCTTTCCCTTCATTTACAGATATTTTATAACTTACTAAATTATATCACCTATTTTTTCTCTGTATATGGCTTCATCCTTATTACAGTTATTATTTATTAAGAAAAATGATGTGATGGACACTTTGTTAGGTGCTTTCAGACCTTCCCTCATTTAATACTCACAATAGGTATTACTAGCCCCATTTTATAGACTATAAAACTAAAGCTTAGAAAGATCATACATTGGTCACAAAGCCATATGTCTGTCTAATGGGTATCAAAGCAGGTTAAAATTTATACATTTTTGACCACAAGAACCACTTCTTTGTTAACATGTTTCTTTGAGGAACCAAAATAGTTAGACTTATATTTGTTTACTGATTTACCAAATATTATTAGGGTTTGTACCACATTCCAGACTGTGATCTCATCACTGGTATTTCAGTAGTAAGCAATCCATACAAGATTTCTGCCCTCCTGCCATTTACATGTGGGAGGCAAATACACATAAATAAAATTATAACTTCAGGTAGTGTTTAATGCTATACTTTATTTATCAATTGCTGCATAAGCCATTCCAGAAGTAAAGGACCTAAAACAATACTTTATGGTCCTGATTTTGTCATGGGTGAACTGGACAGTTCCTTTAGTCCTTACTGGGCTCACTCATGGGGCTGGCACCCTTACTTATATAGTGGGACCTTGGTACTGGCTGGCTGGATCAGCCTATCATTATTCAGTAGTCAGGTCTAGGCATCATCACACAGAGGTGGAACAAGAGGAAAAAAGCAGAAACTTGTGAGTCTGGGCAGCAGTTTCTGAGGTGCTTTATCTGCTCTTCCTACCTACAGCCCAGAAAAGCAATAAAAATATTTTTTAAGCTCATAACACAACAAAGACAGATTGATAGATAAATATTAGTAGAATCTTAAAAATAACAAGGATAATGAAATTTGTCTAAAATCATAAGCAGTAGTCCACCGTGCTATATTCAGCCAGGGATATGTGAATGCATCTTTCTTAAAGGAGATTTTAATATATTTTTTCTCTCTTCTCTGCCCCATCCGCCCACAGTTCACCTCATCTGAAAAACACAATATTTAATGTACTTCTAATGCAAGAGTGCTGATTTTTAAAGCAATCAGAAAGCCTCTCCTGCAAGTTTGTTATTACACTTTGCCTTTCTAAATCTAATTAAAAATTACAATTCCATGAAAGCTTCTGAGTAGAAATCGATGCAGGAAACGAACCAGCAGGGGCTCACTCCATCTTGAGAGGTGAGGACACCACAAGAAAAATATTGTGGATGGGGTTTTAAAAAGGCAGTGAGAAATGGAGATTCTAGTTTCACATGCACTAGAGCTTTTCACAGTGTCAGTGTGCCAAACAGTGGAGCCAGGAAAAGATCCCAGAATAGATTTTGTAGATTAAAGCCTGCTCTGAAGGGTGAATCAGGGTAACAGTCATAGCCCAGTCCGGCATTCAGTCACTAACCTGAGGAGACTCTAGAAGTATGCATGTGGACCAAGGATTGAGACAAAGGGTAATACACTGTTGAATTAGGAGACCAGTACTCCTTACCTTAGGCAACAACAACAGAAACAAAACTTCCTACCTAAGTCAGGGATACATGCGCTTACTAGGCACATTCTTTTCAATACCTCTCCTATCTTTGGTCAGACATCCAGGTCGAATACATGGTGCCATACATTTTTATGACTCAGAGAAGAACATTGTATGGTTGAGGCTCTGGCAAATAAGAAGATAGGTGCTAAATTTTTAATCAAAAATGCTGGAAGAAAAATTCTGCAGAAAGAATTGTCTTGTGAGTTGTTTGTGCTTAAAACTTTGCCTATGATGGTGAAATGATAAAAATGAATTTTAACTCTGAATAGAACTTGACTGATACAGAGTTTTAGAAAGCTCTCCTATACTGTTATTTTTTTTTCCTTTTAATTAAAAAATCTGCTAAAGGTGCCCTAATCAGAAGACCCCTGACCCCACCACACACACATAAAACAAGGTAGAGATGTTTATTTTAATTTTGGTTAGAAACTGAAATTGAACTTAGAGGTTCTTAGGAAACTGATAACTAATTTTTGCACAATTTTGAATAGATAGTATTTTTTTATTTGTTTGTTTGTATTTTGAGATGGAGTCTCACTCTATTGCCCAGGCTAGAGTGCAGTGGCACAATCTCAGCTCACTGTAACCTCTGCCACCCAGGTTCAAGTGATTCTCCTGTCTCAGCCTCCTGAATAGCTGGGATTACAGGTGCCTGCCACCGCACCTGGCTGTTTTTTGTTTTTTTTTGTTTTTTTTTTTTTTGTATTTTTAGTAGAGACAGGGTTTCACCATGTTGGCCAGGCTGGTTTTGAACTCCTGACCTCGTGATCCATCCGCCTTGGCCTCCCAAAGTGCTGGGATTACAGGCGTGAGCCACCACACCTGGCCTTGAATAGATAGTATTTTTGACAAAAAGAGTAAGGGGTTATAAATGTTAGAAACCATAGTCATTGAGTTGGTATTGTAGTTAATAATGTTAATTAGACATTTTATATCATCATCATTTTAAGGATGCATTTACTTTTTTAATTCAGTTTAATTGCAGATACATTTTTATTAATAAATTAGATAATTATTTGGAAATATTCATTTTTAGAGGTAAGCAAATATTCCTTATTAACCGCTGTTTTGAAGATTTATATTATAACAGAATATAACGCAATGAGGATAAGCATGACATGTTTCATCTCTGCAAGCTAGTTAGAAGCCTGAAACCTGTTTTTAGTTTAATGTATTTAGATAATGCTTAAGAATTGCCATTATGTCATTTCTTGTGTTTTCATTTATTTTTAAATACACAAAATGCATATATTTATGTTGTACAGCATGATATTTTGATTTAGATATATATATAGTAAAATGGCTACATCAAGCTAAGTAACACATGCATTACCTCATATATTTATTTTTGTGTATGTGGTTAGAACTCTCAGCAATTTTTGAATATATAATACATTTTTATTAACTATAGTCACCCTGCTGTGTAATAGACTTCCAAAATTGATTCCTCCTGTCTAATTAATATTTTATATCCTTCAACCAACATCTCCCTTATTCCTCTACCCCATGTAGATTTTAGATATTAACCCTTTATCAGATATATGGTTTACAAATAATTTATCTGATTCTGTAGGTTGTCTCCTCAACCTGTCTATTGTTTCTTTTGCAGTGCAGAAGCTTTTTAATTTGATGTAATCCCCTATGTCTACTTTTGCTTTTGTTGCCTGTGCTTTCAAAGGTCATATCCAAAAAATTCATTGCCCAGACCAATGTCATGGAGCTTTTCCCCTATGTATTTTTCTAGTGACTTTATAGTTTCTGACCTTATCTTTAGATCTTTAATCTATTGTGAGTTGATTCTTGTATAAAATGTAAGATAAGGATATAACTTTACCTGTCTGCATATGGATATCCAGTTTTCCAAAGCCAGGCAAGAACACTACTAGAAAAAAAAAAAAATCACAGGCCAAAATATACATGTAAAAATCCTCAACTAAATACTGAAAAGCCAAATTCCACAGCACATGTAAAGGGTAAGTCATTCACCATGATCAAATGGGATTCATCCTTGGCATGCAAGATTGGTTCTACACACAAAAATCAATATGTGTGATACAGGCATACCTCTGAGATAGTGCAGGTTCAGTTTCAGGCCACCACAATAAACAAAATATGGGAACAATGCAAGTCATACTTTTTTTTTTAGTTTCTCAGTACATATAAAAGTCATGTTTATACTATACTGTTCTCTATTAAATGAGTAATAATATTATGTCTAAAAAATCAATATACATACCTTAATTTAAAAATATTGTATAGTTTTAAAATGTTAACAATCATCTGGGTTTTCAGCAAGTTGTAATCTTTTTGCTGGTGAAGGGTGCTGCCTCAGTGTTGATGGTTGCTGACTGATTAGAGTGGTGGTTGCTGGGGGTGGAGGTGACTATGGCAATTTCTAAAAATAATATAACAATAAATTTTTATCACATTGATTGACTTGACCTTTCACAAAAGATTTCCCTGTAGCATGGGATGCTGTCTGATAGCATTTTACCCACAATAAATCTTTCTTCAAAATTAGAGTCAACTCTCTCAAACCATGCCACTGCTTTATCAACTAAGCTTATATAATATTCTCAATCTTTTTATTGTGATTTCAACAATGCTCAGGGCATCTTAATAAGGAGTGGATCCCATCTCAAGAAACCCTTTTCTTTGCTTATCCCTAAGAGGCAAGTTTCATTCAAGTTTAATTGTGAGATTTAAGCAATTCAGTTACATTGTCAGGCTCCATTTCTAATTGTAGTTCTCTGCTGTTTACACCACATCTGAAGTGATTTTCTCCACTGAAGTCTTGAACTCTTCAAAGTCACTCATGAAAGTTGGAATCAGCTTCCTCCAAACTTCTATTAATATTGATATATTCATTTCTTTCCATGAATTACACGTGTTCATAATAGCATCTGAAATGTATCAAAGATCACAGATCACAGATCACCATAACAGATGTAATAACAATAATGAAGAAGGTTGAAATATTGTGAGGATTATCGAAACATGACATACAAACACAAAGTGAGCACATGCTGTTGGAAAAATGGCACTGATATGCTTGCTCAATACAAGGTTGCCATAAACCTTCAATTTGTAAAAAGTACAGTATCTGAAGTACAATAAAACAGAGTACAATAAAATAATGTATGCCCATATACCACATTAACAAAATAAAGATAAAAAACGTACTATCATCTCAATAGATACAGAAAAGGCATTTTACAAAATTTAACACTCTTTCATAATAAAAGCTCTCAACAAACTTGTTATAGAAGAAATGTACCTCAATACAATAAAGGCCACACAACAAGTTTAAAACTAACATCATACTCAAGGGTGAAAAGTTTAAAGATTTTCCACCAAGATCAAGACAAGGATGCCCACTCTTACCATTTCTATTCAACATAGTACTAGAAGTCCTAGCCAGAGCAATTAGACAATAGAAAAAAATTAAATGCATCCAAATCAGACACAAAGAAGTAAAATTGTGACTGTTTATGGACAACATGATCTTATATATAGAAAACCCCCAAAGACCTCACCAAAAAGTAGTAAGAACTAAAAAGCAAATTCAGTATAGTGGCAGGATACAAAATTAACATACAAAAATCAGTAGCATTTGAAACTATTGCTATTTGAAAAAGAAATCAAGAATACAAGACCATTTACAATAGTGAAAAAACAAATAGTTAGAAATTAACTAAGGAGGTGAAAGTCATATGCTATATGAAAACTATAAATCATTGACAAAGGAAATTGAAGTAAACATAATTAAATGGAAAGGTATCTCCAGTTAATGGATTGGAAGAATTAATGTTGTTAAAAATGTCCATACTACCCAAAGTGATCTACAGATTCAATGCAATCTCTATCAAAACTGCAATGACATTTTTACAGAAATAGGAAAAAAAATCTAAAATTTATGTGAAACTACAAAAGATGTTGAATAGTCAAAGTAATCTTGAGCAAAAACTACAAACCTCGAAACATCACTCTATATATTTTAAAATACACTTTAAAGATACAGTATTCACAAGAGCATGGGGGACACACCAGCCAACAGAACAGAATAAATGGCCCAGAAATTAATCTATGCATTTATGGACAACTGATGTTCAACAAAGGTGCAAGAAACACATGACAGGGAGAGAGCAGTGTCTTCATTTATTATATATTATATATTGTAAATTTGCAGAAAGGTGTAGAAAAAGATTCTTGGATTATGTCTAAGTATAGTAGACAATTATTTTTAATGTTAATGGTTAACACTAATGTTTTAGGTTAAAACTAATGTGAACATTCCGCTGAATTTAGGGTGTGTTTGAGAAAGCATGGGGATAAGAACCAGAATTCTAACTGACTTTCTTGATAAAAAAATGTTTTTAAGTTCAATATAAGTTGTTGAATGATATCTAACAGAATTACTTGCATGAAGCCTGGTATGTATTATTAAAAGCTCTAAATTCTTTTCTTTTGCATCTAGAAGTCCTGTAAACAAACCTTTGGGGAGTGTGCTTTATGCTGTAAGGTGGGCCTTTCCTCTTTTCAGTGTCAGCATTTTAGGCTTTCTCTCTGTGTGGGCAATCTGAAGTCCTGATATGGGAGGAAGATTAAGCACAAAATACCCAGTGCTGTTTGATTGCTTTTGGTTGTTTATTTGCAGCTTAAAAACAGGCTAGTAACTGGCAAGCGGAAGCATATTGTGTACCCCAAATCACAATATAACTCCCCATCAGCATTGTTAACAGTCATTTCTATGAATTTTCCTGGCTTCTAGTAATGTGAACTCAGGAGGCAAACCTAATTTTCCAACTTTTCTTTTCTTTTTTTTTTTTTTTTTTTGAGACAGAGTCTCGCTAGGTTGCCCAGGCTGGAGTGCAGTGCTGCGATCTCGGCTCACTGCAAACTCTGCCTCCCAGGTTCAAGCGATTCTCCTGCCTCTGCCTCCTGAGTAGTTGGGACTATAGGCACGTGCCACCATGCCTGGCTAATTTTTTGTATTTTTAGTAGAGATGGGGTTTTGCCATGTTAGCCAGGATGGTCTTGATTTACTGACCTCGTGATCTGCCCGCCTTGGCCTCCCTAAGTGCTGGAATTACAGGCGTGAGCCACCACACTCGGCCCATTTTTCTTCTTTTAATGGTACCAAGCAATGGCTTCTTCTGTCAATGAGACTCATTCTACATTGAACATGGTTGTCCTCTCCCTGTGATGACCATTGCTATTGCCATTTTGTGTCAGGGGAGAAAATACCACTTTGGGACACTTAGGTATGCAATGGACACTTATTATCTGCTGAAATCTTAACTTTTGGCATAAGAGTGTGGATTCTATGGGCCCAATAAGAATAGAATTAAATGGTTTCAATACATCTCTCAAACTCTATGTCATTCAGTCATAACATCCCCTGTGATATATCTATAGCCCAGGTTGCGTGGAAATATACCAAGCTCAGACAGTTCCCTTCTGATCCCTCATCCTCAAAGCTTCAAGTTCAGTCTTACCTGCAGTCCCCCTTGCTGAGGAGATCTGAAAAAAAAAATGTAGAATCATATTTCACTATCATCACACAATAGTGAAAATGATTGAAAGCTATGTATAAATGGCTCTCAAAATTATATTATAATCTTGAGCCATTATATTATAATATTGAGCAAAAGAAGACTCAGAAGTGTAGAGAGTACATTTCCTTTTATACATATTCCCTAAACTAAATATTGGAAAAACTAAGTGTAATATATAAACAAACGAACATAAACTTAGTCAAAATAAACAATGTATTGTTCAACATAAATTTTAAAAATTAAAATATGAGAAAAGTAAAAAGGAACAACTAAAACACAATTCAGAGTTGTGATACTTCTTCAGAGAAAAAGGGAATGTGCTCAGAAAGAAGCACCCAGGGAGTTTCTGGAATGCAAGTAATATGCCTGTTTTCTACCTCAGTGCTTGGAAAGATTTTTTCATTACTAATTTTTAAACTACAGTCATGTACTACATAATAACATTTTGGTCAATGACAAATAACATACACAAAGGTAGTTGTGTTAGGTTGTTCTTGCATTGCTATAAAGAAATAATTGAGACTGAGTAATTTATAAGAAAAGATGTTTAATTGGCTCATAGTTTTGCAGGCTGTACAGGAAGCATGGCACTGACATAGCTTGGCTTCTAAGGAGGCCTCTGGGAGCTTTTACTCACAGTGAAAGGTGAAGTGGGAGCTTGTGTATAACATGGCAAAAGCAGGAGCAAGAGAGAAAGAATGGGTGGGGAAGGTGCCACACACTTTTAAATGACCAGATGTGGTATAGCTAAAGTCTATATGATATAGCCTAGGTGAGCAGTGCCCTATACTAGGGGTCCCCAAACTTTTTGCCACCAGGGACAAGTTTCATGGAAGACAATTTTTCTATGTGGAGTGGGGGTGAAACTATCCCACCTCAGATCATCAGGCATTAGATTTTCCTAAGTTGTGTGCAACCTAGATCCCTCCCTCACATGCATGGTTCACAGTAGGGTTCATGCTCCTATGAGAATCTAATGCCACCACAGATCTAACAGGAGGTGGAGCTCAGGCGGTAATGCTCGCTGGCTTGCCACTCACCTGCTGCTGTGTGACTTGGTTCCTACTAGGCCTCTAACTGTTCAGATCTGTGGCCAGGGGTTGGGAAGCCCTGGCCTATAATATCGATGTTTGTACACTTTGTGATGTTTGCATAATGACAAAATCACCTACTGATGCATTTCTGAGAACATATCCTCATCATGAAGTGATGTATGACCATATATGTGTGTATCCATACATTATTTTATTTATACACCATATTTTGAACTTTTCAGAAAAGGTAAAAATTTAGAAAGTAAAACTGAAATGTAATATAAAGGATGACTGTTCATTCAGGCTGCTATAACAAAATACCATAAATTGGGTAGCACATAAACAACAAACTTGTTTTTTCTCACAGTTCAAGAGGCTGGGAAGTCCAAGATTAAGGTGCCAGCAGATTCAGTGTCTGCTGAAAACCCTCTTTCTTGTTCTTCGATGATGCCCTCATACTGTGTATTCACATGGTGGAAGGGGAAAGGAGTCTCTCTCAGGCCTCTTGTTAAGGCATTCATTAATCTCATTCATAACGGCTCCATTCTCATGACATAATCACCTCCTAAAAATCCTTCCTCCTAATACCATCACCTAGGGGTTTAAGATTTCAACACATAAATTTTGGGGGAGTTAACATTCTGTTTATTGCAATGAACAATAAAAGAAATGCAGAATATTGTTGGAAGGAAGGAAGGCAGGCAAAGGAAAGAAAAAAAGAAAGAAAGAAAGAGAGCAAGAAAGAAAGAAGAAAGAGGAAAGAAAGAAAAAAAGAGAAAGAAAGAAAAGAAAGAGAAAGCAAAAAGGAAGAAAGAGAAAAAGGTAAAAAAGAGAAAGAGAAAATAAAATAAAAAAGGATTTTAAAAGATTAGCTGTAAAAAATTTTCATTTTAGCTTATGAAGAAAAGAACTTTAGCATAATTTCCGCAAAATGTTTGTCATTTTGTTGTCATTATTATTGTTTGTTGTTATTTAGTTTGTATATGCTACGTATTATATTATGAATTGCTTTGATACTTTGAAAAAAGTCAATGCTCTTTCTCTTTTTCCAGCTAGCTTATATATCTGCTTGATGTTGCCAGTGAGGAACACTTCTTTATGTAACCAGAGTGGAGCCAATTCCAGGATGCTTATTCCAAAGGTCAAAAAGAATCAATGCAATATGCTGAGCTTGGTAGGCTTCTGATATGCTAGCTGGACCTTTTATGTTCTTGTCTGTTTTGATTTTCTTCTAATTTTTTATTCTTGTTTATTACAGGACAAAATGTCAAATAACCTGAGTGTGTTAGCTGAATGACTGGTATGGTGTAATTTAGCATGGCTTTATGTAGAAAACATCTAGCTACAGAGAGAGACCTATAACATATAACAAAGTGTGTGGGTTCATCAATACTGAAATAGAAGATAACCCAAGATTGGTTGTCTAACGGTGATGTAAGGGGGTTGACAGATTAAATGTATTTTTATAAGACAACCTTGGGAGAAATAAAGAATCAAAAACACCAGAATCTTGAGAATTCATCTTGTAACATACAGAGTTGATGGACTAAAACCAGAAAAGCACAATGTGGTTTTTTTAGGCTGTACTATGAAATCTCTATGGTAGGAGGTAAACTTGTAGCATTCTGTGGAAAAAGAAGTCCTAGGTCACATGAATCTCTTTCCTTTGGTTAAGATGAACTGATTGCATCAATAAAATATTTCAAAAGCTTATTAGAAATATTCTAGTTATTGTCAGAAGTATACTAGTTGTTGTGGAGTTGCCCTTGCCCTCTCCATCAAGGCCACTGCAAAGACCCTTGCAATGTGTAAAACCCAAAGTTCTAGTGGTGCTGTTATCAAGCAAAAGGGGCTCACTGCCTGATGCACTAGAAGCCAATGCTATGGCGCTGGTTTTTAAGATGAGAAAAACTCCTTATTGCTAATTGACTAACAAGGAGACAGGAGTTCAGCTCAAATCTGTCTACTCGTGTAAGCTCTAAGACATTAACTGTATTAGAAAAGGTTGAGAAGGTGGATTCTGGGATTAGTAGGTGATGGATGGAAGGAAATGGAAGGTCAGGAAAGTCCTCAGACATGCACAGTTATCTCTTCATGACCCCTCATGGGTCCCCCATGCAAATTTGTGGTGAGTTAGTATGAAACAAATGGTGAAAATTTAAGCTGTACTGTCCGCAAGCTGGTTCTGTGCAGACTCTAGTTGGCCATATTGGTTCTAACTGATTTCGGTCTGTTTTGTTATCTTACAAGCGAGGGAGTTTCAGTGTTTCAGCAAGTTGTTTCTTTCCTTACTTGTCATCCTTCAACTTAAGAATATCTGTTAGTTGATGGTTTCTGTAACTCTTTGAGGCATTGATTTAGAATCATAATTTGTAATGCAGATAATATTTTCTGGAATTGTGCAATGTGGTGGTTCTGGGCCCCTGAAGTCTATCTTATAAAGCATAATAAATGAGAAATGTCCAGATAAGTACTGAGCTATGGTTGAAACTCAGTATGCATTACTTCCCTTATCTGTCCCACATAATAATTTCATTGCCGCCTTCTCTTAAATACACCTTAAGCTCAAATCCTATAGAACACCATGTGTTCCACAAAGTGTGATGGGAACTTCTTTTTTTGAGACGGAGTTTCACTCTTGTCGCCTAGGCTGGAGTGCAATGTCACAATCTCTGCTCACTGCAATGTCAGATCTCTGCTCACTGCAACCTCCGCCTCCTGGGTTGAAGTGATTCTCCTACTTCAGCCTACCGAGTAGCTGGGATTACAGGCACGCGCCATCACGCCCAGCTAATTTTTGTATTTATAGGAGAGACAGGTTTCACCATGTTGGCCAGGATGGTCTCAATCTCTTGACCTGATGATCCGCCCACCTCGGCCTCCTGAAGTGCTAGGATTACAGGCATGAGCCACCGCACCTGGCCGGGAACTTCTATGGATTGAAATGAGTTCCCTTAAACTCATGTTGAAGCCCTGATCCTCATGTGACTATGTTGAAGACAGGGATTTTAGGGAGGTGATTAAGGCTAAATGAGGTCATAAGGATGAACCCTCATCCAACAGAGTTGGTGTTTTTATAAAAGAGGAAGAGATCTCTCTCTGCCTGCACAAAGAGAAGAGCATGTAAGCACACAGTGTGAGGTGACTGCCTACCAGCCAAGAGAAGAGGCCTCAGAATGAAATGTACCTAGCCAGGGCCTTGATCTTGGACTTCCCAGCCTCCAGAACAGTGAGAAATAAATGTCTGTTCTTTAAGCTATCCAGTCTATAGTGTTTTGTTATGGAAGCCTGAGCAGACTAATATGAAGAAAAAAGCTCTTGACTCCAAACTTTTACAGATGTTTTTATATCTACTTAGATTACTACCCTTCCTATCCTTATCTATGTAAAACTTCACAATATGTATCTTTTGCATCTTTAAAAACTGTCTTAGATGACCACTCTCCTATAAATGCCTTTCCTGATCTTTGAGTTGAATGTGAACTTCCCAGATTCAAGTGATTCTCCCACCTCGGACTCTTGAGCAGTTGAGACCAGAAGCACATGCCTTCGCAGCCATCTAATTTTTATTTTATTTTGTATTAGTAGAGATGCGGTCTCCCTATGTTGCACAGCTAGTTTTGAACTCCTGGGTTCAAGGGACCCTCCTGCCTCAGCCTCCCAATTGCTGACATTACAATTAAAACTAATGGTATGTTTTCACTGTTTGTGCCTTTTGAATTACAATTTGGCAAAAAATACAGTTGCAAAATTGCTTATCACCTTTATAAATTTTAAGATCTTTATGTATCTCAGTACTCCTTATAATTTCTAATACCTCATAGTCATTTAATAAATGTTAATTGTCTTGAATTAAGTTGAATTGAGAAAGATTTCAGAGAGGATAGGGGCATTTATTTTATTTTATTTTTTGAGACAAGATCTCACTCTGTTGCCCAGGCTGAAGTACAGTAACACAGTCATAGCTCACTACAGCTACAACCTCCCAGATTCAAGTGATTCTCCCACCTCGGACTCTTGAGTAGTTGAGACCAGAAGCACGTGCCATCATAGCCGTCTAATTTTTATTTTATTTTGTATTTGTAGAGTTGGGGTCTCCCTATGTTGCCCAGCTAGTTTTGAACTCCTAGGTTCAAGGGACCCTCCTGCCTCGGCCTCCCAATTGCTGACATTGCAGGTGTGAGCCACCACCCCCAGTCAGATATGGGCCTTGAAACAGAATTTGAAGAAGAGTAATCTTAGAATAAATAAAAGGGAGGGTGAAGGACCATGGCTCCAGAGGAAGAGACATATATAAAAGCAACTCAAGTAAATTCACTGCGTAATGGAAAATTGGTATTCAAAGAGTGGTGAGAAGAGTACATAAAATAGAAAAATAAACACTTAAAAGAAAGTCTTAACACACAAGAGAGTATGCTGTCTGGTAAGCTTGAGTAAGATTATGCAGAGCTTCAAAACATAAGTATAATAGATGTGCTTTTATTTAAAATGGGAAACTATTGAAGATTTTGAGCAAAGGAAACTGGTATGTTTATTTGTGTTTTAAAAAGATTACTTTGATGGCTTTGTACTGTATAGACTGTGTGGCTGAAAAAGACCAAAAGCATGGAGATCAGTTAACAAATATGATAGAGGTCTAGATGAAGGTTGATAAGGGCCTGCGTTATGATAATAACAACAAAAATATTAAAAGAGGAGAAAATAAAAGATAATTCAAAGGAATTAGATACAGATTGAATACAGAGAAGTAAGTCACAGAATTTGTTTTGAAACAATAGTGATACAAAGTGAAATGATATACTTAGAAATAATGTACTTGCTGGGGGAGGTGTTTAGAAAGATAAAATAATTGGTTCAATTTTAAATATATTGAGTTTGAGCTGCCATTGGAATAAAAAATTGGAGGTGGGTGACATTTAGATAAGAGATACAATAGGGCTATAGTGCAATTAAGGAAGTTTTTTTTAGAGATAGCTAAAAAAATCATCAATAAGAGGTTGTAATTTAAGTTCATAAAAATTTGTTCGTCAAGAGAATAAATATAAAGTACATGAAGAATAGAAATCATATTTATGAGTTCAAGTGACAGAGTAAACATTGTCTAATATGATTGGAGTAATAAAAAAAAGTCTATAAATGCAATGACTAGAAAATGTTGTGATTCACATACCCCAATAGAAGAAACATTGAAAGATAAGCTTAACAAGAAGAAAAATGACCTAGAAAAAATAAGATATAAGAAAAAAATGAGTAAAAGCACATACAGCTAAATCTAAATACATGCCCATTAATAGTAATTATATTAATGATAATAATTTTTAATATTTTAAACTTAAGATGAATATCATATTTGAGAAATCATAGGAAGGAATTATGTTTAGAGAAATTGTAGGGAGTTTCATATACAATAAATTATTTACCTTGCCTAGAAAAAGAATATAGACCCTAATTATCATTATAATTTATTAACTTTGTTAACAAGACCATACAACTTCAAATTAATAAAAAAAGAAAAAGAAACTAAACAAAAGCTAATGAAGCTAACAGAGCAATAATGAGAAAAAAAGAAGGTGCTATCAAGTGTTGTGGGAAGTCAGGGATTCCAAACAGAGGGACCGGCTGGGGCTGCGGCAGAGGAACATAAATTGTGAAGATTTCATGGACATTTGTCACTTCCCAAATAATACTTTCATAATTTCTTACACCTGTCTTACTTTAATCTCTTAATCCTGTTATCTTCATAAACTGAGGATGTACATCACCTCAGGACCCTGTGATAATTGTGTTAACTGTACACATTGATTGTAAAACATGTGTGTTTGAACAATGTGAAATCAGTGCACCTTGAACAAGAACAGAATAACAATGATTTTAGGGAACAAGGGAAGACAACCATAAGGTCTGACTGCCTGCGGGGTTGGGCAAAAAGAACCATATTTTTCTTCTTGCAGAGAGCCTATAAACGGACTTGCAAGTAGGGAAGATATCGCTAAGTTCTTTTCCTAGCAAGGAATATTAATATTAATACTCTGGGAAAAGAATTGCATTCCTGAGGGGAGGTCTATAAACGGCCGCTCTTGGAGTGTCTGTCTTACGCGGTTGAGATAAGGACTGAAATACGCCCTGGTCTCCTACAGTACCCTCAGGCTTATTAGGGTGGGGAAAACACCGCCCTGGTAAATTTGAGGTCAGACCAGTTCTCTGCTCTCAAACCCTGTTTTCTGTTGTTTAAGATGTTTATCAAGACAATATGTGCACAGCTGAACATAGACTCTTATCAGTAGTTCTCCTTTTTGCCCTTTGAAGCATGTGATCTTGTGACCTACTCCCTGTTCTTTCACCCCCTCCCCTTTTGAAATCCTTAATAAAACTTGCTGGCTTTAAGTCTCAGGTGGGCATCACGGTCCTACCAATATGTGATATCACCCCTGGAGGCCCAGCTGTAAAATTCCTCACTTTGTACTCTTTCTCTTTATTTCTCAGCTGGCCACCACTTAACGGAAAATAGAAAGAACCTACGTTGAACTATTGGGGGTGGGTTCCCCCAATAATCAAGGAAATATCTAAAAAATACTGTGTTCAGTAAAAAATAAAATCAAGTTATAGTATATTAATTACCATATGCTACAAATTCTGCAAAATTTTTCAGTCTAAGCAATGCAGAATTATGTAATATTTATAAATACATGATATACACACAGACACAAGCGTACATACTCACAGTGGGTTTATACACACACAGAGTGTTTTGTTTTGTCTTTTATGTATGTCTTTTAAAGATATACATTAAATGCACAGAATGTATTGTCAATTGTCAGGTAAACCTGAGTGGAGATGCTGTCAAAAGGAAGTAAAATTAATTTTTTAATTTTTTAAATTAACTTTTAATATATTTCTAGATTTTATTTTTTTAAAAAGACAAGACAATTTGGACAAAATATTTGCCATGTTTAAAATATTTGATTCTGGGAGGTGGCAACACAAGTAGTTGCTATATTACTTACTGGTTGCATCAATAAACCAATCTCCATATTTGGAAGCAACCCACAGATAAAAGGAAGGAGAAAAAAAATTGACACAGTTTGAACATCAGCAAAAAATTTTTTTGAGACAGAGTCTTGCTCTGTCACCCAGGCTGGAGTAAAATGGTGTTAGCTCACTGAAACCTCCGCCTCCCAGGTTCAAGTGATTCTCCTGCCTCAGCTTCCCAAGTAGACAGGACTACAGGTGCGTGCCACCACATCCAGCTAATTTTTGTATTTTTAGTAGAGGCAGAGTTTCACCATATTGGCCAGGCTTGTTCGAACTCTTAACCTCAAGTTATCCACCCACCTCAGCCTCCCAAAATTCTGGGATTACAGGCATGAGCCACCGCACCTGGCTCAAATTTCTCTAACAAGCATATAACATTCTCGTGTAAATGGAGAGCTGTAAGGAGGCACTGAGTTTTCCAGAATGTAGATCCTCAGAAAATAAAATAAGGAGACGTTGGGTCAAAAGTGGCAACTATGGCAAGAAGGAAAAGGACACTAATTATGTTGGGGGCACATCAGGCCATGGAGAAAAACCTCTTTCCATGAAGTAAAAGTCAGATGAGAGAGGGTAGGGGCAAGGTGAAGAAGAAAGGAGAAGTATGGACTACTTTGTCAGTAAATGAAATTTGACCAAAAAAGGATGAGGGAGTTTGGTAGTTTTGGTAGTTTCAGTTCTACTGTAGCAATAATCTATGCAGAGGGAGAAAATCATATTAAAATAGTGTAATTGACCATTAGCAATTTTATTGTCCTGCAGGAGCACACAAGTTCTCTAAACTATTAAAGTACTTCATTACCAAGTGTCCTTCATAGTTACTTCTGAACTACACGTCTCACCTCCTAAATCTACTAAATAGATTTTCAGGGGGAAAAAGGAAATTAGGTTGTCACATCGCTTTCTCTTAAAAATTCTGTGGCTGCAGACTCATTTTTCTAGAAATTAAATGCATAGTAGTTCAAGAAACATGTCTATATTCGCTAATGATTGCACAAGGTATGAGATGAACATTTTCTAACGGAGGGACTTTTACCTTTGAAGAGAATAAAAAGATAGATTTAGTAAGACACAAACTTGCCTGTGCTGAAAGCTATTGCCCTGACTATTGAGGAACAAGAATGAGAGACTTGAGTCTTTGATAAGATGTGAGTCTTTGTGCCTGGAAACTAGATATAAAGAATGCTTCACTTTATTTCTAAGAAAATTGGCAAAAAGAAGATAAAGTCAAAATAAAATTTCTTTCAGAAGAAAGTCACCTTTTAACATAAAATGTGTAGGGTCATTTTCCAATAGCATTCATAAAAGCCAGCAACTGGCTATATTGTTGTACACATTTCTAGCCTTTAAAATTTAATCCCAAATCTGAATCTTCCCACCCGTACTGACCACCTACCTCCCAAGCTTTGAATATTGCAGTTTTTATATTCAATAAAAGGTGTGGTCTCATTGGAAAAGCCCAGAGACATTTCAAGTCCAAGTTAATAATGTAATTTAGATATTATTTTTGAAGATATTTAATTGGCCTAATTCTAATCATCCCAATAAAAATATTTTAAAGTAATTAATATTACCATGTTACAACTACTGAAGAACAGTATAGATTGCGTGACATTATGAAAAACATTAACATTTTTAAAGCAAAAATATCAATTATATCTAAGAGTAAGAAATATAAACAGCAATATGGCCAAGATAATTTGTCATCATTCCTAATTAAAGGCTTAATTATCACTGACAGTCTCTTGGCAGAGGGGAGGGAGTGATCTGAAAGATAAAACACTTTTGCAAATCACAACACTGATTTTTAATGCCAGAAGAGGTCAGTAAGTTAGAAAAATCCACATTTACTAAGTGGAAAAGGAACTGAACAAAACTAATTTCCACTATATGGATGGTGTGGATAATGCATGAGCAAATGAATATTCACTACTCCTATGTCTAATAAGCATGTTCCATATTATCTAACTATGTTCCAGTACAAGGTATGGACTTGCTGCCAACATGTTTAAACTAGTGTGGCTTAAACAGTGAATATATAAAGACTGAACTCTGAAGGCTTTTTTAATTCCAATGTGAACTAGTAACATGCGGAACACGTGAAAACCTTAACAAGACCCACCAAAACCTGTTCTGGATATTCAATATACCTTCTAACAGTTTCATACATTTTTGCACCTATTAGGCATCAAAGAGGTCAGAACATGGAAAATGCCATGGCTCCTGAATGTAACAATTGGTGAATAGAATGCAATCAGATCATCTAATCATCATTCCTTTGCATTCCATATGCCATTTGGATTCTCCAGAAAACCCTCCTGTATTCAGCTGCTGTTCCCAGAGATGCCTGCAGTACTCACTGGAAGAAGGCCTCCCCTCTTCTCTCATCCATCAGGGACTGAAAGCTGTCATCTGCCTGGCAAAATAAGAAAGGCAAATGTAAAAGACAGCCAGAAAACAATTTCAAAGCATACTAGGGGAAAGAAACTTAATCCAGGGATGAGGTTACTAAAAAATGACTAATTTTGCTTGGCAGATAGGTGTAAAAATATATACTATGGAAGAGGTTAATGTAAGTGCAAACATATTTGCAGAACCTGGAAATTTTGAAATATTCAAATATGAATTCATCCTATAAAGGACTAAGATTGAATCTCATGATTACAATAGTATTTATTATACAACTTGTATACAATGAACACTTTAAAAATAATATCCCATTTGATCATCATAATTGTGAGAAATATATTATTACTTTACAGATAAAAATAAAGTAATAGGGAATTTTAATGGTTTAACACTTTTTTTTTTTTGATACAGAGTCTCACTCTGTCACCAAGGCTGGAATGCAGCAGTGCAATCTCAGCTCACTGCAGCCTCTGCCTCCTGGGTTCAAGTGATTCTCCTGCCTCAGCCTCCAGAGTAGATGGGATTACAGGAGTGTGCCACATGCCTAGCTAATTTTTGCATTTTTAGTAGAGATGATGTTTTGCCATGTTTGGCCAGGCTGGTCTCAGACTTCTGGCCTCAAGTGATCCACCTACCTGCCCTCACAAACATGTTGGGATTTACAGGCATGAGCCACTGTGCTGGGCCAGTTAAACACAGTTTAGTTACACTTTTAACTATTTGAATCTAGTTCCAGGTAAGCCATAACTTATTTTTTCCTTTTTTTTTTTTTTTTTTTTTGAGACGGAGTCTCGCTCGTCGCCAGGCCGGAGTGCAGTGGTGTGATCTGGCCTCACTGCAACCTCTGCCTCCTGGGTTCAAGCGATTCTCCTGCCTCTTCCTCCCAAGTAGCTGGGACCACAGGCGTGCACCACCACGCCTGGCTAATTTTTTTTTTTTTTTTGTATTTTAGTAGAGACAGGGTTTCACCATGTTAGCCAGGATGGTCTCGATCTCCTGACCTCGTGATCCTCCCAACTTGGCCTCCCAAAGTGCTGGGATTACAGGCATGAGCCACTGCACCCGGTGATTGTTTTCCTTTTATACTACGTACTTTCTATTTTTCTTTCTTTCTTGTTTTTTGTTTTTTGTTTCTGTTTGTTTTTTGTTTTTTAGTTTTTTTTTTTAGTGTTTAGCATGTGAACTCATAGAATAGTAAGTTGCCTCAAATTCAGTATTACCATCCCAACAAAAGAAATGGAAAAAGTAGTCCCTAACTCTTGGATTATGTGATCTTATAACTCATTAAAATTCTTGTCATTTTATAAACAAGTGGGGAAAATTTTTACAAATCATTGTATCAGTACAATTTTATTTAATAATTTATTATTGTAATTAAAAGATCTTTAATACATTATTTTATGTAAGAGTAATCTGACAGTTTTAATTTATGAACAAGACAATTCTTCATTGATATGCCTACCAAAGAATATGAACAAATGTAACTTCTGTGAGATATTTAATCCATGAATGCTAACATAAGTAAGTTAGCTATGTAGCCATTAAAATATACTAACATTTAGAAAAGTGGCTGGGTGTGGTGGCTACACCAATAATCCCAGCAATTTGGGAGGCTGAGGCTGGTGGATTATCCGAAGTCAGGAGTTTGAGACCAGCCTGGGCAACATGGCAAAATCCTGCCTCTACTAAAAATATAAAAATTATCTGGGCATGGTGGCACATGCTTGTAACCCCAGTTACTCGGGAGGCTGAGGCAGGAGAATTGCTTGAACCCAGGAGACGGAGGTTGCAGTGAGCCAAGATTGTGCCACTGCACTCCAGCCTGGGTGACAGAGCAAGACTCCATCTCAAATCAAAAAAAAAAATTCAAAAACTCATAAAATAAAATATACTAAAATTTAGAAAAGCTTTCTCGGGATTCTTAATAAGGCCCTTCCCAGAAGAGCTAAATCTAGTGATTTTCTGCCCCAGCCCCAAAAGCATTCAGGCAAAGTTACTGGGCTTGGGTTTTCTTGTATAGTAAATGTGTTACTGACTCATCGAGGACAGTTGCTTCTCCTTCTCATATTCTAGCTCTATCTCTCAAGACTATACAGCATAGAGCGAGTAACTTATCCTTCTCTGCCTCAATTTCCTCATATGAAAATGGAGATAATACCACTGCGACTTCATTATTGGGGACATTAAACAACATAATTTATTAACATCCTTAGCAGAGACCTGGATATGCTTGCTGTGGTTTCTGTTGTGGCTGTTTTATTATTTTGCTCTTAGTAAAATTGTATTGAGAGGAGAGAGTGAGATGTTAACAGAACAGTATAGTATATACTGAACATAACAGTGTTCAGAGCTTTATGTGTGGGTTTGAATCCTATCTCTTCTGCATATCCACTTAGAGGTTGGGTAAACTAGGACAAGCCACTTAACCACTGTACTTTATTTCACTCTACTGCAGAGTGGATATAATAATAATATCATCCTTAATGGGTTGTAATGAGAATTAAACAAATGTATATATGCAAATAATATGGCAAATACTATAAAATTTTAGCTATTATTATTAATGAGCTTTTTAAATTAACTTTAATATTAACATAATTTATTGAATTAAATTGAGTTAGTTGAGGTGTTCTTCAGTTTAACTGATCAATGGCTATACACTTATATCAAACTTATAAATAATAGCACCATTAAGCTTCTCTTAACAATGCTGATGCATCACTGAGCTAAATAAACATGCGCAGCAGTGATGAATTCTCCTAGAAAGTAGTTTATTTTATTTCCCCTGGAAGACTCTTGTCTCCTAGTAATCTATTTTTTATTTGTTTGCTCTGTTAATTGCCAGCCTATTTATATTTGACTTGCAAATCTGTGTTTTCTCACACCAAGTTCCATTTTCTCCTACAAATATTTATTAACAACCTACTATATACCTAACACAGATATAACTGACATAAACACTTCTCTAAAATATCTCACAGTCTAGAAGGGAAGATTAGGAAGTCAAAGAATATAGCTGGCATTTCTGGGCTGTGATAGAAGACTACTTAGCTACAGTGCTATGAGATGGGAGAAGAGACTCCTCTTACTCAGACTCAGTGCCTCAATATCTAATATACAAAGAGAACAACACATTTGGTAAGCTATAACAACCATACAGATATCTATTCTCTTGGTAATGAAATAAAAACAAAACCCAATTCTTACAAAAGACACATTGTTTAGAAGGCACTTTCCTAGTCGTGAAAATAGACAATATAAATCTGAATAAATGAATCCTTATTAGTCTCACAGAGTAAAAGAATAGAATATAGTAAACGTCATATATTGGATATAACAGGGAAGTAAGTAAATGTCCTTTCTCCCCATAAATTATTTTAATTTAAAGCCAACATTCACATATAAGAAGGAATATCTTTGTATGTCTTAAATATTTAGGTTTCCTTCTCAGAAAACTGCCCTTGTCCCTGTTTTGTGAGGTCGTGTTAGACAGTGAGGTCATATTGCCCAGTGGCTAAGAACATGGATGCTAGAACCAGATAACTTAGTTTCCCTTCTCAGCTCCACTGTGTTTGACTTTGGGCAAGTCACCTAACCACTGTCTCCCTCAGTTGCCTCATCTGTAAAGTGGGATTAAAAATACTACTTATCTCAACGTTTGATTTTGATAATTAAATTAATAAATACATGTTAAACAGTGTTTTGACACACAATAAGCACTCTACAACTGGGAGTGATTGTGAATATCCTCATTTGTACTGTTTGTTTTTATCCTCTTAGAACTTAGCAATTGCTCAGGCCATAAACGTCTCATTCTCTTTCATCTCACGCCACAGGTTGCTTAAGTATGCCCATGTCCTTTAGAATCCACCTCAATCTGTTGAATCACAGACCATTGCCATTTACTTGGACAATGGTGGTGGCTTCCTAACCATTTATCTGCTTCCATGTGGATTTCTCACAGGTGATCTTCTCACAGCAACCAGAGTGATCTTTTTTAAAAAATTAGTTCTGGTCGGGCACAGTGGCTCACACACTTTGGGAGGCCGAGCTGGGTGGATCATCTGAGGTCAGGAGTTCAAGACCAGCCTGGACAACATGGTGAAACCCCATCTCTACTAAAAATAGGAAAAATTAGCTGGGCGTGGTGGCGAGCGCCTGTAATCCCAGCTACTTGGGAGGCTGAGGCAGGAGAATTGCTTGAACCTGGGAGGCAGAATTTTTAGTGAGCCTAGATCATGCCACTGCACTCCAGCATGGGCGACAAAATGAGACTCTGTCTCAAAAATAAATTGATAAATAAATAATGACAAATAAAAGTTCTATCTCATCACTTGACTGCTTAACCAGCAGTGGCTGCTATCCTGCTGCAAATCACTATACTTGTCTCAGTAAAGAATCAGAGATTTTCCAGAGGTTATTTGTTGGTTTGTTTGTTTGTTTTTATTTCATAAATGAGAAACTGAGAATCTTAGAGCTGGCAAGAGGCTTCCTGAGTAGCATGCCACATAGGGACCACAGAACTGTGATTATGCCTCACTCCAATGCAATTTGTTTTATTCTAGCAGCTTAATAGACTACACTTTCTCCCTTTCAACATGATCAATGAGGAACAATCTTTGGGAAATCAGAGATTGACAGAGGGGAAGTGTAAAGTACTCCTGCACATGCCAGTTATTTTTTCTATGAAAGAACAATAATGCAGGGGCCAAATAGGAGTCATATATAGCTTAGGTCTTGTTACTTCACGTTCCCTGATGGTGCTAATCTTGTATTGTTAGACCATTACAAAGGTAGTTGATAAATCAATTACCACATTGAAGGAATTTAACAGGAGGAATTTCAATGCATAATGTTAATAATCATTCACCTCATTGCACAGTAAATTAAACTTCCTATTTCTAACACTTTTCTTCCAAAAAAAGTTGTTATGGTTATAGACAGTTATCTATAACCATAAAGAAATTAGTCTGCATCTCTAAAGATGTAGATTTTTAATTATTTTTGGTTCTCTATATATGCCATAAATTTTTATGAAAATATTTTCAATATTCAAGGTGCATTACATTATCAATTATAGTATATTCTGAAAGATTTAATTATACATCAGATTCTATGTTTAAACATTCTATTCTAAATAGCATTAACATTAATCAAGTCAGTTATCCTTCAAATTCTTTAATGTGGAGTTTACCAAGATGAGTAAGACATATTCTCCATCCTCTAAAGTTTAATCACAAAAATATACAAAGAGTACAGAGTTAACTAAGGAGAGCATGATTAATTCTTCCAGAAAAAGAGAGACAGTCTCCAAAGAGGAAAATAAGGCATCTAGACAATTGCTGAAACATCTTGCATTGACTTTCTAGTCATATCTGCAATGCTATTTTAGTACCCGTGATGAAGAGAGAATATTAATACATGCTGCTGAACAGATTTTATGCTTTTTCTGTTGCTGTTGTCAGGATTATAAAGTATTGTTACAGTAACTTATATAATTGTAACTGTTTCCTTTGCACAAAAAGGACACTGTCATTTGGGCCTGGATCAGTTATAACCACTAAATGACATAAATGGCTGAGATCTGGGATATGATACTTTTTCTCTAAGCAAGGCAAATGGACTGACACAAGAAAAAGTTAATGCCAATAACTTTCTTTCATCCTTCAAACTTAGGTTAATTTTGGAAAATGTTCAACCCAGGGATTCTAGAACTCATTAAGAGGCAAGGGCTGCATGTGAGTTGAAAATCGCTGTCTTAAGAATGGGACAAACATCAGCAAGAAAATAACATCAATAAGAAATGAAAATTAATCAATTTTTAAATATGTTAGAAATCACTATGTGTAATTACCTTCAAGTAGAGATTAATAATGTCTTATCCTAGTGGAAGTAGAGGAAATCTATGAATAATTCTATCTTTTCCTGTGGATTCCAGAATCTTTCTGAAAAAAACATGAGTATCCACTATGTGCTTGCTTTTCTGCACAAATCAATTAAAATGTTTTTGTGGAAATTATGGGCATAACTGATAAATTAATAATAATTTATTTATTCATTTGCTCTTCAAATATTGTTGTATATCTATTATATCCCAGGTATCATTCTAGATCTTGGGAAAATAACAGTGAACAAAATACACACAAATCCTTTTCCTCATGAAATTTACATTCTAGTGGGGAAGACAGACAATGAATAAACATTCAGTAAAGTATGTAGAATATTCAACAGTAGGAAGTGCTGAAAAATAAAATCAAATAGGGTAGCAATAGGAATAATTGGCAGAGGGATATAATTTTAGACAAAGAATACAGGGCGATTTTCAGTGATGAGCTGTCATTTTACTAATATCTGAAAGAAATAAAGGAGGCACAGGGCGCAGTTGCTCATACCTGTAATCCCAGCACTTTCAGAAGCTGAGGTGGGAGGATCACTTGAGGCCAGGAGTTCAAGACCAGCCTGGGCAACATGGCTAGATCCTATCTCGACAATATATTTTTTAAATTATCTGGGCGTGGTGTCACATGCCTGTCCTCCCAGCTGCTTGGGAGGCAGAGTGGGAGAATTGCTTGTGCTTAGGAGGTTGAGGCTGCAGTGAGCCATTATCAAACCACTGCACTCTAGCCTGGGCAACAGAGCAAGACCTTTTATCAAAAAATAGAAAAGAGGCCGGGTGCGCTGGCTCACGCCTGCAATGCCAACAGTTTGGGCGGCCAAAGCAAGAAGATCACCTGAGGTCAGGAGTTTGAGACCAGCCTGGTCAACATGGCAAAACCCCGTCTCTACTAAAAATACAAAAATTAACTGGGCATGGTGGTGCATGCCTGTAGTTCCAGCTACTCGGAAGGCTGAGGCAGAAGAATTGCTTGAATCCTGGAGGCAGAGGTTGCAGTGAGCTGAGATTGCACCTCTGCACTCCAGCCTGGGTGACAGGGCGAGACTCCATCTCAAAAAAATAAATAAATAGAGAGAGAGAGAGACAGAAAGAAAGAGAGAGAGAGAGAGGGAGGGAGGGAGGGAGGCAGGCAGGCAGGCAGGCAGGCAGGCAGGAAGGAAGGGGAAGGGAAGGGAACGGAAGGGAGGAAGGAAGGAAGGGAGGGAGAGAAAGAAAGGGAAAGGAAGAAAAAGAAAGGAAGGAAGAAAGAGAAAGAGAGCTATGCAGAAATGCTCCGAGGAAGAGGGTTCCTGGCAGAGTACAGCCGAGCAAAGGCCTGGAGTCGGGAACCTCCACATGCTTCCTCACAATGGCACAGGTGACAGATAACAAGTACCTCAGTGTGGCTATAGCCGATTGAACACCAGGGAGATGGTACAAGAAGATTTAAAAAAAAAAAAAAAAAGAAAGAAAGGAAACCAAAAATTCATTAAATGTCATAGGTTAGTGCACAAAGTTTAGCTTTTTCTCTGAGTAAGATGGAAGCCCCTAGAGCATTTGGAATAGTGGCATGATCTGATTTTCTCTTAATAGATACATGCTGGCTGCTATTTGAAGGCTCAAACTGCAAAGCAGGAAGACCAGTCCACACACTATGTCAATAATCTAGGCATCTGAAGTGTAGGCATTACTGAATCACCTCTACCCACAGAACTCATCTTATAGCGTGGAAAATCACACTAAAAACTCTCTAACCTAACCTCTTCTCAGTAACCGACTGAATTAAGATACTCCCCATTCCCTTGGAAAACCCTACATTTTGAGAGAATGTGGCTATTTAGATGTACACATTTTTAAAAAATATTCTTCTTCTCTAAATTGTCCAAATAAAAAGCATATTCACTTGTTCCTCACAAACTTCTGTAAATGTTTTAGTTCAGATTTGTGATTATTCGTGTTATACATTTTTAAAGTATGTGGAAGTTGAGAATTTTTAGAATATTGAAGGTGGTATTTTGATGGCTAATATACAATGGTTTTGTATTTTTATGCATTTTATTTATCACAATTCTTAAGAAACATGGTTTTCCACACATAATCTTCCTAATTGTGGAATAATTATAAAAATTATGCAGTAAGTGCTTGAAACACAATATAAATATTGTACTTCTGACATCATCATCATCTCCCATTTTCCTAGTGAATAGGTAAATGTCTGGCAGAGTCAAATTCACTCTTTAACCTGGATGGCTTTCCTAACTCTTCCATGTTCAAGGCACTGATAATCTGGCTGCACCATTATCTTTGTGAAACTCATTGTCTTCCTCAGTGACTATTTTGTATCTAACTGTTATATGAAATAAGGAATATAAAGAATTGGCACAGTGCATTGTAAATAAGCAGTCAGTAAATAAAACCTGCAAATGTAAGTCAACATAAGTTTTTCTTAATAACTTTGAGAGACATTAAGAGAAGTTCTGACAATATGTTAAAACTCAGAACATTGTGATATATAAATTAAGAGCACAGGCTTGGAGTCCAACCTGGGCTTGGACTCTTGAACCAGAAATTCCAAGCTGAGCATTTTAAAGCAAATGTTTAACCTCTTTAAACCTCAGAAAATATTTTTATGTGTTTCCTCTATGGACTAAGTGATATAAAGAAAAGAAATAAATAAATAAAACAGGGCCTGGGCAGAATAAGCACTAAACAAATGATAGTTATTGTTATTATTGGTGCTACCATTTATTTGGCATGGTTTTAAGGTGCTGATAATGGAAGAGAAATATTACCAAGAAAGGAAGGCAGTGTTTCATATGAAAAGTTAAATTGACACATACTTTTGTGCCTGAATAAGCAATATTCCCAAAGAACAGAAGACAAATAAGATCTATATTAGAAATATCATGATTTTAGATGTATATACACTTGAATCCTCCAAAGCCTCTTAATATCAAACAATATCTAAAACATAAATTTTACTCGTCCCTCTCAATCTATCTTTCAGCATCTCTTTGGCTTCTGCACATTTATAATCTTTAGGTAGTAATCCCCTCAGCCCTTGTGCACACCCCAAGAAGTAAGCCAACTCCTTTGAAAATATTTGTTAGGGGAAAATAAACTCCCTTTCATTAGCTCTGTTAAAAATGAAATCACATATGCATATGTTTGTTAATAAACCTTTTTATGTAACTAAGTTTGTCCACATACTGTAAAAGTCATGTTCTTCATCCGTAAATATGACCATTTTAGCATTCAAAATCTTAGGTAAATAAAGTCCTATATGATATTTAAACAACCAATCATGGGCTTTTAATATCTGTTTTCAGCCTGTCTCTTACATAATTCTACTTATCCAGTTATGAGAGAGTCATGATTTCCACATATAATCCTCTTAAACCCATCTGAGGCATTGCAAATTTAATTTCTCCTTCTTCAGAAACAAACTACACTTTTGTACTTTCCCCCCTTCAAAATTCTCCATAACATGTTTCTTTCATGATGGCCTGCAATATGACATGCTTACACTCCAGTAACCATTACAGTTCCCACTCCTTTTCTCTCTATACCTTACATCATCTTCCATTCCATCAACTCATACCTAAAATAAAACAGCTGAACTATCTCATACTTTTTTAAAATAATGATATGGTTTGGCTGCATCCCCACCCAAATCTCATCTTGAATTGTAACTCCCACAATTCCCATGTGTCATGGGAGGAACCTGGTGGGAGGTAATTGAATCATGAAACGAGTCTTTTCTGTGCTGTTCTCATTATAGTGAATAAATCTCATGAGATCTAATGGTTTTAAAAACAGGAGTTTCCTTGCAGAAGCTCTCTTTTCTTGTCTGCTGCCATGTGACACATGCCTTTCAACATCCCCCATGATTGTAAGGTCTCCCCAGCCTTTCTTTTGTAAATTGTCCAGCCATGAGTATGCCAAGCATTAGCAGAATGAAAATGGACTAATACAAAAAATAACCATTATTCAATAAAAAAATACCTGCTACCACCAATCTTTGTCATGCTCAGCTGAGTTACGTGCTTATGAGAATGAGCCAAATGTCATTCAACAACTGCAGTTTAAAGCATCTGCCTTTGTAACTTGTAAGTAAAAGGTCATACTTAAAATTACTGTTTGTATTCTCTTCCTGAGCATCTAATACATATAGTATGTTTCTATTAGCAATTATATGGGAGTGTGTTTTCTCCTTATTTTTAAGCTCTTTGGAGGCCATTTGAAGTAAACTTTATCTATACTACATTGTGTTTGTCCATCCAAAACAAATATTTGAAATGTGATGGCAATCTCAGCTTTAACTGCTTTAGAGGATGAATGCTTAAGTCCCATCTTAGCTACTAGTATTATTCTATTTATTCTAGCCTGGATAATTGTCATCGCCACACGTCGTCCTGGTATCTTTATATTTGAGAGGTTACCTTAACTTCCCCAGAGTACCTTTCATATATATCATATCATCTATATTTTATTCAGTCTATCCCATACATACCTCCAGACTGAGCAAATACTCATGCAGCTGTTTTAACACAGTGTAAAAATTAGGAAACGGTGCTCCATTTCAGATGCATGTAAATTATTGAGTACTGAATAAATTAAATATAATTGAATAAAAATATAGTTGCTTTGACTTTCACTATTTCTTTTTATTGACAAAATAAAATGTAACTACAGGAACAAATATATTATCTTTTTTACAGCTTTATCATTTTTCTATATGCTTTTCTAGTAATTCACCTAGATTTTTCATTCAATTTCTCTTTTTTGTTTAATCTTTATTGTCGTTTAACCTCGTTTTTAGTTTTACTCGATAATCACTTTTTTGGACTTTTATGCAGACTTAAAAAAATTACATATTTTGTTTTTTATATTTATCCTTTATATTCCTTATAAATTATACTTTCAAATTCATTTAAAATTTTATAGGAATAAAGCTGGGCATGGTGGCTCACATCTATAATCTCAGCACATTGGGAGGCCGAGGCGGGCAGATCACTTGAGGCCAGGAGTTCAAGACTTGCCTGGCCAACATGGCAAAACCCTGTCTCTAATAAAAATACAAAAATTAGCCAGGTATAGCGTTGAGTGTCTATAATCCCAGCTACTTGGAAGGCTGAGGCACAAGAAACACTCAAACTCTAGAGACAGAGGTTGCAGTGAGCTGATGTCTCATCACTGCAAGCCAGCCTGGGGGACAGAGCAAGCCTCTGTCACAAAAAGAAATAAAAAAAATTTTATAGCGATAAAAATAATGCTATAAACATTATGAAATATATCAGATACATAGACGCATGTAGTTGATTAACCAAAAAATTATAACCATCTAAAAATATATTGTAACCATTAGTTCAATCTGGAAAATGAAACATTTTGGAAAACAGAAGTAGACATCTTCATGATACGAACGCAAGAAATGTTATTTTCTACTTATTTGGACTCTACCTTTATTGTATGCTGATTTTTTTAAAAGCAGAGACGTAAACTTTTTCAGATTTAAAATAAGAAGCTAAAACTAAAGTGCAGAACTAATTTGAAGAAACTTCTATATTTATATGCTGCAGAGAAACCCTTACATTCAATTTAAAAATATATGGTGGTGATATTGTGAAATGAATTGTTAAAAGGTAATGCTATTTGTTCATTTACAGAGTCCTAAAAATAATTCATCTAACTCATATATTTTATGACTTCCATCACTGCTAGTTCCTTTGACCAAGTCAGAAAGCAAAGTAAGACAATATTCTGCTCTTCAAATTAATTAATTTGCATGTATGCTTCTTCTTAAATCATGAAATATATTAAAAAATTTGTAAATGCTAATATCTCAGTAGAAGCATAGACTTTGATAACCTGATTAAAATAAAGAATTATCAACTGTTTTAAAGTTTTCTATAGATATTTCTCTAATATCAGAATATTTTCCATGTTAAATTCTACTCATGGGCCTTTCTAAAATAATTCTTTAAATACAAAATATCAAGCTGATTTATTTTTAAAGTGAGGAGATAAGCATATTAAATTTGTTAGGTCACTTTTTTTTTTCCACAGGGATATGACTTTACCTGGTTAGATATTCTAATTAAAAAAAAAAGCATATAACTGCAGAGATATAAATTTAAAATTACAAATAGTCATAGAGGACCAATATTTTATTTAGATGGTACTCCTATTTCAGTCTTGCTATTTGCAATAAACAAAATCCAATGGATATAAGTCCAGAGAAAAATGGGAAATTATAACATATAGCAGACGATTGAGATGCCTCCTACATCATCCTCTTGGTCCACTAGATTTTGGCACAGCTGTCATGGTCTGTTGCATGCACACTGTCAGCTTCCCACCTCTGGGTCACATGGAGTCTCTACTACCTTGAAACTTCCTCCACAGTCAGGAAAAACCACCTAGCCAACATAGGCATAACCCATACGTACAGAGAATTGGTAGCCCTGGGGATAACACTCAAGCCATGAGAAACTGGGCTTGGTGGATGATTACCATAGCTTCCTAGTCTTTGGTGAAAAATCTCTGAAGTATGTATTATATGGATCCTTATCAGGTCCCCAGAGGCAGTAAATGCTATTTTTCCAGAGTGATACGCAGCTTATAATGCTTTTTCCCCCCTATCCTTTATCACCCTTACTGTTTCTTCACTTCCGCTTTGTAGAATCACCTCTCAAATACACTATCCGTGTGTAAGGCCATGCAAATTTCAGGAATCAGTGAAATCTCAGAATACAGGATACAGAACTCTCACTCAAAAAATTCAGCAGGTTCTCATGGGATTGGAAGGATATCACAAATGTCTTAAATGCTCAACGTGTTCTCTTGTATCTCCTTTTCTTGAGATCCTCTTCCCTCTGGAGTTTAATTCCCTCTCAATTTTTCTCTTTCTCTCTCTCTGAATAGTCTAATTCTCTTTGTTTATTTGCCTAACTTCTGTAAATCCATATAATCTAGGTCTCACCTTCTAGCCCATATACTTATACATGTTTTCCTAAACAAAGACAATTTTCCCCCTGAGAGGAATTTTGCTTCCAGTTGTGTTGATTTTTGTTTTAACGTTTTCATATATACATAGAATTCTTAAGGCAAAACTTGTTTTCATCTTTCAGATACTTCTTTATTCCCTTGCTTTTCCTCCGAGAATTCTAGGAGGTAAATACCATATATTTCACTCCTTAACTGTGATTTGATTGTAATTTCAGCGAGAAGAGTTATTATTTACCGTGCATTAAAGAAAATGAACTAGAATGTAGCCATGCAGAATTGGAACTGAGAGTTTTTAACTGGAATGACATATTTAATTAACCGAAAGTTTTGCCTAAAGTATTGTGTTGAGTAGTTGTTAAGACAAGTTTGGGTTAATGGAAAATGTGCTAAGATTAATTAAGGTATCTACCAGAGTTACAGAAATGAAAATGCCCATAAGCTAGGTATAAGCTAGGCATTTTGCTCTTCTTGATTAGATTGAAGTAGTGTGGGATTTGAAATTTAAAAATATGTTTGAATTTTATCTCTGCTACTTATTATGTGATTAAGGTAAATTGTTGCGCTTCATTATACCTTGGTATCTTCATTCATAAAATCAAAACAGTATAATTTACTTCAGAAGAAATATTAAATCACATAATATATGTGAAAGCACCTGGTGAAGTCATTACTATATAAGCTAACCCACTTAAAGTTAATTGAACCCAACACATTTACTTCTTCATTATAGGCAGATAACCTGGGCAAATACTGTGATAACGGTAATAATAAACACAGTAGAGTTACAAATTTAACAACTCAAGGCTCCACAGTCAAGCATACATTTGTCACCTGCTGTGGACAAAGAATTGCACTAAGTAATATAAAAGAAAAAAATAGAAAAACAAAGGGCTGCATTATTTTATATACAATTTAATTCCAAAGGAAAACATTTCCTACATTCAAATATTTGCCTTCTGGTTCAAATATCTTTCTTTAGACAACTGACATCTTGAGAAAGCTCTTGAATTATTTCTTATTGTACAACTCAGCTCTTCTCATGTTTCCAGTGCAGGCCCAGTGATACAGAAATTACTTCTGCTTTGAATGTCAATGTCAGAAACACTTTTCAAGAAACAGGAGACATATATACATATACATATATATATATATATATATATATATACACACACACACACACACACAGTTATTTTAAGGCAAGATATTGCTTGTCATGTTGCAACACAGTAAACTGAGTTTTTTTCTATAATGTTATACAAGCTTAATTTTCTATATTCATACTCTAGGAAAATACTGCCAGTAGTTCTTTTTCTTTGCCTAAATGCTGCATATTATTATGGATAGCAGTATTTATGTATGAATCAATAAGATAGTGACACATTTTTACCTTGGGTAATCTTACATAATTTGATTTTTGAAATGTTAGCTAGAGGCCATGAATTTTAAGAAAAAATTATTTTAAATTGTATACCTATCAATCATAGCCCCATCCTCTAACAGTCCAACAAAAAAGGCTTCCAGGCATTTAAAGACAAGAACGCTGACATGTACCTTAAAAATTCAGCTGTCAACCATATACCACGTTCACAGAATTATTGAGTGTGTCATCTCCATCTCACCTATGGCCCTGGGACCCACTATCCAATGTCTATTCTCATGATCCCTGAATGAGTCTTCATACTTTTAGTTTAGTACACAAAACTCTCTAATTATCAAGGCTTCTGTGGGTCCCAAACCATAATTACAGGCCTAGACTTTCCTGTTCGATTGTCCAAATTACTTCATCTCTGCCTAAGCAGCTGCCCTTTCTGGAATAGAGGGGCCAATGAGCTTTCTACTCCCAGCTCCTTGCTGCCACCTTCTCTTCTTAGGAGTCATTTGTGATTCCCCACCCCATCCCACATGGGCTACAATGATAGCCCTTAAAACTTGTTGCTTGTACAACTTGGATTTAAAAAAAAGAGATTTGTTTGATTTTGAACTTAAAGTTTGACTATTAACAGTGTCACATGCCGCTGATTTTCTTGGGATCCTATCACATGCAGAGACTATTTTAAGCTTCACTATGCTGGCACAATGGGGTCACCACAGAGCTCTTTTCTTGCGTCTTCCTTATATGTCCAGAGTTTTTTCCTTCCAGTGGGTTTTTGGTCTCACTGACTTAAGAATGAAGCCACAGACCTTCCCGGTGAGTGTTACAGCTCTTAAAGATGGTGTGTCCGGAGTTTGTTCTTTCAGATGTGTAGGAAGTTTCTTCCTTCAGGTGGGTTCATGCTCTCACTGACTTCAAGAATGAAGCCACGGACCTTCGCGGCGAGTGTTAACAGCTCTTAAAGGTGGCATGGACCCAAAGAGTGAGCAGCAGCAAGATTTATTGTGAACAGCAAAAGAACAAAGCTTCCACAGCGTGGAATGCACCCTGGGCAGGTTGCCACTGCTGGCTGGGGTGGCCAGTTTTTATTCCTTTGTTTGTCCCTGCCCACATCCTGCTGATTGGTCCCTTTTACAGAGTGTTGATTGGTCCCTTTTACAGAGTGCTGATTGGTCCATTTTATAGAGTGCTGATTGGTACGTTTACAGTCCTTTAGCTAGACACACAGTGCTGATTGGTGCGTTTTTACAGAGAGCTGACTGGTGCATTTGCAATCCTTTAGCTAGACACAGAGTGCTGACTGGTGCATTTTTACAGAGTGCTGATTGGTGCATTTACAATCCTTTAGCTAGACACGGAGCGCTGATTGGTGCGTTTACAATCCTCTAGCTAGACAGAAAAGTTCTCCAAGTCACCACTCGACCCAGGAAGTCCAGCTGGCTTCACCTCTCAATCTTTACAATCCTTTAGCTAGACACAGAAAAGTTATGCAAGTCCCCACTTGACCCAGGAAGTCCAGCTGGCTTCACCTCTCACTTATAGGCAACTACTCTGAGGTAAATACTGCTGCCTTTATTTCTAAATTATTGTACCTATTGTCCTAGTTTAAATTTGAAGTCTGTCCCAAAATCATAGAATCAGCTGAATACCATCTACATATCAGTGGGAGATTATAACAAGGCACTGTGACACGGACCAGCATTTATGAACTAAGGATAACAAAATTAGTCTAATGTGCCTCAGCTTGGCTCACAGGCTCAAGGCCAGTGACAGATGTGACGTGGGTGGATGGCTAGTGAAGCTAAGTCTAGGAGACATCCAAGCTTCCCACTCACTCTAGGGAATGCAGCAGAATGCTACTGACAGAATCATGGCTGTTATTACATCAGAGGTGTGGAAAAACATGGAAAGATAAGACAGAAAAGCTTCAATAAAGTCAGAAGGATTCTTAAGATTTTCATTCAAGCCTTAAACAGTGAACCTGAGCCAGGGGGAATATTTTCTTTTTTATGAGCAAAGTATATATCTCTTGCAAAATAATAAAAAACTAAGAATACTGTCATTACAAACGTTGGCTTCTTCACCAGAAATGCAGGTCCAATCTTCCCTCTCTATAACCAGTTTGGAGCCTAAATTTTGTCCCTGAGTATTGGAATACAGTAGGAGATCCTTTCATCCTCCAGCAGGAGGTCAAGTCTTGGCCCAATCCCAGTTACATGGATCAGGGTAAAAGCCACTCCTGGCTGTTGTACCAGTGATTGCCTTTCAAAGTCAAGAGCAAACAGGTTAAGCAGGGTTTGTAAACTGAAATATCTGAAGAGACCAAGCTGGTTAGTCAAATCAAAGAAGCAATTTCTACTTTATAGTTTAGCTATAAGGAAAAAGCACAAATGTATGAAAAATAGTAACTTGCATTATGCCTCTGTTTCAAAGAAACAATATAGAGTAATGGCAACTGTGACACAATTTAAAAAATCACTAGATTTACCTGAAAGAGCAGCCCCCAATTCTGCCATCTAAAAATACCAGCCGTGTGTACTAGAGGTTTTTTCCTGCAAAAGTCAATAATTTGATTCTTTATGTGAATTGTTCTTATTATTAAGAGTTGACAACTAGTGCAATTTTTTAAATCATTGTGAGAGTCAAAGGGGTTGTTAAATCCCAACAGCAGCCTGACAGCTGGTAATTCTTGGAATGAAGACAGTTGTGTTCTTAGGTCATCAACTTAAGATTCTATTCATTCAGAGTTTATTGTGTGATTCATCTTGTGTTCCTTTAACTTCTGAGTGCTTCTTTTTGAGTTCTGCTGTCATAAAACATGACTTAAGTTGCCACCAATTTAGAATGGACCACCAGCCTTAGGAAGAATAGGCAGGAGTGGAGTAAAAGAGGCATCATCTGAATCCATTTCAGCTCTTCAGAAAACTGTATTAGCATTTGAGCCCAAATCACTTCAGTTATGACACTATAATTAACCCCCAGAATGCTTCTAGGGCATTTCTTTCATCTTTAATTAAGGCAGAAGTAGACAGTTTATAATGACTAAATGATTCCTTCCTACCTGTCAGTCCTTTTATTAGCCTTTATTTTGTACCTATGAAACGTAAACATCTAAATCCTATAAAATCGGCCAGGTGCAGTGACTCACGCTTGTAATCTCAGCACTTTGGGAGACTGAGGTGGGCGGATCACCTGAGGTCAGGAGTTTGAGACCATCCTGGTCAACATGGTGAAACCCTGTCTCTACTAAAAATACAAAAATTAGCCACACATGGTGGCACATGTCTGTAGTCCCAGCTACTTGGCAAGAGGCTGAGGCAGGAGAATCGCTTGAACCCAAGAGGCAGAGGTTGCAGTGAGCCGAGATCACACCACTGCATTCCAGCCTAGACAACAGAGCAAGACTCTGTCTCAAAAAAAAAAAACCTATAAAATCGATATCAAATTATTATAGAATATTGCCTTTCTCTTATTCTGGGTTAATCATAATTTCTATATAGAATACATGTACATCTAGTAATATCTACATAGACCAGATTTATGATAGGAATTATGATTTATGGCACACAATCATGGCAAAATGCCATGCCATTGCTGGTCTCATAAACTCATGCTCAACCGCAAGCCCTGTAAACTCTCTGTTGAGACACACTTCTATATGGATCTCTTGCATTTTCTGCATGTCTTCTTGGTGACTGTCCTTTGTGGTAGATAATCTTTTCATGGATATTTGTCTAGTGAACAACCTTGGAAGATAGAGATAGTATCTCCTTTTGGAACAAATGCTAAGCATGCTTACTTCCCATTATAAAAGATTTGTGTTCCATAAATTTAGTAATGCAATGCACTAGGCATGTAGACATCTACTGGACCCATTCATGTTGGCCTGTAAGACTTGAGGCAAAAAAAAAAAAAAAAATCCTGGCACAAATATGCTGATGCTCATGCTGCTGGCTGTGCCATGAGAAATAAAATCCTTGGGCTTGATCCAGAAGTCTCTGTGTCTTCTGCCAGCAACCATGAAACTGTTGTGTTCTACCTTCTTAGCTCTCAAGTAGGGTAATAGCTCAGGTACCATAGTTCTTGACAGTACCATGCTTATAGGAGAATGCTGGCCAGTTACATGCAACCTGCCCTAGAAATGTGCTTGTGTATTCTTCTGCCTTACTTAAACCACCCTATCAGTTTGGATCTCAGACATTTTTAATTCTCTCAGTTACTATGTTTTGTTGTTAAATTTGTTCTTTCCATGCATCTGACATAGGATTCTGCTCGTTTTGCAAGATAGACTTTGGTATCCCTACCCTTTTGCCTCAACAAAATTTCCTCTCATGTTTTGCAGGAAATACAAAACAAGAATTATTTTGCAGAAAATCCAACACCATGTTCTTCCAAAACTTTCTCTGAATTCCTATGGCTTTTGTGTCCTCAAGTCTTTCTCTGGCTCTCACTTCCTCACTCTGCTGATGTCTTCTTTTCTGTTCTGAATCTTACCGTTGTTTCTTTATCTCTGCCCTAGCATTAACCTAAACACGCACTAAGCCCCTTATCTTGATTTTCACTAAGGGAAAAAAGTACCATATAAGAACAATGCACATGTATGAGATTTATTGAAGACCTGGAGAAAGTTTATGACACGGCAAGACTTAGGAGTTAGGAGATTGTTTTGTTCTTCTTGTTCTTGAGCGAATATTTAATGTATGCCAGTGTGGTGCCTGTCTTCAATTTGGGTCCCACTTAGGTCCACTCTCCACCTTTCTCTGGTGTGCTCTGAGCCCCAGGACACTATGAGTTGTGTCACTCGAGTTCTAGTCCATTTGCTTCCTGGTTGCATTCAGCCACTAGGAGGCACCGGCCAGAGATTAGAGCATAGTAGAAAGAAGGAATGTTATTTCCCAGTTCACTGTCCACTCCACTAAGATCTAGCAGAAGCTACATTACCTACTAAAGCCCTAAATCCTGCAAGTGGCCCTCTTACATAGCTTCTTGCCCTTTAAGGACTAGGTGCTAACAGCTTCCTGCTGCTGCTAGACTCTGGGTGCTTCACAGCCCTCATTGATTCCCCAGTTCACACTTCTGAAAATAGTTTATTCACTGAACAGCTTGTGATAACTTGTCAGTGTGTCATCTGTTTCTTTCTAGTAACCTGTCTAATACAGCCAAACACCAAAAATATATCATTTCTCATCCCAGTTTTCCAATGAAGAAGCCAAAGTGTAGAGAAATTAAGTGATTGGCCCAAGATCACTCAACTTCTAAGGAGAAGATCCAGGATACTCCCAAAAGGGAGTTGTTTCCAACTCACATGATGAGCCTGTGTTTTCATGGCATGTCAAATTTCTCCTTAAACAGTGTTTATAATTCAGTTGATCGGTTTCACTAATGGATTTGCCATGATAGCAATCACAATTTAAAATGTTTTTCAAACATTGTTCTATTGTTTATGGAAACTTCTTGATATTTAAAAGCTAAATAACAATGGAAGTTTTATATGAAGTATCTATACAATTTATACTAAAAATAAACAAACAGATAGGTAAATAAATATGCTTTTGTAGTCCAGATGTTATTAAATTATTGTTTTAGGTTTTCCAGTACAACATTTGTTTCTCAGTCTGGATAAAGTAGACTCCTTTAAAAGCAGGATACAATAAAACTTTATCACTTAATTAACCAGTATTCAAAACAAAAATCTGCTAATCATAATTCTCTCTATCTACCACTTTGCCAAGAAATATATAAAGTGTTAAAATTTAAAGTAACAAATGCTAGAGTGTCAATAAAAGACATTCTCAAGAACAATTTTAAATTTGCTTTTATTAGAACCTGTCAAGGAATTCTTGAACAATCCAGAAACAAACCATCAAAGTTGGTTTCAGAAGAATGAAATCTTGGTCTCATTAATTGTTTGGGAACACAGACTAAATCATTCTTCTCTGTATAATTATTGAGCAGAGTAAACGTCCCTGCTGACAGGCTGCCAGATACCACAGATATCTTATTAAAAAGTACAAAATTATAATTATTTCCTTCTGAGTTTCTCGATAGTATTCAGTGTATTCCTCAGTGTACTCATATCCTTGCTTTTGCCTAACTCTCTTGACTAATTTTACTTAAAATGATTTTTCAGAATTTAGTTAACCAATTGTTCATTTTATAATATATTGCATTTTGTCTCTTTTTTTGCTCCTTTGCATATACAGCATTAAAATCATGTTTTCTAATATACTTGGCAGAAAAGACAACCCCCTCTATTTTTGTAGTAGAATCAGTTACATACATATGTATGCATTTCAATACATAAAATTCCTATGAAATATTTGCCTGGCTAAACTGATTTGAATAGCAGCTGTGGATTAGTCAGTTCTCTATAGATAAGAGGAACTTTGAAATATCTGTTTTCAATAAAGAAATTTTTTAGACATCTCGGAAAAAATATAAATTTAAGGCTTAATAACATGTTCTTCTGAATTTTCTACCAGATCTGGTGAAAGTTTTGTGAAACAAAATGTTCAAGAATAACTGATGAAAGCATTTTCCACAATAAGAGTCAAAAGGCATGGTAAAGGGAACATGAAAAGTTCACTCCAAGTACCATTCAAGCATTATAAAGTATCTGTGCTGGGAACAGTAAAACCCAAAACAGAGAAATGGCCTAACTCTTTAAGCACAATCTCAGAGATGGCAGTGAGTCATACCCAATTCTATCTTGTAGCTCAATTTATCCTGCCTGGCACACGTTATCCTGATTTCAAGCAGCTAAACTTCACAGTGAGACTGAGCCAGATTGAGAGGCTATCAGGTCAATGTGACAGGAAGCAAAAAGCACTTATTTTAAAAGGACAAGTAAGCTTCCTCTTTTCTAGCTTTTGATGCTTGTAACAGTAGCAAAGGTTGAGCTGCTCCCTCCAAACAAGTACCTGAAGACTGTACCTCCAAATCACCTTCCTAAGCAATAAGCATCATCACTGCTCTCTTATTATAGCACAATATGAACTGACAAAGGTTCTGTGCTTGACCAAACTTTTTCCTAGCCCATCTGTAGACTTCCTTGTGAAACCCAATTTTAGCAAGAACCCTGCTAAGTCATTATAGCAGGAACCTACCCCCTCTTTGATGTCTAATTACCCTCAATATCTAATTGGGTTCCTCATCCTCCACCATTCCCTAAGTGATGTCTGATCATCTTAACCTGCCTTCAGCAAGAATCCAGTTAGGTGGGTTTAGCCAGAAAACCCCTCACCCCTTATGTTTTCTTTGAGTAATTTTCCATCTAATGGCCCCACCCTGTTTTTTCTGTTTTTTAGTTATAAATTCCCACTTGCTGATGCCGCAGTATTTAGAGTTGAGTCCAGTCTCCCCTACTGCAAAATCTCATTGCAGTGGTGTGTATACCTATCACCTATGGCTATATCCCTGAATAGAGTGTGCTTTACTATGCTTTCAAAAGTACCATTAAATGATTTTTTGACAGATCCTTCCCCTTTCCTTCAACTGCAAGGAGGTCACGATGATTGCTGTGTTATCTATGTGCCTTTGTGTGGGAAAATTCAGAGAATGTGTGACTGTAAGAATGCCTGACTGTAAGTGCATATGTGTATAGAGGTTTATGTCTGTGAGATCTATATATACATATATATCTCCATATATTATATATAATATATATACACACATATGAATAGGAAAACCTTTAGAGAAATGTGAAGTGCATGAATACATTTTAATAGGTTTTCCGAACTAAAATAGAGTATACTTTAGCTCTCATTTATATATAAGTACTTTTTAATTAAGTCGTATAATGCTTCTAAAAATAATTCTTTATTTTTATTTTGTTGTTAATGTCAAACTCTTTTTCTACCTCCTGAATTTCACTTCATTTCTTCTAGTTACAAAATATCCCCTGCAGATCTGCGTTTTTCTCATGAAATTAAATACTTTTATGTGCTCCAGAATTTACAAATTATTAGTTATAAAACTGAGAAAACAAGCAAAAGAACAAGACATAGTACATAAACAACTTCCCCTCTAAAAAGTGTCACGATTGAACAAACTACGAAGTATAATTTGTTAAATAAGGTATTTAGATCTTAGTGTCACTGTACAAAGAGATTTACCTAATATTTTACTTGAACAAACTATCGGAATGTTTCTCAGAATTCCCAAACCATATTTACATAGGGTCAGTATTCATCAATTGCTTGTTGAGTCTGTGAAGAAGGAGGAGTAAAAAAGAAAAAGAAAAAAATTGTTTGTTGCATTTTATTGCAAGCATAGAATAAATAATAAGCACAAACACACGTAATTGAAGTAACAGCACTTCACATAGAAAATAAAAGCATACTCTGGCATTGTAACCTAATACAACTCTTTGGGTTGCATCCTTAGAAATATTATTTGGGATTCACTGATACTCCTCTACTTTAAGAGTTAAAGATCTGTCTTAGAATATTTTCTAAGAAATTATTAACATTTGGGAACCTTGAGATCAGTTATTGTATAGCCTTCATCAGTGCTGAAATCTTTTCTCGATTGAAATCTTACCCAGAATCGTAAACAAACACAAATCTGTTCTATCTGAAGTGGTATAGGGGGCCTGGAATACTGTCAAATACACACTGCATCACCCTTTCCACATCAGTCACCAATAAGACAGATCTTCTAAAGGATCAAAAAGCAAAACAAAGACAAACAAAACCCTCCGGATTTAGTAAAGCTCTGTTTGAAAATCCATTGAGCTAGGACAGCCTCCCGATGGTACTGTGGTTTCACAAATGGAGATGTGAAATCCAGAGAATACAAGTCTAAAGCCACAACCAATTAATGTCAACATAGGGATTACAGGCCCAGTTTTTGTATTCCTATCTCAGTCCTTTTTAATTTAATTTAAATCTTATTTAAATTTCAATTCTCTATGTGTATATATTATATGGATGTTCATTTATTTATAAATATAGTTAACAAATATTACCCACTAAGAATAAGTATCTCTTCTTGATTTTGTTGTACTTGCTGCAATAAAGAACTTACTTTACACAGTAATAAAGTGCATTGAGTTAAAAGGTAAATTCAGTAGGCCGGGCACAGTGGCTCACGCCCGTAATCCCAGCACTTTGGGAGGCCAAGGCAGGTGGATCACCCGAGTCCGGGAGTTTGAGACCAGCCTGACCAACAGGGAGAAACCATGTCTCTACTAAAAATACAAAATTAGCCGGGAGTGGTGGCGCATGCCTGTAATCCCACCCACTAAGGAAGGCTGAGGCAGGAGAATCGCTTGAACCCGGGAGGCAGAGTTTGTGGTGAGCCAAGATCACGCCATTGCACTCCAGCCTGGGCAACAAGAGCAAAACTCTGTGTCAAAAAAAAAAAAAAAAAAAAGATACATTCAGTAGTAAAACTAATCATTATGTTGTTACCTGCCTTTCCCGTTTCTCCCCTTCCCTTTCTGGTCCTTGCTTGATACTAAATCTTCTGGAATAACTCCCAACTTCTGGGACAGCTCCACAATTTCTATATAAGACAGTCATCAGGTTGGCAGGCTTTATGAAACTGGTGGTGCGAATGGCCAAGAAAGTGTTTTATTTAGATTTTAGTTCTATTATAGAATGCTTGGAGAGAAGACTGATGAAGACTATGGGGGTAGTGGACTTTAGCAATTCGACTCTTGAATCCTCTAATCTTTAATCATGCTACAACAATTGCTACTCTTCACGGAAATTCTCTCTCCCAATTTCAATTTTTATTATATTCCCAATTCTACATAGTTTAGCCCTAATCCTTGGCTACTTGACTCTAACATGCCTTTCTTTCAATCCTTTACACTATGTGACAAGGCGCCCTTTCCTATAAAACTAAGGTAATCAATATATTCAGTTGTTTACATACCTACTTTATTTACCTCTTCAGCTTTACTGAAACTTCTTCCCATTGACATTACTTCCTTTTAGAACTCTCTGAAGGGAAACATTTACATTTTTAATTTTTGTTTTTTTACTTTTTTGCTGCTCCTTGTAGAGCAGGGCTAACCCACAGGCAGTGTGCCCAGAGCCAGTCCATTTATCATTTGTTCTACATATTTCAACAACAGAAAACAAAATAATTCTAGATCAGATTTTCCATTGTGAGATATAGGAATTACTCATGTATACTTTAATATATATATAATTTAAATAATTATTTTAACAAAAACAATAATGCCCTCCCCAGCTCAAGAAACAGAACATTGCCAGAAACTCCCCATACGTCTCTCCTGATTCATACCTACAGGCAGCCACTATCCCTAAAACCAAGGAAACTAACATTCTTGAACCATTTCAAGTTGCATTCATGGATTGAGAATCTTTGAACCATATGTGTGATCATTTGAGCTGGAAATCAAGGAGAGAACTGTCTCATGGTTACATCTCAGTGATTTTTTACTTTAACACTCCCCTTAGCACTCCAGGTTTTCTCTTTCAATGAATAACTAAGGAGCTCTTTGATGCTTTTTTCCTCTAAGGTCTTACCCAGATTTTTTGGTTCCTTTTTGTGGAAAAGTTGATGTAAATAACCTAGCCAACTGTATTTCAAGAAGGGTAAACCGTTATTGATCTATCCATCACTGACTTTTGATGACATCTACTCCGCACACTTATATTCTGTCATAGTTGTTAGTTAGGGTCTTCATGGAAGGGTAGGGATATCTGTAATTCTAATGAGAGTAGAAAATTTTAACAATCACAAAATATGTGATATTGATTGAGTGAAAAGATTGCTAAGCTGTGTGGGAAAAAATAATGAAGTAAGGAGTCTAAATTTGTTTTGGAACCTAATAAGTAAGGAGGTTTTTCTCCAGCAATACTGGCAACTCATAATTGATGCTTGAAATTCGAAGGCATAGTTTACCCCAAGCAGATGACTGACAAGTCAGTTACATTAGAAAAACATAAGATTAAGAAATGAAAATATCACTCCTGCATAGGTCTATGTTAGTAAGTCAGGAAAACGAAATCAAAAAGACACTGACAGACTATGAATAGGAGAGATTCAAAAGCCAAACATCAAAGAGAAAATTTAATAGTAACAAGTATTTGAAAAATACTGAAGGAAAAGAAAGATGTTTAAAGTTTATAATCCTGTAGAAAATGTAGATTCATATTTAACAGAAAACAAAAAGGCATTGTGACTAAATAAAGAAATAGATAAAGATTATTGCAGTAGGAAGGCTGAAGTTCTATAAAGACAATTTGTTTTTAATGATAGCATTAAAAATTATGATTATAACTAAAAAGTTATAATCAAAAATTAATATTTTGATAAAATTTCAGATGTCTTATGTACTATATGCTCAATTTAAAAAATTGTTTTGGCAGAATGTTGCTTTGTACTATTCAAGCATTTTAATCCTGAACCAAAATATAGATTTATTCATCTTCACTGTAGGAATATATAGTAGACACAGCATTATGCAGGTACCTTTATCATATAGGTATTCTCAAGAATTCCTCAAAGGCTAATTGTATTCTGTCAGTATTTTCCAAAATGAGGCAAATATATATGAAATGTATACCTCATGTATAAAAAGGTAGGCTATTAACACTGGTATATGGATAGGACTTATACAAATTTTAATTTTTATTGATTTAATGTGTATTAAAAAAGACTGGTACCTCAAATCTGTAATTCCATTGCTTACGTTAAGTCTACATGCATTTAAGTAGAAATATTGAATCTATATAAATAAAAAATATTAAGTAAACAATATTACAGTTCAAATGCAGGTACGCAATAATCATGAAAGCAGTAACTGACTAAATTAAGTTTGAAAAATATTGAATTATATCAGAATGCCTTTTAAAAAGTCATCTTGCTCTGACCTATGCCTGGTTAAAACTTACAGCTTTCTGTAATATATGTGGAAAAGATGTATGTAACTTTTATGAAAAATATATATGCAGTGTAGATTATACGGAATATATTCTACAGAAGATGACTCAGTGTATAAACTTTAACCAACTACTCTTGCTTGCTGTCACCATGCATCTAAAGTTGAGAAATGTCACAAAGAAGCCAGAAATAGAAGTTTTAAGGGTTCCACAGTAAAGAGAGTAGAAAATTATGTATTGATGTAGATATATGTATATGAGGTACTTGTATAGCAACTTATCCAATTTTGAACAAGAACCAAAGTTAAAAGGCAAAATAAATTATCTTGTTATGATTTTTAATTTCTTCAGAAAAATAGAACTATTCTATTTAACTATATATTAGTACATGTTTAGGACAGTGCTTCATCCTTTTAAAACTACTTTATCATGTATTATTGCAGTGAAGACAGATAGTAGAAGGATAAAGTGCATGGACTTTGAAGCCAGATAGCTACATGCTAAGTGTAATTTTTGAATTTATTTAAATGTTTTAGCTTGTTTTTTATTAGCTCTAAAATTGAGATAATAATAGCACCTGCTTCCTAGTGTTGTTGGGAGTTTTGAACATGATAATATATAAAGTGCCATGTGCATTCTACTCATTATTCATACGTTCATTCATACCTTCAATGATTTTATTCAGCAATTGATTACTCAGCACCTACAATGTGCCAGACACTCTCTTAGTCTTTGGGAAGAATACAAAAATAAATAATTATTGTCCTGGGGAGATCGAATTCTTGCATGGGAAGAGGACTAATAAATAATCAAATTTGTAATATAGAATAGGTACGTGCCATCAAGAAAATAAATCAGGCAAGAGGGTAAGGAGTGTAGGGTTCAGAGTGTTGCAATATTGAATAAGGTGAACAGAAATGGCTTCATCAAGAAGATCAGAATTGAGCAAAGACTTCAAAAAGTTGAGAGAGTAAGCCACATGCTTTCTGTAAGAAGAGAATTTCAGAAGAGGAGAGAGCAAGTGCAAAGACCCAAGGCCAGAGAACACCTGCTATGCCTAAAGAAGATGTGAGAGTGAGAGTTATAGCAGATGAAGGCAGAGGAATCGACAGAAGACTAGCACAGTAGAGCTTCATGGATAGGGTATTGCAAGGAACTCAGCTTTTACCCCAGCACAGAGCCACACCATCAGTGGGTACACATCATCCCTCCAACCCCAGACAGGCAGCCCTCTGGCTCACCTTTCAGTAGTAGCAACAATGACTGTGCCAACAGCAGTATGCAGAAGGGAGGAATGTGTTCTGCTCTCTATGCATAAGCTCTAGCACAGAGCCTGCTCTGCCAGTGGGAAAGGACCTCATGCTTTGCTTGCAAAACCAAGCACAGTGTGTCACTGCTTTAAGTGGAGTCATTTCTCATAGGCCCAGACAGGGAGCTCTTGGGCTCTGGAAAGCACACATTTTGGTTGTCTTTGTTCCATGGGTTGCCTTTTTTATGTTCTGCACTGCTCTTTCCCTGGGAATAGTACTCCAAGGCTGCAGTACTGGGGGCCCCATAGCATCTTTGTGTCCAGCCAGTGCTATGCCATTGTAGCACTAAGGTTACTGGGTTACTAATGTCAGTGGGGGCTTGTGGAATGTGAAGATATGGGAGCCATAACTCCCAATGCAGGATGTAGTTCTACAACAGCTGTCACAAGGGTGCCCAGCTACAGCCACTTAGGTCTTGGAGTGAGTGACTCAGTGTGAATTTTCTGTCTGATACAATGCCTTTATGGAGTCTCCAAATCACTACCCATGCTAGGATCAGGGTTTATCTGGGTAGAGTTTTGGATCCCAAGGTTTGGATTACAGCAATCTTACCTGGGGATGTAAACCACTGATGTTCTCCCACTTAGCCTTTCGCTACCATACTGAGTCCCTTGGGGCTCCTGGCTAATCTCAGATGATCTGCCATTCATTTCCTTGTTCTCCAGTGCCTCAGGTATTTCCTGTGACTTCTCTGTTGAGTTCTCTGTTAGATTTCTATTCAAAATATGATTATTTATTCATAATTTTGGTTCTTCTTTCTAGAGGGGCATGTGTCTGACATCTCTAGTGAGCCATTATAAACCAGTATCTATGGACATATTTTATGTATATTGTGGTAGAAAGCAAGAAAGAGCAAATGAAGAATAATTCATCTATATTCACAAAGAGACCAGATATAATTATTATTAACTTATAATCCTTACTTTATAAATTAAAAAATACCAAAATCTAAGTAGATTAGAGATTGGCCAACGTGGTGTTAGTTTGTGGTGCCACCAGAATGCCTACAACTAGAATTAAGGCATCTGGACTACAAATATGTTTCCTTACTCTATACCTACATTGCTTCCTAATATAACATTTATGCTATTTAACCTTAAATTGTGAGCAATTTGCTCAATGCAAATACAAAGTCAGAATATCTGGAATTCAGCCAAGTAACAATTTCCTCAGCCATTTACTGTTCCTTCCACGAGGTAGTGAAAGATTATCCAAGAGTTCACAGATCTGATAGGATGCCATTCATAACTTATAATGCATTTGCTCTAATACTAAGACTAAGGAATGACTGTTATGATAAAATGTGAAAGAACTATTCGTTGAATGAAAAGAACAATTCTAAGTAAAAATGTGTTCATTTTTCTCCTCACTTCTTATAAGTTTCAAGACCATGTGAAACAAATGAAAAATTCTTGGGGAAAGCTGGGACAAACAACTCTATTAACATAGCTGTGTGAACTTCCTTGCTAATGGCTCCCTACCCAGCTCCTTCACTCTAAGAGGGTGAAATTCTCATTTAACACAAGAAAGCAATTTGACTAAGACTTCTTGAATTAAACCTTCAGAATAAAAGGAAGCACAGGCACTATCTGATGAGACTAAGAAATAATGCAAGCCTCACTTTCAGGTGTAAGTCAATTGATGAGGAAATAAATTCCTGAGAGCTTTTTCCTATTATGGCCTCTGATTGCAGGCAGCATTCTGAGTTGTAGGGTGATGACACACCAGAGTTATAAGCAACCTGGAAGGATAGTAGTGCAGCCTATTTGGCAGCAAATAGCATCCACCTGGTCCAGTTAATGATGAATTGGCTGAACTCATTTCAGGTTTCTGTACTTGAGTTTGGCAGGAAAAGTGGTACATTGAAGCCAGTTCCAGGAAAACAGCCAGGACCAGAAGAAGGGAGAGGGAGGTTAATTTTGACTTATATACTTCAAGCTAACCAATAGTGCTCTACTAACCTGGATTTTCCATATAAAGTCACTTAGATTATAAGGTGCAAATATGTCTTTAATTGTAAGATGACCTTGTGCAGCTTACGGTAATCACTTAGATAGCCATGGAAAACATGCAAAAGAAGGAAAAAGAACAATTTTTTTTTTTTGGATCATGAGAATGAGGCAGTGGCAGAAAAGTAACTTAAAGATTGGTTTTCATATCGAGTTTATAAGGATCTATCAAATCAATTTGTGGCTATGCCTTGTAAATGTTTTGTAGTCAATGTAGATGGCTGAAAGTTGAGCTAGGTTTAAAAATGGAAGAAATTAGTATAAAACATTAAACTGTTTATAAAATACTAGTGACAAAAAAATAAAATTGCCAGATAAAAGATGCCAGGATGCTCAGGTCAATCTGAGTTTCAAATAGAGGATAATTTTAAGTGCAAATATGTTGTAAATATTGCAATTTTTAGTTTTTTAGCATTGCATATTTTAGTATTATTTAGTATTTTTTATTATTGCATATTTATTTCAAATGTGTCCCAAGTATTGCATGGTACATGCTTAAGCTAAAAAAAAATTTTGTCGACATGAAATTCAAATTTAACATGATATAGTTTATTTTTATTTGCTGAGCCTGGAAACCTTAAGTGGAAAGAAGACATTTGGAATAAGCCAGCAAAGTTTTTAGAAGAATACATTTTTCAAGGAGATGAAAAACTCGATCTAGTCTCAATATTATATTTAATCATCTGTGTGACCTTGAACATGTTATTTAATCACCCTGAATCTCAGTTTCCTCAGCTGTAAGTTGTCATTTTAATAATATTAGTTTCAATTTTATGATGTATATATACTCATAAACTGAGGTCTCCTGTTATATGAAAACCTGCAGCCTGGATTATCAAACTAAATACTACCACCTACTGTAGCAGGACGAGCCGCAGACAAAACCTCTCAGACACCAAGTTGTAGAAGGAAGGGCTTTATTCAGCTGGGAGCATCGGCAAGCTACTGCCTTAAAATCCAAGCTCCTCAAGTGCACAATTTCTGTCCCTTTTAAGGGCTCACAACACTAAAGATTTCACATGAAAGGGTCGTGATTAATTGAGCAATCTAGGGGATACGTAACAGGGGTTTCATGCACTGGTAGTCAGAGTGAAACAGAACAGGGCAGGGAGTTTCACAATGTTCTTCCATACGATGTCTGGAATCTATGAATAACATCAGTTTCTAAGCTATGGTTGATTTTTAACTACTAGGTTTAGGCCAGGCAGGCCCAGGCCTGGTTTCAGGCCTGGCGCCGGGCTGCCTGTCTTTGATTTCACTTCCTTGTTTTTTTCTTAAAACAGGTACTGAGTATAAAACAATATAAAACAATATGAGAGGGTCTCTCTCTTCCCTCACTACCACTAATTAGCACTTGCCAAGGGACTGTACAAAGCCCTATAATTACAGGGTATTAAGCATTTAACTCCTATATTATACAATAACATAATACTGTAACATTGGCGGAATTATCTTCCACTTTACAGATGAGGAAAACACTTCAAAATTTAAATAACTTGCTTTCAGAACATGAAGCTACTAAGTGGCATATCCAGGACTTAATCCCCAATTTTTATGACATAAAAGCTTATACTGTGCAAACTATATGTACTAAATTGTTTGCCTAAATTTGATCAGATAACTACTCAGCCTTCTTTACCTTATATTTATCATACAGTTAGCCACCTTGGATGAATTTATTTCCATGGGGGCGGTGGGGGGGAAATGAAGCACTGATTTAGCCATGTGTATAAACAGAACACACAGATCAACTGCTATTTTGTCAACTTGCCTAATGAAGTTACATCAGTGTTCTTTCTCCTGGTAGTTTTGTTACTTCAGAATCCTTGCCTCAAAAGAAAATTAGCAATCAGTCAACAGAGTCTATGCCAGTTTCAGTCATCTGGCAAAGCATCTGTTGAAAGACTATAGATTCACAATCCGCATCAATAGAGATATGGCACATGCTATGGTGCCTACCCATTTGCAATGTGGCTGAGGATGGGAAATGTGAAGTGCATATTAGGAAACATAATTGACTTAGTTCTATAATAACTCAGCAATGGTAGAAATAAAGTACATGATGCCAAGTAGCAAAAAAGCAATTTTCTTTCAATCTTGTATGCATCATAAACACTTCTACGAGATGACAGGCAAAATAAGAAAATATTCCAAAAGTAGCATGCTATTCTAAATATATTATATGATGTTATTAAAATGTCAGCACAGCTTTGATGGTTCTATAATGTTAATTTTTTTAAAATGCAAAACCTCATAAATATATTATGGCCCTTTCTGGAAAGGGAAGAAGATAAGCAGGCGTATAGAAAATGTCATGTGAAATAAAATCACAACATTTGAGTGGAATCTAGTCAAATTCTGCCACAAGCGACTGGTGAGGCAGGGAATGAGGACCTGAGTTTTCAATAGGAGGAAGATGAATGAGAATGCTGCTGCTTGCTGAAGGAGGAAAAGGGAGATTTGAATCCATTCCCTGCCACTGCGTGGTGCTAGGAGCCAAAGGAGAGAATTGACAAGCTGACCCCTGCTATTCAGTGTGACACTCCATTAAGGAAGTTTAACCCCCTGGTAAGGATTTTTAAAGTGGCAAAAGTAAAGGGAAACAAGTGGCTTTTCTGGGTCGATAATGTTAAATATGAGGCTCTATCACAGTCTAAGAATCCCAGACTCTTCTCAGGAGTATGGCTTTCTCTGAAGTAAACAGTAGGAAGAGTCAACAATAGCAGAAACAGACAAACGCTGTGGGCAGCACCAGGTACTTGAATCCCAGCCTGATTGGGAATGGGTAAGTGCCAATGGGAAACTAAGAGAACATGTGGAATGTGATGGATGGCAGCAGTTTGAGGGGCTTCTTGGGAATCTCTCTTCTCGCTGAACCCCTGATCCTGTAATGGGTGGAAGTAGAACAATGACAAACCACTCCTTTGATGCCTAGCTACAGATCACTAAAGGATTATTTAGGACTTTGACTATCAGCAGGCTGCTGAGGTCTAGACAAGAACCTGCTCATGGGCACCATTAAATGAGTCATTTTATTAAATAAAACAAAGCCCATGTAAAAATTAAGGACATGTGTTATTTGTGTTAGCTCCCGAGACCTAAAGTTATAATGCATTTTGATAGGAAAGTAATATTTTGCAATCCAAGATAACTGTTTACCTCTTTTGTGTGACTCAGCAGTGGATAAAATGATACTACACAAACTAAACAAACCAACAAAAAAAGCCAGTAACAACAACAAACAACTGTAACCACTGCAGAATTTCAGTTTAGTACCTGAAGAAGATTTTATACTTCCAGAATTAGACTATTCTCTTTCTTAAGCTATAAATGACACACAGACTGGGCCTAAGCTATATTTATGTACACTTAGGCCTAATAATTAATGGCTTTCTTTATTTGGGTTCCATTTAAAAATTAGCATACCATATATTGCTATTTTTATTTTTTCATAATTACCTCTAAAAATTATTGAACAGTAGTTTCAAAGAACAGAAACTGCTTTAGCCATTGTGTATAAGAGCATACTAAAGAAGATTAAGTGTCTCATAAAATTGTAGTGAGAAATGAAGAAATAAACTGTAGACTGGACTTCTAGAAAGAACATCCGCAATCTGGGAGTCACATGGTGAATCTGGAAACTGTTGCAACAGCTGACAAGTCCATAATCTGCACCAGCAAAATGAATGCCCTTTATCTTGCCTCTCTCTTCACCCGATTCAGTTCCTATCCAAGTCTTACGAGAATGCCTTTGATTGGTGCACCTGCCATCAAAAACCTAAGCAGCAAAGAAATCTGGGAAATGTATTATTTGCCTTTCTGATTTCTGGCTGAAAGTTAGTGGGAATACATGTTAAGCAAAGTAATTCACAATATCTGCTTTAAATGCTCAATACTTTTACAAATACAAGATACTTTTATGCCTGGTGAGTTAATAAAGGGCAAATCACAGTGATGTGCTGATTTTATCTAAAATAGTTTGTCTGAAATACAAGGGTGTCATAGATTAAAAATGCTTTCTTTAGATAATAAAAGTACATAGATCTCACCTAAGAACCTCACTGACAACCGAATAATCAACTTCTGTGATCAATTTTAAAAACTTGCTGGAAATAATATAAAAAATATAATACATATTATTTTACATATGTCTACAGAAAAAGAAAGAAAACTAAATCATTTGATAATGTCCATAGATAGACAGTTGATTAGCTAATTCTGCCATTAAAGTAGACAAGTTCTTAAAGTTGAGTACTTGAAGACTAATTCTGAAGTTTGATCTTTCCCATTCTTTTTCTTTCTAACTTTAAAATAATTAACAAACAAAAATTGTATCTATTCAAGGTATTCAAGGTGTACAATGTGATGACTTCATATACGTGTAGATTGTGTACTGCTTATCACAGTCAAATTAATTAACACATCCATCACCACCCATAGTTACCATTTGTGTATGTGTGGTAAAAACAAAAACCTACTCATCAAATTTTTAGTTCGCAATACAGTATTATTAACTATCATCACCATGCTGTACATTAGATCCCCAGAACTTATTCATCTTATAACAAAAAGTTTGTACTCTTTAACCAGCTTTAAAGAAACATAGCAAAACACTTCCAATAGATTATTTATTTATTTATTTATTTTTTGAGACAGAGTTTTGCTCTTGTCGCCTAGGCTGGAGTGCAATGGCGCAACCTCAGCTCATTGCAACCTCTGCCTCTTGGGTTCAAGCAATTCTCCTGCCTCAGCCTGCCAAGTAGCTGGGATTACAGGTGCCCACCACCATGCCCAGCTGATTTTTTGTATTTTTAGTAGAGATGGGGTTTCACCAGGTTGGCCAGGTTGGTGTTGAACTCCTGACCTCAAGTGATCCACCTACCTCGGCCTCCCAAAATGCTGGGATTACAGGCATGAGCTACCGTGCCCAGTCTTGTAATAGAGTTGAAAGTGTTTTTTCAAATAAGATTGTTCCTGAATGCTCAGGTGGGGAAAAAAAGAATCCTCCGTATCACATTGATTAAATATAGTTGTTGGTTGTTCTCAACTCAAAATCTATTTGTCTAGAATTTGGCACAACTTCACAAAGTTATTGAAGTATTTTACATAAGTTTTGACAAATATTTTACCAAACTCTTGTGCCAGTGTAACTTAATGTGCACGTAACTAAATTCTGCTCCTGTTTATCCTATTTAGGTTTATTTTCAGAATTCCCTTAGTAATACCAAAATCTTCACTTATTTATCATATTATTCTTATGAGTTTTATCTTTAACAAATTGTTTTATGAAGCTCCTAAAATTAAATATCATAGACTATTGGTCTTCATAGATTTAAGATCTGTTATTTTGACACGTAGTACTGTGAAATTTAGCTAAGCCTCAAATGTAACATGAGAGTTACTCTTAAAAATGGTTTAGCATCAGCCAGACAGAAAAAATGGGAAAATTATATATAAATCTATGGCGATGCTATAGACTGTGGTGTGCTTGGACTCTTGGAAGCTCATTATGCGTGACTATATGCTACCTGCTAGAACGTGGCAGATCACATTAGAAAGGCAAACAAAGGACAAATCTCGAAAGTCTAGAATTGTCCTGCTTAGCACTTTGAACATTATCCTGAAAACAATGGGAAATATTGAAAACTGTTGGAAAGAGAAGTAACATGATCATCAGAGATAAACTAACTAGTTTTGTTCTTTTTAAATTTCAATGTTTTGGCAGTAATCATGTGATTTCAGAAGTGTCATAGGCAAAACAAGAATACCAGTTATTCAAGTGCATTGAAAGTGGTAAAGACTAAATCTAGGACCATGATATGAAGATTTCATTAAAAATTCAGTAGATATGTAGAAAATAAAAGTGACCAAAGTTATAAATAATTTTGAATTAGTGTAAGTTTACAATGTGTCTCGAGTTTATAATTTGATTGAATAGAAGGTTGGCTAATAATTTTGAGGTATCAGATGTAGTAGTCAGATCATTTTTCTAACAGATTAGTCTCTCTCTCTCTGTTTCTCTCCTCTCTGTCTCTTAAAAAATTCCTTGCTACTAATAATTACTGAACTTTTAAAAAGTGGCAGAGAGTGACGAGACTACAGTAATTGTTCTCTGTATAAGTCAGGCATCAGCTGGGCTCACACTGCCTAAAAAAAAACTAGGCAAATTTGATTAGAACCCATATTCCATACTCTACATAAAGTTTATTTTCATAGTCTATATTCTTATGATTTCTGAGAGTTCTGATATTCCCATGGTCATCTTTTGTTCAAGCTTATTGCCTTTGCTGAATTACTTTTTTCCTCTATATATCATGCTTCTAACATCAAATGTATATCAACTCTATTCTGGGGAGAAAAAATACATATATAGTATGTATATGTGTATAGATATACATATATAGTATGTATATGTGTATAGATATACATACATATATACACATATACCCACAAATACTTTTTTTCACTCAAAGGAACTATACGTATAGAGACCATTACTAAATTTTAGTGCTCATACTTGATTTGTATCACAAAAATGTCAACAATTCAATATTTAACATCTAATGTCTTTAAGGTCTTTCAGCTGCTCAGTCATGTTGTTCATTTACTTATTCTCTTTTCTTTTCTTCTACTTTTGGTCTTTCTCTTTAAGGAATAGAAACCCTCGAATTGATCCTGTTTTCTTATGGTAAGTCAGTTCTCTGTAGTCTATACTTTAAAACCCATTGCCTAATCTCCTTTGGCACATCCAAAAACAGAAAAGCTTAGAAATGACAGTCTTCTGGATGTTGATTTTTCATCCAAGGGCCAAATTTCTTTCTGCTTTTTTTCTATGATTAGAAATGCATTTGTGTTCAGAGGGGAATCCCTGCTTCACCTTTTGGTTATTTTCCACGAAACAAAATACACGTGGAAATTTGAGTGTATGCTACTAGTCAAGTGCTTTTTTTAAAACTTAGCTTTATAATGAGCTTAAGAGCAAAGAAGATAAAGAAATTACTCTTTTTCCAAAAATAGAGATGGGGTCTTGCTCTGTAACCCAAGCTGAAGTGTAATGACGTGTCTATAGCTCATTGCAGTCTCCATGGGGGCTTAAGGAATCCACCCTACCTCAGCCTTCAGAGTAGCTGGGATTACAGGTCTGTACTAGCACACCTGGCTTAGAGATGACTCTTTAAATTTAAACAGTTTTAAACTAAGATGGAAATGCCATAAGGACTAAGGACAGGGAACTTGTTTTAGCCTTATTCACTGCTTTAGCCCCAGAATCCAGAATTTTAATGGCATGTGACATACATTTAATGTATATTCAGATGATGGAATATGTCATATTTTAACAGCAAAGTAACAGCTATTACAGCTGACCTTTCCCCTTACAGTTATCTCACGGTCATGTAAAAAGAGAGAAAGGTTTTCCATCATATATGTATGTATCTTACTGTGCTGTAGGACTTTTTTTTTTAACACTTTCTATATAGTAAGCGCTTCTTAATTGAAATAGAATCTTCCATCTTTCCTGTAGTCATCTGAATATTCAACATGTTCTCTGAGTCGCCTAAGAAAAAGACGCTTAATTAGCATGCCTGCAACACTCTCTTCTTTAGTCGACTGTCATTCTCTGTTGCTCACATGCCACCAGCTCTAACACTTTTCTAGCCCATTTTAAGAGCATCAGTAAGTTTTCAAGTAAGTCCACAGTTCATGCATTTTTGTGGCCAAGGGAATTTTAGATCACTACATTGCCCTAAGCAGAAGGATGGTATAAATGAAACATTTGCCTGAAAAGAATGTTCCAACACAGAATCAGTGAGCTTTGCTGGCTCATGACACAGGCTTTCATCTACAGAATTTCTGGTCAACTCTCAAGATTAATGATCCAAATTTTAGGCTTTGTAGTAATTGCCTAGGGCTGCCATAGCAAATTACCACAAACTTGGTGGCTTAAAACAACAGAAATTTATTCTCCCACAGTTCTGGAGGCCAGAAGTCTAAAATCAAGGTGGCAGCAGGGCTGTGCTCCTTCCGATCATTTGGAACAATCACATCCTTGCTTCTTCCACCTTCTGGTGGCTCCAGGCATGTTTTAGCTTGTAGCCACATCATTTTAATCTCCACCTCTGTAGTCACGTTGCTTCTCCCTTTTCTCCTGTGTGGCTTTTCTCTGTCCCTTATAAGGACACATGTCATTGGATTCAGGCTAACCCAGATATCTAGAATGCTTTTCTCACCTCAAAATTTTTACCTGAATTACATTTGTAAAGACCAGTTTATCATGCCTCCTGAAGTATAAACTTCATGATCCTAGCTTACATAATATTCAAACCTAGTTCAAAGGATTTACTAGGGCATCTCCACCTGGACAAACTTGGACTCCTAATTTTCTGTTGCCAGTTTCATGAGTCTCTTGAAAGTTTTGCTTGGCTTTTCAGCCTCTTGGGTCTGTTTTTTAATTGGCAAACACTTTTGAAAGAGAAGGAGCCCGAAACACCCAGCTAACCCTTTCAGGCTTCTTGTCTCTGTCTCTTCTGGATCTTAGCCCTGCAGTTCCTCACTGCTTTGGTGTGTCTCTGATGCTTTTAGAAATGTGTGTGTGTGTGTGTGTGTGTGTGTGTGTGTGTGTGTGTGTGTGTGTGTATCTCCTGCTTCTTCAGAAATGTTGGTCTAAGTACTTAGTTCACAATTGCCTAAAATCAACCATTCACATGCTAATTTATAAATTATAATAAAGACTATTAAGACAGCATATAAAATGACATATTTGTAGATATGCTTTATCTACAAACTTTACAAAATACACGTGTACAGAAAAATAAAACACCAATTTTAAGCTATTATTTTTGTAAAAGTGTATGTAAATGATTAGCCATAGCAATAGGTAAATCATCATATAAATAATTATAACCACATTACATATAAAAATAGATGAGGATATTTACATTTATAGACATAAATCATGAAGAAACATTCAGGTTGCAAATTAGGAACTGTCAGCTGAATCATGCGTTAATTTTGTTTGTCGTAAAACCAGCACAGATTTCAAGTTTTATTATCTGCTAAAACTCTAAATTGTATTTCCTGGGTCTACAGAGTGGACAGCCTATTTCTCAGTCAGCATTGCGTTTACTAGTTAGTCAACTTATTTAAATCTATTTTAAATTGAGGGAAAAATACACATCAAATGAAAGGGAACACATAAAAGCTTGTTTCTTCAAAATGATTTTTAAAAACCTCTAAGCATTTTATCATTCATTCAAAGGTTTGGGCACATGTGGAAAAAAACATGCCCCTCATTGTAGTTGTGTTATTTCATTTGAACTTAAAGGTGCGCAACCTGACGTTCTTACTTTTTCTTCAAAAGCATCTCAAAAGAGGCAATCCCTCTTGGCTTTGCAACGAAAGATGTATTTACCATATTTACCATTTTGATAAATATGAGCAGGGACATCTTCAAAGGCAACTCTGGCATGTTCTGAAAAGTCTCTGGCTCTCGACAGATAAGACTAAATAACACCAAAATTTCCTTAGAATGTACAATTTTGTGATATAATTTTTAATAATCATATGTAAGCCTTAAAGGAATGAGGATTAGCAACAAAAAGAAATATATTTGCTATTCCTTGGGTGTTGTTTGTGGTTATTCAGAAAAAGTCATTTCAGTATGATATGTCTGACATTTGGAAATAGTAATAACTGGAAATCATTGAGCTATTAATATGTCAGGACAAAGAACTTAGCACTGAGCATGCATTGTCTTATTTAATCTTCACACCATTATTCGTAAGTAGAAATATAATATTCATACATGTATAAAAATCTTTATACATATAAGCTTGTGTTTGTGTGTGTATCTTTGTGTGTGTGGTAGAAAAAGACAGAAAGCCTGAAAATATAAATAATTTGGACCATTTGTTTTATTATTGTATAAATTCATTAATTCTGGGAAAGGCAAGGAAAAAATACCAATTATAAATATTCTTGACTCCTGCAATGTACCTAACCTAAAAAGTCAGAAAATTTTCCCAATGTTCCCAACCATGAAGTTATCAAGTATAAAATCAAATGAAGATATGTCTGGCACAGAAATCAAGTCACATAATTGCTATATAGCACTGCCTTTTATTCAATTATTTCAAGGTTGTAGATACTTAATGTATACATTTGTGGCTGGGGATCATTTCTTATAAAGAAAACCTTTAAAATCTACTTAAAACAATAATGGGCTATAGTATGTCTATAAAGTTTAATTTAGTTTCAAGCCACCACTATGCATATACAAGTGTAGGTTAAATTCCTATTTCAGGAAATAAATAGGAATTTAATTTAATTCAATTCCTATTTCAGGAAAGAAATGAGTTCAACAATTAGAGTGTTTAAGCTGATGTCATAATCCAGCCTAATCCCAGAAGTGACAGATATCTCCTACATGTGATCTGTTTACTTCACGGGCTTTGTGATTACTTATGCTCTCTATATTTTGAATTTAAACTTATCCTATTTTATTCTAATTAAGACCTCCACATCATGACTGTGAAATCAACAAATTCCCCTAACTCACCCCTTTGTTCTTGCTTCAAGAATTCCAACAGATTCAGACGTCATCATGACACTAATTCATATCTTATAGCTCTTTTTAAGCGGGAAAGAGTTGCTATTATGTCTTCCAGAATATGTATGCCAGAAATTTTAGGTTGGAAAATGCTTTTCCAGAAAGGTAGGGAGCAAACTAATGACATAATAAATGATTTGTCCTGAACCAAGTCCTAAAAAACAAAAAATGCACCTCAAGCAAAAAAACTGAATTGAAATGTGTCATCATGCAGAGAAAATATAACAATATTAGGCAGAAATGTTTCAGAAGCAATAGATACCACATTTCAAATGTAAATCTTATATTTCAGAAAAATATCTCTCCAATAGACATTAAAAATGATCTTCAATAATATCCAAAGGGAGTATGTTGCCATGGCAACTTATATAGATAGTTGTCACTCTTCTCAACTCCCATGCGATATTCCCCAGAAATGTTTTGTTTACAGTCAAAATCAAGCTGAAATGAACACGAAGGGTAACATTGGAGTCAAGGGGAAGAATTTCTGAGAAAGATTTCTGAAAAGAAGTATAAGTTATGAAAAAAAATCATTCCCATTTTGCCTTGGAGCAGTGTTTCTCAACTTTGGCATTATTTGGTCCAGATAGTGCTTTGTTGTGGTGGCCTGTCCTGTTTATTGTAGGATGTTTGGTAGCATTCCCTGCCTTTACCCACCAGAAGCTAGTAACTAACACTCCCACACTCCCATTTGTGACAACAAAATTATCTCTAAACATTGCCAAATTTCTCCTGGTTGAGAACTTACTGTCTTAGAGGAAAGGGATTATTGCCTGATTTTTATAAAAAAGAGCAACAGATCTAGGTCTATTACTGATGACTGGCTGATGAAACAGAACTAAGGAATCCAACTCTTTACAAGGCCCCCTTGCCTTTTTTTCTTATCTACTCATATCTCCATCCTATTTCCTACATATCTGATGGAGCCATTAAAGATGTTTGTGGATTTTATGAAACTGACCTTTTATTATTAATATAGGGATTTAAAATACAAATCTTTACATGGACATGCACCGTAAACACTCTTTTCAAACTTTGGCTGCTGTATTTCTTTTTGTAGTCTTCTCTGATTTTTCCTTTGGCAATATATCTAGTAATAGTTTGATGGAGCTTTCTATAGAAGAGATTTTTAAAAATAATAATCATAATAAATGCTAGAAAAAAGTAGAATTATTACAAAACCACATATTGGCCATGGAAATTCTGAAAAAGATTAAAACACTCTCACTAGGGCATTTTACAAAGGGTAATACCGCAGCAAATACAAATTAAGAAATACTGGTAGTTTTTATATCAAAAAAGCAATACTTTAATTGTTACTACAATTCTAATTATTTTGAAGAGACATAATTTTGTTTATGTGCTTCCTCAATAGAAAAAAAAAGTTTCTGAGAAATCTAATTAGGCAGATTTTTTTCCAGTGCTAATGTGACAATAGCTCGAATACCCAGGGAAGCACCATTACTTCTCAAGCCAATAGAGTTGCACTAAAAGAGTAATTTACAAAAGTATCATTAACAATAAAATTGAAAATGCCAATTTAAAAACACCCAACATAGAACTCATGAATAATTTAGTAATAATAGAAAACAAAAACTCTATATTGACTATTACCACTAACATAATTTGATTGCAAGATATTATCAAAATGTGTTACGATATTTTCACCAATCGTTGAACTAACGGGTTGACTCTCACATGTATTTGGAAAAAAAAAAAAAAAAAAAGTAGCCTGGTCATGTTTTCCCTAGAAACTCAGATTGAGTAGGTCATAAACTGGTTTTCCAATATGTTGCAGAACAAACTAACAAAATTGCAAAACTGGACCCTGCAGACACTTGTAAACAGCCAAACCATTTTTTCAAAAAGACATATCTCCCTCTTGCTGACGGAGAATGAAATTTGGAACTTACCTAACCTCTGAAGGCTCCCCTAGGTACTTGAGAATTAGATCCAGGATTACTCACAGTTAGAAGCATTCCCAAAGAGTTAAGACACTAGCAGTTCACCTCAATATACTATTTGAATTTTCTGCCTCACTTGTGTATGGAGGCTGAGTTTTCTTTAATGCATTTTTATTTACATGATCAATAATATAAAAATTCCACTTATTCAAAAATACTTTTGGACATGGAAAATGCTTTTCTTAATATATAATTTTGCTTCAAAATATGCTTTTATTTTTTTCCTTGATGTGCATGTGTTTCTCAGCAAATGACATTACATACCATTTCATAGTGCAATCTAAGCTACTAGATTCAATCATTTAACTCTCTCCCATTTATCTTTTAATATATAAATAATTCACTATCACATTCTTTTTTCTACAAGAAAAGGCATAATTTATCTATCCCATGGATTCAGTCTTTTATGTAAGTTTCATATATTCCTGCCTCATTCACAGAGTAAACCCTTTTGTAAACTATGGACTTTGGCTAATAATAATGTGTCCATATTGGCTTACCAATGGTAACAAAGGCATTACACAAATGCAAAATGTTAATAATAGGAAAAACTAGGAAGGGGAGGGATATATGTAAGTTCTCTGTACTTTCTGGTCAATTTTTCTATATAGCTAAAATCTCCCTAAAAGATAACATCTGCTAATTTAAAAACATATTTTTTAATTATGAAGAAAAAAAGATGGGGAAATTTTTCCTGAAGATCCTGGGAAAAGATCCTGAAGAAAAGCATAAAGCTAAAAAAGGATTAATAGAAGAGACATAGACATTTTTGGAAAATAAGTACAAGATGTAAAATCTAAGGAGAAGATTAGAGAATTTTAAAGAAACATTAGGACTACATTTAAAAGATCTCATTAAGGTAAATTTAAAAATTAATATACAACGATACAAATTTAAAAACCGGTCTGGAGAAAAACTGAATCATAAAAATAATATATCAGGAGATTTCAGAAGAAAAATAAAAGATAAAAATGAGAGAATGTTTCTTTGGATTTGAGCTAAAATTGAGTAACAATGACAAGATTATCAATCTATGTTAAACAACATGAAATAAACAAATATATAGAAGTATGGTTTCAGATATTGGTGAACAGGCAGCATGAGATTGTTTCTCCTGAGAAAAAGGAAAAAAAGCAAATGATACCTACAATTGCTTTCAATGTCCTACCAGGAGATAGTTTCCAAGCCACAGCACAGAGAGGGAGATTCCAAAAGGAGCCTAGCGGCCTTGCTCACCAATTGATAGACCGTATCTTCAGAAAACCAGTAGGCATATAGAATACCTGAACAATACTATTAGCCACTTTGACTTAATTTACATATAAAGAACAATCCACACAACAGCAAATTAGTTTTAGGTATACATACAGAATAGTGAGGAAAAAATGGCAGATAGGAGGCAGGACTAAATCGCAGCTCCCACTTGGACAAATAGAGCAGCATGTGGAGACTCACATCATGAACTTTTGCTCCAAGAACTACTGCAGGAACATACCAGGAAAGCTGAGAGAATCCACAGACCCTTTGAAGGAAGCAGATTGCTCCTGCAGTACCCGGGAGCCAGGCCAAATATTGAGTGCCCAAACTATGAAAGTGGGAAAAGATGATCATTTTCCCCTGAACACACACCCTCACTGGGGAACTGAAGGTCCAGATCACAGGAGGATTTGACCTTACCTGGAGCTGAGATAATTTAGAGAGGTCAGTGAAATACAAGAGTAGAGGAAGCTCTCTTGGTCCTCAGGGAAGACATTTCTGATTTGTCTCACAGGGGTCCTTGGGGAGGGCTGCCAAAGGAACAGGAAAAAGACCTCAGGGAGAAGGAAACCTCCAGCTAAACTTTGTAACAATTCCAACTGAACATGAAGTTTCCTGGACAGAACCCAGGGGAGGGGATAAATCTGGAGTATGGAAGTGGGCAGGCAGGGAGGGACAAAACCTGAAAGCCCTGCTTGCTTTCTAAGCTGGGGGGCTTGTAGCCTGGGGCAAGTTCTCAGTCCTGCTCGCCCACTGCCTGGAAACAAACTCAGTGCTGTTGGAGGAAGCATGGTGGGAGTGAGACTGTCCTTTTGGGTTGCATAGGAGCTAGGTGAGGCCTGTATCTGCCAGCTTTCCCCACTTCCCTGGAGACCTGCATGACACAGCAAAGGAAGCCAAAGTCCTCCTAAGAACATAACTCCATTGACCTGGAAACCACACTCCATCCCTCACAGCAGCCAGAGCAAGCCCCACCAAAGGAGAATCTGAGGTCAGACATGCCTAATCCTGCCTCCACCTGATGGCCTTACTCTACCAACCCTGGTAGCTGAAGATAAAGGTCATATTCTTTTGAGAGTTTTAAGGCACTGCTCACCACCTGATCCTTCCTGTACTACCACAGCTGATGCTCTCTTGAAAGCGCCACCTCCTGGCAGGAGGCCAAAGAACAAAAACCGAGTGCAATAAACAACAATAATACAACTAGGAACTCTCATAGAATCAATTTCACTCCCTTGCCATCTCCACCAGAACAAGTGCTACTATCCATGGCTGAGAGACCTGAAGATGGTTCACATCTCAGGACTCTGTGCAGACAACTCCCAGTACCAGCCTGGAACCCAGCAGCCCTGCTGAGTGGCTAGGTCCAAAAGCGATCAATAACAATTACTACAGTTTTGTTCCTAGAAAGCCACATCCCTAGGAAAGAGGGAGAGTACTACATCAAGGGAGCACCCCATGAGACAAAAAAAATCTGAACAGCAGCTTTTGAGCCCCAGATTTTCCCTCTGACATAGCCTACCCAATGAGAAGGAACAGAAAAACAGTTCTGGTAATATGACAAAACAAGGTTCTTTAACAACCTCAAAAAATTACACTAGCTCACTCGCAACAAACCAAGAAGAAAGTCATGATTTGACAAGAAAAAAAATTAGAAGGTTGATTATTAAGCTAATCAAGGAGGCACCAGAGAAAGGTAAAGTCCAGTGTAATGAAATCCAAAAAATGATAGAAGATACAAGGGGAGAAATATTCAATGAAATAGATAGCATAAATAAAACACAGTTACAACTTCTGAAAATCAAGTACACATTTATAGAATGCAAAATGCACTGGAAAGTCTCAGCAATAGAATCGAACAAGCAGAAGAAAGAACTTTAGAGCTCGAAGACAAGGTTTTCAAAATAACCCAAACTAAGACAAAGAAAAAACGATTTAAAAAATGAACAAAGCATCCAAGAAGTTTGGGATAATCTTAAATGACCAAACCTAAGAATAATTGGTGCTGTTGAGGAAGAAGAGAAATCTACAAGTTTGGAAAACATATTTGAGGGAATAATTGAGGAAAACTTCCCCAGCCTTGCTAGAGATGTAGACATACAACTACAAGAAGCTCAAAGAACACCTGGGAAATTCATCACAAAAAGATCATTGCCTAAGCACATAGTCATTTGGTTACCTAAAGTAAAGACAAAGGAAAAAATATTAAGAGCCATGAAGCAAAAGCATAAGTTAACATATAAAGGAAAATCTATCAGACTAACAGCAGATTTCTCAGTGGAAACCCTGCAAGCCAGAAGGGATTGGGGCTCTATCTTCAACCTCCTTAAACAAAACAATTATCAGCTAAGAATTTTGTACTCAAGGAAACTAAGCTTCATAAATGAAGGAAAGATACAGTCTTTTTCAGACAAACAAATGCTGTGAGAATTCACCACGATCAAGCCAGCACTACAAGAACTGCTAAAAGGAGTTCTAAATCTTGAAACAAATCCTAGAAACACAACCAAACTAAAACCTCTTTAAAGCATGAATCTCACGGTACCCATAAAACAAAAATCAAAAAACAAAACAAAAAAAGCTACTCAGCAAAAATTGCATGAGGAATGGAATGCTACCTCACATCTCAGTACTAACATTGAATGTAAATGGCCTAAATTCTCCACTTAAGAAATACAGAATTGCAGAATGGATAAGAATTCACCAATCATATATCTGCTGCCTTCAAGAGACTCATCTATCACATAAGGACTCACATAAACTTAAGGTAAAGGGGTGGAAAAAGACCTTCCATGCAAATGGACACCAAAAGTGAGCAGGAGTAGCTATTCTTATATCAGGCAAAACAAACTTTAAAGCAACAGCAGTTAAAAAAGACAAAGAAGGACATTATATAATAACAAAAGTCTTGTCCAATAGGAAAGTATTATAATCCTAAATATATATGCACCTAACAATGGAGCCCCCAGATTTATAAAACCATTATTACTAGACCTGAGAAATGAGATAGACAGCAACACAATAATAATGGGGGGACTTCAATATTCCACTGAGAGCACTAGACAGGTCATCAAGACAGAAAGTCAATAAAGAAACAATGGATTTAAACCATACCCTGGAACAAATGGAATTAACAGAATATTCTACCCAACAACCACAAAATGTACATTCCATTCATCAGGGCATGGGACATTCTCCAAGATAGCACATATCATAGGCCACAAAACAAGTCTCAATAAATTTAAGAAAGCTGAAATTATATCAAATATTCTCTCTGACCACAGTGGAATAAAATTGAAACTCAACCTCAAAAACAACCCTCAAAACCATGCAAATATGTGGAAATTAAATAACCTGCTCATGAATGATCATTGAGTCAACAATGAAATCAAGAAGGAAATTTAAAAATTCTGTGAACTGAATGATAATAGTGACACAACCTGTCAAAACTTCTGAGATACAGCAAAGGCAGTGCTAAAAGGAAAGTTCATAGACTTAGATGCCCACATCAAAAAGTCTGAAAGAGCACAAATAGACAATCTAATGTCACATCTCAAAGAACTAGAAAAACAAGAACAAACCAAACCCAAACCCAGCAGAAGAAAAGGAATAACCAAGATGAGAGCAGAACTAAATGAAATTGAAACAACAAAACAATACAAAATATAATTGAAACAAAAAGCTTGTCCTTTGAAAAGATGAATAAAATTGATAGGCAACTAGAGAGATTAACCAAGAAAAAAGAGGGAAGATCCAAATATGCTCAATTAGAAACAAAACAGGAGATATTACAACTGACACCACAGAAATACAAAAGATCATTCAAGGCCACTATGAACACCTGTATGCACCTAAACCAGAAAACCTAGAGGAGATGGTAAATCTCTAGAAATATACAACCCTCCTAGCTTAAACCAGGAAGAATTAGACCTGAACAGACAAATAACAAGCAGCAAGATTGAAATGGTAATTTTAAAAATGCCAACAAAAAAAGTTCAAAACCAGATTATTAATAGCTGAATTCCATCAGACATTCAAAGAAGAATTGGTACTAATCCTGTTGGATTCCGCAATATAGAGAAATAGGGAATTCTCCCTGAATCATTCTATGAAGCCAGTATCACCCTAATAGCAAAACCAGAAAAGGACATAAAAAAGAAAACTATAAACCAATATCCCTGATGAATATAGATGCAAAAATCCTTAACAAAACACTAGCTAACTGAATCTAACAGCATATCAAAGAGATAATCCACCATGACCAAGTGGGCTTCATGCTAGGGATGCAGGGATGGTTTAATATATGCAAGTCAATAAATGTGATACACCACATAAACAGAATTAAAAACAAAAACCACACAATCATTTCAATAGATGCAGAAAAAGCATTTAACAAAATGCAGCATTCCTTTATGATTAAACCCTCAGCAAAGCTGGCATACAAGAGACATGCCTTAATGTAATAAAAGCCATCTATGACAACCCACAGCCAGCATAATACTGAAAAGGCAGGAGTTGAAAGCATTCCCTCTGACAACTGGAACAATACAAGGATGGCCACTCTCAAAACTTCTATTCAACATAGTACTGGAAGTCCCAGCCAGAGAAACCAGACAAGAGAAAGAAATGGAAGGCATCCAAATTGATAAAGAGGAAGTCAAACTGTTGCTGTTTGCTGATGATATGATTGTATACCTAGAAAACCCTAAAGACTCCTCCAAAAAAGTACTAGAACTGATAAATGAATTCATCAAAGTTTCAGAATACAAAATTAATGTATACAAATCAGTAGCTCTGCTATACACCAACAGCGACCAAGCTGAGAATCAAATCATGAACTCTATCCCTTTTATGACAGCTGCAAAATAAATAAATAAATAAATAAAACATTTAGGAATATACCTAACCAACGAGGTGGAAGATCTGTACAAGGAAAACTACAATACACTGCTTAAAGAAATCATGGAAGACACAAACAAATGAAAACACATTCCATGTTCATGGATGGGTAGAATCAATATTGTAAAAATGACCAAACTGCCAAAAGCAATCTACAATTTCAATGCAATTCCCATCAAAATACCATGGTCATTCTTCACAGAACTAGGAAAGACAATCCTAAAATTCATATGGAATCAAAAAAGAGCCTGCATAACCAAAGCATGACTAAGCAAAAAGAACAAATCTAGAGGCATCACATTACCTGACTTCAAACAAATTAAAAAAAAAAAATCCTATCAAAAAGTGGGCTAAAGACATGAATAGACAATTCTCAAAAGAGGATATACAAATGGCCAATAAACATATGAAAACAAATGCTCAGCATCACTAATGATCATTGAAATGCAAATCCAAACCACAATATGATATCACCTTACTCCTGCAAGAATGGCCATAATCAAAAAATAAAAAAATAATAAATGTGATGGGGTTGCAGTGAAAAGGGAACACTTTTACACTGTTGGTGGAAATGTAAACTAGTACAACAACTATGGAATACAGTGTGGAGATTCCTTAAAGAACTAAAAGTACAACCACCATTTGATCTAGCAATCCCACCACTGCATATCTACCCAGAGGGAAAGAAGTCATTATATGAAAAAGATAGTTGCACACACATGTTTATAGCAGCACAATTTACAATTGCAAAAATATGGAACCAGCCCAAATGTCCATCAATCAATGAGAGGATAAAGAAACTGTACATACCATGGAATACTACTCAGCCATGAAAAGGAACAAAGTAATGGCATTTGCAGCAACCTGGATGGAATTGGAGACAATATGTTTAGCTGACTTTAACTGCTCAACATTATTTTTGATGCAGAAATAGATGTTGATGCATGTAGCTGCAGTTTGCTCATTCTCGTTGCATTTTACTATCTGAATATACCACAATTTATCTGTTCTATTTTTAACGGGATTTTGAATGTTTTCCTCCGTTTTAGTCTCTTAGGAACCATCATTCTACATGACTTTTGCTATATATATAAATACATTGCCAAGAAGAAATGAAACATTTGAGTTTCACAAAATCAGTTGGAAAATGATAGTCCTCTTTCACTTTTTATCTGTTATCCGAAGGTGCTTGGGTAATACTGGTATTGTTTCTCCTCAAATGTTTCACAGAAGTCATGGATAAAGCCATCTTATCCTAGAAATTTTTTTTCATAAGAAGCTTTTAAATTATGAATTTACTTTACGTAATGCTTCTTGCATTTTTTTTACTAAGGTATAACTTACATAAATAAAAGAGCAGACTTCCTGTGTATGTTAGGATGAAACCAGTAAGGACCTGAAAGGAGTTTGAGTTTTATTCTAAATGTGATAGATAATATAGCCTTGACAAGTCCAATAATCTCTCTGGGTTTTCATTTTTACCACTGAAGTACTTACCTGCCTTACGAGGCTGTGTTGGGTTTATGAATGTAATGATCACAGCACCTACTAAATGGCAGTTATTATTTATTTCCTCTGTCATAGGTATAGATGGCAACTGGTGAATATCATGCTTGTTTGAAATACAAATAATTTCTTCTGAAGTTACAATTAATATGATTACTTAATCTTTTACATATTTTAGCATTCTATATTTTTAGCACCACTAATAGTCCTTGACATTTTGCATTACTTCTTTTCACCTTCCCCACAAACAAAGTAAACAAACACTTTCATGAAGATAGACTTTTATTTTGTGCTCTTGAAGAAGTAATTTCTTGAATGGAGTAAAAACAGGTTGAACAAAAACTGTGGAATGTCTAAGAAAAAACATTTCCACATTAAATACTCTTGTAAATTTCTAAAAATTTCATGACCTGTAGAAACAGAAATTCTTGGTGATTGGTGAAAATGAGTACAAGGAGGATTAGAAGACGCATCTGTAGTAAGAGTGTGTATATATGGAGTGAGGTAGTTAGAGAGTTGAGATCTTAGATAAGTAAATTTGCAAAATTCACACACACACACACACACACATTTAGAAGAAGCCAGAGTAAATGGTGTGATCACAGAAATCAACAGCAAGAGACATTATTGCTGTGTGGCAACTTCATGATATGAAGCCCAAGATTAGCTTTAATATAAAAAATAAAATTGGTTAATGCTGTGAGGTGTGAAAGGCAAGTAGCAGAAGTAGCAATCTGACACAGAAAGAGTTTAGAAATAAAATCCTTGAGGCCTTTAATGATTATGTATGCAATACACAAAATTTAGAAAGTGCTGGATATAGTTATCCTATAAGCATCCATCATGTTAGAATCTTATAGTTTCTCCTACAGTTATTTAAACCTTATAATTATTTAATGATTACTTTATTCATATGAGTTACTATATCTCTACAATTCTGGCTGATTTCAAGATGTGAGAAATAAGAAGCCTTATCCAATGGAAGTAATAAGCTTCATTCTCAGAAAACTGCTTCTACACTCCAACAGATAAAAGAAATACTTCATACTTTATGAAATGATGAATTTCATTTATTTCTGAAATTGAGGGACATCTTTCCTTCTCTTCTTTTAAAATATCAAATCAAATTAAATTGAAGAGGATTCTATTCCTTCTAGTTTAGATTTAATTCATTCAGTAGGCCAATAAATATCCAGGATTTCTGTACTCTTCATAAAAACAGAAAATGAAACATCCCTACTCATCCAAAGAAAATGGAAGGGCATATATATTACATTATATATTTTAATTAGAATTAGTGTTAACCATCCCCTTTTTGGCTTATTTTTAAATTTTTTTTTATACTTTAAGTTTTAGGGTACATGTGCACAACGTGCAGGTTAGTTACATATGTATAACGAGTTGATGGGTGCAGCACACCAACATGGCAGAATAATTTTTTATTTATAAAAATTGCTCTTGTCTCTTTACCCTGACAGTTTTCCATTTGTATGAAACGTTAAAATGCAACTTTTAGCATGGAATTTCTCCTGTCAGTCCCACCTTGGATTTCTGCCACACTTGTGCTGACCTTCCACATAAGCGTTTATTGGCTTCAAGTAAGGACAACTTTTCCGGTTTGGGCTTGGGTCCTGTTCCAACAGAGTTATTTCCTGGATGCGGGGACTTGTCTGACTATGGAAATCCTGTCTGCACTCAGCATATACAGTTGTGTTGGGGAGTTACCTCATGGAGAACCCTGGGCCAATGGAAGACAGGAGATGATGAATAAAAATTTTCTCCTTTTTTCCTAAGGCAGTCAGTTCACAGGATTATTTCTTTTTTTTATTGTTCTAATTTATTTTATTTTATTTTTTTATTATTATTTTACTTTAAAGTTTTAGGGTACATGTGCACAATGTGCAGGTTAGTTACATATGTATACATGTGCCATGCTGGTGTGCTGCACCCATTAACTCATCATTTAGCATTAGGTATATCTCCCAAAGCTATCCCTCCCCCCTCCCCCCACCCCACAACAGTCCCCAGAGTGTGATGTTCCCCTTCCTGTGTCCATGTGTTCTCATTGTTCAATTCCCACCTATGAGTGAGAATATGCGGTGTTTGGTTTTTTGTTCTTGTGATAGTTTACTGAGAATGATGATTTCCAATTTCATCCATGTCCCTACAAAGGACATGAACTCATCATTTTTTATGGCTGCATAGTATTCCATGGTGTATATGTGCCACATTTTCTTAATCCAGTCTATCATTGTTGACATTTGGGTTGGTTCCAAGTCTTTGCTATTGTGAATAGTGCTGCAATAAACATACATGTGCATGTGTCTTTATAGCAGCATGATTTATAGTCCTTTGGGTATATAGCCAGTAATGGGATGGCTGGGTCAAATGGTATTTCTAGTTCTAGATCCCTGAGGAATCGCCACACTGACTTCCACAATGGTTGAACTAGTTTACAGTCCCACCAACAGTGTCAAAGTGTTCCTATTTCTCCACATCCTCTCCAGCACCTGTTGTTTCCTGACTTTTTAAAGATTGCCATTCTAACTGGTGTGAGATGGTATCTCATTGTGGTTTTGATTTGCATTTCTCTGATGGCCAGTGATGGCGAGCATTTTTTCATGTGTTTTTTGGCTGCATAAATGTCTTCTTTTGAGAAGTGTCTGTTCATGTCCTTCACCCACTTTTTGATGGGGTTGTTTGTTTTTTTCTTGTAAATTTGTTTGAGTTCATTGTAGATTCTGGATATTAGCCCTTTGTCAGATGAGTAGGTTGCGAAAATTTTCTCCCATTTTGTAGGTTGCCTGTTCACTCTGATGGTAGTTTCTTTTGCTGTGCAGAAGCTCTTTAGTTTAATTAGATCCCATTTGTCAATTTTGGCTTTTGTTGCCATGGCTTTTGGTGTTTTAGACATGAAGTCCTTGCCCATGCCTATGTCCTGAATGATAATGCCTAGGTTTTCTTCTAGGGTTTTTATGGTTTTAGGTCTAACGTTTAAGTCTTTAATCCATCTTGAATTAATTTTTGTATAAGGTGTAAGGAAGGGATCCAGTTTCAGCTTTCTACATCTGGCTAGCCAGTTTTCCCAGCACGATTTATTAAATAGGGAATCCTTTCCCCACTGCTTGTTTTTGTCAGGTTTGTGAAAGATCAGATAGTTGTAGATACGCGGTGTTATTTCTGAGGGCTCTGTTCTGTTCCATTGATCTATATCTCTGTTTTGGTACCAGTACCATGCTGTTTTGGTTACTGTAGCCTTGTAGTATAGTTTGAAGTCAGGTAGCATGATGCCTCCAGCGTTGTTCTTTTGGCTTAGGATTGACTTGGTGATGCGGGCTCTTTTTTGGTGCCATATGAACTTTAAAGTAGTTTTTTCCAATTCTCACAGAAATATTTCACAAGGCTCCTTAGAAGGCCCTACAGGAGCAAATGCTAGCTGCCTTTAGAGTGGATAACTTAATTATACATCTTTATGTGAGTTTTCCTTTTTCCCCGTTTACTCCACCTGTTCCTCAAACCTACTGCCTGGGAGCGTATTTGTAAATAAGCTAGCTGAACACAAGCCTTTAATTCAGACTCTGCTTTTGGAAAAAGCCAGGCATTTTAATACTTAGGATCAAAACAGGTACAACAAACCAGCTCACTTTAGACAGTAATCCTCTATGACAGCTTGTAGGCTACCTGAACAAACTTGCTTCACCAGTTCCTTTAATCACTTTAGTAAAACAGCATTTTCAATTTGTCCACCTTTCATGCTTTGTTTAGTTTTACCAGTTTCTGCTTCCCACACACACTTGAGAACAACACTCTGCCACTCTACCTGACTTGAATTACATTATGCTTACCAGGCTGTTTCTGCTTCCTAAATGATATCCCATGCTAGGGGCAAACCATGACCTAGTTTTGTCAAAGGCATAGCAAGAACAAGACTAAAGTATATTCTGCTTTGTATTTTACTCTTGTCTACTCACAATTTTGAGATATTGAATAAAAATGTAGTTAATATAGCTGCATTTAATTTGAATATTGGACCTCCTGTGTCGCTTCTTAACCTTGTCACATCTGCCATCTGGTAACTGAGATCTCAAGATTTTACCAGGAAAAAAATTAAATATTTAACACATCTGTAGCAATTGTGATATGCAGAACTCTTTTGCATGTGTAATTTTATTTGATCCTCCAAACACCATAGTCATAAGAGAGATGGTACACACAATAAAACTCTGTTTTACAAATGAGTACATCCAGATTTGAGAAAGAATTGCATTGCATTTGGCCAAGGTCACTGTTCTGGTCATTACTGGAGCCAAAATATGAACTCAAGTTTTCTGACTTTCCAGTCAAATGTTCTTTACACGTGCAAAACAGATTAGTGTTCAACTGGTGTCATCCAATGCTATAGTAGTGTACGTAATCAAAACTTGCTTCTCCTTCCAAGAAAACATGGAAAGAAAAAAGAGAAATCTGTCATTTTCCTCCTGAATGAGGGGGAACATGAGGGAGAAATATGTTTGATTTGGGGAACAATGTTGTTATCTTTGTTGATGGGTAAAGGCAGCATTTTAGAATAATCAGAAGCCTATTTTCATTCTCCAAGAGCTTTGTTTATTGGCGAGTTTCTATGCTATCCTGGAAGTACAACAGATGCCTGGAGTGTCTGTAATGAACTTTGCATACATTAGTATGCTTGGCAATTAGAATTGCCTGCAGGTCCTCATGGATGACTTCTGTTCTCTTTTTTCTTGATATGTTTTACTTTCACAGTGAAATCGTTAATAGAGGCACCCCTACCTGGTTCGGGGTCATCAGGATCCAGTGTTTGGCATGGTGGGACAAGCAAATTATAATCCGATAGTAGTTACCCAGGACCCCACTTTCCTTGCCAAGGAGAATGGGAAAGGAATTCAGAGACTGCCAAACAATCTCATTTGGTTGGAATGTACACAAATTAATTATTTCCTGTAGCATTATTGAATCATATTCTCACAGATACTACTGAAAATAATTTTTAAATCAAGAATTTGTTTGCATATAATTCTCTAGTTAAAAGAATAATCCAAAATGAAATTCCCAAAGTCAATCTGAAATAATTCATAATATATTCTTTCAGTTTCTAAAACCTAAATACGCTCTTAAACCTGTTTGGGGTTTGGTCAGTTTTATTGCCTAGGTTGCAAACTGAAAGTCTTCTTTAATTTACATATTTTAGTAAGACATCGATTTATTCTTCAAACTGCCTCAAGTCTTTTCTATTCTTGCTACCCTCAGAGACTGCATTTTAATTTCCTACTAATAGCTGGCCAGAATAATGATACAGAGAAGACAAACATTTTAAAAAGAAATCCTGAACTAACTTAGATATTGTATTTTTAAAAATACCTGTACATGGTAAGAAAAATATCTTACAGAAAATATGGTTTTAGAGGATTAAAAATTATAAATATTAAATACAATTGAGAAACAGAGGAAACTAAAGTTCTAGAAGGCATTGGTTTCCAGCGCAAATTATACAAATTATACTTATCAGTTTTACCACCCTGCTCCGGTAGATAGGTTTCCCATATTAAATCACCTTCTGTAATTCTTCAGGTCAGCTGCTTCTAAGTGATATGGGATATGGTGGAATCATTAGATCCTGTGGTTGTGCATACATTGTTGCATCTTCTGTTGCCAGTTGGTCCCTTGATCAGAGGTGACATTAGTGAGATCTAGCTGTAAATCTGGTGTTCTTAAGTTCTTGGATACTGATGTTGTCTGTGTCTCTGAAACAAGGAAAAGGGAAGGTGAGTCCATAGCTAGAATATGCCTCAACAGAACTGGCTTCATAATTTGTGGGACCCAGTACAAATTGAGAATGCAGGGTCCTTTGTTCAAAAACGATTAAGAATTTCACAATGGATTACATCAGAGCATTAAAACTAAGCATGTGACTCATCTATGTCTGGGGTCTGTGCAGCTTTGCAGGTGGCAAACCCACGAAGGCAGCCCCATGTATCAGTTCAGACAAGGATGAATTTCTGCCCTCTCCATGTGTGAAGGAGTCTGAGATTATGAACTTGCTATCAAAGGTTAGTTAGTATCCTTGAGAAATGGTACCACATTGAAGGTGTCCGGGTTGGGCTCTGCTATTGGCAGATCAGGCACTCAGCTGAGGCAGAAGTTACATCAGACTTTTGAGAGGAGCAAAGCCTTTCAGTGACCACTGTGGCCACTACATTCATAATCCCATAGTGCAAGCACCAGAGGGTACAAAAGACAGGCTGGTGACATTTTGGTTGCTGATTTTTCCCTTCTGCAGTGGATGCTTTCTGGTGGGCATTAATGTGAAACCTGCACACTTTTATGCTTTCTCCCAGAGGCTCATTCATAAGCCTGCTCCAAGACTTTCCTATCTTTTTACTTCCAATATTGTTCATTGCTGAGATAATAACTGTTGTTTTCATCTACTAAGTTTGAGAGTAATTAGTTACACAACAACAGATAACTAATGCAGGCAGTAAAGAGATTCCCTTCTTAAGATCTTCGATCCCCTTACCTAACCCAGTGTAAGACCAACACATCTATGGTCAGTGACTGGTAGCAGAAAAAGTCCCTGCTTTCATGGAGGGAGACATGAATTAAACAAATAATAATGTAAAATGTAAGTTTATTTTGTACACTAATTTCGTTGAGCTCATAAATGAATATAATTTTCTAACTTTTCCCATTGAAATGCTTGAAATGTAGACGGCATCAATTCTGCTTCCAGTAAATTGGATCCCCTTAGTCAAAACAGTTTTTGAAGAGATAATCCACCCTCAAATGCAAGACATAAAGAAATGTAGAAAATAGGACATGTTCTACATACTGTCCAATTTTAACATAGCTTATGAATGGCAGAGGATAGAATCAAGTTTGAAATTAAGAAGAGGGAACTGGGTGCAGTGGCTCACACCTGTAATCCCAGCACTGTAGGAGGCCGAGGTGGGCGGATCACCGGAGGTGAGGAGTTCGAGACCAGCCTGGCCAACATGGCGAAACCCCATCTCTAATAAAAATACAAAAATTAGCCGGGTATAGTGGCGCACGCCTGTAATCCCAGCTACTCGGGAGGCTGAGGTAGGAGAGTTGCTTGAACCCGGGAGGCAGAGGTTGCAGTGAGCTGAGATCGTGCCACTGCACTCCAGCCTGGGAGACAGAGCAAGACTCCATCTCAAAAAAAAAAAAAAAAAAAAAAGGAAATTAGGAAGAAGGAAAGGGGAAATCACCACTGTTCTTTATCACATTTCCAAGAATCTGGGGTGTTCTCATCACATTTTCAGATTTGACCTGGGTGAGAGAAGAGACTTTTAAAAGCCTTTTTCCATTTCTCACGCCTATAGAAACACCAATTAAACTTTGGAAAACAATTACCACAGGAAAATAACAAAGGCTTTTCTATATTGCTATTGAAGAATAAAGAAGGAAGTTTACCTACTTGTTATTTATTGAAGAGAATTTTTTAAAGGATATGTCTCTTGGCTCCTTTCCTTGAGAACAGATCATTCTCTCAAGGACAAGAAGGACTATTCCTGTTGTAGTAAGTTAGAGGTTTCTTGGAGGATTCTTCAGGGGGGAATGTAGAGTACATGAGCATTTTATGGAAATAGATTAAACATAAGAAAATGCTAAGCACATGGCAGAAAAATATTTTATTCAAAGAGTTATATTAGGCTTCAAAGAAATCCCATAGCAAATATAATACTAATGTTAAGAACTACATTCAGCAATCATCTGTGACAATACATGAACCAGTGACATTCGGAAATGGATGAAGCAGAGCCAGAGAATAGAGCAAAACCAGATGTGTAATGTTTACACATTTACATTCAACTATGGATTTGTAATTAAAGGCTTTCCACAAGTTTTCTCTGATTATATTCTTCTAAAAAATTACCACGAAGTAGAAAAAGCTGGTATTATTTTCTTACAGACGAGAAAAAGTGAGCTACTTTGAGGATAGGCAACTTACCCCAGAAAGAATAAATAAGATTTCCTACTGTGACTCCTTTATTAGATGTTGTCTACATCATTTACTAGGACATTAACTTCTATTGAGGCCCAGCGTGGTGGCTCACGCTTGTAATCCCAGCACTTTGGGAGGCCAAGGCAGGTGGATCACGAGGTCAGGAGATCGAGACCATCCTGGCTAACAGGGTGAAACCCCGTCTCTACTAAAAATACAAAAAATTAACCAGGTGTAGTGGCGGTCGCCTGTAGTCCCAGCTACTTGGGAGGCTGAGGCAGGAGAATGGCGTGAACCCAGGAGGCGGAGCTTGCAGTGAGTCCAGATCGCGCCACTGCACTCCAGCCTGGGCAACGGAGCGAGACTCCGTCTCAAAAAAAAAAAAAAAAAAGACATTAGGGCTGTTCTGCAAAGCTTTGCATCTCTTCAGGAAGTAAAAAGTCGGTTTTCAGAGAAACTTTAGAACAAGATTATTTCTTTTAAAGAGGTAAGCCTCCCACCAAACTCTTCATCCTTTCCTGAATATCTTCTCTACTTTACCAGTTTTTTAAAAGGACCAAAATGCAGAAGAAAGATTTCAGAAAAACAAGCAAAAAACTTCAACTTTAATCCCTCTCAAAACATCTCAGAAGAGTGTGACCAAATGATATATAGATATTTTCCAAAGAACATTCTACAAAATGTTAGTCTTTTTTTATTAGAATCTTTCACCTACTAATGGACTCATTATTCATTCAGATTACAAATGTACTTTATAATAGAGCGAATGTATTTATAGCATGCAAATACAGGTAGGTAAAATCATAGCACAATTTAGCTATTTCTAATAGATTTATATGGCTATACATGCTCCAGGAGAATAAAATGTATAGGTTTCAGAGTCAGAATATATTCAAATCTTGATCGTACTTCTGTGGAGTAATTACTAGTAAAGGCCTTTCAACATTTTTAAAGAAAATCTCTCCTTCTTAAGATCATTATCTAAAACCTACTCTAAACTAATAGTTTGCCATTCTTAGATTTTCTTACATAATGCTTTCCTCATGTTTATATGCTTAAATTTCACCATCATTAATTTTCCTCTCAGATTTATTCAATATTTTTTCATATGTTTAATTTTTTAAGCAGCATTCCATTTTTTAAGCACCCTGTTTTAAATGGGTATGTATGTCACTCAACCAAGAAATTAGTGCACAAGTATTAATCCTATCATGACAAACTGTGTGCATGAAATTTCATAGTAATCTTTTAATCAAATAAAATAAGGCTCTGAGCCTATCTCCCCCACACTGGAAGGGAATTCAGTCTCAGTTCTGAAAGCCATCCTTTTGCCCATTCACCTCCAAATGATTGAGCAAATGGCCTACTTTTTGAATTTTGAAGCAAAAAATAAAGATGTATGAGACATAAACTGTTTCTAAAAATTTATGTGCCATAATAGCATTCTCTAAACCTTCCTTTTCATTTAATATGGCTCAGTTTATTTGTTTTATGATTCTGGAAACAGAGACAAGTTCAGTTTACCTCAGGTAATGGGGTTTATCCTCAGAATGGGTAGCAAAATAGACTGTACTTAAATTTAAAAGGAAAAAGAAAACAGTAAGAAAAAAAAATAGATTCACCCTCCAGTTTTCCAGGATCTTGCAATGTGAAATCTTATGCAAACCTGTTCTCCACAAGCAGTTGTGAGATTTAACATTCCCACTTTTACATTCCTATCTACTAAAGTTTACATGTTGGCAGTCCTCTTACCAAGGCATTCACCTTTACTAACCAACCAAAAATCTAGATTTAATATAGGATTAATTGGTCATTGTAGCTTAATGGGTTAATATCCTCATTTTCAATTTCTTTTAAGGAATTTGATGACTTATTCCAAACAAAAACTTTAGACACCATGATGAAGTTGGAAGATGATATTAGATTGGGATGGTCTCCATTACCATTCCAGTCAAATACTAGGTTGGTGCAAAAGTAATTGTGCTTTTGCCATTATTTTTAATTAAAAGTAATGAAAGTACAGCATTTTTTGGCACCAATCTAACAATATCACTTGAAGTGGTCTTATTACCTTTACGAGTTGTATGGTAATGACAATAATGACAATACCTCACTGATTGTAATCAGTAGAAAAATATCTGTAATGTAAATATCAAATCATCAAAATTGCTATATAACTTGAGTACTACAACTAAATATGGCCATGAGATTTTAGTTCTTTCAAAGACTCCATGCATTACATTTTCCAAATTTATTTCACATGGTAATAAGAAATATGCTAAATTACTTACCACAATTTCAACAAATAAATCATTATATATAAGAAGATTTAGAATCTAAAGAATATGAAATTGAAAACAATGAAGTAAATTTACTAAGCTTGCAAAGCTAATTGATGGTGTTGGGGGTCAGAAAACAATATCTCAAAATATGGCACTTTGTCATGCTGAACTAAAGAAGCCGACTCAAAATCTGTCTGACCTCCCCACTCCTGTCTCTCAATCTCTGTCTCTCCTAAAGCACAGGATGAGGTTGTTCTCTGAAGTTCCCTTATCTCTCTAGAAACCAGACAGCCAAAGAGTAACAAAATTGCCTTTGATCCCCTCCCTAAAATTTTATTAACTAGAAATTAAAACTCATATCCAAAGAAAAATACTGAAAATTAAACACTACACCTAGAGCTCAGACTAACTTTTCCCCAACTATTGTCTTTTTCTGGTCCCATTCAATTTCCAAAGAGAATCATTTACTTACCATTGTTTAAACATTAGGCCCATTCATTTCCCAAAAAAATCATTTACTATCCTTCAAAATGACCACATTTTCTCCATCTCCTCTTCCCCTATGAAGAAGGATATACAAATATCTGGACCTCATTGGGTTATTGGCTGATCATTCTCCTGTGATTCACTTGTGCTTATGCACATTGAATAAGTTTACACCAACCTAATAGTCATTTTCTCCTGTTAATCTGCCTATTGTCACTTCATTTTTAGCAAACCTTAAAAGGGTGAAGAGAAGGTTTTTGTCTTCACTCCTACAATAAAACACCTGGGAGAAGATCCCATATCTCTAAGAAATTTGCTACAGCTTTTTTTCTGCTATACCATGTTGCATTTCATTATTACAATGATGTTACCTATTAATATTTCATAACACCCTAATACATTAGAGAATAGTCCTAAATTGTTTACTAATATTCCTGAATTCTTGAATACTGTATTCAATGTTAAGCAAAAATTATTGCTTTCAAAAATTATAATTTAATTACTTAATAGTTTTTGTCTGTAACATAGTTAAATTAAGGCTTTCAAAATGTTTTATGAAAACATGTATCAGAAATTAAGCACTTCTCTTTATTTTAATCTAGTTTAGTATGACCCTGTAGACTTGCTCTTTGTGGTGCATAAATTTTAGAAAAACCTGGCCAGGCGCAGTGGCTCATGCCTGTAGTGGCTCACACTCTTTGTGTTGCATAAATTTTATATAAGCCTGGCACCAGCACTTTGGGAGGTCTAGGCTGTTGGATTACCTGAGGTCAGGAGTTCAAGACCAGCCTGGCCAACATGGTGAAACCTCGTCTCTACTAAAAATACTAAAATTAGCTGGGCGTCATAGTGCATGCCTGTAATCCCAGCTACTTGGGACGCTGAGGCAAGAGAATCGCTTGAACCCAGGAGGTGAAGGTCATTGCAGTGAGCCGAGATCATGTCACTGTACTCCTGCCTAGGCAACAGAGCAAGACTATCTCAAAAAAGAAAAGAAAAAAGAAAAATATAAGCCCAAATTGTTTAGAAATAGCTTGATATTTGAGGTTAGTTCAGTGCATAGATCAGTGACCTTCTTTTTACTTGTGTGCCATGACATATAAACAAAAGTTAAAGAAAATAAAAAGAGGAAAAGTGGGAGAAAATGGAGAGTAAAAAGTAATTATGTGTCATTCAGTCATGTAATAAATATTTATTGAGCATTTACTGTGTACAGCACATGGTGGTAAATGTAGTAGGTATAAAAACAAATAAGAATTCATGTATATCAATAATTATAATATTCTTATTAAAAATCCACAGTAGAAAAGTACATTTGTAATTTAAAAAAATGAGTCCCATGAGGCTTAGCCATGGCAATTATATCCTTTAAAGATTTCTTTCAAAAAACCAGTCTGCTTTCACAAAATATTTAAAAGCTATTCAGCACTTTAACTGAATCTCTCTAATGGCATCAAAGAGGATCCAGCACAAGGGCCCACAAGCAACACTTATTGAAACCTGTTCCCATTACTTAATCTCTTATACCACATCATCCAACTCCATATGCTGAATTTCCAACTACAATTCTCTAACACTCTACCAACTTTGGCTTTTTTTTTTCTAATTCCCTTTCTTTCTGTCACTATTCTATATTAATCTGCCTTCTTAATAAATATCAACATTTCCAGATTGGAATACAATTTTAAAAACTTCTTTAGTACTGCCTGTCTTTACTGTTTTTCCTCTATTCTGTGTCAAACAAGTCCAGAAACCAAGTTAGAACAGAAAGAATTATCCTTAGAGAAAGCTAAAGGACAAGCAGTTTCAACTTAGTGAGTAGAGAGGACAAAACTCTACAAGCACACATAATTTATGTGTTCATCATGAACATCATAACATGGTGACATGGATAAGAGCCACTGAACCAGACTTAGAGAGATTACACATAGGTTTCATGGAGAAAAAGAAACCTGAGCTGCAATATAAGGAATGAAAAAGAGGAATCAAAAAAAAATTGCGGACAAAGAGGAAGACATTCAAGAGAAAGGGAAACATGAACCAAAGTATTGAGTAAAAAACAAACCAACAAACAAAAAAAAAGTGGTGTAATTTGTGGATCAAACTACAAATAGAAATAGTTTAGTTTTACTGAATCAAAAATTTAAGGGACAGAATAATACATGATGAGTCTACCAAAGCCAGCCATGAATAAAATCACAAGGGCTTCTTAGGACATGTTAATACCTTTGAATTCTTTTTGCTCAACAGAAATTTGCTAAGATATTCTTTAAATGGGATTATAGATTGCAATATTCCTCCTAAAGATATTAGCCAAACATTAAATGGGATTGGCTAATACATGAATGAATGAGGAGAATAGTGCTGGAAAGAAAAAAGGAGGAAAAGGAATTTCTGTTTTCAGTTCTGATATATAAACAGCTTAGAGGTCAGCACTCACTTCTTTATGGGGAAAAAAAAAAAGCTTGAAGAAAATAAAAATAAATCAGTTTCCCAAGAGAAATTTTAAAAACATTTTTAACTAAATGGAAATACAACTTAGCAAAATGTGTGAGATGCAGTGAAAGCTGTACTTGAAAATTTATAGTATATAAATGCACATATTAGAAGATAAGAAAGATCTAAAATAAAAAATCTGAGTTCCCACCCCAGGATATTAGAGAAAGAAGAGCAATTTTAGCCTAAATTGGAAGAAGGTAAAAGAAAGTTGAGTAGAATCAAGCTGAAAACAGAAAAGAAATAGATTAAATGACAAAATCAAAAGCTGATTCTTTAAAAAGATCAGTAAAATTGGCAAACTTCTACCCAGGCTAACATGAAAGAAAAGAGAAGATACAAATTACCAGTGTCCGAAATGAAAGGGAGAGCATCCTCGCTGATCCCATGGGCATTAAAAAGAAAATAACAAAATACAATGAACACCTGCATATCCATAAATTTGATAACTTAGATGAAAAGGCCAAATCCTTTGAAAGACACAAAGTTCCAAAACTTATATAAAAGAAATAGCTCCTTACCTATTAAAGAAATTTGACCAATAATTTTTAAATCTTCCAAAAAATGTAATAGTCTCAGATATTTTTACCGATGAATTCTACCAAAAGTTAAGAAAGAAATGGTACAAATTCTCCATAATTTCCTTTTAGAAAGTAGAAACGAGGAAGACTTTTTAACTTTGTGTGTAGACTGCATTAAACTAATGCCAATATCAGATAAATAAATTCTGAGTGTAGGAGAAAGAAAATATTTTTTTCTTCAGCACTCATAGATTCTTAGTTGGGACAGAACTCTGTAATAAAAGATAGATTAACAAGAGGAAAAAAGCACATAATTTTATTAACATGTATATTTCACATATACATGGAAGACATCAGTCAATGAGTAGTTCTCAAAGAGGTGGCTTTGAATTCTAGCTTATAGAGCATCTTCAACAAAAAACAGTAACTTTTTAAAGAAGTGATGATACAAAGGAAAAGATATTTGAGTTTCTTGTGGCAGCAACTTGTGTGAAGGCAAGTAAATGGCATATAAAGGCTAATTAGTTATTTCAGTCCATTTTGTGCTGCTATAAAAAAAAACTCTAGACTAAGTAATTTATGAAGAAAAGCGGTTTATTTGGCTCATAGTTCTGCAGGCTGCACAAGAAGCAGGGAACCATCATCTGACTGGTTTCTGGTGAGGGCTTCTGGGCTATGTGAAAACATGGTGGAGGCCAGGCACAGTGGCTCATGCCTGTAATCCCAGCACTTTGAGAGACTGAGGCAGGCAGATCACTTGAGGTCAGGAGTTCGCAATCAGCCTGGCCAAGACAGCAAAACCCTGTCTCTACTAAAAATACAAAAACTGGCTTAACGTGGTGTCTGGCACCTGTAGTCCCAGCTACTTGGGAGGCGGAGGAAGGAGAATCACTTGAACCCGAGAGGCGGAAGTTGCAGGACTCTGTCTCAAAAAAAAAACCAAAACAAAACAAAACAAAAAAACCATAGTGGAGAAAGGCAGAAGAGAAGCGGGTATGTGCAAAGAGGAGCCAGACCTGAGGAGTGTCCTTGCTTTATAACAATCCACTTTTATGGGAACTAGGTCCTTCCCCCAAGAGCTAATTCAGTCTCAAAACAGAGCAAGAACTCACTCACTATCATGAGAACAACAACAAGCCCTTCATGAGGGACGGGTCATCATGATCCAAACATCCCCCACTAGGCCCCACCTCTAAGCACTGCCACACTGAAGATTAAATTTCAACATGAGATTTGGAGGAGACAAATAAACCATATCCAACCATAACGTAAAGCTTGTTTGTGCAGATTCCTCTGGTACTATCTCCAGATAAAAGGAGTCTAAAGTTGTGTCCAACAGTTAAACTTTGTTCTCCTTGGTAGAAGGGAGCAGGATAGATTCTGTCTTTGGTAAATCTATGTCCTGCTATTAGACCAACAGAGGGAGGGCCGGGAGCTTTCCAGCATCTGCTTCTTGTTCTTTGCAGAACAATCCATGTCTTGAGACAGCATTCTGGTCTCCCACACAAGAAAAAGAAACTGTAGACCAACATCTTTCATAAACATAGATATAAAAATTTTTAACAAAATTCATTTTGGTATATGTGATGAGAAAACTCCTTGCCAAATGAAGAACCACCCTCCATAAGCAGAGGGTAAACTCAGACCAAAGAAAGAAACAGGTTGGTAGGTAGTCAAACACTTATTCAGGGGAAACTGACATACCAGCCGCTTGAATGTCAGTTTCAAGGGCAGCAAGACAAGGTAGATCTTCGTGCTTGTGATGCATGTCTGACCTGTCTCTTATGCCATGTAAAGAAAAAGGAGACCCAACATGGTGGCCCACTCCTGTAATCCCAGCACTTTGGGAGGCCGAGGCGGGTGGATCACCTGAGGTCGGGAGTTCGAGACTAGCCTGGCCAACATGGAGAGACCCAGTCTTTACCAAAAATACAAAAACATTAGCCAGGCTTGATGGCGCATGCCTATAATCCCAGCTACTGGGGAGGCTGAGGCAGGAGAATCACTTGAACCCGGGAGGCAGTGGTTACAGTGAGCTGAGATCACACCATTGCACTCCAGCCTGGGCAACAAGAGGGAAACTCCATCTCAAAAAAAAAAAAAAAAGAAAGAAAAGTCACTAGTTGTGTGTTAACCCATCTGGTTGCTTTCTTAATCTATTTACTTTCTTCTTAAAGGGATGCTTTGGGTTTCCTGCAATCTGATCAACATTCCTAAGGAAGGAGAAGGTGTTCTGGGCAGCAGTAGTTATTTTGGTCCTCAACTCAGTGCATCCTGCAACTCACTTCTTGGTCATATAGCCAGAACACATTTTCACAACACTAAGATTCTGGTTAGTGAAGGCTACAGGAAACTCAATCTTGAGATTTTAGAGGGTCAAAGTTTGGCAGCAGCCATTTTGTAGCATACACTAGTTGCTGATCTGCTGGCTTACCTCATTGACTGACATAAAGGAGCAGCTAAACAAAACATGTTTGTGTAGCTTTGTAAAACAAAGGGCTCCAGCTTCTGCAGCATATTCTTGTCATCGAGGCCAGAGGCAACAAAAATGCACATGAGGCCAGGCTTGGTGGCTTACACCTATAATCCCAGCACTTTGGGAGGCCAAGGCAGGCGGATCACTTGAGGTCAGGGGTTCGAAACCAGCCTGGCCAACATGGTGAAACCCCGTCTCTACCAAAACTATAAAAAATCAGCTGGGCATGGTGGCACACACCTGTAATCCCAGCTACTCGGGAGGCTGATGCAGGAGAATTGCTTGAACCCGGGAGGTGGAGGTTGAAGTGTGCCGAGATCATGCCACTGCACTCCAGCCTGGGAGACAGAACGAGACTCCTCCATCTCAAAAAAAAAAAAAAAAAGCACATGAGTTTCTACCTATCCTGTGGGTTTAAGTGTGTTCTCATGAGGTGCTAGCCAGCTCCTGATCTTCTCTTCCTGTCTGCCTACCCTGTGAACTTCAGGCTCCAGCATCAATCACAATCTGACATAGTCTTATTGTAGAAACTGTTTAACCAGCCCCCACAATGACATAAGCCAATTCCTTGTGATAAATCTCTATCATCTATCTATCTATTATCTATCTATTTATCGACAATATTCTGTTTCTGATCCTATAATTGATATTAGCAGTGACTCTAGTATGAGTTCTAATGAAATACCAAGGCTAAAGAGAAAATCAAAGTAAGAAATTATTTTAAAATGTTATTTTTAAAAAGTATGTAGAGAACCAGTTCATTTCGTTTTGGAAGCCAGGGAAAAACAGACATTAAATATCAACAATGTCAAATACACCATATGGCTCTACTAAAGTAAAGGCTCGATGTTATCTCTTGGATTTAGCAGTTATACAATCACTCTGTACCTTAGTTAAGGAAGTTCTTATAGATCTATAAGTGTAGAAGCAGTTTGTGGCTGATTTGAGAAATGTATAAGAGGTGAGAATTTAGAGCTAGTGATTATAGCAACCTCTTTCCAGAAAATGAGAAAATTTAAATAATAACTGCAAGAGAGTTAAGAATTATTTTTTGTATTAAAAATGGAGAGACTTGGGCATATATAAACTGCATAGGATAAAATCACATAAGCAATATTGAATGTTCATGAGAAAATATTTGTGATGGATAGAGCAATATCTCAGTGAAAGCAGTAGAAAATGAAACCTGAGGATACATGGAGATGTTGGCCTTCAACACAACTCATTCTCTGATATTAATGACAAAATATTTTCCTAATAGGGTAGAAGAAAAAAAAGGAAAGAAACATGAAGAGTCCATATAGTCTTCCAGCAAAAGTACTTTTGATGCATAGATAGGATTCAAGGTTGGTGTCAGAACTTACTTCAACGTGATCATAAGTCACTGTAGGGTATTTCACACAATTTTCATACATGGGAAATCAAATCGCATCAAATACCAATATCAACTTAGAAGGGAGAAAAAAAGTTACAATAGGGTAATTACTGTGAAAGCAAGAGTCAGTCCTACCTATTATTCATAAACAAGACTGATTATTTTTATAAGCAAAAGATCTTCAGGTTTCTCCTTCTCCTACTCCTTATCACCAGGCAGGAGGGAAAATTACCTTCTATAACTTTGTCCTTGTGTCTAATCAGCTAAGTTTGTTATTCAAAAGATGTGAGCACAGTGGTTCACGCCTGTAATACCAACACTTTGGGAGGCCGAGTGGGGTGGATCACGAGGTCAGGAGATCAAGACCATCCTGGCTAACACGGTGAAACCCCATCTCTACTAAAAATACAAAAAATTAGCCGGGCATGGTGGCGGGCTCCTGTAGTCCCAGCTACTCAGGAGACTGAGGCAGGAGAATGGCGTGAACCCGGGAGGTGGAGCTTGCAGTAAGACAAGATCGCACCACTGCACTCCAGCCTGGGCGACAGAGTGAGACTCCATCTCAAAAAAAAAAAAAAAATGTGAGAGTCTGTTAAAAGAAATGTATCCATGCTTTGCGCTTAAGATGTACAAAGTTTCCTGGAATATGCCAACCCAAAGAAATGCCGTCATTCAGGTGTTTAGATCCCAGTGAAGGAACTCTGTAGAAGCAGGACCCAGGAACGTCCAATAATACATGTTGCTGTACCGTCCTATTGCCCAACACACACATATACACAAAAACTCTCATATCTTTACTAAAACATTTGTAAAAAAAATAATCATTAGCTAGGTCATAATTTTTATCTGGTGATGTTATGAAAATGTCACATGTTCTTATAAAAACGTGCTTTTGTTCATTTCTGCTACTGGTGCTAAGTAACTACTTGCTCCTGGGTAATAGTCAATTCATTTTCTCTCAGATTTACAACATCTGGATTTGTAATATAGGGTTTAATTTTATACATAAACTAGAGCTCAGCCTTTCCATTGATGGACACACCCAGGAAGTATAATATGCTTTGTGTAAAGCTTGAGTTTATGTTTATTAAACTAAAAAAAGGTTGAGGGGAGGTCTGCCAAAATTAATTACTGCATGAAAAAGTCAGTGTTGCTTTCTTAAGGGTAAAAGATCAGATGGATTATATAAAACTTTCCCAGAAAAAGTAGGTTATAATTAACTCTACTCAAAACAAGAAAGATATTTCTACTGCATGAGCAAACAGAAAAGATAAAACTGAAATAAAAAGTTTAACTTAAATTACTATCTTAACAAAACAGCAAAAATCCCGGACAGATAAACATTGTTTCTTGCTGTTATTTTCATTGTTAATTAATGTTTTGTTTGTTTGGTTTTTATTTGTTTTGGGTCCTGTTTCTTGTCAGTCAAATATGTGGACCGTTTTGACTCATTTTGTCAAGAAGACCTGGACAACAGTAATTTATTATTTATTTGATAATATTTTTTGAGCCACTACAATAATTCTGACATCAAGAACCCAGAAATAATTATGATGCAGAACTCATTGCCAAAAGGCAATACTGGAGACATACTAGTAATTAAAGCATTGTGCAATATAATTTATTATTTTCTCATTATTGCCCACATGGCTCTCTCTTATTGCCCACATACTTCCCTCTTATGGCACTAGAATATTTTTACATGCCTGTCTCTCCATATTATGATCACTTTTGAAAGGAAGAACAGTATATTTGAACACTATGCTTAGTGCCTAGTACAGTAACTGGTAAACAACAATACTTACTAAATATATATTGAATTAATTGAATTCTGAAATGTGTGCTGCTGAAGAGTCTCACAAAAGGATTATCCTTTTAGGGGAGAAAGATTTCTTTTCTCATCTGATATGAGTTGCATCTGTGTCCCTGCCCAAATCTCATGTTGAATTGTAGTTCCCAGTGTTGAAGGTGGGGTCTGGTAGGAGGTGATTGGATCATGAGGTTAGATTTCTTCTTTGGTACTGTCCTTGCTATAGAGAGTTCTCATGAGATCTGGTTGTTTAAAAGTGTGAGGCACCTCCTCCTTCTGTCTTCCTCCTGCTCCTGCCATTTGAAGTGCTGGCTTCCCCTTTGCCTTCTGCCACAATTGTAAGTCTCCTGAGGCCTCCCCAGAAGCTGAGCAGCTGCCGCCATGCTCCCTTTACAGCCTGCAGAATCGTCAGCCAATGAAATCTGTTTTCTTAATAAATTACTCAGTCTCAGGTATTTCTTCATAGCAGTGTGAGAATGGCCTAATACATCACCCATTACTAGGTTCACAATGGAGAGTGTTATAACAAAAAACTAGATTATCAAGAGAAAAGCATACATATTTATTTAATATAAATTTTATATCACACAACAGCCTTCAGTAATGAAAACTCAAATAAAGAGATAAACTTGGGCATTTTTACACTTAGGTTTAATAAAGAGTGGACAGTCATGGAGAAGTATGATTGGACAAAGAGGGTATAACCTAATACTAATGAACAGGGGTGGGGGCCTTAACAAGGCCTATTTACTCAGATTCTTCACTGTGCCCCTGAGCTTCAAATGTAAAGATGTTCCTTTGCTCTAGGTATAGGGAGGGCTGTTCTCAAGTAAGGGTCTTATGACCCGCTTCAGAGGAGAAAGGTGGGAGTGATCACAGAGTGACCTTCCTAGGTATTAATACCAGCTTCAGGGGAAAAGGGTCAGGGGAAGGTGAGAATGGCCTTCTTGAGTCTGCTGTTTTCTCAAATGCCAAGGTGCTGTATTTTGGGTTAGTGTGTCCTAAACCCATCATCATGAAAGCAGAAAAAGGAGGAAATTACATGTTCGAAACCACAGTAGAATGAAAGTTTGAGGACTATGTGGGAAACCAAGTAATCCAGCATGGCTAGATGAAAGGCTAACTTGGAAGAAATGAGAGCCGGTTAAGCTAAGAAGATTGGTTCTATTCCAATGATAAATGTCCTGGTGTCTCATGCCAGAGTCAGAACTTTCCTCTGTAGACAAAGGAGGGTCACTAAAGGTTTTTGAACATGATAGTAATGACTATATAATTAAATCAAATTATCTGTGTTTATGATTGCACTATGGGAAAATGGCCAGTACAGTTTTACCAAATTTGGAGGATATAGTTGAGATGGTCTATGTGCCAAGCTCAAAATTATGAAAGCCGGTCATTTTTGAGGATTCCTCAAATAAAATAGTTTAAAACTGAATTAGAACAAGAGCAATATTTTACTCCAATCTGGGGTAATATTGCATACATATCAAGATATGATGAACAGGGAGGAAACAATGGCTTTATATATAAGCCCTAAATTGAAAATCATGAAGGCATAATACTTTCATAGATAGGCTAGGCCTTAGTCTTTTAACGGCTAGTTTTTAAAGTTAACTTCAGGATGAGATGTTAAAATAAGACACTCAAATACCATAATATTGACGATATGATGGGTTAACTTAAGAAACAAATTGATTTGGGTATAGATATTGTAGAGAAGGAAAAATATCTTTTTCTCTACATATTTCAGGTTTTCCAAATAGGGCACTGTAAATTAGACTCCTCAAAGACAGATATGAAATTAAATAATTCACACTTAAAGCTGTTGGAATTTTAAGTTATCATGGGCCTTCAAGAAATGTAGCTATGCAACCTGAGTTACAAGGCATGCAGCTGCAACTTCTGCCTTTTTTTCTGTGAATAATTAAGACCAGATGGTGCCAGAGATAAGGACCTCCCACCCCCATTGGATCACTACCCCTCCTCAAGGAGTAATAAAATAATCTTGCCTGGAATGTAGCAACCAGTAACCAAACAAATCACTGTGGCATATGTTCCTGGTCTTGTATGGAAAATGTTATAATTCTACTAGAACTTTTCTGTCTCTGCTTATATAAGTAAAACCCTAACTCTTCCGCTCTGGAAACACTGACCCCATTTGTTTGCAGTCAGTGTTTTCCCAGATGGCCATCCTGAAGTTTTGCACTGGAATAAACTCTATGTAATCATGTTTTCTGAATCTCATTATTTAAGGTTGCCATTCTGGCAACCACAAAGGGATAAAAACAGACCTCTAATAATCTCTGTCACTTTTCTGACAGCCAGAGCCATGGTACCAGCATGAACAGCTTTCATTCATCTGACTTCACCAGAGCCAATGGGATCTCTGGTAAGGCCCCTCTTTGTCTGAATCCTCCTAGATTTGCTTGAGCTGCACACATATCTAACTTAACAAGGTTGGAATTGAAGCTCTGCTGTAAGGTAGTTTTATTTGTTATTCTCTAGAGATTCAGCCGATTGCAGCTTTGTGGTTTTCACTTTTCTCTGAGGTTAAGGTTTTGTTTGAGATTACTCATAGTTATCAGAACCTTTTCTCATGTTCAAAATTTTGGTCAGGGAGACAACAGTTTCCGAAAGGAGGAAGTGAATCTTTATGGCTTATGCAAAAAAAAAAAAAAAAACCTTTAAAACTAGCCAGATTCTGAAACTCAGTTCAATTAATACATCTAAGCTTTTTCCATGAATAACCAGAGTTATAAAAGGCTCTATGAAAATAAGTCCTGAAAAAAGAGGTGCCTCTTCCTCCCAGCCAAAGGTACCTTAGGCAACTAAGGTCTCTTAGGAGTGTTGAAGTTTATTGCTTATTATTTGAAACAGGAATTCCTTATGAACATACAAGGAATCTTCCTTAATCCAGTGGGCACACATAAAGGTTTATCACCTGAAGCCTTAAGCACCCAAGTTTCTTGGGATCACTGAGACACATAGAGTGAAGAAATGACTCAAGGTGACACCTTGAGAAGCTATTCCCATAAGCAATACACCTGATTCCAAACACTTTCCACTAGGTTTTCAATCATTCAGAAAGAAAAATGAAAATTATGGACAATCGTATCTCTAAAACTGAGTCTTCCTCCTTAAGGAGAGATCCACCATTAGAAATACCAGCTGTTGCAAACCCCCATATGTTGTTGATTGCCTTCCCAACTGAAGGTGAATTCTTTACTCTAACAGACCTACGTCATGAATTTTTTTAGCATTCCTGTGGATAAAGGGAATTCATTTCTCTTCACCTTCACCTGGTAAGACAGACAATGCACATGGACAATCATTTCTTAAGAATATACTCAAAAGACAACTTCTTTTTTACAAATATTCAAAGCAGACCTTTCAGATGTTAATTTCCCTAAGAAAACCACCTTTATATGGTATGTAGATAACTGACTTCTCTGCTCAGAGTAGAAGCAAGCCTCCATAGAGGATGGAATTTCTTTTTTTTTTTTTTTTTTTTTTGAGACGGAGTCTCGCTCTGTCGCCCAGGCTGGAGTGCAGTGGCGGGATCTCGGCTCACTGCAAGCTCCGCCTCCCGGGTTCACGCCATTCTCCTGCCTCAGCCTCCCAAGTAGCTGGGACTACAGGCGCCCGCCACTACGCCCGGCTAATTTTTTGTATTTTTAGTAGAGACGGGGTTTCACCGTTTTAGCCGGGATGGTCTCGATCTCCTGACCTCGTGATCCGCCCGCCTCGGCCTCCCAAAGTGCTGGGATTACAGGCGTGAGCCACCGCGCCCGGCCTGGAATTTCTTTATCATACAATTAACTTCAAAGGAATACAAGGCCTCAAAAGAAAAACTTCAGTTTTGTCAGAAACAAGTAAGATATTTAGGTCACCTAATATCAAAGGAGGACCTTTTTATCAATCTGGATAGAATGAAAGGATTACTAGTCTTCCCTACCCCCAAAACTAAGAAACAATTGAGAGGATTTGGGGGATTAGCAGGATACTGCAGAAATTGGATTCCAGCCTTTTTCTTTAAAACTCAACCTTTATATCTTCTTTTAAAACAAGATAAGCCAGACCTCCTGGAATAGACAGTGGAAAATCAGTTACCAACGTAAGAAATCTAAAAGAGTGTTATAGATGCCCCAGCCTTAGGACATCCAAATTATAATATTCCTTTTTCATTATTTGTTCATGAAAATCTTAGAAACAACTTAGGTGTTCTGAGTCAAATCCATGAGATCAAAATAGACCTGTAAGATGCTATAGTCAATAGTTGGATTCTGTGGCTGAAGGATTGCCATTTGCATGAGAACAGTAGCTTCTATAGCACTGTTAATAAGAGCAACTGAAGAAATAATGAGACCTCTCCTCACTGTCTTTGTCACATTCTGTGGGAGTGCTTCTAAATTCACATCACACTCAACAGTATTTGGTTTGTAGAATGACTTTTTATGAAGTTCTTTCTCTCTCTGCTCCCCATATTACAATTTCCAGATGAAATAATCTAAATCCTGCCACTCTTCTGCCCTGCCTTCAGATGGCATGCTGCATGATTGCATAATCTTAACTGACCAGCTTCTTTCTCCTGGAACGGACCTGAAAAAAAAAAAACCCTTACTAACACTAATAGTATTTGGTTTACAAACGAGTCTTACTTAAAGGATGAATCTGGAATTTATCACGCAAGTAATGCCATAGCATCTTTGGCTTAAAAATTTGAAAGTGCACATCTTCCAGGAGCAATCTCAGCCCAACAAGCAGAGTGAATAACATTAATTAGAGCCTAACAGTTGGTAAAAGGAGTGAATGTTAATATTTATACAGATAGCAGATATGCTTTCAGCGTAGCTGAAGACTTTCAAGATGCTATGGAAACAAAGAAGGTTTTATCCTCTTCCAGTCAGTCCATAAAAAACAGATGCCTTGTTTTAAATTTATTGGAAGTCATACTATTACCAAAATCATTAACTGTTGTCAAGAGTCTGGGCCATTAAAGTCAGACACTCCAGCAAGCATATAAAATCAGTTAGCAGATAGTACAGCAAAAAAGGCTACCCTAAAGATATCTGAATAAGAAAATTGGCCCATTTTAGTTTTTAAGGAAGCACCTAATTTTGATATAGAATTATCTCAATACAAAGCTCCAAAAACAGAACAAGAGACTCTGGAAACAAAAGAGGAAATGTACGCCTCCAAAACTAGACTGTGATATGGTCCAAATGGTCTACCCTCACTTCCAACCAAAATACAGTCATCTTTCTTAATTTATGTACAGGACTTAACTCCTGAGAGCCTCAATAAAAAGATTGCTTGGGGAAAACAGTATATTGAAAACATTCTTCAACTGTTGCTTATAAGGTATACAATGACTGCAATAGCTGCCCAAAACAGACCTTTACATAGTTCTCAAGGTCATATTTCTTTACCAAAAGGCCCTTTTGAGGCATCGCAGCTAGATTGTATTCAGCTACCACCATCACATTCTAGTTTTCTCTTTGGATAGAAACATTTCAATACAGAAGAGCAACAGCCTTAGCAGTAAGTAATATTCTCTTAGAGAAAATTGTTTCAATTTAGGAGTTCCTCTAGAACTCGATAATGATAAAGTTATTCATTTTACTGATACATAATCTAGTCAGTATGAAAAGTCTGGCCCATTCTCCAACATTTTCATTGTGCCTCACCTTTTCATTTACATTAGTGAAACACACAAATGGAATAATTAAAACTCAATTTACAAAATTAACTGAGGTTTTTTAAGTTCCTTGGCCAAAAGCTCTCCATTGGTTTTGCTTAACCTAATATCAACACCTTTTGGTAAACACCAGAGGTCTCCATTTGAAGGTATAACGTGCACACCTATGAAATTGTCTCCAGGAAATTGTAAGTGTATGATATTAAAAGGGGATATGCTGTATTATTGCAGTGGCCTTATAAGACAGCTAACTAAAAACTGTAATTTAGTAAGACTCTTTCCATAGCAGGCTCCTGGGAGACAAAACACTCAAAGATCGCAGACATCAACCAGGAAATTTTGTCTGTTGGAAACAGTATCTTTCAAAGGACTCTGACCAAGGTGAAAGGGATCTTTTTAGGTGCTCCTAGCCAACCCTTGTGCCACTAAGCTGAAGGAATTGAATCCTGGATATATGTCACCCATTTAAGGAAAGCAGCTTTGCTAATTTGGACTTTATCTCAAACAACTGATAAAAAATTAAAATTCTTCAGAACCAACAAGGAGAAAAATATGACATCTGAGGTAGTCAGCTTTCCCAACACACCAGCCCCGGCCGGTATCCAAATAAACAAAACATTGATAATTGTTAATAGATAGGGAAGTTCCTACCAAATTTCTTTCTTTTTGTTGCTAGCTCTTATGTTTTGTTGTTATTATCACCAGCTGTTATCCATGAAATGAACCTCTCAGGACAATGACAATATATTATAGAAATACTTGTTGAGTATGCGACCTCATGTACCTCTCTGCTGGTTCTGGCCTCCCACAGTGGGTATCTCCTTTCTAAGAACAAGACTGGATAGAATATTGGAAATAGATACATGTTTCTCAAAAACAGTCATCAGTGCTTAACACCAGTATGACTAAGAAGGAGGTACATCACTAGCCTATTAAACACTTTACAAAACAAAGGACATGGGAAGAGCTTTTCTGTGTAAGAGACCAATTTGTCAGCTTTCACACTCATGCTGCCCCAATTGAAAGAGAAGACAACTGGATTTCAAAATAGTGCAACACAAATTTGGAACCGTTTGATCAGGCTTACCCATTCTTTTGGTCAGCTTATTCAGCTTGCCCGTTTATTTTGCAAACAAAAGAATCACACCAAATATTCATGGCCCAATAAGGCTAAAAATATGAAATAGATGCCTAAAAAACAGTGTGTCTGCATCATTCGATTACAGATTACTGATTGACATACCACTGAATGGGCACAGTGACCAAGCAATTATTCGCTAACTCCAGATAAAATGTCTTGGCTGTGCAGAGCCAGTCCATGGCCAGTTACCCCTAGGATGCTTAGGATGATGCTCTTGAGGTTATGCTTCAGCACAAGGTCGAATACTTTTTTTTTTTTTTTTTTTTTTTTTTTTTGAGATGGAGTCTTGCTCTGTCGCCCAGGCTGGAGTGCAGTGGTGCGATCTCGGCTCACTGCAAGCTCTGCCTCCCGGGTTCACCCCATTCTCCTGCCTCAGCCTCCGGAGTAGCTGGGACTACAGGCACCTGCCACCACGTCCGGCTAATTTTTTTGTATTTTTAGCAGAGACAGGGTTTCACCGCGTTAGCCAGGATGGTGTCGAACTCCTGACCTCATGATCCGCCTGCCTCGGCCTCCCAAAGTGCTGGGATTACAGGCGTGAGCCACCGCTCCCGGCCAAGGTCGAATACTCTTTCAAAGCCCACAGTCTTTCTCATTTACCATCTTGTTGGGTTCATTCTATACTCCATTGGCATTAATCATTTAGGTATTAATATAATCATTTAGCTTCCATCTTTTTGCCACAACTGGGTATTGAGTATGTAATATCATATAGAGGCCCTAATCAGCTGTACCACAAAAGGCCCCAAATAACAGCCACATAAGCATTTCATTATTAAACAATGAACTAGCTTTTATGAGAAAGGCTGTGTTATAAAACTATATGGCTTTAGATATGCTCACTGCAGCCTAAGGAAGAACCTGCACTACCGTAAAAACTGAGAGTTGTGTCTATATCTCAAATAAATTAAATAAAATCACTAAATTAAGTGCTGATAGGAAAACCTAAATAACTAACCTTTCAGATCCAACACCTTTTCTGAATGATTGGCTAAAGAGCTGGTTTGGATCTCGGGAAACCTGACTGCTTATTATTTATTCTAGGAATTACAGTCATTTGGTGTGTTTTGTCATGTTTTTGTCTTCACTGCTGCTACTGCATTTGTTTTCAATGAAGTCAATATACAGCTGAAAAAACTAAAATAATGGCCATTCAAAAAATTACATTAATTAAAGATGCAGCCATATAGCCTGACTCAGGTCACAAATTCACTTCTCTCTTGTTGCTTTAAATTTGGCCTATATTCCACCAACTTTGTAGCCTGAAAAGGTCCCCCTGCTGTAGAACATGGCACTCTCTCAATGAACCTTCCTAGCAATGTAAGACTAAGCTCCATAACATAAAAAGAGCTAAATCATTTGAGTTTATCTATAATAATTTCTTCTAAACATCTTGATGAAAAAGTAAAATTAAATAATTTCAATTAAAAATAATTACAACTTGAAACTTCTGAAACTTTAGATTATCCTGAGCCTTGAAGGATGCAGCTTTGCAACCTCTGCCTTTTTTTTCTATATATAATTAAGACCAAATGGCACCAGAGAAAAGACTTCCCTCCAGATCACTATCCCTCCTTATGGATATATAAAGTATAAATAATCTTCCTTGGAATGTACAATCTATAACCAACCAAGTCACTGTGGTGTATACACCTGGATTTGTATGGAAAATTGCTAGCAGTGGCAGGTATCCAGGTTACTGGTGGCGAATCCATAAAGATCTTCAGCAACCTCAATTCTTGCCTCCTCAGAAGAAAGAATTTGACTGAGGGGCATAAGGCAGAAGAGGAGACCAAGGCAAGTTTTAGACCAGGAGTAAAAGTTTATTAAAAAGCTTCAGAACAGGAATGAAAAGAAAGTAAATTACACTTGGAATAAGGACCAGTGAGCAACTTGGAGGACAAGTGCACAATTTGACATTTGACCTTGGACTTAGGGTTTTATATGCTGGCATACTTCCAGTATCTTGCATCCCTTTTTCCTTGATTCTTCCCTTGGGGGTGAGCTGCCTGAATATGTGGTGGTCTGTTAGCATTTGGGCGGTGAGCATGCACAGTGTGTTTACTGTAGCTGTACACATGCTCACCCAAAGCATTCTTCCCTTTTCTGGTGGAATGCCCGCAGAAGGTTATATACTAGCTAAACTCTGCCATTTTGCTTCTTAATGTGCATGCTTGAGCCCACTCACCAACTCCTGAGATCTTATTGGGAAGCTGGTGATCATCAGTTTCAGGGTTTTCCTATCTATAGGGAGACTGCCTTTTCCCTGGAGCTGGCTGAGACCAATTATTATTTTAGAGAAATAGTTAACCACATCCTGACCACCATGTGATGGTCGACTGACACTCCTGGTTGGAGTAGGGGTCCTCTCCTGCCCTACTCATGTTTGCCTGACTACCTACTGTAACAAAATGTTGTAATCTTACTGAAATGTTTCTGTCTGTGCCTATAAAGTGAAACCTTAACTCCTCCAGTTTGGAAATGCTGACCCCATTTGTTCAGTCAGTGTTTCCCAGGTTTGTAGCCAAATAAACTCTATACCTAATCATACTGAGCTTTGCAGTCAAATAAGCTCCATACCTAATCATACTTTTAAAATATCATTATTTAAGGTTTACGCAAACTAACAAGAGAAAAGCAAACAGTAGTCTATTATCATGTGCATTGAGCATGTACAAATGGAAGTACCCAGCAATGACTCAACCTGAAGGATGATTAAAACATAGACTTGAATACCATCTTAAGCTAAACCAAGGAAAAGGAGTTTTTCAGCTTCTAGGCAGTGGAGGCAAGTTACGGGAAGGTGACCGGGAAAAAATATGGAAAACAAAGTTGTTGACTTAACTTTGTTATGCAGAGTTAAGTCAGTGCCATCCCCACTGAAAAAAATATTTGTTAAGAGTCCTCTTCCTGGTACAAGTGAGAAAGATCTATTTTACAAATGAAAATTTCGTTTGTAAATCTGATTTTCCTTTACGAAAGAAAAAGCTCTACCCTGTTTTTAGAGCTTTGCCTGCATCTGCTGGTTTTTAATGGGCTTTAGTTTAAAATAACCCAAATGCCAGGTAGGCATGTTTTGGGGTGGCATATTCTAGTACTCTTCAGTCAAACACTCCACAGGAAGTTAGAGCTCCTTGAACACACTGCTTTAAGTCAAGCCTCAGACTGATCAAATTCTCTGGATATGCCACTTAGGAACACTCCAGGTACATCATCTTTTATTGAACATGAGAACTAAGCACTTGGATACAATAAAATGCTTGTATGCTGTTCTGTTTATTACATGCCATGGAAGAACAGGAAAAAAATGTCCACTATAATTTTATTTTGTTTTATTTTATTATTAAATATTTCATCAAACAAAAGAAAGTAAAAGAATGATAGAATAAGCACTCATACTTTTATTCTTTAAACAATCTATTGTGTTTCTACTTTCCAGCTATATGCATCATTTCTAAAATTTATATTTTATTTCCAGACTTTCAGACTGATCTTATCCTTTTTGATAACCTTTCAAAACTTGACCACACTTTTAAAATTACTTTTTATTTCTTAAAATGCATTACACTACTTATTTTATATTCAGTGTCTGATCATTAAAGGATCTCCAGCATTCCTTAGTTTTGTTGTTGTTTCTGTTGATCTTTTTCATAGGTTTTTTTATGAGTTTTATCTACTTTAAAAATTTATTTCAATCATCTGAAGTTTATTTGGAAGAACTCTTTAAGGCTCAAGTTTAAGTTTTTTAAGAGATTTGGTGTGTGCACCAGCCAGGTGCTATAAAAAGACTTATGTTTTACATTAATTTTTTTTCAGAGGTAATATATACATTCTGGCCTCAAACCTATATAATAACAGATTTAGGTTAGAAAACTGAATAGCAGACGTCGCGTCTCCTCCCTCCATACCTGAAACCCAAGGCTGAGATGGTTGCCTTTCTGTCTCTCTGTGGGAAGAGTTGTTCTGGATGATCCTTTTTTGGTCTCCATTTGATTGTGAGTGCTCTTCAGTGGTCCTAGCTCTGTGTGGGGGTCTTGGCTGGATCTCCCACCTTGAGTAGGTCCTATGCTTTGCTTTCTTTCCCTATGTCAAGCCCATTAAAACAAAGGCCTGGGAGCCATCAGGGTTGACAGATACCCCAGGATAGCTGTTGGCTTTAAAACTTTGCCACTTCTCTGAAGTCTAGATTTTTCATTGTTTTTGTCCTCTGAGAGTTCTCTACCCTTTTTTGTTTGTATGTAGGTGTTTCAAAATGTTTGTTTCCAAGCACTTTAACATATTTTTTTAAAGTATTGTTCAATGTGTCTGCTTCATGAAATGTCTCTCTCAAATAAAAATGTAAAGGCAGGAAATTTTCTCACCACACTTTTAAGTTGCATCTTTTACTTACTCTAAATTTTCAAACATCTTGAAAATGTCGCCTTTAATCATTATTTCAATTTTCTTACTGTCTACTATTAAGAGGCCTTGCCTGTAGTAAGGCCATCGTTTACTTTTCTTCAAAGTGAACTATGTATGTGTGCTCAGATAGAAATCTGCACGAAGTCCGTTTATTCCAAAGTGCTCTTGGGATGAACACCTGCAGAAGGGAGAGGATAGAAGCCCAATGGAGCAGAGGAGCAGAGGAGACTGCAGTGCAGTCTCAATGGAAGCCTCGGCTGACCCTAGTGGGAGTTTTGAAGATGAGATGAAACTTCAGAGCTGTCTGTGGTGGGGGCAAGAGAACCGGGACTTTATGCCCATATCAGTCAGTCATTGGATGTAGGAGGTCACAGGAATGGAGATGTGAACTTGAGTGAAGTGGCTTTCCGCAGCTGAGGCAAATCCCAAAGGGGGATGGTAGTTGAGGACTGTGTGCTGGCAGCCCTGGCAGCAGCTAGAGCAATAAGTTCTTTATCTCTGAAGAGGGATCTCGGAGCTGCATCTTGGAGTCTACCACGTGTGCTTATCACTGCGCCATTAACAATTTTTCTTCCATCCCCATCACTCTGGCTATGGTCACTAATGACTTCCATGTACCTGAAGCTAAAGCAGATTTTTCTATTTAGTAGATTTTTTTTTAATAGACATACAGTTCTACTTACCATTTCCTCTTCTTGAAAAGCCCTCTTGTCCCACTTCTGTGTCATGGCTCTCTCCTCTATTTCTCCCACCTCTCTTGCTGTGCTGTGGTGCTCTCCCTTCCTGGGTTATCCTTCCCTACGCTGAACCCGGGCTACGTCTCAGACTCTCTCCTCTCCCGCCTCCATGTGCTCTCTTTAAGTGATCTCACTTATGTCTCTGGTGATAACTCATTTTTGAAGGTTATGAATATTTAACTAAAATCTGTGTATTGCCAAATTGTTTTTCAGAAAAAGATGTATCCATTACAACATCAGTAGCAGTATATGTATATATCCATAATGATTTATATATTAATATGAAATAGTTTGAGAACAAAAAAAGAATAAGCACCCATATATTTACCACCCAAAGAAATAAAATATTACAAATATATTTGAGGCACTTCATATACTCCTCCTTAACAATAATAATATTCCTCTCTGTGAACCCTATGTTATCCACAACACTGAATTTGGTATTATTGTTTACCCATAGATCATTGCAATGCTCCCTAGACCTATCACCATGACCTTTTTTGAATAAAGCCCACCTTACCATTTTTACCAAGTATCAGGGATATTTTTTTCTTAATAGACTTTATATATGTAATCAGTTTCAGAATGAATTCATTCAGATGCAAGCAAAAAATAACCTTTTTCTTTCTCATAGCTGCCTTGAGACCCACTCTTTAATCATTCCTCTCCAGCTCCAAGGAAAATCTTGGCAAATTTTATAACTTTTCCAGGACTTCTTTGATATTCATGAATAGGCTAAATGTTAGGTATTAGAGTTACATCAAAGTTAATGTTAGGCCAGGTGCAGTGGCTCACGCCTGTAATGCCAGCACTGTGGGAGGCTGAGGCAGGTGGATCAATTGAGATAAGAAGCTCGAGACCAGCCTGGCCAACATGGTGAAACCACATCTCTACTAAAAATACAAAAATTAGCTGGACATTGGTTGCAGGAACCTGCAATCCCAGCTACTTGGGAGGCTGAGGCAGGAGAATCACTTGAATCTGGGAAGCAGAGGTTGCAGTGAGCCAAGATTGTGCCGCTGCACTCCAGTCTGGGAGACAAGAGCGAGACTCCATCTCAAAAAAAATAATGTTAAACTTTCTATTTTTTTTGTTCAGTTTAAAGCTTTCTCCCCTCTCTAGTTCTGATCTGATTGAGACTCAGAACCTTCCAAATACTGAAAGACTCAAGGTTGAATTCCTTAATAATTTTCCATCTCACTGCTCTACTCCTTTTCCACACCAACCTTTTCTTTGTCATTGTTGGGGTGGAGTTAAGAGGAATGATAAGAAGATAGATGAGAAAAGAATAGTGCTTTCTTGACTGGTGGAACCTGGCTGGCATTAATGCCATGCGACAGTAGCTCATGTTCAAATGCTGACTCTACCTGTCAGTCTAAGGATGCTTAAATGGAGGCTTTCCCTGCCAAGTAATGGTCCTCTGCCTGCCGATATTCAGTTTTCTCCATGCAGACGGCCGGAATTGCCCCCCACCCCCCACACACTTTGACACACATGCACACACCCACACACAATCTGCTGATTCTTCTTTTAATTTCTTTGGCTTCTACACTTAGTTTCTTTTACTTCTATATCAGAGGGGAAAATATATATCTAGAAAGTAAAGACTGAGACATACCTGTGAAGTTATTGGATATTAAAGAAGATTTTTGGCATGCAAGAAAAACCTTTACATTACTTATATGGAGAAAAATTTACACTGGCTTCAGATATCTCAGCAATATTGAACACCATAGACAATACTGCAACACACGCAAGATCCTCAAGGAAGTGTAACCAATGCAGAAGAATGAAGAAACTGATACTTGTAAATATTTAAGAACTCAATTGTTGTTCCCATGAGTTTATCTTTAGGAAACTATTAAATATGTATTCTACCTGCCAAAACAATAACACAATTTAGGGGAAAGAAATGATGGTCAATTTTTAATATGTTTAACTGCAAAACTAAGAATTTTTTTATTTTATTATTATTATACTTTAAGTTTTAGGGTACATGTGCACAGCGTGCAGGTTTGTTACATATGTGTACATGTGCCATGTTGGTGAAAACTAAGAATATTTTTAATATGAGGATTAGGGTGATGAAATATTATGTTGCTTTAGAGTATAGAAATACTACCTTTTTTGAAACTGATAGAGGAAATCAGCTGATTGACTCATCACCTGGAATTTAAAGTATAACTTAGAGCTGTTAAATAAGGCATTAAAATATGACTATATTTACAAAAAGATAAACACAAAGAATGATAATATTATTCACTTAAATCACAGAATTGAATAAAAGAGGGGAGAGTTGATATTTGCCAACTTTTATCACTGTTCATATTAGGAATATAATAGATGCTATCTAAAGAAAACACATAACCACCCAATCGTTGGTTGAAAATAGATAATACTCAAGGGTGTTTTATGCTAATAAAATAATAAAGATAAACACCAGAAAAACATAAATTGTAATCTAATTATAAATATTAGATACATACACAGAACAAAAATCACAAAGAAATAAGACCTTGTGGTAAAAGACTTAAGAAAGAATTACAACAACAGAAAACATAAGAAAATAATATTACTAAACCAAGACTAAAATTTCTGCCATTATGATAAATATGAGTTTATTTATATAAAATGTTATTATTACATCACAATAAAAATCCACCTAATGCTGTGAAATACACCTGAAGAAAAGTGATTCAAAAAGCTTTCTTAAAAATAATATGCGTCTATAACACAAGCACCTATCAATAAAAAGTAAAAAGTAAAGACCATAATATAAGATAATATGCATTTATTTAATAATAGTATGCAGTCTAAAAGGTTGGTTAATAATATTAACAAAAGCAGTTCCATAAGGAGGATATAATAGCAATAATTCATGAAGCTACTATTAATAATTAGGAAGAGACACTCTAGACATAGGAGAATTCAAATTTCTTAGTCCTTAAAATATTAAATAAACAAAATCTATGCAATTATACAGAAAACCTAAAAAATACAACTGGTAACTAGTAAGGTAGATATTTATATGTATTTTATGTATGTATACATATGTACAATATATAATATATACACATATATAATATGTACATATAGCATGGTAAAGGAAGGTAAGGTATATGTATATGTATATACATATAGTATATGCATATACATATATAGTATATATATAGTATATATATTTATATATACATATAGTATATATGTATATATAGTATATACATATAGTATATATGTATATATAGTATATACATATAGTATATATGTATATATAGTATATACATATAGTATATATGTATATATAGTATATACATGTAGTATATATGTATATATAGTATATACATATACATATATAGTATATATTTTATATATATACTATATATATACTATATATAGTGTATGTATATACTATATATATACTATATACTCTATATACTATTATATATAAGCCAACTAAACCTCTTTTATTTATAAATTAGCCAGTTTCAGGTCATTCTTTATAGCAGTGCCAGAATGGCCTAACACAGAAAATTAATACTGAGTGGGACATTGCTATTAAGCTGTCTGAAACTGGGAAACAGGCAGAGATTGGAAGAGTTAGGAGGGCTCAGAAGAAGACAGGAAGGTAAGGGAAAGTTTGGAACTTCTTAGAGACTGGTTAAATAATTGTGACCAAAATGACAATAATTATATGAATAGTGAATGCCAGGCTGATGAAGTCTCAGATGGAAATGAGAAACTTATTGGAAACTGAAGCAAAAGTCATGCATGTTATGCCTTAGCAAAGAACCTGGGTGCATTGTGCCTCTGCCCTAAGGATCCCTGGAAGTTTAAACTTCTATGTTATGATTGAGGGTAACTGGAGTAAGAAATTTCTTTTTTTCTTTCTTTTTTTTGAGACTCGGTCTTGCTCTATCATCCAGGCTGGAGTGCAGTGGCATGATCTCAGCTCATTGCAACTTCTGCCTCCCGGGTTCAAGCGATTCTCATGCCTCAGCCTCCTGAGTAGCTGGGGTTACATGCGTTAGCCACTGCACCTGGCCTGGAGGAAGAAATTCCTAAGCAGCAAAATGTTCAAGAGGTGGCCTGACTGCTTCTGACAACCTATGCTCAGATGTGGGAGCAAATAAATGACTTAAAGTTGAAATTTATGTTTAAATAGGAAGCGGAACACAAAAGTTTGGAAAATTTACAGCCTGGCCATGTGGTAGAAAACAAAAGCTAATTTTCAGGGGAAAAATCTAAGCAGGCTGTAAAGCAACCACTTGCTAGAGACAGTTTCATAATTAAAAGGGAGCCAGTCCCAGTGGGGACTCTGCATGGGGCCTCCAATCCCACATTTCCCCTCTAAGCTACCCTAACAGAGGTTCTCTGTGAGGGCTCCAGCCCTGTAGCAGGCTTCTGCCTGGACACCTAGGCTTTTCCATATGTCCTCTGAAATCTAAGCAGAGGTTGCCAAGAATCTACAACACTTACATTCTGTGCATCTGCAGGCTTAATACCACATGGAAGCTATCATGGCTTATGGCTTGCATTCTCCAATTCTTTCAGACTCTAGAATCATAGATCCACCACCAGCTTGCTCCCTGCACCTGGAAAAGTGGCAGGCACTCAACAGCTTGTGAGAACAGCCATTCAGGTGAACCCTGCAAGGCCACAGGGGTGGAGCTGCCCAAGGCCTTGGGAGTCCACCCCTTGCACCAGTGTGCTCTGGATGTGACACACAGAGTCAAAGAAGATTATTTTGGAGCTCTAAGATTTATTTACTGCCCTGCTGGATTTTAGACTTGTGTGGGACCCATAACTCCTTTCTTTTGGCTGATTCCTTCCTTCTGGAACAGGAGTGTTTACCCAATGTCTGCACTCCCATTGTATCTTGGAAATAAATAACTTATTTTGATTTTACAGGCCTATAGGTAGAAGGAGATGAGTCTCAAATGAGACTTTGGAGTTAGACCTGGGACTTTTGATTTAATGCTGGAATAAGTTAAGACTTTGGGGGACTACTGAGAAAGCATGATTGTATTTTGCAATGTGAGAAGGACATAAGATTTGAAGGCAAGGGCGGGGATAGAATGTTATAGTTGGGTATTTGTCCTGCCAAAATCTGATGTTGAAATGTAATCCCCAATGTGGAAGGTGAGTCCTGGTGGGAAGTAATTGGGTCATGGATGCAGATCCCTCATGAATGGCTTAGTGCTGTCCTCATGATATCACATGAGTTTTATGAGATCTGGTCATTTAAAGATGTGTGGCATCTCCTCCCTCTGTTATTTGCTCCTGCTTCCACCATGTGATGTGCTTATTCACGCTTTGCCTTCCACCATGATAAAAACCTCTCTAAGCCTTCACCAGAAGCTGAGAAGATGCCAGTACCATGTTCCCTGTAAAGCCTACAGAACTGTAAGCCAATTAAACCTCTCTTCTTTATAAGTTACTGTCTCAGGTATTTCTTTATACCAATGCAAGAACAGCCTAGTACACCATGCATTGAAATGCTAACATTAATTACATAGTAAAAGAAAGAAAGCACATAAATAGCTAAACATAAGCCATATGCAAGTTTGTAAAATACAAAGAAGATCATAGGCTCAATTAGGAGAAAACATATTTTTGAATAACATGGAGCCCAAGCTGGGCATCGAAGGTGTGTAGTACGTCTTCAAGTGGAGTGGGAGGCGAGCATTCAAGAGGAGAGGACAGCAAAAGCAAAGGCAAAAGAGAAATATTTATTTTACTAAACATAAGGTACAGTTTGGAAATAAGGATAAAATATCATTTTTATTCAGACAAGATATTTCTTTTAATTCTGAGCTAGCAAGTTTTACTTTATTCCATAAACAGTGCAGCTCTCATTCATGAGAGTGCCTTGATCAGACATAGAAATGATTTACAAAATGAGCAAGTGGGAAGAGCAGCTTTTGGCTTTCGCTTTAAATTTAGTAGAGGAACAGAAAAGCCCAAAGTTTGACACTAGTTATTATTTTGCACACTTTAGACCATTTTATCCTGACAATTGTATACAGAAAACGGACTTGAAATTCAGAAATACTAAATAATCCCCTTGAGACACACAGTTGGTATTTGGCTGAGCCAGGATTTGAATGCCTATCTAACTCAAGACTTGGTTTCTTTACCACTACATCATACTACCTAAAGTAGTGACAATGAGAATGAAAAGGACGGGAAAGATATGCAAAACATTTCTGAAGGAAGTATCTAGAAAACAGTTATTAATGGTGAGTGGATGAGTAAGAGAAAGGGCACATCAAAAATTAAAAGGCTGCTTGCTACTTAATTCAAAACCTTTCAAGTACAGAATTAATGTTTTAAATAAACAATGAGAAATTTCACTGAGTAGTATACACCTCTGATTTTTACTTTGATTTTCTATGAACAAGAAAAAATTTTTCCAGAGAGTCTATGTTCAGCTTAACCAGCATACACGTCTTATTTACATCCATATAAACTATAAGGTCAGCTGTCAATGGGCTATCATTATTCAATATTCTAGTTAGTCCCCTGAATAGTGAATCTATGATACAGGCAGAAGCTCTCAGCTCCTCCGAACTTTAAGGAATGAAACCACTACTGACCCTTGAACAACAGAGGTTTGAACTGCATGGGTCAATCCATACAAAGTTTTTTTAAAATAAATATATTGGAAAATTTTTTGGAGATTTGGGACAATTTAGAAAAACTTTGCAGAAAAAACATGTAGTCTAGAAATATTTTTTAAAAACCCACATTTCTTAAGTTAGGTATGTCATGAATATATAAAATAAATGTGAATACTAGTTTATTTTATCATTTCCTATCATAAAGTATACAAAAATCTATTATAAAAAGTAAAAATTTATCAAAACTTACACAAACACTGACTGTATATGGTGCCATTTATAGTCATAAGAAATGTAAACAAACACAAAACAAGTATTAAATTATAACTGCATAAAATGAACTGTAGTACATACTATACTAATATAATAATTTTGTAGCCACCCCTGTTGCTGTTGTGGTGAGCTCAAGTGTTGCAAATGTCCACTTAAAATGCCATGTGACACTAATCATCTCTGTTTGAGCAATTCTCGCCAGTACATTATCTCAGCAAAAAAAAAAATTGTCTCTGGCTAATGATCGTGGCTCACTCCTGTAATCCCGACATTTTGGGAGGCCAAGGTGGGAGAATTATTTGAGGCCAGGAGTTCAAGACCTGCTTGGATAACATAGCAAGATCTTGTCTCTACAATTGTTTCTTAAAATACAATAAAATAAAAATACATAATAAATAAATAAAAGATGGTCTGTTGCAGTTCTTGTGTATTTTTCACTGTGTTTAGTGAAATACCGTATACCTCTATTAACACCGTGGGACCCATAAAAAGTGCCACTAGAGATTTTAGAAGTGCTCTCTAAAAGCAGAAAACAAAGTCATGACTTTACAAGACTAAGTTGAATTGCTTCATATGTACTGTAAATTGAGGTCTGCCTCTGTGGTTTCCGGCCATTTAAGGTAAATAAATCCAGCATAAGGACCGTTGCAAGGATTTTAAAAAAAAAAAATCATGAAGCTGTTGCTGCAGTTACCCCAACAAGGGCAAAAACCTTGCACATTTGTGAAATACCTTTTTATCTTGTATTAGCAATGTAACTTTTATCTGGGTGAAGGATTGCCATAAGAGCGGCATACTTATAGACTCTAATATGATTCAAGAAGAAACAGTCATTATATGACAACATAAAGAATAAAGAAAGGGAAGATTCTAAAACTGAAGGATTTAATGCCAGCAATTTAATTTACTGTTCTATTCTAAAAAAAAAAAAAAAGAAGAAAGAAATCCACAAAGGACATTTATTAGTAAGCAAGAGAAGAGAGCACCAGGATTGAGGGCAGGAAGGGATAGGTTAACTCTACTGTTTTATGGAAATGCAGTTGAGTTTATGATAAAGACTTATTTTATCCATAAAGCTGCTAATCCCCTAGCCTTAAAGGGAAAATATTATACCAGTCTTTTGCCAGCCTTTTGATTGTGCAACTTGAAGGCCTGGACAACAAGAATGCTTTTTTTTAATAGGTGGGTTCCATCAGTGTTTTGTCCCTGGAATCAGGAAGTATCTTTCCAGTACGAGACTGCCTTTTAAGGTTTTTCTGATATTGTGCAATGCTCCTGGCCGCCCAGAACTTCTTGTGTTTAACACTGAAATCTCATCTCCAATTGTAATCCCCAAAATTTGGTAGTCTGCTTACCTCCAAATAGAACATCTCTAATCCATCCTTTAGATCAGTGGGTCATAAGGACCTTTAAGGCTTGTTATACATGATGCTCTATGGAAAGGATTGTGAGCTCTGTGAAAGAGACCTCTGACAGAAGAAACATCATGAGTCAAGAAGGATTACACCATTGACTACACCATCCTTGTTATGGAAAAAGCTCTGAAAGCCATCAAGCCCCAAACAATAAATTTCTGCTGGATCAAAGTGTGTCCAGGTGTTATGAATGACTTCACAGGAGTTATCACAGAGCCAAACAAGGAAATCATGAAAGAGATGGTGGATATGGCAAAAGGCTGGGGGCAAAGGTTTTAAACATATGGATCTTAGGGCAATTCAAGTGCTAATGGACATCACACCAGAGAAATTAACAGAAAAGGACATGATGGAAATGAATGTTTTTGAACTAGTACCAGACAATGAGGAAGAAGACGTAGAAGAAGCAGTGCCAGAAAACAAATTGATATTAGACAATCTGGCTGAAGGGTTTTAATAATTCAAAACTGCTTTTAACTTCTTTTTGACTTGGACCCTTCTATTATACAGGCACTGAAGCTAAAGCAAATGGTGGAAGAAGGATTGGTACCATATGGAGACATTTTTGGAGAAATGAAGAAGCAAAAGGGCCAGAAAGAAATTACAATGATTTCTGTAAAGTTACCCTACGTGTGTCTCTCATTCTACCTCCTCAACCTCTTGTGCCACTGCCACCCCTGAGACAGCAAGAACAACCCCTACTCCTCCTCCTCTTCCTCCTCCTCAGCCTACTCAACCCATAAAGGATAAAAACCTTTATGATATCCACTTCCACTTAATGAATAGCAAATGTATGTTCTCTTCTTATGATTTTCTTAATAACTTTCTTTTCTCTAGCTTACTTTATGGTAAGAATACAGTATATAATACATATAACATACAAAATTTGTGTTAATTGTGTATGTTATTAGTAAGGCTTCTGGTCAATAGTAGGCTAATAGTAGTAGTTAAGTTTCAGGGGAATCAAACTTATATGCAAATGCTCAGAAGATCAGTGCCTCTAACCCCCATGTTGTTCAAGGGTCAACTGTACATAGAAAGAATATAACCTTGGTGCCTTCACTAAGAATCTCTCCTGGGACAGAGCTTATTATCTAAAGTTTCTTAGCCTATCCCCTCCCAGTCAAAAGAGTTCATGGAAAAAAAAGGTTAAGTAGAAAGTTGCAAGCAATTGTTTTTCTCCTGGAGCATAAGAGCAAACGGAAGTACATAACTGTATACAAGAAATCTGTAACAAATATTGCATCATTAAGCCCTCTTGTCCAGTCCTTTATTTCTCCTAAGCCAGCTAACACTATATTTTATGTAAGAAAATAAAATAATAAAAGAAAGAAAACACTGTGACAGAACTCTCAAAATCCTCTACCCCTATTTTTACATATAGACACTACACACACGCACACACACACACACATACACACGTGTACACAGAGACAGGGAGACATTCACTCATGCCCACATTATTGGCATTGTAGTCTCTTCCTAAAAGCTCATGAATATACCTAAAATCTGTAGAATCTAAAGTAAAAACTGTCACATTTCAATAACCATTGAGGATTTTAACTAGATAGCAGTATAATAATGTTAAATAAATTTTGTGATTTGTCAATATAAATGTAAAAAATGTTAATACATGCTGATTTTACAAAACGTATAGAATTTTCAAAGTTCTAGTAGACAAGAACCTTGGTGTATAATATTTCATTTCCTTCAGCCAGGTGCAGTGGCTCACTCCTATAATTCCAGCACTTCGGGAGGCCAAGGCAGGTGGATCACTTGAGGTCAGGAATTCAAGACCAGCCTGGTCAACATGGTGAAACCTCGTCTCTACTAAAAATACAAAAGTTAGCCAGGCATGGTGGGTGCACCTGTGGTCCCAGCTACTCAGGAGACAGAGGCAGGAGAATCGCTTGAACCCCGGAGGCAGAGGTTGCAGTGAGCCTAGATCACGCCACTGCACTCCAGCCTGAGGGACAGAGCAAGACTCTGTCTCAAAAAAAAAATTGTTTCCCTAATTTTCCTTTTCTTTTCAAAATAAGGACAACAATTCACTGGAAAGCTATGAGTGTGATACTGATGAACCATGCAATCTTGCCTTCAGATACAAAGAACGAATTACAAGCAAGCATATAAATTATTCTTTTGCTTATGGCAAAAAAATCTTGATATTAAAATACCAGTTCAGATAGGAAGAATAAACTACAGGCAAGTCCATAAGTTATTCTTTTGCTCATGGCAAAAAAATCTTGATATTAAAATACCAAGTGAATTACTAATAATTATTAAAAGTGGGTAGTAATCATTAACATTTATTGAGAGCTTTTTATATGCCAAGCAGTGTGCATTTGACTATGTTCTCGTTTTTACTCACAACACTACAAGGTAGGCACTGTGATTCCTCTTTTATAGATGCACTAGAGGCTAGGCCTTTGCCTCTCCCACACAGATTATAACAAAGCCAAGATTCAAACCCAGAGGGTCTAACTCCAGAGCGCTCAGTATTGCCTCTCAATGGCAATGAATCCTTATATAAAACAGACTATATTTTAGAAAATGTGAGTATATACAGGGGTAAAGTTTAGAGAGTTTAAGAAAATGTATTCTGACAGTCAAAGTCAATGTTACTTTTGCATGTCAGAAAAAATAGTTTGATATCAGCAGTTAATTGGCATGGACACTGGGTTCACAGACATGGATTTAAAATGGTCCTGCCATTTTCTAACTATGTGTGGAGGAAGAGAGATATGGATACTGAAGGGCAAATGGTAACCAAGTTTGTTAAACAGTTCAGCAAACACATTCATTCTTCCTAGCACAGAGTAAGGCTGCATTTCCCAGCATCCATAGAGATTGACTTTGACCATGTGAAAATGCCTATACAACAGAATATGAACAGAAGAGAGGTGTGCCATGTCTGTGGTTAAGATGTTTAAAGAGTTAGTTAAAAAGTAGTTATGCCTTCTCCACTGTCTTTAACGCATTCCTCCAACTTGCTATAGTAAGCATAGAAACCTTAGAAGCCACAGTGTAAAGATAGCTGAAGCATAAAACAGAATAAGCCTGACACAATCACTATCTGGAAGAGAGATGCCTGTAATTCAGCTGCACTTGTTACAAAGTTACTTCTTATATAAGCAAGAAATAACCATTATTATGTTTAAGTCATTATACATATTTTGTTTGTTTGCTACAGCGGGTAACAGTATCCCAGCTCACCATACCTTATTTACAAAGTCTTTTTGTAGCCCTGTTAAACAGTAAAGTTTGATAGAAAGCAAGGATTTTGATAGAGAGCAATGATTTTGTAGCTGATCTGCTGAGGTTTAAATCCTAGCTCCAGCACTTATTCACTGTTTGTGATCTCAGATGACTCAGATAAATTCACAGGGCCTAAAGTTATTTTTTTAAAACAGGGATTATAGTAGCATATGCCTAGAAAAATTGTATAAAAATTAAGTGAGAGGTTCCAGTTCAAGATGGCTGGCTAGAGGTAGCTCGTGCAGGCCATCTCATGAAGAGGAACCAACATAACAAGTCACTATAACACTTGCAGCAAATCATCTAAGAGAGCACACTGGGAGTCACCAGAGAAGTGACAGGACCCGTGGAAAGCAGAGAAGAGAGAAGCCAGGTAGCCATCAAACTTGGACCTGTGTGAAGCTGGGAGAGGCTTCCTAATGCAGGGAAAGGGTGAATGAGGGAGAGATTTCTGGAGATCCACACCTCCATCATGGACCTTTACAATCCTAGACATAGGAAAGCCCCCTTGGCCCCCGCCCCCTGGGCCTCCAGAGAGACAGCCTCCACCTACAGACTGTGCAGAAGCACCACTCAAACCTACATGGAATCCCAAGGCTTCTGATCCCTGAGCAGTCCCGTACCAGCTACCACCACCTCACAAAGGAAGGAAGCCAGGCACTTTCATGTGTCCCCAGGATATTAGGTTGGTGCAAAAGCAATTGCAGTTTTTGTCATTAAAAGTCATGGCAAACACCACAAATACTTTTATTCTTTTGCACCAACCTAATAGAGCCTGCAGCTGTGGTACAGGGAAGTGGCCAGACTACACACCACACAACTCCCCATCTTGGTTGCTCCCCATTAAATGGACATTGTCCCCAGCACACCTGTCCCATCCCTGTCTAAAAACTGCAGTCATGGCTCAACATGCTTCTGAAAACTCAACTCCCAGAGGTCACAGACTGACCCTTTATAGTCACCACGACTGCTGCCTCTGCCGCTGCAATCCCTAGGCCAAGGAGAGAATGGGAAGGCTAGGAATTGTCATGTGCCTCAGCATAAATACTGCAGCTGAGATATGGAGGAGTAGTGGGCAGATTGTGTGCCCCACAATGCCCCAATTCAACTGCCCCTTGACAGATGGGGTTGCCAGCTTCAGCCCTTCAGCACACACACTCTGCCCCTGCCTGAACACTGTGGTCACAGCTCAGTGTGCCTCTGAAAGTCTAACTTCCAGAGGTTGCAGACGGACCCTTTGCAGTGGCCACTGCTGCTGCTGCTTGCCTCTTCCTTGCACCAGGCCACAGAGGAAGTGGAGAAGCCTTACACTTCTGTGTGTCTCCAACAGCAAAACCCAGCGCTGCTTCTGTGGGAGGAAACTGTGAGTGTACTAGGTACCTCACAGCTGCCAGGTTCCATTGCCTCAGCTGAGAGGACCAGCCCTCCCCAGTGAAAGGTCCACAGCACAGCTTTTTCTGGGAGCCCAACTGCCACAGGTCTGTGATCTGCCCTTGGGTCCTGACTGCCTGAGCATTCTGCCTACCTACACCTAAGAGTTCTGTCAGTGACTCAGAGACCAGCCGAACCCACCCCATCACAGCCAGCACCTAAACTCTGGTCTGGCCTGACCCCAGTGCAGCCCCTTCAGAACTGACACACGATACCCAGCAGGCCATCTAAGGGCCTGGGAACTTGGGAAGTACCTAGCCTAGTATGACACTCCTGGCACTGGACCACTTCCCCGAGGGTTTGAGATCAGGCTGAGCCAACCCAACTAGCCAAGATCACCACAACTGATACCCACCTTCACAGGCTGAGAGACAGAACAGCATTATGAACCAGCAGCATTGCCACATTAGAGAAGAGGTGAACCTTAAAGCTGTCTCTATTTGGTTGAATAAAGAGATTTCATCTCAAAACCATTCCCATGGAGAGTCACAAGACAGACATTTTCTGTGGCTCTCAGACGCACCGTGGCCTGGAAATAGACAACAATGTGCATCTGAATGAGTCACAACCTCTGGTACAGGAGTGTGACAGGCAAACAGATTACATTCCTGCCTATGTAGGACATGGAGCCGCTGTAGCTTCCTCACCCTCCACAGAGACCTCAGAGCATTTCACCAGGAGCTCTCCCAGCCACCTCCATCACAGGTGCCAGCACTTGTCATTAAGGTATTCATGGGCAAGCCAGGGGGACCAGCTGTGATCAGCTGTGTTCCCCCAACCACTGATGAACAGGAAGCTCAGGCAACTAGGCACGCCACTGTCCAGCCAATCACCTGAAACAACAGAGAGAACTTCACCGTACAAAAAGATCAAGTATATATCCATCTGCTTGTGCCGCAGCTGGCTCATAACTGTAAGTACCATCTACTATTCTGCAGGTCAAACTAAACCCAGCCTGATATAAAACCTGCTGACAAAGTCCGCAGGGCTATATAAATAAAGCCAAAGACCCTATGTACTCTATAGTCACACCCCTTTGGGAATGGAGGGAGGCAAAATAAAAAATAGGGAAAAAGAAAGAATCCCATTTAAATGAAAATAATTTCAAAAATAAGAAGTGGTAGCCTCTCCAGATGAGAAATAATTAGCATAAGAATTCTGGCACCATGAAAAATGTGAATATTGTGACACCATCAAAGGATCACACTAGCTCTCTATCAATGGACCATAAGCAAAATGGAAGCCCAGAAACAACATAAAGAATTCAAAGTATGGATTGAAAAGAAGCTCAAGGAGAGCCAAGAAAAGGTTGAACACCAACACGAATAAACTACAAAAGCAATCCAGGAAATGAAGAAAAAGATAAATATCTTTTTTAAAAAAAAGCAAGCAGAATTTCCAGAAATAAAAATACACTCAAGTAATTTCAAAATACAGTTGAAAGCTTTAACAATAGACTGCATCAAGTAGAAGAAAGAATTTCAGAGCTTGAAGACCATTCTTTTGAACTAAGTCAGACAAAAAAAATAAATAAATAAAATAGAATTTTAAAAAACAAAACCTTCCAGAAATATGTGATTACAAAAAGTGACAAAGCCTATTACTTATTGGCATTCATGATAGAGAAGAAGAAAAAGTAAACAACCTGGAAATCATATTTAAGGGAATAATTCTCAAAAATTTTCCTAATCCTACTGAAGAAGTAGACGTCCAGATACAAGAAATTCAGAGAACACTTGTGAGATAGCATGCAAGATAAGCATCACCAAGGCATATACTAATCAGACTATCCAAGGTCAACACTAAAAAAAAAATCTTAAAGGCAGCTAGATAAAAGGGTCATATTATCTACTTAAAAATTGTTCAGACTAACAGCAGACTTCTCAGCAGAAATTCTATAAGCCAGAATCAACTGGGAGCATATATTTACCATCTTTAAAGAATAAAAGAATGCCAGTCAAAAATTTTATGTCCTGCTAAACTAAACTTCATAAAGAGGGAGAAATAAAGCCTTTCCAAGACACCAAATGCTAAGAAAATTTGTCACCACTAGACTGACCCTACAAGAAATGTTCAAAGGAGTTCTAAACATGGAAACAAATGAGTGAAACCCATCAATATAAATGACAGATAAGTATAAAACTCACAGATCCTATAAAGCAATTACAAAATCAAAACTCCAAAATGACTGGCTAACAATACATGACAAACCACGACAGGAACAAAACCTCATGTAAAAATATTAAGCTTGATGCAGAAAAAGAATTCAATAAAACCCAACATTACTTTATGATTAAAAAAAAAACACCTCAACAATCTAGGTGCAGATGGAACATGTCTCAAAATAACAACAGTCATATATGACTAACCCACAGTCAACCTCAGACTGAATAGGGAAAAGTTAAAGGCATTTACCCCAGTAACTGAAACAAGAAAAAAATGTCCTTTCTCATCGTTCCATTTAAACACATTGCTGGAAATCTTAGCCAAAGCAATCAGGCAGGAGAAAGAAATAAAAGACATCCAAATTGGAAAAAAGGGAGTTAAATGATGTTTGCTGATGACATGATCATATACCTAGAAAACCTTAAAGATTCCTCCAGAAGAAACCTAGACTCGATAAGTGACCTCACTAAAGCCTCAGGATACAAAATTAACCTACAAAAATCAGTAGCATTTCTATACACCAATAATATTCAAGATGAGAACCAAATTAATAACTCAATCTCATTTACAATAGCCTCATACACACACACACACACACACACAAAATACCTAGGAATATATTTAACCAAGGAAGCAAAAGATATGTGCAAGAAGAACTATAAAACATTGATGGAAGAAATAGTAGACAACACAAAAAAATAAAAAACATTCCAGGCTTATGAATTGGAAGAATCAATATTGTTAAAAATGACCATATTATCCAAAGCAATCTACAGATTCAATGTAATTCCTATCCAATTACCAATGTCATTTTTTGCAGAATTAGAAAAAAACAATTCTTAAGTTTTTGTGGAACCAAAAATAAAGCCCAAATAGCCAAAGCACTACTTAGCAAAAAGAATAAATCCAGAAATATCACATTACCTGACCTCAAATTAAACTACAAGGCTATAGTAACTAAAACAGTACGCTACTGATACAAAAATAGACACATGTATCAATGGAACAAAATAAAGAACCTAGAAATGAAGCCACATCCCTACAACCAACTGATCTTCAATAAAGTCAATAAAAATAAACAATGGAGAAAGAATACCCTATTCAATAAATGGTGCTGGGAAAACTGTCTTGCTATATGCAGAAGAATGAAACTAGAACTCTATCTCTCACCATATACAAAAATTAACTCAAGATAGATTAAATACCTAAACTTAAGACCTGAAACTAAAAACATACTAGAAGAAAACCTAGAAAAAAATATTCTAGACATTGGCTTAGGCAAAAAATTTATTACAAAGACCCCAAAAAATGCAACAAAACAAAAACAGACAAATGGGACTTAATTAAACTAAAAACCTTCTGGAAAACAAAAGAAATGATCAAGGGAATAAACAGACAACCTACAGAATGGGATCAGATATTTGCAAATTAGGCCTCCAACCAAGGGCTAATATCAAGAATCTATAAGGAATTCAAATGACTTAACAAGAAAAAACAAACAACTCTATTAAAAACTGGGCAATGGGCATGTACAGACATTTCTAAAAAGAAGAAATAAAAATGGGCAACAAACACATAAAAATATGTTCAATATCACTAATCATTAGAAAAATAAAAATTAAAAGCACATTGAGGTATAATCTTATGCCCATCATAATGGCTATTATTAAAACATCAAAAAACAACAAATGTTGACACGGATGTGGAGAAAAGGGAACACTTATATATTGTTGGAGTGGATGTTAATTAGTTCAACCTCTATGGAAAAAAATGTGGATATATCTCAAAGAACAAAATATAAAACTGTCATTCAAGCCAGCAAACCCACTACTGGATCTCTACCCAAAAGAAAAGGATTCATTGCATTAAAAAGATAACTGCACTCATATGTTTATTGCCAGACTAGTCCACCAATGGTTGACTGGATAAAGAAACTGTGATATATAATATATATATGTGATCTTTTATATATATATGTATATATACATATATATTATATACATATTGTATACATATATTATATATATACATATATATGTGTATATATATCATATATATGTGTATATATATGATATATATACACACACACACACACATACATACATACATACATACATACACCATGGAATACTATTCCACCATAAAAAAGAATGAAATCAGCCAGGCACACTGGCTCATGCCTGTAATCCCAGCACTGTAATCCCAGCACTGTAATCCAGGGAGGCTGAGGCAGGTGGATCACGAGGTCAGGAGTTTGAGACCAGCTGACCAATATGGTGAAATCCTGTCTCTACTAAAAATACAAAAATTAGCAGGGCGTGGTGGCGCACGCCTGTAATCCCAGCTACTCAGGAGGCTGAGGCAGAAGAATCACTTGAACCTGGGGGACAGAGGTTGCAGTGAGCCAAGATCCCTGGGTGACAGAGTCTGACTCCATCTCAAAAAAAAAAAAAAAAAAAAATGAAATCATGTTCTTTGCAGCAAAATGGATGGAGCTAGAAACATTATTCTAAGTGAACTAACTCAGAAGCAGAAAATCCAATACAACATGTTTTCACTTGTAAGTGGAAACTAAATGATGGGTAAATATGGACATAAAGATGGAAATAACAGACTCTGGGGACTACAAAAGAAGGGAAGGTGGAGGGAGGTGAGGGTTAGACAATTACCAATTGTGTATAATGTTCAATATTTTAGTGATAGGTACACTAGAAGCCCCACCATTACACATTTAATTCCTATGTAACAAACACATGTACTGCCTCAAACTAAAATAATTTTTTGAAAAAAACGAAGTCAATATTATAAATCTCATGGAAAAATGCCTGCCTCAGAGAAAGCAAAAAATTAGTCACAATCTACATGATTAAAAGATTACTTATAATGATAAATAGCTTTTCAAAAAGCATCAATTTAATCAAGCCACTTTTTCATTTTATGGTCTCCTTCTTTAATCTAGTTATATAAGGTTTAGCTTGTCCACATTAATAATGTTTCTAAACAAAAACAAAACAACCCCTGAGTTTTTTTATATATATCAAAAATGATGGACTGAATGCTTAGTACCCTTCACTCCCTCTCAACATCTACAGAAACTCCTAAAAGTGGATTTTTAAAAGAAATTATAAATGCACAATAACAAATTGAATAGAAAATAAGACAGATTTTGATATAACTTTGATGGCTGGAAAGCAGATAGGGGCAGTGACTAACTTGTAAGACAACAGTGTTGAAAGCTGCAAAGCAACCCATTAGTACCATGGAACTCTGAAGAAGATTAGCATCTCTGAAGTAGAACAACTAAAAATAAGAGAACTGATTAAGACTTCAGAAGCTTTTAGACCCCCAGGTAGTCTTCTTACTTTATGTATCTGAAGAAATTCCTCCATTCCATGCAGAGAAATAAGGCTGAATAGTTATTTTCTAAAACAGTTTTAATAGGGGATCTCAACACTGGCAATTATTAGACATAGCTGAGCAAGAACCCAGTACTGAAGACAAAAGGATTAAATGAAAGATTACCAAGGAAATGTAGACAGTTCCAACTTTATTATCGTTAGGGAAAAAAAAAATAATTCCTCTTCTTTGTTAAATTCTGCATGTGGTGGCAAGTGAATTAAACTGACAAAAGACTAATAAGAGGGGAAAAGGTTCATTCATATGCATATGGAAGTCCACAAAAAAAGTAGCGAGCTCAGGAAATAGAGGCTTATAGGCTTTTCTGAAAATAACAAATAGATTTATTTAGGAAAGATATATAGGTTTTTATGACAGCAAATAAAGACAAGAAGTTTTTTATTATATTTATTTATATGACTGCAGTGGTTTCTCTGTCTTCATGATGGCTGTAACATTCTCCTGGAGAGGGCATTTATAGCGCTTGATTTCTCAGAAGCTGCTGTTTTTCATCAGATAAGGGAAGTTCCAAGTAGATTTTATTATGCATCTGTTGAATCTCAAATTTATCTTCAGCTAAAAGTAATTTTCATACCAACTCTGAAGTTCTGAGCTGGTCCCCATATTATCACACTAGATACCAAGAATTCTGGCCACCAAGTTTGTACCACCCTCCACAGTGAGTTAGAAATGAACATTTGACCACATCAAGATGAGACAGCCACGTAAAAAGGGCTTCCTGGAGAATCCCCAACTGGCCTGCCCACTGGGAGTACAGGGTGGAGCCGCAGGAAGTTTGCAGCCATTTGCAGCGGGGAGGAGTCTGGCCTCTCCTGCTCAGGGTTGGTAACCTAGGATGCCATTTGTGGATGGGGTCCTGTTAACAGTAACCCCTCTCGCTTTGCTATGTTGTTTTTCCTTTTCACCCAATAAATTCCGTCACCCCTCACCCTTCCAAGTAGCTGCGTGCCTAATCTTTCCTTGTCATGTGACAAGAACCCGGATTTTCCTACAACAAAGATAACCCCTCACCCTTCAAAGTGTCTGCGTGCCTAATCTTTCCTGGTCATGTGATAAGAACCTGGATTTTCCTACAACAAAGATAGCGGAATCTAAAGATAATGAAATGTTGAGGGATAGCCAAAGAACCATCCAGCCTGATTACCTTTCCAGGAAACCCAGTCAGCATGCATACAGGCTTTTTACTGTTCCACTCTTAAATATAAACCAAAAATAAATAATTACCAGATATTTGTAAAAAAATAAAAAACCTATCACATGAAATATAGAGTATATTAAAAAATAAAAGAAATAATTGGAGAAGCATAAACTAAAAAAGAAGAGAAAAATTTCTTTTAGAAAACCATATATAGTTAATATCTTCAGGAGATGAGAAAAGTTATTGGAGCTACTAAATAAGAAAAGGATGTGATTCAAAACAAAACAAAACAAAAAAAGAGCATTCAAAGTACAAGAAAATAGTGCCAGGTATTAAAAATGTAATAGCCAAAAAGGAAAATAATTTTTAAAAACTCAAAAAAATTCAGAAAATGAAGCTGAGGAAATCTCCCAGAACTATAATAAAAAAAGACATAGACAAAAAAAAAAAAAAAATTAAGGCAGTTTCTTGTAAAAATTGAAGAACATTCTAGGGGGAACCAAAACAGAAGTTCTAAAATAAGATAACAGCAACAATGGAAGAAAATTAATAATAAAATAATACAAGAAACATTTTCAGGACTACTTGAATATGTAGATAGAAAGGGCCCACTTATGGCCCTGCAAATAGACAAATATAAAACCAAACTAATAAGTATCTTTGCAAATTTTTAAAATATTAAGGCGAAAAGAAGTTCTTGAAAATCTCCACAGGAAAATTTCAGTTTCAGAACAAGACTAAAATTAATAATAGCATTAAATTTGTTAAGAACAGCAGTAAAAACTAGGAGAGAATGGAGTGGTGCATTCAAACTCTATGAAAAATTTTTTCAAATTAGAATTCTATACTAAGTCACATTATCAATTTAACGTGAAAGCAGAATGAAAGCACCGGCAGACATGAAAAATCATAACAACAAAAATTCCTTGCATGCAACCTTTCTCAGGAAGCTCTAGGAGAAAACGTTCCATTAAAATGGAATAAAATAAGAAAGAAAAATGCCTCAAATTCGGGAAACAAAGAAGTCGAGATAAGATAAAGTTAGAGATACCCTAACGCAGTGCTAAAGGGAAACGTAAAATAATACATGTGCCTTAAATCAACTATTCCCGATAACATGGTTAGAGGAAGTAAGGTAATGCAAGTGTTAAATTATGTGTGAAAGATGGGATGCCTGGAAGAAATTCATATCACAAATATTACAGAAAGATAAGTAAACAGGGATTTAATATTCATGGATTTTTCTCCTATTTTATTTAAAATGTCAGACCTGTCTTAATGAGGTTCTACTGACATTTATTCTTTTTTAATTTTTCTTAGATCTTAAGAACCAGAAATTGGCATTAGAAGTTCCATTTCCAAATCTAAACAATACTAAATCATTCAACCTCTCTATCAATCTTTTTCTCGTCAGCTCATTTCATTGGCAAACAATTCTAATAATTAAAAATCTCCTTTTGTAATGGTGTTAAAACTGCATTCCTGTGAAGAAAATTAAAATATTTTATCCCAAAATGTATTTATTTGACATATTTTGAAATGGCTGTCACTTGGCCACCCTGACAGAAGCAGTCTTGCAAAGCTGTCTTAAGTGGGGAAAATCTGTCATCTGTAGAGAATCTCCATTAATGCAGCCATGCCTTCCTCCCCTTTCTATACCTTTCACCTGGATCCAGAAAAGATTGAGTCTGACACCTTTTGAAGTCTGAAAAGCAACATTTTCTGTCTATTCTCTCTGAGGGAGGCTTTGTCTACATGATAAGGCCATCTTTACTGACCAAGCTTCTTCCTTTCTTGTCAGTAACCTAATTTACTTGTTTTGGCCATGCTCTGAGTCTGCATTCTTTACTGTGGCCTTAAGATGGTATGTAAGTTTCTATATTGTACTGGGAAGTAGGGTCTTCATTCTGAAAGCCCACATGTATACATGTTAAATAAATTAGTATCCCTTTTCCCTTATTAATCAATATGCCTCATTTCAGTGACTTTTAGTGAACCTTTAGGGGGTCAAGAGCCTATGGCCGCCACACCTCTAATTTCAAGCATCTAGTCTTTTTTTCTGTGATTACAGCAGGGATCCCCAACCGCTGGGCTGTGGACCAGTACTGGTCCATAGCCTGATAGGAACTGGGCTGCACAGCAGGAGGTGAGCGGCACCCAAGAGAGCATTACTGCCCTAGCTTCACCTCCATCAGATCAGCTGCAGCATTAGATTCTCACAGGAGTGTGAACCCTACTGTGAACTGTGCATGTGAGGTTGTGTACTTCTTACGAGAATCTAATGCCTGATGAGCTAAGGTGGAACAGTTTTATCTTGAAACCATGCCCTCCCACCCCCATCTATGGAAACATTGTCTACCGTGAAACTGGTTCTTAGTGCCAAAAAGGTTGGAAACTGCTGATCTAAAGCATAATGTCTCTTATATATGGCAATTTTTCAAAACATGGCTGACTTCAAATACATCACTGCCTCTCTTAGTTTTTTAGTGGATGCCTGAGGGTCACAATTATTATCGTAATAGAAAATAATCTATTTTAATTGATACTAACTTAATGTTGATATTATACAAAAACTTTTCTCCAAATACTTCTGTTCCCTCCTCCATCCTTTGTGCTATTATATGTTTCTACATTATAAGCGTATAAACACAGTTTTATAATTATTGCCTTATAAATTGTCTTTTAAATCATATAGGGGAAGAAAAGAGTTACAAAAAAAAGTTAATATTACTTTTTATATTTACCTATGTAGTTACCTTTATTAGTTCCCTTTATTTCTTCATATGGATTCAAGTTAGTATTCAATGTCCTTTTATTTCAGCCTGAAGAACTCTGTTTAGCCTTTGTCGTAGGGCAGGTCTGCTAGCAGTGAGTTCTGCCAGATCTTGTTTTATCTGAAAAATACCTTTATTTCTCCTCATAGGAAAGTTTTGCTGAAAATACAATTCTTAGTTGCAGGGTTTTTGTTTGTTTCCTTCAACATTTTGGAGATGTCATCACTCTGTATTCTGGCTTTTATGAGAAATCATCTGTTGAGTTTATTGAAGATTCTTCATATGTGATAAGCCATTTTACTGCTGCTGCTCTCAAGATTTTCTTATTGTCTTTGACTTTTGTCAATTTGACTATGATGTCTCTGGTTATAGATCTTTTTTAGTTTATTCTACTTGGAGTTCATTGAGCTTCTTCGATGTGTAGATGCATATTTTTCCTTACGTTTGGGAAGTTTTTGGTCATCATTACTTTATATAATATTTTTCCCCTCTCTGTTTCTTCTTTCCTTTGAGGACACTTTGATCATGCACAAAGCCCTTCATGTTGAGTGTAGCCATCCTGATCCCAGGACTATTATATTGAGCTTTTTCCAAGTTTCCCTATGGTCATTCAGTTGTTTAAGATTTCCTTTTAAATTTTGTGTCAGGCTCTTGTTTCTCCAACTGAAATCACAGTCTTAGGCAGCTTGGATGTTTCCAACAAACTGATGTTATTTTCAGATTGCTATTCTCGAGGGATAGGGCTTTTGCACTGTTCTATAAGCTGTAAGTCAAATCAAATAGCCACAATACTCTGGGAATGGAGATTTTCCAAGAAGTTGTTGGTACAGACAACATATTGACTGTGCTTCAGGGATGGAAATTGTAATATAACAATAAATTTTTAACATAACAATAAACTTCCTCACTTTAGACTGCAAGTCTATTGGGTTTTCATAAGCTACCACACCACTGAACTGGAGATGGAGGATTGAAAGAACCAGAACCACATTTTAAAATATCACAGGCCCTGCTTTCTTATGAAAGTTCAGTACTTTCTCACAGATAAATGATCTAGTTCGTTTAATGGTTTTGGTTAATTTTCAAAGTTGTGAAGTGGTGAATTTTAATTGTTTTATTATGTTTTTACATTGTTTTTATGGGAGAACAAGCTCATCAAATTCCTCACAGCATCATTCCAGAAGTCCTCTCTTTCTTATGCACCTATGTCTTCTCTAGTCTAAATACTTCCAGTTGCCTGTAAAATTTACCACCATAAGAATAAAAGTTCAATTTGTTTGGTCAAAATTGTATCATCAGCAACTAGCACAGTCTCTTTTCTTCTATGTGAAGGAAACAAAATCTCAAACAAACAGAGATTTAGGTAGGAAAGTAGGTAGATGTATAGATTGGTAGAGAGAGGAAGAGAGAGCGACATGTGTGTATATGTACAGACATCCCCATGTATAATTTACGTAAGAATATGCAAGAAACTAAGTAGCAATTACATCTAGAAAATGGCAAGCTAGTGGAGGAAAATACATCTGCTTTCAATTTTTGTTTTTCTACCGCTTTAACTTTTAGAGAAGCATGAATTATATCAATAGAGACAGATTGATAGTTGGAGGAATAGGATTAAATTATCCTCAAAAAATATTTCTAAGCCTTGTACTCTTATGATTGTTCTCTGTGCAGATTCTTTGTTGTCAGTGTTTCTATAAAAATATGGCTTTCACAATTCAACAAAAATAAAAGATAAAAGAGAATTGGGCTAACACACCAAGTATAGTGTGATGAATTTTCCTTACTCAAGATGTAATAGTTTTATCAATGTTCTTTACGGTTGCGTTTGCTTAAATAGCAGTTACTTCTCCTAGAGCATCAAAATAACATTATCAAAAAGTTATTCCTTTGGAGGAAAAGCAAGAATATTTAGTTCAAAGACTTTATTTTGCAATTAAACAAAATATGGAGGCCTCCACATTTAAAATATTTACCTAAAGACATATTACCAGGTCAAGTTGTCCATCTTGGCTTGTCTTAATCAGGAAGTCCTTTGGGAATATTAGTAACTAAACATCTAAAAGAGTCCCAAGAGATGTGCTCTATAGAAAGCATTATATTTTGTGGTGCCAGTGAAATGCAAAAAGAGTTCAGGACAGATGGGAGTGATTTTTACTTAGACATTAACATTCTAGGGAGATGAAAGATGTTAAGCTCCAATGTATGCTTTTCTAGAACAGCAGTTATTAAAGTGTGGTCTCAGTAGTCCCCAGATCCTTGTAGGCTGTCTGTGGTGAAAATTATTTTTGTAATAATAAGATTTTTTTGCTCTTTTGCTCTCATATCTTCTACAAGAGTAATGTGGACTTTTCCAAAGGCTATGTGTTGTGCTATCACGATGGTGTGAATGCAGAAGCAGACATGAGGATCCAAATGTCTTCTATTAAGGCAGATATTTAAGGGATTTATGAAAATGTAAAATAATCCCACTCTTCTCACACATTTTTGACCCATAAATTATAGTTATTTTACATACCAATATATTATGTATACATTAAAGTATAATGGGCTTATTATTTGGTAAATATTTTATTTTGTTTTCAGTTTTAATTTATAAAATTATTAATATTTATTTTCTTAACTGTAAAAGGGGACATGAGACCAAAAATATTGAGAGTCACAGCACTAGATTAGCTAGCTAAAAAAACAGTATGAACAAAAAGATGTTGTGATTATTGATAGAACTGAATTAGACTCTTTTATCAAACATGAAAGAGAGAAATAAACTACTATACGTTTTTTGTGACATAATCTCAATATTGTGAGATAGTACAAAACCACAGCAAAAGATCAAAACTATGTTAGTAAAAATAAGACTAAAGTCTAAAATGCTAACTCACAAAACACTTCAATTTTCTAACTTGTATATCTCTAAAAAATATAATAAGTACTTTGGATGAAGTGTAAGAATCAGCAATATTAAAAAGAAAACATTTTCAAAATTAATATTTACAAATCCTAGATATTTTCCTTTCAAGAAAGTTTGTGTTTATTTGTAGTTTATCCAGCATAGAAAATTTTTGAAAGATCACAGAAAATAAAATTACATCTGCTCATAAATTGACAAATCTCATAATATACATGAGGTATCCTCTTGGCTAAGGAAATTAAAACCTACATAATGAGAGAGAGAGAGAGACCATATGAGGATAACTTTTACTCAGATCTAAGATGTGAGTTTTTTTGTTTATAAACACACAAAAAATGTCAGACAGCTAGCTGCATTTTCTCTAACTGATTTAAAAATAAAAGACAATGCTGAGTTTGTATGGAGGCTTATAATCAATCCCATTCTGGGAATCCTGATTATCTTAGTAGGATTAGGAGGAGGTTTTGCTACCTTTTTATTTTGGAAGTAATTATTTTTCTTGGCACAGAGGCAAATGTATTCAAATAGTTACCTGAATAGTGATTATTAATTAATGTAATTTTCACCAAGAAAGGATAATCCATAAGTGCAGAACTACATTGAGATGTTTAAAAGACGCTTTGGATGTATTAAACTGTGTTAAGTCTGGGGTTATAATCTTGTCACCATCAGTGATTCTTAAACTGTAATGTAGAGAAGCCCGCGTGGATCTTCCTAAAAACACGGTTTCAAAGGAGTGTCGCCTTTAACAGAGTCTAATTATATGTATCTTGAGGTGGAAGCCCAAGAATCTACATTTTAGCAGTATACAAGGTGATTCTGACAAATGTGAGATAAGTTACACACTTTGAGAAAATGTTCCAGTACAATCTAAGTAAAGTCCTTCTGAGGTTTTAAAAGTTTCCATTTAAATTTTTATTTAAGTTTATTAATCTGACGGAGTTTATTAAAGTCATTTAAATTTAAATGCAATCATTTTAAGAGACTGGGATAAGGTACATAATGTTCAGTTAAAACCATTTCATCCCATCAATCATGATGTAGCTGCCCAGCTTCATAAATGTGCACAATGTACACAAATGTGAAGTTAAAAGTAATGTAAACACGTTGGTCAGGATAAAATTTTTATCACTTTGAAAAATAATTACATTGATGGCTCTAGTTTAAAAATTTTTCAAAGAAGTTTTGTTAAATTAACATCTCCTTGTCTCTAAAGATTAAAATAATTCAAAATTGCATGTATATTCTTTACTATAGTAGCTGTATTTGTTCCATCTTTAGGTAGTTTTTTTGTATAGCATATTTATGTGAATAAAATATTTAATATATTTTTTGATGGTCATACTATGAAGATACACAAAAGGAAATGTGCATTTGGTAAGCTATGAACAACCACATAAAGTTTCAGTAGACTCTATCAGAATATTATGTAACCTGAATGACTAATACAATGTTAATAATTCTTTAACATACATTGAAGTATTTCTTTTTGGAGTAGTAATTCATTTTTCCTCCAAACTTATTTATTTTTTAAACAAAATATCATAATTTATATAACTGAGACATTGGCTACTAAGTTGATCATTCTGACTGTAGTTTGTATGAAGTTAGTACACTTACCCAACATTTTATTGAATACCTATTATGTGCAGGATGTTGGCTATGCACAGAGATACTATTGTTATGTATTTCAGAATCTAACCTACATATATACATCAAACTGTATAATAGAGTGAGTATAGCAAGTGTTTTAATGGAGGTATAAAGATGATGGGAATAGAGGAAGTAACATAATTATGTCTGGGAGAAGGCATGGAGAGAAGAGTTGGAAAGCTTTGTAGAAGATCACACAAAGAAAAGTAAATTTGACTTGGACTTGGAAGACTGGGATTTCCATCAACTGAAAAATGTGAAGAACAAAGAGAATAACAGGAGCAAATGCATGGAGTCTTGAAATTGTGTCCTATGTTTCAGGTGACATGTGATATATAAGTGACATGGAAGCAGAAGATCAGACTGCCCATGTCAGTCAAGGTCAGATTCAGAATAGGCATTAAAAATATGTTTTGGAGTTATAATGAGGCTCTAGAAAATGTGAAGCCATGAAATAGTTTTAAATGCAAACTTGGTATGGTGTGACAACCTAAAAAACAGAAAGAAATTCTGCAAAGATATTGAATTGATTGGGGAATGTGCAGGTGATTTGCAAATCCAGGATATGCAGGCTTTGGGGACCATAGGCATGGTAAGGAAGTTGAGGCAAAGGGAAACTTTTAAAGACAAAAGGGGAAACTATACATATTTTGTTTGTAAACAAAGCAAACACTGGTTACAGAGGCTTATCGCAGGAGTTGACCCCATTCATTAGTGGAGACAGAGTGTCAGGCAACTGTTCTTGTGCATTCAGCTAACTGCAGTTTAAAAAATCACTGCCAAAAGTTCTTGTTATAAGGCATACGTGTGTAAGAGCCCTTTAGAGGGTCTTTGTAATAGGTCTTATCATTGGCATGTGTATGAGGGCCCTCCACTCCTAACCTCCTGGGGTTTTATTTATTTTTGTTAGGGTTTGACACAAGTGACTCAGTTTTAATTCTGACAACTTTCATAGGTGATATGTGTGCCTTGTTATATTTCTCTGGAGGCAGTTTTCAAAGAGGGGAAAACTTGAGGCAAGGAGATCATTAAAGGAAAAATGCATTAATAGATCCCTGAATTAGGATAGCAGTGGTGAGCAAGGAAGAAAAGGAGGGAGAGAAAGAAAGGGAAGAATGAAGGAAGAAGAAAGGAAGGAAGAGAGGGAAGAAGAAAACCACAAAAGTGGGCAAATGAAATTAGGATTAAATTAGTGAGGAATTGGATAAATTATAGAGGAATCAAATACGACCCTAAAGTTTGACTTAAAAGCTCTAGCTTAAACTTTAAGGCTAATTTTTATGCTGTAACCATTGGTTGAATTCGTTTTGTTTTCTTTTAAAAATATTTATGACTTTCAGTTTATACATTCTTTCTATTTCTCTACCTGTTAAGATGTGAGTGTACTGATTTTACTTATTAAAACATATTAAAACAACAAATTGCTATTTGATTAGTTCCTGGCTATTTATTAGATTTTATTACTTCGTTTTATTTCCAAATTTTCTTTTAGATGTATTGCCATTTCACTTCACTATCCATTTCAAATTTCTTTTCAGCATTACTTAAAAAGTAATTTAGGTTTATTATAATGAGAACATTTTTGTAACCCCAATTTTTAAATGGCAGCATCTCATGTGACTCAATAGCTGAAAAATTACTAGCACTTTATAATGCATTTGTTTATATTACCTAGTGGCCCATTATCCCTTCTGAGAGAAGCTGCCCATCACATGATCCTCACTACAGAGCCAGATAAGGCCGACTGTAGGCAGACATGTTTTCTATTTTGTGACTCACCCATGCCCACTTCCTTCCCCCATGGCTAATCACTATCTACAGCCTGACTTGAAAACCTTAATGAAGCCTCCCAGCACTTTGGGGGGCCAAGGTGGGCGGATCACGAGTCAGGAGTTCGAAACCAGCCTGGCCAACATGGTGAAACCCTGTCTCTACTAAAAATACAAAAATTAGCTGGGCGTGGTGGCAGGCACCTGTAATCCCAGCTACTCAGGAGGCTGAGGCAGGGGAATCGTTTGAACTCGGGAGGCTGAAGTCGCAGTGAGCTGAGATCGTGCCATTGTATCCAGCCTGGGCGACAGGGCAAGACTCCGTCTCAAAAAAAAAAAAAAAAAAAACAAGCCTTAACGGAGCCCTACTTCTTCCGCTGGAGTGTGAATTAAGTGATTCCAAGACAATCAATTTGGTTACTAAAGAAAACTGGAGCTGGAAGGGGCTGGAAGGGTAAGTCCCAAATCAAAGTTATAAGCACAAACATCGTATGTAACCCCCAGGAATGCGGTCAGAAGGGAGAGAAAAATGGAGCTGACAACAGAGAGGAAATAGCTTGGAAAAAGAATGAGCTTGTGACATATGAGAACAAGAGCTTTTATCAAGACTGACATCTTTCCAACTCGTTTCTGTCTTTGAAATACTCCCTTTTTAGAAGTAAACTCCATGTGTGTTTGGTTTCTTATCAAACTAGCTTATCCCAAGCTTTCTACAAATCTCTTCCAACTCTTCATTTCTGGAAACGAAAATATGCCTAAACCCCATTCTCAGAGGCATATTATCAGGGGATGAGCAGACACACTTTCATAGAAGGAAACAGGATAACTAAGCCTCTCTTGTAAAATAAATATTCTTAAGTTATAGATAATACTTGTATCTCCTCCCATCCTTGCAACATAAAATTAGTTCGGAATCTCAATCTCCTTTTCTGAAAGGCATGCGGTCTTTCCACGTTCTGTACATTCTTGTTAACACTTGAAACAGTTTAGCCATTTATTTAAGCAAAAAGACAAAGAAGTTTTCAAAAAACAGAAAAACAGGTATTTTGTATATACAGCAGCAGTATTTTTGTATTTCACAATAAAATCAGGAAATATCATTAATCCTATCAGCCTGAAAAAACAAGCCAACATCTCCAAGTGGAGGGCCAGCTGCTTGCAGTTGCCTTTACATCACGAATTGCCATAGGAAATTATGGACCTCCCTCTGGGAGTTCCAAGAACATTTCTTCGAGGGCAATTTTGACTTGACTGAATCAGCAAACTGAGACCCTCTATGAGGGAAAAAACTGTCATCAGAGGAGGCATTTTAGGAGACTAATTCTGATTCTACTAATTGTAAAATATGTTCTTGTGACAGGAGATCCTTTCGTTAGAACACAAGAGAAGGAAATTAAATGTCCGCAGAACATAACTAATTTTCTCTGACATTTCTGACTTTTAAAAATGAATATACCATAAATTCACTGCTTCAAATCCCATTTGAAAATTGGTGTGGTGAATACCTAAACAAGGAAACCACAAGGTGAAAATCCAATAAACATTCAAAGTATACACATTGTAAGTATTTTGTCCTGTGACTGCTGTTAATCACAACACATTTTAACTAGCATTTATACTTGCTTTGAGCAATTTTCAAGTCATATAATAAAGTGAAACTAACTGTGTTTAGCCACACCTTATTTTTAACCCCACATTGTATTACCTAGCTTGAAAGTTATACCAGCCTTCATCTAAAAATGACTTTTCACATTTTCCAAAAAGAATCAGTTCTACTCTCAAAAAATGAAGATTAAGACTTCTATTTTTTAAAGTGGTACAAATTCTGAAGGTATTAATTCCAAAAGAAGTTGCAAAAATATTTTGTCTAACAAGTTTCCCTACGAGATTACTCTAAAAGGGATAATTCGCATGGGAACATAAAAATCAATGTAGTTGTTTTTTCTTTAGAAAATTAGCCACAATAAAGAAAAAACTACTAGGAAAATAAATAGAAAAGAATTTTTAAATTGTTACTGCTATTTTTATTCCTGTTACATTTTTGTGTTGACGTAGCCCAATACCCATGCTTCTCCAAACCTCCTCCCACACACACTTAATTATATTAACAAATATTTTTGAACCCTACTCTGGTAGGCACGGTTCCAATCAGGTCTTGTCTACCCATTGGTCACCATATGTACTATCTGATTAAATTTGAATATGTTTTACTTGCTATATTTATAGTGTACGTATAACAACATTTTTCACTTACTGAGCATCATGTGTATCCACCATAGTTTACTTCCTAGTATGCAGGAATGCTAACATGTATTCCTCCCTTTCACAAGAATGAATTGATATTTATGTCGTTGATGGAAGTAAGTGCTTAAGCAATGTTTAGGTTTATCAAAAACTCCCCCTCTTTAGTTTATGTACATATTAACAAAACAAACAATATCATACATAGTCACCCATTGCTTAATGGTGGAGATACATTCAGAGAAATGCATCTTCAGGTGATTTTATCATTGTGCTAACATCACAGAGTGTACTTACACAAACCTAGAGGGTGATATAGCCCACTACACATGTGGATTATATGGTATAGCCTATTGCTCCTAGGCTACAAACCTGTGCGGCATGTTACTGTACTGAATTCTGTAGGCAATTGTAACAAGATGGTGTTTGTGTATCTAAACATATCTAAACATAGAAAAGGTAATGCTTTGTGCTACGACTTTATGACTGCTATAAGATCACCAAGGGTTAGGAATTTTTCAGCTCCATTATAGTCTTGTGGGATCAGCATTGTATAGGTGGTTTATTGTTGACCAGAACTACCTTATGTGATGCATGAGACTACATAGTTCTAAATAATAGTATAGCACATACGTACTACCTACAATTACTCTTGTATAGTCAGCTCTTTTTTTCTTTTTTTTTTTTTGGTTAACTAAAATTTTATTTATGGGTTTTAACGTAATTAAGTTCTCTGAAACCTTGAATGTTTAGACAGATAGCTAACCCAAATTTATTTTCCTAAATATACAAATGTTGAAAAAAAGTGAGTCTTTTTGCGTGAATTATCAGAACATCTAACCTCATTTACCCATATCAGAAATATATACTTTATTTGGCACCATTTTACCCTAGATAAAGAGGATATTATTTAAAGTGTATTTTAAAATAGAAAACACTTGTGCCAAATGTTGAGGAAAAAAACATACAGAGTATGTGGGACAACTATGAGGAAAAAATGATTATGTCAATATGGTTCCAACAAACCTATTTCTAGCAAATAAAACCTAATCTAAAATATCAGCCCAGAATTATGCTATTCATTTATTTTCGCATATAAAGAGAGGACCAAATACATGCTGCTATTATGTGAGTTAATGTGTGGGGTATGGGGTAGGGAAGAATGTGGAAGAATACAAGTATGAGAAAAAAATCATATTTGCCGTATTTTTAGAAATATTTTAATTGCAAATATAGAAACCCACCTTAGTCAACTCAGTTTCCTGCAAAGGATTCATTGGCACATGTAATCTAACTTTGTCAAGGTCAGAATGCAGCTGGGTCACACAAGGCGGCTGCATCAAAGGACTTGCCAGGATGCTCTCCTTTCACTTCTTGCCCTTGGTTTTCTGTGTGCATCCTCTTTATCTAATTAATCTGGTTTTTCCCACTGGCTTAGAAACAAGAATACTAATGGTCTTATTAATATTGCTAATGTTCACTTCCAAAGAACTGAAATGCTCTTTGCCCAATGTTAAATTCTAAAAATTCCCAGAAAGTATTGTAATTGGTCCTAATTGAATACACTGTCCATCTTCGGACAAATAATAGTAGTCAGGGGCATTGGGCATCATAATGGGGACAACTTGGGTCAGGTACTGCATCCTAGGTCAATCACTGTAGCCATGGAAACCTCTACCATATCCAAGAATGAAGGAGAAGTCTGAACAGAAAATCAGTAGGTGTCCACTACACTGTCCTTAGAAGTTAAAATAATTAGGTTGCCACATGACAAAACATGCTATTAACTTTTAGATAGAACATCTTAAGCTGTCAATTAGTTTTCCAATATGAAATTTATTTTAAACACAACTAAGTACGTAATATTTCCAGAATGGGAATAAAGTGAATTATGTCCAGCGTTTAGAGACGAACTGAAACTGTGCCATTAGAGAGTGTTCTAAGTGCTGAATTGTTTGTATTCAATAAAATAATTGCCATTTTCTCAAGACACCCAATTTGACAGTTCACAAAGCTCCACAGCACCTACTGTTTATGATCCTAATTATATGAGCACAACATAAAACCACCGTGAACAAAAACCACATCAGACTGTCTCAAAGAACAGACTAACAAAATGAAAGATTCTCATACAATAAATAATGAAATGCTTATATATTAAGAAGACCAAAGTTGTGATATCTAAAATGGCACAATAATTTTTCCAGAATTACGTTCTAAAAAATAACATTTAAAAAGAAATGTATCATTGCCTGCAGAGTTTGAAATTGCTGTCTCTGACAGCATTACTTCCTGTTGATACCAATTTTCCCGAGGGGCAAGACATTTAACTGGCAATCCCCCTCCAACTGAGAGCCATCAGTGTCTGTTTATAACCAAGTCTTTGTTGATTTGGGGTCCAGGCCTTGTTCCATAGTCCGGGGGCTGCATTCTGTTTGCAGCAAATGGCCCAGTCACTGAATGAGCAAGCATCCGACATTGTGCTCTTATTCCTCGGCTGATAATGTTTGCGCTACTTCCAACTGCTTCAATATTCTTCACATGAGCCACTTTGTTGAATACTTAAAGCAGGACTTAGCAGTCTCCAAAGATCATAATTCATGATCATGGACTTCTGATACACCAGCTACTGGTTTAAGCCATACTCATAGACCCTCAAGAAAATCACAAACATTCTTGTCTCATGTTTTCTGGGTACTTTAACGATGCCATACTATCTACTAGAGAAAAATCCCCAGAGGATAGTACGTGTGAATTAGTCATTTTTTTCATCTTGTAAACTCAACACCTATGGGATAGTAAGCACCTGATAAGAATCTGTCGATTAAATGACTAAGTGAATGACATTTCCAACTAGGAAGAAATAATTCCATTGGAAGTGGAGAGGATGGGCTTCCACAATACAGTGCCAATTGTCTTCATGCTTAAGGTTCAATGTTTGTTATATTAAAACATAATAATGGCTGGGCGCGGTGGCTCACGCCTGTAATCCCAGTACTTTGGGAGACCGAGGTGGGCGGATCACCTGAGGTCGGGAGTTCAAGACCAGCCTGACCAACATGGAGAAACCCCGTCTCTACTAAAAATACAAAAGTAGCCGGGGTGGTGGCGCATGTCTGTAATCCCAGCTACCCAGGAGGCTGAGGCAGGAGAATCACTTGAACCTGGGAGGCGGAGTTGCAGTGAGCTGAGATTGCACCATTGCACTCCAGCCTGGGCAACAAGAGTGAAACTCCGTCTCAAAAAAAAAAAAAAAAAAGAAATGTAATAATGATAGCTCCTACCTATCATTTATTCTTTCATTACCTTGACCATTAGTAGAAAAAACAAGCAAAGGGCTCTCTCAGGAGAGCTGTAAGAGATAACAATAGTTTTCACATTAAGTGGTAGCTCTTGAAGTGAGAAGAGGGCAAATTCTGAATATATATTGACTGTACAAACAACAAGATGTGTGATGAAATAGATATGTGGCATGAGAGAAAACAGAAAAGTATACATACAGACAGACACAGAGAGACAGAAACAGAGAGAGTGAGAGAGACGGACATATAGAGACATACACAGACATATAGACTAACAGAGTTCGAGAGAGAAAGAGAAAGATCAGGAAATGAAATAAGAAAGCAATTAACATATTAACTCTACTGAAGTCATGAGCCCACAAGGGTAGATAGAGGACAGAAACATCCAATGACAAAGACTTACAAGTTAGAACATTAAAAGAGGTGACTGGAAAGGAGCTGCCAGTAAGGCAAAAGGAAAACCAAGTAAACAAAATGTTTTCATCAGGAGAAAGTAATAATATTTGTTAAATATCACTTATAAATCAAGTTAAATCAAGACTAAAAGTTGTCATTATTCTGGTCAAGATCGAAGTCATTGGTGACCTTGTCAAGAGCATTTCAGAAGAGAAACAAGCAGGATTGTTTGATTACAGGTCTGTTACAGAGAATGGGAGGAAAAAAGAGGAAATCGCGTTTTGAGCAATGCTTATAAAGAGCTTTATTCTAAGAGATTGCAGAACAGGGGTGAAATGATAGTAGGTACTAGCTGGAGCTTATTTTTAAGGGCAGGGAAGTTTACAGAATGCTTGAATAATACAAACAAGCGAAATGAAGTAGTGAAAGATGAAGAAGACAGAGTAATTGCAGGAGTAAATTTTTAGTGAATGCACACAATATGTAAGATACAGCATCAAGTGATTTACTTGTGTCTTATTTAATGATTAAAACAAACTCTGAGGTAAATATTGTTATGCTGTTTTACAGATGCGGAAATCACTTAGAGAAGTTTAGACTGCTTGACTAAAGTCACACAGCTGGTAAGAGACAGAGCCAAAAGTTAAACCCAAGACTGCTTCAAATCTCCATGAACTTGACCTAATCATTAGCTATAGGTAATACATTTTGCCAGGCCACTAATGTACAGCCATTAATCTTATCTGAACCCAGGCGCATAAAATTATCTGTACAGCCTTCAAAGTACCCAAGAATTTTCTTCAGCACTAAGACAACCTCAAATCATGGTTTTTACAAATCTCGGCTACATAGTTTTCCATGGTTGAGCAACAGAAAATATATATACATACGTATATATTTCTATCAAGCTAAATACGTAGTTTACATATAAATCTCATGTTCAGTTTTTCAGCAAAAAACAGTAAGTTGCTCAGAAAAAAATATACCATAGACCTAGAGAGAAATTCAGATATTTGCTTTTCAGGGTCCTATTTTATGAGTGTGTACACCAAGGCAAAGAAACGTTAAATCACTTACCATTGACAGACATGGAATTAGAACCAGAGAAAAAAGGTGAAAACTCATGGAAAAATTAAAATAAATACATTTACTTTTCTGTTCTTTTTCAAGATGTTACATACCCTTACTTTGAAATGTGTAGCTAAAGAGATTGCAATTAGACCCTAAATCAAATAAAGAGGTAAAAAGTTGTAGAACTGAAACTTAGGGAATCTGTAAATTACGGAAGTTTGTTTTGGCTTTTACAAATTAAAAAAATCTTAGCCTACACTCCGATAGATCTTTCATTTCTGTAGTAGAATGTGAGGGATTTTGTGTAATACCTGGAGATGAGCAGGCCTAGTTCTAAATTTTCAGTGAGTGACTTTGGATATTTTGCCTCCCTAAGACTCAGTTTCTTCACTTGAGAAACAAGGTTAATGACAGTGCCTACCTCAAAGAGTTGTGAGGATTATATGATATAATTTTGGTGGAGCATACTGCCTGGCTCACGCTGTATACTACATCAGGTTCATTATTTTTATTTCCTTTTCTATTTGATATAAATATTTCTTTTTCTTGAAAGCCACTGAAGTTTAAAATGGATTCCTATCTTCCTTAGTTTGTTTTTAAACTAAAGAGGGTAAAAGTAATATCTGAGTAATGGTTCACAAAGATCAAAAGACATAGATTTTGGCATAACAGTATTTTAAATCCATGTCCTTAGAAATAAAGACTCTTAGAAAACATGCTAGATTTATCTTCATGAGATTTGCAGAGTTATTTTAAGAATTCTACAGCAGTTAAAAAAAAAAAAAGCACATTAAAATAAAAGCCCTACCTCAATGCATTCTCACCACCAAAGATGCTTTTTTATTGTCTTGTTTCAATATTATATATTATATATATGTGTGTGTGTGTGCATATATTAAGTACCTTCTCTATTCTAAGCACTATGCTTCAAATAATTACTCCACTCCTAGTCCCACATTAAATTTTAAAAACCTGAATCCCCAAAAATCTTCATCTGGAATTTTTTTCTTTCCTTCTTTTCTTTTCTCTTCCTTTTTTTTTTTTTTCTTTTTGAGACTGGCTCTTGCTATGTTGCTCCAGCTAGCAAAGAACTCCTGATCTCAAGCAATCCTCCCACCTCAGCTGCTCCAGGACTGGGACTACAAGTGCATGCCAACATGCCTGGCCTGAAGCACACTCTTAATACTACTTTCCCTATATTTTTAGAGGAGAAAGAATACCTTCAACTGCCAGATATAAAAATATGAGTTTCAAATCCCTGAGAAGAAAGTATTCCATGACCACATTATTAGAAATCTGGTAGAGGTTATTTAATTTTGTGTTTCATTTAATGAAAAAAATTTAAATTTTCTCTCCTATGTCTCCTTGAAATTCATCAGGATATCGCAGTTCACAGTGGTATGTTACTAATTACTATCACACAGCCTAAATTGCCAGTATTTCACAAGTGTTGCATCATTATATGCTTGTACAGCTTACATCCAAATCACTATTAATATTTAACATTGTCTAGTGACTGAAAAATAAAAACAAAGCTAAGCTGATGGGCTATTATTAAAAAAACTATAAAAAAAAAACCTTAAGGAAATAAATTTTCAGCCAACTAGCTTCCCTATTTTTTCCTTGACTTAGAAAGTTTTTCTGCTTTGCCTCCTAACACCTGATTCAGTTGATCTAAATTGTTTTTCTAAAAAATTATGCTTGACATTAATTTACCGTATCTGTTGAGAATTAATTTCTCACATCTTTCTAGGGTTTTGTGTTCCCAGTAGAGCTTATTTGTCATACAGTCTAAATTATCTCTAATCCAGCCAAAGGAACTCAATTTTCATACCACTTCTCATTCTAGTAATATAGCGTTTGGTCTGGAAGTGTCTCATTATTCTAATAGGTCTCTGGTTAGAATGTGGTCAATGGCTGTGCTTATTCATGTTTCTGGATTTGTATATGATACATAAACTCAGGGGTCTACAGGAAAAAAGTACTGTTTCCACACTGCAGTACTAATCCCAGCAGAGGTTTTAAGAATTTATTTATGAAAAGTCTTCTCAGATAACCTCCTATTCTGCCATCTGGTTTACCAAAATCAAACCTCCTATTCTGCCATCTGGTTTACCATAATCAATCTGCTATCTGGCTTCATATAGTTATTTCATGACCTAAATATAAAGAAGAGAAAATTGTCTCTTTGCTATATGAAATTCAGTCTAAGGAATTAAAATTAGCAATGTTACAGTTTTTAATCCTCTTCGTTTCAATAGTCCTTGTAGGCTGAGAATATAGATTTCTATATTCCAGATTATTTAGGGAGGTTTATTATTAATAAACATACTTTGTTAATATCACCCCTACCTTTTCTGTGCCTTATTTTAAATGTGAAGCCCTAATCCAATAGATATTGTGGCTATGTTTAACCCTTGCCATGTTACTGAGCATAGCAGTGTCATATTGGAATGCAAAGGGTTTCAGCACTCTTCTGCTTTAAGGCCAGCTCAATATCACATATGAAAAAACAAACAAGAAACTGTCTTCTCAGGACAGCTTTACACAGATGCACTGATAGCTATTCTGTAAGTTATTGGGTGCTGAATGTGTGAACTGAAGGAGAATACTGAGCTCCAAACATTGAATATCCTGATTTTTATTCACTAATTTCCATTCACTTCAGAAAGTGTTCACTGAAAAATCTATGAGGTCTAGCTGTCTTGAGACACTAAGAAGAATAAAAATGTGTGAAACATGACCAGAGTTTTTGAAAACTTGGCAAAAGACAAACCATATTGCCAGTGAAGGAAATATTACCACAAAATGATGAACGTAAAAAGACCATGTGCAGTAGAAGGTAACAAGGGAAGATGGTAGATAAAGGTCCTGCTGGAGATTAGTGTGACATACAATGGATTAAGTAAAGTGGGCCAGACTGTAAAGGCCTTTTAAATGAGTGAGGCAAGACAACTTGTTAGGATATAAAAGCATATGTTATTTACACTATTGTGAGCAGTGTTTTTGTTGTTGTTGTTGTTTTGCCAATGAATATCAACAAAAGAAAGCCACACTTTTGTGTAATAAAAATTATGGCAACCACCATTGTGTAAGGCTCTACCACCTTAGCTCCTCTTACTCCAACTTCTGGCACCAAAGAAAAACTTGGATTGTTTATTAATCCAGTAGGTGAGGAAGGGAGGTCTCAGTGATGGTGAATATTTAATATTTCACCAGCGACAAGTGTGAGCTCGGAGCAGAACACAGACTTACTGGAATGTAATAATTCTGCTGTTTGATTGCTATGAAGCAAATTTCATATCCAATAGACAAGATGAAATTTGTTTCTTGAGTAAACTTCACTCTCATTTTGGGAGTTATTCAAACAATAATTCAGTAATGTAATCAAATACAATATTTACACAAAACAATAATTTTCCAACCCCTAGCAATAATTAACTTTTAAATATAATAGAAAAAATTTTTAGTCACAATTTCAACAAAACTATTAAAAATCAATTCCAAAAAATCTACAAGAAGAAACTATATACTTTAAAATGCTGAACTATATAAAGAACAGAATAGACACCACAAAAGTAAATTTAAATACATCTTTTCCTCCAATTAGTTTACTTCTAAGCATCTATCATCCAAATAGATTGCAGCTATGATTTCAATAGCAAAAAACTGGAAACATAAATGTGTATCACTAAGAAAATGGTGAATTGTATAGTAAATTCATATTAGAGAATGTAAGAAAGTGTTTTTTAAATCTCCAAGATACATTATTGCATTAAAATAATTGTAGAATAATATGTATATTATATAATACTATTTGTGTTAAAAATAAATCAGCATCATGCAAAAACTGTCTGTGTGTGTGTTTGTGTGTGTGTGTGTACTCTGGTGAGAAAAATTAAAGAAAACCAAAGTAAATAGGTTTCTACGGATCCAAGTAAAACTAGAGCAGCCTATTTGGCCTTTAGGTGATCAAGAAACAAATTGCAGTTTTCTTTAAGTTAATGCTATGCAGAATTTTCTGTCACTTTCAGACAAACTAAAATGACCCATAGAATGGGTTTATTGGAATGATCCCATGAATATCATCAATATCAACTGAATATGTATATTCATAACGAATCTGAAAGCCTCAAATTTCCATCGTTCTCCTTCTGTATCAAGTGGTTTTTTTTTTTTTTTTTTTTTTTTTTTTTTTTTTTTTTTTTTTTTGAGACGGAGTCTCGCTCTGTCGCCCAGGCTGGAGTGCAGTGGCGGGATCTCGGCTCACTGCAAGCTCCGCCTCCCGGGTTCACGCCATTCTCCTGCCTCAGCCTCCCAAATAGCTGGGACTACAGGCGCCCGCCACTACGCCCGGCTAATTTTTTGTATTTTTAGTAGAGACGGGGTTTCACCGTTTTAGCCGGCATGGTCTCGATCTCCTGACCTCGTGATCCGCCCGCCTCGGCCTCCCAAAGTGCTGGGATTACAGGCGTGAGCCACCGCGCCCGGCCTCAAGTGGTTTTACCAAAACCTTTCCAATGCCCTTAGGTTGGAAAATTGCCTCAGCCCCAGTATCTGTGACTCATAATTTGCAAAGCCTTTCAAAGAGATAGTCTCCTTCTGTTAATCTTCTAAGTACCAGAATGGATGCTAAAACTAGTTTCTTCATTTTAGCCTTTTATATTGTATCACAGCATGATCTCTGATGAAGGATTTTTGAATTTGCATTCACTAATGTTCTCAGCATGAAATTGGAGAGGATATTTTTGTCTTGTTTGTGTCAGATTCAATTCTTCCTAAACTAGTACACATAAGATGCACACTTTTTCCAGGATCACTTTTAGGTATTATTTTATGGAAAAACAGGTATGTGGATTTAAAAAAAAAATCCAGGTCATCTATCAATCACCATGCTACACCAAAATCATTTTTTTGGTTATAGTTTTGGGGCTCATTCCAAGAAGGATGGGCATGATTGGACCAATTTTCAGGGATATACAGTGCATTTTTGAATATATATTATATATTTCTTCAAATAAAATAAGCATATGTTTTGATTAAGCGTAGTTTAAGACTAGTGATTGCTGACACTACAGAAAAATCAGGAAATTATGTAAACAAGTTGGGAATTTCAATTGGTAGTTTAGTTCCAAGGCTGATTCTTTTGTTAAAAACACAAGAAAGTTAACAGGAAAGTGTGTTTGTTCCAGTACCAACCACTGGGCAACAAAACTTAAGTACTAACCCTGATACTTTCAGTTGGGTTTTCTTACAGATACTCTAGTAGGAGTTTCTGGATTATCATTTTCAAGTTCATGAAAATTTTCTGTATTGGAGGTGAAAGATTTCCTGGATGGTGATAGTTTGTCATGTCCAACCATTAAGCATCAAGACATGCAAATAATAAATGAGCCAGATTAGTCTCAAGAATTTCTCTTTATGTAAAATAATTTAGTTAATTAATAGATAAAGATTTGGTGATCTCCAGATCATCTGGGACATAATTTAGTCTTTTTCTTCTGTCATATGCTGATGACATTTCCCGCATAATCCCAGGCTGATCATACCAAAGGGTGAAAGTAGGCAGTTTACACTTACTTTGAGTACCCTAGAAAATGATCATATTTGGGTCTTTGAAAATCCCAATTTCCAAAAACTGGCTCCCCCTTGAGTTCTAATGAGGAATCAACCCCCTTGAAACTCCTTCACCATGAAAATTCCAATTTAAATATCACATTTTATATAACCCTAGCTAAAGTAATGGATCAAATAATAAGAATCTGATCAACAGTGGAAAATTCCAGAATCTCACCTTCCTGGTCACAATGACTGGTATGGGGGTGTGCATGTGCAACATGCTTGGCCAGTCAGGAACCCCTCACTGAAACCTTTAGAATACAAAATAAGTAGAATAAAGAGAGGCAAAGTGATAATAGGCAAACTTGAAGTTACCAATGCCATTTTGCCTGCAATGTGGAAACAGTCATTCAAGTCTCTGGTTCCAGTAGGTTCCTAGAATTGCTTCTGTATGACCTCAATGTTTTAGTTAGTGTATAGGCTAAACTGCTATAACAAAGAAGAACAAAAATGCCATTGCTCAAACCAGATAGTAGTTTATTTCTTTCTAATGAAATAACCTAGCTGTAGGCAAGCAATGGGGAGGGGAAAGAAGATTCTCTTTTGCAAGTTACACATAAAACAATATTTCCTCTATCATTTGCTCTACATCCCCTGGAAAAATGCCCTTGTTTGAGGGGTAAAATCTGCTGCATAACATATTGTCTCCATAATAGAATTTAGCCAAATATCTGCAGCTAGGCAAGGAGGAAAGGTGAGGAGGAAAGGTGGGGTGATGGCTGAGAAATATAGCCTCCAACTGGACATGTCTATGTATACAGTTTAAAATGGGGTTGTTTTAACAGAAGAAAAAGAGAATAAATATTTGCAACATTTGTCAGTTTCAACCTGACAGAACATATTTCTTTGATTCTTTCTTGAATTCTGCAAGCTACCCCAATTTTTTGCCTAAGCTACTTTGAGTAGCTTTCTGCAATTTGCTAATCCAGAGAGGTAATGGTACTGTGAGTCACTTGGATTTTTAACAAAAAAAAATCTATTTCCAGAATTAAAAATATCCATGAAATTTTGAAACTTCAACTGCCCCAGGCCTTGGCAAAAATTAGGCATTTAGTTAAAGAATACTGAACAGTTCAAAATCCAGATTTGAAAGATTTAACATGAAGTTCTAGAGTGATTAACTTTTCCTGCTTTCCCTGGGAATTTCTTGATCTTATCACTAAAAGTCCTGTGTTTCAGGAAGTCCTCTCATTCCAGGAAAACTGGGATGGTTAGTAATCCGAAACTATAACCCTATATTTGGGCTCTTAGTTGCTGTTTTCATCCCAGTTCCATTGGCCAGCCTTCACCCTGATGACCTCATTACTTTCAGGTTCTCTAATAATCTTCAAATTAAGTAATCTCAAAATTTCTCTCACACATTCTCATGAGTATAATGATCTTATAAAATCCCAGGCCCCTGGTTGTAACTGCATTCTGGTTCTCGGTGGTAAAAATTCAGTCATCCCATTTGAAATACACACTAGGAAAATATCTTCTGGACTTGACTTCCAAGAATCTACCACAATCACTGGCATATAAGTATGCCAGAAACAAAATAACAGTTTTATAAATAAATGAGTCAGTCTTCACAGGTTTCCTCTTCCTATACTCCCAATCCCCTTGGTTTATACCCCTGCTTAGATCTCTTCCCTCCACGTTTGGGTGAGTGTCCTAATGGTTAGGGTCCTGCTAGCCTGTTGTTACTTGGTCATACAAAGTATCTCTTTGCTTGAGCTACCATTCATCGTATTTAGTATGCTTAGTCTCCAGATGACTGTATCACCACTGTGGGTGTGACTAATGTGAAATCCCACTAAGTTATTCTCTGGACAATTTATCTATCGTTAAAATTCATTGCAAATGTTTTTGGTACTTGTAGACTAAATAGCTTGATTCTTTCAAGGAGCTAGGCAATGGATATTTTCTATCATAAACAAGGTTTAACACTCTTTATTTCCTCACAATTCAGCCTTGTTTTTCCTCACAATTTGAGAATTGCTAATCCAGAGAGGTGATGGTACTGTGAGTCACTTGGATTTTTGACAAAAAAATTCTATTTCCAGATTAAAAAAGAAAAGAAAAAATTTTTCCAGAATAAAATAAAAAGATTTAGGCAAATTGTGAGAAAGACTTTTCTCACAGTTTACCTAAATCTACTAGCTTACTCCAAAATTTCCTTGAAATCTTCAGTGAGCCAAGTACATAGGTTTCAAGTGAATCCTTTTAATTACTGCTGGGCTCACTAAAGAATATTTCCACCTTCACGAACAGGCCACACCAGCATTTCCAATACTACCTGGCACCATCACACCTTCACCTCTGCATTTCAGCCACACAGCTGCTTTCTGTCTCCCATATGGCCAATGCTCCCCTAGCTCTAGGGCTTTCATAAGGACATTTTGGTCAACATAGAACTGCATATATGATAGCAGTCCCATAACTGAAAATTGTTTATCACCTAGTGACATGATAGCCATAAAAAAGTCACAGTGCAGTGCATTACTCATGTCTTTGTGGTGATGCTGGTGTAAACAAACCTACTGCACTGCCAGTCCTATGAAAGTATATCACATAAAATTATGTACAGTACATAATCCTCAATAATGATAGCAAATGGCTATGTTACTGGTTTATGAATTTACTCCACTATACTTTTTAATGTTAAAGAGTATTCCCTCTGCTTTAAAAATAAAAATGTGCATTGTAAGACAGTATGCCATGTTAAGCCAGCAGCAGCCTCATACATCTTGTGTTGACTGTGTCTCATTATTGCATCGTGTTCTCTTGTGATTGATTTAATCTCAGGTTGTTTTGTCCATTGCCATACCTAAATGTACAAAATCTACTGCTAATGTGGCCAGTAAGAGGTCCCTTCCAGTGATTGACCTGGAAACTAAATTAGAAGTTATTACAGACTACAAAGGTGGAAAATCGGTGGTTATTGCTTGCCAGACAGGCATATCCCATTCCACCATTGCTATGATCAACAACAAGAACAAAATGACAGAAGATGTTAGAGAATATGCTTCTTAGAGACAATAAGGCTAACAAAAATTCAAGAATGGCCTGTATCAGATAAGGAGAAACTTCTAGTAACCTGAAATTAAGACCAGACAAGGAAGTGTCTCTCAGCACAATGATAATCCATAGCCAAAGGAAAAGTTTGTTTGCAATGTTGAAAGAAAAATCTATAACCAACTACATGTTGAATTTATTGCTAGTTCTGGGTGGTTTAACTAATAAGGAATGATTATTCATTACATAATGTGAAAGTCAGTAATGAGTCTGTGAGTGGTGATGTGAAGGCAACTGAAGAGTTTTTGGAAACTTTGGATAAGATAGACTGAATATGAAGAAAAATTACTCACCAAAGCAAATCTTCAATATGAAGAAAACCACCTTATTCTGGAAATGGAGGCCTGAAAAAAACTTTCAACCATAAGGAGGCCAGTTCGATGCCATGTTTTAAGGCTTTTAAGGGAAGGATAACAATCTTGCTTGGAGGCAGTATTGCAGGCTACAAATTGAACCCCAGGACCTTCAAGCATATTAATAAGCACACACTGCCAGTGCACTGTAGGGCTTATTAGAAGTCATGGATGACCCAGCTCTTCTTTGAAGATGCCCTCCTGAATTGCTATGCCAATAAAAAGGAGAAGTACTGTTGGAGAATAATGTATCTTTCAGGATTTGCTTATTATTGATAATGCTCCTTCACATTCTTCTTTCATTAATAACCTTCATCCCAATATTAAAGTGGCGCTTCTCCAAACACCACCTCTTTGATCCAACAAAGGGATCAAGGAGTTATAGCAGATTTTAAAGCCTATTACCTAAGGAGGACCAATGCCTAGGCTATTTCTGCAACTGAGAAAGACCCTGAGAAGACACGGATGCAATTCTGGAAAGATTCCAGCATCTGCAATTTTTGAAAAACCTTGCCTGGTATTGGGGTGATGTCACCACGGAGTGTATGGATGGCATCTGGAAGACAACACTGAAGAGTTTATCCGTGAATTGAAAGGGTTTGCGAAGGATGAGAAGGTTGAAAAATTCAACAAGCCTGTAGTTGAGATATTAAACAACTTTAACCTAAACGTGGATGAAGATGACATTGAGGAGCTTCTAGAGGTGATTCCTAAGGAATTGACTAATGAGAAGTTGTTGTAACTAGAACAGAAATGCATAGCTGAAGAAGAGGCAAGAGAAAAGGAAACCACAGGAGAAGAAAAAGAAGATCCCCCAAGAAAATTTACATTAAAAGTTCTAGCAGAAGCTTTTACAAATCTCAGCAAGCTCCTGAAAAACTGAAAACATGGACCACAACACTGAAAGGTTTTTATAAATACAGAGGAATATTAGTGGTGCATTATCTTCTTACAAGCAAATCCATGAAGAAACAAAAAAGAAACCAATAAAGCAAATCACCGTGAACATATTTCTGAAAAGAGTGGCACTTCCTCAAGAAAGCTTAAGCAGGTCTTTCAGGGGTTATTCCATCAGAAGACATTGTTACCAGAAGAGATGTAAGCCCCATGCATGTTGTCTCTGTAGACCTTCCAGCGGGACAAGGCATGGAGGTAGAAGACAGTGATATTGATGGTTCTGACCCTGTATAGGTCTAGGCTAACACATGTGTTTGTGTCTGAGGTTTTAATGAAAAGGTTTAGAATGTAAAAAAACAAGTGAGTAATTTTTAAAATGGGAAAAAGTTTACAGAATAAGAATATAAAGAAAGAAAAGATTTTGTACAGCTATACAATATGTTTATGTTTTAAGCTAAGTGTTGTTATGCAAGAGTCAAATAATTTAAAAACTTAGAAGTTTATAAAGTAAAAAGTTAGAGTAAGCTAAAATTAATTTATTATTAATAAAAGAAAAATATCTATAAACATTTAGTGTAGCCTAAGTGTAGAGTGTTTATAAAGTCTATAGGCTGGGTGTGGTGGCTTACTCCTGTAACCCCAGCACTTTGGGAGGCCGAGGCGGGTGGATCACCTGAGGTCGAGAATTCGAGACCAGCCTGACCGACATGGAGAAACCCTGTCTCTACTAAAAATACAAAATTAGCCAGATGTGGTAGTGCATGCCCATAATACCGGCTACTCAGGAGGCTGAGGCAGGAGAATCGCTTGAACCCAGGAGGCAGAGATTGCGGTGAGCCGAGATCACGTCTTTGCAGTGAGCCGAGATCACGTCTTTGCACTCCAGCCTGGGCAACGGGAGCGAAACTCCGTCTCAAAAAATAAACAAATAAATAAATAAATATAAAGTTTATAATAGTGTACAGTAAGGTCTTACACTTTCACATTCACTCACCACTCACTCACTGACTCACCTAGAGCAACTTCCAGTCTTGCAACCTCCATCCATGGGAAATGTTCTATAGAGGTGTACTATTTTTATCTTTTACACCATATTTTTACTTTACTTTTTCTATATTTAGATATGTTTAGATACACACATACTTACAACTGTGTTACAAATACCTACAGTATTCAGTATGGTAACATGCTATACAGGTTTATAGCTCAGGAGCAATAGGTTAGACCATATAGCCCAGGTGTATAGTAAGTTGTGCCACCTAGATTTATCTAAGTATACTCTATGATGATCACACAATGATGAAATTGACTAATGACACATTTCAATTCCCAGTCATTAAGTAACACATGACAATATGTTCATCTTCTTCTTTTTGCCTATGGTAACCTCTCCTTTCTTTTTTACCTGGCTAACTTTCACTCATTCTTTACGTTTCAGATTTAAACCCTCCTTCACTAGAGAATTTTCATGATATCTCCATCCCTTACCTGGGATATATATTCTTCTTATGCACCCTCATATTACCTTGTATTTTACCTATTGGAGTGTCCATTATTTTTGCATGTTAAGTTGTCTTTATTCTATGCTGAGCTATAAATGCTGTAATAGAAATCAGTATATCTATCTCGATCTAAATCAAATGCATAATGCTAACATATTGCCTGGCATAACAGATTTGTATTGGGAGTAGGAAGAGAAAGAGGGATGCATGGAGGAAAGGAAGGATGGATGAGTGATCTGAATGTGCCTCTTCATACCATGGACTAAGTTGACGGTGCTCACAAGACCTGATCTGCTTTTGTTTCTTGACCTCTCAAATCTTTTTCTTCCTTTGGCTGGTTGTACTTTTCCCCCTTTTAATAAGACTAGTGCATCTTTTACTTCAAGGCTTAGAGAAAATATATACTGCAGCAGAATATTGTTTCTGCCCACCTATCTCAAGTGACCTCCCCTAGTTGTACTCTGTATCATCACACATTTTAATTCTGTTATAGAAAAATCACAATTAATAGCCATTTTCCTTGTGTATTACATGCTTATCGTTTGTCAGTTCCCTTAGCATGTAAGCTGCATGAAGGCAAGGACTTTGTATATTCAGCACTGAATCTGCTGTTCCTAAATGAGTACCTGGCACATAATATTCTCCCTCTCTCTTTCTCTTTCACTTAAGTAAATAAATATATTTATTACATTAAAATGTATTATTTTTACCCTGTAAAATTTTTTCTTTATGTTTATACAGAATTGTACTTCTTATAAACCCAAAATTTAATTACATTAAGTTACATTTCCTATCAACATAGAAAGAAATTGACATATTTCCTGAATATATGTATAATAAATTTTAAAATATATCAATTAAAAATGTATTAATAATGTTAATGTGTTGTGAATATGCTCTTATTAGAATTTCCAACTATGTGTCTAGAGCTTTGAAATCCTATGATAGGTATAATAGTATTTAAAGCGAAAACTAATAGCAGAATTAAAGCAATAAAAACCAAAAGAGCATTAAAAGTCTTGATTGAAGATTGAAATTAGATAGAAAACTAAAAAATAGTGAAGAAAATGTTTGCTCACAATACTGAAAGGAATTTTGTAAGCTTTAGTTTATCATGAATAAAAATAACTGGATAACTGGATATTTTCTATAGTATTGTAGAAAAAGGACTAAATTCCCTTGACGACCTTGAAGCACTACGGGATAAAAAAAATTATATTCAGTATTCTTTTAGTAGTCTAATTTTTTGAAACATTGTAAACCATTCGTAGCTTGTCTCACTTTCTATGCTTTATGCTGTAAGTTGTAGAAAACATCCCCCAAGTTTTTATAGATAAGAAAATATATTATTTCATAACAAGAATAACAAAGCAACAAAATTCCAGAGTGCTTAATTTAGGAGTTTAGCATCTTCTTGTCTATTTTGCCACCTTCTTTGCATCAGCTTATTCTTTGGGATTGGCTCTTTGCATACTCTAAAGATGGCTGCCACAGTTTTAGGGATCACATGAAGATAACATTCTTCAGGGCAAAAAAGATAGTATTCCCCCTCATGCATGACTATGTAACATCACGAACAGCCTTTGGTAGAAACCTTCAAACATATTTCCCGACTTATCTTGTTGGTCAGAATAATGTCACGTGGAATTACTAAGGTTGCCTTTATCAATCAGGATTTACACACCACAGCAAAATTAAGCTTGTTCCATTGCTTTATGCATCAAGCCAGTTTGTCTTCCTGATTTTTAGCTTTTATTTCTCGTGGCATCTTAATTATAATACCTCAAGTCTGAAACGTACATAGCCATAATTTCATTCTCCTCAGAAAACATTCTTTTGTGAAGTTCTCCTTCTCACAGGTATCCTTTTAAGTGCATGGCCCTTGATGGCCTTATCGGGACCACATGATTCTACCCTATTAGGCACAGGGGATTAGACCAAGAGTGGACACATAAAACAATAGGAATTTATTTATATTGTTTAGCCACTCAGATTTTTCCATAATTTTCCACAAAAATGTGAACTACATGTCCCAAAGCTTGAATGAGTCTGGTGATTTGAGATGCTGAAGTCATAAATTTTTGTGGATCTGAGGCCAAAATTGGTACTGGGGCAAGCCAGAGTCATGGAAGTCAGATTTACAGAAAATCAGAAGGGTAATCATGGAAAAAAAAATCCTAGCCTACAAATATAAAATCAAACAGATGGAATTAGAAAGTACATTATGGCCAAGAGAAAAGTAGACAGCGACAGAGACAGAGAGAGAGACAGAGAAACAAAGAAACTTGCACATCGACTTTTTGCGGTTGCAGTAACACATAGTTGCATTTCCAATGGTGGGCTACATGAGATGCCTCTGTAACCTGATTATCAACACTCTTCTTTCTGGAAACTTGTTGAATGTTCTGTTTATTAAAACTAAATGATCTATGTCCTAGAAATCGGTCTTTCTGTTTTTGCCCTTTAATAATCCAACCACGAGTATCAAGCTGAGGTTCTGAGCACCTAAATTTAGTGTTGCTTATAAACATCATACTGCTGTCCTTTATCTTTAGAGATTAGAACAAGAGAAGGCTAGCACCGGACAGGAGCTTTCTTTCAGTTACTTCACTCTTTATATTTTATTTTATTTTCATTTCATTTTTTTTTTTTTTGAAACAGAGTTTTGCTCTTGTTGCCCAGGCTGGAGTGCAATGGAGCAATCTCAGCTCACTGCAACCTCCACCTCCTGGGTTCAAGCAATTCTCCTGCCTCAGCCTCTCCAGTAGCTGGGACTACAGCCATGCGCCACTACACTCAGCTAATTTTTTTGTATTTTTAGTAGAGACAGGGTTTAGCCATGTTGGCCAGGCTGGTCTCAAACTCCTGACCTCAGGTGATCCAACTCCTTGGCCTCCCAAAGTGCTGAGATTACAGGCATGAGCCACCGCACCTGACCCACTCCTTGCATTTTATAAATGAGTGAACTGAGACCCATATAACTGAAGTGACGCAATGTCAGTGAAAGATGACAATGTCACAGATAAAACATTTTGATCCTTTAGATTTCTAGCCTAGAATTGTTTTACTCTACCAACCCTGTGATTATGTATATTTGAATTTTTCTGTAAAGCTAAAGTATGCAGGACAATCTCTTCTTTGCCATTCTTTGGCCATTTGCAGGAGCGTGGAGCATGTGGTCACACACCTGCTGTTTGTGATGCAATGCCTGTGTCTGAGTCAGCTCAGTGAGTCGGAATCTCCCAGAGAGCTGTCATCCTATTTGTGATGCTTATGGCTACCACTTACAAGCCTACTCTGCTTTATTTTGTGCTGTTTTTGAAGTATGTTTCTGTTTGTTCTATTCTGCTTTGTTTCCTGTGTAGTTGATGGTTCTACCCCAGCTCAGAGCTTCTGCTTCAGTACGCACCATTGTCCTCCCTGTCCTCCCAGTGACCAGCCTGGGGAAGATGAAACATATCAGTTCATCTGATCTTATCTTTTATGTTCCTACAATCAGTTAGCAGTGCTGGACTTTGTTATTTCAGATCATTTGTTGAGATTTGTGTTTTGTAAATCGTGACTGCAGTGTCTAAGTATCTTTAGGTAATACCATTGGTACCATAATGCCAAAGGAATGCCTATTAAATTCTCTTGTTTTTCTTTCTATTCATCTTTTCCCACCAAATACATGCATACACATGCATGAACATAAGCACACATCTGCACAAATGTGAATATACACACACACTCTTCCTCATGCAAAATCTGTACCAAATGTATTTTGAATCAGCAGCCACCTAAAATATCTACTCCCACCTTCAAGTTTAAGGGAGAAAATGATTCCGTGGTGAAAAAATGTTTGAAAGGGCACAAATTTAATAGCTTAGGATAAATCTTTTGTGAGTTATACATACACACCACACTATACCACACACACACAGCCATTGTACTTTATGTTATAGGAGAAAATATGTTATGCCCTTGATTTTACATTATAGAATAAAACCCAATAAAATTTTAAGTAATACAGAAATGTCATGTGAACCCCAAAAATCTGAGACAAGTCTCAGTTAATTAAGAAAGTTTATTTTGCCAAGGTTGAGGACACACAGTCATGACACAGCCTCAGGAAGTCCTGATGACATGTGCCCAAGGTATTTGGGGCACAGCTTGGTTTTATACATTTTAGGGAGACATGAGACATCAATCAATCAATACATGTTAAGAAGTACATTGATTCCAGAAAGACAGCGACAACTCGAAACAGGGAGGGAGCTTCCAGGTCACAGGTAGGTGAGAGACAAATGGTTTCATTATTTTGCTTTTCTGATAAGCTTTTCCACAGGAGGCAATCAGATGTGTATCTATCTCACTGAGCAGAGCGATGACTGTGAATAGAATGGGAGGCAGGTTTGCCCTGAGCAGTTCCCAACTTGACTTTTTCCTTTAGCTGAGTAATGTTGGGGCCCCAAGATTTTCCTTTCACAGTTAATACACTTACCTTGACTGTGTGTTTCAGGACATCCAAATAGCGCAGCTCCTCAGACATCACTCACAAATTACATCACCAATGTAGTCACAAAAACATCATATTGTAATGGTGAGGTTGAATTTTGCATGCTTCTGCTTAACAAAAAAGTATAGATAATATTGCTTAAACCACAACGTATCCATATTTTAAAATCTAGATACAGAAAATTTTCAAACCAAAATCCATTGTAGGATCAAGCTGACTAACCATGGCAAAATAATTGGCAATGATTAATGTAATCTGTATTTCACAAGAAATATAGCACCAATTGGAAATAGGTTCTTAGTGGTAATTAATACCCAGAGACCAGAGCATCCCATTCCTAATGTCCCACCCCCCTCATTATCCAACGGATTGAGACATAGGGACAGATAGATGGATTCTGAGCCAAGGTTTTGACAGGACTCCAATGACTGGAGGAACACCAGGGTCCTTGGTCTCACGCCAGTTTAGATAAAATGATACGGACACAGGTGGAGTCGTTTTAAGGAGCGAAAAGTTTAATAGCTAAGAAAGAAGGAAGGAAGGAGAAAACAGCTCCCTCTGACAGAGACAGAGGGAGGGGGGATTCAAACAGAGAAAACCCCGTGTGCGGCGGAAAAGTGGCTGCTTACATTGGGATGCCAGAGGAGGTGGTGTCTGGTTTGCATAGGGCCCAGGGGATTGGTTTGACCAGGTGTGTCATTTACGTAGCCTGTGGAAAACTCAGCCCTCCCACCTTAGCCCTTTAATATGCAAATGCAGGTCGCCATAATGTTCTGAACACAAGGTGTTATCTGGAGGTGGCCATGACACTTGGTATACCTGGTGACAAGGAAAAGACTGTGGGAATCGCCATATTGAGTGAACCCAGTTTCTAATAGCTGGCATTTGCAGATCAAAGCTTGCCAGCCCGGCCCTTCAAGCAGTCTTTTCTGTTAGAAAAGAGATCATTTAGGGTTGTTTCTTATTAAAGGAAGATTTCCACCAAGAACCTTTATCCTTACTACCTGCCTAAAATAATTTCTTAATAACTCCTGTATCAGTTTGGCTTACAGTGGTGGTCATTGCCCAGGTCCCTGAATGTATTACTGTGCCACTCCCACATAGGGCATTTGACTTGTAAGGTAAAGGTATATTTTTGTGAAGACTGAGTGCAAGCCACTGAAATAGTCCCTCACCCCACCTTCTTGGAAAATTCATACCTACTTCCAGTTATTACCAACCTTAAGGACTTTAAGAGCTAAAGGATGCTAGAATGGTGCTCCCCATCATGTCTTAAATTAAGTCAGCAGTCTGTCACCTAAAATATATAAAAAAAAACAAAACAAATGAATCCTGAAAAATGACTGCAGAGTATGACAGATTCAACTGAATAGCAGCTTAATTGCAGCTGTTTTCCCAGATGCGGTGTTGTTCTAGCGTAAATTCATCTGTCTTCAGGTACTGGCACATTGATTTGACAAATATGTTATTTTCTAGTCAGATCAAACAGATAAGAAATGGTTTGTATTCACATGGAATGGGAAAAATTAGATATGTCTACTTTTCCCTCAGGGTTCTGTTAACTTACACTTCCTCTATAAGAATATAGTTTTAAGAGATCTGAACTGCCTTGACATCCTACAGAATATCACATTGATTCACCACATTTATAACATTATGTGAATTATGGAAACTAAGTTGCTGAGCAAGAATTGGCTCACAAATCAGAAGCTTGATAAGACATATATCCCAGAGAGAGATAAATCCCCCTACAAAGAGTAAGGGGTCAACTCAACACAGCAGTATAATTACTAGCAGTCCAATATTCAGGCACTGCAAGTGTATTGCCTCTAAGTTAAAAGATAAATTATCACACTTTGCATCTCCTACTACAAGGAAGGAAGCAGGGTGGCTGGCAGGCCTCTTTGTGTTTTAGAAAGAGCATAGCCCATACCTGGGTGACAAGGAAACTTGGCAGCTTTGAGCGGGTCCCCACTTAAAGAAGAAAAGCCTTCTGCAGAGAGAGAAAGACCTCTGCAGCAGATGCATGCTTCAGTTAAAGCAATTCTGCCAGTTAAGCCATAGAACCAAGAGACCCTCTGGTATTGGAACTACCAGTAGTGACCAACTCTGCCTTATGGCACTCTACAAAAGAGAATCACAACACAAGCATATGGGGTTCTGGAGCAAGACTCTGGAATCTACAGTGAAGAATCATATATCCTGGGAAAACAATCGCTGGCATGATACTGGCTGTTGTAGAGATAGAGTGTCTGACAATGGATGTCATGCATCTGACACCTTCTATCTGGTTTTGCCACACCCACTGAGTCGTAAAATTAGGTAAGTCCAGAAGTAACCCATTATTAAGATGAAATGGTATATCCAGAATCAATCAGGACCCAGATAAGAATGCACAAGCAGGCCACGTGAGCAGGTAAACCAGACTCACATCTCCCAATGTTGTGTCTGTTCCCTTTGGCTCATACCTATTGCCACATAAGATATCTAGTATGGCCAGCTGGCAGAAGATAAAAAATCTTGCCCTTGATTTACAAATGGGTCTACTTGATATGTGGGTATAAACTGAAAATGGCAGCAACCACACAGCAGCCTCACTCAAGATAGTCCTCAAAAGACGATGGGGACTGAGAAAAATATCCACAGACTAGGCAGAGCTTCAGATGGTAAACCTGGCCATGCACTCTGTGTACCCAGAGGTTGGGATGTGTGATGGTTAACACTGAGTGTCAACTTGATTGGATTGAAGGATACAAAGTATTCATCCTGGATGTGTCTGTGAGGGTGTTCCCAAAAGAGATTAATATTTGAGTCAGTGGGCTGGGAAGGCAGATCCACCCTTAATCTGGTGGGCAAAATCTAATCAGCTGCCAGCGAATATAAGGCAGGCAGAAAAACATGAAAAGGAGAGAGACTGGCCTAGCCTCACAGCCTACATCTTTCTCCGGTGCTGGATGCTTCCTGCCCTCAAACATCAGACTCCAGGTTCTTTAGTTTTGGGACTCAGACTGGCTCTCCTTGCTCCTCAGCTTGCAGACAGCCTATTGTGGGACCTTGTGATCATGTAAATTAATACTTAATAAACTCCCCTATATATATAAGAGATATATATATAGGATCCCAGAATTGATCTCTGGGTATACAAACACAGGAACACATGGAGATAAACACAAAGTGTGAATATCTTTGTATTATCTACTATCATTCACAAGTGAGTACCTACCAAGGAGCAAGTATATTTTGGGAACTTGACTTCAGCCAGTTGATGTCATTGGCCCTGCCAGATAGGCATAATGGGCACATAAATCTAATTAATGCAGTGGCCACAGTGAAAACAATGAAGGCTAAGCATGGGCCCAACAACATGGGCTTCCACTTACGAAAGCTACTGCTACAACTGAATGCTCAACCTGCCAGCCAGAGAGATCAATTCTGGGATCTTAAATAGAATTTATCATCAAGGAGACCAACCAGATATTTGATGACTACACTGGGCCCCTTTCAAGCTGAAAAGCATGAAAACTTGCTTTAAAAGGAATAGATACATATGTGGGAGAGATTTTACTATTTCTGCCCACAAGATATTACTAGAACAACTATCCAATGATAAATGAAGTGTTTAATTCTCCAGGAGAGGATCCCACATATCACTGGTCAGATGAAAGGTCCTTCTTTATAGCAAAAAAAAAAAGGTGCGGAAGTGGCACACAACACTGGTTGTGTCACATATGCACCATTAGAAGCTGTTGATATGAAAGAGCACTGGGAAGTACAGTTAAGAATCAGCTCAAGAGACAGAGTGTTGTGAACATGGAGATATACCACTGCCCAGATTCTACTTCAAGAAAAGAACTGAAGTTGTCTCAGCATCTGGGTGGGTCAGTCTTTTCAGAATTTTCCTTGGCTGCAGACAGCTGTATAGCCCAAGGGCATGGTCTTCCTGGCTGGATCACATCCAGTGACTGATAATGACATTGTCTTACAGGCCTGGCCATTTCCCCTTACTGCGAGATACCAACTTGCCTCACGCAATGCACAGTTCACAACCTCCCCGCTGTGGGAGTAGCTGAGGTTTTGTTGTACCTGCCCCTGTTTGACTTCTCTCTCTACCCAATTGGGTTTCCTCCAACTATGGAGGCCCTTATGTAGTGTTTCCATTTCCAATGTCTGTTTTCCACATTTCTAATTATACTCTTTAGCACTTCCTCTTTTTATCATCATTTTATATGCAAAGGCCTGAAATTGTCATTGAGCAAAACCTGAATATCAAAATTTGAATCTCTCTTTCTTAGCCCAAGGCTGATGATATGATATAATCTGTGGCTTATCTGAAAAACAAAAAATAAAATAAATTGAGCACCCTCTACTGAAAAAAAAAAATGTGATCAAGCCAATTAACGGAAAATCTATTTCCTTCTTGAAATCAGTTTCTTATTTTTAAAATCAAGAAAAAAAAACAGTATGTTTCTGGTGGAGATTTTAATTTTCCAGGGAAATATATTTCACATCTAGTAAATTCAAGACGTTATTCAAAGGTAGCTGGAGTGTGATTACCCTCCTGAGAAATCACAAGTCTAACAACAATAGTATTTCTCAAATGGCTGCACTTCAGTCTTCACATATATTTGTTGTTTTCCTCTTTCTGCAAGCATGATAAGGCACATGTTTATTTTGTTTCATAATTAATTTTAGTTTCCAGGAGAATTAATTGATGTATTTATTCTGTTTTAACAGAACATACTGAATGTTTACTTAGGTATCAGACTCTTGACCAGTTGTTAAGGGTGTAAACTTAAATAAGATATGGTAATTTCCTTTTTAAAATTGTTTCCCAACAAATGAAGTGCAAATTGTTTCTTAAGTGGGCTTTATTTCTCTGCCATCTTAGTCTGTTAATTCAGTTTGTCAGAGATCCCTTCTTTGCTAATTGACCAAGAATTTAATCTGGTAAATCACAATGATTTGGGGTCATTTTGCTTCTAAGAACATTCTCTTTTTAAAGACAATTTCTAGCCCCAATAATATTTTCGGTGTAAAGTCCTCTTTATCACTTCTCTCCACCGCAGGTTGCAGAGCAGCAGTAGGGAGACAAGCTGACACGTTCCTTCATTTATTCTTCTTCCACTTTCCTCCTCCACTTGCTCTGATTCTTCCTGCTTATTGTGGACTGTGAGCAGAAGAAAGGGGAATGAAACAAGGACAAAATGTCACATTCTCTTCCTATGTCATCCCTGTGGTTGGTGTGCTTTCTCCTGGTCCTGTGATGGGTAGCATTGCTGGGTTCTTCAGAGAAACTGAGAGACACCCTTCCCCTGAGAACCTCCCACTTCCCTGTCACTGACACTGATAGCACACTTTCTGCCTGACCCGTTTCCTCCCCACTTTCCTCCCCAGTCAGGCATTCCTCTTGGATGGAGGTGTTTCAAGAGGATCTGGTTTCAGCTATTCTCTACAGTGTCACTCCTCTCAAGCCAACACATACATCCTGAACCCACTAATGTGTGTAAGCACATGGGTCCCTCAGCTCCCTCTGCTGTCCATCTGCCTCTCATGGGCAACTCCAGGCAGCACCTGCCTTCTTCAGAGCTCACCAGGAGAGAAGCAGGCATGAGGCTCTCTGCTCACACGTGCCTCCAACCTCTGGGAAAACATGTCAGGATCTTTCTACCAAGAACCCCTTTTAATGCCAGCTGCAGCCCTAGGCAGGGCTCCCTGACTCTGCTGCCCACCAAGCCTCACCCAAGAAGTGAGATGCAAGCCAGCCCTTCATTACCCAGAACACCAGTCTTAAGTGTCCCCACCCCTTCCTTGCATGACTTCAAGTGGGTAAGGTAACGTCCTTCCCTGTTTCTCTCCATAGGAAAGAGAGAGAATCACCACCATAGCGTTTGTACTCAAATGAATTCTCTTTTTCTTCCTTCTTCTTTTTTTTTTTTTTTAAATGGATGGAATCTTGCTCTGTTGATCAGGCTGGAGTGCAGTGGTATGATCATAGATCACTACAGCCTCCAACTCTTGGACCCAAGTGAACCTCCTGCCTTAGCCTCCCCAGTAGCCATTAGTACAGGTGCTATTTTGGCTGCTTTTTGGCAATACCTGCATAGATAAGTTCAGCACTTCCCTTCAGACTGCAGATGTTGTTAGCCCTTCCCACCACCATTGTTTTCAACCTGTAGGTTTTAGCCAAAATTCTAAGACAGGATGAAAAGTCCCCTTTCACATCCTGCTATAAAACAATTTAAGACACCATTATATATTATTCTAATATAAAACTTAGTTCTATTTATAAGTGTAATAATTTATAAGGGAAAATTGCACTTTGTAGACAACTTGAAAGAAGTGAATGATGAAGAAAAATGAACATATTGAGTTTACAATAATTTCTATGTACCAAAATCTTTCTTTAAAAAAATCAGCAGCTAACATATCAAAGAAATTCTATATAGAACTGTAAATCCTTGTCAAGTAGGCATCTCATAAACTTTTGTTATTATTTCCTTTATGTCACATCTCAAGAGCTCTCCCACTCTTCTTCAATACTTAAAGCAATTGCTTTTCTTCCTTCCCCCAAAGCTCAGCTTTAGCAGGAACTTGGTCTCCCCAAAACCCTCCATTCTTGTTCCTGCTGAAGGCAAGCCCACTGTTCAGTTGTGTCTTAACAGAACTTTGCTAATCACTATGTGGAATAAGAAACCCGGTTCAATTACAATGATTACAGACAGAATCCTAAGCTCTTCTGACAACATAAGTCTTAATGTAATGTATTTGAACCAGTTCTTAGAACTCTAGCCTCTGTCTTTATCCCGAAAATGGACCTCATGCAAAATAGCAATGACAAAACAAACAACAAAAGCAAAGCAAACGATAGAAAGACCTCCTTTTTATCCTAAATTATAGCATAGTCCATGTGCAGCCTTCCATAAACTTGGCAGAATGCAGAGGAATAGCTCAAACTTCAGAGTGGGACAGCTCTGTTAATTCCTGATTAGGAAAACTTGGGCAAATTGTCTAACCATCTGAGTCCCTGGCTTCCTTGATCATGAAAATGGGAAGGATATTTATCTCTCAGGTTGTTGTGAGAATTAAATCAGATAACAAGTAGAGGTCCTAGATCATAGTATGTTTTGGTTACTGACAAAACTTCCAATAAAAATTAGATGGTTCTTCACTTTAAGAGAAATGCAATTGAGGTATGACAAAGACGCCTACTCACAATGTCCATTTCTGAGCACCTCAAAAATAATTGTCCCCTAGTTTCCTATTAGGAAGAACCCTCTTCACATTCCAACCACTGAAGAGAGAATCGCGGGTCTGTTCTTGAGGCAGTGGGGGTGGATTTGTAAAGGTGAACCAGAGATATTGAACCAGAGATGTGATTTGGAGCCCCGTCTCTGCCGCTTCCCAACATTATGTGGGAAAGTAAGTTGATTCAGCAATTCCTGGTGCACAAGAGTGCTCATAGCAATGTTGATCATTGAAACAAAACATGAAAAAAGCCTACAGTCTATCAACACTGGAATAAACCAATTTTGTTATATTCATATAATGGAGTATGGGACAACAGGGAAATGAAAGAACTAGATCTCTATTATTTATTTGAATTTTGTAAATAAACTATTGAATGAAAGAGGCAAGAAAAAAACTACACAATTGATTCCCTTTAGTAGGTAATATCAAACAGTTTTCATAAGGGACTACACAAATTTAAACTCCCTTGAGCACTGGATAAGAAATATCATTGCTCCACACCCTCAAAAGCAGCTTTGTAATATTTGGGACACCAATCATTGTCAGTTGTATATAAAGCAAATATCTTCTACTTTGAAGCTTGTCATTTCACTCCCTTTGTGGTGTCTTTTTGATATATAAAAGTTATTGGGTTTAATGAGCTCGTTTATTAATCTTAGCCTTTATTGTTTGTACTTTTGCTCACAAAGAATAGTAGATTTTTCTTTGTTATTTAACACAAAATAATTACTGTCATTATTCTTTTTTGGCACTCCAATTATCAACTTTGTCAAGTGGGAGCACTGCCCAGCAAGGTCTTGTGTTTTTCGTTATTGTTGTTTGCCAATCTTATATGTGAAAAATGATATCTGTGTAGTTTTAATTTGTGTACTTTTTTATTCAGAGTGAAGCTGAAATTTTTTCATGTTTAAGGGCCATTTGTATATTTTTTTCTGTCATCTGTCTGGTTGTGTTTTCTTCCCATTTATTACTTGGTTTAGTCTTTTCATTCTTGATTTTTAAAAATAATATATTACAGAGATTAACCCTCTATCTGTGATATAAGTTTTAAATTGCAACAACAACAAAAATTCCCATTTTGTCATCTGCTTTTACTTTGCCTATGGTTTTGTTTTACTTTGGTTAGTTGTTGCTACTAAACAACTTGTTTAGTTGTCGTTTTTTATAGTTGCTTTTAGCAACATTTTAAATATTGCATCTGGCTTTTGAGTTGTTTGAAAGATACTCCATATATCTAGGTTATTACAAAGTTTATTCTGTATGTGGTATGAGTTATGGGTCCAATTTTCAGCTCTTCTCCAAATGGCTACCAATTGTATTAATACCACTTATTTAAAAGTCTATTTCCTGAGGGATTTGAGGTACTTCCTTTATAATGAACTTAGTATCCATGAGTATCTATATTGACTTCTGCTTTCCTATTGATCGCTCCATCCATTTATTTTCATTACACAGTATTTTATTTGTAAAAGCTTTCAGTGTATTTTCATAACTGGCCTTAGGTATTCTTGCATGTTTGATTTTCCACATGAACTTTAGAATAAAGTTTACTAACTTTAGGGAAAAAAGTAACTTGTTGGTTTTATATACACGCACACACACACATATACATAGATATATATCTATACCTGTCTGTATTATACAGATACCTGTCTATATTATACACATGCTTATGTACTTATATATGGATATCTTTACATCTTTCAAACCTACTTTTGTGTTTTTCATGTGTGTTTTAAAGCACTCCTTCAACAAGTTTTGCCACTGTTGAGTTTATTTCTAAGTATTTTGTCCTGTTATTGTAAATACAACATATTCTTCCACTGTATATTTTAACTGGTTACTATTAATAAGTATGAAAGCTATTATAAATATTGGATGTTAATTTCATATCTTGCTCCTTTACTGCATTCTTTTATTGTTTATATAAGCTTTAACATTGATCCTGTTCAGCTTCTCAGATTTTCTTGATTGGGTTAACTTGTGGTTTGTCCAACTTGTTAAATTTTTTTCAAAGAGCCAATCAGCATTTTTACTCTTTTTGTTTTTACTATTTTGTGTTTCCTTTTTGGTAATTTTCATGTTAATCTTTGATAGTTCCTTTGTTCTGTTCCATTTTAATTTACTCTATTTTTTTCTAAATTTTTGTTTGGTATTTTATTCACTTTTTCACCTTAATCACATTGATATAAATATTTAAGACTATAACATTTTCCCAGATTACTGCATTAGTTATATCCACTGACATGTTTAATATAGAAATTCTGCGATTTCAGTTGACATCTGCTCTTTTTTTTCAAAAGCTGTTAAGTAATTGGTTTGTTTTGTTTTCAATTCCCAAATGTTATGTGAAATAACATTTTGGGAATTATTTCTTATTTTGTAGTAAAGTTATAATTTTATTGAATTTTAATTATTGAGTGTTATATATTACCTCTACTTGGAATTTAACAATTTAGTTTTATTTGTAAACTAATGTCGAATTAAGTTTTCACAAATGTCCTATGGGTATTTGAATGGAAGGTGTATTTTCTATTATTAAAATATAAAATTTACTTATAGGATTAATCTTAGTGATTATTTGCCTTACTCTTAAATTATATAGTTATAACTAATTATAACTTTACTTACTTCTTATCCGCTTGACCTGACTTGGATTAAGAATGCATTGTTGAAATCTAATATTAATGTGTTTCTGTTTATTTCTCTTGCGTTTCTAGTATTTCTGTGTTAAGAAGGCAATCTTCAGTGTTGTTTAGTGTATAGATATTCCTTTTATATATTCATTATTAATTATGGCCTTTAACATGATGAGTGCCCTTCTTGGTCTCATTTTGTTTTTAGGCCTAAATTCAACTATGTCCATATTAACATTGCAACAGCTAGTTTCTTATTGTTTGCATTTGCCTGATAAATTTTTTTCTTTCCCTTTGTATTTCGTTCTTCTGATTCACTTTGTTTAAGTATGTCTTTTATATACTGCATAGAGTAGGATTTGCAATGTGAGCCAACCTAAAAATAATTTCATTTAACATGTGAGACAAGCATATATATAAAACAATTGATATAAATGATGTTTTATTCTCAACTGTTTCATTTATATTATAATGTGTCTTATTCCCACTATAAAATATGTTTCCTCAGGTCTTTCTTTTTTTTTTTTTGAGACGGAGTCTCACTCTGTCGCCCAAGCTGGAGCGCAGTGCCGTGATCTCGCCCAGGCTGGAGCGCAGTGCTGTGATCTCAGCTCACTGCAACCTCTGCTGCCGGGGTCAAGAGATTCTTCTGCCTCAGCCCCCTGAGTAGCCGGGATTGCAGGCACCTACCACCATGCCCGGCTAATTTTTGTAGTTTTTTGGTTTTTTTTTTTAGTAGAGACTGGCTTTCACCATGTTGATCCGGCTGGTCTCTAACTCCTGACTCCGTGATCCACCCACCTTGGCCTCCCAAAGTGCTGGGATTACAGTAGGCGTAAGCAACTGCGCCCGGCCAGCTCTTTTTATTTTTAATTACAGGCGTAAGCCACTGCGCCCAGCCAGGTATTTTTATTTTTAATCTATTTTGTTACTGAGTAAGATTTATATTTTTTGTTCTAGGGGTAACATTCATGCAAATAACTTTGTATAATGTTAATAATCCTTTTATTCTTTTATTAGGCTTCTGATATCCTTTGATTCTCAAATATTCTCTCTGCACAGACGTTAATGAGTAGATTTTACTCTCCTCTTTCTCTCATTTTTCCTTGTAAAAAGAACAACAATTTTTTGATGTTTTTTGCCGCTCTCTCTCTTAGTCCATAACATTTATATACTATTTTTCTATGTATAATCCTACCATTTTTTAAATCTTAGATCTTCTATTAAGTATATTCAGTTTACCATGTCCAATTTTCCTAATCATTTCTTAGGTTGGTGAAGTTTGTCCTTTAATAGAGTCCTTGCAAAGGGCTTATAAGTACAACAATCCTTAGTTTTGTTTAGATGTTTGCCTGCTTACTATTATCCTTGTATAGTCTAGAAACGTCAAGGAGCACTTGAACAGATTTAAAATCCTTGTCTCACACTTACTTTCTTTGGATTTCCAGAATATTTTCTTTCTTTTTGTCTTCCTTTGTTTGTTGCTAATGAGAAGTTTGAGTGAAACTGATTTTTCTTTTCTCTGGAAGAATTTTTTTTTCCTTTGGTACCCTGAAAATATTTTATTTATACCTGCAGTCCAAAAGTTCCTCTAGTCTACATTTGAAAGCTGACTTTTCTGGTTAATTTTTCACAAGTGTATGGTGGTAAAATATAGACTTGTATCTTGTTTATTTCTACAAACTTTTCTTGGATTATAGTTTTAAAGACTGGTGTCCCTTTTTCTTTTCTTTTTTTTTTTCTTATGTAAAAAACAAGTTTACTAGGAAAATAAAGGAATAAAGAATGGCTACACCAGGCAGAGCAGCATCTTTTTTTTCCTGAAAAACTCCAATTGTAGGTATTTTTAATCTTTCTTGATAATCTTCTGCATCAATCACATTATTACTAGTAATTTTTCTTTTAAAAAAGTTTTTTTGTTCTTACCTATTTTAATTCCCTCTTCAATAGCCCTTATTATACATATAGTCAAATATATTCTTACCTTATACTTAGATACTCACTTCTGAAATGATTTTTTTAAATTGTGTTTATTCTTAGGCTTGTTAAATTTTTATTAGATTTTTGAATATCTGAAATTGCATGTTTTAAGGATATTTCATTCATATTGGTAGAGTGTGTTACAGGTTTCATCTGTATTTTGGTTGATTTTGTGAATAATATTTTATCAACTGAAAATACTCTATTTTTACCATTAAAAATTTTAGGTGAAGAAATACCTATATTGATACTTTATTATTATATTTTAAGTTCTGGGATACATGTACAGAAGGTGCAGGTTTGTTACATAGGTATACATGTGCCATGGTGGTTTGTTTCACCCATCAACCCATCATCTACATTAGGTGATTCTAATGCTATCCATCCCCTAGCCCCCACCCCCAACTGGCCCTGGCATGTGATGTTCCCCTCCCTGTGTCCATGTGTTCTCATTGTTCAACTCCAGCTTATGAGTGAGAACATGTGGTCTTTGGCTTCCTCTTCCTATGTTACTTTGCGGAGAATGACGGTTTCCAGCTTCATCCACGTCCCTGCAAAGGACATGAACTCTTCCTTTTTCATGGCTGCATAGTATTCCATGGTGTATTTGTGCCACATTTTCTTTATCCAGTCTATAATTGATAGGCATTTGGGTTGGTTCCAAGTCTTTGCTATTGTGAATAGTGCTGCAATCAACATACATGTGCATGTGTCTTTAGAGTAGAATGATTTATAATCCTTCGTGTATATACCCAGTAATGGGATTGCTGGGTCAAATGGTATTTCTGATTATAGAGCCTTGAGGTATCACCACACTGTCTTCCACAATGGTTGAAATAATTTACACTCCCACCAACAGTGTAAAAGCATTATTATTCCTCCACATCCTCTCCAGCATCTGTTGTTTCCTGACTTTTTAATGATCGCCATTCTAATTGGGGTGAGATGGTATCTCATTGTGGTTTTGATTTGCATTTCTCTAATGACCAGTGATGATGAGCTTTTTTTCATATATGTTTTTTGGCCGCATAAATGTCTCCTTTTGAAAAGTGTCTATGCAGACCTTTCATCCACTTTTTGATGGGTTTTTTTTTTTTTTTTTTGTAAATTTGTTTAAGTTCCTTGTAGATTCTGGATATTAGCCTTTTGTCAGCCTACCTATTTTGATAATCTTTTCAATAAACCAGTTCCTGGATTCACTGATTTTTTTCTTGAAGGGTTTTTCGTGTCTCTATCTCTTCAGTTCTGCTCTGATCTTAGTTATTTCTTGTCCTCTGCTAGCCTTTGAATTTACTTGCTCTTGCTTCTCCAGTTCTCTTAATTGTGATGTTAGGGTGTCAATTTTAGATGTTTCCCATTTTCTCCTATGGGCATTTAGTGATATAAGTTTCCCTCTAAACAATGCTTTAGCAGGTGTCCCAGAGATTCTGGTACATTGTGTCCTTGTTCTCACTGGTTTCAAATAACTTATTTATTTCTGCCTTCATTTCATTATGTACCCAGTAGTCATTCTGGAGCACGTTGTTCAGTTTCCATGTAGTTGTGCAGTTTTGAGTGAGTTTCTTAATCCTGAGTTCTAATTTGATTGCATTGTGGTCTGAGACATTGTTTGTTATGATTTCTGTTTTTTTTAGCATTTGCTGAGGAGTGTTTTACTTCCAATTATGTAGTCAATTTTAGAATAACTGCAATGTGGTGCTGAGAAGAATGTATATTCTGTTGATTTGGGGTGGAGAGTTCTGTAGATGTCTATTAGGTCCGCTTGGTCCAGAGCTGAGTTCAAGTCCTGAATATCCTTGTTAATTTTCTGTCTCGTTGATCTGTCTAATATTGACAGTGGGGTGTTAAAGTTTCTCACTATTATTGTGTGAGAGTCAAAGTCTCTTTGTAGGTTTCTAAGAACTACTTGCTTTATGAATCTGAGTGCTCCTGCATTGAGTGCACACATATTTAGGATAGTTAGCTCTTCTTGTTGGGTTGATCCCTTTACTGTTATGGAAAGCCCTTCTTTGTCCTTTTTGATCTTTGTTGGTTTAAAGTCTGTTTTATCAAAGACTAGGATTGCTACCCCTGCTTTTCTTTTTGCTTTCTATTTGCTTGGTAAATCTTCCTCCATCCCTTTATTTTAGCCTATGCGTGTCTTTGCACATGAGATGGGTCTTCTGAATACAGCACACCAATGGGTCTTGACTCTTTATTCAATTTTCCAGTCTGTGCCTTTCAACTGGGGCATTTAGCTTGTTTACATTTAAGGTTAATATTGTTATGTGTGAATTTGATTCTATCATTATGATGCTAGCTGGTAATTTCGCCCATTAGTTGATGCAGTTCCTTCATAGTGTTGATGGTTTTTGCAATTTGGTATGTTTTTGCAGTGGTTGGTACCAGTTTTCCTTTCCATATTTAGTGGTTCTTTCAGGAGCTCTTGTAAGGCAGGCTTGGAGGTGACAAAATCTCTCAGAATTTATTTGTCTGTAAGGGATTTTATTTCTCCTTTGCTTATGAAGCTTAGTTGGGCTGGATATGAAATTCTGGGTTCAAAATTCTTTCCTTTAAGAATGTTGAATATTGGCCCCCACTCTCTTCTGGCTTGTAGGGTTTCTGCAGAGAGATCTGCTGTCAGTTTGATGGGTTTTCCTTTGTAGGTAATCCTACCTTTCTCTCTGGCTGTCCTTAACATTTTTTCCTTTATTTCAACCTTGGTGAATCTGACAATTATGTGTCCTAGGGTTGCTCTTCTCGAGGGGTATCTTTGTGATGGTGTCTGTATTTCCTGAATTTGAATGTTGGCCTGTCTTGCTAGTCTGGGAAAGTTCTCCTGGATAATATCCTGAAGAGTTTTCCAGCTTGGTTCCATTCTCCCCGTCACTTTCAGGTACACCAATCAAACATATGTTTGGTTTTTTCACATACCCCATATTTCTTGGAGGCTTTGTTTCTTTTCATTCTTTTTCTCTAATCTTGTCTTCACGCTTCATTTCATTAAGCTGATCTTCAATCTTTGATATCCTTTCTTCCGCTTGATCAATTCGACTATTGATACTTGTGTATGCTTCATGAAGTTCTTGTGCTGTGTTCTTCAGCTCCATCAGGTCATTTATGCTCTTCTCTAAATTGGTTATTCTATTGAGCAATTCCTCTAATCTTTTTCAAGGTTCTTAGCTTCTTTGCATTGAGTTAGAACATGCCCCTTTAGCTTGGAGAAATTTTTTTATTACCCACCTTCTGAAGCCTACTTCTGTCAATTCGTCAAACTCATTCTCTGTCCAGTTTTGTTCCCTTGCTGGTGAGGAGTCGTGATCCTTTGGAGAATAAGAGATTTTCTGGTTTTTGGAATTTTCAGCCTTTTTGTTCTGGTTTTCCCTCATCTTTGGGTATTTATTTACCTTTGGTCTTTGCTGTTGGTGACCCTCAGATGGAGGTTTTGCATTGTCATCCTTTCTGTTGATGTTGATGCTATTGCTTTCTGTTCATTGGTTTTCCTTCTAATACTCAGGGCCCTCTGCTGCAGGTCTGCTGGAGTTGGCAGGGGGTCCAATCCAGACCCTGTTTGCCTGGATATCACCAGGGGAGGCTGCTGAACTGCAAAGATTGCTGCCTGCTCCTTCCTTTGGAAGCTTTGTCCCAGACAGGCACCTCCCAGATGCCACCTGGAGCTCTCTTGTATGAGGTATCAGTCGACCCCTGCTGGGAGGTAATGCCCTATCAGGAGGCACGGGGGTCAGGGACCCACTTTACGAGGCAGTCTGTCCCTAAGCAGAGCTTGAGCGCTGTGCTGGGAGATCCGCTGCTCTCTTCAGATCCAGCAGGCAGAAACGTTTGTCCGCTGAAGCTGCGCCCATAGCCACCCCTTCCCCCAGGTGCTCTGTCCCAGGGAGATGGAAGTTTTATCTATAAGCCCCTGACTGGGGCTGCTTCCTTTCCTTGAGAGATGCCCTGCCCCAAGAAGAGGAGTCAGAGAGGTAGTCCAGCTACAGTGGCTTTGCTGAGCTGCGGTGGGCTCTGCCCAGTCCCAACTTCCTGGTGGCTTTGTTTGCACTGTGAGGGGAAAACCTCCTAATCAAGCCTTAGTAATGGGGGACGCCCCTCCCGCCACCAAGCTTGAGTGTCCCTGATCAACTTCAGACTGCTGTGCTGGCAGCGAGAATTTCGAGAATTTCAAGCCAGTTGACCTTAGCTTGCTGGGCTTTGTAGGAGTGGGATCTGCTGAGCTAGACCACTTGGCTCCCTGACTTCAGCCCCCTTTCCCAGGAAGTGAACGGTTCTGTCTCACTGATGTTTCAGGTGTCACTGGGGTATGAAAATAAACTCCTGCAGCTAGTTCTGTGTCTGCCCAAATGGCTGCCCAGTTTTGTGCTTGAAACCCAGGGGCCTGGTGGTGTAGGCACCTGAGGGAATCTCCCAGTCTGCGGGTTGCAAAGACTGTGGGAAAAGCATAGTATCTGGGCTGGAATGCACCGTTCCTCATGGCACAGCCCCTCAAGGCTTTCCTTGGGTAAAGGAGGGAGTTCCCCAACCCCTTGCACTTCCCAGGTGAGCCGACGGCCCACCCTGCTTCTGCTGGCCCTCCATGGGCTGCACTCACTGTCTAATCAGTCCCAATGAGATGAGCTGAGTACCTCAGTTGGAAATGCAGAAATCACTTGCCTTCTGCATTGATCTCTCTGGGAGCTGCAGACTGGAGCTGTTGCTATTCGGCCATCTTGCCAGCCACCAATACTTTTATGATACTTTTAAATTTACATTAGTTCTAACATATTAAATTTATTATTATTATAATTGAGATCAAATTATAATTTACCCTGTGAAAAACTTATTTTTTCTTCTTGTTTTTTTATCATTATAAAAGTTTAAAATAAAGTAAATTGTATCTTATCTGGGTCTTATTTGTAAATGTCAAAAAGAAATTCTGTTTTATTTCCTAGCAAATAATTTTCCATGCATTTCTTTAGAGTCTTACAATTTTATTAAATGTGCACGATTTTAAAATAATGGAGAGCCCTAACTAACATTTTTATTTGCATTATTGAGTTTATATATTTTATAATCTTAATACTAGTCTGATATAGCTAATTGTTTAAGTTGGTAACAATTGGTTTCACAGGCTTCTCTACCCTTTAATTATAATCACAATGAAAGCTGCATAGCTTTTACCTCCAAAATGAGTTTTTATCTCATCATAGAGAATTGTCGGGAAGCCATTATGCTTAGAATATAATTATTCTCAAATGAATAAGATTCCAACAGTCAATTATGATTGTGAGGCTTGAAGTAACTATGCTAATGAAACTTTTAGCCTTTTTCAGAAGCATAAAAGCTTCCAAGAGATTCGTTTGAATTTTTTTCTCTTTTAATTATCTCCATTTATAAATAAAGGACTGACAGAATATAAAAGAAAGTTTGTATTTTTAAAGACAATCAAAATAAAGCACCTTCTCTTCTCACTGAACTAAGTTTTAAAGCAAAATAAGCTATTATCTGGTAATTACCAAAAGAGCAGGAGACAAATAATAAACCTTGGAATCAGGAAGGTTTTTGAAGCATTTGATTAATTCAGATTCTTTTAGAAAGTGTAAGATAATAGTCCATGAATTTACATGAGTATTACTCTCTCATATATCATCAGTAGACAAGATGAGAGCTATTTGGAGATATATATATATATACACATATATATAACAATCTGAATAGGGACAGGTGAAGAGCATATCTGACCTTCACAAGCATGAGAATGTAAACCCATTCATGTGAATGTGACTCTAATACGTATTTAAAATCTAATTTAAATTATAATTTTAGAGAGTTTGATAGATAAGCATGAGTTATCAATCATTAATTTTAGGAAACAGAACTACCATAGACTTTCTCATTGATCCTAAACTTGTATGTCATTTTAGAGCCATTATGAAAGCTATATAATTAAAATATCTGAAGAATAACTAATACCATACATTAATAGCTGATAACCATACATTTTTAAATTCTGTAAGTTTTCTAAGCAGTAATATAAAAACACAAATAAAAAACAAACTATGAAATAAGAATAACTTTCAATAGGAGAAATTGTAAAACTAGTTAGTTTTAACAAATGTTTTCAAAGAGGTGTGTCTATATCCATCTTATTGTTTTTATAACAATGTTTATATAAGTGTTTATTAAGTTTTATTGGTTTAACCAAGGCCCAATTAAACAAATGTATTTTTAAAAAGGGAAGATTTTAAATTATTCTAGATGTTTCTATGTAAATAATCTGAGGCCTATTAGAAGAAAATTACATATTTAATCTATTTCAGTCATCTTTACACAAAAGGAACTCATATGATTGAAATTACCATTTATAATAATTGCTTGTAGGTTGTTTATTTTAGAATCAAAAACAAGAAACCTGATCTTTGGGAGAACATTTTCTATGTTAAGTAGCCCCATATCTCTCCATCTCCAAAATGGGAATTAGGTAATGCTGCTGTTTCCACAAACATCCTTTCTAGTAATGAATCAACCATTTCAATAATTTTACTTAAGTATTCTTTCCTATTGCCTACATTTTTACATCAGTTGTTTCAATGTTCTATATTTTTAAAAGGTTTTTATTTAATTGATCTTTCCTGATAGTTATTGTATTACTAAAACCATTTTTCATGTGTTGATGAAAATTGTATTTTCAGATAATCTTCTCAACGTCAAACAAATTCTCTAATTTAATAGAAAAAAAAACAAGCAGAAGCAGAAGAAGAAGAGGAGGGACAAAAAAGAAAGTAAATCCTACTTCTTTGAAGTTTATGTTATTCGACTAAATTGATTCATATCTTCCCCTCTACAATTACTCAAGTCATCAAGCCATTGCTTTTGGTGATTACTGTATCCATGCTAATAACTCATTCCACACCTTGCCCTCTTGGTTTCTGGCCTTTTTCATTTCCTTCAATATTTCCTCCACTCCAATACAGCTACCTACTCTCATGACTATATCCTAGACCATATTGTCACAAACAACATTATCACTTCTGAAATCTTTTTGAACATTGTATTCTAAAAACATCGCCTATATTTCTGGTTCATAGCTCTGCTTTTTCTCTGCTTTAAATCTTTGACCTCATTATGTCAGAGGTGTTTGAACCAGAGCGACTCCATCTTAACTAGTGGCTGGATAAAACAAGGCTGAGACCTACTGGGCTGCATTCCCAGGAGGATAGGGAATTCTTAGTCACAGGATGAGATAGGAGGTCAGCACAAGATACAGTTCACAAAGACCTTGCTGATAAAACAGGTTGCTGTAAAGAAGCCAGCCAAAACCCACCAAAAAACCAAGATAGCAGCAAGAGTGACCTCTGGTCCTTGCTGCTCATTATATGCTAATTCTAATGCATTCGTATGATAAAAGACACTCCCACCAGCACCTTGACAGATTGCAAATGCCATGGAAACATTGGGAAGTTACCGTATATAGTCTACAAAGGGGAGGAACCCTATTGCCCACCCTTTTCTGGAAAACTCATGAGTAATCTATCCCTTGTTTAGCATATAATTCAGAAATAACCATAAAAATAGGCAGCCAGCAGCCCTCAGGGCTGCTGCGTCTATGGAGTAGCCATTCTTTTATTCCTTTACCTTCCTAATAAACTTGCTTTCACTTTCACAAATTACAAATGTTGCTCATACTTACTCTATAATCCTACCACACTTCTTTAGTGAGATCAGTTTTTCATGTTTAAAAATGTTTATTTCATATGGTATTCTCTCACACTATCAATGTCTACTAATGCATTTTCAAACTCAATTGATTACTCCATTTCCTTAAGAAAATAAGTCATCAAACAAAAACTCAATTATCTTCATGCAGCAAATCTATAATGTATCTGTATTTTTATTCATCTTTTATATTGTCAAGTAAAAAAATCAACTTAGGTAAAGCTAGGCTTTATTCAAAAGGGATTATTATGATAAGTGAAGGGAGAGTATTGTAATAGGGAGAAGGTTCAGGCCATGAGATCTGCAAGAATCTAAAAGGTCAGGGAGAATAGAATTTTATTTTATAAAGGTTAGAAAAAAGCTTGGAAATAACTAGGTGTGAGGGAGTGGGCGTGATTGCAATGAGACAGTTGATCAAGGAATGTCTTTCCTTTTAGTCAGCTAATTCTCAGGAGTGGCCAACACAGAAGGGTTGTTTGATGGCTCAGGGTGAGGATAGGTCAAAATCAGGGTCCTGGAGAAGGAGAAAAGCAAATTTAGTCAAATCAGCTAATAAGCAGTTTATTTTAACTGATCAGGAGAGACAAACAGTTCAACTAATCTTTTATGAGGCAAATAGAAATTCAGATGGTCTGTGTCTGGCCTTATCATAGGTAAACAAGAGGGACATGATGAGTCTCATCTAAGCCATAAGGGGATGGGTTGTTTCTTGCAGTATGCCATCTCCCAAAATGCAAAAGTATGAAGGATTTTTGTAACCATCGTTGTTTTCCAGTAGCATAGGACTCTGGAAAAGTTCAATAGTGTCAGTTATATTTGCATCTATTAGTATAGAAGTGTCTTAAACTCATTTGCTTGTGCTCTTATCAACATTCTCTTTCTATCTACTAAAGATTCCATTGATTACCCTTTCTCTCCTTCTTCATAAAGATCTCCCTCTCTACTAGATTATTTCTGTAAACTCACAGTCATGCCCACATATATCCAATCTGAAAACAAGTCAAGGCAAACAAACAAACTCCTCATCTGTCTTTGGCTATGTCCATATTTCTCTTCTCCCCTGACCATGCAGGCTACCTGCGTCAACTCATATTCAATTTTGGACACTCTAAAATATGGAGTTCATCCTTCTCCTTCTCTTGAAATAAATACTGACCTCCACATTACCATTTCTAATGGATATTTTTATTTCCTCATCTTTCTGTAACTCTCAGCAGGATTGGACACAGGGGACCACTCCTTTTATCTTGAAATACTGTTTATCTCACTTTCCAGTTTATCACACTTTCATATATTTTCTCCAGCACCTCACTGGAAGTTCTTTTTCACTTTCCACAGTCAACTCCTCTTCTACACAATTTCCAAATACTACCATCTTCAGGCATTTTTCTAGGCCCTTTTTCACTGTCTAATTGCTCCTTGTGTGACCTCATCCATTCCCAAGGTTTTAAATGCCTTCTGTATCCCATTGATTTCAAATTTGTACTTCAATCAAGATGTCTTCTTCTGAGAGCTCTAGACTCATAAACACAACTTTCAAATTGACATCTCTATTTGGATATCAGAGGTTAAGAGAACTTCTTCAACAATGTGACCCAGTTCTGCTGCTTCTGCTAAGACCTTTCAGATATCTTGACTACCATTGTGCCACCACAGGCTCCAAAGATTGAGACATTGTTTTCAAGATCATTCTAATACTTAATTTATAAAATATTGTTGATGACCATAAGTGAAAGGTCATCATAGGCATCCCTGATACTACTCTTTTAACCCTCAGTTGAGAGAACCATGCTACATACTCTGCCATAGGATGCCTGCTGTGTGATTTTATTCATCCAGTCAAGTAGGATGTCCTAAAAAAAGAATCTAGTGTGAGAACTAAAAGTTGTCAGAAAATTAATGATTTGAGACTCTCTCCACTAAATTGTGGCAGTACCCAAATTGTTATCACAAATGACACTTTTTCTTTTTCCTAATTACATCATCATAGACATGAGAGTGAGTGTGTTTGTTTATCTGAGACTAAAGACTTCTAATTTTAGGATTTGTAGATTGTAGACATTGTGAACCCTGAAAATCTGAGACAGGCCTCAGTTAATTTAGAAAGTTTATTTTGCCAAAGTTGAGAATGTGTGCCCATGACACAGCCTTAGGTGGTCCTGACAACATGGGTCCAATGTGGTCAGAGCACAATTTGGTTTTATGTATTCTAGGGAGACATGAGATATCAATCAACATATGCAAGATGAACACTGATTCCATCTGGAAGGGCGGGACAACTTGAAGCAAAGGCAGGAAGACTTGAAGCCAGAAGGAGGCTTCCAGATCATAGGTAGATAAGAGACCAATGGTTTCATTCTTCTGAGTTTCTGATAAGCCTCTCCAAAGGAGGCAATCAGATATGCATTTATCTCAGTGAACAGAGGGATGACTTTGAATAGAATGGGAGGCACGTTGGCCCTAAGCAATTCCCAGCTTGACTTTTCCCTTTAGCTTATGGATTTCGTGGCCCCAAGATTTATTTTCCTTTCACAACATGTGTTCCTAGATGTAACTTTGTTTGATATTATTGTCTAATATCTAACAGGCATCACAAGCCTAAATGGGTGTAAAGAAAGAAAATTCTCAATTTCCTGTTACAAATATGGTCCCTCTCACAGTTTTCTCAGTCTCAATAATTATTACAACTATCTAATTCATCTACCCAATTAATAAATATCAATATATGGAGGCCATTCTCAATAAATTAATTTCTCTTTTCACATCCAGTTCATCAGCAACTCATGTCATCTTTATCTAAAAAATACATCTCTACCTCTCTTTGTAATTGCTCTCCTAAAAATGATTACCTTAGTGGTCCTGTAAGGCCATCTTTTTGATGTTTTTCATTGCTGTTGTTTGTTGTTTTCTTTTTTTTTTCTTCTTTTTTTTTTTTTCTGAGACAGAGTATTGCTCTGTCACCCAGGCTGGATTGCAGTGGGGCAATCTCAGCTCACTGCAACCTCTGCTTCCCTGGTTCAAGCGATTCTCCTGCCTCAGCCTCCCAAGTAGCTGGGATTACAGGTGCCCACCACCACACCTGGCCAATTTTTGTATTTTTAGTAGAGACGGGGTTTCACCATGTTGGCCAGGCTGGAATCAAACTCCTGACCTCAGGTGATCCACCTACCTCGGCCTCCCAAAGTACTGAGATTACAGTGCCTGGCCCTTTTGATGTTCAGACAGGCACCTTGTCTTCCTCTATAACATTCCCCACACAACATACGGATAAATTTTTAAACATAAATTAGATATGTCAAAAATATGCAATTGCCTAGAAAAAACTCAAATTTATCTGTAAGGACCAATCTGGCCTCTGCTTAATATTTCAATTACATCTCATGTCATTCATTTATTTTAATTATGTTCTAATTGTATTTATTTAACAATAATTACTGAGCCGCTGCTTGGTACTTGGAACTGCTCTATCACAGTAAAAAATTTATACTCTATTAATGCTTATATATTATTCCAGAAGACAGTACACAAAATCAGTTAAGTAAATCATAGAAGATATTAGAAAATGATAATTTCTATAAAGGGAAAGTAAAGCAGAGAAGAATGACAGAGAGTCTGTGGAATGGGGTGGTAAGTTCCAAGTTCACATCACTCTTGTGCCTTTAGGATGGAAAGCTTGTCTGTCTTCTTCAACATAGGATCTCCAGTCCCAACACAGTGACTGACTCATAGGAGCTTCTTCCTAAAATCCTGGTGCTTAATAAGAACTTGTTATAAGAATAAAATGCCCATGATCACTACAAGTTGTTGATTCTCCCTGAAAAAAAAATTTAATAGTATAGAATATTCCACTTTTATAAGCAGGTAATATTTTAAATGGCAAGAGGATAAACTTTTAAAACACCATAGTGATATTTTGTTTGCTCATTAGTTTTTTTCTGAATGCTTCGAGTTTTAACCACATTTGACCTATTTTTAAGAAAAAAATCAAATCAGGTCAATGACATTTATACTAGAAATCTAAAATATGTATTTTATTCATATATGAAAAATAGAAATGCGTTTCTTCAAAATTAAATAACTGATTCTATTATGAGAGTCTTAAATTTTTTTTATTTTTAAGCCATGTTTATGTTCTATTACTTGAAGGGAATATTTTGTGTTCAAATGGGGAAAGAGTAAAGTAAAAATTTATAATCACATATTATATTATACTTTAATTTGTCTTTACTTATGAGATTAACATATCAATCTTTAATAAGAAAAATTAATTTCTTGGCTGTCATGAACTGTATGTCCTCAAGTGTTAAATCTCTGGGAGCTCAAAGTTGTGTCTGTATAATGATAAATGCAGTCAATTAGGTTGTCAATTCTTATCAATGAATCACTACATTTAAAAAATAAACAAGTTGTTAATAAAATGTAATGAATCTCTCATCATCTGGTTTAATTGTCTCATTTAGTAAAAAACATTAAAATTAGGAAGCATTTGAATTTCTCTTTTTGAAATATCTATATTAATTGTTAACATATTATGAATGATATAATAGTATTTTCAGTAATGTCTTCATAATACCGTGAATCAGCTGTAGCAATATAGGATGTGTTCTACTCATGGTTGAATTGACTGAGCTGTACCCACATGGCACCCAGTCAAAACGAATTCTGACTCAATTTTCAAATGTGTACAAATATATTTTCCTCAGAAAGTATAGCTAAATTGGGAGGGTTTGGGCATGCATTCAACTGACAAAGTTTGCACATAGTTGCAAGCAAAATTTCAAAAAAGTGACTGAAGCACCAATCAAAATGCCAAGGTAGAAAGCTAGCAATGAAACTTTTTGAAAGTGTTGAATAAGTGAACATGATTTTTTTAAGACAGAAAGTGAACAATTTATATTTGTAGCTTAGAAGCTTGGGTTCAGCAAAATCTAGAATTTACACATTTGAAGAATCATCTGTGGTTTTCTTATGATTCGGTGGTGTTGACATTTATATCATTTGCCTTACTTCTGTCTATTGGTTCATTGGTCTAGCCCTTCTTACTCCCTCCCAATTTTGTGTAAATTCCTCCCCTTTAGGTTTTACTTTAACAAGCTTATAACCTTTTTCCTATTTTTAGATAGTAAGGCGTAGCTGCTGAAAATTGATGAAGTTAAATAACACTGCTCACTTTGAAGTCTAGCATCTTATTAGAGCTGTTACAGAGACTGTATCAGCTTCCCTGAGGTTTGAGAAAGACAATGCCTTGATGGCCACTGCTCTATTGATTACACAGCTGGATCCATTCATTATCTGGTCTCTTTCCTTTTCTGAAATTAGTCCCTAGAGAATGTGACTGGAAGACACAGACACAGTAAGTACAAGTTATTGGTCTCATTACTGGAACCCGTAGAAAATGTGAAAATCCTTTGGGACTTTTTCAGTCCCAAAACTGACATGAGAAATCCTGACCTCATTGGCCTTAGACATGTTTTACTCTTTAGTTATTTATATAGCTTTTCATTGCTTAGAGAGTAAAACTCAAACTCTTTAAGCCTAGTACAGAAGGCTCTCTATTTACCAACCTTTCCTTCCATTTTCTTACATGCACCCTTGATCCTTATAGGCTGTTGGAACCCTCCCTCCCTTTCATAATTTGCACCTGCTGTTCAGTGATTCAAAATATCATTTGAAAAGTAGAACATGTTGTTAATGATTTATTGTTCCAGGTCACCCTTTTCATTATTGCCTCTGGAATACAAATTAGATATACCCTTTCCTCTGGTATCCCAAACCATGACATCAGAATAATCATCCTCTAATTAGACAAAACATAAGAAAACAGGAATATTGCTTCTCCTTCAATTTCTGATCAGCCACAAACATAGACCATGTACTCTAAATTCTATGCATTAATATCTCTCACATGTCATTACCAAAGAGACCTTCATTTTCTTTTTACTGTGCTTATACCTCTGAAGGCAAATATCTATATCCCCTGCAATAGCAAAATATTTGACACACCTAAGAGTTCTGTAAATGCTTGTAGAACAAGTGAATGAACAAAATGAATGCCAGTACTCACTGTTGCAAGTAACTAATGGAAAAACTAGAATTTACTGGAGGCATACTAAGTAATTTATAGAACCTGTGGAAGGAATGACGCAAGGCCTTAGGCTAGAACTGGAACTGAGACTGCTCAGGAAGTCATCTTTTTGCTTAATCTCTACTTATTTCTTCCAATATGCTTCATTTTTCTTTGTCCCTGATTCTTTCTTTCCCTTTCTTCCTCCTCTGGCTCTCCTTCTAGCATAGATTTTTTTTTTTTTTTTTTTTTTGAAGGAGTCTTGCTCTGTCGCCCAGGCTGGAGTGCACTGGCGCGATCTTGGCTCACTGCAAGCTCCGCCTCCCGGGTTCACGCCATTCTCCTGCTGCCTCAGCCTCCCGAGTAGCTGGGACTACAGGCGCCCACCACCACGCCCAGCTAATTTTTTGTATTTTTAGTAGAGGTGGGGTTTCACCGTGTTAGCCAGGATGGTCTCGATCTCCTGACCTCGTGATCCACCCGCCTCGGCCTCCCAAAGTGCTGGGATTACAGGCGTGAAGATTTTTTTGCTTATCTCATCGACGTGCCTGTAACTCTCTAACTGACCTTTCACAACCTACATTGACAAATATAGAAACTGATTTGTCCATGTTAGGTCAAGTTTTCATCCCAGAAATAAACAGCTATGGTCAAAGATTCAGATGTACATGATACAAATATATTTGTAGTTATGTGGCTGGGGGAAGTACACAAAGCTTCCATAGCTCTCTGAGCAGCTACCCTCCCAATATCTTGATGTTTTCATCCAGAAGCTCTCCAACCCCACCCTTCAGAGATTTTTATGGATATTTCATTCTATAAGCATAATTGATTAAATCATTGGCCATTGATGATTAATTCAATCTCTAGCCCCTCTTCCCTCCTCAGAGGTAGGCAGGGGTAGGGAGGGAGGAAGAGTTGAAAGTTCCAGCCCTCTAATCATACATTTGGTTCCTCTGGCAACCAGCCCCCATCCTGAAGCTATTTAAGGGCTCACAAAAAGTCACCTTATTAGCATAAACTCAGGTACAAGCGTTTTAGAAATTCTATATCAGGAATGAGGACAGAGTAAGATAATTATTTAATATTTAATATTTGGTTTATTAAATCAATTGATTTTTTTAATCCAAGAAAAACAGCAGAAAACAGGAGGCTACTCTTGTTTATAAAATTCCTTAAGGAGAGAAGCATCTGCTGAAGCTAGAAGAAAGAAATGTAGGAGATAAATGAAGAAACAAGTTATAAAAATACAATTTACAATGCTAACAAACGAAAGTTAACTGAACACCTACTAGGGCCCACTACTCTATACACTTTATGGACATGATGTCTATTCTTCCCAATGACAGTATCATGTAATTAGAAATCTCCTTAATTTAAGGGGAGGAAATTGAGGCTCAAGTAGCTTCCCTAAGGTCACATAGCCAGTAAGTGAAGAAAATGATATTCAAACATAGATCTGGGTCACACCAAAGCCTGTACAGTGTCCAGTACAATAATACATATCACTGGATTGTTGCCTACCCATTGGTGATTTACATATTCATATATGCCCTGTTCTTCAGTTTCCTAAGTCATCTATTATTCTGATTTTCCAGCAAATAATGTAACACTATAAGCATACACAGATACAAAATCTGCCACAGTAAGCACATATAGATACAAAATGCCCCATTTTTTTCTCAACAACGAGTATATTAGTTTCAAATTGCTACTATAACAAGTAGCCACAAACTTAGTGTCTCAAAATGATAAAAAAAATTATCTTACAGTTCTGAAGGTCAGAAGTTCAAAAATGAGTCTCTGAGCTAAAATCAAGGTATCAGCAGAGGACTATGTTCCTTCTGTAGGCTCTCAGGGAGAATTGATTTCTTTGTCTTTTCTAGCATTTAGAGGCCACCCGCCTTGGTTTGTGGCTTTGCCTCACTCTGACCTTTCTTTCCTCTTCACATCTCCTTCTATGATTCTGACTCTCCTGCCTCCCTCTTTCTAATAGAAACCCTTGTGATTACACTGGGCCCACCTGGATAACCCAGGATAACCTCCCCATCTCAATGTCCTTAACTTAATCACATCTCCAAAGTCCCTTGTGTCATGGAAAGTAGTATATTCACACAGTCTGAAGATTAGCGCATCACTGGTAGACCATTATTCTGCCTACTGAAATGATATGAGAGCTTTTTGTAATTAAAGCAAAAATGTTATAATAAGCCCTCATCTTTAAGAATGTGAGTAATATGCATGATGATGAAGTATACTTATTTTAGCTTGATAGTAAGAAAGAAGTAGAAAAAAATGATGGTTAGGTAATCTATTATACTTCTACATGCTTTTATAGTGAAAAAAAGTAATTGTTCTTTATTTTATGCTCTTCCTTGTTCATCTCTTTTCAAACTTTTTATGATCGTTTTTACTTGAAAATGTTGTCAGTCGAATGTGTCATTTAGTTTTGCTCCCTCCTCTTCAAGATTCAACAAGATAAAAATATAAATTTTAGTAGCAGTAAAGCTGTGGAAAGAGAAAAGTTCTACTTACTAACTCTTTCCCAAGTTGGCCTTTTCCAGACATTCACAGGTATAGCCGCTGAACAAATGGAAATCACCAGTGAAGTAGAAGCAGCACTTGCTCCAGTAGACTGACCCTGTGGCAGGAGCAGGAACAGCAAAGAGTAAGGATGATTACAAGGAGTCCGGTCCCAGGGGGAAGCAATGATCCTGGGCCACACATGCACTTGTTCATCAACTAAAAAGAGAAAATGGGGGGTAAATTAGAGCAGTTATCTCCCCAATATCCTCAAGAGGATTTGAATGCCAATTTGGGGAATCATCAGAGCCATACAGAAGGAGGAAAAGATTCTCCCTATAAGTAATATCGCTTCTATGTCCTTCTGCCCACACGTGCTTCTACTCTGAAACTGTGATAAAAGGACAGAAAGCCAAAACTCTAAAGTAAGAGGATCACAACTAACTTCGAAAGCATTTGTTGTACACTCTTCCCTGCATTGTGAAATGCACAGAAATATTGGGATAAGTGGTTTGCACCAAGAAGAGTGAACAAAATGGAGCTATAAGAGCACCGTCTTCATCTGTTCTTGTGACTATAACTAAGTACCATAGACAAGGTGGCTTATAAACAACAGGAATTTGTTACTCAGAGTTCTGGAGGTCAGAAGTCTGAGATCAGGGTGCCAACGTGGTTGGGTTCTGGTGAGGTCCCTCTTCCAGATTGCAGACTGCTATCTTCTGTTTACACATGGCAGAAAGACAGAGAGAGAAATTGGGTCTCTTTTATAAGGGCACTAATTCTATTCATGAGGGCTCCTTCCTTACGACCTAATCACATCCCAAAGGCCCCACTTCCTAGTATCATCACAATGGGGAATAGGATTTCAATGTAGGAACTGGGGGAAAACACAAACATTCAGTCCATGGCAAGCACCAAGAGTAGCTAGGATATTCAACTTTGTCTGTACTCAGGAAGAGCCCACAGGAATGGTATGCAAAAGGAGGTGAAGATCATGAGGAATACAAATAATCTTGCCTTGAGATACAGAGTCTCTGATTCAGAGAACAGGAGTATAAGAAGGAAATTGAATAAGTGAATGAATGAAAATTACATTAATGAAGAAATTATATAAAAATCAGTTCTTTAGACAAAGTTTCCTTAATTCTTTAAACAGATTAAAAATTGCTGATTTATTTTTTTTTCCTAGTAAGTCCAACACCTGGGCTTCCTTAGAGATGATTTTTACTGATTTTTTTTCTATGTGTGGGCCATACTTTCTTGTTTCTTTGTATGTTTTTTCCTTTTTCTTGAAGATAGGAAATTATAGATAATATAATGTAACAATGCTGGAGATCAGAGTCCTGGGCCTCTGCTGTTTTGTTGTTGCTGTGTGTTGTTGTTGTTGCTTAATTGGTGACTTTTCTGAAGTTAATTCTGTTAAGTCTACAGACTTTGTTGTGTGTGACTGCTGGAGTCCCAGATGTTTAGCTTAGCGGTCATCTAATCATTGGATATAAATTGTTTTCAAATGCCTGAAACCAACGTCTCCTAACCTTTGCTTAAGGATTCTGTGCACGTGTTGGGACTTAACCCTAACTACTAAGCCACACAGTTGACAACACTGTCTTAACCTTCATTTTCTGCTTGCACAGAACCTCAGAATCAGCCAAAATTGAGGTGCCCAGACCTTCTCAGGTCTTTCCTGAGAATTCACACCACCCTATCATACACATAACCCTACCCCTGCATATGACCTTCTAGATTTTTTAGAGATTTTCCTTTCCTATGGACATTTTCTTCCCCAACTTTTAAGCTTCTGGTTAGCCTGTTTTTTTCCCCTGTTATTCACCTTTTCAGTGAATGTGAAGTTACAGAATTGCCTCCAAACAATTTAACAAATGTCCCCAAGAAAAAGACTTTTCACACTGGGCAAGCTCCATGTCAGGACAAAAAACAAACAAACAAAAAAACATGCACAGCTCAGTAAGTGGAGGCCTCCAGAGAACCACCAGACAGTTCCAACACTGACAATTCTCCGAGAATGAGGTTGTGAAGGAGTTCTAGCTCTGTTCTGGTCCCTCCAGTAGCTGCCAAGTGGCTAGTTTTTACTGTGATTGTGGGCTATTGGTTTTCAAAGATGAAATTAAGAGAAGATGGACATAGGGCAAGTTAAAACACCACAAATCTCCCTGCTTTTACTGAGATTCAGCCATTTTGTTGAATAAATACTCCCAGAAACCTTTGGTTAATTTGTAGAATTCAGAGAAACTTGATTCTGATAAATTATCCAGTTTTCTCATTGTTTAATAACGGGATGAGTTTTTGGAGATTCTCCTCTGCCATTTTCACTGATATCATACCGAGATGTAAGTATTAAAAGACTGAGCTTTGGATTAATTATTAAAGAGAAAAATTGTTGTGTATATTTTAAAGACTATTCATTTACACATGAAGCAGTCTACATCCAAAGGAAAAGGATAGAAACAAGTAGTAGGGCAACAGTGGCATGAAAAAGACAACTTTGCATGTAATTTCCTTGTTCAGGTGAGAAATAATGGCGGCTGGGTCTAGGATGTTGGTGGTAGTACGCAACAGAAGTGGAACCATTTGAAAAATATTTGGAATCAAAAATTATGAAATCTTACATTGAACGTTAGAGAGTGTGCAGAATTTTGGTCCCCATAACCTCAACCCTTGGTGCTACTCTGGTGGATATGTTACTTTACCTGGCAAAAGGGATTTACAGATGTAATTAAGATGGTTTTGTTACATAACTGCTGAAGCAGCAGGCCTGGTTGATACTTTGATTTTAGTTCGATGACACCTTGAGCAATAAACCCAGCCCTCGGCCTAGCTCCTGCCGGCCTTCGGGTTTGCAGTGGTGCTGTTGTCCCGGGCAAGGCTAGCGGCAGCACGGCCATCCCCAAGCTTTTTCCCACGCTCCTGCAACCACAGCAGAGAGAAGGGATGCCATTCGAGGTGCTCAGTAACCTCACCAAGCGGCCCTAATGCTTCCACTCCGAGTTTCTGAGGAATCTGAAGGCACTTCACCTTGAGGCTTGGCTGGTGGAAGCGATCTTCGGAAGCCGAGTGTACGTCACATGTCCTGCTTCGAGTGAATCGGTGGGACCCAGAAAGCGAGGCTGAGATCTTGATATTTGGGAGGCCTTATTGCCAGAAGGACACATTCAAGATGATCATGAATACTTGATTGACTATCACGACCAGCTCCAGGTGCAAGCCTCGGAAAAGGCCCTCGCCCAGGATGTCGACACTCAGAAGGCTGAGACCCACCACTTTCCCAAAGCTGGCCAGGAGGCCAGGACCCAGCCATCTCTGGAGGCTGCTGGGGAGATCGGGACTCAGTGGTCTTCAATCGCAGTCCGGGAGGCTGGGACCCAGCAGCCTCTGGTCGAGGTCAGGGAGGCCAGGACCCAGCAGTCTCTCGAGGCTGCCAGCGAGTGGGGGACCCAATGTTCTCCCGAAGCTGCCAGCAAGGCAGGGAGTCAGTGATTTCGCTTGGCCGGTGGTGAGGCTGCCAAGGACCAGTTTACCAAATTACGAAGGCATCTCAGGCCCTGGAGCAGAGCCAGTCAGGGGTTGAAGTGGAAGCCCTTGGAAGAGCCAGATTCTTCTACGGTGTGTATGGTGTGGATTGTTTTTGTTTTCCCCTTCTGCTAAATGTTTGCAAATACAAACTTAAAGTTCTAATAAATAATTGTATTTCCAAAAAAAAAAAAAAAAATCCAGCCACATAGTAACAGACTTCTATCTAAAGAACTGTAAGATAATAGTGTTACTTCAAGCCAGTAAGTTTGTGGTAACAGCGTTATGGTTGCAATAGAAAACTGATACAGATGGTAAAGGAGAGAGAGAAAGCAAGGATGCAGTCTTGCTTGTGGCACTTCCTGTTGAATGGAAACGGGTCCAATTTTTTGAGATAGAAACCCCAGAGGAGGAATAGGCTCAGGTGTAGCAACAGAGAGGCCAACATCAATGTTGCACATGTTCAGTTTGGGGTACTTTTGGAAGTTCAAGTAAAAACAAAAGTTAATAGTTTATTGCCTGTAGAGATCTGGAGTTCAGAGAATAAATAAGGCTAAAAATATAAGTCCATTAGCATGTAGTTGTTAACTGAAGTCGAGTAAATGGATTAAATTGCCTAGGGATGGAGAGTAAAATGAGAAGAGACAAATGATCGTCTGAAGCTGTGTTGTCTCAGATTGTAACCAAAATGTGGGTTAGTTGCTTGCTGCATGTGGAATCCAGTTAACAAGAGCAAAGTCCAATACAAAGCAAGTGAATTTATTACAAAACCAGCTTGGGAAAGAGGCACAGTTGTCCTGCCCCACCACTTCACTTTTTGAGCAGAAAGCAGGCACTTTTAAGGGAGTAAATGAGCAAGAGCAGGGGACCCCCTGCTAGGTTGGTGCCTTATCTATGGGCAGATGAGTTGGTGCCTCCCTGGGCAGAAGTAAGTAGTAAAAATGGCCAAGTGGGCATATTTTCCACATGCCCTCCTGAGGCAACACCCTGGAGGTGAGAGTTTCTTGGAGGCATGCTTTGGTCTGCAAATCGACTGTCTACTCTCAAGGAGAGATTCATCTTGCCCTGTAGGAAATGTTTGGTGAGGGGGAGGTGAAAGGTTGTATTTTCATTTCTAAAGGACTAAGTAGGAAGTGGGAAACCGGGGAAACAAGAAGAGAGAGGGGAATAAATTAAACTACCTCTTAGAAAAATGAAGGTAATCAGTTACAAGACTGCTGGGTACAGGCTAAAACAGGATTCCTTCAACTAAACCTATATACTTGCTTTGTGTTTTCCAATCCACTTTAATAAAGTTTGTCTTTCTTAAAGCAATTCAAGGGGCAAGAGGAGCCAACATATCCCAACATTTTCTCATATCCCGACATTTTCCTAGAATGTCTCTTAAAAAGTTTCTAACAGTTTAAACAGCAGCTTCACTAACCAAGATCAATACCTGCTAATTTACCAGAATAGAATGATGAAACTCACAGTCTCCCACCTTCCTTTAGCTCAACCAATTCCACATTTTATAATAAGCTTTGAAATATCCTGCTTCTAAGTATTTAATGTTTGAATTTTTCAGGAGTTCTCCATTTGAAAGATATAGAAACTTACTAGCTTAGTCAAAAATGGAAAATATATTGAATGGATTCACTCAATAAACAAATATTTATTATTTTTTAGTAATTAAATATCATAGACACTGTGCTAAGTGTCATATATTCAGAAGTAAACAATAAGTCTGTGGTTCTCTGCACTTTTAGCAAAAATCTAGTGGGGATATGAAGACACCAGGGTAACTTATGCAACAGAAGGAGGAGTTGAATAATCAGGCTGGAAAAGGGCAAGAATGCAACTGAGCTTTAGGAACAGCTGAGGCCCCAATAACAAATCACTCCAGAAATAACGACTGCTAAGTGCCTTTATTGTATGTGTCCTGTTTATATTCATAGTCTTATGTCATTTTTACAACAGATATATAATTTAAATAGTACTGGCTCCATCTTCCAGATAAGAAAAACTAATGCTCAGAAACATTAACAAATTATCTAAGGTAATCTAGGTAATAAAATCAAATGCTAAAATTTAAATGCCAGTGTGAAAACCTCAATATTCACACTCTTTTTGTTATATCATTTTGCTTCCAAATCAAAATCCAGGAAAATGAGGAAATGACATTTATGTCTAATTTTCTTTTAAAAAAATACAAAATATGTGACAACTTTCTAATTCATTCATGCCAGTGGTTTGTAATTCTGTGACTTCTACTTTTCTGTTTTTGACAATTTCTCTCCCCAACTGACTCCACAGCTTTGAATACATCCGACATTTATGTAATTCATCCGATAGCATAAGAAGAATACATGTTCCAACTAAAGTAGGATATCGGAACTGAAGTAATCAGTGTTGCTTCACTTTATCAATACAATTAATGAAGGTAGCCACATTTTTAGGTCTGAAAGCATCAAGAAAATACAAGAAATGTTAATAGATTTTTAAAGGGTAAATTAAAAGTAGAGTATCATATTTAGAGTTAGCATACTACAATGCTGATACAAGTTAAATAAGTGTTATTAGACATGAATACATTAAAATAAGTTCAACCTGACAGATTTTGAACTGTTTTGATAGCAACCCACTTACTGGTATTTCTGAAAACAAAGCCATTTGAAATGGCTCAGCAGTCACAAGTATAAACCACGATGTCTGAATGCTGTTATCAAATACTTCCATGAAGTGAAGAGTGTCCCCTAAAACTATTACTTTGGAGAAAAATTCCTGGTAGACACATAGCTCAGTAATAAAATTTTAAAAAATTGAAAACAGATCAATTTATAAATACAAAAATGTTAGTGCCCATGTTGATCTATGTCTTTCATTTTCTTCTGACAGCAGTGCCAAGCACTGAAATCCCACAATCCGTCATGAATAATGCATAAGCAACACAGAGATTCATTTAGGGATCTTAAAAATCCCTGGCTGCAGGTTGACATTTCATCTGTTATATGGGGACAGAGGAACCTTTATTTTCCACTTCAGTGGCCCAATTTAACTTCTTCCTTCCTAAGACAAAGAGCACACACCCTCACTGAAACGCAGGCATGTGCCCTTGCCTGCACGTGCAGGCACAACAAACACAATTATTTCAAGCTATAAACTTCAAATCTCATTTTGTGAGCTATTAGCTATAATGTTTGATGAATCACTGGATACAGGATTTATGTAACTTCACAAGAAGTTACCCAAAGTCAATATGTCTTTCTGAATATATTGCATTTACCTAAGTTTATTCTCTTAGATGATTTGCATTGTGTTTGCTTATCTAAGCTTAACAAATAAGTCTATCAAAAATGAGACCTGAGCCTGAGAGATCCTAGGTACTGTAGGCACTAGAGAGAAAGTATCACCCATAAGACTTTGAGCCCTTTAATCTCTAAGATTCCTTCTTTTATGGAAAATAAAGTGGTCTAATTCCTTTTCATCCCACCTACTCAGGGAAGTTTATTATTGCCCCAGTTATTTCTGAAATTCTTGGAAGGAGGTGCTTAAGTTCCTTTTGTGACCCTTTATGTTCAGTTTTAAATTTCAATTATTACTGAATGCTTTGTTCTTTCATTGTGATCTCACCCTTTGTAGCTTTTTTTTTCTTTCTATCCCAGAGTGAACCTCATACTTCATTCCTTCTCTTACATCTTCATTAGAATTCTTTTTGGGTAACCAACTTTTCCTGGAGGTTTTGACATAAAGAAGAGAAGCTTTAGCAAAGTACATGAAACAACACAATTTTAAATTGATCGCTAGGTATCAGTGTCATTAATGACATTAGACATCACCACCACAGAAAACTTCCTGCCAGCTGCCCTTTCTCTATGCCTCTGTTTGTTTCTTTAATTTTTGTGTTTTCATCTTCCCTAACCAGAACTTTCTCCCCATCACATCCTCCTCCCATATGGCCTCCCTTCCTTCCCTTCATATGTTCCAGCAAAAAGCTCAAAAATCAAAATTTCTATTATTTTATTAAACTATTAAGTAGAAGAAATTAGTTATCTCAATTTCCTTGTCTTTCCTACCAAAAGGGTCATTAAACAAAGGGTCTTCCTAAAATCAGTAAGAGGCTCTTGCAGTCCCTTCAGCCTGTATTAACAGCTTTAGGGACAGCCAGCCCTTTCTGAATTATTCTCAGGATCACCCAAACATAACATTTTTTCTTTTTTTTCTTTAAGAAATTGCCTTATTTTTCTTTAGCAGAAGGACAGCAAATTCCTCAGAAGAAAATATCTTCATTCTACAAAATACATAGCAGTGATAGAGATGATGGAGTATATGAGAACAGCGTCTTTTTCTGTACTTTCTACCACTTCTTGATGGGGTGCACATGGTAAGGATGACACTCCAATCTGTTCGAAGTAGCACCTTTCAGGGCTAGAACAGAAAGCTGATATCCTGTTAGATATCTACTGTTAGATCCTACCTCGTAGTCCTAGGTTATGTGAAATTACACTCCAGGAAAGGGTCCCGCACAGGGTTTTTGCAGAGCAGCTGAAGCATGGTTTTTACCTGAGTAAAAAGGCAGAGACACCAAGTGTCAGAGGCATTTTAATCAGAACGACCCCATCTTAAGAGTGGGCTAGGAAAAATAGGGCAGGCACTTGCTGGACCTCATTCCCAGGAAATTAGATACTTCTAGCCTCTAAATGTTTACAATTAAGGGAAAAGATTGATAACGTTTACTAAACAGACCCAGAATCAGTAATGTCCTGATACCCCGATATCTTGAGTCTTAAGAACAGAAGCACTCTTAATTTTTGTTTTAAAGGTAATAATATTGATTCTTGCAAAATATAGTAATTAAGAAAGTTAATCCTTTATCACAAACCCTTGTAGCAGAGCACATCTCCCCATGATTTTGTTGTTGTCCTTGTTATCCTATGTATAAGCAAACATTGTATCTGGGGAGGGCGCATACCTCCTCTTACTTTCGGCAACGCCCTACTCTTCTATGGACTAGCTCTTCTTTCGCCAGTTTACTTTCTTAACACACTTGCTTTCACTTACACTGTGGACTCGGCCCGAATCTGTCTTGTGCGACATCCAAAAACCCTCTCTTGGAGTCTGGATCGGGACCACTTTCTGGTAACATGAGTACATGACTGCACCTCACCATTCTTTTAACAAATGTTTGGGCCTTTGAAATAGCTAGGACTGGGTTTCCTCCTTAGTGCCTTTGATTATTCTTCTTTATTTGCGCAGTTCATTATTACTTTTCTATCAATTTACAATCTATTTTCATTGTTCTCTTGCAGTTGCTAACATGAAAAGCAAAGTATATGGGACTTAATCCATTGTAACTTTAAAAGTTCAGGTTATTTTGGTTACTATTACATTGGACATTTTCAATTTTTAAAATTTGGCATAGGTTCTAGTTGAACCCTTCATTTCACAGAATAGGAAATTAAAACCTAAAGAGATTAAACAAGACTTAATCTCATCTAGAAATTCTCAGTTAGATTTTGGCAAAACAGGAGGCCAGGTCTCTGGCTTCGCTGGCAAGGGCTTTTTACAATATGCCGTCTTGCCCTCTCTTCCTGTGGAGCATTTGGTTCATCCCACTAAGTAACAATTATCTTTTATGCTGTATTGCTTGTTATTATTTTATTATTATTATTGTCTAAACTGCTTAATTATAAATCCCTTGAAGGTAAAGATTATGCTTGATTCTAAAATATCTCTAGAAGCTAGTATATTTATAGTGCTGAGCACAATTTTTGGCAATTAACATTTCCTGGGGCAATTTTATTATACCCACTTTTTTTCCAAGCACTTTTGCAAGTCTTTTTTTTTTTTTCTTTAATTGAGTGACTGATATGAAAACTAAGATCAAATTATTTTCAGGAATAAATCATAAGGTTTTTTTTTCTGTCTTCCATTAATGGCAATGTAAGAAAATATTGCGAGGTCCAATGAAATCTTAAGGGAGGAACTATAATCTTTCCTCTACTAATGTTTCCATATGGAGGGAACTCCATTAAGGTGACACTCTGGCCTCTTTATCCTGGTACTTTTCCCTCAAAACTCACATTTCCCTGGAGAAAGATAGGGGAATGTTTGACACAAGTCAGGCCTGCTGTTTCCACAATTCCATGGGAGTACCATACATACCATAGTCTATTGGGTGGCTCTTCTCTCTAGTGGATCTGATTGTCTGCATAAATATTTATAGGATAAATTTAATTGTAGAGAGCAACATTAGCAAAACAATTTACTTGCATCCAAATCCAGGCTACATTCTCCAAACAGCTTTCTCAGTAATGAAGCTGATAGTTTTTGTTTTGGTTTTTTTAACTTTTGTGTCATTTGGTTATAAATGTAGGTACTAAGAAAAAGGTGCTGTTATTTATTTGGTAACCCCCCCTTAAATGTCAACAACAGTGCCTCTTTTTATAAATTGCTTTAATAACCTCATAAGAGGAAAGCACATATTTCTTACTACAAACTGTCAGAATGTATCAAAAAGTAATTGTGGATGCCCACGATTGGGGGAAGAGAAACAGAGTAGTTAACTGTCTTCTATCTCATTTCCTCCTAGAGCCAGAGGCAGCAACTTTAACTCTTGTATTTCTAGCTTTTCTGTATTTCTGACATTACTAGGACCATTGCACAAAACATTGTGGTGACTGATTTTATCCAAGTTAACATTCTGACAATGCTGAATGCTGCAGCTTTTTCACACACATTCTTTAAGCAGAAAGTCATTTTAAAAGTGTCATCTACTTGGGACAGTGCTGAGCTAATGTGATACGGCGTGACAAGCTTCACCAAGTTTGACACCTTCTACTTATTGCATTGGAAAATCATTAGATTAATTAATTAGTAGACATAATTAATTAGAAACACTTGATAATGAATTAATTGGTGTACTTTTGGTAAGAATAGAATGAGTATGAGGTATCTTCTAAGAGAAATACAAAAATAAACTATAATGTTAAATAAGTTAGTCAAAATAACATTACTGATATTATCAGGTAACTTCTCAGTTGCCATCTCAGTGAAGCCTTTCCTCACCATGCTTTCTAAAATTTCAACTTGATACTCTGACATTTTACATTTTTTCCTCTGCTTTTTTTTTTTGATAGTTACCACTGATTCATATACTCTATATTCTATTATTATTATTTGTCTCCCCCCAAATATACGCTCCATGAGGAGAGGAATCTTTTGTTGATTGCTGTATCTCCAGCCCCTAGAACAATGCCCACCATGGAGTTGTCTCTCAGTAAGTACTTGGTAAATGAATGAATGGGTACATGAATGTTAAACTTCTGAAAATGCATTTAATTTTTCTTCCTTGCACTGAAGAAAATTGCCTTTCTCTGTAGAGGAGAAAATTGCTTTCCTTTGTCCTAGCCTTGTCCCTGCAGAGTCTTTTAATTCCCCTCCATCATGCTTCTCTACATTCTTTCCAATAAAAACAATACAGACACTTGAAAAAACATGATATTTGGTACCTAAAGACATAGATCTGTTTTATCTCTGTCACGTATGAGCTGTTTAATCCGAATCTGTTATATCATTTGTGAAATGGGAGTACAAAAAAAAAAGTCATTCACAAAGATGTAGAAAAGATTAAATGAGCTTTGGAAACTGCTTTGTAACCCTCAAAAATCTATAGAAATATTTACAATTACAGGTCAGCTGTCATCACTACAATAGCTTTTTCTTCTTCTTTCTGCCAAGTAATATTTATCCTTCAGTCCCTTTCTCTCTCTCTCTCTTTTTAAGTTGGGTATTGAAACTATTCCATGAACTCTTTTTTGGGAAGAAACAGACTGTCAGTCATAGAGGGAGGGATAACCTCCCTTTCATCATTTTGTGACTGTGACCACTTAATGACCTATGACAACCAGACTTGAGTCAATGATCCAATAGAGAAGATCATCACTCATTTAAGTGTGTAACTACTAGAGACAGAAATCTCAGACAAAGCAAACAAAGCACATGCATGGTAAATGAGATCAGAAGTGGAGTAGCTACTATAATTAGAGGGTGCTAGAAAGATCTTTTCTAATTTTCTGTGGACTCTGAAATTATACAATGAGATATTGATTTCTTTGTTCTACAATATTTCTCTTCAGAAGTTTTCTATTAGAGAGCAATTGCCACCTGAGAGAAAAGCATGAAAACTAGCATCCATCTTCAATATCTCAGCATAAATTAGATCTAAGGTAGCTAGCTCTCACCTTGGAAGGCAGAGAACAAAAGCCCAATAGAATGGGACTCATATTAAGTTAATAAGTTGTAATGCTAGGAAAATGAAATGTCCAGAATAATTCTTCAGAAGAATATATTAACCTAGAGCAAGGTCCAGCAAACTTTTCCTGGAAAGGATCAGATAGTAAATATTTCAGGCTTCCAGTCTCTATTGCAACTACATATTTCTCACATTGTAATGCAAAAAGAGTCATATAATACACAAGTGAACAGGGGTGGCTGTGTTCCAATAAAGTTTTATTGGAAAATAATCTTTTTAATTTTTGATAGATTTAAAAAATCTTCTGGCCTAGAGGTAGAAGATTTTTAAAATCTATATAAAATTAAAACTATTGAATGATAATATTAAGATAAATATATATGGTATATAACTGCTAAATAAAATTTCACTGAAGAATATAACCAAAAGGTAATCTTTGTATTACATTAAAAGGCCTGCTTAAATATTGACAAGGAAAAGAATAGAAAATAGAAAAATGGAAATGTACTGAATAATTAGTTCATAATTTAGCATTATAATGTCTAATAGATGTGATGATACTCAATTCACTAGTAGTTATAGAAATTAAATCACAATATATTAATAAAATTACTTTGCATAAATTGAACTGATAAAAATTAAAAGCTCTCTGAAAGGTTAGGTCACCTACAGAGGAAAGCCCATCAGACTAACAGCAGACCTCCCAGCTGAAACCCTACAAGCCAGGAGAGATTGAGGGCCAATATTCAACATTCTTAAAGAAAATAAATTCCAATGAAGAATTTTTATACGCAGCCAAATTAAGCATCATAAGCAAATGAGGAATAAAATCTAAAGAGCTTCTACAGAGTAAAAGAAACTATCAGCTGAGTAAACAGACAACCTACAGAATGTGAGAAAATTTTTGCAAACTGTGCATTCAAAAAAGGTCTAATATTTAGCATCTATAAGGAACTTAAATACATTTACAAGAAAAAAAACAAACAACCCCATAAAAAATGTGGGAAAGGACATGAACAGATATTTTTCAGAAGAGCACATGCATGTGGACAGCAATTATATGAAAAAAAGCTCAACATCACTGATCATTAGAGAAATGCAAATCAAAACCACAATGAGATACCATCTAATACCAGTCAGAATGGCTATTATTAAAGAGTCAAAAAATAGCAGATGCTGGGGACGTTGTGGAGAAAAAAAAGGAATGCTTATACACTGTTGGTAGGAGAGTAAATTAGTTCAGCCATTGTGGAAGGCAGTGTGCCAATTCCTCAAAGACCTAAAGTCAGAAATACCACTGGACCCAGCAATCTCATTACTGGATATTTACCCAAAGGAATATAAATCATTCTATTGGCCGGGTGTGGTGGCTCACGCCTGTAATCCCAACACTTTGGGAGTCCGAGATGGGTGGATCACCTGAGGTCAGGAGTTCGAGACCAGCCTGGTTAATATGGTAAAACCGCGCCTTTACTAAAAATACAAAAATTAGCCAGGCGTGGTGGTGCATGCCTATAATCCCAGCTACTCAGGACGCTGAGGCAGGAGAATGGCTCAAACCCGGGAGGCGGAGGTTGCAGTGAGCCAAGATCGCACCATTGCACTCCAGCCTGGGTGACAGAGCAAGACTCTGTCTCAAATATAAAAAATAATTCTATTATAATGACACTTGCACACACATGTTCATTGCAGCACTATTCACAATAGCAAAGACATGAAATCAACCTAAATGCCTATCAATGATAGATTGGGTAAAAAATTATGGTATATATACACCATGGAATACTATGCAGCCATTAAAAAGGACAAAATTATGTTCTTTGCAGGGGCATGGATGGAGCTGGAGTCCATTATCCTTAGCAAACTAACACAGGGACATAAAACTGAATACCACATGTTCTCACTTCTAAGTGGGAGCTAAATTATGTGAGCATATGGACACATAGAGGGGTACAAGACATGCTGCGGCTTTTCAGAGGACAGAGAGTAGCAGGAGGGAGAGAATCAAGAAAAATAACTAATGGGTACTAGGCTTAATACCTGGGTGATGAAATAATCTGTTCAACAAACCCCCATGACATAAGTTTACCTATGTAACAAACCAGTACTTGTATCCCTGAACTCAAAATAAAAGTTTAAAAAACAAAAAGCTATCTAACATCTACTGCTGTTTGGAAATGTCAGCAGAAGGATATTCTCATGTATAGCTCTGGAAATATAACTTGTTGCTGACTTTTTGGAATGGAATCTGGTATTGTCACTTCAAATTAAATATGCCTATATTATTGAACCTAATTCCAGGATTTGGGAATAATGCCCAATCCTGAAATCTAACTCCAAGATACAAAACTATAAAAACTGCAAAACCTTTTAGTAAAGTTATGTGTGTATGCGTGTATCTCAGTAGATGATCAGAAGAGCATGGAAAAATATATTGAGGAAGTATCATAAATGGTTAACATGGGTTACCTGCCTGGAGTGGTTTGATGGGGCAACTGAAGAAGGTGAAGGGATCAAGTAGAGAAGAAGGAGAGAGTCAACCAAAAAGTGAAAAGGAAAAAGTCTTAAAAAAAAAAAAAAGCATTGTTTGTGTATAATATATTTACATTTATGTACAATTTTATGGCTTGTATATTAATAAAGATTTTAAGAATTATATTTTTTAAAGAAGAGAAAAGATATTATGGTCTCTAGTCTAAACTCCTGAGAAAACTTAAGGAAAACAAGTTTGCCAGTGCCTTTTTACTAATTCCCTTGAGATCTTTCATTTGCAGGCAAAAAGATTGGCCTTTCAGTTCAGCCTGGGCTTGAAATATCAAACACATTGCCATATCAAACACATTTCTGTGCCAGGTAGGTAACATAATTTCTTTCTTAAATTGCTTTTTTTTTTTTTTGGTAAAGCATACTCTGTTTTTAGATTAAGTATATAAAAATAGTCTTAACTCTACAACAATAAAAAATTTCTGTCTCCCTTTTGTTTCAGGACCAGTCACACTACTACCACCCCGCCCCCAACAAACACACACACAGATACACACTTCTATATATATATATACTATATATAAATATATATATATTTACTCTCTATTTCCAAGTTATATTGGAATAGTCTCATGCCTAAATCAATAGGAGAAATGCTGGGTCATAGGTAGGATTCAGCCCACAATGGTATCTGATTGGCCTATTCTATATTTTACTATATATAAATTCTATATATACTAAATATAAATATATATATTTATATTTATATATATATAAATATATATATATATATTTATATATATATAGAGAGAGAGAGAGAGAGAGCAAGTAGCAACTGATACTTAATTATTACATATTCCATAGCATGGTGAACTGTAGCAAACCGGAAAATACAATTATCATTCAAAGTATGTAGCCCCTATTCAAATCCAGTAAATTGTTGACCCACAGGATATTAGTATATTGTCTTCAGGCTTAACTTTTCAAGAAAAGGTAGAAATCCAGATTTTTATGTACAATCTTCCCATTTAAAACATAGAATAGGGCCAGGTGCAGTGGCTTACACCTATAATTGCAGCACTTTGGAAGGCCGAGGCGGATGGATCGCTTGAGGTCAGGAGTTCAAGACCAGCCTGGCTGACATGGAGAAACCTCATCTCTACTAAAAATACAAAAATTACCCAGCTGTGGTGGCACACACCTGTAGTCCCAGCTGCCCAGGAGGCTAAGGCATGAGAATCACTTGAACCTGGGAGGTGGCGGTTGCAGTGAGCCAAGACTGTGCCATTGCACTCCAGCCTGGGTGACGGAGTGAGACTCTGTCTCTAAATTAATTAATTAATTAATTAAAATATAGAATAGGCCAATCAGATACCATTGTGGGCTGAATCCTACCCATGACCCAGCATTTCTCCTATTGATTTAGGCATGAGACTATTCCAATATAACTTGGAAATAGAGAGAGATTCTCCAAAGTTTACTGTAGCTGGTGAATTACTTTTTAGAAATCTCCAAGTTTGTTAATATTGCATATGTAAACTTGAGTGGTAGATTACATTTAAACTAAATAACTTACCCTGTATAAAACACTGTTCTAGTTTGGATCTTTGGTTTAAAGTGGAGACTTACACTACATTAAAGGGGCCTATCAAAAGTTGCCTATAAACTAGAACTAGAGTCACAAAGGCCAACTTCATGAGTTATTTTAATGATGTTATCTCTCTCTCTTTCTCTTCCACACATTATTATTCCTCGAAGATACTGCTTCAACAAGTGTGTCTGTTTTCTTTCTTTCTGTACACTATCTTCTAATGCTAACTCATAATTTTCCTCATAACTTGGGCTGTACACAAACTTTATAGATTTCTTCATACAATATGGTCAACTTCTGTCCCTTCTAACTGATTCAATTTTTTTGGAATTCCTTGTGCAAATTATCTCAAGAGGTAACTTGATACATTCAGATTATCTTTCTATGACTCTTCATACAACATATTTCATAGGCTAATCTATAAGCAGTTTGTCACTGTATCAAGTCATCATATGACTGTTCTTGGGCCAATTGCCTTATAGGTAAAGAAAGAGCACACATAAAACATGTGCCTGGATAGTAAAAATTATAGTAGGAAAATTGTTTAAAGCAATATTTGGGCACATGTGTTAATACAAAAAATCTTCCTAGATTTACAGGGGTCACCATTCTTAAGAATTTAGAAGTTTTGTTAGACTCTTGGTTGATGTCCTGGAAAAATCAATTGGTACTTATTTGAGCATACATTATTTATGAAGTCTTTTTCTTTAGAGACTGTAGTTACAGAATCCCCTGGGCTCTCACCTAAGGAATGTATCATATTGAATCCTCTTGCAAGAAGAATTATTTGTAAAAGGGTGTGAAGGCTATGATAAATCAAGTGAGAGCACAGGAGATTCTTCAGCTACAATCTCTGAAGAATGACTATAGTTGAATCTAGGGCTACAAAAGGGGTTTGGTTAAATAAGAGTTTAGCTATATCCAACAGCAATGTCTGTCTTGGAATATGAGATCTCTAGGCATGTTTTAGTCTTTCACATGCACTTTTTTTAAAGCTTATTCTTTTTTATTATTATTATACTTTAAGTTCTGGGATACATGTGCAGAACGTGCAGGTTTGTTACATAGGTATACATGTGCTGTGGTGGTTTGCTGCATCCATCAACCCATCATCTACATTAGGTATTTCTCCTAATGCTATCTCTCCCCTTGCCGCCCACCCCTCCCTGTGCCATACATTCCCATTGTCCAACTCCCAATTATGAGTTAGAACCATGCGGTGTTTGGTTTTCTCTTCCTGTGTTAGTTTGCTGAGAATGATGGTTTCCAGCTTCATCCATGTCCCTGCAAAGGAAATGAACTCATCCTTTTTTATGGCTGCATAGTATTCCATGGTGTATATGTGCCACATTTTCTTTATCCAGTCTAACCCTGATGAGAATTTGGGTTGGTTCCAAGTCTTTGCTATTGTGAATAGTACTGCAATAAACATACCTGTGCATGTGTCTTTATAGTAGAATGATTTATAATCATTTGGGTATATACCCAGTAATGGGATTGCTGTGTCAAATTGTATTTCTGATCCTAGAGCCATGAGGAATCGCCACACTGTCTTCCACAATGGTTAAATTAATTTACACTCCCACCAACAGTGTAAAAGCGTTCCTATTTATCCAAATCCTCTCCAGCATCTGTTGTTTGCTGACTTTTTAATGATAGCCATTCTAATTGGGGTAAGATGGTATCTCATTGTGGTTTTGATTTGCATTCCTCTAATGACCAGTGATGATGAACTTTTTTTCATATATGTTTGTTGGCAGCATAAATGTCTTCTTTTGAAAAGTGTCTATTCATATCATTCACCCACTTTTTGATGGGGTTGTTTGTTTTTTTCTTCTAAATTTGTTTAACTTCCTTGTAGATTCTGGATATTAGCCCTTTGTCAGATGGATAGATGACAAAAATTTTCTACCATTCTGTAGTTTGCCTGCTCACTCTGCTGATAGTTTCTTTTGCTGTGCAGAAGCTCCTTAGTTTAATTAGATCCCTTTTGCCAATTTTGGCTTCTGTTGCCTTTACTTTTGGTGTTTTAGTCAAGAAGTCTTTGCCCATGCCTATGTACTGAATGGTATTACCTAGGTTTTCTTCTAGGGTTTTTATGGTTTTAGGTCTTATGTTTAAATCTTTAATCCACTTTGAGTTAATAGTTTTATAAAGTGTAAGGAAAAGATCCAGTTTCAGTTTTCTGCATATGGCTAGCCAGTTTTCCCAGCACCATTTATTAAATTGGGGATCCTTTCCCCATGGCTTGTATTTGTCATGTTTGTCATGTTTGTCAAAGATCCGATGGTTGTAGATGTGTGGTGTTATTTCTGAGGCCTCTGTTCTGTTCCATTGGTCTATATCTCTATTTTGGTACCAGTACCATGCTGTTTTAATTACTGTAGCCTTGTAGTATAGTTTGAAGTCAGGTAGCATGATGCCTCCAGCTTTGTTCTTTTTACTTAGGATTTTCGTGGCTATATGGGTTCATTTTTGGTTCCATATGAAATTTAAAGTAGTTTGTTTTCTAAGTCTGTGAAGAAGGTCAATGGTAGCTTGATGGGAATAGCATTGAATGTATATATTACTTTAGGCAGTATGGCCATTTTTACAATATTGATTCTTCCTATCCATGAGCATGGAATGTTTTTCCATTTGTTTGTATCCTGTCTTATTTCGTTGAGCAGTGGTTTGTAGTTCTCCTTGAAGAGGTCTTCACATCCCTTGTGAGTTGTATTCATAGGTATTTTATTCTCTTTGTAGCAATTGTGAATGGGAGGTTGCTCATGATTTGGCTCTCTCTTTGTCTATTATTGGTGTATAGGAATGCTTGTGATTTTTTCACACTGATATTGTATTCTGAGACTTTGCTGAAGTTACTTCTCAACTTAAGGAGTTTTTAGGCTGAGACGATAGGGTTTTCTAAATATACAGTCATGTCGTCTGCAAACAGAGATAATTTGACTTCCTCTCTTCCTATTTGAATACCTTTATGTTTTTCTCTTGCCTGATTGCCCTGGCCAGAACTTCCAATACTATGTTGAATAGGAGTGGTGAGAAAGGGCAACTTGTCTTGTGCTGGTTTTCAAAGGGAATGCATCCAACTTTTGCCCATTCAGTATGACATTGGCTTTGGGTTTCTCATCAATAGCTCTTATTATTTTCAGATATGTTCCATCAATACTTAGTTTATTGAGTGTTTTTAGCATGAAGGGATGTTGAATTTTATCAAAGGCCTTTTCTGCATCTATGAGATAATCATGTGGTTTTTTTTCATTGGTTCTGGTTATGTGATGAAATATGTTTATTGATTTGCATATGTTGAACCACCCTTGCATCCCAAGGATGAAGCCAACTTGATTGTGGTGGATAAGCTTTTTAATGTGCTGCTGGATTTGATTTGCCAGTATTTTATTGAGGATTTTTGCATCAATGTTCATCAGGGATATTGGCCTGAAATTCTCTTTTTTTGTTGTGTCTCTATCACGTTTTGGTATCAGGATAATGCTGGCCTCATAAAATGAGTTAGGGAGGATTCCTCTTTTTCTATTGTTTGGATTAGTTTCAGAAGAAATGGTACCAGGTCCTCTTTTTACCTATGGTAGAATATGGCTGTGAATCCATCTGGCCCTGGGCTTTTTTTGGTTGGTAGGCTATTAATTACTGCCTCAAGTTCAAAACTTGTTATTGATCTATTCAGGGATTCGACTTCTTCCTGGTTTAGTCTTGGGAGGATGTATATGTCCAGGAATTTATCCATTTCTTCTAGATTTTCTAGTTTATTTGCATAAAGGTGGTTATTGTATTTTCTGATGGTAGTTTGTATTTCTGTGGGATCAGTGGTGATCTATCCTTTATCACTTTTTATTGTGTCTATTTGATTCTTCTCTCTTTTCTTCTTTATTAGTCTGGCTAGCAGTCTATCTATTTTGTTTATCTTTTCAAAAAACCAGCTCCTGGATTCTTTGATTTTTTGGAAGACTTTTTTGTGTCTCTATCTCCTTCAGTTCTGCTCCAATCTTAGTTATTTCTTGTCTTCTGCTAGCTTTTGAATTTTTTTGCTCTTGCTTCTCTAGTTCTTTTAACTGTGATGTTAGGGTGTCAATTTCAGATCTTTCTCACTTTCTCCTGTGGGCATTTAGTGCTATAAATTTCCCTCTACACTCTGCTTTAAATGTGTCCCAGAGATTCTGGTACATTGTGTTGTTGTTCTCATTGGTTTCAAAGAACTTATTTATTTCTGCCTTAATTTTGTTATTTACTCAGTAGTCATTCAGGAGCAGGTTGTTCAGTTTCCATGTAGTTGTGCAGTTTTGAGTGAGCTTCTTAATCCTGAGTTCTAATTTGATTGCATTGTGGTCTGAGACACTGTTTGTTATGATTTCCGTGATTCTGTATTTGCTGAGGAGTGTTTTACTTCCAATTATGTGGTCGATTTTAGAAGAAGGGCGATGTGGTGCTGAGGAGAATATATATTCTGTTGATTTGGGGTGGAGAGTCCTGTAGATGTCTATTAGGTCTGCTTGGTCCAGAGCTGAGCTCAAGTCCTGAATATCCTTGTTAATTTTCTGTCTCATTGATCTGTCTAATATTGACAGTGGGTTGTTAAAGTCTCCAATTATTATTGTGTGGGAGTCTAAGTCTCTTTGTAGGTTTCTAAGAACTTGTTTTGTGAATCTGGGTGCTCCTGTATTGGGTGCATATATATTTAAGATAGTTAACTCTTCTTGGTTGCATTGATCCATTTACCATAACCTAATGTCCTTCTTGGTCTTTTTTGATCTTTGTTGGTTCAATATCTGTTTTATCAGAGACTAGGATTGCAACCTCTGCTTTTTTATTTGCTCTCCATTTGCTTGGTAAATCTTCCTCCATCCCTTTATTTTCAGCCTATGTGTGTCTTTGCACATGAGATGGGTCTCCTGAATACAGCACACTAATGGGTCTTCACTCTTTATCCAATTTTCCAGTCTGTGCCTTTCAATTTGGGCATTTAGCCCATTTAAATTTAAGTTTAATATTGTTATATGTGAATTTGAGTCTATCATTATGATGCTAGCTGGTTATTTTGCCCATTAGTTGATGCGAATTCTTCATAGTGTTAATGGTCTTTTATTTTGGTATGTTTTTGCAGTGGTTGGTACCAGTTTTTCCTTTCCATATTTAGTGCTTCTTTCAGGAGCTCTTGTAAGGCAGGCCTGGTGGTGACAAAATCTGTCAGTATTTGCTTGTCTGTAAAGGATTTTATTTCTCCTTCACTTATGAAGCTTAGTTTGGCTGTATATGAAATTCTGCATTGAAAATTTTCTTCAAGAATGTTACATATTGGCCCCCACTCTCTTCTGGCTTGTAGGGTTTCTGCAGAGAGATCTGCTTTTAGTCTGATGGGCTTCCCTTTGTGAATAACCTGACCTTTCTCTCTGGTTGCTCTTAACATTTTTTCCTTTATTTCAACATTGGTGAATCTGACAATTATGTGTCTTGGGGTTGCTTTTCTCAAGGAGTATCTTTGTGGTGGTCTCTGTATTTCCTGAATTTAAATGTTGGCCTATCTTGCTATGTTGGGGAAGTTCTCCTGGATAATATCCCAAAATGTGTTTTCCAACTTGGTTCCATTCTCCCCATCACTTTCAGGTACACCAATTAAACATAGGTTTGGCCTTTTCACATAGTCCCATATTTCTTGGAGCCTTTGGTCATTCCTTTTCATTCTTTTTTCTCTAATCTTGTCTTCACGCTTTATTTCATTAAGTTGATCTTCAATTTCTGATATCCTTTCTTCTGCTTCATCAATTTGTCTATTGATACTTGTGTATGCTTCACAAAGTTCTTGTGCTGTGTTTTTCAGCTCCACCAGGTCATTTATGTTCTTCTCTAAACTGGTTATTCTACTCAGCAATTTCTCTAACCTTTTATCAAGGTTCTTAGCTTCTTTGCAATGGGTGAGAATATGCTCCTTTAGCTCGGGGGAATTTGTTATTACCCACCTTCTGAAGCCTACTTCTGTCAATTTGTCAAACTCATTCTCTATCCAGTTTTTTTCCCTGCTGGCGAGGAGTTGTGATCCTTTGGAGTAGAAGAGGCATTCTGGTTTTTGGAATTTTCAGCCTTTTTGTGCTGGTTTCTCCTCATCTTCATGGATTTATCTACCTTTGGTCTTTGCTGTTGGTGACCTTCAGATGGAGTTTTTGCATTGTCGTCCTTTTTGTTGATGTTGATGTTATTGCTTTCTGGTTTTTGGTTTTCCTTCTAACACTCAGAGCCCTCTGCCGCAGGTCTGCTGGAGTTTGCTGGGGGTCCACTCCAGACCCTGTTTGCCTGGGTATCACCCATGGATGCTGCTGAACAGCAAAGATTGCTGCCTGCTCCTTTCTTTGAAAGCTTCATCCCAGAGAGGCACCCACCAGATGCCAGCCAGAGCTCTCTTGTGTGAGGTGTCTGTCGACCCCTGCTGGGAGGTGATGCCCTAACAGGAGGTACAGGGGTCAGGGACCCACTTGAGGAGGCAGTCTGTCCCTTAGCAGAGCTCTAGTGCTGTGCTGGGAAATCTGCTGCTCTCTTCAGAGCTGTCAGGCAGGAACGTTTAAGACTGCTGAAGCTGCACCCACAGCCGCCTCTTCCCCTGGGTGCTCTGTCCAAGGGAGATGGGAGTTTTATCTATAAGCCCCTGAGTGGGGCTGTTGCCTTTTTTCAGAGATGCCTTGCCCTGAGAGGAGGAATCTAGAGAGGTAGTCTGGCTACAGTGGCTTTGTTGAGCTGCGGTGGGCTCTGCCCAGTCCTAACTTCCTGGCAGCTTTGTTTACACTGTGAGGGGAAAACCTCCCACTCAAGCCTCAGTAATGGCTAATGCCCCTCCCCCTACCAAGCTCAAGCTTCCCAGGTCAACATCAGGCTGCTGTGCTGGCAGCTAGAAATTCAAGCTAGTGGATCTTTCCTTGCTGGGCTCCATGGGCATGGTATCTGCTGAGCTAGACCACTTGGCTCCCAGGCTTCAGCCCCCTTTCCAGGGGAGTGAACATTTCTGTCTCACTGGGGTTTCAGGTGCCACTAGAGTAAAAAAAAAAACTCCTGCAGCTAGCTCAGTGTCTGCCCAAACTGCAGCCCAGTTTTTTGCTTGAAACTCAGGGCCCTTGTGGTATAGGCACCCAAGGGAATCTCCTGGTCTGCGGGTTGCAAAGACCACGGGAAAAGTGCAGTATCTGGGCTGGATAGCACCATCCCCTCACAGCACAGTCCCTCACGGTTTCCCTTGGCTAGGGGAGGGAGTTCCCTGACCCCTTGCACTTCCCAGGTGAGACAGTGCCCCATCCTGCTTCGGCTTGCCCTCCGAGGGCTGCACCCACTCTCTAACCAGTACAGATGAGATGAACCAGCTACCTGAGTTGGAAATGCAGAAATCACCCACCTTCTGTGTTGGTCTCGCTGGGAGCTGCAGACCGGAGCTGTTCCTATTCAGCCATCTTGCCCAGGAGGCCCCTGAAATGCACTTTTAAGAACCACTTTCAAGTTACTTGTATTAGTTTCTTAGGGCGGCTGTAACAAAGTACCATAAACTGTGTGGCTTAAAACAACAGAAATTTATTCTCTCACAGCTCTGGAAGCTAGAAATCTGAAATCAAGGTATTGGCAGGCCCATGCTCCTTCCAAAGCCTCTTGAGAAGGATCCACTCTTGCCTCTTTCAGCTTTCAGGAGCCCCAGACATTCATTTCTCAGTTTGTGAGAATATAACTACATTATTTCTCTCTGACTTCACATGTTCCTCTTCATTCTCTCTCTCTCTCTTCCTCTCTCTCTCTTTCTGAGCATGTGTGTCTGTGTGTGCAGCCCACATGTGTGTGTGTTCTCTTATAAAGACACCAGTCATATTGAATTACCTACCCTAATGGCCTCTTCTTAACTTGATTACATCTGCAAAAAAACTATTTCCAAATAAGGTCACATTCAGAGGTACCAGGGGTTAGGACTTCTACATATCATTTGGGGGGACACAGTTCAACCTATAACATCTGGAAGCAATAAACACTTATCAATTCCAATCTGCTGCATGGGTTTGGAAAATAATAATTAACACCCCTTTCATATAGGCAACCATGGCTGATTACTAGATGCACCTGGGGAGCTTTTAAACATCCCAATTCTCAAGCCTGCACCACAGAATAATTACATTAGAATCTCCAGAGATGGACTCAGATACTAATGTATCTGAAAGCTTTGTTTCCAATGTGTATTTTAGTTTGAGAACTTCTATAGTAAACCCAGAAGACAACTAAGGATAAAAAATAATCTGCGTCTTTACTGAAGAACCTAGTTTCACCCACGAGGTCAAAATAATCTTCCATTTCTTTGCGCATGAATTGAACTTAACTCCTCAGTCATAGGCAGAGCAGCTGGACAATTGCAGGCTATTCCCTGCAGGGCCAAAGCTTTGCCCAGCTGGCTTCTCACATTGGCCTGGCAGCACTCAGGTACTGTGAGGGAGAGAAGAGAAACTAAACCAGCATACCCAAGGCCTTCCGAAACTCATCAATCAGACCAATCTCCCATGAAGAATAGTGAGAGGTGGAAAAAATAATGGAAAATTACTGCTACTTCCAAGTATCAGATATTTGTTTTTCTTCTCCAAGAGAGGTAAATATAATTTCAATTTATAATTGCAAAAACACAATTAGTTGGTTGCTTTTGTTCTCACAAAATCTTGTTGACATAAATTTACTAATTTAACTCCTAATGACTTCCTATTTTTCTGTCCAAAGAAATTATCCTTTGATAATACTTCCTACATGATATAGAACATGCTATTTATTTTTACATTTTAAATATGACTATCCATCTGAGAGAGTAAAGGTTTCTTTATTCATACATGCAGCACCTATTTCTCAAGTGCCATGCTCTGAGCAAACAGACATTTTTCTAGTTCTAGTTCTAGTTCTTGTCTTAAACTCTAGATTCTATTAGAAAAGACAGAAAATAACAAGCAAATGAATAAATATTTTAGATGGTGATAAGTGCTTTAGAGAAAAATAAAGCAGAGTGGAAAATAAACTGTGCCAGTACTCGGGGATCATGTGTAGTCCTCTGGCACTCTGCACCCGGCCCATCTGTGCTATGTCCTCTAGTTGGGTTAGGATTGGAAGAAGAAAGAATACATTTCCCAGGCTCTTTTCCAGCTAGCTTACTAGGCGAGCTTTAGGTTCTATCAGTCATAAAGTGTGGAAGATTCACGGAGCTTGAGGCCATTTTCCTGCACTGGTGGCAACCAACTGGCAGACTTCAGCAGATGTAAGCATGTGTCTATTGTCTAATACCTGCTTCATGGGTATGAGGTAGTCATGGTAGCAGCCAGGGAGGTCACGGTGCCATTGGGAATTTTCTGAACTCTGCAGTGGTATGACCCAAAACCAGGGATCCAGTGGTGATCCCCTGATTTTCCTTCCTCCTAATAATTTTATAAGCTCCTAATATTTAAATTAAATTCTTATCTACTTGATATACCTACAGTTATTTCTATTTCTTGCACTGAATCAGGGAAGATGCCCAAAAAATCTTGGCCAAAAAAATCTCTCAAGCCTAGGCAACAGGGTGAGACCCCATCTCTACAAAAAAAGTGAAAATAAAAATGTATTTTTAACTAGCTGTTTGTGGTGGTATGCACCCATAGTTCCAGCTACTCAAGAAGCCTAGATGGGAGGATTGCTTAAGCCCAGGAGGTCAAGACTGCAGTGAGGTATTTTCACAGCATTGCATTGCAGCCTGGACAATAGACCCTCTCTCTCAAAAATAAAAATAAATAAATAAAAATAAAAATAAAGTCTCTTAGATGAGTTGAACTTTGAGTGGAGATACACCTGAATAAAGCCAGGGCTTTACATACAAAGGCCAGGGGCAGAGAGTTCTAGGTAGGGAGAATAAAAGCTACAAAGATGAGAGTGAGTTCAATATGTTTGCAAAACAGCAAGAACTCTAATGCAGCTGAAGAGGATGAGTAAGGTTAGCATACAATTATGGAAAGAAAAAAGGTAGGGTCACTACTAGCCTTATAATGCATTGTAAGGTGTTCAGATTTCTCAGATGATAAATTATTGAAACGTTGTAGGAGGAAGTGACACAAGCTTGCTCCAGGGTAAATAGACTATAGTGAAGCAATCATAGAAGCAGAGAAACCAGCTGGAAGGCTGTTGCCATGCTCCAAGTGAGAGAGAGTAATAATTTGCATCATGACGATTTGTTAGAAATGGGGAGAAGTGAGTGGATACTGGATATATTTTGAAGGTGGTGCCAATAGGATTTTTGATGCATTGTATAGAAGGCTCCATGGAATAATAATTAAATGAACATGAACATATAATTTATTACCCAAACCGGAACAATTTAAGAATGAAGGAGGACTCCATTAATATTTATGCTGGAGAAACAGACATAAACTGGGAATGTCCCAGGCAGACCAGATTTGTTGGTACCCTAAGTATAAGGGAAAAAATGTAAGAATGACACAAAATTTTAAAACCTTGAACCACTGGTTAAAGTAACCATCTAGAGAGAGGAAGGACTGAAAGAAAAACAAGAAGAGATGGCTTAAATCAAGAATACTACCACAGCCAGACAGCTTCATGGACGTGTGTCCTGTGCAGTTGTGCAGTGCTCAGATGGGTATCTCTAAGTGTCCTTGGAAGTCTTCTAAACCAAGACAAAGTAACAGACAATGAAGAGAGAAAGCCAGAGCTGGAGGCAAGATGTAGAGAATGAAATAAACTCACAATTACAATTATTAGACTAACTAGCAATCAGAGTGGTTTGACCAAGTTTCAGAAGGTTGAGCAAGAGATTCCCTTCTTGTCTGAACTCAGAATTAGTCTTAGATTTTGAAAGGCATCTAAGCCTACAGGTGATAGACAGTTGTCTTCATTAGTGGGACAGGCAAAAGGATTGTTTGAAAAATCAGCAGGACTTATTGCAGGTATAAAAATGAATATTGACATTGAAACATTCTCTGCTATTACACACACAAGCACACATAAGCGCACACATAAGCACACACACATACATGCTGGAGAGGAAAGGCAAAGATTTGAGAACCCTAAATATATACTAGACTCAACAGGTCACTAAAAATTTCCCACTTAATTCTATTTTGGTGAATGTAGAGATTAGCTTCAAAATTGTGATTGGAGGAACTACAAGTAATTGGATTTTTAAAAATTACCTAAGTTTATCATAATATTAGTAATTTGTATTTTTTCATCTTTTTCTTTTTCATTTTTACTATTTCTTGCTTCCTTTCACTTTTATTCATACTGTTTTTCAACTTGATGTCTTTTCTCTTTGTAAAAATGCATGTGACATTCAGTTATTGAAAAGCAAATATGATCATTAATATTAAAAAGAATATGAAAACCATAATTTCTACTTAATGATTTTACTAATTTTATAGACAGTCTGTTTTTAAATGAAGTGTCAGAATCTACATACAAATAATAAACAGAAGAAAAGAATTTATTATACCAATAATTTATGTTTAAGTAAACCCTGGTTTCTATAACTGTGATTTCAAGGTGAATTATAAAGGAAAAATATAAGTAATTTGCTGAATCATGTGTTACATCATGTAAAATAAAAAAGTCTTATTTAATTCTTCTGCCAAACATTCCCTATCTTGATATTTTTGTCATGAATTCTATAATTTCATTATAATTAATACACATTAGCTACAAATTTACAACTAGCCACATGTTCAGAAACAAGAAATGTCACATTTCATTGATTCTTCTAAATCAATTTAATGAGTTCTCACACCCTTTCCTGCCAAATAGGTAAAAAAAAAATTGTGCTCAGTATTTATTGGGATCCTACCCCTTCTCCAGTGTCTTACAGAATGAAGGCCATTCTGACTCATTAGTCTACACTGGTGAAACCTCATGGCCTCCTGAGAGTGGGAGGCTCTAATACTTCCCCATCACACTTGAGCACAAAGGATATGTGTGTGTTGCAAGGAGGATTGGCCACACATGGGAGTCAGCCTCCAAGGCTCTGCAAACTCTGTGGGTGGAAGTGGGTATTCTAAAGGGAGCAGAATTCTGGACCTTAACACCTGAATTACCACGGGCCCCTGAAAAACTACACAGCTCATAAATGAACCAAGTCACTTTGATACACAAGTCATCTTGAACAATGTCAGAACCCTTTGAAAAATGCTACTCATTTCCAAATGTTCACTCTATTGAAAGAAGACAATGTTCTAAGTATCTGAAATCAATAAGTAACTGAATTTAAAAAGAGTGCAGTAGAATATAATGCAATTTCCAAAACTGAGTGGATCACATAGGCCTGAAATTATAAAGAGATATGAGTGCTGCTTTTCTGAATTCTAACTCACTCCACATGCCAAGCCTACGAAATAACTATGCTACTGCATCTCCCAAGAAGATTCTGTAAGCATCCCTGGTACAACTTCACCTTGGAACATGGAATGTCCTGTTAGTACTCTTCAAATGATTCATAATACTATAGCCTCTTGGCCACTTATAAAGCTAAGATTTACAATAATGAGAGTGTATTAGTCTGTTCTCATTCTACAAATAAAGACATAGCTGAGACTAGGCAATTTATAAAAGAAAGTTTAATGGACTCACAGTTCTACATGGCTGGGGAGGCCTCACAATCATGGTGGAAGGCAGAGGAAGAAGAAAGGCATGCCTTACATGGTGGCAGGCAAGAGAGTATGTACAGGGAAACTGCTCTTTATAAAACCATCAGGTCTCATGACACTTATTCACTATCAGGAGGACAGCACAAAAAAATGTGCTTCCACGATTCAATTACCTCCCACTGGGTCCCTCCCAAGACACATGGAAATTGTGGGAGCTACAATTCAAGATGAAATTTTGGTGGGAACACAGCCAAACCATATCATTCCATCCCTGGCCCCTCCCAAATCTCAGGTCTTCACATTTCAAAACAAATCATGCCTTCCTAACAGTCACCCAGAGTCTTAACTCATTTCAGCCTTAACTCAAAAGTCCATAGTCCAAAGTCTCATCTGAGACAAGGCAAGTCCTTTCTGCCTATGAGCCTGTAAAATCAAAAGCAAGTTAGTCACTTCCTGGATACGATGGGGGAACAGGCATTGGGTAAATACACCTTTTCCAAACGGGAGGAATTGGTCAAAACAAAGGGGCTACAGGCCCCGTACAAGTCTGAAATCCAATAAGGCAGTCATTAAACCTTAAACCTCCAAAATGATCTCCTGTGACTCCACGTCTCACATCCAGGTCATGATGATGCAAGAAGTGGGCTCCCATGACCTTGGGCAACTCTACTCCTGTGGCTTTGCAAGGTACAGACCCCCTCCTTATTGCTTTTATGGGCTGGCATTGAGTGTCTGTGGCTTTTCCAGGGGCACAGTGAAAGCTGTTGGTGGATCTACCATTCTAGGGTTGGTCTGGAGGACTGTGGCCCTCTTCTCACAGCTCCACTAGGCAGTGCCCCAGTGGGGACTCTATGTGGGGGATCCAACCCCCAACCCCACATTTTCCTTCTGCACTGCCCTAGCAGAGATTCTCTATGAGAGCTCAGCCACTGCAGCACACCTCTGCCTAAGCATGCAGGCATTTCCATACATCCTCTGACATCTAGGAGGAGGTTCCCAAACCTAAATTCTTGACTTCTGTGCACCCACAGGCTCAACACCATGTGCAAGCCACCAAGGCTTGGGGCTTGCACCCTCTGAAGGAATAGCCTGAGCTGTACGTTGGCCCCTTTTAGCCACAGCTTGGACACAGGGCACCAAGTCTTGAGACTGCACAAAGCAGCAAGGCCCCAGGCCTAGCCCATTAAATCATTTTTTCCTTCTAGGACTCCCGCCTTGTAATGGGAGGGGCTGCCATGAAGCCCTCTGACATGCCCTGAAGACATTTTCCCCATTGTCTTGGCAACTAACATTTGGATCCTTGTTACTTATGCAAATTTCTGCAGCTGGCTTAAATTTCTCCCCAGAAAATGGGTTCTTCCTATGACATAGTCAGGCTGCAAATTTTCTGAACTTTTATAAAAAACTCTGCTTCTCTTTTAAACATAAGTTCCAATTCAAATCCATATCATTGTGAATGAATAAAACTGAATGCTTTTAAGAGCACCCAAGTCATCTCTTGAATGCTCTGATGCTTAGAAATTTATTCTACCACATACCCTAAATCACTAAATCATCTCTCTCAGGTTCAAAGTTCCACAGATCTCTAGCACAGAGGTGAAATGCCACCAGTCTCTTTGGTAAAGCATAGCAAGTGTGACATTTATTCCAGTTCCCAACAAGTTCCTCATCTCTATCTGAGACCACCTTAGCCTGGACTTTATTGTTCATATCACTATCAGTATTTCGGTCAAAGCCATTCAACAAGTATCTAGGAAGCTCCAAACTTTCTCACATTTTTCTGTCTTCTTCTGAGCCCTCCAAACTGTTCCAACCTCTGCCTGTTACCCAGTTTTAAAGTCGCTTCCACTTTTTCAGGTATCTTTACAGCAGCACACCACTCTGCCACTACCAATTTACTGTATTAGTCTGTTCTCATGCTGTCAATAAAGACATACCCAAGACTGGGCAATTTATAAAGGAAAGGAGGTTTAATAGACTCACAGTTCCACGTGGTTCAGAAGGCCTCACAATCATGGTGGAAGGTGAAGGAGGAGCAAAGTCACGTCTTTTGTGGTGGCAGGCAAGAGAGCATGCAAGGGAACTACCCTTTATAAAACCATCAGATTTTGTGAGACTATTCACTATCATGAGACGAGCACAGGAAAACCTGCCCCCTTGATTCAATTACCTCCCACCAGGTCTCTCCCATGACACATGGGGATTATGGCTATAATTCATGATGACATTTGAGTGGGGACACAGCCAAACCATATCAGAAAGTAATGTCGTCTGAAAAAAATAGCTTTTCATGTAATGTGACTACAGTGTGTATATGTCAATCAGACATGCAGAAGCCATCCACATCTTTAATGATTACTCGTTTTAACAGTCTGTTACAAACTTTTACAGGCAAAATGACCTAGGTATTTAATAGCTTCTCTTTCTGTGAAAAAGAGGTTATTTAAAGGTTAAACTGAATACATTCCAAATTCCAACCGATTGAAAATTCAATCATCTATGAGGGCTGTCTTTTGAATATTGTAATATGCTGGAAAAGCATTTGCAGTTTTTAGTGCCATAAAAAAGCAATAAAATGTCATAAAACGAAACAAATGCCATAAAAAAGTGAGAGAGATTGGGACAAGATCTAGAAATGTCTCTTCTATTAGGCAGAATTTCTTATTTATAGCTGTGACTCCTAATTGCCTCACTGCAATGTTTTGTGTCTCCAAAAACAAAAAAGTGTAATGTCTTTTCAATCCTTAGTTGGCAGTTTTCTTCAGCTAAACATGAGCGTATTTGAGGGATAAGAGAAGGGGTGAAGGGCAAGCTGATTTTTTTATGATTTGCTGGAATACGAGTTCAACTGAAAAAAATTTGTTCTATCCGCTTCATCACTATATTCATGACCTACCACATGCTAGCAAAGAATAGACACTGGAAATATTTGTTGAATAAATTAACTAATTAATTAGTGAGTTCGCTGAGAGATGAAGGAGAGCTGTGGATAGATGAGCTTCAATTTTTCTTTTTTCAGTGGCATTTGGAAGTTTCACTTCTCCTCTATCTCCTTTTGCAGTTTGTCTGCATCTTGCAGCAGGCTAAGAAAAGACCCTCCGTTTTGAACACCACTCTGAATTGCAAAGATTTAGCCCCACTTGAAAGACAGCTTTCCTTTCTGCTTACAAGAACAGCTCTCTCTCTCTCTGATGACTTAGTGAAGACTGCAGCACAGTCTTCTTGCAGTCCCCAGCTGAAGCCAGTCTTTCTAAATTAGCCCTAGAACCTGCCACTAGAGTGTGTCTTGGACTTAGACATTTTACAGCTGTAATGTTTTATTGATCACATTTAAGCCCTATCTTTTTAATTAATGAATGTTTATGTTATTACAGCAGATAAAACAGGATTTCATTCAAAGTCCTTTCTGCAATGTTAAGCTAGAGTTTGAAATCAAGGGAATAAATGTGGCAACAACTGAACCCAATTTTCCTGTGATTGCTTTTTTCCTACTGTTCAGTTTTAAAAACTAAATTTAATATGAATAATTTCCCTTCCTTGGGCCCTTTTCTAACAGTCTGGCTCCACACAGTTATGTTACCTGCCTCCCCATCCTCCTCTGCAGCTTGTGGTGATAAGAGATGTGATTTATAATGCACCCCTGATTCATGAACACTGCACAATCCCAGACTATGTTATCTTGGAAAGGTTTACCTGTTATTTTTCAAGCAATACAAAACATGCAATAACAAAATATATATTCAGAACAGTTGAGTCTTTTATATGTGTGCACTTTAATCAAGCTCTGTGTCCCAGAGCTTCCATCAAGAAGTTGACCTCTCTTTGAAGGTCAACTCTCTCTCGTCCAAAAAGTCTTCTCCACCCACTGCCCCAGCAATGTTAGGCTGTATGTTTTTGTGGACATATTTTCTTTCCCTTCTAACCATGTAGTATTTCAAATAACTAGGGGACAGTCAGTGTCAGAGTATTCCTGTATACACTGACTTAGAAAACGTAGAGCAGTGTATTCGTGTTCTAGGGCTAATAAGAAAATACCAAAAACTGGGTTGCTTAGTTTGACAGAAATGTATTGTCTCATAGTTCTGGAAGCCAGCAATCTGAAATCACGTTGTCAGCAGGACCATGTCATCTATGAAGCCTCTAGAAGAGTATCTTTCCTGGCTTCTAGTTTCTGCTGCTTGCTGGCAAGTCTTGCTGGGACATTCCTGGCCTATAGAGGCATCACTCCAGTCACAGGGCCATCTTCTCCTTGTGTGATTTCAAATCTTTCATTTACGTGTGTCTGTCTCTATGTCCAAATATCTCTCTCTTTTTTTTTTTTCCATAAAGAACCCAGTTATATTGGATTAGGACCCATCCTAATGACTTCACTTTAGCTTGATACCTTTGTAGAGAACTTATTTTCAAATAAGGTCACATTCTGAGATACTTGGGATTAGTGATTCAACAGCCTTTTCAGGGGGATATAATTCAACCCATAATAAACCAGAAGGATGAAGAGTGGACTGGGCATAGAGAAAGATAATGAGAGTCAGTTCTCTTTTCTTTCTCACTGCTCTCAGGTTTAACTAAGGATCAGGACAGGTGGAAGCAGGTGCCAGATGAGCTTCACTTAGGGGCCACTGACAACACTCATTCCCATTTCATGCATGTTCTGTGTCATAGGAAAGGAAGGGACCTACCTGTGACTTACCAGGAGTCTACATTACAAACACTTGTGTTCTCAGAATTGCTGCTTCTGTTTCCCCATTTGCTCGGCGTGGTGAATCACTTGTGGGCTGCCACAGTTTTCATGCAGTGGTTCTAAACTTCCATGTGCATCAGAATTACCTGTAGAGAAGTCTGGGTCCCAACCTTAGGGGCTAATGCAGCTAGTGATTTTGAGTTGAAGCCTATGCTCATTGACCATTTCAAAAATCTCTGGCCCTTAAGAATTATGCTAAATCAACTCTGCCTGAGCTGTATAAATGGAATAACAAAGCTTGGAGGACAGCACCTCTGTTTACAGCATGATTTATTGCATATTTTAAGCCTATTGTTCAAAAAAAGATTTCTTTCAAAATATTATGGCTCATTGACCATGCACCTGGTCACCCAAGAGCTCTGATGGAGATATACAAAGAAATTAATGTTGTTCTCATGCCTGTTAACACAACATTTATTCTGCAGCTTATAGGCCAATGAATAATTTTGGCTTTCAAGTTTTATTATTTAAGACATATTTTGTGTAAGACCAAAATATATATAGCTGCCATAGATAGTAAATTGAAAAACTACTGGAAATAATTCACTATTCTAGATGTTATTAAGAACGTTTGTGGTTCATTAGAGGAGGTCAAAATATCAACATTAACAGAAGTTTAAAAGAAGTTGAGTCAGCCTTCATGGATGTCCTTGAGAGGTTCAAAACTTCAGTGAAGAAAGTGACTGCACATGTGGTGGAAATAGCAAGATGACGAATTAGAATTGGAGCCTGACAGTGTGACTGAAGTGCTGCAATCTCATGATCAAACTTGAACAGATGAGAAGTTGCTCCTTATGGATGAGCAAAGAAAGTGGTTTATTGAGATGTAATCTATGATGCTATGAAATTACAAGAAAATATTTAGAATATTACATAAATGTAGTTGATAAAAGAGTGGCAGAGTTTGAAAGAATTGACTCCAATTTTTGAAAGTTCTACTGTGGTTAAATGCTATGAAATAGCATTGCATGCTACAGAAGAATATTTTATGAAAGAAATAATTAACCGTTGCAGCTAACTTTATTGTTTTATTTCAAGAAATTGCCACAGCCCTCTCAGCCTTTAGCAACCATCACCCTGATCAATTAGCAACCATTAACACTGAAGCAAGATCTTCCTCCAGCAATGAGATTATTACTCAATGGATAGTCAGATAAGCATTATTATTTTTTAGCAACAAAGTATTTTTAAGTAAGGTATGTGTAATTTTTTAGACATAATACTATTGTACATTTAATAGACTACAATATAGTATAAACATAAATTTTATATGCATTGGGAAACCAAAAAAAAATTGTCTCGCTTTATTTTGATATTTGCTTTATTGCAGTAGTCTAGAACCATGCTTGTGATAACTATGAAGTGTGCCTGTATATCATCTCCAACATTATCTTTAACTTTACTTAAACAGCATGTTGAGACTTCTTTGTCGTAGTATCCCACAACCATCTAGCACAGTTTTTAACACAAAAAAAAGGAGAAGAATTTTAGTAGGATTTTTAATCAAAAAGCAATGAGACATCTTTCTTCTTCTCTGAGCAAAGAAACTGAAAAATTGGCAAATTCGTAAGCAATATATAAAAGGTTGGGAAGTCTGAGAAAAAGCTTCTGTAAAAAGAGCTCTTTTAACAATATATTTTTACTTTCTACTCATGATGACAATAAGGGATAATCAGTTGTCCTCTCCTTTATTATCTCAGGCTTTTGAAATGAGTTATTTCACTTCATGGTCAAGCATTTTAAAGGTCTGAGTAGAGACTTAGGAAATGTTCCACAGGGGCAGGCAAAAAGAGTTTTGTCCATCAGTGGGCATCATAGAAAAAAACTTAGTCACAGCTATTATCCTTTGAGTTAGCCTTTCTTTTTTCTTTTTATCCAGTATGGTTGACAGTAATGATATAATCAAAACTTTTCTTTCTCATTTTTGGCCTTTGAGAGCATGCTTCCTCTACCCTATAAAAGAGATATCATAAGCTACAAGCATGCAAAAATATCACATGACAAATGAGGATGTAGAAAATAAAGGAGCATTTTTTGCTAATTTTTTTGGTTTTTAAACTTAATTATCTTATGAGAATAAGGTGAACAAGGCTTCCTTGCTCTACCATGCTCAACTACTGACAATTCTTTCAATTCCTTGTGTTCACAGATGCAGAGCACATATGATACATATGCATTTATCATATAGTAAATGTTCAAAGTACCCCTGGCATGTGGGGGGAAAAGATGCTGACCTAAGTCATTTTGGAAATGAGTGGCTTAACAGTTCTGATACCGCTGTACATGTATACTGGAATTGAACAATTAAGTAATGGATGGTGAATGGTAAAAGCCAGGTTCCTCACTTCTGGAGTGGCAGTTGACCAACAAGCAAGGGGAGGAGGATGAATAATCCATGTGGTAATGGATTTGAGTTATAGACAACAGTATAAATTCATGTTTAGTTTAACATAGATACAGATGTTTATATATAAAATATTTACAGATATATGTATATACATAGGTTAGTATATACACATATACTTCTTTGTTAGCTGAGACAGCCTAGAAGCAATGACATCCCAGTAGCAATGGGAACACTTAATGTCTACATCTTGGTTTTTAATACTATTCTCCAATGAAAGAAACCAGGGCTTATTGGAGACATGGCTGATCACAGATGGGGGGAGGAAATATGCAAGATGAATCTTAAAACTGTCATAGTGCTAGAAAAAAAGAAAGTGCTCAGAAAATAACTGCACAGTGATGATAATATGACAAAATGACACAGGAGCCAATTGAAAGAGCTCCCAGTGGCCAAAGCTGGTACACTTTGAGCAGCAAAATACATAAAGTAGCATTGGGCTATAAGCCAAGTGTAAAATAAGTATGTGTAAATACTGATATAAATAAATGACTGATTAATTAAGTGAAGGAGAAAGAAGAAACAAACTTTCCATGCAGAATAACTTCAAATAATTTATGTAAAATCTACCCTTAAGGGAGAGGAGCATAACTTTTCACTCATAAAGTGTGGATTACGCATAAGTGATTTCTTTCCAAAAAGTACAGAACAAAAAGGGAAAAAAGAGTAACTTTAAGTTAAGAAACCTGACTGTGTATGCCAAATGATAATTGTCAACATCAACAGTGATAAGTCTTGTCAATAGTAAATATTCTTTATATTATGTGATAAAAATGGAATTCTACATCTGTCATCTTCATCCTAAAAGCCCATAATCCCAATCTAATTATGAGTAAAACATCAGAGAAATCTCAATTGAGGGACAGTCTACAAAATACCTGACCAGTACTCTTCGAAACTTGACTAGTGATGATGTCAATATCATCAAGAACAGTCTGAAAAACTGCTACAGCCAAGAGAAGCCTAGGTGGACATGACAGCTAACTGTAATGTGGTAGCCTGGATAGGATCCTGGAAGGAAAAAAAAAAAAACTAGGTAAAAATTAGGAATAGCTAAATAAAGTATAGACTTAGTTAATATTACTGTATCAATATTGATTAATAAATTATAATAAATATACCATACACATATTACATATTCATAATAGAGGAAACTGGAGACTGGGTGCAGGAATATGGAAACTCTCTGTACTATTTTCATATTTGTCTCTGTAAATTTCAAGCTATTTTAAAATAAACAAATTTTTTTTAATGTCCTGGCCTGTTTGTGCAGAACTGCATAAATATTGCTGGCTCATTCTATCCTCAATTACACCTCAATGTTATTAACATGAATACAATTATTTTTAAGGCATCATAAATCTTTGTGTTTCACCATCATCCAATACAAAATAAAGGAAGGGGTCTAACGTTTAAGTCTTTAATCCATCTTGAATTGATTTTGGTATAAGGTGTAAGGAAAGGATCCAGTTTCAGCTTTCTACATATGGCTAGCCAGTTTTCCCAGCACCATTTATTAAATAGGGAATCCTTTCCCCATTGCTTGTTTTTCTCAGGTTTGTCAAAGATCAGATACTTGTAGATATGCGGCAGTATTTCTGAGGGCTCTGTTCTGTTCCATTGATCTATATCTCTGTTTTGGTACCAGTACTATGCTGTTTTGGTTACTGTAGCCTTGTAGTATAGTTTGAAGTCAGGTAGTGTGATGCCTCTGGCTTTGTTCTTTTGGCTTAGGATTGACTTGGTGATGCGGGCTCTTTTTTGGTTCCATATGAACTTTAAAGTAGTTTTTTCCAATTCTGTAAAGAAAGTCATTGGTAGCTTGATGGGGATGGCATCGAATCTGTAAATTACCTTGGGCAGTATGGCCATTTTCACGATATTGATTCTTCCTATCCATGAGCATGGAATGTTCTTCCATTTGTTTGTATCCTCTTTTATTTCATTGAGCAGTGGTTTGTAGTTCTCCTTGAAGAGGTCCTTCACATCCCTTGTAAGTTGGATTCCTAGGTATTTTATTCTCTTTGAAGCAATTGTGAATGGGAATTCACTCATGATTTGGCTCTCTGTTTGTCTGTTGTTGGTGTATAAGAATGCTTGTGATTTTTGTACATTGATTTTGTATCCTGAGACTGCTGAAGTTGCTTATCAGCTTAAGGAGATTTTGGGCTGAGACAATGGGGTTTTCTAGATATACAATCATGTCATCTGCAAACAGGGACAATTTGACTTCCTCTTTTCCTGATTGAATGCCATTTATTTCCTTCTCCTGCCTAATTGCCCTGGCCGGAACTTCCAACACTATGTTGAATAGGAGTGGTGAGGGAGGGCATCCCTGTCTTGTGCGAGTTTTCAAAGGGAATGCTTCCAGTTTTTGCCCATTCAGTAGGATATTGGCTGTGGGTTTGTCATAGATAGCTCTTATTATTTTGAGATACGTCCCATCAATACCTAATTTATTGAGAGTTTTTAGCATGAAGCGTTGTTTAATTTTGTCAGAGGCCTTTTCTGCATCTATTGAGATAATCATGTGGTTTTTGTCTTTGGTTCTGTTTATATGCTGGATTACATTTATTGATTTGTGTATATTGAACCAGCCGTGCATCCCAGGGATGAAGCCCACTTGATCATGGTGGATAAGCTTTTTGATGTGCTGCTGGATTCAGTTTGCCAGTATCCTAAAACCATAAAAACCCTAGAAGAAAACCTAGGCATTACCATTCAGGACATAGGCATGGGCAAGGACTCCATGTCTAAAACACCAAAAGCAATGGCAACAAAAGACAAAATTGACAAATGGGATCTAATTAAACTAAAGAGCTTCTACACAGCAAAAGAAACTACCATCAGAGTGAACAGGCAACCTACAAAATGGGAGAAAATTTTCGCAACCTACTCATCTGACAAAGGGCTAATAGCCAGAACCTACAATGAACTCAAACAAATTTACAAGAAAAAAACAAACAACCCCATCAAAAAGTGGGCAAAGGACATGAACAGACACTTCTCAAAAGAAGACATTTATGCAGCCAAAAAACACATGAAAAAATGCTCACCATCACTGGCCATCAGAGAAATGTAAATCAAAACCACAATGAGATACCATCTCACACCAGTTAGAATGGCAATCATTAAAAAGTCAGGAAACAACAGGTGCTGGAGAGGATGTGGAGAAATAAGAACACTTTGACACTGTTGGTGGGACTGTAAACTAGTTCAACCATTGTGGAAGTCAGTGTGGTGATTCCTCAGGGATCTAGAACTAGAAATACCATTTGACCCAGCCATCCCATTACTGGGTATATACCCAAAGGACTAGAAATCATGCTGCTATAAAGACACATGCACACATATGTTTATTGAGGCATTATTCACAATAGCAAAGACTTGGAACCAACCCAAATGTCCAACAATGATACACTGGATTAAGAAAATGTGACACATATACACCATGGAATACTATGCAGCCATAAAAAATGATGAGTTCTTGTCCTTTGTAAAGACATGGATGAAGCTGGAAACCATCATTCTCAGCAAACTATCACAAGAACAAAAAAACCAAACACCGCATGTTCTCACTCATAGGTGGGAATTGAACAATGAGAACACATGGACACAGGAAGGGGAACATCACACTCTGGGGACTGTTGTGGGGTGGGGGGAGGGGGGAGGGATAGCATTGGGAGATATACCTAATGTTAGATAACGAGTTAGTGGGTGCAGCGCACCAGCATGTCACATGTATACATATGTAACTAACCTGCACATTGCACACATGTACCCTAAAACTTAAAGTATGATAATAATAAATTTAAAAAAACAAACAAAAAAACAAAATAAAGGAAGGAGAACTAATGTCCATGTGAACAAGTAAATCTTACAGGTCTAGTAGATAAGGATACTTAAGACAAATCACGAGAAAAGTCCAAGGCTGCCATATTTAGTTACTTTACCCCGATACTTGTAGGCTACTCTCACAAGATCGTCCAATGTCAAATCAGCAATGTCCTCTGTCTTCTCTAAACTCTCACCTGTGTCCCAGGGGAGAGTCTGCTGCCATCAGAATCTCTCGCTAGCTGAGTCTCAATTTAAAAACTATAGCTGAGTCTCAGTTTGCAAAGTATCAGTGAGAAGCACTGGCAGGAGATTCAGAAAACAAACAAGAGGATGACATTGTTATTCTTTTTCCACAGTGACAATCATTAGCAAGGATAAATGGCAGATGTAAGCATCACCTTCTGAGTCCTTCTTCCATTCTGCAGACAATTGAGATTATAGGCAGTGGTTTCCTAGGCATTACGTAGTTTCCTGATCTCTTGAATATTAGTGGTAGCTTTCCCTAAACTTCACTCCGTTCGTCCTTCCAAAGATTGTACAGGTATCCAATTTTTTTACATTAATTTCTTCCTGGTTGAACTATCTTGAGTGGTCTCTGTTTTACTAACAAAACTAACCAACTGACTCAATTTGTTAGTAATTTGGTCAGTGCAATGGCTATCTTGTCAGAGTCATTGAATTTTTAAATACACTGCCTCACAATCTAGTAGTAATTTATTATATTTCCATACCAGAAAAAATTATTTAGTCTGATATACAGGAAACTGATATACACAAGAAGATATTACTCAATTCACCTTATTCTTTGGCTCCAAGAATTTAACCTCTGGTCCACATAAATTTTAACCCAGTCTTTTTATAATCACTCAGAGGTGCATCTTTTATTTTAGTAGTTAAGATTTCTGATATATAATAAAATGGTAAGATCTCAAACTAATAATAGAATTGTTCAGTATTCTCCTACTGTCAAGTGTATCTAACATGACATTCACTGTCCTGTGGAGTAAAACCAGGTATTTCTACAAAATCTTTAGTGAATATATCCCAGAGTTCTTAAATTAAATGAGAAAATAAACTCTGTATAGATAAAACACAAATATTAAAAGAACAAAATCATTTATATTAGGAAAAAAGGATGTAAAATATCTAAATAATAATTTTTATATTGATTTCATGGGGAAATGATAATATTTTGGATGTATTAGGCTAAATAACATATTAATTTTTTTAAAAAAAAGAACAAAAAATTAAATCAGTCCATGGCAAGGCACTCTTTAAAACCACCTCTTTATGAGAGATCAAGGCATATTTAGTTTTTCCCCAGACATTGGTGTAAGGAAATAAGTTGTGTTCACAAATTCCAATTCTGAAGCATACAAGTGAAATAAAGTGGTATTCAGTCCTTAAACAATAGGAGCCATCATCTGAAAAAAGGAAGAGAGGGTAAAGAGAGAAAAAAAGGATAGGGATTAAAGTAAAAAAGACCAGAATGGGAATGGTGAAAGAGAAGGGGAAAAAATTATAATACAGAAAGAAAAAATATTTTCATTTTCTTTGACGGTGGTTGTGACACACAGTTAAAGGCAGCTGTGAAAAAACACTCAGGTATTCACTACGGAATTCACTCCTTGCCCAGAGCTCTTCCATTTTGGAGTGTATCTTATTAGAAACATGCTCTAAACAAGATAGAAAAAGTGGCCCTATCTCAATGAAAAAGAAACTAGATACAGGGTCTTTTAAGCAGACATAGAAATTTATTTTTATTTCTCCATCTGTTTGTTAGAGCTTCACAAAAAGTTAGGAATGCTTATCTGTAACCAGAAAGAAATATGTGGTTCCACATAAATAAAGCTAATTGTTTGATTTTTTAATTTTATTTTGGAAAGAAATGCAAGTCTTACACTTCTGTTGAGGGAATATAGAAGAAGAGAAATGTGATAGTTAATACTGAATGTCAACTTGATGGGATTGAAGGATGCGAATTATCATTCCTGGGTGTGTCTGTGAGGGTATTGCCGAAGGAGATTAACATTTGAGTCAGTGGGCTGGGAAAGGCAGACCCACCCTTAATCTGGGCAGGCACCATCTAATCAGCTGCCAGCGTGGCTAGAATATAAAGCAGGCAGAAAAAAAACATGGAAATACTAGACTGGCTTAGCCTCACAGCCTACATCTTTCTCCTCTGTTGGATGCTTCCTGCCCTCGAACACTGGACTCCAAGTTCCTTGGTTTTGGGACTCGGACTGTCTTTCCTTGCTCCTTAGCTTGCAGATGGCCTATTGTGACACCTTGGGATCGTGTGAGTTGATACTTAACTCCCCTATATATATCTATCTATCCTATTAGTTCTGTCCCTCCAGAGAACCTTGACTAATACAAGAACTAACAAAAACAAACATTTTACTGACAAATGGTATGCAGCTATTTTTAACAGATAACAAAATAAATAACAATTATAGAACCATTAATCACTCTTGAATAGTAATGGTTTTCTCTTGAGTTATTTAGTCAAGCCAAGACTCTCTTACTCTACCTAAGATAAATTATTGACTTTGCTTCTACAGTATTACATGAATTTCCCCAGAAAGATTTGCTTTCATTTAAAATTCTAGCATACAAAATTACTTATTATTCTTTGGCATGAAAATTATACATTATATATCAATTATAATTAGTGAGATCAGACAACTGAGAATATATCAGGTAAGTTTTACAATACCAGTGTCTACAAAGCAGGCACTCAAATACTTAAATGTTAATAAACCCCTCTAATTGTGATTAGAATAGTTATTATCTATTAGAATAACTAATAGATAATTAGTTAACATACCTAAATTCATGATATGCTTATTATAGCAGAGGTGTTTTAGAATCATTATCTTGTTTAAGTCTCAAAGCTATCATATAAGGTAAATTGTTTATTACTTCCATTACACAAGTATGGAAACATACACAGGGAGATTAAATAACAAAAACACACAATCCTCCCTGCTCTTTAGCCAAAGTCTAAGACTTTTTTTCTCTAAGATAATAATCTAGAACAGATGTTTGAAGAGATGCAGAGATAGGTCTGGTACCAAACTGTCCAGTCTTCAAAGATGGTTTCAAAATGAGATGAAATTCCATTAAACTATGTTAAATCACTAACATACTTTTTACACCACTGCTCTATGAAGAATTTACTTCTAGAATTCTAGTGGATCAAGGAGTTAAACAGTGAATCAGTTAATTTACAACTAAAAAAAAAACTGAACCTCCAGATAGAAAAATTTGATGCTATTACCCTTATTTTTAAAATTTTTTCGAAATGGTACAAATAAATTATATTTTATAGAAGCAAGCAAAATCTTCCTCATGTTCTCTTCTCTATTTTCCCTAAAAAGGGAGCTCTGGCTGGTCATTTGGGAGAATTAAAACTTATTTCCCATTTTTAATAAGTTACTACACCTTAAAACTTACTACACATATCTTTGAGTTACTACACCTGAAAAGTTACTACACATATCTTAGAATGCACAGATATAATGCACACTTAACTAAAAGTACTTTATCTTTTACCTCTCTTGTATTTTTCCAAGGCTCCTTTTCCAGGAAATAATTATTTATAGTAGCAAATCTGAAGCACCAAATCTTCTGTCTCATGCTAATTGTTTTGATCATTTGCCACTATTTATTTAGATGAGAAGATGAATAATGTTTTATAAATGTTTGTGTGTGTGTTTGTGTATGAATTAAGTATGAATTAGTGTCCCAGATTTCCTAGGGAAGAGAAAATATCCTGAGATTGTCAACCCATCTGGTAACACACTGAATGTTAATTTGATATGTCAAAAATACTATGCTATTCTAGTCAGGCATTTCTGAAATATTCCATTATCACCATTAAGTTTCTCTCAAATTAAATAACTAGATTAATTGCCTGGCTTCTATTGGCCTACCTAACCTACTTGTAGGGGAACATACGCTTGTATCTGAAAGGCTATGTAAATGAGGTTTGAATAGACGGGCCTGCAGTTCAACTTACTAGAGAAAAATGTATTATTCTCTTCATCAACTTGGAAAAAGAAAGTCTCGATGTCTGTTCTGGTTTCAGAAACTCCCTAGAGCAGAACTCCTGCTGCTTTTAGAAAGATGTTTCTAATTGATTTTGATACCTATTGAATAAAAACATCAGTGATTCATTCAGAGAGTAAATAATTGTCATTCTTCATTCATACAGGCAGGATGGACATTTAGGTTAGGCAATGTAGTTTGAGGAAAGCTTAAGAGGAATAAATCCTTTCTTGTTTCATATAAACTCTGAACTTATATTTCACTTTAATCAACAAGCTCTTTGTCCTTCATTATCTCTCCTAGATATCTTCTTTTTTCCTTCTTTTCATCTCTTTTTGATAGACAGTAAGGTTAGTGTTAGCATTTTCACTTCTTAAAAAGAGGGATTCCTTTTTATTGGTTTTTAAAACGTAAAGCACTAACCTTTAGATGTTTGCCTGATAAGTCATAATAATAAGTCATTTGCCCTCTAGAGACCCAGAACTAATTTGAGAATCTTTTCATCTCTGACATAAATCTTGGCTACTTCAGTTTCCCAGAGAATTTGGGAACCAAAAATGGTTTGGAAAAGAAAGAAAGCACTACGCCACTGCTCTGCACTGAAAATGCACTTTTAAATTCTCACAGGGTTATTTCTAACAGGCTAAGGTTTGACAAAAGCAATATTTTCTGAGCAGTTAGAAATAGGAAATAAGATATATTTAGAATTATTTAGGCCTAAGTTGGCAATTTAATTGTGGGGGCTATAAACACTGTCTCCTTTCTTAAAGTGAATTAGCAATTATAAGAATCAAAATATGATCAATATTGATGGAAAGTACAAGCATATCTGATTTATTAAATCTTGTTTTCCAGAGATGTCTACTTTGTTTCCCTCCTACAGGAGGGGTTACTTTAACTCTAAGAATAAGCAAGAAAAAAGCATCCACAGCAAGAATGGTAAGGACATGTTAAGTTTCCAAAGGTTTGAGGAACCTTAGGGAGGAAATTGACTTAGAAATCTCCTATCCTAATTTCTACTCTGTCCAATTTTAACAAGACTGTACTGAACACCATCAGCCAAGCATTGCCAGAACAGTGGGTGTCACACATGTGATTCTCACTATTCCCCAAGGGTCTTTGGAATTGTTCTATTTTTTAAAAAGGAGAGAAAGTACAATACCTCTTTGCCTTTTTATTGTTTTACAATATCCTTAAGAGAAAGGCAAAGTTATCCCATGTGTTTCTTTGACAAAAAAATGAAAATTAATGATTAATATTGATTCTATCTATGTCAGGTATTTTTGCATTAGATTATAGTATATGCAATTTATTCCACTCAACCATTCACTTACAATAACATTTTCCTTCATTTATAATTTTTAAAAATTATATTTGCCTTAATAAATGTAACTTTTCAGACATTCTATCCTACAAGCCAATTTTATACCAATTTACAGTTGATAAAACTAAAATGAAAAGGAGTTAAATGCCTTGTCCCCAAAGAATAGCAAGCTAGCTACAGTGGCAGAAATAGAAACCAAGCTCCTGACCCTCAATCCAGTATTCCAGTTCACACTGAAAGTCTAAATTATTAAAAACAGTTATAGGGAAGAAGTACTCTTTTGGGACTATGCAGTTGAAATAGGACAATTGTCTTTGGGTAAATCTACAGTTGGAAAAGAACTTGATTCTCATTCAAGTTATATTATAATTAAATAGTAAAGAGATGTATGTCTTCTACAGAAGGATATTATAAAATTATTTAAATATTAGTTACAGCAGGACACAATAGTTTTTTTAATATCAAAATAGCAATCTAAGTCAAAGCAGCAATGGATAATAGCTGCAATGATGATAAATCGCCCTAGTGTGTTAAAACATACAAAATGTATAACTTATTAGCATGAGATCACTAATATTTTACAAATGAGGAAAATAAAGCCTGAAAAAAGATTAAATTAATTCATTAGCATCATGCTGATGAAGAATGACATACTTGTGACCTGAACATGTTCTTTTGATTTTAAATCTGGTGCTGTTATTGAGTAGAATACTCATTTACTTGCTTTATACTTAATATCATAAGATCAATAGTAACACTTATAAATTACACATAAATAATTAAGGCAATTCGTATGTAGAGATAATGCTTGGAAGTTGCCAATGTTTGTTTCATCTGTAATAGGAAGGGGAAACAAGGAAAAAACTAATTCATACAACGACTTAAGATCTGAAGGACAATAATAGAAATAATCAATCATCTTTCCAAAGAAAAATGAATTATGAGCAGAACCACTGCCCAGCTGGGAGATTTAGGAACATTTATTTCAACCAACATTTATTGAGCACTGTTAGATGCCAGGTTCTGGGAGATTCTTTGCTTCACATGGCACTCCAGGCCTATCTGCTTTGTCTTAGAAGACACAATCCTCATTAAGGCTTAGGTCTGTTTTATCTGCAGTGATGGGTGGGGATACACCTAGGCCTGTCACATTCACACAAATTATCACTAATAAAGCATCAAGTCTTAATGGGACAACAATTACTGAGTCAAAAATCTAAGGTAAGGGTCTCGGCAGGCTGGCAAGGGAAGATTCAGCAAATCTGGGCAACACCACAAAGCCTTCTTACCCAGTGAGATAGAAGCATGAAGTGGATTGGTTAATAGAAGATTATTTAAAATAACTATTCACAAAAGAGGTATACACATATGCTTTTATTTTTTATTACATTTATTTACAATCTTTTGGTTGTCAGGTCCAAGACTTTTCTTTGGGTAAACATCCAAGAGCAGACTCTCTGTCTTTCTTGCATCAACCACACTCAGAATGTATTATCTAAGATTTCTAGTTTGTGGCTTCTAAAAGTAGAATAAGGACATAGAGACCTTTAAAGGCAACTTGACCTCACAGAATCTCCCCTTGGATTTCAAGTTTTTCATGACTTTCCTTCTGTTATTTCAGAGTCATCTAATGCACACCTATTTTGAAAGTGTTTTTAAGTCTTCGAAAATATTGAACTTAATTTTCATGTTTTTTTCCAGTTCATATTTTACCATTTTTGGAAAGAGGTAAATTACATAATTATAAAAGCAATTCAACCAGCATAGCAGGTTTAATTGCTAACAGGGTTGACTTGTGGTAAGGCTTGTAAGAGCAGAAGTGCATGGGTATGCAGAAGTTGCACACTAGTGGCAAGCATTCAGTAAGTTGTGGGTATCAGTCAGTATTAAACAAAGGGAAAGGAAAGCATCAATTAGTCCAAATGAAGGACTCAACTCATGATGTCCAATGCAAGATGCCACAATGCAATTACTTCAATAGAGAAACTCAGTAGTCTGCAGTCTTCTATCAAGGTCAACTCTTAGAGCTAGCTCAGCTTTCCTGGGTCTTATGAGTTAGAGTTTGCTTATAGGAACTCTGATTTCCCTGAAAGAAAAATATTATCTTTACTTAGGCTGAAATCTTCAGTGTGACAAAATAATCTTCTGGGTGCCTCAGAAATATGCTTGGGGAGCTTTTGCAGTTTATTGCTGAATGTAGTGTCCTCAAAACACATGTTCATTTCATAATTATTATATTCAGACTGTGTCCATAAGAGATAACACTGTTGACCCTAAATTTAGAAATATTTAGTGTTTGGGAACACCAGAATAGCAATATAAATATAAAATATTTGCAGAAATATTGTTCATAATACCTTTCTAGACCATAAAAACCATTGTTGTGTTTTCCAGTTCACTAAATTAAATACTAATAACCTTTTCTACCATGCTTCCTGAAAGCTTTTCAACATGACAAAATTCCAAATTGCAGAAGCTTTTAGGCAGAAAATTGTTAAACAAAATATTCAGTATTTATCATGAAGTAAATTCTCTAAGAACCGAGCATGATGATGTGTGCCTGTAATCCCAACTACTCACGAGGATGAGGTAGAAGAATGGCTTGAGCCTAGGAGTTTGACAGCAGCCTGGGCAACATAGCAAAGCCTCATCTGAAAAAAAGTATGGAAATTCCCTAAAGAACCCAGCAGTCATAAAAGTTTCCTGATGAAAATATGCTTCATCCATGATATGATTCATAAAAGCTTGTGAATCTCTGGTTCCCAGAAGGTAATCAATCAAAGCCCATTATATACAAAGTGCTCCAGTTTTTCCTTAGTGCTCTAATGGAGCTTATGTTTGTTTTTAAATTCCAATAAGCTAAAGAGCACATATGTATACTTTCAATGCTGTCAACAAGATTTACTGTCATTTTTAAATGGTCTTTTAAAAGATTTGTCTAAGTGAGTGAAATCTTCCAATTTAGAGCCATTTTTCTAACTGAAATAAAAGCCAAAAGATATATTTTCTCCTTAAGCATTAAATTTCCTTAAACATCGAGTTCTATGTCTAACATATAATTTTGAAAAGTCATTATTTTATAGAATTAAAAGTAAAGCAGTAACTTTTTGAGGCACACAATAATGTTTTGGGTTCACATAATATAGAAGTTTAACTGTAGTAAATGCTGAATAAATGCCAAGATTGTTTCTGTGTGTAAATGCAGTGGACAAATACATTCATTTAATAGCTAAAGGATGTGCGGCTTAATGCCTCGGTGATGGGTTGACAGGTGCAGCAAACCACCATGGCACACGTTTACCTATGTAACAAACCTGCGTGTTCTGCCCATGTATCCTGGAATCTAAAATAAAATGAAATTTTAAAAAATTCACTCAACAAGCACTAATAAAACAAGCCTTAATAAATGTACAGACGGTATTAAGTCTATTGGAAATGGTACCACAATGTGTGACTTTTAGCAGTGTGTTCTAATTTCTGTTATTCAAAGGATTATTTTCAGCATTTTTTACCTCAACTTTTTGTGATGTTTAATATTGCCCACAATACCCTCCTTGAGATACTGCCATTCCTTTATTTTCATTACATGGCATTTTCTTTTATTTTCCTTTTTTTTTTTTTTTTAGACAGAGTCTTGTTCTGTTGCCCAGGCTGGAGTGCACTGGTGCGATCTCGGCTCACTGCAACCTCCGCCTCCTGGGTTCAAGCGATTCTCCTGCCTCAGCCTCCTGAGTAGCTGGGACTACAGGCACCCATCATCACACCCAGCTAATTTTTGTATTTTTGAGTAGAGATGGGGTTTTGCCATGTTGGCCAGGCTGGTCTCGAACTCCTGACCTCGTGGTCTGCCAGCCTCGGCCTCCCAAAGTGCTGGGATTACAAGCGCGAGCCACCACCCCCATCCATACATTGCATTTTCATGATTCTTTTCTTAAACCATGACTATTCATTCTCATTCTCCAATCTGAACCATTTTCCCAGCTCACACTTCAATTGTTGCTGCTCTTAGGGTTCTTTGCATCCTTGGAATTCTTCTCTTCTCTGGTTTACCTTAGTCATTTTATTCATGTTAACAACTTTTAACTACTACAACACCAAAATCTGTATCTCCAGCTTCTTCTTCTCCAGAATAGTATTCCCCGCTCTCTATTAGATGCTTCAACTATCTTATTCCAAATAGGTCATTTTTTTTTCTGTAATAACACTGCATAACTCACATAACTTACAAGGACAAATATCTACTTCTTGTTTATGTGATCTGAGGGTCAGCTGTGGCAGCTCTTCTCCAGATTATTTTGAGATATAATAACTATGGGGATGATGGAAGAAGTAGTTCCTGGGTTATGATGATGTCCTTATGTTAGAGAGTAAGAGCACTTATGGGGAGTGGTTTCCATTAACACCTCTGCTTGAAACTGGAACACCAAAGTTCCTGCCCTCATTTCACTGGTCCAAGAAAAACCACATGGTCAAGCCCCAAATCAATGGAGCAAAGAAGTATACTCTATCCACATTAACACACGGCAAAAAATAGGAAAGAATAAAAAATTATAAACAAATTAAACAATCTTCCAAACAGTTACACCTAACAGCAGTAGGTTCATATTGATACTTATCTTTCCAAAATACCTTATATCACCCAGTGATTCCTGTTACTACTTTATCATATTCCCAGTTGCCCAAGATGAAAAGTGAGAAGTAATCCTCTGTTCTTCTGTTCACTCCACGTTAAATCAGTCAACATTCCCTCCATACTTCTATCTCCTTAACATCTAATGTCAATGACCATTTCTTTCTGTCTTCGCAACCACTGTAGTATTTCAGGATCTTGTCATCCCTCACAAAACTATAATAATAATATGTTGTATTTAAAGGAATCTGCTATATGAGATTGACCTCAAAATCTCAGTGGCTTGACACAACAGAAATTTACTTTTCACCCACAAAATGTCCAAATAGTTTTTGTAATGTCACAGGTGGTTCTCCTTCAAATAATGACTGAACAACCCAGGCAACATCCATCTAGCGGTTCTATCATATCACATATTGCTTCCTACAAGTAAAGAACGTGCAGAATTACATGTTGATGGGTTTTGTGCAGCAGGCCTGGACATAACACATTTCACTTCTATCTACTTCCCTTTGGCTGGAACTCATTTATATGGTTTTATCCACCTTAAAAAGAGGCTAGAATATAATCTAGTGTGTGTTTGAGAGAAAGAGAAAATGGGTTTGGTGAACATCTAACAGTCTCTGTTTCAATGTTTTAGCTGATCTTTTTGCTAGCAGGAATGGCCACCGACATCAGAATAATCTATCTAAGGCACAAATTCAATCTATTGCCTTGCATAAAACCTTTCCATTACTTTGCAATGATTGAAAATAAAACCAAAGTTTTTCACAAGATGGACAAATGATTTCATGTGAAGACAACCTATTCTTCAGTCACACTGTGTTACTTTCAGTTCCATGAAAATAACACAGTCTCTCGCCTGTTCTGTTGCCATAGCCAGCCCTGTACTATTGTTCCTTCATTGACTGCTTACTTATCTTTAAAGCTTAATTCAAGCAGCCGCTTGTCTATGAATTTCTTCATTTCTGTTTTAGCAGTCATTTAGAAGTGCCCAGTCTTCCTTTTATTCCATTTATTGTGCACATTCATTTTGCCATGTCAACTACAACACTCTACATACTTACAACCTCTCCTTTCCTAGTACTATTTTATTAACTAGAAATAAGTACAGGGTAGGCATTAATACATAAGATTATTATTTATCAATCCAGCAATAAGGAATACAACCAAGCTGATACTATAATATTGTAGTGACAAAATTCAGCTAATCTTCTAGATGGAACCAACTGACAGAAACCTTCAGAAGACCACATGTAATCCACAATTTTACCAGGCTATTCAGAAAGGGATAGGCTACTTGACTTTCTAGATTCTTACTCCTTATTCATGAAAGTTTGGAAAGGGTGGTACAATAATTCTAGTCATTTCACATAAATTGAACTCTTTCATCAGTGAAAATCATTGACATGTGTTGATCCTAATCCCCAGTGTGACGGTATCAGTTGGTAAGACCTTTTGGCAGTGATAAGTTTGAGATCAGTGTAAGAGTTAAAGAAAGAGGAAAGAAAAACGAAACGCGGCTTAACAGTCAAATACTTTTAGAGACAAAACCCAAGAGGGGCTTCTGATTGATTTCAGTCAGGAGGGCTTTCTTTTACAGACTAAGAGTACATATTGGTTTTAGGGTGAGGGAGCTTATTACAAGCTTGGAATGTTTCTGTGTGGGGGAGAAGTTTTATGGCGGGGTTGGAATGTCTCTGGGCAGAGTGGAGGTTATCTTGGGGATGACATCTTTCTGGCCAGATGGGGGTTATCTCAGGGCTAGCATGTCTCTGGTCCAGGAGGAGTTTGGAGTGTTTATGGTTGGAGCTGTTACATGTGGTTTATGGTCATACTGACCTTAGCCATTAGGCTGATGCCCTTTGGATTTAGGCGGTATTTGATTAAGGTGATTTTTAAAATGACAGTGCTTGTCCAAGATGGTGATACTCCTGCTCTGTCAATCAGTGCCCTTATAAGAGCCTGAAAATACCAGAGTTCCCTGCTTCTGCCAAGTGAGGACACGGCAAAACAGCCGTCTATGAATCAGGAGCAGGTCCTCATCAGACATCAAATCTGTTGGTGCTTCAGTCTTAGACTTCCCAACCTCTAGAACTGTGAGAAATAAATTTCAGTTGTTTGTAAGCCACCCAGTCCATGGTATTTTTTATAGCATCCCCAAATGGACTAAGACAATTTTCTTAAGTATTTACTGTGCTAATTAACAACCAACTAGGGTTAATTACAGGTAGTTACATTAAAGCCTTTGGAGTGAGATCTTCTGACTAGTGTTCAAAGGCTATCAAACCACCCCTAGATTGTCTCTGATTAGGACACCTTAGATAATCCAAATGTCAACTAACTTCCCCTAAGGTAAGGCCTAAGAAGAGTTTTCTTCAAGAATGTGAACCAAAATTTTGGTTATAAGAAAATATATCAGTAAATATTTATACTGCTAAAATAACCAAGCAGTAGCAAAGATTATCTAAAAAAAATTCAGAGAGGGATTCCAGGTTTTGCTTTGCCCAGTCATGATGTGAACACATTCAGCCTAGTTAGCTATCTCACTGAAAGCATCAGTGAAACCTCACATGCTGACCTAAAAAACATAAGATCATTTTAAAACTGTTTTTAGTTCTTAATGATTCTTTCCATGTTTTGGTAAAGAGCAATAGGTTTGCAAAGTCACTTTTGCAACTTGGATTAAATGAGGAAATACACAATTATGGGTGCCTTAATATTCTTTCAATGAGGATTCCATTCTGATTTTTTATTTCCCATAAACATAAAATGTACCAACAATAGAGACAGAACACCACTTTTCTGATAAACCTTCTTTTCCTTATATGAAAGAATGTCTTCTGGCCAGGAGCAGCGGCTCAGATCTGTAATCCAAGCACTTTGGGAGGCCGAGGTAGGCAGATTGTTTGAGCACAGGAGTCCGAGACCAGCCTGGGAAACATGGTGAAATCCCATCTCTATAAAAATATGAAAATTAGCCAGGCGTGGTGGTGCATGCCTGTAGTCCTAGCAACTCAGGAGGCTAAGGTGGGAGGATCACTTGAATCCAGGGTGTTGAGGCTGCAGTAAGCCATGATCACACCAGTGCACTCCAACCTGCGCAACAGAGTGAGACCCTGTCTCAAAAAAGAGAAGAGAGGGGAGGGGAGGGGAGGGGAAAGGGTGGGAAGGGGAAACAAAGAGAAAAGAAAAGAAGAGAAAGAAAAAAAAGAAAAGAGAAAAGAAAGAAAAGAAAAGAAATTCTTCTGCTTCCAGTTGTTAGGATGTGAAAACACAATAATAAGAGAAACCTGGACAAAATAAGAACCATACTTTTCTATGGAGCTAATGAAAAGCAACAAACACCAAAAAACACTTAAAGAATAACATTCTAGAAAGAAGTAAGATTTTCCAGAGATGAGTAGAGAGCCACAGCAGTTCCCATGCCTCTACGCAGCTGCCTCCTCTGAGTACAAACAGAATAGCAGAGCTATCATAGATGAAGCATCCAGGGAATGAAGGAAGCAGCCTTGCCTCAGATGACAGTGTGAGCTGCAGAAACAGACCAAATCTACAAGACCCCTAAATGCAAAATCAAATTGTTTGACCTGACAATTTCAAACTCTAACCCTCCCTTTCAATTTTGTCATATATATGGCAATAAAAAGGGGCAGGTAGCATAATCCTCTACATTCTTATTATGATTGGATTTGACAGCCTGTCAAAGTTGAGAAAAAATTAATCACATAATATTTGACAGTGCAGCCCAACTTTCAAAATGCAGCCAAGATCAAAAGTGCAATGGTACAGAACAGCGGGGCTTGGGCTAAACATAAAGCACTGAGAAATTCCATCTAGTCAAATGGAGGACTATCCTTCAGGACTAATGCCCAAACTATGGATTTAGCCCTTTTCCCTTCCTATCCTGTCATGGGGCCTATTGTAAAGAGTCATGCAATGAAATAACACTGAGATATTAAAGACTTGTGATCAACTAATGCGTTAAGTCTCTGAAGTGCGTTTGCCATAATATCACATCCTGGAAAAATAAACTCTAGTTATTAAACTGAAGACACTACTGCAGGACTGAAAGGGAGATTGATGTGAATGAAGGGATGGAGATAATTTCTTTAAATACCCCAGAAATCCCATTATATAGGCTCACACAGAAGTCTGAACAAGGAACAAAAGTTGGGGAACACAGGTAGTTGGTTTTCAACTTGTTATAAGAAAGAACTTTCTAGTAACATCAAAACCAAATTAATGATAAGAACTATCATTTAATGCATGCTACTATGTGCCTATTACATTCTGTATATAATTTCATTAAATCTTCATAATGACCCTTTGTAAATTGCCTCACATCACCCCTGAAATCCAAAGCCAGACAGTCTGATGCTGGAAGCACTGTTTTGGTAACCATGTCATACTCTCTATACCTCTAATAAATACGATTAGTCAGCAGTAGGACCAGATGCTTCATGAAACTGTATTATTAAATGTCACTCAAGTTAATCAATCAGTTCTCTATACCTGCCATGTACAAAGGATATAATACATTTCAACTGATTAAATTATTTGTCCTTAAAAACAAATGGATTTAAAAGTATCTGTTAATATTTTATTCCGTAACAATCTTTATTTTGTGTAGTATTAAATTGACTTTTTTTAATTTAGTGTGATTGTTCCCATTTTTAAAAATAATTTATTAGAGAAAAAAACATTCATCCTTTAAATTAACAAATACAGTATGATACTATGCAATGTATTTTTAACCATGGAAATAGATTATAAATATACTTTGAGAGAGAAAATTCAGATTGAGAATTGTGTAACCTATTTTCCTATAAAATAAAAACTGTTAAATGTTATATCTAGAAGAATACCATTAGCATGAATTTGTTGCTTTCTCAATAAATTGGTATGACCTGAATGTCAGAATATATTACGTAGCATTCACTGTACTCTATCCTGTAATTAAGAATGGAAATCAGTATGCGCTTTAATGGACCATCTGTAAACATGAGATCAAAGAGAACCAATAAAAGTAAAACTAAGATCTCAGGAAAAGCCTCAGATTCTCAAGGCTGCCGTGAAGTGTGCGACTCACTATTCCATCGAGGATCCTTAGCCTTTGGCTTTTCGTGAAGAGCACCAAGGAAATGCTGAAAAATCTAAAAAGTGTTGTGGATCAAATGAAAAAGGACTTGTGGGAAATGGAGAGATAAGTGATGAGGCTGCTTCTCCATCTAAAATCTTAGCATATGATTTTCCATTTTTTTATTTTAAAAAATGTATTTGCCACTTAGATAATCAAAAATATGTTCCTTTAAGGCAGTCTAGATTTTTGCTGAGCTATCATGAGTAACTGAGTAATTGTTAAAAGTAGACACACACTAAGTGGACAAGAAATTTTAGACATTTTATCCATCCTCCATAACACAAATGTACAGTATAATACACTATGTTATTTAGATAAGATAATGCTTATTGGCTTCTTTCTTCCCATAAAGTTATATAAGAAAAAAAGCCCTTTTTTTTGGCTCATTAGGAGCACTCTCCAAGTAAATCAAAGAATTCAGTTCTGAGAGCCATTCTTCTGCCATGCTCTCACTGATTGCTGGCAGTGCTAGGTCATGTCAAGATTCAGGAATAAGCTCACAATGCCTGTTTCTGGGGCAGCCACAGAATTTAACCTGCCAGGTTATAGGCAGGATTCCCCGAATTCAAAGCCTTAAAATGGAAGGATGACCAGGATTTAAAGATCGTGTTTGTGGGTGTAAAAGCTAAAGAAAATATTCTTTACCAACTCTATCCCTTTTTTATCTTTTTTATATTAAAAGATATAATTTATACCCCATAAGTGCAAAAATTATAGCATTTAATCCTGATATTTATTTACGGGTTAATAGTATATATTATATACTACCTATAGTAAGATACACATTATAAATGTTAAATGTACATTTTAGAAGACTGTAATAAAGATGAATAATAAATACCCTTTAATTTTAATTGTTAATGCTATAATGCATTTCCTTTCACTAACATTCATTATGTTACTACTATGTTTAATGACAGTAATGTGATTAAATATACTTCCTTATATTTTAAATATGTATTTAATATTTTGTGATGCAGAGATACACAAGTCAGTTTCTAAGGTTAGCTTACATAAATATTGGGTTGAAATGACTGAAAATGTATTTCAAAAGATTCACATCCAGAAGGAGGCGGAGCATGGCCAAATGAAACCCTCCTGTGATCCTCCCCCTACAGGAACACCAAATTGATCAACTATCTGTGCAACAAAGCACCCTTATAAGAACCAAAATACAGGTGAGCAATGACAGCACCTGGTTTTAAGGGCATATTAAGGAAAGAGGCACCACAGAAGGTGAGAAAGACAGTCTTACATTGCCTACACCACCCTTCTCCCATCTCCTGGAAGCACAGCACAGACAGAACATATGTGTACTTGGGGGATGGTGAGTAATTGTGGGACTCTGCATTGGAACTGACTGCTACCTTGTCACAGTGGAGAGCAACACAAGGCAGAATTCTACTGATGCCCACAGAGGAAGCATTTAGACCATTTCTGGGCCAGAGAGGAATCCTCCACCCCAGCAGTAGGAACCAGATTTCCAGTTAGCTCCACCAATTGACTAAAGTGACCTAGGGCCTAGAATAAATTTGAAAGGCAGTCGAGCCACAAGAAAACTGGGGGCAAGTCCTGGTGCTGCAGTGGGACCACAGCCAGTGGACTTGGAGCGAACGTGACCCAGTGAGATGTCAGCTCTAGTGGCCATGGGAGTGCTTGTGTCACCCATCCTCCAACCGTAGGCAGCCCAGCACAGAGAAAGCGACCCCTTCTGTTTGGGGGAAAGTGAGGGAAGAGAATGAGAAACTTTGCCTAGTAATCTAGGGAGTTCTCTTGGATCTTACACAGGCCCACCAAAGCTGTACCTCTACCAGGCTACAGAAATTACAGCGTTACTGGGCTTGGAGTGCCCCCTAGTGCAATTATGGCTACAGTGACCAATGACTTAAATCACAATACTCAATTTTTTTTTTTTTTTTTTTTTTTTTTTTTTTTTTTTGGAGACGGAGTTTCGCTCTTGTTGCCCAGGCTGAAGTGCAATGGCGCGACCTCGGCCCACCACAACCTCCGCCTCCGGAGTTCAAGCGATTCTCCTGCCTCAGCCTCCCGAGTAGCTGGGACTACAGGCATGCGCCACCACACCTGGCTAATTTTGTATTTTTATTAGAGACGGGGTGTCTCCATGTTGGTCAGGCTGGTCTCAAACTCCCGACCTCAGGTGATCCGCCCTCCTCGGCCTCCCAAAGTGCTGCGATTACAGGCGTGCGTAAGCCACCGCGCAAGGCCCACAATACTCAATTATTTGAATACCTAGAAATCCTTCTCAAGAAGGACAGGCACAAACAAGTCCAGACTGTTAATATTAGAATACCTGACTCTTTAATGTCCAGAAATTGATGAATATCTACAAGTATCAAGAACATCCAGGAAAATATGACTTCACCAAATGAACTAAATAAAGAATCAGCCACCAGTCCTGGAGTGGCAGAGATGTGTGACCTTTCCGGCAGAGAATTCAACATGGCTGTTTTGAGGAAGTTCAATGAACTTCAAGATAACACACAGAGAGGGAAATCAGAATACTACCAAAGAAATTTGACAAAGAGGTTGAAATATTGTAATAAAAATCAAGCAGAAATTCTAAGGCTGAAAAATTCAATTGACAAACTGAAAAATGCAACAGAGTCTCTCGACAGCAGAGTTGATAAAGCAGAAGAAAGAATAAGTGAGCTTGAAGACAGGCTATTTGAAAATATACAGGCAGAGAAAAAAAGTAAAAAGAATAAGAAAGAATAAAGCACACCTATAAAATTTAGAAAATGGCTTCAAAGGGGTGAATATAAGAGTTATTGGCCTTAAAGAGGAGGTAGAGAGAGAGAGATTGGGACAGAAAGTTTCTTCAAAGAAATAAAAGAAATCTTCCAAACCTAGAGAATGATATCAGCATTCAGGTACAAAAAGGTCATAGAACACCAAAGTCTTATTTAACTCAAATAATTTAATAACCAACCTCCCAAAAATCAAGGATACAGCAGGGATTCTAAAAGTGGTAAAAGAAAAAAAAATAATAACACACAAAGGAGCTCTGATATGTCTGGCAACAGGCTTCTCAGTGGAAACTTTATAGGCCGTGAAGGACTGGGATGACATATTCAAAGTGCTGAAGGAAAAATAACTTTAATTCTAGAATATTATATCCAGCAAAAAATATCCTTCAAACCTAAAAGAGAAATAAAGACTTTCCCAGGCAAACAAAAGCTGAGAGATTTCATCAACACCAGAACTGTCCTACAAAAAATGCTGAAGGAAGTTCTTCAATCTGAAAGAAAAGGATGTTAACAAACACTAAGAAATCATTTGAATGTATAAAACTCATTAATAATGGTAAGTACACAGAATACTCTAACACTGTAATTGCAGTGTGTAAACCACTGATATGTCGAGTAGAAAGACTAAAAGATAAACATAAAAAATAACAACAACTTTTCAAAAGGTAGTATAAAAAGATATAAATAGAGACAACAATAAGTCAATGGCAGGAAGGGAATGGAGTTAAAATATAGAGTTCTTTAGTTTTCTCTTTCCTTGTTTGTTCATTGTGTTTTTTTTCTTGTAACCAGAGTTAAGTTGTCATTCATTTAAAATAATTGGTTATAAAATATTATTTGCAAGCCTCATGGTAACATCAAATCAAGAAACCTACAATAGATACACAAAAAATAAAAATCAAGAAACTAAAACATGCTACTAGAGAAAATCACCTTTACGTAAAGGAAGGAAGGAGGGAAGGAAGGAAGGAAAGAAGGAAGGAAGGAAGGAAGGAAGGAAGGAAGGAAGGAAGGAAGGAAGGAAGGAAAGGGAAGGGAAAGGAAGGAGGGAGGGAGAGAGGGAGGGAGGGAGGGAGGGAGAGGCAGGGGAAGAAGGGCCATAAAATAACAAGAAAACAACAAAATGGCAGAAGTAGGCCCTTAAATGTCAGTAATACCACTAAATATAAATGGACTAAACTTTACAATCAAAAGACTGACTGAATGGATAAATAACAAGACCCAACTATATGTCACCAACAAGAATCTCACTTTACTTATAAAGACATTCACAGACTGAAAATAAAGGGGTGACAAAAAGTATTCCATGAAAATGGAAACCAAAAAAGAGCAGATGTAGTTATATTAGAAAAAATAGACTTCAAGACAAAAACTGTAAAAAGAGACAAAAATGTCATTATATAATGATAAAGTGGTCAATTCAGCTAGAGGAAATCACAATTGTAAATATACATGTACCCAACACTGGAGCACCCAAGTATATAAAGCAAATATTATTAGACCTAAAAAGAAAGATAGATGCCAATGCAATAGTAGCTGGAGATCCTGACAACCCAATGTCAGCATTGGACAGATCATCCTGATAGAAAATCAAAAAAGAAACATTAGACTTAATCTGCAGTACAGACCACATTGACTTAACAGACACTTAAGGAACATTGAATCCAATAGCTGTAGAATACACATTCTTCTCTTTAGCATGTGGATCATTCTCAAGGATAGACCATATGTTAAGTCGTAAGACAATTCTTAAAAAACATCAAAAAATTTGAAATCATATCATGTATCTTCTGTTACCACAATTGAGTGAAACTGGAAATCACTAACAAGAGGAACTTTGGAAACTATATAAACATATGGAAATTAAACAGTGTGCTCCTAAATGACCAGTGAGCTGATGAAGAAATGAAGATGGATATTTTAAAAAATTGTTTAAACAAATGAAAATGGAAACACAACCTACCAAAACCTGTGGGATACAGCAAAAGCAGTACTAAACGGAAAGTTTATAATAAGTGACTATATCAAAAAAGTTGAAAAACTTCAAATAAATACCCTAAGATGCATCTTAAAAAAAAAATAGAAAAGCAAAAGCAAACCAAACTCAAAATTAGTAGAAGGAAAGAAATAATAAAGATCAGAGCAGAAATAAATGAAACTGTAACAAAAAATACAAAAGATCAATGAAAGAAAAGTAGGTTTATGGCTTGGGAGGGTCAAACCCCCAGATCTGTTTATTCACAAGATTAAAATACACAGCTGTGAGCCCTTTGAAAACTGCTTAATGCTTATTTATTAAACTCTGGAGTGTTGATTTGTGTGTCATGTTTGACTTTGAAGGCTGAAATTAAATAGATACTCCTAAGAGTGTAATGGTGAAATAAATAATTTCAATTATTGGAGTCATCAATTCCATTTCTTTAGAGAGCATAAGTTTCACATGTGGAGCTTGTGAAACACAAACATACACCCCTGAGCCCTATTCTCCTATTCTCGAGAGATTTTGATTTAGTGAGTCTAGGAAGGAGGATAGCAATATGCATTTTTACCACTTTAATACTCTGATAAAAATCAATGCCAAGCCCAGAAGTGCCCACTCTTCAATGAACCTTTATTTACCCTCAGGACAATTCCAGAGGCAAAAGGCAGCAAAGGATATTTTTTGGGGAAATTTCTCTAGACTTGTCTTCCTTCTGTCTTTGCAAGAACTCTTTTTGTTGGTTCCCAAGCTCCAAGCCTTCACATTTGCCTTCTTCTTTTTTTTTCCTTTGTTTATATTGTCTCATTCGGATTCAGAATGCTTTTTGGAATGTTGATTTTGGTTTTGACCTAGCAATCTATAAGATGCTCTTTCTAAAATATCTCCAAGCACACGTACTACAAAAGAGCCCCATAAAGCTAGACTTTCTTCCCCTATTCTAACTCCATTCCAAGGAGGGAATTCAGACAAATGCTTCTCTCTAAGGCATCTGAAAATAATATGTAGACACAAGGGAAGATTTTTTTAACTGATGTAGATGTATCCTTTGGATGTTCTGCCAGAAAGTTCTTCAGCGGCTGCATACCTCCCAGGCAATAACTAGTTTTCCTGTACTCCGTCACTCTGAGTTAAACTCTTATAGACTTTTTAGTGAGCAAAAATTTCAGATTTCTTTGGACCCCACTGAAGACTGAGAAAAGCAAAACTGTCAATGCGGTGGTGTATTTTTAAATTTTCCTCAATCATTCACTTATTAAGTTTCAGTTCACAAATATGTATTTAGTACTAAGTGTCAAGTGTAAATAATTAACATGACATAGAGGGGAAAAGTGAGATAAATAATAATTATGCAACATGACAAGAACTGTATTAGACAAATAGGCAAACTGTGATGTGAGGTGACCTTTTTCTTAAATTACATATGTTTCTTTCAGTTATCATTGAGATGAAAAGAAATGGTGGTGATTATTTGTACTATTTACCTCTGTTTCTGAAGGATTTTGTGACTGTGTAATTTACTACTCATCAACTTTATTTCTATTCTATTATTTTAGTAACACAGTAATATGCTTAATTGATCATTAATTTCTGTTCTGCCATACCTGATACAAAGTAGCATAAAGCTCTTTAGTTTTTATCATCAGAGTTGTTATTTTAGGATTTTTAGATTCCATAAATAATTCATTGTATTATTCTTCTCTTTGGTTTTGCTCTTAGAACTGCCATAGAGTATGATCTATATATTTCTTTTTTAATTCTTCTGTAGAGCACGGAGTCATTTATGTTGCTAAGAAAAGACATTTTATTTGGAATACAGTCCCAGATCCACTTACTTGAACTTTTAACCATAAATAGCAGCATATTGGTGACTTTCTGGACCTGAGAACTGGCACAAATAATTTGAATTTTTCTTCAAATTAAAAAAAAAAAAGAGCAAGACAACAAATTCCTTTTCCAATTTTACCTTTTGATATATACAAATAGAATCCTAGGAGCTTGTATTGAACAGGCCTTAAAAGGACATTTATTTCATTTAGCTATGAGAGTATCAGGAAAGTAGATTCTACAAATCACAAGACCAAAGTGATTGATTGGTTGCTAAAAGCATTGCCACTTTCACTAGAAAATGCTTAAGTTCCTATTTCCTATAATCTAGTTATAAGAATATGCCTCAGATAGAATTGACATTGAAGGATATACCAATAAAAAGAAAATTTTCTGACAATTTGATTTATATGTGAGCTTGCACTTAGTGAACTAGGAAAGAGAGATAAGTAACTTGCATTATTTTCTGAAAATCAGTCACTAGATTTCACTGTTGTCTAAAAGGAATGAAAAGAGCAAACTAACCAACACAAATTCTGTTTTCAGTGTAAAGTAGATGATAGAAACAGTTTCTTCTAAATGTTGGTAGGAAACATCTGATTATAGAGAGAAAGAATGAAATTGATGTGGATACAAATGAAAATTGTATTACACAGAGCCATGTTGATGTAACTATCCATTCCTAAAATCACTCCTTTTCACTTGTAGATTGCCATGTCAAGGCAAAGAATGAGTGCTTAGTGAAAAATCTATTAAAGTACAAAATCAAGACAAAATTATAGTATTACAAGTATAGATCTTTGATTGCTCAGAATTATAAATATCACCAAAAGCTGTGGTTAAATTAAATCAGGCATTACCAAGCATTTAGGTCAATCACTTCATTTTATAGGGAAAAGACAAGTGAAAGCTTTGAGTTATTGACTGTAGGGAAGATGTATTACAATAAGAAATATTTTCACATATTCTGCCAACTGTTGGTTGCTTGCTGTGATGGTTAATATTGAGTGTCAACTTGATTGGATGGAAGGATGCAAAGTATTGTTCCTGGGTGTGTCTGTGAGGGTGTTGCCAAAGGAGATTAACATTTGAGTCAGTGGGCTGGGAAAGGCAGACCCACCCTCAATGTGTGTGGGCACCATCTAATCAGCTGCCAGGGCAGCTAGGATAAAAGCAGGCAGAGGAATGTGGAAGGATTAGACTGGCTGAATCTTCTGGCTTCCATCTTTCTCCCGTGCTGGATGTTTCCTGCCCTCGAACATCAGACTCCAAGTTCTTCAACTTTTGGACTCTTAGACCTACACCAGTGGTTTGCCAGGGTCTCTCAGGCGTTCAGCCACAGACTGAAGGCTGCACTGTTGGTTTCCCTACTTTTGAGATCTGGGGACTCGGACTGGCTTCCTTGCTCCTCAGCTTGCAGAGGGCCTATTGTGGGACTTCACCTTGTGATCATGTGAGTCAATTCTCCTTAATAAACTCCCTTTCATATATACATCTATCCTACTAGTCCTGTCCCTCTAGAGAACCCTGACTAATACAGTTACATTCTTTCAAAATATTATTAAAATTCTAATAGTATGAATTAAAAATTCTTAAGGTATTTTATAATGCAAATAATTAAATTCTCTTGAATGAGAAAAATTTTAAAAACGTAAGATGTAAATATTAAAACATGTAAAAGTATTTTTAAATATGTCACTGCTCAAAAATGTTATTTCTATTGTAGTGAGATATTTATTGCTTTCAAATCACTGTCTACCAGTGTTCTAAAAACTGCTAAGAGTTAGTTCATAAAAAATAACATAGACTCAAAGTTCCTTATTACTGCCAAGTTTCCAAAAACTTTAATTTTGGTATATGACTCCTCTGCTTAAAAATTTTTATTATTCCCTATTTCCAACAGAGTAAAATCCATATTCTTTATCCTAACATATAAAATTGTACATAATCTTAAGTCACATTACCAGCAGTTTTCAATGTTTATTTGAATGGTTGCAAACTCCACTTTATTTCTACTTCTCACCAAATCCACTTCACCACGTTGGTTTTGCAGAAATGCTGCATAACAAATCCTGTTTCCATACCATTCCTATGGTTGCACTGCTCACCTCATCAGGACCCTGATCTTCTTCAGCCAAGAGAACGCTGGGTATTTCTGTAAATGCTCTGCTTCCTGGAAGACCCTCCTGACCACATTACTGGATTATTGTAACGATGTTATCAATAATATTGTTATTTTAGCCACCGTATATTCCTATCTTGCTAGATATTACACCCAATTGGGACAAGAACTATATTTATTCCACTCAGTGTCTCAGAGGAATAAATTAATCTTTCCCATTGTTGACTCTGCAATTCAAATCAGCATTTATTTTCTGAGTTGTAAATTGTAAGTCTTCATCTCCCCATACGAAGGACTATAAAACAAAATATGCTAAACCAGGGAGAAGACCAAGAACAAGAGATGTTCTGATACGCATATAAGCTAGACCTGAATCTAAAACCAAGATGTTGGAGGGGAAAAATCCCGTTTCTAATACTCAATCTAGAGAAAACAGGCAAATTGTAAAATAACAGATTGGAGGCACAAGAAACAGAGTAAGGAGACACAAACATAGAGCTCATCTATGGATTTTTCCCATCTCTATAAATTGTGCTACCAAGAGAAGTAACTAAACACCTTCTGATCTACAAATACTGAACCATCTTAAAAGTTTTACATATAAAACTTGAATTCCGTTTTTTAAATCAACACAATGTAAGCAAATATTTTGAAACATTGAGGAGTGACCTTTTCCACACCTCTCACTTCCATCCCGCGCCCATGTGCAATCACTTCTCACCATTTGTTTTTTTTTTATTGTTATCCCCAAAATTCTGAGCTTCTTTCCTATTTCTTCATACACAAACTTTCAACTTCATTTAGTAGCATCCTAATAAAATAAATGGGTTTTTTTTCACTTATAAGATGTCTCACCTTCCCTCCACCTTTTCCAAATACGATAATAGCTGGAAAATTGTAAAATCTGTTTAATTTATATTTCTTGTTCTATTAGCCGTAGACATTTTGTCTTGACTACTTATCTGCTTTATAAGCTGAGATTATTAGCTTCAGCTTATTTCTATGTGTGCTTAAAAAAAGAAATTAAAACTGGCACATGGAAACATGCCTTAAGATGAAGTAAAAATAGAAAACAAAGTCAAAGACTTCTTGTGTATGCTCATTCATAATAGTAGGTTTTTTATTTCTGATTTTGCAAATTGGCTGTTAAAGGAATGCAATGAAGAAAATTTATTTACCTAATATGGTAATGTCTGCAAAAAATTATAATTTTTATGTCTATGAGAGTATGAGATAGAAATAGTAAAACAACTCATTCCTTCCTAATTTTTATTTGTACTTTCAATGTGAAAAGCTGTGTTATCTTTCTCTCTGTATATTTCATCAGTAACAGCGATTTCATATACAAAATACACTCAATATTTATATGACTCTGTCTTCTTTCAAATATAGCTACTCTGGAATTCAGGAGAAGAAACACATATAAAAACACAAAGAAAAACCATGTTAAGCCTATGCAATTGAGGGGATAGATGTGTTTTATGGAGGAAAATATGATGCTGGATCAATAATTGAGGAGAAATTATATTACAAATATTACAAAAGAAAGAAAACAGTGAGAGAATTATCTACATTTTCACCTCATCAGTCACTGCCTACAACTTGTGGCTAAATTTGAGTGAAAAGTTACTATCTAATCAATTCCAAAGCTTCTAAAAGTAGGAGACCTACTGTTATGTAAATCATCACCTGATTTCACAGTTAAATGTGTAAAAGTGAACAGTCTTTCACCAATTTTCTAGGCGACTGTGCTAAAGCTATCTTTAGAGAAATGAAATGTGACAGCAGTATAATTTCATTAGATATGTGGCCTATTTTAAAGCCTGAATGGGGGTAGGGGAGGGAAATAAAAGGGCTATTGTAAAAATTTATGCAGATTATAATAAAGGCAAACAGAGTAGTAGAGAAGTAGAATGTAACTGTCATAGCTGGCTTCCCAGGAGGTGAACTCTGAGATGTAGAATAGTGCTCAAGAAGTGTATTACAACTTCATACATATTCCTAGAATCAACTTTTGGGATGAGAAGGGAAGGAGAGGAAGCTGTATTTGCAGAGGAAAAAGTTTTACTGATGTACACTTGTAATAAGGAACTCTACAGCTGGAATCACCCTTCAGAGACTTCCTGAGTTGAGACAAAGACATCAAACTTTTTTCTCCTCAGGCTTCTCAGGGATGACTGAGACAGCAAACTTGTATAATCCTCTCCCCAGCCCCCACTTCCACATCAACCATGGGTTGGATTCAGGCTGCCCTGGGGAAGGGAGTTGTTGAGGTAAGTTAACAGGAGAAGGTCAATAATTGATCATTATCAGCAGGCATCATTCCCAGCAGCTGGGAGAGTAAGTCCTTCGGTTCTGAAAGGGGAACTGGACAGTGCATCACAGCATCTAATGCCATTTACTCTTTGGTCACTCAGATCCACTTCATGTAAGTTCAGGAAACAGCTCCTCCAGGATTCTGATAGTCCTCTTTTCTTGGGAAGAAACAGAACGGGGAGGTTTGTGGGATGAACTCTAGCGCGCACAGAGTCTCACGACTATTACTCATCTTTTCCTTTCCCTGCTATCCATTCTAGATCCTGCTTGCCTTCAGCTGGTGCCACTGCTGGACTAGGTGGCTCACCTGATGGGCATGAGCCAAATCCTCATCCTTGCAGGCTCTCAGCCTCTGGCCACCAGTTCTTTCTCAGGCAATGACTATTATACCCATTTACACTGAAAACTGGGCAAGAGAGTACCAAGAGACAACCAAGTGGATAGCTAGATGTCAAAGAGATGCCTCCATTCCCCCACTGTGTAATGACACCACGACTTCCTCCTGATAATCTGGGTGTATTATTTCTGCCAGGATGATGAATGCTCTTTAAAGCTGGCAACTTTTCATGTAACTCTTTTAGAAGCTTTTCCCTCTCTGGGAACCAGGATCTCTAAATCTGCAGAAGCCATGATTGTGGCGCTAGAAAGTACAGATGATAGTTAGCAGGAGAATGCTTACTTCTGCCCCTTAGCTCCCAGACCCATGTATTCTAACAACTGAAGACACAGCACCACACACTAGTCCTTGATTTAACTTGCATATTGCATCCTGGAGGATGGCAGCTCATCTTGCAGTGCATCATATCGGGCTTGTGCTTCAGTTGAGCCTCCCATGAACTATGCCATTGCTCTATAATCCCTGCAGGTCCCGGGTGGTATAGTATGTGACAGAACCTGTAGACCTTTTGGTTCATATTTTCATTGGTAAACCTCCTTTCCTGTTAAGTAGGCTCTCTGATGTGATGTTGCATGGGTTACCATATCAATGGATCAGACGCATGTCAGCCCTTGAATATGGGTTTTGGCTAAAGCCCCAAAAGTAGGAAAGGCAAACCTGGAGCTGAAAAATGTAACATATTTCCATCAAAATTAATTGTTTCTCCTCAGGGTAGAAAAAGAGCAATGATGCCCACTTGCCACCAGGTGGCTGCTTCATCTTCTGAAGACCAAGGTCCTCCCCATCAGTTACCATTGTAGGCAGTTGGGACTTTTGGCAGCGGCAATGGCTAGATCAGATGTGCAGCAGTTGTCCCTTAAGTGCAAGTTTGCTTTCCAGGGTCTTCGTGGCCTGTGGTACAGAGAGAGGGAGACCACATTCACATAACTTTCCTTACAGTATATTGTTATAATTATTCTATTTTCTTAGTGCTGTTTTTAATATCTTACTGTGCCTAATTTATAGACAAATCTTTATCATAGATACATGTGTATATGAAAAAAACAGAGTATATACAGGGTTCAGTACTATTCACAGTTATAGGTATCCACTGGGGGTCTTGGAACATAGCCCTCACAGATAAAGGGGGACTGCTATAGTTAGGGGGGACCTGTGCTGTTGGACTTTATATATATGGTCTCCATCTCTGCCAACAAGGTCACTGTTTCTGTGCCCACTGGGCCAGTGCTGGTGTGGCCAATCACCCAGGCTGGTAGGGTCAACTGGCTGAGCCATTCGTTCTCTTGGTTGTTCAGTGCTTCTTCCATCATGGGTGCTCTCTGGTTGGTGTTGACATGAGATACAAAGATCTTGCCATGGCTGTATCATTTCATTGTCCTCACTAAGTACTACTATCAGATCCATTTTCCTCAAACACTGCTTTATTTAAGTTATCCTCCTCGTTTAAAAGCATCAAAAGTGTTCCCCTTTTTCCTAAAGAAAAAATGAAACCAAAATTGTAAAACCTTCTCTAACCTTGTTCTAATTAACCTCTCTACTCCATACACAAAATATCGATGCAAATCGGAATGGTCTACATATCATCCCCCACAAATACGCAATTGGATTGCTTCTTTTGTGCTTTGCCCATACCATTTTACCCTTTTGAAAAGCTCTTCCTTCTCCTATTCATCTTTCAAAATGATCTAGATGAAAATATACATGGTAATCTAAGATCCGGCAGTGATCTCTCTCCCCTCTAGATTTTATCTTGAGAATACTATGGTGCATAGAGCACCCTATTAAAAATTCTTTGCATATAATCTCTCAGCCACTCTCATATCATTGTTCTGCTTTGTAATTTACCTTCCCACACAATTAAGTCATTTTTCTAGTCTGTCTAAAGTGTAAATAATTTGAGGGAAGGTAGTATGTTGGCGCCGTATGCACTATAGTGCCCAGTAAATCCTGAATCAATGAATGTGAAAAAATACCTGCTGGAAGGTAAACATTTGTGCCACTTTCTCATTGAGAAAGAAGCCCTCCTAAATGCAGGATTTATACCATCCTGGAAATGGCAGCACTTAACATAATGCCAAATTATGTTCCATTCTAGGCCTATTTGTACCAACAGGGGGTCTCAGTACATTCACTGTGTAAAAAGGAAAGCTAATTCTTACAGTGTGGGATTCATGCAGGTCTTTTGTGTAAAAAAGAAAGTAAAAGCTAATATGATACACATATAATAGCAATGAAAGCCTGGGTAGCACATTACCAGCTAGAATCACCAGGTAAAACACCCCCAGTGGTAAGTAATTATTCAGTGAACACCAAGCATTGAAGGCAGCATGCTAATGAAATTTTATAATCATAGCCATATTCAAGTAAAGCACCAAATGCCTGAAGATCAAGTCATTCATATGAAAGCATCTTTCCATCTTGGTTGCCAAAATAATTGTGAATTTTACTTTTTTAAAAATTATCTTTTGTTTCTAAATTTTTCAAGAGTTGAAGCTATTGAGTTTATTACAGTTCACCACTCAGTCACATCCTTTTAATGCTGCTAGGAATTAGGATCACATGACTCCACAAAATAACATTATAGGACCAGAATCTAGAGCAGTGACTCAAGTAGGAGCGATTTTGCTGCACACACCACCACTCCACTGCAGCCAGAAGACATTTGGGAATGTCCAAAGACATTTTAGTTGTCACAACCTGATGGGGGAGATGCTTCTGGCATCTAGTGGGCAGAGGCTGACATGCTGCTAAATATTTCACATTGCACAGGACAGCCTCCCACAACAAAATATTTTCCTGCCTAAATATCCATATTGCTGAGGTATAGAAAACCTAATCTAAAATGAGGTCCTTTTTTTTTTTTTTTTTTTTTTTTTTTGAGATGGAGTTTCACTCTCGTTGCCCAGGCTGGAGTGCAGTGTCCCGATCTCAGCTCACTGCAACCTCTGCCTCCCGGGTTCAAGCGATTCTCCTGCCTCAGCCTCCCAAGTAGCTGTGATTACAGGGGCCCACCACCACACCCAGCTAATTTTTGTATTTTTAGTAGAGATGGGGTTTTGCCATATTGGCCAGGCTGGTCACAAGACGTGCTTTTTTTTTTTTTTTTTTTTAGGTTGTTTTAGTCAAACAACCTAACAAAAGGAAGTGCATCTTTCCTCTAGAAGTAAGAGATTAAACTGTGGCTTCAGTTTAAAATTAATTTATTGTATATAAAGACAAGAATAGATTTAAGAGGCAGTGATAACAAAGTATCATCTAAAATTTTGTCTAGAAATTTTGTATTGTAGCCAAGGTAGATCATACCATAAAGCAATGTGGAATTAAAACCACAGTGAATTCTGCTTCAGTTTCTTGTATTCTATGGACTTTAAGAGTTGCAAAATGACTTCTATTACCACAGTTGAAATGACATGGCATATTTTGAAGTTATCTGCTTCCCAGGGCTGGATATTAGGCAAGACATCGTTACCATTGCCATGTGGATCCTTTAAATGTATTCCAACCAAATGGTTTCCAGAACCTGCTGTACTGTAACTCTTTCTGTATTTACAGCCTTTTCATCTCTCCTTGCCTCTTCCATTCATCAAGTGCTCTTAGCCTGACTTTATGCTTTCAGTGTGTTTGAAGTACACAGATGTAGACCCAGCATCTGTCTGCTCTATTCTGTAACAGAAAGTGTTCTCTGCTGAAGTGACAATCCACAGAGTAACTACCATGAGTTAGTTTCCCAACAATTCACTAGGGCCTTTCAATAAAAATAGTTACATATTGTTCTCAAAATAAGAAGTGATATTTCTTCTAATAACTGAACAGAAAGGGACAGGTGGAGTCGCTAGTTTCCATTAGTAGCAAATTTTGTTTCATTAGTAGCAAATTTTCTCAAAGTTCGTAGCACTAAGATATTTAAAGAGAAAACAGAAGGAGAAACACACCAAAAAAATTGTGTAGTGTGGCTCACAGTACACACAATGCCCATTAGTAGTAGTAGCAGCAGCATTAAGACAGGAGCTCGCTCTGTCTCCCATTACTATTAATAATAATTAATGACAGGTAAGAAAACATTTCATGGTATGGGGAAATCATATTGCTTTATATATGAGAAATTTGTATCGGATATAAAAATAAATGAGTTGTTGTGTTTCTCCAGTGAAAACAATAATAAAGAAATATTCAAACTAAAAACACATTCATTTTTATCCAAGTTTGTCATGCATTTTTTTTTTCTTTTTTTTTTTGAGACGGAGTCTCACTCTGTCACCTAGGCCAGTGTGCAGTGATGCGATCTTGGCTCACTGCAACCTCCACCTCCTGGGTTCAAGTGATTCTCCTGCCTCAGCCTCCCAAGTAGCTGGGATTACAGGTGCCTGCCACCACGCCCAGCTAATTTTTGTATTTTTAGTAGGGATGGGGTTTCACTGTGTTGGCCAGGCTGGTTTCTAATTCATGACCTCAGGTGATCCACCCACTTTGGCCTCCCAAAGTGCTGGGATTACAGGCATGAGCTACGGCCCCCAGTCTGTCATGCATTCTTATGCTAAATAGGGAGTAATGGTAGAATGTGCTGTATTTATTCATCTAGCATTTGTGGATGTACAGTGCATGAAACTGATAGGGAAGGCATCACCATGAAGTAGTATGAAGCAATTTTATTTTAACATAACAAATGGCAAAATAACCAGATAAAGAAAAGAGCAGAAAGAGCTAATTTTTCAAAAATCGAGATAATACCAGCTTTTAGTCATATAGTTTGATGAATCCCTAGATGTTGATGATAACTAAAATGGAAAATGGAATATCTTAGCAGGCCAGCACCTGAACTCTGTCAAAGGTGTGCTCGTGAATATTTGTAAGATGTTTTTATTAGTGCTTGCCTCCGTTATAATGGTTGAAATTGCTAAAGGAACTTCAGCAAAATCAGAGAACATAAAATTTCCTATGGAAAGGACTCCTAGGATCCTAACTGTACTGTAGGTTTTAGGTGGTCACACAAAATACCTTAGAATTTCACCTATAATGGAAAAGGATTATTTTTAAGTCAATAGACAAACTTATAGTCCTTAATCCATTACTAACTAGATAAATGCCTTGAGGAACTCAGATAATGTGTCTTGTTTCTGATTTCTTCACATGTAAAATTCAACTATATTTAACAAATATTTATTGAACTTGTCCTAGGAAGTGGATGGATGTCAGCAACATGAGAAAAAAGAAGACACAGTTTGTCTTTCTTGCTCTTCAATTATGACAAACTCTGTTTGTCTTTTGAGTATTGTGAAGTGAGATAGTTGATTAAAAGATCATACTAAAAGTATCAAAAGGAAGAGATAAGAGTTGAAACAAACAGAGGTGCTGTCCTGTTATCAGAGTGAGAGCCACCTGTGTCATTTATTATCAACTCAAACTTAGACATTCCTATTGGCTTATCATTGGCCAGGTTCCAGGTATCATGAACGTTCTGTACTGCCATTTTTAATGTAAGCCTCACTCAAGTATTTAACAGAGCAACTAGGAAAAGAAAACTAAATGAACATTGTCCCACTGACTGCAATATGAACTAATCTTCACATTGGGACCAAGGATAACAGTAAATAAGGGATGCTGGGGAACAAGTGGTTGCTGACTCCTATTCCTCACATTGATCTACTGGTCTTTTAGATAAAGTTGATAAATCCCTGTTTGACTATTTACCGAGGTAATTGATTTACCCAGAATTGATTGCTGTCTAGAAAGTTTAAGCAGTCTCTTAGATTCTTAAATATACATTCCTCAAGATTCTGTAAGTTTATCTAGACACATCACCAGGAATTAAACATTAAATGATACTACCTTTGCTTTCCAAAAGAGTTCCATCCATGAGTTAAAATATGATACATTCTAAATACAGACATGATACATATTAATATAGGAAAGGTTATTTAGAAGCTTGCTTCTCTATAACTTTTGCAATCATTCAACTAAACTTCTTTCGCCAACCCTTAAACCTTGGATTCTTGCTAAACCTTGGATATTTAACTGGGTTTCAGAAGATGTATGAACTCTCCCAAATTTAATGCAAAAAAAAAAAAAGTCTTTTCTTTCTGGGCCCGATTGGAGATAGATCTGGTGCTTTCATCATCTTCTCAAAGGAGTCAGGAGTCTGTCATCTTTTAAAAACATTATGAACCACTCACTCATTGCTCTGCTTGTAAGTCCTAGATTTAGAAGGGTATTATATTCTAAGCACATTGTTCCCCTAAAGAATCTTCCCTGTGATTCAGAGTCATACATATCACCCTACACTTCTTTCCACACTGAAAATGATAGTAGTTTTCATGATCTGTTTATATGTCTGTGGAGTGTAGGAGGAGTAAGAAAAGGTTGGGATAGGTAACCAAGTTACTATATAATTGAAAATGGTGACAGATTTCTTGGATACTTCACTTGGATATATGAGTAAAAGTTGGGAGAGACACGGCTGGAATTATGATTTGATCCACTTTCTGATGGAGAGAACAGAGCATAATTATATGTCAACTGATGATCATGAATCAAGCTTCAGATGATATTCAGGCAGGTTGCCATGATTATATTTGCTGCTCTTTCAGTTTTAGAAAGACAAGTGAAGGCAGCAGCTATTCTCCTTTGGATCTGCATGACCTTGCACCAGAGGTCCCTGCAATGTTTCATCTCAATATTTCATCTTACTTCCACAATCTTTAACTAGGAAGCTATTTTATTTTATTTTTATTTTTATTTTACTTCAAGTTCCAGGATACATGCGCAGAACGTGCAGGTTTGTTACATGGGTATACATGTGCCATGGTGGTTTGCTCACCTAGCAATCCATCATCTAGGTTTTAAGCCCTTTGTGCATGAGCTATTTGTCCTGATACTCTCCCTCCCCTCACCCACCACCCCTCCAGCAGGCTCTGATGTGTGTTGTTCCCCTCACAGGGAGGGGTTCTCATTACTGAACTCCCACTTATGTTTCTCATTACTCAACTCCCACTTATGAATGAGAACATGTGGTGTTTGGTTTTCTGTTCCTGTGTTTGCTGAGGATGATGGCTTCCAGCTTCATCCATGTCCCTGCAAAGGACATGATCTCATTCTTTTTTATGGCAGCATAGCATTGCATGGTGTATATATATCACATTTTCTTTATCCAGTCTATCATTGATGGGCATTTGGGTCCTTTCCATTACTTTATTGTTGTGAATACTGCTGCGATAAACATACATGTGCATGTGTCTTTATAGTAGAAAGATTTATATTCCTTTGGGTATATACCCAGTAATGGGATTGCTAGATCAAATGGTATTTTTGGTTCTAGATCCTTGAAGAATCGCCACACTGTCTTCCACAATGGTTGAACTAATTTACATTCCCACCAACAGTGTAAAAGTGTTCCTATTTCTCCACGTCCTCACCAGCATCTATTGTTTATTGATTTTGTAATAATTGCCATTCTGATTGGCATGAGATGGTATCTCATTGTAGTTTTGAATTGCATTTCTCTAATGATCAGTGATGTTGAGCTTTTTTTCATATGTTTCTTGGCCACATAAATGTCTTCTTTTAGAAGTGTCTGTTCATATCCTTCGCCCACTTTTTGATGGGGTTGTTTTTTCCTTGTAAATTTGTTTAAGTTCCTTGTGGATTCTGGATGTTAGACCTTTGTCACATGGGTAGATTGCAAAAGTTTTCTCCCATTCTGTAGGTTGCCTGCTCACTCATGATAGTTTCTTTTGCTGTGCAGAAGCTGTTTAATTTAATTAGATCTCACTTGTCAATTTTAGCTTTTGTTACAATTGCTTTTGGTATTTTGGTCATGAAATCTTTACCCATGCCTGTGTCCTGAATGGTATTGCTTTGGTTTTCTTCTAGCATTTTTAAGGTTTGGGGTTTTACATTTAAGTCTTTAATCCATCTTGAGTTAATTTTTGTGTAAAGTGTAAGAAAGGGGTCCAGTTTCAGTTTTCTGTATATGGCTAGCCAGTTTTCCCAGCACCATTTATTAAATAGGGAATCCTTTCCTCATTGCTTGTTTTTTGTCAGGTTTGTCAAAGATCAGATTGTTGCAGATGTGTGGTGGTATTTCTGAGATCTGTGTTCTGTTCCATTGGACTATATGTCTGTTTTGGTACCAATACCATGCTCTTTTGGTTACTGTAGCCTTGTAGTATAGTTTAAAGTCAGGTAGTGTAATGCCTCCAGCTTTGTTCTTTTTGCTTAGGATTGCCTTGGCTATACAGGCTCTTTTTTGGCTTCATATGAAATTTAAAGCAGTTTTTTCCAATTCTGTGAAGAATGTCAGTGGTAGTTTGATGGAAACAGCATTGACTCTATAAATTACCTTGGGCAGTGTGGCCATTTTCATGATATTTATTCTTCCTATCTATGATGATGGAACGTTTTTCCATTTGTTTGTATCCTCTCTATCTCCTTGAGCAGTGTTTTGTAGTTCTACTTGAAGAGCCCCTTCACGTCCCTTGTTAGCTGTGTTCCCAGATATTTCATTCTCTTTGTAGCAACTGTGAATGGGAGTTCATTCATTCTACTTGTCTATTGTAGGTGTATAGAAATGCTTGTGATTTTTGCACATTGATTTTGTGTCCTAAGACTTTGCTGAAGTTGCTTATCAGCTTAAGGAGTTTTTAGGCTGAGACAATGGAGTTTTCTAAATATAGAATCAAGTCCTCTGCAAACAGAAATAATCTGACTTCGTCTCTTCCTATTCGAGTACACTTTATTTCTTTCTCTTGCCTGATTGCCCTGGCCAGAACTTCCAATACTATGTTGAATAGGAGTGGTGAGAGAGGGCATCCTTGTCTTGTGCCAGTTTTCAAAGGGAATGCTTCCAGCTTTTGTCCATTCAGTATGATATTGGCTGTGCATTTATCATACATGGCTCTTATTATTTTGAGATATGTTCCATCAATACCCAGTTTATTGAGAGTTTTTAACATGAAGGTATGTTGAATTTTATCAAAGGCCTTTTCTGAATCTATTAAGATAATCATGTGGTTTTTGTCATTGGTTCTGTTTACATGATGGATTACGTTTATTGATTTGTGTATGTTGGAACAGGCTTGCATCCCAGGGATGAAGCCGACTTGATCGTGGTGGATAAGCTTTTTGTTGTGCTGCTGGATTCAGTTTGCCAGTATTTTATTGAGGATTTTCACATTGATGTTCATCAGGGATATTGGCCTGAAGTTTTCTTTTATTATTGTGTCTCTGCCAGGTTTTGGTATCAGGGTGATGTGGGCCTTATAAAATGAGTTAGGGAGGAGTCACTCCTTTTCAATTGTTTGGAGTAGTTTCAGAAGGAATGGTACCAGCTCCTCTTTGTACCTCTGGTAGAATTTGGCTGTTAATCCATCTGGTCCTCGGCTTTTTTGATTGGTAGGCTATTAATTACTGCCTCCATTTCAGAACTTGTTATTGGTCTATTCAGGGATTTGACTTCCTGGTTTAGTCTTGGGGGTGTATGTGTCCAGGAATGTATCCATTTCTTCTAGATTTTCTAGTTTATTTGCATAGAGGTCTTTATAGTATTTTCTGAGGGTGGTTTGTATTTCCGTGGGGTCAGTGGTGATAGCCCTTTCATCATTTTTTATTGTTTATTTGATTCTTCCCTTATTTGTCTAGCTAGTGTTCTATCTATTTTGTTAATTTTTTAAAATACAGTTCTTGAATTCATTAATTTTTGAAGGGTTTTTCATGTCTCTACTTCAGTTCTGTTATGATCTTAGTTATTTCTTATCTTCTGCTAGCTTTTGGATTTGTTTGCTCTTGCTTTTATAGTTCTTTTAATTGTGACATTAGGGTGTCGATTTGAGATCTTTCTAGCTTTCTGATGTGGGCATTTAGTGCTATAAATTTCCCTCTTAACACCACTTTAGCTGTATCCCAGAGATTCTGGTATGTTTTGTCTTTGTTCTCATTGGTTTCAAAGAACTTCTTGATTTCTGCCTTAATTTCATTATTTTTCCAGGAGTCATTCAAGAGTAGGTTGTTCAAGTTCTATGTAGTTGTGTGGTTTTGAGTGAGTTTCTTAATCCTGAATTCTAATTTGATTGCACTGTGGTCTGAAAGACTGTTCTTATAATTTCAGTTCTTTTGCATTTGCTGAGGAGTGTTTTACTTCCAATTATGTGGTTGATTTTAAAATAAGTGCCACATGACACTGAGAAGAATCTATATTCTGTTAGTTTGGGGTGGAGAGTTCTGTAGATGTCTATTAGGTTCACTTGATCCAGAGCTGAGTTCAAGTCCTGGATATCCATGTTAATTTTCTGTCTGGTTGATCTGTCTAATATTGACAGTGGGGAGTTAAGTTCTCACACTATTATTGTGTGGGAGTCTATGTCTCTTTGCAAGTCTCTAAGAACTTGTTTTATGAATCTGGGTGCACCTGTATTTGGTGCATATATATTTAGGATAGTTAGCTCTTCTTGATGAATTGATCCCTTTATCATTATGTAATGCCCTTCTTTGTCTTTTTTGAGCTTTGTCAGTTTAAAATCTGTTTTATCAGAGATTAGGAATGCATCCTTTTTCTTTTTCTTTTCTTTTTTTCTTTTGCTTTCCATTTGCTTGGTAAATTTTCCTCCATCTCTTTTGAGCCTGTGTGTGTCTTTACATGTGAGATGGGTCCCTGAATACAGTGCACCAGTGGGTCTTGCCTGTTTATCTAATTTGCCAGTCTGTGTCTTTTAATCGGAGCATTTAGCCCATTTACATTTAAGGTTAATATTGTTATGTGTGAATTTGATCCTGTCATCATGATGCTAGCTAGCACACGCTAGTTGATGCAGTTTCATCATAGTGTCATTGGTCTTTATATTTTGGTGTGTTTTTGCAGTGGCTTGTACCAGTTTTTCCTTTCCATATTTAGTGAGGAAGCTATTTTCTAACTTCATGAGTGTTCCTAGCAATTCATAGGTTAATCACCCATTAGAGTCTCAAGAACCTGGAGATTTGTTGAAGTCAGTAATGGTTTCCTAAGGAATGAAGCAGGCATAGATTTTTACCTCTTTCTTTATAACTTTATATTTTGACATCATGTTGGCTCTGAGTTGGATGAATATCCCATTTCCATTTTCTGTAGCAAACAGGAAGCTAAACATGATGTTTTATTATCATAACATAGCATTGCGATTACACTAGCTTTGCTATACCATTGAATACCACCCCAAGGGATAGCTTAAGATAAACTATTAGAAGTCTCAAATTATATTTTTAGTAGCAAACCTCTAAAATTGTATTGGCTTAAATCTCACAAGACAGAACATTTTATTCTCTAAATAGTCTAAGTTATACTGTTGGTTTAAACAATAGCATAAATAAAATGTCCTGAAAAATTTTGGCAGTCATAGAAGACATCATCAAAAGATCACAGTGCCAAATGACATCTACAGGTTAGGTCCCATTTATATTTATACCAGTTTACAGTAAATTTGAAAATTCTTCTCGCCTTACTAGCATAGTTTCTAATTTTCCAGTTTTCCTTCCAAATACTTTCCAGGATTCCCCAGAAGGTTACACAGGTCCATGAATCATTCACTGGCACTTGGTAAGGTAATGAAGAAACAAAGACTCTCGCTTGGAAGCCAGATCCCACAACAGTCAGCTTCTGTACTGGACTTGATTGCTTTGACCACCTGTTGTTGCTGATGAAGCACCACTGTCCCTGCTGCTGGTGTCACCTGTCCACTAAGGCAGAAAAGGGAGGTATTTGATGTAATAATCTCATGGCAAAATTTCCTGGCCTAAAATGCCACAATTCTAAATTCAGGCACATGACGCTGTATGATATATGTTAGATCCACACATTTCTGTCCTAGGGTGGTGTTGCATTCAATAAACCCAAATGAAGCCTAACATATAGTTTAAAATAAAGAATATTCAAAGCATCCAAATAAATAATCCACATCATCATTTACAAAAATACTCATTCTGCTTCCACACATTTTCCTTACTCTCTGTGGCTATATCCTTCCATTAAACCTCTTTAAAAATTTCTTACCCAACTATGAATTATACAGTTTGCTTTCATTATTTTCACTGGTTGTCTCTCTGTACTCTCTGATGTATATTGACTTAGTTCCTTTATCAGCAAGAAAGACTCCTTCCTTTATTAGAGGTTACTATCAATGGGACATTTCCAGATTCTCTTTGGTGGTGCAGAAGAAGCAAAAATTCAATTTTTGTGCCATAACCATGGGGATTTTTCTCCATGCAAACCTCAGCCTTACTATGGATGCGAAGAAGGTACAAAGCAACTTCAAATAAGTTCATAAGGATATATTTGTCCTTCTCGTAACACCTGTCTTTTTGATATATACAAGTCGGGTATCTAGACAACTCTTTAATTCAACAAATTCTCATTTAAAAGCTCACATTGTCACTTTCCAAAGCACATCATTGATTAGGAAACATCTCAATTTAAGGAATGTTTCTAAGTCTTTTAATTTTATGAAAGAAGGGAATTCAGGATCCAAACCCCTTTTCTGCCCTTTTGTAAAATTATATATTCAAAGTCATACATATGGGAGAGATCCAAAATACTTCTATCTGGCACGGCAAAGACTGAAATGACAATGAATATATTGATTGAAGGATGACATCTAATGCCATCCGTGAACAATTTTACCTAAAGTACTTGTCCAGCCAAAGTGCTTGGCTGTATCTGTGGTAAAAATGGCTATCTAACCTCAACTTGAGGTGTGCTAGAAATAAGGTATTATTCATTTTATTTTATTGCTCAAATTAATTCATCTTGGTATTTATTCTACTAAGCTGGTGGGAACTTTAATTTTATTTGCTTTCTAGTTTCTCTCCATTTCTTCAGAGTTGTGTCTAAGTTCTGAGGGGCTTAAAATATATCGGGGATCAGAAGGAATATATATAAATTTCACCAACTTCTGTGCAAGCAGCCATCCACCAAAAACGTATCTTCATGACTCATCCAAATGAGCCCTTCAGGTCAGAGAATTTCTACATACTTCTGTGCTATAGCTGATGGACCAAGACCCACAGTTCTGTTCCGGCGCTCTTCTAGTGCAAGGGAAACCATGCAGGTGATCTAATCACCCTCCCACAGCTACTCCTCTCTCCAGCGTCTGGCTCCAGCCTTGAGATTTGGACTTCAGCTCAATCCCTTTTGCTGCCAAGTTCTCCAAACTTCTCAAGGATCTTGCCAGATCCTAGGACTCTGAGACCTTTCCATATCTACCCATCCTCTCTCAGGACAGCATTTTTTAAGTGAGAGATTTTTGCATTTTTAATTTTTTTTAAATTTATTATTGTTATTTATTTATTACATAGTAATTGTAGGTACCTATGGGGTCCATGTGATACTGTGATACAAGTATACAACGTGTAACAATCAAATCAGGGTATTTAGGATATCCATTACCTCAAATATTTCTCATAGCTTTGAGATAGCACAATTTTTTTTTTTTTTTTTTTTGTGATGAGTGTCGCTCTGTCGCCCAGGCTGGAGTGCAGTGGCGCAATCTCTGCTCACTGCAAGCTCCGCCTCTCAGGTTCACGCCATTCTCCTGCATCAGCCTCCGGAGTAGCTGGGACTACAGGCGCCCGCCACTAAGCCCAGCTACTTTTTGTTGTATTTTTAGTAGAGACGGTGTTTCACCGTGTTAGCCAGGATGGTCGCGATCTCCTGACCTCGTGATCCGCCCGCCTTGGCCTCCCAAAGTGCTGGGATTACAGGCGTGAGCCACCACGCCTGGCAGAGATAGCACATTTTTAAATGGAGGAAAAAAATGAAAAGAAGAGTGGAAGAATTGTGCTTTTTTTCAGGATGCTCTCAAGCAGCCTGTATATAGCTGGCATACGGAGAGCCCAAAGTGGGATAAGAATCTCAGAAGCTAAAGCCATGAAGGGCTTTTTTGTTCACTTTACAGCCTTCCAAATAGCAATGAGCACAGAACAGCATAACTTTTTAAGCAGGTAAAAGGGAGAATGGAAGAAATGCTGGGATGGAGGAAACATTGTTTAATATTTTCCAGCTACACAGGTAAGGGGCTTCAAATCTTTTTGAGTAAAAATGAATATAGGTAAATTAGTAAAAAAAAAATAGCCCATATTGATTAAGTTAAGTAAATCTTATCACAGAGCATATTTGGGATGGTACAAAGATGAGGGGGAAAAAAATGCAACACCAGGCCAGGGGCAGTGGAGCACACCAATATATAATGCCAGCACTTTGGGAGGCTGAGGCAGGAGGATTGCTTGAGCTCAGGAGTTTAAGACAGCTTGGGATTTGTAGTGAGACCCTATCTCTACAAAAAATAAGAAAATTAGCCAGGCATGGTGGCCCATGCCTGTAGTCCCAGCTACTCAGGAGGCTGATGTGAGAGGATTGATTGTGCCTTGCAGGTGGAGGGTGCAGTGAGCTGTGATCACAACTCCAGCCCGAGCAACAGAGTGAGACCCTGTCAAAAAAAAAACAAAAAATACCCACCAAAACCAAATGCCACTAACCAATGTGATTAATCATTATAAATAGAAAAAATCCATTTCTTTGTATTCGTCAATTCCAGGCAACCCCTCTTTGCTGTCTTTTAGGTGTAATAAAAGTACTTTTTGAGAGGGAGAAAATTATTTAATATTAAGAGATATTTATTTTATTTTATCTCTAAGAAACAGGAAATATTTTCTTACCATATGAACTTATTCAAACCAGAAAATTACTATGAATAGTAGGGAATTCTATTCAGAGAGAGTCAGAGTAAAATTGAGGGGAGATCCTGGACCAGTCCCTTTGCCTTTCTCCTAATGGGACTCTTTGTGTTGCCTTTACCCTCTTCATCTGGCATGTGCAGAGTACATAGGAATGAGCTCCAAAACTGGAAGAGCCAAGTCTGTATAAACCTTTCTCTATGTTTTCTACAGAAATTGTTTTAATATTGTGAAGATGTTTGAGACATCGTTGGAATTTTCAAGTTTTTTTTTTTTTAAAGTTGATCCAGAAAATGGTGAATTATAAAAGATGTCTCATCCTTTTAAAATTGCATCCCAAGACAACAGGGAGAACATAAAATAGAAAAGAAATTTTATATTGGATGAGATAAGGATTCACTGATAGTCAAAACTCATACAATATGGGCTACTGAGAAGACGGAAAATTTGACTACAGTGAGAGAACACACGGCCTACAAATGTGGTACAGTCCAGGACCCCTGGCTTGGAACTTCAAGAAAGAGATACGTGAACTGACTGCAGATACTATTCTAGACGCCTTCCTGTATTCCTCCTGACATCTTGATGTGGCAGGAGCAGCAGCTAAATTTGGAAATGTACAGAAAACACTACCTGCAAATGGGCTGTAATGCAGAGACACTTCAATAATCAGGATCCCTGAAGCTTCTAATGTTCCTAAACAGCTGGAGGGCCTCCGAGTGAGCCAGGGAAAGTGTCTATGAGCCCAGACAACAGCCTGGCCCTCTACCAATGATCCTTTACAAAATCGCTGGTCCAGGAAATTAAAAATATATTTTGTGTTTTCTTAATTATATAAGATTTCTAAAATATGTGTGTATGAAAAAGCTCAAAGGAACAAAAATGAGAGATGAAAAATAAACCAAAAAAATTTGAGTAAAAACATGTCTAATAGCTTAAAAATAATAAAAATAGTGCATCTGAAAAATAAAGTTCAAAAAAGGTATAAAATGTGAGAAAGAATTAAGAAGACAACCAAAGAAATGCAAAATGGCAGGCAGAGTTTATGAACAAAATAGAAGAGAAAAGATAAAACACTTCATGACAGCAATGAAGTCAACAAAATTTTAATTCGAGAAAACTTCATTGAAATAAAAAAATACACTTGAAATTGTAGATTAAAAGGGTACACCATAAGTCAGAAAATATTGCTACAGAATTTTCAGCTCCGATATATGTACTAGAAAAGCAATCTACTTATCAAGAAAAAAATAAAAAAGTAGTTTTGGCAATCCAGAAAAAAACAGTCACCATCTCTCTTTCAAAAATCAGGGTGGCCCCACACTTTTCACAGCAGTGTTTATTTCTGGGAAAAAATCAGAGCAATGCAGACAACATCCTCAAGGGAAAAATCAAAATCATTACATAAGGAAAAACTGCCAGGGGCGGTGACTCATGCCTGTAAACTTTGGGAGGTCAAGGCGGGCAGATCACTTGAGCCCAGGACTTCAAGACCAGGCTAGACAACATGGCAGAACCCCATCTCTAGAAAAAAATACAAAATTAGTCAGCCATGGTGACACATTCCTGTAGTCCCAGCTACTCAGAGGCTGAGGTGGGAAGATCGCTTGAGCCAGGGAGGTCAAGGCTGAAGTGAGCTGTGATAGTGCCACTGTACTCTAGCCTCTGTGATGCAGCAAGAACCTGAAAGAAAGAAAAAAGAAGAAAGAAGAAAAAAGAGAAAAGAAAGAAAAGAAAGAAAGAAGAAGAAAGAAAGAAGGAAAGAAGAAAGAAAGAAAGAAAGAAAGAAAGAAAGAAAGAAAGAAAGAAAGAAAGAAAGAAAGAAAGAAGGAAAGAAAGAAGAAGAAAGAAAGAAAGAAAGGGAGGAAGGAAGAAAGGATTACCTGGCTGTCTTATACATTTAAAGAGTGCAGAAAAATATTTTTAATGTATGCAACTTAGTAAAAGTGATCCACATGATCTTTCTTTGAAACATGTATTCAAGGAAGAAGTTAAAATGCAAAATAAATTAATAGAGGTACTATGGTAACAACTGCTGACAGAGCGCATTCAATTCATTTAAATATAGGATGTAATCTAAAACAGCAGTTATGGTTATAGAACAGAATTTTACTGTTATAAACTGTGGCACTGTAGAAATAGTAAGGAAGGTTAGGATGTCAAAATACAGAGGACACATGAAGACGTACCCTGCTATCTTCATCTTTTTATAACTGAGACCAAAGAGAATTTAAAGCGATAAATCAAGTTATGTAGGAATGAATGAAGTCTATAGTAGCTCTGTACTGTGCCATTTAACTACTAGAGCTAGATACTACAATTCTTTGTACACTTTTAGGCAAATATTGGCCACAGGTAAAATTTGCATGAGCTTGGTAAGGCGTCTGGAGTTCCGCACAGGGCTCCGGGAAGAGCTATGTCATATTTGGCTCTTCCAGCTTACTTTGTTGACAGGGGGCTTCTGCTGAGCCTGTAGCTCTTTCAGCCCCTACAGGAGTTTCTCTTTCAGATTCGCCATGTCTTGGATAAGATGCATGTGCAGCTCTAGTGCAAAAAATAACAGCTTCTTTTGCAGATCACCATGACATTGAGATTGGAGGTGGTGAGAGGCAGACGTAATGTTCAGCTTGTCCTTGTGAATTCCAGTGTATCCTTGCTCTTTCACTCTCATCCTATGCAGTTTTTCTTCCTGGTTGTTGGCCTTGCTGACTTACAGTGACTTCAGGCTCCTCAACAGTGTCAGAGGCAATGGCTTTCTTTCTAAAAATATCTTCACTATGTCTCACAATTACATAAAGTCTACTGCCTACAACAAATCCCTTATTCCATATCACACAGGTTCTGCAGCTCTGAATGAAATTTGATACAAAATTTATAATTGTAATGGACTGAATGTGTGCCCCCAAAATTTATATGTTGAAACCCTAACCCCAATGTGACAGTATTTGGAGGATTAGTGCCGTAATAAAAAGAGAACAGAGAGCTAGCTAGCTCTCTTTCCACCACATGAGGACACAGCAAGAAGATGGCTTTCTGTAAAACAGGAAGGAGGTCTTCAACAAGGACCTGACCATGCTGGCACTTCCAGCCTCTGGAATTATGAAAAACAAGTGTTTATTTTTTAAACCAACCAATCTATGGTAATTTGTTATAACAGCCCAAACTGACTAACACAGTAACAAACGTGGTTTCAGGGAAACAGAGCCTTAAATATGGGTTCTCTGAACAGGTTCTGTGTTTTCTCTAATCCAATCAAATTTAAAGGCATTAGTGACATTGCTGAAGGAAACTGGTATAGTCCATGTCATTCAAGGAGTTCATTTCTCAAAACAGCACCTCCAGAAACCTCTAACAAGTCCATAGATGGCAGGGCTTAGGGTAACCAATAGTTACAATTATTGAACATTTTAGAAAAAAATAAAGAGTACAGTGGGGGTTGTTTGTGTACTTCTAAAGGCACTATAAAAGGGGTGGGAAAAATCTTTAAAGCTTCAGGCTTTAAATTTCAAGCTCCATCTCAATTGCTGCAAAAAAAGCACTCGACAAAATCCAGCATCCCTTTATGCTTAAAATTCTTAGCAAAATCGGCATACAAGGGATATTCCTCAATGTAATAAAAGCCATCTATGACAAACCCACAGCCAACATAATACTGAATGGGGGAAAGTTGAAAGCATTCCCTCTGTGAACTGGAACATGTCCACTCTTACCACTCCTCTTTAACATAGTACTGGAAGTTCTAGCCACAGCAATCAGACAAGAGAAAGAAATAAAGGGCATCCAAACTGGTAAAGAGGAAGTCAAACTGTCGCAGTTTGCTGATGATATGATTGTTTAACTAGAAAACCCTAAAGACTCTTCTAGAAGGCTCCTAGAACTAGTAAAAGAATTCAGCAAAGTTTCCAGATACAAGATTAATGTACACAAATCAGTAGCGCTCTATATACCAACAGCAACAAAGCTGAGAATCAAATCAAGAACTAAACCCCTTTTACAACAGCTGAAAAACAATAAAATAAAATACTTAGGAATATACCTAACCAAGGAGATGAAAGACCTCTACAAAGAAAACTACAAAACACTACTGAAAGAAATCATAGACAACACAAACGAATGGAAACACATCCCATGCTCATGGATGGGTAGAATCACTATTGTGAAAATGACCACACTGCCAAAAGCAGTATCCAAATTCAATGCAATTCCCATCAAAATTCACCATCATTATTCACAGAATTAGAAAAAAAAATCCTAAAATTCATATGGAACCAAAAAAGAGCCTGCTTGCCAAAGCAAGACTAAGCAAAAAGAACACATCTGTAGGCACCACATTACCTGACTTCAAATGATATTATAAGGCCATAGTCACCAAAACAGCATGGTACTGATACAAAAACAGGCACACAGACCAATGGAACAGAACAGAGAAACCAGAAATAAACCCAAATACTTATAGCCAACTGATCTTCAACAAAGCAAACAAAAACATAAAGTGGGGAAAGGATACCCTTTTCAACAATTGGTGCTGGGATAATTGGCTAGCCACATGTAGGAGAATGAAACTGGATCCTTGTCTCTCACCTTATGCAAAAATTAACTCAAGATGGATCAAGGACTTAAATCTAAGACCTGAAACTATAAAAATTCTAGAAGATAACCCTTTTCCAAGGTTGGAAAAACCCTTCTAGACATTGGCTTAGGCAAGGATTTCATGACCAAGAACCCAAAAGCAAATGCAATAAATATAAAGATAAACAGCTGGGACTTAATTAAATTAAAGAGCATTTGCACGGCAAAAGGCACAGTCAGCAAAGTAAACAGACAACCCACAGAGTGGGAGAAAATTTTCACAATCTATTCATCTGACAAAGGACTAATATTCAGAATCTGCAGCAAACTCAAACAAATCAGAAAAAAAAACTCATCAAAAAGTGGCTAAGTACACGAATAAATAATTCTCAAAAGAAGATATACAAATGGTTAACAAATATATGAAAAAAATGCTCAACATCACTAATGATCAGGGAAATGGAAATCAAAACCACAATGTGATACCATCTTACTTCTGCAAGAATGGCCATAATCAAAAAATCAAAAAATAGCAGATGTTGGTGTGGATGCAGTGAACAAGGAACACTTTGACACTGCTGGTGGGAATGTAAACTAGTACAACCACTGTGGAAAACAGTGTGGAGATTCCTTAAAGAACTAAAAGTAGAACTACCATGTGATCCAGCAATCCCACTACTGAGTTTCTACCCAGAGGAAAGGAAGTAATTATACAAAAAAAAAAAGAGATACTTGCATACACATGTTTATAGCAGCACAATTTGCAATTGCAGAAATGTGGAACCAACCCAAATGTCCATCAATCAATGGGTGGATAAAGAAATTGTGGTATATATATATATATATATATATATATATATATATATATATATATATATATATACTACTCAGCCATAAAAAGGAATGAATTAATGGCATTCACGCTACCCTGGATGATATTAAAGACTATTCTTCTAACTGAAGTAACTCAGGAATGAAAAACCAAACATCATATGTTCTCATTCATAAGTGGGAGGTAAGCTATGAGGATGCAAAGCCATAAGAATGACACAATGGATTTGGGGGACTCAGAGGGAAAGGGTGGGAAGTGAGTGAGGGGTAAAAGACTACAAATAGGGTGCCATGTATACTACTCAGGTGATGGGTGCACCAAAATCTCATAAATCACCACTAAAGAACTTACTCATGTAACCAAACACCACCTGCTCCCCAATAACCTATGAAAATTAAAAAAAAAAAATCAAGCTCAAGTTCTGGATAAGTGAATCTTCTATGATGACCCTAAAACAAACCATATTTCCTGTAGTTGAAGGGCTAATATTTCTTTAAACCAATATCAAAAAGTAAACTTTCAGGTGATTAACTTATGGTGCAAATTGAATTTCCAAACTCACAGGGTCTCTTATGCTAAAGTTAGAGCACTGATTAGGAAGGACAGGACCTCAAATATCAGGGCAGGTTCATTGAAGATTCTCATAAAGCCGAAACACCTGAAACCCTAAATTCTGCTGCCTTCTTTGCCAATGGTGGGAAAAAAAAGCACTTCCATTTCTATCTGAGAAAATTGATTTTCCCTTGCCTAAACTCTTACGGCCTCACCTGTAAGGAAGTTGCCTTACAAAGGATTATAATCCTTCTCTTAACCTACCTCCTCCATTTTTCATTGTTTCTAGACCTACAAGCAGACAAGTCTTAGATGACGCCAGAGGGTAAATGTGATACTGTGATGTAATAAAAAATATATATTTGGTTTCTGCCCCTGGGTCCTGGCACACAGCTCCTAAATTCTTGGAATTGGCAAAGTGCTAAGTGTCTTTTTGCATGCTAACAAGAAGACTGGATGAGGGCTCCTGGATAGTCTCTGGATGGAGGCTGGTTGTCAGGGGAATCAACAATGTGATTAGATAGTGGAAACTTTCTGTCCCACTGGCAGTCCTCCAGGGAGGGATTAAGATTGTATTGAGGACCAATGGCCAATGAAGTAATCAATCATGCCTATGATCAGTCACGTAATCAATCAATCTTCCATAAAAAACAAAAAGGACAGTGTCACGGCAGCTTCCAGATTGCTCAACACATGGAGTTCCCGGAGGGTGGTGCATCCTAGGAGGACAGGGGAGCTCCATCTCCACCCAATACCTTGCCCTATGCATCTCTTCCAGCTGATTGTTCATCTATATCCTTTGTAATATAATTTACAGTAAACCAGTAAACATAAGTAAAGTGGTTTCCAGAGTTCTGTGAGCTGCTCCAGCAACTAATGCAACTCAGGAAGAAGGTAGTGGGAACCTCCAATTTATAGCTGCTTGATAAGAAGCACAAGTCACAGTCTAGAGCTTGAAGCTGGCATCTGAAGTAAGGGACAGTCTTATGGGACTGAGCTCTTAGTATGTGGATCCAATGCTAACTCCAGGTAGATAGTATCAGAATTGAACTGAACTACAGAACACCCAGGCGGTGCTTGCCAGAGAATTGCTTGGTGTGTGAGGACAAACTCCTACACATGTGGTGTCAGAAGTGTTGTGTTGAGTAATGTGTGAAAGAAGGATAAAACAGAATTTGGGTATTTTTTAATCGGGGAAAGTAGAAGTATGACCAGTAAGGAGGTCTAAAACACATCAGAGGAATTCAGGATTTTGACATTTTATATCAACAGAAATCTGGATAGCACTGAGGAGAGTGGGCCATAAGGATGCTGAGATGGAACAGGAACCCCTTATTGGGGGCCTGCTGGACAGCTATTCATTCAAGCATGAAAATAAAGGAAAATCTTGGGTACCTTCATGGCAAAGTCCAGACACCTAGCTAGCCTTGAAAAGTAAATTAGCAACCTGATAAGCAAGAAGTTAATAATAGCTTAAAACAATAACCAAGAATATTAAAATCATGAGATGTTTGATTTCTTATAGAAACTAAAAACAAAGCCAAGCCAGGAGGATTGCTTAGGGCCAGGGGCTTTAGACCATTCTGGGCAACTAATGAGATCCAATCTCTCCAAAATATAAAGTAGAAACATTAGCCAAGCATGGTGGTGTGCGCCTGTAGACCTAGCTATTCAGGAAGCTGAGTCAGGAGGATGGCTTGAGCCCAGGAATTTGAAGTTACAGCAAGCTATCATCAGGCCACTGTACTCCAGCCTAGGTGACAGAGCATGACCCTGTCTCTAAAGAAGAAAAAAAGAAGGAAAGAAACTAAAAATAACATCTTAACATATAATTCTGAGTCGTTTTCAGAAATGCAGATTACCACCAAATTAAAAATGCTGTCCATTGGCACATAGACTTTAGATAAGGGGGAGCTGAGGAATGAACTCCAACCACTATTCTGTGTTCTAAATTTCCTCCTGAGAAGCCGGAAGGAAGTCACCCCCACAGGTAGGATCTCAACATTCCTTTTGTTGACCCCAAATTTTTAGACAAAACTTCACCTCCTTAACCAGTTGCAAGTCAGAAAATCTATAACCTGTGGCTTCCACTTCAAGATGTCCCAATTTTTTAGGTCAAAGCAATGTATAGCCTCCATGCATAATTTATGACTTTTCCTGTAACCTCTGTCTTCCTGCCTTTTAAAAACTCCTCCCTGTAAGCCATTAGGGAGTTTGGGTCTGAAGCATTAGCTGCCCAATTCTCCTTGCTTAGTGCCCTGCAAGAAATGCCTCACTTTTTTCTTTTAACCTTTTAAGTTCAGAGGTACATGTGCAAGTTTGGTATATAGGTAAACTTGTGTCATGGGGGTTTGCTGTACAGATTATTTTATCACCTAGGTATTAAACCTAGTACCCATTAATTATTATTCCTAATCCTCTCCCTCCTCTCACCCTCCACCCTCCAGTGGGCCCCAGTATCTTCTGTTCCCCTCTCGGTATCCATGTGTTCTCATCATTTAGCTCCCACTTATAAGTGAGAACGTGCTGGGATAACTGGCCAGCCATATGCAAACAATTGAAATTGAACCACTTCCTTACACCATATACAAAAATCAACTCAAGATGGATTAAAGACTTAAGTGTAAAACCCCAAACTATAAAAACCCTGGAAGACAACCTAGGCAATACCATTTTAGACACAGGAACGGGCAAAGATTTCATGACAAAGCCACCAAAAGCAATTGCAACAGAAGCAAAAATTGACAAAGGGGATCTAATTAAACTAAAGAGCTTCTTCACAGCAAAAGAAACTATCAGCAGAGTAAAAAGACATGAGAGAAATGCTTTCCCCACAGAATGAGGGAAAATTTTTGCCTCACTTTTTCTCACTGCAATCCTGATGTCAGTGTTTGGCTTTGCTATGCCAGGCAGGCAGCTCCAAGTTCAATTTGGTAACAATGTTGGTCTAGGGGAAGAAATGCCATGTTGGACCAAGCTCAAATTATTAATATGGGCTCACTAGGGAGAGATTCCAGAACAACTAGGTCAGTAAGTGTCTGGAAGCAGCTCTAACATTTTACTAGGTCAGTTAACAGAAACTTGGAGCCAGTGGAAGCCTTGACAAAAATTCTCTCCTTGACCAAACTCTAGCCAAGCTCCTCTGAGCCCTCTTCCCAACTAGGCCTCAACCTTGGCTTATAAAGACTTGAGCAAATCACTAACATATTTTCTAATCCCTCAAGGCCATCTCCCTAGAATGACTCTAGTCCCGCCCAAAGTACCCACATGAGAAAATACAAAGAGGCCAAAATAATTTACTGTTTCTTCCAACCAGCACCTGAAGATAGGGCTCCTGTCTCCCACTCTCTGTGGAACGTAGGAGCTTATAACTTCAATCAGGCCGGTTGTCAAACCCAGATAGGTTTCACATGGACCAAGTGCCCATTCCTGCTTTTTGTAATTTTTCACTTCCCTGAATCTACTGAGCCTCTCTGCTCACTCTCCCCATTTGCTCATTCTCTTTAAAACACACAGTCACTGCCGTACAAATTGAAGTTATCTTCCATTCACACTGGATTCTTTTCCCTATTGCAGTAGTATATTACCAATTAAAATATTTTATCACTTTCACCAGTATGCAGCTGCTGATTTATTTATAATGTAGATTTATCTTTGACAGTGTATACTAAATAAAGTTAAAATGCTAGAACTCTCTTGATATATTGTAGAGCAACAATTCTCAAAGTGTTGTCCACAGATGCCTGGGAGTCTCTGAGAATCTTGCATGAGGTTTGCAGAATCAAAAAGTAATTTCAAATAGTACTATTTATTTTTTCACTGTCTGGACGTTTACATTGATGATGAAAAATAAACTGTGAGTAGAACTGCTGACATCTTACCATGAATCACAGCAGTGGCACTCAACTGTATTAATCATCATTATATTCTTTATAACCACAAACTCGTAATAAAAATTGACAGTTTCGCTTTGAAATGTCTTTGATAAATCAGCAAAGAACCGTACAATTTTACTATTTAGTACACATATTTTTAATATTTTGTGTATATTTCATACACATATGCATAAAGAACTTGAACTACTGGTGATGTACGTAAATGTTAATTTTTGATATTACACACTGAAATGTGTCAATATTTGGAAAATTTGCATAACACAGAGAATTTGTGCATGATACTACAAAATCATGCGTGAGTTAGAACTACCTTCAAAATGTAAGACAGAAAAATGTTAATGTTACGGAATACAAAAGTATATTTACATGGTTTTATTGTCACAATAAAATTAACCTTTAAGAAACAACCACTGAGCCAGGAGTGGTGGCTCACGTAATCCCAGCATTTTGGGAGGCCAAGGTGGGAGGATTGCTTGAGCCCAGGAGTTCAAGACCAGACTGGGTAACATGGGGAAAACCCAACTCTATAAAAAATACAAAAATTATCTGGGTGTGGTGGTGTGCACCTGTAGTCCCAAATACTAGGGAGGCTGAGGTGGCAGGATTGCTTGAGCCTAGAAGGCAGAGGTTGCAGTGAGCCAAGATTGTGCCACTGCACTCCAGCCTGGGCAACAGAATGAGACCGTCTCAAAAAAAAAAAAAAAAGGAAAGAGAAAGAAAAAAGAAAAGAAAGAAAAAGAAATTGCCATGGATCCATCTTGTGCAGTACCAATTGTAGAGTATTCACAATTATCTGAGAAGGCTCTCACTTTTTCCAACTGAATATCTATGTGGATCAATTTCTTCATATACTCCAGTCAAAAATAACTTACCTTAAAAGATTGCACAAGATGATAGGAGAATCAAATTAACTTCTATTATGCCACATGTTAAAGAGATCTTTAAAAACATGAAACAACATCACTTTTCTCACCATTGATTTTGAAAATTCCATTATTTTTATTAAAAACATATTTATATCAATATGTGATGAGTTTATTGTTATTCAAGATAAATTAGAGATAAACATTTTTAAATTTTGACAATTTTAATTTCTCTTTAATAACCCATAGTCCTTGAGTTCTTCAATAATTTTTAAGACTATCAATGCATCTTGAGACCAAAAATTCTGAGAACGAATGAGGAAGGTTTTAAAGACTTAAGAAGATTGGAACGCCGGGGTAGATTTATAATGTATAATTAGTTCCCTCATTCTCCTGAGAAGATTAAGAAGATACAACCTTCACCAAGACTGTGAGAAATACATTTGTGAGGAGAGCGCCAGCATTGTTAAATAGCTGTGCTGGCCATTCTCAGTAGGCCAGAAATGACAGTGCTAACTGCTGCCCCAAGGTGGGCTCTCTAAATTTACTGATGACAGGATCCCATAGTGACTGCAGCCAAGTGCAGACACCCAATTATCAGAGACAAAGTGGGTATTTTTACTATAATGAACAACAGAGCCAAAGCAGTACTCAGAATTGATTGGTCTAGAGGAATCTTTGACATTAGCTAATAGATTGTAGTGTCTCTATAACAGAAATAAATGGCTGCTTATTGAAGCATTGCTTGACTTCCATAGAAGAAAAGCTCTAGATCTGGCAAATCCAAGTCTGATTTGAATTATCACAATAGGGAGCTGCAGCCCCACAAGCAAAATCCAGCACATTCATCAGTGACAGACCCAGAGTCATCCAAACAGTTTCCTTTGGGGAAAGACCCTCTTTGCCAGCTGAAAACTAACACTGTCAATCTGTTTCCTAGCCTTCATTAAAAGAATCTGTCACCATTTTCCAGGGTGACTATGCTTTGAGGAAAGTAAAATAAACAGGCTTTTAGAAGATAACTAAACACTGGCTTAAAATCATTAACCATAAATTTAAAAATCGACAAACTAAGCTATAGTAAAATTAGTATTTTCCGTTCATAAATGGCACCATTAAGCAAATAAAAATGCAAGTCACTGAGTAGGAAAGATATTTGTAACACATTGAAGGAAACCAAAATATTTCCCCAAAATATTGAGGATTGTTAATTTAAAGACATTAAAAACACAGGGGAACACTCCGCCTCAGCCTCTGTTTTCCTGATGGCAAAACATAAATCCTTTCATACTGGAAACAGCACTTGTTTATCAGCCCAGAGAAGACATCAAAGGCACCAGAAGAATCTGGGGACAGATTTTACTACCTTCCCACATATTCCTACCTTTTCAAAGACTTGAACTGCTCTCTTCTTTGTCTTGTCACTACATAGAATTTATGGCTGTTTGTTAAAATACTATTTAAGCAAGGTCTCGAAGCCATTGCCTTAAAAGAGAAATACTTTTGAACTGAGGCCTTTCCTACCTGATGGGCACACCATGCGTTAATTAACTTCTGTTTTTCTTGCATTAATATGACATTTGTTTTCACAAGAGTGTCTCAACTAAGAACCTAAAAAAGAAAAGAAAAGAAATTGTTTTCTCCCCACATCTTGAAACCAACAAGGGGATCATATCCAGAATATATTAAGAACTATCAAAATGTTTAAAAAGATTGGCAAGGTACTGTTTTTCAGTTTGACAAGAGACCTGAACAGCCACTGACCCAAAGAGGTTCTTTAGATAGCCAATATATTTAAAAGAATGCAAACTCGTAAGTAATGAAAAGAAATAAAATTTCAATGAGATGCCACTACATATTGACCAGAATAGTTAATTTTTAAAAAATACACAAATGTTGGCAAGAATATAGACGAGTGGTAATTTTATGTATGATCATAAAACCACCTTTGTGGTCAGGCACGGTGGTTCACGCCTGTAATCCCAGCACTTTGGGAGGCTGAGACACGCAGATCACCTGAGGTCAGGAGTTCGAGACCAGCCTGGCCAACATGGTGAAACCCCACTTCTACTAAAAATACAAAAATTAGCCGGGCATGGTGGTGGGTGCCTGTAATCCCAGCTACTTGTGAAGCTGAGGTAGGAGAATCGCTTGAACCCAGGAGGCAGAGGTTACAGTGAGCCAAGACTGTGCCATTGCACTCCAGCCTGGGCAACAAGAGCAAAACTCCGTCTCAAAAAAAAAAAAACAAAAACAAACAACAACAACAAAAAAACACCTTTGCAAAAGTATGGCAGTAAGAAATATCCGACATAGTTGACTCTATCTTGCTTCTGACCTCCAAGGTATCCTTGGTCACTCCTGGGCATAGGCCAAGCTAATTTGGGGAGGAATTTAGTTTATAATTTAACATTAAAGCTAGGATGATAATAGCCTTTCCCCAAACTAAATTGCCTTTATAAAATTAATGAAAGGGCACAAGGTTGGGATTAGGCGATGGGGCATGAATTCTGATAAGATGTAGACATAGTTTTTATAATTCCTTACTGCTCAGAGGTCAAATGGCCAGAAGTCACAAGATTTGTGACTTCCAGCCAGGCGTGGTGGCTTACACCTATAATCCCAGCACTTCGGGAGGCCGAGGCAGGCAGATCACTTGAGGTCAGGAGTTCAAGACCGGCCTGGCCAACATGGTGAAACCCCGTCTCTACTAAAAATACAAAAAAATTAGCTAGGCGCAGTGGCATACCCCTGTAATCCCAGCTACTTGGGAGGCTGAGGCAGGAGAATCACTTGAACCTGGGAGACAGAGGTTGCTGTGAGCCGAGATGGCACCACTGCACTCCAGCATGGGCAACAGAACAAGATTTTATCTCAAAATAAATAAATAAAAAGATCTGTGACTTCCCCATTTGCTCCTATAGATAATATCACTATTGTAGAGCTTAAGATTGGTGTTTCGAGATTTTTTTTCAGACTTTTTGGCCAACAATTGACCCCGCCCAGACCCTTGACTTGTGATTCAGCACAGGAGGACTGTTTTCCACAGCCCTATGATTTCATCCCCAACCAACCAGCAGCACCCATTCCCTAGCCTCCTGCCCACCAGATTGTCCATAAAAACCTTAACCTCTGTGTCTTCCAGGAGACTGATTTCAATGATAATTCTAATTCTCCTGCATAGCCAGCCTCATGTCAATTAGATTTCTCTACTACAATGCTGCAGTCTCAGTGATTTTATTTTCTTTGTGCAATGGGCAGGAAGAAACCATTGGGTGATTACAGTAAAGGTTATATAAACTGGTATAAACTCTTTGGAAATTTTTACATTATCTACTAAATTTCAATGTATACATACCCCATGACCGAGAGAAATGCCTTCACATGTACAAGAAAAATTGTGCATAAGTATATTCATGGCACTGTTATTTGTAAGAGTAATGGTCATATATTTATATAATAAAATATAGTACAGAAAGGAAAATTAAAGAAATACTTGCTATTTGCAACAAAATGAATGATACTCAAAACATAAATCTTGAACAAAAGAAGGCAGACATCAAAGATTACATACCATAGGATTACATTACAACAGAGTTGAAAAACTAATAGTGTCAGAATTAAGGACAGTGGTTACCTTTGGGAAAGGGGATAGAGATAGAAATTAGAAGGGGCCCTGACAAGGCTAATGGTGTGCTGGAAATTCTCTACATCTACGTTTTGATCTATGTAGTGCATATGTAGGTGTTTCCAACTTGGGATAATTTATTAAACTATACGTATATGAGTTACACATGTTTCTATGTGTTTAATATATTTAAGTGTTTAAAAAGTATTTTTAGAAGACAAAAATTGGATGACTAGATTTTTTTTAAAAAAAATCTATGAAAGTGACAATAGGCCAGTTGTTATAAAAGTGTAGCCTCTAGACCAGCAGCCTCAGTATCACATGGAATGTGTTAGAAATTCAAATTCTTGGGCCCTACTCCAGACCTACTCAACCAGAAGCTCTGGGAGAGGAACCCAAAATTATGTGCTTTAAAAAACTCTCCGGGTGAATCCAAGGTACCCTTAGGTTTGAGAACTGCTGCAGTAGACACATCTAAAACTTAAAGACAGAAATATTGGAAATAAAATAATGGAAAATATAAATATCTGGCAATTCTAATTAAGTCAGCATAGCTATATTAATTTAAAACAAAATAGAATTTAAGGCACAATGAATTATTAGAGATAAAGAATAACTTCTTTATAGAGACACAAGGTTAATAAAGTCACTTCTTTGTAAACTGATAACATCTAATCCAGGGGCCAAGGGAAAGCTTCTCCTCCACCTTCTAAAGGTTCACTGAAAAGGAACTGACAAAGGTCAGGTTAATAAGTGAAAAAGATACACAAAGTTTATTTAATGTGCATAAACACAGAAGCCATACACAAAGAATGAGACTCAAAGAGGGGCCAGATGGTCAAGACTTAAATACTCTCTTCACAGGAGATATATGAATCCCCGGGAGGCAGATATTATTTTGTAAATGATTCTCTTTGGAAGCTAGATGAGACAAGTTATGAGAAAGGGACAGGCAGAGCTGCATGGGAACAAAGATTGTCTTATTATGCAGATAAAGTCTGCCAGGTAATCTCTCAGAGTGCCTTCAGAAGAACAGATGAAAAATCAGTCTGATGACTCACAGTCTCTTCTGTTCTCCAGTGATTGATCACTCCTGGTTATTTGATGAGATTGCTAGGGAGGGTACCTTAAAATAATTGTATTTCTTTTGGAAAGAAGCGTTCTTAGAGAAGAAAATTCTAGAGAGAGTCCCTCTCGGTGCTGTGAGGAAGATCAGAAACAGGTAAGCAGAGGAAGATTAGAGAGATACCTTGGTTCTGAGGCTTATTTCTGTTTTTTCTTTTCTTTCTTTTTTTTTTTTTTTTGAGACAGGGTCTCTCTCTGTCACCCAGGCTGGAGTGCAGTGGCACAATCTCTGCTCACTGCAACCTCCGTCTCCCAGGTTCAAATGATTCTCCTGCCTCAGCCTCTTAAGTAGCCTGGATTAGAGGCATGCACCACCATGCCAGGCTAATTTTTGTATTTTTAGTAGAGACAGGGTTTTACCATGTTGGCCAGGCTGGTCTCAAGCTCCTGACCTCAGGTGATCCGCCTGCCTCAGCCTCCCAAAGTATTGGGATTACAGGCATGAGCCACTGCACCCAGCTGGTTCTGAGGCTTATTTCTGAGGTCTTCCAATTTTCAAAACTCTCAGCATGCCAACATCCGCACCCCAACACTATCTAACTAAAATCCACATCTTCTATATAATTGGGAAATGTTAAAATAGTTGTTTTAAAATCAGAAAGAAGACAAGAATATTTGCTGTTATGGGCTGAGTTGTGTTCTCATAAAATTCATGTTGAAGTTCTAAATCCCATACCTTGCAAAGTATGTAAAGATAGGGTCTTTAAAGTGGTAATTAAGTTAAAATGAGGTGATATGGTTAGGCTTTGTGTCCCTACCCGAATCTCATATTGAATTATAATCCCCATAATCCCCACATGTCAAGGGAGAGACCTAATGGAGGTAATTGTATCATGGGGGGCAGTTTTCCCTATGCTGTTCTCGTGACAGTGAGTGAGTTCTCAGGAGAGCTGATGGCTTTACAGGTGTTTGTTAGTTCCTCCTGCATTCACTCTCCTTCCTGTTGCCTTGTGAAGAAGTTGCCTTGCTTCCCCTTCACCTTCCACCGCGATTGCAAGTTTCTTGAGGCCTCCCCAGCCATGCGGAACTGTGAGTCAATTAAACCTCTTTCCTTCATAAATTACCCGGTCTTGAGCAGTTCTTTAAAGCAGTGTGAAAACAAACTAATGCATAAGGATATTAGGATGGGCCCTAATCTTACATGATCAGTGTCTTTATAAGAAGAGGAGATTAGGAGACAGACACAGTCACAGGGAGAACTGTGTGAAGACAGCAGAAGACAGCCCTCTATAAGTCAAGGGGAAAAGCCCTAGAAGATACTACTAGGGATATATGAAAAACAACAACAACAACAACAACAACAACAAAAAGCATACTTTTTTCCTATTCTCTACTCTTTACTCTCACACAACTACTCAATACACTTCATCTCTGGTCATCAAAACGTGTGAATATTTCTCCCACCAGCAATCATTTCTGCAGTGTACACCAGCTGATTGTCCTATATTCTACCTACCTGGAGATAGCATCGAATCCCACAGGTTAAGGGCTCAGACCACAAGACAGTCTCCAAGCCAGTCACGAGTTCAGGCCTCTGGAAATTTTTACCAACTTTCTATTTAGGGTCCCCACAACCCTTTCTGCAGGTTTGATTCATTTGCTAAAGCAGTTCCCAGTGTTTATCCAATTATTATAAAAGATATTACAAAGGACGTAGATAAATAGCCAGATGGAAGATTTGTGCAGGGCAAGGCTTGAAAGAAGGGATGTGGAGCTTCTGTGCCTTCTCTGGCTGCACAACCCTTCGAGATCTCCCATGTGTTCAGCAGTCAGGAAGCTCCCAGCAGCCTGTCCTTTTGAGATTTTATGAAGGCTTCATTATATAGGCATGATTGATGACATCATTGACCACTGGTGATCAGCTTAACCTTCAGCCTATCTCTTCTTCCCAGAGGTTGGAGGGTGAAGCTAAAAGTTCCAACTCTCTAATCCTGCCTTGTTCTTTCTGGCGACCTTCCCTATCCTTACTCTCCAGGGGTCCTCAGCCACCTGTCATCTGATTAGCATTATCACTCTGGAGATTCCAAGGGTCTTTGGAGCTGTATGTTGAGAAATGGGAAGGAAGACCAAATATATATTTCACAGTTTCACAGGCACCAACCCTGTACACCTTGATCTCCAACTTCTGGTTTCTAGAATTGTGAGAAAATCAATTTCTGTTGTTTAGGCTACCCAGTCTGTGGTGTTTTGTTATGGCAGCCCCAGCCTACTAACATAACTGTTATTACCACATCTATTGGACCTGGCATTGGAGTTCCTAAACAATACAATGACAGATAGATGACAGATAGATAGCTAGATAGACTATAAGAATAGGAAAGAAAGAAATACAATTGTAATTATAATGATTTTATTATTGTATACATAAAAATTCAAAGGAATCTACCACTGGAATATAAAAATTACTAAGATAATTAGAAAACTTGCAGAATACAAAATCAGTGTATTGCATTTGACCTTTTCTACACAGCCATGAATAATTAGAAAAAAATACTTTTAATAAGCATACTAATTATATAACAAAAAATAAGATCGTATAATTTTAAATAATATGTAACACCATTATGAATAAAATTATATTTAAAGAATTGAATGACATGAAAGAAAATCATATTACATGTGGAAATACTGTGAAAGGAAAATAAATTATGGGACCCTCCTTGACCCTCCCCCTAAATCACTAAGCCAAGGGAAAAGTCAAGCTGGGAACTGCCTCCTGTTTTATTCCTAAATAAGACGGCTACAAAGATGGAAAGCTACATACCTCCCTCACAATTTGCCCACATGGAAATTCCTTGTGGACGAACCACAGACAGAAGTAAATTGTGTATTCAAAAAAGGCTGATCAAGGACTCAAAAGAATGCAGTCTTTCATCTCTTACCTGCTTATGACCTGGAAGCCCCCATCTCAAGTTGTCCCACCTTACCAGACTGAATTGATGTCTCATGTCTCCCTAAAATGTATAAAAGCAAGCTGTTCCCTGACCACCTTGGGCACATGTCGTCAGGATCTCCTGAGACTATGTTATAGGTACATCCTTAACCTTGGAAAAATAAACTCTGTAAATTGATTGAGACCTGTCTCAGATGACTTTTGGTTTATAATACATTATGTTCATAACTAGGAAGACTCAATATTAGAAAGGTTTCAATTCTCCTTGATTAATATAGTCAATGCAATTGCAAAAGATTTTTGTGGAACTTGTAAGTTGATTCTAAAACTTATATGAAAGTGCAAATTGCCAAACATAGCTTAAACACTCCAGAAGAATAAAAACAAGTCCAGTGGGAGGAAGTTGCCTTTTCAGATATCAGTATTTCTTATAAACCTCCAATAATTCAGGACGGGTAGTATTGATGCCATGTAAATAAATAAATGAATGAAAGAGAATGAAGATCCTGCAAACAGATTCATAAATATATAGAAATTTAGTGTATGACAGAGCATGAATTGCAGGTCCATGAGGAAAAAGTAGACCATTAGGTAAATATTGTTAAGTCAAATAGTTATCCCATGGGGTAAAACAAAGTATAAGAAATTTGATGACTTTCTCACCATATTCACAAGAAGCAGAGGAAATAAAAAAAAAAAAATACAGACCTTCAGTTTAAGATTAGCACTATGGGCCAGGAGCAGTGACTCACCCTTTAATCCCAGCACTTTGGGAGGCTGAGGTGGGTGGATTTCTTGAGTTCAGAAGTTTGAGATCAACCTGGGCAACATGGAGAAACCCCATCCTACTAAAAATACAAAAACTAGCCCAGGTGGTGGCATCCACCTGTAGTCCCAGATATGCAGTGGGCTGAGGTGGGAGGATCACCTGAGCCGGGGAAACCCAGGTTACAGTGAGCTGTGATTGCACCACTGCACGCCAGCCTGGGTGACAGAGGTAGGCCCTGTCTCAAAAAGAAAACAAAACAAATAAGATAAGTACCATGTGGCCGGGCACGGTGGCTCACACCTGTAATCCCAGCACTTTGGGAGGCCGAGTCGGGCAGATCACGAGGTCAGGAGTTTGAGACCAGCCTGACCAACATGGTGAAACACCATCTCTACTAAAAGTACAATAATTAGCCTGGCGTGGTGGGGCGCACCTGTAATCCCAGCTACTCAGGAGGCTGAGGCAGAAGAATTGCTTGAACCCAGGAGGTGGAGGTTGCAGTGAGCCGAGATCCCGCCACTGCACTCCAGCCTGGGAGACAGAGCAAGACTCCATCTAAAAAAAAAAAAATTATAACCATGTCACCATGGCCCTCCTATTAGTTACATTTCTGGAATTAAAAAATAAATCAATCAGTCCTGATACTCAGGTTTCTTCTAAGTCTATATTGGCTTTACAACACTGGAGGAGATACAGAAGTCAAGCAGATGGAGGGTATTTTGAGCTTTCTGCTTGACTCCACAAAGTTTATCAGTGAAGAGGAGTTAATGGTAAGTATTTATTTAAGGAAAAAAGAATGGAATTAAAACAATTGGAATTCCAAGACCAAGAATTTGGAGAAGTATAAGTAAATGCCATTTTAAACATTTATGCATTGTGGTAGGCAGAATTCTAAAATGATTTCCAGTGACATTTGCCCTTGTATTATCAATTCCCCTTGAAGTGTGGGTGCAACCTATGAGTAGGTATCACTCCCATGATTGTTTCATTACATGACAAAGGCAAGTTAGTCAGGTGGGCCTCACCTGGTCAAATGAACCCTTTAAAAGCAGAGAGTGTTCTAGCATTGAGGAAGAAGAGGTAGTCAGAGAGATTCCAAGTGTGACAAGGACTTACACGCTTGCTTGTTTGAATACGGAGGCAAGGATCTGAGGTGGAGGTACATGAATACAACCTGAAAACTGCCTCCAGGAGCTGACAGCAGCCCCCATCAGCAGCTAGCAAGACCACGGGACCTCAGCCTTACAAATGAATTCTGCCAACAATGTGAATGAGCTTGAAAGGAGATTGTTCCTCAGAGCCTCCAGACGCGAGACCAGTCCAGATGTGCTTTGATTTGGGAGCTGTGAAACTATAAGCAGAAAACCAGGAGAGCTCACCCAGAGCTTGACCTACAGAATCATGAACTAACAATTGGGTGTGGTTTTATGCCACCAGGTTTATAGTAATTTGGCGTACACCAATACAAACCAACACATAATTATATATTCAAATAATGCCTTTATGAAAAATGTAACAATGTTTAAAGCGTGGTGATATCTGTCGCCACGTTAATACTTGAAGGTTTTTGAGGCTAGGCTTTTCATAATTAGGCATGGTAATATAGGTGAGGTGATAAAAAACTAAAGTTTATTAAAAATAACTAGTTTAAATAGCAAAAAATTGTTTCAAGGTAACTGATGAGAACCTTTTTTTTTCCTCCAAGAGGTATAACTGCTTCTTCCTGTGGGTGGATGAAAGCAATTCACCTTATAGCACTCATTTGAAAAACTCCCCTTCTTCATATAAATGTTTAAAGGGTAGCACTCTATCACCCTGTGAAAAGTGCAAAACACTACATTCAACGGTGAGACTAAAGCAGCTTCTCACTACACCCCGTGGCATGCAGAATTGTCATGAGAGAGCTGAGGAGTCTTCTCCTAGAAACAGGATCAGGCATCTTGCCCTCTTGCTTTTCAGTTGCAATATTATTAGAGACTAATGGATTAGGATTGTCTGCTGATAGGAAAGGACCCAAAGGTCTCTGCAAAGGGGACTTATCAAGAGGGCAGTGGCAGAGCTGGGAGGAGGGTGCAGGCTCTGTGTCAGGGTCTGATTGTTCCTGGGGAGAGACGGTTCCAGCCAGAGCGTGTATGTGGCTGAATGTCCATCTGGATTCAACCGTGACTTGAAAAACAATTTCTCTGCATGAGGACACAAACTAGGAAAAACTGTGAAATGGGAACTCTTAGCATGGATTTTAGTCAATAAAATTACAACAACAATAAATAAAAATCCACCAAACTATATAGTATCATTTACCACTGGAGACATACCATGAAATGAGAACAGAGACAAAGGCAGCCTAAAAACAGATGCCCAAAACCACACAAACCAGTTGTCAATTCAGGAAGAATGGGTGGATCGCTGATAATGAACAGGAGGGAATTGAGTGAACAATCCGAAAACTGAAAAACAAAATACGGGGCAAGAACAGATTAATACTCTGACACACTGCAACCTTTTATACCAGTTTCTTAATAAAGCAGCTTGCACTTGAAAAGTACACCTAGAAAGGTACTCAGTAAAATTGCTGCTCTCCTGATTTGTTAACAGGGATGCACTCTTGAGTCTTAATCAATGTAGGTTACATTGATGTTGATTAGAGGGCTGTTAATTTGCAGCTCGTGATCAAAACCTGTATGTGTGCATGAGTTTGTATGTGTGTGTGTGTGTGCCTGTGTGTGTGTTTCCAGAGCTTCAAGAAATCCTAATGTGAAGATCCTATTTTTGCCTCTATCAGTCCTCATCCAGGAGCATGGTGGGCAGAGCTGTTTGTCCCCCTACTGCCCTGTTCACTGCTGAAGGATTCCTCACAGGCTTCAGTCTCCCTTTCTGCCAGAGTACAAAACAGGAAAAGGAGGCACAGCCCTTGTATATTCAGAGGCCAGAATTTCCTCTGTTTTCACGAATCCAAAAAAAATCTGCTTTCCACTTTATCCTTAAAGACTCAGTGGCTTGAAAGTCTCCTTCAAACCTGAGGTTCTATCATTTTATGTAGTAAACACTTCCATCCGCTTTTTAGCAAGAGATTAACTATATATAATCTGAAATCTTTAAAATAGCATTTAAAATGATCTAAAAATGCCAACTTTTAAGGCTCTCTCAGAAGGAATTTCCCAAAATCTGTCCTCAGAGATGATCACAGAATAGTGTGAGGATGAATGAATGAATGAACAAACAAATCAGCTAGCTGGGGAAAGACTGCAGGGCACGACAGTTGTGCAGATACACACGCACAAACACAGTATCCACCAGTATATTAAATTGTCTAGCATCACAAATCTTCAGGTCCCTCATTTTTAAACCTGATGTCTATGATGTTATCTACAAAATTTCAAGGTCGTATGAGTCCCAGTACTCTGGGTGTCTTCGGTCATTTCCTCCTTCAGCTGCTGCAGTGAACACAGAGTTGCCCCATCCATACCTCCCTCTTTCAAGATGGGAGCACTCTTCCCCCAGCTTCTAGATTGCTGACAGCTGTCAGGTCACAGGATCTCCGTACCAGATGACTACCCTCAGCCTAAGGCAACTGCCTTGCCCAAGGTTACACTTCCTCCTCAGGGCAGCCGTCAGCCATGATTGGTCAGTGAGTAAAGGGGAAGGAGTAGAAAGACCCAGTCCTCCTGATGGAATTCAGGGTAACTTTGAAAAATTATTTTATCCCTAGAGCTCCCTGTAGGATTGGCTAATGCATCTACTGTGGTTCCCTAAGTCCAATCCTGCTTTCTGTCCTCAAGATCCATTCTGATCCTGAGAGCACTTCCTTCTGGAAGCACCCATCACTGCCTCTCAGTTAGCTTCCTAGGTAACCTTACCTGTGACTGTAGCAGTTTCTTAGTAGGAAAGTAATATATGAGTATAGTCCCAAGGCCTACTTATCTTGGGTCTCTTTGTTTTCTAAACCAGTCCAAAAGCTGAATGATAAAAAAATTAGCAAGTTCATTAAGGCAAAATAGCCAAAACATACAGAAATGCATTTTGTTTTTATCGTAATTAATTCTAAGGCATCGTTATACTCCATGATTTTTTTCTTTAATTCAGGGTCTCCTTCTGCCCCCCAGACTAGAGTGCAGTGGCAGGAGCATAGCTCACTGCAGCCTTGACCTCCTGGGCTCAACCAATCCTCCCACCTCAGCCTCTCAAGTAGCTGGGACTACACGTGGCTGCCGCCACACCTGCCTAATTTTTAAAAAGGCTGAGGCAGAATTGCTTGAACTTGGGAGGCGGAGGTTGCAGTGAGTAGGGATCATGCCACTGCACTCCAGCCTGGGTGACAGAGTGAGACTACGTACGTCTCAAAAAAAAAATTTTTTTTTTTTTGTAGACGGGGTCTCACTGTGTGTCCTGGCTGATCTTGAACTCCTTATTTCCAGTGATTTTCCCAAGTTGGCCTCCCAAAGTGCTGGTTTACAGGCACAAGCCACAAAGCCAGGTCCCTATTTTTTTTAAAAACGAGCAGCCATAGGTAATTTTTACTATCCTTTTCACATAATGGGAGGTATTGAGGAGAGAGCCGCTATGATAAAAGCATAAGCTTCTAAGTAAAATTTATCTCTGAAATATTTTTTTTTTTACTGTCCATTTCTTTCTACAAAGACCCTAAAATTTTGCTCCTACTTTTAAAAAACTTTATGCCACAAGGAAGGCATTGCCATAGGAAAGAGAGATAAAAGGGGCAATCTATGAGTTTGTTTTGATATTTGGAGCACACTTCAGGCATATTCATTTGTCTTTGATGGCTCCTGCAAATTACAAGGCAAAAATAGACTGATATTTTGAGTTCTGTGAAACAGGTAAATTACAGAAAGAAAGAAACTTGCCCAGCCCCCTTCAGCGCTAAATCCTTCAGGCAGTTTTGAGCACATAATAAATGTTTAATAGTACTTGTTAAATAAATAAATAAATAAATAACTGATGTGTAAGTGCATTCTTAAAACTCAGAAGACAGGACTCTATTGAGTCTCATTTGGAATATATTTTTTTCATGTCTAGCAAAATCTAAATTATTCTCCTTATGTTTTCTCCCCACTTTTCACATGCTTGATAATAGGTGATAATGCCATATTACATCTGAGAAGTACGTAGCCTCCCCTTTGCGTTAGACGCAGAGCCAAGGGTAGAAATCAACTTAGAATGAGAGACCATGGCCGTTGTCATCGAAATGAAATTTAACACAGTTTTTTCAGACAATTAATTTGTTTGGCACTCATTCTGTCACGATTCTCATACCCTTTATTCTTTCATTGTGATAACTGAAAAAGTGTAACACACATGAAGAAATAAAAAAGATGCTCTTTGTCTTCTTCCATTCTTCTTAAAAGATGTTTACCACACTTCTTTCGTGAGTCAGACACTACACTGAAGACACAAAAATGAGTAAAGCAAAGCTCAAAGAGCTCACAGTCTGGGGAGGAAAAACATGAGGCCCCCATGAATAGGAAAAGGACAGTGAAGGAGGTGCAGAGCCGCAGAGCACAGCAGGAGAGGCCGAGCGCTGCAGGGGGAGAAAGGCCTCCCAGAGGTGGAGAGCCCACCACGCAGTCTTACAGGATGAGTTCGTATTCACCCAGTGTGGAGCCAAAGAAGCGATTCTTGACAAGAGTAGAGGGTTATGGAAACAATGGTAGTGGGAATTGTTCTAGTAGTCAGGAGAGATACTTAGGTGACAGATTCATAATGACTTGGTGACAGAGTGCAAATGGAGGGGGTGTGAAATAAGAAAAGTCAATGGGAGAAGAAAATTATTGTGAGAGAGAAAAGGGAACCATAAATATGGCAAAAGTCTAGGTCATGGTGGACAAACTGCTACAGACCAAAAGAGTTTAAAACTTATATCCACACAAAAATAGGCATAAAAATATCCAGACAAAAATCTTTATAGGAACTTTATCATTGCCACAACTTGGAAGCAATCAAGATGTCCTTCAGAGGTGAATAGATAAATGAACTGTGCTTCCTGCAGATAATAGAATATTATTCAATGCTAAAAATAAATGAGGTGTCGGGCCATTAAATGACAAGGTAGAACCTTAAATTCATATTACTAAGTGAAAGAAGTCAAGTTGAAAAGCTACATACTGTACCATTCCAACTATAGTCATTCACTTCATACTGAAGTTTCAGTAAGCAACAGACAGCATATGCAATGGTGGTCCCATAAGATTATAATGGAGCTAAAAAATTCCTATCACCTGAGTGCCATTGAAAGCTTTGCAACGCCACAGAGCAACACATTACTCAAGTGTTTGTGGTGATGCTGGTGTAAACAAAGCTATGACTGTGTTGCCAGTCATAAAAGTATAGCTCATACAATTGTATAGAGCACATCATACTTGGTGATGATAATATTAATAACTATGTCACTGGTTTATGTTTTTACTATACTAAATTTTTTATTGTATTTTAGAGTGTACTAATTCTACTTATTTATTTTTAAAAAGTTAACTATAAAATAGCTTCAAGCAAGTCCTTCAGAAAATACTACACAGGAGAAAACATTTAAAATAAAAAAAATAATAGAAAAATGCTTATAGAATAAAGATAAATAGAGATAAAATATTTTTGAATGGCTGGCTGTACAATGTGTTTGTGTTTTAAGCTAAGTGTTATTACAAAAGAGAAAAAAAGTTTAAAAAAACTTTATAAAGTAAAAAATTACAGTAAGCTAAGGTCCAGTCCAGCAAGCTCCATCCTTGTGAAGTGCCCTCTACAGAAGTACCATTTTTAAATCTTTTATCTCATATTCTTACTGTACCTTTTGTAGACTTAGACATGTTTAGATACACAAATACTTACCACTGTGTTACAACTGCCTATAATATTCAGTACAGTAACATGCGATACAAGTTTGTAGCCTAGGAGCAACAGGCTATGCCACATAGCTTAAGGGTGTAACAGGCTATAACAACTAGATTTGTGTCTCTACATTCTTGATGTTTGCACAACAACAAAATTGCCTAAAGATGCATTTCTCAGAATGTATCCCCATTGTTAAATGACACATAACTTCTATGACATTCTGGAAAAGGAAAAACTCTGGTGACAGTCAAAAAAAAAAAATCCACTCCTCTCAGGAGTTGGTGGGAAGGAAGGGATAAATAGGTGAAGCACAGAGGATTTTTAGGGCAGTGAAAATACTCTGTATGATACTATAAAGGTGGACATGTGTTATTATACATTTGTTCAAACCCATTTCTTAGTCTGTTTGGGCTGCTGTAACACCACTATCATAAACAGGATGAATTATGAAAAACAGATATTTGTTTCTCATAGTTCTAGAGGCTGGGAAGTCCAAGATGAAGGCACTGGCAGCTTCAGTGTCTAGTGAGGGCGCTGTGGGCTTCATAGATGTCACTTTCTTTCTGCATCCTCACATGATGGAAAGGATACACATGCCTTCAGGCCTCTTTTATAAGGGCACTAATTCCATTTATGAGAGCTCCACCCCCAGGACCTAACTACCTCCCAGATGTCCCACTTCCCAATACCACTACAGAGGGAATTGAGTTTCAACATATGAATTTTGAAGGGACACAAACATTCAGACCATAGCACCAATAGAACGTCCAATACCAAAAGAGCACCCCAATGCAAATTACACACTTTGAGTAATACAAACATAGATCAATGTAGTTCATCAGTTGCAATAAATGTATCATTCCAGTGAGAGCTAGGGATAGTGGGGAAGTTGTCTGTGGGGTAGCGGTTGCATGAGAACTCTGGGTATTTTTCTTTCCCTTTAGGAAAAAGAGAAAGAGAATGATGTCATAATTTTTTTGAAGCCTCTACTAGTGATCCTAATTTGCAGCCAAGGTTGCAAAGTACTCTTTTAAAAGAATTATATGTTAAAAAGGGAATGACATTCTGAAAGACATCAACAAAATCAGCAAGAAAAGAGCACAATGGGAGCACTGAGACCAATTAGGATTTTAATACAGTAGGAGAAGGGACAAATGATTGTGGTGGGAGTGCAGAAAAAAAAATAAGTTGATAGATTTTAGAGTTATTTTGGATAATCAAGAGATCTGGTAATTTGCCGAATACAGTAGGTAAAGACAAAGGATTCAAGGATGATACCATTTTTGGGCCTGGGCAACTAAGTCTGGGTTGTAAGCAATAAATTAGCAGCCCTGATACTGTTGGCTGGTCGCTGGTCATGCCATTCTCCTGCTAAACACAAACAGTTGCAGGAAACATCACCATTAGACAAGTTCCTTCTGTTATCACGCTAGTGTGAGACAAAAACAAGACCCTCTGTAATTCTGACAAGCATAAGCAAAATAAGAACACCATGCAAACTTCAAAAATGACCAAACATTTTCTTCTTCAAGCAATTAGGAGTGATGCCACTTCTCTATCGACTATAGCACTAGCCCTGCTCCATCCCTTCCGCCTCCTACGTAACAAATATTAAGATAACTAATTACAGAATTGTCCCTAAATGAATACACCCAATCTGGAGCCATCCTCACTTCCATGAATGCTCTCCAAAATATCAAACCCAAGCTCATCTAGCAATCCCTTCCTAGCATCCTCTTACTGAAATGTCCCACATTCTCTGTGTGTAGAGTCTCCCTTGCTGCAGCGAATAATAACCCAACTTTGTTTGACTACAGATGTCTCCTGGTGGTCTTCGACTGGTGACATTTACTGAGAAGAGAAATACTGAAAAAGCATAGGATCATTTGAGAGTAACAGGATAGAGTTTTGGTTTTTGCATGTCGAGTGGGAGGTACAATTTTTGAAGGTAATTAGATTTATTGATCCAAGACACAGAAAATGATTTTGTACTGAGAAATAGATCTGAGAGTCCAGTAAAAAGATGGTAAGTGAAACCAGAGAGAGTGGGGCACAAAAGGTTATCATGAGAAAATCTGCACAGTGAGAGGATAATAATAGGTCCAGTAGAAATCTTTAGAAATGGATGAAAGAGTAGCCAAAAACAGGAAGGAACCTAGAATGACCATAAACTTAAGGGAAGAAAGAAAAAAAAAAAAAAACAGAAGAGGGATGTTACAGAAGACAAGTAAAGAAAACACTTCAAAGAAAAGTAGTTAACTAGATCTGCACAATTTATTTGCTATAAATGAATATATCAAATAAATGACCCTCACTGCAACCTAGATAACCATCATAAAGATAGTCATAAAGATGGTCATTTGGGTTGCTTCCAATTTGGTAAACAATGCTGCAATGAGGATGATTGTACATAAATATTTAAGTACTTGTGCAGTGCATTTGAAGAATAAATTCCTCAGATTGGAATTTCTGGGTTAATGGATTTGTGTATCTGATTTTTAGTAGTTCATTATGCACTTCACAGATTGCATAAAGTAACATACCCACAATAGTACATGAATTCTTATTTCCTAAACCCTCAGCAAATACATATTTTCCCTAGCCTCAAAATGAATGTTTTCCAATCACGGCCCAGTATCTGCTGATTCAGCACTGTCCTGATTTCTTGATGAGCACTTTTAATTCACAAATGCTAGTTCCCGTGCATTAGCTCACTCTCCAGCCTGCTAAGGCTATGCCAAATGTTACAAATTGAGAGCAAACTTTTGATGGTATTTTGTGCTTTTATATCTAAAAATATAAAAATGCCTAAAGCCTGTCAATCATTCCTCCCTCTCCCTAATTTCCACAAATTTCCTAAATTAGCTCTCTAAAAGGAAACATAGCAAAAAATGGAAAATAGAGCATCACTTTAGTAACTGTGGAGTCAGTGACCAATGACCACAAAAGCATATTTCTGGCACAGGCTTTGTGGCTTTGGCTAAAAATACCCGTATCACCCCAGGCCCCATTCAAAGCTATATCTTGGGAGTATCTGAGTATCACATAGATCTATTAGGTTAAAAAAAATGGAGGAGACAGCAAGTTGACTGAGTTTGTTGGTAAATTCTCTAGAATCCAGCCACAAAACATATAAAAAAGAAAGACGAGAATATTTCAAGATTAACATGGCATTTTTATCATAAAGCAATGCCACGCCTGGTGAAAGAAGTAAAGTAAGCCTCAGTGTCTTGGAGGCTGATAGATATACCAGGGCGGCAGCTCCTCTTTCTTAGCTGAGTGCTAGGAGGTGAGTGGGAAGGACGGAGCAGAAATGTCTTCCTCCTACACCACTTAACCATGACCTAAGAGAACAGCCACACTAGCTTAGACTAGAATACAGGTCCCTGAAATGGTCTCCTTTCTTTTTTCTCTCTCGCTTTTTTTTTTTTTGGAGACAGAGTCTCAGTCACCCAGGCTGTAATACAGTGATGCCATCACAGCTCACTGCAGCCTTGACCTTCTGGACTCAAGCCATCCTCCCACCTCAGCCTCCTGAATAGCTGGGACTACAGGCACATACTATGCCTTGCTAAATTTTTATTTTTGTAGAGACAAGGTCTCGCTATGTTGCCTAGGCTGGTCTCAAACTCCTGGACACAAGCAATCCTCCCACCTCAACCTCCCAAAGTGCTGGGATTACAGGTGTGAACCACTGCACCCAGTCTCTTTCTTGACAGATCAAAGTGGGTGTCATTACAAAGGCAAAACTACAGAAACTTCTCTTCTCATTGATGCATTACTTTCATTTTTATTTACTACAGTTTATCTTTGTTTTAACAGGGTGAAAGGAAAACAAACGGTAAAATATTTGGCTGAAACTGAAGTTCATTGTGAATTTAAGGATGAACTTCACACTTAAAGTATAAGGCCCATGTATAAAAATGTATAAATATGCTACCAGTTTCCATTTTTAAAGATTAATTGAAAAAGATTTACTAAAGATGTAACGATTGTGAGTTTTCCTAGAATCAAGCTGAATATAACCAAAATAATGCTGTGATTTCATAGTCATGCTTTTACACTACTCTCTGTTTTAGTAGATACTGTAGCCTATTCTGAGTGCTATTTTTTTCTTTTTGTCAGCCTGGAAGATTCCTACTTAGTCTTTAAGCTACAGCATAAGTGTCACTTCCTCTGTGTTGCCCTTTCCCTGTTCTCTCCTTTAGTATCTACTGTGCCCCATAATTATTTATACGAAGGAACCTATATCATTGAATGGAAATCATTCATTTTTTTCTCTGTCATCCCTGATAAACTATCAGATCCTTAAGAGTATAGTTCTGAGTTTAGTCATTCGTATGTCTCCAAAACTTAAAACAATGTCCTGATCATGGGTGCTCAATAAATACTTATAGAGTAAATAAAGAAAAATATAAGTCTTTTTCTTATGCTTCTGATTCATCAACTTGAACCAGAAATGATAAGGCAGTTAAAGGGAGCTTATCGTAAGGGATATCATCTCTTTAAAGGGCCAGGTTGGGGGGAAATTCCAATAACCAGAACGTCTCATAGATAGAGAGCTCATGAAATTTGAAAATTGATGCCAGTATCAAAATGTCAGGAATACTGATTGTCAGGCCTCTGAGCCCAAGCCAAGCCATCGCATCCCCTGTGACTTGCACATATACATCCAGATGGCCTGAAGTAACTGAAGATCCACAAAAGAAGTAAAAATAGCCTTAACTGATGACATTCCACCATTGTGATTTGTTCCTGCCCCACTCTAACTAATCAATGTACTTTGTAATCTCCCCCACCGTTAAGAAGGTTCTTTGTAATTCTCCCCACCCTTGAGAATGTACTTTGTGAGATCCACCCCTGCCCGCAAAACATTGCTCTTAACTTCATCGCCTATCCATCCCAAAACCTATAAGAACTAATAATAATCCACCACTCTTTGCTGACTCTCTTTTCGGACTCAGCCCACCTGCACCCAGGTGAAATAAACAGCTTTATTGTTCACACAAAGCCTGTTTGGTGGTCTCTTCACACGGACACGCATGAAATTTGGTGCCGTGACTCGGATCCGGGGACCTCCCTTGGGAGATCAATCCCCCGTCCTCCTGCTCTTTGCTCCATGAGAAAGATCCACCTACGACCTCAGGTCCTCAGACCGACCAGCCCAAGAAACATCTCACCAATTTCAAATCTGGTAAGCGGCCTCCTTTTACTCTCTTCTCCAACTTCCCTCACTATCCCTCAACCTCTTTCTCCTTTCAATCTTGGCGCTACACTTCAATCTCTCCCTTCTCTTAATTTCAATTCCTTTCATTTTTTGGTAGAGACAAAAGAGACACATTTTATCCGTGGACCCAAAACTCTGGCGTGGGTGATGGAATGGGAAGGCAGCCTTCCCTTGGTGTTTAATCATTGCAGGGATGCCTCTCTGATTATACACCCACGTTTCAAGGGTGTCAGACCACGCAGGGAGGCCTGCCTTGGTCCTTCACCCTTAGCGGCAAGTCCCGCTTTCCTGGGGCAGGGGCAAGTACCTCAACCCCTTCTCTCCTTGTCTCTACCCCTTCTCTGCTTTCCTGGGGCAGGGTCAAGTACCCCAACCCCTTCTCTCCTTGTCTCTACCCCTTCTCCTTCACCCTTAGCAGCAAGTCCCGCTTTCCTGGGGCAGGGGCAAGTACCCCTCAACCCCTTCTCCTTCACCCTTAGTGGCAAGTCCCGCTTTTCTAGGGGGCAAGAACCCCCAAACCCCTTCCCTCTGTGTCTCTACGCTCTCTTTTCTCTGGGTTTGCTTCCTTCACTATGGGCAACCTTCCACCCTCCATTCCTCCTTGTTCTCCCTTAGCCTGTGTGCTCAAGAATTTAAAACCTCTTCAACTTACACCTGACCTAAAACCTAAACGCCTTATTTTCTTCTGCAACACTGCTTGGCCCCAATACAAACTCGACAGTAGTTCCAAATAGCTGGAAAATGGCACTTTCAATTTTTCCATCCTACAAGATCTAAATAATTCTTGTCGTAAAAGGGGCAAATGGTCTGAGGTGCCTGACGTCCAGGCATTCTTTTACACATCAGTCCCTTCCTAGTCTCTGTGCCCAGTGCAACTCCTCCCAAATCTTCCTTCTTTCCCTCCCGCCTGTCCCCTCAGTCCCAACCCCAAGCGTCGCTGAGTCTTTCTAATCTTCCTTTTCTACAGACCCATCTGACCTCTCCCCTCCTCGCCAGCCCAAGCTAGGTCCCAATTCTTCCTCAGCCTCCACTCCTCCACCCTGTAATCTTTTTATCGCCTCCCCTCCTCACACCTGGTCTGGCTTACAGTTTCGTTCTGTGACTAGCCCTCCCCTACCTGCCCAGCAATTTATTCTTAAAAAGGTGGCTGGAGCTAAAGGCATAGTCAAGGTTAATGCTCCTTTTTCTTTATCCCAAATCAGATAGCGTTTAGGCTTTTTCATCAAATATAAAAACCCAGCCCAGTTCATGGCTCGTTCGGCAGCAACCCTGAGACGCTTTACAGCCCTAGACCCTAAAAGGTCAAAAGGCCATCTTATTCTCAATATACATTTTATTACCCAATCTGCTCCCGACATTAAATAAAACTCCAAAAATTAAATTCCGGCCCTCAAACCCCACAACAGGATTTAATTAACCTTGCCTACAAGGTGTACAATAATAGAAAAAAGTTGCAATTCCTTGCCTCCACTGTGAGACAAACCCCAGCCACATCTCCAGCACACAAGAACTTCCAAACGCCTGAACCACAGCGGCCAGGTGTTCCTCCAGAACCTCCTCCCCCAGGAGCTTGCTACAAGTGCCAGAAATCTGACCACCAGGCCAAGGAATGCCCGCAGCCCAGGATTCCTCCTAAGCCGTGTCCCATCTGTGCGGGACCCCACTGGAAATTGGACTGTTCAACTCACCTGGCAGCCACTCCCAGAGCCCCTGGAACTCTGGGCCAAGGCTCTCTGACTGACTCCTTCTCGGCTTAGCAGCTGAAGACTGATGCTGCCCGATCACCTCGGAAGCCCTGTAGACCATCACGGACTTTGGGTAACTCTCACAGTGGAAGGTAAACCCATCCCCTTCTTAATCAATACGGAGGCTACCCACTCCACATTACCTTCTTTTCAAGGGCCTGTTTCCCTTGCCTCCATAACTGTTGTGGGTATTGACAGCCAGGCTTCTAAACCTCTTAAAACTGCCCAACTCTGGTGCCAACTTAGACAATACTCTTTTAAGCACTCCTTTTTAGTTATCCCCACCTGCCCAGTTCCGTTATTAGGCTGAGACACTTTAACCAAATTATCTGCTTCCCTGACTATTCCTGGACTACAGCTGCATCTCATTGCTGCCCTTCTTCCCAGTCCAAAGCCTCCTTTGCGTCCTCCTCTTGTATTCCCCCACCTTAACCCACAAGTATAAGAGACCTCTACTCCCTCCTTGGCGACTGATCACGCACCCCTTACCATCTCATTAAAACCTAATCACCCTTACCCCGCTCAACGCCAATATCCTATCCCACAGCACGCTTTAAAAGGATTAAAGCCTGTTATCACTCGCCTGCTACAGCACGGGCTTCTAAAACCTATAAACTCTCCTTACCATGCCCCCATTTTACCTGTCCTAAAACCAGACAAGGCTTACAGGTTAGTTCAGATTCTGTGCCTTATCAACCAAATTGTTTTGCCTATCCACCCCATGGTGCCAAACCCATATACTCTCCTATCCTCAATACCTGCCTCTACAACCCATTATTCTGTTCTAGATCTCAAACATGCTTTGCTATTCCTTTGCACCCTTCATCGCAGCCTCTCTTTGCCTTCACTTAGACTGACCCTGACACCCATCAAGCTCAGCAAATTACCTGGGCTGTACTGCCGCAAGGCTTCACAGACAGCCCCCATTACTTCAGTCAAGCCCAGATTTCTTCCTCATCTGTTACCTATCTCAGCATAATTCTCATAAAAACACACGTGCTCTCCCTGCTGATCGTCTCTGATTAATCTCCCAAACCTCAATCCCTTACAAAAGAACAACTCCTTTCCTTCCTAGGCATAGTTAGTGCGGTCAGAATTCTTACTCAAGAGCCAGGACCACACCCTGTAGCCTTTCTGTCCAAACAACTTGACCTTACTGTTTTAGCCTAGCCCTCATGTCTGCGTGCAGTGGCTGCCACTGCTTTAATACTGTTAGAGGCCCTAAAAATCACAAAGTATGCTCAGCTCACTCTCTACATTTCTCATAACTTCCAAAATCTATTTTCTTCCTCATACCTGACGCATATACTTTCTGCTCCCCGGCTCCTTCAGCTGTACTCACTCTTTAAGTCCCACAATTACCATTGTTCCTGGCCCGGACTTCAATCCGGCCTCCCACATTATTCCTGATACCACACCTGACCCCCATGACTGTATCTCTCTGATCCACCTGATATTCACCCCCATTTCCCCATATTTCCTTCTTTCCTGTTCCTCACCCTGATCATGCTTGCCTCGTGCTATCCCCAAACTGCCATTCTTAACTCTTGAAGTAAATAAATAATCTTTGCTGGCAGGGCTATGCTGAATCTCCTTAGGCACTCTCTAATCAGATGTCCTGAGTAGTCCCAATTCTTAGACCTTTTATACCTGTTTTTCTCCTCCTCTTATTCCATTTAGTTTTTCAATTCATGCAAAACCGTATCCAGGCCATCACCAATCATTCTACACAACAAATGTTTCTTCTAACAACCCCACAATATCACCCCTTACCACAAAATCTTCCTTCAGCTTAATCTCTCCCACTTTAGGTTCCCACGCCGCCCCTAATCCCGCTCGAAGCAGCCCTGAGAAACATCGCCCATTCTCTCTCCACAACAACCCCCCAAAATTTTCGCCGCCCCTAGACTTCAACATTATTTTATTTTTCTTATTAATATAAGAAGGCAGGAATGTCAGGCCTCTGAGCCCAAGCCAAGCCATCGCATCCCCTGTGACTTGCACATATACATCCAGATGGCCTGAAGTAACTGAAGATCCACAAAAGAAGTAAAAATAGCCTTAACTGATGACATTCCACCATTGTGATTTGTTCCTGCCCCATCCTAACTAATCAATGTACTTAGTAATCTCCCCACCCTTAAGAAGGTTCTTTGTAATTCTCCCCACCCTTGAGAATGTACTTTGTGAGATCCACCCCTGCCCGCAAAACATTGCTCTTAACTTCATCGCCTATCCCAAAACCTATAAGAACTAATAATAATCCACCACTCTTTGCTGACTCTCTTTTCGGACTCAGCCCGCCTGCACCCAGGTGAAATAAACAGCTTTATTGCTCACACAAAGCCTGTTTGGTGGTCTCTTCACAGGGACGCACATGAAACTGATGGCTTCTGTACACTTAGTGAGAACTCAGGAAGAAGAAAATAATTTCCCTTTTATGGATTCATCTGAGCTGAGCACCAGATCCAGGACCTTCTAGTGAGCTTCAACAGTTTCATAACAAAATACATAAATGTGCTAACAATACTTGCCTCCTTTTCCTTTCGATCATTCTAAGACTTACTGGTGATCAAAGATAATTTTATATATATATATATTTTTTAAATGGCCCTTTTAGAGTTTTCCCGTAGTTCATTCAAATTGCTCTTATTGGCTTAACTATTCCCTGCATCAATGTATGATGATCGATCCTCTCATTTACCTAATATAGGAAGTCAAGGACCTAAATGAAAAATATTTATCTTACTGTTACAGTAAAACGGAATGACTTTCATTCCAAGTTCTACTTTGCTTTCTATACGTACGTGTTATTACATCTTGCGATTCCTTTTTTTATTCACCTGTGAAAAGTGAATCACATAAATATGTTATTTTTATTCATCTAGGAAAGTTAAATGTATTATTCACAGATAAGATTATGCAGCAAGACAATGGCCACACTGTCAGACTTGAGAGAAAATTTTAAAAATTAATGATTTTTCCCAACAGTATATCAACAACCAATTTTGAAGTACTTCGTTCATAGAAATTTTTATAGTGTAGAGAAAGAATCATTAAAATTTAGCTAGAGTCAGAAGGAAGAGGAGAGCAAGTCAGAAGATACGATGTAGAGAAAATCCTCCTACTGGGTGTTATGGGGAAGAGGGAGAGAGAGGTGGTACATGGTCGAATGTGTGCAAATTAATTTTAGGTTCTCTAGGCTCTATGTGTTTTGGGAGATGAGGGGTGGCGAGTGAGAGAAAGATACTTAGATACTATATGAGATAAGACCAAGGTGGGTTGGGCTGGGGGATCCAGGAGAAAGCAGCTCCCCAGCTGCCCCCTATCCACCTACTGGGGCACAGCCCCTGCAGAATAAACCTGGCAGCCTGAAGTTGAGCTTTCTTGAGTCATTCTGTACCATCTTTCAAGAGGTTTTGCCAAGAAAAATTTGGAACTTGGAAAAATTTTGGTACAACCAACGTGTGCCACCCATCAGCTGACAGAGGTACATTGGTCCCAGCCCCAGGAGTAGGGCAATGCCTATTTATTCTACTGAATGGTTTGTTTGAGTGAAAGTTAAGCAGGCTCTCTTCATTTTTCAAAACTAAACCTTTACTAAGGGCAACTTAAACATTCAACAGTTAAGTTTACTTTCTTATAGAAGAAGTCTTTCAAGTTAAACAAAAACTTAAATCAAAATCAATGCACTTATCACTTAACTTTTGTTTATGGTTCTTATTATTCATCACTTCTCTTTCTCGCTGCAGAGAAACACTCTTAATTTCTTTCAGATGCTTCAGTTCTGAGATATCAGGACTTTAACAGTACTGATCTCAGAGATTTCTTTTGGAGTAAACAACTAAGAAATTTCTTTTTGCTGCAGGCTGTGACTTCAAATTCAGTTTCTTTCTCTTTCATCTATCATAGGGTGAACTACCAAAAGAAAAAAGAAAACAGCCCGTTTTTTCTGATTGTTTCTCCCTGTTTTTATCTTCAACATAAGAAGCAGAAATAGGGCTGAAGGTAAAGAGAAAAAAAGAGGCTACATGTCTGTGTTTCAATGCTGAAAAGTCAAAAAAATGCCCAAGCCTAATCTCGTATAATATAAAATGACAAACTCACCGGGAGTTTACATTTTTTTTTATTCTACACTCCTGCTCACTTGAGTGTTTGTTGACTATTTATTATTAAAACAATGACAACAGAACTGATTAATTTTTATTGAACAAATTGTGATTGGTAAAGTTTTTATGTATGGACTTGAAATTTTTCTTTTTTCTTAGCTGTTTGTTTACAACTAAATTGTAAGCTTGTTGCAGACAGGGAATATATCTTCTATTTGCTTGTTCAAACTACTCTGTTTACCACAGTACAGGGTCTGCACTGGGTAATTTCAAGAGCTCCTTAGGCATATATATATATGTGTGACGTGCATCCGTGTGAAGAGACCACCAAACAGGCTTTATGTGAGCAACAAGGCTGTTTATTTCACCTGGGTGCAGGCGGGCTGAGTCCAAAAAGAGAGTCAGAGAAGGGAGATAGGGGTGGGGCCGTTTTATAGGATTTGGGTGGGTAGTGGAAAATTACAGTCAAAGGGGGTTGTTCTCTTGCGGGCAGGGGCGGAGGTCACAAGGTGCTCAGTGGGGGAGCTTCTGAGCCAGGAGAAGGAATTTCACAAGGTTAATCACTCAGTTAAGGTGGGACAGAAACAAATCACAATGGTGGAATGTCATCAGTTAAGGCAGGAACCGGCCATTTTCACTTCTTTTGTGATTCTTCACTTGCTTCAGGCCATCTGGATGTATACGTGTGGGTCGCAGGGGATATGATGGCTTAGCTTGGGCTCAGAGGCCTGACATTCCTGTCTTCTTATATTAACAAGAAAAATAACATAAAATAATATTTACGTGTTGGGGCAGCGAAAATTTTTTGGGGGTGGTATGGAGAGATAATGGGCGATGTTTCTCAGGGCTGCTTCGAGCGGGATTAGGGGCAGCGTGGGAACCTAGAGTGGGAGAGATTAAGCTGAAGGAAGATTTTGTGGTAAGGAGTGATATTGTGGGGTTGTTAGAAGCAGCATTTGTCATATACAATGATTGGTGATGGCCTGGATACGGTTTTGGATGGATTGAGAAACTAAATGGAAGACATAAGGTCGGAATAAGAGAAGGAGAAAAACAGATTAAAGGACTAAGAATTGGGAGAACACAGGACATCCAATTAGAGTGCCCAAGGGGGTTCAGTGTAATTACTTGCTTGGTTGGCAAGTTTAGGCTCTATCCTTGAGTTTTTTTTATGTTGTCATATACTAGGCCAGATTGATTTAGGTAAAAACAACACTTTTCATTTAAAAATATACAAAATATACAGAGTCCTTTTTTTTTTTTCTAGCAGTGAGTAAGTTGAGGCTTCCGAGATTTTGGAGGAAAGAGAAATACAAAGCCAACAATTGTCTGTTAAAGAAGGATTAGAAACCGCTAGGAGAGAGTGAGATTGATAGTGTGGAGATAGCTGGGGAGAGGTAGAGGGTGCCATAAGAACAGGAACAAGAATAAGAGTGAGTGTAAAAGTAAAGAATAGGACCTCATCAGGGTGAAAGTATTGGAGTGTACCCTGTTACCAAAGATCATCTATCCACTCTAAGAGGGAGTTAAGAGTGGCAGTTTGGGGATAGCACCAGGAAATACCAGCTGTGATGGCTTGGAGAAACAGTGTAAACTGGCAATGTAAACAAGAGCAGGACATTTATGAATAGTTGAGAACAGTGAATAGGAGCATGACTAGACAGAAGATAGTAGGGATGACAAGTTTTTGGGGTGCAGTCCAAGTTGGGCTGGTGTCTGGAATGAAACTGGGGCCAAATAGAAAGGAGTGTCCATACAGGAGCTCAAATGGGCTGTACCCTGTAGCATCCTGTGGACAGACTCGAATTCTTAGAAGGGCAAGTGGTAAAAGTATTGTCCAGTCCTTTTTAAGTTGGAGGCTGAACTTGGTGAGGTGTGTGTTTAAAAGACCATTAGTCCGTTTTACCTTTCCTGAAGATTGAGGATGGTAAGGGGTCTGAAGGTTCCACTGAATACCAAGAGCCTGAGAAACTGCTTGGGTGATTTGATTAGTAAAGGCCTGTCTGTTATCAGACTGTATGGAGGTGGGAAGGCTGAACCGAGGAATTACGTCTGACAGAAGGGAAGAAATGACCATGGTGGCCTTCTCAGACCCTGTGGAAAAGGCCTCTACCCAGCCAGTGAAAGTGTCTACCCAGACCAAGAGGTATTTTAGTTTCCTGACTCAGGGCATGTGAGTAAAATTAATTTGCCAGTCCTGCGCAGGGCCAAATCCCCAGGCTTGATGTGTAGGGAAGGGAGGGGGCCTGAACAATCCCTGAGGAGGAGTAGAATAGCAGATGGAACACTGAGAAGTGATTTCCTTGAGGAGAGATTTCCATGATGGAAAGGAAATGAGAGGTTCTAAGAGATGGGCTAGCGGCTTGTAACCTACATGGAAGAGGCTATGAAATGATGACAGAATAGAATGGGCCTGTGAGGCTGGAAGGAGATATTTTCCTTGGTCTAAGAATCATTTGCCTTGTGTGGGAAGAGATTGATAGGTGGAAGTTTCAGTGGGGGAGTAGGTGGGAGTGACCAATGAGAAGGAGAAAAACCAGCCGTGAGGGACAGAAGTTGGAATGCTACCTGCTTCTTTAGTTACCTTGTCAGCATAAGTGTTGCCCTGAACAATGGGATCTGACGCCTTTTGATGGCCCTTGCAGTGAATGACTCCAGCTTCCTTTGGAAGTAAAGCAGCCATGAGAAGAGTTTTTATTAAAGAGGCCTTAATGATGGAGGACCCTTGCGTAGTGAGGAAACCTCTTTTTGCCTATGTAACAGCATGGTGGTGTAGGATATGGAAGGCATATTTAGAGTCATTATAAATATTGACACATACTCCTTTTGCAAGAGTGAGGGCTTGAGTTAAGGCAATGAGTTTGGCTTGCTGAGAGATAGTGGAGGGGGGCAGAAAGTATATGCATCAGGTGTGAGGAAGAAAATAGATTTTGCAAGTTATAAGAACTGTAGAGAGTGAGTTGAGCATAGTTTGTGATTTTGAGGGCCTCTAAGTATCAGGGCGGTGGCAGCCACCGCACAGAGACATGATGGCCAGCCTAAAACAGTAAGGTCAAGTTGTTTGGACAAAAAGGCTACAGGGCGTGGTCTGGCTCTTGTGTAAGGATTTTGACTGCACAGCCCTGCACTTCCGCTGTGTGTAATCAAAAAAGGGTTGGGATGAGTTAGGGAGAGCTATTGTGGGAGCAGCTTTTAGGGCTATTTTTTAAGGAATGGAAAGGGGAGTGGGGAAAGGATTTAGGATTTATGGGGTCAGCTAGGTTTTTTGTGTGTGTGTGAGTTTATATAATGGTTTTGTAAGGATGGCAAAACCAGGTATCCAAAGGTCAAAGTATCCAACCATGCCCAGGAAGGAAAGGAGTTGTTTTGTAGAAGGGGTTGGGGTTTGAGAGATCAATTGGACACAATTGGCAGGGAGAGCACGTGTTTTCATCAAGAATTATGCCAAGATAGGTAATGGATGAGGAAGAAATTTGGGCTTGACTGAAGCAATGGGGGCTGTCTGCGAAGCCTTGCGGAAGTACAGCCCAGGTAAATTGCTGAGTCTGATGGGTGTCAGGGTCAGTCCAAGTGAAAGCGAAGAGAGGCTGGGATGAAGGGTGCAAAGGAATAGTAAAGAAATCATGTTTGAGATCCAGAACAGAATAATGGGTTGTGGAGGGGTTGCGGAGGGAGGTATTGGGGATAGGAAAGTATATGGGTTTGGCACCACAGGGTGGTTAGGCAAAACAATTTGGTTGATAAGGCACAGATCCTGAACTAACTTGTAAGACTTGTCTGGTTTTTGGACAGGTAAAATGGTGGAATTGTAAGGAGAGTTTATAGGCTTTAAAAGGCCATGCTGTAACAGGGGAGTGATAACAGGCTTTAATCCTTTTAAAGTGTGCTGTGGGATGGGATATTGTCATTGAGCAGGGTAAGGGTGATTAGGTTTTAATGGGATGGTAAGGGGTGCATGATCAGTCGCCAAGGAGGGAATAGAGGTTTCCCATACCTGTGGATTAAGGTGGGGAGATACAAGGGGAGGATGCGAAGGAGGCTGTGAACTGGGGAAAAGGGTGGCAACGAGGTGTGGCTGTAGCCTAGGAACAGTCAGGGAAGCAAAGGATTGATCTCCCAAGGGAGGTCCCCCAATCCGAGTCACGGCACCAAATGTCATGCACACCCGTGTAAAGAGACCACCAAACAGGCTTTGTGTAAGCAATAAAGCTTTTTAATCACCTGGGTGCAGGCGGGCTTCCACACCAAATGTCATGCGCGTCCGTGTGAAGAGACCACCCAACAGGCTATGTGTGAGCAATAAAGCTGTTTATTTCACCAGGGTGCAGGCGGACTGAGTCCAAAAAGAGAGTCAGAGAAGGGAGATAGGGGTGGGGCTGTTTTACAGGATTTGGGTGGGTAGTGGAAAATTACAGTCAAAGGGGGTTGTTCTCTTGCGGGTAGGGGTGGGGGTCCCAAGGTGCTCAGTGGGGGAGGTTCTGAGCCAGGAGAAGGAATTTCACAAGGTTAATCGCTCAGTTAAGGTGGGGCAGAAACAAATCACAATGGCGCAATGTCATCAGTTAAGGCAGGAACCGGCCGTTTCCACTTCTTTTGTGATTCTTCACTTGCTTCAGGCCATCTGGATGTATACATGCAGGTCACAGGGGATTATGATGGTTTAGCTTGGGCTCAGAGGCCTGACAATAAGCATGTAGTTAAGGCTGTAGTTCTATTAATGCCATATTTGGTGTACTTCGCAATTCATAAAAATAGGTTTTCAATAAATTTGAACATACATACTCACTGAAAAAAGATACTTTGTAAAAATGGCTATAAAAATATGGTTAATGTTGGGTTAATATTGGATTCTGATATATTTCATACCTATGATCTCATTTTGTTTCTAGTTTTACTGATATAACCAACCTTGGACACCCAAAGATGTTGTTTTTATTTCTGAAATTACTCAGCTATAGTAAAGTATCAAGAATAGATATTTATATTTAAGAAGACTCACCCATCCCAGACACTGAACTCACTAATTAGCCGGTCAGAAAGATCACTAAGGAACAATTTACAATGCAATAAAAGTGATACGCTTTACTTTCTGAGTAACAGCAGAGCAAGAGGTTCCATAAGAATCCTGGCAAAGCAATCTTTCCACTTTCAATGTTGATCACTTAGATCTTGTGAAATTCGTGGTGATTTTTAGTATAAATGACTAGGAAAGCTATTATTTGTGCATAAGAGAAACCTAACTTAATTATATCCATAACTCAACAATTTGCTCAGTGCTTTTTTGTGCATTGGGAAATTATGTTTCAGAAAACCAAACCAAAACAAAACCAGTCGTTGAAATTTTCTTTATTAGACTCAGTACAAATCTTTCTTCATCCTTTATTAAGTGTTATTCTTGCAGTATATAAGAAGGGATCAGCAGCCCTCTACTATTTAATCATTAGTTTGAAGTTTCTATTGTTGTTCCTGGTGTGTATTGTTATATGCTGGAAAATTCTTAAGATGCAGTTGGTGCAGAGGTTAAGATATCAGCCATGGGCTCTGGGTTAAGGCAGAGCCTGATGCAAATCTCAGCTCTGCAATTTGCTGGCTGTGTGAGCTTTGGTAAGTTAATCACTGTGAACTGCAGTTTACTTCATGATATAATTCAGATAATAACAGCTCTAATAGCATTATTATAAACATTAAGTAAGATAACATCTATCGAATTACCACTTAACACAATGCCTGGTGTATAGTTCAAAATGCTTAATAAATGTTACCTGTAAATAGTTCCTAAAGTAAAAACTGGAGGCAAATAGAATAATCACAAGCTGAAACATCACTTTTGAAGCTGTTATCTGTGACCCTTAACTAAAAATGCGTCAGCTATTTAATATTAAACCAATTAATATGAATATCCTATCTCATGCTGTCTCTAAACTTTAGAAGACAGTCTTTTATTATTGCATAAAAATCTGTTGGAAATAATTTCTTAAGATCATAAAGAGTGCATTACATTTTCATTATATTATAAGCAAAATTTCATCCCTACAAAATAGAATGCCTATTTAACTCAAATAAATTTGATATACTTCCTTTTGGTTAAACAAGTATATTGCATTTTATAAGTAAATTATTTGGACTTGTCTGGCTTGTATCTGTCTTAAATCTTTTAGCAGATGTGGAAAACATGTTTATTTTTGCAGTGTTCAATAATTGTCTGCTAGGTTTTGTCACTGAATGCAAGCTCTAATTCAACTTCTGCTGAGAATTAGGCTTAAGTTATGATTGAGAATAAGAAAATTATGAGCAAGTTGCCAATTATATCTTGAAAAATGTTTACTTCTAAACATTTTGTTCTAAGTTGCATATTTCATTTAAACATGTCAATATTCTTTAATATTAGTCTAATCATTTAAAGGATGTTAGTTTTTTTGTGTAAGAAACACACAATTAATCAATGCATTTTCATTAACCACACCTGTGGGAGGCCTCATTTGGATTTGAACCAGGAGACCACTATTGACAGTTATCCCAAACAAAGACATAATATTAACCTAGGAGCCCCAAATATGTGTAGTGAGGAAAACTCACAATGGTTTGCCAGTGTTCTTATTACATTATTTCAAACTAAGGAATTTGATTTTGTAAATTAAAGTATGCCAAACATCCTCAGAATCTAAGTGTTGCACTGACCAATATGGTAATGCACTAGCCCCAAGTGACTATATGCTAAATTTAATTAAAATTAAATGAAATTTAAATTTAATACTTCAGTCCCACTGCTATACTTCAAGAACTTAATCCCAAATAGCTAGCACTTTCATATTAGAAAGTGCCTATATAGTTCCTGTCCATCACAGCAGGGTATTTCATTGGACAACACTAGTCTAGCGTTTCCATTTTCTATAGTAATGAAAACTAAAGTGAAAAAGAACTACTGAAATAATATGAATAGTAAATAGTCATTTTTTTATTTCTGTATTTTTCTCTGCCCACTTGTTTCTTATATTAATACAGAATCATCCAATAAGATTTCAGCCTAAAAATGGAATAATTTATTTTAATTAATAAATAATTCAGAAAAACAATCAAGAGTTAATCTTATGTTTTCTGAGGTATGTTTTCTGAGAATATAGAAAAAAAACCTGAGTGTTAGATGAATATTAACTTATACAGAGAAATCTAAAATAAAGATCTATTTATCAGTGGCAAATTAGGCAAAACTAGTAGACAAAATTCACTTCAATTTATAGTACCACACATTTGAGAGAATCCTCCATTCTTTTCTCATATTTTCAAAGAATGATACATTTCAGGGTTATTTCTCCACGCCTACCTTTCTTAGAAAAAGTGGCTAATTTGAGGCTTTCTTTTTTTTTTTTGAGATGGAGTCTCGCTCTGTCAGCCAGGCTGGAGTGCAGTGGTGCAATCTCGGCTCACTGCAACCTCCGCCTCCTGGGTTCAAGTGATTCTCCTGCCTTAGCCTCCCGAGTAGCTGGGATTACAGGCACCTGCCACCACACCTGGCTAATTTTTGTACTTTTAGTACAGGCGGGGTTTCACCGTGTTGGCCAGGCTGGTCTTAAGCTCTGGACTTCAAGTGATCCGCCCGCCTTGGCCTCCCAAAGGGTTGGGATTACAGGCATGAGCCACTGTGCCTAGCACTTTGAGACTCTTGCTACTTACGTCATTTTGCTAGTAAAGGGGATCATTGGGCCCAAAAGCAAGTCTCTATGTGTACTTGCTGAGAGCAGCCTGTGCTCAGATACAGCAGGCTCCTTCAGCCTGCTCTTTCACTCTGTGTCCAGGTACACTGTGCTCTCGCTGTGCAATTTTCTCTCCAGGACAGAGCTTTCCCTCTTTCTGTTTCAGGTTTAGATCGTCTTGTAGGAATGACTTGACTACAATTCAAACAATATGGACCTCACTTCAGTCCCAGATCTAAGCACAGTCTGTAAAGAAGCTTTTACCTGAGAGTCCTACATTGCTCGACTATTTTAAAAAAATGGTTCCCATAGGACTATTAGTTCTCTATTATTTGTTCCATTAGCCTGAACCTGGGGAGAATAAGATTTTTTTAATAAATGGAAAGCACAATGTACAATAGTGTTTCTTAAGCTTTTTTGGTTATCCCCTCCACCCTGCTTGCCAAGGAGCCTTTTTAGATATTTTTTCCCTAATCCCCCACTATGAAATTATAATACCCCAGATATGCTGTATCTGTAATTACTGTATGTATGTCTGTGCTTAATATTGTACATTAAAAAGATAAGAACTTTCCACCTTCCAATAATGAAGTTTTATCCCCTTGGGGGCGATATTGCCCTCTTTGATAATGTTTGACATACAGGAATTGAAACATCAGAAATAGATACTACTTTCAATATTGCAGAACATTGTCAAGTATATTTCAAACCATTTAGCTTGCTAGAGTGTGGAAATTAAGAAAATTTTTTTTTCTTCCTGCATGCAACATAATTTGCATATATCAACAGCGATGTAAGTAAGGAAATAACTTATTTGGGCTTTCTGAAAAGTCATAGTATCTGAAATCACCTGGCCCTTGACCTTAAAAGATCTTATGTCATTCTACTCCAGCATTTTTCACTGTAATTGCTTATAGGCAGGGAAGGATTGTGGAAGAATGAGAGACAAGGATATGGAGAAAGAACAGAGAAATGGCTGTAGGTACCTAGATCATGGCATATGGTACATCTTTAACTTTCCAATAACCATTAATTCAAGCCCATTAGCCAATAGCTTGCTCATGTTTCTTTTGAAGCCTCCTAAAACAATAGTTGACACCTGGAGAACATCTCTTACTCCCCAACTTCAATTATGAAAAGAAAATAATATTCAAATGTTAAGCACTGAATTCAATAAGAGAAAGCCAGTCACAGATTAAAGAAATAATTGCTAAGATTTACACTAACCTGTTTTTTCACTTAGTCAAAAATGTCCTCCATATTGGTTGATAAATCAAGAAATCTTTACAATTAAAATAAATGGTGCTTCACTGATATTTTCTTCCATTATGCTTTATAAAACTAATAGAATATGGGTTTTCAAAGAGTAACATATTATTCTTAAAATGTATTCAATTAAAGTTAACACAGGCAAAAATACACTCTCTAATGTATTCTATCATGCATTCCCTCATTCAGTGAATACTCTCTGTGGGCCTACTATGTGCCAGGCATTATGCACCAGACGAAAACATATCTTCTTGAGAAGCCAGTGCTAAGTCACTGTTCTTGTTCATATTTGGATCCCTTCCCTTTTCAGGTGAGTTTCTTACAAGAAAAGGGCTTAGTGTCTTTTCCCTTTGTTAAGTTTCTTAATGAAATTAGGCTTAGGAAGACTGAGTTCCCTATTCCGTCCTTTCTCTTCCTAAATCTTTACTGTATGTTGAGAGTAAATATTAAAAACTTTCTGACTGTACTTATCATATTCCAAGGCATTTCAGTGAGGAGCAGAAACAAGCTTTTTATTAAATCATCTCCAGTCATGTAAGGTTTTGGTGCTCTCCTTTTCACCCTTTTTTTTTTTTTTTTCACATGGAAACTTAATCTTGGAGGGGCTAAGTGAATACAACTTCGATTAAATTACTACTTTCACAAACAACTCAAGAATACTTAGTTCTTCTCCCTCTTCATTAGCTTCTATCTTCGTATTTCTTATCAAATATAAAATTTATAGAGAATTTATACCATAAATTCTCTCAAATGATGCACTTAAAATAATTTCATGATTAAAAACTAATATTATCTACCTATGCTAATCTGAAACATTAGCCTACAATTGTTATTTATTCACTTTGGGGAAAGAAGAAAAAAGTTTTGAGTAGTTACACTCCATTTATTAAAAATCCTTTATTTTCTAGTGTCTAAAATATTTCAATGTCTAGGAAGAAAAAAAATCCTCTTGTGAGGTTAATAATGTATTCAAAGCATTTTTCTATTAGTTAGTGAATTTAAAAAGCACATACAGAAAGAACACAAGTGGTAACAGAAAAGTGAGGATGATCTAACCCTACCTCACAGCCTAAAAAAAGAATGCTATGACTTGTTTCTGTGAGGTCCCCAAGTGGCAAGGAGAGAGTGCTCCATGGGGAGCTAACACCTGACATTTTGCACAGAAAGGTGTCTCCTAGAATTACCTCACACTCTGCATAGATATAGAGATTACTGTCATCTTCAGTGAGTTTGAGAGGGGCCTATAAATAGGATCAGGTGAGGTCTGAATAAGCAATGATGTGTGTCTGATCTTCTGATCCAGAATGAAATGAAAACATAATTAGTTAACACGGAATGTGCTTTTAAAATGCAGATATGTAATCCTTATCTTACTTTTGTATGTCTCTCATTTTTACCTTTGTTTACTGCAAATGATATGTGAGGTAGCATCCTGCCCTATTAAGTATGCAGATATGGAGAACATTCAGTAAGATAGCTTTTCATTATTTATTTAGGCAGAACATACAGTACTTGAAATCTGTGGGTTGCCATGAGGTTCCCATGGCAACTCTTCTATGGATAAGAATGCTTGACTAGGCTGGTAGACTTGCTGTTACCATCACCAGCCATACCATCATTTGAGGATACAGTACTCTCCCCTCATCTGTGCTGTCACTTTTCGTGGTTTCAGTTACCTTCAGTCAACCATGGTCTGAAAATAGGTGAGGTAAAATCAGATATTTTGAGAGAGAAAGAATACATTCACATAACTGTTACTACAAAATATTGTTATAATTGTCCTATTGTATTATTAGTTGTTGTTAATCTCTTACTGTGCCTATTTCCTAAATTAATCTTTATCATAGGTATGTAAGTATAGGAAAAATCATGGTATATATAGGGTTCGCTACTATTTGTGATTTCAGGCATCCGCTGGTCTTGGAACATATCCCCCAAGGCTCAGGGGGAGCTACTGTATCATCATCTTAACTTTGAAAGTTAACTTGTAAATGAATTTTGCATATTCTCTTACTGATCTGGAAATCTAAGGTCAAGCAAAAGTGATGTTTATTTGCTTCAATACATTTCCACTGAAAGAGGACAGGAACTAGAGACAGATTTTAAGCTTTCAGTTTTGTTTTTGGTTTTCCTATTTTTGTTTCCATCAAGTTAAATTCTACTATGGATTTTTTTAACTCAAAATTGATGAGCTCTAGCACTTTGTAGCGTAGTTATTTACATATTTAGTCTTAGGAACCTGGAACTGTAATCTCTAGGGATTTATTTATATTTTTTAAAAATGGATTAAGGCCTACATCAAAACTGAGATAGAGCTGCTTGAGTTTTGTTTCTCCCTCTATAATAACTAGAAATTGTATTCCTTTTCACATATTAAACACCGGAAACATTTTAAAAAAGGTAAACCCCAAAAATTGCTTTTTGAAGGTTCCTCAGAAAACTCCTTACTAATTTATATCTCGCAAAAAAACTTTTTTGTAGATTTCTGGACATAACTTCAACTATTGCATAACTACCTTTTGTTTTTTTCAGAAGTGACAAGTGTTGAATATATACTTCTAGATACAAAGCTGAAGGACTGATTTGGTGTTAAAAAAATAGGTGAATATGAGTCAAGTTAGGAAGTAATTGAATACCAGAGGAGAGGGAGGAAGTAGTGGGAAAATGTCTTTGGTAGTTGTCAACCCATTTGAAACATTTAAATTCAGAGTGCTATCCCTAGAAAATTGGAAAGCAGGTTAATTCTTTAACCACCATTATTCCCTCCCCATCTCTGAGCATAAAGTAAAAGTAATATACAATCCTTATTGTTCTTCTATTTTGTTTTGAAACACAAAATAAAATGAAATAGAATGAGCTTGATCAACTGGAAGGATGGAGTTGTCATAAACTGAGGGAGCAGAAATGTCCAGTGGCGCAAGTTTGGGGTGAATTTAGAATTCATTTTGGACGTTAACATACCTATTAGTCATTTAAATAAAGATGTCAGGGAGTTTGTGCATTTCTGAGTCCAAGTGTCTGGAAGAGAAATGTGTACATAAAAAACATAAATGGATCAAGCATGAACTCTGTGACCCTCCTACCTTAAGAGACAGGGAAAAGAGAATCAATTAGAAAAGGGGACTGAGAAAGTAGAGCCACCGCTAGTGTTTTGTTCTAGGTAAATGGCATTTCTTCGAATTGTGCACTAGGTGGCCCATCTGAGAGTGAGCCGTGAACTAGGAGGAGAAAAAAGTAAAAGAGTTTGATGTCCTGGAAGCCAAGTGGGAAACATTTTAAGGAGTAGAAAATTTTATCAATCACGCAAAAAACGTTAAGTATGATGAAGACTGAGGTCAGACCATCATAGTTTGCACTGTAAAAGCCATTGATGACTTTGAAAAGGGCAGTTTCCACTAATGGAGGGGGAAGCCTGATTAGAATAAGCTACAGAGGAAATGGGAGAAGAGGAATTGGGAGTCTGAGATTATTAATAATTTTGCAAAAGAAAGCAGAACAGCTCAGTAGCTGGTGAAATGGGCCAAAGCAAGGATAAAAAAAATAAGATGAGAGAGATAATAGCGATTTTACAAAATGGAAAAAATGATTGGGGGGGGAGAAAAATTGCTAGAGTTCTCTCTCTCAGTAAGCAAAGACAGTACACAAATAAAGTGATTAGCTTTAAGTAAAAGTACTCTGTAAAGAAGGCAGTCATAGAATATTGAGGAAAAAAGTAGGTTGGTAGGTGAACATGGTGATGGAAATCTGAATGTATTTGAGCTATCACAGGTTGGATTCACTGGAAGCAAATACTGAGATGGAAATTGGAATACTGAACATGTGTTAGGGATCAACACTTAGGGAAGGGAGAGAGAGGAAACACATGGATGGAGGAGAAATTCAAACTGCAGTACATGCTTGGCAAAGCTTAACCAACCCAAAGAGAGCTCTGGATTTGTTCCTCCAGCCTTTATGCTGCCCTCAACCACTCCTTCTGGAAATGGACATTGGATTTGGGCTCCCCCTAGAAAGGTGCACTTAGGGCTCTCCATAAGTGAGATGGACTTTATAGTTGCTGAATGCTGGAAGATATCTGCTAACCCCAGCAGCTGGGGTATAAGGCTCTTTTTGTGAAGAGGGATGTGGATGATACAGCTCTATGTCCACCCAATAAAACTGTTTCCATTTTCTCAGTACAAAGAGGAAAACAAAACTGCTACTGAGGAGGGATAGTGAAATCAGGGAACAGAAGGCTTGAAGGTTGTAGAGGAGAGTTATGAAATTGTCACCTTGGTGAGTGACAAGTGAATGGACTAGGAAAAAAATATTGCAGCTTTAAGGCTCCCTTTTAGGTTTGGTAGTTATGAATCTCAAGTGATACCAGACAGCATGAGTGTTGGGTTTTCTCCGATCACGTTCAACTCTATATGTGTAGATGCAGGAGCAAAGGGAGACAAGAAGAAAAATTGAGACATCAAACCATTAGTAGGAGGCCAGATTATTTAGAGACTTGTCAGCCATTTAAGAATCTTGTCTTTTGTTTCCCAGTTAGATGGCAAGCACTTCAGGGTTCCTTTTAATCCTTTTGGTTTTGAGAAATAATACATATATAGATAGTTCCAGAATATAAGTGTACAGCTCAAAAAACTATCACAAAGCGATCCCCCTTGTTACCTTAGTCAATCCAAGGAAGAGAGTATGGCCAGCATGGAAACGGTCCCCTCTGGTCCTCTCCCAATTATTATTCACTTCTCCACTTTCATAATTCCTCTCCTAACATCTATGGTAATCCCTTGTTTTTATTTTTTTAATAGTTATGCCATCAAAACTTGTAAGGTTAGTTTTAATTTTTTCATCTTTTCAAAAATGCAATTAGACCGTATATCCTTTTTGTATCTGGAAGTTTTGCTCTCCATCATGTTTTTGAGATGCATCCACAATGCTGCATTTGTAAGTTCAGCCGCCCACAGGATCAGACTTCAAGCTTGGTTTTCAGAAATTTTAACCCTGCAGCTACAGGAGATATTTCTCTGTGTCTGTGTTTTCCAGGACAATTATAGAAGTTTCCTGGATCCCTACCCAGGTTGTGGATTAGGATTTAAAGCCATGAACTCATCTTTTCCTTCTTCCGTATCCTCCAGTACACTTAGTAGAAATCAAATCAATGCAAAAGCCTTTATTCTTTATTCCCACAATAATGTTTATTGCAGCAACTACTTGATCACTTAAAGTTATCTTCTCCAGACCATAGCTACCTGTTTAGTTATTGCATGCCATGGACTACTTGTGTTTTATTTACCATGGCAATGAGGTCACTAATGCCTTTAAATCTAGTAGGATTCTCATCCTTAAAATTCTATTGCTTCTACTCTAATTCACTTCTATTACCAAAAACTGTATTAGCCAAGATTCGGTCAGAAAAACAAAGCCACTACAAATATCATGTGAAAAGGAGGTTTACCACAGGAATTAGAGCATACACCAATGTGTGGGAAACTGGAAAAGGAAAGACTGGAAGAGAATGGAGAAATAACAGCATCACTAATATGACAGTTGTGGGTATGTAGGAGCATGAGGTAAAATTCAGGAAACTGCATGTATCTAGCCACTGAAGTAGAACCACAGAGGGGATTTGTGGAGAGGTCTGTGGAATCTACTGCCTCTGAGGAAATGGCAATAAAGCACTTAGTAGTCAGCAGGTCCAGAAGCTGGGCAGAGCTAGAAGCTAGAGCTACCTGTGTCTGTCACTAAGTCTGGGACCAGGAGCTTCCTCCTGGTATTTACCCCTCCTTTGCTTCTACCTGTCCAATCTTGTGAGTGCCTTCCTTGATCAACTCGAATCCAGAATTATGCTGAACACAGGATTCCAGAAAATTTATTTTCAAGGCTTACACAGGAGTGGGAGTGCCAAGTTGATAAATTCAGAACATTCTGTTCATGTGATGAATAATGATGGATAATCACGTGTTAAACCAATCTCGTATTCCTGGAATAAGTCCCACTTGGTAGTGTATCTTCTTTTTATATTTGCTGTTTCCATGTTGTTAATTCACTCTGTGAGTAGTATTTTTATATCTACATTTGTGAGATCTGCTTGCAATTTTTCTTCTTTATAATGTCCTTGTCAGATTTTGGCATCAAGTTTATGTTGTCCTCACAAATGGGTGACATTGTCTCTTATTTTTCTACTTTCTGGTAAAGTTTACGTAAAATTACATATTTTGTCCTAAAATATTTAGTAAAATTCACTGGTAAAGGTATCTGGACCTGGGGTATTTGCTGTGGGAAGATTCTTTTATTTTTCCATATGGTTTCTACTTAATAGAGGACTACTCTGATAATTTATTCCTTTTTGTATCCATTTTCATAAGTTTTTCTAGAAATTTGACTATTTCACTTACATTTTTACATTTTATTGGCATAAAGTTATTCATAATATCATCCTATTTCCTATGACGGTTATCTTAACTATAAAAATGTGACAGTCAATTAGACTTTCTTCATAATGTCATCATAAATAAATTTCAAAACGTAGGATCATTAGGACCACAGGCATGAAAGACTCTACATTTTTTCTGTTATTCTCAATAAAGTTTGATACTATTGGCGATATAGGACAATAATTTTTTTATTTATTTTTTTTTTTTTTTGAGACAGAGTCTCGCTCTGTCGCCCAGGCTGGAGTGCAGTGGCGCCATCTCGGCTCACTGCAAGCTCCGCCTCCCAGGTTCACGCCATTCTCCTGCCTCAGCCTCCCGAGTAGCTGGGACTACAGGCGCCCACCACCGCGCCAGGCTAATTTTTTGTATTTTTAGTAGAGACGGGGTTTCACCGTGGTCTCGATCTCCTGACCTCGTGATCCACCCGCCTCGGCCTCCCAAAGTGCTGGGATTACAGGCGTGAGCCACCACACCCAGCCAGGACAATAATTTTTTTGAAGCCGTTGCCATACTCAGTATGATAATCATGTTTCTATTTATTTTTTGCCAATCTGATACACTCAAAATAGTATTCTTAATTTTATTTTTATTTCTTTAATTAAGTTTATTTGGAAGGTTGGGCAGTATTTTTGCAAATTTTTATTGGTAGTTTTTTTGTGACTGGGCTGACACATCCTGTGGGTTACATTTTGATTTAAATGAGTAAACAGGAAAAATCTACAAACAGAAAAGAAGTCAAGTTCTTTCAATATGACCACTGACCAGTGTTACTAATAGGAAATTACTACTGAAAATACAAGTTGTACCCTTTATAATGTGTACAAATGCAACAAAATCTTGCAGCTGTTTTGCATAATTCTTCCCTATCAGTTTTATTTGTAGAGATCTATTTCTATGCACAATTTTAAAAGTAAAACAAAAAACTACATTTGCCAAATTATCATGTATACTAATATCATCATGACACTAAATTGCCTCTTGAAGCAAAATTGATTTAATAAACCAATAAAGATGCAACAGATGCATTCAATTCAACAGATTTTAGAAGTCTAAGTTCTTGCTAAACTTATTCTAAATAAATTCCTAAAACTGACACAATATGGCAATCTGATGACACATCATCAGTTTTTGATTGATATTGAGTTAATGCTAATAAACAACAATCCAGTTTCCAACTAATTAATAGGTCCAAAAATGTTATGAAGTTTTAACCCAGTGGTGTATACATAAGTGAAACCCTTGAAAATGTGTAGTTTAATTATGAAACTGCTACCACAAGTGTCCTTATTATGGAATTTTGAGAAAATTATAATTGGATGAATAGAAAAGTGTTATCACTGAGTTAACCTTGAATTATTTTTGTTCGTGTGTGTGTGTATGTCTGTGTGTGTGTGAGAGAGAGATCTGTATTAAGGCATATATGGGTATTAAATATATGCAGTTAGTTTCTAGCAGAATTTCTTAGCACTAATGTCTCCTTAAATATAAATTTAACAGTTTTTTTCCTTAGTCTTTGTTATAATATTTCTTCTTCTCTTCCTCAATTCCAACTTTGAAAATCTTGTGGTTTACTAGTGCCTTTGAGGAATCCTACAATAGTGGCTACAAGCTCAGATCCTGGGATCAGACAACTCCTGTGTTCCACATGATTTCATCAAGTACTAGCTGCAAGAAATCAAACAAAATCTTTAACCTATACAAGTCTTCACTTTTCTTCCTTATAAAATGTTAATGTTTACTACCTCACAAAATTGTTGTGAAGATGTAAACACATAAAAGATGCAAAATATATCCCTTTTTTCAGGGACGACCACCCTACCTAGCCATTCAAACCATCAATAAAGCCAAGAGTCATTCCAGACATCTTCCTTCTGCAGCACAATCCCTAACATTGCAGAGTCCTGTCAATTCATGTCCCATTACTTCCAGGATAAAATCCAAACTCCTCAGTAAGGCCCCAAAGGTCTCCTGTCACCTGACTTATGGTTACTTTCTAGCTCTAGGAATTGTTTTCTTCTATTCCATCCTTGTACACTCTTCATACCCGTCATACCTATCTACCTGCTGGTTTCAAAACATGCTGAGCTGTTTTACAGTTCTACGGCTTTTCTCAGGTTTATCTTTTATTTTTTAAGATTCAGCCCTAAGATCATGTTCTCTGTGAATTATTCCCTACCTTCCTCCTCTTCCCATCTGTACCCAAGGTGGAATAGACTTTTCTCACCTCTATGTTCCCACCATACCTTGTACAAACATATACTTGTATTATAGCACCTAGTGTCTTTATTCATCCATTTTCTAATATTGCACTTAGGATTGCATTCCCAGCATCAAATGACTGACCAATAATAAGCACAAAACAAATGTTCATTGAATAAATGAATATATTAAATTTCAATGGCTCTCTAATTTCACTAGGTTGGTTCATTAACGGAAATATTAACAGCAACTTATATGTACTTCTCCACTTGTTGCTCCAAGAGATTTACAGGTTTGTGCTTCTATTTTTTTTTTTCATACTTTCAAGTAAATCTAAGTACATGGCCTCAGATGGCTTTCTCATCCTGAACTATTTTACAAAGTAGAGAAAACCAGAAAGGGAAAGCAAATGTCTCCTAGGATACTAAGTCTTCTCTTATTATTTTTAAACTCCCTGGAAGCAATACACACACACACACACACACACACACACACACACACACGCATGAATACATCATCCATTATTCGTTGCTATCTGTAAAGGTCAGCACTCTGGTATGTTTATGGATAGAACAGCATGGATACACTCTTACTGAATGATCATATAAAGATCAACCCAAAAACCTTGCAGATTGATTAGCCTTAATCATTTGGTAGCCAAATTTTGGTGTCATCTGAAGTTGAATTTTTTTAAGCAAATTTTATTATCCTAGGGAAAAAATAATAATTTTTCTAAAATGCTATGATTTCCAAATTAGAGGTGATAGGGTCCTCTCAAAACCAGTTCCAAGAAAAAGAGAATTCATGTTCCATTTATCTTTCAGAGCCATTTTTGATGAACAACTGACCTGGAAATCTGTGCTAAAATAGGTTTATGATACCTTGTGAAATACTTTCAAGTCATTAAAAAAAAAGAATCCTCACTAATGCTTGTCACAATAATCTTGAATCCACACATATAAACCACTATACTCTAGAAACACAAAGGAGAATCCCAGGGGTGATGAATCAGAAAGCGGTATCTAGAAACAAGGTTTCAGTTACTGTCTCTCAAGTAGCTTCTCTGTACTAGAGTAGGGACAGGTGTAATAAAACAGTGCTGGCCCTCAGACAATACTTAAACAGAAAAGATGATTTAAGCAATCAATTACAATAAAATGTCATGAATATTATGACAAGTAGAGCACTGTATGAGAACTGAAGTCTATTCTCATATCTCATGTTACATTCACAGACAGAAATAAAACCTATTTTTGGCCAGGCACGGTGGCTCACGCCTGTAATCCCAGCACTTTGGGATGCCAAGGCAGGTGGATCACCCAAGGTCAGGAGTTTGAGACCAGCCTGGCCAACATGGCGAAACCCCGTCTCTACTAAAAACACAAAAATTAGCCGGGCGTGGTGGCACATGCCTGTAGTCCCAGCTACTTGGGAGGATGAGGCACAAGAATCACTTAAACCCGGGAGGTAGAGGCTGCAGTGAGCCAATATCGCACCATTGCACTCCAGGCTGGGCGACAGAGAGAGACGCTGTCTCAAAAAAAGAAAAAAAAAAGAAATAAAACTTATTTTATATGAGCATTTGTAACGGTCATTGCTACTTGCCCACATTAGGAACTGTCATGACATATCTATCCAGTCCAGCCAGCTATGTGAAAAAGTACCTGGATGGGTCCTTTGACTAGAACTCTATGAGAACTAACAAAATATTAACTAGCATGACTGAATCTACTTTTTTATAAGGGCAATTTATATATTTTGCTTTTCTATAACAAAAACAAATTATGCAACTATAAGACTTATATATAAACTTTCAGGTCCTCTAAGTAAATGGAGAGACACCTTAGCCTATTAGGCCTATGAGAATGGTCTCATTCTGGTCTTCATTTCTCTCCTTCCAGAAACCTCTCTGAATGATTTTCTACATTCCATTTGTATCTTATCCTTTTCTGTTGTTGTTGCGTATGGGCATTTTTTAACTATTTGTAGAATGTCCTTAGAATTTGTGTGGACTTGCTCAGATTTCACTGTTTATCACAATATGCCTGGAATCAGCTTCATAAAATAGGGACAGACCATTAAATTTGTTAAGCTGAATATAGTGCCCCTTCTTTTAATGTAAGAATGATTTCCTATTTATATCCTAAATGACGGACTCTTTGTCTCCAGCCTCTTTTTCTGTCTTCAGATACTACTTTGAAAACAAGATGAAAGCCATGGAATCTCCCGAGAAAAATGTACATCTTACAGACTTTCAGTGAGTTCTGGAATACCAGGAACCAGAGCCCACACTAATGAACAGCAGTTTCCTAACCTAATGCGAGAGATTTGAGATTTCTTCTGGCTCCCATGATCTTCTAATTGTCTTCTTAGCAAGACTAAACACATCTCCAAGAAATGTGCACTGCCATGAATGTCTTCCAGCTATCTTCTATGACAGCACTTCCCAGTGTGTTCTGTGGAATAATGGTACAGGGTGATATTCTATGAAGAAAAATACGGAAAGTAATATACTCCACAGTCCGTATATTAGATCGGACTAATAAAAATAAATATGGAAAGTAATATATTCCACAGTCATATATTAGATCGCCTACACAACAGCAATTTGATATAGTTTAATAGGATTTGAATGAATAAAATTAATGCCCACAGCTACTTTCTTCTGCCGGTAAATATTTTTCTGCCCATAATCTTGCTAAACAGAATTCATCTGAACTTACGTTGTTGCCAACAAATATACGAACAATTATACCTAATCAAAAACAAAAACCAAACTGATGTTAAAGAAAATTAATCATTTGCTTTGAATAAATCAACTATTAAGAAAGCTTATATAATTGAGCCTAACAGTGCCAAATCATGTCTGAGATGAAATGCTGCATGATACATAATCAAACAGACATTTGCAAGAGCTGTGGGTTGGGGGAGAGTGCAAATGTTTCCCAGCACTCCTGTATGTCATGGGAGCACACAATAAAACACTTGAAAAGCTGCAATAATAAAAGGTTTAAAGAGCTGCAATAATAGGTTTTGCACACTGTAGTGGCTACTGACACTGAGAACATTTTAGAAGTTCATCTCTATCATCCAAACACTACACACCACCATATCTATCTATTACGTTTTAATAGGAATTCTATACTAATATTTTATCCCTTTGCATCTGCTCTATTTTACTATTTGGGTCATATCTCTTGTTAGAAACAATGTTTGGCCCATCTATCCTCAATATAAATAAAAAGCTTTTACCACATAAACAAGGTCAGTTTGTTCTGTTTGAAAGATGGAGTAATGGAACTAACTGTAAGATATGCAATGTAAAATTTATTCCCATTTCACCTTTATATGAGTAGAAATGAAAGGGTACTCAACTAAAATATGCGTAACAATTAGGCTTTCTGTACTAGCCTTCAAATAAATATGTGTGTACTTATACAGATAATAGTGTAAATGTATGCTTTCTATAGAATGCACAGAAGAAAATATTTGATGTTTTTCTTCATGGCTTATTTTCATTATTAAGTATTTTACCATTTGATACATGAATCTGTACTTTGTTTTCAGGTAATTGCATATATCTAGTCTGCCAATGACAGCAATTTATCATTGCACAGAGTCAAAAATGAGATGTAATTTTATTGCTGCTAGTAGCTCAAAACAAGTCCTTTGGTCTGATTTATTTATTTTTTTTGAGACGGAGTCTCGCTTTGTCAACCAGGCTAGAGTGTAGTGGAGCGATCTAGGCTCACTGCAACCTCCGCCTCTCGGGTTCAAGCAATTCTCCTGCCTCAGACTCCCGAGTAGCTGGAATTACAGGGATGCACCACCACACCCAGCTAATTTTTGTGTTTTAGTAGAGATGGGATTTCACCATGTTGGCCAGGCTGGTCTCGAACTCCTGACCTCAAGTGATCTGCCTGCCTCAGCCTCCCAAAGTGTTGGGATTACAGGTGTGAGCCACCCCGCCCAGCCTGATAGGTAATATTAAGGGAATATTTCTCAACTTTAATTTCAGCCACACTATAGAAAATAGTCCCTTGGTTTCTGGAACATAATTGCATGTAGTCCATTTCCATACAGGATATTATCCATATCCTAATTTATATCCATATAAATTTAGGATTGGACTGGGTTACAAAATGAGAAGTAAAAAAAAACTTTTGAAATACTGGCAATTTATCTGCAGAAAAGGACACAAATATGTGCATTTTTTTCTTTTGTATCCCGAATGCACTAAATCATGAACAGTGTAGCTGCAACATTACCTGAAAATGAATTCTTGTGAATAATACTGTTCTTTATTTTTTATATTTTCCAGCTTGCATTACTAAAATTACCTACTTTTTAAACATTTAGACCTCAGAGATTATTATTGGTGTTAAACATGAAACGTCAGACTGAATATTTTATGAATGCATATTGTGTGAACATGAATTCATTCTACAAATTAGTTTTTAATTCTTTTTTTAAGATCTAATATTTAATAATACACTAATTTACTTTCCTTAGCACTTATAGAAGTACATGACTGCTTATTTCAAAAAATTCTAAATACCCTGAGCAGGTTAAGATAGTGTCCTAAGTAAAGAATTTCCTCAAGTCTGCTTTATGTGCCTCAGCCAGATTGGGAAAGACTGAGAAGTAAAGACACAGAAAGAATTGTTTATCTTCTTTTGCTTATATTTCCTGATTTGAGTCATCCAGAGGTGAAAGAGATTGCCTTTTCTGCAACAGAAAATAACTCAATAATGGCAAGTTGTGTAAAAGAACTAGTACGAAGCATTGAGCCAGTTTAACATACTGCCTAAAAACTTTTAAGTTAATAAAATCAAATCCAAATGCCAAACATTATCGTTGAAAGAAAATACATACAAATGACACATTATATTTGAGACTCTATGTCTCCCTAATTCAATGATTAGGACTTTAAGAAACTGTTCCTTAAAACATACAGTAAGATTTCCAATACCTGAGAATTTTAAATACCACTTCTTTATATTTAATAAATAGCTTAAAATTATAGCAAACTGGAATTCAGATTCTCATTTCTTTACCAAATTGGCCTCAATTTTTTTTAAATATAGTTGCTGTTCACCAGCTCTAAACAATCAACAAAAAATGCAGAACAAAAAGAAGTGGAGAGGAGTGACAAATCACAATTTGGTGGGAAAAGAGGAAAAGAATGAGAAAGCATTCGATATTCATTGCCCCAAAACAATGGAGACCTGTACACAGGCACCATGGTAATTACTTACATCTTCCCTATGTCCCACTAGTACATATTAATAATTTAGTTTCTATTACTAGTCACTTACCTACACAGAAGAAACTGATACATTTTGGAATTTATATGACTTAACTACATGGCTTTTAAGAAGTATCCTACTATAGTTTGACTGTCTGTCCCCTCCAAAACTCATGTTGCAATTTAGTTGCCACTGTAACAGTATTAAGAGATGGGACCTTTAACAGGTGAGTAGACCATGAGGGCTCCCCCCTCACTGGGGGACTTCTACCATTATAAGGGTGAGTTCAGCCACTCCTGTCCTCTCTTACCCTCCTGCCTTCACCATGTGATGACATAGCAAGAAGGCCTTCACAAGATGCCATGCCTTGATATTGGACTTCCCAGACTCCAGAAGTGTGAGCCAATAAATTTCTGTTCATTATACATTACCCAGTCTGTGATATTCTGATAAAAAAGCACAAAACAGAACATGTCCTTTGGTAAGTTATGAAACTGCACTCTATTCCAGGTTTCCCCTAGACAGTCTGTAATAGTCTGTTTTATATTGCTATAAAGAAATGCCTGAAGCTGAGTAATTTATTAAGAAAAGAGGTTTATTTAGCTCACAGTTCTACAGGTTGTAAAAGGAACATGACACCAACATCTGCCTCTGGTTAGAGCCTCAGGAAGCTTTCAATCACAGGGAAGGTGAAGTGGGAGCAGTTATGTCACACGGTGAGTGTGAGCAAGAGAGGTGCCATGCTCTTTTAAACAACAGCTCTTGTGTGAACTAACAGAGTGAGAACTCACACATTACCATGGGGACAGCACCAAACCATTCATAAGGGTTCCATCCCATGACCGAAACACCTCCACGAGGATCACATTTCAACACAAGATTTGGAGGGGACAAAGGTCCAAACTGTAGCACAGTCTCAACCCAGTTATTTCAATTATCTATTTCTAATAAGTAAACAAGTCACCCAATTACCATGGTGTGATCATAGCTCATTGGAGCCTCAACCTCCTGGGTTCAAGTGATCTTCCTGCCTCAGCCACTTGAGTAGCTGAGACTACAGGCATGCGTAACCATGCTCGGCTAATTTTTGTATTTTTTGTAGACAAGGTTTCACCATGTTGCCCAGGTTGGTGGTCTTGAACTCCTGGGCTCTAGCAATCCTCCTGCCTCAGCCTCCCAAAGTGTTGGGATTACAGGCATGAACCACCCTACCCGGCCTACAGCTACTCACCTTAATAAAACAAATATATTAGCTTAGGCAATGATTTTAATTTCATTCTATATTTGCAACTGTAGACATGCAAAGGGGTTATCCATACACAATCATGTGAATGTCAGCCTACCTTATTATATAGTAAAAGGCTAATATAAAGAATTCTCCATAGAAAGTGAGAAACTGTGTGAGTGGAACATTTTAAGTATTTGCCTTTACATCAGTTTAAAGATCTAGGGACACAATTTTAAAGAAGCACTGTAAGATTAAGGTGAGGATAATGACAACTGCATTATTTCTCTCTCCCCAATAAGAGACAGTTGGTGACTTAGTCCTTTTGTGCTGCTGTAACAAAATACCACAGGCTGAGTAATTTATAAAAACAATAGAAATTTATGCTGGGCATGGTGGCTTGCGCCTGTAATCTCAGCTACTCAAAAGGCTGAGACAAAGGGATTGCTTGAGGCCAGGTGTCCGAGGGCAGCTAAGACAACATAGCAAGACCCTGTCTCTAAAATAAATAAGTACGCCTTACAGTTCTGGATGCTGGGAAGTCAAGATGAAGGCATTAGCAGGTTTAGTGTCCGGTGATGGTTGCTCTCTGCTTACAAGATGGCACCCTGTTGCCACATCCTCCAGAGGGAGGAATACTGAGTCTTCTTCACATGGTGGATGAGACTGAAGAGCAAAATGGATCTAAGCCAGTTCCTTCCAGCCCCTTTTATAAGGCACTAATCCATACATAAGTGCAGAGCCCTCATGACTTAATCACTTCCCAATACTTTAAACAATTTCTTTAGATTATTTATAATGCCTAATACAACGTAAACCTTATATAAATAGTTATACTTTATTGTTTAGGGAATAATTACAAGAAAAAAAAAGTCTACCATGTTCAGTACAGGTGCAACCACACATTTTATTTTTTCTATATGTTTTCGATCCACAATTGGTTGAACCCACAGATGCAGAACCCACAGACATAGAGGGCCAATTTGTATAGAGAGGAAGGCAACCAGACCTAAGTGGTTAAGACACCAACTTAATTTAAAGCAAAGATCAAATGGTATAATTCAGATGTTTCTGTAGATAGTAAACATCCAGTCAGATAATACTACAGGCATACACTGTTTTATTGTACTTCATTGTACTATACTTCATATATATTGCATTTTTTACAAATCGAAGGTTTGTAGCAATCCCACACCTAGCAAGTGTATCAACTCCATTTTCCCAACAGCATATGCTCACTTCATGTATTCTGTCGCATTCTGGTAATTCTCCCAATATTCTGAACTTTTTCTTAACTGTTATTTGTGTTATAGCGATCTCAATCAGTGATCTTTGATGTTACTATTGTTTTGGAGGCACCATGAACTATGCCCATATAATATAGTGAACTTAATGGATACATGTGTATGTTCTGACTGCTCCACACATCTGCTGTTTCCTTTTCTCTCTCCTCAGGCCTTCCTATTTCGTGAAACAGCAACACTGAAATTAAACCAATCACTAGCCGTATAATGACCTCTAAGTATTCAAGTGAAAGGAAGAGTTGTACATCTCTCACTTTACATCAAAAGTTAGAAATGATTAAGCTTATTGAGGACAGCATGTTGACAGCTGAGGCAAACTAAAAGCTAGGCCTCTTGTGCCAAACAGCCAAGTTGCGAATGCAAAGAAAAAGTTCTTAAAAGAAACTAAAAGTACTACTCCAGTGAACACAGGAATAAGAAAGCAAAACAGCTTTACAGCAGATATGGAGTAAGTTTAAATGGTCTGGATAAAAGATCAAACCAGTTACAACATTCCCTTAAGCCAAAGCCTAATCCAGAGCGGGCCCTAACTCTCTTCGATTCTACGAAGGCTGAGAGAAACCGCAGAGGGAAACTGCAGTGGGAAACTGCAGTGGGAAGGTAGCAGAGGTTGGCTCATGAGGTTTAAGGAAAGAAGCCATCTCCATAACATAAAAGTGCAAGATGAAGCTGTAAGTTATCCAGAAGATCTAGATAAGATGGATGCACTAAACACTAAACAACAGATTTTCAGTGTACATAAAATAGCCTTATATTCAAAGAAGATGCCATCTAGGATTTTCATAGCTGTAGAACGGGAATCAATGCCTGGCTTCCAAGCTTCAAAGGACAGGCTATCTTGTTAGGGGTACTGCAGCTGGTGACTTAAAGTTGAAGCCAATGCTCATTTACAATTCCAAAAATCCTAGGGTCCTTAAGAATTTTGCTAAATGTACTCTGCCTGTGCTCTATAGACTCTATAGATAGAAAAACTATGCCTGGATGACAGCACATCTTTTAAAATCATGGTTTACTGAAGACGTTAAGTCCACCATTCAGTAAAAGATTTCTTTTGAAATGCTACTGATCATTAACAATGTACCTGGTCACCCAAGAACTCCAATGGAGATGTACAAGGAGTTGAATTTTTTTAATGCCTGCTAACACATCCATTCCATAGCCCATGGATCAAGGAATAGTTTTGACTTTCAAGTCTTATTATGCAAGAATATTTTTTGCAAGGCTATAGCTGTCACAGTGATTCCTCTGATGGATTTGGGCAAAGTAAACTGGAAACCTTCTGGAAAGGATTCACCATTTAAGATGTCATTAAGAACATTGATGATTTATGAGGGGGGTCAAAATACCAATATTAACAGGAGTTTGGGAGAAGTTGATTCCAACCCTCATTAATAATTTTGAGGTGTTTAAGACTTCACTGGAGGAAATAACTGAATATGTGGTAGAAATAGGAAGAGAACTAGAATTAGAAGTGGAACCTAAAGATGTGACTGAATTGCTGCAATCTCACGAAAAAACTTGAACAGATGAGGAGTTACTTCTTATGCATAAGCAAAAATGAGGTTTCTCAAGTAAAAGCTACTCATGGTGAAGACGCTATGAACACTGTTGAAATGATAACAAAGGACTTAGAATGCTACCTTCTTAGTTGATAAGGCAGTGGCAGGGTTTGAGAGGACTTGATCCCAAATTTCAAAGTTTTACAGAGAATAAAATGCTATCAAGTAGCATCACATGCTACACAGAAATCTTTGGTGAAAGGAAGAGCCAATTAATGTAGCACACTTCACTGCTATCTATTAGGAGAAACTGCCACTTTTAGCAACAACTACCCTGATTAGTCAGCGGCCAACAGCACTTGAGTCCAGACCTTCCAACAGCTAAAAGACTGTAACTCACTGCAGGCTCAAAGGGTCATTATTATTTTTTGAACAGTAAAGTATTCTCCAATTGAGATATGCACATTGGTTTTTTTAGACACAATGCTATTGCATACTTAATAAACTAAAGTAGCATGTAAACGTAACTTTTATATGCATTTGGAAACCAAAAAGTTTGTGTGACTCACTTGACTGCAATGGTCTGGATCCGAGGCCACAATATCTGTGAGATATACCTGTACCTGGGGTAAAGAAATGGACAGATTTTTACTTTGAGATGGAGTCTTGCTCTGCCACCCAGGCTGGAGTGCAATGGTGTGATCTCAGCTCATTGCAACCTCTGCCTCCCAGGTTCAAATAATTCTCCTGCCTCAGCCTCCCGAGTAGCTGGGATTACAGGCACGTGCCACCACGCTCGGCTAATTTTTGTATTTTTACTAGAGGCAGGGTTTCGTTATGTTGGCCAGGCTGGTCTCGAACTCCTGACCTCAGGTGATCCACCCACCTCAGCCTCCCAAAGCGCTGGGATTACAGGCATGAGCCACTGCACCCGGCCGAAATGGACAGGTTTTTAAATGCCATGATGATCAGAACAGCTTGATGACTAATAATAACATGTTACTGTTCCCATTCTTGTGGAAAAGGATTTGGGTTTTTCTTTTAGTGCTTTTAGATATAATCTCATGAACTCTTACAATATTCTAACAATCATAAAAAGACTGTGCTATAACCTGTGAAGGTAACTTCTAAAGAGAAGTTGCAAAAATATTTTTAAAAATAATGAAGAAAGTACTCATATGATAAAGTTAAGGTATACCAAGGCAGAGCCTCTCAACTTGTGTACTAGGAATGCTGCAAAGAGTCCCCTCAGCTCATGGGGAAGAAAAGTGGGGCCTTAGTGCAACCAGAGCGCATGGGCTTGTGCTAAGTGGTCTCCAGATTACTCCAATGTGCCATACAAATACTGTTTCCTAAGTGTGTAAAGGAATGTAAGATTGGGAAACATCTACTTAGTGGAAACTGCTAATAAGAAAACCAGAAGAACTAGGTTCAACTCCTTGTCAACTCACTAGCTGAGTGATCTTAGTTAAATTATTTTAACCTCTTTGGAACACTTAGGCTCCTCATTTACTAAATGAAAACTGGAGTATTTCAATGGTCTCTTCTAGTTCTAAAACTCATAATTTCCCTTACATTGACACTTCATAATATAAAGCAGTAGTCATTACTCATTTAATTAAAAACTCTTAATTCAGATATTCAATAACTATTTGTTATTTATGGAACCTAGTCTGCATGTGAGGATCTGGAAAACAAATATGGAAGACAAAATCCCTAAATAGATCTTATTGTGAATAATCTTTGCATCCCTTTTAGGAGGTTAAATAGTAAAGCCTTCTGAACAGTGCCCAAATAAAGGAATTATTTTGCACAGATAATGGAAGCTTGCCTATGCATAATAAATATTTTTTACTTTAGCTATAATCAGAGCTTCTACCAATATATAAGAATTTTCTCCTCTATATCCCTCAACTGCTTTAAAAAGAAAAATTATGGTCATTTAAACTTACTCACAAATTACATTTATAATTAAAATTGATTTCCAAAGTATAAATTTATAAAAATAGTTTAAAGACTCTCAAAAGGACTTCATCTTATATTCAGATTATAGCAAGAAAATCAATGTGCTCCATATATTTTACCCATGATGAAACTTGTCCCATATCCATTACTATATATATATATATATAGTTTAACTGGGTGGGGTTGGGAGGGAGAAGGCATGAATTCAAAATTTTAATTAAATATTACATAATTTAATGTTCTCCCAAGAATTTGAGCTGACATTTTCATATGAATACAATTTCACAAAGGTTACAAATATATATCAACTTACAACAGAAGGAATCATTTAGTATTTTACAGTGTTTTTAAAAATCTAGCTCCATAATCACTCTTGAAAAAAAAAAATCCTTACCACATAATATGAAAAGTCCACATTTCTCTGGAAATGCATAGTCACCTAATAGTAAGGTCCAAAATGAGAATTACTATCTCCAGAAGAGGGTGGAGGAGGCAGTGGTGGAGGGGGAGGGGGTGGGGGTAGGGAGTATGGTAAGTTAAGTAATGGATGAGCAGCCATGTTTGGTGTAGCCCAACCCATGTTTACAGGTGGGGGTGGTGGTGGGGGTGGAGGGCGGAGGGGAAAATTATGCATGTCAAACACTGGAAGAGGAAAGGGGTATTGTGGCATAATGGGATTATTTTGTCTCTGAGAAGGAAATCCTGAAGTCTCCTGAGATACCATATGTTCTGAGTTATAGAAATGCTGAGGTGGAGGCCTGCCATGGCAAGATCGAGGGTATCTGGCCCTGGAAAATCCTCGTGTGAATTCTCTGTTACGATATCCTTTTGCATGCTCTGAAGCAGAGCTATGAGCATTCCAATTCTGATGTACTTCAGTAAAATCTTCACCTTTGAGTGAGGGGAGGGAAAACATAAAAAGGAAAATAAGTTTAATATATCAAAAAGCATTGTTTGAAATTTCAATTATGATTTTTATTATCCAGTATATCTTGTGGCAGTTAAAAAAGTGTAAGACATAAAATGGTAAATTTGAAATGAACTGAAAAGACAAAACTTAATGCCAAAGAAAGAGAACCCAGCAAGTCAGAAAACACTTAGATGATAACCATTCTACTCTAGCCAAACACCACAGAAGAAAATGTGGCACCATCCCTACACACTCTCAAAGGCTGAGTACAGATCCTAGACTTCTATCCTTGACAGGCAGTAATGAGGTACTCCAACCCTTCCACCACAGTAGCATCAGGAACAGGCTGAACAGGGTGCCAGTAACAAGCCTCCCTGCAAACAATGAACATCACATGGGGAACCTGAACTTCCACCTCCACTGGCGGCAACCCAGTGTTCTTCCCTCTTTTACACTGGGGCAATGTCAGAGAAGATGGAGTAGAGTTAGGATTTTTGTCCCCAACCAGTGATAACAAGGCCATCCTCCACTGGTGTCAGTGCATACCATATGGGGAGGAGTGACAAAGTACTCCTGTCCCTACCAGGCATAAGACCTCGTGGGATGTCAGAACTTCTACCCTCATCCAGCAGTAACAAGGCACCCCTTGGCCAAAGGTGTCAACAGAGGCTAAGAGGAATACCTAGACTTCAATCTACCCTGTTCCTTTCGCTGCCAGAGTAGCATTTTTAAAAAGACAAAGAAACAATCACAACAAACCCAGCTAAATCAGAAGATTTACATAAGATCCATGGTCTTGTAATATAATACTCAATATACCCAGGTTGCAATAAAAGAAAATTGCTCATCACAAAAAGAACCAGGAAGACTTCAAATTCAATGAAAAAAATAAATCAAGCAAGGGTGTCACAAAGATGTTAGAATTATGAAAGGTATTAAAGCAGTCATAAAAATGCTTCAACAAGATATTATGAACATTCTAAAAAATTAAAATTACAAAGTTTTAGGAAAAAAAGAAGATATAAAATAAAGAACAAATTGCAATTTTAGAACTGAACATTACAATAACCAAAATTAAAAACTCAATGGAACAATATTGAAGGAGAAGAACAAAGCTGGAGGACGGAAACTACCCAACTTCAAGACGTATTATAAAGTTTAAGTAATCACAGCAGTGTGGTACTGGTGAAAGGACACACAAATAAATCAATGGGACAAAATAGAAGGTACAAAAATAGACCCACATAAACATACAAAAATAGACCCACATAAACATAATAAACGGATATTTAACGAAGGAGCAAAAGCAATACAACAGAGCATAAGTAGTGTTTTCAACAAATGGGGCTGGAACACCTGGACATCCACATGCAAAAAGAATAAATCTAGACAATAACCTTACACCGTTCACAAGAATTAATTCAAAATGGACCACAGACCTCAATGTAAAATGCAGAATTACAAAATTCCTAAAAGATAACATAGAAGAAAATTTAGACAACCTTGGGTTGATAATGACTCTTTTTTTAGAGACGGAGTCTCGCTCTGTAGCCCTGGCTGGAGTGCAGTGGCACGATCTCAGCTCACTGCAACCTCCGCTGCCCGGGTCCCAGCTGACGCAATTCTCCTGCCTCAGCCTCCCAAGTAGGAATGCGCCACCATGCCCAGCTAATTTTTGTATTTTTAGTAGAGATGGGGTTTCACCATGTTGACCAGGCTGGTCTTGAACTCCTGACTTCCTGATCTGCCTGCCTCGGCCTCCCAAAGTGCTGGGATTACAGGCATTGGGCCACTGCGCTCGGCCAATAATGACTTTTTAGATAATGACTTCTTAGATAGGACATCAAAGGCATGACCCATGAAAGAAATAATCAATATGCTGAATTTCATTAAACTTAACAATTTCTGCTCCACGAAAGATACTATCAGGAGAATGAAAGAAAAAAGCTCAGAAGTTCAAGGTTACAGTGAGCTATGATTGTACCACTGCATTCTAGCCTGGGCAACAGAGCAAGAATATCTCAAAAAACAGACAAAAACAAAAACAAAAACAAAAAAACCTCAGCAAGACATTTGTTGATGTAGAGAAGATTCTAAAATTTATACTGAAAGGTAAAGGACCTAGAATACCGATTATAATTTTGAAAAAGAGAAATAAAGTAGGAGTTATCACTCCACGCAATTTTAAGACTAACCTCACATTCTATACAAAATTTAACTCAAAATGAATCACAAGTGTACAATTTAAAACAGAAGACTACAAAACTTTTAGGGAAAAAATAGAAGAAAATCATTAGGATCTAAAGCTAAGCAGGAAGTTCTCAGATTCCATAAACAAAATTGATAAATTAGTTTTCCTCAAAACTAAAAACTTTAGTATTGCAAAAGGCCATCTTAAAAGAAGGAAAAGACTACAGACTAGAACAAATCATGAACGAACCAAATATTTGACAGAAAGCTAGTATCTAAAATATACATTTTTAAATTCTCGTAACTCGACAGTAAAAATCCAGCAATACAATTTAAAAGTTGGCAAAAGATAATGAACTGACATATCACTGAAGATACCGATAGTAAATGAACACATGGAAAGATGTTCAATGCCATTAGCCATTAGGAAAATGCAAATTAAAACCACAATTATATTAGCACTACAAACCTAGCAGAATGGCCAAAATTAAAAACAGTGATAACACCAAATGCTGGAGAAAATGCAAAGAAATTGTCACTCATACATCGCTGATAAAAATGTAAAATGGTATAGCCATGCTGAAGAACAGTATGGTAGTTTCTTAGGAAACTAAACATGTAATGCAACTATTATACAACCAAGCAATTATACTCTTGGGCATTTATTCCAGAAAAATGAAAACCTCTTTTCACAAAAAACCTGTATATAAATATTTATAGCTGCTTTATTCCTAATAACCCCAAAATGGAAACAACCTAGATGTCCTTCAATGGATGAATGGTTAGGTAATCTGGTAAATTCATGCCATGAAATGTTACTCTGTAATGAAGAGGAACAAACTATTATTGATACATGCAATAATGTGGGTGGATGCACAGATACTACGCTCAGTGGCAAAAGCCTTTCCCTAATCGTACTACAGTGTATAACTTCACTTATATAACTTTCTGGATATGACAAAATATATGAAAATGGAGAACACATTAATGGTTGCCATGAGTGAAGGAGGGGCTGAGAGGTAAGGACGTGGCTGTGACTATAAAGAGGCAACTGGGTAGCTCTCTGGTGATGGAAATGTTGTATAGCTTCATTGTATAACTGTCAATATCCTGGCTGGGACAGTGTTCCATATATAGTTATGCAAGATGTTGCAACTGGGGGAAACTGAATAAAGGGCATACAGCACCTCTCCTATTATTTTTACAACTGTATGTGAATCTATGGTTATCTCAGAAAGTTTAATTTTCAAAAAAGGTAAAGGGAATGCATGTTTAAAAATAAGACACTGTGATTTAGGGGTTCATCAAGTACTTGATCATAAAATCCTAAAAATGGAAGCAAATAGGTATCTTAAGAAAAAAGTGCTGACAAGCACGAGTAACAAGGTTTAGTCTCTCTGTTACCCCAGGAAGCCATTTTTACTGCTTAAGCTCATAAAACTACCACACCTCCTGCTATGTAATGGCTCTAAATGTTAGCAGGATGCTAGGAGGTAAACAGAGAGAACCCAGATGTTTCCTTCAGTTTTATTATTGATAAACTTATATAGATGTAAATGAAGATAAAGAACGAGTATATATATTGTATTCACTCACCAGGCTCATTAAATTCAGATTTGAGTTTTTTCCGGCCTTGAATCTGAGATTTTTTCCTCTGTTTGGCTTCCTTCTCTTTTTCATCATCACTAAAATCTAAGGCCTTGCAGAGAAAAGTATATAATAGGTTTATGTTACATGAATTTGCCAATTCAATAGTACATACTTGGAGGTGAAGAAAATAAGCCTATTATGCATCAATGACTCTAAAAAAAGTTGTCTTTTTGATACTTAATATTTTCTATATCTGAATTAGACATGGTATAAAAATAAAGCATTTTTTGATAAATGCTTAATGACTTTAATTAACACAGGCCAGTAATCAGCCTTCAGATATGAGTCTGACTTCCAGTTTAGACTTAAAATTCATCATAGTATCAGATGCAAAAGGGTGCCAAAGGTAAGAGTATCAAGGACTAAGCAAATTATATATATTATCAGAGCCAATAAAAAACAGAAGACAATGTTCCATAATTCATTCATTCAAAATACACACCCAAGCACTGTTCTAAACATTTCACAGGTTCATTCTTTACAGGTTTACCATCTTATTTTTTAAATATAATTTTAGGTACAGAGCAAGAGTTATAAATAAATAAGGCAAAATAAGGGTATACAAATCATGGGGAAGCTATTTAGATAAAACCATAGGCAAAAGCTTTTTTGTGTGTGTGTGTGCAGTGGTGCAATCTCAGCTCACTGCAACCTCTGCCTCCCAAGTTCAAGCGATTCTCCTGCCTTAGCCTCCTGAGTAGCTGGGATTACAGGCGCACGCCACCATGCCCAACTAATTTTTGTATTTTTAGTTTGAGGCCAGCCTGATCAACATGGCAAAGGCTTTTATAAGCAGATACATGAATGATCCAACTCCTAAGAGGAAATTATTTAAAAATTAAAGGTGGTAAAACTCACATTAACTAATTATTAGGATTCATTGTTATAGTCCACCAAGAAAACCAAGATTATGAGCTATATATATTATGACTGTCATCTATAGTTCAGGCATTTTATTATTCTATTAATTATTCTATTAATTTATTATTCTATTAATGCCAGAAAACGTCTATTATGTTTCATACAAAAAATATATGAAAGCAGGCCCACCATATATGGATGGATACACATTTAAAAAGAAGAAATAAAATGTATATGAAAGTCTTTGTATGTAATTTTCAGTATGGCTTCACTGGAATACATTCTAGATCAAATCCTCCATGAACCAGGAATCCATACACTTCAGATTCTGAAATCTAATTTGAAAACATGAACTAATTGTATGCCTTCCAATGCATAATTTCTTATTACTGATCTTAATACGATAAGATTTTAAAACTCAGGTTAAATCTGGTATCTGAAAGACACTAGAAAGTATGGAGATCAGATAGAAGACTCCTTTTTCTGAGAAAACAGATTAAATGTACAATGAACAAGTGCTACGACTTAATGCTATGTTATTATAGTGCTGGATAAAGAGAAAAAAGGAAAAGATAGACTTCTTGGTATGGATAACCCAACAGAAATACCTGAATGAGTTAGCTATGAAAATAAAGGGAATTTTCAGAAAATGTGAACAATACACACAGAGGCATGATAGAACAGTATATACAAAAAAGAAAAATGGTTCTGAAAGGCAAAGTGAAAGCTGCTGCTTCTTACATGGCAAAACCAGAAAAAATAAAATTGGAGAAGCTTACAAAGAACCTTATTGTGCCATTTTAAATAATTGAACATCATCTTAAGAGCAGGAGGGAGGAAGTAAGGATTTTAATTGGGAATAGTTTATTTCAGAGAGATTACTCTGGTAGTATTTTGCTATCACTCCTAAAATCAGAGAAAAATTCATGTTTCTTATATGCAAATTAATTCAAATTTCCATTCATTAAATACATTTATTCAACCATAAAGTATACGGTGGCATATTAAAAATGGCTATGAAGATGAACATGATACAACCGTAGGTAATTTTTAGGTCCTTTATGCAGCCCAACATTTCATAGCACATAATTTCTCTTATTTTCCTTTATGCAAGCTTTCTATTTTCACATCACGCAATGTTTCTCCTTTTTCTCTTTTTAAGTTTAAACCTCACAAATTTCTAATTTTAATCTATGATCAATACCAGGCAATAATTCTAGACTACAAAGTTTCACCAACAAATATTACAAAATTAAATCCCAAGATACTTAATGATCCAGTTCAAGCTACCTGGAAAAAACAAACACCATGAACTAGGTGAGATGTAATTTTGCAATTAACCTAGTCAAACCAATTTTACAAATAACTCGCATTGTTGTAATTGGTAACTTCAATGCTTAGGTCCGAAACAAGAGGGATTCATTAGAATATCTGGATTTTGGCCAGGTGCGGTGGCTCACGCCTGAAATCTCAGCACTTTGAGAGGCAGAGAGGGGTGGATTACTGGAGGTCAGGAGTTCAAGACTAGCCTGGACAACATTGTGAAACCCCGTCTCTAATAAAAATACAAAATTAGCTGGGCGTGGTGGCATGCGCCTGTAATCTCAGCTACTCAGGAGGCTGAGGCAGGAGAATTGCTTGAACCCGGAGGCAGAGTTTGCGGTGAGCTGAGACCGTGCCACTGCATTGCAGCCTGGGCAGAAAGAGCAAAACTCCATCCCCTACCCAAAAAAAGAAAAAAAGAATATCTGGATTTTAAAAGAAATATGATTTGAGATGTTTATGAATCTCTAAACACGTTTAAAACATGTAATTCCAGTAATAAGATGCTATAGATACTCTAAAACTTAATTCAGAACATTAAGTGAATATTCAGAGCCTTAACTGAAATCACATAAATACATAACATTAATTAGAAAACATAATTCCATTTCAATTCAGATACTAAGCAAGGATCATTCACTGGTTAAGTGATTCATACCTGTATAGAACCCTCCAAGTGGGCATAAACCTGATTCATACCTCAGTAAAATTAGAAACACAGATCATGATTTACGATTGCTTTAAACATCTAAAATGGCCAAGGTTAAATCGGTAAGTATCAAAAATCTGTAATACTGGCTGGGCAAGGGGCTCATGCCTGTAATCCCAGCACTTTGGGGAGCCAAGGCAGAAGCTTGCTTGAGGGCTGGAGAATCACTTGAGGCCAAGAGCTTGAGACCAGCCTGGGCAACACACTGAGACCCCCATGTCTATATTTGTTAAAAAAAAAAAAAACAAAAAAAAAACTGTAATACTGAGAAAACTTCATAAGAACTGCTGAGCAAGCTTTAAAAACTCTCATGTATAATTTTTACTTATAAAAATATTTATATACATTTTTATTTTATACTGTATAAATACATGCTATTTTTAAGAAATGAATATATTCATTGTTGTAATTCAAAAAAAAAACCCCTCAAGATAATCTGCTTAAACACTTTCATGGAATGTTAACCAAGTAATCCTATTAAATCATTAACTTATTTACATATTATTCCTAAATTTACTTCACATCTCTAGGAAGACTAGATTATCAAGTCACCTTGGGGCATAAAACTATTGTTTTGCTGACATAGATACAAAAAGAAAATCAAGGTCTCTTTTTAGAAAGGTAGTTATATCGTAAAAAGTAGAGAGGTAGGTAGCTTCCAATGATCTTGTGCTTCCAATGATTCTGTACTTCCAAAAGAAGGACAGCTATTAAAAGCACCATGTCTTCATGTCCCATATGGTGTATTTACTAAACTCAATTAAATTTTTAAAAAATAATGACAGCCTGCCTTTATCAGACATCAACAAAGTTGACAAAAATAGTAAACTACAATGTAAATGATAAGGTGATAATTATTAAAATACAACTAAATGTAACTGAAAAAAGTTTTTTTCCTAAATGATCAATCAAAACCTTTCACTGAAAGGTATGAAATAGTCATCTAGGACGGTGAGAGAATACATGCGCTAGGACAGGATAAGGCAGTATGGCTGCTAGCCAGTATTAATGACTTCCCTAACAGCAAGAATGATAAAATTTATAAGATTAAGTCCTGCCCTACTTTATAAAATGTTGCATAAAAAGACTTATACTTACCTCTGGTGGTGGTTCCTGATCATTCTTCCATGATGCATCTGATCCCTTATCCCTGAGTGGGGTGGGGATGGGAGTCAAAAAAGTATTCATCACAATTCTATTAAGTGCTCATAACTTAAAAGTACAGAAAATAATAAAGTAAAGGACATGAGTTCAACCTTTAATTTTGCAATACAGTTATGTGTCTTTTACCTTATTTCAAAAGATGTGGGAAGCTCCTAAGAAAAACACAAAAGTTGAGCAAGTAGAAATATTAGGATTAGGGAACTGGAATGAGAAGCCAAGGCTATGGTGTGCAGTGGAAAGCAGATGGACAGCTCTTTTGATTTTTGTTTTCATAATATTTGCAGTTTTCACAAAACTCAGTTTAAAAAAAATGCTTATTTCACGCCAACTGTAGATCAGAAGTTGTTCCATGTGCGAAGGACATAAAAATGACTATGAGGCATTCCCTTTTCACAGATTTTACAGGTTTAATGGCAGAGATATCAATATGAATTATTTTCTCCTCAGTTTACCTGAGGAATGTCAGCAATCCTCTATGAGTAACCAAGGCTTATTCCAACACTGATTCTCAAAGCAGTGAGGGTCAAACAAAGGCTAACTATGAATAGTTGGAGGAAGAGGAAGAGAAGCTGCTTTAAAGATTCTGAAGGACAATATAATGACTGGCATGTGTGAAATGTGTAATTGCAGCTGAAAATCAACAACTTTTGGTGGAGAGTTTTACACTTTACATCCAACAAAAGTACAGATATCTATTATGAGCAGTATAATTTGTGAAAGCTCATTTTTAATCTTTTTAATTTTGTTAATTTCATAGTTTCAGCTACTATTTTGTTATTCCATTATGTTAAAATATCACAAAGTAAAATATTACAAAGTATTAGGACTAGATGTCCTTATTGTTTTAAACTAGATCTCAAAAATAAATGAGATTCCCAGGAATTAAGGCCATTAAAATCAATGTACAGATGTCAGTTTGCTGGCACAACATGAAAGTTATTAAGTTTGCTTTAAATTTTTGATTCGGAACTTTGACATTATATATGAGCCATTATCAATGGCTTTTCCATCACTTAAAAGAAAAAAGCATTTCCTCAATTGTCATTTCACACATGGGCCTTAAATATATCTCTGGTATTCCTTTCTGCACATATGACATCTCATGATCTGGACTGCTGTTAGCCTGGAATCACAGACATAAATGGGAAAAATTCCCCAACTAGTGCGTCTATTACAAAAAATCAAAATCTACTAAAGGAAAGATCAAGCAACATTTCAAAAGGCACTTTTAACAAGACAGTAAGTACATGAGAAACTAAGATCAAAATAGCCTCATTAGAGAACAGTAAGCTGGAAAGGAGCTGAACTTCTCTACCTCAAAGACAAAGTACTCCACCAAGTTCCCATGACAGATGCCAAAATGAGGTCTAGAATACAACAGTTTTCCTGGGAGAGGGAGGTTTCTGCAATATAGGTCTAATTTCCCAATTCACTGATTTACTACTGCTTCTTAATAGAAGAACTGCAAATCAAAACCAAAGACTGAGTCTATTATCTAAAATCTATTTAAAAACCATCTTCAGAAAACCTCTTCAAATTTATCTGTTTTAAGCTAAAATACTCTATTTGTTAAAAAGCTAAATATATGGCATATCCACAGCAGTATCTTTATATTCAAAGCAGGATGAAATGCTAAATATTTAAAGCATTTTAGAACATATTAATATCTTGAAGACTTTATGTGTATTTAATTCATCTTTCTTGTCAGTGTTATTTAAGAAAATAACCTTATGCAATGTGAAGAATAACTTAGGCAAAATATTCCTCCAGATCTTTATGTAGATTCTTAAACATGAGTTAAATCAATTATCAGGATCAAAATTTTCATCTCTGAAATAAATGAAATTTGGTGACTTGAGACTTGATTTAACATGTAAGTGGTATAAGTAATCTTCTTATGCCATGCAACTGGGGTTGGTACCTTTGACATAATACCAAAGTTACTCAGTGACCAAAGTTCCTTTGTTTTCCTGCAAAAACAACATCTATAAAAATGTATCGCCTAGGTTTTAAGTCTCCAATAAAAGAAGAGCTAGAACTAAAAGGAACTTCTGTGTCAAACTGAGTGCAAAGTCTTTCTGGATTTAACCTTCCCCCAGTCTTTGGCAGTCTTTTCTTCCACTCCCAATTTGAAAATATTTTTAGTGGCTCATATTCATTACATCATTCGAAAGCATTCAAGTTATTTTTATTAAAAAAAAATCTTAAATTCATATGCTATTTGCTGATATAAAAAATTAAATAACATAATTATAACAAGTTTAGCTGATACAAACAGCTCTACAACTAACAGCTGGCAACAGCTAACATTTGAAAAATATTCAACCAATGGGAGCACAAATATAAAAAAATATTGCGGTCACATGCCACAGAAATCACTTAGCATTATTGATAGACAAAATGGAGAGCACTGGTTTGTTGGTTAGGTCAACTCCATACACCGTAACTTTCTACACAATTTTTCAGGGACACGTGTTAGTTGTCTCTTCTACAAACTTAAAATTTATAAGCAAAATAAAGAGATAACACTCATTTTTTTTCTCTTGAAAACTATTTTAAAGTTTTATTGAAGAGCAAGGCCCCTAAATAGAATCCAAAGAGAATTTTACTTAACTGAAAAAAAAGTTATTAAGAAATGATAATAATATTAGTACTAATACTAAAATAGTAAGTACATTAAAGAATGTACATAATGGAAAAAACACTGAACTAGAATCAGAAAGTGTACATGGCTCAAATGTGCTCTTAATGGCTGATCATCTCATTTTTTACAAAAGATATGAATTCTACGTACAAAATCTGAAAATAAATTGTAGGCTTCAAAGATATTATTAGGAAGATAAATGAACTCTTTGCAAGACACACACAATATAACTGTAAGAAATTACATCACTGAGAATTATTCTTAAAATATAAACGTTAGGTAAGTGAAGAACAACATGCCGGTAAAGTACTTACTGTTTTAGTTTTTCTGTGAATATATATTGAGTGAAATCTTTCATTGATGGAGCAAAATACATAGTCTCCTTTATTTTAATACCTTTACTCTCAATGTGATCTGAAGAATTAAACCGTAACACATAAAATGGATGTGCAACAGGTCCAAATATCTCGAATATCTGTAATAGAAACATAAAGGCCTCTTTTAACATGTAAAATAACTATTTGAAAAGTCAGCAGTGTTTTCTTTTAAAAATCCCACTGATAATTGCCAGAACAAGGTAATTTTGTCAGTGTTAGGGCAATAAAATAATTTTTTAGTTATATTTATGTCATTTTTACATATTCAGTCTTCATATATTGATTAAAATGCACTCGCTCATTCCAGATTTCCCTTCTATGAATGTGAAACAATAGTAACAAGTTTGTTCCTCACCAAATTCAAATCATTTTGATGGTACCAACTCGATGCAAATTATGATTTTTTTAAATTATTGCTCATTTAACTTGTAAAGTACACAGAAAAGGATTATAATTGGTAACTTTTGAGAAAACTGTATACATTTGGAATCATCAGATGGGAAATATAAAAGCAAGCTTCTGACTTCAATAGGAGTTAAATCACTTTTGCTGTTTCCACAGTGTTAGGAATTTTGTAAAATTACAGACTTTTTCTAATTTAACAACTAATAAAGTAGAAGTTATTTATGTTTAAAAAACACAAAGATGGTGCAGCCTTTAACATTTAACTAAAAGAACTGCTTTTAGCAGAACCACATATTTTACTTCTGAAAACGTTTTAAGAATAATGAAAGGAAACTTCTTGGTTTCAAATTGTACTTTCTTCTCAAAATACGTGAATTAAAAAATATATTTTCTGGCTGGGCGCAGTGGCTCACGCCTGTAATCCCAGCACTTTAGGAGGTGAGGCGGGCGGATCACCTGAGGTCAGGGGTTCAAGACCAGCCTGGCCAACATAGTGAAACTCTGTCTCTACTAAAAATACAAAAATTAGCCGGGTGTGGTGGCAGGCACCTGTAATCCCAGCCACTCAGGGGCTGAGGCAAGAGAATCACTTCAACCCAGGAGGCAGAGGTTGCAGTGAACCGAGATTGTGCCATCGCACTACAGCCTGGGGGACAAAAGCGAGATAATATATGTATATTATAGAGATAAGACCATGATCAATGCCAGTATAGATTTTTCCAGTCTTTTTTCTATAATACGTTATTTTTTTCTTTAAGACCATACTGTAGTTTTGTATACTGCCCCCTTTTAAAAACCTAAAGTTGTTCCATGTTATATTCTTTGTAAGTATAATTTTAGCTATCATAAAACACCCCTTTACAGACTCAGGACAACTTACTTAACTTCTTTCTTATTGTAGGACATTTAGGCAGCTTCCAATTTGTTCAACATAATACATGATGCCATGATAAACATATATAAATCACTATACTTCAGACTTCCTAAAAATTGATTTGTAAGGAGTGGAGGTATTGAAGCTGAAAGTACGATAATTAACACTAAGGCATAAAAGTTTTAATGGAAATTACTAAATAGCTTTCTAAATAGCTTGGACCAATTTATACCAACTGCATTGAACATGGCTGTTTTATCACATCCTCAGTTCTTGATTTTTGATAGTAAATGCTCTTCACATTTTATGATTTCAGTACAGCACTGAATCTTTCATTAATTTTCATTAAGGCGTAAAACAGCTCACCTATCAGGGCACCACCATTCTGAAGATATGTGTACTCTAAAAAGAAGTAGTGACATTAAAAACTATTAAAATGCCAATGTATTATGAAATAACACTAATAGCATCACAAATTTAAAGCTTTAAAAAAGTGTAAAAGCAAAAAACTTTAAGAAAATAGCAAGACATCTGCTTTGAAAAGGTTTAGATAAATCCAGTAGACCTCGTCCAGTAAGAACTGTGAAGGACAGAAGAGGTGCACTCAGCACCACTCTTACTGGCCTACATGACATATATTATTGTAGTCTTACTTTCACTTAAAATTGTCTTAAAAACAATTCACAAGTTTAATTCTCTCACATATACACAAACCCAATTCTTCATTTGGTCAGAGATTTAAAAATATCTTTTAAGTTTCCTGTGTATCCATTAATACAAGGTAAAATAATCATCGTTTGCAACCTGGTACACAGACTGTTTCCCAGGGATTTGTTTCCTAGATAGCATGAATCCATTTCCTAAGTGTGAAAAACAATTTCAGTGGAAAAATTCCTTGCCAACTTCAGGTCTGTGCAGTATGGTTTGAACTAAAATATAAGTGACATTCAAAATTCTTGGACAAAAGCAAAGCATAGTATTTTAGTTGACTGTTCCTAGGTTCTGAAGTGTTTATGAGCCACAACTATAATGAAATCATTATAAAGTTTTAAGTAAAACAACATCACAGGCAGTAGATAACAGGAAGCCATACAATAGACAGTATGTGGCATGAGCCAATACTAATAGGTATGTTACAGGAAAACTTGACCAAGTTCACATAAGCAATTTGGCTAATCCAGAGTAGAAAAGAGGAATTTAACAATATTTTAAATAACCATTAGCCTCTGAGTGTAGAGTTTAGATTGACTAACACCTGAGAGCTAAACTGTAAAGAGCAACTTAAGACACAGCAAGGCTCAGGCCGGCCCACTTCTCCTCATACAGCTCCATAGGAGGCACCCATATCCCTTCTTGGTCATTCCACCCAACTTAGGGGATTCTGGAACTTCCATACTACCTGATTCAAGATAAAAGCAAAGGAAGTAATAGATTGTAAGGAGAGTATAAGAAACTGAATTTGGAAAAGTAGCACCTGAGACCTTTACTATGAGGTGGGCAAGCAGCTTTCTTTATATCTTTAAAACTAGTATATATTCTGTAGGTGTTCATATAAAAATTTAATCCAACTGATGCTTTATACTTGCCCTGTCATTGAGAAGTGGTTTTCTAGGTATCCTTTCACTTGGCTCTAGGTGATAATACTCACCATTTTTTACTCAAAGTCATTATATTTTTGCTACAAGATCTCCAAGGATTCCTATCACACACAGAGGTTAACACACACTGTAACAACAACGTGGTACAGCTATAATGTAGGATCTGCTGGGAAAAATAACTGACAAGCAGAGAAGATATAGAGTGCATGCAGTTCCCCAAATTCCATCCCAGCGTAGGCTGGGCTTAAATGTTCTGTGTGCACCATGGCAAAAGTTTCAGCGGCGTAGAAGGCCTGTTTGAGCCAGCAGGCTGGAGGTGCACAGACAATACAGCAAAAGGGAGAATGAGCTGTACTCTCCTCCCCCTCTCCACACACATACCATGTCACAAACTTACTAAGTTATCTAGAGGGGGCTAGGTAACTCCCAGTTTTTCTATTATCTAGGAGGGGACTAGGTAAATCCTAGTTTCTCTAAGTAACAATAAATATATCAAGGATCTCCAGGCCTAGGAACAATGCTGGCAGGCTGTGCCTGTGAAGGGCCAAGGTCTGCATGCTGCCACCTGGGAACAGCCTTCAAACAATGTCTCTCTAGGTGAGCCAGCTTTGGGCTAAACTGCCAAAGGAGAAAGGAAATGAGGAAATGAACCTTTACAACTATTCAACATTGTCTTTTATCAATCACTTTGTGCTTTTTTCAATTCCCATCAACAAAAATGAAGAAAATACAGACGAATAGAGTATTCTAATCTATTAGTTAGGCAAACTGATCATTTCAATCACTGTGTGTATTACTGTATCATAAGTTACCTTGAAATATGTCATGAGAACTGAGGGGGTGGGGAACAACACTCCATCAATATAATACAGAGTCCTCTAGAAAATCATCACATCCTACCAAACAAGACAGTAATATAATCGTTTAAAAAGGAATCAGTAAAAATTTCCTACCCACTGATATATGAGAAGGAAACAGATTTCACTAGTTCATCAAGGGAACTAGCAATTCTTAGGATTAAAGGGCAAAGGTAGGAATAAAAATCTGAGACTGTCCTCCCTTAATCAGTGGGGAAGGCAAAGGGAGGTGGAAGGGAAATGAACCTGGGCTGTAAACTCATCCATTTCAGCTTTGTGACTTTTTAGCAAGGTTTCTCAAGTTTTAAAATAGAGGTAATTTTACTTCCTTGCAGGGTTTCAGTGAACTTAAAAAGATAACATAAATATCACTGTAGCTGATTACTATCGTGTTACTGAAGAAAAGAGGGAAAAGATGTTCGATGGCTTGCTACTGAAGGTAAAACTAATTTAGTATTTAGATAAGACATGCTAATAATCTAAAAGGTACTCAGTTTCATATTCTGGTTATTGGTTTGTTTAACAAATACTTTCTAATCTCTACTCCCACTACTATTTTGGAGAATCATTTCAAGGCACTTAGATTTATAATCAAGTATTTTTTAAAAACTTGTCACAAAGTCTTTCAAAAGCATTTATAAAGCATTCTATGTAAAATTTAGAAATAGATTTAATTTTTGCCAACAGGCTTATGCCATATAACTAAAGTTAGAGGTGTAAATGTTATATTTTATCTGACTCCTTTCAAATCTAAATGACAGCTGAATATTAATATTAGTCACATTTACAGGTCTAGAAATTCAAATGTAGTGGGAAATACAAAAAAAATGTCTGTTTAGAGGTTTTAATTTAGCAAAGTGTTGAGTATTTTCAGATTAAAATTGTCTAAGTTAGGTACTAAGAAAAAAAGACAACTGTCATGAAAATCACAAATAGCTCCTTTCTTATTTGTTTGTATTCAACTCAATACACATTTACTTGGCACAAATAATTTACAAAGAACTGTACTAGATACAATGGGGAATATCAAGGTGAATAAAACTGTCCCTATTGCCAGGAAATAAATACTTACTTAGTATTTACATTCTTGATTTTAGAATGTTTATGTCTTCTGCCAACCAGTCAGAATTGCCTAGTTGCTGAGTAAAGTGCACAGTTTTCTACATTAAGGTGGACATGCAGGGTTGTTCCATTAGAAAGATGTTAAAAGGGACCAAATCTTATAGTAATTACTTGAATGCACATATTTGTAATTCCCCAGGATGTGCCTACAGTGACAATTCATTGCTGTCAGTGAAATATTTTTCCACTTGGAAAAGATTCCACACCGAGCTTCCACCTGAGGAAGTCAAAGTCTGAAAAGTCTGAGAGCCACTATTCAAAGGAGCTCACAAAACAAAAATGCTTAAGAGCTACTATACTATGGGAAGTCTTCTTCACTCAGCTGAGTATCTGGACGGTAGGAAACGATGTGTTATGCATTACGTAGACTCACTGCCTAGCAAGTTATCTGACAAACACTAGGAAAGAATTCTATATATGTGTATTTAATAACTCATGTGGCAAAGAGTAATAATCAGTATTAAACCAATTTACAGACAGATATGAAGTACTAAAGGAAATCAAGAACGTACTGAAATTAGAGAGCTCTAGATTGTCCATCAATTAAAATAAATAAACTCTTCTGAGAACTGATGGGGAAAGTCAGAAAAAAACAATAAATAAATAGAATAATTTGTAAGATTTGAAATGTTTTACAAACCTTTCCTGCTGCTTGTCGATCACTTTTAAAAATTACAGTCTCCTCATTAACTGGAGGTAGGTTAGTCATAGATTCAATTATTACTGAAAAATAAAATAGATTACTTCAAGATTTACTTATAAGAGAATGTAGAATTTTAATGAAAATCTAAGCTTTAATTCCAACATAATTTAAAAAAAAATTGAAGGTGGGATTATTACCTCATTAACCATTTTCTCTTCAGTAAACAAAGTCTACTTATTACCAAATAGCACTGGGAAATGTTTTTATACCTATTTTTAATACAAAAAGCTATAATTCTAAGGGAAAAAAATTAAAATGCAAATCCCACAGAAAATCTGAATCATCCATTAAAGATTCAACAAATTCAAGCTATGTACATATTCTCAAGTAATTTTTACCAAAAATAGTGTAATCACGTTTAGTTGTAAAACTGTTTTAGAAGAAATTAGTCTTCTTTCTCACTCTTAAAAATTCTTTTCTACAAAGCACTGTTTAGTTACTGGTATATGAAAAAGTTAAATAAAAGGCTTCACAAAAGCATCTTCCTATGAACAGAAGAAGTAAAAGTGCTAGAGCTCACAGTAATTTTTATCATTACATGAAAATTCCCTCCTCAAAAAGCAAAAACATAATCTCCAAATCTCCAGTTCTTTTAAATGACACAAATATTAAAGAACTGATCTACCATAACAAAGAGAAAACACACGCACACACAAACACACTCTCAATAAGTTTTTAGAACATCAGAGCCACAAGTAAGAACACTGTTACATTACATAGATAATACCATGTCAACTAAGGGAATAAAATATATTACCTCAGATTATCAAAATTAATTCAAACAATTTCTTTTGTATCTCAATTAATTTTAACAGTGGATACTTCAGGCTGGGCACGGTGGCTCACGCCTGCAGCACTCTGGGAGGCTGGCGAGGAAGGACGGCTTGAGCCCAGGAGTTTGAGACCAGCCTGGGCAACGTAGCAAGACCTTGTCTCTATTAAAAATCTCTATTAAAAATCTGCAACAGTAGCATGTGCTGATTTTGACCCATTTACTCTTTATTCCCATTAGGTTGAGAATTTTTTCAGTCTATGTTAGTCAAAATAGTATTGTTAAAAATGCAAAAATGACATGCATTATTCCATGTACGTCAGAGTTTACATTTATTTTTTTGAGGATCAACATTATGACCTAAAATTTTTCTGTATACATCAAGTCTAATAAATGTTTAAATCATACCACATAATCAAGAAATTAGTTGCCTGTTTGATTTATCTATATATATTATTAAATACCATAACTCTAAAACTAGTAAATGTAATGATTCCAGAATCACGGAAAGAATTTTAATTATTATTTTTGAAAAGAAGGTTCATTTTAATCTACATTTTTATTAATAAACTGAAAAAGTACAAAATTATGTAAGTGTTAATTTTTAAAAATATCAATATAGACACTGTTAGAAAAAAGTCAAAAGAAAAAGGTCCTATTTCTACCACTGACTCACTATACAACTGGTCCTAAGAGCAACTGACTTGAATTTTTCTGTTTCCTCAGGTCCTGTGGAGGCTGGTGGGCAATCTAGGTCCTCTTCACAGTTCCAAAATCCTATTACTTTGTCAGTGCTGAGTTCTATTCTCCAGCATATCCTACTACGAGTTAATAGTACCTATATTAACAAGAATCTCACAGAACAAACTCACATGTTGGGGCTAAAGAAGTCTAAAATATTAAGTTCTCTTATAACTCAGCAACTTCATATTTCATGCCATTAATAACAGTATTAAATTACAAAACTTTCTCACATGTTTTTAAGACAAAATCAAAGGTGGTGAGCAGAATGGCTCCCCAAGAGATATCCACACTCTAAATACCTGAATCTGTAAATACATTACATTTTTAAGAGCCTTTGCAGATGTGATTAAAGTTAAGGACCACGAGATAGGGGAGATTATCCTGGATTATGCAGGTAAACTCAATCTAAAAAGTCTTTAAAAGCAGAGAACCTTTCCACATGTGGTTAGAGTGAGGTGAGATAATGGAAGAAGGCTCAGAGACAGACGTTACATTACTGGCCTTCAGGATGAAGAAAGAGAGCCAAAAGTCAAGGAATGTGGGCAGGCTCTAGAACCCAAAAAGAGCAAGGAAGTAAGATTCTCCCCTAGTACCTACAGAAAATAACTCAGCCCTGTTAACACCTTTGATTTTAAGCCCACTGAGACCCACATGAGAACTGTATGATAAAATTGTGCTGCTGTAAGTCACTAAGTTTGCAGTAATTTGGTATAGCAACATTAGAAAACTAATAAACCAAATCAAAGGAAATTCCGGAGGAAGTATGTCAGTAAAAGCAGACATTTAAATTTCTATAAATAAACTGTATTTATATATAATTTTAGTATATGAAAACTGAATTTTATCCCTTCAAACTTAATGACTATAAAATAAAGTGTTAATTACGTATGTCAAAGAAAATTTACTAGTCATAAAAGTCATTGATTCAATTATTAGTGTGTGTTTGGAAACAATTTTTATTAATAGAATTCTTAACATACCTAGTTGTTCAATAATACTTGAAACCATCCCAAGAGGCTTTAACTCAATATCTTCAGGCAGAATAATAGTGAGTTCTTCAACAGAAGGCAGTTCCTATAATTTAAAACAAAACAAAACATTAAACTTCCTCCAGCTTCAACAACTTAAAAAAAATAAATTTTCCATTTTAAGTGCTACACATCTCTGAAAATGCTTTAAGTGCTTAGAGCATCTCTTTAATGTTATCATTTTAGTGGTTGCAGACTTGTGATAGCACTTCTCTCCCTCCAACATTTCTCCACCTAAGTGACTCAACAGGTCTCAAGTATACACCCCAAATTCAGTTAGACTAAGAACACAGACATAAGTACTATTCTACATTCTTTCAGTCACACTTGAACAAGAGACTACCTACTTCCTGTAAAAAAGGCTATTATCAGGCAGAGACATTCCATTTGAAAAGAAATAATTCTACTAGTAACTATAATTTCTCCACATAAGTTCTTTTAGCTGTCTTGTTAAATTGGTTAGTTAATTAGTTTGACTGTGATTAAACAGAACACAGAAGCAGCAATCTTTTCTGCGACTGTGTCAAGAAGAGTTGAATGGCCTCTTCAGGAAAAAGGAAATGACACCTATCAGTGAAACATTGAAGTCCTGAAAAAAGAATATAGGCTTTAGCCTATAAAAACTATGAAGGTGTTGCCTGATACCTTCTCTCTCTAGGTTAAAAAATAAGTTTCTTTACACCTAAAGATTTCTCTTTTCTTACCCACCTGCAAACTGCATCTCAGTTGCTATGGAAACTAGATATTGAAGTACAGATGAATCTGAAGAGAAATCTAAGAATAAATCTGACCTTAGCCTTTAGATTAAAAACACAGCTTTCTGTTCTTGACCCTTGCCAAATGATCTAACTCTCAGAAGGAAGCTTTTCCTCAAGATGGCTTGAAGTGCAAAGACCCTACCAATGGCATTTTAGCAGTTAAACTGGGAGAAGGATAACTTTTGGAGAAATGTTGGAAAAGGTGGGAAAACCTACATAACATGAAGTATACTGCAGACGAATGCATCCTGAGTAATCATATTACCCCTACGGAAACTTAAACTAGGTTCTTAAAATCATTCAACCAGAGTTGATAAGCAGACATCTAAAATACACTTTGTTTCTGGGATATGCTATTTTCTGATACAGGATTACTTATGGAGAGCAACACTACGGGTCTCAACCAACTGATGCAGAAGGAAGTCAGCAACATGCCTTTGTATGGTTAGTCTGCCTGGTGTTAGAGGAAATTATTTTGTTTTATCCATCAGAATTCTTATGAGTACTTTCAAAGAGAGAATAACCACTTGCCCTTTCATCATATTAAACGTGGAAAGCCTTATCTTGGGAAGACCATGGTTTGAAAATGGTTCATGTGTGTATCAGAATGCAGAAGGGAGTTTAGTTGTTAGAACAAACTGTGACATTAAATAGCCTTTTTACAGAAGTTCTTAGCTAAAGCAATCTCAAACCTTGTTAAATACAAGACTGGATAACTATAATTTTGGGGGACTGCAGAGAAGAGGGCTTTAATGATATTTCAGAGGGCAATTGTGAGGGGAGTTTCACATTGACTCGGGTTCTGGGAGTGGCTCCTCTTGTTAAGTGGCAAATGTCATTTGCTAATCCAGAAGTACAGTGATAAAATCTGTCCCATTACCTAGCCAAATTATAAGATCTAAAACAAAAATTTGAGTACTTTTGGATTGGGATAAAGCCTACTGGTTAAATATTCTCAAATAAACAAGTGCTATTTAACCAGCAGGAAAGGCCCCTGGTTTTGTATTTTCTATTATGAGAAATAAAGGCCCATGTAATATAATAGTTATGCTTTGATATAAATCTAAACTGATACTGTTTTGCTTTTGTTGTTTGTTTAAAGTAAAAAAGTAAAACATGTTCCTATTTTTACAAAAGGAAAAATTCAAGCAGTTATGGAAGGATACAAAGTAAAAAGTGAAAATTCCCCTACTTTATTCCTTTCAACCACCCAGTGCCAAGCCCCATAGACAGCTAATGTTAACATGTATCTTTCAAATACCTTTACTATGCAGATATAAACTTTAATTCTAACTTCAAAATATTTTTTACTTAAATAAAATATCCATATTTTAATACAAGGTACCCTTTTTACTGATCATACCCTGCATATCTTTCTATAACAAACAAAAACATATATCTAATTTTACTTAAACACTTAGGATATTCCACTTTTATCAGTGGTACTATAATACACGAGCTGCCTGACACAACATATATCCTTAAACACTTAGGATATTCCACTTTTATCAGTGGTACTATAATACACTAGCTGCCTGACACAACATATATCTGCCCTTTCAAAACTTTTGCCACTACACACAATGATACAACATTCTTTTACATATATCTTTGTGTAACCCCTGTGATAAATTATTTTAAGTGGTCCTGATAGACTAAAACACATGCATATTTAAAATTTTGACAGTTACTGCTAAATTTCTTCTTAAAAAGTCACGTCAATTCACATTTCCACAATGTATGAGAGATTTCCCCACAACCTTGCCATTACTGATAAGTAAATTTTAAATCTTTGCCAGTCTTATGAATATAAAATAGTATCTTGCTTTAATTTGAATTTCTTCATTCATAAAGAAGAGTGAACATCCTTGCATGTATCCTGGCCATTTTTATGTGTGTTATGAATTGTTTCTTGTATAACTTTACATATTTTTTAAGGGCTTATCTTTTATTAATTTATAAAAAAAAAACCTTTGGATTTTCAAGGACATTTGTCTTTTATCAAATATGTAGCAAATATCCACTCCCTTACCCCACAGCATGTTTTTTAGCTAAAGAAACTAAACAATTTCAGTCATTTAGTTAACCTTTAGCATTTTAATTTTTATGTAGTCAAGTATATATACATATTTGGCTTTTGAAACTTGTGTCACATTTAGAAAGGTCCTCCCTATCCCAAAATCACTGAAAATTCACTATTGTTTTCTTTATTTCTCTAGTTTTTTTTTTTTAATATTTGTGTATTTGGTCCATTCACAATTTTATTCTTGTATAAAAGTGCAGCAGTGATTGGCTTTATCTTTATCCAAACTACTAGCCAGTTATCCTGACATGCTGTAGAATAATCCATCTTTTCTCTCACTGATTTGAAAAACAAACTTTAACATATACTAAGTACACTTATATATTTGGGTTTTTTACTGAATCTCCATTCAATTTCACTGATCTAGTTCAGTGTCAGTACTAAACTATTTTAACAACTGTGGTTTTCATAAAACATTTCAATATTTGAGATGACGGGCTAGTTCCTTTACCCAATCCATAAATATTTTTCCCCTTGGAATTTTTTTTAACTGTTCTCACATATTTATCTCACTACACTTCAGAACTATTTTGTCATATTAGTGTTATCAGTATTGATTGAGATCACATTTAATTACAGTTGTCTTCATAAAGGGTCCTATACAAATGCTTAGGCTTATTCCAAGCTATTTTATATATTACTTGCTATTATAAATTCCTATCTAATATATTTTATTGCTATTACAAATAGACCCTTTATAGGGTATTGCTTGAACATAAGAAAGCATCATGCTGAAATTTACTTTTAGTAATTTTCTTGTATATTTATTATACAACCATATTTTCAAAGAGTAAGTTGTCCTTCTTTTCAATATTAGTACATGGCTTTCATTTTTCAGATGATACTGGTTGACAATTCCAAATTCCAGAATCTCAAATATGAAACAATTGTGATGACAGTGGACATTGCTAATAGGAATGTTCCAAATCCTAAGCATAATGATGCATTTTTATCGGAATTTCTTTTTAATGGGTTAAGAAAGTATCCATCTATTCCAATTTTAATAAAATTTTTAAAATCAGAAATAAGTGTTGAGTTTCATCAAATATTCTTTTATCATTTTGAGATCATTATAACGTAATTTCCTGTAAGTTGAGCAGTTCAGTCTACAAGGTCTGATGAAGTCCTGATGTTCTGCTCTAAAGAGTACTAGGAGACATCCAGTATGACCAAGATAAGGGAAAATATATAAAGCCAGATTATTTGTAGTGAGTCAGGGTCTCACAATTTTGGTCAAAAACAGTGTCTGGCAGGCCCTCTTAGTTCCTGTTGCTGTTCCATGTTTCCAACCTATGTACTGGAAGAATGAAAAGTTTTGCCCACAAAGGTGAAGGTTCTCTGATTTTGCGTAGAACCAAACTTTGGGGAAAACAGACATAGACACTGTTATCTGAAATCACCACCATATTTCCAATACCAGTTCAGTGATCCTACTGAGAGGTGACAGCGTGCTGGCAGTCCTCACAGCCCTGGCTCACTCTCCGCGCCTCCTCTGCCTATGCTCCCACTTTGGCGGCACTTGAGGAGCCCTTCAGCCCACCGCTGCACTGTGGGAGCCCCTTTCTGGGCAGGCCAAGGCCAGAGCCGGCTCCCTCAGCTTGCAGAGAGGTGTGGAGGGAGAGGCGCGAGCGGGAACCGGGGCTGCGCGCGGCGCTTGCGGGCCAGCTGGAGTTCCGGGTGGGCATGGGCTTGGAGGGCCCCGCACTCAGAGCAGCCGGCCAGCCCTGCTGGCCCCCAGCAGTGAGGGGCTTAGCACCCGGGCCAGCAGCTGAGGAGGGTGAACTGGGTCCCCCAGCAGTGCCAGCCCAGCAGCACTGCGCTCGATTTCTCGCCGAGCCTTAGCTGCCTTCCTGCGGGGCAGGGCTCGGGACCTGCAGCCCGCCATGCCTGAGCCTTCCCCCGCCTCCGTGGGTTCCTGTGCAGCCCGAGCCTCCCGGACGAATACCACCCCCTGCTCCACGGCGCCGAGTCCCATCGACCACCCAAGGGCTGAGGAGTACGAGCGCATGGCGTGGGACTGGCAGGCAGCTCCACCTGCAGCCCCGGTGCAGTGCGGGATCCACTGGGTGAAGCCAGCTGGGCTCCTGAGTCTGGTGGGGATGTGGAGAGTCTCTATATCTAGCTCTGGGATTGTAAACACGCCAATCAGCACCCTGTGTTTAGCTCAAGGTTTGTAAGTGCACCAATCGACACTCTGTATCTAGCTGCTCTGGTGGGGCCTTGGAGAACCTTTATGTCTAGCTCAGGGATTGTAAATACACCAATCGGCACTCTGTATCTAGCTCAAGGTTTGTAAACACACCAATCAGCACCCTGTGTTTAGCTCAAGGTTTGTGAATGCACCAATCGACACTCTGTATCTAGCTGCTCTGGTGGGGCCTTGGAGAACTGGTGTGTCAAAACTCTGTATCTAACTAATCTGATGGGGACATGGAGAACCTTTGTATCTAGCTCAGGGATTGTAAACCCACCAATCAGCGCCCTGACAAAACAGGCCACTCGGCTCTACCAATCAGCAGGATGTGGGTGGGGCCAGATAAGAGAATAAAAGCAGGCTGCCCCAGCCAGCATTGGCAACCCGCTCGGGTCCCCTTCCACACCGTGGAAGCTTTGTTCTTTCGCTCTTTGCAATAAATCTTGCTACTGCTCACTCTTTGGGTCCACACTGCTTTTATGAGCCATAACACTCACCGCGAAGATCTGCAGCTTCACTCCTGAAGCCAGCGAGACCACGAGCCCACTGGGAGGAACAAACAACTCCAGACATGCCGCCTTAAGAGCTGTAACACTCACCGCGAAGGTCTGCAGCTTCACTCCTGAGCCAGCAAGACCACGAACCCACCAGAAGGAAGAAACTCCGAACACATCTGAACATCAGAAGGAACAAACTCCAGACGCACCACCTTAAGAGCTGTAACACTCACCGCGAAGGTCTGCGGCTTCATTCTTGAAGTCAGTGAGACCAAGAACCTACCAATTCCGGACACACTAGTACTCTGTAATATAGGAACGTACAGTTTCCTGTGCATTCCTAAAAAAGGCCAGTGATGGCATTAAGTTGCCTCTTGATAGTAACAACTCTACCTATAAAAGTGATGCACATGAAGTCTCGCCCCAAATACTCCACAAAACATAAAAGGTATATAAAAACTAAATAGTATATACAAAATATGTAAGAGGTAAGTGAAACCATCCTTGTATAATTCCAGGTTAAGATCCTGTTATAGAGTCTGCCTTTGAAAGTACAGTTAAATGAAGCAGTATATATTAATTTTGAAAAAGGCACATATGTGGAGGTCTGAATTAAGGGAAAACAGATCTATTTGTTTCTTTTAAATGAGCATGCTAAGAGAGGAGGACAGGCCAGGAATGGTGGCTCATGCCTGTAATCCCAGCACTTTGGGAGGCCAAGGCAGGCGGATCCTGAGGTCAGGAGTCTGAGACCAGCCTGGCCAACATGATGAAATCCCATCTCTACTAAAAATACAAAAATTAGCCAGGCATGGTGGCAGGCACCTGTAATCCCAGCTACTCAGGAGGCTGAGGCAGGAGAATCACTTGAACCTGGGAGATGGAGGTTGCAGTGAGCAGAGATCGCACCATTGCACTCCAGCCTGGGCGACAGAGCAAAAGACTCCATCTCAGAAAACAAAACAAAAACAAAAAAAAAAAAACAGAGCGAGAGAGGAGAACAAAGAGGAAAAATAACTCAAACGCCAACAGGAAGGCACCCAAGAGATGTGCTTTCCATGAAAATTTTTGGCAGGTTCAGAGAGAACTTTAGAAGGTTCAAAGGGGATAGATCTCTGAAAGGTACAAAAAGCGATTTCCTTTGGCAGCCATGTCAGACAAGGTAATATAAGATTTTTGTTTTGATGTATGAATGCCAAATGTCACCATCTCTTTTTCAACTAGCAAATTTAATCTACTGTATCACTACCAAGCCTAGTCATTCTTTATCAAACTATCCTGCTGCTTTGCTTTTTTCTAAACACATTGTTGTCCAATATTTCTGTATTTACTTAATGTCTATTTCTCTAACTACACAATAAATCCAACCATAACTAAGACCTTTTTAGTCCCAATCATAACGAGGACCCAGTCTTGCTCATTGCTATAGCACCCAAAAAGATGGCTAGCACATAGTAGGTATTTAGTATTAATATATATCTATTAGATGAACTAACCTACCTCTTCAGTCCAAGCTTAGCAAAAATCTCAAAAGTCAGTCTTTGTCTGAGCAGAAATCAGATAATGAAAATATAACCCGATATAGAATCCTCAAAGAATGAAAAAGACTTGAACCTAATCTTCTCAAAAATAAAATTTAAAAGCCAGGCTTCCAAGGAAGCTTAACTGCCTAGGATTGATGCATAGGTACCTCTGGGTTGCAGTAGCAAACATTATTACAATTATTAGATTAACACTTGGCTCCCTGAAAACACACCTGCTGCCCCTCCTAAGATAATGAATAAATCTCCTCAGATATAAAATCTCCTTTAAGGAAATAAAAATCAATCACTTTGCTTTTCCACGTTTCAGGGAAGGGTGTATATGTGTGACAGAGAAGAGAAACACAGACACACTCCAATAAAGGGGAAAATACGGCCAGAAAACATACTGTGGGACATTACCACTCTGGCAGTGCACAGAAGATACAAAGAATTAGATGTAAAAGGCATACTAATAAACTAAAAAAATTGAAGGTAGAGGTGATAGGAAAGGCCTGGGATAGAAAGACCTTCTTCATCACACATAAGCAACAACCAAGGGTACTAAAAATAAAAGACAAGGTGATTTAGTGCAGATTAGAAAGATTAAAGTATCTGCCTGGATACCAACAACCCCTGTTAAAAGAATGATGAGTAGATAGGAAAGACTTTTTGTTTTATTTACTCAATATTAGATACAAATTTAAATTTAATTAAAATTAAATAAAATTTAAAATTTGGTCTCAGAAAACATACTGTGGGACATTACCACTCTGGCAGTGCACAGAAGATACAAAGAATTAGATGTAAAAGGCATACTAATAAACTAAAAAAATTGAAGGTAGAGGTGATAGGAAAGGCCTGGGATAGAAAGACCTTCTTCATCACACATAAGCAACAACCAAGGGTACTAAAAATAAAAGACAAGGTGATTTAGTGCAGATTAGAAAGATTAAAGTATCTGCCTGGATACCAACAACCCCTGTTAAAAGAATGATGAGTAGATAGGAAAGACTTTTTGTTTTGTTTACTCAATATTAGATACAAATTTAAATTTAATTAAAATTAAATAAAATTTAAAATTTGGTCTTCAGTCACACTGGCCACATTTCAAGTAAGACAGCACAATATGGACATCCCCAACACTGTAGAAAGCTCTATTACACAGCACTGCTTTACATTCTCACACATCAAAAAAGCCCTCCATTACAAAACATATTCCCAGGCATTAACAATATCAATTTATTTCTGGCCATTAACACAGGTATAATTTTAAGACCACATTTTAACAGCATGCACCATATTACTAATGAAGTCTTAATGCTAACCTGAATACTCTACTTGGAAATGGAGATTTGTGATAAATCTATATTTTAATTTCATTGTTTCCCAAAATTAAAATGCAACTAAAAGCCTGTTCTGGATGTACATTATCTGCCATTAGAAATAACTATTTTATCATACAAATGAAATTTTTGTAAATGTTTACTAACAAAAAATCAAAGAACAGCAAAAAGTTTTTCTGGACTCATTTATTCAATACTTCTACACATAACAAAGAGTAGGAAAGGAAAGGAAGAAAACTATTTCATTCACATCATTAGCAAATGAAAAGCTTGCATGGAAATAAACATCCCCAAACACCACAGCATTTCGCAAATGAACTACTAAAATTCAACATACTAAAGAAGCTCCACCATTTATTTCCCACACACTACACAGTTCCAAGTCAAAAGCTTTATTGAGAGGCAATATAATCCAAGCAAATACAATTTTAAAAAGCTTACATTAGATGATACATTCATCCTTCACTTTGAGAAAATATGCTACATGATTATTCAGAAACCAAATAATGAGAAAGTCCAAACGACCAGATTCCAACGTTGCTATGCAGGTCTCCACAAATACTAAAAACACAGCAGTTTGGAATGTATCTATTACCAGTTCAGATCTGCTCCTCCCCACTAATATGACTTCAGACAAGTCTCTTTCTTTCTGGTTTCATTTTTCTTACCTACGAATAGTAAGGAAACTGAGCACAAGTTCTAAACAGTTACACAAATGGCTAACGACAATTTAAATGTCCAACTGCATGTAATCAAAAAGACAACACATTAATACAGAAATTATATACTAGATCCCAATAAAAAAATTACTGTGCTTCTGTGATAACAGATACTCGTAACGATGGCATTAAAGAAATGCAAGATCCTAACCACACTTCTGGAATATCCATGAAAGAGCAATTATTGTCTGTTTTGTAAGATTATTATATTTTAATTTTCTAACATCTGTATGGTCTACAAGGTTATTCAGTTAAGCAAAATATTCAAAAGAGTACCACATAACATTAAAAATCCATCCTATTAAAAATGAGGTTATAGACATACCAGTCAAAAAATGGGTGCCTAAAACTTTCAATGCAAAAATGGAAGAAGCTAATATGTCAAAAGTGGCCCTCTGAAAAGGTAACATTTATAATTTACAACACTGTTGACTTTTCAAGCATTTGTGAAGGCTTATTGAGCAAAAAAGAGTATCAGTAAATTGATGACTTTCTAAAGTAAAATTATATAAAGAACTTTCAGTAGGATTTTCACTCACAAATATGGAAAAAGGACAACAGAGGTTGGTGGGAGAAGGAATCAAACATTCCAAATGAAAACTAAACCTTTTTGGTGTCAGTTTGGGGAGAATTGAGAAAAGTGAGGAAGGTGGGATGAAATTATCTAACCACTTTTCTCATATTACCCAACACAGGACATGCACGTGGCAGCCAATTACCTGATGCTATTAGGTGAGCCTTCACTTTTCAGATATGGTTGGAAAGTAGGATCCAATCCCTGGAGTACTGAGAGCCATGACTGAATTTTTTTTTTCTCTATAGCTGGTAAAACATATTGGAAAAAGAATGGATTAGGTCTGTACACTTTGTGTCAACTATGACCATACTTAACATGTATTCTAATTCATTAACTTCTTCAGGGGAAGTAATTTTACAAGTTTCCATGAAACTCAGCTATTTATCACCAGTAAGCATTAGTCCCCTCATTAATTACCCTATTGTGTATGACACTAAACTTAAGACTCAGACAAGTCAATTAAAAAATGAGGGTCAACATTTCTTTGAAGTGTCTTGATATTTTTCTTTTTTAAATGAATACATTATTATCCTGTTTTTCTCTAAAATTACTGTTAAGAGAAACAAAGTTCATAATACTTTCAAAATTTAATTTGCTTAAATATAAAACTATAGTCCATCTCAATAAGAAACCTCCAACAATGAATATAACTTTAAGCCTATCTTTCATGTTAATTGAGTGCATATTTCATCAACTTTAAGACACTGATTTTATATCACTAAGATAAAAAGACTGCCAAATAATTGTAAAATGCCACAGAGTATTAGCCTAAATTTTTCAGAAATCCTTATTACCTCCCCTTCCACTCAATCCTATCACTTCTTATGTGCAGTACACCATTCATCTGACATTCAACCATTAACTCTCTGGTGCTACTTTGCTTTCAGCTAAAGTGTATATGCTCATTCTCTAGTTCCATTGCTCTTTAACAGATATTTGTCTTTATCTTCTAAAGCAATCAGCAGAATTCACTTATTAGAAACTACTGAGGAATGGGGGAATCTAAACAATTGAATGTTTCTGTGTAATAATAATTATATATGTATATACACAGGACATAAATGGATACTCTACTGAATAAAACAGTATTTATTTCATGTTTATGAAATCATTCATGCCTCATGTAAGCTTTATTGAAATATTCTGTAAGATATAAAACTTTAATTTAAAAAACCCTGAGTATTAATTATTTTTGAAGAACACTAGTGAATATTAATGAAAAATGATCTTAAGTATACAAACCATTGCTTAAATAACAAGCACTTTGGGAAGAATGTTAATAAGTGCTATCAAAGTGTATTCTAAAATAGAATTTAATAGTTCCAAATATACATATAGTAATAAAAACCTAAGTTAAAAGAGGCCTGCATTCAGGACAAAATTTATAAACCAACTTATGCCTAGAAAACAATATATTCAATTGATAATTACTAAGTGTAGACCAAGATGCAATACAATTTCATATATGATGGGAGATCAAACAGGCATGAAATATTCTACTGCAACTTCCAACCACTTGAGTGGTCCAGATATTTCCATACATTCACGTTAGGACATTTTAGAATGTGTCCACACTGCCACAATCAGGAGAATAGAGTGTACTCAACCTAACTACCAAACGTACTTATTTTATAAAATAAGCAGTCACCAAAGTATGACAGCTAAATTTCCCCCAAAATTGCCAATAAGCATTAATTTTTTTCTTGGTCATGCTACATTATATGCCTAAAGACACATTATTATCCCTACTGAAGTATTATCCATTTCTTATCTCCATAAACATTGTGCTAATAATTTTTAAATGTTATGTGAAGCCTTTCAGGTTTTCAGAAAACAATGGGCACTAATTTATAAAACTCATTTCTGATTAAGACTTTAAAAATTATAATCCCAAATATTTTTATGACCCTACATTTTTAATTACACTTGATACATTTGAATGAAGAGTTCAGAGCATCAACTGCTGATAAAATTGTTTAAAAAGAATCTCAATTTTCCAATTCATCAAAACACTAAATACATCCTATGTGGCTCAACGTAGTTCCAAAGCTGTAATATGTATGCTGCTTACAGTGACTGTGTAGGTTATATATAAACCTTCTGAGCATTAAAAAAGAATTTATGTTTAAAAGAATAATTTTATCTAGTTAAACTTATTAATTGTGACATTATGAAGAGAGCCACTTAAGACTCTCCTTTTTCATTGCCACTATAGCTCGCTAATTCCTCTTTTATTCTCTTCCCCCTTAACGTACCCTCACATTAAAAAACAAAAACAAAAACAAAAACAAAAAACTGGGTTATAACCACATCTTGGGATGGCAAGATTTGGTTATAACCTAATTTTAAAAATTATATCTTTCTAAGGTTTAAGAACAATCATAAAGTTATTTCACTGTAGTTCTCATCTACCTAAAGATCTGCATTGTACATAGTTAGATCGCAGAGATCGAACAACCCACAATGGAAAGATTTAAAGGGATAGATCCAGAGAGGCGACATTCCTGCTTGAAGCACAGACTAAATGGAGGTAAAAATTAAGCTAAGCATGCCTGAGTGACAATAGGAAACTGCTAGAAAACTCTTTAGAAAGTGGTTGGACATAAAATTGGGTTAAACTGGGCTAAATTGGGCATGTCTATGTCCAGATCCCTGAAGGTCCAGCACAAATTCTAAAATTGGTTTTAACTGTTTGGCACACTTTAATTTGTGTATATCTTTTGGCAGAAAAGTTCATTAATTTTCTTCAGAATTTCATTAGATAGTTAATAGACCACATAGAGCTTGAAGCTCCATCTAGCTAAGATACACAACCTCTGCTGCCTAAAAGTCTAAGTGACATATCAAGAGGCCTGAACAAAATGGCACATACCACACAAGCTAGGAATAGTTGTGGAGAGGAGATGCTTCCCAGAAAGAATGGACTGTCATTTTCCAAAAAAAAAAAAAAAAAAAAAATCTAAGCTAAATAACAGAATTGTCCCAAAAGCAAGCAAGGAAATACAACACTAATTAGCCAGTTCATGGGACACTGAAAGCAAAAGATGCCATTTTTAGAGCCAGAGATACTGAAATCCATGTATAAGCTAGAATTAAAAAGATCAATCTGTCCAGGCACGGTGGCTCACGCCTGTAATCCCAGCACTTTGGGAGGCCGAGGCAGGTGGATCACCTGAGGTAAGAAGTTTGAGACAAGCCTGGCCAACATGGCAAAACCCTGTCTCTACTAAAAATAAAAAAATTAGCAAGGCGTGGTGGTGGGCGCTTGTAATTCCAGTTACTTGGGAGGCTGAGGCAGAAGAATAGCTTGAGCCCAGGAGGTGGAGGTTACAGTGAGTCGAGATCGGCCACTGGGCTCCGGCCTGGGCGACAAGAGCGAAACTCTGTCCCCCCTCACCAAAAAAAAAAACCAAAAAACAAATCTATAGATAAACAGAGGAAGCCAACCAATAATGAAAGAATAAAATGCCAGAGAACTGTGAGACTATCCAGAGGCATGTAAAAGAAACAGTGTGACTAGCCTTCACAGCTGCCTTAGTTCCCAGCTGCTTTCGAATAAACTTCCATTTCTCCTGAGGTAATATGAGTCTCTGCTCCTCCTAACAATGAGTCCAACATAAGTCGTACATGATATCACTTCCAAGTATTTCCCTTTCCCTCTAGTGAGTATAATCCGTTGTTACTGTCTGCCCAGCATCCCCTTTTGGAATGGATATAAGCTCCCTTTCCTGTGAAAGATAAACCATTCCATGTGGTTTATATAGGGCTGATATTACACCCAACATCCCACCCTCCTCACAATACATACACATTCACACTCCCTTTCTGTCAACTGGCTGTTACGCACTCCCACCCTCTCGCACTAGCCCATGTGCTCTTTCAAGTGTTCATTTTCCTACACATGCTCTCCTCACTCTCTCCTACACACTCGCCTACACAAACAGGAGTGACTATGTGACTCACAGCCAAGCAATCTGAATACCCATTCCACTAGCCTCAATGATCTGTTCAAGGCTGTGTTAACAGACCATAAGCCAGCAAAAGTCAACTCCAAGACTTTCATGCAAGAGTCTATCAGTGGTAAAACTGCCAGCCCTGAGAAACGGACAAAGAGGCAGACTCCTAAACACACTACATACCTGTAACTATACACTATCCTTAGTACTCAGGACAAAGTCATTCTTTTCCCCCAAACTTAAGATTTGAAACCCCGAAGAAGTCCTTATATCTTCTTTCAGACCTGTAAGCCAGAGATTTAGGGCAGACTGGGAAACTCATCAATTCCTCTACCTATCTCTAGCAGCACAGTGGTCTGAAGGACTTCTAATAAGTTTCCCAAATAAAGACTATAATTGCCTCTTCCATCATTCCCAAAGATCCATTGAAATGGTCACAGAGAGGAACAGACCAACCCATCATTCCAAGTTTGAAAATCTAATAACATTCAAATGGAATTTTGTCTTTCGAGGCAAACATACACTTACACAATTCAATAGCATTTTTAGCAATTAAATTTATTTGTCTCCACTTTATTTACTGTCTGTGTCTCTCCATTAGACACTATGAGAGCAGAAACTGGACTGGTCTTGTTTACAGCACCTGGCAAATGGCAGGTGTGCTATAATAATTTCTTAAAGAATTAATAAATATAAAATGCCTATTCACACACTCATTCTATAATCATGTATTACTTTGGCCTGAGAACCCATTATCTATAAAGCACTCCACTGGGGACTATGGGAATTACAAGGATCACATATGAACTCAGTCCTCAAAGAACTTGTTCTTGGACTCCTTGTGGCCACAAATCCTTTTTGATCTTCTGATGAAAACAGGGACATTCTGTTCAGAAAAATACCTAAACAAATATGCTAAGACTTTGCATTAAATTGGAAGAAATTCCCAAGGTAAGAATTGCAAATCTAGTAAGACAATGATATGTATGCATTTACAGAAGTACTGTGGTCTTTTCTTTGTTCGTTATTATATTCTAATAAGGAAATTATGTAGAAAAATGATCAAGAGACAAGCAAGAAAGACCAAACAAGTCTCCTACTTTCAGAAAATAGTTATGCTGGGAGCCTTTGTGTACAAAGACCACTAAGAAATATTAACATATCTGTAGCATGAAAATATGAGCCACTGATGAAGCTGCATACAAATCCAAAGGTCTTCAAGTTATAAAGCATAAGCGAGACGAGAATTTCTTGTTATGAGTAGAGAAAAAGAGAAATAATTCAGACTGGCAGAATCCATTCATGAAAAAGGCTCCTGAGTGCCTGTAGGCTTTAATTTATTTTTTCAAATCTTGCATTAAACTATCTCATCAATTTAAGTGTTATATAAGAATTATGATTAGTGACCATTAAATATTTTTAAAGCATTAATAATTAAAACTACATGCAGGGGTAGAAAAAAAACAATGTGATAATATGGCCTACATTCTGAAATTCTGAGAAGGCTTTCCTCTTGGGTCATAGGTTTCAATCAGACTAACATCATCCTCCTAAGGATGTTTACAGCATAAGAGGAAATAACCTTGCAAGAGTTAACTTTGCAAACCAAACCTATCGAGTGCCAATAAATACCATTCTACAATTAACAAGTTTTCTCCAACTGTAATAATAAAAACACTCCAAAAACTTCAATAGGAATCCTAACAAGTTCAACCCTCTGAATTTCATCTTCTACTTCTCTAAATGCAGTCAATTAAAAAGTCAATTGCTATTGAGCAAAATTTTCTGACGTGCAGACCAAAAAAATTGATTTCAATTGCTATTGAAATTTCAATTGCTATTGAGCAAAATTTTCTGACGTGCAGACCAAAAAAAAAAGCAAATCTACATAAGAAATATCTTCTTCTAGGGAATGTAAAAAATGTAAAGTTCAAAGCTGAAGTTGATGCCATAATCGGAACAATTATCAAAGGTCAGCAGAGTTAGAAGCAACCTAAGAAATTATCCAGATCACTACTCTCTTTTACATAAGAAAGCCAAGGCATACCAAAAGCATGCCTATTAGGCTGAGAATAAATTTCAAATTTATGGAGCAGATATAGGCAAAATTAGATCAATACTGGTACCAGAATACGTTTTAAAACATGCAAACTAAGCTTAATAAATCTAAGTACTTACATTAAGAAGTAATTCATCTTTTGTTTTAAGAGGAAAATTCTTATTTTCCTTCTCAATTTGTAAATCATCATCTCCATCTGACAGCACTGGAGGAAGTGATATACAAGAGGAAGAAGACGACGATGAGGAAGATGAAGAGGAAGACGATGAACTTGAACTATCTGAATCTGTTTCACTGTAGGGAAGAAAACAGTTAAAAAAATAGTCCAGTATTATTATACTAATATTAAAATAAGATTATTCAATTAAGAAATATCAACTTTAATACAAGTTTACTATTGCTTATTCTAATATTAAAATAAGATTATGCAATTAAGAAATATCAACTTTACTACATGTTTACTACTGCTGTTCTAATTCAAAACTAGCACTTCAAAACTGATATGGTATTGGGAAAGTAGTATTTAGTTTACCAATAACATTTTCAAACCTTTGCCATAACCCAGATCCTCTTATTACAATACTCTCACATATCATACACCTGTCTGAATATAAGCAAGCATGTGACAAACCACTAAAAAAAGGGAATTCTGGGCATGGCACCTCTCTTAGTCACAACCACCAGATCGCTTAATTGCCAGATTGCTTAATGAGTTTCTTCTCAGGCTACAGACAACTTGGGAAATCCTCAGTTACGAAAGTATGTAGACCATTCTACTTTCTGAAAACTCACTTGGTCCTTATCTTCCACAGAAATTATCGTTAACAGCAACCACTGTCTCAGTTTAAATTTTGTTTGTTGGCTCCCCACTTGAAGCCCTTTTATATACTATTTTTAAGGGTTCCATCCTCACTTTCTCTTCTTTCGCTACTACTTTCATGGATAATCCCATACACATTAATGATTTCAGTCATCATCCATGTGAATTAACGCCTAAATCTTCAGCTATGACATCTCTAAACTCCATGTCCAATCTCTGACGGCATACTGGCCACCTTTGTACGAATGGCCTATACACCCACACTCATAGCAAGTTAAAACAAGAAAAAGTGCATTATACTAACTAAACCTGCTTCTTCAGTTTCCATTTGATTTCACTGCTGTTAACTGGCAAAAAGTTGTACCCCTTTTGACTTCTTCAAATATTTGGTATCCTCTGCCATCACCCACAGAGTCAGAAGTAGTATCCTGACACTAAGTTGGCCTATTATGACGCCATATCCCTTCTGCTTTCAAAACGTATCCCCAAATCATCTACCATTTACTTTTCTTTGCTAGTAAAATGAGCTCTGAAATCCCACAAGATGATTATACTGCAATCTTAGTACTGCCAAGAAATCCAACCTTGTTTACAGTTGTTACTTCCCCCTCCCAGTACATTTCATACCCTCTCCTTCTACTCAAATCCTTCAGCCTTCTTCACTTCCACTCTCCGCTGATGACTTCCCTGAAAACTAAACTTCTCACCTCCTCAACACGTGTCTATCTTGTTAACCTGTTCAGTACCCCACTCAACACACTCAACTATTTGTAGACAATGTTCAGTGTGGTTTAGTAACATCCCACATGCTGGAGTCCTCTCCAGCCCAGAGATTTCATATTTAAAAGACAGGTGTGGGGGCAAGGGGGAAAGGCTCTCACAAAACGTAAGAAGCATAAGATACTACTAAATAACACTGTTTGGCTACTTTCATAAACACGTGTTCCCTGCAAGGATTCTATAAATTAACGTAATCATCAAGAGCCAGCTTTGAAACACAAAAAATAATACTTTTCCTGATCCCCAATGTATGTGGTTCAAAAAACAAAGCCTAGATGTGATGATAAAAAAAAATCAGATCTGACACAAAACTCAACTATAACCACAAAAGTACAGCCTAAACTGAGTAGTTACGGAAATAACCTAAGATCCTCGGGTTTTCTAAAGTCTAACAAAAAATGATACGATCTATACATAGAACCCTTCAGGCCACCAAATTTAGGAAATAAGTCAGTACTAAGCTCAGATTCACAACGCGACCTGCTTTGAGAGGCAGCGAATAAGGGGCAGTCGGAGCCAATACTTCAACACGTGAGCCCGGAGCACCAACGACCTGCCCACCCTCCAGGGCCCACACAAGCAACCTCTAGGCTCCTAGGCCCCAGCCACCCCCGCCCGTCATACAAGACCTCTCCCCACAGCTCCGGGTCCCTTAGGCACCCGACCTGTCCGAGTCCGAATCCGAGTCCGAGGTCTCCAAGGAGTCCGGCGCCCGCGCAGGCTCTGCGGCTCCTGGGGAGGTGACGCAGTCTCCGCAGGCCGGCGATTCAGCCGGTGGCTGTGGCTGCGGCGCCGGGGTCCCGGCCGCGACGGCGTTCAGAACGGGCTGCAGAGGCTGCTCCCCGGCAGGCTTAACCTCCACGGTCTGCCCAGCGTCCGGGGACCCCTCAAACGACTGTAGCGGCGGCTGTGTCCCTGGCACAGGGGCAGAGCCCGGAGACGGAGCCGCCGGACCTTCCCCAACTCCAAAGTCGGTGCCATTGAATTTCAGAGTTTCCAGCTGAGCGGCGGCGGCCTCCACTACCTCCATCGCACCGCGCCAGAAACCGGGTCGGCCTCAGGATTGGGGCCCCTGGACAAGCTCACGGCTCTCTCCAGAAATAGAAAAACAACTTAGGCAACCGCAGCAACACTGCCTGGGCCCAACTTCCCGCGTTTCTCAGGTAACTACACGCGGAGGAGCCAAAAGACACGCCCCCGCCATTTACGCAGCAACGCTTTCCGAAGAGCGTGTGACGTATGTGGCGCGACGGCGCGACGGCGCTCGCGGGGGCAGGATACATGCGTCATATCTTCGAAAATCAGGATTAGGGGGTCGGGCGCCGTGGCTCACGCTCGTAATCCCAGCACTTTGGGAGACCGAGGTGGGCGGATCACAAGGTCAGGAGTTCACAGACCAGCCTGCCCAACATGGTGAAACCCCATCTCTACTAAAAATACAAAAATTAGCTGGGCATGGTGGCGCGTGCCTGTAATTCCCACTACTTGGGAGGCTGAGGCAGGAGAATCGCTTGAACCCAGCAGGCGGAAGTTGGAGTGAGCCGAGACCGCGCCACTGCACTCCAGCCTGGCGAGAAAGCGAGACTCCGTCTCAAAAAAAAATAATCAGGACTAGGGAGGCCCTAAATCGACCGTTTTCACTGCGTCATGTGAACCATTCAAGGCCTGAATGTCGGATTTTCCTATTGCTGCATGTGAACCAATTCTGCTTGAAGCGCCAAAATGAAGCAGGGATTATACAACAGGGGGGTGCCTGAAGAATGCTAAGTTCTGTACATCAGAAACTTGAGCCAGGAAGTCTTGACAAGACGCTAGTAACTTCATGAAAGTTAAATGAAGTTTATCCATCAATAGATCCATCTGTCGATAGATAGGGTATTAACCATTTTTTCAAAAATGTAACTACAACTATTCCATTTTCCTTTCTCCAAAGTACCCTCAAAGAGAGCAGTAATGGACAAAATTTTGCTGTGTTGTTCATGTTATGGTGATGTCTATATCATACTTAGCACTGTTTCGTAGTAGAGAGATGAGACTATGAGACTGAAATGTACTCACTTATTGTTGGAAACCACTAGTCTAAATTGTGGAGAAAGCAAGCAGAGTTCTTAGGACTGAGGAAGAGATCAGAATTTTCTGGTTTCCTATTAGGTCTTCAGTTTGAGGCATCAGTCCCTGTGTAGTAATAATAATCATTGATACCATTTGTTAAACATGCATATGTGCCAAGGACTGTGCTAAAGATTTTATAAATTATTCACTGAGAATTTAGTGTGTCATCTACAACAGTAGATCTTCATAGAAATGCAAGGCAAGTGTAATAAGAGTAAGGTTTTAAGAAGCTTACAATCTACTTGAAGTAGAGAAGGGCAATGCACAGGAGATAACTAGAAAAATATTTGAAATATGAAATAGAAAATCCAAGTGCAGCAGAAATGGGAAGTAGGATTGGTAGGCTATTTCATGGAAATCCTCCAAAGTGAAGAAGGACTTTAAACTTGGGATACGAACTTACTAGCACAATGATTAAGCAGAGCTCAGAGTTTTCAACTAAAAAGACCTGTGTTCAGGCCTCAGCTCTACCATTTTGTGTTTGGTGTTACTGACTTTGGGCAGTTAATCTAAATCCTAATTTCCTTATCTGTAAAATGGAGATAAAAATACTATCTCATTTAGTTCATGTGAGCACTAAGTAAGGCTTTATATAAGGGAGTGGCATGTCATACATTCAGTGTGCAAAAATACTTGGAAAATGGAACAATGCATGAACTCACGAATAAAATATTTAATTAACAATGATCTTGCAAAGACATGCAGTACAGATTTGAGAAGGGAAGACGTTTGAGCCAGAATTATTCCCCAGCCAGCCACTTTGTTGCATTTTTCCAGGAATTAGGTGATAAAAGTCTGAACTAGGCTTACAGTCAATGAAATAGAGTAAAGGACATCCCCAGCATCAGGGGAAGAATAAAAGTACTCTAAAATTTCTGGTCAAGGAAATTAGAAAGAAGTTGGTATTACCAATAAAAACGGAGAAGTTGGCCAGTCGCAGGGCCTCACGCCTGTAATTCCAGCATTTTGGGAGGCTGAGGTAGGCAGATCACCTGAGGCCGGGAGTTTGAGACCAGCCTGGCCAACATGACGAAAACCCATCTCTTCTAAAAATACAAAAACTTAGCTGGGCATGGTGGTGGGCACCTGTAATCCCAGCTACTTGGGAGGCTGAGGCAGGAGAATCGCTTGAACTCAGGAGGCAAAGGCTGCAGTGAGCCAAGATTGCACCATTGCACTCCAGCCTAGGCAACAAGAGGGAAACTCCCTCTCAAATTAATTAATTAATTAATTAAACGGAGAAGTTGGAAAGAGATGTGGGTATGTGAAGTTGAGTCTGAAGAAAAACTAGACAATTAAAAATGTAAATAGGCATTTAAAAATAAGAAACTGGAATTTGACAGAAAGGTTAAGACCAGAAGCCTAAGTTATGGGATAATTGAAATACTCATTTGTTCATTCAGTAATCATTTTCTTAACATTACGATATGCTGTGCACTGCATTATAAACTATGCATACAGGAAGATAAACACAGTCCCTACCCTTATGGAGTTAACAGTTCAGTAGAACAGACAAGTTGAAAACAAGCAGAAGGTACTATAGTAGAGAAATGTACCATGTAAATGCAAGAATGTATGAAATGGGAAAACTAAAGACAGAGAAGATACTTGGAAAATTAAGGAAAATGTACTATAAGAGATATATCGTGGCTATAAGAGTAATTATAGCCATAAGGCTCACTCAAGTGTCTTGAGGGGCTGACACTAAATGTATTTATCAATATAATACTAACTGGCCCTGGAGATTTCCACCCCTGGCCCAGTGATTTCCAGGAGACCAGGCCACTTCAGCACAGATGCAACTTTCATGAACCTTAAAGCTTACCCTTGTAAGAATAGCTTCGACTCCATTTATGAGAGAAACATCTGATAACTGACCAAGCTGAATACAGGTTTTAAAAAGGGGGAAGAAACCCCCAACACTGAGAACAGTCTCTGGTTGGAGGCTCTCTTGATCATCCGAGCCCTGACTATCTGGTCTATACCCCCAGCCTCTTCCCACTATCTTTTAAGAGCGATGCCAGAATAAACTACTAAAGCATGAGACAGTCTCTAAGACTCATCTTTGACTTGAATAGAACTGAATGGGAGAAGTCACCTCTAGGAAAGCTGGTTAAACAGGACCACCCAACCACTGCCTCACTGACAATGACAAAAGGCTTTACAATGCGTGTGATACTTGAGCTGGACTTTTAAAGAGAACCATGAATTTGTTAATCTGAGAAAACAGGAGACCTTCACAGGGGATAATAAATAAGATCATTGTAATTTCCTGCTTAATTATTTATAAACTCTAAATATTTGTAAGCACACTTAGAATAAAATTCAGACTCCCTGCTTTGGCTTTCAACAGTCTACCTGATCTGGCCACTACTTACCTCTCCAGTTTCTATCTCCTACCGTCTTCCCCACCCTTGTTTCACATGAGCACTGGTCTTGATCTCCCTTCAACTCACCAAGTTAATTCTTCACGTGTGACATTTTCACTTTTCTGTTCTCTCTTCTCTTCATATTAACGTGGCCTTTTTACTCATTTATGGTTCTACTCAAACACTACACCTAAGAGAGAGCTTTCCAGACCACCCAATCTAAGTGCACCCCTCAATACCAATCACTTCCTAGCTTATAGCTCACTGTTTTTATTTAAATAGTATTTATCTTCACATGAAATTATATTTATTTACTTCTTTATTGTCTGTTTTTTCATAAAATTAAGTCTCAGGTGCCCAGGATCTTTGTCTAATTCACAGCTGTTTCTCTAAGTGCCTGGAAACAGAATAAATCCTATAAGGATTTTTGAATGGATGAATGAAAGAAAGAAAGAATAAAGCTCAATGGGACAATCAGAGTAAGGAATATGACTTAACAGATAATATCTGTTATTCTTTCAATTTAAATTAATCTGATGATATCTAAGAAAGGCTACTGTTTTTAAATAAAAGTCTTTTGTTTGTGTGGTGGAAATGTTTCTGTGTTTCAACATAATGATAGTGGTACCTATGCCTAGCTTTGAAGTAGGTCAGTGTTTCACAAATGGTAATTTTTCTAAGTGCTTGTTTCAGAATGTCCTGAATTTACCTACTTCCACAGCCTTCCTCTCAACCGCATTATTTCTAACAGTTGCTAAACTTAGCCTGAAGTCTTTAACCTAAGACTAAATCCAAAAAAACACCTTGGAAGACTGTGTAGCTTACAGGGTCACTATTAACGTTATGAGAGAATTTACCTTGAATTAAATTACAATTTAAATGGCATATTACATTTCAAAGGGAGCACGTAAAACTTAAATTATTTCTATAAATGTCACTGATTGATCTTAGTCTATTTCAATGTTTAAAAATACATGAATAGACACATTTACATTTCCAGAAACCTACAATGCACTTGCTAGATAAAAATGATGAGATTTTCTAATATATATCACAAAATGATTAAAAGCAGGTTATGTGACTGTTTGGGTGAGTTGCTATTCCTATTTATATATTGTAGCACTAATTTAAGTCAAGGTCATATGTTTGCATTGCCAACTAGTGTAGTAGGGAAAAGAGAGGTATAAGTGCTATTTTAACTCAAAATGGACTGAAACTCTACTGGACTCATTTGAGAGTATGGACAGAAATTATAGATTAGAGACTAGGCATCTCTTGCCACCTAGTCTCCTCTCACACTCAGCTTGTAAGAGAGTGACTTATCAGATAAGAGAGTGACATCTGACTGGTGATCTTGGGAAAAGGAACTGAGCATACTTGGTCCAGTATCTTTGTGTTATAGGAGATAGAAATTATTTAGGTAGAGAGTTAGGGTGAGTCCCAGGCAGAAAACTTTCCTTCTAACAAAAAGCAGCTCAGAAATAGCTCCCTTTTTAACCTCAATCAGTTCAAAGAAATCACTTCCTTTCTAACAAAGAGCAGCCTGGACGCTCAGGCTGTAAAACACATATAAGCAACTAAGGCACAGAGTGGGGAGTTTCCTGGGTAATCACCAAACTTCACATACATACAATGGGTCCCAGTAAAAACAGTGGGCCTTCATAAGCATATCTCTTTCTCTTTCTTTAGGCATACTAAGACAGGGAAGCTGGAAGTAGGCACAGGTGAGATACCTGCAGCTGCAAGAAGGTGCCTGGGAATAGGCACAGACACTCTTCCCTCCCTTTTAGCACACACAAACAGCACAGAGCAGCATAAACTAAGAGTGTACCCACATGATCAAAGAATGGGGTGGGGGCTGATAGAGACCCTGCTCTATGCAGATAGCACACCTGGTCCTAACCATTTGTTCGGGCCCTAGGAAGATAAGTCACACCCTCCTTACTAGCCCATTTATAAAAAACTGACATTTTTTACTACAACTTGGCAACCTGTTTGGGACCCCTCTCCGTGACCGAGAGCTGTTCTTTTCTTTTGCCGAATAAACTCCTGCTCCAGTCTCACTCTCTGTGGTTATGTGTTCATGTTCTTGATTTCCTCAGCTGTGAGACCAAGAACCTTGGTATTTACCCCAGACGATGAGGCCATTTTATACTTGGGGACCCATCCGGGATTTGAAGGTAAATTTATCGGCAGGATGAGTATAGGAGCGGACTCTATACTTTAATTTCCGAGGCTTCTCATCCTCAGTTTTTATTCTCTCAACTATCAAAAACCCAGGCATTTGACAGCTGATTAAGGAGCCACCAGGGCAAGTTGCTGCTCTTGAAGACTCAAAGGAGAGGCTTGCTGGGGAGGACTTAGTCAATCTCCCAGTGTCTTCGGGGTGCTGGGAATGTTGGCCCTGTTCCAAACCAGTTTCCTTTCATGGAGAACCTGGCCATCCTGTGGGGCTGGGAGAGGTCCTGGAGCAACTGAAAATTTCTGTCTGGTCAGGGCTATACCCTGGTGCTATCTAAAGGCTTCTGGACTGTCCCCAGCCCCCAACTGCCCAATCAGGTGTCAGCTACAGGATCTCCAAGCTTTCCTACTGCACATTATACTTTCCTCCTTTCCTTTCCACTGTCACCATGTCTCCCATTTCCTCTCTGTATGCAATGCAGCAGGAGTTTTTACAGCCCTGGAAAAAATTCAATTAGGCAGGCTTAGCAACCACCTTAGAAACCAGGAATGCAGATCAAAGGATTGCTCTTTTTGTGATTTTCTACAGACAGGGAGATTTTCCAGTTCTTTTCTGTTTTGCTTCCCTCTGCTAGAGACCAAACTTTTTGCCCCCTCTGCAAGCGGGAGAACTCTGCTTTCAGCAGTGAGGAGAAAAATGTCCTCCAAAACCACATTTTAATCTCAATACTCTCTCCATTAGCAGAAAGGCTACCATTTGACCTTTATGTTCTCTTAAGACACCTATTCTGCCTACAACTAGAATGGCATCTAAATAGAAAGGGGATTTTGTGTCTCGAAGTTAACTGGAACCACTACCTAAGAATAAATTCTCTAATCTGGTCCATAAGAGCAGATTATAAAGCTCAATCCAGTATACTCCCTCCATTAAGGGGTCTTGCCCAAATGCAATTGTTACATAGTCTCTCTCGAGACCCATCCATCAAGGAGTCATGCAGACCACACAAGTCTAGGAGGTCAAAGGGTAATCACCAAGCAGAGGACTAAGGTCACATGGGCTAGTAGTGTGACTAGCCCCATTGCTTAGTTCTGTGGTACCATGGTTTGAGGGTCATACCTGCAACTATGGGTGGCACTACAGTGCCAGGACCCAGGAACCAAGGAGGGAGAACAGTTGGGGTGATGCTCCCACTGTCTTTCCCCTCCACCCTGGGTCACACTGAAAAGAACAAGGAGACTGAGGGATGCCTCTTGTCTCTTTTCTAAATGGATAACAAGCCATCTTTGGCCTGCACTCCTCTGGAGTACATTCTGAAGCACTGGAACTCCTTTGACCTTGAGACTTTGAAGAAAAAGTGGCTCATTTTCCTTTGCACAAGGGCGTGGCCTTCTTACTATCTTGGAAATGAACAGACCTGGCCAGCTGAAGGAGCCTTGGTTTTAATCTTATCCAACAATTAGACCTTGTTTGTAGATGGGAGGGCAAGTGGCCCAAGCTCCTCTATGTACAGGCTTTCTTTGCCTTGAGAGACAACTCAGACCTTTGCAAGCATTGCACAATCGACTAAGCCCTCTTGATGGCCATATTGGGCAAGTCTGTAGAGAGTAGACTAAGTCAGAAAAGCAAGTTTTTAAGGAGCCATTGGAGGCAACTTCTAAGTGCCCCACCAGTTCTTCCTGTCCCCCTTATCCAGGATGCCCTGTGACTGTGCCATTGGCTCCTCTGGCTCCTCCAGCTCCCCCATCTCCAAAGCTCTCCACTGCCCCATCTTCACTCTGACCCCTACAAAAAATGCCAGATGGAATGGGCACCACTAGGGTGCAAGTTCCCTTCTCATTACAGGACCTTAGGCAAATAAAGGGAGACTTGGGCCAATTTTCTGATGACCCTGATAGGAATATAGAGGCCTTCTAAAATTTAACTCAAGTGTTTGACCTCACGTGGAGGGATGTTATGCTGTTTCTAAGCCAAACCCTCACTGCAGCTGAAAAAGTGGCACTCTGCAGGCAGCAGAGAAGTTCGGAGATGAAAAACATATCTCTTATAGTAGGCCAAAAAGGAAAAGGGGAGATATAGAAGGTGAGGAAATAACAGAACAACCATTCCCAATATGAAGAGAGGCTATACCTCTTGACGATCCTGATTGGACTCCCTGTGACCCCATAGACTAATGGAAAAGGAAACGCCTTTTAATGTGTGTGTTAGAGGGCCTTAGAAGAACTAGGGGCAAACCACTTAATTACTCTAAGTTGTCCACAATAGACCACAAGCCAGATGAGAATCCCTCAGCCCTCATGGAAAGGGTGAGAGAGGCACTAGTAAAACACACCTCTTTGTCCCCTGATTCAATTGAGGGATAGCTCATTCTAAAGGACAAGTTTATTATCCAGGCAGCTCCTGATATTAGAAGGAAACTACAGAAACTGCCATTACTGCTCAGAAGCCCTGGGTGATTCTGGAAATTGAAGGGAGGAGGGCGGACCTCCTCCTGGACACTGGAGCCAGTCTTTCTGTTCTCCTCTCCAATCCAGGCCTCCCCTCTTCCCATAGCACAATCATGGTGGGTGTTATAGGAAAGACTAACACGGTTTTTCTCTCAACCCCTTACTTGTAGTCAGGGGGACTTGTTATTTACACATGCCTTCTTGATCATGCCTGAAAGTCACATTCCTTTATTAGGTAGAGACATTTTAGCCTGCATAGGGACTAGCATCCTCATGGCCCTGGGACAGACTTTTTGTATTCCCCTAATGGAAGCCAATATTAATCCAGAAGTGTAGGCGGCTCAAGAAAGAATAGGTCGAGCTAAAACTGATAGGCCAGTTTAGATCCACCTTAAAAATCCCACTTCTTTTCCTAACCAGAGACTATATCCCCTAAAGCCAGAGGCTAGGAAAGGGCTAGAAACCATAATAATAACCTGAAAACGCAAAGCCTCCTCAAACCCTGTAACAGTCCTTGAAATACCCCGATACTAAGAGTGCAAAAATCCAATGGGGAATGGAGACTAGTTCAGGACCTCTGCCTCATTAATGAAGCCATAGTCCCAATTCATCTGATAATTCCTAATCCCTGCACCTTGGTAATCCAAATACCTGAGGGAACAGAATGGTTTATAGTCCTAGATTTAAAGGATGCCTTTTTCTGCACACTGTTACATCTTGACTCTCAATACCTATTTGCCTTTGAGGATCCCTCTGGCCAAACTTCCCAGTGAACCTGGATGGTGCTGCCTCAGGGATTTCGAGACAGTCCTCACTTGTTTGGACAGGCACTGTCTCATCCTCAGACCAGGTCTTGCAATATGTAGATGATCTTCTGTTCTGTGCCCCAAGTGAGGAAGATTCCCAGGAAGGCACTGAAGCTCTTCATAATTTCTTAGCTGACAGAGGATACAAGGTTTCAAAATCTAAGACCCAGCTTTGCCAGACTTTAGTAAAGTAACTGAGTTTACTGCTGTCTGAGGAAACCAGAGCATTAGAGAAAGAAAGGGTTAAGCCCATTTCTTCCTTCCCCCTCCCCAAGACCCTCAGGCAACTAAGAGGATTTTTAGGCATTACATGATATTGCAGACTGGATACCTGGGTATGGTGAGATAGCCCGACCTCTATGTCAGCTCATGAAGAAACTCAGGCAGCTAAAACTCACTTCCTGACCTGGGAAACTGAAGCCCCAAAGGGCTTTAACCAGTTAAAGCAAGCCCTACTTAAGGCACCAGCCCTCAGCCTTCCCCGACGAGGGCCCTCAATCTTTATGTATCTGGTAGCAGAAGCCACCAAATTAACCCTGGGAAATGGCTTAACTGTTTACACTCCACACAATGTAGAAGGATTGCTGTCCCCTAGGGGAAGCCTTTGGCTAACAGACAGCCGGCTCCTTAAATATCAGGCTCTGCTGTTAGCAGGGTCAGCAGTTCAGCTAAGAACTTGCTCTCACCCAAATCCAGCCATTTTCCTCCCCAAGGAAACTGGGGAATCTGAACATGACGGTGAACACATTGTGGTACAGACCTATGCAGCCAGGGAGGATCTCAAGGAGACTGCCCCAGAAAATCCGGACTGGACCCTCTTCATGGATGAGAGTTTCTTTGTAGAACAAGGAGTGAGTAGGCAGGATACACAGTAGTCACTCTGAATAATGTTATGGAAAGTGCACCTCTCTCCAGGCACAAGCGCTCAACTAGCTGAGCTGACAGCTCTTACAAGAGCACTTGAATTAAGCAAGGGAAACGTAACTAACATTTACACTGATTCTAAGTATCCTTTCTTAGTTCTCCATGCTGATGCTGCCATCTGGAAGGAGAGGCACTTTCTAACTGCTAATAGGTACCCTATAAAATACCATCAGGAAGTTAACAGGTTATTATCCTCGGTTTTCCTTTCTTGAGAGGTAGCAGTGATGCATTGTAAAGGCCATTAGAAGGAAATAGATGAAACAGCGGAAGGAAACAAGTTAGCTGATCAGGCAGCCAAGTCAGCAGCAAGAAAGCCTCAGGGCATCAACACACTTAAAGCCCCTCTAGTCTGGGAAGGCTCCGTAACAGCAATGAAGCCTCAGTACTCCTCTGAAGAGATAGAGTGGGCCACTTGGAGGTACATTTTCCAGCCTTTAGGATGGCTATAGCCAGAGAATGGCAAACTCCACTTGTCACCTCCTAGACAATGGAAAGTCCTTAAAATTCTTCACCAAACTTTTCACTTGGGAAAGGATAAAACTTATCAGTGTGCCCAGAGATTGTTTTCAGGAGATAACTTACTAAAAACAGTCAAATAGTGTGGCTTAAAAATAATTCCCTCAAGAAACGTCTCCTTCCTCCTCAAACCCAAAGAATAGAGAGCTATCCAGGGCAGGACTGGTAAATAGACTTCACCCACATGCCAAAGGCAAAGGTGGGACTTCTTTCACTAATGGGTAGAAGCATTTCCATGCTGTACAGAAAAAGCCTCTGAGGTAATAAAAGTTCTAGTTAATGAAATAACTCCCTGCTTTGGCCTACCTAAGCATCTCAAAACTGACAACAGCCCCTCATTTAAAACAGCTGTCACCCAGAGGGCCAAAGGCTCGAGGCATACAGTATCATCTCCATTGTGCTTGGATGCCCCAGTCCTCAGGGAAGGTAGAGAAAAAAACAACATTATCAAAAGACACCTCATAAAACTGTCCAGGGAAACTCACCTTCCTTGAGTCACTCTTCTTCCCATAGCTTTACTACAGGTAGGAAGTATCCCTTCAAAGTCAGACTTGAGCCTTTTCGATATGCTGTATGGACAGCCTTTCCTTACAAATGACTTCCTATTAGACCAAGAAACCTTGAATTGGTTAAGCATGTAACCTCCCTAGCTCACTTCCAACAGGAATTAACCAACTAGTGGAGGTGGCCCAACACTAGGAAACAGGACCACCTTTATTTAACCCAGGATATTTAGTACTGGTGAAGGCTCATTCCTCTCTCTCTCCATCTTTAAGCCCAAGTTGGGAGGGACCTTACACTGTTCTTGTTTCTACCCCCTCGGCAGTAAAAGTTACAGGAATCAACTCCTGGATACATCACAATCAAGTTAAGCCTTGAAGAACTGAAGGAGAAGTCCCTGACAGCTCGGAACACCCTCAATATCACTGTGAAGAAATGGGGGATCTCAAGCTGAGAATCACCAAAGATAAGTAAATGAGTGAGGACTATTCATTCTACTTAGTCCCACCTTCGTCCTACCAGATACTCTCAGTTATTTCCACCTTTCCCTTTGAGATTTGCCACCAGATATTAGAACTCCTCTTTGACGCATACTTGCAGGGAGACTGACTATCTGTGGGGTTACATTTGTAGCTTCATAGACTCACAGGGGGAAATTCTATATCCTGGTGAATAAAATTTTAAATAATTTACTGCATTACAGTTGGAGGAACTGCTATGCTCACTCCACTGTTTGCAGTTGGACTATATACTGTGGCAGCTGCACAGTGGAATTCTGGACAAACAATTCTAGTTGCTCTAATATTGTGCCTGATTATCACCTTTATAGCAGGCCTAATAATTACAGGAAAAAGACAAATATGAGGGCCTTGTTGCTAAAACTTCTCTTCCTCCTCTTAATAGTGCAGGTTAATCTCCTGAACCCAATAGCCGAACAGATCCAGTGCCTAGCCTGGGCAGTCAATCTAACTTCATGTTATATCTGTATTTCAGATTCGCCGTCAGCTGAAGTATTACCACGATCATTAGAAGATTTAGCTAACGTTAACACTAAAGTTACCCTAGTCACTCAGTCCAATGCAACTTATCCTGATGAGCAAGTAAAAAATGTATTTCTCCCAATCATATCACAAGTTATAGAGGATGGCCCAGACCTGAATTTTACAGAATCTTCACCTCTTGTAAGAGTCTTTTGCACTGTACTTCCAAGGTGCACATTATCCATTTGTTTCACATCTTTGAGAACAAAGGGAACTTACCTGGGAACCTTGTCCAGCTGCTCATATGAAGTATTTCTTAGTTGGACAACTCAGGAAAGGTAATACAACTCTTCAGAAAAGAGAGACAAATGGTATCTTAAAGTAAGAAAGCAACACCAGTTCCTTCTCTTTAAATACCCAAATTCAAGGTGACCTCAGTTTACTAGTAACACCAACACTTCCTGCATTTCTACGGGTTGGTACTCAGTGTTGAAAGATAACTCACCTTTACCCCTAGCCCGAATGTTAGCCTGGGGAATACAAAGAATGTTCTTAAAATTCCACCCCAATCACGTATTCCTTTCCAACATTCGGGCAGAATTTGCCTCAATATGGGAGGACCTCACTGGAAACTACCTAAGTGCATGGGACACCCCCTAACCCCCCCCTCCTGAAATTAGAGCTGGCCTTCTGGGGATATCAAGTATCTTTAGATCCCAAACAGGAACTGTTCTTCATATGAAGAAACACGGGATATGTGAGCCTGCCAAGTCAATGGAGGGAGCCTGTGGTGTTGCAGCAATACTTCCAAAAGTATCCTATGCCAATGCTCTACACAATTCCCATTCCTTATAAAACATACCCACGCTGTAGCAAAAAGGGCAGCTCATGTAATTCTACTCCCTTTAGCACCTGTTGTAACTGGACTTCTGGGAACAACCCTTGGGTCCATCTCTCTACATTTATCTTCTCAGCAAACCCAGGCCCTAGCTGAAATTATAGCTGCCACTCAGAAACAACAATGGCAAATAGACTCACTCACAGGTGTCACCTTGCAAAATTGAAGAGGACTGGACCTCCTAATGGCAAGTCAGGGAGGAATATGTGTTTTTCTTAAGAAAGAGTGTTGCTTCTATATTAATGCTTCTGGTAAAGTACAGCAACATCTAGTTGAGGCAACCAATATTATCACCCACTTGCAGCAGTACAACCCATCTAAATGGCTCACAGGTATCAAACAAACTCTGCTGTCATGGTTATGGCTTATAGTGACTCCACTGATAATGGTAGTCTTAATACTCATATTCGGACCCTATCTTCTAAACTTCCTTGTAAAGTTTATCTCTTCTCACCTAGAAATCATCAAGTTTCAGATGGTGCTGCAAATGGAGCCGAAATGAAACCACCCTTCTACTAGGAACCCTTAGATCCACCCAGAAGGAACCCTGGCTGCTGTTCCCATACAATGCCCCTCTCCAGCAGGAAGTAGCCAGAAGAAGTCGTTGCCCAATTCCCCCTAACAGCAGTTAGGGATTTCATTCCTGATGGGGGGAAATATGTTATAGGAGATAGAAAGAAATTATTTAGGTAGATAGATTAGGGTAGAGAGAGTTTCCAGCGAAAAACTTTCCTTCTAACAAAAAGCAGGTCAGAAATAGTTCCCTTTCTAACCTCAAGCAGTTCAAAGAAATCACTTCTCTTCTAACAAAGAGCAGCCTAGAAGGTCAGGCTGTAAAACACAGATAAGCAATTCGGGCACAGAGCAGGGTTTTCTGGGTAATCACCAAAATTCACATACATACAATGGGCCCTGATAAAAAGAGTGGGCCTTAATAAGCACTTTCGTTTACTGCAACTTGGCAACTCATTCAGCACCCTTTTCTGTGACAGATAGCTGTTCTTTCCTTTTGCCTATTAAACTCCTGCTCCAGTCTCAACATGTGTGTGCATCCACTTCCTTGATTTCTTCAGCTGTGAGACCAAGAACTTTGGTATTTATCCCAGACAACAAAGCCATTTTATTTTGGTTCTCCTTAAGCTCTACCTATCGGCAGAGAGGATGCATTTTGAGCTATTTTCCATTATGCAATAATAATGATAAATCCAAACATATAAATAGAATTGTAAATAATGATAAATCCAAACATATAAATAAACAGTCCCAGGGACTGTTCTAAGCACTATATAAATAAATTTACTTCTTTCCCCAAAACCTTGAGATATAATTATTCCCATTTTACAGATAAGGAAACTGAGGCTCAAAGAGATTTAGTGAATTCCCTGAGGTCCAACAGTTGATAAATGTTTCTGAATGCTCCTTCGGGGAGGGCTGAAGATTCTAGCTAACACAGTGACTGGGTAGTCAAGTCTGTCTCATTTTAGAAGTCCATTTTGCTGTAGATCTAAAACTATTAATATGTTGTCTAATTGGTTTTATCACTAATTAAAGCAATATTGTTATTTTCCAAATAATTGTCTCTTGAGTCTTATTTCTAAATTGCTCTATACTCAGAAGTACAGAGCCACAATAAGCCAGGCTTATTGACCACCCAAGTCTAACATTTAGAGGCCAGAGCTCCGGAAGAGCAACACACATAGAAAATGAGTTTTCAATGCTGAGTAGCAACACCTCACCCCTCCAGAAACAAAAGACCTACACAAATGTTGCACTTTCTGAAAAGGACATTTTAAACCAGTGATGTCCTTTTGAAATATCTGCAGTGATAGACACGTTCTACATCTGCGCTGTCTAATGCAGCAGCCACTAGCCACGTTTAGCTATTGAGCACATAAAATGTTGTTAAGGCAATTAAGAAACTAATTTTTACTTCAATGTTAATTAATTTAAATTTGAATGTTCCTCCTGAAGGGGCCTGAAGATAACTGCTAATACAGTGACTGGATGAACAAATCTGTCTAGACCCAAAAGTTCATTTTGCTGTAGTGCTACTATATTGAACAGCGCCATTTCATACCTTCATCATACTTCTCAAACTGCTTTTGATAATCCTTTTACTCTCATCAAATACACGTTAGATTATGAATTCCCTCATCTTTTTGCCTAGAGATTGATAAACCTCATTCATACCCATTTTTACTACCATCACTTTGATCTCAAAAACCGAGGGGTCTTTTCTAGTCTAAATCTAATTCTTTGGCTGTGCTATGGATTTCATTTTTGTGCCTTCTCAGAGACCTTCTTTATATTTTTTCCTCTCTCTCATCTCTGTGTTAGAGCTGATTTTAAGCAAAGGATAGAGACAGGAAAATGTTGGGCTAATTTGTCTTCTTTGGGGCTGGAAATTTTGTGATTTCTACGTTCAACATACTGTTCTCAGATATGTTAAAATACATATATGTGGGATGTTATCTAATACTGTGGGCTTTTGTTAAAAAACAAATATGTGGGATGTTATCTAATACTGTGGGCTCTTGAGAGGTAGAGTCATAGACTTTATCTTAAAATGCCCCGAAGACTCCATGTACATTATTGCTGACCCTTAAACATTATGATCTACCCATTGTTTTACATCATCCTCTGTTCCCACCGGTATAACCCTGTTTTTATGGCAGGTATTTTAAGGAACCTCTAGCCACATCAAATCTGAATTAAACTGCCAGCCAGTTGGTGTCAGTCTTTCAGGGAGTCTTCAATGCTCTTTTAGGGCAGATATGTTTTTCCACTGCCCACAGTTACTACAGCAAAAACCAGATAGATCATATGAACCAGATCCTTGAAGAATGTGTCCACGAAAACAAATCCTCCAGGGAGGATTACAGAGTTACTTCTTTCTCTGGGGCCAGAATTTATATATAACCAACACCCCATGAACATGGTTGTAACAGGATATTAAATGGAAACTTTTGAATGAAGCAACAGAATACATGAGGTGCTACAGTGAAGGAAGTTCTAGACCATATGCAGAATTTCATAGAAAACAGCCAAAACTCATTTATAAAAACCTCAAACTCCCACACTCACATCCGGGTTATGAACAAGTAGAAGAGTGGAGAGTCAGAGGATTTTGTGAAGAAGATCTTGGGAGACAATTTGGTGGATTGTGGTGACCTGCACATCTACCCTCAATCCCCCTTACCTCTTTCTCTGCCATCTCCCCTGCACACAGGAAGGACTGAAAACCCCAGAATGATAACAAGATGGAAAAGAAGGAAACAACAGGGCAAAAGAAAAGGAAGACCACATTCCCTTTCCCTCCGTCAGTAGCCAGCTAGATGAGGGCTTCCACTGACATAGGTGAGATGATTCTATGTTGAAGTCAAATTTAGAGCTGAGATTATTATCTAGGGCATATTACATTTCTGGCTTACGACTTTGCCACTTTAAAAAGTCAGAGAACTGCCCAGGCGCAGTGGCTCATGCCTATAATCTTAGCACTTTGAGAGGCCGAGATGGGAGGATCATTTGAGCTCAGGAGTTTGAGGCCAGCCTGGTCAACATAGGGAGACCCCATCTCTATAAAAGAAAAACATATTTTTAAATAGAAAAAAAGAAAAGAAAATTAAAGTGCTAAAACTTAAAAATAAAATAAGATAAAAGATCTGAGGACTTTTTTCTTATAGAAGAGTAACCAGACAGATGGTGTCATGAAAGCTGGGTTTCATCCAAACACTGTCAGATGTTTCTGTTAAGGTAACTGCCCTTCAGAGTTTGCTGTGAACAATCCTGTGGTCTACGATTACTATGTCTGTGGTCTCAGTGCAATCGAGGATTGCTCTGCCTTTCATTCTCAAGAGTATCTCATGTTGGACAATAAATTTTATAGCCAGTCTGTTTTCGGCATACGTCTTGTGGAAGCAGATGAATTTACAAAATGGCAAATTCATTGGAAACAATGGCCAAATCAACTTATCTTTTCCTTTTAATATTTCACTGGCTTTAATTTTATTTTCAAAACAGCAATATGTTGTACTTGCCAAAAGAGAAAAAAACACATAACCAGATAAGTCAGAGGGATTAAATTTCTACAGACAGGGGTAGGATTACTCCCACTGGGCTGGTTTAATAGGACAGCAGAAGACCAAAGTAAAGCTGTTTTTTAGATTATATGGTACGAATCCTCCATATTCAAAGTACCAGTTACATAGTCATAGTCCCCAGGCTTTCCCAGCCGCCATCCTGTCAAGACCTTGCCAAGTTCTCTGCTGCAGCATACTCTAGGCAAAACCCAGCATCGAATAAAGCCTCACAAAAAACCTGCTTCTCTGACAGCAGGAGATAATTCAAGTGAAGGTACAAAGTGCTACACATCAGAAGACTAGGTTCACACCAAATGTATGGTATTATTGATCTCATCACTTTCTTGCCTAAATTCACCCACTTTGTATGTTAACCTTGTTTTTCTTCACTGTTATCCTGTTTTGGATACCAGCTCATATGTTTCTGTAACAGACACAGCTTCAGTGCCTGGCTAGATTATGGGCTTGAGGATCATGGCAAGGGCCTGCTTCCCTCCTCAGACACACTCAAGATCAGTCACATTATGGTGGAGAGAGTAAGGACAAGAGAGTGATTGTGTCATTATGTCCTTCCTGGCAAGCCAATCTCCTGGAGCCTCTGGGCTCTAGGTTAAAAGGGGGTCTGTGTGATGTGTTAAACTGCTAGATTCAAATAATCTTTACAGCCATCTTTGCTTAACCCTTTATTCTTCTGGTAACCTCTTTGTAGTAATTTTCTAATCCAATCTCATCAGATTTTGCATTCATTATGTATCTGTTTACACTTTTGGCCCTATTAAATGTTGTCTTTTCATCCCACCTACGGATCTCAGAACTACCTTGGTTAATACTGCTTCAGAATCTCTACTAACTCTCAAATAACCTATAACCCAGGGATGCATTCCTATCATCGGGGCTGCCACACACTTTTCTCACCTATGCCTCAAGGACAAGATCTGAGCTGAGTCAGGCAGGCATGGCAGGCAGAGAGACGTAAGAGAAGATAGCTTCGAGAAACGTGAGCATTTTTGGAACTGCTGTAACATAGGGTGGATGCAAAGGTAACGCATTCAACATATTTTCCTCACTTGAATTTTGTTTATTTTCAGTTCTGTCTGAAGCCAGCGTTTATGTTCCCCTTTTTCTAAATTATAGTTTACAGGCCAGCTTTCAGTGGCCTTTCTATTTGTTGGCTATAATTCAATCCTGAAGTTACTAAAATTGATTTTCCTTTTCCAAGAAAAATATATTCTTTTTAATAAAGCAGTATGAAAGTTAAACAAAGGTCAACCAATAATTGAATGGTTGTATGAAATAACCAGTTAGAATGTAATGGCTGTCATCATTTCCAATTTGTGAAAGAAGCAATGAAAACAGATGTTTTGTGGTTTGTTTGCTGGATCAGAGAAAATTATTTTTACACTGCTTTGTTAAGAGTAATGATTGAGGGAAAGCACTTATAGGAAGTACTTTATTTTCCTCTAGATTCCAATTTCAAAGATATCAAGGTCATTCCTAGTTCAATTCTCTGAATTAAATGATGATGGTAATCAGTGGATTATTTATTGCTTGTATCATTGGAAATTTAATACTTGATTGCTAGAGTGAGGAAGATACTTTGGCCTCATTGGCCGGGAGTCTTTTTGTCAAAGACAATCTGGTGCTCTGATGGAATTAAACAAGAGCATTTCAGTATTTTTCAGGGATCACATGATTAACTCACTTTCCAGCAACAACAACAACAAATCTGAATTTGTTGAATGAATCCTGTCTACAGATAAAAATGGTGGTCCTGCTACCTCTATCCATTCTTTACCTGTCTCCTAGGAAGTGTCAATTTAAGGAAGGATTGCTGATTTGTTTGTGCATTGAAAGCGGCACAATTCAACTATGTAGCCAGCTTTTTCCTGAGTTGGTGAATTTAAAACCATACTAGAATATTTCTTTCTTTTTTTTTTTTTTTTTTTTTGAGATGAATTTTCGCTCTTGTTGCCCAGGATGGAGTGCAATGGTGCAATCTTGGCTCACCGCAACCTCCACCTTCCAGATTAAAGCAATTCTCCTGCCTCAGCCTCCTGAGTAGCTGGGATTACAGGCACGTGCCATCATGCCCGGCTAATTTTGTATTGTTAGTAGAGATGGGGTTTCTCCATGTTGGTCAGGCTGGTTGTGAACTCCCGACCTCAGGTGATCTGCTCGCCACTGCCTCCCAAAGTGCTGTGATTACAGGTGTAAGCCACCGCACCCAGCCTAGAATATTGCAAGCAAAGGATTAGATTATTTTCATCATGCAGTACAGCTGTCAAAAGAAACAGAGATGGAAACAGAGATGTTCAGCTAAGCTGTCTTGTTCCCTGCTTGCTTTGTTGGTATCACTGTCAAACCTCGGTTTCTTTGGAGTAATCTTTTAAAGCTATTTGGACATATTGTGAGAACTACTTTAGTTAAAACCAGGTTGTCAAAGCCTTAAATCCACTTGAGTCACCCTTAAACTTTAGTGTGTTGCAATATACTTCTGTGTCCTCTGTGCTGTGGAACCATCATTCTTCCCCCTAGAATACCTCTCTTATTATAGGAAAGCCTTAACGAACCTAACGGCAGAATCAGGGTACAGAGTCAATCCATATATTTAATGTTAGTAAATCTTCCCTCCTCCAAAAAAATCCTAATTAAAATATAAATATAAATAAAAATGGAAGTTCTAAAATTTCTTCTTACTCAGTGGCTTGTCACTGAGTGGATGTGTTTATTTGGATGAACATACCCGAAGTATTTGTGTTCTCTGAGCTTTCTGCTCTGTATCTGCAATTTGCTATCAGTACTTTTGGAAAGTTCTTGGCCATTATTACTTCAACTATTTCTTCTGCTTTATTCTTTCTTTCTTCTTCATCTGATATTCCAATTACACACATGGTATACCTTTTGAAATTGTTCCACAATTCTTGAATACTCTATTCCTTTTTTGTGTGGGAATTTTTTTCTTTCTTTCTCCACTTTGCATTTTATTTATGGAAATTTCTATCGATAGCTCTTCAGCTTATTTATTTTTCTTCTAATATCTAGTCTACTGATAAGCCTATCAAATACTTTTCATTTCTGTTACAGTGTTTTTTATTTCTAGCATCTTTTATATTCTTTGATTTTCCATCTTTCTTTTTACATTACCCATCTGTTCTTGCACGTTGCCTACTTTTTCCACTAGAACATTTAATATGTTAATCATAGTACTTTAAATTCCCTGTCTCATACTTTCAACAACTTTGTAATCTTCTTTGTAATCTCTAAATCTAGTCTGATGCTTGCTTTGTTTTTTCAGACTTTTTTTTCTTGACTTTTAGCATGCATTGTAATTTGTTGCTGCTGCTGTTGTTGTTAAAAACCAGTTAGACCTAAAGAAGACCTATTTTCCTGTTTTACTATTTGATACATTATCTGATACATAGTAAAACAAGTAAATAAGTCTTCAGGGTGAAGTTTCATGTTAATTTGATTAGGAATTTGGCTGTGTTTAATGTCTTCTGTAGCTGTAAGCACTAGAGCCTTCACATTACTCTCGTATCCTCTTTTTTGTTTCCAATGTTGGCTTTGGGGCTCTGTAAGGGTACTACCAAAATGGCCTCATTTTCTGGGGTAAATACCAAGGTTCTTGGTCTCAGGGTCAAGAAAATCAAGGATGTGGATGCACACATACAGTGAGATTGGAGCAGTCGTTTAATAGGCAAAAGGAAAGAACAGCTGTCACAGACAGGGGTCCTGAATGGGTTGCCAAGTTGTTCTAAAAATGTCAGGGTTTTTATAAATGGGCTAGTGAGGAGGGGGTGCCTTATCATCCTAGGGCCAAAGAACTGGTTAGGGCCAGGTGTGCTATCTGCATAGAGTCTTTATCAGCCCCCACCCCATTCTTTGATCATGTAAGCAGACTCTTAGTTTACACTGCTCTGCACTGCTTATCTACATGTGCTAAAAAGGGAGGGAGAGTTTCTGTGCCTATTCCCAGGCACCTTCTTGCAGCTGCAGTTATCTACCCCATGCACGCTTCCACCTTTCCTATCTTAGTGTGCCTACAGAAAGGGAAAAGGATGTGCTTATGAAGTCCCACTATTTTTACTGAGGCCCATCTTACGTATGTGAAGTTTGGTGATTACCCAGGAAACTCCCCGCTCTGTGCCTGAATTTCTTATCTGTGTTTTACAGCCTGATCTTCCAGGCTGCTCTTTGTTAGAAGAGAAGTGATTTCTCAAGGTCAAGAGATCAAGACCATCCTGGCCTTGATTTCACATGGTGAAACCCTTTCTCTACTAAAAATACAAAAAATTAGCCAGGCGTGGTGGCAGGCACCTGTAGTCCCAGCTACTCAGGAGGCTGAGGCAGGAGAATGGCGTGAACCCAGGAGGCGGAGCTTGCAGTGAGCCGAGATTGCGCCACTGCACTCCAGCCTGGGCGACAAAGCGAGACTCCATAAATAAATAAAAAAAAAGAAGTGATTTCTTTGAACTGTGTGTGGTTAGAAAGGGAGCAATTTCTGAGCTGCTTTTTGTTAGAAGGGAACTTTCCTGCTTGAGACTCTCTTCACCCTATCTATTTACCTAAATTATTTCTATCTCATATCCTATATCATATTTCCTCCCTCAGGAATGGAATCCATAACTGCTGTTAAGGGGAGTTGGGCTACGACTTCTGGCTACTTCCTGCTGGAGAGGCGCGTTATATTGGAACAGCAGCCAGGGCTACTCCTGGGGTTGATCTAAGGGTCCCTGGTAAAAAGGCATCTTCATTTTGGGTTCCATTTGCGACACCATGTGAAGCTTGATGGTTTCTAGGTGAGAAGAGATAAACTATACAAGGAGGTTTAGAAGATAGGGTTCAAATATGAGTACTGACTACCATTATCAGTGGGGGCACTAGAGGCCATAACTATGACAGCAGAGTTTGTTTGATACCAGTGAGCCATTTAGATGGGTGGTATTGTTGTAAGTGGGTGATAATATTGGTTGCCTCTACTAGATGTTGCTGTACTTTACCAGAAACATTAATATAAAAGTAACATTTTTCTTTGAGAAAACATACATTTTCCTTTGGACTTGTTACTAAGGAATAATTTTAGGTTTAGGCCATTTTTTATAATTTCTGATATGATTGGGAAAAGTATATCATTGGGAGGATAAAATAATTTTAGTGTTAATCTTGGCAATCCCTTCTCTTTAATGATTAAATTCTTTTATGACTTCCACAGACCATTTTACCACATCCTTGAACTTTCTGACTTGTCCTAAGCATTCTTCCTTTAAACAAGCAGTCATTTCCTTTTAGGATAAGAATTTGCCATACAAGATCCTTCCTTCTATATATAATCTCTTTCTTTATAACCTTCTCTTCATACTTAGAGTGCATCATACTAATAATTTTCAATAAAAAGTCATATCAAGCTTAGTGATAGTAACCTTTCTTTGTCTGTAACTATTGCCCCTGCTATGAGAATAATAAAACAACCTTGACTAAATCTTTCCTGTAATTATTAATCCTGTAATAAAGATGATAATTAGGCAAAATATTATAGCCATTAGAATTTTACAACCAGAATCCCACATTGTGGGTGCTACTGTGTCTGGAATCGGTGGGTTCTTGGTCTCACTGACTTCCAGAATGAAGCCGCGGACCCTCGCGGTGAGTGTTACAGCTCTTAAGGTGGCACGTCTGGAGTTGTTCGTTCCTCCCCGTGGGCTCGTGGGCTCGCTGGCTTTAGGAGTGAAGCTGCAGACCTTCGCGGTGAGTGTTACAGCTCTTAAAGCGGCGCGTCTGGAGTTGTTCGTTCCTCCCCGTGGGCTTGTGGTTTCGCTGGCTTCAGGAGTGAAGCTGCAGACTTTCGCGGTGAGTGTTACAGCTCATAAAAGCAGTGTGGTCCCAAAGAGTGAGCAGTAGCAAGATTTATTGCAAAGGGCGAAAGAACAAAGCTTCCGCACGGTGGAACGGAACCCGAGCGGGTTGCCAGTGCTGGCTGGGGCAGCCTGCTTTTATTCTCTTATCTGGCCCCAGGCACATCCTGCTGATTGGTAGAGCCGAGTGGTCTGTTTTAACAGGGCGCTGATTGGCGCGTTTACAATCCCTGAGCTAGACATAAAGGTTCTCCACGTCCCCACCAGACTCAGGAGCCCAGCTGGCTTCACCCAATGGATCTCGCACCCGGGCTGCAGGTGGTGCTGCCTGCCAGTCCCGGTGTCATGCGCCCACACTCCTCAGCCCTTGGGTGGTCGATGAGACTGGGCGCCCTGGAGCAGGGGGTGGCGCTCGTCGGGGAAGCTCGGGCGGCACAGGAGCCCATGGAGGGGGTGGGAGGCTCAGGCATGGCGGGCTGCAGGTCCCAAGCCCTGCCCCGCGGGAAGGCAGCTAAGGCCTGCTGAGAAATCGAGCGCAGCGTCGGTAGGCTGGCACTGCTGGGGTACCCAGTACACCCTCCGCAGCTGCTGGCCCGGGTGCTAAGCCCCTCATTGCCAGGGCCGGCGGGCTGCTCCGAGCGCGGGGCCCGCCAAGCCCACGCCCACCCAGAACTCCAGCTGGCCCGCAAGCGCGGCACGCAGCCCCGGTTCCCGCTGGCGCCTCTCCCTCCACACCTCCCTGCAAGCTGAGGGAGCCGGCTCTGGCCTTGGCCTGCCCAGAAAGGGGCTCCCACAGTGCAGCGGTGGGCTGAAGGGCTCCTCAAGTGCCGCCAAAGTGGGAGCCCAGGCAGAGGAGGCGCGGAGAGCCAGCGAGGGCTGTGAGGACTGCCATCACGCTGTCACCTCTCACCACAATGTATAGTTCTATTGCAAATAGTGGAGTGAGTATAACAATTCTTGCGAGAGTGGCGTGATAGATAATTTCCATTTAAAATTTTACTTGCCAAGATATAGTTTCCCTCTGGGGTCCTATGAAGTTATAAATGCAAGTGTATGAGTAATTAAAGTTTCCTTGCAAATATCTGTTAAAAAGAAGTTCTAATATTTGGTGGTGAATTTTGAGAGGGAAGGTAGAAACAACAAAAAGGATTTGGTGAGGTAAAGATGGGACTGAGTAAGGCGAGTAGCCCTCAGTTACTTATCTTTTATGATTTTCAGCTTAGTATCTTCTATTTCTTCACATTGATATTCAGGGTGTTCTCTGGGCTGTCGGGTTGCTCCCTCAGATTTTCAGGCTTTTACTTGAGTGTGATGTATTCAGAAGTTGATACCTGTAACTTTTATTGCCAAGTGGGAGAGAGCATTGAAAGAACAGTGTAGGGCCCTTCCCAGCTTGGGCTTAGGGAAGGAGAGCGAGGAAGAGAGAGTTTTTACTAAAACCAAATCTCCTGGGTTAAAAACAGGTGGTCCTATTTCTTGGTATTGGGCCTCTGCTAGTTGTGTTGATTCTTGTTGGAAATGAGCTAGAGAGGTTGCATGCTTAACTAATTTAGAAGTTTTCTGATCTAATAGGAAGTCATTTGTAATGAAAGGCCGTCCATACAGCATTTCGCAAGGACTCAGGCTTAACTTTCAAGGGGTATTTTTTTTTTCTGTAGTAAGGCCGTAGTAGTAAGGGAAGAAGAGTGACCCAAGGAGGTGAGTTTCCTAGAAGTTTTCTGAGGTGTATTTTGGTAATGTCATTTGTTTTCTGTACCTTCCCTGAGGACTGGGACCTCCAAGCACAATGGGGATGATACTATAAGCCTAGTGCCTTTGAGACTCCCTGGGTGACAGCTGCTTTGAATAAGGGGCCATTGTCACTTTGGAGATACTTAGGTAGACCAGAGCCAGGGGTTATTTCATTAACTAGCACTTTTATTACCTCACAGGCTTTTCTGTACAGCATTGAAATTCTTCTTTCCAGTTAGTGAAGAGAAATTCTTCTCTCCATGTCTTTGGCATGTGGGTGAAGTCCATTTGGTAGTCTTCCCTGGATAGCTTTCTATTCTTTGGGTTTGAGGAGGAAAGACCCGTTTGTTGAGGAAATTATTTTTAAGACAGACTTTTCAAGCATTAATAACCTATTTGGCTTTTTTTTTTTCTTTTTCTTTTTTTATCAAATAATCTCCTGAAAACAATCTCTGGGCACACTGGTAAGTTTTTTCCTTTTCCAGGTGAAAATTTTGGTGAAGGATTTTAAGGACTTTCCATTGTCTAGAGGCTGGCAAGTGGAGTTTGCCATTCTCTGACTGTAGCTGTCCTGAAGGCTAGAAAGTGTACCTCCAAGAAGTGGCCCACTCCATTTCTGCAGGGGATTACTGAGGCTTAATTGTTTTTATGGAGCCTTCCCAGGCTAGAGGGGCTTTAAGTGTGTTGAGGCCCTGAGGCTTTCTTGCTGCTGTCTTGGCTTCCTGATGAGCTAACTTGTTTCCTTCAGCTATTTCATGTGTTTCCTTTTGATGTTCCTTACAACGCATCACTGCTGCTTCTTGTGGAGGGAAAACTGAGGATAATAACCTGTTAACTTCCTGGTGATATTTTATAGTAGATCCACTAGTAGTAAGAAATATCTTTCATTTTAAATGGCAGCATGAGCATGGAGAACTAAGAAAGCATACTTGGAGTCAATGTAAATGTTGCCTACATTTCCCTTGCTTAATTCAAGTATTCTTGTAAAAGCTATTAGTTCAGCTAATTGAGTGCTTGTGTCTGGGGAGAGATGTAATTTAGGGTGACCACTGCTTATCCTGCGTTACGTGTCTCTTGCTTTACTGGCTGTTGGTTAGCTAAAGGCTCCCTCTAGAGGACAGTAATTCTGCCACATTATGTGGGGTATAAACAGTTAAGTTATTTTCCACGGTTAATTTGGAGGCTTCTTTGACTAGCAGAGCCACTGTGGCAGTGGCTTGCAGACATGTGTAAATAATAGGTCCTCCTAACTGCAACTAAGGGGTTGAGAAAGATACTGGATTAGAATTTTTCCTGAGATGCCCTTTATGGTCGTGCCTTGGGAAGAAGGGAGGCCTGGATTAGAGAGAAGAAAGATACTGGCTGCAGTCTTTAGAAGGAGGTCTATCTTCCTTCTTTCAATTCCTAGAATCATGTGAGGCTCTTGTGCTGTAATGGCAGTTTAAGCTGCTGGAGCCTGGGGTTTGAGCGCCAGGACCCATTAGTCCTGTTGGACCATTTGTGAGACTGCTTCTGAACCCAGTGACCTCTGTCTTTGGGGGCAGTTTGATCTCCAGTGGTCTCCACCACAGGCTGGACAGGGTTGAGATGGCTTCTTTTTGCTGTTTTGGAACTCCTTTTTAAAGTGCCCTGGCTGCCACACCGATAGCAATGAGCAGATGCACCTCAGGGATCCTGGACTTTGCAAGCCTGCAAAGCAGGTACTGGAGCCTCAGTCTTTCTTTTATGCTGTCTCTGTCTCTCTCGGGCCTCCTCGTGGTCCCTATTATAAAAGGCCTAAGTGGCCACCTTCAGGAGGTTCTTTAAGGTGCTAATTGGTCCTGTAGCTTGCTTTTGTAGTTTCCTTTTAATATTGGGAGCTGCCTGTGTAATAAACTTGTTCTTTAGAATGAACTGTCCCTCAACTAAATCAGGGGATAAGGAAGTGTGCTTTATTAGTGCCTCTCCGCCTTTCCATAAAGGCTGCAGGATTCTCATTTGGTTTTTGGTTTATCATGGACAGTTTAGAGTAATTAAGAGCTTTGGCCCTAGTTCTTCATAGGCCCTCTAAAATGCACATTAATGAGTGTTTTCTTTTCCATTCATCTGCAGAGCTATTGGGGTTCCAATCAGGGTTGTTAAGAGGAACTGTTTCCCTTCTTATTGGGAATGGTTATTCTATTTTTTTCTCACCTTCCTTATCTCCGCTTTTCCTTTTTGTTGTATTATAGGAGATAAGTTGCTCATCTCTGAAATTCTCTGCTGCCTGCAGAGCTGCCTGTTTTTTGGCTGAAGTGAGGGTTTGGCTTAGAAGCAGCATAACATCTGTTCATGTGAGGTGAAACACCCAGGTTAAATTTTGGAAAGCTTCTATATATCAGGGTCAACAGAAAATCAACCTAAGTCTTCCTTTACTTGCCTAAGGTCCTGTAATGAGAAGGGAACTTGAGATGACCTCAAATAAGGAGAATTCTCTGATGGTTCCCCCAGAAGTTGCTTTTCTAAATTCTGGGGAATTATTCTCAATAGGCTTGCCTGATATGACTGTTAAAAAAGCTGGGTTGATCTTAGAATGCTTGCAAAGGTTTAGTAAAAATGCCATGCTTTTGTGCCAAATAAAACAACTCACTTTTCTCTTCAAGTTCCTGGGGTCAAAGCAGTTTGAGTGTTTCAGAGTGCGCTCCAGAGGGGTGCAAGCTGAAGTTGGTCTGTTACGAATCTAGAAAAAGAGACCAGAGAAGAGGCATTCCTCAGTCTCCCTCTTCTTTCAGTATGACCCAGAGTGGAGAGGAAGATAGTGGGAGTGTCCCCCCCAAAAGTTTTCCCTCCTTGGTTCCCTAGGGTCCTGGCACTGTGTTAAATGTGTTACCCATGGTTGTGGGTGTGAGTCCCCAAGCCATGGAAACAGATGAACTAAGTGATGGGATTTAGTCACAATTTACCCACACAGTCTTAGTTATCTGCTTGTGATTCCCTTTTGACTTCCTAAACTTCTGTGACGTGTGCGACTCCTTGATGGATAGGTCTCAGGAGAGACTATGCAACAGTTGCATTTCAGCAATGCTTCTTAATAGAGGGAGTGTACTGGGCTGAGTTCTATATTCTGCTATTATGGCCCAGACTAGAGAATTCATTCTTAAATGGTAGTTTCTGTTAACTTCCAGACATAGAATTCACTTTCTATTTAAATGACATCCTAGTTGTAGGCAGAATAGGTGTCTCAAGAGAACATAAGGGTCAAATGGTGACCCTCCTGCTAATGGAGAGAGTATTGAGACTAAAATTTGGTTTTGGAGGACATTTTTCTGCTCACTGCTGAAAGCAGAGTTCTCCTGCTTGCAGAGGGGGAATAAAGTTTAGTCTCTAACAGAGGGATGCAAAAGGGAGAAGAACTGGAAAATCTGCCTGTCTGTAGGAAGTAACAAAAACAGCAATCCCTTGATCAGCATTCCTGGTTGCTAAGATTCTTGTTGCTAAGCCTGGCTAATTGAATTATTTTCCAAGACTGTAAAAACTCCTGTAGCAACACATACAGAGAGGGGATGGGAGACATTGTGAACACAGAGAGGAAAAGAGGAAAGTAAGATTTGCAATAGGAAAGCTTGTAGATGCTGTGGCCAACACCCCGTTGGGCAGTTGGAGGCTTGGGTCAGTCCAGAAGCTTTTGGATAACACCAGAGTGTAGCCCTGGCCAGAAATACTCAGTTGCTCCAGGACCTTTTCCAGCCCCATGCAACAGCAAGGTTCTCTGTGAAAAGAAACTAGTTTAGAACAGAGCCAACATTCCCAGCACCCTGAGGACACTGGAGGATTGACTAAGTCCTGCACAGCAAGCCTCTCCTCTGAGTCTTCAAGACTGGCAGCTTCTCCTGGTGGCTCCTTAACCAGCTGTCAGATGCCTGGGTTTTTGATAGTTCTTTGAGAGAATGAAAAATGAGGACAAGAAGCCTTGGAAGTGAAAGTATGGAGTCTGCTCCTATACTCACCCTTCCAATGAATTTACCTTCAAATCCTGGATGAGACCCCAAGTATAAAACAGCCTTGTTGTCTGGGGTAAATACCGAAGTTCTTGGTCTCATAGCCAAGGAAATCAAGGATGTGGATGAACACACAGAGTGAGATTAGAGCAGGAGTTTAATGGGCTTAAAGGAAAGAACATCTCTCTGTCACAGAGACAGGTCCCGAATACGTTTCCAAATTGTAGTAAAAATGTCAAGGTTTTTATAAATGGGCTAGTAAGGAGGGGGTGTCTTATCTCTGTGGGGCCCGAAGAACTGGTTAGGACCAGGTGTGCTATCTGCATAGAGCAGAGTCTCTATCAGCCCCCACTCCATTCTTTGACCTTGGAGGCCGACTCTTAGTTTATGCTCCTCCGTGCTGCTTATCTGCATGTGCTAAAAAGGGGAGGGAGAGTTTCTGTGCCTGTTCCCAGACACCTTCTTGCAGCTGCAGGTATCTATCCCTTGCATGCTTCCAGCTTTCCTATCTTAGTTTGACTAAAGAAAGGGAAAAGAATGTGCTTGTGAAGGCCCACTGTTTTTACCGGGGTCCATCATATGTATGTTAAGTTTGGTGATTACCCAGGAAACTCCTGGCTCTGTGCCTGAGTTGCTTATCTGTGTCTTACAGCCTGTTCTTCCAGGCTGCTCTTTGTAAGAAGAGAAATGCTTTCTTTCAACTGCATGTGGTTACAAAGGGAGAAATTTCTGAGCTGCTTTTTGTTAGAAGGAAAGTTTCTGCCTGGGACTCTCTTCACCCTAATGATCTACCTAAATGACTTTTTTCTATCTCCTGTATTACTACTTCTTAGAAAGAGTTTGCATCTCACAACTCTTTTAGCAGTAACTCACTGTTCCTATAGGGGAGCAGTGTAGGTAGGTAGTAGGTGTGGCAGAAGGGAATCATTCTATAATTTTATGAATAAATTTCAGTCTTTTAGTGGACATTTGTTTTTGGCTTTTATTTTCCCAAATGTTTCTTAGATTTTTTTCTTCTTCGTGTGAGACAAAAGTCTAGAAGGGACTAGAGTGAAATGTTGTTTCCCTCTTTGATATAAGGCTCTGCTAGTTTTTTTCACCTGGAGAGTACATCTTTGTTATGTACTGGGCTCTGGGCATTTTTTCCACAATTGTTACTCTACCCTTTTCCCTGATAGAGTCACAAGGGAATCTTTCTCAACTCTTCATCATGAAATCAGTTTTAAAAAATCTCAGGAATTATTACTTTAAATACTGCTTATATCCCACAGCCTCCCTCCTCTATTTCTAGGGCTTTAATTTCATATGTAATAGATCATTTTACTATGCACGTATATTTCCTGTGCTCTTTTGTGTGATTTCTATTTTTCTTTTGTCTTCATACTTCAGTCTGGACATTTTCTTTCTGTCCTATATTCTAATTTCATTCTTTTTTTTTCAGCTGGACTTTACCTGTTGTTAAACCCACCCATTTAGTTCCTTATCTTAGTTGTTGTATTTTTCAGTGCAAAATTTTCATTTGACTCTTGCTTTCAGTTTACTGTTCTCTGCCAAAATAGCTACACTGTCTTTTAATTCCTTGACCATATTAAGCATAGTTATTTCAAAACTCATGTCCAATAATTACATAATCTGAATCTTTTGATTATTATTCTCTCAGTATTTGGTCACGTATTGTTTTCTATGATGCCTAGTGATTTTTCTTTTAATGTCAGAAATTATATGTGGAAAATTATAGATGACTTGAATCTCTAGATGATGCTATTTTCCCACAGATAAATTGTACTATTACTTCTTTTCCTAAAGTGCTAGACACCTCAGATCATCTCATTCTAATCAGCAATTGAGATGATTCTAATTGAGATTTACTTTTGTTTCACCCTTGATACCTAGGGTGGGTCCCTTTATGGTGTTAGCATAAAACTTGCAGTGTTAATAGGCTCACTTCCTCCTTGTAGTCCCTAAAATCCAAGTTTTTATTACCTGAACTTCTCTCAAGTCTCTATTTAGCTTTCCAGCCTCAGAAGTTACTTTGGAATTGGCATATCCTGAGTTCACCTCTATGAACTTCCGTTCTCTCTGGGAACTTGGTGTTGCAAATCTACCATTTGGCAGCTTTCCTAGGGTTTTATTTTACTTTATTTTTGTCTATAACTTTTAGTCTTAAGTTAGAATTAGAATTACTGAGAATACTTTTTTTTTAATAGGACCATAGAGAGTAAAAATATTTGTTTAGTCTCTGTATCTTAGTGATCTAAAATTTCAGTCCCATAGCAATTGAAGTATCCAATAAGGTCTGGCAGAGAAATGGGATAACATGCTTTGGTTTTGGCAAAATACGAGGGCTCTAAATCAGCTAGTTTTTATACTGTATTTTAAAAAATTTCCCCAGAAATCCCTAGTTGATCTCATATATACAAAGTTTCTTTTTGCAGTTGTCCTTGGAAACACTAGTTCTGGATAAGGCAGCAAAATTTTATGGCATATAACAACTGCAAAGCAGCCTGTGAAATTAACTATAGCTATTTGGATATTCTGTGGTTAAGCAAGCTCCATAGGTAATAGTTTTCTCTTTAAGACCCTATAGCTGGTTTGTTCAATTTCATGATTACGGAAACTTAGGCAATAACCGTAATTTTACATATTTTAGAGACATCTTAAAAGAAAATGAGCAAGCTTTTCAAACTTACTTTAAATAAATTCTAAGCGCCTAGAAAAGATGCCTCCCCACCTTAACCAGTGCCTTTATGTTCTCTGGACCACACAAATGCTCAATGAGTATTTGATGTATGCATGAGTGAATGAATGAATAAAAACAAAAGGCATTTTCCATATTTTCAATGTTCTTTTGAAAATATGAAACCTCAAACTGAGCATAATATTCCATCTGTGTTCTTATCAACATCCAGTAGGCAAAGAAATTACCTCTGAAGTTCTGGAAAATTTCAATTGGAGAAAAATATTTAAAAGAATAGTATCAAAAATGTGAGTAATACCATCACTCAGTTAAAAAAAGAACTGGATTGCCTGTGGTTGAGGCCGTTATTTGCCTTTAGGGCTTAAAATAACTTCCAAAGATTTATATAGCTTAAATCTATTCATATTCTCATAATTAATAAATTATATTGAATAGGACTCTATTCGCTAGAATATGATACTGCTGATGTCATCTTCCTCTAAAATACATATACGGAAAATCCAAAGATACACTAATAAACCTGACTAAACTGGGAAAAATAGAAATTTGGAAAGCACTTAATGACTTCCAACTTGATCCTTCTTCAATGTAATAAAGTTATTTGTTAACCAACATGGTATCAATTCTCTACCAATTTATTTATTACATTCTACCTACTCTTTAAAGCTTTCTTTATAGTGATGAAAATAATAATGGACGATTAAAGAAGAATGTGTATCTTTGATTGTTTAATAGATGATACTTAGAGTGGCTGATTGTTTCTTTTTATTTAAACTTAGTGGTATTTATCTTAAAGCAGTTTTTCTTGTTTTATTGTATTCAATAGCAATTAGATTAAATATATAGAAAATATTATAAATAGTCCTCTTTTTAGTACAACAAATGGTGGTTCTATCCCCTGAAAAGAAATCCCTCAATTAGATATTTATAGAACATTTAATGTAAAAAAAAAAAAGTGTAGTTTTCTTAAACAACATCTTTAAAAGTGCAATATATGACATCATGTGGGATCTTTCAGTGTCCTCTCAGGAAGTTTTATGTGTAGAAAAGAAACTTTGGACATACACAAGAAAACTTCTAATCTATTAAATTTACAATTTTAAAACCCAGATATTTTCTTAAGCATTTAAGTTAATATCATAATCTTATTAGTTACTTTTAAGATTCATAAGCTTTAACCACTTTTAAGAGACCTTTGGATAATATTTGGAACTGTTCAAACAGTTAAAAACACCATCACCATTTCAAGTTGCATTTATAAGTCTAATGTACTTGATTTCCTTCTTGAGTACTTCAATTATCTTCAAATAGATCCTTCCTGATTACTAAAGTAACTCTTATAAACCTAGACCAGGCACAGTAGCTCACACCTATATTCCTAGCACTTTGGGAGGCCAAGGCTGGAGGATTGCTTGAGCCCAGGAGTTTGAGACCAGCCTGGCTAACAAAGTAAGACCGCCATCTCTATGAAAAAATTTTTAAAAATTAGCTGGTCATTGTGGCATATGCTTGTAGTCCCAGCTCCTCAGGAGGCTGAGGCAGGAGGATGGCTTGAGCTCAGGAGTTCAAGGCTATAGTGAGCTATGATCCCACCACTGCACTCCAGCCTGGGTAACAGAACAAGATTCTGTCTCAAAAAACAAACAAACAAACAAAAAACCTCTTATAAATGTAATAAATTAAATTAGTAAACATGCTAAACCTAAACTCTCAGATGTCCTAACGCTATGAAAACAGTAATATTTCTGCTTAAAAATCACAAGTCTAAATTAATTATCCAACTTCACATATTAAATTAAGTAATAAGACTTTCATTCTAATTAACCAAATTCTTGTTAAATGACTAATATTTAAGACTTTAATATGTACTTTTCTCCTAAACACAAAAATATACTAATATTCTGCTTAGAAGATTAATTAAATCATAAACCTTTAAATTCTTAATTTATTATATTCTTGTGGTTAAAAGATGCATACCTAAAAAAAACTATCCCCATTCACTCACATATTCATTCATTCAACATATATTTCCTGAATACCTATCATGTGCCAGGCATTGTTCTAGGCACTGTGTGTAAAACACAGTGAACAAAGCAGGAAAAAAAGCTTGCTGTCATGGAGCTTAACTTTTTGAGGAAGAGGACAAATAATAAATAAGACAAATAATTACAATTTATAGTATGTTAAAAGGTAATTCATGCTATGGAGAAAAAAAAAAAAAACTTGGAAAGGGGCCCAACACAATTTTAAATAGGGTCACCAGGGAACTGAGGTGACTTATGATTGTAGATTTGAGTAGGTCGGAAGATCTGGATCTGCAAACATTGAGAAATGTTGGTTCTATTGTCATCTGAGCCTTCATTTTTGGTCGCTAGATCACTGACTACAAAATTTGTGTAGGGATTGACCTCACAGCTCACCTTACCTAATTTTCTTTTCACTCACAAAAGTCTGTAACTCTACAGCAGATACCTCAGAGAAATTTGTATGTCTTTAACTTTTAAAATATATAAAGTTTTCCTTTTTCATGCTAAAGAATCTTGTCCGTATTTTTCAGGACCTCTAAACTTTTATGGATATTTAAAACATTACCTGATAGACTTTCGGATATTTCACAGGCTTTGTCTAATATTACAAAATATAATTACATTTATAAAATTATTCTACCTTCAAAAACATATACTTTTCTTTTTGAATGCACAAAATATAAATATTGCTTGAAATTGTATTAATAGATATTTTTCCTGAGAAAATCTATTACCTTTAGAAAATGATACTTGGAATATGTCTAAAATGCTAATAGCTCCCACAGGTAATTATGTTAGATTCGTATAAACAAAAGATTAAGAAATTTTGCCAATTTAAACATAAAAATTACAGTAACAGATTTTAAACCTGATCTGGTCAATTTCATTGAAATGAGAAATACCTGCTTCCACCAATGGAAACTTATATGAGAAACAGCAAAAATTTTCCATGCACAAATTCAACAAAAAGAGTAAGTGCCAATATTTTATATGCATTTTTAAATTTTGACAGTTGACTTGTGTGACTTTAAGAAGAATACCAGACACGCTTGATTAAAATTTGCTGACCACATTTTGAAAAGACATAATACAGAAACCAAATAAAAATCTATATTGTACATGAAATTGCACTGCTGTGTGCATGCAAGTGATATCATAAACTGACAAGCTTATTCCGTTTAAAGTGCAGACAGAACATTAACTCTCTAAAGCAGAATCACAGTTATTTCTCCTACTCCCACTCCAAGACCTAAACTGCTTCTAGTAGCCCGGAAAAGGAAGATGCTGGAGCTGGAAAAGCTTTCTTGAAGACTAGAGGATAAAAAAGTCATACATGTTTATGGGTAGTTGGAATGGGGAAGTGACAGGGCCTTCAGAGGGAATAGCTCCACAGTGTACCAAGAAAGGTTTGATTTAAAGCACAGGGGATCCCACCCTGAGCAGAGTCTCTCACACCAACATGACTTGGAAACAGCAAAACTTCTTGCCAAGGGTCCTTCATAGGAAAAGTTCAAATACCAGGCTACCCTATTCAAAACCTGATACCCAGCAACCATACTGGTCAAAAAAATGGCATGGTGTTTTTGCATGTAAACTTGTATTTAGATTTTAAGATTAGGAAACTAATTAATTTCACTCTAAACAACTTTTATATTGGATAATATATACTAAAGTAAGAAACACATTATTTAAAAATTCTCAGTGACTTGGTGATATTGCTAGCTTTTTTCACAGATTCTTTCTCTATTATCAAGCTCTTGTCAGTTCTCACCATATTCTTAACTACTTGCTCCAGCTACAGTTAAGGAGAAGAGGAGTGAAGGTCAAAATAGAGGAGATAAGAGGGAAGTGTGGCAAGTTACAAATAAAATAAGGGAAGTTAAAAAATATGCCCTTGGACAATGTGTAGTTATTCATATACCAATAGAAAAAGGGACTGATAATTCGAAAAGATGAATATGACTACTCTTACCCCTCTTCCACCTCAATAACTCTTTCAGTAACTAATTGCATGACAATTTGCTAGAAAAATATATACTCAAATAAATTTTTGGAAAGAGATATGGCATTTGAGGGTATGTTTAGTTCCCTGAGATCATATACTGTCAGATCATACTTACAAAAGAATAATAATAGCTAATTTAACAGTGTCTTCGTTGTACCTTGGCTTGGGAGTACATTTAAAAAGAGAGTTGTGAGTTTATTTCCTTTGTATTATTGTGTCATTAACATATTCTGAGTCACAAATAGGATCCACCTCTATATCCATATGCTGTCATGTATTTATGTAATCAGCAGATCATTCTTTTTTCCATTATTTGTTTAGCTCCAGCAATCACAAATTTGTGCATTGCATAAATTATTTCTAGAACCAGAAGATGCTTTTACCTGGTTGATAACTTAGATTATATACTAGACAAAAAAAGGAGAAAAGAAAAATAAGAAGAGAGAAGAGGGAAACCAGAAAGTAAAATATAATTCAGACAAGTTTTTTCTCAAGCAAAGACACATACTCAAATAAAGACACATACTCAAAAGAGTAGTTATTTGATAAAGTTGCACCAATGCATTTAGATTTCCCTTTGGTACAAATTATAAGAAATTGCTTAAAATAAAATTCAATTTCTTGTTCAGAATTATGTTTGTCACTTCTCTTAGCAGTAGTTGGAGAGTGTTAGAGCTTACGAAACTCCAAAAGTTAAAATACTTTTCATAAAAACTTAGAATATGTGATAAACTGAAAGTTAGTACATGAAAAGAAGTAAAATCATTAATAGAAAACAGTTATTCACTCCAGATTTCCATTTTATTCCACTTTGTCTTTTTCTAGTCTAACAGTGGAAATGAGCCCCCCAACTTTGTTCTCTAAAATATCATTGATCTGCTCAATATTTTCTAGGTAAATTTAATCTCTCCTGAAATCAATATCCTGAAGTTTAAAAATCTATATATGTATCTGAAACCACCATTTGGATTACTAAAACAAATAAACAACAAACAAAACCAATCAACCTGTCAGCAAAAATAGGCCATGATTCTACATAATAGAAGATAACGTGTAGTGCAGTGTTGAAGCACATAATAGCCATAATAAATCATGTAGCAATTCAAAAAAGATAGAAGTGAACATTAAATTGAGTTAAATTTAAATTAAGCTGAATATGGCACTTCAGCTGAGCCTGGAAGGATAGATAAAATTTTCATAATTAGTGGAAAAGGGAAGAACATTCAATACGAAGGAATGCCATTTAGGTTTTTATTTATTCAATGAATACTTTTTGAGTATTTACTGGGTGCCAGGAAGATTCTAAAAACTAGGAATATGGTGGTGAGACCAAGTCTTTGCCTTCAAAGAGCTTTTATTCTAGTAAAAATCAAGTAATTAGCCTATGTGAAGTAGCATTTGACAGAGTTCACTACCCCTTCCCACTTTCCTCCCTGCTTTCTATGAGGCCAGACTCACATTGTTCACCTTCTATCATAATGACCAATTTTTCTGTCTGGATGACTCTTTTTAATCTCATAGAACTCTAACTTTTGAGTACTGCAGCCCAGGGCTCAGTTATTTTACCTGTCTAGCTATATTCACTCTTTTGGCGGTCTAATCCAGGCTCACATTTAAATATCATCTGTGTGTACTTACCATTCAGATTGATTTCTCAAACTTTGAGTCGCCTCCATGAACTCTATTAGACATCAGATGTCTAATAGGCATCTCAAACTTAGCATATCCAGAAAGCACACTCTTAATTTCTCCTTCAAAATGTGTCCTCTTGCCACCTTTCTCTCTTCATAAATGACAACCAGACTCTGCAATTTCGTTGGCCCAAAGCCTTGGAATCTCTCATGTCATTTTCATTCTCTCATATCTTGCAGCCAATTCATCAGCAAATTCTATTTCTCTACCTTCAAAATATATCCAGAATCTCACTATTTCTCATGCTGTCTCTGGCAGGATCGTCGTTATCACCCCACAATTAGAGGATGCTTTTGCCTGGACCTCCTAGAGCTTATGATTGAATAGAAGACAGAAAAAATATTCTCTTAAAACTTAAGTCAGAATATGTTATTTCTCTGTTCAAAATGCTCTGCCTCATTTAGAGTTCCATGGGTGATGGTGACATGTACCAAAAGTTGAAAACTATTAAGACAAGGGGGCATTTATTTTCTTTTGGCTATTAATGTATTATTTAACCACTTAATAAGCATTAATGAGTAGGTTAAGGCTTGATCCCAGATGCTGTGGGGGCATAAAGATGAAAAAGATATCCTCTGTCCTCCATGAGTTTGCAGCCTAGTATCAGATACAGGCAAAGATTTTGCATGTGCTTTAGGCACTTTTCTGTATGTCCTATACTTCATTAAAACAATTATTGAAAAATAATTGTCTCTACCTTATGGATTTATATGAGGTCTAGGTGAGATGATGTAAATAAAGTGTTGAACACAAGGCGTGAGACATAATAAATACCAGCAAATGTTAAAAAAAAAAACAAAAAAAAAAAAACAAAATGCTCTGCCTATTTTCCATCTCACTCAATGTAAAGGCAGAGTACTTACATAGGCCTATAAGACTTTACACAATCTGTCCCCTTTCAAATCTGACCTCACAATTCTTTGTCTTCAGTGAGACTTTCTATGACAGATTATCTATTTTCCAAAATGGCACAATAATATTTCCAGTCCCACATGCTCTTCCAGAGCCTTGCTACTCCCAGGTGAAGAGGTAGAACCTATTTCCCAACCCTTGAAACTATGTATGCCTTTATAACTACCTGAACACATAGAAAGCAGCACAGCACTGCATGATTTTTGAGATTACACCACAAAGTGCTTCTGCTTGGATTTTTCTCTCTCTGGGAACTCAAGTCCATAGAACCCAGCTATTATTTTGTGAGGAAGCCCAAGCTGTGAGGAACGGCCGTGCTGTTTGTAAGTGTTTCATCATTAACTGCCATATTTCTATGTGAGCAAGCCTTCAGATGATGGTAGCCTCAGCCTTCAAGTCTTCCAGCTGAAGCCTCAGACATTGTGGAACAGAGACAAGCTGTCCCCACTATGCCCTGTCTAAATTTTTTACTCAGAGATCCTTGAGATAACAAGTGGTTGTTTTATACTACTATGTTGGGGTCATTTGTTACACAGTTATAGATAACTAGCAGGGCTGCCAGTAGAATATGTGGGACCCTAGGCAAATATTTACTGTGAGGCCCTTGTCTATATAAACTATATGATAAAAAATATATATTTAATATTATAAAAGTCATGGACCTATGTGAAGAAAAGAGATGTATTTGCAAAATATTTTGTTTATTGTCCAATCAGTGCACATGAAGATTCTTAGTCCTGTGTCTGACCTGTACTAGAGTTACATAAAATCAGCAGTCAGTACTATTCTAGTGGTTCAATCTCTCAAAATCCCAAGAAAGAAATAATGTGATGGCCAGCAGAAGTGATGCCATCTTTCTGGGGATCTGGGGTCTGGCCAGAGGACCCCAGTATGACCCCAAAGGGATGAGTCCCAGCGTTCTTCAGGGCATCCAGTGAACTCCAAGCATAAGGATGAAGGGCAGAGAATGCCACAAAGAAGAGAAATTGAACCAGGACTCCAATTGCCTTATGGCATACCTGGCCTTAGGCAGTCTCAAACACTAAAGTAGGATTTAGAATATTTGGAGAAAGGAGATCCAAAATAAGAGGACTCCTGAGACTCAGGGACTGGGGTAGGGGTTCTGTTCAACCCTACTTTCTAAATGTCATACTGACACTCAGAACACCTTCTGTAACCTCCTCATTTTAAATTTCTCCCTCTGATTCTAGCACTCCCTATACACTTTTTCTACACTGCTTTGTTTTTCTACATAGCACTTACAACCATTTCATATAATACCTATTTTAAAAAAGAATTAATGCTGGCTTCCTTCCTCTAAAATGTAAGCTCCAAGAAGAATAATTTTGTCTGTTTTGTTCACTCCTGTATCCCCATCACCTAGAATAATGCCTGCAGTATGGCAGATATTCATCATTCTCAGCAAACTATCGCAAGGATAAAAAACCAAACACTGCATGTTCTCACTCATAGGTGGGAATTGAACAATGAGAACACATGGACACAGGAAGGGGAACATCATTCACCGGGGCCTGTTGTGGGGTGGGGGGAGGGGGGAGGGATAGCATTAGGAGATATACCTAATGTTAAATGAAGAGTTAATGGGTGCAGCACACCAACATGGCACACGTATACATATGTAACAAACCTGCACGTTGTGCACATGTACCCTAAAACTTAAAGTATAATTAAAAAAAAAAAAAGAATACCAGGTAGAGATAACTGGTAAGAAGAAAATAGTAGGAATAAGGGGACAGAGAAAGGTTGAGACAGATAACTACTTTAGATAGGGTAGTCAGGGAAGGTCTCTCTCCGAATGATGCGACATTTGAAAAGAAGTCTGAAGGGAGGCAGAGATCCAAAGAAGTAGGGAGAAGAACATTCCAGAAAGAGGAGTATAACACAAAGACCCTGAAATGGGAATGTGCTTGGCCTGTTTGAGGAACTGATGAGGCAACTGTGATTAAAACAACAGAGGACAGTGGAAGGAAATGAGATTGTAAGATCATCAGGATGGAGAAAATGAAGAGCTTTTATAGCCAATTTAAGCAATTTATATTTTATTCTAAGCAACTGAAAGCCTTTGGAGAGTTGTGAGCAGGAAACAACATGAACAGAAGGTGACTAAGCAGGCAGGGAGAAGACTGGCCCAACCAGAAATAAAGGACTTCATAGGGAAAATATAACAGAAGCACTTTAATGGAGGCAGAGCAGTTAAATTTAGATGTGATTGAAGAAGAAAGTAATTCGACAAGCATTTTTCAATTACAATGTGTTTACAATGTGTTTCAATTACAATGTGAATCCTATGAATTATCCCAGAACCTCAGCCTTATGACCCTCATCTTGCTACTAGACCTCTAATACTGGATGGACTACTGGCCTGCATATCCAACCATCACTTTCTTGAAACCCAGCTGAACTTCTCTTGGCTGCTGCCAGGGAAGTTTAGGATTTTATGGAAAAAATAGTTTTAGTTAAGGTTTTATTTAGAGAAAAATTTATTTTTTTAATTAGGTTTAGAAATCATATATTAAGATTTCAAACTGCATTTTTTAAAATAAATTATTTATACACATTGTTATTAGAAAATTAATATGCTATCACATAGTTACATTTCTTTTTTTTTTCTTTTATTATTATACTTTAAGTTTTAGGGTACATGTGCACATTGTGCAGGTTAGTTACATATGTATACATGTGCCACGCTGGTGCGCTGCACCCACTAACTCATCATCTAGCATTAGGTATATCTCCCAATGCTATCCCTCCCCCCTCCCCCAACCCCACAACAGTCCCCAGAGTGTGATGTTCCCCTTCCTGTGTCCATGTGATCTCATTGTTCAATTCCCACCTATGAGTGAGAATATGCAGTGTTTGGTTTTTTGTTCTTGCGATAGTTTACTGAGAATGATGATTTCCAATTTCATCCATGTCCCTACAAAGGACATGAACTCATCATTCTTTATGGCTGCATAGTATTCCATGGTGTATATGTGCCACATTTTCTTAATCCAGTCTATCGTTGTTGGACATTTGGGTTGGTTCCAAGTCTTTGCTATTGTGAATAGTGCCGCAATAAACATACGTGTGCATGTGTCTTTATAGCAGCATGATTTATAGTCCTTTGAGTATATACCCAGTAATGGGATGGCTGGGTCAAATGGTATTTCTAGTTCTAGATCCCTGAGGAATCGCCACACTGACTTCCACAATGGTTGAACTAGTTTACAGTCCCACCAACAGTGTAAAAGTGTTCCTATTTCTCCACATCCTCTCCAGCACCTGTTGTTTCCTGACTTTTTAATGATTGCCATTCTAACTGGTGTGAGATGGTATCTCATTGTGGTTTTGATATGCATTTCTCTGATGGCCAGTGATGATGAGCATTTTGATGGGGTTGTTTGTTTTTTTCTTGTAAATTTGTTTGAGTTCATTGTAGATTCTGGATATTAGCCCTTTGTCAGATGAGTAGGTTGCAAAAATTTTCTCCCATTTTGTAGGTTGCCTGTTCACTCTGATGGTAGTTTCTTTTGCTGTACAGAAGCTCTTTAGTTTAATTAGATCCCATTTGTCAATTTTGTCTTTTGCTGCCATTGCTTTTGGTGTTTTAGACATGAAGTCCTTGCCCATGCCTATGTCCTGAATAGTATTGCCTAGGTTTTCTTCTAGGGTTTTTATGGTTTTAGGTCTAATGTTTAAGTCTTTAATGCATCTTGAATTGATTTTTGTATAAGGTGTAAGGAAGGGATCCAGTTTCAGCTTTCTACATATGGCTAGCCAGTTTTCCCAGCACCATTTATTAAATAGGGAATCCTTTCTCCATTTCCTGTTTTTGTCAGGTTTGTCAAAGATCAGATAGTTGTAGATATGTGGTGTTATTTCTGAGGGCTCTGTACTGTTCCATTGATCTATATCTCTGTTTTGGTACCAGTACCATGCTGTTTTGATTACTGTAGCCTTGTAGTATAGTTTGAAGTCAGGTAGCATGATGCCTCCGGCTTTGTTCTTTTGGCTTAGGATTGACTTGGTGATGCGGGCTCTTTTTTGGTGCCATATGAACTTTAAAGTAGTTTTTTCCAATTCTGTGAAGAAAGGCATTGGTAGCTTGATGGGGATGGCATCGAATCTGTAAATTACCTTGGGCAGTATGGCCATTTTCACGATATTGATTCTTCCTACCCATGAGCATGGAATGTTCTTCCATTTGTTTGTATCCTCTTTTATTTCATTGAGCAGTGGTTTGTAGTTCTCCTTGAAGGGTCCTTCACATCCCTTGTAAGTTGGATTCCTAGGTATTTTATTCTCTTTGAAGCAATTGTGAATGGGAGTTCACTCATGATTTGGCTCTCTGTTTGTGTGTTGTTGGTGTATAAGAATGCTTGTGATTTTTGTACATTGATTTTGTATCCTGAGACTTTGCTGAAGTTGCTTATCAGCTTAAGGAGATTTTGGGCTGAGACAATGGGGTTTTCTAGATATACAATCATGTCGTCTGCAAACAGGGACAATTTGACTTCCTCTTTTCCTAATTGAATACCCTTTATTTCCTTCTCCTGCCTAATTGCCATGGCCAGAACTTCCAACACTATGTTGAATAGGAGTGGTGAGAGAGGGCATCCCTGTCTTGTGCCAGTTTTCAAAGGGAATGCTTCCAGTTTTTGCCCATTCAGTAGGATATTGCCTGTGGGTTTGTCATAGATAGCTCTTATTATTTTGAGATACGTCCCATCAATACCTAATTTATTGAGAGTTTTTAGCATGAAGGGTTGTTGAATTTTGTCAAAGGCCTTTTCTGCATCTATTGAGATGATCATGTGGTTTTTGTCTTTGGCTCTGTTTATACGCTGGATTACATTTATTGATTTGCATATATTGAACCAGCCTTGCATCCCAGGGATGAAGCCCACTTGATCATGGTGGATAAGCTTTTGATGTGCTGCTGGATTTGTTTTACCAGTATTTTATTGAGGATTTTTGCATCAGTGTTCATCAAGGATATTGGTCTAAAATTCTCTTTTTTTGTTGTGTCTCTGCCAGGCTTTGGTATCAGAATGATGCTGGCCTCATAAAATGAGTTAGGGAGGATTCCCTCTTTTTCTATTGATTGGAATAGTTTCAGAAGGAATGGTACCAGTTCCTCCTTGTACCTCTGGTAGAATTCGGCTGTGAATCCATCTGGTCCTGGACTCTTTTTGGTTGGTAAGCTATTGATTATTGCCACAATTTCAGATCCTGTTATTGGTCTATTCAGAGATTCAACTTCTTCCTGGTTTAGTCTTGGGAGAGTGTATGTGTCGAGGAATTTATCCATTTCTTCTAGATTTTCTAGTTTATTTGCATAGAGGTGTTTGTAGTATTCTCTGATGGTAGTTTGTATTTCTGTGGGATCGGTGGTGATATCCCCTTTATAATTTTTTATTGCATCTATTTGATTCTTCTCTCTTTTTTTCTTTATTAGTCTTGCTAGTGGTCTATCTATTTTGTTGATCCTTTCAAAAAACCAGCTCCTGGATTCATTAATTTTTTGAAGGGTTTTTTGTGTCTCTATTTCCTTCAGTTCTGCTCTGATTTTAGTTATTTCTTGCCTTCTGCTAGCTTTTGAATGTGTTTGCTCTTGCTTCTCTAGTTCTTTTAATTGTGATGTTAGGGTGTCAATTCTGGATCTTTCCTGCTTTCTCTTGTGGGCATTTAGTGCTATAAATTTCCCTCTACACACTGCTTTGAATGCATCCCAGAGATTCTGGTATGTTGTGTCTTTGTTCTCGTTGGTTTCAGAGAACATCTTTATTTCTGCCTTCATTTCGTTATGTACCCAGTAGTCATTCAGGAGCAGGTTGTTCAGTTTCCATGTAGTTGAGTGGTTTTGAGTGAGATTCTTAATCCTGAGTTCTAGTTTGATTGCACTGTGGTCTGAGAGATAGTTTGTTATAATTTCTGTTCTTTTACATTTGCTGAGGAGAGCTTTACTTCCAATATGTGGTCAATTTTGGAATAAGTGCGACGTGGTGCTGAGAAGAATGATTATTCTGTTGATTTGGGGTGGAGAGTTCTGTAGATGTCTATTAGGTCCACTTGGTGCAGAGCTGAGTTCAATTCCTGGGTATCCTTGTTGACTTTCTGTCTTGTCGATCTGTCTAATGTTGACAGTGGGGTGTTAAAGTCTCCCATTATTAATGTGTGGGAGTCTAAGTCTCTTTGTAGGTCACTCAGGACTTGCTTTATGAATCTGGGTGCTCCTGTATTGGGTGCATATATATTTAGGATAGTTAGCTCTTCTTGTTGAATTGATCCCTTTACCATTATGTAATGGCCTTCTTTGTCTCTTTTGATCTTTGTTGGTTTAAAGTCTGTTTTATCAGAGACTAGGATTGCAACCCCTGCCTTTTTTGTTTTCCATTTGCTTGGTAGATCTTCCTCCATCCTTTTATTTTGAGCCTATGTGTGTCTCTGCACGTGAGATGGGTTTCCTGAATACAGCACACTGATGGGTCTTGACTCTTTATCCAATTTGCCAGTCTGTGTCTTTTAATTGGAGCATTTAGTCCATTTACATTTAAAGTTAATATTGTTATGTGTGAATCTGATCCTGTCATGATGATGTTAGCTGGTTATTTTGCTCGTTAGTTGATGCAGTTTCTTCCTAGTCTCGATGGTCTTTACATTTTGGCATGATTTTGCAGCGGCTGGTACCGGTTGTTCCTTTCCATGTTTAGCACTTCCTTCAGGAGTTCTTTTAGGGCAGGCCTGGTGGTGACAAAATCGCTCAGCATTTGCTTGTCTGTAAAGTATTTTAGTTCTCCTTCACTTATGAAGCTTAGTTTGGCTGGATATGAAATTCTGGGTTGAAAATTCTTTTCTTTAAGAATGTTGAATATTGGCCCCCACTCTCTTCTGGCTTGTAGGGTTTCTGCTGAGATATCTGCTGTTAGTCTGATGGGCTTCCCTTTGAGGGTAACCCGACCTTTCTCTCTGGCTGCCCTTAACATTTTTTCCTCCATTTCAACTTTGGTGAATCTGACAATTATGTGTCTTGGAGTTGCTCTTCTCGAGGAGTATCTTTGTGGCGTTCTCCGTATTTCCTGAATCTGAACATTGGCCTGCCTTGCTAGATTGGGGAAGTTCTCCTGGATAATATCCTGCAGAGTGTTTTCCAACTTGGTTCCATTCTCCCTGTCACTTTCAGGTACACCAATCAGACGTAGATTTGGTCTTTTCACATAGTCCCATATTTCTTGGAGGCTTTGCTCATTTCTTTTTATTCTTTTTTCTCTAAACTTCCCTTCTCGCTTCATTTCATTCATTTCATCTTCCATTGCTGATACCCTTTCTTCCAGTTGATCGCATCGGCTCCTGAGGCTTCTGCATTCTTCTCGTAGTTCTCGAGCCTTGGTTTTCAGCTCCATCAGCTCCTTTAAGCACTTCTCTGTATTGGTTATTCTAGTTATACATTCTTCTAAATTTTTTTCAAAGTTTTCAACTTCTTTGCCTTTGGTTTGAATGTCCTCCCGTAGCTCAGAGTAATTTGATCGTCTGAAGCCTTCTTCTCTCAGCTCGTCAAAGTCGTTCTCCATCCGTCCAGCTTTGTTCCATTGCTGGTGAGGAACTGCGTTCCTTTGGAGGAGGAGAGGCGCTCTGCTTTTTAGAGTTTCCAGTTTTTCTGTTCTGTTTTTTCCCCATCTTTGTGGTTTTATCTACTTTTGGTCTTTGATGATGGTGATGTACAGATGGGTTTTTGGTGTGGATGTCCTTTCTGTTTGTTAGTTTTCCTTCTAACAGACAGGACCCTCAGCTGCAGGTCTGTTGGAGTACCCTGCCGTGTGAGGTGTCAGTGTGCCCCTGCTGGGGGGTGCCTCCCAGTTAGGCTGCTCGGGGGTCAGGGGTCAGGGACCCACTTGAGGAGGCAGTCTGCCCGTTCTCAGATCTCCAGCTGCGTACTGGGAGAACCACTGCTCTCTTCAAAGCTGTCAGACAGGGACATTTAAGTCTGCAGAGGTTACTGCTTTCTTTTTGTTTGTCTGTGCCCTGCCCCCAGAGGTGGAGCCTACAGAGGCAGGCAGGCCTCCTTGAGCTGTGGTGGGCTCCACCCAGTTCCAGCTTCCTGGCTGCTTTGTTTACCTAAGCAAGCCTGGGCAATGGCGGGCGCCCCTCCCCCAGCCTCACTGCCGCCTTGCAGTTTGATCTCAGACTGCTGTGCTAGCAATCAGCAAGACTCCGTGGGCGCAGGACCCTCCGAGCCAGGTGCGGGATATAATCTCGTCGTGCGCCGTTTTTTAAGCCCATTGGAAAAGCGCAGTATTCGGGCGGGAGTGACCCGATTTTCCAGGTGCTGTCCATCACCCCTTTCTTTGACTAGGAAAGGGAACTCCCTGACCCCTTGCCCTTCCCGAGTGAGGCAATGCCTCACCCTGCTTCGGCTCGCGCACGGTGCGCGCACCCACTGACCTGCGCCCACTGTCTGGCACTCCCTAGTGAGATGAACCCGGTACCTCAGATGGAAATGCAGAAATCACCTGTATTCTGTGTCGCTCATGCTGGGAGCTGTAGATAGGAGCTGTTCCTATTCCGCCATCTTGGTTCCTCCCCCCACTTTTTTTTTGGGGGGGTCAGCGTCTCACACTGTCGCCTGGGATGGAGTGCAATGGCGCAACCTCAACTCACTGCAACCTCCACCTCCCGGGTTCATGTGATTCTCCTGCCTCAGCCTCCTGAGTAGCTGGGGTTACAGGTGCACACCACCACACCCGGCTAATTTTTTATATTTTTTAGTGGAGACAGGGTTTCACTGTGGTGGCCAGACTGGTCTCAAACTCCTGACCTTGTGATCCACCTGCCTCGGCCTCCCAAGGTGCTGGGATTACAGGCGTGCGCCACCACACCCAGCCTGATTTCTTTTGTATAATCGGTCAAAATCCCTATTTGATTCTCTTCCTCAAGAGTGCCACTCAAATAATAAGTGAGGTATTCGTATTTGTGTGGATCTTATTTTGTAGTTGTTATTCAGTTCCATTTCCATATGTATATTGTTATACCAACACCACATTATATTACTCTAGATTTATAAAAGTTATTGATAAATATGTGTGATCTATATATAATACATATATATGTATTATATATAATACACATAGATATATAGATACATATCTATCTCTACATATATCTGTGTATATATGCATATATATGTATGGATAGATATCTATATGTGTATATATAGGTATATATCTATATAAGTACACATGTGTATATATGTATAGATAGATATCTATATAATGTATATTATATCCATATAATACCCATAATATACATACATAAAGATATATATACACATGTATACATTTATATATGATACATACATATATATTATACAGAGATGATATATTTACATATATTTCTCTCTATATATATATACACACATATGTATTTTTATTTGAACTATTTTTTTTGTGGGTTTTTAGCTAAAAGTCTACTAGTTTGATTTTTTGTTTGTTTTGTTTGGAGATGGAGTCTTGCTCTGTCAACCACGTTGGAGTGCAGTGACATGATAACAGCTCACTGCAGCCTCCATCTCCAGAGCTCAAGGGATCCTTCCACCTCAGCCTCCTGAGTAGCTGGGACTACAGGTGTGCACCATCACATGCAGCTAATTTTTTAGTGTTGTGGAGAAAGGATCTCACTATGTTGCCCAGGCTGGTCTTGAAGTCCTTGCCTCAAATGATCCTCCTGCCTCAGCCTCTCAAAGTGCTGGGATTACAAGTCTGAGTCCCTGTGCCTAGTCCCTACTAGTCTGATTTTAATATAGCTACACAAACTTTCTTTTAGGTAATGTTTACATGGTATATCTTTTCGATCCTTTTTTCCTTATATTTTGAGTATTATATTTTATATGACTCTCTTATAAGCAGTATACAGTTGTCTTTGTTGTTGAGAAGTTGGTTCATGTTTATTTAATAACTGATATGTTTGGATTTAAATCTATCATTTTGCTATTTGTTAAGTATTCATTTTGTTTATTCTGAATTCCTTTTTCTCTCATTTAGGTCAGTCAGTTGCTCTAAATATACATGATTTAAGTTATCTTAGCAGGATCCCTTCACTAAAATACACATATTCTCAGAAGTATATAACTTTAGCAAATGTAAAACATAGCTTGAAAGAGGCAGCATGTAAAGTGAAAAGTTAAGGGTCTAAGGAAACCAGAATTGGAGAACCAAAGGGGTGCAGCTGTTAAGGAGAAAAATAAATCTTAAGAATAAGTTAGTGTCTATTTAATCCTAGTATTGGAGGGGAAGTTATAGCTGAAGAAGTGTTCAAGGATCATGGGTGTGAGGATTGAACACTGCGCATTCTCATTAGTTCCTACAGTCACCAGGTATTGGTATTAGTCAGTTTTGGCTGCACATGAAACAACCTTACAATCACCATATTAAATATAAGTATTTATTCTCACACTAAGACCATGTGGGTCAGCTTCTATGGCTCTACTTCTGAGGTGGCTCCACTCCATGAATGTTCATTCTGGAACTTAGAAACTAGGAGTAGTGGCTACTTTGGAAGAGATCCAAAACTTCCAGAGGAATAAGTGGAAATAGACAATGACATTTAAGATCTTAAGATCTGGAATAAAACATATTCACGGTCACTTTCACCCACATTCCAAGGACCCAAATCAGTCACCTGGAGAATGCTAACATCAAGGGGCAGGGAAGTAGGAGGTTAAGGAATAAATATTTAGTCTAATTGATCTCAGTGTCTAACTAGAAAATGCTTTTAAATCAACGGTAATTCTCTTCTGTGCTTTCAGCTCATGCTGCAAAAATGTCATCCTTGGGCTTCTGTACCTTCTTATTTTGATCTTAATGAATCTTTAAATGAAATCTGAAAAGCAGCTGGGTCCTTTCTTTATAAACTCAGCTTGCAATAGTCTATCATATATTTTAGAACTTGAAAAAGGTTTATATAAGATAGTTGACTTTTTCCCTCCTCTCTCAACAACAGATAGTTCTTATTGCATTTAAGATGCAGGAAATGTCTATTTCGATAGGCAATTTTAGCTAGGTTCCATCAAATGTAGAAATCTGCTCTTGGGCTTTAGGATATTTGCAATTATAGTCTGAAATTTTACTATTTTGAAATTGATTAATAGGTATTAGAAGAGTAGAAATTCAGAATATAAATCTAAGCATATTGCTTTTAGTCACTTAATTTTTTATAGTGAAATATATCATAGATAATAAGATGAAGGCATTTTCAAGAATATACTCAAATAATAAGGCATAATGGTTTCTGCTTCCTAAACATACAAATATAAAACCCATGCATAGAAGAAACTCCTGAATTAAAGATGAATACAGTGAGATACACATCCAAAAGACCATGAATAAAACAAAAAACTCCAGTCCACCGAATATATGCAGCAAAACAAAAGTATAGATTAAAGTGGCAGAGTATTGGAGCAGCTATTACCAGTGGTGAACATTTCATCATTACCTAATATCTTCAGATAAAAGGAGTTCAAAAGTAGGCACTTCAAAAAAATTTTAAAGAGTAACTGCAAAAAGGGATTTATTATAGTACTGGAAATGGAACTGTATTTTAAAAATTGTGAAGGAACAAAACAAATTCAGTGGGAATTTTAATAGGGTTTGGTTGACCCAGAATAGCAAAGCATCATTAATGCTGAGGAGTCAAAAGCAGCAAAGACAGAACACAGAACACAAATTAACCACCTAGGTGGAAGATAAGTTACAAAAGAAACTGAGAGCCTTAGGAAAAAAAAATGAGAAATCCAATCTGCAAAAATCAGAAGTTTCAGAAGAAATATATGGGAGAAAGGAAGGAAGGAAGGAAGGAAGGAAAAGAAGGAAGGAAGGAAGGAAAAGAAGGAAGGAAGGAAGGAAAAGAAGGAAGGAAGGAAGGAAGGAAGGGAGGAGAGAGGGAGGGAGGAGAGAGGGAAGGAATTGGCAAGATATACCCAAGGCAATTGGCAGCTTTAACTCTCATGTGCTCTATGAATTTTTGCTTTGTTACTGTTTTTATTCTATGAGAATTTTTCTTTTTTTTTTTTCTAAAAAGAATGTTTCAAAAATATATCCAGCAGTTTATATGTGCTATACTGAAAAGGTTTCTCTGAACATTTAAACTCTTTATTGCCAGAAATAAAAGTCTCTGCTTATGAAAATCTTTACCAAGTCTAAGGCAGAAATTAAACCCTCACATTACAATACCAGTTTCCAGTCTTCTTGGTGGTGGTGGTCTGAGATGCTCAGTTTTTTCAAATCAAAGAAGTTTTTTCTTTCAAGATAATTTACATACTTAAGTTTTACCAATATACTGTAATGCTAAAGAATTCCTGTTTTCTGTTTCTATGATAGCAACCATTTTTTGAGGTAAGATGTGCTCTGCTAACAGCCTAGACTGTCAGGAAGGGCCACAGGATACAATACAAGGAATTTTCAGAGGAGAATTATTTAGTCAATATTCAGATTTTATCCCACCCTGTTTAGTTTTGAAACACAAGTTTATGAGGGACAGTACTGAAAATGCAAAACATATAGTGCATGTCCCTTAAGATTAGGATACAGGGGTGAGTGAACTTTCTTCTTACTTCTACCTTCCTTCTTCTAAAACCATAGCTTCTCGGAAACATGTCTGTTTTAGTATACCACCCACCAAATTTCTTCATTTCTGTCATAAACCATTTTCTAGGTCATTCTCTTTAAGCTAAACAGAAGACTTGAAATCCTTGTCTTTCACAGAGATCATTTACAGTGTAAATGTGTTGGCTTTTCGGTTCTTTGATATCATTAGCTGCAATTTTCTCCCAGATCTTGCCAGCCATTTTTAGGGTTCCACTCTATCCTACACCCTATAATTACCAGTACCTGCACCATCACAGAAATTTCTGTTTCAAGCATCTTACACTCTGACCTATTAACTTAGTTCTAGTAGCTTCCATCAGTTCAATCACTGTATTTAACTCAATCTGCCTCAATTATTTGATCTCAGCCAATCTACCTTTCAGTATCACTGCTCCCTCCTTTCTTCAGTTTCCTCTTTACTCATGGCCAATGGCCATCATATCACTCTTAAATATTTTGCTTTCTCTCTCTTATATATACACTAGAAAAAAAATCCATTCTTTGTTGAACCCAGCTATCTTCACTACATTTGCATCACATAATTACAGAAGAAAAATATATATACTCACATATATTGTGATTGGATGATTTAATATGTTACAAAAACTACGACTAAAGCCTTCAAACTAGTATTCAAACGTGCCCAGAAATCCTTTCATGTTTGGTTAGAAGTGCCGCTTTCACTTTCTGAGATGACTATTTCATAACTTCTCTCTTCAAACTTCTCATGATCCTTTCTTCACTTCCTTTAGTGATAATCTCTCTTCAGTTTTTATCATAAGAATACTCAAAACCAGTCAAAATAAATCAACCCAGCCCCATCCATCCATATTCACAGGGTATGTGTCTTTCTTCCTGCCTCAAAAGAAGTAGGTGTTTCTGTTCCCTGAAATAGGGTAACCCTTCATAATGCTCTGGATTCTGTCTCAGCTTCCTTTCCCTCCTTCTCCTGAAGCAACTTCTTCCTGTCTACTGGATCCTTCTTATTCTCTTCAGCACATGTATGCTACCTCAACGTTATCTTTTCTTTTCAACTAGCCATCTCTGCCACATTTTCCACATCCTTCTTTGTCTTCCATCCTGTTTGTCTGCTCCCTTTTGCTTGATCTTTTTCATTTCTTCCCTTCCCATTTGTTATTGACCCTACTCAGATTGGGCTTCTGTTCCCATCAAATTTACTGACATTGTTTTGTCAAGGTCTCCAGCAGTTTTCAGTTATCAAATTCAATGGGCTATTCATTAGTCCCATCTTGAATGGGCTCTCAGCAGTATTGGATATCATTGAGCACTCTCTGCTTCTTGAAATAATGTATTCTCTGTTTCTAGGACACAACTGTCTTTCTAATTTCTTTCTGTTTTTTATTTCACAGGTGGTCTCAAGATCCGTTACAGATTTCAACTTCTTTAACCTCTAATACTGGAGTTCTCAAAGCTAAACTTTGATTGCAGTTCTCATCTCTAAATACCCATTCTTTTTCAGGAAAGTTTAGTTGCATGCCTTTAAAAACATTTTATATTTTAACTTCAACATTTAGATCTCTCCACTTGACCTGTCCTCTGAGCTCTAGGCTCATATCTAACTGCCTGGATGGAATCTCCTCTTGTGCAATGTATTATTTGGGGTGACATTAGCTGCTTTAACAAATGAACCTTCCAAATTTCTGTGGCTTAATATGATAATAAAAGTTCATTTCTCATTTACAGAAACAATGACTTTTTTTGGGGCGGGGGGAGGGTTCCAAATGTGTCCTTCTTCATGGTGGTGAGGTATGTCCTACACATCTTTCTTATGTTTTCTCCCCTATCTAGGGCCTGAGGATATTCTGCATTCAGTTGATGGACAATCAAGGTGCATAAAGCATGTGCATATCTCTGTCTCCTCTGCCTGGAATGATGCACAACATGTTCTCCATTTTTCCTTTGGTGAGAAATAGTCATATGGCCCCATAGCGATGCAGTACAAGCTGGGAAATATTGTCTCTGGCTGAAAAACTGCTCACCAGCAGTAGCTATACTCTACTAAGGGGAATATGAATCTTTGATGGACACCTAGCCATCTCTGTCACACTGCCTTTCTTGCCACCCAGTAGACATCCAAACTCTTTCTTGTTCTACACAAAATTCAATCTTCTGCTTTTTGAGTGAAACAACCGTAAGTGTCATACAGCTGCTGCATCCAGTGAAGAGTCAGAATCTCTAGGTGATGAATGGTTCACTCTAGCAGCAGTGAATATGGCTCCCTGTGCTCTGAAAATATATGAACTAAAAGAAAAGTTGTCTGTCTACTCCACCCTCCACCGCCAGCATCCAACACACAGAGGTAGAGCGGGGACAAAGAAGTACAATAAAAGCTCACATTCTAAAAAGAAAAGCAAGGGACATATGGCAGTCACTGGTCCACAGTAACGATGAAAACTTGAAGGGTAGGCACTGTGAGATTGTTTAATCAGGTAAGGGGAGAATTTCTTAATTCGTCTCTGATTCTACCTTCCAGGAAGAACTCATTTGTTCATTGTTCTATTTGGCCACTGTCTCCATGGATCAGAACTATCTTCTGGGATGTTCTGTCTTGTCTATTATATTGATGGCCACATCTGAAGTGGATTTTAGAATATGTGCCCCTACTTGGGGTGTACTTTCACAGTCTTTTTTCCTGTTTGTGCAAGTTTGAGAGCACAGTGACTGTTTGAAGGCTCAAAGATAAGCTACTAGTTTCCTTAGCAATATAATTTCTCAACACTTTGTAGGCTTCTCATCTATTTGTTTCTGTTTCCATGTACTATAACCCCATCCAAATTTCTTTTTAAGACAGTATTTCTCAGGTCAGCTTTTTAAAATCTTTTCCTGCCCATTGCTTCTCTCTTTTAACTTGATAGTGACTACTTTGAGGCAATCTGAAAAAATATGATTCAATAGCAAATCCATATCATTAATGAACCTCCATTGCTCAAGATTTATCAATCATAAGACTGTTTGGTGTCTGCAGCAGTAGTGGTTTTTTGTTTGTTTGTTTCCCCAATCCAGAAAGGTCCTAAATTTCTCCTGCTCACATTTAGTTTTGCTTGCAAAATGGTCAATTTTCATCTAAGCATATCTCTTTCTTTTACTACCCTGCTAAACACCACAATTAATAATCAACTAAAATTGCTAACACACCTTTCCAAATATTTTCCCCTAGAGCAGAGGTTCTTAACTTTTTTTCCCCATGAACCCCTTTGGTAGTCTACAGAATCCTATCAACTTGTTCTCAGAATTTAAGAAAATATATAAAGTAAAACACAGAAGATAAAATAGAAAAATAAATGATATAGAAATATGACTATAAGCATATTTAAAAATGCATAATATAATATACTTGCTACTTTATTACTACATCTAATAAAACAAAATACTTTTTAAAAAGGCAAGTTAAAGTAAATTTCTTTTCAATATATTCATGTAAGTTTTTCTTACTTGGCTTAGATAAGAGCATTAAACAGCAGGTTGGCTTCTGTTTCATCTCTTTCCACATATAGGAAACAATTTGTGGAAAACTGTATACTGCCTACATATGAAAAATCCTTCCAGGTTATCTGATTCTAGCCTTTCATTGTTTTTCAGTTATTTTATAATTCTTAAGTTACAGTAACTGATAAACATGTGTAAAATCTGTCCTAGACATTTAATTGACTTTTACAGCCTCCCTCCTCTCCCACAGAAAGCATTTTTGCTGTCATTTTCAATTTCCTTTTACTTCATACACATTGTGATTTTTGGACGTTTTATTTGAATTGATTATAACATCTGCACAGTTCCCCCATTGACTGCACAGCTCCTCCATTGAATAAGTATAATAAATTATTTACCAAGAGTTCAACTTTATATCTGTATGAGAGTCATAATTTTACCTTTTTCTGGAAAATTATCTTTGACACATATAATGGTCCAACAAATAATTATAGAGAGCAAACATTAGAAAGCAACATGGATATCTATGTCATAAATAAATATACACAGCTTACAAGGTAAAAAAAAAATGCCCTATGAGGCTACATGGGGTGCCAGAGAAAGAAAGACACTTGACCTGGAAGTGACACATACCACCGTATTGTACATTCCATTGGTCAGAGCTAATTATATGATCTCACCTAGATGAAACAGAGGTTAAGAAATGAAATCTCTGAGCGGGCAGCTACTTAGTAGCAACATCTCGTGATAGAAGGAGAGGAAGAGTATTTAGTGAGCAGTTAATGTCTTGACCAAGAATATGTAGCAGACACTTAGTGGTCTTTGCCGCATGTCATTAGCAAACATTTCAAACATAATGCAAGCCACCTGAGAGCTCATGGTGCTTGCATTCAGTAAGACAAATGCTGTTTCAAGGCTGGTAAATATTTTCTTAAAAGACCTCCTCATTTTCTCACTTTAAAAATTACTAATTTTGTCCAGCCTCAATCACTATCAAAGTATTAAAAGCTTTTTATTACATTTCAGTATAAAAGTTTACAGAAAGAAAGGCATATAGGTATGAACAATTCTTAATAAATTTGTGTTATAATTATAGAGTAAGCCATGACAACATAGCCAACTGTGAAATATGCATAATCTTTGCAGTTTTATTTTTAGAGAAATCTTTCAAACTATGAAAATGAGTAGCAATGAGTCCCAGGTTGCATCATCATTCAGAGCCATAACTAAAAATCATGTAAGAAAAATTTTCTTATCTAGATTGCTTTTAAAAAATATACTAAATATATTTTTCTTTAATTGTATATGCCTGCTTTGGAATATACTATTTCCCCTAGTTTAAAGTTGGTTTTCTGCCTTAAATGCCGTTCCCTAGCCCATAATATTGACTGTAAATAAAATTATATGTAATTGTGGCAATTATTTTTTGAATTTGAAGTTTGGAATTTTACTTTGAAAGTATTTATCATAAACTTGAATTTAAAGGGGTATATTTGTGTGTCTGGGTGAAACCGACCCAATTTTTCCATAAAACTGACATTTATAGTTTCTGTTGAATAAACATAGAAATTGACTTTTCCAGGCTTGAAACTTGAGAAATTTCATTTGTCTTATCTGAGTTACCTTCTCATGAAACCAACCATCAGGTCTCTCAGATAGTATCAAGGAATTGAAACTTACTAGAGCACCACAAACCGGACAATGAGACGTCAGACCTCTCGCCCATCATGATTGCCTTCTGCTTCCAGTTGACCAACTCCTCTTTCTTACTCCTCCTTAATTCTCATTTTCCTGCATGTAGTTACCTTTCTGCTATAAACTCCTAATTCTGGTAGGTCAAGGAGATGGATTTGAAACTTATCTCCCATCTCCTCAGCTGCAGCATCCTACTATAGCCTTCTTCTATGGCAATATGCATCATCTCAGTGACTAGCTTTCTGTGCTGTGAGCAGCAGGACGTAGACCAAACCCAAGCTGTTTTGGTAACGTGTAGCTTGCAAAAAATATATTACAGCTTTATTATTATTTTCATAAAATACACTTGTTTGACTGAATTTTTCTTTCAAATTGGATTATAATTTGGGATTATTTAAAAGGCTAAACCAGAATTTCCCAAACGTTTAATGGAACACTGGTTTCTCAAACAATGTTTCAAAAAAAATTATTACAGTAGAATAAATTTGGAAGTCATTGAGTTAAATAAAGTAAAATATGTTTATTTGCTAGAGAACTTCTTAGAGCCTTTAATATAAAAATGCTTAGTGTGAATTGATAAGAGGGTATATAACACTTTTTAAAGTTCTTTGACTATAGATATTTTTTTTTCTGGCACAACTAGAATTGTTAGCGATCGGAGAATACTTTAAGGAAACTGTTAGTTTATGAAGCTTGTTCGTAGGTTCCTCATGACTCCACCATTCAAATGTTCCTTGAAGATATCATAAAGGGCTGGGTGCAGTGGCTCACGCCTGTAATCCCAACACTTGGGAGGCCGAGGTGGGTGAATGATGAGGTCAGGAGTTCGAGACCAGCCTGGCCAGCATGGTGAGACCCCGTCTCTACTAAAAATACAAAAATTAGCCTGGTATAGTGGTGTGCACCTGTAATCCCAGCTACTAGAGAGGCTAAGGCAGGAGAATCAACTGAACCCAGGAGGCGGAGGTTGCAGTGAGCCCAGATCATGCCACTGCACTCCAGCCTGGGAGACAGAGCAAGACTCCATCTCAAAACAAACAAACAAACAAAAAACAACTACAAAAAAAAAAAAAACATAAAGAACCAAATCCAATCCAAGACCATTCAGATTCCAGATAAAAAAGCTGCAGGAAGGTGTCTTGTGTCTATGGTTTCTGGACAAAAATTCTCTGAAATGGAATTTGAAGAAAAGAGACATTATTCCAGTGAACAGCTTACAAGCCAAGAAGATGGAGCTATCAGTGAAAAAGAATAATGCAGTCCCTGGAAGTCCAAGCCAGAGCAATCAGACGAGAGAAAATACAGGGAATCCAAATCAGTAAAGAGGAAGATGAACTGTCTCTGTATGCCAGTGATATGATCGTATACCTAGAAAACCCTAACCACTCATCCAAAAAACTCCTGGAACTGATAGGTGAATTCAGTAAAGTTTCAAGATACAAAGTACACAAATCAGTAGCATTGCTATACACCAATAACGACCAAGCTGAGAATTAAATCAAGAACTCAATCTCTTTTACAATAACTGCAAAAAATAAATAAATGAAATACATAGGAATATACCTAAACAAAGAGATGAAAGACCTCTAAAAGGAAAACTACAAAACACTGCTGAAAGAAATCATAGACGACACAAACAAATGGAAATACATCCCATGCTCATGGATGGGTAGAATCGATATTGCGAAAATGACCATACTGCCAAAAGCAATCTACAAATTCAATGCAATTCCCAACAAAATACCACCATCATTCTTCACAGAACTAGAAAACAAAATCCTAAAATTCATATGAAACCAAAAAAGAGCCCACATAGCCAAAGCAACACTAAACAAAAAGAGCAAATCTGGAGGCATCACATTACTCACCTTCAAACTATACTACCAGGCTATGGTCACCTTGTATGCTCAAAACAGCGTGGTACTGGCATAAAAACAGACACATAGATCAATGGAACAGAATAGAGAACCCAGAAATAAACCTAAATACTTACAGCCAACTGATATTCAACAAAACAGACAAAAACAGAAAGTGGGGAAAGGATGCCCTGTTCAACAAATGGTACTAGGATAATTGGCAGGCCACATGTAGAAGAATGAAACTGGATCCTCATCTCTAACCTTATACGAAAATCAACTGAAGACAGATTAGATTTAAATCTAACATCTGAATCCATAAAAATTCTAGAAGATAACATTAGAAAAACCTTTCTAGACATTGGCTTAGGCAAAGATTGACTAAGAACCCAAAAGCAAATGTAACAAAAACAAAGATAAATAGACGGGACTTAATTAAACTAAAAAGCTTCTGCGTAGCAAAAGAAAAAACAGCAGAATAAACAGACGACCCACAGAGTTGGAGAAAATCTTTGCCAAGTATGCATCCGACAAAGGACTAATATCCAGAATCTACAATGAACTCAAACAAATCAGTAAGTAAAAAACAAACAATCCTATCAAAAAGTGGTCTAAGGAAATGAATAGACAATTCTCAAAAGAAAATATACAAATGACCAACACACATGTGAAAAAATGCTCAACATCACTAATGATCAAGGAAATGCAAGTCAAAACAACATTGTGATACCATTTTACTCCTGCAGGAATGACCATAATTTAAAAACTAAAAAAAAAGAATAGATATTGCTGTGGAGGTGGTGAAAAGGGAACACTTTTACACTGTTGGTGGAAATGTAAACTAGTACAACCACTATGGAAAGCAGTGTGGAGATTCCTTACAAAACTAAAAGTAGATTTACCATTTGATCCAGCAAACTCACTACTGGGTATCTATCTATCCAGAGGAAAATAACTAATTATATGAAAAAGACACTAACACATACATGTTTAAAGCAGCACAATTAGCAATTGCAAAAATATGGAACCAGCCCAATGCCCATCAATCAATGAGTGGATAAAGAAAATGTGATATACATACCATAGAATACTATTCATTCATAAAAAAATGAATTAATGGCATTCACAGCAACCTGGATAGAGTTGGAGACCATTACTCTTAGTGAACTAACTCAGGAATGGAAAACCAAACATCGTATGTGCTCACTTATAAATGGGAACTAAGCTTTGAGGACTCAAAGGAATAAGAATAATACAATGGACTTTGAGGACTCAGAGGGAATTGTGGGCAGGGTGAGGGATAAAAGACTAACATTGGATACAGTGTACACTACTTGGGTGATGGGTGCACCAAAATGTCAGAAATCATCACTAAATAACTTATGTAACCAAACACCACCTGGTCCCCCAAAACCTATTGAAATATAAAAATAAAAATAAAGAATAGTGAAATCCAGAGAACAAAAGGAAGTTTCAGCTTTTATAGAGAAAGTTCCCACCCAGCTTCCCAATCAGATTGAAAAATGAAAAATTCAAAGGTCCCATTTCTAATTGGTTGACACAGTTGAATTCTGATTACTCAATATAGTTGATCCCTGATTGGTTGTTATAGCTAAGAACTAAGCATTGGCTGGTTGATATAACTGACCCCTGATTGGCCAGAGCAGATGAGCGCTGATTGGTTGGTTCCTGTGACCTCTGAAAGTCCCAAAGTTAAACAGAGGTGTGGGTTTTGGGGGAATGCAGACTGTGTGACCCCTAGTAAGAAAATGGCCACTTGGCTCTATTTTACAAGGTGTTGTTCTGTCATCCAGGCCACAGTGCAATGGTGAGAATGTAGCTCACTGAAGCCTTAAACACCTGAGCTCAAGGTATCCTCCCACCTCAGCCTCTGGAGTAGTTAGGAATAAAGGCACACTCCACCAAACTCAGCTAATTTTACATTTTTTTGTAGAGACAGAGTCTTTTTATTCTGCCCATTCTGGTCTCAAACTGTTGGCCTCAAGCAATCCTCCTGCCTTGACTTCTCAAACCTCTAGGATTACAGGCATGAGCCACCACCAAGCCCAGCCTCTGTTTTAAATTTAGATACAGTTAGCCACTTGAAATCCTTCTTGAAGGATTGGCTCTTCCAGTTTCATATCTGCTCACAGGTTTATCAGTCATAATATATAAATTACAACAGAAAGTTCGTTTATTTTCCTTTTCCTCCTATCATGTGAAATAAGGCTGCTACTGATATAACCAGTTATGAATGTGTGTTGCAATATTGTCAAATTTGTTTCCTCCAAAAGAAAACATTTGCATTGACTAGTCACTTAAGGCTGTCAATGCCAATCTTAAGGATAATGAATATTTACTATCTTTCAGAAAACAGGAGTTTCCTTCTTTTTTTAATATTGTAAATTTCTTATTAAATCAGACCACTAAAGTACCTTAAAAATAATATTAATAGCTAACATTACTCTGAGCTAAGCACAGTTTAAATATATTTACTACTTTAAATGTATTAATCTATTTAATCCTTGTAACTACCCTGCAAGAAAGCACTTATATCGTTCCCATTTAATAAATTATAAAGAGAAGATACACAGATATTTTAAAACTTTTTTTTCTAGATTATGCCACACGTGGACACACAGGGACCAAATTTAAACCCAGGTTCCAGGTCATTCTTAATCAGTGAGGCATAATACTCTGAGAATGCACCATTTTTCTGGCTCAAATTCTTTCCTAAGGGGTCCCGAGAAGGTCATGCCTACAAACCATAACATTTTTGCTAAACAGGTCTTTTTGACTCAGTATATTGTGGCTTACTTTATGACCTGACTCTAGCATGGCATTGCACAGTAAGTAAGTAGTCAGACATGAGCAGGGCGGGAAGAGGGCTCCCCCACATCCACCAGGAATGTCAGGTGACCATCAGGTGATGGTCAGGCAGTTGTTAAACTCTTTCTAAAATAATAATTGGTCACAGCCAGCGCCAGGGAAAGGCAGTCTCCCAATAGATAGAAAACACCCAAAACTGGTGATTAGCAGTTTTTTAATAAGATCTGAGAAGTTGAGCGAGTGGGCTTAAGCATGCACACTAAGATGCAAAATGGTGGAGTTTAACTGGTATATAACCTTCTTCTGGGAACACTCAACTGGTAAGGGAAAGACACTGGAAGTGAGTATGTGTACAACTTCAGTAAACATACTGTCCATGTGGCCCCTCTTAAGTGTTGACAGGCCACAGTGTATGCAGACAGTAAACCCCAAGGGAAGAATCAGGACAGAAGAGGTGTAACCCCCTGGAAGCATGCCAACATATAAAACCTAAAGTCAAAGGTGAAACCACACACTTGAACCTCTCCAGTCGTCTGCTTGGCCCCCTTCCAATTGTGCTTTATTTCCTTTCATTTCTGCTCTAAAACTTTTGAATAAACTTTCACTCCTGCCTGAAAATGTACCTTGGTCTCTCCTTCAGCCTTCTGCCCCTTGGTCAAATTCTTTCTTTTTAAAAAATATTTTGTCACAGTGTGGTTTTCTTGTCATCAACTCCCATGGAGAAATAGCTTCTTAGATTCATTTGGAAACTACCTCAGAGAACTATGTCTAGAAAGATCTTATTTGATTCAAACTTTATAAATTGTCATTATTATGATATAAAAATGGCTGATAGTGGTAATTTCATGTTTGACCTCATAGCAAAGAAAAGTAGTATGATGCCAATGTAGTTGAGTATTTATTGAGCACATATCACATGTCAGAGTTCTTTTTTTTTTTTTTTTTTTTTTTGAGACAGAGTCTTGTTCTGTCGCCCAGGCTGGAGTGCAGTGGCGCAATCTTGGCTCATTACAAGCTCCGCCTCCCGGGTTCACACCATTCTCCTGCCTCAGCCTCCTGAGTAGCTGGGACTACATGCGCCTGCCACCACGCCCAGCTAATTTTTTGTATTTTTATTAGAGATGGGGTTTTACTGTGTTAGTCAGGATGGTCTCGATTTCCTGCCCTCGGGCGATCCACCTGCCTCGGCCTCCCACAGTGCTGGGATTACAGGCGTGAGCCATGGCACCCGACCGTCAGGCTTTTTTAAACTAGAAGTTGCAGATACACGAGTGAATAAAAAGTCTAGGATCTTACCAAAAAAATCAACTAAATTAGCAAAAAATTGAATGCCTAATTACAAACTGAATGACATGGTTTGTCTCTGTGTCCCCACCCAAATCTCATGCTGAATTATAATTCCCAGTGTTGGAAGAGTGGCCTCATTCCCAGTGTTGGAGGAGTGGTGATTGGATCATGAGGTCGGATTTCCCCCTAGTTGTTCTCATGATAGTGAGTTCTTATGAGATCTGGTTGTTTGAAAGTGTAGCACTTCCCCCTTCACTCTCTGTCTTTCTCTTGGTCCAGTCATGTAAGATGTGCCAGCTTCCCCTTCACCTTCCACCATGACTGTAAGTTTTCTGGGGCCTCCCCAGCCTTGCTTCCTGTATAGCTGGTGGAACTGTGAGCCAATTAAACCTCTTTTCTTTGTAAATTACTCAGTCTCAGGTAGTTCTTTATAGCCGTGTGAGAAGAGACTAATACATTGAACTAAATGCTAAGAAGCAAGAGAAGCTGAAACAGAGTTTTCAAAGGGACCTGACTGATTCTGGGGATGAGATTAAGAAAATTTGCCTGAGGGGGAGAAACTTGAGTTGAAACCTGAAGCTTGAATAAGAATGAATAAAGGAGAGGATAGAGAGGATGGAAAGGAAAGAAAGGGAAGGGAAAGGAAGAGAAAGGAAGTCTAGTTTTAAAAAAAAAGTAAGGGAGATAGTAAGGAATAAAAAGAATAGTTTTATTATTTATTTATTTATTTATTTATTTATTTATTTATTTATTTATTTTTTGAGCCAGAATCCTACTCTGTTGCCCAGGCTGGAGTGCAGTGGTGTGATCACAGCTCACTGCAGCCTCAACCTCTCAGGCTCAGGTGATCCTCCTTCCTCAGCCTCCAGACTATCTGGAACTACAGGGAAATGCCACTGGCAAGAAGCCCCAGCAGGATTGAAGCTGCTCCTTTGAATTTGCAATTCAACATGAAAAACATCACCTCAGGGCTGATAAAAAGCAGCTTTAACCTCTGTCTTTAAATTTACAGTTTAACCACACCTGGCTAATTTTTTGCATTTTGTACAGACAGGGTTTTACCATATTGCCCAGGCTGGTCTCGAACTCCTGAGTTCAAATGATCTACCTGCCTCAGCCTCCCAAAGTGCTAGGTATGAGCCACCATGCCCAGCCAAAATAGAGAGTTTTAGATAGTAAAGAAAGGCTTTCCAGGTGGAACCAATAACACCTGAAAAGATCTCAGTTCAGGAATATTCATGTTGTGTTTGTGAAACTGAAAAAAGAGCACCATTTCTGAAGTGTGGTAAACTTTCAGAAGAGGAAAAATGGGGCTAAAACCTGGGGTTCTATAATAAAAAGTAGTGGGAAACTCCTAAAAAGAGTTAGGGAATCGAGTGATATAATTAAATGCTTATTTTTGCCACATTATGTATGGATGGGTCTTATAAAGGAGATCCATCAGAGTATTACCATAAAGATTAATTCCATTCCTGAGCAAGGACTCATAGAAATGACTAAAACGGTATCTTTAACTAAAATTGGAATGCCCATAAATCTTTGAATTTGTTTTAGTAGTAAATTTGTTCCAGTTTCTATAAAATAAGCATGTATATGATACACAACGATCAAGGTATTACAAATTATATTAAAGAATAGATTTTTAGGCCAGGCACTGTGGCTCACACCTTTAATCCCAGAAGTTTTGGAGGCTGAGGCAGGCGGATCACCTAAGTTCAGGAATTCGAGACTAGCCTGGCCAACGTGGTGAAACTCCATCTCTACTAAAAATACAATTAGCCTGGCATGGTGGCGCACGCCTGTAGTCCAGCTACTTGGGAGACTGAGGCAGGAGAATCACTTGAACTTGGGAGGCGGGGGTTGCAGTGAGCTGAGATCGTGTCACTGCACTCTCACCTGAGTGACAGAGAGAGATTCTGAGAAAAAGAAAGGAAGAAAGAAAGAAAGAGGAGGGAGGGAGGAAGGAAGGAAGGAGACAGAGAGAAAGAAAGAAGAAAAAAATAGATTTTTTTAAAGGATAAAATTATGACTCTCATACAAATGTAACACGTCAAATATTTTAACCCGTTAACTGATGATAAAATTAGTAAGATGCTACAACCAGTTTTAAACATATATAGGCAAAGAAGAAATGCTGAAATTTACAAATAGAGGAACAATGGGTCTATTCACAAGCTATAATCAATTCCATTTTACCTATCAAATGTAAAAATATTTGCCCTTTGGGGTATACTGTATCTTGGCTAAGAAATCTTTCTCTAACCTGTAATGCTTTTATTATTTTTTTTAATGTTTCCTCCAATCTCTTATTTTTGTTTTTTATTTCCATAGGTTTTTAGGGAACTGGTGGTGTTTGGTTACGTAAGTAAGTTCTTTAGTGGTGATTTTTGAGATTTGGTGCACCCATCATCCAAGCAGTATACACTGTACATGATTTGTAGTCTTTTATCTACCCCTCTCCCCCGTGCCTCCCCCTACAAAGTCCCCAAAGTCCATTGTATCATTCTTATACCTTTATGTCCTCATAGCTTAGCTCCCATTTATGAGTGAGAACATACGATGTTTGGTTTTCCATTCCTGAGTTATTTCACTTAGAATAATAATCTCCAATTCCATCCAGGTTGCTGCAAATGCCATTATTTCATTCCTTTTTATGGCTGAGTAGTATTCCATGGTAATTTTTTTATCTACTTCTTGATCGAATGGGCACTTGGGCTGGTTCCATATTTTTTCAGTTGTGAATTGTGCTGCTATAACCATGTGTGTACAAGTATCTTTTTCATATAATGACTTCTTTTCCTCTGGGTAGATACCCAGTTGTTACTCCATCATGCTTTTAGAGTTAAATCAACACCAAATTGGTTAAACTGCTTTCAGGTACAAGTAAAGTGTTTCCTACATATAATGATTAATTTAATATACTCAAGTTTTAATAAATTAGTGCAAAATCTTTGATGTGTATGAAAAACAGTTTCCACTTTCACAAAGAAACTCATAACTAAAGAACATTTTATTAATTATACTGAGCCTGTTTTCTCCATTCATTTTTGATAAGTGACACCACTTCTCAGTCCTAACATATAAGGACTCCATTTTAAGACTAATGTTGGCTATAAGAAAAATGGAACATTTTCCTATTAGAATTTTAAAAATCTAGGCTATACAGAGAAATTTTATTCTCAATTCTCTAACAAGCCTCAAGTATACACTCATGATTCCTTAAGCCAGCCATTCATGCTATGTGGCTCCAGCTTATACTAAAATAAAAACAAAAGCTGACTTATACTTTAAAAATTATTCAGTAATATAGTCCTGAAATTATCTTTAAATAATCACTCGTAGGTGCACAGTACATAAGAAAGAAAACATAAAGTGGTGATTTCTGAATGAACTCTGACATTGGGCTCCATAATAATTTATTTCTTATTCATAAATACCTTAAAATCATGTCATTCTTAATTATATGGTACAGAAAGAATGGATATGTTTAAGAAAAAATTCTTATGCGTAGAGAGTGTGTCAACTTTCACTAGTAAAATGTTAATGTCATTTAAATATAACAATAAACTATTTAAGAGTTGTATAGTAATAATGAAGTATATGACCATTCCCAAAGATGTTTATTACATTAAAATATGAAGACTGTTCCTACTGTAGAACAAGGAGGAGAAGATAAATCTATAAACATAAAAGGAAGAAATGCTTGTATTTATTATACTTTCCATGTAAACATGTTAAAAGTTTTTATTTTCCTGTGAGACCATTTTACAATCTATAAGTCTTTCTTTGCATGAATGACAAATATTTTTTCTAAGTAATTGTTATTGTTTACCTAAAAGGAAGAAGCCGAGGCAAAATTAATAGTATAGCGTTTATTTGGGCCAAGGCTGAGGATCACAACCTGGAAGCATAGATTTAAGTTGCCCTTAATATACATTCTGGTTAGTAGCAGTTACAAGTAGATTTTTAAAAGCAAACAAAAGGAGGGGATGAGTAATGGGCTGATACAAAATTCTTTGTCAAAAATTTTCATTGGTTTATAGAAATAACATTGATTAGTGATTGGCCATCCATTGTTAACTTGCAGGGTGTGGGTTATAGTATCCCAGTGTGGCATTATTAGGTTACTTTATAGGTACTTGTAGCAATAGCAAGCCCTTTGGAAGGTGAATGCATAGCTCAGAGTGGGGAGTATGGTGTGATAACTGTCTCGTTTTAATGGGTCTCCGGGCCTAATAATTTGAAAGGGCTCACATTCCTCAGATGAAAGTTATTTTCTTTCCTCATTATTTTCTTGTTATGGTCTTACTTTAAATCTCTCTCTTGTTTGTTATTTCAAAAATATTTAGTTATATTTACTTATGTTTTGAGTCAATAATATATACTTTTCAAAATTCAAATGCTATAAAAGTGAATACAAGAAAAATATAGCTATAAGAACTAGAATATTACTTCTGTGTCTTAGACCTCAATTCTCTTCCCTGCAAGCAATGGAGTTTCATTTTCTTGTCTGTCTTTACAGAAATATTTTATGCATATGCAAGTAAATATGTACAAATTACATTTATAGATATGTATGTGTATATACATATGTGTATGCATACGTGTATATGGATATGTGTGTGTGTATTTATACTTTTACTCAGAAATGATCAGGCCATTTTTAACACTTACAGACATATCCCTTAAGATGAGAGTGCCTATCTGATTCATCTGTGTGATCTCCCAACAAGTATATATATATATATATATATATACGTTTGTATATATATATATACTTGTATAAATATATATATATATTCTGTACTATATTTTGTTTTGGGGTTTTGGTTTTACTTGTTACATAACAGCATTTCTTGTAGTAAATTCCACATCAGTACATAAAACACTTTCTTACCTTCTTTTATGGTGCTTTAAAATTTCTTCATATATATATGGCATAGTTTTTTCAACCAATCTTCTCTAGATACATATTTGTTTCTAATAGCTTGCTGTTACAATGTACATGTGACCATCAAAAATATTTCATAATCTTTCCTTCATTTATTAATAACTAACTTCAAATGAGTACTTAGTATAATTTCAGCCCCATGTTCAGAGCTTTATATACATTATCTCATTCAATTTTCAAACTAACCATGAGAGTTACTTTTTTTTATTTTAGTACTGTTTTTTTATTTAGTACTTTTTTTATTCTCTTTTTACGGATGAAGAAAATCTATTTGCCTAAATAGAAAAAATAAATATGTGGAAGATTCAGGATCTGATTTCTGGTCTGTATGTCTTTAAAACTCTTATAAAAGAAATGAATTACGTACGTATTTGTTGACAATCTATATAGATGTAATGTACTGGTGAGATCACAGATGAATCAGACACATACATTCACCTTAAGGAGCTTATTGTCTGCAAGTGTTAAAAGCTTACTCATTTCTGAGTAAGTCAATTAATTATAGCAGATTTCAATAAAGTGACTGACAGGTCAGTAACAAAGATATATTCTGTGTATACAAAAATTACAGTTAAAACCATATTCTCAAGTTCAAGTTTTATAATTTAACTAAAGAGTACCATATTTACAAAGAAGTAATTACCACACTTAATAAAACTCCAAATCTGCTTCCAGATGTGACCGCAGTAGGGTATAATTTTGAGAGCTAAATTTCAAAGATGACCACTTTTTAGAAATGAACTAGGAAACATTTCTCTATTATTAATTACAGCTAGAAATCTTTCAACAGAGGAGAATTTTAAATAAATGTTAATAGATACAATCAATGGCTTAGGAAGAATTCTGAAAATTGCTAGCTTGTTTCTAAGACAGCAGTTAAATTTGATTACTGGATTTTGAAAATTTCCATGTTTTTTCACTGCCAATTTCCATCAGGGACAAAAATGAAAAGTGTCAAAAATAACATGAAACAGACATTTCTTCCAAATGTTGGGGTTTGAGTAGGGATGGAAAATGTTATGAAGAAAACTGCTTTCAAATTTCTAGCCTAGTTTGGAATATTAAAAAAGAAAAAAACTGTAGTTGTAGTAAGAAAAGAAAACACAGTTTGTAGGGAGCCACTTATATCCAAAATGTAGTCTTGGAAGTTAAATTACTCCTCTCACTCTAGTTCTGAAGTTGCCCTTGAATTTGCTCAAGACTTCACAGTTTGGCCATCATATTCCTCATCTAATACTCCTGTAATTTGCCTACATTAAATAAAAAACTAAGATAGAATTAGCACACAGAAGTATTTTTAATTTTTGGCTTTGAACTGGCAACTGAATCAACAGATATGACTACTAAAATGCAGAGTTCTTAGCCTCAATCCTGACATTTTGAAACAAAGAACCCCCAAATCTACATTTCGGTAATTCTTATATACTCAAGTTTAGAACCACTGCAGTGACAGGAAGGAAGGTATAGGGATTATGTTATGACTTCTCTCTTTCTTCACAAGCTCAGAGACAAAAAAATGTGTTAGAAGGTATACTACTTTAAGACTCTGGAAAAGTGTGTTCTTATCTGGGCTTGCAACTTCCTAGCAGACTGACTGTATTAGTTCATTTTCACGCTGCTGATAAAGACATACCTGAAAGTGAGAAAAAGAGAGGTTTAATTGGACGTACAGTTCCACATGGCTGAGGAGGCCTCAAAATCATGGCAGGAGGCGAAAGGCATTTCTTACATGGAGGCAGCAAGAGAAAATGAGGAAGAAGCAAAAGCGGAAACCCTTGACAAACCCATCAGATCTCATGAGACTTATTCATTATCATGAGAATAACACAGGAAAGACTGGTCCCCATGATTCAATTACCTCCCCCTGGGTCCCTCCCACAACATGTGGAAATTCTGGGAAATACAATTCAATTTGAGATTTGGTGGGAACACAACCAGACCATATCATTCCACCCCTGGCCTCTCCAAATCTCATGTCCTCACATTTCAAAACCAACCATGCCTTTCCAATACTCCCCCAAAATCTTAACTCATTTCAGCATTAACCGAAAAGTTCACAGTCCAAAGTTTCATGTGAGGCAAGGCAAGTCCCTTCTGCCTATGCAAAAATCAAAAGCAAGCTAGTTACTTCCTAGATACAATGAGGGTACAGGTTTTGGGTATTTGGTAAATACAGCCATTCCAAATGGGAGAAATTGGCCAAAACAAAGAGATTACAGGGCCCATGCAAGTCTGAAATCCAGTGGGGCAGTCAAACTTTAAAGCTCCAGAATGATCTCCTTTGACTCCAGGCCTCACACCCAGGTCATGCTGATGCAAGAGGTGGGTTCCCATGGTTTTGGGCAGCTCTGCGTCTGTGGCTTTGCAGGGTACAGCCTCCCTCCCAGCTGCTTTCACAGGCTGTTGTTGAGTGTCTGCAGCTTTTCTAGGTGCATGGTTTAAACTGCTGGCAGATCTACCATTCTGGGGTCTGGAGGATGGTGGTCTGCTTCTCACAGCTCTACTAGTCAGCTCCCAAGGACTCTGCGTGGAGGCTCTGACCCCACATTTCCCTTCTGTACTACCCTAGCAGAGGTTCTCCATGAGCACCCCACCCCTGGAGCAAACTTTTACCTTGGCATTTAGGTGTTTCCATACATCTTCTGCAATCTAGACAGAGGTTCCCAAACCTCAGTTCTTGACTTCTGTGCACCTGAAGGTTCAACACCACATGGAAGCTGCCAAGGCTTGGGGCTTCCACCATCTAAAGCCACAGCCTGAGCCCTACGTTGGCCCCTTTCAGCCACAGCTGGAGTGGTTGGGACACAGAGTGCCAAGTCCCTAGGCTGTACAAACCACAGGGACCCTGGGCCTGGCCAATGAAGCCACTTTTTCCTCCTGGGCCTCCAAGCCTGTGATGGGAGAGGCTGCCATGAAGGTCTCTGACATGGCCTGGAAATATTTCCCCATGGTCTTGGGAATTAACATTAGACTCCTTGCTACTTATGCAAATTTCTGCAGCCAGCTTGAATTTCTCCACAGAAAATTGGTTTTTCTTTTCTATCACCTAGTCAGGCACCAGATTTTCTGAACTTTTATACTGTTTCCCTTTTAAAACTGAATGCCTTTAACAGTACCCAAGTCACCTCTTGAATGCTTTGCTGCTTAGAAATTGCTTTTGCCAGATACCCTAAATCATCTCTCTCAAGTTCAAATTTCAACAGATCTCTAGGGCAGTGGCAAAATGCCACAAGTGTCTTTGCTAAAACATAACAAGAGTCACGTTTGCTCCAGTTCCCAGCAAGTTCCTCATCTCCATCTGTGACCACCTCAGCCTGGATTTTATTGTCCATATCAGTATCAGCATTTTGGGTAAAGCCATTCAATAAGTCTCTAGGAAGTTCCAAACTTTCTCACATTTTCCTGTATTCTTGTGAGTCCTTCAAACTCTTCCAGTTTCTGCCTGTTACCCACTTCCAAAGTTGCTTCCACATTTTCAGGTATATTTTCAGCAACACCTCACTCCTGGTACCAATTTACTGTATTAGTCCGTTTTCATGCTGCTGATAAAGACATACCTGAAGGAAAAGAGGTTTAATTGGACTTACAGTTCCACATGGCTACCGAGAGGCCTCAGAATCATGGTGGGAGGCAAAAGGCACTTCTTACATGGTGGCAGCAAGAGAAAATGAGGAAGAAGCAAAAGTGGAAACCCCTGATAAACCCATCAGATCTCGTGAGACTTATTCACTATCATGAGAATAGCATGGGAAAGACTGGACCCCATAATTCAATTATCTCCTGCTGGGTCCCTTCCACAACACATGGGAATTCTGGGAAATATAATTCAAGTTGAGATCTGGTGAGCAAACAGCAATACCATGTCACTGATCTTATATAGGTCATTGACAGTCCTTGAATCCTGGGTTCTGCCTGTGCCATCAGGTTATTGTGGGGTTAAGATAACATATGCAGATTACTTATCTCCTGCCATAAAGATCCATGACATTAATAGTGTTGATCTCATACTCTCAGAGTAGGTTAGAGTATTCTATTTTAAAAAAACATATCAATTTCCATTTCCAACAGAAAGAGGAGTGAATAAAACCAAGGAAGGGAACAGACAATTACTATTTATAAATTTATGGCAGTATTAAATACCAATTTTTTCATAATTATTGTGATTCTTAATTTAAATAGTTATTGTGTTACTTTTTAAAGTGGAAACAAAATGTTCAAAAAACCTTTTTCAGCTTTGCTTTCATTGATTAAAAAAGGCACAAGTTTCATGATACAAAACATTGACTACTTTTTGATATAATTGAATTGCCATCAAGTCCTTGAAAATTTTTTTTTGTTATTGAAGCATGTATGCCTTGGAGATTATAGTAGCTCTTGCTTTTTGTTCTAGAAAAAAAGCATAACTTAATTTGAAATGTGTGACTAATATAATTAGGGAATTAATATAACTCCAACCCCTGGGGAATTAAGTGATTTTCTAGAGACATCCCTAAAGGATACTCACTGAAACAACTCCTGTCTGACATACAAATTACTCTATAAACCAAGGCTACAAACTGTCAGAGTGAACAAATAATAAGATGAGTATCTTTAGCTAGTTGCTTAAACTGGTCAAATCACTGAATTTGACAAGTCTGCGAATTGAATAAGCTTCTTACCATTTCGGGACCTCAAAGATCCTCATGAAAAACTAAGAAACAGGATCAGATGATGAAGGCACTGTCTAGATCAGGGTTCTGTGATGTGCCTGATATCAACATGACCTAAAAATATGGATACTTCAACCAACAATCAAGGGTTGAGAGGAAAAATAGAAAACTCTAGAACGATAAAGAAATGAAAGAAAATTGTGTAGCCAAAGTACTGCATATTGCTAAAACTGAAGAGAGAGAGAGAGAGAGAGAGAGAAATGTAGCATGCAGTGGGTATAGTATAAGGGCAGAGGAGCCTAGTGGTGGTGAAACATGATGGCTTCAGAGTCAGGTTGCCTCTATTAGAATCCAACTTTCATTCCTAGCCTTTTGGCCTTTGGCAAGTGACTTAACCACTCTGTGTTTCAGTTTTATTTTCTGTAAAATGGTAATGGCTCCAGACACTGCTTGCCACATAAAAGCACTCGAATGTTAATTATTGTTCATATTATTAAACGGATCATACAGCTGATGTTCAAAGTGATCCCTGACAGTATCCGACATAATGGGTACTTGACAAATAATCATTGAATTTAATTAGTGAGTGATTGAATGAATCAGTGTATCTACTACAAACTTTGAAAATAAATTTATATTTGAATTTTTAACACATCTATAATATGATAAAAGACAAAATGTATTTTCTGTTTCTTTTATTGATCTGCTTTAGTCTTAGAATTAAATTGTGCGTATATTTCAATATAATTGCTCTTAACCTTATTTTAGGATTGTGTAAATAAAAACTAAAAGATATCAAATAAGTATTTTAAAATTTTGATGGGTTGGCTTTTTATTTGGCTTTTTATTTTATTTGGCTTTTTAAGGTTAAGCTCATAACCCAAAGGCCTTTCGGTGAATCTATGACATTTAAAAAGTAGCTGATCAATCAATGTAGAGTGGTTACCACAGACTGAGGAGATGGGAAGGGAAGATGGGGAGGGATTCAATGAGTATGAAGTTACAGTCAGATAGGAGAAATAAGTTCTGGTGTTCAATTGCCCAGTAGGGTGCCTATGGATACCAGTAAAGTATTATACAAAATAGCCAGAAAGAGGCTTTTGAATGTTCTCACCATAAGAAATGATGAGGGCATGAGCTGATGGATTAGCTAACTCTCCTCATTTGATCATGATATAACATACACACATGTCAAAATATCACATGGTACCCTATAAATATGTACAATTACAGTGTCAATTAAAACATGTTAAAAAGAAAATGAAATTAATTAGTCAATGGAGGGTATGTAGACTTGTGATTAACCAGGCAGGTTTAAATAATAAATAAATGAGACTACGTTTCATTTTATTTTTGAGATAGTGTCTCGCTCTGTCACCCAGGCTGGAATGCAACACAAGCATAGCTCAAGCTTCTGGGCTCAAACAATCCCGCTGCCTCAGTCTCCAGAGCAGCTGGGGCTACCAGTGCACACCACCACACCTGGTTAATTAAAAAAAACATTTTTTTTGTAGAGATGGGGTCTCTCACTTTGTTGCCCTGGGTGGTCTCAAGCTCCTGTGCTCAAGTGATCCTCTTGCCTTGGCCTCCCAAAGTGTTGGGTTTACAGGTGTGAGCCACTGTGCTTAACCTAGACTTTATTTTAAGTCTTATATTTCAGTCTGTATAATTTTGCAGCTGAAATACACTGGTATTGAAGTATATAATCAATCTGATTCATGTTGGGACATTTTAATGGAACCCCAGGAAAGGGTTGACTATAATCACATTGCTGCTTGTGGTTTCATTATATAGATATCTGTGCAATTCAGAAGAGAAACAAGGAAAAATAGAGCTTGCTGCCATCACATTTTTAGTATCCTGGCCACCGCTGTGTGAATGCTGCAGTAACTCTACCATTATATGTCACAGTATTATTTAATGACTATGGACTGAATTCATTTAGTATTAAGGGATAAGACTGACAAGGATTCAAAACATGATCTATTTGGCATTAAGAGAATACCAAAAGAACATTGGCATGGCACCTACTACTCCTTTCCAAGGACATAATCAAGAGATAGTTGGAGAACCCACACAACCCACAGTTCCCAGGTGGCTGAAAAAATAAATGGATCATTATAGCCTAGCAGAGTTTTATGATGTTTGAAACAAACTGTCCATGACTATTTTTTTCAAGTATAGAAACATCTAGGAACTCATTTTTTGACATTAAAAAAGAGATTTTGGTAAATTATTTTCAAAGGAAGAAAGTAATCCAATGGGAAATGGAGGCAAAATAATTTCTATTGTTTTTTGCTGCTGCTTCTGCTGTTATTTTTTACTTTGACTAGAAAAAGCAAATGCTTTTATTTGAAATTTAAAGTTACAGTACCCTTACTTTATGTAAGAAGTTATGTAATTTGGTTACTATACATCTAAGTTTAGCAAAATAGTGGTTCCAATAATTAATAGAAACTTGTTGCACTCTTTGTTAAAGTTAATGTATTTCAGTTTGTTTGCACATATATTTCATCATGGTTTGACAATTTTGACAGGCATAACTGATTTTGACACAACCAAATTAAGAGAATGAATATATTTATTTATTTTGAAATCACTTTGGCATAATTACATGGGCAAACATGATTGAAATAATCTGCAACGGATAAACATATGGCAGTTTAAAAGTGAAAAAGCATACAGTTTTCAGCAAAAAAACCATTTTCTGCATAGATATAAAAGTTTCCTTTTCTCTTTAGATCTATTCTATATTCTACAGTTTAATTATTTTTCAAATAATAGCTTTATTAAAATGTCATTCACATTCCATAACATTTATTAGGTTCTTGAACAGGCATGTGTTTCCATTCCCTTGGCATATATCTAGGAGTGGGTGTTGCTAGATCTTATCAAATGTTAAACACTATGTTTATAAGATTTGAAGTGATCAATGAATTGAGATATAAAGTGATTGATTGATATTTAAGAATTTGTGGATTGTTGTTAATTCTTTCAATGTTTGGTAGAATTCACTTGTGAAGTCATCTAGTCCCGGGCCTTTCTTTGTGGAAAATTTTCTATTATTAATTCAACTTCTCCCTATAAGGCTATTAAGATTTACATTTCTTTTTGAATTAGTTGTGTTAGTTTTTGTCTTCTTAGGAAGTTGTTCATTTCACTTAAGATATCTAATTTTTCCCATACTATTGTTCATACTATTCTACTTTTTATTTCTGTAAGGTTGGTAGTGATGTTTTGCCTTTTATTCCTAATTTTAGCAATATGAGAGCTTTTTTTGGCAGTCTAGCAAGAGGTTTGTCAAATTTGTTGATCTTTTCAAGGAACCAAATTTTATTTCTGTTAGTTTTCTCTATTGTTTTTCTTGTCTCTATTTTATTTTCTTTACCTTGAATCTTTATCATTTTCTCCAGGCTTTCTTTTGGCTTAGATTTCTCTCCTTTCTTTTGTTATTTAAAGTACAAAGTTAAGTTATTGATTTAAAATTTTTTTCTTCTTTTTTTTTTTAACAGAGCCACTTACAGCTATACATTTATTTCTAAGCACTGTTTTAGCTGTCTCCCACAAATGTTGTGTTTTGTTTACATTTATTTTAGAGTGTTAGAAGCTTCTTATGTGAGTTCTTTTTTTGCATATTGATTATTTAAGACTATTGTTTAATTTTACATATTTATGAATTTTGAAAATTTCCTCTGTTACTGACTTTGTTCGTTTGTTTGAGACACAGTCTTGCTCTGCCATTCAGGATAGAGTGCAGTGGTGTGATCATGGCTCACTGCAACCTCAAACTCCTGGGCTCAAGAGATCCTTCACTTCAGCCTCCTGAATAGCTGGGACTACAAGTGCACACCACCATGCCCAGCTAATTAAAAAACATTTTTTTTGTTTGTATACACAAATTATTGCTATGTTTCCCAGGCTGGTCTTGAACTCCTGTCATCATGTGGTCCTCCTGCCTCAAACTCCCAATACATTGGGATTACAGGTGGGAGCCACTGCTCCTGGCTTCTGATTTTTAGTTTCATTTTATTATGTTTATAGAACATACTTTCTTTGATTTTGATCCTTTTAAATGTATTTAACCTCTTTTTCTGTCCTAACATAGATTATTTCATGGAGTATAACCTATAGCCCTTCATAAAAGCGCATTATCCTGTTGTGTGCAGTAGTGTATGCACATCTGTTAGGTCTAGTTGGTTTATATTGTTTTCCAAGTCTCATATTTTCTCCTAAGTTAGATATCATGTGTTAAATATAAAAAAAAACAAGAATCACTCTATAGATGTAGTGACTATTATTAAAGATGATTTAAAATAAAATTCTTCTAAAACAAAAAAGATACTATATTTAGCAGCAGCTTGGGCAGTCTTTATAAATAATAAATAACTTTGATGTGAATTTGTTCACATTATCAAGCTAAAGAGTTTGGGTGGCAATTCAGAGGATAGGCAAGAAAAAAAAAGAGGCAAAGTCCACTATAAGCTTGGACTTTCTTACCATTTGATCCTGGTCTCTCCTTAAATCTCCTTAAATCCACTGACTTAAGTTTCCTACACCCAGTGATAACCGATTTGTCATATTCTTCCCCAAATAACCTGTTTCACCTATCTTTTCACCCAGAGATAAGCAAACATCTTTCACTTCACTCTTTTCTATTCCTTTTCCTACTTTTTACCCCTTTTGCTGTTGTGCATTCTGATTGAAACTGTGATGGAGTGCCTCTTCCCTCTATTTTGATGACTCTTCTTATAGAAAAATAGATTTCTTACCAACAATTCCCTTCTTGAACTTATTGGAGATGATAATGAAAAGATTCATTTCTTATTTGACCCTAACTCTGTTTTTACAGGAAGTCTCTGTCAGAAACATGCTACCACATGGAAAGATCTACATGGCAAGGAACTGAAAGAATGAAAGAGGACCCCTTCTAATAGCTAGCAAGAGGCTGATTCTGTCAGCCTAATAGCCTGTAAGGAACTAAATCCTGCCAACAACCACGTGTCTTGAAAATGTATCCTTCCACAGTCTAGCCTCAGATAAGAGTCTACCCCAAACAATAGCTTGGTTGCAACCTTGTGAAAGACACTGAAGCAGAGAACCCAGTTAAGTCACACCCAGATTTTTGGCCCAGAGAAATTGTGAGATAACGAACATACCTTGTTTTAAGCTGCTAATTTTGTGGGAATCAGTTACACAGCAATAGAGAACTAAAAAATTTGCTCAAGGTAATGGAAGTAATAAGTTGATGAGTAAGAATGTGAAACTTGACAGTTTGATTTAGGAAGTTTATGCTAACAGCTGCAATTTTATATTTTTACATTGGAACATTTTTATTTTTTATGTTTCAGTAGAAATTGTTCTAGTACCAGTTTTAATTATAAAAGGTACCATGATAAAAGCCAAAATCGGTTACCTGAGAGTAAGATGTTCCTATCTAATAGAGTTCTTGGGTATCTACTTGCATCCATTGAGAAATAAAGATTTGGAAAGTATTCTGAGTGAGGGAAAGACTTGAACTTTGCCCATAACTGGCATTCAGATAAAGACAAGTTTGATAAATACCCTAGCAGTAGTCATACACATGGGAGATGATGGGGTTTCTGATATTAAATTTCTGTGAGAGGGGATTGCATCTAACACAATCATCTCAACTTTAAATGAGGCTCTAGGGTTGAAGTAAAATGATAGCTCAGAGCACAGCTTGGTGGCAGTTACCAGTTCTAATGGCATCTCAGTGCTCTGTGCAGAAGAGGACTGTGTAGGAGTTGAAAGAGATGTTTCCTTTGACTCTGAAACTCTGACACTGAAGCAAAGTCACTGTGGGACCCAATTAATTGAGTGTAAGACAGAGGATAACATTTCTCTCACTTGGCAAGTATGGTGAGAGAGCCCCAGCTCAACAATTCCAAGGCTCAAATAATTTTGTCACCAGTGACAGCTTTATTGGGCAGCAGGAGCAGAGGTCTGTTTGTCTGTGGACCTGTCTGTTCCTGAGGCATGGGAGCCCAGCCCAATGAGTTGTGGGAAGGACAGCAAGCAGGACTCATACATATGTGAGTGGAGATAAGGATAGGGAATATTGCAGTCAAGCAGAGGAGGGTTTACAGATAGAGTGTTAATGTAGGTGTCACGATATTTCACGTGTAGGCTGATGATGCCAGAACATTAAGTTATATAAAGATTAAAGAAAATAAATAAGCTATGAAATTCCACAGCCCAATCACTCACATGTCTGTGCAAAATATCTCTCGTGTAAAATTGGTGATTACATTCTGAAGAAACTTGTTTCTGAATATTTTATGCTGCCATAGTTATTTGAAACTTGGCAGTCTGAATATTTATGCTGCCATAGAGTTATTTGAAAATACAAAGTAGAATTATTTAAATTATTCTTGAAAATGAATGTGTTCATTAAGTCAATGTACAGCCACTACTAATTAAGCGCCTCTTTGTAGGAGGGAGAGAGAGAGAGAGAGAGAGAGAGAGAGAGAGAGAGAGAGAGAGAGAGATACTACTGAAGCCTGAGTAGATACGAAAATATCTCCGTTAAGAAGTTTCAAACCCACTGAACCAGACTGAAACTGATGACTTGATCATGATATTTGTCAAGTTAATGTCTAAAGACTTTCGTCTGTGAAAGATAGTGAAACAGCTATGCAAATTTATGCATAAAAATAAAAATCCCATATGTGCCTAGAGGGAGAGGTTTCCAGCCAAAATGCTAATGATATGACATAATAATACTTAACATTTCTATAGATTTTAATTCAAAGAGCTTAAAATGTACTACAAATATCTACTAAATGAGAATAAGCCGTATTGTCTTCCTGTGTTACACATTTCAAGAGTGACTACATTTTAATTGAACAAAAATATATGCATAATAATAAAATCTTCAAAGTGAAAACACCAGGAAATGGCTAAATAAACTGTTTAAGATTTTAAAACATCTCACTGATCCCATTGAATTAAATGTATGATCAAAACTGCATGCAAATTTGGACATCTGAAGCATTGTAAAGATGATTCTATTCCACAAGCATTTTTGTTTTTACTATATGAGCTATCATAAAATGTTTTGAACTAGTGTGAATTCCAGGTTATATGAACAAAACATGGCTGCTGCCTAAAGGAGTTTACAAACTAATGGGGGAATAAAACAAGTGAGTGGTTCTAATATTAATCAGATGTTATGTGCTAAGGAGCTTTAAAGAAGGCTCCATGAGGAAACAGGAGTAAGTGTCTGTGATCGGCACTGGAGAGGGCAATTGAGACAGATATTGGAGTAACAGGACTTCCCACACTTGTACTGGAGGAAGTACATTTGAGGCATAATAAAATAATGTTCACGGAAGCCAAAACTGATGAAAGGGATCAGGATATGCCACTCCAAAATATGCCACTTTGACATAAGCATTATTTGGAGCTGAAGGCATTTGAATTCCTGAAGTCCCTTATCTGCCTAAAAGCAGAGGCTCTCAAAAGAAGTCAGAAGAACTCAATTATCATAAATCCCCTCCCTGGGAGCAACTCTAATCTCTTCTCAGAGATAAAATGTTGAGAAATTGGCACCACAGCCAAATAGACTATTGTCACAATGTCGTATCTCATAGACATTGTCACATTGTCATATCTCCCATTTATTCTCCTAAGAGCCCACTGACCTTTCCAAAAAGTCATTTGCTTTTCTGTAAGTACCCTTCTCCCCACTCTATTATGCTAAATTAGGTATATAAACCCCAAATTCTAACCGCCCTTTTGAGTTACTCATCACTGAGCACTTTCCTGTGTATGCACTGTGCACATGTTCATAAACATCTGTTTGTTTGTGATCTGTCTTTTGTCAGTCTCATTTACAACCTCCCCAGCCAATGAATCCAAGACGGGCAGAGGAAATAGAAAAATGTTCTCCCCTACACTGACACACTGATAGAGTGTGATGTGCGTTAAAGGGAATGATGGGGAGTAGCCTGAAAAGGCAAGTGATGCCAGACTGAGGAAGAATTATTTTCTTCAGGTAATGAGAAACAACTGAAGTGCTTTGAACATGACAGTGACAGAATTATGTTTGATTCTTGAATCTGTTTTCATAGCTCTAATGTTATAAATCTGACACAGAAAAGACAGAAATAGAAGCAGTTTGGAGAGGGAGAATGATAATTTTAGTTTTAGACATGGAATCATAAACTGTTAGTACAAAGTCTTAGAAGTTATTCCCTTAGCCCACAGCCCCTAATTCCCCAACCCTGTTTTTTTTTTTAACACAAGAAACAGAGAACCCCAGATATAACTTACTTAACATGCTTAAATCCATGCAGTCAATCAGTGGTGTTTTAAGGTGCTGATGGTATGTTTCAATAGAGATATCTAGTAGGAGATTGGAAATGTAAATATAGATTTCATAAAAGAGTTGCAAGTTAGACCTATAGATTTGGGATTCTTTCTCATAAAATTTAAAAGAGCATTCAGTTGGCGGTGGGTGGACAGGCAAGAATAAGGAATAAGAATGAAGGATAAATTATTCCATGAAAGGTAGACATTAGAAAGCATGCTTCTAATCATTTGAAAGCTACTTTGGCATAAAAGACCTGAGGCTAGATTGGAGAGCCCAACTTTGAACTCAAATGCTTCATTTTTTCCTATAGTTTATTGCCTGGGAGTGTTGAGACAAATAAGTTTTAATTTAGGGTTTTATTAAGAGCATTACATGCATTTTCTCCTTTAATTATCACAAAGTCCATGAGGCAGGTAGTTTTATTATTCCCATTTTATAGACGAGTAAACAGAGGGAGAGAAAGTTTACAGAGCTTGCCTAAAACATTAAAGTTAGTGAATGGACTATCCGGGATTGCAGTCCATTTATTCTTATTCTTAGGACCTGTCATTTTAAATACAAGTGCACCTTCCCATCACTGCCTTTGCTCTTCTGTTTTTCTTCTGGTATTCACTATATTTATGCGTATACCAAGACACAGGAATATGAAAGATATAAGAAAAAAAATCAATGTCACTGAATAAAACGTATTTTGTTATCTTTTTCCTACGGAGAAAAATAAAACATTCAGTTAATCTGTTTTTCTTTTATGTAAAGAACAAAACCCACAAAACATTGATAACATGTTTTATTTTTGTATTATGAGTAGAAAACCGAATAGGAATAACAATGAAGACAAGGGGCATGAAGAAAAAACATGAAGAGAATTAGAAAAATAGAAGCAAAAAAACCGATTGAGAGAGAAAAAAACCAGACATATGAGGAAATCGGGAAACTAAAATTGATGAAGCTCCTACTATGTATCACTGCCCGTGGTGGCAGTGTTGATTGGTTTCCGACTTAGGCCAACCTGTGTGTTCCCTGCTTTCATGGCTCATCGCCTAGGATAGAGACAAAAACTGCCAGATACTAACATTTGCAGATACCCTGACAGTTAGGGCATGGGCATATGCCCTAATATTGACTGGAAAGCCAAGACATACAGAGATATCTGAGATAAAACCAGCCTTCCTGCTTGGCAGCAATGATGAGGAAGATTGAACCTAGTATTTTGGCAGCCATCTTGCATGACTGTTCAAGTCTAAGGATGAAACAATCTGAAAAGAACTATGAAAAAACCTCACTTCCTCATGACACTCTGTAGCCACTAAATGAACCAATCTTATAGTTATCCAACCCTTGATTTCTTGCCTATATATATATATACATACATATATATACACATACATATATATATATATACACATATTCACTGCTTTAGCCTTTTTTTTTTTTTTTTTTTTTTTTTGAGACAGAGTCTTGCTCTGTCACCCAGGCTGGAGTGCAGGGGTGTGACCTTCACTCACTGCAACCTCTGCCTCCTGGGTTCAAGCAATTCTCCTGCCTCAGCCTCTCAAGTAGCTGGGATTACAGGTGCCCGCCACCATGCCCAGCTAACTTTTGTATTTTTAGTAGAGGTGGGGTTTCACCCTATTGGCCAGGCTAGTCTCAAACTCCTGACCTCAGGTGATCCCCCTGCCTTGGCCTTCCAAAACTGCTGGGATTACGGGCATGAGCCACCACACCCAGCCTGCTTTAGCCTCTTTTAATTAAGTATTCTGTTAGTTGCAATGGAAGAACTCATTTTCCCTGATTTTTGTTTTTTGTTTTTTGTTTTTGATGCAGTATTGCTCTGTTGCACAGGCTGGAGTGCGGTGGCATGATCTGGATTCACTGCAGCCTCCACCTCCCAGGTCCAAGCAATCCTCCCACCTCAGCTCTTGAGTAGCTGGAACTACAGGTGTGCACTACCACACCCAATGAGTATTTTTGTATTTCTTGTAGAGACGGGGTTTTGCCATGTCACCTAGGCAGGTCTTGAACTCCTGGGCTCAAATGATTCGCCCACCTCGACCTCCCAAAGTGCTGAGATTACAGGCATGAGCCACCGCACCCGGATGGAAAGAAATTTTAATGAATACACATATTCATAGCAAATCTACAAGGTAGATATCATCATCACATTTTATATTTAAGAAAATTCAGGTTCAGCAAGGTTAAGTTTCCAAAGGCATACAGTTAGTAAATGGCTAAACATGGCTATGAACCTCTAACTCAATATCTGTAGAATTTATATTCATCTTATACAAGGCTGTCATATTAAAAGTGACAAAGATTGAGAGACAGAAATGGAAAGAGGCTCAATGGATTTGAAATAAGGATAGTTCAAGATGATATGCTTAGGTTGTATGTTTTAGAACCTTAACAGTTATTATTAAATATTGTTTAGCCATTATTCAAAGCTCTGTACCTTAATAATTTTCTAATGCTTACTTAAAATAATGCAACAAGTGCAGTTTAGCAGCAGACATTATTCTCTGAGCTTCCTGTTAGTTCGAGAAGTATTACCCAGTCTGTATGAAGTCAGATGAAGGGAAAGGCCAGAACGTTCTGTAGCAAGTTCTCCACCACTGCTATTAAAATAGCTTCAATAATGTCTTTGACTTGAGCAGCACTTATAATGTCTAAAATGCTTTCACCTAAATTACCTGTCTTAATGATCACTGAATAACAAAAGTGAAAAAAAAATAAGGCACCAAGAGATTAAACCCCAGGGCTGTGTAGCAAAGTCAGTGCATACAGGGACACCCAGTAGCCTTTCAATGTGACAAGTATTTTAGAGTTGTACCAAATGTCATGTCCAAAATGGAAAATGTTTTGAATCATAATAATCAGTTGAATAAAGGATGGCAAAAAGGAGGAGGAGGAAGAGAAAGAAGTCCAAGACTGATGAAATATAAAAGACAATAAAGAGGAAATAGGCATCAAGTAGTCATTGTCTCAGAAATGTGGTCAAAGTTGGTGGTAGGGAAAGGCACTCTAGAAAGATCGTTAAGGTCAGGAGGAGTTGATGAGAGACAAATCTGAATAGACTTGGAAGCATATTTCCTTTCCTCTTTTGGTAGTTTAGCCAAGACCTGGCTCAGCTGCCATCTGCAAAGAGACGAGGCTTGGGATGATGTCAGCATCCCTGGCAGGCAAGGTTGTTCCCAGAGCTTTTGGTGGGCAGACCTTGGCCCTTGGTATGCATATTGCTTTGTGCTATTTCTGGACATCCCTTGATATCTTTCTTGTTGCCTAGAGAAACTAGATGTTCCAAGTCCCACTTAGGTAATCTATAAATAGGCAACACAGTGTTTGAGGTGGACTCATTCTCACTGGTGAAAGTGCTCCCCATACTGTGTTCAGCTTTGTCTCAAGCCTGCTGGTCATGGCAAGCTCCTCTCTGCTTGCACCTTGTCCATGGTACATACAATATATCTAACCCCAGTTTATGCTATGGAACAGAAAATGTTTAGGGGGTTGCATGCACTCTGCTACTTCCCTGCTTGTAAGTTTTGGCCCAATAAACCCTATGGTATACCTGCAACATGTGATCCTAGTGTGCATGTCTGTGATCCCTTTGCATGATAGAAATAATGGCAATAATAGATGACACCCTTAATATAACATGACAGAAAAACAGAAAAATCTGACAGCTAGCAAAATGGTCCACATGAGGCTATTGCCTACACTGACAAGTGAAGATTGATAATTGAGAGAAAGACAACAGAGGATATTGTATTAGTCCATTTTCATGCTGCTGTTAAAGACATACCTGATACTTGGTATGTCTTTTTACAAAGAGACTGGGTATGTCTCTTTTCTTTACAAAAGAAAGAGGTTTAATGGACTTACAGTTTCACAGGGCTGGAGAGACCTCACAGTCATGGCAGAAGGCAAGGAGGAGCAAGTCACATCTTACGTGGATGGCAGCAGACAAGGAGAGAGAGAGCTTGTGCAGGGAAACTCTGCCTTATAAAGTCATCAGATCTCATGAGACTTATTCACTATCACAAGAACAGAATGGGAAAGACATACCCCCATGATTTAATTACCTCCCACCAGGTCTCTCTCCCAACATGTGGGAATTCAAGATGATATTTGGGTGGGGACACAGCCAAACCATATAATATATATATATATATCTGATACTGGGAACAGAAAAGATTTAGGGGCTTGCATGCACTCTGCATGTGTATGTGTGTATATATATATATATCTTATATAACTTTAAAAAAACAATCCATCTCATGTAACTTCAATTATATAGTCTATGGTAAAATTAATGTCTCTCTATTTTTGTCATAAATTTGAGGAGGTTTATCCTGGTCATTGATAACCCTCATGAATGAAGAAAAGAAATATTACTTTAATAGGTATCTCACTATTTCTCTGATCTACAAAAAGTCACATGTCAAATTTTTTGTCATCTTTTTGAATTGCAAGTTTGTTGACAATCTCTAAAGCCCTGATCAGTCCTGTCCTGGTGCAAGAGTGAGCTTCTGCTTAAATAAATTAAGATCAGAGTAACTCATTCTTTCTTTCCTCAGAGTGACACAGTCACTATCCTCAGGAGGCACACACCCTGGTAGAGAAGACAGACATTAAAAATCAAAACCATCTCTAAAGGCCAGATGTACAAACCATTACCATAAAATTATGTGAATAGAACATTTCCTTAATTTGGAACTCAGAGAATGGTGCAGGGTGGTATTTTATTTTCCTCATAGTTTATTCGACATCACAAAATCCACCTTAGGTGTGTATTGAGGAGTCTTTTCTTGTTAATTTACTTAATCTTCTTCCTGGGTCTTTAAGCTCTTCGATCTCCCTCAGGATCTTGGATTGCAGTCAATTATTTCTATACTTTTCCCCTCTAGTTGATCTTTGGGAAGAGTAGGTGGATGCTCATAGGTCCTTCAAGTCTCTCAGGAGGAAACATCTGAAAGAAAAAGAAAATCTTTCTTCTGTGAACTGCCTCTTGTTGCATAACTCTCTTATCTCTGTTAACAGAATCTTTGTCTTTTTGCTTTTGTATCAGAGGAAGGAATTATGGTAGGAGAGGAGAGGTATCACTTACCCAATATAAGCAAATATTTCATTACAAATGAAATAAATGTCATGAGGGCAAATACTGCAGAGACCTGACCTAGTGTAGTGGTTACTTTAGTGTGGTATCCAGTTACTCTTTCAGGATGGCAGCTCTGGTTCTCCCAGTGCTGAGAATGCCGCTTCATTTGGAGTTGCTATGAGCACTTTGCTACTTCTCCACAGGGGGAGCAAAAGAGGAGTATGATTGGCATTGAGGCAACTCACTTAAGCCGCTCTTGCTACTCTTTCACCCAATTTTGATAGACAGTGCAACAATCACAGCCTGAGAAGGGCACAGACTCCACAAGGATGAGTATATGTGTCACAACAGACTCCTCACCATGAGATAGCTTGGGGTGAGGGAATGTCAAATAAACTGTAGAGGAGGGAGGCAATGAATATCAGATGCAATCCTGAGACCTGCTGCAGCAGTAGGGACTATAGTTTGTCACTCTTATGAATTTACTCCAGGAAAAGAGGCCCACCAGAACTTGTATATTAACAAGTGGATAAGAGTGGCCCAAGAGGTGGTCTTCAGTGAATGCTTCAGTGAGCTGTATTCTTACAGCTCAGTGTTTCCTTCTGCCCAATTCTGCTTCCTTACCTTCTCTTATTCTTGGTGAATAAGAATAAACCAAAAGAAGGGGCTAGAATAGTTCAGTCTAAGGCAATGGTTCTGAATAGAAGTAATCCTCCCATTCCCCCATGGGAGCATTTGGCAATTTTTGGTTGTTAAAACTAGGGGTTGCTATTGGCATTTAGTTGAGTGGAGGCCAGGATTGCTGCTAAACATCTTATGGTGCACAGAACAGCCATCCACGAAAAGGAACTATCCAGGCCAAAGTACCAATAATGCTGAGGTCAAGAAACCTTGGCCTAAGGGAATGATAAATGGAGAGGGCTCTGAAGTGGGAAGGAGCCTGGAATAATTTGAGGAATTAGAAGCAGCCAACTGTATCTGGAATAGAGTAACTGGGAATGGAGGGCTGGAAAAAAGGTGCAAAGGAGGTAGTGTAAAGGAAGTTGATTTTTATGTTACTGGAAAGCTATTGAAAGTTTCTATTCTAGTGAACAATATAATCAGATTTATGTTTTTAAGAAATAACTGGTAATGAGTGATGGACTAGAGAGAGGAGAAGAGGGTGTGAAAATATCATGTGAAACATGTTGGTGGCTTGGATTAGCCTGATGGCAGGGGAGATGGAGAAAAGCAGAAGGACTTGAGTGACTTATGAGGAACAAGTAACAAACTTAATTATAGATTGGAGAGGTAGCATCTTATCACATTTAAGTGCACAGGCTCTGAAGCCAGAGAACGTGGGTTCAAATTCCAACTTTGCCATTTACTAGTTCTTCAGCTTTGAACAGTTACATTTGTTGTCTTCATGTCCTGGATTTTGACCTATTGCTATGACTATGACATGAGTTAATTATTGTAAAGTGCTTAGGAGTGCCTAGAACATGGTTTGTGCTATATAAGTCTCTCAAATTAATCAAAGAAATCAGGGTGAGAGATGAGACTCTTGTTTTTGTTTTTTTTCTTGGGGCTCAGAGGGTTTAGCAGGGTCATAAGAGAGCCCTCAGCTACAGAAACATCTGGGAAATTTAGTTGTTAACATGGTCAAAGCTGCTGAGATGTCAAGAAAGATGAGAGGAGAATTAGACAATAGTTTTTATAAGTAAATCTTGACTATATTCTTAAAAATTGAGGTCTATACTAACAAATTGAGTTACTTTACTGTAAACCAGGAACTACTAGCAAATATCACTCCCTAACATTATATTGCAGTGAGTAAAATGTTCCAGGTTTGATTCCTCTTCTTCCCAAGAGGTAATTAAGTGTTGAGCTAATATTAATTCAGTTATCTTTTGCCACTTTGTGACATTAACTATTACTTGTCTGGGTCATCAATCTAAAGAAATTCTACCAATAACATTTTAAGAATTTTATGAATCTGAAGACAGTTTTAAGTCTCTATGTTAATTATCTTTTTCTTACTAAAAAACAATTGTTTTAATTTTCCCTTTCCTTCAGATGTATAACCACCTTATGTCACAGGATCCTTGGGGTGTTGCTTTTCCAGCCAGAAGCCTCTGTGGCCAGTGGTATCTTTGCCCAAGTTTTGCTCAGGCCTGCTGGGCTTGTTCTGCTCACTTGGCCTGGTAGGCTGCACTTGGCTTTTGCTACTGACCTGGATCCCATGTCTGCCAAGGATGAGCCAGGCACAGAGCAATGAGGGGTGTCTGAGCGAGCAAGAGCAGGGTCCAGCCACTGCACACTGCCAGACACGCCAGCTGCTATGGCTGAATGGGCAGCTCCAGGAACTGGCTTCGTGCAAGCCTGCAGCTGAATCTAATGCTCTGCAAGCAGCTTCCACTGTGGGCACCCATGTCTGGACAAGGGGAATGTGGAGGCACCTGGAAGCTTGGAGACACCAGAAACTGCAAAGCCCCCAAAAGGATGTCAAAACCCTGGCTTGGGAAGCCCCTAGGTCTGGGCTCCTGGAAGAGCCATAGCTCTCCTCTCCTTCTAGTCACCTGCAATATGGTGAGAGAGGGGGGTGTATTTCAGCCCTGTTTGTATTATAGCTCTTTTAGTCCCCCCAATCAGCAGGTCCCGAGTTCTTGTCCCACTTCCAGGAAGAATGAGGTATGCAGACAACTGGAGGGTGAGCAAGATGAAGAGGTGCTTTATTGAGCAACAATACAGCTCTCAGGAGACCTGGAGTGGGTAGTGCCTATCTGCAGGCAGGTTGTCCCGACATCTCTGTGAGTCTGGCTGGGGCTGGGGTTTTTGTGGGCTTCAGAAGGGAGGAAGTACATGCTGACTGGTCCATGGGCAGCCATGGGTGGGCCTGTAAAAAGCAACAAAAGTTCTCACTCTAGGCAGTGGACTCCACCCAGAACTGGCAGCCCCAGCCCCTATCCTTCAGGCTGTCCCTGGATTAAAGGAAAGGTTTCACCAAGGACCCACCCCTTTCTGCTCAGAAACCTGTCTGCCTCCTGCTGCTATCAACATGTAGTCTCTGGAACTTCAGCTGTCCCTGCTGAGGGGCACCGGCAGGCCCACACCCAGCCATCCCCAGAGCCCCCTTGGCCTCCCTCTCATGCTCATTGGTGCCCAAAGTCCAGAGGGGGTTGAGGTGGCAGGGAACTAGAATGTCAGTGCCACCCTGAGCACATGCACACCTGGCCGGGTCAAGATAGCACCCTGGCTCAGCCACAACTTTGCTCTGAAATCAGAGTGGGTGGGTGCCAGGAGCAGGGAGAGGCCAGGCAGCAGGAGCAGACACTTCTGAACCTGAGGGGAAAGGGGGACTTTCTGAGCCTTCACGAGTGCAGGGATGCCAGGGTCGACAGCCTGGGAGGGTGGGGCTCCTGCACCTCCAACTCAGAAAGGGCAGGGCTCCCACCTGTTCCCAGCTGCTGCATGTTCCCAGCTCCGGTCAGCTCCATGGAGTGTGCAGCCCCAGCCATACCTCCCCAACTGCAGCTGGCATCTTCACAGGGGCCAGTCCACAGGGGCCGCAGTGGCCATCACTTACAGTCTGCAAAACCAGAGTATAATTGTAATCAGTGTATAATAATTGTTATACTTATATATAAAATATACCTATATATTATAGTTCTGTATTAGTCCATTTTCACACTGCTATAAGGAACTGCCTGAGACTGGGTAATGTATAAAGTAAAAAGGTTTAATTGACTCACGGTTCTGCATGGCTGGGGAGGCCTCAGGAAACTCACAATCATGGCAGAAGGGGAAACAGGCATGTCTTAAATGGTGGCAGGCGAGAGAGAGTGTGTGAAAGAGGAACTGTCAAACACTTATAATATCATCAGATCTCATGATAACTCACTATCATGAGAACAGCATGGGGAAAACCGCCCCCATGATCCAATCACCTCAAACCAGATCCCTTCCTTGACTCATAGGGATTATGGGGATTACAATTCTAGATGAGATTTGGGTGGGGACACGGAGCCAATTCATATCAACTTCTAATATATTTTTCGAAGTATAATTATATTAAGTTATACATATATTATGTATAAGTTATATATAACATATACATTTTACAAAAATATTAAGTTATACATGTATTATGAATAAGTTATATATAACATCATATGTGATACAAAAATATTTACTGCATTATTTTAACACAGTATGTTTTTAAAAAATTGTGAATCTTTCACCTGGGTGCTTGGAAGTAAATCTAAATGTGCAAAGGAGTCTATCTATGGGACATAAAACAAAGATAAATTCGAGGAGCAATCATCCAAAATTATAATGCTAAGTGCTACTTAAGTAGCCTAATTTCACTTGAAATTTCTTAGCACAAACAGCTAATAATCCTTATGATTTCCAACTGTTTATTTGGAGCATGGTTTTTCAAAGCAAGGTAAAAAATTTACAGGAGCATTGTCTGTAGCAATTTCTTTACTTCAACAAACACATTTGGTTGATTGCGTGAACCATGGAAGTTTTGTTTGTTTGTTTGTTTGTTTTTAAAGAAAGCCATAGAGGGCTTGGAAAGCTTGTTTTATGTACCACAGTCCTAGAATAGAAAGAAAAAAAGCCCAGTGATAAATTTGAAGTGTTAATTGGGTAGAGAAAAATAGAAATTGTTTTGCTTGTATAAGGAGTGTTAATTCTGGAATTTTGTAAAGTTGCACTAGTGAGAAAAAGAAAATCAGTTTTAATATCGCCTGAGCATAAAGAGGTTCATCATAGCACAGGCCACTCATATGTTGATTTTGCATAGATTTTATTTCTTACAAATGTTTTCATAAATATTATCTTAGTTCTCAAAAGAAACCAATGTTGTGTATACAAGTCATTGTAGTTATTTTACAGATGTAGTAACCAAGAATCACATGTGAAATTCACAAAGTTTAGTACATATGTGAATTCATTTGAATTTTAGTCCCTTGACTCCAGGGCCAGAGCTACTTCACTCCATTCTGATTCTCATTGTGTGTGTTTTCTTCATTTAATTCAAAAAGCTTGAACCTTCTAAATGAAGCCCAGTGACCCGATTAGGTCACCACCACCAATTCTCCTTATGTTTTTGGAAACATCTCAGAACTAAATGTACTAATCCAAGGCCAGTTTAAATTCATGTCCTTGTGATTCTATTTTCAGATAATTTTTGTTTTCCTAAGTGGCAAAGATATTGTTTACACTTTAATTCATCTTCCAGAAAGAGATATCTACATTGTATATGGGCAACATTTAGACTGTCATGCAGTACATGAGGCATGGTGGCAAAATATTTCCTTACCAACTGCATGGATTGAAAAACCTATGTCTCAGACCTGGGCAGGTGACAGACCTGCCACTTATATACAAAAGTCCCAGGAGCGAGATAATGATTATGCAAGACTAAAGTGACTCTTATTTTTAGGGTCGTTTGAAAACCTGTCTACAGAGGACAGGGCCATGTCTCCTTTAACACTGCATGTCTAGGCTAATACAGTGCCTGGGACAAAATGCATGCTTAGTAAATTCTTGTTGAACAAATGAATAAATGGCTTTAATCGGTCTCAGCAGGCCTCCAACACTCATAAAAGACTGCATAGCCTTTAACATCCAATTCAGCAATCATCCATTCAGCCAGTCAACAAATATGTAATGAGTACCTTTATATGCCATACTGATACAGAAAGGCTGGGCTCCTGGCCAAATCTCACCCTTAAGCCTGGAACTGTGGCCCTATGTGAAAATAGCTGATCCTGCTTTTCTGCCCAAATGTTGCTTTTTTGGCCTACCATGCCCCGATCCTGTGCCCATAAAAAGACTTCAACTTGCATCCATGACTGCATGCATCAGCCACTTGTGTTGCTCTGCCAGCTGAAGTTTTTTTATGGGCACAGGAGAGATGAAACAGGATTGTTCTCTTGACCTTGACCCCCTTCATGGGCAGGAACTGGAGTAGCTCATTTCACTCAGCCTGCTGCTGGCCACACCTCACAAGAGGGATTGTGCAAACAAGTGAGGTCAGGAACCAGAGGGAACAAATGCTGAAAGTGGCTGATCACTCTTCTCTGATGGAAGTAGGGTCTACGTGGGCCCTGCAGCAGCATCCAAGCCCCTACCCTCTAGGAACCTGGGTTCTTCTCTGGCATCCAAGAAGAATCAGGTCACATGAACAGATTGAAGGGTAGTGTATGTGAAGGATTTTATTGGGTAACGGATGTGGCTCTCAGCCGAATGGGGAGTTGGAAAGGGGTTGGTGTGAGAAACAGGTAATCTTGCCCTGAAGCTGCACCATCTGAAGTTAGCCATGTCTATCCATAGTCTCCGATGCTCAGCTGCTTGTTTCCCTAGTGTTCACCAGCTTGTATCCTCAATGTTAAGCAGTTTGCATCCCCGACCACTTGCATCAGCCACTTGTGTGGCTCTGTCAGCTGCAGTCTTTTTATGGGGGCAGGATAGGGGCGCGGCAGGCCAAAAGAGCGGCATTTGGGTGGAAAAACAATGTCAGCTGTTTTCACTTAGGGCCGTGGTTCCAGGCTGAAGGGTGGGATTTCGCCAGAAGCCCAGCCATTCTGTATTAATAGTACGTTAGGTGCCGGAATAAATACATGAAAAATAACTCATTGAATTAATATTGTAGTGGCAAGAGGCAGAAATGGACAAGACAAAAATAAAATATTTAAAATATTATATGATGAAACAAGATAAGGACAAAAGTCAAAAGATGGAGATAAAAGGGTTGGTTTACAAGTGATGGGCAGAGTAGCCAAGAACATCTTTAATTTGTGACAACTATTGTTATCTTCCTTTCATGTTTTCAGCTACCAAACGGTATCTTAAAATTCACATCCATTTCTATTCTATTTTATAGGCTTACAATTGAATGCTGATTTTTACTAGCACCATATACATACACAAATGTCATAGGATTTGTCATCTAAGAACTTCCATTTCAAGGGCTACCCTCTAATAACAGTGAAGGATTTGTAGGACACACATGATACACATTAGACAGACTCTTGATGTTGGGATGGTGTTCAGATTAAAGCTTTAGAAGCTCACAGACCCAAACAGACAAACCAAACCCTCTGAAAATAAAAAGCGGTTTAAAGCCTTCACAGAAAGTGTTTCAAACATAGAAAATCGAGTCATATAAATGTATCAGATAAAATGCACTTTCTAATTGAAAATCTTGAGCTTCCAAACAACTGCAAAAACGAAATAAAATGAAGTTTTACCTAGTAGTTCTTCAGAGCATAGCAATGATTTGGCTGAATATTTCTACAACATCAGCAATCAAACTGTATGAATCTACTTGTTGAATTATTGTAATAATAAAAATTGGTTTTGTAAGGCAAGTTTAGAAAACAGGACTTGAAAGAGAAACAGAACACAGAAAGAACTATATGAAAATATTAATTAGAATAACCAATAAAACAATACTTCTTAGAAGTAGATTTTAAGATATAATATAGCCATGATCAAAAGAGAGGAAAAACAGATGCCTTTTTCCTTTAAGCATTTTTTACTTTTATTTTTTGATAGGCAAGCAGAGTTGAAGACATTTACTTTAAAAATTGATGAGACAAAGGTTCTTCAAAGTTCTCAACACCTTTATTTATTGGTTTAAAAGATTTAAGTGTTCATCTCTCTGTACAAATATTTACTGAATCTTTTCATATACATTAGGTTGAATCATATAAAATAGCTGATATGCAAAAATGGCTATTTTATATGGGCTTACCCCATACTTTTATATCATGAACATTATAGTTTTTTTTTAAAGAAGGTTGTGAAAAATAAATATAATGGGCAGTTGTTTGTCCATTCCAATGAATAGTCTTCCAAACTGCATAGGTTCCTTTAGAGTTCTGTGTACTGGACTACAAAGCTTCAAATACAGTATAGGGTAGCAAAAACAAATAGTCCAGGTAAGTGAAGTCAAGTAAACTTCCTTCCTGGCTTTTTACTCATCCTTTTTGTATGTCTACACATCCTTTGCTATTCACTTCACATATATTGCCTATTGAAAAACTTCTTGGCTAATTAAAGAATCCTTCCTGGGTTAGACACATCTGCACTTTCCTCTCTACCTTCCCCTTTTTGTTTTGAGAGAGGGGGGAAAGATCGTGTTCTGTTCGTTACAGCTTTCACCTTTATATCATACTTTTGAAAACAACTTAGATTTGGCCAGGCGCAGTGGCTCACGCCTGTAATCCCAGCACTTTGGGATGCCAAGGCAGGCGAATCACGAGGTCAGGAGATCGAGACCATTCTGGCTAACACGGTGAAATTCTGTCTCTACTAAAAATACAAAAAAATTAGCCGCGCATGGTGGCGGGAGCCTGTAGTCCCAGATACTCGGGAGGCTGAGGCAGGAGAATGGCGTGAACCCGGGAGGAGGAGCTTGCAGTGAGCCGAGATCGCGCCACTGCACTCCAGCCTGGGCGACAGAGCGAGACTCTGTCTCAAAAAAGAAAAAAAAGAAAAAAAAAACAGAAAGAAAGGAAGAAAGAAAGAAAATAACTTAGATTTTAATTTTGAACAATTTGTTTAATCATTTTGAAGAATTAAAAGGCTTATAAAAGAATCCAGAACTTGGCCCGGCACAGTGGCTTCACACCTGTAATCCCAGCACTTTGGGAAGCTGAGGCGGGTGGATTGCTTGAGCCCAGGAGTTTGAGATCAGCCTGGGCAACATGACAAAACTCCATCATTATAAAAAAAATACAAAAAACAAACAAAAAAAACAACAAAAAGAAACGAAGGTTGGGCATGGTGGCATGTGCCTGTGGTCCCAGCTGCTTTGGAGGCTGAGATGGGAGGATTGCTTGAGTCTGGGAAGTAGAAGCTGTAGCGAGCTGTGATCACACCACTGCACTCCAGCCTGGGAAACAGAGCCAGACCCAGCCTGGGAAACAGAGCCAGACCCTGCCTCAATTAAAAAAAAAAAAAAAGAGAATTCAGAATTTAAAATTTTAAAGTTTCGTCTTCACTATTCTATTCATGGATATTATTTACTTTATTGTTTCCCTTCTAATTCAGGCTACATAATAAACTCACTTTGATTAGCATTCGTGGTCATAGTATATAAAATATACAAAAAAAATTTCAAATGTTTAGGGAAAAATTTGATCATATTATTTTTACAAAGAATGCATACAAATATTATTCTAGGCCAAATATTATTCTAGGCACTTGGGTTGTATGTGTAAACAAAGCAGAAATTTCTTATGGGATTTCCATGCCCTCCCGGAATGTACATTTCAGCAGGTAATATTTTCAAATAGATTTTAGTAATCCAAATATTTAATGCCAGATGATATTTTCAAATATTGTACTAGAGACTTGCTTGATAACAATTTTTAAAATAGAGCAAAAGAGAAAAATCACCTTGCAAAAAGTCAGGCTTTACTAAAAATACCATGCAAGATATGATGGCAAGATATAGGAAAATCTACTAAATATCAAAAATCATGTCAATGGGGCTTCAACACAATAAACTAGGTTTATGGAGCTACAAGTATAAAAAAGAAAAAGTATTCTTTAGTGTAGAACTGAACAGTATTTTAGAGGCGTTTCCCAAAAGGCACAAAGAGTATTACAGATTTGGTAGAGACACGAAATAAGCAAGAATTAAATATTACATTTGAAAATCACTGGACAATTCTAAGAATAACAATGAAGTAGCAAGGGAACGTTTAAAGTATAATTTATCAGGGATTAAAAACATTCAAAATGCTTATTTTATTATGTCACAATGATTATAACTAGGCATTCAACTGAGAGGAGCAGAATTAGACTAATTTTTTTGAGAAAAGAAAGCTTTCCTTAAACTCAAGCTGTATCACTAATAATTACATAGCATTTAACAAATAATAATTGTTAAAAACATATGTTAAATGCCGTAATATTGTGCCAACTTCATTTCTAAACATGGCTGATTAAATAAGAGGGAAATGACCACTTTTGTCAAATGTGTCCTTTGATAGTAATGTGACATAAAATTTGGGGGTTCACCTGAGAAACAGCCCTATCTCTCTACTGGAAGATCCCTTTCCTGGAAGATCTCATCCTAAATGTCGGAAAATCTAACTGCTCTGAAGACCCATAGCACGGGGTAAAACCCATTGGTTAAAAACAAAATAGAAAGAGAGAAAGAAAGGGCATACAGCATCCTTTAAGTAACTTTTCTGAGACTTGCCCTGCGCCCCCAAAAACTCCCTCTGCTTCAATACTACCAATACTATCCAAATATGTCTAACACAGACATGCCTTTGATAAACCCTTCGTAAGTTGGAAATATCATAAGTTGAAAATGCATTTATTTTATTTTTATTTTTATATTTTTTTGAGATAGGATCTCACTCTTTCACCCAGGCTGGAATGCAGTGGTATGATCTTGCTTCACTGCAGCCTCTGCCTCCCTTGCTCAATCGATCCTCCTGCCTCAGCCTCCTGAGTAGCTGTGACTACAGGTGTGCACCACTGCGCCTGGCTAATTTTTGTAGAGACTGGGTTTCACCATGCTGCACAGACTGGTCTCAAATCCCTAGGCTCAAGTGATCCTCCCGCCTTGGTCCCCCAAACTGCTGGGATTATAGGCGTGAGCCACCACATCCGGCTGAAAATGCATTTAATACATCTAACCTATTAAACATCATAGCTTAGCCTACCCTGCTTCAAAGGTGCTCACAACACTTACATTAGCCTATAGTTGGACAAAATCATCCAACACAAAGTCTATTTTATAATAAAGTGTTGAATATCTCATGTAATTTATTGAATACCATACTGAAAATGAAATACAGAATGGATGTGTGGGTATCCATAGTATAGTTTCCACTAAATGTGCATCCCTTTTGCCTATTGTAAAGTTGAAAAATCGTAAGTTGGACAATTTTTAAGTTGAGACCATCTGTACTTGACCAGCAGTATTGCAAACCATGAAGCACATGTTTTCATGTTCTACTGTTTTCACATTAAAAAGAACTGCAGGGATGGTGGTATTTATCTCCTACAATTCCAGCTTGTACCAAACAATTGTCTTATTTTATTTGCAAGGTATTAGTCTGCCCTTTTTTTCAACTCAGAGCATTTTGTATTTAGAGTAAATATTATAGAGTCTATAACTTTTGATCCTTGAGGAAATTAAAAAAAAAATCTTTCCGTTCATTGCCTCTTCAATATCTTTTAAATCTTCAAACATCACTCACAGTGCTTGCAGTTCATATTCTGAATAGGTTTTTTTTTAAAAAAAAAAAAAAAAAAGGCAAAACTTAGAGCCTGCCATGTTTATTTGGTATTTTTTCAATTACATATTTTAAAATAAAATTTAAATTTCAAATGTGGAATGATTGGAACTTATTGTGAAATGGAATTTTATTTACCTCTGAAACCATTTCTTTCCTTTCTAAAAAAAGTTTTTGTATATTTATTAAATTTATAGAAGGGGTCCCACTCTGTTGCCCAGATGGGAGTGCAGTGGCACCATCATAGCTCACTACAGCCATGAACTCCTGGATTCAAGGGATCCTTTACCTTAGCCTCCTGAGCAGCTGGGAATATAGGCACATGACACTATACTCAGCTACTTATTTATTTATTGAGATGAAGTGTCTCTATATCGCCAAGGCTGGTCTTGAACTTCTGGCCTCAAGTGATCCTCCCACCTCAGCCTCACGAGTCACTGGTATTACAGGCATGAGCCACTATGCCCACCCCACTTCTTTAGTATCAGTTTATATTAAAAATAAGAATTCAAATATAAAAATTATGTTGCACAAAAGTTAATTCAATTCTATCTTTTAAAAAGTTCCCTTGGAAATTAACGAAAAGGAAAGTCATAGCTTCTAATTTATCTGTTAGTCAATTGCAGTGTATTTTCTAGTGAACACATATTTCAATCTCAGATCATGATGAACAGGCAGAGAATTATGAATGAATTAATGAAAAGAATGCTCTAAAGAAAAAGTTGTACTTATTGAACATTGAATTTTATATGAAAACTTCAGCCAGGATGGTACCTAGATTGCTTTTAACATATTAGAGGACATTTGGCTCTGTTAGAAGTGATGTACCCTCTGGTGGTGTTAGAACTATGTCCAATAATGACTTGTTTGTTATGGTTCAAAAGAAACAGTAGAGTGCTTTTGATTGTGCTTTCATAAATTTATTTTGGGTTTACTGTTAGTAGCACTGCCTTATATTTTATTTAGATCATCACAGACCTTACATATCTCAAATTAAATTATTTTACTTATAAATATCACACATGCCTTTTTACTCTGTAAGGTGTTACTAAAACTGCAAACTAGTCACTTAGGAGGGGTAGGATGACTTCAGTTAATTCTATTGAGATCCACGCTTTCTAAATTCCTTTTACGTTTTTTCCTCAAATTTTGTTGGTTTATGTTTACAAAGAATTCCTTTAGATTTTCATTTCTAAAACTAATAAAGCTAATTAACAAACACTAGAAATACTTGGGTGACTGATGGAGTTTAATTATACCAAGAGAGCAAAAAAAAAAACCACCTGAAGCAACAGTAGCTGATAGCTGGTGAAGAACAGTGCTAGTTGGAGCAGGCAGAGTCTGGGACTTGCTGATTCAGCCATGTGGGAAACAGCAGGCATGCTAAGCAGGGAGAAGGAGCACAGCTGCAAAGAGCAATGGTGCTGAGAACGGATGATTTCAGAGTCTGTGCTGTGTGGAGGAAAAGTTGCTGGCTGTCCAGGAAGCCCTTGTTCCCACATGGCAGCAATTCCAATCTTCAGGATTATTTCTTGATTAAAATATAAAGCAGTGAAAAGGTAAAAGACATGCACATTTATTTTTATTTACTGTTTAGTCAGTAATAGCTTTTTATCCTGGAGAAAATAAATGCTGATTTTTTTCCTTTGTTTTTAAAGAAACTGGGAAAACAGCACCTTGTACATTGATCACTTTTAGATCCGTATTTTGTGATATACATTAATGTACCCTCATCAGAGCATCTGCTACTCTGTGGAAAGTTATAAATAGCATAGTCAATTTCCAGTACAAATATTGCAGGCCATTCTAAGGCGATTTTTCTTTTTCTTTTTTTTTTTTTTTTTTTTTTGAGATGGAGTCTCACTCTGTTGCCCAGGCTGGAGTGCAGTGGCACGATCTCGGCTCACTGCGAGTTCCTCCTCCCGGGTTCATGCCATTCTCCTGCCTCAGCCTCCCGAGTAGCTGGGATAACAGGCACCCGCCACCACGCCCAGCTAATTTTTGTATTTTTAGTAGAGACAGGGTTTCACCATGTTGGCCAGGCTGGTCTTGAACTCCTTACCTCAGGTGATCCGCCTGCCTTGGCCTCCCAAAGTGCTGGGATTACAGGCATAAGCCACCTCGCCCGGCCTCTAAGGGGATCTTCTCCTATAAACTAATCTCTAGCATTTAACAAAATAGAACAATACTGGTGTATTAGTTCATTCTCATGCTGCTATAAAGAACTGCCTGAGACTGGATAATTTATAAAGAAAAAGGTTTAATTGACTCACAGTTCATCAGGGCTGGGGAGGCCTTGAGAAACTTACAATCATGGCGGAAGAGGAAGCAAACATGTACTTCACATGGCAGCAGGAAGGAGAAAAATGAGAGTTGAGCAAAGGGGGAAGCCCCTTATAAAACCATCAGATCTCAGGAAAACTTACTCATTATCACAAGAAGAATATGGAGAAACTGCCCTCATGATTCAGTTACCTCGCATGAGGTCCCTCTCCCAACATGTGGGGATTACAATTCAGATTACAATTCAAGAAGAGATTTGGGTGGGGGCACAGAGCCAGATCATATCAACTGGCAAAGTATGGCCTCCAAAATAAAATTCCTAAACTTTAACCACATCCCATTTTTTCCATTTTCTTATATTTCATATTCTTATTTAAACATCAACTCAAATGGTTCTTCCTCCTTGTAGTCCTCTCTAAATTCCCAAGTCAGCATTATTGCTATCCCCAAAATGTTCCTGAAGCTTAGTTTGCATTTCTATTATAATATTGATTTAATTCTGTCTTTATTATATTATGAAAAAATCGACCTTTACAAAAGTAACAAATTACTGGTCTTTGATAATACCTAAGGTCATTTTCACGCTTGTCTAACTCAAGGATGTTTTCTCAGGATCTGATTTTATTTATCACCTTTGCTGTATATCTGTATTCAACAAAGGCGTGTTCATAATAAATTGCTTTAGCAACCATTATGTGGCAGTAAAATAAAGGACCGATGTCTTTAAAGCTATAATTATTTATGTATAAACAATTTAAAGGTTAAACTCTCCTCAAACAAACAAAAAACCAGGTGACATCCCAGGGTGTGAGGGGCTGAGTCTTTCCTAGGTGCTGGGCAGCACCAGGCACTGGCTGCACAAGGCCAGAGAGGTTACGTGGCGGCTCTCTAGAAACCCGACCGCACAGAGCGCCACATTCCCTGTAGAGCATTCACTTCTTCCAAGTCCAGTTTGATATGTGGAACCTCATCACCTGGCTCCTTTTTCAAGGTCCCCCTGGGGAGGAAACCACGATAGGCAGAGGGTCACATTCCTCCCAGAATTCCACAACTTGGAGGCCCTTCTTACCTGCCAGCTGTTGACGGGTTTCTGACTGAGAGCCCATGGAAGAGGCCCCAGGTGAGGGGGAGCATACTGATGGACCCAGAGACCTTGGCATACATGTCTTTGATGCCAGCGAGCTGGCATATGGTGTTGATGCCCCTGTGGCAGCAGACCTTGTAACCTCTGGGTTGTTTCTTCATCTTGATATGCCTCCTTTTAAATCTTAACGAAATATCACGGAATATTGTATGGTCTTCATATCGTTCTATATAATGCAAATAGTGAATTGCTCTATTCTTTGCTTTTCTGAAAGCATCTATCTATTTATTTAGTGGCTTTCACAACAGCAAAACTTGAAGCTCGTTGTCCATTCCCCACAGCCTGCAGGACACCTACCAATCTCTTTCTTCCCTCTTTTGCTGTCCTATTGAAAACTTTCCTACCTCAAGTATCCTGGTATCAAAATTACCATATGTTTCTCTGTTGGGACCAGGGTCAGAGGGCTAAGACTGATGCCTCCCCACAAGTTTCCACTGCATCCTCGCTCTCATTTATCTTCATCCTCCTCTTCCGGTCCCATTATTCTCTCTGCTGGGTCATGTTGTCCTCCTCCTTCTGTTCTTCCTTGCTTTTTTGGGCAATGATCTGTACTGCTCCATTTTTAATAAGAGAGACATTCAGACCAGGCCACAGAAACCATAATGCCCTTCACCAATGATCTGACCCCTGTTCAAATCCTTTCTTCTCTTCTTTTTAGTTCTGCTGCCTCTTCCTTTTCTTGCTCCAGCACCAGTCTCTGCTAAAACACCTTTCCACAGCTCATCTGCGGTGGAATTTCCTAGACAGTCACCTAAAAGTGCAGCAACTATAAAATCAATATCAAATTCCTGAGGAACTGAATTGAAAACTCAAATAAAACTGGTCAGCAAACAATGATCTGGTCTGTTACAAGCAAAAGAAAAAAAGATGGAAGACTGTGATAAAAGACAGTGCTTCCAAATCTTCTCATCAGTGTATAATGTTAGTAAAACCATGAAAGCTGCTTGTTCATGTTAGAAGTAAGTCTCTAATCCTTGGAGGCAGCACTCACCCAGAAAAAGAGTTTTAAAAAGACAGCGAGAGAAGAAGAGGAAAGAAAAACTTTTGATATTGTTCCAATTGGTGCAGATATTGACTAAAAGGAAGGTTCTTATTTGTTTTGAAAATACATTTTTAACGCATATCACCATGAATATTATAGAGAATTGTTTTATATTTTGGCAACAATGGTGTCATCTGGAAATGATGGCACTCCATAGTCAAGTAGTCTGTATGTGATTACAACTAAGCGATTTGCAGAAGTACCATCGCGACAGCTATCACATCCCTATGCATCTTATTATTCTTTCTTCAAATGTTTATTGGTTCCCTTGTATCTAAAAACTGAGGGCACAGGGTGTAAACAGACAGATAAATACACATGCTCCTAGAAGAAGTTGCAGATGTAATCGATTTTGCTTCTAGGGATAGAGGAAAGGCTTGGAAAAGTAGGAGCAGCCTAATCTAGTTTCAGGAATGGTTACGGTTTGATGAGTAGGTGGAGATGGGTGGGAAATGAGAGATTTTCCAGACAGAATAATGAGTGCAAAGGCCTGAGGAATGTAAACATCGGTAAGGTCAGACCTACTGAATTTGCTGAAGATCAATGGTGGGAATTGCAGCTCAGATAAGTATGAAGATGTAGGCTGGAGCCAAATGTGGAGGGCCTTGTATTTGAAGCTAAGCAATGAGACTTTATCCCGCTGGCAGGTGCGTCTCTTCAGTGTGTATAAGAATGAACTGAAACTTGTTAAAATGCCCAACTCTGAAAAATTCTCATTCAGTAGGTCTAGGATGAGGTTCAGAAAATCATGTGTAGCAAAAATGCTGGGTGACATTTTTTAAGATAGTCTTTGTTCAAAAATTAGCCGGGCGTGGTGCCAGGCGCCTGTAGTCCCAGCTACTCAGGAGGCTGAGGCAGGAGAACGGCGTGAACCCGGGAGGCGGAGCTTGCAGTGAGCGGAGATCGCGTCACTGCACTCCAGCCTGGGCGACAGAGTAAGACTCCGTCTCAAAAAAAAAAAAAAAAAAAAAGATAGTCTTTGTTCATACCTTAAGGAAACAGCAATTGTGGGATGTTGAGGCATTCTAACCAGAAGCACAACACTCTGCAAGATCATTTGGGGTGAGGAAAAGAAGGAAATTGGAAACACTTGTTCTGATCTGAAAGTAGATTTTTGTAAAACGCATGGTCTGGGATGAAGGAGACATGGATTCCTGCTTTGCCTCCTTCACTGATGAGTTCTGTTTCTTAAGAGCAGTTGTCAAACTTATTTGACTCTCATTTGCACCTTCTTTCTAAGTAGATAAGCATTAAGGGTAAAGATGCTTTAAATATATTTATGCTACTCAAATGGAAGCTTTATAAACAATGCAAATGTTACAGGCTGATCAGATCAAGGATGTGACACAAATTAGAAAATATAAAGTATTAGTGGATGCCATGATTTGTGAGACAGCCGCTGGAGTATCCCTCATAGTAGAACTTGATGTTTGGAATTTGAATATAGGTTCTCAGACCAAAAGAAGAAAGATATGGTTAGAACTTACCCTTGGTGTTCTCTCAATGGCTTACTTACCATTACAAATGAAAAGAGTTAACATGTACATAAGAGCTCTTTGCCAGGAACTGTTAAAGCATTTTACATAAATTATCTCATTTAATTATCCCATAGCCCCGTACATATAAATATATCTTAATTTTTTAGTTGAAAGTACTGGCACCAGAGATGTCAGACAACTATCCCAAGGAAGCATTAGTAGTTAGAAACTAGAGCTAGGATTCAAACTGTTGTTGTCTGACTCTAAAATCAGCACTTTTAACAGCACCTCGCTAAACTAGATGAGTCTCCCTTAATTTGGACACACACAAAAAATAGATTTGTCGTGGATCACAAGCAGTCACTTAGATTTTGGTCTAATGTGTAATTCTCAGTTTCAATGATCTCTGCAAACGTCATATTAGTAGTTCGTGAGTTACGTAAATTGAAAATATCATCTATCTCTTGTACAAAAATAAAAGCTTTGTCAAATTTATATTCACACATGTTGAAACAATGCATTCAGAGAACAATGCATTCATTTTATGTGGGAATTTAAATAGGTCCATGTGGGATAAAGATCTGACCGGTGTTCTCATGCAAAAATTACTAGAGTAACTGGACTAAAGTCAAGAAACCTGATTTCTCACACCAGCTCTGCTACTAAACACCTGTTGTTCAGAGGTAGCAAATTATCTCTTCTTTTTCTTTGTTTTTTTTTTTTTTTTTTTTTTTTAACCCCCTTATAATATCACAGGACTAGACTAGGTAGCCTCCAATATCCTTTTCAGTTCTAAAATTTTATGCTTCGATAATTGTGAATAAATGTGTTGCCCATCCCTTGAGTTAAACATGAATGATGAATCATCTCAAGTCTGAAAAATATGGCTTTAATCTTATGTGACACCTCAGGCTCACGGTATCTCAGGAAAGCCCTACCAATCACATTTGGCTGCTATGCTTATGTAGTTTATGACCAGAATTGGTTTGCTTTAGATAACACACTCTTGTGCTGTACCACTGTTGCTAAGATACAGTTTTGTAAATAAATGTTATTTTAAATATACATCCTGGTGTGGGGAGAAAGAAATGTGGAAAGCAGTTGGCCAAAGATGTGAGCTATCTTTTGAGAGGACTGAGACAATGCTTTAGATAAACCTTTACAGGATCCACTTTTCAGCTCATCCTAAAATTATTTTGCTTTACCCTGAAACTGGGTGAAGGGAGGTTAAGGGTTTGGGGGAAAGAGTGATCAAGTCTAAGGTTACTGACAAGGATGAGTTGTTTTGTAACCCTAGTGATCTGTCCGGTTTGAAATGACACTGATACTGTTGCTGCAGGGCTCTGTGAGGACACTTGTTTTTTTTCCTCAATATTTCTGTCTCAGCCTGTCCATTAAAAATAAATAAATGAGAGAAACAGAAAGAAAGAGAGCGAATTTGATTGTTACCACTTACAATAGATTTTAAAATTCCCCATATTAGGAACCAGTATTGAAGGCTGAAGGGATTCCAACTGGGCGCCCCTGCTCCAGGGAGCAGTTGGCATGCAGGCTGCCTAATAAAGACAGCAAAGTAAGTTGTTCCCCATGTGCTGAGCTCTAAGGGAGGCAGAACAGCCTGTCACTCCCTGATAACTCCTCCACCACTCCCTGAAAACCCACCATTAGACACCCACATTTGAAAGCCCCAATGACTCCTTGCTCAGGAGCCGCTGCTGAAATGTGAGCACCTCCAGAGGAAAGAGGAAGGCATAACTACGCTCCAGCTGACGCTTCACAGGGGATTTTCTGGGCAACTAGCTGTCAATAGGAGAGAAGGGTGGTGAGAGAAGAGAGGTCTGGAGGGTACCTTTCTTGCCAGGCAAGGGAGAAAAGGAGCTGGAAGTGTACCGTGGGGTTCCAAAGTAATATTTTGTCTGCCTCAACCATTTTGTCAAGGCCAGCTAACTGGCCTAATTCGTATTTGGTTTTGCGAATGAAGCCTGATCCATTAGCCTGTTTCATGTTGCTTTTATGACTCTAGACAAGATTCTTGTTAGCCACATTCAATGAATGTACCTCTTTGCTTCATTCCCCAAAACCGAGCCGACTTGTCCTATCTCTTAGCCTATGTATACCCAGGAAATATAACTTAATTTTATGCTTATTAATTATAAGTCCTTAAGCATCTGATAAGCTTCTGTGAGGACATTTAAAGTGTTGCCCTTACTGCAAAGGCCTTGATATGTCTTTGTAACCCTGACTAATACAGAAGGACCACATTGAGAAAATATTCATCATCCGCTCACTCAATGACAGCAACTAACCCTTCAGGAACTCTTCCATAAACAGCTCTCTTCCTTGCACTCCTGGGGTCACTGCCTTCTATTCCATGTCCAACTTCTTCACCAGACTTCTGGTGTCTGAGTCACAGGCTGGACTTCAATGTTTTAGTGTCACCTCCCCACCTTCCCCATCCCAGACATTCCCTGGTTTGGTCCCAGTACGTCCCTTTTCTTCTTTCCCTTTCCACTGATTCAGGATCACTTTGTTTTCCTGTTTATCTCCCTTCTCCACGTTAGTAAAAGAGAACAGTAAAGAAATTACCCTGCTGGCAGATAAAAATTTAACTTGGAAATTACTGACATCTGGACTGCCTGGTTACTATAAGGACACACAAACCTTATACTTTGCCTGTATGTGTCCCGGGGAAAATGCTGAAAGAGGGTATTGGGTATAGGATTCAGATTGTTTTAGAGAAATGGAACAAAAAACAAAACAAATGACCAGACTATAAGGAATAGAAAGCTTGCCAAAAAGGGACACTAAAAAAACAGGTGAACATAATAATGACAACAAACTCAGGAGTTCAAGGTGAACTGTCTTCAAATAGTCCTATAATTCTAAAGATTAGAGTACATTATGTCTAGCCATTTCTTAGAATTTTCAATAATCCATATTTTATGGCTATGCAAATTTTAAAGACAATGGTTTGGTGCCAGTCAAATCTATGGTGGAGATGTTGCTCCACAATTTACTAGTTTTGTGATTTGGGGCTTTTGAGCTCTCTGAACCTTATTTTCCTTATTAAGAAAATCAAAATCAACTTCAAATAGTTGTTACGAAGAATGAAAGAAATGAGAATGCAAAGATTAGCACATGCTTGGCACCTAATGAGTAGGAAATAAAGGATCGCTGTTTTATGTGCAATGTAATTAAATGCATATTGAGCCCTTTAAGTGCCAGGCACCATCCTAGTCATTACATATGTATTGCCTCATTTAATATTCATATTACCTTATGAGGTAGAGACAATCATTTGTACATTCTTTTTCAGATGAGATGGTTGAGAAATATAAAGTTAAGTCATTCACCCAAGGTTACACACATGGTAAGTGGGAGAACTGGGATTTAAGCCCAGGCAATGGGCTCAAGAACCCACACTCTTAACTACTATTCTTTAAATAAATATGATTGCAAAATCTTAGAAATGAAAGACACTTGAAATAGTTCAGTACAACCCATCATTTACAGATGAGGGACGTGGGCTTCAGAGAATGAGTCAGAGTCATTAGTGAGTGGCAGACCCAGGAGGAGCCACTCTCCTGTCTCTTGTGTCCTTGCCTGTGGCCTCCCTCTGCACTGAGAGAGCTTTCCCCACACACGATAGACACTCATTGGGTTGTCCAAGCATTTTCAAGAGTGCAAACAAAAGAGTATTTATTTTAAGAAAAGGTTTCATATGATTTAGATAGTTTATATAAACTGATGAAATAAACCTGGCCTGGGGGAATTTCATTTCATCTGTAGCATTAGAAAAAAAAAGAATCAACAAAGCAGAAGGAAATGGAGAAGAGGGGAAGTTAACAGAATTGAAGCTAATTTTGATTTTTCACCATATCTCCAAATATGGGAAGGTATGGCCTTTGGATTTTCATCCTCAGTCTATCACTTACTAGGACTTCATCTGTATAAAGAAATAAGAGAGGGTACAGGAACGTTTAAATTTTTGGACTCATTTTGCCTACATGTAATCTGGAGGATGTGTGTTCGGTTCCCTTAGTACTGGTCTCCAGTTGGCTATGTAATAAGACTGCAAGGGGTCTTTTATAAGAGTAGCCCTGAACTGTTCACATTGTGTAATTTATTCTTGACAACCATCCTGGGAGAGATGCCGTGGAGATTCAATTATCTCCTTCTGTTGGAGAGGAAAGTGAGGCTCAGAAAAGGTAAGTGGTATACATGCCAAGTCCCTACATTGACATTTTCATGTCATACTTTTGGAGGATAGTTTCACTGATCACAACCTCTTTCTCTTTCTCTCAAGCATAGTGGCCTATGCCCCAGGAATGTAGCATAATGCATATTTACATCTATCTCTGTATAGGCAGGTGTAGATTAAATTGCAACATAATTGGCACAGCATTTGTCTCTATCTTAATGATGATACAGATGGAAAACTAAAAAAGATGAGAGATTTTTCTTCTAAAAAAAACTTTTAAAGTTATGGAGTTAGAACATATAGTTACTGTAGACCCAATCACCACAAGTGCTAGCAATTGTCCATGTATATACAGAGACTTAAAGGCAAATTGAGAGGCAAGCAGTTAATTATTTAAATGCTGTAGAGCTATGTAGCAGCCCAGAGATAAAGGTTAACGGGAAAGTTTTCAATCACAACTTTATTATGTAGGTATACACCATAAGCTAAACTTAACTCAAACATAATCCACCTTCAGACCTCTGAGCAGCAAGTTATATAGGGAAGGAAGGATGACACAAGTTTGAATGACATCAGCCCAGCAAGCTAGACAAATTCTTTTGATAAAGTATGATAGATTCAAATTTCAGATCAGCCTCTCTTTTCCTCCAGAGTTCTGAACAATTTTTGACAGAATTGCCCTATTTACTGGTTGCTTAGTTGCTTAGTTATAGGTAAATAGTTGCTATCTAAGACATCGAGTAACATTCAAGATTGTTTAGGGCCCTTAAAATAGTCTTGTTTTAGAATGACAAATTAATTATTTAATAATTATTATTATAATTATTAAAATTATATATTATATTGTATTATATATTATATAGATTATTAATAATTATTTAATTTTTATGGCATTTGCATTAGTTAGGGTACAAGCTATGTTGTTTTACTAAGGATACCTTAAAATGCTTAAAACATTTTCTTATGCTCACAGATACTATGTGTTAGGAATTCAGATGGGAGTCAGAGGGGATGGCTTATCTTGTTTCAAGATAACTGGGGCCTCAGTTGAGAAAGCTTGTATGTCTAAGGGTGATTCAAATGTTGTGGGGCAACCTGGAGATTTCTCTACTGACATAGCTGTACTCGGTCTCGGAGGACATGAAGGCTTGGTTCAGTTGGAACTGTCAATCAAGCACCTATATGTGGCCTTGGACATAACACAAGAGGGCAGCTGAATTCCAATGGGGAGCATCTTGGGGATGAGCATTCTGAGAAAACCAAGGAGAAGTCACAAGGCCTCTTCTGGCCAAGCTATGAAAGTCACATAGCATCACTCTGCTATCCTCCGTTGTATAAGAAGTCACAAGGCTTTTGAAAAAAGAAGACATAGACTACATAGACTTCACCTTTTGATGTCATGTTTTCAAACTTTCACAAGGTCGTCAAACAAATAAACACGTCAACGGTGAGCGTTCCAGGGCTGGGAGTGGTCTTCTATCTTCAACCTATGGTTTCTTCCACTGACAGTAGTTTTCAGGCATCAGAAAGCGGAGAGTGCAGAGGAAGAATCCGTAAAGAGATGACCAGGAAACTGCATACTTCAGATTCTTTCACACTTCAGCAGCTTGAATTTAGTCCACATGGGCTCACATCACTAGAAAAGAGCCTAGGAGAATAGTATGTAGCTTGCAGGGAGTGAAGGTGTACACGTTCCCAGGTAAAAGTTGAGGGGTTCTGTTACTAAAAGTAAGAAGGAGAGAAGAAATACTGGAAGCAGGAAGCCTCCATCTGCCCCTCTGACTTCTCTCTTCTCCCGAATTCCACACATACGCACCGTTTTTCCTATGCATACAACACACTCTCCCTTTCCCACTGACAGAGACAACTCAAAATTTCATCCTGTTTCTCCATACAGCACAAAGTCAGAATTTCTGGGTGATATTCCATCGTCTTCATCAGATCTAGCTCTGGTTTCTTTTATCTGGCACTACAAACAAAAACCAAGCAAAATGTGCTGATGGCAGAGCCTCATAGTTGGCTCTGGGCAACTCACTTGTGGCTATTATAGACCCTTACACTACTCCGGGTAGGTTTAGGGAAAGGGTCACTGGAATTAGGTTTTTTATGGGAACTCTTGATTCACTAATGCATTTCTAAATATTTTTTCAGTGTCGTTTCATTTTTTGAAATAACAACCACTTCTGGCTATTACACGATAGAGAAATAAACTACATTTTAAAAATCCAATACTGTTGTATGGGTTTTTTTTTTTCTTTTTCTTTTGGTTTCTGTTATAGCAGCTTAGCTTTTACCCAAATCAATACAGTATATATCACAAAATTACTTGAATTTTCTGCATTTATTTTAGTTTTAAATTTAAAGATGACTTTTTAAACAACAAGAATATATATTTGAGCAATTTAGGATTCAGCGAAGTAGAGTCTATTTTGCTTATTCTCACTTATCTTGTTCAATGATCTCAGCAGACGCTACAATACAAGCACACAGAGAAGAGCAGATGGCCTGGAAAAAGAATCAAAGCAAATTTGGCATTCATTGTTACTGTAATTGCCACTTCTTTTTCTTTAAAATGAGAAAAATTATTATAGTTAGGTTTTGGAAATTTTCCTACAGACCTAGTGAAATCCAGGGGTGTTCCGAGACAGAGACTAGAAGAAAATCCTCTCATCCTTGCCCACTCTGTCCCACTAACTAATGAAGCCACCTGAAAATTGCCTGTGGAATAATTAGGTGAGGACTTTGCATTCATGAACTAGCTTCTGCAGCCTTTAATCCACCCCTGACTCTCTAGGAACAAACCAGACATTGGCAACATGTGGCAGGCTTAGGTTTATTTTTCGAAAGTATTTAAGGATTTTTTTGATTCTTTCTTTCTAAAGTCTTCTTAGGTTTATTTTAAATTCTAGGATCAAAATGATATAGTAATACTTCAGTTAGCCAGATTACCTGGGTAAAGTTTAGTCCTGTTAACTGGTGGTGTTTTTTGGGTGGTTTTGTTGTTGTTGTTGTTGTAGTTGTTGTTGTTGTTGTTTTTGAGGCAGAGTCTCACTTTGTCACTCAGGCTGGAGTGCAGTGGGACGATCTCAGCTCACCTCTGCTTCCCAGGTTCAAGCAATTCTCCTGCCTCAGCCTCCTGAGTAGCTGGGATTACAGGCGTGCACCTCATTGCCCCGCTAATTTTTTTATTTTTAGTAGAGATGGGGTTTCACCATGTTGGCCAGGCTGGTCTCAACCTCCTGACCTCAAGGCAGGCAGCCACCTCAGCCTCCCAAAGTGCTGGGATTACAGGTGTGAGCCACCACACCCAGCCTGGAGTTTAATGAAATGAAACAGGTTATTTTCATTTCAAAAATTGTTACTGAAAAATGTTTACAAATTCATTAGTGAATCAAGCGTTCCCACATAAAACCTAATTTCAGTGACCCTTATCCTAAACCTACCTGGAGTAGTGTATGGGTCTGTCCCTAGTGTGGTTACATAAAGCGCCAAGGTTCCTCGCCATAAGCAGTTTATTCCAAGAAAAAAAGAGTATCAAGAAGCATAGTTCAAGTTCTGAAAAGAAGCATGTTTCTAAACAGAGTTCTCAGATTGTCCTTTAATTCGGTCTCCATGAACACACACCTGAGTCCACAACAAGGCAGTTGCAATAAAAATAGGAGAAGAAAGAAAGAAAGAAGACCTGCACAGTGTGGAGCATGTGTTTGGATTTCAAACATGAGATGATGCCAACACCACAGACATTAGCACCCTTCACACTAGCAACCTGCATTTGCTGCCTGGGCATCAGTGGCCATTAGTGTCAGGAAAGGCTGCCTTAATCTTTAGAGGATTTATGACTAAAAATATTAGGGGCATTTTCTCACATGGAAATTAAAAAATAGTAATTCCAAACTGCTAAATACATGTAAGTAAATTTAAATAGAAATTCTGATTTTTGCCATAAAAAATCACGATTTTAAAAATAATTAATGTTAAATTATTTACAGAAATTTTTCTGATGCCATTTTTTTTTAGTTTCCTAAGCATGTGTTTCCCTTCCTATTTGCTAATCTAGGTTGGCTTTAATGGCAGTCCCGTAGAAGTGGGGAAAGTTGAGCATCAGTACTCTCAGCATTAATAGCATCTCGCTCAGAACAAAGATGCCTATGCCACCAGAAGGCATCAGTAGAGACAGAAAGCACAGACAGGGCAAGCTACAGCAGGAGAAGAGAAGCTTAGCAGGCACCACAGGTCATCAGGAGTACTAGTTTATCTAGCACACTTGGGAAACTGTCTGCAGTCTACAAGAACTATTCAGGAGGAATTTGTTAGGAGTCTAGAGTTTCTGCAGAGCAGTTGAGAAAAGAGAGAAAAATGGGTTTATAATAAGAATTGTGAGTCTATTTTTACTTTCAGGTTGATATGATCGGGGGGCATCTATATAAATGTGCATAAGATATGTGTGTGTAATAGAAGATAAAGAATATATTGCAAATAATTGAGTCTTGGTGATCGAAAACCTTGAGGTGCCATAATCAGAAATCATTGAACATTGCTTGTATTATAAATTAGCCTCAATGTACAAAAAGAATGCAGAGGTGATTGTATTTAATGTGCAACCTGCCATAATGTTCTGAAAGCTATTTTCTCTTGTATTCAATTTTCCATCATTGTGTTTTTGTTCTTGTTGTTTAAGGCTGCCAAGAATATTTCTGGTAAACATTTCAATTCAATTCAACAAGCATGTATTAAGCACGTACAATGTGTCAGTCAAAATTCAAGGTTTTGGTATGTAGATATGATTAACACATAGTCTTTATGTTCTAAAACCTCACAATGAAAAGATACACTAAAAAAATGACTAGAGACAGTATGACTAGGTTTAATCATATATAAACCGAATAAGTTGAAGTAGCCACAATAAAGTAGCAGCATATAAAAAAATACTTACTTTACTTGAGATATGTGGGGTTTCAATGAGAAACTACTTCTAAATGTAGGTATTGATCGATCTGTCCTGGGTGAAAAATAGAAGTCGGCCAGGCAATTAAGTAGGGGGTGGGATCCATGAGATTGTGAACAAAGTGACAGGGGTGTGAGAACATTTGGCCACTTGAGAAACTGAATGTACCTAGGTGTGACTGATGTGAAGGATATGTGTGGACATTTTGGGAGGTAAGCTTGAAAGGGTAAGCAGGGAGTTGAAATTAATCCTGAACATATGAGAAGCTGCTCATATTAGTAGTATATTAGGATTTGCAGGTGAGGAAATCCACCTCGCAGCTGTTTGGAAGGTAGATTTTAAATGATAATGAAGACACCATTACAGAAGTCTATCAAGAAATGACAGGCTGGGTGCGGTGGCTCATGCCTATAATCCCAGCACTTTGGGAGGCCAAGGCAGGTGGATCATGAGGTCAGGAGATGGAGACCATCCTGGCTAACCCGCTGAAACCCCATCTCTACTAAAAATACAAAAAATTAGCCAGGCGTGGTGGCGGGCGCCTGTAGTCCCAGCTACTCGGGAGGCTGAGTCAGGAGAATGGCGTGAACCCGGGAGGCGGAGCTTGCAGTGAGCTGTGATTGCGCCACTGCACTCTAGCCTAGGCGACAGAGCAAGACTCCATCTAAAAAAAAAAAAAAAAGATAGAAAGAAATGACAAACCATTCCAAGTATGGCCTTGGCACTAAGGTAGAAAGGGAAGAAAGAATTAAAATATTTCAGAGGTAATGTTTGGGGAAAAGGAGAAAGAAATTTAATTCTCATTTTTTTCTGGCAATTGATGATTCCACTAATGGAAACTAGCAAAGCTAAGTGGAAAAACAGATTTGGGTTTGTGTCCAGGGAAAGGCTAGTGGCTGTAGACATGGAAGGCAGATTTGCAAAGCTTGTGAGAGGTCTATGTGGAGATGTCAGAGTCATCAAGGAATGGGTATTTAAAGAGAAGTCTAGGAAGGAGAGCGATGTGTTATTATTGATCTTATCGCATTTCATGTGGATCCTCTTACACACTATGGTCTTCTGTTATCAAAATGTAAAATTCCCTTACTCTGTCTATTGAGTATGAAACACTGTATCATGCTTTTATGAGTGAGAACTAAGTAAATGGTATCATGATGAAAAAGTCTGTTTTAAAAGTCAAAAATGAAAGGACAGTGGCTGATAATGAATCCTCCAATAGCCATATTTAAACATAATACTTCCTTAAAAGCAATAGTTTCAATTATTCTATGCATTCTTTCCATTGCTGAAAAGCAGTGTAGGATTGCGATTAAGGATATATTTTCTAGAATGAACTGTATCTTTATTGTTAGTTCAGCCTCTTTCTAGTTGTGTGATCTTGAGCAATTCATTTAAGCTCTCTGTGTGTGAGTGACCTCGTATGCTAAATGATGTTAATTTGTGGATAACCAACCACACAGGATTTTTGTAAGAATTAAATAAGATATTTCAGGTTAAGCATTTAAAAGAGGAGTTGGCTTGTTCAAAGTGTTTAATAAGCAATATCTTAAATGACCGGTGGTTTTTGTTGTTATTCTGACATGAGCTCCCCAGAATGATCTCAGATTTTTTTTTTATATCTATAGCAAATGAACCCAAAGTTGGTTCATGACCTAAGTGGCAACCGTGTTCATTTCAAGAGAAGCTTATATAAGGTGAATATGTACATTTTTTTTCTTCTAGATAAATACAGATCTTTTCCCGTGTTAAGAAAAGTAAAAAAGCATATTCAATATTTTAAAAAGTATATTAAGTTAGGGGGAAATTTAACTGTTTGGCATTATTTACAAGAAATAACCAGCTAGTGTTTTAAGTTTTTCCTGCAATGTTGATTCAGTTCTACTCTCACTAAACCACTTATGTGAAGGATAAAAGGGAGAGATCAGAAAATCTGAAAAATGAAACATTCATAACTTCAATGCAACTAATAAGCCTTAATTGCAAGAAACTGAGGAAGGCATTTGTTCTTTGGGCTTTCTGGTGATGCATTTCTAAGCAGAGAAAATTAACTTGGAGAGTCAGCTCACCATATGCAGGAGAGGATATGGGCAGAAACCTGCAGAGTAGAGGAAGGGAAGGGGAAATTCAGAAAATAAGAGGATTGAATAACAAAAGACATCAAATCAAAAATTTCAAGTCAAAAACAGAGAAATAAGGCCATGCACAGTGGTGCATGCTGTAATCCCAGCACTTTGGGAGGCTGAGGCGGGAGGATCACTTGAGCCCAGGAGTTCGAGACCAGCCTGAGCAACGTGGTGAAATCCCGTCTCTACAAAAAAATAAAAAAAATCTAACAGGGCAAGGTGGTACTTGCCTGTAGTCCCAGCTGCTTGGGAGGCTGAGTTGAGGGGATCACTTGAGCTCAGAAGTGCAAGGCTGCAGTGAGTCATGATCATGCCACTCCACTCCACTCTGGCTAACAGAGCAAGACCTTTTCTCAAACAAACAAATAAGCAAACAAAAAGAGAAGAATAGTATCCTGACCCTTTCCCTCTCCCCACTTTCCAAAAATCCCTATTAGCGTATCTTGTGTTAAAAGAAAGAAATGAGAACTGTGAGAAAATAATTTAAGAGAAGTATAACCCCTGCTGTGTGATGCTCAGTGCAGCTTCTGGACAATGAAAAAGACCCAATTCTCTCTCTTAATATTTTTAGATATTTAAATGCCTTCTTCTGAATAGTCAACAATTCTTTCTTAAAGCTTTGTTTATGTCTTATAATTGTCTAAAAATAAGCACTGTGTTTAATATTATATATATATATATAAAATGCAACAAAATCATTTTCCTTTCTACATACACATATAGTATGTGTTCAATAGATTTATACCTGATTGAAGCTTTACTAGAAAGATATGAAAGATAAAAGTGGCAAGGTACAATGTGAAAGGGCAAAAATATAAGAGGACTCTAAAGGCCCATTTCAATCTCTTTAATATAACTTTCTACATAATGCAGAACAATCAGATACATATTTTAGAGAAAGCAGCATACAAACAAAGGCAAAAAAAAAAACAAAACACCATACTGCATGCACATTTTGCTCTGGGGAAACCACCCACACTCTTAGAATTAAAAATATGCCCCTAGGGCATTTTTTGCCAAGAATAATTTATCTTTCTCCATGTTTACATGTTCAAAGAAATCTTTCTACTATTTCCCTCTACTTTTGACACAAATTTATACTTATGCAACCTAACCCTGATCTAGCTAGCCTCTGTTCTAATGCATTTTTTTTTGGTTGGCAAAATCCAAACTTAGTATTTATTATCTTTGGTCTCACAGAAAATTGGTCTAAGTGGAGTCAGGGTGTGTTGGGTAGAGATAACTTCCACACAGTGACAGCTTTGGCTGCCAGGTAGTTATGTCCTCAGGTTGACTAACATGTCCTTATTCTGATTCCACACTCCTCGGAGAGAGAGTAGAATGGGAAGAGCTAAGATCATGCACTGGATCCATCCATTTATAGCCAGGGTTGGAGTTCGAGTGGGAAGCATAAGGGGACACACTCAGGACTTGGCAGCCTTCAGAAAGTGTGGCTATGGGATGAGCCACACCTCCAAATTATCTCAAGCTCTAGCCAGGGCTTATTTATCAACAGGATAAAAAAGTATTCAGGGAAGGAAACTGTTTAAAGAGATATTCTTCGGATGTTATTTTTTAAAAGAGTTGTGGCATTGCTTTACAGGTTCAAGGACATGGTATTGTGACAGTGACAAAACAGAAAATCCAAAGGTATCTTATTGCAGTTACAGGCTAGATTATTCTTTATCTCAGGTCAAGGAAAGCCAGGCTAGCTTGGATGACACTAGTCCTCTCACAAGACTCCTGCAATATAAAACAGAAAGCAATAGTTTTGAATAGGTTCTTCTATCAAATTTCACTGTGCTTTTCTGAGCATGATGTAGGCAAATGTGGCCAGAAGAAGATGCCATGATTACTCTTTTCTGTATCCAATCTTTCTCAAATAAGTAGCACTGGATATAAGAGGCTACCAAAATGTTACATGCCTCCAAATGCTTCATTCTTAATGCCAGATCAAAAGTAATAGTAGCATAAATTTAGTTTTTAATAAAAGTGATTACTGTAGTCTTAGTTGCAGTATTGTATTCTATTTGATGATAATAACTATAGAAGAGAAGAAATGGAGTATTTTATGCTTAACTATTACTTTTAAATAAACATTCCCAGCATATAAAAATCCATAGTAATATGGACAAGCTTACTCTAAAATTTATATGGAAAATTATAGGCCTACAATAGATAATTCAATCTTGAAAAAGAAGAATAAAGTGGAGGAATCACTCTACTTTATATTAAACTTTAGTATATCACCACACCAAGCAAGACATATAGTCTTGGTGAAAGGATTGATATCTAGATCTATGGAATAGGAAAAAAAGCTCATCGATGCACCCACATACATATGCCCAACTTATTTTCTTAATAGATTCATAAGCAATTCGGTAGAGGAAGGATAGTCTTTGAAAAAATGAGTGCTGGAACTATTGAACTTCATAAGTAAAACAAAAACAAAACAAACATTGACCAAACCTCACACTTTAAACAAAACTAACTCCAAAATAGATTACAGAAATAAACGTAATACATGAAACTATAATTTTTTTAACAATTAGGAGAAATTCTTCAAGTTTTTTTATCCTTTAACAATTTTATTTTCTAACTGTGAAAATATATGGACATACGATTGGTTTTGTATAATGACTTTGGCATATTGACCTAGCAATATTTTTCAATTTACTTACTAATTCTCAGCATAGATTCTTATGGGACTGTCTGTATGTAGTAATCATGCGGTCTGTGAATAATGACGGTTTATTTATTTCAAATTTTCATGCCTTTTATTTCTTTTTGCTTTATTGTCCTGGCTAAGATATTCAGCACACTGTTGAATGGAAGGGATGTTAGCTGACATCCGTATCTTATTTAAGATCTCAAAGTGCAAGATTTTAATATTTATTATTATTTTTTAATTATTTCAACAGGTTTTTTGGGAACTGGTGATGTTTGGTTACATGAATAAGTTCTTTACTGGTGATTTCTGACATTTTGGTGTACTCATCACCTGAGCAGTGTGCACTGTATCCAGTGTTAGTCTTTTGTCCCTTATCCCCCCTCACCGTTTCCCCCAAGTCCTCAAAGTCCATTGTATCATTCTTATGCCTTTGCATCCTCATAGCTTAGCTTCCACTGATGAAGAGATGATGTTTGGTTTTCCATTCCTGAGTTACTTCACTTAGAATAATGATCTCCAATTCCATTCAGGTTGCTGAAAATGCCATTATTTCGTTCCTTTTTATGGCTGAGTAGTATTCCATAGTGTGTGTGTGTGTGTATACACTATATATATATATATATATCACATTTTCTTTATTCACTCTTTGATTGATGGGCATTTGAGCTGGTTTCATATTTTTTCAATTGCAAATTGTGCTGCTATAAACATGCGTTTATAGCACTCATGCATTTGCACGTATCTATTTCGTATAATGACTTCTTCTGGGCAAAAGGAGTAGGGTCTAAAGATCTACTTTTAGTTCTTTAAGGAATCTCCACACCATTTTCCATTGTGGTTATACTAGTTTACATTCCCATCAACAGTGTTAAATTGTTTCCTTTTCACCAAATCCACACCAACATCTATTAATTTTTGATTTTTTTATTAGGGCCATTCTTTCAGGAGTGAGGTGGTATCCCACTGTGGTTTTGATTTGCATTTCCCTGATCATTAGTGATGTTGGGCATTTTTTGATATGTTTACAGGCCATTTGTATATCTTCTTTGAGAATTGTCTATTCATGTCCTTAGCCAACTTTTTGATGGGATTGTTTGTTTAATTCTTGCTGATTTGTTTGAGTTCCTTGTCAATTCTGGATATCAATCCTTTGTCAGATGTATATATTAAGAAGGTTTTCTCCATCTCTGTGGGTTGTCTGTTGACTCTGCTGATTATTTCAGTTGCTGTGCCCAAGATTTTTAGTTGAATTAAATTCCATCTATTTATCTTTGTTTTCGTTACATTTGCTTTTGGGTTCTTGGTCATGAAGTCTTTGCCTAAGCCAATGTCTAGAAGGGTTTTTCCAACGTTATCTTCTAGAATTTTTATGGTTTCAACTCTTAGATTTAAGTCTTTGATCCATCTTAAGTCAATTTTTGTATAAGGTGAGAGATGAGGATCCAGTTTCATTCTTCGACATGTGGGTTGCCAATTATTCCAGTGTCATTTGTTGAATAGGATATCCTTTCCCCACTTCATATTTTTGTTTGTTTTGTTGAAGATCAGTTGGCTGTAAGTGTTTGGCTTTATCTCTTGGTTCTCTATTCTCTTCCATTGGTCTGTATGCCTGTTTTTATACCAGTACCATGCTGTTTTGCTGATGATGGCCTTAGAGTATAGTTTGAAGTCAAGTAATGTGATGCCTCCAGATTTGTTCTTTTTGCTTAATCTTGCTTTGGCTGTGAGCACTCTTTTTTGGTTCCATATGAATTTTAGGATTGTTTTTTCTCGTTCTGTGAAGAATGATGGTGGTATTTTGATGGGAATTGCATTGAATTTGTAGATTGCTTTTGGCAGTATGGTCATTTTCACAATATTGATTTTACTCATCCATGAGCATGGGATGTGTTTCCATTTGTTTGTGCATGATTTCTTTCAGCAGTGTTTTGTTGTTTTCCTTGTATAGGTCTTTCACCTCCTTGGTTAAGTATAGTCCCAAATATATATATATATATATATTTGCAGCTATTGTAAAAGGGGTTGAGTTCATGATTTGATTCTCAGCTTTGTTGCTATTCATGTACAGCAGGGCTACTGATTTGTGTACATTAATTTTGTATCCTGAAACTTTGCTGAATTCATTTAACAGTTCTAGGAACTTTTGGTTGAGTCTTTAGGGTTTTCTAGGTATACGATCATATCATCAGCAAAGACTGGCAGTTTCACTTCCTCTTTACCGATTTGGATGCCCTTTATTTATTTCTCTTGTGTGATTGCTCTGGCTAGGACTTCCAATACTATGTTGAAGAGGAGTGATGAGCGTAGGCACCCTTGTCTTGTTCTAGTTCGCACGGGAAATGCTTTCAACTTTTTCCCATTAAATATAATGTTGTTGGCTGTGGGTTTGTCACAGATGGTTTTTATTACCTTAAGGCATATCCCTTCTATGTGGATTTTGCTGAGGACTTTAATCATAAAGGGATGCTGGATTTTGTCAAATATTTTTTCTGTGTTTATTGAGATGATCATGTGATTCTTGTTTTTAATTCTGTTTATGTTGTATATCACATTTATGGACTTGTGTATGTTAAAGCATCCCTGCATCCCTGGTATGAAACCCACTTGATCATGGTAGATTATCTTTTTAATACGTGGTTGGATTCAGTTAGCTAGTATTTTATTGAGGATTTTTGCATCTAGGTTAATCAGTGATATGGGTCTCCAGTTTTATTTTTTTGTTATGTCCTTTCCTGGTTTTGATATTACAGTGATACTGGCTTCATTGAATGATTTAGGGAGGATTTTCTCTTTCTCTGTCTTTTGGAATAGTGTAACTAGGATTGGTACCAATTTTTCTTTGAATGCCTGATAGAATTCAGCTGTGAATCCGTCTGGTCCTGGGCTTATTTTTGTTTGGTAACATTTTGATTACTATTTCAATCTCACTGCTTGTTATTGGTCTGTTCAGAGTTTCTATTTCTTCCTGGTTTAATCTAGGAGGGTTGTATCTTTCCAGGAATTTACACATCTCCTCTAGGTTTTCTAGTTTATGTGCATACAGGTGTTCATAGTAGCCTCGAGTGATCTTTTGTATTTCTGTAGTAACAGTTGTAATATCTCCCATTTCATTTTTAATTGAGCTTATTTGGATCTTCTCTTTTTTTCTTGGTTAATCTTGCTAATGGTCTATCAGTTTTGTTAATCTTTTCAAATAACCAGCTTTTTGTTTTATCTTTTGTATATTTTTTGTTTCAATTTCATTTAGCTCTGCTCTGATCTTGGTTTTTTCTTTTTTTCTGCTGGGTTTGGGTTTGGTTTGTTCTTGCTTCTTTAGCTTCTTGAGGTGTGACCTTAGATTGTCTATTTGTGCTTTTCAGACTTTTAGATGTAGGTATTTAATGTTATCAAGTTTCTATTTATGTAGGTATGTAATGCTATGAGATTCTATTCTGGTGTATTTCGAGGATTTGTTTCAAGATTTAGAGCTCCTTTTAGCAGTTTTTGTAGTGCTCAGTATTTGTCTGAAAAAGACTATCTTCCCTTCATTTATGAAGCTTAGTTTCACTGGATACAAAATTCTTGGCTGATATTTGTTTGGTTTAAAGACTACCGATAGGACCCCAATCCCTTTGTCTTTGCTGTATCCCAGAGGTTTTGATAGGTTGTGTCACTACTATTGTTCAGTTGAAAGAATTTTTACATTTCTATCCTGATTTCATTGTTCACCCAATGATTTTTCAGGAGCAGGTTGTTTAATTTTGATGTATTTGCAATGTTTTGAAGATTTCTTTTGGGGTTGATTTCCAATCTTATTCCACTGTGGTCTGACATAGTACTTGATAAAATTTTGATATTCTTAAATTTGTTGAGACTTGTTCTGTGGCCTATTATATTTTCTATATTGGAGAATGTTCCATGTGCTGATGAATAGAATGTATGTTTTGCATTTGTTGGGTAGAATGTTCTCCACATATCTGTAAATCCATTTGTTGTAGGGTGTAGTTTAAGTACATTGTTTTCTTTGTTAACTTTCTGTCTTGATGATCTGTCTAGTGCTGTCAGTGGAGTACTGAAGTCCCCCACTATTGCTGTGTTGCCATCTATCTCATTTCTTGGGTGTTGTAGTAATTGTTTTATAAATTTGGGAGCTCCAGTATTAGGCACTTACATGTTTAGGATTGTGATATTTTCCTACTGGACTAGTCCTTTTATCATTATATAATGTCTCTCTTTGTGTTTTTTACCGGCTGTTGCTTTAAAGTTTGTTTTGTCTGATACAAGAATAGTTATTCCTGCTTGCTTTTGGTGTCCATTTGCATGGGATATCTTTTTCTACCCCTTTACCTTAAGCTTATGTGAGTCCTTATGTATTAGGTGAGTCTACTGAAGACAGTAGATACTTGGTTAGTGAATTCTTATCCATTCTGCCATTCTGTATCTTTTAAGTGGAGCATTTAGGCCATTTACATTCAGTGTTAGTATTGAGATGTGAGGTACTATTCTATTCATCATGATATTTGGTGCCTGAATACCTTGGTTTTTTAAATCATTGCATTATTGTTTTATAGATCCTGTGAGATTTATGCTTAAGGAGATTCTATTCTGGTGTATTTTGAGGATTCGTTTCAAGATTTAGAGCTCCTTTTAGCAGTTCTTGTAGTGCTGGCTTGGTAGTGGTGAATTCTCTCAATATTTGTCTGAAAAAGACTGTATCTTTCCTTCATTTATGAAGCTTAGTTTCACTGGATACAAAATTCTTGGCTGATATTTGTTTGGTTTAAAGGCTACAGATAGGACCCCAGTCCCTTCTAGCTTGTGAAGTTTCTGCTAAGAAAAATGTTGTTAAGCTGATAGGTTTTCCTTTATTGGTTACCTGATGCTTTTGCCTCACAGCTCTTAAGATTTTTTCCTTCATCTTGACTTTACATAACCTGATGGCTATATGCCTAGATGATGATCTTTTTGTGATGTATTTGCCAGGTGTTCTTGGAGCTTCTTGCATTTGGATGTCTAGATTTCTAGCAAAGCTGGGGAAATTTTCCTCATTATTTCCTGAAATATGTTTTCCAAACTTTTAGATTTCTCTTCTTCCTTGGGAACACCAATTATTCTTAGGTTTGGTTGTTTAACAAAATCCCAAACTTCTCGTAGGCTTTGTCAAATTTTTAAAATTCTTTTTTCTTTGTCTTTGTCAAATTGAGTTAATTCAAAAGCCTTGTTTTTGAGTTCTGAAGTTCTTTCTTCTGCTTGTTTGATTCTATTGCTGAGACTTCCCAGTGCATTTTGCAATTCTCTAAGAGTGTCCTTCATTTCGAGAAATCATGATTATTTTTATATTATTTTTAATATGTGCTATTTATTTCACTGGAGATTTTTCCCTTCATATACTGTATCACTTTTTTTATTTCTTTAAGTTGGACTTTCACCTTTCTCTGGTGCCCCCTTGATTGGCTTAATAGTCAACCTTCCGAATTCTTTTTCTGGAAATTCAGAAATTTAATCTTGGTTTGAATCCATTGCTTGTGAGCTAGTGTGATCTTTTGGAGACGTTAAAGAACCTTGTTTTGTCATATTACCAGAATTGTTTTTCTGGTTCCTTCTCATTTGGGTAGACAGGCAAAATTCTTCAAGCTTTAGGCAAAGGTTTCTTAGACTTCACACCAAAAAGCACAATCCATAAAACGAAAAACTGATATATTCAACCTCATCTAAATGGGAAGTTTATACTCTGTCTGCAAAGGCATTCTTAAGAAGATGAAAAAGCAGGCTACAGATTGGGAGAAAATATTTGCAGATCCGACAAAGGACTAGATTTCAGAATATGTAAGGAACACTCAAAACTCAACAGTAAATAAGCCAAGTAATCTAATTAGAAAGTGAGCAAAAGAGATGAACAGACATTTCACTTAAGAAGATATACACATGGCAAATAAGCCATCTTATGTGAAATGATTTTTAATTTCATTAGCCCTTAAAGAAATGTAAACTAAATGTAAACATTAAGGAAATGTAAACTAAAACCACAATGGGTTATCTCCGCAAGTGTATCAGAATGACTAAAATAAAAAATAATGCCAACACCAAACACTAGTAAGGTGAAACTGAATCATTTTACAGGGAAATAATCATATGTTTGATCATACAAATGATCAATACAGAGAAAATGGATCATTCATACAATGCTGGTGTGAATATAACATGGTACAACCAAAATGACAAAGTTTGGCAGTTTCTTATAAAACTAAATATGCAATTACTGTACTACTCACTAATTGCACTCTTGAGCATTTACTACAGAAAAAATATAATTTATGTTCACATGAAAAACTTATACACAAATGTTCATAGCAGCTTCGTTTATAATAGTCCAAAATAGGATATAACCTAGATATCCTAAAATAGGTGAATGGTTAAACAAACTGTGGCACATCTATATCAGAAAATATTGCTTGATAATAAAAAAGAATGAAATATCAATACACACAACTCCCTGAATGAATCTCCAGGAAATTATGCTGAGTGAAAAAAGGTCCAAACAGTTATATATTATACGCTTTCATTTCTATAATATTCTAGGAAATAAAAAAATAGAAATGAAGACTAGGTTAGCGGGTGTCAGGGGCTAGGGATAGGGTAAGGGAGAGTGGGAGAGACATGGCGAAAAGGCTACATAAGATATGATTGTGTGATGGAACTGTCCTGTATCTTGACAGTGGCAATGGTCACAAGAATCTACACGTGTTAAAATTGTATATACCTAAATACACACACTGGTGAAGTGTGAATATGATTGATGGATTTTTAATGTCAGTTTCCTGGTTGTGGTATTATACTATAGTTATGGTAGATGTTACAATAGGGGAAAACTAGACAAAGGTTATATGGGATATCTCTGTATCATTTCTTATAACTGCATGTGAATCTCAATTATCTCAAAAAATCTTTTAAAAAAGAATAAAACACATTTCCTCAGGGGAAAATCTATAGCAATGTTCTAGCAAAAGAACACAGAAAATGCTTAAATTTCAGTTATACAATATAAGGTACATTTATATAATAACTAATATAGTTTGATAAACTGGGTGTCTTGTAACTAAAGTAAAAGAAAACTCTATCTTTGAAGATACGTAAGTTGTATTTTAATTAGTAATCTTCCTGACCAAATAGTGAATTCTGTCTCCATCAGCCCTTACCACTTGTTCTTCTCACAGTAAGTGGACAGAAGGTTTGGATACTAGTAGTCACTCAGAGATTCAGAACCTCACACCAAATAAAAGAGTTGGCCGTGGAATTATTTGTTCATCAATGGGCCTGCCTCCTCATGTGCCCAGTTTCTAACTGGTGATGGGCCAGAAGGTTTGTAATTTTTACTTTTCTTTCAGATCCTGGAGCATTTTATTAAAAGTCTCCAAAGTTGGTGCATCTCACAAAGCTCCTTCCTAATTATTAGAAAATTATTTTTGTCTAGGATGGGATAGGAGGGAGGAAACTGTCTTAAAACTTCTAACTTTTTGTTTGAAAAGTGAATCAAGAATAATAAGTGGAGATTTCAAAGCTCAAGGCAGATATTAATTTATTTAAATATTCTGGATTGGAAACTGAGGAAACTATGGGAATGAGCACCCAAGGAATTGAAGTATTCCGGTGTGTGTTTGTGTAGTGAGAGCAGAGGAGACTGTGAAAGGAGTGACCAGATCATGTTGAGCATGATTTATTCCAGAGCAATGAATATTGCAGGGCTTTGATCAGGGATTTGACACTATTAACTTTGTATTTTAGTTGTATGCATTTTTAAAAGATCACTTTGTCTAAAGTTTGGATAATGAATGGAAGAAAGCCAAGAGTGGATGTGGAGGTTTTTGCTGTAATCCTAGGAAAAAATGATGACAGAAATAAAGTGAGCTAGACTTCTGTGCTTAAGAACTTTGAGGCATTTAAAAATAATATAACAGAGCTTTAGGGTTAATACTCAAATAAAAACAAATTTTTTTACTTCTTTTAAGATTTTTGTAGACTAATGTGGTGATCCTTTTGTTTGTCCCTGCATTTTATAGAATTGTGCTTACACGGTGCATCTGGCTTTATTTTAAAGGCACTTAAAACAAGCAGTATTTCACTTTTTATTTTTTACTTTGTAGAGATAGGATCTCATGTTGCCCAGGCAGGTCTGGAGTTCCTGGCCTCAAGCAACCCTCCCACCTTGGCTTCTCACAATACTGGGATTACAGGCGTAAACCACTGCACCCAGCCTGGGCAGTATTTTAGAACATCATGCTAAAAAACAGTGTTTGTGAAATACTTTGGAAGCATGCACATTTCATTTATTACTCTAGGTAATCTTTATTTTATCCCTGACACCTGACCAAAAAAGAAATGTATGCCTGAACTACAAGATTAAAAGCATTTGTAAAACTGTCCTCATTTACTTATGCTTTTGCTAATGCTCTATATTGAGGAACATGGTAAGAAACGATTTTATGAAGCTCATTGATGAACTTATTTTAAAGATGTTGCTGGAATTGTTGTTTCTTAAAATATGCAGCATCCTTCTTTAAGAGGATGTATTAGTCTGTTCTCACACTGCTATAAAGATACTACCTGAGACTGGGTAATTTATAAAGAAACGAGGTTTAATTGACTCACAGTTCTACATGGCTGGGGAGGCTTCAGGAAACTTACAATCATGGCGGAAGGGGAAGAGGCGCGTCTTACATAGCAGCAGGCTAGAGGGAGGGAGTGCGTTGGGAGCTCAGGAAAAACTACCATTTACAAAACCATCAGATCTCATGAGAATTCACTCGCTATCACAAGAACAGCATGAAGGAAACCACTCTTCATAATCCAATCACTTCCTTCCCTCCACAAGCGGGAATCATCATTAGAGATGAGATTTTGGTGGGGACACAGAGCCAAGCCATATCAGAGGACCTTAAGATAAATTGTTCACTTTTCTCAGTACAATAAATGAGTTTCTCCTAAAAAGTGTTTGCTTTTATTTTATAAACCCTAAATCATAATCTGTTTTTACTGCTGGAGATTTTCATGTCTCTTCTATCAAATATACAGAAACTTAAGGAATAATTAAAATAATTATGCTACTTTCTACTAAGGAAGTGAGTTTGAGTCTGTTTGGGCAGGGATTCCTGAGTCCTGTGTGCCCAGAAAGTAGTATAAAAGAAGGGGCATGAGCAGGGTGTGGTGGCTCATGCCTGTAATCCCAGCACTTTGGGAGGCCAAGGTGGGAGGATTGCTTGAGTCCAGGAGTTCCAGACAAGCCTGGGTAACATAGAGACACCTCTTTTCTACAAAAAAATAAAAAATAGCTGGATGTGGTGGTGCATGCCTGTAGTCCCAGCTATGTGGGAGGCTGAGGCAGGAGGATTGCTGGGGCTTGAGAATTTAAAGCTGCAGTGACCTATGATTGTGACCCTGCACTCCAGCCTGCGTGACAGAGGGAAACCTGGTCTGTTAAAGAAAGGAATGAAAAGAAAGAAAAGAAGAGAAGGGAAGGGAAGGGGAAGGGGGAGGAAAAGGGGAAGGAGAAGGGAAAGAATAAGGAAGAGGAAAAGAGAGATAGAAAAGAAAGGCAGGTTTGGACTCCATGTGGGCATATTATTTCAGCCTTTGGACTCCTTGCACTATGGAAGGAGCATGGCTAAAAGAGTTTCCTTTATCCAGGGAAAGGCCTGTCAGCAGCCATGTCCCAGCAACTAAATGGAATGAGTGCTCCAGTCTTGTGGGAGAGACCGTCTGACTGGCATACCAGAGCACACACTACAGAAACAGATGAACACCAAAATTTCCAAAACATGTCTTCAGTGACTGAGGAAACAGACTTTCTGGACTAATATCCACACCTATGAAAACCATGGCAAGATAACATTACTGGTTCAAATCCTTAGTGGAAAATAAACAATGCCTGAAAATCTACGGGACTTTGACAGATTTCCGAATAGAATCTGAAGCACTTCACTTCTTTGTTTATAAATCTATTACTTGGATCCATTGGTCTAGGTATTAGGAAAGTAATCTGGGTGTAAGGCTAAAAGGCATGCCCTTTAAGAGGTCATTTGTGTTAGAAGTTTGGAACACAACTTATAAATCTCATAATAAGGTCAACTGGATGCCAGTTTAAAAGGATGAGTGGGTATATTTAATCCACTGAATGTGAACGCTTAGCCTTAGGTGCATAAGGTAAGTGCAGTGAGAAGGAGAAAAATAGTCCCTTCTGAGTGAAAAAGCATGAATATAGGCCGGGCCTGGTGGCTCATGCCTGTAATCCCAGCACTTTGGGAGGCCGAGGTGGGTGGATCACCTGTTAGCAATTAGAGACCAGCCTGGCCAACATGGTGAAACCCCATTTGTGAAACCCTATTTCTACTAAAAATACAAAAATTAGCCGGGCATGGTGGTGGGCGCCTGTAATCCCAGCTACTCAGGAGGCTGAGGCAAGAGAATCGCTTGAACACAGGAGGCGGAGGTTGCAGTGAGCCGAAATTGTGCCATTGCACTCCAGCCTGGGCAACAAGAGGAAGACTCCGTCTTAAAATAAAAAAAGAATGACTATAAATGATGTGCAGTAGATCTGTGTTCAGGAGGTGTTCTTTAGTAATGTAAACTAATTTGGGTAATGTCCTACTCCACCAAATAATTCAGACAAAGCAGGAAAAGCTAAGGCCGTGGATAAGGATTTCTACATAGCTCCAGAAAACTAGGGTCAAGCAAACCAGCCTCCTTAAAATTTTGAAATTAGGCTGGACGTGGTGGGTCACACCTGTAATCCCAGCACTTTGGGAGGCCGAGATGGGCAGATGACGAGGTCAGGAAATCAAGACCACCCTGGCTAACACGGTGAAACCTCATCTTTACCAAAAATACAAATAATCATAATCATAATCATAATCATAATCATAATAATCATAATAAAATAGCCGGGCGTGGTGGCACGTGCCTGTAGTCTCAGCTACTTGGGAGGCTGAGGCAGGAGAATCACTGGAACCCGGGAGGTGGAGGTTGCAGTGAGACGAGATCGTGCCACCGCACTCCAGCTTGGGCAATAGAGTGAGACTCCGTCTAAAGAAAAAAAAAATTGAAATTAGAGGCGCCCTTGAGATTTCTCATAAAAACCCAGGATTCTCTCTTGAAAAATGCACAAGATGTTTATATACACATTCAGGGATTTCCACCTCCCTGGAGCTATTTCCAGGAACTCTAACATTCCAAGGAGCCCAGGTTGGAGCCTCTGATCATCCATTATCTTTCATTTCGAGTATTACCATCATAATTCAAGCCAACCTTAAAACTCTCCTCATCAATATTATCCTCTCCTAATCTCTTCTGTTGTGTTTATACTTCCTGATGAATATGCCAGTATCCAGCTTAAAGTTTTAAACGCTTTTCCCTTTCCTACTTACTGAACAAAGTGCAAACTCCTCAGTCCATTGTCTTATCTCCCCATAAAGCCCACTTTCCTATCTGCTTTATATCTTGGATATACATAATAGAACTTCTCCATCCCCATGCTTGTACTTAAGTTGTTTCTGCTTTCAAACCCTTCCTTTCCATCTCTGCCTATTGAGCTTAAGGCTCAATTAAAACACCCACTACTCTTTAAAGTTGCCTTCATATCTTTTTCCTCTCTCTATGCTTCATGGACTGAGTTTATGTCTTTCATGTGGTGTACCGTATATGTTTATTTATACTGTAGTCATTAATATACATGATTTATATCCTTTTAAGACAGACCCGGCACAGTGGCTCACACCTGTAATCCCAGCACTTTGGGAGGCCGAGGTGGGTGGATCACGAGGTAAGAGATTGGGACCATCCTGGCCAACATGGTGAAGCCCTGTCTCTAGTAAAAATACAAAAATTAGCTGGGTGTGGTGGCACGTGCCTGTAATCCCAGCTACTTGGGAGACTGAGGCAGGAGAATCGCTTGAACCCAGGAGGCAGAGGTTGCAGTGAGCCAAGATCGCACCACTGCACTCCAGCCTGGCGACAGAACAAGATTCCGTCTCAAAAAAATAAAAAAAAAAGACAGAAAGAAAGAAAAAAAGACAGTCAATGCATTGTGTTTGGAATGTATTCTTGTATATCTTTTTCATGCACATTTTATTTAATTAACAAAATTTGATTGAAACCAATCATGTTCATGGTATAAAGTTATTAGCAAATTGTACATGGTCCTTGCTATCATAGAATATACAGCTAAACAGACAATAAATTAGCAAATAAATAAATAAATACAAAATGTGAAATGTCATGAAATAAAGAAACATGTTAGTTAAAAAAATAACAGAAGAAGAACCCACTTAGAATGATCAGGAAATGTATCCTTAAGTAAGAGACGTTGAACCCAGAGCTGCAGGATGAGAGGAAAGTTGCTATACAGAGCTTAGAGAAGAACATTCCAGACAGGAGGAGGTGCATCGGCAGAAACCCTAAAATAAGTGAAGAAAACTCTCAAAACGTTCTAAGAATGGAATTAGGGCCCATAGTGGCTGAAGCATAGTGAGTGAGAGGAGAAATTGTACCAGATATTGCAGAGATAAACAAGGGCCAGGTTACTTAAGGATTTACAGTCCATGATAGGAATTTTTAATTTTATGCTACATGTGGGGATCCCAGGAGAGACATAATTCAATTTGTACGTAAAAGCTCAAGGAGGCTCCTGTGTGGAGAATGAACTGAAGATGCCATATACAACAGAGAACCAGGAGAACTAGTTATAAGGCTAATGCTCCATTGAAGTAGTAGAGATACAGTGGCAGCAATGGAGAAAGTACACAGTTTTCAGTGGAGGTAAAATTAACAGGCCATGGGAATGGACTTGAAATGGGGAAGGAGAGAAAGAAGAACCCATTATGATTTCTAGAAGCTGGATGATTAGTGATTAACTCCAGTGTTCTGGAAGATAAATGGGCTTGAGGAATTAATAATTCTGTTCTTTGCTTTTAAAAAAGTCACAGGAAGTTTCTAAGAAGATTATGGCTTTAAGATGACTGTTGATGTACTCCGCCTACCCCGGTTCAACTGCTAAGTGACAGCCTCACAGGGGCAGCTGCTGGAATCTTGGGACAGGAAGGCTGGAGAGTGAGAGTCTGTCCAAGCCCTGCTGAGATCCCAATTGAGAGTGTTGGTACAGACTTGTTCCCCTCTAGATAGGACAAAAACCTTGAGACTGGAAATTCTTGGAGAAGATCAAAACGCTGGGATAAAGCTATGAACCAAAGCAAGGGGAAGATTTTTTCTGAGGGGACCTGTGAGTCTCCCTGCCATCTGGGGAGAGAAGAATGTTGGGCAGAGTCCTGTCTACCTGTGAATGTGGAAGAAGAGCAGTGGATGTGAGATACACAAACTGTAGTGTCTACTATGACAATGAATCTTGCAATACACATATTCAATTTTGAATTAAGAATGTTATACGATAAATAATGGTTTCTAAAATAGAAAAGTCATGTAAGGGGAAAGACTGATAAAATCAAGACCATGTAGAATTACAAGTATAAAATCACCTCAATTAAAATCTAGGCTATCTAGAATGAAAAGTATCTAACCACCTTAGCAAGACCTCAGCAACTGCACTACTGGTATCGCCATGTTACAGATACAGAAGCTGAGGCATAGAGAGAGTAAATAACTTGCCTAAAGACACATAGCTACTGCATGGTTCTTAAATTCAAGCAAACAAAACTTGAGTACAAATTGTTTGCAGTGATAAAGATGTCCCAGGTTTTTCAGTTATAACTGGTGGCCTTAGAAGGGAAGTCATTTGATCTTGCTAAGCCTCAGGTACATCACCTAGCAAGAGTGGCATGGAGATTAGATGATCCTATGGTCTCTTCCTACTTCAACATTTCATGAGAAGCCCTTATTTATGTCCTTATGTAAATCAACACTTTGTTAAGAATCATGATCCATTTAGGGTAGATTCAATAAAATTAACATTTCTTAAATTGGGCTTTTTGCCTTCGCAATTAAAAACAAAAATTTAGTCACAATCTATAGCATTGAAAAGGATTTGATCAACATTGACAATCTTTCAATGAATCATAACATGTAGAGGTTTTTCTTTTGTGGCTTGAGACTAAGGTACTTTTTAAAAAATAAATATCAGGCAAAGTAAAATGTGAACCATTATAAAGGTCTAGATAACTAAATTCATTAAACAGTTACCTACATGGTATGAATAATGGCCTATATCATATATTTTCCTAAATGGAAAAATATACTTAGTATTTAGTGAAATTTTTGTGATACTGATAGTGGAAATGAGTACCTTGGCTTTCTGATAGTGCTTTACTTAGGCTAAAAAATAAGCACATAAAAACAGAAGAAAAACACCAGCTGAACACTAATAAAAACAATTGATCATGATATTAGGTCATAAAATAACCTGCAATGTATGTGCATTATTTTTACTTAATTAACTTCTTCAAGAGTTAGCTTTTAAAAACTATTTGGAAATAATTATAGTTTCATAGGATGTTGCCTTTTAAGAAGTCTTCTCCAGTGTTTACATCACGTATAATTATTATACTATATCAAAATAAGCAATCTGACATTGGTATAATGTGTGTGTATTATTCTATGTCTTAAGAGTTTTTCTTAAACCTTAGAAAAATACACCTTCAATTCTTTATAATTAAGATGCCTTTCCACCTATGCTTTTGGCTGAAATTTTCACTTTGGGCTAAAATTTTATAAGGATAAAGCCTGTGCTTGAATAATGAGCTTACTTCATGCTCTTGTTGCCATATTTAGGACTTGCTTGAGATATTTTCAGCATTAGCTAAATTATATCCTCATTTGTTCAACAGCCAGAAATTTATTCTATTTTTATAGATAAAGTTGCTATAAAGAAAAGAAGTATTTGACAAGTCCATTAAAACATTAGAAAAAATAGTACTTGAGAATGCACCTACTAAAATCAGAACAAGTGTTTCAGGCCAGGCATGGTGGCTCACGCCTGTAATCCCAGCACTTTGAGAGGCCAAGGTGGGCAGATCATCTGAGGTCAGGAGTTCAAGATTAGCCTGGCCAACATGGTGAAACCCCATCTCTACTAAACATACAAAAAATTAGCCAAGCAAGCATGGTGGCACGTGACTGTAGTCCCAGCTACTTGGGAGCCTGGGCAGTAGAGCAAGACCCTGTCTCAAAAAAAAAAAAAAAAAAAAAAGAATAGGTGTTTCAAATTTTAAATACTCTGAATTTAATTTTTTCCCCTCTAGCTGCCCTTTGATGTTGTCTGCTTTACCATTGTTTTAAACACTTCCTCTGGACACCCTGGTTTCATGACAAGTTGATTAAGCTTATTTTATTATGTTTGGTCTCTAGCTCTGGGAGAAAAGACAATGCCTGAGTTCTCTTCAACATGCAGAGAGGGTTGCTGACCTTAAGCTCCCTCCATGGTGTACTTTGGAAGGACCACAGGCATACTTCAGATCTATTGCAGGTTCCTTTCCAGGCCACCACAATAAAGTAAACATGACAATAAAGTGAGTTGCACAAATTTTTTTGGTTTCCTAAGTGCACATAAAAATTATAATACGCAACCGGCACGGTGGCTCATGCCTGTATTCCCAACACTTTGGGAGGCCGAGGCAGGCGGATCACCTGAGGTCGGGAGTTCAAGACCAGCCTGACCAACATGGAGAAACCCCGTTTCTACTAAAAATACAAAATTGGCCCAGCACGGTGGTGCATACCTGTGATCCCAGCTACTTGGGAGGCTGAGGCAGGAGAATCACTTGAACCTGGGAGGTAGAGGTTGCGGTGAGCCAAGATCATGCCACTGCACTCCAGCCTAGATGACAGAGTGACACTCTGTCTCAAAAAAAAATTATAATACACTATATTAAGTGTTCAGTAGCTAAAAAACAATGTATATACCCTAATTTAAAAATACTGTATTGCTAAAAAATGCTGACAATCAACTTAGCCTTCAGCAAGTTGTCAGCTTTTCCACTGGTGGAGGATCTTGCCTTGATGTTGATGGAGGCTGACTGATTAGAGCGGTGGTTGCTAAAAGTGGGAGTGGCAGTGGCAATTTCTTAAAATAACACAACAATGAAATTTGACACATTGATTGAATCTCTTTTTCATGAAAAATTTCTCCGTAGCATGTAATGCTGTTTAGTTGCATTTTACCCTCAGTAGAACTTTCAAAATTGGAGCTAATCCTCTCAAATCCTGCCACTTCTTTATTAACTAAGTTTATGTAATATTCTAATTTTTTTGATATCAATTAAACAATGTTCACATCTTCACCAGGAGTAGATTCCATCTCAAGTAACCATTTTCTTTACTCATCCATTAGAAGCAACTCCTCATCCATTCAAGTTTTGTTTGTTTGTTTGTTTTTTGAGATGGAGTCTTGCTCTGTCACCCAGTGCAGTGGAGCAATCTTGGCTCACTGCAACCTCTGCCTCCTGGGCTCAAGCAATTCTCCTGCCGCAGCCTCCCGAGTAGCTGGGATTACAGACGTTCACCACTATGCTCGTCTGATTTTTGTGTGTTTAGTAGAGACAGGGTTTCACCATGTTGTCCAGGTTGGTCTCGAACTCCTGACCTCAGTGATCTGCCCACCTCTGCCTCCCAAAGTGCTGGGATTACAGGCGTGAGCCACCATGCCCAGGCCCCATTCAAGTTTTCTCCTGAACTTGTAGCAATTCAGTTACATCATTGGGCTCCACTTCTAATTCTAGTCCTCTTCTTATTTCCAACACATCTGCAGTTACTTCCTTCACTAAAGTCTTGAATCCTCAAAATATTCTGTTTACATGCTGTAAACAGAGGTGCTGTCATCTGAGCTTTCTTGTTTTATTTATAGAGCACAGGCAGAGTAGATTTAGCATGATTCTGAAAAGCCCTAAAATTTTTGGAATTGTAAATGAATAGTGGCTTTAACTTAAAGTCACCAGTGCATTAGCCCCTAACGAGAGAGTCAGCCTGACCTTTAAAGCTTTGAAGCCAGGTATTGACTTCTCCTCTGTAGCTATGAAAGTCCTAGATGGCATCTTTTTTCAATAGAAGGCTATTTGTCTCCACTGAAAATGATTTTTAGTGTTGCCATGTTTATCAATTGTCTTAGCTAGATCTTCTGGATCACTTGCTGCAGCTTCTACATCTGTACTTGCTACTGCACCTTGCACTTTTATGTAATGGAGATGCCTCCCTTCCTTAAACTTCATGAACCAACATCTGCTAGCTTTCGACTTTTCTTCAGCAGCTTCCTCGCCTCTCTGGCATTATGCAGTAGATATAGAGTCTTGCTCTGGATTAGCCTTTGACTTAAGGGAATGTTGTGGCTGGTGTGATCTTTCATCCAGACCATGCAAACTTACTTCATATTGGCAATAAGGCTGTTTTGCTTTCTTCTCATTTATGTGTTCACTGGAGTAGCACTTTTAATTTCCTTCAAGAACTTTTCCTTTCCGTTCCTAGCTTGGCTGTTTGGCACAAGAGGACTAGCCTTTAGCCTATCTCAGCTTTTGACATATCTTCCTTACTAAGCTTAATCATATCTAGCTTTTGATTTAAAGTGACAGAAGTTCAACTCTTCCTTTCACTTGAACACTTAGAGGCCATTTTAGGGTTATTAATTGGCTTAATTTCAATATTGCTGCATCTCAGGGAATAGGGAGGCCCAAGGAAAGGGAGAGAGACAGGGGAACAGCCGGCCAGTGGAGCAGTCAGAACATGTACAACGTTAAGTGATTTAGTTTGCCATCTTATATGAGAGTGATTTCTAGTGCCTCAAAACAATTACAATGGTTACATCAAAGATCACTGACCACAGATCATCATGATGGATATGATAATAATCAAGTTTAAAATATCATAAGAATTACATGACATAGAGGCACCAAGTGTGCACATGCTGTTGAAAAAATGATGCTGATGGACTTGTCTGAGGCAAGTTTGCCACAAACTTTCAACTTGTAAAACACGCATTATCTGTGAAGTCCAATAAAGCAAAGCATGATGAAATAATCTATCCCTTTATGTTGGAGAAAGGGCTCCGACCAAAGCTCTAATTCCAACGTTAGTATCAGTTCATACCGTGCTACTCAGGCTTTACTGAGCCTCCATTTCCCACCTTTAAAAATGTAACTTACACATTCTAAGATACTACTTTCAATTCAATAATTCTGTGATTCTCCAATTTAGCTGGGACATGCAAATTTAATCCTGTAGCCAACAATCCCTAGTGTAGGATGTTATCAGCAGAAGCACAGTTTCATTTATTTGAAAGGATTAAACTGATATGCTCGAGGCATCAATGCTAGCCTGGATGATGGACAAGAGAATCTTTTCAGCTATGACCATCTGGCTTAGCCATGTCCCTGACCTTTGCACACTCCAGGCTAAGCAGTCTTTGCTAGGCTATGAGCTATGTCAGGACATGAGCAACAACAAATTATAATTCCACTGCTCAGTTGTGAAAGATCTAGGATAATGGATAATGTGACGTGCAATGGGAACATGAGATTGGAGTTAGACCTTGGTTTAAATGCTGACCCACCTCGTACCAGCTTATGTTTATAAATAGATAAGTGGATCTGGCCGGAAGGAGAACCAGGGTAGGTGAACTCTGAACAGAAATCTAAGAACAGGCACAGAGATGGTTTTACTCTCTGCTCCATTTTAAACTGCCTGGACAGAGGTGCTCCTGGACCCAGAGGTGTGATTTCCAGCCAGCCAGAAGCCAGAGGCCTGAGAGCGAATCCTACCCTTAAAAAGTGAAGTCAAGACAGGAAAGGATGACCTCACAGCAGCTGGATACAAGCAATTAGCACAAATGAGTGTCAGAATCATAGACCTTCAGATTTGGGAGAAAACTAACTGATGTAATTCTCAGTATCCTACAATATCCTGACCAGTGATGGTCTATTCTCTGCTTCGGTATGCCCAGTGGTGGATAATTCATCCTCTCCCAGGAAAACAAAAACAAAAACAAACAAACAAAAAAACAAACTTTAATTTTTTTTGCCTTCTGAAATGCATTATTTTCTGAGGACTGTTTAACTTTCTTATGTTTTTCTCGTGCAAGGGTTTGAGTAGGAAGTATAAGAAAGAATGGAAGAAAAAAAACAATAGCATCTATTGCTGAAACTTGGCCTGATGGGTTGCTAGTATCACAGTTTCATTTGTTTTATTTTCAGGAATAATTTAACCTCAGAATCCATGAATTGCTATGGAGAAGCAAATCTTTGTGAGCATTTTCTTTGGACTTATTTTGAATTTCATCACTTTAGAGAGAACAATTTTATATTGCTTAAAAATTCAAATTATTGTGACCAAGTTTTGGAAAAATGCCAGAACAAATGGTTTCTTTTTTATATCTATTTCAAATACATAGTTTGATGTTTTCTCTAAGCTCTTGCTTAAAGTGTGAAATTGTTCCCATGGCTCTGGTAATGCTTCTTAAATTTCTTATTAAAAACAAAGTGCAGAAATATACTGCATGGAAAAAAAAACTACCTTTAATAAAAATAGCTAATCTTACATAGAATCAGACCTACAGTGTCTATATAATATTTACAACCTTCCAGAATAGTTAATGGGAATCATTTTCATTTTTCCTCAAACTGGAGTGCTCTTTAACATTATTTTCTCTTTTCTTAAGTATATAGGGCTTATATTTGATGGTAATTAGAACTATTAGAAATGCAGTAACTGTATTTCATAGGAATAATTTGTGCTCTCTACAACCCAATTGCCACTATATTTTAATATCTAATACACAGTCAGTAGAAACTTGCTTTCACTATTCAATTATTCAGTTTTTATACCCCAGAAAGAGCAAACACTATTAATTCTTCCATGTATGCAGTTATGAAACAGGATTATAATGAGGTTGAAGGGTCTTACTCTTTTTCTTTTTTTTAGATGAAGCCTTGCTCTGTTGCCCAGGCTGGAGTGCAGTGGTGCGATCTTGGCTCACTGCAACCTCCACCTCCCGGGTTCAAGAGATTCTTCTGCCTCAGCCTCCCAAGTAGCTGGGACTGAAGGTGCACGCCACCATGCCCGGCTAATTTTTGTAATTTTAGTAAAGATGGGGTTTCACCATATTGGCCAGGCTGGTCTCGAACTCCTGACCTCGTGATCTGCCCGCCTCAGCCTCCCAAAGTGCTGGGGTTACAGGCATGAAGCCACTATGCCAGTCAGTTCTGACTCTTAAGGAATCATCCATCCAGGAAATTAAAAGGATTTCAAGAGGAATATTTATGCATACCAGTCTAAACAGTGCCATTTATCATCAAGTCATACAAAAACCTACCATTTGAATCTGACTAATTTTTTCTAACAAAAGTGATGAATTTTAAGACAGGAAAACAAAGCAGTGTAGTGTTTGAGAGGGCAGACTCTGGAGCCAGATGGCTCTGAATTTGGATTTTGTCTTCATTATAACTACCTACAATGACCATGAGCAAGCTATTTGGATATAACCTAAGCATTTAATTATACACTTAAAGATAAGCCTAATAAGAATTTTTAACCTCATTAAGTTCTTGTGAAGAATAAATAAGATAATACATACAAAATATCTTCTATGGCACCTAACACAGAGTAGATGCAATAAATATTAAGTGCTATATTGCTCTATTTTTATGCTGCTAATAAAGACACACTCAAGACTGGGTAATTTATAAAGGAAAGAGGTTTAATTGACTCAGTTCTGCAGGGCTAAAGAGGCCTCAGGAAACTTACAGTCATGGGTGAAGGGGAAGCAAACACGTCCTTCTTTATGGGGCGGCAGGACAAAGAAGAGCCGAGAAAAAGGGGGAAAGCCCCTTATAAAACCATCGGAGTTCATGAGAACTCACTCACTATCATGAGAACAGCATGAAGGGAACTGCCCCCAGGATTAAATTACCTCTCACCAGGTTCCTCCCATAACACATGGGGATTATGGGAACTACTATACATATCAAGATGAGATTTGGGTGGGGACACAGCAAAACCATATCAATGCTATTATGGGATTGCTTAATCCTGCATTCCAGAATGATATATTGTAACTGCTATATTCCAGGCCTTGTGAAAGTACTGGGCATATGAATATTCAAAATTCCTGGTTTTATTGGTTCTCAAAATCTAGAAGAGATGAAAGAAACATAAATAAACAGGAGTATAATGAGAAAAATGCAGTGGCAAAGGGACATGGGTATATTGCCTTTGGGAACCGAGAGAGACATCACTCATAAGATTATGTTAAGATGCAGAATTTTAGAAACATTTCTGATCCTTTTCTAGCTATGGCAAAGGCTCTATGGATAAGATTTCTGGGAATAAATCATATGTTTCTAAAATCTACTATAATTTCTTCAGGCTTTTAAGGATGCTGTCCAGGCATTATTCTAGAGATTATCATCAAAGCACAGCATTCACAGCATTTCCAGAAGTGTCAGGAAATTCTATAGAATCTCTTGGGTCCCTTAGCTGATGGGAGGACAATTGTCATCTTATATGATGTAGTGGGTTAAGTGTGGCCTCTGGAATCAGACTCCTGGGGTTGAATTTTGACTCTTCCACAAGTACCAGTTTGCTGTATGCAAAATACTCAGCTTCTCTACACCTCAGTTTCTTCTTCTTCAAAATGGGGAAGCAGAATAACAATTTTATAAAATTTTGTGAGGATTGAAGAATAATATAGGTAAGTCACTTTCAGATGTTAAGGGATAAATGGATGTTAGCTTTTATTGCATATGATGAAAGAGCTAAAAACTACTCTCATTTCAGGAAAGTTGTCATTTTTTGTTTGGTTTGGTTGGACCATGACCCACTAATCAGAATAAAAAGATGCAACTCCTGGTGAAAAGGAAAAATCTAGAGGTGCTAGAAGGAACACCTCTATTTGTTATTCTGTTCTGTCCTATTTCCCTAGATGGTGAAGGGTGAAGGGTTCTGTAAGTGTCAAATAAGATAAGGGGCTAGTTTCCATTTACATTGTTGTGATAGCTCTATTTTCTGTGTGCTCATTCATAATGTTCTTATTTAATGTGTCAATATGTTTTAGTCCTGACATAGCGTGCTCTTGGTTTTATGACCAAATCTGTAGCCATGCTGTCCATAGTTTTGTTTTTCATATTTTAATAAGGATCCATTAGTTTATCCTTTCATCAGGCTCTTCTTGTGAAAAGATTCATGTAAGAATCAGCCAGAGCTAAATAAACAACCCCCTAGCTACCCAAGTCAATAAAAAAAGAAAGCACCAATGTCTTGGAAAGGAAGATATGTCATCCATAGAAATATTAATAATAAACTCTGAACACAGGAAGTGGTGGGAGTGTAATTCATACTAAAATAAACATACTGATTAATTAAAATCTCAGTCACCATGCCCTGCCTGCAGGCACTTCATTGTTAGTGTTACCAGGAGCAAAGCTGTATTGTTATTCTCTGATTTCTAGAGATTATCATATGGGATGTCTTATTATAATTTGAAAAGCAGCTCCAGAATCACCAACTGCTCCACACCACATGAAAATGAAAAAACACACAAACACATTTGATGCGTACTATTATATATATATAATATATAATATATATATATACCATTTCAGCAGTAGACCGAACTTATTTCATTTATCCCATTTATCCTTGTTATTTCTTAACACTAAATATTTACTATACTCAAATTTGATAGTAATAAACGTTTCACAGGAGGTTTTCTGCTTAAGCAGACTTTTTAAAACCTGTTCAGTATTGTGAGATATAACACAAATACAAAAAAAGTATAAAGCATGGTTGAAGAATACAATGAAAAGTATAAAGAGAACACCCAATATGAGAAATAAAATATTGCTACATTCAAAGAGGTTTTCTATATCACTGTGTGTCTCTTCCAGATTCTATTCCTCCTTCCTTCCCACTTGAGACAGCAATTGCCTTGCTTTTACAGCAACCATTTTCTCTATAGTTTCCCAACTATGTGCACATCCCTAGTAATGTAGTTGAATTTTGCATTTAAAAAAATTAATTTGGGCTGGGTGCGGTGGCTCACGCCTGTTATCCCAGCACTTTGGGAGGCTGAGGCGGGCGGATCAAAAGGTCAGGAGATCGAGACCATCCTGGCTAACACGGTGAAACCCCGTCTCTACTAAAAATACAAAAAAATTAGCCGGGCGTGGTGGCGGGCGCCTGTAGTCCCAGCTACTCCGGAGGCTGAGGCAGGAGAATGGTGTGAACCCAGGAGGCGGAGCTTGCAGTGAGCTGAGATCGCGCCACTGCACTCCAGCCTGGGCGACAGAGCGAGATTCCGTCTCAAAACAAACAAACAAACAAAAAACAAAAAAGCAAAAAAATTAATTTGAGTGGATACATGCAAAATGTATTATTATATGTTCTGGTTTCATTTATTCAATATCATATTGGAAGATTGCAGAATACGGCCAGGGTTTATTTTATTTTATTGCTATAAAAGTTCCAATCTATGAATACATGATATTACTTAACCATTCTACTGTCTTTGGACATTTGGATTGTTTCCAGTTCGGGATAATTAGAAGAAATGATGCTATAGACATTCTTTTGCATGTCGTATATTCTGATCCACATAGGAGGAGATTGTATGAGTTTTATTCCAGGGTTTGAAATTGTAGGATGATAAGACATGCATATTTTCAGTTTTACTAGCTAATTCCAAACTGTTTTCCAAAATGGCTGTACCAATTTACACTCCTACTAGCAGTGTATGCAACTCATACTGTTCCCATCTTTCTCAGTCTTATGGCTCTGCAAGGGTGTCATATTGCAGTTTTAATGTGCCTTTTCCTGATTACTAATAATGTTAAACACCTCTTATATGTTTCACAACCATTTGAATTTCCTTTCTTCTGAAGTTCCTGTTCAAATATTTTGTCAATTTTTCTACTGGATTTTCTTCCTTTTTCTTATTGTTTGTTCTAAAGTCTCTGTACTAGTCCTTTGTTATTTATTTAACAAACTTTTTTTCAATTCTGTGACTTGTATTTTTACTCTATTGATGATGTCTTTTGATAAAGGAGTTCTTATTTTAATGTAGTCAAATTTAATAATTTATTTCTTAAATGTGCTTTTTTTGTGTCTCATTTAAGAAATATTTTCCTAACCCCAAGGTTATGATGATAGTCTTCTATAGTATCTTCTAAAATCGTTCTAATTTTATCTTTTACATGTAAGTTTACATCCCACTTGGAGCTACTGTTTTTATATGGTCTAAGGCTAGAGAATAATTTTTTTCTTTCTTAAATCTAGAACCACTTTTTCATATCATTAACTATAGTGAGAAGACCATCCCTCATTCATTTTTCTGTAGAGTAACCTCTCCCATAACAATAATGGCAATAATAATAATAGCAATGACAATAATGATATCAAATATGGTGCTCATTGTATATAGTCAAATATACTAATTTAATAAAAACGTGGCTATCTCTGGGCTCTCTCTTTTGTTCCACTGGTGTATTTGTCTGTGTGTTTATTTATTTCAGCACCAATGTTTTAATTGTAATAACTTTATCTGTGCTTAAGATGTTTTAAGTGATTATAATATTACAACATATTGAGGGTATTATAAGATAGTAAAAAACTAGATATCTCTTTGGTAAGTTTCATAATTGTTAATGATCAACTTGATGATCAGAATCCATGTAAACCAATAATTCTTTTTTTTTTTTTTTTTTCTTTGAGATGGTGTCTCGCTCTGTCGCCAGGCTGGAGTGCAGTGGCGCGAGCTCGGCTCACTGCAACCTCTGCCTCCCGGGTTCAAGCGATTCTCCTGCCTCAGCGTCAGGAGTAGCTGGGACTACAGGCATGGGCCACCACACCCAGCTAATTTTTGTATTTTTATTAGAGACGGGGTTTCACCATGTTGGCCAGGATGGTCTCAATCTCTTGACCTCGTGATCCACCTGCCTCGGCCTCCCAAAGTGCTGGGATTACAGGCATGAGCCACTGCACCTGGCCAATGATTCATTTTTAAAAGATGGTAAATGATTCTTAATGATCCAACTCTAGTTTGAGAAGATAATATGTAATAAAGAAGCAAATGAGGAAGCAGAGTATCTTAACCAGGGGTGCACATTAGAATAAATTGAGGAGGCTTTCAAAGTTCAAATGTTTTACTAGTCTCAAAGAAGTATAAGATACAGGATAGATGTGTATTTTGAGAAAGCTCCATAGGTGATTCCAATGATATTCTTGTTGATAATTACTCCAAAGAGTAACTTTCTGACAATGTTAATTTTAAGTGCCAAATCTACCATACATTAGTTTATGACTTCGAAGATGTTACAGAAACGTTTAGTTTTCTCAACTGTAAAATAGGGATGAATGACACCTACCTGACAGGGTTTATGAAGACTAGCAGGCATCACTAAATCTTATTTCTCATTCTCCTTTAATCTGGGTTTTCTGGCCTGTAAAATTGAACTAATAATTACTTAGTACAAAGAGCGGCCGAAAATATCTAAATAAAGCAAACTATATGGAAGCAGTTAATGAATTGCAAAATATTATTTAAATATAAGTTATTTTCCTCTAAAGAGCTATCAGGTCAAGGAATACCTGGGAACAAGAGATACTGAATTACTTAGTACAAGGAATGAGTGCAAACTTTCAGGGACTTAGTGTCAGTTTCTATTAGAAACTGAAAATGGTGTCCTGTGCGCCTTCTGAGGCACCATCTTCTTGTCAGTGTGGCCATTTATCAGGTAATATAAATGGCAGTGGGAGATATGTGCATGTTCTGTTCCTTTCCTTTCCTTTCCTTGCCTTTCCTTTCCTGTTCTCTTTTCTTCTCTTCTCTTCACTTCTCTTGTTTTCTTTCTTTTCTTTTCTTTTGAGACAGGATCTCACTCTGTCATCCAGGCTGGAGTGCAGTGGCATGATCTTACCTCACTGCAACCTTCACCTCCCAGGCTCAAGAGATCCTCCCACCTCAGCCTTCTGAGTAGCTAAGACTACAGGTGCATGCTACCATGCACAGCCAATTTATTTTTATTTTTGTTTTTGTTTTTGTTTTTATTTTTTGTAGAGATGGGTTTCACCATGTTGCCCAGGCTGGTCTCGAACTCCTGGGCTCAAGTGATCTGCTTGTCTTGGCCTCCCAAAGTGCTGAGATTACAGGTGTGAGCCACTGAGCCAGGCCGTGATATTCCTTTAGCCCTAATATCAAGTCAACCATTCTATTGGTCGCCCCAGTGCAACTAACTTATAGTGTCTGCCCACTTGAACTTCACCTAGTTTACTTGGTTATTATTTAGCAAACAAAGTGGCTTGGACAGCAAATTGGAATGGAAAAGACTTGTTGAGCAAAGCTGGGTGCAAATCAAGATTATTAGAAAAAATAACCTGCTTCGTACTCACACAGATCCCCAAGAGAGCCTCTTCATTCTGACTAATAAACTGGCGTCTGTTTTCAAGTCTGATTGTTTGAATAAAAAAGAATTTCTGCTTGAAGAAAATGAAAGTGTACTTGGGTATCACATGTACCTCACCTTCAAATATCTAACTTACACAATAGACACCCATAATAATACATCTTCCTCAATCAACCTAAATATATTAAACTGGAGTTTCCAGCACTGGCCTAGGTGTTATTCAGGTGCCAATAGCTGTATTCAAGGAAGAAACAGTCCTTAAATAACTGAACTTAGAACCAAAAAGCTAAAAAAAAAGCATGATTCTTAAATGTGGTAATTATTTTTCTAGCACTATGAATAGTAGCCAACATTTTGTTTACACTTATCTTTGATTAATGTTAGTTCCTTCCTTAGCTAAAATCTTTCTAGTTTTATTGTGTTTAAAAATAACTTTTGATGTGAATGCATAAATTATGTATAACATAGGCAAACAAAAAACAAGCAAAAACTCTAATAATTTTGTTGTATGTTATATGAACTGGACAGATTAAGGTTCTCTATGATTTTTTCTGTCAAGTAATTGTAATTCTACCTTGTTTTCGAGGTTTGGTTCAGGTGTTTTCAAGAAGCTTCCTTCAGTCCTGTCTGAGCTAAGAACCTCTGAGAATGCTGTGAATATACATTTAGGGTTATGTTCACCATATGCTACATGCGAAATGATATATTTCTGTATATTTTCCCCACTGAATTTAGTGTCTGTCCAAAGTAAGGACAGTCTCATTTTACTGCCATCATCTTCCGCAGAACTTGGCACCAGCTGGTTTACACCTTAAATGTCAGTTGAATGAACCTGAACTGATACTACCTCTTGCTGTAATCCATTCTTCTCTCATATAAACTGAGAGTGAGATGAACATATTCTACTAAATAAAGATGGGATGAGAATTCTTAACTTCATACTTTGCTGTTTTTCCCTTACCGACCCTCCAGCCAAGAAAACTGTGTTAAACTGTTCAGAAACCCAGCAAATCTGGCTGGAAAGAGAACATTATGTCCAAGCCACAGGAAGCATGAAAAGGAAATAAAAGAATTTCTCTGGAAGTATAAAGTTAGAAGTGTTAAGATGCCTTGGAAGCCAGGAACAATTGAAATATTTTCAAAGCACAAAGTTTCTGATTTCCTCAAAGGCAAAATATTTGAGTAAGACTTAACTATATTCTAGCTTCTAATATATTAGCTTATTTTATTTTCACCCTGTATTTGGCTGACTTAGGTGCAGACATTCTAGTAATAATGAGATATTTGGAGTATTAGCATGGCTATTTAATTATAATTTGTATTTTCTCTCAAGATGTGACTTTTTAAAGCTTTTATACAGTGCTTAATCATATTAGGTACATGTTTTCCCCTAAAGAAATACCCACATAAAAAATTTGCAGAAAAACTTGCACTTTTTTCCAAAAGTATTTTGTGTTCTTTATTTAGTGTTAAATATAGGCTAACCACAGTATCTTGAGATTGATTATTTTAAAAATAGACTAGTATTATGGATGTGCTCAAGCAGAAAGCTACGGATGCAATTTTAAAAATTCCATTTGGCTGTCATTGGAAAGCGTAATACTCTAGTTTTTAAGTAGACATGCTTTGGAGTCACCCAGATGTGGGATTAAATTCAACTTCTGCAGATTAATAAGTGAGACTTTGGGGATTCTATGTAATCTCTTTGAGCTGCATCTTTCTCACCTATAAAATAATAACACTGTATACATATGGCATGTTTTGAGGTTTTAAATTCTCAATTGGTAGCTATTCATATACCCTCTATGAAATAGTTTTTTTTTTTTTTAAACTATTCACTTGATGTCAAGGGATTTGTCTACTTTCCAATTGGGTATTTTCTAATTTCCAACCTATTATAGGAAAGACAGATCACTGTCTTCATTTTACTAACTGTCTTACTAACTGCCATGTTTTCTATTTCCTTCTACCTCACCACAAACTCCTGGTCTCTATGATTCCATGCATAGTATAATCATTGAATGTGAATTTCACCTTTCATATAGAGTCTGGCTAATTTGCTTTCCTCTACTTCATTCATATCCATATACATTTATGAACATCATGTTCTCTTTCCAGTTGCAAAATGTCCTTTATATGGCCTTTAAATGTATTGTCCATTTTGAAAATTAGGTGCACTTTCCCAGGCAGCTCCTCCACACCCTCCGCTCCTTCCAGCCTGCCTCAGTCTTACATATGTTCAGCCAGACTTGGTTCTCTTTGACCACAATTTCACCTCCATTTTCCCTAGTCTGTCCTTGTATAAGTCACAGAGTTCTTCTTATTTTGCTATACCACGCCTTTATATGTTTATTATTTATTGATTTTTGAGACAGAGTCTCGCTCTGTGACCCGGGCTGGAATGCAGTGGTGCGATCTAGGCTCACTGCAACTTCTGCCTCCTGGGTTCAAGTGATTGTTGTGCCTCAGCCTCCCGAGTAGCTGGGATTACAGGTGTGTGTTACCACGCCTGGCTAATTTTTGTATTTTTAGTAGATACAAGCTTTCACCATGTTGTCCAGGCTGGTCTCAAACTCCAGACCTCAAGTGATCTGCCTGCCTCAGCCTTCCAAAGTGCTGGGATTACAGGTGTAAGCCACCACACCCAGCCTTTGTCTTTATTTTTCAGGACACTTTCTCTTACATGATTTGTTGTAAGTAGAATATTTGGAATGAAGTTTGGAATGCTGTTTAATCTGTCCAAAACTGTTTCCTTATCTGTGAAATTAGGATAGAGAAGTGACTTTACAGATGTTTCATGAAGATCAAATGAGATGACATACATGAAATTTTCGGCATATAGTAGGTGCTCAAATTTTAGTAGTTTTCTGGCCTTCTGTACCTTTTTCTCCCCTGTAGAAATCATTGTGAAAATAAAATTCATTTTTTATGATAATTAAATGCCTCTTACGTAAGTTTTCCTCCTAGGAACTTATATTTTAAAATTAAATTATAAAAGGCAACCCAAAGAATAAGAGAAAATATGTGCAAAGCATACGTCTAATAAAAGACTATTATCCAAAATATATAAAGAACTCTTAGAACTCAAAAATATCAAAAAAATAACCCTATTGAAAATGGGCAAAGGACTTTAATAGATGTTTCCCCAAAGAAGATATACAAATGTTCATTAAGCATGTGAAACTATGCTCAATGACATTAGTCACTAGGGAGATGAAAATTAACATCATGCTGAGGTGATAAGCACTTCACACCCACAAGGATGAGCATAATCAAAATGACAGACAATAGTGGAGAAATTGGAACCCTCATGCATTGCTGGTAGGAATGTAAAATGTGCAGCTGCTTTGTAAAATGGTTTGGCAGTTCTTCAAAAATCTAAACATAGAGTTAGCAGACAACCTGGCAATTTCACTTCTAGGTATATATCCAAGAGAAAGGAAAACATATGTCCACAAAAAAAAAGTATGCAAGAAGGTTCATAGCACCATTATTCATAATAGCTGACAAAGTGACAACAATCCAAATGTCCATCAACATATGAAAGGTTAAACAAAATATGGTGCATCCATACATAGAAATATTATTTGTAATAAAAAAGGAATGAAATATTGATATATGTTACCACATGGATGAACCTTGTGAATATTATGCTACGCAAAGTGAGGTAAGTTACAAAAGATCACATATTATATTATTCCATTTATAGGAAATGTCTAGAATAGGCAAATGCGTAGAGACAAAAATAGGACTAGTGGTTGCCAGGAGGTGGAGGGGAAGAAGAATCAGAAGCCATTGCTAGTGGATATATTATTGTTTGTTGGTTTTTGTGAATAGATTTTTTTTTTTTTTACTTATTTTACTGTTTTTGATTTTTTTATTTTTTGTAGAAACAGGATCTCACTGTATTGCCCTGGCTGTTCTGAACTCCTGGCTTCAAGCTATCCTCCTGTCCCAACCTCCCAAAGTGCTGGGAGTACAGGCATGAGCCACCACACCTGGCCTAGACTATTTTTTAGTGCAGGTTTAGGTTCACAGCAAAATGAAGTGCAAAGTACAGAAATTTCCCATTTACCCCTTGCCACCCCCATACACACAGGTCTACCACTATGAAAATCCCACACCAGAGTGGAACATTTGTTACAATTGGTGAAACTACATTAACATATCATTATCACCCAAAGTCCATAGTATACATCACAGTTCACTCTTGGTGTTGTACATTCTATGAGTCTTGACAAATGTATAATGACATGTATCCACCATCATAGTATCTTACAGAGTAGTTTCACTGCCCTAAAAATACTCTGCACTCTGTCTATTTGTCCCTCATTCCCTTTGCCACTGGAAAACACTGAATTCTTTCCAGTTGCCATTATTTTGCTTTCTTCACAATGTCATATAGTTGGAATCATACAGTATAAAGCTTTTTCACATTGGCTTCTTTCATTTAGTAAAATGCATTTAAGGTTTCTTCACATCTTTTAATGGTTTGATAGTTCATTTCTTTTTAGCACTAAATAATATTCTATTGATATAGATATCACTATATCTATATCACTAAATAATATAGCACTAAATAATATAGCACTAAATAATATATCTATTGACATAGATATATCACTGTTTATCCATTCACCTTCTGAAGAACATCATGGTTGCTTCCAAGTTTTGGCAAGTAGGACTAAAGCTGCTATAAACATCCATGTGCAAGCTTTGTGTAGACATAAGTTTTTAACTCATTTGGGTAAATACCAAGGAGTGTGATTTTTGGATCATATGGTAAGAGTATGTTCAGTATTATAAGAATTTCCAAACTATCTTCCAATGTGATTGTACCCTTGTGAATTCCCACTAGAAATGAATGAGAGTTCCTTTTGCCCCCCATCCTTGCCAGCATTTGGTGTTGTTAGTCTTTTGGCCATTCTAATGATATGTGGTAGTATCTCTTTGTTATTTTAACTTTCAATTCTCTAATGACATATGATATTGAGCAACTTTTCATATGCTTATTTAACTTCTGTGCAACTTTTTTGGTGAAACATCTGTTCAAGTATTTTATACATTTTACATTGTGTTATTACTTTTCTTGTTGTTGAGTTTTCAAATTTCTTTATATATTTTTGATTACAGCCTCTTATCAGATATGTCTTTTTTAAAAAATTTATTTTAAGTCCTGGAATCCACGTGCAGAATGTGCGGGTTTGTTACATAGGTGAACATGTGCCATGGTGGTTTGCTGCACCTGTCAACCCATCACCTAGGTATTAAGCCCAACATGTATTAGCCATTTATCCTGATTCTCTTCCTCCCCTGACCCCCTGCCAGCAGGCCCTAGTGTGTGTTGTTCCCCTCCCTGTGTCCATGTGTTCTCATTGTTCAGCTCCCACTTATGAGTGAGAAGATACAGTGTTTGGATTTTTGTTCCTGTGTTAGTTTGCTGAGGATAATGGCTTCCAGCTCCATCCATGTCCCTGCAAAGGACATGATCTCATTCCTCTTTATGGCTATATAGTATTCCATGGTATGTGTGTACCACATTTTCTTTATTCAGGCTATGATTGATGGGCATTTGCGTTGATTCCATGTCTATGCTATTGTGAATAGTGTTGCAATAAACATACATGTGCATGTATCTTTATAATAGAATGATTTACATTCCTTTGGGTATATACCCAGTAATGGGATTGCTGGGTCAAATGGTATTTCAAAGTGGGCAAAGAACATGAACAGGAACTTCTCAAAAGAAGACATTTATGCAGCCAACAAACATATGAAAAAAAGCTCAGCATCACTGATCATTAGAGAAATGCAAATCAAAACCACAATGAGATACCACCTCATGCCAATCAGAATGGCAATTATTAAAAAGTCAAGAATCAACAGATCCTGGTGAGACTGTAGAGAAATAGAAACACTTTTACTCTGTTGGTGGGAATGTAAATTAGTTCAACCATTATAGAAGACAGTATGGCAATTCCTCAAGGATCTAGAACCAGATATGTCTTTTGAAAATATTTTCTCCTAGGTCTGTGGCTTCTCTTCTCATTCCCTCTTCGCATTTTTAACTTTTATTTTAGGTTCAGGGAGTACATGTGCAGGTTTGTTACATGGGTAAATTTCATGTCACTGATGCTTGATGTATGAATGATCCCATCACCTAGGTAGCGAATGTAGCATAAGTAGCCTTCCAACTCATGCCTCCTTCCCACCCTCCCCCATCAAGTAGTTCCCAGTGTCTGTTGTTCCCATCTTTGTGTCTATGTGTATTCAATGTTTAGCTTCCACTTGTAAGTGAGAACATGTGGTATTTGGTTTTCTATTCCTCTATTAGTTGGCTTTGCTGAGAGTTTTTATTATAAATGGATGGTAGATTTTTTTCAAATGTTTTTTCTGCATCCGTTAACATGATCATGTGATTTTTTTAGCCTGTTGATGTGATAAATTACATTAATTGATATTCAATTATACCCAGTTGATTGATGGTATTGTTGAGTTCAACTATGCCCTTACTGAATTTTTGCCTGCTGTATCTGTCCATTTCTAATCAAGGGATGTTGAAATCTTCAACTATAATAGTGGATTCATCTATTTCTCCTTGTAGTTAAATCAGTTTTTACCTCACATATTATGCTACTCTTTTGTTAGTCATTTAAATGTTAATGTTTTTATGTCTTCTTGGAGAACCGACATTTATCATTATATAATGGCCCATTTTATGTCTGATAACTTTCCTTCCTTTGAATTCTGTTCTGTCTGAAATTATCATAGCTACTCCTGCTTTACTTTGATTAGTATTAGCATTGTATATCATTCTCTATCCATGTACTTTTCATCTATGCATCTTTATATTTAAAATGGTTTCTTGTAGACAACAAATAGTTGGATCTTGTTTTTTGCCCACTCTAACAATCTCCATATTTTAACTGGTGCATTTAGATCATTGATGTTCAAAGTCATTCTTGATATTGTTGGATTAATATTTGTCATAATTGCTACCATTTTCAGCTTGTTGCCCTTATTCTTTGTTCCAATTTTTTCCACTTTTATTTGCCTTCGTGGTTTTAATTATTCATTTCGCATAATACCATTTTATCCTTTCTCAGTATGTCAGTTATGATGTTTTAATTTTTTTAGTGGGTTTTTAAAACTGTTTTTAGTATTGTAGTTTTTTTTTACTATTATAATATTTTTTCTAGAGTTTGTAATACACATTTACAACTAATCTAAGCCCACTTTCAGAAACACTATATCACTTGTATTAGTCCATTCCTGCATTGCTATAAAGAAATATCCAAGACTAGGTAATTTATAAAGAAAAGAGGTTTAATTGGGTCACAGTTTTGCACATTGTACAGGAAGCATAATGGCTTCTGCCTCTGGGGAAGCCTCAGGAGGCTTTTACACATGGCAGGAGGCAAAAGGGGAGTGATGCACTTCTTACATGGCAAGAGCAGGACTTGTGGGGGAAAAGTGCTCCACACTTTTAAACAACCAGATCTTCTAATAACTCATTCACTATCACAAGAAGAGCACCAAGAGGGTGGTGCTAAACCATTAATGAGAACGGCACCCACATGATCCAATCATCTCCTCCCAGGCCCCACCTCCAACACTGTGGATTACAATTCAAAATGAGATTTGAGTGGAGACACAGATTAAAACCATGTGATTCCACCCCTAGCACCTCCAAAATCTCATGTCCTTCTCACATTGCAAAATACAGTCATGCCTTCCCAACAGTCCCTCAAAGTCTTGACTTATTCTAGCATTAACTCAAAAGTCCAAAGTCCAAAGTCTCATCTAAGGCAAGGTTAGTTCCTTCCACCTATGAGCCTGTAAAATCAAAAACAAGTTAGCTACATCCAACATATGATGGGGTTATAGGCATTGGGTATACATTGCCATTCCAAAAGGGAGAAATTAGCCAAAAGAAAGGGGCTATAGGCCCCCAGCAAGTCCAAAACCCAGCAGAACATTTATTAAATATTAAAGCTCCAAAATAATCCCTTTTGACTCTATGTCTCACATCTAGGGCATATTGATGCAAAGAGGGGGCTCCCAAGGCCTTGGGCAGCTCTGCCCCTGTGTCTTTGCAGGATCCAGTCCCAGTGGCTGCTCTCAAAGACTGATGTTGAGTGTCTGCAGTTTTTCCAGGCACAGGGTGCAAGCTGCTGGGGGATCTACCATTCTGGGATCTGGAGAATAGTGGCCTCTTTCTCACAGGTCCACTAGGCAGTGCCCCAGTGGGGACTCTGTGTAGGGGCTCCAACCCCACATTTCCCCTCTGGACTGCACTAATAGAGGTTCTCCATGAGGGCTCTGCCCCTGCAGCAGGCTTCTGCTTGGACATCCAGGCATTTCCATCCATCCTCTCAAATCTAGGTAGAGGCTTCCAAGCCTCAACTCTTCTTACATTTTGCGCACCTGCAGGCTTAATGCCACATGAAAGCAGCCAAGACTTATGGCTTACATCTTCTGAAGAAGTGGTCCAAGCTATACATGGGCCCCTTTGAGCCACAGCTGGAGCTGGAGCAGCTGGAATGCAGAAAGCAGTGTCTAGAGTTGGCGCAGGGCAGTGGGGTCCTGGCTCTGGCCCACAAAACCATTGTCTTCCTAAGACTCTGGGTCTATGATGGGAGGGGCTACTGTGAAGCTCTCTGAAATGTCTTAGAGGCCTTTTCCCTATTGTCTTGCATATTAGCACTTGCCTTCCTTTTAGTTATGCAAATTTATGCAGCTTGCTTGAATTCCTCTTCTGAAAATGGGCTTTCCTTTTCTACCAGATGACTAAGCTGCAAATTTTCCAAACTTTTAGACTCTGCTTCCCCTTTAAATATAAGTTCCAGTTTCATGTCATTTCTTTGCTCATGCATATGAGCTTAGGCTGTTAGAAGCAGCCAGGCCACATCTTAAATACTTTGCTACTTAGAAATTTCTTGTGCCAGATACCCTAAATCATTATTCTTAAGTTTAAAGTTTCACAGATCCCTAGAACAGAAGCACAAGTTCTTTGCTAAAGCATAACCAAAGGGAGCTTTGTTCCACTTCCCAATAAGTTCCTCATTTCCATCTGAGACCTCCTCAGCCTGGACTTCACTGTCTATATCACTATCAGCATTTTGATCACAATTTAACAAGTCTCTAGGAAGTTTCAAATTTCCCTTCATCTTCCTTTCTTCTTCTGAGCCCTCCACAGTCTTACAACCTCTGCCTGTTACCCAATTCCAAAGCTGCTTCCACATTTTCAGGTATCTTTATAGCAATGCCCCACTTCTCAGTACCAATTTTCTGTATTAGTTCATTATTGCACTGCTATAAAGAAATATCTGAGACTACATAACTTATAAAGAAAATAAGTTCAATTGGCTCACAGTTTTGTACACTGTACAGGAAGCATATTGGCTTCTGCTTATGGGGAGGCCTTGGGAAGCTCTTACTTATAGAAGAAGGCAAAGGGGGAGTGAGGCACTTCTTACATGGCAGGAGCAGAATTCTGGGGGGTGGGGGGAAGTGCTACACACTTTCAAACAACCAGATTTTGCAATAACTCACTCACTATCACAAGAAGAGCACCAAGAGGATGGTGCTAAACCATTAATGAGAAATACACCCACATAATCTAATCACCTCCCACCAAGCCCCACCTCCAACACTGGGGATTACAATTCAACATGAGATTTGGGTGAGAACAGAGATTTAACCATATCACCACTTCACAGGTAATGTATCTTGTAATAAAATAATTTAAATTATTTCCTCCCATCCCTTGTATCATGGCTGTCATTCATGTTACTTGTATATAAGCACACTTAAGCATATATTATATATGTATATATACAGAAATGTATATATAATCAAATAAATTTTTTCTATTATTATTTTGAGCAAACTGTTATCTGTTAGGTCAATTGGGAATACAAAAAAATAAAGTTTTATTTTACCCTAACTTATTCTTTCTTTGATGTTCTTCCCATCTTTATGTAGATTTGAGTTTCTCACCTATAATATTTTCCTTCTCTCTAAAGAACTCCTTTTAATATTTTTTTGTTAAAACAGGCCTATTTTGATTTCTGATGATTTCTCTGTTTGCCTGAGAAAGTATTTATTTCTCATTCACTTTTAAAGGATAATTTTAAAGGATACAGAATTCTAGCTTGGTAAGTTTTTTTTTTTTCTTCTCAAGATTTTAAATATTTTGCTCCACTCTATTCTTGCTTACATGGTTTCTGACAAGTCAGATATAATTCTTATCTTTGCTCCTCTATAGGTAACATTTTTTTCCTCTGGCTTCTTTCAGAATGTTTTGTTTATCTTTGATTTTCTAAAATATGAAATGATATACCTATATATAGCTTTTTAAATATTTATCTTGTGTTCTCTGAGCTTCCTGGGTCTGTGGTTTGGTGTCTGTTATTAATTTGAGAAATTCCTTATTGTTATCACTTCAAATATTTCTTCTGTTCTTTACTCTCCTTCTTTCTCTTCTCATATTCCCATTTTGCTTATGTTATACTTTTTATAGGTGACCCACAGTTTTTAGATATCTGTTCTTTTCAAAATCTTCTTTCTCTTTGCTTTCCTGTTAGGTGTTTCCATGCCATATGTCCAAGCTCAATACTCTTTCTCAGCCATGTCCATTCTACCAATGAGCATGAAAAGCATTCTTCATGTCTGTTAGTGTTTTTGCTCTCTAGCATTTCTTTTTTATCCTTAGAATTTTCATCTGTCTGCTTGCATTGTCCATCTGTTCTTGCGTGCTATCTACTTTATCCATCTGAGCCCTTAGCATATTAATTATAGTTGTTTCAAAGTATTTGTCTGATAGTTCCAATATCCCTACCATATCTTAGTCTGGTTCTGATGCTTGCTGTCTCCTCAAACTGTGTTTTTTTTTTGCCTTTTAGTATGCCTTGTAATTTTTCCTTGATGGCTGGATATGAGGTGCTGGGGAATAGACTTGCCTTTAGTAATGTAGTGGGAAGGTATGGGGGATGGGAAAGCATTCTATAGAACTAAGATTTGTCCTCAGTCTTTTAGTAAGCCTTTGAACTGGGAATTTCAGAAGTGCTTCTCAGTTTTCTCTCTCACAAAGTGAAACAGGATGACCACAGGAGGCAGGAATTGGATATTTCTCTTCTGCCAGGTCACTTAAGTGCTGATAAAACTGTAACAGCTTACACTATAGTAAAACAGTGTCTGTTGAGGGCAGACCTGTTAGGAAGAGCAGAATGCTTTGGTCTGTTTCAGAGCATTGGTTTCTTTTCTCCTCTCCCTGCCAGAAGCACATGGAATTTTTCTCCAATATTCATTGTGATAATTTAGTTGAACTCCTAGGGGTAAAACTCACAAAAGTGGGGGGATCTCCCTATGACTGGTTTCCCTGGGAGTTTTTAATGCTCACACTTGCCCTATTGTAGGAACCACTCAGGTCTCACACTCAGGCACTGGTTGGTTCCAATGGAGGTTTCTTCTTAGGGGTTTCTGCTATGGTGAATTATGAATTTTTTTTATATTGGTCTGCCTCTCTAATTTGGGGGACAGTGGATTTTCCTTCTGACCTCACTTTTCTGAAAGATCTAAGAAGAGTTGTTGATTTTTCAGTTTGTTCAGGTTTTTGCTTGTTAGGACAAAATGACAACTTTCAAGCCCCTTTCATATGAGACCAGAAACCAAAACTTGGAAATTTGTTTTTGGAGTAGTGAAAATTCTCTGGAGCTAGATAGGGATGATGATTTAACAACTCTGTTAATATTCTAAAAACTACTGAATTGTATACTTTTAAAAAGTGAATGTATGTCACTTTTTAGTATGTCAATTGTATCTCAATAATAAAATCATACAACAGATTAGCCTGAAATACAAATAACCTTCACAGTTTTCATTCCCGATGACAAAACAAAAAGATGCTCGAGAAATGCTATTTACGACAAAAGTAGTCCTATAATAAAATGTATTTAAATGCTATGTCACAAAGCACAGACCACAATATAATGCTGTTAGGTGACAGGGCTGTAGTGTCATTTTATCAATTACTTTGCTTCAGTATGTTTTTTTACTTGAATAAAATAGTGTTCACCATTAGTCAACAATTTTAACTGATAGCCCTTTTTGTTATCTTCCAGACAATATTCAAGATTTAGAAGTCAGATAGGCAGCAGTGTTTGTTCTAAAACTGAATTCATAGATGTTTTTCTAGTCTGTGGGCTAGAATATGGGACCATGTAGAGTAATACTCTGGACTCCAAAGGAGAGAGAGTTGATCAAAACTAGTCAGATTTCAAAGCCCCAGCCATTTACTGGGAAAATGCTCCCAGAAGATGACTCTGACATTGACTAGGAAACTAGAAAAATAAGGATTGTGTAAACCAAAACGACAGAGGAAATGAAGACCTGCAGCTTTGCAGTGATAATTTTTGGATGGAACAGATTTGTGTCTCAATTCTGCAACTGTGTCTAAACCACCATGATTAGAAGTTTGTCTTAGATCTCAGAGGGTGACCTTAAAAATATCTTTTATTTTTTTGAAATTATTAAGGCTCAGAACAGACCTGGACTGCAGATGGGGTCATATGTGGATCCAGTAATGGAAAGATATGAGATGCAGAGGTTGAGGAATTCAGGCAGAGGGTGGCGTGTGGGGAAGATTTTTAGTGTGTGCTAGTTAAAAACTTATTGTCATATTAAGACTCAGGAACCAAACTGCCTGGATTTGAATCCTAGTTCTATCATTTACTAGCTGAGTGACACTGGGCAAGTTCATGCTGAATTTCCTTATCTGTGAAATGAGAGAAACAAAAGTACTACTTCATAGGGTAGTTTGTGATAAGCACTACATATGTAATAGCTTTGATAAGAGATCAAGAAGTGAATAGCAATGAAAATAAACTCACTGTAGAATTATATAGGACATATATCTATATATACAAATATATATATTCTTAGCCATATAATATGTAGCATGTGCACACACATTTACACAAAAATATATTAATAAACGAATCATTAAAAAATACAATTTGAGAAATCTTACTAATTTGCCCTGGTAAGTCATGTTCTCATTCTCACTAGCTGCTCTCGCCTGCTCAGAAACTTAAGTCCAACATGTTGTTTGATGGATCATGGAGATAAGTAGACAAAGAAAATATGGAGACTATCAAAGAATTCAAGACTCCCTGAGAAACTACCTTAATTCCAGCACAATCCTTGATTGCTGAGGAAAGCAACCCTGGCTGTGATGAAACACCTAGCAGTACCCATAAACTCTGAATTGCGGTAACGACACAAGGCCAGACATTCCTGAAGCCCCAGCTTAAACTGCCTCTTTCCACCATTATTATTATGTGTATATATTTAAATTGTCAAAGTCTCTATTTGACTGTCAAAATTGGAAATTACAGTATGTATTTATATTTCCTTGAGAATTTGTGGAATAAATTTCAGTATAATATGTACTTATATTTTCTTGGAATATGTAAAATAAAATGAGACTAAAGTTAACAGTACAGAAATAAAATTAATGTGAATAATGAAATTCTATTTTTAAGCAGAATTGTTTAATTCAGAAAGGGAGATAATGGGTACATATAATCAAAATGACCATTTTCTCTCAACTCTTCTACTTCACTCCATTCCTTCTGCAGCCAAAAATCAGAAAGAAGGTGGATGGCACTGTTACGCCCTAAGATTGTAACTTGTAAAGAGAGAAGAAAATTATTTTCTAAACTGTTGCAGGTATAGTTCAGTCATTAGTTTAGTAGCACTGGACAGGCCTGGGTTTGATTCCTGCTTTACCTATTATTCAATGTGTGCCTCATACAGATATTCCAACTGGAGCTTCAGTCTCTTCTTATGTAAAGTGGCAGTAACATTAGTCCTCACAGGTACTTAAGTACTTGACACAGTACTTGGCACATACTAGTTTAAATATTCTAGCTATTATCAAATACTTAAAATTCTTATAAGCCACATTATCATCACACTTTTCTACTAACTTAATTTTTTTTGTTCTTGGGTTTAAGAAAACCCAGTGGTTCGTTCCATAGTTCATGTTTAATATGGCCATTTTTTTCTTCTTGAACTCCAATGCATCTGTGGCTGACCCTTGACTTTACTAGTAGCTCATCAACATATTTGGACAGAAGAAGAATTTGATGTTTGGTTCATTATTTATGTGAAATCAAGGAGTTGGCAGCATACACAACTGAATGAGAATTCTAGAAATGGCCTTTTCAGCAAATGTATGACAAAGAAGCACTTACTTATTAAGACTCTTCCCAAGTAACAACTTGTTTCCATATTACCTAGACAGAGAAAGAAAGAAGTTCCCATTTGTCCCCAAAAGCAGAAAAAACATCAAGTAGTTCAAAAATTCAGGCTTGGGTAAGGAAAAATTATGATATTTTCCAATAAGTATTAAAAGATAATTTTATAATTTTATTTTATTTTATTTTTGAGATGGAGTCTCGCTCTTTTGCCCAGGCTGGAGCACAGTGGCACGATCTCAGCTCACCGCAACCTCTGCCTCAGCCTCCCAAGTAGCTGGGACTACAGGCACACAGCACTACACCCAGCCAATTTTTGTATTTTTAGTAGAGACAGGGTTTCACCATATTGGCCAGGGTGGTCTCGAACCCTTGACCTCGTGATCCACCTGTCTCGGCCTCCCAAAGTGCTGGGATTACAGGTGTGAGCCACTGTGCCCAGCCGAATTGTTTTTTTTTTTAATTTGGTTAACTAAAGGACATTCTTAGGCCATAATTTTATTTCATATTACCATTCAATGCAAAAAGTGTGACATTTGAGTTACAGGACTGATCATGCAAATTTCTAAAATCTAAAATGCCCTTTTGCTCAGTTTAGAAATGAAAATAATACATTGAAAGAGAAAACATCTTCTTGGTAAAGAATAACTTAGGAGGAAGGATCCAAGAACACTGCAGGACGTGAGTTCAATAAGATTATCAACGAGAAGGAAGGAAACTTGGTCATTAATCATTTGTTTTGGAAATATATTTTGAAAATGCTTCTAAGTATTTGCACTGTGCTATATGCACTGGGGACAGTCATATTAAACAATTCTTGCCTTAAAGAAGCTTACGATCTAGCAAGAGAGGGAGACTGAGCCATTAATGGCTATACTACATCAATGGTTATAACCATTGATGGTTATACCACAGCCATCAATGGTTATATCACATCAGTGGTTATGTTTCATTAGCAAGCAGATACAGGATGCTTTGGGAACACCATGGGAGGGAAGTCATGGGATGAGAAAAAATGAAACTGAAAGAGACTCCTCAGAAAAAGCAAAAACAATATTGATTTTAATAAAATGTCCGCCCTTTTAAAATCAAACACATGTAATACTTTATCTGTATAATACATTGAAGTATGTCTTGTTCTTTAAAATATAGTTTCTCCAAATGATTCTGAGGCTCAATCATGATTACAAGATACATGAAATTAGGCACATTAACATGACACAACTATTCAGTAATCTTTACAGTGCATTATTTATAAGACGCCACAAGTCACACAGTTTATACAAGTTAAAATGGGCTATATGAAGTATCTGCAGTTTTTGTGTATTTTTCCCTGCTAGGTAAAGTGAATATTCCTTTAACATTGTACCTTGGTGTTACTTCCTTTGAAAGATGGACATTGAAAGTTAAAAATCAGTCACTATATAGGCACTGCTGTATGGAAAACGCATTTTGTGTTTCTACAAATTGTAAGCGGAAATGCCTTTTGAGTACATATTTATGCCAGAAAGCTTGACAAACACTGAACAGTCTGTAAAAAAAATGGAAAATCTCTTGACCATCAATTCAAATAAATATAATTTAACTATTTGCAGCAATACTAATTTACTTTATTAAATTAATTACTCTAAAATGCTCTTGTTGTCAGGTACCAAAATGGTTTTGAAGTTAGGGAGCTGCTTTCTCTCTTCATTCCTGTGGGTGCCCCAATTCTCCATAATATTTGCAGCTGAGAAGTATGTCTTTTTATTCATTTTTAAATTTTCATTTAAGTGACAATCAGTTGGGAGCAAATTAAATCCTCCCTTAAGGTGAAAAAAAAAAAAAACAAACAAAAACCACCAAAAAACAGAAACCTCAAACCACTTCTGAATGACTTCAGACTATCTTTCGGCTCCTGAATGCTGCTTTTGCATACTGTTACTATTGTAACACACTAAAATGATGCCTATCATAAAGTAAGGATGGCCCAATCTGTTGACAATCTAATCTAATCTAATCTAATCAAGATGACCCAATCTAATGACCGTATTGGATGGCAGGTACTTCTGAAGTCAGTTAATAGTAATACTTTAAAGAAATTTCATTCCAATAAGTACAGTATAAAAGTCTTTATATTATATGCATAAATTCACAAAAAGCACTTCAAAGATGTCTGGTCAAAACTATTTCCAGAAGACCCCAAAGCCCACACCTTTTGTTCCAAATGTAATTATGACAACTACAACAAAAGCAGTAAAAAGCAAGACAAGAAAATCTTAGTCATTTTCAAATGATTTCAACCCCATTCCTTGGGAGAACAGGTAATCAAAGTATGTTGCAGGTTGTGCTTGTTTTTAAACAGATGTCATCCGGGACCATAGGCTATAAGTAGTTTCAGATTTTTTCATTATCATCATTGTTGTTGATTTTTTTAAATGCGACTGGGCTTGCTTGCTTCAAAGAAGTTTTGGAAACATCTGTGTGCATCGTGGACATGGCTATTGTTTCATAATCATCATCCCGAGACCGGAAATCACAAAAGTTGAAGAAGAACTGCAAGTCTCTCTGGAAGTTTTTGTTCAGGAACCCATAAAATATGGGGTTGACACAAGTGGATATCATTGCTGTGAGGTGGCAGAGCAGGAATAACAGATTGTGGTTGCAGGTAGCAATGATCTGATGATTCCAATCAAACACAGTGTTAAAGATGGTAAGAGGGAGCCAGCAGACTGCAAATGCTACCACAATGGAGAGCAGCATGATATTGATTCTTTTGGTTTCACTGGACCTGTACTTATTGTCTCTCATCTTGTCCATCATGTTGTTTCTCCTTTTTAGGCGTATATATATCTATGGAAGAAAAAAGTTTAAATAGAAACACTCATTTGATGAGGAATTCTGTGTAAAGAAGGTAAAAATGGAAATGATAGAAAAAAAGTTTTCTTACCTTGAAGTAGCAAATAAATATAAAACAAAGTGGACCAAAATACTGCAGCACCAAGAGGAGAGTGGTATAAGACAACCTATGAGAGTCCGATGGAAATTGATCAAAGCACACGTATTTGTCTTTGTACGCATCAAGTGTTACATTTTGGAACGGCTCATCAGTCATTACTTGGTAGATCAGGAAAGGCAAAGAAGAAGCCACAGCAAGGACCCAAATCACAGCAATACCTACATAAGCATGTCTATTATTTGGTCTCCACCCTCGAGGGTTGATTATCAGCTGATGTCGTTCCACAGCAATGAGAACCAGAGAGAAAATGGACACAGTGATTGAAACACATTGCACAAAAGGATTCAACTTACACATCGCCTCACCAAAGACCCAGTGGTCCATTAATGTGTAGACAAATGTAAAGGGGAGACACATGATGGCAACAAGCAAGTCTGAGAAGGAAAGGTTCACAATCAGGATGTTGGTAACATTTCTCATCTCCTTTTGTTTCAAGATGATTATGATCAAGGCCAGGTTTCCAGAGACACCAAGAATGATCACAGCTCCATAAGCAAGAGCTAAGGTAAATATCATGGCCAAGGGCAGATGACAATCATCATTTTCAAAAGCCAGAAGCTGGGCATTCTTCTCTGAGAAATTAGAGTGGACTGAATGATTTTCAACCTGGGAAAATAATGTTGAATTCATTTTGATTGGTTTGGTTGTTATAGATTATTTTAGACAAATGGACAGTATGTTTCTTCAAAGCAGGTCAACTGTTCAGCTTATTCTTATTCCCCATATTGGAATCCATTTACCAAAATTATTCTGAATTCTTCATTCCCTTGAACTGAACAATCTGTAAAGAGAAAATGACCAATTGCATTACTAATTTTATTGAGGGCAGTCAAAATGACTTCTGACTCACAGAACTCTTTAAAGTGAAAACACTGAAATAAATAAACAAAATGTAATCTTGTAAACATCTTTCTAAAATAGCAGAAATGGTGAAAACATACTGAATAAAGAAAAAATAAAATTTTTAATTGGACTTGCTTACAGAACAAGTCTTAGTAAAACATAATGGTCTATAAGTTAGTAAGGAATATAAATATTATGCCCCAAGTCTTACATAAACAGTAATAACAGCACATTCCTAAACATTATAAGAATATGAATGTATAAAAACCACTTAATGCACAGATTAAAACATAAGAAAAATAAACAAACAAAGCAAAAGAAAATAAATTACCTAATTCTGCCATATGCTATAGAAATGGAAGAATTAGTGTCAAGGTCAAGTTATAGCAATAGCTCCACCATACATACACTGCACTGCTTTTTAGGGCAGATGTTATTCAGCACAAACATATTCAACAAAAGATGATCACTACAGTGAAACATCAAAAAACTTTGCCATGAATGACTATTGAGAGACTAGACAATGTTTAATCCGGAAAATACTTAGTAGGAATGGTACAGATGTCTTCTTGTATTTTAATGGGTAGCATGTAGAACACAGCGTTGAGCTTAGAATGTTACATCTAATTATATGTACAAGTTAAAAGTAGGACCAAGAGGTGCACATTATTTTTTTAATCACATCATTGTGAGGAACAAAAGTTTAGTAAAATGGAATTATTTGCCTGCAAATCTAGCAAGTGTTCCATATACAAATTTTATAACCACCATATGAAAAACCATTTCAGAGAGTTTCTATATTGTGTGGGAGATTCTAACTTTAAGAGTCTGTTATTTTATTAATATGTTAGAAGCTTTCAAGGATTTCTAAGGTATTATTTATGTAAATATCTTCCCTACCCACCAGACTATATGTGTGCCCAATGCAAGGATCTAGATTTTAATTGTAATTTTGATTTTTCACAGCACTTTGTGATACATTTTTCTCTTATTAACAACACAAATCACAGACTTGTAGAGTTTTAAAAAGTTTGAAATTATTTTAAAAACTCCTTTTCAAAAATAAGTCTGATATTCCCTAGATTACTAAGTAAATATGTGAGACGGAGTTTCTTATGTTAATTAACAGGCCATCATGCTTGTATTAAGAAACTGAATTTCATTCTTTTCTTTCTTAAATAAGACCAATAAAGAAAATCATGCAGAGTTACTTCCATTGAAAGAAAGATAAAAAACTTAATGAACAAGAAATGCATTTGCCTTTTACTTAATGCCTCTAATAAACCTTTCCTTTAATTTTTGTGCTTTCTAGAACATGAGTTTTTTTTTTTTTATTATGAAACCATGATTTGGCCTTAAAAACTTAAGAAGAATAAAGTAAGAGTTGCTACAATGAAGTCAGAATGAAACTATTAAAGAATGGTAATGGAATGATTTCAGGTATGAGTGTTATTAGAAACGTGGCTCTCTCTTCCTCTATGCATCAACCTGTAATGACTCCCTAATACTTATGTGATAACCACACTTTGTCTCTCAAGAATTCCAAAGGCAGAGAGAATGATCAGCGATTGTCAGAGTTTGAAAACAATCTCAAAAGAGCAGTAATAACTTCAAATTATTTGGAAATCTCTTATTTTAAGAATTCAAGAAAATTTAGCATCATATTTCCTATTTAAGTTGCTACAGAGATATTTAACATGACTTATCAATTAATTATAAGTTTCCCTTCATTATTTGAAGTAAAACTAGCAGAGTAGGGAAAAGCTTTTTATCCTTGTCACCAAGTACCAACAGGTGAATGAGGACCCTGGTTTGAGACACATGAGAGACAGAATACTAAGTACATTCCCCAGCCTGACACATTAAGACCTCTGCATTATACCTCTTGTCCACACTTTACTCTAATAATCCCAATGTGAATACACTGCTCTAGGCAGGTGAGTCTGTTCACAGTCTACCAAATATAGCTCTGCGTCTCCACCTCCGCCATTCCTCTTGCTGGGTGTTCTCTCTCTCCCACCACCAATCCAAACTCTACCCATCTTTCAAAGCACCATTTAGTCCCTAGAATCCTTAGTTGGCTCCTCTCATTTTTAATATAACATCTTTGAGGTAGGCATTGTGCATACTTCATAGTACCTTGCAAGTATTAGACTTAGAATAAAACTGTGTTGACTGATATAACTGATGCATGGTTGGAATAGTAGGTTCTTGGGTAAATTAATCCTAACATCAATAGCTCAATTCCATCATAGTCCTTGAACAGGCAAAATGTATGCTAATCACAACAGCCGTACTCCTAGGTCATGTATATAGGGGAAAATGTTACACTTTATATAAAAATATTATTTCTGAAAGAAAATTTATTCATTCAACAAATATTAATTAAACATTTATTTTGTGTTAGGCATGGTTTTACTGGAGATAATGTGACCTTCTCACTGTGTTTCTAGTCTTGTGGGCAGAGAAAGACAAGAAAAAAATTAGTAAAAGATATAGTATGCTAGATGATAATACATATTATGAAGTAAAACAAAGCAAGAAAGAGGGACTGGGGCCGGGCGAGGTGGCTCACACCTGTAATCCCAGCATTTCGGGAGGCCGAGGCGGATCACCTGAAGTCAAGAGTTTGAGATCAGCCTGGCCAACATGGTGAAACCTTGTCTCTACTAAAAATACAAAAATCAGCCAGGCGGAGTGGAGCACACCTGTAGTCCCAGCTACTCGGGAGGCTGTGGCAGGAGAATTGCTTGAACCTGGGAGGCAGAGGTTGCAGTGAGCCAAGTTCAGGCCACCGCACTCCAGCCTGGGTGACAGAGCAAGACTCCGTCTCAAAAAAAAAAAAAGAAAGAGAAACTGGGATTTGGGGGAGCTGCAATTTATTACTTGACTGTAAAAGATGGCCTCTGACTGTCTGAGAAGAAGGCATGTAAGTTAAGACCTGAGAGGAGTGGTGAGTAGGGAAGCTATGCAAGTATCTCAGGGATTGCATCCCATATGGAAAGAACAAAAATCCCTAAGGCCCATGTGTAACTGGTGTGCTAAGTAGCAATAAGAAGTAGGATAAATAAGGGAGGGACTCTTAGGAAATTAATTAGGAAGGCTAAAGAGGGGGGTACAGACTGTAGAGCCTTTTTTTTTTATGGTCTGTGCCTATAATCCTGAGAGAGCTGGGGAGCCTCTGGAGAGTCTTTGGCAAAGGTGTGAAGTTTTATGACTTTTGATTTAAAATTACTATTCTCGCTGCTGTTTTCAACACACTCAAGGAAAGAGAAGAAATGGGGAGATTCATTAGAAAGCTAGTGCAATAATTTTGGCGAGAAATAATAGGGACAGAGACCAAGATGTATACCATGGAGAAAAAGAAACAGAAATATTCTATCCACTGACTGATTTTGGCAAAAATGAATACATATAAGAATTCACACAGACATTAAATTATTGCAAAGTACAGGCTACAAACATAGCTTTCTTACAGATGAGTTCAGGTAAACGTACTGAAGCTCTAGCCTGATACCTTTGAAATTGTATTTAATAGGCATGCCCAATGAGGAAGCATTTTTCTTACTAGGTAGAAGTTAATTTAGCTATAGAGAAAATGAAAAGTTTATTTTTTTAAGGTGTTTTCAAGCCTATTTTACTAAGTGCACATTTGATAGTTATTCCAGTTGTGTAAACCAATTCTGCATTGGATAAATGTGTATTTTCAGTTTACCTTAGTGTAATTTCAAGAAAGAATAACTGTCAGAAAATAACAATACTAAGAGAGAATTTACACACTTTATCTTTGCAAAAGAAAATAATTTGATATTTACTATTCTAATATAATTTGTAAAATAAGCTATGCAACTGCAGAAACTGCAAAAATTAAAGACTGTTAAATCTCAGTGTAGCTGCCATGTGCATATAGAGACAAAACAGACATTACATACATCACCAGTTGGCAAATTAGCCCCCTTGCAGAGGGAAATTTCCTCTTCTTTCTTTCCAATTAGAATGCTGGCCTTTCATTGCTTGCTCTTCGCAGTGCTGTTACTACTTGAAAATACAGCTCCCTGATCATAACCTGCTGCAGATACATTTTTTCAAATACTCAGGATTGGCTGGCTGTTCACCTCACTTGTGTTGGAAAAGAAATGTCAGCCTTGTTACATACAGCCTCCCAAAGTTACTGCTAGCTTATCTAAATGAATTACATAATTCTCTGCTCCTTCCTTGCTGGGGAGGGCTTGTTCAACAGACTGCTGCCTTAAGACAATAAAGACTAATAAAGTAGTAGTCACGGAAGAGCACTCGGTCTAGTCCTGGGTGGGGAACCTGGTCGGGTTAGCTTTCTGCTCCCTCGCTTGCTTCGCCAGAGAGCCGGCCCAGGGTCGAGAACAAACAGCTACTGCTTTTCTGTTCCAGACCTGACAGACAAGCTCCACATGTCCCCTGCCTGTGTGTGCCATCCCGCCCGTCATGCTTTCTCATAGGATGGGGAGTGGGGGAAGCAATGCGTGCTCTGTGTGTGTGTGAGTGTGAGTGTGTGTACATGGAAACACACTCTCTTTTGCTCCTCTCCCCTAGGTTTTTCCTGTGCTCCAGAAGTTATCAAACAACGAAATGGGAAATGGGACATGTTCAGTCAAAATTCCTGTTGGCACGCTTACCCACCCACCTTTTTCATATTGCGTAACTAGGTGAATCGCCCGAAATTTACTCCATTCCTGACTCCCTACTACACACACATACACACACTCTCACTCTCTCTCTCTCTCTCATCAAAAAACCTTTCTACCAGTGATAAGAGACTGGCAAAAGAGAAAAGATATAAACAACCAAAACCAAGCAGATCCCAAACCGAAGTCAATTCTCTCTCTTTGGCCCAACATCAGACCTTAAAACATTCTTATCTCTCCAGTCTACCTGGGAACCAATGGCACACCCTATCAAGACACCTCCACCTCCTGTCCATTCCCAATCTCCTAACCCAGCCACGTTCCATCATTACTTTTCTAAAAGAAAGAGCTAAAGAGTTCCCTGATTAGAACTCCGATGATTAAAAGCTTCGGGTGTCTATCGGGGCGCAGCGCCACACTCGAAGCGCCCGGTACTGCGGAGCGCGGCTCGATTGCAGCCGAGAAGCGCGGAACCCGCAAGTGGGGGTGGGCTTGCGCGCTGGGGTCCGCGCCGAGGGCTACTCCCACCTCCGCCAGCTCCCAGCCCGACACCTGCCGCGGGACCCGTGCGACGCTGGGCGACGCGCCAAGCCCACCCTTCTCCGGCTCATCCCAGCCAGTTACTCCGCGAAAACTCCGGTGCGGCCAGAGCCAGCGCCTCCAGCCAGCTCAAGACACGTAAGGAAAATGAGCGGGTGTGGGATAGGCGAACTCGGGCGCCTTCCCAGTGCCTCGGCCTTTTAAAGAGAACCGGGGTAAAGGAAAACTTGGATCCCCATCCAGAAATTCCCCGGGAGCAGGTGGTGGGAAAGCCCGAACTCCGCGTAGGGTACCCTCTCCTTTCACCCGCGTCGTCCCCATACCCTTCGGCAGGAGCCCGCGAACGGTCCGGTGATTTGGAGCAACCTGCGACCTGCCTGCACTGGAGACCCCACCTTGGTCCCCCAGAGCCAGTTTCGGACACTCGCATCGTTTTTCTTCCCCTCTCATCCTTCACCTTGTCAATGAGAGATTTCGCAGAAGTCTCTGGAAAGGCATAAACTCGCAACTTACCCTCTTTGGAATTTGTCTTTTTCGCTCCTGCTTATTAAAGAAGGAAGGGTGGGAATGGAAGGGAGCAGAGTGGGGAAGATCCGCTGGTATTTCTCCTGCTCAGATCCTAAAGATTGATGAAGCTAGGAAGAGACGCCTCCTTAAAGCCGAACTCCACCTCATCCCGGATCACGTGACGGCGTCCCGCGAGTAGCGCCTGAAGCTCCCCCAACCCCACAAACACCTCACAAAGGTGCACACCTCGGGGAAGCATTGCCTAGGAATTTTGGAAAGAAAAGCAATCCAACAGAAGCCACACATTATTCGACACAGACCTCCCGCGCAGGGGAAAGGAAGCCCTAATCCCCACAGTCCTCGACTCCGGGGAAGGCAGGGCAGTTTCCCGAGGCTTGAAAAAGTCGGTGCCACTGTGCTTTTCTTTGTTTGCAGGTCAGTGCCATCTTGTGGCCGAAGTCATACCCGGCTGGAGAGCTCGAGCGCCAGCCCAAACCAGGAATCAAAGGGCTCGCTGGGAAACATGAAATTCGCCACAATAATGGCACTAATATTTTCTTTTGCTTTCTTTTGTGACGCTCAAATAACTCTCACGCCAGTGCCGAGAATTTGTTTTCCTCACTTTATAAGTGAACAAAGAGAAGACCTTTAAAAAGTCAAAGCAGTCAATCGGCCCTCCTTTCTTTGGCCCACTGAGAAAATGCATTAAGTCAGATTTGTTCCCAGCGCTTAGCTGCTTTTTAGTTTTTTTAGGGGAGAACCATGAGCTGAATATTTCCCTGGTGGTCGAAAAGCGTCAATGCAATTTTCTCGGTGATTAGTACTACAGTACTGAACATTATGAAGAAAAAAATAGAATGTACACCGAGTACGTTGAAGGCGGCCAAACCCATCATGGTGCCCGATGATTCAGGCCAATTACTGGCACACTGATCTTAGATGTTTTACCTGATTCTATTCTAGTTTCAAAAGTCAAAGTTGTAAACACACACATACACACACACACACACAAATTATGTAGACGATGAACTGATGCAAATGAGTAGAACTTCTTCCAAATAAAATTGTTAAAAATAAGAAGTCTTTCTAATAAAGATACAGGGCACTGCCCAGAGAATTTATAAAGATTTCATTAGAAAACAATTCTAATGGCAGTCTTTCTTCTAATTAAAATCAAAATAAAATTCCAAGACAAGTGGACTCATCTGAACTTTATACTGTTAAAAAACGTTTTCTTTTTCTGATTGTTAGGCTGAATAAACATATTTAAGGTTCAGTATAAGCTCATTTATATAGATAGTGATGAACACAATCTCTGGATGTTTTTCCAAGAAAGCTTTCCAAAATATGTGTCACTAGACATATTTTTATATAGTTGGAAAGGCATTGTAATTAAGAATTAAAATGTCATGATTATGTAATGATTGTACTATTAGTGTATAACAACAGATATAAGCATACATATAAAAATCTCTAATGGTTAAGCAGAGTAAAATGACAACAGATTCATTTATACACACACACACATATACACACACATACTTTTTTTTTTAACCAAGGCACAATAATTTTTACCAAGGCACAATTTAGGAATTTCAACTCTTTCAGGGAAGAATAACTAATATTCATTCAGGTTTCTATGCATCCTCTGTCTACTCTATTGCCTTAAGTCACATTCTGTTCTTAGAAGGAAGTTTTCCCCATGGTTTTGATCATCAAATTGGCTATCTTTAGCCTGCTATAAGAATTACAAATGAAGTAATTTAATTCTCTACTAAGAATATATTTTTATGTAGAAACTATTATTATGTCAGCAAATATTTTGGACTTGAGAATATAATTTGGACTCAGGTACTATGCTTTCTCTATTTCCCAAGAATACTAATAAAGGCATGTCTGCCAGAGTTCTGAACTATTATGGCCATTGTATTTTATCATTTTATTAACTCAATTTTTATGAAGTGTTCTCCCTAAGGAAAATTTGTGAAACTGCATTCTTGAGTTATTAATGTCAGATACCAATCTTTGAAAGATCATTGGTCTCAAGGACTCTTTTCTATGACAACTTTATGATACAAAGAGAAGTTCTGAAATACTCAACAGTGGCTGGGGGCGGTGGCTCACGCCTGTAATCCCAGCACTTTTGGAGGCCTAGGCAGGTGGATCATGAGGTCAGGAGTTCGAGACCAGGCTGGCCAACATAGTGAAACCCCGTCTCTACTAAAAATACAAAAATTAGCCAGGTGTGGTGGTGCGCATCTGTAATCCCAGCTACTCAGGAGGCTGAGGCAGGAGAACTGCTTGAACCCAAGAGGCAGAGGTTGCAGTGAGCCGAGATCGCACGACTGCACTCCAGCCTGGGCAACAGAGCAAGACTCTGTTTTGGAAAAAAAAAAAAAAAAAAAAAGAAATGCTCAACAGCAAAATTATATAATTCTTTAGGAATACCATTTACTAGGATTCTTTCCAATGTGAAAAATAGAGAAATTAGACATGGTCCAATGGCCAAACACAACATAAAATTCTCCAATAATGTAATCTTATAGAAGATTTAAAATATGCAAAGTAGTTTGAATTTCTTAGAAAATACTTATTAAAGAGTTTCCTCATTCCAATTTTAAGATCATATATTTTTCTACTCTTCAGTGAATAATCAGCTGCCTACTTTCCTATCTGGGATTCAAACTAGATAAAACTTCATCTTTGCTAGGGAGAATTTTTTCTTTATTTCTGTGTATTTCTTTCTGTAGTTTCATAACAGCCTGACCTATAAACCAAGGGGAATTATGTTAATGACCTAATCTCATGCTCTCTTGAACAACAGTCTTGCTCTGTGATATAAACTGAGGGATAGGATCTACTCATTAAATTTCTGTAAATCTAAGTTTTGTATTCTAAACAATGGAACAAACTTATGGCCTGGCTCAGCCTTTAAATTCCATGATTCAGTAACTGCTTAAATAAAAGTGTGACAGTATGCTTGCTACTGGAATTGAAACACACTAATTACTAGTCTTCTGAGGAATTTCTGCTACAAGAGTTAAAGTTTCTGAAATGCTATCAGGCCTTGATACAGGTAAATTACCATGAATTGTCACTCAGAAGAAACTTAATAGGCATTAATACTACACGAGAAAACTGAAATGTATATGACATTGATAAGGGGGTAATTCCATGGGGGTAGAACTATGATGAAGCACGTCAGTGAATCAGTTCATATTCTATGAATTGATTTTGTGTCAGGATTTTCCTTCTTTCTGTGACTTACCTGCTGCATTTCTTTGGATCTTTGACGCCCAAGAATGTAAAGCACAATTTTATTTTATGGACCACCAAGAAAAAAATGCTTTCAGTAAAGCAATGGCATACCATCAATAGCAAATGAATATTAAAATATTAAAATGCTTTTTAAGCCCACATTTTAAAGCCAATGAAATATAGTTGGTAAAGAGTTTTGACTTAATCAGCACAATCAAATAGTCAGTACAATCATTTTATTCATCTGACTTTTGGAGAGCATTAACTAGCAGAAAAAAAGTGATGATTAATTTAGTTAAAAATGTGAGTATACAAGTGCACAGACAATTCAATGATCTCCTTTGTGCAGAAAACACACAATACTATTTGTGGATTTTCTCTTGATCTTGATTTGAAATGTGAATGCCTTTCAGTAAAGTTCTCATTTTGTTACATGGGCTGCATATTTCGGGGCATTTTTAAAAACTCTGTCACAATAAGGCTCTAGACAAGTAGGATCTTAAAATTTAGTAAATAGCCAAATCTTTTTCTGCATGCCTTATACTTTCAGATACCCTTTAGACATTCAAAAAAAAGTGTAATGTTATATTACAAAACCATAACATTATGTTTTTACTATATGATATAATGAAAGGAGCTTTGCCACTGTTACTATTACTGTTTTTAATAATTATTATTACTATTCCCTTCATATATTCTTTTGAAGAGACAAAATAAAAATAGCTGGCAAAAAGAATAAGTATGAATGCCACCACAACAGCTCTCATCATCTGTGACAAACATCTCTACTTGGTCGTCTTGCCCCTGACTCCCGCTCCCCAAAATCTCAAGCTTGGTATTAGACTTTCTCACAGCACAACACTTCAGATGGCCAATGTCAATAGATCAGACTTTGCCTATGAAGAAAAGCTATGAAGGTATAATTTTTTCTAAAGAAAGGAGAAAGACTGGGTGCAGTGGCTCATGCCTGTAATCTCAGCACTTTGGGAGGTCAAGGCGGGTGGATCACCTGAGGTCAGGAGTTCGAGACCAGCCTGGCCAACAAGGTGAAACCCTGTCTCTACTAAAAATATAAAAATCAGCCAGGCATGGTGGCATGTGCCTGTAATTCCAGCTACTCGGGAGGCTGAAGCAGGAGAATCACTTGAATCTGGGAGGCAGAGGTTGCAGTGAGCTGAGATTGCACCACTGCATTCCAGCCTGGGCAACAGAGTGATACTGCATCTCTAAATAAATAAACAAATAAATAGGAGAAAGTGTTTTTTTTTTGTACACCTACATAATAGCACAAGCAGGTGCATGCAAAAATGGCACGAAATGTTCTGAGGCATCATTTTGCTAAGGTAAGTATCCTCCTTTCATTCCTTTGTTTAAGGTCTAGCTATTGCTTCCTTTCCCCAGATACAAATACATCTAGAAAGAGTACACACATCTAAGGATGGTCAATGGTATAATATGACCCACCTGATCTTATGAGATTGTTTAGCTGCCACTCTCCGCTAGCATAGCATGTAGGTTAAAGCTCAACTGTGCAGATTATTGCAACTACAAATTCAAAACCTTCACTGAGCCTTAAATATTACCCAGAAATGCCTTGGCTTGGGTGATTACCAATCTCTCTCCTTTTAGAAGCTATTTTGAAATTCCACCCCTCTCCCAGCCTCCTACCTCATACCCTCAGTCTCAACGGACTCCTTCTTTTTGGGATAATTAAACGCCATAGGGTATTTACCCCCTAACTTTCAAGTCCCTCCTTTTGGCAATAGTTCTCCAACCCAGCTGTTTCAACCCCAGGCTTTGAGTCAGCCTGTCCCGCTGAGGTTTCCCAGCCGAGGCCCCAAGCACCATGTGACAGACAAGCCATCTCACTCTGCTCCTCTGAGGTGCTGTCCCACCACGCAGTCCATAAGCATAAAATCCATGAGTTGTATTCCACTAAGTTTGAGGAAGGTTTATTAAACAACAATAAAATAACTATAATACCTGTTTAGTCAAAAATTCACTTTTCTTAGCTTAGGACTAAAATAAAGACCAAAACAAAATTGCTCATCTCTTTCTCATAGTAACTCCCTTACTGGAGTCACATCTTCCCTAGCTGCTTCTCTTTCCTGGCAAGCTTCTTTGAGGATAAGGTACATATACAGTCACCTCATTTTTTCCTCAAATATGACCCACCTGAAACTGTTTCTGCCCAGGACACTAATGATCAAAGCCAATGAACACAATTCAGACTTGCTTGTATTTGTTCTTTATGTAGCAATGGACTCAACTGAGCATCCACTGTTTCTGGAATCTTTTTTTCCTTTGACTTCACCAACTCCACACTTCAGGCTTTTCTTCATTGGCTGTTGCTCAGTCATCTCTCCCAAGATCTACTATTTCCATCTACTTCTTAGGCTTTTTTTTCCCCCTAGGATCCTGTTATGTAGATGGGTGAGAGATGGCCCATGGGTGATGGCCTAAAATGGTCCCCATACTGTTTGCTTCTTCACAGCAGGATAAGGCCCTTAGCCCAAAGCCTGCCAGCACCACCTCAAAATCTCACGCATCTAATTGCTCTAAATATAGTCAAAAATAAATTAATTTTAGCCCATTTAGAGCCTACCTTCTTAAATGCCCCATGAAACTCCACCCAACATCTGCTAACGATACATAAGACAAATCTTGTAGCTGTGAAAGACACCAAACCACAGCTCCCTTCAGAGGACTCTGACCCAGAGGCTCCCCCGTTTGTTGCTGAGTGACATCACCCACACATGTAAGTCTCCTCTCTACTTTCCCCTTCTGCCCCTTCTAGGTGGTACCCCACATCATTGTCTCTAGAAGTTCTCTTGCTAGGAGGGACTACTCCTGTCATGCAACCTCCTGCAAGTGCCACCCAAATAAACTTGTGCTTTTAGTGGTCTTGTTTCTTCCTTGACCAACCCCCAAATTACCAGAATCCACCAGAGATCCCAATCTTAATCTTCTCCTTTTTTCATTCTTAACACACAAATACACCCTCTGCTATCAACTACATGCTTGCATGTACCCAACCCTCAATCTTTACCAAAAGTACAGATCCCTCTCAGGTTTCCTTGGACATTGTGCTTCTCTGCTTATGGACCTGATCAGTAGCATCATTCTTCTCCCTCAAGCCAGAACCTAAGAATTGTCCCATGTATTCCCGTCTCTCACTCTCACTCACAAATCCAACTGGTCTCAGATTGCCACTGATTTTATCTCCTAAGTATCTCTCACGTGTGTTCTTTCACCTCTATCAAGCTCTACTTATTTCTTTTCTAAATGGTCTAAATCCATCAGTTTCTTTCACAGCCATCCAGTCATACAGCTTCCCAGTTTAAATCTTTTAGCTGCTTTCCATCCAGGTGTCTCAAGTGAAGGGCCAAAGACATCCTTTTTAATCAACATTTTCAGTATCATCCTCTACCCTATACACTGCAGTCATACGAAACCATTTACATGATTCTGAATGCCTCATACTCTCTCACCTTCATGCTATTACAACACTTCTCGATTCTCCATCCCCTCCATCTGCCTGTTTAACTCTTACCAACCCTTTACATTTCAGTTCAAGTGTCTTCTCAGGTATAAAGCCCTCTGTTACATCCCCAGTTTATTTTTAAGAATGAATTACCCAGGAATATAAATAAGAAATAAACCTAGAGTTTATTTCAATTGCAGAACTTATCACATTGTATTGCCATTAATTATGTAGCTGCACATATCTACAACTATACTCTGATTTCTTACTGACAGTGACTGTTTTTTTTTCATCTCTTAAACTTAGGAGCCTGGAAGGGCATCTAACACATTATAAGATACTGAAGAAGTTTTGTTGAAAGATTGAAAAACTAGGAATAGGGTAGGACTACAAAAATTTTTGAATATCACAAATCAAGCCCATTTGTTCATCTCAAACATTAAAAAAGTGTCTTCAGCATTTGCAGCTATGATGGATGATTGCTACTTTATGCATATACATTTTATGCATAGTCTGCTTACTAATACACTCCTTCTGATGATCTGCCTCATATTTTTGGATATTCTTATGTGTTAGCTCTGCCTCCTCTATTAGGTATAAACTTGAATATGGACCCTACTTCCTTTGAAAATGCTTATAATGTCTACTTGAGGAACGGTCTCATATTTTTTTCTACCTGTTCAATAACATATTTTAATAGCTGTATTACGTGTGAGAATAAGACTAAGAATGTGGTAACATACATTTTAAAAGGCATATCATTCAACTTTTGGTCCTGAGCTTATGCTTTGAACAGTTCTGTAAACATTCTTTTTAAAGATTAAAACAAACCAATATACCAAATATAAACAAACCGTTTCCCTTTCATTTCCACTTAAATATAGTAAAGCTATATTTAGACTTATAATTAGATTTAAAATATTAACTACAAAAAATAGATAGGAAATGGAAACATTTTTAAAAATATTACAGGATACTTATCTTTTCTCAGAGGAGTTTTAAACTACAAAAGGAAATAATTGTATGGCCTATATATGGATTGACATAATAAAATGTTATATTTTCAAAGGAATCCATGCTCTCTTCTTGTACATATATATATATATATATTTGTGCTGCAAAACTGAAAAACAATGTAATTAAAGAATGAAGTACTGATATGTAAGACAGCCATAACTTTTTGAAATGAATACATGAAATATAGTTAATACTAGCTGCAGAGAAGAGAATGTGCCAATAATAATGGAAAACTTTAGCATCAGTATTTTCTTTGTAAATTTTAATATAGAGGGAAAATAAACAATGCCTATGGCTATCAAATTTTTCTGAAGATCTAAAAATATGATTTTTCTACACATATGTTTGTAATGCATGCTAATTAATGGCATAAAGTCATAAGTAGTCAGGTCTCAAAGGGGACTCCAGATCTTCGATTCAAAATATTTCATTTTATAAAGAAAACGAAGACTGAAAAATCAAGTGCCTATCTAAAGCCACACCATTAATTTGAGATCAAGCCTGGCTACAACTCAGGTGTTCTGATAAGTGTCTATTATAAAAATATGTATGTAATACATGAACATATAAAATACATCTGTATCATATCTATGTGTGTATGTATTTTTAACATGAGTATTTGCTAGTAAAAATAATTATACATTCTCTCTGAAAGTCAGTCACTGTTTTATGGTATAATCATTAGGGCATCAAAAGGATAAATAAAGTGTTGCTTAAGGAGCACAGTGTTTATCAGAAGTCAATACAATGTTAATGATGCCCCCGTAGGACCTCACAATTATCGTTAAGTTGCCTGGGAAATGGACTCAATGCACACAATACTTTGGGCTAAACTTCTTTTCAATAGCTTTTGGGTTTTTTTTTTGTTCAAAAAAAAATCATGTATTTCATAATAAGAAGTTGGCTCCTCATTTGAAGTCCTAAATATTGATTTATGTGACAAATTATTACTATTCCAAAGAAATCAATGCAGCATAGAGCATCATAAAATATTTTTGATAACACATCTTTTAAGTATTAAGGATTTAAATTTACCGTGATAGAAAAAGTGGATGAAGAAACATTTACCCTTAAGGAATACAACGAAATTCTCAGAGAAATAAATGCATAAAGTAAAATAATACTGTTTTCTCTAGTTTATTTACCTCTACTTGTTCTATAACTAATATATCAAAGTCAAATATCATTTGAGATTATACCAAAACACTTTAGTAATTGCTTTCCACAAATAGTAGCTGTTATTAAAATGCAGCAGTAGCTTTGACAAGAACCACAGCCATGTTCCTCAGCAAAATACTACCCCAGGAATTGTTGGGTGACTGTTTTATCGTTCAATAATTTGTCTTAGGAGTCCCAAGTCACCTTTAACTTTTACCTTTACAGATAAGCTTTCTTTCATAACTGATAATGAACTGTAATAACAGGGCAATAGCCAGTTTAATTTTGTAACATGCATAAAATCCAACTTAATTTCCCAAATGAGCATTTTATAAATAGTGAGTAGGAAAAATACATAAAACAGAGGTGGACATTACTACTTCTGTTCTGGTATTCCCCTTCGCTAAGATGTTACTCCATAAAATAAAAATAAAATTATTATGTTCTACAAAGAGTAATGATGATCAGTCTCAAATCCCCCCTGGGAAATTTAAAGGTAAAAACACACTTATCTTCATATCTTCCTCTTTATGTAGCATATTGCTTAAATTTGTAAATTTATAATTTCCTCAAAAAAACTCTTAATAACTTGTCCACTCCAAGTGTTCTTAATACTGTGTATTGTCACGTGTATTTAAAGAAGAAATGCCAACTCCTGTTTTTGAGACTTGCTTGTTTGTGGGTGCAGTGGGAAGGGAAAATAGCCAGGTTAATTAGAATCTTTGTATCAGTGGCAGGTAGCCTTTTATTTTCAATACTCTAATAACAGTGACTTCAACCTAAAGGTTCATATCATCAAAATAGAAAACAAATTTGTGGAAAATAAAAAATAAGATTTTTTAATACTTTTAATATGCAAAAGCCTGTAGCATAGACTAGTGTTTTGAAAGTCACAATGGGGTTCACTTGGAATTTGTTTTAAAGACAATGTGTATTTGAAGTGTACATGTTATGACTGTGCAAGAGATGGAAAGATAGAAATTTATGTGGCAATGTGTACTGCATTAACCGCAGAGACAGTGGAGTTAAGAAAGTCTAAAAAACAAGCCTTATTTTCTCAAGGTCATCCCTTCTTGACACTTTCATCCCCTACTCCTTACTGCAGAATCCCAGGTGCCTGCTCAGACGGCCTATTCTGTTAAGCTTTTGGGGAGAATATATTAATATTTCAGAAATAACACACAGAAGAATAAAACAGGAACTGTGTTTACTTGAGTTCTTTAAAAGCTCTTGGATGACTCTTTGACTGATGAAATAGCAATCTATACAGATCCCCTGAGTATTGAATGCTGAAATCCAGCAGAAAGGGGACACAAAAAATTTTCTTTGACCTCTTCTGTAACAGTGATGTCTGCCCCAGATGTTAGAATTACAAGTCACATTGCTCCCAAGGGGTACAGTTCTCTTCGGTTTATCCCACACGACTCTACTCAGCAGGAGATGCTGTCTGTTACATAATAGTTCTCAGTATTAAAGGGTACAATAACTACACCCTTTCTCATGGTAAAGCTATGTCCAAAGACACATGGACATCTACCCAATGTCTCTTTTCTCCCTTCTCTCCTTCTCTCTCTCTCTCTCTCTCACAGACACACACACACACACACACACACACACACACACACACGCGCGCGCGCCTAAAGTACCTGCCACCTAATGATTAGCTAAAAATAAAGCAAACCTGCGCAATACAGATTTGGAAACATTAGGGATGGAAATCATGTTGGGAAGGAACAGAAGGACAGGTTTTCTCTTCTTCTTTTGTGTGGGCTTTTTTCCCGTCTTTTTTTTTTTTTAACCTGTGACAATTCGTTTTTAGCCCTTCGTCTTCTCTTTGCTATTGAATATAGTCTTGAGCAGCGTTGATTTCATTTCAGCTTCACTCCCCTGCTCCTGCCACTTGCCCACACCCACAGCTGCCACTCCTTGGAGTGGGGAAACTTCCCTTCTATTCTGCTGGGCTCATTACCGCAGACGCTGTTGCCTCTCCTGAACATTGGGTCAGCCTCCCCACCTCCACTCTTCCTTACTTCAAAGAGGTGCAAAGGAAGAGCAGTGTTTTGTCTTTTTTCTTTCTTTCTTTCTATCACCACACCACCCCCCACCGTCCCCCACCCCAAACAAAGATAAAACCTGAGAGTCGAAGCTTGTTCTCAGGAATACTAAGAACTTAGGGGCACAGCCATCCTCACACCAGTCCAAGACTTCTCAGAGTTCACTACACAGGGTTGAGGGCTGGACCGGCAAAACTCGATTTGCCCATCAAGTTAACTTGGTCGGCCTGGGACCCGAGGCCAGGGTGAAGGGACGACATCCCGGGGCCCTGTGGCTTCTCCCTAGAGCGCCCAAACAGCGGCGTAGGTCTGGGACGCCCCCGGCCCCCGGCTTTGGAAGAGGCTGGCGCGGAGCAGGCGCCTTGGAGCAGGGTCTCGGGGGTCCCCGGAACAGTCACGTGTTCTCGAGACGCCGTTAAACCCCCGCCCCCTCTTCCCCACCGCCGCCTCCAGGTCCTGCTCCCGCTGCTGCCGCCACCGCCGGGGTGCAGGAGCGATCGCGCTGGGCCGCGCTCCCGGGAGCCCAGGGCCTGCAGCGGCCGGGGCGCCCCGAGGTACGGGCTCCCGCCCCTCCCTGCCAACCCCTTTCGCGCCGGGTAGGCCTGCACCGAGGGGCCGTGGCGGGTCCCCGCGCGGGCTGCGAGTCTGCGCAGGTCCCTGGGAGCCCGCACCCGTCTCTGGTGCCAGGGCGTTGTCGGGGGTCCCAAGAGAGCGGGGTGGGGAAGGTGAAGGGAGCGCGGCTGGAAAAATGGGGATTAGGGTGGCGGAACAGGCACTTGTCAGGAGTGAAGAGACAGCGGAGAGGGTACTGGGCTGAATTCTTTCGTGCCGAGCAGGTCCCTCCGGTTCCCAACTCACCCGGGTGGAGCAGGCGCGGGCCGAACCCGGGAGGAGAGTGTCGGGGATCCGCGAAGGAGCCTCCTGGGGATGGGGCGGGGGATGGACAAAGCGCTGCCCCCGGCTGGACGCGCTCTGGCTGCAGCCCGGCTGGCATCCGGAGCTGGGAACAGCAGCCCGCGGGGTGCCCGGGTCAGGGCTCAACCCTAGCGGGTCTCTGGCGAGGCCGGGGGCGCAGCCCGCGGGGCGCCACTCAGGCCGTCCAGCTGCCGCGCGGTCCAGCGCTGACCCGAGCCCGGGAGGCAGCTGCGCTCTAAGGTTTGCGCTCCTGTTTGCGAGGTGTCTTCATATAACAAATGCGAGCAATAACAAACATCCATAGAACTCGAATTCCAGAAACGGGAATTCTTTTTTCCAAGTTCACAGACCTTTAGTTAATCTTTTAAAGGAACTGAGGCGTTGTGTTGGACCAAAGCCAAAACGATTTTACCTTAGACCATGGAAAATAGCCTAAGGCTCTTTCAGCAGAATTTTGCAGTCCGAATGCAATTTTAGATTTCAGATTTCTCAAGGGAAGAGAAACTCTGCTGTTAGAATTTGGAAGGGAGGGTGGTGCATGCCTGTGTGTTTGTCAGCTGAGCAGAGCTGTATTTATCTTTCCAATTCAAATTGTGCCAGATTCTGGCTTTAAGAACAAACCATGGGAATATTTGAGAACATGGAATCATGCTGCTGTTCCACGATCACAGCAAAACAGACAATAGTTGATATTGTATCATTGCAGGAGGAAAAAGAATTACATATATTTTATTCTTTTGTGTGATTGTCATCCTTTGTGAAAAGAATGATGTGTATTTTCATAAAGCAAAAAATTATTCAAACAAAGAAACCTTATTTAAATGTACAAGTCAGACTTTTAATATCCTTTGAATTCCCTGCAGTTCCTCCTATTATTCTTGAGAACTATCTACTTTCTTAAAATACTTAAAATCTATTCAGAAGGTTTCATTTGTCTAGGTGTCAGATATAGAAGAGTTTATAAGAAAATTCCAGTAAACCTTTAAAAAGATATTATTTTTTATAAGTTGCCATAGTTTAATAAAGAACTTTTATTTTTCACACTTTTTACTCAGAGATTAAAGTTCTGTGTTTCAGCCTGGAAATTCTGATGGTGGGAGATACAACTAATACAAAAGAGAATGAGTAAATATAGTAATTAGGTATGACAAAAGTCTCATGCTGTCAATATCAGATTTCTTGTCAAATAATATTCCATGTTAAAATATTTTTTCTCTGGCTATATTTCATAATTTATATAGCAATTTCAGAAGATTCACATATATCATTACTTTTATAATAGATAAAATATGTTGCATAAAAATGTACAGCACTCGTAATAACACTTGTTGAAATTTGGATTTCCATTGTAGGTCTGCTCATTGTGTTTTTCAGGAAAAAGGAAGGGAAAGGGTAAGTTTAATGGAAAAAATCCTGCTTTTTTGTTTGTTTTTTCATTTTAAGTGCGTTCCTGTACCTTAGATTTTCAACTTAAATCTTATTGTACAAAATTTTCCTAATGTTTAAACTATCCCCTGGCTACCAGGAGGCACTTTTAAAAAAACTACACGTCCACCACCACCCCTCCCCCACCCCCCCTCCCTGCCTCCAGCATTTGCAATATTCATTATTTAGTCGTAAGAAGAAATTCTTCCTTCATTGGAGCAAAGATTCACAGAATGTTCATTCTGTGCAGACTATATATTAGATATTACATGTGTGTATGTTTATGTGGTAGATGGTGTGGGGTGGGGCTAGAGGGAGAGCAGGAGAAAGTTGACTACAGTCACACCAAAATAAAATGAATAAATGAATGTTGAATGAATGAATGCTAAGAGAGAATTTTTTAAATTTGCTTATCAATCTATCAGTAGCTACATAAAGTATTCATTATATTCAGCAGTAATGCATGTGTCCATGCTATAGAGAAATAATATATTACTATCAGTCAGGAGAATGCCATTCATTTATTAATTCATTCATCATCCAATTTGGGGCCTTTTATATCTCAGCAATCTACAGTTACTCAGGGTGTGAGCTTGAATTAATCTATATAGAATATTCTTGGCATAGCACCTTGCATTAGTCGTCTTTATGCTTAGAGCAGAGCAGAGCACCTAGCAGAATATATGTTCAATAAATACTTTTTGAATGAATAAAAGAAGGAACAACTAATCATTCTTAGCTGTTCATTAATAGAAGGAGCCTACCCTTTAAAATTATATATAAATTATCTACTTTCTTAAAATACTCAAATGTTTTAAGGAATGAAAGAAGCATCCTCAGTTTTTTCTCCAGTGTCCAATGAATACTCAAGATGGCATTTATTTCATCTTCTTACTAAGGAGATGTGGTTTTACAATTTAATGCATTCAATATTTTATGTGCATATATTTAAAATAAAAGTTTTAATAACAGACTGCACAGTCGTGGAAATGGATATACTTCTTTTTTCATTTACATTTTTTAAATGTTGTAAATATATCTTACAGTTTTAGTTGCATGTTGCTTGTGTGATAGCCTTTATCAATGAAGTTATCCAAATTTAAAGTGCTAAACTATCTTTATTGTCTGTCTAGGTATCTCCTCCTCATTGCATTTTGGGGCCATTTGAAACATCTATAATTTCAATGGTTCTCTATAAATGTATATATAAAGATACATATACACACATATATATGTACACACAAAAATATAGTCATACTCTATCCTGAATTTTCCCACATTGCCAGAATGATTCATTTCTGTTATTTTAAAGCAAGGGAAATTAAACTGCTTTTCTAAAACGATTGGTAAGAAATATTTACTTAGCATCCACTATGTGTAATATGCTTTATTAAACATCATTTCTAGAATGAAAATAATTAAGAGTTTTATCTCCATTCGAATATAATAGAGAGGTCTAACCACATGGAATGGAGAAAAATCTGAATTTTAGACTCAAAACTACATTGTTTCTATTACCACAAATTGTGCTGCATCTTCTCTTTCTTCAAAAAATTTTGGACAGCAATTTTACACTAAGTAAGTATCATCCACAGTTACATGTTCCAAAAAGGCACAAAGCCGTTGTAGAAGGGGCCATCTAATTTCTCTCTTGTTCTTGCTTAGGTGTTACAAGGAAAGGCTATCGGTAACAACTGACCTGCCACAAAGTTAGAAGAAAGGATTGATTCAAGAAAGTAAGTCAAGAGAAGAACAACTAAGCAGGATTGCAGTTACAAGCAGCCTGTACACAATTATAAATATAAATAGGATCATGAATAAGCTGAATTGAGCCAGGGGATCATCAGAACTCAGGAAATTAGGCAAAAGCACCAGTCAAAGCTGTTTTGATTAGAAGCTTGCTGACCTATCCAGAGTAGGTGCTGAGAGGCCATTGACTGGGAATATGATGAATAATATGATTCAGTAGGTCATGCGAGTCACTTTTGTACCAGGTGTTCTTTGTCATTGAGGCAATATCAATGTAAATTGTTGGCTAGGGTCTAAGAATGAATGAATACAATCCTAAGTCTTTGAATTAACTTATCCTTTAAAAGGATGTAGTTAGCTTCCAGAAAATAATTTGGTCAACATAGAATCACTTGTAGAAGTTGTGAAAAACTTGTAACTTTTCTCATAGCACAATGATGACTCTGTCATCCTGTTTGAAACTTGCTACACATAGAACTGAAGTTAAACTTATTTGTAATGAATGTATGTACACAATAGTATTTGCCATTTGGAAATTTATTGAACGAAGACCTGCAGGTCCCTCATAAATTAAAGATAACAGTGTTTACTATTAATTTAAATAAACATGTATTTTTATAGTTTTAGTATAATTATTCAATTATAGATCTAGAAATAAGTAGATAAACATATATTGATAGGTAACAAAAGTGGTTTTTTAACTATATATATCACAATCTCTACGACAATGTATTTATTGGAATTAATTTCTTTGTTGGTTTGTGTTTTCTGTAGGAAATTCTTGTTAAAAGAACATTAAAGTGGCTGGGCACAGTGGTTCATGCCTCTCATGCCTATAATCCCAACAGTTTGGGAGGCCAAGGTGGGAGGTTTACTTGAGGCCAGGAGTTTGAGACCAGCCTGGGCAACATAGCCAGGCCCCATCTCCACAAAAAATAGAAAGATTAGCCAGATGTAGTGGCACGTGCCTGTAGTCCCACGTGCCTGTAGTCCCAGCTGCTTGGGAGGCTGAGATGAGAGGATTGCTTGAGTCCAGGCGTTCAAGGTTACAATGAGCTGTGGTCACACTACTGCACCCCAGCCTGGGCAACAGAATGAGACCCTTTTTCTAAGAAAAATAAAAAGGTAAAAAAAAAAAAAAGTCCTTTTTTTTTTAAACGAGAGGAGGGAGTCCTTTTGCCTCTTATTGGTATGTTATAGGCAATTTAGTGCTTCATCAGGCAGTAGCATCAAAAGTCTAATATGTAGAGGTAAATACGTAATGCCATTGATGTATGACATTAATTTAATTTGAAATGAAGAAAACTTATTACCGGGAGTTATATTAATATCACTGCTACATTTACGTTTAAGGTATAATGTTTTCCTTGAACAATGAATTCATTGACTCGTTCATAAGCCAAAATCTATACACAGTTTTTAAATTAATCAACAGGTGAAATTTGATTGTTTGTTTTTTTAAAACGCCAACAGCCTGCTAGTCTGTCAGTGGTTGTCCTAATCAGAGATAATCTGGCACATCTCAAACCATTGAGGATTGGTCACAGAAAGATGTCATCATCCAGCATTGCGTCCACACAGTCAACAGTAGAGTTTGATAAATATATTTAATGAGTGCCTACTATATGCATCTGGGTCATGAGATAGTGATCCTATTCTCAAGGAGCATAAATTTGAACATTGTACGAACTAGGTGATATTTGTTACTAGAGTTTTGTTTGAACGTTTTATTCTCTCATAAACATTTATTTAATACCTGCAGTGATGAAGTTACTCTGCCATGTATTGGGATGGATTCCAAAGTGAGTAAGAGATAGTTTCTGCTTTTCCATTGCTTGTAAATAAACAAGGTAGATGGGTAGGCATTATAATGCAATGAAAGCAGATTATGATATGTAGCATCAGACAACTGTAAACAGAATGTAACAGGAGTTCTGAAGAGGAGATCATGTCCAGCCGAGTTGACCAGGACAAGTGACTTTTAAGTTTGGCCTAGATTGAGATAGAAATAAATGGAATTTTTATGATAAGATTATGTGACTATACTACATACCAGGTATATTGACTTGGAGAATAATATTAATGAGTGATTGCAAAGCATGTATCTTGAAGTTCTTGTCTACATTTGCCTTTTTCTTTCCTTACGTTATTTACTACAGAAATTTTAAAAATGCAATCTACTACCTTAACATAAATTAATACATCTTAGAAGTAATGATAAAATTAAATTTACTATAATCATTATTGGCTGATACTTGAATTGCCCTTGGAACGAGTTAAAGGTATCATAAACTTTCTGGGCTGGGCACGGTGGCTCACGCCTGTAATCCCAGCACTTTGGGAGGCCGAGGCGGGCGGATCACGAGGTCAGGAGATCGAGACCACGGTGAAACCCGGTCTCTACTAAAAATACAAAAAATTAGCTGGGCGCAGTGGCGGGCGCCTGTAGTCCCAGCTACTCGGGAGGCTGAGGCAGGAGAATGGCGTGAACCCGGGAGGCGGAGCTTGCAGTGAGCCGAGATGGCGCCACTGCACTCCAGCCTGGGCGACAGAGCGAGACTCCGTCTCAAAAAAAAAAAAAAAAAAAAAAGATATCATAAACTTCCTTAGGAGATTAATAAGGTCACGGGAGCTGATTGTAATATTTAGTTTCCCTCTGAATAGATTAATTTAAAGTAGTCATGTAATGTTTTTTTGGTTGCTGACAAATGTCTTTTTATTCCAAGCAGGACTATAATATGGATTTAGAGCTCGACGAGTATTATAACAAGACACTTGCCACAGAGAATAATACTGCTGCCACTCGGAATTCTGATTTCCCAGTCTGGGATGACTATAAAAGCAGTGTAGATGACTTACAGTATTTTCTGATTGGGCTCTATACATTTGTAAGTCTTCTTGGCTTTATGGGGAATCTACTTATTTTAATGGCTCTCATGAAAAAGCGTAATCAGAAGACTACGGTAAACTTCCTCATAGGCAATCTGGCCTTTTCTGATATCTTGGTTGTGCTGTTTTGCTCACCTTTCACACTGACGTCTGTCTTGCTGGATCAGTGGATGTTTGGCAAAGTCATGTGCCATATTATGCCTTTTCTTCAATGTGTGTCAGTTTTGGTTTCAACTTTAATTTTAATATCAATTGCCATTGTCAGGTATCATATGATAAAACATCCCATATCTAATAATTTAACAGCAAACCATGGCTACTTTCTGATAGCTACTGTCTGGACACTAGGTTTTGCCATCTGTTCTCCCCTTCCAGTGTTTCACAGTCTTGTGGAACTTCAAGAAACATTTGGTTCAGCATTGCTGAGCAGCAGGTATTTATGTGTTGAGTCATGGCCATCTGATTCATACAGAATTGCCTTTACTATCTCTTTATTGCTAGTTCAGTATATTCTGCCCTTAGTTTGTCTTACTGTAAGTCATACAAGTGTCTGCAGAAGTATAAGCTGTGGATTGTCCAACAAAGAAAACAGACTTGAAGAAAATGAGATGATCAACTTAACTCTTCATCCATCCAAAAAGAGTGGGCCTCAGGTGAAACTCTCTGGCAGCCATAAATGGAGTTATTCATTCATCAAAAAACACAGAAGAAGATATAGCAAGAAGACAGCATGTGTGTTACCTGCTCCAGAAAGACCTTCTCAAGAGAACCACTCCAGAATACTTCCAGAAAACTTTGGCTCTGTAAGAAGTCAGCTCTCTTCATCCAGTAAGTTCATACCAGGGGTCCCCACTTGCTTTGAGATAAAACCTGAAGAAAATTCAGATGTTCATGAATTGAGAGTAAAACGTTCTGTTACAAGAATAAAAAAGAGATCTCGAAGTGTTTTCTACAGACTGACCATACTGATATTAGTATTTGCTGTTAGTTGGATGCCACTACACCTTTTCCATGTGGTAACTGATTTTAATGACAATCTTATTTCAAATAGGCATTTCAAGTTGGTGTATTGCATTTGTCATTTGTTGGGCATGATGTCCTGTTGTCTTAATCCAATTCTATATGGGTTTCTTAATAATGGGATTAAAGCTGATTTAGTGTCCCTTATACACTGTCTTCATATGTAATAATTCTCACTGTTTACCAAGGAAAGAACAAATGCTGGGGTCATATAAAATATATTTATGATAACTATTTACATATAATAAATAGAAATTTTGTTAACATGGAATTTAATTTATGTGAAAGAGTTCTGGATTCAAATGTCAGTTCATAATATATGGAAGATAATTTTATGTGTTATAGTAGGATTAATTTATTTAGTTGTGCAGTCAGTGTCAATCCAATCTGTAATTTCACTTTAGAAGGTTGTATTACCTTCCACTTCCATGTTGTCTTATAAACAAATGAATTGTATTTTTTGTTGAAAGTAAAAGTTATATCTAACCAACTCAGTACTTTTGTCCAAAAATATAATAAGAAAAAATTTTTCTCGAGGAACTTTTAATTTCAAACTTGAAGAATATCTACCAGCTATCTATATTCATTTCTACTCCATAGGCTTCTTAATGTTTAGTTTGTGAAGTACAGAAAAAATTTAATATGCCTGGAAAATCACAACTAAATGACAGATGTATGCCCAAATTATGATTATAATCTTCAACATTAAGTACAGTTTTGGAAGTCCTGTAGGAAAATGCTATTGCCTATTGAGAATTGGTCAAATTGTCAATTTAACTCCACTGTCCTAGTAATACACAAGTAATTTACCAAATAAAGAATTTTAAATCCTTTCCAGACTCATTATACAACATTAAACACTACCAATAAAAGTTGTTTTCATATACATCTTTTCTATTCTAAAATGTGAAGTCTAAATGGTATCTGTATTTCCAATTATTAAATAATTTTAAAGAATATTTTAAATGTGCACAGATAATTTTTTTTTGGCCAACATATAGAATGATTAATATACTTTATACTGTTTCAATACTGTAGTCTCATATGCTGTCTTGTTAAATTGAGGTCAGTCTTTTCAATTGTTGAAACTTTGTTTTAGCCTAGTCTTTTAAAGAACCAAGTATCTGAAAAAAAATAGCATATTTTCATATACGATTCAGATGTTCATAATAACATTGACATCTTCAGTTCCTATAACTGATTTAAGCCTTTTCCATATTGATTCCTGTTCATAATACGGGAAAACAATGAAACAAAACAAACACAAAAGCTCTAAGTTTACAAGTAATAAGCCATGCTGGTAAGTATTTAATTAATTAAAAATCCAAAATCTCTATGGGGCATTCTTTATGCCCTTCTTCTTCCCTGGATGATATCCACATACGGGAAATTGGTGTGATTTCTTGCCACAGGGAAAATAGTGCTGGTCTACAAAATATCCTCTACTGGTTCCTGCTGAACTCCAGTTGAGGCACGATAATGTTGCCTTGTTTCTGTGTTACATCAGGCTCTGCTGTACCATGTATGCTCTGTTCTCAACAACGTTAAGGCCTCAGAGTCCAGCTCCAGAATCCCCAACCCCTGCTGACATGGTAGGATTGATATTCTCATTGACTTAAACTGTCGTTGCTTGAGTGTCAGCCACATCCTCTGTTTTGTTCAAAGGTTAGGCTGTCTACTCTGTGGAGTCTTGCTATGCAGTCAATGACATTGCCCCTTGCCAAACCTGGAAACTATTGGAGAACTTTACATTCATCACTGGAACTCCACAGGAACTTACGAAACACTATTCCTCACATAGATAACAAAGAACTGAGGCAACTTGGGCTTACTCAGGCTTTCTCTCTGCTCATATGTGATAAGCTGCCCTATCAACTCTGTTGTGTCCAGTCCATGTTGGTACAATAGCACTCTGCCTCTCAGTCCTTTTTTAGACTTTCAAATATAAATCTGGTCACAAGCCCCCTCTGCTTTTAGCTTCCCTCGAATCTTTCTGGTGCTATATGAGTGCCTGTCCCAAGTTTTTATATTATAACAGATGGAAAAGGTGAAAAAACTTGGTTCACTTTTGCTTTTCTGTTTTCCTCTTTCCTTTTTATTCTAAGGGATTCTACTTTTTTCTGCCTAGTAAGAATGTCCCTCACGAATATCATCCCTTTTCTCTGCACTATGACATAGTAGAACTATGTTAATCAAGGCTTGCTTTTGGAAGGGAAGATTTTTGTGATTAAAACTTTTTTTTTCTTCTCTCATTCTCACCATGGACAAAAGAAGAAGGGAAAGGGGAGTAATCTGAGGACTGACCTCTCATTTAAAAGCAATTGGCATTTGCACTTTCACTAGCACAATTAATTTCAAGGTTCGATGTTAGTGGCTGAAGGGAGAAAAATCTCACCGATAAGGGCTCATATAAATGCATAGGGAGGTGTTTTATCCTGTTAGAAAAACTTGCATTAGCAAATATACAATAACTGCCAAACTTCACAGGTTTTATGGCTGTTGATAGATGAGTTTACTTCAGCTGGATAAACTAATTTGAGGCTCTTAAACTATTGAACTCGAAGCAAGAAATTTATCTTTCCTAAACAGAAATAACCGAATGTTCTTAATAATTGAAAGTTGAGAACTTTGGATGGGCTGGTGGACAGAAGTCATTGAGATTGGGATTAATGGTTTTAGAAGATTATTATGAATAATGATTTATTTTATAGACACTTGCTTAGTGAGTTAAACAATTTATGTTCATTCAACTCTCCATTGCTCAAAGGCTGATTATCTTTTTCCTATTCTCTCCTGGTGTCTGACTTGATTACTTGTTAGCATCTTCACAAAAGCATGGCTAGGGGAAATGAGATGAAATTATAAACAGTCAACCTCATTACTTTTTTGCAATTATTTAGAAATATTTAATTCAGGAAGAGATGTTACATTGGGTGTTACTGGTTATTTAAATTATTCCTGACCAGACATGGTGGCTCACGCCTATAATCCCAGCATTTTAGGAGGCCAAGTTGGGAGAATTGCTTGAGCCCAGGAGTTCAAGACTAGCCTGGGCAACATAGGGAGACCTTGTCTCTACAAACATTTTAAAAGTTAGTTGGGTGTGGTGGTGCATGCCTGTAGTCCTAGCTGCTCAGGAGGCTTAGTTGGAAAGATTGCTTGAGCCCAGGAGTTGGAGGCTGCAGTGAGCCATAATCATGCCACCGTACTCCAACCTGGGGAACAAAACAAGACCCTGTCCCAAAAAAAAAAAAAAAATTATTCCTTCCAGCTATGTTGCCCATTACTGTGAAAAATAAAACACCAGATTTTTTTTTTAAAAAAGCTGGCAAAAGCACAAAGAGCAATTCAATTAAATGATGAAGAAATATATATGAGGATTATTTTAACCAACAGATGTCTATTGAATATCTAGTGTGTACTAGGGACTCTTTTAGGTAACAGACCAAAAAGATCCCTACTCATTTGATGCTGGCTTTCTGGAAAGTGGGGAGTCAGTGGCAGGAGGTGAACAAGCAATAGAAATAAGAACAATAAAATGAAGTATATAGTAGTGGTACACTATATAGATACATGTATTGTTTCCAAAGGCTGCCAAAACAAAGCACCACAAGCTGGGTGGCTTAAAACAACAGACGTTTATTGTCTCACAGTTCTAGAGGCTAGAAGCCTGAAATCAGTGTGTCTGCAGGACCATGCTCCATCCGAAACCTGAAGGAGAGCCCTTCCTTGCCCCTTTCTGGCTTCTGGGGCTAGCTGGCAATCTTTGGTATTCCTTGCAGCTGCATAACTCCAACCTCTGCCTTGTCATATGATGTTCTCCCTGTGTCTCTGTGCTCCAGTCTCTCTCTTCTTATAAAAACACCAGTCATATTGGATCACCCCCCAAACCCATCCACACTCTAGCAGAACATCATCTTAGTTGAACTAACCACATCTGCCATGTCTTTATTTTCAAATGAGGTCACATTCTGAGGTATTGGAGACTAATATTTCAGTATTTTTTTAGGCAGGAGGACAATTCAACCCAATAACAGTATATTAGTAGTAATGATTAGAATCTTAATACAATACAGAGCAGGGTCAGAAGTCACGCGCATGTGGCATGAGGGAAAAAAAGAGATGGATGCAACTTCAAATGGGATGGTTCCATACTTTCATTGAGAAGATGACTTTTGTGCAAAGACTAGGAAGAGGTGAGGAAGTGAGCTGTGTGACTACTGGGGAAAAGAGGACTGCAGGCAGAAGGTACAGCCAGTGCAAAGGCTTTGAAGCCAGGAGCACACTGAATGTCAAAGGAACAGGAAGGTTTCACTGTAGCAGAAGTGCAACAGACAGAAATGAAGCAAGGAGCCGGTTTAGGGACAGATGACACAGGTCCTTGTAGGTATTTGTAAGGATGTTGAATTTCACTTTTGGTGAAATGAGGAGTTATTGTGGATATTGATCAGCGAGAAGACATAATCTGTCTTACACTAAAAAGATAGCTGTAGTTATGAAAACAGACTGTGTTCCTCTAACTTCATTTGTGATATTCACCACCATGGATGCTTAATGCCAATATATATGTTAGTTCACTGGGGGTTGCAAAAATGGTGAAGTTTTAATTCTATTATTTATTTCACATTTATTAGATTAAATACATTAATGAAAAGATACTTTCTTGTATCTATAATTTGGTTATGCAATGGTACAGTTCATTTAGGAAAGACAATGAAAGTTTGATACTATCTCTTTATTTACGAATTGTTAGAAAGTGATCAACTCATGGATGTAAACACATTTGATTGGCTTTGATTCATTGCCTTTATTATCATTATTGAAGCTCAAATAGTTCCATCTTTGGCCAGTAGGAGCTCCTTCAAGTTACCTCCAGGTCATTATGTTTTTTTGGTTCAGTATTTATAATTTTTACCTGTGAAACAGTCTGATACAGTAGAAGCTACTTAATCACAACAGAAGAAGGTGTCCATTATGTGAATTCTAAATCATAAATGATAATGGGAAAATTTGAAAGAATGAGAGTTTCTCAACCATGGGATTTTAGGTTTCTCTCTCTTTCTCTCAATAGGTTTCCTAAAGGGGTTGAACGTCAAGAGCTAGTCAGCATAATATTGAACTTGGATAATCCTGAACACTTTTAGTAATTTTATTATACTCCATGTAATTTGTTTTAAAGGCAGGCTAATGCAACGCATGCAGTTCAATGTAAATCAGAAACATTTATCAAAAGTGTTAAAAGCTAGGACTGTTTAGTAGTGGATATTCAGGAAAATAGCTTTTCCAGGTGAAATGGTGGTCAGTCTGGCACTAACTACTCTCAAATTCACCATAGAAGTGTTTGTGAGGATGGTGATAAAAAGGATGACAAGATATTACAATTATATTCTTTTACGTTTTCCATGAAAATTCTTGTTCCTAGTATTGCATCCTAAATACAGGTTTATCATCCTTTATAAATCATTACTGAGCTGACCGGAACTCATAAGATGCTAATTATGGTCTTTATTTAGCCCACTTGGCAGGTATCGTCATGCATTTTGCTACGGAAATATTAATATTTTTGATTATAGACAGCGACCCCAGACCACACTGGGGGTAGTAAATAATGCATAGCATGGATATCCATATAATATTTATATCCAATATGAAGTTATATTAATATTTTTCTAAATATGCTGGATCTCAGAATTTTAGATACAGGGTTATGGATATACAATCTATATATCTACTACTTACTTATTCCCCATCAACTACACTTTAGTAAATAATTTCTTTGGACTTTTTTATTCCTTATGTATGTAGGTAGGTATCTATTTAAAAAAAGTGTCAGTAGATCTGTCACATAAGTCTAAATTTTCTAGTTCTAAAGTTCATACCCTTTTCTTAGATGCTAGCTTGGAAAACCCGCCGTCTAAATTCCCTAATCCTTGAGATAAGAGGTCTAGAATAGCAATAGTTTTTGGCAGGCATGGCAATTCTGATTAGTCTTGGGTGCTTGGATACCAGGTAGCAGGGACTGTAAAGGCCTCTCTGGTCTCTGGAGATGGGGGGTGATATGAATGATGTCCAGTGCCTTCCCTGGAGGCAAAGAAGCAAAATCAGAGCAGCACTGGTGTGGACCTTGCTTCAGTCCATTTTCCCATCTAATCCAGGCACAGTCTCTAGGCTTCCTCTTTTCAACAATTGAATCGAAACCTAACAATTAGAAAACATTATAATGATTATTGGTATGATAAAAATATGAAGTGTTATTTTATCATCATAGTTGTTGTCATCACTGTCATCATAGACAATGGAAGCTTATTATTTGCTAGACACACTGAAGGCACTTTACGTGAGTGATCTCATTTGCATCCCTGCCTTCAAGGACAGTGCCATTGGTGCTGCTGTGTGTCAGTGTCTCCTTAGTGTGTTCTTTAGACCTTCGGGTAGCCCATGGAAGTATTTTGGGCCATTAAAGTCACTAAAGACACAATTAGGTGCTATTTAAATATCCACTAAAATATTATTTATTTAATCTCCCTTCTTTTAACAGAGCAGTTTTGAGAGTTCCTATGTGCACATTGAGTGGAAGTTTAGGATGGTTAATATAGTCCAGAGAGCCTGCTGGTGACGCAGTAACTCAGCTGATAAAGCACTTAGCAGAATGCTGTAAACCACAGTGGTACTTTTGACCATTATACAGTTTGTAATTATTTTAAGACTTAGGCTTAGGTTGTTTAATATGGACCACTGTTGAATAGGAAACATAGGGAACACTGCGTTAAACTACAAGTTAATAAGGAGGATGATTGTGGTGATAAACCTGCAAATTTGTCTCAAGATGCTGTATAACAGCTTTAGAAATTCCATTATCTAATTTAAATGTTTATATAGCATATTAAGATACTTCTATACCTAATAAAAACATTGTTAAATGAGAAAATAATTGGGCCTATTTGGTGTTTGATTTATTGGGAACAAAGATGATCAAATCCATAGTAAAGCTTTGAAGAGAAGCACTAAACTGCTAAAATATTGAATCATTTGGAATCAAAATGCAAAAATATTATAAAGTTGAATTTATGAAGTACAAAATGAAACAACTACAAACATCAGATTGTGAAAGTAGGTTTTTGAGGGTTTTTTGTATATTATTAACTTCATCAATATTTAGTTTCATCAGAATCTATAGTTTAAAATACATCTACCATCAAAGATACTATTTTTATTTGGGAATCGGTGAAGTTATTTCAATTTATTTTAAAGTAAGTTAAGTACCATGTGTATGTGCAAAAAAAATCAAAATCTCTCTCTCTCCCTACAGATATAGTGAATATTGTTAAAGGTAAATGAAAATAAGATCCTCCTCCCCCTAAAATTAAAAAAAGAGAATATATTAAACAGCAGCTTGGGCGGTCTCTATAGACACCTTTGTTGTACACTCGTACAAAGTGTAGAGCTAAGAGTTTGGTGGCAATTCAAGAGATAGAAAAGAAATAGGCAATAGAGGTCCACTCTGATCTTGGACTTTATTTGTTCTTGGTCTTTGTTAAAGTCTGCTGACAGCCTTCCCACACTCAATGCTAACCAATTTGCAGTCCTCTTCTCCAATTAGCTGGTCTCACTTCTCTTTTCCCCTAGAGTTAACCAAGCATCTTTCACTGATTTTTTTTTTCTATCACCTTTTGTACACATTTTCCTTTTTTTCTATTGTGTATCTTGATTAAAATGGTGACAGATTATCCCCTACCCTAACTTTAATCATTTTTCTTAAAGGACAATTTGATTCTTATTAGAGCTTTCTTTTTTGACTTATTAGAACATGATGGTGAAAAGATTTGTTTCTTGTTTGAACCTAATTCTATTATCATAAGAGGTCTCTGTCAGAAGCTTTGCCACTTTTCGGATCACTGTATTTGTCTTCTCAGGGTTTAGGCAGCAGACACCTACATTTAGATTATTCTTTCAATTCCTGAGTCCTTTAAGGAATATATGTCCACTTTTTCTGCCTCCGTTTTACCAAAACCCAAGTTTTTTTGTTTCTTGTCCTCCAATAAGACAGATAATTTCAGATACCTATATGTAGCTGTAATTTGCTAATCCTGACATGTAATCAAAAGGAATAGGAATGGGAGAGGGAGGGATGTCACAGGTAATTCAACGAAAATATTTGGCTGACTTTGCTATGCCTTTTTCACTTTGGAAAATTTACTGTTTTTGTTATCATATTCACATAAGTTCTTGATAAAACAGGTGTTTACTACCCTGAATACACACTATTCCAGGATTACAGTGATGAGTAGCAAAGAAATGACTTCCTAATCACTTAGGTGGGTGATGAAGGGTTTATGGTGGTCAATACAATAAACTGATATTTTCACTGTATCAATTTCAGGTGACCACAGAAAGCTTTGAAGTGCCTGATTTTAAAAAGTCATTTCCATTATTCTCATTGTACTCTTATTCCAGCAACCAGGTGAAGATCTATTTTTTGTAACAGCTTTATTGAGACATAAGTAATATACTGTAAAATTCACACTTTTAAAGTGTTTAATATATAGTCACAGAGTTTTGCAATTCATACTCCTCTCTGATTTTAGGCTATTTTCATCACTCCAAAAGTCCCTGTGCCCATTAGCAGCCACTCATCATTTTCTCCCTCTCCCTTCCTTTGGCAACCACTAATCTAGTTGCTATTTCTATGAATTTTTCTTTTCTGGACATTTTATATAAATGGAGTCATATAATATGTAGTCTTTTATGACTGGCTTCTTTCAATAGTATGTATTCAAGTTTAATTCATGCGGTAAAATGGATAGTACTTCATTAATTTTTATTGTCACTTACTATTTTATTGCATTGATACAATACACTTTGTTTATCCATTTTCTGCTGATGGACATTTGGGTTGTTGGCATGAAGTGGTACCATCTGTAGTTTTGATTTGCTTTTTTTTTTTTTTTGGATATAAGGTCTCACTCTGTCGCGCAGGCTGGAGTGCAGTGGAGCAATCGCAACTCACTGCAACCTCCACCTCCCGGATTCAAAAGATTCTCATGCCTCAGCTTCCTGAGTAGCTGGGATTACAGGTGTGTGCCACCATGCCAGGCTCATTTTTTTTTTTTTTTTTTTGTATTTTTAGTAGAGATGGGGTTTCACCATGTTGGCCAGGCTGGTCTCGAACTCTTGACCTCAAATGATCCCTTACGCCTCAGCCTCCCAAAGTGCTGAGATTACAGGCATGAGCCACCACACCCAGACTGATTTGCATTTCTCTAATGACCAGTGATGTTGAACATCTTTTCATGTGCCTATTGGACATTTGCTTATCTGCTTTAGAGAAATGTCCATTTATCTTTCCATCGTTGAGTTGTAAGAGTTCTTTCCATATTCTGGATAAAAGTCCTCATCAGACAGAGGATTTGCCAGTGCTCTCTCTCATGCTGTAGGTTGTCTTCATTTTCTCAATGGTATTCTTCAAAGCTCAAAATTTTCTAGTTTTGATGAAGTACAATTTCGCTAGTTTCTCTTTTCCCTTGGGCTTTGGGTATCATGTCTAAGATGCCATTGCCTAACCCAAAGTCACAGAGATTTATTTCTAAGTTTTCTTCTAGAACTTTAATAGTTTTAGGTCTTACATTTCTGTCTGTGATTCAATTTGAGATACTTTTTGTATATTGTTTAAGGCAGAGGTCCAGCTTCATTATCTTGCATACTGCTATGCAGTTGTCTCAACAACATTTTTTAAAAAGACTTCTTTCCCTATGGAATTCTCTTGGTACCGTTGTCAAATATTAATTAATTATCAATGTAAGGATTTATTTCTGGACTTGGAATTCTACTCCACTGATTAGCATTTCTACCTTATGTCAGTACCACACCATCTTGATTACTGTAGCTTTGTAGTTAAATTTTGAAATCAGGAAGTAAGTCATCCAAATTTGTGCTGTTTCAAGATTGTTTTGGGTACTTCTGTTTGCATAAATTTCTCACTCTCTCCTCTCTTTTTGGAACTCCTATTATGCCTATATTGATCTCATAGTAAAATGAGTTTGTTTTAGAAAATTCTCTGTATTTTAATATATTTGTTATTTTCCCAAGGCCATTTTTCATCTTATTATGAAATGATAATATTCTTTAATTCTTATGCTTTTAAGTATTGTCACTTTTAAAGTCTTTTGTGTATTTCCTTTGATTTGTGTGTTAGGTAAGCTAGGTGTTACAGAAGCATATCATTTTCTCTTTTCTGGTGATTACAAATAATTGTCATAATCATTTCCTGCTCAAGCCCAACTTGCTGGTATGATGACAACAGCAGAAGTAGCAAACTAAATAATAGACCCTCAACTCTGGGTAACTTGTGTAGAATTCTTTCTTTTACTAGGAAAATTAGCCTCTGCTTTTCCCATGCCACAGGAAACTGTGGTATGGGTAAACACCAGCAACTACTACATCATAAAATGGGTATAGTAACTGGAACTTCCCTGAACTGACCAGAGAACCTGTGAAAATTCTCCAGGACCCAGAAACACATGTTTAGATTTACTTTTTTGTTGTTGTTATTGTTGTTCCTGTTTTGACTCCAACTTTCTTTTATGTTTTCTCTACTACCCATGGTAGAAAATAGTGCTTCCTATTTCAATGCTAAGATTTAGATGTGCAGATCCACTATTTTAAGGTGATGTCATTAAATATGGGAGTAGTAGAAATCTCTAATGCCAGTTTACTTTCCTCTAAGTATGAGCAAACCATGTATTCAAAGAACCAGATGTATATTTTCAGTATTCTGTAGAAACCAGTTGGAAGTGTTATACTGACACCACTTATTGTTTACTCTCCTTGTAATTTTGTTGGTGCTAATCTTTTCCTCTAAGATCAGGTTAATATTTGTAAAATGCTATTTGAACATACTTATATATTATAGTGTCAGTTTTCATTCATATCATTTTACTCCCTAATATTAGGAATTTCTGATTTCATAGTCTTTCTTTTCCAAAGAGTTTGTTTCAGGTGATTTTTACATTCGTTTAGGTGTTTTGATTATTTAGCCGTAAGTATGTAATTCTAACAAAAATCAATTTTCATTCCAACAGAAGTTTTAAAGAAAAATTTTCTTCTTATAGTAATCTGTGGATATAAAGGAAAATATGTAAAGTCTAACCATATAAAACTGCCAATAATCAATCATTTTGACTTACAAAAAATGATCATATCGTAAGCTTCAACCTATAAATAAAAGCCTGGAAGTTGTCCAACATTGGCAAGTTATAGAGGTTTAAGACTATTCCGGGAAGGAGATTTATTTTCTTCTACTTCTTTATATTTGTATAATGTTTCATTTATGTTTATTGGTTATAAAAAAACTTAAGCTATATTAAAATACTATGGCATTCACTTTAAGAATATATGTGACAAGAGGGAGCTATGGAATCTCTTGAGAGCATTCCACTAAAATATAATCCCCATGAAGGCAGAGACTTGTCTAAATTATTCATCAGTTTCTCCTCAGTGTTTATTTTGGTGCTTGGCTAAGCGAGTGATAAATAATTAAGTGTTGTAAGATCAAATCTATGAGCAGACATATAACAAGCCTTCTCAAATAATTAAATATATTTTTAGAATCAAGAGGGTTCATGAAGCACTGGGGCCTCAGTCACAAGACATTATGAATCTTCAATCTTGGGTTTTGCCACAGAGGTGATTTAATTATTGTCCATGTATCTGCTTTTCTTCTGAGTAACTATCAACTCTTTATGAATTTGGTCTTCTCTATATATTATTCTCTTCTGTTTCCTTCCTATTTTCTCCACTTGCTATGACACTCCTCTCTTCTCAACATCAATTTTATCTCAGGATCCTAAATTTAATATCTGGTGTTTCTTAATTGCACCCCATTCACTTTGCTTATATTGCTAACTGCTTCATTTTTTCACAATAGGGACTAAGCATAGTACCTGACTAGATAAATGGTATTTTTAGACACTGTGGGAAGTAAAAATGGTCACACAAAAATGATGTATCAGGCAGCTTTTATGGCCATTGGTCTAGAGATAGGAAGTCCAAAGTGGTAAATCCAGTGATGAAGAGAGAAAAAGTTGCCTAGTGGAAAAGTCCCTGTGGCAAGGGAGAAACTTTAGAATAATGATTACACTGTATGGTATTTAGTTTTCTACTGGTGAGTATGCTGTGCTATAATGTTGCATTCTTCCTCAGTATCACCTATCCCATTTTCTCCAGAAAATCTACAATACATAATAGTCTTGATTAAGTGGCTGTTTTAGGGGATGAATGAAGTGGGATGGGGAGAGGGTGGCAACTAGAGGAGCCCAGAACAATGGTGAGAAGACGGACAATACTGGGAAGCAATCCTCAGCACATCTTCACTTAGGAGCAGACGTGATGTGAGGGAGAAACATTTCCCCCCATATATGAGATGAGAGTGGCCCTTGAAAAAGTTACACTTAAGACTCAGTGCTCCCTGTGTTTATTATCTCTGATGGTGACACAGTTGTAGTCACCCCTATGTCCTATTTTGCTTCCACTTTCCCAATTCCTTCTCATTCCTGATGTTCTCACTGGGGAAAATAAAAATAAAATTTTCTGCCAGTCCGCTGAATTCTCTCCACAAAGGTAGAAAATAATTAAGCAATTTCATTATTAGATAAACATTAAACCAGATTGCAATGCACATCACAGGCAATTTGCTAAAGCAATTTTAAGAACAGAAAGAAGTCTCACCATTTTATAAAAATAGGCAGATGCGGCTGGGCGTGGTGGCTCACGCCCGTAATCCCAGCACTTTGGGAAGCCCAGGTGGGTAGATCACGAGGTCAGGTGATCGAGACCATCTTGGCTAACACGGTGAAACCCTTTCTCTAATAAAAATACAAAAACATTAGCCCGGCGTGGTGGCGGGCTCCTGTAGTCCCTGCCACTCGGGAGGCTGAGGCAGGAGAATGGCGTGAACCCGGGAGGTGGAGCTTGCAGTGAGCTGAGATCAGGCCACTGTACTCCAGCCTGGGTGACAGAGTGAGGCTCCGTCTCAAAAAAAAAAAAAAAAAAGGCACATGCAACCCATTGCCTGTATGTTCTCAAGATAAAGGATAACTTGTCCACCAGTAAGAAGACTTGACAGAACCATTCGCTCTACGTAGTTTATCCTAAGTTCACTTGGTACTGCGTGGACATCTGTGTTGGCTGATTGTCTTTATCCAAAAGGTCTTATTCTGCTATGCGATGCGATGCGATGAGGTGCGGTGCGGTGCGGTGCTATGCTATGCTATGGTGGTAATTACAACTGAGAGCCAGGAACCTAGTTAAACTCCTATAGACAGAAATATAGGGGTACTATCTTCCTTATGTGTACAGTTCAAAGACAGGGCTCCAAGTTTCTTCAGGTAAAACACTCCTGAGTAATAAAACCGTTAGGACGCTTTTAGCTTTTTGGAAGATTTACATCCAAATAAAAAAGACAGAAATAATTTACAATTACTTGTTTTTTAAAGAAAATGATGTAAGAGAAAAGAAGGGATATCTTTCTTTCTTGGCACCTAAAAAACCATGTTTGTTGTGGTTTTTGTTTTGAGATTTGTTTTTACCCTTACACTGTACAACATTGGTTTACAGAAGGAAGCAATTTTGCTCCCTATGGGTCACTTGACAGTGTTGGGAGATATTTTTGGTTGTCATAACTGGGAGATGGGAGGCTACCAGCACCTAGTGTGTAGAGGTCAGGGATGCTGTTAACCCATCTTACAGCGCATAGGACAGTCCCCTGCAACAAAGAAATATCCAACCCAACATGTTAACAGTGCTAGGATATATTTATATAACTCTTCCAAGGGCCACTAGAGTCTCATATGTGAGGGGAAATATTTCTCCATTCCACTTCATTCATCCCCCAAAACAGCAAATATATTTATATTTTTGCTCCAGTCTAATTATTAACAGCACCCACTTTTTATATATTTATATATTTGCTGTACAATATATATATGTATATATGCTGTCCCAATGTAATTATTTTATATATATACTATATATATAATATAGTATAGTCATCTTGTCTATAAGCCGATTGCCACTAATTTTACTGTCAATAATTATCCTCAGAACACTTATGCCATTAACAGAGCCTCTCAGAATGTTCTGGTGAACATTTAAAAAATGACTTTCTGCAGGAGAGTTGGAATGCCCTGACTTGGAGTGTTCAGGATTTATGTAGTGTACATACTTCCAACATGGTCAATATCAGGCTATCATTTAAAGTTCAGAGGATTTGAAAACAGGGCTAGTAGTGGCTCTGTTTAAAGATCTCAGGAACCCATTTTCTACTTTGTTGTTCTGCCATCTCTAGGTATGGCATTGAGCCTTTATCTCATGAGCAAAGATGACAACTAGAACTGTAGTCATCACTGGGGCAAAGAGCATGAGCCAGAAAGCTTTTAAAGAAGGCTGACACGTAAGACTTTTACTTAGGTTTTGTGGTAGGCTAGATTGTTTTGCAGCAAATATTCATTACCCATCTCTCTTCATGGGAGGAGTTTATTTCCTTTTCTATTGATGTTGCACTTGGCCATGTGATATGGTTTGGCTGTGTCCCCTCCTAAATCTCATCTTGAATTGTAATCTCCTTAGTCTCCATGTGTCAAGGGAGGGACACAGTGGAAGGTGATTGGATCATGGGGTCGTTTCCCCCATGCTGTTCTCATGATAGTGAGTGAGTTCTCACAAGATCTGGTGGTTTTATAAGGCAGTTTTCCCTGCTCCAGCATGCTTCTTCTCTCTCCTGCCACCTTGTGAAGAGGTGCCTTCTGCCATGATTATAAGCTTCTTGAGGCCTCCCCAGCTATGCAGAATTGTGAGTCAATTAAACCTCTTTTCTTTATAAATTACCCAGTCTTGGGCAGTTCTTTATTGCAGTGCTAAAATGGACTAATACACCATGTAACTTGCTTTGGCTTCATAGCAGACAGAAAATATTTCTCTGCTCCTTGACTTTAGATTTGACCATATGACTTGCTTTGGCTAATGAAATATTAGTGAATGTAATATGAACAGAAGCTTGAACAGTGCCTGTGTAATTGGGTTTGTTCTCTGTCTTTTGTCATGAGAAGAATATGCCTTTAGAGAACTGCTGGTTCAGGATAAGAGACAGAGGAAGCTGATCTGGACCCTATCCATACTTAGAGCCAAGCCCAGAAGTTCTAAATCAGTTCTATATTAGCTGAACTCCGGGAGACTTCACAGATATGTGAGTAAGAAATGTATGCTTAGGCCAGGCGTGGTGGCTCACGCCTATAATCCCAGCACTTTGGGAGGCCAAGGTGGGCGGATCACGAGGTCAGGAGATTGAGACCATCCTGGCTAACACGGTGAAACCCCGTCTCTACTAAAAATACAAAAAATTAGCCGGGCGTGCTGGCAGGCGCCTATAGTCCCAGCTACTCAGGAGGCTGAGGCAGGAGAATGGCGTGAACCCGGGAGGCGGAGGCTGCAGTGAGCCGAGATCGCGCCACTGCACTCCAGCCTGGGTGACAGAGAGAGACTCTGTCTCGGAAAAAAAAAACAAATGTATGCTTATACTTGTAACCATGGAATTTTAGAGGGGCTTGTTACACAACACTATTTTGGCAATACCTGACTAATCCTGTTTGCCACATTCAGTCTAATGATTACTCCTATCTACTAGAAAGACTGTTAAGTGGAAACTTTTTTCTGTCATACACTCTTAACAAAAAATCAGAGTTTTAAAAAATTGCTAAAGGAGGAGGGTAATGGATATTGAGGGCAACTAACAATGTCTATTACGATTTTAGACTTTGCCTTTTCAGTAAGCATCTATCCTCCTCACTGTTGAGATTCGCAAAGTGGTCACAACAGAGTCTTTTATAGGAGGAAGTGTGTCTGTCTCCTTTGTTATTTTTAAGTCCTGAGCAACCTGTTTATTGTCAGACGTTGAACATTAAGATATAGCCACCCTTCATATAACTGCATTATAACACAATTTATTAAATATAATCATCATTATTTGAAATACTCAACTTAATAATATAATTAACAACATAAAAATGTCAAACTGTGTCTTAAAGGGAAGTTAGTCATGAAAAACCTGGATATATTTATAAAATATATATATATGTATATATATATAAAATCATGTTTGAAACATCTCTTAAAACTGCTAGTTCCTGGGTTATTCATTTAGTCAAATGATAGAAATAAAATCATTGGATTTAACATTGTTTCCAAAGGGAACTATTAAATCTGCCAGCTTAGAGACAGGAAGAGGCTGCAAACAAGAATGACACACAAGTCGGCATTTGACTCATGGTGCTTGGTTTAACTGTAAGTGTGTATGTGGCAACTGGAGAACACAATAAAGTCATTATACTTTTTTATTGCAGCTCTCGACCAAAACAGGGAACTGGGGAAATCTAGTTCAGAGTAGACAAAATAAATACAAACTGTACAGCCTACCTCCTTGCTCCAGCAGAGCCCCAGGTCACCTGCAATAAACTGTAAACTTTCACAACCCGCCTTGGATGGACTTCCCTAATGACAATCCCATTGAAGAATGGACTGAGAAGAAAAGAGTGAAATGGAAAATTTGGAATTTAGAAGTGGAGTTGGAGAAAGACAGTTGAGAAGACTGGAGTCATTAGTCTGATTATGACAACTAGAAAGCTGAGAACACCTGATTAGGCTAAGGGCATAAAATAGATTAAAGATTGCAGCTAGCCTGGCAACAAAGTGACACTATATCTTACTGAAATAAATTTAAAAACTAGTCATGCACGGTGGAGCTTACCTGTAGTCCTAGCTACTTGGGAGGCTGAGAGAGGAAGCCCACTTAAGTCCAGGAATTCAAGGCTGCAGTAAGCTCTGATCACCCCACTGCACTCTAGACTAAAAAAAGAGAGAGACTCCATCTGTAAAAAATAGATAAATAAGCAAATAACTTTCATAAATTAAAAAAAAATTTCAGCTGCCCAAAGAACGTAAGCTTTCTTATTCTAAGAGCCCTGAAATATGCCAGCACCAAAATCATTTAGTTTATCTAGCCACTTAATCCATTTTTAAATTTAGTACACTATGTTTCCTAATTATCCTTTATTATCAAGAATTTTCTATGCGAAAATCCTCAATAAAATACTGGCAAACTGCATCCAACAGCACATCAAAAAGCTTATCCACCATGATCAAGTCAACTTCATCCCTGAGATGCAAGGCTGGTTCAACATACGCAAATCAATAGACATAATCCATCACATAAACAGAAGCAATGACAAAAACCACATGATTATCTCAATAGATGCAGAAAAGGCCTTCAACAAAATTCAACAGCCCTTCATGCTAAAAACTCTCAATAAACTAGGCATTGATGGAACGTATCTCAAAATAATAAGAGCTATTATGACAAACCCACAGCCAATATCATACTGAATGGGCAAAAACTGGAAGCATTCCCTTTGAAAACCGGCACAAGACAAGGATGCCCTCTCTCACCACTCCTATTCAACATAGTATTGGAAGTTCTGGCCAGGGCAATCAGGCAAGAGAAAGAAGTAAAAGGTATTCAATTAGGAAAAGAGGAAGTCAAATTGTCTCTGTTTGCATATAACATTACTGTATATTTAGAAAACCCCATCATCTCAGCCCCAAATCTTCTTAGCTGATAAGCAACTTCAGCAGTCTCAGCATGCAAAATCAATATGCAAAAATCACAAGCATTCCTATACACCAATAACAGAAACACAAAGCCAAATCATGAGTGAACTCCCATTCATGATAGCTACAAAGGGAATAAAATACCTAGGAATACAACTTATAAAGGATGTGAAGGACCTCTTCAAGGAGAACTACAAACCACTGCTCAAGGAAATCAGAGAGGACACAAACAAATGGAAAAACATTCCATACTCATTGATAGGAAGAATCAATATTGTGAAAATGGCCATACTGCCCAAAGTAATTTATAGATTCGATGCTATTCCCATCAAGCTACCATTGACTTTCTTCTCAGAACTGGAAAAAACTACTTTAAATTTCATATGGAACCAAAAAAGAGCCCGCATAGCCAAGACAATCCTAAGCAAAAAGAATAAAGCTGGAGGCATCACGCTACCTGACTTCAAACTATACTAGAAGGCTATAGTAACAAAAACATCATGGTACTGGTAACAAAACAGACATATAGTCCAATGGAACAGAACATAGACCTCAGAAATACCACTACACATCTAAAACCGTCTGCTCTTTGACAAACCTGACAAAAACAAACAATGGGGAAAGGATTCCTTCTTTAATAAATGGTTCTGGGAAAACTGGCTAGCCACATGCAGAAAGCTGAAACTGGATGCCTTCCTTACACCTTACACAAAAATTAACATAAGATGGATTAAAGACTTAAATGTAAGATCTAAAACCATGAAAACCCTAGAAGAAAACCTAGGCAATACCATTCAGTACATAGGCTTGGGCAAAGACTTCATGACTAAAACACAAAAAGCAATGGCAATAAAAGCCAAAATAGACAAATGGGATCTGATTAAAATAAAGAGCTTCAGCACAGCGAAAGAAACTATCATCAAAGTGAACAGGCAACCTACAGAATGGGAGAAAAATTTTGCAATCTATCCATCAGACAAAGGGCTAATATCCAGAATCTACAAGGAACTTAAACAAATTTACAAGAAAAAATCAAAAAACCCCATCAAAAAGTGGGTGAAGGATATGAACAGACACTTATTAAAAGAAAACATTTATGCAGCCAACAAACATATGAAAAAAAGATCATCATCCCTGGTCATTACAGAAATGCAAATCAAAACCACAATGAGATGCCATCTCATGCCAGTTAGAATGGCGATCATTAAAAAAGTCAGAAAACAACAGATGTTGGAGAGAATGTGGAGAAATAGGAATGCTTTTACATTGTTGGAGGGAGTATAAATTAGTTCAACCATTGTGGAAGACAGTGTGGCAATTCCTCAAGATCTAGAACTAGAAATACCATTTGACCCAGCAATCCCATTACTAGGTATATACCCAAAGGATTATAAATCATTCTACTGTAAAGGCACATGCACACTTATGTTTACTGCAGCACTGTTCACAATAGCAAAGACTTGGAACCAACCCAAATGCCCATCAATGATAGACTGGATGAAGCAAATGTGGCACATATTCACCATGGAATACTATGCAGCCATAAATAAGGATGAGTTCATGTCCTTTGCAGGGACATGGATGACGCTGGAAACCATCATTCTCAGCAAGCTGACACAAGAACAGAAAACCAAACACCACATGTTCTCACTCATAAGTGGGAGCTGATCAGTGAGAACACATGAACACAGGGAAGGGAACATCACACACTGGAGCCTTTGAGGGGGTGGGGGGCTAGAGGAGGAATAGGGTTGATGGGTGCAGCAAACCACCATGGCACGTGTATACCTATGTAACAAACCTGCACGTTCTGCACATGTACCCCAGAACTTAAAGTATAATTAAAAAAAGAATTTTTTTATCTGTTCTTATCCATTTAATTTTCCAGGTGAATTTTATAAAGTGAAACATGAATTGCATCAAATATAAAAATAATTTAGGTAAAAATTGAGTCTCTCCTGCCAGGATCATGATATTTTCTATAATGAGACAATCTTCAGCAATCTCTCTCACTCCAGATAAGCGCATCACCCCGACGAGGATGCAGTGTGACTCTCAAGGAAGTCTACATGTTTTCATTTGCAGATTTAAGTGTTTATTTCTGCTTAGCTAATTCAAGTCAGTTGCAAAGTTGGTTGAGGCTCTTCCTTTCTCTCCAGTAGGCTTCACCTCAGTTTAGTTGGGGGATAAGAGTCTGGTAAAGGAAATCAGAACATGTCTATGCAGCCCCTTTCGGCCCGTCTTACATTACTATTCTTTGATGTTGCATGATTAAAGTTCACTTTCTTCATCTTTGTATGTGTAAACTAAATATAAAATCCTAAGCCCCCTCACTGACTGAACAGACAGACCTCCTTGCCACCAAGGAGACCCCAGAAAAGCCTTAAAACTGAGTTTCTGGCCATGACAAGACAGGAGGTCAGACACACCTCATGATAACTCCCCTCTCTTTATTGTTCAGATACAACAATATTAATGTTAAATTAATTAAATGTTAATGTTAAATTAATAAACCTTAATAAACAACAACATTAATGTTAAATTAATAAAAACAGCATTAATGTTAAAACTGAGATCATAAGATTCACAGAGCAGACTCTTCACGGCAATAAAGAAACAAATTATAAATGGGACTTAATGCCATGCCAAGCAAGGGTTAAGTCACACACTCCTACACTTAGAGAATAAACTATGTTCTGACTGCCACAAGGTTTTTCTTTTTCTCTAGCAGTTAAACAAGCACTGGCCTCTAGATCAGCAACATTAAAACAATTACAACCCTCCCAGTCACAGACACTGACAAGCTGTACCCCCTGTTTCACCAGCCATAACTACAGCTTACTTTGGACAGGGGACTGACTTCAGTCACTTTCTCCTGACCATGGATTGGTTCTGGCTGGTTTACAGAGGCTGCACACTGGAGTGCCTTCATGTCCAGAAAAGACCTTTCAACATATAAGGCCTAATTGTAATACATTTAAGTGTTAAGTCGCCACCCCAAAATGAACATGGGCCTTACGGTACATGCATGTTCCTTCAATACACATGCAGCAGGACTACCTTCATGAATATTCAGAGCTCCTTCTGTAACCTCTTGAATACACAGGTTTAGCCAGTTCTTTCAACATAAAGCTCCTACCCCAACCCCTCCTCCTCTGAAGAGCCTATCTCCGGTCTTGGTCGGAGGCTGTGCTTCCCAGCCTGTGGGGTGGCCACCTAGCACGCTGTACACCTTTATAAGAAATAAAGTCTTCTTTTCCAAATGTATAAATTGTGTGGGTGTTTTTTTAAGTTGACATACATCAGCACAGCTTGGTGATTTCACAACTAATATGATTGTCTTACAGATGTCAGAGATTTAGCTAACACTTATTTCAACATGGCAGTAGGTGTCTGTATACTTGTTTGGAAAAAAACACAAGCCACTCATTGCTTCGCTTTCACACCACCACCACAACAATCATCAACACAGAAGACTTCTGTGACCCATTGTGTGGGGTTCTCTGCACCACCAAGTAAGCAACCAATTCTGTAGCAGAAATCAACTTGGTGTCCTCCAATTCAGTTCTGATTCTATCTACCTGGTGGTAGCGTCAGATCTGGCAAGTGAGGGCTCAGTCCTTGAGACTGCATCCCACCCCTTCAGACACCAGTCACAAGTTTGGGCTTCCAGGACTTCTGACCCACCAGCTTCAAGATGGGGTTCCCATAACTCCCTCTTTAGGTTTGATTAATTTGCTAGAATGGCTCACCAAGCTCAGGGAACGACTTGCTTACATTTACTGGTTTATTATAAAGGATATTACAAAGGATACAGATGAAGCAGTGCATAGCAGGAGGGGCCGGGAGCTTCCATGCCCTCCCTGGGTGCGCCACCCTCCAGGAACCTCCATGTGTTCAGCTATCTGGAAACTCTCTTAGCCCTGCCCTCTTGAGTTTTTATGGTAGCTTTTTCACCTAGAGATGATTGAAATATACAACCATACTGAAATATGATTGGACAAAAAGGGTACGAACTAAACTCAGCAATGCCTGTCGGTGCAGATTCTTTTTGGCCTCTCTGTGTAGCATTTTTTCTTCCGGGATATGGAGCAGGACACTCTCTGGCAGGTGAAAGGAGGATAGGAGAGCATCAGAGAGAGATTCTTTTTATTGTAATAAAGGTTATGAGAGATATGAGCCAGCAACTGTGGATGAAAATACATATATATATCATATTTTATATATGGTCTATATCATATACATAATACAATATATCATATTTTATATAGCATATATAATATTATATATGTGATATTTATATATAAATATCATATATAAAATATGATATATATACAATACCTAAAATGATGCAGTCACCATTATTTGGTTGCTGTGTCCTCCACTTACCCTCACCCCTAGGTACATTCAGCCAGTGAATTTTAGTGGAAAGGCCATCGACTTTGAACCAGCACAGGCCTGGATTAGTATTTCACCAGAGTCATTCAAAAGATGTATAACCTTAGCCCAACGGACTCATTCTTCCGAACCTCAGTATCTTCACCTATTAAACAGGGATAAAAGCAATGGTAAAGCTATGTGAATATTAACCAAGATCACACAATAATAAGTGTCTAGTATAATGTCTGATATTATGAGAAGGCCCCAAATAAAAATGAACTGCTATTAATGGCATCAGCAATAATAAGATATGTCTAAATCATGTAATAGCAAATAATGATGAAAACCTGGCTCAGGCTGTATAATCATCTAGATGTGTATTTAAATCTTAGCTACACCAATTACAAACTATGTAAATACATAGAATATATTCACACCTCTGGCAAGTTACTTAACACCTCTGAAAATAAGTTCCCGCATATATATTGTAGAAAATAATACAAACCTTATCGAGTTAAAATGAAAGTTAAATAAGATTCTGTGTATAAGGAATTTAGCCCAGTTTCTAGCACATGAAAAGCCCACAATTGATGGTAACAACTATTGTATTATGACTGTTGTTAGACATTGTAAAGGCCAAGTAAGTTAGGGTATAGAAAGCTCTAAAAGGATACCCTAGGTAGGAAGTGCTAAAATTGCAGCAATCAACACTTATCACCACAAATATAACTACCATCACTACTACCTCTACTACCAATATTATTAAAGATCAACTTAGCAATTCCAAACTTCTAAATGTCAGAATTGAACAGATGATTACAATGAGTGGTGCATATGTACAAGACAAAAGTATTCCCCCCAATTTCTAGTCTCCGCACACTCACCTTCATCCTGTAGACTAATTTCTCATTGACAAATGAATCTTCCCTTAATGCTATTTGTTTTGTTTTAAGTTCAGGTATAGAAACAAGATTTCACATGTTGGTCATCTAAAAAATAGTACTTGGACTTTTCTACAAAAAGTTCAAACCTAGCTAAGCAGGTATTCTTCCCCAAACCCAGCAAGACTATGATGATTACTATTCAGAAATTCGAAAGCCCACAAATCTTTTTTTTTTTTTTTCAGTATCTTTAACCTGCTGGTGATCATATTCTCTGGACTTCAATAAGCTTCCCTGCCTCTTAGTGAATAATCTAGGACCTTCATTTCCTGAATAGGAGTAGAAACACATCGGTGAATTTTACTCATCAGGAAACATTGAATTATTTTCCTTAGAAGCAGCTAGATTCAGCATCTGAGAGAAATACAAAAGACTTTTTCCTTTCTCGTGCCGTGAAACTAAATTCAGTCTTCATGACCAGGAAGTTAGAAAAGAACTTACTCTTGTGAGTGACTAAAGGGGAATATATCATCCTTTGAGAGAAATAACATATCCCAGAGGACACAGAAATGGTCTGAGAGGTGGGAGATGTAGTTTATTTTTCTGGGTCCTACATGATCATCTGTATAATCTGATTTAAATTCTGCACTGTTGATATATATCATATTATTTTCTTACCAGTATACTGGGATTAATCAGAAACATGAAGAAAGAGACAAAGGTGAAGATGAACGAACTAGGTAATTTAACATTTGTTTGCTCTAGTTAATTGCTGCAACAACTTAATGAAGAGTTATCTTCATTTTAGAGATAGGGAAACAGAGGCTTATAGGACTAAATTACTCACATATATCAACATCTGGATAGCAGCAGAGACAAGATTTGAGACTCAGTTGTCAATGTCACTGTTCTCTTTTTGTTCATGCTATATGGTCTTAAAACAACAACAGTAAAATAACAACAAAAAAAGACCTTTGTTTCTCCTGCCCTAAACTGACTTTATCCACCTTTGCCTCTATAGATACAAGTTTTCTTTAGTGACTCTTGCTACTGTTTTTTTTTTTAAACTTTTATTTTAGGTTCAGGGGTACATGCATAGGTGTGTTATTTAGGTAAACTCACGTCACAGGGGTTTGTTGTACAGATTATTTTGTCACCCAGGTACTAAGCCTAGTACTCAGTGATTATTATTTCTGATCCTCTCCCTCCTTCAACCCTCTATTCTCAAAAATTGACAAATGGTATCTAACTAAACAAAGAGCTTCTGCACAGCAACAGAAACTATCAACAGGGTAAACAGACAACCTACAAAATGGGAGAAAATATTTTCAATCTGTGCCTCTGACAAAGGTCGAATATCCAGCATCTATAAGGAACTTAGACAAATTTACAAGAGAAAAACAAATAACCCCATTAAAAAGTGGGCAAAGGACATGAAGAGACACTTTTCACAAGGAGACATATAGATATAATTAATTTCCTTAAGGTTTACAAGCAGGTGGTAAATAATCCAAGACCACCCTACCCCACTCAACCCCACCACACATGCCAGGGTTACATTATTGGAGAAAAACCCATTGGAATAAATATAACATCCAGGCCAAAGAAGCCCAACTCAAGCTCCATTTTGTAAGGGCTGTAGTTTAGCTGAGTTGCTAATTCCCGGGCATGAGAATCTTTATTGCTATTATCACTTGAGGCCTGTGTCTGTTCGTAATACCTGGAGGGGTTCCTTATTTTGCAATTTTATACTATCAACAGAAAAGATTTATTGAGATGAGCTGTGTGAACCAGACTATAAATTCAGATCCTATTGCTCTAGTTTTATTTGATACTCACACAGACAGAAGGCCCTTTCTTAAGCTGACAACCTATAATGGACGTTTATTACCTTGTATGCACAAGAATATGTCTGGTTTAGATATCATCTTTTATATACCTATCTTTTGTATATGAGGACATTCTTTTAAAACATGCTTTTATTATTAATGAAATATAGTTATATGTATTACATAGAATGGTGTTCTCCCTAGGGTGTTCAATTATAATGTTTTCTAGGAAATGGTTTTTAATGTTCATATCAGTTGGTAGGTAATAAGATGTGGTAATTTTTTTACTTTCTTCTTTTTTTATATTATTTGTATTATTGTATTTTTTATATTATATTATATATAATTCTTCAGAATGAGCATGTATTATATATTATTTTCATATAATCCATATGAGGTATTCTATTATAACAATATATATGGGGCACACAAAATTCTGTCTCTTAAAATGTGTTATGCTATTAAAACAGTAAAGTAAAAATATTATTATCAATTAGACTGCCATGTTGTAACTGTATAACAGTAAAACCTATAGAGTACGTGAATGACCTTACATTGAACTGAGAAAATCCCATTCCAAAAAAATAACAAAGCAGTTGCTTCCAAACAACCCCTCATACATTAGCTTCCTCCCATTTGGGCATGGATGCTGGATAAATGATACAAGCCTACTGACATTCACATAATATCCAAACTCACATTACAGCAAAGCATGATATTAAAGTATTTGACTGTATTTATTTTGCTAAAATAATAATTTTGTTCAAATGGTGGAGGAGTAATGATGTGTATTAATTTAACTGAGAGACCACCTCCTCCACCCCATACCTCTAGCTCAGGTCTTTATTAACTCACATGTGTGCCCCAATCCTTACCTCAAGTAGTATTATTTATTTACCTACTCTTTGTATGAAGCAGAACCCACAGAATGAAGAGAGCTAAGAGGCTGAGTTTATCTACACAATAAAGGGTTGACACGGAGAGAGAAGAAAGACAGAAAACCATACAGGTGGGTTTAAATGAATATTTGGAGAGTTTAGCATCCGAAAGACTACATATTATATATATATGAGATATATATTTACATATGTAATAATATATATAAATATTACAAAGTACCTGTAAAACATATCTAAACTCAGAGTGGAAACGAATGAGTTTGGGAAGTATTGTTAACTATCAATTTGTTGCCTTTTTTTTATATCAAGCTTTTATCAAATAAGTGTTAATATTTGTTTCTAATTATTGTTGGCTTTCTGGCCTGTGCCTTTTCGAATACTATTCTATGTAAAGACTGAGTCATATGGACTCCAAACATATCTAGTTTCAAATTCAATATAAATGAAATACTTTTCTGGTATCAACAGATCTTTTTAAAAAGAGAAAGGGGGCTGGGCAAGGTGGCTCGCACCTGTAATCCCAGCACTTTGGGAGGCCGAGGCGGGAAAATCACCTGAGGTCAGGAGTTCGAGACCAGCCTGGCCAACATGGTGAAACCCTGTCTTTACTAAAAATACAAAAATTAGCTGGGCATGGTGGTGCATGCCTATAATCCCAGCTACTTGGGAGGCTGAGACAGGAGAATGGCTTGAACCCGGGAGGTGGAGGTTGCAGTGAGCAGAGATCATGCCACTGCACTCTACCCTGGATGACAGAGCAAGACTCCATCTCAAAAAAAAAAAAAAAAAAGAGAAACGGTAACATGATTAGTAGTGCACAACAAGGGAACACCTTTATTCTGGTTTCCTTTGGTCCCTCTTCTTCATTCATCTACTTTGCTAATATTCTATGATGACTGCAATACTCCATCAGAACAGTCACCTTGATTTTTGGCTAACTTCAGAGGCTCTAAAATTTCTCTGTTTATCTCTTATAGTAGAAAATATTCACAAGCTGTTCTTCTGTAGTTCAAAATATTGTTCATAATTTTCTGCTACCATGCTCAGTTTAAGACGAAGAAGGCCAAAAACCTTGTGATTGACAATGATAGTCATTACTAGCCTGGACTAAGAAAGCACTGCGTTATCAAAGCATAAGGACCAGCCCTTATATCAGGACAGAGGTGCCAGGGCAGGGCTTCCCTAACAGTTTACATTGAAAAGAGAAATAAATTATTTACTTCTTGTTCTTTTTTAAAAAAGTCCTCTTAATGCTGTTTATAGTCATGAACGTTTTTCTCCAATTAATTTCTGCATGGTACCATGTGGAAATCTGTTGATAGTATTGATAGCTAACAATACTTCCAAAACTCATTCTTTCCAATCTGAGTTTAGATATGTTTTACAGGAACTCTGTAGCTGAAAATCTGTGTTTGGGTTTGGACTTTATCAATTTTTGAAAAGAAAAGAGTATACATAGCCATAGTAATAGCTTTTTCTTTCTGTAAGACATATATAATATAAAGATGTATTGAATTCTACTGTTTTCATAAAACCTTGACTTGGAGAATATGTACTTTTCACACACAAAAATAAAAATACATTTCTTCCTTCCTTTACTATTGTTTTCAGGTGATTTTCCCCAGCAATAAACTTTAAGGTTTCATAAAATAAATATTAAATCATACTAATTGCATTATAGTCATTATTTTTCTTTTGAGGCAAATGAATTACCAATAGGGTTTTGAAAGTGCATACCACAGATGAGTAATATGTCTAACATTTCAATTAAACATACTATGGCTGAAAATTAACTATCTAGTTCAAAAGTTCAACAGAACATAGATAAATCAGTTGCTTACCATGAGACCTGTTGCTAAGTGAGGATGTTTTTGTCAATTTGGAAAAAGAGAGCATCAACTATTAATCTATTAGAGTTTTCTTGCTTTCCTTGCAACTTTCATCTCAAATTATTCTTTTGCTTTCAGTCTTTTAAAAACAGTCCTGCTGGCTTTAGTTCACTTCTTTGGCTTCACAGCTTCAAGGAAGGTTTTAAAGACAGAGGTCACATATCACCCTAGCAACCTGGTTGGAGAGAAGTGATGTTTTCTAAAATATTATAAAGCAAATCAAGCATCTGGCTGATTTATTAGATAGGGCTAGCCACTTGTTCTTAACTAGTCATGTTGTCCTGGTGAAAAGTGAACAGTGCCAGGTCTTAAAGGTGTTAAATGTGTTTCCTAAAAGCATTATGTGCAATGGCAAGATCAGCTCTTTATTCTCAAAAGAGTACATTAGCAAATAACTACTAAATTAATGTGAACTATTTTTTTGTGTGTGTGTAAGTGGTGTTTGGCCAAAATCAAGTAACTGGCAAAATACTCAGGCTGAATATGAATAGGCACTGTTTGAGAATATGTAAAACATGTTATCTGGTAAAAAGTTGCAAATTGAATAATTACGTTGCAGTCTCAATATGGACACATACTTTCTTTTTTCATTATTAAAGAAAACAAACAGTCACCTAAGGTGGCTACACACAGGCATACTCACTACCAATAAAGAGATACCATGTTTTCCTCTCTCCTGCCATGTGTGAGGTTTCCTAACAGTGAGGGCTTCCAATCGTGGATTAATACTTTTCATCTTTCTTCTGCAATTTCTAGATCAAAACTGGAACCAAAAATTTTGCACACTTCTACACCAACATACCAGAAAATTAGAAACACTAACCACGGCTATTAAAAAGCAAACACATTTCCCAATATTGTCTATTATTCTTACTCCTATCTTTTTTTCTCTTTATTATAAAATCTCAGCTTGGTCCAAGAGAAAGAAGTAAATAAACAAAATTCCAGGGCCAGGCTCGGTGGTTCACACCTGTAATTCCAGCACTTTGGGAGTCCTAGGTGGGTGGATCATGAGGTCAGGAGTTCGAGACCAGCTTGACCAATATGGTGAAACCCCATCTCTACTAAAAATACAAAAATTAGCTGGGCATGGTGGTGCGCACCTGTAGTCCCAGCTGCTCGGGAGGGAGGCAGGAGAATCGCTTGAACCCAGGAGATGGAGGTTGCAGTGAGCCGAGATCGCACTACTGCACTCCAACCTGGATGACAGAGCAAGAGTCTGTCTCAAAAAACAAAAAGAAAAAGAAAAAAAAAGAAAAGAAAATTCCAGAGAGATGACAGAGGGATTTGGGGCTTGTGACAGCCATATTATTGCAAAGCTATCAGACACCAGCTCTCTGGTGGCTCTCTGTGCAAATCATTCCAAAGTGATAACTGTCAAAATTTTCCCCCACTCTAAGGGAAGCATTATATTAGAGCATGATCTCCACTGAATTCCAACAGCAACTCACTTTTGCCCAAAAGCTAAATGGACTCTTAACTACCATCTTATCTAAATAGCTTCATTACTGATAGAATATGTTAGAAAAGAGGACAATGAGAGACCCTCAGAATTTGGCTTATTAAGAGTAACATTTAAGAACGAGTGCCCATGTCCTTGCTTTGTAACTGAATGCAGGTTCAGCCACTCACTGCTTGAGAAGTCAAATAACAAGGACGAGATTCCATAGAAAGGAAGTGACTTTATTTGCCAAAGCTAGCAATGGGGAAGTGGTTCAGGCTCCTGCCTTAATGGAATTGCTTCAAATTTGGGGCAGAAAGGAAATGCTTAAAAAGGGAAGTTTGGCATGAGGGAGATGCAGAAGGGGGCGAGGCAGTACAGGTCTATGTGACTTGTTCTGATGATGTATCTTGAGTTATTGCCCCATCCACTGAATGGGTTGGTGCCATGGCGGGCACAGCCAGGTTGTAAATTAACCACAGCCTTTAAGTGATCTCCTGATGGGGGAGAATTTCACAGGCACCTGGGTTGTTTTAAGATCTCCTCTCTGAAACTTTGAAGCAAACATATAGTTACATAAGCTAGCGGTGTAAGGAGTGCCCGGTGCATAAAGAGCAAAGGTTATAATCACATTCCTGAGAGCTAAGGCGTGAGTATGCATGAAAAACAAGAAAAGGAGAAAAAGGAAAAAACTATTTTTAAGAAAAAAGGGTACTTGGTTACACTTCTAGGTAATTACATTCTGATTGTTATGATGTCACAGGTGGGAATGTTAGAAGAAAGATTTTAACAAGAATTCAAGAATATAATAAAATTGTAAACAGCATATAGAGCCTATTTTCTCTATAATCTGAAGACCAATTGCATGGCCTGTTGGAGTAAGACTCAGTACTCATTTTCTACCCACCTCCCACAACTCAATTATTTTTTCTCCCATATGTTGGTGTTTTTTTCTGTGACTGATTCTACAAACCCATAAAAATATTAAGTGATGGTTTAAATATTGTCTGATAACTCTCATGTACTTCTCAAAGGACTACAATACCATAGCCTTGTAGTAGTATAATTTGGCACTATGTTTCAAAAGACTTTAAAAAGTTCATTCTCTTTGACCTAGAAATTTTACTTCAAGGAGTTTTCTAGTAGAGAAATAATCAGGAATGTGCACAAAATCAGCTATAGGATATTAATTGTACATAATTTTAAAAGTGTAGGGGCCGGGCGTGGTGGCTCACGCCTGTGATCCCAGCACTTTGGGAGGCCGAGGTGGGCGGATCACGAGGTCAGGAGATCGAGACCATCCTGGCTAACACGGTGAAACCCCATCTCCACTAAAAATACAAAAAATTAGCCGGGTATGGTGGCGGCTGCCTATAGTCCCAGCTACTCGGGAAGCTGACGCAGGAGAATGGCATGAACCTGGGAGGCGGAGCTTGCAGTGAGCCGAGATCTTGCCACTGCACTCCAGCCTGGGCAACAGTGCGAGACTCCGTCTCAAAAAAAAAAAAAAAAGTGTAAATGATCAAAATGTCCATCAATAAGAGATTGCTAAAATTAATTCTGATATATTAATAAAGTGAAATAATATACAGGCAATAAAAATATATTGTAATAATAATATGAGATTATCTTATTGCATGAACAAAATAAGTCATAGAAAAAATACAAACTATGATTTTTTTAGAAATAATTTTTAAAAATCTGCTCTTCCTGCCATCTTGGAACCTGTGGCAGTCTATTGGAAATAGGACTTTTAAAACATTTCTGGAAAGCTGTAGTCCAATGCTATAGCCAGTTTTCTTGACTATAAATAGGGTTTCCAAAACCAAACGGAGAACACAGCTCTTCTTCAAACTGAAGGTGGTTATGCCTGAGATGAAACTGAATTCTACTCAGGCAAGAGATGTGCTTATGTATATAGAGCAAATCACAACACAGTGACGTCAGTGATAAACCAAACCAAACAAAAGTAATCTGGGGAAAGGTAACCTGTGTCCATGGAAACAGTGGCATGATTTGTGCCAAATTCTGAAGCAATCTGCCTATTAAGGGCACTGGACACAGAATCCGTGTGAAGCTGTACCCCTAAAGGTTTTAAACTGATGAAAAGTAAATCAATAAAGGGGGAATTTGTGCTCTGGTATTTTTGTTAGGTGGCTTTTAAAAAGTATTGCCCTGAATTGAGTTGTATGCTTAAAATGGCGAAGGTTATTCAGCATTTTCAGAGTATAAGGAAGTCAGAGCTATATGAACTACATGAATGATGATTGAAGGGTGATTACAGAGACTTAGACGATAACGAGGGTTTTAACGTATCTTAGTACAAGGCCTTATTGCATGGATTGTGGGGGATAAGTAAGCTTTGGGGAAAGTGCAAAGGGGACTGTCTTCATCATTATGATGAGAATTAGTGAAAGAAGCTTAAAATTATCCCTTAAATTACCTTGTAAGAGTATGTACTTGTTCAATATAGTTTGATTGGGAAACTGAAAAGCAAAAATGGAAATTAAAAATAATTTAAATGGAGATTATGTTGATGGTTTTTGGCAGCTCATTCAGATAGGCTAGGGCAAGATATCCTTGGAATTTGTGGCTGGACAAAGCATTCCAGTATATAACACTTGACTTGGAATAAGTAATGTATAAACTGAAAATATCAAAATAAAACCATATAATTTCATCTCAAAAATGTATGCACATATATACAAATCAAAGCAGCAATAGCTAGAAGGATACACATTCAAAGGCCAATAGCAAGCAAAGATTTGGTGAGATTATGGTTGAGATAGGTAGCTAGATATGTCATATGCTATTCTTTAATTTTCCTGACTGAATAAGCATTACTTAAGAAATCAAATAGGATACTCAGTTGCTGGGGGTTTTTGGAGATGGGGTCTCACTTTGTCACCCAGGCTGGAGTGCAGTGGTACAATCTTGGCTCACTGCAACCTCCACATCCTAGGCTCCAGTGATCCTCCAACCTCAGCCTCCAGAGTAGCTGGGACCACAGGCACATGCCACCATGCCTGGCTAATTTTTTGTAGAGATAGGGTTTTGCCATGTTGGCCAGGCTGGTCTCAAACTCCTGAGCTCAAGTGATCCACCTGCCTCAGCTTCCCAAAGTGCTGAGATTACAGGTGTGAGCCACCGCACCTGATCACTAACGTGCTGTTTTCAAATTAGCTAATAAACATAAGTTATACCTCTCATAGGTATTTACATTTGAAAAGTTTTATCACCAACACATTACTAGTCCTTCGCTAAAAAAGAAAGCAATTATCAAGAGAGATCAGATTCCATCCTATTCACCCTTTGCCTCAGGAAATAAAAAATGAGAAATTTGACCTACCAGACTAGTTCAGAAAAGTTACCAAATCTTGTTATGGGACAGGTAGATGAAATATATTGCATGCTTAGCTAAGGATAAGATTTTTTCCATTCTTGTCAATGTACCAGTGTCAGAGAATGTAGGTAGGTACCTATCTTTTTATTTGTTTATGTTCAGGCTAAGATAGTTCTACTTGAAGAGAGAGAGAAGAAAAAAGGCTCAAATAGAGAAAAAAAGAAAGCTCAAACCTGAGTAATCAAACTTTTTCTGTTTCTAAGAGGCAAATGCAGAATGCCAGGGAAACAAATTATAGAAATATAGGGAGTGATACCACTACACACTATTAGAATGACCAAAATCTAGAACACTGACAACAGCAAATGTTGGCAAGGATATGGAGCAACAGGAACACTCATTCACTGCTGGTGAGAATGCGAAATGACACAGCCACTTTGAAAGACAGTTTGACATTTTCCTCCAAAACTAAACATATTATTATTATATGATTCAACAATTGTACTCCTTAGTATTTACCCAAATTGGATGAAAACTTATGGCACATAAAAACCTGCATACTGATATTCCTAGATATCCTTCAGTAGGTGAATGCACAAATAAATTGTGGTATATTCAGACAATAAATCATTATTTAGCACTAAAAAGATATGAGTTATCATCATGAAAAAGCCTGGAGGAACCTTAAATGCATATGACTAAGTAAAAGAAAGCAATCTGAAAGGGCTACAGATTGTATAAATCCAACTATATGACACTGGAAAAGGCATGGAGACAGTGAAAATATGGTGACAGAAAAAAGATAAGTGGTTGCCAAGGGTTAGAGGGGTGGGATGAACAGGTGGAGCACAGAGGATTTTTAGGGAAGTGAAACTATTCTATATGATGTTATAGCAATGAACACATATCATTATACATTTGTCAACACCAATGGAATGTATAACACCAAGAATAAACCTCGATATGAACCACGGACTTTGGGTGATAATGATGTCTTAAATGTAGGCTCGTGATTGTAACAAACGTACCACTGTGGTATCGGATTTTGATAGTGGAGAAACTGCATATGTGAGTAAAAGGAGTATATAAGAAATTGCTGTACCTTCCATTCAATTTCGCTGTGAGTCTAAAACTGTTCTGATAACAATCAACTGTATTTTTAAAATATGTATCTATAAGGAATATTTTACAATGCTGAGAGCACAATTTTAATTCTTCAAGTATAAAATAAACAACACAATAAAAAAGAGAAAAGAGATGAGAAAAAACTGAGCAGGAATGTTTCTCCTAAGGATAGATGGTTTCATAACTGATTGTTATCAAATATTTATTTGTTCTCTGAGGCCATGTGTATGTTTGTCCTCAGTGGATTTTATGTTGCCAGATTGCTTCTTACTCATTGACTCATCTTCTTTCATGTTCTTTTGTAGTTTTCCATGTATTCATGCTGCTTTTAGCTTGGCTTGTCTGATTTCTATGTACTTTCATTACCCCTATTCTTCAGTATAAAACAAATGGTAAATACAAACTCTGAGACCTGAAGACTTGGGGCATGTGGCTTCCTGGAATAAATGTCTCATTATAAAGCACTCATAAAAAATCTTCCATCCAAAATCAATTATAGCTTTAGGTTTTCAAGCGCACAGAAAAATATAGAAAACCAACATTACACTCAAAGTAAAAACGACAGCAGCAGTAACTCTGGCATAAAAATATTTGCTGCTGCCTACTGTATTTGTCTCAATGGAAAGACCAATTCATTTAACAGGCTATTCTTTTTTAGAAAGCACTAACATGTCAGCTAAACAGAGACTATGATAGTGTCAGAGGTGTTTGGCAGAGCGGCTCCATCTTGAATATGAGCTGTGTAAAATAAGGCTGAGACCTGCTGGGCTGCATTCCCAGGAGGTTAGGCATTCTTAGTCACAGGGTGAGATAGGAGGTTGGCAAAAGGTACGGGTCACAAAGACCTTGCTGATAAAAGGATGCGCTAAAGAAGCTGGCCAAAACCTACCAAAACCAAGATGTTGACGGAAGTGACCTCTGGTCATCCTCACTGCTCATTATTTCCTAATTATAATGTATTAGCATGCTAAAAGACATTTCCCCCCCAGTGTCAGGACAGTTTATAAATGTCATGGCAACATCAGCAAGTTACCCTATACGGTCAAAAATAGGAGGAAGCCTCAGTTCCAGGAATTGCCCACCCCTTTCCGAGAAAATTCATGAATAATTCACCCCTCATGTGGCATATAATCAAGAAGTAACTATGAGTATACTTTGTTGAGCAGCATGCCACTGCTCTGCCTCTGGAGTTGCCATTGTCATGTTCCTTTACTTTCTTAATAAACTTGCTTTCATTTTACTCTATGGACTCGCCCCAAATTCTTTCTTGCACGAGGTCCAAAAACCCTCTCTTGGGGTCTGGATTGGGACCCCTTTCAGGTAACAATATGATGCTATTTATTACACAGTAGAAATAACTGACTTATTTACTCTTTGTCTAAAAAGATTTAAAAAAAGAAACCCAAGATTTGACATTCTAGACTATTTCAAAAAAATTGTCAAATCCTGTTACAAGATAGGTAGATGGGATATAATATCAACTTGGCTAGGGATGATATTTGCTATATCTTTGCCAGTGTGCTCCCATGCGGTTGGTATTTGTACAATATTCAGTGTAATGGTGCACCCTCCATCTTTCTGGCTGCCTCTGCCTGCCTTAGGATAGCATCTGTGGAAAGTAAGTAGGCATGTTAAAACAAAGGAATGATCATCAGTACTGACTGGAGTGAGAGTTGCTATGGACCTTCCTAATACTTTAGAGGCTGGCAGAATAACTCAATGTTATTCTGTGGAATAACATTCTTCTATGTGGAATTCTTCTATGTGGAAATCACATAGAAGAAAGTTGAAAGAATTGTTGAAGCAATGTCTTTGAGCAGATTAGAGTAAATGGAATATTAGTGCATAAGTGGTGAGGTTAGCCTTAGATAAAGACTCATCTGTAGAAACAACAGATAGATGGCAGAGCATATACAGGACAGATTGAGGCTGGCTACATACTTTGTGACCCAAATGCAAAATGAAAACATGGGGCCCTGGTTAAGGGAAGTCAATCTATTTTCCTCAGGAGCTGGCTGCCCCAACCACAGTGGATGGGCATATTAAGTTAAGGTTCTCCAGAGAAGCAGAACCTGTAGGGTGTGTGTGTGTGTGTGTGTGTGTGTCTGTGTGTGTGTGTATGTGTGTGTGCAATTGTTGAGGCAAGAAAGTCCAAAATCTTCCTTCCCAGGCTGGAAACCTGGAAAGAACTGACGCTGCAGTTCAAGTCCGAAGGTAATCTGCTGGCAGAATCCCCTCTCACTTGTGATGGGTCAGTCTTTTGTTGTATTGAAGCCTTCAACTAATTGGAAGAGGTCCACGCACGCATATTATGGAGGGCAATCTGCTTTAAAAATCTACCAATTTAAATGCTAATTGCATCAAAAATACCCTTATAGAAACATTCAGAATAATGTTTGACAACATATCTGGGCATTTTGGTCCCACCAAGTTGACACATAAAATTAACCCTCACAATGGGTAACCCCTGAAGAGACTACATCTTTTCCCCAAGATGTACTCAGGACTTGGATCAGAAGTGGGCGAGAGGCCCCTGCCTAGATGCCTGTTGCATGAACTGTCCAGCTGCCACACCAGCTTTCCTTGCCTTGCTCCGAGATGCCCACAGGGGTGTGCCTGACCCTGACCCACCCTGCACTAGGGCCCAGGTCTTCTTCCGGGCATGGAGGGTGACAGCAGAATTCAGACCACCAGTCCAACCCAACCTGCAACCCTATGTGGAGGGTGTCAGGGGAGGGGAAGGCTGGGGCAGAGATTGAGTGAACAAGAACCCATCTGGGTCAGGCAGAGAAGCAGTACGAGGCAGGACCTGTGAGCTGTTTCCAAGTCCCTCAAGGGTGCTCTGTTGTCATATTGGACTTCACACAAAACACGAATTCAAAGACAAAAGTGTTAAGAATTGTTATTTTAAGACGGGATCCACAGAGGATTAAACCCTGAGTGCAGTGCCTTCTGAGTATGGGTCCCTATGTGATTGCACTTGTCCCACAGCCATGAAGTGAGTGTAGTCCCTTCTAAGCATGGGTCCATAGGTGATTGCGCTGGTCCCACAGCCATAAAGTGTAACCCAGCCCAGATGGAGATAGGTAATGTCTTAGTGAAGCTTGCGGAATTTTTGATTACTTTTATTTTCTCAATAAAAAGAGATTATCAACTAAGGAAAGAATTAGTGGTGGTGCTCTTAGGAGACAAAAAGAAATTAAATCATTTAGGAGGAGTAGAAGAGAGAGGAAATGAACTAGAGAAAGCAGCTCAAGGGCCCTATTTGCATTTAAGTAATGAATTTTTAAAAAGACCAAGCCACAAGATGGTGTGATTTTCTCCAGCCACATTCAGATGTGTAGGTGCAGCAGGGAGGGGTATGTGAAGAGTTGGATTTAACCGGAACTGGAATTTTTTTTTTCCAGGAAAACATGATGAAGGAAAAGAGGGCTAAAGAATTGAGCTTGTATATAAAGAGGTGATATCAATGTCAGAACATGGCCAAAAATAACCCAAAACCAAAACAAAAAACAAAAATCATAGATTTCTTAGTAAATTTCAGACACTTTGTTCCAGATAGATTACCTTCATTATGTCATTAATCTTCAAAACATTATTTGATATTGTATTCATTCATTTCACTGATATTTAAATATTTGTTGAGTACCTATTACGTGGCAAGGACTTTACCTCAGCTGTTGCTCATTCACAGAGGTTTGGACTTTAATGGGGCAGGAAAATCACAATAACCACAAATAAATGAATAGGAAAATTTCAGGTAATGGGAAGTCCTTCAAGGACAATGTAATTGAGTAAGAAAGTACAGACTGAACGTGGTTGGAGAGGATACTAAATCAAGTGTTTTGAAAAAGTCTTTCTGAGATGACAACTGAGCTGAAACAAGGATGAGAAAATACACACTCTCCAACACACACAAAGTTAATTTGAGCAGAGGATGATGAGATAAGGCATACATTCATAAGAGCAGCTGAAATACAGTTAAGCAGATGGGGGCCATTCACTATATAGTCTATGCCTAGCACAGTCTATGTGAATGGTGCCCCTCAGAGATTTGCAGAGCACAACTTGCACATAGGATCCTAAATTAAGGGAACTTAATGTTCAAGTGGGTGTTATATAGCAAATCCTCTGCTGAATTATCTCATCTAATCGCAAACACGTAATTAATGTACACGTATAAATCACTACTCTCTCTGTATACATAATATATATGATAAATATGATATGTTAAATATAAATATATATTGAATATCATATATATTTAAATTACCAACAGCTGTGGATTTCCATTCTCTAGGAATTGGAGAAACTTCTTAACCACGTGAGGTTAAACTCTTTGTTTCTGTTTGTATCTGGTACCTATTTTTCTGTTCTTTTGTTGCTGCTGCTGATTTGTGTGTGTGTTCTCCACTGTTCTTCTGTCACACATGTCTGTGCTTGAATGCCATTTACTTTTAGCAGAAAGCTTATTTAATACTCTGTAGAAAATACCTGGTTTCCACTTCTACGATTACACAAGGTTCATTAAAATACAGAGTCATTACCTATTGTATTGTCTGTGGGGCTCCGATTTTCTTCCCTATGCCCTGCAAAATACCTGTCAACAGTTTTATTTACGAACACTCTGATTGGTTGTCTCTGCTCTGAGTGATGTCTGTTCTTTCATCAGATGTCCCAGTGTTCTCTGGTCTTTCAGCACGGCTTCCCTGGGAAGAAATTTTATCCTCTGTTTCATTATGACAAGGTAAAATTTTTTGATTGGGTATCAACTTAAAAGGACTCTCCATTGGGCAAAAACATGAATATCATAACAGTTATAATACAATGTAATTATCCATATTCTAAATTATATATTCTCCTGGATTTGCCTGTGTAACTCCTTAATGACCATTGTATCACAAAATGAAAAGAACCATAGACTAGGAATCAGAAGGTCTGTGTTCTGGAATTGTTGCTGATACTTATCACCAAGCTACTAAACATTGTTGATTACTATTTTTTCTCTTTAAGCAGGTGTGATGATCCAGGTGTAGCCTACCGTGTTCTTCTGATGACCAAAGAGATAATGTGGGTATAGATGGTTTGTACACCAAAAAAAAAAAAACAAAAAAAAAAACCACACACCACTTTGCAGACCTAAGGCATCATTATACAGGTAATTTTTCTGATGGTGTCTCTGTAACACATTTATTTTAAGATCATAATTAAGAAAGGTCATAAAAGGATACAAGTGAAATGACATCTCTAGCCAAAGATAATTATATGGAATATTGAAACATGACACTATCGCACAAAAGTAAAAATATTTTGCCACGGAAAACCTTGCCCTTACTGTCCAGGAGATGGGGTTAAAGATATTAACAATAATTGATCTTTTTGTGAATATGAGTCATGAGAAATTGAACTGTCCTAATGTACTAATGACTTAAAAGCTTATGAAATGACCAAAATACATTCTTACACATGAGACAGAACATTGTGGCCTTACAAAGTACTGAGGTTATGTAGCTGCCTTAAAAAACACCAAAGCGGAAGAAGTCTTACTGTCTTGTTTAACCCCTGTTTATTGAAGAAATGAAGTTTCATTAACAAATTGTTACTAAAATAAAAAAACTTTAATAAAAAATTGATATGGAGAAAGGGATTTGGAAGGACCATGGAGGTGACAGGAATTCAAAGGATAAATAAATGAATAAGAATAGTTCATTTTAGAAGTGAAGTGACCCCTTTAAATAAAATGAATCTAAGAACTTCCATCAGTTGGCATTGATTGGAGAATCAGCAGATAGAAAGGGGTTGCTGTATTCATTGTTACCAATTCTGTCTCCTTGGTTTTTACTTCTATCTGGGGTTCTCTATTTTTCCTACTGCCATTAATATGCTGGTCCCCAGGGCTTCCCCTTAGTATACCAACAACCCTGCCTTAAATCTTTTAGCCTAAATCTGAATCTATGAAGCCTTAGTCTAAACTGAAACCAGTGTTAAATTTGGATTCTCAGAAATGTCACTTCCACCAGATTTCATGTTCTTGATATCGTAGGTCACAATCCAAGCACAAGTTCCCAATTTCTTCTCTGACCCATCGGTCATTTCCACTCTGCCTAACAGATCATTCATTTACATGTTAAACCTCTTCACAGGATACTACCTTTACTATCTAGATTAAGTAGAAAACTTCCCTCTTCAAAAACACCACATTCCCTGTAGCCATCTAAGCAGAAAATGTCCATCCTCTCAATCTACCAAATCTACCAAAATATCGAAATGTGGAGAATTTTTAGTCTGAATAAATTAGAAGCCAGAGAGTTTTCAACAGAGAAGTGATATGATCTATTAAACTTTTTGAAAGAGCCACTCTGAGTGACATAAGTGAGTGAACACAAAAAGGAATATATTTCAATAATCCAAGTGATTGATAATGGTCTCTTGCACTAGCATGTTAGTGATTAGAGGTGGTTAAAACATGGTGAGGCCTTGAATATTTTTAAAGGTAGAACTATCAACATTTGATGTTGAATTGGAAGGGGATGTGAGAAAAGAAGAGGCAAATATGTCTTGTGTGTATGCACACGCGAGTGTGTGTTTATTTCCTAATCAGGAGGGTGAAAGAGGTTGTCATATTGATCTGGAGAAGACTAGGGAGGGAAGAGGATTATTTAGTAGGGGTGGTGGTAAAGAAGTTCAAAAATTCTGCTTTGGACATGTGAGTTTAAAATGCCAATTAGATATTTATGAAGAGATTGTTAAAAAAAAAGAAAGAGAGAGAGACTGAATTGTCAAATTTGGGATTAAGGGAAGAGTTTGGAGCTGGATACATAAATTTAGAAGTTTTCTGAACAGAGGTGGTATTTAAAGGCTTGAGACTGGAGATTACTCAGAGAATAAATACACCCAGAGAAGATTAACAATACAAATACTGTACACACAAATGTAGATAGGATGTGGTAGAATGACAAGGGATACCGAGAAGGAGCAACAAGGGAAGCAGAGAGAATCAAGAGAGAAAGGCCTTTTGAGAACAAGTGAAAAAAAGCTTCTCAAGCAGGAGGAAACCATCAATTGATGCTGACAAGTCCAAATGATGATAAAAGGACAGATATTTCCAGGAAATAGTTCTTTGGATTTAGGAGTTCTCGGTGTGGACAGCTCATTTCCTGCATTTAATTGAGGATCTTTAGAAAGCCCTGTCACTAGAGAAAAATAATGTTTTCCAAGTTTCCAAAGAACCCATTTTAGATGAAACTCTAGGTATGAACAATAGTCAGCAATAACAACAATGGCAAAGATAGATAACATAATTAGGAATAAACAAAATAAGAAAAGTATAGGATCTGAATGAAAATAAAAGCTTTACTGAGGGATACCGTGGTGGGAAGAATAAGGGCCCTCCAAAGATGTCTGTGTTATAATTCCTGAAACCTGTGAACAAATTACCTTGCTTGGCAAAGGGAACTTTGCAGATCATATTAAGGATCTTGAGATAAAGTGATTATTCTACATTATCCGGGTAGTCCCAAAGTAATCGCTACGGTCTTTAAAAGAGGAAGGCAGGAGATCAGAGTCAGAGGACATGTGACTCTTCTGAAAGAGGTCAGAGGGATATGGGGCTACTCGCAAGGAATGCAGTCAGCCTCTAGAAGCTGAAAAAGATAAAGAAATTGTTTCTCCCATAAAGCTCTGCCAACTCATTTTAGACCTCTGACTTCAAGAACTTTATGGTAATGCATTTGTTTATTCTCTAAGCCACTATACTTGTGGTAATTTCTTACAACCAAAAACAGGAAATTGATACAGATTTTAAAAGACTTGAACCAATAGTAAGAAATCCCTTATCATTCATAGAGAGATATCTGTATATGCCTGGAAAGGTTTTTGGGAAGACTCCCAGTTGGATAGTAAGACTTGGAACAGCCTTAGGGGAGAACATTTTACTTCATCTTTTATCCTCTTGTGCTGTTAGAATCTTTTTTTAAAAAATTAACCATCTGTATGTATCACTTTTTATACATTTTTGAACATGCCTCCAATGGGATGAAACTTAAACCAATTCATTTCTAGTCACTGCACTAGGGTAGTTTCACCCACCATTAGTGAGTCAGAATACTTCTGCCACTGTGAAGGACAAGAAGGTTTTGAGAAAGAAATGTGTGAACAGTTGGTTTGTCCTGCTGCCCTTAAATTTAAGCAGTCATGTTTTATACCTTAGCATAGAAACATACAAAACCTAGAATCATAGAGAAAATGTAGCTAAGGTTTTCAAGCTTTGCCAGATACTCTGCAGACCAAATAATATCGAATCATCAAATGATAGTGTTTTCTTATATTTATAAATTATAATAGCTTTGAGGCAAATTTTGTATATCTACCCGTTATTGTTCATTTCCTCCTAGAAAAATGATTTAAATCAGGGGGGAAAAAGAATGATAGAACAGTTCATGAATAATAGCTCAAGGTTTAGATAAATGAGGATTTTGGTAGAGAACTGCGGTTATTCAGTATATGGTATTTTACTTGAATAATAACTGGGTAATGTGTGAAAAGGCATAAATGTGGCTGTTTAAGCAAGCAGCGTGTTTTACTTAATGCAAATCACTAAGATGCAAATCCCTTTTGCAAACCCTCAGCATGTCTGTTTCATTATAAAATGATGCCACTGACGATGATCAAAGCAATAACTGTGTGTATGACTGAGAAGAACAAGATGCAATCAACAGGGCTTTCCTATTTGGGGACATTTACAAAACTAATATTTGCTTATTGTGGTAGACAGTTGTTTCTTGCTTTTTCAACCGCAAACTATTCGGATTGCTGCACATTCACTGTTAGGCTACATGTTGCTGTTCTTTCTCGGAAGGCCACACGTGATATCATTTGCTGTCGTACTTTCATGTTTCCTCAGGTTACCACACTTTGGTTCTATATAACAAACTACATAGGATGGTACAGGACTTCAGTCTTATTCAAGGATATCATAAATTTAACCAATTCACCTACTACTACCTATATTCCCTAATAACTATTTTTAAAATTCCAAAGCCCAGCAATATTTCTAGTAAACACAATTTTGGCATTCTATCCTTACACACTAAAATAAACCTTTTCTTTCTACATAAAGAAGCTTCATAATATTTTATAAAATTGGCCTAAAATAGTAGACATGCTTATTTTTTAAATATGAGAATTTTACTTGAATAGAAAGTACCATGTACTTCACTACTCTTTCATAGAATTTGAATACAAATTGTATGCTCCTTGGAAACTTAGCATGTATATTGCAACCAAAGAATCTCTTAATTTTTTCCTGTTAATATTAATCTTTTTCATGTTCCCAAAAGTATTCATTTCTAGCTAAGAAATTCAAATGCTGTAAAGCAGGATTTACATGTTATTAGATAATAATGGAAACTGAATGTGAATTCAGAAGATAACTACTACATAAAGGCAGTGATTTGATCCTTCAGTGATTGTAGTTTCTTCCATTTTTCTTTTTACTGTTTAATTCTGAGAGAAAGCAAATAAAGAAACTGGTGTGATGCTCACTCGACAGGGGTTTTCAATGATGTTCATTTGACTTCATGAATTTGGGTTTGCAAAACAGGCACTTGGTACTTTACCTGTAATTAACAGGTGTTGTCATCAGCAAAATCAAGGCTGTGCCACTGATAGCATTTACTATAAAAATTTTACAACTTTAGGACCATAGTTAATAGTAGTGTACAGCAGTCTTCTCTTATTTGCGGGGAATAAATTCTAAGACCCCTAATGGATTTCTGAAATTGCAGAGAGTACCAAACCCTATACATGCTACGTATTTTTTCCTTATGTATACACACCTATGATAAGGTTTAATTTATAAATTAGGCACAGTAAGATATTAACAATTATTAATATTAACAAAACAATGATAATACATATGCTGTAATAAAAGTTATATGAATGTAGTCTCTCTCTTTTTCTAAAAATATCTTACGGTGCTGAACGCACGTTTTTTCTTGTAATGATGTGAGATGATACAATGCTCTACATGATGTCATGAAGTGAGGTGAATGACACAGGCATTGTGACCTAGCATTAGGCTACTATTGACTCTCTGATCATTCGTCAGAAACAAAATCATTTGCTTTGGGTGATCCTGGATCATGAAGCCATGATGGTGTTGATGGTTGGATGTCAGATGCAGATGATGTTGGTGGCTAACTAGAGAGTAGTGTATATAGGAAGGATTCACTTCCTGAGCAGGATGGAATGGGATGGCACAAAATTTCATCACACTGCTCAGAACAAGACAGAATTTAAAACTCATGAATTGTTTATTTCTGGAATTTTCCACTTGATACTTTCAGACTGCAGCTGACCCTGGGAAACTGCAACCATTGGAAAGTGAAACCACAGATAAGGGATGACTACTGAATTGTATTTGGGATTTTTGCTAAATGAGTGGGTTACAGCTGCTCCTGCCATAAAAAAAACTATGTAACTATGTAAGATGAAGATAAGGAATCATCATGATGTTATGAAATACAAAGAGATAAGAAAAAGATGCAAACTACTATGCATCACTATTGTAACCGTTTTCCTATTTGTATTCCATAACGTCATGTTTTGTAAATTAAGTATATACAATAAAATTTATTTTAAAAAAGAATTTATATGTTCTCCATTCACCAGTATTAATGAAAACAGGACATTTAGCAATTGCCAAATATATCATTTGTCATAAAATAATACTGAAATGTGGAAGGTTTTAAACAAACATGGTTTCAAATGTAACCTTTTTCTTAACATTATCAAGTATTGCTAATGTGATAGTTAATTATTGTTAATGCAACACTCTATAAAAGGCGCTATGTTCTTTCTCTGCTCACTTGAAACAACAAAATATTCATGACAACAGCCATTTAGGCTTCTCATAATCTATATATTTATGAAATGTGAGCCCTATGCTATGCACAGTATAATTCACTAAGCATAATTGAATAGCGAACAATATAGAGTGGGGTTGACAGTTTAGAGTCCTCCACGTTAAGGAAATGGTGAAAACTCTCTGCTGGATGCAATGGCTTCCATTCTCTCCTTTCACTTTCTGTTTGTCTTCAATTTTGCCGGCCTCCAGTGTTGGAGAATGCGATGAGGTATTATCTGCTCTTTTTGCTTAAAAGTCATTTGGCAATTCCCAGTCTAAAGAGATAGCAGGTGTTACTGTGTCTGAGGCCCACTCAGTCAGTTTTCTGGGATGGTGAGCTGTCTCTCGAAGTGAAAAAGAGAGAAAAATAAGTCTTGTGATAAAGCTCCAAATATGTAATCTTGAATGAAGCATGTTGTATTTCTAATCAGTGGGAAACTTTGAAGCTACTCGGCCATTCATTTAAACTTTATATCTTTGTCTTTGAAGCTTAAAAGGAATGTAGTTTCTAATCTATGATGTATTATTCATTTTATTAAACACAAAATTTTATTATATTTCAGTCTTTTAATCAAAATTTTAATCATATTGATATTTATCAATGTATTCATTCATGCATCCTATCAACAGACATTTATTTAATGTCTACCACATGGAAAATATTGTAATAGGCAATAGGGATACAGAGTATAACACAGACCTGGGTCCTACGCTTATTAAACTTTTTATTTTACTCAATTATAGATATTAAACAATTCTGTTTTGCTAGGCATAGTATTTCTCTTTGCTAGAATCTGCCTTGAACACTTGAGATGCTGACTCTTTATGACTAGAGGATAGAAAACTTGTTTTCTTTTTTTACTTTTGCTTTTTGTAGATGTAGAATCTTGCTCTGTCACTCAGGATGAAGTGCTGCTGTGTGATCTTAGCTCACTGCAGCCTCAGACTCCTGGGCTCAAACTATCCTCCTGCCTCAGCCTCTGAAGTAACTGGGATTATAGGTGCACACCACCATGCCTGGATTTTTTCTTTTCTTTTTTTTTTTTTTTGTGAGACAAGTTCTCACTATGTTGCCCAGGCTGGTCTCAAATTCCTGGGCTCAAGTGATCCTTCTGCCTCAGCCTTCCAAAGTGTTAGGATTATGTCAGCCACTGTGCCTGGCCACAGTTTTCTTTAGTAAAAGGGTCCCAAAGTAGGGTTGCTTGGGCCATGATGTGTTATACAATTTAGCTAAGCAGATATTTCACTACAGGCAATCTCTTTGCATGGTTCTGATATGTATACATTTCAGTTATTACGGTTTAGTTAAACATTACTAGTTTCTATCAACGCAGTTCATATTTCAGTTACCATGGTATATTAACTGTAATTGCATAAAGCACCAACTTCACCGCTAGCTCTTTTTTTTTTTTTTTTTTTTTTTAAGATAGAGTCTCGCTCTGTCACCCAGGCTGGAGTGCAGTGGCGCGATCTCCGCTCACTGCAAGCTCCGCCTCCCAGGTTCATGCCATCCTCCTGCCTCAGCCTCCTGAGTAGCTGGGACTACTGGCGCCCGCCACCACGCCCGGCTAATTTTTTGTATTTTTTTTTTTTAGTAGAGACGGGGTTTCACCGTGTTAGTCAGGATGGTCTCGGTCTCCTGACCTCGTGATCCGCCCGCCTCGGCATCCCAAAGTGTGGGATTACAGGCGTGAGCCACCGCGCCCGGCCACCACTAGCTCTTTAGTCTACATATCACTACCGAAATAACAGATGTGCATCATGATCAATGACAAAACACACCACTTTCAAAGTCTGTTGGTGATCGGTTGTGGCACATCTCTTATTTGGTTCATGTTCAGATAGCAAGGCAAGTAGTTTCATTTCTTCCTTGTTTTTCAGTGAAAACACATGATATTTTACAAAAAAAAAAAAAAGATGACTGAAAAAGGGAATTGGCCAATAAAGACACAGGTGCAGCAAAGAAACAAAAAGTGATAATGCCGTGAATGAAATTCAAATCAAACATAAGTGCAGTCATAGAAGAATTAGCTAATTATAGAAATATTGACACAGATGCAGTTTGAGAGACTCTAGATATGTAACCAGAGGAACTTAGCAAGGTAAATGTATCAACATAAATGAGGAAGGTGGTATGGTGACATGTCCCAGTGGATGGGACGTTAGCAACAAACTTTTCATTAAAGAATCTTCCAGAGATAGAAAACATAAAGAATAGAACGTTGGAAGTTGATTCAAATTTAGAAGGAAGTATGACAATTTGCAAAGGCATAGAAAAGATGTTGGCTTTGTGTCATTATACAAAAAGAAGGCAAGCACATTTCCAACCATTCTTGCTAAGTTTTTTACAAAGAAAACCCATTACTTCTCAACATTTCTAATGTTTTAAATTATAGTGTATTAAAAAAATACTAGTTTTACTATTTTTTCCTTACATATCTATAACTGACAGTAAAACAACATCTTTTAAATGTTTTGATAAAAAGGTTTCAAGATCAAGGCTTCAGCTTGAAGCTATTTTCATGCTCCTGCATGACTGTATAAAGTGGAGATTGCCTGTATGGTATATATTATATCCCACTATCTTCACAAAATCTATAATGCATGCAGGAGTTAGTCCAAGAATGGTTTAATTACTGGCAACCAAACTCAGAACTCATTTTCCTCTTCAATGACTAAGCACCAATTATGCTTCTCAGTCCTTCTGCAAAGACAGGCAACTGCACCATTTTGGTAGGCATGACAAAATATGCCTGAACCATAGAAATAAATATAGTTTAATTGATTTTCCAAGCAATTCCTCAGCTCCTGTGTACATATAATTCTTAAAGAAACAATCTCAGCAGCTCTCTCAACATTTCCAGTCATAGGTAATAGGAAAAAGGACACTGCCCCAGCTGAGATCCTTGTTTTTTACGAAAAGCTAGCAGACAGAAGAAAGTTTTCAAATAACACAAAAATGTGATAGAATGCCAGCTATCATTGCAAAAAAATTCTAGTAATATTTAGAGAACAGCAGAAAAATATATTTATTTCTAATTCCTAAGTCAAAACCATCTTGATTTTTTAATGTAGTATAATTAAATAAAAAGAAAACCTAGGCAATACCATTCAAGACTTAGGCATTAGCAAAGACTTCATGATTAAAACACCAAAAGCAATGGCAACAAAAGCCAAAATTGACAAATGGGATCTAATTAACCTAAAGAGCTTCTGCACAGCAAAAGAAACTATCATCAGAGTGAATAGACAACTTACAGAATGGGAGAAAAATTTTGCAATCCATCCATCTGACAAAGGGCTAATATTCAGAATCTACAAGGAATTTAAACAAATTTACAAGAAAAAACAACCCCATCAAAAAGTGGGCAAAGGATATGAACAGACACTTCTCAAAAGAAGACATTTATGCGGCCAAAAAACATATTTTAAAAAAGCTCAATATCACTGGTCATTAGAGAAATGCAAATCAAAACCACAATGAGATAGCATCTCACACCAGTCAGAATGGCAGTTATTAAAAAGTCAGAAAACAATAGATGCTGGTGAGGCTGTGGAGAAATAGAAACACTTTTACACTGTTGGTAGGACTGTAAATTAGTTCAACCATTGTGGAAGACAGTGTGGTGATTCCTCAAGGATCTAGAACTACATATGCTATTTGACCCAGCAATCCCATTATTGGGTATATACCCAAAGGATTATAAATCATTCTACTATAAAGACACATGCACACGTATGTTTATTGCAGCACTATTCACAATAGCGAGGACTTGGAACCAACCCAAATGCCCATCGATGATAGACTGGATAAAGAAAATGTGGCACATACACACCATGAAATACTATGCAGCCATAAAAAAGAATGAAATCATGTTCTTTGCAGGGACATGGATGAAGCTGGAAGCCATCGTTCTCAGCAATCAATCACAGGAACAGAAAACCAAACACCACATGTTCTCATTCATAAGTGGGAGTTGAACAATGAGAACACACAGGGAGAGAAAAAATGCAAGGGATGGGGGGCAATGGGAGGGAGAGCATTAGGACAAATACCTAATGTGTGAGGGACCTAAAACCTAGATAATGGGTTGATAGGTGCAGCAAACCACCATGGCACAGGTACACCTATGTAACAAACCTGTACTTTCTGCACATGTATCCCAGAACTTAAAATTTTTTTAAAAAAGAAAGCCAGCTAAAAAAAAATGTCTCTTAGAAGACATACTCTTCATAATTTATCATGACTTGAATGCACATTTTGGGGCTCAGAAAATGATATCCCAAAGTATGGTGGTTTGACATGCTGAGTACTTGAACAAAAGGATATTGGAAGTCATCTGAAGCAGCTTTAGAGCCAAGGTTTCTCTGAACATCTCCCATCTCTCACCCTTCATTCTCCCATAAAGTGAGTCAAAGAAATAAGACTTTCTCTTCCTCAAGGTAGGTCATAGAAACTAGAACCCTTTTCCCCCAAAACAAGCCATAAAACCTAGAAACATTACTCTAAGCTTTCTCTGCCTTTCTGTTTAGGAGCTAGCCATAAAGAAATTCTCTGACTTACCCTTGTCTGATAGTTGGTAATAAGACTCTCATTCCAGGGGTCCTACCCCATACCCAGGAGAAAGGAATGCTACAATAGAGAGGCTAAGAAGAATCTGGACAGGCCTTGTTGAGTTTCCCTCCTTAGTCTGTTAGCATTTAGGTCATACCCATTTGTCCAAACACATTTCTACATGGTTGTCCATGTTTCATGGAACCAAATCATAAAAATAGACAGTTTTCCCTGAGCCTTTGTGCCTTCATTTCCAAAGCCTCCATGTTATGTAAAACTTTGATTAAATAAATCTGTTATGCTTTTCTCTTGTTATCTAGTCTTTTGTTCTAGAAATGTCAGTTGTGACCCTTATGATAAATAAACCCATAAAAGTAGAAAATAAATAAACCCATGAAAGTAGAAGACACTAATATCTTTTAATTTACATTTATTTTGGTTAATTCTTCATAAAATGGAGTAAAAGCAATATATTTCTATTCTCTATCTAAAAGACATTCACACAATTCAACTTCTGACATTTCCAAAGATATACCCCTAGTCACTATTTTATTGAAACAGTTGCATTTATTTGCCTGATTTTGAATGTGCATTTGGATGTGCAGCCTTGAAAAAGATTACTTACAAAACAATTTCCAATAGTGATTTGATAGTGGAGGTCACACATTTTAACTTATGAGTCGTGTGGCTCATTGCTATACTTTGAGAGGCCTGGAAATGAGTTGTGCCAGATAATGGTTGCATATGTAAATAAACAAGGCCGGAGCTTTTCGGCACAGCACCAAATCACCAGTGAACGGATACTAAAAACCTTCAATCACACAGCTCCAATTTTTCAAAAGCAGCAGCTGGAAAGAGCACAAGGCCTCAGGTTTGCTGTTATTTAATATGGAGTAAAGTATTTTTTTTAATAGTAAGTATTGTTACACTGCATCATAGGTAATAAAATACAAATCCAAGTAAGTGAACTGTACTTTTGAAACTCCTTTTAATGCTAATATTCTTTCAGAATTGAAGAGTAAAGAAGAATTTGGGATTAAATTACTAAACATCAGCAGAAGCACAAAAGTGTTTTTTAGAATGTAACATTTATAGGCAATATATATTAAATAAAATAAATTCTTGTTTTTATAAATAAAAATTAAGTTAACATACGTGAAAGTCTTTGTTTACACTAGCCAAATTCATCACAATTTGGAACTCCCTTTGTTAACAACAGTATGTAGCTTGAATTAGAAGGACTGTACAACACAGGAGCAACAAGATGACCCAAACTACTTTTGCCACTAATTCAATTTCTTGAAAAAATAAACAAAAAGGAATATTTTTCACTAAGGACTTACTTTATGTCAAGCACTGTCGGGCCCTTTGTCCACACATTCATTTGGTCATCAAAATAATCCTGTGAGACAGCATCTTTATCTGTATATTACAATTAGCAAGCAGCATCTCAGGGCTTCCCAAAGCATGCAGACAGGGGGTAAGCAGGTACCCAATATTAAAATCAAGATATGTTGTACCAAAGCAAAACCAGAGCCGATCAGCAGATAAGTAGTAAACACAGATTTTATTTAAGACTATTACAATAGGGGGAAGGAGACTTCAGTATCAAACTGGGCTCAACTCTGACTACAGCATGGGCATGTGGGAATATATAGTCAAGGAGCAGGGTGGAGGTCACTGGATGAAAAATTACTAGGAGGTAACATCAGGAATAAGGAGAATTCTGTCTAAAACAATCTAACAGGATTCTTGGTAAAGATTAGCTTGGGTATTCAGGATATCACCCAGGGAGTGATGAAGGATGAAGACTCTGATTAGATATTGAGGGTGATCAGCTATCAAGGGCAGGAGGTTCTTGCTAAACTGACAAAGAAAGGTTCTTGCTAAAACTGGATTTTGTAAGGAAGTATACAGATGGGCCTAGGGGAAGGCTCAGAAGCCTAACTAAAGTTTGGTGAAGCAAAGAAGCTTTGGCAATGGCACTCTGAATTCTGTGCCCTTCCCCATATGCTAAACTTTGTTTGTACTCCAATAATCCAAAACACAATGGTTCCTTTTTCCCTACCAAATCAATTGTAAACACAAAGCCACAATTTCCCTTTTGTCATTGAAGAAGTTCTCATTTCTCACCCATGTTCTTTCTAACACTTCATGCTACTACCACTATTTTATGATATTAGTTAAACATTTATGTCATTGCCTTTTGTATTTCTATTTTACCCTAAGGGTATATTATTATCCTTTTCTGGGTATTAATAAGGTCAATTGAGATAATCAGGATGAAAGTGTTTTGAAAATTTAAAGGTAGTAGATGAGCTGGGGTCATAATTATGCTTCCAGTATAGAAAAACAATTTGCTTAACAAATTTAGAAACTACTTTAGAAGAGTGTTTGGCCATGTCCTTCATTCTATACCAAGAAAATCTATTTTAAAGAAACTATCTGTACAGTAAGCAGCAGGAGATCATCTGCTGAGAGTGCAAGGGCGAATGCAAATTAAAAATAAGAGGCTTAATTCCTCCAGGTTGAAAATAAGAAAAGACATGATTTTTCTCCCTTTTCTTAAAGCATTTACTTTAGAAAACTTATCATTGAAACTGTATGTAAATTGTTTTAAAGCTAATTAAGCCTCTTGTCAGGTTTCTTACTCAGAAATATCTATCTCCAGGACCTGGAAATCACCTCTTTAACATACAATCAAGAAAGATTGTGGCCCTATCTCCCTGTTTCTGGGATGGATGGGAGCTTTATACTTCTACAGGCACTACAGTCTGAGTTGCAAAACCCCCTTGCCATATTTATTTTTTTCTTTGCATAAAGCCAATTAGCTAACACAGATGATCACCCCAATTACCAAGTAAATATAGGATTAACTATGTGTAACAAATGGTGCTGTCAAGTCCTCTTGCTTGAGGAATAGTTATGTTTATTTCGAGGACATGTATGTAATGGGTTGTATCTGCTTGGCTATATACGAGTGAGATTTCTTTCTATCTTGGCAATCTCTTTGATGATTGCCTAGGATATGCATCGCATTCTGGTTTAATGTTTATTCAATATTACAATTTTATTCTTTCTCTTCCACCATTATGTAGAGGTTTCCAGAATTAGAAAGAGATTTTGTTTTCAATTATATTTTCCCAACAAGAGAAAATATATCCTTCTAAAACTTGAGTTTTGAGCACAGAGAATGAAGACCGTAAAGACAATGAACATTTCACCAATGGAAATTTTAAAAGATGTGTATAACTTACTTGTTAGAGGAATTCATAGTGAATTATTCTTTTTGGTATTAAAGAGGTGTGCTTTGTGCCTTTTCAGAAGAATATCAGTTCAATTTTTTCATAAAACATTTGAATTGCATGAATGGATGTATTGATGTGGGGTTATGAAGAGTTACATGTTTAAATGCAAAATAGTGTAAAAAACTGGTGATTGACAGGATATAGTAAACTAGGGCAGTGTTCATGAAAGTTCGTTCTCTAGACTCCTAACCCATAGGATGTTCTGTTAAAACACATGGAGGAGAGGAGGCAAAGAAGTTTTGGAGACTGCATATCACACCCTATTTTAAAGGTTCACATTTATTAACATATTTCTTGCAGTGGAGGTATTTGTCTCATTTTGTTTGATCTAACTTTCTCTAAATTTATTTTACCTTTGAGAACATTTGTATGAACTATTTTTTAATACCCCCTGATGCTAATGTTATTCCATAGAACATAGCTCTAGGCTGTGAGGACTCACTGAAGGTTTTTTTTAAATATTAAAACCCACTATATCACTGGAACATATTTCGGGAAGTGCCAATGTAAGACCAGAACTGAAAGTTCAGATTTTCCCAATCCCATTTAAGAGTGTGAAGGAAAAAAGCACATTTGATCAGTTTGCCTCAGAGTTTAGTGTATGGCAACAGAGCAATTCAAGGTTTTTGGTTAATAGGGATTAACAAACACAGCTGGAAAGCCTCTGTTAATCATTAAGAAAAAGAGTAATCTGTAAAAGCAGTTTTAAAAGTGCTTTTCTTTCCCTGAATTTTTGAATTGTGACCATTCTAAGGGAAATGAATTTAACATTAATCCTTGGTGAGTAAAATTTCCATAATCCCTTTCTATAATTAAGTGAATTATTTTTAATCACATCTGCAGCTGATGCAAGCATTTTCCCAACCTAAATAGTAAAACATAAATTCCCTTTATGCCGAGGTAAGTCGTTTCCCTGAAAGTTTATAGTCTTCAGAATGAGAGCCGAAACCCTCTACCCCTATATTCAACCTGAACACTGAGAACTGGATCTACAACCCTATGAACGCCTACAATAACATGAGTTTGCTATTTCCTTGTTTTTGTTGGCATTATTTTATTTTTCCTGGAGTCTCTTGCTTAAGCAAAGGATTTTGTTCATGACAGGAAGTTCCGGTGCAACAATCGATTTCTGTTTAAGCTTCCCAGTTTGTGGTATTTTGCTACAGCAGCAGCCCTATCAGAAAGAATACGCCTTCCCCACTCCACAATACTGCCAGCATTCTGTGGCATTGGTGCTGTTTCCTGCAATAAGCAATAAACTCAGCCTTTTCTTAATGATAGCTCATGCTAGTTATATTGGAGATGCCAGCATTCAGCAAGAGCCTGCTGGATTTGCCACTCTTTTAAAGCTGTCAAGAAGAACTTTTGAATAAGATATTATGCCGTGATTTTTTAGTAATGAGAGAAATGTGCATGATTCTTGGAAATGCACACCAGTTACAAGAAACATCTAGAAATAAGACCCAAGAAATCGTTGGCAGCCAAATATCTGATAGGCTTGAGCCATACCGTGGAGTTTGAAATTTATCCTAAAAGCAATGAGAAATAATTAAAGGATTTAAACCAGAAAAGCAAACAAACAAACTAAAAAAAATCCTTCAACTCTATTATAGCTGCAATTAATTTCATTTTGAAACTTTTTATAGTATACCATATGCCTGCATATATGAAAAAAAAGTTTGCCTAAACTCTGTTCTCAGAAAAAGTAAATTATCATATCTATCTATGTCTCTATCTATCATCTTACAACTCAGGAAAAGTAAAAACGAGCCCCAGGTGTATTAGAGATTCAAAATACGGCTCTAGTGAAAATGAGGACACCAAAGTCAGAGATCCATGTGAGCAATATGAAAAAATTGCTTTGTAAAATGTGAGGCTGAAAATAATTATTTAGAAATTTATATTACTTTATATAAAAATGTGTTCAAACATACATTATTATATCAAATACTAATATATTTGAGTATTTTATCTATATCTGGACAATAGATACAGATAAAATTTACCTATCAGTTTTCAATGTTTCTGGTCAATATTTAAGGCTGGCCAAAAATTTACTTGGATGGATCTTATCTTTGGGAGCACAGGGGATCAGAGTATCACGTTAAACACAGGCTTATGCTACTGGTGGGTAGATACATAGAGAGACAGACAGATATTAATCACAAATTCTAGCAGATTCAAAAATGTATTTACTCTATAGGTTGGGTCCTTTATTTCTTTATATCACATGTGATTCTCCTCTTCCAAATACAGAATACCAGGAAAATAAATGAAATTTAATCAAATCTACCTGAAGATTAGTCTATTTAGATTGAACTTTCTTTCTTCAGAGTAACTGCCAAGCCTTCCTCATTTTCTGCCCCCATCCTTTTGCTCCTCCCCAAAATGGAGTCTCATGTTTGTTTCAGGCAATGTACATGACACCATGCCACTGAGGGAGAGGAAGACCTCAGCTTTCTGCTAATCTTCCAGGGCACGCTGGCTGGTATCTCTAGAAGTACAAGTAGCTCGATCCTGTCCCTGAGTGTTCTGCTAGAATCTACTAATCGTACAATTAATGGTCTACACTTCCTCAGGTTGGTTATTTCCCTCTGACCCTTCTTTAATATTTGGCCTCACTTTCAACGTTTCTAACATTGAAGATCCACGGTGAACATAAGTGCCCTGGGATATCATTGAACCAAAAGTTAAGAATTTTTGTTTATCTAATAAACAATGAAATAGCCAAAAGATGGGCACAAAGAGAAAGAGCCTGGGTTTAAAAATAAAACATATTTAATTATATTTTAAATTTCATAATAATAAAACATTTCCTCGCAATATATTTTAAAGCATACTTTTAGTAAGTGGAATAATAGTATGGAATAACGAAAGTGGATCCTTTCATAAAGGGAAATTCACTTTACCAAAAGCCCAATGAGAATCATACTATGGAAAGAGGGCAGCATTAGAAAACCAGTAGGTAATATCTCATGAACTGTGATGAATATATTTCAAATAAAATCAGTTTTTAAAATTCTGCTGAAGTGCTACTTCCCAGAATATGGAGTGACTGTAATCTTGTTTATTTACTATGTGATTTACTTAGGAATATACATAAGACTGCATCATCTTGACCACTGATAACTACATGGTTGTTTATGTGGTTGCTTGAGACTCTTTTGCAGAGTTGTGCCTTTTAAAACTAAAGAGTTGTTAGTTTCATTTAAAAGAAAAAAAAGAAATTACATGCAACTCAAAAAGATTTGGAGCAAATACTATGTAAAATATAATGAGGGTCTTTCCTCCATTCCAGGAAATTTAAGAACACTTTTATATTCTATGATGAGGTCTTCTGAAACTGGAGCCCATAAAGTGCTATTTCTAAAGTAGTATATTTCAATAGATAACTTTCTTAGATAATATGTTTTTATTTCCTTAATTTTCTCAGTGTTTCAGTACATAAAATACTATCAAATTTATATTCCAGGAAGCTTTCAAAAGTATTTCAAAAACATGCTTAACAATTTTTAATGTGACCGATGTTATTTCCTAATGATATAGAAAGTCCTGTTGACCTTGTTATGTGAAAGCACATAATTAGGTTCCAAATTAGTGATCTGTTTAAACTTGATACTCCTGAAGTAGATGAGAGTCTGGTTTTAGGAGAGGCCCAAATTGAGGGATAAAGCTTTGCAAATGAGGCTCAACATTAGTCTATCCTGGTCTACATAATCCAGTTTAAGCTTCCTTAAATTACGGCTTTTCTACATTTCCCCCAAAATCCCTAGGCATATTTCTTCACTTTTAGGTAATGTAAGCATAAAGTAAGGAGAAAATGACATCTTGGGTTAATGTAATTAGGAGGTGAAAAGTCCACCAATGTGTTAAGATTTGAAACAATCTTTATCCAATACATATTTTCCACATTTTGATATTTTAGAACCTAAAATTCACAAGTAGACACTTGGCAAGAAAAAAGTGACAACATACACTTCCTACCCTAATACTTGGGTATATAATAAATCTTTTGTGCCTTGTACATAATAGGTGCACAATAGATGTTTGTTGAATGAATGAATGAATAAATGAATGAAAATATTGTCTGTGTAGGTTTATCCTAACTTGTGGAAAGCATACACTAATGAATTCTACCCTTTCTAGGCATATTTATATCTCTTACTATGATCTTAGGATCATATCCTTTAAGTGAAATTGCTTTTCTAAATCTAACACAGTTATGATATCATGTGATCAACAATGAGATCTTTTATTTGTTTTTAATTCCATCACAAAATAATAATTATTTGATGAGGAGATAATTACTGATCCTTAATCAAAAAGAAAGATAATTCTGATTTGGTGAGTTTTCAATAAAGCTTATTAAGTCTACAGGGAAATATGGAGTTGGTGAAAGCTAGAAATTGGAATCTACAGTCAGTTGCCGAATAGCTTATTTCATCTCTTCATTTCAGTAAAAGACATGAAGCTGGCAAAGCCAATATTAAACTTGTTATCGAGTCCAAAAATTACTATACAGCGTTCATGAGAAGACTACAGCAATGCTTCCAGACTCAAACTGCTCTTAAAATTTCACTGAAGACAGATTCAGCCTAATTCATGAATATATTGAATTAGCATGACTACATGCTTTATTCAGGTCACTGAGGAGACTGAATTTATCTGCTTAGTGGGAAGGTCAACTGGAAGGGAATTAATTAAGGAGTGTTGGAAATGGATTACATTGTAAGCTTCCATATAGAATATAAAAGAAAATTAAGACCCAGAAGGTAAACATCAATAAGTAAGAGAAAAGGTGCACCAGGTTCGCATGGATTAAAGGTACATTTTAGTGAAAGAGAACAAATACATTTTCTGAGGACAAAAGGATATGGAAGTAAATTAAAGTACTTATGAACCTTAGCTAGTCATAAGAAAGATAGGCTCTTGTCTAACATTTAACTCCATCAGTCTTAGCAACTGCCTGAACACATGAAACTTTACAAAAAAACTTCCATTTCCTAATTTGGGGAACTTGGTTATTTTAAGTTTTGGCAAATTTGGTTTAGACTAGTATTTTAAAATTATTCTTTTTCTAATCTTTATGCCTCTAAGACCAACTATTAATAAACAAATATTACAAACTTAAACAGCTAGTCAAGCCTCTAAAAGCATATATAATATTATTCAAAATAAAAGTATTAAAGAATGAAGCCTGAGCAACAAGGCATAAGGAGCTAATTTAAAATTAAGATTTGGCATCTATGTATAACTTTTGACAGTTTTGTTGTTTTTTCCATTAAATACAGTACTCTTCTTTTTTTTTTTTTTTTTTTTTTTTTTTTTGAGACGGAGTCTTGCTCTGTCGCCCAGGCTGGAGTGCAGTGGCGCGATTTCGGCTCACTGCAAGCTCCGCCTCCTGGGTTCTCGCCATTCTCCTGCCTCAGCCTCCCGAGTAGCTGGGACTACAGGCGCCCGTCACCATGCCCGGCTAATTTTTTGTATTTTTTTTTTAATAGTTACGGGGTTTCACCGTGTTGGCCAGGAAGGTAACGATCTCCTGACCTCGTGATCCACCCACCTTGGCCTCCCAAAGTGCTTCTTCCTTCTTTTTAATAAAAAATGGAAATTAGTTAAAAGGGATAGATTTAGAAATAATTCAAATTTATGAAGATCCTTCCTATCCATGAGCATGGAATGTTCTTCCATTTGTTTGTGTCCTCTTTTATTTTGTTGAGCAGTGGTTTGTAGTTATCCTTGAAGAGGTCCTTCACATCCCTTGTAAGTTGGATTCCTAGGTATTTTATTCTCTTTGAAGCAATTGTGAATGGGAGTTCACTCATGATTTGGCTCTCTGTTTGTCTGTTATTGGTGTATAAGAATGCTTGTGATTTTTGCACATTGATTTTGTATCCTGAGACTTTGCTGAAGTTGCTTATCAGCTTAAGGAGATTTTGGGCTGAGCTGATGGGGTTTTCTAAATATACAATCATGTCATCTGCAAACAGGGACAATTTGACTTCCTCTTTTCCTATTTGAATACGCTTTATTTCCTTCTCCTGCCTAATTGCCCTGGCCAGAACTTCCAACACTATGTTGAATAGGAGTGGTGAGAGAGGGCATCCCTGTCTTGTGCCAGTTTTCAAAGGGAATGCTTCCAGTTTTTGCCCATTCAGTATGATATTGGCTGTGGGTTTGTCATGAATAGCTCTTATTATTTTGAAATACGTCCCATCAATACCTAATTTATTGAGAGTTTTTAGCATGAAGGGCTGTTGAATTTTGTCAAAGGCCTTTTGTGCATCTATTGAGATAATCCTGTGGTTTTTGTCTTTGGTTCTGTTTATATGCTGAATTACGTTTATTGATTTGTGTATGTTGAACCAGCCTTGCATCCCAGGGATGAAGCCCACTTGATCATGGTGGATAAGCTTTTTGATGTGCTGCTAGATTCGGTTTGCCAGTATTTTATTGAGGATTTTTGCATTGATGTTCATCAGGGATACTGGTCTAAAATTCTCTTTTTTTGTTGTGTGCCAGGCTTTGGTATCAGGATGATGCTGGCCTCATAAAATGAGTTAGGGAGGATTCTCTCTTTTTCTATTGATTGGAATAGTTTCAGAAGGAATGGTACCAGCTTCTCCTTGTACTTCTGGTAGAATTTGGCTGTGAATCCGTCTGGTCCTGGACTTTTTTTGGTTGGTAGGCTATTAATTATTGCCTCAATTTCAGACCCTGTTATTGGTCTATTCAGCGATTCAACTTCTTCCTGGTTTAGTCTTGGGAGGGTGTATGTGTCCAGGAATTTATCCATTTCGTCTAGATATTCTAGTTTATTTGCGTAGAGGTGTTTATAGTATTCTCTGATGGTAGTTTGTATTTCTGTGGGATCAGTGGTGATATCCCCTTTATCATTTTTTTATTGCGTCTATTTGATTCTTCTCTCTTCTTCTTTGTTAGTCTTGCTAGCGGTCTATCAATTTTATTGATCTTTTCAAAAAACCAGCTCCTGGATTCATTGATTTTTTGAAAGGTTTTTTATATCTCTATTTCCTTCAGTTCTGCTCTGATCTTAATTATTTCTTGCCTTCTGCTAGTTTTTTAATGTGTTTGCTCTTGCTTCTCTAGTTCTTTTAATTGTGATGTTAGGGTGTCAATGTTAGATCTTTCCTGCTTTCTCTTGTGGGCATTTAGTGCTATAAATTTCCCTCTACACACTACTTTAAATGTGTCCCAGAGATTCTGGTATGTTGTGTCTTTGTTCTCATTGGTTTCAAAGAACATCTTTACTTCTGCCTTCATTTCATTATGTACCCAGTAGTCATTCAGGAGCAGATTGTTCAGTTTCCATGTAGTTGAGTGGTTTTGAGTGAGTTTCTTAATCCTGAGTTCTAGTTTGATTGCACTGTGGTCTGAAAGACAGTTTGTTATAATTTCTGTTCTTTTACGTTTGCTGAGGAGTGAAGTAAAGCTGTTTGTTTAAAGGCCGTATTTAGCCCTGTGGTCTGCTCCGTGAAGTGTATAATGAATGCTGAAGAAACTTGAAGGAAACATTCTCCAGTTCTGTGTATTGTTATACTGGAAGAAGTTGAGAGATGCAATTTGCAGTGACAGATTCACCAAATAGAACAGCATGAAATGAGAAATTATGTGGTGAGCAAAAAATGTGTTTAATAATGCAGTGCATTAAGAATGGGAAAATTTTTTAGCCTAGAAAAATATTGACAGATAAAATAAGCTATGGAATCAAAATGTTCCTTCAAAATGTGATCTCAACCGTTTGATAAAGGATTACTGAAACTTGTAACACATTAATTTAGAGTTTCTTATGCAAAAGAAATCAAATACTCACATACTCTATGAAAAATCTTAGAAGTAATAAATGATACATGTAATCTATGATTCCTTTTCCAGAACAGGATGGCTAGAAGTGAATATAGTGGACTTGGCCTCAAAACTTGATTCTGGCCATTGGTAGCTGCATAAATATGAGCCAGTCAGACTCACTATAAGCCACAGTTTTCTCATCTGTATAAAATATGAGATTAATAATCCCTAACTCAAGGTTGTTGTAAATATATGTCTTTCTGTATATAGATGTTTTGTTTCATAGTAGGCATAAACAAATCAAATAATCCCAGTGCACCCTTTTACGTTGGAAAGCCAATATGTGGTACGATTTTTATAGAGTGTTAATTTTTTCCTGAATATATGTGTTCGTCAACATAATTAATGTTTAGCTTTGCTACAGTCAGCCAATAAGTCTTGGATCTTGATAACTTAAAGGAAGCAATATTTATTTTACAAAGTCTTACACAAACACTTTGAGGGATCCAGGCTGCATCCATCTTGTGATGACTAATATATTAAAAACTTTTTTTTTTTTTTAGTTTTTAAAATTGGTCTCATGGAGGTAGTGAATAGAATGATATCTTAACACCTGTCCTCTAAGGCCTCTCTAGCTGGGAAGAAGGAAGGTAAAGGTGGAGGGTACATTAAAATGTTCAACTTGAAAGGAATTTGCATTAGTTTCTCTCACATTTTACTGGCCAGAATTCATCACATGTCCTGACTAATTGCAGGAGGCTGGTAAATGGTTTCCTTGCATGTGTTTAAGAAGGAAAGAACTGGGTTAGCTGAGTACTAATTGTCTTGATCACAGTAGAACTCTGGGTTTATTTTTAAATACCTGGAATGCCATTTCTAAAAACCATGCTTATTGGTGTAATGGTAATATGTATGTGTCCTGATGCATACAGCAATACGCCAAGACACCAAGTTGCAGCAGAGAAAGAGTTACAATTACAGGACCACCTAACAATGGTGACATGGTTTTGTTCTGTGTCCCCACCCAAACCTTATCTTGAATTCCACTCCCATAATTCCCACGTGTTGTGAGAGGGAACCAGTGGAAGATAACTTGAATCCTGGGGGTGGTTTACCCCATACTGTTCTCCTGTTGGTGAGTAAGTCTCACAAGATCTGATGGTTTTATCAGGAGTTTCCACTTTTGCATCTTCCTCATTTTCTCTTGCCACCACCACATAAGAAATGTCTTTCATCTCCTGCCATGATTTTGAGGCATCCCCAGCCATGTGGAACTGTAAGTTCAATTAAACCTCTTTTTCTTCCCCATATGAGGTATGTCTTTACCAACAGCATGAAAACAGACTAATACAGTAAATTGGTACCAGTGGAGTGGGGCGTTGCTGAAAAGATACCCAAAAGAATATGTGAAAGCAACTTTGGAACTGGGTAACAGGCAGAGGTTGGAACAGTTTGGAGGGCTCAGAAGAAGACAGGAAAATGTGGGAAAGTTTGGAATCTCCTAGAGACGTGTTGAATGGCTTTGACAAAAAATGCTGATAGTGTACAGTCCCACCAACAGTGTAAAAGTGTTCCTATTTCTCCACATCTTCTCCAGCACCTGTTGTTTCCTGACTTTTTAATGATTGCCATTCTAACTGGTGTGAGATGGTATCTCATTGTGGTTTTGATTTGCATTTCTCTGATGGCCAGTGATAATGAGCATTTTTTCATGTGTTTTTTGGCTGCATAAATGTCTTCTTTTGAGAAGTGTCTGTTCATGTCCTTCGCCCACTTTTTGAAGGGGTTGTTTGTTTTTTTCTTGTAAATTTGTTTGAGTTCATTGTAGATTCTGGATATTAGCCCTTTGTCAGATGAGTAGGTTGTGAAAATTTTCTCCCATTTTGTAGGTTGCCTGTTCACTCTGATGGTCGTTTCTTTTGCTGTGCAGAAGCTCTTTAGTTTAATCAGATCCCATTTGTCAATTTTGTCTTTTGTTGCCATTGCTGTTGGATTCCTCAGGGATCTAGAACTAGAAATACCATTTGACCCAGCCATCCCATTACTGGGTATATACCCAAAGGACTATAAATCTTGCTGCTTTAAAGACACATGCACACGTATGTTTATTGCGGCATTATTCACGATAGCAAAGACTTGGAACCAACGCAAATGTCCAACAATGATAGACTGGATTAAGAAAATGTGGCACATATACACCATGGAATACTATGCAGCTATAAAAAATGATGAGTTCATGTCCTTTGTAGGGACATGGATGAAACTGGAAATCATCATTCTCAGTAAACTATCACAAGAACAAAAAACCAAACACCGCATATTCTCACTCATAGGTGGGAATTGAACAATGAGATCACATGGACACAGGAAGGGGAATATCACACTCTGGGGACTGTGGTGGGGTGGGGGGAGGGGGGAGGGATAGCATTGGGAGATATACCTAATGCTAGTTGACGAGTTAGTGGGTGCAGCGCACCAGCATGGCACATGTATACATATGTAACTAACCTGCACAATGTGCACATGTACCCTAAAACTTAAAGTATAATAAAAAAAAATGCTGATAGTGATATGAACAATAAGGTCCAGGCTGAGGTGGTCTCAGATGGAGATGAGGAACTTGCTGGGAAACGAAACAAAGGTGACTCTTGTTATGCTTTAGCAAAAAGACTGCTGGCATTTTGCCGCAGGGGCAAAATGCCTAGAGATCTGTGGAACTTTGAACTTGAGAGAGATGATTTAGGGTATCTTGGTGGAAGAAATTTCTAAGCAGCAAAGCATTCAAAAGGTGACTTGGGTGCTGTTAAAACACTCCGTTTTAAAAGGGAAACAACATAAAAGTTCAGAAAGTTTGCAGCCTAACAATGCGATAGAAAAGAAAATCCCATTTTCTGAGGAGAAATTCAAGCTGGCTGCAGAAATTTGCATAAGTAAGGAGGAGCTGAATGTTAATTCCCAAGACAATAGGGAAAATGTCTCCAGGGCATGTCAAAAGTAATAAATGAGGTCTTCAAGGCAGCCCTTCCTAGCACAGGCCCAGAGGCCTAGGAGGAAATGATTTCACTGGCCAGGCCCAGGGTCCCCATTCTGTGTGCAGCCTAGGGATTTGGTGCACTACATCCCAGCCACTACAGCCATGGCTGAAATTGGCCACCGCAGAGCTCAGGCCATTCCTTCAGAGGGTCCAAGCCCCAAGCCTTGGCAGCTTCCACGTGGTGTTGAGCCTGTGAGTGCACAGCAGTAAAGAATTGGGGTTCGAGAACCTCTGCCTAGATTTCAGAAGATGTATGGAAACTCCTGAATGCCCAGTCAGAAGTTCCCTGCAGGGGCAGGGCACTTATGGAGAGCCTTTGCTAGGGCAGTGCAGAAGGGAAATATAGGGTTGGAGGCCCCACACAGAGTCCCTACTGAGGCACCACCTATTGGAGCTGTGAGAAGAGGGCCACTGTCCTCCAGACCCCAGAATGGTAGATCCACTAACAGCTTGCCCCGTTTGCCTGGAAAAGCCACAGACACTCAACGCCAGCCCATGAAAGCAGCCAGGGAGGAGACTGTACCCTGCAAAGCCACAGGGGCAGAGCTGCCCAAGACCATAGGAACCCACCTCTTGCATCAGCATGATCTGGACGTGAGACCTGGAGTCAAAGGAGATCATTTTGGAGCTTTAAAATTTGACTACCCTCCTGGATTTTGGACTTGCATGGGAACTGTAACCACTTCGTTTTGTCCAATTTCTCCCATTTGGAATGGCTGTATTTACCCAATGCCTGTACTCCCATTGTATTTAGGAAGTAACCAGTTTGCTTTCAATTTTACAGGCTCATAGGTGGAAGGGATTTGCCTTGTCTCAGATGAGATTTTGGGCTGTGGACTTTTGGGTTAATGCAGAAATGAGTTAAGATTCTGGGGGACTGTTGGGAAGGCAATGATTGGTTTTGAAATGTGAGGACATGAGATTTGGAGGGGCCAGGGGTAGAATGATATAGTTTGGCTCTGTGTCCCCACCCAAATTTCATCTTAACTTGTACACCCATAATTGCCACGTGTTGTGAGAGGGACCTGGTGGGAGATAATTTGAATCTTGGGAGCGGTTTCCCCCATACTGTTCTCATGATAATGAAAATGTCTCACGAGATCTGATAGTTTCATCAGGGGTTTCCACTTTTGCATCTTCCTCATTTTCTCTTGTGGCTGCCATGTAAGAAGTGCCTTTTGCCTCCCACCATGGTTCTGAGACTTCCCCAGCCATATGGAACTGTAAGTCCAATTAAACCTCTTTTTCTTCCCATTGTTGGGTATGTCTTTATCAGCTGTGTGAAAACGGACTAATACAGGAGGAAACCACAAATTTATCTCCCCAGGGAGTTTGGGGCTAGGGATTTAAAAGGTTTTGGAGGGGATTGAAATGCAGAGATTGTTAATTGGTCAAAGAATGCAGAGGGAAGTCATGGGACAGGGAGATGAAGAAGTTATATTCTCATGCTGATTCCGTTCCTCTGTAAGAGTCTTTAAACTGGTAGGCATTAGCTATTTTGCCGAAATTTGGGATCCACAAAAACACCTTTAGCAATCCATAAACAAAATCTTATGATTCTAATGTCAAAGATCCTGTCTGTAAGAACAATGTGAATGCAAATCAATTCTTAAATGGTCTTATGATCCTATTGTCAGCAATCCTACCTATGGGAACAATCAGTATCTAGTGCTACGTGACTTCAGCAAGAAGGAAGTGGGCGAAAGTGCAGTCTGATTAATGTTTCATTATACCTATATTTCTGTGCAGAACCCGGTGTGCAATTCCTGTCAACCCTGTGAGGATTAATTGGCATGAACCAAAGTGTACATGGCTTATGTTCTCTAACTCCTAATAAATCATTGCATATTTTTAAAAAAATTGTTGCTTGCTTAAAATATGAATTTAATGTATATCTGGCAGAAAGAGATGCTGATTTACTTTGCTATTACTGTATTTGCTTGAGTATATCCGGCTATCTTTCAGGGAACACATGGATATATCTATTTCTTACTGTCTCCATGGCTAATACTCAAGTCCATGGAATCTCCATTATGTCTCATTATGAAGTCTGTAAATGTAACTGAACTGATTATCCCACTTCTACTTTTGTCACCCAAAGTGCATATGCACAGCAGCCATGGTGACATTTTATAAACCTAAATCGGGTCATGTCACTCCTCTGCTCAAAACTCTCCAGTTCCATCATACTCAGATTAAAATTCAAACTATTTACTTTAGCCTATAGAATCCTGCATATATTTCAACCACATCATTGTGTAAACCTGCCCAGTCCTCTTGCAACTTTCTACCTGATACATGTGTGCATATATATGCGTACATGAATGCATACATACATACACACATACATATACTCCTCAAAATCAGTTATTAGTCTCAGTTCAAGATACAGAAATTAGAAAATTAAATAAATGATTAGATATCTAAAATGGTTTTGTGGTCTTAGAAACTTTACCAACAGAGAAAAGGCTTATGTAGATGTAATTAATTCATTTAGCTAAAATGTGTTGGTAAAGTACCAGTAATATAGATTTCCTATTGTTATTTATTAAAAAAAAAAGTGACATCACTACAGAGTTATATGGGGGCAGTGATGGCCATATGCCTCCTTGAGCCTCTTTAGATACCTTATCACTAGAATGTCAATAGCTAGAATGTTATTTTATAGTTAATTTCTAAAGTGTTTCTTAGTGATTGTCACTCATGTAAAACTTGTGGGTAAAATGCATCTATTTTGTTTGGTTTGTTTGGTTTTACCTATTGTAACCTGAAGCATATTTCCTTGCTGGCAAAATATACTGGGCATGGTTAGAAGAAATTCTGAAAAGGACTGTTTGATGCATTTGGAAGTCTTTCCCAAAATTTTACAAACACTCCAAATTGTTTGCCTTAGTGTAATCAAGTATCTTTTAAATAAATAATCTATAAAGTGGAGTTTATGCTAGTTAGATTTGCTTCAATAATAATGGGACATAAACACATTTTAGATCTCAGTAAAGTTACTTCCTCCATTAACCTTTTCCTCAGTCCTCCAAATTGCATGCTGCAATTTTCAAATAGTAACATTTTATTGTAACTGTGTATTTAGTTTGTCTCTCCCAATAGGTTGAAAACTTCCAGAGGTCAACAACTATGTCTTGGTCGGGCGCAGTGGCTCACGCTTGTAATCCTAGCACTTTGGGAGGCCAAGTGGGTGGATCACGAGGTCAGGAGATTGAGACCATCCTGTTTAACACAGTGAAGCCCTGTCTCTACTAAAAATACAAAAAATTAGCCAGGTGTGGTCACATGCCTGTAGTCCCAACTACTCGGGAGACTAAGGCAGGAGAATTGCTTGAACCTGGGAGGTGGAGGTTGCAATGAGCCGAGATCGTGCCACTGCACTCCAGCCTGGGTGACAGAGGGAGACTCCATCTCAAAAAAGAAAAAAAAAAAAGAACTGTTTCTTATTAGTGGTTGTATAGTGCTTAGCTAAATACTTAAACATGATGGGTGATTAAGGTGAATGATTTAACAAGTAACAGGATATACATTAAAAAACTGGCATTCTACATGCCATTGGCAATGGTAACATAAAGACTATAAGGTCTGTATCTTTTCTATCACAGATCTCAGCGACCTTTCCTTCCCTCAATATCTGATGAGCAACTTCTGTCTATTCACTTAGTGATTTATTTTTAATTAACTCTTTGTGGTCTAGAGTCCTTAATAGACTGTAAATTTGGGGGAAGAGGAATCTTATTTTGTCTTGTATTTGTTTATATCTTGTAAAGCAACCTTCTCTAATGAACATTATATATAATTGCTTTTCAATATCAATAAATATCAGGGTGATTGCTAGGTTGAATGGGCACTAACCATGCAAACCTGATTCAGGACAAAGAATAGTCTCAGACAGAGTTTAGAGAGTAGCAAGAAAGCAAACGGGCAGCTATTAGAGCTTTTATTTGAAACATCTCCTGAAAATAGAGAACTAAGGCCATTTTCAACAGCATCCAAGGTTCAAACCCCATGGCCAGTGAATTAGCTAGAAAATTCCAGCCTAAATTCAGATTTTCCCTTCATGTATTGATTTATTTTGTTTGCAGGCTTAGCTTTATTCAGGAAAAAAATGTGGGTGTTTTATATAGGAATTTTCACTAAATAGGTGTGTAAACAGTGAAATGACTTGATCTGTTATTTATTGCATATAATTGCATACCATTCACTAAAAACACAATACCAACAGTGTGGTAAAGGGGTTAAAATCAGGAAAACATTTGCTTTTTAAAAATGAACATGAAAACCTAGGAAAATTATTCCTGGTATGAAGCACGTTTTTGAAGTACAGATTTTTGTCCCATGAAAAGCTGATTCATTTCCATTACCATGATGAGCTAAGGGGAACATGAAATTGCCATGGGTTGATGGTTTCATTTAGGGGTCAATTTTCAAACTAATAGACATAATGTTCCTTTGCCCTTACTCTGGTTAACATTTACCAATGAACTTACATCAAGTTTTGGGATATATTGTCTCATTTTTTATCAGGAAATGACATGTTCATGAAACTGAAACAGAACAAATTGTATGCCTTTGACATATCTCCCAAAAGTAACTAGTGAATACAGAGACCATTTCAGCTAAACATGCTTGCCTTCCTATTGAAAAATGTGACAGAGGCTGCTGGAGGTTTATTAAAATCCATTGTCTTCTTTCTTGGCACCAAACAAGATTATTTCACTCCACTCAGATTTGGCTGTGTGAGTTGGGTTCTACCCAATGCAATGTGATCAGAGGTTAATCAGTCACATCCATTGAAGGCTCATAAATTCTCCTACATAATGTCCCTGCATGTTCTCTTCCCCTTCCAGCTGATAGGATGGCAATACCCTGGGTGACCTTGGATGCAACATGTCCAAGATGGCAGAGAAGCTGTCAGCCTTTTCAGTGAATAATTTTATGAAGGAAAGGCTCTGACTTAGATACCTGCCTTGTACTGTTACAGGAGAAAGAAATAATCTTCTTGTTCTTTAAATTACTAAATTTTGGAGGTGTATTTTTATTGTAGCTTAGCCTACCCTAACTAATATTAACCTTGGACTTGGTATACAGATAAATGTATGCATGTGTGTGTGCGCACACATGGGCCTATCTTATATCAGTTAAAATTATGAATTGAGAAGAAATGTAATTATTAAGAACTTGCATTGTGAGATCCAAAGAAGAAAATGATGCATCTTCACAAATGACTTGAACTTCTCAAGGAATAACATCAAGAATAATTTTTAAAAATGTGTTTTATGCTTATATCTTTTGGTTGGCATAAACTAATATAACCTACTTCTAAATGTAAGGACTTTAGAAATTTAATGATAAATGCTTTAGTAAACTGTATCTCTATACATTTTCTTGAAATGTAGAGTTCCTTTCTCATTATTTTAAGTTCTCTATTTTCTTAATAATGTGGATCCATTAAATTTTGGCAACCAATCAACATTTGATTACCATAACTCTCAAGGCTCAAACAACACCATTTTGATATACTAACAATCCCAAAAAATAACTTTGCCATTACATAATAATAACAATAATAGCGGTATGTTAAAAGTCGGTGTCATAGCACTTGCTACTTACACATGATATAAATTTACTTTAATCTTCATACCAAGTTGAAGCTTGATATTTTTATTCACATTTTCAGATGAAAAACAAAGGCTCAGACAGAGTTAAGTAACTTGTCCAAAGCCCTGCAAAAAGTGAGTGGTGGAAATAGGATTTGGACCCAGGCTTTGACCCTGAAGTTTATTCTTTTAGTTCCCCACTATACCATCTGAGAAAGTGAAATACTGAGAACAATCATTTTGCCGATTTTCCTTGGGTGTTATGTTTTATAGATGATTCCATGTTCTATCGCGACACTAAAACAACTTTGTATTGCTATGCCATAACTGGACCTTTAAATTCCTAGCTTTATATAAAATCTCTTTTAAATCAAGAAGAGAATAGAATAACATAATTGCTTAATGATGGAAAAAATTGCCTTTAAAACTAAGATAATTACACCTTTCAAAATATTAGAACTGTAAGCTAAAATTCTTGGTTCTTCTATATCTACCACGGAAACCCCATTTGATATCATATCCATTTATGTTTCTACAACAATAATCTGAATCTTTATCTTCAACTCCTACTTTTAACCTTGGTTTCATAACATAATTCTCAGTATTTTCTTGAGTTCCCTCTCGAATTTATATTAAAATATTTAACTCAACAGCTCTTTTATTATTTAACTTTTATTTTAAATTCAAAGGTACATGTGCAGGTTTGTTATACAAGTAAACTTGTGTTATGGGGGTTTGTTGTACAGATTATTTCATGACCCAGGTATTAAGCCTAGTACCCATTAGCTATTTTTCCCGATCCTCTTCCTCCTCCCATCCTCTGATAGGCCCCAGTATGTGTTGTTTCCCTCTATGTGTCCATGTGTTCTCATCATTTAGCTCCCACTTATAAATGAGAACATGTGGTATTTGGCTTTCTGATCCTGCATTAGTTTGCTAAGGATAATGGCCTCCAGCTTCATCCATGTTCCTGAAAAGGACATAATCTCATTCTTTTATGGTTGCAAAGTATTCCATGGTGTATATGTACCACATTTTCTTTATCTAGTCCACCACTGAGAGGCATTTAGTTTGATCCCATGTCTTTGCTATTGTGAATAGTGTTGCAATGAACATGCATGAACTCAACAGCTGTTAAAACACACAATTCCTCACAGGATGATTACCCATCCTGACATTTATGTCTCCAATGAAGGAATTGATTTATTTGTCCCTTCATGTTACTTAGTTTGTATCTTACATATACTAATCAAAATTTGTAAATTCTAACTTATTTTTATGCATGATCCAGCTTTCCTAGCTGCTTATAAACTATTTTATGCATGTTTTCTTTGTTCAGGAGAAATTAATTTTAAAAATTCAAAATTCAGTGATTTATTTATTTAACCACAAATATACTTTAAGAGATAATGTTCTTTGAGCTAGGTAGGAACCATAGCTCCATATTCATTTTTTATGCTTCCAAAAAGATCTGGTGCAATGACCCAAATTTAACTAGGTCATGGCAAATATCTGTCAAGTGATAAATCACACATAAATCCATTAATAAAGAACTCTAGTACTAATAGAAAAGATAAATTCTGAAACAAGAATGGGCAATTATATGAAACTAAAGTGTGCATGAATCAAGCCCAGTGACAAGAAGCAGGTAAAATCCATCTTAAATTATGATTTGGAGAAAATTTTACTTATAATGTTAAGGTGATGAATAATCATCTACCAAAAATATAGCTAATGCACGAAAATTTGCACTCTTGGGAACTCTAACATTTTGCAAACATGAGATTGTATGATAACAGGAGTTTTGGAGACAAATAAAGAATAGCAAAAATGAAAAGCATTGAATAAGTATTTGTCAGTGTTTATCCAGAAGGATGCAGATGACAGACACTCTTTACTTATTTGACAGACAAGAGTATTAAAGTCATTTTTAGAAAAATGTTCTCAGAGAGGAGCAAAGGCGGTTCTCTAGGCTTAATCAGGTAAGATTATTCATCCTTTCTTGCTCAACTGTCTGATATCTTTCATTTATCAGGTACCTTAATGCTGACAATGAGGTATTGTAACTATTGGATTTGAATATTAGGATCACTAGAAGAATTACAGGTATCACCTTCTGTTGTAATGAGTTGATTAGTATACAAACAGGTAGTTGAGTGTGGCATGTGCTGTGGAGTCAATTTATATGAAATTCTGATTTTATTATTAAGTAACTATGAAATCTTAAGCAACTTACTTAATCTCTCTGGTTTCCACTTTGTTCATCTACAAAATGAAGAAATGGGATTAATGTCTTTTACAGGCTTCAAAGAATTGTTTTTTAGAAACGACTGCATTATTAAGTAGAACTGTCACCCTGACCTGTCAAGATCTTTTCTGACAGGCCACATCTTTATTGCAATGAGGCTATTCAAAGGGAAAACTAAACATTTCTTAAGGGGAATATGTTTTTAAATGGTTTGAACTCATTTATTTCTTGTTTACAAGTATTTAATTCGATGCTTATAGTTCAGGAACACATTTCTTAAAATTAAGTTTTTACTCTAAATAGTAACCTGGACGGGCATGGCAGCTTAAGCCTGTAATCCCAGCATTTTGGGAGGCCGAGGCAGGTGGATCACCTGAGGTCAGGAGTTTGAGACCAGCCTGACCAACACGGAGAAACCCCGTCTCTACTAAAAATACAAAATTAGCCTGGCGTGGTAGCGCATGCCTGTAATCCCAGCTACTCCGGAGGATGAGGCAGGAGAATCACTTGAACACGGCAGGCGGAGATTGTGGTGAGCCAAGATCGCGCCATTGTATTCCAGCCTGGGCAACAAGAGCCAAACTCCGTCTCAAAAAAAAAAAAAAAAAAAAAAAATTTAAATAGTAACCTATCCTGCGGTTACTAGATTGATACGTCTTCTAATAATAGCAAATGTCCACCTGATTTTCAAGCACAAATGATCATTGTAAGAAGCTGTGACAGCTACCACAATTGTGTTGTTGTCTTTTCGTAACTTCTTTTGAAAACAAATAAGACGATCTCATTCGTTTTGAACAGAGAAAAGAAATTTGGTTCTGGATTTGACTTAGCGGAAACCCAGCTCTATTCTAGTATTTTCCTTGAGTTTAGGTGAATTCTAGGGTCAATATTACAAGTTTTGACTCTATCATGCTCTAGAATAAACCTAAATTTTTAGGGATTTTCAAACTAAGAACCAAATGAAATTAAGTACATTGTGTAAATTTTCTCCTTCCCAACAAGATGCGAATGAAATAGATGTTATATCTGAATAGTTCATTTCACTAGGCTATAAATCAATTATCAGAATAAAATAAGAAACAGAAGAAGATAGGAAACTGAAATATAAACAAAGGGTAAGCTCAAGACATTTATTAGCAACCTCCCAAAAGTTCTTTAAAGAGGAGACTTCCTAATCAAATGGTTTATTTTTGTTAATTAATTAATTTATTTATTTTGAGATGGAGTCTTGCTCTGTTGCCCAGGCTGGAGTGCAGTGGCGCCATCTCAGTTCACTGCAGTCTCTGCCTCCCCAGCTCAAGCAATTCTCCTGCCTCAGTCTCCTGAGTAACTGGGATTACAGGCTCCCACCACCAAACCCAGCTAATTTTTGTATTTTTAGTAGAGATAGGGTTTCACTACGTGGGCCAGGTTTGTCTCAAACTCCTGACCTCAAGTGATTTGCCCGCCTCAGCCTAAAGGGCTGGCATTACAGGCGTGAGCCACCGTGCCCAGCCCAAATGGTTTATTTTTGATGGGCAAAGTCAGTTTGACTACATTCATAACGATTATAACTAACAAGCAGACTCCTGCTTCGTCTATTTTTGGCTGAGATCCACATTATTTTTCATGCTAGTTTACCCCCGAATATAATACATTATAAATTTCACCATTGTATGCCAGGCATGGTAGCTCACACCTGTAATCCCAGCAGTTTGAGAGATCGAGAATCACTTGAGCTCAGAAGTTTGAGACCAGCCTGGGCAACATAGTGAAACCTCATCTCTATTTTTTTTTTTAATGAAAAAATTATTATTAAAGAAGAATAAATTTAAATAAATTTAAAAATTAAAAAACACACCATTGTATAATTTTAAACAATGCTATTGTTTAAATAGTTTTAAACTTTCACTCTAGTGGCAGTGAACACTTTTCTATTCTATAGCATCTCAATAATTAGCTAGAGGGTTGCTTTTGTGACTTCTATACATTTTGTTTAAATTTTCTAAAAATATTTGCCCATCCCTGTGATTGCATCCCTTATTTCTTTAAATATTTCACACAAAGCTCTTCTGTATTCCTGTATTCTATACCAGACTATCTCAAATCTGTATTCTTTGTCTGAAAATTTCCACATCATTAGTTTATATCCATTGTTTCTGGCTTGGTTGACTTTAACTCTTATAAGCTTGTCTTATCCTCTGTCTAGTAATGATTTACTTCAACCTGAAGCAGTCCAACTGGCCATTTTTCCTTCAAAAGTGAGCTTAATCCCTCTTTTGCCACTGGGGAGACTGTAATATGACTTTTCTCAGTGACCATAATTTTGTCTCCTTTTGTAGAACTTTTTCAAAAAATATATATATGTCTCAAATCCATCTCATTTATGCTGCCTTTCCCTCATTATTGTCCCCCTTGCTTGTCTCAGAAAATATCACCTTACAAGTCTCATCTATGTACACTTTCTGTATTCATCTCTCATCACAGCAACTCAAAAGCAGAGAATGAGAATCTGGTCCCTGAAGGACTGGAGCCCCTCTGAACATGTTTGGTCCCTAATGAGATTGTTGCTTATACAGTACTTTTCTTTTCCAGTTTCACCTAAGATCTTCAGTTGCCCAAAACATTCAATTTCTGCATTCTAAACATTTAACAAGTAATACAGATTATATAAATAAAATCTATAAAGAACTAATCCTATTAAGATTAGCCTAGATGTTTCTAAGATAAGGAGGGTAGAGAGTGGACTGTCTTGTTCAGCGCCTCATTAAGATTGGCCTCCCAATCAAGAGAAAATGTAGGCCTGAAAGCTGTTTTTCAAATGTGCAAAATTTCTGGGTATCTAACAAGATTTGCAAACTTTATTTGTTGCATTCCCATCTCTAGCACAGTGGAGTTTCATTTAAAATTGCTTACATATGGGCCAGGCATGGTGGTCACGCCTGTAATCCCAGTACTTTGGGAGGCCAAGATGGGTGGATCATGAGGTCAAGAGATCAAGACCATCCTGGCCAATCAACATAGTGAAACCCCATCTCTAGTAAAAATACAAAAATTACCTGGGCATAGTGGTGCACACCTGTAGTTCCAGCTACTTGGGAGGCAGAGTCAGGAGAATCGCTTGAACCCGGGAGGCGGAGGTTGCAGTGAGCTGAGATTGTGCCAGCCTAGGTGACAGAGTGAGACTCCATCTCAAAAGAAAAAAAAAACTGCTTACATATGTCAACCTTGTATTTAATATCAGAAACATTATGATCATATAATTCCAACCAATCTAGAAATTAAGGTTATAATGGTCTTTAGTTTATCCCCTACTATTATACATGTTGAAGTGTACATTTATACTTCATTATAAACATATTTTAATTAATGTGTTTTTGAATGGCATAAAGCCCACACTTAAAAAGAAATTTGGAAATTATAATAGCAGAGATGCCTTGGGATAAAGGGTCTTGACTATGCTCCTCATCCAGGGGAACATAACTTTATTTTGAGAAACAAGTTGCCCCCTCGCCCATGTCCACTGTGATGAGGCAATCACTGGAAGGAGCATTTCCCCAGAGGACAAAGTTTCTCTGGACCAGAAGCCCCCAACCAGATGATCCAACAACAGGACTGAGGGTGCCAGGGCAAGCGCCAGCTCATGTCATCACCCTCACTCAGCCCCGGGTACATTTAACCATTGAGGGCCAGGAAATTGACTTCCTTCTGGACACTGGCGTGGCTTTCTCAGTGTTAGTCTCCTGTCCTGGACAGCTGTCCTCAAGGTCCGTTACCATCTGAGGAATCCCGGGATGGCCTGTAACCAGGTATTTCTCCCACCTCCTCAGTTGTAATTGGGAGACTTTGCTCTTTTCACATGCCTTTCTTGTTATGCCTGAAAGTCCCATACCCTTATTAGGGAGTGACATATTAGCCAAAGCTGGAGCTATTGTCTACATGAATATGGGGAACAAGTTACCCATTTGTTGCCCCCCGCTTGAGGAGGGAATCACCCTGAAGTCTGGGCATTGGAAGGAACAAACTCAAGCTCCAGCCTTAAGCCTTCCCACAGGATGAAACTTCTCTTTATACATCACAGAGAGACAGGAATAGCTCTTGGGGTCCTTACTCAGACTCGTGGGACAACCCCACAACCAGTGGCATATCTAAGTAAGGAAATTGATATAGCAGCAAAAGGCTGGCCTCACTGTTTAAGGGTAGTTGCGGCGGTGGCTGTCTTAGTGTCAGAGGCTATCAAAATAATACAAGGAAAGGAACTCACTGTCTGGACTACTCATGATGTAAATGGCATACTAGGTGCCAAAGGAAGTTTATGGCTATCAGACAACTGCCTGCTTAGATACCAGGCACTACTCCTTGAAGGACCAGTGCTTCAAATATGCACATGTGCGGCCCTCAACTCTGCCACTTTTCTCCCAGAGGATGGGGAACCAATTGAGCATGGCTGCCAACAAATTATAGTCCAGACTTCTGCACCCGAGAGGATCTCCTAGAAGTCCCCTTAGTTAATCCTGACCTTAATCTATATACTGATGAAAGTTCATTTGTGGAGAATGGGATATGAAGGGCAGGTTATGCCATAGTTAGTAACAGTACTTGAAAGTAAGCCTCTTCCCCCAGGAATCAGTGCCCAGTTAGCAGAACTAGTGATACTTACCCGAGCCTTAACACTGGGAAAGGGAAGAAGAATAAATGTGTATACAGATAGTAAGTATGCTTATCTAATCCTACATGCCCATGCTGCAATATGGAAAGAAAGGGAGTTCCTAACCTCTGGGGGAACCCCCATTAAATACCACAAGGAAATCACGGAGTTACTCCATGCAGTGCAAAAACCCAAGGAGATGGCAGTCTTACACTGCCAAAGCCATCAGAAAGGAGAAGGAGAGAGGAGAACAGCAGCATAAGTGGCTGCCAGAGGCAGGGAAAGACCAGCAGAAAGGAAAGAGAGAAAGAGGCAGAAAGTCAGAGAGAGACAGAGAGAGGAAGAGACAGAGAAAGAAAGTCAGAAAGAAGGAAGGAGAGGAAGAGAAAAAGAAGGAGTCAAAGAGAGAGAAAGAGATAGAAGTAGTAAAGAAAAGACAGTGTACTCTATTCCTTTAAAAGCCAGGGTAAATTTCTGTCTACCCAGCCAAGGCATATTCTTCTTATGTGGAACTTCAACCTATATCTGCCTCTCAGATAGTTTGCAAGAAATAACGAAATCTATCCTTACTCTACAATCCCAAATAGACTCTTTGGCAGCAGTGATTCTCCAAAACTGCTGAGGCCTAGACCTCCTTACTGCTGAGAAAGGAGGATTCTGCACCTTCTTAGGGGAAGAGTGTTGTTTTTACACTAACCTGTTAGGGATAGTACGAGATGCCACGTGGTGTTTACAGGAAAAGACTTCTGAAATCAGACAACACCTTTCAAATTCTTATACCAACCTCTGGAGTTGGGCAACATGGCTTCTCCTCTTTCTAGGTCCTGTGACAGCCATCTTACTATTACTCGCCTTTGGGCCCTGTATTTTTAACCTCCTTGTAAAATTTGTGTCCTCTAGGATCGAGGCCATCAAGCTACAGATGGTCTTACAAATGGAACCCCAAATGAGCCCAACTAACAACTTCTACCAAGGACCCCTGGACTGACCCGCTGGCCCTTTCACTGGCCTAAAGAGTTCCCTTCTGGAGGACACTACAACTGCAGGGCCCCTTCTTTGCCCCTATCCAGCAGGAAGTAGCTAGAACAGTCATCACTCAATTCGCAACTGCAGTTAGGGTGTCCTATTTAGAGAGGGGATTGAGAGGTGAAGCCAGCTGGACTTCTGGGTCAGGTGGGGACTTGGAGAACTTTTCTGTCGAGCTAAAGAATTGTAAATGCACTAATCAGCACTCTGTAAAAATGTACCAATCAGCGCTCTGTGTCTAGCTAGAGGATTGTAAATGCACCAATGAACACTCTGTAAAAATGCACCAATCAGTGCTCTGTGTCTAGCTAAAGGATTGTAAATGCACCAATCAGCACTCTATAAAAACTCACCAATCAGCACTCTGTGTCTAGCTAAAGGATTGTAAATGCACCAATCAGCACTCTGTAAAATGGACCAATCAGCAGGACGTGGGTGGTGCCAAACAAGGGAATAAAAGCTGGCCAGCTGAGCCAGCAGCGGCAACCCACTGGGGTCCCCTTCCATGCTGTGGAAGCTTTGTTCTTTCGCTCTTCACAATAAATCTTGCTGCTGCTCACTCTTTGGGTCCACAGTAGCTTTACGAGCTGCAACATTCACTGCAAGGGTCTGCAGCTTCATTCCTGAAGTCAGCAAGCCCACGAACCCACTGGGAGGAACAAACAACTCCGGACATGCCAACTTTAAGAGCTGTAACATTCACTGCGAAGGTCTGCAGCTTCACTCCTGAAGTCAGTGAGACCACTGGAAGGAAGAAACTCCAGACACATCTGAACATCTGAAGGAATAAACTCCGGACACATCATATTTAAGAGCTGTAACACTCACCGCAAGGGTCCGCGGCTTCATTCTTGAAGTCAGCGAGGCCAAGAACCCACTGGAAGGAATAAATTCCAGAGACACTTAGACTCACAGTCCTTTAAAGAATCAGAAAAGATGGACTCTATTGTTCTCTTTAATGAGCATCACTTGCAAACAACCCATGCATATTTTCAGATGAGCTTTAACTAACATAAAGGCTTTAAAAATTAGAGTGTACATGAAGTGCCAGGTAATCTCACACTGGCCCATGGTCTTCAGAGGCTGCAGCAAGACTTCCTCCCACTCAGTCATGATTACTAGCAAGAGATCCGTCTGGCTCAGGAAGCACCCTTCAAAAATCTGGCCTGGTCTCCACCCCCAATTCCCATCTGGCTCTGGATACTTCCTGACTCTTCACTGTTTACAAAGAGACTTTGAAGTGTTTTCTTTTAGCAGTGCTTTCTCTTCCAGAGTACACTTTAATCAGTGGCTCTCAGCCTTTATTGTGCATAGAGATCACTCTAGGAAGTTTCTCCGTAGTACATTTTTTTAGAAAAGGAGACAAGCAAACAAACACTTCAAAAAGGAATGGTAAAATATTACTGCACTTGGGCTCTCCACTCTTACATCTGTTTTCTTTCAAAAACAAAGCCACACACTCTCTTTCCTTACTCTGCTACCTGATTCCCAGACATTCCTGATGACATTGATGGTTGCTTTAAGGCTTACAAATTGCACACTTTTAGGACTCTTGTGTTAGTCTGCTTTTGCATTGCTACAAAGAAATACACAAGACTGGGTAATTTACAAAGAAAGAGGTTTAATTGGCTCATGGTTCTGCAGGCTATACAGGAAGCATGGTGCCAGCATCTGCTCAGCTTCTGGGAAGGCCTCATGGAGCTTTTACTCATGGCAGAAGGCGAAGCAGGAGCAGGTACATCACATGGTGATAGCAGAAGCAAGAGACAGAGAAGCAAGAGAGAGACATTTGAAAACCAGATCTCAGGAGAACTCACACACTATCAAGGATGGCACTAAGCCATTCATGAATGATTCACCTCCATAAGTCAAACACCTCAGGTGCTCTCACCAGGCCCCCCCTCCAACACTGGGGATTATATTTTAACATGAGATTTTGTGGGGACACATATCCAAATTGCATCAACTCTGCTTCACATTCTGCTCATAAATGGAAGGAATATAAAAATGCACATGAATTTTCCTCTAGAGTCACACCATTTTCCAGGTCACACATGATAAACACACTCAAAATCCACTCTTTGTTACTCAGTTCTTTAATGTGGACCTAAGCTCTGGTGGAAAGACGAAAGTAGGGCCTACTTCAGATAGGACCACTGTGGGTCAGGTCTGGTTCTCATGCTATCATTTTCCAAAAAATTAGTTTATCCCCTACTATTTTCTAAAAAATGATACCAGGAGGACCAGACCTGACCCACAGTTGTCCTAAGTGAGTACTTAAGTACTCACTGACTCCAAGTTTCAATAATATTACTGAACAGGTACTCTGACCCCAGCGCGATTTACCTGCATTCCAATTTATTTAGAAGTTAACATTAGCTTAGCCTAATAATTGGAGCCAATTATCTGAAGAGGCTAACCCTTTCCTGATGATTCTGGAAAACTATAGAAAAATGTTGTTTATTGAACTAAGTATTATAACCCACAAGGTGAGATATTACAAAGGAGCATCTGTCAAGCTCTAATACTCTCATAAATTGATTTTCTTTATATTAGAGATAGTTATATCTAAGCAAATGGGACCAACAGTTCAGAATCAGAACACCTCTCCATCACCACAGACCAATTTCCATTCTTCACACTGCCTTTTTGATATTTCTTATCAGTTGATAAGTCAGTGCAATACTATCTCATGAACAGATTAGAGTTCCCAAGATTAAATTTTGCATACCTTAGTTTTCAGGATGTGTGTTTTCTGATTTGTAATTTAATCAGTCAATTAGCTCACAAGCTTGATCCAAGATGAGTTATTTCTGAAAAGTTTCCTAAAAATAACGCAACCTATCTGTAGTTTGTGGCTCTGGTACATTTTGCTGAGAGTACAACTTATTTTTTAAACTTTTATTCATTTAATGCTGCCTCCATCTACGTGTTTAACCAATCCTTTGGGCTTTTTCAACAAAATACAAAAATAGATAAGTTCATAAGTATGATTGTATACAATGAAATAACAATGTGATTATCCACCATTTAGGGATTTTTGACATTAGAATCTGATATAAGAAAATACAAAGCTTTTTCTACAGTACTAGCAAAATAATTATTTTTAGAAATAAAATAATATTTGCAGGTCAGTATTATTTGAATGAAAGACAAACATGGTTTTCTTTGAAAGTTTCTATATTACATTCTTTCTTACATAGCTCAGTTTTTCCCAGTTGAAAACATTATCAAAAAGTCTAATAAATAGTATAGAAAATACAGAGGCTTTGAAATCAGAAAATACTAGCTTCCAATAATTATTTATTGGATAGGTGAGCAATGTATTGTATCTCTTTGATTCACAACTTCTGTATCTATTAGAAGTAGCTGTTTTGGTTGTGATAAGTTGTTTACAGATTGTAGAACACGTTTGTAAAATGATGAAATAATTCTCATGTCTTTGGCATTTTATGAGATTTTTATGACATTTTGTAATAATGTCTAGTGTATTATGGGTATTTAATCAGTAGTGTGGGTCATTATTACTGAGATAATGTTGAGACTTACACTGTCCAGGGAAAAAAATATCTTTCAGGAGTTAAAGGCTTTTCGTGTCTGCGTTAGTCTCAAATTTAAAAAATCAAAATATAGATAGATTCAGCAGTAGTCATGGAATGATTCTTTTATTTAAAGAACTGTGAAGAAAGTCATTGGTAGCTTGATGGGGATGGCATTGAATCTATAAATTACCTTGGGAAGTATGGCCATTTTCACGATATTGATTCTTCCTACCCATGAGCATGGAATGTTCTTCCATTTGTTGTGTCCTCTTTTATTTCATTGAGCAGTGGTTTGTAGTTCTCCTTGAAGAGGTCCTTCACATCCCTTGTAAGTTGGACTCCTGTGTATTTTATTCTCTTTGAAGCAATTGTGAATGGGAGTTCACTCCAATGATAGACTGGATTAAGAAAATGTGGCACATATACACCATGGAATACTATGCAGCCATAAAAAATGATGAGTTCATGTCCTTTGTAGAGACATGGATGAAGCTGGAAACCATCATTCTCAGCAAATAATCGCAAGGACAAAAAACCAAACACCACATGTTCTCATTCATAGGTGGGAATTGAACAATGAGAACACATGGACACAGGAAGGGGAACATCACACACTGGGGACTGTTGTGGGGTGGGGGGAGGGGGAGGGATAGCATTAGGAGATATACCTAATGCTAAATGATGAGTCAATGGGTGCAGCACACCAACGTGGCACATGTATACATATGTAACAAACCTGCACGTTGTGCACATGTACCCAAAAAAGAACTGTACTAGGAGATAGGCAGAATAAATAAATACAAAACCGCCATGATTTCCACCTTAAGAAACTTGAACCATAGAAGACGGAAGTCATCAACAGAAATAACTGTTAGGAGGTAGAACATTAAATGTCATAAAAGAATATATAAAGGACTACTTAAGATGAAAAAGTGTTTTGGGAGCCAAGATCAGTGGATCAAGACAGTTGCTTATGAGTAGATCTTAAAGTCTGGATAGAATTGCAACAGGTACATATTATTGGAAGAAGCATAGCAAGAAGTTAATACCACATTAACCACAAAGTCATCATTAGAAAGATGAAGTTAATACAGGTATCATGCATTGTCCAGATTGATGATCAACTCAACCAATGCCTGGTGAGTTAGGCGAGCTACGAGTAAGGAAACAAGTCGGGAAAGGTAAATTAGAGCCAGATTTTGCCAGACATTGTTAGTGAGCTGAGTTAGAAATATTTCCCAAACACAATTGGTCTTTATTCCCACCGAATAGACAAAAACCTAAATGATATTATGGTAAGTACTCTCCTTCTGCCTGACCTGAATCGCACCTACTCTGCAGTGAAGAAATAGATTCTAAGTAGAAGTTCTCTACCTGCCCATAGCTGAGCCACACTCACAAGTGTTAATGCCTTCAGTCATTCACTGTCAGTAGGCTCTCTGGAAACTTCCTCATTTCTATAGCACATTGCTCTGGACAGTATTAGAGATTTATGTCAAATCTTGAAATCATCTTTTAATTTGGTCCTAATTATTTTCTATGGTGCAGACATTACTTAGGATATTCATATGAAATTATAGTTGTTCCCTAACTTCAGTGTAGAAGAAGTTTCTCTTCCAGTTTTTTATTTTTGGAATTTTGTTTGTTTTATTTGATTAGTCTTAGTTTTATTTTATTTATTTGCATATGGACTTTTTTCTTCCACTTAAAGTTCTGGTAGTGGAGTTGAACAAATGCAGTAGTTTGCCATTTTAAATGGAAGTCAAATTTCTTCCTCTTTAATTAAATTCTATAGGAGATTTGGAAACATGCTTAGTAAGCTAATGGCTGAGGTTTTATTTTATCAACTCCAAAGCATAAAAGAGATTTTTTCTTTCAGTGTGTTACTTTTTATGAAATGAAGCATTCTCAGAGTTTCTAAGTTAAATTAAGTCAAATTTTCTTTTCTCCCTCTGCATCAGGTCAAAGGTTTTTAATGGATTGCCTAATTAGCCTGGGAAGGAATTATTCCAACAGTTACAAAGATCAGTCCAATAATCTGAAGTGACCTAGTTCTTACCATATCGCAGTTTACCTGTGGAACACCCTAATTTCCATAGGAAGTACAGGTCTCAACACATCTCACTTCAGGATAGCACTCTCTGCTCTAAAGAAAAAGAAGTTCCATTTTATTAAACCCGATAGCATTTTCCATGGCTTTTAGGATTTTCCCAGTGTGCAAACCTCTTGGTAGCAACTTTGGTAACTGGATAAAGAGAAAATATTATTACTAATCTGAGACTCTTCAAGTAAACCTCTCCTTGGGGCAGACTCCTGCCACATTACTAAAACTGTATGGAGCTATATGGGAAATCCTAAGGTGCTACAGCTTAGAGGTACCTTACATATAACCATCCAGTTACAGTATTTTGTGTGTGTGTGTAACTTAAATCAGAGAAATTAAATAACCTGGCCAAGATGGACAATGGCTAATTATTGAAGAGACAAGACTAAAACCCAGGCTTCTGTGCCTGTTTTAATTTCATTACTCACCACTCACAAGAGTAAAATATTGCACCCACCATTTGAACCACCTCTTCCCTGGTGAATTCCCCCAAAGAGATTAAACATCCATTTTTTTTAAGCCAGACATTTTAAAATGTTTGAAATATCTCTAAAAACCGTGTGAGCAATTTGGAGCTGGTAACAGTGGTTGCTTCTAAAGAAGGGAACTGGTTGACTGGAGCAGGAAGAGATACAAGGAAAATTTATTTTTGCTGTATACCATCAGCCTTCCATATCCATGGGTTCTGCATCCTTGAATTCAACCAACCACAGATCAAAAATATTTGAAAATAAAACAATCAAATAATAGCAATACCAGTCCGGATGTGGTGGCTCATACCTTTAATCTCAGTGCTTTGGGAGGCCAAGGTGAGAGGATCACTTGAGACCATGAGTTCAAGACCAGCCTGGACAACGTAATGAGATTCAGTCTCTACAAAAATAAAAAACAGAAAATACAACAATAAAAAAATAGTATAACAATGACTTATACAGCATTTAGATTGTATTAGGTATTATAAGTAATCTAGAGATGATTTAAAGTTTATGGGAGGATGCATGAAGGTTATATGTCAATACTACACCATTTTATATAAGAGACTTAAGCATCTTTGAATTTTGGTATTGGGGGTGTTGGTGCTTGGGTACCAATCCTCCAAGGATACTAAAGAACAACTGTACTCATTTTATATTTTTTTGAATTTAGTGAAGTAGTTCTTCACTAACATAGATGCGTTAAAACTGATACAGAACATGTGTGTGTGTGTGTGTGTGTGTGTGTGTATGTATATACAGACACATATATATGGAGAGAAAGGGAGAGTAAAATCCGATCTTGTTTACCAATGTGCCAGGCACATTGTGTGCATTACCTCCTTTGATCCTCGCAGTGACACTGCAAGATTTGTATGTGTTGTGATGTGGAAGAGGTTAGGGCACTGGTCTGTGATCCTTGCTTCTTTTTCCCTAATTGACTGGGGGACACCCCTAAGGAAATGAAAAAGGGCAGATGACCCTGTATAATCTCCTTGTCAACATGTTAACTAAACCACTGAGTAAAAAAATTCTGAGTTAATTATATATTGGCCAGGAGGAGGATGTTTATCTATGGAATGTTTTTAACAGGATGTTTCTGGTTAAGTAAAACATGTGGTAAATAAACCCCAAATCTATAGGCCTGGTCTATGGAAAATGTCACATAAACTGGAATATAAAAATGGAGATGTGCTGTTTGTGGTAAACCCACAATACCCTACTTTGAAATCTCATATATTAACTAGGGATCAGAGAATATGTGTCTGATGCAGGAAGCAAAACGTTGGGGAGCCAACGTGAATATTGCAGAACTCTCCCTGTGTTGACTTGAATCTTTCTGCCTCCAAGCCCCTTCTTGCTTCAGGGTCTCTCAAGGAAACTTCCTAACCGCTAGACCGTTCTTGTATGAGGATTTGCAAGTAAATATTAGAGAGAACCATCTGGAAATGGGCACTCCTCTAATTATTTGTGAAAAAGAACAACAAAAAGGGTAGTACAAACGGGTGAGAAATGACAGAAAGAAACTATGTACATAAGCACCTAGTGAAAGCTGACCATCCACATCATATGACAAAGGATACTAGTTCGTCTTTGAAAATATAAAAAGGGCAATATTTATTTGTGCATGGCTTGTGAAATCCAAATGTTGAATTAAGACGGATATATCATCATCATTATTGTTGCAGCTTATTAAATTCTTGCTTGAGAGGTTGTAGAATATAACAAATATGAGATTAGCCCCTGGAGCCAGACTGACTGGATTGTAATACCTACTCTGCTACTGATTAGCGTAAACTTGGTCAGGTTACTTAGCTTCTCTGTGCCTCATTTTTCTCATTAGAAAAGTGGAAACAGTATCAGTAGCACTTAGTTCAAAGGGTTGCTGTAAGGATTAAATGAGATAATATATGTGAAGGACTTCGAAACAATGCCTGGTACATAGTGCTTTATAGGCATTAGCTATTATTATTCTGAGTGTTACATCTGAGGTTTGAGAAGATAGACATCTGTAAGAGCTTTGTCAGTGAGAGTCAGAATTCCAATCCTGCTTTTTCCAAAATAATATGTTGCTATAAAATATAATTCAATATTGAAAGATTTAGGAATATTTTAAAATTAGAACTATGCTTTATTTACTCTCTGATCTCAGACAGTGTTTTACATGTAACTTTATTCCACTTTTGGAATATACTGTGGTTTGGTTTTTTTTTTTTTATTTTTCAACTTTCTCTACCCAAACTGTGATTTCAAAGAAGAATTGTAGTACATTCATCTTTGTGTTACCAATGCCTACCTAGCATAGTGAATGTTAAGAAGTGGCTCTTAATAAACTTCTGCTAAATAAACACTAAGGGTGGCAAATAATAATAAAAATGTACTGTTAAGTCTATAATTCTTCTAATGCTTCAAATCATATTACTCGAATTTTTATATTTTATTATGTGCGTCACACTTTAGCATGTCTTTGATAGCACATTGCCAAACATTTTAATGATATTTAGTGGCAAATACAAAAGACATTTCTTGAGTTGTACTTCCTTCAATCTAGCCATAACATTCCACTTAGCAAATGTCGCTTATGACTCCCAAGACACTTACTCAGATTTATCTCTTTGGTTGATTAAAGAAACATGTTATCTAATGTCTGATAAGCGTATCTTCCCAGCAATTGAGATTTTGAACTCCTCAGCTCTGTCATGGTAATTTAACCAAGGCTGCAACTCTCCTCAAAAATAAAGAAATGAAAATAAACATGGAGATTCCTTTCTTTACAGAAAATGTTCTCATGAAAAGAAAAAAAATAGAATATTAATATAACAGGTCTTATTAGTGTTATTAAAATCTCAAACTAGTCACGGCAGCTTTCTGTTTTATGTAAATTGTATAGGCACATACACAAGACAGATGTCCCCAAAAATGTATAGAATTTCAAACTACTAAAAATGGGAGTGTACTGACTCCCTGGTGAAAACAGGAAAACATGGAGGAATGAGATGGCAACTATGTCGGTAAGGACAAGCTAATATGAAACGCTTCGGCACCACAGTTCAGCATTCCTATTACTATTGCGGAGCACTTTAATTCACAAATCACTTACCTTTTCCACAAATCCAGTAAAGCTCTAATAGTGTTTAGGGGCCTTGATATACAAAATCCACTCTTATTTGACTCTTATGCCTATAAATCGACTTTCCTGGTTAAACAATTTCACGTAATTTCACATAACCTACAATTGCCCAATTTCCAGAAAGATGTGCTTATTGGATAATCAAAATATAAGCAAAATCCCTGATTAGAAAGTGTAAGCAGACTCCATGACTAAGTGGAACACACTGATTATTTTAAAGTGAGACAAAAAAAGAACTTTTAAAAGCTCTACAAATCCAATCCTCAAATGTCTCCATATTAAACCATAACTTGAGCATCAAAGTATCATATTTTGGCCTTAATTTCTGAGTTTCCAGTTATTGGAACTATTAAAACATAGTTCAATCTTTCTCTAGTTAGTCATATATATTTAGTGTATGTATCTAGCTATATAAAATTAATCATGTTATACCTGCTTATCAGGGCTTATTGAAGATGGGCTATTTAGGAATAAAGTCTAGTAAAAAATAAAGAACTTCTACTTTACTTGGTCAACACTTTGCGTACAAAAATATTTTTGAAAGGTAAACTTTCAGCCACCTATAAGCCTTTATAGCATATAATCTGTTTATTTTGTTTTGGATTGCAATGACATAAGCTTGCTTACTGTATATAAATGTAAAGAAAATTTCAGCTAATGAAAACAACAAATGATTAAGCCACTATTTCTCCAAAATGCTTTTAGATAGTTTTTGTGCAATGGAATATGTACATCTTATTACTTTAAATCAAATGGAAGCTCCTAGACAAATGTTATATTATGAATCTATAGCAACCCTAATGTTTAATAAGTATTAAAATTAATCAGACAGGACAATACATTTAAATTTAAAAACACACTGAAAGACTTGTCACATGTTTAAGAATATCTTAGCTTCTAATGTTGAGCAGAATGAGTATCTCGTAAAACATGTATACTCTTCTGATAAACAATGTCCACACTCTAGTTTATTTTACTTTTCAGTTAGCTCAATGATAGGAAAAAGTGAATGCAAGGAAGTTATAGAATAATAGCAGGTTCCTTGGCTCATACTGATCAATTGGAATTACAAACAAAACGAAACACCACACCATTAGCAGTACAATGGAAAGCAGATATTTTCATATCACATAACAGGTGTGGCAAATATTATTTATACCCTTAACTGCCTTGAAATTATTATGGCTATTATTAGCCATTACAATGATTATCTAATGCAGTAATTTGAAAAGCACATATATTACTAGAGCATACATTTATTTTAAAATATTTTTATTACTATATTTCAATATTTTAGGCTTTGAAAACATGATTCTGAGAAGAAAACTGCAGGCTTCACCAGACTGCAAAGGGTTCCATGTGTGAAAGAAAAATAGCCCCCCAAAAATATCCATGTCCTAATTCCTGGAATCTGTGGATCTGTTACCTTATATGGCAAAAAAAGCTTTGCACGTGTGATTGAGTTAAGGAAATTGAGATGGGAGGAGTGTCCTGGATTAGTTATCCCAGTGAGCCCAATGTAATCACAAGATCCTAAGAGAGGCAAAAGTGTAAAAGTCAGAAAAATAGATATAACAATGGAAGCCGAGGTTAGAGTGATGCACTTTGAAGATGAAGTAAAGGGCCATAAGCCAGGGACTTGGGGCAGTGCTAAGAGCTGGAAAAGATAAGGAAACACACACTTTTTTTGGAGTAAGCAGAAGGAATGCAGCACCTTGATTTTGGTTCAGTGAAACCCATTTTAAACTCCTGACCTCAAGAACTGTAAGATAATATACTTGTGTTGTCTTGACCACTTAGTTTCTGGTAATTTGAAATAGCTGCAGTAGGAAACTAATACATCATGGTGTCAGAGTCAAGAACACCCAAGTGATTTTGCTCGATGCTGAAGGGTAATATCAGTTCCCCTATAACTTAGAAGAAGCAATTCAATGTTTTCATACAGGAAGATAGCCTTGGTTAAATGGAATAATACTAAGAACAAATGCTTTGTTTTCTTGGAGCCATTTTAGTACCAAAACATCTTTAAGGTTTTAGTAGTTTATATTGGCCTCACACCAAAAATAAAAGAGTAGATATATGTTCTGATATTTGGGAAAAAAGATCACTGTTCAGATCTCAAACTGAATAGATCCAATACCTAGCATTTACACAAATGACATTCTTTACTCAAAGGCAATTGTTTTTCCTAGAAAACAATTTTAAAACCTTGATAATCATTTGAATATAATTGTAGCAATTTTTGGCAGCTGGAAAAATTCTACAGTGATTTAATGCTTTATCTATGCTCATTCAAAATTGAAATAATAACTTATGAAATGCAAAGTCTATGACCTGAACTGCCTTTGTCACTCTTTCAAGTACATTGACTAATACATATATAGCTACTTAATTAATACAAACCTGCAGGCACCACTTTGGAATAACATATTACTTGTCCTCACCATGGTAATGTACACATTATAAGTTTATATTGGTTGATAAAATTGACATATTTCTAAGAATATTATTTGTATTTTAGATTACTTTGCATAAAAGTATACTACTGTTTTATCCAGTTGGTAATAAAAAATAAAATCACCAATCGCTTTTACAAAAGCAGCTTGAAGAAATAGTGTAATTTTGATAATGGAAAAGTCCTTGTTTTATAAGCTAGTGTAGCTCTTTATGGAAACAGTTCAAAAGCAACTCAATTATTTGTAAACATCTTCATAATGCTAGAGCTACTGTTGAAATTTAAATCACTTCAAATCACACTGTTTTGATAACTGGTTCCTGGCAGCCAAATATTTTTTAATTCAAAATCTAGAAAGGGAATTACTCTTTAATGACATGGGTTAATTGTATGTGTATAGGCTTTGAAATCATTCCAATCAATCACAGGTTCCAGTTGGCCTAGTCATGTAAGCCTTTTTGTATTCAAGGTAATTCAGTAGAACTTAAGTGCACTGTAATAACTACCTAGATAAAAGCTTGATTAATTACATTCTTGCTTGTTTTTGTGTCAGTGTGAGAAATATGGTAGCCTTGGGAAATGTTTGTATTCATAGCCAGACTTCCTAGTTAGCCATTCATCCTTGAGCAAAAGCCTTATTATCAATTTTTATACAATTGAATTTGATCCTCGGTGCCTAGGAATGAATGCATCAGCGCTCCTTATGCAAATTATGAAAACTCAGCTAGCAAGGTCAAGCATGGGATAAATCAGTCTGAATCATGGAGTATTGATATCAAAAGTAATGTCAGCGATCAATTGATATTTTCATTTTTACAGATTAGGAAAAAAATGCACAGAGGTTAAGAGGCTTCTAAAAATGAAACCAGTTAGCACAGGTAAAGTTAGAAAGCAGAGTTTGGCCAGGGATGGTGGCTCTCACCTATAATCCTAACACTTTGGAAGAGAGGCTGAGGTGGGCAGATCACTTGAGCCTAAGGGTCTGAGACCATCCCGGGAAAGAGGGTAAACCATGTCTCCACAAAAACTAGCTGGGTGTGGTGGCGTGCACCTGTAGTCCTAGCTACTTTAGAGGCTAAGGTGGGAGGATCTCCTAAACCCAGGGAGGTGGAGGCTGCAGCAAGCCATGATCATGCCATTGAACTCCAGCCTGAGAGACAGAGTGAAACCTCATCTCAAAAAAACAAACAAACAAAAAAAGCAGAGTTTTCTGCCTGTGATCACAGATTCATTCCATTAGATAACATTAGCTTATCTATAAATCAACTCAGTACAATCCATTTGGTTCAGTATAATCAAGCACTATTAATATTACTATATTAATCATTACTCAAACACTGAGTGATGGAAACAAAAGAATAAAAGATATTACATACTCTAAGGAGAAAGAAATATGTACATAAATAAATTGTATTTATTTGAGATCAGTGCCATCAAGAAAGTATTGGGGGTTCAAAGAGGAAGAAATCAGCTCAATTCAGTGATAGCGTCACTGAAAAGTTAATTTCTGAATGGAGTTTGAGGAGAGATCAGTTATTTGTCAAACCCAATGGGAGAGTATTTCTATCAGAGAGAAAAAAGAAAGAGCATCCACATCAAATTGTTTTTCTCCCTTAATGAGAATATTTTAACAATTCATCACTAAGTATAATGTTTGCTGACATTTTTTCATACATACCTTTAAGAAAATTAAGAAAATTTATTTCTCTCTTACTAATAATTTTTCTTACATAGCCATTATTTGATTCAACCTGTCAATATGCCAAGGTTGAGAACCCCTGACCTAGCATAAGATCTAAAAGCAAAAAAGAACATATCCTTCTCTGTGAACTTCTCCTGGCCCCCATACCTCCAACAGCAGAAATTAAAGAGGAAAGCCAGGAACTTCTTATACACCAAGTAAATCATCCCTTCTCCTGGCCTCCATGACACAATTGGCAGAAATCAAGTGGATGCTGTAGTGCCTCTTATAGACGGGAGACCCAAAGACACAAGACTTTTGAGAAGACTGGTCTCTACCTCACTGATAGAGGCTGTGGAGAGGGGGGCCCATGTTCAGCATGCTCCTGGTAAAAGGGACCCCATCCCCAAATCTCATAACCCCAATAGCGCATTCTACTTGAGACAGAGTTGATCCTTTCATAAATGTTATGTGACTACCTAAGTCACTACAAGAAACCCAAGACTTGTGAACCAATCCTCATCCCTTAGCTTCTCATCCTCATGAAGTTCTTTACATCTCCCTCTGGAGCTCATCATGAGCTCACAGAAAAGCCTTCTTTATCAAATGCACCACAGCTAAGTTACACTGTGCTGCTATATAGCTTTTCAGAGGTACTTCTGTCTCCCAGTGTGAGAGTGCCAAGTCAACACTCATAGGCTGAGTAGTGGGTCCTGGCTGTATTTTAGGCTCCCAGTGCCCTCTGCATAACATCTTTGGCAGAGCACAACCCCTCAACTGTATGTGAGGCTTGAATCCTCAGTCATTGTATTAGTCCATTGTCACGCTGCTATGAAGAAATACCTGAGAGTGGGTAATTTATAAAGGACAGAGGGTATTTAAAAAAAAATTATTATTTTTTTTGAGACAGTCTCGCTCTGTCTCCCAGGCTGGAGTGCAGTGTCATGATCTCAGCTCACTGCAACTTCTGCCTCCTGGGTTCAAGCGATTCTTGTGCCTCAGCCTCTCAGGTAGCTGGGACTACAGGAGCTCACCACCATGCCTGGCTAATTTTTGTATTTTTAGTAGAGATGGGGTTTTGCCTTGTTGGCCAGGCTGGTCTCGAACTCCTGGTCTCAGGTGATCTGCCCACCTCAGCCTCCCATAGTGCTAGGATTACAGGTGTGAGCCACCATGCCCAGCCAGGAAAGAAGTTTAATTGGCTCGCAGTTCTGCAGGGCTGGAGAGGCCTCAGAAAACTTACAGTCATGGTGGAAGCGGAAGCAAACATGTTGTTCTTCACATGGCAGCAGGAAGAAAAAGAATGAGAGAAGTGCAGAGCAAAGTGGGGAAAATCTCCTCACGAAACCATCAGATCTAGTGAGAACTCACTCACTCTCAGGAGAACAGCCTGGGGGAACTGCCCCCATGATTCAGTCACCTCCCAGGAGGTCCCTCCCTTAACATGTGGGGATTACAATTTGGACTACAATTCAAGATGAGATTTGGGTGGGGACACAGAGCCAGACAATATCAGTCATTTTTCTGAATCTTACCCTCAACTTCTCACTTTCAGTGACACCTACTGAGGCTATTGCTTCTCCTACATTTTTTTGAGTGCCTAGTTTCCTCTCCCTTACTTTTTGAATAATGCTTATTGTTTGCGATAAAGTAGTGTAGATGCCCAACAGCTGAAGACCACAAAATCACAAGAATCAAACAAAGTTGGGTTTATTACTTGTTGCAACAGGAGAAACCATAAAATTCGGGGAAACAATGGGATGTATCATTAAAAGGATACTATGAGGAGATTGTTATAAAATTTGGGCTAGGGTGGGACCAAGCAGGTTTACCTCTGGAATGTGTATTGTAAGAAAGTGGAGGTGATTGTACAATTGTGTATCTTAATATTTATCTAGGAAGAAGGTGATATGAAATTAGGCTAAGGCTGTAATTGTTTTTTTAAAAAGTTAGCAGCTGCTCATTTAGCATGCAGGGGTCATGCTTGTTTAGTTTTGTGATTTGCTGAGTGTTCTTATCTTTTCTGTGCTCAGACATGATTAAGAAATAGTCTTGTTTTTCTCACTCAGTCACAGTCATTCACAGTGACCTTGTCTGATGTGAGTATTCCATGAAATTGTTTATATTAAAGAAGAAACACCATAGCCTTGCTGTGAGTATCAGATCATCAACCTGATGGTTGTCAGAATTGCTTCTTTTCTTTCTCAATAGGCATCCTTGTCAGATTTTTTTCTCCCTTAATGAGACTATTTTAACAATTCATCACTATGTGTAATGTTTGCTGTCATTTTTATAGATACCTTTAACAAAATTAAGAAAATTTATTTATATCTTACAAAGAATTTTTATTACAAATGTCTATTATTTGATTCAACCTGTCAATATGCCAAGGTTGAGAACCCCTGACCTTATATTTTACATAAAATGTAAGATATCTCTACCCAAAAATATCTGTAAGACTGAACTGAGAAAAACTTGAACAGACCTAAATATGTGGAAAGCTCTACTAGTTCATGGATTGTTGTGATTCATATTCTCTCTAAATTGACTTATAGATTCAACAAAATTCCTGTTAAAACTGTGTCATTAAAAACATTTTAAAGAAATAGACAAGTTCATTGTAAAAATGTTATAGAATCATAAAAGATCTACAGTAGCTAAAACAATTTTGAAAAAGGAGAGTTCTTATAGTACCAGATATCCAGAGTCAAGACTTACCATAAAGCTATAGGATAGGGTAGTGCCAGGCAAATAAACATTCAATTATTTGAGCAGAATGGAGAGGTCAATGAACAAAGAAAACCCTTTTTAGGATATGTTACTTTATTACAGCTGGAAATCTCTATGGGGAAAGTAAAGCAAAGCAAAAACAAAAAACAAAACAAAACAAAAAACACCAGAAAAGACTCCGCTCATCTACTCTTTCATATTAAACATAAAAATTATTTTGATATGGATAATATACCTAAACATTCAACCCAGAACCATACATCTTCTAGAAGAAAACAGGAGATTATCTTTGAAACTCAGATTTGGCAAAAATTTCTTGAGCAGGACACAATCAGCATGAAACAAATAATTTGAAATGAATTAATTAAATTCCACAAAAAACTAAAATGTCTGCTCTGCAAAGCACACCATTATAAAAATGAATTGGCAAGCCACAGACTAAGGAAAAATTCTTGTAACATATGACAAAGAACTTGCACATAAAGAACACCTACAAATCAACAGTAAAAGGATGACCATCCCATTTTGTAAAAGAAGTCGAAGATTTGCACACTTTACCATAGAGATGAACTAATGCTCTATAAACACATGAAAGTTTAGACATACAATGTATTAAGGTGCTATATTTTGGGATAGCATGTCCTCAACCTTATCTGGCACTTAACATCTTTAGTCATAGGAATCTGTAAATTAAAACCACAATAAGGTACCATTTCATACTCAGTAAATAAGCTAAAATCAAAAGGAGTAACTCCACTGCCTATTGATAAAGATATGGAACGATTAGTAATGGCATCTTAGATTTCCTTGGAAAACTATTTCCCTGTACTCTCCGGCCATGTGTATCTGGTGGAGTGGAATCTACCTGAAGACTTCAGCAATAGAGTGAAGACTTGGGCCTGGCCTATTAGAATAACAGTAACAGATTAAGAAATATTACCTAATGCAAGCTGGCTCAATTAAAGTCAGTACAGTCAGCTCTGAGCCTTTGTAATTCTTGGGAAAGAAATGTGGGGTTTTTTTGTTTTGTTTTGTTTTGTTTTTGTATTGGCACCTAAACTGGCAAATGTAAACCTGGAGCAATTGGTGGTTATTGTGATCAACACCCTGGAAAAGTACTTATAAAAAGAAACTTAGCCAGGTACAGCAGCTCATGCCTGTAATCTCAGCATTTTGGGAGGCTGAGATGGGAAGATCACTTGAGCCCAGAAGTTGGAGACCAGCCTGGGCAACACAGGAATACCCGTGTCTCTACAAATACTAAAAAAAAAATTAGTTGGGTTTGGTGTCATGCACCTATGGTCCCAGCTACTTGGGAGGCTGAGGTGGGAAGATCGCTTGAGCCCAGGAGGTAGAGGCTACAATGAGTCATGATTAAGCCAGTGCCCTCCAGCCTAGGTGACAGAGTGAAACCCTGTCTTAAAAAAAGGGAAGGAAGGAAGGGAGGAAGGAAGGGAGGGAGGAAGGAAGGAAGGAAGGAAGGAAGGAAGGAAGGAAGGAACGGAGAAAGCAAGCTATCTCAGTGTTACATGGCACCAAAAGATGGAAAGACACAGATAATTTTGGCCCGAAATCCAGCAGTACATTAGCTTGCTGTACCCATGTACTCATCAGTTAGGAAAGTCAAAAATTCCCCTTTTCTTCAAGCCAGTTTGAATTTTATTTTTATTTAGAGCTAAAAGAATCTTAATTAAAACAGAAGTAACCAGATTCTATTTTTACTTCACCAGTAAATGACAACAAAAAGTCTAGGATATATGTTGGAACCAATCTGTGTACTATATTCTTTTTTTGATGCAAGACTTGAGGGGGCAGGGATTAATTGTTTTCTGCTTTATAAGTTAAATATTTCAAAAATTTCTTCCAAAAATATATGAGCTAAATAATTATATTTTAACATTCAGCATATCAAGTTAAAATAGTCAGATACAACTTTCAGAACTAAAGTATGATGTTATCTTTGGAGTAAATTAAAAGAACTAAAGTATAATAAATAATAAATCATAAATAATCAATGATGTTATCTTTGGAGTAAATTAAAAGAACACATTGGGCTGCATTTTTAATATTAGAATACAATAGTCTTTTAGTTCATTATATATATCCTTTAATAATCTGATATTTCTTTTAAGTTCTAAATCAGGCATACAGGCCCATCTCAGATAATAAGAAAATATCTTTTAATAGATTATAACAATAATAGCTGCATTTGTTGAAAGCTTATTATTTTTTAAGCATTTATTCTCTTTAAATGCATTATTATATTTAATCCTTACATGGGATTACCATGTTATAGATTTATTTCATTGATGTCATTGTAAAGATGAGGAAACTAAAATTACAAAAGTTGTATAAATTCCTGGTCACATGCTAAATACCACACATACATGGAATTTGGCTTATCTGGCTTCAGGTTTTGAGCTCCTAATCATTTCCCATATATAAGTCAAAATTGCAAAAAGAAAAAAAGAAAAAAATGAAATAAATCTAGGCCCTAAGAGTGAAGTAAAAGATTCCTAAATTTAGGAACTACAGAAATAAAGATATACTGGATGAAAGAAAGCCCAGTCCCCAATTTCTGTAGCTGGCTTTTGTTCAGTTTTAACAGATATCTCTCTTAGAAAATATAATATCCAAACATAAAATCTTTTAAAGTATCAAGTGATGATATTTTTTGCAAATTCATTGGAAGAAAGAAAGTTCAAGTCTCACTTTAAACAATAATTTTAAAAATCTAAATTAAAGTTTGTTATAAAAAACATTGAATTATTGGAGAGAGTCTTGGAAAATATTTGTACAGTCTTAGATTTAGCAAAACGTGGGGAAAGGTAGACCTTCTAAAACAAAACAGCCCACCCAGAAGTCATACAGTATAAAATAGACATATTTGATTATATTAAAATTTTCAACCAAATTTATTATTTCTTTTCGTTTTTTTTTTTTTTTTTTTGAGATGGAGTCTTGCTCTGACGCCCATGCGGTAGTGCAGTGACGTGATCTTGGCTTACTGCAACCTTCACCTCCCGGGTTCAAGCGATTCTCCTGCGTCAGCCTCCCAAGTAGCTGGGACTACAGGCACGCGCCAGCACACTTGGCTAATTTTTTGTATTTTTAGTAGAGCTGGGGTTTCACCCTGTTAGCCAGGATTGTCTCGATCTCCTGACCTTGTGATCCGCCCTCCTCAGCCTCCCAAAGTGCTGGAATTACAGGCATGGGCCACCAGGCCCCGCCAGCATTTGTTTTTTTCTAATTACCCATTGCTGCTAATGCTTTTACTATCATCTGCACTATAAATATTTTCCAACTCTATTGTTCGTGTTTTAAATTTGTTTCAATATTTTTAATATACAGAGAGCCTATAAACTAATAGTACAAATAGCTAGAAAAAAAGAGGCAAAGGATTCACAAAATACTTCAGACCAGTCAAGGAAGATAAAATCCAAACATCAACAAACATAAAATATTTTTCAATTTCTCTTGTAGTAAGAAAAACACAAAATAAAACCATAATGACATGACATTTTTAACTTATCAGATTGGCAAAAATTAGAAAACGGAAAACATTTCCTTCTGGCAATGGTTCAGAAAACAAGCACTGGGAGAGGGAGTTGCTAAAATCATTTTGGAAAGTAATCTGCCAATAACTGTTAATATATTAAAAGACAAGCAGCTTTTGATTCAGTAGTCCCATTTTTTCTAATTTCATTTACAGAAATACAAAACACTTTATATGAATATATACATTATATATGTATACATATTTTGTATATGTATAAATATATTTAATATATATGTATATGTGTATATGTATATACACACAAAGATTTTTTTTTTTTTTTTGGAGATGGAGTCTTGCTCTGTCGCCCAGGCTGGAGTGCAGTGGTGCGACCTTGGCTCACTGCAACCTCCACCTCCCAGGTTCAAGCAGTTCTCCTGCCTCAGCCTCCCGAGTAGCTGGGACTACAGGCGCACGCCACACGCCACCACGCCTGGCTAATTTTTTGTATTTTAGTAGAGATGGCATTTCACTGTGTTGCCCAGGCTGGTCTCGAACTCCTGAGCTCTGGCAATCTGCCCGCCTAGGCAAAGATGTTTTTTGTAGCATGAAAGCACTTGAAAGTTTACCAGTTGGGAAAATGCTAAATAAATTATGTTATATCCATGCCTTGGAATATCTTGAAACTATAATAAAAAAGCACAAGTTATACTGTATCCATAGCCACTGACTTCAAGAGATGTTTATAGTATATTGTTTTAAAACAAAACCAAACTAAATTTCATGTATTATATACTAAATAAGAATATCTTGTGAAAAGGCCATTTGTCTGACTATGGAGAAGAACCTGAAAGAAGTAAAAGGCAGTTAACATTGGTTGTTACAGAGGGATGAGCTAAAGAAAGGTTGCGATGTGTAAGATCATGAATTTCTTACTAATAAAATTCTGTACGATTTTTGTCATTTTAAAATCTAATATAGAAAGGCAAAAAAAAAAATGAAGCTGTAGTAGTGACATAAGGTCGATTTTAATGTTGAAAAATGTCAACCTGACATGTAGCTACTGCATAGTGAGTACAATGTTGTATGTGACTGCAGAATGAGTCATACAAATGGCTCCAGGGGCCTTGCAGATTTTGCACTGTGAGTGGGTCTGTGGCAACTGCAAAGCATTCAGATTCGAAAATTGTGGAACACTGTGTCAGCTCACCTCCAGCCTTAACTCTGAGGCCTCCTCAGTAAGGAAACAAGTGTTGATATCTTTAGGGACAGAGAATGAACTGGGAAGAGGGAAAACTGATGAAGCAAAGATGTAGCGAGTAAGTCAGGAGATGATTTAATCAGATCCGGCAGTTCCTAAGGGGAGAGTCTTTAAAAGGGGGAAGGCTGGCTCTTCTTCAGCAACACAAGTTAGGATGAGGCCTCTTCGGTCTACCTTTCAACAATAATAACTGACACATACTGCTTAGTTTTTGGCAGTCACAGTTCTGAGAGCTTTATACATTTGACTCATTTAATCCTCCAACAAGCATATTAAATTGGTCTTATCATCACCTCTGTTTTACAGATGAAGTAACAGTGAGACAGGTGAGACAGAGAACTTGACAGCTTTATAGTCTCATAGCTGAATATTCTTAATATAGTCTTAATTACATACAAGTATACCTCAAATATATTGCAGGTTTAGTTCCATGCCACCACAATAAAGTGAGTATCAGAATAAAGCAAGTCACACAAATGTTTGGTTTCCCAATACAGGTAAAAGTTATGTTTACACTATATTGTTGTCTCTTAAGTGTGAAACAGCATTTCGTTTAAAAATACTATGTAAATACCCTAATTAAAAAATACTGGATTGTTAAAATACACTAATCATCATCTGAGCCTTCACAAGTCATTATCTTTTTTCCTGGTGGGTGGTCTTGCCTCAATGTCGATTGCTGCTGATTGATCAGGGTGGTGGTTGCTGTAGGCTGAATTGGTTGTGGACATTTTTTAAAATAAGACAGCAATGAAGTTTGCCACATTAACTAATTCTTCCTTCTATGGAAGATTCCTCCATGGCATGTGATGCTGTTAATAGCATCGTACCCACAGTAGAACTTCTTTCAAAATTGGGGTCAATCTCCTTAATTCTTGCTTCTGCTGCTTTATTAACTAAGTTTATGGAATATTTTAAATTCTTTGTTGTCGTTTCAACAATGTTCAGAGCATCTTACACAGGAACAGATTCCATCTCAAACCACTTTTTTTGCTCATTCATACGAAGCAACTTGTTATTCATCCAAGTTTTATTATGAGATTACAGCAACTCAGTCACATCTTCAGGCTACACTTCTAATTCTGATTTTCTTATTTTCACCACGTCTGTAGTTACTTCCTCCCGTGAAGTCTTAAACCTCTCACAGTCATCCCAGAAGGTTGGAATCAACTTCTTTCAACTCTGTTAATGTTGATATTTTGTCCTCGTCTCATAAATCACTAACATTCTTAACGGCATCTAGAATGGTGAATTCTTTCCAAAAGGTTTTCAATGTATATTGCCCAGATCCAACAGAGGAATCACTATCTATGCCAGCTATAGCTTTACCAAATGTATTTCTTTTTTTTTTTTTTTGAGACAGAATTTCGCTCTATCACCCAGGCTGGAGTGCAGTGGCGCGATCTTGGCTCACTGCAAGCTCTGCCTCCCGGGTTCGCGCCATTCTCCTGCCTCAGCCTCCCATGTAGCTGGGACCACAGGCGCCCGCCACCATGCCTGGCTAATTTTTTGTATATTCAGTAGAGATGGGGTTTCACCATGTTAGCCAGGATGGTCTTGATCTGCTGACCTCGTGATCCACCCGTCTTGGCCTCCCATAGTGCTGGGATTACAGGCGTGAGCCACCGCGCCCGGCCTACAAAATATATTTCTTAAATAATTTGACTTAAAAGTCAAAATGACCCCTTGATTTATGGGTTGCAGAATGGATGTTGTGTCAGCAGGCATGAAAACAACATGAATCTCCCTGTGCATCTCCATCAGAGCTCTCTGGTGACCCAGTATGTTTCCAGTGAGCAGTAATATTTTGAAAGAAATATTTTTTTCTGAGCAATTGGTCTTAATAATAGGCTTAAAATATTCAGTAAACCATGCTATCAATATATGTGCTATCATCCAGGCTTTGTTGTCCCATTTCTATAGCACAGGCAGAGTAGATTCAGCATAATTATTAAGGGCCCTGAGATTTTTGGATGATAAATGAGCATTGGCTTCAACTTAAACACACCAGCTGCATTAGCCTGTAACAAGATAGTCAGCCTGTCCTTTGAAGCTTTGAGGCCAGGCACTGACTTCTTCTCTCGACCCATGGAAGTCCTAGATGACATCTTTTTTTCAATAGAAGGCTGTTTCATTTACCTTGAAAAACTATTATTTAGTGTAGCCACCTTCATCAATGATATCACAAGCCTAAATATATATGCACCTAAACATTGGAGCTCCCAAATTTATAAAACAATTACTACTAGACAAGAGAAATGAGATAGATGGCAACACAATAATAGTGGGGGACTTCAAAACTCCACTGACAGCACTAGACAGATCAACAAGACAGCAAGTCAACAAAGAAACAATGGACTTAAACCATACTCTAGAACAAATAGACTTAATAGATATTTATAGAACATTCTACTGAACAACTGCAGAATAGACATCCTATTCATCAGCGCATGGAACATTCTCCATGATAGACCATATGATAGGCCACAGAACAAGTCTCACTAAATTTAAGAAAATCAGAATTATATCAAGTACTCTCTCAGACCACAGTGGAATAAAACTGGAAATCAACTCCAAAAGGAATTCTCAAAACCATGCAAATACACGGAAATTAAATAATCTGCTCTTGAATGCTGTCTGTGTCAGCAATGAAATCAAGATGGAAATTAAAAAATTCTTTGAACTGAACAATAATAATGACACAAACTATCAAAACATCTGGGATATAGCAAAGGCACTGCTATGAGAACTTCATGCCTACATCAAGAAGACTGAGAGAGCACAAATAGACAACCTAAAGTCACACCTCAAGGAGCTAGAAAAACAAGAACAAACCAAACCTGAACCCAGCAGGAGAAAAGAAATAACCAAGATCAGAGCAGAAGTAAACGAAATTGAAACAAACAAAAAGAGATAAATGAGACAAAAAGCTGGTTCTTTGAAAAGATAAACGAAATTGATAGACTGTTAGCAAGATTAACCATGAAAAGAAGAGAGAAGATCCAATTAAGCTCACTTTGAAATGAAATGGGAGATATTGTAACTGATACCACAGAAATACAAAAGATTACTCAAGGCTACTGCTATGAGCACCTTTACGTGTACAAACTAGGAAACCTAGAGGAAATGGATAAATTCCTGGAAATATACAACCCTCCTAGATTAAACCAGGAAGAAATAGAAACTCTGAACAGACCAATAACAAGCAGCAAGATTGAAATGGTAATTTTAAAAGTCCAGGACCAGATGGATTCACAGCTGAATTCTATGAGACATTCAGAGAAGAATTGGTACCAATCCTATTGAAACTATTACAAAAGATAGAGAAAGAGGGAATCCTCCCTAAATCATTTTATGAAGCCAGTGTCACTCTAATACCAAAACCGGGAAAGGACGTAATAAAAAAAGAAAACTACAGACCAACATCCCTGATGAACATAGATGCAAAAAAATCCTCAACAAAATACTAGCTAACTGAATACAACAGCATATCAAAACAAAAACAAAAACATAATCCACCATGATCAAGTGGGTTTGCAGGGATGCAGGGATGGTTTAACATATGCAAGTCAATAAATGTGATCCACCACATAAACAGAATTTAAACAAAAATCATATGGTCATCTCAATAGATGCAGGAAAAGCAACTGACAAAATCCAGCATTGCTTTATGTGTAAAACCCTCAGCAAAACTGGCATAGACCGGATATACCTTAAGCTAATAAATGCCACCTATGACAAACCTACAGCCAACATTATACTGAACCAGGAAATGTTGAAAGCATCGCCCCTGACAACTGGAACAAGAGAAAAATGCCCATTTTCACCACTTCTATTCAACATAGTACTGGAAGTCCTACCCAGAGCAATTAGACAAGAGAAAGAAATAGAGGACATCCAGATTGGTAAAGAGGAAGTCAAACTGTCACTGTTCACCAATTATATGATCATATACCTAGAGAACCCTAAATAGTCCTCCGAAGAGCTCCTAGATCTGATAAATGAATTCAGTAGAGTTTCAGGATACAAAAGCAATTTACACAAATCAGTAAGACTGCTATACACCAACAGTAACCAAGCTGAGAATCAAATCGAAAGCTCAACCCCTTTTACAATAGCTGCAAAAAATTAAAATAAAACAAAATACTTAAAAATATAACTAACCAAGGAGGTGAAAGACCTCTACAAAGAAAACTACAAAATGCTGCTAGAAGAAATCACAGACAATATTAGCTAGATCTTCTGAATGATCTGCTGTAGCTTCTGTATTAGCACTTGCTGTTTAATCTTGCACTTTTTTTTTCTTTTTCGAGACGGAGTCTTACTCTATCGCCAGGCTGTAGTGCAGTGGCAAGATCTCGGTTCACTGCAACCTCCATCTCCTGGGTTCAAGCGATTCTCCTGCCTCAGCCTCCCAGGCAGCTGGGACTACAGGTGTGTGTCACCACATCCAGCTAATTTTTGTAGTTTTAGTAGAGACAGGGTTTCACCATGTTGGCCAGGATGGTCTCGATTTCTTGACCAGGTGATCCGCCCACCTCGGCCTCCCAAAGTCACCTTGCACTTTTATATCATAGAGATGTCTTCATTCCTTGAACCTCATAAATCAACCTCTGCTAGCTTCACAGTTTTTTCTGCAGTTTCCTCACCTCTTCCAGCCTTCATAGAATTGAAGAGAGTTAGGGCCTTGCTCTGGATTGGATTTCGGCTTACAGAATTGTTGTGGTAGGTTTGATCTTCTATCCAAACCACTCAAAGTTTTTCCGTATCAGCAACAAGGCTGTTTCACTTTCTTACGAATCCTGTGTCTACTGGAGTAGCACTTTTAATTTCCTTCAAGAGCTTTTCCTTTGCATTCTCAACTTGACTGTTTGGTATAAGAAGCCTAACCTTTGGCTTATTTTGGCTTTTGAAGTCCCTTCCTCACTAATCTTAATTATTTCTAGCGTTTTATTTAAAGTGAGAGATGTCAAACTCTTCCTTTTATTTGAACACTTGGAGGCCTTTATAGGGTTATTAATTGGCCTAATTTCAATATTTTTGCGTCTCAGGGGATAGAGGCCCAAGGAGAGGGAGAGACACAGGGAAATGGTTGGTATGTGGAGCAATCTGAACCCATAAAACAGTAATTAAGTTCTCCATCTTATACGGGCATGGTTTGTGGTGCCCCCAAACAATTACGATAGTAACATCAAAGATCACTGATCACAGATCACTATAATAGATATAATAATAATAAAGTTTGAAATATTGTGATAATTACCAAAATGTGATACAGAGGCACAAAGTGGTCACATACTGTTGGAAAAATTACACCAATAGTCTTGCTCAATATAGACTTGCCAAATCTAAATAAATAAATTTATGGTAACATCTGTAAAACACAAAGAAATATTAAATCAAAACATAAAATTTCCATTTTTGTTTGTCAAATTTAGTCAAATATTGCATATTACTGTGGTTTAACCTGAAACTATAACAAGCGGTAGTATATTGGAAGTTTTGCTTAAGGTATTGTGAAAAATGTCAGGAAATGAATGTTAATCAGGCAGTAAAGAGATTGAGAAAGAAAATGATAATTTTAGATGAGGGAAAAAGTATATTCTATACAAAGCAAAAATCTTTTAGATTTGAAGGCATAAAGTAACATATTCTAGGAAGTATAAGAAGCATGTAGCTGTTGAGAGAGCTAGCCAGACAATCTGAGTGTAAAATTTACTCTACCACTTACTAGCTATAAGACTAAGACTATAATTGAAGCTATATATAATTTATCATATTATATTATATCATATTATATATATATAATGAGGCATACCTCATTTTATTGCACTTTGCTTCACTGCACTTCACAGATACTTTGTTTTTGTTGTTTGTTTTTCAAATTGAAGGTTTGTGGCAACTCTATATTGAGCAAGACTATTGTGAGATCTACCTCAGTGCCCAAATCTTTTTTTTTTTTTAATCTCTGTGTCTCTAAAGCCAGCAAAGTATTTTGTACATAGTACATGTATTCATCAGGTGACTGCAGAGTGTAAAAGTAAATGAATATACGGAGAAATTCTGAAGTCGAGAGGCAGATAAGGTGATTAAAAGGAAACGATAAAACGCTTTATTTGAGGGTATAAAAATTAAAGGTACAGCTATTAGTGTATAATTTAGCTAAATCCCAAAAAACAGGCATCAACATTGGTCATAAAACAATTTTTTCTATTGCTCTCTTACGATTAATGGTAAACCCATCTGTTGATTGCTAAGGGATATATTTTCTATTTCTATTCCAAAATATACAGTCATGCTGAAGGACACAAGTCCAGAAGGAACAGCAATTCTAAATGGTTAGGAAATATGTTATACAATCTAATTCAAGTCATTCTTTGAAAATGGAAAATGATATGAGTCTTAGTCTTATGAATGCTTAGAAAGTGCACTTAAGATCAAAGAGAGGACAGTGAAAGGAAAGCTTTTAGGAGAAGGCTTTAAGATTGAAGACAATACTGTCGAGCTCTGTTCCATCTTCCACTGAATACATGTATGGCTGAGAAATTGCCTTTAAAAATATTGGATGCGACTTACCTAAGAAGGAGTTTTAAAGATAAATGTAAGCCAGCACCAACAGCTATTTTCCATTCATTTTATGAGGGAAGAAATAGATTTTTAAGATATAAGTACAAAGCTGGAAAGGGACAAGAATGAAGATGACTGATATAAAGGGCATAGGTGACATTTGGAGTTCTTAGATTGTGATTTGTAAACTCTACAGTTTATGAACAAATTTGTAGAGTATGTCACTGCCGCTTCGTGGATAACCTGGAATCTTACACAAATACTTCTTCAATATACTTCCTTATACCTTCCTATTCAACTTTCCTCTGTAAATTTAAATATCGTTATTATTTCTCTTGTCATTTCCTCACAGCTTCTATGATGTTAATCCTTTTCTTTCTTAACTCAAAGCCACTCCTTTTAATGCCTTCATCTCTAAAAATTTTATAGCATTCTCTCGCCATTTATTTCTAAGCCTGTACCATGCCTCGTCCTTCACTAATCTTAAAAAGCCATTTTCATAAGCCTATTACTTTTTACAGGATCTTTTTAGTAGATAAAATTCTCAAAAGTCTTGTCATATGTTATTGACTTAACTTTCTCATCACTTCCTTCATTCTTACCTATTATAATCTGAATTCTACTTCCTTTTGCTATTGCATCTGTTCTCTTGAAGGTTCTAGAAAAAGGAAGGGATAGTTAATTGAGTAAGGTCCCAAGAATATAAAAAGTAATAGAAGAATAAATAAAAAGAATAGTTTTTTTTTTAAATCTAGGTACAAGTAAACCTTGAAAAGGAAAAAGTACTGCTGAAATTATGGGACATCCCTCAGAACAGAGTGAAGATAAGATGTTGGCCAAGCTGTGCCCAGATCAGAATATTGCCAGTCAATGTGCAATGATGCCATATTGGGCAGTAGTACCACAGTATCTGATCTCTGTGGACCCAGCAAAAAGAAGCCCAAAGAGCCAATGTCTTGACTGGAAATTCATGAACTTTATATCATACAACAAAGAGAAGCTATTATCACTGTAAGTGAAAAAGTGTTTTTGTTGTTGTTTTTTGTTTGTTTGTTTGTTTGTTTGCTTTGAGACAGAGTCTAGCTCTGTAACCAGGCTGGAGTGCAATGGTGTGATCTTGGCTTACTGCAACCTCCACCTCCTGGGTTCAAGCGATTCTCTTGCCTCAGCTTCCTGAGTACCTTGGACTATAGGTGCATGCCGCCAAGCCCGGCTAGTTTTTTTTTTATTTTTTTGGCCTCCCAAAGTGCTGGAATTACAGGCCTGAGCCACCGTACCAGGCCAGGAGTGGTATCTTGTATACACATGATAGAGGACATGTCTTTATTGTATTAATTTCAAGTATTCTGATTGTGTAGAGTGTGGAAGAAGGAATAAAAGAAAGGATAAGAAATGCATGCAGTATTTAAATTGTGAATGAGAGATATTAGACTGAAGGCTCCCAGTGTGTGAAAGCCTCTATTACTTGCTGTCCTGAAGCTAGGAATCCAAGTCCAAAATCTCTTTTTGCCAGTTTTCACCATAGTAGCTAAGAACAGGGATGGATATTTTTTTTTCTTAAGGACTCTAAATTTATTAAGGTTTCTTGCCTTTCTTTCCACCTGTACCAGGCCAGCTTTCCCGGGAGGACTCCATAGGCATTGGTCCCACAAGTACATCAATCTTTGTTCTTTAAAATATCTGTACTTTAAAATACCTGACTTGATAATCACCATTCTCAGATATGATACTCCATATTGGAGTGGTTGCATAATCTATATGTCCAATTATTACCTGGTAAGAAGGAGAACAGTTTCTTACCAAATATATGCAAATAACTACCATAAGGTAACTTGCCGCCAAAAAATAAGGAGATTTACTTAAATTTTCCAATTCTAGCAGGAGAGGGTGTCATGAGAATCAGATATTATTTCTAAAATGCTTCACTGGAATTTGTAAAATCAGTGTTGATTAGATAGCTTAAGAAGAAAGAGAAGTAGCTTCCTTATATATCTAAAAAAAAATTGTAAAAACAAAATCAATAATACTCCAAACAGATAACCATAATACATTTTCCCCCATTAGTCCATTTAGTCATTAATTGTCGTCCTGTGGGATCATGAGTTAGCAGTCACATTATATCATCTGCTTCTTGTCTGGAATTGAGTTCTGGGTATCCTGATTCAGTCCACTGATATGTTTGAAAGTTGTCTAAACGATATCTGCTCAGAAGTCTGTCTTCAAGAGTCTGTTATCTGGATAGTCAGTAGTTTAAGTACCTAGTACAGTCTCTTACTTAAGTCTCTAAAACTGTTTTACTTGTTGAAGAAAAAATCTCTGATTTTTGGTTTTGGCAGAGACTTCAGGCAAGCATCAGGTTCAAATGAAAACTGTCTGTGGATGATGGTTATTTAAAATGGCTGTACTTAACTTATTCCTAATAACAGTTAAATTTGAGAGGTCGAATGAGGGTTCAAAATAAGCATAATGCAAGTGACAAAAAAATTGTTTCTGAGGCATACAAAACAAACAACAACACACTTCCAAAATCAAAGTTAGACAAAATATTCCTAAGGTCAATAATTAAGCCTGTTTTCAAGACATTGAATATCACATCTGATTTACACAAATGTATGAACATGATTTTTATTAAGAGAAAAACTCAAGATATGTGATAAAGTGGTTCTGAGACTTAATTTTATAGATCAAGTATGTAAAGCAAAAAAGATGCAATAAGTCCAGAGTAGGGCCTAGACATCTGTATTTCTCTCAAACTCCAAGGGTAAGTCTGATATGTATGCCCAATTGAGAAAATTGAGAACTAGTGTCTAACAGATGTTATATTTGAATTAAAAAGGTATTACTATCATCAATTGACATTTTAAATAATAACTGAAATTATGACTACTATTTATTATCAAATATTGGGCAAAGCAGGAAGCTGTAAGCTATACAAAAACTGGACAAATATTCCAAAGAGCTATGATAACTGTTTCTCTTGAGATTGAAACATATTATGGACAGCGAGGACATTAACAACTCTCTCTAAACTTCCATAAAGCATGTAATTTCTTAAATATTGATATTAATAATATTTTACCTATACAAAGTTAGGTCAATGAAGGCTGAGAATCAATAACTATTCCCATGCAACTGTTATCATAGTAACACATCAAACAAACCAAATGCTTTCTAGTATTTCTATTTATAAGGTGAAAAAAATATTTTATTTTCCAGGTGCCCTTTGGGCTATCTCAAAATATTTTCAGGTATAAAAGATATCCTGACAATTGCATTCATTTTTTATGTATTTAGAATCTGATTTGAAGAATGCAAGAAAGAAAATAGAAGAGGAGATTTAGATACTTGATTAAGATATGGTCTGATAAACAATACTTGTTACATATTTAATAAAAGTTATAATAAAATGCTTTTTTAAAAAAATAGGCTCCACAATTAAAAAGAACATTAGCTCTTTTATAATTGAAAATATTTTCATATTGTGGACAAAGGTGTTAATCTATAACCCAAGGAAGAAGAAAGACTATAAAAATTGAACAAACTGTACAATTTTAACACATTTTACAGACTTTTTTTCAGTCTCAGGTATGATAAATCAAGGCGAATAAAATTTACTTTCCAAGTTTTCCTATGTTTTGCTGTCGTCTTATTTTAAAAATATCTATATATCTAATGATTATGTATTAATTAACACAACTTTATATCAATCAGTTTTTTTTTTTATTTTTTTTTTTCTGAGACGGAGTCTCGCTGTAGCCCAGGCTGGAGTGCAGTGGTGCAATCTCGGCTCACTGCAAACTCCGCCTTCCGGGTTCACGCCATTCTGCTGCCTCAGCGTCCTGAGTAGCTGGGACTACAGACGCCCGCCACCATGCCCAGCTAATTTTTTTTCGTATTTTTAGTAGAGACGGGGTTTCACCGTGTTAGCCAGGATGGTCTCACATCCTGACCTCGTGATCCGCCTGCCTCGGCCTCCCAAAGTGCTGGGATTACAGGCGTGAGCCACCGCGCCCAGCCTCAATCAGGTTTTAAGTTATCTAAAGGTCTTAGAATTTATCTTTAAGCTGACATATGACAAAATATGATTAGTCTTGAAACAATGTTTATCAGAATAATAATACAATTAAGGTGCATAAAAACTTACATTTTCACAATCATAAACTTTATGTTAAAGTTAGCTTATTTTATCAGTAAGCCTATTAAAGTTTATTAAAAACAAACTCAAATGTAATAAAATATAAGTTGGTCTTAAACTTCACATCGATTAATCAGAAGACAGTTTTTTAAATTAAATCAAAATTGTTAGATTGGGCTTCTTTGCTTAAAGATTTATCTTAATTTAGCTTGAAACCTTAAAACATTTCTAAGTTTTTGCAAGAAAATAAATTTTAGATCTAAAATTTTTTTAGTTATAAGTTTAAAGTCTTTGTTTTCTTGAAACATTAGGAATATTTGATTTATATACGCACTGATTTATCTCTATAAGCCCGCTGAAATACAATTCTTTTAGTTAAAGTTACTTATAATCTAAGTTATTAATATTCTCCTACATAGGAGAATTTTGGCCACAGGTCAAGAGACACAAGAGATAAACAACGGGGTTCACTGGTTCAGATATCAAAAAGCTGTTATTTTTCCTGTTGAAGCCCAACTTCTTAATTGATTTGAGATTAAACTAGGCAAATAAAAAGCACACAAAAGAATCGTGAACCAGTCATTGTAGTCTCTAACAAAACAGTGAACATATCTCTATGTCCGTTAATCCATTTGTAGATCTCACCAAATGGTCATATCCATGATCAGCTTCATCCGTGTGCAGTAGTGCAGACTTCTACACTTGGTGTAATTCTCTGCTCTTGCTGACTCGAAATTCTTAATATTTTTTTAACAACGGGTTTTGTATTTTTATTTTGCATTAGGCCCCTCAAATTATGTAGTCAGTACTATTATTTTTCTTTTTCAAAATGTCTTGGCAATGTTCAGGCATTTATTTTAATACAAAAACTTTAGAACCAATCTATTTTCTCCTCACCCTAACCACCCTAGTACACCTTACCCACTCCCCACACATCCTTTTGGTATTTTATCTGACTCATTCATTTGAGAAGAATTGGCATTTTTATTATTTTGAGACTTTCCATCCTAGACATAGTTTATTTTGACACCTACTCAGATCTTGTTTTTTGTGTTTCTTTTGACATCTACTCAGATCTTGTTTTCTTTGCTTCAGTAAAATTTTATACTTTCTTACAAATAGAGTTTGTACTTTGTTAAAGAAGCTATTTACTCTTTTTTTTTCATTATACTTTAAGTTCTGGGATACATGTGCAGAATGTGCAGGTTTGTAACATACGTTTACATGTGCCATGGTGGTTTGCTGCACTCATTAGCCTGTCGTCTACATTAGGCATTCCTCCTAATGCTACCTCTCCCTTTGCCCCCAAACCCCCGACAGGCCCCAGTGTGTGATGTTCCCCTGCCTGTGCCCATATGTTCTCATTGTTCAACTCCCACTTATGAGTGAGACAGATGCTGGAGAGGATGTGGAGAAATAGGAATGCTTTTACACTGTTGGTGGGAGTGTAAATTAGTTCAACCATTGTGGAAGACAGTGTGGTGATTCCTCAAGGATCTGGAACTAGAAATACCATTTGACCCAGCAATCCCATTACTGGGTATATATCCAAAGGATTATAAATCATTCTACTATAAAGACACATGCACATGTGTGTTTATTGCAGCACTATTCACAATAGCAAAGACTTGGAATCAACCCGAATGCCCATCAATGCTATTTACTCTTTATCCTTACAATCTCCTTACCAATTGCCACTTGAATAGCAAAATAAATGCTTGATTCAAGAGCCGGGCACAAAAAAGTTTGTGAAACAGATTTAAGAAAGTAGGGAGGGAGAGTGGAAAGGAAGCAGAGGAAATCAATTGTCTATAGGTATTTCAGTACAAATTCAATGTTAGAAAAAAATAAAGAAAAGCCTTCTTGCTGAAATAGGATGACTTTTATGGGCTGGATTCATTTCTCAAGCCAGCAACTTGTCATGTCTACCTGGCACAAATGAGCCCCAATAAACTAAACCTGTGGAATTAAAATTTTTCTCCTTACATACTCCCAGAAACTTTAAGGTTACATTTAATTTTTAATTATTATTTTAAGGATGTAGCTTTGGTCATGTTACTAATGTTTGTGTCCTTTTATGATTCAGTTGTTAAACATATTTTTAATACATCCAATAGAATTAAAATGACATATCACATCTGAGAGGGATAAATTAATTCTGACTATAAGAAGCAGGTTTTCTGAAGTGCAGGGCACTCTGCCCTAGACTGGCCTAGATTGTAATAGCAGCACATTTTGCCCAGCACACGCACTTAAGATTTCTACTATTAAGAGAGCAGATTTTTACCTAATTTGTGGAAATTAACATAAAAAATAGGAAAAGGTATTGGACCGAAGGTAAATATAAGGTTTAAAACAAGTACATTGATTATTATCTTTTAAATGCTCTTTTTATACAGTATAATCCACAGTATACTGAAGTTAGGTTAATGTAAATCTAGTAAGTTCATGGAATAAATACACACCATGAGAGATAACCAGGAATGTTACTGGTAAATAAACAGAGCTATGGTGTATCAGTGACAAGTGGGAATCTGATACCCACATGAAAAAATGCACATAGTCGTACATTATCCAGGAATTTTGTCACAAGTCAAGAAACAGATGTCTCCTATGAATCTAAATAAATAGTAGGGAAAAAAGAAAACAATCTACTGGTCTTCCAGAAATACATAGCAAATTTTAACTTCCTCTATCTTATCATACAAAGCACAAATGAGTGACAGCCATTTTTTTTTCTTTTGTTTTCTTTTCTTTTTTTGAGATGGAGTCTCACTCTGTCACCTAGGCTGGAGTGCAGTGGCAGGATCTCGACTCACTGCAACCTCTGCCTCCCAAGTTCAAGCGATTCTCCTGCCTCAGCCTACTGAGTAGCTGGGATTACAGGCACGTGCCACCACGCCTGGCTAATTTTTGTATTTTCAGTAGAGACGGTGTTTCACCATATTGGTCAGGATGGTCTCGAACTCCTGACCTCATGATCCGCCTGCCTCGGCCTCCCAATGTGCTAGGATTACAGGCATGAGCCACTGCGTCCAGCCGAATGAGAGTCTTTACCAGATTTCTTCTCCTTAGTGAGACTGAAAATGCCTTTCATAAGTCTTGAATATTCCACTTCAAAAATGCATAGACAGATAAGGCATAGAGACTTGTCAGAACTTGTAGACTGCATGAATCAGGTGCTACCATCTTCAGTATTCCTTACTGTTGTTCTTGGCTTTGCTCCCCTGAGATACTCAGCAACAGTGTTTTGACAATAGTTGAGTGATGGGAGAAAAGACTTTATTAAACAAAAATTGTGATCATTGCCACGACTCCAATCTATAATATATGTTGAATTCATAACATGTTTTTATGGGTTAAAGTAACTTCCTACTTACAGGATTCATTTTCACCAATATTAGGAGTAAAACAAGGAAAAACACTATGATTTACTGCTGGTTCATAGTGACTTCATTTAAGGAGGTTTTGCCAGAACCAGTATTTTGAAGTATTGGTTGGTGCTGTGACAATTTCACAACTGTCAATGAATAATAACATTAAGAATGGAAAGAAGTATGCCTTTCTTTCGAAAAGTAGAAAAAGGGTAATTATGAAAGACAATATTGGAAATGATGACAGGGGTATTCCCAAACAGATCAGTTTTAGAAACAAAAACATGGACTTCAGGACCTGGAAGCAGACGCACTTAAAATCTTCCATGCCGACATACCAAGATCCTTCCAAAGTAGGCCTACCTCAGTTTGAAGACTGTGAACTTCACTCGCTAGAAGCACTTTAATGGGATCTCTTTAGTTTAACTTCCTATAGGACATTTAATAATATGATCTCTTTAAATGGAAGATTAAAAAGAACTATAATCCAGATGTAACAGCATCAAGATGCAACTGAATTTTTGTGGAAATTGTCAGTCTGGTTTTAAAATTTATATGAAAATTAAAAGACCAGCAATAGCCAAGGCAATCTTGAAAAAGAAGAACAAAAAGTGGAGGAAATGGAGAACTTAACTACTGAATATTAAAGCTTATTATAAAGCAATGATAATTAAAACAGTACAGTATGAGCATCAGAATAGACAAATAGACCAATAGGACAGAAACAGATCTACACATGCACAGTCCTTTGATTTGTGAGAAAAATAACACCATGGTGCAGTAAGTGAAGGGATGGTATTTTCTTTAAACAGTGCTATGTAGTTGTGTCAATATGAAAAAACAAATCGCGTCTCGACCCCAACTTCACACCACACACAATGATCAATTCCAGGTGAATTGTAGATTTGTATGTAAAAGATAAAAATATAACATTTGCAGAGGAAAACATAAGAAAATATATTCAATAATCTTGGAGAAAGCAAAGATGTTTTAAACAGAATACAAAAAGTGCAAACCAAAGAGAGAAAAATGATAAATAGTACATCAAAATTAACTCTTCTGTTCATCAGAAGAAACTCTTAAGGGAGTAAAATGGAAATACACATAGTGACAGAAGATATTTGAAATACCTATATTCCAATAAAGGGTGTATATCCAACGTATATATTCATAAAAATCAACAATATACAAACAACCTATAGAGAAAAGACAAAAACCAAATGTTGTGGAGACTGAGGTGTCACCTGAACTTTTCTTTTCTTTTCTTTTCTTTTTTGAGATGGAGTCTCACCCAGGCTGGAGTGTAGCGGCAAGATCTCGGCTCACTGCAACCTCCGACTCCCAGGTTCAAGCGATTCTCCTGCCTCAGCCTCCTGAGTAGCTGGGATTACAGGCACGTGCCACCACACCCAGTTAACTTTTGTATTTTTAGTAGAGACAGGGTTTCACCATGTTGGCCAGGCTGGTCTCAAATCCCTGACCTCAGGTGATCCACCCGCCTCGGCATCCCAAAGTGCTGAGATTACAGACGTGAGCCACTGCACCCAGTCTATTTTCTGACATGAGAGTATAAATTAGCATAATGACTATGGAGAAGTTTGCAAGAATAGCAAATAAAAATAGAATACCCATTTATGTAAAAACATTTGGCAGTATATACTAAGGATGAATATATGTACAGCCAATGAAAGTAATTCTCCTTGATTTATATAACCAATAAAAATAAGTTAATGTGTTCCCCAAAATACTGGTACAATAATGTTCATAGTAGCACTACTTGTAATAGCCCCCAAATAAATACACCCACATGTTCATCAACAATTTAAATAAATACACTGTGGCATATTCATGATCTGAAATACTGTACAGCAGAGAATGAAATGAACATCAAGTATAGGTTACAATATGGAAAATTTCATAAACACCATATTGAGCAAATAAACCCAGACATAAAATAGCATACACTGCATTATTCCATTTACATAAAGTTCAAAGCCAGGCAAAGATAGTCTATAGAGTTAGAAGTTTAAATAGTGGTTATCTTTGAGGAGGACGAGGAGGTAATCTGTGGAAGGGGACAAGAAAGTGGCTTCCAGAGTACTGTAGTGTTATAATTCTTCAGGCAGGTATGAGTTAGATAAATGTATTCACTTGCTGAAAATTCATTGAGCTGTGCACAAATGATTTGTGTACTTTATTGTTTGAATGCTAGACATCAAAAGAGTTTATTAGATTTTTAATTCAAAAATACATGAAAAAGATTTAATGTACATGAAAACAACACCATTTCTGTGAGGGCAGGTTGGTATAAATAAAGTTAAAGCATTCCAACATCTTTGCGTTTGTCCAGAAAGAAGGTAAAAGTACCAATTAACCAAATCAGCAAACTTCTAATAAATAAATTTCATTTCTAATAAATAAAATTCACTTGTTAGCTGGTTGAATTAGATGTTTTAATATAATGAACATCTAACATATATTTGGCATTAATTCCTTTCCTAGAGAGTAGTTGCAGAGGTTAGGTATGTGTGCAAAGACTTGACCTATGCCAAGGCAGTAGAATAAATTTGCATTTCCTCCCTTTTTCTTCCTATAATTCCAGAAATTGGTCACACTGGTAAAGCTGGAGCCACACTATTGCTATTTTGTAACATTTTGTCTTTATAAAATTAGTATTTATACTGCATAAAAAATCTATTTAAATAGAAAACATAGGCCAGGCACGGTGGCTCACGCCTGTAATTCCAGCACTTTGGGAGGCCCAGGTGGGCGGATCAAGAGGTCAGGAGATGGAGACCATCCTGGCGAACATGGTGAAACCCCATCTCTACTAAAAATACAAAAAAGTTAGCCAAGTGTGGTGGCGGGCACCTGTAGTCCCAGCTACTCGGGAGGCTGAGGCAGGAGAATGGCGTGAACCCGGGAGGTAGAGCTTGCAGTGAGCAGAGATAGCGTCACCACACTCCAGCCTGGGCAACAGAGCGAGACTCTGTCTCAAAAAAAAAAAAAAAAAAAGAAAGAAAGAAAACGTAATTCAGGGGGAAAGTCAAATATGTGGAGGCAAAGAGGTATAATGCAATTGAAAAATAAGTTTTAGAAACAAATAGACAAGTAACATTTTCTTTCTGAGAGTAAGTTTTCTCATATGTGATGATGGGGATAATAATGAAATACATATTTCAAAATTATTGTTACAATTATATGAGATACATAACTTTAAATTCAGGCTCTACAACATGCTAGCTATGTGACCTTGGAGAAATTTTGAATACATAATTTATCTGCACTTTGGCTTCCTCATCTCTAAAATGACAATACAGTACCATTTACTATTCATCTAGTAAATTTCTTTAAAACATTTAAGTATAAGAAGTATGATAGGCCAGGTGCAGTGGCTCACGCCTGTAATCCCAGCACTTTGGGAGGCCAAGGCGGGCAGATCACTTGAGGTCAGGAGTTCAAGACCAGCCTGGCCAACGTGGCAAAACCCCATCTCTACTAAAAACACAAAAATTAGCAGGATGTGGTGGAGGGCACCTGTAATCTCAGCTACTCAAGAGACTAGGGGAGGAGAATCGCTTGAACCCGGGAGGCAGAGGTTGCAGTGAGCTGAGATTGCACCACTGCATTCCAACCTGGGCAACAGAGCGAGACTCCATCTCAAAAAGGAAAAAAAGCAAAAGTAGTATGATAAACACACATGTGAATGAATGTCTGTGTGTATGTTAGTTTTCATACACATGCTTAGGATACTTAGTTTACTTTTGAAATTAAAACTACTAATCTGTAATTCATAACATAGATTTTTGTTAATCAGTATATTAAAATAATTTTTAATTGGGGGAATACGTTGTGTCCATGATATGGATTTGACTGGAAATTGTATGCATATCACTCACCATTTGAAGCCATGAGATATAAGAATCTGGATATCTAAAATAAAACAGTCTTATTTTAGAGGATCCGTACTCCAAGTCTAGAGCTCTGTGTGGTCATGTGTCTTCAGGGAAGGAAAACATCCTTTCAGGCAGGGAGATTCCGATTAGGTCAGCATCCATTCTTAGTGGTAGGTGCCCATGCCATAGTGGCTGCTGCATAATTTTGAATTTTACAAAATCTACTCATGCCCCTCTTGGAGCAAACATTTATCCAGGGTGTTGGTCAAAGTGCCTCATATTAGAGAGTGGCAACTTCCCTGAGCTTACAACGCATTGCATGGCTGCTTTTCTGCCTTCTTGCAAATGAATGTTTGTATATCTGTCAGATTTGGTTCTAACAGTTTGCATTCATTCTAATGTACGACATAGTGATGAGGTTCTCTAAATTTCAGAAATACTTGCATATGCAAAATACAGATATAAGTACAATGATGCACCAGCTTTAACCACATTCAAAACTCAAGGAACATAGAGTCTTCCAGCCAAATGAGAGTGATTTCTCCTCTCTCCTTTGCCCCTACCAACCCTTTTCTGATCTACAACTACAGCTAGCAAGTTGTAGAGGCTTGGAGAAGGGAAGGGAATAGGAAACTGAAGGCAACAACACATCCTTTCCTGAGGTTCAGCAGCTGCTAGCCATAGCTCTTTATTCAGGTAAAGTAAAGCAAAAGTCTTAATATTAGTCAAGACAAGCATTGCGCAATATGTTAAGCTGGACACATTGTAATCACTGAATCCAGATTGGATTTTTGTGATGTAAAGTAGCTATAGTACTTTCTATTACCTAAGAGCAAATGGGAATAGTCACTGGATCTCTCCAACTTTCCATCCAGAACCACAGTTAGTTTACCCACGTTAAATTCCTTTTAAAGGGATAGTGGGAAACAAAAATAAAGTTTTGTTTTAATCTTATCATAAATCATTTTTTCATGAACTTATTACAAAAATATTTCAATATTACAAATATGAAATTTATAATAGCTAAAAATATTGTACAAAGAATTATGTTTCTTCTTAGGATAACCAGTTTGATTGCAGTTACTCAACTCTGGTATATGTAATCACAAAATAGTTTTATTTTTACATTAACCTCTATCATCTGTATTCTGTTGAAACCTCCTGTATCCCACCCATTATGTATAAATTACGTTTAATGTTGTCTGTAAGTTCATAACACTTTCAGTCATTTTCAGTAATTAAAACAGCTTTATTGTATTAAAATTTAACTATACACCCTTTAAATCTACAATCTCAGTTTTCCCTCTCTCCCCCGTTGTTATAACAGTGAGAGTTGAAGAGAGTTCTCTCACAACTTTTCTCCATCTCTCTTCCCAATAGTTTCTCCAAATAGATTACTGCCCACTCTCTGTTAAACAACCCTGCAAATCTATGTAAAAACTCAGCAAGGTTTAGAGCCAACTGATCCCAACTGAAGGGTTTAATAGCAAGTAGATACTCTAACAGTTGGTGGTCCTTTTCTGGGGGACCCTTTTCTATTGTTCCCAATTGCAGGCATCACACAGAATTTCTGAGGCATGTACCTCTCTACTCTTAGTGTGGTGATCTCTGACAAGCCTGCAACCTCCAATCTTATTAACACTCTGTAGTCAAATATAGAGGTGGCCTGGAGGCCTGGGCCTCAAGGGGTGAGCCCTTATCCCCTCCACATGTCTATACTGTCACCCTCATCTCTCCCCAATGCTCTCTCCCAGGGTTTGCAAACGTTTACTCTAAAAAGTCAGGTTGTAGCATATTCTCACTCATAGGTGGGAATTGAACAATGAGAACACATGGACACAGGAAGGGGAACATCACACTCTGGGGACTGTTGTGGGGTGGGGGAAGGGGGGAGGGGGGAGGGATAGCATTGGGAGATATACCTAATGCTAGATGACGAGTTAGTGGGTGCAGCGCACCAGCATGGCACATGTATACATATGTAACTAACCTGCACATTGTGCACATGTACCCTAAAACTCAAAGTATAATAATAATAATAATAAAAAGTCAGGTTGTAAATATTTTAGGCTATGCAGACTATAAGGTGACTATTATTACTACTCAACTCTGCCAATGTAGCTCCAAAGCAGCCACAGATGATACCCAGTTGAATGAGCATGACTATGTTCCAATAAAACTTTATTCAAGGACACTGAAATTTGAATTTCATATGTCATGAAATAGTACTCCTCTTCTAATTGTTTCAACCATTTAAAATGTAAAAACCATTCTTATCTTACAGTTATATAAAAACAGGTGGTGGCAGATTTTGCCTACTGTCAGTGTTTGCCAACCTGTTCTGCTCTAACCCAGGAGTTCTATCTATGGTCAGGAAACCAAGCCCTGTCTAAATCAACATCCAACCTTGCAATGAAATACCTGTCTCCCTTTCTTGGTGTTAACTCCAAACCTTGTGAGCAATTCTCTTATAGAAACTCTCCCCTACCAATGTCAGTAAAGGGAATTGGTTCAGTGCCTCCTTCCCTATCTTATAGGAGGATGGAGAAGATAGTTTCTCTCTAAGAACAGTACACTCTTCCATTCTACCACAAAAATGTGCCAGGACCTTTCTTCCATATCATGATAGTAAGGGTCACCAAAACAGTTCAATACTTCTCAACTTCCCAAACCAACCCCTCTCTGATTGGACTCTGGAGAATTTAGTGATTCCTGTAAAGTTCAGGAAACTGAGATAACTAAAACTCAGTGAGTAGTTCACATTACTCTTACATAATTTTAAAATCAGAAATATTGATTCTTACTTTTTAAAAAATTATATTTTTTTCCCAAATAGGGCTCTCCATTGAAGTTCCATATAGCTTAAGAGCCATTGATATATTTAAATAAGGTAACATAAAATGAAAGTTCAGTGTACTGATTCCTTCTTTTGCTATCTCTGAGGGTCACAGAAATCAGGAAATGACCAGGGAGCCATTCACCATGTAAATGACCAGTGTCACTCTCAGATGACTGCAGCCTTTAGAACTGCAAACATAAGCAAGGCAGCTGCTGGTGTCAACAGCTGTCCCTGGAATATCACCAGGTTATTGATAATCTAATAGACCTTCACAGCAAAAACAATGAATAGAAGGCCAGAGTTAAACCAGTGATCATGTTGTTCATCAAAAGTACATCTTCATAAGCTTTAGCAGTCAAGGGTTAGCATATGTCAGGTTGATTCTCTCCTAAGATTCCCATGGACACTTTAAAGATCTCAGCACAGATTCAAAGCTAGAGAACATTCAATATAGCAAAACTGGATATGATTCGTACTTGAAGAATTGTGGACATAAGACTCACCTGCTATTTCTTCTCTCTGGAGCTCATAGCCTCTGGTTGATAACTTGTGGAACAGAGTCTTTACAAGAGAGATTCCTAAGGGCTTCCCCTCCAGCTACAAAAAATATAATTTCTGGTGGTGTCTGAGATTCCATTAGACATAAAGAATCTGATCTACTGTCATTATTAAAGGTGTGCTTATGCATGTTTGGTTGGAAACAGACCATTTTACATGCCCACTTTCACAGCATGTACAGAAAACATGCTGTGAATACAATTAAATGATTTTTGTGTGTGTGAAACGGGGGGTAAACATATTTTACTTATTTGCATTTTCTAAACTTCTGCAATGATTTTATGTCAACTTTTTATTTCTACAAAGTAATTTTTAAATCTTATGAAAAAACAGAGCAATTTTCGTAATCATTTTACAAAAGAGGAAATTAGCTTAGAGAAAACGGGTAGTAGCAGATGAGGAGAGCCTGGTTTCTCTAATTCCCAGGTTAGTATTAATATTTTTTGGCTCTATTATACCTCCTAAGACAATGATTGCTGAGACAAATTGGTTATGCCTCCAAAGAACTTAATGAGGGTAATAAAAGTAAGGAAATAATTACCTGACATAGACACAGAGTAATTTAATTTAGTTTGGAACCTTGGGTCCATCTATGATTTGCCTGACTGGTACTTTCTTGTACTCCAAGCATATATTTACACACTGACAGCCAAAAGTCAGGAGTCTGCTTAAGGGATGGCTTTTTAGTCCATACAATCTTCTCTAGTAACTTATCTCCAGCTTCAACCTTTTTCCAGGTTTGCTTCTGGGGGTCATGACTCTCTCTGTTTCTTATTTAGACACAAGTTCTCCTTATTTAGGATTTCATCAGGAAGAAATCAAATCCCACATACACAGCACAGACTGAAGTATCTGATTTTTAAATGCTTTATTACATTAACTTTAGTATCATTAGCAGATGAATATAATCAGATTAACAAACTGGTTTGGCCACAAGGAAAAGAAAAAACATTTCTGAAGCTTCACAAAACTATGTGTGTAGTGTGCAAACTAGAACCAGTTATACTTTCATCACTTCACAGAACACAAGTAGTGTGGTGCATCAAGAGATGTTCCACTGCTGCACCATCACCTCCAAACTGTAGAGGAGAGATGAAGGCAAACTTTGGAGGAATTTCCAAGGCAACTGCAGTCAAACATTATCTGTAAAACTGCAGGTATAAATGGCATTATACAAAAGCTCAAACATCCTTCAAAACTTGGACTATTGAAGTCTACAATTAAATTTCAATTTTTTTAACTTACAAGGAAATCATACTCATTTAAGATACAGTTACCTCTACTTTAATCCCCAGCTCAGTCAGATATTTGTAGTCTTATCAGAAATATTTGTATTAGGTAGTTGTTTTATTTCCTATTCTATTGCTTACAATTTTAAAATCCACATTAATAACTCAGAGTAACATTTATACATAGATTAACAGAAAGGTAAACTTTAATTTCCAAATTAGGAATGAAGAAAGATGTTAAATGGCTTTGCTTTAAAAGAAACAGTACAACTGTATAGGTATAAATAATGGTTTTGTGACAATAAACATGAATTTAATACAAAGATACCAGTGCTTTTGGGCCAAAGCCAATAGACTTGACTTTTTAGAAATAAGCCTAGTTTACTTCATTAAAGTAAGTGTTACGGCTGCTATAATGTGTCTGGTACTGATTCCAAACATATCCAGCAATTCACTAGTTTTCCCACGTTGAGGCACTCCTGACACTGCCAGTTGATGAACAAGGATATCAGGCTCCCTGGAGACAGCTGCACAAACAGCTTCTCCAATGCCACCTTCCCTGTAGTGATCCTCCACTGTGATAACTCGGCCGCCTGTGGCTTTTGCACTGGAGATGATGGTGGCGGCATCCAGGGGTTTAATGGTAAATGGGTCGATGACACGGACAGAAATACCTTGTTGAGAAAGATGGTCAGCAGCTTCTAAGGCTTCATGGAGAGTAACTCCAGCTCCAATTACTGTGACTTTATCATTGACACCGTGGCGGACCACCTTGGCCTGGCCAATCTCAAAATTTTCTTGTGGGGTATAAATAACTGCAGTTTCTGGTTGGCTGGTTCGAATGAAGCACATTCCCTTGGTATTGGCGGCTAGATAAATAGCATGCTCTGTCGAGATGGCATCACTTGGATAGAAAACAGTACAATTGGGAATGCTTCGGAACATGGCTAGATCCTCCAGGGCCATCTGGGAGACTCCATCTTCTCCAGTGGATACCCCACAGTGGGAACCAATAAGGTTGATATTGGCTTGAGAAATGGCTCCCATTCGGAGCTGATCGAATGCTCTAGTAAAAAAGGCAGCAAAAGCACCAGCAAAAGCAATGGTTCGACCACGTGTAGCACAGCCTAGTGCCACACTTACCATGTTTTGTTCAGCAATAATACACTCTATGAAACGCTCAGGGTGTTCTTTCCTGAATATCTCAGAAAAGGTGGAGTTCATCGTGTCACCACTCAGAACAATAACTCTTTCATTTGCACGGCCCAGTTTAGCCAGAGCCAAACCATATGTTTTCTGAGTAGCTATCTTGTCACCAACTTTGTAAGCAGGTGGGGAGGTCATTTTTATATCTGTGATGCTTATTTGAGGTGAGTCTTCCACAGGCGATTTTGGTATGAGATTCTCATTGGTCTGTATCTGACTCTCAATTAATTTGACAATTGCATCTGCTCTTTCTTTTGGCACTGGCTTTCCATGCCAATTTTCTGCATCCTCAATATTTGGAATACCCCGACCTTTGAAGGTCTTGGCAACTATAGCAGTAGGCTTGTTCTTCACTTGACTTGCTTGCCAAAATGCTTGGCACAAGGCCTCCACATCATGGCCATCCACTAAGTAAGTATTCCATCCAAAGGCTTCACAGCAATTCTGGTAGATGTCTGCGCCATGCTCAAGGGGTGCAGGGCCACTTTGTCCCAAGCGGTTCACGTCGAAGACCGCCACGAGATTGTCCAAGTTGTAGTGGGAGGCAAAAGCAAAAGCCTCCCACACAGAGCCTTCTGAGGATTCGCCATCTCCCATAAGGCAGAACACCCGGTAGCTGGCCTTGTCAAGGTACTTGCCAGTATAAGCCATTCCACATGCAGTACCTAATCCCTGACCTAGGGACCCTGTTGCCACGTCAACAAACGGCAATCGGGGGGTAGGGTGTCTCTCCAAGTCGCTGTGAAGTTTCCTCAGGTTCAGCAAGTCAGATTCACTGATGTCACCCACCTCCACCCAAGCAGCATAGAGGATAGGAGCAGCATGTCCCCTGGAGAGGATGAACCGGTCGTTGTCCGGGTGTTCTGGGTCTGTCTGTTTATACTTCATCGTGTGGAAGAAGAGGACAGACACGACCTCCGCTGCACTGCAGCACGACGTGAGCTGGCCAGAACCAGAGGCACACGTGGCCCTGATGGAATGGATCCGCAGGCGGTTGGCTGTGTCCCGCAGCACCTGCACGGTCTTCACGTCGGGCTTGGCGTCGTTGGCCATCATCTCTCTTTTGTCGGTTTGGCAAAGCAAACGGCGCCGCAGCACCCCCACAACCCACCGCGGCAGTGCTCTCACGTGACCGCCCCGCCCTCGCCTCCCCTCTGCCTGAAGGCCTGAGCTCAGCCACCAGCCGGGGCGCCCACAACGGAGCTTCCCGCGAGACTGAGGAAACGGAAACGTTGGAGTAGCCTGCACCCTCTGATGTGCACCGTTCCCTCTCCCTGTCCACGCCCAGCTGAATGGATTTTTAGTATTTACTTTGTCACGTGCATGTTCAACATTAGGAAGCATAATTAAATTTTTTACCTTTCCCTGTGTTATAAATTCAAGACTAGACATTTTTCTGTGTATTATAGGAAGCGATTTGTCAGGCTGTGCTTTTTTAATGCATTAACACTATATCCGAGTCATCACTCTTTCATATCAGAACATTAATAGAAAGGATACAAAGTCACTTTCAATCTGACCAGTATGGCAATGCTATCTCAACAGAGACTTTCTCAGAGCAACCAAATATCTGAATCTCAGACTTATAGAAAGAAATGCAATGACTAATTTGACCAAAATTTATAGGAAGAACAAATCTGAAACCACCCAATTGCAGAATAGAATTGCAACTCCAGTGTGCCGTAAAGTACTATTTCTGTGTTGAAATAATTAGAAGGCCAGTAGGCTGAGGTAGCTTCAGCTCCATGAGTTCCTACCTAAGGAAAGGAAACCCAAATCAGTGTAAATGATAAAAAGGAAATTTAAGCTTAATCAATCAGAAACTGCCAGCTAACTTCTAACTGGGGACTTTCCACTGGGATGACCCAAATAAGTCTAGTACTCCACTTTAACCAATCAAATATCTTTCCTTTGCTTCCAAATTCACCCTATAAAAGCCTTCTCCTTGGCTCCTTTATCAGGAGCTACCAGATTCATGAATCACTGAATGGTCAAATAAATGCTTTAATATTTTAATGTGCCTCAGTTTATCTTTTAATGACTATTACTACAAATCATTTTTAAGACAAAGTTACTTACTTTAAAAAACTAAATTTGTGGGCCGGGTGCTGTGGCTCACACCTGTAATCCCAGCACTTTGGGAGGCCGAGGCAGGCGGATCACAAGGTCAGGAGTTCGAGACCATCCTGGCTAACACGGTGAAACCCCGTGTCTACTAAAAATACAAAAAAATTAGCTGGGCGTGGTGATGGGCACCTGTAGTCCCAGCTACTCGGGAGGCTGAGGCAGGAGAATGGCGTGAACCTGGGAGGTGGAGCTTGCAGTGAGCCCAGATTGTGCCACTGCACTCCAGCCTGGGAGACAGAGCGAGACTCCGTCTAAAACAAAAAAAACTAAATTTGTGCCATTGAACTCTTCTAGCAGGCCAAGGTTATGGTTTGTCATCAATAAAACAACAATTAAAAAAAACACAATGATAATATATCATACCTTCCCATATTGCGATGTTAAACCTCTTGGTTTCTTGAGCAATAATTCTTACCTTAACTTCACGTTAAAATTAGGGCACATAAGAAACACAATGCCTGGTTCCATCCCAGAAAAATAGAATTTGAATTTCTGGACCTGGAGTCTGGGAAGCTATGTTTCTAAAATACATCCATTGATTATAATGGGTAGTCAAGGTTAATAACATAATCTGGAGATAGTCTGAGACCAGTGGTTCTCAACATTAGTTGTAGTTTAGAATTATCTGGGAAGTTTTAAAAACATCTCATGTCCATGCTGCACTCCAGACCAATTATATCAGAATTTCTAGGCAATAGATCTAGGCGTCAGTAATTTTAAAATCTTCCCCAGGCAATTTCAATGTTCAGTCAGGGTTGTAAACAACTAACTCAGGGGGTGTTGTTACTCTTTATACTTATTATCTCTTGCATTATATCTCAGAAAAATATTTCAAATGTTATTTGCTATTTCAACTAGTTCTATCATTTTAACTTTTAAGGACACATATTAGAATAAATAGTAATAATATGACACTACTGATTTTAAGACTTGTTGCAGGAATGTTGGCATTGGAGAAGTTCTTAAGAGGTCATCATGTATCCATAACTCTCCATGTCCTTTGCAAATTAAAGCTTGTTTATCTTTTTAGACAAATAAAGGAGGAGGAAATACAAGCAGACTAGGCTAGAACTGGTAGTACAGAAGATGGGAATTAGAGAAAAAATAATAATCACAGTAAAATAATAGCAAACTACTACAGGCTGACAGGAAAGTAGTTAATATAAACACAGGTAGCTCACCATTATTTTGGCCAAAAAGAACTCTAATAAATCCACACAATTAGTAAACATGATAGTACAAAAATGATTTATGAGGCAATGTTCCCATGAATAAAAACATGGGACTTCTTAACATTTCTTTCCAAGTTCCCACATTCTTTCACTCATTTAAAACATTGCACAGCTATTTCCTAAAGTATTAAATAAAAAAATTTTAACATTAGCAAAGGTCAATTTTATTAAGAGAAGAATGTAGTCTTGGAGATTTAATACCCTAGATAGTGAGTGTGAATTTCCCTCTATCATTCTGTGAGACCGTGTGAATTTTTTATACTATATAGAAAATAATATTTTATAAATTATGTGTAAAATACTTATAAACCATTCTGAGATTTTGTAAAAGGAACTCTGGAAAGATATATATATATATATATATATAAATATATAAAAGTATATATATAGTAAAATATCTGGAAAGATATACTATATATAAAAGTATATATATTATATATAAAAACTCATATCAATATATGTAATATATATTAAGTTTATATAAAATTAATTTTATATTAATATGTTATATAAATAACATATATAAGCTGTTAATTATTTTCTTTAAGCATTTTAGTCTTTTAAATTTGAAATATATTTTAAAATATACAATTGAAAATATATAAATACAGGTAGAGCATCCCAAATTTGAAAATCTGATGTTTCCAATGCTCCAAAATCTGAAACATTTTGAGCACTGACATGTTACTCAGGGGAACTGCTCAAAGGACATTTTGGATTTGGGATTTTTCTGATTTGGAATGTTCCGTTGTTAAGTATAATGCAGATATTCCAAATTTTTTTTTAATTGAAATCCAAAACACTTCTGGTCTCAAGCAAATAATTTCAACTAAAGAATACTCAACTTGTTTAAAGTATGCACAATTTCATAATGCAAAATTACCCAATATGGCTGGGAACACAACTTCGTCAAATAAATCAAACAAAGACGTGATACCACCTTCTCCCCTATTTAGAAGACAAAATAGGGGAGCCAAACCCTATTTGGCTGACAAAATGTCAGCCAAAAACTTTTAAACCAGCACGCCAAAAATGTAGTTGTCTTGGAGAAAAGTTCATTATTCATTTTAGAGATCATTTTGGAAGCCAGTCAAAAATGTTCTGCAAATAGGAAAACATTATTCATTTATTATTAATCTTGGTTTATCCAGACAAAGCAGAGATTGGCAAATTCAAGTGCCTACTGGGATAAGGAGTTACCACGAGTGCTTGGATGTCAGCTATAAGAGGGTTAGAGGGGCCTGTGTTAAACTGGAGAATACAAGACCACTTAAAGGCATTCAAAATTGAAAAACTTATAAACATTTTGTTGGAAAAATAAAATATACCTTCAGGCTGCCACTTTTGACCCCAATTTAAAGTCTATTTAAAAGCAGCAATAATTTTTGTTTTAACTTTGCTTAAATTTTTCACTTAATTTTTTCTCATAGTATCTAAAAGTATTCATTATAGCGTGTACTTCACATGAAAACAAAATCTAACAGGATTACCAATACAAGTAGCTATGAGGGAAAAACTTAAATAGTAGCAATTGATAAGTGTAATTTCTACTGAGCTGCAGCAGAGAAAACAGAACACACAATTACCGATTACTGAGTAGGTCTACACTGATTTGTGAAAATAGATATTTTGCCATGTGAGGGTGAGTGATATTTAGGAGTTGGGAACGCTGAAATTTTACTTAAATCTTATTTAAACTGTTAAGTTTTGTTAAAATGGAATTATATAAAATACATAAATGCTGAATTCATCTTTTGCTTCCACTGTTTAAATTTGGTTGGCTTTGGAAGCTAAAGTATGGAGCAAATGAGAATAAGATTCTTGTGTAAGGCAATAAGTCTCCTGGAAAGAAAAATGTACTTTATCTTCCTGGATTATTGCTTTGAAAATTTTAACAGATGCTATTATGATGCATCTGTAGGATGCTATCCCACTTTTTCCACAGTTACAAGTCCTTATTTTGCGGTGGAGAGAGAAGGGGCAGAAGAGAGAGGTGGCAACAAATTTAAGAAACTTGGCCCAGCTCCTAGTCCCAGGAGAAAATCATAATTAATGTAGGACCAGCATCACAATGCCATTCCCTTTGGCTAGTAATGGCAGTCAGCACTTATTGACCCAGTTCTGGTCAATAAGATGTAAGTAAAAGTCTGCTTTGGGTGTAATAATTCTCATCGTTTCTTTCTTTTAGAGATGGGGTATTGCTATGTTTCTCAGGCTGGTTTTGAACTCCTGGCCTCAAGTGATCCTCCTGCCTGGTCTCCCAGCTGGTAATAATTTCTATTAAAGATTTTCTTCCTGGTAAACAGGAGAGAGTACAAGAAGAACTGTGATCTCTTCTTTTTTTTTTTTTTTTGGGATGGAGTTTTGCTCTTGTTGCTCTGTCATTTAGTAGAGACAGTGTTTCACCATGTTGACTAGGCTGGTCTTGAACTCCTGACCTCAGGTGATCCGCCCACCTCCGCCTCCCAAAGCGCTGGGATTACAGGCATGAGACACCACGCCCAGCCATTCTTTTCAACCCCTCTACCACCACCACCAGAGGATGTGTTGGAGCTATAGCAGCCAAAAGCCTAAGGATAAGGCCAGGCGCTGTAGATCAATTATTAGCCACTTTTCCTGTAAACCTAAAAGAAATTAAAATAAATAGTGCAGGCCGGGCACAGTGGCTAACGCCCAGCGCTTTGGGAGGCTGAGGTGGGCGGATTGCCTGAGGGCAGGAATTTGAGACCAGCCTGGCCAACATGGTGAAAGCCTGTCTCTACTAAAAATACAAAACTTAGCTGGGCAACGTGCTGCACATCAGTAATCCCAGCCACTTGGGAGGCTGAGGCAAGAGAATTGCTTAAACTTGGGAGGTGGAGGTTGCAGAGAGCTGAGGTGGCGCCACTGCACTCCAGCCTGGGCGATGGAGTGAGACTCCATGATTAAAAAAAAAAAAAACCTACAGATAAAAGTTAACGTGCTTAGTACGGTAGACTGGAAAAATAGAAAGTATGAGTTCTTCATAACTTCGTGGGTCCACAAGCCTTGAGACCAGCTTCTTCTAGACTCCTTGTTAAGAAAAAAATTAAATATTCCCACTTTATGAATGAGTTTCTGTTATCTTCAACTGAAAACATTTCTGGGAGATACAAAAATAGATCCCCTAAACAAGCTCCTGTAAGTCTAGTAATCAGGGAAAAAAACAAGAAAAACAATCAAGACGGCTCACAGTAGAAGAGAAGGGGCTCTAGAAAATGTAGTTTACTCAGTATTTTTATTCTCAGTGCCTGGTCCCACCCACACACCTACAACTTTGGTCTTTTTTGTATAATTACTATTGCTATGTTGCTGTTGTTGTTATTACATTGACTATCTCTTCAAAAACTAGGATTTTTAAACTTGGTACATGGGCTTTATGTATAGAAAACACTCAGATACCTTATCATATTCATTTGCTGTCTGGCCTAGATGGTTGGGTATGATGGAAATATGAAAATGATATAGCTGGATTTATTCTCATATAGACTAGCTACATTTAGTGGAGAAAATGCTTTTCCTTCCATCCAGATAATAACCTTGAAGTAGATTACAACAAAATCTCTTACTTTTGAAAACTAAAATATAATAACAAATGATAGCAATAGTAATTTTTTAAAATCCAAGGTATTAGACTTATATTACTGATTGTAAATCAGTATGATCAGCTTTAAATATATGAGAGGAATTTAATTCATTCTATAAACCATTTTTATTAGATACTACTATTGTATGCATTAAATAGTGGATTAGTACTTGCGCCATGTCCCACCTAACTCCTTCCCATCCTCAGGTCAAATTCAGCCCTTTGTTGAGATTTTATTTTGGCTAGAATATTTTAGCAAATGTATTGAGTTACAAACAACAAACAATAACAGTAATAACATTAATCCATTTAACCAACAAATTAATGAATTTTGGCAAATGTTTATTTCTATTTAGCTATCACAACAATCAAAATATAACTTCAATATTTCTATCGTCCTCAAACATTCCTGTATGCTTTGGCATTCAGTTATTCTTCACCCTAGGCTCCACTGATTTGCTTTCTGTCTCTGAGGTTCTGTTCCTTTTTGTTTTTTATTCTTTCCCCTTCTGAACTTCAGTTTGGATAGTTTCTATTGCAGTGTCTTAAAGTTCACTGAATTTTTCTTCTGCAGTGTCTAATCTGCTCTGAATCCCATCCTTTGAATTTTTTATTTCAAATATTATACTTTTTATCATTAGAAGTTCCATTTGGTTCTTCTTTATATCTTACTGTCCTCATAATATTAATCTCCTTTTAATTCTTCTAGAATATATATATATAAATATATATATATATATATATATATAAAATTTCTTTTTTTGAGACAGAGTTTCACTCTTATCACCCAGGCTGGAGTGCAATGGAGCAATCTTTGCTCACTGCAACCTTTGCCTCCCAGGTTCAAGCGATTCTCCTGCCTCAGCCTGCCCAGTTACTGGGACTACAGGTGTGTGTCACTACACCTGACTAATTTTTTGTATTTTTAGTAGAGACGGGGTTTTGCCATGTTGGCCAGACTGGTCTTGAACTCCTGATCTCAGGTGATCTGCCTGCCTCAGCCTCCCAAAGTTGTTGGTATTACAGGCGTGAGCCACTATGCCTGGCCCTTCTAGCATATTTTAAGAAGATTTTTTTAAAAGTCCTTGTCTACTAAGCCTATTATTCGGTCTCTCTGTTTCCATTAACTAATTTTTCTTCTGATAATGTGTTACACTGTCCAGTTTTATGGAATATCTAGTTTTTAAATTAAATGCTTGACATTATTTTGGGAGGTTGGATTTTATTTTATTGTATATTTTTAAAGAGTGTTGGACTTTGTTCTGAGAAGCCACTCATTCCTTTCGAGTATTTTAAGTCTGTTAAGGCAAATGTAGGGTATGCTTTACTCTAGTGTTAGTTTAGCTCCCCTACAAAAGCATAATCTCTCCAGGGTTTCCACCGAATGCGCCGGTGTGTTCAATCAGGCCCCTCAACTCTGGCTGGCTAGGACTCAAGTGTGGCTTAGCTTCTGTGAGTTCTGGGAACTGTTTGGTTATCACCTTTCCCAAGTTGTCATTTTCCTGGCCATGTAAGATGTATGCTTTATGCAAAGGTACTCTAAAGATTTCTGGAGCTCTTTGGGCAGTTTCTCCTTATAATCATTCTGCCTTCAAAATGCTAGCCAACATAGGATTCCTGAGCTCCAATCTCTGTTGCCTTATTTGCCATGCTGTGTGTCAGATGCCCTTCCCTGTAGCACTGTCTGGAAAGGGCCTCTAGGAAGAAAGCCAGAAAGATAATGTTTTCTCTCTTTCATAGACCACGATCCTGTGCTGCCTGTTTTCCAATATATGAAAACTATTACCTTATAAACTTTGTCTAGCTTTCTAGTTGTTTATGGCTGGAGGGTAAATCTCATTCCAGTTACTTCCTCATAGCCTCAGAACAGCATTTAAAATGTTTTGAATGTTAATACTTTATACTGGGCATATATTCTCCAGAAAACGGTATCCCAACTCACACTACTCCTTATGTCTAGCACCCCTCTGATTCCCACATTTATATTACTTCTTGAACCCAGAAGACTTTGGAATTTCCAATTACACCAATTGTTACTAACCCTTATGGTGTCATTTTAAAAAGATGTCCCTCAAAGCATGGTCTAATGAAATTTTAATTTTTAAGAACTATCAAAAAAATTTCATTGTTATGGTTAAATTTTCCAGAGAGATTTAGTACTGCTCTGATAAACCCAAAAACCCTTGGCATTTGTATGATTTTAAATTAAATTCTCTAAAACATATCAAATAACTGCCTTTCTTCTTATAAAGGGGATGTGGAGCATTAACCTTTTCTTTGATGACTAATGGTCATCATTATGACCACTGGCTATTAAGCTTTATTGAAATTCAATCAAATAAATCAAAATTACTATTGAGAATGGTGCTTAAGGAAGGTTATTCCAGCATCTTTGTTCAGAATAAATGTTCAATTTTTATTACTCTACTGTAGTATATTTTTCAGGGTATGTAGCTGTAGTAACAAAATAACCAAAAAAAAAAAAAAAAAAAAAAAAAAAGGAAGTGGCTCAAGCAAGATTTAAGTTTATTTTTCCTTCACATAAATGCTCAGAGTATGCTTGGAAGTCAGGCAGCTCTGCTCAAGTGGGTTTTACAGGGTCCCAGATTCTTTTCATGGCTGCCTAGTCATTGACTCAGGTGTTGGCCTCATCTGCAAAATTGAAGCCAGAAACCACTTGGGCCACCAAAGAATAGAACAAAACGAGAATACAGGGGGACAATCTATTTCTTTTTCAGGAAGCAACCCAGAAATTGTAAATTTCACTTCTCATTCTCTGTTGGTGAGAACTTACTTGCCTAGCCACAGCCAACATTAAGGGAGTTTGTGAAATGAAGCAATTTGCCCACTGATCTGCTGAAACTTAGGAGATTATAATACAAAGACAAAAGGAAGAACCAATACTGGTGGACAAGTTATAATCTCCACCACTTATTATTTTAACATTTAACTTTTGGTTGTGCTTTGTAGACAAACAACCTTGTAACATTGTTTATAGCATTTACAAGTTAAAACAGTTTATCTTCAAAGCAATGCTTTTACATGCTTTAGAACCAAAGCAGATTTTTTTGACTGAATAGTGAAAATTTATTCATTTCTTTATTGCATACTTGATACATAATAACCTTATGTAATGCTCTATGGAGGAGTTGAAGATGGTTCTTGCTCTCCAGATACTGGACTTTAATAGGGAAGACAAAGTAGGCACAACACATGATTACAGTAGTGTGCCAATAGGTGCCAAATGTTATACCAGGGCATAGAAACAAGTGCTTACTCTTAGATAGTGACCAGGAAGATGTCATTGAAAAGGTAATACTTCCACTGAAGATGAGTACAGTTGTAGAATGAGTACAATTTTTGTTAGAGTAAATATGAGAGGAAGTCAATGCAAAGTTATGAGAATAAAAAGAGAGAATTTCTAATCTGAAAGGAAGGAAAGATTCATCCTGAGAACAGTAGAGAAAGCAGGAAGATCAATTTTGAAAAGGCCTCGAAACACAGACAAGTAAGAGGTTTTGCTATGTTCTCTTGCTTTGGGGCTGAGGGTGAAGTACAATGGAAATTTTTTCATCATTTGAGTGTCTTGATCAGAGTAGTGTTTTTTAAAATTGTTTTGGTAGTGTTAGGAAAGATAGGTCAAGTTGAGAAAGAAACAGGAAGGAAGATAATTTTATTGCAGAAACACAGAAGTCAGATAATAAAGGACTAAAGTAGGGAGTTCTTTGTCTTGTAAGTTCCATAACATTTTTTAAATGATAGTACTGATCATCAGATTTAATGCAAGCAAGTGGAATTACTTGACAAGATTGAGAAGAAGGAGTGAGGAAGGCAGTGGATGTGCTCTGATGAATGTATTGGTTTGCTAGGTCTGCTACAACAAAGTGTCACAAGCTGGATGACTTAAACAACAGAAACTTACTGTCTCTCAGATCTGGAGGCTAGAAGTCAAAATTTAGTGTATCAATAGGGTTGGTTCTTTCTGATGGCTGAGAGATGGATCTGTTCCTGATCTCTCTCCCTGACTTTGGATGGCTGCCTTCTCCCTATGTCTTCACGTCATCTTCCCTCTATGTATATCTCTGTGTCTAAATTTCCCCTTTTCATAAGAACATCTGCCATATTGGATTAGGGTACACCCTAATACCCTCATTTTTACCTTTCTGTAAAGACCCTAAAACTACCTCTGTAAAGATCTCCAGATAGGGTCACATTCTAAGATACTAGTGGTTAGGACTTCAATGTATCTTTTGGGGGGACACAATTCAATCCATAACACTTGGCTTGTAGCGGCATAACCACAACATTTACATGGAGTCTCCCTGTGTACATGTCTGAGTCCAAATTTCTTTTCATAAGGACACCAGTCATATTGGATTAGTGGCCTACACTTCTGTAGTAGGACCTCAAGTAATTATATCTACAGTGACCCTGTAAGGCTCTTTGTGACCCAAATAAGGTCACATTCTGAGGTACTGGGGGTTAGGACTTCAACATATTAATTTAGTGGGAGAGGTGGGGGAGGCACAATTCAACCTACAACAATGAAGATTCACCTAAAGTATTCATTGCTCTAAAAAACTCAATACATTTTAGGAAAATCTATCACATATTCATATATTCATAAAGATATGTGACTTATAACGCCTTATAAATATGACAATGAGAGAACAAAAACATTATCAAACTCAGTTTTTATTGATTCTGCTACTACGTAGATGTGGTTAAGACAAGGCATCCTAAAACAAAATTTAATAAAATGATCTTAACAAGAATAACCAAAATTTCCTTCTTTCGACTTCAAAGCTTCCTTTCATTAACATTGTTCTTAAAAGAGAAATAACACTTGCAGCCTAATCTCAATTATCAACTTGTATATTTTGGTTTGCATCAGCATATCTCTAATGCACCACTTTATTGGTGCATTATTGCCACTGTACTCATTAAATTCAGCTTTCCCCAGTCCTCCTCATTTTAATTGGAAAAAAGCTAAAAAATACACTGTTTTGAAAAATTCAAACACTGTAGAAGAATACAATGAAAGGTCCTTTCCTGAGCGCCCTACCTCAATCCTAATCTCGTAAATTACAAACAGCATATTGTAACTCCATCCACATATTTTCTATGCATGAATGGGCATATATATGTCTTCATTCCACATTTTATTGTAAATGGGATTTATTTTGCACATTGTTTTATAACTCATTTTTTTCTACCTAACAATTTTAGAGCATTTTTCCACACAGGTACATATCAATCTAACTCATTTCTTTAAAACAGCGGCAGATAATTCTTTGTAACAAATTTAACTTGTGTAAGGAGTTAAATATGTTACAAAGGGGATTTGGACGACCACCAGATGGCACTAGCACACAGTTTATTTGGGCAGAGATTGACAGATTTGCCTGGGGGTGAGGGTGGGGGTTGGGGTGAGGACAGGGGCAGTTTCTCAGTGACAGCATGATACCTTCCAAAGGCAAGGGTGCACAGGCGACTTTCCAGAAGGGACATAGAGGAAGATCTGAGGGAGAGTATTTAGAGGGGGTTATGTGTCTAGGTGGTGTCACTCAGCAGCATGGTGGGAGTCTCTGGGCAAAGAACTCTGAGAGAAGCAGTGGCCCCAGCGTTTATCTAATCTATGGGACCTATGGTTAGCAGATGTTGGGTGCAGTTTCTCAGGATGTGCAAAGCAGGCAGGCTGTAAATGGCTAACAATCTGCTTTTGGGGGCTATATTTTAAAACAACTGGATGTGTAGAAATTTAAGTTTGGCCGTAGCCGGCTTTTGAGTTAAGAAGTCCCAGGCTGCTGTGAAGAAGTAAACAACACAGGGCCAGGGGCCATTTTAACTCATTTTTGTAACAACTAGCTCCTTATTGAAAGGCACTTTATGATTTTTCCCAAGCCAAAAAGAAAAGAAGAGTCACAAACAGGTCAAAAGAAAAATTACTAATTTATATATGACAAAAGTCTAATTTTATAAGTATAATCAGGACTCCTAGAAATAAGAAAAATGATAAATTAGCACAGCTGTCTCCAAAATCAACCTTGAAAACTACAGAAACAGGAAGAAATTGGCTGTTGGAAGTAAATGAAGACTGTGAGAAACCCCTGGGAAGAAGGGAACTAGTGACTAGAAGGGAGGGAGGCAGCCGAAGAGCACAGCAGTCACATGGGGAGGAGGATGTCCCTGGAAGCTTGGGAGGCTCTGGGGAGGTCATATATAATCTTAGCTCTTGTCTCCCGTACTTCACCTGGGAAGCTTTGCTGCCCTCCCAGTGTTGTGAAGCACTACCAGAGGAGCACAAGGCCAGGCTAATAAGGAGCTGATAGAAATAGGACTAGGATGAATTGTACCCTGGAATGTTCAGGCCTCCAACTCCTGTCAGCAGAGGTTATTGGTCCCTGGAGCTCTCTCCTCTGAAACTTAACCCTTCTGCTTTCCTCAAATTCTCAAAAAAGGATTCAGTTGAGAATGTGTCTTTGAGCACTTCCCTAATAGACAACACAGAGCAGTATAGCTGATTTCATCAGTAAATTAATGTGATGCTACAGGTTCAAAGAAACTAGGTACCTATATTAGTCCATTTTCACACTGCTATAAAGATACTACCGGAAACTGGGTAATTTATAAACAAAAGAAGTTTAATTGACTCACACTTCCGCATGGCTGAAGAAGCCTCAGGAAATTTATGATCATGGCAGAAGGTGAAGGGAAGCAAGGCACATCTGACATGGTGGCAGGAGAGAGAGACAGCAAGCATAGGAAATGACAGACACTTATCAAATAACCATGTCTTATGAGAATTCCCTCACTATCACAAGAGCAACATAGGGGAAACTGCCCCCACGATCCAATCACCTCCCACCAGGTCCCTCCCTTAACATGTGGGGATTACAATTTGAGATTAGATTTGGGTGGGGACACAGAGCCAAATGATAACATTCCACTGCTGGCCCCTCCCAAATCTCATGTTATTTTCACATTTCAAAACCAATTATGCTTTCCAAACAGTTCCCTGAAGTCTTAACTGATTCCAGCATAATCTCAAAAATCCAAGTCCAAAGTCTCATCTGAGACTAAGCAAGTCCCTTCCACCTACGAGCATGTAAAATCAAAAGCAAGTTAGTTACATCCAATATAAAGTGGGGGTACAGGCATTGGGTAAATGTTCTCATTCCAAATGGGAGAAATTGGCCAAAATAAAGAGGCTACAGGCCCCTTGCAAGTCTGATATTCCGATACCCAGCTGGGCAGTCATTAAATCTTAAAGCTCCAAAATCTCCTTTGAATATAGAGATGGAAAATACAAAACATAAATACAAAATATAAAACATGATGCAAGGCAGTGTACAGCTTCTGTGGCTGCTTTCACAAACTGGTGTTGAGTGCCTGCAGCTTTTCCAGGAGCACAGTGCAAGCTGTCAGTGGATCTACCTTTCTGGTGTCTGGTGGATGGTGACCCTCTTCTCACAGCATCACTAGGCAGTGCCCCAGTGGGGAATCTGTGTGGGGGCTCCAACTCCATATTTCCCTTCTGCATTGCTCTAGCAGAGGTTCTCCATGAGGGTTCTGCCCCTGCAGCAGACTTCTGCCTGGACATCTAGGCATTTCCACACATCCTCTGAAATCTAGGCAGAGGTTCCCAAACCTTAACTCTTGTCTTCTGAGTACCCACAGACCCAACACCACATGGAAGCTGCCAAAGCTAAGGGCTTGCACCCTCTAAAGCAATGGCCCAAACTCTACCTTGGCCCCTTTTAGCCATGGCTACAACTGAAGCAGCTGAGATGCAGGGCAGCATGTCCTGAAGCTGCACAGAGCAGAGGAGTCCTGGGCCAGGCACACAAAGCCATTTTTCCCTCCTCACCCTCTGGGCCTGTGATGGGAGGGGCTGCAATGAATTTTCTGACATGTTCTGGAGACATTTTCCCCATTGTCTTGGCTATTAAAACATTCAGCTTCTAGTTACTTATGCAAATTTCTGCAGCTGGCTTGAATTCCTCCCCAGAAAATGAGTTTTTCTTTTCTACCACATGGGCAGGCTGCAAATTTTCCAAACCTTTATACTCTGTTTCACTTTTAAACATAAGTTCCAATTTCAAACCATCTCTTTGTGAATGCGTATAACTGAATGCTTTTCAGAATAAGCCAGGTCACCTCTTGAATGCTTTGCTGTTTAGAAACTTCTTCCATCAAATACCCTATATCATCTCTCTCAAGTTCAAAGTTCCACAGATCTCTAGGGCAGGGGCAAAATGCTACTAGTATCTTTGCTAAAGCATAGCAAGGGTGACCTTTGCTTCAGTTCCCAATAAGTTCCTCATCTCCTTCTGAGACCACTTCAGCCTGGACTTCATTGTCCATATTACTATCAGTATTTTGGTCAACAAGCCTCTAGGAAGTTCCAAACTTTCCCTCATCTTTCTGTCTTCTTCTGAGCCCTCCAAACTGTTCCAACCTCTGCTGGTTACCCAGTTCCAAAGTCGCTTCCACATTCTCAGGTATCTTATAGAAATGCCCCACTACCTTGGTATCAGTTCTCTGTATTAGTCTGTTCTCATACTGCTATAAAGATACTACCTGAGACTGGGTAATTTATAAACAAAAGAGGTTTAATTGACTCACACTTCCACAGGCTATACAGGAGGCATATAGGGAGCCCTATATGCCATATATGCCAAGGAAACTTGGCAGAAGGCAAAGGAGAAGCAAGGCACTTCTTACATGGTGGCAAGAAAGAGAGCAGGGGAAATGCTGGACACTTATCAAACAACCAGATCTCATGAGAACTTCCTCACTATCACAAGAACAGGATGGGGGAACTGCCCCCGTGATCCAATCACCTCCCACCAAGTCCCTCCCTTGACATGTGGGGACTACAATTCAAGACGATATTTGGGTGGGGACACAGAGCCAAACTATATCAGTACCTGAGGAGAACTTATAATAAAAGAAACTTGAAGCACACTGAATAACACATACCACATGAAGCAGATTTATTGGAAGAGATGGACCAATAAGCAAGCACCATATATATCTGCAAGAGTTAAGGAAGGATATTGATGATAGAACAAAGAAATAAGAAATTACTTTTAAAAATTGTAAATATTTATTTTAAAAATGAGATAGTTAAAATGAAGATGACAATAGGTGGGATATACAGCAAGATGATTACATCAAATAAGAAAATAGTAAATCAGGGCCAGGCGTGGTGGCTCACGCCTGTAATCCCAGCACTTTGGGAGGCTGAGGTGGGCAGATCATGAGGTCAGGAGATTGAGACCGTCCTGGCCAACACGGTGAAACCCCATCTCTACTAAAAAATACAAAAAATTAGCCGGGCATGGTGGCGGGTGCCTGTAGTCCCAGCTACTCGGGAGGCTGAGGCAGGAGAATGGTGTGAACCCGGGAGGTGGAGCTTGTAGTGAGCCAAGATCGCACCGCTGCACTCCAGCCTGGGCAACAGAGCGAGACTCCGTCTCAAAAAAACAAAAAACAAAAAACAAAAACAAAAAAAACAGAAAATAGTAAATCGGAAGATCAATAGAAACTCTCCCTAGGGCAGCAGAAATAAATAAAGAGATGGAAAATACAAAACATAAAAATGAAAAGGGGGCAATAAAAGTTAGGGAGGATAGTATTATCAATGCCCAGATAGTATAAATTCCAAAAGCAAATTGAAAGAGGCCACAGATTACCAAAGATGTATGTAACAAAATACCAATACCTAGAAACATAAAGTAAAATTGAAGAAGAGCAAAGACAGCAGATATTATTAAACAATTCCGCAAAGCTAAACCACTCACAAAGGAATGAAATTTAAGATGCAACTTCACAATAGGAATATTGGACTCACATTCTCCAAGAGAATATGAACTAATATATTTGTGGTTAAAAAAATTTAACATATTGCATTGTGAAGTGTGGCATATAAACATAAAAGTGCACAAAATGGAAACGTGAAAAAGAAAGAGTAATTATAAAGCAAACACCAAGGTAACCACCACAGAGGTGAAGAATATTGCTGGCCACCTATAAAAGTATCTGTAAAAAATGTAATCCATTTTGCCTGATTTTAAATTTTATATAAATGGGATTATACTGTATATATTTTTTTGTGCACTGCTTCCTTTACATTATGATAAAAATTTATCCAACTGGTTTAGTGTACTTGTCCTTTGTTCATTTCATTGCTATCTAAAATTTACCACACAACACTGTTATTACAAATAACACTACTGCTATTCTTGTATATGTACCCTGAGAGAAATGTGCCAGAGTTAGTCTATGGTATATACCCAGGAATGACACTGCTGCCTTAGAAAATGTACACATTTTAACTTTTAGGTAATGCCTAACTGTTTTCCAAAATTGTTAAACAAAAGTTGGCTCTTTGAAGTCAGGAATAAGACAATGTTGCCTGCCCTCTCTCCCTCCTTGTCTCCCTCTCTCCCTCCCTCCCTTCCTTCCTTCCTTTTCTTCTCTTTCTCCTTTCTTTCTTTTTCTTTCTGCTTTCTGTCCCTTCTCTCCGTCTCTTCTTTCTTTCTTTTGAGATGGAGTCACTCTGTTACCCAGGTTGGAGTGCAGTGGCAGGATCTCCACTCACTGCAACCTCCACCTCCCAGGTTCAAGCAATCCTCCCACCTCAGCCTCCCAAGTAGCTGGGGTTACAAGCATGCAGCACCATGCCTAGCTGATTTTTGTATTTTCAGTAGAGACAGGGTTTCACCATGATGGCCAGGCTGGTCTCACACTCCGAACTCCTGACCTCAAGTGATCTGCCTACCTTGGCCTCCCAAAGTGCTGGGATTACAGACGTGAGCCACTGCACCTGGGTGTATTTTACAAAAATCTAGGCCTGTAATTTTAACATAGGAAAATATTTTATTATTCTTAAAAAATTTAAAAAAAAACACCTTTGGCTCTCCCGGTCCTCAATTACGTAGGTTTTTGTCCTTGTTTCAATAGTTTATGCTTTTTATTCTATTCTACCTCCTTTTTTGACCTTATTTTGTTGGTTTTTTTTTTTCCCTAACCTCTTGACATATGGATGGCTAGTTCTTAATGTTCAGTCTTTCTTCTTTTCTAATATTTATACTGAAGCCTCTAATATTTACATGAATGGAGCTAATTATTACTTCAGGTGCATCCCACTAGTTTGGATATTTATTGTTTTTGTTATTGTTCAGCCCAAACTATTTTCTAATTCTCATTATGACTTCTTTAGTTCCTGACTTATTTCAAAGCACAATTTTTAAATTTCTCAATATATGACAATTCTCTAGTTGTCTCCTTGTTATTGGTTTCTAGTTTAATTATGAGGTGGTCAGAGAACATATTCTATAGATTTAAATCCTTTCAGATTTGTTTAGACTTGCTTTCTGACCTAATGTGTGATCAATGTTGTTAACTATACCATACGTATTTAAGAACACACGTATTCTTGTAAGAACTGGAAGCACTATTCTGTGTAGATTTGTTAGGTCAAATTTTGTTGTGGTCAAGTCTTCTCAGTCATTGGTGATTGTTTATCTGTTTGTTCTATTATTTACTGAAAAATGGCATGCTAAAATTTCCACCAAGGCTGTTGGTTTTTCAACTTGAAACTGCATCGGCTTTTCCATTATATATTTTGGGGCTGTGTTACTAGATGCACATGAATTTAAAATGGAAACTTTTTATCATTATGAAGTGATCTTTTATATATACCATATTACTTTTTGACCTAAAGTCTATTTCGTATAACATTGATATATGTATACCAGGATTGTTTCAGTTAGCATTCACCTAGCATAACTCTTTCCATTTATTTTTCTATTTTCGTGTACCTTAGATGTGTCTTATAAACAGGATACAGTTGGATGTTTTCAATACAATCTGACTTTTTTTTAGTTGGGGGCAGTTATTTCGTAATTACTGTTTTATGGATTTAAATCTACTGCCATATTTTTTTTTGTTTTCCTGTCTTATGTTTCATGTTTTCTCCTTTATTTTCTTAGTTGGAATTACCTGAGTATATTTTAATCATTCCATTTATTTTATTTTCTCTACTTGTGTGTAGCCTGTACAAAGTTAGGTACCCTGTTTCTATTCTTTTAGTTGTGACACTAGAATTATGCATTTGTACTTATTGTATCAATACCTAATGTTAATCAATACTTAATCCTCACACATACATACAACACACACATACACACACATCTGAGTATATTTGTTAAAGTACAGGAAAATATCTCTAAAGATGTCTCCAAATCATCTACAGTGGTTATTGCACGGGGCAAAGGGGAGGTTGAATTGGGAGGGGAAAAGTTGGGGGATTCATTTTGCTTATCACAGTGGTGCATACATATATTAAACAATGACAAAACATTAGCCATCATTATTATCTTTATTCTTGCTCTGTATAATTCATGTTTGTATTTGCTACAGTGTATTTTGAACATATACAGTATATTTTTAACATGTCTATAATCAATGTTATTTAGGGGTTGAATCTGAATGAGGAAAATATGAAGATTTATTTCTAAAACTCAACTAAAAATAAAAAATAAAAGTTTCAAGATATATGGTTTATTGAGTTGTTGGCAATTTGAAGTTTAGGAATGGGTTAGGAGTAGGTAGGAATTTTATGATCAATAGAGCAATCAGTAACAGCTAAAATAGCCAGAAGGAAAATTTAATAATTAAAAGATTTGCAGTAACATAGAACTTAGGAGGGTGATCTCCACAGGGCCAGACTTAGGGAATGGGGTAGGGTGGGTGAAAGATGGCTTCACAGGAAGTGGCTAAAGTATGGAGCTAGGGTGTAAATATTCTAGATTAATTGGAGTCTTTCACAGAGTACCGTCATGTGCATGTAACAATGTTTTGGTCATGGACTGCATTACAATGGTGATCCCATGAGATTATATTTTTACTGTACATTTCTTATGTTTAGATACACAAGTACTTACCATTGTGTTACAATTGCCTACAGTATTCAGTAGAGTAACATGCTGTACAGGTTTGTGGCCTAGGAGCAATGGGCTATACCATACAGCTTAGGTGGGTAGTAAGCTATACCATGCAGGCTTGTGTAAGTGTGCTCTATGATATTCACATGACAAAAAACAAACAACAAAACCCCCATTGAAATATTTCTCAGAAAGTATCCCCGTCCTTAAGTGATGCATGAATGTGCTGCCTCCACAGTATATATTCAAAGGTGACCTTCATTGCATAGATTCACACACAAAAAAAGCCATGTGAAAATACCTTGCCCCTAGATTCAGGAATCTTCTGGACACACTCTTGTTTACAATTTAAATTATTTCCAAAAATTGATATATCTGTCGATTAAATACAAGTATTTGTGCGGCAGGAGAATAGGGTCTGGAAGCAGGGAAGCTAGGACTGATTTGTGCTGATGGGATATCAGTTGAAAGACTACTCCCCTTCAACCCCTCCTTTTTCTGCATGGCAGTTGCTGCCTGGCAGTTGCAAGCCCTTCTTTTTCTGTGTGGCAGTTGAAAAATGAAAGTGCCTCAGATTGGTCCCCTTCCTCAACCAATCAGACTTGTGGAAGACCAATGGGAAACCTCTAGAAGGTATTTAAACCCCAGAAAATTCTGCAACCTGTGCTTTTGAGCAGCTTGCCACAGCCTGCTTCCACGCAGTGGAGTAGTGTACTTTCATTTAAAATAAATCTCTGCTTTCGCTGCCTTGCTTTATTTGTGTGTTTTGTCCAATTATTTGTTCAAAACGCCAAGGACCTAGCCAACTACCCTCAACTGTTAACAGCTGCACACACATATCAAGGCACACCAGCTTCACCCTGCCTGGAGCTTCTTCCCATGCCTAGTTTTCTCTTACAATTCCGGTCTCTGCTCAATTATCACTTCTAAAAGAGGACTTTATAGAGACCACCATGTGTAAAACAGCTTTTCTACATGCCCCCGCCAGCTAATTTTTATTAGAGTACTTATATTATTTGAAATAATATTTTTACATGCCTCCATCCCCTGGAAAATGAGCTGAGTGAGGGATATTGTTGGAGTATCCCCAGTACCAGGCACACAGTAGGCATTCAATAAATAGTTTTTGAATGATTACATTGTCTACGGAATTCTAACATGTATGGGTGAAACAAAGACTCTCACATGCTGTGAGAAGAAAACAAAAACTGGGTTGGCAGAGGCCTTGAATATGAGGAAGTGGCCTTTCCGGATAAAGAAACTAAGACTCGGCCGGGCGTGGTGGCTCAGGCCTGTAATCTCAGCACTTTGGGAGGCCGAGGCGGACGGATCACCTGAGATCAGGAGTTCGAGACCAGCCTGGCCAACACGGCGAAACCCCGTCTCTACTAAAAATACAAAAAAAAAAAAAAAAAAAAAAAATTAGCCGGGCGTGGTGGCGGAGGCCTGTAATTCCAGCTGTTCGGGAGGCTGAGGCAGGAGAATCGCTTGAACCCGGGAGGAAGAAAGAAAGAGGGAATGAGGGAAGGCGGGAAAGAGGGAAAGAAGAAAAGAAAAGAAAGGAAAGAGAAGAGGGGCGGGGCGGGGCAGGGCAGGGCAGGGCAGGGCAGGGCAAAAAAAGACTCAGTGCAGGAAAGGACTTGCCCAAGGTAATCTAGTACGTGGAAAAGCGGAGGGCAGGAGCCTGTGCCGTGCAAGAGCTCCGGGGAGCCAACACCGAGCGGCCCTTTTGAGAGGGTCCCAGCCCCTGAGATGCGGGAGCCCGCAAGAGGGAACCTCTTGTCTGAAGAGGTTGCTGCGCTCTGGAGTCGTGCTCTGGGACAGATGGGCAAGCTCCGCTCTTGGGGCCGGAAGCGTGTAGCGTCTCCACCCGGGCTCCAATCCCCAGCCTCGCACTCAGCACCAGGCAGAGTTCAGCCTCCCGCCGCAAGCTCCCTTCCGCCGCTCCCGGCGAGCACGCAGGTCTGGCTGTCCGTTGGGCTAGAGCTTAAAAGCCCAACACGGGCGAAAAAGACGCGGTCTCAGTTAACGGGGACGCTTTAGAGAAACGCACTCGCCTCTCCTGTTCCGGTTGGGTCGGCGCGGGCTTCTCAGGCGCCACGTGGGATTCGGCCCGGGTGCTCTTGTGAGCTGCTGCTCCTGCGGTTGGTGAGATTACCTGGGTCTAGAGTGCGGAGCTGCTCCGTGGCCACGAGGACGTCACCATGGTGGGCCCCCTCCTGCTCCCCCGAACCGCTCGGTTGGTTCCCCGGAAGGCTCTTGTTGAGCAGGCAGAGAGGGAGGGTGCGGTTTCGGGAACCTAGGAGAGGGGAGGATGCAAAGTGTTTATTTTCAGGGAGTGTGCGGGGTGCGGGGCGAAGCCTCTGGGAGGCGAGTCCCAGGCCCAACGCCTGGACCTTAGAGTTCCGCGTCCGAGTGCTGAAGTGCTCACACGTCGCCTTGCTCCTCTTTGCCTTGTGCCTAACTTCTCGCTAGTCACTACTTCCTGGGGGAAACCCGGCACCTTTCCATTGTAACGCATCGAGGAGTTTGGCAAAACTTCTGAGATCGCTGGCCCTACACACCTCTGCCTCTCTGGCCTGGGTAGACTCAGTATGTGGGCTTAGTCGCCTCTTCCTCGGCGTCCGTTCACCTCTCGTTAGTGCCCTGAATCCTGCCGTTACGCCCCCATTCGCTCCAGGGCACTGAAGCAGTTTTGTTGTTTTTATTAAAAACTGAGTAGATACAAAAGAGTGTTACTAAAGCACATTTCAAGTGTAAAGATGAACAGTTTCAGGAATTCTCGTTTACCCATTTTGTAGTTTTAAGAAATAAAACATAGCCTTTGAAAGCCCTGTGTTACCTTCTTTGAACTTTCAGGAAACCTTAAGAAGCAAACATTATCTAAGTTTTGTATTTATAATTTCACTACTTTTCTTTATAGTTACTACATATATTTGTATTTTGAAACAGTATGTTGTTTCTTGCCTATTTTTTACGTAATCGTTGTGTTCTTGAGAGTAATTCTTGCATAGAAACATGCTTTATAAATTTTTTTCAATTAATTTTTAATAAAAGCAAAATTTTAAAAGTTTATAATCTGGTCAGAAGTTACGATATTGTGTCCACAATGTGGCCTCTTTGTTTCTTTTCATTTTTTTCTCTTTTCATTGTATGCCATTTTTGTCTTACAGTCTGGTTCTTTCGTTGTTTCGCGAGTTTTTTGTGCTTTATTTTGATCCACTGCTGACGCATATTTTGTACTTTAGATTGTACACATTTGTGTAAATTCAGTGTTTGCTTGTCACTTTGCTTGTGGGATTTCCAACTCTTTATAGTGTTAGTTTTTTTCCCCTTTTCAGAGTGGAATATGAAAGCAATTACATCTCATTGTGTTTGAGTGATTGGGGAGATAGATTGGTATTTGACTGTAGTTGTCCTTGACTATCAGAGCTTCACTTTTTATCAGGCTGTATAGTAGAAGTACGTTGCTTTGGCATAGAAGTCAAAAGAGTGGCATATGAACCTGTTTTCATTGGCTCATTTCTGGCTCTGTCATTTTTTTTTGATATAACCTCATTAGTGGTTTTGCTGCATCCTCTTTCAGTACAGCTCAGAATGTGGTCCCAAAGGACAGAGTTGGGCACCTGTCTTTCCCTGAGTTGCCATCTTGGCAAAATTACTTAACCTCCCATCTGTTTAATTGGGATAACAATAGTACCTACCTCATAGAATTGTGGAAATTAAATGTAAAGTGCTTAGTCTAGTGCCTGGCACTTAGTAAATGTTATTGTTATTAACTTTAGTTATATAAATAGTAACAGTGTACAGCTTATAGTTGTTCATCCTTGTTACTTTGCTCATTAATGTTCTCTTATTGTAAATCTTTGCTGGAGCTTAGCAAGTTCATATCTTTATATCAAAATTTAGTTTACCTGTTATATATAAATAATCTTTTCAAATTAATCCATTCCACTCAACACTTCTTTATGCTGCATTAAAAAGGTTTTTAGTGTTTATTATTTTTTATTTTTTTTTGAGACGGTGTTTTGCTCTTGTTGCCCAGGGTGGAGTCCAGTGGCATGATCGCGGCTCATTGCAACCTCCGCCTCCTGGATTCAAGTGATTCTCCTGCCTCAGCCTCCCGAGTAGCTGGGGTTACAGGTGCCAGCCACCACACCCAGCTAATTTTTGTATGTTTAGTAGAGACAGGGTTTCACCACATTGGCCAGGCTGGTCTCGAACCCCTGACCTCAAATGAGACAGGGTTTCACCACACTGGCCAGGCTGGTCTCGAACTCCTGACCTCAAATGATCCACCCGCCTTGGCCTCCCAAAGTGCTGTGATTACAAGTGTGGGCCACCGTGCCCAGCCAGGATTTTAGTATTTTTAAGTATGGCTCATACAATACTACTAGGCACCCATGGGTATACTCCTTTTTATATAAACCTGTCATAGAGCTTGTGTGTGCTTCTTTCCCTCCCTAGCTAGACTATATACCATTGAAAAGTGTGCCATCATCCTCCGTGCATTTATCCATGCACATTACTGTGGGGCATTAGCTGTTACTGACTACCTTAATGGTAGAGATTGTGTGTTTTGGGGACTACATCTATAAATGTGAGCCACAACAACAAATCAGCTTAATACATCTCATAGAGATTATCTGTTAGTGAAAACTTGCTCCTGAAAGTTAGTAAAACTAAAGAAAAACATTAATGGAAATCTACCTAGTATACCAATCTTTTTGAGACAATATTACTTGTACATGGTTTAAAACACTAAAAAATGGTTTCTCATAAAAATTGTATTAGTTTCTTATTAACTGCCATAGTAAAGTGATATGCATTTAGTGGCTTAAAGCAACACATTCATTTCCTGAAACCTCTGGAGGTCAGAAGTTCAAAAATGAGTCTTAACTGAGATAAAATTAAGGTGTTTGTCAGGGCTGTCTTTCTTTAAGGGGCTCTAATGAATTTTTCTGTTTCTAGAGGTCATCTACATTCTTTGGCTCCTTCCCTCTTCAAATCCAGCAGCATGGCATCTTTAAATTTTCCCCCAGAGAAGGTTACATTTTCTCTGACAGTGATCCTCCTGCCTTCCTCTTACATGGACCTTTAGGATTATGTTGGGCCCACCTGGATAATTTTCCCCATCTCAAGATCTTAATCACATCTGCAAGTCCTTTTTGTCATATATGGTAATATATTCCCAGGTTCTGGAGGAATCAGGGCGTGGATATCTTTTGGTCGGAGGAGGGCAGAGCATTATTGCGTCTGCCACAAAAAGACTTTTTCCAGCTCTCTTGCCTAATGCCCTGGTTCACTTGAGAAACAGCCACTGTTAACAGTTTCTTAGCTATCAATTCAGATACTTTATATGTATGTACCAGCATATATGTATGTTCCCTAACCTTTCTTTTTACATAAATGGTATACTGGACACCTTAGTCCCTTGCTTTTTTGTCTTACCTGATCTTATAGATCTATGTAAGTACATATAGATCCACTTCTTGCTTTTTAAACAGTGAATATTCCATTGTTTGCTTCTGTAACTTACTTAACCCGATCTGTGATAGACCTTTAAATTGTTTACATTCTTTTGCTACCACAGACATTGCAATACTGCTGCATTGATTATTTATCCCCCCTTTGGTACACGTGTAAATATGTCTGTAGAATAAATTAATAGAATTTCTTGGTTAAAAGATTTTTTTTTTTTTTTTTTTGAGACAGAGTCTTGCTCTGTCACCCATGCTGTAGTGCAGTGGCGTGATCTCGGCTCACTGCAAGCTCTGCCTCCCGGGTTCACGCCATTCTCCTGCCTCAGCCTCCCGAGTAGCTGGGACTACAGGTGCCCGCCACCACGCCCGGCTAATTTTTTGTATTTTTAGTAGAGACGGGGTTTCACCGTGTTAGCCGGGATGGTCTCGATCTCCTGACCTCATGATCTGCCCGCCTCGGCCTCCCAAAGTGCTGGGATTACAGGCATGAGCCACTGTGCCCGGCTGGTTAAAAGATTTTTGACCAAGAAATTCTATTTCAATTTTTATCTTGATGGGTACTATCTTTATTTTTATTTTATTTTATTAAAAAACTTTTTTTAGAGATGGAGTCTCACTCTGTCACCTAGCGTGGCATGTAGTGGCACACTCATAGCTAGCTCGCTGCAGCCTCAAACTCGGGCTGACGCCTCTGTCTCCCCAGTAGCCAAGATTACGGAGGTACACAGCCTCTCCTGGCTAATTTTTTAGATTTTTTTGTAGAGACAGGGTCTCACTATGTTGTCCAGGCTGGTCTCGAACTTCTGGCTTCAAATGATCTACTCACTTTTGCCTCTCAAAAGTGTTGAGATAGTGGGCAGAAGCCACTGTGTTTAGCCCTGATGGGTACTATCAAATTGCCTTCCAGAAGACTGTACTGGCTTGCACCCCCTTGAACTATAAGATTACTAATACACCCACACCCCCACTAATGCAATGTGAATAATTTTTTCTCTTTGTTAATATTACACATTAATAATTCTATTTCATTGAAGTTTTTGTTTTTAAAGTTTTTCCAGCTTTTAAATAACACTTGTTTTTAGTCTTCCTGTGATTTGTATATATCTTTTGCTGATCTTTTTCATATTAATCTTAAAATAACTTCTTAAGATAATTAACTCTTTTGTTTGTGTTGCAAGTTTTTTGTAGTTTGTTTTTAGCTTGGTTTATGTTTTGAAGTTCAGACTTTTAAGTTTTTATGTAGATTTGTTATTTTAAATCTTCTGAATTTTATATAATGTTTAGAAAGACCTTTCTCTGAGACTCCTCTACAAAAAAATAAGAAAATCTTTTCTTCTGAGATCTGTGTGGTTTCATTTTTTATGCTTAAATGTGTTCTATGAGGAACTTAATTTAGAATACAGAGTGATATACCAAATTTTAAAAAGATTCCTATGCTTTTTATAGTTGTCCCTTGGTATCGAGGGATATTAGTTGAGGACACACTCGAATACCTAAATCCATGGATGCTCAGGTCCCTTATATAAAATGGTGTCGTTTTTGCGTGTAGCCTGTGCATATTCTCCTGTATACTTTAAGTCATACTTAACCATACCTATTACAATGTAAACGCTGTATAGTGATTATATTGTTTTTTAAATTTTTATTATTTTTATTGTTATATTATTATTTTTTATTTATTTTTCTGAATATTTTCTGTCCTCTGTTGGTAGAATACCCAGATGTGAAGCCTGGAGGGCCAACTGAATTTATTTACATTTTTTGAGTGCTTGAAATAGTTAATGCTAATCTAAAACTTGAACACACAGCAAATGTTACAAATAAATAAGTAGCTCAGCTAAGCCTTTGTGACCTAAAGGATGAATTATTACCAAATGTTATTTTTTGTCTTACTTTGTTACATAATATACACTTTAAGGAATTTTCTTTTTTGTGCGTGTGTGACATCTGCTTTATGTTCAGCACTTGAAACCTAGGCTTGCTAAGTAGTGACTATTTTCTAAATCACTGCTAAATCTAATCCAAAAGTACATTTGGAGATCCCAAAACTGACTTATGAAGGCTTATAAATGAAATATCCTAATTTAAATACTTAAGAAACGTATAGTTTATTTATCCATTCTTTCTTTCTTTTTTTTTTTTTTTTTTGAGTAGGAGTCTTGCTCTGTCACCCAGGCTGGAGTATGGTGGTGCTATCTCAGCTCACTGCAACCTCTGCCTCCAAGGTTCAAGCAATTCTCCAGTCTCAGCCTCCCAAATAGCTGGGATTATAAGCGTGCACCACCACGCCTGGCTAATTTTTGTATTTTTAGTAGAGACGGGATTTCACCATGTTGGCCAGGCTGGTCTTGAACTCTTGACCTCAAGCAGTCTGCCTGCCTCAGCTTCCCAAAGTGCTGGGGTTACAGGCTTGAGCCACTGTGTCCGGCCCCATTATTTATTACTTGATAAGGGTTTTTGAAAGCTGTATGTCTGTTGGGGTGGTCATGGTGGTTGGTGGATTGACTCAAACAAGACAGTGCCTTCTTTCTTGCTGTATAACTTTGTCAGTGAAAAAGAATGCCTCTGACAGGGACTGGCACAGAGTTTTTGTTCATCTAAGTGTATAGGTAATCTATTCGCCTGCTCCTTTTCAGGGCCAGGCCAACAAGAAAATCTGTTTCTCCCAGGAGCAATTAATTTAGGTAGAAATACAGTAAACCTGTCAAACTGATTTAGCTACAATCTTGTTTTTCACTTCTTATAAAAGACCCAGGAATGAGAAGGATAAACATGAATTTGTGCTAGAATTCCAGTGGCTGTATGCCTGTACTATGTGTTAGAAAAGATAGAAGGCAAGTACTATTGTATTTAAGTTGGAAAAACTGATCTATTTTGTGTGTGACCTGGCAAAAGTTTTTCAAAATGCTTTTGTTTCAAAGTTTTATTCAGTCAGAAGGAAATTTTAAATGAGGTAAACATTTTTATTTTTATTGTAGAATTGTGTCACTAAAATTGATCAGGCCAGTCACCTTTATTTCTTTATTGCCTCCCATCTGAATATTCTTGGGAGACTATGCTTACTGTTATCTCTGGAAAGAACTAGTCCTTCCTTCATAGTTATATCTTTGTTTCATTATGATCCCAAATATTCTGGTCTTTGATAGAAGTCTCACTTAGTGACATATTAATTTCCTGTGTTATTATTCTGGGTAGACCTAAATGGGGTTGCGTGTGAGATGAGTTTAAACCACGCTACTTCTTTCTTAGTACGTTTATTGTCTACTTTTACAGGAGTAAAAACAATTATAATATGTGACCTCTTCTCTTTAAACTCTTCTTTCAAACTTTGGTTAGGCCATTCTGACTGAAGTTAAAGAGAGTTAAAACCAGTCTGTTTATGTGTCTCTTTCTACAGCTTATTTTAATGCTTCTCTTTTCATTTGCTATTTAGGTTTGCTAGTTCTCATCATTTTGCCATTAAAAAGTACCAGTATGCAAGGCAATCATTTTTCAACTTGTTGATTTTAGATGTTGTTTCGTTGCAAAGAGTGTTTGATTATCTGTATCCAGAGATATACAGTGATGCAAGTGTTTGTTGACATTGGATCAAAATCTGTACTTAACAGTATTATTTCATATTCTCTCTTTTGTTCTGGGAGCAAGGAGGATATTTTGATTTGATTTTCTGATTTAAACATTAACTTCCACATTAATTAGGTGGTAGGCTTATTTTGTAGCCTGGAAATTGAGAAATGTTTAGTAAATTTCTTGATTTTTAGATCTCAGGTTACTTTCTCAGGGAGGCCTTTCCTTACTTCCCAAAGTGAGTCAGGACCCTATGCTTTTGATCCATTTTCTAGCCAGCACTTACTAAGTTAGCTATTCCTGAGAAAACTAGATTGTAAACTCCATGAAGGCAAGTTCATGTCAGTTTTTGATCTGGAAGCCTCAGTGCTTATCCTAGTACATGGTATATTTAGTGTGTGCTCAGTAATTAAAAATATGTATATATTAATATGAGGTTGCGGTGTAAAGAGTGGCAGTAGAGAATCTGGGAGAAGTTTATTCTGACTAGACGTTAGTAGGTAAGTTTGGAATAACATAAGTTGAGCTAGATATTAGAATCTAAAATGAAGATAAAATTAAAGTCTGCATTAGAGAATTATTAAGATATTCTTTTAATGTTAAGGAAGGCACCATCATGAGCTATTTTATAAATTACTTTTATATTTGATACCTCACACTATTTTAAAGAACATACTTAATATTTTTAATTCATAGTAGCCCATTGTACAGTACAAAGTGGATGCTCAGTAAATGCTCACTCAGGGCAGCATCCCACTTTCTTTACTTCTCTCAAACTGTGATTTGCAACCTCAGGACATATTTGCAGTCTCAAATGAGCTGCTATTAAGGAAATAACACACAAATGTACAATTAATGCTGAGCAGTGCAGTACATTATTAGGTGCTAAATGGTAAATGCTACCAAGAGGGAAAGGCTACTGAGATATGAAATTATTCTTGGATCCCTTCAAGGAGCAGTTGAACTTGACCTTTAAGTGGTCTTCGAAGATTGGGTGGGGTTTAGAAAGGCTTATGTATGGAACTATTAAAGTCTTCTTGGAAGCGCTAATTAATTATTTGTCATTGACACGTGTCATTGCATCATATTTATGTGTTAAGGAAGGAAGATGCACTAGGGCTCACTGGTGCATTTCACTACTATCTTTGCAGTGAAGATTCACTGCAAAAAAAGTGTAGATTTGCTTAGTCCATCATTTCGATCATGTCACTGGTGTAAAATTGGTACATCATTTACTGTAATTTACCGTCATTCACGGCATAATGACATTTTGGTCATCAGTGGGCCACATATATGATGATGGTCCCATAAGATTATAATACTGTATTTTCACTTTACCTTTTCTATGTTTAGACATGTTTAGATACACAAATACTTACCTTTGTGTTACAGTTGCCTACAGTATTCAGTACAGTAACGTCCTGGACAGGTTTAAAGCCTAGGAGCAATAGGCTATGCCATAGAGCCTGTGTGTATAGTAGGCTATACCATCCAGGTTTGTGTAAGTACACTTTATATTTCCATAAAAAGGAAATCACCTACTGACTCGTTTCCCAGAAAGTATCCCTGTTAAGTGAGGCATGCCTGTATTTTTATGTTTAAGGGTATTATGATGTTTACAGTATTGCACTCTAAGCTTTCTCAGTTGTAGGCATGGGTTTGGTCTTAAACTTTAAAAAAAAAATGTATTTACGTACACTTTGTGGACCTCAAGTGTGTTTGCTGAAATGATCACTCCTTTATGTCTCTTGTTTCACTGAGTAGTCTAAATGGCACTTCTGTCTCTAGTTGAGCCTAGACTGCGGCTCAACTTGATGGTCTTTTAGGCAAAGTTCCTTTTTGTTACTTATGATTTTAACAGGAATATTTAAAGCGTATTGCCCCTAAAATAACTCTATTATGTCGTTTTGAATAAACTATGTGTTTTTTTGTTACTTCTAGTTATGAATCCAAAGAGAATAGACTTTCAGACTGAATTTTTTGAATTAGTCACTGAAGAGTGTAGGGAAGAGATACTTTTAATGCAGGTTTTCTAACTGGACTATTTCTGTGGTGCCAGAGTCTTTTCATAGGCATAGATATTCAAAATGGTCTGTTAGTTATTTTATGATAGAGTTTTACTTTAGTTTTTCCCTGTTGAAACATTTTTTTCCAAATTTTAATGTATTGAAAAATATGAAAGTTTTAAAATATAGTAAATTTTATTGTACATATTTCTGTGTCTCACTGTATATTCATATCCTGCCTTGAGGCAACCTTTTCATGAATAAATTATTATAAGGAATCATAACTTACAGTTGAGTCAAAAAATAAGTTAATTTCTTTGTACCTTCTTTGTACTAAGTCTTGAAGGTTCTTTAGCCAAGATCGTATAAAGCTATGAGGACGTTTTTATATTCAAGGGGTATCAAACTTCTTTTCCCTAAAGAAAGTTTTTGAGTCTTTAAAGGACATTTTTTGTAGTTTTGAACATATTGCTGGAACTTCATGGCTATGCATTTTCAGTTTTAGCAGCTTCAGAGACTTTATATTTTCTTCCCTGGGATTTTTGTGAATTTTTAAAATATTGTTAAGCATTTTTTAATAATGATATGTGGGATCAGATCTCTTTTCACAGGATGCATCTTTGCTTTGGTTTTTTGGTCTTGCATTAGTCATTTATTCCTGTGTAACAAGATATCCTAAAATTTGATGGCTTAAACCAATATTTATGATCTCTCCCTTTCTTTGGGTCAGGAATCAGGCATGGCTTACTGGTCTCCTCTCCCTCAAGGTTTCTCACAAGGTTGCAGTGAAAGTATTACTTGGGGGTGTGATTTCAAGGCACAGCTGCGGAGAGTCTACTTCTTTTTGTTGTTGTTTTGTTTTGAGGCAGAGTCTGACCCTGTTGCCCAGGCTAGAGTGCAGTGGTGCCATCTATGCTCGCTGCAGTCTCCACCTCCGTAGTTCAAGCTATCCTCCCACCTCAGCCTCTTGAATAGATGGGATTACAGGCATGTGTCACCACACCCAGCACATTTTTATATTTTTAGTAGAGATGGAGTTTTGCTATGTTGGCCAGGCTGGACTTGAACTCCAGGCCACAAGTGATTCCACCTGCCTCAGCCTCCCAGAGTGCTGGGATTACAGGCATGAGCCACCATGCTTGGCTGAGGATCTGCCTCTAAGCTTGCTGTTGGTAGGATTGTTAAGCTGGTTCTTGGTAGGATTCAGCTCCTCGTGGACTGTTGAACTGCAGGCCTCACTTCTTCACTAGCTGTTGTCTGGAGGCCTCCCTCAGTTATTTGTCATGTGGCCCCTCCATATGGCAGCTCACTACAGGACAGCTGGTTTCCATGAGAGGGGGAAAGATGGAAGCCAGACTTCTTTGATAACCTAATCTCAGAATTGGCATTTCATTGCTTTTGCTAAATGCTCTTCATTAAAAGTGAGTCGGTAGGTCCAGCCCACATTCAAAAGGAGGGGATTCCATAAGGGCATGAGGATCAGGAGGTGGGGTTTATTGGGTCCATCTTAGAGGCAGCCTGCCAAATGTCCTGAAAGTTTTTACTTGATTCATGTTTGCTAGGTACTTTAATCTCAAAAATTCCTCATTACACCTGCCTTTCTCCTCTGCACTTGCCATGTGAGCAGAGAGATACATAAAAGAGTACATATACTCTTATATGATGGTTCTACATATTTTCCTATACCTGTAACCAACTTCCAGTGATACCTTAAGATTCAGATGTGGATATATCTTCTCAGGTTTATCAGAAAGCGAGCAGAGCGCTCAATGAGTGTTGAAAGAATGAATATATTTGTGAATGAGGAATTTGTGGTTATTTTAAATAGTTCTGCCTAGTTTTACAAAGGAAGTAATTTTGAACTGCATCTTATCAAAGGGCAAGTAAAGTATTTTGCAGGCAGAGGTAATAACAAGTGCAGTCTCAAGAAGTTATGAAATAGCTTGGTATGTTCTGGAATGGTGAGAAGTTCAGTAAGAATGGCGTGAAGAATCTTTTATAGAGGAGCATGGGAAATAATGGTGGAGAAGCAGGTTGGGGCTAGATTGTTTCTGTGCTAAAGACTTGGGACCTAACTGTGAGCTAGTAGAGCACTTTAAGCAGGGGAGAGGGACTTTACTATATTAGTGTTTTATGAAGACAAGCTCTGTAGCTTTGCCGAAGAAAGGACTAGTGGGGAGAATCTAAAGACTATCCTGATTATGAAAGATTCTGAGGATTGAATTAAGCAATTGACAATAATTTTGAAGAAGAGTGTAAAGCCACTTGGCCTTTTTCTGGAATAGGTATGTTGGAGACTGCCAGCTGTCCCCTAATGTATTCTTTCTGTTTTTCTATATGAATGGATCTTTTTCTCACAGAATAAGGATTATATTTACTACTCTCCCTTATGTAACACTGTGAATAAATTTTGGTCAGTGGGATGTGAGCAAAAGGATCTGCAACTTCCCAGGTCATGCTCTTAAAAAAAGGGGATGTACCTTCAGATTTTTCTTTTCCTACTTCATACTGGCTTGAGTGTAGACCTGGTATTAGGCTGTCTTGAACTAGATAGGAGGTATAGCCTGAGGCTAGTAGACAAAAAAATGGAAGGATCCTGGATCCCTAAGGGCTTTGTGGAACAGAACCTTCAGCTCCTACTTTTAACAATAAAGAACCAAACTTAAGCTGGGTTATGCCATTATTTGGGGTTTTTATTACAGAGAGCCAAATATGATTCCTAGATCATTATAGGTGAGGTAAGATACAGGATTATGTAGGAATAAAAGAAACCTGAGATGTCTAGTTTGGAGGACCTAATGAATTGTGGGCTGATTAACTGGCATAAGGCTTCAGTGGGAAAATGATACATTTTTCCTTTTGGATATACTAATTTTGAGATGGCTTCTATTATTTTCTCTATTCCTAATTTGTACAGGCAATGAGCCCAGCTTTGATTTTGCATGATTCATTGCCCGCTTTGTTCCATGTGAAACATCTACAATCAAGCCCCTACTAATAATCCAAGTCCCTTCTGACCCCTTAATTTTCTTAACTGTAACAAATTTCTGGCTGTGAGTCTCCTCACTATCTGTAGTCCCTGTATCTTCTTTGAAGATAGAACATGTTGTTGAAGAGCTGAGTTTATTGACTCCTTCTGTGCCTTTCTTCTGTCATTGGAGAGCACCTCTGAATATATCGTTTCTGTCATTACCATGGCAACAGATTATTAGAATTATTTAATGATCCTGGCTTATCTCCTGATTTTTCTTGTAATAGTTTTAGCTTACTGTATTTCTGTCATATTACTGTTTTTAAAATTTATTTGTAAAGAATATTTTTGGGACTGAAGGCACTTACATATCTGACTATATGTGTCATGTGTTTTCATACATTTTAGCCCAAAGCACCAAAGGGAAAAAGTGCAGGACGGGAAAAAAAAGTCATCCATCCATATAGTAGAAAAGCAGCTCAAATTACGAGAGAGGCCCACAAACAAGAAAAAAAGGAAAAGTAAGTATCTTTTCATCATTTGTATTACTCGTTGGTAAAAAGCCCCTTTATACTTTTATCTTTCAAACATATATCCTTTCACAGTATTGTCTCCCTTTCATAAATATTTATTAAGTGTGTTCTGTATGCAGAGGGTGAAACTGAACAAGGACTCTACTCTTTTAGAGCTTACCTAAAACAGATAAGTAATTTATGTAGCAGTAGGTGATGAGTGCCATGAAAAATTTAAAAAGTTATGGGATGGACAGTGAGGGAGAAGTTGTTTTACGTGGGATAGTCATGGAAGCCTTCTCTGAAGAAGTTACATTTGAACAGAGAGTTGAAAAATGTGAGGTCTGTATATAAGGCATGTAGGTTAAAGTGCCCATGAGACATGTAAGAGGAGATATGGAATGGATAGTTAGATATGTTGAGTCTAGTGTTCAGAGAATAGGTTAGGGGTATTGACACAAATTTGGGAGCGATCAGCATCCATGTGGGATTTCAAGCCGTGAGACTGGATAGGATCAGTTCACCTAAGGAGTAACTGTTGACAGGAAAGAGAAGAGAGCCAATTACTGAGTTCAGTGGCCCTCTACCATTTAGAGGTTAGGAAAAGAAGGAGCATTCCACAAGTGAGACTGAGAAGGAGGAGAAAGAAGGCTGTTTCAAAGATTCCTTAAAATGAAGTGAAGTTCAAATAAACATCATCGTTTTGACTATTTTAGAATGCCCTTGCCATTTTCATGAATGTTAGATACATTTGCATACCAGATAATGGAAGCCAGTATATTTTTAAATGTTGATTCTTTGCTTAAGATAAGCTTTATATAGTAAAGGTTACCTGTTTCACAGTGATTTGGCTAGAAGGAAATAAGTGTTGTGATAGCAGAGTCAAATTTTCTTTATTTTCTGCAGGGTAGTTTTTTATTTTTTTCAACATAAAGATTTACTGTGATGATAGCAGTTTTGCTTTAGCACAGTAGTTTTCAAACTTCAGCTATTTATGCATCACTTTTATGATTTTTGCTGTATCTTTTTAATATGATTTATTAGTACTGTGATTTTGCAGTTTCTGCTCTCATATATATCAGTATTTTGCAAACTTAAGTACATGAAATACATCTGTAGAACTTATTAAAACTGTTTGTTCCAACCCCTAGAATTTTCTATTCTGAAGGTTTGGGTTTCTGGCTTAAGGGTTTCCACTTCCAACAAGTCTCCAGGTAATGCTGGTGCTGTTGCTGCTGGTTTAGGGACCACACTATGAGAATCACTGACCTATACTATTATTTATTTTCCCTTAAGTACCATTTTTTAAAAAGGAGATATTTTTTCTCTCTTAAAATCAAATAGATACTATTACCTGCTGTAAATGGTCTGAGGCTGAGACATAACTTTTGTATATGTTTGGTGAAAAGATCTGGTGAAGGTTGGAAGACTGGTAAAACAAACCCACACTTTTGTCCTTAATGTAAAGTGAAAGGATCAAAAGAAAATGGAGGAAGGGGAAGCAACGTGCTTACCATTTTATTAAAGATTGTTTAATTCTGTGTCTATGAACTGCTTACCTTACATATAGTACCAGTGGTATGATATGCAATATTTTAGCAAGTAACTGCTTTAGAATATGATTAAGTACTTGGTTCACTGTCATTGTGACCGTGAGCCTACAATGTTTGTATGTTGTCAGGTATATTCAGCATGTTGTGTATTGATTTACAGAATTAGCGTTATAGAAAAATTATGGAAGAATAAAACAGAACAACATGCTAATCTGATATGTATATATTGTCCTAAGAAAATTCTGTTTATTGGCCAAGACTTTTATTTTAGTAATGCAGAGTAGAAAGCACTTAATTTTTCTGCTTAGACAATGTTCTAAATAGATTGGATTTTTTCCCTTTTTAAAATTTATTTTCAAAAAGTCACTCTCTTAGTAGTCATGGCTCTAGAACCAAATATACAATTTTAATAGTACTTAACATTATTTTATGTTATGAAATCATAGGCTTAGGCCACTATAGATGTCAGTTTTTTGAGTAGCAGCATCAGTAACCACGAGTCATACTTAACTTTAAATGGGAATGTGGTCACAAAAGGCACGTTGAAACGCTGCTGATTCCCTGCCCCATTTCAAAAGATGATTGGTGACAAGATACCCAGATGGTTGGGACAACTTTAAGCAAGGTGATTGAAGAAGGTACCAACAGGACAACTTGAACTTGGGTACCTGTGGCTTCTTAGAAATGAATAGCAGTTACCAGATGTTGTTTTAGTAACTGTTGCTGCATAAGAAATTCTGCTACAATTTAGCAGCTTAAAACAAACACAGTTTCTGGATCAGGTAGGAATCCCGTTGCCACTTAACTGGGTGTTTCTGACCCAGCATCTTTCACAAGCCTGCAGCTAAGCTGTTGTCTGGGACTGCATTCATCTCAGAGCTTGCTAGGGAGAATTTCTGCTTCCAAGCTTCCTCACATGGCTGTTGGCAGACCTCAGAAAAGATACTGTAGGAGTGGATAACAATGCTAGAGTAAAAGTTCAAGCATATTCTTTATCTTCAACATTTGAAAAGCTCTGATTTAGGACTGTATGACAGGAACTAGGATGGTTTGAAGACTAGCACATTCCCGACAATGAACAATTTACAAGCAGCAAGTGGCTCTTTGATATGATGTGATTTTTGTTTTATGATTTCACAGTATAGCAACATTTTGGCAAATAATTCTAGATAGCAAATGAAAATGACTCCTAATGGAAGATTAACAAAGGAAACTAAGCATGATGGGTAAGAATCTCAGAAACAACTACCTTTGAGAATTAATCTTATTGATTCTCTTTAAAACTCATGTTTACATATTGTTTTAAGAATTTTTTCATATTTACATGCAAGTACTGTTTTAAATAATTCTCACATCTCTCTACTTTTCTTCATTCCAGCTGATACCACTGTAAGTTCAGGTTCCCACTGAGTCCATTCAGAATTATTGCAACTTGACTTCTAACTAGATTCTTCCCTCCAGCCTTATTTAAAAGGAAGAAATTCCCCTCAGAGCCATTCTCCAACTTTTTATGAAGTGTTCTTTGTTTTTTAAGATCAACTTTGGGGTATAATTAATATATAATAAAGCGAACACATTTTAAGTGTAGTTTTTGGGTTTTGACAATTGTATACATTGGTGTAGCCACCCTGATCAGTATGTAGTATACAATTTCATCTTCCTAGAAAATTCCCTTGTGTATCTTCCCAGTCAGTCCTCACCCTCTACCCCTAGCCTCGGGCAGCCACTAATTTGCTCTTTATTTTGATAGGTGAGATTTATCTTTCTAATGTTTAATATAAATGGGATCATGCTGTATGTGGTTTTTTGTGCCAGCGTCTTTCACGTAGCATAATGTTTGAGAGACTTATCCATGTCATTTTATGTATTAGTTGTTCTTTCCTTTTATTGGGAGTATTATTCCATCCTCAGGCAATTTATTTATATCCATTCACTGGATATGCACCTTGCTTATCCATTCACTGTCTATGTTCGTTTGGTTATATTTTCATTTTTGGCTGTTATCAGAGGTCGGCAAGCTAAGGCATTAGCCACCTGTTATTACGAAAAGTTTTGTTGGAAAACATCAATGCTGGTTCCTTTTGTGTTTTCTATAGCTGCATTCATGCTGCAGTGGCAGAGCTGAGTAATTGTTACAGGTACACAGCCCCCAAAGCCTAAAATGTGACTACTTGACCATTGAAGAAAATATTGTCAACCTCTGCTGTTAGGAATAAAGTTCATTCCTGTAAAACATTCATGTACAGGTGTTTGTGTGGACATACGTTTTCATTTTTCTTTTACTTCCTAGAACTATAATTGTTGGGTAGATGTTTGAGTTTATAAGAAATTCAGTTTATAAGACGTTAGGTTAACACACTTAAGATGTTTGCTTAAGTATATGAGAATTTGGGTATATAAGAATTGCTGGATCATTTGGTGTATATTTAAGTATATATGAAATTACCTTTCTCAAAGTGATAGTACCATTTTACATTTTCACCACCAGAGTATGAGAGTTCTATTTGCTGTATATCCTCTTTGACATGTTATGTTGTCAGGGTTTTTTTTTTCTCTTTAATTTTAGCCAATCTAGTAGGTGTATAGTGGTATTTCAGTGTGGTTTTAATTTTCATTTCTTGATGACTAATGATGTTGAGCATCTTTTTAGGTTCTTTTTGGTCATTTGTGTTTTCTTGATGGAGAATCTGTCCGAATCTTTTGCCTTTTTGGTACTGGGTTAATCTGTTGTTAAGTAGTAAGGACTGTTTATATATTCTAGATACAAGTCCTTTGTTATTTGTGTTATGAATATTTTCTCCTAATCTGTAACTTAAAAATTTTATATAAAGAAGGTTTTGGCCTAGTATGGTGGCTCATCCTTGTAATCCCAGTGCTTTGGGAGGCCAAGGTGAGAGGACCGCTTGAGGCCAGGAGTTTGAGACGAGCCTGGGTGACACAGTGAGACTCTGTCTCTACAAAAATAAAAGTAAAAAAAAAAAAAAAAGTAGCCAGGCATGGTGGTATATAACAGTAGTCCTAACTACATGGGAGGCTGAGGCAGGATGGTTGCTTGAGCCCAGGAGTTTGAGGCTGTGGTGAGCAATGACAGCACTACTGCAGTCCTGCTCGAGCTACACAGTGAGGCCCTGTCTCTAATGATAATAATGATAATAATAACAAAAGATTTCATTTTATTTCTCCAGTTTTCTAGTTGTGTAAAATGGGAGGATAAATCTGGTTTGCTTACTTCTTTGTGGATAAAAGCCATGTATACTTCCTGCTTTATACAAAGCCTTCTCCTATGGCTAAGATTTTTCTTTTACCATTCCCGTAGTCCCTATCTTTTTTTTTTTTTAATCCTGAATAACTTCTCTGTATGTTCAGGTCTCAGCTTAAAATTTACTTCTCTGGAAAACCTTCCCAAATCCTAAAACATATGGTAGGTGCTTTTTAAATATGCTTTTATAGCTCTGTATGCTTCTCCATGTTTTTATTGCCCTTAGATTTTAAGGTTTTTCAGGACAGGGACAGTGAATTTTTTTTGTTCATGGCTGTATCCTTTGGGGCTATCAGAAACTAAAGTCTGGCAAAGACTTGGTATCCAGAGGTCTCCTGAATGAGTAAGTGTTTAGAATATCAGTAATAGGAGGCATGTGTTACCTATACACTTTCTGAGCATAGATGAAATTTTTGTTTGTTATAATTCTTTTCAAATTCATTGAAAGTAACCATTCTGTTTTGTTCTTATTGAAATTTAAAAGATGACAGTAGTGCATTTTGATCTTGGTGGCAGTACTCAGTCTTCCAGAAGGTTTGCATTACTCTTGTGCTCAAGTATTCTGCATATTACAGAACCCATCTGAATGTTCACAATTCAGAAAAGCTTTCAGTTGTGTTTTCAAAACTGGTTTGTTCTATAGGCTTCCTTTAGACATTGAGGTGCTTAAAGGAAGTTTCTGATAAAATTCTAGTGATTCAAAAGAGAAGCATAGTATTTAATGTTTCTGTTAACAAAATTATTCTCAAATTTGTAAAAGAATGACCTTTTAATTAGAGTTCTTTAGGCAGTTTTTCTTTTCGTTGTTATTGTCAGAGTTTTAAAACTTGCTTTGGAAATTTTCTAACACATATATTTACCTTTCCTTCAAAGATTGAAGAATGAAAAGGCCTTGCGTCTCAACCTTGTTGGTAAGTGGGTTTACTTATTTGAAACTCTGGCTAGAGTATAGGGCATTTCTGCCCTATACTTGTTTTTCTTTTTACTCTTTTAGTGAAATACTGTTTTTATCAAAGTGAATTTGATCAGACTTGATCTAAACAAAGCAAATCAATCATTAAACTTTTGGAATAAACAGTGTTAATGATTTCTAGCTCAGTTTTCCAGAAACTGTTAGTTTATATTTATCTACCTACCTACCTGTCTACACATAACATTCATATCCATCTGTCCATCTATCTGATGTTTAACTCTACCTCCCTAACCATTAGAATTATGAAGGATTATGGCCTAGGTAGAAACCACAATTCATATTTATTTAATGATGTGGACATACACATCTTCAGTTTGTATCTCAGTGTCATGTCACTGTTTTTTTGGTCAGATTTATTGCTAATAATTTTTTACTCACAAATCTGAGATTTAAATACTGACTGTTAGGCTCTTTTATTAAAATTAAAGGTATTTGAACTCCCATCAATGCTTCATCAGGTAATAGAATAGTATTTTTAAATGGGATCTCATTGTACAGGGCCGGGTGATTTTTTTTGATCTGTAATCTTGAGAAATCTAACTGAAAGTGACCCTGACGGTCAGGTTTACTCACAAGGGTGAATTTTGTTGGCTCTTTGGTAATATATATCAATTACTCTACACAGTACCTGGCAGCTCTTATATGCTTAATGTATTTGCTAACTTTGGGGCCCTGGACAGGTCATTTAACATCTCTCATCTACAAATGGGGGTAATAATAGTACTAATTCTCATGGGATTATAAAGCTATTTACATAGTGCCTACAGCTTATTAAATACTCAGCAAATATCATTCTCATCATTAATGGAGTTTTCATTTTATTATTTTTGACAAGCTGTCCTTTGCTTTTAAATACTTAGAAGTTCAAGCTCGACTAAATAATCATTTTCCTTTTTTGCATCCATATTGGATAAGAAATATATACAGAAGCGCATCCCTCCCACTCCTCTTTCTTCTCTAAATTAAAATCTGACAGTTTAATTTGTGACAGACTGGTTTAATTAGCTTTGAGCCCACACAAGGCTTTATGTTTAACATTGACATAAATTTTGGTTCTGTTTTAAACACGTTAATGTTGAAAATGATAATGAATATTTACTTGCTTAAATGATGACTTGTGGGGTAAACTGTCTTGGTACTTGTTGTTTATAGGTGAAAAACTGCAATGGTTTCAAAATCATCTTGATCCCCAAAAAAAGAGATATTCAAAGAAAGATGCTTGTGAACTAATTGAAAGGTAAACACTGGGCATATTATGAGCAAAGGGTCAGAAAAGGGAATTGTCCAGCCTGGTTCTTTAAGACACAGAGCTCTGTTACGGATTTGCAGAAGAGCAAATGGGCTTTGTTATCAGGAAGACTATTTCCTGGCTTAGTCACTATAGGAGGTTTGTAACCTATTTGGGTCTCAGAGTGGTAGTTAGGCCACTTTCTTGGGATCAGGATGGGCTTCCTGGAGAAGTGTCATCTAAACTGGCAGCTGAAAGGTGGGGGTTAGCAGATCGAGGCAAGGTAGTTTGAAAAACCCCTAGCAAGAAAGAAGAATATTTAAAAATGCCCAGAAGTGAGAATGAAGATAACGTATTTAGTGATCTGCCAGACATTTAATATGACTAAAATAAGTTGAAGGAGGGAACTGTGGCAGGTACAATAAGTGATAGCTAGCTCATGAAAGACCTCAGATGTCAGTCTAAAAGTTGGGACCTTATCCAAGGACATTAGGAACCACAGGAGGCTTTTACAGCAAGCAACTGAAATGATCATACTTAACATTAGAAGGGACACATTGAGAATGAAGAAAACAGACTGAGAGGTTCATGACTCTGGTCAGGAAACCGTTGAAAGGTTGCTGTAACAATCCAGGCCAGAAATGATGGTGGCCTCAGCTTGGCTCATAGCCTGATAAAGAAGTGAAAGATTCCAAAGAAATTAAGAAGGTAGAAGTCTCAGTGTTCAGTGAAAACTTAGGTGTGGAATAAAAGGGATAGAGAGCAGTCAAGGAAGCCATCAGATTCCTCGTCTGGACAACTGTTTCCTGAGATAGGGAACCCAGGAGATGGAGGGGGTTTGGTGGGGGGTAGGTGGGGACAGGGTGATGACAAGTTCAGTTTTGATGTGCTAACGGTGAAGCCACTAGGGGACATCCAGATTGAGATGGTGGTTGAATGTGAGGGTCTGCAGTTTGATAGAAGGCTGCGATTTGGTCACTGAAGTTAAAGAAATGGTCGAGTTATCCAGGGAATGGGTAAAAGAGGTTTGAGGACCTGAGGAACTCAGAGAAACATAAACATTTAAAGGCCACATGAAGGCTGGATACTAAGTTTTCCATTAAGTAATGTAAGCCCAATACATATACTTTGTATGTAACACAAATCATTTTCGTATTTTTCAGGTACTTAAATCGATTCAGCAGTGAGCTGGAGCAGATTGAGTTACATAACAGTATCAGGGACAGGCAGGGGAGGCGGCACTGTTCCCGGGAGACCGTCATCAAGCAGACGATGGAGCGGGAGCGACAGCAGTTTGAGGGATATGGCCTTGGTGTGCTCACTGATTTTTTATTTTCCTTTTATATGACATAGCAGTATCAATTTGTGATTGATTTCAAAGGTTTTATTTTAGATCTTGTTTATTTCATTTGATTTTCTTCCTTTGATGTCTTTTTCTTTGTGAGGGTTTAGAAAAATTTTGGATTCTTTTTTTTTCCCCTACATTCCCAACAAAACTATCAAGTTTGTGACAGTGATGTGACATCATGTCTTTTTTACCGTGATAGTAATACTGATTACTTTCACATTGATCTTGTCAACCCTAACTTGTCTCCAGAACTCCAAATTTGCAGTATCACATATGGATTTCTCAAACTCTCTACTTGCATGTCTTTTGGGCATCTCAGACTTGACATGTCATGAAACAAAGGCCAGCTTTTCTCCTAAAACTTGCTCCTCCTGCAGGTTTCTTATTCCAGTCAGTGGCATTACCACCTGCCCAGTTGCTCAGATCAGAAACTCTACAGTCACTTTCATAGTCCACATCCAACCCGTCAGCAAAGCGTTTAGAATCTGATGACTTTGACTACTACTACTACCATCTCCCACTTCCCTGGTTCAGGCCACTATCGTCTCACCTGTACTATGGTAATAGCCTCCCAGTTGCTCTCTGTACCTCCACTCTTTCCTGCTAAAGTCTGTTCAACATGTAGCAGCCAGATGAGTTGGCAGTATTTATCAGAGCACATCCAAAGTAAACCATTTGTTGGTGATACAGCTAGGACTAAAACTCAGATCTGCTGTGCTGCAGTGCTTTTCCCAGAATCAGGGGATGGGTCTGATGAACAGACTCTGATGAGTTTGCAGGTGTCCGTTTCCCTTTGGGGAAATTGTCACCAAATTCTGTTTTGATAAGATTTTGAGAAGACTAGATAGAACCATCCCCTCTCCCCTCCTTATGTGGTGTAACTATTTCTGATTCATTAAGATTCCTTTACAAATTGTTTTTGTGCTTATTTATACTTTTTAACACCTAGCCCCTCATACTGTTATTCTCTGAAACTATTGAAAAAGTCAATAGACAGTTGTAGCAAACATGCTTATTTTATCTTCTTTATTACTTGATACTAAATTTCATTTAACATTGTATTGAATTGGCCAGATATTGGCAGCAGCCTTCCAGTTTTTGTTGTTCATGCCTCTTGTATTTCACCAATTTAAGTGTATCATGCATATTGGTTTATGATGGAACTTTTGAAATATGGTAAAGAACTACCATATACCTGGTTTTTATTAAAAATGGATTTAAGTTTTATTGAACTTCTTTAAGCAAAATTTTTTTTTTAATTTAAAAAAGTCTTTTTTTCACATTTGGAAAAATGTGATTTTTTTAAACATTAATTCTTGCATTCCTGAGATAAATTCTACCTTGTGAAGGCAGATTATACGTTTGAAAACATTGTACTTTTCACGAAGAAAAAATATACAACCTGGCATGTTATTTTAGTGAATTGACAGTTATACTTTGCCAGGTACCTTTTATTGTTAAAAAAGGACAGGGTTTATTTTGTTAATAGCTTTGGTTTTGTTTTGTTTTTTTTCTCCTGCCTCAGCCTCCCGAGTAGCTGGGACTACAGGTGCCCGTCACCACGCCCGGCTAATTTTTGTATTTTCAGTAGAGATGGGGTTTCACCTTGTTAGCCAGGATGGTCTTGATCTCCTGACCTCCTGATCCACCTGCCTCAGCCTTCCAAAGTGCTGGGATTACAGGCATGAGCCACCGCGCCTGGCCTAATAGCTTTGTTTTATTTCATGGATTCTATGCTAGAATTTATCATTTAATAGGATTTTTCTTAAGTCATCTTAAACTAACCCCTTTTGCAAATTTTTCATGTTAATTACAGCAATACTTCGAAATTTTGTTTTCTGTTGGATATTCTTGCTAAAAATTATTATTTGTTGTACATAAAATTATGTGATTTAGAAAACATTGCCTCATGGAGATAAATTACTTTCTTTTCCAGAGATTCCAGACATTCTAAATGCAAGTAATCTGAAAACATTTAGGTGAGTCTGTCTTGTATTGTTCCCCTGAAGCTGTGTGTAAAGTACCTGACAGGTGAACTTTCTTCCCCTTTGAGTCTAGCCGGTAGAACTAAAAGAAAATCGGGTTTCTTTTAACCTTTTCTTTTTTATCTGACCAAGTAAGAATTTTCTGAAGTTGGGCGTACAAACAGTTGATCTGCACCAACAGGATGGTAACCTGGTGTGCTTTTTGTTTTTCAAAATGGTTTAAGATACATTGTTATAGTACCTCAAAGTATGTGATCTCACTATTCCTCCCCAGTTTTATTTTTTTAAAAAAGAAGTAACAGCAACAGACGTGATGGCTCAGAGTCATATCCCCAGGCTGTTCTGTAGCAGCCTCTTTTGCAGAGAAGATGGTTATAGGAATGACTCCAGGGAACAGGTTAAGTCATCAAGACCCGCTTTGTCCAGTGGTTTCTAGTTGTACTCTTTTGTAAACTGGGAAACTACCGAGTAGGATTTCGATTTTTTAGGTTTTTTTTTTTTCTTTTTTCAACTTTGATTTTAAATTCAGAGGTACATGAGTAGGTTTATTACAAAGGTGTACTGTGTAATGTTGAGGATTGGAGTAAGAATGAATCTACCCAGGTAGTGAGCATAGCACCCAGTACGTGGTGTTTTTAGCTCTTACCCCTTTCCTTCCCCCAACTTGTATTACCCAGTGTCTATTGTTCCCTTGTTTATGACCTTGTGTACCCAATGTTTAGCTCCTACTTATAAGTGAGAACATGTAGTATTTGGTTTTGTGTTTCTGTGTTAGTTCACTTAGGATAATCTGTAAAAATCCTAGAAGAAAACCTAGTAAATACCCTTCTTGATAGCAGCCTTGACAAAAAATTTATGGCTAAGTCCTCAAGCAATTGCAGTAAAAACGAAGATTGACAAATGGGACCTAATTTCTGCACAGCAGGATAAACTGTCAAGGGAATAAATAGACAACCTATAGAATGGGAGAAAATATTCTCAAATTGTTTGTATTCAACAAAGGCCTAATATCTGGAATCTATAAGAAACAAATGAATCAACAAGCAGTTTTTTAGTTTTTAAACATAGATTTTTATTAATCATTTTGGTCTTAACTAGACCATGTTGAGGGGTCTTATATTTAATGTTAATTGAAATTAGGTAAATTTAAATCCAGTCATTGTCTATACTTTTGAATTCATTGAAACTAAATTAGCTTTAATAGAATTCATCTATCATGTTTAAGGTGCAGTTCACTTTTGAGCTTATGTATAGCATGTATTTATAATTTAAGTATGTGGAGTTAAGATTCTTTTTATACCTTAATTTTATTTTGCCTGTAATCTTAAATATATAAATATGCTCTTTATTTCTAAAACAATATATCTTCTACCTCCTCCAAAGCCAGAAACAAGAAAAGAGATGAGTATAGCCTTCTGGTTAAGAGTTCAGTTCCCAAAATAATATTCACATTACGTCTAAAGTAATTAATACAATACTGAGGTTGAAAAACTGAAAATTTTCCATTATAAGAATAACAGTTGATTACTGAAACTTAACTGGGATGTACTTCTGTGTGTGAAAAGGAAAACCTCTTCTGACTGTATTTTGGAGATTTGTCAGGTATGATACAGTTCCTACTTTTGATTGCAATTCTTGATCTGGGTAGCATGAGAGAAGGAGATACTCAGGTTAGAGAGGATGAAAGAATAGAACAGCTTTCTAGTAATTTGTGCCTAATATTTTCCTTTAACGCTTTTGAAGTTTTGAATATGTAGGATCCTCAGAGTTTCGAAAATTTACTATCTCCTGTTTTTCCACATTAACTCTTACCAACACTCTGCACTCTTTTTTTTTTTTCCTTTTGTCTAGGGAATGGGACTTTGATCTGAAGAAATTACCAAACATTAAAATGAGAAAAATTTGCGCTAATGATGCAATTCCCAAGACGTGCAAGAGGAAAACTATTATAACTGTAGACCAAGATTTGGGGGAATTGGAACTAAACGATGAATCAAGTGATTCAGATGAGGAAATGACTGCAGTGGCCTAATTGTCTTCACTTGAATTGAAAATAAATAATTTGAGAGCTTCAAATTATATTCATTGATTATGGTACCTAATTGTCATGATACAAAAATTTGATACTGACATTCTCTTATATGATGAGAGTTTCATTTGCGTTTCAAAAATGGTGTTATGATACTTATTTTAAAATGAAGATTGCTTTTCATTTCCATTAAGTTGCTAAAATAGATAGATGTGATCTGCAGAAGTTGTTTAGTCTTCATCTGAATTTCAGGCTGGGAGGGAGCAATATAACTAAGGACAAAAAATGTTTTGTTTTTCTTGTGTATTTATGATCACCTAATTTCACGTTTTGTGAAATGGACAGTAACCTGTTTCCTGAAAGATTCCTGTGGGTACTTTTTGAGCTGTGATAATAGCAAAATTGTTTTTCGGTAATAATATCACACTAATGCTTCTTTTAAACATTAAACCTATTTTCCTTTTTTACAGAATAAGGGAAAATGTGATAAGAAGTTTGTATACATTTCTGGATTATAGATTATTATTTATCTTTTGAACCAGAGCTAAATGGTAAAAGAAAAAAAATCAGTGATGATTGTTATGTTGATCTCCCACAATTAATTTATCTTTTGACAAAGGGGATAAAGAGTTTCAGTTTAGCTCCTTTTGATTGTATATTATTTTTTGCTTTTTTATTGTGAAAAGAGGTAGGTTTTATTTGTGGAGAGAGAGTTGAAGATTAGGGAACCAGTGATTTTAATTATGCTACTTTTTCTTCTAAGAGATAAATTGATATATCATTCAGTGTCATGAAAAACATGAATGTTGTACAATTTTCTTCCTCAAAAAACTTTTTAAATGTAAGTATCCTTATTTTTTTTTTAAAAGAGCACAATGTAGGTGTATTTGAGTATTTTCAAGAAAAGAATAAAAACATTAATGCAGTATTAGGTTAACTGGATATCAACTAAGCCTTGTTAACAGTTAAAGTATTATAACTTTTTTTACTTCTGAAAATTAAAAATAAAATTTATTTCTGCAATTTCATTTCTTACAGTCCTAATTTTTTTTTTTTTTTAGTGATGTAACATGTTGATTAGTTAGTAATCTGTGTAAAAGTGTGGTTTTAGGATTCCATGAGTAGTTAATGTCTGAAAGTTTCCTTCTCTCTCCCTTTTGGCTCGTAGTCTTAAAATGGTTGTAAAAACTGAGTCATAAATTGCATTAAAGAGAATAAGAACTGCTTTATCTGGACTGACACTTAAAAGCCCCTACTGTTAGATGAATAACTTGTGAAAAGTGACAGATTGTCCTCCTTCTTAAACATTTGTTTCTAGTTTCCCATGTGTTGTCAAAGCAAAGATTACAACTAACAAGCTACACTGCCGGGAAACTAGGTAAGTATTTGCTGAATGAATGCATATAACATTTAGGACCATAATAATCATGTCACTCCTAGTTGGATCAAAGCAGCCTCAGAGATAACTTGTCTTTAGAGTGATGCTTAAGATGTTCTTACTCCTTGCCTGTTGAACATGTTCTTTCTGGGGTGATAACTTGTGCTCCCTTCATCTAGACCACTTTTAAGTCAGTGGCATATTTTTGTAAGACAACGTCTATAGTTCATGGCCATGGAACAAAGTAAAGGTAACTTATTTTTGTAAACTAGGGACTGGCAAACTTTTTCTTTATAAAAGGCCAGAAAGTAAATATTAATATATTAGGCATTATAGGCCAAATGTAGTTTCTGTTGCATATTCGTGTGCATATGTGTGTTGTTTGCCGCCCTCTAAAAATATAAAAACCGGCTGGGTGCGGTGGCTCACGCCTCTAATCCCAGCACTTTGGGAGGCTGAGGCAGGTGGATCACTTGAGGTCAGGAGTTCGAGACCAGCCTAGCCAACATGGTGAAACCCCATCTCTACTAAAAATACAAAAATTTGCCAGGTGATTACATGCCTGTAATCCCAGCTACTGGGGTGGCTGAGGCAGGAGAATTGCTTGAACCCGGGAGTCAGAGGCTGCAGTGAGCTAAGATTGTGCCACTGCATTCCAACCTGGGTGACAGAGTGAGACCCTGTCTCAAAAAATAAATAAGTAAAATAATAATATAAAAACCATTCTTAGTTAACGGCCATACAAAATAGGCCAGGGGATTGACTTGCTTGTCATAATTGGCTGACCCCTTGTCTAAACCAATGAGCTGAACTTCCATGGACATAATGATACATTTCTAAGTTCAGAGCAGCTGACTCACATCTGTGGTCTTTTCCTCTAATATCCTAGTTGCTTCCTTGCCGTAATTACTGACAGAGGTGTCCCTTCAGGACCTTGCTTACCTCAAATAGAAGCTTTTTTCTATTCTTACTTTCTGTGTGCTTCAGGGGCAGGAGATTGGGTAGGTGTCCTTTTTGCTTTACTGCCACTTCAGACTTTCTCCCTTAGGTCTTTGAAGTTCTATTCTTGCCTTCTTTCCTTACTATCTTACCTCCCAGAAGAACCTTCTGCCCATTCATAGAATACTTTAGCTCGTGGCCTAGTTTTCTTCTCCCCTGCAGCAATCATTTTAGTGATTCCTTGTGGATAACAAATAGTGGCTAGCAAATATAACAACAGTATGAGTTTTAAGTTTTCCAGTCTTTTTCTCTGTCCCATCAGAGGCCTCTCAGTGGTCACACCTGGATCCTTATCAGCACCTCCACTCTGTAGACCTGATTTTGAGTATTCCACTCTCCATTCACTGTCACCACTCCTCTTCATTGCTGAAGTTCTGCACTTTGACCTCACTCTCATTACGCATCATCTGTCTTGTTGAGCTTAGCTTCAAGTTCATAGTTGCTTCCTTGCATATACCCTGAATTCCTTGTCTCTGACTCTAGTTATTTCTCTTTCAGAACCCAAACCAAGTAACAGCTATGTTTCCTTCATGCCTGTTCTCACGCAGCTCAACATCGCTGGAGAATATCAAACAGACCATTTTCATACTGATGTTTGCAAATCTCAAGTGGATTCTCAGTACTGCTTAGTGATCTTATTATGTTCCCCTACTAAGTTCATTTTCTAACTTTGAGATAATTATTTTACTACTTTTTTATATTTTTTTCTAGCTTGACTTGAATACTAGCCTTCTCAATGTTCAGCCCTTGGCTTTTTATACATCTTTGAGAAAATACAAATTACCACTTTCTTTTGATTTAATGGATATATCTTTTTTTTTCCTTTCAAAGGAAAATACTACTTATGTTCTGTTTCCCACTCCTTATTTTCTCAGAAACCTGATTTTTCTAAGTTTTTCACGCAATTTCTCAAGCCAGGAATCTGCCTGTAAAATCATCCTTGATTTTTCACTTTCTCTCTTCTATGCCTTCCCACAATATAATTTAATTAGCGAGTATTTCTGATTCCACTTCCAAAATGAAAATCAAATTGGCCCGTGTCAGGCAGTCTCACTTTTCATCCTTACCAAAGTCGCCATGTCTTGCCTGTCCTATGTGCAGTAGCTTCTTAACTGGCCTTCTTGCCACTGTTCTTGCTCCTGTTGCCAGCACCCTGATGGCCTTGTGTGTGTCCACTTGATCCACAGCTGGGCAGGGTTTTGCTGCGGATGACCTGACTGAGCCTTGGAAGACTGTCCTATAATCTTCCCAGAGCATGGGGATATGGAGGATATCATTTGCCTCCTGATCTTCTGGGAAGGAGATAGTGAGACAATTTGTCATCACCTGGGTTCTGATGAACTCTGAGACTCTACCTCGAGTCACTGTAGCATAGAGCTGCAGCCTATAAAACTAATGACTCAAGATTGGTGCAAAAGTAATTGCAGTTTTTGTCATTTTTTTTTTTAAAAGTACTTTTAATGGCAAAAACCGCAATTACTTTTGCACCAATCTAATATAATACTTAGCTGCAGCATGGACTCAGCATCTCAGCAACAGAGTGTCCTTCCCCTTATGTAGCACTACCAGTTCATCTGGCCCTTTTCTGTTTGTGTCTTTCTGTAGGACAAGACATACGGGAAGGCCGCACCTTTGCATCTTACTGTCTGTGTAAGTACAGTTGACCCTCCCTATCTAAGGGTTCTGCATCCTTGGATCCAACCAACCACAGATGAAAAATAGTCCGAAAAAAAAAAGTATGTACTGAACATGCAGAATTGTTTCTTGTCATTATTCTTTAAACAATACATTGTAACAACTATTTCCATAGTATTAGGTATTATAAGTAATCCAGAAATGATTTTAAGTATACAAGAGGGTATACATAGGTTATATGCAAATACTACACCATTTTTATATCAGGGATTTGAGCATCCATGAATTCTGGTATCTGAAGGAGGTCCTGGGACCAGTCCTCCACACATACTGGGGGGATGACTGTAATAAAACAGTCTTACAAGGGCCTGTTTCTCTACTGGCCGAATCCATCAGCCTTTGCTTGACATTTCCCATTCGGGATTTTGGTACTTACCATTCCCTCTTCCTGCGTTGCCATTCCCCTGAGCTTTTGCAAGGCCAACAATAACTGATTGTTCTCTCTTCCTTTAGGTCTGAGCTTAAAAGTGTTCTCTCTATCTAAAGCATCTCTACCCCCACACCCTTGCTACTCTTGGTTAATCTCTATCACAGCACCCAGTTTAGGATCACTGGACACATAATGACAGTGATTAATGATCTAGGAATGTTTGCTATAATTTCTGGTGGTGAGGGAGGGTGTTAAGTTCAGATTTCCATTTTGGGCAGAGGAGTTGGCTCATATAATTAGCAGACTGGTAGAAAGCCCTGTAGGTCCTTAGAAGTTGGACATTTGGAAACAGCTTTGTTTTTTGCTATCACCAAACCTCTTAGATTCTAATATCTTGCTTTTAATGTTTATTATCCATGCAATTATCTGAATCCACTATTATCTCTGAACAGAAAAATGCTGTTATATGCTTATTTTTCTATATCCAAGACTTATTCTTGAGACAGTCCCGCTTTAGATTACATTGTGATTTCTCTTGAACTCTTTTTTTAAAGCAGGTTTGAAAGTCCACATAGTTTATTTTCATTGGTTTCCCTCTGTTTGTGTATTTATTTATTTGTACCATGTCATGAGTTAGTCAACGTAGGTTTGCTTTAAAATAATTATATGTTCAGACCCTTGTAAAATCTTAAAAAATGTATGTGTGTTTGGATGTTGCAAATACAAATATCAGTCTGTTAGGCAAAAATTGTGGAAACCACAACTAAGGTTTGCGTCACTTGTTTAATATACAAAGTCTTTCACAGATAATTATTTTCTTTTTCTTAATTTGCTTTAGTACACATGATTCACAAAACAGTAAATTGTTAATGCAAGAGAATTATGTAAAACCAAAATAGTACAAATGCCTAATTTCAAAAACTGCACACAGTTAAAATAATTTTTCCTTCTTTGTTTTAATGCAGTATCCAGTTTCAAAATGGGCTTTCTTTAGATGTGGAGGAAACACTGCAGCCCAAAATAACAGTACTTCCTTTCAACTGTGTTGATATGTAAAATAGCACCATTGGGCTGACTTAGGAAAGAAAAAAGGTTTTCATCTTTCTTAATTAAAGTATTATATAACAACTATAATAATAATGATACTAATAACTTTTAAGAGCTGTACTCTGTTCTATAATATTCATTTTCAAGGCAAGGAAGGGTAAACTATATGGGGCAGATAGAAAAATCTTCCCACCTCAGCCCCAGGACCCTTATAATGTCCCTTAATGGTGTCATTGTTCTAATGAGCTAATTTTCCTGCCAAAGAATAGATGTTTTAAAGAGTACCCAAGGACCTTTTGTAAAACAAGATAAAAAACCATGAGGTCGTCTGTCTGGGACTATAATCACGTGTAGAAGCAGCGCAGAGTGAGATTTAATGCTGGGGTGTTTTGAAAGACTCCTTCAGTCTACACCTATCTTCCTTCAGGTTACACATTGCTGTATCTCAGGTTGTTGGGCTCACTTTAGTTTAGATTTTGTTCATTTTTATTTTGTTTTTGTACTTAAGCTTAATTGCCTTTTGGGCTTTACTTTTTAAAAAATTGGAATTTCTTTCTTTTACAATTTAATCTTTACTCCTGTACGATAAGAGTGATAGTTCTTTAAAAAAATTAACAGCATCAATGTCTGGTTTAATACTGAAGATTCATGATTATAAAGAGCCAAGGTTTTTAACACAACTGTAATTTCATTCTTCAATTTTAGTCCTTTTTTTTTCAATTCCATTTTATTTCTTCCACGAGCAGGTAAACATGCCTCAAAATTTGCATTCCGTAGAGCAGTTTTTCTTTTTGAAGGGTATAGTCAGTCAGTCTACAAAAAAGCACTGCCACAAAGCTAAATCGTTTTATTGTTTGAAAGGGCAAATGTTCCATTGCCACACAGAATGTAAAAAGAAAATAATCAACATTAGATTTTAAATGCAGGTAGTTATTTCAGATGTTTGAACCATAAACAAACAACCATTGCTGAAAAGCTTCTTAAAAGCTTGAAATTCAGAACTTCAGGGTTTCAAAAAGTCAGAAGAATAGCAAAATCAAGTGTTGACTTTTAACCTGCCAGGAAGCTATATTATATTATTTTCTCATTTCAACAATGTCCAAGCCCATAAAAGTTAATTGCAAGAATTTAGGTATAGTTTTAAAATCCCATGTCCTCTTTTACTATTAATAGAATAATGCTTACCTTTGCTTTTTATTCTAGAAATGTTTTCTTAGTGTTAAAAGTGTAGCCCTTAATAAATGAGGCTTTATTTTAGCCGATCATCCTCCACTGTGAAATCAGCCCTGCAACGTATCTTGTTTAGGTTCGTACAGAATTTAAACAATATTTTCCATGTTAATTAAAGTAAATAATTATTTTACTTTCAGAGCAAACAAAAGAGAAATCAACATTTCTTTGTTTGCTGGTGTCTGGATGTTTTTCCCCGGGAATATCTGTAAGCAGCATGTTGCCATTACTAACCCACAGGGAAAATGGATTAGTAAAAAGCTTAGGACAATTAACAGGAAAATTGCATTAAGGTTAATCCCTTGGATATGGTGCCATGGTTAAATCACCCACAGATTTGTTATTCATAAATGTATTTATCTTAAATATTTAAAATGGGCATTTAAGAGGAATTTAATATACAGTTTGTTTAAGGTCCACATGTTTTTTAAAACGTTAATTACTTATATCCTTATTTATACAGAATTTTTGGTTCAGTTTAGTTACCTCAACTTTGCTTTCCCTGTGCTTATAACAAGTTTTAAGAAAGATGAGTTTTAAACCTTTTGTTTCCTGACTGAATACCTTAACATTTTCCCCGCATATATACATGACTACACACACGCCATACACACACACAAAATTGACATTGTTTACCTTTTGTTTATTTCTAGGAATCAAGACTATCTGGACTCAGTGTCAGCCACTACTAATATTTATACCATCTTTCTCCTCATTTAAAGGTTTGTTTTTTTTTTCCCTTTTTCCTATGATCTGTGAAGAACAAGCACACTGATAATTACAAAGTGCATCCATGTGATACCCAGATTTGTGCAGTGTGATACTCATGCTTTGGTTCTTATGGCCATCATTGCCTTTTCATGTTAATAAATAATGACAGCTAACAAAAATAAGTCACCTTTTTTAATGTAGGACATCTTTCTTTGACAGGCTACTGTATCTATAATCACCGTTAATCTAGCTCACTGCAATGTCATTCACACATCAGTTTTACATGAATATGCAAAGAACACAATAATCAACTGTCAAACCTAAACGATTAATTACTTATCACAGAATCTGTTGAATATTTTTGTTTTCTAACTGAGCAAGGGAAATCCTGTCAGCTTTTAAAAGTAAGGGCTAGATTCTTAGTCATAATTACTCATCATCTGTCAAGTTGACACCTCATATGGATGAAATAAGCCTTACACATTTGATTTAATAACAAAAATAGGTAATTTTATTCCCCTATTGTAAGTACTTCATAGTAACAATTTATTTATTTCACAACTCTGCTATAGGCAGATTGATTGTTTTATCTTTCTATACTTTTGGATTTTTACCCTTTAGAGATGTGAACTTCATCTGACTTTAAAATGAGGACACTTAATTTAATGCTTTTAAAAATCATAACTAACTTTTGTGACTTTGAAATAAAAGAATGAATTAAACTGTTTTGAAATACTCAACAACTGTTAAATAAAGCAGAAGCTTAGTCTCTAATTTTACGGCTGTGCTATCCAATATAGTTAATTCAAGTTGAAGTGTACTTTTAAATTACCAACTGGATTTTGAAAACTTGGTTCAAGAAACAGATGTAAACTATCAATCAATCAATCAATTTTTTATATTGATGACATGTTGAAATAACATATAGTGTTTTTAAAAAATCAAAATTCATTTTAACAAACAAACATTTATTTTTACTTTTTAAAATAGGGCTACTGGGAAGTTAAATATTTGCATCTGTGGCCTGCATTTGTGGCTGTTGTGTTTCTATTGGACAGCACTGTATTAGAGGAACCAGATGAAAATAAATATAAGACCTGATAACAGTTCTGTGGGTATTTAACAGAGCTAATTATATCCGAACATTTTCTGAAAATCTTTTGCGTGACTTAAACAAACGTAATTAATTCCAAATATCAATGTCTTCAAATGTATATTGCATCTATTTAAAAAAAACATGCATCTGTCAAAATAACCAGACTCCACTAAACCATACAAATCTGTTAGCTGTCAAAGCATATCAAAATATGCATCCTCCAAGTTCACTTCCAATGTGACTTAGGGATAATGCAGACAATTTCAGGCTTAAAACCAAATATGTTAGTTATTTCCAGATGAGACAGTTAACATTACAAGGCCCTAGAAGTAATACACATCGCAATTCAAGTCTGTATTCTTGAACTTTTCCCCTGTTACTGTGAAGAAGAGTATCATGGGTCCATTTAATCTTTGATTACTGCCTAAAAGCATTCATTGCCCCAGTAGTTCTTAATTGTCTTGGAAATCATTCTCTTGCAAACTTCACATTTCCATATCATACTTTACTTTACGCTATTACTTCATGGGCTCCTGGGCATTTGGTCTGTTTGTTTTTCTCCTTTCCTCTTTGAACAAAGTCAGGAAAAATGTGTCAGTAGGAGAAAGGAGGAGCTGAAGGGAGTAAATAATTCAAGATCACTTCTGTCATTTGTAGTGGCTGAGGGCTAGAAAGATATTCTTCGGTGAAGAAACTCCCAACAGGTTCCATCAGACTGATACAACTTCAGGGGGGCCACCCTCTGCAGATGGCAGTGAATTTGCACCTGTTTGTGGTACAGGCACTACCACAGCATCTTTGATGTCTGTGTTTACATTACATGAGAAGTTCTTCTCCAGTTTTTTGGCAGTGTCTGGGCAATTTTGTACAAAGATCACACGGTTGTAGGCCTTCAGCCTGCGCCACAACTGAACATAGACTTTACACTGTACGTACATGAAGACAAGACCTCCTGTGAAGCCAATGGCTACCACAACCAGTTTTGTCCAAAATGGCCATTCAAGGACACCTTTGAAATGAAAAAGAGAAAATGTTATCACCAAGTTGTCCTCAGTGGATTTGGTCATTTTTTTTTTCTATGACCCTTCAAAAGCCCGTGCTTGCCTTCTAGATTATGTATGTTAACAGAAATAATATATTCTTCATAACTAGAAAGAATTATAACCCGAATTGGCGTAATTCCTTTTGAGTATCCTACATGTACTGTCAAAATTGTATATCAGGACATTTTCTCACCTATCACTGTCAAATCTCTTATTTCTCCTAGCATCAAGTACCTATCATAATTATGAGATATTATGTTAGATTTTGGACATTTGGACACTGACATTTATCCCTTATAGCTAGACTTTTAAGGAAGGATGGTGAACATAATGGAAGAATCAGAGTTTAAAATCCTTCTAAGAAGATGAGGTATAGGTACATGTATGGGTTTGTATGTACAGGTCTTCCCACCCTCATTTATTTTAAAATGTAAAAGGAAAGGAAGGAATGGAAGAAGGGAGATGGGGAGGAGTAAGAGGGAGGGGAAGGAAAAAGCTGCCACATCTCACCAGAGAGAGAATTCCTGAGTACAAACATGCAAAAGATTTAGGATTTTAGCCATTTGTTTCATAAATCATATTTTGTCATTGAGAACCATCACACTTTTATAGATGTCTATATTTTCTCTTAATTTCCATCACCATTACTAGAAATAGGCTTTCTTTTGTAAATACAGTTTTAAAAATTATTTCACAGGCATTTCAGTGACTACAACAGTGAGTATTTAGGCAATACATAATTATGAATGTTAAATATATGAGGGTCAAGAGTGTTAAATATATGAGGGTCAAGTGGTCCTCTTGCCCACATTAGGGTGGTGTGGGGGACAATAGCTGTCTTCCCGTAAGTGAAAAGTTGTGAAGTAGAAAAATATAGCTCAGTATGGCTCAATACAGTGCACCAGGAAGGGATGGTAGAAATGTGTAAAAACCATGGTAATTGAGAGTCTATGATTTGACTTTGGATTTTTATTTACTTACAACAGTGATTAGAGTTATAAGAAATATCCTATCTATATTTTGTAGTAGTGACATTTGCTTTATGCTTCTGGAAGCAAAGCAGAAATCATGCCCTGTTTGTTTCCATCATGATGAAGCACCTTGTACCCTAAGATTAACCAAAAATAACAGCGTTACCCTGTCAATTTCTGGTCCCAAAATAATGAAACATTGAGTATTTCTTATAATCCCAGATCCCCAGCAAACACCATTTTATTCTTGACTTTTATTTAGCTCATGTTGCAAGATCTTTCTGAATATGATCATCATGTGATAAGATTTTGTTTTTTCTCCATGAACAAATTAATGCAAACTTAGTAATCATGGTAATCTTCTTTATATTTTTCTTTAAATACCTGTTATATTTTTCACTTGCTTATCCAGTTTTTCTGAAGTCTGACTCCCTTGAACCTTTTCAAGTAAACTCTTTTTCTTTTCAAAATGCTTTGGCTCTGACTCTTCCTTTGAAATTTTTGGGGAAAAAATGTTCTCTGATCTTAAAAGGGATTGTAAGAAAACATGAAAAGCCTCTCACTGTTGTTGATGTTTCATTAATTTGTTGCTCTGTTTGGCACTGTCAATTTAAAATAAATTTCTATGCCTCTTTCAGCAATCAAATCTGAACTTAGTTTTTGAGTAGATTAAATATATGCAATCAAATTTATTAGAACCTTTACCGGTAGCAAAGGTAAATTTTTTCTAACTAACTCCTAATACGCAAGGACTTCTTTATGACTTGAATAATTCATAGTAGTCATCATCTTGAATATTTACTTAATCCTAATGGAAATAATACTTCAAAATATCATTGGCCAAAGCTCACACAGGAGAAATAAGAGATCATTACAGTGGCAGGTGTAATTAATAGGCAGATAATTAAATATCCCTAGATCTATTAAAGAAATTAAATCAACCATAACCTTTCAGAGCAGAAAGCACCAAGCTCAAATAGTTTTACTAGTGGATTCTACCAAACATTTAAAGAAGAAATGACATCAATGTTCTACAGTCTTTTCCAGAAAATAGAAGAGATAATACTTCCTAACTAATCGGGTGAGACTAGCATTACCCAATACTAAATTCGGCAAAGACAATTACTATGAAGAAAAGTTATAGGCCAGTATCTCTCATGAGCAGATACAAAAATTCTCAACAAAATATTAGCAAATTGAATTCAACAATGTATAAAAACAGTTACACACTACAGCCAATAGAGATTTATTCTAGGTATGCAAAGTTGGTTCAAGTTTCAGAAATCAATGTAATCACATCAATTAGCTAAAGAAAAATGTGAATATATCAATAAGTGCAGAAAACACATTTGACAAAATACGACGCTCAATCATGATAAAAACTAGGAACGGAAGGGAATTTCCTTAATGCGATAAAGAACATAGAAAACCTATAGCTGACATAATGGTAAGAAACTAGATGCTTTCCCCCTAAGATCAGGAACAAGACAAGGATGTTCCTTCTTACCATGCCTATTCCGCATCACACTGGAAGTCTTAGCTAATGCAATAAAACAAGAATAATAAAAGATGATTGAGAAAGAATAAATAAAACTATCTTTGTTCACAAATGATATGATTATGTATAAAATCTCAAAGAACTGATTAAGTTTTTTTTTTAAATAGGTGATTATGACAATGTTGCAGGATACAAAGTTTTACAAAAAGTCAATTGCTTTCCTATATATAGCAGTGAACAACCAGAATTTGAAATTAAAAACATAAGCCCATTTACATTTGTGCCAACAAAACAAAAACAATGACAACAACAAAAACCTTAGGTGTAAACCTAACAAAATATGTACAAGATTTATGTGAGAAAAACTATGAAGCTATGATGAAGGAAATAAAAGAATATCTGAATGAAATAAGATGTTCCACATTTATGGATAGGGAGACTTAATATTATATTATTAAGATATCTATTCTTCCCAGTTTGATCTACAGATTCAATACTATCCCATTCAGAATTCCAGCAAGTTATTTTATGGATATTGACAAACTGATTCTAAAGTGTATATGGAGAGCAAAAGACCAGAATAGCCAACACAATATTGAAGTGGAAGAATAAAGTTTTTGAAAACTGACACTATCCTTGATTACTACCACTACGGTGATCAAGACAGTGTGGTATCAATGAAAGAATAAAGAAATAAATCATTGAAACAGAATAGCCCAGAAATAGACTGATACAAATATAGGAAACTGATCTTTAACAAAGGAGCAAAGGCAATTCAATGGAGAAGGGATAGTCTTTTTAACAAATGGGTGCTGGTATAACAATATCTGCATGCGAATAAATGAGTCTGTAAACAGACCTTAAATTTTTCACAAAAATTAACTCAAAATGGATTATAGAACTAAATGTAAACTGTGAAACTATACAGCTTCTAAAAGATAAGAAAATTCAGGTGACCAAAGTATGATCTATGAAAAGAAAAATGGATCAATTGGACTTTATTAAAACTAAAACCTTTTGCTCTGAGGAAGTCACTGTTAAGAGAATGAAAAGCCACAGGAAAAAATATTTGCAAAACATATTCTGAAAAAGGGATTTGTATCCAAAATATACAAAGATCTGTTAACATTCAATGATAAGAAAATAACCTAATTACAAAATGAGCAAAAGATTTGAACAGATATGTCATCAATGAAGATAAACAGATGGTAAGATTATTAATATATGTGATTAGAGAATTGCACATTAAAACAAGATATCATTATATACCTATTAGAATGGCTAAAGTTTTAAAAAAGAACACTGAAAACACTGAACGTTGGAAAGGATGTGGAACGACAAGCAGGAATTCTCATTCATTGCTGATAGGTATGCAAAATGGTACAGTCACTTTGGAAGACAGTCTGGCAGTTTTTTACAATGGTAACCACAGCTTTTCAAATGATACAACATTATACTTATTCAAATGAACAAAAACTTACGTCCACACAAAAACCTGCACACAAATGTTTGTAGCAGCTTTATTCATATATTTGTTCAAAGCTGGAAATACCAAGTGGTTTTTCAATCTGTGAATGAATAAACTGTGATACATCCATGTAATGGAGTATTATTTAGTGATTAAAAAGAAATGAGCTATCAAGCTACAAAAGGACACGAAGAAACCTTAAATGTATATTGCTAAATAAAAGAGGTCAGTCTGAAAAAGCTACATACTGCGTGATTCCAACTATGTGACATTCTAGAAAAGGCAAAACTGGAGATAGTAGGATCAGTGTTTGCCAACAGTTTAGGAGGAGAAAGGAAGGGATGAATAGGTGGAACACAGGGACTTTTTAAGGCGGCAACACCATTCTGTATGATTCTGTAACGGTGGACACAGGACGTTACACGTTTGTCAAAACTCATAGAACTGTACAACACAAAGAGTGAGCCCCAATGTAACTATGAACTTTAATAATGTAAGAATATTGGCTCCTCAGTGGTAACAAATGTACCACGTTGAGGCAAGATGTTAATAACAGGAGAAACCTTGTGTATGTGCAGGGTGGTATGTGGGAACTCTCTCTTTACCTTCTTTGTAATTTTTCTGTTAACCTAAATCTGCTCCAAAAATAGTCTTTTATATATAATATATATATATATATTTATATATATTAGCTCCTTACTTGAGAGATTAGTTCCATGAATTCATCACTGTGTCTAGGTCAGTTTATAGAATTTCTTCGAGTAAGAGATGGGTTTGTGAGCATTTAGGTATTTGGAAATTGGTAATGTATGCATGATATATTTATGGAAACTATTGCACAAAAACACTCCATTTCTTTTTAGCCATGCCCAATGGAGTTTATTGTGCCTAAAATTTGCTGCAGTCTTGCACAATAAATGCTCATGATCTATACCTCTATTTATTTTATCGTCATCCTCAGCTGCCTGATTTCTCTCATCCAGTGCCTTTCTTAGTAAACTTTATCCAAAGTCCTATCTGGGTAGCTGTTTTCCAAACATTGCACATCCTAATATAGGTTTAAGCTTTAGCACATGCTATTCCTCTGTTTAGAGTGCCGCGCTCTTTACAATAAACTTCTACTAATCTTTCAGAACCCACTCCAGGGAGAAAAAGGTGCAATCTGTCATGAGGTTGGCAAACACAGCATTCGTGCCCTAATTACTACCAACACTCTTTCCTGCTAATCCCTATGATAGCTTCATGGTTCCTAACACCACAATCTAGGTCAACTTCTGGAGTTGGCATGAGAAAAAATCTTTTTGCCATCTGGCCCAGAGGAAGAAGATGCCTTTTCACAATATTGCAAATTCCCTACATCGTAGTCCAGGAGAAACCCTATTAATGTTAACTAATTAAATGCTGTTGTTTGGAGTAAAATAGAGTAACTCTGAACTTCTTAATAAAACTAGGAGAAAGACTGACGGTTTCATGTCTCTCCCTACCCAAGTCGCTATTTAAAAAAATTAATTAGTGTATCATGGAGTTAAACTCTTTGAAGGAACAGATTCAATTATCAATATATTTACTTAAGAGAAGATGCTAAAAGATGTTAGAAAACAAATCGTCAAGAAAACAGACCTTTGATTTTAGAAACTTTAGAGTACGAAAATGGACTATACCAGGCATTTATCATTAATCAGTGTCTGTTAGTCGTATACAAATGTTTCCATGGTCCCTTTCTCCTATAGACTTCTTTGATCTTAAGGATAGGAATTTTAAAAATAGAAGTATGCTACTTGGATTTGATTTATTTATACAAATGCATTTGCAACGAACACGTGTTCGATAATAGCACTGTTGTTATCTAGTGGTAATAGTGGTACTGTATCATGTATTCCAATACTCTCCAGAAACATTTTCATTTTAGGATAAAAAATACAGAAATAATTACATACAATTATGAGATGAATTGCTTTATACTTATTTATAAATTTCCCAAGTAACTTATAGACAAATATAATACTTTAAAGTAGTAATAATAATTTTTGACCATTAGTGCAACTTTTAAAAAATGTTGTTCTACTTTGACAGCACTAGTTCCTCATCTAAAGATTTCACAGTATCGTTCATAACGAAACATACGTTCCACACTTTTAACATATTCTAGGTATTCCTGCATATATTATTCATTTTTGGAAAAAAAATTGAGGGGGGTATATAAAAGAATCATTTTTCTTATAAAAAAGTTTTTAAAGAAAATATCAGGCTGATACAATACAAATTGTTTTATTCTTGATTTTTCTGGTGTTCCAGCAAAATAACTGAACTAAAAATTCAGAGTTCAAAGGCCTTTAAAGACCATCTATTTCAATTCTCCCTTCTTCTCCCCCTTTTGCTATTTCATGCCAAAGGTGAGCTTATTACCCAATGATCTTGACCTAGTAATCTTTGATAGTGTTGAAATTTGATTTGTGTATTGCATGGAAATAGCAGTTAACTTGCTATTTTTATTTAAAAAATACTCCAAGGCAAAGTCTTCATAAGTGATTTAAAGAGTTCTGAAGAATAATCAGGAGTATGTGATGATTCTAATAGTCCCAGATAAGTGGCAGCACACATTTATACATGGCTGGACGCCTGTGTCCATTTTTCCTGTATGCTAAGTAACACAGTGGCATCAAACGGTAGTTAGTAATAAAAAGAGCTAAATTATTCTCTATGCAGAGAGTCCATGCATTTGGAATATAGAAGGGCTTTTTTTTTTTTTTCTTAAGTTCCTACTTGGCTGTCTTCATCTATGCAAGGAGAACAATCATCTGAAACACTGACTCAGTGTAGACCATAGGTTCACCACTGGGGGCAGTTTTGTTCTCTGGGGGACATTTAGCAGTGTCTAGAGACATTGTTGATTGTTGTACCTGGAGTGGGGTGCTTCTGACTTTTATTAGAGGCCAGGCATGCTGCTGGACATCCTACAATGCACAGGACAGTACCTTCCAACAAAGAATTATTCAGTTCATAATGTCCATAGTGCTGAGGTTGAGAATCCCTGCTGTGGAAGACAATAACTTACGTCTCTTTATTGGGAAATTTGCAGAAAGGATTTGGAATATGAGCAAGACATCTTGCAGTTCTCCAAATTCAAAAGGATTTTTGCTGTAAACTTATATTAAGCAGTAGTTTCAATGTGTTTAGAAAGCTTTAACCACAGACAGACTGGAGATGAAATGTGCTTTATTTCCCATTTTTAGGGAAATTCTCATGGACTACATCCAGCTTTCTCCTCTGCTTAACCAAACTAGCAGCTGTTCCTTATACATGCCTGGAAGTTTTCCATTTCTGAGCCTTTGTCTCCGATCTTTTTTCTTTCTGTGTTTTGCTTCCCTGCTTCTATGTGTCTACTTGTCCCACAAAACCCATCTTAGAGGTCATTTCCAGCTGGAAATAAGTTTTCCCACTGTTACACTTCCATGTTATTTCTCCGTGTGCAGTATGAGCTCACTTTCTAACATAAGCATTTTTACTGTGTCATGCTATAATCTTGACGAGCACAGAATTTGTCTGGGCTGGACTTTGTTTTCCATAGTTCCTTGCTCAGTAGGTATTTCAAGGATAAATGAAAGCTTTTACAACCCCTCTTCACTGTCAGTAAAGCTATGCTTTAGATGGTAGACAATCTAAAGAAAAGTCCACTCAAGTTTCACCTCTCTTTCCAGAAACAGTGACCAAAGCCTATAATATACCTGGGAATCTGAGCCAGGGGGAAACAGTTGCCATTTTCTCTGCCCTTTTTGGGAGACTCAGCCTGATCCCTCCACTTTCCTTCACAAGGTATCTCTGAATCAGTTTCCCCTGCCCACACCATCCTTCAATATGTTCCTGGGAAGTCAAATCTCCCACAAAACCCCTCCATTAAGTTTAGAGTGCAGAGCACCCCAATCCCCACATACAAAAGCCATCTGAGTACAAACTTACTGTCCAAATGACCATCTTTAACAGACAGCCTGCTCTTTTGCTTGCCTTCATACAAACTTACTGTCCAAATGACCATCTTTAACAGACAGCCAGCTCTTTTTCTTGCCTTCAAATAAGTGGACACGATTTTTTTCTACAAAATAAATTACTGTTGAGTGGTTATAAGGATTGTATGTGGAAAACTCACTTTAAGGACATCTTGAGAGGAGATGCTAAAATGGGGCTAAATGGATTTTTCAAGAATGTTTTCATCAGGAAGATGTACTTGCCTCCTTTTATTGAGACACAGCCAATTGTCTTCTTACATTCTGTTAGACTAGTCAGTTTCTATGCTATTGTTAGCAAAGACAAAAGAATGTACACCACAAAAAAGGACAATGATAGAGAAAGGAAGGCACTAAATCTTTTCCCTGGGGATCCTATGTACAATTCAAGGTATCTTTGTCCTCAGTCATATATAAAGCTGTATCCTGCACTTCAAAATGCCGGGAGCACAAAGTTGTTTCTATTTGCCGATTTCGCAGAGGAATTTGGAAAATCTAACTTAGGCAATTCAAGCATCTGCTCATTTATCTGAGGCCCAAGAACCCATCTCTACTTCTGTCTTTGTGTCTGGAATACTTTTGCAGGAGTTTCTGTAGGTTTAATAATAAACTCTCTGCCCATCTTTACCTCTCAAGCATTAAGGGGAAACATTTCTTGGAAATTCTTGGACAGCAATTAAAAGAGCAGGCATTCTCTCTACCACCATTTTCTGAGGAAATAGAAAGCTACTGTAGTCTCTCATATTAACTTTAATTGATTCATTCACATTCCATGTTATGCTAATCCCACAAGGAAGAGTGATAAGTTCTCAGTCTCAATATTTTTGTTGATTTAATATGATTATTAAAGTAAATTCTTCCAGGACTCCTTTTTACAGTCACATATATGTGATCTGGTACTTGCAGGCTGCAGCATCCTCCAGGCCATTCCCAAACAATCAACATGCGAATAGGTTTTCCAGGAAAGGCTTAAGATAGTTTGTAGTCTTGCCCTTGAATGTGATATTGAAAAGTTCACAAATTAGACCTAAAGGAATCAAAATGCTGCAGCCTTAAAGTCTAGTGCCACCAGAACCAGAAATTTCAGTCCACAGTTTGTAGGGAAATTTACATTTAAAGAGCGAGTGAAAACACTTTAGACAAAGAAAAGCAGATGGACTTCACAGCTCATTCTAGACTCTTGGGAGTCTGACTCTGGACAAGATTATTTTTAGCAAGGCAGAGAAGGAAACTGGGATGTCCAGGTTAAAAGTAACAGTATTTAAAAAACTTGAATGAAAAGGCAAAAATAAAAAAGTAAAATTTATAAATTTTTTTTTTTCACACACACACACAAATCCCCCACATCTTCCTAATCCTGTACTCTATTGGAGTTGGGTCAGGAGACATGGACCCAACATGGGTTATCCAAGAGCTCAGGTTCCCCACCAGGAACCTGAGAATTAAGCATTAGTTATAAACAGGACCTCTGCAACGGACTGAATTTTTCATCTCTTTCCTGGCTAAGGAATAGCCAAATCCCCAAATGATTCAGACTTCTGGTTAATTTCTTTACAGCCCATGCCCTAAGAGGATTTCTCTTATTAAGGTTAATGGCTTCTCAAGAGTAGTTTTCCTGTGCAAAATCTCCACTTGTTTTCGAGGGGTACGGATTTTATTCCGAAGAACCCTATTCCTAAGAGTCTACTTCAGTCTTTACATCTTTATCCACCTAAACTCAGATAGCTATTTCATTTCCTTGAGATATTAAGCCTGTTCTGTTATTTTCTTTGGTTTCAATTTCTTTATCCTTGATAGCTTGTTTCAATAATAGCCCCTGATTGGCTCATGCCTCCCGGTAATCCTGTCCTGGGGTATCCCATCACCTATTGACACTGGTCTTGGTCATATGACCTGCTTTGGCCAATAGGACAATAGGAAACACAACTCATTCGGAAACTTTAAGTGTGTTTGCAGATGGTGGTTTCGCTCTCTCCTGATGCTTTTATTTATTTATTTATTTATTTATTTATTTATTTTGAGACAGAGTCTTGCTTCTGTCACCCAAGCTGGAGTGCAGTGGTGCGATCTCAGCTCACTGCAACCTTTGACTCCTGGGTTTAAGAGATTTCCTGGCCTCAGCCTCCTGAGTAGCTGGGACTACAGGCATGCACCACCATGCCCAGCTAAGTTTTGTATTTTTAGTAGAGACAGAGTTTCACCATGTTGGCCAGGCTTGTCTTGAACTCCTGACCTTAAGTGATCTGCCCACCTTGGCCTCTCAAAGTGCTGGGATTACAGGCTTAAACCAACACACCCAGCCTGGGATGGTTTTTATAAAGCTAAAGCCAACTGATACATTACTTAAAATTGGAGGTAATAGTATCTACCAATTTCATATGGTTGTTAGTGTGAGTTAAACAAATTAACGGTGCGTGACACATAGGAAGTGTAAATATAAGTTTTCATTATTGTTATTATCTGTGTGATTTGAACGCTACACACCTTTGGCTGATTCAGCTGTAGGTTAAGAGCGGGGCTTTCACAGGTGTCTACCAGTAAGATCTTTCTAACTTCACTGTGTTATAAGTTTAGGGTGTCCCAGCTTGACTCAAGGTAAGCTTCTCTCCAGAATCACAGAGGGAGGAAGTCTAGTTAGTTGTCAGCCAGGCCACTGGCGTTTAGTCATAGTGTGTTTCTGGTCATCTCTTGCAGTTACAATTCCCTTCGTCAGGAGAAATGCTCAGAAATCCCATCAAAAAATAAACTAAAACACCCTTAAATGCTTAAGTAGCAATTATGTATATTGTATTTGTTAGGAAATATTTCTGCCAACCTTTCAGACCACAGTGACAATGGCTTATCAGCTGGAGTTCATCTACCAGATCCTTTTAGACTCATTTACTTTCCAGAAATACTGTTTCTCTGAAAATATATTTCCTTTGGTAATAGAATGGGGTCCTGGTTCCTCTCCCCTGAAGGCACAGGGGCATACCTGTAACATCTCACTTTTGTATTTTCTCTTTAAGTCAAATTGGGTAAAGCAGAAGCTCCCAGGTGGGCATTTATAATACAGCTGGAGATCAGGCAAATTGCTTATTTCCTCATCTATAAATAATGATCTCTAAGGTCTCTTGCAGCTTTGAAATTTGATTTCTCAGAGTATTCTGCAAATGTTATATAGGAGATCATGCAACTGGAGACACCTAGAGCATGTCTAAAAGCTTTTTTAAATCAACCAAGCAGCAGAAGAGAACCTGTTTCACTTAACAGTGACAGTGGCTGTGTGTATTTACAGAAAGCATCTCACTCTAAGTTGGAATATTTTGGCTGGGTGCTTAGGGTATGCAGAACTACGAAGTGTGTGTATAAGGAAGGGTGTGTGTGGGTGGCTATTGGGGCCTTGGGGTTGCAGAGGGGAGCGGGTTTTCTTCTTTACTTTTGTCCTGGTTGCTTCTCTCCAGTTGGGTAGATTATTAACAACAACAAAATTGTTTCACATATTTATAACCTTTTTCTTAACTTGTTTTAATGGTAATATTCACCATGAGTAATTATGTGTCATATATGTACATTATTTATATAGCCATGTTTCAATCTATTTGATGCAAGGTAAAGTTCATGTTGTCTGAATAATAAATCATAGAAATAACTTTTAGCAGCTACTCACTCCAACCTTGGTAGTTTTACAAATGAAAAAACTGAGCTTCAGAGTGATTAATCATTGTATTGAAGATAACTAGGCTGGGTGCGGTGGCTCACGCCTGGAATCCCAGCGCTTTGGGAGGCTGAGGCGAGCAGATCGCTTGAGCCCAGGTGTTCAGGACCAGCCTGGGCAACATGATGAAACCTTGTCCCTACAAAAAATTAGCTGGGCACGGTGATTCCCACCTGTAGTCCCAGCAACTTGGGAGGCTAAGGCAGGAGAATCACTTGAGCCCAGGGAGGGGGACTGAGGGGAGGATGTTGCAGTGAGCCAAGATCGCACCACTGCACTCCAGCCTGGGCGAGAGGAGTGAAATCGTCTCAAAGGAAAAAAAAAATAACTAGTCAGTGACCAAGGGAGAGCTAGAACCCTGGCCTTCTGACAACTAGCTCAAGCCAGTGTTTATTCTTTTTGGGTTGTTCTCATCTGCTGGAGTCAGCCACAGCCAGCAAACATTTTTTGAGCCTCTACTAACACCAAGTATTTTCTGAATAATGAGGCAAGGCCTCTGCCCTGGAGGAGCTTGGAGGCTTGGGAGTGAGTCAGCCATGAAAACAAAGTCAATTTGTTATGCTAGTCCCTTATGTATACATTGAAATACTTCTGGGGCAACTTTACTATCTACACCTACAGTCTCTTTAATATTGTAAATTGTTGTAGTTGTTTTTGGTTTGTATTTTTGTTGTTTATACACAGATAATATACTGAAGCATTCTTCTAGACTATGTAAAGATAAGGCAAGAATAACAACTGTTGCCCAAATTAAACTTAGCGATAGGCTTATTTAGGGTGTTAAAGCTCCAAGTACCATATATTTGCTATTTTTTTTCCTGTCATCGCAGGGGAAAGAGAGATGAGGGCTCTCTGTGGCATCATGACTATTTAATCTAAAAGAACAACCATTTACAGACATATGAGGAATTTTTTTTCTCTCCAGGATCATCATTACAGTTCAAAAGATTTTGCTGTTTTATATTCAACCTCAATTCTGGCTGAAAAAGGACAAATTTGTTTCTTTTAAAATATTTTAAAGGTTTTTCAAGATGGATTTAAAATATGTTGACTTCTTTTAAGTTAGGCAATTTTTTCCCAACAACTTTACAAGTAAATTCAGGATCAGCACTCACAGTCCCAATGCCACAGGAAGATTAAAGAAATAACAGTTTATACAGATGCCCACACTCCTCTTCAATGTGCACATTGGAAAGCAGGTTTAAATATAATTTGAACATAAATACAAATGATTCCCTGTATGAAAGTCACTATGGTTTCCATTTGAAATTACCCAAGTTCTAGAGCTGTCCCGCTGGCAAGCGGCTCTACAGGAATTACCACGGACACTGCTTCTTGATACATATCTTGCTTTCTGTTTTGCTTTGGCTCTAAATGCCAAATATAAAAATCATGTCATTTTCAGTTTCCTTTAAGAAACGGACCCTTGATTGTCATGAAGAGTCCACTGGAGGTTACTGTCTGGAATCCTGCACCCACCCACAGCTGAGAAAGAAAAAAATATTTTGAAAACAATTCTAAAAGAAAAATAAGAGGTGGAAAAGCTTAGGTACCAGGCATTCACACTTCATCATTCCTTGTACAGTGTTGACCGGACTACTTGCCTGGTCCCAGACCAGTGTTCAGCACCGGGGAGATGTAGTGGTGAGCAGGACAGAGAAAGCCCCCAACTGCTCTGAGCAGGTGAAGGAAGACAGACAATTAAATGAGCAATTGCAATGGCATGTGGTGAGTTTCACAGTCAGGCACAGCTTCCCTAGCTGCATGATAGAATCATCTAAGGGTGACTAAGTATAAACCTCTGGGGATAAAGCCCAGCTTTGCAGCATTAGGAACATACCACAGGTAATCTACCATGCAGTAAATGTGGAGAAGCCCTGGGGAGGGTAAATGCAGGATGCTATGGGACTACGTGGTAGGGCAGTGACTCTCCATCCTTAGCCAGCATCAGAATCACCTGTAGGCTTCTTCAGTACAAACTGCTGGCCTCCACCATCAGGGTTTCATAGGTCTAGGGAAGCAGGAGGTTAAAAATATGCATTTCTAGTGAACGCCCAGGTGATACTGATGTTGTTGGTCCCAGGACCATACTTTGAGAATCACTGTGCTAGGAATAACGATCCTACTTCAGGGAGCTGTAATGAGTTTCCCAGAGGAAGTGATGTTTAAGGTAAACTGCAAAGGCTGAGTTGGGATGAGGGAGGTGTGTGAGAATATATGAGTGTTTGAGTGTGTGTGGTGGTGGTGGACAAGAGAAGCTGGAAGGAAATGTTTTACAGAGAGAGGAAAGCTGAGCAAGGGCCTGGATATAGATTTGAGGAGCTGAATGAATGTTCGGCCTAGCTGGCTTCAACTAGGTCACGGGGGCAGCATAGTCCCACTGAGGAATTTCGGTTACCTTTTAATGGTTAAGTGGGAATAGGATGTGATTAGATTTGTGTTTTTGTAAATCTGCTGGGATTACATTACTGAGCATGGGTTGGGTTGAAGTTGGCAAAACTGGAGAAAGTCTAGTCAAGAAGCTTCTGCAGTTTTCAAGTTAAAAATATGATAGTTTCCACATGGATGGTAGCCATAGGGAAGGAAAGAAATGGACAGATTCCAGAGGCATTCGAGACAGAGTGAATAGGATTTGGTGATTGATTTAAGGTAGAAGAGGAAGGAGATCAGAGTGAAAGCTGTGTATCTGGGTTTGGCTACTAGATGTTAGTGGTGCCGTTCCCACAGGTGTTAGAGTGAGAAGTGGTAGGGGATTATGCATTGCGACACGCTGAGACTTTCAAACAATCATTCAGAAGATAGGTGGATGTATGGGTTGGAGTACAGTAGGAGTGGGAAATGAATTTGGGAAGTTATCAGCGGGGGCCTACAGAATGAGCAAGGAGACAGAAAAATGGAAGAAAGCATGGAGCCATGAGTTTCTTGGTTTTTGGAGATATTTTTGTGGCTGAAGTTGAGACCATCGTGTTCATTGTAGGGTAAATGATTGCTATTCAGTCACATGTCTTAGAAATGTGGTTGGATAAAATAAATGTAAGAGAGGGGTTTTCTTATGGGTGTCTATGAGGGTCTATGTATACATGACGTGAGATTGCTTCCTCTTCTTACATCTACGAGAAGGGCTCTTAATTTTCTTTCCTTCTCATGTAGCTGGAGGAGAAGAGCTCTGCAGTTTACTACAAAGAGGCCAAGTGAGGGTGACCACTGGGAGAGGGGAGAGACTACATTACCTGGAGGAAATTTGTGGTTCTCAAATGCTGAGCTCTAAATGTGTCATCTAATCTAAGGGTATCATGTCTGCCCTTGATTGCTAGGAAAACACTAGAGTTCTAGGGTAAGACATTGGGTGAAGCGAGGTGGGGATGCCTTTTTGTTTTTCCATCCATATGCGACTGCAGGATGTACAGCACACTGTTTGTTACTTGGGCCAGTACCTATATCAAGAGAGGACATTGGATTTAAAAAAGAAAAAGAAAGTTCTACCCTCAGGGAACTTATTTAATAAGGATGTAATGTGACATTTTAAAATCAAGACTCTCTGAAACAGTACATAATGTAGTTGCAAACAATGTAGTTTGATATTAATGGTATGTAAATGAGTTAATATGGAATAAATAAACACATAAAAACAACCCACAAAACCCCATCCTAACTGTTTTTCTAGCATTTAGACTCGACACGGTAGTGCTTTCATTTTCTTCCAGAAAAGGACAGTGGCACCTGGAACGCTGTCACCATCCCCTCTTTGACGCACAGAAACCCCATCCACAATTCCTATCGTGGGTCCTGGCCTTCCCTTTATCCCCGCAGCCCCTTTCGGCTTTTTGAAATGCTCAGGGCGGTGCACGCTGGCGTGTGCTGCTGCCACCTAGAGGGCGAGTGTGAGAATGGAGCCTCCCCTTCTGTGTTTATGAATCCCCACGCAGAAATGCAGAAGTAACCAACCTTTCTGTGTTTTAATCTCCTCCTTATTTATATTTTTCTTACCTCCTCTCTTTTTTTGTTCTTTCATTTTCTTCCATTTTTTCTCTGGGTGTAGGGATGTGCAAACATTTTTCACAACATTACAAACTCAAAATGTTACTATCTGAACAATGTCTTTTCTAGAGGCATCAGTGGTTAAATACTGTTTCCTGCGGGAGTGTGGGGATGTTTCTCACTGTTTTACCACCAACGATTTAGGCTGGATAAGGTATGAAAACTTATAGGGCCCAATGAGAAACAGAACTGGGTCCTTTCACACATGAAAATAATATTTTATAGACATTGTGCTTTCTCTTTTTGTTTCTGTTTTAAGTGACTTACCCATTTTAATGTGAGAATATGCCTTACTGATTTAGAAACATTTTTCTTTGCAGACTTGACACCATCCTTCACAATCAAACTTCGCATGGCTAAAATGTCAAACCATGGTGCTAACCCACTCTATCAAACTATATAGTACTAACTAAAGAGCTATAACACATTCTCTACTGGAATGCCATCTCCTTCATGCTTTAAAGGAGAGATGACTAGAGTGAATTAAATAAAATGAGAAACCTTCATTTTTACAGCCATTTGCCTTTTCACATCAGGCAGAACTTGATCCTTATTCAGTTCCCAAAAAGCCCGAAGTGGTGTGTGCCATTTGTGTGTAACTGCCACTAAGTTTTATATGGATTTGATGAATTTCACATCTCAGCTTGGGACTCCATATAGTTAATGCTTTTTAATCAGAGTATTTTAATCAATAACATGATTAGGGAAGAATCAATAGCAAATACTAGCTTTTCTAGTGTATCATACATGATGAAGGCCTAACCTGGGGAAATAACTTCCCTATCCACCTCTGAGTATTGTCTTTAGGATCCAAGAGGGTAAGAAGAAAGATGTGCTCTTACCATTGTCATTGCCTTGCTTGATTTCCTCCGCTGTCCGGTCTATCAATACATACAAAGACCAAACCACACAGGTGATCGCGATTACGTGGAATGTGACAGAGCAGAATATTTTCCTCCTTTCACTTGTGGTCATCTGTAGTTTCTCCCACTGCAATCAGAAATGAAGGACACAAAACTGAATTGCAAACTAGGAAATTTTGCTCCTCTTTTATTTCCCAGACACAGATCATGAATGGAAGAAAAACAGTAAATATCTGCAATTTCAGATGACACTGTAATATTCAAATAAGTCTTCATGTTTAGAGAGATATGAAATTATAACCTAGAGAGTTACATATAACTTAAATACATATGTGTGTGTGTGTGTGTGTGTGTGTGTGTGTGTGTGTATTTTTTTGAGACAGGGTCTCACTCTGTCGCCCAGGCTGGAGTGCAGTGGCACAATCTCAGGTCACTGCAACCGCTGCCTCCCAGGCTCAAGAGAACCTCTGCCTCAGCCCCCAGAGTAGCTGGGACTATGGGTATGTACCACCATGCCTGGCTAATTTTTTTATGTATTTGTAGATATGGGGGTCTCACCATGTTGCCTAGGCTAGTCTCAAACTCCTGAGCTCAAGTAATCCACCCCCACCTTGTCCTCCCAAAGTGCTGGGATTATAGGCATGAGCCCCTGTGCCCGGCCTAACTCAGATATATATTAAATTGCAAACAAAAATAATTTTCTATTCTCCAAATGAATTAAATCAAGTCATTTCTGTTTTGCAAGTCTATAGTTTCCTCATCTGTACCAAGAATGAGATAGCTTTAATATTGAACAATTAAAAACTTCCTTTTCAGGATTCTGCCTATCACTTCCTTGTGGTACTAGGTTATACGTAGTAATAGGTAACACTATCTTCTTGGATTATCACACAACTGGACATAGTTTTACATTCTTGAATGTATAAATTTAATAAGTATTTGAATGACCGAATGATACCTGCAAGAGAAAGTCAACATTTTCTGTTCACAACTATTATAGAAAAACAAATTTTATCACTTGGGCGATACTAGAAAATCTGCTGAAGCCTCTTTTAGAGCAACCTTTAGTTGCTGCTACCGTAAGGGTTGTAACTACTGTGACGACCGCTGTCCTTTAATCACACTCCTGAGAAAGTTGAGGGCTGCTCCCTCAGTCTGGGAGAGGAAGAAGGCCGCAAGTTTTATTGAAGTTATGGTCTCCATAAGGGAATATCTCCCATATTTACTTTGAAGAAATAGCCTCTCAAAATATATTTTAATGTCTTTGTAGCTACAGTATCACTTCATTATTATGTTAGGAATTGTGTTTTTATTTTTCTTTGCATTCTTTCCATTAAAAAATTACAGTGATTTTATTAGACGTGAACTGACATGCCAAGCTTTTAATAATCTAGGATTCTTTACATTATTACGCCCTCACTAAAGCAAAATCTTCAGAACTTCAGAAGACCCCATTCCTTCCCCACCTGACCATCCCACATGTGGATTTCAATGCACAACCCAAAAACAAGATGGCGTACATTGTGGTACATAAAGTCCTGTCTCTGCCACCAGCTTTGAGACGTGGTTAAAATCATGTACTCTCTCTGGGCCTCACTGCCTCGTCTTCATGAGGAGCAGATTTCAACAGAGGCTGTGACAGAGGTGGAGAAGAGAATAACCATTCTTCACTTCTTCTGTTAACAAACTAATTCATTAGAGTCGGCATTGTGCCCATCTTAAAGCTGCCTTTCCAACCTTTCTTGGCTCAGGTGTACATTGATTATTTTCCAGCAATGAGATGTGAGCCAATATCTAGTGGGACATTAAGTTTTTGCCTTTCTAATGTAGGTATTGTCCTTTCCTTCATTTTCTGCTCTTTGCTACCTGGAATTCATAATTAAGTGGGAGAGTGTTCATCTTGCAATCTTGAGGAAAAATCTTGAGAACTGGAGTTTTCTCAGCCCAATCAGCAACAGCTTGCCTTTGGCCATCCTGTTGTCTTCCTGATTAAGCCATTATTTCCCAGGTCTCTGCCACTTGCTGTCAAATGCAATTATTGGTAAAAGAATTAAATAGATACTTCCTAGCTTCTCTTCCAGTCTATGGAATAAGAGCCTATAATTTCATTTGCAAGAGAGCATGATACTTCAAGTATGACCTTGATGCTCTAGAGCAGTTTAAACATTTTAGAGAAAGAAATATTTTATTTACAAACACCATCCCTTCCTCTCCTCCTACTGGCCAATCATCATGTAATTTTCCTTGAAGGAGTTTGTTAGAGTTAATTAAAAATTCATTCTTTATCTTGTACTTTGTTTTTTATCAAACTATATTTATATATTATTCCAAGCATAACAAAGGGTAAATATTAATAATGTGATTAAGGAATAAACAGATGTTTCAATTTAGACTCTATTTTGAATTAATCAGTCTTGAACTGAGAAGATTTTAATGTTAATTGAGTTTTTTCAAAACCTCATGTCCGTGCAAGATTGATTTTTTAAAAATCCTGTTTTGGCTTTGGTTTATTGTCGTATTAATCTGAATAACACATATAATCATAGAATATTATTATTTGGCAATAGCATTTTGCAATTTAATAAATATTCCTTGAATTACTTCAGTATTTAATACAGACAGATAAAAAGTGGAAGCTGGTATGGAAAAACAGCTTCACGTTTTTAAAGTTTCTGTGTTGCAAGTGGATAGAATACTTGCAGTAACGAAATATTCATATCAAATCAACCCTCAATTATAAAATTGGCTTAAAATACTATTAAAATTGGGACTTCTATCTATGGAGCAATTTGATTAAATGGCTGGAACACTATTAAAAAGTAAGGCTCCTCAAATAGAAAAATATCAGTGGGGCTGACAAGAATGGACCAAATCATTTGTAAAGATTCATCTAGTTCCAGACAATAGAAGCTCTGAAGTTGTCACTTCTAAATCGCAGTTAACATTCTAAGGAGAAGTGAAGCATAAGGGAACCATCCACGTTTTCCACTTTATAAATCCTTACAGGAACCATTTAGAAACTCACTAGACAGCACACAAGTAAATGTAATGCCACAGTGCCCTCTTCCTAACGACTACATTACTGCATGCAATATTCAGTAAATGGCGCTGGCAGAAATCAATGTATTTTATAAACCTTTCCCTTCATATTGTCTTTTCAGGTTTGTTTACAAAATTTCAGTATGTTTTGCAAGCCTTACTAAGAATGAGAAATGGAGAGGATAAGGATAGAAATCTTATTTTAACAAAGCTGTCATGAAAGTGCCTTCAATTAATATTCATGATGCTGAAATTCAGTGGCAGTTCACAAAAGATTTCGTGATAGGCAAGTGATAATCTGTGAAACTTTTCATAGCATTTCTGCTCCCCTGTCCTGCTTTACCAAATAACGTGTGACTTATGGCCCTGTTACCAGGAGTATATTGTTACCATGGTTACACCTCTAGAGAAGGTTGTTCCTGAGAAGATCCTCTTCAGGTCCCCAAAGTGTGGTCCCTGATCAGCCTCAGCAGTGCCAGCCTCACTCAGGCACACTACACGCGCCCACCACCACGCCTGGCTAATTTTTTGTAAATTCTTGAGCTCCGCTTTGGAGATGACTCTATGTTAGTTTTTCCCACATGCCCCCTAGAAAATACAAACTATTGCCTTGTCAGTGATGAAGTAAAGTTTCTTTTGCTTATTGCTTGGGCCTGAGTCGAATATTTTATCCTCAAGTCTCTCGGTGTTGAGAAGACGTTATCTCTCCAAGGGGTCTCAAGGAAGCTGGTGGAAATGGTAAGACGGCAGCTCCCTTTCCCGTTTCCCAAAGGTCAGGGAGAAGGAACGCACGACAGCACATACACCACCATACTTTTCACCAATGTCTACACTGCCGACCCTCTGATCTGCCCTTCCTTAGTCTTCAAGTTCTCCTTTATACCTTGAAGATGGGGGATGAGCTAAGATTAGGCAAAAGTAGTTTCACAAAATCTTAGCACTTCCTGCATAGGTAGTCTTGAACCTCGCTTTGGACTTTACAGTCCCTGGGCCTTTGGTGCCTGTTTTACTGTTCTTGCTTTTGATTTTTTTTTTTTTTTTGCAGAAGCCACTAAACAATAGAAAGAAATCCAACAGAACTCTATTATTCACTTAGAAAAATATGACTGTATGTTTTTTCTGAATTGTAGTATAACTTGATGCAAACATTGTTTCTGTGAAATTGTCTATTTGATGAAGTTAAATCAAACTTTGCATGATAGGGTCAGGTTTTCTAATTCAAATTACTTGCATTATATTCTGTCCTAAAATATAAATTTAAAAGTACTGCCCACAGAAAAGTGTTGTTTAAATCTTTATACCAGTGAAGAATAAAGGCAGTTTATTTGTATAACATAAAAATGCAGGCCGGGCGCAGTGGCTCACGCCTGTAATCCCAGCAGTTTGGGAGGCCAAGGCGGGCGGATTGCCTGAGCGCAGGAGTTCGCCACCAACCTGGGCAACACGGTGAAACCCCGTCTCTACTAGAATACAAAAATTATCCAGGCGTGGCGGCGGGCGACTGTAGTCCCAGCTACTCGGAAGGCTGAGGCAAGAGAATCGCTTCAACCCGGGAGGCAGAGATTGCAGTGGGCCGAGATCGCGCCACTGCACTCCAGCCTCGGCGACAGAGCGAGACTCCGTCTCAAAAAAAAAAAAAAAAAAAGAAAAGAAAAGAAAAGAAAAAAGCAGGAGGTAGGGACTACTTTGCCAAATCCATTAAATCCATTTCGTCTTTTTTCTTGACAGTTCACCTATGGTTTCCAGCTTCCGTAACAGTCACGTGACCTAGAGTTTTCAATCTATAGAATGATAGACCAAAAAATTACCACCAGGTGGCGCCAGGCCCAAACAGTAGCTAGTACGGTAGCCCTTTTTTTTTTTTTTTTTGGTACCGCCAGACCCAGGAGCTCCCAGCCGGCCAGGTGTGCAGGTTCTTCCTGTCATTTTGCATAAATGCAAAGCCACATTTTAATTGTTTACTGGCTCTGCCTGTCATATTGGATTTTGCTGCAGACGAGCGAAAATAATACCTGAAACAGCAAGTGTAAAGGTTATCACATTATTTACATGCCTTAGTAAGATATGTTGTGCTGGAGGATAATAAGTAAACCTTTTACAAATCCTTGGACTTGCTATGCTGGAGAAATTTCTAGAGGACCCATTCATATGAAGCAGTGGTTCTCAGTGTTCCCCAGTAGCAGATGCAGCAGCAATCAGGAAACTTGTTAGAAACCCAGTATTTTGAGCCCCACACCAAACTCACGGAATCAGAAACTCTGGCGATGGGGACCCTGTAATGTGCTTTAACAAGCCCTCAGGTGATTCCGATGCAAGCTACAGTTAGAGAACCACCTGCCTAAAGGATGACACTTAGCAGAGTTGCACGGTGACCTCCGTGGAGTTTATATCAGAAGTAGTACTTGTCACTCCCTGTCATGAACTAATTAGTAGTCCAGGAAAGGGTAATCAACAAATGAGTTTTGTTTTCTGGCTGTGATTTAAATATTTCAGGTCGACTGAAAAAAATTACATAATTCATTTATTTGAACTGAAATGATTCAGAGTTAGCTCATTAATCACTAAAGCAAACTTTCATTTTTTGTTTTACTTTTCAAATTAGTGTTTAGGTAACATAAAAGCCTATTAAAATCTAATTATACTAGTAACAATTTCAAATACTCTGGGAGAGAACTAAACAACAGACTCTTAATTATGAGGAGTAACTCTTGAACCTTAATAAATCTTTAAGTTCAGAGGTATGCCTATGGTAAATAATTTCCCTCTTAAAAATGTATTTTAAAAGACCAGCAGAAAAATTTGACCTCTGCAGACCTTTAGTGAAATTTGCTACAAAACTGATGATAGGGAGGAAACAACAAAGCCAGGTAGGTGGTAGGCAGCTGGTAAAGTTCACTAGTTAAGGCACTCACTGTTGGACACAAATCAGGAAGTGTACACAAGTGCAAACTTGTTCTCTCAGAATTACAGTAATATAGTGGCTGTGTCCCCACCTAAATCTCATGTTGAATTGTAGCTCCCATAATTCCCAAATGTTATGAGAAGGACCTGGTAGGAGATAATTGAATCATCAGGATGGCTTCCCCCATACTGTTCTTGTGGTAGTGAATAAGTCTCACGAGATCTGATGGTTTTAGATCATGAGGTCTCTCTCTTGCCTGCTGCCGTGTAAGACATGCCTTTCACTGTCTGCCATGATTGTGAGACCTCCCCAGTCATGTGGAACTATGAGTCCATTAAACCTCTTTTTCTTCATAAATTACCCAGTCTCAGGTATGTCTTTATGAGCAGTGCAAAAAGGGACTAATATAAGTCCCTTTACAGATAAGCATGTACATGAAGGCTTTCTTACTAAGAGTCAAAACCTCAGATATAATAGCCATAAATGCTCTGTGAGTCTATCATTTCCTTAAAAAAACATTTTCTCCCCTAGTTCTCTTCCACGTTAGGTCCACCAGTGATAATCATTTGACATCTTTTGTACATGGCCCAATGTGAGGGGACACTATTTTCTGATTAAGTGCAGCTCCTCTGTCTCTCCTGATAACAGTACAAGAAGGTCTTGTACTGCACCAAAGATTAGGATCTGCAATCCAAAGGAACTGCAAGTGGAAACAGTGAGGAATGGGCCATGTGTCCAGATGGACCTGGGAGATCACCAACCCAAATATAGACAGCAAATTAACAGCTACCATCTTGAGACAGTGTGTGCACGCAGCGGTTTAGAATCGGGGGAAGTAGTTAACTGAGACCCAGGTTTGGGTAAAGATACCACTGCAAGTAATTGGCAGTCTTACTGAAAAACGGTAATAAACAGTTCCACAAAGAGGCATATCTAAGACCCTGAAATCAATGGCTTCATTTTGCTACCACTCAGTTTGAGTCTCCTTTTGCATTCTGAACTGCTGGGTAATGGGAGTCTTTTCTAACTAGAAGTGGTTTTCAGTATTAGCTGTTTGACAGGATCATTTGGGGCATCAAGTTCCCTATAGACACACTCAGGCCTCGTTGAATCCATCACTGAGGAATGAACCGTGCAGCTGTGTGGTGTATTCTGTCTGTGATCCAACAAGTGTTTAAGAATGAGGGCTCTGGGGGCCTGGAGCGGTGGCTCAGGCCTGTAATCCCAGCACTTTGGGAGGCCCAGGTGGGCAGATCACGAGGTCAGGAGATTGAGACCATCCTGGCCAACGTGGTGAAACCCTGCATCTACTAAAAATACAAAAAATCAGCTGGGCATGGTGGCGGGCGCCTGTAGTCCCAGCTACTTGGGAGGCTGAGGCAGGAGAATGGCTTGAACCCGGGAGGCGGAGCTTGCAGTGAGCCGAGATCGCGCCACTGCCCTCCAGCCTGGGCGACAGAGCGAGACTCCGTCTCAAAAAAAAAAAAAAAAAAAGAAGAATGAGCGCTCTGGGTTCAAATTCTAGCTCTGCCACTAAGTACTGTGTGACCTTGGGTGAGTTATTTTAATTCTCTGTGCCTCCATTTCTTTATCTGTAAAATGGTGATTAGAATAGAACCTACTTTGCAGGGTAAAGTCTAAGCAACTTAATACATGTAAATGCAGAACACTATCAGGCACTTAAAAAGAATTCAATAAATGTTAGCAGTTATCACAACTTGGAGCTTGCAGCACCGCATCCAATTAGACCTCAGTTGTTCTTACTGTCTAGATTAATGCGTCATGCTGATAACATCTCTGAGGAATGAAGATGAGATTTGTTCAGGCAGAATTAAGTCAGCGAAAGCACCTGTTCCCCACTTCTGTTTTCTAAGTACAAATATGTTTTTCGGAATACTGAGTCTCATATGTCTCATATCAGGAAAATACAATCTATTTTTATTAACTATGTGAACAAAGATAAGAAGGGTTATTACAAAAGTTACTTTGCATATACTAGGTAGAAACAGCTAAAAGATGGCACAATGATGGCTTCATTTCTGTAAGAAATGGAGCAAATATCATTATAGGTTTTAATATATGCCCCAGTAACTTCTCATTCTTGTTGTCAAATTCAAAATGGTATCTTAAGGTTTCATGTTTCCCAAAGACATACTGCTCTGGGTGACAGATTTCACAAAAGGTTAAAGGAACTCAAACATTCCAAATAAACTCAAAGCATGAGCGTGGGTGTGTGGCTTAGAATTATGTCTTCTGTGGGCATCGCAGGACATGAGAAGCAGTCTGACTAGAAAGGTCCCGCTGTCTCTGCCCCAGGGATGCTATTCTAACAAACTTAGTGACTGCAAAATCCAAGAAGCTACCCAAGAATGGATACATGAAAAAAATGGCTCTTTTCCTCAAAAGCTAATTCACTTGGATTTCTATACATGAAGACTCTTTTACTTTTCAAAAACATTTTTGGGGTTAGCTGATACAGTATTTTACCAAGAAGGGCTCACATTGCTTTGCAGTATTTAGACTAGTACTTGAGACACACCAGTTGAGTAAAAAATAGAGGTGTGATAGCAGGGAAAATGCAACTTATAAATCCAAGCATGGTTGAAATATCATTTTTAAGGCTTTAGAAAAAGGTGCATTTATTTAAAGTAATAGTAAGAGATATATATTGTACTGATATGCTTGTCACGTTAGTTTACAATGTGAGGAATACGCCACTAAGAATTGTGACTCAGTGGTGCTGCTGGATGCATGAGAGAGGTGTTAACAACTGCCAGATGAGAAATTGTCCAAATGCAAAGGTATTAGTAGAGTCAGAGGCCAAGGGAACATAGAAGGTGTTGGAAAGAACAATGGAGAGCAGAGAGAGCTGGGGTAGGAGCAGGAGGCCTGGGGTGGTGTGGAGGGAGAGGAGTACAATGTGGTAGTTAGGTCGAACAGGCTAGAAGCCACATGGTCAGAGAGGCTTGGAGCGAAGCAACTAAGAACTCAGACTCCTGGGTTAGGGAGACTTGGGTCAGAGACCCCTGTCTGGCTTGGGTCAAGTAACCTAACCTCCTAATGCCTCAGTTTTCTCATTGGTAAAATCAGGATGACAACAGTGTCTCTTGTATAGAGTTTGCTGGAATTATATGAGATAATCTAGTTAGCACATAGTAAACAGGGAAGTAAACCAGGCATAAATATTCTAAAAATAGTGTGACCAGTAAATTCAAAGCTACCAAATTATTTTTATAAAACAGATAAGCCATTTTATGTTCAGTCAACTAAATGATGATTAAGAATTTCTCTACAAAATATATGCACATTACTTATTACATGCATATGTAAATATATATGAGCCCAATGTTAGATTACCAAAATAATTTTTCTTATAAACCTTGTCTTGATCTCTCACTGGTTTCTTTCAAGATTTTCATGACAGATGGGATTTCCTAAAAGTTTTAAGCAAGATATTTGTAATATAGAAAAAAAGGTGCTGAGTAAAATCATCCACTAGAGGGAGTAATGATATCACGCATAATGATGATATGAATGGAAAAAAGAGAAATGGAAAAATGTTTGTATATCTGTCCTGAGGGTAGATATAATATGTGGGATTTAGGCACATTTGCAGTGGAACTGTTGGGATAAAAGTTAAAATTGCAAATTCCTAAGCTTTGTTCCAGATTTATATCTGGGGGTGTGGCCTAGGAATCTGCATTCCTGGCAGGCACTCCGAGAGATTTTTATATATGCTGAACTTTGACAATTACTTCCCTAAGGAAGGAAAAGTTCAGGGACATATTTTAGAGTGGCATTGTAATATCTGACGGTTTTTCACAGAGTGAATATACTTTCACCTCCTTCCATATCCCCCCAAAAAACTCACCTAAATCTGAGTTGATTAATATCACCATGTAAGAACACAAATTACTTGAAAGTTTAATTAATAGATGCATTTAAACAAAGTTCCTTTAAAAATATTGAATCAATACTTGGTTGTCTGTTTTCTCTCGGAGGTTATGGTGAAAGATATTTTATCACACATTCTGAAAGAGAAGTCAGTATATTACTGCTTCAGGCATGTTGAACCAGCAGAAAATCTACTGAGCTGTGTCCATGAGGATACTTAATTATGGATTGTGGCTTCATAAAGAAAACAAAAGGAATAATTGGGTTACATTTCACAGTGGCATAGTCTCTCTTCCCCAGAGGTTGAAACCCTTGCCGAGCGGACTCTTGGATGACACTGCCATTGATGATGTTTTCCCTGGAAGCCCATTTCTGTTGTGGGCTCTTCGCCTCTTACCTCTTCAGTGAACAGCTATGGCACACGTGGAATCTGCACAGGTCTGTGGTCACTCTCTGTGCCTAAGTGATCATAGCCTTGCCGTTTAGGAGACAGTGCTCGTGTACTAAGCAGAAGCACAGACACTGGGAAGATTAAAAGAGAAAAGCTTTTAAAAATACCCAATTTTACCCCATCATTTTCTAGTTGAAGAAACTGAGGCCCAGAGCACTGAGTTGACTTACCCAGTCATTATTAGATGACATTATTAGATTTTTTTTCGTTCAGGAGCTAATTATTAAAGCATCACAATGTATCGGACATTGTTGTAGGATGCTAGGGAAGAAGACAGCCAAGATTTCTGCTTTGATGAAGCTTATATTAGGGTCCCAATTGTGGAATTTTGTGTAGTTGTTAAAATAGGGAACTGTGTAATTTTCCATCAATAAGAGATAATAGGTTTTGATTTCATAAGTGCTTCTATCCCTTTCTCAATTCTGTTGTGTATGTTTAGAAATGTCTTTCTAGAATATTCCTTTGGGTGGCAGCAAATAAAAAGAGAATCTTTTTGGAACCGTCTATTTGTATCTACCCACAGTAAGCTCATCTACTGACAATCCATTGTTGATGCTTATTCTCATGGGTCAAAAAAATTCTTACATCCTATTTGCACTCTTTAATAGCAGTGTCACATCTGAACATTGTATTTAATGTAATTGAGTTGATTTTTTTTTTTACTCTCGAGAGTCTCTTAGCCACATATACACTTGAAATAAATCATATATATACGATTTATATATAAATAAAACAGAATATATATTTGTACATATATTCTACTCCAGTTTAAATGAGAGCCTGTGAAACTTGAAGTATTGGTTCCAGTTTTGGATATAATAATACTTTAAAAAATAGTGTTTTAGTTACTATATCTAAAAATCCATTTTATCAGTACTTTGATATCAAGCATGATTAATTGGCTCAATATATTACATTTGAATTTGTTTTTGGCACCATACTGACTCAGCGTTTCTTAAGAATTTTGTCCTAAAACTGAAGATTTTTTTTTTTTTTTAAAGAGAAGATTCTTTTGGGGTATAGAAATTTCTTAAATTGTATACAAAATATTGTGTGCATTTATTTTTTTCTGGGGAAAGGTCCATGATTTTCAATGGATTCTCAAAGAAATCGGAGACATTTTCCAAGTTAAAGTCCTTGCTTTAAACTGCTCTCCCTTGAATTGATTTAATAGCGATAGCAGGGAAGGGTTGGAGGTATACATAATCTCCACAGGCGGGAAATGAAACTTGTGGTTCAGGGACTCGGTATGTTTGGAAATCAAAAAATGACTTTGCAACCACAACTGGCCAAATTTCCTCATTTACAGCATTTAGGATGAAATCCCAAATGTTGATTCTCATCCTACTGGGTGATGGGAGAAAGTGTAAAATGCTCATTTGTGTTTACATGGCAATATTCAACTTTGTTTAATTATTTTGCTGTATAAGCTGTCCTATCCTATCATCTCCAAATACTGTTTTCCTCTAATTAGACAGCAGTTGGTTTGAACCAAAGAAAGCTTCAGGGGGACTAAGAATCTCATTCAGTTCCAAGGATACCAGAATAATTTGTCTGGGTCTTTGGGAGCCCATGCCAAGGGGTGTGTTTTTTTGTAATGATTCCTGAGGCCTTTATGCTTTCTATGTGAAATTTTTTGAGACATAGGTGATAATTTTTCACATTCTAGAACAGTTCCCATTTTTCTTCCTAAAGCTCAAGAGTGAGAACTGAACATGAAAGGAACTCATTTAAAAGTTCTTTAATAGCCTGTCGTTTTTCTTTCCTCTCTCTTTGGAAACCTAATAAAAATGGGTTAGCCTTGCTTTTCTTTTGCCTATATCCTTCATTCCCACTTATTTACTATTATGATTATTATTTATAAATCTTCATGTTGAATACTTTTTCACTGAAGATTCAGTTGTCCATTTCTCTAGCATTATTGGATCACAGCCAGGGGATAGAAATTAAATGTTAAACCAATCTAATATTATTCCAGTAATTTGTTCTTACAGAAAGCAAGGAGGTAAGGTTCAGCGTCCACACTGAAAATGGAGCAGGAAGGTTTAATATTCCCATTTAAACATCTCCTTTCTATTGAAGAACATAAAAGTCTTCTGATACTTGAGCTGACCATGACAAAGAGGGGGAAAAAAGAAAAATTTGGGTTCTGTGAAAATACATGGAGTTGCATGGAATAGAGATTTGTCTGAAGAAACTGAGATGACTGAGTGTCTGAGCATGAGGTGGAAGGGCACAGGTGAGGGGGGAAGAGTGGGCAGGACCAGATGATGAGGACCCCCGATTATCATCCGGAGCGGGGAAACATGGGGTGTGGAACAGGCGTGAACGGTTCAATGTGCAGGGAGAAGTAGAAAGTGTTCTTCCCAGATTTCCTTCATGGAATTCGTTCAAAAGGAATCTCTTTATGACTATTTGGGGTAGAAAGCATGATTACAAGGGACACAAATGTAAGCTGACCTCTTCTGAGTGAGGCAGTAGGAAGAGTTTTTCTGTTGTTCTGAGGAGATGCTTGAGCAAGTGGAGGAGATGCTTCGGAGAAGATAGAAGGTTCTCTGGCTTCAGGATGGGTCTTCTGCTACTCAACTTGGTCATTGCTGAAGTGACTGGATTTAGGGACAAAAATCTAGGAAGTAACTGATCTTTGAACTCAGGTTTACATCAACAGCTGAGGGACAGCCCGTATAGAGAGAGTCTGCAGAAACAGGACGATGAGCTGCAGGCACTTGCAGAGAGCACATGAGGGGTGTGGATTGGCTCAGGCCAGGCATGGTTTTGAAATGTGGGCTATGTTTAAGCAGATCTCTAAGGAGTAAGGTAAACAGGCTTTTGCGTTGCCAGGGTTTCAGAAAGCCTGTTCTTGCAGCTGCGTGGAGCGTGCCCTAGAGAGAGGGTGAGCAGCTTGTGGCCCCCACAATCCAGAGAATAAAAAGAACTGCTGTCTTACAGTGGGTCTTATTAAATATGACTTCTACTTCAGAGAACATTGATCCTCTCACAGATAAACTCCCTTAACTTCCTGTCCTCAGAATAGATACATTTATAACTGCATCACACCCTTTTCACTTCCTCTCCTCTTATTTATGAGGACAAAATGTTCCCGTACAGTCCAAATTCATCATTCTCCATGACCCTTGATCCTTTGATTATATTTTTTCATTTACATTTAATTTCTTTCTAGCCCTATAGCCCCCTTCCCTTCAGCATTAAAACCTATTTCTATGTCTCTTTCAACTTTTATACAATAGCTTATTTTTTATTAATTGCATGTTCATTGTAGAAAATGTATAAAACATAGAAAACTAAAACGGAAATAAAATTATTCATAATCTCATTTGCAATGTATGTCCTCTTTTAGTCTTCAAGTATACACACAAATGTATTGGAATGTAAATATTCAAACCATTTTAAAATGCAACTTTAGTTTTTGTATATTTTCATTTCTTTGGGGCACTAGCAGAATGCAATGCAGAAATATAGGGAGTGGTTGGCGATTTGGAAAGTAGAAAGGAAGGTTCCTTTCGAACTAAGAAGAAGTCAAAGGATGGAGGAAGAAGAAAAAACCACATCCATGTTGGGAACCTGGATGATGACAATGAGAAGCTGCAGACTGTGGTCCCATTGCTTAGTAAGAACTCGGAGAAGAGATCTAACACAGAACCACTTTGAGAAACATAGTTTAAATGACAGGAGCCACCACTGGATTTGAGTCACCTCTCAAAGATGGTCCTTTATTTTAGAACCTCCGATTATCTGCACTTGTGTCCTATGTCTATTATTCCTCACATCAGTGGGGCCCAAGAGGACTTTAATTTATCTCCATCTGTCACTTCAGTCTTTGGCTGCCAAGCAGAGGAGTGTCCCCTTCCTTGCCACAGTTTCTCTCTCAGTGTTTATCTGAATAACCAGTGTGGACAATGCCTTCTACAATGCCTCAGGACATTTGTACATATAGGAAGAGTGTCAGCCTCGGAAATCTAGTGGCATGTCTTAAAATTTCTTGCCCATTTTTCTTTGTTATACAGTGTTCTCTAATTGTCGAGTTCTCAGATTTCTTTATTTATGTGGAATATAAGTTCTTTATCAGACATTTGATATGAAAATATTATTTTCCAATATATGGCTTGTCAATTTATCTTAAAAGTAACTTTTGAAAAGCAGATGTTTTTAATTTTGACATAATTTAATACATCAATTTGTTCTTTTGTTTCTTGCTTTTGGTGTTACATCCAAATGTCTTTACCTCACCCAAAGTCATAAAGGTTTTCTCCTTCGTTTTCTTGTAGAAGTGTTTCTGTTCTAGGTTTTATATTTATAGGATACATTTTGAGTTGATTTTTGTATATGGTGTGAGATATAGATAATTTTTTTACATTTATTAAAAACATCTTCCTTTCCCTGCTGAATTGCTTTATCGAAAATCAGTTGACTGTATATGTGTGGCTCTATTGCTGGATTGTCTATTATGGCCCATCAATTTACTTGTCAGTCTTAACAACTATACTACCCTGCCTTGACTTTGGTAGCTGTATAATATGTCTTTAAATCAGGTATTATTCCTTCAATTTTGTCATTTTTCAAAGTTAACTTGGCTATTCTAGTTCTTTTGCATTCCACTTGAAGTTTAAAATTATTTTGGCAATTTATTTTAAAAATTCATGCTGTGAATTTTATTGGTATGGTAGTGAATCTGTAGGTTAGTTTGGGGGAAGAGTTTGACCTCTTCACAATATTGAGTCTTCCAACCCATGACAATAATAGACATCTACATTCGTTTAGGTCTTTAATTTCTCTCAACAATGTTTTGTAGATTTCAAGGTACAGGTCTTGTGTATTTTTTGTCATATTTATCCCTAAGTATCTAATAATTTAAATGCTATTGCAAATAATATTTTTAAAGATTTCAATTTACAATAGTTTGCTTTTAGTGTACAGAAATACATTTGGTTTTTATATATTGAGCTTACATCCTGCAATCTTGCTAAATTCACTTCTTAGTCTTAGTAGCTTTTTGGTAGATTCCATCATATTTTCTACATAGATAATCATGTCATTTGTGCATAAAATCCACTTTTTTGAATCTTTTCCAATCGAGATGCTTTTATTTGTTTTTCTTGCTTTATTGCACTGGCTAGAACCTTCAATGAAATGTCAAATAACAGTTTTCTTTCTAAATAAAAAAACAAAATTATACTAACATGCTTCAATGATAACTGCTTTAAAATGTAACAATATATCATGTACATGTATTTCATTTTTGATGGCTACATACATGATATCATATAGGTCAACTAAAATCTATATTATCTATATTACAATTAGAAACTTTTGTTTGCTTGGATGTCAGTCATATCTAGATATTTTTGCCCATCTCAAAGTCATACAAATTTTTTCTATGCCTTCTTCTAAAAGTATAATTGTTTTAGGTTTTACATTTTGTATTCTCTCTTATAGCTAGTTCTGTGCCCAAAATTTAAGTAGCAAAATATTGTGCACATCTGTGATTATTTCATTAAGATAAATTCTTAGAAATGAAATTTAAGGGAGAGGTTGGATACATAGTCAAGATTTCTGAAATACATCTATCACACAAATATATAGCCAATACATCTATCACACAAATATATAGCCAAATTGCCCTCCAGGAAAATTATACCAAATTATTTCACTATTAGCACGTTTTGAATGCCAATTTAAGAGGATAAAATTGGTATCAGCTATTGTTTAAATTTTCATTTTTTTCACATTTATAAGAAATGTGAAAAAGGATGGAGGAAGAAGATAAAACCACATCCATGCTGGGAACCTGGATGGATATAATTGTTTGTGTAGTTACTATTTGTATTATTTTGTGAATTTTTTTTCTGTTTCCTATTATATGTTTTCCATTGTTTGCTCATCGTACTGATGTTTCAGAACTCTTTTATGTTTATCTTCCAGTAAAAACATCTATCTTTTGGTTCTGTGCTCCACCTATAGCTACTGACTTGCTTACTTCTTCACAGGCAACATTTTGGAAAGAATATTGTACCTTTCTCCAAATGTCAACCCTTTCTCATCTTTTCTTGACTCTTCAACCCTCTGAAATGTAGCTATCAAAAACAACACTCCAGGCCAGGAGTGGTGGCTCACGCCTGTAATTCCAGCACTTTGGGAGGCCGAGGTGGGCAGATCACCTGAGGTCAGGAGTTTGAGACTAGCCTGGCCAACATGGTGAAACCCCGTCTCTACTAAAAATACAAAAATTAGCCAGGCGTGGTGGCCCATGCTTGTAATCCCAGCTACTCCAGAGGCTGGGGCAGGAGAATCGCTGGAACCCAGGAGGTGGAGGTTGCAGTGAGCAGAGATCGCGCCACTGCACTCCAGCCTGGCGTCAGAGCCAGACTCTGTCTCAAAAACAAAACAAAACAAAACAAAACAAAACAAAACCCAACACTCCACTGTAACTACTCTTGCCAAAATTACCAATGACATCCTAAATGTATATTTACTCTCAGTCCTGTCTGCAGCACCTGATACTATTGACTATTCCCGTGTTTTTTATATTTTGATTCAAGAGTGTTAGTCTCTATTGGTCCTTTGCACCTCTCTGATGGCTGCTGCTTCTCATTCTCTTTTGCTCCTCTTCTCTACTTGCCCCTGCCCCTCAGTTCCCAGGCCTTCACCTTCACCCCCAGTCTCATCACACTCTCCCAATCTTTCTCATTGCTCTCTTCCTGACTCCTCTGAGCCTGAGGCTTCTAGAGACATCCTGATGACTTCTTTTCTCACACTTCTGTCAGTCCAGACTCAACCTTTCTCAGATTTACCACTCATCTGGTTGGCTCACAGTCATCCCAAACCCATGTGTCCTGATGGGACTTTTTATGTTATTTCCCCAGATTTACACATTTCTATGTTCTTCCCAGTTAATAATTAAACTGTTCACCCCATCACTCAGGTCAGAAAGCTGAGTATCATGAACCACTTTCTCCAGCGCATCCTTCATCTTCGGCCCTGGCAGTAACTAAACTTTAGCTCAGGAACTAAACCCTGCCAAGTGCTTTTACTCTGTCTTCTCAGCTGCTACTTAATTGAGTCCATCTCCTTTTCTAGCTCGAATGTTGTGCCTGGCTCACTCACCTGGACACTTCGTTCTCCACACATTGCTGTGGAGTGATGTTTGAAAACTACAAATATATTAATTCCTTATCTAATACCTGTAACTGTCTTTCCATTTCCTTCTGGATAAAGTTGAAATTCTTTAGCAAAGCATCCTTTATAATCTGACACTTGCTTTCTATTTTACCTTGAATATTATCTGCCTTAATATTAATATTAATGGTTTTACATTATTAACTTAATTCTCACAACCTTTCTGTGGTGGACATCCTATTATTACCTCTATTTAGATAAGAAAGGGGTGGCTAAGAAACTTGCCTGTGGTCATCCTTCTCTCTGGCAAAGCCAGCTATTTTGAATTTCTGAATGGTTTATCCTCTGCGGGTTTAAATGTACTATTTTCTTTCCTAGGACTGCTTCAACTCTCTGTATCTCACTGGGAAACATCTAGTCACCATTCAAAACCAGTTTCAACTACCTCCTCCCCTGGGAAGCATTTTCTAATACACCCAGGCAGAAATGATCCCTCCCTACCCTGAACTACAGTGGCAGCGTAAGATCATGCTTACAACCATAGACTTGGACATCACATTGATTTGAAACTAATTCAGCTCCACCAGGTGAAAACTGAGACCTCAGAAGATTTATTTAGTCTGTCTAAGCCTCAGTTTTCTCATTTGTGACACTATGATAAGAATACCGATTTCATGTTTCTCAGCAGGATTAAATGGGGCTACGTATGTAACAATGCACATACCACAATGCTTGGCACTATTAAGCAATGTGTGAATTCTGGCCGAATATTGTAGTCATTAACATAGTGGATCTTAGAATACAGTTGTCATGGTAAATCTGTGCGTTTATCGAATTTACTTAATCATAACCCAGAAGGCAAATTTCCCTAGGCTCTAAGCGACCTGATATCCTCTGTATTTGCCAAAACATTTCTATGGATATACTATAAATAATTTAATTGACCAAGCTTCTGTTTTTGCTTTGGCTGTGAAAGGTTTTAGAAGCAAATGATCTTCCCACCTAACTACATACGGGACCTGGAGTACACATTGTCCTTATGTTTGCCTTATGAGTTCACTTCACTCTCTTTTACCACAACCTCCTTAACCATTCGCCTTACTGTTCGGTACATATTTCTATAAACAGGCTCAAATCTTTTGTGCGTTGAGATGGAGTGCTAGTAATTTTTGGAGGGTACAACAAGAAAGGGCTGAGCTCGGCAACCAAAAAGCCTTTGTTGACTGACTGACGTTTGAATGCCTGATCTGTCAAATCACAATAATGGAAAGAAAATAATGCCAATTCCTCAATAATGGATATGATAATTTGCACTATTTTATATGGATAAAATTCTTTGATTTATTGAAATAAGAATAGCAGCTGAAAGGAGCTGAGGTATGTTTTATCTAATAAATGTGCAGCATGAAAATGCTCTGAACCATTAAGACCCATACAGAAACTTTATTTAAGGCCACATACTTGTGTTCTCAAATCTTTAGGAATCATGAAATGAAATGTGGCTACCTTTTATGTAATCAGTTTCTGAACAAAAACTTAAGAGAAAAAAGAGTCTTGTAAATATTTTAAAAACTATCTGAAAACCTAGATCAGTGAGTGAGTGACTAAGAATTACTTCAAATTACCATGTAAGTTAAATGTAGCCTGCCAGGTGCATTGCCAGGATTAGGTTTTAAAAAGCTCTTTCAATCTTCAAACTTCAATAAGGATCTTAAGGAAGCCCAGTTTTCTTGCTAATAGTGAGCCAGCAGAAAAGAGTCAGATGTTTGTTACTATCCTGTCATTGGGATTTTCCTTTAAATCAACCACTCAGCAGCGCAGATCTCTGGGGAAACACTTTTTTTTTTTCATGATGTCAGTTTCTGAATTCAAGTGTGATACTGTCATAGAGTCTCACAGAATTTTGAAGTGACCCCACTTCCATGGAAGGAACTCCCTAAACTGGGCCTCGACTCTTAAAAAGAAGAAAAATATACAAGTGGGTGATATTAAGCTCAGAAAATACTTCGTCTTTTCAGTGACTTAATTCCTCAAACCATGAGAAAGCTGTTGATTGCAATCAATTTACATAGAAATTTGTCAAACTATGCCAACATTGTGACTGCAGCTTCAAAAAATATAACTGCCTGTAGTAAACAGCCCTGAATCTCCTGCGAATGCAGAGGCAGGCCATAAATGCTATGGGGTTCTTTTAACTTTAATGCTTTAATATACACATCCCTCATGCCAAATTCTTTCACTGTAATGACATGATATCTTATAAAAAAGTAACAGGTTTGTGCATACAGGAGACATATTTGACCTTGTGTGTTTTAAAAGATGATTGTGACAAGGTTTGCAACAGTGGAAATGGTTTTCTAGACAGGAGAAATCAGTGAGGTGGGTTGCCTTGACAACGTGGGTTAGTTGCATCAAGAAATCCATGGCAATACAGGACCTTCTTCTGTTATGTCAAGATTGCAAACAATCTACCAAATTAGGTTAAAAGAAAACGAATCCCACAGCAAGGCAGTGTTATCTGACCTATGAAATATTAGTTCTCACTTTTTATCATGAACCTTGTTAGAAAAGATGAAAAAATCTAGGTGGGCAAGACAGACAGGAGAGCAGGAGTAAAGTGGGTTTCACTCAAAAGTCTGCTCTCCTCTCCTCTAAAGCACTTCACCCCCAGAAGGATTCCAGGAGTTCTTGCATATTCTCTGAAAGTCGATCCTGCTAAGAAAAATCTTACCCCGATTCTGTTGATTTCCCCAGCAGTCTCCACAAAGCTTCTCTCTGGGGATTATCACTGCTCCTATTGCATATTCTTAAATAATGAGCATAAATAAGGATTACCACAACAAAGCTAGTTATTAGTTAAATAGAAAACAAAACCTGTTAACATATGTGCCCTGTAGTCCAATTATCCCGGTGGGGCTGAGGAAAGATTTATCTATAAAGTATTAAGCCTCAAAGACAAAGCCTGTTTTTGAAAACCTACATTATTGAACATGCTTGTTTCCTTCCCCCAGCAAGCACCCCTTTGTGGCACTGTTCAAAGTTCACAATTTTGATACCCTGCTTCTAAAAATCACCATAAAGCAATTTTGAATGAGAGCTTAGATTTTTCTTTTATAAAGGATTCTTTTAAGGTAATCAGAGCAATGCTTTTCTTTGGCTTAAACTGCAGTATGAGTTTCATTTTCAACACTGTCGCATGCTGCGACCCATTGGATGTTATCAGAGGTGGTCCCCAGTGCAGGGGACATACTGTTTGTCCGGGCTGCCCTTTGCTTTTGTCTTTCCTGACTTGAAGATTGTGGAAGTGAATTGGGACTGGAGGGACACATATTAGGAGCAAAGGAACTGCCTCTGTAACAACAAAGTTGCGAAGCACTAGGGCAAAGTCCCACGAGTTCAGATAGTATGAATCTGCACACGATGATGGCTCCAACCTGTGCAGGGCCAAGGTAACCTAACAGACTGTGGTGTTGACTATGAAAGCTAAGAACAAAGAGAGTCTTTGTTCCAACTGGCATTTATTTTCTTTCTCCTGGGTGATAGGATGCCTAATAGATGGACCCACCATCTACAATAAAGGCCAGTGTTACTCATCAGGTTTTATGTCTGGTGGAAGCACAAACCATCACTCTAAGCCTATAAATAGTTTAAAGGGTACCAGTGGATGAATGAAAGCCTTGTTTGCTAGAAGTACCTTTAGAAGTGACAAGTGAACACACATAGCATCAACAATGGTTCACTGACTATATACCAGGGAGAAAAATAAGCTTATTTGGGAAATTCGCTAAAGAAAGAATCATGGACAGCTTCTAATTCAGTCCTAAGTATTAGAATTTCTCATTAAATCAATATAAGAATGCAGAAAATCCACACAAGTATAAAGCCATAATTTGTGCTTTACTACGTTCTTCTACCTTATAAGTTAATAGGTTCACCAACACACCTTGCATGCAAACTCTTAGGGACCACATGAACCAGGAATTTAATCTAAGAAAATAGAACCCATCTTGATGGGTGCAGCAAATCAGCATGGCACATGTATATGCATGTAACAAAGCTGCATTTTCTGCACGTGTATCCCAGAACTTAAAGTATAATAACAAAAAATTCTAGCTACAGCATATTCAGTGAAGAATAAAATCTCTTCCACAAATAAATAATAGGGCAGTAAGAAATGAAGTGTGGCAGAGTAATTCTATATTAAAAAAAAAGAACCCATCTTTATGCCAATGACATCTAGCACCTAACTGAGGCTTTCTTTTTGATATTTTCAGAATGATTGAAAAATGTGTTAGTAATCATTCTCTCCCTGAGTCAATGCTACACAAAACGCAGTCCTGCACTGGCTGTGTTCACTGGGAACATGGTAGAAATGCAGAATTTCGTGCCCCACCTTATGCCTACTGAACCAAGATGATATGGTTTGCCTGTGTCCTCACCCAAATCTCATCTTGAATTGTAGCTCCCATAATTCCCATGTGTTTTGGGAGGGACCCAGTGGGAGTTAATTGAATCATGGGGGTGGGTATTTCCTGTGCTATTCTCATGATAGTGAATAAGTCTCATGAGACCTAATGGTTTTATAAAGGGGAGTTTCCTTGCACAAGTTCTCTTCTCCTGTCTGCCGCCATGTGAGATGTGCTTTTCACCTTACACAATGATTATGAGACCTCACCAGTCATGTAGAACTGTGAGTTCATTAAACCTCTTTCTTTTGTAAATTGCTCAGTCTCGGGTATGTCTTTATCAGCAGCATGTAAACAGACTAATACACAAGACTTGATTTTTTTTTTATTTTTATTTTTTGAGACGTATGCCATATACCTAGAGGAAAAGTACCATTTTAACAACCATCTAGAATTTCACTGTATGACAATATCTTGCTCTATTCCTCTGCACCCTTCTTTCCCATTATCTCAAGATAATCACTTTCAAATATGTTAAATAATCCTCCTGATATTTACCTCCATCTTTTTATATAATGGTCTTCTATTGCTATTGACGGCTCATTAATATTACAGTTTATCTATTGATCTCATTATTGTTGAAGACTTAATGCTTAGCCATACCATTTCTCCCTCGCATTTCCCATAACGTCCCAATATAAGTGTATGGCTACATTGGACATATCAATATAAGACATTATAACTATATAAAATAGGCATTCATTAAATAAATTAACTGTTACTCTAGAGCAGTGCTTTTGAAAGTGTCCTCTGGGGACCCTGAGACCCTTTCAAGGGATCCATGCAGTCAAAACTAATGATAATTCTTTGTTTTTTATTTTAACCAAATTTGGTTAAATTTGGTTAGAGTGTTTCATTGAAATCAACTTAAGCTGGGATCTTAGTTTCTACTGTTTCTCCAAAGTCACTTGATAAGTGCCTTTGATTCAGAAATTTGGATGAGGAGACACTCTAGGGAAGACTGAAGATGTAGGCTATGTGGAAACCAGGAGATTATTTTTCTTACAGAAATAAATTCTTGAGCTTAGTCTTTTTCAAAAGACTCGAGCCTACCTATTAAAGGTGTCTGGAGATACCTTTATGACAATGAAATATCTTTATGACAATGAGTCTTTGGAGCACGCACCTTCTTCAGGAGCTGAGTGGCTGAAGTCATACTGAAGATCAGTGCCAGCCAGCCCTTTTTGGCCAGTGTACCTTGGGAAAGGAATATTTATCTAGGCTGCTGGGATCATCTTCCACATTTAAGGCATACAGTTGCACAAATTTGTCTGTGGCTGTCACAGGGAGCAGTGGTCCAAGGAGGACCAGAGGCTCCTAGACATATCTGTTGGGCCTGAGGCTAAGAATCCCACAATGAACTGCAAACAGAAGCCACAGTTGTTCAAGGTTGCTCAGTGCCAGAAAACTAAGGTGAATCAGGTGCATCAGGCATCTAAATTCCAGCACTCAAAAGACTGTCTGTAGCAGTTGGGGCCAAGTAGGTTTCTCCTCCTTCATTGAAATGGTACGCTTTGGTGCTCCTGGTGTCAGCCACTGCTGAGTTTTTCACTTCTGCTTCTTCCATTTCAAGGTTCTTGAACCAAATAGTTATCACTGGATCATCAAGGTGGAGGGTTGATGCTGCATAGCAATCTGTGTACACGGTCTTTTGGAACACACATTTCAACACTCTAAGCTGTTCCAGGGTAAAACCTGGATGGCTTCAATGTGCACAGCTTGGTTTTGCTGACATGAGATTGTTTGGGAATGCTACAGTTCAATCAGCTGGGTCACGATAGCCACGCTGTAATGTCTCTGTCTACTCTGTGTCCTTTTAGTTTTTTGTATCTTTGAATTCTAAATAAGGTTATATTTTGAAGTGGGAGGGGGGATTAAACAGCGTTGAAAACCAGTTGTAATCTCAAAGACACTTTGAACGAAAATTCTAGAACCATCAAAATGCTAAAAAGCTGAAATTAACTTATAGTGTAAACATACTAATAGTTCATATTTATTCTCATCATGTTCCAGATATGATGCTAAGTGGTTTACATGCATTATCTTATTCAGCTCTCCTACGAACCATCTAAGGGGGTACATACTCTTATTATCCCCGTTTACGCAGGAGGAAATGGAGGAATAGCTTATCCAACGTTACAAAGCTACGATGACTGCTTTTAAGAACCCACACCCTAGCTGCTGACTCTACAGCTCAAGATCTTAATCACTACACTGGTCAAATGCAGTAGATTAAAATTATAGGCTATTGGATTACTTTGTAAGAGAAGTCTTTCAGGTAAATATTTGAATGCATCTGTACAATGATTTATTACAGTTACTTATCTGTAATTAATTGTACAATTATTTATTACTCTTATAAGGCATTCTTATGCAAATGAACGCCTGGAGCAATTAGTACAACTCTTTAGAAAGTAGGCATAAGATAAATATTGTTCAAATATGTCAGACAAGGCTACTTGTTTTTATTAACTTTTTAAAATGAACTCCTGAAGAGGTTTTGGTATAACTGTTTTTCTGTCTCAATCGTGCTTACTTTATTAATTTGCTCAGCAAGGTCTTTATAGATAATCTAGATTGTAAACTTAAGCCAGCATAACCCTTATCTGGATGGCCATACATTCTGAATGACTGATATGCAAATTAATCAATGCATTGAACCCCCACAATCATCTAGTGCCTGAGAAATAGTGAGAAATAGTCAGCTCTTTAAAAATGTGCACGCTACCCTCTTGTTGGCCTTAAAGTGGATTCAATGCTAAATACTGATTTGGTAAGAACAAAACAGTGAATCTGCTACAGTGTTGATGATGGAGGGATGGGAGAGACAATAATATCATTATTTTCTAGGACTCTACAAAATACTTTTACTGACATCATTTTATTCAACGGAACCCCCAAAAGTTGAAAAACTAGGTATTATTGCCAACCTTCTACCTCCTTTCCCTTTCTTGAAATAAAACTCTTAGGTTACTGGACTCACCCAAAGCCACCAAACAACTACATGGTGGGGAGGGTGAATCCAGTTCTTCCACACACTAAATCTAGATTCTTTCCACTGTATTTTACCGTATCCCATTAGGAAAATATTTGCAGAGTTATACGAACATTTCTACCTCACAGAGATTATACATTCTTGGCCTGGGGACGGAATCTAGCCTTCAGACCTCTTTTGTTTTGCCTGAAGAGTTTTTGAATTTGAATTAGTTACTATTATTTTAAAAATGGTAAGAGATTAAATCTGCGATTTTCACTTCATTTGCAAAATAGTTTTGGCAACAATCAGCTAGAACTTAGTAGGGACATCCCCCTTGAGAGTAGGCACATCTATTTCAGAATGCCACAGACCTCACCACTCCTTACCATATCCCTCAGTACTGTTATCTGCTATTTTTCATCATAAAACAAGATCTCTTCATTCATTTTTATTACCTATCTGGTTCCTGATATAAAGTAAATTGTCTGTGGACTAAGCAGATCTCTACAGATACCGTTAGTAATTTTCCTCATCCAATTTGGACAGGGTAATCTTTATGCATCTTTCTAGCCCTGGTTCCCTACAGTCAACAACCTTTTTATCTTAATTTTCTTCATTAAATTGTTCCCCTAATGGAACAGAGAGACAGCTTTGAAATTGAAGATTTCTTCAGCTAAAAATTCCCACAAATTTCCCTTGAGTCATACTTTAATAGTTGGAATTGGACCTGTCTGGAATTACTAGAATTATTCCCCATACCACTTTCAAGTCTGTTTCAAATTATTTTGACTAACTCATTTTCCAACTCCCTCCCTCCATCTCTGTCCTGCCAGAATGTAAATTCTCTGAGGTCAGAAGATTCTGGTCTTGTCCACTACTAAAATCTTAGGCCAGGTACAATGACTGGCCACACGGCAGGTGCTCAGTAAATATTTGTTTACTGAATGAAGGTAAAAATGATGAATCGTAAGTGGATGTTACTGGAGCCCTCTCAGTGTGGTCTTTCAGACCTAGCTGCCTGTTGTGTGGTCTTCTGTATGAACAGAGTCCTCTCTTCTCAGCAATCTTTTGGGAAATAATTCATTTCCTAGACACAGAAAAGGATCTAGCTCCAAAATTTGTTAACTTTGTTTATTGATAAAAATACTCCTTCAAAATATCAGTTTTTGTATTGAACTAACATTTACAGAAAACCTAGCCTTTAAGAAAACAGAGTTATATTTCTTAGGTTAACTAAACTGATTTGCTCAGACTTCAAATCTACACTGGGGTTTTTTGTTTGTTTGTTTGTTTTTTCACTGTGCCAAGTTGAAAATGGTTTTCAGCCCATCCAGCCTCTTTTCTTAGGGTCAAAAGTCTTTCATGTATGCCTCAGGGCTGCAGAAGAGCTTTGCTGTCACTTGCTTTTGCTTTATTTTAGCCTTTACTCACTTGCCAACAACTTATAAGGAAAAAAGTAAGTGTAGCGAAGGTACTTATATCTGGCTTCCAGTCACTTTTCAGGATGCTTCCTAAATGCTAACTGCCCTCAAACATTTTCGTTTTCTCTCTTCTATTTTCTTCCCTGTTCTAACTTGACTATTTTCATCCTACTTTTTAAATTTAAAAAAATATATAGAGAGTCCTTCTTGCTTTTCTCACCATGGTTTGCTTTGAAGGGTAATGAGAAAGATTCAGACACAGGCTGTTTCTTTATCGCTTAGGTCTTGGACTCCCCTTCTTATTCAGCATCCTATCCTTCATCACTTAAGCTACTGTAGATATGAAGGATTTTCTTTATATCTTTTAAAAATTCTTCTGAACGTTTAAAATGCATTTGAATGTTAGGTCTCTTTCTTCCTTTTTTTTTTTTTTTAAATAAATTGATTCTTCACTTGCTTTTCACAAAATCACAGGATTTTAAGTTGGAAGAAACTTTAAAGATATGCTACCAGTCTCCTTGTTTTACAGATGAAGAAACTGAGACAAGACTCAAAGTGGTTAAGTGCAGAACCAGAATTAAAACCCAACCTTCTGGCCTCCTAGTCAGAAGTACTCTTTCCTTTAGTGTTGAAATTATTTCTTCTTTTTATTAAGCTATGCTCCTTATATTTTAGTTAAAAAATGATTTTAAAATACTTATCATTCCCTAAGTGTAGGGGTCTTTGTGCCACGGGAAGGGAGTACAAAGTCCTCGGGAGGGAATTCCTTATAGTAGAAGCACTGTTGTGTTATAGGTAAACCTGTTTTTACTTTGTTTCATGTTTCCATGTGGAGGGACCTCTGTCAGAATAACAAAGCTAGCCCATTACTCACTTCTTCACCATCAAGAATGAGGAAAAAATACTGGGTATGCATTGCTCAGCATCTGTCTACCTCCTGCCCTACATTTCCCACATATTTTAGAATCTCTCATGCTATGTATTTCACAGTTCTCATCTATCTGTGGCTGTCTAGTTTGAAATAAATACTCATGTGAAAGATAATAACATTGGAATAATTAGGCTATGAGTGGTGTGTTCATGTGGGAAACAACAGAAGAGAAGCTACCTGATGGTGCCATTCAGAGAAAAATAGGAGGTCAGAAGGAGGCTGACTTGGGAGAGATTAAATCTCTCAGCTATCTGTCTTATTATAATGTTGATAATCTCACACTTGCATGTTAGAAATGTTACTTATTTTGCTACACTGATTTTGTATCCTGACACTTTACTGAAGTTGTTTATCAGTTTCAGGAGGCCTTTTGAGAGTCATTAGAGTTTTGTAGGACTAGAATTATTTTGTCAGCAAAGAGAGATAGTTTGACTTCTTCCTTTCCTATTTGGATGCTTTTTCTCTTATTATTATTATTATTATTATTATTATTATTATACTTTAAGTTTTAGGGTACATGTGCACAATGTGCAGGTTAGTTACACGTGTATACATGTGACATGCTGGTGCGCTGCACCCACTAACTCGTCATCTAGCATTAGGTATATCTCCCAGTGCTATCCCTCCCCCCTCCCCCCACCCCACAACAGTCCCCAGAGTGTGATGTTCCCCTTCCTGTGTCCATGTGATCTCATTGTTCAGTTCCCACCTATGAGTGAGAATACGCGGTGTTTGGTTTTTTGTTCTTGTGATAGTTTACTGAGAATGATGATTTCCAACTTCATCCATGTCCCTACAAAGGACATGAACTCATCATTTTTTATGGCTGCATAGTATTCTATGGTGTATATGTGCCACATTTTCTTAATCCAGTCTATCATTGTTGGACATTTGGGTTGGTCCCAAGTCTTTGCTATTGTGAATAGTGCCACAATAAACATACGTGTGCATGTGTCTTTATAGCAGCATGATTTATAGTCCTTTGGGTATATACTCAGTAATGGGATGGCTGGGTCAAATGGTATTTCTAGTTCTAGATCCCTGAGGAATCGCCACACTGACTTCCACAATGGTTGAACTAGTTTACAGTCCCACCAACAGTGTAAAAGTGTTCCTATTTCTCCACATCCTCTCCAGCACCTGTTGTTTCCTGACTTTTTAATGATTGCCATTCTAACTGGTGTGAGATGATATCTCATTGTGGTTTTGATTTGCATTTCTCTGATGGCCAATGATGGTGAGCATTTTTTCATGTGTTTTTTGGCTGCATAAATGTCTTCTTTTGAGAAGTGTCTGTTCATGTCCTTCGCCCACTTTTTGATGGGGTTGTTTGTTTTTTCCTTGTAAATTTGTTTGAGTTCATTGTAGATTCTGGATATTAGCCCTTTGTCAGATGATTAGGTTGCGAAAATTTTCTCCCATTTTTGTGGGTTGCCTGTTCACTCTGATGGTAGTTTCTTTTGCTGTGCAGAAGCTCTTTAGTTTCATTAGATCCCATTTGTCAATTTTGGCTTTTGTTGCCATTGCTTTTGGTGTTTTAGACATGAAGTCCTTGCCCGTGCCTATGTCCTGAATGGTATTGCCTAGGTTTTCTTCTAGGGTTTTTATGGTTTTAGGTCTAACGTTTAAGTCTTTAATCCATCTTGAATTGATTTTTGTATAAGGTGTAAGGAAGGGATCCAGTTTCAGCTTTCTACATATGGCTAGCCAGTTTTCCCAGCACCATTGATTAAATAGGGAATCCTTTCCCCATTGCTTGTTTTTCTCAGGTTTGTCAAAGATCAGATAGTTGTAGATATGCGGTGTTATTTCTGAGGGCTCTGTTCTGTTCCATTGATCTATATCTCTGTTTTGGTACCAGTACCATGCTGTTTTGGTTAATGTAGCCTTGTAGTATAGTTAGAAGTCAGGTAGTGTGATGCCTCCAGCTTCGTTCTTTTGGCTTAGGATTGACTTGGCGATGCGGGCTCTTTTTTGGTTCCATATGAACTTTAAAGTAGTTTTTTCCAATTCTGTGAAGAAAGTCATTGGTAGCTTGATGGGGATGGCATTGAATCTATAAATTACCTTGGGCAGTATGGCCATTTTCACAATATTGATTCTTCCTACCCATGAGCATGGAATGTTCTTCCATTTGTTTGTATCCTCTTTTATTTCATTGAGCAGTGGTTTGTAGTTCTCCTTGACGTGATCTTGCCTGATTGCTATGGCTATCACTTCCAGTACTATGTTGAATAGGAGCGGTGAGAGTAAGCATCCTTTTCTTGCTCCAGTTCTCAAGCAGACTGCATCCAGCTTTTGTCCATTAAGTATGATGTTGACTGTGGGTTTGTAGGGCTCTTTAGATGTAGATGGCTCTTATTATTTTGAGATATGTCCCTTTTAAGACTAGTTTGTTGAGGGTTTTTATCATGAAGGAATGCTGGACTTCATTGAAAAGCTTCCTTCATTGAAAGCTTTTTCTGCATCTATTGAGATGACCATATGGTTTTTGTTTTTAACTTTGTCTATGTGGTGAATCAAATTTACTGATTTGTGTATGTTGAACCAATCTTGCATCCCAGGAATGAAGTCTACTTGATCATAGTGAATTAGGTTTTTGATATCTGTTGCATTTAGTTTGCTAATTTTTTTGAGGATTTTTTGCATCTATGTTCATCAGGGTTGCTGGGCTGTAGTTTTCTTTTTTGTTGTGTCTTGGCCAGGGTTGTTATCAGAGTGATGCTGGCTTCATAGAATGAGTTGGAGAGGAGTCCCTCCTCGATTTTTGGGGATATTTTCAGTAGAATTGGGACCAGCTCTTCTTTGTATAGCTGGTATAATTTAGCTGTAAATCCATCTGGTTTGGGGCTTTTTAAATTTTTTTTTTTTATTACTGATTCAATTTCAGAACTTGATATTGATCTGTTCAGGGTTTCCATTTCTTTCTGATTCAATCTTTGGAGATTGCATGTTTCCAGAAATTTATCTTTTACCTCTAGATTTTCTAGTTTGTGTGCACAGAGGTGTCCATAATAGTCTTTGGACATCTTTTATATTTCTGGGAGATCGGTTGTAATGTCACCTTTGTTGTTTCTGATTGTGCTTATTTGGATCTGTCTTTTCCCTTGTTAATCTAGTTAGTGGCCTATTGACCTTGTTTTTCTTTTCAAAGAGCGAACTTTTTGTTGCATTGATTTTTTGTATGCTTTTTTTGGTTCTTAATTTCATTTAGGTCTGCTCTAATTTTAGTTTTTTTTCTTCTTCTAGCTTTAAGGTTAGTTTGTTCTTGTTTTTCTAGTTTCTGTAGGTGTGATGTTAGATTGTTAATTTGAGATCTTCCTAATTTTTTGATGTAGGTGTTTAGCACTATAAACTTTCCTTTTAACACTGCCTTTGCTGCATCCCAGAGATCAAGATATTTTGTGTCTCTGTTTTCATTTATTTCAAAGAACTTTTGATTTCTGCCTTAATGTAATTGTTTACTCAAAAGTCATTTAGGATTAAGTTGTTTAATTTCCATGTAATTGTTTGGTTTTGAGAAATCTTCTTGATATAGATTTCTATTTTTATTTCACCATGGTTCAATAGTACGGTTGGTATGATTTAGATTTTTTTGAGTTTATTGAGACTTCTGCTTTATGGCTCAGCATGTAGTTGATCTTAGAGTATGTTCTGTGTGTATATGAGAAGAAATGTGTATTCTGTGGTTGATGAATAGAGTGCTCTGTAGATGTCTATTTGGTCCAATTGGTCAAGTGTCAAATGTAAGTCCAGAATTTGTTAATTTTCTGCCTCAATTATCTGTCTAATGTTGTCAGTGGGGTGTTGCCCACTGACATAGGCACACACTATTATTGTGTGGCTAAGTCTTTTCTTAGATCTACAAGTACTTTTTTTATGAATCTGGGTGCTTCAATGTTGGGAACGTATATATTTAGGATGGTTAAATCTTGTTGTTGAAATGAACTCTTTATTATTATGTAATATCCTTCTTTGTCCATTTTTACTGTTTTTTTTTAACTATTGGTTTAAAGTCTGTTTTATCTGATATAAAAATAGTGACCCATCATCTTTTCTGTTTTCCATTTGCATGGTAGATAATTTTCCAGCCATTTATTTTGAGCCTATGTATGTCGTTACATGTGAGATGGGTCTCTTGAAGAAAGCAGACAAATGAGTGTGTTTTCTTTTTTCCTTTTTTTTAAATACAACTTGCCTTTTAAGTGGGGCATTTAGACCATTTACATTCAAGGTTAATGTTGATTTGTGAGGTTTTGATCCTATCATGAGATGGTTAGCTGGTTGCTTTGTAGTTTCTATTGTGTGGTTGCTTTATAGGGTCTGTTTTGTAGGGCTGCTTTGTAGGACTACGTACTTAGGTGTGGCTTTGTGGTATCAGGTATTGTTCTTTTGTTTCTATGTTTAGAACTCCCTTAAGGATCACTTATAAGACTGGTCTAGTGGTAACAAATTCCCTTAGTGCTTGCTTGTTTGGAAAATATTTTATTTGTCCTTTGCTTGTGAAGTTTAGTTTGGTGGGTTATAAACTTCTTGATTGAAATTTCTTTTGTTTAAGAATGCTGAAAATGGGCCTCTGATATCCCCTGGCATGTAGGATTCCTTCTGAGAAGTCCACTGTTAGCCTAATGGAGTTATCTTTTGTATGTAATCTGACCTTTTTCTCTAGCTGCCTTTAAGATTTTAAATTTCATGTTGACTTTGGACAGTCTGGTCACTACATGCCTCAGTGATATTCATTTTGATAGTATCTTGCAGGTGTTCTCTGAATTTCTTGTATCTGGATGTCTACCCCTCTAGCAAGATTAGGGGAATTTTCTTGAATTATTTCCTAAATTATGTTTTCTAGGTTGTTTACATCCCTCCTTCTCTCTCAGGAATGCCACTAATTTGTAGGTTTGGTTGCTTTACATAATTTTATATTTCATGAACACTTTGTTCACTTTTACACATTATTTTTCCTTATTTTTGTCTAACTGGGTGAGTTCAAAAGACCAGTATTCAAGCTCTGAAATTCTTTCTTCTGCTTGGTTATTAATATAGCTTTCAATTGCATTTTGAACTTCCTTAAATTAAGAAAAACATCCCCACAGCTGAGAGAGAAATATATTTAACTTAATAAAAATTTAAATATGAAATTAATTTAAAACTCAATCATAAGATGATGCTTTGGGGAAATCTTTAGTTGTAAGTGTGTGTGTGTGTGTATGCTTCTGACTTCTGCACACTCTAACTTGATGTTTTTTTATGCTTTCCATATAGATCATTGGAATATTGACTCCATCATTTTAAACATAGTTTATGTTTCAAAAACCAGAATAAAAGAAGCTCCATTTTGTGTATTCTTAGTTCTTGTGTATTCTTAGTTCTTGTTAAAATAAAAAATGGATTTTCTCAGGAGTGGATCTGTATCCTTTTACAGTTAAGCATTTCCTATTATATCTGTAATAGCAACACAAGGTGACATTCTTACTAAGCAAGTGAGGTTATGTTTTCCCAGCAATCATTTTCAAAGAAAGAAACAGAATTAACAGAATTAAAGTAGTGTATCAATCCACTAATAAGGAAGTACTAAAAAAAGTTCTATTTAATCTATCCAGCCAACAATTATTATTCAGCAGTTGTTTATTTAAAGCTACTTTGTGACAGCCTGTATCAAATCCTGCTCCGTATTCCCAATTCTCTCCCCAGTAGTGTCCTGGATATTTAACTGCTAAGTAACATTTTTTGATTAGCCTTGGTTTTGTGAAGCATGGAGAACAAAAGAGAGAAACATTAATTTTTCTATGTGTTTATAAAGTTTTTGGCTTTATTTTTGTTTTGTATATCTTTAGATATGAATTGTCTTACAAAGACCAAGCACATGATGGTGTCCAGCTCTCTCTTTGAATTGCCTGTACCATTTCCTCTGCAGTTACAGAAAATTCTTTCATCTTGTTCCATCCTTCTGCAGTAGACTATATGCTCCCCAAGGGTAGGGTTTTATTCTATCTTGTTCACTACTGCACATGACTGGTATATGGTATATAATACAGTAAGTTGAGAGAATTTAATAAACTGGGCATGATTGGAGGTCTCTCAGAACAATCATTCAGAACATAGTTTGCTGGTGATGTGAACTGAACTCTGACTAGAGGGAGAACTATGTTTACGGATGGATGCTTCCCAAAAGAATAAGCTCTTTTGCTGCCTAGAGAAGAATATTTCTATCTGAACAACCTACTCTATAATACCAATCTCAGGTGAATTTCTTTGACATTTCAAAAGACTAATTGACCTACTAGTATTTTATTTAAAGGCAAAAGATAAAATCCATGTGATAAATCCCAAGTTCTATTAGAATAAATCAGGAGACACTTATACTTTTCATCTCATAATTATTTGATACATGTTGGCATTGTAATCTATTCACACTGCAATATTATTTTAGTTGAAATATCAATTGTACTTCTAAGAGCAAGAATTGCACTTCTAAGAGTTTAGGAAATAAAACAAATAAAAACAAAACAAAGACAAAAAATTAGTAAAAAAGATTAATGCTGCAATCAAGTTGAAATATTTTTCTTTTAATAATTTTTTGTTATTTTGTAGTCTACTTATTTTGTCTTTTCCCATAGCAAACACCTAAGTAGCATACTAGACTCCTCCTTCTTAATGAATGAAGCAGTGAGAAAGTAAAGGGAAGGGCATTTGACTGCAGACAGTACCACCACTGGACAATGAGAAATTTGTTGTGAAAAACTTATCTGGCTCATTTGAAGAATTTAAGTTTGAAAACAAAATCATTTCCCTAGAGTGTTCTCAGTCACTTAGACTTCCCTTAGGCTTCACATAATAATAGAACGGAATGAATATGCATTGTGAATTGTGAGTATGAATTTTTTTTTGCAAGCATTATAGGAAAGCTGTGTTTGAGCTATACTACGGGAGAAATTTTCATTGCTTTCAGTCTTATACATTTGTGAATAAATGGAATAGCAAATCTACCTCACAGAATTGGGTTCCTATGATAGGGAAATAGCCTGAAGACATCAAAACTTCATTGCTGAGGGCTTTCTTATCATGTAATCCCAAGTACTTTAAGTAAAATTGAGAATTAATTAAAAAGAATGCCAAAGAGAACTCAAAGAACCATAGAATGATTTCAGAATGTCCATGTGCACTAAAACTCTTGCCAATGATCAAAAGAACAGAAGTTCATCCAGAATTGTCTTTTGTAGAGCCTTATTTATTATTTATTTATTTATTTATTTATTTATTTATTTGAGACGGAGTCTTGCTCTGTCACCCAGGCTGCAGTGCAATGGCATGATCTTGGCTCACTGCAACCTCCACCTCCCAGGTTCAACCAATTTTCCTGCCTCAGCCTCCCAAGTAGCTGGGATTACAGCCACTCACCACCACACCCAGGTAATTTTTTGTATTTTTAGTAAAGATGGGGTTTCACCATGGTGGCCAGGCTGGTCTCGGTCTCCTGACCTCGTGATCCGCCCGCCTCGGCCTCCCAAAGTGCTGGGATTACAGGTGTGAGCCACCGCACCTGGCCCTGTAGACACATTTTTATAAGCCCTAACTCTTTTGGTGTTGATGTTGTTTAAAGCAGAAAAGGAGTAGCTACATTAAATGTTGAATAAGGACTATTGGAGAAACAGAAATGACAGCTGATGCTCTGAGAACAGAGAACAAAGAGAAACAACAAACCCAGATAGAAAGGCTTTTAAAACATAGCAGGATGTAGAAAGCAGAATGGAGATAAACAGCCTTATATGTATTTCAAGATATAGAAGTTGTTAATGTTTTCAGCCTGAAAAATAATTGGTGTGCATATAATGATATACTTGAGGTATTAGGAAAATATATTGGGTAAAATATTATTGTTTAAGAAAGAAGACTTCAGAAAAATTTTTGTTTTAGAATGACTTGTTTTAAAAGATTTCCATCAGGAATGATTTAAGTAAGTATTAAAGTTTTTTTTTTTTTTTGAGACGGAGTCTCGCTCTGTCGCCCAGGTCGGACTGCGGACTGCAGTGGCGCAATCTCGGCTCACTGCAAGCTCCGCTTCCCGGGTTCACGCCATTCTCCTGCCTCAGCCTCCCGAGTAGCTGGGACTACAGGCGCCCGCCACCGCGCCCGGCTAATTTTTTGTATTTTTAGTAGAGACGGGGTTTCACCTTGTTAGCCAGGATGGTCTCGATCTCCTGACCTCATGATCCACCCGCCTCGGCCTCCCAAAGTGCTGGGATTACAGGCGTGAGCCACCGCGCCCGGCCAGTATTAAAGTTTTGATGTTTAAAGAGAGAATGTCTCAGCTATTTGGCGGTAGAGTGGCACAGTGCAATGAGCACATGCTTTAGAATCAGGGAGCTTTGAGTTGTGTGATATTGAATGATTTTGATATGATATTTTATTTTTCTCCTCTGCAAAAGGGTCTTGATATGCCTACATAAAATAGGATTGTAATGAAAATTGAATTAGTTAAATGATATATGCTAAATATTTGGCCCATAGAAGGAATTCAGTATGTGGTGGTCATATCAGTGAAATAGCAAATTCCCCTTAATGGTAAGAAAATTATGCATTTTGAATTTATTTTTGTCATTAGGCAACATCATTCAAAGGGTGCAGGAAGATTCTAGCTAGGAATCTGGCCTTATCCCTTTTTCTCTTCAATTTTAAGGCTATTAATGATAAGACATCCGGATCATCAAATAATCAATAACAAGTTTGGGGCAGTTAACCTGCTATGGTAACTTGTACCAGCACTTGGCTCTTTTGAAAGATGAATGCTACATCAAATTAAGGCAAGGAAGGAATTAACAGTGTTTGTTAAAGACAGTTCTTCATTTCTAAAAATAGGCATGTCAACTACAGCACTGTAAATAATTATAGTGGAAAAGTAGAAATACCAAGATGACTACTCTTTTTCATTTGACAGTTAATTCACACAGAACTTATATTCTATGAACTTTCCAATTTTCACTATTTTTGATCTACAAAAATGGTGCATATGGCTCAACATAAGCATTACTAAAGCAAAGATAATTTATTCATTATCTTATTTTATTTGTACAAATGAGGCAAGGGACAAAAAGATGCATGGAGTTACATATCCTGTATTGTACATTTGTCAAATAGTTTCTATATAGAGTATTACAGAAAAAATATATTAGGGGAGATAGATAGTTGTCAGTAGTATTTGCTATCCTCATAAACTTGGTTTCATATTTAACAGTTGGTTTCGCCCAGTCAGGAGTAACTCAGATCTGAACTCCATGCAATTCTTCAGCTTCAGAATAGGAAATTAGTTTATGCTTCCTAGTTGATCTTGAGTGCACTTCCAATTGCACTGAGTAGTCACTATGCTTTCTTTATGTGTGACATTTTGACTTTTCTGGGCCCTCAGAATTATTTCTGACCTTGGTTAACTTAGCAGATTAATGAGACTTTTATTAAGTATTCCAAAGGTAGCTGGGCTACTGACTTAAAGATGATGAAAATTGCTTTTCCTTGGATAAGCGCTTGATTTTATATTCACTTTAAAGATTGTCTTCTGGAAACATTAAGATACCTTGATGAATTTACTAACTAGATTTTGGTGGAGTAAGAGTTGCAATTAATGAGGTAACATTTTGCTGATATCTTTAGAAACTAACCATTAAGCCCCAAGGTTTGTCTATGAAGATTTGCACCTTTCTATGCAGAATTATACCTTACTACTTTAAGAAATCATTTCATCTAAACAGAATCTCCTGCCTGCATTGGCTAATTGGAGAAATTCAACATCATTAGCTAAATTAATTGTTTCATGTGGGTTGTTCTTTAGAATGTTATAAACTGTAATGGAATTACCAAGTTGAAGGCAATTAATTGGATGTACTTCAAATATATTCTAACCAAATGCTATAGCTAGCATTCTCTATAACTGTTTAAAAACTACAAAAAAAAAACTATTGATGAATCTTAGTGCCATCAAAATAGCCCAACTAGAACAGTTTTAAAATGCCTCATATCTGTATAGTTTGTGTCACCTCAGAATGTGATGACTCAGGTTGATGACTGAGAAGGTCATCATTATGATTACTGCCTCTTAAGTATTATTCCAGTGCCTCATATTTTTAAAGGAGAAAGTGAGACGTTGGAATACTTTCTCTAGGTTTTTAAAGCCTATGCATCATGGAGGGAGGAACTGAATGCACGTTCCTCATGTCTAGGACTCATGTGTTAGAAAAGAAGTTGAAGATTCAGATCCCTACACAAGTGCCACAGAGGTACACAGATGAGTGGAGATGGCACAAGGACTCAGGATCAGAAAGAGAGGGAAGGCTGAGATCTGTGACGAATTTGAAAGCAAGTCCCTTTTTAAAGTGGCTAGATACCACTTGGCTCCACTGGTTGTTGTCATATGGGAATGTGGTTCCAGTAAAGCCAGATACTGTGATTTTTCAAACAAATTCACATGGATGGAGTTGCACATGAAATAATTACATGTTGAAATGTTGGTAACTAAAATTATAATTTTAAGCCCCATGGCTCAAATAAAACACATCTGTGGGTGCTGGGGAAGCAACCTCTGGATCAGATTCCAACACCCCTATACATATATAAGTGCTATTAAAAATAAAGAATGTAGAAATGCTGTCCTTCATCAATGCTTAATATATTGATATATTAATAATCAATAAAAGTATTCAATTTATTCAAATTAATCAAAGAAGATATTTTTAGAAGAAACTAGGATATTCATCAACAGATAGTAGGTACATAGGTGCCCACTAGGTTGCTGTGACACATTCATTATCATGAATTTTTGTTTTTTGTGTGTTTTTTTTTTTTTTGGAGACAAAGTATGGCTCTGTCACTCAGGCTTGACTGCAGTGGTGCAATCAAAGCTCACTGGAACCTTGAAATCCTAGGCTCAAGGGATCCTCCTTCCTCAGCCTCTTGAGTAGCTGGAACTACAGGTTTGTGCTACCATGCCAGGTTAATTTTTTTTTTTTAACTTTTTTGTAGAGACAAGATTTCACTTTGTTGCCCAGGTTGGTCTCAAACTCCTGGGCTCAAGGGATACGCCTGCCTCAGCCTCCCAAAGTGCTGAGATTCCAGGTGTAAGCCACCGTGCCTGGTCCATTATCATGAATATTTAAAAAGATAGACATATTTGCTGCCTTTCTCTGGTTTATAAGTGTGTTTGTTGAGGAAAAAAATAAGATTTCCTAAGAGAGTTGTAAATTATTGAGAATGGAATATTAACAAAGGATGAAAGTTGTATTGACAGGGTATACTAGATACTACAAAAGCTGGCGGTGGAATAAAAAGACTTTTCAAGTTTCTTCTCAGCAGCATGTTTTTTAATTAAACAAAAATGAGTAGTGGTGATAGATATGGTAAAGAAGAGAAAATTAGAATATGTTATTATCCTAGATCGTGGCCCTCAAATTAAAATACTGTATTTGACAAAGTTGAAATGAAAATTTTATGTAAATTTAGCATGAGAAAAAAAATGAAGAAATATATAGATTCTATGAAATAATTTGTAGTTCCCTGAGAACTAAGAAAAAACATTTGGAAAATCGTGGAGTACAATGTGCCATTTAACTACTGCAGACAATGCTCAGCATCTGTCCAGCGGATGAAGCAAAGGACAAGGAATCAGGGTCCATTTCTATTTCTGGCATTGACACCTCTGGGCCCTAGAAAAACAGGGTTACCCTGCAGCACTCAGGTTACCCCATTGTTAAAAAAAGACCACACATATCCTAAAGGAATTTTATGCATTATTTTTGATAGCTATAAACCATTTGCAGATTTTAAAAATTGAGGCTACCACAAAAGCAAGGAATGTGATTCTCTCCCTCCACAATTTACAGAATTAATGAAGAATTGCAATGGTCAGCCAGCAATCAGATATGTGCTAGAATATTCTTATTTGCATTTCAACTCTGCTCATTCTGGAACTCGTTGTGTTTCTTTCCAGGCAATGTCCTATAACTTTTGCTTTGCATTCAATTTAAATAAAAAAAGCAACTCTGGGATGATTCATTATTTAAACTGTGGTCTTCATACTCTCCCTTGGAAACTGAGGCAGCCATATATGTAAGGCTACAGTTAGGCAAAAAGATAAATAAGTTACATGCTAAAATCCAGAAGTCCAGCTATCAAACATGAATTGTATAAGTTCATTGTCCTTGTTTGTATTGTTTACAAGCTGTTCTTCGGTGGCTTTGAGTGAGACACTAACTTTGTATCTGACTCACAGTCTTACCTTTCTTCTTCAGAAAAATATAACATAAATGAGGAATTTGAAGACAAACATTACAGATACAAAATACACTTACCTCTCTCTTACAGCCTGATGCACAATATGGAAAATAGTACTTTTTATTTCTACCTACTCTAATTACACATGTGCCATTAAACCAATTCCCAAATAAAAGCAAACATAAATAGTACACACTTTATAGAAGAAATCATTCTCTTCTATTACCTAATAAATAACTTGTAAGAAATTTGATGAGTTGATGTTGTTTAAGGCAATGTATCATGTAACCTTCTTGAGAACTGGCTTCCGTAAGCACAATGCTATCATAGTTCTCATCAATTCAATTACATTGAATTACAAGTGCATTTTGCATGCATATACATATATATGTTTATATCTATTACGTGCACACACTGACTTTTAAAAAAGCATTGAAAGTAATATATCAATCAGAAGCTCTAGAATATAAAACATAGAAGAAAGGAAGGATTATCTGCAAACACTTAGATAAATTTTGTGCACTGAGCTCAACACAAGACACATACCCTTAATGGATATTAGCATATTAGGAGAATCGTATTGGCAAAGGAAATAGATTTCTAAAACAAGTCTGCTTTGCAAATGGTCCCTCCCAAACCAATTCCTATGGATACTGTACCTTCCGGAGGGGTTTGAGCTTGGTCTCCATTATGAAGTCATACTTGCAGAGCTCACAGCAGCGTGTATCTGAGCTCTTTATCCACTGGTGGAGGCAGGACTGGTGGACAAAGCGCAGTGTCCCAGTGCAGCGACAGGGTGTGATGAGGGGGCTCTCTTCATCCCCTTCGCAGTGACAGATTCTGCAGAAAGACACAGCAGCCAGTATGAGATCTCCCAGAGAACATTTCTCGCCTGTGTTATTTCTGCCCTTGCTTATACTAGGGCTATTATAAACCGCAACCTAAGATTTAGAACACATGGACATTTTACTCCAACTTTGATGCTAGAACCAAATCTATGATCAATACGGATTGAGCATTCCTAACCTGAAAATCCTAAATCTGAAATGCTCCAAAATCCAAAACTTTTTGAGCACCAACATAATGCTGTGAGTAGAAAATTCCATTTAGTCAAAACATAGGTGCACAACCCAAAGTTTATTCACTACCTTGAAGGGAAAAGTAAAATTACCTTCAGGCTATGTGTACAAAGCGTATATGAAACATAAATGAATTCTGTGTTTAGACTGGGTTGAATCTCCAGGATATCTCGTTATGTATGTGCAAATATTGCCAAATCAAAAAAAAAGTCCCCAATCCAACACACTTCTAGTCCTACCCAAAATATCTCATTATGTATGTGCAAATATTCCAAAATCCTCCCAAAATTGAAATTGGAAACACTTCTAGCACCAGCCATTTTGGAAAAGGAATACTCAACCTATATTAATTGACTTTTACTTTTATGGTCATTGCTGGACTCAAATCATGTAATAAGTTGTGCCTTACACACCAGCACATCAACAATGCACTGTCATTTAATTCATACATGGAAGTCAATTTTAATAGCACCACTATCGTGCTATGTCCCCAATTTAATCTATTTAACAGGATACTATCTATGGGCTTTCATATATAAAAGTTATGAGTTTTAAGTATTCTAAGGAATATTATCATTTGGTAAACTTTATTGTGTTACTTTGATAATATCAGACCATGGCATGTAATTTATTAAATATGGTATCTTACCAATGTGGAAAAATTCTCAAAAATTTTAAAGTATAATGAAGGAATAAAGTTAATACAAGAAGTCTTAGCTTGAAAATATTACAGATATGTTCTTAGGAAGAAGCACACCTATTTGGTTACAACAAATGGTCTAAACTGTCAATAATCATCATTGTCTAAAAAAAATCACAAAAATCACTGGTTACATAAAATTTGAGTACAGAAAATCCTATTGTTTAAAAATGCTAATAAATACATCTACCAATGAATTGAGTTGAATTTGTTTCTGAACTACTATGAATTCTAGTTTCACAGATTTATGGTCTGAAATCATTTTATCTCATATTCAGATTTTAAAAAGCAATTTATTTTTCTCTTTGGATGAGACAAGTCTCCCATAACTTTAGCTGGTGAATTCAAATCTCAGCCCTTTAATAATCTGAATGATGTAACCAGCAGTTAGACATGGCTAATAAATTTCATTAGAAATGTTGCTTTAAATCTGTTAAATATATACACTCATATGTTTACTGCAGCACTATTCACCATGGCAAAGACATAGAACCAATCCAGATGCCCATCAGTGGTGGACTGCATAAAGAAAATGTGGCACATTTACGCCATGGAATACTATGCAGCCATAAAAAGAATGAAATCATGTCTCTTGCAGCAACATGGATACAGCTGGAGGCCCTTATCCTAAGTGAATTAACACAGAAGCAGAAAAACAAATACTGCATATTCTCACTTATAAGTAGGAGCTAAATATTATGTACAGAGGGACACAAAGATGGAAATAAACACTGGAGATTGTTGAAGCGGGGGAGGGTGGTGGGAAGTAAAGTTTGAAAAACTACCTATGAAGTCCTTTGTTCACTACTTAGGTGATGGGAACTTTAGAAGCCCAAACCTCAGCAGCATGCAATACACCCATGTAACAAACCTTCACAGGAAGCTCCTGAATCTAAAACAAAATTTTACAAAATGCAACATAAATGTGCAATGTAACATTTAAACTTTTTAAAAAAATCTACATAATTGCTTTTTTTGAGCTGAGTCACAATGGCAGGCTGGAAGAATGTATGAATCACTGCTACTGTTCTTTCCTTTAAAGTGTATAAAGTATATATAGATACAGATATATCTGCTCTCTCCCCAGGGGAAATGAAATGGCTGCTCACTCAGATAGTGCAGAAAGATACAGGAACTGAAACCCAACATTGCCAGAGACCTCAAAGTAAAACAGTATGGCAGACTACACCAGGATTTTGAACGAATTTCTTAAGTAAAAATAAAGTGAGCAAAAAGGAACACTGCCATCTAAAGTCCCGGGGTGGAAGTGCTGGGATGAGAACACAGGGAAGGTCCGTATTAATGTCCCCTTCCCCCTGAACTGACTTAGGAAGCAGCCACATTGGGTATAGCACCACATATGAAAGGCCAATATGTTAAGGGAAAATTAAAAATTATCTGAGTGCCTATTTTTAATATAAAAACCTGAAATAGCTTCTCTCCAAACCTAGGCCTCAGAAACTGGACTTGTTACACTTTGTGTCATGCTTGTTGCCAGTTTAGTGTCATAGCATAGATGCTCAGTAGATGTAAATTGAATAGAATTGAATTCAGTCAACAAAATATGACTTATTACAAAAGCAGCCAGGAAAAGTAAATAGAGGCTTCTCTAACACCTAATTAAGTTGTAATATTTATTTTTGGAGCCACTAAAATCTAATAAATTATAGACAATAAGAGTTTGATATTTCTTAACTCCTTGGACATCCATCTCCTGCCTCCACAAAAAGAAAATCTCTTCAACCGGGGGTCAGTAAACTAACACCCAATTCTGTTCACTGAATATTTTTAATCAATAAAGTCTTATGGGAACACAGTCTCACCCACTGGTTTATCTATTGTTTAGAGCTGTGTTTGCAGAGTAACAGCAGAGTTGAGTAGTTGCTGCAGAGACCATCTGGCTGCAGAAACTAAAACATTTACTATCTGGTAAATGATTCAATTCAATATTTACAATCTGACCCTTTCAGAAAATGGTCATAGATCTCTGTCTTAAAGCACACACGTGATTCTGAGTTAAAGACAATGTATGAATATTATTGACAATAATAAAAACAAATTTTACAAAATAAATCACTCTAACCTCTGCAATTAACAATAAAACTGAAGTAAAAGTACACAGAGAAACACACAATAAAAACGAAAACCCCACTTGGCCTGGCATTAATTCCTGTTGCTTCCATGAACAAAATGTCTTATTTGAAAAAAAAAAAAAAAACTGCAGGTAATGCTATCAGATAAATTCATCACTAAAAAAAGATTGTGTCAAATGCTCTACAGGCACCAAAAAGATTTTGCAGCTCTGATTTTTTCATTGACATTGAAAAAGTAATTTATTCATAAACTGCTTTAAACAGAGACCTTGCTGGTTACTGAGTTCAAAGTGACCTGACCAGTTTACTATCGTCCAGCTTCTTATGTCTCATAAAGTCCTTTTTAAAAATTTCTGCTAAAACTACTACCTGAAGCACCACTAACAACATCATTTTCTCATAAAATTAAGGTTATTTCCCATAGGGAAAATCAAAAACTTGGTTCATTTTTCATTCCCATTTCACATGATTTATTTTTATATATTTTTAGCATTTTGAAATTTTTCCAAATTATCTGGCTCAAGTTGGACCTCAAGAGTCTTTTCAAATCATGTTGAGATTGTTCTAAATAAATTTAAAAGCTAAATATCAACTTCAAATATCTACTAGAAATAAAAAATAATGTGATCGTGCCATTAAAGAAAGAATTAAATAATTCCTAAATTGATATACTTCACACAAATCACAATCGCTGAATTATAAATGGAAACAGCAATGAAAACATAAATATGCCTTTCCAGCCGAATAATTGTGTAGAGAAATTGATTTCAATAATGTAATAAAATTGCATGGCAAAATATTCGTAATTTTGGTACATTTTTACCTGATGGGAAGTTGGGGCTTGGGAACTGAATGATTCTATAAAATTATTGGTGATCCACATTGGTATCTGTCACCTAGTGACAGCTACATACAAGCTGAATTCACAGATTTTACTGGCATTTTAGTATTTTACCAGTCTGCTTGCAATCCAGTCAGCATATGTTGAGACTTTTACCATTTATGACTGAATAAACTCTTACTTTTACATTATTTCTAGCTATCTGTGAATAGCAGACCACATAACGCTATGCAGCAAATTAAATTTTAGATTTTGGTGTGTGTGTGTGTGTGTGTGTGTGCTTCACATCTCTTGCTTTAATGTTTGAGTTTTAAGAAAAGTAGGGGTCTTTTTTGGGTCTTACATATCTTAAAATGGTCTTTAGTGCTCCCTGCCCCCATCCTTTGCCAAGGTTTCCTGGCACTGGTAGAATCATATTTTTTTCTTCATAAGTTTTTTTTTAAACTCATCACTAAAAAAAAAAAAAAAATCTTTGTGAGGGCCATAGTGTTATGCAACGCTGGAAATTATTAAACTCTTTCACTCAATAGTCATTTCATTCCTGCACAGTTTCTTGGTTTTTGCTATATGCAAAGAAAATCAGACATCTCAGTGTCTTTCATATCTTCTTCCTTTTCATCCCCACAGCAATTTCTCTAGTGGTTTTGAATTGTCAACAGATACACAAAGTATCTTTAAGACTGTGTTCCTTCCATCAGGAAATCATTCTTAAGATATGCAGTTATTTAGATCCTCTTAATATACTGCCACTCTTCAAGAACTCTATCACCAATCATATAAACCCAAATTGCTTCACCTTCTTTTCATATGAGCTTGTACAATTTGAGTTTACCTTACCTATTCAGGCATATTTTCCACGAATCTCTGACATACAACCACAGTGGCATCGTACAGAGTTTAACAGCTAATAAGCTGTGGGTTTTGCCACAAATAAGTTATTGCTGTGCCAAGATCTTGATTCCTGTTAGCTTAGAGGGCAGTTTTGAGGTCTTGGGTGTGTTGTCCATTCACCCTGGTTGACTCACAAATGTTATCATGTTCTGCGTGTTGTAAAAAATGTTGGGAAACACTGGTGTGGCTATTGAAAATACAATCAGCATTATATTTGTAGTTCCGCCCATCTATACGTGTTAAATTACTTAATCTCTGTGTTTCAAGTTCATCATCAGTAAAATGGGAGAATAGTGGTGATAGACTATTAGGAAGAATTAAAGTAAGTGATCAATTAAGTGACAATAATTATTAATAATCAATTATTTCATATGATTATTAATTAATTATTGTCACTTAATTGATCACTTAATTTAATCCTTATTAACAGTCTATGACCACTATTGTCCCATTTTACTGCATAACAGTCTACTAAAAGTAGTATTTATTAAAATTAATGGTCAGATGATTATTTCCTGAGTGTATTGCATTCTCTATATTAAAGTCTGTCTTTGAGAATTTCCTCAAGTATGTTCTTCATACCTTTGACACCTTCCCTCTTTTAATAATGCCTCATCTAAATTAAGACTCATCTAAATTTCAGACTCACATCCCTAATTAAACAGCCCCTAGTTTTTCCTTCCCTACAATGCTCTCTCCTATTTTTTGAGCTGTCATTGCTCTTAAAGCCTATACCACACAGATACAGTCTCTGCTGTTTGTTAACTGTTTCATTTACACAAGTTCTGGAATTATGAGCTGAATAAATTCATGTTTAATAATTTTATGGGGGCAGGATCTTTTTGTGGATTTGTATTGATATTCAGAGTAATTTAAGTTATGAGAATGTTAAGAAGTCAGGCTAAAGATGGCAAAGCACTAGACCATAATGGACTGGCTTTCATTAAGCTTCTATTTAAACATTTACAGAGCACAGACCAAAAAAAGCCAGCTTAGTCAGATCATATGGCAATTCTCAGAAGTTGTTACCAATGACCAGTGTTTTGTTTATGTTTCGGGAAAATTCACTTACAGTGAAAGTGAGAAATTGTGATCCTTTTATATACCATGAACTCTTTAATTTGCATTTGAGGAACTGAATTGAGGTGTAACAATTTTATACCCTATCTGAGCAGCAGAGGAAGTCAAGCAAACTGATCTGCAGTGGAAAGGAGAAGTAACATACTTCATAAATAGAGAACAAGATGGACAGTAGTTAATATCATTCAGACTAACAGCTGTTTGCAGCTACTCTTATTGACATGGAGACAGCAAGCAATTTTGGACTGTAAACAAAAAGGCATTATAAGCCAGATTTCTAAGGTTTCCTTAACAGAAACGAAGATAAATATCCTAAGCCATCATTCAGCCTGAGATTTAAAATACCTTGAAAACTCAAGTTCAAAATACAATCATGACATAAGAATAAAAATATTTTACCAACAGATAATACCATTTTTGTAATCATAAGTTTTGTCATTCTGAATATGTACTCTTTTTTACATGTGCAGACGAGTGACAGTTCTTCATACATATGTGATTTTTTAAAAGTGTTTTGTTTTCTCAAAGGAATATTTTCAACTCAAAAAAGCTGCTACATAGCATGACTTCCTGAGTTTAATTTCATGCCCTAATTTGTCACCACTGACTTGGTCAAAACCTCAGACCATCTGCACAGAGCTGTAGGGAATGATCAACAACAAAGACAATGACATGGCAATGTCCCTGGCTTTCCTAACTCTATTCCTGGAGCTGATCCAAGAGTCGCAAGTAATCAGCCACATTTTTTTTTTTTTCACCACCAGACATCACACTGATGGAAAACAGTGGAGAAGAAGATAATGATCACCTTGCTTGGTCAATAATGAAAGCAGAGGAGGCCAAGTCTTATTTGAATTCACAGACATTGAATTCTGCAATGGATTGGGAAGATTCTATTGGAATTGCTTCTCTTGGGTGTCTCATCCCCTCTGGAGATGGTTCGATGCCATTGATACTAGGACTTTAAATTCTGCTTGGGACTGAGGATTCCCACTGAGATTCTATTATCATCTAGCCTAGTGGTTCAGTCTCATAGTGGGCCGGAGCCTCTTTGAAGACTATCTGAGAGGTCTCCATGGGCTCTTGAAACACATTAAGATTCCCCCATTCCCTCTATTGATGTGTGTAGCCCCTAGGAGTCCCAGTCAGTATATCTAGCAATCTTAAGATCAGCTCAGACTGTCCAAATCCTCCAAATCAGGAGAAATCAAAAGCTGGATTGCATCTTTTAGGATAATCCCTTCCCTGTTAACCATCGCTTTACTGCCCTCTCTATACTCATTGGTTAGCTCAGAGGACCATGTATTTCTGCATAAAGGAAATGAGTTCCCCAGTGCCATTTATCTTTCCAGATCCTACCTTACAATTTTGATGACTTGTGGATAAGTAAATAGATAATATATATTGAACGAATATCCGAAGGTTATGATTTTCTCTACATTTGCATATGTCATAAATATTCATTTTATATCAGCTTTGAGGTCTTTTTGGGTGCATTTGTAAGACTGACAAAATTAAACTAGAGATATTTCTAAGCAAATGTGCTTACAGTTATTAGGCTAAATTTTTGTTAGCTGCATACATTGAAGTAAAAAGGCAAAACAAAGGGACAGATAATAAAAACTCATTTGGCTTTAATATGTAGCTATAATCAAAGAAATATATATGGTCAGATACAGGAGAAGGCTTTTGTATATACATAATAACAGCTATCAGAAAAATTATGCAGTTATAACCTTTTAGCCTTTTTCATTTCTGCATGTGGCAGAAATTCTTAATTCAAACTGATTTTCTGATCTTTTTTTTGTGATGGCTAGGTGTTTGAATTTTTCTAAGCTCATCCTCAACCATGACTTCCTTCCAATTTTGTCCACTCATTAATCTTATCTGGCTGAGCATTACATCAAAGAAAGTCTCAAGTTGCCATGGATAATTGACAAAGCAGGCACTTTATTTACAGATAACCAAAAATGCATTGAATTAGAAATACGCCTTTGCATATGAATTCTTCTACAAAGGCAAGTAAGTACAAAATACTGATGTTTTACAGCAGTTCCAACCACATTGAGTGAAGAATGATCAACTTTTATTCATTTATTCACTCATTCATTCATTCATTCAGTCAACAAGTAATTTGTTGCTTATGTATATATGCAAGGTTTTATAAGGTCCTATGGTAAATATAAAGATGAATTAGTCTCAGTCTTTTTCCTTTAAGAAGTTTATATTGACAGTTTATGCATCAGACAACTGCAAAATTAGACAGGATACATTTAAAATGGGATGTGTGCCATGTCAAGTGCTGTTGTATGCAAAGGAGTGAAAGATCATCTCAGATTGGGGACCGGGGGAGGGTAGAAAGTTTAATGGAAGATGTGGCATGGGAATTGGAATTGAAGCTGGGGTAGAATTATGGCAGATGGAGAAGGATGTTGGTAGAATATACTAGGCATAGAAGATGTTTTCAGTCAATGCTTAGAAGTAGGATTGACTGGGTAATTTGGTAACATTATGTGGCCAAGTATGAAAAGAGCATGAAAGTTCTTACTCCAACTAAATACAATATTTAGTATATATTTAGTATATTTATTTAGTATATACAATAATACCACATTATTATTATATGATATAATAATACAATTAATTACTTTAGTAGGGAGATATCATGCTGAAAAATAAAGATTACACAGAGCCTGGTATTTCCCTCAACCAGTGCCAATACACACACACACACAAACACACACACAAACTAACTTTAATTGTATTTAGTTGAGTAGGAACCCACTACATAATTTAAATAAAAAATTAAGATTACATTAAAAAATGAGCAAAGGAGCTAAAAAGACATTTCTCCAAAGAAGACATACAAATGGTCAACAGCTATATAGAAAGGTGTTCAAAATCACTAATCATCAGGGAAATGCAAATCAGAGTCACAGTGAAATGTCACCTCGCACCCATCAGAATGGCTATTATCAAAACACAAACACACACACACACACACACACACACACCCAAACCCAAACAAGATAAATGCTCCTGAGGATGTGAAGAAGTTGGAGCCCTTGTACGCTGTTAGGAATAAAAACGGTGCAGCTGCTATGGAAAACAGTGTGGAGGTTTTTCAAAGAATTAAAAATAGAAATACCATATGAGCGAGCAATCCCACGTCTAAGTATCCAGAAGAATTGAAATCAGGACCTCAGATAGGTATCTGAACTCCCATGTTCATTGCAGCATTATTGACAAGAGTGAAGCTACGGAAACAACCTAAATGTCCATCAACTTATCAATAGAGAAAGAAAATATGGTATAAGCCAGCGAGTGGCTCATGCCTGTAAACTCAGCACTTTGGGAGGCCAAGGCGGGAGGACTGCTTGAGCTCAGTTTGAGAGTGAAGCTACGGAAACAACCTAAATGTCCATCAACTTATCAATAGAGAAAGAAAATATGGTATAAGCCAGTGAGTGGCTCATGCCTGTAAACTCAGCACTTTGGGAGGCCAAGGCAGAAGGACTGCTTGAGCTCAGTTTGAGACCCGCCTGGGTAACACAGTGAGACCCTGTCTTCACTAAAAATAAAATAAAAAAAAAATTAGCGGAGTGTGGTGTCATGTGCCTGTAGTCCCAGCTACTTGGGAGGCTGAGGCAGGAAGATTGCCTAAGCCCGAGAGATTGCAGTTGCAGTGAGCTATGATCATGCCACTGCACTCCATCCTGGGCAACACAGTAAGACCCTGTCTCCAAAAAATGTGGTATATATACACAATGAAATATTATTCAGCCTTAAATAAAGAAGGAAATACTGCCATTTGCTACAGGATTGGCTGTTCATTGATGAAATTTGAGGAAATTATGCCAAATGAAATAAACCAATCACAGAAGGATAAATATCACATAATATCACTTATATGAAATGTACAAAATAGTCAAACACAAAGAAACAGGGAGTAGAATAGTGGCTGCCAAGGCTGGGGAGAGGGGAAAATGGGAAGTTGTTATTCAGTGGGAGTAATTTTTGATTATGCAAGATGATGATTCAGTTCTAGAGATCTGCTGTACAACACTGTGCCTATAGTTAACAGTAAATACTGTACTCCACACTTCAATTTATTAAAAAGGTAAATCTCCTGTTAAGGGTTTTTTAACCACAATAAAGATAAATAAACTATTTGCCCATAAAAAAAGTAAGATTATTAGAAGGATTAATTTGGCATATTAGATAAGAAAGAAAAGGGAGAACAGGGAGAGCCTATCACAATAGTCAAAGTCAATAACAATGAGAACAAAAGCTAGTGTCATAGTGTGAGAATGAAATGGAAAAAGAGAACAGATATTTTATAAACTTAGAGTTGGTAGAATTTAGGCATCAGTTTGGGAAAAGGAAAGGGAATGAGTTATGGAGGAAGAGAGCAAAGGATGGACCAAGCTGACTTTAAGCTTTCAATTAAGCTCCTGGAGGATAGACGCTCAAGAGTCATCTATTGGCTGGGCGCCGATGGCTCACACCTGTAATCTCAGCACTTTGGGAAGCCGAGGCAGGCAGATCACAAGGTCAGGAGATTAAGACCAGCCTGGCCAACATTGTGAAACCCTGTCTCTACTAAAAATACAAAAATTAGCCAGGCATGGTGGCATGTGCCTGTAATCCCAGTTGTTTGGGAAGCTGAGGCGGGAGAATCGCTTGAACTCGGGAGGCAGAGGTTACAGTGAGCCGAGATTGTACCACTGCACTCCAGCCTGGGCGACAGTGTGAGGCTGTCTCAAAAAAAAAAAAAAAAAAAAAAAAAAGAATCATCTATTTACAGAACCTCTGAGCATTTGTTTGTCCCCACAATTACCACTTGAAAACAATAATGCTTATAATTTGATTTTTGACTTAGTTACTCAGTATGGAGACAGTAGTCTTGAAAAGGATAAGGAAGTAGTCCAAACTTTCTCAGAGCTGCTACTCTGTTGGGTTTGAGATAGTTCAATGAATAATCATATTTAAAAGGTATTTTTCAAAATAGCAGTAAAATTACAAACATACAATTTGTTAGGTTGCTGCAAAAAGAATTGTAGTTTTGCCATTACTTTTGCACCAATCTAATAAAATGTGGTTCCTTCCTCTTTCTAATTTACATTTTCCCAGTGTGTAGGGAATCCAGAATGATTCTTACATCATTTAATTACCCCAATTATTATTATTATTATTATTTGAGACGGAGTCTTGCTCTGTCGCCTAGGCTGGAGTGCAGTGGTGCAATCTCGGCTCACTGCAATCTCTGCCTCCTGGGTTCAAAGGATTCTCCTGTCTCAGTTTCCAGAGTAGCTGGGATTACAGGCATGTACTACCACGCCCGACTAATTTTTGCATTTTTTTTGGAGAGACGCGGTTTCGCCATGTTGGCCAGGCTGGTCTCAAACTCCTGACCTCAGGTGATCTGCCCACCTCGGCCTTCCAAAGTGCTGGTATTAGAGGCATGAACCACCACGCCTGGCCCTTTCCCAATTATTTACCTCTCAAATAGGACAAAATATAATTTTCTGGAACAAAATGAAAATGCCATACAAAAATAAAATTACAAAAGCTTATTTATTCAGAATCCTGACAGAATGGAATTTCTAGTTAGGCAAAACCACTAAGACTTTTTTCTGATACCTTCCATTCTCCAAAAGCTGTGTATGAAGTTTAAACTCTGTCATTGAGAGATATAACTCAAAACACAGTAAAATCTTAATTTAAAAATTACATTCATGGAAAAAGGTTATAAGGAAACATGAAAATCTAAATAGTGATTATTCAGTTGTTTACATTAAAATGTTTTCTCTATTTTTAAATTTTATTTCTAGTAACTACAAACTACTGTAATAATCAATAAAAATATTAAAATACAAAGATTATATTTTTCTAATTCTACTTCACTTTTTTTCTCATTCTTTAGTTAATTAATAGATTCATGAATAAATTTGATAGATTTATATATCTGAACAATTTGGAAACATGCCATGAGTTATCAGTAGATACTGAGTTGTGTCTAGTTCCCTTCCTGTCCAGCTTCAGGAGCAACTTTTGTAGCATTTTGTTTCCATAGTAAGCAAAAGACTTCTACATACTGTCCTTCATATTTTTACAGAAATATAAACTTGCAGGTGCCAACCCTATGATTAATTTTATATCCCAATACACTTAGTCATTGCAAGGACAGAAAAGTATTGTCTGCTCCCCTCCTCCTTCAGATACACCAATATTCTAGGAATATATTGTATTATCTGAATTTTAAGTACATAAAACATGTTTCATGTCAGCTATGGTATACATCTATACTCTATGCAAGTGTGTGTATTCAGACATTCTATTTAGGTATGTGAGATTCTGCTGCACTTTCCCAGAAGATAAAACTACTTTACCCTGTCATCTGCCATTGAAAGGGGGTGTCTTCAACCGCATCATTTGCATTTTCAGATCCCTGCATTTGTAGGTTTGTTTGACTTTTCTCAACACTCATCACTGTCTGTTGAGCCTTTTGCAATGCCTGTCCTTCATTTTGTCTCCTTGTCCTTTCAGGATCTTTTGACCTTTATCCTTCTTGGTCAAAATTTTTCATTATGAAGTACAGTCACGCCATGCGTCCCTTAATGACAGGGATACGTTCTGAGAAATGCCTTGTTAGAAATTCCATCATTGTGTGAACATCACAGAGTGAACATACACAAGCCTGATGGTGTAGCCTACTCCACACCTAGTCTGTATGGTAGAGCCTGTTGGTCCCAAGCTACAAACCTGTACAACATGTTACTGTACTGAATACTGTGGACAGTTGTAACACAACGATAAGTATTTGAGCAACTAAACATAGAAAAGGTACAGTAATGATATGTCTAAAAAGCAGTACACCTGTATAGTGCACTTACCATGAATGGAGCTTACAGAACTGGAAGTTGTTCTGGATGAGTCAGTGAGTGATGGGTGAGTAAACGTGAAGGCCTAGGACCTTACTATACACTACTTTAGACTTTATAAATACTGTACACTTGGATACACTCAATTTATAAAAAATATTTTTCTTCTTTCAGTAATAAGTTCACCTTAGCTTACTTTAACTTTTATTTTATAAACTTTTTAATGTTTTTAAACTTTTCGACTCTTTTGTCGTAACAGCTTAAAACAGAAATAAATTGTTCGGCTGTTTAAAAGATTTACTTTCTTTCTATTCTTATTTTATAAGCTTTTTCTATTTAAAAAATTTTTGGCTGGGCGTGGTGACTCATGCCTGTAATCCCAGCACTTTGGGAGGCCAAGGCAGGCGGATCGCCTAAGGTCAGGAGTTCAAGCCAGCCTGGCCAACATGACGAAACCCCGTCTCTACTACAAATACAAGAAATTAGCTGGGCGTGGTGGCGGGCGCCTGTAATCCCAGCTACTTGGGAGGCTGAGACAGGGAGAATCACTTGAACCCAGGAGGTGGAGGTTGCAGTGAGCCAAGACTGTGCCACTGCACTCCAGCCTGGGCGACAGAGTGAGACTCCATCTCAAAAAAATTATATATATATATATGTTTTATTTTACTTTTTAAACATTTAAAATTAAGAACAAAGACAAAAACATACACATTAGCTTATGCCTACACATATATACAGTCTGTCCTTGATCAAAACACACATACACACACACACACACAATATACACACAAGCAAACACGTATGTGCATATTTAATTTTTTTAACAGAAGCTCAGCAAATACAAATGCTCACCTCCTTTATTTTGCTTTGTGTTTTTGCTGTCCTTTCACAGATTTGTTAGGTTCCTTTTCCCTAAAGCCCTATACCTATCCCCATGCACAGTGAACACACTCTATTGCAATTTATTGTTTTATTATCTGTATTCTCTACTTCAGTGGTTTCCAAACTTTACCATGCATCAGACTCGCATGGAGGGTCAGTTAAAACCTAGATGGCTAGGTCCCACTCCCAGCGTTTCTGATTCCATAGGTCTGGATTGGGGCCTCATAATTTGCATGTTTAAAAACTTCCGAGGTGATTTTGATGCTACTAGTCCAGGGACTCTACTTAGAGAACCATGGATTTAGGGCTTCCCCCGCAAAGGGTCATTTGCAAATGAATTGCAATTTTCCATACCAATGAGAAATTTGAGGTCATTCCAAGATGAAGGCTGTTGAAAGCTACTGTATTTTCTATTTCCATCAGTAAGTGTGTCAAGTTTGAGGACCAATGTCCTATATTTTAGATGGCTTCAGGAGCTGAAGGAAAATAAATTTGTACCAGTTGCTAGCCCCCAGGCTTCTTTTCTGGTGTGTCTAAATTATAAGAGATACACTCAAGTAGACCTCCTGTTCCATATATATTTTTGCTGTATTTATACGCACACACATATATCTATTTATATACACACATATATAAATTTATATACATATATAAATTTATACACACATATTTTATATACACACACACTACACACACACACATATATCTTCTGGGCATCAATTTGTTCACCTCAGATTAGGCTAAAAATCAGTGGTTCTCAGCTTTCGGTTGCTCATTAAATTATCTGGCATGCTTCTAATAATGTACCCATGCTGAAGCGCCACTTCCAAGCAATCTGGATGGAATCCTGGCAGCATTAAAAACATAAAATTTTCCCAGGTGAGTGTAACATGAAGCCTAGGTTGGGAACCACTTGGTGAGACAATGTCTCAGGGCTTTTCTAGCTCTAACTGGTGGAGTTTTGAGACTGTGGAATGCTGATTGGAACAAAGAGTCCTCTGATGTGTGGAGCATTTTGACAGTCTATATGGCTTCTATTTCATTCTGGTTATGATTATTTTTTCCTTATTCCTTTTTTTCCTCCATTGTGACCCTCTTACTGTGTGGCAAAACATTTTAATTTGGTTACACCCCCAGAGAGTCATGATCTAATTTAGGTAAAAGAGTTTCTAAAATAAAGACATCAGAATTGTTAAAGTGGGCCTCAGAGGGTCCAAATAAGAACAAGCTGGTAAAAATCAGGCAGAACATGGAGAGGTTTTGATTAGCACTTGTTGGGTAACCTTCAGGGAAAGAAGGAAGTTCTCAGTTTAATGTCGATACTAAAATCCGTCGCCAAACACAGACACTTCTGAATTATGGCATCTTCAGTTCTGCATAAACCTGAAAGTGAATGAAGGAGAACTAACACGCTCCTGGAGTCCTTGTATCTGACAGAAGTGGGAAGGAAGATACTGTGCTGTGTTTAGGGCTGTCAGAGTGCTAAGAGCAAAAGAAAACTCGTTGAGGTTGCTGCAGGGGCATTTTAATTTCCGAACCAAATTAGATACTAGTATTTAAATTTGCCTATTTAAATCCCAACTGCAGAAGATTTGAAATAAATATACAACTACTCTGCAATGGTTATAGGGAAGATGAGAACCTAACTGTGGTAATTAGAAATGCAGAAAATCTTCAAGCTATATATAAATTCTCAGCTATATATCCTTATTTGGTAGCAACAAACACTGTACCCAGTATTCATGTTTATACACACAATGTTTATTTTCTGTTTGTATAAACATATAGGGAATCTAAATTTAATGCACACACAATAGTTTTAAAAATGAATTGTATGTGTGAGAAAAGAAAGAAAGTGTTGCTTTTTTTTTTTTAAGACAGAGGAGGAATTTCATATTGCTAAACAGATATAAATTCATTAAAGGAAGCACATAGTTCAGTATAACTGCAATTCTGGACACATATTGTTCTTAAATTAAGAAGTAGATAAACTCTATCTAATTCATAATCCTTCCTCTTCAATATTTTGCACTTCTATATGATTGGATATTCAACAAACTAGAAATTACCAAGGAAAAGATAAATATAGCACAATATAGCCTCATAACACGTAAATATTGATCCATGTCTGAATGAGCATCATACTTCTATCTATTTTTGCTTGAAATTTTCTGAGATTAGAAAATTCCTGGTTGATATTCAAATCTACTTTAATTTTTTTTTAAGCAAGGAAATGTCTGTTTTTCTTTGTTTCTATCTAAAGGCACAACTTGTTAAATAATTGGCCTTCAGAATACATGCTATTTCTAAAAATTGAAGTGACTGTTTAGCTAAATTAGAAAGTAATTTATCAATCCAATTGGTTTCAGTCATGTAAGATAATTTGCCAGTCAAGATAATCAGTATTATTGATAATACTATCATTTCATCCCTGGAAAGATTAGCTCCCAAACTGAAAACAATCAGAAAAAAAAAACTGCTAAGAACAAGGCATATCTTTAAAATATATAAAGAAAAGATAACATGCCATTTCTACAATTTTTTAAAATTATTTTTTATAAGGTGTGTGTGTGCGTCAGTGTCTTAATTCATTTTTATCCATTCAAAATACAAATTACTGAGCTAAAATGCTGTATAAAATAATACTAAACATTTATAATATACAATGTGGTGTTATAAACATTTTACTTCTCTTTGTTGGAGAAATGCTTACTCTGTAAAGCACAGTACCATAGGGTATATCTGAATATTTACTGACAACTGCAGCGATTAAAATTATTCATATCAAGGAAACAAATTAGTTTGAAAACACTGAATTATGTTAGTAATGTATTCATTTGCAAAGCACATATCATTTTTCTCATTTTATGATCCTATAAATAGAGAGCCATTTTACCTTTTTCAAGTCTGACCACTCCAAGTAGAGAGAAAAGTTGGAAGCAAGACCTCCTGACTGTATGTTGAGTAGTCCCAAGTAACTCAGCTTTGGCAGGTTATCAGCAAAGTTTACACCTATATTTCCTACCAACTCAGATTTTATTAAAATCAACAGGAGAATGGTTGGTCTTTGTTCTGACAAGACTTAGCAAAACAAAGGCAAAAACATAAGAGAATAAATCTGAACTTTCTTAAGAGTCTGTTACCTCTTAGAAATGAATGCTTCATTAGGTTGGTTAGTGTAATCTTTCTCACCTGAATATTGAAGACTGAACAGCTTATCTTTTACTTGTAGAACAGACTTTGACAACAGAATGTCAGTCTCATTTTTGTACAGAAAAAATAATAGGGAGAAGTAACAGAATAAGTAACAAAAGCTGAAAAAAAATCTATTACTGAGTGACTGTACATCTAGGACCAACAGGTAGAAAATATGAGTCTGACTGATTAAATATTGGATATTAAATATTAAATGTGACAAAGAACTTTCTCACAATTAGAGACTCTGAAAAGAATGAGGCTGCCCCAGGAAATACTATGTTCAAGGATGTGATAGATGATAACGTGTGCTACTGTTCCAAAGGTTTGCAGAGAGCCAATGGGCAAGTGACCTAGACAATGGGTGACTCTATAAACTCAGGCTTCCCAATGACTAAATTGTCTGAAAGATTAAGGTAAAGGGAAGTGTAATTTTTTTTTCTCTAAATAAATGTTGAGAGCAAAGCTACTCACTAAAATATAATTTTACTCAAAAATCTTATTTATAATGCAAATTTTTCTTAGTTATTAAATTTCAGGTTCATCTGAAGATACACATACGAAACTGGGAAAACAGAAAATCTAAATGTTTTATGATACCACTCCCCTAGATTCACGTTCAGCTGCCTTGCTTGGTTGTATCCGCATTTGAGTGATGTACTGCAGAGGTAAATTATACTTCCTGCAGTCTGTGGCTTCCATAAACCCTTAGTTACCAACCTCGACAGGGCTTTCACCAATGCTTATCTATCTTACTATGTTTAGCATTGCTGGACTTAGCAAAAACATACAGGATGTCCAGCCTAGTTAAATTTGAATTTCATATAAACAATGAGTAATTCTTTAGCATGAGGACATCCCAGTGAAAAATTCTTTGTTGTTTATTTGAAACTTCACTGGACGTTTGATCTTGCAACCAACTCCCTTACTCTGAACAGATGACCTTAGAAGGCCATCAAATGGAAACTTTTAAAATCTGTAGACCTGCACATATCCACATTTATCATTTTTCTCTTTTACTTGTATTGCAAAAAAAAGTCATACCTATTTTCCCTTCCATGGCCAATCTTTCCACTTTAGGTCCTATACCTTCCTACCTTCTCTGTGGGAATTGAATAAAGAACTGAGCCTCTCAATTTTCCAAATCTTCAAAGGCTCTCTGTTTGACTCAAGGGTCCCTTAAATTAAAAACAAAAACTAAAAAGGCCTCTGAATTTACCTCTCTCTCCACTTTTTATACTCTCCCTTTTCTTTACAGACTCCTCACTTTCTGTCTGCCTTTTCGGCTGTTTTGTTCCTTCCCTGCATTGGCTTCTTTCCCCCTCCCAGGGAATATTGAACATTGCTAGTCACAGGGTTCTTCAAGACCACATCTCAGTTTACAGAATTCCCATGGGGGATCTTGACAATCACCACCTAGCTACTCAAGACTTCCTCGTCTTCATCTAAATCAAGATCTCTCTGAACTCTAGACCTTGCCTGTATCTCCCTCCCAAATATCTCTCTTTGGATATTTGTCTTGCACCTCAAACTACCATGTCCCAAACTGAACTCATCCTCCCTTTTTAAATCTCTCTCTCAAACAATGTTTTGCTCTTGGTAGGGTAGTAAATGGTGTGGTTACCTACCCAGTGTTCTAAATCAGAAACCTGAAAGCCGATTATATATATGTAGTTCGTGACCAATTCTTGCTTGATTTAGTTTCAAACATTTTTAAAAATTCATCCACCTCTTTTTATTCTCACAGCCACTCTACCCTCTTCCTTGGGACACAGCCATGGCTTTCTAATTGATTTACTTTGTCTTTGGTCTTGTCTCCACCAATCTATTTTCCAACAGCAGCCTAAGTGATTTTCCAAAACACAAGTCTGACAGTGTCATCCTTTTGCTTAAAACGCCTGCAGAAACTTTCTTTTTGTTGTTAGAACAAAGTCCAAATTCCTAACTATGGTTGATAAGGAAGTCCATGATTGGATTCCCCCACCTCTGCTCCCTGGCTCTCTACTAGGCTACATTGAAATCCTTGTATACCATATCTCACTCATCTCTGGTCTGGGTGTTCAGACATGCCATATCATTTTCCTGGAACAGGTTACCCCTTCTCTTTGCTTGGCTTACTCTTACTTCTCATTTGGATTTCTCCCTAGTTATTACTTCCTCAGGGAAATGCTCTACTAGATGCAAGTTGTTCCTTTAGCTTCATTCACAGATTTTTTTTATGCCTGTTTAATTACTTGTCTTAGCAACTGAAATATAAGTTCATAAAAGATGACACCATTACTGTCTATTTCCAGCTTCTAAGACATTGTCTTGGCACAGAACAAATTCAAAAATAAATAGTTATTTTCTATATAAATGTATAAATAAATGAATACACAGATATGATGACAGAGCTAGAAGGGTTCGCTTTAGGCACAATTTCTTAATTAAAAAATGAGCTAATATCCAGAATCTACAAAGAACTTAAGCAAATTTACAAGAAAAAACAATCCCATCAAAAAGTGGGCAAAGGATATAAACAGACACTTCTCAAAAGAAGACATTTATGCAGCCAACAAACATATGAAAAAAAGCTCATAATCACTGGTCATTAGAGAAATGCAAATCAAAACCACAATGAGATACCATCTCACACCAGTTAGAATGGCGATCATTAACAATTCAGGAAACAACAGATGCTGGAGAGGATGTGGAGAAATAGGAACGCTTTTACACTGTTGGTGGGAGTGTAAATTAGTTTAACCATTGTGGAAGACAGTGTGGAGATTCCTCAAGGATTTAGAACCAGAAATACCATCTGACCCAGCAATCCCATTACTGGGTATATACCCAAAGGATTATAAATCATTCTACTATCAAGACACATGCACATGTATGTTTATTGCAGCACTGTTCACAATAGCAAAGACTTGGAACCAACCCAAATGTCCATCAATGAGAGACTGGATAAGGAAAATGTGGCACATATACACCATGAAATATTATGCAGCCATAAAAAAGGATGAGTTCACGTCCTTAGCAGGGACATGGATGAAGCTGGAAACCATCATTCTCAGCAAACTAACACAGGAACAGAAAACCAAATGCCACATGTTCTCACTCATAAGTGGGAGTTGAACAATTAGAACACATGGACACAGGGAGGGGAACATCACACACTGGGGCCTGTTGCGGGTTGGGGGGCTAGGGGAGGGATGGCATTAGGAGAAATACCTAATGTAGATGATAGGTTGATGGGTGCAGCAAACCACCATGGCACGTTTATACCTATGTAACAAACCTGCACGTTCTGCACATGCATCCCAGAACTTGAAGTATAATTTAAAAAAATGAGAATATGCATAACATATATGAAACCTATAGCATAATGGTACAAAGTATATCCTCAAACTCACCATCCAACCTAAGCTGGAGCTAGAGCATTACCAGGAGTTATCACTTGTCTTTGGGCTCTTCCTCTTTTAAAGAAACCATTAGTGGAATTCAATGTTCTTTACTTGTTTTACCCTGTAACACCGAATTCCCATTATTGTCTCCATGTTTTCTGCAAGTCTACTCTCTTAGCATGCACTGATTCGGAAGCTGTCCCAAAAGGTCTGTTTGAGCACTGCCTGAATTGTTCTGAGTATTGTGGAGGGCACAAAACAGATGTAAGGCAGGACTCCTATGTTCAAGGAACTTATTCTGTAGGGAAAAGAGAGCTAACACACATGAAAGTAGAGAATATATGATACTGACTAGAAGAATTATGAGATTTCCAAGAGAGAAAAGATAACTGTGGACCAGACTAGCTTAGAAAACCTTTTATCCTCCTTTATAAAGGAGGATAAAAATGAAGTGCATATTGAAGCATGCCTAAATATGAGCATTTGGAGACGAGGAGTGAGACATTTAAGAGGGGAAGAACTACATTTGGTGGTGGTGTAGTTGAGCATTACTGTATTGTTTCATTTATTTTTCTTGCTCAGAATTCTTGTTTCACTTCTTCTGGTACTACTGCAGTTCTTTTTGCTGTTGAAATTTCCTTTTCCCAATTCATAAGATTTGGAGGGGTTGCCGATGGCTACATTTTAAATCCAGTCTTCCCATTCAAGGACTTAGTCCAACCACAATACCCTATGATCCTGGTGACAGTGATTGACTCAAAGATGGGTATGTGACCTAGGGCAGGCTAATTATATGCCTTCCCTGGGATTTCATGTATAAGTGCTTGAAAAGAACATTTCTCTTTTCTGTTAGGCTGCTGCTGCTAAAATGTAAGCCCGAAGCTACCTCTGGCCAGACTATCTCTTCCCTCTTCTATATATAGGAAGTTTGTCTGCAGTTGGAGGAAATGACTCCTCACAGAGAAGGAGAGAGAGAGTGAGAGAACCACATTGTTTCTGGAGTTCCTGAAGCCATCTGTATACTTTGTTTTACTGTTCGTGTGGTTAACATACCCCTTTCTTGTTTAAGCTCATTTGAATTGATTTCTGTTGATTTTATCCCATTAGAAAAGTACTTAACAAAACAGGTAGTGGGCTAAAAAGTGGATGTGGTGGAGATGGAAAGTGTAGAGAAGGACTAGAATGGAACACTGGGATTGAGAAAAAAAGCACAGATCAGAAACTAGTATCTGGAGAAAGAAATGTCAGTACTTTGTTGGAGACTGGACACATCCAATATGGAAGGAATAAGATCAAAAATGGAAAATCCAGGAAATTAGTGGACTCACTGATAGAAATGGAAGTAGTTGAAATGAGGAAGTGGATTTGAAGGGAAGCAATAACCAAACCATGACATTTGAGTTCCTGGTAGAGGTGGGACTTTGCCAGTCTATGGTTTTGGTGACACAACCCATGCTATATTGGTCTAACAATGTGAAGTACAGGAATGTAACCTAGTCATGCTTTGTGTCAGCATTCAAGGGAATATGATAAAAAACTATAGACATTTGGCTTTTCAAATACATTCTTTAGATTCTTTTCTCTCCTTTCTCTTCCTATCTAAAGCATGGGAACGATTTGTAGCATAGAATAGTGTTTCTCAAAATGTGATTCCTGCATCAGAAGCTTCAGAATCACCTGGGAACATTTTAAAAATACAAGTTAATGAGCCTAACCCCAGAGCAAGGGCATCAGAAACTCTAAGGGTGGGTCCAGGAATCTGCATTTTAACAAGCCCTCCAGTTGTCACTGATGCTCACTAAAGTTTTAGAACTGCTGGTGTAGAGTATTCTTTCCATGTTGGCTCTACAGCAGGTGAGGCAGTCCAACATACAGTGCTATGATTTTGCATCCTAAGAATTATTCCCTTAGAAAAGTACATTTTCACTAAAGCTATCATTCAAAAACTATGTGTTGAGAATGTTCTATCTGCCAGGCATTGTTCCAGGTACTTTGGATTTTGCAGTGAACAAATTTGACACAGTTAATCATAATAATGCCTATATTTTAGCAATTAAAAGTTATGCTATGGAAGTGACTGCCAGGGGACCTGAGTGTTGGTTAGGAGGTTAGGAAGCTGTTCCTAAAGAAATGGCATTTAAACTGAGAAAGAATAGGAAGTCGTCTGGAGAAGATCCAAGGAGGTAAGGTAAAGCCATTCTAGGTCTTGAAAGGGGTAGGTCTGAACACTTTCAGGGAATTGGAAACAGACCAGCATGAAAAGGTCATAGTTAATGATGGGTGGTGGAGCTAGAGAGGCAGATCTGATAGAGCGATCAACAGGGACTTGTAAATATTAAAGATTTTGCACCTTCCAGTGAGGGCGATTTACAGGCCATGAAAAAGTTTCAATCATGGGCTAACATGATCTGATTCATGTTTGTTTGCCTTTTAATTAAATGCAATTCCTTTTTCAAAAAAGCAAATACTTTTCCACTGCACTGTGGAAATAACTGTGGGTATAATAGTATGATGAGTTAAATTCCCTCTAAGGTATAATAGGCTGGTAGAGATACTTTCTCTGAAAAAGGCTGTGATGAAGGAGGCAAACAGAATAGAGTGTGCATGTGGGGACCAGAAGCCAGGAACAGAAAAGGAAGAAGGCTTAGGAGCTTCTTTCTTTTTTGTGGTTGTGGCTGAGACTGCTCCTTCTATGCATGTCTGAGAGGGCAAGTTCACAGGCAATTGCTGCTTCTCTCAGGGGTCATTGTTTTGCCTACATAGAAGACCCTGGTTCTCAGGCTGTATCCATTTCTAGAGATCATATATATCTTTTCTCCTACACAAGATCTTTTGTAGTGATTTAATTCACTTTCCAGGCATCACTGCTACCTCCTTGAGAATAATTCCAAAATCTCTATGTCCTTCCTGACCTTGAATAGATTTTCAGTGTTTAATATCTTTAGTACCTTGTGCTAATACATTGTGTTAAAAAATGCACACATGCCGTTGTTTAGTGTCAGGCTATGTATAGTTCACTAATTATTGAAAAACTATACACGCCCAACTGTGACTGCTCTTCTGCAGTTCAATAATATGTCTCATATTGTCTGCTGGACAGCTGACCCTGGAATGTCATTGTAACCACAAATAGCTTGCCTGTAATTGAACTCACTATGTCTTTCCTAAATCAACTTGCCTCTGTCTTCTGCCTCTGTTCATTAACATCAACATTTACTGTTGTCCCAAGTTCCAAGATTTGGAGTCATTCTTGACTCCTCTGTCTTAGGCTCTCACCAAATCCAAACTCTGAGATTGTCCTCATTCACTTGGTGGAAGGCTAATTTGCCATTTGTTCTTCCCTTTCCTTATCCATTATTGTCCTAGTACTCTACTCAACCCACAGGATAGTTCCATCTCCTAAATCTAGGTTCCTTTATCAGAGACACTGGTGACTACACTGTGTATGTGACTTCATTAAGCCTATTTTATTTAGAAAAGGTCTTTCTGTGTGTGTGTGTGTGTATATATATATATACGTATATATATAATACACGTATATATTTATATACACACACATATATATATATTTTTTTGCCCTGGAACCTTTTTTATTCTTAAAGGAATATTATGTAGAACCCCACTATGTAAGAGACATAATCATGAAGGTATTCTGGCTGAAAATGGGCTGAGGGAAGCACAATCCCCTTGACCTGCCTCAACTTTAGAGGCAGCCTCTTTGGAACTCAAGAGATCCATTGAGGGAGTTTGAAAACATGGATTTACAGCATAAACAACTCTGAATATGTAAGTTTTCTTCAAAATGTCTTATTTTAAAGAGTTATTTTTTATCAATGTATGCAAACTTTCCAACCTAGTCATATAAGTTCATGTAAAATTCATAAATGCAAGTGCCAGTGTCCCATCCCTGTTGTGCTAATGGCATTTCCCCCGCCTTGAGTTCTAACGTAAATTCTATTTTTCTCAGCCCCAGTACCTCTTCTTCTTTAGGGGTTTTCTAGATCATCCCAGATCTCAGCAAATCTTTCTTCAAATCCTGCAGTATTCCTTTTCTTACATTCTTCCTGTACTATCTTATATGCTTTTTTTCGAGTATGTGTTCAATCTCTGCCACTTAGATCATAAGCCACTTAAGGGAAGAATCAGGTCTTTTGCTACTTTTTATCCTCAGCATCGAGTATAACATGCTGCCTGTAGCATTTGCTTAGTTGGTATATTTTGATGGTAATCTCTAGCAGGAAATAATACCTATTGGCTCATCTATCTCACTTTCATTAATAGAAGTCTAAATTAAATATCCTGTCTTTGAAAATGTTTCTCCAGAGTAGGGTTTTTAAGTAAGGAGAACCAGTCACTACGACTTTAATTGCAAGCATTATTTTTCTCTCCAATTACCATTTAGCCTACAACTAGCTTCTTTGACTGTCTTTCATTAGATTATGTTGGAAGCTAGATTTAGGGAATGACAACAGATGGTTGCAAGTGGGAAATTCTCCATTCAGACTAGAAAGAGTGGTTTAGTCCATCCCCTAACTTTTCAGCAAACATACATATAGATCATAATTAAAAGATTATAAGAAATTTACATTTATAGGTAAATTACACGGTGACAGTTTCTTTGTAAATCCCTTTTAAGTCCTTTAGCATGTTTCACATGGCCCTGTACAGTCGAGCCCTCTCCACTTCTCCATCCTTCTCTCTACCACCCATCCCCCTATTCACCACAACCTAGCTGCAATGGCAAGCTTTACGTTCCCTGAATTGCCAAGCTCCGTCCCTCCTCTTGTTTCCTGCTAGTGGCAGCCTCTGCCTAGATGGTCTTCCCTGCTTCTTTCCTGATCAATTCCTGTCATCCTTTGAGCCTTAGCCTGCTTGTCACTTACTTAGAGAGTTTTTGTCTCATCTCCCACAATAGGTGAAGCTTCCTTGCCATGTGCTTTCATAGTTCTTATCATAATTATAATTATATATCAGCTGTAAATTAATTTGTTTTGGGTCTCTGTTCCATATTAAATTATAAGCTGTAAGATGTTAGAAACTATACAAATCTTACTCACTATATTATTTTCAATGTCTAGAATAAAGCTTAATGCATAATAGATGCTTGAATACATATATGAATGAGGATTTTATGAATGACTATCCTATAAAACTTTCAGATAAACAAACCATTCTTATATTATTCACATGTAGAGTTTAATTCTTCTCACTGCTGCCCTCAATGGACATGAGCAGCCTTCTCTGGGTCACGTAATTCACACGAACATGCATACATATTTTATGAAGTAACTTCTGCTTTTATAAAAGCAAAGCAAAACATAACAAGTATTGCGCAGTGAAAATCTTCATTTGCTCTCATACAGAATCTAAACAGCTTAAATGATTAGGTATAATATGAAAATGTACAAATATATTTTTTTGTTTGAAATTGTCTCATTTATGCACACTAGCTTGGATATTCCTATAATTCTTTTTATGTAAGGTTATTTTGAAAATATATGCTGTTGAGTTAAAAAGAGCAAGAACGCTGCCACATAGCTAGAAAATATCCACATGTTGAAACCTTTCGGTATATGTTTATCAGTAAAGTTAATGTGGCCCCCTTCCCTACAGGCTCTTGCAACCCCACTGATACGTCCCTGACCTGTTTCTGTGTCCTTTGAGTCTTCAATTACCCTGCTGAGTCAAACAATTGGAGAACAAATTAAAGCCAACTGCAGAGAATGTTATTTTCTGATACAAAAATCTGACCTTAAAGAACTCAAGCCTTGAATATCTTTCTGTCAGGATGCCAGCAAATTTGCATTGAAAAGTCTAACATTTCACACAGTCTCACTCTTAATTCCCCCACTATTACTGTCATAACTAGAATGAGTGCAAGACTCAGCTGAGTCAGCCCCTTTACCAGGATAAATCATTATTCAGTTTAAAGGAAGGGGATATCTAATTGTACTTGGTAACAGCTTTCACACCCATGTTTACATCTGCATTATTCTTTTCATACCCACCTTTTCTCCTTTTATATCCAATCAGAAAAAGAACAATGTAAATAAATGTTAAGTTTTGAGGGTAGGTGTCAAACACGCACCTAACTCACTGCAAAAAGAACTATATATGGATGACATCAAGCCTTTCTCTACAGTGACTGACCTGCATACTTCTAAATTATCAGACCCATCGTCATAGGTGGCAGGAGGCTTCTGAACAGGGTTATTCACCTGGAGCCCTGCATCATTCATGTCCTTGCTGCCTTCTGGAACTCCCAGTATTTCAGTGCTGGAATCTGTTTCTGAAAATGTCTTCTTCATTATTTCATTTTTCCTAAGACTTTGCAAGAGCTGAGGATCTCTGTGGTGATATCTGCCTTTGCTCTTCTCATGATTCCTTGAGGATCTCTTAATTTCAGAGGACCCTTGAGTCAGAGAAGGGTTGCATTCTTGGTACCTTGTATGTTTTCCTCTGTGGAGATTTAAAGAGCAACTCTCACATTCAATCAGCTCTTGTTGCTCTTTACCTTTGGATCCCAGATCAACGAGCTCAATTCCGTTAGGAGTGGAAGACCCAGCTAAGTTTTCACACGGCTTATTATTATTTCTCCTCCTTCTTCTTGACAGTCTGAATTTAACCTGGGCTCTTCTTTTTGCCTGAATCCAATGACTCTCATCTGTGGAAGATGAATCTGAAGAATCTGTGTAAAGCTCCCTCCACCTGGGGCTTGAGATTTGAAGGTGAAAGTCATTTTTTCTCCCTCTTATTTGTTCTTCTGCAGCATGCTCATATCTCTCAGAGGCTTTTCTCCTCCTCCTAGGTCTTTGTATTACTGATTTCTTACCAGACTCCTTCCTAGCAGGGCTCAGCACCATGACAGGGGTGCAATACTCAAATGACTCTTCTGACATGTCATGCAAGATGGCAGATCTAGACAGAGCAGCAGGCAAAGGATGGGAAATGGGAATGGAGAGGAAAGCCATGGAAAAACAGAGAGAGAGAATGATGAAAATGACAGCATGGACCAGAAGTAGATAAATAAAGATCAACTGAAGAAAATGAACTAAATGAAAAAAAATAGCCAGTATAAATTTTCTATGGACCATGTAAAGCAGAAGCAAGAGACACACATTCTCAGAACAAACAACAAGAATACGAATATTGATCCAAAGAATATAGATTAAGATAATTTGTTCAGCACTTACCTGCAGATGTCCTGAGTGGATGGACAGACAGACAACCTTGACTGGCTCCTGGGAGCTGTCCCTGTTGTTGGGCTGCTTGCCTGGAGAAACAAGTTAGATAATTTGGCATCTTGGTTAAGGTAATACATGGTTGATATCTTGCTTTTTTTCCACATATTTAAAAAATTACAACAAACGTGGCTGCTGGTCATGTTGCTTATAATGCAGAACAGAGAATATAGGAAGTTTGAGGTTGGTTTTGCAAAAGTAAAACTTATTTGAGGAACCTGGAACAGCTGAGATGCTGCGCTATTTTGCTGTTACTTCATTTACGAGAGAGGAAGATGATTCCACAAGTTTCTATTCTATTTACTGTAATCATTTGAGTGGAATAGCTCAATTTGCTTTGGAAACAAATGAATAATACTTGAAGATCCTATGATACATGGACTAAAGCACTATTATGTGACAAGGATAATAATAGTCTGAGAAGTCTAATCAAACAGCCATTAGGTTGCTAGATACTTCCTGAAGCTAACATCAAGGCCCCATGAGATATTTGAAAATACTTTGTAATATTTAAAAGCCTGAATTTATTGCTATTAAAATTTCATTAATGAAACTAATAAAATATATCCCTTGCAACACTATTGGCCTTTCATATCTTTTAACCCTATAACCATACTAAGTCTGAAAATAAGAAAGCCTGAAACATCAGATTATTAGCATAAAGTTGAGTGCATTTCACTAAAGTCCTACCTTTGAAACAGTATTTTCTTCACTCTATTTGACTTTAACCTGTTGTATTTAATATAGGTTATGATGATAAATAAAAAACTAGAATGTAGGGATAATTTTCTATGTTCCAGGCATTGTGCTGTAGCTTTATTTACTGTCTCTTTAATTCTACAATAATCTCACAAGTGGAAAGTAATAATAACTAACAGTTTTGAGTGAATAATATGTGCTTATCAGTGTTCTAAGCCATTTCCATATATTCATTAATGCTCACAATAAATCTTTGTAGTAAATACTATAATTACATACATGTTACAGCTGAGGAAACTGAAAAATTGGGGCTGCTTCTCACTGATAGGTGGTAACGCTGAGATCTGGACCAGGTATCTGGCTCCACTATGGGTGGAGATCTGGGTCCAGATTCAGGCCTGTTTGACTGCAGAGATGAAATGCACAATTTCGTCACCAAGAAAATAACAGTAAAGGTAAAAAGATTACCCCAAATTTCGAAGTCATTCTAAAAATTCTCATATTGGAACTATGTAATCATGATTCTGAAATCCAGAGAAAAAGGAACAAATTCTAACTCAAGAGATCAGGTCATATTTGAAGAGAAGGTATAGTAGGCTAAATAATGGTCCCCCCAAATATCTCAACATCCTAATCTTTGGATAGTGAATATTTTACCTTTTATGGTAAAAGGGACTTTGCAGATGTGATTAAGTTAACCATCTTGAGTTGAGGAGATTTATGCAAATTATACTGGTAAACCCAATGTAACCATTAGGATCCTTATGAGAGGGAGGCAGTAGAGTTAGTCAGAGAGAGAAGATGAAGAATATGAATAGAGGTAAGAAAGGAGGAAGATACTACACTGATGGCTTTCAAGGTGAAAAAAGGGAAACCCTGAGGAAGGTGGCATGGGGAAGCTTAAAAAGGCTAGAAAATGAGTTCTAGAGTTTCCAGAAGGAATTCAGCCCTATTAACATGTTGATTTTAGCCCAGTGGGATCTCTATTTGGCTTCTGACCTCTAGAACTATAAGACGACAAAGCCCCAGGGAAATGCAGATGCAGAGACTACTGGATCCCAGGACGTGATGTATTCTGGTGGTGGCTCTGCTCTCAAAATGGTGCCATGTTGCAGCAGGTTAGGTCCCAGGAGGTGGGGTGATCCCTATGATAGTAGTTATAGGAAATTAATAAGGAGGTAACGATCCAGCTAATCTTAAAAGGCAAATAGGAATTATTTTAAAAGCTTAAAAATATTTAAGGTAGAGGAAACCATTTGTTAAGAGACCTAAAGACACCACCAAAAAACTCCTGGAACTGATAAACAGATGCAGTAAATTTGCAGGATACACATCAACATACAAAAATCAATAGTGTTTCCAAACCCCAGTGAAACAAAGTAGATGAGAAAGAAATCAAAAGAGAAATCCCATTTATAATGATGACCAAAAAAACCCCACTTAGGAATAAATTTAACTAAGAAGGTGAAAGCTCTCTACAATGGAAAGTACAAAACAGTAATGAAAGAAATTGAAGAGGAATAAAAAAAAATGAAAAGATTCTGTGCTGATGGAATGGAAGAATTAATATTGTTGAAATGACCATACTGTCCAAAGCAATCTACAGTTTCAGTGCAAACCCTACCAAAATATCAAGCAAATTATTTGAAGAAATAGAAAAAACAATCCCAAAATTCACATAGAACCACAAAAGAGCCCAAATAACCAAAGCAATGTTGAGCAAAAAGAACTAAGCTAGAAGCATCACACTACTTGACTTCAAAATGTGCTACAAATTCATAGTAATCAAAAGAGCATGGCATTGTTATAAAAACAGACACATAGACCCATGGAACACAACAGGGAATTCAGAAATTATCCATGTATTTATAGCCAACTGATTTTCAACAAAGATGCCAAGAACTTACATTGGAAAAAGGACATCTTAATGATGCTTAGTAAACTGGATATCCATATGAAGAAGAATGAAACTAGACTTCTATCTTTCACTATATATAAAAATCAACTCAAAATGAATTAAAGACTTAAATATAGACCCAAAACTAAAAGACTATTAGGAAAAACATGGAGAAATCGCTTCAGGACATTGATCTTTTAGAAAAGTTTTTGTGGGTACGACTTCAAAAGCACAGACAACAAAAAACAAAATAGACAAATGAGACTACATCAAACTAAAAAGCAAAGCTTTCTCCTTGCTTGTGCAAAGGATTGTTTCCTCTGCACAACAAAGAAAACAATCAACGTAGTGAAGAGACAGTCTGTAGCATGGGAGAAAATATTTGCAAACCATACATCCAATGAGGAACTAATATATAGAATATACAAGGAACCCAAACAGCTTAACAGCAGTAATAAGAATAATCTGATTGTAAAATGGGAAAATGATTTGAATAGACATTTCTCAAAATAAGACAGACAAATGGCCAATACATATATGAAAAAGTGCTCAATATCACTATAATTAGAGAACTGTAAATCAAAGCCACAGTGAGATGTTATCTCACTCTCCTTAGGATGTCTATTATCAAAAATATAGCAAATGGGCATGGCGGTGCATGCCTGTAGTCCGAGCTACTTGGGAGGATGTGCTGGAGGCTTCCTTGAGCCCAGGTGTTTGAAGCTAGCCTGGGCAACATAGTGAGACCCCTGTCTCTGAAAACACACACACACACACACAAAAGTAACAAAATAAAATTCACCAGAATGTGTGAGGATGAAAAGAAATTGAAACTCATATATACTATTGTTGGAATGTAATTTAGTACAGACATTATGGAAAACAGTAGGGAAATTTCTCTAAAATCTAAAAATATTACTACCATATGATCCAGCAATCCCACTATACTGGGTATTTATTCAAATAAAAGGAAACCAGTTCGTCAAAGAGATATGTGAACCCCCATGATTATTGTAGCATTATTCACAATAGATATAGACTCAATCTAAATGGTCATCAGCAGATGAATGGATACAGAAAATGTGATATATATGCATAATACAATTTTATTTACTCATAAAAACGAACAAAATCATGTCATTTGCAGCAACATAGATGAGCCTGGGAGACAGCAGGTTAAGTAAAATAAGCGCAGAGGTAAGTATTGCATTTCTCACTCATTTGTGGGAATTTAAAAATTGGGCTCATGGGAGTAGAAATTAGAATTGTGGTCATTGGAGACTGGCAAGGATAGGGAAAAGTTAGTTAACAGATACAAAATTACAGCCAAGTAAGAGGAAGACATTTTAGTGGTTTATAACACCATAAAGTGAATATAGCTAACAATAGTTTACTGTATATTTTCAAAAAGCTAGAAGAGATGTTGGATGTTCCCCACAGAAAAATAATAAATGTTTGAGGTGATGGGTTGGTAATTACCCGATTTGATCACTACAAATTGTATACAAATATTGAAATATCACTTGGTATCCCTAATAATGTAAATTATTACACATTAAGTAAAAATAAGAATTTTTAAAACCTCACTTCATTCAAGTTTTTTTAAGATCAACTTCTTATTTTCATCTTTTGAACAGATAAATAGCTACTTTTTTAAAACATAAGAATATCTGTTCTCTAAGCAGTATATAATGTTGTTAAATTATACATTCTTTATTCTATGTATGGCCATAGAATCTAATAAAGAACTCTCTATATAGCAGGCACTGAGTAAAGGTCACCTGTGAAGTCTGCTACTTGCCCTCTTTGAAAAAAATTAATGCAGCCCAAGTGTCCTCAAATCACTGATGATGTTATTATGTATGTGAACCACGTGATGATGAGCATCATAATGGATACCTATGGCTATGAAGCTATACAGACAAAGATGTCAAAATAGACATGATCATAATAAAACAAATGTCATAATTCCACAGGTCTGAACAAATGTATGTTTTACAATGGGAAAATGATGGATCACTGAATAGTAACACAGAATATTTAAAACACACAGCTTTCCTTTGGAGAGTTTTTCTGTCCACCATCACAGTGAATCAGATAGCATTTATGTCTACAGCCCTTAAGTATTTTGAAGGGAATGGAAAACATTCCTTGTTGCCGAAGAATATTCAAATAGGTCATATCAAATATTCATTTGTACATGTTCCGCTTGCTGGTGGGCTGCCATAGCAGATACTGTGCCTGAATCCTCGGCCCTCTTCTGAGTTCACCTGAATGCTGACTGCTTCCCATGTCAGTGCCTGTGCCTATCTGTTTCTCTGCCCCAGGTCTTTCATTGTTCCATGTGCTTTTGCTTGGCTGCACACAGGCACAACCTGGAAGTGTGATAAGTTAATACGCCCGAGGACAACTCTTGGACTAGAGTCAGTGGATGGATGTTCTAGCCTCTTCACTCTTCAGAGGGGCGGTTCTGGGAAGTTCTGAGGTAACTTCCAGAGTTTCTGAAAGGTCTCAAGCTGGATGCAGGCCTAGTTTCCCCTATCTCAATAGCTTCTTAACATTTCCCTTTTCTCTGTCTTACTTTTCACATGTATTGCTGTCCTTTATGGGATCACTTCCTAGCCAAACTATCTGCACTCTGCTAAAATAGCATCAAAATTAAGACTGGGATTTAGTTAACCAGCTGCCTCTTGTTGTGGAACCCAGTTAAAATAAAATGAATCCTAGCTTGTTTCACTGTCGATTCATTTGCTCAGCAAACAAAAATTAAAGGTTTATTACATGATAGATAATATGATATACTCTGGAAATAAAGAAACAGATGGCAGCCCAAAGGGGCTTCTTGTTTAGTGGAGAGATTTAGATGAACTGGCAATTTTAATACAGTCTGGTATATCCTGATAGTGCCCAATAGTGGGGTTCTGATGAAGAAAGCACATCTAACGTAGAGTAGAACAGGGGTTTAATGTCAGCTTCCCAGAGAAGGAGACGCCTGTCCAACACAAGGTGAGTGTGACTCAAGTAGGGGATGGCAGTCCAGGCAAGGACAAGGATGTGTCAAAACACAGAGTAGAGAGAAGACGTCTTGGTATGGGATCTACAGAAAGTTTTGTAATGACTGGGAGAAAGATGTTGAGTGAGGTGAGAAGTGGTACATAGTCAAGATGAAAAAGTAGATGGAGGTTTTGAATGTTACATTGACGTGTTGGATTGCATCCTGAAAAGAATGAAAAGTTATTGCAAGTATTCAGCAGGAAATAGAACTTATTAAATCTGGGTACTAGAAAGGTCATTTTGGCAGCTGAGAATTGGAAGGTTCAGGGTTGTCTGAAAGCAAAGAGCAGAGTTAGGATTCCATATATCCAGGATGCAGTGAGGATGGAGAAAAGGGATAGTTTGAGCAATCAAATCCCAACAGGTTGTTTTATTTTAAGATATGGTAAAAATAATTTGAAAGATCAACTGAAAAAGTGACACAGGGGAAAAGATTCAGGAAAATTATTTAATAAAACTCAGTAGGATCCAGAAATGAGGATACTTTTACCAGACATCTAAATGTAGTATAATTCTAGAAATTAACAGAATATGCACGTGGCACAGGGAAAGACACATCATTAGAATAGAACTGAGAGGCTAGGAATCTATCTGTCTATATGTATCTTTCTGTTTCTCGGTACAGACAAATTTGCATCTCTAGTTAGTGGGAAAAGGTAGGTTATTAAAAAAATGGCGTTGACTGGTCATTTGGAAGAATGTAAACCTGAGTCTACTGGTTACAGTAAAGTTTAGGCAAATGCAAGATTTAAATACAGCAAAAAAAAAGACCCATCAAAGTATGAGAAAAACATAATTTATGTTTAATTAATGTTTATAATAGGTGGAAAAAATCCTTTTCTTATGATGATGTAAAACAAAATGTGATATAGGAAAACAGATAAATATGATGATCTAAAAAATAAAAACTTCTAATTTATAAAAAGGAAACACATACACCCATATACCAAAACCATCCTGGACAAAACCAGAATTCATAAATAATGCCTCATTTTATTGCATATATGATAGCCAAATAGCTAATTTCTCTAGTATTTGGAGATCTTTCACGGATCAAGAAGGAAAAGTTGATCAGTTTTACAGAAAAATGAGCAAAACAGGTAGGTAGTTCACAGAAAGGGAATTATACATGGCCAAAAGCCCTGTGTAAAAAGATGATCAATCTCAATAAGCAGATAAATGTAAATTCAATTAACAATGGTATCCACGTTAACTTATCAGATCAGCACATTTTAAAGAGATTGATAATACCCAGTGTAGCCGAGGTGGGGAAGCCACGCGTTGCTATATATTGTTGAAGTAACTGTAAATTGGTACAACTTATTTGGAGAGAAATTTGATAAACTCTATTAAAATAAAAAAATGTATACCATTAAAGTTGGAAATTCTACTCATGGGAATTAATTTTGCTGAAACATTTTTATAATTGTCCAAAGATATATTTACAAGATTGTTCATTACAGCATTATCTGTAATAGCAAGAAGTTGGAAACAACCCAAGTGTTAATTCATTATTTACAATGAAATACATAAGCCATAAAAAGAATGAGGTACACCACACACACACACACACACACACACACACACACACACACAGAGAGAGAGAGAGAGAGAGAGAGAGAGAGAGAGAGAGAGACACGCACACACACACACACATTTATAGAATATATTTTTAGGAGAAAAATAAAGTTTCAAAATTGTATACAGTGTCATCTTGTTAGGGTAAATAGTGCTTTATTGCTATCTGTTTGTGTATGCACAGAAAAAAATCTGGAAAAGTACACATCTAGCCATTAGCAGTGATTATACCTGTGAGTTGGGATCATTGGAAACCTTTATTTCTCAGGCTGTATATTTCGTAATGTTTAAAATCTCTAATTTAATAATGAGAAAAGTAATTCTTTGGTCACGTTGATGATGTCATAAATGACAACTACTAACATCAAGAATCAAGATTTGTGTTTTGTTCTCCACTATTTAAGTGATAAACTCTTTGCTTATTTAAAGTCTTAGAGCTCCACTTCCCCTTTCATTAAATGTAGTCAATAATAACATCCACATAAAAGGATTGTGAGGATAATAACATGAAATCATTGATCTGATAACTGTTTTGTAGAGTGTCTAAGAGTTGTAATAGGACACTGATCTTGAAATACTATAATTCTTTTTACTAATTCTCAGTATGTCATTTTTTTCTCCCCACACATGAACTCAATGGTATTCTCCTGTTCAGAAGGAAGACACATAACAGTCTTAGACCAGTAACTCTCAATCCTGTCTAAAAATAAGAATTGCTGGGAAGTTTTTAAAAAATACCTTTGCCCAGGTTGATGATTCTAGAATCTGTGAGGAATGGACCTGTAGCACAGCATCTGGATGTCAGTATCCTTAAAAGCTGCTCCAGTGACTGTAACGCCCATCCAGAGTTAGAAACCACTGGTTTAGGTTAAAGGAGATCCTATCCTACTTAGAATTTTGTATTAGATTTTTTTCTGAGATTTCAGTGAGAGAATATTTGTGAAAGCTTGATTTTTTTAAACAAAGAAAACTGTGTTTTCTAAATTCCCAATTTTTGCTTTATATATCTATAAGAGATCTTGGAGTTCTGGGCATAATTTTACTACAATCTATAGAGAAAGGAGACAGAAGGTACGACTGAAGAAAAATTTGCAGCATACAGGAACACTGGGTCTCTGCTTACTACTACTTGCTGCTGAAGAGCAGGACAGGAGGAGAAAAACAAAGACTGAAATTCCACTGCCTTTACTCTCCATTTATCCACCCTGGGTTGAATGTGGTTTGGGCAGAGGGTGTGGGGGTAGAGAAGGGTATGAGGAAGACTCACCAGGATATTTCTGGGGGAAAACCAAGAGCACGACTCTTGTTCTTCCCTTCCTGGGAGGACTATGTGCCTTTCAGGCCAGCTTCTCAGCCAGCATGGGCAGTGCCTAATGTGGCACCGGTGTCTTAGGGTAGGAGTGACTGAGGCAGATGGACCTGAGATAGTTCCCTCCCACCCCCAGCCTGATGTGGGGTTAGAAAATCTAGACATCTTCTTCTGCCTTTCTGGGTTGTGTAAAAGGCAGCTGAGATTGCTTACCCAGGGAAGTAACCAGGGGTCACCAGAGTTAAAGTTAATGTGACTTTATAACAGAAAGCCACAGAAAACACTACCAAGCAGAGACACTTGGCATTGTCAGTGACAGATGAAATGGGTTGGAAGGCCAGGGCCTGGCTTGACAGTGACAAGAGAACTGGCCCCCGATCCACCAGCCAGGAGCACTGTAGCAACAGGTCTGGGAAAAACCTGGAGGGCAGAACTCTAAACAGAAGTCCCTGCTCCAGTATATCAGGAAATGGAAGGGGAATGGGAAGAAACCCTAAAAAACTGAATGTGATTAGCTTCTAAACTGGTAGAAACAGATCTTTTGAAAAAAAAAAATCAAACATTTCATTTCCCACATCTACAGTAATAGGAGCTCAATAAGAAAAGACTGAGATCACTTTGAGAAAATCACATGCTTTCCTTCCTTATATTGTGCAAAATTTACCACACTACCCACTGAGGGTCATCTAAGATTCCTAAGTAACTATACGTAGCAAACATCTGCACCGTGGGCTGATTAAAATATTTAGTTGTAGGAGAAAGTTATCTCGATGCCGAGTTTATAATTTTAAAGGAAGACTCAGGCCAGACAGCTAAACGTGGAAGAGGGTGGCATGGCAAGTTGCCTAATGCTCCTTTTGGCACACCAGAATTTGGAAGGAACTGAACATCTTCTCAGAAAGGGAAAGCCAAGTAAGTCTTCCTTTGACAATTCACAACATTAGGGGAGTGGCTTAGAGCAAGGCTAGGCCCTTTCAGCAGGTCAAATAGCAAAGATGCAACTAGTAATGCAGAATCTAGCCTGTCTTGAGAGGCCCTAGAAAGCCAGCAAGTGGCACTACACTGGTATGCAGAGGACAAGCTCAGCCAGGAGACATTTCCTACTGAAACATACAGTTGGAAAGAGAGTTGGAATAATGACTGTCATCAGGGAGGGCAAGGCAGGAAATCTGGTTTGAAGTACTAGCCCATGTCACCTCCCATTTTTCAACAGAAATTGCCATGCATTCCTAGTAATATAGACAAGATCCAAGAGAAGTTTTGTTGGCAGCGCAGACTGAAGCACTAGGATCAGGAGATGATAAGGCTAGTTCTGAGAGCAAGGACCATCTCCCTGGGTAATGACTAGGGACCATTATGCAAAGGAGGTGAGGATCCATTATAGTACTCAGGCTTCCTAGTAAAATGTAGGCATTCTGGCAGCTACAGAAACAGATTCAGGCAGTTGTCTCTGGTACACTGGGTCACGACTTCTCAGTCCACTTCTCATATCAGCTGTAGCACTGGTGAACAGTTCTTTATAAGTGCCAACTAATGTTATGGTGAAAATGTCCTACATTGTATGAGTGCCACTTACCTTCTACTTTTTATTCCTGATTCTATGAGAATCCACGTTTCTTGCACAAGCCTAAATGGGACGGCGTTAACACCTCTAGGGACAACTCTCAATAATGGGGTCTGAGAGCTTGTGGATAAGAGATCCATCTCATTGACTTTCAGGTGGAAAATTCTAAGAGATACTTTGGATATTTCTCAGGTGTCCCTTTGGAATCAGCTAACTTCATTAGTTACAATGGAAGTAACTAATTACTAAACTCCTTACTAATTTCATTACTGTCTTCAAAATGTATCCTTAAATTAACTTTTTTTCTGCATTCTTGTCTCATTTTCCCTACCCATTCATTTATAATCCCGGGGTGACTTCCTAAATCCCCTACCTGCACCAACATCCTTGTCACAAGCAGTGCTTTGAGGAGAACCCAAACTGGAGAGAGAGGCAGTTGATACTAGAAATAGTGCCAGAAAGCAGATCCACAAGACAGAATTTAGGAGCTAGATCACTCACGATCAGGCATACCAGGCATACCTTTGCTGTTGGTGAATGGGATGGTGATAATACCTCGTGAACCGTAACATCACAATTACTGGGTTGGATGAGGTGCAAGTGGGTGGGGAAGCATGCAGTATCCCAAGAATATGTATAGGAAGGGCCAATGGTAATTGTAAGGCTATGCAGTTGTTAACTGTTCCAAGGCTTTGGTTAACTGCCTTGGAAACATCTGTGAAAGACAATGGCAAGTTCAGCTGAGCCAACTATCAACCGAGAATGCTCCGTGAAACCCTGTGCACAAGTGTAGCCCCAAGTGCAGAGGTGTTATTCCCAGGCAATCCTCAACCAAGAGAGATCAGGCGTTGGAGGATAAATGCGCCAACACCCATTCCTTCAAGCGGTCAATTCTTGGAGAGCTTCTTTACATTTCTTAGATTCTGCTCAGTCAAGCCCTGTTGCCACATCAGTGACTGCTGTACTATACCTTTTATTGACTTCTCCTCCTTTACTGTCTCACTGCCTTTTCTCTCTCACTCCTGCTGCCTAGAAAACACGTCCCAAATAAACTACTTGTAAAAGTTCTTGTCCCAGGTTCTGCTTCTGTGAGCACATAAACTCAGACTAATCCTCAGACCACTAGAGGATTAGGGAGAGATGAGGTCCTCAGCATAAGCTGCACATTTGGAATATAAATTGGTTGACTGTTGCCATCACACCTAATGGCCTGGACTATCTCCTGTGCTCTTGTAGCTTTATATATTCCCCATTACCTGAGTGTCCTAGTTGTAGGTCTAGTGTCCAACCTCAGTCTCACTGCAAACAGATCAAGTTCCAGAACTTGGCCTTTCTTTCAATTCAATGCAGTTAATTGTTGAGAAATAGGAAAATATTATTCTCACAGTTCTCATTGCCTTCAACTTTTCTTCTTTTTTATCTGTACTCAAGATCTCAGAGCTTTGAGATTTATCCTCTGAAGTTACAACCCCAGTCATTTCCTTTCCTTTATCAAAAGGCTTCAGTGGTTTCTCGTTATCTAACAAATTAAATACAAAAGACCAGTTTGGGATTTTAGAGCCCTATATTCTGGAACCCATCTACTTTTCTGGTATTAACTTCAGCAATTCTTTTTAATTCCAGGATTCCAGCAAAACCTAGCTCATTTTATATTCCCAAACACACCCATTCTTTTATTTTTATGCCTTTACTCTATAGACAAAACAGAGCATACTCTTGGAATTTCCCTCAAGGTCCAGTGATGGTTCCTAGCTTTATGTACACCCATTTTTCTTTAACTGCATGGGCCCTTTTCAACTTCTACTATGGTGTTAATCTTGCTCTAGCATTTATTTTATCACCTGTATTACTGTCTAACCATTTCCAAATTGCCACAATGTTTTATAGTTAATCTTATTTTGTGCTTCACTACCACTTTGAGAAAAAAAGGCCACAGTCATACTGATTTTGGAAATCTTCCTAGTGTCTTGTGTGTAGTAGGTAGCTAATAAAGAGTTGTGCGGTTGAATGGAGTGTGGTAATAGTAGAATTGAGTTGAACTGAACTTGGTAATAGTTGAACCAAGTTGAACTGACCTGGGTAAATCCTATGCTGATTGCAGTAGAGATAGAGATGACAATCGCATCACAGCGAACAAAAAAGAAAGGGCTCCATTCTCCTCTGTGGAAGTGGCAATTCTACACTGTAACAAAATGAATGAACTCAGTCCAAAGTTTTATGTAAGTCATGAGGCTCTTTCTTTGGACTTCAGAGTCAAAAAACACATCAAACGGAAGTTGTATCTTCTGCTTTCTTTGTAAAGTATGAATTTCTATTTAGGAAATACCATAATTTTATTATGTGGAGAAGAGTATGTCCTTTAACAATTTTGAAGCTGGAAGGGTCTTTTTAAAAAGAAAACACTGTAATTGAGGATAAAATGAATTAATGTCTTTTAAACACATGGCCCTATTCAGCAGCAATGTATTGTTTTAATTTGCTAGTTGGTACATTACGAGAGCTTGGTAATTTGTTCATCCCTTTATTAGGTGTAAGATTGAAATGGGGCTGGGAAGGGAAAAATAACAATTGGCTGGATGAGCAGAATAATATGTTCTTTGAAATGAAGCATTCTTTGTAATGGATGTTTATTTCAGATGATTACATTGTACAGTGCATTCAAATGGGAAAAACAAACAGGAGGCCAGCTGCACTAATTTTATCAAAGTTATTTATATCAGCAGTATAATTAAAGGCAGTAATTTCAAATTAGGTTTTCTGAAAATCCATTTATAGACAACACAAGGCAACTTGTCTTAGTGGCATCTAGGCCATGATTGTGCTCTAGGGGCAATGTTAACTATTGCCAATTGGCCTTGGCATTTTGAAAATTAATTACGGTTTCAAAAGATTCTAAAGTGGTTGCTTCCTGGTGCCCTGACCAGTTTAGATCCAATCCACTAGGAGAACCCAATATATAATTTATGAGTGTGAAAAAGAATAATCGTGCATAATCATTTACAAATGGTTTCTCTTATTTAGTAACACATTAATTATACTCTGTAAAGAATGATTTTAGAACTTCAGATGGGAAATACTGCTGCAGAAGATTCTTTTTTTAAAGCCCCATTAATATCTGTGATAGTTCATGAGTAACAGGTTTGAGAATTAGGTATTAAATGAAATATTAAAACTAGTTCTAGGGGACCGGGCACTGTGGTTCATGCCTGTAATCCCAGCATTTTGGGAGGCCGAGGCGGGTGGATCATGAGGTCAGGACATCGAGACCATCCTGGCCAACATGGTGAAACCCCATCTCTACTAAAATACAAAAAATTAGCCTGGCATGGTGGTGTGCTCCTGTAGTCTCAGCTACTCGGGAGGCTGAGGCAGGGGAATTGCTTGAACCTGGGAGGTGGAGGTTGCAGTGAGCGAGATCATGCCACCGCACTTCATCTTGGTGACAGAATGTGACTCCATCCCAAACAAACCCAAACCAAACCAAACCTAGTTCTAGGGAACAGAAATAGGCCAAAAATGATCTGAAAGAGTCTTTTTGGTTGTGAAAAATTTATTTAATGTCTAATAAAGATAAATTTTTAGAATGTACTTATGAAATCTCAGGACTAGATGGAAGTTTATAAAGATGACCTGGTCTAACCCTCATCTGATACTATTATCCCATTTATAATTATACTATTATCTCATTTATAATATTTCCAACAGTGGTCATTTGGCCTCTGCTTGAGGCCAATGACAGGAAATTCACTATCATCTGAGAACATCTCTTGCATTTTTAGAGTGCTCCTAGTATTTTACTGAAGTCAGTATTTTATCATCCTAGTATTTTATTGAAGTCAGTTTCTTTGTGGTTTCTTCCACTGCTCCTAGTTTGATCTCCAAAGCCACACAGAATCTGCTTAATGTCTAAACCTTTCTTCGATAGCATAGCCCTTTACTGCTTATTAATTCTCATATATACCCTATTCTTGCACCCCACACTTGACCCTCTTTCTGCCTTGTATTAGTTTAGGGTATACATTTGGAGCAGTGAGTAAGTAATTTTATCAGAAACAAAGGATGTGGGTGACAAATTGGTAAAGAAAGATTTTAGAAAATGTTGGGCCTTCGATGTCAGGTTAAGTATCGTTCAATCTTATTTGATATGTAATCAGTGAAGGGTTCTGACTTGGAGATAAAGATGATGACAAATGTTCTTTAAAAAGAGTAGTCTATAGGAAAAAAAAACCCTAAAAATTTAATTTATAATGCACTAAAACCATAAAATACAATCTAACTCAGCAGTGGGAGAATAGAGTGTCTAGAAATAGATCCACACAATTATGGTCAATTAATTTACTACAAAGCTGCAAGATAACTCAATGAGGAAAGGAATATGTTTTTTTTTTAAGATGGTGCTAGAATAAACACATAGCCACATGCAAGAAAATGAATCTCAACCCTTACCTTACCAGATGTTAAAAATTTACTTGAAATGATTCATAGAACTAAACACAAAAGCTAAAACTAAAAAACTCCTAGAAGAAAACACAGGAAAAATCTTTGTGATCTTGGAGTAGAAAAGATTTTCTAGATGAGGCACTAATAGCACAAATGATAAAATAAACTGTTGATAAATTAGACAATATAAAAATTAAAAAAATTGTTGTTTGAAAGATACTATGAAAGAGAAAATGCAAAGTGCACATTAAATAAAAACATTGTACTCAAAATATAGAAATAACTCTTACACACTTGTAATTCAATAATAAACAGACAACCTAATAAAAATGCTCTAAAGATTTGAGTAGCCATTTAAAAATATATGTAATCCAGCACATAAACAGAACCAACGACAAAAACCACATGATTATCTCAATAGATGCAGAAAAGGCCTTCCGTAAAATTCAACATGCTAAAATCTCTCAATAAACTAGGCATTGATGGAACGTATCTCAAAATAATAAGGGCTATTTATGACAAACCCACAGCCAGTATCATATTGAATGGGCAAAAGCTGGAAGCATTCTCTTTGAAAACTGGTACAAGACAAGGATGCCCTTTCTCACCACTCCTATTCAACATAGTATTAGAAGCTCTGGCCATGGCCATCAGGAAAGAGGAAGAAATAAAGGGTATTCAAACAGGAAGAGAGGAAGTCAAATTGTCTTTGTTTGGAGATGATATGATTTTATATTTAGAAAACCCTATTGTCTCAGCCCAAAATCTCCTTAAGTGGATAAGCAACTTCAGCAAAGTCTTAGGATACAAAATCAATGTGCAAAAATCACAAGCATTCCTATACATCAATAACAGACAAACAGAGAGAGCCAAATCATGAGTGAACTCCCATTCACAATTGCTACGAAGAGAAAAAAATACCTAGGAATACAACTTACAAGGGATGTGAAGGACCTCTTCAAGGATAACTACAAACCACTGCTCAAGGAAATCAGAGAGGACACAAACAAATGGAAAAACATTCCATGCTCATGGGTAGGAAGAATCAATATTGTGAAAATGGCCATACTGCCCAAAGTAATTTATAGATTCAATGCTATCCCCATCAAACTACCAATGACTTTCTTCACAGAATTAGAAAAAAACTACTTTAAATTTCATATGGAACCAAAAAAGAACCCATATAGACAACCCTAAGACAATCCTAAGCAAAAGAACAAAGCTGGAGGCATCATGCTACCTGACTTCAAACTATACTGCAAGGCTACAGTAACCAAAACAGCATGGTACTGGTACCAAAACAGATATATAGACCAATGGAACAGAACAGAGGCCTCAGAAATAACGCCACACATCTACAACCATCTGATCTTTGACAAACCTGACAAAAACAAGCAATGGGGAAAGGGGTCCCTATGTAATAAATGGTATTGGGAAAACTGGCTAGCTATATGCCGAAAGCTGAAACCGGATCCCTTTTTTACACCTTATACAAAAATTAACTCAAGATGGATTAAAGACTTAAATGTAAGACCTAAAACCATAAAAACCCTAGAAGAAAACTGAGGCAATACCTTTCAGGACATAGGTATGGGCAAAGACTTCATGAGTGAAACAGCAAAAGCAATGGTAACACAAGCGAAAATTGACAAATGGGATCTAATTAAACTAAAAGAGCCTCTGCACAGCAAAAGAAACTATCATCAGAGTGAACAGGCAACCTACAGAATGAGAGAAAAGTTTTGCAATCTATCCATCTGACAAAGGGCTAATATCCAGAATCTAAGGGGGCTAGGGGAGGGATAACATTGGGTGAAATACCTAATGTAGGTGAAGGATTGATGAGTGCAGGAAACCACCGTGGCACGTGTATAGCTATGTAACAAATCTGCACGTTCTGCACATGCATCCCAGAACTTAAAATATAATTAAAAAATGGATTTCTAATGAGTATATAAAAAGTGCCTCAAGTCATTAATCATCAATGAAATGCAAATTACAGCCACAATGACATACCAGTATATAACCATTAGAAGAGCTACAATTAAAAACATGGCAATATCAAGTACTGGCAAGGAAGCAGAGCAACTGAAAGTTTTGTACATTGTTGGAGGAAATAATTTCGCAGTTTCATATAAAGTTAAATAAACCTACCATATAACCTAATCATTCTTTTATATACTTACCTAAGAAAAATTATGTCATATGTCTACCCACATCATGATTCATACATGAATGTTTATAGATGGCAGTTTATTTACAATAGGCCCAAACTGTAAATAACCAAGATCTTCAACAGGTAAATTGATAAAACAAAATGTGGTATATTCACACAATAAAATACTCCTCAGCAATAAAAAGAAAAAACTATTGAGATATGCAAAAAATAGAAGAATCTCAAAATAATTATGCTGAGTGAAAGAAGCCAGTTACAAGAGTATACAAGCATCATTCTATTTATGAAATTCAAACAATCCAGAGTGACATGAAGCAGATTAGCGGTTGCTGAGGACAGAGGTGGAAAGAGAGATGGATAGATTTCACAGGGTTCCAGAGAATTTTTGGGGAGTTGATAGAAATGTTCTACGTCTTGATTGCAGCAGAGTTTTAATCAAAACTCATTGGCTTGAACAATTTAAAGGGAAATGGTCTATTGTCCTATCCATTCTACTTAAAGTACTTTAAATTTCTCCTAAATAAATTTGATAAGAATAAAGTTTAATTTGGCTATAGTGTGCAAAATGGATTGTGGTGAGAAAAAACAGACCGGAAGCTATAGAAGCAAAGCATATTTCTATGTTCAAGGTGAGATATTATTAATGTCTGTTGTAGAGTATGATAAAGGAAATGTTAAAAATTAGAAGAACAAAAGAAAAAGGGAAAGAAGAGAGAAATGAAGAGAAAGATGAATACAAAAAAGGAAAAAATTGGTAGTGCAGAAAAAGTTGGAAAGAAAAAAGCTGAGAGAATGCCAGAAGAAATGCAAGGAAAAAGGAAAAGAAGGAAGATGAAAGAATAGAAAAGAGAGAAGGAAAGGGAGAAAAAAGAGAAATGATATTTTTGTCCATACATGTTGTATGTTGTGGAGAGGAATGTAAGTGTCTGTGGTTTTGAAACAGTATGCACTACAGGAGTGATTCCCAGTTTCATAGAATATCAAATTATTTAACTTAGCTACTTTGCTAAGTTGGTTTTCAAAGCTGGACTTTCTGAGACATGAAGCATATTAGGTATATCTTAAACTAGAATAAAATATATTTATGAAGATTTAAATATGTAACAGAAAATAAGTTGCAGAACTTTTTTTTTTTTGAGATGGAGTCTCTATCTTCTAGACTGGAGTGCAGTGGTGTGATCTCGGCTCACTGCAACCTCTGCCTCACAGATTCAAGCAATTCTCTTGCCTCAGCCTCCTGAGTAGCTGGGATTACAGGCGCCTGCTGCCACACTCAGCTAACGTCTTTATTTTTAGTAGAGATGGGCTTTCACCGTGTTGGCCAGGCTGGTCTTGAATTCCTGACTTCAGGTGATCTTTCACCCTCGGCCTCCCAAAGTGCTGGCATTACAGGTATGAGCCATGGCGCCAGGCCAAGACATTCTTATAATGTGGCAAGATTGTCTATTGGTTTGAGTATTTCAGGAACAGTGCCAAAAAATAGTCAGATAATTTAGAAAACCTATCTGTATACCTCTTCTGCATTTTGCCTAAGAATAAGTTTCAGGGAATATACAACTTACGTAAATATAAACAATACACAGATACAAACAATACAAGATAAAGTTTAATTAAGAATATATTTAAGAAACTCCTAGAAGAAAAACATAGGGAAAAACTGTATGACATTGGATTTGGCAATGATTTCTTACATATGATACCAAAAGCATGGGCAGCAAAGGTAAAGAGATAAATCAGCCTACATCAAAATTTTCAAAAACTGCGCATCAAAGGACACAACAGGATGAAAAGCCAACCTACATACAGAGAAAATATTTACAAATCATGTTAATTATTGCAAATGGCCAAAGGATTGTATAGACATTTCTTGAGAGAAGATACACCAACGGCCAAAAAACACATGAAAAGATGTTGAACATCACTAATAATGAGGGAAATGCAAATCAAAACCACAATGAGATATCTCACACCCATTAAGATGGCTACTATAAAGAAAACAGAAAATAACAAGTCTTGGTGAGGATGTGGAGAAATTGGAACCCTTGTGCACTATTGGTGGGAATGTATGGTGCAGTTACTCTGGAAAATATAGGTAGAATTACTCTATGATATGGTTTGAATATTTGTCCACTCCAAATCTCATGTTGAAATGTAGGGGGAGGAGCCAAGATGGCCGAATAGGAACAGCTCCGGTCTACAGCTCCCAGCCTGAGCGACGCAGAAGACGGGTGATTTCTGCATTTCCATCTGAGGTACCGGGTTCATCTCACTAGGTAGTGCCAGACAGTGGGCGCAGGTCAGTGGGTGCATGCACTGTGCGCCAGCCGAAGCAGGGCGAGGCATTGCCTCACTCAGGAAGCGCAAGGGGTCAGGGAGTTCCCTTTCCTAATCAAAGAAAGGGGTGATGGACGGCACCTGGAAAATCGGGTCACTCCCACCCGAATACTGCGCTTTTCCGACGGGCTTAAAAAACGGCGCACCACAAGATTATATCCCGCACCTGGCTTGGAGGGTCCTATGCCCACGGAGTCTCGCTGATTGTTAGCACAGCAGTCTGAGATCAAACTGCAAGGCGGCAGCGAGGCTGGGGGAGGGGCGCCCACCATTGCCCAGGCTTGCTTAGGTAAACAAAGCAGCCTGGAAGCTCGAACTGGGTGGAGCCCACCATAGCTCAAGGAGGCCTGCCTGCCTCTGTAGGCTCAACCTCTGGGGGCAGGTCACAGACAAACAAAAAGACAGCAGTAACCTCTGCAGACTTAAATGTCCCTGTCTGACAGCTTTGAAGAGAGCAGTGGTTCTCCCAGTATGCAGCTGGAGATCTGAGAACGGGCAGACTGCCTCCTCAAGTGGGTACCTGACCCCTGACCCCTGAGCAGCCTAACTAGGAGGCGCCCCCCAGCAGGGGCACGCTGACACCTCACACTGCAGGGTACTCCAACAGACCTGCAGCTGAGGGTCCTGTCTGTTAGAAGGAAAACTAACAAACAGAAAGGACATCCACACCAAAACCCATCTGTACATCACCATCATCAAAGACCAAAAGTAGATAAAACCACAAAGATGGGGAAAAAACAGAACAGAAAAACTGGAAACTCTAAAAATCAGAGCGCCTCTCCTCCTCCAACGGAACTCAGCTCCTCACCAGCAACGGAACAAAGCTGGACGGAGAATGACTTTGACGAGCTGAGAGAAGAAGGCTTCAGACGATCAAATTACTCTGAGCTATGGGAGGACATTCAAACCAAAGGCAAAGAAGTTGAAAACTTTGAAAAAAATTTAGAAGAATGTATAACTAGAAAAACCAATACAGAGAAGTGCTTAAAGGAGCTGATGGAGCTGAAAACCAAGGCTTGAGAACTACGTAAAGAATGCAGAAGCCTCAGGAGCCGATGCGATCAACTGCAAGGAAAGGTATCAGCGATGGAAGATGAAATGAATGAAATGAAGCGAGAAGGGAAGTTTAGAGAAAAAAGAATAAAAAGAAATGAGCAAAGCCTCCAAGAAATATGGGACTATGTAAAAAGACCAAATCTACGTCTGATTGGTATACCTGAAAGTGATGGGGAGAATGGAACCAAGTTGGAAAACACTCTGCAGGATATTATCCAGGAGAACTTCCCCAATCTAGCAAGGCAGGACAACATTCAGATTCAGGAAATACAGAGAATGCCACAAAGATACTCCTCGAGAAGAGCAACTCCAAGACACATAATTGTCAGATTCACCAAAGTTGAAATGAAGGAAAAAATGTTAAGGGCAGCCAGAGAGAAAGGTCGGGTTACCCTCAAAGGGAAGCCCATCAGACTAACGGCGGATCTCATGGCAGACACCCTACAAGCCAGAAGAGAGTGGGGGCCAATATTCAACATTCTTAAAGAAAAGAATTTTCAACCCAGAATTTCATATCCAGCCAAACTAAGCTTCATAAGTGAAGGAGTAATAAAATACTTTACAGACAAGCAAATGCTGAGAGATTCTGTCACCACCAGGCCTGCCCTAAAAGAGCTCCTGAAGGAAGCACTAAACATGGAAAGGAACAACCGGTACCAGCTGCTGCAAAATCATGCCAAAATGTAAAGACCATAGAGACTAGGAAGAAACTGCATCAACTAATGAGCAAAATAACCAGCTAACATCATCATGACAGGATCAAATTCACACATAACAATATTAACTTTAAATGAAAATGGACTAAATGCTCCAATTAAAACACACAGACTGGCAAATTGGATAAAGAGTCAAGACCCATCAGTGTGCTGTATTCAGGAAACCCATCTCATGTGCAGAGACACACATAGGCTCAAAATAAAAGGATGGAGGAAGATCTACCAAGCAAATGGAAAACAAAAAAAGGCAGGGGTTGCAATCCTAGTCTCTGATAAAACAGACTTTAAACCAACAAAGATCAAAAGAGACAAAGAAGGCCACTACATAATGGTAAAGGGATGAATTCAACAAGAAGAGCTAACTATCCTAAATATATATGCACCCAATATAGGAGCACCAAGATTCATAAAGCAAGTCCTGAGTGACCTACAAAGAGACTTAGACTCCTACACATTAATAATGGGAGACTTTAACACCCCACTGTCAACATTAGACAGATCAACGAGAAAGAAAGTCAACAAGGATACCCAGGAATTGAGCTCAGCTCTGCACCAAGCGGACCTAATAGACATCTACAGAAGTCTCCACCCCAAATCAACAGAATATACATTTTTTTCAGCACCACACCACACCTATTCCAAAATTGACCACATAATTGGAAGTAAAGCTCTCCTCAGCAAATGTAAAAGAACAGAGATTATAACAAACTATCTCTCAGACCACAGTGCAATCAAACTAGAACTCAGGATTAAGAATCTCACTCAAAACCGCTCAACTACATGGAAACTGAACAACCTGCTCCTGAATGACTACTGGGTACATAACGAAATGAAGGCAGAAATAAAGATGTTCTTTGAAACCAACGAGAACAAAGACACAACATACCAGAATCTCTGGGACGCATTCAAAGCAGTGTGTAGAGGGAAATTTATAGCACTAAATGCCCACAAGAGAAAGCAGGAAAGATCCAAAATTGACACCCTAACATCACAATTAAAAGAACTAGAGAAGCAAGAGCAAACACATTCAAAAGCTAGCAGAAGGCAAGAAATAACTAAAATCAGAGCAGAACTGAAGGAAATAGAGACACAAAAAACCCTTCAAAAAATTAATGAATCCAGGAGCTGGTTTTTTGAAAGGATCAACAAAATTGATAGACCGCTAGCAAGACTAATAAAAAAAGATAGAAGAATCAAATAGATGCAATAAAAAATGATAAAGGGGATATCACCACCGATCCCACAGAAATACAAACTACCATCAGAGAATACTACAAACACCTCTACACAAATAAACTAGAAAATCTAGAAGAAATGGATAAATTCCTTGACACATATACTCTCCCAAGACTAAACCAGGAAGAAGTTGAATCTCCGAATAGACCAATAACAGGAGCTGAAATTGTGGCAATAATCAATAGCTTACCAACCAAAAAGAGTCCAGGACCAGATGGATTCACAGCCGAATTCTACCAGAGGTACAAGGAGGAACTGGTACCATTCCTTCTGAAACTATTCCAATCAATAGAAAAAGAGGGAATCCTCCCTAACTCATTTCATGAGGCCAGCATCATTCTGATACCAAAGCCAGGCAGACACACAACCAAAAAAGAGAATTTTAGACCAATATCCCTGATGAACATTGATGCAAAAATCCTCAATAAAATACTGGCAAAACGAATCCAGCAGCACATCAAAAAGCTTATCCACCATGATCAAGTGGGCTTCATCCCTGGGATGCAAGGTTGGTTCAATATATGCAAATCGATAAATGTAATCCAGCATATAAACAGAGCCAAAGACAAAAACCACATGATTATCTCAATAGATGCAGAAAAGGCCTTTGACAAAATTCAACAACCCTTCATGCTAAAAACTCTCAATAAATTAGGTATCGATGGGACGTATTTCAAAACAATAAGAGCTATCTATGACAAACCCACAGCCAATATCATACTGAATGGGAAAAAACTGGAAGCATTCCGTTTGAAAACCGGCACAAGACAGGGATGCCCTCTCTCACCACCCCTATTCAACATAGTGTTGGAAGTTCTGGCCAGGGCAATTAGGCAGGAGAAGGAAATAAAGGGTATTCAATTAGGAAAAGAGGAAGTCAAATTGTCCCTGTTTGCAGATGACATGATTGTATATCTAGAAAACCCCATTGTCTCAGCCCAAAGTCTCCTTAAGCTGATAAGCAACTTCAGCAAAGTCTCAGGATACAAAATCAATGTGCAAAAATCACAAGCATTCCTATACACCAACAACAGACAAACAGAGAGCCAAATCATGAGTGAACTCCCATTCACAATTGCTTCAAAGAGAATAAAATACCTAGGAATCCAACTTACAAGGGATGTGAAGGACCTCTTCAAGGAGAACTACAAACCACTGCTCAAGAAAATAAAAGAGGATACAAACAAATGGAAGAACATTCCATGCTCATGGGTAGGAAGAATCAATATTGTGAAAATGGCCATACTGCCCAAGGTAATTTACAGATTCAATGCCATCCCCATCAAGCTACCAATGCCTTTCTTCACACAATTGGAAAAAACTACTTTAAAGTTCATATGGAACCAAAAAAGAGCCTGCATTGCCAAGTCAATCCTAAGCCAAAAGAACAAAGCTGGAGGCATCACACTACCTGACTTCTAACTATACTACAAGGCTACAGTAACCAAAACAGCATGGTACTGGTACCAAAACAGAGATACAGATCAATGGAACAGGACAGAGCCCTCAGAAATAACGCTGCATATCTACAACTATCTGATCTTTGACAAACCTCAGAAAAACAAGCAATGGGGAAAGGATTCCCTATTTAATCAATGGTGCTGGGAAAACTGGCTAGCCATATGTAGAAAGCTGAAACTGGATCCCTTCCTTACACCTTATACAAAAATCAATTCAAGATGGATTAAAGACTTAAGCGTTAGACCTAAAACCATAAAAACCCTAGAAGAAAACCTAGGCTTTACCATTCAGGACATAGGCATGGGCAAGGACTTCTTGTCTAAAACACCAAAAGCAATGGCAACAAAAGCCAAAATTGACAAATGGGATCTCATTAAACTAAAGAGCTTCTGCACAGCAAAAGAAACTACCATCAGAGTGAACAGGCAAGCTACAAAATGGGAGAAAATTTTTGCAACCTACTCATCTGACAAAGGGCTAATAGCCAGAATCTACAATGAACTCAAACAAATTTACAAGAAAAAAACAACCCCATCAAAAAGTGGGCGAAGGACATGAACAGACACTTCTCAAAAGAAGACATTTATGCAGCCAAAAAACATATGAAATAATGCTCATCATCACTGGCCATCAGAGAAATGCAAATCAAAACCACAATGAGATACCATCTCACACCAGTTAGAATGGCAATCATTAAAAAGTCAGGAAACAACAGGTGCTGGAGAGGATGTGGAGAAATAGGAACACTTTTACACTGTTGGTGGGACTGTAAACTAGTTCAACCATTGTGGAAGTCAGTGTGGTGATTCCTCAGGGATCTAGAACTAGAAATACCATTTGACCCAGCCATCCCATTACTGGGTATATACCCAAAGGACTATAAATCATGCTGCTATAAAGACACATGCACACGTATGTTTATTGCAGTACTATTCACAATAGCAAAGACTTGGAACCAACCCAAATGTCCAACAATGATAGACTGGATTAAGAAAATGTGGCACATATACACCATGGAATACTATGCAGCCATAAAAATGATGAGTTCATGTCCTTTGTAGGGACATGGATGAAATTGGAAATCATCATTCTCAGTAAACTATCGCAAGAACAAAAAACCAAACACCGCATTTTCTCACTCATAGGTGGGAATTGAACAATGAGGTCACATGGACACAGGAAGAGGAACATCACACTCTGGGGACTGTTGTGGGGTGGGGGGAGGGGGGAGGGATAGCACTGGGAGATATACCTAATGCTAGATGACGAGTTAGTGGGTGCAGCGCACCAGCATGGCACATGTATACGTATGTAACTAACCAGCACAATGTGCACATGTACCCTAAAACTTAAAGTATAATAAAAAAAAAAATTAAAAAAAAAAAAAGAAATGTAATCCCAGTGTTGGAGGTGGGGCTGGTGAAAAACGTATGGATCATGGGGAGGATTCCTCATGAATGGCTTAGTCCCATCGTCTTGGTGATGAGTGAGTTCATGTGAGATCCAGTTGTTTAAAAGTATACGGCACCTACCCTCCCTCTCTCTCTTGCTCCAGCTCTCACCATGTGAGTACTAACGCCTGCTTTGCCTAATGCTATGATTGAAAGTTTCCTGAGGCCCTCGCCAGAAGCTGAGCACATGCTGGTGCTGTGCTTCCTCTACAATCTGGAGAACCAAGAGTCAATCAAATTACTTTTTTTTAAATTACCCAGCCTCAGATATTTCTATATAGCAACACAAGAAAGGAAAATAATTCCCCTTCTGAGTAATTCCACTCCCGGGTATCTATCCAAAAGGATCAAAAGCAGGATCTCTAATAGATATTTGTACATTCACATTCATTGAAATGTCATTCGCAATAGCCAAAAGGTGAAAGCAACCCATTGTCCATCGATGGATGAATGGATAAACAAAATAAGGTATGTATACGTATATCTATATTATCTATACACACACAATAGAATATTTATTAGTCTTAGAATAGAAATCTTGTTACATGCAACAACATTGTTGAAACTTCAAGACATTATGCTAAACAAAATAAGCCATTCACAAAAAGTCACATATAAGTCTATGATTTTACTTACATAGGGTACCTAGAGTCACCAAATTTATATATAGAGAAAATAATAGTTCCCAGAGACTGGAGGGCAGTGGGGGATGGGGAGTTATTGTTTAATGGGTATAGAGTTTCAGTTTTACAGGAGGAAAAGAGTGCTGGAATTTGATTACACAACAATGTGAATGTACTTACTACTTAACTGTAACTGGTTAAGATGGTAAATTTTACTTTATGTGTATTTAACCACAAATGGGACACAGAAAATCAGAGCAGGAAAGATGAGATTTATTTCTTTGAGTACATAGCTGAAACCATAATCCATATCAGGTTGTAATTTTTATAGTCCCTGATACAAATAATTACATGAGTTGCACTGTCCGTAATATAAAAACAAGCTGCACAATTAGAAGAAGCACATTGCTGGTACTGAGACCAGAGAGAAGTTTCATCTTTGGGTGATTCTTCGAGAGAAACAGTGGTAAACATTTATGTTCAACATGATTTTTATAATGAGTAAAGCAAGGAGTTTCCAACACATGTTCTTTATTATATTTTGATGGCATAATGCCAAAATAAAATTCAGTGTAACAGAAAAATTTTTACTTTGACATTATGCCTTCAGAAAATAGTAATGAACATGTGTGTTGGAACGTTTTTGTTCTGTTCATTATAAATTATGCTTAGCTCCCTTCCCCACCTCCTCTTTCTAAAAATCTTCCCTGCTTGTCTACCAGGTCTTTGTCACACTATTTGGACTTTCAGACAGAGTATACTAAGGGAAGAAAGAGAGGTGGAATAGATTTCTCTACAAATGGAAAGTTTCAAAAGAAAGTAAGATCTAATAAGGAGGAGGAGTAAGGACAGAGTGAGACTGGTAGCTGTGATCAGTTTTAAGAGTTTTGTGGATGAAACAAAGACGAACAGCTATTTTGTTGGTGAAGAGTTAGGGGATGGAGGTAAGAAAAGTGTATCTTTAGGAATTCTTATGGCATGTTCTTTGGACTGATTCCAACTTCATCTTCATCCATGCCCTCATCTCACAGATCACTCCAAGAAAACCTTAATGAAAGAGTTTACCAGTGCTTGCAGAATAGGAATTGCATTTTTAAAATGAGATTTTGGGTTGAGATAGGACTTAAACTGGAAGCAAGAAGACCTGGATTTACTAGGTTAGATGATTACACATTAAAAAGCAGCTCTACAGGAGAACAAACTGTGGGATCTAGAGTTCTCTTTGCTAATAGCTAGCTTAATTCAGCAATCAATTTTAGAGTACAGCAGAAAAAGCTGGACATCAGATAATACTCTATAAATACTGTGTCTCTCAACAGGATTGTCAATAAGGAGTTAGATGAGTTAAGAGTTTTATATGCCCAGTAATATGCTTCCATGAAGCCATATCCATGTGACTAGTTAAGTGTGGAGTTAAAGTCAGACAACTTCTTATGCATAGTGAAGATTCTATCAAAAATGTGAGGTGGCAAACAATGATAAGGAAGTTGGTTAAAGATATACACCTAGTCAGGGCTAAGAGCTATCAGAAGAAACTTTTGAGGTCCACACAAGTGCAAATATAAAAGGACAGTTAAGATATCAACTTTCACTACTATGGACCATAGCCATGGATACTTTTAGCCTGGAAAAATTTTAAAGTATATCCAATCATATTTCTACCATGTTCATACCAAAAAAAATTCAGCAAACCAACTACAGCATATTTAGCAGCCTGATCTGTTCTATTATATCCACCAAGTTAGATGAATTGCCAACTTCATGCCTAAGTGACTGCATAAATTGGATTCTTATACAGGATTATTGACACTTTAAGTCATAGCAAAATTGCATTTAATTTTAGATTAGTTAATTTATATATCTTTAGGGTAATAATTTAAAGTTGGGCCAATTATTGGTTAAGGCCACCTTTTGGTTATTGACATATTATCTATCGCGAAGAGAATATTTATTTTCCATTTCAAACACCAAGGGGTTAAAAATGGGCAATAAGATAAAGAATTAAAAAAAGACTTCATAATATTAGTCTCAGTTTTCATACTTCCTTCACTTATAAATTCTGTTTTTTTATGATTTTAACATAAAACTTCATTATCATGTCAACCTATAAGTGCAGTCTCTATTGTCTCTAAAGTCATTTTTAACATCTGGCAAATATACTACATTTACTTAATGTTACAATATGTCATTCTTACATTTCTCACATGCTAATTTCTAAATAGTGTCTGCTATCAGAAGCTAAAGAACATTTAATACCAAAGTTGTTACTTTATAAAATCTGTCACTTTTCCAGAATAAAATGACAGTTTAATTTTGATTGACAACGCATAGGGAAATCAAATAAGAATACTATATGAGGGAAAAACAGAAGAACTAAAGTTAGTACAATTCCTGTAATTTAGTTATTATGACTGATAATAGTATAAAAAATTATGGCTATTTTCAGGAAAAAAAGTTTCTAAAGGAAATGAACTCTTGTGATATTCAGAATATCTTGGGATGTATTTGTTCTGAAAACCAAGCATCTACTCTGTAATTACCACATATAAGACGAGAAGTAGGAAGCTACAAAGAAGATATTAATTCCTGTGTTCATACAGGGGTTAATACATATATTTAAGTTCACTTCAATGCAAAGCAAATATTTATATGCTAGGAACAGAATGTTCCTTTCTGAAGTCCTAAGAGGAGTAGAACTTTTGTTAAGGAGCACAAATCTGATGCATATATTTAGCAGTACCAAAGAATTACAAAAGGCAACTTTCTATGCTAGTCTTCTTCTCTTTGATTTCCATTGATCTCATTTCTTCTTATTGGTAGGTTTTATCTTCTCCAGACTGGTGCTAGAGATTAGTGAGACAAAGAAGAAAGTTGGCTTATCTGCGTTGGAGTTAAATATTAGTCAGACTTTCCTAATTTCTTTGTTTTGATGGGCACTGGGTGTAACTTCTCAGGATGTTGAACTGAAGGTCAATGTAACACCTATGTCTTCTGTCCACCAGTGGAGACGTTGTGTTACTATTTTTGTGGACCTCTCACAAACCTCCATCTCCACTCCTACAGTGCTAATGCTGCCTCATTCTTCAGTGATCGTATTGTTTAGGCAAAATTCCTGATCTCTTAGACAAAATTACAAAGAATTAGCAATGTGACTTTGTATTTGGATAAATTACTCAACACATTTAACTGAGCTTAAGTACGCAGGTGCTCATAAATATGTGGCGGTGCCAGTGATTGGGCTTATTTTTGCCTTTCTCTGGAAGGTAATTTAAGACCTGATTTTAGGTTTCTGTTGCTCCCCAGGGGAAAAGACAGACTTATACATTCTTTTTTTTCTTTTAATAAAGATAATAAAGAGTTGGTTCTTTTTTATTAACATAAATTTTCTTTAAGTTCCCCCTGATTTTAACAGTCAGTGTTGATATTTTCTGTAGAGTAGCAGATTACCTGAATTTACTTTCCAATTAATATGTATAATTGTCACTATTTGCTTTAAAATATGTGTTTAAAAGTCACTTCGGTTCTGGGTGAATCTCATTGAATTTATAAATCATTGACTTGCATTCTAGTTGGCTTGATTGCATATTTGTCTTTTCATTAAGGAGACAAGTTTGCTAGATTTTTTTGTAAAGTTCTTACCATAATGACTATTACAATTAGATTGTTTTGTGTGTTCTAAAATGAAGGGATGGGTGATTAATGGAACTTAGAGGATATACTATTTATCCTTCTGGTTTGTTCCTCCAGAACTCCAGATTTTCTAAACATGTTTTGGAGAGCTATAGGTTTCTGAGTCTGTCAAAATAATCTTCCTAAAAACACCTGTATCTATGGAGTGCTATGATAAAAATTACTTGACTACAATGAATGGAATTATTTATTATAATTATTAGGCAATAGACTGAAAGTATTTAGATTAAAATAAGAAAATAGAAAATAAAATCCCCTTAATGTGGCATAAGCACTAACTGAAATATGGTATTATCTCCATACATACATATACATATGTGTATGTGTGTGTGTATATATACACACACATATATATACACATATATGTATGTTAAGAGTCAGGGTTGGCCAGGCGCAGTGGCTCATGCCTGTAATCCCAGCAGTTTGGGAGGCCAAGGCAGGTGGATCATTTCATGTCAGGCATTTGAGACCAGCCTGGCCAACATGGTAAAACCCTGTATCTACTATAAATACAAAAAAAAAAAAAAAAAAATTAGCCAAGTGGTAGTGGTGCACGTCTGTAATCCCAGCTACTCGGGAGGCTGAGGCAGGAGAATTGCTTGAGCCTGGGAGGCGGAGGTTGCAGTGAGCCGAGATGGCACCACTGCACTCCAGTATGAGTGACAGAGTGAGACCCTGTCTCAAAAATAAAAATAAAAATAAAAATAAAAATAAATTCAGGGTCTTGCTGTGTTGCCCAGGCTAGTCTCAAATTCCTGGCTTCAGGTGATCCTCCTGCTTTAGCAGCCTCAAACTCCTGGCTTCAAGTGATCCACCTGCCTTAGCTTCCCAAGCAGCTGAGGTTATAGACATAAGCCACTGCATCCAGCTCCCTACATTTTAATATTTTGTTCTTAAAAATATTAAATTTAACATTTTGTTTTTCTCCTTATTGTTAAAAATGGGGATGTCAGGGTACAAGAAAGAAACACATTTGTATAAGTAAATGATTCCCAAATATCAACTTTGAAATAGTTAAAAGTGAAAATGGCTATTGTTCCTCTTTTTGTAATTTCCTAGGGGATGTTTTGAATAATTAGCAATGACTTCAATTATTTACATTTCTTGAAACATTCTTTCCTTTATTTGAGGAGGAAAGATAAGCAAAATTTTTGATTTTTCAAAGCAAGCTTTTAGGTTTTTTTGTTACAACAAAAAGAAAATCACCAAAGAAAATATGTGGAAGAAAATTATATATATTCTTAATAGATAGAATGGAATGGAGATAGGAGTAATGAAGAAAGGAATGTAAGAGTACAAATGACAATAGTATTGTGTAATTGTTTTCCTATGCTTTCTTAAACTTCAAATGTGTTTTTCTTACTTCAGTAGTGCTCTTATAATGCCCACGCCTCTTCAAAATTTTTTTTAAATTATAAAATTAATAACATTTAGGTAAAGCTAATATTTTTACGTATTTGTTCATGCCATGTTTTTCTAAGCAAGTTTTAACCATTTTAGGTAAAATATTGTTTTCTCAAAAGCTATATTCTTTGAGCAGGATGTTAGAATAGAAGGTCCACCACTCATTTTCCCTCATAGCAGCAATAATTTCCCAGCCATCCATTGCAAAATGTACTGTTGTGGGAGCCTTGGAATTCAAGTAGGAGTTTGTGAAACCCCAGTGGAGCCCAAGACCTAGGAGGGTCATTTTGAGGGGGCGGATTCATACTTAGGCACCAGATTTACCTAAAGTGAGACAGGCTTGCCCACTTCAATCTTGATTGTGGACAACTTAATGACCCACTAAACCAGCTCCAGCTCCTCTCAGCTATGGTCTGAGATCAGTTCTGTTAACGCAAGGACCCAGAGGGAGACACACCCATCTGACTCCCTGGGTCAGACTTGCCAACCTTGGTCCCACAGCAGATCCTGAAACTGAATCCAAGCCCCAGACCCCCTCTGCTATGGTCAGAGAGCAGTTCTACCTGTTCAGGGATCTGGAGGGAAGCATAGCCATCCATGTTCCCACAGGCAGGCCAGCTAACTTAGGTTATACAGCAGATCCCGAAAAAACCAAGGAACTCAGCTATAGTTCATCTCAACTGTGGCTTGAGAGCAGTTCTGTCCATGAACGGACCTGAAAGGTCCATAGATGGTTCCAGTGTCCATCATTGCTCCTGTAAGCTGGCCTGCTTAACTTTGGTCCCACTGTGCATCTTCAAAAGTCCCTATAATTCAGCTCCAGTCCCTGTAAACTGTGGCATAAGAGCAGACTTACCTTCACAGTGACCTCCTAAGAGACATACCCCAGAGATAGGCTGAATGACTTTGGTCTCAGCTGTAGACCCTGAAGCAGCTCTGTGACCTGGTTCCAATCCCTCTCAGTTACAACCAAGGCAGTACTGCCTGCCCAGGGACCCACCCAGTGACATAGCAGAAGCCCTCCCAGGAACCTGGAGGAAGCCACATTTATCCATAAACCTGGTAACAGGCCCATTGTCTTCAGACTCAAAAGTGGACCCTCATCCCAGTACCAGCCCTACAGACCAAGGTCCTGAAGATAGTTCAGTCCACCTAGGGACCACATAGATAGGACCCATCCATGTCCACCAGAGCACTGCTAACAGGTCTGCCAACAACAGACCCCATTGCAGTCTCAGTAGCAGCCATGTGACCTGACTCCAGCCCCATACAACCGCAGTCCTAGAGGCAATCACATCACACCTGGAACCTAATAGGAGAAAGCCTTAACCTGCCAAAACATGTCTGTAAAGACTAGAAGAGGGTCTTGTTCCTTCAAATGGAGACTCCAGCAAACGAGTCTATGGATAACGAAGAACCAAGCAAACATGACACCACCAAAAGAAAGAAATAAAGTTCCAGCAACCAAGTCCAAAGAAATGGTGATCTATAAATTGCCTGAAATATAATTCAAAATAATCATCTTAATGAAGCTCAATGAGGTGCAAGAAAACACAGGCAACTGAATGAGATCAGAAAAGCAATGCACGAACACAATGAGAAGTTTAATAAAGATATAAAGCTGAAGAATACAAAGACAGAAGTAAAAAACTCAATAGAGAGCTTCAGCAGCAGACTCAATCATGGAGAAGAAAGAATTAAAAAGCTTGAAGACAGATCATTTGAAATTTGCCAATTCAAGGAACAAAAAGAATAAATATAAAAAGAGCCAGGTAAACAATAAGGGTCCTTTGGGGCACAATCAATCATATTAATATATTGCTTTTAATGGCAATTACTTTTACACCAACCCAATACAAATTATAGAGGCTCCAGAGGGAGAAGAGAACAAAAAAGGAGCAAAAATATTATTTAAAGGAATACTGTCTGAAAACTTTCTAAATCTTGGAGGAATATGTAAATCCAGATTCCTAAGCTCAAAGGAGTCTAAACAAGTTCAATCCAAAGAAAAATACTCTGAGGCATCTTGCAATCAAACATCAAAAGTTCTCATAGAGAGAATCTTGAAAGCAAAAAGAGATAAGAGACTGGTCACATCCAAGGGAACCTCCGTTAGGTTATCAGAGGACTTCTCAACAGAAACTTGCAATCCAGGAGGGAGTGAGATGTTATATTCAAGAGGCTGACATGAAATTAAAAAAAACCCAGAAACCTGGCAACCAAGCATACTATACTCAGCAAAGCTCTCCTTCAGAAATGAAGGAGAGGTAAAGACTTTCCTAGACAAAGCTGAGAGTGTTCATTACCATTATATTTGCCTCATCAAAAATGCCAAAGGAAGTTCTTCAAGTAAAAAGATGCTAATTAATAATATGAAAACATATAAAAGTTAAAAAGACTCAGTAAAGACAAATATATAGTCAAACTCAGATTACCTCAATACTGGAGTGGTGGTGTATAAATTACTTATATCTCTAATATAAAGATTAAAAGACAAAACTATTAAAAATAAGTATAGCTGTGATAATTTGTTAAGGAATACACAATATAAAAATATGTAAATTGTGATATCAAAAACCATAAAATATTTGTATGCGGGGAGTAAAAATGTAGTTTTTTATGTGATTGAAATTAAGTTATCAGCTTAATATAACCTGTTGTTAAAGATGTTTTATGAAGTGTCAGGAAAACAATACCCTTAAAACCTATAGCAGATACACAAAAGATAAAGGGACCAAAACATGCCGCTGCAAAAAATTATTGTAGCACAAAGGAAGATAGCAAGAGAGGAAGAAAAGAACAAAAGATCCACAAAACAATCTGAAAACAATTACTAAAATGGCAGTAGTAAGTCTGCATCTATCAATAATTACCTTGAATGTAAATACATTAAATTATCTGATGAAAAGACAAAGTGGCTAAATAAATAAAAGAATAAGACCCTATTCTGTGCTGCCTACAAGAGACTCACTTCAGCTTTAAGGACACACATAGACTGAAAGTGAAGGGATGGGAAAAGATATTCCATGCAAACGGAAATGAAGACGTCAGGGGTAGCTTTACTTATATCAGAAAAAATAGACCTTAAGTCAAAAAATGTTAAAGTAGACAAAGAAGGTCACTATATAATGATAAAGGGGTTAATTCATCAAAAGCATATTACACTTGTAAATGTATAATATATGCACAGTATTGAAGCACCTAAACATAGAAAGCAAATATTAATAGATCTGGAGGGAGAGATAGACAGCAATACAATAATAGTAGGGGACTGTAATACGCCACTTTCAACAATGGATAGATCATCCAGACAGAAAATAAATAAGAAACACTGGACTTGAACTACACTTTAGGTGAAATGGACCTAACAGATATATAGAGAACTTTCTATCTAGCAGCATGAGAATATGTATTTCTTTTCAAGCACACACCAAATAATCTCCACGATAAATCATACAGCAGGCCAGAAAACAAGTCTTAACAAATTTAAAAAGACTAAAATTGTATGCAGTATCTTTACTGACCACAATAGTATAAAACTAGGAAACAGTAATAGAAAGAAATTTGGAAAGTTGGCAGATTTGTAGAAATTAAACATACTTCTGAACAACCAATGAGTGAAGGAAGAAATAAAAAGAAAAATAAAAGAGTCTTGAGACAAATGAAAATAGAAACACAACATACAAAAAACTATAGGATATAGCCAAAGCAGTTCTGTGACAAAAGTTTATAGTAATAAATATGTACATTTAAGAAAAATCTCAAATAAATAACCTATGTTTCATCTCAAGAAACTAGAAAAAGAAGAACAAAAGAAGTCCAAAGTTAACAGAAAGAAGGAAATAATGAAGATCAGAGAAAAATAAATAAAATAATTGTTGGAAAAAAATAGAAAAGATAATTAAAATGAAGAGTTGGTTTTTTAAAAAAAAGACAAAATTGACAAGCCTTTAGCTAAACTAAGAAAAAAAGAGAAGGTTCAAACTTCTGTTGCCCACAAGAAAGGAAGCAAATTCAGAAAAGTGTTTGATAAGTTTTGATCTACAGGAAAGAATATTACCTAATAAAGTTTTTCTATTAACATAAAAATAAAACTTGGGATTTTTCCTCTTTCCATTAGGGATTCAAGTTTTTGAAATTAATCATTTAGTTAATAAAAATGTTTCCAGGCTAACTGTAAAGAAAAATTATTTTTCTTCTTAAAAGATAGGAAACTAAGACCAAGTAGAAATGTACCTTCATATAGTTCCTAGTTTCAAGATATTAGGCTTGATTGTTAGACAATTAGTGAGACTAATTTTGGACATGTACAGAACATTGTCTAAGGATTAGGAGTTCTGTGTTCAATTTATTCATATTCTGAACGTTGGTGAATCAGCAATTTTAAGACATACTGACTGTTTCTTAAACATTTGAATAAATTTGATGCATAAAACTAGGCACGTTAAGCATTTTTGCCTCTCTTCTAGTTAATTGTGAAGACGTTATTCACTTTGCCATTCTATAGCCTAGTAATAGTACCCCCATTCTATAGCAGGGGTAGCAAATTATAGCCCATGAGCTAAAAAAAAAAAAAAAAACTAGAGAGGAAAGCAAATGTTGTTGGAAAAAAAAAAAACAAGGAGCTGAAAATTATCATGGAGAAGAAGAAGGAGAAGAAATATATAAAATAACAGCGTATATATAAAATTACAACTCTAGTATTAAATAGCAGTTCAAAGAAGAATGGATGTAAGATCAAAAAAGAACGTGGAATTTGGATGTTTGAAAAAACTGAAACATGCAAACGCACAATGACAACAATTTTTAAATCCCTTTCCATCCTTCCCTGTTATGCCTCCAAGGTATTGCTACAGACACAATCTTTGGGGGAAAAAAAAAAACCTTACAGGAGCAAGGAGTTCACTGCAACCTATTTTCCCAATGTGATAATATTTTTTGCTTTTCTAAAAATAATCATGGTTGTTGAAAGCAAACTACTATTTAATTTGAATGCATAGCTTGAGATCCAAGGCTTATGTGATTTATTTTTTTTCTAGAATATGCTGAGCTTCACTTTATTTCTGGTGAATTAGGTACCTGGTTCAGCACATTCCTGAGAATGAGTTTTTCTTTGAGCACAATATGCTCCATTAGACTGGATATTCCATTAAAATGAATAGATTCTCTGCACTGAAATAGGCTACTCGAGCCCTCACATTGACTTATATCATACAAAAAGGACATTTTCCTGGAGTATTTTTGGAATCTAGCTACTCTAAGTTTACTGTCTTTTAAACCCACAGGAATGCCTAATGGTACAATGAAAGAGCAATTCATAGGCAGAGAGTTGTAAATCGAAACACATTGTACAAAAGAAAGGCTATTGGGAAAAATAATCGGTGATATCTATGTGTTTTGTTTCCAAATCTATCAACCAGAGATTGATCTGGTGAAATTTTAAATAGATTTTAGGATATAAATAGCATCCGCAATGTAGACTCTAAGCCTTGCTTGCCTCCAGTAGCTGAGGCTGTAGGTCCATCTGCAGAAGGACCCCAGAAGTACTTCATCACTTCTTAGTCTGATAGTTTTAATGAATAACAATAAAAGAACAAATAAACAGAACACACAAAAAAAACCGCATGGGACTTTTTCTCAAATGCAGCTAACTGACCCCCACCCCCACCACCTTCCATGATACCCTGTGGAGTCTCTCCTTGTTCATGCCTGGTTCTGTCATTGTGTGCCTGATACAATTGCTGAAGGGCTATAATCTAGTTTCCACCTCAAGAAACCTAGAGAGGACCCAAGTGAGGGTAAGGGCAAAATGAGCAGCTGAATAAGCACAACCCAGTTCCTGATTACTAGAGACAAAAATATGTACTACCATTTACATTTATGAGAAGGTGATTTCTGACTCAGCAAGTCAGAAGTCCTTTCATAAAGAAGATAAATAAATAGTCCTGGGTAGATCTTTAGGATGTAAGCTCTGATTAATGACAAGGTATGGGTAGGTGTTAAAGTTAATATGTTACAGTACAATGAGTGAGTAAACAGAAGATTTTAGAAAAGGCCATGGCACACGGTGTTTATAAACACACGTATTTTTTGAGGTCACACTGAGAAGTGTGAAGTTGATATTTAAAAAGCTGTATGGAAATCTCTATAACTAAACATAAGCATTTACATCTTTTGAAAGTAGTTATTAAACTAATAAACCTAATGCAACTAATAAAAAGGATAAAAAGGGAAAACAAAGCTACTTTATAAGTTAAAGGTTAGAAGTAAATATTTATACAATGAAAAATACTAAGGTATTCAAAAAACATGAGACTTTGTGGCAGGACTTTGGAGTCCGACAAACCTGTTTGAATTCCTGCTCTGCCATTCATTAGTATTATGGCTCTCAAGACCCCTGAAAGTTACTGAATTTTAATGAGGCTTAGTTTCTTTGTCTGTAAAATAAAGATAATACTGCCTGCATTATATGTGACGATGAAGCTTATATTAAATCAGGTGTAAAGTGTCATAGTACATGTACTATGTTAGTTCTCTTCTTTCTTAAGATTGTTGCTGAAAATTAAATTCCACAGAAAAATAATACAATGCCAATTAAAACCTTTTCATTTACTTATTTATTTAATCTGAAAACAGATATCTAAAAAATTTCACAATAGGTAATTCATTTTCTTCATAGCATTTATCACTGTCTAAGCTTACCATGTGTATTCGTTAGCCTTTGGTCAATTTGTGTGTCTTCCACCCTAGAATGTCCATGAAACTGCCTATTTCCTGCTAATCTCAGAGTCTGAAACAACTGGATATGTTGTCGTCGTAGAAAGAAGCACTATGTTGCGTTTATTGTATGCCAGGAGTTCAAAATATTAATTTGATTTTCATAATGACTAGATGAGGTGAATATGCCTATAGTCCTATTTTATAAAGGGGAAACTGAAGTAAAAAGAGGTGACATGTCCTATCTAAAGCCACACAGAAAACAGTATCCCAGTCTGACACTTATCAGAGTAAGAACTGAAGAAGTTTAGTTCCAAAATCAATGATGTAATCATCACATTATATTGCTGTAATATGTTTTTGATGAATAAATGGACAAATGAATGAATGGCTTGTTTTGGGTGCCATTTGAAACCAGGTGGAAGTGGTCCTTGGAGTTCATTGTTATGTTTTTGGATTGTTGTTTGCTAGTCTGTGTACTTACAAAATTTGCTGTCACTATATTCTATATATTTGTAGAATTTTCTCTTAGAACATGCAAACAATATGATCTGAGGGTTTAACTGCTTCTAAAACAGATTTTCAACCAGTCCTAGTACTTTCTGTTTCATATTTTCCCCTGGTTCCAAAGGTCATCAGTTTACCTTCTGGGAATTCCTTGTAAGCTGAGTGTTAGTTTTCCTACTGCCACCTTAGGTGTCTGCTTTCTCCACTGCCTCTTTAATTCCTGCAGCTCTCTCTGTCTTTCAAGTACCATACTTTTTTTTTTTTTTTTTTTACTGCAATAGACTTTCTTATTCTTTTTTTAAAAGTGGTTTTATACCTATAAAAATTCCTTTAGTCATACTTTAGTGGCATTTTAAAGGAAACTGGAGATAAGTAGATGGCGTCAGCCCCACCATTTTGAACAAAAAACCTAGGTTTTATCATGATGTCTTTCCCTTTACACTATCTTCACATCTAAGCCATTATCAAATTTTGTTACTTTTTCCTCCTTAGTCTCAAAGTCTATTCACATTCTCCATTTCCACTTTTTTTTTTTTTAAAGTTAGTCCAAGGCATTATTTTTGGACCATGTGAGATCAGCAGTTTCCTAATTGGATTATTTTCAATGCTACTCCATTTCCCTAAAGACAATGTCATGGCCTTTCATTGTGGCCCACTAGGCTCTATGATCTGGCCCCTGGTCATGCAGCCTCTTCCCTTTCTCTCTTAGATAATATGCCTGACTCATTCTGAACTATTTTTAGTCTCCTGATTTCTTACTATGGGGCTTTTGCACATGTTATTCCCTCTTTTTAGAATGTTCTGCCGTCATGTGCAGATGGATAATGCCTATTTATCTTTCAGACACTATCTCATCTAGGAAGGCTTCTCTGAGTCTCTTGGGCTTTTTTAGATGCCTCTCAAGTTGCTCCCATAATATTCTGCATTTACTCCTAATTCAGTGGTTTTCACAACAAACTGACATTATCTCAACAGATGTTGTTGTCTTCCCTAACTAAAACACTTCTATAGCTCCCTGTTTTATTTAGAATAACATTCAAACACTTTGCAGTGGCTGGCAAAGACACACATGAGATACGTCTTTGTGATGTCATCTACGATTCTCCCTGTATTCACCATGAGCTAGCCATATTCACTTCTTTTCTGTTCCTTCAACACACTAAGACCTCTCCTGGAAGAGTGACTTTGCATTTACTCTTTGTTTCTGACTGTGATGTCTCTCCTCCAGCTCTCGGCAGAGTAGCTTCCTTTTGCCCATCAATTAACTTCATCTCAAGCCCTTGTTATTTCCCCTATCTAAAAGTCCCCGTTTCCAGTAACACTGTGACATATAACCTTGCTTATGTGCTCTATAGTACTTATTCTGAATTTCGTACATGAGGTCAGGAACCTTGACCGTATCTTTCAATATACCTTTTATTTCTTCTAAGTGTTCCATAAAAGTTTAGAGACGTTTTACTCTTTAATTAAAGGGGAAGACACTGGGTGACCTCATTTGTATGCACATTTCCAAGTAATATTTTCTCATCCAACTTTTAATGTGTACCAGTTGCCTGCCTGAAGTCCAAATGTGTTAATTCAGCAAACACTACAGACATATTTATTGAGCTCCAATTATGTTCCTGGTGTTGTTCTAGGAATTGAAGATATAACAGTAAATAAAACGGAGTTCTTTCCCTCATGGAGTTCATGTATTATCAAAGGGGGGAAGGTTGGACACAGGAAATTTAAAAAATAGAAAAAAGAAAATGCATCAGGTAGTGCTACGTACTATTAGAGAAAATCAAGGTAAGGGGATGGAGTCATTGGTGATGGAGGTCACTATTAAATAGAGTGGTTAACGGAGGCCTCTCTAAAGAGGCAACTGAAGTCAGGGAGTGATTCATGCATTGGAAAGAGCACTCTAGGCAGAGAGAACAGTGAGTGCTCTTGTAAGTGGACATGAACCAGCTAAGAAGACATGAACATGCTCTGATATGATTGCAGCAGAGCAGGTGAGAGACAGAGTGAGAAGAAAAATGTTCAGAGAAATAGCCAGGGGCCAGGTTATGTATATCTTGTAGCATGTGGTAAGAATGTTGGATTATTTTCCTGAGTTTGATGGAAACCCATTGAAGAGCTTTGAGCATGGTAGTGACATGATCGGATTTATATTTGAAAATTTTCTTAATTGTGTAGAGAATAGAGTTTATGAAGGTAGAAGTAGAAATGGGAGACTAGTTATCAGGTTACGGTAACTGTAGCATGAGATATAGGAGCTGTGTGTAGGGTGATAGTGATAGAGGAGGTGAAAAGTGGTTGGATTTAGGACATATGCTGAAGGACAAGTTTATGTAATTTGCTGGCCAACTGATTATGGGACAGTTTGAATGTCAGATAGGAGAAAAAGAAAGGAAAGAAGGTAGACATCAAGGTTTGGTTCTGAGGAACTAGATGAGTGGATTTGAAGATGAGGAGCACTCAGAGCTAAATGAGGATTTTCTTTGGACAGCTGAGTGTGAATTTTAGAGTTTGGGTTTGGAAACACAAGTTTGAGATGGCTATTAGAAATCCAAGTAAAGATGATGGGTATGTGTAGTTGGATATATAATATTGGAGTTATAAATGTTGGAATCACATTATATAAATGGTGTTTTAAACCATGGAATTGATATGATAACCTAGGAATTGAGTATAGATAGGAAAGAGAGACAAAGATACATCCCAATGCACTCTGATATTAGAGTTCAGAAAGGTAAAGATAAATCATTAAGAACCACCATGAATAGAAATCAGTCTGGTGGGAGGAAAGTCAACAGTGTGAGGCCTTAGAAATCAGATAACAAAGACAAGGCACTTGGAGAAGGATAGAGAGAACCATTGTGTTAAATATATGGTGACATAAACACTAATAACTATTTGGCAATGTGGGATTCATTGTTCACCTTGATCATTGAAACATGATGGTAGAAAGCCTGACTAGAGGATGTTCAAAACATAATTGAAATAGAAATCATGTCAGTAGCTATGGAGAGTTCTTTCCAGGAAAAACAAAATTAAAAAGTGCAAGAAAAAAGGAAAATTTGGGGCAGATGAAGTTTGTGTGATGTTTTAAAGTTCTGCCTTTGAAGCAGTTGAGAGATTGTAAAACCTACTCAAGAACATTAAATTCTCTCATTTTTAAATTATAAAATATATTAGGTATACAACAGGATAGAGGCCTCTATTCCTCTATTTCTTCCTGAAATTTTGATAACTTTTACTCTATATTTTTAAGACTGGGTTATTGGTGCATACAATTTAAGAATTAAGAGATCTTTTGGGTGAATTGTTCTCATTCTATAGTGTTCCTCTTCATCTTTGATAATTATTCCTGCCATAAAGTCAATTTTGTCTGATATTAGTATATCAACTCCAACTTTCTTTTGCCATTTATTGGCCTGTTATTTATTTCTTCTATCTATTTACTTTCGATCATCAGTGTCTTTCTTAGACTTTAGGTAAGTCACTTGTAAATTCCATACAGCTGAATTTTGCTTTCTTGAGTCACTTTTACAATCTGTCAATTTAATCTCTGTTTCATGACAATCTGTCATTAAACATTGAGTATGATTTGTATACATAAACTGTGATTAGTCATATAGATCTCTATTTATTTCTATTATCTTTTTATGTACTTCTTACTGGCCATGCTTCTTCTTTTCTTTGCCTCTTTTCTCTTTCTGCTTTCTACTATCTTGTTCAAATTTAATTTATGTACGTCTCTCCTTGTCACCCTCCCTTCCTCCCATTCACATGCATTTGGAAGTTACATATTCTATTTTTATGATTTTAAGATTACTGTTTACATTTCTAAAGTCATTCACTGATTTCTTGCTGAATGCTTAGCATTTCAAATACCTTAATTATTATTTTTGCTACTGTCTTACAATAGATGATTTATTTTTAGCTTTACTCTTTTGTTTATTCATTCATAATTTATTTTTGTATTTCATGACATTTCGTACTTAATTTTCTTCTTGAATAAGTAAATTTTTAAAGTTCTTTTAGTGATAATCTATGTAGTAAATGCCTTCAGAATTCATTTTATTTTATCTCTTGAAAAATAATTTAACTGAACTATCCTAAATACAGGAGCACCCAGATTCATGAAACAAGTTCTTAGAGACCTACAAAGAAACGTAGACTCCCACACAATAATAGTGGGAGACTTTAATACCCCACTGTCAATATTAGATGGATCGTCAAGTCAGAAAATGAACAAAGATATTTAGAACTTGAACTCAGCCCTGGATCAAGTGGACCTGATAGGTATCTACAGGACTCTCTACCCAAAACAACAGAATATACATTTTTCTTGGTGTTACATGGAACTTACTCTAAAATTGATTGCCTAATTGGAAGCAAAACACTCCTCAGCAAATGCAGAAGAACTGAAATCATAACAAACACTCTCTGAGACCACAGTGCAATCAAATTAGAACTCAAGATTAAGAAACTCACTCAAAACCACACAACTACATCGAAATTGAACAACCTGCTTCTGAATGACTCCTGAGTAAATAATGAAATTAAGGCAGAAATCAAGAAGTTCTTTGAAACTAATGAAAACAAAGAGACAACATGCCAGGATCTCTGGAATGCAGCTAAAGCAGTGTTAAAAGGGAAATTTATAGCACTAAATGACCACATCAGAAAGCTGGGAAGATCTCAAGTCAACATCCTGACATCACAACTGAAAAAACTAGAGAATCAAAAGCAAACAAACCCCAAAGCTAGCAGAAGACAAGAAATAATGAAGCTCAAAGCAGAACTGAAGGAGACAGAGACACAAAAAACCTTTCAAAAAACCAATGAATCCAGGAGCTGTTTTTTTTTTGAAAAAAATAATAAAATAGACCACTAGCTAGACAAATGAAGAAGAAAAGAAATTAAAATCAAACAGACATAATAAAAAATGACAAAGAGGATATCACCACTGATACCACAGAACTACAAACAACCATCAGGGAATACTATAAATACCTCTATGCAAATAAACAAGAAAATCTAGAAGAAATAAATAAATTCCTAGACACATATACCCTTCCAAGACTGAACCAGGAAGAAGTTGAATCCCTGAATAGACTAATAACAAGTTCTGAAATTGAGGCAGTAATTAATAGCCTACCAACCAAAAAACCCCAGGACCAGACAGATTCACAGCCAAATTCTACCAGAGGTACAAACAGGAGATGGTACCATTTCTTCTGAAACTATTCCAAACAATTGAAAAGGAGCGACTCCTCCTTAACTCATTTTATGAGGCCAGAATCATCCTGATACCAAAACCTGGCAGAGACACAACAACAACAAAAAAACTTCAGGCCAATATCCTTGATGAACATCGATGCAGAAATTCTCAGTAAAATACTAGCAAATAGAATCCAGCAGCACATAAAAAGCTTATCCACCATGATCAAGTTGCCTTCATCCCCAGGATGCAAGGCTGGTTCAACATACACAAATCAATAAATGTAATTCATCACATAAACAGAACTAAAAACAAAAAATACATGATTATCTTAATAGAGATGTAGAAAAAGGCTTAGATAAAATTCAGTATCCCTTCATGTTAAAAACTCTCAACAAACTAGGTATTGAAGGAACATACCTCAAAATAATGAGACATTTATGGCAGGCCCACAGCCAATATCATACTGAATAGGCAAATGCTGGAAGCATTCCATTTGAAAATTGGCACAAGACAAGGATGCCCTCTCTCACCACTTCTATTCAAAATAGTATTGGAAGTTCTAGCCAGGGCAATCAGGCAAGAGAAATAAATAAATAAATGGTATTCAAATAGGAAGAGAGGAGCTCAAGTTGTCTTTGTTTGCAGATGACATGATCCTATATCTAGAAAACCCCATTGTCTCAGCCAAAAGCTTCTTAAGCTGATAAGCAAATTCAGCAAAGTCTCAGGATACAAAATCAATGTGCAAAAGTCACAACCATTACTATACACCAACAAGAGGCAAGCAGAGAGCCAAATCATGAATGAACTCCCATTCACAATTGCTATAAACAGAAGAAAATTCCTAGGAATACAGCTAAGAAGGGAAGTGAAGGACCTCTTCAAGGAGAACTACAAACCACTGCTCAAGGAAATAAGAGAGGACACAAACAAATGGAAAAACATTCCATGCTCATGGATAGGAAGAATCAATATCATTAAAATGGCCATATCGCCCCAAGTAATTTATAGTTTCAATGCTATTCCCATTAAACTACCATGGAAATTCTTCACAGAATTAGAAAAAAGCTACTTTAAAATTCATATGGAATCAAAAAGGAGCTCATATAGCCAAGACAATCCTAGGCAAAAAGAACAAAGCTGGAGGCATCGTGCTTCTGGACTTCAAACTATACTACAAGGCTACAGTAACCAAAACAGCATGGTACTGGTACAAAAATAGACACATAGACCAATGGAACAGAATAGAGAACTCAGAAATAAGACTACACATCTACAGCCATCTGATTTTCAACAAACCTTACAAAAACAAGCAATGAGGAAAGGATTCCCTATTTAATAAATGGTGCTGGGAGAACTGGCTAGCTATATGCAGAAAATTGAACCCTGGACCCCTTCTTTACATGTTATATAAAAACTAACCCAAGATGGATTAAAGACTTAAATGTAAAACCGAAAACTGTAAAAACCCTAGAAGAAAATCTAGGCAATATCATTCAGGACATAGGCACAGGCAAACATTTCATGACAAAAATCACCAAAAGCAATTGCGACAAAAGCTAAAATTGATCTAATTAAACCAAATAGCTTATGCATAGCAAAATAAACTATCATCAGAGCAAACAGGCAACCTACAGAGTGGGAGAAAATTTTTATAATCTATCTATCTGACAAAGGTCTAATAGCCGGAATCTACAAAGAACTTAAACAAATTTACAAGAAAAAAACAAACAACCCCATTAAAAAGTGGATAAAGGACATCAACAGATGCTTCTCAAAAGAAGACATTCATGCAGCCAATAAACGTGAAAAAAAGCTCAATGTCATAAAAGATCATTAGAGAAATGCAAATCACAATGAGATACTATCTCATGCCAGTCAGAATGGTGATTATTATAAAGTCAAGAAATAACAGATACTGGTGAGGTTGCAGAGAAATAGGAATACTTTTACACTGTGGGTGGAAATGTAAATTAGTTCAGCCAGTGTAGAAGACAGTGTGGCAATTCCTCAAAGACACAGAACCAGAAGTACCATTTGACCCAGCCATCTCATTACTGGGTATGTAACCAAAGGAATATAAATCATTCTACTATCAAGACCATGGAATAATATACAGCCATAAAAAGGAAAGAGATCATGTCCTTTGCAGAGACATGGATGGAGCTGGAAGTCATTACCCTCAGCAAACTCATGTAGGAAGAGAAAACCAAACACTGCATGTTCTCACTTCTAAGTGGGTGCTGAATAATGAGAACTGATGGACACAGGGAGGGGAACAACACACACTGGGGCCTGATGGTCGGGGGAATGTGGGAGGAGGGAGAACTTTAGGAAAAATAACTAATGTGTGCTGGGCTTAATACCTAGGTGATGGGTTGATAGGTGCAGCAAACCACTATGGCACATGTTTACCTATGTAACAAACATGCACATCCTGCACATGTACCCTGGAACTTAAAATAAAAAGGATCAAGAAAAGAAAAAAAAATGATTTAGCTGGATATATCATTTTATATTAACAATTTATAAAATCTTTTCATAATAGTATGCTGTTGTTCTCTGGATTTTATTGTTTTCATTGAAAAATATGGTATTAGTTTATTTAGAGTCAGCCATCTTTCTTGTTCTGCTCTTCCTCATTGTCTTTTGTGTATTGCATTCACTACATTTCTCTAGTCTAGATTTTTACTCAGAAGGTATAAATGTTCCTAAATCTAAGGATTCATGATTTTCATGAATTTCATTAAACACTGTTATCTTAAAAGTATACATCTGATCTTTGACAAACCTCACAAAAACAAGCAATGGGGAAAGGATTCCCTATTTAATAAATGGTGCTGGGGAAACTGGCTAGCCATATGCAGAAAACAGAAACTGGACCCCTTCCTTACACCTTATACAAAAATTAATTCAAGATGGATTAAAGACTTAAATGTAAAATCTGAAACCGTTAAAACCCTAGAAGAAAACCGAGGCAGTACCATTCAGGACATAGGCATGGGCAAAGACTTCATGACCAAAACACCAAAAGCAATTGCAACAAAAGCCAAAATTGACAAATGGGATCTAATTAAACTAAAGAGCTTCTGCACAGCAAAGGAAACTATCATGAGACTGAACAGGCAACCTACAGAATGGGAGAGAATTTTTGCAATCTACCCATCTGACAAAGGTCTAATATCCAGAGTCTACAAGGAATTTAAACAAATTTACAAGAAAAAAAAAACCCCATCAAAAAGTGGGCAAAGGATATGAACAGACACTTCTCAAAAGAAGACATTTATGCAGCCAACAAACATACGGAAAAAAGCTGACCATCACTGGTCATTTGAGAAATGCAAATCAAAAGCACAATGAGATACCATCTCGCACCAGTCAGAATGGCGACTATTAAAAAGTTGGGAAACAACAACAGCTGCTGGAGAGGATGTGGAGAAATAGGAATGCTTTTACACTGTTAGTGGGACTGTAAATTAGTTCAACCATTGTGGAAGACAGTGAGGCGTTTCCTCAAGGATTTAGAACCAGAAATACCATTTGACACAGCAATCTCATTACTGGGTATATACCCAAAGAATTATAAATCATTCTACTATAAAGACACATGTACATGTACGTTTACTGCAACACTATTTACAATAGTAAAGACTTGGAACCAACCCAAATGCCCATTAATGATAGACTGGATAAAGAAAATGTGGCACATATATATGAAGGAATACTATGCAGCCATAAAAAATAATGAGTTCAAGTCCTTTGCAGGGACATGGATGAAGGTGGAAGCCATTATTCTCAGCAAACTGACACAGGAACAGAAAACCAAACACTGCATGTTCTCATTCATAAGTGGGAGTTGAACAATGAGAACACATGGACACAAGGAGAGGAATGTCACACACCGGGGCCTGTCGGTGGGTGGGGGTCAAGGGGAGGGAGAGCATTAGGACAAAGACCTAATGCATGAGGAGCTTAAAACATAGATGACGGGTGGATAGATGCAGCAGTCCACCATGGCATATGTATACCTATGTAACAAACCTGCACATTCTGCACATGTATCCCAGAACTTAAAGTAAAACTTAAAAAAAAAAAACTGTAATTGTTTGACTTTCAAAAAGTTGCGTTAAAGCACATGTAATGAGAAACTGGTTTATGATCACTTGGAAGATTTGTATAGTTTTATAAAACTCAATTAAAATGTCTGTTTCAATGACCTGTATTCTGCCAGACTTAATCACAGACGGATATTAAACTTGTCAGAATTTCTTCAATTCTCATTCAAGCCTGTGAATAAACACTCTGTATGACACTTATTTTGAGCCTATTAAAGAATCCAAATTCAAAAAAATTCCCATTTTTCTCTGACTCATGTTTCCCCATTCTTTCTCATCTATTATGTAATTCAAAGTAGACCTAGGTTATAATTTTCACTCTGATTCTTCCTCTGTAGACACATCACCTTCAGCTCATTGAGGTATTATATTTCTTTAGGTATTTACACTTTGTATTCCTAAAAATTTGATAATCTTGGTTGTATTATCACTATTTATTTAATTGGATGCTGTTTATTGACTTGTTACTGTGGAAATTTAGTTGTCTTTCTGATTCTTCCTGAACTCCTCCCTTGCCCATCCATCTCTTTCTTCTGTTCTCCAAATAAGATTGTATAATAATTTGGCTACACGAATATTAAGTCACCTGCTATGCTAACTTTTTGCTACTAGCTGTCTTTTTGCTTTTTGCTTAATTTTCTATGATCTTCCCTGAAATTCATCCCTCATCTTGCTAGAAGTTATATTTTCTCTCCACACTCGAATACATCAGAAAATCTATTAATTTTATTTTGTTTTTCATAGTACTTTCCTCTGGAGCCTTCTGTTCTTCTGTGATCTGAAATTTTGGCTTTTTAGGCATGATTTCAAGCTGTTGCTTTGCCCTGACAACTTTCTTTGCCATCATTCTGGGGATTCCCTTTGTGTCTCTCCTATTTTGGAAGCCCTTTTTCCTGAATCCAGTATCTTCATTTTTCTAGATGCTTTTCTTTTTTTCAAAAAAATACAGATGTCAGTATCAGAGAACGGGATGCAAAATTTTGATACTTTAAAAAGTTTTTAATAGCTTTATTGATGTATAATTGACATGCAATAAACAACATATTTAAAGCATACAATTTAATAGGTTTTGAGAAATGTGTAGATGTTTGAAACCATCCACATAGTCAAGTGAGTGAGCGTGTCAATCACCCACAAGTATTTTCTTGCCCATGCAGTGTATCTTCTTTCCTCTCCCTTTTCCCCTTGCAACTGCTGATTTCTTCCTGTTACTTAATACTACAGATTAGTTTGGATTTTCTAGAGTTTTATACAAATCTAATTACATAGCGTAGGACAGACTTTAATTTTTGAAAATATTTTTATGCTATCATGCCATTCAATTGATGGTTGACTGGATATAGAATTCTGGATTGGAAATAACTTTATTTCAAAAATGTGAAGTAATTGCTCCTTTTTAAAAAACAATTCCAGGGTTATGAGAAGTTTGGAGCCATCCTGATTCTTGATTCTTGGAATAAAATCTTTTTTTTCTTCCTTTTTTGGTATGTGTAAGATGTAGCATTTGTTTCCACCATTCATTTTGCTAGGTACACAGTTGGTCCATGATATCTGGAAATTATGTCTTTAAGTTTTTGGATATTTTCTTTAATTATTTCCTTGATAATTTCAAATAATGAAATTTCACATATTGTTTTCTTTGCTGTCTCATCCTGGAACTCTTATTGTTTCTAGTACTGTTTTTATTTCTTATTCATCTTATTTCAAGTATTGTTTTCTTTGTTCTCTCATCCTGGAACTCTTATTATTTGGATGCTTAAACTCCTGAATTAATTCTTAAATTTTCTAACTCTTTCTCTTCTGTTTTCTTTTTGTCATACTTTCTGGAAGTTTTCTTTTCCTTTTTTCCCCCAAACTTCCAAATTATTTTTTATTTCTGCTCTCATATTTGTAATATCCAAGCACATTCCTTTCTAGTCCCAGAATCTTCCCTTTCAGCCCTCTGCGGCTTTAGTTGTCTCTACTTGCTCTAAGTCCGTCTGTTACCATCTCTCTCTGTCTCTGATAGAAATTTTCCTCAAATATCTGTTGATCTCTGGATATTAGTTGTATTACACACTCACTCAAAAGCTGATTAGGTCTATGTGTGTCTCCGGCTAGTGGTGGCTTTCCCTCTAGGGTACTCAGGCCGGATTGTTTTTGGGAAAATTTTCTCAATTCTGCAGCTATTCTTTCTGTTTTGTCAGTTCACTGAGAAAAAAAAAAATCGTACAATCTCTTGTTTGAAGGCACACGCTAAGGCCGGCATTCCGAGGCAAATATGGGAAAGAGGAGTCAAGGTCTTATCACCACTAAGGATGCGACTGTCTGCACTACAGTAACCTCACCCCTTCTTCAGAGAGATTGTGTTTGTTTGCCACGGGTTATTATTGGCCTGGAAAAAAAAAAATGTTTCTTAACTAGGGGATTCCCAGGTCATGCAAACAATACAAATTTAACCTTCTAACTGGAGTGTAATATAAGTCTGTGATTACATTACTCAGAGAATTTGTTTTTTCTTGTATACACAGAATTCAGGCCAAAATAAAAAGTCAAGCTTCTTTTTATCTCTCTGTGTGGATAGTTGGATATTTTTTCCTAGTGGATGCTTACACAGAGACTATAGTATTTTAAATCATCTTTTTTTTTTTTTTTAGATTTAGGGCTGTTTAAGTGTACATCCCACTCAGGCCCATTGCTTTATCTTCTGTTTCTGCCTGGGCACTGACACCCTTGCCACTAGATGATCACAACTGACCACCCCCCAGGGCAGCCACACTGTCAGCTCTCAGGCCAATTTCTCTGGCTTATGTTTCTCTCTTCCTTTCTCACTGCTGGAGATTTTTCTTTTCTTTTTCCTAGCACAGCTGAGTATAAATAAGGACATTTGTTATATTTTTATCTAGCATTTCTATGTTTTTATATTCTGAATGATTTTGGATCATCTCGTCTGCAACATTGCTTGTCTCTAATTGTCTTATTTTCATCTTTGCAATCATGGGTTTTACTGGCAAGGGAGCTGAAGCTTGTGGAGGATAAATGACTAACCCAAGAGTGAGCAATAGGTGGCAGGGCTAAGGCCACGTCTCTCCTGGCGCGGTGCTCTCTCCAACATGCTGTGTCCCCAGATCTCTTCTATGTCTGAAACTTTCTGATTTCAACATAGACTAATATCTATAAGCTCATGCTAATATCTATGATCTCATATTCAGAAGTGAGAATCAAGTATATAAAAATTGATAGAAACTAAAAATCTTTAGGCTTTAATATTAGCCTCTTACTACTAGATTGTTTATCAGAACTTTGAGCTATTAACACAGTTATGTCAAAGCTTTCATGTACTTGAAAAAATGGGGCAGCTAAAAAAAAAAAACTGCCAAAAACATCAAACAGCTGACAAATGCAATCAGCTGTGATACATGAATTTGCATTGTCTAACTGGAGGTTGGACACTGAAAAATAAACCGAGTACTCTCACTACCCTATTTTTCATAGGCAATGGAATCTAAAGGCACTTTCAATGCTGTAAAAGCCTGACAAAATGTTTAAGAAACAAACAGGAAGAAGTTTAAAGCAAAGAACATGTGTAAGACCATCTCTATTTGCCTTTTCCTGAGAAAATAATAAATGTACTCCCACATGTAATTTTCACAGCATATATAATGATTTTGCTGAGAACAGATTGCTCAGTACATTCCCAGATGTATACAGAAGATCAAGTTAATGAAAAGATACTTTGAAATACAGTAACTGGATACTATTTTAAAATAATGTATGCAGTTCATATCAATGATTTTCAAAAAAAATTCTAAGGCAGAGAGGCCCCTTTTTCCAAATTAAACATGACAAAGAATGCTTAAATATAAAAGAGATGAAACTTAAAATGTTTTCTTTGAAGAAATGGAGGAGATTTCCCCAACACCCTAGCCAGTCAGTGCCCCACCTACAGAGAACTCAGCTGCCCTCAGACTTACTTAGGAACAAGCCAGATTCTGTAAGGAGGGGATTTGAATCTAAAAATCATGTTTTAAGTTCCTAACATGCTAGAATAAAGACATTGTATCTGTAGGGTCAATTTATCTAGTGGACACATTATATATAGGGCTTAGGACAGAATAAATCAGCATTATAAATAAACTCTCAAAGATACTCCCCATTTTATTATAAATTTGTCTATAAACATATTAAATTACTTTTTAATAACCATAGGCTACAATAAAGACATTCTATCAGCAGGGTCAATATATTTAGTGGGCACAGTATACATAGGGCTTAGGGCCTATGATATTTTCAAAGGCCCAAGAAAGCATATTGATTTTAATTTTAAAATTAGAAAAATTAATATAATAAAAATGAACATATCATAATGAACCCAGATTAGATTATATTTAGCTATATGCTAAAATAGTCACAAAATACAATTTTAATATTTTTTTGGAGGAGGGGTCTACCAAGGTAAAAGTGTCTAAGGCACACAAAGGTTGTAATTCCGCTGGGTCTATCTTAATGTTGGTTACTGGACACAATGCTATGGCTCTGATTCTAGCAATTTCAGAACAGTCCACAGAATTAAGGCAAATTGATTCTGTCTCTGAATTTTAGTATATGGGAAAATTCCCATGTCACTCTTGATGTCATAATATTTAGTAATGTAGACTAAAATAATGATACAAATGCAAATTACAATGTTTTTTAATTGCGTAAAAGGTTCTTTCAAGGATATGATTGAAGAGAGATGCCGAAAATGCTGCCAAAAATGGGATCTTGCTTTGGGTGAGAACTTCATTAGCTATGGCCTACAAGTTCAGATGTTCTTATGGCAGGATGACTTAGAGGAACTGTCTAGTCTTTCCATCTTAAAAAAAGATTTTTTTCAATGTGCATTTTTAGGCATTAAAGATGACTGATGATGTTCTTCCACTAACACTGTAATTTACTTTTGTTACAACAATTTTTACATATGTGATAACAGTCAGTGTTCGTGTGAAGATATTGATGGAGCGTGTATAGCACTTAAGAAAATAAAAACCTGTTAAGGTCAACTGTGAACTAGTCCCCTTTATTCATCGTCTTCCCTTTTGTTGTGAAATTTTGTTTTCTTTCATAACAAAGAATAGTGAAACCCTAAGTAGAAATCTGACCACTGCCATCTACTGTCTCAGACAGAATAAATCAGTGTTATAAATAAACTCTCAAAGATACTTCCCATTTTATTATACATTTGTCTAAAAACATATTAAATTACTTTTTAATAACTATAGGCCATTAGTTTTACTCCTCCATTGGGCATACCAAGATAATCTCTCAGAGGTTAGAGTTTTTGGATGAATGCTGAGGAGGATACTGTACCCAGTGGGTTACAATGGGTAACACTTCTACGCCCCTTCAGGCAACCATCAATGTTCATGCCACATGCAGACGTGCTCACTAAAATTCTCCTGTGGGAAGTTGAAAATGTCTTCTTTAATTACTGTTAAGCATTGTATATACATCATCACTCTAAATATGGAGAACAAGCCTCAATAGAAGGCCCAAGTCATTAATATCATTGCTTCTGTCTAGTTTTAAAGTACTTGGTTAACCAGAGCATCTGAACCATTTGTTCACGAGTCTTCTGAAAACCATAACGTGTCATTTGATACTATCACGTGGTTTGATAAAGTTTTGACCTTGATAACATACGGCTTTATAATAATATATATTTTTTCCATTACATGAGCTTCATCTTGTAGGTGATTCTGAAACTGATTTTGAAGGAGTATTTGAGCAGTAAAAAAGTGCATTTTATTTTATTGCTCCTAAGCAATTCTTCCACTTTTTAGTTACACCCAACCCCCTCAAAAGTTCCCAGTGTCAGTGCTGTTTAAATGTTGCAGCAATAGGGATTATTTCATGCACTTATTATCCAGAATTTTTTAAGGAAGTACATGTTCAAACACACCATTTGCATCTCCATAAATATAAAACAACCATTTTAAATAGCAATAGCTCATCCTTCTTGAGTTGACTGCTGTGTTTACTCTCAATGAATGGATAGAACATTTATCATGGTCTTCATTGTTCAGTTTATTTTCAGGGAACAGTAGGATCAGACAGAAGATGTCTTGTCACAAGAAATTTTCAGATTTTTTTTTTTTTGGCCTATTTTCAGGAGACTTCAAGGTTCTGCTTTATACTTCCTGTTTCTAACCACAGTTATATGTTCCCATTTTAAAATGTAATTTAAAAACAATTTAGAATTCTAGCTTAACAAAGGTAAATAGAAATGACACTAAAACTGAAAAAACCTTGCATTTTTGATGTTCTTGTGTTATGCGTGGACTCTGAGGACTCTAATCTTTTTGAGAGAAGGGACCATTTTAATCTTCTATCTATACCCTGCTTTGTTGTTTAATTAATATTTGGTGGCTAAAATAATACGGGAGAAATTTTATCAGCAAAAAATTTGTTCAAGAGTATTTTTTTTAAAGCTAGTAGTTTGTTGGGTACAAAATATTTTCTAAAAAAATCCAGCAGTGTGACTGCTTGCAGACATTCTGATAAGGCACATCATGAAGTTCTTTTTTTAAAAAAAAATTTATATTTTCAACTTTTATTTTAGATTCAGGAGGAAAGGTGAGGTTCTTGAACTGCAGGTGGCAAAAAGAAGTTGTGCTGGAGCGTGGCATTATCATAAATGACTCAAGCTGCATTCTTGGCTGAAACTGCAAGGCTAGAACCAGATGACCCACCAACAAGTGAAAAGCACCACATTTTTAAATCACTAACTACATTTGATTTTTTTCCCTTACAGTGATATCTTCGACAACAACAAAAATACCATATATATTAGAAGATGTTGAAAATAGTGTTCTACAGATTGAACATGTGAGTCATAAAACCTTTTATTGACATCAAAATAAACACATTTATTTTCCATAATCTTCAGTTAAGATTGGAATTATGTGAGAAGTCTCTGGAATAATGGAATATTCCAGGGGAGATCTCTGTCAGTTTTAGGGAATTTTACCTGGTTATACCACTGCATAATGTCCATTATTATACAAACTTTTTTTTTTTTTGAGATGGGATCTTGCTCTATTACCCAGGTTGGAGTACAGTGGCATGATCTCAGCTCACTGCAACCTCCATCTCCTGGGTTCAAGCTATTCCCCTGCCTCAGCCTCCCGAGTAACTGGAATTACAGGTGTGTGCCACCACACCCAGCTAATTTTTTGTAATTTTAGTAGAGATGGGGTTTCACCATGTTGCCCAAGCTGGTCTTGAACTCCTGAGCTCAAGTGATTCACCCACCTTGGCCTCCCAAAGTGCTGGGATTACAGGTGTGAGCCACAGCGCCTGGCTGCCAAACTTAAATTTAATAAAAAGTATGATTTTTACGGTCCTGCTTTTGAAAAAGCAAATTTGGAAAGATCTGTGTTAGAATGAATGTGTACATGGTCCCTATCACAATCTGCCAGCTATTTCTCATTAGAAACAATATTGGCACTTAGAGATTGAAATATGCTGTTTATTTGACATCAACATATGACCAACTGATCATGATACAGTTATAGCACTCTCTGTGATGTAGACTACCATTCTTTGGGGAAAGTTTACTGCAGTTTTGTGGGCATAGTCCAAACATCCAGTTTCACAAATTTCACTGCCAAGCTGGCAATGAATTAGTGAATTTCATTCAAGAGAACTGCTGGGATCCTAACCTCAGTGAGGCAGAGAGCTAAGTGCCAATAAAGAAAATGAGTAAGAAAGACATAGTAAGTACCTGCCCTCAAGAATGGTCTTATAGGTGAAGTAGATATATAAACAATTAATGAAAAAATACTATTTCATAATAAATCAATAGGATCGTTGCACATACATGATAGAGACTAGCACAAAAGAATGACTCATTCTAAGAAGGAAGAAGAGGAGATGGAGGTAGAATGGGCAAGGAAAAGTTAGAGTATATAACAAGTGGGGTGGTCTTTAGGAAAGATCAAGACCTTACCAGATACATGTGGGATGGAAACTGTATTGATGACAGATAAACAGCAGAGCATGTTAATTATTGTTGAATCACAGCATCAGTAAAGAGCTGGGTGGTGAGACTAGAGCAGGCTAATCACAAATAAGGTAAGTTGAAAGCATAAATATGGCTTGGGGTAGTATCTCCAAAAGGCAAAACCAAATATAGCAGAATCCAAGAAAAGGAGCCAAGGACCACAGTTCTCAAAATTCCCTTTCCTACCTACTGCTAAGTGAGAGACCTCTGGGAGTGATTTGGGAGGTAGAGGAGTCAAAGAAGTCATTATTCTCCAGAGGCATTTGTAGCTAGGTGTGTGGGCCGACCTGAGATTCACAGTGGCTTTCTGGTGAGTCCTTGAGATCCATCCATTTCAGTTCTGCAGACTGAAAGTTCATGGAGCTTCTGAGAACTTCTGGAGAATTACAGCTGCTTTTATTAAGCACTTCTCTGGTGCTTCAAGCTGAGTGATTTTCAGTGGAAGCTTCTCAGATTTTCGTTTCTGCAGATCTTCCAGGGTTGACATAAGCCTCGAATTCTTACATTAAATACTTTATACCTGGAGTACGTACATTGGTCTTTCTTTTTCTGAGTGAACGCTGACTTGGCTCTGGTTTTATTGTCTTGTCTCATTGTACTCCTAGTTATCTTTTATCATTTGACCTTTTATTAGTAAGAGTGCTTCTCAGAAATAATTTGAGGCAAAGTGAGAATTTAGGCTTGCTCATGCCAAGCAAGTAGTACCACTATTAATTTGGAATCTTGTTAATTCTATTCTAGGTATTGAAATAATTTGAAATTTGAAATGATCTGCAGGTGACGTGAAGCACCACTACTTCCTGCTAACACTTAATCCTTGGGCTCAGGCTGGAAGAAACATTGAAAGCAGGGTGTATTTTCCAGGACTCTGAGAGGGCAGGTCCTGGACTCCTACTTCCAAAATTGGTAAATACCTCTAGGGAAAAGTAGCCCCAAATGCCAAGGTCTTCTTTTGAGATGTTTGAGATGTTTATCTTTTTTTTTTTTTTTGAGATGGAGTCTCACTCTGTTGCCCAGGCTGGAGTGCAATGGCACAATCTTGGCTCACTACAACCTCTGCCTCCCCAGTTCAAGCACTTCTCCTACCTAAGCCTCTCAAGTAGATGGAATTACAGGCACCTGCCACCATACCTGGCTAATTTTTGTATTTTTAGTAGAGACAGGGTTTCACCATGTTAGCCAGGGTGATCTTGAACTTCTGAGCTCAAGCATCTGCCCACCTCGGCCTCCCAAAGTGCTGACATTACAGGTGTGAGCCACCGCTCCCGGCCTGAGATGTTTATCTTCTTATGGATCATTGCCCACTATTTTCTCACCATCTTCTTAATTCTCCAAAGCCTACAAAGAGATTATTTTTATAATTTTTCAGCTTTTAAGATGTCTTTGGAAGGAATCATGATCCAAATTACTTAGTCTGTAATTACAAGCCACCATCAGTGACTTCTTCCAAAGTTTCTTTCTTTAATATCATTTATTAAACACAAATTGCTCATCAGACATAATAAAAAATTTCAGTTAGGTTAAAAAGATTAAAATTAAAAATATGATATAAAATTAGGGAAAATCAGAAAGATAATTTTAGTTTGATAAGGGTTTTTCTAAGTCAGACATAAAAACTAGAAACCAGGAAGAAGGGGCCATGGGGGGAGAGAGAGATTTTTTTATATAATAAATATTTCTGTTTATTAAAAAATAACATGACATCAAAAGACAAATTATAGACCTAGAGTAGGATCTATCTATCTATCTATCTATCTGTCTGTCTATCTATCTATCTATCTATCTATCTATCTATGGAAAAATTCTTATATATGTGGAAAATTTTATTTACACGCATCTATTAATCCCTCAATTGCACTTTCATTTTTCATATTTTCTTACTTTGTACATTGTTTTCATTTCTTTCTCTTTTGTTTCTGTTTTTTTCTTTCTTGCTTGCCTTCTTGCTTTCTTTTCTTTTCTCTCTTTCTCTCTCTATATATTTTTTGGTCTCAGTTTATTCTTTCTATAGCCTTACATTCATGCTTTATGGATTCAAAGACTTCTTGCCACCCACTGAGGATATGGAATCATTTTCTAAAAGATTATTCACTAATTCAATGTATATTTATTGAATGCTGACCATCTGTCATACAAAGATTTTAGGAGCCGGGAATACAATACTTATCGAGAAACACAAATGTTTTTATTTTGGTAGTAAATCACTGTAAGTGTTCCTTTTATTTTTTTCTGAATCTTCAAGTATTTCCTTTTTAGCTTCCTGTAGTGCCTAGCAATGGTGAATTTGTTTTTATTTCTGTTTATTAATCTTTGACCATGAGGATAGCTAGGCTGACCTAGCAAATGGTAATGGAAAGAACATGAAATTCATTGATTTCACCTCTTCTGAGTTCATTTGCTTGCTGCTTCAGCCCTTTCCCTTGCATTTGACTGGATAGTTGATGAAGGATGTAGCTCCTTGCCCAGTTCCCTGCTTTAGCAGTTGGATGCAGAGGGTATCTTCTCTTAGATCTAATACCTAGACTTATAAATGGATGAGATGAATGAAAACAACACTATCACTATTTATTGTTACAAAGGCTCTTGTGTCTTATCTCTTTTGATGGCTACAGCCATTTCTCTGTAAATCTGCCTTTTATTTTCAGGAAAATGTAATTACTAGCAAGATGTGCAAAGGCTGAGATGGACTAAGTTGAGTGAATCAGCACTCTGTCTACTTCAAAAGCAGAATACTCACAGTACGGGAATAGCTGCCAAAATTTTGCTTTAGTAGAGATTTATAATTTGAACAAGGGATCTGGTAAAGGCAGAGTATAATAGTTATCCGACTTACTTTCAGAAAGAGCACAATGCAAGTGTTTTACTAATTGCATTTTTAAAAGTATGATATTACTCTGATAGTTTTTTGTGTCTTTGTAGATACTTTCCTTGTAAGTAGTGATGGAGTGGGTCACATAAATGGCTAACCAGGTGCCATTTTTTCCCTTAGCGTTAATTTTTAGTTTAATTCCTTATGCTATATTTTCTTATATGTGTTTTCATTGGTATTTGTAAGTAAATGTATTCGTATTTAAGTATGCATATATTAAATTTGCAAAACTCTGAATGGTATGTAATCAAGCAGGTCATGGCATAATTTTATTCCTAGACAATTACATATTTACATAAAATCCTCATAGCAATCTAGTTTGAAAGGCGAAAGGTACTATTTTTTTTCTAAAGATAAAAGAGAACAGGAAGTATGTTCTAAAGATTATCTCAACAGTCTTTTAAAACTTCTATTTTCTGTTCTTTTCAAACATTTATTTATTCTGTATTTTAGGAGTAATCAAAGATTATTGTTCAGATAAAGAAAAGATGAAAATATAACTCACCTATTTTGTACTGTGTAATATGTTTGATTTGTTTACTCCAGGGTTGTTTATACAAAGAGGACTAAGAGTGCAGGCTCAGGGGTCTGATATCCTAGTTTCAAATGTGTCACACTAACCATGTGATCTTGAGCATGTATTTTAACCTCTCAGTGCCATAATTACTTTATCTATAAAATTGGGATAATATTATTCACCCCATAGAAACAGTTAATTGAGGTAAGATGTGTGAAGATCTTTTTCCCTCTAAACTATGTATTTTTTATTTTAATTTTTTATTTGTAGCTTTTATTTTAGGTTTTGGGGTACATGTGAAGGTTTGTTACATAGGTAAACACATGTCATGGCGGGGAGTAAAAGGGATCCCTCAGCACGGCACAGCTTGGTGTGAAGCTCTTTAAAAGTTCCTGGCACACAAGAAGCACTTAATAAATACCAGCTTTTGTTATTCATAATTTCCTTGTTAAAAATAAGTTATTTAACATTTTGTTTTATAAGACTCTTTTTTACTTAATAAAATAGTATAGCTGCCTTATATGGTAAAATACTATTTTACAACATAATTTTAATGGCTGCATAATACATATTGTTTTGATGTGTCATATTTTATTTAATAAACTTTTATAGTTTATTTGTTTTTAACTACCATTGAAAACTATATTTTCCTATTACTGCTTTCACAAATTACCACAAACATAGTGGCTTACAACAACAGACATTTATCACCTCAAAATTCTGGAAGTCGGAAGTCTAAAACAAAGGGGTGGGCAGGGTTGTCTTCTCTCTGGAGACTGGAATCCAGCTCCCTGCCTTTTCCAGCTTCTTGACGTTTCCTGCATCCCTTGGCTCATGCCCCTTCCTCTTCAAACTGCATCACTCCAAGCTCTGGGTCTTTTTGTCACACGTCCTTTTTCTGACTTTGACGCTCTGGTCTCCCTCTTCTGTTGACTCTTGTCATTACATTGTCCCTGCCCCTCCACTGCCCTCCTTCCTCCCCTTAATCCAGGACAATCTTCTCATCTCAAGATTCTTAATCACATCTGCAAATCTCTTTTGCTGTGGAAGGCAACATAGTCAAAGGTTCCAGGGAGTAGGAAGTGGCTATCTTTGAAGGGCTGTAATTCAGCCAACCACATACATCAAACTGAAATAAACATCTTTAGAGCAACTAATTTTCATGTACTCCATTATTTCTAGGAATATATTTCTGGACAGAGAGTTACTGATTAAATAACTGCCCATTGATTTTTACTCAATATTAGCCTGTTAAACATTTAGCAAAAGCCTAATTGAGCAAGTATTATCTAATTAAATCTAAGGATGTTGACGAGGATTTTAATGCAGATGCATTTTAATTTAATGTTAAACAGTTTGGAATCTCCAGACCTTTTAATCAGCTTAACACTAGGCTTTTATTTTGTTATTCTTTTTCTTTTTTGGCTTTTTATTCATTTAGCCATGTTCCAATAATAAAAACAGAGGAACTTCTTTAGTTTTTTTATACTCAAACAAAACACTAACAGAAGAAAGAATCCTATTAAATAAGATTTGTTTTTATATTAACCCTAAAATAGCCATTTTAGGAAATGCAGGTGACAAAAATAGGTGAGATGTTGTAACATCTAAATAAAGAAGAAATAAAGCTGTGATTTACTAGATAAATTAATAAGTAGCTTATCATAGGAGGCAAGAGTTTTCTTAAAGTACTTGCCATATACCACAGACTTGATGTATATAATATTAACTTTGGAATCTGTCTGAATATAATTCATGAATTGGAGCTGGAGAATACAAACAGTATTGTTTCAAATCAAAGAAACATGAGGAAAAAAAGAAACCCCAAAATCAAAACTGCCAGTCCTTTTATGATGATAAACTAGCATGGGTTCCTAGCCACCTCCTTCAAAATCAAACTTGGAAAAACCAAAGAAAGGAGTAGGAATATGAATTCCACGAGTTAACAGAAATAACAAACAAAAACCCAACTTGGTCCACCCTGGGCAACTCCTCAGGCCTTGAACTGGTGAATCTGATAGGTGGTAGAAGGAGGCCCCTAGTGATCTTTAAAATCCTTTTAAGCTCCTCTCCTTCACTGCCTTCAGACAATCCTTACTTTCCCTTTCAGCATCAAAATAACCACCAACACCTGGAAGATAGTTATTTATGAACAATCAAGGCTATAAAAACATAACAAAGCAAAATGCAAACAACAAGGAAACAAAAATGTGTACAATGTATGTTATTCAGGTGATGGATATCCTAAAAGCCCTGACTTCAACACTATGCAATCTACCCGTGTAACAAAACTTCACTGGTACCCCATAAATTTATACAAATTTTAAAAAAAGAAAAAAAATGTGATGGGCTGAGAAGTTGATGAAGACAAGTGGAGCTGACCAAACGGCAGCAGGCATCCTGGAGCTTGCAGCCTCTTCCTTTCTAAATCGCCTGGGCCATTAGATTAGTATCAAAGACAGTCTCCTCAGCCAGCTCTTTCTTAAAAGTGGAAGTGAAAAGGACCGATGAGTTTGCCTGGGGGAGTGGCAGCAAACAGAGGTTATCCATAGTGGGGTTTGGAGTTTTCTGCCTTGGTGCTTATCTCCACCCCTAGTGCCAGTGACTGCACAGAGTAGCTGATACCTCCAGGGAAACAGGGGCTCACAAATCAGACACTAGATACCTGACTAATGCCACTATGGGTTAAACTGAACAATATACACATTTGAAGCACAATAATTAGACTTATAATTTAAATAAGTATAATATGTATATTTGTGCTTAGGCAGGAAAGGTTAAGATTGCAGCAATATGAAATCAGGAACTTAAATCAGATAATTGGTAATATTAGACATTAATATGTTATGGTTGAAATAAAGAACATAATAGAAGGAAAAATACCAGCCTGGATATACTTGAAGAATATATTAGTAATTTGCAAGATAATGTTGAAGAAATCTTCTAGATGATAGCTCTAAAGATACAGAAAATATACACAAAATTTAATAAAGATAAACTTAACAAAAGACAGAAGACTCCTCAAGTCAGAAGAGTTGATGGATGCTAAATAAGAGGAAAAAGGAAAACCCTTACCTAGCACATTTAATGAAATTTAATAATATCAAAGACAATGAGAATATTCCAAATGCATTCTGAGGGAAATTGCAAATCTGTATAAAAACAAGAATCAGATTGTCAAACATTTTGGTAGTAGCAGGATGTAAGAATAATGAAGTAATAATGTTAAAGTATTGAAAAATATCCAGCTGGATAATTCCTCAAATTTGAAGGCATAAAAATATTCTTAGGCATTTACGATTTCAGAATTTTTGTTAAGCTCATATAATAAAATTACCCTTGCAGTAGGTATTTAAGTAAGTGAAAAATAAATAAACAAATCCCAAAGGCGCTACAAATATCAGGGGAACGTGGGGTAGCCAAATTCTTCAGCAACTTATTGTGGAGGAGAGAGAGAGTGAAAGAACAAGCACAAAATTGCTAGGACCCGATTAAACTAGAAAGTTCATTAGTAGCAACTGAAAATTAAGTTCTTAAGTTCTAGAAAATATTAACAAAATTGGAACTGGGCAATAACAAAGGGATATGTCTGTGCTAAAGTAGTGGTTTTATCACAGGGACTGTGTAGATAGATATTAGTAAATTAGTGAACTTAAGTAAATTTGGTCATGATTTGTTCCCATCTTACTTCATTCCTCTCTCTCCCTTTGTATATCACATTTTCACCAAACTGGCCTTCCATGGTACCAGCTTGGAAGACACCAAGCTCCTTCTTGCCTTAGAATCTTGGAGTTTACTGTTCCCTGCTACAACAGCTTTCACCATGTTTAGTGCCTTTGTAAGGAATAAACACATTTTTCTTTAAAATATCTCTTCCCTAGAGAAGTCTTGTCAATTCATGCTATATTTAATACAAACAAACAAACAAAGATGCCTATTTTTCCCAATATTTCTCTGTGCCAACATTTTGTTTTTCAGCAACACTTTACTTCATGTGATATTATTTAGTTTATATTTCTACTCAATCTATGTCAGAAATCAGAAGATTGGCCGGGTGTGGTGGTTCATGTCTGAAATCTCAGCACTTTGGGAGGCCGAGGTGGGTGGATCACCTGAGGTCAGGAGTTCTACAGCCTGACCAAAATGGTGTAACCCCATCTCTACTAAAAATACAAAAAAAAAAAAAAAAAAAAAATTAGCTGGGCGTGGTGGCAGGCACCTGTAATCCCAGGTACTAGGGAGGCTGAGGCAGGAGAATCCCTTGAACGCGGGAGGCGGATGTTGCAGTGAGCCGAGGTTGCGCCATTGCACTCCAGCCTGGGCAACAAGAGCAAAACTCTGTCTCAAAAAAAAAAAAAAAATCAGAAGATTAAGAAAACATACTATGGTTCTTCAGCTGAGATCAAGCAGCATAACAGCAAGAAGATAATGTATAGGTTTAAAGTCATAAGAGGCTGTGCATAGTAGGTCATGCATGTAATCCAAGCACTTTGGGAGGCTAAAGCAAGAGGATTGCTGGAGGCCAAGAGTTCAAGGCCAGCTGCGGCAACATAGCAAGACCTTACTTCTACAAAATAAATAACTAATTAAAAAATTGGCAGGGCATGGTGGCAAATTACTGCAGTCCCAGCTACTTGGGAGGCTGAGGCTGGAGGATGGCTTGAGCCCAGGAATTTGAGGTTACGATGAGCTATGTTGGCATCACTGCACTCCCTAGGTGACAAGGTGAGACCCTGTCCCAAAAAGAAATAATAAATAAAATAAGAACTCAACTAGGTCTATTAAAGGAAACAAAATAAAAGACAAAAAGCAAGAGAGAAAAAATTAAGTTCATATATAATTAAATAAAACAGATATAGACACTCAGATTGGATTAAAAAAGATTTGACAACAAAAAAGGAAAATATTAACCACAAAAAAGCCAGGGTAGTGATTTTAAAATAGAAGAAAATAGAATTTAAGGCAAAAATATCACATGAGAAAACACTGATGTTATGTACTGAAAAAAGAAAAAATAGAAAAAGAAGGCATGACATAAGAATTTATGTGCCTATAATACAAGCTCAAAACATATAAATCAAAACCTTTCAGGGAGAAATAGGTAGGTTAACAATTGTCGTTTGAGATTTTATACACTCCTGTCAGAAACTGTGATCAAGCAGACAAAAAATAAGCAATTTATTCTCCACACAGAAACTAGAGCAAAATTTTAAAGATGTAAATTAGATCATGTCATTTCCCTACGGAAATTCTATAGCTTCCCCCGTTATCAGAATAAAATCCAGAAGGTTCTGCAAGTCTCTGTGTGATTTGGTCATCATTTATTCCCATCTTACTTCATTCCTCTCTCTCCCTTTATATATCAAGTTTTCACCAAACTGGCCTTCCATGGTACCAGCTTGGAAGACACCAAGCTCCTTCTTGCCTTGGAATCTTGGAGTGTACTGAGTTTACTGTCCCCTGCTACAACAGCTTTCTCCATGTTTAGTGCTTTTGTAAGCAATAAACACATTTCTCTTTAAAATATCTCTTCCCTAGAGAAGTCTTGTCAATTCATGCTATATTTAATACCAACAAACAAACAAAGATGCCTATTTTTCCCCATACTTCTCTGTGCCAACATTTTATTTTTCAGCAACACTTTACATCATGTGATATTATTTTGTTTATATCTCTACTCATCTTTGTCAGTCTCTCCCACTAGTGTAAAAGCCCTATTGAGGACTACGACTTTCTACCTCTCGCACATTTAAACTCCAGCAGAGTGCTGGACACACACTACATGCCAACATATTACTAAATTAGGCAGCATGGCAGAGGAAAAGATGTAGCTTTGGAATCCCAGATTTCCAACTTGCCAGTTGTGTAATTTTACAACTCTTCTGGCCTCAGATTCCTCATCTGTAAAAGTATAGTTTCTTAACAACTTAGCAAGGTTGGAAGGATGAATTCATTCATGAGTGAATTCATATGAAAAATTCCAAGAATGGTGCCTAGAATTTAGCAGATAAATTGGTGATGGTAATGAAGAAGATTGTGTTCTGGACTCTTCCTTCTTAGCTCAATTGCCCTTGATACAGAATTATCAGTGCAACTATAAGCTAAAACTGCCACAGATGGAATTCCTTGATTCTCTGTTCTTCCCTATTTCTTATACTAAAACATGGGTGTTAGATTCAGGTCAGGAAAACACTTGAACTTCATTTTGATTATGATGACAATGTTATCAGGCCTGCCAGGTTAAAGCAATCGCCATCTCAGTGTTGTTTCTATGCCCAGGAAAGTGGATGGTATACATTATGATTAAATAACACAGAATCTGTTCTGCCTCTTGCATAGAATTAATTTTGGTATAGCTTCCATTTCATTAGAGGAGCACTTTAAAACAGGTCAAGTGTAACCAAGACTAAATTGAAAATGCATTATTCTTTTTTGGTAGGCCCTCTAAGCTGATACATATTTAATGTAATTTTATAAGGAAGTTCAAATGTCAGGCAGACTCCTTTAAGGAAACAAATGTCTTAAATCTCACACTAGGTAATTTTAGAATAAACATTCAGTATATCTCCTCTACTATCCTGGAGCATTTTCTGGACAGAAAATAAGCTATTTGTGTGAGTTATGTGGCATAAAGCTGACAGTAGTGCATTGAATACTGTTCTCTTCATTGCCTGTGTCTCTTTGGGATTTACTTGATGCTTTCAGGAATACCTTGTATTTTTCTACATTTTCTTTCTCAGTATTGGATTCTTGGAATTATGGAGCTTTAACAAAATTTAAGTTCCTGCCTCACTGTTTATCCACATATTAACAGTTTTATTTATCAGGTTGTTTGGTCAGCTAGACAACCACAGTAATTTCACTAGGTGTAATAGCAGCTCCTTGTAGATAAAATAATTTTATTTGATGGTTTTAAGCAACATTTCATTTCCATACCTGCCCTGATTTCCCAAAAATGAATGCATGAACTAACGAGATGTATACTTTGGGCATTTGCATTTGTCATCATGGTACGGGATTTGGGCAAGAGGGATGAAGCATCCAGTGGAGTTGTAAGTTGTGGCCATAAATCATTATGTGTAGTATTTGGCTCTCAAAACATCCAAATCCGTTGAAAGAGGAGAGGTTGAAATTGTTTCCTTTCCTGCTAGAATGTTTTGGCAGAATCTGAAATGGGAATTTCTGGACCTCATGTTTGAACTGGTGGTATGGATCTCAACAGATCACTAGATTTTTCAGGAATATTCTACCAGATAGGAAGACACCTCTGTTTGATTCTTTTCCAGAAGAAAATCTCTGAGTATGTTCTGCGTCCATTTTTTTCCTATTGCCAGATCACCCTGTCTAGAGCCTACTGCCACTTAACGCTTTTTTAGCAGTAGATGGCAGCACGTGGCCCCACATCTTCATCCCGGTAATAAAGACAGAAATCTGAACATCATCTTAGTCTTCTCTCCTGTCTACTCCTCAAACTCCAGAGTCTTCAACTCCTTACATAAGTGACCTTTTAAAGCAGGGGTCCCTGACCTCTGAGTCACAGCCTGGCAACGATAAAAGGTTGGGGACTGCTGTTTTAAAGAATATCTCATATTTATCTCCAATTCTTTTTTTTTTTTTTGAGATGGAGTCTCGCTCTGTTGCCCAGGCTGGAGTGCAGTGGCACAGTCTAGACTCACTGCAAGCTCCGCCTCCCGGGTTCACGCCATTCTCCTGCCTCAGCCTCCCGAGTAGCTGGGACTACGGGCGCCCACCACCACGCCCGGCTAATTTTTTGTATTTTTAGTAGAGACGGGGTTTCACCGTGGTCTCGATCTCCTGACCTCGTGATCCGCCCGCCTCGGCCTCCCAAAGTGCTGGGATTACAGGGGTGAGCCACCGCGCCCGGCCTTTATCTCCGCTTCTTAAACTTCCATGTTTTACTTGGGCCAGCTGCAATTGCCTGTTAACTATCTCTTGCTTTTTATCTGTTTTTTTTTTTTTTTTCTTTTCTAAATTGACTAACAACAGGGCTCTTACTAAAACTCAAGGCTTTTCACATTGCTTTCCTGTTTTAAATTTTTTAATGTTCCTTATAATTTTCATAGTAAAGTTCTCTTTAACTGAGTCCAAGGATCTTCCATGATCTGGTCTATACTTATTTCAGGTTTCCCTCTCTGTCACTTTTCCAGATGCAACCGTTTGATCCAACTACCAGCAGTTCCAGAATATCATGCTCTTTTGTTTCTCTATAGCTTTGCTACATTTCTTGTTTTAAATCTAATATTAATTTATTTTTTAAAACTAAGCTTACGCTTAACCTACCCAGAAAGCCTTTTGAGATACCACAGTCCAATTTGGATCCCTCTTGTTTGTGACACTATAATATCTTCCTTGTGTCTTTTAAAAACATTCAGGACTATTTCTTTGAAGTTATAGGTAACTAGTACTTGTGTCTTTGTCAAACCTAATAATCTTTCTCAGTATTACTCCTCCCTAAGCTCTTTGGGGAATCTGCTCCCTGGAACACCAGCTCTTGTTGAAACATACTCTCTTTGGTGTTCTGTGGGTCGTCACTCTCTAGATTTGCTCATCTGTCTCTTGCCACATCTGAATTCTTCCAGGCTCCTTGTCATCCTTCCTCTGTGGAACTAGGAGTGTTTCTTGCCATTCTATCTTTAGACTTCTAAACTTTTTTTCTACATATTCTCCCTGGAATATCATTTCTTATATTTAGAACCACCACTTCTAAGGGATAAATCCTGTATCTTCATTTTTAATCCAGACTTGTGTTACATGATGCTTCACTATGACTTAAAACACTTTCACAACACTTATTGAAGTTTACCATTATGTATTTCTATAATTTATTATTGCTTGAATGACTCATTACACTGTAAATTGTATGGCTCATCATTGTATTTCTAGTTGCCTAGCACTGTGTCTAATACATACATACATACACACATATATATTATTGAGTACCTAATAATATATGTAATACATTATGTAATATTAACATATTTAATAAATATATTAAATATTATTTATATGTAATAAATATGGTGCATTAGGTGCTCATTAGATGAATGCTAACCAGATATTAAAGGGAACTAACTTATTTGCGAACAGCATCGGTAAACAGTATCTCCATATTTTAAAGGGCTGTGCTATCACATGCATATGGGAATTGCTAAGATATCTCCCTTTTCCTGACTAGTTTTCCGACTTTTTTATACCATTAACCATTTTCAGGCTATATAAAGAAAGAAAGATTGATAGAAAAAAAGGGCTATAACGTGTGGTTGGGAGAATGTTTCCATCTATCTCAAGCCAAGTAAGGGAAGCTCTTTAGGAAAACCTTGAGCAGAGTTTTCAGAACTGGCATGTACAGTTACACAGGTAGTATACTGCCCCCTAGGGGTGATAGTCACATCATAGGCTGATATAGTTTGGTTATGTTCCCCTCAAATCTCATCTTGAATTGTAGTTCCCATAATCCCCATATGTCATGGGAAGCACCCATGACATATAATTCAGGTAACTGAATTATGGGGGGTGGTTACCCCCATGCTGCTGTTCTCATGATAGTGAGTACTCATGAGACCTGATGGTTTTATAAGGGGCTTTTCCCCTTTTGCTTGGCACTTCTCTTCCTACTGCCATGTGAAGAAGGATGTGTTTGCTGCTTCTTCCACCATGATTGTAAGTTTCCTGAGGCTTGCCCAGCCATGCTGAACTGTGAGTCAATTAAACCTCTTTCCTTTATAAGTTACCCAGTCTCAGGTACTTCTTCATAGCAGTGTGAGAACAGACTAATACAGTAAATTGGTAGCAGTAGAGTGGGGTGTTGCTGTAAGGATACCAGAAAATGTGGAAGCAACTTTGGAACTGGGTAATAGGCAGAGGCTGGAATAGTTTGAAGGACTCAGAAGACAGGAAAATGTGGGAAAGTTTGGAACTTCCTAGAGACTTGGAGGGCTCAAAAGACAGGAAGATGTGGGAAACTTTAGAACTTCTTAACTTGTTGAACAGCTTTTACAAAAATGCTGATAGTGATATGGACAATGAAATCCAGGCTGAGCTGGTCTCAGATGGAGATGAGGAACTTGTTGGGAACTATAAAAGTTGTTCTTACTATGCTCTAACCAAGAGACTGGCAGCATTTTGCCCTTGCCCTAGAGATAGTGAAACTTTGAACTTGAGAGAGATCATTTAGGGTGTCTGGTGGAAGACATTTCTAAGCAGCAAAGTATTCGAGAGGAAACAGAGCATGAAAGTTTGGAAAATTTGCAGCCTGACAATGTGATAGAAAAGGAAAAACCCATTTTCTGGGGAGAAATTCAAGCCAGCTGCAGAAATTTGCATAAGTAATGAGGGGCCGAATGTTAATCACCAAGAGACAATGGGGAAAATGTCTCTAGGGCACGGCAGAGACCTTTGTGGCAGCACCTCCCATCACAGGCCTAGAGGCCTGGGGGGAGAAATGGTTTAGTGCCGCGGGCCCAGGGACCCCCTGCTCTGTGCAGCCTCGAGACGTGGTGCCCTGCATTCCAGCTGCTTAAGCTTCAGGTTCAGCCATGGTTAAAAGGGGCCAAGGTACAGCTTGGGCCAGATTAGTTCCCATAATCCTCACATGCTGTGGAAGGGACCCAGTGGGAGGTAATTGAATCATGGGGGTGGTTACCCCCATGCTGCTGTTCTCATAATAGTGAGTTCTCATGACATCTGATTGTTTTATAAGGGGCTTTTCCCCCTTTGCTCAGCAGTTCTGTTCCTGCTGCCATGTGAAGAAGGACATGTTTGCCTCCCCTTCTGCTATAACCGTAAGTTTCCTGAGGCCTCCCAAGCCATGCTAAACTGTGAGCCAATTAAACCTTTTTCCTTTATAAATTACTCAGTCTTGGGTACGTCTTTATTAGCAGTGTGAGAACGGGCTAATACATAGATATTATAGTTTAGTACAGCAAAATAATTTCAGTCAAGTGGCATTAAAATGTATTGTTGTAATAAAATCAGTATATTTTGATAATTTTTTGACAAATAGAAGTATAATATCTTGAGTAAGTGGTGCCTTTTCTACTTTGCATAGAGGTGCCACTAAGGATTGGTGGTAGACCTCAGTTTGATATTTATGATGTATTAGTCTGTTTTCACACTGCTGATAAAGACATATTTGAGACTGGGCAATTTGCAAAAGAAAGAGGTTTAATGGACTTACACTTCCACGTGGCTGGGGAGGCCTCACAATCATGGCGGAAGGTAAAAGGCACATCTCACATGGTGGTCGACAAGAGAAGAGAGCTTGTGCAGGGAAACTGCCTCTTATAAAACCATCAGATCTTGTGAGACATATTCACTATCACAAGAACAGCACGGGAAAGACCTGCCCCCATGATTCAGTTACCTCCCACCCATTCCCTCCCACAACATGTGGGAATTCAAGATGAGATTTTGGTGGGGATGCAGCCAAACCACGTCAATGATCTAGATTTTGGAAGCTGTAGAGACTAGACTGTCTCTCATCTAAAAAATATTAAAGATAAGGGACTAACCAAATCTTGACAGTAATGCAGAATGAAGAAAAAAAACTAGTTGGAACGAGGTGTATTTACACTGATAGGGAACAAGGCTCATATTTTCTGTTAACTTAAATAGTCCTTAACAAAATCAGGTCTTCCTGCTGGGGTAAAGGGACCTGCTTGGAAAAGGTCCATGCATGTGTTCGACTTATGATAGCTGAGAAACACATTATTTCAAAACTTAGTGGCTTAAAATGATGACAATTTATTTTGCTCACAACTCTGCATTCTGGACATGGCTCAGCAAAGATAATCCTTGGGGCTCTGCTTGGTATCAGCTAAAAAGGATTGAAGGCTCAAGGCAGACATCATGTGGAGGCTCACTCACTCACTCACTCACTCACTCACTCACTCACTCACTCACACGTCTACCTGCTAGGCTGGGGCTGAAACAGCTGAAGCTCCTTGGGCATCTCTCTCTCTCTCTGGAAACCGTGTGATTTCTCCAGCATGGGGGCTTCAGGGCAGCCAGCATAGCCTTTATGCCTCTCAAGGTATGTACCATGAAAGGCAAGAGTTGTATCACCATTTATGACCTTGCCTTGGGAGCCACCACGTAGTACCTCTTAAGCCACCTTCAGTTGGTCAAGGAAGTAGCAAAGGTTCGCCTAGTTTCAAGGAGAAGGGAACATAGGGCCCTCCAATTAATAGAAGAGTGTCAATGTCCCATTGTAGGAAGAACATGTGGCAGGGATTGTATGTTGGTGTAGCAAGTAAAAGGAGCTCTAGAAAAATCATGAAATATCAACTGGAATATATGTTGCCCATGTCAGAAAGAATTCCAGTTTGGACAGTCTCAAGAAAAGAAAAAAACAAAACAAACATACAAACAAACAAAACTGCTACAGAAATGCCTCAAAAGAAAGCCAGCATTTGGCTACATGTCACACCAATTCCTCAACACCAGATTTTGAGAGCACTACCATTTGTTCTTTTTACCAAGCTAGAAATTCCTTCATAAGATTCATCTCTATTTTATTCTGTATTTCATTTCTAATTTTATCTGATAACTCCTATTTCTTCATTTTAAATCATGAAATGACCAATATCATGATCAATATTTACTTCTTCTTGTTACCAGCATTGCTTAAGTACTCAATAGCCCATATCCAGTTTATTTTATTGCCTCTGGGCATTTCTCTCTTCCCTTTGCTCCTCCAATCTATCCTATATATTGCTACCAATGAATCTACTTTTTTCTAGCATTTTATGAAATTTTCAAATAAACACAAAAGTTGAAAGAATTATGCAGTAAACATCAGTATATCCAACATCCACATTTCTGAAACTTTTCTAATTTTACTTTATCACATATTTATTCAGCTATCCATCCCTTTATCCATTCATAAATGTATCTTGTTTCCACGATGCCTGTCAAAGTAAGCTGCACACTAAAGTACACCTCATTCCTAAATAATTCAGAATGCATATCATTAACTATTAAACAGCATTGAATATTTGTGTACATTTATTTTGTTAGGTAAAATTTACATATACAGTAAGTCCTGCTTAACATTGTGAATAGGTTCTTGGAAACTGGCTTTAAGAAAAATGATGGACAGTAGGTCCTCAACTCCCTTCATTAAAAATCGTTTTATTACAACATTTCTGACAAAAAATATCTGGTTTTATTACACTTTTTTTTTTGCATAAAGGTGCAGTTTCTCAGAACATTTTGACGGCAGTTAAGTGAAGACTTAATGTAGTGAAATGCATAAATCTTAAACATGTGACAAGTTTACAATGCCTCATATTAGTAAGCTCCATTTTAATTATCCTATTCCCCTTCTCAAGAAACCCAAATAGTTTACTATTGACTAGCAAAATAAGTCTCCCAATCTTTTCTTAATACAACTGCATTAATTCTCCAATTATTTATTTTATTTTTATTTTTATTGTCTTAGACAGAGTCTCACTCTGTCACCCAGGCTTGGAGTGCAGTAGCGTGAACTCAGCTCACTGCAACCTCCGCCTCCTGGGTTGAAGCGATTCTCCTGTCTCAGCCTCCCAAGCAGCTGGGATTACAGGCATGCGCCACCACCCCAGGCTAATTTTTGTATTTTAGTAGAGATGGGGCTTTACCATGTTGGCCAGGCTGGTCTCAAACTTCTAACCTCAGATGATCCACCTGCCTCAGCCTCCCAAAGTGCTGGGATTACAGGAGTGAGCCACCACACCCGGCCAATTCTCCAATTATTTTTGAAATCACTCCCCTTTTCTTTGATAGTATTGGTCCTACATAATCTGTGATGCCAATTTACACTTTTGTGTGTGTCACACTGAAGAAAAGTCAGAGAGGATTATGGAGGTGGTTTGGCACTTTGATCTGTGGACAAATAACTCCTGGAGTACAGCACCTGGTTAAATATGCAGGCTCTTCCACTAACTTGTTTTTGGACTGAGGGCAAATTATTTAGTATAAGTCTTAGTTTCATAATCTTCAAATTGTAAATCTGTCTAGAAGGGTTCTTGTCAGGTTTAGTAATAACATGTGTATAGTACCTACTGGAATGCTTAACACATAGTAAGTGCTTAATAAATTATATATAGCAGATGCTTACTGAGTGATCTTATTAATATTAGTAAGACATAATAAAGTTCTAAACTCCAGAAATTTTAAATTCAATCTTTTGTTGTGTTAATAAAATAATTTTCCATATCAAATAATGTTTTTACCTCAGATATAATAAAAAATAATTTGATTATGCATTAAGCAGCAAACAAAGCTTCTTGTTATACTTGGGCAGAAAAAGGTCTATCTACAAATTATATGTTGCTCTGTTTCTTCATTGGGGTTCACATGGGAGTGAATAAACGTAATAGGGAATAAGATAAGTGGAAAGTTGAATGGAGGCACCAAATTTCTGTTATTAGCTTGGTGCAAAAGTAATTGTGGGTTTTGCCATTGAAAGAAATGGCAAAACTCACAATTACTTTTGCACCAAGCTAATAACATTTTTCTTCAAATCTCCTTTAACTACCTTAAATATATACTTATCAAACTATATAATAAGCTCTAATTTTCTAAACACCTACTTGGAAAAATTTCATCTCCTAGCTAAAATGTTGAACTCAGTACTTCACAAATAGTATTCAATAAACATTAAACATTATTACTGATGTCATGTATTTTTCCATTAAAAATACAAGTCAAAGAAAAGACTCAACTGACATAAGAAAAATGTTCTTTTAAACAGTGTAGGCCCATGCAGAAAATGAGTGTGCTATTAAAATTAACTTTGCAAAACTTAGAAATATGATAACCAAATGAAATATTTGTAGTCATTAAATAATTGCAATAATTTTTGTTATTTGTAGTCATCTTGTTATGTTCTCAGAACAAGTAAGTTTTTGCAAAACAAATATCTTCTATTAGAAGTCTCTCCAAACCACGTAGCATTTACCTTGCAGTGCATAGATTAATGATTTTCAAATTGTTTTTGGGCTTGGCAAATGTGTTTTATCTAATTTTGCAGATGGGCAGCCACAAAGAGAAATTTTTGTATTTCATTTTTTCTTACTTTAAACAAAATCCTTTAAAAATATTGGAAATATCAAGTTGGGGAAACAAGAAAGTACTTAAATATGGAACTGTGATCATCGAGTTACCTGTCTAACCCCCCAAGTTCAATGTAAATTCCAAGAGGTGAGAAGTCAGATCTTTTTTTTTTTTTTGAGATGCCGTCTTGCTCTGTCACCCAGGCTGGAGTGCAGTGGCGCTATCTCGGCTCACTGCAAACTCCACCTCCCCGGTTCAAGGGATTCTCCTGCCTCAGCCTCTCAAGTAGCTGGGACTACAGGTGCCCGCCACCACGCCTGGCTAATTTTTGTATTTTTAGTAGATATGGGGTTTCACCATGTTGGCCAGGATGGTCCAAAGTCATATTCTTTTAATGTAGCACAAACCAAGTACAAAAGATCTTTGCTGAAAAAATAAATAATTTATTAAAGATCAGTTAATTTTTTTCTGGTAGATTAAAGGCCTGTGATGAACCAAAAAGTAATTAATTACTATATTTTCATTTGCTAAAGGTAAAAATAAAGAGCCATTAAGTCTGTGAATTTCAATGTGTTGTGAGGAAGTTATCTTTATGGGTTTTAGGTATAGTGGATATAGAGTTCTTCTGGTTCACCCTCTCTCTGGTGACAGGAAGAAGGATGCCTTCTTATAACTTTCCCTTTCTTATTTCAGTAGAAAGACAATAAGGGAAACAATGCACATGGTTATTGAATTCCATCTTAAATTGGTCTATTTATATGTATTTATATGTCACCATTTCTTCATGTAGCTTTGGCTGTAAATTTTAATGAAATGAGAATCGAATGAGGGAATACATGATGTGACTCTGCAGTAATTAGTGCAATAGAGATTTGACAATTATCCAGTTAATCTGATCAACAAAGACAGCCCAATTGGGTAGTTAATGTCTCAAAGTGGATTTATTTGGCCTAGTCAATCCAAATAGGCTATGCACATTAATTATATTAACAACACAGCTGCCAACATTATCCTCACTGTAGGACACATGGAAACAGCTCAAAAATAGGGGGTGATAAACCACACGAAAAACAAATATTGGATGATAGTGATAGCTTCTGAAAGAAGCAAAAAAGCAGGACTCAATTGTAACAAAAAAGAAAAAAAAAGCTGAAGTTATAAAAAATTAAAATAGCTCATTAGTACTTAATAATATAAGAAATAAAATGAGATAATAAGAAGAGATGGTGTAATCCTATGAAGACCATATCAACGTATCATCTTTTGTTTAAATGGATTAAAGATGATTTTAAAAACCTGACTTCTTTGACTTTTAACAACTCAAACATTGCACCTTTAATTTACTTGAGGTTTTTGAATGAAAATATGTCCAAGCCTTTGAGTGATCAATCTTTATTGATGATGGATCTAAATGTGGCTTATTGTCATAGTTAGAATATCTGCAAAATAAAATTATTTCTTAAAATAAGTGAAAAACTCAAAGATACAACCTCCAAACTACTATGTTAGATAATATGAATTTAAAGAATGTTTGTATAGTTCATCAACCTCACAGATTTTTTTTAAGATACACCAATTTGGCCTCAGAACAACTTTTCTTGCACGGAGTTTTTAATTAAGAAAATCCAGACGGAGAAAATAATGATTGCTAAGAGTATCAGTAGAGAGCATTCATTCCTCTCTGAGTACTGTCTTCTATGCCACCTTCCAAAATCCTAGAAAACTATAATGATGGACGGATAGACTTTGAATGTATGCTCTTATTTCATCAGAGATTCGTTATACTGAATTATTGAGTATCTGCAAAAATTAGAAATAAATGAAATGGAATCAGTCTTGTTTAAAATAAATTCCTTCTGTTGGAAAAGCAACTGTAATTGCAAGGTTGTTTTAGTTTCTGCTTGGTATAATATGACAGATGGTCAGTGGCAAGGAATGAGTTCCATCCCTAGCACCACAAAACCATGTTATTCATTGCTTTTGAGTTATTATGAAATGCAAATACTGACCCACATTAGCTTTATTGCTGGCCTGGAAAAACAACTTCCAACATTACCACAATACCACAGTTACAACAATTAGAGATGTTTCTTTAATTCTCTGGGGACCATTTATGGTCAATAGTTTTTAATCTTCAGTATTTCTTGTTAAGAAAAATATTACCTTAATTCAACCAAAGCTGAATGGCAAGTATTAGGATGTAAGAACTTGAAAACATCATCACATATTGTCCAGATTTGGGTTATTTTTCTAGCTGTACTGAAAATATTTAGGCACCATTCACTTCTTCCTAGAGAAAAGTTTAACATGTTTTCTAGAGAAGTAATATCTGTCTGATAGAACTTTCTGTGATGATAGAAATATTCCATAGCTATATTGTCCAATGTGGAAATCACTAAGCACTTGTAGCTACTGAACTGTTGAAATGTGGCCAGCAAAATTGAAGAACTTATTTTTAAAATTTTATATAATTGCAACTAGTTTGAATTTAAATAGTCACCTATGGCTAATGGCTACCATACTGGATAGTGCAGTTCTAGAGTCAATAACTAACTACTTGTTACTGTAAATTCACCTGCGTGGATTTTTTTTTTTTCCCAGGCATCTCCTAAAGTAAATCCTTTTTCATCTTGACCTTCAGGGACCAGACTCTTGGAGAAAGACTTGTCCTATCATGTGTGGGATGAGTAAGAACTATTCACATCATCTGGCATATTTAAAATACACGATATCCTAAATTCATGTCATAAGTCTACTAATTTATATTATAGTAAAAAAGGAAATTACAAAACATATTAAAATGCCCTATCAAAGAGTTTAAATTAAATTAAAATGGTCCATTTTATATGTCAAGATTGCCCCTGCCAGTGTTTCTTACTATCTTGGCTCTAAGCTCTTGCTCTGCCTGTCCTCACCCAGTATGTGGTTGGCATGACCCCTTTTTCTGAGGTTTTTGGGAGCCTGTACTTGGCTGGGGATTGTGTCAAGAGACCTGAGCTGTCTACACTCCTGGTGATAGGCCAGAGTTCTTCAGCTAAGGAGACACAGAGCATGAAGACTACTTGCCAACAGAAATCCCATGTCCCATTGTGTTTGATTTGTGAGCCAACTTGCAGCCTCATTTCTGAATTTCAACCCCACAAATGTAGTTTTTCAACAAAAATATTTTCAATTAAAATTGCTTTGACCTTGGACTTCCCTCAAAAAAGAGTCTTCTTGTTAAGAGATGTTCACAGTGTCAATAGAATGCAAGCTTATTAAACATTCAAAGAAGACTGTATTTGTCTGTTACAGTGCTGGAGGAGATAAAATGTTATTGATCCTAGCTTCTTAGTGGGCATTCTGTTCAGGGCTTTAGACACTGACAATAGTTAAAGGTAGAGTTGAAAGAAGTCCTTAGAAACCATGAAGCCAAATGTTGTTGTTCGAGAGATGGAGCCCTTCCTCAGAGGCCATCCAAACATTGTTCACATAAAAGTACATTAAAAAGTGCTTCCCATTCTTCCAGTTACTGAAAGGCTGAAGAAGCTGAATGTGGACTAATGCTGAAAGAAACCAGCAAATAAATAAAGATTACACAATTTAAGGACCATATTACTGAAGAAAAAAGGAGGGGATATATTTCATACTCTCCTCTCCCTATCACTGCCAGAATACAACAGGAAGCCTTAGACATAATTTAACAGGCTAACCAAAGCGAGCTAGAATGGTAACAGATTGCTGGACTTGCTAGGCTCCTATCATAAGAAGCTCAAAGTGCCAGGCATCAATCAAAGCTTTAGGCTTATTGGACTCTTATTTTGTTCTCATTTGGGAGCGTTACATCTCCTTCTGGGAACCAGAAGTTATAAACCTGCAGAGCCCAAAGCGCTGGCTGTGGGAAGCACAAATTCCCCAAGGCGACCACTGGGAGTGATGATAAGCAGGGTCACTTGCACCTGTTAGTTCTTGGGCCCAAGTATTATAAGTATATAAGGCAAAGCGTCATTTTATGGCTGTGGATTCAAAAAATATGCTGCATCCTGAGGGATTTAGCTCCATTTTCCCAGGGTGCCTTTTCCAAGCTGATGCCTCTCAAGCATCTTCAAAAGGCTATCGAATTGTTGTATCAGGCCGGCAGCATCTGGCTGGTAGGCTATGTGCTAATCCCAGTAAATGTCATGATCATATATTCACTGCCACACCATTTTTTGCTATAAGGTGAATCCCTGGGTTAGAGACCATGTTAGGCAGAATCCTGCCCCATGTTAGTAGGTCAGATACTGAGACTTCAGATGTTGGTGATGGATGACAGCATGAGAAAATTCTGCCACATAATGGTGACAGGAGAAATACATATGTCCCTCAAGTGATATACTAGGACATCTCTTTCCCTCGCACTAGTGTGGCTGTAAGTGGAGAAATATAGAAATTATGGCCTGATAAGAGAATGGCAGCCAGGGACTCAGATTTCTCAGGCAAGCTACCCAGAGCAGCATAAGTGCTGGAAAAAGGTGAAAGGAATCTAAAATGAATGGGTGAAAACAATGGTGAGTATCAGTTATGACCTGTGAACCAGATGCAACAATGAGGGCTCTGTTTCATTCCACTTAACCTTTTCTTATAAGTTTCCTACAAACTGTAACCAACCAAAATCCTGGAGAAGCTATGTTGAGGTGAAACAAACTTAATTTGAAACTTAAATGGATCTCAGTGGTCCAAGCAGTCATCAATGGTGGAGGTTTTTCCCCACGCAGATGTTTACTACAGGCCAGTGCCCACATTACCCAGCTGCTGTGTGGCTGATGATCATAGCTACTCCCTTCTCTGGAGAATCACCTTTGGCCTAACAGGAACTTTCTCAGCCAAAAGTCTATATACTCTCCTACCCCAACAGGCCAATAGCTGCTTGACAGAGATGGGGAGACTGACTGCTTTTCCTCAAGAGAGGGTTAACATGTGGTGCAATTTGTCTGGCAGAGGTTCCCTACGGGATCAGGAAGCTTGTGTGTATTGGTCACATGTTCACGGACTGGCGTGGCCCAAGGATCATTGCTCATAAGTCCACAGATCCCATGTTAAGAACTTATGTATTATAAGTTAACAAAACAAAGCAGGCTCTATTCATTAATTCAACATATATTTGTTGAGTGTGTCCTACTTATCAGTCCCTCTTCTGGGGCTGAGGAAGCAGCCTTGAGTGAAGAAATAGTTATTGCCCTCATAGAAGTTAAACCAATAAAAAATATATAATACTGCAGATTATGATAAAATTCTTAAATAAAAATAAGTAGCAAAGGAAATAGGTCCTCACTGATAAAGTGGTATTTGAGTAGAAATGTAACAGAGACAAGGAAACCAATCTTAGTGCTGTGTGGGCAATGAGCATTCTGGGCAGCAGCAGCATGAAGGGCAAATGCCCTGAAAACAAAACCTATGCTTGAGGAACAAGAGGAAGTCAGTGTGTCTGGACATGAGTTATTAAGAGGAAGAATGAGAAGAAAATTAGCGAGATACCACAGGGCTGGATTATGGCTCCTTGGCCCCTGAAAGAATTTATGTTTTATTTCAAGTAATATAGAAAACCATTAGAGGTTTTGAACAGCAGCAAGACATTAGCTAACTGATATTTGGAAAGGATCATTTTGGTTGTTGTATGAAAAATAGACTTAAAAAATATAAGGATGATTGTTTCCACCATGTCACCATTTAGCTTCTCGGTCTGTTCCCTGTAGAAAACTGGTAGGTCAGGCAAATGACAGTAGATCATGGCAAATGCAACCAAGTAGAAGCACTAACTGAAGCTGTTGTGTGCGGTATGTAATATCTTTACTAGAGAAGAACAACACAATATCTGGCATGTGGTATGAGGCTATTAATCCACGAATGTGTTCTTTTCAATATTTGTCATAAATGTGGATCAAAAGCAGTTTGTATTCATCTGGCATGGACGTTAATATACAATCATGGTCCTGTTCCAGGGATATTTTGCAAAACAGATAGGAGGTAGACTCAAATGTCCAGTGGTTGTCAAATATCAGAACAGTCCATTGTATTTATGATATCATCAGGTATAATGAGGTCTAATGAGCAGGAAGGGCCAATAATCTGAATGCTTTGTTAGGATATCTGTGTCCCAGAGAGTAGGAAATAAAACGAACGTATCTTCAGGAGCTGGACAAATCAGTGAAATTTTTAGAAATTCTGTAGTCTACTGCATGCTAGTGCATTTCTTCCAGAGTTAAGACCAAATTTTGCATTTTACTTTACTATCAAGAAGGACCCAGGCTGTTTGGTAGAACTCTTTGAATTTTAAACACAGCATAAACCACATTTTGGAATGATGCCTCTTTAACAGATGACTCAGAAAGCTGCAGTTCTGAGTGGGGCCTAGAATGATAGAAGGTTCTGCAGCAATATCAGCTGCAATACAAGCACCCTTGATGCCACAGCAATAATAAATGGCAATACTACTAGAGGTACCATGATAAATAAAAATGCAATGTGGGCTCTCTGTCAAATCTGAATGGAGAACTGCAGTGAAAACCCTAGTGTTCTGGATCAAGGCCATACTATTGCAGCATAGTTCTTTCACCATTTGGAAAGCAGCTCCTAACAAGCTACCTGGCCATAGTAAGACTAAAGGCCTTTGTATGGACATCAGTTGACCATATGACTGGAACTATCCCTCATGAGCTTAATAACACATGTTATATTGTCCAGTAGGCAGAGCAGCAATTTATTGAACAATGGAACTAACTCATTATAAGAAAGTAGGGTTGCTGCTACTTGGGAGAGCAAGAAATATTTTGAAATTTGCGGAAATCCACTGTTGCATATTTTCGTTTACCCACACCCAGGTTTAACTTCAAATAAGTGATTACAGCAACTACAGCATGATAAGGTTCAAAGGTCAGAGACACTTCACCAGCAAGCCACTTAGACTAACAGAAGTGATCATCAAGAATGAAGGATATTTGGAATGAGTCAGAAGAAGGATATGATGAATCAGTTATAACTTTGCAGCTGCAAGTAGTGAGAGCCCATTCGGCTAATCAATGTCTTTTAAGTTTCTCCTCAGAAACGGTGGCCAATCATCATCTATACAAATCCATGACAGGATGAAATGAGTTCATGTGGATCTGGGTGGCTCAAAGGATGGACGACAGCAGGTGCTGTGAGTATTCCACCAAAATCCCTTTGGGTCCCTCTCACTGGTTCAGTACACATCTCCTTTGGCTTCTGGGTGCTTTTGTTTCTAAAGTCCCACTACTGCAATTCTCTTTGGAAAACTTCCCTTTGGCTTCTTGGACAGTTTACCTGCATGTAAAGAGAATCAAAATGGCTGGGAGTTTTTCTCACCCTGAATGACCCTGAGCCAATGAATGGCAAATACTGGAGGATGAAAGCCTTGCTCCCTTGCCTCAAGAGGGGACAAAGTGAAGTGCATTTTACATTCCAGAATCCCTATGCAGGAGCAGGGAAATTCTGACTTCTTTCTCTTCCCTGGGCTGCCTTTCTTACTCCTTGGATGTCTTGTCCTAGGAATATTCTCATAGTGAGTCATTGCAAAAAAATTATCATCTCAGGATCTGCTGTGATAAACCTGACCTAAGACAGATTCCTATTACACATTTTGTGGGAAATTTGATTACCATTTTGAGTCTGGAATTTATGGCAGAGATTTGAGCTAAAAATATCTTGATAGCTGTTGGGCTATTGATTATATATAAAGTTATGAGGCTAAATGAGATCGCCCAAGGAGTGAGTGTATATAAATAACATGCTTCAGGACATAAGAAGGTCTCAGACTTTCTTATCTTCTCCCTTGAATAATTAAACTAAATTTATACCCATTTCCTCAACTTTGGTCTCAGGACAGACCTTAACTCAGGGTCTCTGAAAGTCCTCAAATTAGTCCACCTCATTTCTAGTTATTTCCTAATTATATATCCTACTTTACTTCATCAACCTACCAAACTTACCCTCTAAAGGTATATAGTCTGAAGGGATAGATGATTTATAGGTCCATTGTGTTAGCAAACCAAAATGGATCTCTCAATAAATCAGAACATTAAACACCTGTTCAGAGGTGCAAACACTTGGCTCAGGTTTTCAGCTGAAAAGAATTCTCAGTACATTTTATACATAAGAAACACTTTCACCTTGACCTTGCTGGAAAGTACTTTGGGATCTTAAAGGCAAGTCTGGAAAAATATGGAGAGATGAAGATTTACAGAAGTAAAATTAAAGTATATATTGGATCAGAAGAAAACACCTATTTAAAATGCTGTGAACCATAGAATACCTTGTACACAGTACGTCATCAAAAAATATTTGTTGAGTAAATTGTACTGAAATTGTACTGACTATCCCATGCATCTTTATTTATTGCAGAATTAACTGGTGTGCACATTTTATAAACTTTACCTTGAAATTTTGTAAGATATTTTAAGGTAGAGACTAACTGAAGAATTGAAATGACTCTCTGTCATGTAAATGAAGTCTAGTGAATGTAATAGGAAATGATGGAAACTAACTGAAATATCATTTTGTTAAGCTAGTGGCTTTTGAATTTCTTCTCATAAACAGATTAGATTTTGTGAGCTGCTTCCTACACACACCAAAAAGCAAAGGATTTTATTTAAAAGAAAATTCTGTTGACTTGAATTGGAAGTACAAGCCGTTCTTTCCTTTTGACAGTTGGCTTTTGAAAGGTTTTTCTTGGGAGATACATATTACACTGTTGCTAGTTAAATGTAATGATCCTTTACCCTAGAAGAAATAAAAGGCAAGATTTGGCTGACTTTTCTTCTTGAGGAACCTATTTGTGAGTAATATGTGTGTTAAAAAGCAGTAACAAGCACTAATATAAAAAAGTATTAAAAACTTAAGTGATGGATAATTGAAAGCTGCCTTTTTCACATCCAAGATATTTTGATAATCTCACATATACTATAGTAAACCTATATAACTTATCTGTAGCTTTTGGATCAACTGTAACGTATCCAAGGCACACCAACCTTACTTGAATTAAAAAAGAAGAGAAAGAAAGAGAGAATCATAGGTGTAACTGTCTTATATTTACTAAGACAAACTAGAAATATAAATTAATAAAAAAGTAAATTTTGCAAGGACCATAAAATTCAAAGTATAATTGCTGTTGAATAATATATGGTACAAAGATCCAGAGGTAAAAACTTAGGAGATATAATTTTTGATGTTCACGAGCAATTGCACATTTATTATTTATCCCATGTTTGGAATTTTTTACTTTCACAGTAGCAAGATCATGTTTATAAGACACAGTCCTGAATGGCAAAAATAATAATGTTCCATTTCATACATACTCATTAAGAAAAGTCTCAAGGACCTTGATGGGTTCTAGATCAATTTCTCTGTTTCTAAGCCAGATGACACTTCAGTGACTGCTGTTGAGCACCAAGACTCTCATGAACTTCCCTGGTAGGTGACACTTCTTCACATGAGCTGTCAAACTCATTGAGCTTGACAGTCTCACATAGATTGAGATTGTATGACCTTTATGACTAGACTGAAGATAATGCATTCTATTATTTAAAGTTCCATCTCAAAAACCCTTACAAAGTATTTTATATAACTTCTTCCTTATGATCTATGTTTTCTAGCTTCCATGGCTTGGACTTATAACCCTTTAAACAGCCTTCCCTGACAGTTGATCAATTCACACCCATTCTTCAAGTGCCTTTTTACATACTATGCTTCTAAGAAATTTTCTCTGCTGCTACCCTGTCCCAATTAGATGGAAGTGATGGCTCTCCGAATTCCCATAGCTTCTGTCTATACTTCTTTTTTAGGTAGCATATTAGGGGTTCCATTCACCACACCCAGGTTCAGTGACTTTCTGAGAGAACTCAGGACAGAATATACCCATGCTTATGGCTGTGATTTATTTGTATCCTTGTATCCAAAGGATACAAGGCAAATCAGCAAAGGGAAAAGGCACAGGGAGTGATGGAGTGAAGTCCAGAGGAAACCAGGAGCAAGCTTCCAGAAATTCATCCCAGCAGGGTGTGCTGGGATGTGCTCAATGAGTTTGACGACACATATGAAGAAGTGTTGCCACCAGGGGAGCTCGTAAGAGCCTCAGTGCTCAAAGTTTTTACTGGGGGCTGAGGGTGTAGGCAACCACATGTACCAAGACTCCAGACTCCCACAAGGAAGGCATGTGCTTAGGATAGCTGTGTTGTTTGCAGTTCAGGCACAGTGAATCATCCTTAACAGGTAGGGTGAAGCACTACTTATGGAATCTAAGTTTCCAGATGTCAGCCAAGGGCTAATCTTGCCACAGGCTATTCTCAGGATAGGAGTCTCATGCCTGTTATGTGAACTCTTCTGTGCACTGTTAGTTACCCCGTTTCACTGTAAGCTCACTAAGGAATGGGGAAGGAAAGTTTTAAATTATTACTCCATAATTCCCAGTATAGAACAAGATTTCTGATATGTGACACTCAACTAATGTTGATGATGAGAAAGTCTGATTCATTAAAGAACTGCAAGAAATAGGCAGGAAAGCAGACTTAGAAATATAAAAGATAATCTTGCCATTCCATTCTAGATGGAGTCCTTTGTACTCTCTGTGATTTTCCTGTGTCTAAGGACAGGAGATGGCATAAGCAGATAAAAGGTAAGGAAGACACCCATTATGAGTAATACTATTACTGACATAAGACAATTTATTATTTATTGTTGAATATATGTATACATTTTATGGAAATAGGAATATGCATTTTTTAAGGAAATAACTTCAGATCACTAACATTTTCCTTAATCCTGTCCACTCTGCATTTTATTATTATTACACCTAGAAAACATTGCATATATTATAGACCATGTTCCAATTTATTGGCTGAAAAAGATATTTATTGAGCACTTGCTCGAAGCCATCACTGATAGAAAAATATTAAGAACCCCATAATAAAAATAGCTAATGCACAGGCCAAACACTGTTCTAAGCACCACTGCAAGAGGTAGATACTAATATATATGCTCCTTTTACAGACAAACTTACTAGGGATGTTAAATAACCTTCCTAAGAGTTACTCTGCTGTCCATCCAATCACTCCATTATACTGATTCTCATACACTAGAAATGCTCACAGTTTTCAACATAAGCAGTTATTTTGACAAAATTAAGGAAAAAATCTTGGTTCCAATGTTAAATTTTTCCTCTCCAATGCTTTACAAATTAAACAACTTAAGTATTTCTAGATTTGGCCACTTCATGATTGAAAAATTATGTAGTCAATGAATAGTTTTCCACTTATCAATTTAAGAAAAAGTAGTGAGGACTCAACAACATATTTAGCATTGTGACTCATTCTGAACATAAAAGGAAAGTTAAGTTGGTTTAAATAGGTAAACTCATGTGCACTGAAATCTGTTTATTCCTATCACTGGTTGATGGTTGAGTGTTTGTGGTACAATTTAAGTTATGTTTAAGAATAGAGTTTTTTTATTTCTCTCCAAATAGGATGCAGTTTTATAATTAATTGTCTCCCACACAGAAGTACAATTAATACATACCAGACCCTGAAGAAGAACTCATAGAAGGGAAACTAGACTGTGGATTTTTTTGATTTCTTAAAGCATTAAATACTAAAACATGATAAACGGGCTGGATTAAGTAAAACTCAAAGAGCAGTTTAGAAATGCAGATATAATTTCACCCCTAGATCATGAAACAGTATTTGGTGTGACAAAGGCGTTGTCAGTACTGTTTACAAGTTTTTTGGTCATTACTTATTCAACATTAGTATTCAAGTTGAGACAGATGACAGAGTTCTTTGGTTTAGGCAAATCTCTTCATTGTGAAACTAGGGTGATAGATACTTGAAAGGCATTGTTTTAATTTATAACCACTTCAGAAAACCTCCTTCAGGTGACTGATATTATCATCATCCTTATGTCATAAAAGAGGCAACTGTGTCTCGGGAAGGTAAAGTGAACATCTCAGGGTCATGTAAGTCGGAAGCGACACAGCGGTGACTTACACTCAGATCCTTACTCTCCAGAGTTAGTGCTCTTAACCAGTAGGGCACATTGCCTCTCAAATATCTCTGAAGGGACATAGATTTGAATGTAATTAGAAATGTTCACTACCAAGCACTGAGGTACAATTCTCTATGTGTCTGTCACATCTCTGCATGTCTTGCAAGCACACACATTGACTGATACTAGACTATCTTAAAGAATGTTAGTATAGTGGATGGTGTTGCAAGACAGAGATATGGTCTCCCTATGGAGGAATGGCAGGCATGCTTACTCTTATTAAAATATTAGGGTCTGCTCCTATAAACATCCCAGTGTGTGTGCAGATGTTATCTGACCATTGGCATTGTCCTGAAAAAACTGGGCTTTGGAAACCAGCATAAGATAATGTTGATACTGTGGTCACAATTTTTTTCTTAATGAGTTATAAAGCCTTTTGATTCTGAAAACAGAAGAGAAGAAAACAAAAACGTCTCTAAATTGGAAGTTGATCTACTTTCTTTAATGTCTGAAGATTATGACTATTTTGGGGATCCTCTTCAAAGAAAGTAATATAAAATTACTAATATAAAGTTAATTTCAGGAATGTGGAGGGGTCCTGGCAATTGAGAAGCCTTGAAATGGAATCTCTAATGGTGACAAATCCATCTTGCTTCTAATTATATTTTTGAAAGTCATTGTTTTCCATTTTGACAAATGACTCTAAATTACTTTTCACTTCCCAAGCACCAGGTGTATATATCACATGGCGACTCATTTTAAAGAATAGCTCTTACATTTTGTTTTTTCAGGCAACATAAAATCTAGAGTATGTCTCTCAAACGATAATCTTTTCAACACTCTGGGGTCCTACTTAGATTTATATACAGTCTAGGGAATATTTTGTTTTTTTTTTTTAATCCACTGACTCTACAACCTCTAAATATGGCCAAACTGATGTTTTTATCAAATTGATTTCTAAAACTTGCCTTGGTGACAAAAATAGTTAAATTCCCCCAGAGTTCAGCCCAAAGTCCAGAAAAATTAAATTCATAAGAATTATACCATGAATGTTGATATAGTTTCAACTTGGATATGTGGCAGATCTATGGTGTTTGAAATGAGAGAAAAAACATACTTTACATAATACTATGACAGTAGCAAATTGGCCAGACATGGTGGCTCACTCCTGTAATCCCAATACTTTGGGAGGCTGAGGAGGGTGGATCATGAGCTCAGGAGTTCTAGACTAGCCTGGTCAACATGGCGAAACCCCATCTCTACTAAAAATACAAAAATTAGCTGGGCATGGTGGTGGGCACCGGTAATCCCAGCTACTCAGGAGGCTGAGGCAGGAGAATCGCTTGAACCCAGAAGGCGGAGGTTGCAGTGAGCCAAGATCTCACCACTGCATACCAGCTGGGGCGACAGAGTAAGACTCTGTCTAAAAAGATAGATAGAAAGAAAGAAAGAAGGAAGGAAGGAAGGAAGGAAGGAAGGAAGGAAGGAAGGAAGGAAGGAAGGAAGGAAATTATCTCTTGCACACAGCATGGAAAAAGAAAAAATAGCCTACTTATTTTCTTGCGTAAAATCATGTCTTCTTATTACAGTAAAAGCTTAAAAGAGTTAAAACCATGAACAAATCACATTTGTGTTCTGCTCACAGATAACAATTATAGGTTAAACATTATAAACATTTATGTGAACTCATGAAGTGCAGAAGTCAACAAACAAGAAAATGAGTACTTCACCTACTTTTGAAATGTTACTTGATCGACTTGCAGATCGCCCTGGGGATTTTTCATTCTGAAAAATAAAATGGGAAACATTAATTAAAAGAAGGTATGGTACTTTCACCATACTGTACCACTGAGAAGAGAAACCACAGCACAAGGAAATCTGTGAATGCTCTCTATATTGTTTTGACTAATACACATATTAATTGCTTACACAGAATGCTTTTTTCTTTTATGAAATCATATTTCTCTAATATATATTAGTGTACTTTAAAAATGCTTCAATTAATATCTGAGTATTAATCAGGTTACAAGTATTTGTTTCCAGGAAATAATTATTTCTCCAGAAAAATTTTTGAAATTCTTCGGCACTAAAATTAGACAGTAAAACTGTAGTCTACCATTTCCCCTCTTGCCCTTGCAACTAGGAAAGTTTGAGTCAATTCTGGTTTTCAATATCATTAAATATTCTGTGCTGGGTATATGCTATATACATCCACCTCGTATTCTTCTAAACTGCATTTTATTTATTTTTTGTTATTTTACATACTCTGAAATTAAAACATTTACTTTTTAAAATTTAAGATGCTTCTGACTGTATATGTTTCAATTAAAACTTAAAACTTTTATAAATATTTATATCCTCAGTTCTTTCCTCTTAAAGAATTTTTTTATTTAGCAGAAAAGAGGCATGAAAAAAGCTTTTGAATAAATGTTTTTTAAAAGGTCATATAATTTTAAAGTAGAAATGGACCTTAAGTAGTTGGGCCCTCCCGTTTGAAGCCCAGAGACATTGTGTTCCTGAAAATTATATAGCTACTTTTTCTACTCTGCCAATTATGTGCTGATAGATGATCAACTGGAAAAATCAGAGTTTATAAGCATTATGCATTCTACATGTAGAAAGAGATCAAAGATCAAAGGACACCTCTACTTCTGTAGAGAAAATGTTGTTGGAACAATCAATTCTGAATACTAAAAGTTTATAAAGGATCTGACATAACATTGTCATTGAAATAATTTACCAATGTAAGAATTCCTTTTGTTTTTTTTTTAACTTCTGGACTCAGCCCCAAAGTGGGCCTGAGTAGGCAACTGCAATGCATCTTGACATAGGTCATTTTTGAGAACTAAGTTGTTATAACAACCCGTGGGGCTGAAATTGCCCATGATGACTACTTGAGACAGTTTTAGAGACACAGTGATGACAGGATATGGCAGATGTGTTATTGCAGAAAAACAGTGGCTGCATTCACTGCAAACTGTCACTGTGTCATGTGCAGGCTTACAGATATTCCAGCTGAACAGTACTTTTTCCTTTACATGCAACATCCATCTCATACAACCACTGATGTCACTGTGGAGCATGTTATTACAGACCGAGATGAGTCACAACGATACGGTTAGTTACAGCTCATAACAGCCCCATGCTCCAGCTGGAGATTAATGTATATGCTACCACAGACATTTTTCCCTGATTAGCTCCACTGGTGATGGAGGGAGGCACTTTTCTACTGACGTCTCAACTCCTCTTCTAGAGACTAGAAAACAAAATCAATCCATCTTTCCTTCTCAGTGAAATTTAGGATTTTGACACATTATTGTGTAGGACAGAGTCACATAATATAATAGGCTTTGGGAGAGACTGGTAGCAGTGGTTATTTTGTTATGTTTTCTATATTTACATGACATTTGAGAACATGATTAAGAACTAGAATTGAAAGGTGCTGCCACAGGAATCACGCAAAATAAGAAATTTAATTTTGCATAGGATTACTTAATTTTTCACACTGAATGGGACTTTATGGTGTTTTGAGATAAAACAAGAAAGGCCAGATTCACTTTACAATGTGTGAGTTCACCACACAGTTATAATAAGAATATTATTTCCACACTCTCTACCAGCATCTGCCAATCTAATGGGGGAAAAGCATCTGATTGATTATTTAATACTTCAAAGGATCTTTTAACTTGAAATGGATTGGCTTTATTTTCTCCCAATATAAGGTCAGGCATTGAAATAAACAAACTTAGGCAAAGGTTAACCTTTTTGCCACGGCTACGTTCTCTATTGTTTCTACACCAGTACATGGAAGAGGAAAGTGCATCAGAAAAGTTAACACGTGGTAGGACAGTGGTGTACGCTATGCTGTGCTGGCAGTGATGTAAACTGAGAGACTGCCTTGCAATGAGAACTCTAGTGATGTGCTAATTCTGGCAGGAGTACATTGTTTGACATTCCTGGACTTCAATTTCCTCATTGTAAAATTGGGGAGATAATATCTTGGAAATCTGTGTAAGGAACAAATGAGTTATAAATGAAAACATTTTATAAATTGTGAAGTTATGATATTTCCATTATAATTCACAGGTATAAGAAACACTGAAAGAGCTTTCTTTAAAAATCATGGTGATCATCATAGGTCACTATACAATTTTTTTTTTTACATAAACATCTTATTTTCTATATCTTGCAATTCTGCCTTTGATTCTGGCACATAAAATTTAAAAATTAAAAATTAAATCATTCTCTGCCCAGGGGGATTAAGAAAATTGGTTTGCCTTGCTTTTGAAGCAAAGCACCAGAAACATTTCCTCTCTTGGAAAACGTCCAAAGCAATCTGTCCAATTTGCTACTAATTAATTGGGTGGCTTGTCCCATTACTATTGCAATGTCATACTCTTCTTTGAAGATTAGTCAATATGGTTGTCATACCTCATTACAATCAGTTTAACTACTTTACCTTAGATTAAAAATAAGCTGTCTCAGAATCTCAGAATCTAACATAACTTACTGGCACCCAAATTATAGTGACCTTGTAGGTCAATAAAAGTTGGAAGCAACAAGAGTTCCTAACAAGTCTGCGTGGAATGGAGAGGATCATTAAGCAGTAATGTTGGATTTCAGCATGTCATTCATAGTATACAGACAGGGAGAGAGACTTCCAGTTTCCTAAGTTTTATTGAAAATATTTTCAAGAAGTTTCTAATTTTTGGTTTGCTATGAATGTGTCTGATATTAATAGTTCTGTTTTGTGACTATTATCGTTTTTCAAAGTTGATCCTACTAAACATGGTTGGATTCTTTTTACTAGCAAGGAAAAATGATTACCAAATGAGAAAATCATTACCAAGTTTTGTTTTAACGAATTTTTAATGTTAGAGTCTAAGGAAAGTGACACAGTTCCTTTAAAACGAAGTGGTCTGTCCTAACAATACACAACATGACTGGACATGTGTGAATCTAGGTATAAACTTTCTGTATACTATGTCATTGACTGAGGGACATAATAAAGCTTAAAAAAGTTTTTTTTTAATGTAATATGAAAAAAAAATAAATATTTCTGCAAAAAAAAACACACTAAGACATTCTTACAGAGACCACTAATCTGATATTCTGCAATTTTATTTCCCCCCTTTTTTCAGGTTAAAAATCCCAAGTATTTGAAAGGAGAAACTAAGGTAATTTGGAGGGTCATCTGAAAAATTTTAAGTAGACAATAGAGCAGTTTTTGCTAGGGTAATTATAACTTGGAATAGAAGAAAAGTCTTAAACAATGTGGTTTGTAAATAAAAAATAAGCAAGGACATAGGGAAATTGAATACTGCAATAAAATTTGATTAAAAGATATATAAAAAATCTCATACCTATTAAGTTATAAACATTTAATGTCTATGAAACATTTAAAAATTATTTGACCTTAAATAATAGCTTAACAAATATGTCCAAGTAGAGACTTTACAGGGTCTTTTTTTTTCAATATTGAGCCAATACAATTAGAAATCCAATTTTGAAAAGTGACTCGTAAGTCTTAATCGCCTGACAATTAACTAAGATACTTTTATATAATACTTGGTCCAAAGGAATGAAAACTCTGAAATAGAGCCAGAAGCTATAGAATATATAATATTAAAACCTATAGCATATAGCAAAAGCTGTATCCAGATAACAGTTTATAACTGTAAATGTTTTCATTATTAAAGAACACAAGAACGTAATAAAAGAAACATAAAAGCTAAAACTAATTAAATTGATTTAAGTTAGAGAAAGGATAAAAAGATTTTCTTAAAGGAAGTCTTTGAAATAATTGCAAAATAGATGAACTTCCCATAAGACTTATTAAGGGAAAGAGAGAACAAAAAAAATGATATCAGAAATGATACATAATCATAGACACAAAAAACTATATAAAAAGAATGCTACATGTAACATTATTGCAACAAATATGAAAACCTAGAGGAAACACATTATATTTAAGTAAAGCAAAAATTCCCAGAATTTGTTCAAGAAAAAGAGAAAAACATAAGATAGTTAATCAAGGAAATATTCAAAAAGTAAATAAAAGTCTATATGCTCCTAAAATGGATAAGGGCATGCTGATTTTACAACCGAGCTGTATTTTACTTTAAAGAACACATAATTCCAATATTACGTATACTATTATTGTCATAGAAACATAAATATCCCTAATCCATATTATTAACATGGCGTAAATGAAACTTCAGATGTGTTAAGATAGTACTCCCTACCCCACCAAAAAAAACCAGTAGGAAAAAAAAAGGAAAAAAGAAAATTGTGCCTTGCTCTCATTTGGAACTACAGATGCAGAAAATGTTAAAAATTAGTGTATATTTTGATAATAGCATATGTCTTTGATACATGAGCAGTGTATCACTAAAATTCCCAAAGAATAGAATAAATAGAATTTACTTATTTCAGGTTTTAAAAACTCAGGACACCTGTCAACATAATCCGTTAGATTAATACATTGAAAGAGACAAACATTATGATTTTATAACTAAATTCTGGAAAGATATTTGACAAACTTTGGCAGTCTTATTCTAACATAAGCTCTAAGTAAAACAAGAATTGAAGGAAACCCCTTATAGTAATAAAGACAATATTCTAAAAAACACTACAAAATATAATGCTAATTGTTAAAATACAGAAACTACAAAAATTATAGAACCTCTATTAGGGGTGCTTGCTATAATTATTCAACTTGTTTTAGAGTTTTTAGCAAATATAACAAGGAAATGGAGTATTTGGTAGAAAAGGTGTTGAAAAAGAAGCAATACAACACTCCTTTCTTATTAATGACATAACATCTTAGAAATCCCAAGTGTCTCTGGTTAAGAAACAAAACCACTGCAGCTAATTAGACTTTATTACAGTACTTAGATACATGACAATTAGATAATGGCAGAGTCTACTAGGTTTCCTAAAATCCATTATCTCTTGCTTGTGCATTAAGGGAATAATAACTGAATATACACCTTCACAGTGGCATTATATCTCCCAGCCTTCCTTTGGTTATAGGTTGCCTAAGGTCAAATTTCCTCCAGTGAGATGTGACCAGAACTAACAATTGTCAGTTTCCTGACTGTCACATGAATCTCCCATATAATTTCTTACATGCTTTTTTCCTACTGCTCTATGCTGGGATGGAAACTATCAGGGCAAGACAGAAGGCCACAAATCAAAGATGGTAGAGCTGAATTCTTGTGGGTCTTTGAGTGACCACATAATGAAAAGCCTTCTGCCAACTTGGAGTACATACTCTAAACTCTCATCAGAGAGAAAAAAAGTGTATTTCTTGTGAGCCATTACATTTTTGATTTATTTAATATTGTGTCTATCCTAATGGAAACACTATAAAATCAATAGCTTTCTTTTAGCAATAAATATCCAGAAATGCAATAACAGAAACAAAAACCATAAAATACTTAGGAATAAACTTAACAAGGACATGAAATTTTATTTGAAAATATATTCTATAAAATATTACTGAGGAGTATAAATTGTGATCTGAACAAATAAAGTACCATACTTTGATGGGAAGATAATTTTCTAATATATAAACCCTCTACAAATTGACATATGAGTAGAATGCAGTTCCAATTAAATCTTCAATAGAATTTATTTCTTGTTTTCTGGAGAAGAAAGGAGGTAGATAAAATGATCTTAAAAAACAATGTTCTTAAAGAACTTATAAATAAAAACAAATACCTGAGAATAACCAAGAAAATAATGAAAAAAAGGAGAGCTTTTTATGCTAGGCATTGTACATATTAAAACTCACTATCATTAAGTCAATATGGTATTGGCATAGAAATTAACTGAAAGATCAGTGTAATCAAGAATAGAAAATCCAGAAATAGATGTAAGAATCTCACATATAAAAATTATTTCCAGTCAGTATTGAGGATAGTTGATACAATAAATGTTGCTGGACAACTGGCTACCTCTGTGGAAGAAAAAGCCAGACTTCTATCACTTAGCATATATAATCATGGAGTCCTGATGGAACAATGTCTTAAATGTTAAAGATTAAAAAATCTTTGAAATAAGTCTAAATTATGAATTCAGTCTTGGGGTGGGAAAGATTTACATAGCTAAGACACGAACCAGAAACTATATGTCATTGGTATATTTGATTATCCTCTGTCTAGAAAAATACAAAAAGTTAAAGTGAGTAAACAATTGTGTTAGTAAACAATGAAACACAAAAGACTGATAAAGTTTAATTTCTAGAATATGCAAACTGCTTTTGTCTATTCACAAGAGAGGCAACAGTAAGGAATCAAATAGAAAACAAATGAGCAAGAGATAGAAACAGAAATTCACAAAAAAAGGAATTACATATTGTCAATAAATATATGGCAAGATGCTCAAAATCACGAGCAGTCAGAAAAATGTAAATTAAAGTAGCAACAAGACATCACTTTTTACTCATCATGCTGAAAAAATTTAAGAGTGATAGCTTCTGTTGCTGATGGCAATAGGAAGAATGAATACTCTCAAAAATGCTAGTAGAAATGTGATTTTCTTCTGCAATATCATTGAAAAAACATCTGGCAACATATATTGAAATTAAAAATATCACTTCATGCAGTAATTTCACCCTTGGGAATCTCTCCCAGAGAAATACAAGCACTAGTATATAAAAATATGTGAATGAGGACACTTAATATACAACTCTGTTTTGAACTAAAAAAAAAAAAAAAAAAAAAAGAATCCCAGCAATAAAGATGGGACAGTTGTTAAGTTAATGTCTCAAAGCTTTAAACCCACTCTTCTAGCTTCTGTTCTGGGCTGGAACTCTACAAACTACTTTTCTGTTGTGCCATCTGACTCCCTACTAAGCTCTGCTTACTGGGGAGTGGGCACAGAGGGGGGCCACAGGGAAACTAGAAGGCTAGAAAAGGAAAACAGGATTTGCTCCATCTATTTGATTTCTATAGGCTTCTTGTGTTTGCATCATCCTAGAAATGCTTCTTCACCCTGGGAGTTAGTTGCAATCCCCCCCTGTAGCAGCAGCTGGCATCTAGATACAAGGTTTCTAACACCCTCAGAAACAGGCTCATTGTACTCTTTTGAAGACCAGCTGGTGGATTCTTAGAATTCTAAGAAGTTTGAGTTCCAGTTCTATGGGGCCCTCCTCCAAGCTTTTAATAATTTTAATTTCCTTCCCCTGTTCACTCAGACCTCGGGAGGATGGCTGCTTCCTACAATTCCTGCCTTTGTAACATCTTTGTGTCCTTATTTTTTTCCTTTCAGTTACCTAGTTAATGATCTTTTACAGCCAGGGAATATATCTTTATACTAAATTATCTGTGTTAAAACAAAAGGCATCATTTCTCCCTCTTGACTAACAGAATAAACAATGTTCATCAATAAAGAATTGTTAAGTAATTTATAGTAGAGCCAAACCTTGAAAATATCATGCAGTCATAAAAAATGAATTGGATCTCTGGCATTTGAGAGATTTCCATAAGGTAACTTCGAGAGTGAAAAGTAAAATAAGAAGTGATAAAATATGATTCTTTTAAAAACATACCAGGTTAGAACCTCTGTAAGTATATATGCATGCACATGTTTGTGTATAGACATGCAGTAGTCTATGACTATATGAGCATGGAAAAAGTCATGGAAAGTTATGCAAAAACTATATTAACATGAATTATTGGGTAGAGCAGTGGGAGGAAGGAAGAGAGGCCAGCAGGAGGGGAATGAAGAAAAGAGAGGAGATGGAGGGCAAGGAATCTTAAAAAGCAAAAGAGAATGTTAGAGCTCTGTTTTTGTAAAATTATATATGGGTATGATGTGCATACAGAAATTATAATGCAAATATGAGGTTATATCTTTCTCTACTGGTAAATGGTAATGTTCATGATATATTGTTAAGGTAATAAAGTTATAGAAAAATGTGTAGAGGACAATTCCATTTCTTTAAAAATAATGAAATAGATTATGTATAGAGAGTAATTCCATTTCTTTAAAAACAAACAGAACTCCTATATATGTCTACATATTTACAGATGTATGTTTGACTGAGCAGAAATATGTTAATCCAATCTTGGCTATTAACACTGCAATCTATGCACAATGGTTACCTTTAGTCCTTAGCATGGCGGGATTGAGGGAAGCAGGCAGGCCCATGGGAGTAGTCTAGCTTTTTCTTTAAACAACTTTGTGTATAAAGTTTCAGTTGTTTTAGGCCAGGCAAGCAGGCTCATACCTGTAATCCCAGCACTTTGGGAGGCCAAGATGGGAAGATAGCTTGAGCCCAGGAGTTCAAGACCAGCCTGGGCAACACAGTGAGACCTCATCTCTAATTTTAAAAAATAAAAAGAAATTAAATTTTAAAAGTTTACTTGTTTTTTATAATCTTTTAAACAATAGAACATCTAATTAAGAAACTCTGAAAAACAAAAATGGCAAAATTGGCCTTACTCAACAGAGTGTATATCATAAAGGTATATCTATGTGTGTTGTATGTATGTGTATGTAATCAAAAAGAGCTGCAAGAAACAGTTAATGTTCATATTCTCCAAGATGATACAGGACCTGGAATATACAGGCACTAAATTATTTATTCAGTCAAGTGGGATTGGTGGAAAAATCACAAGATTTGTAGTTACAACACTTGCATTAGAATTGCAGCTTCATAACTAACCATGTGATGGTAAGAAAATCACAGGCCTTCTCTACCTCTAAATTGCTGAACTTGCAAAATGCGTATAAAGACCCTTGCATGTTTACCTCATAGAATTTCTGTTGAAGCAAACATGGCAAACTTTGGACAAGTATATTTCAAATTGTAAAGCACTGTATAAATATAAACTAGGATTATTAAATTTAGATGTGCTAGAAAGATAATAAGGACAATTGCTTGTAAGTTGCCACATTTATTATTAAATTTTGCACTACGTAGAATTTTCTACAAACACTCCAAATTTTCTTAAAAATGAACATATCATTCCCTAAATGTCAAATTTAATGGGTAAACTTGCTAATCTCTTTATCTAACTTCAGGATCACTATGAAAAGTCTAGCAATTGTGACCAGAAGGCTATTTTAAAGGTACTTCTATACACCCCTTAGGACTTTTCCCTAAGTACAAGGCCAATACTTTGAAAAGTGGTGACCATTCAAAGACTATCCTATAAAAAGAAGACAGCTATCACAACAAGCCATCTGAATTTTGGTACAGATATTAAGTTGGTGTGAAATAATTTCTGTTTTTGCCATTACATTCAATGACAAAACCGCAATTACTTTTGCACCAACATAATATATTATGTACTTACACATTTATTAATCACGACCATGAATATGAGTTGTATTTATAATTGGGCAGTCCAAACAATTGTATTGGCTAGGAAATAATATCAAAAATATCTAAAGAAGAGCTCCCTTTTCTCCCTAAAAAATATTATTCAAAAGCATGTCCTTGCTCTACACACTTATAAAAGACTCTCTACTGATAAATGAGTTGCCATTCTGAACAAGTTAGTAATTGTAATTCCTAGGAGGAGAACCAAAGACTTTTTTTTTAAGTTTACACACTCTTGTACTGAAAATGTTTCAAACGGATTCTAATTTGGGTGAAAAGAAAAATAATATAGTAAAATGATCATTGGCTAAATTGTCAAAGCACCATGGAAAAAGCCTTGAGGACTGAATTCACACATCTTTATAGTAATGAAAGGATGGAAAATAAGGGCATTCAATGATTGCTAAAATGCAGAAGGTGATGATTTTACTTCAATTGCTTGTATGAAAAGGTGATTACTTTTTTTAAAGCAATATATAAAGTCAGGTTGGCATAAGCTTTTAGTGTAACACTTGTTGAACCTTTATAAAGGATGGTATATGGGCAGGTTTATTTTTTCCCGAAATTCTGTTTTATATGACTATGTTCACATGAGAACAAAAAACTTGCCACACCTCTGGTTGTTTCTTAGATGACCAGAGGTGTGGCAAACTTCTTAATAAGACAAACAGAAGTTTTGTAAATGACGTGTAATTTTTTGTAAATTACACGTCATTTACAAAATCCTTCTCTCACAGTAGTCTTCTTACTTAAGTTCACCCAAAGGAAAATCTGCCAGTGGTTTCATTCTGTAAATTTAATTTTCCAAAACAAAATGGAAAGACCCATTGCTTATTAATTAATTGACTGTTCCTTCCTATAAGTGCTTAACATTCCACTGAGTTTTAAGATCTTTATTTTTTTCTGTTGGAAATCCCAGTTTCAGTTATAATTAAAGTATCATGTTCATTTGCGTTTCAAATGTTATTTTCACAGGTGTGCTAGGTGTATCTTCCACCAGTCCGTGTAGATCCATGTCCCACTGTTCCCCACCCTGATCTGTGCCCAGGAGGCACACCCGGTTGGATCTCACCAAGGCTCCTTTGCTCCTGGCTTTCAGTTTCATTACACCAATGAGAATTAATGCAGAGTCCTGGTAGATTACAGGAATGGAAGAGGGTGAGTTTAGAGTAATTATCCCTTCCTTGAAGGATCACCACAAACTGACTTTGCCCCACAATTGGAGGTCTCAGTATTTGTCAGGTAGCTTTCTGCAAAAATGCCTCTCTTTCTCTGGGTTCTGGAAAATGCTACTTCTCCCTGCTTTTTCAAGACTATGGGTGACAACCACCCACTGCTGTTTCCACCCATGGGGTATACAACTATCTCTTATATTTTCAATATATTCTGCTCATACTCATTGCAAATTGACTATTAACTCTCCCCAAATTATCCAATTTGGAAATGCTATCTGTTTCTTTCTAGACCCCGATGGATAAAAGTCATCTTTAGTATTGTGTAGTCTTATCATTATTACTAATTTTTGCTATTTTTGTCACATTAATATCTTAGAAAGTTACTCTGGAGGTATAATCATATTTTATCAGAGTCTGCAGTGACTTAAAAACCTATCAAGTAGGTTTCAAACCACTTTCTGTATAAGAGTTATATTGTTTTCTTCTGTGGGTTTAAGATTGGAGACATGTTTGTAAAACAGACCACACATTATAGACCGACCATGTAAAATCTGCTGCATGGTGGAATGTTTTCATTAGTGTTTTTCATCCTGCATGCTATTAAAAGCACTTTAATGGCCATATATTTTTTAAGACTGTCAGGGAATTTGCAAGCTAGGTTTTTTACTAAATTCTGGAATTGGATTTAAAAGTTCTAAAACCTTCATGGGTCACACACACAAGTGTATGTATATGGGCAATGGCTTTCTTATGAAAAAATAAAAAGTTGTGTGTCAGTGCCAATCTAGACAATGCATCTGTTACCTGGAGGCATAAAATTTAAAAATACTAGATACTTTGTGATTCAAACAAAATAAATGTTGAGGAAAATGTATGATTCCTGCAAAGGTTGGTAATCCATCCTTCATGTAGAAGTGCTTCACTCATTTGTGAGGTCGTTACTTCAAACCTTTTTGTTCCAGTCTCATGCCTGACTTCTCTTCTTGCGTCTTACTCCATTATTCAACTCTTTCTTATTCCTCCCTTATGTCAGTAATATGTAAATAAATGAGATGAAATTTTAATCTTTGGATGTATACATTCTGGTTCTATAAAACAGCTGAGGATACATACGAGAATTTCCTGGTTGAACAAATAGACACAAGGACTTAAATACGGATCAGAACAAAGTGCCAGGAAAGTTGATACTGCCTGTGTTTCAGGTTTTGCCCTCAGTGTCACTTATGGTCAGGTCCATTTCTGACAATCCCTTGTTATATAATAATATTGGCCTACCAGGAAGTCTGGAGTCACAAGTCTTAAGACAACATTTTACAGAGCTCTTCTAAGAGCCTGAAAAGCAACCTTAGTTTTCATGAATGCAAATTTCATACACCATGAAAAAAATCAACACAGCTGAATTGTTTCTATATTATGAATCCTATTGTTTCTACAGTAGCTTCGACTCATCTCCTTTCATCATTTTCTGTCTCTCTTCATTATTTAGAGTATTCCCTTATTAAGCTATTTTTAAAAACAAAAAAAATCAAATTTAACTTGCACCCTAGATAAGAATTTTAGAATTCTTGTCCATTATTATTGGATTAATTATTGGAAAAATAGTAGAAGGTAGGAAAATAAGTGGCCACTTTCCGGCCTATAGAAACATCAAATTTAATCTTTTTACATACCAGCTCTCTTGGATCCAAGAGGAAATAAATAGAAATGTCACTAGAGAATTATTACTTCATATAGTATTCTACTAATAAATAAAAAATTTGCCATAATGCCTGGGTCCAAATCCCAACTATACCACTTGTGGTGCAATCCTAGGCAAGTTACTTATTCACTCATGACTTCTGTTTATGCATCTGTAGAATCATGATAATAGTACAGTCCTCTCAATGTTGCTGTAAGAATTAAATAAGTAAATGGGATTAAGTGTTTAGCATGGAACATAATGTGCTACACAAATGGTAGCATAACCAATCTTGTATTTTATGTGAACTTTACATCTTGTCTACATACAGCCTGTATGCCATTATATTAAAGGCATAGCTGTTAGAAATAGAAGTTCTGAAGGCATTTCTTCTAAATGTAAAAAAATTAGTTTCAGAAATATGCTATAAAATATTTATCAATAAAATTAAAACCACTCCCTTTAGATCTCACCTATGGATAGTGGGAGAGGTGTGAGACCCCAGTAAGGATAAGGACACTGGAACAGGATGTCTGCCTCAGACTTTCACCTGTATGATACAACCAAAGCCTCAATGAACCTTGGTCACTTCTCGAAAAGTCTTCATAAGTTGGCAATACATAATGAAAATATGTGCCTATTGTAAACAGGTGGGAAGAAATGAAGACATGAAAGAACAAACACATAATAAGCTTATAATAATAACAAATAAGCATAACAATAAATTTGCAGTAAGATTGTACGTAGTTGAAATTATAAATCAGTTCACCACCCACAAGCTATGTAACCTTGAGCCAGTTGATTTACATTTCAGTGTCTCATGTTATTCTTTCACTGGGTTTTTAATATTTAGAAATATTATACACACAGGGTTCAGTAGGATTTCTGGCACATGTTTCCATAAAGAGCAATAGTTATAAGGATTGGCTTGAAAATGGAATATTTAACCATTCATCTTCCATGAAAAACCCAATTCTCCATTACACACATAGGGGCCATTCCAAATAAATATGCAATGTAAGTTAAAACACTGTGTGTGCTATATAAATTGCTGTGCAAATACTCTAGCTCCAATTCTATCTATCTTACTGCACTCGAACTTCTTTTAAATAGAAATCCTGGCCACTCACTGTCCATAAATAGCTTACTGCTAATGAAATCAGTTTGGGGGTAAGTTTACATGTATTATTCTACCACCATTACTTAATAAACTGTTTCTCAATGGAAGAGACTATATTTCAATCACATTTACTTTCTTTAACACAATACCTGCCTGGAATATCACAGATGTTTCATAAATTAAGTAGGACGGTAATTCTACATGTTGGATTCAGAGACATATTAGCATAGTCATTCTTGAGAATAGTAGGTGGGAAGTATACGACAATTAACATGCTATTTTATTTTTCTTTTTATTCTTTTATTTTTTTAAGACAGGGTCTTGCTCTGTCACCCAGGCTGAGTGCAGTGCATGGTTCACTGCAGTCACCACCTCCAGGTTGAAGTGATCCTCCCACCTTAGCCTCAACAGTAGCTAGGACTACAGGCACATGTCACTTTGCCTGGCTAACTTTTTTAAAAAACTTTTTATTTTTTGTGGAGGCAAGGTTTTGCTGTGTTGCCCAGGCTGGTCTTGAACTCCTGGCCTCAAGTAATTTTCCTGCCTCAGCCTCCCAAAGTGCTGAGATTATAGGCATGAGCCACTGCACCCAGCCTATACACTGTTTTATTCACGAATAATTTATTTGATTTTATTTTTATAGAAAAAAGTCACATCTGTTTTTAAAATGTGTCTAAATTAGAAGCCACAAAGATAAAACGCCATTAAATGGATTTTGGTCATAGTATATTATAATTTGGATTTAACATACAGTATTATCAACTCTTCCATGTGGTACTATTTATGAATGTTTGGCAGCAGTATTGGATTAATCAGAGGCAATCATACTTTGACCTAGGATGATGAGCTGAAATTTTATTTTACTTTATTTTATTTTGAGACGGAGTCTCGCTCTGTCACCCAGGCTGGAGTACAGTGGCGCGATCTCGGCTCACTGCAAGCTCCACCTCCAGGGTTCACGCCATTCATCTGCCTCAGCCTCCCGAGTAGCTGGGACTACAGGCGCCCGCCACCAGATGAGCCGAAATTTTAAAAAGAGGTTGCAAGAACAGTGGCCTCACGTGCTTTCAAAATGTTACCTGAACTTCTAGTATTGTAAGCTATACTGCATCTGTATTAGCTGACTCTCCCCAAGCAAAGGTATTTTCTTTTGTGTATTTGTGCTTCTTTGGGTTTATAAAGTGTTTCTAAGATTTCTACCACCCAGATGCAAAAATCTGAAGGAGGTGAATTTTAATCTCAGTGGAAATTACTGAGATCCAATATATGTACATACTATGGCAAAAAAGATGATGAACTAATGACTATTCAAGACATCTGAATTTCTCATAATAGAAATACTCACTAGGGATAAAATAAAATAAATAAGGGCTAGTGTATCTGCTGAAAATACTCTGCTCCAATCTCAAAAACATAAAGGCATTAATGCCTTTGACCACAAGCAGATTTTTAAAAAACGTAATGAATTTTCAAACAACACTCCATGGGATGAATTAAAATCAACACTTCCTAGATATCCAGTTATAATAATATAGTTCAGGAAGCAAGTAACTTTCTAAAATTTTTGACAAACATAAAAAACGTAAAGTACAGAATTTTCATCAAGATAATGCAAGAAGATGGATATGTGCTGTCATCAAAATACGGGTGATCCAAAATAAAGCAGTGTAACTAAATTATTGTTTATTACCAGGAAAATCCATATACTTATGTAACTAGCTTTCTGAAACTCCTAATGGAAGAACAAAATTGAACTTTTATGATGGTTCTTTACTTGGCAACATGTTCCAGGAGGCATCTTAATCTGGTAAATGTAATTCAATTTATGTAAACAACAACAACAACAACAACAATACAAGTATTCAATATGTATGATAATTTGGATTTAGTCCTAATTTTAAAAATAAGTTTCAGAATACAAAATGCACAATATTATGTTTATTTGTACGGTGTACCTTGCAAATTGCCTCCTGAGTATACACAAGGGTCATTTCATGACTTTCCAGATGAAAATACTGACATTCTTAGGTGTTGATGCTAGACAGAATTACAGTTAAGTTAAACTTAGGCATCCTGCAAACTCGACAAATTCATTATTCCTATAAAAACACAGGCAGAAGCTCAACTTACAAACAGGTATAGAGAATTAATAATGTTAAATTATTATTAATACACGCCTTTTGCCGAGGAGTCCAGAGGACATACAGTGGTGTTTGTTATTGTAGTGTTGTTCGCTCATTTGCACTATAGTAGCTCCACACCCATGATTGGTGCTTCAGGGACCAGTGCCAAAATCACCAGTGGGCAGCTGGCAGGGTTGGGATGCAGCCATGTGCAAAAGAGTATCACCTAACAATCAAAATGCACACAGAACTGTCAAAGTTTGAGTTGGTTGTTGAACAGCAACTCTGGTTCCACAAACTATTACAAATCCAGAGAGATTTTCTTTGTTGTTATTCCCAATAGGCAAATTAGCAATCTTCTTGTTAATTGTTACATAAGAATAAACATTTTAGGTTAATAATACATATTAATTTTTTATTATTTTACTGTTTTATTATTAAATTTAACACTTATTAAAATCTACACATACACATTTATTTTATTTACTTATTTATTTTTATTATACTTTAAGTTTTAGTGTACATGTGCACAACGTGCAGGTTTGTTACATATGTATACATGTGCCATGTTGGTGTGCTGCACCCATTAACTCGTCATTTAGCATTAGGTATATCTCCTAATGCTATCCCTCCCCCCTCCCCCCACCCCATAACAGGCCCCAGTGTGTGATGTTCCTCTTCCTGTGTCCATGTGTTCTCATTGTTCAATTCCCACCTATGAGTGAGAACATGCGGTGTTTGGTTTTTTGTCCTTGCGATAGTTTGCTGAGAATGATGGTTTCCAGCTTCATCCATGTCCCTACAAAGGACATGAACTCATCATTTTTTATGGCTGCATAGTATTCCAGGGTGTATATGTGCCACATTTTCTTAATCCAGTCTATCATTGTTGGACATTTGGGTTGGTTCCAAGTCTTTGCTATTGTGAATGCTGCTGCAATAAACAGATGTGTGTGTGTGTCTTTATAGCAGCATGTTTTGTAATCCTTTGGGTATATACGCAGTAATGGGATGGCTGGGTCAAATGGTATTTCTACTTCTAGATCCTTGAGGAATCGCCACACTGACTTCCACAATGGTTGAACTAGTTTACAGTCCCACCAACAGTGTAAAAATGTTCCTATTTCTCCACATCCTCTCCAGCACCTGTTGTTTCCTGACTTTTTAACGACCGCCATTCTAACTGGTGTGAGATGGTATCTCATTGTGGTTTTGATTTACATTTCTCTGATGGCCAGTGATAATGAGCATTTTTTCATGTGTCTGTTGGCTGCATAAATGTCTTCTTTTGAGAAGTGTCTGTTCATATCCTTCACCCACTTTTTGATGGGGTTGTCTGTTTTTTTCTTGTAAATTCGTCCTGGAGGCATCATGCTACCTGACTTCAAACTATGCTACAAGGCTGCAGTAACCAAAACAGCATGGTACTGGTACTAAAACAGAGATATAGACCAATGGAACAGAACAGAGCCCTCAGAAATAATGCCACATAGCTACAACTATCTAATCTCTGACAAACCTGACAAAAACAAGAAATGGGCAAAGGATTCCCTATTTAATCAATGGTGCTGGGAAAACTGGCTAGCCATATGTAGAAAGCTGAAACTGGATCCCTTCCTTACATCTTACACAAAAAATTAATTCAAGATGGATTAAAGACTTAAATGTTAGACCTAAAACCATAAAAACCCTAGAAGGAAACCTAGGCAATACCATTCAGGACATAGGCGTGGGCAAGGACATCATTTCTAAAACACCAAAAGCAATGGCAACAAAAGCCAAAATTGACAAATGGGATCTAATTAAACTAAAGAGCTTCTGCACAGCAAAAGAAACTACCATCAGAGTGAACAGGCAACCTACAGAATGGGAGAAAATTTTTGCAATCTACGCATCTGACAAAGGGCTAATATCCAGAATCTACAATGAACTCAAACAAATTTACAAGAAAAAAACATTTATTTTAATTTAAAATCAAATTATACTGACATAGTGCCAAAATAACTGCTCTATGAGATCAATAAATCCAATCTATTCTGATGTAGAAAGGCAAAACCCATGTGTGTTGCTTTGTAATAGTAACCAAACAGTCATTATGTTTCAGCCATTTCAGGAACATATTTGTGATTGTTGTATATTGATTATGACTCTGGTCAGTTGTGGTTAACAAGCCTTTTTTTTCCTTATACTTTGTTTTTTCCAAGGAGCCTATTTTGTTTTATAGCATGGTTGGACTTTTGCCTAGAACATTACAAATGTGTTCAATATAACCAGTATTTATCCCAACTTTCTGAAGAAGAAACTTCTCCTATTTAACTCCAACCTCATGACTCTTCTCTGATATTGTTCCAGCCGTAGGTGTTAGCATCTGCTATTGTAAAATCTTTTGTGTTGATTGGTGAGGACTGAGGTGAGGACCAGAGCCAAGATCACTTTCTACATGAAATATTATACAGTTCTGCCACATGTCCAACTCTATAAATTACTAGAAGTTTATGGAAGTGGGTATATCTTCAAGCTCATCTTTTTTATTTATTATACTTTAAGTTCTAGGGTACACGTGCACCATGTGCAGGTTTGTTACATACGTATACATGGGCCATGTTGGTGTGCTGCACCCATTAACTCGTCATGTACATTAGGTATATCTCCTAATGCTTTCCCTCCCCCCTCCCCCAACCCCATGACAGGCAGTGGTGTGTGATGTTCCCCTTCCTATGTCCAAGTGTTCTCATTGTTCAATTGCCACCTATGAGTGAGAACATGCAGTGTTTGGTTTTTTGTTCTTGCGATAGTTTGCTGAGACTGATGGTTTCTAGCTTCATCCATGTCCCTACAAAGGACATGAACTCATCCTTTTTTGTGACTGCATAGTATTCCATGGTGTATATGTGCCACATTTTCTTAATCCAGTCTATCATTGTTGGACATTTGGGTTGGTTCCAAGTCTTTGCTATTGTGAATACTGCCGCAATAAACAGATGTGTGTGTGTGTCTTTATAGCAGCATGTTTTGTAATCCTTTGGGTATATACGCAGTAATGGGATGGCTGGGTCAAATGGTATTTCTACTTCTAGATCCTTGAGGAATCGCCACACTGACTTCCACAATGGTTGAACTAGTTTACAGTCCCACCAACAGTGTAAAAGTGTTCCTATTTCTCCATATCCTCTCCAGCACCTGTTGTTTCCTGACTTTTTAATGATCGCCATTCTAACTGGGGTGAGATGGTATCTCATTGTGGTTTTGATTTACATTTCTCTGATGGCCAGTGATGATGAGCATTTTTTCATGTGTCTTTTGGCTACATAAATGTCTTCTTTTGAGAAGTGTCTGTTCATATTCTTCGCCCGCTTGTTGATGGGGTTGTTTTTTTCTTGTAAATTTGTTTGAGTTCTTTGTAGATTCTGGATATTAGCCCTTTGTCAGATTAGTAGATTGCAAACATTTTCTCCCATTCTGTAGGTTGCCTGTTCACTCTGATGATAGTTTCTTTTGCTGTGCAGAAGCTCTTTAGTTTAATTAGATCCCATTTGTCAATTTTGGCTTTTGTTGCCATTGCTTTTGGTGTTTTAGAAATGATGTCCTTGCCCACGCCTATGTCCTGAATGGTATTGCCTAGGTTTTCTTCTAGGGTTTTTATGGTTTTAGGTCTAACATTTAAGTCTTTAATCCATCTTGAATTAATTTTTGTGTAAGACGTAAGGAAGGGATCCAGTTTCAGCTTTCTACATATGGCTAGCCAGTTTTCCCAGCACCACTGATTAAATAGGGAATCCTTTCCCCATTTCTTGTTTTTGTCAGGTTTGTCAAAGATCAGATGGTTGTAGATGTGTGATATTATTTCTGAGGGCTCTGTTCTGTTCCATTGGTCTATATCTCTGTTTTAGTACCAGTACCATGCTGTTTTGGTTACTGTAGCCTTGTAGTATAGTTTGAAGTCAGGTAGTGTGATGCCTCCGGCTTTGTTCTTTTGGCTTAAGATTGTCTTGGCAATGTGGGCTCTTTTTTGGTTCCATATGAACTTTAAAGTAGTTTTTTCCAATTCTGTGAAAAAAGTCATTGGTAGCCTGATGAGGATGGCATTGAATCTGTAAATTACCTTGGGCAGTATGGCCATTTTCACGATATTGATTCTTCCTATCCATGAACATGGAATGTTCTTTCATTTGTTTGTGTCCTCTTTTACTTCACTGAGCTGTGGTTTGTAGTTCTCCTTGAAGAGGTCCTTCACATCCCTTGTAAGTTGGATTCCTAGGTATTTTATTCTCTTTGAAGCAATTGTGAATGGGAGTTCACTCATGATTTGGGTCTCTCTTTGTCTGTTATTGGTGTATAAGAATGCTTGTGATTTTTGCACACTGATTTTGTATCCTGAGACTTTGCTGAAGTTGCTTATCAGCTTAAGGAGATTTTGGGCTGAGACGATGGGGTTTTCCAAATATACAATCATGTCATCTGCAGACAGGGACAATTTGACTTCCTCTTTTCCTAATTGAATACCTTTTATTTCTTTCTCCTACCTGACTGCCCTGGACAGAACTTCCAACACTGTGTTGAATAGGAGTGGTGAGAGAGGGCATCCCTGTATTGTGCCGGTTTTCAAAGGGAATGCTTCCAGTTTTTGCCCATTCGGTATGATACTGGCTGCGTGTTTGTCATAAATATCTCTTATTATTTTGAGATATGTCCCATCAATACCTAATTTATTGAGAGTTTTTAGCATGAAGGGTTGTTGAATTTTGTCAAAGGTCTTCTCTGCATTTATTGAGATAATCCTGTGGTTTTTGTCTTTGGTTCTGTTTATATGCTGGATTACGTTTATTGATTTGCATATGTTGAACCAGCCTTGCATCCCAGGGATGAAGCCCACTTGATCATGGTGGATAAGCTTTTTGATGTGCTGCTGGATTTGGTTTGCCAGTATTTTATTGAGGATTTTTGCATCGATGTTCATCAGGGATGTTGGTCTAAAATTCTCTTTTTTTGTTGTGTCTCTGCCAGGCTTTGGTATCAGGATGATGCTGGCCTCATAAAATGAGTTAGGGAGGATTCCCTCTTTTTCTATTGATTGGAATAGTTTCAGAAGGAATGGTACCAGCTCCTCCTTGTACCTATGGTAGAATTCGGCTGTAAATCCATCTGGTCCTGGACTTTCTTTGTTTGGTAGGCTATTAATTATTGCCTCAATTTCAGAGCCTGTTATTTGTCTATTCAGGGATTCAACTTCTTCCTGGTTTAGTGTTGGGAGGGTGTATGTGTCCAGGAATTTATCCATTTCTTCCAGATTTTCTAGTTTGCTTGCGTAGAGGTGTTTGTGGTATTCTCTGACGGGAATTTGTATTTCTGTGGGACCGGTGGTGACATCCCTTTTATCATTTTTTATTGCGCCTATTTGATGCTTCTCTCTTTTCCTCTTTATTAGTCTTGCTAGTGGTCTATCAATTTTGTTGATCGTTTCAAAAAACCAGTTCCTGGATTCATTGATTTTTTGAAGGTGTTTTTGTGTTTTTATCTCCTTTAGTTCTTCTCTAATCTTAGTTATTTCTTGCCTTCTGCTAGCTTTTGAATGTGTTTGCTCTTGCTTCTCTGGTTCTTTTAATTGTGATGTTAGGGTGTCAATTTTAGATCTTTCCTGCTTTCTCTTGTGGGCATTTAGTGCTATAAATTTCCCTCTACACACTGCTTTAAATGTGTCCCAGAGATTCTGGTATGCTGTGTCTTTGTTCTCATTGGTTTCAAAGAACATCTTTATTTCTGCCTTCATTTCATTATGTACCCAGTAGTCATTCAGGAGCAGGTTGTTCAGTTTCCATGTAGTTGAGCGGTTTTGAGTGAGTTTCTGAATCCTGAGTTCTAGTTTGATTGCACTGTGGTCTGAGAGGCAGTTTGTTATAATTTCTGTTCTTTTACATCTGCTGAGGAGTGCTTTACTTCCAACTATGTGGTCAATTTTGGAATAAGTGCGATGTGGTGCTGAGAATAATGTATATTCTGTTGATTTGGGGTGGAGAGTTCTATAGATGTCTATTAGGTCCACTTGGTGCAGAGTTGAGTTCAGTTCCTGGATATCCTTGTTAACTTTGTCTCATTGATCTGTCTAATGTTGACAGTGGGGTGTTAAAGTCTCCCATTATTATTTTGTGGGAGTCTAAATCTCTTTGTAGATCTCTAAGGACTTGCTTTATGAATCTGGGTGCTCCTGTATTGGGTGCATATATATTTAAGATAGTTAGCTCTTCTTGTTGAATTGATCCCTTTACCATTATGTAATGGCCTTGTCTCTTTTGATCTTTGTTGGTTTAAAGTATGTTTTATCAGAGACTAGGATTGCAACCCCTGCCTTTTTTTGTTTTCCATTTGCTTGGTAGATCTTCCTCCATCCCTATATTTTGAGCCTATGTGTGTCTCTGCAAGTGAGATGGGTTTCCTGAATAAAGCACACTGATGGGTCTTGACTCTTTATCCAATTTGCCAGTCTGTGTCTTTTAAGTGGAGCATTTAGCCCATTTACATTTAAGGTTAATATTGTTATGTGTGAATTTTATCCTGTCATTATGATGTTAGCTGGTTATTTTGCTCGTTAGTTGATGCAGTTTCTTCCTAGCCTCAGTGGTCTTTACAGTTTGGCATGGTTTTGCACTGGCTGGTACCAGTTGTTCTTTCCATATTTAGTGCTTCCTTCAGGAGCTCTTTTAGGGCAGGCCTGGTGGTGACAAAATCTCTCAGCATTTGCTTGTCTGTAAAGGATTTTATTTCTCCTTCACTTATGAAGCTTAGTTTGGCTGGATATGAAATTCTGGGTTGAAAATTCTTTTCTTTAAAAATGTTGAATATTGGCCCCCACTCTCTTCTGGCTTGTAGAGTTTCTGCTGAGAGATCAGCTGTTAGTCTGGTGGGCTTCCCTGTGTGGGTAACCCGATCTTTCTCTCTGGCTGCCCTTAACATTTTTTCCTTCATTTCAACTTTGGTGAATCTGACAATTATGTGTCTTGGAGTTGCTCTTCTCGAGGAGTATCTTTGTGGCGTTCTCTGTATTTCCTGAATTTGAATGTTGGCCTGCCTTGCTAGGTTGGGGAAGTTCTCCCAGATAATACCCTGAAGAGTGTTTTCCAACTTGGTTCCATTCTCCCCATCACTTTCAGGTACACCAAACAGATGTAGATTTGGTCTTTTCACATAGTCCCATATTTCTTGGAGGCTTTGTTCATGTCTTTTTACTCTTTTTTCTCTAAACTTCTCTTCTCGCTTCATTTCGTTCATTTGATCTTCAATCACTGATACCCTTTCTTCCAGTTGAACGAATCGGCTACTGAAGCTTGTGCATTTGTCACGTAGTTCTTGTGCCATGGTTTTCAGCTCCATCAGGTCATTTAAGGACTTCTCTACACTGGTTATTTTAGTTAGCCATTCGTCTAATCTTTTTTCAAGGTTTTTAGCTTCTTTGCCTTGGGTTCAAACTTCCTCCTTTAGCTCGGAGAAGTTTGATCGTCTGAAGCCTTCTTCTCTCAACTCGTCAAAGTCATTCTCCATCCAGCTTTGTTCCATTGCTGGCGAGGAGCTGTGTTCCTTTGGAGGGGGAGAGGTACTCTAATTTTTAGAATTTTCAGCTTTTCTGCTCTGTTTTTTCCCCATCTTTGTGGTTTTATCTACCTTTGGTCTTTGATCATGGTGATGTGCAGATGGGGTTTTGGTGTGGATGTCCTTACTGTTAGTTTTCCTTCTAATGGTCACGATCCTCAGATGTTGGAGTTTGCTGGAGGTCCACTCTAGACCCTGTTTGCCTGGGTATAAGCAGCAGAGGCTGCAGAACAGCGAATATTGCTGAACAGCAAATGCTGCCTGATCGTTCCTCTGGAAGCTTCGTCTCAGAGGGGGACCCGGCTGTGTGAGGTGTCAGTCTGCCCCTACTGGGGGGTGCCTCCCAGTTAGGCTACTTGGGGGTCAGGGACCCACTTGAGGAGGCAGTCTGTCCGTTCTCAGATCTCAAACTCCATGCTGGGAGAACCACTACTCTCTTCAAAGCTGTCAGACAGGGACATTTAAGTATGCAGAGGTTTCTGCTGCCTTTTGTTTGGCTATGCCCTGCCCCTAGAGGTGGAGTCTACAAAGGCGGGCAAGCCTCCTTGAGCTGCAGTGGACTCCACCCAGTTCAAGCTTCCTGCCACTTTGTTTACCTACTCAAGCCTCAGCCATGGTGGGCGCCCCTCCCTCAGCCTCGCTGCCACCTTGCAGTTTGATCTCAGACTGCTGTGCTAGCAATGAATGAGAATCCGCGGGCGTGGGACCCTCCAAGCCATGCATGGGATATAATCTCCTGGTGTGCCGTTTGCTAAGACCATTGGAAAAGCGCAGTATTAGGGTGGGAGTGACCCGATTTTCCAGGTGCCGTCTGTCACCCCTTCCCTTGGCTAGGAAAGGGAATTCCCTGACCCCTTGCACTTCCCGGGTGAGGCAATGCCTCGCCCTGTTTCAGCTCACACTCAGTGGGCTGCACCTACTGTCCTGCCCCCACTGTCCAACGATCCCCAGTGAGATGAACCCAGTACCTCAGTTGGAAATGCAGAAATCACCCGTCTGCGTCGCTCACGCTGGGAGCTGTAGGCTGGAGCTGTTCGTATTCAGCCATCTTGGAACTACCCCATATATATTAATTTATAATGGCTCTAGAAAATCTTAAATGTTCTAGAGTGGCATAACATTATAGTTTATTTTACTGATAAGTTCATATTTCAAGAATTACAGAAAGGGGTAATAAAAGTAGTGGCATAGTGTGGGCAACATGGTGAAACCCCATCTCCACAAAAAATACAAAAAAGTTAAGTGGGTATGGTGGCATGCACCTGTAATCCCAGCTACTCAGGAGGCTAAGGTGGGAGGATCACTTGAGCCCAGGGAGTGGAGGCTGAAGTGAGCCATGATTGTGCTACTGCACTCCAGCTTGTGCAACAGAGTGAGACACTATCTCCAAAAAAAAAAAAGTAATAATAACAATAATGACATAAAAAGAAAATATGAACAAAAAAAGTATGGTAATATAGAAAGTAATGAATTCAAGTGATAATGAATTATACATTTTCCATTCAATAAGTGCTTTAAAATTAATTTAAAACTAAACCCTGTAGTTTTTCATAGTCTATGGTTGTAAGACAGTATAGAACAGCATGTCAGGGCACAGAATCTCAAGTCAGAAAGTCCCTAGCTCTAGTGTTGGATCTATTATTTGTCAATTAGCTCTGCAATCTTGGAAAACTTATTCAAGCTTTCCATGCCTGTTTATCGTTAGGTACCTGTCCTGAAAGAATTAAATGAGATATTATGTAAAAGTTTTTAGCCTAACATACAGTTAATGTCTGTTTTTGTTAATTTTTACTAAACAACTATGCTTAGGATGACATCTTATGATTTCCAATCATCTTCTAATAATGTAAAACTGTAATAAATTGATAACAAATATAAGCTACTACTTACCTTTACCATTTTTTTCTTTTTAGTCTTTTTAGAACAGTTTTAGGTATAGAGATTTCCCTTATATCCCCCATCCCTACATATATACAGCCTCCCCACTATCAAAATCCTGTCCCATTTGTTACAATTCATGAATGTACACTGACACATCATTATCACCCAAAGTCTCTGGAGTTCATTTGTGGTGTTGTATATTCTACGGACTTTGACAAATGTATGATAACATGTATCCACCATCATAGTATTATATGTTAATAGTTTCACTTTCCTAAAAATCTTCTGTGCTCTGCCTATTCATCCCTCTCTCCCCAACCTCTGGCAACCACTAATTCTTTTACTGTATTCATAGTTTTGCCTTTTCTAGAATGTCATATAATTGAAATAATAAAGGATGTAGTCTTTTCAGATTGACTTCTTTCACTTAGTAATATGCATTTAACTTTTCTACATGTCTTTTCATGGCTCACCAGATCTTTTTTTAGGTCCTTAATATTCCATTGTCTGGATATTCCACACTTTTTTATTCACCTACTGAAAGGCATCTTGTTGTTCTTAAAGCTTTGGCAGTTATGAACAAAGCTGCTATATGCATTCATGTGTAGGTTTTTGTGAGGGCATACATTTTCAACTCATTTGGGTGAATCCAAAGAAGCACAATTACTAGACTGTATAAGAGTATGTTTAGTTCAGTAAGAAACTCACAAACTATCTTCTAAATTGGCAGTTCCATTTTGCATTCCCAGTAGCAATAAATGAGTGTTCCTGTTACTCTGCATCCTGCTACATTTGGTGGTGGTGTTTTGGTTTTGTCCATTCTAACAGATGTATAGTGATATTGTTTTAATTTGCAATTTCTTAACGACATGAAATGTCACACATCTCTTCATATGCTTATTTGCCATCTGTTCATGTATTTGGCCCATTTTTAATGAATTTGTTCATTTTCTTATCGTTGAGTTTTAAGAGTTCTTTGTGCATTTTGGGTAACAGTCCTTTACTACTAGTTATTTATCTTGCAAGTATTTTCTCCCAGGTTGTGACCTGTCTTCTCATTATCTTGGCAGTGCCTTTTGCAGCGAAGTTTTAAATTTTAATGAAGTCCAGTTTGTGTTTTTTTCTTTCATGAATCATGCTTTTGGTATTGTATCTAGAAAGTCATCACCAAACCTAAGGTCATTTATATTTTCTTCCATTTTATCCTGTAAAAATAGTGGCTGTAATTATCCTGTAAAAAATAATTTTATGGTTTTGTGTTTTACATTTAGGTCTTTGATCCATTTTGAATAAATTTTCATGAAGGGTGTAGGGTTTCTGTTTAAATTCATTTCTTTTTTTTCTTTTTTTTTTTTTGACGGAGTCTCGCTCTGTCGCCCAGGCTGGAGTGCAGTGGCATGATTTCAGCTCACTTCAAGCTCCGCCTCCCAGGTTCACGCCATTCTCCTGCCTCAGCCTCCCCAGCAGCTGGGACTACAGGCGCATGCCGCCATGCCTGGCTAATTTTGTATTTTCAGTGGAGATGGGGTTTCACTGTGTCAGCCAGGATGGTCTTGATCTCCTGACCTTGTGATCTGCCCACCTCGGCCTCCCAAAGTGCTGGGATTACAGGCGTGAGCCAACGCACCTGGCCCTAAATTAATTTTTTTTTTTTGCCATGAAGATTTACAATTATGCTTGCACCATTTGTTGAAAAGGTGTTTTCTTTTTTTTTTCTTTGAGGCAGGGTCTCACTCTGTTGCCCAAGCTGCAGTGCAGTGGCACAATCATGGCTCATTGCAACCTCAACCTCCTGGGCTCAAATGATCCTCCCACTTCAGCTTCCCAAGTATCTGGGACTACAGGTGCATGCCACCATGCTCGGGTATTTTTATTGTTTTATTTTTTTAATTTTATATAGAGATAAGGTTTCACCATGTTATCCAGGCTGGTCTTAAACTCCTGGGTTCAAGTGATCCTCCCTCCTGGGCCTCTCAAAGTGCTGGGATTACAAGCAAGAAAAGACTATCTTTGTTCCATTTATTCCCTTTGCTCCTTTGTCAAATATCTGCAGCCTGTATTTATGTGAATCTACTTCTGGGCTCTCTGTTCTGTTTCATTGATTTATTTGCCTACATTTTCACAATACCACACTGTAGCTGGGACTACAGGCGCATGCCACCACACGCAGTTAAGTTTTTTGTATTTTTTGTGGAGATGGGGTTTTACCATGTTGCACAGGTTGTGCCACAATTTTTATCACCCCCTTTTTTTATTACTGTCTTGATTGCTGTAGTTACAATAGGAAGCCCTAATGTCAGGTAGTGGCAGTGCTCTGAATCAATATTTCATTGAATATTCTGAGAATCAGTTTGTTGATATCCAAAAAATAACTTTCTGGGATGGCAACTGGAGTATATTTAAGCTATAGATCAATTAGGGCAAAACTAACATCTTAACAATATTAAGTTTTCTCATAATGAACATGGAATATCTCTCTAGTTCCTCTTTGATTTCTTTTCGTAGTTTTGGGGTTCTTTTTTCACATTGATCTTCCCCCCCATACTTTTGTTATATTTACACGTAAGTCTTCATTATTTTGAGTGCTAATATAAAAGGTGTTGTGGTTTCAATTTCAAATTTAACTTGTTCATTATTGGTATAGAGGAAAGTAATTGACTTATATATATTAACCTTGTATCCTGAAACCTCACAATAATCACTTCCTAGGTTTAGCCTTTTTGATTTTGTTGATCCTTTCAGATTTTCTACATAGACAATCATATTTCATGAACAAAGACAGCTTTATTTCTTGCTTCCCAATCAACATAATTTTGTTTCCTTTTCTTGTCTTATTGCATTAGCTAGGGCTTTCAGTATAATGCTGAAAAGCAATGGTGAGAGTGACATCCTTGCCTTGTTCCTAATCTTAGCAGGAAAGCTCTGAATTTCTCACCATTAAGTATGAGGTTAGTTTTATCCCATTGAGGAAGTTTTCTTCTATTCCTAGTTTTCTGGGAATTTTTATCATGAATGGCTATTAGATTTTGTCAGTTTTCTTCTGTATCTATTGATGTGATCATATAATTTATATTTTTAATCTGTTGTTGTGGATTAAATAAATTAATTTTTTGAATGTTGAATCAGCCTTGCAGACCTGAGATAAATCCCACTGGTCAAGGCATTTAATTCTTTTTATACATTATTGGATTCAATCTGTCCATATTTTGTTGAAGATTCCTCCATCTATGTTCCTGGAGGAAACAAAAAAAGAAAATGCCTTTTTTTGTTTTTTTGTTTCAATGCCTTTATCTGATTTTGGTTTTAGGGTAATGCTGGCCTCATGAAATGAGTTAGGAAGTGTACTCTCTACTTCTATCTCCTGGAAGAGATTGTACAGAATTCTTATAATTTCTTTTTAAATGTACAGTTCACCAGTTCACTCAACTGCTTCTGGTGCTTCCCTCTGTCTTGGAAGATTATTTATTATTCATTTAATTTATCTAATAGATATAAGCCTACTCAGATTTTTTGCTTAATGTCTTAGAAAGTTATTAACTATTGACTCCACTTATTTAATAGATACAAGCCTACTCAAAGTTTTTTATTTCTTCTTATGTAAATTTTGACAGATTTTTTCTTTAAAGAAATTGATCCATTTCATCAAGGTTATCAAGTTTGTGGGTGGGCATAGAGTTGTTTATAACATTCCTTTATTAACTTTTTGATGTCTATAAGATATGCACTGATGTCCCCTCTTTCATCTGATATTAGTACTTTTTGTCTTCTCTCAGACATTTTGGCATTTGGGCCACCAAAATTTCTGATGAGAAATCTGCTGATAACCTTATTGAGGATTCCTTACATGTGAGAAATTGGTTCTGTTTGTCTTTAAAATTCTCTTTGTCCTTGTCTTTGGGAAGTTTGATTATAATGTGTCTCAGTTATTATTCGCTGTGAGTTCATTCTACTTGGAGTTCATTTAACATCTTAGATCTTAATATTAATGCCTTTCATTAAATTTGGGAATTTGGGGCCATTATTTTTTCAGATTTTCTCTGTGCTCTTTTTGTGTGTAGGTCCACTTGATGGTGTCCCAGTTATCCCTTAGTCTCTGTTTACTTTTCTTCAATATTTTCTTTCTGTTTTTCAGATTTGATAATTTACATTGTCTTATCTTCAAGTTTGCTGATTCTTTCTTCTGTCTGTTCAAAACTGCCTTTGAATCTCTCTAGTAATTTTTTCGTTTTAGTTATTGTACTTTTCATCTACAGAATCTATTTTTGGTGTTGTGTCAGATTGCTTAACTCTATATTGCTATTTCTATTTTGTTTGTACATTGTTTTCTTGACTTTTTCCATTTCTCCCTTCAGCTCTTTGAACATCTTTAAGACAGCTCTTTTAAAGTCTTTGTCTGGCAGATCCACCATCAAGATTTTCTCAGAAACAGTTTCTTATGGTTTGTTTTTTCTTTAGAATGAGTCGTACTTTTTCATTTATTTTTATGCCTTCTGATTGTTTTGTTGAAAAGCGGACATGTGAATGTAATTGTGTGGTAACTCTGGAAATCCAATACTACCTTTTACTCAAGATTTGGTTTTTTTATTCTTTATTTTTTATACATATTTTTATTATACTTTAAGTTCTAGGGTACATGTGCACAACGTGCAGGTTTGTTACATATGTATACATGTGCCATGTTGGTGTGCTGCACCTACTTTTTTATTTTTATTTTTTGATTGTTGTAAGTTGCCTCTGTGTTCATGATCAGCCTGAAGAGTAAGCTAAAGGTCTTCTCAGGTCTTTTAAAAGCCTGTTTATTTTTTCTTCCACATCCAAAGAGTATGAATTTGTTCTACTAATTGTGGTTCAGTGAGTTCTTAGCATCACAGACCAGTAAAAGTCAATTATGTGTTACTGCTTCTCCCTCTCCCAATGTCATCCCCTATTTTCACTAACCATTCTAACAGTCTTCTTTGCTAAATTATTCTCCTTTTTCAGGTTTCTAAAACTTACACTACCCCAGGGATTAGCTCTTAGATTTCTCCTCTTCCCTATATATACTTATTTGTGGAATGATCTCTTCCAGTTAAATGACTTAAGGATAAACAATAGGATAAACATTTCTTAATTCATAACTCTGATAAACATTAATTATTTTCAGAAAAAAAGAGTAAAGTAAAGCCCCCTATGACCAAGCACATCCCTCTACATATCCAATTAATTCTCTTCATAGTAGCTGGAATCATTTTTAAAAAGTAATTCAGGCCACGGAAAAACAGAAATCCTTATGAGCATTAGCACTGCAACATTGCATGGTCAGCATTAATTGGAAATGACATCTATTTTTGACAACAATACAGCAACACAGGCCAGATTTATCTTCCCATATGGAACAGCTGAAAAAAACAACAAAATATAAGACACAATGGCTCTCAAGACAGTGTTCTACAAAGGACATTGATTCTGACAGATGATAGACAAATAAAGTGAGGCCTACAATTATCCCATCTCGCTGCCTGGAGAAAGTTTCCAGGGCATGGCATAGTGAGGGAAAACCCAGGCAGTGATTAGCAAGTTCCCTCAGCTGAGAAGATAATTCTGGGAGTGTGACAAAACCAAGGAGGCTAGATGTCACAGAGCTCAGTACCAGAGGGACAGTATGGCTGAGTGAGGGAGCTCCAGAGATCTGCAGGAGATCTTCAAATATTCAGCTGAGTATTGATCATCACATATATGTGAAGAAACTACCTAAAGGAATCACTCAAAAGGATTAGTAGACACATTGTCTAGATATCACACAAAGCCAGGAATAGTGTCTGCCGTTAATCACCTGAATGGGTAATCTTATAATTCGCAAGGAATCAGCTAAAGTATTAAGGAAGTTTTTCCTAGTAATGGAGTCAAATGATCCAAGAATAAATGCTACCCTGATATGGCCTAACAAATAAAAGCGAAACCTAAAAGCATTAAACTGCTTTCAACCAACAACAAGATCCCAGAACAAAGCTCAACAACATTTTTAGGAATAGAAAAATATCTAATATCCAACTAGGTAAAATTCACATTGTTTGGTGTCAAATAAATAATTACTAGGTATGCAAAGAAGTAGGAAATATGTCCTATGACCCATACTGAGAAGGAAAATCAATCATTCAAAACTTATATATAAATGACACAGATAATAGAATTAATATATGATTAGTTATTAATCATATAATTATATTATTAATATATAAACTTAGAGATATGAAAGAGATCAAAAGAGCCTAACCAAACTTCTAAAGATGAAATCTACAATGTATAAGGTTAAAAATGTACTGAATGGTAGCAACAGTACGATTAGATGTGCAGGGAAAATAATCAGTGAACTTGAAGACATAGTGCAAACATTTAAAGTGAAACACAGAAAAAAGATGGAAAAAAGAACATCAGTGAACTAGAGGCTAACTCTAAGCAGCCAATTATATATGTAATCAGAATCCTTAGTGAAGAAAAGAGAGGAGGTAAAGAAAATTATTTTTCAAATTTGATGATAATTATAAATACATTGATACAAGACAGTCAATTAACTCTAAGTAGAAAAACATGAAGAAAATATACCAAGGCATATCATAATTAAATTTTCTCAACCTAATAATAAAGAGAAAATGTTTAAACATCCAGAGGACAAAAGACACATTATGTACAGAGGAGCAAAACTAATATTGTCAGCAGACTTCTCATTGGAAACAATGCAAGCTAGAAAACAGTGGAGCAACAGTTTTACAGTAACAAAAGAAACAAAAGAATCTTTCAACTATACTTTTACCCAGTAAAAATGTCTTTTAAATATTAAGCAAAATAAAGGCATACTCAGACATACAAAAGCTGAAAGAATTCACCCCCAGCAGACTTACACTATAAGAAATGTTAAAGAAGCCGGATGCGGTGGCTCCCGCCTGTAATCCCAGCAATTTGGGATGCCGAGGTGGGTGGATCATCTGAGGTCAGGAGTTCAAGACCAGCCTGGCCAACATGGTGAAGCCCCGTCTCTACTAAAAATATAAAAATTAGCCAGGCATGGTGGCAGATGCCTGTAATCCCAGCTACTCGGGAGGCTGAGGCAGGAGAATCACTTGAACCTGGGAGGCAGAGGTTGCAGTGAACCAAGATCACACCATTGCACTCTAGCCTGGGTGACAGAGCAAGACTCCATTTCTCTCTCTCTCTCTCTCTGTATGTGTGTATATATATATATATATATATATATATATATATATATATATATACACGTGTATATATATATATACACGTGTATATATATATACACACACACACACACACAGACACATACACACACACACGCACACATATTATATATATATGAAAGTCTTCCAAGCAGAAGGAAAATAATGCGAGATGGAAATCTGGATCTATACAAAATAATAAAAAGCACTGGAAATGGTTACTATTTTTAAGGGAAAAAAAAAACCCAAAACTTCAATCTAGCCTTCTTTTTTTTTAATTTTATTATTATTATACTTTAAGTTTTAGGGTACATGTGCACAATGTGCAGGTTTGTTACATATGTATACATGTGCCATGTTGGTGTGCTGCACTCATTAACTTGTCATTTAGCATTAGGTATATCTCCTAATGCTATCCCTCCCCGCTCCCCCTACCCCACAACAGTCCCCGGAGTGTGATAGCCTTCATTTTCTGTTCAAGAATTAGCTCATAATCAATGATGGCCATAACTGTAAAATCTAAAACTATACAACTTCTAAAAGAAAACATAGAAGAAATTTGTAACCTTGGGTTGGGCAGAGATTTATCAGGTGAAATACAAAATGAATAATTCATAAAAGAAAACAATAATAAGCAACTGGCTTTTATCAAAATAAAGAACTGATCTTCAAATGACACTAGTAAAAGTACTAAAACACTGAGCAAAAATGTGTGCAAATCACATATCATATCAAGAAATTTTGTCCAGAATATACAAAGAAATTTTGATGCTCAATAATAAGAGAATAAACAACTCAATTTAAAGATGTACAAATATTTGAACAAACTCATCACCAAGAAGACATACAGATGTCTACTAAGCACATGCAAAGATGTTCAACATAATTAGCTAGGAGGAAAATGCAAATTAAATCCACAGTGAGATACCACTATATACCCAGTGAAATGGCTAAAATTAGAACAAACAAGCAAAGAAACAAAAAGACTTGACCATTACAAGTGTTGGCAAGATAGGGAGAAATAGAAATCCTCACATACTGTTGGTGAGAATGTATAAAGAGACAGCTACTTTGGAAAATAGTTTGGCAACTTCTTAAAAAGTTAAAGGTACATCTGCCATATGATTTAGTCATTCTATTCTTAGGTATTTATCCAGTGAAAATTAAAGCATATGTGCAGACAGACTTGCACACAAATTATCCCAGTAGCCTTCTTTCTAACAGCAAAATACTGGGGAAAAAAACTAAATACCGGTGAAATTTCTATACGATGACATCTTATTTATCAACAAAAATGAATGAACGGCTGACACACAAAACAGCATCAATGATTCTCGAAATAATCATGCTGAGTAAAAAAGCTAGACCAAAAAAAGAAAAAAAAGCTCCTGCTTTTTGTAATGTTCCAATTCTAAGGTAGGATGGTCAAATTCTAGAACAGTCAAACTAATCTACGATGATAGAAAGCAGATCAATAATTGCCTGGGGATAAAAGCAGTGGGGAGGGATAGGGTAGAGGAATTGTATAGGGCATGGAGGAAAGTTTCTAGGGGAAGAATATGCTCATTATATTGATTGCAGTAATGATTTCACAGGCTTATACATATGTTAAAATGTATCGTATTATACACTTTAAACATTCGCAATTTGCAGTATGTCAGTTGCACTTCAATAAAATTATAAAAATAAAACAAATCACTCTTCTGCTCATTGCCCTCTAATGTCTTTCCATTTGTTTTAGAAGAACATTTAATGTTCCTACTATGAGTTCAAAGGTTCTACATGATCTGGCTCCTTGCTAGTGTTTTATACTTTTTATTATTAACTTCATCTAGTCTTCCTTTTGACACCGAACATAAGCATGTTCCTGGTCAAAAACACTTGTTATTCTCTCAACTGCATAAACCTTCCCTACGGATATTTACATCTTGCTTCCTCATTTTCTTTAATTCTCTAATCCAGTGTTACCTTCTCAGAGAAAGCTTCCCTGGCCACACTGTTGACAGTAGTCCTCACACACTTAGGACATGTCACTCTTCATCCTATTACCCCAATCCACCTATCTCCCTGGATCTTATCACCACCTGGTATTACATTAAATAATTATTTATTTATTATTCATTTCCCCATTAGAATGTGAGAGCCATGGTTATGGAGAACTTGTCTGTTTTGTCCAGTGCTATAACTCTATCAACTGGAACAGTTTCTAACATATTATACAGTCAATAAAGATTTATTGACACAAATATCTAGACACAGGCTGTCTTAGTTGGTTTGTGTTGCTATAACAGAGTAGCTGAGACTAGGTAATTCATAAAGAACAAAAACTTATTTCTCACAGTTAAAGAGGCTAGGAAGTCCAAGATTAATGTGCTGACATCTGGTGAGGACATGTTTGCTATGTCCTGACATGTGTGAAGTTTCTTGTATAAGAACCTTAATTCCATTAATAAGGGAGAAGCCCTTATGGCCTAATCACCTCTTATAGACCGCACCCCTTAATACTATCAGATTGGCAAAACCTGAATTTTAGGGGGCCACATTCAAACCACAGCAAGTGCTAAACCCTTGCTTCTTGTACACTATTATACTGGAACACTCATTGTTACCAATTTAAATTTTTCCTTCTATTTTTTCTTGAGATATGTTGATATATGTGTTAGGATTGGAGTCTTAAACTATTGGTACAGTGGTCCCCCCTTCATAGGGGATACATTACAAGATAGTGGATGCCTTTAACTACAGATAGTACCAAATCCTATATACACCATGTTTTCTCCTATATGTACATATGATAAAGTTCAATTTATAAGTTAGGCACAATAAAATATGAATAACAGTAATAATAAAATAGAACAATTATAACAATATGCTGTTCACAATTTCATGGATAGAAGATTTATTCTTACCGTAAATCTTAGCAACCTTAGCATATATATGTTTTAAATTTTCCTATTAAGTAGAAAACTTTCATCATTTTACTTTAAGGAATTACTTTATGAATTCTTTTTGGGATATCCTAATTGCCAGTATCATTACTCTTATTTCTGGAGACATTATTAAGTAAAATAGGGGTTACTTGAACACAAGCACTGCATACTATATCAGTTAATCTGATAGCCAAGAAAGCTACTAAGTGACTAAGGGGCAGGTGGCATTGACAGCATGCATACACTAGGAAAAGTGATGATTCACATCCCAGGTGGGATGGAGCAGGACATTGAGATTTCATGTCGCTACTCAAAACTGTATGCAATTTAAAACTTATACATTGTTTAAATTCTAGAATTTTCCATTTAATATTTTTGGATCTCAGTTGACTTCTGGTAGCTGAAACTGTAGGAACTGAAACTGCAGATAAGGGTTGGGTGGGGGGGGGGACTATTGTATTATCTCTAACCTAACTTTTTCCAGAGTGCAAAGAATCATGCTGAAATGGGTAGTGATACCTAAATTCAGTAGAATATTATGATGCCTAAGACATATAGGGCTAAAGTCCTAAGATAAAGCAACTTAGAGCTGTAAAATAAATGTAGATGACATGAAATTGTATCACGTCTAAGAAATATAATAAAAAATTATAAAGTATTCACCAAGTATGTTTTTATTCTATTACAGTCAACAGATAGTTATTTTACACCTGTGAGTCAGAAATGCTTTTTCATTAAAAATAAAGTCTTGCATAAAATATACTGTCTTCATACTTTTTAAATTCCATATCATTTTTTAGTTTTCTCCCTTAATACTCCAAAGTGAAAAGCCTAATAAATTTATGATGGCCCTAACACATTCAGGATCTCTGAGGGAAACTTCTACCATCAACTAAGATTGATGGAGCAAAGCCAGAAATGTGTAAGGGAAAGCTCATTTGTTTGCCAGGCCTCAAAGTAGAGACCTGGTGTCTAAGTGTCTTTTAATTAGGTAACGCCTGTGGCTATTCTCATTTATTTAAGTCACTTATCAGCGCTCGCAGCTTTTTTCTTTCTTTTTTTTTTTTTTTTTTCACATATTAGTTTATTTATTTATTTTTTTTAATTTTTTTTTTTTTTATTATACTCTAAGTTTTAGGGTACATGTGCACATTGTGCAGGTTAGTTACATATGTATACATGTGCCATGCTGGTGCGCTGCACCCACTAACGTGTCATCTAGCATTAGGTATATCTCCCAATGCTATCCCTCCCCCCTCCCCCGACCCCACCACAGTCCCCAGAGTGTGATATTCCCCTTCCTGTGTCCATGTGATCTCATTGTTCAATTCCCACCTATGAGTGAGAATATGCGGTGTTTGGTTTTTTGTTCTTGCGACAGTTTACTGAGAATGATGGTTTCCAATTTCATCCATGTCCCTACAAAGGACATGAACTCATCATTTTTTATGGCTGCATAGTATTCCATGGTGTATATGTGCCACATTTTCTTAATCCAGTCTATCATTGTTGGACATTTGGGTTTGCAGCCAAAAAACACATGAAGAAATGCTCATCATCACTGGCCATCAGAGAAATGCAAATCAAAACCACTATGAGATATCATCTCACACCAGTTAGAATGGCAATCATTAAAAAGTCAGGAAACAACAGGTGCTGGAGAGGATGTGGAGAAATAGGAACACTTTTACACTGTTGGTGGGACTGTAAACTAGTTCAACCATTGTGGAAGTCAGTGTGGCGATTCCTCAGGGATCTAGAACTAGAAATACCATTTGACCCAGCCATCCCATTACTGGGTATATACCCAAAGGACTATAAATCATGCTGCTCTAAAGACACATGCACACGTATGTTTATTGCGGCACTATTCGCAGCTTTTTTCAATTGCTTCCGGAAGCAGTTTAGGCTTCCTGGTGGTCTGGATGTTGGATGCGTTGAAGAGGACATGGTAGGGTTATATGCTCTTCTGAAATCGGCAGGCTGCCTTGTAGATCTGGTCCTAACAAACATATTTCAGTTCTTATTCTTGTTGCTTCAGAAGGGGCTAGAGGAGAGTCTTTTCAAATTGGCTTCAATTAGTGTGGGCAACAGAAAAATGTAGAGGACACATTTTAATCTGATTTCATGCACTTGGAGTAAACATCGGTTTTTCTCAGTTTATGGTGGAAGTTTCCACCAAAGAACCAAAACCTTCTTTGGGGCCATTTGAACTACTTGGCAGAACAAAGATGAGTGCTTTTGGGTTCGGGCTTCTGTTTCCCTCATGCCTTATTAAATCCCAATACATATATTTAGCAACAGAGAGCTGCATATTTTGTAAGAATATTTTCACTAACTATTATTGCCTCTTAGGTGATATGACATGTGAGAGCCTACATTTTTACGTAGTAAAACTTCTACAAATTGAGGAGTAATGTATTATCAGCCACCTGGTACATTCATATTAAATACCAAAATAGGTCCACAATGTCTTTATGTGTCCAATAAAGGGCTATTTTTCTTATTCAAAATGATGTTTTAAGGAATGCTTTATGCTGGGTGATTAACATGTTCCCAAATAGCAGTTCTCACTAATGCAAAGCAGAACAGAATTTCATTCTTCTGTTCAGGATTTAGGCTGAGTAAAAATACTTCACTGTCATAAAGACAAAAGCCACAGCTGGATAGATGGCAGAAAAGCACTCATTAAACTTTAAAACCTAAAGCATATTTTAAACTACAAACTACTTCAAACATCATAAATATCCTAAATTCTTAGGCCAGCAACTAACCTCTACCTCCTTCCTACATTGTTTTTAAATGAATGGCAGCTGCTGCCCATACCCAAGACTGAAAAGAAGGGGAAAAAATTCCTTAAGTCGATGGTTAAAGTTTCAGAAGATTTTATTCTTTTTGTCAAGTTCTCTTCAAAAGTTAGTGATATTTGTCTTATGAAAGAAAGTATTCTGTCATGGAAATCAAATACCTCAATACAATACTCAACAAATATAATTTTATAGCATTTTGGCTTTCATTTATTTACTCTAAAAATTTTACACATGGAATGCATATTTGTTCATATCTTTGAAATATTTCACAACCTTTATCAACACATTGAGTGGTGAAGGGATTTTATACTCTTCCTCCCAAGTGGTATATTACAGAGACTCCTCATAGAGTTGCCACTGAATCAGACTATCCCAGTGAAATACAGGATCACTGGACAAGTCACAAAAGGACATAACAAACTAGTTCAATGTCATTATTCAACAAGTTATTATTCACAAATTATGAAGGCTGATTATTATATACTAGAAAATTCAGTATGATGAAAACGACATCCCCGCTTTTGACATTTATGTCAGGAAGAATGGCAAAATTGTATGTGTGGTAAGTGTTATAGAACAGTAATTTCAAAGTATGCCATATCTTTAATAAAAGAACGCTAAACTGAAATGTCATGAACTCAAAAATACCCTCCTCTTACAAGTTTTAACGAACACTCTTCAGTATTTAGCAACTAAAATAGTATAAGAGATAATCATGTGAAATTCGTTAACATGACATTCAGAATAAATTCTGAGGAGGAAATAATTTTCTCTTAGGAAAAATTTTCAGTTATATTTAATCACTCAAACTTCTTTTATGTGCTAATTTTCAGAAATAATCTTTACTTCACCCTTTTATGTTAAGATCAAGGTACATTTTATTTAAAATACAATAACAATCATCACTTTAGAACTTCACAAAATCTTGTCCTATTGTAAAAAAGCCTATTTGTTTCCTCATTACACACCTTACAGTGGAGTATAATTCTCTTTGAGAGGGCATTCCACCCATAAGTCAAAATACTTGAATGATGGTAAAAGAAATGATAAACTGTGGTCTATTTTTTTTCTTGTGGCAACCACTTTTTGCCATTTACTTACCAATATGTAAATTACCTGATCATTATAGGCACACTGCATGATTGAACTAAACTTGGTTCACAGTTATTTAAAATGAGAGACTTGATTATGCCAGCTGAGAGAGCAGAGTTTTAGCTCTTGATAAGACAGATGGCACTGTAAAACTACCTATCTCCATCCCCTGTCCTCCTAATCCCCCAACCTCCCACTAACTTACTGCTCTAACCTGACCTCACTCAGTGTAGGACACATGCTATTCACCATTATATGTTTTAGTCCCAGTACCGGTCCTAGCTTATATCATCCTTTCTGTTGTCAAGAACTGTGAACATAGTGAGATTTTACCTTACTTGCAAGCTATCAAGTTAGTCTGCCACAGTTTCATGATGTGGGCAGAGGACACAAGAATCATGGGTCAGAGATAAGGTCAGTTTATTACTTATAGCAATAGCAGTACCCAGAGTGTCACATTGTGCTGGTTCTTCATGGCCCAATCACCACTGAGCAATAGGGTACAGGGCCAGGTGATGTCTATACATTCAGTGGGTTGTGTAACTGGGGAGAAACCTTGAGTTTAGGGAACCAAGTTAATTATACTGGCCAGTAAGTATGCCTGCCCTTTACTGTATACTATGTCTCCCTTCGAAGGATCTTCACTATATAAACATTCTTACAAAGATAGTATGGAACACAAACAGCACTTATGTTAGCAAGATCTGCAGGAATGTAAAAGATTCATGGAGAACTATATTCCAACATAATTTCATGTTAAGGTAATGCGTTTGAGTTGTTTTTACTGAGTAGGTGAATAGTAGAATGAAGAAACTCTAGAGCTCATAGTTCACAAAAGATACATAGTGGCAACCACAGGAAAGGACATTTTTATGTCATCTGCTGCAAAGAAGAGCCCTTGCCATTTTTAAGAATAACATCTGTCAATATGGACCTCTCCTTTCTTCCACTTACACTCTTCAGGTTGCATGTTGTCCTTCTGTGATACCTTCTCTATAGTCTCCTTATTGTCTATGTGGCTCTTTTGTCTACTTAGTCTTTGTAGCACACAGTGAAATGTAAAAATACATAGCTTTTGGGGTCAGAAAACTGGGTTCTAAACTGAATTCTTTTCTACTAGTTATGCAACCTTGGGTAAATAATTTAAAATCACTATCAATTTTCTTATATGTAAAATTAGGGGGCTAAATTTGGAACACTGTTCTGTTACCCCAATTATGTTTTTTACTTGTGCTTTTATGGTTTAATTGATTACGAGTGTTATTGATGTGTTAGTACCTGTATGTGTACAGGCCGGGTGTGGTGGCTCAAGCCTGTAATCCCAGCACTTTGGGAGGCCGAGGTGGGTGGATTACTTGAGGTCAGGAGTTCAAGACAACTCTGGCCAACATGATGAAACCCCATCTCTACCAAAAATACAAATTAGCCGGGCGTGGTGGCACATGCCTGTAATCCCAGCTACTCAGGAAGCTGAGGCAGGAGAATTGCTTGAGCCCAGGAGATGGAGGTTGCAGTGAGCAGAGATTGTGCCACTGCATTGTAGCCTGGGTGACAGAGTGAGACTCTGTCTCAAAAAAAAAAAAAAAATTTGGAAACCTAATATCAGCGTGTTTAAGCAACTGCGTGTTTGCCCAAGATCACAAAGCTGGTACTATATATTGTTTTCCTTCCCGTGTCACAGACAATTCCCTGTGGAATTCTGTCTCACAGGATATCTGGCTTGAAATAGAGAGGATAAGGAGTGTGTTGTCTTTTTTATGTTATCTCTGTTCTCTCTTCTTCAAGCTTCTCTGATATCTCCAGCGAAGTCACAGGGTTCACTAGCCATTGTGAACTGAGGCAATATTATTTCTAATTATTTCTAACACATTTTAATGTTTTCCATTATGATAATATGTATATTTATATAAAACATACAATTTGTTATTTTAATTTCCTTCACAAAGTTGTGCAACCTCTACTAATTTGTTTAGTCTCATCATCTGAAGTTTTTATTTTTGTGTATGCCTTACAATGTGTAGAATAAAGTAGTACAGTAGCATATGCATTTTTAAATGATCTTTTAAAATATAGGCACATTGGGGGGTGTGTCTGCAATTTTTTTTATGATGGTGCATAACCAAAAATCATGGGGACCACTGGCTTAGGGAAATACTCCATGATCTTCTACCACATCCACCAGTTGATCTGTGTTCATCGATTGTGCTCACTTTCTTCTAATTCCTCTTCCTCAGACTGAATGATGTCAAACAAATATGGCAGTCAATTATTGGCTAGTACTAAAAGGGATTAACTCTTCTTTCCCTTTCTCTCCCTCCCTTTCCCTCCCTCCCTCTCTCCCTCCCTCCCTCCCTCTCTCCCTCCCTCGCTACCTCCTTCCTTCCTCCCTTCCTTCCTTCCTTCCTTCCTTCCTTCCTTCCTTTTCTTTCTTTTCTCTTTCTTTCACTCTTCTTTTCTCCTTTCCTTTCCTTTTCTTTTTTCTTGAGACAGGGTATCCTTCCATCACCCAGGCTAGAATTCAGTAGCATGATCACGGCTTACTGCACCCTCAGCTTCTTGGGCTCAAGCCATCCTCTTGCCTCAGCCTCCTGAGTAGCTTGGACCACAGGTGCACACCACCATGCCTGCCTAAATTTTTTTATTTTTTGTAGAGACAGGGTCTCATTATGTTGTCCAGGTTAGTCTCGAACTCCTAGGCTGGAATGATCCTCCCACCCGGACCTCCCAGTGTGTTGGAATTATGGGTACGCCCAGTACTGGAATACCAAAGATTCTGAATCTAAGATGGGAGATCTAAGATAGCACCTACAAATCTGTATTTTAAACTATCACCCAATTGATTTTGTTAGGGGCCAAATATGGACTGGTTTTTAATTAAAGAATATGTAGATGAGACAAGATACCATTTTAAAGTTGGGAATAATTTCTTCATATTATCTCTGGAATTGAATTCTTTGAATGGTTGAAACTAAAAAATTGACATTTCAATAGTCGAACTATTGCTATTTAAGTACAGCTTTAAGCACTTGTTTCTGCAAAGCTTATCTGCTCTTAATTATGAAAAATTAAAGCATTTGCTTTAAACAATATCCTTGATTCCAATTTTAGAAGAGCTACTGGGGGAAGAGGACAGAGGTGAAGAACAACCTTGAATCTGGAAGGAAACAACAGTAAAGTCTGGAATGTTGACTAACACTGGGCATTCACTAGAGGGTCAAAAAAAAGATTATAAAATTATCTGATGTGGCACTAAAACTGCCAGGACAGTTCCACTGCTTTTACTCATTCCCAGCTCTCATATACTCATTACAGATAAGCAGATGAGAAGAGTGGTATGAGGCAGAATTTCCAAGCATCTAAAGATTGTTTTCAGATTAAACCCAACGAACAGGGGCAACCCAATAAGATGCTCTATGAGAGAAATGTAACGTTGAGCGTTTTACCACCGTACCTGATTATGGTAAAGTTAATGTATAAAGTGGACACTAATTACCCACACCTAATTCGCTTCTCTGTTTAAGCAAATTCAATTAAATTAACAAGCAATGGAAAGATGATACACCATCTTTTTTTTTTTTTTTTTTTGAGACAGAGTCTTGCTCTGTCGCCCAGGCTGGAGGGCAGTGGCGCGATCTGGGCTCACTGCAAGCTCCGCTTCCCAGGTTCACGCCATTCTCCTGCCTCAGCCTCCAGAGTAGCTGGGACTACAGGCGCCCGCCACCATGCCTGGCCAATTTTTTTGAGTTTTTAGTAGAGATGGGGTTTCACCGTGTTAGCTAGGAGATACACCATCTTTTGCTATGTAGAGCTAAATAATTTGCTGAAATTAGTAATCTTTCTTAGATTTTAAAAAATAAATACCCAGAAATTGGCACTGAAATAGACATTTTGTATCACAACTTATACTCTCAATTGTATGACAACACAGTTTGGCTACAGCTCCAGCACTGGTTAGGTGTTTGCAATAAATCACCTCGGTTTTAGTGAGAAGTGAGAAGTACTTCAAATGTAGTTGTTCCATAAAATATTAATCTAAATTTGGAAATGGACTGTTATTTTCAAATCAGTTTCTATTCCATTAGCAGGTGCTGGAGCAGTTTTCAAAGTGACTGCATTCAACTTACTCACAGGGACAGTGATCAATTTATTACTGTGTGCATTTATTTCGCCAAGACAAGGTTTCCAAGGACCCACTGGTTGAATTTTCACGGCATTTTATCTGCATTTTCGAACCAATTTTTTTTTAGGGGAAAGCCTCAGGGTTAGGTTTTTCATATTTATTTCCATATTTTAGGTGCAGAGTTGTATTAGAAGTCCACACATCCCATGAAAGGCATGGAAAAATAGAAAGTTATTCATCAGATTGCAATGGACCTCTTATATAGTAAGTATCTCCTCATGTCCTTGTCTAGGTATCTGAGTCAGCACCATGTATTAGAATAAGTCTGTATTTTTGAGTCAATCGGAATTTGCAGTTACTTAAGCCCTCTGATCTTCAGTGACTTGTCTATAAAATGGAAAAACATACTTAATTTGTTGGTAAATAGTGTGTAAGTGTCAAATAAATATAAGTGTCCAGAATAATACCTGTCAAATAAGGAATATTTACAGAGCACTTTTTTCTTAATCGTGCATTGCTTACATTATAAATTAGAAGAGAGTGAAGTCAGATTTTACAAGAAAATGTTACACCTTTTCCTTGTAAAACAAATAATTATCCTTTTACATATGTGTGTTTATATCCTTTAATGTATGTGCCTCATTTCACAGGATTGAGTCAAGCTGTAAAAATATTTTAAATACAGTAAAATTGAAAATAAAATAGAGCCAGAAAATATATTGACTAAAGATATAAAAGAGAGAAATATAATATAGAAATTATGAAAAATAGACCTTAAGTCCATATACATTTTTCCCTACTAAATAGGCCTAAAAATTAGGCTCTGTGCTCCCAAGGGACCAAAAGCAAAAGGGAAAACAAAACCAACACCAAACTGTAGCTTACTTATTTTAAACAGCTTAGCAATCTCACGCCAGAAGTGAAACTTTTCATAAGAGAGTGCCAAGAAGTGTTGCATGCTCGTTTTTTCTTTTTCTTTCTTTCTTTTTTTTTTTTTTTGAGACAGAGTTTCACTCTGTCACCCAGGCTGTAGTGCAGTGGCACGATCTCAGCTCATGGCAACCTCTGTTTTTTGGGTTCAAGCCATTCTCTGCTTCAGCCCCCCGAGTAGCTGGGATTACAGGTGCCCACCACCACACCTGGCTATTTTTTTTTGTATTTTTAGTAGAGACAGGGTTTCATCATCTTGTCCATGCTGATCTTGAACTCCTGACCTTGTGATCCACCGGCCTCAGCCTCCCAAAGTGCTGGGATTACAGGCATGAGCCACCATGCCCAGCCACCATGCTTGTTTTTTAAGGCACGTGTAGTAGGTAACATACTCGACCCCGCTGATACAAATACACAAGGGAAGAGCTCTGAATGAGGTCATCATGCTGGAGGAGCGCCAGGGACACACTCCAGCTAGCAGGTAAGTATACTGAGTCCTGAGAAGCAGTTCTCAAATAGCTCAATATGGATCCCTCTTATCTCCTCACCTTTTACCCTCAAACAATAAAACATCTAATCAAAATTTACATTCTCCAATTGCTCATCCAACAACATGCCATGAGATAACTCCCAGGAGCTAGCAATGTAAAAGCAAGTGAGCATCCTGCATGGATGGCACTGTTGCTTTCCTCCGAGGAGTTTAGGAATTTCTTTTCACCTTACAGAAGCTGGGTTGTTTTGAAGCTGGTCAGTTTAGTAATGCATAGTCTTATAGTTTAAAAAAAAAAAGAGACTTTATTTTTTAGAGCCGTTTTAGGTTCATGGTAAAATTGAAGGGAAAGCACACAGATTTCCCATATTCCTCTTACTGCCACAAGTGCATAGCCTCCCCCATTATCAACACCCCCCACCAGAGTGGTACATTTGTTACATCAGTGAACGTACACTGACACATCACCCAAAGTCTATATTTTACATTAGAGTTTATTCTTGGTGTTGTTCATTCTATGGGTTTGGACAAATGTATAATGACATAGATCCATCTTTACAGTATAATACACAGCAGTTTCACTGCCCTAAAAATTCTCTGTGCTCTGCCTATTCTTTCTTCCCTTCCTCTTAATCCCTGGACACCATGGCTCTTTTCACTTTTATCTAGTTTTGCGTTTTCTAGAATAGGTGTAGTTGAACTCAAACAGTACATAGCCTTTTCAGATTGTCTTTTTTATTCAGTCACGTGCATTTAAGTTTCCTCTATGTCTTTTTATGGCTTGAGAGCTCATTCTTTTTGGCGCTGAATAATATTCCATTGTCTGTAGGTACCACAGCTTATCTATCCATTCACCCAGCGGGGACATTTGGTGGCTTCTAAGTTTTGACAATTATGCATAAAGCTGACACAAACATTTATGTGCAGGGTTTTTTTTTGTGGAAATAAGTTTTCAGCTCATGCTGGTAAATACCAACGAATGGATTTCTGGATGGTGTGATAACAGTTATATTTAGTTTTGTAACAAACAGCCAAACTGACTTCCATGATGGCTGTACCATTTTGTATTCCTGCAGTATCCTGTTCGCACACTCTGGTTTTTTGCTCTCCCTTTTCCCATGCCTCCATTTTCTTTTTCATGATTTTTTTGGAAACACATTCTGATAATATATCAGCATGTAATATTTTGACTGAGGCTTTGTTTTCTTAGAAATATGGGCTAATGTGACTGACATCTGTATCGTGCTACCCATAAGCTGATGGAATCACTTCACCTCATGAGCCATCATCCTCATCATTGTGTATCAGCAGTGAGGGAATTTTGGGGATTGAGGCTCCTTTCTCAGAGGCTAAAAACTAAATGAAAGCGCAAATCCGGAGACGTAAGTTGACCACTGAAGCTTGTCTTTGATCTTGAGCACATTTTCAAAGCTGGGTGAACTTGATCAGCAGTTTCTAGTACAACACTTTGCTGAGGTAAAGGGAACAAAGTTCAGGGTCTGCCAATGGTACCGTCGAATAGGAGAGAAATGTATAATCTGCAACGTTAAGGGGCTGCACTGTCAGTGTCATGACAAAAAGGAAATGTTTCATGTCCTTTCACCGTACTACAAAGAAAATTGTCTTTCACAAACCATGACACTTAGATGAGGGGAAAAATATTCTCCTTTGAGAATTTGTAACTATTGCCAGCCTGAATCTACATTAGCTGACTGGAACAAAATACCTCAAGCTGAGAATTTATTGTAAAGTGATCCCAAGCTGTAGTGACCCGAGGTACTGGCAGAAACAAATATAAATTTTCTCTGATGGAACTCCCGTTTAGGTCTCAAAATAATTCCCACAGGTACGTTCCAAGATATATAAGCTCACAGTCAAAACTCGAAATTCACAAGAAAACAAGCTATCATGTAAGACCCAGTGAATTTGCTGACAGTTGAATTTGACATGCAAAGCCTTTGAAATCTGGTAGTGTGAGACAAGCCATATGCTCAAAATGTTTAATAACATAAATGACGGGATTGAATATATAAGTCAAGAAGGAAAAAATATCAGGCAGATTCCTAGAAAAATGGAACAAGAGGACCAAATTGAACTTCTAGAGCTAAAATAACATAACAATATAACAACTGAAATTTAAAAACTCACATAACAATAAATTAGATGCCACTGATAAGAGAATTAGTTAGCTGAAAGTTATACAGTGAAAGAATTTACAAAGAATACAGAAAACAGAAAGAAATATAACAAAGACATTTAGAGACCTGGACAACTGCTGGGTCTGTCCCGTGGACCCTGGCCAACGGATGAAATGAGTACTCAGACACAGGTATGCGGTATAAGAGCAGCTAGGTGACTGTCTGACTCTAGTGGCCAGAGAGCAGCCCCGAGAAGCTGGAGCTGCTTGCTTTTATTCAGTGCAGGTACAATGCCAAAAACCTGGAGCCCACACAACCTGTAGGTAATTAACATTTATTGTTCCCCTTTCAGGGAAAGTCATGTGCCTGGATGGTCAAAGGTCATTTCCTGGTCAACATAAGTAAACAAGCCTGTTAAGGATACATTCCCCCACATTCCCTTGTACTTACTCCTTGCCCTCTGCCTCAGGGTTATAGAACAGCTACCTTCAGCTATTCTCCCCCTGGGGCTCTACAGAACCTTCTGATCTTTCAGAAGATTTGCGTCCTTTCCCTATAGTTTTTCCCACCACTCTGTTCAATCCCCCACAGATGACTGAGTGAGAACATCTAACAAATATCTGACTAGACAAGAGAATGAGGTAAAGGCTACATTTAACTATTCTAGGTCCTTTGTATTTTTATATATGTTTTAGAATCAGCTTGTTAATTTCTACCAAAAAAAAAAAAAAAAAGATCCCACAAGCTCGCTGGCATAATTAAAGGTATTGCATTGAAACTACAGTCATACTGGGGATAGCTGGTATTGATTCACTGTTCCTCAAGTGATCAGGCTGCATGCCAACAGGGAAGAGCTTACTGCATAATTCTGAGTTGCTGAGAACAGACAATGTGCCTGCCAGGCTCAAGTAAGACAGCATTTATGTATGGAAAGAACAGAGAGAAAGGTTACTAGATCTGGCCCATTGCCAGGTGATCCATCCCTCAGGGCCAGGGATCGCCTTTCAAGCCTATGTGAGCAGTGTGGCTGCACACATCCCATTTCCTGCTATCACAAAAAGATCTAGTTCCCTCCCTGGTGGAAACAGATATAGCAGCAGGGTGGCACAGCCCCCCCGCCCATTGACACATATGCTTGAGCAGAACAAAGAAGTACATATTAAGACTAAAATAACAAATACATCACCAAATAAAGAGAGATGCTCCACATAGGTTGTGAGGGCTCTTCATCTCTTTGTAAGGAAATGCTTCAGGCTTGAAGCCATTCATGTGAACGTGTAAGGGTCAAGAGCTACATATGATTGCCTTTTCTAACAGGTGTTGGTAATATTCCTTTTCTTTAGTCTATAAATGTGGTGTATCTTTTTATATTTATTTAAATCTTTTTTTCCCTGTAGTTGCTCATTGTTTTCAGTATACTGATCTTGTATCTTTTTATTAAACTTATTCCTGAGAATTTTATATTTTAATGCTATTGTAAGTGGTATTGATTTCACGATTTCATTTTAAGTTATCTTTTTCTGAGTATATAAACATAATTAATTTTTTGTACACTAACATCATTACTGACCTTTCTAAATTCACTTACTGTTTCTAGTATTGCTTTTTTTTTCTGTTTTTTGTTTTTGTTTTTGTTTTTGTTTTTTTATTCCTTGGAATACCCTTGCAAACAATCAGGTCATCTAAAAATAAAATCAGGTTTGCTTCTTGTTTTCCAATTTTTATGGCTTTTCTTTTTGTACTGCCTTCTTGCCCTGGAAATCCAGTAAAATATTGAATATTAATAGAAGTGATGAGGGTGATCATCTTTGCCTTTTCTATACCTTATGCAGTTTGCCTTTACCACCATGCACAACATCAGCTGTAACTATTTGTAGATGGTCTTTATCAAATTGGGGGAATATCTCTTTTCTATTCCTAGTTTGCTGATAATTTTTGTCATAAATAGCTATCAAATTTTATTAAACACATTTTCTGAATCTATTGAGTTGATAATATGATGTGGTTAGACAGCTTCTAAGAGCCTATTTTGTGGAATCAGCCAAGCAGAAGCACTTAACAGTGGCTATCTCAGTAAGATGTTCAAATATTAGGCCAGGTGTGGTGACTCACACCTGTGATCCCCACTTCGGGAGGCCGAGGCAGGCAGATCATTTGAAGTGAGGAGTTTGAGACCAGCCAGACTGACATTGTGAAACCCTATCTTTGTTAAAAAAAAAATACAAAAAAATTAGCCGGGCATGGTGGTGCATGCCTGTAGTCCCAGCTAATCAGGAGGCTGAGGCAGAAGAATTACTTGAACGTGGGAGGCAAAGGTTGCAGTGAGCTGAGATCGTGCCATTGCACTCCAGCCTGGGTGACAGAGTGAGACTGTCTTGAAAAAAAAAAAGATCTCTTCCTCTTTCTCTATTTACTTCTTCTTGTCCATCACTCCTCATTTTTGTGAATGAATGGTCTCAGCCTATTCTGCTCCCTAGGAATCCTAGGCCAAAACACTTTGTAACCATCAGAGACACTGAATCAATAAACATATTTGACAGGGCCAGGCGTGGTGGCTCATGCCTGTAATCCCAGCAATTTGGGAGGCCGAGGCGGGCGGATCATGAGGTCAGGAGATCGAGACCATCCTGGCTAACACGGTGAAACCCCATCTCTAATAAAAATACAAAAAATTAGCCAGGTGTGGTGGCAGGCAGCTGTAGTCCCAGCTACTCAGGAGGCTGGGGCAGGAGAATCGCTTGAACCCAGGAGGCGGAGGTTGCAGTGAGCTGAGATCGCGCCACTGCACTCCAGCCTGGGTGACAGAGCAAGACTCTGTCTCAAAAAATAAATAAATAAATAAATAAATAAATAAATAAATAAATAAACGTATCTGACAAAGAGACCATAAGGCCCAGATGGCTTTGCCATTGAGTTATTCCAAACTTATATGGGCAAATAATTTCAAGCACACACAAACTCCTCCAGAGAATAACAAAGAACCACTTTGTCTCATTTTATGAAGTTAGCATAACCTTGATACCCACAGTAGAATATTTAGGGGAGAAAAATGAAAGGACAACTTAATTCTTGAACAAAGGAGCAAAATTATAAACACAGTAGTGGCAAACTAAATCCACTAATGTAGAAGATAATAAAATTGACCATTCTGTATTTCTCTCTGGTATGTAAGATTAGATTAAATTTTAAAAAATTTATGTTTTACCACATTAACAAATTCAAGAATAAAATAATGTCCTAAAAGATGTAAAGGAAAAAAATTATTGAACTTTAGCATCAATTCATGATAAAAATTATTTTCAAAATAGAAAGATAATAAAATTTGCTTAACTGATGGAAGAATGACCACAAAAAGAGCATATTTATCTCATACTTAATGGTGTAATACTGAAAACACTCACTTCAAGATAAAGAACACGACAGAGGTGTCAGCTATTACCACTTTGTGTGTGTGTGTGTGTGTGTGTGTGTGTGTGTGTGTGTGTTTGAGACAGAGTCCCTCTATATTGGCCATGTTGGAGAGTGCAGTAACTACAGGTGTGATCATAGCTCATTATAGCCTCAAACTCCTGGCCTCAAGCAAATCTCCTGCCTTAGTATCCCGAGTAGCTGGGACTACGGGCATGTGTCACTGTGCTAGGCTTTATTACCATTTCTATGTAACATCGTCCTGGAGTCTAAGCTATGCAATAATACATGAAAAAAATAAATAAAAGGCATAAGGATTGGATAGGAAGGGAATCAAACCACCATTTTTTTTAATATGTAGAGAATGCAAGTTTATATAGAAAAAAAGATTATGTAGGAAAATTAATATAATTAATTTTAAAAGATTTAGAAGGTTTATGCATACAAAATCAAAATACTGTAATAAAACACAATTTTATACATTACCAAAAATTATAATATATGACCTAGAAAACATTAAACAAGAACTTAATGAAAAAATTATAAAAATGGACTTGTGAAGTTTTATTGAAAGACAGTAAAGACAGACTTAAACAGAGAAATGCACTTAACATTCCTGACTGAAAGACACAATATTGAAGGATGTCACTTCTCCTCAAGTAGGTATTTAATGTATTTCCAATAAAATATCCCAACACACATGTGCACGTGTGTGTGTGTGTGTGTGTGTGATGAGGAAATTCCCCAGCTGTTTGCAGGATGTATATGGAAGAAATAAAGACAAAGAAGAGTCAAGGCCATCTTAAAGAAGAGAAACTAGATGGGAGGACTTGCCTTACTGGATAGCGATAACTCTCTTCCAACAGTAGTAATTAAAGTTAGGTGAAATGTGCACAATATAAAAAAATTTCCTTTGGAAGTGAATAGGTAGATGATAAATATCTGGACACATGATGGAAATAACTCATAATAGGGACTTATAACTCATAGTGGAATTTTTCTGTGAAGACGGCTGTAATAATGTGTCATCTATTTAGAAAAAAATTCAGCATTGGACTGCTATCTTATACGACATCCAAAAATCAATCCAAAGTAAATGCAACACCTAAATGCAATAGAAAACAAGTATAAAATGTTTAGAAGGCAACATAAGAAAATAATTTCATGATTCTAAATGGGAAAGGTTTTTTAAAATTAACTTACAATTGTGAAACCTGTGGAGAAAAGAGTTCAACTTGGATGACATTATTCTAATCATTTCTGTTGAACAAAAGATATCACAACGACACCATAGGAAGGCAGTGTGGTATACAACACAAGCACATAGATTCTGAAGCCAGCCTACTTGGCTTTAATTTTTCATTTCACTGTTTAGTAGTTGTGTGACTTTAGCCTCAGTTTCTTTGTTTTCAGGCATTTTTAAAAATTGTGATAAGTGCTATATAAGCTTTAAGCATTATTATTATAAAAAGAAGAGACAAGTCACAAATAGATACAGTGTTTGTAGAATATATAACCAACATAGGATTAGTATACAGGATATTCATAATTACTCCTAGAATTTTCTGAATGACAAAAGCACTGTGTGGAAAAATTGGCAAAATAGTCTAAATAGGTAATCAAAGAAGAAAAATCACAAATGTTTGATAAATGTTTGAAGCTATTCAACTTCATTTGTTATTATAAAATAGAATCCAAATTCATAGCTGTCATCCTATTCCCACTATGTTGTTGAAAACTAGAGTTCGACAACATCAAATCTTGGCAAGAATGCATTGCTATCACTAGTACCCTGCTAGGGAAAATTTAAATTTTTACAACTACTTTGCAAAATAAATTTTCATTGCCAGTAACACTGAAGGTATGCACACTTAATGGCAATTTTCTTCAACAGAATGGTATATGAGGCTTTGTTACCATGTATTCTTTTGAACACACACATATACCCATATTTCATGGATATTCTTCTGCATCTACTCGTTATTTAATAAAATAACAAAATAAAATAACAAAATAAAATAAAATGACTTATTTGAACTAGATGATCCCTTAGGTTTCTTTCTGGATTAGGATACTATGAGGTTTTAAAAATTTCAAATTTAGCATTTTAGTTATTTAATGTTCCAGGAAATGCCTTTTCCTGAACCTACGATTGCTTTTTTTTCTATTATTATTATTATTTTTGCTTCATGAAGAATATTTTATGAAAAAAGACTACTCCAAATGGTTTTACTGTAAGGAACAATTAATAAAGATAATGAATATGTATTTTAAACAATGTTAAAAGTACTATTATGCCCAATTTTAGTGTCTGCTTTTTGAAGAACAATGTGCTATTTATTCTCTCTTTTTTCTATTTTTTTAATCACCACAGCTCCATTGTCATGGAAAGTTGTCTGTAGGAGAGAAGATATTGTCATAAATAGCCTGAGAAACCTGGGATGGGGGGTGAGAGAAAGCCTAGACAAGACCAAACCCTTAAACTCTGAGCCTTACTAGTTCATTAATATCATGGCTGGACCTAAAGACGGGAGCTGAAAGAAGTATTTCTATTAGGGTCCCTGTAAGAAAAAGTAACACTGTTTTAATATTCAAAAGAATATTTGTGACAATAGACAAAGAGCAAGCAAGGTAGTTTTCTTCTTATTCTACTATAGTTACAACACACCAAGACTCTAGAGAAGGCAATGTTGTTAGGATGGGTGTTTGCTGGCTTGGGAACACTGAGCAATATCACCTTTGGCATAAACACTGGCATTATTGTGTCAATTCCAGAATGAACAGCAATAGCGGCAGAAGAGCAGACATCACTTAGGGGACCTGGAGCAGAGGAAAAGATTGTTTGTGAGCAAACAAGAGATACCTCAAAGGACTACCAGAAATAACTAAATGTTTCAGTTCAGTAAGACTCTTGGTTGCAAGGGATGAAAAAGAATTCATTGACTCATGACTGAAAGGCCCAGTGTTGGGTTGCTTTTGGAAGGTCAACATTGTTATCAGGAATAGATGGCCCTCCTTGTTGCTAAGCTTTGTTCTCTTCCATGTGTGATTTCATTCTTAGATCCCAGATAGCTGCAATAGCTCCAAACTTATATTACTCTTGGTTCAAGCCGAGCAAGAACAAAAGCTTTCCTCTATCCCTATAAGCCAAAATCTCCACTCTTATTGGATTATATTTGTGTTGTGGGCATCAGACCTTCAGCTAGAAGGGGCTTCTCCCCTTTCAGATCACTTGAACCAATAATGGAAGAGGAGTTTATTCAAAATGAAATCTGTAGCTATTACTGGAAGATAATAGAATAAAAATTGGAAGTGAAAACAACAAATACCTATTACATAGGGTGAAATTTGCAAGAATAGACATCCTGGATTCTTCAGATGGGATCATATGTCAGTGAATAAATTAGTTATTACTGATAATATGACCTCCGTAATAATGAAAAGCTGATAAGATGTAGATTACTCAGATTACTGGTTGCATTCTAGAGATTTGTTGGGGAGAAAGTTAAATCAATCTTTTTTTGCACCATCCATTCTTCCCATCACCTAAATCCAAGACCACGCTAAGCCTCAACACCTAAAATTCCACAATTAAAATTTTATTGATTTGATTTAAACCTGTTAAAGACTCTTTTTTTTTTAGATAAAGTGCAAAAATATCACTTTACACTTACACAGGAAAAAGAGTTCAAAAGCATTGAGATTAGGTTTTAATAACAGAAGGACAGACAAAGTAAGTTAAAACACGGGACCCTGAAGGCAAATAGAAAAGGAAGCAGTCTTGAGGGGAGAATGAAGAGGGGAGAAGGAAGCAGAAAGGAGACGGCAAAGATTCAACGGATGAACTGCAATTTTGCCCCTAGTCTCACTATCCATTTAAGTTTTAGACTAATGATTTTCCTAGGGATGATTTTGCCCCCAAGGGGACATTCGGCAATGTCTGAAGACATTTTTAGTTTTCCTATCTTAGTAGGGGTGTGGTGGTGGTGCCACCTAGTTGGCAGAGGCAGGAGATACTGCTAAGTATCTACAATGCAAAGATAGCCCCTCACAGCAAATAATTATCTTGTCCAGTATGTCAATAGTGTTGCTGTTAAGAAAGGTACAGACATTTCTCAAACCGTTTAGATGTATTCTAAATTCCAAGCCAATAAAATATGTACAGGGAGATTGCTGCCCCCTACTGATTAGCTTATAGCACACAGGAAGTCGTATACCACAGCTAATAAACTTTTTGTCCTTCTTTTTAAAGTACACCACATCATGAGGCTGGTGATGGAGATTTCTCATAGCAGGTAAAGCCTACTCTGCCAGCCTACCTAAAATATTATAGTTGGCAAACATCAACTTAAGAGATGTTGCATGTTGAATCCCTAATAATACCAGGGCTCTTAGTTTTCTCTGTAAATTTAATTTCAAACTTAACCCCAGCAGTGAAGACAACTGTCTTGTTGGGTATGACACTAACATTTTGGACAGATCATGCAGGAAAAGATAAAAAGTAAACCAAAGGGCAAAGATCCCTTTTTTTTTTTTTTCCTGAAGGAAAAAGATCCAAAGTTGAACCTTGAACTACTGGACATCTGAAAAGAAAAAGAAGATCACCAAAATAAGTATGGAAGCCATGCTGTATTTTTGTTATAATAACAGAGACAGCAAAGAATATAAATTTTTGACAGAAAACTGAGCAAGCTCAATAACACTGGTGCTAAATGAGAGATCCCCTGGAACATATAGACAACTATGTAAAGGTGTACATGAACTTTGTCTTCCTAGGGAAGTAAGCGATATTACCAATGTTGAATTATCAGTTGAACTCAAATTACTGGGCTTTACCTACAATTCACAGATATACTGGTGCCAATCTCACCCCCTCTAATAAGCAGTGAAATATATTTTATTCTATTATATAATTTGACCTTGCCCTGTGTATGCAGCAATTGCCTAAGCTTTCTAAATGCTTGTCATTTTAAGGATATTTGTGACTTTTTCAAAGCAACTCAAATACTACTTAACAGACATAGTAACTTTGATACTTTCACATACAGTTTCTGTTTAGACCATCACAGAAGCCCACGTACAAGGTTGAACATTGAGACACAAAGTAGAAAAATACTTTGTCCAAAGTTATAGAGCTGGAGCCAGAATGTAATCCTATTTGTTTAATTCTTACTCCAGGGCACTATCTACTACACCAGTATAGAGAGATCATGGGTACAGAAGGAAGTCAGTTAAGAAAATGAGCAGAAGGCCAGGCATGGTGGCTCATGCCTGTAATCCCAGCACTTTGGGAGGCCGAGGTGGGTGGATCACAAGGTCAGGAGATCGAGACTATCCTGGCCAACACGGTGAAACCCTGTCTCTATTAAAAAAAAAATACAAATTATTAGCTGGGCGTGGTGGCACGTGCCTGTAGTCCCAGCTACTAGGGATGCTGAGGCAGGAGAATCACTTGAACCAGGAGGCAGAGGTTGCAGTGAGCCGAGATAGCGCCACTGTACTCCAGCCTGGGCGACAGAGCGAGACTCTGTCTCAAAAAAAAAAAAAAAAAAAAAAAAAAGGAAAAGACAAAGAAAATGAGCAGGAGAAAAACAATATTTGGGACTCTAATTCTCTAACTTTCATGTGTTCTGAGAATAATAAAGTAAAATTTGAATGAAATGTTTTATATTCAGGTGTCTAGTATAAGCATCCTGTTTATATTCAGATTCCTAAAGTAAATTTGTTTAGAATTCTGATATTTTGTGATATGTCTAAAGAAAAAGCAGAAATATCTCAAATGAAAGAAAGCCAGGATATGAGAAAAAAAAGAAATGGATATATTTTTTCAAAAGGCTTTAAATTTATTTCTTCAGAAACTAATTGGCCATACACAAGAGGATGGAGAAGAAATGGGCTGCCCATCTTTGTTGTATTGAAGACTTACATGGATTTAAGAATCACACTAAAAATGAAAATGGAAATTGAAATATTTTTTCCTTAAACTCAACTTTTCCTACATCAAAATCTTTGTTAAATCAGTAACGTTTGCAAAGTTTAGTCCCTGGGGAGAAGATCATTGTGTAAACTGGCAAACACAAACTCATTCTCAACATTCTTTCTGGAATTAGAGAGATCATATGTGTGCAACCTTGAGTTTCCATGGTTGCTTCTCCCATGTCCTGGCATTCTGTTGGTGTCTCCATGTGAAGAGACTTGAAGAACCGTGAAACTAGGAAAAAACCAGGGACCTCACCCAAACACTAAATTGTGTTAGTGTACAGTTACTGCCAATGAATTTCTGAATAAACCTCAGGGAAAATGTGGACATCCTGAACATTAGCAATACTGATTGGGCTACATCCAGCTTGTTATTCAGATCCTCTGCCCATCCCTATTTTGAGTCTGTAATAATGATGTCATTTTTTATATCCTAAGGATGCCTGTTTAGGGAAAGCTGAAGAGAATATTGCCTAAGAAGATAAGTAATTTTTTTGTTTGTTGCTAATAAGCTCAGGAACAGCAAACATGGAAAAGAAAAATAGTTCTTTGAAAAAAAATAGAAACACCATAGAAACACAAAACTAGTCCAATCTTGCCTTCATAGCTTGAGAAGCAACTATTACAAATGAATTTAAGGGTTCTGTTGACCTATCTGATCGTAAATTTTTAAGAATTTATTTCATATTTGTTTGACTAAATGGCCTTTGAATTAAATAGCCATTTTGGCTTCAAGACAAAAGAATGGTTGAGTTACGCTAAGGACTGGAGCATTAGCATGCCTCACTGTGCTAAGATGTCATTCGTTCACAGGGAGCTTGAGTCCAGCCTATTAATAGGGTCAAAATGATATTTCAGAGTAATCATTTCCGTGTAAAAGTTAATTTCATGATTTAATTTTTCTGTTTACGTATAGTAAAAAAATGCATGATGAGATTTTTAGAGATGGAAATAAAATACCAGTTATTAAAGCTAGAAGTTTTATTCATTTTTTAATCCAGTAGTTTCCTTTTCTACCTGTTTTCTTTTTCATTATTTTTCTCTTTCTAGAATATTTTAATTCCAAAACAAATATTTTCATAGTCAGATTTCCTGGGCCAGTCACTTGGCTGAGGGATGAGGGAGTCTGGAAGGCAGAAGGCCCCAGCTGGGGGTGCCATTGCTTCTGTCTTGATAATTCCAAAAAGTTACATTCAGACAAGACAGCTGGACCGGGCTGGGCTGGAGACACAGTGATTTCCAATCTCACATCTTAGGTGCTTCAGGGGAAGACCAAGACAATGTGAGTGGGGTCCAGTCTCCACATCCCAGATCCAGTTCAACCAAGGACATTCCACTATTGTCAGCTTTAAGAACTAGACTGTCGTATGTGATATTTTATTTAAAAAGGGGGCTAAGGTATTAATTAAAATTCAAAAAAAATTCCTCATTTCTCTGATAAATAAACTGAGATCCTGAGTGTTTAGCTGTCTTTTCCATGGTTACCCACAGTGCTATAAAAAGAATCCCAATTTCCCTGAAGGACAGAAGCCTAAATTGCAATTACAATTCAGTCAGTGAACATTTCATGCCTAGGTTAATACACATGTTGTAACTTTTATGAGTAAAGATGAAATGAATAATGAAATGCTGTCCACCTTGACACCTTGAAAGATACACTGAATAACGTGGGCTTGGTTCTGACCTCCTAAAATGCCTGCCTTGTATTTTCTCACAGCCTAAAACTTTTCAGACAGATGCCTCTTGTTTTTTTCTTTGATATTGAACATATTATTGTAACTCAATAACTGATAATATAAACATTTTGCAAATTGATATTCACTTATGAAATTTGGAATAAGCAAATAAAAGGTTTTTAAATATTAGGAAAGGCTTCTTATTACTAGTATTATTAGTTACTAGAGTTCTAGATACTAGAGTTCCCGTTATATCTTGAAAAGAACTGAAGCATCAAAGTAATAAGTTTTATAATATAAAGTTTCATTCTTTCTATGTATTTTCAATTATCTTTTAGAGCTCATTAATATTCACTTTTTTTTTTCCTACATAAGGATAAATTATTCATGCTGGTTTCTTTTTCAGTGTGTAAGGGTTTGGAAAGTAGAGACCTTTTTTTTTTAATGGTATATTGGTTTATTAATGTATGGAAGCTTAAATTCAGAAGCCATGTGACTCTTTTGGAAGTCAATAACATAATACACACATACCAATTATTATTTTATTGTAAAAATATTTCCTTTAACTTAATCTTCCAAAAGGTACATGATAATGTGCCTTAGATATATTCAATACTGGTTTATAAGCTTTTTTTTCATTTGGTCAATAAATGATTAAGAGCATTTTAAGGTTAATGATCTCATGATGTGATCAATCATTGTAAGTTACAATCTGCCACCAGGGCTTCTCATTTTGCTGAAAGAAAATGATTTCTTGATAATGATCACAAGAAGCACATCTGTATGCTGGTTGAAAAGTTAATTAAAATGTGATTCCATCTGGTGGTCCAGTTGGGAATGTCACCATTCGATTTAATCTACATTGAGCTGAAATGAACTTGGCATAATCAAAGGATATAATGCAGTGGGGGACATGGAGATATAAGTTACTGTTGCACATGTTAATTTATTTTTTCTTCTTTTTTAAAAGACTTTTTTCTTTTATAAAAGCCAGAAGCCTGGGAATACAGAATTTCCTTATGATTTTCTCAATATGGGAACATTTACCTTTATGTGAATTTCATCTAACTGCACATTTATTCCTATTTTCTCTCTTCACTTTCGGTAGGGTTGATAAAGCTGATGTGAGCACACATTATTTGAAAGCTGCTGACTTCAATCACTCATTTTGTTCTGATATCATGTGTATTAGGTTTCTATTACTGTTAAAAAATTTGCAAGTAACTTGATGCATTAAAACAACACAAGCTTATTATCCTACAGTTCTGGAGGTGGAAGGTCTGAAATGTGTCTCACTGGCTAAAATCCAGGTATCAGCAAGATTGTGTTTCTTCAGAAGGCTGTAAGGGGGAATCAGTTTCCTTTCCTATTCCAGCTTCAGGAGGCCACCCACATTCTTTGGCCTGTGTCTCCCTTCCATCTTCACAGCCAGCAGCCAGCATGGCTGATCTGCTCCTTCTTGTGATGCTCTCTCTGGTTCTGACTCTTCTGCTTTTCTCTTCTCATTTAAGGACCCCGGCAATCACAGTGAGCCCATCCAGATTATCCATAACAATCTCCTTATTTTAAAATCAGCTGATTAGTCATCTTAATTCTATTTGCAATTTTAATTTTCTATTGCCATAAGATAACACAGTCACAAGTTTTACGGATGAGGATGCAGGCATCTTTGAGGGCCATTATTCTGTCTTCCATACATAACTAGTTTATTCTAGTCCTTATACCTGAGTAGAGAGTGATGCCTTTGCTTTCTTCTTGAAGTAATTGAAAGAGTTTTCCCTTTTTGGTTTGGCTAATATTTACCAGTTTGCACATATGCTGCAACATTTTCTAGTCATACAACAAGAGTTTTCCCTAAGGGATGCAGAACTGGAGATACAATTTGCATTAAAAGGCGATTCCCTTGGGTATTATTACAATGTACAATTGAGTACATATAAATTTCCATTTCTTTGCATGAAAAAGCAGTATTTTTTTAAAACTAACTCAGAAATTCCCTGCGCTCTTATTTTATGGTGTGCCTAATTTTTTAAACTTCTCATTTACTAATTATGGGTTAGCCAACATTTCATCTTATAAATTTACTCTCCTCATTTTTCTATTTAAAGTGAAAGCTGTTTTTCAACTGATAAACATATTTCTGCCTAACTTAAATGGGTATGAAGTTACATTTTGCTTGTTGAGATTGTAACATCACGATTAGTCCAACTCCAAGTTCCAGACTCCATGGAAAACGTTTAACAATATGAGTGAATACTTCTGCAAATAAGAATACACCCAATGAGATAAACATAAAATATGACTCTTATAATAGTGACAATGCAAGCAAAATATTACTTGTATTTGTGGGACAGTTATTTCAAAATGAGAAAAATACAAGAATTTCTAGTGCTGATGTTTATCAGTCATATTGTAATCATTTAAGAACTGCTAGAATATATACTTGTATATGAAGGGATTCGTTATATAGATTTGATGTTATACAATTGTGAGAGATGTTTAAGCAGTTTCTGTTGTCTTTCTTCAAGCTTTGCTAGAGCTTAAAGTCTGCAGGGCAGAAAGCAGAGAAGGGAAGATGGATATAAAATAGTAGAGAGCAAGGATGAGCTCCCAATCATGAGTTTGAGCCCACAAGAATGGATCATAACCTATATCATCTCTTGCTATCTGTGACCTTGAAGGCATTGGTGTCCTGTAGAAGCTGAGGTCCATTGTCCTTGAGCCTAGGTGTCGTAGAAGCTGAAGGAGGATAATTGAATATTAAGTGGAAGAAGTTGTAGGTCTGGATTAAGCCTCACTCCAATGAGATCAGCCAGCAGGTAATTGCCAGAATGTCTGAATGATAGCATAGTTGCTGCTTCACTTCTGCCCTCCATGAGCCCCACAGTAATCTTCCTTGTTGCCCACCCTAAGTGGAACCCACAGTGAAGGGAATTCTGGGAAATGTTCTTCAGTCTAGCCAAGTTGACACACTACAAAGCCACCACATGGTATGAGAACATTTATGATCTAATAAAATATTTCTCTCCAGTAACTCTCCACCACCAAATACAACACATCATCTTGCTCTCCTCCTTTCCCTTCTTCACATTCGATTTGAGTATTGAATGTATTTGTTTACTGAAATAGAAGTCACATAATTTTTTGAGATAAAAACACTAACTGATAAAGCCTTTATGTCTCTCATTTATATTTCTCAATACATTGTCTGATGTCATCAGCCTTTTCAGGCCAAATAATAATTTATTTTATTTAAGTAATGGAAAATAAAGCAATAGGACAGGAATTAAGCACCCTGTTTTATAGAAATGCCATACTCTTAACTAGCTAAATGAGGTAGAATATTGAAGTGACTCTCTGTATAATCCCAGGTTTGTTTGTTTCTTAAGTAAAGCCTCTCTTCCTTAAATTGTATTTCTGAAAACAGGGTTTCTTACTTTAAATTATTCACATATTTCAATTTATTCATTATTTTATTTCCCATTTGTATGTGTGATATGTACGAATAATACACTGGCATTTTATAAAACCAACTTTCATTATATTTGGTTCTAACAATTGGTGAAGTGTTACTTATACTTTGGTTTAGGAAATTGGCAAAAATCATTATAAATATGTCTATACAGAAACAAGAGAAAAATGCAACAATTACCTGGAATATGTATTTAGAAAAATGATCTTTTTTTAGTTGGATATTTAAGGCAAAAATTGCATTACTTGTGCTATTTTTTCCTTCAAAATGTCCTGATTGTCCAAATTCCTTTGTGTACACAAAGAGTTATGTATTTCAAAGTAAATCTAAATGTAAATAAAAGGTTTTTGTATTCCAGAATTTTTTAGAAGAAATTGCATCTTTAGCATCATTTCTTTGACCGTTGTAAACAATGTTATAATGACTTAAAATTATACAAATAGCACACTTACCTTAATTAGTAATCAAAAATTTACATAATGTATCTATGATGCATTTGCTGAGCATATGAAATCTTGGTACACTGTTTGACTGTTTTAAAGTTAAGTTTCTTACTATATACTTCCCTGATGGTTATTATGAATATGATAATAGGAGTAGGGATATAATAAGAACATAAATGGCCATTTTAAAAGCTTACACTAGCTTTCTGTTCATTATAAAGTAATTATGCATCTTCCTACTGCACATAACAAGGCTCTAATTATATTGAAATGTTCAGAGGACAATATAAACCACAGAGGCAAAATACAAGTGGTGTGTTCATGTCACTGGAATCCTCAATGTGCTTGTAGCATTCTGAGCACAATTTTACCATTTACTTTTTATACGTGTAGTAAAAGAGAAACCTTAAATGAGACTTTATAGTTCCTATTTCACTATAAATCAGTCAGGATGCAATTATTTTCTGGGATCTGAACCACATATCTTTACAATTCATTCTATCCTTAATGAAATCTGAGAACAGAAATCAAGGGAGGCCCTAGCAAATCCCCTGGAGAGGTAAACGTGATCATGACCTGTACTCTGTCCTTACTTCTATACCTATTCAGATGTCATTCTCATTCATTGAGCAGGAACATGCTTATTCTCAGAGCTAGGACAGTCTTGTCTTGTCCAAGGATTGAATTAACCCTCCCCTGATTTAATGTTGATTAATTTTATTTACCAAGGTTTACCAAAACTCAGTTTCTCTGGAGCATTGATTTTTAATCTGTAGACTGTAAAACTTCTTGAAATCTCATGCAAAATTGTCTGTTATATGCAGATACTCGTTTTTCTCAGAAGTATCCAAGCCTTTATAAGTTTTTAACTGGGACTATGACAAACAAAAATGGAACAATTACTGCTTTAGAGGGGTTTCTGAATGACTTTCCCCCCTTACGAACTTCTAAGAAAACCCTAAACACTTAAAAAAAAGAAATATTTCAGCACACGCTGCATATCATTTGACTGTAGTATCTTGTTTGGAAATGTTATGTACCGTATAGCAATGAAGGCTGTGGTAGTAAGAACTCTGATAGCTCTGCTTTCAAATTAATGGATTATACTGTCATGTTGGCAGTAAATTATTTAGTCCCAAATGTCACTCATTCTATTCTAGTGTGTATTAAGTAAATAGGTAAATTAAATCAAAGAAACAACATTAAAATCTCTTTGTAAATGTGTGTTTTTTTGATGATACAACTACAAGGCTAAAGGTGTCAGTCACAAAACACCCATTTTCCCATATTTTTTGAGATTTCTCATTTTAAATTTTTCTTGTAGAACTAAATACCATTCCAAGTGTACACCACTGCAGGCAGCTAAAATAAAAAACGTAAACCTTCTCTTTTGCCACAAAGTCTAGACTAATTGACTTTCTTCTATTCGTCTGTGCCTAAGTCAACTTACTGAATGATATATTCCTTGAGGGTTTAGTAGGCCCAGGCATTGTTCCAGCATTTTGGATTCAATGAGACTTAGGAAGAAAAAACACCAGGTCTCAGTAACTTACAAATTTTGAAGAACGAAGGAAAAAGAGGAAATTAGTATGACCTCAACACTTCTTTTGTGGATAACTAGTAGACAGAAGAGCCATTTAATAAGATAAATAATATGAAAAAGACTATGTAAGGGTAAGAAATCGTATCCAGAAGCTTGTTGAAGTATTTTCAGTGGCTAAAATGACTATTTCTTTGCATGAAAAGTTGACATTATCTAGCACAGAGGAAAAATGTGTAAGGTTGCTAGATTTGCTAATTCTTTGGAGAAATAGTGACATACATGCACATCAAAGAACATCATAAAACATAATAAATAGATAGTTTTTACGTTAAGAAAATTTGTCTTTGTGATGAAAATTATTCACCCATTGGGATTAGATAATTTTAAAGAAATATCCTTGTCTGAATATTATGTGGCTTCAAGGTTTCAAGTTTCCTGGTAACGACTGCAGTGACCATGTAAATGTATTAATAGAAAACCCAAGAGGGATGATAAGGTTAACTCTATTAGACGTAAAGGTGAGTCAGCAAAGGAGTATGACTAGTTTCAACCATTTCCCACTTCAGTTATTGAGGGTTGTCACTATGATACCATAACCTGAGACCAGTGGCATGCTGGAGCTAGCTTCTACCAGTTCATGAGAGCCAATAGTTTAACCTTGAATATTGTGACCAGTTGTTTATTAAACACAGCCATTACTCAGAATTCATATGATATAAACTTATATGGAAAACAAAATAAATATTCAGGCTCATTACTTAATTATTTAGTACATTTTAATGTTATCTGAGCTCTTGAGGTTTTCTCATGTTTATTGTACCTGGATGGTGGAAATATTATAAATCAGTGTGCATCCTTACCAACTCTGCATCTAATGAGGTTACATGGGTGCCCTAATGTCAGTCAAAGTGAGAGACTTTACACCACTGAAATTGGCAAATTCTACAAATGTAGGCTTGGTTTATTGTTTCATTGATTGTTAGAATTAAGATAGCAGAGAAAATGTTAATAATGAAGATTAAACTTAAAAGTGTGAAGCCCTATTTGCTGTATAGTCATTATATTCTAAACAGCATAAAAATTGAGAGTACAGTCTTCTGATATTCAAAGACTATTATCAATGTACAAAAGAAAACACTCATCACTAACTACTCATGACCAAATAACATTCCAATGTACATTTTCAGTGATTCACATTCATCTTACTGTTAACTAAACAAAACCACCAACCAATACTCTTATCATTACACTAATCTGTCAATTGTAGCCATAGGCTAACTACAGCTATATTACATAAATTAAGGCATTCTGTGAAAACTAATGATACAAAATTTACAATAAACATACTTTGTTAGTATTTATAAATTGTGTGCTACACATTCTTGACATCAGTAGTTTATAAATAAATATATAGAGAGAAATACGTATGTAGACCTTATTTTTTCAGTGAGCACCTGTTAAACACCACTGCCTCAGACATGGAACCAAGTTTACTACTTTCATGGTGTCCAAGTGTGACATTTTGGGGCTAGCTGGCTGTATCCTGAAATAACTTAACATATTTATGGAATATTTCCTAGCTCTTCATCTTAAAGTGATATACCGGATTATATAGATATAGATATAGATATAGATACATATAGATATATATACACACATATATATAATATATACATATATAATACATATAATTATATATAATATATAATTATATATAATACATATAAATATATATAATATATAGTGTTCATGTCCCTCCTCTGTGTTCTGAATCCTGAATGACAGGTTTAAGATTGCTTTTTTGCCTTAATTTATGTTGTGAGTTTCTTTCTATGATTATCAATGAGTTCTCACATGAGTATGCAAGCATAATAAAAGTCAAACTCCAGCAATTTCCTGACAAGTTATAAAATAATAAAATACCCCTAAATGGTATATCACAGAAGATGATATTTTTACGCCAGAGGTGTGGTGACACCTATAAATCATCTCAGCATTTCTTTTAAAATTTCTATTCTCACTGGTAGAAACTAAAGGAAAAATGAATAGGGTAAGCGTCATCCAGAGCAAACCAATATAACTTTGGGGGAAAGTAAAAGATCCAGAAGTCCTATAATGCTTATGTAAATTAGAGAAGAGAATGCTTCACTCCCTCAATTCTCCTCTCATATTTACCTTTTACCTACATTTCTAAAGGTCTGAGAACTTAGCACATAATATTAAAAATAAAATATAAGTGGCTGAATATGGCTATTGAAGAAATATCTTTATTCAAATATACAGCCTTACTACAGGTCCAATATATTTGCACAGACTCTGTTCTACTCTCTAGGCTGGCAAGAACATTCCATTGGCAGACACCCTATAACATACTGTGGCTGCAGATGAAAATGCGTCTTTCACAAATAAGGGAGAAGTATGTTTTCCTTACAGATTAATAGATAATAACCCTTCAATCAATCACAGAAAACACAACACGAAATAAACTACACACCTGATTACAGGAAATTTCCTCAAAGAGACAAACAAACATTTGCTTCATTTTTTAGAGCTAGTGGATTATTTATCTTTTGATAACAAAAAGACACCCTTTGGTATTATGAATGTTTCCAAGCCATAATTTTATGAAACATCAGAGCTTTCCTTATCATTTTGCATCTACTGCAAAAATTTTGCAACATTTACTCATATGTAAAAAATAGTTTCCTCAGATTTTTAAACATTATAGAACTCCAGTCAATACCTATATTGTTAATATTGGTGGTAAAAATAATAATTACTATAGGCCAAGCATTAGGACATATTTTTTTCATTATCTCATTTAATTCCCATAAAAATCTTCAGTGTACATGCTGCTGTCTTTTTTTCAGATAAGGATACGGCGATGTAAAAAAAAAAAAAAAAAAAAAAGTCTTATCCAAGGATATAAAGCCTGTAGGTGTTAGAGATCTGCCTGACTCTACAGTTTTTTTAGAAATTTCACTCATTCCCATGGGAAGAAAAGGCAATCCAGACAGAAAAACTTCTTTTCTTTTTTTATAACCTGTGAAAATCTGATTAATTTGCGTTCTGCCTAGTTATCAACAGAGAACACGTTGTACTGACTTCAAACCCAACATTGCATTGCCTTTTTTTTTTTTTTGAGATGGAGTCTCGCTCGTCGCCCAGGCTGGAGTGCAGTGGCGCGATCTCGGCTCACCGCAAGCTCCCCCTCCTGGGTTCACGCCATTCTCCTGCCTCAGCCTCCCGAGTAGCTGGGACTACAGGCGCCCGCCACCACACCCAGCTACTTTTTTTGTATTTTTAGTAGAGACGGGGTTTCACTGTGTTAGCCAGGATGGTCTCGATCTCCTGACCTCATGATCCGCCCACCTCGGCCTCCCAAAGTGCTGGGATTACAGGCGTGAGCCACCGTGCCCAGCCAATATTGCCATTTTTGACCCAGCAGAGACACCAAAGTTGATGCTGGCTTTTTCCGCCTTATGTTCTGATCTACCCTCATCTGTATATTGAGAGATTTTATTTGTTCTGTCAAGTTAACTTTATAAAATTTGCTTTACTTCTTTTATTGCATTTTGTACTACTATACTTTAAAACAGCCTTTTCTTTAAAATAAAAAAAGAAAATTAAAATAGGTTAATTTTCTGCACATTTATAATTTTTCTAAACTCACAAATGTTACCACCAATGACTCTAGCTGTACATTGCTATCATCCAAATTTATCAAGTAAGAAATTTAGGTCTTTTTCCTGTTTGGTTTAAAGTTTCAGCTTGAGGGTCTCTGTACAGAGATGGCCAAGTTTATTTAGAAAGAGTGCATTTTTTTTATATCTTTTTCTTTGAAATGGCTTAAAATGACCTGCCGTCTTTGTTAAAAGATTTAAGAAATTTTTAAAAATTGAATTTTGAGGTTTGATTTCTTTAGTAGGTCCAAATTGAACTTAAATGTTCTCTGAAGTGTCTAGGAGCTTGCGCAATCTATGATAATTCTGCCTTGAAGCATTTAGCTTTCAATTTAACTTCTCCTTCTCAGTTGGAGATCCTCACTCCAATTTTTCAACTGACACATATTCTCAGATTAAAAAGAAATCAGAATTGCCATTATAAAGGGCTTACTTCGTCTCTTGTTGAAAAGAACACTAACAAACAACTTCAATGAGTTATGGACAGAAATATTAATACTTTAAGTTGCCTTATTACAAAGTTATGAGCATATTAAAAATAGAATTTAAATTAGTTAGAAAGACATGTAGTTTTACTCCCATTTTGGCATGGGGAAAAACAAAAAAAGTTCTGTCAAACATGAAGATTGTTCAGTTGCACTGAATGAAAAGTCATGATCAAAAAGTGTGAAATATTTTATTAAAATCATGCTATAGCAGCTTCTGATTTTTTTTATTAGGAAATGCATGGCTAATTATTGTTTTGCAAGAGCTTGAATATATTTCAAAGACTGAATGAATCATCTACAATACTGTGCTTATTAGAAATTTATTGAGTGTAACCTTTTGCACTTTGTAATATGTTTCTGAAAACTAATCTCTCTGGAAGACCAAATTGAATCTCATTTTTTGGTTTGAGTTCTGGCAGATAGGTAGCAAAGTAAGAACTGTAAGTCAATAATCATTCAACATAGGGGGATAGGATTAAATTTCCTATACTTTCTCTTTCTTTAAGCCATTAGCTCTTGAATTGATATGCAACCATTATATGTCAAATATCTGGACTTCCTGGTGGCTACAATAATGCCGAAAATATTTAATATGAAGCCTTTAAAATGTATACCACGTGAATAAGTCCAGCTAATAATAAGGCCCATTATTCCTTAGTTAGCAAAAGACTATTGTAGAGAGAGGTCTCTGCTGTGCTTTTTAAAAAGCACACCTAAATATTTTAATGTGACTTATAGCTATAGGTAAGTTTCTGTTACCTACATATTACTATAAACAGGCAAACACATTTCTGATATAGACATGCCCATATGTCTACCTAAGATTAAGAAAAACAATCATTCTAGAAGAAATAATTTACCAAACAGGGTTGTCATAGTTCTGTTAAATTTGGCCAGAACACTGCTCATTCATTTTTATGGCAATCACTTAGCTATATGTATCTAAGTGACAGACAATATCTCTTAGATTAGAAGAAGTAGTATAATAGATACTATAAAATTGAATGTTTTCCATGGGTCTAGCCCTGAGCTAAGCATTTTACATATATTAATGTATTTAATCTTAACAAGAAATCTATAAGGTAGGTTCACACAGTTTTGTGAATGAAGAAATTAAGATTTAGAGAATTCAAGGTGCCACATAGCTAGAATCAAACCCATGTCTGTCCCATTCTAAAGGCCATGTTGTCACATCATTGTGTGATATTGCCACCTTGAATAAAAGCTACCTGACGACTATGAAAGTGAATAAGCAGTATTCTAGCCAACTTTAACAGGACTACTATAACCTTGTTCAGTAGATCATTTCTTTTAGAATGGTCTGTGAATTGGAAATATTAGCAGTAGCCGGGCACACTTAATTACAAATGAGTAATTGCACCATAACCACTTAGAATGGCATATACAATACAAACTGGGTTACCAGTTACTAGAGATCAATGGTCAGGGAGTGAATGTGTATACAATTGACCCTTGAGCCACAAAGGTATGAACTACGTTGATCCACTTATATGTGCATTTTCTTCTGCCTCTGCCACCCCTGAGATAGCAAGACTAACCCCCCTTTTCCTTTTTCTCCTCAACCTACTCATCATGAAGACAATGAGAATAAAGACCTTTATGATGATTCACTTCCATTTAATGAACAGTAGATATATTTTCTCTTCCTTATGATTTTCTTGATAATATTTGCTTTTCTCTAGCTTATTTTAAGAATATGGTATAAAATAATAATCACATACAAAATAAGTGTTAATTGACTATGTTGTCAGTAAGGGTTATGGTCAACAATAGGCTATTGGTAGGGCAAGTTTTTGGGTAGTCAAAGCTTATACAGAAATTTTTGACTGCATAGGGGCGGCTGTGCCCCAACTTCCACATTGTTCAAGAGTCAATTGTATATTTAAAATCCTCCCTTAAGTGATTTTAAGCCTAAACTTGTCTTTAAATGGTCAGATGGAAAAGAAAGATTGTGTATAGTAAATAAAATGATTAATTGAAGATACCCACAGATACACATCTGCTTTGTTGCTAGACTGCCTTAAGAATAAACTTCAGTATAAAATATGAGCTCAAAGGAGAATTAGTACTGGTACATAACATAGAAGCATAGTTGTTAGAATACATTTTCCCTCACTGAACACACACACACACACACACACACACACACACACACACACACAAACACACACACACATACCCACATGCACTCACGTAATAATGATGGGGATTTATACAGACTCTGAGAGTTTCAAAATCAGGTCTTTTTTTTATCTGTCTTACTTGTGGAGAATAAAGAGTGGCATGCTATTCAGCAGATATTTGCTAGAAGCAAAGAACTAATAAACTGGATGGGAAAAAGGTTGAGAGGGGTTGGGAAGAAAAAGTTCTTCAACGCTCATGAGATGAGAAATGTTAAGAAGACAAAAGACAGTTCTTTTTCTTTATAGCTCCTATCAGACAGTTATGATCTTTTAAAATGCTAAAGAAATACTCAGCCTTATATGGGCACGAGTGTTAACAAACAGTAAGTTATTGCAAAATTAAAACTTAATTCAGCAGTGATTGAAAAAAGTTTCACTTAAATAAGACAGGCTCTACTTACATATTTTTAATTAAACAAATCATGTTATGACTTTCATAGCTATTTTATGGATTTACATTTATTCCATTATATTTTTTATAGAAAAATAGTGACCAAATTTTGTGCTAACATATGTACTTTTAGTTATTCCTTTCCCAATTAAAGCCTAATTATGTATCCTTGAATTTAAGAGTAGTTGTTTTTAATTAGGAGCTATTTTGTGGTGTCATCCCTCAGGGGCAGTGCTATTGGCATCTAGTGAGGAGAGGCCAGGGATGTTATTAACAGTCTACGATGTACGGGACACAGCTTTCCACCACAAAAAGTTCTTTGGTCCAAAATGTCAATAGTGCTGAGGTTGAGAAAGCGGCTTTTCTAAGATTCACCTGGGGAGCTGTTTTAGTCCATTCAGGCTGCTGTATCAAAATACCAGCAACTGGGTAGCTCATAACAACAGGAATTTCTCATGGTTCTGGAGGCTGGAAAGTGCAAGATTGGTGTCTGATGAGGGCCTACTCCCTAATTCACAGATGACACCATCTTTTTGCTGTATCTTCACGCAGTAGAAAGACAAATGAGCTCCCTCGGGCCTTTTCTGTAAGGGTGCTAATACCATTTACCAGGGTTCTTCTCTCATGACCTAATAACTTCCCAAAAGGCCCTGTCTCCTAATATCATCACCTTGGGAGATAGGATTTCAGCACATGAATTTTAGGAAGACACACACATTTAGATCATGCAAGAGCTTATTAAAAATACAAGTTTCTGAGCACTGCTCCAGCAATTCTGATCTCAAGGGTGGAGGTGGAATTCAGGAATCAGCACCCAGGTTACTATTTTCCTCAGGTTACATTTTCCCCCTTTCAGGTTCTATTTTGAGAAACACGAAACAAAGTACTCAGATACTTCAATCAAAGTTAAGTCATTACCAATTGATGATCACTATCTAACATAAAAATGGTGACTAAAAGGAGTTGCCCATTTCAATAGGGCTAGTTATGCAACTAGAAATTCTAGTTGAATTTCATGAATTATCAATATATTTACAAATGTGGCTTTAGATCAGGAGCAGAGGCATCACCTGGGAGTTTGTTAGAATCTCAGGCTCCAATTCAGACCTACAGACTCACAATCTGCATATTCACAACATCTCTGGCTTTTACAATTGTACAGCTTTAAATGAAATAAAGTATCTTAGTACCCAGCATATTCAATTCCTATAAGAAGTGGTGGTGATTACCATTAGTAATAATGGTAATGATGACAGTATAAATAGAGCAATAAGGAAAGGCTGAAGACAGGGAATAATGTAATGGAAAAGATTCCTTAGAAAAGATAAGAATGAACCCAGGGTATATTAGTTTTCTATTTCTGTGTAATAAATTGCCACAAACTGAACAGCCTCAAACACCTATTTATTAAGTCACTGTCATGTAGGCGTGACTGGGTTTCTGCCTAGGACATGACCAGGATGAAACAAGCTGTCAGCTAGCTTGTCTGGAGGCTCTGGGGAAAAATCCACTGCCCATCTAATTCTTCATGCAGGCAGAATTCAGTTCCTTGTGGTTGCATAACTTGAGGTTCCAGCTCCTAGAAGGCTGTCAGCAGGGGGTCACTCTCAGCTTCTAGAGAATACCTACAATCCTTGCCATGTGGCACCCTCCATCTTCAAGTCAGCAATAGTTCATTGAATCCTTCTTATACTTTGGATCTTAGTCTTTCCCATCTGCCACTAGCCAAAGAAAAGCCCTGCTTTAAAGGGGCTCATTTGATTAGGCTAGGGCGTTCAAATAACCCCCCTTTCTCATCTCAGCAAGAAAGCAAAACATTCACATCTCTTGGGATTATGTGGAGGAGGGGCAGGAAATCTTGGAGAGCATCTTAAAATTCTGCCTGCTGCACATTGCCACTGAACTGATGAGCCTCAAGTGGAAGGAAAATCCCTGTAGTATATGGAAGGAGAAGGAGGTGGGCATATGTGGTGGCAAATTTATAAATCTGGCTGTGGAGGATTTTATTTGTCAAGTGTTTAGTTTGCTGAAAATAAATGGAAAGTACCTGTCTCAAAGTTTGAAGGCAAGTAAAACAGTTTTGAAACACTTGCTAGAGGCAATGGGGGAAAGAGTTTAACAGAAAAGAATGAATGTCCACTGTTGCTGGACAGTGCAGAGTCCAGCAGGAGACAGGCTGTGCCTCAGAAGAGCATAGATGTGTTATGAAAGGCGGAGCAGTCACTGACTAGAAGTTACCTGACAGAAATGGGGAGAGGAGGAAGGGGCAGGCCCTGCTTTTGAGGTCTATCCAAGAATCAGTCTCCTCCAAAAGGAGCCAGGTTACCACCAGGCTCAGCCCAATACCTGGAAGAGAAATGTGCTAAATTTTTATTTCTTTTTTACTGTGAAATGAATATGAACTAAAGAGGATCACATATCCTTTGAGCTGCAGGATTTTAAATAGATGGATGATACCACTGAATTAATTTCTTTCAGGGATTTTTATAAGCCACACGAAGACAGTTTTATCACTTCCATGGGCTATAAGGCAAATGCTGTGGTTACCTTGCTAATAGTGAAGACTCTCTTGAGAGATTCTTGATAATGATGCTCAAACAATATAGCACAGAGGGACAGTTATATTATCTTCTCTCGCATTTTATTACAGATAAGAGATTGTGAAGTGTGAGACTGACAAAAGCAATGGGTGACACCTCATTTTTCACACACCTCACAGGGACAACAGCCTCAAGGGGATGTTCTTTAGGCCAAAACTTCTAAGATATTCTTAAGAGTGGTTTTAAGAAATTTCACATAATGTTTTGAATAAAAGCCTATAATCTGATAATTAATCAGTGAGGAAGACAAAGTTTCTACATATCTGTTTCCCTTAAGATAAGTTCATAAACATTTTTACAATAAAAATATATATAATGCCATGAATGGTGCCATTCAAGCCAAATAAAACAGGTCCAATTGCCATTCAAAGAAGTCAGAATCATATCTGTTTTTTATGCTTTTTGTTAAATGCAGATTATTTTCAGTTCTGCCTAACTAGCTTAAGAATGCACATACAATTGTCTCCCTGTATCTGTGGGGGATTGGTTTCAGGACACCCAGCAGATACTAAAATCCACAGATGCTCAACTTCCTTATATAAAATGGCATAGTATTTGCATATAACCTGTGCATATCCTCTTATATATTTAAATCATCTCCAGATTACTTAAAATACCTAAACAATGTAAGTGCTATGCAAACAGTTGTTATACTGAATTGTCTAGGGAATAGTAAAAGAAAAACATTTGCATATGTTTTAATCAAATATTTTCAATCCACTGTTGGTAGACTCCACTAATGTGGAACCCATGGACACAGAGATCCAGCTATATAAAGCATAATGAAGTGATTATCTTTGGAATGTATCCAATGTTTCCACGGTCATTTACATGTGATCTCAAGAAAAATATTATAATAGGGAAAGATAAAAGCTGATATTGACAAATGCAAATAAAATTATGTTTAGTGCACTCAAGTGTTAGGCTTTTTTTTTTTTTTTGACAGAGTCTCACTCTGTTGCCCAGGCTGGAGTGCAATGGTGTGATCTCAGCTCACTGCAACCTCCATCTTCCGGGTTCAAGCTATTCTGCCTCAGCCTCCCAAGTAACTGGAATTATAGGCATGTGCCAACAAGCCCAGCTAATTTTTTCTATTTTTAGTAGAGATGGGGTTTTATCATGTTGGCCAGGCTGGTCTTGAACTCCTGACCTCAAATGATTCACCCACCTCAGCCTCCCAAAATGCTGGGATTACAGGTGTGAGTGACCACGCCCAGTCACGTTAGGCATTTTGATAACTCTTTATTTCATTATCTCAATTTGACATGACCGTTATTATTATCCCTATCTTCTAAAGGAGGAAATTGAGACTTCAGTATGTTGGATTACTTCAGCAGGATCCAGTAGGAGATTTTCATTTGTATTCAAAGGCTGCTTCAAGATTCCCCCTAAAGAAAGGTCATGTCACGTCACTTCTCTGTTTAAAAACTTAATGGATTCTCCCCTCTCTCAAAGACATCCCAAATCATCACTCTTTCATTCAAGGTAAGGCTTCAGCTAACTCTCACTTCAGCTCAACACTGAACTTTCTCCTGACTCACTCAGGTCTAGCCACTCTCAAGCAAACTCCAGCTTGTTTTGTTGCAAAAGCAAACAAACAGCTTTTGCATTGCTGTTCTCTTCTTACTGAATTCTCTTTCCACAGATATTAGCATGCTTTGCTTGCTTACTTCTTTCCCATTTTTACTCATATGCCACTTTATCAGACAGGGTTCTAATCATTCTCCCCTAATATTGTATTATGTTTCCTCATAGTATTTATGTACAAATATTTCTTTACTTGTTTGTCATCTGTATGTCTCTCCTTTCTCTCTGCATGAGAATAGGACTTTTTGCTTGGTACCATGTCCCCTATGCTTAGAACAAAGCCTATCATGTAGTAGTTATTTTAATATTGTTGAGTGAATATATGAATTCTTAACATTTTTATACATAGATAAAGAATATGCATTGTGCGACTGGGTCCTGATACTCTCAAATTCAGTTCAAGAAGATACAAGAGGAATTTATTGACAAATTCCTAAGTCAGGGAAGGCTGAAAACAGCAGATATTATTTTCAGAGATTAAAGGACTTGATTCCCTGATTTTAAGATAATAAGAAGGCGGCTAGGAGTAGGACAAATATTAGGAAAAGTGCTTAGTTTTGGATGAAGAATGTTTCCAAGGAGAAAACAGTGAGCAAATTGATCTGAGTTGAGTGGATATAAAAAAAGGGGGAAAAAAGAGCAGACCAGAAATGTGAGGTCATTTAGAGCAGCCAGTGTTGGATGGTCAAGAAGAGAGAGAGGATTTTGTATAGGATCTGAAGTGTTATGAGCATCTACAGGTGATCAAGCTAGAAGATGCAGTGACCCAGTGAAATGGAAGGTAAGACACCTAGCTGGCAATGGTCCTAAAAACTTGGTGGCAAGGGTGCAGCTTTAGGCTATATTTCTGACAAGAAGATTCTGATAGACCATGGATTTGAAATCCTATGAGGAGATGGAGAGAAAAATAGAAACCAGCAATTTGTTTAGATTCTACTATGTGTCAGACACTTTTCTGAACCCTTGCATACACTGTCTTTAAATCACTACAAATACCTATAAGGTGTTATTTGACATCATTATGTAAGTTTTATAAATGAGAAAATTAGAGCTTAGAAAAAATTAAGGAACTTGCTTACGGTCAATTAGTTACTAAGTTTCAGGCTTTGTGTTCAAATCCAGACCTGCAACTTTTCAGTATCTGTTCTATCTGTCTCTCTCTTTCTGTCTCTCTCTCTGTCTCTGTCTCTTTCTCTCTATATATAATTTAATTTATAAATAATAAATAATATACATATATCATTTAATTTGTTGTTGTTTAGATAATTAAAATTTACCAGAGTAACATATGGTGAAAGAAGAAACTTCATAAAATGTTCATCCAAGATAAAGCACAATTTTCCAATAGTGTTTAGCTTTTACTTTCATTCAAATATGTAGTGCATTTTGCCTTTGGTAATATACTTGGTTGGTCTCATGTTTTGATTGATATACAAGATAGTAATACTTAATTGTTTTCATGTTCTCACTATCCATCCATTGGGGGCTGACTGTTTTTCACACATCTCCGTATCTCCAACACTCAGCACATTGTTTTATACACAGAAGATACTCAAGTTATTTTCTGTGGAAAATAATTAAAATTGTATAAGCAAGACAATATATGAAAGTATCTTGTAAGTATTATCACTGCTGTAGAAATGGTTAGTCTTGGGTAATGGAATTTAGAATATCTAAAAATATTTGATTTGAAATATTCAAATTAACATGTAGATTAAAAAGGTAATTGTGAGAGTATAGACAAACTCGTGGCATCTTTTTCTACCCTCAAGATACAATGCCTTTGTACTCCCTTTACACATGTTTTTATTCTAACCTGTTTTGCTTTTTAATTCAACTCTTTTGCAAAGAAAATAATTTGTAATTCATATTTAAAGAGAAAAGACATAGCCTTTCAATCTATGTGATTCAAGTCAGAAAATATTTTATGATTATTTGCATCTGGGTCAGGACACTGTCTTCTCAGAAGCGTTGGTCAATGAATCATGTTTAAGTTGCATGCTAATCTGCATGATGATAAGGTTATGCCTTCTCTGAAGATGAATGGGTTTTTCAAACAGTAGCTCTGCATTTGGGAATTTTCTGAGAATATAAATTCCACAAAAAGCTATTTTGCTAATGATGGACCACTTCATTCATTTTCTTTTTGTGATGAATCCATATTTGTATCCATAAATGTAAAACACAGCATAAAGTTACATATCTATTTTTATCTCAGATGTCTGCACTGGAACATTTTAAAGTCCCTTGTGACTTTTGCAGATATTTTGGATTATGCTTCAGGACTTCTATTATAAGGCATTACATGTTCACTGCAAAAAATTGTGTAAAAATGGTCAATTGATTCTTTACAAAACTAATTTCTTAATAACACAGTGATAATCACTTACAAAACAAGAGGTTGGGACCAGCAGATAGACTTTCAGTTTTATCTGGGAATTACATGCTTATTTGTTTTGGCAGGTTTGTATTTTCATTTTCTTAAAAATTTTTAGGGGTATAAAGATATCAGGCACAAGAGTCAAGCCTACCCAAATAAATAATAATACTTTTACTTAATGTTTACCTCCTTCATATTTTTTACTGTTTTCCTGTAAGTTTTATTAAGGTATAATTTACATACAATAAAATTGAGCAATTTGGAACATACAATTTGATGAGTTTTGACAAATGTATACAGTTGACTAATCACCAACACAATAATGATTCAGAATAATTTCTTCATCCCAAAAAGTTCCCTGGGGTTTCTTTGCAGTCAATCCCCTGCCTACACCGCCAAATTAGTGGCCATTGGCAACCACTGAACTGTTTTCTATGACCATTGTTTTGCCTTTTCCAGAATGTAACATCAGTGAATCATGAAGTATATACTCTTGTTCTTCCAATTAACGTAGTATTTTTGAGAATCATTCATGTTGTTGCATTTAGCAATAGTTTGCACCTATTTATTGCTAAGCAGGATTCGATTACATGGATATACCACAGTTTTCTTATCTATTTAGCAGTTGGTGGACATTTTGGTTGTTTCATGAATTGGGTACTATAAAGAAAGCTGTTACAATTGTTTGAATACATGCTTATGTACACATATATTTTTATTTCACTTGGGTAAATACCTAGGAGACAAATTGGTGCATTATGTGATAAATATATATTTGACTTCATAAGAAACTGCAAAATTGTTGCTTCACATGACTAATATCTGGCATTGTCAGTCTTTTGAATTTTAGCCATTCTAGTGGTATGTGGTACCATCTCATTGTGGTTTATTTCATATTGCTATACTGAACAATAAAGCTAAGTGAGCATCTTTTAATGTGCTTATTTGTCATCTATACATTTGCTCTGGTAAGTGTCTGTTCAAATCTTTTGCCCATTTCTGGGAACTATGTGTCTTCTTACACTATTTTTTTTAAAATCATGAATGGAATCAACCTAATTGTCCATCAATGGGTGACTAGATAAGACAATGTGGTATATATAGACAATGGAATACTACTCAGCCATTAAAAATAAAATCATATATTTTTATTGCATCATGGATGGAATAGGAGGCCATTATCTTAAGCAAAACAAGTCAGACACAGAAAGACAAATACCACATGTTCTCACTTACAAGTGGGAGCTAAACAATGTGTACACGTGGATGATGTAGAGTGTGGAGTAATAGACAATAGAGACTAGAATGAGTGAGAGGGTGGGAGGGGGGTATATGATGAGAGATTATGTAACGGGTACAATGAGTAAAAGCCCTGACTCCACCACTATGAAATTTGTGCAAGCAACGAAATTATGCTTGTACCCCATACACTTATACAAATAAAAACAATAAAAACAATAAATAGAAGCATGCAGCATTTCCATAAATTTTCTCATCTCCTCTTTTCAAAAATGTATTGTCTTTTCATTAGAGTTGGTTGCCTGCCATTATCTAAGTTTTTATGAACCAGAATATGAAATATGCTACATGGAGAGAAATGAACTCAACTATGCTGGTGCTTTTTACTAACATGAGTAAATAAAATCTCTCCTTCTGTCTTTTTTACTTAACTAGCTTTTTGTCTTAGCTAATTTGAATGATATTTTAGTCACATAGAATCACACAATGATATAAAAAATTGGAGTGTTATAAGTAATAGTTAAATATATGAAAGATAAGTCAAGATGGAGAAGAGGCATGGAAAAGCTTCATCCCAGCTGGGAAATTGGAAGTCTTTTTTTACTTAGCAGCAAAGTTATAGGTTTAATTACTGCCTCTTGTACTTAGGACTTAGACTGTATACATAAGGAGGATTGAAATTTTGTAGAAAAAAAGTTAGCATTTCAGAACAAGTTTGCTACTTCTTATAGTTTTCCATAAATACTTGACAAAAAGGACAAGCCTAAATCTGAGGTAGCTTGGCCATAAATGAGAAAGGAAAAAGACATTGCTTAAGAGAGGATGTTTGCACCATAACCAACAGTCCAGAAAAAAAAAGTGATGGGCTTCATAGAACTTAGGAGGTCAATTTATTTGCTCTGAACTGAAGTTATTATGAAACAGGGAACAAAGTGGGAGATATTCTTGGGATGTAGAAGAAACCAAATAACTGAATGGAGAGATTCGTTTTCTAAAATCTACCCTAATGTTCTCTGTCATCCACTGCCTACTTGAAAAAAAGAAGAAAAAAAAACCCCTATTACATAGATCCATCCCCTGGGCAAAACCTCTGATTGAGAGGCAATTAATATTTCATAATTAACACAGCACTTTGTGTTGTTGGCATAAACTACTGTGAAAGCAGTGCAGCTGAGGGTGAGCTAGTTGGGCAGTGCATCAAGGACACTGCTGAGAAGTGAGGACACCTAAGTCTGGGAATGAACTCAAGGACCAGGCTTGGACCACACGGATTTGTTTATGAGCCCATTGAGTGGACAAAATTGAGAACAGTCAAAAGTTTACAGATATTATTTTTTCCTAAAGACAGGTGAAAAAGGGCCTATAGTTGTTTAACACTTAAGGGAAATCTCAGAATTCCAAATCCACATCTTCAAAAAGTAGAATGCAGAGCCCCAAGAAGGGGAATCTTCCTTAATGCCTTTCTCATATGTGGCTGTGACAATAGAAAGAAAAGGTGTGCATGGAAAGCTGTCAAATTAGCTTATCAAGGGAATCACTCTTTGCCAGGACAGGAATCCTTATCTTTGTCCAGTGGAATATGTCGTATTTTGATTCCTCTTCATTTGCTTTCAAATGTGAAATTTTAAAATTTATATTATCCTTTTTCATATTTTCATTACTATATTTTGTTCATTGCTACCCATATTTTGGATATTAGATAGCTCTATAGGTTCTCTATTCATGAGGAGACATTCCGGGCTTGTCAAATAGAAGGGGTCATTATTTGGTGGTCCTGAGCAAAAAAATGAAGGCTGTAAGAAAAAAAAGAACTTCCTTTGAAAGTGGGAATTATGGCTTTATTTTACCAGGAATCATTGGTTTATTTGAAGGGACAGTTTAAGAAAATCATATTTGAAAAAAGTGTGCATAGCTATTAGGTGGCCAGTGAGTGAACTGTTGTTTTTGGTTTTCAAATAAACTTTTCTTCTTCTAATAGCAGAACCATCTCTTCGGTGGGAAAATCATTCTATGTGCGTTTGGCAGGGTTGTCTGCATACGCCCACAGCAGTGTCCATATGACCCAGGCCTGGCCAAAAAGAGTGCCACCTCACACCTCATTGACTGTTGAGCTTGTTGTGAAAAGGGCAAGTGACTGAAGTTAAGTGAGTAAAACTCCTCCCTGGTAATTTTCCATCAGAGCCCGTTGAGATGTCTTTTACTGCAGGGATCAACATGCTGATAGAATGTAAGTCTTGACTGTTGGAAGACACAAGGAAAGGACAATTAAAAAGAACAGAGGCCGGGCACGGTGGCTCACGCCTATAATCCCAGCACTTTGGGAGGCCAAGGGGCGGGGGGGGTGGATCACTTGAGGTCAGGAGTTCGAGACCAGCCTGGCCAACACGATGAAACCCCGTCTCTACTGAAAATACAAAAATTAGCCAGGCGTGGTGGCAGATGGCTGTAATCCCAGCTACTTGGGAGGCTGAGGCAGGAGAATTGCTTGAACCTGGAAGGCGGAGGTTGTAGTAGCCAGGATTCTGCCACTGCACTCCAGCCTGGGAAACTCTGTGAGACTCCATCTCAAAAAAAGAACAGAGAGAAAACTATTGACCTAGATTATTTCAGGCTTGGAGCCAGATACGGCCATTTTCTGTACCTGAGCCCAATTGGTGGCGGAGGGGAGCCTTTAGCTGATCAATGGAATCACTCTTGATAAGTGACATGGAATTATTTGGTATTATTCATTGGAAATAATTAATTTGGAATTATTTAGATGTCCTGACTAATAATGTGGGATAAAAGCTAATGGCCAAGAAATTAAGCTGAAAAGCGGGATTCAAAGTTAGCAAGTGACTTGTGTTTGCTAAAACAGTAGAGAAGGTAAATATTAAGCAGAAATTGTGTTGGGTGCAGTGAATTCCTGCAGATCATTTTGTAAAGGTTCAGCATTTTCTGCAGCAGGAGTAAGGAGAAAACACGGAAAAGAGAAGGAATAATTTAAAAACAAAAACATTTTCTGTAAGAGGGCCTGAGGCAAAATGATTCCAAGTTTGGAAAAAATCATATGTGAGTTTTGCCTACTTGGGTTGAACGTAAGTCAGAGATTACCTTTACAAAGATAACATATTAGTATTATCATTAATCTAAGAAAACTGCCTGAGGCACTTTTTGAAAAAGCTGTTACATAGGTGAAGTCAGATAAGGTCAGTGCTTTGTTCAGTCTTACATATGATGCATCTTTCCCTCTGAGCTACTGTGTATAATAGTCACCTTAAGATCAAACCACTATCAGTAACAGGTTCCCTCATATCAAACTACAGTTTCTTGAGGGATATATTTAACTGCCCAGAAAAAAAAAAAATATTAAATGGCTTTTTCCCTCAAATCAGGACAGAATAGCTTTAGTATTATACCCATCCTTGAAGAGATGGGAATTGGATAGGAAGAAGCACAAGCATTCTGATTCAAAGATACAATAAACTCTCTGGGAGGAGATAGATGTTCAGGGTGTATCTACCTCTAAACAATGGAAAAAGTCACAAAGCAGATTGACATTATCCAGCAATATGGCAATAGGCAATATATGTCATCACAGCAGAGTCCTTATTGAAAGGTCCAGCAGGCCGGGTGTGGTGGCTCATGCCTGTATTCCCAGCACTTTGGGAGGCCGAGGTGGGTGGATCACTTGAGGCCAGAAGTTCAAGACAGGCCTGGCCAATATAGTGAAACCCCGTCTCTACAAAGATACAAAAATGAGCAGGTCATGGTGGTGCACACCTGTTATCCCAGCTACTTGGGAGGCTGAGGAAGGAGAATCACTTGAACTGGGAGGGAGAGGTTGCAGGGAGCAGAGATAGTGCCACTGCACTCCAGCCTCAGTGACAGAGTGAGACTCCATCTCCAAAAAAAAAAAAAAAAAAGAAAGAAAGAAAAGGAAGGTCCAGCAAGTAGTCATGGGCAAACAGGCATATATACATGGGGATGGAGAGTACAAAGGTGAGAGTAGGCTGCAAAGTCAGACAAGTGTAGCAGTATCAGGAAGAAAGAATATGAAGTACTAGAACTAGGATTTAGAATTTTGGTCTCCATTGGGCTTGCAAAAGAATTTCAGAATTGGGGTCTTACTGGAAATGAGGTGCAGAGTAGATTATCAATGTAAAAAAACTTGGACTAGAAGAACTGTGACAGAATGGAGAACTAGATTAAGACAATTGTATAAGGGAAAACAAGGACAAAGAAACAAAATTACATTGGTCACTTCAATATAAAGATAAAGAAAGATCAGAAATATAAATGATTTAAATTCTCAAATTGATAAAAACATTAACAAAATATAGCTAATATCTATTAGTTATCTGATATATGCCTTCAACCATGTTGTTATGTATAATGTTTAATTTTCAAAATAGTCCCATGAGATAGAAATTGTTATTCCCCTTTCACAGATGATAAAATGAAGCTCAGAGTAAAATAACTTCAAATATCACAAAGCCTAGGAAATGACAGAGGCAATATTTCTGACTATCAAGAGTTTAAATTGTAGGCAGCAGAACCTATCCTGACTAGCTTAAACAGGAATGTATTTAACATAAGTCATTACATAGCTCACAGGATCCTTGAAAGGGAAGGGTCCTTGGCTGTAGGCCGAGTTTAGGTAGCTTCCAGAACCATACCACAAAACTGATCTCATAAGGGAGCTGGAGACTCCCTTGAACCTCCTTAAATTTTGTACCTTGAGTACCTCACTGTCCTTATCCTAGCCTGAGATCTGAGTCATCTGTCTTCACCGTAGCTGCAAGAGAGCCTGGGAAATGTTGATTTTTCCTTTTGTTTTCTTTGTTTTGAAAAGTTAAGAATCTTATTGCAGAAAAATGTCAAATTATGAAGGAGGCATTTAAAATAGTTTTGTGTGACAATTGCCTCTCCTAGTGTTTGAGGTACAGGAGCAATTGGCTTTTCTGAAACCTCACAGCTCTGTATTTTTGAACTCTCTTTAATCTTTTTTTCTTGCCTGCAATGCTGGTCCCTTTCTCATAATATCTTTCTAAAAGCAGGTAGTAGCAGCCAACACATACTAATATTCTGATGATTTCCAGCTATTTCTCCTAGAACTATAGGCTTGGTTGGCACTTGCTATGTCTTTTAAGACACCACAGATCATAGATGCATCAAATATTTTACCCTGGAAAAAATATAGGTTTATAGCTTTCCAGTTTGCAGTGTCTGCTTGCTGCCTGCAGCATACTACATAAACAGTAGTTCATGTTAAACCAAGGTTAAACATTTCAAGTTTGTGTTACAGCAGCACTCAATTCAAGTTATTAATTTCTGTTTTATGATTGATGAAAATATGATTCTAACCAGCAGAAATTCTTTTTTTTTTTTTTTACTCTAGGGTGGATAGTTTCAATTGACAACAATACCTCTTCTAGATTTTTGGGAACTCAGGCAAAGAGAAGCCATTCTGTTTTCAACATGCAGCTTCAAAATTTGCTCTATTATTATACCAATCTAGAAGAAGTCAAAAAGGACATAAAGCCAGTTTCATGGGGGGTTCCATGGGCCAGGGCATTATGTAGTCAACACACATTTTAGCTAGTCTATAGAGGAACACATTCCTATAAATGGACTGATCCTTTCATCTGGATATCGTCTGGTGTTCTTAATAGGCAGAACAAATGATTTGACTGGTAAGTAGATGAATATTTTATGCCATGAGGAATCCTATGTTGATTGAACATTTTTGGAGCTCTAGGACAAGTTTGTCATGGAGCACCAGGACAATTTATCCAAGTCAGAGACTAAAAATTTAGCAGTAGATCTGTTTCTACCTATGCCATTGATTCTACCTATGCCATTGACATATATAATATGATAATTCACTTATTGTTTGCCTCTATATTTCTGGAAAAATAAGAACTGGAAGACAGTGACATTTCATAGGAACTGCTGAAAACAGTAATCATTAAATGCTTGTAAATGCCTAGCAAACAAAATATATAACAAACAATCAATATGCATGCTGTCCTAGTAATTAATTTTTAAGTGAAGGATTTTTCTATGCAACTTTCCACAGAAAAATCTGATTCCCACAAAAATATATTCCGCTTTATATATTCTTGACTTATAATGTCTCCCAAACACTGTCTGAGAAATTCAAATCCCACATACAAAGATTTCTATCTGATCTGTAGGCCTCTCAACCTCTTTCTTGTAAAACACTGCCTGTTCTCAACCGATATTCTTTTGTACCAGCAAAGGTATTGACTGCAGAATGGAGAAATGCGTTTATAGACACTGTGGCAAGATAAATGCTAGAGAGATAATTAATCTTAAATAATATACACTAAAATAGTTACCTTTAATTTCATTGAGTACATAAGGTCTGGTGCGCTAGAAATCAGAATCACAGATTTTAGAACTTAACGTGATTAAAATTTAAGTACTCCAATTTGAAGATCTCCATAGTCACAAAGAAAAAAATGACACAAATTGCATTGGTCCTCCAATTATATTAATTTTGCAATTTGAAATTTTCTCCATTGTTTTTCATACCAATGTCCACAGTTCACTCATCCATTTGTATAGCTTGCTCGATTGAAAGTGTGTCACAACCTAAAGAAGCTGGTAGTTCACACCCTGACACACTTAGCCTTTCCTAATATAGATGTTGTTGAATATTAATTTCAAATTATGGCTCTTTTGTTCCCATGTAGCCAGAATCAAAACAAAATCAAGACAATGACTTTTTTTTCCTCCTCAATCTCAAGAAAAATTTACTAATGAAACACAGTGTGGGGATATGTAGGAGAACAATATCTAGTGGTTGTTAATGGCTATTAATTGAGGAATAAAAGTTAAGATTCCACTTTTTTACACATTGTTAGAATAATATATAATAGCTAATATATTCCCATAGTACCTGTCAAATGATTAAAAGTCACAGTCAAATTTAATGAATGACACAGGAAAAAAAAAGTCACTGTGATGGGATAATGGCCACCTAGAAAATGTCCACATCCAAATTCCCAACACTTGTGAATATGTTACCATAAATGGCAAAAGGCCTTTGCACATGTGATTAAATTAAGGATTCTGGGATGGTGAAAATATTCTGGATTATTTTGGTGGGCCCAATATATTCTCAAAAAGAGGAATGTAGGAGGGACACGGTCAGGGAAGATATTATAAAGAAGAAGAGGTCAGAAAGAGAGGTTTGCACATGCTATGATACTGACATTGAAGATGAAGGAAGAAATCTGGAGGCAGGAAATGTGGGTAGCCTCAACAGCTGAAAAAGGCCGGGAAATGAGCTCTCCCTTAAAATCTCCAGAAGGAATTCAGTCCTTCGGACACCTTGATATTAGGACTCCTGACCTCCAGAAATGTAAGATAATAAACTTGTGTTGTTTTAAGCCACTAAGTTGTGTTAATTTGTTATAGCACCAAGAGGAAATTAATGCATTCACTCTATGACTCTATTACTTTTTTAATTTTGACATTTTGAAGCATATGAATTAAAATTAAATTGTGTAATCATGTTAACATTTCAATTGGATTTGGCATCAATCGATTTGAGGCATAGAGGCACTGAAAATTATTTCTGAAAAAGCATCTCAAACTGGTAAGAGAAAACAAATACACCTTTTTTTCTCACTCTTTCTCCCTCTAAGTAATGTAGAATAATAAATAATGAAGAATAAGAAAATAATAATGGACATTACTAAATTTGCTTCTAAAACATTGGCAGTAATAAGACATTATAGTAAATATATCAAATGAAAATAGCAAATAAATATTTGGTGTTCATAAAATCATGAGCTGCACCAATATTCCTGGAAAATTAAATGTTAGACTTACATATCAAAAAAAGTTTAGTTGGATGCCATAGTACCCCTAGCAATCCACAGATTCAATGCAATCCCGATCAAAATCCCAATAATTTTTCTTTCAGAAATAGAAAAATCATCCTAAAATTTAGATGGAATCTCAAAGGACACTAAATAGCAAAAACAATCTTGAAAAGAAAGAACAAAATTAGTGGCCTCACACTTCCTGATTTCAGAATATACTACAAATCACCAGGAATCCATACAATGTGGTACTGGCATAAATGCAGATATATAGACCACTGGAACAGAATAGAAAGTTCATAAGTAAACCCTTGAGAATACGGTCAAATGATTTTTGACAAGGATGCCAATACTACATACAGGAAAGTCTCTAGAGCAGATGATGATGGAAAAACTGAATATCCATTTACAAAAGAGTGAAGTTGGACACTTACCTTATACTATATACAAAAATTAACAAACTGGTTAACAGATATAAACCAAAGATCTAAAACTATAAAACTTCTAGAATTAAAAAAAGGAGAAAAGATTTCAGCCATTGTTTTTGGCAATGATTTCTTGAATATAACATTGAAGCAAAGACAACAAAAGAAAAAAATGGACAAATGGGACTCCATCAAACTTAAATCCTTCTAAGCATCAAAATGGACAATCAACAAAGTGAAAAGGCAATGTAAAAAAGGGACAAAATATTTGGAAAACACATGACATATAAGGGGTTACTATCCAAAATATATGAAGAACCTCTAAACTCAACAATAAAAAAAAAACCTGATTAAAAAATTGGCAAAGGATCTGAATAGACATCTCTTCAGAGAAGACATACAAATAGCCAACAAACACTTGTAAAGATGCTTGACACCACTAATCCTTCGGAAAATGCAAATCAAAACCACGGTGACATATTATCTCATACCCATTAGGATGGCTACTATTAAAAAAAAAAGAAATAACAAGTCTTAGTAAGAATGTGGAGAAACTGACACCCTTGTACACTTTTATTAGGAATGTAAAATGGTGCAGTCACTATGGAAAATGGTATGAGAGTCCCTTAAAAATATTAAAACAGAAAATTACTATATGATCCAGCAATCCCACTTGCAGGTATACATCCAAAATAATTCAAAGCACGATCTTAAAGAAATATCTGCATGCCTTGTTCACTGAAGCATTATTCACAATTGCCAAGAGATGTAAGCTACCCAAATGTCTACAGACAGATGAATGGATAACAAAAACATGGCATATACATGCAATGGGATATTATACAACCTTAAGAAAGAAGAAAAACCTGTCACATGCTACAACATGGAAGACCCTCAAGGACAATTATGCTGAACGAAATAAGCCAATCACAAAAGGACAAATATTGTATACTTTGACGTATCTAAAGTAGTGAAAATTATGCAAACAGAAAAGTAGAAAGTGATTGTCAATGGATAGGGGAAGGGGGAGAGGAAATTAGAGTTTAATGGGAATAGATTTTCAGATTTGCGTGATGGAAAAAGTTAGAGATCTGCTGCACAACAAAGTAGATATACTTAATATTACTGAGCTGTACATTAAAAAATGATTAGGAGACAAATTTAATATCATATATGTTTTACCACAATGAAAAACGACAACCCTGTTTCAGTTTGAACTAATTTTAGGTTTATAGAAGTTACAAAGATAATACCGAGAATTCTCACTCTAATAGTAGCATTTTACCGATGAATAATTTAAGTGAATAAATTAACATTGGTATCATATTAACTAAACTATAGGCTTTATTCATATTTCAGTAGTTTTCCCACTAATGTCTTTTTCTGTTCAGGATCCAATCAGGAAGACAACATTGTATGTCTTCATCAAGTTTCCTTCGTCTCCTCTGATGTAGACAGATTTTTAGTATTTCCCTGGTTTTCATGACCTGACACTTTTGAAGAGTTCTAGCCAGGGATTTTATAGACTGTCTATCAATTTGAGTTTGTCTTATTTTTTTCCCATTATTAGATTGGGGTTATGAATTTTGTAAAGAACCCCAGAGAGGTGAAGGGCCTTTCTCACTGCATCATATCAGGAGGTACATGCTATCAATAAGCGTATTACTGGTGCTGTTAACATTGGTCACCTGGTAAGGTGGCATCTGACAGCTTTTTGCTTAATTTTCCCTTTCCTTACTCTGTTAGAAGTGAGCCACTAAATTGAGCCTACAATCCAAGAGTAGGGACGTAAGTTTGCCTTTAGCAGACAGCAATCTCAACAAATTGGTGGAAACATGCTAGAAGCATCACATGATTAATAAATATTTGAGAGAAAATACTTTGAGGCAATGCAAATATTCTGTTTCTCCATAAAGTTTTTTCCAATAATTTTAGCATTCATCGCAGATCTTGCCTGCCACAATTATTACTGAGATGTTCTAATGGTGATTTTTGTTTCTCCCATTCTTTCTACATTTTTTGTTTGAAAATTTTCTGCAAGAAAGATTTTTCTCTTTTTCATTTATGTATGTATTTAAACATTTATTAGTCTCTATAGATTTGTGGATATTTATTTTATTATTTGTGTTATAAATCGTTTTATTTTGTTGCTCATTAATCTCATATTTTAAAACATGCAAATACTGCAGGATAGAAATACAAGCGACTTAAAGATCATTTTTGTAAAATATTTAAAATAACTGGAAAGTTTTAGAAACACATGGACATGTAGAAGGGAACAGCACACACTGGGGCCTTTAGGAGGGTGGAGGGTTGGCGAAGGAGAGGATCAGGAAAAATAACAAATAGGGACTAGGCTGCTTAATACCTTGGGATGAAATAATCTGTATAACAAACCCAATGACACACATTTACCTATGTAACAACCTGCACTTGCACCCCTGAACTTAAAAGTCTTTTTAAAAAAAAGAAAATAAAAATTTTAATAAAGACTTTTCACATTTAATGTATATTAGAGTCATCTGAGGAGCTAGAAAAAGGAGCTGATTCTTGGCTCTCTCTATTATGATTTAGAAAGTCTGTGGTGGGGCATAAATTTAGCATTTTAACAAATATATCAGATGATTTTGATACATGCCTATGAAAAAGTTTGGGATGTCTTGCTTGAAGTAAACATCACTCACCATTGTTTAATATGTGGGAAAATATAGTACTTGGACTTCTTTTTTTATTATTTGTGAATAAATGGATCTGTAGAAACCTGATTAGATAACCTTAAGGAAAAATGTTTGAAAATGCTCATCTATTAAGTAGAAGTTTCAGAATGCCATAGTTCAATATTATATATGCTGTTTATCACTAATGATGCAAGTAAAAGTATAAATATTGTGTCTGTCAAATTTGACAATGATATAACATTAAAGTGTTCTCAGAGCACCAGTTCAGTAAGTATAACTACACAAAAAAGTAGGTTCATGATAAATAGCTAAGATCAGGATAATTTTCATCTTTTCAAATATTTCATTGATTATCATCCATTTTATAGATTTCTTTGTAGCACTTGGTAGGTATAACCAAGGGACGGTTGCAAGTGGCAGTCATATGAGAAAGAAAGGTATACTAATTATTTCTTCACTGTGTTTAATGAGAACATTTAAAAAGAACTATGAAGCTTAATAGTACTTTATTTTCCTCCTGCTGTAATCTTTCCCAAAAAGTCACGTAAGCCTTTTTTGTTGTTATTTACGAAATCAAATGTCCTTAGCCCAGAAAAGACAAATGGTAGTGGCTCTTTTAAATTACTCAATTACGTGGACAGAAACTAACCACTTGATAGAAGGAAAATGCTGAAATGACAAAAATCTGACTTCCATCTGATGTAGTTATTAATAGGGCAGATTTTCATAGGGTCTCAGAAGGCAGAATATTTCATTTGTCTATGCAAATTTCACTTAGGTGCTAATAATGTCTCTTAAGCTATGCAAAGACCTGAAGCCACCTGCATTTCACAGTAAAATCAGATTCATCTTATCCTAGAAACTAATAGTTGAAAGTTCTTAGAAAATAGATCAAGAGAAAAAAAGCATCTTGACTTTGTATCTGCAGTATAAGCATAATTTTTTCACACTTTAATAGCCCAGATGAACTTAAACTAAACCAAAAATGCTGGGGCCTGGAGGTGAACACAGTGGAGTAGTGTCTTCTTAGGCATAAGTGGAATGAGAAGTACGGGAACAAAAACATGGAGCTACATGCCCAGCAGTGGCATGAGGGATAAAAACAGAATTCCTATAGCTGAGAGGTGACCTGGTTGAAGGGGTTGTTAGCATGCAAGGAATGTAATTAAGGGGCAAGTATTTATGTCAGGAAGAGTTTCTCATTAAATGCCTCCCTGCAATAACGCACTTACCATGTTTTCAGTTTCCTTTGACATGTTTTTGAAAAAAGAGTAACAAAATGACTCATTGACTCCTCTTTGGTTTAACATGGGAGGCTATTCCAACAATGAGTTTAGAATGAGAATGTAAAAACCATAGCACCTTAAGAGTTCCAAGGGCACAGTAAAGAAAATTTTACGGTAGGAGAACATTTACTCAGTACCAGAACTAAGGCATATAAGAATGTGTTTTCTTCTTCTAGCTGAAAGTGTACCACACCTGATTTAGAAACTTACGATAGGTATGTGGACATATAGCCATCACTGTACTTTTACAGGCTACTATTACATTTATTCTATTATATATGGGTTTTCATCATAATATGCCCATATAAAAGCCACACACATATAGTATTACTAAAATCTAAAAGAACGTGACTGTGAAATTACTTTCACAGCTATAGTTTCATTTAAAGGTAATTATGTATGAGACTCATAACATTTTAGTAGTTTTGTGCTCTGCATATTATACATATTCATATTAACCTTGCAAAATAATTTGTCAATCAAAAACAAAATTTTTTTATGCAAGAATGTGGCATCATATCCATTCAAAACCACTTCTGATTGACAAGCGTGGATACTATAGGACTGCAGAATGAGAGTTGAGGCACTGGCTCCTGAAGAAACTACCGGCCCTTTGTTTACAAAAACAAATGTATTCACCCAGACATTGCTCCCTCCCTCCCTTGAGCTTACATAACTTTTCCAACTTAATATTGCATCTTCAGTTTGTTTCCTTCACCTGATTTCTTTCTAATTACCTATGAACAAATTAGGTTCCATGTCCAACAAAGACTCTTCCTTGTACCCTGCTGCACTTCTCTCTCTCATCATTCCTAAACTTCGGGTAAGCATTCCATGTATTTTGCTTACATAGCCCACTAGTCCATAGTAGCTTCCTAGCCACCTTTTGCCCCTATTACATCCATAGAATTGTCTTTCCTTCAAGTTCTAAGATCCCTCAAACTGCCCAGACAATAACTGTTTCTGAGACCGTTTCTTGCTGGAATTAAGAGGGGAAAAAGTAATGGATCTGGTGCTGAAGCCATAATGTCACCATTTTTGTAATATCAGAATACTTCCTTTCACTTGCAGCTTCATAAATATATCAACAAACATAACTTTTACTTTTTTCATTCCTGCAGTTGCCACCAAGGCCTTTAGATCAACAACATGTCATTATGCCATAACGATTTAAATGTCTCATAAAGTCTATCACAAAGGAATTCTCTCTTTACGTTTGTCTTCACGTTCTTTTAGTTGAGAGAAAATCCCAATAGCAAAATATAAAGGAAGTAAGAGCTACTTTTTAATAAACAGAATATTTAGAATTGAAGAATTAAATGGTCATCTTAATTTTGTTTCAATGGATTGTAAATATAATTCACGTTTGTTCTTTTGCTTTTTCTGAGTAACATATCCCACAAATAATCTATACAGATAGCTCCTTATGTTCAACAAATACTTGCTGATCTTCATAGTCCAATATTTGCATTTCATATTTAATATTCTATATCTGTAAATTTGAATTATATATATATAATTCTTTTATAGTGACATAACTAAATCTCCATCATATGTACAGCTAAATCCTAACTACTTAATTGGTATCATCTTCTGAAGCACATGGTATGCAATTAAAGCATTTGAATAACTATTTTAACTGAAGAGTAAAACATAATCAGTCAATCCTGATTTAGATGTAATTTTCTATATATGGAAATTAGAATTAAACGTTAAGAACCACAACACTTAAAAACTACATATTGCAATGTACTTACTTGTATTTCACAAGGTGGTTGTCAGTTTTAAGGGAAAGTTAGACTAGGAACCCAGGGAGGAAATAAACCGTAGGACGAAATGTGAAGCAGGGAAAAAACACTGGCCTGGGAACCAGGGGCTCCAAGCTCTGAATAGACCCAGGCTCTATTGCTTTGTAACTTTTTGAACTAAAGCACAGAAAAGTGCTGAAATTTCTCTGTCTCCTCTCTAAAGCGAATCTTCCTTTCCAGAGTCCTTGGAGGACTGAATGCAGTGGTGCATATAAACAACTTAACTCCGTGTCTGACATATAGCAGACGTTAAATAACTTTCAGTTTCTCTCCCTATCTATACACACCCAAGTTATTTTTTAAGTTAAAATGGAATAAAAAATGTTATTCCTAAATGAAAAGTAGAAATAAACAGGCAAAAATGTCATCTCACTCTAGAGATGCAAGTTGCCACGGCAATGCAAATATCATCCTACTATTCTCTCTAGTTAGGTAGTAACAGGAATATGTTTTACCTACTGAAAACAGCATTTAGAAAAGTCTCGGCGTTACTAGCATTGGTGGATTTTTATAAAATCACTTCTTGGGAACTGGATCTAGCCCAAGGCCTGTAATTCTCTTCAGTTGGGAAACAAAGATAGGGCCTCAAAGGAAGGATTTCTCCAATTGTGAGATTTTCCTTACCCTCCCTTGAAACACTAATCAGGATATTTCCTGGCTTCAAAGATAAATTACATTTTCGTGATAGATTGAAAGAAGCGGGTACAAAGTGTTTGGTCATACTAAGGGAGGAGACCACCCCTCATATTGTCTTATGCCCAATTTCTGCCTCCAAAGAAAGAAGAAGTAAAAACTAAGAGGCAGAAATGAAATCCACAAGCAGACAGCCCGGCGCCATACCCTGGGCCTGGTAGTTAAAGATTGACCCCTGACCTAATCAGTTATGTTATCTATAGATTACAGACATTGTACAGAAAAGCACTGTGAAAATCCGTGTCCTGTTCTGTTCTGTTCTAATTACCGGTGCATGCAGCCCCCAGTCACGTACCCCCTGCTTGCTCAGTCGATCACGACCCTCTCATGCAGACCCCCTTAGAGCTGTGAGCCCTTAAAAGGGACAGGAATTGCTCACTCAGGGAGCTTGGTTGTTGGAGACGTGAGTCTTGCCGAAGCTCCCGGCTGAATAAAGCCCTTCCTTCTTTAACTCGGTGTCTGAGGGGTTTTGTCTGAGGCTTGTCCTGCTACAATACTATCAAGTTCAGTATTATATTTTCTTTCTAAGTACTTTTTGAAATAAATGTGTCACTTATGCAAATTGTTGAGAATAGGCTCTGTGAGGGAACTGCTTAAGGACAACTATTTGTACTACATTTTAATCACTAATAAATCAACTGAGTAGCAGATGTGGTACAGAATACTGTGATTCCAGCTAACATCAGTGTATGAGATGTGTATTTCCTTCTCCTGTTTTGTGGATTACTGAAATTATGTATGTTCCCTACATATTCTGCATTCTCCTATCAATATAATCCCTCTTGGCTGAATTCTCAAGTTTTATTTTCTAAAATATTGCTGTTTTCTGAAAGAATTGCTTGAGCAAGTATATAATTTTCAACTGTGCCTTTTCATAATAAAAATCTGGTGGTTTTGCAAAGTTCCTAACACATTAAATAATACATTTGTATTGGCAAATAAAAAGTATAACACAAACTTATTATGTAATAGGACAGTAATTCTCTAAAAACTTACAAATACAGAAGCACACATACATGAGCATAGATAAGACCAGAATGTATGTAACAACATTCACAGTGTCTGAAATTGATGGTGGGGGGTCACAGGGCTTTTTATTCATTTCTGCCTATTTCCTATATTTTCCAAATTTTCTGCATTAACCATGTATTACATCTTATGTTAAAATGTATTTTATTGTTAAACAGTGAATAACTATCAGCACAAATTCTATACATATAATTATAAAACATCCTGGGTTTTACTTGTTGATTCTACAGAGATCTGAGCCTCAAACTTATACTATGTGAGCTTTAAAAAATTTTATTTTGAAACAGAACACATGAACATAAAATGCATATAAATATATTTCTGGATTAAAAATAATAAAACAAACATTTTAAAATCCCCCACCAAAACTGAGAAATAGAACATTAAATCAGCACTTGGAATCCTGCCTCCCCACCTTGCTCTATTTCCAATCTGTCTTGACTATTCTTCACCTATTTTCTTTCTATACATACTTTAGATTCAGTTTATCATTTTTAAGGAAAATCTCTGTTGATTGGAATTGAATTGTATCTATAAATCAAATTCATAAAAATGTCAATTTGTGAAATTGATTTATCCTAATCAATCACATTTAGTCTTCTTTCAGTGTCTTTCAACACAAGTTTATAACATGCTGCATAGATGCTGCACATCTTTGGTTGGATTAATTCCCAGACATCTTAATGGTATTTTCTTTCTTTTTTTTTGAGATGAAGTCTCACTCTTGTTGCCCAGGCTGGAGTGCAATGGTGCAATCTTGGCTCACTGCAACCTCTGCCTCCCGGGTTCAAGAGATTCTCCTGCCTCAGCCTCCTGAGTAGCTGGGATTACAGGCGCACACCACCAGGCCCAGCTAATTTTTGTATTTTTAGTAGAGATGGGGTTTCACTATGTTGGCCAGGCTGGTCTCGAACTCCCAGCCTCAGGCAATCCACCTGCCTTGGCCTCCCAATGTGCTGGGATTACAGGCGTAAGCCACCATGCCCAGCATCTTAATGATATTTTCTAACTAATATTTACTTGTATGGAAATGCAATTTTGTTACAGTGTTCATACTTTTGTAACTTTAATTTTTCTCTTGAACTGTCTGTCATTTCCCGGCAGAAATGTTTTAAATATTTTCCATTATGATGGGGATTTATAAATTACTCCATGTAATAATGTCTAATTTTGAAAGTTATTTAATGTACTGTTGACCTTTGAACAATGTGACAGTTGGGGCACTGGCCCCCACATGTAGTCAAAAATTTATGTATAACTTTTGACTCCCCAAAAACTTAACAACTATAGCCTACTGTTGACTGGAAGCCTTACAAATAACATAAACAGTTGATTAAGACATATTTTGCACATTATATGTATTATATATGGTATCTTACAATAAAGTAAGCTAGAGAAAATAAAATGTTATTAAGAAAATCCCAAGCAAGAGGGAATACATTTACTATTCATTAAATGGAAGTGAATCATCATAAACGTCTTTATCCTCGTCTTCACATTGAGTAGGCGGAAGAGGAGGAGCAAAAAGAGGGGTTGGTTTTGCTGTCTCAGGAGTAGCAGAGGCAGAAGAAAATCTGCATTTCAGTGAACCCAGGAAGTTCCAAGTTGTGTTGTTCAAGGGTCAATTGCATATAAATATGTAAATGTGTGACTATATACTTCCAGAAAAGTGAAACTTCTAGTTTTTTTTTTTTTTTTTTTTTTTGAGACAGAGCCTGGCTCTGTCACACAGGCTGGAGTGCAGTGGCACGATCACAGCTAACTGCAACCTCCGCCTCCCAGGTTCAAGTGATTCTCCTGCCTCAGCCTCCCGAGTAGCTGGGATTACAGGTGTATGCCACCATGCTCGGCTAATTTTTTTGTAGAAAATTGCAACTTTTATAAGTATGTAGTCAAGCTTTCTCTCTAGCAATGAATTTTGGCTTAATGTCTAATTCATGTGTTGTTATTATAGACACATCAGTTTGATTTGTTCTCTTTTTTCCAGGAGCAGAGGAAGAATAGAGGGGTAGTATTTGCTTTACCTACTTAAAAAAGCACAACACTATATTTATTTTTTCATACAGTCTGATATTTTTTCTCTTTTAATTGGTGAGTATAATGCATTCATATCAATTATGATTATTTTGGACTTCTCCCCATCATTGTTCTGGGATTATTTTGAATTGTTCTTTCCCCTATTCTGATGTTTTTTTTCCCACTATTTTGGTAATTATATTCATTAGGCTTATTTTTAGTAATTATATAGCTTTTAACCTGCATACTTAATAACATATGCAGAATATCAAAATACTCACCCTCATCCTGAATTATAAATGTCCTAAGAGTGCTTTAGATCTGACTGCATCTTACGATTCTTATGCCAGCTTTGTCTAATATGTTGGATCTACTTATTCTTAACCCCACAAAATAAGTATTGATATCATTATTTTAATTTTTACTAATTTCTTATATCTCAAACCTTCTACTTAGAATTAATTTTCAATAACCAGAGACATATCTTATAATTTGTTTTCAGAATGGTCTGTTGGTAATAAACTCTGGTAAATTTCCAATCTTTTTTTTTCTTTTTCTCTTTAATTCATTTTATTTTTGAGCTGCATTTCACATTTGCTAAGTTGCATGGGATTTTTCTCTTTATATATTGAGTATATATTTATATTGCTCTCAGGTTTCTGTTCCTGCTATCAAGAAGTTGGTAGTCCTTTGTAAGTGATCTGTCTTTTCTCTGTAGATACTTTTAAAGATTTTTTTGTCTTTGGTATTATGTACTCTCAGTGTGATACGGTGTGTATGTGTGTGTGTGTGTGTTTATGTGTGTGTGTGTGTGTGTGCTTATTCCATGTGAGATTTTTTGGGCTTCTTGATATGGAGTTGGTATTTTCAACAATTCTTGAAGTTGCCAAATATTATCTCTTCAAGTATTGCCAGATTTCCTTTCTCTCTGTTATTTCCTTCTAGAACTCAGGATAGATTGGTATATATTAGACATGTTCATGTTATTCTTAGTTTTAATTAACATCTCTTTTATCATTTACATTAATTTTGCTCTGTACTACATTTCAGATATTTGGTTTGATACTCCAGTTCACTAACTTTTTGAGCTGCATTTAATCTGTTCTTTAACTTGTCTATTTTAAAATTTCATTTATTATTTTTATTTATTTCTAGAGTTTCATTTGATTCTTTCCAAGTGTGTTGGTCTTTTAGAAAATCCATTCTTATTTATCCACAATTTATACTTTCTATAATATATTATTGTTATTCAGTATTCTATGCCCAATAATTTCAACATTAAGTATTTTTGAGTCTAAGCCTGCTGTTTCTTTTCTCTTGTTTTCTGCTCACACTCATGTTAGAGCTTGTATATTTGTGTTTGTGTGTCTGTAATTTTCAACTCTAAGCTCATGTTTCTTAGAACTTTAATTCAGAAGTTTTTAAAGGCCATTGTTAAAGGTACAGTCTTCAAGACAGGATATGTGTTTGCACTTAGGGGGTGCTATGGACTGAACTGTGTCTTCCTCACATTCATATATCAAAACCCTAATCACCAATGTGGCTTATATTTGGATATAAGGCTTTAGGGAAATAATTAAGGTTAAATGAGATCATGAGTATGGAACCTGATCCAATAGGAACACGTGCCTTATACAAAGAGAAAGAAAGAGAAATGTCTCTCTCTCTCTTCCCTCCAGTGTACAGAGGAAGAACCATTGTGAGGATAAAGCAAGAAGACAACCGTCTGCAAGCCAGGAAGGGAAACTTTATCAGAAAGCAACTGTGCTGGAACCCTGATTTTAGATTTTGTAGTCTTTAGAAAAGAAATAAAAATTATTTTTGTTTAAGCTACCCAACTTATGGTATTTTGTTATGGAAGTCTTAGCAGAATAAGACAGAGAGCATTATCAACATAATGTCTTTTTAAATTTGATTCTCATTTTGAAGGGTTTTTGCAGACCTGGGTTATATTTACAAGTTTTCAGGGCAAATGTGTTATGTCTCCATTAGGTGCCAAATTCTAATCAAGCAAGTTCATCCCCAAGTCATAGTTACACTCAAGATAGAGCATTCTGGGAAAGAGAAGTAATTGTTGAGTAGCCCTTCCTATCATGAATGGAAAGAGAAAACAAAAGAGTTGAAAATAGAAGTAAAAGTAAGAAAATACAGTGAAATGGATGGAATATTTAGTGAAACAAAGAAAAAGAGTGACAGCAAGGAAAGAGACAGAATTCTAAAAGGAGACCATAACAAGGGAATGGAAAAAAGGCTATAAAAAGTAGTACAAAGAGTAGGCACATCCCTAAGAGGATCAGTAATGGGTACATATTGAGCTACAAGAAGAAAAAGAAGGAAAGTTACTTATGTATAACTTCTAGCGCATGCCCGGCACTGTCCATGCATATTATCAATGTTAGTTCGTTTAGTCTTCTCAGTGGTGTTGTCAGGTAGATATTTTCATCTTCACAATAGCCCACTATTTGATATTTTCTGAATCTAAAGCTGCACTGTTAAAAATGGTAATAATGACTGCCACACATGGCTATTTAAATGAATAAAAAGTAAATAAAATGAAATTTAGAAAAATTAGAAAAATTTAGTTTCTTATCTGTACTGGCTACGTTTCAAGTGTTCAGTAGCTGCATGTGGCTAGCAGCTCCCTATCTGGATAGTGCGGACTGAGAGCATTTTCAGTATCACAGAGACTAGCAGGCCAGCATTTATCTAATGTGGTTCTTCAAAGAAATTCTTAATAAATAATTTCTTACAATTCTGGCAAGGTATTGTATCTAGATGTTCCTTAATTTGCAAGTTTTATGCATAGAAGAATATACATCTTATAGCAAGCTTGCTAAAAGTGTTTAGCGTACTATTTAAAAAGTTAATATAATGTCTTCAAATACTTGAAAGGCAAGAATAATTTAAATAAATTTAATTTTTTGCTAAATCAGGCAAGTGTGAACTAGCATGTAAAAAGGCATATAAGCTTAAGTGATCTGAGACGTAATAAAAAACAAATACACACATATACCCACTTACAAATATTTGACAGTTCTCAACAAGATTCCGGAGAAAAGTTAATTCCTTCAAAACATACAATATCTTTATAGGGCTTAAAAATAAGACAGTAACCATTATTTTTTTCCTTAATGATGAAGAATTCAATAAAGAAAAGTAATATATCCAGTAATAGGATTTCTCAGTTGAATGGTCCAGACTGCTTTCCACAATGGCTGAACTAATTTACACATGTACCCAAAAGAAAACAAATCATTCAACCAAAAAGACTCATGTACTCCTACATTCATCGCAGCACTATTCACTATAGCAAAAACATGAAATCAACCTAGCTGACCATAAATGGTGAACTAGATAGAGAAAATGTGATACATAGATACCATGGAATAGTATGCAGCCATAAAAAGAATGAAATAATGTTCTTTGCAGTAATACATATGCAGCCGGAGGCCATTATGCTAAGTGAATTAATGCAGGAACGGAAAACCAAAAACTGCATATTCTCATGTATAAGTAGAAGCTAAACAATGAGTAATCATGGACATAAAAGATGGCAACAATAGAAACTGGGAACTACTAGGGCTGGGAACAAGGGGTGAAAAACTAGCTCTTGGGTACTATGATTATACCTGGGGAATGGAATTATTTGTACACCAAATTTCAGCATCACACAATATAGCCAAACCTATACATGTACTCCTTGAGTCTAAAATAAAAATCAGAAAAAGGAAATGTAATAGTTTTAACCTGATGTTTTAATTTTTATTCTAAACATTTAATTATATATTATTATTAATTATAACGAGTATCTTCCCTCATTTAAGTGGCACATGTGTTGTTCTTTCAACATTTTTTTGCTTTGCTACTTTATGATATTAAAATATCTAATGTATAATTCCAAAGAGTATTTTTCTTTTTACTTTTAACTTTTAAATCAAAGTTAAGAGCTTTTAAGGGATACTTAAAGTAGCTCCCTCCCATCTCCTCTCTGTATATTTAAACACAGAGAATTCTGATGACAATAAAAAGATACATAAACAAAATTGTATGGTATTTTCTATGACAAAATATATTTGACTTCCTTTTCACTACGTTTAAGCAAGAAACAACAAAGTATCATCTGGTACAGAGGCTTTAGAAAATTATTATGTCACACTTTACTTTTCAAACTGATTGTTCAAAAAGAAAGTCTTCAGACTGTACAGAACATCAAGAATCATTACAAGAGGAAAATGCAAACCTTTTAAAGGAAAAAATCATTGTAAACTTCCATCAGGGGAAAGACACTGGGCAAGATGTTGTCAGCGTCTCTAAACTCCAGAGGACAAGGCCAACTCTTACATCAGCGAATAAATAGATAATAACTGAGAAGTTCAAGGTGTCTCTAAAATCAATTATTTTCCTCTTAAATCCTGTCAACTATCTTAAATCCTGTAGACTACCATGAACTGAAATACTCATGGGAAGAACACCAAGTACTAAATCTGTTCATGTCTATAACTGGCATTCACAGAAAACTGTCTCTAACTTTATTCTTTCTTTTGGCAATTCTTAAAGAATTGGTGATATCATCATGACGGCACTCGGGAGTTGGAGGAAGAACAAAGATTGTGCTTTGTTGCTTAACGACACCATTCCTCTACCCATCCAAACCCACAACTTTGTATCTTAGCTATTCTTTTTACCAAGAACTTATAAAGGATGAATCCTAAATTTTCTGTTTTTAGTCATAGAAAATCCATAAATTTATGACCACAGTAGGGTCTCATTAAAAATCATCCAAATGCCAAGAACAGAATGTAATACTTTATGCACCAGTTCTTGAAAAAAAAATCCCTAGACACCTATCTACAAGTTTTCTGAAATTCTTTAAGTAAACTCTGATTTTGGTTCTATTTAGAAGACACTATGTCTAAATACTCCGGAATGTGCTACGGAAATACTTTGAATTCCACACAGTGATTTTTTACTTAATTTTTATTAAGGTATATCATAACATCAGTAATGTGTACTAATCTTAAGTATAAAGCACAATGAAATTTTACATTCCTATATACCATCTGTGCACCCAGATTAAAATATGCACCATCTTCCCCACCCTAATATGATTTTCCCCTTCCCAGTCAATTCCTCTTCCTAAGAGGTAACTACTAGTGAGACTTCCATCACCTTCCGTTAATTTTGCTTGTTTTAAAATTTCATACAAATAGAATAACAATAAACACACTTTGTGTATCTGGCTTGTTTCATGCAAACTTAGGTTTTGAGTTTCATCCATGTTGTTGCCTATATAAGTTCTTTTTCAAATTTCTGGTAAGCATTGAGTATATCGTTTATCAGTTGGGGTGTTTATTTTTTTCACCCAAGAGAGAAATTTTTACTTTTAAAATTTCCGTTGTTTTGGGGGTGGGGAACGCTAAATGTTTTTGATTAGACCTCTGATTCCGGAAATCTCACAGACTTACAGATTTGACAATCCTATTTCAGGAAACTGTTGAAGCATCAATGATAGTTCTTTGCAGAGTTTTGATAGACTTCTCATTCAATTCAACATGTCACCTTCAAGTTTCTCTAAATTTTCCTCTGAATCCATCCCTCAAAAAGTTAAGAATGTCACCATTCTTAGTGGTGACATTCTTAGTAGTAGAAACGCACCCTCAACATGCCAGAGTCTATCCGGTATCAAAGCTATGACACATTGTTGTCATCTGTGTTTTTCCCCACTAAACCAAAAAGGTGGGCCTATATATTTTTTCACTTTAAATTGCTAATGTGGAGATCTCTGCTAGGTACAAAGCAGACACTCAGAAATATTAAAGTGATATGGTAATAAAAGTCAAACACATTTCAAAAGCCTGTAATTTACTTCATATTTTATGATTTTAATTCATTAATATGTTGAATGGTTGTATTTTTAGATTACTATGGCTGTTTGTGTATTTTTAGAAAAGTAACCATTCCCTTTTTAATCCTCAAGCAGCTTTTGCTGTAACTGCAGTGTTTTTTACAGGAGGCTTTTTAAGAGGTTTTCTGTATCCGAGAGAAAATATATGAAATTGGAAAGCAAAGGTAACTTTGAATGTACATTAGACATATTCGATTCTTGAGAGAAAATCATCAACCAAAATTTCACTTGACTGGCCCAGGGCTTATACTCTGTAACTTTGCACATATTGCTACCAGGGACTTATTGCATTTATAAAAGAAAGATAGATAACAAAATGTTGTTCTTTCCTGTGGTGAGAATGCTAAGCATAGATCAGTCAAGGTATCTAGGTGCTTTGTTCTAATCACAGTGAATGTTATGTTACAGAGAGTTATTATCCTGACTATTCTAATAGTGATTTAGAACTTTGCTTTCACATCGCAGAAATGACTTCTGATGGCACACTCAAATGATAAAAAAGGTACTCATTCACTATCTGACTCACCCTTATCAAGCCTCATCCTAAAGAGTTTCCTCTGACTCCCTATATATTTAAATCTGTTGAATTCTTGCTGAAATACACTGGTTGGAATTTCTGGAAGGAGCAGTTCACACGGTTACACACATCATTGGGAAGTTATTTGTGACTATTTTAAAATAATATTGTCTCAATGTAAAACATATTATTATTATTATTAATTGTTTTTTTGAGATAGAGTTTCACTCTTTTTGTCCAGTCTGGAGTGTAATGGCCTGATCTCAGCTCACTGCAACCTCTGCCTCCCGGGTTCAAGTGGTTCTCCCGCCTCAACCTCTTGAGTAGCTGGGATTACAGGTGTGCGCCACCACGCCTGGCTAATTTTGTATTTTTAGTAGAGACGGGGTTTCGCCATGTTGGCCCGGCTGGTCTTGAACTCTTGAGTTCATATGATCCGCCCACCGGGGCCTCCCAAAGTCCTGAGATTATAGGCATGAGCCACTGCCCGGCTGTAAAACATATTATTACGGAGTATACTCATTCACCATCCTGAATCCATAGGTGTCTTTAAACTTTGCATTTTAATTAAATGCTTTAGCTTTGCAAGCATATTCTCTTTCATGTAATACTATGTACACAGCTCAAGCATAGTGCCCACTTGAGATTATGATATTGATAATAAAAGGTAGTAGGGATTTTTACCTAGAGCTAAAGTCAGTTATTTTTTTCTCTCACTGTAATGATCTTTTGCATCTTTTGATTTCAATTCCATGTGGATTTGGAGAGGAAAAAAAAAAGGAAAATACAGTGTTTGATCCCAATAGTCAAGAGTATACTTTGGCAAAATATTTCTATATCGGTATATTCTTAAAGTTACACAAATATAAGACCATCTTAGAAGAATTGCTTGAAATCACTTGTAAACCAAGCACTGAATTTCTGACTTCTGCAGCTGAAACAACAGCTGCTTCAAAGAGCATGCTTCTTAAGACATGTGACATGGCAGGCATGTTTTTATTTATTTATTTTTCGCAGTATACCCTTTCTTTTCTAGACAAGTTAAGGCTTAAGGTTCACTCTTGACTGAGAAAAAATAATTCTTGAGAAGCAGCTCTTGAGTCAAATAGATCACAGTGAAATGATCTGTTAAAGAACTGTCATTATAGAACTACAACAAGACTACTCATAGACATCTTCACTTGCTAATAAAACCATATTCCCACAAGCCTCTCACATTTTCATAATAAGCAACCACCATCTAGAGACATGGTTCACTTTAGAACTCAAAACAGAAACTTTTAAAAAGCAAGCACACCAAATACCTCCATTTTTGAGCCACAGCCAATTTCCTACAGCACTGGCTTTCTAAATGTGGTTCTCAAAACAGCATTAATATCATATGGGAACTTCACAGAAATGCAAATTCCCAGGCTCCATCCCAGACCTACTAAAAGACTCCTGGGCTGGGGACAAATGATACTTTTTAACAAGCTCACTGGGGGATTCTGATGCACACAAAAGTTTGTAAACCACTGTTCAATAGAAATATTGAACTAAAAGAATATGAAAATATCTGGAAGAAGACTCAGTGGTCTATAAGTAAACTCTATATTAAGCAGAATCACCAGACTAAATCAATGTTTGTCACCTCTTGTGAGAAAAATAAAAGACCAAATACGAGAAGTTTTATCTCTGAGAGACCTACAGCTGTAATGAAATGACATTCCATGCAAAGCTGAATCAATCATCCATAGAATAGAGAGCCAAAATTTATGCAAATGCCTACTAGTGGGTGCATTAAAACCATAAAACTGTAGAAATGACTTCACTTGCACCTCACCATTTTTCACGGCATTCCCTTTTAGACATCTCTCTCACCTGTCTTCATTTGCACCCACATGTACTACTCTCATTGTTCTTAGTCTCCTGTGTTTCAAATTCCTCACTTAAAAGACAGCTTTTGAAAATTTCAGTGATTGCAATCTCGAAATGAGACTACAATAAAGTTATGTACTCCTAAGATGCTCTTAAATAGTTTATTTTTTTCATCTTTGGATAATGGCTCCCATACATTAGCTACCTGCATAATCCATGAAGGCAAGATAGAATTCTGTATATATGATATATATACATATGTACCCACATGTTTTAAGAGTCAAGTGTTTGGAAAACTATAAGCTTCTCCTTAACCTGTATTGATATTGATTAGAATTATTTTCTAAAATTAAGAGCCCTATACCTACCTGTAAATCTTTTCACATATCATTTAAACGTTGTATTATTATTGTTAATTTACAGCTTAGTTATTAATTTTTCTTTATAAGAATGCCATAATTGTGCATGCTTTTATGTTTTTCAGAAATGGATGTGTTTGGATGAAAGTAAAAGAAATAAAATATTTCACTGTCTCTAAAAAAAAAACATTCAACAAGTTTATAGTTGATACAAGATTAAAAAATGAGTTTTAAGAGACATGAATGCAAAAAACTTTAAACTCAAAACCAAAATGGTAGCAAAGCAAAATTTGGCATGGCACTTTTGAGCCCCAAACATTAAATTTAGCTTGTCCTACTGCACAGAAGTAGCAGCATGAAAAATAACAAGTGCTAAATGTTAAATTTTAATTTGATGTTCCTGAATGAAAGTAAACATGTGAGAACATCAGGCTCCAACGATAGGCCATTATGCTCCAAATTTTCCTTATGTTGTAGAAGACACAGATTTGAAGTGATTGTACCATATTGCCTCTTTAAAAATGCAGACCTTGGTGTATTCCATGCCACAACATTAGTTGCTCTGACACGATAAAATAATTATGATCAATGCTGTGGATTTCAATGGTCACGATATCTACACAAACACTAGGCTCAGCTGCAGAATCCCCTCTTCTCTTGTTCTCTTACCTTTGCCAAAATACTCTACCCCAATTTTTTTGTGAGGACTCAAGGATTCTCCTTCTTTTGTCAGCATATTAGACATCTTGATTCTCCAGAGATCTTAATTCTAGTTTCATTCTATCCACTATCTCAGGGAAGATATCCTCTACACTTGGATCTGCCTGTTCTTCAGAGGATGGTTGGATTTTCTGTTAGTTCATGCACTAAACTTATCAAGGAGGAGTTGTGTTCTTATTAGGTGCAGGCCTGAAGCATCAAGGTGTAGGTTTAATTTAGAAGTTTCACAATAAGAACTCAATTATTGGGAAATAAACATGCTGTTTTCTCCCAAACAACATTATAAGCAATACAGTCAAAGTGCTAATCACCATCTGTCTGACATCCTTCTTTTATTTCTCAGTTGGCTCCACATTCTGGGTAAGAGGGACTAATGGGAGGAATGGGAGCATGATTAGGAACCCTCATAAATCTCAAAAAAGGAAACAAAGTCAAACTGAACACTGAAGGAAAGTCTCATCTGAAAGACTCTCATCTCAGTGCCAATCCCTTTCTTTCCACCCAGCTTCTTTTCTTTTCTTGTTAATTGCGGGAATCTTACCCTTTTGGATAAATTACTTCCCTCCCACTCTAGCCATGTGGCTCCAGTGGGGGCTGCTAATACTGGTACCCATCTCTCACCTTGGCCACTGGAGTTAAGTAAACCATGCTGTGACAACTTACAACCTTTATTAAGAATATTTTATTGGGGAGGGGTTTACTTTCAGGTGGCAAAGCTGTGAAAATGTGAATGGCTGGTCACCACTTCCCAAGCTCAAGGAGAAAAAGAAGCTAGCATGCAAGAAAAAGTGATGGGAAAAGCATCCTGGTGGCATCCAGTCCCAGCTACTCTTTTCCCAAGTTAAAAGGTTTCCATTCTCACTTTTATGGATCAATAAACCTGCCCACCTTAGTCCAAAACAGTGTGATCGCTCATGATAGAAAAAAAATTCCTGACTAATGAAACATTGCTCAACCAACTACATTCCAGATGGACTAGACAGATAAATGTGAAAAAAAAGTACTAAAAAATGTAGCAGAAAGAAAAAATGTACACTTAACAAATCTCAGGATCAAACGAAATTTTCTAAGCTTAAAATTAGAAGATGCCACAAAAGAGTATCAGATAAAATATGCAAAATAAATAGCAGAAACTTCAGTTTGTCAAAAATCCGAAACAAAATAATAATTGGATCAAAACACAGCACAATATTTGCTGAAGTTTTCACAAAGGGGATACTTTGTAAAATGCTTATAAAATTGGTGAAGAGGAGCACGGAAGTCTCCAGTAGTAAAATGGGTCAATATATAAACAATTTACTATGAGGAAAACATAAATGACTAAAAAACATTTTAAAAATTTATCACTGACAAAAAGAAATGCAAAATGAATTATAACCTTTAGTCAAATGTTTATATACTGTGTATACAGACATACATTTGAAATGAATATTTATACTCTTTCTATGGGTATGTAAATTGCTGTTTTGGAAGCAACTTAATACTTTTTCCGAAGAGGCTTTTACAATCTTCATCACATTTATTGTCTTATCATTTCATTTTTTGAAATTTAGTTTAAGAAAATAATTCACAATTACCAGAAGAATTCATATGGCTAAATATGTTTGTAAAAGTGACAAAGTAGAGGTAATTCAAATATATTACAATAAAGGGCATTGTTAAATAAAATTTGGCACATCCATTTAATAAGTATGTTTTGCTATTAAAATAATGCTAATGAAAATTTATAATGAACTTATAAATATGCATCTGTTTCAATGTAAAGAAGAAAAGTATAATACTTCACATATAAAATTATTTTCACTAAATAAAAATACATATATAACAAATAATGAAGTGAAATATACCCCCAAATATGGTGGTAAATAATTAATTCTGAGTAGTGAAATCATAGGTTTTTTTTTGTTGTTTGCTTGTTTCTTTTGCCTCTTATACGTTTCTGTTTTCTCCAAGAAGTGTTAATTACCTTTATTATAAAATTGTTATATGTAAAGGTTTAACACTTTGCTAATAGTATTTTTTAGACTTGCTTCTGAATTACAGAATTGGCTCTTTAGTGATTGATCTGGGTAATCACAGTACAAATCAGGCTCTGCCTTTATATTTTCTTGCCTCACTCCTACACATATTTCATGCACTGCTACCTTTCTGTTGTGCTATTTTGTGACACAATATTTTGAGAGAAAACAATTACTTACACGCAGATACTAAGTGACATTAGTTTATCTCCAACTAGGCAATGTAACTGCAACAAAACCCCCAGCTAACCAAAACCCAATAATAACTTCTGCTCACATAAAATGAAATGTCAATTTCACTAATCACATGCTGTCTGGAATGTCCGTTCTCCATGGTAACTACCTGGCTTTCCTGGATAAGCATTTCTGATTCAAGTACACAACTGGCAGGCCTGCCCCAGCTTAACTGACCTAGTTTGGTGAAAGTTCTGCAGCCTGAATTTGATATGCCACTGCTAAAATAAAATTTCAAATGTAAGTTAAAATGCCTTTTCAATGAATGTTTTTGAATTTTAATATTGGTTAACACGAGTGTTTTTAGAGTCAGAAAAAGCATAGGTAAAATGAGTACAAATGAGGCCTGTGCTCCAGAAATAGTAATGTGAGGGGAAAGACACATGAAAATGCATTGTATTTTATTTTTATTTTATTTTTTGAGACAGAGTCTCCCTTTGTCACCCAGTCTGGAGTGCAGTGGCGTGATCTCGGCTCACTGCAACCTCCACCTCCTGGGTTCAAGCCATTCTCCTGCCTCAGCCTCCCAAGTAGCTGGGACTACAGGCACCTGCCACCATGCCTGGCTAATTTTTGTATTTTTAGTAGAGGCAGGGTTTCACCACGTTGGCTAGGCTGGTCTTGAACTCCTGAGCTCAAGTGATCCACTCACCTCGGCCTCCCAAAGTGCCGGGATTACAGGTCTGAGCCACCGTGCCCGGCCTGGAAATGCATTTTAAGTACACGTTAGTATTTGAGGAGAAAATAAGATATGTTGCTTGAGTAGTTGTCAGACGAGACTGTCTCGTCTATTTCATACAGAGTTGGGGTTTCAAACGCCAGCACCACCTCTACCACCTCATCTCAAACAGTAGGTCCTCTCTTCCTCCTTTTGCCTTTCCTCACCGCTTGCATCTTTGCAATTGATTCCCGGCTTTCATTCCACCTTTCCACTCTTATTTTATCTAATCCTCTCCTGTAAATAACAATCAACAACACACGATTTTAAACTTTAAAATGCTTTGGTATTGTTAAGTCAATTAATAAATATTCCCTGGGAAGTTTTAAACAAGGGTCATAATTTGTGTAAGACCAGCATAGCTATGGGTTATGCAAAATAGCTTACTAATAGTAAGAAGAAAAACCTTTTACCAGAATTTATTTTACAAACCAAGAGGTTTGAGAAAAATCCAGCTGAGACCTCAACTTCTAATCCACTCTGCTGTGACATTTGCATTTTATAATGGCATCTATAATATTTCACACTTCTATTTATCTCAAAATAGCATCCTAGTCATAAATACCATTTCTGCCCATCTCTTTGGTAAGAGAAAATTTCCACAAGGATTGAAAATGTTAAATTGCTATTTGCTTCACCCTCTACTATTATGAAGTCCTCCATGATTTCAGAATAAGTCAGAGGAAAAGGTCACAATTTGTATTAAAAGCCAGAACTGCATGAGGCAAATAGTATCTGCTGAGGATATTATTGTGTGCAAAAGATAGAATTTCTTTTGTCTACTTTCCTTTTTTATAACATATATCATGTATATTATATACATATACATGTATTTACACATACATGTAAAAGTCAAGTACACACACAAATATATTTATGTGACCAGCTTTTAGTCACACTAAAGATATTTTTAAACAAAAACAAAATTTAAAATGTTAAGAACTGAGTTGTATCATCTAAATAATGAAGAAATAGAAAGAAGAAATATTATAGATTTTTAATGAGGTTTATCATCTTATACTATAATCTTTCAGATTCAGTAACTACCACAAAACTTTTTTTTCCTGTCTTAGAATTTTCTTTGGTACTGTATCCTGTAAATGGTGCCATTTGAAAAGTTCTAAGCAAATGTTATCAGAGAGGGAGACACTGACAGTTGGAATTCTTGACCACCAAGATACAACTGGGAAAGACCGATGCAAGGTGCCCGACAATAAACAAGCCTCTAGGACTAACCTTGTAAATTTGGATTCTATCCTTGGTGTAGATAACTGAGATTGCTGTTGTACAAAATAAAGTGAAAGAGGAGGAAAATGAGGAAAGTTCAATGTATAAATCCATGGATGCCTACACTCTGGTCTGATTTAAGTTCTTTAGCAATGCTAAACTCAGAATGATAATGGTGTTTTCCACAATCTGTAACTCAATAATATTTTTTAAAATTATTAATCACAGATAAATTTTAGAATGGCCAACAACATTCATAACTTTCCCATGATGTTTGTTTTTACCTTCTTTTACAAAGTAGCAAATACAAACTTCTATCTAAAAATAATCAGGTTCTACTGCTTCACTGGGACCTAAGCAAGAAAGTCTATGGGTGAATCTATCTCTTCCTCCCTAGTCAGCAGTTCCTTGGGTTAACAATTGCTAGTTGCTTCCTGAAATTCTTCCACACTTCATTCATATGACAATAATTTCCATGATGATGTGACAAATTTTTTTAAGTTAAAATTATAATTGAAGTCCTCATCCTAAAAACAATCATTGAGAGTGCTGTTTAAATTTAAAATTAAGAATAACTAAGTAAAATTTTGATTTTCTTTTTATAAATGTGAAGTGTTAATGTTTTAATAAAATGTCTTTAATACTTTCTGCTAGTTTAGTAGAATATAACTAAGAATTAACAAGAATTTTAATGTAACTTCATCCATAGTCAAGAAGTCACGTTGAAGCCATTCCCTTCCATCCACCTTCCACAAAGCAGACTAATCATTAAATCTGCTTGAATAAACCTTTAAGCAATAGTGACTCAGATACTTCCGTCAATGCCAGGGAGTGGCTGGTGGTAAATATTGCTGTTCGTGAGAGGTACTTTTTGTTGTTGTTGTTAAATTTGGGTTAGCTTAAGAAGTTTCACTACAGTAAAAGGTGATCATAATGGAAACCTGTCAGTTTTTGCCTGCTTTTCCTTTCCAGGACACTACAGATAAGACCTTGAGCTTTTCATCTGTTCATATCTGGAGCTGCTTCTTTCTTGACTTTTTAAAACCCTCAGGATGTCTTTTGTCTAATTTTACAAACTCTGTTCTTATTTTATAAACTCTAATTTGTTCCGATTTTATAGACTGTTTTAAGATTTTTAGTGGCACTAAACATTGTTTAGTGGCACTAAACAATTTATTTTGTTTAGTGATACCTTAACTGCCAAAATATTTTGGTGATAGCTTAACTGCCAAAATAAAAGTTCCTAAATATTTTGTCTTAAGGAAACCAAAACTGCTGGGTGGACACTGTAGTGTGCACCTATAGTCCCAGCTACTTGGCAGGCTGAGAAGGGAGGATTGCTTGAACCCAGGAGTCCAAGGCCAGCAACATAGTGAGAAAGAAAAGAAAGGAAAGAGAGAGAGAGAAGGAAGGAAGGAAAGAAAAAGACCAAAATAGAGAAACGGAGAGCAGGAGGGAAATAAGGAATGGTAGAATCCAATTTCCGATGCCTTGGCTGAAAATGTATGTTGGCAGGAAGATGGAATTTCATTGAATTACAGATAAAATAAAGCTTACACAATTTTATTAGAAAAAAGTAGGCAGGCCTGATATTGAGAAAGCTTTACTATAATAGTAATGATTCAGATTTATTTAATGCTTACAGTTTACTAGGCCCTGTGGGTTACATAGATTATATCATTTCATATTCACAACAACTTAATAGAGCTCAGTGTGACATTAATTTTATGTGTCCACTTGACTGGGCCATGGGATGTCTTGATAGCCAGTTAAACATTATTTCTGAGTGTGTCTGCAGAGGGATTTCCAGGAGAGAACAGCATTTGAATTGCTAGACTGAGTATAGCAAATGACTCTCCCCAATGTGGTGGACATCATCTAATCTGTTGAGGGTCTGAACAGAATAAAAAGGTGTAGGAAAGTTGAATTTGCTCTGCCTGAATACTTGAGCTCAAATATTGATCTTCTGTCTTTGGTGCTCCTGGTTCTCAAGCCATCAGACCCTGGTGGGGATCTACACCATCAATATGGGCTTTCTTGGGTCCCCAGCTTGCAGTTCACAGATCCTGGGACTTCTCAGCCTCCATAATAGCATTAACCAATATCCTAAAATAAATCTCTTCATCTATATCTCTATATAATATATAGTTATATGTTATATATCAATAACATATATTATATATATAATACATCTCTTCCTATATATACATGTATACACATACATGTATACATATACACGTATATATACATATTGATTCTATTTCTCTGGAGAAACCCTGACTAATACATTCAGGTAGTTTTGGAAGCTGAGGCTTACATATATTCGGTATAAGTCCACAGTGTCTGATTCAAAACTTTTGAAACCAACGAGGCACAGTGGCTCACACCTGTAATCCCAGCACTTTGGGAAGTCAAGGCGGGTGGATCACCTGAGGTCAGGAGTTCGAGACCAGCCTGGCCAACATGGTGAAACCCTGTCTCTTCTGAATTTACAAAAATTAGTCAGGCGTGGTGGTGCACACTTGTAATCCCAGCTATCTGGGAGACTGAGGTAGGAGAATCACGTGAACCTGGGAGGCGGGAGTTGCAGTAAGCAGAGACTGTGCCACTACACTCCAGCCTGGGAGACACAGCAAGACTTCATCTCAAAATGACAACAACAAACAAAAAACAAACCAAAAAACCTAAACTTTTGAAACCAAATGAGCTTTGGAAGTCAAAATTTTTGTTTGTTATTTGATTTTAGAAAGTAATATGATAATTAACTATAGACTGTATAACATCACAACAGGGGATAGGACAATGCTACCAGTGAAACACAGAACTCTTCACACTAAGTGGGATACGTAAAGATTATATATGGTTCATGTCAGCTCAGAAGAGGTAGGGTATTATAGTTAAATGAGCTATAAAAGTCATTATGATTTTAGAGCTTTGTGGATTTAGGAATTATAGACTTATCACTGCTTGAATTTACATGACTGGTCATTGGTGAATTTGAGTCTTGAACACTGTGAAGCTGATTTCTCAGCTCATACACTTGCCACTGACACTTCCAGTGGTTTTCTGAAAGGATAATCCAAGAACCAGAGTGGAAAATAACCCTTATACTATCCATCATAGAGGTAATGGGTAGAGGAGCTAAAATTCAAACCCATATTTGTCTTAACTCAAAAATATTGACTCAACTCTCAGACTTTGATTTCAATTTCTTTGTATGTTAGTCAATGTCTTGCCTCAATTCTGCCAAACTATTTTATTATCCTGGTTGGTTGTCTCTAAATAATAATTACTCATGACACTCTCCTTCCACCCTCAGATTTCCTCAGGACAATGCACAGCATGAATTTTTGGGTAACACAACCAGAATGCTATATTAGAATATTACACACATCTGACTTCTACAAAGCTTCCTGTCATCAATTGTATTTAAGAGGAAATTAAAGAACAAAAACTGAAGTTATATCTGCTCATATTTGAATACATAAATTACCTTCATTTACTGAATTTTTAATATACAAGATCCTAAATATTAAGCAGCATCTGTCAAAAATAAAACTATAAAGTGAAGAAATGAGTTGCAAATACTATACATCCTAGACACCAGTAAGTAATATAGTTTAAAAAAACATTTCTAGCATGACTCTAAAATTGTTTGCGGCCGATATGGTGTTGGGAGAAGCTGAGTGTTGGGAGAAGCTGAGGCAGGGCTTGCATGTCTGACATAACGTAAAAGAGTCTTGGAACATGTCTGGGGTCCAGGGTCTAAAACCCCTCATGGCCTTTGGAACACCAAGCTCTATGCCAAAGGGTGGAAGGCTGTCCTGATGCACCAAAATCTAAGCCCAGGGCATAAAACCCCTTGTGGCTTGGACAGAATCCAGGGCTCAGGTCATAAAACCCTCACAGCCTCTGGAATGTATCTAGGTTTGCTGGGTCCTTGCTCCTTGCTCTCCCAGGATCGATTGTATCTTGAGTTAAAACAACCTGCTCCATTATCTCAAGTAGCAGAATATGTTCCATCTGCTTCAAAGGAAATGCTAAACCATCACAGCTGTAGATCATGCACTTGCCCTTTCGACCCTCACATTCTCACCACCTGTTTCTTTGTTTGATCACCAATAAATAGTCTGGGCTTCTGGAGCTTGGGGCCTTCGCAGTCTCCATACTCAGGTTGGTCCCCTGGACCCACTTTCTCTTTCAAACTCTCTTTTCTCATTCCTTTGACTCCGCCCGACTTCATTGCCCCCATGACCTGGTGTTGGGTCTGATTGCCCCAACACATGGTGAAACCTTATCTCTACTAAAAATAGAAAAAGATTAGCCGGTTGTGTGTGGTGGCGCATGCCCGTAATCCCAGCTATGCAGGAGGCTGAGGCAGGAGTATCGCCTGAACCCAGGAGGCAGAGGTTGCACTGAGCCGAGATCAAGCCATTGCACTCTAGCCTGGGCGACAGAGTAAAACTCCATCTCAAAAAATAAAAAAATAAAAAATTGTTTGCTGTGGTAACATATGATTTAGGGTGATGAAACTTTGCCACACAATGCAACAGAAATTGAGATGGACTAAAAGGCAGAAAACAGAATCCCTTTGTTTCCATTTGTGGTTCCAGCACTTACATATCATGTGGCTTTGGACAAATCATTTATTTTCTCCCTAGTTTTCTTGTTTAAGAAACAACTATCAGCAATAGAACTATCAATGCTACAGGATTCTGAGATGTTGAAATTACATAAACAAATCAAGAAATTAACTTGAAATTTTATAATGCCATAAAATGTCAGTACCTCTTTTTAGAATATCATTAGTTATTATAATAAATACAGTTAACGTGTATAAGCTGAATTTTTTTCTGGCATTACTTAAAAAATGAAATGAAAAGGCCATAAATGCCAGCTTCAGACATATTCATGAGTAAAGAAATATACCTGGTTTGTTTATCTAGAAAGTAAAATAGTAATGGCAACATTACTATAACATACAAGTTGGCATTCTACCTTAAATCTTACATAAGCACATTCTTCAATACAGTAATAAGAAAAAGTTTAGGTATTTCACTTTTATCATAACATGTCCTCACAATGACTTTTCCATTTAAATTGGGACTTAAAAACTCCCTAAAATCCTAGTGATAATCAATGTGCATACTATAAATGTAGTTTTATTTAAAACTGTCATGCTGCAAATTTTTGAACAAAATTTATTTTGAAGCAGATCAAGAAAATTGCCAAATAAAGCTATGTGCTACATTTTCTGGTTGATAAAGAAAGGCAGAAATGTTGGCTGTGCATCTATTATGAGTAATGCACTGTACTGGTTGATTAATCTTCATTGATTGCATTAAATCATCACAACAGGCTTTGATGAGTTTTATCGGTGCTACTGATAAAAGTAAAGAGGCTCAGAGATGAAATTCCTCCATGAGGATTACAGGGCTATCTTCTGGAGTGGCTAGGATTCCAACCCTGATATACCAGGTCCCCAAACCCAATTTATTTGCATTCTGCTAACAGTGAATTTTTTTGTGTGCTTACTGTTCCATACAGTAAGACCTTTTTCTTCAAAGGTGTCAAAAGATTTAGGGATATCTAAATCTTCCAAGAATTTTAATCATTTTTAATGCTTGTTCTATATAGATTTTATAAGATACCAGAATATTGTAAGAGATATTACAGAAAAGCATTTACTTCATAGAAAAATCATAGAAGCCACCTGCTTAATAATTAATACAGAAACAGGGAAATGAACCAACCAACCAAATGAACATAAAAATAGCATACATCTTTTTCAATAATCTTAACTTCTTTCACTTCCCCTTTTTATGGCTGGAAAAAAGTAAATACTATCTCCAAGTAATATGTTCAAGGGAAATGCACATGTATTTACCAAGAACAAAGTGGTAAACATTGTTTCTATGGGTTACCAGAAATTACTTATTTCACGGCAACCATATTGCATCAGAGTTGCCTCATTTCTACTAAATGAACAATAAAATCGCACTTCTAAGAAGAATGTCTGGAGTTTGAGCAATAACTGTAAAATTAAGGAGACTTCAGTGGGACCAGATGTTTGTAATTACATTTAAACTGCTGCGAAGGCATTGAAAAATTGGCTAGGTAAGGAAATAAAACCTGAGGCTGATCAATAGTCAGGAGATTACTTTTCATACAGTCCTATGTGAACTTTTTGGCAGATCATTATCATAAATAACATTGATCTTCAAAAAAGCATTTAGAACATATTAGATGAGTGAAATAGTACCTTCTGGTGTTTTTTTTTTTATAAATAGTATTCAAGTTCAACTAAAACTCTTTACCTTCATACATACAAGGGGAATCTCTCTTAACTGGTTACCCTAACAAAACATCTTTAATGATACTACCACTAGTAACCTTTTATTAGGAATACTATTTTATAATTAATATTATAAATTAAATTTTTACAAATATTTATTGGACATAAATGAATGTGTCAGCCAGGACTATGCATCAGGCTGTATTCTAAGAGGCATATATTTATTTGATTCTGACCACAGCCTTTTGAGATAAGTGGTGCTATTATCTCTCCTTACAGAGGGGGGCACTGAATCACAAGAGAGATGAGCAACTGCAGAGCTGGGATCTGAACCCAGAAATCTGGTTTCCAAACCCATGCTCAGTGATCACACTGCACTACCTCCATAAAGGGTTACTGAGCAGCTTTTGGATATCAGGACTTTGTCATATACTATCTACATAATTTCACTTCACTCCCCCCGCTGTGCCCCCACTGCACCCCACCACTGCCAGCAATCATCCCAATAGCTATGATGATCTTTATTTTACAAATGAGGAAAATGAGGTTCAACCTAATTTGCTTGGTGAAGGCCCACAGCCAAGAGGTGGTGAATATGGACTCTGTCTCTGCTCTTTCAGATCCCAATTTTATTCACCATCTACCATGCTCTGGCTTTGTCAGTTATTTTCTCGGCAATTTTACATAAGTTGCATGATATCACATGCCAGGGTATTTTGGAAACGCCCATAAGATGAAAAACAATGCTAGACATGTCCTTCCTAATTACATCTCACTCAAAATTATCACACAAGTTCTCCCCAATTTTACCACTGCTTGTTTTGGTACACTTCAGCTCTGTTTGCTGTCCTAGCCACACAGCTACATGTATGTGTTTGTGTGTATACATATACATACATACATATATATGTACATATACACATATACATATATATGTACATATACACATATACATACATACATATACATACATATATACACATGCATATATACACATATACATATATATGTATATATAGACACACACACATATATGTAGCTGTGTGGTTAGGAGAGCAACACACACACACACACACATATCCATCATGTTTCAGTAAGCACATCTTTGGTGTACAATTGTTACTACACTATGTTTCTTTACTAGGTAATGAGATCTACTTTCACACAATTATAAACCACATTTCACAATCTGTTGCACTCAAAAGTATTTTCAATAGGACAGTACCCAAATTGAATGTATGTAGACTCAGTTAAATTAAAAATAAAATTTACACATAAATTAGGATTTGATAGCATTTCTATTAAAGGTTTACGTATGTTTTGAAAGCCACTTAAGAAAATGTGGCACATATACACCACGGAATACTATGCAGCCATAAAAAAGGATGAGTTCATGTCCTTTGTAGGGATATGGATGAAATTGGAAATCATCATTCTCAGTAAACTATCGCAAGGACAAAAAACCAAACACCGCATGTTCTCACTCATAGATGGGAATTGAACAATGAGAACACATGGACACAGGAAGGGGAACATCACACTCTGGGGACTGTTGTGGGGTGGGGGGAGGGGGGAGGGATAGCATTAGGAGATATACCTAATGCTAAATGACGAGTTAATGGGTGCAGCACACCAGCATGGCACATGTATACATATGTAACTAACCTGCACATTGTGCACATGTACCCTAAAACTTAAAGTATAATAAAAAAAAGAAAGCCACTTAGAAAGATAGTCATAATGAAATGATTACTTAGATATTTTAGTTTGTTCTAGGTTGCTTCATTTACTAATACTTTATTTCTTTATATTTCCTTATTAAGCATGTCTTAATGTTTTCTTTTTCTATTATTTTATTATTATTTTTTTAAGTTCCCGGGTATACCTACAGGATGTACAGATTTGTTGCATAGATAAACAAGTTCCATGGTGGTTTGCTGCACCTATCAACCCATCACCTAGGTATTAACCCCAGCATCCATTAATAAGATTCTGTGCCTTGTTGATTCTGTGGAATTTTGTACACTATATTTTTTGTCCAACTCTCATGAATCCTGATAGATATAAGGCATGTATACCATAACATTCATTTTATAAAGTTGAAATTGTGGTTAGATAATTCTTTTCTGATCTCTTTATCATTTCAAAACAAGCTTATCATTCCCACGTTGCTCTGGCCATCCTTGCCCTGAACCCAGCCTTTTATCTGTCCCTCATTTCCCAAACCTTTGCATGTTATCCTCTGGAACTGCCACTCCAAAACCTGCAAAGCCCCCATATCCTCAGGCTCTTCTCAAAATATTCCTTTTCTCCAGGTTTTAATTGACCTCTCGTTTGTCTCTAAAAGACACCAGTCTCTCAAGTTGTGGTTATTTTCTCACCATCTTATGAACCTCATGGTCAAGACAGTAAATTGCCATTGAGTTTGCTCTCCTTTAAAGTTCTCATATGATCACTTCTCTTTTTGAAGCACACGTCATTACATTTACCACCTTCTCATTGTTAGCAGCAACTGACATCCTGCTCCCTTGTCTTTCACTGAAGATTCTGGCACCAGGCTCACGGTCTTCTTTTCTAACCCAAACCATGCTATTTATCTGTCCAATGACAATATTCATCTTAATGATCCATCATCAGCATGGCCTCCATATCTCCAATGCTCTTCCTGCCTTTTCTGCTTCAACCATCCACCCAACAGTCACAGCTTGGAGTTGCCATTTTCTCTAATGACCACACTTCCAAATCCACCTCTATTATCCAACTACATACTCTATACCATTTTAAAGACACACTTGTTCTTCCCAGTCCTTTGTTCTCTCTACTGTTTCCTGATGCATAAGCCTTTCACTTACTTTGCTTCACTTCTTATCAAGCTGACTATCCATGGGCTTTAACTTTAATAACATACTTTGTGATGTCCCTTCTTCTGTTTTTCTCATTCCATTTGGATGGCTGAACCACAAGCCTGAATGAAACCATTGCACATCTGAATTCTGTGTCTTCTCCAGAGTAGCAGAGCTTTGCATAAGAAAGTGTCACAACAGGTAACATTCATTCGATTATAAATTAGTAATTCCCAAACTTAAAAAAGCCCTAAAACACTTTCTGTAAGCCTTACTTTGTCTCTTTGAAAAACTCTCCAATTCACCACAACCATGTGAAAACTTTTCAAGCCTCATCAAATTTCTGACACCCTCCTACCTCTCCAAATCCCTCTCCGAATCCAAATCTCCATATTCAGCAGATGATCTTACCTCTTACTTTACAAAGAAAATAGAGGCTCTCAGATGGAAATGTCTTTATCGTCCTAATGCTCTCCCCAATATTCGTACAAACCATCTTACAAACCAACTTGCATATGCACCTACACTTTCTGTCATCTCTTCTACTACAATAAAGAGGTTGTCCCATGCCTATGTAAAGCCATGCTCACCACCTGAACTACAGCTTTCATCTCATCCTGCATCCTGGACATCATAAACTAGATGATTCCTTTGCAGAATTACATATTCAACCTCTTCCTTTTACATGATTCCTTCCCATCGTATTTTAAACATTCACAAGTTTGTGCAATCAACATATGAAAACAAACCTAAATCAATAATTTTTAAAAAATACCGATCCTGTGTTCTCCTCCAGCGAATGCCTTCTTTCTTCCATAGCCCAATTTTTTTAAAGGAGTTATCTATACTTATAGTCTGTATTTTCTTTTCTCTAGAGTATGCCAATCTGGCTTCAGTTCCCAATAGTCCACTGAAATAGTTTTTTTGTGAGGACGGTGCTGACTTTACATCACCGAATCCAATACATATTTTTTACTCTTCTTACCTGACCTCTCATCAGCACTCTGTAATGCTGACCCAGTTATCCTTTTGAAGTAATCTCTTTTATAAACTTCCATGTCACAGCCCTCTCTTAGTGTTCTCATTCTCCAGCTGATTGTTCTCTGCCTATTGTAAAGTTCTAGTCTACCCTTCACTACTTGGCCATTCAAATTTGAAATTCCCTAGACTTTTTTCTTGGCCTTTTCTTGTTTTATCCTCTTTCACTGGGAAAAATCATTCATGCTCACAGATTCAATGATGTACTCATACGTATCTTCAACCCAGACAATTCTTCAAGTTGCAAATCATTTATTCAAAGTCTAGTTACATCTTACTTTGGATATTCAAAAGCCATCAGTTTTACTATCTTTCTCACATTCTATCCAAACTTAATTCCAGACTACTGTTCTTTATTTCTAATAATAATAACCCATTCATCAAAGTCTACTAGTTGGAAAGCTACGGTGGTTTTAGAGCCCTCTCTCTCATTTTACATTCAATCCATCACTAAATCTTATAAAGTTGACTTTATAATTTTCATATGCAAACAATTTTTTTTCCATCCCTAAACACTACTCCCATGAATTCTAGTCCATGTTATTATCATCTCTTTCCTGGGACCCTGAAATAGCCTTCTAAGTTCTACCCACATCTGATCTTGTCCCATTTATAGTGTGGGCTGAGCTTTTAAAAATGCAAACATAATGTAATCTTGCTAACTACCTGCTTAAAATTCCTTATTGTTCTTAAGATAAAAAGTAAGCTTGTTAACTTCCTCTACACTGTCCCGCATGGTCCTGGCTCCACCTCTCTAACTTCAGCTCGCACTGCACTTGATCAACTTGTTCTGTTCCAGTCTCCCTGGCCTTCTAGGCTTTTATACACACTTTAATCTTTGCTTATAGTATGCATACCCTTGCACATGATTTCCTCTTTCTGGGGCATGCTTCCCTCCCTCCATTGCTCAACTAACTCTTACCCTTCAAATCTCAACACAAGTGGTCACTTCTTCAAGACGGCCTTATTTTCTAATTGTATTCACTTTTGGCCCAACTACCTCTCCTCTCTAGGATCCACTGCAATTTCAATTTTATACTTGTGTGGGTTTGATTATTTAATGAATGGCCATCTCTCCAATTAGACCATGACATCAATAACCATGTATGGTTATTGCCTGCTAGAGGATTTTCAATAGTAGGCATTCAGTAAATATTTGTAAAACATTAAAGACAAATAAATTTCAATCATCCAGATTGATACATTTGTGGAAAGTAAAATCACTAACACTATGAGGCAAATTAAAAAATCCTATGAGATAAAAATTAAAAAGTTCAAAGAACATAAACAAAAAATTAATCATAAAAATTTTGTTAGCAGAATTAGAAAGTGACTGCTTTAATTAGTTTTTAGGTTCTAATTTTTTATTTTCCAATTTCATTTAGAAATGATTAATTCCACAAATTAATGAAAAGCTGTGTTTTGTAGAATAAAAGACCATGAAGGTGGAAAATTACAGCTTCAACTCAAATCTCTTACATATTGGCAACGTCCTGGGAAAAGAGGGTTTTTTTTTTTTTGTAAAAGAGAGCTCAGAGAAAACAGACTACTCAATATAATCACACTTCCATGGGAAAATACTATCTGTGGATTTGGTGTCACAAAACACAAACTCTTTTGACAAAAAAAGCATAGAGTAAGTTTTCCTCTGTAACGTCACCTATACCACTGGAAGCAGATATAAAAGGAAATTCACGGTTTTATGAGACAGTGTAATAAGACAAAATTAATAAAAGCATAACTTTGCATGATTTTGTTAAGTTTTGCCAAAACTTTTAATTACTTTTTATTTATCCTGTTTTTAAACCATGACCTTAACTTTGAATTTCTTAGAGACACATAATTTGCCATTTGATTTCTAAGTTGAGAACCTAAAGGGAGCTGTAAGAAAAGAGACAAAAGGTTTGTATACTTTTTTTTAATGAACATTCACTCTGCACATTGGATCACATAATTCCTTTATTACATAGAAAACTCTAAAAGCTACCTGCTCTGTAATTATTTCTACTTTGTGCAACATGCATTCACAAATAAGAAAATGCAAGAGCAATTGTTAAAAACACCACTGCAATCTATGTATTTGCCAATTATATGAATAGTTTTGCAAAAAAGAAGTACTAAATTTTAAGCCAGTTGTTTAAGGTATAGAGGTCATAGGTGTCATTGAGAATATAATAAAATGTGACTCCTTCCTCTGGAAAAGTACACTTCACATACGATTCTTTTTAAAAAATAATTGGGACTATTTTAATGTTTGATCATTCAACATTTGATTCTGTACTGCACGTTAAACAAAAAATTTATTTTAAAAATTAATTTTGTTTTTTATTGGTGATATTAGATGTGCATATTTTAGGGTAATGTAATAATTTGATACAGTCATACAATCAAATAGGGGTCAGTGGGATATCCACCACCTTATTTATCTTTATGCTAGAAACATTCAAACTCTTTTCTTTTAGCTGTTTTGAAGTGTACAATCAATTTATGTTAACTATACTCACCCTACTGATCTATTGGAAAACCAGGAGGTCTTGTTTCTAAGTGTATATTTGTACCCATTTACGTACAATTCTACAGAAAATGTTAGGTGATTTGTAGCACTCTGAATTCCACTCATAGATATGGGTAGAGAAACCCTGTTATAAACTGTAGACTCTAAGACCATAGCAGCTTGTTAGAGTCCTCCTCTCTTTTCCACACGCTGTTAGATCCATTATGCTAATAACACAAACAGGCTTACTTCATTTTGTTTTGTCTCATACCACCCATATCAACATCACTTACAAAACTAATACAATTTTGGCCTAACAAAATTGGGAGAGTTAGGGATGAATGAAGAATTTTCTTTATATTTCCACATTAGCTTAGATGTCCATAAGTATTCTGATATCTGACATTTGTGTCAGAAAAACAATAGTTATACAATTCTAATTGCTTTTCCAGGTATCTTGTATGGACTACCTCACAGCTACCCCAGTAAGGAAGCTATAGATGAAAAAACTAAATATAAGAGAATATGAAACAACTTGGCCTGGATCAGGTAGTTGATATATGATAGAATCATAATTTGTAAATCTAATCTAATAAACTCGAAACACTTTGCCCAAATCAAACCTAATAAACTGTGATCAAATCTAATCAACTCTAAATACCTTGCCTTGTCCACTACTTGAATTTTATCTAATGAAAGACAGAAGGTATGTATTAGAATATTAGAGATTTAAAAGAACTATTACGTATAATTTGACAAGAAAAACAATTTCCTAACCAAATTCAGGTTATCATAATGTATAAACCATTATTGTTTTAAAAATCATATTTGTGGTTATTAAATTATTCTTAGATTATTAACTGAGTTGATAATGTTCTATCCTGGTTCACCCATTTTATCACTATCATTGCTAAAGCATAAACATTTACAAAGTAGAATGATCAAAAGTAGTAATTAACGTATGCTAAAATAAACTAACCTACAGAAAATTAATAAGAATAATCAAATAATGTTGAGCCTCCAAGATAGTTATTTTTTTCTAAATTTAATAAAACCATAGTCAATGTGCTTTGAGACAAAATCGATGTAAAATTAAGTTATGTTAAAGTTTCAATAATAGAAATTGAGAAAAAGAAATTATAGCCAATTTAGAGAATATATTACCTTTTTATAAAAATTTAGAAAGTACAAATCCCCTATATATCATTCAAGTTTTTAATTAAAAGATGGGGGTGTAATATCACAATATCTAGAAAAGCAGAAATAAAGCCAAGTAGCAACTTGAGGGGATGGAATCACAAAAATAAAAATCATATAAAAATGATCAACTTAGACAATTAGTGCATATAGTCTGCTTTTGATAATTCCAATATACACTTTAATGCCATCTTTCAAAGCTCATATTTATGGTTATTTATTTCAAATTAAGGTTTTAAAATGTATATACATAAATTAAAGTCCTAGGCTAGGCTTATTTTATTTTTTATACCAAATCTGGTGCCAAAACAGAGATATAGATCAATGGAACAGAACAGAGCCCTCAGAAATAATGCCGCATATCTACAACTATCTGATCTTTGACAAACCTGAGAAAAACAAGCAATGGGGAAAGGATTCCCTATTTAATCAATGGTGCTGGGAAAACTGGCTAGCCATATGTAGAAAGCTGAAACTGGATCCCTTCCTTACACCTTATACAAAAATCAATTCAAGATGGATTAAAGACTTAAATGTTAGACCTAAAACCATAAAAACCCTAGAAGAAAACCTAGGCACTACCATTCAGGACATAGGCATGGGCAAGGACTTCATGTCTAAAACACCAAAAGCAATGGCAACAAAAGCCAAAATTGACAAATGGGATCTAATTAAACTAAAGAGCTTCTGCACAGCAAAAGAAACTACCATCAGAGTGAACAGGCAACCTACAAAATGGGAGAAAATTTTCACAACCTACTCATCTGACAAAGGGCTAATATCCAGAATCTACAATGAACTCAAAGAAATTTACAAGAAAAAAACAAACAACCCCATCAAAAAGTGGGCGAAGGACATGAACAGACACTTCTCAAAAGAAGACATTTATGCAGCCAAAAAGCACATGAAAAAATGCTCGTCATCACTGGCCATCAGAGAAATGCAAATCAAAACCACAATGAGATACCATCTCACACCAGTTAGAATGGCAATCATTCAAAAGTCAGGAAACAACAGGTGCTGGAGAGGATGTGGAGAAATAGGAACACTTTTACACTGTTGGTGGGACCGTAAACTAGTTCAACCAAATCTATCAAAATACCAGTTTTTTGATCCTCTCTCTCTTTCCACATTCTACCCTCAAGTAGTCCTCAGGGTCTGTTGCTCCTGTCTCTGTGTCCATATGTGATACACTTATAAGTGAGAACATGCTGCGTTTGGTTTTCTGTTCCTGGGTTAGTTCACTTGAGATAACAGCCTCCAGCTCCAACCATGTTGCTGCAAAGAACATGAGCTTGTTACTTTTAATGGCTGCATAGTATTCCATGGTGTATATGTACACCATTTTCTTTAACCAGTCTAACATTGATGGGCATCTTGGTTGGTTCCATAGCTTTGCTGTTGTGAATAGTGCTGTCATGAACATACACATGTATGTGGCTTTATGGTAGAATGATTTATATTCCTTTAGTTATATACCCAGTAATGAGATTGTTGGGTCAAATGGTAATTCCGTTTTAAGTTTTTTCAGAAATCGCCAAACTGCTTTCCACAATGGCTGAACTAATTTACATTCCCACCAGCAGTGTATAAGCATTCCCTTTATTCCACAATCTTGCCAGCATCTGCTACTTTTTTACCTTTTAATAGTAGCCATTCTGACTAGTGTAAGATGGTATCTCATTATGGTTTTGGTTTGTATTTTTCTAATGATTAGTGACGTTAAGCATTTTTTAATATAATGTTGGCTGCATTTACAGAATTATTAATCATTTTAATTATTTCTCACCCAATTTTTTTTTTCTTAAGAATGTTTACTCATTTTGGAATTTCAGTGAAATGGTAAGATAAATCAGCTACTAGCAATTCATTTTTCACCTCTCCCTATATGAAAACAGGCTTGATGGAGCTAATTATTCATGGCTATCCAGATATTGAATGTACTTTCCTATACCTACCCCCTACACCCAGTGCAGAGCAGAGGAGTAAATTGGCTATTGTCATACAACATGAGTAAAATATTTTTGGTCAGTCATTGAACCTGTCCTCTGTATCACTGTTAGATGCTTAGTTTGTCATGCAACTTTTATAGACCTCGAATACTGATAAACTCACTGATAAATAACATTGTTTTAGGAGTTATTAAAAATAACCAATGAAATATTTTATTGTTTAATTTACTTACCTATTAATTTACCTAGTATAATTTATTTAGATTATTTTCTAGTAATTTAACAATTTTTGTAGAGTAATTTGTAATTTTTAGTGCAATCTGACATTGGCAATTTACTTGCCCACTGTAGATCCAACAGTTATTAAGATACCTTTGGAGGGTTTAAGTGGTCAGCAAGTATGAATAAAGACATTTCTTCCTTTTGGTTTAGAAAGAAGTCAATGTAAGAAGAAAAACCAAAAATAATTATATTTAAAATTCACTTAAAAAATTTTACTTTGGATAAAGTGACTTACAAAATTCATAGTTATGAACATAAATATCCTAAAGCCGTCCATGAATAGGTTTTATTGAACTACAGAATATTAAATTGATTTTGCTAACCTAGTAAATATTTATTGAGGCTCTAAACATGCGCTGTATTAAGCCCTACAGACAGTATTTAGCAAAACCAACATACACTGTACTTCATAGTGTTCATAGGGGAAACAGACAAAATAAAAGTAGATAAGTATATTAATTAAATGATTATAAAATATGATGAATGCTGTAAGGAAACAAGTGTTGAAGTACAGAATAATAAGAGAGGACTTGCTTTGAAAGGGTAGAAGGTGACTACAAAGATATAACATTTATGCTCATCTCTGCATATTCATGGATAATTCTGGCAGGGGCTAGAAAGTATATAGGGTTATCCCCAGCAGAGATAAAAATTTGGTAAAATAAGGCACAACAGAGAAATAATATTAGCAAATCTGACTTACAAATGACAATACTGAGGTATTTTCCACAATTTCCACAAAGAAAAAAGCTGGGTTAAGTTTATGGTTTCCTTAAATTTATCTCTGCGCAATTAACGACTACAAAATATGGTACAGCCTAAAATTGTATGAACTTATGTTAACCTTTGCATATACCAGCAGTTTCCTTTTTAAAATAAAAAAAAAGTAATGAAAACATCTTATTTTTTTGTGTGTGACAGGTAGCAATGTCTCCTTTTATCTTCGGCTGAAAATAAGATTTGTAGTGATATAGAACTGTTTACATTTGAACCTCTCTGAAACATATTGATGTTTTATGGAGCTTTAGTTGCCTTTCAATCATCAGATATTTGACCAACATATTGACTTTTTCTCCATGGGATTAGGAGAGTCAGGGATAAAGAACGAACCATTTCAAAGACTGAAGTCAAGCTGAAGACTACAGCACATGACACTTCCGTAGGAGATTATTCTAACCAATGACATTATGAAAATAAAATCTTAGGTCAAATGATTTCTTTAAATAGCTGGATTAAATTTCTATTTTATTTGACATAAGATATAAATTTTCTGAATAAATGTGTTTCACAAAATAAGTGATTAGTGTATTGCTTCTAAGATTGAATAAAATGTTTCCTATTAGACTGTAAGTTCCTTTAAAAAGCAGAGCACCCCTCTGTGTAGCTTAGCCCAATGCCTGTCACATGGTTAGCATCAATAAGACATGGCTGAACAGAAAAAGTCCTTTCCACTTATTGCAGTCAATGAAGTTAATCCTAGATATACTCCAGGGATGCTTTGTAAGTTACAGGTAATATTATTAATTCTTTGTATACTATGTATACACTGAACCTTATTTTGCAATTTTGCAAAACTGAAGTTGAATGGACCATGCAATTTGACATGCTGCCAATGAAAACAAGACCTTTCTTTTTCTTGACGGGAAACTTTCAAACCAATAGAGCTAAGGAAGCAAAAATCTAAAGTAAAATCAGGTTTCAGTGTAAATGTGCCCATAGACTGCATGTTATGCACGCTGATTCAGTTGATTTAAGATGACGGACAGATATGAACATCCTCCCTCCAAAAGTGTGCGCAGGCATACACACACACACACACACACACACACACACACACACACACAGACACACCTTGTCATTCTCCTCCTCCTCAGCACTTCTGATGTTCATCCTGGTTGAAAACGTATGCTTTTGGTTTACTTTAAAAATGTTCTTTGTTTAATAGTTGCTCTTCACTTTATAGAAGTATCTTGAATGACACTATTAGATTGGTGCAAAAGTAATTGAGGTTTTTGCCATTACTTCTAACGGCAAAGTACTTTTAACTACTTTTGGACCAACCTATAGATGTGTGAAATGAAGCATGAAAAACAACTGTTTTTCAACTGATTTTCATAACTATTTTTACCTTTTACATCATTCTTTCTTTCCTCATTTTTGGATGAAACCTAATGCTTCAGTCATTATAGACTTTTGTTCTGTGATTATCTTTCTTATATGCACAAGACTTCTAAATAATGTAGCTGAATGGGGGGCACATTTCAAAGGACTAATGCTAATATTTTAAAGAAGTTAAAGTAAAAACATAGTCATGAATGTGTTAAGAGTTCTTTTCGGAAAGTAAGTCATACTGATACCAAAAAAGGAAAAAATAAGGAGGTATTTACATTAAAAATAGAAATAAATATGATTTCAAGTTTCACACACACATACACGCAAAGCCTCAAAAACAACTTAAAAGGAAAAATTGTTGGTTGGCAAAACATCTCATTGTGGACCATAAAACAACATTTAAATTTCTTCGTCAACCCTGAACATTGGATATTCTGGCCATGTAAGTCGGTGTTGTATAACAGGAGAGTGTAAGAAAAAGCAAGTTCAATGGGCTCTAGACATATTTTGAAGGTAAATTGATTAGAAACAATTATAACTTCTTTTTGAATCTTGTGCTAAATGAAAGCAGTCTGCAGGTTCTAGACAGAGGTATAGAGCTGTTTGTCCCCTTGATTGAAGGTCTCTGCTGCTGGTAAGGTCATTCTCTTCAAATGAACATTCAGGTTCAGGAGAGATTCACGAGGGGCAGAGTTAGGGAAGGGCACTTGGCCAGCCAGGCTGAGCATCTGAACCAACCCTGTCAAGTCAGGGGGATGATGAATATCACAGCCAGAAATCCTTCACACCCAAAAGGGCAAGGGGAAAGAGAACTCAAAAATAAATATATATCTTTAATCAGTATGATTTGTGACCATTAGGTACATACTTTGTCACTCAGTGTTTATATGCCGTGGATTTTCTAAAAAGCTACTTTACTCAGAGAAGCTCAACACAGTTTGTGGAACACCACCACATCTTGAAAAGGGCCGGATGGTAAGAACTTTTCCATGCCTATTCTGCCATATAGAGACACAGAAAGACTAGAGGTACTGTTTTAGTTAATATAAAAACCAAAATTCAAGGTGCTTGACTATCATCTCATAAAACCTATTATAAACACCCTCTATCACTAGCATATTTATGACTATCCTATTTTGACTTATGCACTTTAATATATGCCAATTTAAGTCACCCACAGAGCAAGAAACGTCAAAATTCAGGAGTTGCCAAATCTCCTTACTGCTCTTTCAGCACCACACAGTATCCCTCTCCCTGAATTTCTACAGAAGTGCACGCAGGCTCAGGGTAAAAGGAAGACAATATTGAAGACTGCCTTCCCCCTGGACTGGATGATATGTACGCAAATATTTAAAAAAATAAATAACACTTAAATTTGTAAACACTGTTTCTGCCAGCATTACTTTTGGCAATGCAAATGTATATTATGAATTTAGATTTTTCTTCACAGTTCTGTACTGAAGGGAATGTGAACAGCTATGTGAAAATTAATTAGGCAAACAATTGGACGGCAGGCCTCACTGTATACAGGAGATAAGCTTCTCACCTTTCCCAGCAGACAGGTTAATAACTTGGCCTTGCCTGGCTTCCTAAGTTTCTGAAACTAATTTTTCAAATAGCAGATAGATATTATCTGGCCAGTCCAGTTTTTGGTTTAGTTTCTAAAACGTATTGTGTATACCCTGGAGCAATGTTGAAATGTCAGGATTTTGTGGGTAAATTGTTGTGAACAATTTAATTAAAGCCTCCAAAAGCTTAACTCAAATGTTCAAAAAGTTCTGAAATAGGATTCAACTTACATTTAGCTTTATTCTCTTATCTGCTTTAGCGTTTGAAGAATAAATGCAGACTAGATCAAACAACACCTAGTATACTTGAAATTTTTCATAGATTTCCTAGGAATATTTCATCTCTCTTTTTACGCTGCTTTTTTCTTAAATATATATTAAACATATAATTGTATAATTACATAAATTATATGTAAATTCATATATTTTATAAATATATATTAAAGATATATGCACGTATCAGCACAATCATAGTACATTGATGGTTCAAATTGGACTAAAGGAGGCAACTCTCTACCTGAAACAAAGAAAATATGGAAAGGAGAGGAAAGAAATGTTGGGGCTCTCAGAGAAGTAGCGCAAGAGCTGGGGTGGACAGGATGCTGAGGACCCTGCACTGGCTCACTCATTCTCTATTCCTCCCTCCTTCCAGATTTGGAAAGGTAAAAACTGCTTTTCTCAGATTTCCTTGTAGCTAGGGTTCTAGGTGCAAATTAAGTCCTATTAATTATATGCTCTCCAGCTGGCCACAGTGGCGCATGTCTGTAATCCCAGCACTTTGAGAGGCCGAGGCGGGAGCATCACTTGAGCCAGCGGTTCAAGACCAGCCTGGGCAACAGAGTGACACCCCAGTCTCTAAAAAAAGAAACAACAACAACAAAAAGAAAAATTTTTAAAAATAAAATTAAAAACAAAGTATATGCTCTCCTGTGATTTGGAAAAGCTGAGATGAGTTGAAATGAAGAATTCTTTCTCTTGCTGTGTGGCAGCTGCTGCTGGAAACCAAGGCTATGAAAATATAAGGACGCCTACCAGCAACACTGAAGCATGTTATCCAGTCTTTTAGATTCTGAGATGCAGTTTTGGTAGTATTGGTGGGGGCTCTTGTTCCAAGCATCGTCCTAGTAATGTTCTCAGAGTTAATACTTTCCTTGGTGGGTCAATAGGTATAGTTCTGCGAGTCTTTACAAAAAGCTCAGCCAAAAATTTCTTCTGTCTTTCCTATGGCTAAATTCTCTTCGTAACTGACTCCTGGTGTAGTTTCTGTTTTCTGCACTGAACCCTTAGTGACAAAGGGAGTGGGGGCTAGATGCCTCTGAACTGAATTTTCTCTCTTTGGAACCAAGGAAATTGCCCAGGTGGAACCCTCAAAGAATTGCCAGGTTAGAACCAAGTCTAAAGTCCAAGATTGGCCAGACACAGTGGCTGACGCCTATAATCCCAGCACTTTGGGAAATGGAGGTGGGAGGGTAACTCGAGGCCAGGACTTCAAAATCAGCCTGGGCAACATAGTGAGACCTTGTGTCTACAACAGTAAAAGTAAAAATAAATTATCTGTGCACGATGGTATGTGCCTGTAGTCCCAGCTCCTCGGGAGTCTGAGGTGGGGGGATTGCTTGAGTCCAGGAGTTGGTGGCTGCAGTGAACTTTCATTGTGACACTGTACTCCAGCCTGGAGTAAAGCTCCATCTGTTAAAATTAATCAATTAAATTTTAAAAAATAAAAATAAAGTCCAAAGTTGGGATAGTCACTAAATCCAAATCCAAACAGAAGTAAAGGAAAATCAAAAGCCAAATTGCCAAATCAAATGTTTGAGGAAACAGGAAAGGCAATTCATGACAACATTGGAAGATAATAGAAATGGGTACAGAGAAATTTGTCAGCTGAAATTCAGCATTTCCAATGTCATTTTTGTAGTGTATGTGGTAATTCTTTGGTGTGGCAGAGCTTGAACCACTTAAGGGATTCATGACTAGTGGATAGGGAGCTTGAGTGAGAAGGTCCTCATACATGCACCACACTTAACAAGCTTGGAGTTTGTGTTATAGAGAGTGGCAGGGCCATTGATGGCTCTAGAGTGCTGGGTTCCATCTATGATTTGGAAAGAAAACTTTCAAGCAAAGCTCAAAACAGATTAGAACTAGTAAGACTTCAAAGTAGATAAACAAATTAGGAAGCTATTACGATGAAGGCATGACTAAGTCCAGAAAAATTGAAAAGGTATATAAGGCAGATTTAACAAGACAACGAGTAAGAGATTGGAGGTACATGACAAAAGGAGATGTCGTTTCTAATTGGGGAAAACAGACAAATTGTGATGCCCTCTATGGAGATATAGAATACGTGCAGATTCATGAGAATAAAGAACAAATTAGGACTCATCAAGGTCAAAAGTCAGAAATGCAAGATTGCAATGCTGGCCTTTTCTCCGTGAGTTTTGCAACCCTTAATAAATCCCTTCATTTCAAGCTTCTATCGTTTGTATAATGGAGGTAATAATATCTATCCTCCACAATGCATGTAATGGGGATGAATATAAAATGAGCTACTGGGACAGTGACATGACAAATTAAGTTGCTTTTGATTGTTATTATAACTCATTTAGCAAAACTAGAAAGGTCTAGTAAAAACTCTAAAAACTTGACAAATTAAATTAGTTTCTTTCATCTAGCTCAAAGTTGGATCCAAAATATTATTATTATTATTATTATAATACTTTAAGTTTTAGGGTACATGTGCACAACGTGCAGGTTAGTTACATATGTATACATGTGCCATGTTGGTGTGTTGCACCCATTAACTCGTCATTTAGCATTAGGTATATCTCCTAATGCTATCCCTCCCCCCTCCCCCAACCCCACAACAGTCTCCAGTGTGTGATGTTCCCCTTCCTGTGTCCATGTGTTCTCATTGTTCAATTCCCACCTACGAGTGAGAACATGCGGTGTTTGGTTTTTTTGTCCTTGCGATAGTTTGCTGAGAATGATGGTTTCCAGGTTCATCCATGTCCCTACAAAGGACATGAATTCATCATTTTTTAAGGCTGCATAGTATTCCATGGTGTATATGTGCCACATTTTCTTAATCCAGTCTATCATTGTTGGATATTTGGGTTGGTTCCAAGTCTTTGCTATTGTGAATAGTGCTGCAATAAACATACGTGTGCATGTGTCTTCATAGCAGCATGATTTATAGTCCTTTGGGTATATACCCAGTAATGAGATGGCTGGGTCAAATGGTATTTCTAGTTCTAGATCCCTGAGGAATCGCCACGCTGACTTCCACAATGGTTGAACTAGTTTACAGTCCCACCAACAGTGTAAAAGTGTTCCTATTTTTCCACATCCTCTCCAGCACCTGTTGTTTCCTGACTTTTTAATGATCGCCAAAATACCATTCAGGACATAGGCATGGGCAAGAACTTCATGTCTAAAACACCAAAAGCAATGGCAACAAAAGCCAAAATTGACAAATGGGATCTAATTAAACTAAAGAGCTTCTGCACAGCAAAAGAAACCACCATCAGAGTGAACAGGCAACCTACAGAATGGGAGAAAATTTTTGCAACCTACTCATCTGACAAAGGGCTAATAACCAGAATCTACAATGAACTCAAACAAATTTACAAGAAAAAAACAAACAACCCCATCAAAAAGTGGGTGAAGGATATGAACAGACACTTCTCAAAAGAAGACATTTATGCAGCCAAAAAACACATGAAAAAATGCTCATCATCACCGGCCATCAGAGAAATGCAAATCAAAACCAAAATATTATTTATTGTTTTTGCCCCAGAGTAGGTGCTCTGGGATGCTTTTGTGTGAAAAAATGAATAACGTGGTGTGGGGCATGTCATTTTATTTAGAAAGACAACTGAAGAAAGTGGATGTAATTCAGAGATCACAATGGAAATGGGGACAATTACTGTGGAATAATGAGTTTCAGTTTATTGTGCACACCCTTGTGTAACATCAATCAAAGCTTTTCTGAGGCAATTAGAAGAAAGGAGAACAGAGTGAACTACGATTTCATCATCAGTCCATGTCTACAAATGAGCAGCAGTGCCAATGGAGAATCCTGTCTTTATTTTTCAGCCATTCTGACAAGCAAAAAGGCAATGGATAAAAGCCATTTTATGTGTTGTCTTGTTATATTTAAAAAACAAATGCAGTTGCAACATGGTTTTGTTGCAAGGAGAAAGAGACAATATGTTCTCTAACAAAAATAAAACAAGACAAAAAATTGTACTTGTAAATCAGCACCTGAGCTAATTTCATGTTTGACACAGAAATAAAAGCATATGAAAAATCATCTTGTTTTGTGGTACTTTGAAGTTGTAACTTTAGGAGACTAGCAGCAGGAATTGGGTGCCTGACAAAAACCTGCCAAAAAAAAAAAACATTACTAACTGAGAAATTGTGTAGAATGCTCTTTGTCCTTCCAAATAATTTGGTGATATTTATAATTACAAAAGGACATACATAATTTATTATATTTTCTCAATCTCTATAAAGCATTATAAGAAAATAAAGCTGTTTTTCACATATTGGATCTTTTTTAAAATTTATTATTATTATACTTTAAGTTTTAGGGTACATGTGCACAATGTGCAGGTTAGTTACATATGTATACATGTGTCATGCTGGTACACTGCACCCACTAACTCATCATCTAGCATTAGGTATATCTCCCAATGCTATCCCTCCCCCCTCCCCCCACCCCACAACAGTCCCCAGAGTGTGATGTTCCCCTTAGGGACATGGATGAAATTGGAAATCATCATTCTCAGTAAACTATCGCAAGAACAAAAAACCAAACACCGCATATTCTCACTCATAGGTGGGAATTGAACAATGAGAACACATATTGGATCTTAAGTCAATCCCTTTATAATTATACCAGGGCCTTTTAGGCATATACTCAGATCAGTGCAGCTTCCTGGTTGACCTATGTTATTATTAGAGATGCACATAATTATTTATTTAATCTTCTTGTTTATTTTTTTTAGAGATGGGGTCTTGTTCTGTTGGCCAGGCTGGAGTGCATTGGTGTGATTGTAGCTCACTATAACCTTGAATTCCTGGGTTCAAGCTATCCTCCTAAGTTCAGCCATACTAGGAGCTGGGACTAAAAGCCCATGCTACCATGCCTGGCTAATTTTTAAATTTATTGCAGAGATGGAGTCTTGCTGTGTTGTCCAGGCTGATCTCAAATTTTTGGCCTTAAGTGATCCTTCCACTCAGTCTCCCAAAGTGCTGAGATAAATGGTATAAACCACCATGTCCGGGCCATGTAACTATTTATATTAATTATATTTATAGGGAATAAATTCCATCATAACTACCAGGATAGCATTCTTCTTATCATTTATAATAAATATATAGAAATGGATAAGACCACATTCGTGGTTCTTAAAATCCCAGTCAGAAATCTATTTAAATAGGCAGACAGATGAGTTTCAAATCAAGTTTAGCCTAAAGCTGTCTCCTTCCAAATTTTAAGTTTGGCCTGAAGGTTTTCTGTACAACGTGAACTATAGCAAGTGGAGGTGTAGACAGACTGTAGCCTAAACTTGTGCCAATCTCCAGGTTTTGGCCAATAAAATGTAGCCAATATTTCGAATTGTGTTCAAATAAGGCAAGCTCCAAACTATAACCAATCCAGCTGTTTCTGTACCTCACTTTCATTTTCTGTATGTCACTTTCCTTTTTCTATCCATAAATCTTCTTCCACCATGTGGCCGTGCTGCAATTTCAGAGTTTACTCTGGCTCCGGAGGCTGCCCAATTCGCGAATCGTTCATTGTTCAATTTAACTTTAAATTTAATTTGGCCAAATTTTTTCTTTTATCATGAGTAATGCACTCATATATAGATTTTGGCTATACATATATCAATTTTGAGAATTTCACATGCATTTTACAAAAGTACATATAACCAGTTTATGCAGAGAGTTAACGTACTATAATTAGAAATAGATTGTTTTTTTCTTTCTTTATTATTACCTGGCTTGGTGATAAGAAAATAATTTGCTTGAAATGTCTTCATCTCAGCTTCTCCAGCTCTAGATAAGGAAAATAATATAACAAAGGGCCCCTTGGAAGAGAAAATGAACCGGACTCAGCTTGGCACAATTCCTCCCAGCCTAGGCTGGTGATGGGCAACCTGGGATGGTATTAGGCAAGATTGAATGAAGTACGTACTTCTTTTTATAATGCCAAAAATTGTCATGGAGCCCTCTAGAATAAACATCTTTCCATGTAAGTGGAAGGAGCTGGCTTTATAGTGACCCATCTTCAGATCCTTACCTACATGGTAGTTGCAATTTATTTATTTATTTATTTATTTATTTATTTATTTATTTATTTATTTAGAGATGGAGTCTCGCTCTATCATCCAGGCTGGAGTGCAGTGGCACAATCTCGGCTCACTGCAAACTGCGCCTCCCAGGTTCACGCCATTCTCCTGCCTCAGCCTCCTGAATAGCTGGGATTACAGGCACCCGCCACCACGCCCGGCTAATTTTTTGTATTTTTAGTAGAGACGGGGTTTCACCATGTTAGCCAGGATGGTCTCGATCTCCTGACCTCGTGATCCGCCTGCCTCGGCCTCCCAAAGTGCTGGGATTACAGGCGTGAGCCACCGCGCCCGGCTAATTTATTTTTTGATACACGTTTACTCTACCTTATATTTCAGGGCTTGTTAAAAGATGCCTCCTAGTCTCTCTGCTGTGAGGAAGAAAGTTCTACCTTTAGAATAAAGTAGACAAAATAAGGAAACAGAGGGTCCATCTGGCCAAAGCTGAGTAATAGAAGCTGTAGTCATCAGCAGAGGTAAGTGTGACCCCCAATAAACAGTGATACCAAGTGCGCCATTGGCAGCAAAGAGCACTGAGTCTGCTTGATGACAGGACTACAATAGAAGAATTATTCCTGATCTCATGTGAGTTAGCCCATTAGCCCCCTGGAAGCCTCACAGAGTAACTGGAGAAAAATTTGAGGAGGTCTAATTTTAAGTGACCAAGTTGAAGCAGAAGCCATTCTAATGTGAATTTTAATAATTGCTCGTATATAATACAGGACTGAATTAGAGAAATAGAAATGCATTTTTTGTGAAAATTAAAAACATCATATGTATAAATATAAGGCAATTATCATATTTGTATAATCATAAGAAAGTTAAGTGCCTAACATAAATAAGGACACACCACTAATTTTTGGTGGATTCAGAATCAAACATACCATTTTCATGAATCACAATTAAGGGAAGCAATATGTGTCAGAAGGACAGAATTCTAGATCCAGTGCTAATAGACTTGGTGACGTTATTTCAATACTGTGACTCTTACTTGTCTATGGTCACACAAGTAGAAAGTGTCAAAGCTATGTTCAAACTGAAGTAATGGGAACAAAAAAGCAGCTGCAATACAAAAAAAAAGTAAGATAGTAGACTTAAACACCAATATTAAAAGTCATTATATAAACTCAAATAAAAGGCAAATATTTTCAGTGCTAATTTAACATGTACAACTATTTATAAGTTGCATGTAAGAGACACAACTTAAATATAATGACAGAGAAAAATGTGTTAACAACATGAAAATACATATCAAACAAAACTTGTAAAAAGTGACTTGATTCAGCTAAACTATATCAAGGTAGACTTTAAGGAAAGAAACAAAACCATTAAAGAAGAACATTTTATAATGATAAAACAGTCAATACACAAAAGAATATATAAATAAAATTTTATGCAACTAATACATAGCTTCAAAATATAAAGAAAACAAATTAACAAAATTAGAAAAACCTACAATCATAATGGAAAACACTAACATGTCTCTGTAACTACTAAAACATGCAAACAAAAAAATCAATAAGCGCACATGATATCAAAAACATGATTACCAAATTTTAGCTAATTGACTTCTATAAAACACTGTACCTAATAACCGCAAAATGCATATTCAAGTACACATGGAAAATTTACCAAAATTACCATTTTGTGCTACATAAAGCAATTGTAACAAATTTCTAAGGATTAAAATCAGTAATAAAATGACAACTAAAAACATTCTTCAAAGTTTGAAAGCTAAGAAATATCTTTCTAAGATGGGTCAAAAAATCTTAATGGAAGTACAAAACTATTTGGAACCAAGTAATAATTTTAAAACAGTGTATTTCCTGTATCAAATAAGTGATATAGGGAAAGCTATGCTTTGATGAAAATTTATAGCCTTAAAATGCACATATAGTCATCCCCAGTTATCTGTGAAAGACTGGTTCCAGGAACTCCTGAAAATACCAAAATCCATGGATGGATGGTCAGGTTCCTGATGTAAAATGGTTTAGTATTTGCATATAACCTATGCACATCCTCCCATGCACTTTAAATCATCTCTAGATTAATTATAGTTCCTAATACAATGTAAATGCTATGGAAATAGTTGTTATACCATATTTTTTAGGGAGTAATGGCAAGAAAAAAGGAGTCTGTACATGTTCAGTATAGACACAATTTTTTTCTATTTTGGCTCCAACATTGGTTGAATCCATGAATGTGGAGTCCACATAAATGGAACCCATGGATATGGAAAAAAAACTGTTTTAGAAAATAAGTGGATATTCAACGATCTAAGTACATTTATCAAGAAATTTGAAAATAAGCAAGTTTAACCCAAAGCAAATGGCAGAGAGAAAATAATAAAAGAACAAAATAACTAAATTAAAAACAAATGTACAAGGGCCAAGATAATTGAACTGAACTGTCTTCCAAGTTAGTGGCAGATGTTGCTAGGATAACTGTATTCATGAAAAAGAATAAATTTGGATCTCTACTTCACACCATGCACAACAATTAATTCAAAGTGTATCATAGACCTAAATGTGAGAGCTGACACTACAAAACTCTTATAGGAAAACACAGGAGTAAATCTTTGTGATCTTTGGTTAGGTTATTATTTCTTAGATACAACACTAACAGCACCGGTGATAAAAGAAAAGACTGGTAAGTTGGATTTCATCAAAGTGAAAAACTTTTATGCTTTAAAGGACACCATTAACAAAGTGAAAAGACAACCCATAAACTAAAAGAAAATATTTGTAAATCTTATATCTAATAGGGGACTTGTATGCAGAATACAAAAATAACTCTGACAACATAATAATAGAAAGTTGAATAGACATTTCTTGAAAGAAGATATATGGATAGCTAATAAACACAGGAAAAGATCACCATCATTATTTAGCAGAGAAATCAAAATCAAAATCTTGATAAAACATCACTTCATACCAATTAGCATGGCTATAAAAAAGACAGACAATAACAAGTGTTGGAAAAAAAGAATAGAAATGGAAATTCTCATACATTCCTCGTGGAAATTTAAAATAGTACATCCACTGTGGAAAACATTTTTCAGTACCTTAAATTGTTAAACACTGAGTTACCATAAGACCAATCAATTACACTCCTAAGCATCTAACCAAGAATATAAAAATATAGGTTCACATAAAAGCTTGCATTTTGAATGATCATAGCAGGATTATTCAGAATCGCCAAGAAGTGAAAACAACCCAAATCAACTGCTGGACAAATAATAAAATAGGTTGTATTCATACAACGAAATATTATTAACAACAAAATGAAGTTTTGACACATGCTACAACATGGATGAACCTCAAAAACATGCTAAATAAAAGATGTCAGTCACAAAAGACTACATATTGCATGATTCAATTTATATGAGATGTCTAGATTAGACACATCTACAGAGACAAAGTGGATCATAGTTGCCTAGTTGGAGGAGGCAAATACTGGTTGGGAATGGAGGAAGGGCTGGTGAGTAACTGCTAATGCATACAAGTTTCTTTTGGGATGCTGAAAATGTTCCAGATTTAGATTATACCGATGATTGCAGAACTCTGTAAATATATTAAAACCACTGAAATGTGTGCTTTAAATGAATCAACTTAATGATATGTAAAATATATCTCACTTGAGCTGTAAAGAAAAAAAATGTACAATAGAGAAAATTGAAAAAGCCTAAAGTCTGTTCTTTGGAAAACATGGATCATACCTAGCAAGAAATATCACAAAAAAAGAGACTAAGCAAAATATCAATATTTGAACATAAAAGATGACATCACTGTAGATTTTATAGACATTAAGTGAACAATAGGACCCACTTTATGCTAATAAATTTGACAATCTAATTATCATTTGGATGAAACAGAGATGGCTCTGGAAAAACATGACATCACAATTGATACAGAAGTGAAATAAATTATGCCTTTTACATTTCTGAAATTCGTTGAAATCTTTATTCACTGTAATGGTTTTATTCCTTTTTGTATTTTTATACAATCCTTTTTTTGGAGGTCCCCAGGAAGGGAATGGGGCGTGTTCAATCTACCACTCTGAAAGGAAAGCAGACATTTGTGTCGAAAGGAAGTAGAAAAAGGCAGATGATTTGAATGAAACACTTTTACTTATTTATTTTTATAAATTCAACTTTTATTTGATTTGGGGGTCCATGTGCAAATTTGTTTCATGGGTATATTGTGTGATGCTGAAGTTTGGGGTACAACTGATCCCAGCACTCAGGTAGTGAGCATAGTACCCAATAGTTTAACCTGATTTGAAGAAAACGTCACTTTGTCCCTTGAAAACGAGAAGGCAGAATAAAAGTATGATCTCACTTACATATGGAATCTAAAAAGCAGAGTAGAATGGTGGTTCCCAGGGGCTGGAAGGTGGCGGAAAAGGAGAGATGCTCGTCAAAATACACAAAGATTCAGTAATCTAATGTAAGCATGGTGACTCTAGTTAATAATGTTGCAATGTATACTTGAAATTTGCTAAGAATTGACCTTAAGTGTTCTCACCCCTGACCCCCAACACAGAGATACATACTCATAACTATGTTAAGTAATGAATATGTTAATTAATTAATGATTTTGGTAATCATTTTACAATGTATGTGTATATAAAGACATCACGATATACAACTTAAATGGGCATATACAATTTTTACTTGGCAAATATGCATCAATAAATCTGGAAGAAAGCATTTTTATGAGCAATTTTTTAAAAAAAATCTCTGTACTGCATTTACCTTTGTATAGCAAACTCAACATATTATAGTAATTCAAAGATTAGCACACACTGTATTAAGATTAGGTAAAAGAATGTAATTCTTTCACTAATAAAATTAATACATGGGGACCAGGGAGGAGGCAGGGATGAAGAGGTGGAGCAGAGGATTTTTGGGGCAGTGAAACTGCTCTTTATGCTACTATCATGGTGGAAACATGCGATTATAAATTTGTCCAAACCCACAGAATGTACAAAACTAAGAGTGAACTCCAATATAAACAATAGACTTTGAGTGATTATGACATGCGAATGTAGGTTCATCAACTATAACAAATGGACCACTTTGGGGATGTTAACAGTTGGGGAGACTATGCTTGTGTAGGGGCTGGGGTATATGAAAAATCTCTATACCTTTTGCTCAGTATTGCTAAGAACATAAAATTGCTATATAAAATAGAGTCTATTTTTTTTAAAAAAAGAATACGAGCCAGTAGCAGTGGAGCCTAAATATAAGAAATTACAGAAAATATAGTTAATGATATGTTTCCAGGCTTTCATAATACAGTTATGCATATAGTTGCATTAATTTTTGAATTTATTCTCACATAGTCAGAGGCAGTAATAACATCAGCAATTTTATGCCCATTGGATAGTTCTAGTTTGTCTAATTTCCATAGGTGAAATTATTCAACCCATGAAAACAAGATAACCAGTTCTTGTTTGCAGTCTCATTGCAATATGTGTAATAAAGTTTGGTTGGTATGACAATGTGTCTGTGGAAGCTGACAATTCGGTAACTGCAGTGTGAAAAGCTATTTCATTTTTTATCTTTAAAGAATAACTGGATTGTTAAATTTTATTCCTGTAGGCTGCATCAAACACACAGAAACCAGGTGTCTAAGTTCTCATATCAGCATTTGAGTTGCTGGTTTCTTAATGTGGAATCACAAAGCTGTACTTATGGATTATTTCACCTAATAATTACAGTTGACAATTACTATGGTGATATAAAAATAATTTAACGGGCCATCAACTAAGAGGTGGCTTTTGGCTTTTAACCTAAGGAATTGGCTTCAAATGTTGAATACTTTCCTGAATGACATTATGCTAAAAAGTTAAAACAAATTAAGCCTAAAAAAGAGAATCTATTAAACAACCTTACCTCTTCCTCCAGAAATGTAGTGGATAATTATTTGTACCCATGAGGATAATCAGCCAGCCATATCATGTATATGTGGTATCTACCTATCTATCCAATCTTAATGTGTCACCTTGGGCGAGATGTTTAACCAAAATTCTAGATTCCCATCTGTGAAATGGGGAATACAGTATCTACATTAGAGGCCTATTTTGAGAATCATGTATCTCTAAGATATATATGTATATATAAATATTAGAGAATATTACATATATATGTAAAATAAGTGTTTAGTAATGGTTAGTTAAATATGAATTTAAATTAAGCTTATTTTTTAATGAAGTCAATATTTGTATCTTTACCTGAGCATATTTTTTTGCAGTATAGAAGAGTGTCTTAGAGCATGGATCCTAAAATTTGATTTACTTACAGGGTAAACTTTGACAAATTACTTGCCGTTTTCCTCTACAAAATGAGGAGTTTGTACACTTCTTATAATGCTGTGGTGGGGATTAAATGAGTTGTTAACGTGTCAGGTGCTCATGGCACGTAGTATGTATTCAATAAATGTTAGCAATATTTGCTTTTATCATGTTATTTTTCTACCCTGTGTTTTGTAAAGTGAGTGAATACAAATACACTTACATGTCTTTGTTTCATTCCCAAAGAATTTGTTTGACACATGCTCCTCTTCACTGTTTACTGGGAATACCCATTGTTTTCTGTTTTTTATCCCCTCTCTCTTAACTTTTATTTCAGGTTCAGGGGATGCATGTGCGGTGTGTTACATGGGTAAATTGTGTGTCGTTGATGCGTGGTGTAAGAATGATCCCCTCACCCAGTTAGTGAGTACAGGGTGCAATAGGTAGTTTTTCAACCTATGTCCCCCTGCCCTCCTCCCTCTTCAAGTAGTCCCCGGTGTTTATTGCTTCCCCTCTTTGTGTCCACGTGTATTCAGTGTTTAGCTGCTGCTTATATGTGTGAATATGCAGTATTTGGTTTTCTGTTCCTGTGTTAATTCACTAAGGATAATGGCCTCCAGTTGCATCCATGTTGCTGCAAAGGACATGATTTTATTCTTTTCTTGGCTGCATAGTATTTCATGGTGGAAATGTGCCATATTTTCGTTATTCAATACACCATTGATGGGTATCTAGGTTGATTCCCTGTCTTTGATATTGTGAATAGTGCTGCAATGAACATGCGAGTGCATGTGTTTTTTGGTAGTACACTTTATTTTTCTTTGGATATATACCTAGTAATGAGATTGCTGGGTTGAATGGCAGGTTTGTTTTAAGTCCTTTGAGGAATCTCCACACTGCTTACCACAGTGGCTAAACTAATGTAAGTTTCCACCAGCAGTGTATCTGTGCTCGCTTTTCTCTGCAACCTTGCCAACACCTGTTTTTTTTTTAATTATTATTTTTTAAGTTCCAGGGTACATGTGCAGGATGCGCAGGTTTGTTACATAGGTAAGCATGTGCCATGGTGGTTTGCTACATCTATCAACCCATCACTTAGGTATTAAGCCCAGCATGCTTTAGCTCCTTTCCCTAATTCTCTCCCCCTGCCACTTGCCCCCGACAGGACCCAGTGTGTGTTGTTCTTCTCCTTGTGTCCATGTGTTCTCATTGTTCAGCCCCTACTTATAAGTGAGAATATCTATTTTTTTTTTAACTTTTTAATAGTGGCCATTCTGGAGTGGTGTGAGATGGTATGTCATTGTGGTTTTGATTGGCATTTCTTTAATGATAAGTGACGATGAGTATTTTTCCATATGTTTGTTGGATGCCTGTATGTCTTCTTTTAAGAATTGTTCGCTCATGCCCCTTGCTCATTTTTTTTCAATTTGTTTTCTTTTTTAAAAAACTTTTAACTTCAGGGGTACAAGTACAGTTTTGTTACATAGCTACACTTGTATCATGAGGGTTTGTTGTACATATTATTTCATCACCCAAGTATTAAGCCTAGTACCCATCATTTTTCCTGATCCTCTCCCTACCCCAACCTTCCACTCTCTGAAAGGTCCCAGCATGTGTTCCCCGTTATACGTCCCTGTGTTCTCATCATTCAGCTCCCACTTACAAGTGAGAGCATGAGGTACGTGGTTTTCTGTTCCTGTGTTAGTTTTTGCCCATGTTTTAATGGTGTTCTTTGTTTTCTGTTTGTGAATTAAGTTTTTTATAGATTCTGGATATTAGACTTTTGTTGGATGCATAGCTTGTAAATGTTTTCTCCCATCCTATATGTTGTCTGTTTATTCTGTTGATAGTTTCTTTTGCTGTGCAGAGTTCTTTAATTTAATTTGCTCCCACTGAACAATTTTTGTTTTTGTTGCAACTGCTTTTTGGGACTTAGTTATAAATTATTTGCCAAGGCCGATGTGACTACGTTAATGAGGATAAGGATTGTGTCTTTAAAAAAAACCAAACTGCATATTTGTTGCATAGTATAGTGTTTGGCACATAAATGATTCAATATAGAGTAGCCAGGTAAATTAATGAAGATATTTTCCAACTGGGTGATTACTGTGATTGAAATATTTCTGAATGAGAATATAGCCAATCATTCATTTTCTCTGTGATTCATTTATTCCTATTTTGTTCCATGATAACAGACAGCTATGGAGCCCAAACCTGCAACTTAGCAATGTACAATGCCGAATACTAAACAATTCATTAATTAGACAGTGCAATCTGTAATGGACCTGGTGGTTGATAATGGACTTAAGAAGCTTGTGTGTTGCAGATGGAGAATCAGCAGAGTAATTGTGCCAGGTTAAGAACCATCATGCTATATCATGTAACTGTCTATCAACTATTTACATGAAGAAAATATTCTGTATGAAGCAGCATAAAGGACTGGGAAGATATAGGACTCTGGGTTCCTGTTCCACCACTTTTCTAATCTTTCTGGACCTTAATTTCTCTCTCTGTATAAGGAGAAGAGTTATTACCTACTTTCAGAGTTACTGAGCACTTTTAGAGTAAACATCCAAAATCTTTGGCTTGGAAAAAGCATTACAATATTATGATTGTATTATTAATTATTGTGCCTTGATATATACATTTCTTTGAGAACTATAATTTATTTATTTCACTTGTCTTTTACATGGAAACAGCTCTGGAATATAGTCCTATTCTAACAGGTCCCATTTATTTCCAGTTACAATTTTTATTCTGAGGCAAAACCAAGCTGACTCAACAAAGACAAGGCTAATCTGTCCTGCCTGCTCCATTTTTACAAAACATAAAAACATTCTCACAAAACCAAAGACAAAGAAGAAACCTTTGGCATCTTTGTTATCTGTGAATGGGGAGAGACAATGCACCTCAGTTACACACACACACACACACACACACACACACACACACACACACACGTAAGGCCTCTCCTATTTGAGTACCCACCCACTGATCCTCTGAAAATGAAATTAAGATCTTAAAAAACTAAAGTGTTCTAAACACTATACACACATAGCAGAATTAAACAACCCATAAGAATTAAACATCTTTCGGAGGAACTCACAACTTCATTTATATCTAAGTTAAGCACACAGACATGACACATTTTGATAAAGAGCAGCTGTGAACATGATCTCATGACTTTACTCCGTAGAGGAAACGATTTATTCATGTAAGGAGCATTTTTAGATCAATTATTACTATTGTGAATAACCATGTTTTGACATTGTTCAGTAACTATACAATTAAAGTTAATACGATACTTTAAGCTGCACAGCTAATGTAATTTTTTCCTCATGGTGTGAAGTTTAAAGCATCAGTCTCCCCTTCGCATTCTTCAATTCAATCTGTTTCCATAACAACCATTGGGACATATTTTTAATGATTTTACTTTCTTACAAAAATCAAAGTTCTTTAAAAGCATCACGTCTTTTGCTTAATTTCTCTCATTTGTTTGTGATGGTTATTCTAATAAAAATTTAGATTTCATTCACCATTACCTTTGGCAGTACTTAGTAAAGGCTTTGTAATAGCAATTGGAAACAATAACTGATACATGATTGAATAAGAAAGAATTAAAAGGAGGGAGAAAAATGAGGAACCGCAACTGAAAACTCTATCTGCTCTGACTTGATTTATTTTCAGAATGCATTAAGGCCACTGTATAATAAACTGGCCCACTTGCTCAGAGACTAAAAGAAATAAGGGTGAGTCTGTTAGAAATAATGCAATAGGTTTACTGAGAAATTTAATATACTCAACCTCCTCTTTCTGTTTACCATTTATTTGGGTTCCAACAGAGGCTATGTTTGCGGGGCAATTCTGGTCCATTTGCTGTAGGTGGATGTATGATTTCCTTTAACCTTGTAATAGACTAAAAGTAGAAGATGGGAATAACTCGGAAGAGAGTGAGGAGGATGTCACTGGTAAATATTAACTGGTAAATTTGGTTTCTTTGTAAGGACAAATTTACATTTCATTGTCATATGCATTGGGGAAACTATCTGCAATATTCTAGATTCTTACTGAAGGCAGAATATTAGTATAACAGAAGTAATTTTGTAATCATTTTAGTTTCTGAAACTTTTACAATGTATTTTGATCACAGAAACCATCTCAGACTTGTTTGATCTTTAAGATTAGTTCTTCCATATTTTAAGGCATATGGCATTTCTAACAAGCAGAAAAGGTTTAATATACAAGATATTGTGCTTAATAGAGCTTTATAAGAAAAACACAATCTTACTTTTGCTCAGTTCATTTGCTCTGCTCAAGGAATATAATAAAAACTTAATAAAATTTGTGGAATGCATAAACAGCTTGAGCAGAGCACAATGGACTGAGTGAAAGCCAGATTGTTTTCTGTATGATATCCAGAGAATGGCAGTGTTTATGAAATAACAAAGAATGGGATTCTAGAAGAAAAAAAATCTCAAGTCCAGGGGCTGCTTTCATCCGTACTATTGAAATACCCAAGTGGGCTGGTTTAGCTTCAAACAAAGGATAATTGAATGGCCTATGAGTAACAAGAACTAGAACAAATAAGGTGATAATGATAAGATTCCTCAATTAAAACATAAAATTCATTTACATACTTCTAAAAGTCAAAAGAAAAGTATATAATTTTCATTCTTGATCTTTCGTTTTGTAAGTTTGAAACTTTAACTTTTAATACATCTACTCTACTTTGAAAACAAAAGATTATGACAAAATTAAATGATTATTTTTAGCTGCTTGTTTTATTAATACTTAGGCTGTGTAAGAAGGTATTTGGTTCAGTAGCTGAAAATTTGACTTGCAAAACATGTATTATCAGTAAATTTGTTTTATTTCTAGAGATTGTTTATGTTAAATTAGAAAAATCTTGGCATTTAAAATCTGACAGAACCCAAGCTCACCAATGCTCCCTTCTTACCTGCTACTACCTTTTTTTTTCATTTGATCTTTTCGAATTACAGTTTGCTTTTTTTTTTTTTTTTTTTTTTTTTTTTTTTTTTTTTTTTTTTTTTTTTGAGATGGAGTCCCACTCTGTCACCCAGGCTGGAGTGCAGTGGTGAGATCTTGGCTTACTGCAACCTCCGCCTCCTGGGTTCAAGCGATTCACCTGCCTCAGTCTCCCAAGTAGCTGGGATTACAGGTGGCTGCCACCAGGCCTGGCTAACTTTTTGTATTTTATTAGAGACAGGATTTCACCATGTTGGCCAGGCTAGTCTCGAACTCCAGGCGTCAAGCGATCCTCCTGCCTCAGCCTCCCAAAATGCTGGGATTACAGGCATGAGCCACTGCACCCGGCTGAGTTAGTCTTTCCACTAGTGTTGTGCAAACAACAGTATCAACTTCTTATAATGCGTGTTGTGTATAAATAACCTAAAAATTAGAAGACCTAAATTCTTATGATTTGGAGTGTAATGCCTAAACTCTTAACAGTCCTATTTTATTATCTGTTTGAATAATGAAATCTGCATTGTGTGCATCTGAGTAAAATGGGTTGTAGCTGTAATGAAATGATGGACATAAAGACTGCTTTGAAAAGTTGTATATGTCTGATTACAAATCATTTTTCATTTTAATTTCATGTATGAGTATTACATACTTCTCCTTGAGAGTTTCTTATCTAGTTTCTCCTCTTTAATTTTTTTCTAGAGCAACAAGCATCTCATCCTGGAATATAATACACAGGCAAGAAAGTGTGCTCTGAGCTGATGAACATATGTTTGAAAGTGGCAAGTCACCTCTATCAAACACATAGAGTGACACTTTGTTCTTTTTTTCTTTGTAACTCCAGTCTATTTGGAGCCTCAAAAAATCATAATTGATTATAGGAGTGTAATTTTCTCTAGAGTCATTGCTGATCATCTAAAATGACATTTTTTTAATCTTCTTGTTTTGACTTCCATGGATTTTTCAACTCTAATCCTCATAAAATCTTTCACCTTCTTACTTCGGATTCTTATGATCTCCTTTGCTCTCATTTTAAATTTAATATTGAAACTCTTATTTGATTCAGTAAATTCCTTAAGGGTATAGTCGGTATAAGATGTTTTTGTTTTTAATGAGTAAAATTGTGTTACACTAAATTTAAAAGAGAGGTTTCTCCCCTGGCTGTCATACAAGAGGAGGCCACTTCCCGCCCTTAGGTTACAATTGTGAGGATATGTGCTTAATAAGCATAATCTTCCAAACCCCTCAAGGTTATTATTCATTATGAAAGATTTTCAGCTCAATAAATATATTCCGAATTTAAAACACAGGTAGTATAAATTGCTCTACAGATTAAAAAAGGAAAAAATAACTACTCTTTTCAATCAGGTCAGTTATGGAGAATTCTATACATAAAACGGCGGTGAGACTGGCTATAAGTCAGTCAATGCAGAGCAGAAAATAATTCAGTAGATATGTATAATCTTGGATTATAAAGGAAAGATCCTATTTGTCTTTATGCCACAGTGCAATGAATTATTATCTCATTTATAATCTTTGTGTTTAGTCAAATATGTACAATCCAAATAATGACTGTGTTCTTCCCCTTAACCTGAGAAAGACGTGATAGAGTGGCCCTCTAGATTGAGACTGATTGGACTGTTGGAATCCCAGTTTCACAAGTTATTACCTAAGTCACCTTGGACAGGTTTTTAAATTTCTCTATACCTCAGATTCTTTATTTATGAAATGGGGGTAATTATCACACTTGCCAAACTGGATTGTAGTAAGTATTAAAAATGAGAATATTTGTAAAACACTTAGAAAAGTTCTTGGAACATAATAATCAGCCACCATCATTATTATCATCATCTTTAGATGGGTATAATTTGTACTGGAAAGCCTCAACTGATATGGGTGACAGCAAAATAGTAATAATAAAAGCATGGGTATATACAATGGAAATGTAGGATAAGCAGGCTACTTACCAAAGAAGGAATGCATTTGTGATAGAGGCTGGCTAAACGCTTTCAATTTCCCTATTCAGGTTATATAAGAAGATTGTATGTTTCATCATTCCTACAGATCCATTAGTCTATGTCACTGGTTTCCAGCCAAAGGTATCAGGGTAGAAGTGATGCATATCACTTCCAAACCTAAACCATATATCTCCATGATTACCCACTCCCATTCTTTCTCTTCTCTGATAAATTCAAAAGCCATATTTATAATATAATAGCAGCAGGAGAACTCTGCATTTTTTTTGTTTTTGGTTGGAGTGTCAAATTATCTGTATCAGAGTGACTGGTGAGCAAAAGCAAACCTTTATCATGTTAAGTCTGAAATGTCTGAGTTTATTTATTAAGGCTCCTATCCTTAACTTTCTATACTGATTACTAAGTTATTACCTCTCGGCCCTAAACCCATTTTTCTATATTCTACCTCAAGATCCTAAAGCTGGGAGCCTTCAAACCAGATTTCTTCTTTGCCACTAACTTTTTGGTTGGGTTCTGCCAATGGTAGTCCTGAAGGCAACTAGAGGTCGGGAGGAGAAAGGACTCATTCTTGTTTATCCTGTTTCTGTCAGTGTCATTCCAGGAATGCTTCTTTAGATCAGCAGTGGACGTTGGGTCCAGTTTCTAAGCTTATTTCACACTTGCTGAACTATCTTTATTGCACCACCACCACCCCAGATGTATAAAAATAGAGAAGTGCACCCCCTTCAGGGGTCTGGGTCCTAGATCCACAGGATCCCACCTCTGAACCCCTGAGGTATCTGTATCTGGGGAGATGTACTCCTCCTCAGAGGCCCGAGGCACAGTTTTGAGGGGCTTGTCCTCTAGCCTTTCAGGTTCTAACAATTCCAGCCTCCTCCCTCTGTTACTCTTCTGTATGAGTGGTTTTTACTTCTTCAGACATTAAAGTTGTGAACCTTTTTGACATTTTAGCTTTCCAATACCAGATTAAATACTTTTGCATATTATATTCTGTTTGTTAAAACTGCTGGTTTTCTTTCTGTTTTCCTGACTGTACTCCAATTTTTATGCTACTGAAATACAGAAATTTGAAGCCAAAGCCTATGCTACCATAGCAAAAATCTAAAATATACAGCATTTCTTTAATAGCTGGGCAATGGGCAGAAAGGAAACTGATTTCAAAGGTAGAAAGCCTTCTAGTTGCATAATGTTTTGTCAAAACTCTTGGCAAAACTGCTGTTTGAATTAACTAGAGAGGCACTGAGTCTGCTGGGCTGGCAATACTCAAAAGAGATTGGAAAACAAAACTTTAATAGTGTGTGTTGACTATTACTGGCTACGTTTGGCAGGGTATTACAAGAGAAACATTGAGCGGCTAGTGTGAAGGCAGATACGTAGAGAAACAGAATACAGAAGTTTCCAGGACTTATTGAGCAAAATGGCTGGCTTCTTCTAAAGCCCAAATGGTGGAACATGACATTGATGAAGGCATTGAACAACAAAGGTCCAGTGAAAAGTTCCATTTGTGTAACAGACTCAAGGCAAACCCTGCTAAGATCTCAGGGAATTGTACTAAAACCCCATGATTCCGGAATATAACACTTAAATGTTTAAAACTTAAAATAACTCTAGGTCCCATTATCTTCCCCAAACAGGAAAAAAAAATTAAGGTAATATAGTTCTCAATAGGCACTTCAAACATGGTTAAGTAGAATAACGGAAAAAGAGAAACATCTGAGAAGTCATTTCCAGAGGCTAGAGGGAACTATGGACAAGGAAGATATCCCAGAGAGGTGGTCAGAGCTTATTCAAAGATCCTCTCTGACCTCTAGATTGGGAGACTTTATAATGTCTTTCCAGCAGGATTGTGCCTGTGATTGACATGTGTACCTGATTCTTTCTCTATCCAAGAATCATGGTTTATTGTGGATTCCCTTTTCCTATGCTTCTCTTTTATATTGGGTGTGTGGGAAGTGGATTGCAAAATGCAGGTAATTTGTTCATGGGTGATTCATTTTCATCGTTTGATGAGGACAATGGCTAACCAGAGATCACGGATTTGTGCTGAAATTAGTGACTGAAAGAATTTGAGTTGTCACTCGTGAAGAGTAATAATCTCTTTTCTGGAGATAATGGAACATGACATGAATATCTGGTGACCAGTAAAATGGACTGTGGCAGAGATGGGCTAGATGCCCACTAATTCCATCTCCTTTTCCTGGCCACATAGAAAGGCCTCCCTTGCAACTCAGTTGGGCCTGAAATGGAAGGACGTCCTTGCATACAAGGTTGCTCCATAATGGCCCATGCTCGATGTTCCACACAATCTCTTCCATTTCCCCTGTGGCCATGTGCTTACAAAGGCAGCATCAAAAGATGGAAGGAGTCTGGATTTTTAAATCATGATTTGGCAGTGAACCTCCAAGGAGAGCTGGCCAACACACATCAGCCCATAACACAAGGAAGAAATCTCTTATTTTATATGTTAAGAAACTGAGATTTGGGGGTTTTATGTTAAAGTGTATAGAGGTTATCCCTGTAATACAGCATTAGATTTAATTACTGGATTTAATTCCATTGGTAACTTGATATCTTTTTCTTTATATTAAAATTATTTAAATGTGAAGAAAATGTCATCAAGAAATTGAGATTATGAGGTGTAGTAGAAAAAGCATTGTTTTGAGAAGTCCCATTCCTAGTAACCCTTTTATTATTTACTAGATAAGTGGCACTAGGAATGTCAATTAATTTTCCTGGGCCATGGTGCAAGCTGTAAAATGAAGATGTCATTAGGTTTATTATTAGGTTACCCAATTATAGGCAGAAAGCCAGTCCAAAAATTTGCTCACAGTTTTTATGGTTTTTGATCTGCGATTCCATGAGATAGGAGTTAAGCACTAAAGCACAGAAGCAGTAATTTTTTCTTACTTAAAAATGCTTGGTTATAGTATGATACCTGACAAAGTGCAGCTGTACGCATAAATATTATGTAATACAATGTTTTAGTAGTGTTAACTCATGCCCCACAGTTTTGTGCTATCCAAGTGTAACACATAAGTCATTTTAGAGTGAGACGAGATAATGCAGATGACAATTTCAAAAGGAAACCATTCCCTAAAACTTTGAATACCCAGTAGTTTTGCACATATCTCTCCATACCTTCAGCCCTCCCCTTACAATCTAAGGGTGGGATTTAAGCAAGATCCTCACTTCTCTTTCTATGTTTTATCAAGTGAAAGCCTATTCTTTCAGATGATTTCTCTTAATATCAACTCACTAAGGTTAATTCAAGGTCGCTATTTCTATGTAACTGCTAAGGTCTGAATATTTGTATCCTCCCAAAATTCATGTCAAAATCCTAACCCCCAAGGTGATGGTATTAGGAGGTGGAGCCTTTGGGAGGTGATTAGGTCATGAGAGTGGGGCCCTCATAAATGGTATTAGTGCCATTATAGAAGAAGCCTGAGGGAGCTTGTTTGCCCCTTCCAACATGTAGGGACACAGTGAGAAGGCACCATCTATGAATCAGAAAAGCAGGCCCTCACCAGACACCAAAACAGCCAGCACCTTAATCTTGGACTCCAGACTTTAGAACTGTGAGAAATAAATTTTTGTTTTTTATAAGTTACCAGTTTATGGTATTTTGTAATAGCAGCCCAAACATACTAAGATAGTCAAATAATAGACATTGTAAAATAAAACAAAATGAACAGTAAAAAATACCCTAAATGATTCTTTGTTCATATTTACTTATATGTTCAACTGCTAATAAATCAGGCTAATCAAAACACTTTCATTCTTGTAAAAAGGTAAAACAATCATTAAAATATATCTAATATTAGTTTAAAACTTGGAAACCGAATGGAATTTTCCTCCTTTAAATTAAAATGAAGAATGTTACAGCCAAATCGAAACAAAGAACATTTAAAATTCCTTTTGCTAATGAGTGCTTTGTCCTAATCCCTGGAAAATGATAGCTAGTTAAAGCTCAGCATTTAAACTTATCGCAGAAAACAAAACATGAAGGAGCACATTCTTGAATTGGTCTTCAAAATATTTTTGCAATTGTGTAATTCACAATTTGTTGTGAAAATTATAATTTTTGATTCTATTACTGAGACATTTTTAGAAAAAATATAGAAAAATACAGAAAGTAGGATTCTGATTTTCTTTAAATCATCTTTAGATGACTCTGTACTTACTTTTCTTCCAAAGGTTTCATTACGCAGTATAGAATCCAAGAACATAAACTTTAATTTAAATATTTTTAAGGTCACTAACATAATAAATGGATGATGTCCAAACTAACAAAAAGAGAAACAGTTGTTTAATTGGAATTAAACTCTAATATTATATGTCACTAAGGTATTTTTATTAGTTTACTAACTAACCAAATCTATATGAATATATTATATAATACAAATGCAAATACTGTTGTAAACAACGATAACATTTACTTATAAGGTCATCCTCTCCACATTTCTTTAGCATTCTATTTACATATAAGCCAATTTGAGGTAAAGTAACTTTCCACTCACCAATGTGGAGGTTTGTGAGGCGTCAGCCAAATCCCCTGAGATCTCGGGTGTTCGCGTGTTGTTTGGAATTCTGTGAGGGTTACGGGCTATCGCTTCACACCAGCCCAGCATTTTCTCCTTCCTCTTATCCCTTTTCAATTTCTGAAATTCTGAAAATAATTTACATTCCCTGAAACAGGTCACTTATTTTAGCTGTGTTTTGGAAAATACATATAATCAAAATTAAATCAACAATATAACAAAACACTAATTGAGACTTTTTTAAAAAAACCAGGGGTTACAAGGAGGAAAAGAAGAATATGCTGATTATTACTAATATCCTAGAGTCACAGGACAATAGAAAGAGTATACATCTTTTCAAAGGGCCTAACATCTTTTATATCTCTCTTTGTGACACTAGTAGACAATGAGAATTCCTTGTGCCAGGTTCTAAGTGTTATTTTCAGAGATCAGCTTATAACAGTAAGTCCTTACTTCAAGAAATAAGAATAGACCTGGTTCCTGATAATATCTACATATTTCAATGACATCTAAAATTTGGCATAGCTTTTCAGCTAAATGTCCTACAGAAGCCGAATAAATCGAATACAGGCCAGTGACAAATATTACTCATTCTGGCAGTGCCATGATTTTCTCTCTTATAAAGTTCTGCCATCTGAAAAAAAATTTACTGCAAGTATAATAAATTAAGTATATGACATCTATCACCAGTACAATCTATTCAAAAGTAATAATTTAAAACAATCCTTACTATGTCATGAGTAGAAATATTCCACAACTCTTTCTAGACTTCTAGAACTTCTTATTTGGGGGAATGTTTTGTCTCTGAAAAAGTCATATCAACAATGACTTTTAACATAATGGAGAAACATTGTTTCCCCTGTAAAGTTTTACAGCCTACTTTTCCACTCCACCACCCTCAGTAATTAGAAATAGTTTATTGCAGGTCTTTAGTTAAATGCATTACACTGTCAATTAAATATCAAAAATAATGTGGAGTAATTATTTTTCACAGCATCCAAAGCAATTAGCAATCTGGTCATTTATAACATTTCAGAGATTCAAAACTGCACATTTCATAGCACTAAGAAAAGTAACATAAGAACGGTTGCACTAACAGATTTCTGAGTTATTAATCTAAATGACAAAATACTCAAGTTAAATGCATCTGAACAATGTAAATACGAAAGTGATAAAAAAGATCTTTTATTAAAAATGTCTAAGATACTCAACAGAATGGATTTCTTAATAAAACCAGCAATCTAATATGAGTGACTCATTCAATTGAGGTACAGAGAAATGATAAAGGGAACTTGAAAACAATTGTTTGAATGGGCAACAAATTATTAGTGCTTGGCCTTTCAAACACATTGCTTGAGATTTATGTAAAATTGTGATCTATTCAATACAAAATCTGCATATTTAATTTGCACTCTACAGAAAGTAAATATTTCCTCATTCCCAGTAACACTATCTTGGTTAATCATCAGATTTTAATTGCATTTCTTGAAGTGTGCTAAGAGTAAATGAAAATGAGGATCTTTATTCAAAGGCAAGGAGTGAAATGATACATAATGACCAAAACAGTTTAATCAAGTATAAACAAATGTTCTACTTCTAAATTATTTACCATTTTGTCAATTTTAACTCTATAATTAAATATCACTTTAGTACTTATAATAAAATGCTAAATTCATTCATGAATGAAGAACATAATTGTGTGGCCCACAAAATTATGACACCATCAGTATCCATTCTGAGATGTGTTTGTAAAGGTAGCCAACTTCTTATTTCCCATTTAGATTCTTTTTGATGCTGTGGTGGCAGTAGCTTTGTCATTTCTTATACTCAGTCAACATTAATCCACAAATATATTTTAGGTACTGAAGCAGGAATAGTAGTCATAAGAAGAGGATAACTTTCATTTTTGATGTGATTTGGGTTCAGTGCATCGATCTATTCTAGAGAATTTTAAAGTCCATGAACCACTGGGATCTTTCTGATCTCTAATTTTTAGATCTGTACGCTTACTTGCACAACTCTAAGGTGACTGCCTGCTCCCCCTAATCATGTCTTCCTTGAAGCTGGCCTGTGCAAATCATCTTTTCGAACTGTTTTGCTGGACAGCTGTCAACAAATCATCATGAAAAAAGCTATAAACTTTTGGCTACACCTGCTGAAGTATTATAACAAAATGCCAACTGCATTCTAGTTTTCTATTGCATATAACTGTCATTATCTTATTTTAGGATTATTAGCTAGGCTAAATAATTCAGAAAGTTAAAATACATACTTTTAATATAAATAATATGTTAATAATAATCATTGAATACTATCCATGGACATTGTACAGGCTATTTTAAGAAAGCAGACAAGAAACGAGATACATTGCTAGGGACTGCAAAGTTTATAATTTAGTTTGAACTTATTGGAATGTTTATAAAGACAGTTAAGCGTGTGAAATGAGAGAGAGCAATCTAACTACACAGCTTCACTTCAGCTTTTTATTATATTAATGTAGAATCTATGAAAACAATAAAAATGCCTGTGATAGTTGCATTTCTACATCTGGACATTCATTTCATATCCAAGAGATAAAGTTTGTTTAATGACTTCCTCTAAATAATATGCATCTTCTGAGTTGTCAGGTATGTTAGAATCACAGCATCATCTCCTGGAGAAGTCAATTTTTAAATAGCCTCCAAAGGGGCTGGGCACCATGGCTCATGCCTGTAATCCCAGCACTTTGGGAGGCCGAGGTGGGAGGATCACTTGAGCTCAGGGGTTCAAGATCAGCCTGGCCAACATGGTGAAATCCTGTCTCTACTAAAAATACAAAAAATTAGCCGGGCGTGGTGGCATGTGCCTGTAGTCTCAGCTAGTACTTAGGAGGCTGGGGCAGGAGAATTGCTTGAACCTGGGAGGTGGAGGTTGTAGTGAGCTGATGGCGCCACTGCACTCCAGCCTGGACAATAGAACAGGACTTTGTCTCGAAAAATAAATAAATAAATAAATAAATAAATAAATAAATAAATAGTCTCAAAAGAAGCAGCATGAGTATAGGTGCAAATCAGAAGGGAGAGAGAGAAAAAAAAAAAAACAAGGAAAGACCGTTGCCTTAAATCCCTGTTGGTAAGGGAGAGTTATAATTGCCCAATAACAATATGTTCTTTTCTGTTATCACAAAACACTTAAAGTTTGGATCACATTTCAAAAATATTTTCTTTTTTGCATTATCGATGCTACAATATAGATTCTAAAAATAGTTGAGATGAGTTGAGAGAACTGAAGAATTGAAATGTTGATTGCTGAGCCTCTGTAGACCAGCCTTCTTCCTACACAGGTCTGGAGTACTCATCATATTTTTAGGTGTAAGAATGTGCTGTCAGCCAGAAGGGTAGGCAAATTATAAGCATTTATAATTAACCCCAAAGCACTTTAAAATGTAAGTATCATTAGTAATATACCAAAATAGGAAAGTGGTCATTAAGCACTCATGTTAATTGCTATCTAGTCATTGAACCAAGCTAATATGAGATACAGCAATGAGCAACTTATATAATGATCACAGGAAATTGAGATTTAACTAAGCTTAATTTTTAATATGCTACTTCAAGCAGATATTTAATTTAGTAAATAGCAGCATAGTGCATTCTCTGCGAACTACATTGACAACAAATTAATATTAGGAAAAAATGCCAAGAAATTGGGTGTATTTTGTGGAGAATAATTTACTTTTAATTCAGAAAACATCTACTGAACATTTTCTTTGTTCCAGACACCGTGCTTGCAACCTTTGGTACAGAGAGAGAAAAGACCCAGAGCTTACAATTAGGAGGGGAAACAGAGAAGTAACCCAGTTTTTGTAAGACAGTGTGATAGGAGCTATGATAGCAGTATACTGAGCACTATGAAAATGTTGAGAAAAGACATTTAACTTAGCATCAGATGCAGGGGATGGCTGATTTTGGAAGACTTTCCAAAGAAAGTAACAATTACAAGTAATTTACATGAAAGTTAAAATTGTTAGTACTCTAAAGGCTTCTGTCACTACAAGCTGTGTTGCACAACTCCGGGGGGTGGGGGGGGGGGGGCATCATCCACATTGCAATCCATGTAAATGGCACTGTACTCTAAGGAATGCTTTTCATATTAAACACCATGAGCATGGTACGCCTAGAACTGTGCAACCTGGCAGCCCTGCTGGGCTGATTTCTCCAAGTGAAGCTTATTCTACTCACTTTATTTTACCCCAAGGCTAATGTAATTTAATCTTAAACGCAGAGATTTGTTTGCCACAGGAAAATGCAGTTGCCTACCTCTATTTATCTCTCTGTCTCCTCAACTATTTCCTTCCTCAAATTTGCCCATTCCATATCTTATCTAGTTGTGCAGTTATGATTAAGCTGAATGCTCCCTCTCTTTACCACATGCATAGAACTGAGAAAGTGCCCACCTTCCCTATTCTCAAATTTGAGACTTGAGAATGGTCTTGTCTAAGAATGTGAAGGGCTGCTAAACGGAAAATTTTAGAGATTTTATGTATTTATTTAGCTAATGTGTCATTAAGAAACATGTCTCAACTATTAGCCCATCACCTAAATAATAATAAAGTTCAGTTTCCATTATGAAAGGAACAACTTGCAATTAGAGAAGTGAAAATGTGTGAGCCTGTGTGTGTTCTAAGAGTTACTCACTATATATTGAGAAAACTCTAACATTCATGCCTATCACTCACATTTGCTGCTGCTGTGGACCTCTGAGTGGATGTTTTCACGTGCTCACACACAGTCCTTACACATGAATTGTTCCTAAAGACTTGGGGTTCCAATGACCGCTAAGGACTTCTTGCTTGGGTTGAATTCTGCAAGAACAGATTACTGTATATGATAAATTTATTGCTGTGTACTGCAGATGTGTCCTGGGGGTCTTTTTAATTTCTGCAAGTAGGATGTTAGGTGTCTCAAATGGAGAGAGATGTTCATAGTTGTATTCTAGGATGTGGAAGAGCAACTGAAATAGAATCCAATAAGTAATTGTTGATGATACAATGAATAAGAAGGTAAAGAGGAGTTCTTTTCTGAATAATCATGACTTGTAATGAAGGCTTAAATTCTTGGTGCTTTTAGCTTAGACTATCTGAAATATATATTTAGTGTACAGATTTCTTTTAAAAAATTTTGCCTCTACCTTGCAATTACTTTTAAAACCACTAACCTTTCTATGAATTCAGATAAGCTACCCTCACCTTGTAAGGTGGCATGATGGTGAATGAAGAAACGGCACAATACAAGGAAGTAGGGCTCTCATTCTCTCCTCTATTGAGGCAGTGCAGAGAGAAAAGCTTTTTTTTTTTTTTTTTGAAATGGAGTTCTCGTTCCCCAGGTTGAGTGCAATGGCGTGATCTTGGCTCACTGCAACCTCTGCCTCCCAGGTTCAAGCGATTCTCCTGCCTCAGCCTCCCAAGTTTCTGGGATTACAGGTGCCTGCCACCACACCCGGGTAATTTTTTGGATTTTTAGTAGAGACAGGATCTCGCCATGTTGGCCAGGCTGGTCTTGAACTCCTAACCTCAGGTGATCCACCTGCTTCGGCCTCCCAAAGTGCTGGGATTATAGGCATAAGCCACTGTGCCCGGGCGAGAAAAGCTTTTTGAAAAGAGAGTACTGGTAGCAATATGAGCCACTGTCCTGGAGATCCTCAGGAACAGGAAGGAGAGGCTTCTAGGTAGGTAACTTTGGAGAAACTATAACAATAGTGACTCTTCCAATCCTCATTATACTAAGAGATGTAAGTGACCCCAAAGAGAGAATGAAACTCCCACATAAATAGTTACACCCAGAGATGGGGCAGTTGGTGTTCTTAAGTGATGACTGAAAATCTTCCTTATGGAATTGACTGTGTTAGTGTGGAACTCAGCACACAGCTTGGGCCAATCTTGTAGACATAAAAATGAAATGTAGAGACTTCCAGTTTAAGCTATGACATGTAAAGAGTTTGGAAGTCATCACTCCCATTCTTATAAAATGAGAAAGCTGCATAAAACCTGAAAATAATTTTTCTTGGACCCATTAGAGAATTGAAGTTGCAGAACAAACCACTACCCCAAAAATATGGAGAGAGGAAAATATAGAGAATTATGGTCGATTTCAGAATACATGGAGAGAAGTTGATGGAGCCCTAACGGGGTAGAAATTCTTAAGCTGTATCTTCGATATATTATTGGAGACACAGTAGGGATTAGATTGAAAGTGAGGACTTCCAGGGGCTGCATTATTAGTGGGGACTCTACACTTTCCTGGGTTTTACTGCTAAGCAACTTATCTATATTTCATGAGAATATCTGAGAAAGATACTATGGTGGTACTAGCAGGGGAAGAGGATAAGCAAACACCGTGAAATACCCCCAAACAGTCTTACAAAAAAGACTTATTCTCCAAGGGAAAATATCTTGCAGAGGTTTACTAACCCATCAGAATAAAGGGCATTTCTTCCACTCCAGGCTTTTCTACTCTTTCTGCCCTGCCTATGGTGGGGAGGGAAGCTAAGAAAAACTTGTGAAGGCCACAGCCGAGAAATACAGGCTCACTAAAAGACTTTGATTGAATCATAAAGTTACAGAATACTTCTCCTCTACTGTAACTTACCATGATACCAACAAGGCTTAAGGTAAAACAGTGATGTATAGCTTAAAGAACTGCAAGATGCACACTCTCTTTGTGGAGGAGTACTTGGGGAGCCCAAAGGCAACAGGATAGACAAATAGTAGGGCACTACAAGAATTCTATAGCTAGAGTAAACATTAAATACAGCCCAACTTCTAGCCGGAATAACACAGAAACTCCCATTACCTCAGTTTCTACTGCCTGATGTATCATGTTTGGCTTTCTACAACAACAAAAAATTACGAAGCATGCTAGAAAGCTGGCAAAAACAGTGAAGAGATATAAAAAAAGCACTGGAACCAAATCAAATATGACACAGATAATAGGTCAAGGAATTTAAAATATCTATGATTAATATATTAAGGACTATACTGGAAAAAGGAGACAACATCAGTAACAAATGGGGAATGTTAGCCCAGAGAAGGAAGCTCTAAGAAAGTATCCACAAATGGCTAGAAACCAAAACATTGTAACAAAAATGAAGAATACCTTTGGTGGGCTCATCAGTAGTCTGGAAGTGCCCAAGAAAGGTGTCAATGAGCTTGATGACAGAGAAACTTCAGAACTGAAATGAAAAGAGAACAAAGAATGGAGAAAAGAAAACGCAGAACATCCAAGAACTGTGGTATAATTTTTAAATTTGTAACATATGTACAACCAGAATACCAGAAGAAGAACAAAGAGATAATAGAGCAGAAGAAGTGTTTTAGGACACAAGGTTAATATACAAAGTCAACTGCTTTCCTGTATACCTATATACAATCAATGCACAATTGAAATTTGAAATTAATAAATTAATACTTTTAACAGCATCAAATATTATCTAGGTATAAATATAACAATTTTACAGGATTTATATAAAAAACTGTAAAACTGATTTAAAAATCAAAGAAAATCTAAATAATAGCAGAGACATTCTGTGTTCATGGATGGGAAGACTCAACATTGTTAACATATTAATTCTTCCCAACTTGAGCTATACATTTCATACAATCTGAATAAAAATCCTAGAAAAGTATTTTATAGATAGTGATACACTTATTCTAAAGTTTACGTAGAAAGGCAAAATACCTACACTAGTCAAGGCAATACTGAAGAAAAACAAAGTTGGAGAACTCACACTACCCAGTTCCAAAATTTACTATAAAGTTACAGTAATCAAGACAGTGTGGTGTTGGAAAAAAAAGTAAATATATAAGACAATAAAACAGAGATTTTAGAAATAGACTCATGAATAGAGTCAACTCATCTTTGAAGAAGGACCAAAATCAATTCAAGAGAAAGACTAATCTTTTCAGTCAATGGTTCTGGAACAATTGGACATTCATATGCAAAAAAATGACTCAACACAGATCTTATACTTTTCACAAAAATTAACTGAAAATGAATCATAAACTTAAAGGTAAATGCAAAACTGTAAACCTCTACAAAGAAACAGAAAATGTGGGTGACCTTGGGTTTAGCAATGAGGTGGTAGATACAACGCTAAAATCATGATTCATGAAAGAAAAAATGTTGATAAGTTGGAATTTGTTAAAATTATAAACTTGTACTTTATGAAAGACTCTTAAGAGAATTAAAAGACAAGCCACAGACTGGGAAAAATACTTGCAAAATGCATATTGAGTAAAGGACTTGTATTCCAAACATACAAAGAACTCTTAAAACTCAACAATTAGAAAGTGAAGTATCTAATAAAAATAAGCAAATAATCTGAACAGACATTTCAATAAAGAAGATATACAAATGGATACCAAGAATACGAAAAGATGCTCAACATTATATGTCATTAAGGAATTGCAAATTAAAACAACGAGATGCCACTACATACCTATTAGAGTGGCTAAAATGCAACAAATTGATAATACCAAATACTGACAAGGATGCCAAGCAACAGGTATTCTTTTCCATTGCTCGTGGGAATACAAAATAGTACAGCCATCTTAGAAGACAATTTGGTCAATTTGGTAGTTTACTAATGAAGGTAAACATAATCTTATCATACAATCCAGCAACTGCACTTACAGCTATTTACCCAACTGATTTTTAAAATTTATGTCTCATGAAAACATGCACACATATGCTTATAGGAGTTTTATTCATAATCACCAAAAACTGGAAGCAACAAACATGCCCTTCAATAGGTGAATGGATAAACAAATTGTGGTACATTCATACATCATATTATTCAGTAATTAAAGGAAATTACCTATCAAACCATAAAAAGACATGAATGAATATTAAATGCATATTGCTACATTAAAAAAGCCAAACTGAAAGGTGCTACTTTCTGTATGATTCCAATTATATAGCATTCTAGAAAAGATAATGCTATAGCAGCAGTAAAATGATCAGTGGAGGGCAGTGAAACTATTTTGTATGATGCTTTAGTGGTGGATATGTCATCCTAAGCATTTGTGAAAATCTTATAGAACCTCACAGCACAAAGTGTAAACCTTAATGTATGAAAATTAAAAGACATCATTTCGAGTTCAGGGATCCCAGGATGGAAAGCAGGCTGTGAAAAATACAATCTACATATATTATGAATTATAGAACCACCTCACTGAAGATGGTGAGGGAAAATGTGCTGACCTAAGCTAAGTACCTTTAGAAAGGAGTGCAGTCTGAAAGGTTAAAGGCAAAATATATTGTACATAAGCACTGTGCTCTAGTTCATAACATGGTCCCCTATGGAGGTATGACTCTGACAGTGCTATAAATGCATATGAGAACAGAACAATTAGACAGAGGTTTGGCAGATAGTAGAAGATCGGGTTTTTAATTGTTGGAGTGCGAGGTTGCAGATAAGCAAGTGGAAAAGCATATGCCATGTAATAATGGGTCAGAGTTGGAGACATTAATATGAACTCATGTTTAGTTTAATATGGATAAATGTGATTACATAACACGTATATATGCTTAGGTTAGTATACATTCATATCTCACTGCTGTGTCACTTGACGGGTCCCGGAAACAATGATACCCTAGTGGCAACAAATATGCCGAGTGCCCCGATTTTGGTTTTTAATATTATTCTCCAGTAAAAGGAACCAGGGCTGCTTTAAAAAATGGCTGATTCTGGGGCTAGGGTAGGAAAAATACAAGATGAGCCTGGAGAAACTTGTAGCGCTAGAAAGTAAGGAAATGCTTAAAAACAAGGCAAAACAAGACACAAACCAAACACAATTTGGGGCATATATTAAAGAGACACAGTAGCCAAACAAAATAGCTCCACAATGACCAAAGCTGACACAATTTGAGCAACAAAATAAAGTAGTAACAGATTATGACCCAAAGTATAACATAAACACCCACAAGTCTATACTGATATAATGAATGATTGAATAAAGAAATAAATGGAGGAGAAAGACAGTCTCTTGTGCAGAACTGTCATTTCTCTGCTCAAAAGTGGAGGAGAAACATAACCTCCCACACCATTGTGAACTGTACATAGAAACTGCCTTCCGAAGAGTACAATATGAAAAGACAGAAAAATAACTTTATAGTAGAGAAACCTGAAAAACATACCTTAGCCAGGTAATCAAAATGATGTATTGACTTCAGATGTGTTGGAAATGGTACTTTACCTGAACGATTTCCCTCTTAAAAACACATAACTCCAGTCTAATCATCAGAAAAAAAAAATCAGAACAATCTCAATTGAGGAACACTCTACAACAAACCTGATCAATAATCTTCAAAACTGTCACGGACATGAAAAGCAAGGAAAGTCTAAGAAACTGTTACAGCTAAGTGGAACCCAAGGAGACCCGAAAACTAAATGTAATGCAGCCTGCATGAGATGCTGCTAAAAAATTGGATAAAATGAAAAAAATACGAATGAAGTTTGCACTTTGGTTAATAATAACATATTAATATTGATTCACTAATTGTAATAAATATGTACCCTATCACAGTAAGATGTTAATAATAGGAGAAATGGGGTGTAGAGTATATGGGAACTCCTTGCAATAGGTTTGCAGTTTTCTAAAATTTAAAAAATATTATTTAAAAAATGTGAATTATATTTTCAGGTCGGTGAAAACTACATCTTATTTCAATATACAGTTCTAAGCCATAACCTGTAGAAAAGTTTGTGTGTCCAAAGGCTAATTAATGATTTAATAACACTAACAAATTGTTCCAAATTCTATGGTTTAGGCATTTATTGTAAGGAAAGATAACAGATAAAGTTAGAAATTTTGAGTGGAGTTATTTTTTACCTTCTTAAGAAAAATAACTATGGGAGACTGGAAGAAAAACATATATCACTGATTTAGGACTAAACAGTGAAATAAAAGTTGTTTCATTTTTCAAAAGTACTCACCTCTGGACTTAAAATAAGCCAGGTTCCACTCCCGTCTCTCTTTAAATAAGGGAATTTGGTATGAAACTAAAATTCACAGAATTTAAAGCAATGCCTTAAGAATATGTTTTGCTATGTGTATCAGACATACACACTTTCTCAAGCTTCTGTTTCTCAAAGGCATGAAACTATGAGTGTATAAGAAGGGTAAAGAAAAGGAAGCTTGGGTTTCTTGAGCAGCCCTTTATGAACACACTTAAAGTGTCTGAGTAAAATATGGGTTTACAGCTTTCTCCAGTGTGAAACATCTTTTGAATATAATAAGTTTAGCAAGGATACTTGACACAACAGTAAGTTTATTTTTTCACATAGATTTATTAAGAAACTGTATTGCCATGTGGATTTAAGTTCTGATTGTAATAACTTTGTAATCCAACCCAGGGATTTATGGCCTGCATCTTAAAAGCCATTGGAATGATTAGATATTTTGCATAAACATTTCTAAAATACAGTTTTTACTAGCCACATGCAGCCTGAAAAAAATGGCTTCCAGGAAGATCAGTTTTATTTCTGTCATACTCTTTGAGTTGATTTCAAGAAAATTGCATCACTCATTACCTATAAAGTGTGTATGAAAGACCTATGGCTTTATAACAGATAGGCATGAGTGAATATTTAATATAAATATTTTACATACATTTTATTATTTCACTTAAAAGCACAACAGCTGGGGTGGGGGTGTTTTATTATTTAATATAATATAAAATCTAAATAGTTAACATGTGAAAATGTAACTAAATACTTGCCTGAATGTCTAGGTTTATTTTGGGGATTTTTATCATTTATATGAATATAGTTTTTTTCTGATAAATTTTGCAAAACCCTAAAGATTAAAAAAAGTCATCTACAATTTTTCCTTCTGTCTCTGCCCTTATTAAGGTAATATGGATCTCCATTTTTTTCCTTTCCCATAGTAACAGCTGAAATTTCTACTAAATTTCTCAGAACCAAAGAGATATTTTTATCTTTTGACACTGTAACTCTTCTAAAAGAGTTATATATTTTCTTCTTGACTTTGGTCTCTAGGGAACTCAGAAATCAATTAACAACATCATTTAATTTTTTTTAATGTCTCTAGTATTTATGTTTACTTACTTAGTGTAATCTTGAGCATGTTTTAATGCCTGAACATCATTAGCCATTGGTATTCAACTTTTTTACCTATTTTTAACTATTCCAAAAATCTATATAGTTCTCTCAAAATTATTTTGCAAATTATAAAAACTACACTCAGATAAATATATTTCTAAACTGTATTATATACCAAGAGTCAAAGAATTCTTTTTTAGGTAAAACAGTAATTTATTTCAGGTTTCAAAATATACATGTAGAATGAAAATAGAGAAAAAATAGCATACAAGTTGGGAAAAGAGACTATATGGAATTACGTGTTCTGATTATAAAGCTGTAGTTATATATATATATATAATAGGACTGTAGTAGTTTATATAATATATATAATAATATATTATGAATTATATATTATTCAAATATCAATTATACAAAAGTAGGTAAGTCAATACATGTCTAGGTAACCGTTTACCCAGAGGTAGTCAAACTAAAAGTTAAGGGCAAAATTCTCACCTTCACTTTAAATACTAGCCAGAAGCCCAGAGGTCCCCATGGCCATACTCACTTCTAACCAGCTGGCTGTAAAATTGGGGTTCCCACAGCACTGAGTTTTAATAATTCACTTAGACCAATTCATAGAACTCAGGAAAGCACAGTACTTTAAATTACAGTTTTATTATAGCAAAAGGAATCAAGTTAGAACTACCCAAAGAAAAGACATAAGGAGAAGTCTAGAAGCCTTTCAAAAGTGAAACTACTACAGACCTTGAGGACATGTTACTCTCCCAACAATGAGGTATCACAATGACCAAAAAGTACTGCCAGCCAGGGAAGCTCACCTGAGTTTTGGTGCCTATATTTTTATTGGTGTCTTACCTAGACATGATTGAATCATCACTCACATGACTCAGTCTCCAGGCCCCCTAAATTGCCTGGAGATTAGGGTGATATCACATGACTCAAATTTCTAATCACATGGTTAGTCTTTCTGGCACGGCTAGACTTTATCCTAAGTCATCTCATTAGTGTAAACCATCTAGGGACTCGCCATGAGTCACCTCATAAGCATAAACTATCAGTTGTGGTCTGAGACGCCCAACATAAAATCCCTCTCTTCCTTCTTCATCCATTTTTTAAACTATGATATTTACATAAAGTGATGACAAAAAGAGATAAAGTACTAATGTATTATCAGTTATTCTTGCCATCTAATTTCTTTGTTAGATAACTGGTGATAATGACAATAAATATAAATTTGGCAACACTAAATATACGGAGGCCTATCTGTGGATTTCCTTCCATATATGAAGTTAATTGGACACACATATCCATAATATAGTAGAATTTACTTATTTTAATAATAAACTTATTATATATAATCTAATTAGAATTAATTCAAATGGTAGAAATATAATGAATATGCCATTGTATACTCGGTCCCCTTTCTTCAGGGACACTTTACCTGAAAAATGACTCAGATACTGACTACCAAGGCTTTCTTTTTTTGCAGTAGGCTAATTTGCCACACACTATTCTTTGCCATTCCCAGAAATTACTTTGTTCAAATTCCAAGAATATTAATATAGGTATTCACTGGTATCTAAGTTTAAAATATCACAATTTAATTGATTATAAACAAACATCCAAAATTCAAAGTGATAATAGCTATATCAACTTTCATCAATTTCCTTTTTTTTTTTTTTTTTCCTGAGAAGCTTATTCTTCGGGTGAGTAGTCTCCTCTTCTGTATTCATTTCCCTGTTATTTCTCTCCCTGCCTCATACTCTCACACTTGTGGACATGCTATCTACACTAGAATACTTCATCAGTAGCTCAGCAATATTTTGCCTGGTTACTTACCTGTTTCCCCAATTATCTGAACTTGGTAGTTTGTTTATTCCATCACCAGAAGGCCTTTTGCATTGCATTACTATTAGTTGTTAATTTTCTGCCTCACCACCTGCTCTGAGAGTACTCCAAGAAATGGATGGGTGCAATTTCAAATGGGGCTTTTATATCTCCAGGACCAAGAACAGATCATAGCACTCAATAATGTTCAACATTCAAATATCAAATATCAATATCAAAATAGGAAAAATAGTATCAAAATAAAAATTTTGTCATAAATTAATGAGAAAAATTTATGACCCAATGATGAATACTATTTTGCTGTCTACATGAAAAATACATAAGAATACTATAAAATATAAATTAAAAGGAAAATCATACAGAGAGAAGTTCATTTGTGAGGATATGACAAAAACTGCAAATCTCTTTAAATACAAACAAAATGTTGGCACCAAACTAGTAAATATAAGATATATTGTGGAAAATATTCAACAGTTGATTCTAAAAGAGAAAAATAAAACATAATTTGAATACATCAAACATTAGGAGCTTTAAAAGAGTTCTAATTTCACTGTGCAATTTCATCATTTCACAAATGTATGTATTTGTGTACATATATCTATATATACCCATACATACAAATGTGTACTTTGGAGCCGATCCCATGAGACCTAAATTTGGATATGTGAATAGTAACTTTTAAAACAGCATCTGTGAAGATCCATCTGAAGATAAGTTTGACATTTAAAATATATTCTGTTTCACTGTGGAGACAAAAGTTGAACTGGTGATTTAAAAAAAAATGTTTTTTGACACGATAAAATAAAAAGAGACTTTGCTGGACATTATATCATTCCAAAGACTGCCTGGGTGGGGACAAGCAAGTAGTGTCCAACTTCAGGAATTTTTTTTTCAAAAAAGATGAATAAGGCCATGTGAAATAGGCAGGAAGCTATAACATGACACATGTTTTCCTGCAATATTCCTGATGGCACTATTTTCACTAATATTTAATAGACCATTTACAATGTGTCTAACAGTCTCTTTAAATTTAATTCATAATACACATAAAACGCATAAACCCTCAAACAATAGCCTAGAATAAGTAAGGTTCTACTAGACATGCTCTCCCCCAAAAACCCCCCAAAAAAAGATCTCTAGAGAAGCTAGAAAAAGCCAGGAATGCATGTGTAGTTCAAAGACTACGTGAGTGAGTTTGGTAACATTTAGGTGTCATGCTTTATTTCCCCAAGCATAATCTAGTTCTGTGATAACTTGGACATTTACGCAAGCTTAACTATGGCTTCTGAGAAGCTAGGTATAAACAGAAGGCTGTTCTTTAGGAAATTTGTCACAGAGATGCTCCATGACCTTTGGCAGTGGTAAATCCCAATAACAAGGGCAATTCAACAGATTTGCTCATATGATGAGCAGACTCAATTTTGTACATCCAGTGGGCTGCATAAATGAAGTCCTGACCTGAGAGACTGCAATTCCAGAACAGGTGTAAAATCTGCCTCAGAGCCATTAATGTCTTGCTTTTTTTGACCCCAGAATTCACAATCAAATAAAAACACAAATTATATGTTGCTACTGTTGAAAATTCTTTCTATATTATCTGTCAGACAACCCAATGGAAATAGAAAAATGCTGATACAAGAGAACCTTTCCAAGCAGTTTACCCTTTAAAGGACATTATAAAAGTCTACTTTTTTTAAGACTAGAAAGCACTAAGGCAATTAAATAATATTAAACCAATGACTATTCTATATTACATGGAGTTTATAGCTATATTTATGAATCTCCTCACAACTTAGGTGAAATTTATATAATAGTTTGACCACATTTCATACTCCTAAAAATGGACACTCTCTTGTCGTTAATATATTGTCCATGACCCTGTGTGCATCAAAATCTCAAGCTTATATCTGAGTCAACATGTGAGTGGATTGGTGGAAATAATATTGAAGATTGGCATCTTTCAAAATAGTGAACTCTCCTGAGACTGCCTTTGAATATGAGAGAAATATAAAGCCTAAGAAATGAACATAGTTAAATATTGGTCTTGTTCTAAAAATCTGACACTCAATTTAATTACGAAGTCAAAACTCCAATATGTAACACTTCACATAGTTTAATGGCTGATTTTCTGGCTAAACAGGATTTCTGTGTACTTCAAGTATAATAATGTAAAGGAAAAAAATGACTCATAATAGAAAAATTATTTTTCAATTCTCTACATTCAATTTTTAAAAATTTTCTGTATTACATTTAAAGTGTCTAATTGCTCTAAATTACTCTCATTAAGATGTGTCTGAAAAATATTTTCCATTTCAAAAGGTTTATCTTTCAAACTGACCCCATTTTTCCATTACTCTTGTTTTTGTCCAAATACATTTAAGATATGGACAAATAAGCGGAAATATATAGCATTTCTGCAGAATATACAAGTTTTCTGTTTGGTTTGTTGGCATATTATGAATTATGTTTTATATACCACAGAAAAGACACATTATTTAAAATTAATATATATAAAAAAGATTCTGGAGTGCACATTTCTTTCCTAATTGCTATCACATTTACCTGACGTGATGGTAAAGCAAAGTGGGATGAATTCAGGGAAACTGTCAGTCTAGAGATGCCGCTTTTTCTGTTGTAGCTTAGAGAAAGATTAGGATGGCTTAAAAAAGAATAAAATCCTGTCATTCGCAAAAAAATGGATGAGCCTGGAGGACATTATGTTAAGTGAAATAAGCCAGCACGGAAAGACAAATACCACATGTTCTCACTCATATGTGAAAGTTAAAAAAGTTGATCTCATAGAAAGAGAGAGTAGAATAGTGGTTGCCAGAGGCAGGGAAGTGTGGAGGGAAGAGCATTGCCAGAAGTTGGTTAATGAATACAAAATTACAGCTAGATTAAGGAATCAGTTTTTGTGTTCTATAGCACTATAGGGTGACTATAATTAACAATAATTTATCGTATATTTTCAAATAGCTATAAAGAACAAATTTTGTATGTTCCCAACAGCAAGAAATGATAAATATTTGAGGTGATGAATATAATAATTACCCTGATTTATTATACATTGTATACAGGTATCAAAATATCATTCTGTACACCATTAATATGTACAATCATTATGTGTCAAATAAAAATATTAATAAAAGCAAAACTAAGATAAAAATAGCTAGAAACCAAGCAAAGTAGTAAATAAAACATACATCATCATCTTTCATATGTGAGAGACAGAGAAGGTATTTTTCTTTTGCGTTATGATGTGACACTCATTCACAATCATATCTGAAGAGTCAGCACAAAACAGCATTGCTTTTTACATGCTCTGGCACAGTTAGGGTGTTTAATGTAAGGTGTAATTGGGGAAACAACCCAATAGTCTCAGTATAGTACAACTCTGAGATTAACATTTACCTTGTGTTATGCCTAATACCATCTTTACCAATATCAAAACTCTACTTACTAAGTACCCCCCCACTAAGGGTGCTGTGTGGGGTTCACTCAGAGAACTGTATATACAAGTCTTTGCCTGCTAGAGAATTTCATAATAAAAAGCATAGAAAAGTGAAAGGTAGAATATAAGACAGAATTCACTTGCAGAAACACCTAAAATCTTAAAATAAATACATCGCATTTTATTATGTTAAAATATATGTATATGACTCTATGATACCAGACGTAAAAAGCAATGGTTACAGGATGTGTATTTGATAACTGTATTTATATCATATGAAAATCATATGCTTATTATTTTATTATGTAATTATATGCCTATTATATTAGGCAATTATGAAGATTAAAATACACCTTCATTTGTTAATATTTGATCCCAGGGATTCCTAGTTAACGAGTATTCCAAAATCAAATGCCAAGAAAATTTGTTTTAGATTTTTTATTACAATTAATAATTTCATGACCTATAATATCCAAAACAATTGAGTTTTATTTGTCAGTGAAAGATATTTTATACTGGAGTTTGTTATTAAGTTAGTCAAGATGTAGCTTCAAGTATTTAAATTGAAGAAGCTTAAGAGAAAAAAATTAAAACTACTAATACAATAAATCAACCAGTAGATGAAGTTGAATATTTTACTAGACACAGTTAGTGGAACTAAATTCTAAGTATGTGAGTATAAGTGACATTTAATTCTAATTCAGAATAACCAGAGGTAGCCTGCATTGCATTGGCCAGCCCTTTTGTCTATGTAATGTGTATGTGTTCTGGGGCTATCTGAGCATGTGTGTCACCTTGAAGTGAAACTAAGTAGATTGCCTGCCCAAAGGGAAGGCAAAGACAACACTTGAATAGGACGGAATGCCAAAGAACACTTAATTTTTTCATTTAAATCTACACAGTGAACCTTTGAAAAATGGTCAATCTGTACCCACAAAAGAAGATGAAAGTAGATTCTTTGGAGAGTTGAAGCTAAAAGCTCTCAGCAAAGAATGGTCTCATGTGAGAAATTTGAAAATCATGCTTATCTTTTCTACAATAAATAAGTGGTGTGGTAGTAACTTCTTTTGTTTTGGAAGAGATTATTTTGTAGAAGTGCTGTATCACTAAGTAAAAGATAAACAGGGTCAACTATGAGTTACCTGCATTCAAAGAGAAGTGTTTTTACCAAACCAAAAATTCGTGTTTTACTTTCAAGGTATTCTATGTCAGAATACTAGTGTATGTGCATGTGTATGTGTGTGCGTGTGTGTATGTGTATAGTCATGTATTGTGATATTTTGACATTTATTTAAAGATAATAAAAATGATGAAGTCGGCCGGGCGCGGTGGCTCACGCCTGTAATCCCAGCACTTTGGGAGGCAGAGGCGGGCGGATCATGAGGTCAGGAAATCGAGACCATCCTGGCTAACACAGTGAAACCCCGCCTCTACTAAAAATACAAAAAATTAGCCGGGCGTGGTGGCGGGCGCCTGTAGTCCCAGCTACTCGGGAGGCTGAGGCAGGAGAATGGCGTGAACCCTGGAGGCGGAGCTTGCAGTGAGCCGAGATCGCGCCACTGCACTCCAGCCTGGGCGACAGAGCGAGACTCCGTCTCAAAAAAAAAACAAACAAACAAACAAAAAAAAACAAACAAACAAACAAAAAAAATGATGAAGTCATAGTTTTGTTACAAACTGGAAAAATAATCAATTTCTTAAGGTTTTTCTTCAGCTAATGAACAATCTCTCTCTTTCCATTAGACTGGTAAAACTGGAGCCTAAGTAGTTTCCCTTTAAGCTTCTGCTCTAGCTAGTTTACACCTCAGTGTACTGGCACTGTTGATTAGGCTGTGGGGACAGAGGACCAAGTTTAAGTATTCAAAATGGAAAGTCTTTTAGAAATTGTACTGGTTCTCAATTATCTGCCACTCCAGACTTCCTTAGCCCCTGAACCTTGGCCATTTTCTCTCATCAGAGCCCTCTGGTTTCCCCTGCTGTTGCCTCATTTCCTAATGCCTCTGTTTATCTCAGCCTCATTTAAGAGTCAGGCTTTTGACAGAGCTGGACTCTGCATGGCATCCACAAGGTTCCTGATGGTGGGAGATGCAGCCGCTCAGACAGCCCTGTGTTACCTGATGGTAAATTTACAGGAGCTCTGGCTTCCCCAGCATCTGAGTTTAGTGGCTTGGTTACACAATCAAGAAGTGTGTGGAGATTAATGCCCAGTGTGGAAAACTAAGATCAGTGAGAGACAGAAAATAAAAAAACAGTATGACAAAAAAATTCCTTTCCCTTCCTTCCTGTTCTTGGACTGTTCTGAGGCATAGCAGCTCTATATGTTCTCCCTGGACACTTCCTTTTTGTCCAAGCCAACTGGTCCTGTCTTCTTGTGAAGTTGTAGGCAGAAAGGTAATGCACCGCTTTTATGCGTTTACCCTCATGTGTGCTACTCTGGAATCGTACCCCTAAGAAAATGTTGGCATGTAGGCCTTGCCTCAGCCTTATGTTCTATAGGCTAGCTGGGTTAGACAGTAACGAAACCCTAATATTAGTTCAACTCTTATTTTTTAAAGAATTTAAAAGAATTAAATTTAATTTAATAAGCATTCTCCTCTAAGTCTAAGATATTGGAAGGCTGTAAACATAAATATAGTCTAGGCTGAATTATCATAGAGGTATTAGTCTAGCAAAAGAGATAGAGGCACTAAAGCAATAGTTACCAACCGGGATGATATCCCAAATATTTAACAGTCAGTGGGGCATGGGAACTCACAAACTGCAACAGATATTAGCCTTTAAGTTGTTGGATTATTAGAGATGTTTGGGCAGCCACGTGGCGGAAGTACACTCAGAAGTTTAAGGTCTGTGATAATTTGTCAACTGGAGAAGAACTGGAATATATTACCTGTAAAATCAAGTTTGGTAGTTCCAGCATGTAGCCGTTCAATATCAGCTCTACACACCAAATACTGTAAGACCCAAAGAGGCAGGAACAAAGGGATACCGAAGTGACTGAGATTTGTATTAGTGGGGAACAAAGTTAGAATATTATATTATGGGTTCCTCCCACACTTGATTTTTTTTTAAAGTCTACTTAGATAGCCTGCTAGCTATCAAGGTAACATATTTTCGTAGCAAGAGAAAATCAAGCTTAAGAATTAAATCAACATTATTCATATAAAAATTGTGTGGCTACAGGCATATACCAGACATGAACTCATGCTCAGAAAATATTCAGTGACAAATGTGTTATTTCATAAAATTATCATTGGAAATTTTGTTCATTATGGGCCGAGCTATATTTTCTGTGCAATTTTATATCTCTACGGTACTTAAGCTTAGTTTGTAAAAGTTTATGAAAAATGATATATTTTTAGACAAATAGAAGCACTGAGTTGCTAAAATGCCCAGAAAACTTCTGGACTTTACTTACTTGCCTTTGGGATATTTTGTCCTCTTTTAGGCAAAGGTTGGTACCTGTTTCCTTGGAAATAAATGAAAATTTATAGGAAAAAAACACATTTTCCACACACTGTCACTCTGAGGTTTGCTGTTCAGCCACAAAGACTTGAGTACTTTTTATATGCAATGAAATTTCTGAATCTCTGAAAATTTTGACTTCATGTTTATAAAATATCTCTATAATTCCCTATTTTCTTTAATTCTGGTCAGTTAAGGATAATTTATGATTGTGGAGTTAGCTCAATTTTTCATTTGCCTTAGCTTGACACACACGTTGAATTTTAGTTTGATGTCTGCATTTCTTTAAACACATCAGTAATGCTTTTTTGAAAAAAAAAATTCCCCAATTTATCTTCCCTTAAGTGTGTTCAGATAGTTTTGTGACCTAAGCAAGTGATTCCCTGGGAGGTCCGTGATTTTTTGATTTTTAAAAACTCTTTAATTCCAAAAGGTCATCGATGTGAAAAGGCAACTCAGCAAGTCTCAGCAGTAAAATATACTAAATCTTAATAGTCTGTCACAATTTCTTTCAGAAATAACCTTAAATTGGTGATGATTAAAATCTCAATATGAAAGAAAATCCACTCCCTTAATTACATTCCCTGCCACAACATGCTATGAGAACAACTCACAAATTCCACAACTTGCCCTATCTTGCTCGGTGACAGAATGGAAAGCGGTCTCATGAACTTTCTCTTCTGCTTTGCATAAAAGGTTGGAATCTTTATTATTTCCCTTTATCATTGGCACTAATGTATGAAAAGTGAATCAATTTTTCCATGTTTAAACCAAACTATACAAAATATTTACTGATGTGAACTGCCTAATTCGTATTTTGCAAATTGTTAAGACTCTCATGCAACAATACAACGAGGTCAGGTTAATTCCATTTGTTCAATACACAGTTTGAAGAAAATTGCTCTGGTTAGAGAAGAATGATTAACTGATTTTGATCAGGGGTACCAAAGAGAGGCAATTTAGCAAACCTTGGAAGGCTGAGTAATAAATTGATACTTTTAAAATGGAAGAAAGTAGATTTAAGGCAGAGAGAATGAGAGAACTAGAGAACACAGAACCATAAGGACATAAGGACATATATATTGAAGCGATAAAGGAAAGTAAATATTAGAGTTGGAATAAAAAACCTTTATTTGATTTGTAGACACAATCTCTTTATTTTAAAAATAAATATTCACAGAAATTATATCATGACAAACCCTAGACAGTAAAAATTGATATTTGAATTCTGCATTTTAAAATGTAGCCTTAACCGTGTCACCACATTCAGACTTTATTTTCAATAGCCAGCTCAACTATATCCACCTCAATATACTGCACAACAAATTGTAGAATTACTATGTCTAAGATACAACTTTTCTTCAGAATTTGTTCTGTCATCTAAAACTTCCATTTATTCTTTAGACCTCCCATCCCCTCGGATTCCTAAAATAGAGACTTGGATATCATTCAGTTGATGTCTTCCTAATATTTCTAGTGAGCCACCAGATTATAAAGATTGACTTCAGAATGTGTCTCAAATCCTGTTTCTTCCCTCCAACTACTTCCACTACTGACTTAATTCAGTCTTCAGCTCTAATTTGGATTATTAAAACAACTGCCTGTTTTCCCTATAAAGTATGTAGAATGTGACATGCCACTAAATTTTCCATACAAATAATGCTCACAGGGCAGTTTAAAGTATTCTTATGAAACAGGATCAAGGTAAGGCACACAGTTACAAATTTGGTAGGCATCAGGATAGAAGCAATATTAGAGATCATGGAAATAGATGGTATTGCCAAAATAAGGAGGTTGAAAAAGGAAAAAGGGTATTGAAATAACAAAACGAAGCAATGTCTTTTGCTTTTTGACAGTCTACTGCTGATGATTTTCTACAATCTTGCATGTGCGTGTAGAATACATTTTTATTAATTTACTAGGTAAGTCAGGAAATTAACTAGCCCAATTCTCCAAATAACCATAAGAAGAAATATTGGTAGTTGAGAAGGCTATGTAGAGAAAATGTTAAGCTAATAATAATGATAATTAATAGGCCATAACGAAAAAGATAACCTTATGGATTCAATCATAAATGTAATTATATTACAACATTATTTAATTAGTCCTAATTTTTGGAAATTTTAGAAAGTAGAAAGTAGTCCCCAAATCTTATATCTCCACAGGTTTCTGAATAATAGCTATTATCCACACTTAAGTATATGGAAACCGTGTTCAGAACTGTACTGCATAAATGATAATGACAGCATTATTTGTAAGCTTCTTTGATCTGTTATCACTTGTGATATCAAGATCATTATTTTCATCCCTACTGAAAAGTTCTTGATTAAATGTCTAAGTGACAGAGGTATCAGTGATTTAATCTCAATATGTTCACCATTTATCTTTTTCTTTGTACATGTCCAGGGTTTAGTCTTCTTCTCTGTTTTCAACAATGTTTCTCAACCCTCATTGCACATCAGAATTAACTGAAGAGCTCTGAAAAAATTACCACTGCCTCGGTCCCACCCTTGACATTTTTATCCAATTAGTTTGCACTTGGGTGTGGGCACTGTTTTTTTTTTTTTTTCTAATGAACAGAAAGATAGGATTGAGAATCACTGGTCTACACTTTCTCCCTGTCTGAAAAATCACAGATACTCTCAAATTTTATCACCCTAATCTCTTTACTTTCCTTATCTATAGATTAATATCTCCAAATCCCCATTCAACATCTCTACTTACCATGTCCAAAAATAAACTCTTGACCTTTCTTCTCTGCATCTTGCTTCTCCCCAATTTACTACTCTCCTGCTTACATGCAAAATATGTAACAACTTGGGCACGTCTCACCTTCACAGCTACCATCTTGGATCTCCTCACCCATACTCTGGTCCTCATACAGTATATTTTTCACAGAGTGGTCACAAAGTCTTTTTAAAAGTGTAAATCGAGTAATGTCTGCTGAACACCCTCCAATGACTTGGTTACACTCAGAATGAAGCCAGATCTCTTCCCATGGCCTTTATGTGGGGGTGAAAGCATGCAAACATGGAAGTGAAAGCAGAGGATAGAGAGAGGGGAAAACAAACACACGCTTTCAAACATGGATTCGTGAGACGTTTCTCAAGCTACCTGAAGGTTTTCTTTCCTATGTTTCTCACTTTCCCCTTCCAGCCACTTTGTCAGGAAACAAGAAGCCCTCTGCTCCCTTGACTTGCACTGCTTCTTCTTAACTTCCTTTGGAAGAATTATTCCAAGGGCCTTGTAGTTACACACACTTTTGACAGACACTTTCCGAATACCAGCTTCTCTATAACACTAGCTTTTTTAGTCTGGTGCGCAGCCAAAAAGGGTAGGTAAGTAGCAGTGGAGATAAGCAACAGGAGAACATGGCTTTGCTATGATAAAAAGGATATTTGCTCATGCATATGAATCTGTCATTGTTCTGATTTTGATCTGTGCTTAGACAGTCAGTAGACTGAATCTGTGCCCAGCTAGTCCATCAAAGAGGTATTATTGCTTTTGGGTTGTCTGGGTTTTAGGGATTCGAAAGACTCTGGAAGAAGTGCAGCATCTTGTCCTGCCAGAAAGGCTTTTCTAACTCAGGATTTGGGGAACATTCAGTTCCTTTCCAGATTTAACCCTGACTCATCTCTTTGTTCTTTTGGAATTTAGGCTAAAACTCAGTGCATGACCTTAAATCCAGCAGCACTAGTGTATGTGAATCCATTTCTCTCTTGGATGGTGAGAAGGAATGTAGGGGACTCTCCCTTAACCTAGTTGAAGGACTCTTTCCCTAAGCCACCAAAATAAACCATCTTCAGTAGTTTGTGGTTCACGTAGAATTAAAAACTAAATTATGGGTACCATTATCTGTGTATCATCCAAAGTCAGTTTTTTTGTACCAGCAATTACAGTGTAATTATTTTGTACCAGCAATTGCAGAGTAATTAGGTAAGTTTATTCTGAATGCTACCTGGAGGCCCCTTCTCCACCCATGAAATGTTCAGGACTAGGCCTGGATATGACTGTGAGTAGTTTCATTTGTGAAGCACTGAGTAATACAGAGACATCTAAAATATCTGTCCTCTGAGAAATTACAACTAGCAAAGGGCAACCAGCTCCCACAGCAAAACAATATTAAGTATTGAATCATTAATTAAATCATGAACAGTAAAGAATGTAAGATTTCTTGAATTTTAGAAGGAAAACTCATCTTTAAGGCAATCGTGAAAGAGACACTATGAAGACAAATGTTTCTTAAGATTTTGTGTAACTTGCATACATTGGAAAAGGGTCCTAGAGATTGCCTATTGAGGGGAAGCATGCAGTGTCCTGGGGAACAAACTGGGGCAACTGAGGCAATAAGAGGGAATTCCTGGGTTTGAGGGTGCTCAGAACATCAGCATGGCTGCCAACTAGTATAGCTGTCCCTAGTAATACAAGCTAATTATATATAACATTTGTATAACTACAGCTTTCATGGCAAAATTACTTATTTATAAAAAAGTGAAAACAATCTAAACATCCTTCATGGGATAAAAAATAAATCAATTTTACATTATAAACAAAGAAGGAGGCCTCTATGTACTAATCTGGAAAGGTGCTCATGATATATTCTTTAAGGAGAAAGGCAAATTCCAAAGGCTTATATGTAAAGTATCATTTGCTACAGTGAAAATAGTTTGTGTATGTGTGCACGTGCTTGTGTGTTACATACACACTAATGCAAATATCTGAAAAGTGTTATATCAAACTGCAAACGATAATTACTAGGAAAGTGGACTATGGAAGGGGGTAAGATTACTGAAAAAAAGTCACATTTTACTTTACATATATGTTGTTTAAATTTATACAATGAATATTTGTGCTTTGATAATTCAAAAATCATTTGTTAAAGAAAGGATTTAGAGGCGTGTGTGTGTGTGTGTGTGTGTGTGTGTGTAGCTTTTATAATCCAAAGTTAAGGGTAAAAGGCAATGTAACTTGCATACATTGAAAGATTTAATATGGGAGCTATTTAGAAATTTTGCTTTTCTTTAGGTTCCAATTCATGATACCTAAGGTAACATCTAATTAGCAAGCATTTGTAACAGCTGCCCATGATGGCTAAGAAAAAGTTTTGCTATATTCACAAATTTATAAATTATACAAGTATATGATATTTATAAATTTAACAAATTTCCATATGATATAAGCATTTCCTATGTAAAATTTTATTAACTAAATACTTTCAAAAATCCATATTCTTACTCTTAAATTTACATACATATGCAGAGAGAGAGAGAGAGAGGTTGAGATATAACATGCATGAACCCTAATGCTGATCAATACATTAGCAACCAGATATAGAATTAAAAATACTTTTATTTTTATAAAATTATTTTATGATATTTAAATAACTTTTCAGAAAATAATTTTTAAATGTTATTCTTAAAATAATTTTCCTTTCAAATTTTGATATTCAAGTATAATTTATAATTGCCTTCTAATTATAAATTTGAATATTTAGAAAAATAACTTTAAAAGTAATATAAATATAATTTTTATTATTTTATGTTTACTTTAGGAGTCTTATGATAATAGATTTCAATTCTCTATATTTCTAATACAGTTATATATTATTCTTTTAATCCTTTAAATTATTACTATTACTACATAAAAATTATGCAATATATTGACTGTAAATATTTTGCTGAAGTGAAAGAAAGAAAATAGCTTTTATGGAATACATATATAATAATATATGAAGTAGGAAGGTTTTATTGCATGATTCTGCCAACTATTGTTGGTCCATTATCAAGACATAGATATTAACAGCAGTAATTAACATATTCATAAATTTTTATCAATTTATACTTAAAAACATAGCTATATACTTTCTAAAAATAATTTATTGCATAGTGATTTTTTTCAATGAAAGTATATGGAGCACATTTATTTAAAAATGTATGAGCTTTATTTAAAACTTAAATATTTGACATATATCTCATGGGTTTCCACCTGAACTCCTGCCTCAGGGATTGCGTTCATACCCATGTCAGTTGAGTACCCATTATTCCACACTCAGGGAATCACCTAAGGAAGACAGAAGTACTTTTAAAGAGGATTAAATTAGGAATAGGGATAAAGGTCTGAGGAGATTGGTAAACCAGCATCATTACAGATGACAGTAGAGAAAAGACATGGGAGCTGGAAATTACCATAGCTTCATCCATTCATGATCTCATCACATCCAGGTGCACATTTAAACACAGAATTCAATTCACATTGTCAAGTACAGAGAATAAAATTATCCAACAAGGCCGGGCATGGTGGCTCATGCCTGTAATCCCAGCACTTTGGGAGGCCGAGGCGGGCGGATTATCTGAGTTTAGGAGTTCAAGATCAGCCTGGCCAACATGGCAAAACCCCGTCTCCACTAAAAGAACAAAAATTAGGCATGGTGGCAGGTGCCTGTAATCCCAGCTACTCAGGAGGCTGAGGCAGGAGAATCGCTTGAACCTGGGAGGCAGAGGTTGCAGTGAGCCAAAATAGCACCACTGCACTCCAGCCTGGGCAACAAGAGCGAGACTCCATCTCAAAAGAAAAAAAAAAATTATCCAACAAATGTGGATTTGGCACCCACTCCGCATGAGGCTGTTTGCCATGCACTGGAGGAGAAGTAATTATGACATGTTTCCAGACCTTGAGGTAGTTCATCTACAAAATAATTGAATGTATAATAGTGGAAAGAGGAAGAGAGGTATAAACTAACTAGAGCCAATCTGGTTGGGATCAGGCTACAGAAAAGAAAAGAAATATATGGAATGTAGGAAATACTATCCAGGAATGTATGGACAGATTCAATAACAGAAACATACCCTATGAACTTTACTTGGGCCCATAACCTTAATAATAACAGTCAAAGTCATGTAGATGGATACTATTTATTAAATCTGACAGCAGCCTGAATTCTACCTGTTGTACATGAGCAGACACGGTAGTCTAATGTTTCTCAACTGTCATTCCTTCAAGAAGAAAGTGCCACAAAGATAAAATATTTTGATTATGAGGCTACCCTAGTGAAAACTACAAATAAAATCATAAAGTTCTTTGTCACTTCATGAAGAAAGCTACATAAATAGTGAATGGTAGCTAGTGTTTGCAGCATCAGCTTCTACTTACTGATTTATTTTCCTTTTCTAAAGGGCAAGAGACTCACTTCTCATTTTAATTTGGAGAAATACAGTACTTCACAGAGCAGAGATTAATGGAAATTTTTGGATGTCTTATTTTGAAAGTCTTTTTAAAAAGTTCATAATCATAAAAAGCATTTGTCATAGAAATAAACACAGGATTGTGTCTCTGGGATTTGGGGGTAATAATTGGGCCAGTGAATTACTTTAACCTCTTTTTGCCAAAGCAAAGATGACATAGAAATTCTAACTTACATTATGGAAAGCTATCATAAAGTCTTTAGACAGCCTGAAATCTCCAGGGTCCAGGGAAGATAGAACCTTCTAAGCTATTGAATCTAAATGCCTGCCTTCAGGCAAAGGTGTACTACTTGAGTCAGGTAGGCAGCTATGATATTAGGAGAGGGATTACAAATGTCTAAATAATTTACCCGATATTTAAGTTTCATAATTCTGTGAAATTGTTTAAATGTTATCTTTTTATTTTGATTTATTCCTCAGAACCTCTCACAGAGCCTGTTGAAGAGCACTGTTGGCTCACTTTTCCTCATGGGTTTTCTTTTTCCTCTCACTTTAAAATTTTAATGTTGACACCACATTAAAATTTTAACAAATTATTAGCTGGGGGCAGTGGCTTATACCTGTAATCCCAGCATTTTGGGAGGCTGAGGTAGGTGGATTGCTTGAACCTAGGAGTTCGAGACTAGCCTGGGCAACATGATGAAACCTCATCTCTACAAAAAATACAAAAAATTATCAGGGCGTGTGGTGCACTGGTGCATGTCTGTAGTCCCAGCTACTCAGGAGGCTGAGGTAGGAGGATCACCTGAGCCCACAAGGTCAAGGCTACAGTGAGCCATTATCAGGCCACTGCACTCCAACCTGGGCAACAGAGTGAGACCTTGTCTCAAATAATATATTTATTTCATACATGTGGTTTTACATTTCAGAGGAGATGAAATATATGTAAGAGCACCTAGGAGACAGGTTTGCAGAAAAAAGGCCCATGGCACTTGTGTCTCATACTGTGGCTTATGTCTCAGATGCACGGGAGTTGCTCCCTTTGTTAACATTTGTTCCTGCCTGTACAGTTTCTCACCATTGGAAATAAACTAATACAACAAATAATAATTTATTTATAACTATTTGAGATATATATATATGTGTATATGTGTGTGTATATATATATATGAGAGAGAGAGAGAGAGAGAGAGAGAGATTACATTTAACTCAATTATTGTTGATCCATATTAAACAAGCAAGAATTACCTACGGATGTATTTTTTTTTTTTTTTGCCCTCTACATATGAAGAAACAAGGGCTCATAATTACTCAGCCATTTAGGGTTCTGAACTGAATTCTTTATTGTCTTTTAAGTTGAAAAGTTCCAGTAGGAGACCCATCTCTTTATTAAGGAGTCTTAATAATTGCTATGAAAAACTGATCAGATATTGTACAATGTGTGAAGAGTACTGAGTGCCAACACTAGAGATTTTAGAAGGATATTATGGTTACAATATATTTTTCCTGAAGCATACAGATAGGACGGCCAGATAAAATACAAGATGCCTAGTTAAATTTAAACTTCAAAGAAAATTTTTTAGTGTAAGTATGACTCAAATGTTGCATGGGGCATACTTGTTCTAAAAATTATTTATTGTTTATCTGATACTCAAATGTAACTGGGTGTCTTGTATTTTTTTGCTAACTCTAACAACACAATCACAGATCACTGATGATAAATATTCAGACAATATAACACCTCTTTGAGCCCGTTTCTTGCCCTAGCCTGCATCAAAGCTAAGGGCATTCAATAAGTCTATCACAAAATAGCAAATTGGTATTCATAGATCTTTGCTTGGTGCATGAAGTGACAAACATGTCTTTGAATCACATGCACTGTGATTACTGACCATCTCCCCAGGATATTAAAATAGTGGGATAAGAAAATAGCTCCTCATATGGTGTAAGATAAAGAAATTCCTGATTTACTAGGCTTTATAAATTGTGTCTGGAAACTGGTTTCTGAGCAAAGGAGTTGATGGTTGATTGTTAGAGGTGCTCAAACCATCAGTGGCGTAGCTCAGGGAACTGTAAGTTTTTAGAATGATCCAGCTTAAGTGGCCTTCTGAGAGACCACCCCCCAGAGTAACTCATGCCCTGGGACCTGAGGATCAAATTCCTGTTAAATTTTTTTCTAGAAAGAAAGGGGAAGGGATTCTGATATTAAGCAAATATAATAATTATAAAATAAATATATCTCTAGTGTCACATAAATATGAGCTGTTTCCTTTTTTAGTTTAAAATGTATTATAATTTATGACTATATTTGGCCATTTCTTTATTCTTCTTTGTAGTCAAAATAAATTAACTTTTAAAATGAAAGTGTCCCCAGCCTCTCTTACCTCTGAGAGGTCCTGGAAACAAAGGTAAAACAAGAACTCTGTCACTGGCTTCTCCTTCCCCTTGTTCCTAGTAACATTTAATGAAAGGCCCCAAGTCCCTAGTTCAAAGTCTCTTGGGACCTAGTCAGGTCACAGATTTTGTCCGGTTCACCAGGTCTTCAAAAATGATCATCACAGAGCTGCTTACTTTCAAATATCCTGAACACATTCAATGAGATCTCTTTTATCTTCAGTCCATATTGTCCTTCAACTTGGTTTCAAGCTTAAATAACAAGGAAATACCAGGAGGCAGCCCAAGCCAGAGAATATATGTGGCATCCATTTTAGAAATGGTTAGTAATTGAAACCAGTACTTTAAAAACTGATAAATGAATGGATACCAAAGCTGTTTTACTTTTAAGGACATACCAAAAATACTTCAAAAGAAAATTTAGAGACTAAAGGGGGACACTTAAAGCTAATTGTCCACTATTCAGGAACATGCATTTCTTCCCTCTGCAGATGGTGACATTTTAGGATAAATTGTGAAAAGTATTCCATTTAAATTAGTGGTCTCCAAAATAGAATAAGCAAATGAGGCAGTGTGTAAGACTTAGAAGGAAAAAACAATATGTGTATTTACATGCATGTAACTATAAAGAAAACTAAGCTTAACTAAACTTTGGTATACAATGGCTGGTGTCAGCATCCTCAATCAGCCATACACACCATGGGAGGTTCCTTGAAGGGAAAGTATGCATTTGGTGAGGATGGATGGGTGACCACCTCACTCAGTCATTCACCTTTAGCATGTCTCAACCTTCCTTCATTTAGATAGGTCCTGTAAAATGGATTTTAAGATTTAATGTAGTTTAATAAATTAACCCTGTATCATTTGTTATGGACCAGTGTTTTAAGGCTGCCTTAAAAGACACCATCAACCAAAAATAAAAAATAAAGTAATACAAGGTACAACTCATAGGAAAAAGGAATAACAAGATCTTTATTAGGAACATTATAGGTACAAAATAGTGATCATATAGTCAGATCTTAAAAAGAGCCACAAATAATAACAAAATTCTCAAAATTACTATTTGAAAGATGTTTCCTGTCCTCTATCATCAGCAGTGGGCCTTGACATCTAGGTGCTTTGGGCCTTGTGATAACTGATGATTGTATAAAGTCATCACCATAGACAGCATTTAAAAATATTTGTTTTCAGCTTTACCTCACTTTTTTGAGCTTCCAATTTATGTATGTTTTTATAATGTACACAATATAATGATCCCATATATGGCTTATTATATGTAATTATTGCAAAGAAAATATATTGGGGGGGTGCAGGTGCACTGGCTCACATTTGTAATCCCAGCACTTTGGGAGGCCAAGGCAGGAGTATTACTGGAGCCCAGGAGTTTGAGACCAACCTGGGCAACAAAATGAGACCCGTCTCTAATATATATATTTTATCTAGCTATCTAATATATATATAAATATATATATTTATGTATCTATCTCTCTATATATAAAGATAAATAGATACTACAGGACACACTACCATACCTAGCTAAAAAAAAAAATAGCCTGGTATGATAGTGTGCCCCTGTGGTATCTATATATAGATATATATATTTTAATGTATATACTAAATTGAAGTAATTGGATATTTATATCTAGAGAGATAGATCTATAAATATGTAGATCTATAAATAGATCTATATATCTATAGATATGAATCTATAGATCTATCTCTCAATATATATATCTAGATAAATATATATTGATATAGAGATAGGTATAGATAGATATATAGGTAGATATAGATAGATATATAGATATATCTCTTAATAGACATAGATAGATAGATAGATAGATAGATAGATAGATAGATAGATAGATATAGATAGATAGATATAGACAGATAGAGGTACCTAGAGAGACGGGGGGAGGGAGATGAATGTGTGGCAATTGCCTTAAACTATAATAAAGCATCTCAACCAAAAAATTGTGTAACTAGCATGAGGCAGCTTGTAAAAAAAATACTGGTGCAGCATTAACAACAAAAAACAGTTACTAAAATCCTAGGATTAGATAAGTGCAATAGAATAAGCAGAGAAGAGGAGAGGATGGAGACTTCTGTTAATGTACAAAAAAAGTACAGAAAATGCAAATGTAATTGAAGGAAGACAGAAAGACCTTTTGTGTTTGGGGGGAACTTCTATAGAATTCTCACTTCCAAACTAAAAAGGCATATAGCATTTTTCCTTGGTGAGAGATAAGGAAAGATAGTCTTTCAGAAGCAGAATACCTAAAAGATCCTTGATGATAATAAAGTCAAAGCCAAGAGCAACACCAGGCTTCATGCATGAGGAACACATTTTCTAAAGATGAAGAGGTGTTTTTGAAAAATAGAATGAAAATGTCAGATGTTCCCTAAGCTTTTGTCCTTCATCCTCTTATATTCCTACCCAAATTCTCCTGGCTAGAATTTTCTATTTCAACATCTTCAAATGTTATACATTCTAACCCAGAAACCTCTCTTGAGCTCTGGACCCCCATTTCCAACTTTCACTTGTGTTTTTGTAAGCTTATTATTTAATCAACATATATTTATTGAATGGAATTATCAAAAGTGATATATTCTCTACCTTTAGAAACTGAGATTTTAGTAGGAAACAGACAATAATTACATAATCATATAAATAAAAATATTACACATTGTGATAATGACTGTAAGAAAAGAAAGAGGTAGATATGATTGAAAGTAATTAATAGATGTATGATTGGGGAGGAGAGGGGACATTTTTAGATGAGATCAAAAAGGGGGTTTTTATGGGAATTTTCTATTGAAATCTAGAATGAGATGGAGCCAATCACTCAAAGAAACTGGGAAAATGTACTCCAGATATGCAAAATTACTAGAGTAAATGTCCTGAACTGGCAAAGAATTTTGTTTCTAAAGAAAAGAAAAGAGGCAAGTGTCCCAGAGTTTGCTACTCAGAGGGTGTTCAGGGACCAGCAGCACCAGCATAATTATCACCCAGAACCTGTTAGAGACGTAGACTTTCAGATCCTATTCCTATCCTGCTGAATCAGAATTTGCATTTTAACAAGATGCCCAAGTGATGCACATGAACATGAAAGTTTGAGAAGTATTGTCCTAGAATATGTACTTACGAAGAGAGTGCTACAAGAGGCTGGAGAGTTGTATTCCAAGGTCTGTAGAAAACCCTTATCTACACCAAGAAAATCAATTTGGCTGTTTCACCAACATGTGCATATAAACACTAAATTTTGAAGTCAACATCTTTAGTCCTTTATTTTCTTCTTCTACACTGTGCTCTTTCTTTAGTGAGACTCCAAATTTTATAACTCTTCCCTTATTTGGTCCCACATTCAAATAGGTACAGACTCTGGTCAAGTCAGTCTTCTTAGGGGCAATAACTCAAGTATCTATCCCTTCTTTTATTTCCATTTAATGTTCCTTTGCCTATTGGTCTCTTATTTCACAATGATATAAAGTGTGTTTTGTTCATTCTATAAGAATCAATGCTTATTCTTGGCTGATGTTACAAAAGGACTATAGGAAAGTACTGACTTAAAAATTGTGAAAATAGGATGTCTGCGCTTTAAAACTATTAACCTATGTTGGGTGCAACAAACCCCATGACACGTGTATACCTATGTAACAAACCTGTACATTCTGCAGATTTATCCTAGAACTTAAAGTATAATAATTTAAAAAATTATCAACATATACACCATGGAGTAAAGATGAAATGGCCCTCAGAGCCATAGAATTGAAGGTAACCTGACTACATAAGTGAATATACTAAAGAAAAGAAGTCAAATGAAACACAGGCACAGGGTAGAGAGGGAATAGTCTTATTAGACATGGAAACAAAATATAAAGCAAATCTCAAAGGCAGCCCTTATAGAATTCTGGTGTGATTGGCAAATCCATCACTACTTTGAAGAAAATATAATTTCAACACATTTTAGACAACTTAATGCCCCTGCTTTGAGTTCCATATTCCCAAATCAATGTTCTGGCATCTTTTTATTCCTTCTGCACTTTTGTCTTTAGCAAAAGAAAATACTGATTATTTGCATTTTGAGTATTCTTGTTTGCATAAGAGTTATTTCTCACTGTTAACTGATAAATTGCAGTGAGGTTTCCTATATCTGTTTAATGAGGTTGGAGACTACTCCAGAGAAAGAAATCAACTATTGATGTGCAGCCAAATCATTTTCTAAGCCTATAAGGCTAAGAATCAGAAAAACAGTTGGAAATTTATCAAGACAACCCCTCTGAAGGTTTTTTGGTTGGCAGCCAGAGGTCCTCTTCTTGGAGATCATAGCATCTCTCTTATGTCCCTATCATCTTGTGTGCAGCAAGCACTGTTTTGCTGTTGTTCCTTAATTTCTACACTAGTGCCAGATACTTTACTAGATGCTGAGGATTCAAATACATTCAATACAATCCCTGTGAGTGTAAGCCTGTGTCTAAGTAAATCAATGTGTACAATAAATTATATCGATTATTATTGCATGGTAGGTATACAAGAGCTATTTGAGCTTTGGGTGGATTTTTGAGCTGGATTTCAATAGCAAACTGGAATTAAATGAGTAGTCAGGGAATGGCATATAGAAAGAAGGAAAACAGAACTTAAATGAAATGTTATGTTCTAGGGACCACAGTAGTTTATCACATATATTACATTAAAATAACAACTCATATTTACAGAGTCCTCACTATGCGCCAGGCACTGTATTAGGTACTTTGTTAAGTATCAGACCATTTAATCCATTAACAATCCTACAAAGTAGATATTCTTTTCATCTCCACTCTTGAGATGAGGAAACTGAAAGGTTAATATCTTATTTAGGGTCACACAAGTCATAGTCCTGGAGCCAGGACTTAAACCCAGTCAGTGGGAGTCCAGAAGCCTCATCCTTGATGACTATGTAATAAGGTAATTTTAAAAGCATTTACACTAAATTTTAAATGCAATGAGAGCAGGGAAAATTTCATATTCTTTGGTATAGTCCCATCACCATGTAGTACAGCCAAACATATTCAATAAATATATCTTACATGGGGGGAGAAAAGAAGTAAAGACAATAGATGAGACTGAGAAAAAAAGAGACTCTGATTAAATTTCTCAGATTATAGTCTCATTGCCTGAACATCTCCTGCTTAAGTGGTTTGCTCTTCTGTCATAAGCAGTGAGAATCATGACTCGATCCTATTTCCCTTTTCTGACATATTTTACAGACCAGAAGCCATTTACTCCTTAGCTGGTGGCTCTGACCACTGTCACACCCTCTTAATCCACCTCAGCATATATTTTTCTAGCAAATGTTCCCAAGTGATTACTGCCAAATCACTACCTGCAGATTAAAAAAAAAAAATCTCAATAATAAATGCACATACTATTTATGTTAAACTTCGTTTATTTATTTTCTTTTTTCTTTTTTTTTTTTTTTTGAGATGGAATCTCACTCTGTTGCCCAGGCTGGAGTGCAGTGGCACTGTTTCGGCTCACTGCAAGCTCCGCCGCCCGGGTTCACACCATTCTCCTGTCTCAGCCTCCCGAGTAGCTGGGACTATAAACACCCACCACCATGCCCGGCTAATTTTTTTTTTTTTTTTGTATTTTTAGTAGAGACAGGGTTTCACCGTGTTAGCCAGGATGGTCTCGATCTCCTGACCTCGTGATCCACCCGCCTTGGCCTCCCAAAGTGCTGGGATTACAGGCGTGAGCCACCACGCCCAGCCTCTTTATGTTAAACTTTAAATGTAGGAATGTATGTTCTAATTTCTGATGTTTTGTGCCAAAATTAATAAGTAAAATTCATTTCCTTTATTTCACAAAATATTCCAGGCAGCTTTGAAATATTTAAATGGGCTTTCTCTCTCTCTCTCTGTTTTTTCTTCTTGTTTGCTACTTGAAGGACAATAAAATGCCAGAAAATAAGAGTGTGGACTTTAGAGCTAGACTGACTCAGATCAAACCTTCATTCTTGCTTCCATTAACTGTGTGACTTTGGGCAAATAACTTGATCAATCTATGCCTTAGTTTCCTCACCTATAAAATGAAAGATAACTATATACCTGTTTCATTGTGTTGCTAGAAAGCTCAAATGGGTGAATACAGGTTGACAATCCCTTATCCAAAATGCTTAGGACCAGGAGTGTTTCAGATTTAGATTTTATTTTTTTGATTCGGGAGTATTTACATTATATATTTAAGTTTTTATAATAATTGTGTATAATTACTTTTGGAATAACAATCTGCCTGCCTTGGCCTCCCAAAGTGCTGGGATTATAGGTTTGACCCACCGGAACCCGGCCTCCCCAGTATAAGTCTGGAAATTTTATTAATCTGGTACAAGTTAGCTTCAGGGGTAAAATTTCTGCTAGATTTCAAACCTCAGTTTTTTTTTTTGTTTCCTAGTATAAAAAACTAGTGCCTAAAAAAGGCATAAATATTCAGAAAATTGTGCCAGGATAGTCGGAAATATACTGCTGTTATTCATATTCATTTTATTTTTCTGACTTAACCCTACTTAATATAATTAACCTAAATTTCAAACACCAGAGACAAAAGCAAGCTTTAGAGCCCAGGGGACATCATGTGAGGAGAGGAAAGGTCCCCAAATCTTGTCAGGTCGCAATTTTGAGATCTCTATTGTATATGTTTTTGTAATCATTATTGCCATGCTTTTATCTTGGTGGCATACAAACAATAATTATATTTTCACTCTGAGAAGGTGAGTAATTATCTTCCTGATTTCTTACTTAGGTCCCATGGAGATAAATAACTTCACTAGCTCATAATGGTGAATAATTTTAATACCTGAATTTGTAGAGGAAAATCCAGAATAAAAGGTGTTAACTAAAAAAACACAAAACTGAGATTTCCAATTAAATTATTTACACAACGCTTCATGTTCTGTTTTCTCATTTTAAAAGGTTAACATAAATTTCCAGCAGATATAAAGCTACACCATTTTTTTTTTCCGAATTATGTTTCACAAAGGAGCACTTTTGCCTACAGAAATTTATGAACTCTCTCAACTCACCGAAATGAAACAACCACCAAAAAAAGCTAAAAAAAAACCTGTCACCATTGCACATAGAAAAAGGAGCTTTCTGATGCATTCCCATCATAGACTTCACTGTGCCTTAAGGATCTGTATCTCTTTCCCCCTGAATTGAGCAGGACTGGGAAGTAGCGGAGCGTTGATTCCTTTTATCATCTAAGGCTAACCCAAACAGAGCTAAAGCAGGTTACTGCAGAAAGCACAACAAAAAAAACAACAAATTGACCTGGACTTTTCTTTCTTTCTTTTTTAATACATAATCCATGATGCTCATCTTTCTAGAGGCAATTAATAACATATGTGACGGGTCTTTCTTTTATTAGCACATGCTTTTGCTACAAGATTATGTCTTGCTGTGCATCCCACAATCATCAACTAATATATGTGGCATTAACTTGTTCCTTTTTAATGAGGCACTAAAAAGTCTCAATAGATTCAACAGATTTTTTTTTAAAAAAAACAAAGAACAAATTGAAAACCTCAGCTCACTGACATTGTAACAATTTAATTTTAAATATGTAGAAAATAAACCATAATTATGTCCAAATAGCTTAATTTACTCAACTAGATTCACATTTTAAGTTAACAAAGGTGAAGGAAAATAAAGCACAAACACTTAACCAGTTAACTGTTCCTCTACTAGTCTACAAATCCTGTAAATGCATAATCTAGTGCAGTGCTTTAAAAATTATATTTATGTATCATTTTATTAATTCATTTAAGTTTTCATTTATTTATTTATTGTCTAAAACTTTAGGCAGACCTGTAATATTCAGAACATCTAAGAGTGGAGCTGCTCTGTTTGAAGCGGAAGAAGCAAACACTTCAAGTTTGTCACAATCCCACTGAATGGCCCACCCTGTAGAGCTTAGTTTAAAAACCACTCCTTAGGAAATGCTGCTTGAGTTAGAGAGAGACAACCTTCTAGAGTTGTCATCAGGTACTCAATACTCTGTCACAAAAATACAGATATAATATGTAACTAACCTGCACAATGTGCACATGTACCCTAAAACTTAAAGTATAATAAAAAATAAAAATAAAAATAAAAATAAAAAAATAAAAAAAATTAAAAAAAAATAAAAATAATGTTAGGTGGTTTTATTTTTAAAGAGTTATCAATTTATGTATTTATGTTTGCCATAAGGGAGATGATGACAGAAGAAAAGCTATTTAAAAGGACATTATATCAAGAGCTGGTAAGGGTCTGAAGGTTCATCTGACTTGAAAGCTAGTAGGAAAGTGCTAGTTATAGATGCTGACATAGACAAGAGGCTCCAGGGTTAGAGACAAATGGTTTTATTGCTCATGGAAATAGCAGTAGCCGGAGGATTCATATTTGTGCCAGTTCCTTGAACATATATTTCCACAAGGAAATGCAAAGAGGACAAAGTGATGCCTGTCTGCATAGTGGATAGCATTATAGCAAAACGACCCTGAACTTAGGCAAAACGGATCTTTTATAAAGCACAATAAGTCAGTTTGACCTTTGCCCCAGAAGGATTTTTTTTTTTTTTTAAATCTGGACAGTAAACAAACCTCCTTCCGCTCCAGAGGGAGACCCAACCTTACATACTTTAAAAAAAATTTTTTTTTGAGATGGAGTCTCACTCTGTCACCCAGGCTGGGATGCAGTGGCGGGATCTCAGCTCACTGCAACCTCCGCCTTCCAGTTCAAGCAATTCTCCCACCTCAGTCTCCTGAGTAGCTGGGATTACAGGCACCTGCCACCACACCTGGCTAATTTTTGTATTTTTAGTAGAGACAGGGTTTCACCATGTTGGCCAGAAGGGTCTCGAACTCCTGACCTTGAGTGATCTGCCCACCTCTGCCTCCCAAAGTGCCAGGATTACAGGCGTGAGCCACAATGCCCTACCTGTCTTTTAGGGCTGTTTGCCATACAATCATCCTTGCAAAGATAGTTGGGAACAAAGGCACTCTGTGTCTCCACTCATAAGATGTGCAGAAATGCAGGATGGCCATGGAAAATAATTTTCTGACACGTAAAGTATACAAATGGAAAGGGAACTCAAGTAAATGATTATTAAAAATTTAAATGTCTTCCCCATTTTTGAATAGATAATTACTATTGCTGAAATATATGTGAGAAAACATTAAAAAATGTATTGAGCCTTTGACACATAGATGAAGCTTAAAAAGTGTCTTTTGAATAAATGCATAAATTAATAATAATGATTTTTTAAAGTAAAGATGAAGAGACATTTAATAGCATCCCTAAAACATTCACTGAAGCCTCATTACAGCCTGCAAGAGTAAGCCACAGAGCCACCATATGTCAGGCAGCTAGACACCAATACATCAAAGAAGTGCTCACAGGCAGCATGAAGGACTCAGCCAGATAAGAAACTGGTTACCTACTCAAAATTTGATCACTGGTGAAATAGCATAGGAACACTGGATGTTCCTCAATAAGTTGAATTCAAGCTCACTTTATGACACCTCAATTAAGTTGTTTATCCATTTCCTCATTTTTCTCGTGTAATCCCAGAAAATGAAGCAGCATAAAATGATGATTCAGAATTACAAGGCCATTGAAGCCTTAGGGACAGAGTAATATTATTTCGTATTAGGGACAGTGACCTAATTTGTGTCATCCTTCAGAGCTCAGCTAACTGTAAGAAGAAAACTTCCTTCAAGGCAGGATCAGTTTGGCAATTTTCCTCTATGTTATTACAGCATCCTGATTTAAGCATTTTGCACTTTATATTGCAGTGGTCTATTTACTTGTGTAAATCAGCACATGGGGGTATAAGAAAATATAGAACAAAAATTGAGCCATAAATCATAGCTACATACCCAATATGCTTAATACAAAGCTATATAGATTTGTAATAATTAAATGTACAATGAGTGAATGAAAGATTAATAAAGAGATAAACTTCAATGCCAGCCTCTGTAAGAATAAAGATGACAGTTATACACAGAAGTCACTGTAAAATAATTTTGCTGAAAGATAAGAAATCTACTCCTGCACATGCATATATATATATGCATGTGATGCATATATATATATGCATGTGATGCATATATATATATGCATGTGATGCATATATATATATGCATGTGATGCATATATATGCATGTGATGCATATATATGCATGTGATGCATATATATATGCATGTGATGCATATATATATGCATGTGATGCATATATATATGCATGTGATGCATATATATACATGCATGTGATGCATATATATACATGCATGTGATGCATATATATACATGCATGTGATGCATATATATATGCATGTGATGCATATATATATGCATGTGATGCATATATATATGCATGTGATGCATATATATATGCATGTGATGCATATATATATATATGCATGTGATGCATATATATATATGCATGTGATGCATATATATATATGCATGTGATGCACACATATACATATATATGCATGTGATACACATACACACACATATGCATGTGATGCACACATATACATATATGCATGTGATGCATAAATATGCATGTGATGCATATATATGTGCATGTGATGCATATATATACGCATGAGTCGATTTCTACAAGCATGCATAGAATACCTATATAAGACGTATGTGTGTATAACAATGCACTTGCAATGGCTAGAATGTTGGCAACTTTTACAAGGAAGTTTTCAGCAGTCTAATGATTAAGATGTCTATTTATGCAATTAGGACAATAGTTACTTGGAATTATTTAGCTTCATTATTGCCCTCACTTCTTCAAAATGCCAATTAAACCCTCCTCTGAACAGGAATAAATAATTTTAGCTGCTTTCCTGAGATAGCTACACTTCCTGGATGCTTGATGAACTGGCTGAAAGGATGATGTTTGGCAGATGATAAGCACCATATTTGTTATGGGAAGGTAACTATCTAAACCGCAAATCACACTCTGCCACCTAAACCAGAAGTAAGGCAGAGCATATTTCTCCACAGTTAATTGTTCATGTGGTTAGCCACTGCTCTTCCCACCTCTGAGGGGCATAGTGTGGGTGGAGGCAGAAAGGACAGATAATGCAGTAGAGGGCTTCCTTCTCTAAGGCTGCCTGCACCACAAACTTAGCGAGGTCTGTTTATGCTGTGAAAGAGGATGTTCTGTTTTGATCAGGTTTCACAGGGAAGGTGTGGGCATATTTGCTCTTAATCTTCTGATTTATAAGTGGAGGCTTTAATTGTCTACCTTGCCACTGGGTGTGCTCAGTGAGTGCCTCGGCTGTCACTATGACATGGGTAATGCACAAACAGAGTCCCTAAGCCTCCTCAGCACTTACTTATGACTCTCTCATTTGCTCAGTCATGCAGTAAGCATGACCCCCCCACTGCCCCACAATAAACACAAATACAACTGCAAAATGGCAAATAAAATATCCTAGCAAAAGTAGTTCAATTACTTCATTGTGAGAAGCATTGATAGACACTTTTAAATCATTGTTTTGTAAAATAAAAATGATATTCTAAAACCAATAATAAAATACCATGCGTAACCATTTCCCTCTGATTACACTTTCATTTTTTTCACTGTGTTCTTTTGCCTTCTGTTGAATTTATGCTAAATATATATTGTGCCAAAAAAGAATAAAAATAATTTTCTGTTTTATTCAAGCTCAGGTTTATTAGCAGGCAATTAATTATAACAACAATAATAGAGATGATGAAATCAAGAAGAACAGAATCTACAGGATTCAGTGGGGATCTGGCTGTTTTCTTTCACCTCTGTAGCACTGCCTGGAAGTCAGGAAGGCTGAATTTTGATTCCAGCTCTATCAGGTTGTACTCAGTATTGTGATCTTAATTAGTCATTTTATTTCTTTGTGCTTTAGTTTTCTGGTTTGTGTATGGTCAAAATAAGGCATTCTCTCCTTATTGTTTTTAGGGATTTCTCAGAATCTAATGATATTCACTCCCTTCTTGAAATTCCTTTCTTTCATAGTCTTTTTCTTGGTTTTTCTCCAATTGTCCCTCTACGACACTTCTTCTTTTCGAATGCTTATGACTTCTCACCTGGACTTGTATAATAGCATTGTTCTTGGCCTCTCTCTCCTTTGTTTGAAACATAGTTGGCAGATAAGTTTTCCTGACATCTATCTCTTATCCTGGCAATATCCTGGTCAAAAATAGTTACTTTTCTCAAGTGCTTGTAAAAGAGAATTGAACAAAATGGGAAATCGCCTATTTTGCAGGTGCAATGATAAGCCTCTTTTCCCCAAAGCTCTTGTACCACAGGATTGGGAGGTAAGAGTCATCCATGCTCCTCAATGTTATTTCTAAATAATTATCCCGCTTCCTCTCTAAAACTCATCAGTTTTAAAATGCATGTCCCCAAACCACAGTATCTATATTAATTCAACTGTGGCTCATTCAGCACCAGTCCATCCCCCTTCATTTCTTGAATATTTGAGCTCTTATCTCATTGCTCATTCTCTCTACTACTCGTGAATAATTATTTACAATTTTAATATCCACATGGATAAATATTCCAACATAGTGGTCTGTAAATCTCTTGATCTTCACCCAACTATGGCCAATTTTTATGGAGTAACACTATAGACCTTGTCATTACCACCAACTGCATTACATCTTTAATATCAAGATCAAACACCCAACTCATTGTCCAGCTTTTCATAACTTTTCAGCTTATTACCTCAAATATCTGATGTCAACAACTTCTTCAACCTCATTGGGATATACAACTTACTGAACCCATCATCTTTTTCTGTGGCTTGCCTAACATATTCTCACCCCTATCTCTGTCTAACTTAAATGATAGAGCCCATTATTATAATCACTTTCTTCCTCTCACCCTCACATTCCTTATATTCTCAGGATTTTTCCTAAGCAAAAAGAGCAAATCCAGAGGTATCACACTCTCTGACTTCAAATTATACTATAAGGCTATAATAACTAAAACAGCATGGTACAGGTACAAAAATAGACACATAGGTACATGAAAAAGAATAGAGAACCTAGAAATAAAGCCACATACCTACAACCAATTGAACATCAACAAAGTTGACAAAAATAAACAATGGGGAAAGAACACACTATTCAATAAAAGGTGCTGGGAAAAGTGGCTAACCATATGCAGACAAATGGAAATGGACCCCCATCTCTCACCGCATAAAAAGATTAACTCAAGATGGATTAAAGATTTAAATGTAAGATGTGGATCTATAAAAATCCTTGAAGAGGCCAGGTGTGGTGGCTCACGCCTATAATCCCAGCACTTTGGGAGGCCGAGGCGGGTGGATCACGAGGTCAGGAGATCAAGACCATCCTGACTAACATGATGAAACCCAGTCTCTACTAAAAAAAAACACTAAAAAATTAGCCAGGCATGGTGGCGGGCGCCTGTAGTCCCAGCTACTTGGGAGGCTGAGGTGGGAGAATGGCACGAACCCGGGAGGCGGAGCTTGCAGTGAGCCAAGATCGCGCCACTGCACTCCAGCCTGGGTGACAGAGTGAGACTCCGTCTCAAAAAAAAAAAAAAAAAAAAAAAAATCCTTGAAGAGAAACTAGAAAAAACTCTTTTGGACATAGGTCTAGGCAAGGAATTTATGGTAAAGACACCAAAAGCAAATGTAACCAAAACAAAAACAGACAAATGAGATTTAATGAAACTAAAAAGCTCTGCACAGCAAAAGAAATAATCAACAAAGAAAACAGGCAACCTACAGAATGGGAGAAAATATTTGTAAATTATGCCTCTGACAAAGGACTAATATCCAAAATCTGCAAGGAACTCAAACAACAAAAAAGCAAACACCACCACTAAAAACTGGGCAAATGACATGAACAGACATTTCTCAATAGAAGAAATATGAGTAGTCAACAAGCCCATGAAAAAATGCTCAACATCAATATACATCGGAGAAATGAAAATTAAAACCACAACGAGATGTTATCTTATACCAGTCAGAATAGCCGTTATTAAAAAGTCAAAGAACAACAGATGTTGGTGAGGATGCAGAGAAAAGGGAATGCTTAAATACTGTTGGTGCGAGTGTAAATTAGTTCAACCTCTCTGGAAAACAGTGTGAAGATTTCTCAAAGAACTAAAACTAGAAATATCACTCAACCTATAGCAATCTCACTACTGAGTATCTACCCAATGGAAAAGAAATCATTACATAAAAAAGACACCTGCACTTGTATATTCATTGCAGCACTACTGACAATACCAAAGTCATGGAACTAACCTATGTGTCCGTCAACGATTGACTGGATAAAGAAAATGCGGTATATATACACCTTGGAGTATTTACGTAACCATAAAAAGAATAAAATCATGTTCTTTGCAGCAATATAGGTGGAGCTGGAGTCTTTTATCCTAAGTGAACTAACTAGAAAACAGAAAATCAAATACCACATGTTCTCACTTATAGGTGGTAGCTAAACAATGTGTCCACATGGACACAAAGATGGAAATAATAGACACTAGGAACTCCAAAAGTGGAAGGGGTTGAAAAATTTCCTGTTGGGTACAACGTTCTGTATTTGGGTGATACCTGCACTGGAAGCTCTATCCCCACCAGTATGTAATATACTCATCTAACAAACATGCATATATACCTTCTGAATCCAAAACAAAATACAAAATGTTTAAATAAAAAGTTGTCCATACTCCCTTTTCTTAAATTTGTTCCCCCTCCTCAATTCAATATCTAACTCCCATTAGACTTTTACTTGTACCATTTCATTAAAACGTCTTTTTCCAAGGTCACTAATGATGCCGGATTGTTAAATTTAATGGTTGGTTGTTCATTTTTACTTTATCAGCAGCACTATATATGATAGATTATTCCCTGTCTCTTTGAAGACTTTCTTCTCTTGGCTTCTAGGACACAGTATGCTCCTCCTTTCCCTCCTACTTCTTTGTGTCCTATTTCCACCTCCCTTGCCAATTCTACTTCATTTTTCTTTGTAAACATAAGAATAGTCCCTGGCTGTGTCCTCAGATCTCTTCTTTTTACAGACTTTCTTCTTGGCTGATATCAACAGTCTCATTGCTTTAACTATCTAAATGACGATGACTCTCAAATGTCCATATCCCAGGCCTCTCTCTCCTGACCTGACCTTCAGATCTATATTTACTATTGTATCTTGACATCTCCATTGGGATGTCTAATGAATAGCCCAAACAACGTAACATATTCATAAACTCCCAGTCTCACCCACTACACACACACACACACACACACACACACACTCCTCAGTTTCTGCCACAGTTTTCTCTTTCTTAGCAAATAACAATAAAGTGGGTTTTGCAGTACTCCAAGCTATGCCTTTCTTTTTCTTTTTTTCTTTTTTTAAACATTCCACACATGTTGCCAAGTTAGGCCTTTGCAATGGTCTTTCCTTAGCCTTAAAGTATTTTTCCTAATATCAACATAGCTTGCTCCTTCATGTCCTTTGTCTTTGCTAGAATGTCACATTCTCAGGAGACCTTCAGTGATCCCATCCCCAGGAACTCTTGCTTCCCCTTTTTATTTCTATCCATTGCCTTCATCAAGATTTTATTTATAATCTTTTGCTACTAATATTTATTGTTTATCCATTCTCACTGGAATACGAACTCAATGAAGTTTTGTTCCCTGAAAAATCTCACATTCAGAATACTGACTGATAACAGCAGTCTCTCAATACACATTTGTGAATGAATGAATTTTGACTGGTACTCCGTCAAATTAAAAAAATATTTAGGGAGAACTGGCAAGCAGACATCGTTATGTTCCTACCCACAGAGTATAGGTCCTTTTTTTTTTTTAAAAAAACTCTCCAATGTTTACACATAGTGAACTTTCTTGTCTTATAATTGATCTTGCATCTTGAATCTCTGTCCCAGAAAATGCAAAATCCTTATATAGTTTCAGGCCTAAACAATAGTACCTAGGGACTTGTTCTGTAGTTGAGTTGGATAATAAGTCTAAGAAGGTAAATGGCAAAGAAAGTGTTAAAGATATTTCTTCAATCCAGTCTAATTACTACTGATGTAAACCTAATATGTAAACATTTTTGATACCATGATTATCTGTTTCTTATAGAGAGTTAACTAAGGATTGTTGTGTGATATCATAAGCAAAATTGTTTCCGCTGGCATGGATGAAAGAGTCTCATTTTAGATATTTTGTCTTTAATTCAGTTTGGTCTAACAGCATATATTAGGAATCTTTCTTGTGCTTGGTATTGTGGTAGGTACTGAGGGAATATTGACATGCTAGTTCTTACAGTACTTTCAAAAAAAGGTAGCCATATAATAAACATGTATATTAAGGGACTAATGACATAAATATTAATATATCATTTAACAATTAACATTTTATATGAAGAATGGTTCCAGGATGACATTACTAAAACTGTTGGTGTAATGTCAGATGTTTATGGCAGATCCTGGCCTGTCTACCATAAAACAAACTAGACACCACATTGCTACACTTTTGTTCACCACATAACTTTATGCACATTGGTGAGAACCATCCCATTGTATATTTTATATTTATTGATTGTAAGTGATGCATACTGTAGAAGCACTAGAGTAGTAAAGAGACAATCTGGGTTTAGATTCAGCTTTAAGGATAAACTAGCTGAGGAACCTTTGTTCAGTAAACATGCCCTGAGAATCTCACCTTTTTTTCTCTGTCAACAGATGATTATAATATCTCATGGAGCTATGACAATGTTTTAATAAATTATGGTAAATATTTAGTACACAGAGGATTTCAATAGTAGTTATTAGTAGCAGGGCTAGCATATGTCTTGTTTTTGCTGTAATATAGCTCAGTAACCTAATGGCAAACTTTTCATTCAGCCTATTTTATGAATGCAGTTGTCTTCATTAACACTTTGTCACCTGTCTTATAGGCATAGTCCTTTTTATTTCCCTGTGGCTCTCATTAGATTTACTGCCCCTAGGGGTAGGAGCAGCCTTCTCTTTTTCTGAAGCTCTATGGAGCACCCAAGGCAGCACACTTACTGCACACAGAGAGTTTTAATACGTTTTCAGCCCTGGGAATATTTTTTCAGAGTTAAAATTGTTATAGAAAAGCATAGACTGACAAATGGGTTGTGAAGGCCTAGGCAGTAAAGATTTACAGCAGGAATGACATTTCTCTTCCCAGTAGAGCAATTGTTGTGTTCTATTGCAGATATTCAGAGTTTTTGCAAAATTTATGGAAACAACCAAGGCATCTATAATCTCCCCTTTTATCCTATCTACTGAAGCACTCATTTCAGGAACTTCAGAACCAACAACGGTACAAATGTGGCTCTGCCTCAAGTGTTTGGCTTCCTTTGTCTTCCTGTCTAAAAGCCCTGGCTGTTTAAAATTAATATGAAATAAACTCCAAGTCTTGTGAATAATGGAATTATACCACAGCATTTAAGTACGAAACTCTGCTCTAATAACTGCTGGATGAACAAGAAAACGGTGCCTGTGAGGATCAAACTCTGCTTATTTTTCATTTCCCCAAATACCTCCTCAAAAGATGGGCAGTGAAAAATCTACAGGGATGGGGAGGGTAACACATATCAGAAGCACTGTTAGAGATACTTGACAATATTCTACAATAAGACATTAGTGAAGTGACATCAAAACAGATCACCATAGCTAATGTCAAACATACCTTTAGATCCCACAGGGGTCTCTCAATTAGCTGTAGCAGCTGTAATATGCCTGAATTACCATCAGAGAATGCTAATTTAAAAAATCTAATTAAATATTAAGAAGGCAATACACATCCTTTCTAGTGATTTGATACCACAATTAGAGACAGATGATCACACAGACCAAGAGAATGCTATCTCTGGCTCACAGAGTATCTTAAGTGGCATTAATACGGCGAATGGATCAACCTGCAGACATGAAGTGTTTTATACTTATTGATGTTGGCCCCTTTTTTAATGAGAAAATCTTTGAGACACAATTTACATCAGAATGTAATTTGCATACATTTGTTAAAACCACCTATTGCATCTTTAATGGCTTTTTCCTCCCCTAAACAAAGAGCTTCAGGTAAGAAATTCTCACAGCACTGTCCTAGAAAAGCCCAAACTGTCACAATCCCAGATTCCCTGACAGGCAGAAAGTAACTGAAGCTTAGTCTTTCTATCAAAAGGAAATAATCATAATTTAATCTTTGTTTCTAGAAAGCTTCCAATTGCCAGTCATGATGAACAAATACATATCATTATTACTGCTGCAAATAAATGCTTTTTTTAGCCTCCAAATATTGTATGTCTTAATTCCTTAAACATTGTATGTCTAAATTCTCCAAAACTAGAGCTGACTCCATCACTCCTGTTATATAGCTCCATAGACCATTGTCTTCCTTCTCCAGTGTCTGCCCCTTTCCCTTCGAGAGGCACATCATCGTCTCCTACCTACTCCCACCATACTTGCACTTCCAAATACACCTCTTTCCTTCACACTCTCCAGACTATTCCCAACAACCTCCATTTCTAAAATCATTCCTAATAACTACCCATTCTTTAAAATCGACTGAAGATTCAGAAGACTCAGATTACCGTCAATACAGACAAATCACATAATCTTGTAAATTTACTTTATATTTGAAAAAAAAAGTCCCAAATACTTAACTTTTGTGTGGGAAGTGTAACTTTTGGATTTTAATTTATCTCTGATCTTCCTTCCCTTGTGTGTGTGTGTGTGTGTATGCATATATATTTGTATGTATACACTGGCTGTGCTTCAAAAAGTTCTAGTGCAGCCTTGGAAATTCTACTGCAGCTTATCTCAAGATATCTCTATTTAACCTGGGAATTAGAAATGGTTCAGTTTGTGATTTCAGAAATGCCTGCTTAACTCAGTCAAACAAAAGGAGATAAGCATAGAGATTTTCTGTTGTAGCTGAAAAGGGATCATTATTTTAAATAGATGATTTGTATGTTTTAAATCTAAAGCTTCCAAATACTAGTGATAAACATAAAGTTTACATAGAATAACAAATGTTTAATCTACATAAACTTTTTTTTATTCTCCATAAATTTTATTTTTTCTTTCTTTCTTTCTTTCTTTCTTTTTTTTGAGACAGAATTTCACCCGTGTCGCCCAGACTGGAGTGCAATGGTTCAATCTTGGTTCACTGCAACGTCTGCATCCCAGGCTCAAGTGATTTTCCTGCCTCAGCCCCACAAGTAGCTTGGACTATAAGCACCTGCACCACCACGCCAGCTAATTTTTTTGTATTTTTTGTAGAGATATAGTTGCCAAGATTGTTGCCCAGGCTGGTCTCAAACTCCTGAGCTCAAGTGAGCTGCCTGCCTTGGCCTCCCAAAGTTCTAGTATTACAGGCATGAGCCACCTCGCCTGGCCATAAACTTAAATTGTGTTCTAACTGCATAATAATTTAAATAAAAGCTATCTAAATAGTGTTTTTAATTATTGTGCTTAAAACAAGTTGGTTCTATTTAAAATTTCCAAATATAGGTAATCTGAATTGTGTATTAGACACTCTTATTTTTCATTTCACATTTGTCATACTTATAAGAATTACTTAACTGTGACTAATAATATTCCATTTGGCTAATAATATTTTCTGTCTAAAATTACATGAAAAATATAGCTTTGAGGCAAATCCCTATAGATGTAACCCATTTAAAATTAAGCCTTGAAGTCTCATAAAATAAACTGCTTTGAATCACAGAATCCACAAAAAAGAAAAGCTGAACAACTTCCAGTTAATCTGCAATTAACTAAATGCTTGAAGCTTCCATTAAATTAGAGCGCTCCCTGTGTCTTAGCTTCTGAGAGTAACTGTTATACTGGGTTATATTAGGGCAGGGTTAGTTTTTAAAGTTTAATATCCTTGGAAGTAGATAGGGAATTTTAATGGGACAGGTGCTGAGTGTTAAAAGAAATTCACCCAACAGGGACAACAAACAGTGGGTACCTCAAATACAAAACCTGCAGCCATCAGGAAGGTCTAACCAGAGAAATGGATGGTTTTCTGGGAAAATGAGCACAGTTAGAGAAAATCCATACTTAGAGATTTAGCCCTTGGCACAGTAGATATTAGGGAAAGACTGTTATCAAGTAGCAAGCCTCTATTCTATAGTAGGAAATATTTAGTTACCATTTCTATGAATAGGTCCCACTCTCTAGGTTTTTTACTTGAAGGAGTTTATATTTTATTCTTTCAGTATGGTTTCCAGGAGAGAGAAAGAGACAGAGACAGAGACAGAGAGAGAAAGAGAGAGAGAGAGAGACAGAGAGAGAATGAATGTGTTTGCATGCACTTATAAAATAACTGTGAATCTCCTAATTCTGGAATTATTCATTGGATCATTACATTACATCTGATTCTAACTTGTATTTCACTTTGCTTAAGGAAAACAATAACTAAAGCTGGTTCTGCTACAAAAGCAAAAATACTGTTGTGATTATGCTGCATTACAACCTTTTAAAATATTTTATTTAAGATATATCATTAATAAAAATTATGTTCCATGTTTTAGAACAAAGGCATCAAGTATGGTGGATAATGATCCCTAAAGGTCTTACTTTGATACCTTGGCAGAGCTGCAATCATTCATTAGAGGAGGCAGGTGTTTCTAACACTACAGATGAAGAAATTGGGGCATAATGAACAGTATTATACTTTAATTTTGAGACAAAAAGTGAAGAAAATTATAAAACAATCCTAAATGTCAAGCCTACTATAATTTTCAATTCCATTCAACAAATACTTATCGAGTGCCCAATATGAACATTCACGAACATAGATAATGATCTATTTGAGCCACATATGAATCTAGAACAAACGTAATATGCTGTTAATGATTACTCTCCAGACTGTTTATCTACAGCTTACAGATTGAAACTTCTGAAATAGAACACAGCTATTCCAATATTGAGCTAACTTCAATCTCAAGTTCACTTTGCATATATTTTCAAGGATATATATCTTAGGTTATATCACAGAAAAAGAGGAAATAAAGCATTGAAAGGAAGAATTTCTGCTGAGAGCAGGGGAAGGGATAGTTCTGCTATGAAAAGTCCAAGGATCCAAATCCTCGAAGATATTGCTCTGGAGGTCCTTTGAGATGCTATAATCCAGATTTAGGCAACCTGTGTTATTGTTTTATCTTTGAGCATCTTCTGATGTTAATTATGAGGTGCAGGAAGACTAAGATGATTGTCAGACTCTTAAGATAATCCTTCAGGTAGGAAAGTACCCATATTCCAATTCTTCTTCACCTGATCTCTAGAAGAACAACCTGATAATAATATGGCTGAATGTACTTCTCCCACTGACAATGTATTCCAGTCATACAGTCAGTTTAACTAGTTACTATAAAAAATTCATTTATTGGATCTTCTAAGTCACATGGAAAGTTCAAAAATGTTTCCATATATTTCTCTGTTAACATATGTAATTTAATAATTCAGACTAACTTCATGTCTGTCAGACAAAATAAGATATTAGGATACCAAATTTCTGGTATTCTACAGAAAGCTTAAAATTTACCCAATGGATACATGGAGAAATATTATTATACTTTGCCTTTAAAACACTCAAATGATGGCTAGTTTATTTAGTACAGAAGTGTTAATAGATAAGTAGTCACAAATTGTTCCCTCCTCCACAGGAGGATTTCTTGTTGATTACTGGCTTTTACTCAATTCCTCCCATTTTTCTCTGCTCACAGAGAATTAAGCATTTCCCCAGTGCCTGAATATGTAACTGAATAAATAAATGGGGTATTGAGGAAGAATATGGGAAATGTCCAGGCTCATTGGAATTCACCTTGAGGATGCTGTAATACTGCTCAGGTTGAAGGGGAAGAAAAGACTAGAATCTGAAGAGAAGATGTAGATGAAAGAATAGAAAGCTTGTTAGATATCTGACTACAATTCAAATATTTTTTTTTCAAATACAAAATTTTTTATTTAAATTTCTGACTTACAAAAAGCTGTACATAATTAATATGTACAACTACATGAGTCTGGAGATAAATATACACCCATGAAGCCATCACCACAATCTATGCCATAAACCTATTTATCACCTTTTATCAGCTATGTAGCAAGTTTGCATCTTTTTGCATTTTAGTTCAAGGACAAGAAGTTTAATTTTTAAATTGACTACTCTCAAAGTCCTATGAAAGTCTTAGACAAATAAAAAAAAAGAAAAAACTGGTATTATTTGACATAGACAATTTAAGAAAAACACTCTCTCTTGTCTTATAGAGACTAGGTTTCTAAGATTTGATCTTGATATATACACCCCTCCCCCCCCACATAATAACCACCATATTTTATTCAGTACTAATGTTATTGTATGCTTTTGAGATTCATTGAAAATCAATAAAGTATTTTTATGAATATTTTTTGCATCTTTTACAAATCCATTGTCCATATATTACCATTAATTGTGTTTAATATGTGTGAACATATGTGATGCATTCCTTTTTAAACCTTAGTGTCAAAAATGATGGTATTTCTTCAGTAACATGTATTTTATATCATCTGATAATCCAAATTATACAGAAGTCCTTTTTCCATACTTTCCTTGTATTCAGAAGCTCAGAAGTAAATTTTATGCTCAATCACATTAACTGTATTTTCTTATATATTTACATTGCCTAGTTTATATAAATTGTATCCTATATTTCTATTGTAAGATCTTTGTTTTATAGCTTTCTTAACAAAACAGACTGCAAATGAATGAAATATATTTTTATGTCTCAGTAAAAGGTTGTTGGTTTTACATGTTTGTGTAATTTTGTCTTGTTTGTTTTAAGAAAATGTAAGTAGGAAACAGGTGACAAATGAGTTGCAAAGAGTAGTAATAGGTCACGATATAAAAAACAGTTATGTATTGAAGGAAAACATAGGTTAGAAGATGGCACCTATCTTATTACTTCCTTTGTCTGTTAATGGCCCCATGTAAACAAAGTAGCCAAGTCACGGCAGAATAAAACATTTCATTCTAAACCAATCATCCACATATTTGCCTAGGGTTTTTACTTCAAAACTTTCTACAATAACTTCTCAGTTGAATTTTTAATCAAATAAGATAATAATCATGCGTGAGAAAATGAAAGTTTAGATGAGCCAACTAGCTGGAATGAATTGGAATTGCAATTTCTTATTTGATATGGGCAGCCTGCCTTGTCCATTTTGATTCATTTCTCCTATCTAGACACTAAATCAAGCTGAACTATATCAATTACTAAGAAAGCCTGATTCCTTTATATCTTCACCAAGGTTTATTACTTTAGAACGATATGTGTGGAAAGTTCATGCAAGAGTTCCTGGCACATGACTCCCCCATTATATTTCAACACAAAGAGAAATAAGGTCGCTTGAGAATCATACCAGAAACCTGAAGACTGGTGTTAGAATATATTATTGCACCCCTCTAAAAGTCTCAACTCAAGTGGCTACATATAGCATGCTTCATCCTCAAGACACTTATTTCAATGGTAATACAAGCCAGTGCCTGAAGTTGGCATGCATATGAGAAGACACGCAGTATGATGGCTCATCTCACAGGATTAATTCAGCAATATAGGTTGGTAATATCCAGATAAAGAAGGTTAAAACTCAGACTATATTCTATCCACACAAAAGATTTTAATCAGCAGCTAACAGAAAATCTGCAACTATCTTCTGCATACATCAAAATGAAAATTTACCTTGCTGTAGATACAAGGTTTCAGTCAACAATATTAATCATGTACCTATGACATGCAGCATGTTTGCCTCATGCATTACTTAAAGATATCTAGACACCATCAGAGATAGAAAGAGAGAGAGAGGAGAAAAAGAGAGAAGATTTTATGCTGATTCATATTTTCAGAGCTACAAACTTATAAGCTGGTTAAGAAGAATGCATTAGATCTAAAATATACTTTAATAGAGAAAATATCAATAAAATTCCAAGTTCATTAAATGCTGAATAAATTAAAATGAGTTGTGGTCTATGTAGATATATCCTGTAGGTGGACAGGTTTGTGCTGGATTTGAAGGAGGCTAAGAATGTAGATTAGATGATGGGAATTCTAGAAAGATAGAGTCCCATGTGCTAAATCACTAGAGTCAAAACCAAGAAGTCCTATAAAGTCCTACCCAGAATTCAGGATTCCTCCATTAAGGCAATTAGAGGACTAATGGTGGCCCCAGGAGTCTTGGCTAAGGGCTAAAATGTAATCCTGCGAGCATCTCCCCACCACGACACAAAATATTACAAGTTAAGACTGGATCACTGTCCAGAAATGTTTGGATTCCAACCAGGCATATTTAACATAATGATTCTCTAGTGTAGATGTGCAAGATTAGATACATGAATAATATAAGATCTGTCACAATCGTATCTACTGGGGACCAATAGGATTCTCAGAATATAGGACTTTCAGTAATAAAATCAAGAGCCCCAAGCAGGCCAAGAGGTAAAAATATAACATTAGGAAAAGAAAATCAATAACACAACTTCATTTTTTTAACATTACATTTTTCCTAATAATATAGTTCTTGTGGAACTTTTAGGATTAAAAATTATTTTTAATGTGTTAATTGATACACTGGAGTATAATATCCTTCTTTAAACAGCCCATCCTGGATTAACTTAATTTAATTTAAATTTTTGAATAATGTAATTAAATTGTGTTCACACAGTGGTTACCATGGAAAACCACCAGCAATAATAGAAACAGTAAGTGTTTGAATGTGAGATGATAATATACTCTTGTAGCACTCCAGGATTCCGATTTCAGAAGCTTACCATTGTCTTTCACATGTATAAACATAAGCATTTCTGTCATTGCAAGCCCATAAATTGTGTCCTACTGTGGTAAATATAAATGACACTTACAATCATGTTTAATCCATACTCATATTATAATTACCATGTAATGCTACAAAATATTTTCAAGGGAAAGAGAAAAACTTTCATGTCTGTAATTAAAAAGGTTTGCCTTCTATGAGGGGTTCAATAGTCGAGTGGGAGGAGTATGCTTCATAGCACAATGCTAAATCTCATACTTTTTTCATTAAGCAACTATCAAAAGTTTTATTGAGATGGCTGAGCTAAAAATAAAGTCTTATCTTCCATAATCTAATACATCATACCATTGAGTGAACTCTGAATAAATTTTGAAGAATTAAAGAACCTTAATTTCATATAAAATAAAATTGGGTAATCCAGCTTAAATTGCTTGAGTTCATATTTTTTATCAATCATTAGAAAACAATCAGGCTATGGGCATAAATATAATTAAAAGACAGATATCTGAGAGTTTGCTTGTATGTGATATCAATAAAAATGAGATATGCTAGTGAACAGCTATCCTCAACAATCAGTACATTGAGAAAACATTTCATTAAATACTAGCTACCCAGTTGAATCAACTTTTTAAAACATTTATCAACAATTTTTTCTCATTAGAGTACACTGGAAATAAAATTATTTAATTGTATCTCACCTAGGACATTGGTTCTTAGTCTAGATGAGGAGTTATTTTACAATATTCGAAGCATAGTCAAACATCTAACATATAAGAACAAAATCCTCAGCTTGTGAAGAAATGTAGAATTCATTAGTTTATATCTGAGTTAATCCTTCCAAATTTTCTATGAATAACTAAATTATATACAAATATATAATACATATTTTAGGCTTGGTGGGCAATGGGCAGTATGATCTCTTTCATAATGATTCCACTTTGTTGTTTTAACATAAACAACAACCATTAGACACTACATAAACAATGTGTTGCAGTAAAACTATTTGCCAACATGAGGATTATGCCAACAAATAAACTAAATCCAAGTGGCTTCAACATTTTCTCAAAGCTATGTTCTCTTCTCTATGCACTGTGACCTATTGCTATAATATGCCATTCAAGTGACCCCAGTTTTTCTAAGCTTCCCAAATAGCAATCTTTTGTTGTTGTTGTTGTTTTGTTTTTGAGATAGAGTTTTGCTCTTGTCCAGGCAGAAGTGCAATGGCGCGATCTTGGCTCACTGCACCCTTCACCTCTTGGGTTCAAGTGATTCCCCTGCCTCAGCCTCATGAGTAGCTGGGATTACTGGCACCCACCACCATGCCCAGCTAATTTTTTTGTATTTTTAGTAGAGACTGGGTTTCACCATGTTGGCCAAGCTGGTCTCGAACTCCTGACCTCAGGTGATCCACGCACCTTGACCTCCCAAAGTGTTGGGATTACGGGCGTGAGCCACCACGCCCAGCCCAAATAGTAATCTTCTAAAGTTCCTGGTGAAAAGTCTCTCCTACAAAAGACAGTTTGAGTTACCACTAATAATTTTAGTAAATTGATTTGCTACATGTTCGACTCCTGACTTGCAATAAGTTATCAATCCTTAACAGTAAGTTAAATGCAAAAATAACATGAATGAATATCAGTAATAGCAGGCCCATGAAAGGTAGTTGATTCAGCATTACTGTGGGGGAAAATGTCATTTTCCCTTACTTCATGTTTTCATGTGGAGAATTTTTTAAATTCTGTTTTTTTCTTCAACTTTTATTTTAGATTCAGGGGGTACATATACAGGTTTGTTATGTGTATTGCATGATGCTGTGGTTTGGACTACAGACGACAATTTTTAATTAGAGTAACATCTTATGTTTTACCATCTATCTTTATCACTTATCTTCAGAGGATGGGGTGATTGAGTAATTTGATTGGTGGGTTTGGAAGAAGAAACTGCACATACATGGTATTGCATCTTCCAAGTCCTACCTCTTTGTTGGAACACACGAAGCACACTTTATGTTCTGCTCTCTTCCCTGCAATAATAAGCTTAGTAAGACAGGCTTTCCCTATCAGAGGAGAGGTGTGTGCCTGAGTTTAGGTGGGAAGTCAGTATTACTGAGGAGAAAAGTTCTACAAGGCCTGAGGTGTCCACATATCTAAGCCAGATCATCTAATCATCCACTTTTCAGTAGTAATTACAGCATTTGAACATCCCCTATGTTGTATCCATTAGGAATATATTCTGGTACAGATTAACAAAAAATAAGCATGTTATGGGCTGAATCGTGTCACTCCAAAATTCTTATGTTGAAGTCCTAACCGCCAGTACCTCAGAATGTGACTGTATTTTGAGAAAAAAACCTTTAAAAGGGCAATTAAGGTAAAACGATGTCATATGGGTGTCATATTTCTTCCTTCTCATAAAAGAAAGCTACACACTGATATGCACAGAGGAAAAGCCTTTGAAAACAGAAGAAGAATATGGTCATCTATCCTACTATGCAAGGGGAGAGATTTCGGGAGAAATCAATCTTGCTGATACCTTGATCTCAGACTTGTAGCCCCCAGAACTATAAGAAAATAAAGTTCTGTTGTTTAAGTCACCCATCTGTGGTACTATGTTGTGGTAGCGCTAGTACATAAATAGAACGATTTAATCAAGAGAGATATTTCTTCTCTCAGAAGAAAAGAAATCGTTAGTCTAGGCTGGTAGACCAGTGTTATTAAGTCATCAGGAATGCAGGGTTTTTTTTTTTTTTTCCATGTTTTAGTTCTAGACATCACATCTGCAATCCAGCCAGCAGGGAAAAAAACGAGAGAGAGAGATGAGGGCTCTCTTTTTGTGTGACCATTTCTGCTTACACAGTCGTTGTCAGAATTTAGATATTAGCCACACCTAGTTGCTGTGAGGAAGGCTGGATAATGTAATTAGTATTTTGTGCTGGGCTAAAAACTTGAGCTCTCCTTACTGAAGGAGAAGAGAATAGATACTGGCAGACAAGGAGCTGCCTTTCAAAGGGATCTGAGTCAAGGAAAATAAAAAAAGTGTTATGTAATTACTCCCTAAAGAACCAGCGATTTTTAAACACAGATTTATTCAGAGCACTATAGGTAGCTCCGTGGGATGGGAAGGGAGGGACACTTGAGATTGCCTTTAAAAACAGATATGAGTGAAAAAATACATTTGCGTACAAGAAATTATCCTGGAAATCCACAAGAGCTGACTTTTGAGTTGGATCTAAGCATGGCTGATTTGATTGTTTTCACCATTTTCCTGGTTATTACCATTTCCTAGTTTCTACTCAATTATATGGTGATCCACATTGATTATTTAAGACAGTTAACATTTCTTCTTCTTGTTTGTGATAATGGAAGAAGCAAAACAGATTAAGACAAAACAATCATATACCGTGGCTGCATAAGAGTGGCATTTTCAAGATTGTCTGCCGGCCTTAACTCCAGTCTGAAAACCATAGAAACCAAAATGTATTTCTGCAGGAATAACAGAAAATTATTTAGGAAGTTACTACGAATAATTTCACATGAAATAAAGCTACTTTAAAAAATACGAAGAGCTTCATAAATTGAAAGATAAATTCTTGTAAAGCAAGTTGCACATTAATTTAAAACATGTCACAGAAAGGCTCTTCCTAGATAAATGACACATTATAAAATTTAAAATGTTCTGTTATGATTTGCAGTCATATATATTTTCTTTGTGGAACTCAACCTGTTGATAAACAGTATCCAAAGAGATTTTTGAGACATTCAAAGTGTAAGGCCTTTTTAAAAAATTACAAAATTATAGAAACATGGCAGGTCTTATGACTTATTTCATTCTCCTTACCTAGCCAAAATGCATCAGAGTGGTAAAAGCCTCGTTATGTGTTTGCGTTTTGTGTGACCACACATGCATAATGTACTTGAACACTGGTCTGGGGTCTTGATGTCAAATTCTCTATTTTTGGTGATTATAATGTTATTGATTAATTTTCTGTGCCTCCAAAGAGGGATCTGCTTCTGTTTTAATGTGTAATACAACTGCCCTGGCTTTTAATTTTAGTTGTTACTCAGAACAGCCTTTTCTGGTGCCCTATCATAAAAATGTTAGCAATGTTTTTTCAGTGCTCTAGTCTTACGTTTAGAACTCTCTTCCTTTATCAAAGACAGTTGCTATTTTCCCTACATCCCACTACCTCTATGGAATCCTACATTACTAATGGGAATACGTCAGGAAATTCCCCTCACCCTCATCCATAATTTGCACTAAAATGATGGTATTTAAGCCTGTGTAACTTGATAGTCAATGTTTAATATGTTTCGTGTAAAGAGGAAGATAACTGAGGAGAATGAGCCTTCCTCTGGATAGCCACTCTTGTTATCAAACACATGAAGCTGGCAAAACCCCAATCCTACTGCTTTCTGGACACTGGTACTCCAGTATCTTTCCTTCTGACATTTCCTACTGTCACCAATTGTAACTGCCATCACAGTCTGCACACACAAAGTTAGCATATCTTGGGCATTAATAAATGTTCATTGATCAGACTCTTGGCTTTCATTTGGCCCTGAATGATATGTGTCATTAACATTTGCACAGTGGGGGCGGCAGACTACAAAACAGGCGTGAGTCTGACTTACGAAAGGGATGTGACAGCACGGGGATCTCTATTCTTTTTTTTTTTTCTTTGTCTATTCATAGAAATAAGTGATCTTTTCTGACAGTTATTATTCAAACTCTAAATAATTTACATGATGTGGAAAAATTGTGTTTTTTTCCATATAGAGAGTATAGCTTCAAAAATCATGAATGCTGAGGAGCATTCAGCTTTGTACCTTGTACAAAGTACACTTCAAGCTCATGCCAAATATTCTTTGAAAAATCACTTGGCTATCAAACCACTGACAATAAAATAAAAATAGAGGTTTATATACATTTAAGAAACTTCTTTAAAAATTTTGTTTAAAGAGAATGCAAAAATTATTAATATACATTATTTAGAAAATTATGACATGTAAAAACTAAACAAGTGAAATTGTCGAGCTTCATTTAGAGGCAAATTTGTCTTCTTAAAAGTTTTTCATCTTTAAATGTGTAAGAATGTAAACCAATTAATTAAATATACATTTCAATAAACTAGGAGCAAGTATAACATATATGAGAAGAGAAAGATTAAAACTTAAAAGCAAAATTAATAAATTAAAAAGAAACATTTTACTTTTGTTTAAACACAATAAAAGTAAAAGTGATAAATATATCAGATGGCTAGTTTTTTGAGTACAAGAATTAAATAGACAACATCCTCCCAAGTACAATGAAAAATGTCAAATATTTCCAAATTATTTTATAAATATACTGTAATTCTAAGAAAAATACTAGTAGTGTTTGTTTTTGTTTTTATTTTGAGAAATGATAAGTGTCTAAAGCTCACGTGAAAAACAAGTAGCTATCCAGTTCTGCTTGGCAGCTTCTGTCATATTTTTCCCTGTAGGTTTCTATTACATATTTTCTGGAGATTGAATGTACACTAGGTATTATTAGAGTACATACCTTTACCTATTATTGCATAATAACCATGTTGAATACTTCGAGCTGCCGTGTTTTATAAACAGCATGGCTGGGGCATACTGGGGCAGGGATAGTGGCCAAAATAAGGCTGGAGAAATAGGCAGGGGACAGATCCCTGCAGGGCACTGCAAACTAAGGTGAGGTCTTTGGATGTTTTATTCCAAGAGCAATATAATGTATTTGGGGGTTTTAAACAGGAGCATATCTTGTTTTATTTTTAAAAACCACCTCTTGCTCTTATGTAAAGATTTGAATGTGAGAAAGCAAGATTGGAAATGAGTGGAGAAAGACAAAGGAAATTTTAAAAAATCTTAAGTTGTTTTGAAATCCAAAAGTAGAAAGAATGAGAGAAAGAAAAAAATTCTCTCTTAATATGATATGATAAAAATGGCACTTTACCTTGCCTCTGTGATATCCCCACCCCAAAACCATAATCCCAACTTAATTATGAGAAAAATGTAAAAACTCCAAATAGATAGGCATCCTAACAGTCATCCTTAAAACTGTCAAGATTATGAAAAACTGAGAAACTGAGAAATTATCACAACCAAGAAAAGCAAAAGGAGACATGAAAACTAAATGTAATATGGTATCCTGGATGAACTCCTGGAACAGAAAAATAACTTTAGGTAAAAACTAAAAAAATTGAATAAATTGTGGATTTTAATTAATAATAATGTATCAATATAATCCCACTACTTGTACTAAATATATCATATTAACATTAGACTTTAATCACAGGGTAAATTGTGAAATTCTGTGGGTGAGGGGTATATGGCAATCTTCTGTACTATCTGCTCAATTTTTCTATAAACCTAAAACAATTCTAACAATAGAGTCTAATTATAAAGAATGAATAAGTGTTTATTGATCCATATTTATGGAAATGGGTGTTGTTGTTAGAGCAGTCTTGGGACCCTTAAATAGTCAGGTAGTAAGATCGTCAGCCTTGGCCTGGATCTGAGACCTCACTGTTTCCTAGTATGTAAGAGCTTTCCTTGATTTCCTACTTGGCCAGTGGCTTGATACAAAAACCTTCCCATTTAAGAACCTGAATATAGATATTTTAATTCTAGTACCAAATTCAGTGGTTTATGAAGGATGGCAATTAATTCTGCCTGCCATTAGACAGTTGGGTCTTCCCATTGAACTCAGTAAGAACCTGATTTGAATCTGCTGTAAACTGCCTCAGGGTGGCCAGTGCATGGAACTTGGAGCCTGATTGAATGCCAGTGATGAGGCAGGTTGATCTGCGTCTCTCGAAAAATGTATGGAATGGTACATGTAACTGAAGTAGACCAGTGCAGGCAAAAAGCAACAATCACCTTTGTGATATAATGCTGGTTTCCCTCAGTCTTTCGAAAGAGGGATCTCCACAATTTATTACACAGCTAATATGTTTGTCCCAGAGTCAGGGACCTTTTTAATCCAATGCCTAGATATAAGAGTGATGAAAACTGGCACCAAAATTGGGTGTTCTCCCACTCTAGTACAGTAGAAGTCATTCTAAGAATCATGGCAGGTCAGAATCTGAGAGGAGACAGCAGGTGCACAGGTGTGTAAGGGTCTGAGAGGGGAAAGGCACAAGTAGAAAGGATTAAGAGAAAAGGTGATTGTGAAGATGTGCCTGTGAATAGCCAGAGACATGATCACTGCCTCCCTGGTGATCTCGTGAGTCACTGAAATTATCTTCCTAGGCTCTGAGAAACACACCAACTGGGCTACTTCCCTATGGCATTATCAGACAAACAGTGCCGCATGTATCTTCTTGTGTTTTGTATATATTTTATCAGACTTTATTTTATAGACCTGTTTTAGGTTCACAGCACAACTGAGCAGAAGATACAGAAATTTTCCATATTCTCCCTACCCCCACAGATGTACAGCCACTGCCACTATCAACACCTCACACAAGAGTGCTACATCAATTTGTTACAATTGATGAACAAACACTGACACATCATTATTACCCTAAGCCTGTGGTTTATATCAAGGTTCACTCTTGGTGTTGTGTCCTCTATGGGTTTTGACAAATGTATAATGATATGTATCTACCATTATAGGATCACACAGAGTAGTTTCATTGCCCTAAAAATCCTCTATTCTCCTCCTATTCATCTCCTCCCCACAACTCCTGACAACCACTGATCCTTTTGCTATCTCCATAGTTTTGCTGTTTCCAGAATGTTCTATGTGTGGAATCACACAGTATGTAGTCTTTTCAGATTGCCTTCTTTCATTTAGTAATATGCACTTGGAGTTCTTCCATGACTTTTCATTGCTTGATGGATAATTTCTTTTTAGCAATAACGAATAAACCCGTTATAAACATCTGTGCACAGGTTTTTGTTAGGATCTTCAACTCCTGTGGGCAAGAAGCTTGATGGTTTATTTTATGGTGAAGTACATTTGGTTTTCTAAGAACCTGTTAAACTCTCTTCCAACACAGTACTATTTTGTCTTCCAACAATGTACCATTTTGCATTCCAATATCAATGAATGGGGGTTTCTGTTCCACATCTTCTCTGGCATTTATTGTTATCAGTGTTCCAGATTTTGGCCTTTCTAATAGATGTGTAGTGGCATCTCATAGTTGTTTTAATTTGCAAGTCCTTAATCACATAAAATGTTGAGAATCTTTCCATATGTTTATTTGCCATCTTCTTTGGTGAGGTGTCTATTCAGGTCTTTGGGCCAATTTTTTCCTGATACTAAATTTAATTTCTTTTTTTTCTTCAACTTTTAAGTTCCAGGGTACATGTGCAGGATGTGCAGGTTTGTTACATAGCTAAATATGTGCCATGGTGGTTTGCTGCACAGATCAACCCGTCACCTAGGTGTTAAGACCCCAGCATCCATTAGCTATTCTTCCTGATATTCTCTCTCTCACCGCTTATAGATTCTAGATATTAGACCTTTGTCAGATGGATAAATTGCAAAAATTTTCTCCCACTTTTTAGGTTGCCTGTTGGCTCTGATGAAAGTTTCTTTTGCTGTGCAGAAGCTCTTTGGTTTAATTAGATCAATTTTAGTTTTTGTTGCAATTGCTTTTGGTGATTTCATCATGAAATCTTTGCCTGTGCCTATGTCCTAAATGGTATTGCCTATATTTTCTTCTAGGGGTTTTATAGTTTTGGGTTTTACAATTAAGACTTTAATCCATTTTGAGTTAATTTTTGTATAAGATGTAAGGAAGGGGTCCACTTTCAATTTTCTGTATATGGCTAGCCAGTTCTCCCAGCATCATTTAGTAAATAGGGAATCCTTTCACCATTGCTTGTTTTTGTTAGGCTTGTGAAGATCACATGGTTGTAGATATGTGATCTTATTTCCGAGCTCTGTATCATGGACCATTTTTAATAGATTTTGCATTTTCTTCTTTTGAGTTGCAAAGACTTGCCTGTATATTTTGGATGCAAATTCTTTATTAGATGTATGTTTTGTGAATATTTTCTCCCCGTCTGTTGTTTGTCTTCTCATGCTTTGACTGTGTTATACCTTTTATGGTGTCTACTCTAAGAGCACACACAGTTAGGGAGAGAAATATATGGAGGCATTTCCATTGGATTAAAAGGTATTAAGGTAAGAGGCCAAAATCTGAAAAGAAGCATTAATTGTGGAAATGTAGCCTATCTGATTGTGGGGGAAATCCAGCAGTAGAGATTAAGTGATGAGGAAAAAAAAGTGTGTATCTTCAGCAACATGCAACTTCACTTTATAATTACGAGCATTTCTGTTCATTGAAATGTGTGTAATGTTTTCTTCTTTCAGGTTATAATTACAAATAAATTTATACCTGAAGTCATTTATTTTTATATAGTTGTTTACTGATTTGTTGCGTGTTTATTTTTGCTAATGTATGCATTAACTGATAATTGGTAGAAATCAGCAGTTAGGAGCAAAAAAAATGCATTATTTTTTCAATGTAAGCTCTGTGAGAAAAACAAAAATGTTTCTGCATCAATTTAATATGTTTTCTCATCAGTGTGGAATTTATGTAGGGATTTTTATATCAGTTTGGTCTTCATAGATACTCTTTTCCTCCTGTCGCCTGAATATATGTGAAACTAAGAGAAATGTAAATTTTTCTTTGCTTTTGGTTTTCTCCTATGCTTTGAAATACTTTGACAAGACCATAAGCATTTCTAAAGCAAAAATCTGTTTCAGTTTTATTTATGAAACTATATTGACATACAATCTATGATTAATATTGATTTCTTCTGAAGATTGTAAGCAGGAATCAGAGAGGTACCATTGACTAACAAATGTTATTATGAGTTGAATTTTATTTGAAAAGCAAATGTTAAAATATTTTTTTGTTTGCTTAAAGTTCATTGTGAAAATATTGGAGAAAGATGTTAAACCTAGCTAGAGTTGCTGGGAGAAGAGAAAAGGTATTTCAATAAGAGTGAGTAACTATTTTCATTATGAAAAAGATTAATAACACAACAGGAAAATGAATACAAATAAATAATTCATGAAAAGGGAAGTAAAAATGGAACACTTGAAATATTGCACTGAAAATTATAAGTTAACAAAAAGTTAAAATTGTATCTATATAATTACAAAGGACATAAGAATTACAATGTCCTGCATTGATAGAGTTTATGTGTATTTTTTCTTTCTCTCTATATTACTGTATTTCCCCTTGTTTGTGAAATTAATATTTATATTATAGTTGCAAAGAGTAAAAATTTTAAGAATTTTAAAAGATACATTTTAAAGCACTTCCATTTTTCCTATCATTACACCCAATTATGTAGCTCACATTAATGAATTGTACATAATAGGAGTACAAACTCTGTTATCTCAATGTATCACTTTTCAAAAGAGGTTAGGAAAATGTTTTAATAATTCAAAATATCCAGAGATATTTTAACAGTATCTTGGACTAACAAACGTATTTCAGCACTATGTCTTAAGAACACTTTTGTTTTAATAGCATTTTTCTATTTTAGTCATAAGTGGTCAACATTAGATCTACCATTCTACAAGAAAGTATAGGTCCTGCATCCTATTCATAAATAAAAAGAATAGAATACAATTTGAATCTTGCTCCTCCTCCTCATTAGAGTGTAATCTTGGTAGGTGATAAGTCTTCTTGATTGCATTTCTTTACATTAAAATGAGAAAGATATGTAATATTTCCTGGGTGTCTTAGAAAGACTATTAGAATAATTAATTTAGAATTAGGTAACCACGTGTAAATGTCCTATGTAGGATTTGACTCAGAAATGATATTCAAAGAATAGAAGCACTTAGTGGCTTCCTGGCCATTTATGAAATGGTAAGTGGTACAGTTAGAAATGATCTGAGGTCAAGCTCTGCTTTCGTTCCCCACCATAAACACCATAAATCCCCTATTCCAGCTGGAAACATAGACTTAATATTGTTAATGTGTAAGAACCCAGATAACCATGAAATTGTTCACCTTCTTGCAAGAATTAATTGTATAAAACTCTCTTGGTTGGTCAAAGATGCTAGACTTGGTATTGCCATCGATTGATGCTGATACCTTGTAGTTTTTCTTATCAGTATTATGCTTTGTTTTCACCTTCAACGACATGTTAGCCTTCTAAAGCCTGCTTTACTTTGCTGTACTTACTCCAGCCTTTGCCAGTTTCTGAAGAATGAGGTTATGCCCTAGACAGCTTCCCTGGAGACAGACTGCTGACCCTATGCTACTATAGCCCTGGTGTTCCTCTTTGGTCCAGGGAGAACTCCTGTGCGCTATGCTCTCAGTATGCTCTGGGATCCTGCCCTCTGAGCTCAACCTGCATTCCCTGCCCCCACAGGATGGACTGACAGAGACAGATGGGCCAAGAGCTGGGAAACATTTTTGCTATAATTTTGTATTTTAATAGAAATTTTGGAATATATTAAGTGAAATCAGTTATTGAATCTTTTTGCTAAAATAAATCTGAAAAATAACTATGTCTCTATGTTTTAGAATTTCCAGAACCTAACTATTTTAAGTACTGTAATCTGAACAATGTAAGAACATCTTACAAACAGAAACTCAGAAAAAAGTAAAAAGCATTCAAGCAAAAGATTGTAGCCAAACTGGCTACAATTCAGAAAATAAAACTTGTAAAGCTTTAGCAATGTAAAATTTGGAAAAACGTACAATTTGAGAGATATAGCAGGTTCAAATTGAATTATATCAAAGCATGTTTTTCCAAAGAAACTGATACCAAATGTCTGTGTTTCTATAGAGAGCAAACTAAGGCTAAATAAGTGTAAAATATCAGATAAGAAACTCATATGAGAAGAAGTAAAGATAGCCTGATGGAAATGTTCTTTCTTAAACACACACAGTGCTATCAATTTGTTATAGGATCTAATTCCCTTGTAGATGTTTGGAAACAGAGGAAACTTCCATTAATTTGGAGTTTTTAATCGTGCCTAAAGATAGGACTAAAAATCTTCTCAGGATATCATACTTCGATTTTTATGAGCCTATGTCAGGAATCATTTAAATCATCACTTCAAAAAAAAGAAGGTATATCTAGAAGCTTATATTCATATTACATGTTTGCCTTTAATCCAATGGTAATGTGTCATAGACTCTAAGAAATTAAAAAATTATTGTGGACTTTGGTGTTCATAAACAATTTGACTACTACTATGAATCAAAACTTGAAGAGAGTACAGTAAGACAATAAAATAATTTCTAGTAAGATAGCAATAGTACACACATACTTTAGGAATTCTTCGTTGGTTATATATTTTTTTCTCACATTGTTACAGCTGTGTTGGATTTAAAATGGCTATGATAAAGGTGATATCATAAAAAGAAATCAATTTATGATTAATTAGAACTGTTTAATTATCAGGAAATCAAGAATTAAATTTTTGGATGAAAAAGTGTTGTTTCTTTTATGATTATGAGTTAGTTAATAGACTTTGAAGTTGGGAAAAATTCTCAGGAATCTTGGAAATTGGCAAAGGTATTTTGTACCTCTATACAGTATTAAAAAAATATACCCAAAGGATTATAAATCATGCTGCTATAAAGACACATGCACACATATGTTTATTGCGGCACTATTCACAATAGCAAAAACTTGGAACCAACCCAAATGTCCAACAATGATAGACTGGATTAAGAAAATGTGGCACATACACACCATTAAATACTATGGAGCCATAAAAAATGATGAGTACATGTCCTTTGTAGGGACATGGATGAAGCTGGAAACCATCATTCTCAGCAAACACAGGAACAGAAAACCAAACACCGCATGTCCTCACTCATAGGTGGGAATTGAACAATGGGAACACATGGATGCGGGGGGGAGCATCACACGCCGGGGCCTGTTGTGGGGTGGGGGGAGTGGGGAGGGATAGCATTGGGAGATATACCTAATGTTAAATGACGAGGTGATGGGTGCAGCACACCAGCATGGTACATGTATACATATGTAACTAACCTGCACGTTGTGCACATGTACCCTAGAACTTAAAGTATAATAATAATAAAAAAATCAATATCGTTGAGGTTTTTCATGTTAGATCAATTTTCTGTACTAAACAGGAAATAACTTTCCTTTGCCTATTGTACAGTGAGTCACATAGGCCTGTTGCACTCTACCAAAATATCTCTGGCAGTCAGGCTTCCTGTAACATACAGAAAGGCTGCTGAACACATTTAATTCATCCATCTGTTACTCACATACAGCTATTGTAATTTACAATTCTGTGAGCAATTTGATTACTTAGGTGTTGAATTAGTAGTGTTTGCTTTTATATCATTTGAATTTCAAATGTGTCTATCTAATGTATTTTCATAGCTACATTAGATATTTTAGCTAAATAAAGCAAGTTCACTAAAAGCAACTAATTCTCCCTTAAATGCTAAATGACACACATCAATAGATCTTCACTGAACAAACAACTCCCTTATTTCCATTTGATTAATAAAGAGTTGTTTCTTTCAATGGATACATAAAAAATCAAATGCATTTTTCTTCCAAAAATTTTAGAGCTATTTTTTAAAAATTTAGAAAAAAGAATCACCAATAAAGTAAAATTCAGCTCAATCAAGTAATCAAAAGAAAATTTTATCCTAAGCAAAGCTATAGAGATAGAGAAAAAATTGTCAAAGAATTAGAGTTCTCTAAATGAACAAATGTCAGGCATGTATAACATTCACAAGGCTTGAAAAAAGTCCTGTTGGAAAAAGTTGTTAAAATATGTGTTTGAAGAGCACACTTACGGTGATCCAGGGTTGCTAAACTTCACAGGTAAAAAATACTTTATGTAATTCCTTGGGAATACATTTTGAAAGATTAATGGAACTCACTTCTAACTGCTTTCTGAAATGACAAATACTTTCCCTTCAAAAAATCAAAATATTTATGCATTATTACCTTATATATGTACTGCTCTGAAATCCATTTTCAAAATGAATCATTAAAAATAATTCTGAAGATGAGTATCACCACCTTCTTTTTCAGTTCCCTGTAAGTATTTCTTCATTTCTCTCTACAGGATTTTCCTTTCTACATGTTAACAGCAAGTTAAAAATAAACTTCGTTTTCTGTAATTAAGAGTTCTGTATGGAAAATATAAAGTAGTTCTTTTAAGATTTCTTATGAAAAATTGCCCAAGCTGAGCATTACAGTTTTTATTACAGGCTAGTTATGATACTTAGGATAAGCAAGGAAGAAGGATACTATCTTATATGCTATCTCACTCCAGTGAGCCTAAGATCAATATGCTGTAAGCAGGAAAGTAAATCTATCTAATATAAAATTAAACTCTTCAAAGATGGCAGTTGCATTTCTTATATTTCTAGGCTAAAGTGATTGTATTTAATATATACATTTATGCTACAATATTAAGTCTTCATGATTTTGAAGGTGATAGAATTGTAAAAAAAAAAAAAAATAGAAAAAAGTAAAAGAAAATTTAAATCACCCGCATCTTACAATGCAGACATAAATACTGTCAACATCTAGGAAGTTACTTTTCAGTCATTTTGTGATAGGTGATGATAGATAGATAAAAAATAAATGGATACTTTATTTTTAAAAATTATAATCATATTGCTTATGGTTTTATATCATCTACCATTGTATCATGACTATTTTGGCCTGCCAATAAACATTTTTAGAATATCTGATTTTAAGATCAATGTATTTTGTGTTAAAATGTATTTAAATTGAGCATTCATTAATCTATGCAAAGAACTGTGCTTGATGCATGGAGTGTAGAAAGGTTTGCACAACATTTCCAAAGACTAGGAGATGAAGTGCCATATTCATGCTGTTGACACAGAGGAAAATTACTTAATGCTGCAAAAGCACAGCATGCTTTGCAATTTCAGAGGAGGAAAAAATTAAGATCCTCTTTTAGAAAGTAATCAAAGGAGTCAATACATTTGAGCTAAGTTGTCAAGGCTGGCTGGACTTTTGACATGTGAAGAAGAGAAGAACAGACTTTACAAGTGAAGAAAAATCATGAGCTAAGGAAAAGAGGCAGACTTGCATGTAAAATGTGGACAAAACACCTCAGAAAGTGTGGCATAATACATCAGGTTCATGGGCATACAAGTCTTATAGAACAAGGAACAGTGAAAAAGAAGAATATAGTAACAAAGGTAAAGGCTATGTCAGTGGTTGAGCTGCAGGTGATTTTCACTTTTACTTTCTTTCCAAATTTGCGATTTTATTAAAAAATATGTATAGTGACAAGAATTTATCTTATGACCTTACAAACATAAATGACCTTACTCATTTGATCATGTTGACAATAGTATGAGGTGGGTGTAAATACTGCAGATGAGAAAATAGGGATAGAGAGGATAAGAAATTTAATCAAGGGTGCACAACTAGTGGATACCAAAGCTGGATATTGAGCCTAGAAAGGTTTAATCCAAAGTCCAAGCTCTTCGCCAAATTTGCTCTACTGTCTCTCTTTCCTATTGTTTATAATTAATAATTATAATATTAAGAAAAATAAGCAGCAACATGGTAAATGATTATACAAACTTTATTTGTATAGATAATCCATTTCCATGAACCAATTTATCTTTGATCCAGCCCTATGCATACAGGAATAAAATAACATCAGAGTGGCTTTTCTCATGAGCAAAACTGCAGAACCTGTAGTTTAAAATAGATTTTTAATGTCCCAAAGTAACTGTTGATTTCCAATGGTTTTGAATTTGGTCCCCTTAAGAAAAACTGTAACCACTGATAAACTTCTTATAGACCTTGTTACAGGAAGTGAGGTTGGCCAAACGCTGGCATTTTTGAAATTTGTTTTTCTATTTATCTGCAAATATTTTTTGCCATACTAGTTATTTTCAAGAGAGGGAAGGAAAAGATTAATAAGAAAAAAACAATAAGGTTTTATTCATACCCGAAGCCATTCAGAGTAGAACCCCAGATATGCAGTATTTGTTTGGGACTCAAGAGTCACAAGTTTACCTCACTTTATAAAATGGTCCATTCCTCAGACATCCCAACTCAATACCTGAATGTACTATGTACTCCCAAGTGGAAATGCTCTCTACTTAGTGTCTCTAGCTTTAATTACTGTTATGCAATAGTTATCTAACAATGGAAATAATTCTTTTAAATCAACCCATTGTTACATTACTACTTGTATTCAACACAAATGAATGATACTTAAATCAAGGAAGACATATTGACAATTTTGTTCAAAAGAAAAAATTGTCTATGAAAATCCTCACGTGTTACCAGTTAAAAGAAACTTAATGTAAACTAAGAAACATCTAATAATTTTGGTACGAAAATAGAAGATAAATATTTAAGTAGAACATAAGAATGAGAAGGGCCAGACTGAAATTGAAGTAGGACTGACCTTTACTGAACCCAATCTCTTTAGAGAAACTGCTCATTTTGGGTGGTGTAGCTGAATTATTAGTTAATAACATACTACTTACTCTTAAAATATGTGGACAGAAAATTTGACATAATATATGCATCCTGTTAATAAAGAAAAAATTCTGGTATAAAAAATGAAAGTTAATAATTAAAATTTATAAATACTTGTCCAAAGTTTCTCCCCTTCCAGGAAGTATTTAGTTGCAAAACATTCTGAGGTTTTTGTTTTTTACTTTCTTCTGATTTCAGTATGCAAGTAACTAAGTTATATATAACTATATTTTAATACTTTTAAATTAAGGTATTACATATATGAAGGGAAAAATCTTAAATGTATATGCCTTCTTACATATAACAAATCAGCATATAATTACCATCTAAGTCAAAATGCAGAACATCCAGTTAACAACCTCCTTTGTCCCACAAAGGCAGCCATTATTCTGACTTCAGAAAACCATAGGCTAGTTTTGGCTGTTTTTTGAACTTCATATAAATGAAATCATATATTATGTAGATGTTAGTGACTGGCTGCTTTCACTTAATGTACTGTAAGATTCATCCACATTTTTGCAGTCAGTTGGAGTTTTTCAAAAACTTTCTGCATTATATGACTATACTATATTATATATATCCATTAACTGTTATTGGACATTTGGATTTTTTTTCAGTAACAGAACATGACTAATATTGCTGCTAGGAAGATTCTTGTATAGAACTTTTGGTGAACATATACTCTTAACTGTTGGGCCAATACATAGTAATGGAATTTCTGGCAAAAGGCATTGATTCAGATTTAGTAATTATGTCTAATCCTTCTCCAAAATGGTTTTATCAATTTACATTCCCAACATACCATATGAGAATTCCAGTTGCTCTACATCCTTAAAAATACTTAGAAATATCAGTAATTTTAAAAATGTCATATATTTTGGTATATGTATTACTAGTAGAAACTCATTTGAGATTTAGTTTGCATTTCTCTGATACTAAGACATTTATATTTTAAAGAGTTTTTAAAGAAAAAGAGGAATGGATTACTATTTCTAATCCACAATTTGGGCAGGTATCAATATAAACTATGACAATCCATGAATATGTCTCCCAAGGAACATAGTCAACTTTATTAATTCAGAGAGTGCTAGCAAAATTAAAAAAAACAAAATTCTAGAATAGAATGCATATGTCATAGAACAGCTAAATATTAATAGAACTAAAAATACTAGTTTTTATTATTTTGTGGTATAACCAATGCTAATTTTAAGCTATCAAAATGCTACATACACTTCCAATCACTTCCAAATTTAGATAAAAAATTTGATTTGGGAAAAATATTTCAAATCTCACAATTTTGTTGTATTTGAGACAGACTTAAATGTTTGTATTTTCTTTCTTTTTTACAATGAGGCTTCACACTTTTGACATGTAAGATGGAAAAGCGCAACTTGATGTGATTAGTGTTCCCTTCTTAGACTATGTCATTCCTACTACTAGTTAGATTTGTATTTCAGATGACTACAAATAAGACAAGCCTAACAAGATTCATAATTCTGGTCTTGCAGCTGAAAGAGTTTCAATTTTAAATAAACTGCTGGCACTATCCTTGTAAGGAACTGGCAAAAACAGTTACATCCATTGAAACTAAAATTTAACGTGGGAATTTTGCATATTATATTCAGCAAACAAACACTTTCATGTGAGGAAAAAAGGGGGAAAGGGCTGTTTTATAACAATGAAGTTATGAAAATTTTAAGTCATAGAGGTGCTGCCGTTATATTTTCAGTGCATTGGAGGTTTTTATGTATGAATTCTTGATTCTGATATTCATTTTAAACTTGTTAAATTCAAGAAATAACTTTTCCAGCACTGAAATGAAACAGGTTGCCTGGTTAGCTTGCAGAGTAATTTTAGAGTAAACTATATACACAGTTAAAACAAATGCTACAGAAACTGTCCTCAATAAAGAAAGATAGAATGTCTATGGACTCTTGGTAAAATGTAAAATGCACCCAGGGTTTAATGTGTATCCATTTTATACAAATTCTAAGATGATAGATGTGATCAAGCCTAATTTTAAAATTAGCATACCGTTTGAATATTTAACATGTACACTCACACAAGCGGAGCTTCATGAGCAAGGGGATCTTTGTATAAAGATTTAAAATTTTTTCTCTCTTCCAAATGAAGTATAATAAATGAAGGAATGAAGTTTGTACATTTTCTTTCTGTTATTTGTTATCCAAGTTCTCTTTTTTTAATGATTGCCCACTTCTGAATTAGGCATTTGATGTTGAATGGGGTATATATATAGTTTACTCATGTTAGAAAGGCTTCAATTAGATGTTCAAGCTCTTGAGAAATTCTCTATGTAATTCTTTCATGTAATTCTCTACAGTAGAAAAAATGGAAAGAAAGTGCCTTTGTCAACTTCACTCACTCATTCTTTTTTCACTGATTTACTCTTTCTATTCATAAATATTTACTTAGTATTATCTATATGCCAATTATTCTGCTGGGCCAAAGGGATTAAAATAAAACAACACATCAACATAGTGCCTTTGATTGAAGATGCTACCCTCCCAGTAGCTAGACAAAACAAAAATGTAAGATAAAGCAGAACAACAAGTGCAAGAGGACAGGCAATCAGACAATGGATAGGGAAGAAGAGCTAGGCGTGGTGGCAGAGGACTCTTTTTGGCATTTAGGTGGACTTTACAATTATTATAACTCTAGGGTAGTTGGTATTATGACTTGCACTTTATGGATGAAGAATCTAGGACAAAGACAGAATGTAATTGACTTGAGGCAATCTTAACTGCATTATCACAATGACAGAAAGGTGAGTTGCTATATTCTTTTTTGATTGAAAAGTCTGGATAGAAATGGCATTTCAATCAAGTTTGCAGCAGCCTTTGAACAAAACGTTAAAATTCTGATTTAATTTATGTATCAATATTATAAAGACTAAATATAAAAAAGTAATTTGTAAAGTAACAATCAAGGAAAATTGGACATGCTGAGAGTGGTAAAAATCTACTTTAAGGACTAACTTTTTAATTTCTTTTCACTGGGTTTTAAATTTTTAACCACAATGAAATTAAAATATATTATTTTCTTAATATAACTTTTGAAATCTCACTGTTCTATTGTTTTCTATAGTGTAGTAATTGTCCTCAAGATACCAATGGGACAAAGGGGAAAAAATAAGAGACCTATATGTGCTTCTATTTAAGAAGCTTTGTAACTTTTGAATAGAGAGAAAAAATAACATATTGTTTATACCAAAACATATTTGAGATTTAAAATAGGCACAAATAATTCTGAAAAAGAATCATCCAAATATTTTAATAGAGCTTAAGTAGGATACTTTCTCTCATCAAACTTTCATTGTAACTTTATTTCTTCTATATCCAGCTACATTAATCTTGATATTTAAAATTATGGTAGAGAAGTTATGAAATTAGACAACTAGGTACATTTCTTAGGATCACTGCTTCCTTGCTGCACATATTCAAACAAATTACTTTACCCTCCTAAGTCTTTCAACAGTAAAATGGCAGCAATAATAATGGCTGCCTCATAGAATTATTATAGGCAAAGCACTTAAAGCAGTGCCTGTACAGAGAACAAAAAAATCAATGAAGGTTAGCTACTAATTTTTATCTACAGTTGTATGTACTCAAAATTATCATATATATTTATCCTTTTCTGCTGCAATAATTCTGATGCCATAGTGATCAGATTGACTTAACAATTTTTTCAGAAAAGCTCTTACAGTTCATTTTTGCCAATTAAGTATTTTTTTTCCCTTCATCAGAACACTGCTTAAAAATCGTGCCAACTGTGGCACCTTCTAATGCTAACCAGGTATATATATCAATATGTCAATGATAACACATTTAAGCAAATGTAGGTAAATTGTATGACAGTATCACAGACGATGAAATCAGAGTTTGGGAGCTATAATATGTGGTAGAAATAACCATCTACTCCTCAGGTTAAGTGATTTGTTCCAGGCCACATGACATTTTTTGCAGGGCAGGACTAGATCCCATATATTCTGATTTCTAGTGCATGGTTTGTTGTTTCTAGCATGGTAATATAATATATTGTTTAACTAAGACACTTTTGTGAAAGAAAGAGGGCACTATAAAAAACATATTGGAAATATATATAATATATATAATATATTATATATTTATATTATATATATTATATATAATATATATAATATATATAATATATATATAATATATTATATATAAATATATTATATATACTATATTATATATAGCTAATTTGTTGTCTCAGGCAAACTAGGATTATGGCATACCAGCCATGAATTAATAGATAAAATGGAAATTTTGTCAAGTATTTTAATATGGAGAATTTAACATGGGGTATTTTTAAGGTATACAGAAATGGAAAAGCAATCAGGGAACACTAAGTTAGACAGTAACTGTAAGAATCAACCCTCATTTCTTGGGGTGGGAAAACAAAAATAAAGACACTGATATTTTCAAACCTTAGAAGTTCAGAGGAGGGCACCAGAGACCTAGAATTAAACCCCTTTGGGGAATAGGAACCAACAGATCATTGCTGATACCTCAGAAATTGAACAGAGGACCTCAGGAGAGTTGGGACTCAGACCTTTGGGGAAGGCATGAGGTCCAGGTGAGGATGTTACCTTAGGAGTTTGGAAAAAGGACTTGTGGTTTGGGCCTTTGAAAATGGTGTTTTTTTTTTTTTTTTCTGGTGTGATGATTAATTTTATGCCTCACTTTGGCTGGGTCATAATGCCCAGATATTCAGTCAAACTTCATTCTAAACATTCTGGAAGTGTTTGTCTATCCAATGCCTGTTCCACCATCATATTTTGAAAACACAGAGTCTGTTTTTACAAGTTTATAGCTGGAGAGGAATTTTGCCTTAGATAAATCACAGGTTTTGGTTCACTAGGTACATTGTCAAAGAGCGCTGTGACTCATCCTTGTATGATTTAGATGATATTTTTGATAATCTTGATAATTTTGATGATTTTTTAAGATGAGACTTGACTTTAAAGTTGATGCTGAATAAGTTAAGACTTTTGGGGCTATTTGGATGAAATGAATGTACTTTGCATGAAATAGGGATGTAACATATTTTGGGGGGTGGCAGGTGCAGAATGCTGTGAATTAAATTGTGCCATGCCCTCAAATTCATATGTGGAAGCCTGAACCCCAAATGTGACACTATCTAGAGATGGGGACTTTAGGAGGTAACAAAGGTTAAATGAGGTCAAAAAAGTGAGGCTCTAATCCCATAAGTTTGCTGGCTTTCTAAGAAGAAGAAAAGAGAAATCTCTTTGTCTCACTACTTGAGGACACAGCAAGAAGGCTGATACGTGCAAGCAAGGAAGACAACCCTCACCAGAAACTGCATTGGATGGAACCTCAATCTTGGACTTCTAGCCTCCAGAACTGTGAGAAAATAAATTTCTGTTGTTTAAGTCACCCTGTCTATGGTATTTTTATTATGGCAGCCTGAGCTGACTAAGTGTTTTTTGGGTAATATTAACATTTAAATTGGTGCTGTAATTGAATGCATGTATCTCCCCAAAATTCAAATGTTCAAAGTGTTAACCCCCAAAGTGATGACATTAGTATGTGGGGCTTTTTGGAAGGTATTTAGATCATGAGGGTAGAGCCCTGATGAATGGGATTAGTGCCTTCATAAAGGAGGCCTCAGGAGGCGTGTTTGCCCCTTCCACCACGAGAAGTTACACTGAGAATATGGTTGTCTTTGAGAAAATGGGGCCTCATCAAACACTGAATATACTAGTCCCTAAATCTTGGACTTCTCAGCTTCCAGAAAGAAATACATTTCCGTTGTTTATAAGCTACCAGGCTATGGTATTTGTTAGAGCAACCCAAAAGACTAAAACAATGGTGAATATAACAGATTGCTTTCCTAATGTGGGGGTGGGGTTTATCCAATCAGTTGAAGGCTTAAATACACCAATGACAGATGTTTCCTGAAAAAGAATTCTTCCAAGAAGACACACTTGCAAACTGAACTAAAACCTCTCCCTCAGTCTACAGCACACTGGCCTACCTCATCAATTTTGGATTTACCAAATCTCCATAATGGTATCAGCGAATTCCTTGAAATAAATCTTTCTGTATATAAAGGCACAGCATGGAGATATTTTGAGTTCAGTTCCAGGCCATAACAATAAAGCTAATATTGCAATAAAGTGAGTCACATTTTGTTTTGTTTCCCAATGCATATAAAAGTTATGTTTATACTATCTTGTAGTCTATTAAGTGCAATAGGCATTATATCAACAAAACAATGTACGTAATTTAATTAAAAAAAACCTTATTGCTAAAAAGAAAAAAAAAAAGCTAATGATTGCCTTATCTTTCAATGAGTCATGATCTTTTTGCTGGTAAGGGCTCTTGCCTTGATTTTGATGGCTGTTGACTGACCATGATGGTGTTTGCCAAAGATTGGGTGTATGTGCCAATTACTTGAAATAAGACAATGAGATTTGCCACATTGACTGACTCTTTCTTTCACAAAATATTTCACTATAGCATGCTAAACTATTTGATAGCATTTTACCCACAGTAGAATGTTTTTCAAAACTGGAGTAAATCCTTTCAAACCCTGCTGCTGCTTTATCAACTAAGTTTATGTAATATTCTAAATCCTTTGTTGTCATTTCAACAATGCTCACAGCATGTTCACCAGGAGCAAATTCCATCTCAACAAACTACTTTCACCCTGACTCCTGCCATAGAGAAAATGGAGCTGATCCAGAAGGCTAAGCTAGCTGAGTGCTATGATGACATGGGTACCTGCATGAAGGCCATGACCAAGCAGGGCACCGAGCTGTCCTATGAGGAGTGCAACCTGCTTTCCGTGGCCTACATGAGTGCGGTTGGGGGCTGCAGGTCCACCTGCAGGGTCATCTTAAACATCGAGCAGAAGACAGACACCTCCGACAAGAAGTTGCAGCTGATTAAGGACTACCAGGAGAAAGTGGAGTCTGAGCTGAGATCGATCGGCACCATGGTCCTGGAATTGTTGGATAAATATTTAACAGCCAATGCAACTAATCCAGAGAGTGGGGTCTTCTATCTGAAAATGAAGGGTGATTACTTCCAGTACTTTGCTGAAGCTGCATGTGGTAATGATCAAAAACAAATGATAGATAATTCCCAAGGAGCTTACCAAAAGGCATTTGATATAAGCAAGAAAGAGATACAATCCACACATCCAATCTGCCTGGGGCTTGCGGTTAACTTTTCTGTATTTTACTATGAGATTCTTAATAACCCAGAGCTTGCCTGCACGCTGGCTAAAACGGCTTTTGATGAGGCCATTGCAGAACTTGATACACTGAATGAAGATTCATCCAAAAGACAGCACCCTCATTATGGAGTTTCTTAGAGACAACCTAACACTATGGACCTCAGACAGTGCAGGAGAAGAATGTGATGCAGCAGAAGGGGCTGAAACTAAATCCAGACAGGGTGTCATCCTTCTTCCCTTCAAGAAACCTTTTTACATATCTCCATTCCTTATTCCACTTGGATTTCCTATAGCAAAGAAACCCATTTATGTATACGGAATCATCTGTTTACAGTCTTTTCACACTGCAGCATTGGGAAAACTTCATTCCTTGATTTGTCTTGGCCTTCCTAGTGTGTAGTTACTGCTGTAGAAAAGTATTAATACCTTCATTTCATATAAACATAAGCAACTTCCAAACACTTAGGTAGAGGACTAAAAATGTATCTGGTATTTAAGTAATCTGAACCAGTTCTGCAAGTGACTGTGTTTTGTATTACTGTGAAGATATGAAAATGTAGTTAATTACAATTTAAAGAGTGTTCCACACAACTTCTCCATTTCTACATTCCCTCCCATACTCGTCAGGGTTTCCTTTCAATAAGCAACTTTTCCATGCTCCTAATGTATTCCTTTTTAGTAGGAATCCAGAAGTATTAAATTGAATGGAAAAGCCCTTGCCATTTCTGGCTGGAGGTCACAAATTGAAATGCCTCCTGTATCACATATTATGGAGGTCATATATATCTGTGGCAACAGGGACTTTCCTTATTCACTCTTTATTTGCTGCTGTTTAAGTTGACAACCTCCCTTCCCAATAAAAATTCACTTACACCTCCTGCCTTTGTAGTTCTGGTATTCACTTTACTGTGTAATGCAAGTAGCATGTTGCTGCCAGAATACAAGCATTGCTTTTGGGAAATTAAAGTATATGTCATTTCTTAATACACTGCAAAGGGGAAATAAATAAAAGTACACAAGTCCAAGTCTAAAGCTTTAGTACTTTTCCATGCAGATATGTGCACATGTGTGGGGTGTACAGTTTGTCTAGTATTGTTATTTAGAGATTTGGACCACTACCGTGCACTGCTAATCATTGACTATAGTCCCAAAAAAGCCTTGTGAAAATGATATGCCCTATGTAACAGCAGAGCAACATAAAATACAATTATATTTTATAAACAACAACAACAAAAAACCACTACATTATTTGCTTATCCATAAGAAAGCAACTCCTGGCTGAGGCAGGAGGATTGCTTGAGGCCAGTAGTTTCAGACAAACCTGGGCAACATAGAAATGCTTCATCTCTGCAATTTTTTTTTTAATTAGCCAGGTGTGGTGGTATGCATCTGTAGTCCCAGCTACTCAGGAGGCTGAGGTGGGAGGACTGCTTGAACCCAAAATTTGAATGCCGCAGTGAGCCATGATCATGCCATGGCACTCCAGCCTGGGTGACAGAGTAAGATTCCATCTCTAAAAACTCTTTTTAAGTAAAAAAAAAAAAAAAAAAAAAAAAAAGAAGCAACTCCACATCTGTTCAAGTGTGATCATGAAATTGTAACAATTCAGTCATATCTTCAGGCTGTACTTCTACTTCTAGTTCTCTTGCCAATTCCACCACATGTGTAGTTACTTCCTCTCCTGAAGTCTTGAACCATGCAAAGTCATCTATTAGGACTGAAGTTGACTAACTTCAGTCAAGTTAGTCAACTGAACTTGACCGAACTGAAGTTGACTAACTGAAGTTAACTAAATTCCTGTTAATGTTGATATGTTGATCTCCTCCCCTGAATCACAAATATTCTTAATGACATCTGCAATGATGAATCCTTTCCAGAGGTTTTCAATTTATTTTGCCCAGATTCAATCAAAGGAATCACTATCTATGGCAGCTACAGTACAGCCTTAAAAACTATGTTTCTTAAATAATACCTGAAAGTTGAAATTACCTCAACACAACAGAATCGGTGTTGTGTTAACAGACATACAAACAACATTCATCTCCTTGTATATCTCCATCAGAGCTCCAGAGTCATCTAGGATTTGTTGCTTAATATAAAGTGTACAAGCAGAGTAGATTTAACATAATTCTTAAGGGTCATACAATTTTCTAAATGGTAAATGAGCATTGGCTTCAATTTAAAGTTACCAGCTGCATTATCCTCTAACAGAAGAGTCAGCCTGTCTTTTGAAGCTTTGAAGTCGGGCATTGACTTATCTTCCCTAGCTATGAAAGACCTAGGTGGTAACATCTTCCAATAAAAGGATGTTTTCACCTACATTGAAAATCTGTTTTTAAAGGTAGACACCTTAATTAATTATCTTAGCTAGATTTTCTGGATAACTTGCTGAAGCTTCTCCATTAGCATTTGCTGCCTCACCTTGCTCTTTATGTTATGGAAATGGCTTCTTTCCTTAAACCGCATAAACCAGCCTCTGATAGATTCTATCCTTTCTTCTGCAGCTTCCTCAGTCTCTCAGCCTTCACAGAATTGAAGAGAATTGGGACCTTGCTCTGATTAGTCTTTGACTTAAGAGAATGTTGTAGATAATTGATCTTCTAACCAGACCACTAAAACTTTCTCCATATCAACAACAAGGCTGTTTTGCTTGCTTTCTTTTTTTTTTTTTTTTTTTTTTATTATACTTTAAGTTTTAGGGTACATGTGCACATTGTGCAGGTTAGTTACATATGTATACATGTGCCATGCTGGTGTTTTGCTTTCTTATCATTCATGGATTCACTGGAGTAGAACTTTAATTTCCTTTAAGAACTTTACATTTGCATTCACAACTTGGCTAACTGGTACAAGAGGCTTAGCTTTCAGCCTATGTCAACTTGCAACATGCCTTCCTCACTAAGCTTAATTATTTCTAGTCTTTGATTTAAATTGAGAAATGTGTGACTTTTTCTTTCACTTGAACACTTAGTGGCTATCGTATGGTAATTAGTTGGCCTAATTTTAGTTTTGTGGTGTATCAGAGAATAGGAAGGTCCGAGGACAGGGAGAGAGACAGGGGAAGGGCCTGACGATGGAGCAGTCAGAACGCACACAACAGTCTTATGTAGGCATGATTCCGGGTGTCCCAAAACAACTCCAACAGTAACATCAAAGATCACTGATCACAGATCACCATACCAAATATAATAATGATGAAAAAGTTTGAAATATTGTGAGGATTACCAAAATGTAACAGAGACTTGAAGTGAGCACATGCTATTGAAAAAACAGTGCAGATAGACTTGCTCAACACAGGGTTGTTGCCACAAACCTTCAGTGTGTAAAAACAACAAAATTGCATTGTGAAACACAATAAAAGTGAACCTCAACAAAATGAGGTGTGCCTGTATATATACTGTTGCTTCTATTTCTCTTGAGAACCCAAATATATTTGACTAATTCTTGTACCTGAGAAATTCAGAGAGGAGCACACTAGGAGCTGAGGCTCAGATCTCTGAGGATGGTGTGATGCTTGGCTAATGATGGTACTTCAAGCTTGTGGAGATTAGACATTGTGACCTGGGACTGAGGCCTCTGGGAGCAGGCACTACCCATCTGCTTTTGGTATCTCTGTGTGTGCACATCAAGGCTGGTTCTGGAAATGACTATACCAGCTTGAGATGTAAACCAACTGCAGTTTGATTGTGTGAAACACCATCTGCTAGAATGATGTTGATATAAACAAAATTTTTCTCCCTGCCTTTTCATTTTCCTCAGTGTCCCCAATTAGGTAAAACTAACAGCTGAAAAGAGAAGGTAGTTCTCAGATCCTCAGGCTCAGCCTCTCCAAGAAGAGTATATAAGAGTGGCTTTGGGACACAGTTCATCCTTGGTGGTCATGTATACGTACTTGAACTTCCATTCAAAACAATACCAGTTTTATGCTGCCATATAACAAGTTAAATGTATAGCTGTATAAATGAAATCACTCTCACCTTCTCCCTAACAAGGGTGGTATAAAAGCTAAACTCTCACGTATTCATCTCTAATTGACCATAATTTATACTTGTCTAGTGATGTTCAGTAGTCCTCTATTTCAGTTACAGTCCCACTGGAATACTCTGCAACCTCAAGACTAAATCCTAATGTAAGCCACCACCACCAAGCCTTACATAAAATAATAAATGAAATGAGGGAAGAGAAAAAGAAATTAGTCAATACATACATATACATACAAACATATACATACACATATATACTCACATACCCAAATATATGATAAAAATATGCAGAGTAGAGTTTTTATTTTATAGTTAATAACAAAAGCTACAGTAGAATTTTTCACTTCTTTATTTTATTATCAATGTCATATGTCTTTTGTCCTTGGAAAAAAGGAATGAACTCAAATCTTTACTCCTAGGATATCTGAATCCTCAAATCCTCAGTGGTTTTACATATATAAATGTATAACATATATAAATATAAATATATACATATATATAACACATGCATGCATGCACACATACACACACGCACACACATATAATTTTCCATTAATCTTTGCAGTTGGACTTGGAGGCATCCTAGGTAATCTTTTTGGTTTGCTGACATATTTGGAGTAGTGACCTAATTTTTCCTTGTAATCAGGATCAATCAAGCCAACCAGTGCAATAACTTGCCCGTTGGTTCAATGGCAAGAGAAGCACAAATTGGCCAAGTGGCTGTTTCAACTTATAATTCACTAAAAGCATTATTGTGTCTTCTGCTGAAAGCACTTTTTCCTTAGGAGGTAAAAAATTGAAACTAGCAGAGTTTAAATTATAGGAAATAAAGCAAAAAATTTTTCAATGGATTATTAAGAAAAATAGTGAAAGATGTGACTCCATCCTCCACCCCTTGATTCCCAGACCTATATATCTTGGCTCTAGGGCACATAACAGAACATATTGGTCAATGGCTCAAAACATATTTTCCATTATATAAGATAAAATCTTTTTTAAAAACAGGAGATGATCTCTAAATTGCACTGGAATTAAGTTTTCAACAGACCATTCCACCATCCTCTCAGGCCACCTGCTTTACAGTGATAAAGTGCATGAATAAAACCAGATAATTCTCTGAGTATGAACCCATTTGGCACACTTCTTTTAGTGTGACATAAGGATCTTGGTCTTAGGAAATGTTATGTGAAATAAAATGAAGGTAAATAAGGCCACAGATATTTGTGCTAATACAAAGCTTTGGGGCACAAAAAGCAAATGTATATCCACAATACAATCTCGATCCAATGATGGCAAATTACTATCTCCTCCCTGATGTAAGGCATTCAATCACTCAGCAATGAGGTGACTGGCTGGCCCCCATTAGGAAGGTGCCATTTGAGGGTTTTGTACTGATCTCTGCTCTTAAAAGAGTTAGGCATTCAGTAGTGGTGGCAGCCAGATATTCATTGGTAAGGAAAAGTGCACACTGTGGAGCTAATTACGTAGCCTCTAGCTCTGCCACAATGGCCACATTGTACCCTGGCACACTGAACAACTATCTGGGTTGCTGGGTGAAAAGAAAGATCCACTTATTCCTTTAACCTGAAGGATGCACCTGTACTAGTCGGGTTTCATGCTGTTATGAAGAAATACCCCAGGCTGTGTAATTATAAAGGAAGGAGATTTAATTAAATCACAGTTTCACAGAGCTGGGGAGGCCTCAGGAAACTTACAATCATGGTGGAATGGGAAGCAAAAACATCCTTCTTTATATTGTGGCAGCAAGGAGAAGCGCAGAGTGAAGCAGGAAGCAGGGAACTCCTTATAAATAAAACCATCAGATCTGGTGAGAACTCACTCAGTATCATGAGAACAGAATAGGGGAAACCTACACCATGATTCAATTATCTCCACCTGGTCCTGCCTTTGACATGTGGGGATTATTACAATTCAAGATGAGATTTTGGGTGGGACACAGCCAAACCACATCAGCACTTAAGGTAAGAAAAAAATGCAGATGACCTGGTGCAATCTCCTTTGTTACTAACCCTCTGGTAAATTACACTGATCATATTTGCTAGTAGGTAGAGACTTTATATTTGAAATGCCCTGAGCAGTATATTTCTGGCTAAAGATGACTTACAATAAATAGAACTCTCAGTCTTTGAGGCACAGCTCCAGGCACGGTTGGGAAACTCTCTGGGATATAAAACAGAGGTGTTTTGTAATTTAAACGTGCTCACTATGTGAGCTGATCCCACAACCTCATGTAGAGACCTCATCTGTTATTCTTCAGCCTTTTGACTTCCTGTATCCTTGATAATTATTTAATAAAGCTTGATACTGGATAAGATCTCTGATGCAGATGACTTATTTGATAATCCAATTGTGCATGTTAGCTCGCTAGGGAAATGTCTGACTGGTATCCACAGAACGTATTTTCTTGTTATCTTGTTATTCAAAGTGTCCTCTGTAGTGGGTGGTCTGTGATAATCACTCTTCACACTCTATGCTCATTTTGAGAGGCTCATCCACATAGCTCTCCATTGCTCCTTGCCATCAGTTTACCAACTCTGATATTTTTCTACATATCTGACCATCAAACCAAATGTTAGCAACTAATGACAAATATGTTTATCTCTTTATTTTTGGGTGTATCTTAAGTCAGACAAAATGCCAACAATATCTACTATTCCAAGTTCTGCCCAATTGAAAGATGGCCTTTTGACACTGCTTTTCAGGGACATTTGTGGTTGGGGTTTTAATTACACAGCATTTTTCAGCTGATGTCAGCATAACATGCCGAACTATTAATCCTAAGGAACTGCTTATGATACCACATGTTTGAACTGACTAGAGAATTCAATGCAGAATAGAAAGGTGTTATAGGACTGTTATGGACTGAATGTTTGTTTCTCTCCAGAATTGATATGTTGAAATCCTAAATCCTCTAAATGTGATGGTATTAGGAGGTGGGACTTTTGGAGATAATAAGGTCACAAGGGTGACACCCTCATGAATGGAGTTAGTGCCCTTCTAAGAAGAAACAGGAAATAATTTTCTTCCTCTCTCCACTCTCCACCATGTGATAATACAATGATAAGATGGCCATCTGCAAATGAGGAAGAGTGCCCTTACTAGACACCAAATCAACTAGTGTCTTGATTTGAAATTTCCAGACCAAAAAACAAAGAAATAAATTTCTGTTGTTTAGCCACTAACTTTATGATGTTCTATTATATAATGGCAGTTTGCAAATGACTAAGAAAAGGAGTTCAAGCCACCTGTTCATGCAAATTATTTGTGTCTTCCGTTGTATTTATTTAAATATTCTATTTGTACTGCACTGGTGTTGATATATACATGTATATATTTATCTGTTTCTGTAAATATCTATAAATATGCCAAAAAGAGGCAGAAGATATACCTGCTTATACATAAATATGTACGCATATGGTAGTTAAATACATGAATACTGTAATAGATTGTGTGTGTGTTTCTGTGTGTGTGTGTTTCATATGTGTTTCCTCTATGTCCACCATTGGATCTTTGCACAGTATGGGAAATGCATCAGGTGTAACATCAAAAGCTCAAAAAGTACTCTGTTCATAGACGACACAAATCACATAGCTGTTTACTGGGATTCTCTTTAATTTTATAAAATATTTGTGTGTCTTAGTAAAATTATAAACTAAATATGGAACTTATGAATCAGCATTGGAAAAATAAATCAAGAATTAAAAAGGACACAGTATATATCCATTTGGTTGATTATCTCTTAAAAGATTTTCCCTCATTTGGAAAACAGGAGTGATAAGAGTTCCTACTTCACAATGTTGCTAAATGTTGCTAAAGGAATAACATGAGATAAACATATAAAGTTTGGATCAGAGTAAACTCTCAATAAATACTTGTTTTCATAATGTTTGTTATTTTTTATGTCAAGCATTATAGTAGTAAATTTGGGGAGACATAGAGGTATAAGGTACAATATTGTCTTCCTCGGAGTTTCCAACCTAGCTAAAGACAAAATAATACAAGGATTAAATAGCACCCTGCTTAAATTTAGAAGTCTTATGCTTGAATCCTACTCTGCTAAACAGGCTATGTATCCTTGAGAGGGTAACTTGTTTTTTTCTGAAAGTCTATGTCTTTATCTAAAATAGAAATAATAATGGATATTTCAAAGATTTAAGTAGTGATTTGTATGATACAAACACTGTAAGCTTTAAGAGTGAAAAGAACGGCAAACTCAGTCTTAGCTGTGGTTGTCAAGAAAAGCTTCAGGAAGGTGTTAGGATTGAGCTAGGCACTGAACGGAGTCAAATAAGTTAAAGAGAAGAAAAGAACATTCCAAGAAACCATGAAATGGAAAGAACATGAGTAAACGTTGAGTCAGGGATAAACATGACAGACGTGGCACCAGTTGGAAAACACAGGTATCAGATTAGAATTAGTTAGGTAGGTTAAATAGAAGTAAAGGATAAATGCTTGGATTCTGGATGACTCTTCCTGCTTTCATATCCTTGCCTTGCTGTTTACTTTGTGTGACCTTTTTGGGTCCTTCTCAGTCCATACATAACAAACAACAAAATACACTATGCCAAGTTCTGCCTAATAGATGGACTTCCCTTTACCCGTGGTCCTTCAGAGACATTCCTCCATTTTCTGGTTTGTGCCTAAAGAACAGTTTGTGCTTAAGTACCCAAGTTTTCTCATTCGTCAAAAGGAGATAAGAGTGTTTATATCACAGAGTTGTTGCAGTGATTAAAGCATTCAACATATGGAAAGTACTTAAAACGGCATATAGTAAGTGCTATAAAAATGTTTTAAAATTACTATTTAAATTTATGTGTCAACTTTAAAGAGTGTCAGCTTATACTCAGAAATAATAAAGTTAAATAAAATAATCCTACTTCTTTCCATATTTTGTTTCTCAAGCCAAAAGAACTTTCTTCTCTGTGTTTACTTTTTAGTCCAAGTCAAATATTTGATACATGAAATTGAGTGTGAAGAGGTGGTTAAAGGTAAAACACTTTCTCAATAAAAACTGTTGCATTTGGTTTCATGAACAATAAAACAGCATGTTAAAATATTTATTTTCTATTGCTTCATATTCCATCTTCCATAAGTTACAGCCTGCTTTTATAAAATATCTGTGAAGCAGTAAGGTTTCACATCATCACTTCCTTGGAAAAGTGACCAACTCCACCGTGTCCAATTTGGAAGTTATTCTCAAAGTACACCAGGTAGCATAAAGTGAAACAAAGACATTAGTCATGGATTTCGACTCTCTCCTTCGTATACAGTTCTTTTAGAAGCATACCCTTCTGGGTAAGAGCACAGATATTTCTCTGTCTAATTATAGCTCGTCAAGTCTTACACCATGATGATAAGGAGAATTGTTCAATAAGCCCCTTGGACAGCTTCCTGACTTTATGCTACATATGTTAACGAGCCAGTGCTCCTAAGAACCTGAACTGATGAAATAAGTGACTGATTATATGGGCACAGAGAGTCATGAAAGTGCATGTTTAAAAGGATGGTTTTCCACCTTGAATACACTTCTGCCTAATTTCCATATATAATGTCCATGCCAAGTAATTTTACAGTGATGGTAGAATATAGCATGATAAGAGAACTGAAGGGATATGCATCTTCAATATGGCCCTGCACACAAAATGTTTTTCCCCTATTTATTCCTCCCCATAGGGAGTTATAGGAAAGAACTGATTACCTCCCCCGATCTTTTTAGGACAGTTCTGTTGGACAAAAAAAGTCTCCCTTATAATAAATTGAAACCATTTCCTCTCAACCTTAGCTTTCTCCTTTCTCTTACTCATTAGTTTCTTCATATTCAAGACCATCAACCAATATCCCCCTTCAATGTGAAACTGTACTTATTTGAAGAAAACCTCTCTTCCAAAAAAAAAAAAGAACAAAATGGATACACTAGTTTTTTGTTGTTGTTGGCCGCATGTATGTCTTCTTTTGAAAAGTGTCTATTCATATCTTTGCCCACTTTTTAATGAAGTTTTTTCCTTGTAAATTGGTTTAAGTTCCTTATAATTGCTGGATATTAGACCTTTGTCAAATGCATAGTTTTCAAAAATTTTTTCCCATTCTGTAGTTTATATGTTTACTCTGTTGATAATTTCTTTTGCTGTGTAGAAGCTCTTTAGTTAGATCCCATTTGTCAATTTTGGCTTTTGTTGCAATTACTTTTGGTGTCTTCGTCATGAAAGCTTTGCCAGTTCTTATGTCCAGAATAGTACAGCCTAGGTTGTCTTCCAGGGATTTTGTAGTTTTGTGTTTTACATTTAAGTTTTTAATCTATCTTGAGTTGATTTTTGTGTATAGTGTAATGAAGGGGTCCAGTATCAGTCTTCTGTGTATGGCTAGCCAGTTGTCCCAGCAACATCTATTGAATAGGGAGTCTTTTCCCCATTGTTTTTGTTAGCTTTGTTGAAGGTCAGATGGATGTAAGTGTGCAGCCTTATTTCTGGGCTATAGGGTTCCATTGGCCTATGTGTATGGTTTTGTACTAGTATACCAAGCTGTTTTGGTTACTGTAGATGTAGGGTGGAAGTTGGGAGGAGGGAGAGGATCAGGAAAAATAACTAATGGGTAACAGACTTAATACCTGAGTGACACAATAATCTGTAAAACAAACCCCCATGAGAGAAGTTTACCTACGTAACAAATCTGCACATGTCCCTCTGAACTTAAAATAGAAGTTAAAAAAAAAAAAAAAAAAAAAAGACCACACCTCCATCCCTGGGCTTGCTGTAGAGCCTTCCACGGAATTTAAACCAGGGCTTAAGGTGGCTACAAACAAGATTCACAGAATGTTAAGTGTTATATATCATCTTATTGTTCATACCCTACCATTAATACAACCCTTTACTACAATGCACCATTTACTGACTCAGGATGGTAAACACAGAAAAATGCTTTTTTTTGTTTTGTTTTTTTTGAGACTGAGTCTTGCTCTATCACCCAGGCTGGAGTGCAGTGATGTGATCTCGCTCACTGCAAGCTCCACCTCCCGGGTTCACTCCATTCTCCTGCCTCAGCCTCCCGAGTGGCTGGGGCTACAGGCACCTGTCACTGCACCGGGCTAATTTTTTTTTTTTTTTTTTTTTTGTATTTTTAGTAGAGATGGGGTTTCACCATGTTAGCCAGGATGGTCTCGATCTCCTGACCTCGTGATCCACCCGCCTCAGCCTCCCAAAGTGCTGGGATTACAGGCGTGAGCCACCGCGCCTGGCCAGAAATATGCCATCTTTTAAGGAGGGAGTTGTCTAGCTGCAGTCAGTGTGGTCAGTAGATAAGACTCTAGCTGTTACCTCCTTTAGATTTGATTCAGCTGCAGAAAGCTGCTTCACCTGATGTCACACCTTTTGTGGGGAAGTCCACAACCAGTGACCAAGTGAGCAAGGTAACAGGATAAAGGCCCAGCTGCTTGAGCCAGTTTTTGGGTAACTCTGATGTGCCACATTCTTCCTTGAGCTTCCTTCCTGGTTGGCCAAGGCTGTATTGGATCTGCACTGCATTTCAACTTTTCCTCCACTCCATCCCACTTCCTCCCACTTTCTTTCCCAAGTATTAATCTCTAAGAAATATCCTAAAGCCCCAATTCATCTTAACATCTACTCCAAAAAATGTAACTTGCAATTCTTGGAAACTGAGGTAATAGAAATGTAACATTCTAAAAATCACGTTAATTACAGGCAGGCATTTCATTAGGGCATGAATCTTTTAACCAGAAATCCAATTTTCTACGCTTCCATTCAGCCCCATGTCCACAGATATCCATGACAATTTGGTTAATGTGAGTTTTGCAAGAGTAATATCAATTTAAAATGATTAGATATAGACATTGAATGAAAACCATAAAGCCACCTGTATTGACTATTCATATTCCTAGGACCTAAGAACTTCAAGCACAGGTTGCTGGTTCATCCTTCAATCTCCATACATCAGCTAATTGATGGTACAGCCTTAAGGGTACAGATAAAAAACAAACTGATATTGTCTTACAAACATGAGCAATACCCACAAGAGCTACATCTCAGGCATATGAGATGCTCCAATAATTCCTATGCTAGCCTCTACTCCCAAAGATTTCAAGAAAATAATGTCACACATGTTATCTATTTCTTTACAGAAATGTCTGGTTTTCTCCTAATTTTCTCTGTAATCCTGGTTGTTGGCCAGACATGGTATTTTTTTTTCTGGGGTTCTTTTTCATAAAACCTTACAAATTATTTAACTCTCCAATTGGAGACTAGACGAGTCAATACTACAAGGAGAAAATAAGATAATCAAACATTTCTGCTGTCCTGTGAGATATTTGATAATAAGCATGTATCTTCATAGCTGTCAATCTGTTTGGGGTTGATTATGGTGAGCAGCTGCAAGTAGAGTAATTTTGAAATGGTATCTAAAATCACCACTAATAATATTTCTAAACTAGTGTATCCAACAGTTAAGTTAGTAAAGAAAAACAGCCTAGGTCTTTCTGAATTATTGAACTCAGTTCCAGCAATGCAACAAGGACAGATCTTCACAGGAGTTACATAATTCATTATCTCCATAAACTAGCTTATTATTAGCAACTCAATATTTTGCATATGAATTTAATTGAAAATTGCATTTCCTCTGTGCACACCTAATTCATTTATTGAGTAATCTTGATATTTCAATGGATAAAACATTACAAATACAAATGGGATACACTCAGAGGTTTACCACAGAAGACTGTTAAAATACTCTGCTTTTTAGTCAGTTTAAGAAAAAAGCTTTCATTTGAAAAGGGTTCTACTGCCTTGGAGTGTCTAAGGATGGTTCAGCTTTAGAGAGAAGCCTGAACCGAGTCACCCTTCTAATGCTGAGTGGAGACTCTACAGTCTCACAGCTTCCCTAGTTTTTAGGTCTCTGTTATGGTAAATATCAAACCCAGCTTCTCAACCTGTATTTTTAGTGCATTTAAAAAAAAAACACTTAATTCCATATAGCACCAAATTGATGTTATATCATTTATAGTAAAACATTAATTTTAAAGTTGATTTGCTACAAAAATATATGGAAAATAATTCATTCAATAAATACATATCTGGCATCACTCTGGGCACTTGGTATATCAGTGAAAATAAAAGAAAGACAAAAATCTCCACCATTTCCTCTCAACGTCGCAAATATATTTTCTACTATGTGCCTGGGGTAGAGAGAGGGCTTTACACTCCAGGGTTTTGTTTCTTTGATTGACTGATTTTTAAATATCCTTGTATTATCAAGCCCAAACTTTTCCACTTGTCCTTAAATAAAGACTCATTTAACCTGGCCCCATAATATCCTTCCAAAATAGATCCCATACTATCATCTCTCTATAGTCCTGATTTTCTCTATTCACCCTAATCTTTTTAAAAATAAATTTTATACCTTGGTCTATTGTATTTTTGCACCTATCCAACACACCTGTATGGATCAAGGTAAGAATAATATCCCCCAGGAATGTTTCCTGATTCTTCTAGTCCAAGACAGTTATTTTCATCTCCCAATTTCTAATGAAATTAGTTTATGTGACTATTTCCCTAATCTCCCCCAAACAGATTGGTAGACAAGACCATGCATACATTCATTTGATGTTCTCCCAAAGGCTTCAGATTATGCTGAGCACAAGTGAACAATGAGCTATTTTTCAGTAATCTTGCTAATTTTACACGATTGTGGCCATGGTTTTAAAGGCACAGTGGCATCTCAATAGTCTCCCTTAGCAATTAAAAAGTGATTCAATTTCCCATTATCTATTTTCCATGGATGGACTTGCATTATTTATAAAAATGCACCTGAAATATCACTGCAACAATTTGTTAAGATGTTATCTCTACACCATTAGAATACCCTATCAAATTCTATAAAGACATTCCAGATCTGTATTTAAATAAAGAATTCTTGTTTACAGATTTTTTTTAAAGTAGGCAGCACTTACCTTTTATACAAGCTTGTGGAATATGAATGAACATAGCATATTCAGCAAATAATGAAAAATTATTTGAATATTTTTGACTCAGCAAGTGTACATAGAAATGGTGTAAATGAGAAGCAATATATTGGAAAATTGTACTTCGTGGCAAATTTCAATTTGAATTCACTTATAGGAAGGCTTTTCACTTTATATGATAATAACTCAGTTACAAATATATTGTCTAAAAATACTAGATTTTTAATTTTTTGTTATTTTTTCCAGGTCCTTAGAGTAGGAAGATGATGAGCTGTGGTCCTAACAATCTTAGTAGCTATGGTAGCCAGAATAATGTTCCCAAACTGTTGGCCATGTCCTAATTCCTGAAATTTGTGAATATTATTCTTTTATGTGGCCAAAAGAATTCTGAAAATGTAATGAAGTTAAAGATCTTGAGATGGGGAGATTATTTTGGATTATGCAGGTGGGTCCGATATAATCACAGGGTCCACATAAGAGGGAGGCAGAAGTGTCAGAGTCAGAGAAGACCAAGTAACACTGGACCCAGAGATGAGAGTGATGTGTGGCCACAAGCCAAGAAATGAACACAGCCTCTAGAAGACAGAAGAGGTAAATAAATGATTCCTATCCAAGAGCCTCTTGAAGAAATAAGCTCTGTTGACCAATTTTAGATTTCTCAACTTCATAACTATATAATAAAATGTGTGGTGTGTTAGGTTACTAAATGTGTGGTAGAAGTAGGAAACTAGTAGCGTAGCTTATATTGTCTAGAAGCCATCTGCCTTTGAGGTAACGTAGCTTCCTCTTGTGTATGATCTGAGCTACCTTTAGTTTATAATAATTTACCATAGTTTTCCATTTCATATCTAAGTACTAAAAACTGCTTTGTAGTTATTTTAGTTTCTTAGGAGAAAAATAACTATATGATGTAACATTTCCATTTCTTTTGGCTATTAGCAAGATTCTAAAGGTATGCAATAATATTCCCCCAAAGTAGATTTCTCTACTTTTAATCATCAGCCACCACTACTTCCTCTTGATTACATGATTTGCCTTCTCACCAATCTATCTTGTTTCTTTGCCACATTGTGTCTTCTACTATAGCACATTACAAATCTAAGTACAGAACAAAGATCTATCTGATGACAACAAGGGCACAAAACATGCATTTTAAACTAAATAACCAATATCCTAAAATGGCATCACATGGTATACTTTACGTTTCAATGGTTCACTAGTCAAATCAGGTAATATCATTAGCTAGACTTTTTTCATATTAAGAAGCAAATTCTTAGAGGTTAAACTAATTGTAGATGTCCCAATATAGTAAAAAGAACACATTTATTCTCATTAGGAAAGAGCAGCCTTCTTAGGAAGAGTAATCTTCTACGCATTTACTACCTGTCCAGTACTTTAAGACTTGAAACTTTAATTCTTTACATATGTGAAGCTTAGAATCATTTGAGGAAATAGCAGAAGCAGGTTAAAAAAAGTAGTATGTGATTAGTCATCAGGTATTTCAGTCAATACAATCTATACAAAGAAAATTAAAGACTGATCGAGGATAGGTTGTTTTTCAGAAAAGCCTATATGTAGACAGGACATGAGCTGGGCTTATAATTATGAGCAGGATGCAGTTAAATACAGGAGAGGAGAGAAGCCATTCTAAATGAAGCAACAGGAGTAAAGACAAGAAGAAAACCTAAGTAGAACACTTCAGTTATTAGGTAAAATGGAGGAACTGTGGAAAATAAGAATAAACAGGAAGGAAAGTCTACATTTAATGGAACAATCAGCAACAACTTTGAAATATCATGTTAGCTTTAGCAATAAAGTGAATAAAAGCTTTAAAAAGACAATGATTACTACAACAAGTTGAAGGGTGAGAAAGCCACAAATTAGAAACACCAAGTCTAGGGGATTGTGAATGGAGAACAAGATTTTAATCAAGGAGCCATCTGACCCATAGTACTGTCACAGGATCCTTTGGGTGTCATCTTTCCAGTGGGAAATCTCTGTGGCCAATGGCACCTTTGCCCGTGTTTTGCTTGGGCCCGCTGGGCTCATTCTGCCCACTTGGCCTGGCAGTCTGCACTCAACTCTCACTACCGGCTTGGATCCCTTGCCTGCTAAGGGCAAGCCAGGTGCAGAGTGGTGATGGGTATGTGAGTGAGTGAGCATGGGGTCTGGCCACTGCACACAGCCAAGCATGCCGGCTGCGGTGGGGCAGGCAGCTCCAAGTGCCTGCACAGGTGCCAGCTCCCTGTGAGGCTGCAGATGGACCAGGAGCACTGCAAACGGCTTCCACGGCTGGTACTGGGAACACAGTGGCACCTAGAAGCTTGGAGATGACAGGAACTGCAAAGCCCCAAAGAGGGTGTCACAGCCCTGGCTCGTGAAGCTCTAGGGCTGGGCTCCCCAAAGGGCTGCAGCTCGTCTATCCTCTCTTCTCTCCTTCTCGTCATCCACAATGTGGTGAGAAAGGGGCCTGTGTCAGCTCGTTTGTGTTACAGCACTTTCAGCCCTGCCATTCAGCGGGTCGCAAGTTCTTGTCTTGTGTCCAGAAAGAATGAGTTACACAGACAAGTGGAGGGTAAGCAAGATGAAGCGGGGCTTTACTGAGCAACAGAATAGCTCAGAGGAGACCCACAGTGGGTAGCTTCTCTCTCCAGGCTGGTTGTCCTGATGAGTGCTCAGCTCTCATCAGAGAGGAGACCCACAGTGGGTAGCTCCTCTCTGCAGGCAGTGTCTGGAGTGTTTAGAACTCAGCAGAGAGGAAACCCACAGTGAGTTGCTCCTCTTTGCAGGCAGGTTGTCCTGTCCTCTGCTCAGCTCTCAGCAGAGAGGAGACCCATATTGGGTAGCTCCTCTAGGCAGGCAGGTTGTCCTGTCCTCTGCTCAGCTCTCAGCAGAGAGGAGACCCAACGTGGGTACCCCCTCTCCATAGGCAGGTCGTCCACTGCTGGAGTCTGGCTGAGTCCAGGGTTTTATGAACTTTAGGAGAGGAAGTGTGTGCTGATTGGTCCATGGGTGGTCATGGGCGGGCCCAGGAAAAGCACCATAAGTTCTCACTCTGGCAGCCTGGCCCTCAGGGCACAGGCCAGGCCCAGCCTGAAGGTGGGGTTTCACTGGCGACCCACCCCTTTCTGCCTGGGAGCCTGTCTGCCTCCTGCCGCCATTAACTTGTCATCACAGTGCCCACAGCACCCAAGCTGTGCTGAGGGGTGCCTGCAGGCTTGCTTTGAGCCACCCTTAGCCCCGCCCTTGGACTCCCTCTTGTGCTTATCAGTGCCCAAAGTCCAGAGGGGGCCAAGGTGGCAGGGGACTGGCGTGTCAGTGCTGCCTCGAGTGTGTGCACACCCAGCCAGGTCATGACAGCATCCGGACTGTGCCACAAATTTGTTCTGAAATTGAAGTGGGCACCCAGAATGGGGAGAGGCCAGGCATCAGGAGCAGGCACTTCTGAGCCTGCAGCAGGGGGCGGCGGTTGCTTCCCGGTCCCAGAGAGTGTAGAGATGTCTGGGTCTGCAGCCCTGGCTAGACAGCGGTGCTCAGGAGGGTGGGGCTCCTGCCCCTCCCACTTGGAAGGGGGCATGGCTTCTTCCTGTTCCCAGCTCCCGCTGGCTCCGTGGGGCATACAGCCCCATCCACACCTCCGCGACTGCAGCCAGCGTCATGGCAGCGGCTGCTCCAGATAGGCTACTACCTGTGATACTATAAAGTTCTGAGTCCACACTGTGATGCTTAAATAGTATAAATGTTAACTTAGGGAGATCAAACATACTAATTTATAAGATTATTTGTATTGAGTACGTAAATTTATGAAAAGTACATATTCAAGAAATTGATCTAAAGAAATCCATTCTTCCTTGACGTTAGAAGAACTCTCATCTTGACATGAGCTCCAAAGAACATTGTTCAGGGCCATAATGAGCAAAGCAACTTAATAATTTAGAGACCACTACAGTTATTGCAAAAGCATGAAATGTCATAGTATCAGAGAGAGTCAAGTCATGTAAACTGAACAGAGTATCTACCAAAAAATGAGAGCACACAAAAATATCACTTCACTTATTTTGATTTTAGACTGAAAAATAAACTTCAACAAAAACAACATTTAGATGAAATGAGAAAAACTGATATTAACAGAAGCAAAGGAAATTGGAGGGAAAAAGATTTACTACATCTGGAAATAGCCAGATATATTTGCACTTATCCATGAACATATCTGTAACTTTATCTTTAGGTCTATTGATCAAAATTCCTGGCTCTTTTTTTCACCGTTAACCCTTGTCCTTAACTCTCATCTATGAAGTAGATTTGCTATCTAGATGCATGTAACTACGAACACAGGTGTAAGCCTTCAGTAAAGTTAGGGATAGTAGAGTTTGAAGAAAATATGCCAATTTAAGTGAGCAGGAGGATTACTTCCTGGTAGAGGATACACAGGCAAAACCAAAACCAAAGCTAAAACCAAAAGAAAAATGAAGTCTGGGCAATTAAGAGGGAATGAGAGAAAAGGTCTGAATGATTGACTGAAGCTATCCCTAAAACGAAGCCTCCAAGGGAGCAAGGACTACAATCTGGGAAACAAGGAAGAGAAGGAGAAATATCAGAAAGGTAAAGCAGACGGGACCAGAGTAATTGTCAAAGGTAAGTGCTGTATGTACTGCAGTTCACAGCTGGTTTTCAGAGGCCTTCCTAGAAAGGTCTTGTGGATAAGTCAGTTGACTTTAAAGATCTAGGGATAGCTTAGATCAGCTGAAAGTATACTTTAGAAAGTAAGAGTTACGCTCCTGGTTATAGCTTCTCAAATATTTGTTATCTCAATAAGCTATATATGAAGGTACCTTAGAATGATATTATCAGAAGCAGACAGTCCCCAGATTACCATTTCAAATATGCTACACACTGTGAATTATAGAGGTCAACATTTTTATAAAATTATAAAAGCACCCGTGTTTCCTTGTTTTTCATTTTGTGATATAACTTAGCATTATAAAGAAGAGAACATTTCTTAAATGTTGAGAAGTAGTTATTAGTAGCAACAAAGATTCTATTGATCTCCTACCCCCTTAAGACTCCATGAAAATCGCTTGTTTTTCCCCAAGTAAGCATCAGGCCATGAGAAACATATATTTGAGTTTGATCTTGCAAATATACAGACATATTTTCCATTTCCTAAATCAAAGTCGAACACTGTTGAGTATAGTAGATGTCATCTATGAGAGATTATTTCACACATTCTTTTATTCTTTCTTTAGCCTATATAACGATACACACTGTAGAAAATGCTAAACCAAAGACATGTGAAATCTCTGTTGGGTAGACTTCTCTCATATTTTTATAAAATTTACTCTACACGCTAGTGCAAAGCTTCTATACTAATATTTTCAATGTCCTACTCCATCTCTCTGGGCTATAAGGGATTCCTAAAAAGAAAATAATTAAAGTGCTTAAATGTTAAGCATGTTATAAAATATGAGACTGGGTCATTAAGAGAAAATTGTGGATTGCGTTTCTCAGCATGCATACCATACAACAAAAAGAGGGTCTGCATGAGGTGCTTATCTGTATTAATGAGACATTCACCACTCCATCTATGTAGTAATTACGATCCAGCCCAAATACTGTGACCACATATAATTTGCATATCATCTAAATAGCTATGTGGCTGTAATCTGCTTTGAGAAAGTACAAAAGTCAATGGTATATGAAAGACACAATGCCTGCCAGCTATCTCCCTTGTCTTTTATCACTGCACACCACCAAGCACAATTAGTCAAAAGGCTTACATGACAATCAACAAAGAAAAAGAGGCTTCTTCTGAAATTTTTCCTAGGGACTCAGAAATGGCAGGTGAGAAGCTCTGAGGTTATCTTTTGAAAATCTGGGCCAAGAACAAAAACAGATAAGTAAAAAGAAGAATGTGAGCCAATCCATTTTCATCAGGCTAGAAAGGCTAAAAGTTGCAGAAGCAAAGAAAGATAAAGTCAAGAGGAATGAAATGAAAGACAATGTCATGTCCATTGGAAATTCAGAAGTGGTCATTCACCTGCCATTTTTTGACCTCCATGTTCTCTTTAGCTTTACACCCCTATATGTGGATGCCTTCCTCCAACCTCCAGCTACCTGTCAGAATTCCATCTCAAAGTTCCAAACAAATATTGCATTATTTGTGACGGTCTCCCTCACCTTCCTATAAAAATAAATATTTTTAGTACATAGCATGCATCCTATTGGGTGAGGCATCGTGGCTACTGTGATACAATGTAAAATATTTCAGGATTTGGCGTCAGACTTGGATTATTTCTACCCACTTTCTTGCTGTATGACTTTGAAAAGTCATTTAAGGCTTGATTTTTTCTCATGTGTAAAATGGTTGTCATCAAGCCATTCATGGGGCTGTCATGAAGTTTAAACAAGATGAAATATATAAAATGCTGAACACATAGTAGTTTAATACATGGTAGATTCACAATGACTTTTAGTTCTCTTTGCTTCTTTCTCTTTTGGCCTCTGTTTTTCTTCTCAGATCTACGTATATAGTGCCAATATTATAGATACAAGAAATTAATCAAGTTTCTAATAAACCCATAGTCAATAGTAATCCACTGTTAACATACATTCATATACTCAATGTCTTACAGTAGATATCAGCAAACTATAGCCTGGAGTCCAAATCCATCCTACATATTTTGCATAGCCTATGAGTTAAGAATGGTTTTTACACTTTTAAGGGGTTAAAAAAATCAAAAGAATAATAAAATCATGTCAAATTGAAATTTCAGTGCTCATGTAGTTTTATTGGAATACATATATGCTCATTTCTTTATGTATTGGCTTTGGCTGCATTTTTCTTACAATGGCAGAGTTGAGTGGATAAGGGTGAATGAGACACAGAACCTAAAATATTTATTATCTGGCCTTTTACAGAAAAAGTCCACTAACGCTTGTCTTCCATTAATACCAATAAAAAACTACAGCAGAATTATTCATGAGCAGGCTACTGTTCCAGACTTTGGTTCTAATTTCCTGATAACAAAAATGGCTGCAACTTAACAATAGGTTGTGTACAGTAAGCTCAGAATAGACATTTTTTAATACATAAAGAAATAACTAGGTAAAAGACATAGGTCCTGTGAAAGGTAAAATGATTCTTTCACTTATTAAAATTTCCCTTAAAATAAGGTAGGAAATTATAGTTCTCATAAAAATCACATGGAATATTAAGAGAGCATGACTAATTCCCAAGAAATTCAGAGTTTGAAAAAGTCATGTTTTTGTTTAGCATAAATCCAAATATTTATATGTTATGTAAAATACTTGGCATTTAAACTCCATGTCTAAAACTTTCTTGGATGATTAATATAGCAAATTTCATTTACTCATTAAAAATACATAATCAGTAGAAGTGAAATATAATGAGGTGACATTTAGAGATGCGTAAAAACAATTTTCTCATTTGTCCCTTGGATACTGTTAGGTAAAAATAAAATGCATATTTTAAAAGATGCATAATTGTATGCAATGTTCTTTCCTTTATAGAATTTTCACATGTTCATGTTGTCTTGACATGATTTCTTCATTTAAAAACAAATTATAGCCATGATTTTATTTATGGCTATCTCATACTTCTTCATAAAATTTTAAAAATCTAATAGACAAAGTTTAAATTAGTGCTTCTAAAATTTGAATGTGTTTATAAATCACCTGGGGATCTTGTTACAAATTCAAATTGCTCCCTGGTGATGCTGACATCACATTCAGTGGCAATGTCTAAATAAAACTGGCTTCTCACACTCAGAGGCACAAAACCAAGTAGCCATGCTTTAAGAGCTATAATTTTGCCCCTTGCACCTTGTATAAATTCAGAATAAAATTGCTTCATTTGATATTTGCTTGGAGATTTCAACAAACTATAGACTGTTTGAAATTTTTAAATGTTAATCTTTTTACAAAAGTAACACATTTGTCTGCCTCCGGGAAACCAATTCCAGATTTTAGCAACATTCTTTGTGTTCCTCTACAGTCTGTGATTCCATCCATGCCCATATTTCTTATTTTTAAGAAATATGGGAATTTGGACAATGGAGGTGGAATGTATGTTTCCATGCTTTATACTAAAATTTACTTTTGGGGAGGGATAACTTCTGAAAATGTTTATGAAAGACACCTTTAGTTCTAATGGCTTTCCTAATCCTTACTGAACATTAAAAAAAAAAAAAAAAAGAAAAGAAACACAGTGTTCTGGATAAAAGTCTAACAGTCCGGAGTAACTCTCCAGAATGATTTAATGATCTTACAGCAAGCTCTCTCACATAATAGAGGATAGGATCTGCTTTGAGGGAAAAAAAAAACAAAAACAAAGCAAAAAAAAAAAAAAAACTTTAATGACTCTCACTGCCTGTAACATGAAGTCCACACTTCACTTTTCAGCAGAACACACAGGCTTTCAGAATCTGACACTCCCTGGCCATTGTATTCTCTCACAACTCATACACTCACTCCACAGGCCCGTCCTGTCTGTGACTGTGCTGTGCTTCTCATGTCTGTGCCCCTGCGTGTGTTTTTCCTTGATCTGAAGCACTCTGATTTGCCTGTCTCACTCATTCACTCTTCTTGAAGATCGCATCTAACGTTTCCAGTCAGAATCTGGGGCTTTCCTTTATATCTTCCCAATCCTGTTACAGCACTTATGTCATGGCTGAAATTCTTCGCTTGCAATAGATTGTGACCCTCTCTAGGATAAGCATATTCCAGTCATGTCCATATTCCGGTGCCAAGTGCAGTGTATTGTGACAGATTCTTGATGAATGTCCAGTGAATTGACAACTAAATGAGTTTTATTTCCAATAATATATATTAGAAACTATAAACATGTATTTTGAACACAGATGCTAAAAAGCTGCTCAAAAATTGTCGCAAATAGAAAGGGATGGGAGATATGACAAGTAAATGCAATATGGATCCTGAATTGGATCCTGGAATAGAAAATAGAGGTGAGTTAAAAATTGGTGGAATCCAAGAAAAAAAGGTATGTTGTTAATAGCATTGTACCAATGTTAATTTCTTAGTTTTGACAAAAGTAATATGAAAAATTACAATTATGTAAGATGTTAACATCAGGAGAAGCTGGGTAATGAGTGTATCAGAACACTCTGTAGTAGCCTCATAATATTTATGTAAATCTAAAATTGTTCCATAATAGAAAGTTAAAAGAAAGTCTGCTCAAATCATAGTCTCAAGCTAGATTTCCTAAGTCATTTAGTCATTCAATAAATATTTACTGAAAATGTCTAACATATAGTAAGTGTTCAAAAATACTTCTTGAATGAACGACTGCTACATGAATAATAGGACATATGATGACTTTCTTTCTTGGACATGCCATTGTTAAAGTCACTGGTAAATTAGCTAACAAAGGAAGCCAGTACTGTTGTCCGAATATCACAATTTCAGTGAGGGGACTCGATAGTATTCTTTAGCCCACTAGTTAATTAGTACTAAGATTTTCATGCCACTTAACTGTTTCTTTAAGCAACAAATAAAGATGATACCAGGTGGAACATTTTTCTTTAAAGGCAACAAAATAGGAAAGATATCAGTGAAATAGACAATATTATATGCAAAATTGTAATATGAAGTGCAAAATTATTTTAAGTAAACAACACAGTTTATGTGTTGAGATAACAAATAAGTGGTTTGGGGGACAATGAACAAATAACAAATCCGGAGTGGTAACATGGCTTTCAATATTAAATATCTGCATTAGCATTTAGATAGTATATTTATCAATTTCAAATAAAAACACCTATAAATTTGTGTTTTCATCAAAAGACTACAAAGCGAAACTTACTGTGATAGTTATACATTTAGTCAAAAGAAGCTAAGTGTTCAACCAGCAAGAGTCCCTATGGCTAACCCATCCTCACTTAACTCAGAAGATTTATTCACTTTATAGCTATATTATTAGAATCTTCAGAAAATGATTTTTATTTTTCTTCCAAATGTAGAGACTCTATGTGACTTTTATTAAATTAATTACTATTTTTAAATGCTAAATAATTATATAAAGGTAAACAATAGAATCTGAATGTTTTAATACATTTTATTTGAATTTACTAACAGAAATTTTCTAGTTACAGCTGACAATAATTTTTTCTTTGAAAATATTATAGCTACTCAATTAAACTGTGATACTACATTCTAAATCATGCATTAAATTTTACCATCATTAATATAATGTGACAAATGTATTTTCAAAATTCTGTGTATGTGTGTAGTAACTATAATGAAAAATTAACCTTAACAGTAGTTCTAAAGTTTCTTATGGTTAAGTCCATGCAGCAGAACAAACTAGTATAAAACATAGTAAATGGCCTTGTGTTGCTCAGGAAACTATATCATCCACTGATTTGAAATTTGCTTTGAATATACAAAAGTTCTTATCAAGAATGCTTTGTTTTGCTGTCAAAAGCTTAGCTTTTTTTAAAAAGTTTTTTAAAAATGTGTTTTAGTCCCCAAAAAAGTAATGAAGAAGGGAAGTGAGATATCAAATTGAGTGAGCAGCTACTTTAATAGGTGGCAGATATATACATGTAAACTGAACTCTTGGTTTCCTTTATTCTGAAACTTAACTCTTTTCTATTGTTTCCTGATAAGGAAATAGCTCTATTTGTCAGTCATGGAATTTCTCACGCCAAAAAAATTTAAGTCATTGTTGACAATTTATAACCTTTACACCCAACTTTCACCCTGTAAGTGGACCCACTCTACTTACATTGTATATCATGAATCTAACCAGCTCTCTGTACATCCACAATTACCATCCAGATATGATCTGCACTTGTCTCTTCACAGGCTCCTGCAATAGCCTCCTAATGAACTCCCTGCTCAATTCATGTTTCTCTAAAGTTTATTTGCCATGCTGCATTCAGAAAGTCTTTTAAAAAATGAATATTTCCAATCATATTTTATTCACATTTAGAATAAAAAACAGAGCCTTACAATAAGAGCCCGAAAGACTCTTCATATCTGTTCCCTGGACACTTCTCAACTCCCTTTTATCCCTCACTTCTGCTTCAGCCATTCTTGCTAGAACATTTATAACATTCCTGTCTGATGGCCTTTGCACAGGAACATCTTTGCCTTCAGATGTTCAAATTTTACCTTCTCTGACAGCTATAATTTGACCTCTTTAAAACAGCAAACTTTTGCTTTCCCAAATGACTTTCAATCAAGTGAGTGTGTGTGTGTGTGTGTGTGTGTGTGTTTGGTCATTGCATTTATCATCTGACTTAATACATAAATATTTATTATCCATCTCTTTACACTAGAAAATTAGATATGATGACTGTTGTTACAAAGTTATGGACTTTATTCATTTCCCAATGGATATTCAGTGTCCAGAAGCTTAAAACATACAATGTAGCAGGCATTTAATAATGATTAGTTTTGTAAATGAATAAATGAATACTTTTTTTGTTACTTTTGACAAAGAATATTGTCATACATTGTTTCCTTAAAAATGTAAGATGTTGACTATTTTACATATTGAGGAAAAACCTGGGGTTACACAACATATAACATTTAAAATTTAGCCTTTGTTAAGAGTAAGATTTAGTGAATTTGAACAATTTGAAGAATATTGTATTCATTCTATTTTCTTACTTGATTTTTTTTTATATTGCTTAGTTGGCTGGTCTTTTAAGATCTACTGTAATCTAAAATTACAGGTAAAATTATTGTAAAAGAAGAGAGATCATTCTTGAAAATTTTTTCATTGTATGATGCACAAAATCTCACATTTGGGATGAATTCAGGAAGAATTTATTTTGACCAATAGAAAATAACAAAAATGACATTCTGGGGCTTCCGAATCCAGGCTTTAAAAGGATTTATAGCCTCCACTTTCACAAAGAGGGAACTCATCTACCACGGAAAGCTGTCTAGACCATCTGTTCTCACTGAGGAATTAGAGACATTTAGAAAAATGAAGGCAATTTGAAGAAAAACTGAGGCTCCCCAGCCAAATGCCAGCTAGAGACCCCAGAAATGTAGGTGAGGTTATCTGAGAATCTGTTCCCCAGGTTGATCTACCATACACAGTACCACATGGAGCAGAGAAGAGCTGTTTCTGCTGAACTGTACACAAATACCTGACTCAGAATTGTGAGCAAATACAATTATGGGTGTTTTAAGCGACTAAAATTCAGAGTAGTTCATTAAGCAGCTGTGCTAGTCTGCTCAGGTTGCAATTTTAAAATTCATATGGAACCAAAAAAGAGCCCAAATAGCCAAAGCAATCCTAAGCAAAACAACAACAACAACAAAAAAAAAAAACAACAAAAAAACAAAAAACACAAAACAAACAAAAAAAAAGCTGGAGGCATAGTGATACCCATCTTCAAACTATACTACAGGGCTACAGTAACCAAGACAGCATGGTATTGGTACAAAAACAAGCACATAGACCAATGGAACACAATAGAGAGCCCAGGAATAAAACCACACGTTTATGACCATCTGATCTTTGACAAAGCTGACAAAAACAAGCAATGGAGAAAAGACTCCCTAGTCAATAAATGGTGTTAGGATAACTGAGTAGCCATGCACAGAAGATTGAAACTGGACCCCTTCCTTACGCTATATAAAAAAATCAACTTAAGAGAGATTATGGACTTAAATGTAAAATCTAAAAATATAAAAACCTTGAAAGACAACCTAGTCAATACCATCCTGGACATAGGAATGGGAAAATATTTCATAATGAAAACACCAAAAATAATTGCAACAAATGCAATAAAATTGACTAATGGGATCTAATTAAACTGAGAGTTTCTGCACAGCAAAAGAAACTATTAACAGAGTAAACAGACAAGCTACACAATGGGAGAAAATATTTGTAACTATGCACCTGACAAAGGTCTAAAATCCAACATGTATAAGGAACAAATTTATAAGAGGAAAAAAACCCCATTAAAAAGCGAGCAAAGGACATGAACAGATGCTTTTCAAAAGATAATATACATGCGGCCAACAAGCATATGGAAAAAAGCTCAATATCACTGATCGTTAGAGAAATGCACGTCAAAACCACAGTGAGATACCATCTCACACCAGTCAGAATGTCTATTATGAAAAAGTCAAAAACGACAGATGCTGGTGAGATTGTAGAAGAAAGGGAACACTCATACACTGTTGGTGGGAATGTAAATTATTTCAACCGTTGTGGAAAGCAGTATAGAGATTCCTCAAAGAGCTAAAAGCAGAACTACCATTAGACCCAGCAATCCTGTTACTGGGTATATAACCAGAGGAATATAAATCATTCTATCATAAAGACACATGAAGACAAATGTTCATTGCAGCAATATACACAATAGCAAAGACATGGAATCAACCTAAATGTCCATCAATGACAGATTAGATAAAGAAAACTTGGTACATTTACATTACGGAATACTATGCAACCATAAAAAAGAATGAGCTTGTGCCTTTTGAGGGAACATGGGTAGAACTGGAGGCTATTATCCTTAGCAAACTAACGCAGGAATAGAAAACAAAATACTGCATATCTTCACTTGTAAGTGGGAGCTAAATGATGGAACTCATGAACACAAAGAAGGGAACAACAGACACTGGTGTCTACTTGAGTGTGGAGGGTGGGAGGAGGGAGAGGAGTGGGAAAAATAGCTATTGAGTACCAGGCTTAATACCTGGGCGATGAAATAATCTGCACAATAAACCTCTGTTACATGTGTTTACCTATATAACAAACCTTCGCATGTACCCTTGAAACTAAAATAAAAGATAAAAAAAAAAAAAACAGACTGGGTATCTTAAATAACACAAATTTATTTCTCACAATTCTAGGGACTAGACGTCCAAAATCAAGGTGCTGTCAGGGCTGGTTTCTGGTGAGGCCTCATTTTCTAGCTTATAGACAGCCACCCTGTCACTGTGACCTCACATGAGTTTTCCTCTGTGTGCATGTGGAGAGTTCCCTGATGTCTGTCTCTCTGTCTCTCTTTTTCAATATGAGGACCCAACCCTGTTGGATTAGGGTCCCATCCTCATATAACCTTAATTTTCTCCCTAAAGAACCTCTCTCCAAAGATAGTCACATTAGGGGGTTATGGAACCAAATGTTTCTATTCATAGGCCTCAGCCTGTGAATTTTTGGGAGGGATACATTTCAGTCCTTAACAGCAGCAATAACTTAAACACTCATCTATAGAATAGCTGTCAATAACCATTACTCAATTCCATATTGACCTTCCATGTAATAAAGGTGTTTGTGATCTTACTGAGCATTAATAGTCCTAGAGAAAATTAACACATATGACATTGCTCTTTCTTATATTTAAAATGAGTTCTAATGCTGTCATTGAAAATAATAAAAGTCAAATATACTTCCTTTACTATTAATCTGTGGAAGTGGCTGAATCCTGTTGAATTTTAAAAAGAATTAATTGACTTAAGTGGAAGCAAAAAATAATAAAGAAGAGTCATATGAGATGGTGTCACTATGCCATTCATTTAAACCTTTTCACGTGCTACCCTTCTCCACGAGTCTCTTGTCCTATCTCGGTTTACCATGAGCTGAAGCAGCATTATATGATCAAAGGGACACTCAACTGTCATGGTTGACAGGCTTGCTTATTATTCTTTCTTAGTAAATGCCTTTGATATTCTCTGATCTAAAATTTTATGTAACTTCTCTTTGACGCCTTTTTCCCAAAGTTAAAAATAAGATTAAACATACTTTCCTCTGAAACACAGTGGGACTAAAGGCACTGATGCTCTGAGGATAACTGCACTAATTTTCATGATTATGCTTGGAATTCCAGGAAGAAAGGTTTTAAGTAGAAGAGCATATTATTATTTTGTAGAAGAGTTTCACTGTGCTGTAACGTTTTTCATTTGTTTAATTTACTGGATATGGCTCAGTTTTCTGGGGACAAAGTGGACAATTTTAACATTTGTTTTTACTTTAAAATTAAGAAACAGTTGTCTGTTAAAATGTTTAAAATAGGACTTACTCTAACTTGCAAAAATAGAACATTTTAACAGTTAACACTAAATGAAAATTGCTGTTATTTCTGTTAAGTTTTGTGTCTAAAAATGTTTTCTAATATTTCCCACCAACCCTAAAGCCAATAGCCTAAATCTTGGGAGATTTTCCATTGGAAGCAACTGCAATTAACAAACTAATAGACTTATTCATAATCCAGGTGGTCTTAGACACTAAAAGTGCAAGCTGACATCATTTGGGACCAGAAACAAATATTTATTGGACATCTTCATTACCCTAGACCTTGTGCTAGGTTCTAGTAAACAATAAGATAACTCAGGAGAGGGGCGGAGGTGTGGAATTGGGGGTTGGGGCCAAAGGAGGTTTTAAGGTGGAGGTAGCTAGATAAGAAAAATGAAGTAAAATCACAAAATTTACAGGTCCATAGTTCTTATTTTTCTTATTTAAATGGTGTAAGGAATGATTTAAAAATATGCTATGATTATGACCTAAATTTGAAAAGCAGGTCTTTATTGTATCCGTATTGTGTACTACAACTGTGAAGGAAATGTACATTCTGCTTAGGCATTCAAATCTGAATAATAAAGTTAGAAATTGTTTAAGGCATAAAATGGAAGCTTTTCTATTCTCCTTAATTTTAAAACTTTAGATACCGTAGTAATATATTTACAAAAATGTTTTCAGCATTCTAGTAAAAAATAATTTTATAATGAATTTAGTATAAATTCAAATCTTCTTAAAATCCTATACCACTTTTTTTTAAAATAAGCTTTTTAAAGCGATTTTTAAAAATGATTTAGAGCATAGAGTTTTATTTTGCTTCTTTGGTAAAACTTCAATGACTTTTATATAAGGACATGACATCTGGCTTGATCCCATAACGTAAGTACTCTGAACAACAGAGCCTGTATATTCAATACATTCTAAAAAATATCCACATTTATTTCCACTCAACAGGTTTTTCTAGAGGGCACTACATTTCTCTACAGAACCTTGTATTGCAAAACATCTGGGTCAGAATAAAATCATATGCTCTTAAGGAATAATGGTTTTAATACAATCAACCTTCCAAAAATCCACTAAAATAAATTTACAAGATACAACTGATTTTTAAAAACTTACATACACAAATGCACTGATTATACATCAGCCCTTTAACACTGTGACACAGCCTAAGGCATTAGTGTACTTTGACTGTAGAGATCAAATTAACACAAAAATGCTTCATCAATATAAGGTCTATATTTTTCTCAGAGGTTTCTAGTGACTTTATAACCTCCAAAAAATTCTTGTTGGTTTTTCTTTCTCGGCAGACCATATTGGTAACCAGTTGATAACAAAATGACATAGGAATTGAAAACCGATGATACCGAGTTAAGATACATTTTACTATTCTCCTTAGTGAATTACAGTTTATAAAGGGAAGTTTTATGGATCATTGAAAGGTGAAGCTAATGTAAGATTACTGCAGAGATCATTAAGGCCAAATATAACATTTTCAAGAGATTGTCACTGATGTGTAATAGCTAGTCGTCAAAGATGGTCCTATGATAAACCATGCTTCCAAGTAGTCACACCCACAATTCCCTTCCCTTAAATCAGGACTTGATTTGTGATTAATTTGACAAATAAAATATGGTAGAATTGATGCTATGCTAATTCCAGGTCTTTCAGAATTCTTTTTCTCTCTCTGAAGCAACCTCTATCATGCAATGAAGCACCTACCCTAAGACTATTATCCTGTGAAAAACTCAAGTCATATAGAGAGGCCCTGAAGGATGAAATACTGAGCACAGAAAGAAAGTGAGTGAAGAAACAGTCATGGACATCCAGCCTAGTCCAACTTTTGGAGTTCTCTAGCTCCAGCTACAATCCCACTGCAACAGTAAGAGACCTTATGCAAGAACTTCTCAGCTGAGCCCAGTAAACCCCCAGAACCATGAGGAATACTAATAAATTGTTGGTTGTTTTACTTTGGGGTAATTTGTTACTTGGCAATCAATAAGCCAAAGGGTTTTCTGGGACCCCAGAGCTCGAACAGGGTAATAACCTATTTCCTAATCATTTTCACAATCACCTGCACCGGTGCTTACCATCACTTCCTCTAAATATCTATAACATTTATTATACAAATAATAATTTGATATTTAGCAAATTTTACTGGTGTATTGTTAGCTGTTAATTTATGTCTTCTTTGTCACTAATGAGAGAACAGAAAATAACTTTTTTTAAAAACTTCACTATGAGTAGAAACTCATAACTTAGTAGTTATTTAGTGATAACAATGATGATGTTTTGAAAACTAAGATTCATTACTATTTACTTAATAAACTCAATGTGAGTAATTACTACAAACAGTGTGAGTTACGTTATGACAGTTTTTTTCCACCTGGAGAGCTACACTGCTGGGCTTCATCTTCCAGAGTTTCTGATTCAGAAGGCCTAAAATAAGGCCCAAGAATTTACATTTCTAACAACTTCCCAAGTGATGCTGGCACTGTAGGTCAAGGATCACACTTTGGGAACCCTGGCTTAAGATAATGCCAAAACTCTTTTTTCTAGGACTGTTGGTCAAAAATCTTGTAAATCAGGTCAAATAAATTTGTCTCCTCTGCTCTTCACTTTCTTATCCTCTGCTTCTCTCTCTTTTGATTCCTTGTTTCTATAACCCTTTTTCCATGGTAGTCTTCACAGCCATTTCTGCCTTCCCAGAGCCACTCCATCTACTAGGATGTCCTCCAAGCACACAGAACATGCTAAAATTTTCCACTGCCTCAATTCAGATTCAGAAATATTGCATTAAATGATCATCTTTGAGCTTGTCCTGGATTGAGATTGTGCTTGATATTATTCTTGCATCAGCAGTGCCCGACACCGTGACTGAAATAAATAGTTGGTATCTAACAATTTTTAAGTAAAATTAAAGTCAATCGAAAGTGTATATTATTGATAGTTTTGCTATGACATTGCATGGCAAGGGTTCTATACAAGCTTCAGAATTATGTCTGTAAATTGAAAACAAATGAAACACCAGTGTTATATTTTTAAGAGGTTCAAAAAACTCAGATCTTAGGAGATGTTTATTAAGCACCTATGTTAACTTGAACTGGGAATAATGATAAATAGGGCACAATTATAACACTCCAGGTACACACAAACTGGTGGAAGACAATTGGAAAGAGTTTCAAAATATGGAGACTCTAAGGACTCCATTCAAACGTGGGAAGGATCTCTCTTGTTAGGGATTGAGACATCAAGACATAGGCTTGCCTTGTGCCAGACGTCCACTACTCTGAGCACTTTATGTAAATCAATTCATTGAATCCTCATGCACGCTCTACACAGTAAGACTATTATTTTCAGCATCCCCATTTTATAGATGAGGAAACTAATATATATGACGGATATAAGACAGAGAATAAGTGTACCAATGGATTTCAACTTGGGCAGTTCAGAGTCTGGGTTCCTTATGGACTAAACTGCATTTCTCTCATTTCTCTCTTACAATGGGATGGTAGGAGCTCCCAAAGGCAGCATCAAGGACCCAGACTTATCTCTGTCTTGTCTCTAGTACTACTGTACATGACATTTTAATCAAAATAGTTTATATGTTCACTCCTCAAATGGCACTGAATTTATATCTGCACTGTCTGAGAAGATTATAACACTGTATAGTTAAACCAAGTTGATCTATGTCAATTATTCCCAAATGAACAGATTCCTACAACTGAAAAACTACATAACTGGAGCACATAATGTGCATGCTTTGCTACTGAATCTCATGAATGTGTAACACAGATCGTGATAGGTTCAATCAGTATGTCCTATACTTGATACCTAAGAATAGGTGCATTATCTCTATGAAGGAAAGGACATACTTTCATTTGTGCCTCTCACAATTTTTAGTGAAATTTATGATATACCCTGAGATTGAGAGATGACAGATACAATAACATAAACATTATAAAATTTAAGTATTTTTGGTATCTGATGCTACGGTTTATTACAAACAGCTACTGTTATAGATGGAACTCTTACAAATATTGATTTTGTTTCAAAGAACTGAGGTTATTAATATTTCAATTTAGGTCTAATTATACTAAAATGTGCTATATTACACTAATACCAAAATAAGCAATCTTACCATTTATAAACTGATGCTTCCAATGTAATTTAATAATCTGTTGTCTTTATAAACATAGTTATTTTGCATATAAGGGAGATGTTATTTCATTGTAATTAGGTTATTTAAATTCCCCACCATTAAAAAAAACAGCTTTAGGGTATTAAATATGTTTTTCATAGCTATAGCCTGTAAATTTTTACCTAATTAATAGAATGAAAACTGAGCATCCAATTTCACAGTGTTTAAGCCTAACGACCAAAGTAATTCTAACATCAGTAAACATATAATGAACATCTATGTAACATTTATTGAACTAGATGCTCAGCATTAAAAAATGAATGAGAATACAATAATAGTAAGGGTGATGACAATAAACAATGCTTCCCACATAACAGGCAGTCAATAAATATTTCTTGAGGAGGCAATATATAACTGAATTGAAGCTAATATATTAGGGCTTTTTCCATATGTCAGGCACTGTCCTAAACACTTTTATGTATTAAAGCATTCCATTTTCCTCATATTCTTATTAGCATCACAATTTTACAGATAAGGAAATGAGGCTTTAGTGAGGGAATCACTTGTCCAGTGCCACACAGCTCTCCGGTAGCACAGCTGAGTTTCTATTCACAGGTTTGTTTACTTTAGAGCTCCAGCAGGAAAGTCACACTTGCAAATCTACCAAAAACTAGCGTGATTGTACGATTGCAGACATGTAAAACAAGTCTTCTGACAGCACAAAGGAGGGAATTATTCTGATTCTATAAGATGAAAAATATTTTACAGCTGAGTTCCCTTTTTAGTTGGGCTTTTAAAAAACCAAACACCAAAGAACAGGAGAATCACATTCCGGGGGAGGGAAAATATGCCAGTATAGTTGTATATTCAGGCAGTGATGAATAGATCAATTTCTACTGCACTCAGAGAATACAAGGACCCTAGAGAGACTTGAAAGAAGAAATGTCTTTTGGAATCAGATCATTAAGGGACCTTGTATACCACGATAAGGAAATTAAATTTCCAATAAGGCAGTGGGAAGTAATCAAAGTCACTTAAGCAGAGGAGTGATATTGTCAAATTATCTTTCACTAATTTAACTTGTTGACAGAGGTAAGGTCGCTTCTTGATAGAGATCAGTCAGGAGCAGTGAGCAGTGGGAATGAAGGGAAGGGGAAATAAGTGATCAGAGGCTGATACTTGATCTCACTGTGCTGCTGCACGTCTCGTGGTCCATGTATTTTTAACTTTGAAGATATGTTTTAAGAAAGGCAAATCACTTTGGCAATTTGCATAACTAGCCCAGTCAAAACATTACAAGAGCAGTTTTTAAATCCACAGCTGTCAATGCCTTTCCTGCTTTCTTACTTTCTCTCTTATTATCCAGCCAGTTTCTCGGGTTCCCTTTACTTCTATTAGTACAACATGGAGGATCATTCGTAGACAGTTGATGGCTGTCTTAGTCAGGGCTCTCCAGAGCAACAGAAATAAGAGGAGCTCTATCTACCTATTCACCCATCTATCTATATCGATATCTATTGATATGTACATAAAGAGAGGGGGAATTTGTTATAAAAGTTTGGCTCATGTGATTATGGAGGCTAAGAAGCCTAAAATATGCAGTGTGGACTAGCAGGCTCGAGGCCCAGGAGAGCTGATGGTGTAGATAAACTCCAAACCCAGTCTGCTGGCAAATCCACTCTTGCCTGGGGAGGCTGGTCTTTTTGCTGTATTTAGACCTTCACCTGATTGGATGAGACCCACCCACATTATGAGTGCAATCTGCTTACTCAGAATTCACTGATTTAAATGTTAATCTCATCCAAAACCATCTTCTAAAATCATTACTGTGGTCATTCCTAGATAAAGCTTTAACTTGATAAGATATTAATTAAGAATTCATAAAAATTTCCCCTGCATTGCTGGCAATCTTTTATCCAGTAACAAGAAAAACCCTCTTAGTTGCTGCAGGCATTTTTCAGACACAAGATCAAAGTCAGGAATTTTTGTATCCATCTCCGTGAGAACCTTGGTTTGCAGATAGCCTCTTGTTTGCTCATTGGACCCTATTTGCTATACTAAAGTACCCAGGAGAAAATGAAATTCTTGACTTGGTTTTTTGCAAGACATTTTAAAAACTCACTTAAAGACACTCATGCTACATAGGCAGGGCAAAATACATAAATAAAATAAAGTGAGAGGAAAATTTAGACTGAGATTTCTACGTGGCCAATTTCTAAAATCGGCATTTGGAAATGCATTTCACTACTTGTTGCAAAGACATAATAACAGACCTCATGTCTTTCTCGAAAACTCAGAAAAATCTCACTTATTTTGCACATCTTACTGTCTTCAAATAATATTTACAGCTTTTAATGCATACAAAGAGCATTAATCAAAAACACCATTATACCTCACCAGTGTTTGTTGAGCTCCTACTCTATGCTGAGCACTTTATAAACACTTTCTGCTTTCCTATGGTTCTGGGGACCTCTTCCCAGTTGGGCACACCATACTAATTGCACTTAAGAGAACCATAGGATTGTAGATGCAGACACCCATATCCTAATACTTGGCCACCATTTCCTTCCTCACTCCTCTTCCATCTGCCCCTCATCCAACAAACAGCTCTGAAGTGCAATACGCCCTGGAAAATAAAATGCAACAAAATAAAGAGTAGACTTCCTGGCTCAGAAATTGTTTATCCAAAATCACTGTGTCTAGACAAAGTGCATTAATTAGGAGGGCTAAGCTTAATTGCTCCCCCAGGCTTATGTAAAGCAGGGAGGAAAACAGGACTTAGAGGTCCTAGAAATATCCTGGATTACAGAGCTCATAAAGAAGCCAAGCTAAGCATTGCAGCTAGCCATAGGAACGTGGCTGGGAGTTTTTTCAGCAGATACACAGTAAGGTGAGTTTGGACAGCAGCTCTCTAGAATGACCAACTGCTTCTCTTGACAAAAAAGAGGCAGAAAGGCATTTCTATGAGCAAAATGTAGCTCATACACTGCCAGAGAAAGGAAGATCACATTTTCCCTCTTCATATGCACAGCTGGTAAACTCTATTTGCATTTTCATATTTTGTGCTAAGCTCAATATTTAAGAGTACCATTTCAAGTAAGAAAAATGTAAAAGCAGCACCGTGAAATTCTGTATGTTCCCTGTGGCATTTTCTACAAGTTAAAGCAAATTTTTGCTGGAATGAGAATGCTTTAAAATGTGTTCAAAGAGATCCTTGTCAGTGTGGTGATATATTTCAGGGAAGATGTCATTCTTTTGGAGATATTGATTCTTGCCAATACAGTTGGAACATGACAGAACAACAGGAATATTTTTTAACATGGTTTCCTGCTTTTACAGAAAACTAAATTAGATTTAATGTAAAAGTAAAAATGATTTTTCTCAGACGGTATGTTCATCCTTCCATTATTTACCTCCAGTGATAAATGTAGCATATGTTGTAGTCCATCTGGATGGGCAACAGATCAAAATAAACGACATGAAACAGAAATATATGCTACACGCAACATGCTTCTATGATCTAATTTTCTTAAACTTGATGTCATGTAGCTTATTAATCAATGCGTTTATCATTCAAAAAATGTACATTACAGTAGAAATTTGAAATGGTATAAGAAATGATGCTACTCAATGTAGTAAAATTATTTATTTCATAACACATGTTTTGGGGGAAAACGTAAGGGGAATGGCAGCAAACACAGTCTCAAAATGATCTAAAGTGTGGAAGAAAATCATTGTTTAAATAAGCAGGATTTCTATTCAAAGAAACATATTTCTCATGGAATCATCAAAATGACACTTGGCAAGAAGGAAGGCAGGAGGATGATAATTAGGGCAAAGCAAGAGCTAAAGCCATTAGATCTCACATATTCAGAGGGCCCGAGAGAGATACAACCTCCAATACAAGACACAGTGACTTAGACTACTCTCACACATGATAACTTTCAAGGTTCTCTTCATGACATTTCTTTATAGTGTTAGGCACATGGTAGGTGTTTTAAAAATATTTATTTAGAGGTAGTCAACTAGTTTGAAAAGTTGTAATATATTGTAAACCTCTATTTTTACTGCAATCTGACTGAAAACAGGGACCCAGCAGTGCTTCAAGTCAAGCAACCTGAGTAAAGAATCTTCAATTATCCTGTCCTCCCATGGGTCCTAAAGTGCCTTGGGGCCACTCAGGCCACCTGGGAAATACACCGAGTCATCCATTAACTCTTTCAAAACAGATTAGTCATGCATACAGATAGTAAGTACTCAATAAATGTTTGATGGAAGAACGGATACATGGACGGATGGGTGGATGAATGGATACATAGATGAATGGATGGATGAACAAACCTTTCAAGTGTTTGAGAAAACAGTAATGTTAAGTGGAAAGGAAGACAAATACAGTGTAAAGAACAATGCACTAGAAATAAAGATGTCTAGATTTCAGTTTTACCTCTACATATCAAGATCTGTAACATTTTGGGTCATATTGGTATATAAAATTCAGGAGTTTATTTCTATTTACCTGAAAAAGAGGAGCTTGATTACTATTAACCTATCATCAGACTCTTAACATTCAATATTTCCCCAGGTCAACTCTCCAATAATCTCAACAAATTTTGATTTTATGTAAAATCTTTATTCTCTAAGACATACCAATATATGCTCCAAAAACAGATTTTTATGAAAATAAATATTTCAAGCCTCTTCACCTACCTTGGTGGCCCATTTCTTAGAAAACTTTAGTTGTCAACAGTGCTCTTAAAATGCAACAATTGGAACTAGGCACAATACCCCCGGTAATTTCTGAACATTACAGACTACAGTGAGACTCTCAATTTCACTAGTTCGAAATAAGATTTCCTCATTCTATGAATATTTACAGCAGGGCTGCAATGTACTAACACTGCTCTGAGTACTGTGCTGTAACCAAGAAGAGAAACAAAACACTTCTCTCTCGTACCCTATTATTTGCAAGTAGGAGTAAACAAGAGTAGGCAATTTCAGATAGTGATCCATATTAATGAAGCAAATAAAAACAAGTAGTGGGATAGAGTGTAAGGCAGGATGCTGCAGTATTATTTCAGATAAATTCAGACAAATGGTAGAGCCATCCACACGAAGACTCAGGAGAAAGGTATTAATAGGTAAATAAAAACAGTAATTTTCAACCTCTGAGGCAGAAGTTAGCTTACCTTGCCCCAAACTGAAGAACAGTCCATGGTTATTGCCCATAGAAAACTAAGGAAACAGTTGTGTTACATATAACTTAACTGTAGTGTTTTAGAGTGGACTAATTCAAGTCATGTTAGATTTGCTAGTCAGGTTAGTTCTATTAGTGAAGGTTCTAAAAAACCAAAGTTAATGGAAAGACTAAGGTGGGAATGGAGTAAGTGTTTGAGGCTGACACACTAGGCAAATGTGGCCAAATGGCTTGTCAAACATGGAGGCTGGACCAGGGTGGAGTTACAGAAACTAAAACTCAATAAATGCAATTAGAAAGCCAGGGAGTGGTGGAATGGACCAAGTAAATACAATAAAACAGAACCTTTGTTCCTGTGTTTTAAATAAATATGTCTCCATGGTAAGATATATTGGAGAGCTGCTAATGTTTAAAGGCCCAGGGTTAGATGAGAAGACTCAGTCTCTTAAGATCTCATCCAAAATTATTAAGCCTTCCAAATACAAGGCTACATACTTAAGAAGTATGGAAGCCACATGCACATGTATGTTTACTGCGGCACTATTCACAATAGCAAAGACTTGGAACCAACCCAAATGTCCATCAATGATAGACTGGATAAAGAAAACATGGCACATATACACCATAGAATACTGTGCAGCAATAAAAAAGGATGAGTTCATGTCCTTTGCAGGGACTTGGATGAAGCTGGAAACCATCATTCTCAGCAAACTAACACAGGAACAGAAAACCAAGCGCTGCATGTTCTCACTCATAAATGGGAGTCGAACAATGAGAACACATGGACACAGGGAGGGGAACATCACATACTGGAGCCTATCAGGGGGTGGGGAGCTAGGGGAGGGATAGTATTAGGAGAAATATCTCATGTAGATGACAGGTTGATGGGTGCAGCAAACCACCATGGAACATTTATACCTATGTAACAAACCTGCACGTTCTGCACATGTATCCCAGAACTTAAAGTATAATAAAAAATTTTTTTAAAAATTGATCAAAACAGTGAAATATGAATTAGACAAGGGAAAGAATGCTGCCAAAAGGATTTTACAGTTTGTATTAGAAATTGTTCAAGTTTAAAAAGTTCAAGTACAATGCACTATTAAGTACTATATTTATTTATATGCAAGGTATATTTGTTATAAAAAGTCTTAATGTATATGTTTTTGTTTTGTTTTGTTGTTTTTTTGAGATGGAGTCTTGCTCAGCCGCCCAGGCTGGAGTGCAGTGGCGCGATCTCAGCTCACTGCAAGCTCCACCTCCTGGGTTCACGCCATTCTCCTGCCTCAGCCTCCTGAGTAGCTTGGACTACAGGCGCCCGCCACCATGGCCGGCTAATTTTTTTTTTTTTTTTTGTATTTTTAGTAGAGACGGGTTTTCACTGTGTTAGCCAGGATAGTCTCCATCTCCTGACCTCGTGATCCACCTGCCTCGGCCTCCCAAAGTGCTGGGATTACAGGCGTGAGCCACCGCGCCCGGCCTTAATGTATATGTTTAAAAGCTCTATTAGTTATAGAAATCTAAGGGGCTCAATTTAGAAGAATAAGAATTAGTTACTAACAGTGTAATTGTTATGGTTGTAAAGTTAATTTAGCACTGAAATTAATCAGTCTAGCAATGTCAAAGATGATTTCTATATGTAAATGTGGTATTAAAATAGATTGTCACATCCTTTCAAAAAACATAGTGTTGCAAGCATAAAATCTGAATTTAACTTCTTCAAAGACTATCAGAACCAGCTGTACAAATTTACCAAGTATAAAGTCACACTCTATAACAGAGGACAGGAGCATATATTTTAAAGACCACTGTAACAGATTTCTGTTGCTGTATAACAAACATAGTAACTTTCAACAACTTGCATTTTATTTAGCTCATGATACTTTTGGGTTATTTACATCAGCCTCAAATAATCTCAGCTAGACTTGTTCATATAACTGCCATCAGCTGGGAGCTGGTTGTTCTTAGCCTTGCTCAACTGTCTGGTGACTGGCTGTTAGCTGGGAGCAACAGAAATGGTTGGGCTACATGTCCCTCATTATCCAAAAGCTACTCTGGCTTTATCCAATTTTCAAGAAAAGCAAAAGGGCAAATGCTAATTCACAAGTATTTTTCAAGGCTCAGCTTGCATTATTTTTTAACTCTTCCCATTGGCCAAAGCAAGTCACATAGCCATGCCCGGAAACGGCGTTGGAGGGCACTACCAAAGGACTTCAATACAGGGAGATGAAAACAAATACGGGTTGTTACAGTAATTAACACACCATAGCCACATAGAATAAATCCAAGGCAAAAGTCAATCTTAATACTAAAAAATGGAAGAAATATTGCAAGAAATGACACCAGAGTTCTGAGAAAGGTAATGATAAACTAGATTTTATGCTGCACTAAGAAAAAGACAAAGTCATGTCCCTCTTGTTCACCAACATATTCTGAGTAGCCAGCCCAGTGCTTGGCTCTGGTTGGCAGAAATGTTTGTTGATTAAATAACTAATTTAATGAAGTGAATTTTCCTCTTCAAGGACTAGGATGCTAAAACACACCTCTGTATAGCACAGTAGGAAAAAATAAGGTAATACAGTAATTTTTGAATATGGCCTCTGGAATCACACTGCCTGAGTTTACATCCTGGCTTTGCTTCTTATTAAATGTGTGTTGTTGGAGAAAGCACCACACTTTCTGTGCCCTAAATTCCTGAGTTGTAAAATGAAGATAATGAGAGTACCTATGTGTGGTTGTTTTAGACATGGCTCCCAAATCATTTGACATCACTCCCTTTAAAAGGTAGGGTCTGTGACCCCTAATTTTGAATAGGGTGAGCTTGTAACTGTTTCAATCAATAGAGGATGGTGGAAATAAGACTGCATGACTTCCAAGACTTGGTCATAAAAGGTGATACAGGTTAGCCTTGATTGGTGAAGCACTCACTCTTGAAATGCTAAGCTTCCATTAAGAAATTGGACTATTCTGAGATCACCATGCTGTAAGGAAGCCAATGACACAAACAGCTATGTGTGGGTGTTTCAGTTGGCAGTCCTACTCTTAGACTCTTTGTAACCCACATACCAGAAATGCAGGTGAACAGACCAGATGATTCCAACTGTTGAGTTACTCTCCAACCTTTGAATCTTTCCAGCTGAAGCCCAGGAATCATGGAATAGTGAAAAACCATACCTGCTATATCCTGTTTGAATTTCTAATGCACAGAATTCATAAGCATAGGAGTATTTGTTTTAAGCTACTCAGTTTTAAAGTCATTTGTTATATAGTAAAAGAAATTATAATAGATATATGGTACCTGAAAAAGTGCTATCATAAAAACCCAAAACATCTGCCCTGGCTTTGAGAGCAGGTATCAGTCGGAAGCCAGAAAGACCTGGTGACGGTGTTTATGTGTCAATTTGACTGAGTCACTGGGTACCCAGACATTTGGCCAGAGTTATTCTGGGTGTGTCTGTGAGGAAGTTTCTAAATGAGATTAACAATTAAATGGGTAAACTGAGTAAAGCAAATTCACTTCACTAATATGAGTGGCCCTCATCCAATTAATTGAAGTCCTGAATTTAAAAATAAAAGGCTAAGCAAGAATTCCTCCTGCCTGACTACTTAATCTGGGACATAGGATTTTTTATGCCTTTAGATTAAAACTAGAAAACTGGCTCTTCTTGAGTCTCAGTCTTGCCAGCTTTTGGAATGAACTCATACCATCAACTTTCCTTGTTCTCCAGCTTGCCAATCTTGGGACTTCTCAGCCTCCATAATTACATAAGCCAATTTCTCATAATAAAGCTCTCTCTCTCTCTCTCTCTCTCTCTCTCTCTCACACACACACACACACACACACACACACACACTTCCTATTGTTTCTGTTTTTCTTGACAACTCTGACTAATGCAGACTTTGAGAAGAAATTATTATCAAAGGCTTAACAAAGAGTGAGCATTGTTAATAGGAGAAAGTTTAGAACACTCTCACTTGTGATGGACAAAATAGCTAATTGGATTTCTGGGCTGCATATAAGATACAACTGGAGAGACAAACTGAAAGAAAATTTCAGTTTTCAACCAAAATTTAGATAAACTATAAGGCAGCCTGGACTTGCTGGGTTTAAAAGTAGAAGTGTTTACCTTCCTCAGTTGTTACCAGCAGAATAACCTCAAATTAGAAAAAATGCCGCAAGTCAAATATTAAATCACAGTTCTTTTCAGGTAAACATCCCAGGATTAAGATGAAATCAAGGGATTGGCTTTATGGCCCTTCAGTAAAAGCTTAGAAAGATTGGAAGTGATGCCTTATAAACCCTTTCAAAGAAACAAAGCCTTGTAAGGATCTTAAGAGCATCTCTGATTGGCCTCCTCTATTGAACAATATGGATTCTGAGAATCATAAGGGCCTTAGGTCCAGCAGCCTCACAAGAGGCCAAAATAGAAAAGAGTTTATCTCAAAGAGACTTTGGGTATTACTTTTTTCTAACAAACTGGATTATAAGTTGATACACAGGAAGCCCATACAATGTTTAAAAATATTGGTCAACTTGGATTGGATAGAGTCAGTACAAAATGAAAGACACCTTTGGACTTGCCACCAGTTTGAGCACAAAGCAATATTAAGAGGGCATCTTATTTGAAATGCAAGCCATATCTTATTTAAAAAAATAAAACATTAAACAGTGGAACCAAGAATGTCAGAAAACTGTTTGGGGGAAATAAAAGTAGATCCTAGTTGAAGAACTAGCAACAAGTGCCCAGGTGGATTTCAGAATTGCTATGGACATGTAACTGCTGTATGTCTCTAATTTTTCCTTCTTTTTGAACAGGAGAAGCTATGGTGGTCATCTAACGGGGCAAGTGTGTAGAGGACAAATAACTTGTCTCTTTATTTTAGAGGTCATCAGATTGAAAGCAATTATACTAGAACTGTACCCAAGAAAACTTATCTGCAGCTGGAAAATTTAGACATAAAGGTCCTAGACTTGTGTTTGATGACAAAATGAGGTGATACTTTAGAGGTCTTGGCGAAGGATAAAATAGTATTTTGTACCCTAGAATACAAAAGAAGAAATATAAATAACTGTGGCCACAAGGCAAACTATGGTGATTTTAAAGCAAGGGCCTAAAATTATTTGACCCAACTTCCATCAAAAAGTGGAATCTATATCCACTCCCTTTGCATCTGGGTAGTTATGGGAGCAATTGTTTTAACCAATAGGCTACTGCCTCAATGACGTCTGGTGATTTCTGAGGCTAGGTTATCAAAACGCATTGCAACTTCTGATTTGTTTGCTGTAAAACTCACATTTAGAACAATGAGTCCCATGTTAGAAGCCTGACTTCTCTAAAGTGCCATGATGTGAAGAAGCAAAATCACGGGAGTAGGTCACATGGATGTTTTCTGGTTGGCAGTCTTATTCTTCTAAACATCTCAAATCACGTGTCTGACATCTGAGTCAATGAGGTTTCAGATTTCTATGCAGTGCATTTCAGTCACCAGTCACCGTAGAGTAACAGACTTGGAATTATAGCCAAACACAGTTAAGCATCACACTGTGCACTGTTCAAATTTCTGACCCACTGAATTCATGGGCGTTAAAAAATAGTTCTGTTAAGTCATTAAGTTTTGGGGCAATTTATTACACAGAAATAGCAACTGAAATACCATTTCATAGAAAAGTTGTGAGTTATGATGAAAAGTATATAAAACAGTGCTAAGTCAACACATACATCATGTGTTCAATAATTATTAGCTAGAACAATAGTGATTATTATAAATATATAAAATATATAATAATTGTTATTAATATTAGTGTCAGGATTAGAGAAAAGCCACTTTTTACTGTCATAATGCATTAGTTTACCAAGTCAGTCAGGAAAATTATCTGTAAATGCTGTTTGCCAAGAATGTATAAGCATAAATTCAAGAAGAGAAGAAAACCTGATCAGTAGCTACATTCAGGACTGTTATAACCAGGATTTCCACAGCTTAAGGCACCTGGGGGGAAATGACCACCTCCCTTGTTGACATCAAACAAAGGGACAGTGACTGTTTCCTCTTAGCCATCACCTAAGTGTTAACCAGTCCATATACATAAGCCCCTCAATGATAATATTTTGTTATCCTAATTCAAATTCAGTTAAGAGGCTTTTTCTTAGGCCATTTCTATTCTCCAAAAGTCATTTTGTGGATGTTACAAACATTGATATTTCCAAAGATTATCAAAACAAAAAAAAACTTCACAGAACAATTCATGTAGAAATGAATCAGGTCAAGACCTCAGATAAATGTTGTTAGTACAACAATTTAATGAAGTCATCATTGTGCAGTTGAAGAACATTTTAAGTGCTTTTCAGCATAATGCTATTTTAAGAGAAGTTTTGATGTGATTTAGAAAAATGAAAAAAGTTACCATTTCTCTAAGCACTCAGATATTCACAAAATAATCCTATAAATATAAACTTTCAACGAACTTTTTCATTCATTATTATTAATTATTTTAGCTTTTCATAGCATGGGCTGTTCTTTATAAAACCTAACAACCAGTAAAATAAAAGGCAATCAGGAGCATTACTACCATAAAAGTGAACAAGTAAAAATAGTTACCAAAATAACAAATATTTAAAATATTCAAAAGCCCATGAAATGTTGAAAAAATTAGCATAAAGGTTAGCATGTATTTCGCTATAAATTCTTGATTCCAGAAAATTCGTTGCTCAGCAATTCTGAGATTGACACCAAATCAGCAAAGAAAAGCCATAAGGTTAGATTTCACTTATCTAAGGCAAACAAACATGGTCTGTTTAAGTAGAGGTCAGGCCATTGGCAAACTTCAAATACCAATGTTTTAGTCTTTTTATTATCATTAATTTTATCATCATTACTATAAATGGCACAATCTATGGAGTCATGCAACCTTAAATATTTTCTCATCACAATAGAAGGTATTAATTAATGAGCCATATTCACTGAGAATAATAAAATATGTTGAGGAAAAATACAGTCAACATAGGGAATTGACTCCTTTAGCACTTTTGTTTATCAAGCACTTAATGGTGTTTATTTTATCCGAGTAAATCTTAGAACCTTGGAGATATTAACTCATTTGAAGTCTCATAACTTTATGAGGTAGTTCTCATACTTGTCATTATTTTATATATGAGGAAACTGAGGCACAGAGATGGAAAGTAACCTGAGTTTCCACAGCTGCAAAGCATCATAGCCCAAATTTGAACCCAGTCAGTCTTCTTCCAGATACATGCTTTTAACCACCTTACTCTGTTGCCAATTGAAATAGTCATATAACATATAAGTGATTCCTGGGGATTTTTTGTTGTATTTTTTACTTCTCTTTTGTTGTTGTTGTTGTTTTTGTTTTATTCTTAGAGACAAGATCCCTCTCTGTCACCCAGGCTGGAGTACAGTGGCTCACTGCAGCCTCCAACTCCTGGCTCAAGCAAGCCTCCAATCTCAAGCTCCCAAGTAGCTAGGACTGCAGGCATGTTCCACCATGCATGGATAATTTTTGTTTTGAATATTTTATATAGACAGGGTATCATTATGTTGCCGGCGATGCTGGTCTTGAACTCATGGCCTCAAGTGATCCTCACATCTTAGCCTCCAAAAATGCTGGGATTTGGGGCCCTTTAATTCTTTTTTTTTTTTTTTTTATACTTTAAGTTTTAGGGTACATGTGCACATTGTGCAGCTTAGTTACATATATATACATGTGCCATGCTGGTGCGCTGCACCCACTAACTCGTCATCTAGCATTAGGTATATCTCCCAATGCTATCCCCCCCCCTCCCCCCACCCCACCACAGTCCCCAGAGTGTGATGTTCCCCTTCCTGTGTCCATGTGATCTCATTGTTCAATTCCCACCTATGAGTGAGAATATGCGGTGTTTGGTTTTTTGTTCTTGTGATAGTTTACTGAGAATGATGATTTCCAATTTCATCCATGTCCCTACAAAGGACATGAACTCATCATTTTTTTATGGCTGCATAGTATTCCATGGTGTATATGTGCCACATTTTCTTAATCCAGTCTATCATTGTTGGACATTTGGGTTGGTTCCAAGTCTTTGCTATTGTGAATAATGCCGCAATAAACATACGTGTGCATGTGTCTTTATAGCAGCATGATTTATAGTCATTTGGGTATATACCCAGTAATGGGATGGCTGGGTCAAATGGTATTTCTAGTTCTAGATCCCTGAGGAATCGCCACACTGACTTCCACAATGGTTGAACTAGTTTACAGTCCCACCAACAATGTACAAGTGTTCCTATTTCTCCACATCCTCTCCAGCACCTGTTGTTTCCTGACTTTTTAATGATTGCCATTCTAACTGGTGTGAGATGGTATCTCATTGTGATTTTGGTTTGCATTTCTCTGATGGCCAGTGATGATGAGCATTTTTTCATGTGTTTTTTGGCTGCATAAATGTCTTCTTTTGAGAAGTGTCTGTTCATGTCCTTCACCCACTTTTTGATGGGGTTGTTTGTTTTTTTCTTGTAAATTTGGTTGAGTTCATTGTAGATTCTGGATATTAGCCCTTTGTCAGATGAGTAGGTTGCGAAAATTTTCTCCCATTTTGTAGGTTGCCTGTTCACTAATGACTTTCTTCACAGAATTGGAAAAAACTACTTTAAAGTTCATATGGAACCAAAAAAGAGCCCGCATCGCCAAGTCAATCCTAAGCCAAAAGAACAAAGCTGGAGGCATCACACTACCTGACTTCAAACTTTACTACAAGGCTACAGTAACCAAAACAGCATGGTACTGGTACCAAAACAGAGATATAGATCAATGGAACAGAACAGAGCCCTCAGAAATAACGCCGCATACCTACAACTGTCTGATCTTTGACAAACCTGAGAAAAACAAGAAATGGGGAAAGGATTCCCTATTTAATAAATGGTGCTGGGAAAACTGGCTAGCCATATGTAGAAAGCTGAAACTGGATCCCTTCCTTACACCTTATACAAAAATCAATTCAAGATGGATTAAAGATTTAAACGTTAGACCTAAAACCATAAAAACCCTAGAAGAAAACCTAGGCATTACCATTCAGGACATAGGCATGGGCAAGGACTTCATGTCCAAAACACCAAAAGCAATGGCAACAAAAGCCAAAATTGACAAATGGGATCTAATTAAACTAAAGAGCTTCTGCACAGCAAAAGGGGCCCTTTAATTCTAAAGCATGAAGTTCTCTTATAATTTCACGGGGCCACAAACAGAATGCTTGAGTCAGATAGTAAAACTAACAGCCACAGATGAATCCTTCACTGTATAATCAGCTAAGTGTATGCAGAAATCACTTCTTCCAAAAGCTAAATGAACTGTAGTAGTAGTTTCACATAGTAAATGGTAATATAGAAAGTAGTTTTAAGTTAAAATGAAACAGATTACTGTATTGGAATTTTTAAAGGTTTGTAAAATTTGCAATGACAAATTTCTAACATTTATAAGTTTTGATAATTAATTTTGAATAAAATTGGAAAGTAAAACTGTGCTATAGATCTAAGTCTGTACATGTTAAACATAACAACTTTCAGCCACTAAGCATTCATAGGCATAGACCACTGTATGGAGCTCGCTTAGAAATCAACCTATTTAGGTTTACAGGTAAGGATAATTACTATAGAATCTGACCATGTGTGAAACTGTATAGCTGGTGCCTCACTTAAATGTTTTACTCTGTATCTCACACATGAGCTTCATTATCTGTTTCCTGCAGCGTTGTGCATCCAGTGGTTTCCAGGTGCCAGAATTGTTTTTTTTTTTTCCTAAGAAACTCCCTTTTATTCATATTGGCATCAAAAGTACAAATCCTAAAGAATGCAGCATGTTGCTTTGTAGCAGAAAATGTGCAACCTTTGGTTGAGTGAAAGTAAGTCCACATCATTTGCCTGCTTCACTTTCGTTATCCAGATTTGCACAATTTGATGAGTGGGATAGTCAAGGTGAAAGATGACAGGCTGAAAGCCAAAAGTCAGACACCCAGCACCTAGAAGCACTTTGTCCTTTTCTTCAGTCTCCTTTTCACTCCTTTAAGAGCAGAATCCTATCACCAGTTCTACCCCCATGTCATGCCTCTTTCAATTATTTAACAGGGTCGCAGAGACAAGGAAGAGAATGAGAATCGAATAGATGTCATTTCTCATCCTCACCTGGAGGTTATGAAGGCTGCTGCAAGTGGCTCAGGGTGATATTCCTGGGAATGAGCTGGGGGGAAAGCAATGCTGTCAGTCTGTGATCCTCCCCCTTCAGCAGTACCTCAAATTGAGGGATTCTAAATCCATGCTGGCATTGTCAGTGCTCCCTTTGTGCTACAAAGAATTGAGTTAAATGTTGGCTAATCAGCGAGTTTTAAAAATCCTGATTAATAAAACATGCAGAGCTACACCTGCTCCTCCAATGCTCCAAGACTCTTCCACATGAAGTTTTTGTTCAACAATCTTTCAAACACAATGACCACATGGAGTCTCATTAAATCAGTAAAAATTCATAGTACAAAAATTTTGAAGTTCTACACCAGGGAGGAGTTTCAACAATCTACCTGCCTAATTGAGGCCACAATTTAAAAAATACGGACCAGGGTGTGACGGCAATTACTAATTGTTTTCATTTAATAGTCTATAAAATGTGTTATTCAGTCTTATTAATGCAATTATCCACAACATCTGTTTTAAACAAGAAAAATTAATGTGAATTATGCTAATTTCATTGCTGAAAGCAAATAATAATATGGAAATTTCCTGATTTTCATTACATAAAATTATTTTCACACTATTAGCATACTCAGTGGAATTCACTCTAAGCACATGGGACTCTAATACTCAATTCAGACTCAAGAGAGTAGTTGGAAAGTGCTTTTCTGAAGAAATGAAAAAGAGAATTAGCCTTTCTACCCCTTGGCATTCACCCTGTAGTGTCAGATTCACACCTGCTAAAAATGCATTTCATTTGGTTAATACAGAGCATTAACCTGTATGCTCTGGGTAAATGTGCTCTCAGCGCAGGCTATTCAAAAATTAATGTTTGTGATTGCTGTACCCAGATCCCAGCTATTTCCCATCTCATAAGCCAGTTGCTGCACAGGTAACAAAGCAGGAAACTATTGCAACTGCCCTTTGGCAAAATATCATTCTGAGTCCTTAATGTTGTAAGTGACATAACATTCTACCAAAAATATAGCTTAAACAATAAAGGACATATATCAAATCACTTCATTGGAAAATTGTTTGGTTTTTAACAAGGATTGGTTTTAAAGAAGGACTGATCCACTAGCCCAAACAATATTACCCAGAGTCTATTTTTTTTCTCTCTCTATGTTCTGCCTATTTCCAAGTAAACTTCAGCATTGGGAGCATCTGTGGTCCCTTTGAAGCTCCAACCTTTTCCCTCAGTATATCTCACATGTCCTTATACAAGCCACCCATTAGGAGAAAGCAAGTTTACTTCAGAAGTCTTCAGGACAAAAAGGTGTCTCTTCCCAAAAACCATTTTAAAGGTTCAGTGTGTGCCATTGATTCAATGGAATCAAGTATCCATTCCTGAACCAGTTACCAAGACAGAGTATTGTGATACACGGATTATTTTAAGCCAGTGAAGGCCCATCCCAAATCACATGACTGAGAATGGGGAGGGTTGGTTCTCTGAACACTGTTACCAGAAGCAAACATGGATGACGTACAGTAATCACAACAGATGTCCATTAGAGGTGAGTCCTCACTACTCAGGCCTATCCTGCCTGAGACAAATATGCATTTGAAGACAAACACGGCCTTTGTGTGCCAAAGTGAAGCATGGCCACATGATCATTTTCAAGGGATAATAGAAGAAAATAAAATCTTATTTTCAAAATGAGATCTAGTTAAAATGTACTTTTTTCTCAAAGAGACAAACTTGAAAGGCTGAGTTATCTACTCAAGATTAAGAGGCCTTGATGAAGCCAGAATTCTATTTCAAATATTCTGAATTTTGTCCCAGTATCCTCCCTACTAAATTACTTTGACCATTATTATTTATTTTTTCCATATTTTCTGAATTTGAATAAAATGAATTCTAGTCATATTTTATAATAGCACCCAATGTATATTCCATCTGATCTTATGAATCATGGGCAGACACTGTAACAAAAAGAAAACAAAACTCCCCCCACTTAGAGGTTAGCAGGTTTGGGGGTTACATTTACTCTTTGGGGATAATAATTTGGTGTCTGAAAAAAAGATTGCTAAATGACCTGGTAATAGAAAGAGCAGTAGACTGGTAGTCAATGGCCTGCATTTTTGTCCCAAATTCACCACTAACTAGTTGTGTGACATTGGCAAACTCTTTATTCTCTATGGACTTCAATGATGGGTTGTAAATTAAAATGAATAATTTTTAAGGAACTTTCTGATTCTGGGATCCTTTGTTTCTACCAACTTTGCTTAAGTAATGTGAAAAGGTTAAGTTGTCTTAACTGTAAAGAAAAAATGTAAGACTTGAGCCCAGAGTAGCTGAATACTAATCTCAGCTCTGGCCCTGAGACTAAATATGTTTTTTTAACTTTTTAATTTTTTTACTAAAAATTTTTACTAAAAATTTTTTTTTAGTAAATTTTACTAAAAATTACTAAAAATTTATTTTACTAATAAATAAATCAGTAACTTGTCCATTATGTTCAAAAGGAAAAATATATATCACAAAAAGCCATATTTTTTCCAGGTTACTGGAATCTCTACCAAAAGAGATTCCCCAGTAACAGATCTCCAGCTACTTTGAAAAACAAGAGATGGCCCATGAGCTATCATTGGAAAGGCAAGTAGAAGATCTTAAAAGGGATATCTCAGGAAGAAAAACTAAATATTCTTTTTGGAAAAAAATGTAAAAACTGAGGTAGAGAAATATTACAAAATAATGGCAGCAGTAAAGAAAATGTACATATAAACAAAGGGGTTTGGTTTTTGTTTTCCTCCTAAATCTTTCTAAAGCATGATAGCCATGTGTGGTCAGCTTGAGAGTGAGAAGGATCAGAAGCAAATAACTCATGTTTTGTTTTTCCCTCTTAAGTCCCTCCCATCATCTAAGGTATAGACTCAGTGTGTTGTGAAAGAATATAGCAGCATGCAGCGCAGGTGCCAGAAACAGCCTTGGCCCCATCCATGCTGTATCTCTACACTTACCACTCATAGACACATTTGCTTGCAAATCCCAGGGAAGTATAAGGAATATGTGCTAGAGGTCGACTAAATACTGGAATTTATACAATTATTAGAATTTCCAGATCTAGAGTAGGAATTCAAGCTACAGCTACAGGGCTAAGAATGTGATTAATAAAATTCACTGCCCTTGTAAGAGACAGATGTCTTTTAGACCCAAATCTCGAATGTGAATTAATTACAGCATAGTAAGTGGTGTTCACATATCTAAAAAAGAAGAATGAATTAATAGAAGCAAATGGTCTATTTAGAAAAGTAGGCAAATAAGATATAAAGAGGGTAAACTGTCAGATTCTGACATTCAACCAGAAAAGAAAAAGAAATCTGGAACTATGAACCATTTTGAAGAGGTATCTTCTCCCAAAGCTTTCCCGAGAATGTGGTTTTCCCAAGGTGTAGGTGAACCTAAACCATTTTATTTCCTTTATCAATTCCATTTACCAAGGAAAATCTGATTACTAATTTCCTTCCAGAACCCTCCTGGAGCTAAAACTCAAACATTCCATCACATATATACAGTCTCCAAGTGTAAATTAATTATTTTGACTACTGTATTATGTTAAATTTTCTGTAGCTTCATAATGGACCAATATCTACTCACTTCATAAGAAGTGAAGTGGTTTGTAGTAACCACTGGTTTTGCTAACAACATCTTCTGCCAGGACTGCAAGTCTAAGGCACTTCATTTTAATTGCCTAATCAATCTCCAGAGTTGGTGCCTCTGAAAGATAAACCTACATCCCTTCTCTAACCCTTAATATCAACTGTATTCAAACTGGACATAATATATTATTTTGTGTTTTGTACTTCCAGGGTTATTAACCAAACAGAGATGATTATAATATTATGGCATACAAAATATGTCAAAATATATTTTCATTATAAAGCTAGAGATAGGAGTTACTTTTTAAAATCTTAAAATATAAAAGATCTATGCTGTTAAAAAATCAACAAAAGAATTTTTAGAAATATTTTCTTGATATCCTTAACAGGATGGATCTTCTGTATTTTAACTATGATTGACAGTTTTCTAATTCTTTTCTTCATATGGCTTAAGAAATCTGATATCAAGTTAATACATTAGTTAAGAGTCACTAAATTTTGAATGAAGTTAAATTACATTAAATTCAAATGAGTTTTTAATTTACTAATTTAAATTAATTACAACTAAATTCTTAATTCTGAAATTAGATCATTTTCCTAATGCACATAGGCATGCTTTGGATAACTTTAGGACAAGCAAGAACATTAAGGAAACTTCAAGAAAGGATGTTTCTCATTTGCTCATCAGGAAATGTCCATATATGTACAAGATGTTTTACTTTTCTTTAGAAAGCATCGCCACTTGAAATTACAGAAATCATTGATTCTTCTTGCTGTCCAAAACACAGATGTATGCTGTTTAATTTATCCACTTTAAAGGCATTTACAATTCTTTTAGACTATTTAGTTAGCTTATCAAAACAAGTTATTCGGCGGCCTACAAGATTGACTAATATGTTTTAAACATACTTTTAAAATAAAACTTTTAACTACATCCTATAGAAAACCAAGAAGCATTTGAAACATTATAAGTGCTTCCCTTTCTGATATTCAGAACTGTATCTCTTTTTAGAAATTATACGAAGGCTCAGAGTTTCCTTTCCTTTTCTCCTAATTAACCTCTTCTTTTTTTTTTTTTTTTTTTTTTTTTTTTTTTGAGATGGAGTGTCTCGCTCTGTCGCCCAGGCTGGAGTGCAGTGGCGCGATCTCGGCTCACTGCAAGCTCCGCCTCCCGGGTTCACGCCATTCTCCTGCCTCAGCCTCCTGAGTAGCTGGGACCACAGGTGCCCACCACCACACCCGGCTAATTTTCTGTATTTTTAGTAGAGACAGGGTTTCACCGAGTTAGACCAGGATGGTCTCGATCTCCTGACCTTGTGATCCGCCCGCCTCGGCCTCCCAAAGTGCTGGGATTACAGGCGTGAGCCACGGCACCCGGCCAACTTCTTCTTTCTTTAAGAGTGCCCACTAACTCCCATTGTGACACATTAGAGTGTTTTTTGACCCTGAAAGAAACAAAGCTATACATGTTTTAATAATTCAAGATATTTGTGAAGATGTTTAAAGATGTGGATTAATACCCATATCTTGATAACAATTGTGGCTAATTTTACTTAACAAAGAATAATTTCATTATTATTTCTAACATGAATAAAAAACATTTGTTTGCTCTTAAAAATTATATAAGCCATCTCAATTTATCTAATTCAGGCCAAGTAGACATCTACAGAAAGAGATTTCTGGCGAAGACCTGGAATTGACACAATGTTGTTTTCTTTTCCAAATATTACTCAGATGCTGATCATTCCAGATACCAAACAAATTTGCCACCCAATATGTTCACATAAAGTTTTCTTCAACATTATCTTAAATTTATCCAGAAATTTATACTGTGAGTAAGCAATGTATAACTTTTATGAATCTTGCTTTTGGCATTTCTATACCTATTTGCAGAATTGATCAGTGTACCCCACCTTCCCCACCTAACACCAACAAACTTAAGAGAAACCTGTTTCATATTCTAATAATCGCATTTCCAAGTCAAAGGAAACAGACACTCTAGAGAATGTGCCTGAGCATTCTGGGCTGCTGAAGTTTCTTTACAAAGATTTTTAATTCTCAGAAATTCCAGAAATATTTGATGTGTTTATGATGAGGCAATTACTAATGTAAAAGTATCTCTTGCACTAACTTAGAGAAATCTCCCAAAGTTATCTACAAATTCTAGCCACATCAAGAACTCATTGCCATTCAATGACATTTTCAAAATCAGTTCAAATAAAGTAGAAAGAGGCTGCAAATATATTTTCTCATTTGAAGATGTACTCAAATTTATTAGTCTTTTCCTTTCAAACACTCCTTGACACTACACTCCCATTTCCTTTATTTTATTTGCTTTATTTTTTGTCTGCTGCTCCCTCTGTCTCCAGCAGCTATTCTTGAGGGAAAAAAAAGGTTAACATGTAGAACTGGAGGTAGACAAAGCCCATCTCCTACAAAGCTAAGGACACCTGAGGACTAGAAAATAGTTATGTTAAAGAGACAAGAAGATTACAGTTTCCGGCATTCTATCTCAAGCTCCCTTTTAGGGGAACACGACAACATTTATGATATTTCCACTCAATATCCTTGACTGTGTTGAGTTCAATCCCTTTCTTAAAAACCTTTGAAATAAGTTTCCAGCATATGATCTTTCAAGCAGTTTAACTTAGAACAACTGCCACTAAATTTCCCTGCAAAATAAAGGCTCACCGTAAGAAGTTGAAAATTATAACCTGTGTGAAGTTTCAAAGAAAGCTTTTTGTCATGAGGAACAAAATATAAATGTACAGATATCAAACAACAGTCATACACAACCATGCACTGCCAACGAATGAAGTGCAAATAGATCTTATGAGGCTCTAACTCATGTTATGTATTCAGTGTCATAACTGGCTTCTCTGTCCCTTTGTTAAGACAGTTATATTCAAATATCCTAGTTTAATGGGCAGTGAGGAAAACCAGCCAGCATCACCAGTTCCACTATGTGAAAATGTACCACAGCAATGTCCAGAGCCAACCCAAAACAGCCGGTTGTAACCCACAAGCCATAAAAGTCAAAAGTGACTCCATAGATTGTTTAGAAAAAGAGGCAAAAGTTTCCATCTGTCAAGTAGGAAGTGTCCCTATGGATCTGGCTCCTCTCTTCATTCACAAAATAGAGGTGAAGTTTAATATGTCCCTGCCAGTTATAAGTAATTCTCTTCCAATCTACTGTTACACACTGACAGCTGGGATCCAGCTGCTCTGAAGCCCTTGCCATGTCCCACGGTGCAGAGAGCAGTGTTGGCAACAGTGGCTTGGCTCTCTGATTTTATTAAATTAAACCTCCTCTTACCTCGACTTCCTTGTTCTTCTCTTTGTTTCTGCCCATTGAATTTCTCCCATTGCTGGCAGTCTCCCGTGCTGGGATTACGGAAATCTGGTGGAGGGGCATATTGGCAGGGCTGCAGGTGGCCAATCCCTGATTGGATGCCTTATCTCTTCACTCGCCCTGAGTAGCCCACCTGCACAATTGTTCATATCCTTGCTTTGCCAAGCTCAGGTCTAAACAAAGAGGGGAAAAATAGTGTTTGAGACACTGTGCAGCAGAGGCCAGAGTCTTCTGGTCAAAATGTTAAACACATTGAAAGGGGAGTTAAAAGAAATGCAAGAACAAATAATCCAGGGAGTACTGCATTCTCCAAAGGATGATTTACTGCAAGTCATAATTGAACTGCTTTGTCACTGGAGCACCCCCTCTCCCCTAAGAGCATTGTGGGAGACAATTCAATTTCTATGGTACCTAATAACTGTCATGGAAACCAAGGAAACCTAGGTCTCACAGGCCCTTATTAGCAACTGCTTCCTTTAATGGCACAGACTCCCACATTTGCAGCGGCTGCCGCTTTGTTTTTGTTTATCCTGATTCCCCAGGAGTCCACTAAGCACCCAGAGACACTGCATCTTGCTGACTACGTAAATAAGCAGACGGCTGAAAAGCTTAGTGTCCTATTTGGAGCCAAATCTCTTCCTTGAGAAGCGCGGCTAGCTGGCTGTGTCCTTCATGCATCTACAATAATCTGCTTAGGTCAAAGGATCTGCCCTGAAGTGAAGAGCATCGCATGAGATCGAATGAGGTGTTGAGAGAGAGAGAGAGAGAGAGAGAGAGAAAAGAAGAGAGACCTGGAGCAATTGCAGATGTCTTTTTCTGGATGGTTGTAAAGAGAGTTAACCATTCAGTGCACCTTTCTTACTAAAACATCAGCAACAGGAGTCAGAAGGCATCAGTTAGTCTGAAGCATAGAGCTCTATACTACTCATTTCAGCTTTATTGCAACTTCTGTGCTCCCCGAAATATATGTTTGAATTACTAGCAGCTTCTCCTTGCTTTTCCATAAAGGAAACAGACTTTACTATTACTGTCCTCTCAAAAGTTATACAATTTGGAAGAAGTAAATGGTTAATCAGAACTTCTGCTTTTTAAATTTAAAAAAAATTCCTTTTAAAACATCCTACTCTCTCAGTGAAGTAAATTCTTAAATTACATTAACTTTGTAAAAATAACTTTCCCGCATGATTATTCCCTCTTTTTCAGGGTGTTTGGCACTCTGTCTTTAAAAGGACAGAATTTTCTTTTCTCATTTTGAGATGTACATTGTATATTTTCTGCATATTGTGAATAGATCAGATCTCCCACTGTTTTTTGTGTTTGTTCACCCCAAATGAAGCATAATTCAGAAAGTTCCTCGTTTTTATATACTCAAGTACTGCTTATAAGTTAGAATTTTTCCCTAATCACAGAGATCTTCAAAGTGATTTCTAGTTGCAATTCATCTCTACCTGTCTTTGTATTATACAGCAATAATATCATTTCCATTATGACATTACAATTTGTTTAAACTCAGGATAGAGATAAAATGTGAAAAAAGATCTGTACTGCTGTTGGCAATAAAGCCAAAAACAATATATGTAAAGACTGAATTAACATCTTCAATTTAAATATTCACACTGAAATAAACATTTCAATGTATTTACAACTTTGGTCCAAATATGTTTTCATTTCAACCTAAATTAGCCACCTGCCCATGGTTCTAACCCCTACCATCCATCAAGATCAGCTAGGGAGATTTTATAATGCATAGATCCCTAACAGACACATTTTCAGGAGGGCTGCAGTGGAGACAAGAAGGGTACAGTTCTGAACTGGACAGTTAAAAAAAAAAATTACAGATGTTTCTGATACAAACCAATTTTGAGAACCATTCCAGTGCATCACGAAAATAACCTCAGCACAATAAGCTCATTAAAGTTCATATAGAGACAAATCTCTTGCTTAAAATAGTTTTAAAAAATAGGTGCCTCAAACCTGGCATTTATTCATCATCATACTTAAGCTTACAGAATGTATTTGTGACATACAGGAGCTTTAATGAAAGGACTAAAAAGCCAGCCTTTGCCAAAAATGCCATGTCTACAGTTAAAACTAATAATTCTTAAATTTTCTGTAGCTTAATGTTCACATCTGTGGCCTGTGTGAGAAGTTCCTTAATTTAATAATTTTTAATCCCTCTATCTAGAAGGACTGTCTTAATTAAGAGAATGCTGGAAATAGAAGTCTGTAAATCTAACAGTGTGTGACAAATACTAAAATGTAAATTATGAAACTCTTTAGAAAAGTAATATTGTCAGTGTTTAGGTCCATGAAATGTCCTCTGAAAAGCCAAGGCAGCTTTCCAGATAAATTCAGACTTCAGTAGTTTTGCTTAAAATATTCATTAAAGTTATAGGAAAGAAGATTTTTAGCTTGAATTAACTAAATGGCTGTCTTAATCCTTTACCTCATTATGCATATGAGGTTATCCTTTGTTTGCTATGAGATTTTTCAGAAATCAGATTTTAATTTTGAGTTAATTTGATTTATGTGGTTGAGTTATTTCAATTAGCTTTCTTTTATCCTAACATTTAAAATATAAATTGAATTTCTGGAAAAGTGAATTTATTTCTTAGAGTATTTTACATGGTAAACAAGAAGAGGTTTGTTATATCTTTTTAAGCAAATGTTTTAGCAATAACTTAAGAAAAATTAATAATCAGTCTGTTTAATAAATATTTATCTAACATTGTATTAGGTATTGCCACAAATTGAACTTTTAAAATTTTCCAACTGTATCAGGGGAAAAACATGCTTTTAATACTTTGTACATTCTAATACTTCGCTGCCTTGGAACACTGAATACACATCAGCTAATATCAATGTCTTGCACTTACCTAATACCTTTCCTCAAGCAGCTTCCATAGTGCTCTGCCAACTAGAAACAATCAGAAGTCTCTGGGGTGACTCATTATGTAACAAACTCAAACTAAGAAAATTGTTGTGGAATGCATTTCTCCTATGGGAGCATAGTTCATCTTGTATAGTAATTAAACCCTGTGGAGTCACAAGGAGCAATGGACCCAGCAACTGAGCACTGACAGACACTGGCCAGAATAATCGTGGATACAGGAATCATTCAGCTCAGCTGCATCTACATATGTGATCACATTATGTGATCCAGATTTTTAAACTTGATTTTTGTGGAAACTATGGACTATAATTACTGTTGAAATCATCCTGGAACATTCACTCTTCACTGACTACTTTTTCCATATACATGTCTAAATTGTATTTGTTTTGCTTCTACATTCTGGCTTCCAGCCCTCGGCTCTGGGGACAGGTTCCTCATTCCCACCTCTGGCTCCAAAATTTGGCATTTTTACATATTAACTCTAATACTCAGACCTCAGTTTTCCCCCAAGAGATTCTGATTTGGTGCTGTTCCTTATTCTCAGTGGCCTAGGTTGTCTCTAGTTTAAAAGGTAAACAAAGAAAAATATGCATCTCTGGTAGCATAAGACCAGCTTGATCTTTGTCAGCTGCAAAAAAAAAAAAAAAAAAAAAAAAAAAGGCCTCCAAAGCATTTATTTTGATCGCAATTAATCAAGAAAGGAAACCCAGTGTTGGGCCAAGACAAGGAACCAAGTAAACATCTGCTAACACATTAAATGGATAGACTGAAAATTCAATTCGATAAACATTTGTTAAGCATCTTCTGTGTTTTCTGAACCATGCTAGGAATTAATGGGCAGCAGGTAATGTATAAAATTATGTGGCATAATATCTGTAATCAAAGAGTTCGTTGTATCATTAGGGAAATAAGATTTAAGGAGGTAAGTCAATTGAAAAAATATGTGGCATATGGCAATTAATATCTGAAAGACAATATAGAATAATGAAAGTAAATATCAAAGAAGCTTTGAGCAACAATAAATAATATTAGATCTAAATACATAAAGAAAGTCTTAAGGACGAATTGAGGCCTCTATTGTGCTTGGTAGACATAAGGTGATTAAATCATTTCAAGGCGTAGAGATGGTGTGAGATTGGCATATGAGAGTTCAGGATGCTATTTTAAATAACATAGAAAATTTGTTTAAGATTATTAATTGGTTTAGGCCATATATAGTTATTAGGATCACCACTTGAAAGGAGAGAGGAAGGAAACCAGACCCCAGACCTGGCAGAAAGAAAAATCCTATGAGCAATATAAAATTTTATTAATTATAAAATATAAAATTACATTACTTATAAAATATAAAATTATATTTTATATTTATATTTATAAAATTATAAATGCATTGATACAAGACAGAGAAGTAATAAAGATAAGAACCTTAAGTTATTTCTGAAAATAGAAACAAGGTACACTGAGTTGGAAAAAGAATATTTCACTACAAATCCCTGGTGAAAGGGAGGAAACCTGGATTGAATGGGTTTTCAAAGTGTCATTGCAAAGAGTGTCAAATGGCCACCGTCAAAGATTACTGGGAAGAACATATGGATAAGTTATCATGGCACAAAGAATTTATGTTATCTTGTAAAGGAGACGGAGAAGGAACTTGAATTTAAAGGTATTGTTACTGGGGAAATTATGAAGCATACACTTATGTATTAATTGGAGAGTTAGGGAACAACCCATGCTAGCAAAACAAGCTTAGTGGAAATAATGAGAGGGAGTATAAAACGGAAAAATAATTAACATTTCTGGTTATGTGTTTATAAAAAAATCTACAATGTAATAAAGCATTTCTAAAATGCTTGTATGTTTATGGGTTTTGTCTGATTATTGGAATCCAATTGTGACTACACTTAGTATGTGCAAGTATCTTGTGTAATTACAACATCTTTTTAATGTAAGTATTCTGTCTCTGAAGACCTTTCAGAAGCGACTGAATGATCAGCCTTCAATACCAAATACAGTATAATGGATCAGATGAATTCTTAAGATCTTTGATTCTATTGTCTTGAAATTATTTTTCCTAATTTTGGCCACATATATTTTCTGAAGTTGAGCAGATTACAACATAGCCAAGACATTCATTTCAGTCTGTTGGAGAATCAATAGCAGTCACCACAATCACATAATATGTGTGATAATTACAGCATGCCCTGAAGAGTCAGTTATACTAGTTTATATGATTTATATTATGCTCATGACAAAAGAACATCATCACAAACTGAGTCTTTCAAATAACACTATGGGACTGATCTTTGCTCCTTTCTAATTTGTTGAGAGACTAAAAAGAATCATTTTATTAAATCCTTTTTTAAAAAGGGTAACATGTTAGAAGTAATCAAAATATCTAAGGAAGGTACAGGGGTATTAATAATTAGCTTGTGAATATAATTTAGGATTAAATAAAATCAAATTTCTATATTCTATTTTACTTTGTTGAAAAGACATATGGAATGAAAATTTTATTTAAAAACAAGATTTATTTTGGCAAATAAAGTTAGCCTCAGTCTTACTCTCCAAGTAAATAAATGTACAAGCTAATCTTTGTTAATGTTCTCTGTAGCTTTCAAAATATTAGTAAATCTAGCTGAACAAGGAGCAAAATAGAAAAAACTGTTTCGGAGGGCCAGTATGTATTTCTTCACTTATCTTCAGAAAATGTAAAGCAGTCATCCCAAAAGAGGGAACTGGAATCATGGCGGAAGGTCTTTAATTACTGCTTGCCTCAGAATTGGGTCAGAACCTGTCCACTCTTATCGCTGAAGAATGATAGAGAAAAAGTGTGTGTGTGTGTGTGTGTGTGTGTGTGTGTGTGTGTGTGTGTGAGTGTGGTGGGGAGGAAGCATTCTCACACAGGGCTGTAAGGCTCCTTCCCCTTCCATATTCTGAAACTTCACTGTCAGTATCTCTGGGGTCCTCAGAAACCCTGGTATTCTCAAGCCTAGTGGCACAGTTTCCTAAGCCATTTCATGAGGAGATATACCTAATGCTAAATGACAAGTTAATGGGTGCAGCACACCAACATGGTACATGTATACATATGTAACAAACCTGCATGTTGTGCACATGCACCCTAAAACTTAAAGTATAATAATAATAACATTTAAAAAAAAGAAAGAAGTAGTAGTTTCCTCTTATAAGTGTCAAAATTCTGACTTAATGCATCAGAGAATTAAAAACTAAATTTAACAAAGTGTTTCCTGTATGATATTAAGGTTCAAGCAAAGGAGTCCTGGACCTAACAGTCCTAATCAAGCACACATACACACACACACACACACACACACACACACACACACACACACACACACACACACAAAACAAATGCATTATTTTGGATTCCTAAAGTTTGTCTAGATGTAGAGATACATGTATCTGCTCAAATATTATTTTTATGCCTTGTAATGAAATATCTTACTAGTTTTTTCAAGGAAAAACACCCTCAAACTGTGATTTTCTATTTTACACAGAAGACTTCTGTGACCAAATGTGTAGGTTTTTTTCCCCACATACCAAACAAACAAGCAATTCTGCAGCAGACACCAGCCGGGTGTCACCCAAATTCAGTTCTACCTGGAGATAGTATCAGATCCCACAGGTTCAGGGCTCAGTCTCACCAGACTGTCCCCCAACCTTCAGACACCAGTCACAAGTCCAGACTTCTGGAACTTCTGACTTCAAATTGGGGTTCCCACAACCCCCTCCTTAGGTTCAATGAGTTTGCTAGAGAGGCTCACAGAACTCAGGGAAATATTCAGGTGTATGGGTTTATTACAGAGGATACAGATGAAGAGATGCATAGAGCAAAACATGTGAGAAAGGGTGCCAAGTTTACATGTATCCCCCACCCAGGAACCTCCACATGTTCAGCCATCCATAAGTTCTCTGTATCCAGTCCTTCTGGGTTTTTATGATATGATTGATTAAACTATTGGCTGATGTAATCAATTTAACTTTCACCCTCTCCCTCCTCCTTGGAGGAGGGGTTGGGCTAAAAGTCCCAACCATCTGCAATCCTGCTTGGTGTCTCTGAGTGACCAGCCTTCATCCTGAAGCTACACAGGGGCTGCCAGCCATCAGTCAACTCATTAGTATGCAAAAAAGACATCACTTTGGCAATTCTAAGGATTTTAGGAGTTGTATGCTAGGAAAGGGGTCAAAGACCAAATATGTATTTCACAATATCACAAGTCTTTATTCAGTTTAAGGGGAAAATGGCAACATGGAATTTTATATTTTAAAGGCAAATTATAAAGCACCCTACCATTTGACGACCAGTTTAAGTCCTGGAAAACTGAGTGTTTTGACATCATTGAAGGCTAGTAGATGGCAGAAACAATGTAGAAAAATCTCCTGATCCAGAGACCCCTGTTCTTTCATCAATTTCTGACCCTATTTGATGAGTATAAAGCATAGGTATGTTTTAAGTAAAAACCAAAAATCAACAATCTAATAAGTACATTTATTTACATGTAATTTATTTACTTTTTACTACTGGGAATAGTTCTGAAAAGAATATATTTTATAATATAATTCTGAATTACATGCATAGCCTCTTTGGAAACTATATTTTACTAAGTTTTTTATATCTGAAAGATCCAATTTTTTTATTACTGAAGGAATAGTTAAGTTTGAGGGATGGCTGTTTTTTCTCATCATATTTTTATTCTCGTGGTTCACTGATTATGAAAAATCACAGGTATAATTAATCTAACATTAGTAATGTTATTATTTTTTGGAATAAATGATGCTTATGACAAATAATTTTTATAGTATAATTAGTAACGTGGAAAGTGCTAGAAGAAATAATGGGTCAAAGTTCAGAAAGTCAATATATATTCTTCTTTCTATATCTGGTAGATTTTAATAATGAAAGAACTATTACTATAAAATTATAATTTGTATTTTCTGCTGCTGAATATGCTATATTCCTAAAGTTCCAAAACAATCAGCAGACTTACGAAATTTGGTTAAAATAATTGTCCTGGTAACTACGTATGGGCATAGCCAATATGTCATTTTTTGTGTTCTTGGAAGAATAAAGATATAATTAGTTGACTATATAAATATTGATTTTCATTAGTTGTTTATAGATACGCATTCATATATTTTTAGCCAAATCTGATTCAACCTAAAAACGGCATCAATCTTCCCCACCAATTCCTACAGAATCCCCTATAGATATTATCTTCAATTTAGAATGGTCTTATTAGGTCTACATATATCTATGGTATTTCACCCAGAACTCTTCTCAGTCAAATGTAAAAGTTATTAGAGTATTTGTTAAATTGGGAAATCTAACAAACATACATGCACACAGGGAGAACACCATGTGAAGACTGGAGTTACTCTCCCACAAATCAAGGAACTACCAGAAGCTGCGTCCTAAAAGATGCTTCCCTAGTGCTTTCAGAGTGAGCATGGCTATATCAACACTTTGATCTGGACTTCTAGCCTCCAGAACCATGACAATATATTTCTATTGTTTAAGCCATGCAGTTTTTGGTACTTTGTTACAGCAGTCTTAGGAAACTAAAACACTTCCACAGACAGGTCCATTGATTCATTGTTATTGTTAACCCTCTGCATAACACTCAGATGATAGCAATGGGCATCAAATCCAAGAGAAACAGCCAAGATAGGAAGAGAAGACAGAGGATGATGCAGTGAGGGCCAAGAGCAGAGAAAAGCAAAGCCTCAGAGTAGTCTGAGAATGAAGAATATGAACCAGTGTTTGCATTTTATAAGTGTTACCCTACATGTTGGTTACAGGGGGCTTGAAGGAGCTGTTTGAGGCTAAAAAACAGTATGGGAGCAGGTGGTAAATGATCAAAGGCAAATGGTAATCCAGGTGTATTTTGAAACACTAGAACATATATTTCCTAAGTCTTGAACATAGTCCAACAGTTAGAGGTCCATCTGAGTCAGTATAAGAAAGATAATTATGACAATTTGAGCTCTGTAAAAATAAACAAGGGCTACTCTCGTAGTACCAAACTTTAATGTTCAAGTGGGAGATATACAACTACTTACTGGGACAATTAATAAATTAATTCAAAAATATTTTTAAAGGCTGGGTTCAATAATTTCTGAAGTACCCTTTAATTTGGGGTTTCTGTGACATTAGATATTGTGTTTACTATTTGTACATAGGTTGTTTCTTGTAAAGAAATGGTTCCTTATATAGAGAAACCTTGTATAGTAATATATTTTGCTAAAGAGCAGTCCATATGAATAGACAAGGAGTATGCTGCTGTTGATGGTTTACCATAAAGCAGAAACACTGAAGAAAAAGGTAAAGGAGATAATAGTTGTTCAATCTTATCAAAGAAGAAGACTTAAATAATCAGCTTGTGGAAAAAAAAGTAAGATATAATGGTCTAGCTATTGACTATTTGATTTTCCATTACACATTTGTTATCTATAATTTAAAGTAATTGCCTTAAATACACACACACACACACACACACACACACACACGTAGATTCTACATGCAAAATGTCTAAAAAAAGATATAAGTAACAAAAGAGATTCTTAATATAGGTACTAAAAATTGTTTTATTACCCTAAGAAAATTTCACAGAGAAAAAAAAATTCAATAAAAAGGTGAGAGGGCATAAAATAAATTATAAAATATAATAAAATATTTGAAAATAAGCTATTGAATATTTAAAAGTACCATTACAACTACTCTATAAGAATAAATCAGAAGACTTATTAGATATTATATCATTTTTATAGACTATTCTCTATCTATACTAGGCCTCTAAAGTCTCATACATTAGAGCATTGTAACAGTCATTCAGATTTTTAAAAACTTTAAACAATATTAATAATCATATAGATCTTTCAATACTCTAAAGCAGTAAAGTTCTGGTGTTTTTATATTATTTTATATAAATAGCATTAATACTCATGTTAATTAATATTAACACAGGAGTACTATGTTAATATTTTGATTAAATAAATGAGATAATGGCTGTTGAGCTAATTAGCATATTCATTACCTCATACACTTATTTGTTGTAAGGAAAATTAAAATCTACTCTCAGCAATTTTCAAGAATACAACATATTGTTATTAACTATAGTCACCATTGTGTACAAAATAGATATCTTCTATCTAACTAAAATTTTATATCCTTTGACCAACATCTCCACAACTTTACCCTCCTATCCTCGGTAACCATCATTCTACTCTCTGCTTCTATGAGTTCAACTTTGTTAGATTTCACATACAAATGAGATTATGCATCATTTATCTTAATGTTCTCCAGCTTCATCTGTGATGTTGCAAATGACAGGAATTTTTTCTACTTTTAAAGGCTGAATCATCATTCCATTGTCTGTATTTACCACATTTTCTTTATTCATCCACTGATGGACACTTAGGTTGATTCTATATCTTAACTATTGTGAATAGTGCTGTAATAAACATAGAAGTGCAGATATCTCTTAGACATAGTGATTTCATTTCCTTTGGATATATAGCAAATAGATTGCTAGATCATATGGTAGTTACAGTTTTCAATTTTTAAGGACCATCCATTCTGTTTTTCCTAGGACTGCACTAATTTACATTTCCAGTAACAGTATACAAGGGTTCCCTTTCCTGTACATCTTCTCCAACATGTATATTCCTTCATCTTTTTGGTAATTATCATTCTAAAAGATGTGAGGTGATCCCTCATTAGCCATTACCCAATGTATATATATTTCAAAACATGTTGTAGTTTATAAATAGATATTATTTTGGTTAAAAAAAACCGACAAAAAATGAAAATAATGCATGTAAACTCCTTGGTACATGGCTTGTCAAAGAAAAAGTACTAATTAATAGTTAACCACTCATATTTGAAGCTTAAAGTTACCTAATAAAGGCTTTAATCAATTTAAAAGTACTTAGTTTGCAAAAAAGATGGATATTAAATATTTTAAAAATAACAATTGAGTATATTTCTTGACACTCTACTTAAGAGTATTCAAACACACAGTAAAACTGGGTATCTTTTATGTAAAGAGAATTATTTCCACTAGTTGATTAAATATAAAGATGCTTATCAAACAGCACTTTTCAAAAAATAAGAGTTATAAAAAAGCCATATACCTCACATCAAAACTGTAGTTTAAAGGATGCAATTTTTCATAATGGGAGTGTTACAGTACCATTATAAATTTGAATTATTGTATTGAAGAAAATAATAATGGCAACATTAATTGCTATTTATTGAGCCAACTCATATCTGCCAAATAATGTAGTAAGCATTCTACATATATATGTACATATAAATATACATATATATGTATAATTTAATTTGTTCCCCAACACAATCTTCCTAGGCATGATTATTATCTCCATTTAACAGAGAAGGAAACTAACTTGCCCAAGGTCCCACATATAGTTAATGACTGATTTATATAAGATTACATTTAACTCTGTCTGATACCAAAAAACTTAATAACAACATGTTAATAAAGAGTTCTGATGTACAGAATGCAGATCAAATATGATATTAATTGTGCGAGGTGATAATCAGATTGATCATGGATCCCTGATTACACTGCCCTTGAAATCCATGCTGCAAAGCCAAGCAGGCAATGCATGTGGTATTATTAGAATGTCCTTCTGGTTTTGATAATAATAACACTCAGATCAAGGCACTCTATAGTAATGTTTTTGCTATCATAAGTTTCTATACTACTTGGCCATTTTCCCAAGAATAAGTAGTCAATAGAGTACTAATAGGTCAAAAATATAAAACATTAACTTTAAAATAATTGAAAAAATAAATGAAACATAGATATGCTAAATAATACTTTAGGCCATATTATGATTTATTGAAATGAAAAGATAAGTGTTCAGCAAGACATTATTTCTTGAAAGTCTTAACAGATGGTAGTTGCCAGGGATGCCAGAAAACAAAATTAATTCACTACCCTCAAATCTGTAGGTTTTGGATGGAAAATTCAATAAAATATTCAGTAGATTCAAATATATGAGAAAAGAGAAAGATTTAGAGAAAGAGAAAGCACAAGAGAGAGAGACTGAGAAACTGCAAGCTTTAAGATACTTAAAAAGAATAAGCTGGATTATTTGGGTTAGAACATTTGCTGATACAATTACTAAGTTAGATAGAATGTAATTTTTTTAAGTCACTGTGGAGGTTACATTAAAGAAGAAGGAACATTTGAGCAGAGAACTAAGAAGTACTTATTCCATACAATGGATAATAGCTATACTTGGTTTGAAAATAAAATAAATTCTGTACTATGACTTTATTGTGAATATTTTACATAATTTTAAATTTGACAGCTTTTCTTTCATAGAAAAACAACCACCTAATAAAATGTTTACTATTATATGGAATAGAAACAATAGAAACAATGATTACTGTTGTTTCTAATAAAGCAATGAAAACATAGACCTCTGTTTAGAATTTTTTAATTATCGGTTATGTTTAGTTAGTCATTAAGAAGGGCTGCAATTATCCAAGGATCATTTTGCTAACAGTAGCTACTATTAACAAATGAATAAGAAATTTTAAAAAAGTGATGGACATTTAGACAATATTAAAATTATTATATAAAGCTTTCTGCTTCAGAACAGATAATTTAATGTGGCCACAGTCATATTATCCAATAGTCTACTTTTCCTTTTTAAGAAGAGGTTAATATATAAATTACCCTTTAAATTAATTCGAAAACCATTTGCTGTTAGTGTCTGTAGGGGAATAATTACTAGAAAAATACTTAGTAACTTCTCTTGTGGCCTATATATCAATAATTTAAAAGCATGTGGTTAGATTAGATAAGTGTAAAGCACATAGATACATCATGATTCCTACTAGGCACTCAAAACTGTTAGGTTACAAACACCTAGGAAGAGAATGGAAATCATAAAATCAGGTAATAATATAAGAGACAAGATAAATAGCACAGGAAAGGAAGCAGTAGGAGGTTAAAAATGAAGGTTGGGAGATTTGTTCCTCTATTGTTTTCAGGCTTTTTTCACACTGTATGCAACTGTCGCTATAAACTACTATAAAACTAGACAAAATATATGAAACAAATGGTTTTAGGCATTGTACAATAGGCAGCACAGACACATGATTCCTGAAAGTGGGAAACAAGAAGGTAATTCCTACAATTTTCCAGCTTTCTGCCTGGAGGCAATTACTTGACTTGTTGTAGAGAAGGAGTCAAAAAGCGTGCCTGGTTGTCTGTTTCATTAAGGAGATAAAGATGAAGGTGGAGAGTAATAGAGATGGATGGAATTTACAACAGCAAAGAACCAGAGAGAAACGAGCTATAAAGAGAAAGCTCCTAAAATCCGTATAACTGTCCCCTTGAGTCTTTGGTTACACACTAATTTGCAAGGTTATGAAGGGAAACTCCACAAATAAGGAAAAAAATAACTACTTAAGAGCTTCAGACAAAACAAATATCAGAGTTTACACAGACTTCAAGTTTTAGCAAATGAGAGAGCAGATAACTTATAGAATCATAAGATATTCAGCAGAGATCCCAGAACACTCATACCTTATAATAAATTATCTTCTAGACCCTCCCTAAATAAAGATTAAAACAAGCCTCTAAAGGAAGACATTAAAACTCAAGTAAACTGGCTGTTTACCAAAACAACTTACACTTTATAAGGAAAGATAACAAAATCCAGATTCTCAACAACAGAATATTCACAATATCTGGCATTGAATAAGACATGACTAGATATACAAAGAAGAAGAAAATGTAATTCTGACCTTAATCACGATTAAGGTCAGTGATGTCAAAGAGTCCAAAAATGGAGACGATTAAGTTAGCAGACAAGCAGTTATAACAGCTATTATATTAAAAAATTAATTTAAAAATCGATATAAGTAAAAAAACAAATGGAAAATATAAAAAAAGAACAACATGGAACTTTTGATATTAAAAATACCATATTTGAAATAAAAATTCACTATGTAAATGTAAAATCAAATTAGATGTTACAGAAAAAGATAATTGAACCTGAAAACATAGCAATAGATAATGTCCAAACCATAGCGCCAAAAAAAAACTTAAAAAACCAGTGAATCAGTAACATGTGGGGAAAATCAAGACGTTAAACACACATATAACTGGAGTACAAGAAGTAGAGAAAAGAGAGGAATTAATAGGAAAATACATTGAACGAAATAGTGTTTGAAAATTTTCTAAAATGTATGATAATTAAATCCACTGATCCAAGAAGCCCATCAAATCCCAAACTTAAGAAACATAAAGAAAATCAGATACAGGTATGCCAAATTCAAATTTCTGAAAACGTTTAACTAAAAGAAAATCTTAAATAATGCTGGTGAGCAAAAGGCCTGTTTCATAGAAGAGAAGAAAAATAAGAATCCTACCAACTTATCTTTAGTACATCTGAAATAAAAAAGCCTGTCAGGTATGAATTAAACACAAATGAAAACATTCTTCAAAAATGAAAGCAAAATTAACTATATTAACACACGTAATAATAGAAAATTTATGTTAGCATTCCTGAACTACAAAAAATGTTAAAGGAAATTATTCAGGCAGAAGGAAAGAATGAGAAGAGGAATAAGGAAAAATCCCAATGTAAGGGTCTTAGATGTTAAATAGCATGATGTATGCTATCTGTGCAAAATGGTATAAGGACAGAGGGCAATCAGTTAAATATTAATATTTAAATAACGGAAATCACCATAAAAAATTAAATAGATATTGCTAATAAGCCAAAGATGGCAATACAATTAAATTCTAAATGTAATCCAAAATAAGTCATGAAGAAGTAGAAAAAAAATAAAAACAAAAAGAACAAGTAAAAAATACAGCAGGATAGATTTCATATCAAAAGTCTTACACTTATATTAAATGTAAATGGTATAAACACACCAATTCAAGGCAGAAATTGTCAGACTGTATAAATAAAGCAGAAGCAAACTACAGTAGTCAACGAAAAAGTACTTTGAATGTAAGTACACATAAGTAAAATGTAAAATTATTTAAAGAGAAATATCATGTAAACACTATTCAAAACAAACTAGAATTCAGAAATCAAATAGTACTAGAAATAAAGAAACACATTTCATTATGCTAAAATAATGAGGTACCATCTCACCAGTCAGAATGGCAGTTATTAAAAAGTCAAGAAACAATGAATGCTGTGAGGCTGTGGAGAAATAGGAACACTTTTACACTGCTAGTAGGAATGTAAATTAGTTCAACCATTGTGGAAGACAGTGTGGTGATGCCCCAAGGATCTGGAACCAGAAATACCATTTGATCCAGCAATCCCATTACTAGGTATACAATGAAAGGAATATAAATCATTCTATTATAAAGATACATGCATGTGTATGTTTATTGCAGCACTATTCACAATAGCAAAAACATGGAATCAACCCAAATGCCCCACAATGATAGACTGGATGAAGAAAACGTGGTATATATACACCATGGAATACTATGCAGCCATAAAAAGAATGAGATCATGTCCTTTGCAGGGACATGGATGGAGCTGGAAGCCATTATTCTCAGCAAACTAACACAGGAACAGAAAACCAAGTATTGCCTGTGTTCACTCATAATTGAAAAGTGAACAATGAGAAAACATGGACACAGGAAGGGGAACAACACACACTGGGGCCTGTCGAGGATTGTGGGGAGAGAGAACATCAAGATAAATAGCTAATGCATGTGGGGCTTAAAAATCTGGGTGATGGGTTGATAGGTTTAGCAAACCACCATGGCACATGTTTACATACATATATATATATATGCATGTTCTGCACATGTATCCCAGAACTTAAAATAAAATACAATGAAACAATAATAATAATTTATTAGGAAGATATACAAACATAAATTGTATGCATATCATAATAGAAATCCTAAATAAATACAACAGAAATGGACAGAACCAAAAGTAGAAGTAAACTAATCTACAGTTACAGTTTACAATTTCAAAACAACTTTCTGGAATAGATGGAGAAAGCAAACATAAGGATAACCTATAACAACACTGTCAACCAATTCCACCCAATGACTGCAGAATAGAAATTATTTTATCAAGTGAAAATAAAATATTCACAAAAATAGATTATTACTTGGGCAATTAAAAAAACTCAATAAATTGGAAAGAGCTGAAATAATCATGTATATATTTTCTGGTCATAACAGAATAACATTAGAAATCACTAACAAAAAAGTCTGAAAAATCACCCCCCCCAACTGGAAGTCAAGTAATGTCTTTAAATAAAGCCCATAAGCCAGAGAAGAAATCTCAAAGACAACTAGAAAACATTGGGAAATAAATAAAAATAAAAGAATGCCCATCAAAATTAGTGAGATGTACTTAAATAAGTGCTCCAGAAGAAATTATGGCTCTCATACTTCATGAAAGAGAAGCAAAAAGGTCTAAAAGTGATGATATAATATTTACTTTAAGCAGCAATAAAAGTAGAGCACATTAAAAAAAGGTCAATAAAAGAAAGGAAATAATAACCAAATAGAGGGTATTGGTAAACTGGAAAAAACAATAATGCAGAAAATTAGTACAACCAGAAGCTGATTCTTTGAAAAGATAAATAAATCAAAAGAAAAGTAAAAATACTCTGTTACCAATAACAAAGATAAGAGGAAACATTACTATATATTTAACAAATGCAAAAATAATTTTAAAAATTATGATCAATTTTATGTCATTAAAATTGAAAAATTAGATAAAATATTTAAATTTCTTTAAAAATGTATATTAAGAAAAGTGAAACACGAAAACAAAGTGTGAGTAGCCCTAATTTTAATACCGCAATTAAATTAATAATTTAAAACTTTCCAACAGATAGGACAACAGACTTCCAGTTTTAAAACAGCAGTGTAGAAGGAAGCTAGCTTCACTCCCCTTGCCAAAACAAAAACAAATATACAGCACCAGGATTTTCACCAGCAAGTGAACAAACTCTGAGCAGATGGTAGGATAGTTGGACTTCCACATTCACAATGTCCCTCCCTGCAACTCTGCTTGGCAACAAGTGCATGGTAATCTTCCCCCAACTTATGGTTTCTATACTAGAGAAAATGAGATTGAGGTGGTCAACCAGCTTCTGTGCCATCGTGGGTGCCCTTACAGGAGACCTGTCCCTGCCTTACCTCATGGGAAAATTCATGACTGTCTGAAAGGAAAAATATTTCTGAGGACAGTTAGAGAAAAATAGAGGAAGTGGGACTACCATCCCCAGGCTTGGAAACAATGCTCTATAACTTAGTCAAAGAAGATGACAAATCAGAGTGGCTGTTTGGCAGCACCACATTGTAGGAGTTCCATTTCACAGGGCCATTGGGCATAAACACCTATCCAGCCTTACCATGCTGCTGGGATAATCTGTATGGGACCTATCCCATTTGAAACAGGTAGCAGTCCTATCTAAGGAATCACCTAGAACCAAAAAGGAGATAGTGACCAAGCAATAAAGATTTCCCAAGCAAACATATCCAATGAAAACCAAAACAAGCTAATAATAGAAAACTAGAATAAATTACTAATCATCCAAAGCAAAGATATAGATGTATACCCACGAGAAACAAACAAACAAACAAAAAAACAACACAGAACCATGACCTCAACAAAAGGATAAGCAAAGATCCAGTGACAGACCCAAATGAGGCAATAAATTGTAAGTTCTCTGAAAAAGAATTCAAAATAGCAGATTTAAGAAGACTCAGTGATCTCCAAGATAACACAGTAAAGCAATTCAGAAATTTTTCAGAGAAATTTGACAAAAATTGAAATAATAATTTTAAAAATCTAACAGAAATCATAGAACTAAAAAAGACATTTGTTGCACTGAAGAACTCATTAGAGGCTCTCAACAGTAGAGTGGACAAGGAGAGAAAAATACCAGTAAGCTTGAAGACTAGCTATGTGAAAATACACAGTCAGAGGAGAAAAATGAAAAATAAAAAAAAGGAAAGGAATGAAAACCACCTACAAGATATAGAAAATTACCTCAAATTAACAAATCTAAGAGTTATTGGTGTTGAGAGGGAGCTGAAAATGTGCAAAAAGTACAAAGTTTATTCGAAGAAATCACAACAAAAAACTATCCAAAAATTGAGAAAGATGTAAATATCCAGATACCGGCAGTCCTAAGAACACTAAGCATATTCAACCCAAAAAGACTACCCCAAGGTATATAATAATCAAACTCTCAAATTTCAAGGACAAAGAGAGGGTTCTAAAAGCAGCAAGAGAAAAGAAGCCAATAAAATTAAATGAGCTCCAATTTTTCTGGAGACTTCTCAACAGAAACCATACAGGTCAGAAAGGAGTGGAACATTTACGTAGTAGACAAAGAAAAAGAAGCACCATCCAAGAATACTATGTATCCAGCAAAATTATTTTTCAAATATAAATGAGCGATAAAACCTTTCACAAATAATCAAAAGCTGAGATAATTCACCACCATCATTCCCATCTTATAAGAAATAATAGAGGGAGCTCTGAAATCTGAAAAAAAAAAAAAAAAAAAAAAAAAAAAAAAAAAAAAAAAAAGAACATGCAAAAAGAAAACTTTTTGGCAGGGCGTGGTGGCTCACACCTGTAATCCCAGCACTTTGGGACTTTGGGAGGCCGAGGCAGGCGGATCACGAGGTCAGGAGATCAAGACAATCCTGGCTAGCACGGTAAAACCCTGTCTCTACTAAAAATACAAAAAATTAGCCGGGCGTGGTGGCAGGCACCTGTAGTCCCAGCTACTCGGGAGGCTGAGGCAGGAGAATGGCGTGAACCCGGGAAGCAGATCTGGCAGTGAGCTGAGATCGTGCTACTGCACTCCAGCCTGGGCGACAGAGCGAGACTCCATCTCAAAAAAAAAAAAAAAAAAAAAAAAAAGAAAGAAAAAAAAAGCAAACTTTTCAAGGTATAAAATCCACAGGTAAAATTAAGCACTCAGACAAACCCAGAATATCCTACTACTGTAATTGTGGTGTGCAATCCACTCATAATTCTAGGATGAAGCCCATATGCAAATCTATCAAAAACAATAATAGCTATAGCAACAACTAAAGAGATAGGTAATATAAAAATATGTAAATTGAGACAAGCAAAAGTCAAAATGTGGAGGATATAAAGTTAACATGTAGAATTTATTTCTCTCTCTCTCTCTCTGTGTGTGTGTGTGTGTGTGTGTGTGTGTGTGTGTGTGTGTGTTTGCCCTGGTTTCTTTCTATTTTTCTATTTGTGATCTAAGATAAGTTGTCATCTCTTTAAAATAACTTGCTATATCTATAGAATTATTTTTGTAACCCTTGTGGTAAGCACGGCACAAAAACTTATAATGGATTCACTAAAAATAAAAAGCAACAAATTAAACTGTCCTACAAGAAAAAAATCACTTATCCATAAAGGAAGAGAGTAAGAAGGAAGAAAAGGAGAGTCTCATAATAGCCAGAAAACAGGTAACAAAACGGCAGGAGTAAGTACTCACTCTATCAATAACACTTATTAATAACTCTGAATGTAAATAGTCTCAATTCTCCAATTAAAAGGCATATAGTGGCTGAACGAATTTAAAAAACCAGGACCCAACTGTATGTTTCATTCAGGAAACACACTTTACCTATAAAGATGCATATAGGCTGAAATTAAAGGAGTAATAAAAGATATTCCATAAAACTGGAAACCAATAAAGAGCAGAAGTAGTTACACTAATATCAGATAAAACAGACTATAAATCTGTTTATAAAAAGAGGAGAATAAGTTCATTACATAATCATAAAAGGGTTAGTTCAACAACAGAATATAACAGTCATAAATATGTGTGCACTCAACACCAAAGGTCACAAGTATGTAAAGTAAACATGAACAGATCTAAAGGGAGAAACAGAATGCAAAACAATAATAGTAGGCAACTTTAACACCACACTCTCAGTAATGGACAAGTCATCTAGACAGAAAATAAAATGAAAAACAATGGGATAAAACCACATATTAGATAAAATAGACCTAACTGGCATTTACATAACATTTCATCCAACTGCTGCAGAATATTAATTATTTTCATCACTACATGGATCAACCTCCAGAATACACCACATCTTAGGCAAAAATACAAGTCTGAACAAATAAAAAAAAGGCAGAAATCATGTCAACTATCTTTTCTGACCACAATGGAATAAAACTAGAAATCAATAATAAGAGGAACTCAGGCAATAGACAAACACATAAAATTTAAACAACATACTTCTGAAGAACCAGTGAGTCAATTGAGAAGTTAAGAAGTACATTTAAACATTTCTTGAAACAAATGAAAAGGAATATAACATACCAAAATATATGGGATATGGCAAAAACAGTAAGAAGAGAGATTATAGCAAGAAACACCTATATCAAAAAAGTTGAAAGACTTCAAATAAACAACCTAATAATGCACCTCAAGGAATAAAAAACCCAATTAGTAGAAGGAAAGAAGTAATACATATTCTTTAGAGCAGAAATAAATGAAATTGAGACCAAAAAGTACAAACACCAAATGAAACATAAACACGGTGTTTGGAAAAAATTAAAAAATTGGTGAGCCTTCAGCTAGACTAAGAATAAAGGATAGAAGACCCAAATAAATAATATCAAAAACATAAAAGAATATGTAAAAACTGAGACCTCAGTAATACAAAGAATCATTAGATACTATTATGAGCAACTACACACCAATAACTTAGAAAACCTAAAATAAATTCCTGTACACATACAACTACGAAGATTGAACCCTGAAAAAAGAGAAAACCTCAAAAAATCAATTAAGAAATAATCAAATTGAGCCATAATAACAAGTCTCTCATTAAATAAAAGTCCAGGACCTGATAAGTTCCCTGCTGAATTTTACCAAGCATTTAAAAAAGTAATGCAAATTCTACTCAAACTCTTTTACAAATTAAAGAGGAGGAAATACTTCTAAGCTCGTCTCACAAGGACAACATTACCCTGACACCAAAAGCAGATGAAGATACAATAAAGAAATAAAACTAAGGGTCAATATCATTGATTAACCTAGATGCAAAGTTCTCAACAAAATACTACCAAACTGAAATCAACAACATGTTAAAAAATCATTCACCATGATCAAGTGGGATTCATCCAGAAATGCAAGGATGGTTTAACTTATACAAATCCATAAACATGATACATCACATTAACAGAATCAAGAAAAATCTAACCATGTGATTATTGCAATAGATGCTGAAAAGCATTTGACAAAATTCAACATCCCTTAATGGTAAAGAAAAAAAAAGCTCTCATTCAATGGGTACAGAAGGAATATATCTCAAAATAAAAAAGTCCATATATAACAGCTACCATCATACTGAATGGAGAAAAACTGAAAGACTTCCTTTTAAGGTTTGGAAAAATACAAGGATGCCTACCTTTACCACTTCTAGTCAACAAATATTGAAAGTACTGGACAGAGCAATTAGGCAAGAGAAAAAGATAATGAACATCTGAATTAGAAAAAAAGAAGTCAAATTATCCTTGTTTGAGTATATTATTTTAGCTTTAGAAAAACCTAAAGACTCCATCAAAAAACTCTTTTTTTTTTTTTTTTTTTTTTTAGGCGGAGTCTCATTCTGCCATGCAGGCTGGACTGCAGTGGCGCAATCTCGGCTCACTGCAACCTCTGCCTCCCAGGTTCAAGCGATTCTCCTGCCTCAGCCTCCCAAGTAGCTGGGACTACAGGAGCATGCCACCACGCTCAGCGTTTTTTTTTGTTGTTGTTTTTTGGTTTTTTTTTTTTTCTGTATTTTTAGTAGAGATGGGGTTTCACCATGTTAGCCAGGATGGTCTCAATCTCTTGACCTCGTGATCTGCCAGCCTCGGCCTCCCAAAGTGCTGGGATTACAGGAGTGAGCCACTGTGCCCGGCCAAAAACTCTTAAAACTAATAAACAAATTCAGTAAAGTTGCAGTATACAAAATAAACAATAAAATCAGAAACATTTCTATATTGCAGTGGCAATCAATCAGGAAAAGATACATATATCCCATTTATATTACCTACAGACAAAATAAAATACCTAGAAATAAACTTAAAGAAATGAAAGACCTATACAAGGTAAATTATAAAACATTAATGAAAGAAACTTAAGACACAAAAATATGAAAAGATATTTCATGCTCATGATTTAGAAGAATTAATATTTTTAAAATGATAATACTACCCAAAGCAATCTACAGATTAAATGCAATCCCCATCAGAATACCAATGTTATCATTCACAGAAATAGAAAAAAAATCTTAAAATTTATATCAAGCACAAAAGACACCAAATAGCCAAAGCAATCCAGAGCAAAAATAACAAACTTGGAAACATCATAGTATCTGCCTTCAAAATTTACTACAAAGCTGTAGTAACCACAGCATGATACTGGCATAAAAACAGACACATAGACCAATAGAACAGAATGGAAAACCCAGATATAAATCCACAAATTTACAGCCAACTCATTTTTAACAAAGTTGCCAAAAATATGCAATGGTGAAAGCAAAGTCTCTTCAATAAATGATGCTAATAAAAACCTGGATAATGACATTCAGGAAAATAAAACTAGACCCCTATTCTCGAACCACGCCCCAAATTCAAATAAAAATGGATGGAAGATTTAAATCTAAAACCTGAAACTATGAAGCTACTAGAAAAAAAAATCTTTGGGAACAGACTCCTGGACATTGGTGTGGGCAAAGATATTTTGTGTAAGACCTCGAAAGCACAGGCAATAGAACCAAAAATTGACAAATGAGATCATATCAAGCTAAAAAGCTTCTGCACAGCAAAGGATACAATCAACAAACTGAAGAGACAACCCGCAGATGTTAAGAAAATGTTTGCAAACTGTATACCTGACAAGTTGTTAATAACCATAATATAATGAAAAGCTCAGACAACTCAACAGACAAAAAAGTAACTCAATTAAAAACTGGGCAAAAGATCTGAACACACATTTCTGCAAAAGAAACATATACATGGCCAATAGGTATATTTAAAAAAGCTCAACATCAATAACCATCAGAGAAACACAAGTGAGAACGAAAATGAGATACAAATATCATCTCATCCCAGTTACAATGGCTTATATCAAAGAAACAGTTAATAACAGATGCTGGCAAGATGTGGGGAATGGAAAACACTTATACACTGTTGGTGAGAATGTAAATTAGTACAGCTATTACAGAGTCAGTATGAAGGTTCCCCCAAAAAACTAAGAATAGCACCTTCAATAGGAATCAAAAAGTCATGTGAGGTATCACAGTACCTGGTTTGAACATAATATCGAGGAAAGAGGTATTGAAGAGAGTAGGTAAGACACTCTTGCATTGCCTACACCTCACCTACCCTAACTCCAGGCAGCACAGATGGGGAGGAAATGTGTTTTGTGGGGAGGGAGAGCAAAGTGAGTGTGGAGCACTATATTGGAACTCACTTCTGCCTTGTCACAGCAGAACACAGCACAGGGCAGAATTCTGAGAGTGCTCACGGAGGGAGCACATCTAGACCAGCCCTGGGCCAGAGGGAAATTTCTTACACCAGCAGGAAAAACCTCAGTCGTAGCTAGCTTCACCACTAGCTGACGAAATTGGCCTGGGTCCCAGAATAAATTTAAGTGGCAGTCAGGACACAAGGATCACAGTCCTAGGGCAAGTCCTGTTGCTGCACTGGTTTTGTAGGCAGGGAACTTGGGGTGCAACACCAACTGTGGTGTCCAAATGAATGCCAGTGTCACCCCTCCTACAACTCCAGGCACTGTAGCCTCAGTAAAGATTCCTTCTGCTTGACAGAAGGTGAGTACAGAAGACTGTATCTTGCAACTTGGGTGCCACCTGAGCCTAAGTAAAATGAAGCATCAGGAAGATTCCTGAAACCCCAGATTCCAGGTCTTTGCTCCTGGATGGTGCTTATAGATCTACCTTTGGTCAGAAGGGATTCCATTGCCTTGATAAGAAGGACCCAGCTGAATTAACCAACTGCTGACTAAAGTGGTCTTGGGCTTTGAGTAAATAGCAGCAGCAGCAGCAGCCAGGCAATTGTGGCCACAGGCTTTGGGTGAGTCCCAGTATTTTGCTGCTCTGTAAAAATTTGGATGTGACCCTGAACAGTGCCAGCTATGGTGGATATGAGAGTGTCCACATCACCCCTTTCCCCAATTTCAGATAGCCCAGGGCCAAGAGAGACTCCTTTTGATTGGGGAAAAGAAAGTGAGAGACTTTGCCTGGTGACCCAGGGAATTCTCCCTTATCTTACCCAAGTTCACCAAGGCAGTGTCTATAGGAGGCGACAGGATTTGCACCATTCCTGAGCTTATGGAGCCCCCTAGTGCGAAACAGTTGCCGTGACCACAGGCTTTGGTCACAATACTCACTCCCCTTGGAATTTGTAAAAAGCCCTCTCAAGGGTGCATATAAACAAGCCCAGACTGTGAAGATTAGTTTAAATATATAAGTCTTCCATGCCCAGACATCAGTGAATGCCCTCAAGCACCAAGAACACTCAGGAAAACATGACCTCACCAAACACACAAAAGAAGGCACTAGCAACCAATACTGAAGTGATGGAGATATGTGATCTTTCAGACAGGGGATTCAAAATTGTTGTATTGAGGAAGTTCAATAAATTTCAAGATAACACAAAGAAGGAATTAAAAATTCTATCACAAAAATTTAACAAAGTGATTGAAATCATTAAAAAACTCAAGCAGGCATTCTGGAGCTTAGAAATACAATTGAGAAACATAAAAATGCATCAGAGTTGCTCAACTGCAGCACTGATCAAGCAAGAAAGAATTAATGAGCTCAAAGATAGGTTATATCAATATACACAATTAGAGGAGAAAAAAGAAAAAAGGATAGAAGGAGAATAAAGAATGCCTAAAAAAATCTAGAAAATAGCCTCAAAAGGACAAATATAGGCGTTATTGGCCTTAAGGAGGATGGAAAGAGAAAGTTTATTCAAAGAAATAATAACAGAAAATCTTCAAAAACTTGGGAAAGATATGAGTAGCCAAGTACAAGAAGATTTTAAAAATCCAATAAATTTAACCCAAATAAGACTACCTCAAGGCATGTAATAAACTCTCAAAGGTCAAGGATACAGAAAGGATCCTAAAAGCAGCAAGAGAAAAGAAGCAAATAACATATAAAGGAGTTCTGATGTTTCTAGCAGCAGCAACTGTGCAGGTCACAAGGAAGTGAGATGACGAAGTCAAAGTGCTGATGGAAAAAAAAATCTTTCAACCTAGAATATTACATTAATCAAAGTTATCCTTCAAACACAAACTAGAAATAAAGACTTTCCTATACAAACAAAAGCTGAGGAATTTCTCAACACCAGACTTGCCTTAAAAGACATGCTAAAGGGAGTCCGGGTGTGGTGGCTCACACCTGTAATCCCAGCACTTTGGGAGGCCAAGGCAGGTGGATCAGGATGCAGGTGGATCATGATGCAGGTGGATCAAGAGATCAAAACCATCCTGGTCAAAATGGTGAAACCCCATCTCTACTAAAAATACCAAAAAAAAATTAACTGGGCATGGTGATGCACCTCTGTACTCCCAGCTACTTGGGAGGCTGAGGCAGGAGAATTGTTTGAACCCAGGAGGCAGAGGTTGCAGTGACCCGAGATCGCATCACTGCACTCCAGCCTGGAGACAGAGTGAGACTGCATCTCAAAAAAAAAAAAAAAGTAAAGAGAGAAAGCAGAAAGTCAAAAAAATGAGGACAGGGTGGAATAAAAAAGTGTAGAGGTTTTTAGTTTTCTCTTTGTTTGCTTTTTTCCCTTTCTTTGTAATTAGAGTTAAGCTGTTATCGGTTCAAACTAATTTGTATAAAATGTTATTTGCAAGCCTTATGGTAACCATAAAACAAAAACTTATAATAGATACATAAAAATAGAAAGCAAGAAATAACAACATATTACAGGAGAAAAACACTTTTACATAAAAGAAGACAGGAAGGAAGGAAGAGAGGAACACCCAAACAACCACAAAACAGATAACAGAATGGCAGTAGAAAGTCTTTACCTATCAGTGATAACAATGAATGTAAATGGACAAAATTATTCAAAAGACATAGAGTGGTGGAATCAATAAAAAACAAGACTCAAATATATGATGCTTACAAGAAACTCACTTCACCTATAAAAACACATATAGATTGAAATTAAAAGAATGGAAAAATATATTCCATGGACATGTAAACTAAAAAGAGCAGGAGTAGCTATAATTACATCAGACAAAACATATTTCAAGAAAAAAACTGAAAATGGTCATTATATAATGATAAAGGGATTGATACAGCAAGTTAATATAACAATTATAAATATACATGTATCCAATGCTGGAGCACTCAGATATATAAAGCAAATATTATTAGAGCTAAAGAGAGAGAGAGATCTCAATACCATAATAGCTTGATACTTCAACACCCATTTTCAGCATTGGACAGACCATCTTGACAGAAAATCAACAAAGAGACATCAGACTTAAGATTTACTGCAGACCAAATGGACCTAATAGACATGATCTGATTTCAAATTATACTACAAAGCTGTAGTAAACATCAAGGTACTAGCATAAAAACAGATGCCTCAAACAATGGAACAGAATAGATAATACAGCTATAAATCTATCCATTATGGTTATCTCATTTTTTGACAAAGGTGCCAAGGACATACGATGGGTAAAGCACAGTATCTCCAATAAATAGTGCTAGAAAAACTGGATATCCATATGCAGAAAAATGAAACTAGACCCTTATCTCTCACCATGTATAAAAATCAAGTAAAAATGGATTAAGGACTTACAACTAAAAATTGTAACTATAAAACTACCAGAAGAAAACACTAGGGTAACACTCCAGGACATTGATGTGGGCAAACATTTGTTGAGTAACACCTTAAAAACACAGCCAACTAAATCAGAAATAGACAAATGAGATCACATCAAGCTAAAAAAGCTTCTGCACAGCAAATAAAGCAATTAACAAACTGAAAAGACAGCATACAGAATGTGAGAAAGTGTTTGTAAACTTCCAATCTAACAAGGGATTAACATCCAGAATAGATAAGGATCTCAAACAACTCAATAGCAAAACAAACAATACAAATAATCTTACTTAAAAATGGACAAAAGATCTGAAAAGATATTTCTGCAAAGAAGACACACAAATGGCCAATAGTATATGAAAAAAAAAATGCCCAGCATCACTAATTATCAGAGAAATGCATGACAGTGAGATATTATTTCATCCCAGTTAAAATGGCTTATATCCGAAAGACAAGCAATAACAAATGCGGAGAAAGAGGAGCCCTTTATACGCTGTTGGTAAAAATGTAAGTTACCAACATACAGCAACTATGGAAAACAGTATAAGTTTCCCCAAAAAAAAAAAAAACTAAAAACAGAACTACCATGTGATCCAACAATCCCACTGCTGGGTCTATGTTCATAAGAAAGGCAATCAATATATCGAAAATATATTTGCACTCCCATGTATTACAGGAGTACCCACAACAGCTAAGATATGGAATCAACCTCAGTATCCATTAATGGATGAATGGACAAAGAAAATATTATACATATTGTATTAGTCTGTTTTCAGACTGCTATAAAGAACTTCCCTGAGACTGGGTAATTTATAAAGTAAAGAGGTTTAATTGACTCAGTTCCATATGGCTGGGGAGGCCTCAGGAAACTTACAATTATGGCAGAAAGGGAAGCAGGCACATCTTACATGCAGCAGGCAAGGAGTGTGTGAAGGAAGCGAAGGGGGAAGAGCCCCTTATAAAGCCATCAGATCTCATGAGAACTCACTATCACAAGAAGAGCATGGGGGAAACTGCCCCCATGATCGATCCAATCATCTCACACTAGGTCTCTCCCTCAACACTTGGGGATTGCAATACAAGATGAGATTTGGGTGGGGACACAAAACCTAACCATATCACATATACACAATGGAACATTATTAAGCCATAAAAAAGAATGCAATAAAATGGATGGAACTGGAGGGCATTTTAAGTGAAATAAGCCAGGAAGAGAAAGACAAATATCACACGTGTTCACTAATATGTAGGAGCTAAAGAAAAATAACTCATGGAGATAAGGAGTACAATGATGGTAACTAGAGGCTGGGAAGGATGCTGTGGAGGGGAGAATAAAGACAGGATGGTTAATGGGTACAAAAATACAGTTAGATAGAATGAATAAGATCTAATGCTCAGTAGCACAATAGGGAAACTATAGCTAACAATAATTTATTGTATATTTCAAAATAAAAGAGCGGAATTGGAATGTTTCAAACACAAAGAAATGATAAATAATTGTGATAGATATCCCATTTACCCTAATTTGATCATTATACATAGTATGCTTATATCAAAACATCACATGTACCCTATAAATATGTACAATAATTATGTATCCATTATAATTAAAAACTAAAAATTGGAAAAAACCCTCATGAACCTAAAGTCCAAAATATTTCAAATAATTTTAAAAGATGTATCTAACAATACTTGAAAATCATAATACATCATGATAAATGGGTCTTATCCCAAATAAGCAAAATTGGTTTAACAATTTCAAAAATTAATGTATTCCTTTATACTAAGGACCTTAAAAAAAAGGAGTAAAGATGGGGCACTCTCTCAACTTGATATAGGATATTTAGGATATTTATGAAAAACATCACACTTAATGATTAACAAACAAACTGAGGGCTTTCCCTGCAACATTAGGAATGTTCAATCACATTATTTCTAGTTAATATTGAATTAGGGTTCTAGCCAGTTCAATAAGGCAAGAAAGGAAGTAAAAGCTATGCTGAATGTTAAAAGAAAAGCCTACACAAAACAAAATTATCTTTATTCTAAAAACATAATCAGTTCTATAGAAAAGTCTAATGAACCTCACAGAAAGAAATTACAATTAATTGAATTAAGACAAATTACACAATTGAAAACCAATATGCAAGATGTCAATTGTATTTATATATTCTGACCACAAACAATAAGAAGCTATAATTTTCCAAAACACCATTTACAATAGCATCTAAACCAAGAATACTTAAAGATAAATTAAAGTATATGTAAGACCTAGCCACTGAAAACTACAAAATGCTGCTGAAATAAAATGAAGATAAATAAATACATATATTATTGTACGTTTATTTGAGTATCAATATAATTATGTGAATTCTTCCTAAATATATTTATAGATTCAATGCAGTAACAAGCAAAGTCTTAGTACCCTTTGTATAAAATTTTACACTCTAATTATAAAGTTTATATGGAAATGCAAAGAACCTAAATTAGCAAAAAAAAAAAAAAAGTTGAAAAAGATCAAAGTTGAGGAACATGCATTATCAGGTTTCAAGATTTTATAAAAAGCCACAGGAATTAAAACTTTGTGGTGTAGGTATATGGATGGACAAATGGATCAAGAGAAATAAATAAAAAGTTTTGGAATACTTTCCACACATATGCAGTCAATTGATTTTTCTACAAATGTGCCAGGATAATTCATCAAAAATAATTATATATTTTTTAAACCAAATGATCTGGTAATATCCGTGTATATATTTGGAAATAAATAAAAATTGAACTTTGCTTCACACGATAAACAAAATTTCACTCAAATTAGAGCAAAGATCAAAATATAAGATTCAAGACTATAAAACTTCTAAAAGAAAACATAGGATAAATTTTTTTGGCTAAGTAAATTTTTTTTTGCTAAAAGAAATTCAGATCATACATAAAAATTGATAACTTTATTCAAATAACAACTACCATGTCTTTGAAAGACACTGTTAAAGAAATGAAAAGGCAAGTTATGACATGGAAAGACACATTTAACATATATGGCAACATATATATGATTATATCTATATATTTATACCTTAAACTCTGCCTATTTAGACATAGTTATATATTACAAATATGGAAAAGAGCTGTTATCACTCAATAATAGGAAGACAATCTAATATAAAATTGGCAAATTATTTTAATGAATGTTTCATCAAAGAAGATATATATTTGATAAATAAGCATATCGAAAATGCCCAATATAATAAATAATCTGGGAAATGCAAATTAAACCATAGATACCACTACATAACCCATTAGTAAAACATATTTTAAAAAGTTATATTATTATGTTTGTGTTTATTATATTTACATGCTATTGTATAATTGACATAACTTCTTGATAAATTAAACTTTCTGCCTTTTATTGCTACTTTTGCTTATCATAATAATGCAATGGACTCATCACAGAATGTGACATGGTGGTTTTCAAGTCAATAATTTTCATATGAAGGGCAAAGTGCTATCAGATGGCACTTAGATTATTTCACAACAATCATCTACTAAGTTAGTTCCTCTAAGTTTTACCTTTAAAATCCGTAATCCACAAGAGAGGTTACTATATTGGTCCTTCAAAAATTGCCTGTGATTTTGTGAAAGTGTTTGTCTCTTATTTCCTGCTGATCTCTCTTCTATTCTGCTCAGCTCTGTATCCTGGGGCTGATTAACATAGACTACATTTTGGTCTGCTGCCTTTGGCTGGGTTTGGTAAATGGGAGGCACCAGCAAAGGAATGAAGAGTGCCAGGTGAGTGAGGTTAGGGTATTTGTCTTCCAATTCTCTCTGTTTCTTACATTTCCAACAGTACTCACTTTCCTCTTTAGCTATAACACCTGTTGAGTGGGTCTTCAATTGCGCTAGGTCTCTCCAGGTGCACTGTATTTTCTTTGCTGTTCCCTGCAGGATTTCCACTACCATAATTATTCACTAAGTGTCTCGCTATCCCTTTTTGGTTCACTTAATTCTTCCTTCTTTGAATTATTTTTAGTAAAACCATTTTGAGAATGCCATCTGTTTTCCACCACAGCCCTAAATGATACAATAACTGGTATCATGAGTGAGATTCTGGGATGGGTTTGCTCTCTTGTCTGTGAGCAGATGGAAAACCCCATTGTTGAGGGAAATAGAACACTGCAATCTGTGACAAAGTAGCATCACAATTTTCAATTTCTCACTAGAATGACGTGAAATTAATTACTGATTGAGCACAAAGCATTGGGCAATCAATTGTCTTTGACACTTCGTGGATATGGCAAAAATGGTGATTGCAAAGGTTACAGAATGAGGCAAAACTGCTTCTGACAATTCTGGAGAGTTTACACAAAGATAAATATATACTTAAAACACTGAGCTCCCAATTCATGTCACAGGTGGAGATCCAGAATATCTTAATGGCAGTCTTAAAACAATCCCTTATTTGGGATAGTATAGGGCAGACATGGCTGAAGACAAAGCCTGAGGCCTAATTGTAAGGGTGTAGAGTTGCAGTGTTAGTGAAATGTCCAACTTGACAAACTGTTTACGCTAAGAAAAGCTGTCGGGAAAGAGTAGAACCATGAGATTACGGCAAAAACAGGCAAAACTGAAATTTTTAATTCAAAAGTCCTCCCATATTGTTTTTGGCAGTGGAAGCAGTTCATCTCCTTTATTTCAGAGAAGCAATCTTCCTTGCAAAGAACTGTTTTAGTGACTACACTTTGCCTCAAAAATAGTATGGTGATTTTACTCAGGATTTAACTTCACCATCTTTTATTGCCTCCAGTTCCTTCATAAGAGTTTACTAGAGAGGAAAGCAAAAAGTCTCTTTCCAAATAAATAAATCGTATATACTGAGGTATTTGTAGGACTTTTGCCAATTTCATTTGTCTAGAGCTGGCAGTTGAGTTTTGGGAAATGATCTAGTGATGTTATACCAAGAAAAAGGAATTATGACATTGGACTATCCCTAAGCTCAATATAGGAATGTTAACCAAGGATTCTGGATAAAATATGAGATGAAGCATCTATGTGTGGCAGAAATATATCCAAATCAAGTTGCTATTGGAGTTTCGCACTCCTTAGTCTAGTCCTAGATCTAAATCAGTTTACAGACCTGCAGAATATTAACTGAGAAGTCTGCTTACTTTGAAAAAATTGTAGCATGGCAACAAGTCTACAGAGTATATCTTCCCCACACCTTCTCCAGAGGGAGTTTTGGCCACTTATAATAAGCTCTGGAAAAGAGTGAAATACCTGGACGTTCTGTACAACATATGATCCAGGTAGGGCTGGGTGCCATGGCTCATGCCTGTAATCCCAGCATTTTGGGAGGCAAGGCAGGTAGATTGCTGGAGCTCAGGAGTTTGAGAACAGCCCAGGCAACACGGAGAAACCCCATCTCTACAAAAAATACAAAACTTAGCCACACATGATGGCACACACCTGTAGTCCTAGCTACTGCAGAGGCTGAGGTGGGAGGATCGCTTGAGCCCAGGAGGTCAAGGCTGCAGTGAACTGTGATAGTGCTACTGCACTCCAGCCTGGGTGATAAAGACCATAGTGACTACGGTTAAGGCTTTGTATTTTGTCTGTGTAGGAAGTGCTCATTTGTTGTTGTTGTTGTTTTGTTTGTTTTAATTAAGGAAAGGACAAAAATAGAAGTGAGTGTAAAGACCATGGAATCTGAGGGATATTCCCTCCAATCCATTTCTGTCCCTTTTTTTTTTTTTTTTTTCCCTGTAGTGAACACTGAGAGGCTGACTTCTATGGACCATATCATCCAGACCAGTTGGGAAGCAAAAGCCAGGTAAATTGAGGCAGGTTGTTAGAGACAGATAATTTATTTCCTGGGCTAACTCCTGCCTAATTGTGGTCTAGCCAGTGGCTACTTTCCTCATCAAATGAAACTTCTCTTAGGCAGCATCTCTCTTCCAGGATTTTATCTCTTACTGGGTCATGGTAATATCATTTAATTCTCTTGCTCCATCAACTCTGTGGATAAAATGGTGTCCTGCTGATACTAGTCTCAGAGTGCTTCACCATCCCATTTTTTATTTACTTAACCCCATAAATACTTATTTATCTTTGTTTTTCCTTGAGCCTTTGAAATTAAGCCTTTGTGAATTAAAAAAGTTAATTTCTATCAAGTCTAATTTTTCTTTTCTGAGCTTTGCTTTTTGTATTATATCCCAAAACTCTTTGCCTGACAAAAAGACAAAATATTTTCTCCTAAGTCCTTCTTATAGAAGTTTTATCATTTTACATTTATATTTGAAAATATGGTCCATTTTTGACCAGCCTGGCCAACATGGTGAAACCCTGTCTCTACTAAAAATACAAAAAATTTAGCCGGGCTTAGTGGCGGATGCCTGCAATCCCAGCTAGTCAGGAGATGCGGACAGAATTGCTTGAACCTGGGAGGCGGAGGTTGCAGTGAGCTGAGATTGCTCCATTGCATTCCAGCCTGGGCAACAAAAGTGAACCTCCATGTCAAAAAAAAAAAATTATATATATATATATATGGTCCATTTTTAGTTAGCTTTACATATGGTGTGAAATACACATCCAGGTTAATTTTATTGTCTATGGAAATCCAAATGTTCAGCAACATTTGTTGAAAAAATATTTTATATGACATTTTGGTAGAGTAAAAGCCTTCCATCAATTCCAGTTATTCCCTCCTATTCTTTGTGCAATTTTTGTTATATATTTTACTTTTACATATGTTATACAAGTACAATATATTGTCATTATTTTTTCTTTAGTTAAACCCCATTGATTGTGCAATATCTCTTGCCAAGAGCACTGATACATTGTCCCAAGACCTCCTCTTCTTCATAACTGTACTGTTCAATACATAAGCTACTAGCCAAGTGTGACTAATTAAATTAAATTAAAATTCACTTTCTGTTGAAGACAAGAAGGATAACTGGAAGGATGACCAGAGCCAGGAAGCACTGCTTCCAATGAGACAGACCAAAATATAGAGTAAACCAACATACTTTGGCAGATCTTTGGATAGAGAACACTGACAGTCAATGGAGAGCTGACACAGAAACCAAGGCTGAAGAGAAAGAAAGCTGAAAACCACATGTGGGGTACACAAATGCTAGGGCTACCTGAATGGCTCTAGGGAAAGAGGCGAGTTAAGGGAAGGATGGACAGCCCATTCTTGCCACAGACCTCTGGGATCCTAGCTAAAGGTCACCCTGTATCTACCACAGACATTTGAACTGGCAAAAAGATCTTCCCAGAGAGTGGGCAGAGACAGGGCTTCAGCCAGTGAGAAGCCCAGAAGCTTTTGTGCATGGAGCAGCTGCGGCGGAGTGCGGCCATAGCTTCCAATGCCCCAAGGTTCCCCATCTCCGTCCAAGTATCTCTAGTCCCAGCTGACAGCTGGTCCAGGAGAGAGTGAGGCTGACCTCTCTGCAGGACTGGGGCACATCTGTTGCATAGGCCTTCCTGCTCACTAGCCACTCCTAGGGCCCCTGCCTGGCCACCCCACAGAAAGGGGTGCACAGCACAGCCTCCACTGCCTAGCCTGGGTATTTTGCTCTACCCAAGGACTTTTCTGGAATCCTGGGAGCACTTTCCTGGCAGCTAGAGCATCATTCACAGGGTCCAGAGGACAGAGGTGTGGCCTGGTTCCAGCACCCCAGGGTTGCAGCATGCAGCTCGGGAATATTGAGCCAAGATCTGTGGCCAGCACTTGAGTTGGGAAAAAGGCCCCGCTCTCAGAGCACAGAGAGGGGTGAGGCACATGGGTTCACTGGCCAGCATGGGAGCAGGGCATCCCTCCCAATGCAGGGCCAGTAATGAAAAGGTATGTTCTGTCTCCTTGCTGAGATCTCTGCTCTGGAGAGCCAAGCAATCTGGAACACCTAACAAAAGAAATATGACTGTGTCACCAGTGACTGAAGGGGGCTCCTCCAAGGCCCAGAAGTAGACCAGGTAAGGGTGTCATTTGTCTTCCCTGCACACTACAGAGCACTGCTTGCAACACAAGGAAATACAAAAGAGCCTCTAAAGGAAGTAAGACCCCCTCTGCTGGCCATTACTCTTAAGCACCATCTATTGGATCATAGCCCAAACTACAGTGCTAAAAATATTCTGCCAATATAGACCCATGTGACACAAAGAGCAAGAATCTATAAATAAATAAAATAAAATAAAATCCTAGACAGAGGGCTGGCCCTCTGAAAATACTTAAAATAAAGACAATTGGCTATACTCAGCTTACAATACAGTTAAAAAGAACACCAGCCCTCTCAAATGAGAAAGAATCAGCTTAGGATGTCTGGCAATTCAAAAAGCCAGTATCCCCTTACCTTCAAATGAGCCCACTAGCTTCCCAGCAGTAGTTCTTAAACAGACTGAATGAATGAAATGACAGACATAGAATTCAAAATCTGAATGACAAGAAAGCTTATTGAGAGCCAAGAGAAAGTTGAAACCCAATCTAAAAAATCCAAGTAATCTAGCAGAAAAATCCAAAGGCTGAAAAATGAACTAATCATTTTAAGAAAGAACCAAACTAAACTCTGGAACTGAAAAATTTACTACAAGAATATCAAAATACAATTTGAAGTATTATTAGCAGAATAAACCAAGATGAGGAAAGAATCTCATAGCTTAAAAATCACTTCTTTAAATAAAGTCAGAAAAAAAATACAGAAAAAAGAATTTTTGGAAATGAACAAAACCTCTGAGAAATATGGGATTATGTGAAGAGACTAAACCTATGACTCACTGGCATTCTTAAGAGGGAAGGAGAGAAAATAAGCAACTTTTTAAATATTTTGGAGGGCATAGTCCATGAAAATTTTTCTGTTCTCACTACAGAGCTTGACATACAAATCCAAGAAATATAAAGTACCCCTGCTAGATACCATACAAGTTGACCACCCCTCAAGTACAGTTATCAGATTCTCCAAGGTCAACGTGAAAGAAAAAAAATCTTAAAGGCAGCTAGAGAGATGAGTCAAGTTATATACCAAGGGAACCCCCATCAGGCTAACAGTAGATCTCTCAACAGAAACCTTACAAGACAGAAGATATTGGTGGCTTATTTTCAGCATCCTTAAAGGAAAAAAATTACAGCCAAGAATTTCATATCCTGCCAAACTAAGTTTCATAAGTGAAGGAGAAATAAAATCCTTCTCAGACAAGCAAACACTAAAGGAATTCATTATAACTAGACAAGCTTTAAAAGAGGTCCTTAAGAGAGTGCTAAACATAGACATGAAAGAATGACACATACTAACACAAAACACACTTAAGTATATACCCCACAGACACTATAAAGCAACTACATAATCAAGTCTACAAAACAACCAGCTAACAATAAGATGACAGGATCAAAATCTCTAATGTCAGTCCTAACCCTAAATGTAAATGGTCTAAACACCCCATTTAAAAGACAGAGTCACATACTGGATAAATAGGCAAGACCCACCCATCTGCTGTCTTCAATAGACCCATCTCACATGTAGTGATAACCACAGGCTCAAAGTAAAGGGATATAGAAAGATCTACCATGCAAATGGAAAACAAAAGAACAGCAGGAGTCACTATTCTTATATCGGATAGAATATATTTTAAACCAATAACAATTAAGAAGGACAAAGAAGGGCATTACATGATAAAGACTACAATTCAACAAGAAGGCTTAACTATTCTAAATATATATGCACCCATTGGAGCACCCAGATTAAAAACAAAACAAACAAAAAGACAAGCTCTTCTTGACCTATGAAAAGACTTAGCAACAAAATAATAGTAAAACATTTCAAGACTCCACTGATAGCATTACACAGATCATTGAGGCAGAAAACTAACAAAAAAATTCTGGACTTAAATGTGACAATCAATTGAAACTAATAGACATCTACAGAACACTCCACCCAAAGATCACGGAATATACATTCTTCTCATCTGCACACAGAACATATTCTTTAAAATGGACCAAATGTGGCTCATAAAGCGAGGATCAATAAATTCAAAAAAACAAAATCATACCAACCACACTCTCAGAACACAAAAAAATAAAAACAGAAATTACTATCAAGAAGGTCTCCCAAAACTACACAAGCACATAGAAGTTAAACAACTTGCTCCTGAATAATTCCTGAATGAACAACAAAATTAAGGCCAAAAAATTATTAGAAATTAATAAAATTGGGGACACAACTTACCAACATTTCTGGGACGCAGATTAAGCATGTTAAAAGTTTATAGCACTAAATGCTTTCATCAATAAGTTAGAAACAAATTAACAATCTAACTTTGCATGTCGAGAAACTAGAAAAAAAACAACAAACCAGCCAACCCCAAAGCTATAAAAAAAAAAAGGAAAGAACTAAAATTAGAGAGGAACTGAATTAAATTGAGAGGCAAAAATCCATGCAAAAGATCAACGAAACCAAGAGTTTTTTCTCAAAAGAATAAGAAAGATTGATAGACTACTAGCTAGATTAACAAAGAAAAAAATATTTAAATAAGTGCAATGAAAAATGGCAAGGATGGTATTACTCCCAATCCCACAGAAATATAAAAGATTATCAGAAACTACTGTGAATAACTCTAGGCACAACAATTAGAAAATACAGAGGATATGGATAAATTCCTGGAAAGACACAGCCTCCCAAGATTGAACCAGGAAGAAGGTGAAAACCTGAAAAGAACAATAAGAAGTCCCAGAAATTTAATCAGTAATAAAAAGAAACCTGATAACAACAACAACAACAAAAAATTGCTGGACAAGATGGATTCACAGCCAAATTCCAGCAGACATACAAAGAAGACCTGGTACCAATTCTGCTGAAACTATTCCAAAAAACTGAGAAGTAGGGGCTACTCCCTAACTCACCCTATGATGCCAACATCAGCTTGATACCAAAATCTGGCAGAGACACAGTGAAAAAGAAAACTTCAGATCAATCTCCCTGATGAACGTAGATTCATAATCCCTCAAGAAAATATTAACAAACAAAATCCAGTGGCACACTAAAAAGTTAATACACCACAATCAGGTAAACTTGCTTCCTGGGATGCAAGACTTGTTCAGCAAATACAAATAAATAAATGTTATTCACTACATAAACAGAATTAAAAGCAAAAATCATATGATCATCTCAATAGACACACACAAAAAAATATTTCAATAAAATCCACCATCCCTTCATCATAAAAACCCTCAGCAGATTAGGCATCAAAGGATCTACTCAAAATAATAAGAGCCATCTATGGCAAACCAACAGCCAATCTCATACTGAGTGGGCAAAAGCTGGAACCATTCTCCTTGAAAACTGGAACAAGACAAGGATGCCCAGTCTCACAACTCCTATTCAACATAGTACTGGAAGTCCTAGCCAGAGCAATCAGGCAAGTGAAAGAAATAAAAGTTATTTAAACAGGAAAAAAAAAGTAGTAAAACTCTCTCTTCGTAGATGATATGATTACATACCTAGAATACCCCCACAGTCTCTGCCCAAGTGCTCCTGGAATAAAATAAATGACCAGTAAAGTTTCAGGATACAAAATCAGTGTACAAAAATCAGTAGCATTTCTGTACACTAATCATGGTCAAGCTGAGAGTCAAATCAATAATATAATCCCATTTACAATAGCCACAAAAAATGAAATACCTAGTAATATGTCTAAAGGAAGTGAAAGATCTCTATAAGGAGAACTAAAAAACACTGCTGAAAGAAACCAGAAATGACACAAATAAATAGGAAAACATTCCATGCTCATGGATTGGAAAAATCAATATTGTTAAAATGGCCACCACACTGACCAAAGCAATTTACAGATTCAATGCAATTCCAATCAAACTACCAGCATAATTTTTCACAGCATTATACAAAAGTATTTAGAATTACATTTGGAAGCAAAAAAGAGCCCCAATAGCCAAAGCAATCCTAAGCATAAAGAACAAAGCTGGAGGCATCACAATACCTGTCTTTAAGCCTATAGTACCAAAACAGCATGGTACAGGTAAAAAAAAAAAAAAAAAAAAAAAAAAAAAAAGATACATAGATAAATGGATCTATATCCACAGTAGAAAACCCAGAAATAATCCTGCTCACCTACAATCATCTGATGATCTACAAAGCTGACAAAACAAGCAATGGGAAATGATTCCTTATTTAATAAATGGTGCTGGGATAACTGGCTAGCCATATGCAGAAGAATGAAACTGTACCCCTACATTTTACCATATATAAAAATTAACTCAAGATGGATTAAAGATTTAAGTGTAAGATGTCAAATTATAAAAATCCTAGAAGAAAACCTAGGAAGTACCATTCTCAATATCAGCCTTGGCAAATAATGTTTGGCTAAGTTCCCAAAAGCAATGACAACAAAAACAAAAATTAGTAAGTGAGACCTATAAAGAGTTTCTGCACTGCAAAATAATCAACAGAGTAAACAGGCAACCTACAGAATGAGAGAAAATATTCACAAACTATGCATCTGACAAAGGTGAAATATCCAGAATCCATAAAGAACTTATCAACAAGCAAAAAATAAATAATCTCATAAAAAATGGGCAGAGAAACTAAACAAACACTTCTCAAAAAAAGACATACAAGTGGCCAACAAACGTGTGAGAAAATGCTCATTATTAGTCATCAGAGAAATGCAAGTTAAAACCACAATATCTCATACTAGTCAAAATGGCTATTATTAAAAAGTCAAAAATAATAGATGCTGAGTAGACTATGGAGAAAAGGGAATGCTTATGCAGTGTTGGTGGGAATGTCCATTAATTCAGCCACTGTAGAAAGCAGTTTGGAGATCTGTCAAAGAATTTAAAACAGAGCTACAATTTGACCTAGAATTCCCATTATTGGGTATATACCAAAAGGAAAATAAATCAGTCTACCAAGAAGACACATGCATTTGTATGTTCACCACAGTGCTATTCACAATAGCAAAGACATGGGATCAACCTATGTGCTCATCAGTGGTGGACTGGATAAAGAAAATGCAGTACATACACACCAAGAAATACTTCACATCCATAAAAATGGATGAAATCATATTCTTTCCAGCAACACAAATGCTGCTAGAGGCCATAATCTTCCGTGAGTTAATGAAGAAACAGAAAACCAAATACCACATGTTCTCATTTATAAATGATAGCTAAACAATGGTTACACATGGAAATAAAGATGGGAACAACAGACACTGCAAACTACTAGAAGGGGTAGGGAAACGAGGAGGGAGAATGGATTGAAAAACTTCATGTTGGGTACTATGCTCACTACCTGGGTGATGTGATCCATACCCCTAACCTCAATATCATACAATATATCCATGTAACAAACTTGCACAGGTACCTCTTGAATCTAAAATAAAAGTTGAAATGAAAATAAAAAAAACACTTCCTTAGTTATACTGGCTACATTTCAAGTACTCAGAAGATACATGCGATAGTGATCATCTCACCATACACTGCAGAATGAATGGAGTGTTTCTATTGTCTCAGAAAGTGTTGTTGAGCAGCCCTGTTGTAAAAGCAGGTTGTGGTCATATAGACTTCAGTATAATAAACCTTATTGAATTTTACCTTCTTTGTATTGACTCATAGTAACTTTACAAAGTGATATATTTATTGTTGCTTAAATATGATACTTGAGGTGATTTTCTTAGTTTACTTTAGGATTTGTACATAGCAACCATTAATCTCCTGTGAGAAATGCGTAAGAAATATCACGCTTGCAAATTCCATTCTTAAAATCTATTGATTTTATATGAGTCAGTTCACCCACTGCTATATAAAGAAATAATTGATACTTGGCAATTTATTTTAAAAAGAGGCTTAATTGGCCCACAGTTCCACAGGCTATACAGGAAGCACATAATGGCATCAGCTTCTGGTGAGGCCTCAAGGAACTTACAATCACGGAGGAAGGCAAACAGGAGTGAGGAGCTTCATATGGCCAGAGCAGGAGGGAGAGAGAGAGCAGGAAGGTGCCACACAATTTTAAATGACCAGATGTCATGAGAGCCCACTCACTCATGATGATAGTACCAAGGGAGAAATCTGCCCCCATGATCCAATCACCTCCTACAGGCCCTACCTTCCACACTGGGGTTACAATAACTCAATGTGAGATTTGAGCAGGGACACAGATCCACACCATATCAAGATTTAGTAAAATGCTTTATTTCTCACTGATGTGAGATTAAATTGACATATATATATATGTCATTTTTAACTTTTTTTCTTTTTTCTTTTTGAGATGCAGTCTTGCTCTGTCACCCAGGCTGCAGTGCAGTGGTGGCATCTCAGCTCACTGCAACCTCTGCCTCCTGGGTTAAAGCGATTCTCATGCCTCAGCCTCCCAAGTAGCTGACATTACAGGTGCGTGCCACCACACCCAGCTAATTTTTGTATTTTAAGTAGAGACAGCGTTTCACCGTGTTGGCCAGGCTGGTCTCAAACTTCTGACCTCAGGTGATCCACCCACCTTGGTCTCCCAAAGTGCTGGCATTACAGGTGTGAGTCATCATACCCGGCCCAGGATTTTAGCCTTTTAAACTTTGTGTTCTATGAAGAAATTTGTAAATGTTTCCTTTCCCCTTTGGGGATTCTATCATTCATAGATAATTTGCAAGTAAAAAATTGACAACAGTCAGTAACAAAAACACCAGATAAAGAGAAAACCAATTAGCGGACAGCTATATTTCTTGAAAAGCAATATGTAATTAATACATATCTGTTAATGTTTCTTCTATTTATAAATATTTCTCAATACTTTAAATCATTTACAAAGGGTTCGTATATTTAAAATTTTGATAAGAATATAATTTTAATATAAAATCAAAATAAACAAAAATATTTTATAAAACAGAGTTTAAAAAAATCAAAAGATGCTTTTTTTGGAAAAAAATTAAAATCTAGCTTAATATTTTAAAAATTTAGAAAAATAACTCATATACCATTTCCATTGTCTTTTAACATTCAAAAATGAAGAAGCATTTTTAATATTCTTCTTAAAAATGAAGTTTAACTTTATCATAAATTCTGTCAGGACAGATGAAATGCTACTGTATAATAACCTTAGATAATAATTTGCTATCTACTTTTGCATTCTGCTTCAAGATCAAACTCATTGTTCATATGAACACTTTCTGTGAAAGATTTACTTTAACACAAAAGATTCACTGTAACCATAAATGACATATATGAGGGTGATCATTTTTAATAACAATAAAACAACTTTGTGCTATGTCTGCTGAATATCCAGAACGTTATTAGGCACTGTCAGGTATGCAGGAAGCACTGAGGAAATAGCTTTGTGGCAGAGTTAAGACTTATAAAACAGGTTCTATTTAGCAATTGGAATAACACAATATCACACATAAACATGTGTGGCATAAATAACTTCAACATAATTTTCAGCATGAATGAATCAGTATATTTTGGGGAGGAAATTTTTACTGAGAAGGTGAGATTAGAGTGGTGGATTGAAAATGCACAGGAGTTCATGATTTGGCTCTCTGCTTGTCTATTGTTGGTGTATAGGAATGCTTGTGATTTTTGCACACTGATTTTGTATCCTGAGACTGCTGAAGTTTCAGCTTAAGGAGTGGGCTGAGACAATGGGGTTTTCTAAATATACGATCATGTCATCTGCAAACAGAGACAATTTGACTTCCTCTTTTCCTATCAGAATACGCTTTATTTCATTCTCTTGCCTGATTGCCCTGGCCAGAACTTCCAATACTCTGATGCATAGGAGTGGTGACAGAAGGCATCCTTATCGTGTGCCAGTTTTCAAAGGGAATGCTTCAAGCTTTTGGTCATTCAATTTGATATTCAACTTCTTCCTTGTTTAGTTTTGGGATGGTATATGTGTCCAGAAATTTGTCCAGTTCTAGATTTTCTAGTTTATTTGCATAGTGGTGTTTATTGTATTATCTGATGGTAGTTTGTATTTCTGTGGGGTCAGTGGTGATATCCCCTTTATCATTTCTTATTGTGTCTATTTGACTCTTCTCTCTTTTATTCTTTATTAGTCTAGCTAGTGGGGTATCTATTATATTATTTTTTTTTCAAAAAAACCATTCAGTATGATATTGGCTGTAGGTTTTCATAAATAGCTCTTATTATTTTGAAATATGGTCCAGGAATAACTATTTTATTGAGAGCTTTTAGCGTGAAGGGATACTGAATTTTATCAAAGGCCTTTTCTGTACCTGTTGAGATAATCATGTGATTTTTGTCATTGTTTCTGTGTATGTGACGGATTATGTCTATTTATTTGCTTATGTTGAACCAGCCTTGCATCCCAGAGATGAAGCCAACTTGATTGTGGTGCATAAGCTTTGTGATGTGCTGCTGGATTTGGTTTGCCAGTATTTTATTGAGGATTTTTACATCGATGTTCATCAGGGATATTGGTCTAAAATTCTCTTTTTTTGTTATGTCTCTGTCAGGTTTTGGTATCAGGATGATGCTGGCCTCATAAAATGAGTTAGGGAGGAGCCCTTCCTTTTCAATTGTTTGGAAAAATTTCAGAAGGAATAGTACCAGCTCCTCTTTGTACCTCTGGTAGAATTTGACTTGCGAATCCACCTGGTCTTGGGTTGTTTTTGGTTGGTAGGCTATTTAGTTGTGCCTTAATTTCAGAACTTTTTATTGGACTATTCAGGAATTCAACTGCTTCCTTGTTTAGTCTTGGGAGGGGATATGTGTCCAGAAATTTATCCAGTTCTTCTAGATTTTCTAGTTTATTTGCATAGTGGTGTTTATTGTATTCTCTGATGGTAGTTTGTATTTCTGTGGGGTCAGTGGTGATATCCCCTTTAGCATTTCTTATTGTGTCTATTTGATTCTTCGCTCTTTTCTCCTTTATTAGTCTAGCTAGTGGGGTACCTATTATATTAATTATTTCAAAAAACCAGCTCTTGGATTCATTGATTTTTTTGAAGAGTTTTTCATGTTACTATCTCCTTCGGTTCCACTCTGATCTTAGTTATTTCTTGTCTACAGCTAGGTTTTGGATTTGCTTGCCCTTGCTTCTCCAGTTATTTTAATTGGGATGTTAGGGTGTCAATGTGAAATCTTTATAGCTTTCTGATGTGGGCATTTAGTGCTATAAATTTTCCACTTAACACTGCTTTAGCTGTGTCTCAGAGATTCTGGTATGTTGTCTCTTTGATTCATTGGTTTCATATAACTTCTTGATTTCTACCTTAATTTCATTATTTACCCAGGAGTCATTCAGAAGCATGTTGTTCAATTTCCACATAGTTGTGTGGTTTTGAGCGAGTTTCTTAATCCTGAGTTCTAATTTGATTGCACTGTGGTCTAACAGACCGTTTTTAGGATTTCAGTTCTTTTGTATTTGCTGAGGAGTGTTTTATTTCCAATTATGTGGTTGGTTTTAGAGTAAGTGTCATGTGGCACAGAGAGGATTAACTACCTTAAAATTCATATGGGACCGAAAAAGAGCCTGCAAAGCCAAGACAATCCTAAGCAGAAAGAACAAAGCTGGAGGCATCATGCTACCCGACTTCAAACTATACTACAAGTCTATAGTAACGAAAACAGCATGGTACTTGTACCAAAACAGACATATAGACCAATGCAACAGAATAGAGACCTCAGAAATAACACCACACATCTTCAACCATCTGATCTTCAGCAAACCTGACAAAAACAAGCAATGGGGAAAGAATTCTCTATTTAATAAATGGTGCTGAGGTCGTTTGAACCCGGGAGGCAGAGTTTGCAGTGAGCCAAGATTGTGCCACTGCACTCCAGCCTGGATGACAGAGCAAGACTCCATCTCGGGAAAAAAAAAAAAAAAGAAAAGGTGCTGGGAAAACCGGCTAGCCATTTGCAGACAACTAAAATTGGACCCCTTCCCTATACCTTATACAAAAATTAGCTCAAGATGGATTAAAGACTTAAATGTAAAACCCAAAACCATAAAAACCCTAGAAGAAAACTGAGGCAATACCATTCAAGACATAGGCATGGGCAAAGCTTTTATGATGAAATCACCTAAAGCAGTTGCAACAAAAGCCAAAACTGACAAATGGGATCTAATTAAACTAAAGAGCTTCTGCACAGCAAAAGAAACTATCATCAGAGCTAACAGGCTACCTACAGAATGGGAGAAAATTTTTGCAATCTATCCATCTGACAAAGGTCTAATATCCAGAATTTACAAGGAACTTAAACAAATTTACACAAAAAAACAAACAATCCCATCAGAAAGTGGGCAAAGTATATGAACAGGCACTTCTCAAAAGAATACATTTATGTAGCCAACAAACATGAAAAAAAGCTCAACATCACTGATCATCAGAGAAATGCAAATCAAAACCACAATTAGATACCATCTCATGCCAGTCAGAACGGCAATTATTAAAAAGTAAAAAGACAACAGATGCTGGTGAGGCTGTGGAGAAATAGTAACACTTTTTACATTGTTGGCGGGAATGTAAGTTAGTTCAACCATTGTGGAAGACAGTGTGGTGATTTCTCAAGGATCTAGAACCAGAAACACCATTTGACCCAGTGATCTCATTACTGGGTATATACCCAAAGGAATATAAATCATTCTATTATCAAGATACATGCATGTATACGTTTTCTGCAGCACTATTCACAATAGCAAAGGCATGGAACCAACTCAAATGCCCATCAATGATAGACTGGATAAAGAAAATGTGATAGACAGATAGATAGATAGATAGATAGATAGATAGATAGATAGATAGATAGATAGAGATATATACATACCATGGAATACTATGCAGCCACAAAAAGGAATGAGATCACGTGTTTGCAGGGACATGGATGAAGCTGGAAGCCATCATCCTCAGCAAACTAACATGGGAATAGAAAACCAAACACCACATGTTCTCACTCATAAGTGGAAGTTGAATGATGAAAACACATGGACACAGGGAGGGGAACAACACACACTGGGGTCAGTTGGCAAGGCCTCTGAGAAAAGGGAATGCTTACACGCAGTTGGTGGGAATATATATTAGTACAATCTGTATGGAAAACAGTATGGAGATTGCTCAAAGAACTAAAAATGTAACTACCATTCAACCCAGTAATCCCACTACTAGGTATGTACCCAAAGGAAAATAAATCATTATGTCAAAAAGATACATGCAACTGAATTGGAGCATTTATGATTCCAAATTTTGATTAGGGATGCTCAACCTGTACTGTCACTATTTTTCACTCAAAAGATAAGCAAATAATATACATACATACATATGTGTGTGTGTATATATATATATAATGATTACCTGATAATAGCTTTATTATTTAGATTTTGGAAATAACAGTTATAGTAAATATCATGTAATACAAAAAACCTTATTTTAAAAAAGAAAAGTGGCATAGCCCAATATATGTTTTCTTAATTTTACTTTACCAAGCATTTTGTATGTAACACTTTTTACTTCTCTAAGTGACTCTGTCACTAGCCTGGTGTTACAGAAAGAATGTTAAAAATCAGACAAAAGTTTTATTTTTATGAAGTTTCTCAGATGATAGACAATAAAGCTGGGATTCCCCTACAGGTCTCTTGCTCTCAAATCCAGAGAATTTAACAAAAATCCGTGTTATAAATTGACTTCCACACATATACTGCTAAACACATGTAATGTATCACATTATAAAGGAGATATCAAAGAGAAAATGCCTCTAATATCCATTAATTTTAAACATGTGGATATATTTTCATATTTTAATTAATATTTTTGACCAATGAAAATTTACTTATATAATTTTTATATATTACTTGAACACATAACATTTTTAAGTCTAATCAAAGAGTTTTATATATTTTAGTGAAAGTAGATGTTTAACAGCTTTTCCAATGTTATTCTAAATGTCTTCAGAAACATATAAGTCATTACTCTATACCCATAGTAACAAAATAATTCAGTGACAACCAGATAATCATGAATTAAATCTGTAATTCCTCTGTAGATTAGTTATGTTTTTCATAAATAAAATTCAAGGAGTTCTCCATAGGTTTGAAAGAATAACAGTCACTACCCAAACCCTAATTATGAAATATAAAAGCAAGTTCTTTTGACTATCTCAGCTTTTAGAAAAAAAAAAAACTACATAACTTTTCATTGTAAAGTATACACATATTCATTATAAAGTATATTGTCTCTTTTCTTTTTCATTGATTAGAAACTCATGCTTAAACCTTTTAGGGAAGAAAATATTTGTATTTTCATGCAAGTAAACTGCCAGAGATAAAGAATACAAAAAAAAAAAAATCAGAAACAAAAATAGAAACATTCACACAGACAAAAAAAATAAATGTTTTTAATAAGGGTACTGAAATCAAATGTAGTAGATTTCCTGGTTCCAAGTAAACTTTACATAGATTAAAAAAAAAACTTAAACCAGATCTAATTAATAGTATTTTGGCCGGGTGCGGTGGCTTACGCCTGTAATCTCAGCGCTTTGGGAGGGGGAGGCGGGTGGATCACCTGAGGACAGGAGTTCTAGACCAGCCTGGCCAATATGGTGAAACCTCGTCTCTACTAAAACTAAAACTAAAAAAAAAAAAAAAAAAAAAAATTAACCAGGCATGGTGGTGTGTACCTGTAATCCCAGCTACTCAGGAGGCTGAGGCAGGATAATTGATTGAATGTGAGAGGCAGAGGTTGCAGTGAGCCAAGATTGTGCCACTGCAATCCAGCCTGGGTGATACAGTGAGATTCTGTCTCAAAAAAAAAAAAAACAAAAAACAAAAAACAAAAAAAAAAACAATTTTTAATTAACAAAAAAGGAGTTGCTAGAAATGGGTGTGTGAAATGCTATATGTTTTACTTTAACAGTAATGAAGTTCTGGGAGTGTAGTCATCTACCTCACCCATAAGTAATCCCCTTTAATTATGGTTTCTAAACAATTTATCAGAAACCAATGGCTTATTGACATCTTTTTCTATACTACAATTGGAGATAGAGATTGAATGACTGAAGCAAGCTGCTAGGAGTATCAGATAAAGAAAAATGACTACTCTAATTGAGTTGGGAAGCTGTAAAACTAACCTATAGAATTACCTTCTAGTGATTCCAATGCTGTCTGAAAATATATTAAATATAAATATGTGGAATACATAAATTGATATTTTACTTGTAATAAAAATTCAAGGTCTGAAGGAATGAAAGTGCACACAATTTGCTTTGTTGTAGTTTCAAGTGTTGTTTAAAAGACAAAAGAAAATACAAGATATTTATTTTTATTTAATCATTCTCAACAAGTGATGTAATTACAGACAATTCATGAAAAAGCTAGACTAATGGTAAGGAGATAAAAAATGTTCCACCTCTGTGATCAGAGAACACAAATTAAAATCTCAATGTCATACCATCACATACTCAATAAAAAGGCTAGAATTTAAAAGGCCGTTGGTGAGAATATGAAGCAAGGAAAACATTCATATATTTCTGGGGTGGGGGGCAATGTAATTTTGAAAAAAATGGGTATTATCTAATGGTGAATATATGCATACCAAATGACTCAGTATTTTTATCTCTAGTAAACAGATATCTCAGACCAGAGTGTCAGCAATGAAGTTGATTGTAAGTGATTATATTTTGGATATATTTAAAGATACAGACAACAGGATTTCATGATTAATTTAATATGGGGGGAATAAGAAAAGAGCAAAACATCATTCTAAGATTTGGGGCTTGAACAATTGAACAGATGGTATGGTCATCTAAGATAGTGAAGAGTAGAGGTTGAGCAGTTCTGAGGGTGGAAAAGACATGTCGAATTTATGATGTCTAATGGATATTCAAGCAGAGATGCTCAGTAGGCTGTTGGATATGCAAGTCTGAAATTCAGAAGAGGGGTCTGGGCTGGAGATGAAAATTTGGAGATGTTGGCATATAGGTGATATTTAAAGTCATGCCACTAGCTTAGGTCATCAAGGAAGTAAATGTAATTAGAGACAAAAAGTGATGAAAATCAATCCCTGATTACAATTATAGTTAATGTTAAGAAGCATGAATATATTACAAAAATGAAAAAGTGAACTGATAAGCAATATATTTTAGTCACCTTCCAACTACTATTTTGGATCTCTTTATCAGCAGCCCCAGATAAAATAAATTTCCATAAATTCACACTCATATAAATAAATGATTAACCAAACTAATAAATGAGGGAGATGATCAAATCTCTCATGCAGGAAAATTCTAAGTAATTTTTGCAGAAACTCCACCCTCAAAGAGATGGAGCATTATACACCACTCTTTAAGTGTGGGCTGTGCATGGTGACTTCAATCCAATGAGTACAGTATGTAAATGGATACTTTACGTTGGAGAAGTCTGACAAACACTACCTACAGCCAGATGATCAAGGTCAACATCAACAGTGATATGTCATGTTGATAGTATGTACCCTTGATATGATGTGATGACAATAACTGATAGTTGCAACAGCTTAATGACTTTTCATACCATTACACTGTGTGAACAAAAGCCAATCCTCAAAAGTTACATATTGCATGATTCTATTTATATAATAATCTTGAAGTGATGAAATTCCGGAAATGGAGAGAAATTAGTTATTGTCAGGGTTTAAGGAGGAGATGGTGGTGGGAAAGAAATGGGTGTGGCCATGAAACTGCACCATGAGGGAGCTTTGTTGTGATTAAAATGTTCTGTGCCTTGATAGTATCAATGTCAATATCTTGGTTGTGATGTGGTACTATAGTTTCCAATATGTTACAATTAGAGAAATACTGGATCACTCTGTACGTTTTCTTACAACTGCACACAAATTCACAATTATCTTAAAGTAAAAGCTTAATTAAAAAATAAAGGCCAGGAACAGTGGCTTATACCTGTAATCCCAGCACTTTGGGAGGCCGAGGCAGGTGGATCACAAGGTCAGGAGATCGAGACCATCCTGGCTAACACGGTGAAATCCTGTCTCTACTAAAAATACAAAAAAATTATCCAGGCGTGGTGGCGGCACCTGTAGTCCCAGCTACTTGGGAGGCTGAGGCAGGAGAATGGTGTGAACCCGGGAGGTGGAGGTTGCAGTGAGTGGAGATTGTGCCACTGCACTCCCGCCTGGGCGACAGAGCCAGACTCTGTCTCAAATAAATAAATAAAAATAAAATAAAATATAAATAAAAATCTCACCTCATGAACTATCTTATTAAAATTTGTGCAGGTGCTCTGTAGGCTAGAGGTGTATATCCCATGGGTGGTCCATGGTCCTTTTTTTCTTCCAAGATCAATAGAGCATAGTCTATCACTTGTAAACTTTCAGTGTAGACTGATTGTATTTGGCAAACTCCAACTGGCCTCTTCATGTCTGTCTTGTATCCACTTGTGTCAGCTCCATCCTACGTCTAGAAAACTATGTGCTAATTTGTAAGTGGTACATTTATTAATACCATAGCTGATTTTATGTTACAAATAATTTCTTATGATCTGAGATTATTAAACCTTACTTTTATTACCAAATTTATTATCTTCAGTTATAAGGTTTTAAGTGGAACCCCCTCAATAATTTACATAATTGATGATGAATAATCAAATATAAAATAAAAGGAAAATAAAATGTGATTACAGGAGATCATAAAGCTGAATAAGATAAACACTTAAAGAAAAATCATTAATTTAATGCATATTTTCAAGAGTGTGATCAATATAAACTTCTAAAATACGAAATTTGAACATGTAGAACAAATACATGCACACACGTGTGTAATAGATTAGGGAGTAAAATAATCCATTAGTACCTAGTTCTTAATTTGGAGAAATGAAAAAAGCTCTGTATATTTGTTTCACTTTTAAAATTCCACATGCAGTAGCATTTACTAATCCAGTTTTTAAAGATGTTTCAAAAACAATAATAGGAACCACAGGCTTGGTGTAGAACTTGACACTCCTTATGGAACTGCTTGCCTCAGAGTAGCAACATATATTGATTTTGACATGCCAATAAAGTTACACAGAAAGAACCTGGGTTGAAATTGCATTTTTCATGTAACAGTAAAAACCTATGCAACAAAATTAAGTGAAAAGTGCAGATGTCCTTAATTCAAGGAATCCTTTCTATGTGCTATTACCACCACTGCCACAAGGCTCATGCAATTACAGTTAAGAACAAAATGTCTCACCCTTTCCAATTTATACTGTCAAAGGGACCTATTCATTGGAAGTTGCATTATCAGGAAGAACTGTGAAGAGAAGGCACTCTGAGATATGAAATTTCATCCATTATTCACTAGAAAGACATAATCTTTTTCTTAAGACATTGTATCTCTCCACATACAGATAAAAAAAAAGCATAGACATGTCAACTTTCTATTGTAGTACAATGCTGCTTGACAGTAGAGTTTTATGAAATAATAAATGAATACTTCGAGAATTCTTGACATGGTTTCAGAAAATGGAAGTGGTCTTTACTGGGGATCATTTGAATAGGTAGATTTTTAGCATGCTGAGTACTTACAAACATCAGTTCTACCTTATGACATTTCACACTTACAGAAACAACAAAGTAAAATAGGCCAAGAAAATGCATATTCATCTTGGATAAAATAAATTTCACCTCATGAAATTATATATATATATATATAAACTATATATGCTTGTATATATAATATATATACAAGTATAATTTATATATACAAGCATAATTTATATATACAAATTATATATTAGTATATATATGCATATATACATATATAAGTATATTTTTCAATTATATAAAGGTATTTAAAAATATTTTATATCCATAATTTTATATAAATATATAACTATATATAAATATACAAATATATATTATAAATACATTGTATATATATTTATACTATATGTACACATGTATATACTTATATATACGTATATGTAATTACATATAATGTGTGTATATAGACACAAGTATCTATAAGTACATATACTTATAAATATGTATAAATACTTATACAATACTTATATACTTAGTTCTTATTAAATACTTACATATTCTATATAAGTATTTATATATAAATTCATATATACTTATATATCCTTGTATATATAAATATATAGGTATATCCTTGTATATTTATATATATTTGTAAATGTATACAAAATTATAGATATAAAAATATTTTTAAAGTATATAGAATTTAAAAAGATAAAGTTTTTTTTGAATTTTGAATTAAAAAATAGGCTTCAGAATGGAAATGAATGTGTGTTGATGGTTAATAAGTAGGTTTTTGGAAGGCATGCAGGATAAATATATTTTAAACGTAAGCAAAGCTTTAGGTTTTGCAGTAAATATATACATGGCAATGTTTTCCTGTTTCCTCCTTAATACTCAAAATATTATTTTGTTCAACACCAGCAAATGTTTGTTGTTACTTACTTTGTTTCTGTATTTAAAAGAGTATCTTTATTTTGTGCTTGGAGAACTTCCAGTATAAAAATCAAATTTGGAAAATAAGGTTGGCCATTTTCTAAGCTACAGATTATAGAATATACCATGACATTCTGAATTGTTTAATCTAATATAAATCCTGTGTTTTATGCTGAAAAGCTACTGAGCTAAAACTGTGTGCATATTTTAGTGAAATATATGTTCACTACTACCTTTCCTAAATGTGTGTAATTTTATTAGCTCTTGGATAATACACTCAATTTAAACCTTATATGTAATTATAAAGACAGTTTTAATGGAATCATAATATAACAAAACTGTTACCACATATTGTATTGTGAAACTGAAGCCAACTAACCCCACCTCTCAATATATGGCAAACATATCTAGATATTTGTCACTTAAGCAGACCGAGAATTGCATGGCATGAACGAACAAAATATTTTTTATAGGTCAACAAGAATATTTAGCTATGGAGCTGAGAGGCCTATCCTACTCACCAGAACTTCCATACCCTACCAATATCTATCAGAAATATCCCCCTCTTTCAACCACCATAGCATTATATCTAGACTTTTTATTATAGCATTAGCATTTCTATCAGAAATCATTGTCCTATCTCAAACAGCCTAGAAGCTCTTTGTGGATAAGATTCATGCCTTCCTCATTAATTGATCCACCCAAAATACTAACATAGTGATTCCATGGTAGTGATGTGCCCTGAGCAATTATTTGTTGAGAGGATGAAGACATTAATTACACAGCCAAATTAGTACATGTCTTATAACAAAAACCATTATATTTTAGATGAAAATATTTAAATGCATGTTAGCTTCCATTCTCCCAATTAGCTAGAGTTGTAGTCCTTAATGTGTGGTTCTAGCACCAGTAGCATCAACATCAATGGGAAAATAATTATAAATGCTAACTGTTGTGCCCCACCACAGATATGACCAATCAGAAACTCTGCAGGTAGGGCCCAGAAATCTGTTTGCAGAAACCCTCCTTATGATTCTGATGTAGGGTGCTTGAGAAGCATTGATCTAAAGATGCATGGTATGCTATAATATTTCATTTGCTTTTCTCTTTGTAGCTATCATAGAACACTAAGTAATCTCATTTCTTAAAATTACCATGAGTATTTTAGGGGAAAAAATGATCCCTTATTTAAATGATCAATCCAGGCTTGGAAAAGGAGACACTCTCTTTTCCCTATTCACATGACTTATAATGTCACTTATTGCCGCAGCTCCCAAGAAATACCAATACTGCTACAAAATGCCATTGCCAACAATATTCGATTTACTTCTCTTTATTAATATTATTTTTCTAAAAGACTGAATATGTTTACCATTGTCTTCTATCTTTTGTCCTCAGAAGCTGTTCATCCTGGGCCAGGATCCAAGAATGAGACCACTCTACCTCTCCAGCTTGAGTCTCTCCAGGCTGAACAAGTAGGGATTCATTTCTGTATTAGTCTGTTCTTACACTGGTATAAAGAACTACTTGAGACTGAGTAATGTATGAAAAAAGAGGTTTAACTGACTCACAGTTCCATAGGCTTAACAGGAAGCATAATTAGGAGGCCTCAAGAAACTTACAGTCATGGTGCAAGGGAAAGGGAAAGAAAGCACCTTCTTATGGCAGCAAAAGGGAGAGAGAGCAAAGAGGGGAGGTGCCACAAAGTTTTAAACAAACAGATCTCATGAGAACACACTCACTGTCATGAGAATAGCATGGGAGAAATCCCCCTGTGATCCAATCACCTACCACTAAGCCCCTTCTCCAATTCAACATGAGATTTAGGAGGGGACACAAATCCAAACCATATATTCTACCCCTGAGCCTTCCAAAATCTCTTGTCCTCCTCACATTGCAAAATACAATTACCCTTCTCAGCAGTCCCCCAGTCTTAATTCATTTCAGCATTAACTCAAAAGTCCTGATTCCAAAGTCTCATCTGAGACAAGGTAATTCTCTTCCACCTATAAACCTGTAAAATCAAAAACTAGTTAGTTACTTCCAAGATACAATGGGGGTACAGGCATTGGGTAAATACTGCCATTTCAAATGGGAGAAATTGTCCAAAACAGACGGCTACAGGTCCCATGCAAGTCCAAAACCCAGCAGGGCAGTCATTCAATATTAAAGTTCCAAAATAATCTCGACTGTATTTCTCACATCCAGGGCATGCTAATGCAAGGAGGGGGCTCCTAAGGCCTTGGGAAGCTCTGCCTCCATAGCTCTGTAAGGTACAGCCCCTGTGGCTGCTTTCATGGGCTGGCGTTGAGTGCCGGTGGCTTTTCCAGGCACATAGTGCAAGCTGTCAATGGATCTACCTTTCTGGGGTATGGAGGATGATGGCCCTCTTCTCAAACCTTGAGTAGACAGTGCCCCAGTAGGGAGTCTGTATGGGGGCTCCAACACCATATTTCCCCTCCATCTGCCATAGTAAAGGTTCTCCATGAGGGCTCCATCCCTGCAGCAGACTTCTGCCTGGACATCCAGGCATTTCCATACATCCTCTGAAATCTAAGTGGAGATTCCAAAACCTAAACTTTTGCCTTATATGCACTTGCAGGCCCAATACCACATGGAAACTGCCAAGGCTTGGGACTTGCACCCTCTGAAAAAATGGCCCAAGCTGTACCTTTACCACTTTTAGCCACAGCTGGAGCTGGAGCAGCTGTGACAAAGCAGGAAAACATGTCCTGAGGCTGAACAGAGCAGCTGGACCCTCAGCCTGGCCCATAAACCATTTTTCCTTCCTAGGCCTCTAAATCTGTGATGGGAGGTGCTGCTGTAAAGGTCCTTGAATTCTCTGGAGACATTTTCCCCACTGTCTTGGCTATTATCATGTGGGTCTTTGTCACTTATGCAAACTTCTACAGCCAGTTTGAATTTCTCCCCAGAAAAAGAGTTTTTCTTTTCTACCACATGGTCAGGCTACAAATTTTCCAAACTTTTATGCTCCCCTTCCCTTTTAAATATAAGTTCCAATTTCAGACCATTTCTTTCTCCATGCATATGAGCATAGAATTTTAGAAACATCCAGGTCCCATTTTGAATACTTTGCTCCTTAGAAATTTCTTCCACCAGATGCCCTAAATCATCTCTTGAGTTCAAAGTTTCACAGATTTCTAGGGCAGGTGCCAGTCTCTTTGCGAAAGCATAGCAAGAGTCACCTTTACTCCAGTTCCCAAAAAGTTGCTCATCTCCATCTGAGACCACCTCAGCCTGGACTTCATTGTCCATATCACTATCAGCATTTTGCTCAAAACCATTCAACAACTCTCCAGGAAGTTCCAAACCTTCCCACATATTCCTGTATTCTTCTGAGCCCTCCAAGCTGTTTCAAACTCTGCCTGTTACCCAGTTGCAAAGTCGCTTTCACATTTTCAGGTATCTTTATAGCAGTGCCCCACACATAGTACCAATTTTCTGTATTAGTCTGTTCTCACACTGCTATGAAGAATTACTTGAGACTCGGTAGTTTATTATAAAAATGGGTTTGACTCACAGTTCCACAGGCTTAACAGGAAGCATAATTAGGAGGCCTTACAAATCATGGCAGAAGGGCAAACGGGAAGATATCATGTCCTCACGTGGTGGCAGGAGAGAGAGAGAGCAAAGGGGGAAGTGCCACAAACTTTTAAACAACCATATCTTGTGAGAACTCACCCACTATCATGAGATCAAGGGGGAAGTCTGCCCCATAATCCAATCACCTCCTATCAGGCCCTTCTTCCAATTCGACATGAGATTTGGGTGTGTACACAAATCCAAACCATATCAATATCATAATTAAAATAAATCATTCAAGGAAAGGAGAAGTTTGACTTTGAGGGAGCAGGTGGTGGATGACTGGAATTAGTCCTAAGAACCTCAGTACTTGCTTTCTATCTTTCTCTTTCTCAAGTCATCCTATCATGTCACTATATATAGTGAGAGTCTATAGTGTTTATATATATGTGTGGACACTATAGACTCTCTAGTCTATACATACTATAGATTCTCTACATAAGGACACTATATATGGACACTATAGACTCTCTCTCTCTATCTATATATATAGACATTATTTCTCTCCCCCAGTTCTAAAATAACTACCATGGTGTCATCTGCTGGAAGTAGATAGGTGATGTAACTGAGACTCTAAAGCTCAGTAAATGTAAGAAAGATTATATTTCTAGTAACTCAGAAAAATAAAACTTAGAGTAAGAACCTTCTAAGAGTTTTGGTGACAATGAAACTAATGTAGCTCTTGTGGGATATATTAAAAGTCATACAACTATACACTAGAAAAAAATCAATACTATGGCATAATAACTAAAAAAATTAAGATATTTCTAAAATCGCAAACAAAACAAAAAATAAACAACAATAAAAAAGGGCCCTCTAAAAATTTTAAACTTTCTAAATGAGTATAAATTTCATTCATTTTAAATTAACGTTTTTTGGCCAGGCATGGTAGCTCACACCTGTAATACTTTCACTTTGGTAGGATAAAGTGGATGGATCACTTGAGGTTAGGAGTTTGAGATCAGCCTGGCCAAAATGGTGAAACCCTGTCTCTACCAAAAATACAAAAATTAGCTGGGCATGGTGGTAGTTGTCTGTAATCCCACCTACTTGGGAGGCTGAGGCAGGAGAATCGCTTGAACCTGGGAGGTGGTGGTTGCAGTGAGCCAAGATTGTGACACTGCACTCCAGCCTGGGTGGTGGAGTGAGACTCCATCTTTAAATAAATAAATAAATAAATAAATAAATAAATAAATAAAACCGTTTATTTACCAAATTTTAAGGATTATGTGCTTCAGATTTAGTTTAGCTTAGGTTTTTGTTTGTTTGTTTGTTTGTTTGTTTGGAGAAATCATGGCAATATAGTCATGAAATCATTCTGGCTTAGTAAAAAAAAAAAACAGCAAAATACACCGTTCTAACAGAAAAAAAAAAACTAGTCATGTAATACACTTCCTCCTCCTGATTTTCTTCTGGCATTCTGACCTCAAACAAAAGCATCTCAAGATACTTTTAACTATTTAATAGTTACATGAGGACAAGGATATAATTTATTTCAGTTTTTATATATAGCAAGATATCTAAAAATATGTTGTCAAGAACTGTGGAAGATCTGAGATTTTACCCTGTTCTCAAGCAAATAAGTTAGCCTGCTGTCACTTCATGGATGCTGGCAGAAGACACAAGATTCCTAAATCAGAAACAAAAGAAAGTTTCTTACTCATAGCAATAAGAGTAGCCTGGGTATGATCATTTTCTTACTTCAATTCTCTAATTTCTAAATTAAAGCCCCAGTTTTCATAGAACGAAGCAATAAGAGACAGGTGACAGCTGTGCATGCAGTGGGTTGCATTAGGAGAGGAACTTCAAGCTCAGTATCAAATGTTTGGTAATGGGCCTTTGCCCAAGAGGGACACATTATCTTTACCTACTGGACTGTCAACAAATCTGCCTTTTGTCCAAGAGGGAGACACTATTTCTATCTTCCAAGTCTTTTGCTGTATACATATTCTTAAACAGATACTTCAGAACAAAAGCTGTCAGTGTCTCTTCTCACAATATGAGCAGAAACACAAAAGACTCATGAAGTATTGTCTCCAATACATAATAGGTGCATACTTCCAGCCTTTGATGAATTGATAAAAATTAAAACTATTCCAATGATAACCATTATTTTATAGTATCATCTGACACTAATTATTGGTATTTCTTAAATGACCAATGTGAATGTAATAATCATCTGTTTTACTATTAATAAAATAACTCATTAAATGCTTAATCTGTCTTTTCTCTATACTTGAAATTATAGCTTATTATCCTTGCCCTGTAATGAGTTTTTAATCTAAGATAAGAAATATTAATCAAAACACAAATACATCAGTCCTAAAATACTTGAATGAACATAAAGAACATTATTTTTAGGACATCACTGCATTCTACAAATGAGAAGTCTAATGAGGCTTAGTGAAAGAAACTGTAGAAATATGATCACCTAGGACAAGGTGAAGGAAAGCAGTAAGGTATTGGATGAGAACTCAGAGAAGTTTCATGGAAAAAGGATTACTTCCAAATCTGTTTAAGAGAAAGGAATAACATAGTGGAGAGTTGGGAAATGCATATTAAAGATAGATTAATCTTTTAATAAAAAGGCTAAAAAAAGAATGCTAGTGTTTAAACCATAGGACTAAGATCACTGCCACAAACTTGACATATCAAATAAGTGGACATTCCTCAAGAAAATGTAAACTTTTATAAGTGTCATTATGTATAAATACTTATATTTGAAATAAACAAAATTTGCTAAGGATATATCCAAATAAATTTTTCTAAAACACTGTTTTGATCATTCTGGTCCTAATCCCAGTGACATCCATAGAGAAGAAACCCTAGCTCAGGCAATGCTTCTGAAAGCTGGGAATGACTTCAGCTGACAAGCAGCAAGAAAAAAGGCACTTCAAGAAAAAAGGCACTTCAAGAAAAAAGGCACTTCAGTCTTACAACCACATGGAAATGAGAATTCCTACAATCATGTGACTGGGCCTAGGAGGGGACTTTCCTCCAGGCCTCAGATAAGAGCCCAGACCAGCCAACATCTTGATTTAATCTCAGGAAACTTAGGAGCAGAGAAACCAGCCAAATCCACATGGACTTCTGACCCACTGATCTGTGGATTGTAAATGGGTGTTGTTTAATCTATTAAATTTGTGGTAATTTAATAGAAACAGAAAGCCAACGCAGTGACCTTCTGTAATGCATCCCAATGTAATTTTGCAGGTTTTTCCACCTTCTCCCATATTTGACCATATAGATATCTAATGTCTTCTCATTTTTTTGTTTTCTAAACATACATACGTTCTTTCACCACTATAAGTTTTGTCTTAAGTTCTCAAGAAAGACCCTTGTGTGTCATTTCTGCTAAATAAGATCATATCCATCCTTCAAGGTTCAGCCTAAATCCAGAGTAAAATGACTTCTTCCTTGAGCATGTAGGCTTAAAGAAATTTCTAGTTTGATAAACTTAAGTTCATATTATGCAATTTTTTGTGGGCAAATAATTAGTGTCTGTATTTGTAATTATATTTTCTCATTGATTTTCCTCATTTCCCAATTTTGATTTGTAGCTCCATGAGAAATATTATTTTATCCTTCTATGTAACCAACATTTTTCCCAGAGCAGCATTAGCATATTCAAAATTCTCTCAGAAGTTTATGGTGATTAATGTATTTTATTTTTTCTGTTAAAAAATTTAAGCAAAAGTCAAAACAAAACAAAAGCTCAATACATACATATAACATGTTAATAAAATTAAATTGTAAGTAAAATAGTTCCTAATTTTCTATTGGATATGATATTCCCTTATCATGTGAACAATATATTACTTTTCAATTCTGATTTTTTAAATAGATATTTTTAAATCAGCTTAAACAAATCAGTATTTTTATTATTGTTTTACACTTTAATCCTTTTTTCTAGTTTAGAAAACAAAGTGTAGCTCACTACAGCACTCATTTAATTTTACATAAACAGGCTCTTTGAGGCTGAAGCAAATTGGACTGATTTTCAATGTGAAAATAAAATATAAAAACTGTCCTTGGAGTTATTTATAAACAGAACTTACATCAGAATCATCTGAATCATCAAAATTGTCTATTTTAGAAAAATCAGATTTATCAAATGAATCTTCGGCCAACAACTGCTTGAGAACAATGTTAATATCACAGGTTACATTTTCTAGAATTGGACATTTTCAGCAATTGGGAATTACTATATTTTGTAAATAGAAATACCACTATTAAAAAGAAAATGCTGTAAAAAGAATGATGTCTTTGTTTCCAAAGTTGATACACTAGAGTGATACAAAAACAAAAACAAAAGCAAGATATTTTGTGGCAACGTTTCCTTGGAAATTTTGTTCCCAGTTATTTTCCCACCAGAATATTTCAATCAATATCAAAAATCTATTCAAAACTTCTCCCTTACATTAATTGGCAGAGTAAATTTTTTCATCTTCTTTTACTCAATAATCTCATTATCTTATAGCTGCTTTCATAAAAGATTTTGTATACCTCTATTTGTCATCTAATCTGCCTTTACCTATAAAGGGAAAAAAGCACCAAAAATCAGTTTTATATAATTATCTTACATAAAACTTTCTAAGCTAGATAATAACTATGCTGATTATTAGAGGCCAATTTAACACTGATAGATGGCAAGACTAATATATAAAATACTAGTGATTACTTTAAAAACACTTTCAGGTTCATTTTCACACTGCTATAAAGATACTACCTGAGAATGTGCAATTTATAAAGAAAAGAAGTTTAACTGACTTACAGTTCTGCGTGGCTGAGAAGACCTCAGGAAACTTACAATCATGGCGGAAGGGGAAGCAGGCACATTTTACATGGTGGCAGGTGAGAGAGAGACAGCAAGGAAGTGCCACACTTAAAACCATCAGCTTGCAGGATAACTCCCTCACTATCATGAGAACAGCATGGGGGAACCACCCCCGTGATTCAATCACCTCCCACCCACCAGGTCCCTCCCTTGACACATGGGGATTACAATTCAAGATGAGATTTGGGTGGGGACACAAAACCAAACCATATCAATTCATCTCAACAATCTTGGGGAACAGATACTATAATCTTTTTTTTTTTAAATAATGATACTTGAGATCAGAGAGGTTAATGACTAAATTTACACACCTGCTAAAAATTAGCACAAGTACTAAACTGTTCATGGCTGATACAAAACATAATTTAGTAACCTCTATAATCTACCACACTGATTTCCTTATGACACCCTGAAAACATACCCTTGGATACATATGTTTATCCTTTTTCTAAATAAAATTGACAAAAAAAGCTAAGAATCATCAATATCATTTTTTCTTATAAACTGAGAAATTAAAATGCAGCATGAAAGGAAATGTCACCATACAATTCTTGTCATATATACTGCACACATGTATACACACACATTTGAGAAACCTACTGAAATTACAGTTTTATTTTCACTATTTCCTTGCATTTTATGAGGCAGGCATATATTTATAGTATGATAAAAACTCAAATGTATATATCTGTCCTGGAACTCTTTCCTGAACTCTGGATTTACATTGTCAAATGTTACTCTGTAGTTTCACTTGGATGCCTAACATTGGGCATCTCAAGTTTGATATAAAAAATGAAGGCCTAGGCCAGGAGCAGTAGCTCAAACCTGCAATCCCAGCACTTTGGGAGGCCGAGGTGGGTGAATCACTTGAGGTCAGGAGTTTGAGACCAGCCTGGCCAACATGGTAAAGCCCTATCTCTACTAAAAATACACAAATTAGCCCGGTGTCATGGTGGGTGCCTGTATTCCCAGCTATTCGGGAGGCTGAGGCAGGAGAATCGCTTGAACCCAGGAGGTGGAGGTTGCAGTGAGCCAAGATCACGACACTGCATTCCAGCCTGGGCGACGGAGCGAGACACTGTCTCCAAAAAAAAAAAAAAAAAAAAAAAAAAAAAAGGCCCTAGCTTTTATCCTTCAGTTCATCCTCCCACTGCATTCTCTATTAACGGCATTTCCATTTCTTCAATAGCACATATCAAAGACCTCAGATATTTCATTCACCCTTCTTTCAGTCTTTCACCAGATCTTGTGTCTTGTGAGTTTTACCTTCAAAATACATCACACATCTATGCTTCCTTCCATTGCTATGCTCTGATCTAATCCACCATGTTATCTCATCTCCATTACTAGAACAGTCCTCTAACTTTCTGCTACTCAAAACATGCTTCGTAGACCAGCAGGCAGCATTAGCATCCCCTGGAAGATTGCTGGACATGTGGCATGTCAGGTCCACAGCAGACCTAGTGAATTAAAATCTGCATTTTAATAATATCCGCAAGTTGGGAGGCTAAGGCGGGCGGATCACCTGAGGTCAGGAGTTCGAGACCAGCCTGACCAACATGGAGAAACCCTGTCTCTACTAAAAATACAAAAATTAGACGGGCGTGGTGGTGCATGCCTGTAATCCCAGATACTGGGGAGGCTGAGGCAGGAGAATCACTTGAACCCAGGAGGCGGAGGTTGCGGTGAGCCGAGATTGTGCCATTGCACTCCAGCCTGGGCAACACAGCAAAACTCTGTCTCAATAATAATAATAGTAATAATAATAATAATAATATCCGTGAGATCACAGGCACATTAAAGTTGAGAAGTACTACTATTCTAACTCGCATTCCTACTTCCTCCCTTGCCCTACTATTTCTACCTAAATAATTATCTTGAAATGAGAGATTACATCACTCCTGTGTGCACCACGAATTGGAGGACAATTTGGCACAATGTTTCAAAAGATTTAACCTTCCAATTGAATTCCCAGATTTTTATCTTATATATAATGATGCTCATCTCAAAGGTTTACAGAAAATATATGCAAATTTATGTACGGAAACAGAATAAATATCTGTTAGTAGAATTATAATATATCTACATGATGTAATAATGCATAGCCACTGAAATGCATGTTTCTATAGACTATTTAGCCAACTCGATAATTGCACATAACTTACTTTTAAAAGGGAACACTTTAGAATACATTATATACAATATGCTTTGTGTGTGTCTGTGTGTGTGTGTTTATATGTTCAGGTAGCAAATAAACCAAAATAGCAACTGTGATTTCTACCTGGTGGGAGAATCCTATATACGCTGCTTTTCTATCTTTTCTAAATTTGTATTCTTATAGTAACTGGTAACATTTTGCATGTTAACAACCAACTAGACATTATTAAATCTCACAATTTGATGAGATAGGTATTAATATTTTTTCCTTACTATAAGAGGTGTCTACAACTTGCAGAAGGTAGGTAACTTTTCCAAGAACATATAACTACAAAGTAGCAAAGCCAGCATTTATCCTAGGTCTAACTGATTCCCTTGTCCAGATACTTAATCACCATGTTATTCTGTTATGCATGAAGGAAAGGAAGAAGACAATGCACTGGCACTACAGAAGTCTTTAGAGTTAGCACAGAATAGATAGAGATTTAACCGGATTCCTTTAAAATAATGGAGAATTTTAGAATTCTATAGCTTAGAGGACATCATTTCTACTTGCTCCCACATAGCCCCCTCAAAATGCAAAAGAATTTTGATTTGCAGCTACCTAAAATGAATGTTGCTACAATGCTACAAGATTTCAGACACTGAATTTATTTATCTATCTAGCTGACTTCCAGACAATAAACAGCAAAAGTCAAACAATAATATTTGCTATCTTATTTCTACTATTAAAAAAAAGTACCAACATTCCAAGACAATTCTGAGGCATTTCTACACATCTTTTGGAAGTTTTTTTTTTTGTTTTTTTTGTATTTTTTAAAAAAATATTTGCACAGCAAACAGCCCTGGAAGTTAGAGATTATGCCTCTCAAATCAGAATAATAAAGATAATGTGGCTGGGCATAGTGGCTCACGCCTGTAATCCTGTAATCCCAGCACTTAGGGGAGGGTGAGGTGGGTGGATCAATTGAGGTCAGGAGTTCGAGACCAGCCTGGCCAACATGGTAAAGCCACATCTTTACTAAAAATACAAAAATTAGCTGGGCGTGGTGGCAGGTGCCTGTAATCCCACCTACTATGGAGGCTGAGGCAGGAGAATCACTTGAACCCGGGAGGTGGAGGTTGCAGTGAGCCAAGATCACGCCACTGCACTGCAGCCTGGGTGACAGAGTGACTTCGTCTCAAAAAAAAAAGAGCCTTCCTCCTGGGTAAAGAAAACATAGTTTTGTTAGAAGTGCGCTATAAAACTAAGGATTTTCTAAGCTCAAGGCTACTTACTTGGCTCTGACACAGACGTACTGTTTGCATGGCACCCACCTGTGCTGCTCTACATCACCCCCATGGAACAGGGAAGAAGAACTGATGCAATTTGAGCTCATTCACCAGCTGTCTCATAAATGATAAAGTAGTCAGGTAAAATCTCAAGACTGATGCCACTTCCTGACACCAGGATTAGAAATCATAGTGATACTAATCATGGCTAAAAAGTAATTAGGAGACTTAGAATCGAGGTATTTATACCTCGATTATCTTAGAGTGGAACTATGAAAGAGTTCAACTCATCATAGAACTATCCTACAAAAACATGGTGTTTACATCCAGATGGCTTATTTTCTTTCAGTAACTGTCTCATATAATTTCTTCATCTTTTCTACTTTTAGAGTTTCTCCAAAAGAATATATAATTAAGTCTGATTTGGCAGTCAACAACTCAAGTTTTTTAATAATCAAAGAATATTGAATTCTTCAAAATATGTAGTTATTGGGGGAGCATATTGATTTAGAGAACATTTTGTGATTTATAACACACAGAGTACAGTGAAAAGCTCTTTTAAAACTTTGCTTGAGGAAAGTTTACTTGAATGCATAAAAATTAGGTATCCTGAAGTTTTTTTTTAAAAAACAGTTACCAATGACCATTTCTCACGGTTTTAAACTACATGAAATGACCGATATTTGGGCATTTTTGACCTGTAATGTTGTTTCATATGTGTCAACCCCAAACATAGGAATTGAGAAAGAAAATTAGGAGTCTAATATTTCTCATTCTAAGATGCCATGTTTAAACATAGAAAAAGCCCTCATACAGTCTGTGATGCTAACACACATGAAGGTAACAGTGATGCTTGGCTGGGCAACATTTGCATATGATTGAGAAGAATTCAAGTATAATCAATCTTCTGGTCTAGTAGAGCTTTTACAATACTTTCCACAGGCTTCTTCCATTAACCTGAATTAGCCCTATTTCAGCCCATAAAAAAACAGTTCAAGTGCCTCATCAACCTTCTTTATTTCATATTTCTCTTTTTTGTTTTACTTTTTGTTTACACTCCCAAAGATAAAAATGATTTTTAAGGACATTTCATTCAACCTCCTTTTCTAATGCAGGAATCATTTCTTCAACGTACAAAACAAACTATATCCAGAGTTGGTTTGAAAAAGTGCAGCAATAAAGAATTCATAATGTCCTGAAGAAGACATTGATCTGAAACAGTTCTAATTGTCAGAAATAGGCATGGGCAAGGACTTCATGTCTAAAACACCAAAAGCAATGGCAACAAAGACAAAATTGACAAATGGGATCTAATTAAACTAAAGAGCTTCTGCACAGCAAAAGAAACTACCATCAGAGTGAACAGGCAACCTACAACATGGGAGAAAATTTTCGCAACCTACTCATCTGACAAAGGGCTAATATCTAGAATCTACAATGAACTCAAACAAATTTACAAGAAAAAAACAAACAACCCCATCAAAAAGTGGGCAAAGGACATGAACAAACACTTCTCAAAAGAAGACATTTATGCAGCCAAAAAACACATGAAAAAATGCTCACCATCACTGGCCATCAGAGAAATGCAAATCAAAACCACAGTGAGATACCATCTCACACCAGTTAGAATGGCAATCATTAAAAAGTCAGGAAACAACAGGTGCTGGAGAGGATGTGGAGAAATAGGAACACTTTGACACTGTTGGTGGGACTGTAAACTAGTTCAACCATTGTGCAAGTCAGTGTGGCGATTCCTCAGGGATCTAGAACTGGAAATACCATTTGACCCAGCCATCCCATTACTGGGTATATACCCAAAGGACTATAAATCATGCTGCTATAAAGACACATGCACACGTATGTTTACTGTGGCATTATTCACGATAGCAAAGACTTGGAACCAACCCAAATGTCCAACAATGATAGACTGGATTAAGAAAATGTGGCACATATACACCGTGGAATACTATGCAGCCAGCCATAAAAATGATGAGTTCATGTCCTTTGTAGGGACATGGATGAAATTGGAAATCATCATTCTCAGTAAACTATCGCAAGAACAAAAAACCAAACACCGCATATTCTCACTCATAGGTGGGAATTGAACAATGAGATCACATGGACACAGGAAGGGGAATATCACACTCTGGGGACTGTTGTGGGGTGGGGGGAGGGGGGAGGGATAGCATTGGGAGATATACCTAATGCTAGATGACGAGTTAGTGGGTGCAGTGCACCAGCATGGCACATGTATACATATGTAACTAACATGCACAATGTGCACATGTACCCTAAAACTTAAAGTATAATAATAATTTTAAAAAAAAGAAAATTATTATTTATACTGTCATGTAATATGAAAGTAGTAAGTGGTTTTGCGTGTTATCTAATTAAATTCTCTGTTTAATCTGTTGGGGGATATGTAAGCAGGAGGGGTAAAAAATAAATAACTAAGCAAAGAAATGAAAAAGGTACAGTAAATCAGTGAAAACAGCAATGATGGTAATAAGCCTGAATAATGTAATAAAGAAATTACCGATGGGGACCAGGTGAGGTGGCTCATGCTTGTAATCCCAGCACTTCGGGAAACTGAGGTAGGTGGATCGCTTGAGTCCAGGAGTTCGAGGCCAGCCTGGGCAACATGCTGAAACCCCATCTGTACCAAAAATACAAAAATTAACTGGGCATGTTGGCACACGTCTATGATCCCAGCTACTCTGGAGGCTGAGGTGGGAGGATTGCTTGAACCTAGATGGCGGAGGTTGCAGTGAGCCAAGATTGCGCCACTGCACTCCAGCCTGGATGAGAGAGTGACACCCTGTCTCAAAAAAAAAAAAAAAAATTAGGAATAGGGAAAACCTCTTTGGATGGAACGATCAAGGATGTCCTGACTGAGCCTTTCTCTCCCCGAAAATAGGGACTAGATGCTAAATAGTTATTATATGGATAAAGTAAAAAGAATAGCCATCATAAATAAATGCATATTTATATCAAACTTTCAATCAATTAAAACATTTCTCTTTTTGACTTAAAATATATTAAGTAGCATGGATTAGGAAAACGAATACAGTCCTCAGAGTAAAGGTCCTCTGGGGACCATTGCTTGATTAAATTTATAGATGCTCTACAGTAAAATGCCTACATATATATGCACACAATACTTTCCATCCTCTTTATTTTATATCCTCATTATAATTTTGCCAGGTGTGGCTCATAAAAAAGTACCTGAGATCTTGAAGATTTTATTAGATTATTGCTTTTTGTTTAGATCAATTTATTCTTCTTTAGTCAAGTCTGTTTTAGTGATGCTGCTCATCTCTGTCACTAAGGAAAAGCGCAAACATCCACCTTGCAGAAATAACTTTCAAAGAGCTTTGCGATGTTTCTAAGTGTCTATAAATATTTGCAGTAGAAAAAAAAGTCCCACTGTAGCCTGCAGGAGTCCTTTAGCTTTGGACTGTTACTGCACACATTAATTGGTGCTTGGGTCACATTCTCCTAGTTCCCTTTACCGTTTTCTAGTGCAATGATGCGCTGGCTCTGTGTGCTCTGTCTCCCATAACCAGCACCTACATCTATTTGTCAAAAGGCTCCCTCCAGGCTGCCCAGGCTCATTTTCCCTGTGTGTCGCTATGAGAACAGAAAGTGCCTGGGAATTTATATCCTCAGGGGTCATTCCTTAACTGAACACTGAAAGGTGTGGAGGTATAAAAATATTCCAGCGATCCTGCTGTCTGATCAGGACATCTCAAAAGTGTGACCTACACTGGCTCAAGAAATCTCCTGAGCATTTGAGACAAAGTTTCCATGAGAACCTTTAGATTCTCACTTGGGTTCCTTTACTTCCTGCGCCAATCCTCCATTCTCCTGCCCTGCTTTTCTTGGAAGATTTCCTAATGAATGTTTCACAGGAACATTCATGTAAGAGTGTGTTTCTGGGAAGTCCATCCTAAAAATGTTAGTATTGTTATCCATTTCCGACTTGTTCATTTAGATTAATAGATTGGGTAGAAGAACTCATTCCCAGGCCTGGCTTTAGGGATTGTGACCAGCTAAGTCACTCAGTGATTCATGCTCAGCAAGAGAACTCACTTGCGTGGCATTCAGGCATTGTCTGTGCCTGCCATCTTGAAATTCTTAATAATTTTATATTTGAATTGGTCTTAGCTAGTGAAGTCTATGGGACAATGGAGCAAATGCCAAGGGCTTGGAGCTGTGGATCACACGTGACCCTGTATCCTGCCACCTCCCATCTCCCTAGGACAGGCAGGTTCTCAGCCTCTCGCTCTCACACTGACCCAGCAACTGAAGCCACTCTTCTTCCAGAAGAGGCTGGAATGTGGGCTCTGGGAAGGTTACATGGTATTGTAGGGAAGCGATCCAGGCACCAGGGAGTTCCTGTCACACCCCAGAAAGATAATGCTAAGGGAATGTAACACTAAATAGCAAATTAAAAACACTGTGACACATAAAGAAAGATACAACAGAATAAAACAAAAGAGCATTTTTCTTGCTCTTTAAACAAGGAGCTTTATATTTTCACACTGCAGAAGGCCCCACAAATAATGTAGCTGGTCTTGCTCATACTTTTTTATAATAATCATAACAAATACTGCAGTACCTTGAATGAAGATTATTACCATATTCATTTCATAAGAATATCCACCAATTAAGCCAAGCTAAGAAGAAATACACAACTAAGTTTTTCTGAGCTAATGTGGTAGAAGTTTCATTAAAATTTCAATTTCTTCCTCTTATTCTTGGTAACACATACTTAATTATTTTTCTAGACACATTATTTCATACAATTTAGATTAGATTTTATAATCTCCTTCATGTCTGGATATGGTCACATAACCAAATTCTGGCTGACAACATATAAGAATATATGTTTTGTGGCACTTCCATGAAAGCTGCCCCAGAACGGTGGCAGATTTTTTTTCTCATTTGTCTTTCATTCTTTTTAGAAGATGCAATTTATGCAACTCAGACATGAAGCATGAAGCAACTATATTGGGTCAAGAGGTAACTTTGAAAATAGAAAGCATGGGCTAAGGCAGTAAAATAGAAAGAATCTGAGATCCCTAATGAAGATACCATACTTCTCTGAACTGTCAACAGCCCCAAACTCCTTTCATGTAAGAGGAAAATATAAACTATCTTAATAAGGCACCATAATTTTTGTTCTGTTATGTATAGGCAAACACCCTTAGCTGACAAAAGAGGTAATCATTTTTTCTTAAAAGGATGTTGAAAATCTAATCAATCTCTAGACTGGATTAAGAAAATGTGGCACATATACACCATGGAATACTATGTAGCCATAACAGAGCATGAGTTAATGTCCTTTATGGGGACATGGATGAAGCTGGAAATCATTATTCTCAGCAAACCATCACAAGATCAGAAAACTGAACACCACATGTTCTCACTCATAAGTGGGAGTTGAACAATGAAAACACATGGACACAGGGAGGGGAACATCACACACTGGGGCCTGCAAGGAGTTGGGGGCTAGGGGAGGGATAACATTAGGAGAAATACCTAATGTAGGTGATGGGTTGACGGGTGCAACAAACCACCATGGCACTTGTATACCTATGGAACAAACCTGCACGTTCTGCACAAGTAACCCAGAACTTAAAGTATAATAAAAGAGAAAAGAAAATCTAATCAATCTCTTTGCAACATATCCTCTGAAAGCCAATGTCCACTGATGTAGTAGAAAGTTTCTTCAAATTTGATACCATTACTTGCTTTTGAAAAGTTAATTATTCAATAGATTGGGTAGAAGAACTCATACCCAAGTCTGGCTTTAGGGATTGTGACCAGTGAAGTCACTCAGGGATTCATGCTCAGAAGGCGACCTCAGTTGCATGGCATTCAGGCATTGTCTGTGCCTGCCATCTTGAAATTCTTAATAATTTTATATTTGAATTTATGTTTTGCTAGTGAAGCCTATGGGAGAAGCAAATGCCAACGACTTGGAGGTGTGGATCACACATGACCCTGCATCCTGCCACCTCCCCATCTCCCTAGGACAGGCGGGTTCTCAGCCTCTCACACTGACCCAGCAACTGACCCAGCACATCTCTGTCACTGATGAAATTGACAACTTTCATGAGGGGAAAAGATTTTGTGGAAAACCATGGTGGAAAGGGGTAGTGGAAAATATTTTGGGGGGAATGGTTGGTAAAGTCTCTGATGCAAATCTTCACAGATATAGAAACCAATGAGTCACAATGATGCCTGTTGAACTTCTTTGTTCCCTAAAATTGTGTATTCAGAGATGTTGCCAAAAACTGCAGGTGTTCCATCTATGCAGAGTAACAAGATTATTTTTCCAGTTAAAGTCTGGCTTGGCATAGAAATTTTTCAATATCTGAAATACCAACAGCCTTAACAGCTTGCAAAAAGGGCTCATAGGATAAGAATTCTTTGTTGATGTTTGGTACATGCACATATGAGCTGGTTGTACTGAAAGAACAACAACAGATTCATCTAGTTGTATGCAGAAGGGAAATATAAGCTGCCAATTCCTCCAGGATCTGCCTCAAAATATTAAAAGAAATATCAGTGATTCCGGAGTAAATGATGTCCTGTTATAGAGGCATTGATTCAGTTTGCTTTCTCATAAAGTGACTTGATATTTCCAAGACATATTTCCAGGCATTGATTCAGTTTGCTTCACCAAGAGCGTTCCAATGTGTATAGATTCTTTCTCTTAGCAACGTGATATGCAATTCGGTAGAATGCTTCAAGACAAGGCTTTTTATTGACGTAAATCTAAGTTTTGATAAAGTTCTAGTCCTTTAAAATTAAGAGCTCTCATTAAAAATTCCATAAAACTGACATATTTTCAAGATGAATAAATAAAACATGCTTCTTTAGCTTTATTGGCATTATATGAATTTATTGGCAGAAAACTCTTACCTATATAGGAGGCATCGCAGCTTTTGTGTATCATCAAACTTAGCAATGAAAATAAAATTAAACAACATGCAAACATTGTTGTACTATGGTTATGCTTTCCAAATAAAAATTAACCTGATGCAAATAAATACAGATTTCCATAATCATGATGCTGGGTATTTTTTTAAAATTCTTATTAAAGGAATCCTGAGTATCATACAATGTGAAGCACACAATTTTTCATCTGATGATTTATAATGGTCCGTGACATTTTATACTTGTTTGAAATGAATAAATATTTGATTAGATTTCATCTTAATATGTTTCATAAAGGTAGATAAAATTGAGAAAACAAAATATTTTTGCAAACCATTTGTAGTTTGGGTAAGTAAATAACTCATTTATTTGATTCTTAGGCCTGCCGCTTAGTATTGATATAAACATGGTCAAGTTGTTTTTACTCTTTGTGTCTCAGTTTTCTCATTTGTAGAATAAACATTTTGCCTCAATTAAATTAGATAATTTAGTATACAAATCAGCATATATTCAAATTATTTCAGCTTTGTTTCTGAGTCACAGTCTACCAAATTGTTGTTTTGTACAAGCAAATGACAATTTTAACAATTAAGTATGGCTCATTTTTATCTAAAATATCCATATTTTCTCAAATTTTTATACCATATTGAGAAGCAGAATGTAAAATGATAAGAATCCAGCTGAAGACTGGCATTTTAAACTGAGTACAGGCTACAGAAACTGTGATTACATGTGTAATTATAATATACGTAAGACATATGTACACAAACATGTAAAAGACATATTGTAGAATTTAATAGATATTGATATCATTGGCGAAAGACTTTCTAATGTGCTTTCAAACTACATTAATAGAAAATAGTTCATCAAATAAAGAAGATTATAATCACACACTATTCTTCCACTAGATAGTATTTCTTGTTTTATTTGTAGTCCTGTAGTGAAACGTGATGAAGTGTATACAAGTATTTTATGACTAAAGGGTAATAATGTCATTTGATAAATAATTGAATAAAATAAGGATATTTCCAGGACAAAATGGAAACAATTATCCAATTTTCCAATAACTGAATAGCTTTTACTTAGAAAAAACATCCAGCATTCTTTATAGTCCCCTAGGAACAGAACTTGGAAAAATAAGTAAACGTTACAAGGAGACATATTTTCACTCAATATAAATAAAAACTTTCCAACAGTTGCAATTAAACAAAGATTAAATGGACTCTTATAAGCAACAACGAAGATGTTCCTCTCTGCATTTCTTCTGTACCATGTATTATTATTGTTTGCATTCATGCATCACATTAAGATTTGCTGAATGTGTAAGTAACCTCCTCACACAATTACTAACAAAATGTTGAATATATAAGTGATATAAGGCTAGAGGGTGGTCTTCTAAGTGACATCAACTTATTAATTAATACTCTAACAATGGTTGTGCCATCACTTAGAAATGTATCCAGCTAACCTATCATTTTGCTCTTTTTTATCCATACGATTTGTAAGGTCATAATAAGAAACTATTGCAGTCTTTCTACATCTATGACAATCCAATAAATTATGAGTTGAATATAACAACAAAAGACCAAAAGGCCTAATTCACCACAGATCATTCACATTAAAATCTTGTTGGTTCCACTCACAATGTAATTATTTCTATCAGTTCAGAAACTATTTTAAAAATAATTTCTCATGAATAGTCATGTTATTTGGGCACTTTGCTTCTGAATTACAGCTTTCCCCACTTTTATTATTTTTGTCTTTCATCAATTCTTTGATTCATAATTTTTCCCCAGATATTGGCATACCTTGGAGATATTGTAGGTTCAATTCCTAGCCACCAAGAAAAAGTAAGTCACACAATTTTTTTGGCTTCTCAGTGTATATAAAAGTTATATTAACATTATACTGTAATGAGAACACATGGACACAGGAAGGGGAACATCACACTCTGGGGACTGTTGTGGGGTGGGGGGAGGGGGGAGGGATAGCATTAGGAGATATACCTAATGCTAAATGACGAGTTAATGGGTGCAGCACACCAGCATGGCACATGTATACATATGTAACTAACCTGCACATTGTGCACATGTACCCTAAAACTTAAAGTATAATAATAATAAAATAAAAATTAAAAAAAACAACATAAACCAAAAAAAAGAGTGCAATAGAATTTTATCTAAAAATGTACATACTTTAAAAACACTTGATTGATAAAAATAATAATGATTATCTAAGCCTTCAGTGAGTTTCAATCTTTTTGCTGGTGGACAATCTATCCCTGATGTTAATGGATGCTGACCGTTCAGGCTAGTGGTTGTTGCAGACTGAGATGACTATGGCAATTTCTTAAAATAAGAACAATGAAGTTTTCCACATTAACTGACTCTTCCTTTCATGAAAGATTATTCTGTAGTATGTGTTTGATAGAATTTTACCCACAGAAGTTCTTTCAAAATTCTGATCAAACCTCTTAAGCCCTCCTGCTGCTTTATCAACTAAGTTTTTGTAACATTCTAAATCCTTTATTGTTGTTTCAACAAGGTTCATATTTTCACCAGAAATAGATTCCATCTCAGAGAATCACTTTCTTTGCTCATCCATAAGAAACAACTTCTCATTCATTTAAATTTTATCATGAGATTGCAGTAATTCAGTCACATTGACAGGCTTTGCTTCTAACTCTAGTACTCTCACTATCTCTACCACCACTACAGTTACTTCCTCCATTGAAATTTTGAATTCCTCATGGTAATCCATGAGGCTTAAAATTAACTTCTTTGAAATTCCTGTTAATGTTCATATTTTGACCTCCTTTATGAGTTACTAATGTTCTTCGTGGCATCTAGAATGGTGACTGCTTTCCAGAAGGTTTTCAATTGACTTTGTCCAGATCCATCAGAGAAATCACTATATATGGATACTACAACATTACAAAATTTTTCTTTTAGTTGTTATTTATTTATTTATTTATTGGAGACAGAGTCTCGCTCTGTTGCCCAGGCTGGAGTGCAGTGGCGCGATCTCGGCTCACTGCAACCTCCACCTCCTGGGTTCCAGCTATTCTCCTGCCTCAGCCTCCTGGGTAGCTGGAACTACAGGCACCCGCCACCATGCCTGGCTAATTTTGTATTTTTAGTAGAGACGGGGTTTCACCACGTTAGCCAGGCTAGTCTCCAACTTCTGACCTCAGGTGATCCGCCCGCCTCGGCCTCCCAAATTGTTGGGATTACAGGCATGAGTCACCACGCCAGGCCAATTTATTTCTTAAATAATAATACCTGAAAGTAAAAATTATTCCCTGATCTATGGGGGCACAGAATGGATGTTATGTTAGCAGCCATAAAAACATTAATTTCTTGTACATTTTCCTGAGAGCTCTTGTATGACTAGGTGCATTGTTAATGATCAGTAATGTTTTAGAAGAAATCTTTGTGGTTTTTGCTTGTTGTTTTCTGAGCAGTTCTCAACATAGGGGTTAAAACGTTCAGTAACCCAGGCTGCAAACAGATGTGCCGCCATCCAGGCTTTGTTGTTCCATTTATAGAACACAGGCAGAGTATACTTTGCGTAATTCTTAAGGGCCCTACGATTTTCAGAATGGCAAATAAGCATTGGCTTCAATTTAAAGTCACCAGCTGCATTAGCCCCTAATAACAGAGTCAGACTGTCCTTTGAAGCTCTGAGTCCTGGCACGGACATCTCTCCAGGTATGAAAGTCTTAAATGGCATCTTCTTCCAATAGAAAGCTGTTCCATGTACATTAAATATCTGTTGTTTAGTGTAGCCACTTTCATCAATTATCTTAGCTACATCTGAATAGCTTGCTGCAGCTTCTCCATCAACACTTGAAGCTCCACCTTGTACTTTTATGTTATGAAGATGGTGTCTTTTCTTAAATACCATGGCTCAACCTCTGCAAGCATCAAACTGCTTAAATTCATATGGAAATATTTAAATTGAGGTATCCTAAATGGGAAAATTTGTAAGTAAATTTAGTCTCAAGTAGCTCTATTTGTCATCTGCAAACATTATATCATCTACCCCTATGAAGTGGGCCTAGCCCCTATTTCTCTCAACTTCAACAAAAGTAAAAGAGACATTTTCATTGTGCTTGAATTTTTTAGCATTTTTATATTCCAAATATTATTCTTGAAGTTTCAAATAGCACTTGTGCATTCTATATACGAGTATAGTCAGATAAACTGTGTTATAGCAAATATTTTTTCAAAACATGTAGAATAACTGTCTTTTTTTTTTAAGTTTCTGTATGTGGTGTAAGAAAGGGGTCCAGTTCCAATCTTCTGCATATGGCTAGCCAGTTATCCCAGCACCATTTATTTAATAGGGAATTATTTCTCCATTGTTTGTTTTTGTCAGGATTCTTGAAGATCAGATAGTTGTATGTGTGTGGTCTTATTCATGAGTTCTCTGTTCTGTTCCATTGGTCTGTGTGTCTGCTCTTGTACCAGTACCATGCTGTTTTGGTTACTGTAGCCCTGTAGTATAGTTTGAAGTCAGGTAGTGTGATGCCTCTAGCTTTGTTCTTTTGTCTTATGATTGTCTTGGCTATTCAGGCTCTTTGTTTGGTTCCATATGAATTGTAAAATAGTTTTCTCTAGTTCTGTGAAGAATGTCAATTGTAATTTAATGGGAACAGCATTGAATCTATAAATTGTTTTGGGTGGTATGGCCATTTTAATGATATTGATTTGTCCCATCCATGAACATGGAGTGTTCTTCCATTTGTTTGTATCATCTCTTACTTCTTTGGGCAGTGGTTTATAGTCCTCCTTGTAGAGATCCTTCACCTGTATTCCTAGATATTTCATTCTTTTTGTGGCAATTGTGAAAGGGAGTTCATTCCTGATTTGGCTCTTGGCTTGACTGTTGTTGGTTTATAGGAATGCTAGTGATTTTTGCATGTCGATTTTGTATCCTTAGACTTTGCTGAAGTTGCTTATCAGCTTAAGAAGCTTTTGGGCTTAGATAATGGGATTTTCTAGATATAGAACCATGTCATCTGAAAACAGGGATAGTTTGAACTCTCTTCCCATTTGGATGCCCTTTATTTCTTTCTGTTGCCTGATCGCCCTGGCCAGAACTTCCAATACTTTGTTGAATAGGAGTGGTGAGAGAAGGCATCCTTGTCTTGTGCTGATTTTCAAGGGGAATGCTTCCAGTTTTTTCCCATTCAGTATGATGTTGACTGTGAGTTTGTCATATATGGCTCTTATTATTTTGAGGTATGTTCCTTTAATACATAGTTTATTGAGAGTTTTTAACATAAAGGGATATTGGATTTTATTGAAGGCCTTTTCTGCATCCTTATTGAGGTAATCATGTGGTTTTTGTCTTTAGTTCTGTTTATGTGATGAATTACGTTTATTGATTTGCATATGTTGAATCAACCTTGCATCCCAGGGATAAAGCCAGCTTGATCATAGTGGGTGAGCTTTTTGATGTGTTGCTGGATTCGGTTTGCCAGTATTTTGCTGAGTATTTTTGCATCAACGTTCATCAAGAATACTGACCTGAGGTTTTCTTTTTTTGTTGTATCTCTGCCTGGTTTTGGTATCAGGATGATGCTGGCCTCATAGAATGAGTTAGGGAGAAGTCCCTCCTTTTCAATTGTTTGAAATAGTTTCAGAAGAAATGGTACTAGTTCCTCTTTGCACATCTGGTAGGATTCAGCTATGAATCTGTCTGGTCCAAAAATTAATTCAAGATGAATTAAAGACTTAAATGTAAAACCCAAAACTATAAAAATCCTGGAAGACAACCTAGGCAATACCATATGGACATAGGCATGGGCAAAGATTTCATGGCAAAGGCATCAAAAGCAATTGCAACTAAAGCAAAAATTGACAAATGAGTTCTAATTAAACTAAAGAGCTTCCACACAGTGAAAGAAACTATCAACAGAGTACACAGATGACCTACAGAATGGAGGAGGATTTTTGCAAAATGTGTATCAGTCAGGGTTCTCCAGAGGAACAGAACTAATAGGATATATATATACATGAAAAGGAGTTTATTAGGCAGAATTGGCTCACATGATCACAAGGTGAAGTCCTATGATAGGCCATCTGTAAGCTGAGGAAGAAAGAAGCCACTAGTGACTCCATTTGAGTCCAAAGGCCTCAAAAGCAGGGAAGCTGGCAGTGCAGCCTTCAGTGTGTGGCTGAAGGCTTGAGAGCCCCAGGCAAACCACTGGTGTAATAGTCCAAGAGTTCAAAGGCCAAAGAACCTGGAGTCTGATGTCCAGGGCAGGAGAAATGGAAGGAAGTATCCGGTGTGGGAAAAATATAAGAGCCAGAAGATTCAGCAAGCCAGCTTATTCCACCTTCTTCCGCCTGCTTTGTTCTAGGAGCTGACAGCCAATTGGATAGTGTGCACCCACAATGAAGTTGGGTCTTCCTCACCCAGTCCACTGACTCAAGTATCAATCTCCTCTGGAAACACCCTCACAGACACACCCAGAAACAATACTTTACCAGCTATCTAGGCACCCTTCAACCAGTCAAGTTGACACCTAATATCAACCATCACAGCATGCATCAAACAAAGGTATAATATCCAGCATCTATAAGCAACATAAACAAACTTGCAAGAAAAAAAAAACTCCATTAAAAAGTGGACAAATGATATAAACACTTTTCAAAAGAAGACATATATGCAGCCAACGAGCACACACAAAAAAATTCAACATCACTGATCATTAGAGAAATGCAAATCAAAACCACAACATGATACCATCTAACACTAGTCAGAGTGGTTACTATTAAAAAGTCAAAAAATAACATGCTGGTGAGGTTGTGGAGAAAAAGGAATGTTTTTACACTGTTGGTGGGAGTGTAAATTAGTTCAGCCATTGTGAAAGACAGTGTGGCATTTCCTCAAAGACCTACAGACAGAAATACCATTCAACCCAGAAATCTAATTACTGGGTATATACCCACAGGAATACAAATAATTGTATTATAAAGACACATGTATGTGCATGTTCATTGAAGCACTATTCACAATAGCAAAGAAATGAAATCAACCTAAATGCCCTTCAATGATAGGCTGGATAAAGAAAATGTGGTACAAATACACCATGAAATACTATGCAGCCATAGAAAAAAAATGAGATCATGTATTTTGCAGGGACATGGATGGAGCTAGAGGCCATTACCCTTAGCAAAGTAACACAGGAACAGAAAACCAAATGCTGCATGTTCTCACTTATAAGTAGGAGCTAAATGATGAGAACACATGGACACACAGTGGGAAAGAACATACACTGGGGGCTTTTGAAGGGTGGCGGGTGAGAAGAGGGAGAGGATCAGGAAAAACAACTAATGGGTACTAAGCTTAATATCAGGGTGATAAAATAATCTGTACAATAAACCCCCATGATATAAGTTTGCTTATGTAACAAACCTGCACTTGTACCTCTGAACTTAAAAAAAAAAGTCTGACGAAGGCTTTTAATAGTATTAATTTTCCTCTTAATACTGCTTTTGCTGCATCCCCTAAGAGGTTTTGGTATGTTGTGTCCCTATTTTCATTAATTTCAAAACATTATTTGATCATTACAATGTCCATATGGCCCAAAGAAATTCACAGATGCAACACTATTCCCATTAAACTACCAATGTCATTCTTCACAGAATTAGAAAAAAAGTATTCTGAAATTGACATGGAACCAAAGAGGAGTCCAAATAGCCAAAATAATTCTAGGCAAATCTGGAAGCATCACACTACCTGACTTTAAACTATACTATAAGGCTAGAGTAAACAAAACAGCATGGTACTGCTACAGAAGCAGACATGTAGACCAATGGAACAGAATAGAAAACTCAGAAATAAAGGAGTATAACTGCATCTGATGATCTTCAACAAGGCCAACAAAAACAAGCAATGAGAAGAGGACTCCTTATTCAATAAATGGTGCTGAGATAACTGGCTAGCCATATGCAGAAGAATGAAACTGGATCCTTACCTTTTGCCATATATAAAAATTAACTCAAATGGATTAAAGATTTAAATGTAAGACCTCAAACTATAAAAATGTTAGAAGAAACCTAGGAAATACCCTTTTTTACATTGGCCTTGGCAAAGAATTTTTGGCCAACTCCCCAAAAACAAATGCAAAAAAAACCAAAAATTGATAAATGGTCCTAATTAAACTAAAGAGCTCCTGCACGGCAATGAAACTATCAATAGACAGTCTTCAAAATGGGAGAAAATATTCTTAAACTATGCATCCAATAAAGGTCTAATATCCAGAATCTATAAGGAACTTGAACAAATCAACAAGCAAAAAACAAGTAACCACATTAAAAAATGGGTAAACCATATGAACAGACACTTCTCAAAAGAAGACATATGAGCAGCCTAAAAACATATGAAAAAATGCTTATTATCACTAATCATCAGAGACATGCAAATAAAACCACAATGAAATACCATCTCACACCAGTCAGAATGGTCATTACTAAAAAGTAAAAAAATAACAGATGCTAGTGACGTTGTGGAGAAGAGGGAACACTTATACACTATCGGTGAGAATGTAAATTAGTTCAGCCACTGTGGAAAGCAGTATGTAGATTTCCCAAAGAACTTAAAACCGAGCTACCATTTGATCCAGCAATCCCATTGAGAGGTGACAGCGTGCTGGCAGCCCTCGCAGCCCTCGCTCACTCTCGGCACCTCCTCAGTCTTGGCACCCACTCTGGCCACACTTGAGGAGCCCTTCAGCCCACCGCTACACTGTGGGAGCCCCTTTCTGGGCTGGCCAAGACCGGAGCCGCCTCCCTCAGCTTGCGGGGAGGTGTGGAGGGAGAGGCATGGGTGGGAACCGGGGCTGTGTGCGGCGCTTGTGGGCCAGCATGAGTTCTGGGTGGGCATGGGCTCGGCAGGCCCCACAATTCGGAGCGGCCGGCCAGCCCCGCCGGCCCCGAGCAGTGAGGGGCTTAGCACCTGGGCCAGCAGCTGCTGTGCTAGACTTCTCACCAGGCCTTAGGTGCCTCCCTGCGGGGCAGCACTCGGGACCTGCAACCTGCCATGCCTGAGCCTCCCCCACCTGCCATGGGCTCATGCGCAGACTGAGCCTCCCTGACGAGTGCCGCCCCCTGCTCCATGGCCCCCAGTCCCATTGACCACCCAAGGGTTGAGGAGTGAGGGCGCACAGCGTGGGACTGGCAGCCAGTTCCACCTGCGGCCCTGGTGAGGGATCCACTGGGTGAAGCCAGCTGGGCCCCTGAGTCTGGTGGGGACTTGGAGAATCTTTATGTCTAGTTAAGGGATTGTAAATACACCAATCAGCACTCTGTATCTAGCTCAAGGTTTGTAAACACACCAATCAGCACCCTGTGTCTAGCTCAGGGTTTGTGAATGCACCAATCGGCACTCTGTATCTAGTTAATCTGGTGGGGACTTGGAGAACCTTTGTGTCTAGCTAAGGGATTGTGAATGCACCAACCGGCACTCTGTATCTAGCTCAAGGTTTGTAAATGCACCAATCAGCACTCTGTGTCTAGCTCAGGGTTTGTAAATACACCAACTGACACTCTGTATCTAGCTAATCTAGTGGGGATGTGGAGAACTTTTGTGTCTAGCTCATGGATTGTAAATGCACCAATCAATCAGCACCCTGTCAAAACGGACCAATCAGCTCTCTGTAAAACAGACCAATCGGCTCTCTGTAAAATGGGCCAATCAGCAGGATGTGGGTGGGGCCAGATAAGAGAATAAAAGCAGGCTGCCTGAGCCAGCAGTGGCAACCCACTTGGATCCCCTTCCACACTGCGGAAGCTTTGTTCTTTCACTCTTTGCAATAAATCTTGCTGCTACCCAATCTTTGGGTCCACACTGCCTTTATGAGATGTAACACTCACCGCGAAGGTCTGCAGCTTCCCTGCTGAAGCCAGTGAGACCACGAACCCACTGGGAGGAATGAACAACTCCAGACACGCCGCCTTAAGAGCTGTAACACTCATCGAGAAGGTCTGCAGCTTCACTCCTGGGCCAGTGAGACCACGAACCCACCAGAAGGAAGAAACTCCGAACACATCCGAACATCAGAAGGAACAAACTCTTTGGACACGCCACCTTTAAGAACTGTAACACTCACCGCGAGGGTCCATGGCTTCATTCTTGAAGTCAGTGAGACCAAGAACCCACCAATTCTGGACACACCATTACTAGGTATATACCCAAAGGAAAATAAATCATTATCGAAAAAAGACACATGAACTTGTATGTTTATCACCATGAAATTTACAATAGAGAAGACGTGGAATTAACCTAGGTGCCCTATCAATGGTATATTGGATTGAAAAATGTGGTACATATATACCATGGAATACTATGCTGCTGTAAAAAAGAATAAAATCGTATCCTTTGCAGAAAAATGGATAGAGCTTGAGACTGTAGCCCTAAGAGAGCTAATGCAGGCACAGAAAACCAAATACTGCATGTTCTAATTTTTAAATGGGAGCTAAACATGGAGCATACATTGACATTAACATGGGAACAACAGACACTGTGGACTACTAAAGTGGGGAGAAAGGGAGAAGGGTGTTGATTGAAAAACTATTTTTCAGGTACTATACTCCCTATCTGGGTGCAATATACCCATGCAGTGAACCTAAACATATACCCCCTATATCTAAAATAAAAGTTTAAATTAAGAAAAGAGTTTTCTGTCATGACACAATGTTAAATGTGACAAATAAGTGATACATACAGGCCTTAAATAAAATCACTATTAAAGTACCCTGCAAAAGTTGTGCAGAGCAACACCCCCACCCCAAGAGATTTGAGATATTCAGGAATTTAAAAGGATCCTTACCTAGAATTTTACCAGAACGTATATACAACAAAGACTGGGATCATTTTAAAAACTGGCTACTTGGGGATGTGGGAAAAGATTCAATGTGCATTTTTTGTAGAGTGACTACATATTCTGATTTGCCTGGGATGGTCTACATTCACACCAGCTGTCCCACCATCACATCTGGTTTCTCCTTTCCCTCTGAAAAGTATCCCAGCTTAGATGATAAATTACATGCTCAACCTATAATTCTATAGGTTATTCATTTTGGAAGGATTTTTAAGGGGTATGAAGTGAATTCTCTTGCTACATATTAATAAACAATTAAATGTCTGCAAGGCAGGCAGAGTTACGCAGTCTATTTATATCAGGTTAAATGCCTCAATTCATTCTCTTAAAATATTCAAATATGTAATTGATAGAGTTTGGCTGTGTCCCAAAGAAAATTTCAACTGAATTGTATCTCCAAGAAGTCCCACAAGTTGTGGGAGGGACCCTGGGAGGCCCTTCTCCTACTGTTTGCATGATAATGAAAAAGTCTTATGAGATCTGACGGGTTTATCAAGGATTTCTGCTTTTGCTTCTTTGTCATTTTCTCTTGCCGCTGCCATGTAAAAAGAGCCTTTCGCCTCCCACCATGATTCTGAGGCTTCCCCAGCCATGTGGAACTATAAGTCCAGTTAAACCTTTTTTTGTTCCCAGTTTCGAGTATGTCTTTATCAGTAGCATGAAAACAAACTAATATAGTAATATAAAAATCTGTTTGACCTTTTTCAAATGTAAAAACTAGTAAGCAAGCAGCATTTTATCTCCTTTTCAAAGTAAAACATGTTTGTTCAATTGTATATGGTAATTTTCGTTTACAAAAACCATGACAGTATTCTTGAAAGTGTTGGCATTATTTCTCAAACCTAAAAGAAACAGAAAACAAAAGAAAGTATAATTTTTCACTAGCAGTTGAGTTTTTTGCATGGATTATAATAGATTTCACCAAAATTAAGTGGAAATTTATATTTTATTTATAATTCATTTTGAAATAAAAATTAATAGTGATTAAAATATGATACTTTTAAATATTAAGAAAATGTTACAAACTAGTGATATCCTTAAGAAATACAGCTATATTAATCTTGCATTTAATCAAAATATGTATTCATTTTATATAATACATATTTTTAAGTTAATAGTCATAAAGAAAACATAATGACAGTTCCCCAATTAATTCAACTTGTCATAAGGAATACTTAAAATTTTGTTCTGTTCCTTTGAGATGTTTTGCTGGTCTTACTTCTTTTTATAAGATCTATCTTTAGGTTGTTACTCACAACCCATAGCTTCCTAGTGGTAAACTTTGCTTTTAAAATTTCTCACCCTGCTTTGTGTTTCTGGCTCCTCCTGTAAGTATACACTTACCACACGGCACATATATGTAAGTATACACTTACCACCATGGCACATATATGAAATAACAATTTACACCTTTTTCTTTCAAAATTCTGCACTCTGGTCCAAAAGAGAAGTGTTTCATTGTATTTTTTAATGAATTTTTTAGTGCAGCAAAAAAGTAGAATTCATATCAAGTAGATAAATAGAATGCCAATAATATGACTATGCATCTGCAGATATTTTTTAACATAGAAACCAAAAAAAAAAAGAAGTAATAAAAGCACTTGTGCTCAGCACTTTTAGCTAGTCAAAATGACAATGAGTCATTTCTGACAGGCAAAAGTCATGGCTCCTTCGCCATTTGATATATCAAAGGATATACGCAGTGAGAGTAACACAGAAACTGCCGATATTACGTCGTAATTTGTTTCCTTATAACAAATATAAAAAACATTATAATTTCCCGTCATTTATTCATGTTTTCTCATCAGTGTTGTTTAGTACATAATGTCTTCTCTAGAAACAAGACTAGGTGCGATGGCTCATGCCTGTAATGCTAGTACTTATGGAGGCAGAGGTAGGTTCGAGACCAGCTTCAGCAACATGGTGAAACTGTCTCTACAAAGTATAAAAATTAACTGGGTGTGGTGGTGTGTGTCTGCGGTCCCAGCTACTCAGGAGGCTGAGGCGGGAGGATCACCTGAGCTCAGGAGTTTAAGGCTGCAGTGAGCCAGGATTATGCCACCACACGCCAGCCTAGGCGACAGAGTGAGACTCTGTCTTGAAGAAGAAAATAAAATAAAATAAAAATAGAAACAGATAAACTTTAAATGTTCTCATTATTTTCCTCTCCCTAAAAGAAAATTTAAAACATTATCCCCTTTTCAAAAATGAGAGCACTAAAACCCTTAAGAAATTTTCTCTAGTAAAAAAAAAAAAAAAAAAAAACTTCATTAGTGTTCTATATTCTAGATTTCATAGGAAAACACTGATGGATGAAGACATGTGTATTGAGTACCTATTAATAAAGGTTATTAGGTTATATTAGGCAATGGAGAAGATATAAAAATGTGTGAGAAATGTTTGCACCTGCCTGTAATTGAACTGGTCATATAAGACAACAGGAACAATTAGCATCTCATGTCAAATTAGTAGTAGTGATATCAAGCGCAATACAATTTCAGAGGAGAGAGCCTCACGGCAACTGTTTTTAACATAGAGGATGAAAATGAGTGAGTTTTAAAAAATGGTAGAATTCGCATAGTCAGAAGGAGAGAAGAAATTCCAGAAGAGGGGAAAAATAATGTAAACAAAGTCAGGAACAAGGTTTTCTTGAAGTACAGTGACTTGTACAGACATTATAAGTAAGCTGTAATTTATGAGCTGAGTTGATGAACAGGCAGATGAGTATTGGAAGTGTGTGTTCATTGTGGCACTGTTCGCAATAGCAAAGACTTAGAACCAACCCAAAATCCCCATCAGTGATAGACTGGGTAAAGAAAATGTGGCACATATACACCATGGAATACTATGCAGCCATAAAAAAGAATGATTTCATGTCCTTTGCAGGGATATGGATGAAGCTGGAAAGCTTCATTCTCAGCAAACTAACACAAGAAGAGAAAACCAAACACTGCATGTTCTCACTCATAAGTGAGAGGTGAACAAAGAGAACATATGGACACACGGAGGGGAACATCACACAGTGGGGCCTGTCAGGGAGTGGGGGGCAGGGGGAGGGATAGCATTAAGAGAAATACCTCATGTAGATGACAGGTTGCTAGGTGCAGCAAACCACCATGGCACATGCATACCTATATAACAAACCTGCACATGTACCCCAGAACTTAAAGTTTAATAAAAATAAATAAATAAATAAATAAACAAACAGAATATAAAGGCCTCTGAATACCAGCTAAAGGTTTTCACATCATCCTATAGGAAATTAACCACCACTAAATTTTGATAAACGGTAATATGATGAATACCCTATTTTAGAAAGTTTTTTTTTTGTTGCTGTTATTTTGTTGGGTTTTGTTTTGTTTTTGAGACAGTCTCGCTCTGTCGCCAGGCTGGAGTGCAGTGGCGCAATTTCGGCTCACCGCAAACTCTGACTCCCTGGTTCAAGAGATTCTCCTGCCTCAGCCTCCCAAGTAGCTGGGATTTACAGGCACGCACCACCACACCCAGCTAATTTTCGTTATTTTTAGTAGAGATGGAGTTTCACCATGTTTGCCAGGATGGTGTCAATCTCTTGCCCTAACAATAAGCAGTATATTCCCTGAGATCTTGCTATATATCAATTGTTTTGCTAGGAACTTTCCATAAGTATTTCATTTTGAAAGTAATTTTTGAAATAAATAACCACAATGCAAATTAATTAGCCTGCCTCCAACCTTCCCATGCCAATAACCTGTAATCAGGGGATACCTGAAGCCTTCCCTTTCCTTCACTACAAAGCTTTACCACCACCTTTAAGAGTCTGACTGTCTTTGAGTCTCTGCAAAAAGCAAGTGATGGTGATTATTCTCTTGCTACAACAAGTTCCGAGTAAGTATCCTCTGTTTGCTCTCATTCAAGTGGTTGGTTGTCCATTTCCAGAGTATGTAACAGGTACACGATTTTAGAGTAAAAAATAAAATGTATCATATCCTTGAGAATGGGAATAAATGTTCATTGATTCACTCTAAGTCGGGAAATTTATCCTCAGGAAATTAATATAAATAGCATAAAAATTCATCTAAATACTTTTTGCTTCATTATTTAAAATATTGAAAAATTAAAGCCAACAAGTCTAAAAATAGGTATTTGTTTAAACAAATTGTGGTAATAAAGAAAATGAAATACCATGTAGTCATTTTAAAAGTATGCAGTAAAGGAGTATTTATAGACATGGAAAAATTTCTCTGTTATGTTTTGAAAAGAAATGAAAACAGGTTATGTATAGTACAAATGGGACCATTATTAGTTTTAAATCGATCTTTAGTGGTTTCTCCTAACTGGCTTTGGTTAGGTAAAATTGAGGTTTTCTTCATTTTGTAAATATACATACTATATGTAAATTCATAAAAAATTTTATCTGAATAAATTTCTTCTAAAATATAAGAAATATAAAATATATTTCTTATAAAATAATTTCTTATAAAATATAATTTCTTATAAAAATGCCACCCTGGACTGTATTTATGTTTGGTCCAACCAATTTCCCTGTTTGTAATGCTGACACTATGTGCACATTATATTTGATGACATCTGCCTTAAATGATAAAATAGATCAGTAATTATATAACTTTCTTTAAAACATGAAATCAAGAAAAGCAGCCTCTGTTATCTCAGGCTTTTCTATTTGAATCATCTATACTAAAGAAAACAGCAAAAGTGTCAAGAAACTATAAACAATAAATTTAATAGCATCACAGAACTGACAAGATAGTAAGAAATTATTGAGCTTCATTTAATTGGAAAAATACTTCCATTCTTCAACCCAAACTGTATCCACACCCTTTTGTCATGTAGTGACCTCCGGCTCTAGTTCTGGTTTCACTACGCAGCTTGCTTCAGGCCAATGGGATATTAGCAAACATGTTGTAAACAATATCTTGAAGGGTACTTGAATGATTGGCTTTGCTCACTCATGTCCTCAATAATCACCAAGAGAGGGATTCATCCAGGCTAGTCCTATGCAGCCCCAGGGTGTGGATGACAGCCATAAGGAGCAGAGCCAGATCAGCATCATGTCAGCTGAGGCCATCCTCACCTGACATCAGACACATGTGCAATATATGCTTAATGTTGTACGTCATTAAAGTACTGTGGTCGTTTGTTACATGGCATTGTTGTGGTAACAGATAACTGATACGTAGGTCAAAGTCTAAGTGATAGTTGAAACTGTGATGTTAATTGAATCTCTGAGCTCTATTTGGTCTTTAGGACATTTCCCAAATTGATTTAACACATGCTTTTGTTTTAGTATGCCCAAGGTAGGGTTGCAGTCTAAGATGCCATCTCCCCTTAGACCTAAAGCCCCAAAAGTTATGCACTGAGGCTGATATGAACTCATGGCATGAACTGAACCTATCTCCCTCTAGACACATATGCATATAGGAGCCTATAAGAAAAAGTTACTTAAGTGATAAGCAGCACAGATACAGCCACTGACTGTCTATCATATAGATTTGTACCCAAATTCATGTCAACAGGATGACTGAACTTGTAGCCATGAATGCAGTTAAAAATGTTTCCTGTAACTAGTGATACAGGTGCTTGGTAGGTGCTTAAAAGAAGTGCTTGGTCAAATTTCTGTTTGAAAAAAGATAACTTTCATTCTAGGACCCAAAGAATTCAAACAAATAATTTTCTAACAACAACAACAACAACAACAACAACAACAACAACAAGTAGCCCATAAGAGAAAACAAACAAATTGGAATCAAGTACATTAGAAAATAAGGAACAATGAACAAAAAATAAAAAATTAAAGTGCATAAGAAGACTTTGAAATACACAAAATATTAGAGCTCAAAGAATCAGATTGAAGAAAAGGCCTTCAATAAAATTCAACAAACCTTCATGCTAAAAACTGTCAATAAACTAGGTATTGATGGAACGTATCTCAAAATAATAAGAGCTATTTATGACAAAGCCACAGCCAATATCATATTTAATGGGCAAATTTGGAAGCATTCCCTTTGAAAACTGGCATAAGACAAGGATGCCCTCTCTCACCACTCCTATTCAACATAGTGTTGGAAGTTGTGGCCAGGGCAATCAGGCAAGAAAAATAAATAAAGGGCATTCAAACAGGAAGAGAGGAAGTCAAATTGTCTCTGCAGAGGACATGATTGTATATTTAGAAAACCCCATTGCCTGAGCCCCAAATCTCCTTAATCTGATAAGAAACTTCAGCCAAGTCTCAGGATACAAAATCAATGTGCAAAAATCACAAGCATTCCTATACACCAATAAGAGACAGAGAGCCAAATCATGAGTGAGCTCTCATTCAAAATTGCTACAGAGAGAATTCAATACCTAGGAATACAACTTACAGGGTATGTGAAGGACCTCTTCAAGGAGAGCTACAAATCACTGTTCAAGGAAATGAGAGAACACAAACAAATGGAAAAACATTCCATGCTCATGGATAGGAAGAATCAGTATCGTGAAAATGGCCATACAGCCCAAATTAATTTATAGATTCAATAATATCCCCATCAAGCACCATAGACTTTCTTCATAGAATTAGAAAAAACTACTTTAAATTTCATATGGAACCAAAAAAGAGCCTGTATAGCCCAGACAATCCTAAGGAAAAAGAACAAAGCTGGAGGCATCACGCTACTTGACTTCAAACTATACTACAAGTTTACAGTAACCCAAACAACATGGCACTGGTACCAAAACAGATATATAGACCAATGGAACAGAACAGAGTCTTGAGAAATAATGCCACATATCTGCAACTATCTGATCTTTGACAAACCTGACAAAAACAAGCAATGGGGAAAAGATTCCCTATTTAATAAATGGTGTTGGCAAAACTGGCTAGCCATATGCAGAAAACTGAAACTGGACCCCTTCCTTATACCTTATACCAAAATTAACTCAAGATAGATTAAAGACTGAAATGTAAGACCTAAAACCATAAAAACCCTAGAAGAAAACCTAGGCAATACTATTCAGGACATAGGCATGGGCAAAGACTTCATGACTAAAACAACAAAAGCAATGGCAACAAAAGCCAAAGTGGACACATGGGATCTAACTAAACTAAAGAGCTTCTGCACAGCAAAAGAAAGTAGCATCAGAGTGAACAGGCAACCTACAGAATGGGAGAAAATTTTTGCAATCTATTCATCTGACAAAGGGCTAATATTCAGAATCTACAAAGAACTTAAACAAATTTACAAGAAAAAAACAAACAATCCCATCAAAAAGTGGGTGAAGGATATGAACAGACACATCTCAAAAGAAGACATTTATGCGGCAAACAAACACATGAAAAAAAGCTCATCATCGCTGGTCATTAGAGAAATGCAAATCAAAATCACAATGAGATACCATCTCACGCCAGTGAGAATGGCAATCATTAAAAAGTCAGGAAACAACAGATGTTGGAGAGGATGTGGAGAAATAGGAATACTTTTACACTGTTGGTGGGAGTGTAAAGTAGTTCAACCATTGTGGAAGGCAGTGTGGTGATTCCTCAAGGACCTAGAACCAGAAATACCATTTGATCCAGCAATCCCATTACTGGGTATATACCCAAAGGATTATAAATCATTCCACTATAAAGACACATGCACACGTATGTTTATTGCAGCGCTGTTCCCAATAGCAAAGACTTGGAACCAATCTAAACGCCCATCAGTGATAGACTGGATAAAGAAAATGTGGCACATATACACCATGGAATACTATGCAGCCATAAGAAAAGGATGAGTTCATGTCCTCTGCAAGGACATGAAGCTGGAAATCATCATTCTCAGCAAACTAACACAAGAACAGAAAACCAAACACCGCATGTTCTCACTCATAAATGGGAGCTGAACAATGAGAACACATGGACACAGGGAGGGGAATATCACACACCGGGGTCTGCAGGGAGTTGGGGGTTAGGGGAAGGATAGCATTAGGAGAAATACCTAATGTAGATGACAGGTTGATGGGTACAACAAACCACCATGGCACATGTATACGTATGTTAACAAACCTGCATGTTCTGCACATGTACCCCAGAACTTAAAGTTTAATAAATAAATAATTTTTTTTTAAAAAAGAACAACTATGTTTGTTGTGTTCAACAAAGTAAAAGATTTAAAATGTTATCAGTTAGCAGGAAACTATAAGAAATAACATAACAGTTTGAAAAAGAACTACATAGAACTTCTAGAAATACTAGAACTGAAGTTAAAATTTCAAGAACTGGCCTAACAGCAAATTAGACATGACTATTTTATCTTGTTTATTAAGAGATGTGTTTGATATATTTCCGAGCATAAAAACCTGTATTGGTTTTTAGAAATCACAACTATACCTAATGTTAAATGAAGAGTTAATGGGTGCAGCACACCAACATGGCACATGTATACATATGTAACAAACCTGCACGTTGTGCACATGTACCCTAAAACTTAAAGTATAATAAAAAAAAAAGAAATCACAATTATAATCCCACCAACAATACATGAGCCTGCTCTCTCAAAACTCTTAACAATCACGGATGGTAAAGGGAATCTCATTATTACTTTACTTTGCATTTTCTTATTTTTATGAAGGTTCAGCATCTTTTTCTCCATTTATGGCCTTTTGCACTTCTTCCCCTGTATATTGCTTATTCATATTTTTTCCTCTGTGTTCCTAATGAATTATTACCTACTTCTTATTCCATTGTAAAGTAGATTTTATACTATGGTATTAGCACTGTGTGTTGTTACATATGTTAAATATTTTCTCCTTGTGTATTCTTTGTCAAGAATGGTTATACTATTTCTGGAAGACCAATATTTTAAGAAACACAGGGAAGTAGTCACTGAACAAAAATGAAAAAGTTTGTATTTTTAGCCAAACTGAAAAATGGAAATGGAAATCAGATGGTCACAATAAGTAAGTTTCTTTAACAAAAAGTAACAAACAATTGGCCAAATCGAGTACTTTTAAAGAAATCCTACTCTTACAATGTTAATAAATATGTGCATTTTCTTTATTATTGTAATGTATTTATCTAGACAACATCTCTTCTTATTTAATAGAGTTCGTATACAATTGATACCTAAAAAATATACTAGAAAATATGCTTAAGGACTTATATAACTTCTAACTTCTAACTGCTGAATAGAGTATAGCAGTTGAATGAATAATCTAGTCTAGAAGTTTCCTAGGTATTTATACTCATTCTTAAAATGATTTGTGTAATCCTTTATTTTTGGTCCATTTTATCTACTTGTCTATTTCTATTTATCTACTTTTTAGTAGTCATAATTTGACCATTATCAATATACTATGAAATTTCACAACACACATTCTAAAAGACGTAGTTATTTGCATTTTAAGTAGCATAGTTTTCTGTAATATTAATATTACTAATTTATTACAGAAAGAATGAATAATGTTATGAACAAAATACATTAATATCAGTGTGATAGCCTACTACACTGGTAGCTCCCAATAAACCATACCTCACTATTCATGCCCCAGTGTAATCCAATTCCCTTGATTCTGGGCTGTCCTGTGGCTCACTTTAATTAATAGAATACAATTAAATTGACAATGTGCCAATTCTACACCTAAGCCTTAAAAAAAACAGGAAGCTTCTGCTTTTGTGCTTACATCAAGTAAGCGCTCTGGCTATCTGGCTGAAAAGACCATGTGAATAAGTCATATGTAGAACAACAGATCCTGAGATCACATAGAATAGAACAGATTCCCAGCCTTTCAAGATCTGAGCTGACACTAAGCCTTAGCTAACCTATGAATTGACTACAGTCTTATGGCTGACTGCTGGCGAGACCAGCAGAAGCAGCATCTAAGCCCTGCTCAAGATGCAAAATAATGAACAAATAAAATAGTTAATTTATTTAAGCCACTAACATTTTGGGGTGTTTAGTTATACATTAATAGATCTTTATTGTACTTCCAAATATTCACGTATCCAGTTATGTATCTTTATTATATTTCCATTATTATATAGATGAGGATGGGCAGGTTAGAGGAAAAAAATAGAGCATAGACTTTCACTATAAAAAACTCTTCAGTCATAAATTAATATATTCACAGAACCTCTTCCTTCATTATTTTTGGTACACTACAAATTTCTCCTAAAATTTGTTTTTTATTATCTTATGTGAATTTCAAAGAAATCTAATAGTATTCTATTGTGTGTGTGTGTGTGTGTGTGTATATATATATATATGTGTGTGTATATATATATCATTGCAAAAAATTCACTGAAAAGCCAAAAGTAAAAACTATATTTTAAAAATGTAAAAAGCATAAAAGTCCCTAAATCCTCAGATGATTATATATAAAATTCTCAAGTTACTTTCAGGGGGAAAAATAGAAAAAGTCAATCCAGTTATTCTTGGTAAATTTTGCACATAATGATTTAAGAGGGCTAAACTAGATAAATATCTTGAGATTAAGAAATATTATTTGGCCGGGCGTGGTGGCTCACGCCTGTAATCCCAGCACTTTGGGAGGCCGAGGCGGGTGGATCATGAGGTCAGGAGATCGAGACCATCCTGGCTAACACAGTGAAACCCCGTGTCTACTAAAAATACAAAAAATTAGCCGGGAGCGGTGGCGGGCTCCTGTAGTCCCAGCTACTTGAGAGGCTGAGGCAGGAGAATGGCGTGAACCCAGGAGGCGGAGCTTGCAGTGAGCCGAGATCGCGCCACTGCACTCCAGCCTGGGCGACAGAGCCAGACGCTGTCTCAAAAAAAAAAAAAAAAAAAAAAAAAAAAAAGAAATATTATTTGCATATTAAATTGCCAAATTCAGAAATGTTCATGAGTTCATGATTCAAAATAACACACAATATAATTATGTCAGCAGATCTTGTTCATTGGTTCTATTTCAACTTGCTATGGGAAATAATACTGTTTTAATAAACACTTTTTGGAATAACTTAGCAAAAAGACAGATGTTTGTAAAACAATTTTTCTGACAAAGCCCTACATAAAAATAGTACCTATTTCTCTTCCTTGCTCAAAGGTACAAAAGAAGCCCAGTAAAGAAGAGGACATTCTCCGAAGCCTGGGAACTCCTGGGGAGAGAGGAATCTAAGCCCTATGAGTGCTCCTCTTCCTTCACCTAGCAGCATGACACAGGGCCTTTCCTGAGTTGTGTGAAAAAAGGAAAAAATGACTTTCATGTAGCTAAGGTCCCTTAACTTGGTTTGGGAATTATGGGGAAAACATGCACATGTGCATGCATATACACACACACACACATGCACACACACACACATACACACACAAATACAGAAACCAGATCATTGGTCCTTGTGAGCTCTTGGGAAATTTGTTCACTAGACCTTTAGCTACTTAAGTGTTTTGCCTTTGGCTTCTCCCTATATGGGCGCACTTTATCCAGGACTCCACTATTCCACATTAGTGCCATTCTACATTAATAGTCATCTTGACTAAGAAGACTAATACAGACATAATCTAAGGACACTGTGCTAATAAACTGTCTCACACCATCTGGCTGGCAAACATACATAGGCCTGTTCTGTGCGTGTAATCCTGTCTACCTTGCCAACTCAGGCAGGCAACTTACTCATGTATTAGTGTTTTCCAAATTGCAAAAACAGCCAGCCCCAGGAGGCTACTTTCCCCAAAGCCTTCTCCTGCCCATAAATGCAAATACATGTTCACTGTAAATATCAAATTCTCTGAAGAGCACACAGGTTTGTTTTTCTCCAGTGAAGCCTGTCTTCTTATTTCACCTTTAGTAGTCAACAGTTTCTCTCATTTTAATAAGGCATAAAATTATCTATCAGTGAAGTAAATTGTCCGCAAGAACACTAGGGACAGATGCTTCATTTCTTAGTGCCATCAGCTTAGATATATCAATTTACAGGCCCCATTATAACTTTTGCCAAAAAATTTGCATAATAAGAAATGACGCAACAGATGAAAGATCTTTACAGTAATTCTTGTCCCCACCTTAGGTCTTCAATATGGCTTTGAGCTAGTTTACAATTTAGAAGATGCCAACTTTACAAGAAATAAAGGAAAATAAGCAGAGAGATTAAAATTTTCATTTCATTAAAAAGATTCACACATTTTCTAGAAGGCATATATACAAATGTTATCTGTATTTTAACTTAGTACATTATTTTGAGGCCTCTCCACAAAAGACATCAAGTAATTGGGCATCATATGTTGTTCAGAGAAATGGCAAAAAAAAGTATGTGCTAAAAACAGACTAATTCATAAATTGTGTCTTACTTTCAAACCCACGAAGCAAGCAATGTGATCAGTCCTGAAATTAACCATATTTAGTGCCTTCATCCTAACTTGCAATCCATTTTAAGCAGAGGAGAAACCAGATTTTAATGAAGCACATCTTCACAAATCACTGCTACAAATCAGCACCAGCCATGTGGAATATTGAAATTTGAATCAACATTAAAAACTCATGTTTCCATTATTCTTCCCTGGATCTCAAATCTCAAACCCCTTCTCACATGTTGGAATTTTTTTTCTTCTAAATTATTTGTTAAAATCTGTACCACCCAATGTTGCTACAAAATAAATATAAATGGTGGTTTAGACAGGGAAGGTCTACCCATGTACCACTCTTCATTTCTTTCCCTTTCTTAGAGCACATGGCATTTTAGCTACATCCTAAGGAAACAAAAGTAGTTGCTAAGGTGATGCCTCTTCTCTGAAAACTGAAAAGGAGCTCAGATGGGTAAGAGGTGAGAAATTTTTGGCTATGGTCTCTGCGGGGTGGTGAAATAAAGTCAGATGAGGGTGGATATAGACAACATTTAAAAGTTACTGAAAGGTTTTTTTTTCATTTTTTATCTTTCAATAATCATCTGGCTGTCTCTCAGACCAAGTATCATACAAAATTAAACAAATATATGGATGACTTATCTTGTCACATGTTTTCTAAAGAAGCATTTCAAAGGTGAGTGCTGCTGTGATGGCTCCATTCCTGGCTCATAAGGAAGCAACATGGAATTGGTAACAAGGGCTTGGTCCCAATTTTTTTTTCCATGTTAGAAAGGAAAATAGCCAGACAAAGAAAGCATGTTTCCTTTATGCAGAAAACAAGGTAGATGCAATAGCTGGAAAGATTTTTCCAAAAAGAACATACTTAAAAAAATGAAATAGAATAGTGTATTTCACGGCATTCCCTCCAAATCTATGCTGCATCTTGGTTAGATCTTTGAAGACACAACAAGCATTAGGAAATGTTTTGTGTGATCTCAGTGCTGAATTCTAACACTACCCAATTCTGCTTCAGTCACATTTTCAAAAACCTGATTCCACACTTCACAGAAGAATAAACCTAAATTGACTCAATAGTAACCTCCAACACTACAATATTATACCTGATGGCATGAAAACAGAGGTAAAAATAGAAATCATTTGTAGTGCATGTACTTCTTATTTTCATTAGCCATACTTCTTGCAAACTATTTTAACCTAGAGATATAATTTTTGCTTTTGTTTTTGTTTTCAACCTATTTTAGTTTCTATGATATAAAAACTCTCTAACTTAGTGGTAAGGTCCCTAAAAATCACTGAGCATGTGATTCAATATGCTTATCTCATTGCATAATCATTGTAATGAATATGTGACTTATCCCATTTCATAGGCAAACAAATCGAGGACTTTGAAAACTAGGATATTATAATAACTTAGGTCCCACAGCTGATAAGAGAAGCTGTGATTATGGTTTTTCTCCTATCAAATTTTTTATAATAAAGAATTTCTCTCTTAAGAATGATGAATTTGGAGTAGTAACTTATTTACTATAATTTGTTTGGCTAATGAAACCATAGATTATTGTTTATTACTTTCCCCGGCTGTACCAATTCATTTCTTGAATATAAAGGTACATAATAAATATTTGGTGAATTAAATAGAATTGCATTTTCATGTTTTAAATGAGGTATATTTTAGATACTCAACCTTTACTTTTATATAAGGCATTTAAATAAGAAAAGTAAAAGAATTTCCACATTTTCCATGCTTTAGATTAAAAAACTTTTTATTTGTAGAATAATGTCATTATATAAATGTAATAAGCATTGCATAAACAGTAAAATAAGCAATTATAATTTGCTAATCTAAGCTACCATTTTATATAAATTCTAAATTTGCTGACTCCCAATGTAAAGTAAATGCTTATAATTTGCTATTTTAATGCCTCTATGAATCATAAATTTGCAGACTTCCAAAATTCAACTAAGAAACACTGCAAAGTAAGCAATGTTTTTTCAGTGTTCTAGTTGGGAGACATATGTTTCTATTTCATGGCTCTTTATTGTAAGATTCAACTTGTTTAGCTATATTGCTTGAACCACTATTAATGTCAAAGAACAAACCACATTGATGACTTTATCACAATACATAAAACAAAACAGTGTTGTGTAAGTGGAAAAGCTGATGATTTTTTTAAAAGTAATGAAATAAAATGAAACAATAGTCATCTATTTATATTTTATTAAATAAATTTGCTTTTTAAGCCCACAAAGCCCAGAAAAGATATTTATTATATCACTTCCTATGTTCTATAGCTTGATTTCATAATCTCAACCAGTCCATTTAATAAGTTTTCTCTCCACTTCCTCTTTTAGTATATTTCTTTCATTTACATAATCTAAGTTGACATATATCCCAAAGTACAGGATTGGTTTTCAAGCAATTGAAAGGCTTTCTGTGTAGTGGATCTATTATTTGAATTACAGCAAAATTCATATTTAACAATTCTATTTATAAGTCTTCATCTCAATCTCAGATATACTTTAATTTATAATTTATTTAAAATCCCTAGATAAACCAAAAATATTAGTTTTATGAGGCTTTGCAAGCAAAATGAATTGCAAAGATTTAGCCCAACTTAAATTTGCTTTTACCTAAAATGAGATTTTCAGCACTTTAAAAAACATGCACTTAAGGGAAATGTCTTATTTTCTTCACTATATAAAGTGCCATAATGAAACTAAAGATAAAAATTAAGGTTCTGAATACTCAGATAGAAGAAAATTATTTTCTCCAACACAATAACACAAAGTAGTAATAATACCAAGTCATATTATGTTCTCAACAATAGCACATTCCCTTATTGGCATTTCATTTGCCAAATACTCACTGACATTAAGGCACAGACTGGAGAAATAATATGTAATTTAAGAGTTTTTGTGCATTATAAATAAAGCATGGTTATCGCAAATAAAACCCTTAAGTACTTAAAGAGAAGTCTCAAGGGCAAATATTGATAATCATTGTAATGGTTTTTCACAATATGTGTGCAACAATTGTGTAGCGGAATTTTACTATCTTGGTGCATAAAAATAATTTATATTATGACTATGTATTCTGTACTACCTTTCTGTATAGGCATGAGATAAGATAGAATACTTATTGGAGAAAGTACAATTTGAATTATGAAAAAATAAATCTTGGCAAACTTCCTGTTTCTTTCAGTTATAGAAATTTTTGTACAGAAATGGGGGGGTTATAAGAATTTATTACTTTGGTTAATAACATAACTATAAAAAAGAAAAGGCTATTAAAAAAATGGTATACATTCTGGAAATCAAATCTTCCCAAATAATGTTTTGTTGGCTGATTTTAAATCTTGGAATTTATAATATTATTGAGAGATAAACATCATTAGCTCTGAGAAAAAACAAATTACTTTTTCCCTCTAAGTAGGCTTTGTTTTTCAAATGTTGGTTCACTTCAATATACCTGAGTACATTTTTATTTCCTGTATCAAAGACCACTACACAAACTCTATAAATACTGGCTAAAAATATACATTGCCATGGAGATGTATCATGAATCTTTTCAAATGATTATCATTAGAAAAAAACTGTGTCTTATAATTTGAGGAAAACTTTTGTTTCAAAAATATAAAACCATTTATTTAATGATATATAAATTGCTAACAGCATCTAAGATCCTTCATTAATATAATAAATTTCAAGTTTCATCACGAAAAGTTCAATATGCTTCACTACTGTACACACCAGTTATTATGAGTGATATTTATTGAACATTATTAACTGTGTATTATCTCACTGAACTCTTTGTTCTACCCATCTTCCATATTAAGGACTCAAATGTTCAGATTGGTAGGACCACATATCCAAAATTGGTAGAGTTAATATTTAAGCCTAGAAAAATTCATACTCTGTGTTTTTAATCAATAAACCATACTCTACTTCATTTTAAGAAATTAATGGACATTAAATGAAAATGGTACTTAGGGGTGTCAGTTATTCCGAAGAACTCACACATAATCTCTGTAAATGATTTTTCATTATGAATGTGGACAGAATTAATTTTATATAATTTTGAGAAGATAGATGGTGTCTTGAGAGGAAGAAAACACCTGTCAAGTGAATGACAGGAAATATTATAACAATAATTTCAAAAAGACAGACAATAAAATCAAATAAAAACTAACCTTAAAAACACCTTTAGTAAGTTTCATTTTAATTTGGCACCTAGTACAATGCCTGGAGCACAGTATGTGTTTAATAAGTATGTATTTAATGCATGCAGGAATAAATGAATATGTTTTAGTAATCCTAGGGAACAGACCAGTGCCTTGGGGGAGTTGCCACATGACTTTGCCTCAGAGATGAAGCACAGTCAATTCAACCTACTGAATTTTGATGTTTTGGTCAATTTACTGAAAATTTTCTTTTTTCTAAATAATTAAGAATGCTGAAAAGGAGACAATAACTATTCAAGCAACATATTTTATGATTGCAGGAATCATTTCTTCAAGAGGGATGAAGAAATGATTCCTTTAATCATACAAATGTATTGTCTAGAACCATCCCTTATAGTGTGTACAGTATTCTTCATAAATATTTCAAAGTGATATTGAATAAATCAATGTCCATAGTGAAATTGTTAATTAGAAAATTTTTTAGTCTTTTCAACAAGCAGTTATAATTTTTATGAGCAAAAACATGAAGACATAGAAACACAGATAGACAAAGTACAATATATAAAACAGAAAATAGATAGTCAGGTAAATAGATTAGAGTAGACTCTCAGAGTAGCCATCGGTTAGGTTTTATCCGAGGATTAAAGTCAAATAAACACATGGAATCAATTAAAATTATATAAGATGAATGTACTCTGTTCACAAACAAATTAATCCTTTGCCAATTCCATCTTCATCCCAGGTTCCCAGCTAAATACACACTAGCCTAGACTAATTTGTCTATACTACAAATCAAAGAGATAATAGACAAAACAGCCCTCTTGGTCTCATCAAGGAACTCAACAAATCCTCATTGTATTCCTTAATTGATAGCTTTTTTCTGTGTTTTTTTTTTTTCTGTGCCTCATAGCATTTTTCTGTGCATTTCCAAGCTAAAATACATAAAACCCAGCTGGAATCTGTCATGCTTTGTCCGCATCACTTCAATAATTTCAGAGTTGCTGCTACACTTGAATGAATGGATGACTGACATTGAAATAGAGCAGAAATTTGAGTAGAGACGTTAAATTGAGATATGACATAAAAATGGTCTTCATACATATGAATGAGTATTAGACAGATGAAAAGTATTTTCCTCCCTGAGAACCATAAATCAGGAATAAGAAGTAGAGTTAATTTAGACATTTGAAAACGACAATATAGTGAAATAACGTTAAAAATGTGTTTGTGTGTTTCCCCTCATGGATTTACTCTCTAAGATAGATACTGGAGGTTTTTCAGAATTCATTATTTACACACTTATCACAAACACAGAGGTATTACTCTAATTTGAGATAAATTGGCGTTCAAAGGTTCCCATGAGAAGTAAAGTTTGATAATTCTACAGTTAGGTTGAGAAGCTTACATAAAATTTATTTTATAATTTGATGTTTTCCTTAGTCAAGAGTAGTCTATAAGTGTTTAACATAAAATATTATTCATAATCTGGGGTGAAGGCTCAGAAAGCATCTGTTTAAAATCTATAAATCCAATGGCCAGGTGTGGCAGCTCACACCTGTAGTCCTAGTGCTTTGGGAGGCCAAGATGGGCAGATTGCTTGAGCCAAGGAGTCTGAGACCAGCCTGGGCAACATGGCAAAACTCTGTCTCTACAAAAAATACAAACTTTGGGCTGGCATGGTGGTGTGTGCTTGTAGTCCCAGCTACTAGGGAAACTGAGGTGGGAGAATCACCTGAGCCCCAGGAGGCTGAAGCTGGAGTGAGCCCAGATCGCACCACTGCACTCTGGCCTGGGAGACAGAGTGAGTCTCTACCTCAGAAAAATTAAAATAAAATAGAACAAAATAAGTAACCAAATAAGTGAAAAAATCCAAAAGACAACTTAATAAGATAATCATAAAACCAGAACAATAGTGTTTTAGGACAAAGAAGCATATTTTATACAATAGGGATTATTTTCTTTAAATTATATGTAAGAAGAGATACATGCTAAAATTGAAACCGGTTTGACTTACAAACATATGGATAATTCTTTTTTTAGAGTGAATGTCAAAGACAAAGTTTTAAGCTTCATGAAAACATGTATCTAACCTAGAATGATCCTTCACATGCTCCTAAGATTTAGCTGAGAGCTTTACATTTCTTACAGTCACTTAAATTGTACTTAACTATAAAATGTATTATCTAAGGCAATATTATCCTTTACTTGTAAAAGGCAAATAGCATTCATTAAAAAGTATTTTTCTCGAGAAAGAATACACTAAATAACAAAATATGACATTGAATATTGTCATGAAAATACGACATTGAATATTGTCATGAAAATAAATGTTTTTAATATTTTTGGTATACATATGAAAGAGTTTTAGAAATCAAATATAAATTGGATTTGTCTTCATATCTGTACTCATGGAAGATGAACACATACCAATTAGATATAATTTCTACTAAAAATTGTGCACTTCAAAATTTGTTGAGGTTACTAGATCGCATGTTCAGTGTTCTTCCCTCAAAACAGAAACAAAAACAAAGGAACACAAGAAAATTTTTGAAAGTGTTGTATATGTCTATTACCTTGACTGAGGTGATGGTATTTAAAATGGCTGCATATGTCCAAACTCATTAAATTATACACACTAAATATGTGCAGCTCTTTGTTTAAAATAAACAATATTCTAGAGTTGATGCTATAGAAACTTAAAGGACCTTAAATCTACTAATATTTCATTTACAAATATGGTTACAGTGAATGAGATCCTCAAGATCCTTGGATCCTCAAGATCCAAGAAAAGCTATTTTGATTCAGGAACAATAATAATTGTGAAAGGGCTCATCCTCAGAGTTATCTAGAAAGATAAGTAAGTAGTTATGACTCTTTAAAGGTTTGAAGGAATTCACTTGTGAAACCATCTCAGCAAGCTTGCTGTATTTTGAAGGATGTCTCTTTCTCAAGCTTTTTTATTTCTTATATGTAAATCTGTTTAGATTCTTTCTGCCTCCTTGAGCAAATTTTAGTAAATTATATTTTCTTAGAAAATTTTAATATATATATATTTCTGTAGAAATATAATAAAATAATGTCTTAGAATTCATATTGAACTGGAATATTTATTGATAGGACATATTCTAAAAAGGCAACAGATAAATAGGCAAAGCATGTACACACAATTCACCAGGTAGAAACACAATAAACTAACAAAATGTGAAGAAAGTACAAAAATCACTAACCAATACGTGTAAATTAAATTGATGAAGTATCACTTTTGCCTTGCAATTGGGGAAAATATAATTTAAATAAAAATTTCAATACAGCTGAGACTTTTTGAAACAAGAACTCTCAAGTGATATTGATATAAGCATAAAGGGATTCAAACTATTTGGAAAGAAAATATATTAAAGGCTCAAAAATGTTCTTACCCAATTAGTCATTCTACTTCTGTGAATTATTCTAAAATAATTTAAAATAGAGATTCCTAAAAATATTTTTATTGTATTTGTGATGATTAAATTTTGAAACAACACTATTCAAACAATAAGTAAAAGGTATATCTATAAGACATTATAGTATATATCCATAGAATTGGTGTTTGTAGATTTTTGGTTGGAAATATCACCTGTTATCTTCTGAATCTCTTTTTATAGCTTCACAATAAAATATTATAAACATATTAAAAATGCAAAAATTCATAACAGAAAAAACACATTATAACAAACAAAGTAGTCAAAATCTGGGTAAAATTTAAGTAATCTCAAGATTAACAGGATAGGATTAAGAGATCTTATTGAGATAAGAATCTTATCATCAGTGGCCCACACATTAATAGGCACTCAAGCAGCAAGACAGACACCAAGGTGGCAAAACTAAGAGAAAAACTAATCAGAAAGTTTGTGAGGCTTAAGAAAAGCTGGTGGAGGAGGAGATAACTGCATTTGAACACCAGGAATAAAACACCAGAACTAAGGGCAGAGAGAGATCCTGAAGAAAAGGTGAAGGCTGTTGTCTCCAGGAAACACATTTGATTGAAGTGAGTTAAAGAAATCACCCCATTTCAAACAGGGCAACCTTGAGAATTACTGTTGAACGAGAAGCTAGGAGAATCTCTGGCCTCAATCTGCACTTGTTCTGAAATTTTAGAAGGTAATTTAACTGGTACCCAAATGGACTGTGAAAGAAATAAGGTCACACCAAATGTCAATCTGGTGGCAAATATCAGCTCTTAATAAAATGGGAAATTTTAACACCTCTCTCTCTGTCATTGACAGATCCTGTGGATTAAAAATTAAAAAATAAAATACAGAAAGTGTTGAATGATATCTTCTTGATTTAATAATTATGCATCAGCTTATGTATTCCATAACACATGCACATCATTTTTAATATTGTTAAATATTCGAAACATAGTTAAGGTCATTTAAAAACCTTTTTATAGTGAAAAATTACAAACATATGTAAAAATAGGGACAACAGGGGATAATTTTCACCAAGTTTTATATATATATATATATATGTATAAAATGAATTGCACGCAGTTAATATGTACAATGTGTGCACTCAGAAAAGCAAATCACTTGAAAATTAAGAATACATAGTTTCCTAACAGGTGAGTTAAAGAAAAATGCAAATATTAAGTAAGAACCACTTGCAATCATTGTCAGCAAATATTGGCTTGAAATACTATATCTCAAATACAGGCTACAAACTGGAGATTCAAAAATAAATAAAAGATCACCTATCTACAAGTAGTTTATAGTCAAATTGGAAATTATGCTCAAAAGGCAATTGTAATACTGTGTTAGAAATGTTGTATTGTGACTAAATACTGGATATGTGACAAAAAACAGCATTTAATTAATTTTTGAAATTTCAGAGAAATTTGACTAAAGGAAATATCTAAGAAGAGTAATAATGTGCTAGTGAAATGGGAAGTATATGTATACTTTTGTGTGTGTGTGTGTGTGTGTGTGTGTGTGTGTCTGTATGTGTGTCTGTGTGTTTGTTTATATGGAGGATCCCAATAATTAGGTTAAAAAAAATGACCCAAAATGTGCATGTCTGGCATCTTTTTTCCACACTTACTCCAAGATACAATGGGTACAAAGTCATCATGTTGGTGAGGGATATATGCAAACAATCAACAAGGTCTCTTCTCACCGAGGCTTACTTGGCTACTGCTGTTGCTGGATCTCTAACCTGCCTACAAGGACAAGTAATGAGGCTCAATGATTGTACCAGTAGTCAGCTGGGGGAAACAGCCAGCCACTGGGCACCAGGCTGTTTACCTTAAGTCCCTTCCATCATGATGTGAACAGAGAGTTGTACTCACTGGAATAGACACTTATTCTGGATATGCATCTGTCTTCCCTGACAAAAATGTTTCTGCAAGCCTTAACATCTGTGGACTCAGGTAAGGCCATATTCACTATCATGTATCCCACACAACACTGGTTTCAACCAAAGAACAACATGTACCCCATCATTCAGTGGCAGCTAGCCTGACAGAAGGTGGGGGAGCTGACTGAGGGCTCAGTTAAGGCATTCTGTGAAGTTGGAGTGAAGTTCAACGGGATGTGATATATATAAACAGGTTTATAAGCTGTCTATTCTATATCCAGAATACTTGGGTCAAGAATACAAGGGTGTAGTGGAAGTTGTTCCTCTCTCTATTAGGACCAATAACCAACTTACAGAATTTTACTTACATTTACCAAAACTTTCGTCTGCAGTGCTTCAGAGTTCTTCATTTCCAAGGGTGTAATGTTTTCTCCAAGAGATAAAAATACTGTTTTAATTTAATTGGATATTGAAACTGCCACCAGTCCACTATTGAGTTCTCATCTTATTGAACCAATTGATAAAGAAGAAAGTTACGTTGACTGATCTCAATTATCAGAAGGAAATTGATTTCTTGATCTACACTGGAGCAGAAAAGATTATGTCTAGAACACAGGGGATTTTCTAAAGCTTCTCTTATTCCACATCCAACGGTAAGAGTTAAGGAAAACTTAGATCAATCCTATGAATAGAAGACCACAGAATTTAAAACCCTCTGTAAATGGGCTTTACACTCCACAAGTAAAGAACCTTGGTAATTTGAAGGTCGGGTTAATAACTGGGTAAGATGGAATGCATGCTAGAACAATGAAGTTATATTCAAACAGAAGTGAGGCCATTAGCAGTAGATTTATATAATTTCTTCCTTATTTATCTGCTTATATTAACTTACTTTTTCCTCTTTCTTTCTCCTATTGTTTTACAGTAGAAGTACTGGAGATAGTATACCTTAAAGTGTGGTTTTTAAATTACAGTAGACCCAATTGGACTATAACTAAAACACAGGAGGAATTACCATCCCTTGAAATTAATTTGGGGACTGATGGAACATTTTTCTTCCTTTTGGAGAAGACAGTAAGATACTCTTCATTTTTATAAAAATGGATTTTATCATACGAAGTAGAAATGTCAAAGGCAACCAATACTATTGTTGTGTAGAATTTACACATGGACAGAAGGTTGCAAATAGACACTGAGAAATGAAAAGTAATAACTAGATCAATCTCTTGTCCCTTTGCTCTCAGCCTCCATTCTCACTCTTCTGTGCTCTGTTACAAAGAGTCTATGATACCCAAACTATATTTCCCAGATTCTCTTGGTTAAGTTTTCAATTAGGGTTGAATATTAGAACCCAGGAGAAATGGAATAGTGACTCCCTACATTTCAAGTTTCTGGCAGCGTCTCTCACAGGACAATTCAGTAGAAGTTTTAGCACTGAAGGGGAGGACAGTGGCAGTGAGCATCCTGGTGGTCCCTTCAGGCTAGAAATAAACTCCTGGGCATCTGTATTCCAGAAACAGAAGCCTTCTCAGCACAGCACCCTTAATGTATGGGTAAAATTTGTGCATCTCCAGCCCAGAAGAGAAAAACCAGTAATTAACTCTTGAGTTGCTTTATCTTTTCTTCTCTTTGCCCCTTATATTTCTCTTTTGTTCCTCCAGCTCTTCTGACACTGTTATAATCAATATAATATTAATATCATATGTTCTGTGTTCGAAATAACTAGTGTTATTTTTATCTGATTAGCACATGTCCAAATTTCACCTCTCTAGGTTTCAGTACAAACAAGAGTGCCCCTAATACTTAAGAGAAATATGTAACATAGAAAGCTTTATTTCAGATCAACATTTGTTTGGGTCTGTCTTCTGTCTGCTGTGCAGGACATTCCTGTAAGAAGTGGATGGACGTGCCAGCAAAATAAAAAGGGCTGAACTGTATGGTCAGAAAAAGAAGAGGAAATAATTTAAACTCTAATCCTCTCTCAGTTACTAAAGGTATGCATACTGATTTTGAAGCCAGCAGCCTGCCATGGGCCCAGGTTAGTGAAGGGAGGATAATGCTGTAGAGCAATACAGGTACAGGTCAACTAAACTAAGACTGAAATGACAGGGACAATAGAGAATTACATTATGCCCTCCAGTTCAAGGTGCAGCCAAGTTGGCCCAAAAAGAGACGCTAATCTCCAGCAAAGTCCGGAGAGAACAGAGTAAGATTTGAGCAGTGGATATCAGTGGCCATGGACCTGCCTCCATTGCCATAAGGTTATATAAGCCCTGCTTTCATATCACTCTTACCTAAGAGAGCAAGGGAATAGGAATGAAAGTGCATTTACAAGTATCTCCAAAGACTGAGAGTTATCTAATATGATTGTAATATAAAAACCTGACAAATATTACACAAATATAAAGATAGTTTAAGAATATGAAACCAAATATTCAAAGCAAACTTCAGGAAAATTGAATTCAGAAACATGACTAGGTGTTGTTTGCCACTGGATTGCAAATTTAAAAAACACAATGATTAATCTATTGGATGCTTATCAAAAAATATACCTTCAGTTCAAAGAAAAGAACAACTGTGATCATCTGACTGCTAAAAGTAATTTAATAGTATTTAAATATTTCTGAGAAACACTCTAATTTAAATAGAAATATAAGAACACATCTTTACATTACAAAAGATAACTGTATCATAACAATAAAAATACCATCCAAAAACCCATTAACAGTAAACAAACCAAAAGCAATCCCATTAAAGTCTCAAGTTGCCCATTATCATCACTAATTGTTAACAATGCTTAACAATGGCCTAAGCATTTTAGTTGATACAACAAAATGCTAACCACAAATAATACCTACAGTTGTTAGACGGGAGAAAACAGAAGTATGAGAGGTCTCCTTGAGTATAAATTGAGAGCTCAGACTTCAAGCCCAGAACAGCCTGGATTATACTCCAGGGCCTATTCCTCATTAGCCACCACTCAATAGCATCAGGAACTTCAGATAGTTACTTAACCTTAGTACCTCAGTTTACTCATTGGTAAAATAAGCATAGTAATAGCATATATGACTAGTGTGATTGTGAGGATAAATGAGGTAATATAGGTGAAAACAAATGCCCGAGAAGTGGTAAATGTGTTTGCTATATTACACACACACACAAACACACACACACACACACACACCAACCTTAGTCAAGTCATTTTCACTCATTTCTATTGATGATTTTTGTCCATAAAATGAAAGTAAAAATTGCCTTCTCAGCATTTATTGTGTCAAGAGTATGAAATAAAATGATGTATATTTAAGTGATTTTTGATACTATAACATAATACAATTATAATAAACCATAATCACTAATTATAGTTTCATTATGAACTGTATCTGTTACTGTAAAAAAGTAACCAAACTTTCATCCCTATCTCTGAAATTATTCTAAAAGTAAAAAGAAAAACCAAAACTCAACCAAAAAACTTAAACTTTTTAAATTTAAAATTTGTGCCTCAAGGACATGAACAGACACTTGTCAAAAGAAGACATACAAGCAGCCAACAAACACAAAAATAATCAGTATCACTAATCATCAGAGAAATGCAAATCAAACCACAATGACATACCATCTCACACAGTCAGAATAGCTACGATTAAGAAGTCAAAAAATAACATATACGGACGAGACTGAGGAGAAAGGGGAACGCTCATGCAGTGCTGCTGGGAAAGTGGCTTTGTTAAGCCACTGTGGAAAGCAGTATGAAGATTTCTTAAAGAACTAAAAAAAGAACTACCATTTGACCCAGCAATCCCATTACTGGGTACATACCCAAAGGGAAATAAATCATTCTACCTAAAAGACACATGCACTCATATGTTCACTGCAGCACTATTCACAATAGCGAAGACATGGAATCATCAATTGGTGCCCATCGATGGTGGACTGACTAAAGAATATGTGGTACATATATATTATGGAATACTATGCAGCCATAAAAAGAACAAAATCATATCCTTTGCAGCAATATGGATGCAGCTGGAGGTCATTATCCTAAGCAAACTAACACAGAAACAGAAAACCAAATATTGCACATTCCCACTTATAAATGGAAGCTAAATCTTGGGTTCCTGTGGACATAAAATTGGGAACAATAGACACTGGAGTCTTCAAAAGGAGGAAGAAAGGAAGGAGGGAAAGGGCTGAAAAACTTCCTATTTGGTACTATGTTCATTATCTGGGTGATGGAATAAATATAAGCCCAAACCTCAGCACTATGAAATACACCCTTGTAACAGACCTGCACATGTATTTCCTGTATCTAAAATTAAAAAAAAAATTTAAAAAGTGTGCCTCCAGAGTCCTTCTCTTTGTAAGGAATATGTAAGAGCAAATAAGGTGAACACAAAGTAAAAAGAATCAAAGTTAGAGAAAACACAAAAACAGAATGTAATAGAAATTTGTTATTCTATACTAACATTATACAAGATTAATTCACCTTGTACCCATATGACAATATCCATTTAATAAAACTGTGCATTATTCTGAATCTCACTGCATGCAAAAAAGATCATTTTTTAGCCATAAGTATCATATAAATTGAAAGAAATTTATTTGAAAACATTTAGTGACTGATGCTCAGAAGCTTAAGTGGTACTATTTTACTATGCCTAAACTATGAAGAAATCACTGAAGCCTTTACAGCAAGGAGGAAAACCCCGGGGAGTCTACTAACAATTTAGCACTGCCAATTCTTTTGTTAATGTTCATTTTACTCTTCATAGAGAAGTACAGAAAAGCTGTTCACTATAATTAAGACTTTAAAAACTGTAGACATGTAAAAAAATAATGTAAGGCTTGTTATACTATAGACATTATTTAGTATGTAATGCAAGTCTCACAACACAGCGTCTAGGCCTCATATTTTTTGAACTTACTGCCTAAAATAAGTGTATTTTAAAGATCTTGGTAAATATATTTCGCCAAGAAAGATTGTGACACCAAAGAAGAGCTTCTATCCTAGGATTTACAGATCCTATCTATGGGTTCCATGAATAGACTTCAGATGACGTCACTAATCTCTAACTGAAATTGATCATCTCTTGAATCCTTAAATTATGACTAGTCAGTAAACCACAATAGCATTAGCGATATCTTTGAAATTTTCATTTAAGAAATTATTTCATACCATATTTTGGTTATTATAGATATCATAAACTATGATTTATACTCATTAGAGTTTCAAAATTACTATTATTATTAAACATATGCCTAGATCTTGTTAAGTTTACCTGTTACTATGGCACAAATTTGATTTCTCATGTTTTTGATCACTGTTTCAATATAATTGATTGCTTGGGTAATCCTCTGTATTTAAGTATATGTATTAAAAATATTAACAAACATTCTGAGAGGGAATGCATAACCTTCACCAGACTTCCAAATGGACTTATGGCACTATGGTGACTCTGTAATGGGTCAACTGGGCTAGGATCAACTACATTTTCCAGAATCTCCTTCCCTGTATTATTTAGGTAGGTTGGGCCACACATATTTTTGTGAGATTTGAGGGAACAAGTGAAGCAACATCCATATTCCCTTTTATTTGGAAGGCTAGGCAGGGTGAACCAGTGCCTCTGTAGGTCATACTCATCGCAGTTTATCTTCCGGCTGGCTTCATGGTGGAACACAGAAGCTGGACCTGCTACTATTCCACCATTTCCTGTGACCCCTTCAGCTTCTCCTGGCTAGACAAGTGTTTAGCTCTGTGATTATGGGCACTAGCTTCTACCATGGGATATCTTTATCATTAAGGTAGAAAGCAGTGATAAGTGAGAGCTGACATGAGTTACAACCCATTTTGGTTCATTTCAGCTCATGCTTTCAGCTTACCACTTGCTCTTTCCCGCTTCACACCCATCTAAAACAAAATTTCAGATTATCATAAGATAATCATAAGGCCATGACATTAGCTAATGTTTATTCTAGGTTTATTCTAATTTTTGAAGTAATTGTTGGCTGGTATTTTCTGGTTATGAAAATATATGTAGGTTAACTTCACTATATTTGTTTAGCTTCTTCTAAATCTAATGGTTCCAGGACAGGTATGTTAGGAAGACAACCCTGAAATAGAGAACAAAAAACTCAAGATCACCAGGAAGTGCTTGTTTGGAAGGACAAGATGAATTATTGAAGAGTAGCCCTAAAATGTCATGATTCAATTCAAGGAGACAGTTTAATTCTACTCTAGTTGAGTTCATGGTGTACTTCAGTCTTATTTCATGCTGTGACATTCAGTCTTACACTTCAATCTTATTCTGGGATTGGTATTTTAAAAACTCTGTGTGATTTGTGTGTCACAACGAAAGTGATAGAGCAGCATCACCAATAAATTGGTATGTATTCCCAACTATTTTAAGAAAGAATGAAGATCTTTTCATGATCTGTTCAGTCACAGAAGAGAGATGTGCTCAGATCAAGGAGCCTTGAATGTGATGTGAAAATTATTTTGGCTGTCTTTATGCAATGGTTAGGGCTGACCATCTATATTCATAACTCTTGTCTGACCAACATGACTAGTAATGCATTTAGACACATGACTGTCTTGTCTTTAGATTAAAAACACAGAGGAACTGCTCATGCTAATTTAGAAAAGGGCCATGTAAGTGGTCCAATTTTTCTCCCGTTGGCTCTAAAGAACATACAATTTTTGTTACCATTGCAAAGCGGAAAAGATTACCTTTTGCAGATTTATTATTTCACATATAGTTAATGTTGAATTTGTGTGGAAAATCATTGAACCTCAGTCAAATGCATGTATGTGTTATCATCAAAATGTTTTGATTCACAATCTTTGCAAAATTTAGCAGGATGATTGAAGTTGGTTTTCTCAGCTGCATAAACAAACAGTCTGACTTGTATGGGGTGCTTAATCCACAGGAGACCCAGAGAATTTCAAAAATGGGATACAATCAGGAAAAGTCAGAATATTTCAGCAGATTGATATTTATGTACAATCGTGCTACCATGTAAAGTTGTGAGAGCTCTTTCCATTTATTTAATAAGAGCAGGTTAGAATGTTAGCACTTTCAATGTTAAAGAGATTTAAGGCTATGTGGAAAAATACTATGTCTGTCTATATACTTTTTCATTTTCTATAATTGTACAAATTTCTTTGTCAAAACATCTTCCATTATATTTATAAAGACCTCATTGAAATAAAAATCAGTTTGAGATAAGCTCTATTTCCTAGAAAAGTCTCCCTTGTTGTCTCAGATAAGTATTACATAAGCTACTCTAACAGGACTGATTACCTAAGGCATATTAGAAAGCAATGAAGCATAAAACTTCTTTTCAATATCAAATTCAAAGCAGGACAAAAGGTGAATTCATTAATGCGAATGTTAAAACAAATGAAATAGAAAGTCAGAGTTGTTAATTATGCGGGAAAAACAAATGAGAGTTTGTCATGCTTAAAAAAACCTTTTAAAATATATTATTCAAAAGAAAATTTTGTTAATATTGTTCTCTGAGGTCATAATATCAAAAATATATGTATAAATGCCTTTAAAAGCTGTGAAAATTGTGAATCTAATACTTTTTAATTTTGTTATATTTTCTATTATGGATGTGAAAAGTAGCAAGTGATAATAATTATGAACAAGGAAGAAGAAATAAGTGTATCTCTTGTAATCAGCAAAGAAAACAGCCACAGCTCATGAGAAGGAATAAATAAATAAAATTCCATCATTTTGGTAACTGATAGTCTCTGTATTGATCTGTATTCCATAAATGAATCTCTCTAACTGACAAGAAACTGAATTTTCCTTTTAAAGACTTCTAATTTTTACACTTATTCATTCAAACTCATGTTATATAGCAAGCATTTCCTCTTCAGAGGTGTTAAGAGCTTTATTCCAAATAATGAAACTTTCACAACTACCTAGTATAGAACATAGGTTAAAACAATAGCAAGAGAAACGTGTACATTTGCATAAATCTATTTAGAAACCACATTCACCTGGCAGATTAATTACAATAGAGGATCAATCTAAACTCATTAAGAGAGTCAACTCAAGGTTTTGCTTTTGACGGTATGTGGTATATCTCCAACACCTGTCCAAATCTTCTCATAGACATATCCAACTTTTAGATAGCCTTTTAGCATTCATTTAAACATTTAGAGTTCCTTCCTGACAAAAACAAATTTAATCCTGCACACAGGTACTTCCAACTTCTGGTGATAAGTAGAATTGCCAGCAATACAGGCTAAATAAGAATATGTGTTGCCTAAATGAATAAAGTCATTCAACTTTCACAATGAAATGTCTTTGTTTTCAACATGGTTGGTATCTACAGCATAGAGGTGCTTTTTCAGTCATGAATAAAAAATGTCTGCCTTTCACATTCTCATTAAAACCTCATTTATGAGTTGTCTCCCCTAAAACTCCTATTTTAAGCCTGCTGGAGATAGTTGATAGTCAAGATAATTGTCTAAGGAATAAGCTGGGGGAGGAGCCAAGATGGCCGAATAGGAACAGCTCCGGTCTACAGCTCCCAGCTTGAGCTACGCAGAAGACAGGTGATTTCTGCATTTCCATCTGAGGTACCGGGTTCATCTCACTAGGGAGTGCCAGACAGTGGGCGCAGGTCAGTGGGTGCGCGCACAGTGCGCGAGCCGAAGTAGGGCGAGGCATTGCCTCACTTGGGAAGCGCAAGAGGTCAGGGATTTCCCTTTCTGAGTCAAAGAAAGGGGTGACGGACTGCACCTGGAAAATCAGGTCACTCCCACCCGAATACTGCGCTTTTCCAATAGGCTTAAAAAACTGTGCACCACAAGATTATATCCCGCACCTGGCTCGGAGGGTCCTACGCCCACGGAGTCTTGCTGATTGCTAGCACGGCAGTCTGAGATCAAACTGCAAGGCAGCAGCGAGGCCGGGGGAGGGGCACCCGCCATTGCCCAGGCTTGATTAGGTAAACAAAGCAGCCTGGAAGCTCAAACTGGGTGGATCCCACCACAGCTCAAGGAGGCCTGCCTGCCTCTGTAGGCTCCACCTCTGGGGGCAGGGCACAGTCAAACAAAAAGACAGCAGTAACCTCTGCAGACTTAAATGTCCCTGTCTGACAGCTTTGAAGAGAGCAGTGGTTCTCCCAGCACGCAGCTGGAGATCTGAGAACGGGCAGACTGCCTCCTCAAGTGGGTTCCTGACCCCTGACCCCCGAGCAGCCTAACTGGGAGGCACCCCCCAGCAGGGGCACACTGACACCTAACATGGCAGGGTACTCCAACAGACCTGCAGCTGAGGGTCCTCTCTGTTAGAAGGAAAACTAACAAACAGAAAGGACATCCACACCAAAAACCCATCTGTACATCACCATCATCAAAGACCAAAAGTAGATAAAACCACAAAGATGGGGAAAAAACAGAACAGAAAAACTGGAAACTCTAAAAATCAGAGCGCCTCTCCTCCTCCAAAGGAACGCAGTTCCTCACCAGCAAGGGAACAAAGCTGGATGGAGAATGACTTTGACGAGCTGAGAGAAGAAGGCTTCAGACGATCAAATTACTCTGAGCTACGGGAGGACATTCAAACCAAAGGCAAATAAGTTGAAAACTTTGAAAAAAAATTTAGAAGAATGTATAACTAGAAGAACCAATACAGAGAAGTGCTTAAAGGAGCTGATGGAGCTGAAAACCAAGGCTCGAGAACTACGTGAAGAATGCAGAAGCCTCAGGAGCCGATGCAATCAACTGGAAGAAAGGGTATCAGCAATGGAAGATGAAATGAATGAAATGAAACGAGAAGGGAAGTTTAGAGAAAAAAGAATAAAAAGAAATGAGCAAAGCCTCCAAGAAATATGGGACTATGTGAAAAGACCAAATCTACGTCTGATTGCTGTACCTGAAAGTGATGGGGAGAATGGAACCAAGTTGGAAAACACTCTGCAGGATATTATCCAGGAGAACTTCCCCAATCTAGCAAGGCAGGCCAACGTTCAGATTCAGGAAATACAGAGAACGCCACAAAGATACTCCTCGAGAAGAGCAACTCCAAGACACATAATTGTCAGATTCACCAAAGTTGAAATGAAGGAAAAAATGTTAAGGGCAGCCAGAGAGAAAGGTCGGGTTACCCTCAAAGGGAAGCCCATCAGACTAACAGCGGATCTCTCGGCAGAAACCCTACAAGCCAGAAGAGAGTGGGGGCCAATATTCAACATTCTTAAAGAAAAGAATTTTCAACCCAGAACTTCATATCCAGCCAAACTAAGCTTCATAAGTGAAGGAGAAATAAAATCCTTTACAGACAAGCAAATGCTGAGAGATTTTGTCACCACCAGGCCTGCCTTACAAGAGCTCCTGAAGGAAGCACTAAACATGGAAAGGAACAACCGGCACCAGCCGCTGCAAAATCATGCCAAAATGTAAAGACCATCGAGACTAGGAAGAAACTGCATCAACTAATGAGCAAAATAACCAGCTAACATCATAATGACAGGATTAAATTCACACATAACAATATTAACTTTAAATGTCAATGGACTAAATGCTCCAATTAAAAGACACAGACTGGCAAATTGGATAAAGAGTCAAGACCCATTAGTGTGCTGTATTCAGGAAACCCATCTCACGTGCGGAGACACACGTAGGCTCAAAATAAAAGGATGGAGGAAGATCTACCAAGCCAATGGAAAACAAAAAAAGGCAGGGGTTGCAAACCTAGTCTCTGATAAAACAGACTTTAAACCAACAAAGATCAAAAGAGACAAAGAAGGCCATTACATAATGGTAAAGGGATCAATTCAACAAGAGGAGCTAACTATCCTAAATATATATGCACCCAATACAGGAGCACCCAGATTCATAAAGCAAGTCCTGAGTGACCTACAAAGAGACTTAGACTCCCACACATTAATAATGGGAGACTTTAACACCCCACTGTCAACATTAGACAGATCAACGAGACAGAAAGTCAACAAGGATACCCAGGAATTGAACTCAGCTCTGCACCAGGTGGACCTAATAGACATCTACAGAACTCTCCACCCCAAATCAACAGAATATACATTTTTTTCAGCACCACACCACACCTATTCCAAAATTGACCACATAATTGGAAGTAAAGCTCTCCTCAGCAAATGTAAAAGAACAGAAATTATAACAAACTGTCTCTCAGACCACAGTGCAATCAAACTAGAACTCAGGATTAAGAATCTCACTCAAAACTGCGCAACTACATGGAAACTGAACAACCTGCTCCTGAATGACTACTGGGTACATAACAAAATGAAGGCAGAAATAAAGATGTTCTTTGAAACCAACGAGAACAAAGACACAACATACCAGAATCTCTGGGACGCATTCAAAGCAGTGTGTAGAGGGAAATTTATAGCACTAAATGCCCACAAGAGAAAGCAGGAAAGATCCAAAATTGACACCCTAACATCACAATTGAAAGAACTAGAAAAGCAAGAGCAAACACATTCAAAAGCTAGCAGAAGGCAAGAAATAACTAAAATCAGAGCAGAACTGAAGGAAATAGAGACACAAAAAACCCTTCAAAAAATTAATGAATCCAGGAGCTGGTTTTTTGAAAGGATCAACAAAATTGATAGACTGCTAGCAAGACTAATAAAGAAAAAAAGAGAGAAGAATCAATAGACGCAATAAAAAATGATAAAGGGGATATCACCACCAATCCCACAGAAATACAAACTACCATCAGGGAATACTACAAACACCTCTACGCAAATAAACTAGAAAATCTAGAAGAAATGGATAAATTCCTGGACACATGCACTCTCCCAAGACTAAACCAGGAAGAAGTTGAATCTCTGAATAGACCAATAACAGGAGCTGAAATTGTGGCAATAATCAATAGCTTACCAACCAAAAAGAGTCCAGGACCAGATGGATTCACAGCCGAATTCTACCAGAGGTACAAGGAGGAACTGATACCATTCCTTCTGAAACTATTCCAATCAATAGAAAAAGAGGGAATCCTCCCTAACTCATTTTATGAGGCCAGCATCATTCTGATACCAAAGCCGGGCAGAGACACAACCAAAAAAGAGAATTTTAGACCAATATCCTTGATGAACATTGATGCAAAAATCCTCAATAAAATACTGGCAAACCAAATCCAGCAGCACATCAAAAAGCTTATCCACCATGATCAAGTGGGCTTCATCCCTGGGATGCAAGGCTAGTTCAATATACGCAAATCAATAAATGTAATCCAGCATATAAACAGAGCCAAAGACAAAAACCACATGATTATCTCAATAGATGCAGAAAAAGCCTTTGACAAAATTCAACAACCCTTCATGCTAAAAACTCTCAATAAATTAGGTATTGATGGGACATATTTCAAAATAATAAGAGCTATCTATGACAAACCCACAGCCAATATCATACTGAATGGGCAAAAACTGGAAGCATTCCCTTTGAAAACTGGCACAAGACAGGGATGCCCTCTCTCACCACTCCTATTCAACATAGTGTTGGAAGTTCTGGCCAGGGCAATTAGGCAGGAGAAGGAAATAAAGGGTATTCAATTAGGAAAAGAGGAAGTCAAATTGTCCCTGTTTGCAGATGACATGATTGTATATCTAGAAAACCCCATTATCTCAGCCCAAAATCTCCTTAAGCTGATAAGCAACTTCAGCAAAGTCTCAGATATAAAATCAATGTACAAAAATCACAAGCATTCTTATACACCAACAACAGACAAACAGAGAGCCAAATCATGAGTGAACTCCCATTCACAATTGCTTCAAAGAGAATAAAATACCTAGGAATCCAACTTACAAGGGATGTGAAGGACCTCTTCAAGGAGAACTACAAACCACTGCTCAAGGAAATAAAAGAGGATACAAACAAATGGAAGAACATTCCATGTTCATGGGTAGGAAGAATCAATATCGTGAAAATGGCCATACTGCCCAAGGTAATTTACAGATTCAATGCCATCCCCATCAAGCTACCAATGACTTTCTTCACAGAATTGGAAAAAACTACTTTAAAGTTCATATGGAACCAAAAAAGAGCCTGCATTGCCAAGTCAATCCTAAGCCAAAAGAACAAAGCTGGAGGCATCACACTACCTGACTTCAAACTATACTACAAGGCTGCAGTAACAAAACAGCATGGTACTGGTACCAAAACAGAGATATAGATCAATGGAACAGAACAGAGCCCTCAGAAATAACGCTGCATATCTACAACTATCTGATCTTTGACAAACCTGAGAAAAACAAGCAATGGGGAAAGGATTCCCTATTTAATAAATGGTGCTGGGAAAACTGGCTAGCCATATGTAGAAAGCTGAAACTGGATCCCTTCCTTACACCTTATACAAAAATCAATTCAAGATGGATTAAAGACTTAAACGTTAGACCTAAAACCATAAAAACCGTAGAAGAAAACCTAGGCATTACCATTCAGGACATACGCATGGGCAAGGACTTCATGTCTAAAACACCAAAAGCAATGGCAACAGAAGCCAAAATTGACAAATGGGATCTAATTAAACTAAAGAGCTTCTGCACAGCAAAAGAAACTACCATCAGAGTGAACAGGTAACCTACAATATGGGAGAAAATTTTCGCAACCTACTCATCTGACAAAGGGCTAATATCTAGAATCTACAATGAACTCAAACAAATTTACAAGAAAAAAACAAACAACCCCATCAAAAAGTGGGCGAAGGACATGAACAGACACTTCTCAAAAGAAGACATTTATGCAGCCAAAAGACACATGAAAAAATGCTCATCATCACTGGCCATCAGAGATATGCAAATCAAAACCACAATGAGATACCATCTCACACCAGTTAGAATGGCGATCATTAAGAAGTCAGGAAACAACAGGTGCTGGAGAGGATGTGGAGAAATAGGAACACTTTTACACTGTTGGTGGGAATGTAAACTAGTTCAACCATTGTGGAAGTCAGTGTGGCGATTCCTCAGGGATCTAGAACTGGAAATACCATTTGACCCAGCCATCCCATTACTGGGTATATACCCAAAGGACTATAAATCATGCTGCTATAAAGACACATGCACACGTATGGTTATTGCGGCATTATTCACAATAGCAAAGACTTGGAACCAACCCAAATGTCCAACAATGATAGACTGGATTAAGAAAATGTGGCACATATACACCATGGAATACTATGCAGCCATAAAAAATGATGAGTTCATGTCCTTTGTAGGGACATGGATGAAATTGGAAATCATCATTCTCAGTAAACTATCGCAAGAACAAAAAACCAAACACCGCATATTCTCACTCATAGGTGGGAATTGAACAATGAGATCACATGGACACAGGAAGGGGAATATCACACTCTGGGGACTGTTGTGGGGTAGGGGGAGGGGGGAGGGATAACATCGGGAGATATACCTAATGCTAGATGACGAGTTAGTGGGTGCAGCGCACCAGCATGGCACATGTATACATATGTAACTAACCTGCACAATGTGCACATGTACCCTAAAACTTGAAGTATAATAAAAATAAAAAATAAAAAAAAAAAAGGAATAAGCTGCCAGCCATTTACTCCTTAAGACTCTTCAGACTTTTTCCCTGTGTTTCCAGATAATCAGAATGCTGTCATAATCACTTTGGTTCCTGGAGTAATTGCATTTAAATTTTGTCCAAGGTATCTATCAAAGGCTGATACAAGAAACAACCATATGCAGAAGATCTTTGCTATAGTTTACAAAGTCGTATTGAGGATACAGGCTATTATGTTGTTTAAATGCATCAGCATCTTCATAAAACCTAAAGGAGAAAAATATTTCTCTTGATGAACTGCTATCCTTTCTTTTAGACAAGGAGAGTATAATAAATACAAAGCTATGTGCTAAAATGCTATAACTCTCTCCAACACGTTTTATTTTGATAAAAAAATTATCTAATTTTGTACTTCCCTAGTTAGTGCCATTTGTCATATATCAGTGGTTTTTGACTCACAGTATACATTTTTCTTATCAGTCACAATTTTTAAATTGGATAATATTTAACAACATTAAGCACATATAATGATATATTGAGAAGACATAATGGTAAAATAGATCTAAAATAGGTTAGGGGATATTAATTTCTTTTCTTATTAACTTTTAAGACAGAATCTCACTCTGTTGTTCAGATTAGAGTGCAGTGGTGTAATCCTGTCTCACTGCAAACTCTGCCTCTTGGGCTCAAGCAGTCCTCTCCCCACTCAGCATCCCAAGCAGCTGAAACTACAGGCAAGTACCACCACGCTCTGCTTATTTTTGTATTTTTAGTAGAAACAGGGTTTCACCATGTTGCCCAGTCTGGTATGGAACTGCTGGGCTCAAGTAATCCACCCACTTCTGCCCCTCAAAGTTCTGGGATTATAGGCATGAGCCACCATGCCTGGCCTGAGATATTAATTTCTATTTCTCTCAACATTTAAGTGAGTAAGTGTTTACTCACTTAAAAATTCACTTTTAGATAATCTAGAAGTGCAGTAACAGTATAAAATGAAAAAGAATACAAATGAACTATTTATTTTACTATCAAAATGTCGATAATACAAAAAAAAAGAGAATAGGTTTGAGATTAAAAGTTGGAAAAAGGGAAGCCTTGGAAAATAAGTTCAGGATATTTCAAAAATTGGAAAATCTCACTCCATGAATCATTCACATAAACTACCCCCTCCACCTCCTCCATCCTCTTTCTTAAGTTTTATATTTCCATTCATCAGTTCACTACATGTCTTTCCAGTTATTCAGAGTCTGAAATTTGACATAATCTTTGATTTGTCCTACCTTTTTTTTCTTATATCAATTTATCAGAAAGTGATAGAATAGCATTTCATTGAACTGTCTTTTGTGACTATCTCTGAACAAAGTATAGGCTGCCTAACATGGAATCAAGACCTTTCGTGGCTTAAAGCAACTTTATCTCCTTAGCATTGCTCCCCACTATTAATAAAATTCTCTCTGATGAGGATTTCAATACCTTTAAAGCATATATGTAACATTATATACTAAGTAAGTTCCTGAGTCAAGCCTGCTGTTTTTATTTTATTCTATCTGTAATAACGATTTTTTACTAAGTTTTACCTGTATTTTGTGTTCAAAATTTAATTACATTATTCTCTGAATGACTGCAGAATTCATTCATTCATTCATTGTTTTTTTTTCTGCATCCCTTTGAATACACACATGACATGCAAAGGATCAGTTTAAGGTGTTGTGAAAGAGCAAAGACTTATAACATAGTCTGCACTTTTAACTAACTGGAATCCCACATTTAATTTTTATATAAATGAATTTTCTCCACAATGAGATTATAGCAATTTAGAAGCAGTGGTCATATTTGGCACTTCTATTCCTCACAGTTTTTGGCAGAAATATTCATTTGATTGAATTTCTTAAATTAAAAAAAACTTGGAAAAATATAATGTTAATTTTATCTCTACAAAGTTTCTGGAAAAAGAAAGTCTATAAAATAACTAGCATTATAACCAGAAAGTAGAGTTATTTCTAAGCTAAAATTGCTAATTTAAAATACAAGAAAAATAGTCTCTTTTTATAGGTATTACCTTATGAAGCATAATCCTCTCTTAAGAGAATGGCAATAGTGGGCAGCATAAGATAGCTGTGATTTTTAAAAGTGCTTATTAAAACATTTGTTTAAATCTATTATAACCAGAGGAAATTAGTTCAGCTCCCAGGGCAATTCCCATTCCAAAAGCAAGGGGTCTATTTTAATCATCTCTTAAACCTTTAGAAAGAACTGTACTAATTCTCCATTGAAAACTGGACAATTATTCGACTGGGACCATTGTTGAGCGTGAGATGCTTTGTGAAACCTGTTACTCTCTCCTCTGTATGGTTCCAGAAAAGCAAAGCCACTGTTGATTGAAGTGATAAAGCTAATGACCTATTTACAGAATGTAAAATAGTAACTAATTTATGATCATATAATCCTAGGTTTAAAAGATTTCATGTTGGATTAATAAGCACTTTCATCCCCCAGACAGTCCAAGATAAGATCTGTTTTACTTTCAAGGTCTCTCAAAAGAAGGGATTTTCAAAGTGCTATCTTCAGTTATTCCTGTGCTTAAAAACTCTCACAGCTTGAAAATCTACACTAATAACAGTCCAGGTTTATTATACTTTTTAAAAAATCATTACAAAACAAAGAATTGGCCACCTTTTCTATAAGGTCTCTTCATATACAGTACATGAAGAAGAATAATTATCTCACTATGTCTTCTTTTTCAAATGCAAGTATTCTATTTCCTTAATTTTTTTTCAGAGACATGATTACTGAAAATTCTTCATCATAATTTTTATTTCTCCTTGCACCTTTCCCACATATTCCAGATTCTTCATTAGCTGACTCAACCACAAACATTCAGAGTAATCAAGAAGCGCGTGACCAAAGCAAGATAACATTTCTTCTTGACTTTTAAAAATCGTTCCTGGATTTTACTAATCTAAGCTCTAATAACTCCTACATGATACCCAACTTGGGTTTCTCAGACCTGTAGAGAGTGAATGTAGCAAAGAGGAAACAGACTTGTTGTGAAATCCTAATGATCTGTACAACAAACCCCCGGGACAAGAGTTTACCTATGTGACAAACCTTCACACATACCCCTGAACCTAAAATAAAAGTAAAAAAAAAAAAAAAAAAAAAAAAGAAAATGTAAATTCACCACTGATAGAACTGCACAGGTCATATGCAACACCAGATCTCTTTGCCATTGTTCACACTTAGGAGCTGATATATGGAAACATTCAACAGAAGTTTCCTATTAATGTAAAATTTTTAAGTTTTAATGTTGTTGTTATTTGAAAATTTTAAAAAACCCATTGGAATTGGAGATACACACACACACACACACACACACACACACACACAGGTAGCTAAATGATTACTTATTTAACAAATTGAGAATTGATTCTTATTGAATGAGGTTTTTTTAGGGGAAAAACTCGATTATTTCCTTGGGGAAAAATAATCATGTAAATGGATAGAATTTGAAACAAAATGAAACCACTGGGGCACCCTTTAAGATAATTATTTTTTGTAAATCTCTTATATAATCTTTATTTCTGCTTCACAATATATGTTAAAATTTGTCTTTCTAAAGTTTCCCCTTTTTATGTGATTCTTCGCCAATTTCAAGATTTTTTTGAACTAATTTATGCCCTTAGAATTACTGGAAAAATTTCTAAAATCTATTCTAACTCTTAAGTGTGTTCTTTATGTTACCATACTCAGCACTTAAGTTGTTCAAAATACTGGGGTAATAAAAATACTCTGATGAAGGGCACTTGTAATGACTATTATGCCACTAAATTCAGAAATTTAGATCCTTTTTTTCATCTAGTCGATCCCTCCATTCATTTACTATGAGGCGATACAATCATATTTTTTTTCTCTTGTGAAAAAAAGTCTGCTTCAATGAAAAGCCAAAAAAAAAAAAGCTGCAAGTGTCAAAATAAATTACCTGTATTACATTCTCTTAACCTACTGTGTCTGTCATAGGAAACTACTTATGGGCAAAGGGACTATTTTATCTCAATATCAGAAAGCAGTTTGTAAAGGAGGGGAAAATCCATTTGCTTTATATTGCGTTTCAGAAACTGACATAGCAAAATTTCAACTTTGAGATACTGAGAAGGGTCATAAATTTGAAGGTTCAGGAAACATTCAATTTAATGTCGTTCTTGATTTTCTACACAATAGCCTTTGGTTGCTCTGGGTCATGTGAAATAAATAAGTGTTATATTCTAATCCATCTAAATCATATAGAGCAAAATAAATGTTATATCCTAATATATCAAACTCATATAGTGCATATCTCATCATGATGAATATGATAATCCTTGAATGTATAATCCAAGTATTAGTAACAAGATAAAATTACTCTGTATCCTAAAGATGGTCCATATTTAGCTACCTTCATAAAGCCAGTTTCCACAGGTAAAATCAAATGTATTTGTTCACTGAAACGGAGGTACTATAATTACCTATATATTTGCCAAGGTCAAGCCAGCATTACTGATAGCACTGCCCTTTTACCAAATAATAAGATTCTTATCACAAGTCGTTAAAATATTGCCCAGTAGATACAAGGAAACAGAGTTAATCTAAGAAAGAAATGCCTTTTCATTATTCATTGAGACCAAATAAAATTAAGGTAAAACAAAGTTTGAAAAAAATAAAATCAATTAAGCCTTCCATTAAAACAAAATTAAACTCTAATTCCAAATGAGAAAAGGGATTTTCTGCCATGGAAAGTCTTCTTTATTTAAAGAATAAAGATAAAAATAGATGAACTTACAAAATACAGCAGTCTTGTTTAATCACAGCAGGACAGTTGAGTATATTCTCTCAGAGTTCTTTTGGGGTACATTTCCTGAAACGAAAATTAAATTAATGTTAAGGCCAAGCTTAAAAATGACCATAAGGAAACTATGGTTTGTATAATGGAAAGACCACACAAATGTTGTAGAAATTTTGGGCCTATGTAAGTAGTCTTTAAAATATAATACTGTTCTTAATTTCATTTCTGCCAATATTCAGATCATGTGAAATAATTTATATAAATTTCTGTATGGTTGCAAAATATCTACATATTTCATAATAAGAAATAAACTGAAGTTTTATTTTCTAATAGAGAATTTCAAAATAATCTCTTCTGGCATAAGATAAGAAGGGTTATTTGAGCCATTTATGTACTGCCAAACAATGTAAGACACTCAGGAACCTCTCCAAAGACAGAGGCAAAATTTTAAAAGTCAAACTAGAATATCTGGTTTCAATTTGATCTAGTTGTTTGATAAAAATACAGTCTGAATTTGCCTCAAAGTTTTGAACATAATGAGGATGAGTAAAAGGATGCGGTGATTGAAGGATAAGCAACAGCTTCACTTTTGGATCCTTATGTAATCTAAGCAGCACATCAGGAGGAAATATCCACAAGCCATGTACTTCACTACCTCTATTATCCCTTTGTATAAAACAACACCAACTATTTTATCTCTTGTTTTAGGATCCACTCAATAGAAGACATACATGGCTACAATACTAAATTGCCTTTGTTTAGTTGAAAGGGCTAAGGATACAATTGTGTGTATAATGAGCTGGCATCCATATCTTATAATCTCTCCATATTCTTTTTCTGCATGTAGAATGATCACAAGAAAGTATCTTAACAAACTAAAGTAATAGGGGATATTATTGATCATTTTTTCAAAGAATGTATACAGTAGCACTGTAGTTGCAGAGAAAACATGACATTTTCATATCAGAGTTGTATCTGTTTATGAAGTCAATGTACATAGAGCTAAAGCAGAAATTGTATAATAGTTATATAAAATGAGTTTGCTTATAGAATTAATAAGTTGACATATAAAAGTCAACCGCTGACACTGGGAACACATTGTAACCACATAAGGTGAGAAAACTAAATTCACACTATATACAACAAATGAAAAATCAGATCAGTTAGAGAAACAACAAAAACAACAACAAAATATTTCTACAAGAAAAGAATATATTGCATAGAACCATGAAAATTTCCATTAATTTTTAAATGTTTATCAACACAATTTTTAAAATAGGTCATTGTTATTATTTCCACTTTCGCTGTTTTTTAATAAATTATGTATTACAATTTTTAAATAAATTATGTATTTTCAAATTCTGAAAATAAGATATTACCAATCAAATACCCATTAAAAAATTGCAAATAAATTTGACAAATTAAAGAATGATATCTTTCCTTGGCTCAGGATAGTGAGGACACTGTCTTCCAGCTTTAACTGTGGCTACCTGCAGTTTTGCTTATTTAAGTTGAATAACTTGGAACATTCTCTATTTCAATGGACTTTATTTTCACATATTATGTAGTTTAATGAAATTGGTATATTAAAATCCAAGTTCCAAATACAAGGTATTATGAAATATCATTGGGTGCATTAGCATAATGAAAACAAACAGGAACAAGAAACTCCAAACATATGTTGTTATTGGTTGGATGAAAGAGATTAGGATTATGTATTCTACTGCTTCATGATTTTAGGTTCCCCACATGGCCTTTTGAAAGCTTAATAGTTTGATGCTTTCTCTCTATATACATACCTTTCTAACATTTACATCCTTTTGTGTCATATGGCATGAAAGACAATACAGAAAGGGAGAAAGAAAGGAAAAGAGAGAGGGAGGGAAAGATAAAGAAAAAGAGGAAAGAAAGATGCATATTTATGTATCTGGGGAAAGGAGGGAGCTCTAAACTGTGGTCAGCACCGGCGTTCTTACATATTTGGGCATTTGGTGAGGTGGGTGCCAAAAATCTCTTTGTATGAATGACTTAGGTGAATCGTGAGAAAAATCTAATAAATAATTGTATAGGTACGTCTATCTGATAAATAAATTATTCAGGGAGGGGTAGGGGGGATGTCAAAATTTAAGCAACAGATGGTGCATAACCATTAGACATGAGATTTATCTTTCAACACAATCTCCCTTGACTCATTGCATATTATTTTGGAAAGAACAAGGATGTAAGTAAAAAGTGAAATACTGGACTGCTTTGGTTATTCAAATTGAGCACAACACTTCTCAGGGTGACCCACTCATTTTAAACATCATTTTAATTTTTATATAAAACGATAACTGTTTAACCCCAAAATAGGAGACTTGCATATTTATTAAAGCAAACTTCCAGTAGAGGGGATAAAGGATTCCATTATAATAGGGTCAAAAAACATCATTCCACTGGGACTTATAAAGGAGGGACAAGTTGGTAAACTAAAGATTTGTGAATCGAAAATCAGTGTCGATTTAATAACATATATGATAACCTGTGCTTCTGAACAAGTAGCTGAGCTTCAAAACATACGTTTATCTACCTATCAGTCGATTTATCTATCCATATATCAATAAATGAAATGATTAACCAATCAACTAATCTATTGTTATATGTATGTATACATATATGTATATTCATAAAAATAAAAACATATCTCATTGACTTAATGCACTGGTTATATTTAATATATTTTTATTGCCATTCACATTATTTTCTTATTGTTTATTGTAACATTAAGGTTTTTCTGAGTTCCCTGTTTAAGTAAAAGATGCTTCCAGTATGATATGAATTACATAAACACAATTAGCATTTACCCATTAATAATTCAAAAATAAGTATTAATGAAGGCTTAACGATTTTTATATAATGACCCATTCTTTAAATGACAGGAATTGTTAATATTTAGTGCAGAAATTTAATCAGTATAAAATTAAATGCTGTGTTAAAATTTGCTTTTTCCCAGTATATAAGTATTATATTATATTATGTTATATTTTGCTATTTTTCCTAAGTACAATAAATGCAATAAGATTTACAATGAAATAATCAGAAGATAACTATTGAAACAGCTTATTTTATTACGATAAATAGTATTGAGACAAGAAAAAAATGGGAAACTACACACACACAATACAATGTTTGGAACATTGCAAAAATTTTGGAGAATTCAGAGTGAATTACCAAAAAAAAAAAAGGCAGAGGAAAACACTTCAGAGCTATTAATTTTAGCAGAATATAGTACAAATCGTCACTGATGGAATGGCACATGAAATTATCTCCCACTTCCATGTCAATGACTACTGACCTTCAAGAAAATCTAGCAGACAAAACAAGTTCTGAAGAATCATCAAATGAAATGTGTTCCCTTACAATCTCAGAAGGTGGACGTATTTTTAAATATTCAGCAATGAGCCACTCTGCTGAAAATTTTGCATCTTATATAAGAAAGTTTAAATTTACAAAAGACAGACAAGGAAGGAAGTTTGAGGGTGGTTATTTTATTCTGATATTTTTCAGATGAAAAAACTCATATGTTCTCCGCATACAAAGGGTCTTATATTTGTTTTCAATTTCTTCAGGGATAAAAAACATAAACCATTACTTAAGAATGAGCAATAATCAGTCATGAGCAATGAGGAAACGTGAATAAAATAAACTGGACAGCAATCACAGTGTTAGATATTTATAATTAAAGTCTGATTTGGAAAAACCAGTAACTACTTTTGTTGAAGAATAGAGACTAAATGAAGATATGGCATGTTGTTGTTGAACACATAATATACATAATTTTGATTTTGGCAAGGCAAATGTGTTCAGAAGATCATCCAAGAAAGTTTATGAGAGCGATAATGGAAATTTTCTGCATTTGGCAGAGACCATAGTAAAACTTGATAATATTGTGAAAGAATATTTATTCAGACTACAAACATTGGCATCAAGTAATGTGACACATCATTTAAGAAACTATATACAAAACTGAAGAGACATTGCAGAAATGAGTCAAGTCATTTTGAATAAAAGAAATGCTAAATGTTATTCAAATTATTTTGGATACAGCTTATGGTGTAAGTTTGGTATAACAAATTATAAATATTATGAATCTGATAATTCAAATGTTTCAATACCTTAAAATAAATATTTCTGAGAAAATTTTCCAGGAGATGAAACAATAAGATACAATTTTGATGGATTCTTAAAATTCAAAATCTAGAAAGAAAATAATTCAAAGATTTGGAAGATGTCATAGTTCCCACAGATATACACAGAAAGCAACACATTTCAGTAGAAGGTACATAAAAGACAATTCTAAGGAATTCCAAATTTTAAAATTTGCTCTCCTATCTCTAATTATGAATACTTTAGAATAGAGAAAAACTTTCTTTGGCTATCATTGATCTTTTTTTGTAAGGTTTAAAATCTAAATAACTTATCTTTACTTCATCAAACTTTAGATGATATTGATAATTTATCAACCATAAACATGAAATAAAGCATTATCAATAGTTAATGGGAAAGTTAAATTAAGGCCTTCATATCACTAAAATCTCAAAACTGTCATGCAAAACATTTACAGATTTCTTAATAGTAACATATCATCATAATAAATATATAAATTCTAGAATGCTAGAAAATAGCATACTTTCCAAAATATCTGCTTTTAAATTTATTTCCTAACTATGCATGCTGTACTAAATAAAATTAACATTTTAGGGCAGGAGTCTGCAAACTTTTTTCATAAAGGGCAAATAACTAACTATCTTAGGATTTGCAGGCCACTCCATTGCACTGAATATTCTTCTTCATTTGCATGTATTTATGTGCACAAGTGTGTGCTTGTGTGTGTGTTTACAATCCTTTAAAAACAGAAAAAGCATTGTTAGCTCAAGGGCCATACAAAAGCAGGCCACAGTCTCTAGTTTCTGTTCCAAGAGTTTTGTTGTCTAATACAGTAGCCACTAGCCACGTGTAAATTTAAATTTAAGTAGTTAAAATTAAATCAAATTTTAAATTCTCAGCTTCTTAATAATTACAATTACTCAGTCACATGTTGCTAGTAACTATCATCCTGAACACCATACATAGAAAGCATTTCCAGAAAGTGCTATCAGACAACACTGTTGTAGAGAAAAAAATACACAAGAAACAAATGTGTGTGTGTGTATGCATACCATTTAAATTAGGAAAAATAAAAGAATGGCTAGATCTCTTAACATTGATGCTAACTTATCCCAAGTAGAAAATTCCAAAACTAAGAAGACATAATTGACTATGAATTCTATTGTTAGCCCATCTTTTATACAAAGTTAAAATCCACATAAATATGCCAAATCAATGTCTCTTTTAAATAATAGAATAGGCTGGGCGTGCTGACTCACGCCTGTAATGCCAGCACTTTGGGAGGCCAAGGCGGGTAGATCATTTGAGGTCAGGAGTTTGAAACCAGCCTGGCCAACATGGTGAAACCTCGTCTCTACTAAAAATACAAAAATTAGCCAGACGTGGTTGTGCATGCCTGTAATCCCAGCTACTTGGGAGGCTGAGACAGGAGAATCGCTTGAAGCTGGATGGCAGAGGTTGCGGTGAGCCGAGATCGCACCACTGCATTCCAGCCTGGGTGATAGAGTGATATGCAGTCTCAAAAAAATAAAAAATAAATAAATAAATAAACAATAGAATAATTTCTGCTTGAATATAAATTTTTGTAATAACAAAAGATAACTTTCTTCTTATTTTAGGTCAAGGCTTATCCCTTTTTAATGGAAATACAAGTTACCTAGGAACATTTTAAAAGGTGGATTTGGCTTCATTAGATCTGAATTGGGCTGTAAATTCTGCATTTCTAGTAAGTACTTAAACCTGAATCTCTTTCCAATGAATAAAGATCAATAAGAATATAAAATACAACTACCCATATTCCATAGCACAATTGTGAGATAATTATAAAACATTCAATAACATGTAATGAACATGTAAATAAACACTTAAAATCAACACTGAAGCTGGGCACGGTGGCTCACATCTGTAATCCCAGCACTTTGGGAGGCCAAGGCAGGCAGATCACTTGAGGTCAGGAGTTCAAGACTAGCCTGGCCAATGTGGAGAAACTCCATCTCTCCTAAAAATACAAAAATTAGGTGGGCATGATGGTGGGCACCTGTAATCTCAGCTACTCAGGAGGCTGAGGCCGGAGAATTACCTCAACCTGGGAGGTGGAGGTTGCAGTGAGCCGAGATCCACCACTGCACTCCAGCCTGGGTGACAGAGCAAGACTCCATCTCAAAACAACAACAAAAATCAGCACTGATAGTTATAAATCTATTCAGAGGTAAATTAAAAAACACATGAGTGAGATCAGTGAAGTGATTTTTATTAATGATAGAATACAGATAACATCAATTAGTGCTCATAATTGTAAGTATAGAAAAAGAAAGTTTAAGCAAAGAGATAAAAAGGAACAAACAACCCAAAATGCATATAATTGAAGTCACTCAAAAAGTCACTAACAAAAAAACATAAAATGGAAAAGACATAATATTTTAAATAAATACTTCAGTCAAATATTCCAGAAACTAAAAACAAATATTTTTATATGGAAAACATTAACTTGTACTTTGGAAAACAGTAAACCCCAAGACAGAACTTAATATTCTATTAAAACTATTAGATTTTGGGGATTACAAAAAATCTTATGGGCATACAGCAAAAAGAAATTATTAACAAAAAAATTAAAACTGACCACAGATTTCCTAATAGAAACATACAAAGTTAAAAGAAAGTGGAAAAAGATATAAATATATATTTATAAAGATATTATTTGTATAAACATATAAATAAACTGCAAAGTTTGATAAATATCAAAAGAAATACAAAATAGAACAAGGAGAAAATCTAATATAGAAAACAGTAATATATAATATAATACACCCATTTAAGCTTATAAGACAAAGCTCAGACCAAATATATGATATCAGTCAGATAAATGTCCAGTTTAATATATCTTTTTTCACAAAATAAAATTCAATTCTGTTCTCAATACAGGAGCCATAGCTAAACAATATTGATTAAGAAAAGCAAAATATAAATATGTGTGAAGGTATTACAGTAAATGCAAATCAAATTAAATGCTAAACAAACATAGTAGCTTTCAATTCTGAAATAAGAAAGTAAAATTCAGGTCCAAAAACACTAAAACAGGTAACAACAATTTATAAAGCTGAAAGAAAAAGTCACAATAAAGATATAAGAGTTATAAGTATCCAAATAATATAACACCACAACTACCATTAAAAATTACAAACTCAAGTAGATATGAGAATAAATTGAATGAAAAAAATATAATACGGGACTCTCCCACCAAGAAACAAGTGGGAAAAATTTATTAAAATATATAAGGATAAAGATAACCTAAACAACATAATACATTAAGGGTTTTTGCATACCAAAAATGGAAGGCACATCTTCTTCAAATAAGTGAGAATTGACTACACATTAGACCCTAAAAAACCCTTAGTAAATATCCTAAAGTATGAATGAAACACAGTATTCCCCAGTCACAATGCAATAAAACTAAAACTTAATACAAAGCTTATTAAAGTTTCTTTCTTCCTCAAATTTTAAAAATTTCTTTTGTACAATTCTAGATTTGAAGGGATAATTAAAATCAAAATTAAAATATCTCAAAAAATAATGATAATGAAAACTTAGACTGTCAGAATCTATAGGATTATATAGTATAAGCAATAATCAAAAGAAATACAAATAATAAATACAAATAAAGAAATACAAATAATAAATACAAAGGTCAATATAAATGAAAAAAATAAAAATAAATGAGTCAAATATTAAATCAAAAAGCTAGGAGATAAAGTAAACCAAAAGAAAGCAAAAGAAATAAAAAGTAAAGATAACACAAAAATTGAGGTTAAAAATTTTAAAGATTAATAATTATGTTTGGTGACAATTAATAAAAACATGAGCCAAACTAATACATAAAATAAATAAATCAAAATGACACCAACTGAGAATTAACAAAAGTGGAATAACTTTTGAATAGTTGAAACTAATAATGTTTTAAAAATCCTAAGGCTTTTTGCACAAGTTTATGCAAATAAATTTGAAACTAAGGCTAAAGCAGGTAATTTTATAGAAAAATACAATTTACAAAAGTTGTCCACAGCAGAGAAAAAAGCTTAAAATGGATCAATTTTCAAAAAGAAAATATAAAAAGTTATAAAATAAATACCATGCACAAAAGAACAAGAATCAGATTTTTTCACAAATGAAATCAATCATTCATAGACCTAATAATGCCAATAGTATTTAAATTGTTCCTGATAACACATAAAAGATCACTTATACATTATTTTTATGAAGTGAATATATAACAGATAACTAAATTTGATTAAACTGCACTATTAAAAAAACTACAGATCAACCTGATATATTTAGTTATAAAAAATCATAAATAAAATATTATCAAATAGAACTTAACTCACACAAAGCTGAAAATCAAGGGATAGATACAGATATTCTATGCCAATGGAAACCAAAAGAGAGCAGGAGTCGCTACACTTAGACAAAACAGACTTCAAGGCAAAACTGTAAGAAGAGACAAAAAGAGGTCACTATATAATGACAAAGTGTCCAACTCAGCAAGATAATCTAACAATTTTCAATATACATGCACCCAACACCGGAGCACCCAGATACATAAAGGAAGTATTATTAGAGCTAAAGAGAGAGATAGGGCCCAATACATTAATAGCTGGCAACTTCAACAACCCACTTTCTGCACTGACCGGATCTTCCAGGTAGAAAATCAACAGAGAAATATCAGATTTAATCTGCACTATAGACTAAATGGATCTAATAGATATTTACAGAACATTTCATCCAAGAACTGCAGAATACACATTCTTTTCCTCAGCACGTGGATCATTCTTAAGGACTGACTATACATTAAGTCACAAAATGAGTCAAAACATACCAAAAAATGGAAATAATATCAAGCATCCTCTCTTACCACAACTGAATAAAACTAGAAATTAATAACAGGAGGAATTTAGAAAATGATGCAAATACATGGAAATTAAACAATATGCTCCCGAATGACCAGTGGGTCAATAAAGATATTAAGAAGGAAATAAAACATTTTCTTAAAACAAGTGATGATGAAAACACAACATACCAAAACCTATGAGATATAGCAAAAGCAGTACTAAGAGGGAAGTTGATAGCTATAAGTGCCTAGATCAAAAAAGAGAAAAAAACTTTAAATAATCTAATGATGCATTTTGAATAACTAGAAAACAAGAGCAAACCAAACCCAAAATTAGTAGAAGAAAAGAAATAATAAAGATCAGAACAGAAATAAATAAATTTGAAATAAAGGAAATAAAAAATATCAAGGAAACAAAAAGTTGTTTTTTTGAAAAGTTAAAAGAAATTTACAAACCTTTAGCCAGTTGAAGAAAAAAGAGATAAGATTGAAATAAAATCAGAAATAAAAAAGGAGATATTACAAGTGATACTTCAGAAGCTGAAAGGATCGTTTGTGGCTACTATGAGCAATTATCTGCCAAAAATTGGAAAATCTAGAAGAAATGGACAAATTTCTAGATGCATACAACCTACCAAGATTGAACCAGGAAAAAATCCAAAACCTGAACAGACCTGTATTCTCCATTCTCACGCTGCTATAAAGAACTGCCCAAGACTGGGTAATTTATAAAGGAAAGAGGTTTAATTGACTGATAGTTCTGCATGGCTGAAGAGGACTCAGGAAACTTACAATCATGGTGGAAGGGGAAGAAAACACGTCCTTCTTCACAAGGCAGCAAGAGAGAGATGTGCTGAGCAAAGGGGGAAAAAGCCCTTACAAAACCATCAGATCTCATGAGAACTCACTCACTGTCATGAGAACAGCATGGGGGAATCCACCCCCATGATTCAATTACCTCCCACCAGCTCCCTCCCATGACATGTGAGGATTATGGGAAGCACAATTAAAGATGAGATTTGGGTGGGGCCACAGCCAAACCATATCAAACCAGTAACCAGTAACAAGATCAAAACTCTAGTAAAAAGTCTCCTAGAAAGAAAAGCGCAGGATCTGTTGGCCTCACTGTTGAATTCCATCAAAAATTCAAAGAAGAACTAATATCAACCCCACTCCAGCTATTCAAAAACTAGAGAAGGAGAGATTACTTCCAAATTCACTCTACAACATCAGTATTATCCTGATATCAAAACTAGACAAAGACATATTAAAAAAAATGAAACTACAGGCCAATATCTCTGATGAATATTGATGCAAAAATCATTAACAAAATACTAGCAAACTGAAATCACCAATACATTAGGAAGATATTCATCATGACCAAGTGGGATTTATCCCAGGGATGCAAGTATGGTTCAACATACACAAATCAATCAATGTGATACACCATGCCAACAGAATGAAGGACAAAAACCATATGACCATTTTAATCAATGCTGAAAAAGCATTTAATAAAATTCAACATCCCTCCATAATAAGAACCCTAAAAAAACTGGGGATAAAAGGAACATGCCTCAACATAATGAAAGCTATTTATGACAGTGATACAAGAGTTAAGAAACATTTACTTAGCCAGATAGTGAGGATACGGAAGTCCTCAGTAAGATTTTCCTTTTAATGAAAAGCAACCCCAACTTATTTTCCTTTCTAACTAAGAGTAGCCTGTAAATTCAAGCTGCAGACATAGATATTGGCATTTGTGCCAATAATGTTCAAGATGGCGGCTCCATCTTTCCTTCTCTTTGTCAGCCGCATGTACAGTAAGGAGCATATAAGATAGTGCTGATCAACTGGAAAGCCCATTTGTATAATAAGATTAGGGTGGGGAGGCCAGCCTTCCCGCATGCTATGTAAACATCATACCTGATAGAACCAATCTATGAGCCCTATATAAATCAGACACTGCTTCCTCAAACCTGACTACAAAACCTGTCGCATCCACTGCCCACCAGTCTTTTCTGCTGGGAGACCCCTCTCTCTCTCTAGAGAGAGCTGTTTCTCTTTCTCTTCACTTCTGCCTGTTTAATCTCTGCCCCTAAACTTCTTGTGTGTTTTCGTGTCCTAAATTTTCCTGGCTCAAGATGATGAACCCCAGGCCATATACCCCAGACAACATAGCCTCTTCAACAGACCTACAGCAAGTATCGTACTGAGTAGTGAAAAACTGAAAGCCTTTCCTCTAACATCTGGAACACGACAAGGATGCCCACTATCACCACCGTTATTCATCAAAGTACTGGAAGTGTTAGCTAGAGTAATCAGACAAGAAAGCAATTCAAGAAATTCAAGAATTTCAAGAAAGAAATAAAGGGCATCCAAACTGGAAAGGAAGAAGTCAAATTATCCTTGTTTTCAGATGATATGATCTTATATTTGGGAAAACCTTAAGACTCCACAAGAAAACTATTAGAACTCGTAAGCAAATTCATTAAAGTTGTAGGATACAAAATGAACATAGAAAAACCAGTAGCCTTTCTATATGCCAACAGTGAATAATGTGAAAATGAAATTTTAAAAAGTAATCCAATTTACAATAGCCACACACAAAATTAAGTACCTAGGAATTAACCAAATAAGTAAAAGACCTCTATAATGAAAACTGTAAAACACTGATGAAAGCAGTTGAAGAGGACCCCAAAAGATGGAAAAATACTCCACGTTTAAGGATTAGAAAAATAAATATTGTTAAAATACCCATACTACCGAAAGCAATCTATAGATTCAATGCAATCTCTACCACTGACATTCTTCACAGAAATAAAAATTTAAAATCCTAAAATTTATATGGAACCATAAAAGACCCAGAATACCCAAAGCTATCCTAAGCAAAAAGAACAAAACTGGTTTAATCACATTACCTGATTTGAAATTGTACTGCAAAGCTATAGTAACCAAGCAGCATGGTGCTAGCATAAAAACAGACATATAGACCAATGGAACAGAATCGAGTATGCAGAAACAAATCTACACACCACAGTGAACTCATTTTTGACAAAGATGCCAAGAACATACACTGGGGAAAAGACAGTCTCTTCAATAAGTGGTTCTGGAAAAACTGGATATTCATATGCAGAAGAAGAAAACTAGACCCCTAGCTTTTGCCATATATAAAAATCAAATCATAGTTTCATATTGGGGAAAATCTCCAGGACATTGATCTGGGCAGAGATTTCTTGAGAAATACCTCACTAGCATAGGCAAACAAAGCAAAAATGGACAAATGGGGTCACATCAAGTTAAAAAGCTTCCACACAGCAAAGGAAACAATCAACAAAGTGAAGAGACAATCCATAGAATGGAAGGAAATATTTGCAAACTATGCATCTGACAAAGGATTAATAACAGAATATACAAGGAACTCAATCAACTCTACAGGAAAAAAATTGTAATAATCTGATCAAAAATGGGCAAAAGATTTGAATAGATATTTCTCAAAAGAAGACATACAGATGACAAACAGGCATATGAAAAAGCGCTCAACATCACTGATCATAAGTGAAGTGCAAATCAAAATTACAATGAAATATAATTTAATTACAATGAAATATAATTTAAATATAAGCCACTTAAAATGGCTTATATTCAAAGACAGTCAATAACAAATGCTGGTGAGGATGTGGAGAAAAGGGAACCTTGGCACACTGTTGGTGGGAATGTAAATTAGTACAACCACTATGGAGAACACTTTGGATATTCCTCAAAAAACTAAAAATTGAGCTGCTATAGGATCCAGCAATCCCACTGCTGGGTATACACCCAAAAGAAAGAAAATCAGCATGTGGAAGAGATATCTGCACTCATGTTTGCTGCAGCAGTGTTTATAATAGCTAAGATTCTGAAGCAACATAAGTGTCCATCGACAGACAAATGGATAAAGAAAATGTGTTACATATACACAACGGAGTACTATTCTGCCATAAAAATAATGAGATCCAGTCATTTACAACAACATGGTTGGAAATGGAGATCATTATCTTAAGTGAAATAAGCCAGGCACAAAAAGGCAAACATTGCATGTTCTCACTTGTTTGTGGGATCTAAAAATCAAAACAATTGAACCCATGGACACAGAGAGTAGAAGGATTGTTACCAATGCCAGGAAGGATAGTGGAGGGTGGAGGGTAAGTGGGGACAGTTAGTGTGCACTTTAAAAAAAGAATATATACAAAGAATGAATAAGACCTACTATTTGATAGCACAATAGGGTAACTATAGTCAATAACATAATTATATATTTTAAAATAACTTAGAGTATAATCGGATTGTTTGTAACTCAAAGGACAAATGCTTGAGGGGATGGAGACCCCATTCTCCATGATGTGCTTATTTCGTATTGCATGCCTGTATTACATGTGCCCCATAAATATATAGACCTACTATGTACTCACCCACAAAAATTAAAAATAAAAATAAATTTTAAAATAGAATTCAACTGAATGATAAAAAACTTAAAACATCATTACAAAGGTGGGAGTTTATTCCAGTAAAGTGAGAGAATGCCTCAATATCAGGAAATTGACTACAAAATTTATTAGGTAAATATACTTATGGAGAAAACTTTCATGATCATCTCCATAAGTTCTGAAAATTTTTGTCATTTAACATTCATTCTTAATAAAAACATTATGAATAGGACTCAATGAATAAATACTTAACATAATAAAATATATACATTTCACCCAAAAGTCATTGCACCTCCCACTCTGCATTGGAAGTTTAGAATAGCAATCAAGCACATGAGACACAATATACTTCATTGAGGACCAAGTTTAAGTTAAGAAAGAATGTAAAATAGGAAATCCAAAATGTACATCAAGAGATCTTATGAATTCCAGGCCACAACTTCTGGTATCCAAAATCACTCCTGAAATGATTATTATTTACATATATACAATTCCAACTGCCTGGTACAAAGTGTTCAACTCAGTACATAGTAACCTTATGATAAGCTCACATTTGCGTTGGATCTGCTATACCAGGGATTCCCAACCCCTCAGCTGTGGACCAGTACCAGCCTGTGGCCTTTAAGAACTGAGCTGCACAGCAGGAAGTGAGCAGCAGACAAGTCAGCATTACTGTCTGAGCTCCGCCTCCTGTCAGATCAGCAGGGCATTAGATTCTTATAGGAGCACAAACCCTGTTGTGAACTGCATATGCAAGGGATCTAGGTTGTGCAGTCCTTATGAGAATCTAATACCTGGTGATCTGAGGTGAAACAGTTTCATCCCAAAACCATCCCTGCCCCATTCTGTGGAAAAACTGTCTTCCACGGGACTGGTCCCTGGTGTCAAAAAGTTTGAAGACCACTGTGTTATACACCTATGTTCCCTGAGTTAATGTTGTAAGTTTGAAGAAGATCAAGTCTCAGTCATTCCTGGGGTCAAACGACTAAGGTTCCAGTCTTCATCCTTTAATTGTAAGCAGTATCATAGTTAATAATGCTAAGGTCTGGATGCTTTTGTCCTTCCAAAATTCGTACATTGAAATCTAATTACCAATGTGATGGTATCAGAGAGTGAGACATTTAGGAGGTTATTGGATCCTGAGGGCAGAGCCCTCATGAATGAGATTAATGATGTTATAAAATAGACCCAAGGGAGTTATGTCTTCCCTTCCACCATGTCAGGACACCGTGAGAGAGAGACATTTATGAACCAGAAAGTAGGTCCTCATCAGACACCGAATCTTCCAGTGCTCAATATTGGATGTCCCAGTCTCCAGAACTGTGAGGAAAAGAAATTCCTTTTGTTGATAAGTCACTCACTTTATGGTATTTAGTTAAAACAACCCAAATGAACAGAAATAGAAAAATTGGTATGGAGAAGTGGCGGTGCTGCTGTAACAAATGGCTGAAAATGTGGAAGTGGCTTTGGAATTGGCTAATGGGTAGAAATGAGAAGAGTTTTGAAATACGTTGTAGAAAAACCCTACCTTGCTCTGAATAGATTAAGGGTGATACTGGTGAGGGCTCAGAAGAAGAGGATTTCTGTAGAGAAGGCTTCGGTCTTCTGGAAAAAGGCTTGAGTAATACTGAACAAAATGTTGGTAGAAATGTGGATGGTAAATGCCATTCTAACGAGATCTCAGAAGGAAATGAGGACTGCGCAGTGGCTCATGCCTGTAATCCCAACATTTGGGAGGCCGAGGCAGGCGCATCACTTGAGGTCAGGAGCTCAAGACCAGCCTGACCAATATGGTGAAACCCCAGCTCTACAAAATACAAAAATTAGCCCACCATGTTGGTGGGTGCCTGTAATCCCAGCTAATCTGGAGGCTGAGGTGGGAGAATCGCTTGAACCCAGGTGACGGAGGTTGCAGTGAGCAGAGATTGTGCCATTGCACTCTACCCTGGGCGACAGAGTGAAACTCCGTCTCAAAACAAAACAAAACAAAACAAAACAAAGAGGAATATGTTATTGGAAACTGAACTGGAGAAACAGTGATCCTTGTTATAAAGCAGCCAAAAACATGGCTGAATTGAGTTTCTGTCCTCGTGTTTTGTGGAAGGTAGAACTTGTGAGTGATGAAATTAGTATCCAGCTGATATTTACCTGAAGCTGCATCTAAGCAAAGTTTTGAAGGTGTGGCTTGTCTTCTCTTAAAAGCTTAAAGTAAAATGCAAGAAGAGAGAAACAACTTAGAGTTTTTTATTAAAAGAGAAGAACTTAGAATTTTAGAAAATGCTCAGCCTGTCCATGTTGAAAGAGATAAGAGCAACACAATGGTGCTCACTATGTTCACTTGTGTTAGATTTATTAGCCAAAGCAGTCACATAAAAGAATTAGATATATGAGCATTGAAAAAAGGGGAAAATTATATTTCCAGATGATAAAATGTATTACATGGCATATTCAAGAGCTGAAACAATGCGGAACCAAATGTTAAACCAAAAAATGTAGTAAACTAGAAAAATAAAAAACTGACATTCAAGAATTGAAGATATATCATGAGAGGGAATAACTCACTTATTATAGAAGTGATGAGAACAATAAAATGATCAAAGAATTAGGAATAAATTTATCAAAAAATTATGTGAAGAAAGCTTCAAAATATTTATGAAAGATGCAAAGTAAACAATAAACATAAAACAATAATTTTAATCCAAGGTAAGACAGAAATTTTAAATTATTCCCCCAACATGCTAAAGTATTTTCCTTCTAAACTCTAACAGGTTGATACTAAAGTACAAGTGGCAGACACAACAATGGAGAATTAGTGAGCACCTCCTGAAAAAGAAAAAAAAATGAAGGGGGCTTAGCCCCAGCAAACAGTAAAACATAATATAATGCCTCTGTAGATAAAATAGGATAGTACTGGCTCATGAATAGACATAGAGTAGAAATTCAAGAATTAGACTCATCAATATAATTCTGAAGAATATGAATTTTTAAAACAAAAATGTGAGGATAAATGTGTAGCTATTTGGAAATCAATTAAAATTGGATCTATGTCTAACACCACAGACCAGAATTACTTTAAGAACATCAGACATCAAATCTAAAAAATAAGAGAATGAATACACAAGAAGAAAACATGGATTAATTCCTTATAATATGGAGGTATTTTTTAATGACAGAAAATCCAGTAGCAATAAAAGAAAATGCACACATAATCACCTGTATATTTAAAATACAGATTTTATAACATATTTTTAAAATGACAAAAATTCAACATGCAAATTCAAAAGATAAAACTGAAAAGCTCTCAGAAAACAGTTATTAATATTCACAATGCTCTTAAAAATTAAGAAGAAAAAAGACTTAAAATCCCACAGAAATGGCCAAATATATGAACAGAGAATTCATAAAAGAAGATACACAAATGACCCTTATACTTATGAAATGATGCTCATGAACTCATAATGAAAAAAAAGTAACAATACCTTGAGATACTATTTCTCATCTATCAGGTTGGCAAAATTTTTTTAAATATTGAGAAGAAATATTGGCAAGTTTTATGTTGTAAGGAAACAATGTTTATATACACATATATTGCTGGTGAGAAACTCCAAAATTATTAATGGATTTACCCATTGACTCAGCACTCCCACTCTATGCTGAAGATGTCCTTCTGCAAACATGAAATAACATGAACAATCTGCTATAATCTGCTTCTCCCTGTGGTCTTCTCATTCTACTGGGCACCAAAAGCCAGCATTGGATTATCTGCATTACAAAGCCACACTGGTCATCTCACTCAGACTCCAATACCTCCTACTAAGCCAACACCCCAAGAGGTAGGCTCCCTCTTTACTCTTCTTGAGCTCTATTTAACAACTGTTCTGTTGTCCAGCAGCTCCAACTCCCTTCCCTACCACCCATACAAGTGCCTACCTGGTTCATCCCACCTAATGGCTTCTGAATCAGATTGCTTATGAAAGTGAAGTCAAGGAAGAAGATAAACAGTACAGGTTTTGATTTGTGAATACCTCTCCTTGGAGAAATGATGGAGAAGCTGAAAGTGTTATTTTAGCAAAAGATAAGTTCATCTAGAACTGTGGATTTTTGTGTGGCTTTTCTCCTGTTGTAGAATAATGATTAAGAAGGAGGAAGAAGGAATTTTCATCACCTCAAATGCGATTTGTCGTTCGGAAATATGATCTCATAATTATAACTCTAATTTATTTTAGAACTTATTAAGGCAATTTTATAGTGGCTTGGTAATAATCTTTAAGAAAATGTTTAATTTGAAGAACTGATTAAGAAAATTGAATTAACATAATATTTTATTAATGTAAATTTGTATTTTCCTATTCTATGTGGCTACAGTTAAGCAAAAACAGAAATTTGAGACCTTCCTTCCAATTTTAATGCTGGAGTGAATTATTTGAGAATAAATTATCAAAAGGGATGGCATAGTCTCAGAGAATTAATCATTGAAGTATATTGCTAAGCATTTCAAGCTATATATATTATTTTTTGAATTAGTTGATTATATGATTTTCTCATGTAAAACAGAAAGTATTGCCTCAGTGTAGATTGTTTCCCATAGTTTATTCCATAGCAGTGAGTACAATCAAGTGTGGAATTTTTTTAGTAATATTGTTCTAAATAAATTTTGCTGAACAATATGGACACATGCCAGGGAACAACATACACTGGGACCTATTGTGGTTGGGGGAGGGAGAGCATAAGGAAGAATAGCTAATGGATCCTGGGCTTAATAACCTAGGGAATGGGTTGACCTGTGCAGCAAACCACCATGGAACACATTTACCTATGTAACAAACCTGCACATCCTACGCATATAAACCAGAACTTAAAATTTGAAAACAAGAAAAGAAAATTGTCCTAAACAATCACACTTACTTTTTGAAAATAAATCCTATGTTCTGAATTTTCATCAAGAATATCTGTAATTTATGACTCAGATTTTGTAAAAGCATCTGCAATAAAATAAAATGGTTTGAATAAAATTCCTTAGAATGTATAAAAAAAATCACACTACTTTATAAACATTATTATTCTAAACTTAAGAAACAATGATTATATCCAGAAAGAGAAATGGAATAAAATATTTTAAAAATATACATAAGCACATGTGGATTTTAGTTTCCTCATAGTGGTTTATTATAACATAATGTTAACACATTTTTCAAAATAATTATGCTTTGAAAATGGTTTTAAAAATGTGGATGTGTATTAAAAGGTATAAAAGCAATTTTAAATTCAGATACTGAATGTTATGGAATAGAGTGCTTTGATTTCTGAAGAAAGGACAGATTATTCAGAAAGCAGTTTACTGTTCCCTTTTTCACTCCTCAAGATTCTAACAATTTCATTTCATTTTATTGTTTCAAATAAATGTACTTAAAGCTGCAATATCATTATGTTTTCATTGTGTATAGATGACACTCGCAATAAAATACCAATTTCCCTAAGAGTATAATAATAAACCCTGCGCTAAACAATGCTTTGTCCTTAACAAAGAGTTTTTATAAGACTCTCATATTATCTTCACAACACCCTGGGAGGTTTCACTCAGTTTCTGATCTGGAAAATTGGGGCTTACAGAAATTAAATGACTTCTCTAAATACTAAGGCTGTGAGTGGCCACACCTTGTGAACAGATCCCAGCTCTGCTGGTTTTGGTTCACTGTTTTGTCCAGTATATCACATTTTCCCCAGCATAAATTAATACATTGATTGATGTCGTTATATGTTACAAATCTGAATTACATGGACCTGAATTTTTCTCTTCCCATTACATGTTTAAATGTTATAAGCTTTATTTTAAGTAACTTTCTAGGATACGAGACATCTTTTACATTGATAAAAATGATTATCTGCCATTTCTTTGTGATTTTGTAAAATAACCTGACTCATTCCCCTCTTTGGGATTTAAACATGATTCATAAACCATGTGAAAATCAAGTATTTTCTTGGAAGTATCAATAAATGTGTATGTAACGTATATATCCTATCATAGAAATTGTGTAGAGAATTCTACCAAACCAAACTCCCTCCAAATTAATGAAAACAAGCTTTACTTGAGGTGCTAAGGTAGTTTCCCTGGGAGAGATGAACTCAACTGGGAGACATGGAGCTAGAATGCCACTGGGGGTTGCCATGGGATACAGTTTCATAAAAGCATTTGCAGAGCAGAAGGAAGGAAGCTAAATAAAGTATATGCAGGTATGAAATGAGAAGTTTTCTGTTTAATTTTCCATAAACAACAGAACAACTTGAAATGTTTGTCTATGTGAAAAAATTCTTTCTGTCAGAGCAAATTACGTTTGGCATTTGGAAATACAATCCCATAATTGTAGACCTAATTTGTTTTAAAACTTGAGAGAGCAGTTTTTATAACAGCATTGTAATGCACTTCAAGGTAATAGTTTTTAAGAGCTATTGAGAAAAACAAATTAATATCATATTTAGGTAATATAAATGTATACCTCTTATTTTGTATGATTATAGGCAAACAGAAATAGGAAACAATTTGTGACTATCCCAGGATCTAAAGTTTTATTAAGGAGAAGAGCAAATCTTTGAAAATTCTTGTGCTGATGGCCCTTTTTGCAAACTTGTTTCTTTTGCCTGCTACTCTAAGTAACTTATGGATATACTATGAAACAGCCACCATATTAATTAGTTTAACGCCTGAGAAGTTTTCAGTGAATTAATTAGCTTTACATAAAAATGTAATTTCTTACATGAAGTCTGTGTATTGAATACATGTTATACATGTCATGTAAATTTCTATTAAAAAGGCAAATGTATTTTACAGAAATGCATTGACATACTAGTCCTCTCCAGAAATTACTTGAGAATATTAATGTATAAATTCTACGTATAAATAAAAACTTGAATTACTACTTGAAAAGTATTGATTCTTAACAGTAAGAAATTAGTCACAGAACAGCCAATGGAACAACATAAAGCAAAATAAACAAAAACCTGTAGCTGCCTGTTAGCTAGTAATAAAAATGTTTCACACTTCAAGAGAGACAAATTATTGTAGTAATGATAAAATAATCCTTTCTTTGCTCCCTTTCTCCCTCCCCGTCTTCCTTCCTCTTTCTTCGTTTCACGAGGATCTTATCAAGGCTTATACTTTGCATTTGTTTGCTTTTAGCCTCTTCACCTTAATTTTTTTAAACAATCACTTTTTTTGACAAAAGAGTCCTGTCTTTTTGTAGAATGCCTGCTATTCCAAATTTGTGATTTTTAGCACTTGGGATCATTTAACCTTTCCTCTGTCTTCTATATTCTCTTTAATTAAATGTAGATGTTTGATTAGATCATGGTTGACATTGTTGGCAAGAATACATTAGAGGTGATTTTCTTCATATTGCATTACCTCAAAAAGTAAAAATTTACCACCTTGACCCACTATTAGTGATCATCAACTATAAATGCAGTTATTTAGTTAAGATGGCGACTGCAAGTTCTGGCTATTTTAAGCGCACATTTTTCCCCCTGCAATCTGTGTTGGATTCCTTTGCCAACATTTGAATATCCTGTTCTCCACTGACCATCGACATAATGGCTTTAGTGTTTACTGATGACACTTACCTGAATTAATTATAAATGTTAAATCTCCAGTTTTATCATTCCATATAGCTTTATAATCTAGTGCATCTTGCATAAGTATTTTTCTTCTTTCTCATTTTCATATTTGTGTATGTATATATGTATGTATGTGTATGTATATTTATTTATAAATTATCATTAGGGTCCATGGATTCTTTAAAAATATATATTATAATCAATTTTACATAGTATTTTATTTTCATGCTCACTGTGTCATAAATTTATCCAGCAAGAACATCTTCAAGCTGGGTTATTTTTCCTTTTGACGTGAGATTCCATTAGTCTTTAGCTTCCTTGCTTTCTGACGGAATAAAGTATCCCAGACACAATTTGTACTATAGTTGCCCCACAACTGAAATCAACTTTCTAAGGAGGAAAGGGAGTAAATTATCTGACTGGTGTATTTGGGAGAAAGAACAGACAAAATGTGGCTCAGTCTCTTTAGGGCTCTGACTCCTTTATAAGGATAACTCGGCAGAATGCGTATATTCTAGGGTGCTCCCATACAGGTGGTAAAGGACCTGCCCCAGTGGGGAAAACCTGTGGTTGCCCAGCTGCTCTAAAGACTGAGTGGAAAAGTCTGCCTAGTTTAAAACTGGAGGACATGTCCATTATTACTGCGCAATGAATCCATGTACTCCAATCTAGCTTTTATCAAGAATAAAACTGACATTTTTATCTACTGTCATTGTGATTCCCTCTCTCTCTGAATTGGTTGTGAACTTGCACAAGAAAAATGGGTTATCATATTATTGAATTCAAAACCATTATAAAATTTATTTGAAGAAAAGTCTCATCACATTAAAATATAAGCACAAATATAAACACAAATCTACGGTGCAACAGAGAATGAAATCTTGCCTAAAGAGAAATGATACATTTGCACCTACATGAATTCTAATGACCAAAGATTAGTTATTGGTAACTTTACCAAAAATAAATTTTTAACCTAGGCTGTCGGTAAGTTCTGATAGAAACATAGCCCAAAAAAAGAACTAAAACTCTTAAAATTTGGTATGTGTTAGCAGAGCATCTGGCTGATCTCAGCAGTGGGCACTGCCCATCTACCTGCTAACTGCTAGTGGTCCCATTAACCCAGATGACCTACTGCACTTTGCAAAAAAGACACCAAGAGTAGCATAGGTCTGAAGAGAATCTGATTTACAGAGTCCACTTAATTCTGTCTCATTTTCTAAATAGATACTGTATTAGATAAAGATTATACTCTTCGCATATATGTCACTTTCTTAATTATATTGAAAATTTCTCAAAGTTATTTTATAACCCTAGCATAGTAACTTATAAGTAGTAGGTATTCAATTAAAGTTTTGTTTTCAAAGTCATTCTCACTTAATAATTAGTTACAACTTTTGCCTTTTTGGTGCCATTATATATTTTTTAATCTTTCTAAAAATCTTTTTAGTCAGATATTACAAAGAAAGTTCATAAATAGGTCACAGAAAGCAATTTCTCCATTTACCTCCAAATTGTTTTCCAAACACATTACTACAAGAGGGTGGTCATTGATCTTGCTCTGCAAGAACAATTGATTGGTTGCCAGTGTTTCTACAATCCCAAGGGTTATTTTAAAACTCAGGTAATTTTCATTATGCTAAAATGCATTCTCATTTAAATTTCTGTTGGCTGCTGAAAGCAGTACTTGTTAAGAGAAATTTCATTTACTTTTCCTGAGAGAATACATGCATCCTTGAAGAATACATTACATTTTCTCTGCTATCTAAGTCATTATCTGGTGGTAAAAATGCTGCTTAGTAATATTAACTCATTTAGGTTACTAAGACATTCTTTAGTGCATGTCTCCTGCTAATTTGAAACCAAGGGCATTTCCTGACTGGCATTTATTTATATTCCTTCTGACGTCACACTCGCCCTCACTCCACAATATTCAATATACTCTGGAAATAAACTTAAGAAATAGACATGACTGATAACATTTGCTTCCAAGGAGGAGACCTGAGGACTGTATACTGGTATAAAAGAGAGAATTACTTTTGTCTTTTCTCTCCTTTTTTTAACTCCTTGAGCTTCTTTTAGCATATGTTACCAACTTAAAAAAATACGAGATTCAAAGCACAAAAACAAGTATTATGGAGTCTGTCAGAGAATCAGTCTTAGTAAAAAAAAAAAAAAATTGCTTAAGTTTAATTGAGCAACTATATCTCTAAACAAGTAAAGTGTGGAGCAAGTTGACCTGCATCTGGACAATATCGTCAAAATTAGGCAGGATAATGGGTATCCATGATACTTCCTTCACATTTTATTTTGTCCTTTGAAGAATTTGCTTTGATCATTGTCTTTAAGATCCTCTTATTTAAATAAAAAGACATAGTCCTCCTGGTTGGTTATTAGTACACCTTGTGTCTTCTTTCTTACTTCTATTTTATGTAGAGCTTCCTTAGCTCCATGTAAATTAGAAATACTGGAGACACACTACGGTTCAGTTAAAACTATAGAGTTCTTCCATTTGGAAACACAACCCACAGCAATAAAGTACATTATATACAGAATTAGAGAACACTGCCTTTTAAAAATATTTGACACTGTTTTACCATGAGAGCCAATCAATAATTCAGTGAAGGATCTGCTTAAATTTTTAAAGCCATTGTATTAGTCCATTCTTATGCTGATACGAAGAAATACCCAAGACTGGGTAATTTATAAAGAAAAGAGGTTTAATTAACTCACAGTTCCACAGGGTTGGGGAGGCCTCAGAAAATTCACAATCATGGTGGAAGGGGAAGCAAACACATCCTTCTTCACATGGCAACAAGAAGGAGAAGAAGAATGAGAGAAGTGCAGAGAAGGGTGGAAAAGCCTGTCACAAAACCACCAGATCTCGTGAGAACTCACTCACTCTCATGAGAACATGGGGGAAAGGCCCCCATGATTCAATCACCTCCCACAAGGTCCTTCCCCCAACCTGTAGGGATTACAATTCAAGATGAGAATTGGCTGGGGACATAGAGCTAGACTATATCAGCCATCAACAAAAATAAGTTACTTAATGCATAACTGCATTTGATACTGATGGAGATAATTATTTAAAATATTCAAAGATGTGGTCTAAGAAATATCCACACCAGGATTATTGGAATTCCTTGTGAAAATGCAGAAACTTACGTTTTTCCTCAACTCAATAAATGAGAATGTTCAGGGGTCCACTTCAGGGGGATCTAGATTCTTCTAAAGGCCCAAAGGTAAATATTTTTTATACTTAAGCCCTAGAATAATAACTTTAGAAACTTTAGGTAAGAAAGACTACATCGATTTCTAGGTAGAAAAATGAAAAGATACAGAGAAAAGATACAGTTATACACATATTTTTTTCAATGATCAAATTTCCATTTTTTTTTTTCCTGTGCAGATCAGCATCAGTTTAAATATATCCTCACTGGGAGAGTGACGTTGACATGATGGCAGAATAGTTTCTACTATGTTCTTCTCACAGTGCACCGATTTGGACAAAAACCCACAGCAAGAGTGCCTTTGTAGGAGTCTAGGAGTCCAATCAGTAAGTTCCAGCAAACAGTTGAAGTGGAAAAAAAAAAAAAAAAAGCCAAGAATAGATGCATTGAAGAGGTAAGAAAAACAGTTTCACTTTACTTGCATCATCCTTCCTGCAGAGGGGCCCAGCTAAGTGCCAACAGATATCCCTTGGACTGAAACTCCTTCCACAAGGGAAAGTTAGAGGAGAGTGAGTGAGTAACCCAGCTTCCCCAGATATGTATAACACTGCTCAAGAGCCACCTCTTTCTTGCCCCACCAGAATACTCAGGGGCTCAGCAGAGCCGATTGGCTGGGAGCAGGGAAGAGAGTGGAGTACTGAAAGCAATTAGGCCTCCTGGAACTTAACAAAGAGCTGTGTATCTTACTCAGCAATTCAGGAACTCATCAGAAGGCTGCTTGGGACGCCTCAACCACGGAGCCTTTCAGCTGGCCCACCAGAGGCTGCAATGCTCCATGTCACCTGATGCCCCCCAAGGCTGGCTTCCCATGAACACACCTGGAATGTGAAGTTGAGAGTGGGCAGACAGAGCATGAGCAGTCCACCAACTCATGTTACCTGGGACGGTTAAAGTTATGTGTTTCCCTGACTATAATTATTCCCAAAGAAAGAATCAATGTAGTATGGAAGAGAAGAGGGGTAGGAAGAATGCGGTTTTGTGACATGGGGGTAGATATATCAAAAAAATTACACCATTTCAAAGCTTAGGAACACAGATGCAGACTTTTGACACATCAATTTCCCATGTATGAAAGAAGGATATGTTAAAGTTTTGTTAGGCCCCAAAGGATTGAAAGAAACGAATTGTCTAAACAATTTGTTCATATCTAAAGGGAAAAAACCAGTATTTTGAAATTTGAACATGCCAAGCTTTACCTTAGTCAAAAATATTGCTATTTTAATGTTGTCAATTCACATTCACAGCTCTTATTATTTGCCTAATAATTATTGTATTTTTTTGTCATTGGTATCTATCTTATGTTAATTCTGAAACATTTTCTAACTTTAAAATTGTCAGGATTTTCCTAAAGACTTTTCTTCTCCTTAACAGACAGCCTTGTTACTTACTAGACTGAAACTCCAGAATATGTCAAAAGGAGAACTAATCTTAGTAAAATAATTATGATAATATATTTCTATGATAGTAGGATAATAGAACATGACAGACAAAACTTGATGATAAAATGTATGGTAACATATTTCATGCAACATCAACAGAGTGATTTTTTTAAATAGCAGTAAGGAAAATTCAGCTATCAACCTGTTTTCACGATATTAGCGGAAAATGCGTTTCAGATTTTTCAGCCAAATGCTATGGATTAGGTTTATTGGGTTAACATCTAATAATAAAAGCTCTGTATGCTTTTTCAGGTTATATGAGAATATATTTTCCTAATAAAACATGTCATATATAAAAAAGAAACACATTAACCTCTTAATTTGGGGAATTACATTTAATAAAGTACACCATTAATAAAACAGTAAATTCCAGTATTATATCATTATAGAGTTTCCAGATTTTGGGAGAATATTTTCCCTTGTTATGATAGAACTAAAATCTTTAAGCCACCAAAGCAAGAAAAATAAAATAAAATACACATAGAAATGATAAAAAGTTGGTAAGAAGAACTGATAGCAGCAGATTTATTGTGAGGTTCTTTGAGCAAGTTGACCTGAAATGAGCACAAAGTAAGGGGCATGAAACCACATTTTTCCCTGGTGGTAATTTCTGAAATTTATTCATTGCTTTACTCCTTGGCTCATAGGTTCTTCCAGGTGTTTCTCACTGTAGTAATGACAAAGCCAAGGAAAGCTGTTTAGGGTCAAATTATCACAGTGGACCCCAGCAGCCAGTGAGCTGTTGGGAGGAGTGAGAGTATTTATGTTTATAACAGGACTTATTGGGCCAAATAAGACATTTTCATTTATTAAGTTCTTTTTCATCTGGTTTATTTTTTACTGATCTCTGGCATTACCTAGGTTTTTTTTTTCTTTTGCAATTGTAACGTTAAGTTTCTTTTTTTTTTTAATCCTGGAAAATAGAACACTTCTAAGCCTGCGTCAGCTTATTCTGTGGACTACTTAAGTTTGGCAGTATACATACCACAAAACTAAATCTTATAGGGGAGATAAAGGATTTCAAGAGTCAGTGAGCCAAAGAAGAGTGAGATCCTGTGACCAGAAGTAGGAGCAAGGGAGCTAGGCCTGACCTTGGAGTTTGAGATCACTTCCAAGAAGTAGGGCCTGGACTTTGAGATATAGGTGTTCTTGGAGGACTTGCATTAGTAGCAGGTTTTGGGCACTTACCAAATGGGGATATGCTAGGAGCAAATTAAGGAACGGGTATGGCCACAACTCAGTTGAAGCGGTATGGGCAGAACAGTGCAGAGTGTTAGTGCCAGCAGAAGCAAGTGTCAGTCATTATCACTCCTCTACTTGCCTTGGTGATCTCATGAGGGCTAAGAACTGAAGAGGGAGATTCATCACCTCATGTGGAGGCTTGTCCAGAGTGATATTAAGTGATAGCTCCTTGCTGGGAGAAGTTTCCAGCAATAAGTAAGGCTATCTTAGAGAGATTAAATTTTTGTGTAGGCATGTAGGTATTTGAAAGCTATCATGGCTAACAATTTGATTTTGAAAAAAAAGTATTCTGAAATACTGAGTTGGTAAGGCATGGACACAGCCACCACAAAATTATTATAACAAAAATAAGCCAGGATTTAAATTTTAGTTATCTCATTCTAACTACTCACTTGGCTTCTTTGAAATTGAATTCTGCATATGTAAAATGTATATTAAAGCAATGATTTTATTTTGGTCTAGTACATGAAACATAAGAGTTCTGTGAAAGTATAAAGTTTTGTGGTAAGATGAGTACAATATTTTGCAAAATTAGGAAACTTAGCTGGTTAATAACACAGAAAATCTCAGAGAACCTGATAATATGTAATAATAAACACACATGAACACCATGTACCAGAGGAAATGCAGTGTTCTTTACTTTAAAAAAAAATCTTGAAGGACACCAGTAAAGTGGCTTCACAAAACGGCAATATTCCATCTTTCAGTGCCCAAACTTAAGTAGAAAGCACTGATCTTTAAAAGGTTTTGAAAATCTCATATTCATTAAACCAGTCCTTTTCATGTAAGAAATGTTGACAATCTAACAGCTAGTGACTTCCTGTATCAAAAGAAACAAACAAACAAAACCATCAAATGCTGATTGGCAGCAACAGCTGAGCTATCTAAAGTCAAAAAAAAAAAAAAGAAGGAAAGGAGAAAGAGGGAGAAAGAGAAAGGACAACCTTCTGTCACAAAGGGGCTGGGAAAGTACAGTTATGTGGTAGACTGCCAGAAATGACCTGTGGTATTTATATGAGAGAAACCCAGATATTAGAGGAGGAGCTGCTCATCCCTGCTGTAAGAGTTGCTTACTCAGCGCAGGAGTAGAAAATGTCTTTAGTTTGAAAATTCGAAGATACTTTAAGCGGAATGGAAAACCAATGTTAAAGAACTAAAATTTAAAGAATGCTATATAAAACATGTATATTTAATGGCTATTATAAATGCTAAAAATAATGTTTAATACTGTTTATATCACGAACCATGTCAACCATTAGGAAAATAGAGATATTAAACAAACAAAAATTTGACTTCAAATTTGACTCATTCAAATTTCTGGGAATTGATGACATCTTTCACTTCATTTTTCTCCCCCAACCCCCAATAATAAAGGCTTGTTAATTGATCTGTTTTTTCAGGTATAACCTATATCATAAATCTAAGGACCAGTTAACAAATTAAGACCTCCATTTCTGGATTAAACTTTTTACCAGGTTTTTGGACTTCTAATAGCACCAATATTTCTCTCTATATACGAGGTAAAACATACCCTTAGATATTAAAGATACATAGGCACACACACACTCATGCACACACACACATATACACATACACACACATATATACACACACACTATATATACACATACACACACACTATATATATATATATATAAATGAAACTGACCCAATTGTCCTATAGAATTGATGTTTATCATTTCTTTTGAATAAACAAAAAAATCAACCCTCAAAGCCTTGAACTTGAGAAATTTACATTTGTCTTACTTGAGTTTCTTTCTCAGGAAACCAACCAATAGGCCTCCCAGATAGTATCAAGGAGCTGAAACTGACCGGATCACTGCATTTGGACAATGAGATGCCAGACCCCTCACCCACAGATTACCTAAAGAACTACCTGCTTCCTGTTGACTAACTCCTCTTCCTTACCCCTCACTAATTCCTGTTTCTCTGCATGTAGGTATATTTCTTCTATATAAACTCCTAATTGTAGTCAGTCAGAGAGATGGATTTCAGACTGATCTGCCAGCTCCTCGGCTACAGCACCCAACTAAAGTCTTCTTCCTTGGCAATACCTGTCGCCATCATTTCCTTTCTGTGCAGCAAGCAGCAGGACCTTGATGGAACCCCCAGTGTTTTGGTAACATACACACACACATACATACATACATACACACACACACACTGAACTCAGTTGTCAAGAGTGACTCATGCTACACCTAGATGCCTATACTCTTATCCACAAAGTACATCTCTAACTAATCATAACATCCTTACTCAACTAACCTGAACATGACCTCCTAAATTTTCTCAAGACAGTGCTGCAGGAGGTCTCTAACAATCCATGAGGGTTAGCATAAGACTGGAAACCTATTTGCTACCCCACGTGTTGAGAGGTTCTCTGAATAATAGCACCCTATTTTCCTATAACCTGATAGTATATTCTCAATGGCAGCTTCTGAAATTGACTTCTAACAGTAGATCACTTGCTGACTTTATCTTTAAGTGGAAAGAGAAAACTGGGGAGAACTAATCAGCAGCACTTCTCCTGGTTGTAGCAACAGGCATCAATGATTTCCTTATCCTTCCTTTGTGGCAAATGTATGCCACTACTGATACTTTCTAAGGATGGGGGCTTCTAGAACTTTTCCTGTCAGCTAATATTTTAAGATCATCATGGGTCTCTGACATAGATGTTGCTTTCTTTTTAATGTGATCAACCAATGTTGACTTTTATTTGCTTCATCTAAAAACCAGCCCCAGCAAGTTTCTTTTTAGCTGTCTTTAGACAACTACTTACAAAGAAGAGTCACATACTAAAACCTATTTATAGACAATGTCCCCCCATCATTTCTACTAAAATTAACAAGTCTGTGCCATACCAAATCAGGCTCCTAGCTATTCCTTGGTCTATCTTTGGTCATATTTTTATAACCTGCACCTTACAACAAGATTAGCTCTCTTACGGAAAAAAGAAGACATTCACCCCTACAAGTCGCAACATAGAGCCCATGATTTCACCTGGCGGTGCGCAAGCTTTGGGGAAAATGGCAACTTGGTAAAAGTACAAATTCTTCACATACCCTCTTAAAGGTACTGTGCAGAAATAACTGTTGAAAATCACCTTTATAAATAACCCTGGTGCCCCAAATAATTACTCAGAGTGCAATCTATATTTTAAAAGTCAGTTAAAAATTACATATGTTGGGGGGAGGAGCCAAGATGGCCGAATAGGAACAGCTCCAGTCTACAGCTCCCAGCGTGAGCAACGCAGAAGACCGGTGATTTCTGCATTTCCATCTGAGGTACCGGGTTCATCTCACTAGGGAGTGCCAGACAGTGGGCGCAGGTCAGTGGGTGGGCGCACCGTGAGCGAGCCAAAGTAGGGCGAGGCATTGCCTCACTCAGGAAGCACAAGGGGTCAGGGAGTTCCCTTTCCCAGTCAAAGAAAGGGGTGACAGACGGCACCTGGAAAATCGTGTCACTCCCACCCGAATACTGTGCTTTTCCAACGGGCTTAAAACACAGCGCACCTGGAGAATATATCCTGCACCTGCCTCGGAGGGTCCTATGCCCACGGAGACTCGCTGATTGCTAGCACAGCAGTCTGAGATCAAACTGCAAGGCCGCAGCCAGGCTTGGGGAGGGGCACCCGCTATTGCCCAGGCTTGCTTAGGTAAACAAAGCAGCCTGGAAGCTCAAACTGGGTGGAGCCCACCACAGCTCAAGGAGGCCTGCCTGCCTCTGTAGGCTCCACCTCTGGGGGCAGGGCACAGACAAACAAAAAGACAGCAGTAACCTCTGCAGACTTAAATGTCCCTGTCTGACAGCTTTGAAGAGAGCAGTGGTTCTCCCAGCACGCAGCTGGAGATCTGAGAACCAGCAGACAGCCTCCTCAAGTGGGTCCCTGACCCCTGACCCCCCAGCAGCCTAACTGGGAGGCACCCCCCAGCAGGGGCACACTGACACCTCACACAGCCAGGTACTCCAACAGACCTGCAGCTGAGGGTCCTGTCTGTTAGAAGGAAAACTAACAAACAGAAAGGACATCCACACCAAAAACCCATCTGTACATCACCATCATCAAAGACCAAAAGTAGATAAAACCACAAAAATGGGGAAAAAACACAGCAGAAAAACTGGAAACTCTAAAAAGGAGAGCAACTCTCCTCCTCCAAAGGAACGCAGTTCCTCACCAGCAATGGAACAAAGCTGGACGGAGAATGACTTTGACGAGCTGAGAGAAGAAGGCTTCAGACGATCAAATTACTCTGAGCTACGGGAGGACATTCAAACCAAAGGCAAAGAAATTGAAAACTTTGAAAAAAATTTAGAAGAATGTATAACTAGAATAACCAAAACAGAGAAGAGCTTAACGGAGCTGATGGAGCTGAAAACCAAGGCTCGAGAACTAAGTGAAGAATGCAGAAGCCTCAGGAGCTGATGCGATCAACTGGAAGAAAGGGTATCAGCAATGGAAGATGAAATGAATGAAATGAAGCGAGAAGGGAAGTTTAGAGAAAAAAGAATAAAAAGAAATGAGCAAAGCCTCCAAGAAATATGGGACTATGTGAAAAGACCAAATCTACGTCTGATTGCTGTACCTGAAAGTGACTGGGAGAATGGAACCAAGTTGGAAAACACTCTGCAGGATATTATCCAGGAGAACTTCCCCAATCTAGCAAGGCAGGCCAACGTTCAGATTCAGGAAATACAGAGAACGCCACAAAGATACTCCTCGAGAAGAGCAACTCCAAGACACATAATTGTCAGATTCACCAAAGTTGAAATGAAGGAAAAAATGTTAAGGGCAGCCAGAGAGAAAGGTCGGGTTACCCTCAAAGGGAAGCCCATCAGACTAACAGCAGATCTCTCGGCAGAAACTCTACAAGCCAGAAGAGAGTGGGGGCCAATATTCAACATTCTTAAAGAAAAGAATTTTCAACCCAGAATTTCATATCCAGCCAAACTAAGCTTCATAAGTGAAGGAGAAATAAAATCCTTTACAGACAAGCAAATGCTGAGAGATTCTGTCACCACCAGGCCTGCCCTAAAAGAGCTCCTGAAAGAAGCGCTAAACATGGAAAGGAACAACCGATACCAGCCGCTGCAAAATCATGCCAAAATGTAAAGACCATAGAGACTAGGAAGAAACTGCATCAACTAATGAGCAAAATAACCAGCTAACATCATAATGACAGGATCAAATTCACACATAACAATATTGACTTTAAATGTCAATGGACTAAATGCTCCAATTAAAAGACACAGACTGGCAAATTGGATAAAGAGTCAAGACCCATCAGTGTGCTGTATTCATGAAACCCATCTCACGTGCAGAGACACACATAGGCTCAAAATAAAAGGATGGAAGAAGATCTACCAAGCAAATGGAAAACAAAAAGGCAGGGGTTGCAATCCTAGTCTCTGATAAAACAGGCTTTAAACCAACAAAGATCAAAAGAGACAAAGGAGGCCATTACATAATGGTAAAGGGATCAATTCAACAAGAAGAGCTAACTATCCTAAATATATATGCACCCAATACAGGAGCACCCAGATTCATAAAGCAAGTCCTGACTGACCTACAAAGAGACTTAGACTCCCACACATTAATAATGGGAGACTTTAACACCCCACTGTCAACATTAGACAGATCAATGAGACAGAAAGTCAACAAGGATACCCAGGAATTGAACTCAGCTCTGCACCAAGGGGACCTAATAGACATCTACAGAACTCTCCACCCCAAATCAACAGAATATATATTTTTTTCAGCACCACACCACACCTATTCCAAAATTGACCACATACTTGGAAGTAAAGCTCTCCTCAGCAAATGTAAAAGAACAGAAATTATAACAAACGATCTCTCAGACCACAGTGCAATCAAACTAGAACTCAGGATTAAGAATCTCACTCAAAACTGCGCAACTACACAGAAACTGAACAACCTGCTCCTGAATGACTACTGGGTACATAACGAAATGAAGGCAGAAATAAAGATGTTCTTTGAAACCAACGAGAACAAAGACACAACATACCAGAATCTCTGGGACGCATTCAAAGCAGTGTGTAGAGGGAAATTTATAGCACTACATGCCCACAAGAGAAAGCAGGAAAGATCCAAAATTGACACCCTAACATCACAATTAAAAGAACTAGAAAAGCAAGAGCAAACACATTCAAAAGCTAGCAGAAGGCAAGAAATAACTAAAATCAGAGCAGAACTGAAGGAAATAGAGACACAAAAAACCCTTCAAAAAATTAATGAATCCAGGAGCTGGTTTTTTGAAAGGATCAACAAAATTGATAGACTGCTAGCAAGACTAATAAAGAAAAAAAGAGAGAAGAATCAAATAGATGCAATAAAAAATGATAAAGGGGATATCACCACCGATCCCACAGAAATACGAACTACCGTCAGAGAATACTACAAACACCTCTACGCAAATAAACTAGAAAATCTAGAAGAAATGGATACATTCCTCGACACATACACTCTCCCAAGACTAAACCAGGAAGAAGTTGAATCTCTGAATAGACCAATAACAGGAGCTGAAATTGTGGCAATAATCAATAGCTTACCAACCAAAAAGAGTCCAGGACCAGATGGATTCACAGCCGAATTTTACCAGAGGTAAAAGGAAGAACTGGTACCATTCCTTCTGAAACTATTCCAATCAATAGAAAAAGAGGGAATCCTCCCTAACTCATTTTATGAGGCCAGCATCATCCTGATACCAAAGCCGGGCAGAGACACAACCAAAAAAGAGAATTTTAGACCAATATCCTTGATGAACATTGATGCAAAAATCCTCAGTATAATACTGGCAAAACGAATCCAGCAGCACATCAAAAAGCTTATCCACCATGATCAAGTGGGCTTCATCCCTGGGATGCAAGGCTGGTTCAATATACACAAATCAATAAATGTAATCCAGCATATAAACAGAAGCAAAGACAAAAACCACATGATTACCTCAATAGATTCAGAAAAGGCCTTCGACAAAATTCAACAACCTTCATGCCAAAAACTCTCAATAAATTAGGTATTGATGGGACATATCTCAAAATAATAAGAGCTATCTATGATAAACCCACAGCCAATATCATACTGAATGGGCAAAAACTGGAAGCATTCCCTTTGAAAACTGGCACAAGACAGGGATGGCCTCTCTCACCACTCCTATTCAACATAGTGTTGGAAGTTCTGGCCAGGGCAATCAGGCAGGAGAAGGAAATAAAGGGTATTCAATTAGGAAAAGAGGAAGTCAAATTGTCCCTGTTTGCAGACGACATGATTGTATATCTAGAAAACCCCATTGTCTCAGCCCAAAATCTCCTTAAGCTGATAAGCAACTTCAGCAAAGTCTCAGGATACAAAATCAATGTACAAAAATCACAAGCATTCTTATACACCAACAACAGACAAACAGAGAGCCAAATCATGAGTGAACTCCCATTCACAATTGCTTCAAAGAGAATAAAATACCTAGGAATCCAACTTACAAGGGATGTGAAGGACCTCTTCAAGGAGAACTACAAACCACTGCTCAAGAAAATAAAAGAGGATACAAACAAATGGAAGAACATTCCATGCTCATGGGTAGGAAGAATCAATATCGTGAAAATGGCCATACTGCCCAAGGTAATTTACAGATTCCATGCCATCCCCATCAAGCTACCAATGACTTTCTTCACAGAATTGGAAAAAACTACTTTAAAGTTCATATGGAACCAAAAAAGAGCCTGCATCGCCAAGTCAATCCTGAACCAAAAGAACAAAGCTGGAGGCATCACACTACCTGACTTCAAACTATACTACAAGGCTATAGTAACCAAAACAGCATGGTACTGGTACCAAAACAGAGATATAGATCAATGGATCAGAACAGAGCCCTCAGAAATAACGCTGCATATCTACAAGTATCTGATCTTTGACAAACCTGAGAAAAACAAGCAATGGGGAAAGGATTCCCTATTTAATAAATGGTACTGGGAAAACTGGCTAGCCATATGTAGAAAGCTGAAACTGGATCCCTTCCTTACACCTTATACAAAAATCAATTCAAGATGGATTAAAGACTTAAACATTAGACCTAAAACTATAAAAACCCTAGAAGAAAACCTAGGCTTTACCATTCAGGACATAGGCATGGGCAAGAACTTCATGTCTAAAACACCAAAAGCAATGGCAACAGAAGCCAAAATTGACAAATGGGATCTAATTAAACTAAAGAGCTTCTGCACAGCAAAAGAAACTACCATCAGAGTGAACAGGCAACCTACAAAATGGGAGAAAATTTTTGCAACCTACTCCTCTGACAAAGGGCTAATATCCAGAATCTACAATGAACTCAAACAAATTTACAAGAAAAAAACAAACAACCCCCTCAAAAAGTGGGCAAAGGACATGAACAGACACTTCTCAAAAGAAGACATTTATGCAGCCAAAAAACACATGAAAAAATGCTCACCATCACTGGCCATCAGAGAAATGCAAATCAAAACCACTATGAGATACCATCTCACACCAGTTAGAATGACAATCATTAAAAGTCAGGAAACAACAGGTGCTGGAGAGGATGTGGAGAAATAGGAACACTTTTACACTGTTGGTGGGACTGTAAACTAGTTCAACCATTGTGGAAGTCAGTGTGGCGATTCCTCAGGGATCTAGAACTGGAAATACCATTTGACCCAGCCATCCCATTACTGGGTATATACCCAAAGGACTATAAATCATGCTGCTATAAAGACACATGCGCACGTATGTTTATTGCAGCATTATTCACAATAGCAAAGACTTGGAACTAACCCAAATGTCCAACAATGATAGACTGGATTAAGAAAATGTGGCAGATATACACCATGGAATACTATGCAGCCATAAAAAATGATGAGTTCATGTCCTTTGTAGGGACATGGATGAAATTGGAAATCATCATTCTCAGTAAACTATCACAAGAACCAAAAACCAAACACGCATATTCTCACTCATAGGTGGGAACTGAACAATGAGAACACATGGACACAGGAAGGGGAACATCACACTCTGGGGCCTGTTATGGGGTGGGGGGAGGGGGGAGGGATAGCATTGGGAGATATACCTAATGCTAGATGACGAGTTAGTGGGTGCAGCGCACCAGCATGGCACATGTATACAAATGTAACTAACCTGCACATTGTGCACATGTACCCTAAAACTTAAAGTATAATAATAAAAAAAGTCAATAAAAAAAATAAATTCCATTTCTCTTATGGCAAAAAAAAAATTACATATGTTATTCAGCTTGATTTAGCCTTTCCATTAAAAGTATTTCTGGATTTTAGATAAATATAGCAAAGTATAATCTATAGAATATTCAAATTTGCTGAAAATTTGATAAAACAAAATACATTCATATTTTATTTTAATACCCAAATTTAGATATTAGAAGGAGTCTAGTACTCAGTCCTTTTCATTTCATATTTCCAAAAGTACATTATGGTAATAGCTCTCCAGTTGTGATGATCATGAACCGTGGTTTAAAAAAATAACACACACACACACACACACACACACACTCACGAATTCAACCAAGAAACTATGTAACAGAGGACGAAAAAGATATTGGAACTACAACTACTAGTAGGGGATGTTGAAATGATGCCAGTTCACAAGATTTTGCTCATTTCTTGAATACAATTCCAAAATCAATCAATATCAAAATGAACACAAATGACAGCAGATAATTCAGACTCTTGAAGAAAATGTCATACCCCATAGATCTTGGTTAAGTAATCCTTTACTGCTAATGATGGCCAGCCATGTTCTCTTAATTTTTTTTTCCATGTTCTCTTAATTAATCTTTATCCCATTCTACCATTTCTTTATCCTTTTCCTAATTTCTTTATTCATACTTTGCTTTCCCTATGTTTTCAGTCTGTAAAAATCTTTAGGTGAGCACAGTTTCTTCTGTTTTCCTTCTGTTTGAGCCATTGACTGAAGCTGAAGTTCCTATAGCAATGAAGATCCTCAAATAAAAATAAAATTTATTGTTATAAGAAAAATTCTGTTTATCAAGCTATTGTTAAGCATGTGCCAAGTCCTTTAGAAAATTCTAGCTAATTGACCACTGTGCCATTATAAATATTACTTTTTTAAAAGATTAATTCCTATAAGTAATTCTAGAAGGTTCTAGCAAATATTGCTTATTCTGCCTTCAACCACCCATAACAATTAATATGGACAAAGACACTAACATGTCTCACAAGTGCTGTCTCCTAACACGATATTTAATTTCCTGTAGGCAAGGATATTATTATAGTTTGGATGCTCTGTCCCCTCCAAATCTCATGTTGAAAGATAACCTCCAATGTTGGAGGTGGGCCTAATGGCAGGTGTTTGGGTCATGGGGGGCAGGTCTTTCATGGATGGGTTGGTACTGCTACTGTGGTAATGAGTGAGTTTTTACCCTATGAGTTCATGTAAAATCTGATTGTTTAAAGAACTTGGCATCTCCCTTGCTCCCTCTTGTCATGTGATATGCCAGCTCCCCTTTTGCCTTTTGCAATGACCATAAATTTCCTGATGCCTCATCAGAAGCTGAGCAGATGCTGGTGCCATGTTTGTACATCCTGCAGAACTGTCAGCCAAATAAACCTCTTTGGGTTACTCAGTCAGTCATTCCTTTATAGCAATGCAAAATGGACTAACTCAGATATATTTAGTATGGCCTATGGACTCTAGCTCTTCTCTAAGATCTTTGCATTTGAAATGTAAATTCTTATTAAATCCAACAGATAACACTTCAGAAATTATCAGAACATGGAATATATTGTTCAGAGAGTGGAGTAAGAAGACGTTTAAATGGCACAACAACCAGGGAATAGACAAAGCCTAGAAAAGTTTATCATAACATATCGGCTTTCTCGAGAAATGACTGCTTTTCAGAGCTTTTCTTCTTTTTAATCAATACATTTTTTATTAAACGTTGTCTTTGTTTTCCAAAGCTGGTTCCTTAGCAACAGCTTCAAGGACTCCTTCAGTAAAAACAGCCATTTTTAGATTCGGGTCAGTAGTAAAAATTCCTGGTTTTGGTCAAGAATACCATGAATCCACACAGTTTTGGATATACTTAAAGTGAGATAAATGAGAAGATTCTAGAGCATACATTTTGGATGAATGATGTAAAGAAATTTAAATGGTTTGAGGTGTGGATTAACTTGTGAATGTCTGGATATTTCATAAATTTATGTTGAATTTTCAAACTTCTGACATTCAAACGTCATTAATCATGACATTTATTGCAGCCATTAGTGTCTCATTCAGGGCTGGCCCACATGAAAAGTAATCTGATTTCCTGATTTACTGATGAAAATCTCTTTGTTACTCAATAGGATAAATTATTTGTGCTCTGAGTGTTTCTATTTAGACACTATATTATTGTCTCATAAAACGATGTGATGGAACAGTTACTGCCAAAAACAGCATAAAATAAGCAACTGTTAGGTTTTATGTGCACACAATTAGAAAGTGATTCCATTACAAGTTAATTACAGAGATTAATTCCTATTTAGAATCTGTCACAGAGGTCAAATACATAAATTTTATTCTTAGAGTTTACCTGGAGAGATAATAATGAATTTCAAGTAATTTGTTACAAACTTTATTTTTAAAAACTTTGGGAGTGCTCAAGTGTTGTGTGCTTTGCAAAAGTAAAGCACTAATTTCAAGTCTTTCCCAGGGTATAAATGCTTCCACTAACCACAGGGATTGTACCAAAAGTCACTGCATATAAACCCCTCTTTGAGACTTGTGTGTCTGCAAATAGGTCGTTACATATAACAAGCAACGTCATTGGTTTCCTCTCATGGAGAACAGGTATTCTTTAAAAAAGCAGCAAAGTCTAATTGGAAAAAATAAATTTCAGCTGTGATTGTTCTGACCTTGCCCTACTCTGGTGGTCTTGAGCTTGGTCCTGTTTAAGCTTGGCTCTGCTCTGGGTATACCTTGACCTTGGTTCTTTTTGAGGAATAAACTGACCAGGAGTAAACAAAGTGTCGATTCTCTTCTACTCTAGACTTGGACCATTTCAACAAGACATGAAAATAGAATAGTTCATTTCTTGAAATACATTTATTTATTAAAACCACACATTTTCATAAAGAAAATATATCTGTAGACAAATAATTGTCTCCGAAAGATGTTCACGTACTAATGTCCAGAATCTAGAAATATGTTACATAGCAAAGGAGAATTAGGGTAGCAAATAGAATTATGGTTGTTAATCAGCTGGTATCCTGGACCATCTGAGTGGGCCCAAAGTAATCACAAGTGTCCTTGAATGGGAATAGGAGGGCAAAAGTGTCAGTGGTGGAGTGCTGTGATGTGAGAAAGTCTCGACTGGCCATTGCTGGCTTGGAAGATGAAAGAAAATCACAGTCAAGGACCTTTCAAAACTGGAAAAGGAAAGGAGATAGATTCTTCCTAGAGCCTCCAGAAAGAACATGATGCTGACATTTGATTTGAGCCCAAGGAGATCCACTTTGGGCTCCAGAACTCTAAGAAAATAAATGTGAATTGTTTTAAGACAATGTATGCAATAATTTGTAGTAACAGCAATAGAAACGAAGACAGTGATGAATAGGAGAGCTAAGACAGTTCTAAGGAGAAAAAACATTACAGAAGCTCCTCTATTTGAATTTTGAAAGATTGGTTGCAAGTCCATTTGTTCATTAAGTTCAAAATTACGGAAACTACCACCAGTGCCATCAGTTGAGTGGTGACAGGGGTGATATCCTTTGTTCTCAGACAGAACTTTATTCTTATCTATGAAATTTTGTAAACTGAAAGATTGAAAATAGAGGTGCTTTTTAATGTTACAAACAATAGTCCTTTGCCTGGAGCAATACTTCCTATGTTGTACTTGTCTCAGACTAAAGAAATTGTGCTCAGAATTGGGCATATTCTTTATCTCCATTTCTGAGCTTGCTATGCTCACAGGATTTGACTCTGAAAACAGCTCCATCATCTTCCCCAAGGGCTCAACCAAGCCTCTCCTATTCCACTGGAGCCACTACATGCAAAGAAGGCACTGACTGCTAGCCTAAATGCTTTTCAGGTTATTTCATGTTATGATTTTATTTAAAATAGTAAAATAAAATTAAAAGTATTTCTTTCTAACTCAGCCCACGCCCCCCCCAAAAAAATATATTGGCCAACGTCCTAATTCCCTAGCCTCTAACCACCTTAAGCTTCTACTTCATGTGTTTATAGAACTGCAGCTTTCTTGACCTTTCCAATTATTCAGTTTTTATTGACCTTTGCCCTTCACAATCTTACCAAGAATTTCTTGGTTGGGCAGCTGTTGTTAGCTTCTATAATTCTAACCATATCTATACACTCATTTATTCTATATATTTAGTGCCTACTGTTTGCCAAGCATTATTCTGAGTCCTGCAGTTGCAATATGAATAAGAATGATAAAATCCTTGCCCTTATGAAATGTTTATGTTCTAATGGAAATGGGGGACGATAGAAAATAAACAAATAAACATGTACCTACATATATACATACATAAAGGATTGTGATTTCAGGTGGTGATACTTGGTGTAAGTGAAATCAAACCATGGGAACCAGAGTGATGTAGAGGAGATTACTTTAGCTAAGATGGTATCATAATTATTCTGAATTTTTAAAATATATATTGTATTTCATCATTTCTTACTTTCTGCTGTCCCATATTTCCAGATAATTAGAAATGAGGACTAAGCTCCGATTTTTTATCTTACCCAAATTCCTACCTAAGGGGTCTAGGGAGTCATGCTCTATAAACCAGGAATTCTCATCAGATGGGTTTTATTTGATCCTATATATTGTGACATACTTTTCAATCTGACTCTGGCATAACATTATGAAACAAGGAAAAAAATATTTAACCCCAAAATACATTTCCTTGACATACCTTGAAATTGCCCTGCAAAGTCTCTTGGGGGAAAAGTCCATATTCTATAGAGAATCCCCTTCCCCCTTTGTTTTCCTTCTTTCCTTCCCAGATCCAGGAGACAATCAACTAAGAGCCAGGCACCCTTTCAAGTTCGATAAAAAACAATTTACAACCTGCTCTTCTCTAAAGTCTGCTATCTAAAAGCTTATCTGCACAATGAAACTTGGTCTCCACAATCCTTTATGTTTACCCTGAACATTCCTTTCTATCAATCCTAGGCCTTTAGACAAACTCAACCAATTGTCAACCAGAAAATGTTTAAATTTACCTATAGCCTGGAAGTCCACCCCCCACCCACCCCAGTTTGAGTCGTTCCGCCTTCCCAAACCAAACCAATGGATTTCTTAATAGTATTTTATTGATGTCTCTTGCCTTCCTAAAATATATAAAATCAAGCTGTACCCTACACTTTGGGCACATGTTCTCAGAACCTCCCGAAAGCTGTGTCATGAGCCATGATCACTCATATTTAGTGCAGAATAAATCTTTTCAAATATTTTATAGAGATTGACTCTTTTCATCAACAGAGAATATATATATATAAACTGGCATTTTAGGTGAAAATAATGATTAGATTGCATATACTAATGCACACAAACAGAAACACACAAATCTTCACTAACCATCAACCACTAAAGCAGTCACTTACACTACCTTAGATTTTACAATTCTGTTAATTTTTATTACACCTATTCTCTTTTTATCGACTTAAAAACCATCCCTACCCTTTTAAACAAGAAAACTTTGTAACACATCTTATAGAAGGAATAACTCAAACTCAAGTACCCATCCAGTGGAAAAATAACCATTGAAATAAAATCAAAATATATAAACACAAGTTGTTAAATTAAGTTTGAAATATTGAAAATTAGCCAGACTGTCACTCACACAATAGCACCTGTATAAGAATATAATAATAATTTAATAATTTAATAAAGAAAGTCCACCCACATGGGAAAAGCAATTTGGCCAACTTTGATTAAAAATGGATTAACTTTTTACAAATTAGCATTTATGAATAAATGACACTTTTATGCAAAAGCATTCTCCATAGACAAAATATGCTGATTTTATACATCATACAAACAACCAAAACTAAAAATTGAAAAGAAAAATTCATCACAGATTAAAAAGCTATCTCTTCTTGTGCATTTAAAATATAATTTGATTTTTTAAATCTAAATTTATGCTTTTAAAACAAATATGCTATTAACAAAAGTCATAAAAAACAACATGTATGATATATACATATATAACAATGTATACAAAGTATGATACACTAAAATATTAATGACTTTTCTTTGAAGTCTTAAGTTTACTGTTAATGACAGATTCAGAAATAGCTTTCTAAACTATAAACAGCCAGAGAAGTGTCATTGCTCTATTAACCTGTTCTATATTGTCTTTTCTGCCACTCAAGAGCTAGCCTAAATGTAAACTGGGTACATTGCACATATTTTGGGTTATATATGTGAAATATTTTTAAACAAATATTCTTTCAAAAGACAATAAAATTGTTTACATGTACTTCTGTGTGTTTTATGAAGTAAATATTAGCAATAATAGGCTTCATAGCTAGCTATTTAAATGTAAAAAATATCTTGCCATTTGCCATTAGGCCATTTAAAAGAAAAAGAAAAAGTTTCTAGTCATGCTGTAAAATTTGGGATGGATGCCTTGAAAATACCTAAGGTAGAATTAGATCTTTTAGAAATGGAACAAAGTCTAAAAATCATTTAGCCTCTATCCACACGTTATAGATGAGGAAACTGGTTTACAGATATGTTAAGGGTTTTGATTCAAGTAATTCAAGTAATTAGTGACATCATGTGATTAACTTCATGACCCAAACTCTGAGCCTGGGTCTTTTCCAACTTCATCATATTTTGCTGTACTCATTGTGAAACAGGAGAGTTCCCTGACCCCCACTTGCAGAACATGCAACAGGGGTGTGGCTCTCTGTTCAGCCACCACAAGCTCAAACCCCTTACGGGACGGGAAGCACGCAGATGGGCAGGTGCAGGAAATGAGGGGAGCTCTTTTGGGCTCTGGCCCCACAGCAGCATCTAAGGGTAGGAGTCTGAGACTCCCAAAGCCCAAGTGGGTGTGTGTTACAGTGCACTCTTTTAGCCTTGCCATCCATGGATGGCTTAAGGGTTAACCAGCTCAGTGGACCCTCTGCCTTTTTGCAAGGGCAGGGGACGATTGTGCCAGCTTTCTGTATCCCAAGATCTTGTCCAGCATCCCAGAAGACTCAGGTCACACACGGACTTGAAGGATGAATATGGGGGTTTTATTGAGTGGTGGAGGTGGCTCTCAGCAGGCTGGATGGGGAGCTGGACAGGGAATGGAGTGGGAAAATGATCTTCCCCTGGAGTTTGGCCATCCAGCAGCTAATTCTCCGACTGTCCCCAGCCAAACTCCTCCTAACATTCCTTTTCTTCTCATCCTCTCTGCCACACCATTCTGTTGTTTGTCTGTTCGTCTCCTCATCTGCTTCTGGAGCCTGGGGTTTGGGATTTATATGGGCATAAGATAGGGGGCATGGTGGGCCAAAAGGCAACTTTTTGGCTGCGAAAATAGAAATGCCTGTTCTTACTTGGGTCTGTGGGTATCCAGGCTTAAGGGTGGGGCCTTTGCCAGGGAACCACTCTCTTCTACCTAGTATTTCCCTGTCTCCTGTCCATATCAATTGGAAATCTCTTACCTGTTCGTTATAATTTATCAAACTAAACTTTCAAAAAAAAAAGAAATGCATTTTTAATTTTTCATATAGTTAGCATTACTCAACATTTCAAGAATACCAGTAATTTATTAAAATTCCACTAACTTTACTGAAGAGCTAATAATGTGATTTAATTTCCTGAGTTCAAAGAAAGATTTTGATGCAGCAAAATATATGTTCTCTAGTCTTGGTTCTCTACACACTTAACAGTTCTTGTTAGGGCTATGGATTTAGGAATTTCTATTAAAAGATTTTTTTCAAAGCAAGTCGAATACCACATGTTCTCACTTACAAGTGGGAGCTAAATAATGTATACATTGACATAGAGGATGGAATAATAGATGTGGAGACTTGGTGGGGGGAAGGGATGAGAAATTACTTAATGGGTATAATACCCATTAATAATACACTATTCAGGTGGTGGTTACAGACTTCACCACTATACAATGTATTCATGTAACAAAACTGAACTTGTACCCCTTAAATTGATGCAATAAATTTTTAAAGAGATTTTTGTGTAAAGCAAATCTTAGTATCCACAAGATACTAAGAGCTCCCCTCTGTTTCTCCTCATCTTACTTTCTCCCTCAAAATGATTTTCATCTTTCAGTTGTGATACAAAGTAGCATATATTAGTGGTAATAAATCATAATTTTCGGGGGAAGTATCTACTTCTGTAATGAAAAACTATCAAAAGACTTAATGGACTGTTTCAATCAGCTTTAGGTCATTAAAACCAGAGGTTTCTTCAAAGATGGTTTATAGACTATTTACTCCAGAATTACCTAGGGCTCTTGTTGAAATGGGAAATCTGGGTTCAATTGTAATCCTACTGAACTTAACTTTTAGAGGTGAGGCCCCCAGTTCTACATTTTTAACAAGAACTCCAAAAAATTTTTCTCGCACAAAACTATTGAAGTTTTTGAAGACAGTGACAGCATGTTTGTCTTAGATATTCATTGTTCATTTAAAAATGTCTAGTATATAGTCCCAAACTAGTATTTAATTAATTAAACAAAATTAACTCTGACTTCAGTAGGAAAATGGGGGAGGAATGGAGTCCATAGAGAAATGGGGAAGAGAAAACTCAAATTCTTGTGTTTTTTTAATTTTTATTTTTGGAGACAGGGTCTCACTCTGTTGCTCAGGCTGGAGTGCAGTGGCACCATCTCTGCTCACTGCAACCTCTGCCTTCTGGGCTCAAGCCATCCTCCTATCTCAGCCTCCTGTGTAGCTGGGACTACAGGCACACACCACCACATCTGGCTAATTTTTGTATTTTTTAGAGAAGGAGTTTCACCATGTTGCCCAGGTCGGTCTCAAACTCCTGAGCTCAAGCAATCCACTCACCTTGGATTACAGGCTCCCAAAGTGCTGGGATTACAGGCGTTAGTCACCATGCCCGCCCTTAATTCTTGTCATTTTATAGGAGATGAATAATGTCACATATATCCCATCCTAATTCAGGAATCCTCCAGACTATGCCCATGTATCTGTTTATAGGCCCATTTTGAGTACCTATGATATGCAAAAACTCCACCAGCTGGAGACATGCTTCTCATTTGATCTTCAAAGCATCTCACCCCATACTAGTTTTTTCAAATGAAATAATTGAGATTTGTTCATGCGTTAAAGAACTTGATTACATTCTGCACCTAAACAATGATGCTAAGACTAGACATCAATTATATTTGAACTTCAGTTTAAGTATTTTTCCTCTAACTTTGCTACTTCTCTCACTCTTATAAATTGCTTTTTGTATCTCTGATATATATGCACATTTAAATGTATTTATTTCTCCATAGATGGAAAATCTTAAGAACTATAATTTATAAATTTAAATATTTACAATATTAAAAGATATTATGGTATATATTAACATGTTCTCTTATATTAATATATATAATTCATACTTATAGTTTCAATAAACCTAAAATTAGCACATTGGAAAGTATAGTTCTTTAAACTGATGTTAAGATAACTATATTAACATCTTTACAAGACAACTTCTGAGCATAACATTATTCACGATTAAACAAAATATTTTTCCTTAAAAAATAAAAGGAGGCTTCACAGTTTGTGAAAATAATGCATATTGCTCTGTGTTCAAAAACTGTTCCTTACATCTTGTTTATTACTTTGCATATTGTATTAGTTTCCTAGGGCTACAATAACAAAACACCACAAACTGAGTAGATTAGAACAACAGAAACATGCTGTTTTGCAGTTCTGGAAGCTTGAAATCAAGATGTCAGCAGGGCCACGCTCGCTCTGAAACCTGTAGGGGAGTCCTACTTTGTCTCTGTCTAGCATCTGGGTAATTCTTGACTTGGATCTGTGCAAGTCCAGTCTCTGCCTTCATCCCGGTGTGGTGCTCTCCTTGTGTGTGTTTGTGTGTTCCCATGATCATCTTCTCAAAAAGACACCAGTATACTGGATTAGGAGCCCACTCTATTCCACTATGACCTCATCTTAACTAATTACAAAGTTCCAAATAGGGACACATTCTGAGGTACTTGGAGTTATGATTACAACATATATTTTTCTTTTGTGAGGGAGGGATTACAAGTCAACCCAAAATACACATGAAAAAACAACTGCAACAACAGCAACTCCAATGGCAATTCCAGCGATGGTTTTCCAATGCCATTTTTGATGATTCTTGAGAAACATGTTTTAGTCATTACTATTCTTAGTAATTGCTTCTACTTTCACTTGACTAAATTCATTAGCAGCACACAGGGCAAGTATTTGCATGCACTTGATGCTATATTTGAAATCCAACAGAAATGACAAGTTCTTATATTTTTTTAAAAAAACTTCTGTTTAATCAGTGGCATACTTAGAGATAAGTCAATGTTTTAATTAGCTAAAAAAGACTCTTCCTATTATATTTCAACACCTAATCAAATAAGTGGCCAAGAACTATAAGTACAATTTTCATGAGGACAAATTCATTTTTAAAGTGATAATGCCTATGTATTTTTCCTTTTATAAAAGAAATTTGAACCAAATATGTGAATATGGAGAGTGATAAAAGGTCAGGTGTGGTGGCTCATGCCTGTATCTCAGCACTTTGGGAGGCCAAGGCAGGTGGATCACCTGAGGTCAGGAGTTCGAGACCAGCCTGACCAATACGATGAAACTCTGTCTCTACTAAAAATACAAAAGTCAGCCAAGTGTGGTGACGGGCGCCTATAATCCCAGCTACTTAGGAGGCTAAGACAGGCAAATCACTTGAACCAGGGAGGCAGAGGTTGCAGTGAGCTGAGATCATGCCACTGCACTCCAGGCTGGGTGACAGAGTGAGACTCCATCTCAAAATAATAATAATAAATTAAAAATAAATAAACAGTGAAAGAAGGCTTTAATTCTAATCATCTCATTTAACTGTTCCACATGCATCCTCTCCCCAGCCAGACTGACCTATGTGTTGCCATAATTGCTATTCCTATTACCACATTTCTTTCCAACTATGCTCCGCCAAAAATGTACTTTTTAGCCTCCATTCCCTCTATTCTTCCTTTTCTTCAAGGCGCAGTTTAAATGACATCTTCAGCATGAACATGTCTACTTCGAGAATCATCCTCCTCCTAAACCTGCACCACAATAATAGTCACAGTACTCAGAAATGGTACATGTAGATTTCTGGAAATATTTATGCTTCTTCATGCCAAGGTTTAGTGTGCTTGAGATTCCAGTAACAGCACTGTGGTTAAGAACACAGGCTCTGCAATTAGACAAACTTTTCTATTTCATGATTGACTTGTGTGGCAATGGCCAAATTACTTAATCTCTTCAAGTTTGTTTGCTCTTATACAAAATGGAGATAATAAAGTAATTAATGTTTTAAGGCTAATCTAACAAATACTGCACATGCTGTTGATGCTAAAACGTGCTAACTTGAAACTGTTGGGCATATACATTCATACAAATATTAGGTTGGTGCAAAAGTAATCGTGGATTTTGCTTTTGCACCAACCTAATATTTATTTAATCTCTGTTAAATAATTGCACAAACTATTAATATCATATATAATTTTCTTTACCACAAAACGTCCATGTTAAAAAATTACAAATTTAACTTATTTTCATTTATTCATTGAATAAATGTTTCTCTCCTTTTTAATAAACCAATGGGTAAAAGACACAATGGAGGAAGAACCAAAAAAATGAATGAATTCACTAGAATTCTGTTACTGTACTTTACTTGACAATAGGTTTTTTTAAGTGTTGGAAATGATGAGGAAAGTAATGTTAATAGGGAGTTTCCTCATGTAGCAGATCATTACAGCACGTTCTCAATATGAGCTTCTGTGTTAGTCCAGGTGATACTTGTAAATTTGTGCAGAAACGTTTTTAATATCAGTGTAAAGGAGCTATAAAGGAAATATTTATGAAGCATTTCTGGGGAAAGTTATCAGCGATGGAAAGAATGTAAGCTAGCAGGAAATAGAGTATAGTGGAAAGAGAAATGAATTTAGACTCAGCATTGGAGCTAAACCGCCACTTAAAAGCTGCCTGACTCCAGTAAATGGTACCTCTTCTCTGGACCTCATTCTTCATCTGTAACACTGAATTTAATCACCATGGCAAATATATGACATTCAGTGTTCTGACCTATAAAATGTCTTTAGAAACCACCACTTATGCCTTTTAACACCCTTCCTTCTGAACCAGGACCTAGCTTTAGCATTTTTTAAAATATTGTACTTCAGACAGACTCTATTTTTTTTATTATTGTTAGATGTTACAAAGTGTTAATTTTATTAGCTGCCCTAATTATGGATAAAGTATAATGGTTTTATTACTTTTCAAATTCGATATTTTTATTAGAAATACAGTCATGTGTCACTTAACGATGGGGATATGTTCTGAGAAATGCATCCTTGGGTGATTTCCTCATCTTGTGAATATTAGACTGCACTTCTGCAAACCTAGGTGGCATAATCTACTACACACCTAGGCTAAATGGTATAGCCTATTCCTCCTAGGTTACAAACCTGTATAGCATGTGACTCTACTGAATGCTATAGGCAACTGGAACACAATGGTCTCTGTGTATTTAAGCATATCTAAACATAGATAGGGTAAAGTAAAAATATGGTATTATAATTTTACTGGACCACAGTCGCATATGTGGTATGTTGCTGACCATAGGTCATCACGTGGCACATGACTGTATGCTAAAATTGCACTATTATAATATGACTTTAGATTTCTGGTGTGAATACCGACGTTATAAAATGTTTTGCATTTAAAACTCCATAAAATATCCATTATCAGAAAATAACTTTGGATATAATTTTTATGTGCTGCTTTTAAAATAAGAGGTACAGCATGATACAATATTAATGTATGAATTCAACCACTGACAGTGAGTGCTTTCTCTTTCTCTCATTACAAAACTCCAACTGACAGGTACACTTTCATCACAACTCAGCTTAAGATATAACTTCTCCATGAAGCTTTTAAAGATTAAGCCAAGTAAAAAATTTTAAAGATCAGAAAGTGTGTAATAAGATAACAGAAGACAGACCACACAATTAGAAGACATGAAATCTCAGATTCAATAAGAGTAAACTTAACTCTATGCTCTTTACAAAAGACATACCTAATACAAAAAAAATGACAAAAATCTAAGAATAACATGATAGTTTTTGATACCAGCACTTTGGCTGACAAGGTATATTAAGTGATTATTTAACCGAAACCACTTACCAATTGATATAGTTTGGATGTGTGTCCCCTCCAAATCTCATGTTGAAATATAAACCTCAGTGTTAGAGGTGAGGCCTGGTGGGACATGATGGAATCATGGGGGCAGATTTCTCATTAATGGCTTAGCATCATCACCCTTGGTTCTGTCCTCGTGATAGGGAGTGAGTTGTTCTGCGATCTGGTTGTTTAAAAATATGTAAAACCTCTCTGCTCACTCTATTGTGTGCTCCAGCCATGGGGTGTGCCTGCTCCCCCTTCACCTTCTGCCATGATTGTAAGTTTCATGAGGCCTCCCCAGAAGCCAAATAGATGCCAGCATCATGCTTCCTATGCTGCCTGCAGAGCCATGAGCCAATCAAACCTCTTTTCTTTATAAAGTACCCAGCCTCAAGTATTTTTAATAGCAATGTGAGGACAGACTAATATGCCATGTTGGATACAATTTAGGAAAGCATATTTTTAAATCTTTCCATGTGATATCAAAATCATCATCATCATCATCATCAGCAGCAGCAGCAGCAGCAGCAGCAGCAGGCCAAAACCTAAGTGAAGTTGGAAACCAAGAAGGGAGCATTGATGACAACTTTCATCTTTAGGGTAATTGTTAAACCTCATAAACTTAAATTTATGTCTTCATAGTCTTGTGTAACTTAAATGATACAAGGCAAAATCAGGAGTCTTCTTCCAGAAGAAATCCATCTTGCAACTCTTGGCTCCCAACTGTCTAAACATACTGTAAATATGAATTAGATACAGCCACCTTGCTGCTATGAAACAGTAATAATTCTTAGCCACCCGTTATATGGTCCAAATTCCAATGATATGTTGTTATTTACAGCGATCCTTGACACATAGTTCACTGAGGGACCTGGCAGAGGAAAACCCAATCATTTGGAGAAACCCATGTTTATTCCAGGATTTAGAAAATTCCCATAAATGAAGCTCCAAGGCATATAATCTCACATTCATAAAAGCACAGAACACTAAAAGAAATAGAAAAGAAAGACAACGAAAACAGCTATCTGCAGATCAGACACATGAAGACTTCAGATACAACTGCTATCAGACAGCATATAAAAGAAACATGTTTTGTATGTTTAAAGACACAAAATAAGCAGATAAAATATAAAATAAAAACACAGAGTAAAATAAATTACCAAATAGATTTGATAAAGAGCCAAATAGAACTTCTAGAATCTAGAAATGCAAAACCAATCATTACAACTATAGAAAGAAATTCTGAACTGGAAGATATTACATAGAATATAACACAGGTGGACATGGAGACACCAAATATGAAAGGCAGGTTAAGTGTCATAGAAGATCCAGTGAGAAGGTTTATAGGCCTAGGAAGAATAGGAAAGGGAATATGACCGAATCCAGAGAGGGCAGCTGTGAGGAAAGAGCTGCCTGACAGGAGCCGTGACCTTCAGTAAATGACCAATCAGCCTGGCAAAGAGGGACTAATGGAAATCAGTGCCCAAACTCACTGTCTCATATTATTTGAACATATTTGGAAACCAGAGGACAACAGAGGTCATTGACACAGTCCCTACATGTCATCCTTTTAGGGAAAGAGTAAATGAAGAGGATTCAAAAAACATTATCCAGAAAAATACACAACTGAGGTTCCAGAAGAAAATAAGGAAGACAATGAAGTGGGGGAAAAATTTAAAGAGAGAATGACTGAGAATTTTTCAAAATAGATGAAAGACTCAATTATCTAATACAAGAGCTCAGGAAATTCAAAGCAGGCTAAATAAGAAGAAAACAGTATTTAGCGAAATTATGAAAAAAGAGCAGGACGTATATGAAAACAAATATGATTAAAGGGAAGCTAGCCAGGAAAATACATCATCTTTAAATAAGCAACAGTTTTACTGACAGCTAACTTCTCAAGAGCAACAGTGGAAGCCAGAAAATGATGGAACACAATCTTCTGTCTCCTGCAATAAAATAAAAGTCAGCCTGGAATTCTACACTCAGTGAAAATATCATACATGAAGAAGACAAATTAAGAACATTTCAGAAAAAGACAAATATTTTGTCATCAATAGAATTACTCAATTAAAATAGTAAAGAATGCACTTCAGGCAAAAAATAAAATTATCCCACCTAGAAGATCCTAAATACAGGAAGAACTAAAATGCAAGCAAAATGTTATATATTTGGTGATATTTCAATAAAAATAAGACTCTATAAAAATTATTATAATACTATTTCTGGAATTAAAAGCTAAGATAAAACTAAAATACAAAATAAAGACAGCATACAAGTAAGATACAAAATAATTGGAGATAAAGTGATTGAAATTTCACTGTATTGTTTGGAAGGAAGGTTGAAACCCTGAAGAACTTGCTCTTGATATTTGAGTTTAAATTTGATGTATTAAACATTTAGAGTAAATGCTAAAATAATGGTACCAGGGTGTATAACTTTCAAACTAGTAGAGGAAAATACCAGAATAGAAAACCAATCAATTAATACAAAAAAAGTAAGAAAGCAAGAGACAATTAATATAAAAAAGACAGGACAAATTTTGAAAGTTTCAAAATACATAAAGCAAAACATACAACTGGAAAAATAAAGAGAAATCTAGAATTAAAGTTAAGGATGTTAATACCTTATTTGAATGAATGAGAGAATGAATAATCAGAAAATTAGTGGAACACATAAGCAACAGTATCAACCTACTTAAAGTAATTGACATTTATAGAGTATTCCACTAATTAATACCAAACTATACATTTCTTTCAAGGGAATGTGTAACATTTACCAAGACAGACTCTATTCTGGGTCACAAAACAAATCTTAAAAGATTAACAGTAATAGAAAGTATGTTCTCAGACTATGATGAAATTATATTAAAAATCAATAGTACAAAGATGTCTAAAAATCACAAACATTTGGAAACTAAATGACAGATTTCTAAATAACCCATGGGTCAAAGAAGAAAGTCAAAAGGGAAAATTGAATATATGTTCAACTAAAAGAAAATGAAAACAAAACATTACAAAATTTTGGAGAATCCTACTAAAGCAGTTCTTAAGAAAGATTAATAGCACTAAACATCTATATTAGGAAAAGGGGAAAAGATCTCAAGTAAAATACTTCAACTTCTTCCTTAAGATATTAGAAAAATAAGGGCAAATGAAGCCCAATGTAAGCAGAATAAAAGTAATAATAAATATTAGAGGAGAAATCAATGAAATAGATAATTGATTTAAAATTCATGAAAAGCCATAGACCAAAAGTTAGTGCTTTGAAAATATCAACAATATAGATAAACCTTTGTCCAGCTTGTTCAGAAAAAAAAATTGAGAGAAGACACATGTACCAACATCAGGAATGACAAAATGGCATAAGACACTACATATATTAAAAAGATGAGAATTTTATGAACATTATGAAATCTATTAAGATATTATGAATAAATAAACATTCAGACCCAGCAAGTAAAAGAAAACCCTGAAAACTTCTAGCCGTATTCAGAAATGATATAAATAAGTTAGCTACATAACAAAGAAATGCTGAATGTTCACAATTAGGTGACTGTAATTGGTGAGTTGTACATGTTACAATGTCTATGCAAATAATTTGTTTTGAGTATGTGCCATTATGGTGGTGGAAGAAAATAGTGTTTCAATGACTCTTTAATTTGGTGGTAGAGAACCTTCATGGATTGTGACAACAATCAAGGCTTTGAACGCATATGAACATGAGTTTGAATAACAACTCCACATACATACATATCCGGAAGTTATTAGCCTCATGTATAGGTAAATCTATCATGGTGGTTTTATAAAATAAAATGAAATAAGAAAACAACAATGGGCCAAGTAAGACCCTCCTCAATTCCTTCTCTCCCTGACCCATTCAACCACTAGAGGAAAGCATCTAGAATCATAAAATAATCAGCATAAGAAAAAGAAGCTCAACTTCAGCAAGAATTGGATTCACCTATGTCAGTGCAATGTGGAGAAGGCAGAAAATTACCTACAGAAGGGGATCAGATACCCATAAGTTTAAAGAGCGCATGTCAGATAGCCCAATGGTTCTGTGAATAAGAGAGATAGAATCTTTGAGCTGTGGTTCTGCCCATTTTTCTAGTAAAAGCTCTGACCCAGAGACAATATTATATCTATTGTTGTGGACTGAATATTTGTAACATAAGTTGAAGTCCCAACCCCCAATGTGACTATATTTGGAGATAGGGCCTTTATAGAAATAAATAAGTTTGAATGAGGTCATGAGGGTGGGGTCCTAATTTGATAAAAATTAATGTTTTTATAGGAAGAAACACAAGCACGTTTTCTCTCTGTCTCTCTCTCTCTCTCTCTCTGCCTCTGTCTCTGTCTCTCTCTACCACATGAGGATACAATGAGAAGATAACCTTCTGCAAGACAGGAAGAGAGCCCTCAACACAACCAAGCCGTGCTGGCACCTTGATCTCACAATTCTACCCTCCAAAATTATGAGTAAATAAATTTCTGTTGTTTAAGCCGCCCAATCTACAGCATTTTGTTATGGCCATTTGAGCTGACTAAGATATCTAGTTTTAATTTTCATTCTATTAAGTAGTTGGTGCCTGGTGAAGGTAGATTACATATTGAAGGCCTCTTGTAGAGCAAAAACACAAAATGTACATGAACTGAAAGGCCCTGCATTTTAGATTAATACTGGGGTGGGCATTGAGAGGATGTGCATTGAACTTGCTGATGACCTTAAATTCTGCTTCCATCATTTTTTAAGATTATAATTTAAGCTGCTGTGTTTCTCCCTGTTAATTATCTTCTTTCTCTTGCCTTTCCTACTCCGATACAACAAGTAGTCAGTGGGTCACCAGAGTAATTGTGGACAGTGGAGAGCAAAATGAAAGAGGAGTGAAATGCCATTTCAGTTGCTTTTTTTCATTTCATGTTTGCTTTAATCTCATATAAAAGTATAGAGGCTGAATATGCTCAGCAAATGATGTAGCAACTCATTTTCAGAAAACTTTTAAAAATTAATTTATGCCAGGAAGAGACTGATAGACTCAGCTTTTAACAAGACACACTCCCACTGGAATTTGGGATAAGAAATTCAAATAACTTTATGCCTATCAAAAATCAACCTGGGGATAGAATTCCATCAGCCTAATCAGGATTCTTGCCTTTGAAGTGCTCCTTTTGTTTCTTCATGCCTTTTCCACTGGCATCCCTATTTCATGCATGAGATGATAAATATATAGGCATGTTCAGTGACCTTGTTCAGTCTAATAAAATTCCATCAAAGTCCAAATGAAGTGTGAAGCTAGTTAAAGGCTTTTCATTATTTCTTCACTTACATAATGAAGTTATCCAAAAAAATCTTACATTAAAATGCTGAGGGTTTTTAGAAGACTTTGTATTTGACAAAGTGCAGCATCCTTTCTTGATAAAAACTCTTAACACTTTAGCTCTAGAAGGAAAACATCCCAACATATTAAAGTTTATTTATTAAAATCCCACAATTAACATTATAATCAGTGGAGAACAATGGAAAGCTTTTCCACTAAGATGTAGTACAAGACAGGGATGTCCACTCTGACCACTTCTATTTAGCATAGTACTGGAAGTACTAGCAGGAGCAATCAGACAAGAAAAAGAAATAAAAAGCATTCAAATAAGAATGGAAGAAGTAAAATTATTTCTATTTACAGATGACATGATCCTATATGTAGAAAACCCCAAAGATCTACCAAAAGCTGTTAGATGCAATAAACAAATTCAGTGAATTTTCAGGATACATCAACCTACAAAAATCAGTAGTATTTCTATACACAAATAATGATCCAACTGATAAAGAAATCAAGAAAAAATACTATTTTTGGTAAAAATAAAAAAACAATGAATAAATTTAGTCAAAAATGTGAAAGATTTATAAATCTTTATATTTATAAATTTTTAAATTTTATAAATCTTTAAATTTATAAAGCTTATATACTCTCAGACTCATGAGGGACATTATTATTGTCATCAATATTATCAATAAGTGTTTTCTGAGCCTGCATCAATATAATGAGATAGCATTATCTTTTACAATCACCATGGTTGTAAAGATTAAATGAGACAATATATGTGACAATGCCAGGCACTTAATAAATGTTTACTAAACATTAGCTTACTTATGGTTCCTTCCCTCAAAAAGCAAACAGTCTGTTAGGGTTGCCCAATAAATTCTTGACCATAGTGAGATATTGATGAAAGAAATTGAAGAAGATACAAATAAATGGAAGGGTATATTATATTTGTGGATGGGAAGAATTATTAATATTGTTAAAATGTCCTCCCTACCCAAAGCAACATGCAGAATTAACACAATTCCTATCAAAATTCTAATGATGTCCTTCACAAAAATAGAAAAACAAATCCTAAAATTCATATGAAACCACAAAAACCTGAAATAGACAAACCAATACTGAGAAAGAAAAGCAAAGTTGGAGACATCAACTTCCTGATTCCAAATTATATTACAAAGCTATAGTAATTTAAAAAGTATAGTATTGTAAAAAAAAGACACAAAGGCCAATAGAACAGAATAAAAAGTCTAGAAATAGATTCAAACATATAAGGGCAATTAATTTTCAATAATGTCACCAGGAGGACATAGTGGGGAACAATAATCTCTTCAATAAATGGTCTTAGAAAACTGAATTTCCACCTGCAAAAGAATAAAATAGAACCCTTAGCTTATACCACACAAAAATCAATGCAAAATTGATAAAAGACATAAATATAAGACTGAAATTATTAAACTCCTAGAAGAGAACATAGAAGAGCTTCTTGACATTGGCCTTGACAATGATTTTCTGGATGTCACATTAAAAGCTCAGGCTACAAAAGCAAAAATAAATAAATGGAACTACGTCAAACTAAAAAGCTTTTGTACAGCAAAGGAAATACTCAAAAAATGAAAAGCCAATCTAGGTACTCGGAAAACATATTTGTAAAACAAACATCTGGTAAGGGGTTAATATTTAAAATTTATAAAGTACTTTTACAACTCGATAGCAAAAAACCAAACTGATTGAAAAATGGGCAAAGGATCTGAACAGCCATTTCTCCAAAGAAGACATAAACATAGCCAACGTGTATATGAAAATGAAAATGTACTGAACGTGACTAATAACCAAGGAAATACAAGTTAAAACCACTATGAGATATCACCTCACACCTGTAAGAACAGCTGTTATAAAAAAGATAAGAGATAGCAAATGTTGGTGTGGGTGTGGAGAAAACAGAACCTTAGTGTATTGTTGGTAGGAATGTAGATTGGTACAGCCATTAATTAAAAACAGAGCTACCATACAACCCAGTAATAATTTTTCTGTGTATATGTCCAAAGGAGATGCAATCACCACCTTGTAAATATATCTGCACTCTCATATTCATTAAAGCATATTCACAATAGCCAAGATCTGGAAAAAATTTTAATGTCATATATCTGTGTGTGTACATATATATACAGTCTGTGTATACACACACACAATAAAATGTTATGCTATTTGCCACATCAATGATGGACCTGCAGAACATTACGCTAAGTGAAGCAAGCCAGACACAGAAATAGAAATCTTGCATGATCTCACTTTTATGTGGAATACACACACACACACACACACACACACAAACACATAGACACTCCTACAGTTGACCCTTGAGCAATGTGAGGGTTAGGGGTGCCAACCTTATCCACAGTTGAAAATCTGTGTATAACTTTTTACTTCCTGAAAACTTTACTACTGATAGCCTACTGTTAACTGGAATCCAATAATATAAAGTTGATTATGACATCTTTTTTATGTTATATGTACTGTACAAAGAACTTAAATACAAAGAGATAGAAAATTTAACAGTGGCTACCATTACCACAGGGTGGGGAGGCATGGTTGACAGACATAGGTCAAAGGATAAAAAGTAGCAGCTATGTAGGATGAGCCAGTTTAGAGATCTAATGTACAAAATGAAGATGAAGTTAATAAAACTGTTTTGTATTAAGGATTTTTGCTGGATACGTAGATTTTAGCTGCCCTTGTCACAAAAAAAGTAACTATGTGAGATAATAGATATGTTCATCTGCTTCATAATAACCATTTTACTATCCCATATCATCATATTGTAAACCTCAACCATACACAATACAATTTCTTTAAAAAATTAAAGTAAACTTAAAACATCAACCTGGGGATAGACTTCCATCAGCCTACTCAAGACCCTTGCCTTTGAGGTGCTCCTTTTGTCTCTTCCTGTATTTCTCCTGACACCCTTATTTCATGCACAAGATGATAAATATGTAGGCATGTTAGGTGAGCTTGTTCAGTCTAATAAAACTCCAACTCCATCACAGTCCAAATGAAGTGTGAAGCCAGTTAAAGGCTTTTCATCATTTCCTCACTTATATAATCAAGTTATCCAAAAAATCTTACATCAAAATGCTGAGGGTTTTCAAAAGACAGACCATAGATTACCAAGAAAATAACTAGTTTCTAAACATGGTCTTATTTTAAAATGTGTTCTTTTGGGATAATGGCAATTCATAAACCCCCAAAAGAGAAATATATGTTTTTTAAAGTATGTAACATTAAATAGTTACAGAAGCAGAGAGCTTTCAACATATTAAAAGCTCTCTATAATTTAATGGTTTTAAATCATTTAAAGTTGAAAATTATACAAAATCATGACCACTCAGGACTGTGGACACTGGTGCCACATTGCTGAACCATGAGTAACTTGACCTTTCATGGTTAACATCTTTACTTGAGAGAATGACTCACTCACTTTATACCTTATATATCATCTTCAGCCAGAAAACACAACCAAGAGATTTAAATCCACTTGGTGAATTAAAAATCTATCACTTTTGCAAAATATCCATTTACCCTTCATTTAACAACAGTAACTCATGCCATTTTCTGGCCAGTTTTTCTTACTCTTACTGCTCTCTGTACTTCCAGCCTGCTTAATTGGACTCAGGTGTATTTTGAAAGCCAAAATTCTCAGCTATCTTCCCACAAAGGCAGATGTACAGGGAAACCACCAAAAAGAAAAAATGAAAGGATAACACCTTAGGTCCTATGAATATGAGCCAGCTCTTAGAATTAAAATTTAAATTTTCCATAAATTTGATGAAAATAGTAAACACATCTCAAAAAAATTTAGTATGCCATTCTAAGAGTTGAACTACACTGTCATGGACACAGAGCTTTAGCATATTTTGCAAAGGTCTACTTTTTCATGAAGCTTAACAGGTATTAACTGCTTTTAATGAAAATATCTTTAGAGTTTGTGATAAATGGGTGGTAGACTTCAAAACCTGTTTTAGCTTATATACTCTCAGACTTATAAGGGACATTATTATTGCCATCAATAATATTATCAATAAGTGTTTATTGAGCCTGCATCAATATAATGAGATAGCATTATCTTTTACAATCACCATGGTTGTAAAGATTAAATGAGATAATATATGTGACAACGCCAGGCACTTAATAAATGTTTACTAAACATTAGCTTACTTATGGTTCCTTCCCTCAAAAAGCCAAGAGTCTGTTAGGGTTGCCCAATAAATTCTTGACCATAGTGAGATATTTCTATGATTTTGGTGGGAGAAGCCTTCCCAATGACGCTATGGGAGTAGGGAAGGGCAGAGTCATTTAAATCTGATTAGAAGAAATTATACTTCAAATAAATTTCGAAGGACATATAAAAGTTAAATAGTAGGAAAAAATTTATTCAAAACTAATGGACGAAATCACTGTGGAGGTGAGAAGAAATGTGATCAGAACACTGGAGAGAAAGCCATTACAATATCCTGGTTGGCATGTTACTCATGTTCACAGGTCACAAATATTCATGAGTAATTATGACGGCTCCTATGTATGTTAACAAAGGCATCAAAGAAAATCTGACAAAATTAATTTAAAATGGAATAATTAGTTATTGTTGGTTACTTATGGAGACCCCAAATTGGACAAAAACATGTTTTTCATTTTATAGTAACCAACATATTTAAATATTCATTTTTTATCATTCAATAAATATTGCAATTAATTGAATGCTAAGTATAGACTACCAGAAAAATGTCTTATGCATGTATTTGCACTTAATAGTACTTTTGTCCTTTTATGAACATCTTTATTTTATTATTTATTCCAATAATTCCTTTTCAGTGTGAATACTGAAAAACTTGTAAATTCCATCATCATAAGTGATACAAAGAGCATGTGATTATTCATGAGCTTGAGTGTTTCCATTACTATAAGTTACTGTTAACTTGGAAAAATGACTATATAATTAAGCAACATTAACAAGAATAATATAGAGTAGTAATATAATACATATTTGTTTATGTCTACCCACTTGATTTGAAAGTGTATGGCTTGGTGCCATTGAATTATCAAATGTTTATCATACTACGTAATATTAAGTGAAATAAGTGATTAGAAGATTATAGTAATGATTCTCAAATAATAGTTAAAACTTTTAAAATCAAAGTTATTGCACCATTAAAAGAAAAAAGTAGGAATACATTATTTTTTCCAAAGGTTATTAAGGAAGGCACACAAATTACTAGAGTACCAAGCCTTAAATGAATTTAAGTACACTTTTAAGGAATAATAAACTAAAAAATAAAACTTATCATCAAGGTCCTCAGTATACTGACTTTTTCTGTCATCCAAATGCCTCATCTCATTGGAAACTGGGCTGAGGAAGAAAAGGCATTCAGCCTTTTAAACTTTGGTTCAGAAGATTTCTCAACAAATATTGAAATCTAAGGTTAAGGAAACAATAGTAATACAGGAAATCCAATATTTCTTTCATTTTTCAATTATTCTATTAAGAATGACATTTTGATTTGACCAAGTTTATTCCATTCTGTTGGGTAAAATGTATAGTTGAGCGCTGTCCTTCTGGCTGGCACCCAGGTCACTACGTCATAGCCCGTCTCTCCAACATGGGGTAGAATTAAGATGTCAAACCACAACCTCTGTGGCTCAATATGGAGTCTTTACACTAATCATGTCTATTTACCCATCCTCAGATCCTCCTTTCTTGGCTACCCCTCATTTTCTCTAGTCTATAAGAGCAGAAACTATGACATCATCTATGTGACTTCATTATTTCCCCAGTGCCTAGAACAAAGAAGATGAGTGAATGTGTTTAATAAAATAAAATGAAAACCTATAAACAAATTAAATTCTTGTTTATGAGATTATAATCACTTTATAGGTGGTAAACAAGGTATACCTTTTCTCATAAACAGGAATTTGTTGATAAGCTTCAATTTTATTTTATTAACTGAATTTACTTATCTTACTTATCTTACCTTCTTTGTTCTAAGCACTAGGGAAAGAATGAAGCCCCTAGACGATGTTATAAAATATTAAATTATAGACAGAAAGATCTTTGCAAGTTACAAGTTATGTACGTCTCCCCTTCTTAGTTACATACACAGAGATGCACAAATTCATTATCTTGATCCCCACACAAGAATTCTTTTAAAGAAAATTAAAGGATAAAAATCAAGGTAAAAATATATGTAAATAAATATCTTAAAGTAATTTTAGGAAGTTTAAAAGAATTATTTTTTTGTGTCAGATTATTATAAAAGGACACTTTAAAAAAGTCACTACAGGCTGGGCGCGGTGGCTCACGCCTGTAATCCCAGCACTTTGGGAGGCTGAGGCGGGCAAACCAAGAGGTCAGGAGACCGAGACCATCCTGGCTAACACGGTGAAACCCCGTCTGTACTAAAAATACAAAAAATTAGCCGGGCCCACGTGGTGGCGGGGGCCTGTAGTCCCAGCTACTCAGGAGGCTGAGGCAGGAGAATGGCGTGAACCCGCAAGGCGGAGCTTGCAGTGAGCCGAGATCACGCCACTGCACTCCAGCCTGGGCTACAGAGCGAGACTCCGTCTCAAAAAAAAAAAAAAAAGTCACTGTAATAGTTACTTCACAGAATTCTTAAAACTGAAATCTAATGGAGTAAAAATTTGTTAAACTACAATTTGCAAGTTTTGAGTACAAAAGAAACCAAATACGTATTTCCAAATATTTAAGTTTTGCATTTAAATCAACACTTAGACTTTCTGGAACCATTAAACACACATTCCAGAACAGATTAATATTTTGTCCCGGAAAATAATTTATTCTTGAAGTCTATAGTAAGAACGCTGATGGCAAATATAATTTATTTAAAAGATGATCAATAAAATTAACAATTGGTTATAATTTGGGCAACCCGATTTTATTTGCTCCAAAATGCATATTATTATGACTGTTTTTTCCAGTTATTACTTTCAAACCAAAGATGAGTGAGGTTGACTACTTGTACTGAATGTCATAAGTACAGATTACTTTTACAATAGCAAATCAGACAAATTGTTAGATTAAAATAATAATGGCAGACGCAATTCAATATTGTTTGGATGTGTTTCCCCTCCAAATCCCATGTTGAAATGTAATCTTCAGTGTTAGAGGTGGGGCCTGGTGGGAGGTGTTTGGGTCATGGGGGTAAATGACTCATAAATGGCTTGGCACCATCCTCACAGTAATGTATGAGTTCTTGATTTATAAGATCATGTGAGAGCCGGTTGTTTAAATGAACCTTGCATGTCCTCCCCTTTCTCTTGCTCCCTCTCTTGCCATGTGACATGTCTGCTCCCACTTTGCCTTCTGACCTGAGTGGAAGCTTCCTGAGGTCCTCACTAGAAGATGCCAGAGCCACACTTTCTGTACAGCCTGCAGAATCGTGAGCCAAAATAAACCTCTTTGCTTTATAGATTACTCAGCCTCAGGTATTTCTTTAGAGCATGGCAAGAGCAGACTAACACACAATTCCTTTCCTTTCCGATTCTTAAAACATGTTTCCCAATTTTATAAGTGCCATTCTATTGTTAGAAAGAATAGCCAGGGAGGTTAAAAAACAAAAGGTAATTACTCTGTAGAAATCGTCTCACACTATAAGGTCAACAAACTTTCTAAAACGTGTCCATTAGAAAACACTAGTCAATACTTCCTTCTGAATTAAAATAAGAAATTTCAAAGATAATAAGGGTATTCTTCATGGCTCACCACATGCTGAGATTCAATGTGCAATCTTGAGCTTTATGTGTGACTAGTCCATAGTGAGAGGTGGGAAAAAACAATAAAGAAAAATCACCTGCATCAAAACTGACAAATTTCACTATAACCTCTCAGCTTCTTGGTTGCCAATTACACAAGTAAAAGAGTGTTATGTAAGTAATGGGGTTGATTGAAGTGAAGTAAATACAGGGCTTAAAAGTGAGCATTTCTAGAAAATATTGTTTCCTTCCTAGTTTCCTTCCTTCTGCCCTTTCTAAAATTATTTATTAAGCACTGCGCACCAGATGTGTCATTCGGCATTAGAAATATGACTGTGATGTTGCTCAGAAAACAGAAAGGACTGCAGGGTGATTGTGGAGTACAAGTGAGGAGTGGTACGAGATTAGGAAGGCTGGAGGAGCAGTTCAACCTGATGGTTGTATCTACTGAGATTGTTTCTCCCAGTTTTCTCTCTCCAGGTGCTAGAAAACTTCAGTAGTCAGTGTTTTGATTAAGCTTATAGGGATTCATTTTTTCTATTGGGTTAAAGGTGCAAGGGAACGTAATCTTATGTTGTTCTAATATATTTGTTTTAAAATAGATGCATTATTTAACAGTAGTAGATAGTTGTATAGCTGTGCCTAATACCTACATAAACCTCTTTAAAAATACCACAAAAACGAATTCTGGTAAATTATTAAGATAAAAGAGTCATGCTTTTTATAAGCCATTACTAATTAGCTAATTGTTCATCATTTGGGGAAGAGAGTTTTTTTTGTTTTGTTTTGTTTTTCATAAAAATTGGCTATGAGATATCTTGGGTTCATCCAGATGGTGTATGTAAGGACAAAAACTGTAAAGCCTTCTATTTAGGATATGTTTTGAACTGTGAGCAGAGCAGAAAATCCTTAATACATACTGTAATTATCCTAGTTCTACTTCTTACTATCATTGTCACCCTACACAAACCTCAACCTATTTAAGCCTTAATTTTCTCATCTTTATAGTAAAGATAATATATGTCTAGATTTGTGCAAATGAAATAACAAATGTGGATTACTTGATATAATGGCTAGTAATTAATTCACTGCAATTATGACTTTTTATTACAAAATTATCCACAATTGAATTATCCACAATTGATTTATGCATCTAAAAAGCTAAGAAAATTTAAGCCTTCAGGGTATAAATCTAGACATAAATATCCACAACCTTGCCCCCTATCTTCCCATAAGTGGTCACATTTGTTCTAATGGTAAAATTGAGGTCTTCTCAATACTATTTCCTTTACTTTTTTTCCCAAGGCAATATAATTTCTATATAAAATTAATCTATGATAAGATTCCATTATGATAGTTAATTCTATGTATCAACTTGGCTAGGCCATGGTACTCAGTTGTTCCGTCAAATCCCAGTCAGCTGTTGCTGTGAAGGTACTTTGTAGATGTGATTGACATTTAAATCAGAAGACTCTAAAGTAAAGCAGATTACCCTCTGTAATGTAAGTAGACTTAATCTAATCGATTGAAGGCCTTAGGAGAAAAGACTGAGGTCCCTAGATGATAAAGGAATTCTGCTTCCAGTCTGTCTTCAGACTGAAGACCGCAGCACTGACTCCTGCCAGAACTTCCAGCCCACCACGCTGCCCTGCAGCTTGGGGCTTCTTAGCCCCAGTAATCATGTGAGCCAATTCCTTACAATCTTTCTCTCTCTCTTTCATCCCCCCACTCCCCAACACATATGCATTATCTTGGTTCCGTTTCTCTGGAGAACCCTAATACACCCCTGTAATCTTTTCTAAATTGTTTCTATTTGGACCTCAATAACCTAGCACTATTCCTAAATTTAGCAATCAGTCCTCATCAAGTCAATCATCAAAAAAGCAACCTACATTTGCTGGAATATGGGGATAAAAATGATTTTAAATATCAATCTATTGATAAGAAATAAAGAAATAAACTCAACACCTAAACGTTTCCAAAGACCTTTGAATATCAAAAGGTATTATTAGTATGGCCTGAAAATCCCTCATAACATCTCACTTACCTCAAACCTTTACAGTTACTAAGGCAAGCCTGACTAAATACAGTCACTGTGACAGAAATGCCAAGGGTCGCATGCAACAGATGTAATCATTTTATACTTGGTCTTCACTGATGTAGTGTTAATTACAATATAGTCATTGGTGCTTGCCACACGCACAGACATAGAAGCAAAATAGTGTCAAATATTTAGTATCATACAGCACTAACAAAAGGTATCAAATAGATCAAACATATTTGCTATGGATGTTTTTTTCTGTTCAGACTGATGCATATCACAAGGGAAAAAAATAGTCATCCCATTTTTAAATGACTTCAGGTAACACCAAACCCCTTAGCAATCCTAATATTTAATTGGCCTAAAATTAACTCCCTAGTGACAAAAACGATACAGGAGTACAGAATTATGAAATCAGAGAACCAAATAATTATCAGAATTAATATGCTCCTACCCTAAGAATTTGGGAATCTAAGATGCAGCTTTTCTGAGAGGGATAGAGATAGTCCATTTTTGTGTTGCTAATTTTATTTTTTTTCACACAGCTGCCTCATGGAAATATCATCATTAGATCCACTAGCAGGGGCTTTAATTTTATAGTCCTTCTATGACACTAAATAACCAAGCAATAGGTTTCTCAGGAAACACACTGAGTGTCTGAAACAACTCACTCTGTGAATAACCATCAGGCCTTCTGATTCCTTAATTTTATTCTTAGATTTTTCTTGATTTTTTTCTTAAATTCAATTTGTTATTTATCTGAGTACCTTGTGCGCTCTCTCTCTCTCTCTCTCTCTCTCTCTCTCTCTCTCTCTATATATATATATATATATATATATATATACAAATGATAGAATTAGGCATGTTTCCTATCCCCATGGAAACGACAGCTTAATTAAATGATTTATGCAGTCTTTTCTGATATATTCCTTCATATAGCCCTTAATAGTTTCAATCGTACTGCAGTGAAGCTAGACAGGAGTAGGACATTTGTGTTCTTTTGTGCTGTACCTCTGGCATCTGGAACAATACTGGCACATAGAAACGGCTCATAAATCCTGACCAAGTGATTTGATCAATGAATAATCTCACATACACTATTTTATACAAGTAACTTTCCTATGGCCAAAAGAGAAATCCTTTTGTAAATAATAAGACCAAGATGTAAAGAAGTAATTTACCAAAATCACACAATAAATAAGGGACAGAACTGAACACAGAATCGAGGTTCTTTGATTCCTCAGCTGCTGCAATTACCATGCACGGAGAATTGCATGGCTTGTGAATGACAAAGGAGATTATTGTGGAATGAAGTCAATGTCATCTACTCTTTCAGAGACTCAATATAGATTTTTTTTTTTCTGCTTTTAAGATAAAACTAAGGACAAGTTCTTTTTCCTCTAACAAGGTAGGTTTTTTAATGGAGAATGCAGACTTACTGGATATGAGTTAAACAAAAGCAAACTTTAATATTGATAGCAGTAAGTGACATACTTAAGAAGAAAAATGGATGGTCCCAAACCCAGGGAAAACAAAGGGTTACACCTTTCATAATTTCAGGTAAAATGCCATGCAAACATGCATGCAGATTTCTCTCTCTCATCTCTCTCTCTCTCAATCTCAGTGTGTGTATGAAAGAGACACACACACACACACACACACACACAGAGAGACAAAGAAAGACAGAGACAGAGAAAGAATGTGGCTAAAAGTGTACTTCTGCATGTGTCAGATCACAAGAAGCACTGCATCTGCTTTGGTCTGAGAGAGACAGTAATTCCACCATCATGAACCTGAGGTACAACAATTTGACAATCCGTCCTAGACAGAATGTCACTGAAATATGCTCTTTTATTGATCTATAACAGAGTACTGATGTGCAGCAATGGTCTTATTTTACACATAAGACCTCAGTTTTCTGAAAATGCATCCTTGAACCCAATCACATTCCTAATTCAAAAAACAGTACATATATCTAAATTCAAATAACTTCAATATAATCAAGTTACATCATCTTGTTTGTAACTTTGGACCTAGTGGTGTCAACTACTGTGTACTGTCTTGTTAGGAAAGGGGTAAAGTCTTTGTACCAAGTAACTTTAGTTTGGAGATGCCTAACTATCCACCTGCTCAACCTTGATACATCCAGAGTAGACAGAAAAGCCTCTGGACAGAGGTGACTCTTAAACAGAGGCCTGACTGAGGGATACATAAACACAAGGAGAAAGTGCAGGAGCAAAATTATGTGTCCAGTAAAGATCTGGGCTCTCTGCAGGAATATGGAAAAGTCAGGCTGGTTGCAGGAAAGAGTGCAAGATGGATATAATGTATGTGAGGTTTCCTTACCTCCCTTAACAATTTTAATTAATGATGTAACAGAGAAACAATTATAATTGGGTCTGTACTTTCCATCAGATCTAAGGAGCTCAAGTTCCTAGATTAAATCACTGAGTACTGATGGTACTGTTTGGTATATGAATACTTAAATATCACTACAGTGTTAATTACTATGCCATATTTGGATGGGTTCGTGTTTTCTCTCTTAAAATGCAGCTTAATGTCTAATAATAATAAAATTTTGACTTATTTCAAAAATACTGGTATATTTAACTATAGTAATTAAATTAAAAATATGGCTTGAGCTTAAAAATAAAAATATAAGGAGAAGATAATCATACAAAGGCCTAGGGAAAATGAAAATTACCAAAACAGGAGAAGTCTTTCTCCTATGAGTTGACAAACCTTGCATCATAGTTGTTGGTCTTTCTTCCCCTAGAACCACCCCAACCCCGAGATGAAATGATACTACCTGGAGAAAAAGTTCAGGGCTGCAGTTTATAGAGAACACCATGTGGCACGCAGACTCTCCCTGTGTTGGCGGGCAGTGTGGTTGTGGGATGAGACTACGTTCTCCTCCTCATACTGTTGCTGACAGTTTTCTGTTTCTATAAGTGGTTTATCAATGAGCACTGAGTTTGCCAGGGGCATAATCCCAGGGAGCAGAAGGAGCTGGTGATGAGATAGAGGGAGATTATATTTTTCCACCTTTTTAATGGAACTCTGTAAAGGAAAGGCTGTGGTTTCCTCTCTACACCAGTACAGGATTCTGCACATAGTAAACTCTTATTAAGCTAAAATTATTAAAAAATAATAGACACCATTTGTCACTAGCTCTGTATTGTGATTTCATTTAGCATTAATTTCTTATAGCCATATTCTTATGACAAAGTATGTAATACTTGAACAAACAAAAGAAAATAGTAGTAAGTTTATATGGATTAGTAAATAATACACTAATACAATAATATTGAATAGTTTCAAAAACACAATATGCTCCTAAAGCGGTACAGAAACCACTGAAAATACAATTTGCCTAATTAATGTCAGTTGATGTAATAAACCTCCCTTCAAAAAATTAATTACTTGGATTTAAAATACATACACACACATACATATAGAGGCTGTAAAGGGCACCTTAATGAAAAAACTTTGCACATTCATCCTTTCCTATAGGCTAATATAACAAATATCCTTTTTATAAGATACCATTAATATGTCTTCTCATTTGTAGTTAATTACTCTCCATCTGGCAATATCTCTTTTTTAAAAAAGAAAATTTTGATTTGCATAAAAACAATTAGATGATCTATAACCTACAGTAATAATAAGCAAGTCAGGAAAAATACTGAGAAGAAAATTTTGCTCAGTCTAAGAATATGTTAATAATTTCCAGAGGGAGAATTTGAATACTGGCTAAATGTTTATGGCAAGGATATACTAGGAAAAAATTAACTCCATACTAGATGGTAAAACTTCTGATGTTGGACATTTGGGTTCATTCACCACTGACTCTGTAGCAGTGACTTATCTTTGTACTTTGCAAATGCTGATTTTCTTGATTGAAATTACAAGACTTTAATAAAGGTCATATCCTTTAGTAGTGAAAGCACTGAATTAAAAAGACAAATAAAATTTTCCCAATGTTTAATTGTGAAAAAATTTCATGATTAGGCACAGGGTTATACATTTTTTAACGCAGGAATTTATATTGAATTATGGCTTCTGCACTGATAATTTTATTGGATGTAATAAATATAGAGTTATTAGATAAATTCAACATGTGCTGAATTTAAAGAATTTTATGTCACTTGAACTTTTACATAAGTGTTTGTAAAATACTCTTGCCTAAGATGGAAGATTAGTGCAACTAACCTTTCAAGAAGGTCAATTATAAAAAATTGCTACCTAATAGTATTCTAGCTGTCCATTTAATGTTCATCTAATAATTTTAAAATTATGTTTCAGAGTTGCATTGACTGAAAATTATATGGAGCTTGGTAATGATAAAATATTTCAAGGCTGAAGTTTTATTAAAATACAAGAATTGGCATGGTGCTCCTTTACTTTTTACCAAGGGAGGGATTATGCAGCAGAGGAGACAGTGATATATCATCTTTAAGCAGATAATGTTTTATTTAGGTCAAGACAGCTGAATATGAGTCTGGGCATCCAAAATTCACCCTAATCCTCAGAGACATTTATGTTAATAATCTCTTGCAAGGCACTCTAACTCTTACTATTTTGTAAGATTTAGTAAGTAATAAGTAATACAATTTAGACCAATGTAGAATTTAGTGTTTAAGGAGAAAATGCCATTAGAACTGCTACATCCGCTTGCCATCTTTATCTCCATTGCTCTAGTCCAACCTGCCATCTCTCACCTGAACCATGCAACAGCCTTCTCACTAGGCTACTTAATATCCATTCTAGACAACATTTACCTTCCTAAAACTTGTTTTCAATTCTGCAACCAGAGAAATCTTCTCAAAGTAAAATTCTCATCATCTCATTTCCTTATTTAAAATCCTATTTTACTGGAGTCCCACTGCTCATAGGATGAAAACAAAATCTTAGTAGGTCTTGCAAGCTCCCACAGTGTGGGGTCCCCATTGCCTCTCCCACTTTAGCCACCTAAGCCTTCTTTAGCTCCTCATACCCACCAACCTTCTCCCTCCACAAAACATTTGTGTGAACACGTCCTCTGCCTAAATACATTGGCCTCCTTTGACTAATTAACTCCCACTCTCCCTTCAATGTTAGCTCCCAAATTAGGTAAAAATTTTCTTTTTAAGGCTTTCATGGTCTTGTGTATCTTTTTGTATCATATACACAAGACACACACAATCATATATATGTATACACACACAAGCGCATTATATTTGTACACTATGTATGTCTAATTTTTAGCACACACTAAGGCATAATAAGTTATATTAACTATGTTCAAGAACTACAACTAATTTCACGCTAGGGAATAGACAAAGAAAAGACTTCAATTTGAAGACACAAAAGTGGCATTCTAATAAAATTCTAAAATCTTACAAAATAAAACCCCCTGAAATAGTACCATTCCAAGTTATTTATTTCCATGACAGTTTTTTGATAACTTTTCTATAATGAGCAGTGCTAAATTATGATGCTTCTTCGGGAAGGTGATTATATTTTTAGTACGATGAAATAGATGTGATAAGCGCTGCTTAGAACTTGACAATATAGTCCTAGCTCAAAGATTTTCTATAAATAAAATTATTCTTCCTTAGATTTATGATCTTCTTTTTATATTGTGGCAACACAGTCCATGAACTACTGTTATTTTTAAATTTGGTTTCAAGTTAATGTATTTTAGCTAAGGACTATGCCACAGGTTCTTGAAATTCTATTTTTAGTATCACATTATAAATTCTCTGAATATAGACAAAATTAAATCATTTGCCAGTGTCAGCTTTTTCTCTTGGGACTCAATCATGCATACAACCTATAATAGACAATTCATGCTGTACAATTAGAACTTCAGGTAAAAGGTAATTTTTTCTCTTCTTTTTCTCTGAAATTCATTAACATAAACTAATGAATGAAATTCACAGATAAACATTACATTGACAAATAATTAAAAGCTATGAAACACTAATAGGTTTTTCCTAAAGACATTAATATGTAGACATAATGTGGCTCCCTCTAGATCTCTGTGCTCTTCTCTAGACCACATAGTGTAATCGGAGCCTGACATAGGTCAATACAGTGAATAAAGATAGAATAATTTAGAAAAGATTTAAAAATATAATCACTAAACTTGACTAATAAATATATAGCAATTTTTAAATATTTCTATAAAATATTTTCAAAAACAAAATTGACCTTGTTAAGGTCAAAAAGCAAGAATTGTACAGAATGCATTTTCTAAGGTAGGTATATAGGTATCAGAGAAAACAAGGCATATTAGTAAGTAAAAAAAGCAACTTGCAAAGAAATATAAGTTCATTTTTCTCAAAGAATATCATCTCTCTCCTTCCTTCCTTCCTTCCATCCTTCCTTCCTTCTATACATGTATCCATAACATATAATATATACACATTGTTAGTGTTTACATGTACATTTATAAAAGCGTCTGATGTATGTGCAAGAAAAACCAGTTACAATACTGTTACACAGATTTTACAATCATATATTTTAAATTAAATAAATGATTCTAAATTAAAAAAAGAAGAAGCTTCCCAAGTCAGCTACACAGTGATGCTCAATATATGCAAGACTCCTGTTATTAGAAATTAGTAATTTGATATTCTTTATACTTTTCCAACCTCATATTTTTCCTCTGAAAATTTAAGTTCACATTTTTGTGCTATACTTAATGGAGATATAAAATATCTAGACATAAGACTTCTTATTTTAAAGAAAAACCATTCATGTCAAATGATAGAGTCTCAGAATTTGAAGTGACCAAGAGATCAAAGTGTAAATCCCTTATTTTTAAGCTGAAGCATTTAAACTTAAAGACTATTACCAATTTAGCCTTAACTTCCCTCAGCCTAATATTAAAAAGTTCTAGTTCTTATACTTTCCTCTTATTTTATATTTTTACAACTGTTAACTTTTTCCATTCTCTAATTGTTTGATCACTAAATTTTAACAGGTTATATGACTTCAGGATTCAAAAAGTAAAATGTTAAAAAGCAATACACATTAAAAACTCACCTCAAATCTCTATTCCCATCTACCCAATCTAATTCAATTCACTCTACATAATCATACTTATTATTGCCAAATGAATGTATGATTTATCTTTTAACTTTCCCAATGTAATGCATAAAAAGTGGTATTTGAGAATTATCTGTTCAAATCTTTACTTTTTGATCCACTGAGTATTTGGTCTATTTCTTTATAATCTTTTGTTTGTGATAAGAGTAGAAAATCTTTTCCCCATTTTTTCATTTACCTTTTGACTTTGTGAGATCTGTTGCTATGTAAAAGCTTCTAATTTTTATGTGGTCAAAAGCATCAATCTTTTCTTTCAATTTTCTTAATTTTGAATTCCAGAAAAGCCTTCTCACTCTGTGGTTATAAATAAATACCCTACGTTTTCTTCCAGAAGTTTTGTTGCTTTGTTTAAATGTACATTTTTAACTTTTGGAGCCAAAATTATTCCAGGCTGATGCCATATACCACACATAGTGCTGGGTGATGCAGCATTGACAAGATAAGCAGGTAACCACCATCATGGAATGTAAAATACAGCAGAGGAAGAAGCCAACCATAACCCGGATTCAAATAAAGTGCAATGGAATTCATGAGACATAAAGGTCAGGATTGTATGGGAGCATATAACAGGGACATTTAATCAAGTCTAGGAGAGAAGAAAAGAAAATAATCATCATGGGAAAGTGACATTTAGGAAGAGGTAGGAAAGAAAACTACTGGTCCTTAGTCCACTGAAGGAGGAAGCAGAGGAAAGAGGCAAGAAGAATGAAAGTGCTCCAGGAAGAGGTTCGCTTTAGAACATTCCAGCCTCTTGGAGTACAATCTTCAAAGTCTTGTATGAAATCTATAATTCCTTGGTGGGAGGGAGGCAATAATGGGAAAACATAAGAAATTTTTTAAAAACCCTGAGGTTCAGATATAGGTATTGCTCGATACAACAGTGGCAGAAACTCATAAAGTGTAAAGCTGGTTTGCTCAACACCACAATATGAGATTTTACAACTTTTTCCCGATATAATTCTTCAGTTTTCCATTTACAGTTTCTATCCCTTCACTCACCCCATTGATTATAGGTACAAATTTGCAAGATTTGATTTGAAATAAACTGAGAAAACAGTATCTCCCTCAAATATTATCTATATGCTTTTGCCACATACCTCTTTTTCAATCTTTCCATATCACCTATTTGGTGAATAGTTATCCACTTTTAGCTTCCACATTGAAGAGAAAGTAATTCTTTCTACCAAAAGAGTTACATGTCCATTGTTACATACACAAAACACAAAAGGATACACTCTGCACTGATGGACGTGGATTGTGTCTGAAATAAAAAGGGTTATACCAGTTAAATAGTAGCAAGAAGTCTGCCTAACCTATTGATAGAAAACAAACCTCCATAGAAATTAGTTGATAAAGACTCATACAGAATAATATGCTTAAACAATAACATAATCAAACATGAATTCCCTTGGTGGTATGGCCCGTCAAGTAATGATCAACTCCCAATGTTGACCTGACCATTTGAGATACACAGGAAAGGCCCAAGCCTCATCAGACCTGTCCTTGTAGTCTCAGCTAGCCATAATGCCTAAATGTAATTCCAAGATTCTGAGTGATTATAAATGGATCCTAATACCCAAACCTACATAGAGTATGTTGTCTAAAAATATTGGTACAGCAAAATAAAAAGAGCTCTTTGGATGGCTGGTAGTGACAGTGGCACAACTAAGTGAATGTACTTAATGTCACTGAACTATAAAATTAAAAATGATTAAGATGGTAAATTTCATATTGTTTGTATCTTATCACAATTTTAATGAGACATAAGGATTTAAAAATCAAAACAAAATTTTAAAAATGTGCATTAACAATATAAATATGTCATTCTAGACAAACTCATTTTATTTTCCTCACAAAATTCTTTAAGAATTATATTTTGATGCCCAGGATGTGTGTTGGGAATGGGCAAAAATATCAGTAAACCTCAACTCTGATGGTGATTTGTGTTTGTATTTGCTGTATGTTGCATTAGCATACTACATTAGTTTTAGCTAAGACTCTAATACTAATATTTTCAGATAAACATTGTAACACACATAAGGCATCTGAGTGAATGGTTATTTTTGATTGAATTTGTCTTTTATTTAAAAGACAAAAATATTGCCATCACTATATCCAATAACTTCATTTGGAAAATTTCTTTCCACACTTAACCAGTCTTGAGTCCTGCACATGTCAAATAAGTTTTATCTAATATGTTACCATATACTAGCAAAACAGGTTTTATTATAAAGTAATATATACTGCCAGACAACATTAAGTACTGAGAGACATAAGGATTGTTGAAGAGCAATATATTTCTACGATTAAATTTCATGTTTGTTTTCATGACATCTGAGGCTCACTTATCTAAAGGAAGAGCTATTAACTCAAATATTTGCTACAAACTCTGGAGAGTTTGAAAGTAGACTTTTTTTCCCATTGAGATAAGAAGATACCTATATGATCTATACAAAATAAATTACTTATTTTCAGAAAAAGTAAACACTAAAATTGCTTCTAAATTGTAGAAGATATTAAAACTAGTCACACACACACACACACACACAAAAAAAAAAACATTTCAAGACAATATTTAAAGTTCTTAGCAAGAGTCTATGATTTTATTGAGGGTTTAATAAGACAAATGCCAATTTCTGGTTTGGTTTTGAGATGGAATCTCGCTCTTGTTACCCAGGCTGGAGTGCAGTGGCGTGACCTCGGCTCACTGCAATCTCTGCCTCTGGGTTCAAGTGATTCTCCTGCCTCAGCCTCCAGAGTAGCAGGGACTACAGGCGCCTGCCACCACAACCAGCTAATTTTTGTATTTTTAGTAGAGACGGGGTTTTGCCATGTTGGCCAGGCTGGTCTCGAACTTCTGACATCAGATGATCTGCCCGCCTCAGCCTCCCAAAGTGCTGGAATTACAGACATGAGCCACTGTGCCCAGCCAATTTCTGGTTTTAATAATCGTTGAAAATGCAGTAATCCTGAAGCCCCATAATCACCAACGTGAATAACGTGTTAAATTCAGGATCTCCTTGAGGGTAGAAAAATTGTGTCAACTAATCATTACTTTGGTGAATGGCTCTCTTTTTTAAAAAACCTGTCATCCTCAAAGAATTGATATCATTTAGCCATGCTCTATGTGATTCTATTTTGTAAAAAATTGAGAACCAATACACTGCTCACTTCCAACTTTCTACTACTTACTTTTATTCAAGCAGCAATGCACTCTATGAGCCAGTGCAATCTTTTTGGCTTCTATTTGGAAGGGTGACTTTTGTGTTATCTGACCCTACTGTTCCATTCTTAAAAGCAGAAACAGTATGATCTGAGGTGAAGAGGAAAAGCTCTCCCACTCCCAGTTAAAAACTCAGATTTTGCTCAGATCTGTCTTTCTGTACTTTCTTAGTGACAGAAGCTCACATGAATAAAAGCCTCAGGGCAATGTTGAGCTATTTAAGAACTCTAAGTTTTGAGCTAAAGACCTCTGAAGAGTTCATTCTTATCTCCTACCATTTAATTAGCTAGATATTATCAGGTTCTTTGTAATATAATGGTTATTCTTAAGTACGCTACCTGTGGACAGGGCATTGAAGGTGTGTGACTAAATCCCAAAATTAGAGAGGAATGTAACCAAAGACTCTAGGTTAGAGCAAGGATGTCTAAGGTGTCGAAAGTAGTTTCCATGTTTGTGAATCAATTATTTATAAGTATTATTACTATTAAAAGCAATATGACTTGAGATGGTATCAATTGCCTTCAACTATGGCTGAAGCAATCTTTTTTTTTTTTTGCATGAAATGCACATAATCTTCTGATCTTGCTCAACCCTCAACATCTGCACACCTTTTATGGGCACCGGGTGCACTTGTGTGTTAGGGAGATAGTCTCCAAGAATTTGGTATTTCTGCTCATCCTCTAAGAAAAAGGCATTGACAGCTTTGTTCGAGGAAATCTACAAAGCTGTTGTGGGGACAGGGAGTAGATTTGCTTATGCACCAGGGTCATAAAACTAGGTCTGCCCCCCTCCTGGAGATGTTCCAGGGTGATAGAGAAAGGGTCTCCCTCTGGATCAGAGGCAGATTGGTTTCCTGACCAAGAAAATATGAATAATGTCTTTCTCTAAAGTGGAGGATGAGCAGGTTTGCTTGAAGTCCCCTTATAAGTCTGGATTTCCAACGCTCCTCAGTTGTGGCACAGACCCGCCATGTGTATAGTATCTACCCAGGCTTCCTCCACATCGCCCCCATAGGACCTGGGGGGATGGGGATTTGATGTGAACTTGAAGCTCATGCTGTCTGCTGTGCTGTGAGTAATAAACAGCTACATCATTCGGGTGTGTTGTCTCCTCACTGACTGAATCTATGGAAGCCTGGCAAGGGCAACTGGCAGCTGCAATATTTGCTGCTGCTTAGGTTCTGCTTGAGCACTTGACAACACGGATCCCAGTTGTAGGTAAATAAAGAGAAATCAATACAACGTTTTTAGTAATAAAAATAAAGCATAGCCTTTAAAAGTGACTAGTCACAATTGTTTCATGTAATGATAGGAATTATATTATTTATAACTATTTTCATCAACATAGGTCTATTCAGCCTTGATGGCAGACAGCTTGTTTTGCATGTCACTTTCCCCATCTTTTTTTGACTCTTTAAATCTCAAATTGGAAAATCTAGTAAACCTATAAATTATTGTAAATGGCAATTATTTCTAACACTGTGAAGCCCTTCAGAATACTCAGATTGAACATGGGCTCAGAAATTCTGAGTGTTTTCTTATAATTTTCCATTAAGGGCCATTTCTAGCACTCCTTCAAATGCCAAGTCAGCGAGCAGGGCAATTAAAACTCGAAAGCCGAGGGCGACATAGAGAATCCACATCTGATTTTTGAATGCCTACAGTCCCAGAAATTATTTCTCTCTGCTTTTGCCACGTTTGGTTGTGTTTTTTACATACGATCAAGTATATATACACAAATACTTTCTCGATGCCGGCCGAGACAGCACAGACAGACCGACCGACCGACTGGGGTGTTTCGCAATTGTGAGAGGCGGGTAACCGCGCTGCGCTCCTGTGCTGCGGCCGGTGGCTTCATTGCCTGCGACGCCCTGCCTCTGCTGCCCGACTGGCTGGCAAGATGAAGCTCTCCCTGGTGGCGGCGATGCTGCTGCTACTCGGTGAGGCGTGGTTCGAGGACAAGGAGGAGGACGTGGGCACGGTGGTCTGCGTCGACCTGGGGACCACCTACTGCTGCGTCTGTGTGTTCAAGACCGGCTGCGTGGAGATCACCGCCAACAATCAGAGCAAACGCATCACGCGGTCCTATGTGCCCTTCACTCTTGAAGGGGAATATCTGATCGGCGATGCCGCCACGAACCAGCTCACCTCCAATCCCAAGAACACGGTCTTTGACGCCAAGTGGCTCATCGGCCGCACGTGGAACGACCTGTCTATGCAGCAGGACATCAAGTTCTTGCGGTTCAAGGTAGTTGAAAAGAAAACTAAACCATACGTTCAAGTTGATATTGGAGGTGGGCAAACAAAGACATTTGCTCCTGAAGAAATTTCTGCCATGGTTCTCACTAAAATGCAATAAACCGCTGAGGCTTATTTGAGAAAGAAGTTTACCCATGCAGTTTTTACCTTACCAGCCTATTTCAATGATGCCCAATGCGAAGCAACCAAAGATATTGGAACTATTGCTGAGCTAAATGTTATGAGGATCATTAACGAGCCTATGGCAGCTGCTATTGGTTATGGCCTGGATAAGAGGGAGGGGGAGAAGACATCCTGTTGTTCCACCTGGGTGGCAGAACCTTCAATGCGTCTCCTCTCACCATTGACAATGGTGTCTTCGGAGTCGTGGCCACTAATGGAGATACTCATCTGCGTGCAGAAGACTATGACTAGCGTGTCATGGAACATTTCATCAAGTTGTACAAAAAGAAGACTGACAAAGATGTCAGGAAAGACGATAGGGCTGTGCAGAAACTCCAGCTAGAGGTAGAAAAGGCCAGATGGGCCCTGTCTCCTCAACATCAAGCAAGAATTGAAATTGAGTCCTTCTATGAAGGAGAAGACTTTTCTGAGACCCTGACTCAGGCCAAATTTTAAGAGCTAAACATGGATCTGTTCTGGTCTACTATGAGGCCTGTCCAGAAAGTGTTGGAAAATTCTGATTTGAAGAATTCTGATATTGATGATGTTGTTCTTGGTGGCTCTACTCGAATTCCAAAGATTCAGCAACTGGTTAAAAAGTCCTTCAATGGCAAGGAGTCCTCCCATGGCATAAACCCAGATGAAGCTGTAGTGCATGGTGCTGCTGTCCAGGCTGGAGTGCTCTCTGGTGATCAAGATACAGGTGACCTGGTAGTGCTTGATGTATGTCCCCTTACATTTGGTATTGAAACTGTGGGAGGTGTCATGATCAAACTGATTCCAAGGAACACAGTGGTACCTACCAAGAAGTCCATATCTTTTCTATAGCTTCTGATAATCAACCAACTGTCATAATCAAGGTCTATGAGGATGAATGACCCCTGACAAAAGACATTCATCTTCTGGGTACATTTGATCTGACTGGAATTCCTCCTGCTCCTCGTGGGGTCCCACAGATTGAAGTCACCTTTGAGATAGATGTGAATGGTATTCTTCGAGTGACAGCTGAAGACAAGGGTACAGGGAACAAAAATAAGATCACAATTACCAATGACCAGAATCACCTGACACCTGAAGAAATCAAAAGGATGGTTAATGATGCTGAGAAGTTTGCTGAGGAAGACACAAAGCTCAAGGAGTGCATTGATACTACAAATGAGCTGGAAAGCTATGGCTATTCTCTAAAGAATCAGATTGGAGATAAAGAAAAGCTGGGAGGTAAACTTTCCTCTGAAGATAAGGAGACCATGGAAAAAGCTGTAGAAGAAAAGATTGAATGGCTGGAAAGCCACCAAGCTGCTGACATTGAAGACTTCGAAGCTAACAAGAAGGAACTGGAAGAAATTGTTCAGCCACTTATCAGCAAACTCTATGGAAGTGCAAGCCCTCTCCCAGCCACGAAGAGGATACGGCAGAAAAAGATGAGTTGTAGACACAGATCTGCTACTGCTGTAATATTGTAAATACTGGACTCAGGAACTTTCCTTAGAAAAAAAATGAGAGAAGTCAAGTCTTAAATGTAATTGGAATTGTCACCTCAGAGTGGAGTTGAAAATGCTATAGCCCAAGTGGCTGTTTACGGCTTTTCATTAGCAGTTGCTCACATGTCTTCAGGTAGGGGGCAGAAGAATTGGCCATCTTAAAAAGTGGGTAAAAAACCTGGGTTAGGGTGTGTGTTCACCTTCAAAATGTTCTATTTAACAACTGGGTCATGTTCATCTGGTGTAGGAAGTTTTTTCTGCCATAAGTGATGCCAATAAATGTTAGTTATTTGCACTGGTCTAAAAAGAATACTTTCCCAAAGGAAAAATTTTTAGAGAGACTATCTGAGAATGTCCAACTTTTGACTGTTGAGTTTCATCTTCATATGAAATCCTTTTATATTTGCATGATAGGAAGTCTTTCTCCTTCAGTCTTGAAGCAACAGGTTCAGACTTTTTAGGGCAGAGGACACATTACTGAGCTAGCCACCTGGGCATGTCTCTTGAAATCATGGTACCCCTTTTTGTACTTTTAGTATCAAGAAGCAATTGTTTTTATTGTTGTTTCTCTGTTGTTATTGTTGTGTGTTTGTTTCATTGCAAACACTCGGGAAATTATCTTTCCCTCAATGGTCAGCTGACCTCAGGATAGATCCACAGAATTGTGCAAATCTCTTTGCATACTGAAAAGAATGTCATTGTCTGACAGTGATTGGATCATAATAATAATTTTCACCATTTTCTTCAACATGCAATGTAAACAAGATTCGGAGTATGGATTGAACGTCGATGCAAAATTCTTTATTAATTAAAGTAAGCATGTTCTTTCTTAATCCTCATATAGCTGAAGTTGAATCACCATTGCATACCTCCCTTATGCTGTGTTTGCACAAATGCCAAGAGCAAATTCATACTCTGCATATTAATTGATTACTACAGCTATAAAATACAGTATCTGTTAGAATACATATTAGAAAGTAATTGCTTTTACAGAATATGTCATTAATTTAGTGTGTCATCACGCATTGTTATTTAACAAAGAAATGTTGCCAATAACTCATTTTGTTTTCTCTCTGAGTATAATATTTGTAATTATCTTTGCAATTGTCTCTACAAATTTTTTGGAAATAGTATCATTTATTCTTCTTTTTGCTTTGAGGAATGCAAGTTTGAATGATGGCTCTAAAGTTGTGTGTCTTCTCTACAAACAATTATGGCGTTAATCAAGTTTGTACAGGGAAATGTAATTTTGCACTTGTTCTGAAAAATCACAATTTGGCAAAGTTTTATAAGTAATATGTTAAAAACTCGAGGCAAATGGATTGTTGGAATCCAATATAGTCTAGTTTTCTGAGAGTCATACTTCTTACTTGTCCCATTTTTAAATGGATTTCTTTGAAATCTCTACAATCACACTTGCTGACAGATACATATTCACATCCTATATTTTTACTCAAATCCTATTCATGATAAATATTTAGTATATCATATGTGTTGTAACATTGTGTTTCTATTCTTATCATTGTAATTATGACTCAGGAATTGCTTTTGGGACATTAGTTTATCTGGGGAAACTAGTACTAGAACACGACCAATGGTAAAATATGACAACTTAAAATTTAATAAGCCTACATAAAACAAACCAACGACAAGAATAATCTCAAGAACGATTGTACCTCACTAAGTAAATATTAGGTAGAAAACTGACATTGCAGTGCATTCCCAAGAATTAAGAGCATAATTATTACTAAAAACAGAACAGAATTTCTATAAAGATTATCTTAATTTGTAAATAGCTAAGTATACGATTATATTTATTCATAGTTTACTCTAAAAGTTCATAGTGTCTGTAACCAGGAATTTGTTGATTATATTTTAAAACAATATTCTTTTAAATTCATACATCATTGCTTTACTTTCACCTTAGGATTTACTATTTACTTATATAAGTTTAGGAGAATTTAGTTTTTAAAGCCACAAACTGATTAATTATGCTCAGCTTCAAAGTAAACATTATGATGCAAACTCTTCTATCATGAGCCCTCATAAGAGAGTCAATCATTCAGGCAGCCAATACCAGCAAAGTAAAAAGTTAGTGATCTCTGACCTTCTTGTTTCCATCATTCAACAAGTATTAACTGAGACTTTTTGGACACTATAGAATAAAGTGGGCTCCTCTTGTCCAAATGTTTCAAGTGGCAAGTTACAAGTTATAATTTTGGAATATACAAGGAATTAAAAAACACTTCAGTCACTCTTGAAGCACCTGGGGCTATTTCTGTAGTAATATTGGATTTCTTCCCCCAAACAAGATAACAAAACAATAAATCATAAAAGTTAAAAGTATGAAACATTTATAAAATTTTTAGAGGTGCATTCAAGTTAGGCATGCCAGAAAGTCCTCTTCCCCTTAAGAAATTATTCAAACCACTATACTAGGAACTTGCAGCTGCTATGCCAATGACCTTTGTCTTCTGCTAGGCACTTTTCGGAAGAAGCATTCCTTATGAAAAGTTCTAGGCACAATTTGAGTTTCTGAAAATGGTTAGAGGGAGGACACTGTTACCGACTGCAGTGCCTGTGTGACTTATCTGTATCCCTACCCGGCTCTTGTTGCCAAATGCCTACACCTGTGTGATATAGCTAAATTCTTACTCAGCTCTAACTCTGCTTATTTTTAGGAAACAGGATGTCTGTGGTCAGAGGTTACCTCTTAGGCAGCTTATTTGACCTCTGAAGGACCTCTAGCTTCATTATTATCCAATTTTCACACTAAATGACACTCCCACTGGTGCCATGACACTTGACAATCACCGTGAATCACCTTTTTCGGAAGATGCCAAAAAAGAACAAAAAAGAGGACTCTCCTTGATTCCAAGAAAATCTCCGTCCCTTTCCAAGAAAAAGCATGACTATTCTTCTGCTTGTTCTTAATGCCCCATACCTTCATTAAAGATACCCTATATCTGTAACTTCCCAGTTCTCAGGAGCCGAGAAGTTGATTTGCGAGCTATGCTCCCAGTTATCCAATTCCACGGCCATTGGAATAAAGCCTGCACTGCTTAACTCTCACTTTTGGTTTTGTCTATTGGCTTCATGACACAGAACAGGAAAGATCTTCTTTTGGAATAATGAGGACCTCCAGTAAGAATGCCTCTTTCACTTGGATTTGTTCAATTGAGTAAATGGAATACATTTCATGTGTCAATGTGGCTGCTGGCCGCCTGGGCATTGACAATCCAATGGATGTTCTATGAGGGCAGTTTCCTAGTCTGCTCATTATTTCATCTTCAGTGCTAGAATAATTATTATGACATAAGAAACATTTAAAAAATGAGTGGGTAAATGAACAAATGCTGTCCAAAATCACCCTGCATCTGTCAACAAGAATGCACAAAGATCTGTAAATTTCAGACCAATAGTCCAATGTTTGTCAGATAATTTCCAAAGACTCTTGTAATAAACAAGCTGTCTCTAAGAAGCAACTGGCTTTTGTTCACTTACCCTAAGAAATTTCATTTCTGTGGTTAGAAGTTATTAGTAAGCAGCTTTAATGTTCTAGGGCTTTTAGCACATTCTAGTCTAAAACTCATTTTAAAGGTCTTGATGACTATGGTTCAAGATTAGGAAGAATGAACTCTCTCTCTCAAAAGTGGGTAATGTCAACCAGAATCATCACCACATAAAAATATCAGGAAACTGAGGTAGAGACACAATAAGGTATAACACTCCCACTGCATTATAGTGAATCATAGATTAAAATGTTTGTTCTCATGACTACATTACACACAAGCTCCATTTTTTTCTGTGAAAAGAGAAAAAGAAACATAATTTTAATTTTAATTGTGTGGATTTTTTTCTTTTAGCTTTTTCTGCCTATAGCGCCAACAAAGTATTAAACTTTAAAGCCACAGCAGTATTCTAATTTCTAAAATTACTTTAAGAAACAGATTAAGGGCACTGCAGGTGGGAAAGGCATGATGACTTCACTGGGAGCATAATGTGAGAACCATCATGATGGATGAACAAATCCAGCTAATGGAAAACATCCCATTTCACATTTCCTACCATCGTAATATAAAATAAAACATAGTTAATTTTTTTTCAAAAACCTATTTTCATTTTAGTGTTTAATACCTGGTGTCTGTCAAAATCTTGCAGTTAATTAACTTCTCACACTCACAGCCTGCATCTCTTGATTGTATGCTGTCATCTTATAATAAAATTTAGCAGGATAGCACTGACTAATATCAAATGTTAAGGTCAAGTTCTATGACGCATTTAATGGATTTTCAAAAGGGAGAAAAGCATGGTTTTAACTATTTGATATCAAATAATGACATTCAAAATTTTAATATTTCAGAAATTCTAAAGTAAATTGTGTTATACTAATTAAATAATAAGTAAAATTATTATTTTTCTTATACTTTAAGTTCTGGGGTGCATGTACAGAACATGCAGGTTTGTTACATAGATATATATGTGCCATGGAGGTTTGCTGCACCCATCAACCCGTCATCTACGTTAGGTATTTCTCCTAATAGGAGAAATAGCTCCTACATTAGCTATCCCTCCCCTAGACCCCCACCCCCTGACAGGCCCCAGTGTGTGATGTTCCCCGCCCTGTATCCGTATGTTCTCATTTTTCAACTCGCACTCATGAGTGAGAACATGTGATGTGTTTAGTTTTCTGCCCTTGTGTTAGTTTGCTGAGAATGATGGTTTCCAGCATCATCCATGTCTTTTATTTTTTTTTTAAAGTCACTCATTAGCTCTAAGTTCTTTGAGGTCATGATTTATTCTTTACTAAATCTTTGTATTCTCTCTACAAGACCTAGAAAATTGTTTTTTTTCTTGTAATCAGCACTCATATGTTTACCAAATAAACAAAAAGAAAATATTTTTCCAAATGCAATTTTACACGTAAGATCTCAGAATTCTGATGCTACTATAAAAAAGGATTAAAAAGAGAAAATTTACTTTTTACGTTAATGGGAAATGTGATATTCAGATATTATAAATATTTTAAACAAAGCTATTGGGTAAAATATAATCAAACTAAGTAAGATATATACCTCACGTTCTCTAGGATCTTTTTTTATCCCCACAATTTCTCAGACAAATGAAAATAGAAAGTTATTCTCACGTTGTGCATTAGAAGGGACCCTGGATTACTATCTGTGCCCTCATTCTAGCTCTATGACTCCCTGACTTGTGCTTGGGATCTAGAATTTAAACCCGGATAGTCTCACTTTCATGATCTATAAAATAAGGGAATTTCTAACTAAAACAGACCAGGAAGATTATACAGACCAGCAATAAAGTTCTACAAAGATAAGCCAATGACACTTCACATATGGTCCCTAGCTTGTTGGACACCTTAGAGTTTACTCTTACTGGGTTTTGAATTAATCTAAAATTATAAATCATTTTTTGAGTCTTTACTGAAATTCTATATGCTTTTATTTTTATACATGATATTAGTTAAGTGAGTTATTGGGACTTAAAAAATGATACTAATAACTGCTTTATTACTAGAATTTATTGAGGTCTCCAATTCTATGCTAAAAACAAAAATTAATGCAGAAAAATCAACATAAATATAGTTGAAATGCTGCAATTTTCCAGCAATCATTATATTCATGAATGCCTTGACTGATAAAGGTATTATTGATGAGAGCATTTAATTACTAGTCTTCATTAGTTTTTAATTATGTTACTATTAGTTTCATTCATGTTATTTGACTTGTTGCTGGTTGTATCTTTCAATGTACAATGATAGTTATTTGTCTCAATGCATTTTTGCTCAGCTTTTAAATAAAAAATGTATAGATGCACAGTCTCTAAGGTACAATATATATTTTCCACACTGTTTTTGCTAAAATAACTATATTCATAATGTCCCCAGGTATGCTTTATTATTTCTTTGCAATGATTTTGCATGATTTAAATAATTTGCAACATGCTATTAAAATAAAATTCTGAGATATTTGAAGCTTATAAATCATTGTTTTAATAAATAAAATCAAGTATAAAGTGCATTATTATTTTTCCAAAAATTTGCTTTAGCAAATTATTTCCTTATTAATAAATTTTAAAAATAGAATTTGCTTTAACAATACATTTACTGTAATTTGTTTTAAATTTTTAGCAACATTTTCATTGTAAATATTTTCTTTCCTCTTTTTGTTAAATCCTGGAGCTTATTTTACTTGAACACAGTAGCAAGCATTAATAAGTGGATTGTAGTGCCTTTTCCTTGGACTAAAAGGACTATACTTAAAAGAATAGAATGTGTAAAAAAATAAAAAGAGAGAGAGAATAATTAATAGTAATCATTCTACAAAGCTAGTATCCCAGTTAATATTTACAAATATTATTTTATTTGGCAGTAAAAATAGTATTTTAGTCCACCGCCTCCTGCCCTCCCTCCCTCCACAACCCCCAGTACACTTTTCCCGTCTCATTCCCACAGCAATGTTACAATCAGAAAAAAGTAAGTTTCAGGGGGCAGGATTGGAGGGGGGAGGGGATATGGGTAAAAACAGTCAAATCACAATAGGAATTTTTCAAAATAGGTTATTCTACTTAGTCATCATCTTCTCCCTCATCTTCAGGTTCTCATTTTCGCTTCTGACCCCTTTCTTCTTCACCAAGCTCTTCTTCATCTTCCTCGCCATCTACCTCTCCATCGTTATAACCTTCTTCATCCTCCTCGTCCCCTCCACTCACGTCCTCCTCTTCACCTTCCTCCTCCTCCTCCTCGCCCTCCTCATCTTCCACTACCTGAGCATCTTCATCATACTCCTCCTCATGCTCACCCTCCTCCTCGTCATCCAGGCCCTCCACGTGGTCCTCAATATCTGAGTAAGGGGCCTCCTTGTGGTCCCAGTAACAGCTGTCGAGATATGTGAGTTGCAGGAGAAGCTTGAACACGTTTTCTCCGTAGTCGTTCAGGTTGGTTACCTCGCAATTGAAAAGGTCTAAGCTCTTGAGGTTTTCTAACTGTTTCAGTGGCTCTATTGTGCTGAGGTCTTTAATTTTGTTGCCACTTAAATATAGATGCGTGAGGTTTGGACACTTTTCTGCCAATACTTCCAGGCCCCCTGAGACTCTTAGTTCAAGCTTTCTCAACTTTAACTTTGGTAAGTCTGAGATTGAGGTGAGGCCTCCGTTGATTTTACTTAAGAATTCCAGTTCTTCAAATTCATCTGTGAGGGCTTCGAGTTTGCCTTCATTCGACCGACTGTTGTCCAGGGCAAGTTCTTTCACATCAGAGGGCGCCCTGTTCCGCAGCTCTGAATGAATCCGTCTGCCCATCTCCATCTCTCGCGCTCTCTGTCTGCAGAGGCTCTCGTGCCAGCCGAATTCAATCAATAAACCTCGAACCCACGGCCGCACGTTTTAGGACTTTGAAGACTCAACCAGCTCCGCTCGGTTCTCGAGCCCCAATATTTACAAATATTATAATAAAGGGACTGATAAGTAACCTGGGTCAAGCAGAACAATTATTCAAGTATATGGATCTTCCTAGTAAGAAGGTAGGTGTGTGTGACTAAAGAAAATCTTATCTGATGCTCACGTTGATAATTTGTGAATACACAAGGCACTCCCCTCTACACTACTTACTGTGAATCAGCCTTCACAAGTACCCATTTTTCTTTTTACTTTTAGAGACCTGACACGGGATATCTTTGAATCTATAGACTAGGTTTAAAGTAACCTGAGAATATGCATCACAGAAATTAAATAACACAATGAACCATGAAAGACATATTTTGGTGAGATCTCCCCTCAAATGAAAGAATAAAATGCCAAAAACATCCTGTAAAAAGCTAAATCTATCTTTTATTGGTATCATCATGAATTATGAATTTTCCACTTCTGACTCACAATGTGATCTTGGTTGTATCTGTTCTGTCAGATTATACCTAAAACCAAAGTATCTAACTAGGTTTAGATACGGCAAGTGGTAGAGGAATAAAATTTGAGTGGCATGTATGTTTATTTAGAGAGGAATAATTTTTTACTTTCTGAGACATTTATGTTTTTAATGAGCAAGGAAAATAGTATTTCTAGTGTGAATTAGTTCTTACACAAGGATCATGAGATGGTTTTCAGCAGGTACTAGTCCTATGTCCCACATTGACAAAATATGCTATATTAAAAATAATATTTCCCTAAAACAATCTTTTCACAGGCTATGGGATTTGTGGAAAAACACTCAGGAAGAAGATAAATTAATATAGTGTTCTATTGAGAAGTTAGCAGCACAGGCATTAGGAAATTTGTGTCTGAGCCGTAATTCCACCAGGAAACATGGCAGAAGCCTTGAGTGAATAACATTTTTTGCTTCATTTTCCCCATCAGTGAATTGGGAATAGAAGTATCATTTCATCTTGTCTCATACTATGTCCCATAAGCAAAAGAGGGGCTCAAAAACCTGAAAGGCTAAAATTCCAGACAAATAGAAATACATTCCCTGAAACTCTTACTATAAGAATATGAGCAATAGATTCAAAAAACTAAAAGGCTAAAATTCTAGGCAAATAAAAATATATTTCCTGAAATCTTTACTATAGGATATGAGCAAAAGATTCAAATAAAACAAGCAAGAGTAGCTAGAAAATATCACAGATTCCACTAGTAAAATGCTTGTGGATTTTAATAATCCTATTCAGTTTACTGATGTGTGCTCAGATTGATCACATGTTCCAAATCCTATAACCCACACATAGCAAGAACACTGAGACAATTGAATGAGCTTACATAAACTGCCTTGAAAGTAAGACTTGCCTTGTGTACTTCTCAAATAGTTTCGTTCTGTACACCCTTACTGCCACTAATGGATTTCAAACCTTCAACATTTTCTTTTATATAGCTTATACAATAAACTTTTCACTGTCATTGAACTCTATCTTGTTTTGCTTCCCACAAATTCATCTACCACACTGACATCAAAATCAAACTTCTACACCAGGCAGGGTGGCTCACGCCTGTAATCCCAGCACTTTGGAAAGCCAAGGCAGGCAGATCACCTGAGGTCAGGAGTTCAAGACCAGCCTGGCCAACATGGTAAAACCTGGTTGTTACCAAAAAATACAAAAGTTAGCCAGCTGTTGTAGAGCCCGCCTGTAATCCCAGCTACTCGGGAGGCTGAGGCAGGGAATCGCTTGAGAGGCAGAGACTGCAGTAAGCGGAGATCACTCCACTACACTCCAGCCTGGGTGACAGAGCAGGACTCTGTCACACACACACACACACACACACACACACACACACACACACACACACACAGAGAGAGAGAGAGAGAGAGAGAGAGAGAGAAGAGAGGAGAAGAGAAGATAAAAGAAGAGAAAAAAATCAAATTTCTAAGGTGTAGATATGACAATTTTATTTCCCTGCTTAAAGTTTCAGTAGCTCCCCAGTGGCTTCCCAATATCTTATCATGACATATATGGGGCTCTGTGCCCTTGAACCTGCATATGTCTTCAGTCTTTGCTCCCATGGCACAGTACTTCTAACTGTGTGCTCCAGCAAACTATTGGAAGTTCCCAGGAAGGCAGGCTACTTTTGTGCCTATGTACCTTTGGTTCTTTTGCTTTTTCCTGGGACCTCCTTGCAATCTTTAGTTGCCTTTGGTTACTTTTCCTTTAAGCACCATTTAAGATATCCCTTTCTACAGAAGGACTTTCTGGGTGACTGCATTCGGAGAAGCACACCTTCTCTGCACTCCTATGCATGGTATGTATGTTTGTATTACTGCATTTACCACCTTGTGTTATTTATTGTGTATTTGGCTCTCCCTCTATAAAGACTTGTTCATCTTACAATTTGGATTCCTAGTGTCTATTATATTATTTACTGGCAAGATGCAAGATATCATTGTAAACATTAAATAGTCATTTTGAGCTGTTTCCCAGAAGAAAAATCAAGGATGGCGTCAGTCCTAATATGATTACCAATATCTAAGACGCACTTCTCTCTCTACCCTCTAATATATTGTGCTCTGAGTTATGCTTAGAAGGTGATTTACCATTTCTAAATATAACTGGTACCTGTTTCCTGCACATAAGTCTTGTATAACTGGTTCAAGTTTATTTATTTTTCAGGGTACAGTCCTATAAAATATGTCTTTGTCCTTTACCATGGCCTTCTGTCTAACACACAGATCAAATGTTTGCAAACTAAATGGATCCCACAATTATCTTTCTTCAAAAATGTTATACATTTAACGATTTATTCTTCAAATATTGTATAACTTCTACAGCCTAAGCATTAAGTTTATAACAGTAAATAAGAGAGAAATATCCCTCCTTTAATGACCCAGGTATCCTAGTAAGAGTAAAGAAAGAAATAAACAATCAAAGTAGATAATTTCAGAAAGCAATAAGTGCTAGGAAGTGAAGAAAACAGAATGATGTTCTCTAGGGAGCAGCCATAGGTGTATGCAGGTGAATGGTTGGAAGATCTTCCTGCGAGGGTGATGACTGAGCTAAGATCTAGTAAGGATCTGGAGTGGAGAGCATTCCAGGCAGAATGAAGAGCCAGGACCAAGACCACGAGGTGGAAACAGACTAACAGAAAGAAAGCCAGACCACGAGGCAGAAACAGACTAACAGAAAGAAAATCAGGTCGACTTGCCTAAAAAGAGTGAGCTAGGGAAAAGCATGGCGGAAGAAACAAGGTTGCTGAAAGCAACTCTTATTTTCTTGGCTTTAGAAACCAAGAAAATGCATTTGGGTTTTATCTTAGCATAATGAAAAGACATGTAAGACTTCTGAACACGAAATCTGACATGTTTTACAGACATGTTTTACATGGTTTTGTTTTGTTTTGTTTTGTTTTGTTTTGGGATGGAGTCTCGCTCTGTTGCCAGGCTGGAGTGCAATGGTGCGATCTCGGCTCACTGCAACCTCCGCCTCCCAGGTTCAAGCGATTCTCCTGCCTCAGCCTCCCTAGTAGTTGGGACTACAGGCACGTGCCACCACACCCAGATAATTTTTTTGTATTTATAGTAGAGACAGGGTTTCACCATGTTGGCCATGATGGTCTCCATCTCTTGACCTCGTGACCCGCCCGCCTGGGACTCCCAAAGTGCTGGGATTATAGGTGTGAGCCACCGTGCCCGGCCAAGACTGATTTTTTACAATGAATTTTAAGTAGGACAAGAGTTGGGAGGCTATTGTAGCAGTATAGTCAAGACATGTTGGTGGTCTGGAAAGGGAGAATAATGGATACAGACTGAAGATGACTTGTTAACAAATTGCATATGAGAAGCAAGGTAAAGAGATAATTAAGAATAACATACGGGTACTTGGTTTGAGCAGCTAGAGGGATTTGGTGTCATCTCAATGGGGAAGAATAGGGAAGGAACAAATTTAGGGACAGAAATTCAGTATTTTGTTTATAGAAAGGCTAGCTTGAATTTAATGTCCAAATTCCTTAGTATAATGTATAAGGCTTTAACTTTTTTATTATGACATATAAGCAAATTCCTCAAATATTAAGGCAAGAAAAAGAAAAATGTAGCTAATTATTCTTTCCTTCAATGAAATAGATACTTTATGTTTCTACTCAATTAAACAAATATTTATTGAGCATTCACAGCCAGAAACTATGTCAGGCTCTAGGGCTATAGTAGCGAATGAAATGAAAATATATCAGCTCTGCTGGAACTTGCAACTGATAGGGAAGAAAAACATGCAAAACATTATGCTATGTGTTTATGAGAGTTACATAAGAAAAAGTTTCAGTACGGGAGCCAAGAGCTTAGGGAGCTGACCTTGATTTAGAGATCAGGAAAGCTTGCCCAAGAAACTGTCATTACATTTAGATGATTCGAAGGATGAACAGGCATTGTCTAAGCTAAGGAGATGGTGGAGGGAGAGTTCCAGTCAGAGGACATAATCTATACCAAAACCCAAAAGTGAGAGAATGCAGTAGATATTATGAACCATAAAATGTTCCATATGACTGTATCTTAGAGTGTAAGGGGCAAAAGTGGCGTGAAATATGGTTGCAGAGGCAGGAAGAAGTTATGGAGTATGTTGGTAAGGAAATAAAACACTTAAAGCAGAAGAGTGGTATAAAATAATTTGTATTTTTAAAAGACTAGAATGTGTAAAAAGTTAATTTTCAAAAAAACCCTTATCAGGCAGATTTTGTTATTATCCCCATTATATATGTTAGAAAATCAAAGCTTAGGCTGTTTCAGAAACCTGTTCAAGGCATAGCTAGTACTCAAACCAGGATTTAAATCAAATTTGATTTGATTAAAGTCCATGATTTCCCACTACGCCTTGCTGCTTTATAATTTGCTAGTTCTTTCTGCTGTATCTACACAATGGTAGTCATAGTTCTCGAATATTTCCTACTATTTGCTTACGCCATTTCATAAAACATAAAAGCATCCTTCAAGATACTGGGAACATGAATTTTCTTATCAAACTATAGTAACCCCTGTAGTGGGACAATATTTTGAGGTAGTCAATGTAATGTTTACTCTCTTAGTTCCTTTTGACCTATATCCATCCACCATTAAACCAAAATGGTGAAACACATACAAATGTACACACACATATGTACAAGCACAGAGAAAGGGAGAAAGAGAGAGAGAGAGAGAGAGAAATAACAGAGTAGATTGAGTTTCTGATTTTGGAGCTGTTCGCCCCCTCTCTCTCCTTGATATAGACAATAGTAATGAAAGCCCTGGATTTCAGTGCCTAGAATCAGACACCCATTGAGGTTTTATGGGATTTTTAGAGCTTTATTGTAAAAATCACATTTTAAACATTGGCAGACTCAAACAGCTTATATTAACCACAGGGAAGGAAGGATGTATAATAATGAAGCAATTTTATTGGACATTCAGGTAAGAGAAAGAAGGAAAGAGAGGGATAGGGGTGTGTGGCTGTGTAGGAGAAAGAGAGAGAGAGATAGAGAGAGGGAGAAACTTATTTTGTTAATTTGGCTCATTCTATTGTGGAGGATTGGTAAATCGAAAATCTAATGGGGTAGCCTGGCAGCCTGGAGACTCAGCAAAGAGTTGCAGTTCAAGTCTAAAGGCTGTCTATTGGTCTTGTTCCTTCTTACTCCATGGAAGATAGTCTTTTGTTCGATTGCAGTCTTGAAATGATTGAATGAAACCCACCTACATTAAGGAGGGTAATCTGCTTTACTCAAAGTCCAGCTGTTTCAATGTTAATTTTACTACCCTCACCCTGTGCCAAAAAAACAAAACAAAACAAACCTTCATAGAAACATCCAGAATAATGTTTGACCAAATATGGGCACAATGCCCCAGCCAAGTTGACATATAATATATCCGTCACTGAAGGACTTTGAAAATAGTAGAGATTTGCCTGACCTTCAATCTGGACTCTACGGAAAACACCCTCGCTTGAGAGTAGACATCATTGTGAAGTAACCTTGAGAAGAAAGTAAAAGAAACAAAAAAGCTGAGACTGAACTAAAAATGGGAAGTAACTGGGTTACAATTGTAAAATGTGTTTTATTCTACTATCATGTTTAAAAACAGATCTACAGAAAAGTTAACTTTAATTATAAGGAATAAAAATATGTATTCACACATCTGATTTACATTTGTAATTCTAAAATTATGACTTCACTGTAGTGTTCTGGGCATCACTCTACTAGTACCCAGTCCCTCTATTAGAAATGTTTGGATGTGATTTCTTTTTTCCCTACTATATATGAGAAACAGGCTTGATTATGTTTCTCTGTCTAAGCATAGTTGATAGATAGGTGCTAAATTGAAGTACGTGGCGTGAAGTCTCATCAAACGTCAAAAATTCTCAGATTTAACGTCATTTCATCAAAGTAAAAAACAACAAACTGATAGTTCACCATTTTGAACATGGTTAAAAGTAGAACAAATATTAGAAATCAACATATAAGAGCAGTCAAATAAAAAAACTGTTTTTCACTTACAAAAATTGTTTTGGATGAGTAATGTTTTCCTTCAGATTTTGGACACGTACCTCCACAAAAGAATCCATTTTTAAAAAATCACGACTTTAGTTTTTGCTCTTTGAGACAGCCAGGCAAAGGGAAAATAATATGAGCTTTTTACATTGTGTGAGTCACATTTTACTGTAAGTACAGAACATATTTTGCCAGTGAAAAATGACATTAAATGTGTCATTCTTTGTTCAGTAGCAATGACCCAGTTATAGCTAACCATTTTGTGTGAAAAACTTTGTGCCTAATGAAATATGCAAGAAGCTCCTCTGATTCAGAAACCCTGGAATCCTGAAAATGCATACTATGACAGGCATCAGGAAGCTGGTAATGGTTGAGGCTGTGAAAAGAATGTCAAAGGTAATGCTGAAGGTGTCAAAAGACAATTCAGAGCCAAGTACTGAGAATTTTCTCAGCAGTGACACTTCCAGCCTTATTCAGCTTCATCAGAAGGTAATTTCTTCAAGGCCTTGTAAACTTAAATGGGAGCATTAAATATTTAATTTTACAATTACAACATTAAATTCTCTTGCCATTTCAGCATTTTGATGTCTCTGTACAATCAAAAAACCTAATTTCTTTTAGTATAAACAGTTAAATAAAATAGTATTCAATTATTTTTAAACTAAAATGATCCAAATGCAGTGAACATTTTCTTTGAGAGAATGTCTTAATTCTTATATAGTGTTTTACTGTATCCATTCCTTTGATTTACTGAGTTTAAATCTACTATTCTTATTTTAATCCTATATAAACACTTTATTCTTAATCCCATAGAAAAGACTGATACCTAAGAATTCATTTCATTGTTAGTAATTGACAGAAAAGAAAACAATCTATGTATAATGATCACATTCTGCCACTAAGTAATGATGAGAGCTTGTATTTACTGAGCAGTCAATATGTCCTCAAACTGTGCAAAGAACTTTACTTATTTTATTTGCTGTTTATAAAACATAATAGTATAGGCACTATTGACACTTGTATTTGAAAAACTAAAATAAGGCTTATGTAGGATAAGTTGCCCAGAGTCATATAGTGGAACCTGGGCTTGAACTCTGGAAACTCCAGCGCAAACTCGCTACTATAAACAGTTTTGCTGGGGAATAAACTAACAGGAAACAGGCATGTCCATCATCCTCAATTGATTGCCTAAGAAAAAGAAAGATTTTAAAGTTTCCTATTTAATTTAAAATAACCAAAATTGTTCTAAATGAGTAATCAACATAGGTTCTATCAATTTAGTGATAGTATGAAGATGTAATTTCTGTTTGTTTTCTTTGAAATACTTGCTAGAAATTTGAAATATTTGTTATTTCTTTGCTCTTACTACCCAAGGTTGAGCCACAGTTGTCTATTTAAAAAAAAAAAATTTCTCTAACTATTCTTGAATTTAATTTAACCTAGAGTACTATATCTCTACAACCATAAAAAATAGTGAAAAATAATTTGTAAGGTAGCCAAAGAAAGGAAAATCTAACTGAACTAAACAATTTGATAAAATTTTTCAGAATGATATACGTCACAGTAATATCTTCTGAGCAGTATACAATTAAACTCAAACTGCATTAACAATGACCATTAATAATAGGCTCAGCTTTAATAATATGAAACAAAAACTACATTCAAAAAATACCTGAAATTGTAAATGACCCACTCTATTAATCTATTCTATTCTATTTGGTATTCTTAGATTTCTACTTCTGAAGACTAAAAGTAACATGACATCCCATCCCCGAGTTATCTTTGTTAAAAAGTGAAAATGAAAAATAATAAATTTTATTTTGGCCAGGCGCGGTGGCTCATGCTTGCAATCCCAGCACTTTGGGAGGCTCAGGCAGGCAGATCACCTGAGGTCAGGAGTTCGAGACCAGCCTGGCCAACATGGCGAAATCCCGTCTCTACTAAAAATACAAAAATTAGCCGGGCACGATAGCAGTTGCCCGTAATCCCAGCTACTCGGGAGGCTGAGGCAGGAGAATCTCTTGAACCCAGGAGGTGGAGGTTGCAGTGAGCCAAGGTCATGCCATTGTACTCCAGCCTGGGCAACAACAGCAAAACTCAGTCATAAATAAATAAATAAATTTTATTTCATAATACACAAACCAAACTAAAGCTTTTTACTATTTTTTAATTTTTTTATTGAATGGGCCAAAGTTGTTCCAAAAAACTTGTTCATTAAAACACAAATTAAAAGAAGCTTCAGTTTCTAAAATTTGGAAGTGCTTTGTTACATCAGACATCAAACTAAGAATTAAAAAGGTAAGAGGAAAAAATTTCAGTCCATTGACTTACTGTAATACAGTCTCTACATTCACCTTTGTTTCAAGTAAAAAAGGAAGAATATTTTATTTTCAAAGACTATAAACCTAACTTTGAATTGGGGTCTCACTCCTTTGAAGATTCCTTATTACGTAACTATAAGATATTCAAATATATATTGGGAATTAGTCACTATACTTAATAATTTTATTTAATAATTGTAAATCAATAACAAAGGAAAAAACTCTGTAAACAGTAGAGAAAAACCAAGTTTTAAATTATAATTAACAAGTATGATAATACTAAAAAAATTGTATTAATTTTATCATTAAAATTTACCATAAATACTAAATAAAAGTGATGATATAATAGTAACAGGGGATATTGACTGAGAATTTACTACGATGTAGGCACTGCTCTAAGCATTTATTGTATAAACTCTTTTAACAATAGAAAGTTCTTTTCCTCATTGATATTTTTGCAGGTGAGGAAGGGGTAATAGAAGCCATTATTAAGAAGTGAAGAGTAGTAATATATACCAAGATAAGTCATCATTATTTTGTGTTTTACAATGCATAAAAACATTATTTCCTAATACATCTGTATAACATGATCTCCTGGTTACAGCACTGCCAATTTGGAAATGTTTAATCCATTGTGGGCCAATACATTCAATAGCTTTTTTCAATTTTTCATTTTAAGTTTATTCATTTATTCATTTGACAAGTATTTCTTGGAGGCCTACTGTGTTACAGGCACCGGCAGTGAATCCAGATGGGAAGAAAACAGGCAGTATTAAACCAATCACCACAACAATAAATGTATAAATATAAATTGTGATAGTTTCAATAAAGGGAAAGCATATTTTATTAGGAAAACATTAAAGAGAAACCAGTTTTGACTGGGCCGGAAAGAGATAAAACCTCACTGAAGGTTTGGAGTCTACTGTGCTGGGGGGACTGAGGTGAGGCAGCTGCAGCCTAGAGCTAGCAGATGAAGGGCTGCCTGCCTCCCTGCTGGTGTTCACCACAGCAGCGAAGCCAAGGCAGTTGTAGGGGGAACGGGGGTTCCCTGCTGAAGACTGTGTGCACTGTTGCACTGGAGTTGGTTTGGGACCAGGTATGGGAGCTAAATGATGAGAACACATGGTCACGGAGAGGGGGATCAACACACACTGGGGCCTTTCGGAGGGTGGAGAGTGGGAGGAGGGAGAGGATCAGGAAAAATAACTAATGGATACTAGGCTTAATAACCTTGTGATGAAATAATCTGTACAACAAACCTCTGTGGCACAAGTTTACCTATGTAACAAACCTGCACATGTACCCCTGAACTTAAAATAAAAGTTGAAAAAAAACCAAAAAACCTCACTGAATGAGGGATATTTAAGTAGAGCTTTCATGATAGGAATTGCCAGGCAAAGGTTTCAGAGAGGAGCTTTCTAGGCAAGGGGGATTGTGTATGAATCCCTGATGTCAAGGAGCTCTGTGTCAAGGGATTAACTCATCAGTGTCTCTGGAACAAAATAAAGGAAGCTTGAGAAGGGACTGGAGAGGCAGGGAGGGGCCCAGGCCTGCTAGGTCATATCAAGACTGTGGAAAGTAACTCAGGTGAAATGGAAAGGTATTTGAAGGGTTTGATGGAAGGGACTGACAGAATTTAAATTGCATCTAGAAAAGATCCTCTCTGCTGACACACAAGGGCTGGATTCTTTCTTCCTGCCTCCCCTACCTCCCTTGCAAACTGGGAAGTATGAGCTTTATTTAATGCACAGCCGTAAGCATCTAAAGTGAGTTTAACCCAAAGCTGAGTATTTGTAGACAAACTGCAGAAATTTAACATTTTCCTGAGTCTTCCCAGATGTTATCTGAAGTTATTTCCCAAAAAGAAGTAGTAATCTTTGCCTCCTTACTTGGATTTGCCTATAGGAGGAATAAGTGCCATTCTTCTCAACATGGATAAATGATCAAGCAAGAGAGAAAAGATGATTCTTTAAAAGTAATGGCAGACAAGGACAGTGCTATTTCAAGAGAAGAAAATGAGTGAGAGTTCTGGGTATTGAAATGGGCATTTAAAAGCTGCCTTGTGGGAAATTGGTTAAGCTCTGGAGTTCAAGAACAGCCTGGGCAACATGGTGAAATCCCATCTCTAAAAAAATACGAAAAGAATTAGCTGGGTGTGGTGGCGTGAGCCTGTAAGTCCCAGCTTGTTGGGAGGCTGAGGTGGAAGAAACACTTGACCCCCAGGAGGTTCAGGTTGCAGTGAGCTGAGATCATACTACTCTAGTTTAGGCAACAGAGTAATACCCTGTTTCTCTGTCTCTGTCTGTCTGTCTCTCTCTCTCTCTCACTTTCTCTCTCTATATATAATATATATACACACATACATATTTATTATATATATTATATATAAAATGTTTGTGTGTGTGTATAAAATAAAAGTTGCCTTGTATTCTAAACATTAATTGAAAAAGTGAAACTGGTTGCAATTTTTTTGCATTAACATTAGTTAAAACAATGCTCTTGACACATAAAGAGGAAAAATCTCTGTGGCTTAACATATTAGTTTCTCTGCTCAATCAAGAAAAAAATATGATGCCTGATCAGAAGAATCTCCTCCAAATAGTAATTCAGGAATGATTTCTTCCAATTTATAGCTCTACCACTTGGACAATATATCTTCCAAGATCTCCATACTCATCTATACTGTATCCAACTTTGGGAGGAGCATGAGCTTCATCCCAGGGAGGTTCTTATGGCCCAGGGCTGGAATCTTCTCATAGTACACTGGCCAGAACTTAGTCATACTTAACTACAACGCAATCTGGAGCACCCAACAAGAGGAGGAGATGGATTGATTAGAAGCTAGGTAGTCTCTGAAACTATAAGGTTCCATATGACATATGTGTTTGAAAATCCTGCAGTACAAAGCAAATACCATGATAGCAGAGAGATCCAGACTTATGGAGAAAAAGGAATAGCCAAAAAGCAAAACAAAACAAGAAATATTAATATTATGCTTTTATATATTAAATAATGTTGTCCTCATTGTATAAAATAGTGTTACAAATTGCCTTTCCCTTACTTGAATCACTGGCTTTTCTCATAAAATTAGTTCTCTTCATTTAACATGCATTTGTATAATTGGAATATTTTACTAATAGGATAAAAATCTCTCAATTAATTTTACTAAGTGGCCTCTAGAAGAAAATTTAGATTTCATGGAAATCATGTGTAATTTATAATTAATGATGAGAAAAGGTCCAACCATTAAAAGAAGAAAAAAAATTTTAATGCAGTGAAAAGGGATAAATAATTAGGCCTTATTGGCTAATGAGTTATTTGAATAAACATCTTGGCTAGGCAGTTACATATAATTAAATGTTTTCTACATTTTTTATGAAATTATTCTTATTGAACAGTACAAAAGAAAGCTCTGCTATATTATTCTAGTTTTCAGTTATAAATAAAAAAGCATTTAAACACAAACAAACATCACTCTGATTATAGTACGGAATATTCACTGGAAAGAGGCAAAAGTGTGATTAAACTGATTGATAAGAAAACTGTGACATTTTCCTAAGTATGAGAGACTTCGGATCATTTATCAGCATCTGCGAAGATGAGAAAAAGCTGATGGCTTAAAGCTGAAGAACATTTTAGAGGTAAAATTGACACAGCTTCATGGCAGATTATATAGAGAAGATGCAGAACAGAGATATCAAAGATAATTACTCAGTGTCTAGCATGAGCAACTCGAATGAAAATTCAATTAACCAACAGAGGGAAAATTAGAATATAAATAGATATGGAAGAAAGATCAGGAGTTCAGTTTGAGGCATATTGAATTTGAGATGCCTGTATGTTACCCAGTTGGGTAAGTCAAGAAAACTGTCATAGATATGGGCTGGAGCTCTGAAGATCTGAGTCATCTGGATGTATAAATATTGGCATTCCTTGGTATATAGATAGTGTTTCATGTTATGTTATTATATGAATAAAGATAAGAAATGAGTGGATAAGTTCAGTTAAGGACCTCAATATGTAGGAGTTATATTAAGAATTGGAGCCAGCAAAGTTGACTGAGATGCAATCAGAAAGGCAGGAGGAATCTGACTCCCATGTTCATTTCTACATTATTGACAATAGCCAAGACAAGGAAGCAACCTAAGCGTCCATCAAAGGACAATGGATAAAGAAAATGTGGCAAATATACTGCCTTTATAAAGAAAACTATTCTGCCTTTATAAAGAAAGAAATACTATCATTTATAACAACCTGAATGAATCTGGAGGACATTATGCTAAGTAAAATAAGCCAGGTATAGAAAGACAATTACTGCAAGATCTCATTTATATGTGGAATCTAAAAAGAGTAAAATTCATAAAAGCAGAGAGTAGAACAGTAGTTACCAGAGACTAGGAACATGGGGAGTATGGGGAAAGGGGAGAGGTTGGTCAAAGGGTACAAAGTTCCTCTTAGACAAGAGAGAAAGTTTTAGTGATTTATCACAGAGAATGATGATCATAGTAATAATGCACTGTGTATTTCAAAAATTGCTAAAATATTAGATTTTAAAGATTCTTACTCCCAAAATAATAAGTAGTTGAGGTGGTAGATATGTTAATAAGCTTGATTTAATCTTTATGTATATATATATATATATACCACATTGCAACCTGCATATGTGTATGTATGTATGTATATATATATATATATATATATACCACATTGCAACCTGCATATTTGTATATATATACACACACACATATATATATATATACCAATTGCATAAATGCATGCAATTATTATTTCTCAGTAAAAATAACATAAAAAGAACATCAAATGTGGTTTGGCAAAAGTCAAAGGCCCAGTTAAGAGACTGTTTTAAAAATAGGAAATAATCCTAGAAGTTCTTATGAGAAAAAGACAGAAAATTGTATCCATTCATTCAACAAATATGTATAGAGTGTTTGCCAATACAAGGCATATCCTGGGTACTAGAACTGTAGAAGGAAACAAAAACTCTTTGCCCTCATGTTCTTATATTGGCCTTATAGAAACTTGACAATGGTTAAAGAACTTAGAAGAATCAGTGTGGTAAAGTAGTAGGTACGGATGCCATCTGGGAATGAGTTGAAGTGAAAAGAAGCAAGCAGAGATGACACGTTTAGACAACTATTTTGAGAGAGTTCGCTTTGAAACTTACAGTGATAGAGCAGTAGCCAGAGGGAGAAGTAAATTTAAATGAATATTTTTAAAATATGGAGGATGCTCCAACATGTTTGAATGCTTATAGGAAAGAATTATTGAAAAGGGAGAGATAAAGAAAACAGTGTGAAAAGTCATGGAACAAAGTCCCAGAGAAGAAAGAATATTATTATGGGGTCATGTAGCATATTACTTCCTTTGAAAGCAACTAATAATTTGCTCTCAAAGTGATGATGATGATGATGATAAAAAATGGAAGAGGAGGATGAGGAAGAAAAGAAGGAAGAGGAGGAGAAAGAGAAAGAATAGAAACAACAACAAAAACAATAACAACTATTTAATACAACCATCAACATTCATTAAATATTTGCTCTGTCCTAAGGATTACACAAAGCTCTGGCACACATTTCTCTCATTTAATCATCATGATAGCCATATGAGATGACATTATTTTCCCCATTTTTCAAGAGAGAAAAATGAGGCACATCAAGGTATCTTGTTTATGCAATCATCCAGCCAGTAAGCGATGAGTCAGACTTTCAAGGTGCCAGTGTTTCTGTCTTCAGAGCTTAGGCTCTGAATTATTTAAAGACATTTTTCTATTTTGATATCTTTCTATGGATGTTAACAGACTTAAAATTTTTTAAAGTATATTTTCTGTTTTTTCATGGGTTTGGGAGTAGGAGAGAAGCAAAGATGTGTTTGTTTCAACATTTTATTTCATACTCCATGTATTATTTTTTACTCAGAAAAAATATATGTATGTATATGATCAGCCTTCAATATCCATGGGAGATTGGTTCCAGGTCTTTAGAAGATCAGATAGCAAGATCCACTGATGTTCAAGTCCCTTCAGTCTTATGTATCCATGGGTTCGGTATCCCTTGAAATTTCCTCCAAGGTTGGTTGAATCCAAGATGCTAAGAATTCTCCCATTTAATCATCATGCTAGCCATATGAGGTGCCATTATTCTCCCCATTTTACAAGAGTGAAAAACGAGGCCCACCAAGGTATTGTGTTTATGCAATCATCCAACCAATATGTTATGAGTCAGACTTTGAAAGTGCCAGTGTTTCTGTCTTCAGGGCCTCCAGGGCATGAAAGGTTTGACTGTATACACATATTTTTAAATCAGTGTTTTGAAAGAAAGGACATAACAGCAAAGGGCAAAAATGTAACTAAAGCAAATGGGTAAATGACAAGCCTGCATATATATTACTGCATATATATTATATATGTGTGTGTGTGTGCTTATGTCATATATGTATTTCTATTTCACATAACAGTGCCTATTGTAAGTAATTCGTTTCTTAGATAAATTTTCAATAATGCCTTTAATTACTTTTCTCTGGGCTTTTACTTTTATTATTATTATTATTATTATTATTATTATTATTATTATTATTATTTGAGATGGAGTCTCACTCTGTGGCCCAGGCTGGAGTGCAGTGGCGCAAGCTCTGCTCACTGAAAGCTCCGCCTCCCAGGTTCACGTCATTTTCCTGCCTCAGCCTCCCAAGTAGCTGGGACTACAGGTGCCTGCCACCATGCCCGGCTAAATTTTTGTATTTTTTTAGTAGAGACGGGGTTTCACCGTGTTAGCCAGGATGGTCTCAATCTCCTGACCTCATGATTCGCCTGCCTCGGCCTCCCAAAGTGCTGGGATTACAGGCGTGAGCCATCACGCCTGGCCTGGGCTTTCACTTTTAAAAATTCTACGTAACACATTGACTACAGACAACAAAACAGGAATATTAATAAGATAGGTATATGCTAATAAAATTAGGTTATCAATATTTTTAAAAAATTAAAACCAAAACGAATTTAACAAATTTAAAATGTATCTATTATAAATGAGATGTCCTTTAGATGACATAATAAATTATAATATCTTCAAATGTTATTTTTTGTCTATTGTATAAATGAAAGTACATTTAGAAATTTAAATATATAAATGAACAATAAAAATCTTATTAATTAAAATCTAATTTGGGGTTTTGGAGTTTGAAACTTCAGGCAAAATGTAAATAATCTTCATCTTAATAAGAAATTATATTATACATTTTAAAACAGTTAAAAGAGCATAACTGGATTGTTTGTAAACAAAGAAAAGATAAATGCTTGAGGTGATAGTTACACCATTTGCTCTGATGTAATTGTGATGCATTGTATGTTTATATAAAAATAACTCCTGTATATGTTTATGGGTAAATATATACACCTACTATGTACCCATAAAAATTTTAAAACGTCCATGTAAATATATATATTTCTGTATTCGTGACACATACAACAATATTTTAAGTAAATAAACAATGAAAAAGTAAAAAAAATTGTATATTAAAAAAAGAATTGGGTATTTTATGTTGTCTTCATATATTTTTGAGTGGTGGTCACTCAGATTTCTGACCTACCGAACTGTGAGACAGTAAATGGATTAAGTTACTACATTTATGATAATTTGTTATATAAATTCCTAACTGCTTCCTATCTGGTTAACATGAAACCATGTTGTACTTGCAAGTCTACAATCCATTTGTCACTATAAATGAAGATTGGTTCTAAAACACATCTTTGTTTATGTAACAAAGTTTATATAACTTCATTGAATCCCCATTATTCTAAAAAAAAACCCTCCACTTTTTAAATGTCTAATATGACATGATAATATATTATTAGGCTAAGATCAAAGATTGTGTAAATGGTAGACATAGATCCAAGTCATAGCTTATCATAGCAATGTGTCATTGAACAAGGTACATAAAATTCTGATCTTTAGAATCTTTGTCAGTTTAGAAGCCAGCTCACAAATTGGTGGATTTTTAGATAACTGTGGTCAAGGGTCTTTGGTAAGCAAAATATTTTAGTATATTTAAAAAATTATAATGCCTTTTAAATTATAACTCAATAATGCCTATAATGTGGGGCACATATTTTATGGTTTACCACAATCCCCACCATTTCCCTCCTGTCTTAACTTCTTATCACATCCCCATTTCCATCTGACACTTGAAATTGAAACGGGAAAAGTTCCCTTGTCCCCCTTGCAGGGCGTGCGATGGGGCTGTGGCTCGCTTCCTCAGTGCCCCCGCCGCTCAAACCTCAGATGGGCAGGCTGTGGGGCTCTGACCCCACGGCAGTGTCTAGGGGTGAATGTATACAGCTGAAGCCCCAGTGGGCATCTGTTACAGGCATGTTTTAGTTTAGCCGTCCGTAGTCGGCTTGTGTTCATCAGCTCAATTAGACCCTTCCTTATCACAGAGGGCTTTCTGTATCCTGGGGTTCTTTCCTTGGTTTACCGGAAGAATTGGATGACATGTGGGCTTGGAGAATGAGTGCAAGGTTTTACTGTGTGGAAGTAGTTCTCAGCAGATGGGGGAGCCAGAAGAGAGATGGTTTTCCCCTGGAGCATTCGCCAAACCCCGCCTCCTTCCTTCGGTAGATAGCCTGCCAGCGTTCTGGCGTCTGTCACGTGCTCTTCTGCTGGCCTGCTCCCCTTGACGTCCAGCTGCTTGTTTTCTTCCACCGATGCATTCCTCTCCATGTCCAACTGCTTGTGTGTCTGCCTGCTAGGGTCTTGGGGTTTTTATAGGCACAGGATGGGGGTGTGACAGGCCAGAGTAGTCTTGGGAAATGCAACATTTGGGCAGGAAAACAAAAATTCTTGTCTTCACCTAGGTCTGTGGGCACAGGCCCAGGGGTGGAGCCCTAGCCAGGGACCACGCCCTTCTCCCTTCCATATCATTTAAAGGGACCATGCCCTTCCCTTCCCAGCACATCCGTTCCGTATCAAAATCACGTCATTGCTTTAAGAACTTCAAACAACAAAATTAAGTAAGGTTGAGAAAGAATTTGAAATTTAAAAGATTTAGGAGGGAGAGATGAGGCTGAGGTAGAATAGCCAGAGCACAAGGACAAAAGCCAAGCAGGTTGACAACAGTCCTAAAGAACTATATTACATTCCCAGTGATGAGTTGTGAAGGTGAAATACACTTTTCTATATCAACAACAGTAAAAACAATTTTCCATTAACCATGCTAGAGAAAATTCGGAACTTTTTATTTTATTTAAAAAGATAAAATTGTTGAAATGTAATCAGAAGCGATCAAAGAATATACAATGAAAAAAGTAGGAAAAATATTATTTCTGTATTTAATTAGGTTCTCACATAATGCCTATATAATTCTTGAGGCCACCTGGCCCTCAGTTTTGCTTAGAGTCAGAGACATAGGAAATGTTTCCCAATAATAGAACAAACCTAAACTGCATTGAAAGTCTCTGTGAAACAAACAAACAAAAAAATCTGTCTATAATGATACCAACATTTGAACTCATGAATGTACTTCCCTTTACGGTTTGGCCATTTATTTGCCCTCAACCTTTATCCAAGAAAACACCATGAGTATAAGTGCTGGCAGTTGATTCATTTGTTTAGAAATAAAAATGTCTTTTAGGAGAAACTGTCAGGTAGTCAAAGTATAAATAATGTGCAGTTACAGCTCTTTATTCTAAATGTCTTGGAAAATAATATTGTTAAACATTCTTTTAAATCTGCAAGTCTCATCAGTACTTCATTAAATCTCTGAATTTAAGGTGAAAGGGTATGTGTGCTAATAAGGAAAGAAAAGAAAAAAATATGCTTTACAAGGAATAGCAGTAGATTGAAAAAATAGTTCTATGTGAAAATTTAATTAGTTGGAACCCAGGGGCAAACAAAGAAATAATTAAGTTTAGTTAATTTTTCTATTAATAAAGCAAAGTCATTTCTTGGATTAGATTAATTACTGATGAAGAAAAATATTTAAAGTTTCATTATCCTGAGCCTCATGATAGAACACAGAGCTCATACTCTGTGTTTTTACCAATTTGAAAAATAAAGGAGTTATCTATGGCCTACAGCTGTCTCATTCCTTGAGAAAACCATGTGAGAGCAGGGCTCTACTGGAGTCTTTGTTACTGCAGGGAAAATTCCTGACTTTACAAACATAATAACATTTCCATCGTTCTCTGTTGTCTGCAAAGGTCAATATGTACTATAACCCAAGAATACTTTAACTATTAAATTTTAAATACATCTGATTACAATGACCAAATTTACTGATGTAAATAATCCGGGAAAGTAGGATATTTTTACCTTAACCAATAGCATGAAAACAAATATAGCTGGAGTACAAATGTAGAATTAGAACTATTAGGAAAAAAAATTTAAAAACCTATAGAGCAATCACCTTTCACTCTTATTTACTAGAGATGATAATTTGTCAATGTTTCAGCTGCTTGCCAATGATTTTATCCTGCTGTTGAACATGATGCAGCTCTCTTGGACTAAGTGTTATTACTAAATTACCATTCACTTATGATTAACCCATTTTTCTAGACATTTTCATTCAGCCAGACCAAACAACTTCCCCAAACAATTTTGAAACAAGTGTCATATGGCTATATCCAACTGGATAGGATACTTATGTAGGCTTAAATTGATTTAGCCTGGGGTAAAATAAGACTTCAATTAAAGGTAAAAGTTTTGAGACATTGTTAAACAAAGAAAACAAAATGATTCTGTGTATTCATTCATTCATTCATTCATCAAAAGCTAAAAATTCTATATAAGCCTTTGGGAAATGTACCTGTTAGTATTATTAATGATTGAGGATGGCCAATTAGGGAGGGAAGATAATTTTTCCCCCAAAACCAGTCATTTTAATCACAATGACATAAATAAAGGCCATGCTCCCACAAATGACTTATGTTATGACACCTTGGATGATAAAGACTCTTTGCCAGATGCTAGCACTGATGGGCTAATCCTGTCCCAGGAGCACATTCTGCCCCCAACCATTTATAAGGTCTGTTAAAATAGAACTCAAGAGGGAAGGGCAGACTCCTGTGCTCCAGAACAGGGGCATCCCCAGAAAGCCAAACTGAAGCCTAAAAGGTGCTCCCCACTCATCGGTCTCCCTGTTCTTTTTGCCTATATGGTAAGAAAACATTTACAGAATAGGCTGGGGAATTGCCCTCGCCCTGAGTGTAAGAAGGGTTTTTAGTGGAGGTATTATTATAACAAAAAGAGAGAGAGAGGGGAAAAACAAACAATTTCAAAAAAAGATGGCCTAACTTCTGCTATTTTGTGAAAGGGAAGTATTTCATCATAAAGGTCTTAGACATTCTTTAAAATATTTTTAAGGAGTTTTTCATTTAAACAGGCAAGGCTCACTAGATCAAGACTATGAGAAACATTTAGACAACGTGCTAAATTTCCCTGCATAATAAGGTAAAACTATAACTCTTGGGAGAGGAGGTCAGAAACAGGGAAATAAGTATTTGGTATTAAAATAAAATAAAATTATAGAGAAGTATCAGGAGGTAATGGAGAGACCTTATGGAAATAGCTAGCAGAAAATTACTTTTCTATAACAAGGAGGGGACATAAAAGTGTAAGAATTGTAGCGTTGAGTATTGAAACTTAAGTGGCATTTTTGTTCTTTTTCATCATGTAAATGGTCTTACTCCTAAACTTTCAGGAATAGTATTACATTCATAGTGTTGCATTAATGAGGTTAGAGAATAAAAGAAGGGGAGGTGGTGACAGGGCAGTAACCACAGGAAATGAAGCAATGAGCCAGAGAAAGGAATAGGAAGAAAATGTGTCACATATACACCATAGAATACTATGCAGCCATAAAAAATGATGAATTCATGTCCTTTGTAGTGGCATGGATGAAGCTGGAAACCATCATTCTCAGCAAACTATCCCAAGGACAAAAAACCAAACACCACATTTTCTCACTCATAGGTGGGAATTGAACAATGGAAACACATGGACACAGGAAGGGGAACATCACACACCGGGGCCTGTTGTGGGGTGGGGGGAGGGGGAGGGATAGCATTAGGAGATATATCTAATGTTAAATGACGAGTTAATGGGTGCAACACACCAACATGGGACATGTATACATATGTAACAAACCTGCATGTTGTGCACATGTACCCGAAAACTTAAAGTATAATTAAAAAAAAAAAAAAAGAAGTAACAGTAGATAACGAGCCTTTGGGAACTCCTTGCAAGAAAATTGGGCATGAACCATTTTATATAGCAATTAATGTAAAAAGTATCCCCAGGAGGCTGAAATACCCAAGGATATGTAAACAGTATTGATGTCTGTTACTACAACAATTACTTTATTCCATTATTTCCTATGACTGAGTTCTTCCTCGAGAAATACAAACTTAGCTTTGTTTTGCAAGAGTTGTGCATTTTTGTGAAGAAGTCTGCACATGAGTGTTCCTAGCAGCTGTCTCGGTTTGGGCATTCATCAAGGAAGATTATAGTGGTGCTGAAGAATATTGTTATTATTAATCATGTGGAAGACATATTAAAATTAAATATTTATATAGTTATCACTATTAACTAACGAACATGATTTTTCAAAAACAACAGATTCATTAATAAACAAAATGTATCTGCTTTCCACACTCACTAGTTGCTTCTTATCCAATTTTCAAAAATCAGTTTTAAAGTTCAGATGTTATTTTTCATCTCATCTAAAACCAATGATCTTCAAATGAACTTTTCTTCAAAGTAGTGATATATGATATAGAGAACATACATCATTTGAATCATAACAATGAAGAATCAATTATAAAACTTGAAATTCCAGTGTGTTTTACATTTATGTCAATCCAGTTTTTCTCTTTGTGAACTTCAGAGATATGAATCCTTCAATATTTCAAACCAATCTCACTGATGAAATGTTAACACAAAGTAGAAGAGTGTATCTAGTTATGCCTTCATAACACTAAAATGATTTTAAAAACAAGAGCTGTCAAGCCTGGAAGGGAGCGATTTAAAAAGTCCATTCCTCTATACATTTCTAAAGTTATTAAAAGTCCAATGACTCGGATCAGCTCTCTTAAAACTTAAAACTTATAAAAAGGACGAAAAAATGATGGGCAATATGTCTTTTCAATGCTACACTAGGACATTATTTAACAAATCCATGCCAGAATTACTTGTCTCTAAGAGAACATACATGTGTTTGATTTTGTCATTTACTGTTTATTTATAGCCCTGGACCCAGACACGGTGAAGTTACATATCAATTTACAGATTTCTATCCCGTAGATAATATATCCCCAAAGTTTATAGTTTTATTGCCTTGTAAGACAATAGGTCACTTTGTATGTATCTAAACTAGCAATCTTATTCTAACATTTTTAAAGCCTTTACAAATGGACTATCTAAATCCCTCCTTCCGAAATGCACTTGAAATCACATTTATCTGTCTCTACCTAATTAAACATTTGAATGAAATAGCTATCATATTTGTGTGAGATTTACATATATATATTTCCATATATGTGTATATATTCCTATATATATATACACACATACATATATATACACACATACGTATATATACACATACATATGTATATAATGGAATTCATATATATATATGAATATATATAGGAATTCATATATATATAGGAATTCCATTATATATATGAATCCCTATATACATATTCCCATATATATTCCATTCCTATGTATATAGGAATTCCATTTTATATATATATGTATAAAATTCCTATATATATAAGAATTCCATTAATTCCTATATATAGGTATGGAATATATATGGGAGCATATACACATATGGGAATGGCATATATATGTAATATATATGATATATATCTATATATGTACTATATATGATATATATCTATATATGTAATACATATGATATATGTATATATGTAATATATATGCTATATATGCATATATGTAATATATATGCTATATATGCATATATGTAATATATATGCTATATGTATATATGTAATATATATGCTATATATGTATATATGTAATATATATGATATATGTATATATGTAATATATATGCTATATATGTAATATATATGATATATTTTTTTTTGGAAATAATACTTTCTGAAAAGTATTAAAAACTTTTAGAAAATTGTACTTTGTCATTCCTACACATCAGTTATCATAAATAAAATACATTTATTTAAAAAAACAAAACAGTAGTAGACAGTAGTAGACATTGAATAATGTATTTTACAGGCACTTTAAGCAAAAATGCCTCAAATCATTTTTGTTTGTTCTGATCTTCATCCTAGTGAAGTCTGAAAAACGTGGAAAACAAAGAAGGACATAACCTCCCATTCCTTTCAGAATTGATTTTAACCTTCAAAATATGTATCCCATAATGTTTATACACAGTAATGGGCATTGTCACATTTTGTGCACTAAATTTAAGGCTGTTTAAAAATAGTCTATGAATTTGCTGAAGAATTGTTGACAATAAGGGCATCACTTCTACAGTGAAACCATTCTTGAGAACATGTGGGAAGTAATCTGTGTACTATTGTTTCAAATGTATAAGTTAAAGCAAACATTATGGGATAGTGTCCCAGTGTTCAAAACATTAGGGAGATCAGGTATCTAGTGGATAAACCAGACATTAAATAAGAAATTACACAAATAAAATAAAAATTACAAAATGTATAAGGAGAAATACATACTACAATAGTGGAAGAACTAAATACTCAGAAAAAGTAACTGAGATCTAAAGAAAGAGTAGAAAATAAAATTCATTAAAAAATTAACGAATTCCCTACATCCACATAAAAGATAAATAAAAAATATAGCATCAACTTTGCATTCATTAGAAATTATTTTAGCTAAAAGTTAAAAATAAACCTAACTGTAGTGAATTAAACAAATAAGTTTCTTTTTTTTTACATAGACATTTGGAGCTAGAAATTCAGTAATGCCTTCAGAAATATAGGATCTTTTTCTTCTCTCCTCCACCATCAATATTTTGATGATTTTTATACTCTTCCCTGTTGCCTCATGGTCACAAGACAGCTGCTGCTGCACCTTGAAACACCAGTGTTCCAAGTGGAAGGAAGAAAAGGTAAAGGGTTATGATAGCCAGCTGACTGGTTACATTCTGTTAGTCAGAAATGAGTCATATGTCCACTCCAGACTAATCACTCGCCCAGTAGAGTGAGCTTACCATGCCTAGTTTGGATCAGTTATAGTCATTTCCTGAACCACTTTTCTTAAGTTCAAGAGATAACTGCCAGTACCTAAAGAAATCAGGGTTCAGGTAGTGAAGAAAAAATTGGACCTGGTGTGACAAGATGATGGGAAGGTTACATCTGGTGCCTGCCAAAAATGTCCTTCAGAAATTAACCCTATAATTTAATAAGAAAGAAGAATGGAAATTTTTTCTAAGTGCCTTTCAAATTAATTCAATCTACTAGGTGGGTACGCTTTCCTTAGAAGCATAAACTTAAACTGTTTTGCTGTCATTTTAGTATAAAAACATATAACACCACCTGTCAACACCTTTTTTTTTTTTTAGAATAACAATTGATATTTTTAGGATCAACATGTGTCTTTTTTATCCTTCTGCTTTCCTGTTCATTTTGATTGTTTCTTATGTTTTAGGCATATAAGGAAATTAATTTATGGGAAATATTTCAAAAAGACATCACAGAAATGGTGATTTCATCTATATGAAAGAAATATATTTTGTGTATATTAGAAAGAAAAGCAGCCTGGATCTAAGTAAAATAATTTTGTAAAGGGAAAAATGGCTTATTAGTGTAGACTTGTAAAAATGATAAGCCCTGTTGAAACATGCTAGCAAGATACATCATTTTGCCCTATGTTTTCCATAGGCAGTTCTACAGAGTCAGGCAAATAGTGAAAATGGAAAGAGAAAGGAAGGCAGAGAGAAAAAGAGAAGGATGGAGAGAGGGAACCAGGAAGAGAGAGAGAGAGAAAGAGCTCATTTATAACAAATGTCTAAGACTATTCAAAAACAGTAAGGATAGATTATATATTTTGATGGTAGTTTTAGAAATAATGAGTAATGATTTCTCAGTGTTTATGACATGTATTATTTGATAGAAGACATGAACTATGTATCTGATAACACAGAAGGAATAATAAAGAATGTCAGTATATTAGTCTGTTCTCACTCTGCTAATAAAGACATACCCAAGACTGGGTAATTTATAAAGTAAAGAAGTTTAATTGACTCACAGTTCCACATGGCTGGGGAGGCCTCACAATCATGGCAGAAGATGAAGGAAGAGAAAAGGGACTTCTTAAACGGCAGCAGGGAAGGGAGCTTGTGCAGGGGAACTACCATTTATAAAACCATCAGATTCTTGTGAGACTTATTCACTACCACAAGAACAGTATAGGGGACATAGCCCCCATGATTCAATTATCTTATCCTGGCCCCACCCTTAACACCTGGGGATTATTACAATTCAAGGTGAGATTTGGGTAGGGACACAGCCAAACCATATCAGTGAGAATATTTGAAGGAAAACTTCAAATGAAATGTTGTAGAGTTGAACCAATAATGAAGTTTTAGAAACTTAAACTGACAGCAAAAGATCATATATAATTTTATTGTTTTATTCTGAATTAACCAAAATTGTGAGGGGAGAAACTAGAAGCTGTCATGCAAATATATATATATGGTGACAATTGTGGCTGTTAATAGTAAATTTTGAAGATGAGCATTTTTTCAACAAGGAATTTGAAAGTTTGAATAATGGGTGCAATAACAAACTTAGTGGAGAAGCAAGTGAAAAATATTGATTGCCTTCATTCTTCAAGCAATAGATATTTATGTGTTCTAAATCCAGTGTTTTAGTCAGAAGATCCAAAGAGAAAAAATGTCAGTATTTATTGTAAATCTTGGCAGATAGGTTCTCATTTCACAATGCCTTCATGCGCTATTGGATATAAACAACTAATGTTCTCACCAGTGATTTTCATGCCCATCAAACTGAATTCAAATTCCTTAGTAATCAAATCCTTACTGTCTTTGCTACCAGTTTTCAAAGTGTGTTTCCTGAAATACTAATGCTGCTCTTTAAAAAAGTGTTCCTTATTAAAATACACATAGGAAACCCTACATATTATAGTATCTTCTTAGACAATAGTCATTCACATTAACATATTAACAGCTTTGAAAATTCTTCTAAAAACCTATTTAAATTAATTTGTGCAATTGTTACATTTTTAAATTTATTTATATCCAGGGCACCATCTAGTATGACCTGATAGAACCCAAAGAAACTAATATTCCAGTTCAGGAAATTTTAGTCTTGCCTCCTTACATTTCTAGCATTCTCTTTTACAGCATCTTTCCATATACACTATCCTCTAGTCCAAGCTTGTCTAACCATGGCCCACAGGCCACATGTGGCCCAGGACAGCTTTGAATGAGGTCCAACACAAATTCGTATTAGGCCGCATTCATATTTTACACAATTCTATTTTGTGTCTGCAGCAGTATTTACCAGAATGTATTTTATAAAGTAGACATTTAAAATATTATGAGTTTTTTTTTTTGCGATTTTTAGCTCATCATCTACCATTAGCATTAGTGTATTTTATGTGTGACCCAAGACAATTCTTCGTCTTCCAATGTGGCCAAGGGAAGCCAAAAAATTGGACATCCCTGACATCAAAATGGAGTTTTATATACTCTCCATGTGTGTCCTAGATTTCTTACCTCTCTTGCTATTTGAATTTAAATCTTCTCTTTTTTAAAAAATCTCTACCCAAACTCCTACCTTGTCTTTCATCCATCTACCTACATCTCGCTAGCATGAAAAATGTTCACAACCTCTGATCTAGTAGTCTATGTCCTAATAATCTATTCTAAAAGAATCTAAATTATAGAAAAGTGCTTTTACATGAAAGCATTTTCTATTTGTAACTTATAATAGCAAAACCTAAGACATTACCTTAATGCTTTATATAAGAGAGCTGGCTCAGCATTGACAGTATGTAGAATGCTAGAATAAACAACAATTAAGTTTATAAATATTTTAATATAGTGCAATTCTTAGTCATTTATTTAAATATCATATTAACTTTAGAAAGCAACATATAAAGTTATATGCATACTATTTTCTCAAATATGTGAAGCAATACAAAAAAAGGAGAAAGAGAAACACGCTTTGATGCTGAGTTTTTCTTTGTGTGGTAAAAGTTTAGGGTTTTTTTAAGCATCTGGATTTTTAAAACATTAATTTTATGACCAAAAATCAAAACAAAACAAATAGACAGACATGCATGCATTCTTCAGGGCTGGATTGGTTTCTTTGTTGTCACTAAGACTTCCCTAATCCCCCTAACAGATGTCATTGCTTCTGCTTCCCAACTCCAGGGCTCTATGGTGTAAGTCTCCCATGGTACATTTCACAATCTACTCTGGACCAGAGATAATTGTATAATTGCCTTACCCTGCACATACCAAATTACATTCTATTTTGTGTCTGCATCAGTGCTTAACAGAATGTATTTTATGAAGCAGACATTTAGGAAACATTTGTGCAATGAATAGATTTTTTGTCTCAAGTATATCGTCTTTTGCCTAATGTTTTTTATAAAAAAACTTTATACAATAAAATGGTGTATAATTACACAAATTCAAGTAACTCCTCTAACTGCCTATTTCTATTTGCCCATGATGTCCAAATAACCTGATGTCCTGTGACAAGACTGCTGTCTTCTAAAGGATTATTTTTTGGGGGATGGGGTTGAGGGGAGATAACTGAAATTGAAGATAGTAAACATGGAAAAAACTTGGAAAAATGCACTGTAATAATTTTGATCTAATTATTCCTTTTAGGTCATCCTACAGTGTATTAAAGACCAAATGGCAAAGTGCACCTTAACTGAATAACTCACTTTTTGTGAGTTATTCACATTCTTGTACTTTCCACTACAATCATACTAGAATGGCTGAAAATTTAAAAAATTAAAAGCTGACAAACGAAGTGCTAATGAGAACGTGAAATACCTGAAACTCTCATATATTATTAATGGGAATGCAAAATGGTACAACCATGTTGAAAAACAGTTTGGCAGTTTCTTTTTAATTAAACATCAAATTATTCACTAAGTTTACCAGGCATAAGTACTCATTTAAAAGATTTCCTACTTGTTTTAATGCATTTCATAAATGTAAATCACAACTATTGTTTTCTATTTTAAATGTTTTCTTAACCTATGCAAATTTCAGTCATTCCAATTTGCAGAGAAGTGACTGATGGCAATATTACTAGTATATCAAGAAATGGCAACTGCAGGATTACACAATCAACTACTGCAGGAAGAATTTTACACAATCAACTCGCCTTCACCATTTATGATCTTCCATTTATTTTCTTTTTTTCTCGTATTCTCCTTGGAGAACATCTGATTGGATGTTCTCAATCACCAAAAAGTTGATGAAAATTAACATTAAGAATAAAAGAAGCCCCACTAACCCATTTACACAAATAGCCAAATTTCAAACAGACTAATTAATTACTGAGAAATAAAGTGAATAAATGAAGCAGAAAATAAATAAATGTAATAGATATTCTCAGAGATATTCCAAGGGGTATCACCTCTGTAAATCAGCAATAAATTATTATGGGGGGAAAATAAGCTATTAGAGTCGTTGGAGGGGATTGTTTACACAGATAAAAATAAGTAAATGAACAAACAAAATAGATTGGGGAGTAGACCAAAGACAACTGAAAGTCACAAGTAGTGAGATGAAAGACTGACACAAGGAAGCCTCCCAAAATGCAGGAAAAATAAACACACAAATAAATGAAAAGTGGGAGAAAATAGATACAACACATAGAAAACAGCATAGGAAACTTTGTAAAATATGTGTAATAAAAGATATGTAATATTTATATCCATTTATATACATGTTTATATGTGTATGTTTATGCATAAATATTTGTGTGTATGTGTGTGTGTATATATATAAAATATATATAAAACTTTGTACTAAATGTATAGAGAGTACAGATACATTGCAAACAGCCATGGCCCATTTCAAATGACTGTACATTCTTCCCTTCCCACAGCTCATCCCCATCTCTCTCATTAACTTGCTTCCTAGTGAAATTTTTTACCCATAACAGCTGAATGAAAGTGTAACCAAACAGCCAAGGAGATCTAGTGATGAAAATACCAAAATGCAGGTTTTATTGCAATACCATGTCCCCCAATTATTGGTGGATTAAACTAAAAGTAATTAGATTATCAGCAAATAGAGATTTGAGGGTGGTTTTTTATTCCATTCCACATTTTTACAGGCATATTACAACTGAGGAGCACTGAATAATAAATTTGTTAATAGTGATCCAAAAACTATGGCCAAGAAGGTTGAATTAGTCTAGTTTCACACTGCTATGAAGAAATACCAGAGTCTGAGTAATTTATAAAGAAAAGACATTTAATTGACTCACAATTCCACATGGCTGGGGAAGCCTTAGGAAACTTACAATCATGGTGGAAGACACCTCTTCACAGGGCAGCAGGAGAAAGAATGAGTTCAAGCAGAGGAAATGCCAGACATTTATAAAACCATCATATCTCATGAAGCCCACTCATTATCACAAGAACAGCATGGGGGAAACCACCCCTACAATTCAATTACCTCCACCTGGTCCCACCCTTGACACATGGGGATCATAGGGATCACAAATCAAGGTGAGATTTGGGTGGGGACACAGAGCCAAACCATATCAAAGGCCATGACATTAAAGGATTTGAAGAATATGGCATTTGCTGATATTGGGTGACAGAGGCACTCATCATATAGACTATGCTAAAGTTTGGGGGTGGAGACAAAGGCAGGAATGTTGACAAATATCTTGAAACTAGCCAAAGTCTTTCTATTTACCTCAGTGATATTTTATCAAAAATTTTAAAAAATAGTGTGGGAGAGGAGGACAAGAGGAGCACTCTCGCAATCTCACATATTTCGCGCCATGTGCTTCTTGTACCTACTCAATGTTGTTAATTTAAAAAAAAACTATATGTTTACACTCAACTATTTTAGGACTCCCTTTGCCAAAGGTCTGAGAAGAAGAGAAATATTTCATTACATTGTGATGAATTGTAGAGGCAGTACAGCTAGTAAAGTCAATGTCATACATGGGGGAAGCACTGTAATATAATCAGAGGATGATACAGGCTGGTGATTAATAACATAGAAAATTCTATATTTTATTTCCCTTTATTGCTTCCCAGAAATGTAACCTTGGACAACAAGTCACATAATCTATGACCCAAGAATCTCATTTACAAAATTGAAATATTAAGAGGAATTATTCAACAGATATTTTATGGTTAAATTACAGAATGTAAGCAAGGTATTACACATCTAATAAGTTCTCAATAAATGTGAACTGATGACGATGATGATACTGACGATGTTGGTGGCAACATAAGCACCTGGGGGGAAGCACCCCCTCAGTTTACTAAATTATGTAGTCAAGATACTACAAAGTTTCCAGCTAAGGTTAGAGGTACAAACTTTCCCCTTGATGACAGCGGGTTAAATTTGCTTTGCTATCACTAAAATTTATTTATCTGTCCCATTAACTTAAAAATTCCTAAGTCTATTAGAGAACAGCTATAGACTGAATTAAACACATGAGTTGACCTAATTGAATTAAATGGAAGGTTATAATAAGTAGCTTTATTCTTGGTTGATTATTATGGTTAAAAACCTTTACTTTGAAAAGTTCTTTATAGTAGTTAATCTGCATGTGGAACCCTTTGGTGTACCATGGAGGTTCCTCCAAAACAGCATAAGAATTAATGATGGTCAAACGTATAATGTTGAGAAAAACATGTTTTTCTTAATTAAGGATAAACCCAACTGGATATTTGACTTTTTAAAATTTTGGTAATCATGAAAATAAGAATATATGAGGGAATTCATGGCCCTTTACAATTTATTTACCCTCAAATATTAAATTGAAGGGTGGTACATTTTTATTTTCTAACCCCTTTGTTCAGGATTTCTTGACAAAGTTTAGCTCATGTGAACAAATGGGTGAAAATCTATTGGCTTTCTCGATAAGAGAAAACAAACAAATGTTTCTAGGACCAGTGGACCAAATCCTAGTCTTAATAGAGGGAGGAGAGGAAGACAAAGTAATGCCCAGATAATGATCACATTGTAGTCCATAATGAAATCAACAGATAAAGAAAATTTGGTATTTAAATCAGGACTGTAAAAGAAACAAAGGGAAAGGGGAAAGCATAGCTTTGTGAGTACATGCTAAGGCAGGGGCGTCTGTATTAGCGAAAATTGGATGTTAAAAGAGAAGTTCCATAGATATGACTTTGTGCTCAAAAAGAAGGATCTCAAATATATAGAAAGCTGTCACTACATGGCAGCTTTTATCAACGGAAGTATTACCTTGTAGTTTTCAATGTCAACAAATTCTTTGACACATCTGCCTTCAAGAAGCAAAGCCTGATTACCCTCCTTTTGCATGTGGACTAGACTCAGTGTAATTGTTTTTAACGATGAATAGGATAAGGTGGAAATGCTGGTTGCAATTTCAGACGCGAGGTTATAAAAGCAGCTTTGTACCTTCCTTTGTGTGCTCTCTCTTTGGATCACTCATTCTAGGGAAAGTTAACTGCCCTCTCATAAGCAACACTGTGGAAAGGCCTGAGAGACCAGGGCTTGAGGCCAGCTGCCAATAGCCAATGGGGGACTGAGGCCTTTGGCCAATAGTCATGAGAGTGGTGTTTCTTGAAAAAGGAACTCCCAGACAGAGTTTGAAACAGGGTTTCAGTCTGTCACTCAGGCTGGAGTGCAGTGACACAATTATGGCCACTGCAGGTGAGTTAGTCCTTTCCCACATAGCTATAAAGAAACATCTGAGAATGAGTAATTTATAAAGAAAAGAGGTTTAATTGGCTGATGGTTCTGCAGGTTGTATAGGAAGCATGATACTGTCATCTGGTTGGTTTCTGGGGAGGCCTCAGGAAACATAAAATCATGGCAGAAGGCGAAGGGGGAGTACAGACTTCACATGGCCCGAGTAAGAGCAAGAAAGAGAACAAGAGGGTAGGTGCTACACACTTTCAAACAAGCAGATATCATGAGAACTCACTCACTCTTGGGAGAACAGCACCAAGGTGATGATGCTAAACCATTCATAAGAAACACCTCCATGATCCAATCACCCCGCACTAAACCCCACCTCCAACATTGGAGATTACAGCTCTACATGAGATTTGTGCAGGGACACAGATCCAAACCGTACCACCTGCCTTGACTTTCTGGGCTCAAGCAATCTTCCTACTTCAGCCTCTGGAGTAGCTGGGACTACAGGTGTGTGCCACTGCTCCCAGTCCCCAGTTAAGCATCCTTTTAAAAACATTGATATAAGGCTGGGCACGGTGCCTCATGCCTGTAATCCCAGCACTTTGGGAGGCTGAGGCAGGTGGATCACCTGAGGTCAGGAGTTTGAGACCAGCCTGACCAATATGATGAAACCCCATCTCTACTAAAAATACAAAAATTAGCTGAGTGTAGTACATGCGCCCATAATCCCAGCTACTCAGGAGGCTGACACAGGAGAATCACTTGAACCCAGGAGGAGGAGGTTGCAGTGAGCCAAGGTGGCGCCATTGCACTCCAGCCTGGGCAACGAGAGCAAAACTCCATCTCAAAAAAAAAAAAAAGATATAAAATAGTTATATATATTTGAGGGGAACATGTAACATTTTGATAGATGTATATAATATGTGATGATCAAATCAGAGTAATTGAGATAACCATCACCTCAATTATTTACCTTTTCTTTGTGTTGAGAACATTACAGTTCTTTACTAGCTATTTTTACATATATAATAAATTATTATTACCTATAATCTCCCTACTATACTACCAAATACTAAAACTTATTTCTTCTATCTAAGCCTCTGGTAATCACCATTCTACTATCTACCTCCAGGCTGACATCTGGACTACAATTGCTTTAGAGGCCCTTAGCCAGAACCACCCAGTTAAGCCACTCCTGAGTTGTTTTGAGTTACTAAATTCAGAAGGAATTTGTTATGCAGCAATGAATAACTACTACATGTTACTATTATTATTATTATTCTTGGTAAAGAGTTAGGATGTGTATTTGCTTTTATTGTGCAGTATACTGTTTTCTGAGACAATAATTGAAATTTCATAATCCCCAGGATGTCAAAATGTTCCTGTTCTGAAAGCATTGCTGCCTAGAAATTCTGGGAACAATAGATATGTAAAAATAGAACACAAATGCTCAAGAAATCCTTTCACCTTACAACTAGCAGGATCCTCTCTTATTAAATAGGATGTGGATGGATATAAAGGTCCAGGACTTAAAGTGAGGAGCGAAAAGAACTGATGTATTTTCTTCAGTTCATCCAATTCTGTCCAAATTCTGTCTCTACCAATAACTCTATGTTGTTTTGATGAAGAAAGAAAAGGATAAAAATATTTTAACAAAGAATAAAAATATAATAGTAAAATGTTTTGAGGTGAAATAAAAGTACATGTCACCCCATCTGACCTCCCACACAAATTTCTTTCACAGTATTTATTCCTGACAATCAAAATATGGCTTCTTTCATATTTCTATTGATAGAGAAATGGCCAATTTATTTTTTTATGGCATGCTAAAATTTAGAAATGCCAATTGTTATATTCTTGATAGGTTATAATCTTTTCCCCTTGGACATATTTCTGCAGTCTGGATCAAAACAGAACAAATCTAGTGTGTAAATTGTTCATATTTTGAAACGGTTAACATGACATCTTTTAATTTTAGCAGAGATGTGTGAAAAGAACACTCAGAAGTGCTTGACACACACATTACTAAGTGAGAAAACAGAATGAAGGAGTTAGAAATGAGTATAGACATTTTGATACGCCATGGAGAACTAAGAGCTCAGAATCAAAACTCATGGCTTTAGAACATAGGGTCCTATCTTTTGCTCTAGTCTTTCAGCCCAAATTATACATAAATAACCAACATTAAAGTATCCAAAGAATGCATTCTCTCTATATACTTTTCCCTGAACCTCTACTATCATAAGAAAGACTCATAATGGTAAGTAATAAATTCTGACAGAAAAATAAGTTCTTAAATCTATAACCATTTCTACTTTCAGGCCCTAATTACTAATTACGGACAACTATATGCTTTGACACTATAATTGCAATTAAAATGATTGAATTACCCCTAGTCATATCATAAACAAATTCCTTGAGTTTAACACCTATTATAAAATGTTTAATAGGGTGACTGACCAGTAAGAAATTTACAATTAAGCCACTGTATTATTTCATTTGCATACAATCTTTTCTAAAGAAAAGAAGGCAGCCACTCACATGACAAGCTTGATTAGTTCACAAAGAACAAAGTCAGTACTAATTTTAGTAAAACCTAATTTTAATCAAGCAACATCATTTTCATTCATCATTTTTTTTCTAATCACTGCCATCACTTGAATGCCAAACAAAAGGGATTGCTACTTTTTGAAGGTTAATACAGTTATCACACGACATTTATGCCCATTACTAGAAAACACTGCAAATCCCTCACAATGAATAAATATTATTCCTGCGACTGTAACTGGATGTTCTTAGGTGTCTTTGTGTTTATAAAGTTGTATCACACACACAGATAGACATAATGACCAAAGAGTACATGAAGTCAAAGGAGCATAGAATGCCTTATGTTAAGTATATAAGACAGTGAACACTAATAGCAATGAATGATAGCCAATAGCCAAAAATGCAAATCCCTGTCTCTCATACCCTGAAGGTTAGAACTACTATTTCTAAACCATAAACTCACCCTTGGCCGATATGCAGCCACCAACTGATTTATAGCTTCTTTGGTAATAATGTATTTCACATGTGGTTATTCCTTTTAATCATAAATAATTGCTTAATGTCATACATTAAAACTCCATACCTTGTATGGTATCATATCAAAAATGCTTTATGTTATATTGAATTGTGACAGTAAAATAAATTATTCTTTGCTTGGCTGGTTAAAGAGTATTTAAGTTAGAGAAATTGTATATACACACAACTCTATATCTTCAATTTCAGTGTAAGATGCAATAGTAGTTACACAACTACAAATGCCACACACAGAAACCTATAGACACGTGCTGTATTTTTGTCCATTTTATAAAACTTCTTCAACAGTGAACATGAGTTTTTCTCAACACTATAACTACCTGTATAAAACTGCCTACACAAAACTAGCTACAACGCTTACCTGTGCAAAACTTCCCCTGGACACCCATCTGCAGGCTCAGCTCTGTTTTAGAAGTAATTTCAGTGCCATACAAGAGGCTTTTAAGCATCTAAAGTAATACTTTTGGACTCAGAATTATAACACAGGATTTGGTAATTAATAGTACCCCTATATGTGTTTGTTGAATAAATAAATAAATCCTATCAGCAGGTTTACTCTCTTAACTCTTACTTTGTAGTCCAACTCTCATAACTGGGTTTCTGTTTATTTCAAAAAAAAAACACATTACTCTGCTGTTCAAAGTTACTGATAATCAGACCCTGGTCTTATTTACTCTTCTGGAATTTCTGTCTTATTAACCTGCCCAATGACATCATTGTTTTGAGTATAAGGCCCTGCCATTTTTCTCAATGCCCTGAATCCCCAGAGCTTGGCTTTAGTTAAAATTTAGGGTCTAAGATATTGCCACTGACTAAAATTTGTCTTCATGGCTGGCTGCTTGACTTTCCTATTCATCTCCCCTCTTACACCCCTCAGAGCCTTGGTCTGTTTACCTCTCATGACATACCATTATCCTGGACTGAACTACTCTAGGCCAACCACGGGACAGGACTGGTGGCTGCGGATGATGTCCATGCCTTTAAAACCATGGCTTGAGTAGATTGTCTCCCCACTAGGTTCTAATCCTCCAAGTGTAGGTCCTATCCTCCAAGATGGCCCATTTTTTCTGCACCTAGCCCAGGCAACAAGGATGATCAATGACTTATTACTTTTATGGTCAGTGCAAACTGTTAAAAAATGAAGGTCTCTCTCATGTTTGGAAACTGAACCATGTAAATATTTTGGCAAAATTTAAAGGATATACCAATACCACCATCACTACCAAGAAAGAAAATGGTGACATAAAATCTAAATGTATTTCTATAAGGTCATTTAAAAATATTTCAATTTACAAGAAAACCAAGTTTTTCTTACAATTTAGATGCCACATGAGTATTATCAATTAAAGTTCAAATCAAATAGCAAATTATTTCTGAAGCATTTTTCAATAAGAATTTATGTTTATCCATCAGTTACTTCTGAATTGTCTCTATCAATTGAGGTCTATTTTGACATTTTGAATTAAGATGAAATAGAGAACCTCTGGGAAAGTCACAATGGAATTGCTACCTATCTAAAATTACTATGAAGGATAATTACCTTCTGGATGCAATAGAATGATTTAACAAGCTACAGTTATTAATATCTAGGTAAACAATTGAAAAATATTTAATCTGACAATCTTCTGAAAACTCTTTCAAAAAGGCTTATAGACTTATGTATGATATGCTGAATAATTACTATACAATAACTACTTATGGTCATGGCTGGAAAGATATAATGCAATGCCTACTTATCTACGATTTATTTTGCCAGAAAATTTAAACATTTTTAAAATAAGACATGGCCATAAAAACAACCATAAAACCTTTAATATAAGACCTTGTTTTATTCAGTGAAATTAATTTATTGACACTCCTATGATAGAATAAATGACCAATACAGGGTTTCAGCCTACTTGTTCCCTTTTTTCTTTATAAAATGCATTACTGTAATGCATTTCTAAAGGAAACAGTGAAAGATAAATGGGATGAAATCTTATAATGGATTGACTTGGGATCCTTTTTCAAGCTTTTTCAAGTTATGCCCTGTTATCAGAACTAATTTGCCTTAATCTCTTAAATCCACAGAAATGTACAATGAAAATGATGTGATTTTGAGGCATCTTAAGATCTTAAATCAAAGGCAGATATAAAACTTTTAAAAAGATTTTCAGTCTCAGCAGATAAGACAAAAAAGGGTTCCAGTTAAACTACCCTTACCAGAATCCATATTTACTTCAGCAACTGAATTTCTACTCAGCGGTGCTATTGATTTACACAGATTCTGATAGTCTTTGTTGAGGCCTGATGAAAAGAAAACAAGTGATTTCATACCCAAATAAGTTTTATCACAGCTTCAATCAGGCTAAGGTATCCATACTTTTGTCACCCTTTTTATGTTTTTCCCGCTACAATTTAGTTCCAATTTCCCTTCCTTTACATCTCTTTCTCCTCACACTCATTAAAGAAGGGTGTTCTCTAAACGTTCCCCCAGGCCTCTTCTTTCTTTCTACCAAATCATTCACTTCTCATATGTAATTATAAACTTTTCAAGAAAACATTCTCGATTTTATCCAGCTTAGTTTCTGTAGTTACACACAAGGACTATGGGAATAGTCCCCATTTCCCTGTATCTCATATTTCAAATTCTAAATGGCCCTAAATAACAAAAATATACAAAATTATCTACTTATTCTTTAGAATATTAAATGTTTTCTTCACGTTGGATCTGAAGTATTAGATCCATTATAAAAATAAATATGTTTCAGAAAATTATTGAACCCAAACTGAAATTGAGTCCTGTTGTTTTCCCCTTTCTGTAAGTGCTGAGGATTCAGAACCTTCTCAGATAAAGTTAAAGTTGTCGTTTACTTCTTAAGTTCTAGTTTAATTTCTCTTCTACTCTTCTTTCTCTAAAAAATACAGGAACTATTAGTGAAGAGGCCGGTTATATGCAGAAACTGGCATGGCAGCAACTTGGATGGAGCTGGAGACCATTATTCTAAGTGAAGTAACACAGGAGTGGAAAACCAAAGACTGTATGTGCTCACTTATAAGTGGGAGCTAAGCTATGAGTATGCAAAGGCATACAGAGTGATACAGTGGACTTTAGAGACTCAGAAGGGGAAGAGTGGGAGGGGCCCTGGGGATAAAAAAAACCAGTACACATTAGGTACAATGTATACTACTCGGGTGATGGGTGTACTACAATCTCAGAATTCACCACTAAATAATTCATCTATGTAACAAAAAACAACTTGTGCCTTAAAAGCTATTGAAATAAAAAATAATAAAAACCATGCAAGTTCTTTTGGCCTCCTCTCCCCTAGTTCACATCCTTGCCTTTTACACAAGGAGAGGCCGCATTGCTTAGGTGTTTGCGTGCTATTTTTAATGTATGTATTGTCTCCTGATACGTAGGAAGCAATACTCTCAATAGAATCTTCCTGATGTCCTAAGGATTCTAATTTTTTAGTACCAAGCTTATTTTAATCACACTTCACAAATCACAATGAACAACAAAAGACACAAATTTTGTCAGTCCCACTAGTTTATGCTCTATAAAGCCTCTTGAACACTAAATTAGCAAATATTGAACCATTGCTTCTAAGGGAAATACTGGGTTAGGTTTCCACAGCAGCTGGTTGAAACATTTCCATTAATAAATCAATATATAACCTTGTTTTATTCATGTTTTTCTTGAAACACACCTTATTTAAAATATGCTGCTGACTGATTAACACTGAACTCATAGCCAGCAGGACTCATGCTTGTCCAACACAAATATTTTTTCTGCAAGACACATAGCAGCCTTCTTGTGCTTAGGAAAACTAGACAGCACTTTGGCACTACGATGGGGCCATTTTAAACAGTGAAATCACCAACAAAAAGCACTAAAATGGGAAAAAACATGCCACTAAATAGACTGCCAAAAACATGCTTGTTCACGGCATGAGATCTGAAATAAGAGGGCAAAGCATTGTCTTGTTTAACCTAAGCTGGGAACATGTGCATTGAACATCTCAAAGTTTTTGCCACACTGCACATGTCTGCAAATGACCACACAAGTGCCAAGGGTATTGATTTTGGGGTTACAAACAAATTTAGTAAGTAGTCAAATTCACAAATAAAGAACTGAGAATAATGAAGACTGATTATTTATAACCCAAATGATTAATATGCTCTATTTGGAACACCTTTCAAGTAGCAGCTTTGAAATGTAAAAACTATAATTTCTCTCTGACCCCTAAAAACTGTGAATTTTATATATTCCTAACAATGCTTCCTCCAATTTGAGCCTTCTTCCACTTCTCTGGTCATTGTCTATCTCTTGTAATTGCACAACAGTAAAATCCACCTTTGCTTTCAGCAATACAGGACTCTACTCCACGTTTATATCTATCATTTGGTTCTTCAGATTTTCAAATCCAACCACCTCTTTCAAATAAACTCAACTTTCCACCATTTTGCACACTTTTCCTTGACCATGCCATGTCTTTAAGTATCATTCATTTTCTTTCTGTTTTATTTGGAAATCTTTGAATACATCATTTACACCTGATGACATAATTTTATTTCCCTATCAGCCCCAATTCTTTAAAAAATCTGGCTATTACATAGAACACCCAAGTAAAATTACATGCTTCACTAACACCAGAAACCTTTTTTCTGTCAAGCCTGATGGCTTTGTCTAAGATCTCAGTTAAACATGAAGCACTTACTGCTATTTTGTTTGATATTTTTGCCCATTCTGTGTATCATGCTTTTGTTTGCTTGGCATTGCTCTATGCTGCTGCTTCTTTCTCTCTGCTAACACAATCCTTTCTCTACTTACCTATTATCTGTAGGTGTTTTTAAAGACTAGGAACATTCAAACACCTGGACCACAACCCATAATAAGAAATACATTTTATATTATGACTCAGTACATGCACATATGCACACACACAAGACAGAAATATGATCATATCAGAAATAAAATTTTATAATTATCTTTATTAATTGCAAAACACTCTGATATTGCTTTTTATTCTATTCAGTTTCTTTTTTAATATTCATGCTGCTCAGAAAGTGCTTCTTTCTGCACTTAAACGATCCCCCCAAAATGCAGCGTAGTGTTTTGTGTTTGACCTAGAGAGAGGTTTTAAAGTTGACAAACTATGACATGAAAACATAAATTTCAGGCATGAAATTTTTATCAACATTAAAATGAGGAAATTAAGAATATGCATTCTTAAAAAGACTGGATACAACCTACTATCTGTATTAACAAAATGCTAAAAAAAATTGGGGAAAATATCAAAGAACAACTGATCCATGTGACATATTTTGATGAATATTCAAGAAATTTTAAAATTATTGATTTATCTATACATGGGAAGCTGTTATTTCTACTTTAAAATTAAAAACAATTAAACTAATATAATTCAATGATTCTGGAAAACCACTAAAAGGAAATACTCCATTATAAGCTTTAAGTAGAAATTCATATAGAATAGATTTATTTTAAATTATGTAAACACTGGTAATTTCCCAATTTTTAGACTAGAGCTTTCATAACCTTTTCTTGAAAGTTATTTCCACTGAGCGCATAACTGTCGGTTTAGTTCAAAAGCAAACTCAGAAAACCTGGGCACTTGGGAACCCATTCCTCTCTACTCCAGTGGTGAAGTAAATATTAGAATAGACAAAGAGAGTCTACAGAGAAAAAACAATAGTAAATCCATTAGAAAGTTGAATCAACAGTTGACCAGGCTTATTCATACTGACATTTTCCAGATTTTGCATACCAAATATTCTGCAAAGTTCAATTTGCATGACTTTACAAGGAAAGAACTGAGTCCTCCATAACTCTACATCCCTTGATAGCCTTATATTTTAATCACTAATGTAGTAAATTTATATTTATTTATGCCTTTAACCTTCCTTGGAGGGTAGATTTTAAGTTAAATATTATCTAAAAAGTAAGAGATAAAAAAATCCATTATTCCATTTTATGTTTTTAATAAAATATGGTTAAGATATTTGTATAGTAGCTATATTAACATTGAATCCAGAAAAAAGTTACTGAGTTTCCTACAATAGAAGAAATTATGTTTAATGAATAGTATTTATAAATATATGAAACAAAACCCTAATTAACCAAACTCTTGTCAATTTTGCCACTTATTTTTCTTGTTAAATAGATTTTCTATGAATATTAAAACTCTCTTTTAATCAGGTCATTTTGGATGAAACTATTTTTAAAATGTCTTATGTATTTCTATAATTTCTTATGAATAGAAATAATATACTTGACTTTATTTGGATAATTGGAGACCCTGATAAGGAAACCTGATATTCTGTTTTACTAGAGTTAGGATCTCAAGGTTCACAGTTTCTTTGGGCTTTTCATCTGTATAGTGAATACCTATGGATCACCATTGTTTTTCAGGTTATATATTTGTTGATTATAGGGGTATTTCTTCTCAGCTTCTTCATGGGTTACATTTCATCTATTATTTAATCACTTCATTCATTCATGTATAGATATATACATAAAGTAAATCTTTCCTGCATCCTTCATAATTGGTGGACTTTGGTCCCATTTAAATTGTGTATCAAAGAAAAGTGAATAATCTCTGAGTGAGGGACAAAATGGATGTGTCATGATCAAAGTATAGTATATTCACTTTACAAGAACTCTGGAGCATCCACTATGGTTGGATAAAGGTCTAAGTTTACTTATTTGATAGTTCCTACCTGTATGGCAGACACTTGAACTACTGTTATAGTTTAAAAATTGTTTTTAATAATTTACCTATAGATTATATTTATTCAGAGACTTTTAGTATTTGATAACTTTTTTAAAACTTTAGTATCCCTAGAGATCTTCCTAATCATGTGGTTTGACATGATTATAGTCAGATAGTCCTTGACAACTTTGATTTTCCTGCTGGATTATACAGTATTCAGATTGCTTTGTCAGGGTGCACTACAGTATGAGTAATTCAAACATACTTTGAGCATAAGTGTTTTGACAAAATTTGAAAATGTCTGCTTACCCATCTAAATGATGGACCCATCAACATTTCCAGTAATGACACCATGACACCTTAAGTAAGCATTAATGTTAAACTTGATCATCTCTCAAAAACTTGAACACTCACAAAATAATTTTTAAGAGTGTATGTATATGTCATATTCTTCTTTTCATTTCTTTGACTTCCTCAGCAATTTTACAGAACATAGTGTTGATTTTATATTTATGAAAATCTTTGACAGCAAGAAACCATTCTTAATACTATGATTATTTTATAGAAAATATGTTCTTCTATTTCTTGCATTGATAAGTACATGCTTAAGTAGAGTAAGAGAGCATCTTGCTCTAAACATTCAGTGTTGTCACAGCTATTTAATAATTCAATAAATAGTCATTACACATTTTCTAGGTGCTAAGCATTGACATAAACTGGACAAATGAAATAGATTGTTCATCTCAAGATCTGTATGACTTCAAGGGACATGTAAATAAGAACCAGGAGACCTGGATTCCAGTTCTAATGAGCCACGAGACTGGAATGTTCCTTTACTCTTGTTTTGTCAATAAGCCTCTTCAAGTTCACTTTCAGTTCACAAATTCTCGAATTTTTCTATAAGCCTATTAGTAACAAACAATCCATTAGAGGTGATCACAAAGTACCAGCACGTGGGAGTAGCTTGACTATGTTTTATTTGGCTTTACTTTGGAATAACCTTAGCCATCTTTTAGAGATTGCTTTCTGCAATGTATATTGGTGTCTGGATAAGTTTCCAGGACCAATTCCAATGGAGACTCCTCATTCCTCATCTTGCTTTATGTCTGCATCATTGGACCTCTGCTCCCAGATTGTTACTCCCACCTGGCTGTCTCCCACCATTCTAACTACTCCTTTACCAAAAAAGCTGTCTCTTCTTCCTCTGCTTGTCCCTTAAGTCCTTTGAAAATAAGTCCTCAGGCATTCTTATCTTAGGTCCCACCAACTGAAACTGCCTTTGCAAAAATTGTAACAGTGAGAGAATTCAGACATAACTGACTCCATCTTGCTTCTAACCTCACAAGCTAACTGCCCTGGCTCATTCCTGGGCATGGGACAAACTGACTATGGGAAAAATTTAGTTTACAGTTTAAACTTAAAGCAAGGATGATAGTAGCTATCATGACATTCTTTGTTGGGGGAAACTACCTCCATTCCTTGTTTGGGGACTGAAACCACCATTGTAAAACTAATAAAAAGCCACAGGGTTAGAATTATGAGAGAGGGCTGGATTCTGCTAAGGCCTATGCATTTTTAGGCAATAACCAGCCGTTCTTCCCTAGCTTGCTTACTGCTCAGGAGTCATGTAGCCAGAGGTCACACGACTGGGGACTTTTTCCCAATTACTCCTATAGGTAAGACCACTATCGTAAAACCTAAGATTGGTCTTTCAGAGATTTTTTTTAGACTTTTGCATTAAGGCAACCATCTGACATCACTGAGACCCATGAATCGTACCAAGGAACTGACTCAACTCGCCCTGTGACCCCCTCACCCAGAAACTGACTCAGCCTTCGAAGACCATTTGGACAGTCCCATAATTTCATCCCCAACCAATCAGCAGTATCTATTCCCTAGGACCTTAGATTATTTTCAAAAACCCTAGCCTCAGAACTCTTGAGGAAGGGGATTTGAGAAATACCTCCAGTCCTTCCACTCAGCTGCCCTGCGATAATTAAGCTCTTTCTTTGCTGCAACATCATTGCTGTTGTGCTCCTTTGGCCCAGCGATCACTCAGCACACATAATTGTCCTGAGTTCACACCCTAGATTGATTAATATTTTCATCTTTTTTGACAATAGTTTGCCTTCCCTTCCCAGTATACAATGATAAGTGTTTGTGGTTTTGTCAAGAGGCCTAAAATCAAGAAATTTCTCTTTTCTGTGTATATTAAAATGGACTTCCCAGAAAGCAGAACAGAGACATATACTATTATATAAAGAAATGGGGGAGGAGCCAAGATGGCCCAATAGGAACAGCTCCGGTCTACAGCTCCCAGCGTGAGCTACGCAGAAGACGGGTGATTTCTGCATTTCCATCTGAGGTACCGGGTTCATCTCCCTAGGGAGTGCCAGACAGTGGGCACAGGTCAGTGGGTGCGCGCACAGTGCGCGAGCCGAAGCAGGGCGAGGCATTGCCTCACTTGGGAAGCACAAGAGGTCAGGGAGTTCCCTTTCTGAGCCAAAGAAAGGGGTGACGGATGGCACCTGGAAAATCAGGTCACTCCCACCCGAATACTGCGCTTTTCCAACGGGCTTAAAAAACGGTGCACCACGAGATTATATCCCACACCTGGCTCGGAGGGTCCTATGCCCACGGAGACTCACTGATTGCTAGCACGGCAGTCTGAGATCAAACTGCAAGGCGGCAGCGAGGCAGGGGGAGGGGCGCCCGCCATTGCCCAGCCTTGATTAGGTAAACAAAGCAGCCTGGAAGCTCGAACTGGGTGGAGCCCACCACAGCTCAAGGAGGCCTGCCTGCCTCTGTAGGCTCCACCTCTGGGGGCAGGGCACAGACAAACAAAAAGACAGCAGTAACCTCCGCAGACTTAAATGTCCCTGTCTGACAGCTTTGAAGAGAGCAGTGGTTCTCCCAGCACGCAGCTGGAGATCTGAGAACGGGCAGACTGCCTCCTCAAGTGGGTCCCTGACCCCTGACCCCCGAGCAGCCTAACTGGGAGGCAACCCCCAGCAGGGGCACACTGACACCTCACACGGCAGGGTATTCCAACAGACCTGCAGCTGAGGGTCCTGTCTGTTAGAAGGAAAACTAACAAACAGAAAGGACATCCACACCAAAAACCCATCTGTACATCACCATCATCAAAGACCAAAAGTAGATAAAACCACAAAGATGGGGAAAAAACAGAACAGAAAAACTGGAAACTCTAAAAAGCAGAGCGCCTCTCCTCCTCCAAAGGAATGCAGTTCCTCACCAGCAATGGAACAAAGCTGGATGGAGAATGACTTTGATGAGCTGTGAGAAGAAGGTTTCAGATGATCAAATTACTCTGAGCTACGGGAGGACATTCAAACCAAAGGCAAATAAGTTGAAAACTTTGAAAAAAATTTAGAAGAATGTATAACTAGAATAACCAATACAGACAAGTGCTTAAAGGAGTTGATAGAGCTGAAAACCAAGGCTCGAGAACTACGTGAAGAATGCAGAAGCCTCAGGAGCCGATGCGATCAACTGGAAGAAAGGGTATCAGCAATGGAAGATGAAATGAATGAAATGAAGCGAGAAGGGAAGTTTAGAGAAAAAAGAATAAAAAGAAATGAGCAAAGCCTCCAAGAAATATGGGACTATGTGAAAAGACCAAATCTACGTCTGATTGATGTACCTGAAAGTGATGGGGAGAATGGAACCAAGTTGGAAAACACTCTGCAGGATATTATCCAGGAGAACTTCCCCAATCTAGCAAGGCAGGCCAACGTTCAGATTCAGGAAATACAGAGAACGCCACAAAGATACTCCTCGAGAAGAGCAACTCCAAGACACATAATTGTCAGATTCACCAAAGTTGAAATGAAGGAAAAAATGCTAAGGGCAGCCAGAGAGAAAGGTCGGGTTACCCTCAAAGGGAAGCCCATCAGACTAACAGCGGATCTCTCGGCAGAAACCCTACAAGCCAGAAGAGAGTGGGGGCCAATATTCAACATTCTTAAAGAAAAGAATTTTCAACCCAGAATTTCATATCCAGCCAAACTAAGCTTCATAAGTGAAGGAGAAATAAAATCCTTTACAGACAAGCAAATGCTGAGAGATTTTGTCACCACCAGGAAGGAAGCACTAAACATGGAAAGGAACAACCAGTACCAGCCGCTGCAAAATCATGCCAAAATGTAAAGACCATCGAGACTAGGAAGAAACTGCATCAACTAACGAGCAAAATAACCAGCTAACATCATCATGACAGGATCAAATTCACACATACCAATATTAACTTTAAATGTCAATGGACTAAATGCTCCAATTAAAAGACACAGACTGGCAAATTGGATAAAGAGTCAAGACCCATCAGTGTGCTGTATTCAGGAAACCCATCTCACGGGCAGAGACATACATAGCCTCAAAATAAAAGGATGGAGGAAGATCCACCAAGCCAATGGAAAACAAAAAAAGGCAGGGGTTGCAATCCTAGTCTCTGATAAAACAGACTTTAAACCAACAAAGATCAAAAGAGACAAAGAAGGCCATTACATAATGGTAAAGGGATCAATTCAACAAGAAGAGCTAACTATCCTAAATATATATGCACCCAATACAGGAGCACCCAGATTCATAAAGCAAGTCTGAGTGACCTACAAAGAGACTTAGACTCCCACACATTAATAATGGGAGACTTTAACACCCCACTGTCAACATTAGACAGATCAACGAGACAGAAAGTTAACAAGGATATCCAGGAATTGAACTCAGCTCTGCACCAAGCGGACCTGATAGACATCTACAGAACTCTCCACCCCAAATCAACAGAATATACATTTTTTTCAGCACCACACCACACCTATTCCAAAATTGACCATATACTGGGAAGTAAAGCTCTCCTCAGCAAATGTAAAAGAACAGAAATTATAACAAACTATCTCTCAGACCACAGTGCAATCAAACTAGAACTCAGGATTAAGAATCTCACTCAAAACTGCGCAACTACATGGAAACTGAACAACCTGCTCCTGAATGACTACTGGGTACATAACGAAATGAAGGCAGAAATAAAGATGTTCTCTGAAACCAACGAGAACAAAGACACAACATACCAGAATCTCTGGGACGCATTCAAAGCAGTGTGTAGAGGGAAATTTATAGCACTAAATGCCCACAAGAGAAAGCAGGAAAGATCCAAAATTGACACCCTAACATCACAATTGAAAGAACTAGAAAAGCAAGAGCAAACACATTCAAAAGCTAGCAGAAGGCAAGAAATAACTAAAATCAGAGCAGAACTGAAGGAAATAGAGACACAAAAAACCCTTCAAAAAATTAATGAATCCAGGAGCTGGTTTTTTGAAAGGATCAACAAAATTGATAGACTGCTAGCAAGACAAATAAAGAAAAAAAGAGAGAAGAATCAAATAGATGCAATAAAAAATGATAAAGGGGATATCACCACCAATCCCACAGAAATACAAAGTACCATCAGAGAATACTACAAACACCTCTACGCAAATAAACTAGAAAATCTAGAAGAAATGGATAAATTCCTTGACACATACACTCTCCCAAGACTAAACCAGGAAGAAGTTGAATCTCTGAATAGACCAATAACAGGAGCTGAAATTGTGGCAATAATCAATAGCTTACCAGCCAAAAAGAGTCCAGGACCAGATGGATACACAGCCGAATTCTACCAGAGGTACAAGGAGGAACTGGTACCATTCCTTCTGAAACTATTCCAATCAATAGAAAAAGAGGGAACCCTCCCTAACTCATTTTATGAGGCCAGCATCATTCTGATACCAAAGCCAGGCAGAGACACAACAAAAAAAGAGAATTTTAGACCAATATCCTTGATGAACATTGATGCAAAAATCCCCAATAAAATACTGGCAAAATGAATCCAGCAGCACATCAAAAAGCTTATCCACCATGATCAAGTGGGCTTCATCCCTGGGATGCAAGGCTGGTTCAAACCAATAAACGTAATCCAGCATATAAACAGAACCAAAGACAAAAACCACATGATTATCTCAATAGATGCAGAAAAGGCCTCTGACAAAATTCAACGATGCTTCATGCTAAAAACTCTCAATAAATTAGGTATTGATGGGACATATCTCAAAATAATAAGAGCTATCTATGACAAACCCACAGCCAATATCATACTGAATGGACAAAAACTGGAAGCATTCCCTTTGAAAACTGGCACAAGACAGGGATGCCCTCTCTTAGCACTCTTATTCAACATAGTGTTGGAAGTTCTGGCCAGGGCAATCAGGCAGGAGAAGGAAATAAAGGGTATTCAATTAGGAAAAGAGGAAGTCAAATTGTCCCTCTTTGCAGATGACATGATTATATATCTAGAAAACCCCATCGTCTCAGCCCAAAATCTCCTTAAGCTGATAAGCAACTTCAGCAAAGTCTCAGGATACAAAATCAATGTACAAAAATCACAAGCATTCTTATACACCAACAACAGACAAACAGAGAGCCAAATCATGAGTGAACTCCCATTCACAATTGCTTCAAAGAGAATAAAATACCTAGGAATCCAACTTACAAGGGATGTGAAGGACCTCTTCAAGGAGAACTACAAACCACTGCTCAAGGAAATAAAAGAGGATACAAACAAATGGAAGAACATTCCATGCTCATGGGTAGGAAGAATCAATATCGTGAAAATGGCCATACTGGCCAAGGTAATTTACAGATTCAATGCCATCCCCATCAAGCTACCAATGACTTTCTTCACAGAATTGGAAAAAACTACTTTAAAGTTCATATGGAACCAAAAAAGAGCTCGCATCGCCAAGTCAATCCTAAGCCAAAAGAACAAAGCTGGAGGCATCACACTACCTGACTTCAAACTATACTACAAGGCTACAGTAACCAAAACAACATGGTACTGGTACCAAAACAGAGATATAGATCAATGGAACAGAACAGAGCCCTCAGAAATAACGCCGCATATCTACAACTATCTGATCTTTGACAAACCTGACAAAAACAAGCAATGGGGAAAGGATTCCCTATTTAATAAATGGTGCTGGGAAAACTGGCTAGCCATATGTAGAAAGCTGAAACTGGATCCCTTCCTTATACCTTATACAAAAATCAGTTCAAGATGGATTAAAGACTTAAACGTTAGACCTAAAACCATAAAAACCCTAGAAGAAAACCTAGGCATTACCATTCAGGACATAGGCATGGGCAAGGACTTCATGTCTAAAACACCAAAAGCAATGGCAATGGCAACAAAAGACAAAATTGACAAATGGGATCTAATTAAATTAAAGAGCTTCTGCACAGCAAAATAAACTACCATCAGAGTGAACAGGCAACCTACAAAATGGGAGAAAATTTTCACAACCTACTCATCTGACAAAGGGCTAATATCCAGAATCTACAATGAACTCTAACAAATTTACAAGAAAAAAACAAACAACCCCATCAAAAAGTGGGCAAAGGACATGAACAGACACTTCTCAAAAGAAGACATTTATGCAGCCAAAAAACACATGAAAAAATGCTCATCATCCTGGCCATCAGAGAAATGCAAATCAAAACCACAATGAGATACCATCTCACACCAGTTAGAATGGCAATCATTAAAAAGTCAGGAAACAACAGGTGCTGGAGAGGATGTGGAGAAATAGGAACACTTTTACACTGTTGGTGGGACTGTAAACTAGTTCAACCATTGTGGAAGTCAGTGTGGCGATTCCTCAGGGATCTAGAACTGGAAATACCATTTGACCCAGCCATCCCATTACTGGGTATATACCCAAAGGACTATAAATCATGCTGCTATAAAGACACATGCACACGTATGTTTATTGTGGCGTTATTCACAATAGCAAAGACTTGGAACCAACCCAAATGTCCAACAATGATAGACTGGATTAAGAAAATGTGGCACATATACACCATGGAATACTATGCAGCCATAAAAAATGATGAGTTCATTTCCTTTGTAGGGACATGGATGAAATTGGAAATCATCATTCTCAGTAAACTATCACAAGAACAAAAAACCAAACACCGCATATTCTCACTCATAGGTGGGAATTGAACAATGAGATCACATGGACACAGGAAGGGGAATATCACACTCTGGTGACTGTTGTGGGGTGCGGGGAGAGGGGAGGGATAGCATTGGGAGATATACCTAATGCTAGATGACGAGTTAGTGGGTGCAGTGCACCAGCATGGCACATGTATACATATGTAACTAACATGCACAATGTGCACATGTACCCTAAAACTTAAAGTATAATAATAAAAAAAAAAAAGTTAAAAGAAAAAAAGAAAGTAAAAAAAAAAAAAATGTAATCCCAGGCAATGGGAATGAAGGACAAGGGGAATGAAATAGGGCAGCAGAGATATTATGTCGCTGTTTTTTCAAAATGGTCATGGCTAAAGGTAACTGAGATCTTATCCAACTGTCTTCTGCATAGCCAGATAAATTTCACCCTAGAACATTCCATCTAGTATGGGAAAGGAGGTATTTGTATCTATCATCTGCCAGTCCAAATTTCAAGGGAGCAGAATTAGGCTTCCCTTTTTGACAAGGAATTGGTCAAGTTGCATTGCTTAAGAGCTTGGGAATGTGAGATGTTTTTACAGCCACATTGGAAAATACAATCTACCACACTGTCTCATAATACTCCACACTTAGTAAACATGGGAAGCCATTGGGGAATAATATCACATTCTTAAAGATTATAAAATTGAAGTTATTTTCTTACAACCACACACAAGTCAGGACCTAGAGAAAATTAGGACCTATATTATACCTGAAGTACTCCTCCATGTATCAAATTGCAACATACAACTTTTTAATTAAACACTGACACAACAATAAAGTTATTTAGTGACCAATATTCTCGAGCTGGTTATGTGGTTTCATGAGTTCTTTCTGTAACTCTGTTATTAATTTGTGACTTTGGGTAAGTCTTTTAGCAGTTGAATTTAATTAAAAAATCAAAATATATGCACCAATCCCAAGGTGCATTGTGAGAGTAAATGTCCCATTGTTAAAGCCTTTTAGATATCTGCCTAGTAAGGGCTACAAGATTATTATAATGGTGATGGTGACAGTGATTCTTGGAGAAAAAAGGATTATTAGTATTATGATTCTCTTAGAAATTTACTTTTGTATCTCTCACAAAACATGGAGTTTTCCTCCATGTTATCAAAGGTTTTGACATATTCTCAAGCAGCTTCTGAAACGCAACCTAAATTTTCATATCCACAAGAATTCTTTTGTATGTTCACAGGAATGTTAACAGGATGAGAATAAATGAATAATGTTTTAAAGAAGTTCAGTAATATATTCTCCATTGTGTTCTAGGGATAAGTTGTTCAATGTTTAGCACTGACCATGTAAAATTAGGAAAACAATTGTTAAAAAAATATATATATTACTGGCAACATCTCATCCTTAATTATTTCTCAGTTCTTTACATGTATTTCTTCCTATAATCAGAAGGATTCAAGACAGAAAAGATCAAAAAAACACTATACTGTTTCATATAAGGGCTAGGAAATTTTAAATTTCATAATTCATTCACATAATTCATAAATTATGAAATTTAAAAATTCATAATTCATTGGAATATGTAAATAAACCAAACATGAACCTCTAAAGAGATGCTTTATATTTACCAAGTGTTGCTACAATTTCTGTTTACCAAAACTTTTCCCCAAGTGTTGCTGGCATTTCATTCATATCTATTTATTTATTCAACAAATAGTTATAAAGTTCTAAATGAAAATATTTATTTACAATCCCGGGGTAGATACCAACATGAAGAAGATACAGATTCTGCCATCAAGGCTCTTAAAGATTAACAGAGGAAGAAGACATGTAATTAAGGCAGAAGGTAGTGAAACATACAAGTGAAGCGTGAAGTTGGGTGAAGAGATGATTGCATCACTTGAAGTGACTTGAAGTCACTAGAAGAAAGGAAGGCTCTGAGCTGTACCTTCAAAATATAGGTTTGATTTTTGATGTATGGGAATGAAGAAGACATTCTGAGGCCCTGAGGCAGAGAGGAGCATAAATAAAGACTGAGAAATGAAAATATGTGATGTATATGTGAAATCAAAGCAGCTTAATGTAGGCAGCAGGGGAGGTTTCCAAAGAGTAGGCAAGAAAGAAAAAGAGAGATGCCTAGATACCCCATTACTAACTGTCCTAAATCTAAAACATTGTAAATTGAATTTTATTTTGTAGATATCAGGGAATCCCTTGAAAATTTATTAGTAGAGGAAGAACACAACAGGACTATATTTCAAGAAGTTTTTTCTACCAATCTATAAGAATGAATTAAGGAAGAAAGTGCTAGGGGTCGGGGAGAACAGTAAAAACCAGTTAAAAAAAAATGACCCATGCAGTTAGATTCTGACCTAGAATACAGACGGTTAGGATTAAAAAAAAAAAAAAGTCTTATGAGAGTTCATGCATTTGATGAGGGAAGCAAGGAAAAGAACAAACTGAAAAATGATTATTTGATGATTAGATAGCGCTTCCATTGACAGAAATGGAAAATACAATAGAAAACTTTGAGAGAGGTATTCAGGGACAGAAGAGTTGGAAGAGCAAACAATTACTGAGCAACTCCATATACATTTCTATGCATATTACTGGTTTTATCCTATTTAACCTCATGATAGATGGTGAAACCGAGGTAGTTGAAGTTATCTGCCCAGGAGCACAGATAGTAGCAGGTCTAGAGAAGACAATCAGTTCAGTTTGTGTCATGCTAAATTAGAGGAAGAGGTGGAAAACTTAGGTGATGACATGTAGCACTGATTGGAGCTCCATAAACAGAGCAGATCCAAGATAGATTTGGGGTGAGTTATGTGCATGGTTAAAGTCATTATGTTTTAGAATGTCAATGGAGAGAATATAGCATTAAAACAAAGAGGCAGGAGAGATGGTCAAAGAAAATAGAAGGCAACAATTTTTCAGTGTAGATATTCAAATTAACTGTTACATCTCAAGGATTTTCATTTGTTACCAGATTTTAGAATGTTCCCCCAGAAAGCCAATATAGAAGATGCTCTGAATGTGGACACTGTGAAATATAAACCTTGAAATTGCATGGTATAGGCCAAATACTTTCAGTACTATTTTGATCTTATTGTGTAAACTGGGTGATATAACTAGGGGAAAATTAAAACTCTTTTAATTTTCCACTTCAAGATTTCTTAATTAATAAAGTTAACATCACTTATATAATAAATGATGTGGCATTTTAATTATATTTTGGGAAATTATTTCTCATCCCAGGTTGATTAAATAAATTATTGATAATTGATCATAAATCTCATAAAACATGATAAATTTGAGCTTGGATCTGTTACAACTAAAGCAATTTAAATTTTCTTAAATTACTAGAAGCTATAAAAATAAGATGATAAGATATTTTAACAACATTGCCTAGAACAAGAAAAGGAGAAAAATATAATGGAAAATGGAAATCAAGAAGAGGAAGACTCCATCAAACCCTTCAAATCTATCAACGAGAAATATCTGAATATATGCTCTTGTTACTACTTTCAAATTGGACTAAATTACTCCCTACCTCTTTTTGGTTTTTGATGTTGGTTTTGTTTTCATTTGGGTCAGGCAGTATTGAAAATACTTGAGTAATGTCCTTTCTTCCTGACATTTAATAGATCCACAACAATGATCAAGAAACATATTTCTATGAACAATTATTATTAGCATAATGATTTAACATACATGATCATCACCAATGTGCTAGCCATTATGTAAAATTAAATATTTAGTATAAACTTTATGTTCTTCTCTCCTCTGAGTTATTCATTTCTGAAATATATTTCCCTAACAAAACCTCTTTGAATTTGCTCTTTCCTTAACATGGCATTAAAAGTCACTTTTTCTAACGTTCAAAGGCATAATACCATTTTATACACAGAACATATAATTATGCTGAGCAGATTCAAAGTCACATTGTTTTACTTTTATTTCACGAGACGGTAAGTAAGAAAAAGATACAGTGTAAGCCATGAGGTTGAGAACATTTGACAATGCTTGCGTGTAATGAAATATAATGTTTGCCATGGCAGCCTTTCTTCTTTGGCGCTTCTAGTCAAATCCTGCACAGCCCCACAGATGCCAAATTTTAGCCTCAGGCCAAACAGAAATTCACATGGAAACAATGATCCCTTTAATACTTTAAAATTTTGTTTTTACAAAGTATGTAAACGAATGCGGTTTTGCACTCTAGGTACTAGGATGATGATAAAGGCAAATTACTTCGTGTATTGATAAAACTTTTTATTGCTGCCTCCTTTATAATTCACAGTGATTTTGAAAATTCAAGGCCTGGCTTAAGGGGAACTATTTCTTCATTGCCTTATTAACCCTTCCAGCAGAATTCCCAACACAGAGAAGACATCACATCATAGCTGCATGCTAATAAATTAAAATCTCAATGGGTGGAAATAAAACTAGAAACAAAAAGGATAACTGACAATTCAAATTTAAGAAAGATTAAGTGAAAAGTGCAAAAAATAATTAAGTAATTGTATACGAAAAGCACATAGCACCAATAGATTTTAAAAATTATTTTTATTTGATTATTTAAGAAATTAATAATTTTCATCTTAGATAAATCATCACAAAATAAAGGCTAAGGGAGAAAATCTCTGAAATTACTTTCAGAAATAATATTACTAAACTAAAATGCATTAGAATTTTTAAAAATCTGCCTACATATGAGTATTTAAAAAATCCTAAAAAGAGATGATTAGCCTCTATTACTTAAGCCATACAATTAAAAGGAGAGTTTAGTATATCACCAAGTATGGCTTAAGCCAGTGTTACTGTGAATATATCTAAATATTTGGCTTATTTAAAAAATGAGGCATATGCTCAAATCTTCCCCTCCTGCATCAAATCTGTAGAATAGGTAGAACAGATATTTTTAAAAATGTGTAACTATATGTCTCTCTCCACCATCAAAAAAACAAAACAAAACAAAACAAAACAAAGCAAAAAGCAGAAAGAAAGAAATCACTTGAGCTAATCCCAAGGAATGAGAGAAGACACACAGAAAGCTTCAACCAAGGCAGGAAGCCCTGGAAGCTGCTTCCCAATATAGCCTCTTTCTAAAGGCTCCTCCCTCCCCACAGCTGTGCGTCATGCTCAGCACCCTCATCAGCAACAAAAAGCAGCCACAGCTCATGGAGTTCAGCCTCAGAACAAAGCCATTTGGGAAGCCAAAAGCTGAGAAAGACTAATACCATCAAAAAGAATCAATGAATTTTACATAGTAAAACCCTTAGACATGGTAAGATGAATCAATCAATCAATTATTTACTTTAACAAGTTAATATCCTCAGAGATAAGAGGAAAATATTATCAATCTGAAATAAGTGTAAATGGTAATATAAAAATCTAACAATAATAAACATGATTATAAATAAAAATGTAATTATTATCAGATAAACTCAAAAAGTGGCAGTGGACAGTGATGAGGAATATAGATTCGGAAGTTCTAAGATCTATTTCTTAGCAGTCCTAGAGTGGACAAAAGAGATAATGTCAGTGATAATGTAAATTAATCTATATTTGAAGAAATAAGCCTGAGAATTTTCCGAAGCCAGGAGTGGGTGAAGAGAGGACAGCCAAATTCTCCAGCTGAAAAAGTCCAGTGTATCATGAAAAGGATTAAAATAAAACAACAGTGGTATAACAATAAATTAAAAATAAAACTTAAAAATAATAGACATGAAGAAACATCCAAAAACATTCAAATAGAAATGATAGATTACCCCAAAATAAAGGAAATACAATACTTCAATCTTGTGATTTGCAAAATGAAATTCAAAAATGATTGTAAAAATGTCTTGTAAATACTGTGGGAGAAGAATTTAAATTGAGAAATCTTGAAATAGTTCAACTTCCACTCAAAAGAGATGAGCTCAATAAAGGCATTTTCAGACATTTGAGGACTTAGAAAGTGGACTACTCAACCTTTTTGAAGTAAAACTATATTCCACTGAGTAGAAAACCTTCAGAAGGAAATAAGCTGTAAAATAAAGTAAGCTCAATGAATTAATAAAATTTATTGTAACACTTAAATAAGTAATGATTTTAAAATGCTTTTAATAACAAGTCAGAACTAAAATAACAGACAGTAGGATGGTAGCAGTGGATTACAGCAAAAATACAGTCTGTTTAGTATACTCAGTTTATTGGTTTGTTTGGGGGAAAAATATTGATTGAAGCTAAGCTTTGTGTATATATCTATATTTTCCTATATTTGTTTATTTAATTTTGTGTTAAAATGTTAAGCATATACGTGGACATTGATTCTAGAGAAATGAAAACTTACATTCACATGAAAATATATACACAAATGTTTATAACTGCTTTATTTGTAATAGCCTGAAACTGGAAACAACCCAAATGTCTTTCAAGAAATAAATGGATAAAGAAAATCTGACACATCCATATAATGAAATACTACTCAGCATTAAAATGAAACAAATTACAGAACACACACAATTTAGATGCCAAGGGGAAAAAAAGCAATCTCAAAAGTTTGCATAGTGCATGATTCTATCTATATAACATTTTTGTAGTAACATTACTATAGAGATAGAAATCAGATTAATAGTTGTCTTGGAAGGTATGGAAGGTGGTGCTACTGAAAAGAGATAATATGAATGAGTTCCTTTGTGGACAGAGCAGTTCTCTATCTTGACTGCAGTGTTGATCATACAAGTCTATATTTGTTATGAATTTTTTTTGAGAGAGTCTCATTCTGTTGCCCAGGCTAGAGTGCAGTGGCGTGATCTCGGCTCTGAGTAGCTGGGGTTACAGGTGTGTGCCACCATGCCTGGCTAATTTTTGTATTTTTAGTAGAGATGGGATTTCTCTATGCTGGCCAGGTTGGTCTCTGTATTCGTCAGGTTTCTCTTAAAGGGACAGAACTAATAGTATACATATATATATATCCTATATATAGAGGATATTATATATATAAACTCCCCTTTATATAAAGTTAATACTTAACAAACTTATAAAGTTAATACTTAATAAACTCCTATATATATGTATCAATATATAAGGTTAATACTTAATTATATATGATAGTTTACACACACATAGTGTGTATATATATGTGTATACATATATAGTTAATACTTAATAAACTCCCATATGTATGAAGTTTATTAAGTATTAACTTAATATATATCTATAAAGGGGAGTTTATTAAGTATTAAGTTGTATGATTACAAGGTCCTACAATAGGCTGTCTGCAAGCTGAGGAGCAAGGAGAGCCAGTCCAAAGCACAAAACTGAAAAATTTGGAGTCCGATATTCAAGGGCAGGAAGCATCCAGCATGGCAGAAAGGTGTAGGCTGGGAGGCTGGTAGGCCCAGCCTCTCCCTTTCATGTTTTTCTGCCTGCTTTATATTCGCTGGAAGCTGATTAGGTTGTGCCCACCAGATTAAGGGTGGATTTGCCTTCCCCAGCCCACTGACTCAAATGTTAGTCTCTTTTGGCAACGCCCACACAGACACACCCAGGATTAATACTTTGTATCCCCTAAATCCAATCAAGTTGACAGTATTAACCATCACAATCTCAAACTCCTGACCTCAGGTTATCCACTCACCTCAGTCTCCCAAAGTGGTGGGATTACAGGCGTGAGCCCCCACGCCCAGCCATGAATGTTATAGAACTATACACATACACATATGTAAATGAGTCATGCCAAAACTGGTGAAATCTGTAGCCTATCTAATTCTATATAACAATACCAATTTGAGGGTTTTTGATAATGTGGTGTAGTTATGTAAATGTTGCCATCAGGGAAAGCTGGATGATAGATACATAAATATCTCCGTTCTTGTATTGCAGCTTCCACAAGTCTATAATTATTTCAATATATGAAGTTTAAAAAATAAAAATCAGAAACAAAAAATAAAGAATTGCCCCTAAAATAATAGAAATTATAACTGCCACACCAGTGAAGGGCAAAATACAATGATCAATGAAAAGGCAAGAAAGATAAAAAAAAAAAAAAATCAATGAACAAACAAAAAAAAAAGTAGAAAAGAAAAAAGTAATATGGTAAGGATAGGTCCAAATTCTTCAACAACGCCACGCATGAAAATGGGATATACTTACCAATTTAAAAGATGGAGAATATCAGAGATAACAAGATCCAGCTTATGCTTTACAACAGATCCACCTAAAATCAAGTGGCACAATCATGTTGAAAAGAACAAAAAAATGGAAAAAGTAATATCAGACAAAATATAATAGTTGTTGAATTTTTAAAATAAAAAAGAGAAAGTTTTCAAATGGACAAAAAAAGTCAAATGATATAACAATTGGGAGTTTTTATGTACCTTGTAGAATAGCCTAAAATATATAAAGAAAAAGTGATATAATTTCAAGAAAAAGCCAACAAATTATAAATCATATTTGATACTTTGATATAACTCTAAGAAATTAATAGACCAAATACCTAAAAAATGAGAAATGTATTGAGGTTATGAATGACATAATAAACTTAATTGCTTTGACTCAAATAAAGAATAAACCTTCTAATCAAACATTGAAGGAATATTTATAAAACCTGACCATCTAGTAGATCACAAAGACATTCACAAGAAAAAAATGTTGGCCTGGCATGGTGGCTCACACCTGTCATCCTAGAGCTTTGGGAGGCCAAGGTGGGAGGATTGCATGAGGCTAGAAATTGGTGACCAGCCTGGTCAACATAGTGGTACCCTACAAAAATAAAAAATAAAAATAAAAGAAAAATACGTTTAAATTGTATCATAAAAGTCACTAATCACTGATCACAATACAATAAAATTAGAAAACAACAAGTCAAAAATCTAAGTATCTGAAAATCTTATATATTAGATATTAAATAAAAGAGAACTGCAAACTACTTAGAACTGAATGGAAATGATATCACTGTTTTCCAAACCTCAGGAAATCTCCAAAGTGGTGCTCAGAATAAAATTTATAGCCCTAAATGTATTTGGGTGAAAACAAAAAAAACTAAAAATGTGAACTAACTTGTAGCACAAGAAGCTTAAAAAAAAAAAAAAAAGAAAGAAAAGAAAAGAAAAAGAAAGATTATAATGAAGATAGTGAATTGACTAACAAAATAAAAGGCATTGGCTTTTTCCAAAGAATTAATTGAATAGACAAGAATTTTTTTAAAAAAAGAAGGGAAAAATAAGCAAAGTATTATCAGTGAAAAGGAGACATGAACACAGACTGAGAAAACTTTTAAGCATCATGGGAGAATATCAAGAAAAATATTATAAAAATAATTTTGACAGTTTAGTTTCTATGAACAGCTTAAGAATGTGTACAAGAGTAAGTTGAAAACATGACTAGACCAACTGCTATAAAATAAATCAAAAGAAGGCTTCAGTAGCTATGCCCAACGGCATATACTTACAGCCGGGAACATAAACTGGTACAGTCCATTTGGTGTGTATTTGGTCATTTTTTAATGTAATACCATATCACTGATTAATTCTATTTCCAAGAGTACTTTATTTAAAAAGGAAATAATACTCTAAGATGGTGAGGCTGTGGGGAAGCTGTTATACTCATGAACAAATTATAGTAGTATAATTGTCACAATTCTATAGATAGTAATTTGATGATACATTTCAAGAATCAAATCTTTCCATAAGCATGGAATTTATCCTTATGAAGAAGTCAAAGAGAAAGAAAAGCTATAAATAAACTGTTCATCACATAATATATACAAAATTGGAAACATTAAAATTGATGGTTAGTTAATACTTAAAATTAAAATGCAGTTACTCAGTAAAACTTTAAAATGTGATGCAGAAGCTAAAGGTGCCTATTCAGAATGTAAACACAAACATATCTACACCTAGGTTCATCTATGTATCTGTTTTACCTTTAATTTTATCTTAATTTTTTTTAAAATAATTGGATAATTTTTCTTGTTTCTCTTATGAATACAATACATGTTGTAAGTTAGATTTTTCTTTTTAGTGTGGCTCTAAAACCTTAGAGATATATTGGAGGCCAAACCATATAAAAAATAATAGATTAGGTAGTATGATAAATCGTCAGTTTTGTTTCATTCTTTTTTTCTAACACATTTGTTTTATATTTAGGCTAAATTACATTCTTATCTATTAACTAGCTATAAGATAAATTTCTTTGAAAAACCATGGGATAGTGATAAAATATATATATATTTGAAAAATGTAAAATATATAACATATGATATATATCATGTATATTTTTTAATGTTTAATAAAACATAGAAATAAAAAACATAATAAAATCAATTGTGTGGCCAGGCATGGCAGCTCACGCCTGTAATCCAAGCACATTGGGAAGCCGAGGTGGGGGGATCACTTGAGGTCAGAAGTTCATGACCAGCTTGGCCAATATGGCAAAACCCTGTCTCTACTAAAAATACAAAATATTAGTGGGGCATGGTGGCAGGTGCCTGTAGTCCCAGCTACTCTGGGGGCTGAGGCAGGAAAATTGCTTGAACCCATTACTGGGTATATACCCAAAGGAATATAAGTCATTCTATTATAAAGACACATGCACACGTATGTTTATTGCAGCACTGTTCACAATAGCAAAGACTTGGAACCAACCCAAATGCCCATCAATGATAGACTGGATAAAGAAAATGTGGTACATATACACCATGGAATACTATGCAGCCATAAGAAAGGATGAGTTCATGTCCTTTGCAGGGACATGGATGGAGCTGGAAACCATCATTCTCAGCAAACACGGGAACAGAAAACCAAACCCCGCATGTTCTCACTCATAAGTGGGAGTTGAACAATGAGAACACGTGGACACAGGGAGGGGAACATCACACACAGGGCCTGTAGCAGGGTGGGGGAATAAGAGAGAAATAGTATTAGGAGAAATACCTAATGTAGATGACTGGTTGATGGGTGCAGCAAACCACCATGGCACGTGTATACCTATGTAACAAACCTTCATATTCTGCACATATATCCCAGAACTTAAAGTATAATAATAATAATAATAATAATAATAAAGGACAAAACAATAGAAAAAAATCTGTGTCCTAGTTTCTGTTTCACATTTAATTATGGGTGTGGCACCCTCTTCCTAATTCAGAGCCTTTCTTATTTTCTATCTTATGGTTTGTAGGTCATTTTACCGTTGTGTCTTGGAGTTCTTTTCCCAGTAAATGTAATTGTTAAAATTAGCTTCTGCCATGTGTAAAGAATCACAATATCAAATAAATGTACTTCAAGGTTCATGTTTTGATCATTTTATACAGACATTTTATAATACATTTCCATTTTGGGTATCAAAATAAAGTGTATCTCTTTGATTATACATATGTATTCAAAGAATATTTGAATTTATTTTTTATCATTCTTATTGCTCACTTTAGTAGCTCTGGTTTGATTATTCTGAGGAATTGTTATCTTTAGAGTCTAAGGTATGTTTTAATGATGAAAAACAATGACATGTCAGAATTATAGAAATAAATACTTTTGGGAACCACATTCAGTACTTATGTATCAACAAAATGAGATTATAAAATCAAACATATATTATAGTAATTGAAAGTCTGTTCATAGTTTATATCAATTGGCTAATTCATTTTAAAAAACATATAAAAACTTCTGAGAATCTATTTTATTATAGGCATGATGTTTATGATATTTAGAGGTAAAACGAGTATTTTTTCAGTAAAAGATTTAGCAGTAAACAATAAATCCATATTACACTGAATTCACTGAACCTCATTTTCTATGCTGTAGAGGCAGATCATACTCCTCCGAAATTCATTCCATCCCTGCACATCACCTATCCATCAATACGGTTATTCTGTTATGATTAATTCAGAAGTATAGCCACAACTGGGCCGGGCGTGGTGGCTCACTCCTGTAATCCCAATACTTTAGGAGGCCGAGGCGGGTGGATCATTTAAGGTCGGGAGTTCAAGACCAGCCTGGCCAACATGGTGAAACCCCATCTGTACTAAAAATACAAAAATTAGCTGGGAGGTAGTGGTGTGCACCTGTAATCCCAGCTATCCAGGAGGCTGAGGCAGGAGAATCATTTGAGCCTGGGAGGCAGAGGTTGCGGTGAGCTGAGATCACGGCTACTGCACTCCAGTGTGGGCAACAAAGTGGGACCGTGTCTCAAAAAAAAAAAAAAAAAAAAAGAAAAAAGAAAAAGAAAAAAGAAAAAAAAAAGAAAAGAAGAAGTATAGCCACAATAAATATTAGGCAGACAGCAGTTCAGCAGTTTATACTATTAAGCTGTTGTTTAGGGGAATGGTAAACCGATATGACCCTTGAGGTAGGTATATATAGGTAAATTCTATGTGTCCCTTGAAATAGGTGTATGACACAACTTCTGGCATCTACATGGATTTGGTCACTCTAAAGTAGCCATGAGGCTTAAGATAGCTCAGCTCTTTGGGGATAAGCTAAACCATTTGCAGTTGTCTTTCTGCAATTTGCATATCCTACACCTATCATTGTCATTACTGCATGGCACAGAGAAAAATTCTGGTCTAAAGTGGTTCTTAAACCTGGTTGCTGGAGGGCCACCCTCAGTGATGATGATTTAATCTGTAGGAGGGTAGAACATTGATAGTTTTCATATATCTCCAGGTGATTTTAACATATAACCGGGGTGAGAATCACTGACCTAGTTGTAAGAAGATAATATTCAAGAAATGTGGAGATAAATAATTTTCTTCTTGACATTAAAAAAAATCTAAAAAGTTTTATCTTTTCTCCTAACTCAGGGTCATCAGCCTTCAAGCTTCAGTCTGTGTGTGTTCATAGGTGCTGTAAACACATGCATCACTACTAATATCCCACTTCAGTGCTATTGCTGCTCCCAAAACCCCAGGTATTTTTAACCTTATAAACCTCCAGAATAATGAGACCACTGGGTTCAGTAAATTGCTTTGTTTTGAAGCAGTGTTAGACAAAGTGGGAGACTAGAAGATAAATCTGTCAATGACATGTCCTTTAAGACTACTTAGATTTTGTTGAATTTGTGGATCATTCCTTACTTGAGCAAATGGTAAATTAACTCTCTCTTTTCTGTCTCTCTAGCTGGCACACTTTTTCCAGTAGCCATTCTACTTGGTATGCTTACTTATCAGCTGTCCTCCAGGGGCCTCACATTAGATGTTTCTCTTGACTAACCAAACATGACACACAGCTGAAGTCAGAAAAACCAGATTGATAATTTCACTTGAACTATTTTCTGTCATTCCAACAATTTACTGGAGTACACAATTGTGACTATTTTTAGCTATAGGAACTCATAGAAAGACCAACTTCATTAGACCTACAAAATCGAATTGTATAACAGTATATGCAGTATGTGTAGGAGTAAAAAGCATTTCTCAAATATGCAGTACTGGATTTTGCAAAAGCACTTTACACTTAGCTATAAAGGAGTGGAAAACACAAAGATGAGTAACTGCACCTTTCAAAAGACTAGAGCTATACCAATAATACAAAGGTGTAAACAAATAATGATGAGATGACATAGGCTGAGTGTTTTCTATTTGGAAGCTATGTTGTTGAATTATTTATGTATATAATCTCATGCAATCTTCATGTTATGGGGGTGTTCTAATCCACTGTGACTGTGTCCTTAAATAAAAGAGAGATTTGGACATAGAGAAAGGCACACGGGGAGGATGCCATATGAGAATTGACACTGTGCTGTCACAAGCCAAGGAACTACTGGAAGCAGAGAAAGAGGACTGGAACAGTTCCTTCCTTAGCACCTTCTCAGGCAGCCCAGCCCTACCAGCTTCTTGATCTGGACTTCTCACCTCTAGAATTGTGAGGCAATAAATTTCTGTTGCTTAAGTTACCCAGTTTGTGGTACTTTATTACAGGAGCCCTAGGAAAATAATTCATTATATAATCTGCTAAGGTAGATATGATCATTGTCTCCAATTTCCATATGAAGAAACTATGCCTCACACATTGTGTCAGTTGTCCAAAATCATACATTCCTGACTCACTTCAATGAATTCTTCATTCAGCAAAATTTTTAAGGTACCTTAAAAAAATTATGGTAACTCTTAGGTCCTTGCTTTAAAGCTTCAATGGGCTTTTCCTTTGCAAAGAATAAAATCCTAACACTTAAGCATAGCTCTAAATGGTCTCTTTCCTGGCTATGTTTCTGACATCCTCTTGTACCATGCTCCTCCTTAATCATCCTGAGGTTACATCTTAAATCCTTTCCCCTTGCCATTCCCACTTCTTGGAATGCTTTCCCATCAGCTCTTCAAAGAACTGGCTCCTTTAAGTATTTGGTCTCAGTTCAAATGTCACTTCCCTGTAAAAGCTTCCTGGCCATCAAGCCTTCTTTACACACTGTATTTTATTTTTTCATGGTTCCTATAACAACCTAATATATTCTCAGTTGATTAACTGTTTTGATGACTACTCCCTTCCATAAGAATGGAAAGAAAGTGTGGCCGGATGCAGTGGCTCACACCTGTAATCCCACCACTTCAGGAGGCTGAGGCAACATGGCAAAACCTCTTCTCTTCAAAAAATTTTTAAAAAGTTAGGTGGATGTTGTGGGTGTGTGTGTGTGTGGTCCCAGCTACTCAGGAGGCAGAGGCAAGAGGATCGCTTGAGTCCATGAGGTCAAGGCTGCAGTGAGTCATGTCTGCACCACTGCACTCTAGCCTGGGTGACAGAGCTAGTCCCTATCTTAAGAAAAAAAAAAAAAAAAAAGAATAGAGAGAATGCTGAGAGAAAGGATCTTATTTATCATGTTCACCTCCCAAGAGGTGAACATATCCCCTCAAAGCCTGATAGGGAGAAGATGCTTATTAATATTTAATGCATGACTATGTGCAGACTTGGGAGGAAAAATATGCCTCAACCTATCAAAATTGGATCCTTAATAAACAGGGATGCTTCTCCATCATTTCCCCACAACACCAAACAAGTGTGGCTCACTTTGCATGTTTAAGCAAATGCATTGTTTTTCCAGTTATACATCTAGTAGAGATGAGGTCATTGATAGGAATGGGAAGACAGTCTCCTTTTATTTTGATGACCCAGAATGGCTGAACAGTCAGTGACTACCACTGCACTTTGTTGTACTTTGAGCATTAGAGATGCCAGCCCTGTAGGATATAAAACAGGAACATCTAGTCCTCAATTATATTCAGAATTACTCAAGTCTTAGAAGCACCACTTGTCTTTTTTCAAGGGAGAGAAATGCTCAAGTGATGGGCTGAAGTGAAGGGAGGGAGTCACTCACTTAAATGGTTCCCTTAAGCTGTGTGGATGCAAACAGCATTAGACAATGATGCTGACAGTGGGAAATGCACTGGAGACGATGATTGGCAAAGCCCTCCTTTTCTCCCCATCCACTTTAGATATTGACACCAAAGGGTTTGTCACAATGACAACTATACACTCCCAATATCACAGAAGGAGGAGGAATAAAAGGATATATTATGAGTGATTGAAGTTTAGAATAAATTAGTAAATATTATGTCCCTCATCCATAGAAACCACAAAGGTCTAGTAATGCTAAGGATATAACAAGAAAATAATATGAATATTTGCTTCCCCTTCCTAGTGTAATAAGTAAGTTACAAATGGCTTCAGGAAGGGGAGAGAGGAAGAAGAGTGGATGAGATACGTAAGAGTGCCTGAGGGCTAATTTTATGAAAGCTTTGGGAAGTTTTAAGAAAAAGAAAAGCTATTTTTCAAGGTACATGTGTGTACGCGTGCGTGTGTGTGTGTGTGTGTGTATGAAAGACAGAAGAAAGAGGTAGACCTAGGAAGACTATGAAACACTAAGAGAAAAATTAAGGTAAAAAAGACACACACTTAGAAAAACACACATAGGGAGGAGGGAGGAGTTTAAGACATTTTACTATGTGCTGTGAATGGAAACTACAAACCATTTTTGATATCTGCAATATATATACATATATACACACATATACATATGTATTTAAAGATTTAAATTACATTTTCTCTTTTTTTAGAGATGTGGTTTTGCTATGTCACTCTGCCCAGGCTGCAGTACAGTGGTTGTTCACAGTCATGATCATAGCACATTACAGCCTTGAACTCCTGGGCTCAAGCAATCCTCTTGTATTAGTCTCCCCAGTAGTTGGGATTACTAGCATATGCCACCATGTCCACCCTTATGCTTTTTAAAGTGAAAAACCATACTAAGAATGAGGCAGCTCAACTTAATAATAAAAACATTTCGAATGTAAAGAAATTTACAAAAGAAAAACAATCAACCCCATTAAAATTGGGCAAAGGGAACGAACAGACACTTTTCAAAAGAATACATGCATGCAGCCAACAAACACACACAAAAAAGTTCAACATCACTGATCATTAGAGAAATGCATATCAAAACCATAATGAGATACCATCTCACACCAGTCAGAATGGCTATCATTAAAAAGCCAAAAAATAACCGATGCTAGTGAGGTTATGGAGAAAAGGGAATGCTTATACACTGTTGGTGGGTGTGCAAATCAGTTCAATCATTGTGCAAAGAACAGTGATTCCTCAAAGAGCTAAAAGCAGAGTTACCATTCGACCCAGTAATCCGACTACTGGGTATATACCCAGATGAATATAAATAATTCTACCATAAAGACACATGCATACAAATGTTCATTGCAGCACTGTTCACAATAGCAAAAGTATAGGATCAATCTAAATGCCCATCAATGACAGATTGGATAAAGAAAATGTGGTACATATACACCATGGAATACTACGCCGCCATTAAAAAATGATATCATGTCTTTTGCTGGAATATGGATGGACCCTCTATCATCCTTAGCAAACTAATGCAGGAACAGAAAACCAAATACAGCATACTCTCAGTTATCAGCGGGAGCTAAATGATGAGAACTCATGAACACAACGAATAAAACAGACACTGGGGTCTACATGAGGGTGGAGTGTGAGAAAAGGAAGAGAAGCAGAAAAGATAACTATTGGGTACTAGGTTTAATACCTGGGCGATGAAATAATCTGTAGAGTAACCCCCTGTGACAGCAGTTTACCTATGTAACAAATGCCCCTAAACTTAAAATAAAAGTTAAAAAAAAAAAAGAAAATTAAAATCTCCTTATCATCTACCTGGTAATATGTAATATGAAAAACACATATCTTTCATTCATTCCTTTCAACTGATGAGGAAACTGAGGCATTGGGAGTTAGTAAAAGTCCACATTGAGATATGAGACCCACCACTGGCTGGACGCAGTGGCTCACACCTGTAATCCCAGCACTTTGGGAGGCCGATGCTGGTGGATCACCTAAGGTCAGGAGTCCGGGACCAGGCTGGCCAACATGGTGAAACCCCATCTCTACTAAAAATACAAAAATTAGCTGGATGTGGTGGCAGGCACCTGTAATATCAGCTACTAGGGAGGCTGAGGTAGGAGAATCCCTTGAACCCAGGAGGTGGAGTTTACAGTGAGCCAAAATCACGCCATTGCACTCCAGCCTGGGCAACAAGAGCAAGACTCTGTCGAAAAAAAAAAAACAAAAAAAACACCACCATCATTTTGCAAGTATTACCATTGTTGTGCGTTAAATTGTAGAAGTATTCCTAATTATGATTTCTTTGTATTCCTAATTGTAATAGCTTTGTATTTGAAAAATTATTGATTCATACTCTATATGTTATTATTTTGTATGCAATGACAACAGAATATATTATCATGCTCCTTTTGTGAATCTCATTCATAATATAAAGTATAAATTTGTGATTTTGCTTTAATTTGAAATATTAATTTCAAATGTTATCACAATTTGATACAAACTATTGACAATAAGTCTGTATATTAAGTAATGTCTTAGTAGGTATTGGGAAAATTTAAAACTAGTGACATGGAGGATTCAAAGCCAATTAAAATTCTGCAAAGCAGTGTAAATAAAAATAATTTCAATAAATTTATAAAATACTGAGATTATGGTGTATAAACAATCTTTAGATTCTTTGTTTAAGAAATTCTGCCAGTTTGGAATATATGCTTCATTCAAAGTAGCTAAGGGCTGTACCTGGCTAATAGTAGGCACCTAATATTTGTTGAAAAGGAATACTGAGTAGCTGGGACCACACACATTTAACCTGTATTTATAAAATTACTGTTTAGAGATAAACATTTGATGGAATCATGCTTTTACTTTCTGCTTATGACTCAATTGTTTGTACTGACATTAACATCCCAAATCCTTAGCATGGCCTACAAGGCCCTGAGCAATGCGGCACCTGCTGAAGCCTGCTGCCTCATTTAATAACTCTTTGTCTCTTTCCCAGATCCAGCCACTCTGACATTTTTTAGTTCCTGGACCAAGACAAGCTCTTCCCAGAACCTGACCTTTGTACCTGTTCTTTATTCCTGGAGTATTTTTCCCCTGACAAATTACTTATCATCTATCATAATTCAGGTTAAATGGCACTGACTCGAGGAAGGCTTCCCTAACTGCCTCCCTTCTCCAACCAAATTAGGAACAATTATATGGCCACATAGTATCGAATCAAATTTATAATTTTAAAATAATTGGGAGATTTTGTTGTTTAACACTTGTTTTCACTATAAGACTGTAATTACATGCAAGTAAGAACCATGCCTGTTTGTTCGCTCCTGCCACAGTCAGAATAGTGCCTGGAATATGCAGTAAGGGCTGAACACACACTAAATAAATGAACAAGTGAATAAATGGATATTGTCTCATTTTTAGAATAGAGTACTAAATGGATCATGAACACTATCTGGTATGTCACGTAGGTAATTTACAAGGGATACAATTTCATCTCAGGTTTACCTTTTCCTGGATACAGGTCTTGATAGGTCTCTTGATGTCATTTCACTTCAGATTCTTCTTTAGAAAACTTGGACAATAGCATTTGCTCTCTTGTCCAAATTGTTACTAAGAATCAAGAGAGATATCTGACATGAAATGACATTGGAAAACATTAAACACGATTGAAATAATGCTAGCCAATATGGTTATTATTAGAAACCAATTACATTTTCAACTTAAAAATAGTAATACTTATTGTAGACTCAAATGTGCTTATTCTAAAACAAGTAAATGTTTGCCTATGGTCTCTGAGATTCTAATCCACAGAGTTCATTCTAATCCACATTCAACACTATCATGTACCAGTGGGCCTCATAATCCACCTAGCCCTGTGATTTTTCAGGTTCACTTTTCTAAATTTGTGAATTAAATATTTATTTTCTTAGTTCAGAAGAGGAAACAAAACTCCTGTAATTGTTGCCCATTTCAGGAGAAATCTTGCATATGAAAACAAGAGATAAATATACACAACTGAGGGCTGTGGTTTAAACAAAATCTTGAGAATGTTTTTTGACCTTATACATTTGTGCTTTAGTATAACAAAATGATATAGACAAAGGTAACTTTTAATAGAACCAGTCACTAAATTTAGAAAATGACAAATTCTTCTGCTTAGCTAAGCAACAGAGAAGGTAAAATACTAATTCAACTCATCAATTTAAGCAATACTCATTAAAAGCCAAGTATGTGCTTACTGAATAAGCTGCTAAGGTTTGGTGGTTACAGAGTGTGGGGTGACATGATGTCTACATCACAGTCCAACATTCACAGAGTTTAGAAGCCTACCAAGAATCAAGACAGACACAAATACCTAACATAGACATTTGTATGTGATAAGAGAGCCAGAGTACAATTTAGGAGAAGAAATTGTATGGAAGGAAGGTTCATTTCCATTAGACCAGAAAAGATAGCACATTTGAAGGCCTGAATAAGAAATATTCTGGATAAGATATTGTGGCTGCTACCAGAATGACTCTTGATGATCTCTACCTCTTGGTATTTATACCCTTATATAATCTCTTCCCTATAATATAAGCTGGTCCCAGGTACTTGTTTCTATTGAATAGAATAGAACAAAAGTAATGAGATGCCACTTCTGAGATTAGATTATAAGATACTGTGAATTTCATCTTGTGCCCTCTCCCTGTCTCTCTTTCTTTTGCCCTCTCACTTGAATGAAGCCAACTGGCGTGCTGTCAGTGGCCCAGTGTAAGTCCTGTTACAAGAAATTGATGATTGCCTGTAGCCAACCCTAAGTGAAGAACTGAGGTCCTCAGTCCTACAAACTGAGAGAAACTGAATCTAACTAAGAACCATGTGAGTGAGCTGGGAAGAAGATCCACCCTCAGTCAAAATTTAAGATGACCATAGCATCAGCAGACATATTGAGACACACTGAAAGTAAGAGAGCAGGAGGAAACAAAGCCAGGGTCATACAAAGAACACAACTGATTTTGAGATTCTCACATAAGTACTACACCTTCAGTGAGCATGTGTACTAGAAATTAAAAAAATAAATAAAATAAACCTGCAAAGAGAGCCAGCAAATAAATTTCCCTACGGTCTCAGCTCTGAGTGGACAGAGAAAATGTTCCCTGTAGAGTTTATAGCCAGAATCCAGCTCTCAAACAGGTTTCAGCCTGAACTCACACAATCTGTGTGGCTTCCAAATCTGCAAGCTGAGAATTTAATTCAAAGTGGTCTCAGGTTGATAGCAGTCCAAAATGCCAGGTAGGAAAAAAAAATCCTCTCTGGACAAATAAATCATCAAAGCAAGCTCATAAGATCAGGTTTCAAAGGTCATGAGCTTCTAACACACACACAAAAATCACACACACAAAATGGGGGTAGCAGCAACATGGGTAGCATATTCAAATTTGAAAAGACTTTAAATATTTTTATTATTAGATGTAGATTATGAAACACATATTTTAATGTGGTTAATTTTTTTAAGGAATCAAAACTATGAGTAAAGACCAAGACAATTGTGCTGGATGGCCACTTCCACCATGGCTCCCCTCCTATTTAAATCTGGGTACTGTGTCACCCGAAGTCTTCAGGCACATTGTTCCAGGTTTGGGTTTGCCTATGAAAGAAACTCATGAGAGCTGGAAATGAGGAGTGAAGAGGAGGTCTTTATATAAAGCAGGCTTAAGGATTAGACATAGCAGGTTTGACAGATGTGATGGCTTGCAGAATTCTTTATGAGCTCCCACTGTCCATCTGGATAAGATTTACAGACCCTTCAGAAATTCCTATAAGCTTGGGTTCTGTGCCCACACTCTAGACTGTCAGGCTAAGATCTCTGATATAAAACAGACCTCTTCTGATTTTGTCTAGCTGCTTTTCTAATATCTATTCACCAAGCTCTTCCAATAATAGCATAAGGCCCTAATTAATATTAAACCTTTATCATTATAATACATAGGATGTCTTCTGTTTTCCTGATCAAATTCTGACTACTATTAAAATATAAAGAATTGTCCAGAAAGATATAAAAAAAGAATCACACATTGATCTTCTTTAAATGAAAATATAACAATTTTATGGACTAGGATGATTACAGTTGTTCAGTTCTCACTGTTATTTGAAGAAAAAAGCAATAAGAAGCCTCAGCAACTTAACGGAAGGAGCTGCCATTTACTAGGAGAAAAGATTGTGGATGAGAGTGTAGCAAAGGTCAGAATTCTGAGAAGCTTGAGATGTCTATTATAATGAATTATCTTTTATACTCACTACAATTTCCTAACAATTTTGGGGTTTATATTTTTGAAAGAGATATACCTTTAATTTTCTTTCTTTGCACTATTGTTAGGTAACTTTAATGTGCAGATTATACTACAGTGAAAGTTGCCAATGACAAGGCAAAGTCACTTACATCAGACCCAAAGCAAAGTGGAGCCGGGTCATGAAAAAGGGGATCTTGGGTGTGTGTCCACGATAAGCACTATCACAAGGACTTTCTATAAACTCACAAGAAATTTCTGCCCACCCAGCACACTCTGTTTGTCCAGCTTATCCTGTAGGTGTCTCTATAATAGGACCTATCATAAAAATTCCTCAAGACTGCAGCATTTCAGATAAGCCACCCTCACAAGAACACTTGCCTAGCAATGGCTGTTTCTGCCAGTAAGTTAACACCAGCTCCTGCATCAGGCCTTGTGACCAATGATGTTTGTTTCAAAACAGCTTGCATAGACTTCTTTTTGTCTTTAAATATTTTCCTTACCTCAACCTCTTGGGATGCACTTATGATTCATCATAGCACAAATATCTCAGATTATAATCCTTACTTATTTCTAAATAAATTTATTTCTTTGGAGATCCACTTTTTCTGTTATTATACATTGACATTGTTATCATGAAATTAGTTGGGTGATGTGTCTTATTTTCTTGTCTCCAGAAGAATTTCTGTAACAGTGCAATTAAACGTTCTTTGCATGTTTGCTAGAACTCACCTGTAAAATTGTCTGAGCAACCAAAGCCTGGTTTTTGTGTTTAGTTTTTCTTTTGTGACTGGGGAGGGGGGTTTATCGTACTGATTCAAGGTGTGAAGGTAACATCATTTTGATTTTCTACATCTTCTTCACTCCATTTAAGCATGTTACATAGCGTTATTTGTTTGTTCTTTTCATGATATTCTTTACAGTAGCCTCCTAAATGTTCCCTCTGCTTCTGCCATGAGCCCCTGCAATCTATTTCAACTCAGAAGCTATAGAGTTTGTTTAAAACATGTAACATATTATGCCACCTTTCTTACTGTAAAACATCCCATGGTTTCTCATAGTATTTATAGTAAAAGTGAAATCTTTATGATGGCTTGAGAAACTTTTCCCATTAGATGCCCAAGTGCTGGTCTGGTCTGATCTTCTCATCTTCCCTTGGCTGATTCTGTGGCAGTCACACTAGCCTCCTTGTTGCTCCACAAAAACTCCAGCATTATCCTACTTCAGGATATTTGCCATTGTTACTGCATCTGCCTGGAACCTTTTCTCCCATATAAACATAGAGATTGCTCTTGCATGTCCTTCAAGTCTATTCTTAAATGTCCCATTCTCTGTGAAGCTTTCCTGCCCACCCTATTTAAATTACAGACTTCACTCCCAATTCCCCACCTACTTTAAGAGTCTTCATTTATCATTCCTTGACAAACTGTAAATATACATGTTCACCTTTTTATCGTCTGTCTCCAAATACTGGAGTGTTAAGTTCTGTAATGTCAGATATTTCTGTTTGGTTCACTGGTGTATTCTTAAAGCATGTTACATACTAGGTGTGCTCAATGAATATTTGTTGAATAAATATCACATTGGGCTTATCCCAGAAATTCAAGCTTGTTTCAATAGTTAGAGCAATCTACAAATGTAATTCATTACATTAACTAATTCAAGGAGCTAAATCACATCACCACCACAATAATGGCAGAAAAACACATTTGATACAACTCAATATTCGTGCATGCCTAACAAACATCTCATGATACTAGGAAAAGAGGAAGGGATATATTATTTTCATGTATAAAACACTAACCATTGTAGCATGCCAATATACCCAAAATTCAATGAAATTCCTATCAAAATCTTAGCGTTCCTCTTAGTCCTCAACAAAGCATTTCTAAAATGTGTATAGAAGACCAAAGGGCCAAAATAGTCAACTTCTGAAGAAGTAGAAAAAGAAAGTTGAGGAAATCTTAAAACATGTTATTGAGCTTAAAGTTGCAAAAATAAACTCATGTACCATAATTCATGAGTAGAAAAATAGACTAGTGGAATAAAATAAAAATAAAAACAATGCTTACATAAAATGTTGTAACTGATTTGGATGTCATTAGAAATCAGTAAGTAAATAGATGGACAATGTAATGAAAGATGCTAGGCAAATAATGTGGCAGGGAGAATAATGGCCCTCAAAGATGCCCATGCCTAACCCTGGAACCTGTGAATATGTTACACTGAATGGCAAGAAAGGCTTATCAGATGTGATTAAGGATGCAGACTGAGATGGAGAGATCTTCCTGGGTTATCCAGATGGGCCCAGTCTAATCACATGAGTTCTTAAAAATGGAGAACCTTTTTTAGCTGAGTCTAGAGAGAGATGTGACAATGAAAGAATGGTCACAGAAATGTGACATTGCCAGCTTTAAAAAGAGAGAGGAGAGGCAATGAGAAAAGGAATGCTGATGTTCTCTAGAAGGTAGAAAAGGCCAGGATATGGATTCTACCCTAGCCGCCAGAAAGAAACATGCCTGTCAACAACTTGATTTTAGTTCACTAAAATTCATGCCTGATTTCTGACTTGTGTGGACTGTAAGATGATAAGTTTGTGTTATTTTAGGTCACTTAGTTTGTAGAAATTTGTTACAGCAGTAATAGAACAAGTGGTTATCCATATGAGGCAAATTAGATTGGATACCTATCTCCAATAGAAATCAGTTCGAGGTGAATTCCAGGAAAATACTTAAAACATTTAGATTAAAAATAAATGAGAATTTTTGTTACTTTTGGTAGGTCATAGAACCAAGAAAAACAAACATTAAGGAAGAAAAGTGAAAATATGACTACATCGAAATATAAAGCTTCTCTATTTGGATGATATCATAAGGTGACAAATCATAAACTGTAATACTTGCAACATATATATGAGTGAATAAATATACATTTAGAATATATATGAACTCCCAAAAATCAACGGAAAAATAAGACATAGAACAAGCAAAATGCATAAACAAAAGAAGGCAAAACAAAAATAATGACTCATAATTATATGAAAAGAAGCTCATCTTCATAGATGAGCAGATAAATGCAAATTAAAACCACCCTGAGATGCTTTTTACATCCATGAGCCTGATAAAAGTTAGAGTCTAAAAGTAATAATTAACAGAGACGGGAAGTAACAGAAAATCTCGTCCATTACTGGTTAAAGTATAAACTGATACAGCTACTTTATAGAATATTACATTATAGAATAAAGTTGTGAGTATGTATATGCAGTGACTCAGCATCTTCATTGCTAGTATGTACTCAAGAGAAACTTACAGGAGTGGACTAGGAAGTAAATACAAAACGATTACAACATTGTTTGTTATATCAAAAAATAAAAGACACCCAATTTTCCAGCAAAAAAATAAGTAAAAATAAATCCTGGTGTATTCTAACAATGGAATAATATATAGCCGTTAAAATAAATCAACTATTACTGTACATATGAATGTAAGTGTCAGCAAAACATATTGTTTAGTGAAAAAGTAAGAAGCTGAAGAAGAATATATACAATATGGTTACATTTATATGAAGTCCAAAAACTTCCAAAATAAAGAAATGTATTTAGAAATAGATTCACATGTGAGAAAACTAGAAGAAAATTAATGAAAGGATAAAAGGGATAGAAGTAATTCTGAGTAGTTGAGGGGATTTCAATTGGAAAAAAAATAGTATCATATTCTTTAAGTCAGGTAGTGAGTATTAGCATTTATTTTACCATCGCTCTTTATTCTTATAGCTACATTATATATTTTCTATGTATTGAATGTATTTTTTGCATAATTAAATATTATGCAATAAAAATGAGAAAATAAAAAAGTAGAAAATGATAAATAACATACAATAAAGAAATAGAGAAAAAATTATAACCTAGTTGAGTAATGGTATATTACATAGCTATTTTCTTAAGTAGATGTATGTACATGATGTATGCACGATTGTACATACATGTTCTTAATTATAAATATATGTACATATTTTTAATATAAAATACTAAGCAAAGTACACCAAAATATTAGCTCCTATGTTAGTAAGATAATTTTTTTTTTTTGTATTTTAAGTTTTATATAGTAGGTGTATTTGTCTGTTTTCATACTGCTATAAAGAACTGCCCAAGACTGGGTAATTTATAAAGGAAAGAAGTTTAATTGGCTCACAGTTCAGTACAGCTTGGGAGGCCACAGGAAATCTACAATCATGGCGGAAGACAAAGGGGAAGCAAGGCAGCTTCTTCACAAGGCAGCATGAAGGAGAAGTGCCGAGCAAAGGGGAAATAATCCCTTATAAAACCATCAAATCTTGTGAGAACTCACTATCACAAGAAGAGCACGGGGGAAACTGCCCCCATGATTCAATTACCTCCACCTGGTCTCTCCCTTGACATGTGGGGATTATGGGGGCTATGGGGATTACAATTCAAGATGAGATTTAGGTGGGGATACAAAGCCTAACCATATCAGTAGGCATGTGTTGAATTTTAAACTCAGAGAAAAATACTAGTATTTTTATAGGATTTTTACTAAAGAAAAACCAGAAAGTAATAAACCATCTACGCTAAGACATAAAATTCAGTTGTTTAGTTACAAGATAGAACGTGGCCTTGTAAGAAAGCAAATTAACTTCTAACATACAAAGCCTTAGAGAAGATTCAAGTGACTGACGGATCTTAAACAGAGCTATTATTACAACTCAAACTGCAATAAAATATCCTCAGCAACATAGATGTGTGTGTTTCACTAGTTAGAGCAATACAAATTTAATGAAACTCCATTGGTGGTGTTTTTAATCAGACAATTTCTGAAGATGTCCTGGCTTATTCATAGATGCAAACCAAATCTCTAGAAGAGTACCATAATAAGAAAAAAAAGAATACAGGCAATTGAGAGCTGTTCCAAAGTTTGGGGAGTTTTTGTAAGGAATTAATAAATAAAAATGTTCTTGAAAGAGAGAAATTAATATGCAGTTCATACTGCCAGAATTGCAGGCAATTTATCAAAGTCCCCTAATCCTCCAAAATCACTATTTTTTTTTTTGACACACACTTTACAGTACAGAAGAAAATGTCTCCGGCAATAAATCACAAAGTTAAAATTACCTAGTCTACAATTAACTAGACAGTGATGGTAAATCATTTTCTACCAAAAGAAAGAAATGTCTTGTCTATTCAGGTTCTGCTCTACGTAAAAGTTTTCCTTGTTGGCGAGTAAGTGGATAGAAAATCGTATTTTATACGTACATTCAGCTTAACTATCATTCAGCTCAGAAAGATGACTCAGGGCCTTATCCATACCTTCAAGTTTGCTCTTAGCAAGTAATTGTTTCAATATCTATATCAAAAATGGCTTAAGCCTGCAACATGTTTCTGAATGATTAACAAGGTGATAGTCAGTTCTTCATTGAATCCTGGATGCTTTATTTTTCTTAATAAGAGGAATTCATATGGATTAGCTAGAAAAAAAATTATTAAGAGGAAAATCACCTGGAAAGTTATTATATTTTAGATGTGAGATCATTTCCAAATTCCCCAGTGTTCATATTTGTCAGTGCAAGTAAAGAGACTTAGTGCTGATTAGGTTTGAGGTATGACCATTTGGCCGGAATTTATGAACTCTACCTGTCGCTTGATGTGTGCTTCAGGGTACACTTTTTTTTTTTTTTTTTTTTTTTTTTTTTTTTTTTTAGACGGAGTCTCGCTCTGTCTCCCAGGCTGGAGTGCAGCGGTGCGATCTCAGCTCACTGCAAGCTCCGTCTCCCGAGTTCACACCATTCTCCTGCCTCAGCCTCCCGAGTAGCTGGGACTACAGGCGCCCGCCACTATGCCCTGCTAATTTTTTGTATTTTTAGTAGAGACGGGGTTTCACCGTGTTAGCCAGGATGGTCTCGATCTCCTGACCTCGTGATCCACCCGCCTCGGCCTCCCAAAGTGCTGGAATTACAGGCGTAAGCCACCACGCCCGGCCAGGGTACACTTTTAAGCAGAGACACTACTTTGAAGATCATAAAAAATATAATAAGAAACAAGGCTAATTTCCTTTAATAATAATAACAATAAATTCCTTTAATAAAAATATAAAGGAATAATATAATAATTTTCTTTAATAAAATATAATAAGAGATAAGGCTAATTTCCTTTAATAAAATATAGTAACTACATACCAACACAGAATTCCAAAAAAAGAAATGGAGAGGAAGGGAGCATGGGTCATTAATCTTGTCAAAAATATAAAATTATATACGAGGAATTGAGAATGATTTTCCTAGAAACTGTTTTCCTCGTCTGCGGCCATTGTGCTGCTGCTACACAGACTACTACCGCAAACAGCCCTTCACGCCCTCCTCCCAGTACAAAGCTAATTGACTTCTGAGAAATGTTAAGCTTGGAAGAGTCAACATTGCTGCACTTATTTTTTATTCTACTCTGACATTAGAATAATCCTTGAGTGGGGGAAAGGTTAAAAACCCCTCTGGATAAGTGTTACTAATTAATGATGATTGTTCTAAACAACGTTTGGATAATTTTTCCTTGTCCCTTGACATAAACTTGATAAATAACTGAGAAGTGAGAAGGAGATTAGTGGGTTGATTAAATTCCATTCAGGTACTTAAAAGTTAGCTCCAAAAATTTAGCTATTTATAAATTGTCATGCATTGTTAATGTATAAGAGATGTAGATTTCATTTCTCTTTGGTGGAGCGAGATGAAGCAGTGAATCATTGAAGACTGAAAGAAAGAAAAAGGCCTTTTCCCTTTTCCTTGAGAAGCATCATTAGTTAAAAATATGTTAGTTGATACCAGAGGACTCTATTTAAAGGGACAGCAATAAGCAAATTGATTACTCTGGTGATTATTGGAGTGACATTGCCTTTTAGTTGGACTTTCACAAAAATTCACAATATTTGCCAAAGTCAAGTTATCCATTACACTATTAATTTGTCATTCTTTTGTTTATATAGTCAATATCTCTATCTCAACTGGATCTATCTCAACTGCTTCTAAACATGCCACCATAGTCTGTCCCATTTCAACAATCTAAGTACTATTTCATTTCTTCTTTTCATATTTTTGAAAACTTTTGAAAAACTACCTATTTTCCTCCTCCATTTCTTGTTCATTCCATTCTAGAGGACATGGAATCTGTTCCTCCTCCAAAATGGAATTTGGTAACCCTTAAATTACTAAACCCAAAATAATATGTTGAAGTTTTTATCTTTACCTCTCAGTGGCATTTAATGATAAGACCACTACCTTCTTCTCTTTTACTCTTCTTTCTTGAATTCAGTCAAACAACGTACTTATATTTTTCGTCTTATTCTCCATCTTAGAAACCACCTCAGCTTTCTCCATTCAGCCACAAAATTGTGCTTTTCCTCAAAGATTAATCTGCCTCTCCTCTCACTCTATACTATCTCTGTTACTAATTTTATTTGTGCACATTTCTTAGATTACTGGGCATTATATACACATATGCATGTGTGTACATGTGCACACACACTATATGTGGACATGTATATATACGTGTGTGTGTATATATATAGTATATATATAAATTACAATGATATAACATAAAGGTGACATTTTAAATTAGTGGAAATTACCCTGATTTGATCACTGCACATTGTATACATGTAAAGAAATATCACTCTGTATCCCAAGAATGTATACAATTATGGTTTTTCAAATGAAAAAGTTCATACATTGAAAAATTTTAGATAAATATCAAACTTTCTCTGAAACTGTAACTGTAAAATGTAAAAAACAGTAATTGCTATATTGTTTATTTCTGAGTAGAAGAATATGAGACATTTCCCTAATCATTATGTGTAATTACAATTACATGTCTATATGTTTATATATTACATACATATATATATATATGTAATGGTAATTACACATAATGATTAGGGAAATGTCTCATATTCTATATATATATATAGAGAGAGAGAGAGAGAGAGACAGAGAGAGAGAGAAAATATATGAGGGAGAGAAAGAATCTTTCCATCTCCTTTGAGTTCCACGGTGTTGAGAGTCAGGAGAACTACAATTGCTTCATCATGCCTGTTTGCAGTTATAGGGCTTTTGAACCATTTGTTCCCTCCTTAGATATCATCATTTTTTTCAGATTCTTGCTTAGAAGTCACTCCTCTGTGGACCTCCTCTGACATATTAAAAGTAAACATTGCAGTCCATTATAAGCTGCAAGAGGACAGGGATTTTTGCCTGTTTTATTCCCTACTGTATCACCAGGGGCTACAGCAATATCTGACAAACAGTGGGCATGTAATGAATATTTGTTAAGTGAAGTAATAAATTCAATCAAATCACATCACCTGTTTAAAGCCCTTCATTGGCTTCACATTGCACTTAAAGAGAAATTCTACAATATAAGTTCCTGCAGAATGCAGACACTTTCTACTTCTCCAGCCTCTTTTCAACTCCTCTCCTACTAGCTTCTGTATTTAAGCCACATTATACCTTTCTTCAGTTTTTTATATAGACTTCGTTGCATCACACCTCAGAGATTCTGTACATGTTCTTCCTCCTGCCTAGAAAGGATCGTCTTTCCACTTTTGCCAACTAATCCCTGCTCAACTTTTAATCTCAGCAGGAGGCCCATTCTCTTTTGCAATCCTCTGGCCTCCAGCCCATTTATTATATGCTCACATGTCAACATGTACTTCATACAGCATGCAACACAACTGCACTTTTATATTTTAACAAATTATATTTCCCATATTGAACTGTAAGTCTCCTGAAAGGAGGAATTTTTGTTCTTGCTCATCATCAATTTTTTCAACATCCAGTGCACCATTTAGAACTTAGATGTAGTCAATACAGGTTTGTGGAACGAAAGAGGAAAAGAAAGAATTAATATTCCTTTAAATTAGGATGGCAAAGATTGTATATAGAAAATTGGCTAAGTGGTGGTCCATTCATGTTTGCTCCCAATTAAGGAGCACAGCTATGAAAAGGAAGGCTTCAAACTAATAACCAATAGATTTTTTAAAAAAAGAAAACTGGCCAGGTACTGTGGCTTATGTCTGTAATATCAGCATGTTGGGAGGCCAAGGCAGGATTACTTGAGCCCAGAAATTCCAGACCAGCCTGAGAACCTGGCAAAAGTCTGTCTCTACAAAAAATACAAAAATTAGCCAAGTTTGGTGGCATGTGCCTGTAGTACCAGCTACTTGGGAGGCTGAGGTGGAAGAATAGCTTGAGTCTGAGAGGTCAAGGCTGCAATGAGCTGTGATCGCACCACTGCACTCAAGCCTGGGTAATAGAGTAAGACCCTGTCTCAAAAACAAAAGAAAAATCACTAAGCAAAATAAGACATGTGAAGTATCCTGTCAAAGATAAGAAAAATTAGGGGAACATTAAAAGCTTTCTTCCCAAGTCACTAAATCAACTTGACTAACAAAATTACAACTTGATTTAGCATTAGAAAATTACATTACATATCAAACATAAACCCATTAATCAAATACTAAAGTAATTTCTAAGTTAAATGGTATAATGTTAGCTTATGCCAGAGCTGACCTTGAAAGATTGTTCAAATATGGCTCAGTGTGATTGAAAGTTCTGTGTGAATATGTTTTTGTAAAGATCCAACAGCAACTCCTTAGTGTATGTTTTTGAAATAAAATGTATCTGAGTAGCAGCAAAGTTATTCTCAAATTTCCATTTTATAGCTGGGGATGTTATATTGTGACATATATGATAGGACCCAATATGGATTAATTCCTTTTAGAAGTCAATCAGGAAGAGGGGAGCGGTTAAAACCGTTTTTGGTTTACAAACATTAGAACAATTTTCTCATTCACACCATCTGATTATTGTATTTTATTTTTTCCCCAGCGTTTAGACTACACAATGAGTTAAGAATGATAAAAATAAGCTCACCAATATACTATGTACATATTTACCAAAATCTGTGCATGCCTATACATATACACACAGCTGATAATTTATTAGTTAGGCTCATTTGTAGTTTTTGTCACTATAGACCAGTATTTTATTTAAATTGAAGATTAGTATACATTTTAAATGATTAGTCAAAATAAAAAATCTAAAATGTGCTCTAAATACCTCTTAGGTCAGAAAAAAAAAAGCCAAAAGCTAGAATATAGAGAAATTAAGAAATGCCCTAAATTTCTAATCTGACAAAAATTCATACAAGATTTAAATATTTTAATGGAAAACAGAACAGAACTAATCATTGAAGAAATTATAGAAAGGAAACAAAATAAACAGATTATATGGAGGATTTTTAGAAGATAAGTAAATAAATTAATATACTAGGAAAAAACAAGGGAAATATAATTGATAAATAAGGTAAGAGTTCTTTTGAAATAATGATAAAATAGAAAATCTCTGTCAAAACTAAAAGGAAAGATGCATAAATATATATATAAATGATAAAGATGTTGCCTACATATATGACATTTTTCAGAATCAAAAAATTTAAATTTCTGTAATAAAATTTAAATGTTTATAAATCTAAAAAACTAGAAGAAAATGTTGACTGTTCACAATACAAATAAATGACAAATATTTGAGGTGATGGATATGCTAATTATCCTGATTTGATCATTGGACATTGTATACATGTATCAAAATATCACTCTGTATCCCACGAATATGTACAATTATTTGTCAAATGTAAAAATTTCATAAATTGAAAATTTTTAGATAAGTATCAAACTTTCTCTGAAACTGTAACTGTGAAATGTATGTGTAAAATGTAAAAAAGTAACTGCTATATTGTTTAACTATTTCTAACTAGAAGAATATGAAACCTCTTCCTAATCATTATGTGTAATTACAATTACCTTAATACTAAATATGGCAAAAGATACAAATCAAAATTATAAATAGAATATTATCAAATTAAGACCAGCTTTACATAACATGAATGAAATACCCAACTAAGTATGTATTATTCTGGAAATTTTTTAAAAACTTCATTTTTAGAGAATTGATTAAAATATTTTATCACATCAAAAACTTAAAGGGTAGAATTATATATTTTTTTCAATATGTGGCAAGAGCATATTTGATTAACTTTCAAATTCTTACCCTGTTTTATAGAGGTTAAAAACCTCTACTGGTTATATTAAGTGAGATATTTTATACAAATTATTTCAGTTAATACTCTTCATAATCCTGAAAAGGATATATTGTCAACTTTAATTTATTATTGTTCCTATTTTAGTAATAAGTTTACATAGATCTTTCCTCAAAGTCGTGAATATAGCATAAAGCAGAACTGAAATGTCAACCTAAGTCTGTACATCTTCAAACGGTGAACTCTTAACAACAAATTGCATATTCCAACACAATAATAGAAAAATCAATGGAATTGCATAGAAAGAGAGAAAGAGTAGCAATAGACCTAGTTAAATAAACTACAATGGTATAACATAATGGTGGCATTTTAAATTAGTGGAAAGAAATGAATTATTCAAGAAAAGGTGTTGAAACAACTGGCTAACCATTTGGAAAAAGGATAACATTGATTCCTACCTTGTGACATAAACCAAAATAAACTCCAGATGGATTATAGATTTATGTTCAAATATTGAAACCAAATTTATTCCACATGTCAACTAAACCCAGAAAATAGAAGGCTGGTTGGTTTTCACAAACTTAGGTACATTTCGAGAACAAATATGAGGCACTTTAAAAATGGAAACTTCCATTTTCCACTTCAAATTTTGGGAAATTCTTTTTTCTAATATTATTAGACATTTTATATTAAGTGGCTATATAGTGAGAATGCCACTGGATAAAACTAGAACATACATTTCTATTTTCCTATTCCTGACCTCACTCTTTCCAGGTAGGTAGATATTAGTTGTAATTTTATAGTTCTAAAAATTTGCCTGATTCTATTAGAACAAACATTTCTGGTTACAAAGAGAATGACTGAGCAATTGTACAATACTTTAGGGAATGAAGAGAGGACTGAATGGAATGTCTTCTAATTTCCTCCATAAAATATGGAAAAAATCCCACATTGTTTATAATAAACCTGAACACTCAAAAAATTTGATTCAAATATTTCTCAGTGTTTCAGTTGTATTCTTATATCTGTTAGAGTGCATGATCTTCAGGTACATAGGCATCATTTATTGTTCTGCAAAATTAGATTCATGGCATAGAATAGTGTGATCATTCAAGCAAAATTCAAGCAAAAGCTTGATTGTGTCATGAACGTTTTAATTTGTTCAGTTCATTCATGCTACAAATACATACTGAATAACTATCAAACACCTCTCTTCTAGGGTTGGATATACAAATCATACTGCCTTCCATCAAAGGGCTTACATCAAAAGTCAAAGAGAATGTAGTATATTAGGCACTCTGATAGGAATAAAACACACTGCCTGAGCACCTGTGGATGGGGAGCATTGATAACAATACTGATGAGTAAAATGCTTTCCTAGGGGGGCTGATGTTAGTTAAAGTTGAATCATGAGAGATAAGTCTAAGTGTTACCCAAAAACAGAGGTGGCTGGAACGAGAAGAAAAGACATTATCAAGTAGGAGAAAAACATGTGTACAGACCAGAGGCAAGAGAGACTATGGAGAATTATAGGGGAACTAAGAGTGGCTTCGTAGGGCTGCAATGGTGAGAAGTGGCAAGCAAGAAAGCTAAAGGGTCTGGGTCTTGAAGAACCTGAATAACACATTAAATTCAAAGCTTTATCATCAGGGTAATATGAAGCAGTTGACTTGAGACCATTGTGGAGCCATCACCTATAAAAGAGAGCACCAGTGTCTACCATTCAGGCTGCACATCACACACACCTTACTGCAGGCTGCAGAGCCAGTCAGCGTGTCCTTCTTCTAACAAATGACTTGAACTCATTATAAAATGTCCCTTTGCAAAACTCAGTCATATCCATTAGTCTAGGATTTTCTGGCTTTCAATCCCCACACCAGTCACATGCATCCCTCATCTGGCCAAATGTCATGTTTAGGCTTCATTCCATTCATCGTTTCACTCTACCCTATAGACCTCTAGTACCCAATTTATAAACTTGCATAAATCATTATTTCCTCTGAATATGATGCTTGCTTTTTTATATTAACTGAATCCCATTTACATGGAGTTTGTTTCTTCTCCCTCACATCACACATCTCATGGCAGGATATTCCCTGCCCTCAACTACTACTTCTGTATCATTTGACTCCTTTCTGTATCATTTGACTCCTACAAGCCCTATCATCTCCAACACTCAAACCATCTAATTTTACCACTGCCTTCACCAATATTATCTCCAGATTTTTGATTTACAAACAACTGTGACTTTGCTCAAAACTTTCAACTTTATCAACCTACACTTGGAGTCTCAGTTCCTTGAACACCTTACCTGTATCCACCTCAGCCACCCACTGGCATGATCAAACCAGCAACCTTATCATCACCAACAGTTGCACCATCTCCAATACCTCAGTATTGCCACCTCATCCACCGTTCCAATAAATTTACCTATACTACTTTCCCACCATTCATCACCACCGTCTTGCTTCACTTCCCATTATAAACACTCCCTTACCACACACTCTCAACTCCCTTGCCCCTATTTCACTCAAAAATACTCAATTGGTCTTTTGGCCAGAATGCTTTTTGTTCCAGGTGGAAGGAACACAATTTTACCCACTTGAACAAAAAGGAAACTTTTCTTGTGCCTCATAATTTGGAAATCTGAGAGACCAGAACATCTGTATCCAGGGTTCAAACATGATCAACAGGCTCTGCCTGTCCATCTCTTTGTTCTATTTCCTTCCATGTGATAATTATTTCTAGCCAGGTACGATGACTCCCTAATAATAGACTTAAGTAATCTTTGAAACCAATGACATTAGAAGAAAGGAGATCCAGTATATCTATCAAGCACTTATAAATGACTCTGACCCTACTTGCATTATATACCTGCCTCTGCATCCATCACTGTGGACATAGAAATGGGGTAAACTTGTTTCCCTTTTTAAGATTCAAGACTTCACCTATGGTGAAAGAAATGAGGCAACAGTATTAACTTGATAGCTCCACCAGATTCACATGATAGTGTAGTTTTCAAAGAGCAAAAATACCAATCCTTACTACATCCCCACCAAATACAAATCTTATTCATGTTTGTACACAAGCTTCTGAAGTTAGAGAGGAAAATCGCTTAACCTCGCTTAGTGATTTCCATTTAAAATCAGCAACACAAAAATTCAAATGGATATTCACTGTTGTCCAACAAGCCTACTTCTCCTCTTTAGTAATTTTATTCACCCACTCCCTAGGTTCAGTATGTCATTCTTTTCCTCCCTCCTCAATATTAAACACACCTTCCCTACCACATTCACAGCATATATAAGCTGCTGTAGAGGAATTGCTTACCTGTTCATCACAAAATATATGTGTTCCTAGCCTGCCTCAAGAAAGATGCCTGGAAAAACTGAAAAAAAGACAGTAATACTCACTAACAAATAGAACACCGGAAAAGGACAAGAGGGAGGTCTGGGGAACAACCATGATGAATCCCCTTTGAGACATTTTGATATCCAAGTGAGAATTTCTGGCAGTGCCAGAAGCTCAGGAAAGTCCTGGAAACTCATCAGAATGCGTGTACTCATTAAAGGCACTGTGGTTGCCAGTTAGATCAACCAAAGAGATTGTATACAATAAGAAAATAGCAAAATGGAGTCCAAAATTACCAACAGAGTCATTAAACAATCTCGCCAAAGAAAAACCAAGATAGTAGAAAGAAGATGGAAGAAAATGCAGGAGGGAGTGTATACAGAGGGTCATGAAGAAGGGGATATCATGGAAACCAACGGCAGAGGAATTTTCATTTCTGATTTGATCTAATGTATTCTATTTATCCACATGAGGTTATTATCATTAGAAACATCAATAAGCACTTTCAGTTCAAAGAGAATTATTAAATGTCAAATGGTACTTGTGGTTAACTAAGAGAATGACTGATTTTAAAAAGACAACTGTATTTAACAATCAAGGTTAATTTCTGACATTTTGAGGTCAATTCCATTGGAGCAATTTAAGCAATGAATTGAAGATAAAAGGTACTGAAACTGAGAAAGCTTAGGTCCTGAGATGCTAAGGTTCGCTATTCAAATCACTTAATGGGTAGGGAGAAAATACATATTTTTAGTTTGAATGTGATACTGGATTGTTTTTGATAATGTATTAATTTGAGTATTCCTTGGATATGTAAGTATAGGCCAAATGAAAAGATATTTAGGAGGAGGCTCAACTTGTTTTTAATGCAGTCCTTAAGCTAAAGAAAGTGAGAGAGAGAGAGACAGAGAGAGAGAGAGAGAGAGAGAGAGAGCAAGAACAAGCTGGTCTGGCTCAGTTCTCCAGAGTAGAAAAATTGTACAGGAAATAGGACGCCCTATAGTGTTTTGGTGCACATATGCCTTTATAACATATTATGGCAATTAGGTAAGTAAGGATTTGAATATTCAGGTTCTAGCTACATATCTTTAAAGAAGCAATCAACTTGAAAAAGCTGAAAAACTACTTTGCATAAACACTTTTAATTAGTTTTAAATAGCTCCTACAGTCTTATAAAGACACAAAACTAAGAAGAGACTGGTCTTAGTCTTGATTTCTAGGTTGTTCTTTATTTCTAGTCTCTTCCCCTCACAGATGCCTAATTAGCTACCAGAATTTACCTTATATGTTGAAAGACAACTGGTTCAAAATCACAAAGGTATTTCTCCATCACAACTATCTCTTTTTGACACACATTGAGAAGTAGCAAGCAGTTCAATATCGTATATGTTTAGCACATATTTTCGATACAACATGAAAAAATTAGATACAAAATAACCCAAATATGGTTGAGCTTTTTACTTCCAAAGAATTAGGTTTCTCCCAGGAAACTCAGCTAAAGTACACATGCCTTTATAATGGCTGATTTTGTTTTTCTTTCATGAACTGATCACATCATAATACATTAAATGTCAGCCTTTTCAGCAAGTGTTTATTTTACAAAAGTAGGTTGACTACTGTAGGTGTTAAGTGTAGAAATATTTTATAATAAGAAACTACCTGACTCTGCTGAACAATTACATACCTATCTATTATTATAAATTTTAAAAATTGTGATCACTTTAGAACAATCATAATAAGACATGTCACTGGACACTGTTATTTTCAATATAACCAAAGAGACTAAAAATTAAATTACAATTTACTACTGAAGATATTTGGCCTGAAGCAGTGGTACCATGTCTGTGGCCCCACTACTTAGAAGGCTGAGGCAAGATGATTGCTTGAGCCCAAGGGTTCAAGGCTGCAGTGCATTATGATTCTGCCTGCAAATAGCCACTGCACTCCAGCCTGGGCAACATAGGAAGACCCCATCTCTAAAAATAAAATAAAACAAAAATGTTTAATTTAATTAATTTATTTATTTATTTTTGAGACGGAGTTTCGCTCTGTCGCCCAGGCTGGAGTGCAGTGGCGCGATCTCGGCTCACGGCAAGCTCCGCCTCCCGAGTTCACGCCATTTTCCTGCCTCAGCCTCACGAGTAGCTAGGACTCTAGGCGCCTGCAACCACGCCCGGCTAAATTTTTGTATTTTTAGTAGAGACGGGGTTTCACCGTGTTAGCCAGGACAGTCTCGATCTCCTGACCTCGTGATCCACCAGCGACCTCGTAATCCGCCCGCCTCAGCCTCCCAAAGTGCTGGGATTACAGGCGTGAGCCACCGCGACCGGCATTAATTTTATTTTTTAAGTTGAATATCCTAATATTGCTCCACCTTCTCTGTAGTTCTTTAAAAAAAAAAAAAAAAAAAAAAGGCCAAACTGAAGCCACAAATTGTATGAAATAAAAATTAATGATAACTAATGCCATATATATTTCTCCCAGCAGAACTTCTCATAAAAAAATTATGATCTGGACTACCTCGGGTCTCATCTTACCCCTTCAGCATGACTGGGAGTGAGTAAGGAGTAAGCACATAGGTAAAATAATGACATAGCAACAGAAAAATCAAGATTTCCCTGACAGGATCAATAAAGAAAACACTCCATAAACCAAAATAGCTCCAACAAAATGGCTATAGAACATCTTTTAGTACTTAGCATAGTAGTCTACCTGTACTAAACTCTCAAAAGATAAATGGAAATTTTAGTTACATACTGTGGTGGAGGGATTTTTATGAAACTTGTGTTTAGACTGGCAACCTTACACAGGAGATCAGTATACAACATTCCATATACCTGTTTTTAAAGTCAAATGTTTCCTGCTCTGTATGAGGATTGAAAAATTGAATACAACAATCAATGAATTGCATCATATTTTTAAATCAATTCTCAACATTTTTAAAAATAACTATAAATCTATTTTTAAACTACTCATAAATCTATTAACATATTTTGGCAATGTTTAGTGCTAATTAATGTATAATTACTGAATCATTCATTCTAATTATTTTCACAAAATAATATGTTTCTTCAGAAAAAAATATAAAGTTATAGGAGCAAACAGAAAATTGACTCAGTTTCCTTGGTACTACAAAAACATGGGAATGTGTGCTGAGAAAACACATATTCTCTTAGAAGCCATGGGAATATGTGCTCAAAATATGTACTGTGTATATATAGCAGGTGAAGGAGCTTCTGGAAGTGCTTAGGAAAAAAAGACTTTCTTGTTCAAACTATTATATATATATTTTATATTTTTATATAATAAATCTATAAGCAGAGAATCAGAACATACTGAAATAATTTTTATGACTTAGGTTAACATAAACTGTCCCAGAAACATACACATGATTTAAACTAAGGCTACTGTGGGAAGCTTATGAGTATTTAAAAAGGAAATTTTTTGTGGGTGTGGGGAGCAAACAGAAATGTTACAGGCAAAGATTACATCCATGCTGCATGTGGTGGAAAATCCTGGGTTTCAGTTCTCAAGGAAAGAGACTCAAGGTTGAGGTCTGAGTATTCCTGGGGTTCAGATGCAGCCAGTGATACTTCAGGAGGTGCAAAGGATTGAGAAAAAAGCAGAAGAAAAAAATAATTTTATAGTATTAATTTTTAAAAATAATATAATTTATATTATATAAATATGTAAACATTTATATATAACTATAGAATTTTATGTTTTATATATATATATAATAAATGAAGTCTGAATTAAAGGTCATTTGTCTCTCAGGTCAAGGCTTCTACAAAGTCCATTGTCATTAATAGTCAAATTAGGGTTTTCATGGGAGTGGAAAAAAGAGGAAAACAACTCATCCTTAGAGAAGGTGAACTTGTCAAGGACTGCCTGTCATTGTTTTTGCTATTACGTTCCTTGCCTGTCACTCCAAAGGACAGCCTCCAGGATAAGTTAATGGCAATACAGTTTAAAACAGTTGCCGTGTCGTAAGACATCGCTCAGTTTCACAACAGTGAAGATGTCGTGGAACATCCTGATTAGAAAGCTGTACTACAAGGCATTCCTTACAATCACTAAGCTGAATTTTTTAAAAGTCACCAAGACTTTATCGCTCTTCCTAATTACTTTGTGTGCAACCCTAGTAGGATTTAAATGAAAAGTAACCCTTCCGTCAGACTGAGATCTTCACAGTATCTCTCACTTCAGGAGGTGCAAAAGAAAATCATCTGTTTCATCATTGTGGTAGAAGCAGTGCTGGGATGACATGAAAACTAATATCTTTGTCTTCATAAGAGATTCTGGAGGAATAATTTAGAATAGACTAGTTATTTAGAATAGAATATTCTTTAGAATCGAATAGTTATTCTTTAGAATAGAATATCTACTCTTTAGAATAGCTAATGCTTGATCACATAATTACATAAAGTTTTGCAAGTGGAAATAAAATGTCTTAGATATTCATTTAGAAAACCATTAGGTTACATTAATTTATTTCTCAGAGAATCACAACATACTGAAATGAATTATATGACTTAGGTTAACATAAACTGGCCCAGAAACATAAACATACAATTTAAACTAAGGCTGCTGTGAGTAGCTTATGAGTATTTAAAAAGGAAATGTTTTGTGGGTGTGGGGAGCACACAAAAATGTTACAGGCAGATTACATCCATGATCCACATGGTTCAAAATCCTAGGATGCAATTCTCAAGGTAAGAGAATTAACGCTGAGGTCTGGGTATTCATAGGGTTTAGAAATAGCCAGTGATACTGTGCAAAGGATTGAGAAAAAAGTAGAAGAAAAAAATCTTACCGCAAAAGCTAGAGCCACTTGGAAAACTTTAAAGTACATTAAAAGTCAGAATTGTGATCTTGAAATTAATATTCTTATTAAGGGTTAGAAAAGGGAATCCATTGAAATTAATTGCAAGAATGAAGTGAAAAAAGAAAGGAATGGTGGCTGGGGCTATTCGTGATAGACACATGAATTGCAAAGATTTATCTAAATGATGGAGATTCAATTCTGTTATTGTGTTGTATTCATAGGGAAAGAATAGCTAAATGAACAAAAACTGAAAAAAGGAAATCAGCAGTATGAGAATTTCTATTAATAGGTATGAAAGCAAAACTAAAGAAAAACTAATTGTGAGAGAAAATGGGAAAAATAGAAAGTCATCAAGCTAGATTAAATGCCATACTAGAAGATAATATAATAAATAATAGATTTCCCTCAAATCCAAAAACTGTAATTATCTCCCCATGGTTATATATTATTATGTAAATGCCAGCCAAATGTTCATCTTTCATCACATTTCTAGAGACCTACTCGACACATGAGTGGGAGTCCTTTTGAAACACGGGGAAAAAAATTCCGAGGTGAGAGTTTTCCGACTTTAATCTCAGAAATCTTTGGCATTTGTTATTGACTCTCAGCAAGGTATATACGTTTAGTTTCTCAATCAATTAAAACCTGTAAACAAATTCCATTATTAGGAATTCTCTTTTATTCCTTGTCTATCCAAATGGTCTAATTATAGTTGCTAGAATTGACTATGTAAAAAATCCTTCAATCTTGAATGCCTGAGCTTTGGAACGTTTCAGATAAAATATTTTCTCTTTTCCTGGTATTTGCTACACTCATTTTTCCCTCAACAAATTAGTAAGTTTCAAATCATCCTAATAAAGCTGGTGTTCTCATTAGTTTACCATATATATTTTCTGGCTGGGTGTAGAAATGTTCATTATAAAACAAACACTAGTGTCTGTGGTCTTATGTATTAGAGTCTAATGATAAATGAAAAGTGGCATCCACTCTTGATGCTGTGTGATATCAATCCTAGGAAGATTGTGAACCACTGTGTGTGGCTTTGATCACTGACATAGTCTTAGCAATAACTTCTAGTGTAGTTTAGTATTCCGTGATTTTATAGATGGTTTTAGATTTTGTTGATATCTGGATTTTGAAGGTAATGAAACTAAACCTGAAATACATTAATCACTATATGGACTTTCATAATCATTATGAAACAGATTTTTTAAAGTTGAAGTTGACTTGCAAATATATTTTATTGATGCAGCCACTTTTCTGTGAATTAAAGGAGGTGAGTTGTCACAGCAGGTAGGAGTGAATGAGCTGCTAGAAATACTTAGATGGAAAAAAAAAAAAAAAAAAAACCTGTTCAAACCATCGTTCCCCAGATTTAAGCAACAGCGGTTATACTTGGCTGCTCCAGCAACCTTCCCTCACATCTATCTAATCAAACCCTCACAGGCTATGAGTATACAAGTCTCTAGTCTTACCATCCCACCTTCAATCAATGACTTTTAAAAAATCTGATCATACCATACATTGGTTTCTTCAGTGACTTATCAAAGTGGTTCAGTGGCTTTGATCAAAGATCAAAATATTCAGCTCTTTATGCTCTAATCCCAGCCCATCTTTCAAGCTTCATCTCTACCACATCAGTCCTACTTCTGTCTACACTTCAGCCATGTCTGTTACTTGTTTCTTAATTATTCTATGTCTTCATGTATTCCCCTAAGGCTTCTCCTACTTCACCTCCTTCTCTGAAATTGTTTTTAAATCCTCCAACACACACACATACACACACACAGACACACAATTTCTTTTCCTGTGCCCTGACGCATCTCATATATGTCTCTATAATAGCATTCAACATTGAGTTGTAGTTATTTATCTTCATATCTATTTTACCACTAGAAATGTACTCTTTCCAGTCAGAGGCTGTATCTTATTCATCTTGTATCCTTGGCACCTTGGATAGTCCCCAGAGCTTGCCAGTAACTCAGTACAAGTTTGATGAATGGATGATTAGTGATGTCTCCATAATTATATTAAAAAATCAGAGAGACCTGTTAGTTAATTATAACATTATTTGAAATTTCATCAATTGAAACAAACAAAAAGACATTTCATTATAAGAATGTTATATAAACAGTTGAGGTTTACTAACTTATTGCTTTGTGAAGGGCAGGCACTTGTATTCAGAAGCATTCCTAAAGTTCAAAAACCGATGCCCTCCATTTCACAACTTTGGTGATGTCACTAAATGAGAATCATAAATGGAAAAAAAGAGAAAAAAATTGTTTCAGAAGAAATTAAGCACAGAAGAACATTCCCTTCCAAATATTCTTAATTACTTACCTAATTCATTTTTGCTAATAATGCATTAAGTGGGAATTTCAATTATGTGGTTTAAAGATAAAATAAATGAATATTTAATTCATACTTAATTCAAAGAGGGAAATACTTTCAAATAGTAAAAATCATTTGAAAAGTATTCATACTTCACTTTAATGAAAGATAAGAATTTATTTTATGCTAAATACTTCAAACTGTCATATAAATAGCCTGTGAAGGAAAGATCATGAAAAACTATCCTTGAAATCTATTTGTGTTTAACTTCTAGAAATAGACACATTTCTCCAAGCAAGGACAAAGAAAATCCAAGTAACTATAGTTACAAATATACTACTAGTATCTTATTTAAAATCTTTTAATTTTTTAACTTTTCTTAATTTATTCATTTTAAAGTAAACATGTTTTTTAAATTATGATGCTTATCCGTAGTATTACAATTGTTTATTATCTTTAAGTTGAAATTTCAAAAAAACTTCAGACTACTCCAGAGACTACGATTAAAGGTCAAACTCTGTAGATGACAAAGCATATGATCAGATTACAAATTTAAAATACTTGATAATTTTTGAAAATTTGGGTACAGTTTTTCTATCCTGATTTTATAATTTGACATTATAAAGCAGCATTTTTGATTACTCAAACAAATTTGGATTGAGTAATAGGAGTCTTTTTTGGAAAGGACATAATGTGATTGATTTTTAGCTACATGCAATTAAAATCATTTTTTGCATGTCATTTCTAGTGCTATGAATTTAAATGCAATAAACTTTCTTTAAACTAACAGTTTGCAGAATGGCTACTTTAGTAACAAAATTATCTCATTTGTAGAGAGTGATGTCTGGACTAACATTTTACATGCCATAAGACATAATTATCATTTATTTGAACTTTATTCAGTACAGTCATATGTCACTTAATGATGAGGATATGTTCTGAGAAATGTGCCATTTGATTATTTCATCATTGTACAACCATCAAAGAGTATGTGCACTTCCACAAACCTGGATGGTATAGCCTACTCCATACCCAGGATATATGGTATAGCCTATTGCTCCTAGGCTACAAACCTGTACAGCATATTTCTGTACTGAATACAGTTGACATGTATTGTAGACACAGACAATTGTAACACAGTAGTAGGAATTTGCATATCTAAATATAGAAAAGGTATAGTAAAAATGTGGTATTATAATCTTATGGGACCACCCCTGAATATGGAGTTGGTTGTTGTTGGAAGCATCATTATGTGGGCCATGACTTTATTTCCTTAATGACTCAGAGGTGCTTTTGAAGTGTTATATTCTCTCAGGAATTCTAATGTTATTTATAGTTACTATAATATAACTCATTCATTCATTCAACAAATATTATTGATGTTGTCATACATTTTGCTAAAGTCACAATTAATTAATTTTAGTTTACATGTTGTCAACCAATAGAGATTTTTTCATACTTTATTGAATATACAATGCTATCAATTATAAATGTTCCATTATTTTATGTGCCACTAAAGGAAAACAACACATTTGCTATTTAAAACTTTTACACTGTGATTTCTTACCACTTAGAACACCTATATCTATAAAAAGGGCTCTTTTAGATTTATTTATACATAGATTTTTACCAACTCATCTTGAAAAATTTATGCAAAATAGATTGTGTATTGCTAAAACGTTTCTCATAATTAAAGTCTAACTTCTATGAAACACTTTGCAATTCAAAGTGATAAATGGTTATGCGTTTTTTTTCATACAGAATTTTCTTCCAGGCCACCAAGCAAATTGGTGAAGCAGCATTTCTTAAAAGAGAGTTCTACTATTGACTCCAAGCTTCTCATACCTATACTGCAGGTTTTGAGGCTGATGCTTTCTCGATCTCACAGATGTTAATAAACAGTTTTCAGATAACATGTAAAAATCATATTCCCCCTTCCGTGGTTTTCACATGGTTTGTTTACAGAACTACCATAGTGTTGCAGGTTTACTGTCATGCCACAAGGATTAACAACAAAATCTATTCATGTGAATGCAATACATAGTGTCTCAACTACCACCTGGACAATAGCAAACATAATTTACCACCATCTGCAAATTGCATATCAATTTCAGAAACGTTAAAATGTATAAAATAAGTGCATCTTACAATCAATGAAAAACAGTAGCCATAAATTCACATTAATATTAGTAACTGACTTTTATTTTAATATATGTTGTTAAATCATAAAATCAAGATTATGTGAATTTTGTAATTATTTAAAATTTCCTTGACAAGATTGCCTTCCCTACAGGTTGGTATATCAACGTGATTCCTCCCTAAAATCTTCTACTAATGCTATAAATTTCAGGATACTATATACTACTTCCTTCTTCTAACCAATCATTTGACTCTCCAGTCATTTTTCTTTAACAACACCCATGAAAGTCACGTTGGTTCATGAAGTGTCTTCTTGCTCTTCTTACCAATGATTTTTATTGTTTCTGAGTATAAGAAATTATTTGAACATGAAAAACAAAATCATAAATTTCTATATAATAGTAATTGTTAAATTAAATTTAGCCTAAAACTTGAATTCCTGCATAGCCTATATCTTGAATTTCTGCATAGCAAACTGCAACCTAACTTAGCATGTGGAAAAAAAAAAATCCCTGCAACCTAAGTATATATTCTTGCAACAAATAGCAGAGTGTCAGCCAATCACAAGCAGCCAAGCTTCAGTCAATCACAAGTTGCCAGCTATTCAGACCATCTCCGTATAAGGCAAATGCCTCACAAACCCATTCCCAAATAAGGCAAATGCCAGGGTATAACAAATTAAGCTGTTTCTGTACAACACTTTCTTTTTCTGTCGATAAATACTGCCTCCCCATGTTGCTGGATAAAACTTTCGAAAGCTCTCCTGGCTCGGAGTACAGCCTGATTCATGAATCATTCTTGCTCAAATAAACTCTGCTAAATGTAATTTGTCTAAAGTTTTTCTTTTAATACAATGATATTTTAGTGTTCATTGACTGAGAAAGTCTGTACTAACAAGTAACTACTATGCATGTAATAAATTTAGATTTTTTTCTGATTAAGAATCGCAATAGCTAGTATATACACTTAAAATTGCTAGCACATAGAATCGAGTGACTCTTTGTTATAAAATAAAAAGACTACATGTGCTGTGCCTGTAGGCATGAAGGCTCCCATGCATTAGTTCCTCTGCCCTGTGCCTATGCAGCATTACAAATTGTGGTAGTTAATATTGAGTGTCAACTTGATTGGATTGAAGGATGCAAAGTTTCATTCCTGGGTGTGTCTGTGAGAGTGCTGCCAAAGGAGATTAACATTTCAGTCAGTGGACTGGGAGAGGCAGACCCACCCTTAATCTGGGTGGTCACCATCTAATCAGCTGCCAGTGCGGTTAGAATAAAGCAGGCAGAGGAAGGTGGAAAGAGCAAACTTGCTGAGTCTTCCAAGCTTCATTTTTCTCCTACACTGTATACTTCCTACCCTCGACATTGGACTCCAATTTCTTCAGCTTTTGGACTCTTGGACTTACACACCAGTGGTTTGCCAGGGGCCCTTAGGCCTTCGGCCACAGACTGAAGGCTGCACTCTCGGCTTCCCTAATTTGAGGTTTTGGGACTCGGACTGGCTTTCTTGCTCCTCAGCTTGCAGACAGCCCACTGTGGCACTTCACCTTGTAATCATGTGAGTCAATACCCCTTAATAAACTCCCCTTCAAATATACATTTATCTTATACCTCTAGAGAACCCTGAATAATACACAAATCAATTGTAGCTCTCTTTCCTTCTGAGTCCAGCCATGGATTCAGGGACTTCTCACACATAGCTCCAGCCACACCAACGGACTGGAGTTTATGCTACAAGTAAAACCCATTTGCTATCCCAACTCTGGAATATACTTTTTCACATGCTGCAAAAAACAACTGCTTCCTAACGTTTTCTACATTTCTCTCTTTCACTCGTTTACAACCATTTTCTTTTTCTCCTGCCTCTATGAAATCTTGTCAATCAAGAATATTTTTGCCATATTCTTATCGTCAATTAAGATATAAACATTGCACATATTATACATCATAATTTAATGTTTATTGAACTTTTACTTAACATGCACAGCACTGTCTTAGAAACTGTGAATATAAATAAAATATTGCAATGCTTCTTGGCCTCAAAAAATTACAAACAAGTAGGGAAGGCATTAATGACTATAAGTAATTGCAATATATTGTAATCTATTTATAGGTGTCACTTCTTAAATATACCCTATTGTGACCATACAGAGGACACTAAACCTCAGTCTAGTTAAAAGAAAATGCTTCTCCAAACTTACCAGTATTTTAATGGGTGCAACTTTACTTCTACCTAGGGTCTCTGGCTGGGCCTGAGAATTAATTTGGCATAGGTAGATTAACAGGAGAAACACACACACACACATTTACGTAAGTTTTACATAACATGGGAGCCCTCATAATGAAATAAATATCCAAAGAATTGGCAAAACCTAAATGTGCTTTATACTAGGTTGAACAAAGAGACGCAATTGTAGAAAAATAACTAAACTATGGGGGAGAATAAAGGAAGATAAGAATCATCTTAACAAAATCTGTTTGTGTACAATTCTCTTGGCTATGACTCCCTGTAGAATAATGTTTTTCTCCTGGCACAGGAAGGGTATCTTTCACTTGGGAGTTTTTATCTCCTGTTTTCAGAAAGAAAAGGGGAGATTAGAATGCCCTTCTTGCATCTGCTGTTTTTCAAGGGCTTTTAGCTCAAAATAATTCTTACACTAAAGTGATACATTTTGGGGTGATGTGTTCTGAACTTCAAAACACACACACATACACACAAACACACACACACACACACACAACATACACTCTGACTACAGAAGTAAGCCATTTCCCACAAGGAAACTATATGTGAAAAGTCATGGAAGAATTAAATCACAAGATTTTGTTTGAACTGAAGTAAGTTTAATGTGGGAGCATAATATTCAGGAGGGAAATGGCTGCAATTAAAGTAGAACTATTAAATAGGCTTCAAATTTTTAAGCAACTTGGGCATATATCTTTCTTTGCCTCTCAATTCTGCCTATGAGATGGCACTGGAATTTGTAAGCATAAATGTCACATCATGATGGTATTTCTCCTAGGAGAAAAGAGAAAAAGAATAAAAGTAAGAAGACCAGGTAAACTGCTGCATTTGTTAAAGAAATGGAAGAAGATAACCTAAACTAAAGCAAGAGGGGTGAAGGAAGGTGGTTATACTTGAGAGTTAGTTACACTAATAAGACTTGTTAATTTAGTACATAGAGTATGAGAGTATAAAGAGGAATTAATGGTGAATCTAAAAGCAAAAACAACAATAATACACACACACGCAAACCATCAATTAAAGAAGAGAAATTTGTCTGGCATTTCAAAACAAAATAGGAGTCTCTTAAACGGAAATTCCCAGCCTTATTTCTGTATAGATTCTCAATAATTGTCTCAAGAATAATTTTGAAATTTTCAAATAAAAAAAAATTTACCTTAACTTAAAAAGTAATTAGTAATAACACTAGTTTATTTTTTCTATGGCTCAAAACCAGTGTCACCAAATCAATCAAACAATCATATGTTAGTTCACCCAACAGGCTGAGGGCCATTGGCTTTGTGAAGATGAGTCATATTTCTCCTACATCTGTGATAGCTGTTAATTTTTTTAACTCATGGGATAAATATTCCATTGACAATCAAAGAAGTTTTAACTGTTAGAAGTGCTCAACTTATTTAATTAATTAATTTTTCTGGAGAGCGAGTCTCGCTCTGTCACCCAGGCTGGAGTGCAGTGGCATGATCTTGACTCACTGCAACCTCCACCTCCCAGTTTCAAGCAATTCTGCCTCAGCTTCCCGAGTAGGTGGGATTACAGGCAGATCCCACCATGCCCAGCTAATTTTTATATTTTTAGTAGAGACAGTGTTTCACCATGTTGGCCAGGCTGGTCTTGAACTCCTGACCTCAAGTGATCTGCCCCCCTTGGCCTCCCAAAGTGCTGGGATTACAGGCATGAGCCACCATGTCTGGCCCAAACTCTTTAATTTAATATTGATGCCCTTGTACACAGTTACTCTGTCATCCTCAGATCCCACATCTACCTTATATATGAATGCACATCACTTGTAATATGGTTTCTAGAAAAGGTGAATTTTCAGGTTACTTATGTTCATGGCCCAAACATGCACCTTTTAATTAAGATGGAACCAAGAAGCCAGGAAAAAGAGTATGTGAAAATTTCTCACCACCAAATTTGATAAGGTTTGGGATATCTATCAAGGAGGTGGTAGAGCCTAATAGCTAAAAGCAAGTGCTCTAGCACCCAGCAGACTTGGATTCATGCCCTTGCTCTGTGTGACAATGGTCAAGTTGCTTAATCTCTGACAGAGTTTCCATACCGTTAAAATAAAATAATAATTTCTATCTCAAAGACTTATCGTATTAAGAAAAATGATTGATATATCATGTTTAGTACAGTGTATTGACTATAGAAAATATGTAAAAATGGTAGGTACTATTAAAATTCTCAATGCAAACAATAAGGAAAATTTATCCACATATTTCCTAAGTCATTAAAAATGGAGATGGAGCCTCGAATGGTCAGCGGGACTTAATGACTCATTTTCAAAGAATAGAGTATGAGAAGGTCTGAGAAAGGTAACTTCATAGTGGAGAAATCTGGCAAAGAGTACACTGTCTAAGTGATTGAGATTAACCTTATTGGCAATAAGTCATGTTGAGAGCATGGACCCCTGATGTGAGGCTATGAGAAGGGCAAGTCAGTCTCTAATATTCTTCCTTGTCTAATCATGAGGAAAACATCAGGCAAACCCAAAATGGGAGACATGCTATGAATAGCTGATCAGTACTCCTCAAAGCTGTAAAGGTTGTGAAAAGCAAGGAAAGAGTGAGAAATTCACAAACCACAGGAAACTAAGGAAAACGATGACTAGACATGGCATAATATTCTAGGTGGGATTGTGGATTAGAAAAAGGGTATTAGTGAAAAAAGTAGTGAACTATGAACAAAGCCTGCAGTTTAACTAGTAGTAATGCAGCAAGAATTAATGGTTTCTTAGTTTTGATAAATATACCCATGGTTATCAGTGAATGAATACAATACAGGAATTGTACTACCGTTGCAATTTTTCTATAAATCTAAATTTAAAACTATTCAAAAATAAAGTGTTTTAAAAGTTGGAAGGTAAGGGGCAGAAGAAAGTCAACAAATGTAAAAGCCATGAGACTCAATTTACCTGAAGTAGACTTACTTAAGTATTAAATAGATATCATGAATCTCCTCAATTTAAAACCTTATGATTTTTTATTCTGATATAACTTCATAAGACAAGTCAGATCTTAATCCACACCTATCTAATCTAGTTATATGTCTCAACACAATACCAAATGTTCAGGGTGAAAGAAAAAAAACAAAAACACAAGACCCAAATAGAGTTTTAAAAGACCCTGAGCTTCATTGCAATTTTTACTCATAAGGAAAAGCATTTGGATATTTCAGCAGAAATGTACTTTTTCTTTACAAACTGCCCACTACTAAATAGTATTTTTATAGCAAATTCAAATGTGGAACAAGTACATAAAAAGAGTTTTCAAAACTAAAATAGATTAAAATAAAGCCTCCTGCATAACTGTTCTACAATGCTAAAAAGAGAATAAATATATTGAACAAATTAATTAACCTTAAGTAGCACTTCTCTTCCTGGGATGTAGGTTACAACAAAAAAAAAACCTATGGTCTGAAATCTTTCCGTAACGGGTACCTTCTACAAAGTCTGAGCAGGGAATACCCATTTAAAGTAACCCATTACAACCTAATTTGTAGCCCAGAACGTGGACAATTCCCTTTTATATATTTTAAACAATTTTCATATTTTGCATCACATAATGTGATGCAATACCTTTACACGGATTTAGTTATCTTTTTAATATCAAGAGTTGGTCTTTCTATGGGCCTTTCAGATTTGTTTTCTACAAGACTACACTCAACTCCTACCAGAGATTAAAATAAGGTTTTCTTTTAGTATGATATAACTCTAAGGTTATGGATAATATATACCGCTTCCATGGACAAATGGCACTCTGGTTATTGGAAAGAATTGCTCTTCTGAGAGTGTCTCTAGAAAGAAGGTTATATTTTATTATTCTACAAGTTAATCTAACACAAAGGTTGATGCAAAGTGAGGTACTCTGATATGGTTAAAGGGAATCAAGGGATAAATAGAAGATAATTCACTTCCTTTTCATGTGTACTCTATAGGGTAGTATGATTAATTATTTTTCAGGACAACAAAAGGTCTAAATAAAATACAGGTGTATAAAAAGTAGTTTCCAGTGTATTTTCTTTAAAAACCATTATATTTCAAACAAAATACATTTTAAAGTATGCAGTCATACTATCTCAAAACATATTCTCCTCATATACACATACTAATCAAATACTTGCTCAAAATTAAAATTTTAGAAAACATTAAACTCTTATTCATCTGACAAGTATTTATCAGGTGCCCACTATGTTCTGGGCTTTGTGCAAGGAGGTAGTATTATGTTCCTTCCATTAGAGCTTTCTTCTCTCCATTAAAATGGCCTCCTAGACTTAATCTCTTAAATGTCCACAATAATTTGTACTTCTAAAAATCTGTGTTTTAATGGAGGAGAAAAAAAACCCTAGCACTAAAAGTCCTGACAACTTTGACACATTAAATGGAAATCTTAGAATTACTGTAATGGAAGGAAATCATTGAATCCAAAAGCAGCAGGCCTTTAAGAATAAGATGGAAATTGAGAGATTGCCTTTATTCTTGAAATGGGGTATTTGATTCATTTAAGGAAAATGAATCAAGTAATCAAAAGTACATAAGGCATAATTTTTGAAGGTTAAGGAAGTTGGATTTTTGCCCACCAAATTAAATCTGACAAATTTGGCCAAAGCAATCCAGTTGAAGCTGCACAGACCTTAGCTGCACAGAGTAGAGTTATTCCATTTGGTGAAACTGAAACAACACAGACCATCAATATTGTTTCAACCTATGTTCCATGATGTTCTAAAGTCTGTCAACAGTTGAATGGAGTGGGTTCTGACTGGGCTCTGACTCTGTGCAATGCTATATTCAACTCTTACAGAGGAAAATAGAGAGGTGGCACTAATATAAAAACAGGTAACTTTTATGTTACTTAGTTTTCTAAAACAAAGGTAAGCATGATTATGGATTCTTTTCTATAAATTAAATTACACTTTTAAGACCTAAGTATACTTGTTCCATATGAAATATTTCAATTTGTGGTAGAATTCACTAATTATCTAGCAGAATTCTATTAGCAAATGTGTTCAGTTAGAAGAAAATTACATGAATCAAACAAATATAAACCCCACAAAGAGCCCTGGGACCTGTAAATAACAGTAACCAAAGTCAAAATTTAAGACATCTAAACCTTTTCTAGAACCAGAACACTTCTAAAACAATAGGCACTCAATTCAATTCTAAAGTCTCTTCCTCTCCTTCCTCCCTACTTCCATCACTGTAGAACATCATTATCATCATTATTGCCGAGACTAATGACCACTCTTAGCTCTCTGCCACAATAAATACCCCAGCTGAAGCAATTTCTCAGACAATAAATCATACACGTGGCTGACTAGAGCCGATTGGTATATACTTATGGGAGTTTATTTCTGGCCACAGTGAGCTTTTAAGATACCCAAAGATCCCAAAACCTATGCCTAGGTTTCCGATCTAGCCATGACTATCTCAATATAACATAAAATTCCAAAACTGAACACTAAATCTCCCCTATAGGCCCTTTCCAACATTTTGAACAATTTCTACCCTTGAATTCATATTTTGCAACTGATGAAGGAAGACATGCATGAAATCAACAGTAATACTAGTTAGTTGTTTGTTTGTTTGTTTCAGATGATCTCACTCTGTCACCCAAGCTATAGGGGAGTGATCTCAGCTCACTGAAGCCGTGACCTCCTGGGCTCAAGCAATTCTCCCACCTCACCCTCCGACTAGCTGGGCCTACATGTGTGTGCCACTACATCCAGCTAATTTTTGTATTTTATCTAGAGACAGGGTTGTGCCATGTTGTCCAGGCTGGTTTGGAATGCCTGAGCTAAAGTGATCTGTTTGCCTCAGCCTCCCAAGTAATACTAGTTTGAAGGCAACAAGTACGTCAATGCACCAAATACATGCAAATGGTAAAGCGGGAGAATTTACCCATTTGCCCAGTCTCATTCAGGGTGGCACCAAAAAAGGAGGCGACACTTAAACTGATCATTACAGGATAAGGAAGATCTGAGTAGATGGGGGAAGAGACGAAAATGCTGAAACACATAAACACAAACACACAGCATGTTTAGTTGCCTAGCATAAGATCTTCGGAAAGATGCTATTTTTTTTAAAGACACTATAAATTAAGATAACACCAGATCTTAAAGTGCCCTTATGCATAATTAATATATTTAATATGGTGAAAACGAGAGACATTTAAGTTTCACAGAGGAGTAATAGCTACCATGACTATGTGAAAAAATTCTAAAGAAGAAAATGCATTAGAGATTGGAGTACCAGATATGATAGCAGAAGCTATGGCAATGGCTAAGTAGAAACTGAAAGGTAGAGATGGAAAAATAAACTGTTTTGAAGATATGATTGCTAGAAATTGACAAATGAAGAAAATGAAATGAGGTCCTACCTATTTGTTTTCTAACCTGGGTTAAAGAAGCCATCAGTTTACACAAGGAACACGGGCTAATTGTAAGGCTGTCTTAAGAAGGCAGGTCTGGATCTAAACACACTGAATTTTACAGGAAGAAAAAGAAGTTAAAATGTCAACCAAATAGAAAAAGTTCACTATGGTGCTCAGGAGAGCGGATAGGGCTCGGTTTGTACATTAGGGAATCATGAGCACAAAACTGTTAGCTAAACCTTGGGAGTGGGCAAAATTACCCAAGAAGAAAATGCTGAGTCAATAAAAAAGGCCAAGGTCAGAAATTTATTGAATTCATATATTTAGGGAGTGAGCAGATAAAGTGTCAAAAAATAAAACTGACAGAAAAATAAAAAAGAATGTCAATGGTTCATATCATATACAGCAAATGGAATAAGAGTGTATCAAAGTGGATGGAAAACCATTCTAAAAGGATCGAATGCTGGAAATGGTCATGAATTTGGCTGACTTTGACAGAGGAATTAAAGCAAAGTATGGAAGAGAAAAGTTAATTGCCAGAGGAATGCTGTGAAGAAGGGGGAAAGACATAGGGTGCCCTAAGAGAGAAGACAAATGATTGGCTAGGACTGTGGAGGAGATAAGAGCAGAGGGCACTGAGGACAGGTTAGTCCAGGAGAGGAGTATGGACGTATCAGTCTCTGAATTAGGAGACATATTGCTGACATATGCAGGAGCACATCCTGTTTGACCAATGGGCATTCAGAACCTAAATGGCTCTTTTGGAAAGTAGTGACGGAAAATCCAGCCTCAAGTCACATATATAATTGAGACTGATGATACTTCCAATTGAGCACTGCAGAATAGAAAACTCCTCTTCTCCCTTTCTAAAGAGCTTATCAAAGACACTCTGGGAACCCCAAAACATTGGGCTTCTTATGGGCTATTTTTTATACCTGATTCATAAAACACTTCTACATAAATACACTGTTCCATTGTTCCAACACATGACAAGTAAAATTTATAAGTGGTATATTGGAATTTTAACATGTCTTGATTTAAAAATATAATTTAGTAGTTTAAAAATCTTAAAACAAATTTTAATTTTCCAAACCTCTTTTTTAAGAAAAGGGTAATCTTTACTAACCCCGGGGTCATGACTAAAAGGTTGAGAAAGGTTGAGAATTTCAGTTACAGAACATAAGCCTGGGAAAAATGCCTAATAATACTTTTTAAATGTTTGTAAATTATATTATAAAGAATAATTTCAGTTGGGCACTGTGGCTAACACCTGTAATCCCAGCATGTTGTGAGGCTGAGGTAGGTGGATAACTTGAGGCCAGGAGTTCAAGATAAACCTGGCAAACATGGCAAAACCCCATCTCTACAAAAATTAGCTGGGCATGGTGGCCCATGCCTGTAATCCCAGCTACTCGGGAGGCTGAGGCATGAGAATCACTTGAACCTGGGAGGTGGAGGTTGCAGTGAACCGAGATCATGTCACTGCACTCCAGCCTGGGTGACAGAGTGAGAGACTGTCTTAAAAAAAAAAAAAAAAAAAAAAGATATTCTATTTCGCATGCTATTAAAGCCTGAAGAAAGAATAAACTCTATCTGCAGGATGAGGGAGTTCAGATAGACATAATTACAAGTATATTTTCATGTTTACAATTATAAGACTTCCAAAACAGATACTTAAAAATCACTAATAGATGTTCATCTTTCTGGAGTGGTTGGACACCATTACTTCCACAGGCTCACACTGGGGTCTGTAATTTTATTTCTGCTCCTTGGGATGGTTCACGGTTTCCCTCTAGTTTGGAATAAGTCATGCCAATATGTGAACATCCACAGTTTCTGCTACTCAGCTCGGTTTTGTTTTCCTTCTTCCAATCTTATGACCTATGGAACATGGAAGGCTTCTTTCTGCTTTATAATTTGTGACCAAACTTTATGATTTATTCCAGTGCAATAAAGGCAAGAAAATTGATTTTTCTCATAAGAGTGCATATTTCCCTTTCAAGAAATGAAAAACTCATTTGTGGTGGGGAAGAACACTTAGCAAAAGCACCAAAAGGAAAGGAAGCTAAACTATTGGACTAGCTTGGACAAGTGATTTAACTTTTCGGAGCTTAGTTTCCTATCCCTAGCCTTTGATAGGATTAAATAATCCTTTCACAGGATTAAATAAGGAATGAATGAGATTGTGTGCATAGACTATCACTGTGCCTGGCACAGAGTAAATAAATTACAGAGTTAATAAATTACCATTCATTTCTATATGAAATTATACTCATGCCATTATTGTGTCACTTTGTAAGGACTAATATTAACTAGTCATATAGCTCATGGGGTTTAACTTATTCAACCACACCTTTCCTACCACAGCCACTGCACCCACACACCCCAATCACCCATCGCCTCCCCAACACATACACACATGCGTGCACACACAAACACACGTACACACACCTTTCAGCTCAGGGATCTTAAGTGAAACTTCATGAGAAACAAAATAAAGAGACATTTTATTTTCTTATTTGCTATTAGGAAAGAGAAGTTATAGCCCCTATGGGCATTATTGGGTAATCGACACTCCGAGTGATGAATCCAAATAAAAGCTTTCCTATCCCTATTTACCGCATGCATTTAAGATATCAAGCTGATACTCTATGCAATACCTTCCAAACAGACTACTGCAAGCTATTTCTTTCTAAAACACATTCTTGAAAACAATCAAATTATAAATTAATCCTTAAAGATTGGAAGATTGTAAGCCATGAAATAGTACAGAAGCTTGCAATTAAGATCATAAGCAGGAGATTGCCAAAGAGATGCCAGAAACTATGTTACATGATTAGCTATAACCAAAGGGAGAAAAACAAGTATATATGTCCCTGAAGATAATCCATGAACACAGAACAAGTTACAGGGGAAAAACACAAACTGTGAGGCCTCTAGCAACAGTCTATTAAATGCTAAAGAGGCAAATCAATCCAATAATGTAAACGGGATATTACTAACTAGTAAGCTAAGAGCTTTTACATTCACTACAAGTGCATTTTGCAATAAATGAGAAGTCATGTACAGCCCCTGGTGTATTTCCCTCCCACTCCTTCATATCTGCACTCATTTTGAAACTATTTAGAGTCAGAATATAGCACTACAGCAGTGGTCAGATCTGGCACAGAATTCTTTAATGATCATTTCTAAGAATGTACAGTATATAAATTCTTAGAGGTACCTAGCCCGAATTTCAAGTGTTGAGTTGCTCTGGCAGAAATACCTTATTTTGAAATAGATTGTGGCAGGACATGTAACAAGAAATAAGTTATTTCCCCAAATAACACTGAAAACACCTTTGATCCTTAACCTCTCAATGCTTTCTGGTAACTTAAATATCTACATGAAAATTTTGCATTACTGATGTATCCATTGTGTTCACATGCTACAGTTTTATAAATGCCCATAAATACCAGGGCTGTGTTTTTCACTACAGAGTCCACAGGAGGTTTTACGTTTGTTTGTTTGGTCTTATTTTGCTTGTGGGAAGAAGGAAGCGAAGTATAGTAAATAAACCATTCAAGTTTTATTTATTTTTTAGAACAATTGCTTTTAGATTTTCAGATATTTGATGAATCTGAATGTTTTCATCAAATAAATTCATGAGCAAGGCATAGTCTAAGTTTCTGACATCATTTGTAAAAACCACAAACACATTGCTTTGGCCATACTGGACCCACTCAGTCATCTAGTCACACCTTTATTTACTCATTGCAAATAAATGCATTGTACCATGTGTCAGACACCATACTAGTACTGTGAAATGGGAAAGTGACCCCCAAAATGGCAAAATCCCCACCCTATAATGCATTGCATCCTAGTTGTAAAGACAAATACTAACCAAATAAATGCAACATACGTATAGATATGAAATTACAAATTACTAAGTACTATAAAATAAAAGTGCAGAATATTTTGAGAAAGATTAACTGTTGAGTAGTGAGTTCAAGATAAAGGGCATTTAAGCTTAAATCTAACTTCTAAAGAAGTAGGAGTGGGGTAAAAGATTAGATGCAGGAGAGAATTGAAAGATGAACTGGAGTGAATTATGTAATCAGCAAAGTGCTATTTTAGAAATCAGAACACCAGAGTCCTAATTAACAGCATGACCAAATAAGGAGATTGAGAGTGAGGCACTGTCTCATTCTAAAACTCTTAAGTTTTTGTAAGTATTCTTTTCTTCAAAGATTGGTAAATTGGTGTTTTTTAAGAAAAAATAAAATATTTATTTGAAGTGTTTATTTTGTAAAGACTGCATTTAATATTTTTACTTACCAATGACTAATAGTGAAAACTTCTGCATATTTTACACATGCAGCTAGAATTTTATAGTAACACACAGTATTTTCAAAAAGCTAGAAGAGAAGATTTTGAATGATCACAACATAAAGAAATGACAAATGTTCCAGACGAAGAATATGCTAATTAGCTTGATTTGGTCATTACACATTGTACGCATGTATTGACATATCACTCTGTGTCCCCAAAATATGTAAAATTATTATATGTCAACTAAAAATTAAAGGGAAAAGTCACACAAAAGAATAGTACCGCAGCATGTTAAATAATAAAGTCTCTTCAAATAATTGATACCACCTTGAACTTTTAAGATGTTGTCACTGATTGTTACGAATAATTCTCACTAATGCACATATGTCTTATTTACAAATAGCTATATTAAAGTGAAATTATATTGTCTTTATACATGAAATAAATCTGTGAATAAAATGGAAAAAAAATAGCTAGGAATGTTAATTCCCCAGAATTTGTCATCGTCAGGAAACCTCTCATTCTCAAGGATGATAGTTCACAGATTTGTTCACCTTTCCTTAACATGTCAGGAAAATTATAATCATTAAAAAGTAAGTCAACTTATCAATATCAATAGCATTTTTCTTGGCTGAAATTCTTTACCTTTTATTAGAATTATATAATTCTATGAAATCTTCAGAAAATATCCACTAAAATCAACCAACCTCATTTCTATCAAGGTCACACTCCAAGTTAGAAACAAGTCAAGGCTTGTTTTGTTGTTGCTAAACTCTTCCCTATATTTGCCATATCATAATCATCAACCTCTTGCTCAAAATTCAACTTCGAATCATTTTTTCCTCACTGCAGTAAAACGATTTGTTTCAAAAAATTATTAGTAGTCACGTGAGTTCAGCCTACCTCTTAGGCCCTCCCCTGAAATTCCTTGATCTTAGATCATAATCTATATCTGCTGTAACAAAATGCGAGATATTCCTTCTAAAACTAAGATAAACAAACAAGATGGAGAAAAGATAAATGAGGGTCCTAATGTGATTCAGCGCACATACAGAAAGGTTGCAAATTTTTAAAAAACTGGCTCTTTTGTGTTTATTTATCACTGATCTGGAAAAGAGAGCCCATAATTAATAAATCAAAAAGACGATATAAATTTAGCCTCTTATACAAAAGATATTAATTAAAAGGTAGATATTCAACATGCCATAAACTAATCATCATCAATGACATCTCTTCCTTACATATTTCATTTTAAATGCTTAAGTATGTATTTGGAAATATTACATGCATATTTTCTATATTTCCTACACTGTGGCCCTCTAGCCTGTAATGATTTTCTTCTCATTTTTTAGCTATATAAAGTTAAAATTTACTTTAAACCTTTAACACTAGGCCTGGAAAAATATAACTCTTGCTTGAACAAAAGATCTAAGATTGGGGGAACACAGGAGATGCAGAAACTACACTTCCTTGCCACCCACACCTCATTTCTTGCCCAACTAGATACAGATTTTCTGTACAAAGGACAGGACCCTCAGATACATATATAAATCTAAAGAATAGGGGAAAACAGACTTGTGCTAAGGAATTTGGAAAACCTCAGTATTTACCTACAAAGCTTTACAGAGCTTCTTACAGCCTAGCATAGTAAGGGAGTAGCCAAATCATTTCTGATGCATTAAAGAGGATGGAGCTGCTGGAACTCTGAGCACAAGAATGAGGGACCAAACAGCAGCAACCTGTTTACTCTTCTGAGGCTGAAATAAAACAATGGATGTGTCAATAGCTGATAGGTGGAGATGTGGCCAGTGGCCAGTAAAACCCAAAGCTCGTCTCTTCCCAACCCTGTGTAATCCTTGTGCTATCTCAGCTTACCTCTCACACCCCAGCCCCCTGGGCAAAAGGAAGAGAAATCCTGAATTCAATGCCATTTCATTTTTGCCATGCCAAAGAACAGAGATCCCAATTACAAATAATTCAACAACAACAAAAATGCTCCTCTTGTGGATTGTCACCCTCTACATAAGAGACTGGGCCAAATGCTAAAGATACAGATAAATTTAAGGAATAATTTCTGCCTTAAATTCGTGTTACAGTTAGTTAGGAGACAGAGTACAGGCACAACAAAATTAAACAAATATATAATGCAAGTTGTACAATGTAACAAGACCAGGTAAGCCATAAGATGGCTGTAGTCCCCTATTTTGCCTCCTTTCCAGAAGAATAATGAGCTTAATGTTTAAGTGTTCAAAACTGTGGTGCTGTAAATGCTTTCAAATCATGTGTCTTCATTCACATGATTTACCCCTTGAGCCTACTAAACACGCCAAATCTTAAAGTTGTCTTATAGTTACGCTGAATCTTTCATATCTGCCAGATGGCTTAACTATACACTAATGAATATAGACCAGTGTATGGGAGAGGCTGGAATGAAAAACTAGAAAATTTGCCTTTTTACCCAGAGCCATGAGATCAAGCATTCTTTCAAAAACCACTAAAGTTGATGTAATATGTTTCATTCTAATTAGGAAAAAAATCACAATATTTATGATTTGTACATAATTCAGAGGGTCTTGATATTTCATTAAAACCTAGCATTGAATGTGAGACATACCAGCAAACATTACCTTAGAAATTATACTTATATTGAACTAAAAACAAACATTTGTAGGAAATAACCTATTTGCTATTTTCTTCTCTGGATTTTAGGACAAAGAAATCATTAACTGATAATAATCATATTGTTGTTGGGATCTATTGATTTTAAATCACACTCCCTGGAGTTATGATCTGTAAGCAAGATCATTTTCCTTTTTTTTTCCATCAGTAAGATAATTTTCTTAGAAAATCAGCTCACCTTGCACTCCTTGCAGTTCTCTGCTTACTTAAGCTCCAGAACACCACAACTAATTGTGGGAGATAATTACAAATGCTTTTTGTAAAAAATATCAAAATTAAAAATAATTTATAGAATTAAAAACTTTTAAAAATTAGAACTTGAAAACCTCTTAAAATAATCACACAGGATAAGAAACAATGTTAGAGAAAAATGAGGGTATATGCATACTCTCACTTATAAGTGGGAGCTAAATGATGAGAATTCATGGACACAAGAGGGGAACGACAGATACTCAAACCCACTTGAGGGTGGAGGGTGGGAGGAGGGAGAAAAGCAGAAAAAAATAACTATTGAGTACAAGGCTTAGTGCCTGGTTGATGAAATAATCTGTACAACAAAACCCTGTGACACAAGTTTACCTAAATAACAAGCCTGCCCATGTACTCCTGAACCTAAAATAAAAGTTAAAAAAAAAAAAAAAGAAAGAGAAAGGAGGATATAGCTCAGGGTTACATAAAATTTTGCATCGGTAAAAATAGATGATAGGTAGGTAGGTAGAGTAGATAGATGATTGATAGGTATGGAGAAAAATTGAGCTGCAAGAATAACTAAATATGCAAACAGTATAAAAATATAGAATTACTTGCTCTGGACATTTAAAAATAAAGTCTATTTTACCATTTGTGTACGTGGCCAAAAAGAAAAAAAAAGGCATTATAACTCCAGGCAACTCCCAAGTGCTGGTTAATTTCTAACCTGTGTGTGTGTGTGTGTGTGTGTGTGTGTGCGCGTGTGTGTCTGTGTGTTATTGTGGCTTTCTGCTTTTGTCTGCATGTCTGCTTTGCGCTCCCTGCCACATTTCAGGAAGAGGCAATGATAATGATGCCCCACTGACAGAACCCTTCCTGTGAATCCCTCCAGAGTTGCTGGCAAGACCACAGATGGAATATTGCTGGTCAAATGCTCATCTCTAGATCTAGTACAACTAGCACAGCATCCTCAGTCAGGGGGCTGAGTGCAAGGCAGTATTATTTAGATTAGAAGAAGTGGCTGTGGTGGCATCATGATTTTTATTAATCACTGAAAGATGACTTCTACCTTCAATTATAAATGTCCTAAGTACAGGGGCAATTCACGCCTTTCTGTTTTCTTCTATTTCTATGTTCTGTTTATCACAGTTCAAGAACATAGTAACCAACAAATAATTAGTTGTGGAATTGAATCAAGGTCAATAGAATAAGACATTTTAATCTAAGATTAATATCCAAAAACATTAAGGGCAAAAGGACTAAACTAGACAATTGGAATTGCTAGGCAATTACCAAGTAGTAGTAATGCTATATTTTTTAATAACTTAATATTATGTCAGAAATAGCAGTTATATTACATGTTCTTTTTCTGATGCCTCAGAGTTCCTCTATCAAGAATGATGTGTGAAACCAAGCCCACGTAATGCAGGAATTGTCTTTCACAACAAATCATGTTCCTTTTTTTTAATTAAAAAAAAATCTGTAGGTACATAGAAAGTGTATATATTTATGGGGTACATGAGATTTTTTAATTCTTTTTATTTTTTTAATTTTTATTTATTTATTTTTTGAGACAGAGTCTCGCTCTGTCGCCAGGCTGGTGTGCAGTGGCGCCATCTCGGCTCACTGCAACCTCCACCTCCCAGGTTCAACTGATTATCCTGCTTCAGCCTCCCGAGTAGCTGGGATCACAGGTGCGCACCACCACGCCCAGCTAATTTTTGTATTTTTAGTAGAGACAGGGTTTCACCATGTTGGCCAGGATGGTCTTGATCTCTTGACCTCATGATCCGCCTACCTTGTATTCCCAAAGGGCTGAGATTACAGGCGTGAGCCACCACGCCTGGCCACATGAGATGTTTTGATGGAGGCATTCAGTGTGAAATAATCACATTTTTATTCAAAGAAACAAACACATAAAATAATGTTCCTTTTATTTTCCAAATCATTAGGAAAAATGGTATTTGAGTTTTATTGAACTACTAGGAGAAAAAAATCATTTTTATACAGGACGTGTAGATTCAAGAAACTATTAAAACCATTCTGTCTATGAAAATGTGTTTTTATGTTCAACAAAAAGTTGAAATTTATTTCTAGTAGTGAATAATAATATTTATTATTTCACAGTGTTTCATCCTTTGCTATGCATAACGATTTGCTCTGGGAGAAATTACATAGCTGCTTAAAGCCACTACTCATAGCTCCTTAATTTAAGTTATTAAAAAACAACAGAAATATAGCTTCATAAGGAAACTGAGAGATCAAATAAGGTAACTGGAAAATATAAAAACATAATTTATCATACACAGTTTAGAATTTTTTCTAATAATGATAGAAGATAAATATTGATTTTTCTTCTCCATTTAGTGATTAGTGGGTCAATATTAAAAACTGAAACAAACTCAATTTAGAGAACCTACTTCTAAGATTGTGTGCTCCAACTTGCCACTAAAAACACTTTCCTTCTTATGATGCTCTTAGAATTCATCGTAAAGAATTCCAAGGAAAATAAAAAGTGGAACCATTCTAATAGCACTCTAAATGCTGAATTTGCCTCCAGAAATAAAGTAGTTGCTTTTTAAGGTTTATTTAGTATGCTAACAGGTGAGTGCTCTTGAAATAGTATTCTTTTTAGTTAACCGTCCTCTATACTGAATTGCGGATAGATATGTACTGATCTATTGTTAGGATGATTACTACTCATAATACCCGAGGTTTTCTTAAATAACTCTCAGTTGTTCTCCAGGGTAATACTGGGAAAAAAAAGGAAAATAACTATGAAGCTCAGTTACAGAAACATCTTCTTTAGTTTTATGAGTTACCATGAAAATAACTAAAGTTAAACATACTGGGTTTAGTTCCAAAATGAGAGATACAATTAGCTGATGCCTCTGCTATGCAAATTTTAAGGAAACATACATTTTCTTAAAGATTACTATTCACTGAACAATTCTATAAGAAACCTTTCCAATGACCATCTGTCCAAACTGTGTGTTGAAGTTCTGAAAAGCAATACGACATTTAAAAAGAAATCTGTGTAGTTAGTTTCTGGTTGCTATGAAACTAAGAAAAAAAATATGGTTCTAAATATCATCTTGAGTCCTATTAATCTTGGTGATTATCTTTTTTGTTTGAACATTTTTTCCATAATCAAATTAGATAGTATTTGTGAAGAATTTGAAAGCCCATTAAATTATTCTACTCAAAAGTATTATTGGTGTCAGGTGTGTTTCACATAAGACTTAATTATTTGCATGGAGACCAAAAATTAGGTTGTAACATTGCATATGCACCAAATAATAAAGATACTAATCTTATTACTTATGCCATAAAGTTCTTCCTGGGATGGAGGAAAGATTTATGGCTTTCTATTTAATGTTTTGAACGATTCTCTCTCTTCTCTTAAATTTGGGCTAATTTTCTTTTTCATTTTGCTTCCCTTTGATCCCCAAGTTTCAAAGAAGACCCATAATCACCACATATTACTGATAATTCTCTATGCATGTCAAAAAGTCCATTTTTATATGTGGCACTACCTTTGCCAGAACAGAAGATGGCATTAATTTTCTTGTTACCGCAGACTCAGATGAATCAGCTCTCGTATCTTCCAAGAATTCTCATGTATTCTCAATCCTCCAGAAACAGCAAATTCAAATTACAGAGAACAGATATCCCAGAAGCTTCATGACAATGAATAGGTCACATTTGGGATGTTTTGCTAGAATTGCACGTAAAGCAACTGTATTTTAGATACTAAAAGCAAATGAAGCACCTGTGAATTATTTTCTTTTTCTTTTTTTTTTTTTTTTTTTTTGAGACGCAGTCTGGCTCTATCGCCCAGGCTGGAGGGCAGTGGCGCAATCTCAGCTCACTGCAAGCTCCGCCTCCCGGGTTCACGCCATTCTCCTGCCTCAGCCTCCCGAGTAGCTGGGACTACAGGCGCCCGCCACTACGCCCAGCTAATTTTTTGTATATTTAGTAGAGACAGGGTTTCACCATGTTAGCCAGGATGGTCTCGATCTCCTGACCTCGTGATCTGCCCGCCTCAGCCTCCGAAAGTGCTGGGATTACAGGGTGAGCCACCGCACCCGGCCGAATTATTTTCTTTACACTAATCTTAACTATCTAAAATTGGAGAAAGAATCTACGATTTACATAAAACCCACAGAAGTTCTTAGTCTCATATCGCTCACAGTGTTTCTTCATGTGGAAGGAAATATATATATATACATATCAACAGATTTTAATAACCTTTTTCAAATTGAATTCAAGATGCATGTTAAAGAGGAAGATGTTTTACACAAGAAAAGTAGTAATTGACATATGGCGTCAGCCTGCATGAGCCCTGTGCCGGCACTACCAATCCACAAACTTCTAAGTTTGCATTAGAACAGTAAAGCAACTGTAGAACAAGCCAGGACTTCTCTGAAAGTCAGTACTCACTCTCAATGCTAAGGATGTTGGCATTAAGGATGCCTTGTCTTTCTCTGAAAAAAATCAATAAAAATATTTCTTTAAAAACGTGTAGGCTGGGAGCGGTGGTGGCTCACGCCTGTAATCCCAGCACTTTGGGAAGCCAAGGTGGGCACATTACGAGGTCAGGAGATCGAGACCATCCTGGCTAATTCAGTGAAACCCCGTCTCTACTAAAAATACAAAAAAAAAAAAAAAAATCAGCCAGGGGTGGTGGCGGGTGCCTGTAGTCCCAACTACTCAGGAAGCTGAGGCAGGAGAATGGCGTGAACCTGGGAGGCAGAGCATCAAGTGAGCCCAGATCGTGCCACTGCACTCCAGCCTGGGTGGCAGAGCAAGACTCTGTCTCAAAAAAAAAAAAAAAAAAAGTGTAGATTTGCAGTGATCCTCTTCGGATCATCTGACTCCTTAAAAAACAGAACTTTCCATGATGACCTCCCAATATCTAAGCTTATTGATAGAGCTGGGCCAAAGCCTAGATCCTCTGCAGGGTAAAGATACACTGCTTAGATATATTTTAGAAATAAAGGAACAAAGCCTGAGACATGCCAGGCAGAGTAGTGAAGTGGGTATGGTCTCTGCCAGGGCTCCAGCTTCCTCTTTCTCTTCTTTCTTCCTCCCTAAATAACAATATTAGCAGTTTTAAATAGTTACTAAAGCTTAAAGCATTTTAAAAGAAAAAAAAATATCCAAATAACAGAATGCATCATCTTCCCAAAATACCCCTCTCCCTAGATTTCCTAACTCAGTGGATGAAAATTAAATCTACCCAGTCACCCAAACTAGCAACCTGAGGGTCAGTCTGAGCCTCCTTCCTTTCCCACATTCAATCCATTACCAAGCCCTGATGGGATTTTTCTCATAAATAGTTCTCAAATCCATGACTTCTATATCCCAGCTAATCTGCTCTAGTTCCTATCTTCATTATCTGCCTAAAAGAAAACAGTCTCCCAGCTTCAGCTGCATCTCTTTTACTCCATTTCTATTCAGATGCCAGAAGGAGTGCTCCAAAACATAAATCACATTCTGATACTCTCCTGCTTAAAATCCTTTGTTTCGAAGGTAGAGCTAAATTCCTTCAGCTTTTGCAGAAGCCCTTTCATTTATGCCCATTCAGCATGTTCTGCTGATTGTCTTCTCTGCTTTGTGTCAGAATGGATCGTTTCTTTCATCATGACTTCTGTAAAGACTAGAGAAAGTACACTTTGTCTATATTTAATTACTCAAGTTCAGACTTTAAGATGGAGTGTTCGTCACAGCTTGTTACTTATCTTTTATCTTAATTGCTAGCAAGAGAGAGCCATATAATGCTGCAAACAATTAAATGAATCTTGTGCATCACACTTCTCTAGGGAAAGACACCTGGGAATAGCTGCTCTCTCTTACCACCCAAGGTCCAATGTGAAGGGTTTCACTGTTAACTTTATCTTAAAAATTTTCTCAACTGTACATAAGTCATTGACTCTTAATAATTCCTCCTGTTACACTTACAAATATCACCTTTACCACAGGCAATGTGAGTTTTACTGGTCAGTACTCACGCAGGCATACACTTGAAAGTGAGCCAAATTTTAACCCTGGAAAAATCCAAACTCAACCAAAACCAAAATAAAATACTCAGATATGTTAGAAAATTTACCATATCCTGGAGAATACAAAATAAACCATTTCTCAGTCATATAAAATTTTAAATAAATATTTGTTAGGAATTTATTAATGTGGCTCTTGCCTTTCATCACCACTACTTCCTATTATTTCTTAGTTGTATATTTAACATGTATCAAATCTCTACTGTACGTCAGATACTATGTTCACTAAGTTTATAATGTGATGACTTTTATGTTACTATATTAAGTAAAATAAAACCTCCCAGGTCCTATTCTTCTTGTTCAACCAAGAAAATATCAGAAAATGTATATCATTTGATTACGTTCGCTAAAAACTCTTATCTGTAATAGTGACAATCCAACAACATTCCGAAATGATTTTTAAAGCCACTTGCCAGGTAAATGTCAAACAGAGTACATTAGCAAAACAGAGAAGAGTTATGCCACAGTTTACTGGAGTATGGCAGAATACTAAGGGAGATGACCAAGCTACATTTTATGCATGAAGCACCAAACTTGTTTATGCTCCATAAAACACTTCGGATCTCATTAAAACCAAGTGAACAATGCAAATAAGAGTAGCTAAGGCCAACTTTAGCTTTCTTCTGTATTGGGTTAATTTAACAAAAAAAAAAAAAAAAAAAAGAATTCCACAGACCCTTAACTTTCAATTACAATGCCATCTTGTAGAAAATGCAGAAGCAATGAAAAGACTCATAAGCATCTTGATGCAATAGTTAGCAAACCACTATGGAAACACGGCAGATCGATGAGAACTTAATACACCAATGGGCAATGTTTGTATCAAAGTTTTCTAATTCTACAAGGTAAAAAGCACTTCAATATGCAGACTATATTCCATATTGTAAGGATCCAGCCAACTACAGTATCATAGGAAAGGGAGGTAGATGTACCCCGTATCACTGTCAGATGGAAGCAAGAAAGAAAACATATGGAGACAAAGTTGTCTACTGTCTAAATTAATAGTCCATTTTATGAATGATTTAGAACTTACTTTAGCTGCCCCAGGCCAGCTGATGACCTCTATCAGAAAGCTGAAGGCTTCAGTCACCTCAAGAAATTCTGTTTTTCACAAAGCATCTGGCTAGAGCATTGAGAGGTATTGGGAGACTGTTAGTTATATGAGATCCCTATGGATCATAACTAGGTCATATATAATAATAATCTATTTACACTACGTTAATCATAGACGCTTTTAAATATAAGATATCAAAAGAATTGGCTAAACATCAACCTGATTTTAGAGATAATTGGTATTATAATGGTTATATAACTTGAGATACAGAGTAGAGGTTATGAGTGCAGGATCTGTAGGTAGATAGGCTGAGTTTTAAGTCTAGCTTAACTGTAATACCTTGTGCAAATTACTTAATCTCTATCTAAAATTCCTAATTTGTAAACTGGAAGTGATAATGAATACTCCTCTCAATGGGTTATTGCGCTGACAAAATGAGCTAATATATATAAAGTGATAAGACAAGTGTCTGCCATATAGTGAGGAGTGAAAAATGTTAGTGTCTATTATTACTCAAGGTTATTCAGCTCATTGGTAACAGAATCAGAACTGGAAGTCAGGTTTACCCACTCCCAAACAAACTAACCTTCCAAACCTAGCATGACATGTCAAAAGTAGCAATGACTTCTTTGTTTTGAGGAGAGGGATTTGATAAAAATAAGCACGAATAAGTCATACTAGCAACTACTTTTTAGAGCAATGAAAGGCAGATTCTGCTCACCAGCTAGTTAGTATTCAGATCTCAGTTGACTCATTTTAAGAGGGCAACAAATTCATTAGGGTAGATGGTAAAGGGTAGAAAGGAAAGTTTTGTTTAGATATCAGTGCTAACATTGTGCTTCCTATAAAAAGGATAAGAAAAAAGATGAGTAAAAAGACACAATAACAAAAGTCTGCCTAAAATATTTTTAAACATCCAAATCCTATACTTATCCACTGAAGCAGAAATGACAACACTCCTAAAAGAGTGAGGTACCAATTTTTAAGAGAACCAAAGAATATATTTTTGTTTAAAAAATACTTTTATGCTAAGAGTGATATGGTTTGGATTTGTGTCCCCTCACAAATCCCATGTCGAATTGTAATCCCCAGTGTTGGAGAAGAGGCTGGGTGGAAGGAGATTGGAACATGGGGGGTGGATTCCCCCTTGCTATTCTCCTGGTAGTGAGTGAGTTCTCACATGATCTGGTTGTTTAAAAGTATATAGCACCTTCCCCTTTGCTCTCTTCCTCCTACTCCAGCCATGTAAGATGTGCCTATTTCCCTTACTGCAATGACTAAGTTTCCTGAGTCCTCCCCAGAAGCAGATGCCTGTATAGCCTGCAAAACCATGAGCCAATTAAGCCTCTTTCCTTTATAAATTGCCGAGTCTCAAGTAGTTCTTTATAGCAGTGTGAGAATGAACTAATACAAAAAGTTATTCTATTATTGCCTTGATCATTATACTTTCTAGTAGCTAATGTTTTGAAGATGTGAAAAGTGACATAAGTAAATACATTTGTATTTCAAAATAAGCAACTAACTGTACTCTAAATTATATTATGTGCAAATTATTAGTAACCAGTTTACCTGATTTGGTATTGTCCTTTAGTTCAAAACTCTTCTACTTAGAGTACGTGTCAGTTAACTTCAGCTGTATAATACAACATCTAAAATAACCGTTGCTTAAACAAGACAGAAGTTTAATTCTCTTACATTTAAAAGAAGCCTGGAAGTAAGCTGGTAGAGTAGCACCTCAAAGTTGTACCAGATTCAGGTTCTGTGCAGCTCACCTCACAGCTGTTCCTGGAGGACAATTGCTTTCTTCACGGTCTGTGCTGGTGCCTACACATACAACTGTATCATCGCATCCACTACCTAAGCAAGAGGGTGAAAAAGGAGACTAGCCCCCTTTTCAAAAGAGATTCCCTAAATACCCCATACACGTCTGCCCTTGTCTCATTGACAGGAACTCAGTCACTGGGTCATTCCTAAGAGGGAGAGAGGCTGAAAACTACATTGGCTGAACAGCACTCTTACTCAAGAAAACGGAGTGAGTATTGGGAGACAACTAGCCATCTGTGCCTGAAAAAGAAATCAAAGAATAGAATAGAGTAGAATAGCCTGTTGCGAGTGGGCAAGTTTTTTGTTGTATTGGCTGTGAGTTGGTGGGTAAACTGTGGATCAATGGAGGAGTAGCTTTGTACAGGCTGAGGGCCTACTAAACATGTGGAGATACCAGCCCACATATTTGTCATACTCAATGTGAATTAGGTCAACTGTGTTTCATTCCTCTGTTTATTTGTTCCTTCCTGGTGAGGCACTTTTATCCAGGCTAAAAATGATTTTCAGGATTTGGTAACCAGTGCAGACTTGAGATCCTGATTGCTTGGATCTCAATCCTGGTTACTCTTTTAACTAAATGTATGCATTGGACAAATTGTTTAATTTTTGTCTACCTCAGGCTCCTCATCTATAAAAATGAGGAAAATAACAAAATCTACTTCATGGAGTTGGTGTAAGGATTACATGAATTGATAGAGGTAAAGCATTTATAACAAGTCTTTGCACACAGTAATTGTTCAAAAAATGTTAGCTGTTATCAACTGCAGACTTGTGCTCTAGAAAAAGACAGTGGACTACAGCCTGCAATCATGCAGGTGATAGCCAAAAAGTAAAATCCACAGTGCAAGGCAATGTTTGATGTTAACGTGGGAAGTAAGGGGGTTGGTTTTGTTATACTAGATTTGGAATCAATTCTCCCTTCTGTGGAGTGAAGTTCTGTAAAACGTTCATACTGCCACACATAATTCAGAAATGGTCAAGTGAAAGTTATTGACTATAATGGAGAAGAACACAGATTAAGATGTCAGAGAGTAAAAGCATCCTACAAAGAGAGAGAAAACATTACAGCACCAAAGAGGTGGCAGGTGTTTTAAGAATTGGTAAATACAGAAGCAATTGCTTTGAGTTTCATACAATGAAAAACAAGGATAATTGGCCTATAGAAATGAATGTGAATGATGACTGTCTAAAGTGTAACTCTTGAGTACTTTCACAGACTGTGGATTCTATGTGGCTATTGTTAAATGCCTTGAAGCAGCATGAAATGTGTGTAATGTAGGACAAAGACAAGGTTCATCAACCCTGACCTGGATTATGAAAGACTAGACTTACATTTCACTAAGTCACAAAAGTACTTGTTATAAAAAAATTGAATTTAATATGAGAATACTAATCTATATCATTTGTAATATGTTTATATATAAAACACACATATATTTCTATTTAAATTAATCATGAAATTTTCAATTCATTCTGTGACTTGATAATACTCAACTTATCTGCTTGACATTATAAAATACAGAGTTAAAGAACCTCTTCAGGTTTTGTTCTGGATATCTGAATTGGGTGGACCCCAAAGATAATCACAGTTGGCTCTCTGTATCCATGAGTTCCACATCCATGGATTCAATCAACCACATATTGAAAATATTAGAAAGGAAATGGATGGTTGTGCCTGTATTGAACATGTACGGACATTTTCTTGTCATTATTCCCTAAACCATATAACACAGCAAATCTTTACATAGCATTTAACTTATACTAGGTATTATAAGTAATCTAGAGATCATTTAATGTATACAGGAGGATGTATATAGTTTATTTACAAATACTACACCATTTTATATAAGGAACATAAGCATTCATGGATTTTGGTATCCACAGGGGTCCTGGAACCAATTCCCCATGGATACCAAGGAATGACTGTACACTGACCTGGTACCCATGGCAAGCAAGATGAGCAGCATCCCAAGCAGAATGTTGCCTTTACCTGACTAATTCACCCCAAACTGTGCTGCATGTAATATTTCTTCGATGAAGAAGCAAGAACAATATTTTAATTAAAAATGTCCTATTTTAATAAGCCCATGTGAGGTAAAAAGGTCTTTAAAATTATCATTGATAAGGAAAGAATGTGAAAAATGTCAGACCCCTAATACTGTATCTCATGTTTGAAAGAATTACTTTTCCTCTTTAGTTCAGATAATTTATTTAGTCGGTTCAGTTTAATTTAGTTCAGATAATCAGATAGATCCTTTATTTTAAAGGGGGAAACAAAGATGTATTTGAGGTAGTGGTCTTTGTGAATGACTTATACATAGCTGGGGGCCTTGCTGGACATATTTATATCCTAGAATGAGAACAGCAAAGCAATATGCAAAAATGTATGCATAGTTTTAAAATAACCACAGAGAATGGCAGAGAACAAATGTAAAATGAGCAACATAATAAACCCCTAAGCCCAAGCAGTTTATGGTACATTTCTCTAGACATTTTAAGATTAACATATGTATAATTTTTTTTACTGTAAGAGGGATAATATAAACACAATTTTATGCTTTATGCAGACAAGAACAATCTCTATCATATGTTTTTCACACATCCATGAGTCTAATTGTATTATTAAGTCCAATTTTCTATTCAAAAAACATTTGCCAGCATCTGCTATGTGCCAGACACTATTTTAGGTGCTGGAGAAATGATGGAAACCAAAACGATATTTCTATCTTCCTGGTATTAAGCATTCTACTTAGTTTGCCCAGTAATCATGAAAATTTTCTAATAAGGTAGAATTCATTCATTAGGGAATTAAGTCCAAAATCCTCTGCCAGGTGATGGTTCCCAAGGTAAACATTATTATCCAAAATCTTTAATGAGAGGGGAGCCCTTGCAAAACACCACAAGTAGGAGAAGTAGGAGAACTAAGGAATTACTGCTCCTCAAATGATGAGAAATCGTGGGCAAGGCGACTAAAGTCACAGAAGTGGCAGCTCTGGAAGGAAAGGGACAACCGTTTCTCACTTGCCAGTCTCCACACACAAGCTGAGAGACACAGCAAGAAAACACATGCTTCCTCTCTACTGTGTGTTTCTTTTTACCACACCTACGAATGTATAGCCTTTGCCATCCCAGATAAACATATACATTATACTTACAAGCAAACACACAGAGAAGACTGAAAACAGAAAACCGGTCAATTTACTACAACATGGGAATGACCTAGGAATTCGTATCCTTAAAAGAATCCAGGTGCTTGGAACTGGTGACCCCTCCAAAACAAAAGCTTCCTTTAAGTATGGATATGTCCTTAAAATGTGATAGAAATGTGTGTGGGGGGAGTGGGGCTGGGGGGTTGTAGGTTGGGAACTGAAAGTTCTGGGGAGGTGACCTCTGCTCCGCTGTTCCCAGCTACCATCTCTCTGTCTTTCCCAAGTCAAAGGCCAGATAAGTGTCAGCAAAGCGTTGGCTAGAGTCTCGGAATAGAGATCTTATACAGCTTTTCTCAGTTACAGATGGAGTGAGAGCCTGGGACAAGCATCAAAGAGTGATTTGGTGAATACAGGGGATCTGATACATGTGACACAACGGCCACTAGGGCGACAGGCTACTCCAACAGCGAGGATTTTTAAAGTAATATAAGAGTATATCTAAAACAGTCCAATAACTGACAGAGAGAGAGAAAGTCAAAACAAATAAACACATGCTGGTGATAGAAAACCTCTGTAGAAGACAGCTGATGATTTAAATAAAAATATACTGTGAGAATACCTGAAGCAATTACAAGTCCAACACAAAGAAAGGACTTTCTGGAGTAAACAGCATTAAACAAAGTAATTTTAAAAATTAGGATTTGCAAAGTAAATGACGCAGTGGATGAATTTAAAGAGTGCTTGGATTCTGTTGAGACCTCCTATAGTAGATTGAAAAATCAAGTAGAAGAAATATTTTCATAATGGAGAAAAGATACAAGGAGATAATAAACATAATACATCCTGGCAACATGCCTGAACACCAAGGATAAAAAAAAAAACTATTCCATATACAGAGAATACATTAAATGAAAAAGTTATCAGACTTACACAAAATTTCTCACCTGCAACATCAGATGAAAGAATTTAATGGAAAAACATCTAGAAGACCCCTGAAATTCAAGGACTGCAACCCAAGAACCTAGAACCATGATAAGGTGTCATTCATCTTTTAGTGTTAAAGGAAGAATTTTGAGAACATGCAAAGAGTCTGAGGGTATATTACCCATGTACCCAACTTTTCAAACGATAGCACAAAAGATCTAAAGACAGGGAAGATAAAGAGGAAAATAAATAATGGCAATCAATGGCTCTTGTATTTACTAATAGATAAATGTACTAGTGTAATCTAATATAATTAATTATAATAATCATAGAAATTAATACCTACTGTGGATTCTATGTGCCTACTGACTGCTTATATATCAAGTAATGCTTTAAGCATTTTTCATTTAATCCTCATGAGAAAGTCATAGCTATTATTACAGTGACTTCAAAACTCAAAGTTTTGAGCGAAGGAAATATAGAGTCAAATGTCTCAGCCCAGGAATACAAAGAGAAGTATAAATATTGTAAATTTCTTTCAGATGAGTGTTGTAGGGGTGAGGAGAAACATTTAAGGAAGAACAGTTTCTTTTAGAGAAAATGGTTATCTATGAAAGCAATAAAATTGAATATATTAATCATTTACTAAATTATTGATTAGATGATAAAAACTGAATTAAAAACCAAAACTGTAGCCAAGGAGTAGTGTTGGGTAAAAATACAAAACGAACAAGCAAAAAACTCAGCTACAGGCTATTTAAGAAACTCACTGAAATCAAAGTGATAAAGAAAGACAATATATACTAATTTCCTTTCTTTTGGATATATACCCAACAGTGTGATTGCTGGATCACATGGTAGCTCAATATTTAGTTTTTTGAGGAAAGTAGTGGGAGGTTGGGGGGAGGTGGGGGTGGTTAATTGGTACTCAAAAACTGGAAAGAATAAATAAGACCTACTATTTGATAGCACAGCAGGGTGACTATGGTCAGTAATAATGACTTAATTGTACATTTTTAAATAAATAATGTAACTGAATTGTTTGTAACTCAAAGGATAAATGCTTGAAGGGATGGATACTCCATTCTTCATGATGTTCTTGTTTTACATTGCATGCCTGTATCAAAACATCTCATGCATCCCATAAGTATATACACCTACTATGTATTCACAAAAATAAAATAAATAAAAAAGACAACACAAAAGGATTAGCAAAGCAAAGTGTATAAATGAAGACAGAAAGAATGCAAGAATATCAATAATATTGTCAGCTCAAGTGGAACTTTAAGTTTACCTACACAGGTAAAGTAATATTAGGTAATTATAATTTAAGAGTAGACATCATGTCCATAAACTTGAAGATACCTAAATATGATTGCTAAATATGTAAAGTAAAAACTGTTAGAAATCAAAGCAGAAGCTGACAATTTAAAAAATAGAATAAATTATAAATGGCTGTCAAAGATACATAGAATTTCACTTTAAAAATCAAATTAATAGCTATATATAGAACTTCACTTTTCTCCATTAGAAAATTTACACCTTTTAGTACTTTTATGGAACACCAACAAAAATAAATCATATACTTTCCCTCTAAGAAACATTGTGCTGTTCTTTCTAAGTTCTTACAGGTTAGCTATGCTGATCATATTATAATAAATTTAGTGAATGTTTGATAATGGTAGCCTATTTCAAATTAATAAACATACTTTTAAAATAACCCCTGGATCAAAGAGGAAAGCAAAACTGAAATATAAGCTATATAAAAAGCATATATAAGAAAACACTATCTGAGAATAATTGAGACATGGCAAAAGCTGTACTTAGGAAAATATACAGTCTGTAGTGCCTATAATATTAAAGATTAATGCATATCTTTTAAAATAGTCCTCATAAGAAAACAGAAATGTTAATTACACTTATTTTAAAAATTGGAAGATGAAATTAATGTAAAATATCAAAGCAGAAATTATATAAAATTAATGAATATAAGTTCAAAACTTCTATGAAGATACCAATGAAGCAAATAAGCCACTGATTAAGGAGAGGATGAGTAGCAAAAAAAAAAAAAAAAAAAAAAAAAAGCAGCATGAGTACTGAGAACAGGGACACATCATTTATAGAAGACATTAAATTTAAAAAATTATGTTTGAAATGGAAAAATTATAATTGAAATTACGGCAGTAAATTTCAAAGTGACAGGAAATAACATACTTCTTAGCAACATCTGAATTACCAAGCTGGACCTAAGACGTGGAAAATTAGTAGTATATCAATTAGCTATAAAGAGATCGGAAATGTGATGAAAGACATACTATTTGAAAAATAACCTGAATTAGGGGGATTCAGAGCAAATTCTGTCTAGCCTATTTTCAAAGTTATTTAAAATATTCAACAATGTAAAAGCTAAAAGGACATGGAAAATTCTTCAGTTGATTTTAGAAAGACAGCATAACTTTCATGCCAAAACCTAATAAAGATCAAACAAAAATAAAGACTAATTTTAATTATTTCAATGAAAACTTTAAAGTAAAATATGAATACATAGAACCTAGTTCTGTGTAATAAGATTAATACCCCATGACCCAAGTCTATTTCAGGAAACCTAACATAATCAATTACACAAACAAACAGAGGAAGAAAATCATACAATTATAACATTAGAAGTAGGAAAGGCATTTGACACATTTCATACATTCCTAAAGGAAATTCTGAATAAAATAGAAAACATAAAACACTGCTGACATATATTGGCAACTATTTAAAAATCAACTAATATTAACCCAAATATTAAAACCCAAAAACAATTACAATTATAATTGGAAATTGCACAGGGAAACACACTATTATTGAACATTGATGTGAAGATTCTAGTAAATATAATCAAAGAAAAAAATAAAATTGTCTGTATAAATCACGAAAAAGAATATATAAAACTTTGATGAACCTATTATACAATTTTAGACTTTGAAAACCCAAGAGACTCTAAGTTTAAAAATCTCTATACTCAATGTAATAATTCAATAAAGTTCTGAATGAAAGAAGCTAGAAGAAATCAGTATTTATCCTCCATTTTAGCAAAGAGTGAAAAACTTCTGCTTATAATAAGGAAGAAATAAATGTTTATTATCTGTGTTAGCAATAAGTAATTTGAAAAGAAAATAACAAAAGGTATTTGCAAGAGCAACAAAAATATAAAATCTTTAGAAATAAATTTAACAAGAAAGTTTTACATCTATATAAAGAAAACAAATGATTGAGGAAGAGATCAAAAGAAGTTGTAATGAAAGGGAATACATTCTATTTTCTTGAGTGATTTATATAACCAAAATAGAAAGTCTTAAAAATTTAACAATAAATGCAATTATAACTAAAATGCCAATAATTTTAATTTAATAAAATGATACGGAAGTTCATATGAAAAAAATAAATTTCCAAGAATAACCAAGAATAGCACAATAAAGGAAAAAAAGAATATCGAGAGTGGACAACATTTATTTGCCTTATAAGATATTACAAGATAAGTAATCATATCGATATTTTATTAGCATAGGAATAGTAGACAAATAGATCAGTGGAAATAAATAAGTCTATATTAAATGTATATGTGTGCATACTATATGTATAGGTAATAATCAAAGATACAGGTAATAATGAAAGATGCAGGTAATAATCAAAACAATAAGAGAACACATGACTCTAAAGAGAGTTGCTAGCAAAATTGTGGCTACTGGACAGTGAAGAACATCATACAAGAGAAATGGACAAGGACCAGTGAGTTGGTAGACAGAAATTATATATATATATATATATATATTTGCACAGACATTTGTGAGAAAACTACATGATAGTCCAATACAGCTTTTTAAAAGATGGATTGTTTAGAAATAATACTGAAATAACTTGCTACATACCTAAAAGTATTAAGTTGGAACCCTTTCTTACGTCATATACAAACATTAGTTTCAGATGATTTAAACACACTTATTTAAAGAAAAGGTAAAACAAAACTTATAAAACCAACACAAGAAGACTCATTCCAAAACCTGAGATTACAAATACAAATAAGACCTTAGTGATTCGAGAGGCTGAGGCAGGAGAATCGCTTGAACCCAGGAGGTGGAAGTTGCAGTGAGCCAAGATCGCCACTGTACTCCAGCCTGGGTGACAAGAGCGAGACTCACTCTCAAAAAAATAAAAATAAAAAAGACCTCAGTGCTCAAGAAAGAAAACCTAAATTGTATAGAAATATGATAGAAACATTTCACCATGTTAAAATTTTATAATATGGCAAAGATACCATACATGAAATAATTGATGCCCAGAGGCAAGGGGAAAAATAAAAATAAAAACGAAAATAAATTTAAAATAACATTTTGCATTAAAAACATAATACATGGAGCAGTGGCTATAACAGGCACTCAAGCTGCAGTTCACTATTGTACATTTTTATGTCGATTCCAAAACTTTCAATTTTAATAAGTGCTTGAAAACATTTCTTAATACTAAAATATTCTTTATATTTTTCATTCTAAACTCCCAAACCAGTAGCATATTGTCTCATCAAGCAGTAAAGAAACCTTGTTATTATTTCAATTTTCCTTCCTTTTTAAAAAATTCTTGCCTTTACTAGAATTGCAGCTCTCCACTGAGGACATAATGATCAAAATAGCAAGTTATCAAATGGGGTTAAATGCAATGTAAAAGCAGCATGGGTGTGGTCCCAGTTGCCAGACAATGAGATGCAAAATGACTAGTTTTTATGATCCACATCATCTTCTGATCTAGGCATCCAGCCAGTGGTCTACATCATATTCAAAAGGAAATTAAATTTTCATGACCGAAAAGTTGTTATATCAAAGATATTCTTCCAAAAATAAGGATTAATTGGATACCAAGAGAGATACAGGTAATCATCAAAACAGGAAGAGAACACATGACTCTAAAGATAGTTGCTAGCAAAATTGTGGCTACTGGACAGTGAAGAACATAGTACAAGGGAAATGGACAAGGACCAGTAAGTTGGTAGACAGAAATGAAATCAGTAATATAGCAAAGTCACTATAGGGAGCAAGTATTTGCTACTATGTAGAGCAGAACTATATCTATCTGACAAATTCAAAGTGCTGTTTATGAAGTTGTATTTATATAAACTAGATTTAGCAATAAGATAACTAAAAATGTTCTGAGGCAACTAACACATTTTCAATTAAACCACAAACCTTACTTATTCACAGATAGGAGCTAAAAGTATAGATTCTGGAGCCAAACTAAAGGCTTCCTGTAGTCTAATTTCAGATTTTCTGCTTATTTGTTGTGACCCTAGGTATTTTTCTTAACTTCATTATGCCTCACTTTTCTTATCGGTTCAATAGGGGGTTAATAATAGTACCTACCTCATAGGTTTGTTGTAAGGATTGTGTGTGTGTGTGTGTGTGTGTGTGTGTGTGTGTGTGTGTGTATGACTTAGAACAATCACTGGCAACATGTAAGTACTAGTAGGTGTTAGCTATTATGATTATCTTCTATTCAGTCAGCAAAATATATTTATTGAGTGTCTACTATACTCTGGATGCTATATTAGCACCTAGAATAAAAATAGTAATCAGAAATATAGTCTTAACTTCAAATAGTTCAATAAGGAGATGAACAAGTTACCAACAATTGCAAGTCATTGTAAAACAGCTCCTATTAGATATATGCAGTCTCCTGAGGAAACAAAGGTAGGAGCATCGCTCAATGAAACTAAAAAGTCAACAGAAACCCAATTCTAGATATGACTGTTGAGACGAGTCTTAAAGAATGGAGGAAAAGTGAAGAGTACAGCTTGTGAAAGTGATGAGAGAATGAAGCCTTAATATGTTACAAGGAGAATTACAACTCCTTTTTGCAACAGGTGGAGCTAAAGTCGGGGCAAGGGAGAGGAATGTGGTGAGGTGGTTGTTGTCAGGTCAGTGAAATGACACAGGAAAGAGAGGAAAAAAATAGTATGCTTGGGAATTTGAACATGACCCTAAAAGGCTTTTAAGTAAGGGAATGACATGCTCAGTCACCCCTGTACTCCAAGTCCAGGTTGGCCTGTGGAGAGTGACACTGGAGGCTGAGAGGCCAGTTTGGATGCCATCACAGTAATTCAGGAAGAACATTCTAAAGCAATGTCAGGAAGGGGAAGGAAAAACATACAACAATAAAGGAAATTGATCTTTAATACTTGGTTTCTAATTTCGTGTAGGAATTTGGGGAAACAAAGGAATTTACAATAACTTTCCAGCTCGTGTAGTTTCCAGCCCCTGCAGCTGGAAAGCTGGTGCAGCTATTCTTTAAAATAGAAACAAGAACAGATTGGCAGGAAAGTCCAGCATGAGGTATGTCATATGTGGGTTGTCTGTGGGACATCCAAGAAACCATTTTTAGTATGCAGCTAGGCTTCGCACCTGAGTCCCAGGAGAGATATTTGGGCTGGAGATACAAAACCGTGTGCCATCAGAACCTGGGCTATATATTATCCTATACCCTCAGGGAGAGTACACAAAATCAGAAGAGCAGAAGGCTAACTGTGGATCTTGAATTTTTTTTTACTTTAAAAATATCCGTGGAGAAAATTCTAAAATTAGTTTTAGACCAATATTTTAGCACATATTTTCTCATATCTAAATAAGTAAAGAAAAGCATTAGTGCATCAAATTAGGTGCGTTCTGAAAGATGCTAAAACATTAACATGGCAAATATTTACTTTTTGACACACAAACAGCAAAGAGTAATCTTTAGATTTATGATTTTATTTATACAGTTCTACAACTGTATATCAAAAATAAGGAGATTATATAAAATCTTAAAACAATTAAAGCAAGAATGTATTCACCAATTCAAATATGAAAACTGTGTTTCGGTGTCAGTATGTATTTCTTAAATCAGTCAAATACTAAAGATAATGTGCAACTGAAGAGCAAAGACCAAGTGGACAGTTGAATCAGTGTATCGAGTCATATGAAATTTTTTTTTTTTTTGAGATGGAGTTTTGCTCTTGTTGCCCAGGCTGGAGTGCAATGGTGCAATCTAGGCTCACTGCAACCTCTGCCTCCTGGGTTCAAGCAATTCTCCTGCCTCAGCCTCCCCAGCAGCTGGGACTACAGGCATGCACCAGCACGCTCAGCTAATTTTTGTATTTTTAGTAAAGACGGGGTTTCACCATGTTGCCCAGGCTGGTCTTGAACTCCTGACCTCAGGTGATCAGCCCACCTCAGCCCCCTAAAGTGCTGGGATTACAGGCAGGAGCCACCACACCCGGCCACATGAAATATTTTTAAACAAATTAAATGTGGCTTTATATATTTCACAGGATAAAATGGGTGGAGGCATACTAAATTACAAAAGATTCCTAGTTTAAGCATTCCCACCACAGAATAAACTTTCAGTTAAGATTTTTTTCCTGGGAGAACCACTAATATATTCCAAATAGATCACCAACCTAAGTATACATGTAATGCATTGTATAAATATCCTTTAATGATTCCCTCAATATTCTACATCTCGTTACTGGAGAAGGAACTTTTCACCCCAAACAATATTCAATCATTTGATCCTTGGAAGAAGATTAAAAACTGCCAGAAACAAACAAAATCCACATTATCATCAGAAACTAACAGATGCACTTTGGCAAAAGTAAACTGTCCCTTGACCTCCACGACAACCTTTTACTTATGGAAACTGTGACATCTGGTTCTTTTATAATTCATAACCCTCTTCTGCTTAAAGTGTTAGAATAATATGTATTTATATTACAATACAAGAAAGTAGTCAATGTGCTCCACATTTCACCAGCATGTGATTTAAAAATAAAAAGGGAGAAATAAAGAAAAAAGGAAGAAAGAAAAAGGAGAAAGAATGAATAAATGAAAAGACGGAAAAAAAAGGTCATGCTTATATCAATGCTCAAATTACAAGGGCTGAGCCCCATCTACTGATTGTATTTCCATCACTTATTCAGAGGGTATATTAGGCCATTCTTGCATTGCTATAAATACCTGAGACTGGGTAATTTATAAGAAAAGACGTTTAATTGGCTCACAGTTTTACAAGCTATACAGGAAGCACAGCAGCATCTGCTTATGGGGAGGTCTCAGGAAGCTTCCAATCATGACAGAAGGCAAAATAAGAGCAGGCACGTCACACGGCAAAAGAAGGAGCAAGACAGGGAGAGAGTGGACAGGGAGGTGCCACACACTTTTAAATGACCAGATCTCACCAGAACTCAGAGTGAGAGTTCACCTAACACCAAGGAGATGGCCCAAGCCATTCACCAGGGATCCACCCTCATGATCTAAACACCTCCTACCAGGCCCCACCTCCAACAATAGGGATTACAATTTAACATGACAGGACATACAAACCATATCAGAGGGTCTCTGTGTTTCTTGAAGCCCTCACAGGGATGTCTCATTTTGCTCACCAACCAATCTGCCAGCTACAAGTTACCAGATAGCATCTGTTCACTTTTCCTCTTTTGTTCCAGTATGTCCCTTTGGGTGACCACAGCAAAATACTCTTTGTAAGAATGCCAAGTCCATGCCAAGGGCATTCTCGCCTTCTGCTTCTAAAGCCACCTGACCAAATTCAGCTTCTGTGAAGGAAGGTTAAAAAAAAAAAAAAACAAAAACAAAAGAAAAGGCCTTTTCACCTGCAAACCTTGTCACCTAGACAACACAGCAGTGTTGTGTCTGCTCAGAGCCTACACATTCTTTACAGAAAACCAGTTTATTAGGTTGCTGTCTCACTACTCCCTTCCTATAGGCAACCAAACCTCATGTACAGGATGGAGTTAGGAAGAAATTCCGAAGTTTGTCATGTCTTCCCCTCCATCACTTGATCTCTTGAAGCTGCCTCTGCTGCCAAGAGCCTGGTGCACACAGACAGACATATGTCCATAAAACCCACCCGTAGCCACAAAATGAAAGCTCCATATGCTTCAAACTGTGCAAGTTGCAAACTTTGGGATTATTAAGTGTGTCATTTGAAAATAAAACAGATTATTATAATTTCCCTTGAAAATACATAAACAGAAAAAGCCAAACATGATGATGTACTAAAGCTGCTGCAAGAACATGCCGAGGAACATGCACATAGCTGGTCCTCTGCATGAAGGCAGTAGGGGTCCTTTGAAAATGCAAGGCTAACTGATACAGGATAGGATTATATTGTGCAAAATACCAAAATCATACTCAGCACCAAATTTCTTATATTAAAGATTATAGAACAGCACTGGGGATTTTACCACATTTTTTGAAACGAAGCTGTTAACCATTCATGCTACACCTAAATTTATTGAAAAATATAAATCACAGATTTTTCAGTGGTAGCCCTAGATATAATGACGCTCCAGTTCTGTAAAAGTGATTTTGAATGGTACCTACAAATACAGAAAAGCACATCCATTCCTGAATTAAAGCTTTACATTTTTTTGTGTCAGTAGATAATTAAGTTGCTTGAAAGCCTGAAATATTTAGCCATTAACACCATTCTGATGAAAAGTTTTCAAGTAATTTCATTAATCCTTTTTATATCATTAGTCAATATTTCTCTTATCTCCTTTTATTTAAAAATAATAATAATGAGACTTTCTCTCCTAAGTGAATAGCATTACCTTTTATAATCTTAGAGCTTTATTAAAGGCCGAGACAGAGGAAATAGAAAAGTAAACAGTGGCTCATTCAAAATAAGTTACATTAAAAAAAAGTATGAAATGCAAGAATTAATTATGATGCTGAATAGCTAAGGTCCTGTATAAGAAAGAAAAGAAAAATGGTGGCGAGTTAAAGTATTCTTTCAAATGCTTTACAAAGCAAGCTGTTAAGACAGAATATTTTGAAGAGAAATAATGTAATTGTACTTCTTTGATTCTAGACTCCTCAATCATACAATTAAATGTTGGCACTTTAATTTTGCTTGTTCAGCCTTTCATGTTTGTATGCATATATGCATGTACATTTTGGGTAATAATATAAGGCTATTAAAATGCTAGCAGAGTTCACTTCTTTCTCTTTAAAATTGTGTGTCTTAACACGTTGTTTTATAAAATATTTATAAGAATGCTTTAATTTATCCCATTTTCCTTCCTTTTGGTCACATTTATATATAGTAGAGTGTATGTGTATATAAATACATCTACATATCTATAATAATTCTCAAGACAAATTTTAAGTATGCTGATAAAAAGAAAATCTCTGAATACTGCTCAGTCTTAAGAAGCTCATTTTCATCTCTTAATTTACAGTCTAGCTTATCTTTGTCTTTGTGTAAAATTTCAAATATATACAATAACAGAGAAGAAAATAAAAGAACTTCCATGTGCTTATCGTTTAGAAATCATTTTAATAACTACATGTATAGTCCTAGTCCCAACGGTTTTGTTCATTAGAAATATGTCAGGATCCCACATAGTTCAATGCTCCACAGAGCATTCATCTCCCTTCTGGTTTCCCTCTTACCTCTATCTTTCTTTCTACCTTATATTCTTCCCTTACAACTTAGCCTTTCTCTTATTCTGTCTGTTCCTATTAAAGTTAAGACCAGAAAATAATAATAAGTATGCAAACAGAAAGAGAAAAAGACAGAATAATGGGCTAGAACCTGCCTCCGTCAGGTCTTTTTTATTTGTCACTTTCAGCACACCCAGAGCTTACATATCACCTAGACACACAAGTGACTGTTGTTCCAGCTTTCTTCTCCTCTGACATTCCTGTTTTACCTGCCAGAGCCTGTTATTAAAAATAATAATGCCATGGTTGCTTTTACAAAAATGAGTATTTCAGATTCACAGATATTAGACATAATATTCACAAACATTAATTAGTATGAGTTGCTCTACTTAAATTTAGCTCAGGAAATGGATCTCTGAGAGAATAGAATATTGTATTGCTGATGGCAGTGGGGATTAAAACTAGATGGTGTGATAGCAGGCAGTACTGTGGAGCAGGGGAAGATGCTGGGTTCTATGCCCTCTTGTGAGTTCTAGGGGCAACATTCGTGAGACAGCTGGGTTCCTGAGAACAGGGTGCAGAAAAGATCAGTTTTACTGCATTTCAAATTTACTTTAGGGCTGGCCTTGAACAGAGAAAAGGAGAGCCCTGATTTAAGCACCTAGAACTCAATGCAACTGGTGTTAAACCTTAACTGCATCATGATTAACCGGGCATCTGTGATATAGTCTGAATGCCAAATCAGCAACATAAGATTATAATTGTGGGTGAAAAGTTCTGCAAGATGACTTAGAAAAAAACACATTAACATAATTAGATGTTTATGTTATATAAGCTGCCTATATACTTTCATTATTGCTATACATGAAAGTATATAGTATAGTATAATGAAAGTATATAGTAAAGTATAATGAAAGTATACAAATATACTTTCATTATTGCTAAATTTTAGGGAATATTATGGTATTGTTCAATTGTTCTTGTATTTAACAATATATACTCAAAGATTTATGAATGATGTGAAATGTCTGGGATTTACTTCAATATAATCAGAGACAATGAGAGGAGTGTGAAAAAAAAGAAATAAGAATGCCATGAGTTGGTCATTGTCAAAGCTGAGTGACAGAAACATGGGAATTCATTTCATTGTCCTCTCCACATGTGTTTCAGACTTTACATAATAAAGATGTAATATAAATAATAGATTACAAAATTGTGTATATGTATATAAATATGTATATATTTTCCTTATGTACACAGATGTAACTCATTTTATTATACTTCACTTTATTGCACTTTACAGAAACTGTTTTTTACAGATTAAAAGTCTGTGGCAGCCCTGTGTTGAGCAAGTCTATCAGCACCATTTTTCAAAAAGCATGTACTCACTTTGTATCTCTTTACCACATTATGCTAATTCTCACAATATTTTAAATGATTTCATTATTATTATATCTATTATGGTGATCTGTGTCTAGAAATTTTTGATGTAATAATTGTAGTCATTTGGGGGCACCATGAACTGTGCCCACATAAGATGGTGAACTTAATCAATGAAGGACATGTCTATTCTGATTACTCTGACTATTCCTCCAACTCCGTCCCTCTCCTCGGACTTCCCTATTTCCCGAGCCACAACAATACTGAAATTAGTCCAATTAATAAGCCTACAATGGCCTCTAAGTGTTTAAGAGAAAGGGTCACTGTCTCTCACTTGAAATCAAAAGCTACAAATGATTAAACTTAGTGAGAAAGGCATGTTGAAAGCCAAGAGGCCAAACGCTAGGTGTATTGTGCCAAACAGCTAAACAAGTTGCGAATGCAAAGGAAAAGTTCTTGAAGGAAATTAAAAGTGCTACTCCAGTGAACACATGAATGATAAGAAGGTAAAACAGTCTTATCTGAGTGGTCTGAATAGAAGATCAAACCAGCCACAATATTCCTTTAAGCCAAAGCGTAATCCAGAGAATGGCCCTGATTCTCTCCAATTCATGAAGGTTGAGAAGCATGAGAAAGCTGCAGAAGAAAAGTTGGAAGCTAGCAGAGGTGGGTTCATGAGGCTTAAGGAAAGAAGCCATCTCCATGGCATAAAAGTGCAAGGTGAAGCACCAAGTACTGATATGGAAGCTGCAGCAGGTAATCCAGAATATCTAGCTAAGGTAATTGATGAAGGTAGCTGCACTAAACAACAGATTCTCAATGCAGATGAAACTGACGTGTATTGGAAGGAAACGCCATTAGGAGTTTCATAGATAGAGAGAGAAGTCAATGCCTGGCTTCAAAGCTTCAAAGGACAGGCTGACTCTTTTGTTAGGGGCTAATGCAGCTTTGACATTATGTGGAAGCGAACACTCATTTACCATTCTAAAAATCGAGGGCCCTTAAGAATTATACTAAATCTAATCTTCCTATGCTCTATAAATGGAACCAAAAAAGCCAGAATGACAGCACATCTGTTTACAGAATGGTTTACTAAATATTTTAAACCCACTGTTGAGACCTACTGCTCAGAAAAAAAAAAATCCTTTCAAAAGTTGCTGCTCATTGACAATGCACCCGATCACCAAGAACTCTGATGGAGATGTACAAGGAGATTGATGTTGTTTTCATATCTGCTAAGACAATATCCATTCTACAATCCATAGATCAAGGAATAATTTTGATTTCAAGTCTTATTATTTAAAAAATACATTTCTTTAGGCTATAGCTTCCATAAATGGTGATTCCTTTGATGGATCTGGGCAAAGTAAATTGAAAACTTTCTGGAAAGGATTTGTCATTCTATATGCCATTAAGAACATTTGTGATTTATGGGAGGAGGTCAAAATATCAACATTAACAGGAGTTTGGGAGAAGTTTATTCCAACCTTCATGGACTATTTTGCTGAGATCAAGACCTCAGAGGAGCAAGTAACTGCAGAGGTGGTAGAAATAGAGAACTAGAAGTGGAGTCTGAAGACACAACTGAATTACCGCAATCTGATGATAAAACTTTAAACAAATGAAAATTTACTTCTCATTGATGAGCAAAGAAAGTGGTTTCTTGAAGTAAAATCTATTCCTGGTGAAGATGCTGTGAACATTGTTGAAATGACAGCAAAGTATTTAGAGTATTACACAAACTTAAATGAAAAGGCAGTGGCAGGGTTTGAGAGGGTTGACTTCAATTTTGAAAGTTTTAATTTGGTTAAAAGCTATCAAAAAGCAACACATGCTGCAGAGAAATCTTTCACAAAAGGAAGAGTCAATTTATGAGAAAAAAATTCATTGTCGTATTTAAGAATTTGCCTCAGCCCGGTGGCTCACGCCTGTAATCCCAGCACTTTGGGAGGCTGAGGTGGGCGGATCATGAGGTCCAGAGATCAAGACCGTCCTGGCTAATATGGTGAAACCCTGTCTCTACCAAAAATACGAAAAATTAACTGGGCGTGGTGGCTTGCGCCTATAGTCCCAGCTACTCAGGAGGCTGAGGCAGGAGAATGGCGTGAACCCGGGAGGCGGAGCTTGCAGTGAGCCGAGATTGTGCCACTGCACTCCAGCCTGAGCAACAAAGCGAGACTCCATCTCAAAAAAAAAAAAAAAAAAGAGAATTTGCTTCAGCCACTCCAACTTTCAGCAACCAACACCCTGATCGGTCAGCAGCCATCAACATCGAAGCAGGACCCTCCAGCCACAAAGAGAATTATGACTTGCTCTGGAGGCCCAGATGATCATGAGCATTTTTTAGCAGTAAAGTAGTTTTAAATTAAAATAGGTACATTTTTGGACATAATGCTATAAATATAGTATAAACATAACTTTTGTATGCCCTGGGATGCCAAAAAACTTGTGTGACTCACTTTATTGGGATATTTGCTTTAATACAGTGCTATAGAACAAACCTGAATATATGTATTCTTCCAGTAATCAATCAGGCAAGCTTAGTATGCTATCTAGTATTTTCAACAGAAATATTTCTCTTTTTTCACCAAAAATAAGTAGCTGTGGAAAGAACAGAATTGTTTGATAGGAGTTAATGAACTTGCATTTGCTGTACCAAGAGACAACATTAGTATCAAACCCATGAATATAACATGCTGAAGCAGAAGGTTCACAGCTGTGAAAAGGAAACCTTTCTAACCAGACCACCAAGGGGGAAAAATTGCTGCTTCTTGATAGATGAGAGATGAAACAACCAAATTGGCTATTCTGAACACTGCCAATATTCCTGAAAGACAGCCCATGTCAGATAAACATCCTTAGTAAACATTAAGAAGTGGTGTTATGGTGGTAAAGTAACATTGGTATTTGGTTAAGACAAAAAAAGGAATAAAGGAAATACTAACCAGATAGAATTTTGCCTTTTGGACTATGTACAGGATATGTAATATCCATTGAAGAAGGATTTACCAGCCTCAAAGAACTCAGAGGTCCCTAGCATCATTTTATGCAAATCAGTTTCTTTGCTCCATTTATTTTATAATACATTGCAAAAGTTATACGCTTTTTCTATTGAAGCAAATATTCATATTTTAAAATAATGCATCTTGGAATCAGTAACCAGTATATTGAAAGAATACCTTCTTTCACAGTAGGAGTTGCTTATACTTATGTTGAGGATAAATTTTCTTTAAGAATAAAAATCACGAATATTATCTGTATAAGCACTGCTTTTATTCTCACCCTATTTTGTAGGTGTGGCAGGCAACAATTCAAAGGTTACTACCAGGTTGTAAATCCTTGTTCTTTAGTTCTTGTTAGTATTAACTGAAAAAGATCTGTCTCATCACATGAAAGAAGCACCAATAGGGCTGGCATGTACAAAAACCTTTCTCTCCTACAAGTTAGCAACAAATTTATACACACTGGCATTTTAATGGCTCTGGAAAATTTTATCCATCAATCTTTCAAAACCTAGTGAGGATAAAATAATCTTCTAACTTCCAACAGGAATTAGCTGTATCTAAAAGGAAGGAAAGAAGAAAAGAAAGAAAGGAAGGAAGAGAGGAGGGAAGGAGGGAGAGGGGAAAGGAGGGTGAGAAGAGAAAGGAAAGGGAGGAGAGAAAGGAAAGGCAGGAAAGAAAGGAAAAAAGTAAACCTGTGAAAGTGTAAGTTTTGGAGTACTTGATACTGAATATATTAGTAGTAAGCTATTGAGTGGAATTAACAAGATGGTAAAATGGGAGTTTTCTGCCATCATCACCCTGCAAAAGTATCAATTTTGACTACCACCTGTGGATGTCAGTAACTGTGGGATTTGGGTGTCCCCCAAAGAAGTTCCACCAGACTGTTGGATCACAAAAATCTGAAAATAGATGCATTTAAAAAAGCTAAAAAATAATTCATTTCACCTGCAGCACCTTACCCCAAGGCAGCATGGCTCAATGCCAAGAGAACCTCCCCTGGGCTCTGCCCACAGGGAGAAGTGACAGTGTGATGAGTGAGCACCTGGTTCCCTCAGCTATGCAGAACACTGCCCAAGAGATCCATTATCTTTCTCACCCAAAATACTAAGATGATCAGCATGGATGAGTAAATGGCTAAGAGAGTCTGGGAGCAGGGAAAAGAGGTCATATTCCTTAGTAACCAATCTGTGGACAACCACCCAAAACCACTTGGGATATCTGGCATGTGTACACCTCCTAACTAGCCTACAGACACCCTCAATGGTCCACACACCTTACACCCCTAACTCATAGCCTGCTTTCCACACAACACCCAGGTGGTGAGTATGAGTTTTGCAGACAGTTTATGACCACATGCAGCCAGCTGGCTTAACTCTGTGGAATCAGGAGAAGGCATACAAACTCAAGCATGCCAATGCATCACCCTGGGGGAAAAAAAAATGAAAGACTATCAGCACTTGGCTTGGCCTTCTTGGATCAAGAAAAGGCACAGAATCTTAACAATTCTCCCCCTGTCTAAAGAAGGCACAAGAGGCACTTTCATAGAAAATGCCTAAGTATCTCAGAATTCCTATCCTGGCTGACTAATTAATATGTTGCTCTCACAGAACTCTAATATGAAGGATAAAAACAAAAGTATTTAAAAATAACTGTAGGCATAATAATTTGTTAAAAAATTCATGATATTAAGGGATATAAATTTTGACATTAAAAAATCTAAACTGAGGAAGGGAGCTTAAAAGTGCAGTTTCATATGCAATTAAAATTCTGTTATCACCTAAAACTGTAAGACTCTTATAACTTATAGACTATTATAATGATAAAGTATTTTACAAAATCCTCATGGAAATTACAAAGCAAAAAATTATCATAGATACACTAAGATAAAGAGGAAAGAATCAAAGCATACCATTACAGAAAATTATAAAATCACAAAGGAAGGCAGCAAAAATGGTTTAAAAGAAAACAAAGAATATGTAACTCAACCATAAAAATAATCAATAAAATGATTATAGTAAGTCCTTGCCCATCAATGATTACCACGAATGTAATTGGATCAAATTCTCAAAAGACAGGGTGGCATAATGGATTTTTTAAAAAAGAAACAACTATATGTTGCCTACAAGATACTACTTCAGCTTTAAGAAAACATAAAGTGAAGCAATGAAATTTCACACAAATGGAAACAAAAAAAGAGCAGGGGTAATTATATAAGACAAAACAGACTTTAAGTCAGAAACTGTAACAAGTGATAAAGAAGGTCATTATATAAGGATAAAGAAGTAAATTCAGGTTGGGTGCGGTGGCTCATGCCTGTAATCCCAGCACTTTGGGAAGCCAAGGTAGGTGGATCACCTGAGGTTGGGAGTTTGAGACCAGCCTTACCACCATGGAGAAACCCCATCTCTAATAAAAATACAAAATTAGCCAGGCTTGGTGGTACGTGCCTGTAATCCCAGCTACTTGGGAGGCTGAGGCAGGAGAATCGCTTGAACCTGGGAGGCGGAGATTGCAGTGAGCCAAGATCGCACCATTGCACTACAGCCTGAGCAACAAGAGCAAAACTCCATCTCAAAAAAAATAAATAAATAAAATAAAATAAGTAAATTCATCAATAGGATAAAGCATTGTAAATATATATATGCACCCAATATTATAGCACCTAAATATATAAATCAAATATCAACAAAACTGAAGGGAGAAATGAACAGCAATGCAATATTAGTAGGAAACGTTAATTCCTCACTTTCAACAACGGATAGATCATCCAGACAGAAAAATCAATAAGGAAACATTAGACTTGAACTACACTTTAAACCAAGTGGACCTCACAGACACATACAGAATATTCCATCCAACAGCAGCAGAATACACCTTGTTTTCAAGCACATGCTAAACATTCTCAAAGACAGATAATATATGTTGGGCCACAAAACAAGCCTTAACAAATTTAAGAAGGTTAGAATAATAATTATCTTTTCCAACCACAATAATATGAAACTAGAAATCAATACCAAGAAGAAAACTGGAAAACTCACAAATATGTAGAAATTAATCAACATACCCCTGAACAACCAATGATCCAAAACTAAATTTTAAAAAATGTTAAAATGTCTTGAGGCAAAAAAAATTTAAAACAACATATCAAAACTTATGAGATACAGCAAAAGCAGTTATAAGAGGGAAGTTTACAGGGATAAATGCCTACATGAATAAAAAAGAAAGATCTCAAATAAACAACCTAACTTCACACCTTCAGGAATTTTTTAAAAAGTAAATAAACTAAGCATAGAGTTTGTATAAAGAAGGAAATAGCACAGATCAGAAGAGAAATAAATAGACACTAGAGAACAATAAAAAAGATCAATGAAACTGAGGTTGGTTTTTTGAAAAAATAAACAAAATCAACAAACATTTAGCCAGACTAAGAAAATAGGAGATAAGACTCAAATAAAGGATAAAATCAGAACTCAAAGATGTAACATTACAACTGGTACCACAGAAATACAAATAATCCGAATATTATTAACAATAACATGCCAACAAATTGGATAAGCTAGAGGAAATGGATAACTTCCTAGATATACACAATCTACCAAGACTAAATCATGAATAGGAAAACTGAGCAAACCAATAATGAGTAAGGAGACTGAATAAGCAAACCAATAATGAGTAAGGAGATTGAATCAGTAATCAAAAACCTCCCAAAAAAGAAAAAGCCAGGATCCGATAGCTTCACTGGTAAAGTCTACAAAATATTTAAAGAAGAATTAACATCAATCATTCTCCAGCTCTTCTAAACAACCAAAGAGGAGGGAATACTTCCAAACTCATTTTTCTTTTTTTTTTTTCTTTGAGACAGGGTCTCGTTCTGTCACCCAGGCTGGAGTGCAGTGGCGTGATCTCAGCTTGCTGCAACCTCTGCCTCCTGGGCTGAAGCAATCCTCCCACCTCACTCAGCCCCCCGAGTAGCTGAGACTACAGCACATGCCACCAGGCCTTGATTTATATATAGATATATATATATATATATATAGTTTGTTTGTTTGAGACTGAGTTTCTCTCTATTGCCCAGGATGGAATGCAGCAGTGCAATCTTGGCTCACTGCAACCTCCACCTCCTGAGTTCCAGCGATTCTCCTGCCTCAGCCTCTCAAGTAGCTGGGACCGCCCCACACCATGCCTGCCTATTTTTGTATTTTTAGTAGAGACAGGGTTTCACCACATTGGCCAGGCTGGTCTCAAACTCCTGACCTCAGGCAATCTGCCCACCTTGGCCTTTCAAAGTGCTGGCATTACAGGCATAAGCCAGCATGCCTGGCCATTTTTTCATATTTTTAATAGAGACAGGTTTCACCATGTTGCCCAGGGTGGCCTCAAACTCCTGGGCTCAAGCAATCTGCCTGCCTTGACTTCCCAAAGTACTACGATTACAGGTGTGAGCCACTGTGCTGGGCCCAAATTCATTTTTCTAAGGCCAACATTACCTTGATACCAAAGACAGCTGAGGGCACTACAAAAAAAAAAAAAAAAAAGTTACAGGTCAATATCACTGATGAATCTAGATGCAAAACTCCTCTATAGAATACTGGCAAACTGAATGCAACAGCACAATGTAAGCATAATATACCTTCAGCAAGTAGAATTTATCCCTGGGATGCAAGGATGGTACATTTGTACATCTCTAAATGTGACACACCACATTAAAAGAATGAATAATAAAAATCATTTGATCATCTCAAAAGATGCAGAGAAAGTATTTGACAAAATTCAACATTTTTTCATAATACAAACTCAACCAATTAGGAATAGAAGTAACATACCTCAGCACAAGAAATGCCATATATAACAAACCACCAGCTTACATCAAAAGCAAAAACAAAAAAAAAAACCCCAGCATACTCAAGAGTAAAAAGCTGAAAGCCTTTCTTCTAAGATCAGGAATGAGACAAGAATGTCCCCTCTACCACTTCTATTCAACATGGCACTAGAAGTCCTAGCCAGAGCAATTAGACAAGAAAAATAAACAAAAGCCAACAAAATAAAAAAAATAAGTAAAATTGTCTCTGCATGTTAGTCCATTTGGGTTGTTAAAACAAAATACTATAAACTGGGTAGCTTAAAAACAGTAGAAGTTTATTTTACATAGTTATGGAAACTGGAAAGTCCAAGATCAAGGCAGATTTTTGTCACTCATGAGAGTCAGCTTCCCCATAAATGGCATCAGGTTGCTGTGTCATCATGTGGTGGAAGGGGTGAAGGGTCTCTTTAGGGCCTCTTTAATAAGGGTACTAATGCCATTAGTGAGGGCTCTGTCCCCATGACCTAATTAGTCCTTTAAGGCCCACATCCTAATACATACCATCATGCTGAGGTGAGGATTTCAATATATGTTATGAGGGAACATAAACATTCAGACTATAGCACCTGTTTGCAAATGACATAATCTCACATAAAGTAAACTCTGAAACAAATTAAGTAAAGTTGAAGTCCACAAAATCAACATTCAAAAAATTTGTTGCATTCTATACACTAATGTCCCAAAAAGAAATTAAGGAAACAGTCACATTTACATTACCATCAAAAAGAATAAAACAAGAATTTAACCAAGGAGGTAAAAGATTTGTGTATTGAAAATGTTTGCAAACCCCGTATCCACTAAAACTTTAACATCTACAATATATAAGAAAATCACAAAATTCAAAGCAAAAAAAGACATATAACCAGATCAGAAAATGGACAAAAGACGAGAATAAACATTTTCCCAAAGAAGACATATGAATAGCCAACAAGTAAATTAAAAGATGTTCAACATCACTAATCATCAAGGAAATGTAAATCAGAACAACAATTATATGTATCACCTCACACCTGTTAAGACGGCTTTCATTAAAAAGTCAAAAGATAACAAGCATGGGTTAGGGTCTGGAGAAAAGGAAACTCTTACACATTATTGGTAGAAATGTATAAGTTCATACAGCTCTCATGGAAAACATTATGGAGGTTCCTCAACTAATTAAAAATAAAACTACACCCATTAACTCGTCATTACCAACATGGCACATGTATACATATGTAACAAACCTGCACGTTATGCACATGTACCCTAAAACTTAAAGTATAATAATAATAATAATAAAAAAATATTTAATAGGTTAAAAAATAAAATAAAATAAATAAAACTACAATATAATCCATCATTTCTACTTCTGGGTATATATCTACAGGAAGTAAGATCACTATCTTGAAGAGATATCTGAACTCCTATGTTCATTGCAGCGTTATTCCTAATTGCCAAGATATGGGAAAAAAACAAAGTGTCTATTGATGAATGGACAAAGAAAATACGGTATGTGTATATACGCAAACACACACACACAAAAACACACAATGGAATGTTATTTAGCCTTAACAAAGAAGGAAATGTTGCAATGTGTGACAACATGGATGAATCTGGAGGAAATTATGCTAAGTGAAATAAGCCAGGAACAGAAAGACAAATGATGCATGATCTTACTTATACGTGGAATCTAAAAAAGTCAAATTCACAGAAATAGAGAAGGGTGGTTATCAAGGATTGGAGATGGGGATAAAGAGGGAGAGGCTGATCAAAGTATATAAATTTTCAGTTATAAAATAAATAATTCCTGGAGATCTAACGTACAGCTTGATGTTTATAGTTAATAATAATGTATTTTTTACTTGCAATTTGCTAAGAGAGTAGCTCTTATGTATTCTCAGTACACACATTGAAAAAAGTGGTAACTATGTGCTGTGATGAATGTTAATTGGCTTAATTGTGGTAATCATTTCACAATGTATACATATATCAAAACATTACCTTGTACACCTTAAATATATACAATTTTTACTTGTCAATCATACCTCCACAAAGCTGAGGAAATTTTTTTAAATAGTCTGTTCACCAAAAGCAATTGCAACAAAAATAAAAATTGACAAATGGGACTCAGTTAAAGAGTTTCTGCAGGGTAAAAGAAACTGTCAACAGAGTAAACTATCAACAGACAACCTACAGAATGGGAGAAAATATTTGCAAACTATGCATTCAACAAAGGTCTAGTATTGAGAATCTGTAAGGAACTTAAACAAATTAACAAGCAAAAAATTAATAACTCCATCAAAAAGTGGGAAAAGGACATGAATAGACTTTTCACGTCTCCTTTTCAAAAGGAAACATACAAGCAGCTAACAACCATATGAAAAATTGCTCAGTATCACTAATCATTAGAGAAATGCAAATAAAAACCACAATGAGATACCATCTCTCACCAGTCAGAATGGCTATTATTAAAAAGTCAAAAAATAACAGATGCTGATGAGGTTGCCGAGAAATGGAAACACTTATACATTGCTGATGGAAATGTAAATTAGTTCAGTGATTGTGGAAAGCAGCGTGGTGATTTCTCAAAGAACTCAAAACAGTTACTGTTTGACCCAACAGTCTCATTATTGGGTATATACTCAAAGGAATATAAACAGTTCTACCATAAAGACACATACACACATATCTTCATCACAGCATTATTCACAATCACAAAGTCATGGAATCAACCTAAATGCCTATCAACAGTAAACTAGATAAAGAAAATGTAGTACATATATATCATGGACTACTATGCAGCCATAAGAAAGAACAAGAGCATGTCCTTTGCACAGCATGGATGGTGCTGGAGGCCACAATCCTAAGCAAACAAACACAAGAACAGAAAACCAAATACCACATGTTCTCACTTATAAGTGGGAGCTAAGCACTAAGTACATATGCACACAAAGAAGGGAACAGCAGACACCAGGACCTACTTGAGGGTGGAGGGAAGGAGGAGGGAGAAGATCGGAAAACAATGTATCTGGTACTATGTTTATTACTGGAGTGAAAAAATAATCTGTACACTAAACTCCTTTGACACAGGTTTACTTATGTAACAAACCTCGATGTGTACCCCTGAACCTAAAATAAAAGTTAAAAAATAAGTCTGTTTATTGATCAGTATTTCCTTCAGAAAATAAGAATATGTGTGTTTGTGCACATGCACGTGTTTGTGTGTGTGTGTGTGTGTGTGTGTGTGTGTTTTGGTCAGCACTTTTGAAAACTAAAGTGAAGACTTTATCTGCACTGATAAAATTTGATTTTTTTGTATATTTAATTTTCTGTGTCAACACTCTGCTGTGTTAGTTGGGTAAGTGAAACCAAGTGATAAAAATTTAAATTTACTAAGGATCTAGAAAGGCAACTATCCTTAAAGGACTAGCATTCAGAAATTAATTTGGAGTTTGTGAACTACTTTTTGCCCTGTTATGCTACTTAACTATTAACTTTGGCAAAACCTAACCTCTCTGCCCATCCATCAACATACAAAGAAATAAAACTAAAAATAGCAAGCAACGCCCCTGTCCTGAAGCAACCTACCCAGCATTACAAATTAAAGAAACTGAAGATTAGACTAAAGAAGTCCTTTGCTCTTTGTATCTAAAAAGTCTTGTTCTTCATAACCAAAATCAATTCATTCATAGGCTCATTAATGAAGTTTTCTCTTTGGCAAATTGTAATTAAATATTTCACACATGCTAAGCCACTATGCTTGTCACTAAATCTATAATTAGTAGGCCAAAACGTTACAGCTAAACAGGAAAAATAAGTGCTAGTGCTCTATACCATTGTAGGATAACTGTAGTTATCAATAATATATATTTTCAAATAGCTAGAAGGAGAATATTAAAAATTCCTAACACAAATAATAAATGTTGATATGATGGCTATGTTAATACCCTGATCTGTTCACCATACATTATGTGTCTTAAAACATTACGATGTACTCCATGAATATGTACAACTATTGTTTGTCAATTAAAAAAATAAAATGTATGGCTGGGCACAGTGGTTCAGGCCTGTAATCCTTGTACTGTGGAACATCAAGGCCAAAGGATCACTTGAGTCCAGCAGTTCAAGACCAGCCTGGGGAACATGGTGAATCCCTGTCCTATCTCTACTAAAAATGCAAAAATTACCTGGGTGTAGTGGCGCATGCTTGTAATCCCAGCTACTTGGGAGGCTAGACATTAAAATCACTTCAACCCAGAGGTAGAGGCTGCAGTGAGCCAAGATGGTGCCACTGCACTCCAGCCTGGGCAACTGAGCAAGAATCTGTCTCAAACATAATAATAATAATAATAATAATAATAATAATAATAATAATAAATTTAAAAGCATAAAATTTAAAACTTTAAAGTTTTCCTGTAGCTAACACATCACGCAAATTTGACTTTGCTTAATACCTTACTGTGAACTCTTGTCAATGTTAAATATTGTTATTGGACCTTGGCTTCCCTACTAGATATTGTTGTGGTATTTTATCATCTGCTGCTGGTTTTTTGTTTTCAAAGTTGTTTATTTTTTTCTAATTTTTTCCAACACTTAAGCACTCCTGAATTCCATAACTTCATAATGCATTGTAAATATTGGAAGCTTTCTGAAGAATTTAATAAGAGATATACTAAAGCCCATTTTAATGACTCACAATAAAATCATTCATGATGCCTTTATTAGTAATTGAATAAATAAACAAGATCAGGCTTTTACATAAAGTTCATTTTTAACAATAAAATGAATGTTTTTCAGGCCAATGGTTTGATTGGTACTAAAACAAATTCACCACTCTGGTTAAGAGCTGACATGGCAAATGTGCAGCTTATGACCACATTATTTCTTTGGGTATCAGAACTGAGACTTTGTTCTCATTAGCTCTGAGTAAATGAGTTAAACAGAACTAAACAGATAATGCCCTAGGTATATCAGGATATAGAAAATGAGTCTCTTAGGAGTTGAGCTCAAGTAATAAAGAGACAAAGGACATACTGGCATAACTAGAATTTTACGTTCTATAAATGTGCAGAAGTCAAATGTTATTAAATAGGTAGAACCACTGACATGGTAAAAAGAAAAACTCGTATGCTTTGAGAAACTGTGATTTTATAATTTTCTACAATCCACTGTTTATTGAAGAGCAGATAAATCTGAGTTGCACTGATTGCATATACTTAGTCTTTAAAGAATACATCACAATTGCTAGACTGAAAGGCCCTGGAGGCCAGGTCTTCATCTTTTGCCTCTTGGTATCTGTAGTACCAAACCCAGTAATGAATGGACCTGACAAATGCTGATGTCCTCAAACCTGTATGTATGTATGTATATATATATATATATATATATATATATATATATATATATATATATATATATATATATATATATGTCCATATGCTTTTATAAGCACTAAAGCATGAAAAATGCTTATTCTTTTCATTTCAGAGATGGTATGGAATTAAACAATGGCTTTATTGTGCAGCACCTAGCATGAGTATCAGGTAGTACAGTTATAATTTTTTGAATGAATGAATGCAGATTTGCAGAGAACCATATACTTTATAGCGATTTTCATCATACCTAAAAGAGTCAGGAGTATCCCTCTTTAAACATCTTTAGGAAAAATGTAAATGTAAATACAAAATATTTTAATTCTTTAATTTAGAAAACTCCCTGTTTTTTAAGACTCATATTTCCAGACTAGATTTTTAAAATTCATTTTATCCTGGCATTCACAACTGGGACTCCCCTCCAACTGAGTGTTTGCTGGGAAGACATGGACCCTTGCTTATATACTGATGTTTCCCAAACACATTGAACTGAATCCGGCCATAGTTGGTACTCCACATTTGCCAAATAAATAAAGAACATGTGAAAAAAAAATTGTGAGGAACAACTTGAATTTGCACTAAGCTAAATGAAGAAGTGATGTGCTATTCTAGAACACCTCTTTTGAATATCCTTATTTTTATTTAATCCATCATTTTTCATTGTCAGAGGTGCCAGATTTTATTTCTATGTGTCCTTCCAAATGCTGCTGAACTAGGACTGCCTCTGGTGACTTGTATGGCTGAAGAATCAGGTAAATTCTTTTCTTTGCCAGAAACAAGTATCTCTTTTAGGTAAAGGGGCCAGGTGTTTTCCTCTATTATCCCACTCAGCCAAGGGGCTTGACATACCCTCTGCATCATGTCAAATTCAATGTTTATTTCCTTTGACTGTTCTTACCTATTTTTATTTTCTTTTAATTTATCATATTGCTAAAAGGCAACTTGTTCCGTTTTCCAAAGTGGGCTAATTATTTAGTTCTAAGATATCCACCGTGCTGCCATTTTTTAGAATAATCAAAACATTCCTAATCTTAGTTCTCAAAATAAGACATCAGTTACAACTCTTAATAGCTTTTTAGTGGAGAACAGTACTGAGGAAAAATTGTTATTTGTGAGTTCTGCAGTTACTAGAAGGTTTTGTACTTCATGGACATTAATTTAGGGATTGTAGGGTAAACTGGAAACAAAAACCAAGATGCTCAAAGAAACAAAATGAAAAATATCTATTTTAGAGCTATTTAAAATGAATAGAAAATGTTTATGTTCATGGTGTTTAATGCCATTTATTATATATTTTCATTTTGTCAGTATATAGCATTTAAGAAGTGTATCAGTACTTAGCATTTAAGAAGTTGACCTTTTCCTAATCCTATCAGACTTTAAAAATTTAGTTGAGAAGGGAGGGCAGGCAGAATTAAATGATAAGCATAAATTAAATGAAAAAGAATTGAACACTTGCCTGTGGGAGGTGGTGGCAATCTGACATTTTTGCAATTTTCTAGAAGCAGATGAAAAAGAGAGAGATAAAATCCAGACATGTTTCTCAATAATTGGCATCAAAAGAGTATGCTTCTTTTTTTTTGTAGAAGATCAGACTTACTTAAAAGCATGGAGTTCACTCAGCAGCCCATAGTGCATTTTAGCCAATATTGATTTATAAACTTTCTTTTGGGAGGAAGGAAGAAAGGAAGAAGAAAGATTCATCCTGACTTGCTTCAAAACAAAATGAGGAATAGAGATACAATATTTATTTAATTTTTATGAACACAATTCTTTCACTTCTACATGAATGTTGGAATTTATCTAATCCAAACTTCTTTTGACTCTCATGGTTTGTTCCCTTGACCTGGAAGTGCCAAAGACATAGATATGACGTAGCTTATTTGTAAGTAGATGTTGCTCTCCTTGGTGCTACATGAAGAATCCAAATGGCAGAGAACATACTGATATTCTTTCTAAGAAGGCTTAGAGACAGATCTTGAGAAACACAGGGCTCCAAAGTCCATGAGAAGTTAATATCAGTATCATTTCTAAATAGAAATAAAACTATGGACAGAGAATGAATTAATAATAACAAGTAAGCATTATGGAAAAACAGCAAAGGAAACAGGAGACACTATTCTCGCCTAGAAACATGGTCTCCTGGTCTTCAGTCATTAAGTGACCATGGCAGGGGGTGTTTGGTCAGTTCATCCATACACACTCAAGATTATTTATTGAAATACTACTATATTGCTTGCACTCTTCCAGATACAGAAGATACCACAAAGAATTAGCCAGATAAGCTCCCTGATTTAGAGTGTCTCATACTCTAGTGAAGACAGTTAATTCATAATCAACAAAACCTGCTTTGAGGATCTAAGGGTAAGCAATGCTTTATTATACCCAAAGAATCTCCTCTATCTGGGAAGGCTTTACTTTTCCCACCAGATGGAAATGGTACTGATGCACACAGAACAGGGTCGGGTAACGGTGGAGGAGGGAAAATTAGTCCCTCTCCCTACCAGATCTGTGGAATCCATTCTATCAACCTTTCAGTTACCAAAATAGATCTGCCCTGACTCATAAGTTCATGTTTAGCTTCATGGTATGTAATGTATATCCTCTTAAAACGACACAAATGAATTGAAAGTTAATTCTACTTCTCAAAGTGCTATGAACTCCAAGAATGTTTTCTGCTCTATCTCCTGGGTAGAAGTTAAATCTGAGAAAAGTTACAATACCTCTGCATTTTTATTCCTCTCATCTCCAACAGTATTGTTAAAATAAGACATAATAATATGAAACCATCATCTACTCAACATCTTTCAATTTTGAAGTATTCTTTTTTTGATAACAATCCCATTCAGAACTATCAATCTTTATATAAGAAAGGCTGGTGGTACTTTTTTCTAATATATATCCTTTTCAAAGTACAGTACTTATTTTCTAGTATTTGTCCAATATTATAGTTTTCATGTCCTTTTATGGGAATGCTTCTGGAATTAGTACAATTTTAGAGAGTAAAAGTTTTCATAAGACTTCAAGTACTCTATAATTTATAGGACTTGAATATCATAATCAAAATCACTATACTTACAAGGATATTTATCAGCACATAGCAGTTACCTATAAAAGAATGTAATATAAAGAAAGAAATAAGGAGGAAGATGGAAAAATATTTCTTCAGCACTTGAGGTAAAACAGGAAAGTCACATGTAATGATGGTATTTAAACTTATCCACTCAAATTGTTCAAAAGTTGTCAAGAGATTTCAAACATACAGAAGACAATGTAACATAGTGGTTAAAAAACTTACCTTTTGAAGTCAGAAACATGAAAGCTGGAATTTCAACTCTATCACTTATGATTGTATGATTTTGGTCAACCAAGCTTCAGTTTCTTCATTACAAAATTGAGGTCATAGAACATATTTTGCATAGTTCTGAGATTAAATTGCAATGTTCACAATGCATGTAAAACATATTCAAGTGAATAAGAACATCTATTTAAACAAATATATACATATTTTAATAATCCAAGAAAAGAAAAAGATGCTTTACTCTCATAGTCATGGTATTGTATACTGATGTGTATGTATATGTATGTGTATGCTGACTCACTGTGCAAAAAGTCTATGTTTAAAATCAGGTGTGCCATCAGAAAAATAAATACTGCACATTCTTACTCATATGTAAGAGCCAAAGAAAACTGAGTTCATTCAAGTTCAGAGTAGAATTGAGGTTAGTAAAGTGGGAAGGGTTGGGGGGAAGGGAGGATAGGGAGAGGTTTGTTAATGGATAGAAAATCACAGCTAGATAAGAGGAATAAGTTCTAGTGTTCTATGACACCATAGGATGAATATATTTAATAATTTATTGTATATTTCCAAAAAGCTAAAAGAGAGGATTTTGAATCTTCCCAACTCAAAGAAATAATAAATGTTTGAGGTGATGGATAAGCTAATTACTGATTTGATCTCTACACGCTATATACACGTATCAAAATATCACTCTGTGTCCCATAAATATGTACAATTATTTCTTGTCAACTAAAAGAAAAAGAAAAAACAATGTGTGCCAATCTAGCCTCATATACCAAAGCATAGTACAATGTTACCTTTCCTTATTTAGGAGAAGCCAGTTCAATAGTATTGTTGGGAGGAGGAGCCAAGATGGCCGAATAGGAACAGCTCCGGTCTACAGCTCCCAGCGTGAGCGACGCAGAAGATGGGTGATTTCTGCATTTCCATCTGAGGTACCGCATTCATCTCACTAGGGAGTGCCAGACAGTGGGCGCAGGCGAGTGGGTGCGTGCACCGGGCGCGAGCCGAAGCAGGGCGAGGCATTGCCTCACCTGGGAAGCGCAAGGGGTCAGGGAGTTCCCTTTCCGAGTCAAAGAAAGGGGTGACGGACGCACCTGGAAAATCGGGTTACTCCCACCCGAATACTGCGCTTTTCAGACCAGCTTAAAAAACGGCGCACCACAAGATTATATCCCTCACCTGGCTCGGAGGGTCCTACCCCACGGAATCTCGCTGATTGCTAGCACAGCAGCCTGAGATCAAACTGCAAGGCGGCAGCGAGGCTGGGGTAGGGGCGCCCGCCATTGCCCAGGCTTGCTTAGGTAAACAAAGCAGCCTGGAAGCTCCAACTGGGTGGAGCCCACGACAGCTCAAGGAGGCCTGCCTGCCTCTGTAGGCTCCACCTCTGGGGGCAGGGCACAGTCAAACAAAAAGACAGCAGTAACCTCTGCAGACTTAAATGTCCCTGTCTGACAGCTTTGAAGAGAGCAGTGGTTCTCCCAGCAGGCAGCTGGAGATCTGAGAATGGGCAGACTGCCTCCTCAAGTGGGTCCCTGACCCCTGACCCCCGAGCAGCCTAACTGGGAGGCACCCCCCAGCAGGGGCACACTGACACCTCACACGGCAGGGTATTCCAACAGACCTGCAGCTGACAGTCCTGTCTGTTAGAAGGAAAACTAACAAACAGAAAGGACATCCACACCAAAAACCCATCTGTACATCACCATCATCAAGACCAAAAGTAGATAAAACCACAAAGATGGGGAAAAAACAGAACAGAAAAACTGGAAACTCTAAAAAGCAGAGCGCCTCTCCGCCTCCAAAGGAACGCAGTTTCTCACCAGCAGCGGAACAAAGCTGGATGGAGAATGACTTTGATGAGCTGAGAGAAGAAGGCTTCAGACGATCAAATTACTCTGAGCTACGGGAGGACATTCAAACCAAAGGCAAAGAAGTTGAAAACTTTGAAAAAAATTTAGAAGAATGTATAACTAGAAGAACCAATACAGACAAGTGCTTAAAGGAGCTGATGGAGCTGAAAACCAAGGCTCGAGAACTACGTGAAGAATGCAGAAGCCTCAGGAGCTGATGCGATCAACTGGAAGAAAGGGTATCAGCAATGGAAGATGAAATGAATGAAATGAAGCGAGAAGGGAAGTTTAGAGAAAAAAGAATAAAAAGAAATGAGCAAAGCCTCCAAGAAATATGGGACTATGTGAAAAGACCAAATCTACGTCTGATTGATGTACCTGAAAGTGATGCGGAGAATGGAACCAAGTTGGAAAACACTCTGCAGGATATTATCCAGGAGAACTTCCCCAATCTAGCAAGGCAGGCCAATGTTCAGATTCAGGAAATACAGAGAACGCCACAAAGATACTCCTCGAGAAGAGCAACTCCAAGACACATAATTGTCAGATTCACCAAAGTTGAAATGAAGGAAAAAATGTTAAGGGCAGCCAGAGAGAAAGGTCGGGTTACCCTCAAAGGGAAGCCCATCAGACTAACAGCGGATCTCTCGACAGAAACCCTACAAGCCAGAAGAGAGTGGGGGCCAATATTCAACATTCTTAAAGAAAAGAATTTTCAACCCAGAATTTCATATCCAGCCAAACTAAGCTTCATAAGTGAAGGAGAAATAAAATACTTTACAGACAAGCAAATGCTGAGAGATTTTGTCACCACCAGGCCTGCCCTAAAAGAGTTCCTGAAGGAAGCGCTAAACATGGAAAGGAACAACCGGTACCAGCCGCTGCAAAATCATGCCAAAATGTAAAGACCATCGAGGCTAGGAAGAAACTGCATCAACTAACGAGCAAAATAACCAGCTAACATCATAATGACAGGATCAAATTCACACATAACAATATTAACTTTAAATGTAAATGGACTAAATGCTCCAATTAAAAGACACAGACTGGCAAGTTGGATAAAGAGTCAAGACCCATCAGTGTGCTGTATTCAGGAAACCCATCTCACGTGCAGAGACGCACATAGGCTCAAAATAAAAGGATGGAGGAAGATCTACCAAGCAAATGGAAAACAAAAAAAGGCAGGGGTTGCAATCCTAGTCTCTGATAAAACAGACTTTAAACCAACAAAGATCAAAAGAGACAAAGAAGGCCATTACATAATGGTAAAGGGATCAATTCAACAAGAGGAGCTAACTATCCTAAATATATATGCACCCAATACAGGAGCACCCAGATTCATAAAGCAAGTCCTGAGTGACCTACAAAGAGACTTAGACTCCCACACATTAATAATGGGAGACTTTAACACCCCACTGTCAACATTAGACAGATCAACGAGACAGAAAGTCAACAAGGATACCCAGGAATTGAACTCAGCTCTGTACCAAGCGGACCTAATAGACATCTACAGAACTCTCCACCCCAAATCAACAGAATATACATTTTTTTCAGCACCACACCACACCTATTCCAAAATTGACCACATAGTTGGAAGTAAAGCTCTCCTCAGCAAATGTAAAAGAACAGAAATTATAACAAACTATCTCTCAGACCACAGTGCAATCAAACTAGAACTCAGGATTAAGAATCTCACTCAAAACCGCTCAACTACATGGAAACTGAACAACCTGCTCCTGAATGACTACTGGGTACATAACGAAATGAAGGCAGAAATAAAGATGTTCTTTGAAACCAACGAGAACAAAGACACAACATACCAGAATCTCTGGGACGCATTCAAAGCAGTGTGTAGAGGGAAATTTATAGCACTAAATGCCCACAAGAGAAAGCAGGAAAGATCCAAAATTGACACCCTAACATCACAATTAAAAGAACTAGAAAAGCAAGAGCAAACACATTCAAAAGCTAGCAGAAGGCAAGAAATAACTAAAATCAGAGCAGAACTGAAGGAAATAGAGACACAAAAAACCCTTCAAAAAATCAATGAATCCAGGAACTGGTTTTTTGAAAGGATCAACAAAATTGATAGACTGCTAGCAAGACTAATAAAGAAAAAAAGAGAGAAGAATCAAATAGACACAATAAAAAATGATAAAGGGGATATCACCACTGATCCCACAGAAATACAAACTACCATCAGAGAATACTACAAACACCTCTACGCAAATAAACTAGAAAATCTAGAAGAAATGGATACATTCCTCGACACATACGCTCTCCCAAGACTAAACCAGGAAGAAGTTGAATCTCTGAATAGACGAATAACAGGAGCTGAAATTGGGGCAATAATCAATAGTTTACCAACCAAAAAGAGTCCAGGACCAGATGGATTCACAGCCGAATTCTACCAGAGGTACAAGGAGGAACTGGTACCATTCGTTCTGAAACTATTCCAATCAATAGAAAGAGAGGGAACCCTCCCTAACTCATTTTATGAGGCCAGCATTATTCTGATACCAAAGCCGGGCAGAGACACAACCAAAAAAGAGAATTTTAGACCAATATCCTTGATGAACATTGATGCAAAAATCCTCAATAAAATACTGGAAAACCGAATCCAGCAGCACATCAAAAAGCTTATCCACCATGATCAAGTGGGCTTCATCCCTGGGATGCAAGGCTGGTTCAATATACGCAAATCAACAAATGTAATCCAGCATATAAACAGAGCCAAAGACAAAAACCACATGATTATCTCAATAGATGCAGAAAAAGCCTTTGACAAAATTCAACAACCCTTCATGCTAAAAACTCTCAATAAATTAGGTATTGATGGGACGTATTTCAAAATAATAAGAGCTGTCTATGACAGACCCACAGCCAATATCATACTGAATGGGCAAAAACTGGAAGCATTCCCTTTGAAAACTGGCACAAGACAGGGATGCCCTCTCTCACCACTCCTATTCAACATAGTGTTGGAAGTTCTGGCCAGGGCAATCAGGCAGGAGAAGGAAATAAAGGGTATTCAATTAGGAAAAGAGGAAGTCAAATTGTCCCTGTTTGCAGACGACATGATTGTTTATCTAGAAAACCCCATTGTCTCAGCCCAAAATCTCCTTAAGCTGATAAGCAACTTCAGCAAAGTCTCAGGATATAAAATCAATGTACAAAAATCACAAGCATTCTTATACACCAACAACAGACAAACAGAGAGCCAAATCATGAGTGAACTCCCATTCACAATTGCTTCAAAAAGAATAAAATACCTAGGAATCCAACTTACAAGGGATGTGAAGGACCTCTTCAAGGAGAACTACAAACCACTGCTCAAGGAAATAAAAGAGGATACAAACAAATGGAAGAACATTCCATGCTCATGGGTAGGAAGAACCAATATCGTGAAAATGGCCATACTGCCCAAGGTAATTTACAGATTCAATGCCATCCCCATCAAGCTACCAATGACTTTCTTCACAGAATTGGAAAAAACTACTTTAAAGTTCATATGGAACCAAAAAAGAGCCTGCATCGCCAAGTCAATCCTAAGCCAAAAGAACAAAGCTGGAGGCATCACACTACCTGACTTCAAACTATACTACAAGGCTACAGTAACCAAAACAACATGGTACTGGTACCAAAACAGAGATATAGATCAATGGAACAGAACAGAGCCCTCAGAAATAACGCCGCATACCTACAAGTATCTGATCTTTGACAAACCTGAGAAAAACAAGCAATGGGGAAAGGATTCCCTATTTAATAAATGGTGCTGGGAAAACTGGCTAGCCATATGTAGAAAGCTGAAACTGGATCCCTTCCTTACACCTTATACAAAAATCAATTCAAGATGGATTAAAGATTTAAACGTTAGACCTAAAACCATAAAAACCCTAGAAGAAAACCTAGGCATTACCATTCAGGACATAGGCATGGGCAAGGACTTCATGTCCAAAACACCAAAAGCACTGGCAACAAAAGCCAAAATTGACAAATGGGATCTAGTTAAACTAAAGAGCTTCTGCACAGCAAAAGAAACTACCATCAGAGTGAACAGGCAACCTACAACATGGGAGAAAATTTTCACAACCTACTCATCTGACAAAGGGCTAATATCCAGAATCTACAATGAACTCTAACAAATTTACAAGAAAAAAACAAACAACCCCATCAAAAAGTGGGCGAAGGACATGAACAGACACTTCTCAAAAGAAGACATTTATGCAGCCAAAAAACACATGAAAAAATGCTCACCATCACTGGCCATCAGAGAAATGCAAATCAAAGCCACTATGAGACATCATCTCACACCAGTTAGAATGGCAATCATTAAAAAGTCAGGAAACAACAGGTGCTGGAGAGGATGTGGAGAAATAGGAACACTTTTGCACTGTTGGTGGGACTGTAAACTAGTTCAACCATTGTGGAAGTCAGTGTGGCGATTCCTCAGGGATCTAGAACTAGAAATACCATTTGACCCAGCCATCCCATTACTGGGTATATACCCAAATGACTATAAATCATGCTGCTATAAAGACACATGAACAGGTATGTTTATTGTGGCATTATTCACAATAGAAAAGACTTGGAACCAACCCAAATGTCCAACAATGATAGACTGGATTAAGAAAATGTGGCACATATACACCATGGAATACTATGCAGCCATAAAAAATGATGAGTTCATGTCCTTTGTAGGGACATGGATGAAATTGGAAATCATCATTCTCAGTAAACTATCTCAAGAACAAAAAACCAAACACCGCATATTCTCACTCATAGGTGGGAATTGAACAATGAGATCACATGGACACATGAAGGGGATCACACTCTGGGGACTGTGGTGGGGTGGGGGGAGTGGGGAGGGTTAGCATTGGGAGATATACCTAAGGCTAGATGACGAGTTAGTGGGTGCAGCGCACCAGCATGGCACATGTATACATATGTAACTAACCTGCACATTGTGCACATGTACCCTAAAACTTAAAGTATAATAAAAAAAAAAGAAAAGCAAAAAAAAAAAAAATAGTATTGTTAACACTTTTGTCCATTGTATTAGTTCTCTATTACTGCACAAATCAGAAAAATATTAGTGGTTTATCATGCTCTCACTTACAAGTGGGAGCTAAATGTTGAGAACACATGGACACATAGAGGAGAACAACAGACACTGGGGCCTACTTGTCTGGGCCCCAGTGGGTGGAGGGTAGGAGGCAGGAGGGGATCAGGAAAGATAACTAGTGGGTAGGCTTAATACCTGGGTGACAAGATAATCTGTACAACAAACCCCCACAAGTTTACCTATATAACAAATCTGCATATGCACCCCTGAACTTAAGTTTTTTTTTAAGAAAAAAAAAAATAAATAAAAATTTAGTGGTTTAAAACAACACAAATGCATTATCTTACAATTCTAGGGGTTCAGAAGTCCCAAATCAGTTTCAGCAAGTTAAACATGACCAGGGCTCATTCATTTTTCGCGACTGTGAGGGGAGAATCTGTATCTTTGTCTTTTCAGCTTCTAGCGGCCACTTAGATTTCTTGGTTTGTGGCTCCTTCCTCCATCTCCAAAGCTCATCACTTCATTGTCTTTCTGCCATCACATCTCTTTTTCTGAGTCAGGTTCCTCTGGATTCCCTCTTATAAAGATCTTTGTGATTACAGTTTGCCACACCCAGAATCATCTCCCCATCTCAAGATCCTTAATTTAATCATATCTGCAAAGTCACTTTAGTTAAATAAAGTAACATGCACAGGTTCAGCGCATATGAGATGAAGGTTTTGAATTAGGAGGGTGTAATTCAGTCTACCACACCCATGTAAGATAATAAGAGATGCTAATTTTGAAAAATTGTAATGCAATTAAATACACTTAAGAGAATAATTCTGAGTATAGCCAATTTTCAAGGTAGAAGAAAATCAGAATCTTATAATGATGAAGGCATTGTAAAAATGAATATTATTTTACAATGGGTACTGAAGTGTCAATTGATAACAACTAAAACAGCTTCTTTCTGTCCTCCCCAATACCAACAGCATAAAACCTTTAGCTAGGTATTCAGTCTGTACAAAATAGATTTTTAAGAAATAATTTTTCCCTAAAACCTCAGAAGAAAAGGAAAACAATCATTTTCTAGAAAGAAACATCATCAGAAAGAGTTTCAGATTCTCCCACAGAGCTGTAGATTTTCGGTGATCAGGTGACAGATGACAAGGTGAGAAACATAAGAGAAGTAAAGGCTGTAGAAATTACACACTGGGGCTATTTTTTCCTAATAAATACAAGATGAATCACTCTTGAGGAAGGTGAGAAAATTCCCTCCACAAAAACTTAGAGCTTACATTAATCAGTCCACATTATGCAACTAGAGCCCAGGGTGAGTCAGAGGAGACTTTGTAAAGCCTCTTCTGCTAGGTAAGGTTTGCTTCTCAGACTGACCCCACGTGTTAATGAAGATTTAGATGTGTACCAGGAGGCCACAGCATCCTCTTGGAATGCCTAGAAATAGATACAGGTCATAAAGGGGAAGCCTTGAACTTGCCAATGTCACTGGGGGACATAAATGCTATAAAGAAAGTCACTAGTCAACTTATTTTGAATATGAGCTATCCAAGGAAGTTTTCTTTGCACCAGAGAAAGAATTATAAGATAGAAGAAACTATGGCTCAGTTTGAGAAGAAAACTGATAAGAAACAGAATTGCAAGAATTTCAAAATGAAACGTACTAAACAGGATATCTGAAATTAGTTTTACAGAAATAAATGACATTTTCAACATGAATTTTGCTTTGGTGACATACACAGAATGAAGAGAAAGTGAAAGGAGATATTACTGGGTAAATGGTAGTTGGTAGACCTGGTTCACTTCAGTAGTTTATCATTTAAGTAGCTATCTTTAAAGAAGGAAGTCAGTGAATAAAATCATGAGGTTGTAATTGGATTAATATTATCAATAGTATCCCAAGAAAATGAAATGTGGTTTCTATTAAACCAAGTTCAGAATAGTTCATGGAATAGAAATGTTATAGAGTAACATTTATTATTTTAAGAACCAGCTTTTTCTGACTACTGATAATATTGGACATCGAGCAATTGGATTTTTAAAAAATGAAAACATAAAAATGTTAAAAGACGCTCCAAAGGTCATTTTTTCATGTATTTTTATAGCAATGATGTTTTTCTTTAAAATATATGGAGGAAAATATGATAATACATTATATCAATCCATTTAAGAAAGATCTTTCTCTTATTACTCTGAAAAAACTGACAAATTACAAAAACAAAAATTTTTGTTTTATTCTGGGGATTCAGAGTAAACATTTCTAGTGCGATAGATATATGTAATAGGAAAGCAATTCTGTTGCTTTGCACCAAGCAGTTAGAGAATATTCGGAAGATGTGGCCATTCACATCGTGCTTTAAGCACTCTATTAACTCCAGTGATGTGTGTCATTGCATGTGTGTGGTAGTTCTGAGAGATAGTTCTCTATTCATGAAAGAATGTTTGGGGAAGAATTTGTTCTTTCTCTCGTTTGCCACTGTTTTCAGCATTGTTGTCTAATGCATTTAAAAGTTCTGAACAAACTTCAGCAGATCTGTCTGAAGTGAGATCCTTCCATCAAGCTACTATTTCTGCTACACTTCAAGATAAATCCCTGAACTGCTTCCTCTGTTGAGAAGAGAGACATTTCCTATGGTATGATGCTTAGTCAAGCTCATCTGAAGTCCTTACTTCTGATACGCTGTATGTACATTATGGAATTTCATCATTTCATCATCCATACTCTATATAGGAAAGTGAATATACATTTTAATCAACTACAACAGAATATTCAAATTGTTTTTATGCTGCCATCTCAATGTGGGAGCTTTAATAAAGTAACTAAGGAATTCTCCAGAGCTTAACTATTTATTGTTATTATAGTAAGTTCTCTGCTGTAACAATGTCTATTTTTTAATGTCCTTATAAATACTGACAGTGCTGTAACATATGTGCTTACATTTTAGCTACCACCTGTAAGTCCATCTCTCCAGTAAACACAAGCCTCTAGGAAAATGACAGGCTGTGTTCTCATTTAAACTGTCAGAACCTCTGGGAGTAGGGCCCAGAAATCTGGTTTTTAGCAGTTCTAAAGGGGACTGTGATTCACACAAAAATCTGAGAACCACAGATAGAGACTTTTTAAATTAAAAAATGACATTATTCCAGAGAGTGTCATATTCTAGTAGGCCGTGTGAACCCCACCCCCCAGAACACTCCGCGCAATCAGTATGCGGGCAGGTATTGCACACCTATTATAGCAACACTTGCCCCAGCTTATCTCATTCATTGTCCTTGTGTAATCGTTAACAAGAGCATCACAAAAATTTTGTGACCCAGCAGAGCCACTGGGCTTTTCTCCTACCAGGTTTGTCTGCAAGATAAAAGCTTCCAGCTGTATCCACTGGCAAAAAAGAAAAAAAAATCCAGATTTTGCAAAATATTTGATACTGCAGGTGGCTATCTTGCGAGGTTTCCCAGGTACAGTGGTCTCTTAGGCATCTGACTCCCTGTTGAGTGAAGAAGGGGAATTCTAGGTCTCCAAAAAATCCATAACAGGAATTCCTGCTATTTGTAGATTCTTATGTCTCTATTATTTTCTTCGCTTTAAAATAGTTGGAGGGAGAAGTGGTTGGGAGAAAACTAAGACAATAAAAAACAATTCCTACTGCATGGTGATGGTATGTGTTCATATTCGAACAGGAATATGTTTTATTCCAACAGTGTTTTATGAAGTTGTAGTTCAGTGTACATAGGCATCACCCAAAGAGTTGTTTAAGTGTCGATTTTTCAGCCCCACCCAAAGAGTTCTACTGAGATGGGGCTCCAAATTTTCATAGCCCTTCTAAAAGATTCTTACTCAGGTGATCCATGGATATGCTTGGAGAAACACTACAGTAAGTGGCCTGCAGCACTGTTCTCTCTGCTACGGTCTCCAAAACTTCTATTGCAATTGTCATTTTCATATATCAATTTATAATAATAGCTAAAAGATTCTCTAACTTGGAATTCTATAGTAAAAGAAATAATTAGTGGAGAATACCTGAACCCATAATTGGTAGTAAACTATAGGTACTATTTCTATACTATTTCTAAATTATCTTAGGCAAATACACATAAAATGAACCTACTGATATGCATGGGTTCTGTATGCAGAATTTTAAAATTACATACACAACACTGTACCATAATGACCCTAGAGCACCTGATGGTCTAGAGCACTTGATGGTCTAGGGTCATTATGGTACAGTGCTGTGTATCATAACACTGGTCTTGATGATAGTTCATCCACATAAAGGACTGGTGAAACACTTGGCTAAACATGACCAAAGCATATCAGTTTTAATCCCGACTCTACTCTTTTCCTCTTCTGATGCTTTATTAGTTAATTCTCTCCTCTGCCCTGCTATCTTTTAAGTTTCACACTTGCATTTAAAAATGGACATTTCCTTTTATCAAACTTTTATATTAATTACAAGAATCCTTATTCTTTTTGCCCACAGTTATTCGAAGCTCAAATTAAATTAGACCCTTCAGCAACCACCATCCTCCTACAACTGCAACCGTTGTCACACTTCCTAATTTGCTAATATATGAATCAGTACAATATAAATCTATAAAGAAATTGGATGTCATTCCATTATGGGCCTTACCAAAGATCTGCAGTATCTACTGAAACTGCTGTTTATCTAGAAACAGAACAGTTTCCTGGCCCCCACCTTCTCATCTAGACTCTGCCTCTGTGATTTTTCTCTCATTTTTGTATATATTCATGCAACTCTGAGCTTCGCCTGTCTCTTACTACCACTGTAGAAAGCTGTTTTTGATATGAGTGATAACGTATGCCAAAAGAATCCTTCACCATGAGAATTTATTGTAGCGTAATCAATATATTACATGCTTTTCTGAGGTTTTCATTTTAAACATGTACAATTTTAAATGATAACTTACTAAGGAAGGACTTAATAAATGGGTAAGTATACAAACTTCTGGAATGGATTTTGAAATTACATTCACAACACTGTACCATAATGGCCATAGAGCACATGATTTAATTTACATCTCATTTACAGAAATGAATGCCAACAATTTTAATCATGTATTTCTATCTAGTTGGCCCAAGTATTACAAATTCAGAGTAATACTTTGCTCATGGGTAAATTATGCATTTGGGGATACACTTAAGCTCATGGGTAAATTATGCACTTGTAGATTTCAAGGTTGACTCTTCATTCATATTTTTCCCTCAGTAAACACCAAATGGTTTTATCACAAAAAATGTAGTTTAAATTTAAGTATGACTGGGGTATGGAGGTAAGAGATGTAGTAAGTGAACAAATAAAGAAACTGGCTTGTATAGAAAACCTTTTCTACAATGATTAATATCTAAAACCTACAGACATTTGTGTGTGATTATATCTAAGACAGAGATACATACTTTTAAAAAAATTAATCTTTCAAACTTGTGAATAATTCTATTTTGTTTTAAAATGTCCAACTTTCTATTACTTGTACTGTTAGAGGAAAATAGTGATGTACCCCAAACCAGAAAAATCTAGATGATCAACAATCATTTTTATTAGTGAAAATGTCTGGGAGACATGAGTCCAGGGGGTACATGATTATGTGGGTGAAGATCAGGGCCATACAGGGAGCTAGAGGAAGCTCTGCCTCCACCAGGGGCCTTGTACCCACATTTATTGACACATAGATGCCCAAGGCTAATTGGACTAGAAACCAGCCACGTTTTACTACCAAGAAGTGGTCAGAAATTTTCTCGCATAAACCAAACTAATAACTGAGGTTCAAATGGTGCACACTTTTGTTACTAGTTAAAACTTAAATAGTGATCTCTGACTTAGACAAGCAAAGAAAATAACAGATACAAAATCACAGGGAATTTGCATAACAATTTTAAACATAATTTAGTGAGAGACAAAAACATAAATTTTTGCCATGGCTAGAAACTCATTTACAAATAGTATCATCTATAAATAGATGTTCCTCTGTTCCAATTTCTCATTTTGATATTTTATTTTATGATGATCCTCCTAAACTGCCTTATTTGTCTTTCAATTGTTTTTCTGGAAAACTGTTTCTCTGCAATATATAATTGTTAAGATCATTTCTCACAATGTCTAAAAAAATACTAATTAGAATACATAAGCTCTTGTTGCATACATAATTGCTGTAGTCTGCAACAGTCCAACAACCCAGAAGGTAAAAGGCTTATTAACAATAAACCCACAAGAAAACAATTTAGTATACATAAAATATACATATGTTCTATTCTGTTTCAAAGTTAAACACGGCAGACTTTTATAGAATCAATAAATGGTATAAGAAAAGATATATCCAGATGATATAAAATAAAAATGTGTAATTACAGACTGAACCTGGGGAAAAAAATAACAGCAGAAACTGGGTAGACTAAGAAAGGCCAATTTTCTTTCTCTGAAGAAGTAGGAAAATGTGAATATTTCAATATTTAACAGTTTAAACAAAACTATAAACTACTTCTTATCTTTCTGAGATAACTCTTTCTCCTAAGAAGAAAATGTGAATATTTAAATATTTAACAAACAGTTGAAACCAAACTATAAACTACTTCTTATCTTTGTGAGAGAATTCCAGGGCACCAAAACTATAACTGGCAGATTTTCTCTGGATAGCTAGAAATAGAACAGAGGCCACTAGAGATGTGGATAGTGTCGATTGACGAAAAGGCATCCACAGGACCCTACGAGTAGAAAAGCCAACAAAGTTCATCCAGGTAGCTCCTGGCCATAAATTTTTGGGGGGAAAAAGGACAAAACAGAAATAGGGCTACTCAAGAAGTAAAATAGTTTAAGTGGATCAACTGGTCCCTTCTGAACCAGCAAATCTGCTGTAAACAAAACCGTCATTCAATGTAAATGCCCTGCATTGTATTATTTAACATTACATTATTAATAAGCCGTGTGTGTGTGTGTGTGTCTGTGTTCTTACATACTATGGATCTACATCACATGCCACCTCATTAGCTCTCCTATTGAGTAGAGAATGTAGGGGTCTTCTGGTGTTATCAGCAATGTTCAATTCAGCAAGCACAATGATAGGGTTTCAAATACAAAAGAATGCTTTCCTTTGTATTAGAAACCCTAATCATCATAAAAATATACAAAAAAGAATGAATATTTTCCTTTTGTAACATTAATTTTTTGTCGTCCATTATTTAGATTTTATCATTATTATATTGCGTAAACATCTAGAAAAATTAGGAAATGTAGCAGCCTTATTTATCAAAGAAGGGAAGGGAGAGACCAGACATCTTAAATCAAAAATTAGAAATGATTTTAGAACAAACATTTTTAATAACCTTTAGTCAGTCAGAGAAAAGTTCTGGTATTTCTTGAAAACAATATGTTTGTGCATTAGACCATTTCATTTGGATTACAGACAGATTATGTGCAAGTTCATATAGTCAGTAAAAACGTGAGTAAAGGACTAAAGGCTCCTACCAGAGCCCTTGAATATCTGATTTCTTTCTGAAATTTAGAGATCACTTTTGAATTTAGCAAATCTTAAAAATACATTCATTTTGTGAGTTGTAGTGGTAAATAAAGTAAGCATCTGAACCAAAATATGAATAAAAACCACTATCTATCACAAAGGAAATTGTTTAACTCTGCATTTTAATGACAAATCTACTCATTTATTTTTGTGCTCATATTTAACGTTGAACATACATTTTACAACTCTCCATATTCAATTTGCCACCCCTTGTTCTGATTTTTCTTCATTTTAATGTTTCCTTCAGAGGTTTCCCATTTATTCTTAGAGTTAAATTTTTCAATCTCAAATTTTTTGTAATGCCTCTGTAACCTTCTCTTGAACAATTTTCCTTTTTTTTTTTAAATAAAAAGACAATTCCTTCTTTTCTCTTAATCCTTTTATTCACCATTTGATGAAGGTAGTTTAACCCATTTGAGGTTTTTCTTTCACATATTTCCCTCACCATTTTTTCCTTTATCTTTTCTAGCCATTTTTTATTTTTGTAATTCTATAACCTGTAGATTATCTGATCTATTCATCTTTTCACAGCTGTTCCTCAGGGTAGAGTAACACACAAAATATTCAATAAAATCATTCAGTTAATGAAACTCAATAAAACTGAAGATTCATACCACAAAATTTAGACCATTTGAAATATTTTTTATCCCTCAAAATTGATAATTATGGAATTATTATTTAAAAGGAAGTGGAGTTGACATCCAGTTAACCAGGCTGATTACTATGTCTTCATCATTCCCTGCCACGAATAGAGTAACAGATTCTTGGACTGAATGCAATCAGTGACACTTCCTAAATGTATAAAATAAATGCACCTTTAAAAAAAGAAATGCCTTAGAAATACTTACATGAGAAATATCTATCTGGACTCACATAAAAAGTGAATTCGAGAAAAATGCAAATATTTAGTGAAAAAAGGTTGATTCAGGTTGGTTTTCACAATGCGTCATTTCCATTCTACTTCCATTCGACTGTTTTAAATTTTATTTGGCATTAACAAGACTTTGCTTTCTTAAGTAGAAATTGATATGTGTTGGCTAGATCTTTCTTGTTTCATAAGACAGAGAAAAATCGTAAGGTAACAGAAAATAAACATAACTGTAGATTGTGTTAAGAAAAACCAAGCTTCTACTTCATCTCTGAAAAACAAAATTTAGCACAGATGTAAAGGAAAATAAATGATAATTATAATAAGAGCAGTTAACAATGACTAAATATTTATGTATAAGGCCTTTGTAAGCACTACTTTATTTAATATAGCAATCTCATTTACTTAGATGTTATCATTCATACTTTACCAATGAGAAATTTGAGGATTAGAAGAATTAAGCTATGTCCCCAATGTCAGAGGCCAATGAAAAGTTGAACTAGATTTGAACTCCTGTTTGTTGATTTCAGTTGGTGCATCAAATCATCACATTTTGACAGGTCTCATTAACTAGGGAAAACCTTTCTATATAAACAAGTATATATGCTAACATTATTTTGTATGAAAATTATGAAAGCCCTTGAGAAGAAAAATATAAGGCATCTAACCTTAATCTCCCCCTCCTCCTATCCTTCACTTCATCATGATGCCTTCCCAGGCTCCTCAAGTTTTGATCATCTCTCTCCCCTCTGAAACGCACACATTGCATACATTTGTTTTGAACAAGAAGTTGCAAGACTCTCTGTGTATTTTCTATTGTTATAGTAATTTGGCTAATTATTACCAGAAAAAAAGGATGATATCATAAATAGAACTATGAATATAAAATCAGAAAAGTTGTGTTAAAATCCTGACAATATTTAATGGGGCACAATCATTAACCTTCCAATACAAGTTTCGCATTCAAGGGCATATAAATAATACTTCTGCATATTTCATAGGGCTTGTCCATTCCAATAAACAGTCCAATAGACATATACATAGTAATGAATTGTGGCTAGGCTATGCAGATACAAACATAGTCCTGGCTCTTATAAAGTTTACACTCCAGGAGAAGGGCCAGCATAGAAAAGACTGTAGTGATAACTGAACTGAAAAATGGATGTGCATATAATCTTTTATAAAATTAAAGAATAACATAAATATAACTTAATATTGTATTTTTTTCTTTTTCTGTGTTGCATACATTCAAGTTCCTAGGAGGAAGCAGTTTGTCTTATACTGACAGGTTAAGGACCTGACCCTTCTACATAGACATACAACAAATACTATAATTTTAAAGCATTTTATTGAAAATATGATTGAAAAATATTAAATATATTTTTGATAAAGGAAAAATATCAGCATAATTTTATCATTTTGACAAAACTGTTGCATTTTTGCCTCATTTTTTCCAGTTAGCTATATAATTTTATTTATTGTATATGCATTTTAGTATGTTTCAGCATATTAAATTTTTATTTTATACCATTATATCTTCTTATATTATAAAAGTTTTATACATGTTTATTTATATGTACCTGTCACCTACATTTACAGTAAAAATTAGGGTAATTTTCTTATTTCTAAGTGTTTCAGAACAGTTTAATTCAAAATAATTTACTCATTATTTATGTCATTACTAAGCACCAACCTCACAGCATTTTTACCTTAATTCAAACCACTGCAATATTGCAAATTTGTGTCATTTAGTTCCTAACACAAGGCCTAAGTTTCTTCCATTCTTTTAGGTACAGTCTAGTTACCAAACGGAGAAAATCTTGTTACAAAAGTGACATGTGTTCAGAGGGCCCAAGCACCGGAGAGAGGGAATTTTTTTCACAGAAACCATTGCCATACAAGTATAGTCATATTTCAAATATAGACAGACTTGCCTACTCATGTCCAAATTTCTCCTTATTACATTTTCTTAGCTTGTGACTGGCACTTCCAGAAAAAATACTAAATGGTAATGGTGATCATGGAGAGTCTTCTATTATTCCTAATTTTATACAGACAGCATACTGAAATTGTTACTCTAAGCATCAGGTTAAATATGTATTTATCCATACTAAGGAAAATTCCTTCTATTGCTTTACTAATGTGTTTAAATCAGAAATGTATTTGTATATTATCAAAAATCACTTGAACATCTATTGAAAATATCTAGTAATATTTACCCTTAAAATGTTAATTGGATGAAATATATTAATAGGTCTTCTAAAGTTAAAAAGTTATTCCTAGAAATAACTTCGTTTTTATACTTTATTGTTTTAATATATCTCCATATTCCTTTTCTTGATTTTTTTTCCTGAATTTTGACACCAATATTCACTTGGTAGGAATGACTTAGATTTAAAGTTCTTCCTTTTCCCCTTCTTTTTTACCTTTATTTTCTTTTTCCAATTTTCTACAACGTTTGTTTACATTATGCATATTTCTTAAAAATTAGGTTGTTTTTATTTTTCAGTATTCTAAAACAATTTAAATTGAAATTTAATTATCTTTTTTTAAAGTTTTAAATAAATTCACCTGTGAAATTGCATGAGTCCAGTGCAGGAAGGTGTAAATTAACCTTCTTAGAGTCTTTTTGCTTCTTTTGTTTAGTATCTTTTGTATCTCCATCATCTCTTAAGTCCAATATTCAAACACTATATGTATATCAAAATTTGGCAATAGTGCTAAAGTAGTATATAGTGTGAAAATACACCCCTTGAAGTACACATCAGAAAAGATAAAAATGTTAATGAGCTAAGAATTCAACACAAAAAAAAGATTTAAAAAAAGACAATAAAAGATTAAACCCAAGAAATCAGAAAATAGAAAAATATCACTGAATGAACTAGAAAAAAAAAACCACAAAGAAATGGTTTTCTTTAAAAAACTGATTTTTCTTATATATGTTTAAAAAATAGCCAAATCCTAGGTGAAAAAAAAAAATCTTTGGTAATAAAAATAATATCATATAATTCTAGATGAAGTAGAGATTTTTTTAAAATCATAAAGATATATTATGTTGAATAATTTAAGAACAAATGAAAAAGAAAATAATTTTCTAGAAAAACATAAATATAATTTAAAAATAAGTAGAAAACATCAAGACACTTATAATGATTATTATCTTGAATTAGTAACTTAAAATACACCAATACTAGAAGGTTTTATAGGGAAGTTTTGCTGAACATTCAAGAAAAAGGTATCTCCAATCATACAAGCTTTTCCATAGAAAAATTCACTTTTATGGCTAATATAACCTTATTATCAAAGCTAGACAACAACACAAAAAAGGAAAAATACAAGATTTCATTTCTTGATATAGCTACAACAATCCTAAAAAATACATTTCAAACCAAATTCAGCAATATGTGCACATAATGACCAACCAGGATTTATCCTAAATATGCAGGGACTGTGTATTATTAGAAATTCACCATATGAACAGATTAGAAGCCAAAAAATTATATTTGTAACACTTGAACATCCATTCACAAGAAAATAAATATGACTTCCACAGTAAGGAGAAAAAGAAACCTATTTAAATTGTGAAATATTAGAAGTTGTTTACTTTAAACCAAGGAAAAGGCTATGATACCAGCTTTCAACCTTACTGCAGGTTGGGGTCTCTACAAGCTGGTGCTGTGAACAGTCATGGTACAAAATGTCTATTAGACACGGAAACTTTAGAAAGAACAGGAGTTCTGACTGGACAGAGGGAGAAGCTGAACTGTGCTGCAGGCCAGCAAAGTCTCACTCCTTCCATCCAGAGCAAGGGTCCATCAGAGTTGTCCTATGACTGAACGTTTATATCAGCTCCCTCTCTCAGGTAAGTGGGCTGCTCCGGGGATGAGGGTGGTGGTTTAACCCGGGTCTAGGTGGCTCTTGGCAGCTGAGACAGACCCAGACAGGCTCACGGCCAGACGCTTCCCACTGAAAGCATTCCCTTTAGCTGGGCAACAATCCTTGAAGGGGGACTGGGTGGTTCTTCTCTGTGTCTACATTAATCCCTTTACTACAACTTTTATATGAGTTCTCACTACCGTGCTATGGACTGGAAAATAGGCATAAAGATTTGAAAAGACGATAAGACAATTTGAAAATTGGACACCATGATTTCAAGAGCATCAAAGTGAACACATGAGTTCCAATCCTGCACCTGCCACTTACTAGCTCTATGGTTTTAGTCAGATTGGTTCATATTTCTGTGGTTAGATTTTCTTATACAGAATATGAAATAGTAATAACTGCCAACTGCATGCTGTATTGCCTTTATCAAGTTGTTATAATCACTGAACCTCTGGGAACCCTTCTTCGAAAAAAAAGTACATATATACATATGTACATATGTACTTATATACTAATGTATGTAATTATATATGTACTTACGTACTATAATGTACCTATAATGTACTAACGTTCTATAATGTACTTATGTACTATAATAGTACCTCTACCATAAGATTGATTTGAAGATTAAATAAACTACCCTATTTAAAGCATGTCTTTCAAAAAGTAAGTTCTAAATATTATACACACACAACACGAACATCTATCTAGCCTACACAATAGAACCTCAAAAGCAAACTATGAGAATAAATCAAATAGTTTAGTAAGGTTGCTGGATGAAAAATCAACATGTAAAAATCAACATGCATCACCAATAAACATTTAGAACATGTATCTTTTTAAATATATTATTCATTATTACAACAAAAACCATAATAATCCTGGGAATAAATTGCAAAAACCTAAGCAAGATCTTCACAGAAGACGTTAATTATACCATCATTGCAGCACATTCAAGAAGAGTTAGATAAATGGAGTTATGTAACAAATATATGGACAGGAAAGCTCTATCATAAAAATGACAGCTGTCTCAAATTGAATTATAAACCTAATGCCTTCCAATCTCAACAGAGTGTATGTCAGAAGCCCTGGAAGAAAGATATCACATCCAAAAGGACTAAGACAGAAATATGGTGAGGGTGAAAAGAAGAAAGTAGTTATCTCTACCACCCCTACTACAACCACCACAACCTCTCAGGCCTGCTGGGGGAAAGGGAAGAAACAGTATTATAGAAATCCAAATAGAACTGGAACCTTGAAATAGAGGAGCGGTGGCCATCATTGTATGCATTCACTTCTACACCTGCTAAGAGGCAGAGAGGGACCAGAGGAATTAATTCCCTTACCATACTCTCTCACCAGTCTCCTGGTAGTGTCTCACATTAGCCACACCTAACTAGAAGTTAGAAGCCAAAGAAGTGCAGGAGTTGCAGCTCCATGGAGAAAGGCTCTAAATAAGCAACCAAGGAATATTTACCACATAGACTATTTCATGGAATTTAAAAAAGCAAATTATGGCTGGGCACAGTGGCTCATGCCTGTAATCCCAGCACTTTGGGAAGCCCAGGCGGGCAGATCACCTGAGGTCAGGAGTTGGAGACCAGCCTCACCAACACGGCGAAACTCGATCTCTACTAAAATACAAAAATTAGCTGGGCGTGATAGCGTGCCCCTGTAGTCCCAGCTACTTGGGAGGCTGAGACAGGAGAATCTCTTGAGCCCGGGAGGCGGAGGTTGCATTGAGCCGAGATCTTGCCACCACCCTCTAGCCTGGGCAACAGTGTGAGACTCCATCTCAAAAATAAATAAATAATATAAATATAAATATAAAAAGCAGACTCTAATATGGCAAAGTTTGTGAGAACAGCCAAGAAAATTTTAAAGAATGAGAATGAGGAGAATTCATCTTAATAAAGTTGCTGTATAATGTTAAAAGGATTAAAGAATCAAGTATTAAATTGGCAAAGGATTAGACAAACCAATGGAACATAATAGAGAACCAAGAACAGATATAAATATATGGCACCTAGATATGCCAGAGTTAGCCTCACAAATCAGTAGGAAAAACTAAACTCGAACAATTGGCTGTACCTTTTGTGGTGGGGGGATGGGTTAATCCCTATTTCCAAAACAACTACAAAAATTAATTCCAACTGGGCCAAAGACCATAATGCTAAACATGTTAAAGCTTTAGTAGAAAACTGAGTGAATATTTTTACAATCTCTAAGTAAGAAAATACTACTTAAACAAGAAATACTAAATTTGTAAAGGAAAAGAATGATAAAACTGAGCATAACAAAATTTCAAAATCTCTATACAAAAAGACATAGTAACACAACTTAAAAACAAGGGACAGAATGCAAGCAAATATTTCAATGCATGTAAATGACAAAAAGTTAGTACTTAGAGTATACAAAAATTCTTAAAAATTCATTTTAAAAATTCAAACCAATAAGGAAAAAATAACAAAACTTAAGACAATCTGCAAAAGAGAAGACTTAAGTGAAGTCTTATATACATGAAAAGATGCTCAATAGCACCAATGAGGGAAAACAATCAATAAGACATTTAAACATATGCATGCAAAACCAAAAAGTTTGATAATACGTTATACATTGCTGACGGACATGTAAGTTGCTAAAACCAATATGGAAAGATAGATCTCTAAAGATTTGTTGAAGATAGAAACTGCTCTCTTAATCCCACTACAACATTTTCACAATTTTATTCTTATTTAAGTACCTATAACTAATTTAGAGAATTACTTTTTGTTTATAATATTTATAAAAGTAACGTATCATTTATACATTACAATTATCTTTTGTAACTTTTTTCACTCAAATTATATTTTAAAGCCTCCTCCTGCAGGCTGTGCCAGGAGGATCACTTGAGCCAGGAGGTCAAGGCTGCCAGTGATGGCGCCACGGCATTCCAGCCTGGGTGACAGAGGGAGGCCCTTTCTCAAGAAAAATAAATTTAAAAAATGAAATTATATTTCACTCAAATGATGATCAATGTTGACATGTGAATTTTAGTTCATTTTAATTTCTGTATAGTATTCAATTGCATCAAAATATCGTGATTAATGATTACCTAGAATCTTTAAGTCAATGCAAATGACACTGCCATAAATACATGTCTCTTTGGGTCTACATACAAAAACTCTTTCTAGAAGTGAATTGCTGATCGCCTCCAGAAATGTAATACTGCACAGTAAGTGGACTGTATTGACATGAAAAAGATAACAGAGACTCTAACAAGTTAACACACAGCATATTACATATTTATTGAAATGTCATAGTCTAATATATATTAGCATAAATATATATTTTGGATACATTTCTGGAAAGAAGTCAATATTTTTTAACTGGGAGAGAATTGAAGGGGAGCATCCACTTTTCAGTCTTAATATTTCTATAATTTTTTTATAATAAACATATTTTACCTCAGTTTTACAGCTATAAACCATTGAAAAAAATCCACATTTGTTATTTTATCCTGTGTTGTGTTTATTATCCTACTATAATATGGTAAAAACACCCTCAGATATGAGATTGAATGTTTGTGTTGTACATGTTTCATAAACTAATAATTATACAATTAACTTATTTTTGAAATAAAGTTTCCTTTATATTACCATTATTAAAGTGATAGGGTCTCAGTACTGAAAATTTTAAAAATATAGGAAGAGAAAAAGGAAAAATAAAACACTCACTACAAAATGATACCAGTCATAAATATTATTTATTCATTAATCAATTCATTTATTTATTTATTCAGTTGGTAGTAGTGATAGTGGTGGCCACCTTTCTTTAGTTTCTCAAGCAAATAAATCTTCGCATTTCCTTCATGTCTAAAAAGTAGCAAGATAACTAAAATCTTAAAATGTATAGCATATATCTTATAAAAATGAAACCATGCCTGAGAATTTAAAGAATATTTATATTTGCTTTAATGATGGTATGAACCCTTACTATTTATTAGGGAATTTTCTTACTACCTTTAATCCTCAAAACAACCTTGCTACTGAGAAAATACTATCATCTGCATTTTGCAGATAAGGAAACCAACATTCTAACACTAACGTTAAGCAATTTGACCAGTGCCATCTCACTAGTGAGTGGAGATTTCAACACAGCTGAATATGGCCTGGAATTTGAGCTTCTCCAACTACCATTTGTCTCTCATTCTTCCTGCAGAGAAACTGAATCTTCCCATTAAAAATTAATGTGAAAAACTACTTTTTTTTTTTTTTTTTTTTTTTGAGATGAGTCTCACTCTCACCCAGGCTAGAATACAATGGCACAATCTTGGCTCACTGCTATCTCCACCTCCCAGGTTCAAGTGATTCTCCTGCCTCAGCCTCCCCAGTAGCTAGGATTACAGGTGTGAGCCACCATGCCCAGCTAATTTTTGTATTTTTAGTAGAGATGGGGTTTCACCATGTTGGCCAGGCTGGTCTTGAACTTCTGACCTCCAGTGGCCTGCCTGCTTTGGCCTCCCAAAGTGCTAAGATTACAGGCGTGAGTCACCGTGCCCAGCCCAAAAACCACTTTATATAACAAAAAAATTTCCTAAGGAAATTATGATAATTTTCTGGCATCCAGAAAGATCCACTATAAAAATATTCTGCCTCTAAAGGCATACATCTCCCAGTAGCCATGTGGTGATTACACCCCACTCACTGCTAAGTGAATAGGAGCCCAAGAGAGAATGAGTGGCTTGTCAGTTCACAGTCCATAATCTACTGAACTGTTCCCACCATGAAAAAAATGGGAGGTAAAAATGTAGATTACTCATTTATCACCATGAAAACACACAGAAGTAAAATTTGGCTATATGAACCATGAAACTGCTCTCTCCATTGTTTATAAAAAGAATTTAGTTCTAATAGTTGATAACCAACAATTTCTTTAAAACAATTTATCAGCATAAGTTCTCTCTTACACTGTTTTGAGGGAAATTTTTCAAATAAATGTTCACATTAGATGTGTTGCCACAGAATAGAAATTAGCATGAAACAGAGGATTATTTTCGCATCATTTTTTCCTCTACATATAATTTATTACAATTATACACTCAGAAAAGTATTTTTAAAATCCACAAGAAAACTAATTAGATTTAACAGACGTCAACATTTTTTTAAGTTTTGCTTTAATATTCATCTTTTAATCCAATAATTATTAATTTAAATTGTTATTATGATAATAATTCAGTCTTATTATTACTAAAAGTATTTGGGAAATTTAAAAAGTGGGACAAAAAGCTAACGATAGTCCTATGACAACTATTAACAGTTGAAAATACTTCCTATTTGTAAAATAAACATTTCCTTTATTTTTGACATTACTGGGTAATGTATGTTTCAAAAAATTAAAGCCTTCTGCCTCATTTTTAACAATTTTTGAAAATTGACAACTATGGCTTATCCTCATAACAAAAGCTATAGAAATAGCATCTATTATCACTTCTTAAGACTCATCTTCTCTACCATGAATGTCATAAGGAACAAACCAAAAAGTATCAGACTTTTCCTTCTATATTATACTTGTCACTTAATATCTTAATAATGCGTCAAATTGATTCCCCCATCTCTTTAATTCTCTGCTATTGTTAATGGCACAGAATCTTTCTTTCATGTAGTAGTTACTTAATAAATACTTGTTTATCCATTTATTTAGTAAAGGTTTCTAAAATAAGACATACTCATGAGGTTAAAAGATTTCATAAAAGATTAAGTTTAAACATAAGCTATAAATAAACCAAGTTATCTTATTAAAAAGGAAAGAGAGCTGGCAAGAACTTATTGTATATATTATGCTAAATATTAAAGGGTCATTTCACAGGGTGCCTGGGACCTGACTTTGGGTTCCATGAAAACAAAATTGCTAAGAAATGTTAAAGGAAATATAGCTCTAAGTGGAAAATAATTTGTCTCTAATTGATCGAATTTCAAATTTGGGAGAATTTAGCAGAACCAAAATCCAAACTCATGTGAGTATAGAGGCAATTTAACTTCATTAAAACCTAAATACAAAAGCTGATTCCAGAATGAATAATTAAATGTGGCTATGTGCTATGCTTCAGTAACATCTAATAGACCTTTGTGTGTTACACTATTAAAATAAATCAAGTAAAATTTTAATTGAAATGTTGTACTTTTAAAAGAAAATATCTACCCATAATTCTACCACTCTAAAAATTAATAGATAACTAGCAAAAATATATAAATTTTATAACTATGTAAAAACTACTTAGTTATATGGAACTTAAAAGCCTTGTAGGTAGTCCTTAAGGTATCATCACCATGAGCTGGAACAAATACATTGAGTAATAAATAAATAAATAGTTCATTCTCCTTTCTTTCAACTCTATTTCTTTAGAAGTTCTCTAACTTTAAATGATAACTCCTACAACTTTTATTTGATTCAAATGTTCATAACTCTTAATATTTGCTAGGCTGCATATTCGATACAACATTCTTCCCAGATTCATACATTTCTTTTTTGCAAATAGATGGTCTGTATTTGTTAGCACCTTTTTACTGCTCCCCTACTACATGCACATACACATGCACACACACATGTACAATTAATTCCTTACTATGGCAAATATTTTGTGACAGTCCCTTATGTTTAGTACCTCTCTTCAGCCTACATCACACTCCCTCTGACTGTGAGTCTTTCAAACTTCCCCCAACAGTAGGACCTTGAGCACACTTCATTTCTCCCTCTGTTAGAAAATTTTTATCTTTTTTCTCCACCTCATTAACCCTTCCTTCAGATGTCAGGTAAAATGTCACCTCCTCAAGGAGGCTTCCCCAGACCTCCCTGGCTGAGTCAAACTCCCCTCTAATAGGCTTCCCCATTACTGTGCATCTGGCCTTCATTATACTCACTTTTGCGTATGTGCACTGGCTTGTGTGATTATTTAATTAATTTCACAGAAATAAAAAGCTCCAAAGAGGCAGGAATCATGCCACATCTTTCACTCATCATTACATTACCAGGACCTAGCTGAGTGTTGAGCATAGAGTAGACTGCCAATAACTACATATTAAAGTATAGTAAAAAAGAAGGAAGAGATGCAAATTAATCATTATGTCAACAGATGACCTCACAGTTACTAGAAAAATTATTTAAATGGTCTCACTTGGTGATCTGAAAGATGACAGATTTGTAAAGAAAGTATCTCTGAAAATACATGTTTTATCTTCTTTCTTTTTTTCTCTCATTGTAATGGATGTAGCTTATGATTTAGTCCTGCTTTTCTTTCTCTTATTCATTTTTCTCTAGAGAAGGAAAGTCATAAATCTTAGGCCAGGCTCTCTTCAAAAGCAGAGTCTGAACTAAAAAATTATGTGCAAATAATACAAGGTGATCCCGGAGAGTAGGAGTGAGGCACCGGGTAAAGTGAACCAGGGAGAGAGTAAAGGCTAATACAGGTGCATGCAGTTGGGTCACTTCCATGGCCGGTTGAGGCTCCTTCTCACTTGGACCTTATGAGGAGCTGCAGAGTGCGTCTCGGAACTATCCACCCATTCCCACTGACTGCGAGGCTCCATGGTGGTGTTAGCTCCTCCTCACTTCCAGGCTGCATGGACCACGGTCAGAAGCAGGGGGAAAGATAAGACATGCTAGTAAAGTCACAGAAAAGAAAGTGAAAGATACTCAGCGCAAGCTTGAGATGGGAAATAGCACAACTGAGTCAAAGGCTGCCTACAATGATTGCCCGAGCCAGAGCCAGAAACAGATGTGAGATTGACAGGACATCCGGCAGGGTCCAAAAAGCATGTGATATACTTCATGAGAATCAGATCATTGCTCACCACAGTCAGCCCCAATGAGCCTCAATGTCAGTACCTAATTTATCACTCTCACCAAGCTTCCATTTATCTCCTGATGTGCCTCAGGACACTGAATTGAAGGCAGGCACAAGAATCTATTCCAGGCATTCTCCGACTTCCAATCATTGTGTCCCAAATAGTCAGTGATTTCTGGAATATGTTATCTGGAATATGTTACCTGCAACATACAAGTCACTCAAAAATAACATTACATGTAATAGTTCAATCCATCCGTCACCAGGCAGACTTAACAAAAATTCTAGGTCAATCCATAAAAGCACAGTTAATTTAAATCATATATCTCTAACAATCTACTTCAGGTATAACCTGAATTAACTATATTTCCGTGAATTGGTCTAGAAATACGTTCTGAGTTTTATCCATATACCAATAAGAAAAGAGATAAACATAGTACTAGCTTGTTAACACTATTGTATGTATTTCACAAGAAATCAGTCTGTATCAGTTGCTTTTCAGAGCCAACAGTTGGAAAAATAGGACAGTTGTTTCTAAGAAGAGGGAGACTCCAGACTTCACACATTTTTCACTCCATAAATGTAGCGCTTATTTGTAAGTTAGAATGATTCGTTAACCATGGAGTTCTTGTGTTCAGAAAGGAGCCTTACTTTTTATGCACACACACACACACACACACACATACACACATGTGTCTGTGTCTGTATTTTTGGGTGTGTATTAGTCCTAAAAGAAACAAAAGTTTTACCAATTTATTATGTTTAGTTACCAATAACTTTAATCTATTGGCTATTTGAATTACTGGTCTTCACTGTCACAAAGATTTACCTCAAAATTTAAAAAACAGACAAACAGTCTCAATATAAAATGGCACATAGTATATTAATGGCTGTTTGATAGAACCTGCCTTCGTTTTATACCACTTCTAAAAATACGTTTGGAGTTAGCTGTATTGCGTAGGAGGCTGTGGGATGGGACTACTAACTCCAGTTTTACCATCAAGAAATGATCTTTGATCACTGTACATCTATGTTTATTATCAGTTAAAAATAATGACACATTTCAGCTGATGGTTTTGGTCAACAATAACTAGAAAAGCCAGATATAAGGACAGTATTCTGATAAAACCTGGTGGAGAGTTTCAGAAGAGGTCAAGACTAGAAGCTTCAAGATTACAGATGGAAGAAGTACCAAGGAGGTAATGTGACTTTTCACAATATGTTTTTTCCCCGGGATGAAGAGTGGGGGCAATTGCCAATCTGGAAAGACAGTGAGAGACTAAGAATACGGGCTTTGCCTGAGCAGAGGACCACTGATGTGAGACAAAGAATCTAGCAGAGATTTTGGCAGTCTTGAGGGACTGGAGAGACAAAATTAGCTATGAGGGGCCAAGAGCTCAGTGAGAAGTAAAAGGTGTAGCGCTCAGCTTGACACATACTTGATTTTACCTACATGAGATTTGCTAAAGCCTGAAGTTACACATATGAGTGGAGGCTAAGACACTGAGAAGGAAGCTTCTGGAAAGAAGAGCGGATTCTCAGGAGTCTTGTCCTGGCTTGTGTTGAGGGCCTGTGAATGCACCAGTAGAAGTTCAAGACATCTGGGCTGGGTGCGGTGGCTACGCCTTGGCATCTGGGAGCCCAGAAGTCTAACAACTTGTGAGTCAGCTCAGTCACTGGGTGGATTACAACTATGGGCTACCATCCCACCGTATCTGTCTAGCAGAGGAAATGTTGATACTTCTTTGGGGATGTATAGATCATCTGGAGCCTTTATAAGTTTGTTTTTTGTTTTTTGAGACAGAGTCTCACTCTGTCACCGAGGCTGGAGTGCAATGGCACGATCTTGGCTTGCTGCAACCTCTGCCTCCCAGGTTCTAGTGATTCTCCTGCCTCAGCCTCCCAAGTAGCTGGGATTACAGGCACCTGCCACCATGCCTGGCTAATTTTTTGTATTTTTAGTAGAGATGGGGTTTCACCATGTTGGCCAGGCTGGTCTCGAACTCCTGACCTCAGGTGATCCACCTGCCTAGGCCTCCCAAAGTGCTGGGATTACAGGCATGAGCCACTGCACCTGGCTGAGTCTTTATAATTTTTATATACAATAACTAAAATTAAGAGTAAAGATATGCTGAAAAGAGGCTCACGGCAATACAGCTGACATTAGCAGACTAAAACCTTAGAATAAGTTTGATTAATATGCTCCAAGTCATAGAAGAAAAGATGGAGAAAACAGATAAATTGGAATCTATAGAAAAAATCAAATGTACACTTGGAAATTTAAAAAAATACAATAATTACAGTAATAACCTGTGGATGAGCAGTATAACAGGCATGGTGTAGAAGGTTAGTAAACTGAAGAGAAGGTCAAAAGAATACTCAAACAAGCACAGAGAGAAAAAAAAAGTAGAAAATAGTAAAACAAGTACAGGGAGCATGTTGGGTACAGTGAAACCATCTATTAAACATGTAACTCAGATCTCAGGAAAACAGACACAATGAAGTAGAGCTATCTATGAGAAGATAATAGTCAAGAATTCACCAATGAATTTCACCTGATGAAAGATAACAATCCACAAATTCAAGAAGCTCTGCAAACTTGGAGGATAAATCCAAAAAACTTATACCTAGCAATATATAGAAAACTAAAGAAAATAATGGCAAATGAAAAATCATAAAATCACCCAGAGACAAAGACACATTTACCCTCATAGCAACAATATGACTGACAGGTTTGATGGAAGTGAGAAGTCAAAAGAATAACAAATGTTGGCCGGGCACAGTGGCTTATGCCTGTAATCTCAGCACTTTGGGAGGCTGAGGCAGGCAGATTGCTTGAGTCCAGGAGTTTTAGCATAGATGGTGAAACCCCATCTATGCTAAAAATACAAAAATTAGCCAGGCATGGTGCTAGTCAGGAGGCTGAGGGACGAGAACCACTTGAGGCAGAGGTTTCAGTAAGCAGTGATTGCGCCACTGCATTCCACCTGGGTGACAGAGTGAGGCTCTGTCTCAAAAATAAATAAATAAAAATAACAACATGTTGAAAAAAAAAAAACTGCCAAACAAAAATGCTATACTTAGCTTTAAAAATTACATCTATTTAAAAATATTTTCAGACATACAAAAACTGAGTGAATTTGTTGCCAGCACACTTGCAATAAAAATACATAACCACTTACTTCATAATTTTTATGAATAAATTATAAGTGCATTGACAAGAATGCCACAAATTTAACATACCAGATATTCTAAAACCACAATTACTTTTGCACCAACCTAATAAAATAGAATTCACACATTAGGTTCACCTCTATCAATTTACTTCTTTAACTGAAACTAATTAGAAATTTAAAGTGATTAAGTTCACTAATATATAATATTTGTCACAGTTCCTCCTGAATTTTCCAAATCATTTTTGTACACTAGTTCATTTGCTATGCACTGTCCCCCATGAGAAAGGCAAGGCAGATATTATCATCTTTATTTTATGTAAAATGAAACTAATGTTTACAGACTCCGACCCTTGTCCTCAAGTACATGACAAAGTCAAAAGTAGAACACATATTTCCTACCACTGTTCATCACTGAAACACTAGGAGGTAGAAATGAATTAATAGTATCATAGGGGAGTCATAAATTGCAAAATGAACCCAATATATAGCAAAGGGATAATCGTGGCTTCAGAGAATTTGTCTCAAATATTTTTATTTTATTTTTAAAGCTACATTAACAGCATTATTTTAACCCTCTAAATATTAGATCATCACACTCCTAAATATTTTCAGCAACACTATAACCGTTGACTTTCACTGTTGTATTTCCAGAAAAAGTTAGGATGCAAAAACCTTTCAGCCAAGGTTTTACTGACCAATTTCCCTATCAAAGGCCTACAGGAAAGTGAAAGCTACAATGTTTTGTGATCCATAAAACATCCTTAAGCTAGAATTTGAATTACACCATGAAAAAGCCCAGAAGACAACCTCTTCATTGAGTTTAAGACACAATTTTGCCTCAAGGTGGGTAAAGGACGTTTCGCTCTATCATAGAGGTCCTAAAGTATCTGTTAAATCACACAACTGGAACAATGAAAGCAAGAGGTCGTCAAACAGCATAAACTTATTCTTCATACAGGATCTTTCCATGGATACTTCCCAGTGTCCTGACATCATGTTTTTCGGTGACCTTGGAACATCACTATTGCCTGCCCTGGGCTTTGTGCTATGGCTTTATTTTTGCCCTATAATGCAACTTCCTCCTTTTTCTCACCTTGCCCAGTTAAGAGCCCTTGTGCAACAAAATAGGCAAAGTATGTGTGAAATACATTAAAGAACATTATGAGAATACTCTCTAGTTCAAGGACACTATTTTACTCCATGTGGTTTTAAAAATAATATTGTACTAGCTATCAAATAAGTCAAATTATATCTATTTATAATATGCTTATACTTTCTGAGAAATTTTCTCAGTATTCTAGTGGAATGTGAAGAATCTATGTACTTTTGACCTTCTTGGATAAAATATTTTTGAAATAAAATTAAAGATTTCATACATAAAATGTAATCTGTTCTTCTCAATATACATTTTTATTTACCATGTTAAGGAGGTAAAACATCTTATCGCTAAAGGTAATATCATATGCCAAAAACCATGAGCCAAACACCACAGTACCTCCTGTTGATCATTGCTAGCTGATTATCTGATCAGAGTTATACACATATTGTATGTAAATGTAGATTTTTATATAGTGTACACCCCATCATGTAAGCACGTCAGAAGCTCGTACGTTCATAAGTCTATTTCAAAAAGAGTTTTTGCTATTACAATACTTGAGGAAAGTAGTCAACATGAGCAACAGGTTCTCTAAGAACCTTAAAGTAAAACCCCATTATCATAAAAACATAGTACAACAAAGTTAGAAAGACGACTTCAGATAAAACAGGTGGAGCCTATTGTGACAATTAGTCAAGAAACAATGAAATAAAAAAAACTGTATCACAGAAGAAAACGTTGCTGACAACCCCATAAGTCCTGGATTAAAACAAGCTCTTTGCTCATAACATTGGTCTCTCAACATAGCGTGACATAATCAGACATATAATTATGCACTTCCCAGTAGAGATACGCATGTAAAAGCTACAATGAGCTTTTCCAAAATCAAAACTGACACAGCACCTTCTGATAGTCCCACCATTCATATTTAGTAAAGCCTCCCTGTATTATCTCACCCAGTTTCTTTTTAACTTCCACCACATTGATTATTCCAATAATTTTCTATCAAATCTGTTCTGAAAAGACTCAAACTTTATCAAAAGAGCAATCACTAAGAAAAATTATTTCAATCCTGTTTCAGAAAAGCTTCATTAGAATCATCTATCTTTAAAGAAAAAAAATCATCTGAAGAAAAATTAGCCTCTTTCAAGAAAAATAAAATAACCCTTTGAATTATTATTGTGATTGTTGCTTTCTTATACCATAGCATTATGTTAGATGCTGGGATACCAAACTGGTATACCAAGAATCTCCTTAATGTTCAAGGATTATTTACATTTAATATACATTAAATTCATACATACAAAATTACTATTTAAAGTTTAAATATTTTCGATTGTAGTGGATGAAAACAGAAAAAGTCACTGAACCCCCAAAGTAGCAAACTTTCACTTCTTTCCATCTTTTTCACGAGATATTCCTTTTGTAAACACATTGACATTAGAAACAGATGTTCTGATAGGTACCACCGCTTCCTTGTGATCTGAAAATTGAACCTCCTAAACAAGGAATTCATCAATAAAACCTGTGTCCGCCAAGCAAAAAGCCAGGGGGTTGGGTGTTGGCATGTTGGCTATATAGCACTTATAGGCGAGACAACTCTAAACTAAGGTACCTGAGCAGGTTCAGAATCTTTTTTCGTCAAACCCACAGAGCTCTATAATAGAAAACATTTTGATCTCAAAAATGTTTAGCAAGCAAATCTTTTCTGGAACTACTGAATAACAATAAGAATTGCCAGGAAAACGTGAGGCTCTCTAACTACATATTGGCCATGCCTCTGATTCCATTCACCTGTCACAAATCTCCAAAATCAGCGCTTCAGAAACCAGAGAAAAGAGCGAGAGTGAGTCTCCCTTAACTTTGCCATTTCCCTCACACCATTTGGGGATAAAACTTGGGCGTCTCTCTGCCTCGACTGGTCACTCCACTTCCTGGAGCTCCAGAAACTCCCTCAGCACCTGGATAACTGCGACACTCACCCGTGAGCGCAGGACCCTCCTGGCGTCTTAAGTCCCAGCTCTCAGTCCCGCTGGCCGCAGGAACACAATGACATCTCTCGCCCAGGAGGGCGGTTGCAGGGAACCGAAATCGGACACAACAGTTGCAGTGAACCCGACTCAGGGTTGAGCGCATCAGCGCTAAACCCAAGACAAAGGCTGCCCTGTGTCTTCCGTACTCAGCGCTCTCCTTTGGTAATCGGTCCCCGTCCCCTTCAAGCCCACACTAGGAGCGCGTGAGCCTGTGAAGTGGCTGTCATCGACTCCGCGCTTTCCGAGGGGTGCGGCTCCGTGACTAGTACCACGCCGGTGTAAACAGCGCGCCGCGCACTGGGGATCCGCCAGAAACGGCGCGCGCGCAGAGCGGGCGCTGGGGGCCAATAGTAGCAACTACCCCAGGCTGCGGGCTGGAGCCGCCTCCTCTCACCAGAGAGGCGCCTACTGGGCGAGCCCGCCGCCCGCAGGTTGGGTGGCAGCACCCGCCGCGAACCCCAGCCACGCTCCCCAGTGGACCCACCAGGCAAAGGCACCTGCTGCCTGCCCTCCAGGGCTGATGCTGTGCCAAGCCCCGCTCGGGATCAGGGACAAGCCGCCCAGGACTACCAGCCGGAGAGAAGGGGCTCCCAGTGAGGCTGATTGAATGAATGATGTTTGCAGTCACTTACCGGCGGAGGGTGAAGTAGCTCAGGCGGCCGCCAGGCTGCGTGCGGCCGGCATCCCGGGGCGCGGGCATTCTCCCATCCTTTGTCAGTTGCGGGTGGAGCGCTCCTCCCCAGCTAGCGGACGAGCAGCCGGGTGGCAGGCAGCCCGGCTCTGGCTCGGCTCCCCAGTCCTCTCCCCTCCTCTGCTCCCCCTCCCCTTCTCCGTCCCCCTCTCTGAGCCGGCATTCACTGGGCTCCCATGATGTCATCCAGTGGAAATCTGCCATGCTCAAAGACTGGAATAATCCAGCGCTCACGCGGGGAACGCAGAGCAGGCGGAGGAGGCAACAGAGCCTCTAGGAGTTCCCAGAACTAGCATCTCCAGGTTAACTGGAGTCAAGGACAGGACATAGGGGAGTCTGCGGAAAGCAGGCTCCGAGGGTGTATGTGGGCCGGGTGGGCGCGGTGGGGATGGGGCCGGGGATGAAGAGCCTCTTCTTTGCCGTAAAGATTCCTAAATCAGTACTTAAACTGATGGCAGATGCCAAGGATAAGGAGAAAGTTTTTTTCTGGCTGCTCAGTAGCTCAGGTGCCCCATCTCGGTGATGGACACCTACACTGCAGCCACGATAATAATTAGAACCCCTGGAACCCTCAGAGCCCTAGTCACAATGAGAAAGTTTAGGATGTCTGACCAATGACAGCTTAAATGATGAGCAGCTAAAGTGAGGGAGAAAGATGTGTACTGTTTACAGGCGGGAGTCTGAGGCAAAACATTAAACAACGAGGGGACCTCAACAATCTATGACATGAACACCGAAAAGACCGCTGGTCTGAGGCAAGAAGGCACCAGTAGCAATTCACTCCTAGCCTTAGTATTGACCTCCTGTCTTCCCACCATATACTAATGGACACTCGAGAAGCGACTCTCTTGTGGCCTCACCCAAAGACTGTCATCAATGATGAAACTATTTAAATCACAAGGTTTATTGAAACTCATAAAAGGTGCGATGCCAAATCTTTTGCTCAAGATTCTATATAACATCAATAGAAGTTTTATTAGAGGAATAGACAAACAGCCTGAGTATTTTTGAAGATTCCGCTCTTTTCATGGAAACAGGCAGATACACCAGATCTGAGACCCAGCCCTACAGCAATCTAGAGCAGCTTCATGTCAAAAACTCTCCTGTTCAGGGACCAGATTTCAACAGCTCATGGTTTGTGCTCTAATCAGTCCAAGCTTCAAGGAGGCTCTTGAGTTCCCAGGATTACCTACCACCTGTCATTCCTGGAAGAGACTAAGCTTGCAGAGAAAAGTACCAGCAGCCAGTGCTGATTAGGCAGTCTTCAGTGAGAGTGCTGGGTGGGAACGTGCAGCCTCTGCCGCTGCATTCATCACCATTATCCTTTACAAGTGTGAAGACTAAGAATAACATTTATTACAAGTGTAGATACGGTTAGAAACTCCTTAATCTTTGTAAATACAAAGAGGACTCAATAAAATAATAACAACAACAATTTAAAGGCTACTCACTATCAGATAGGCTTCTTATTGCATTGTGAAATTGTGAAATCCAATGGGACTTTTCTGAGGAAAAAGTAATAAGTATGAAAAAGCAGCATCAGAAATTATTTTAAAAAATAAACTATCAGTGTAATGGATAAAGAAAATAATGGCACATATACACAATGGAGTAATATTCAGCCATAAAAGAGAATAAGATCCTGTCATTTGCAACAACATGAAGGAACTGGAGGTCATTACCTTAAGTGAAATAAGCTGAGCACAAAAAAGACCGACTTTGCATGTTCTCACTCATTTGTGGGAGCTAAAAATTAAAACACCTGAACTCACAGAGATAGCGATTCAAGTGATGGTTACCAGAGGCTGTACAAAAATATAGATAGATAGAATGAAGAAGATCTAGTATTTGATAGCACAACAGTGACTACAGTCAACAACAATTTATTGTATATTTTCAAATAACTGAAAGTATAATTGAAATGCTTATAACACAAAGAAATGATAAATTCTTGAGGCAATGATACCCCATTTTCCCTGATGTGAATATTACACACGGTATGCCTGTATCAAAATATTTCATGTATCCTATAAATATATATACCCACTATGTACCTATAAAAATTAAAAACTAATAGAGTATAAAAAAATTGTGATGCATGTACTTTGTGAAATCTATGTGTTCACTTTTATTTTCAAATTAAAATATTTTAGGGATCACTAGTATTTATATCATTATATAATAAGTAAAAAATAACATATCAAATGATTGAACAAATGTTAGAAACAAATATTTTTAAATACCAAAATAATAAAGATTTTTTTCAATCGGGGCCAAATGGGAAGTAAACCAGGAGAAAAGGTAAAAATTTGGAAATGTAAGTAATGGCAGTCTTTGAGAATAGGAAAACAATCTAATGGCTTGAAAAAAGTAATTAGTACTGCTAATGACACTGTTCTAAGTGCATCAGAAGGTCAAGTTGTAAACCTTCCCTAGGAGATTGGTTCTTTAATGCCCTATCTATCTTCTTTGCCTCTGTTTATCTTCCAGTTCTTCAGCATTCTCTGGACTAATTCATAAGAATGGAGACAAGAAGAAGGTCATAGTTAGCAGATCTGGGGAATTTATAATAGTAGCCATAAAGATCGGAAAATGCATCCTTCAGCTTTTTTTCTTTTTCATCACTGCTCTAAGGAATTAAAGCAAAACCTAAATCTCTTACTTTAAAGAAAAAATGCATTCTTACATGATAATGTATTTATTTCTGTGAAAATATCTTCAGTATGTGATTTGGGACTTTTTTGGGAATTGAAAATACTGTGCTGTGGCAATCACTCAGGACCCTGAACTTAGCAAAGTGAATTTACTGTATCTCTACAATAACTTCTTTCCTAATGTGTCCCAACCTACTAACACCTTTGCCTGTGCCACTGACATTTTCCACTACTACTGCATGCTTTTTTATTTGTAATTCTTAAAACGTGGTGTTTGAATATTTTGAAATATTTTTATCCAAATGGATGCTATAAATAACTAAAACATCTAATTGTTACATGAGAAAATGTAAAAGTATCGTAAGTCTTAGCCAAAAAAAAGTCTGAAATCATATTTTGCAAACCTAACTTACATTTGAATCACATTTAAATGGTGAATATATTAAACCTTGGAATTGAAGATTTAGAGTAGATATATTATTTCTGCCTCAATTATTGATGCTCTACTGTACCATTTTCATACTGATACATGAGTCTCTTCACAAAAGCAGCAAGTGCTTTGGTGGGAAAAATAGACATATTTTAACATTTTTTATTTGTGAATTCCACAGAATATAAACTTTTTATACTCTGGTTTCATTTAAATTGATAGACTCATTTATAGCTACTGACTTTTATTTTTATTCTTATTTGTTATTTATTTATTTATTGAGACAGAGTCTTGCTCTGTCACCCAGGATGGAGTGCAGTGGTGTGATCTCAGCTCACCGCAACCTCTGCCTCCTGGGTTCAAGCAATTCTCCTGCCTCAGCCTCCCGAGTAGCTGGGATCACAGGCATGCGCCACCACACCCAGCTAATTTTTTTTTTTTTTTTTTTTTTGTATTTTTAGTAGAGACAGGGTTTCACCATGTCGGCCAGTCTGGTTTCAAACTCCTGACCTCAGGTGATCCGCCCACCTTGGCCTCCCAGAGTGCTGGGATTACAGGCCTGAGCCACTGTGCCCAACCTTGACTTTTAAAAACAAGTTTTCCTACATACAAATTTGTTAATTGTTGATACATAATACACAGAAATAATATCAGTAAGTCCTTATCATGTGCCAAATACTGTGCTAAGTTATTATATGTTACTCCATCTGCTCTTCAAATCACCCCATGATACAAGTGTATTAACCTCTCTTGAAGATGAGGAAACAGAGACATACAGAGGTTACAAAAATCGTCCAGGCAACTAAACTAGTAACAAATCAAATTAAAATTTGAGTATATCAGCCTAAACATATAAAGTGTGTCCTCATAACAGCATACTTGCAAATTTTAGGTATTTTTTCCACTGAAAAAAATGAAATATGAAAAAATAAAATGTTATATACATGCATACATTATATATACATATATATACACACATATATATATTCTATTTGATGAAGTAAATAATATGATTTTGTGAACTTTTCCATCAGTTAACAAATTCATCACTAATTTTATTTCCATTATCCCTGCAAATGAAATGCTTTCAAAGTTATTTATGAAGAAAAAGAATCTCAGGCTACCAAATAAATTTTGGTTTTGGATCTATTCTTAAACAGTTTCAGACATAAAGCAAGGTACAGTGATTTTTGAACTTGAAGACAGATCATTGCAAAATGAAATAAAAAAGAAAAAGAGCCATAAACCATTCATTTGAATAAAGATAAAGACTACCTCAGCAACTATTTTCTCTGTACAGTTAATCCATCAGTAGCCCTGGGAGAGAAAACTACATCACCCATCCAAATGAAGGCTTTTCTTCCTACTGTGAATATTAACAAGGAAAATAGATCACTTTACATATTGGACCTGAAAGACCCAGTATGTTTTTTATCATAGAAAGTAATATTCCCTGGGCACAGATATATAACCAAAGCTTCTTTAAACAGAAAGGTTTAGTGTAGACTTTTTCAAAGTCTTTTTTTTATTTTATCTTGTTTCATAATTGCTGATGTTTGGCAACTCTGTTAATAAGGGTTATTTGAGAGAATGTGTGAAATGGTTAAAAGGTACACATAACAAATTATCATTTTTTTCAAAGTATGCTGCTAACTTGGCTTTTTGAATTAATTGCTCATTTATGATATAAACCATTTAAACAAACAAGGGCTATCTTGGTACTCATAAGATATGTTAGCAGGTACAAATTTATTTATTGCATACTTGGGATCTAAATATTAGTGTTATTTTGACTTTGGTTCCAGTACATTCTTCTATCATTAAATATCTTTATTTGACAGGACGGGGACCCATCCCGTGGCTTTAGTTAATTCTCCAGCTGCTTTGTCACTTATGCTGGTCATTGGCACTAACATGACATAGAAGAGGTCTTATATGAATTGCTTTTGTTTAAAGGTACAGGAAAGATTGAGGAAATTTTTTTTAGAAGGAAGAACTTATTGCAGAATGGACATACTGCTTGTGGAAAGCAAAGGAATCTCATTGTATATATACACATTCCTTCACAGCCTAATGCTATGAAGGAACATGTATATATACAATTTTCTCCTAAAATAAAGGTATTTGAGAAGTAAAGATGCTGATTTATCCTCTTAGACTGAGATTTTTCTTGAGAAAGTGCTCATATTATTCAGCTGTAACAGTAGTATTAGTGATCTGCTTTCATTATTTCCACCCTGATCCTGTGGCCATATATATTTCCTCAAATTGCTTCAATTACCTTGGTTGATCCCATTTATAGGCATGGGATTAAAGATAACACAGATCCAAATACGCCCAAAGAAAGATAATTTGCTGATCTTTTAGTCATAGTCCTTAATCTTTATAGCAGATGTTTTTCCCACAGCTATATCTTCTTAGCTATCATGGGGAAAAACCCTGACAAATATATTTTCTGAGGAAAAAACATATATATAATATTAGAGTCTTCTAATAGACATTCCTGATTTTCCAAGTCAACTTTAATTTCTGAAGTACCCTGAGAGTCGAATGGAAGAGCTCAGAGTACTATAACCTTGCTTCTGAATCTAGTTCTCTTAATGATGTCTTTTATGACTTACGTAATTCATTTCACCTAGCCACCTTATCTTCTTCATTTGGAAAAGGAAATTAATAACATCTGCCTTATATATCGCTCACTTCAGAGAGTTCTATGAGAAAAGAAAGTAGAGTGGAAGTATGATACAAAGGGAGTGTAATAGTTCTACAGATCTAAAGGGAGCCTCCTGAGCTACATCCCGTTCAGTGGTACAGGACACTCAATTATGTATAGCTGATAGTGGTGGCTATAACAAGAAGGGAAGAGAAAGAACAGGAGTGGAAAAAAAAGATCTATTCTGTTGGGGGTCTTTTTTATTTTTTATTCCTTTAGACATAAATATGGAACAGTGGAAGTGTGGCCTTTGAAAAGTTTTGAACCCCAGCTTACCATTTACTATAACTTAATTAATATATTTTAATGTCTCTGAACCCCACTTGCTCCTCTAAAATACAGTTAATTTTTCCTCAGTTTAATTTTTTGAAAATCAAGATATTTGTTCATCCACAGTGTGCTTTTAAGGTAGTACTAATTTTCACCTCTGCAAAAGTTATTTTATTAGTTGTAACAAGGAGTAGTAATGTAGACTTAAGGAAATAAGATGCTATCTCAAAGAAGGAAGGAGAAATTAATCTGTTTTGTTAATAATATAACCAAGACACTCTAAATGGTTCCTGGAAAATATTGGTTGAATAAATGAATGTATGATTGGATCACTGTGATGATTCAGTAAAATAATGGAATATAGACAACATCTAGTGCTATGGTGTAAATATTTATGTCCCTGCAAAATTTGCAAGCTGAAACCTAATCATAAAATTTATGGTATTAGGAGCTAAGGGCCTTTGACAGTGATTAAATCATGAGAGCAGAGCCTTCATGAATGTGATTAGTGTCCTTTTAAAAGAAGCCTAAGAGAGCTTCCTTGCCTCTTCCACCACACGAGAACACAGCAAGAAGTTTCAATCTATGAATCAAGAAGTAGGCCTTCACCAGACTCTAAATTTGCCAGCATCTTGATTTTACACTTCCCAAGCTTCAAAACTGTGAGAAATATGTTAACATTGTTTATAAGCCACTCACTTTATAGTATTTTGTCAGAGTAGCCTGAATAGACTAAGACACCTAAGATAATACCTATCAATTAGCAGCTGATCAATAACTAATATAACTTGAAATCCTGGATTCGGGGCAAATTGCATTCCAAAGGTTTTTATCCTTTGTTTTTTTTAAAAAGGGAATATAAGTTATATACTGCATTTTGTGTAGTATCCCACTGTTGTTTGGGGCAGCGCCATAAAATCAAACATAGTGATATGTCTGCAGTGAAATATATAAAGATTCATGCTGAGTGTGATAAAATGAGCCTCATATCATTTCATGTCAGTTCTCTGCCAAATGAGTTGTGAAAATTTTTTTATTTTTTAGATATTTCTAGACATTAGAATAAGAATTAACATTTATTGAATATCTACTATATGTCAGGCACTGTTCTAAGCACTTTACATGTATTAATTTAAGCCTCATGCAATGTTCTAAGGTAGGTAATCTTATTTCCATTTTATATTATAGGAGAGAAAACATGCTCAGAAAGGTTAAACCCTTGCTTTATTTGGGTTATAAAGTAAAGCAAAATGAGTCTAGAAAGATTTGTGTTAAACATTATAAAACTAAAAATAACTAAAAATAATTAGGAAGAACATAAAAATAGACATTTATGACAGAAAGAAAGGAATATCTAAATTACAAGCAATGAAATAAATTATAGATAAAATAGTAACATTTTATTAAATATTATATAAAATTTCAGAACACCAAAAATACTACATACAAATTTAAAGTTTAATAAACTAGAATAAATTTTTGCAACAGATATATTTGGTATATTCAATATATATAGAAATCAATAAAATACTAAGACCTCAGTAGATTTCTTAAAAAGATATAAAGAAATCACACAAAAAAGAACTACTTGCAGAAAAGAACTAACATTGAAGTTTAAAATTCAAGTTTAAAAAATCTGAGACACAATTTTTCAAGTATCAAGTAAAGATTTTCATAACTTGTAATACTTTCTTCGGGCAAAGGAAGAGTTGTATATATTGTAGATATAAACATATGTTCGTTCAAGCTTTCTAGAAAACATTGGCAGCAAATGCCAAATGCTTTAAGACTTCCTATAGCCTTTGAGGTAGTGATTAAATTTCTTTAGGTTCTGCTATAGAGAAATAACCAGAGATACAGGGAAAATATGTTTATCCACAAACATGTTTCAGCAGAGAGTAATTCATAATATTATTTGTAAAAGGAAACCAGTGCTTTCAAGGACAGATGTATATAAAACAACTTCAAATAAATGAAGAGGGAAATATTGTTTGAACTGACCAATACACCACTTTTCAACACATTGCTGAGCCGAACAGAATAGGTGATGTCGTAAATTCATAGTTTAGTTTCCCAATGGCACATTAACAAGTCCTCTAGAGAGTTGTCGCCAGGGAACCTGAGACCCTGAAGCCATATATATAGGTAAGAGAGTTTCTGTACAGTTGTCCTCATCCAGGTAAGAGGGTGATTTTCACTGCAAAGATATTTTTTCCACAGTGAGTGATGACAACTTGTGAAATTGTTACGCTCCACTGTGGACCTGTATGCTGTCCCTTTCTCTGAATCAGTTGTTAATACTATAACTTTAGGGCAGTATTAATTTTTAAGCCTCTGGGAACCAGATTAACCCAACTAGAGTCAAATAAAATAGCAATTTTAGCCATTAAAAGTGAACCTCATGCAATGTATTGACTTCTTTTTCTTAATTCCAGCTCCAGCTCTTCTTCCTCCGTGCTCTCTGTTTTGTAATAATTTTCTTGGTAAATAGTTCCAGCAGCCATTCAGGTTTCCAAACAAGGAATCTAAATATTACTGGAAGATATTTCCTCTCACTTGCACCCCATTGGAATAATCAATATTTTATATACTACTACTATATACTACTATTCTACATACAACTATTTCTAATTATTTTATTTTGATTAAACATTACTTTTAAAAAAAAAAATGAGTGGCATCATTTTGGTGGTGACATTGTCACCAAGACCTTTGCATAAAAATCTCTTGAGTTGTTCCCCTTTTCCATATTCTTTGCAATTGTACTCATTTAGAACCTTTCACCTTGTGCTGGCCTGTTATCTTTAGCCACCTTAAATTTACCCTTACACCCTTCCTTCTCTTTCTCTATGCCCTAAAGAACCATCCTCTTTGGCATTTTCCTTGCCCTTCGGCTTCTGGTTGGGTTCTGTTTGGAGACACCAGAAGGATTTAGAGGGTGGAAAGAAGGAGAGGTGGGTTTGTATTTCCCCCATTTCCTCCATGCTTCAGTGTGGTTCTAAAATATGCTACTTTGCTTCATCATGATAGATTCTCCCATGTTTCCAGCCATCAGCCAGGCTTTCTTGATACCTTAAGGTTAGTAGGCTTAAGGGTAACCATGGCTTCCCAGTCTTGATAGTTCTAACCTGTTTTTTTTTTAACCCTACTCACATAGAAGTATTTTCTTTACTAAAATGTACATCATTAAAAAGTCAGGAAACAACAGGTGTTGGAGAGGATGTGGAGAAATAGGAACACTTTTACACTGTTGGTGGGAATGTAAACTAGTTCAACCATTGTGGAAGTCAGTGTGGAAATTCCTCAAGGATCTAGAACTAGAAATACCATTTGACCCAGCCATCCCATTACTGGGTATATACCCAAAGGATTATAAATCATGCTGCTATAAAGACACATGCACACGTATGTTTATTGCGGCACTATTCACAATAGCAAAGACTTGGAACCAACCCAAATGTCCACCAATGATAGGCTGGATTAAGAAAATGTGGCACACATACACCATGGAATACTATGCAGCCATAAAAAACGATGAGTTAATGTCCTTTGTAGGGACATGGATGAAGCTGGAAACCATCATTCTGAGCAAACTATCGCAAGGACAGAAAACCAAACACGGCATGTTCTCACTCACAGGTGGGAATTGAACAATGAGAACACTTGGACACAGGATGGGGAACATCACACACCAGGGCCTGACATGGCATGGGGGGAAGGGGGAGGAATAGAATTAGGAGATATACCTAATGTAAATGACGAGTTAATGGGTGCAGCACACCAACATGGCAAGTGTATACATATGTAACAAACCTGCACGTTGTGCACATGTACCCTAGAAAGTATAAGAAAAAAATAAAAATAAATTTAAAAAAGAAATCCCAGTATATTGTGCTATCTCTTTCCTGTTAAGACACAAGAGTGGTACACACTCCTTTTCCCTATCGCTGAAATGGCCTCTATTGATTTCATGCCTATAGTCTTACCCTCACCACACTTTCTGTGCAAAACATCCTTCAGCCATTGACAGAGTATCCTTTCTCAAATGCAAACCTGATAGTGCCATTCTATCCTCAGCACACTCATCAGTATTCCCCATTGTCATTGGAAGTAGTTTCCAACCAGAGAGTTGTTGCTAAAAATCCTTATCACCCAAGCATTTTCCACGAAATAATCAAAGTCTTGTATATGCATATACTACTATTTTTAAGAACTATGCTACTGTGATTAATTAAATGCCTGCTCGTTTAAAACATGACATGCTTCATACTGACTTTATCATTACATGTTTCTGCAAATAATCAAACATTCCATTGTATATGTCAAAATAATCTTTACATTCAAATATAAAATCTAGATGCTAATTTTCCAGTTTATTCTTCTATTATTCACCCACATGCACTTACATTTTATTTAAGTGCCACATTCTCTCTGCATCTTCACTTTAGGTAATGTTTTTCCTATTTCTGAAAGGTACTCTTCCATACCCAATAACCCTTTCATGGCAAATTCTTCCCATATTTTTAATAGAAATATTACATTGAATGTCAATAGACTAAATTTTTATTTAAGTATTTTATGTGCATTGTCTCATTTAATACTCATTATAATTACTGAGGTGAAGTTTAAGAGGTTTGTACAGGTTTACAAATCATAAAGTGTAAAATTAAGACTTGAAATCAGACCTGATTTCACATCTACACCTTAAAATGTAAAATGTATTTTCCAATAAGATGCTAATCCAGAAGATAAAAAAATTACATACTCTAAAAACTCTCTTACATGGCCATTCTCATTTTAATTTCCATGCCACTTTGTACATATTTTCTCATACTATACTGCCATGATGTGTTTGCTTATCTTTCCCACTATGCTATGAGATCTTTAAAGATGAAAACTTTTTCTTGCATTTTGTTTGTTCATCTTTTGTTTTACTTTGCTTCCAGAACTTGACAGCATAACTGAGTATCAAATATACAATAATTTATCAATAGTATTAGTGCTTTATAAAGGAATCATACTACTTTAATATTAAAATGAAGCAATGTCTTTTAGGAGTTATTGCATTGCAACATTTCCAAAAGTGCCCATTTAGTTTATATCCTTGATTCAATACCAGATTGATGTGCACATAGTGTGGCATCTGACCATCCCATTGTGACAACTGTGTACTTTATTCTTGTTTCTTTATTAAGTTACCCAATAATGATTAATTGACCATATGTGTTAAGAAATGCCAATTATTCTGTTAACTTTAACTGACTTCTTACATATATGAGTGCTGATAGTAGTTATTTTTTTGTCGCCAATATTATACATTGTAAATTATCTGCACAGGGAAAAACACTGTTTACCTTGATGTCTTCATTTGTAATGTTTGTTGTTTCTAATTTACTCAATTATATAGACCAAATTTAGAAGATACATATAGGAAATGGAAAAGCAGTCAAACCTTTATATTTCAACCATAAAATCAATACATAAGAAAAAATAAATATTTAAACGTTGTTTAGCCACAAAATATTTTGTGAAAGATAAAGTTTATGAGAAATCGAATTGCAATCCAATTAATTCCATGAAAACATGCAATAATGATAACTAATATTTATTGGGGTTTGTTAAATGCAAGGCATTGTCTGAGTGATTTACATGCATTAACTCATTTAATCCTCACAACTATGTGCAACAGACATTGTTATTTTCCTCATTTTATAGGTACAAAAACTGAAGTGAAACAAAGAAAAGCAACTTGCAAAGGTTATGCAACTAATGATGTCCCAAGTGGTATTTAGAACTCAGGTAGCTTACCTCTAAGACTGCTTAATTACTATGCAATGCTACCTTTATTAAACAATTGCTAATTGAATTATTATTATGGAATACAAGAAAATTGCATTAGAAATCAGGGAGTCCCTTTGCCCATTTTCTTGCCCTGACTAGTAAAAATGAGCTCAATGAACCGTCATAATTAATTGCCATTAAGCATAAAATCATATCAGTAATTTTTCTTTACCCTTACAAGGCAACCTCTGCATATAATTTGATTTCCCATGTAACAGGAGTATATTGTAGTAATTGAAAGCATACTTACTAGAGCCAGTTCGCCTGAGTTCGAATTTTGGTTCCACCATTTTCTAGTTCTTTATTTCAATTTCCTCACCTAGAAAATTAGGTCAATAAGAGTATTGATTGTATAGGGTTGATGTGATGATCGCATTACTTAATACATATGAGGTACTTTCAACAGTGCCTGGCACAGACTTAGTTGCTAGTTATTACTATTTTCTTACTAAAAGTAGATTATGTAAATGTTTGGTGATAATTCATTAGGTAGCATTATGTGGAAATGAATAAGCTATTATTCCAATATATAGATTAGTCTATTGTGTCCTTTATTCATAGGAATTCTCTTTTACAGGTTCTGAAGCCCATGTAAGGTTGAGACACATCATTAGACTTGCGTTCACTAATAGGTTTTAATTTGAGAACCATCTGTAAGAAATTGATAGTGGTTGCTTGGGTAAGCAGTTGAGATTCTTGAGATCACATAAGTACTCGGCAGGAAAGAGTGTTTTATTGGATTAGTGGTTATGCTGTGGACTTGGGTCAGTAAGCTTGAGTTAGCACCCTGGACAGCACTTTGCCCATCAATAATCAGATAGAAGAAGCAGGAGCAGGCTGTGTAAACAGATACGTTGGGACCTGGCATTATTTAGAAATTGGAATAAATATACACATGTGTGTATGTAACTCAATTTATATCTTACATTCATAGAAGAACTTAATTATTCTATTCGTGAAAAATCAAGATTATTCTGGTAGCTAAATATGCCAAGCAAAGTAGAGAAAAAGAATAGCTAAAATTTCATCAAGGCTATATTGTTTCTGTCCTTCTTACTCCAAAATAATGCATATTGTTATTTTCCTAATTTTTCTAAATCATTAATTAATTTATTTTTATTAAATTGAAGCTTATTGGACCTAAAGTGTTGGAATTTATAAGATTGGTAAATGTTGGCAATGATGTTTATAAGTCCTATTTTATTTAATAGCAATTTATGCGCTGCAAGGGAATGGTACTTAAATAAAATATTTTAAGAATACATAAGTGGTTTTTCTCCCTGGAGGATCATTCCAGTGTCAATATATACCTTCTTCTCAAAACATATTAGTACTATGTTTTTCAATATTTTACCATAGAATTATAAATTCTCAGTGTGCTTCTACTATAGTGACAGAATTAAGTTTAATTCTGTTTCCCTGCAGTTAAAAATAAGGCAAATTAACGTCTGAATTGACCTTAATACTTAGTAACTTCTCTTCAAGGCACTAAGTTTCCATAGCAGGCAGTTGGCTTTCCTTGGCAAAATTTTTATCTTCACACTTGTCTTCCAGTTCTAAATTGATTAAGCCCTTCCAAATTCCTTTTTTCTTTTCCTTTTTTTTGTTAGTAGTTGTCTCATACAAAACTTATTCACCATAGAATACTATGCAGCCATAAAAATGAATGAGTTCATGTCTTTTGCAGGGTCATGGATGAAGCTGGAAACCATCATCCTCAGCAAACTAACACATGAACAGAAAACTGAACAACACATGTTCTCACTCATAAGTGGGAGGTGAACAGTGAGAACACATGGACACAGGGAGGGGAACATCACACACCAGGGCCTGTCGGGTGGTAGGGCGGAAAGGGAGGGAGAGCATTAGGACAAATATCTAATGCATGTGGGGCTTAAAACCTAGATGACAGGTCGATAGGTGCAGCAAACCACCATGACACATGTATACCTATGTAACAAACGTGCACATTCAGCACATGTATCCCAGAACTTAAAGTAAAATAAAAATTAAAAATCCAAAAATTAAGAAAAAAACTTATTTTATTGTTTTAGCTTTAAAAATACTGTTTATTTTTAAGTTACTTGATTAGGACAGGTATTTTCAGATTTTTTAGGAATGCATTTTACAGAAAAAGATGTAGATTTTCAAGAAAAAGATTCCAAGAAAATAAAAATATTGTTAAGTGGTTGGCTCATGGAAAGAGAAGAGGAAGTAGACCCTCCTAGAATTGTATAAAGATGTTTCCTTTCCACTAACGGTAACTCAAACCTTCTGAAGGACCATTGATTGCCCTGTGCTTGATGAAACAAGGAAGAGTCAGGCTCTATCAGGTTCACACAACCCATTCCAAGCCCTAAATTTTAGTTTCTCTTTCTATGGTAAACTGTTGCCTGGAAGAAACCTATTTTTTTTTCAAATATTTATCTTTTATTTCTTTTGTATACCTGAAACATTGTACCCTATGACCAATACATTTATATTCTAACCACCGTCCCCCAGCGTCTGATAACAATCATTCTATTCTCTGCTTCTGTGAGTCTGAATGTTTTAGATTTTACTTATAAGCGAGAACGTGAGATATTTGTCTTTCTGTGCCTGGTTTATTTCACTTGGTACAATATCCTCCAGGTTCATCCATGTCATTGCGAATGACAGATTAGCCCTCTTCTTAAAGGCTGAATAGTATTTTACTTTGTGTACACACCACATTTTCTTCATTCATTCATCTGTTGATGTACACTTAGGTTGATTCCGTACCTTGGCTATTGTGAATAGTGCTACAATAAACATGTAGTGCAAATATTTTCTTGACATACTAATTTTATATCCTTAAGATATCGAAGCAGAATTGCTCGATCATGTGGTAGTTCTAGTTTTTGAGAAACCTCCATGAAGTTTTCCATAATGGCTGTATTAATTGACATTCCTATCAACAGTGCACAAGGATTCCTTTTCCTCCACATCATCACCAACCATTATCCTCCATTTTTTATGATAGCCATCCTGACAGGTGTGAGGTGATATCTCATTGTGATTTTAATTTTCACTTTTCCAATGATTAGTGACATTGACCATTTTTCATGTATCTCTTGGCCATTTGTATGTCTCCTTTTAAGAAATATCTTTTTGGGTCCTTTGCTATTTTTTAATTGGGTTATTTGTTTTCTTACTATTGAGTTGTTTGAATTCCTTACATATTTTGGATACAAACCCCTTATCATCAGATGTATGGTTTGCAAATATTTTTTCCCAATCCACAGGTTGTCCATATTACTCTGTTAATTGTTTCCTTTTCTGTGCAGAAGTTTTTAGTTTGAAGTAATCCCATTTGTCTATTTTTGTTTTTGTTGCCTGAGCTATAAAGGTCAAATCCAAAAACTCACTGCCAAGACAAATGTCATGAAGCTTTTTCTCCTGTTTTCCTCTAGTGGTTTTACAGTTTCACATCTTTACATTTAAGCCTTTAATCCATTTTGGGTTGACTCTTATATGTAGTGTGAGTTAAGGACCCAGTTTCATTTATTTATTTATTTATTTATTTATTTATTTATTTATTTATTTGAGATGGAGTCTCGCCCTGTCACCCAGGCTGGAGTGCAATGGCACAATCTTGGCTCACTGCAACCTCCACCTCCTGGGTTCAAGCAATTCTCCTGCCTCAGCCTCCCGAGTAGCTGGAATTACAGGCACGGGCCATCATACCAGTTTCATTCTTCTGCATGTGGATATCCAGTTTTCCTAACACTTTTCATTAAAGAGAACTTCCTTTTCCCATTTTGTGTTCTTAGCACCTTTATCAAAAATCAATAGACCATAAATATGTGGGTTATTTGGGGCTTGGCTGTTTGGTTTCATTGGTCAATGTGTTTATTTTTATGCTATTCATATGCTGTTTTAATTACTATAGCTGTGCAGTGTCGCTTAAAACAAGATAGTGTGATGGCTCTAACTTTATTCTTTTTGCTAATTTCTTTGACTATGTGGTGTTAAAATTCCTTTTTTTCTAATTGCCATCTCTTCCTCTCTTTGATCCCTCCTCTAGATTCCTATAGCACAGTATTGCTGCCTTTTTTTAACTTTTACATTTTTTGTACCACATATGAACATTCCTTACTCTATTACACATCAGCTACTTGAAGACAAAGATTACAACTTCTTCACATTTGTAATTTTAACATCATTTAACATGTTACACATGACAGACCCTTAAAGAAAATTTACGAAAGAATTTTCAAATATTTTGGATATCAACTTGTTTAAAGGAGCATGGACTGGAGGGTGCTTTGTGGTATGCAGAACATTCTTCTTTTGATAAGTTTTAAGAAAAATAAGATAATGATGAATTTTACAAATAATTTGCAAAAAAGCTCAAAAGGCAGAACAGAAGGACTTTTATCAGCTTAGGAAAAAAATACCATGAAATATGTGGAAATATTTGGCATATAGAAATATGAATTTTACCTTCAAGGACAATAGTCACATTGTTCACCATAGTCAGATGTCCATAAGCCTATCTTTAGCATGTGTTCTTTTAGTAGATGTTTGCCCACTCTGATGAATTAAAGAGCAGTAGTTGAATTCTCTGTTGAGGCAGCAATAGTCACTTAAGTTTATTTATCACATGAGTGCACTATCAACATAACACTACAGGGTGACAGTTTTCTGAGATCTTATAGGACTAATTTAAAAAGAATCAGTATCACTGAGCTCCCTCCACTAGGATTTTATTCAGACTAGCTGGATTTTCAGAGTTATCAAGAAAACAGGTACAACTGCACTCCTCAATGGATTCTAATTAGTATTTTTTATGACTAACAGATCTCTTTTTTACATTAACCTTTTTCTGTGTACACTTACCCACTTTTTTGACTATGCTGAGATGTAAAATTGTTCTCATTAAATTAGACTAAAGAGATAAGAATGATAATTTTTTGAGCTATACCAAACTATGCCGGGGAAAAATGCAAAAAAAGTAGATACTTCTGTTCCAGGTACAGTCTTACCACAAAAAAAAGTATTGATCATAGAGATAAATTTCTAAAACTTGCAGAAAGCAGCATTTTCTTGTTTGTACATTCCACAGTCTGGGTAGCAGGATTAATAATCATCAAATATAACAGCTCAACTAGTTTTGCTATGTCCATTAGTCTTGCTTTAAAACATTTCCCATTATTAAGAAACCTGTCATAAGATAAATACTTTGATGCAATAATATCCTCCGAATACACTGGCAGGCAAAGTGCCAAATGCCACAGAGCAAAAAGGCTCACAGAGCAAACTAAGATATTCAATTAATTGGTGTATATAATTAATTAAAATGTACAGTGAGCTACAAGTGGGATAAGATGACATAGTTGGCACACTTGAGATATTGTGCGAGTGGAGTGGAAAACCATACTACCTAACTTCCAGACTGTGCAATGCTCATGTTCATATCTCTCCTCTCTCCCTCCATCTTTCTCTCCATCTCCATCTCCACCTTGATCTCCCTCTTTCTCTTCTGAACCATACTATCTTACTAACGGTATGGCTGCAAGCACCAGAATTGATGTTTCAGTAAATAACCCCAACAGTACAAGAGACCTGGGACAAGCACATACAATTGCTTTACCAGAGAGATGCAAGGCAAATAGATCAATTGCTGTACTCACCAATTAGCCCTGTGGGAAGCTATAAATTTTATTTGTATTTCTTCAGTAGGAGACATATGGGGCCAGAATTAATGCTACCAGTGAGTAACTACATGAAAACTTTAGAAACACCTAATGGCTTATATATATTTAGTACTTCATGAGTAGTATGTGTAGTATGTGTTTCATATATATTCAGTGTTTCATGACTATTAGGTGTCTTGATGTCTCTATCTTTTTATAGCTATGTTCAACTTATACTCTGCTGACTACCTCAGTATCTTTACTTAGCATCTTATGGATTCTCTCTATATCTTACAAGCTTTTTGTTTCTACTGTATATATACTTAACACATATTATGAGTTTTGCCTATATATTACCCTTCTATTGTACACTCAAATATTTTAAAATCATTTATAACAAAACCTTTGTAGCAATATTAAAATTGTGTCACTACATTCAAAATGTATGACACATTTAAAACATTCAGAGGAAAGTAAAATAGAAAAGTTAGCATATGTGGCAGGATATATATATGGCTTGCAGTAAGCCATATTAGTAAAAGATAAAAATTCTTTCAATTGAATGAACTAGCATTTGAAGGGATTGGGGTTATACAGACAAGAAAGTTCAATAAATTCGGAGATAAATGTATTTGCTGTAATGGTCTGAATAGGCTAAGTTATGTTGTCTTTATAGAACCCTCAAAATCTCAACCTTAAAATTACAAAGGCTCATTTCTCATGTATTCTTTATGTTCAACACAGGTTCAGCAATGGGCATATTATATTATAATAATGCCACCATTGCAGTACAAGGTTTTATGGTTTATCATGGCAAGAGATAAGTGAATGAGGAAACTGCACTAGTTTTTATGTGTTTCCATCCAGAAGGGCTTCATTCACATTTTATTGCCCAAAGCCAGTCACTTTGCCACACATAGTTTCAAGGAGGTATGTAGCAAGAAAGAAAGGAAAACTGGAAGTTTGGAAAGCACCGGTAAAGTCTTCCACAGTAGCTATTAACATGAAAGCAGCAGAACCTCACCAAATTCAGAGTTAACATTGAAGAGTGAAACCTATATTTATATGTGTGTGTGTATAAATGTACACATATATATATATATGTACATAAATCATCAGGATGAACTGAATACAACTACATTCCTAATCAGCAGAAAGTTTGGAATCAAAAGAACTGGTATTATTAGAATGGCTCCTCCCTTACTAGGTTGTTCAGACTCATTCATAGTTGGTCGTTGTAATGTAAACATACAACTTGTCCTTGTAATATCAACAGGCTCTGTAATTTGTCAAATGCTCCTTGGAACAAAGAGGTCAAGATGATTCATTCCAAGATAGAACAGTCCAAGTAACATTAATATATAAATGTTTTCCCCATGCAATACTACCCTATGCAGACTTTGAAAGAAAATTAATAATCACCTTGGCAAGACATCATGATTTTAGGAAACTTGTGAGGAGGGCAGCAGCAGCACTTGCTGAGGGAGTGCGGGATACTGAGCTAGCATGAGAATGCCCACCAGCTCTAAAAAAAGAATCCACCCTGCTTTCCTAAGTACCAGGAACGAGTGATCAAAAAAGCTCCACTCAGCCTCCAGATTGAGGCTGAAATGCTTGAGTTAACAAGACTCAAAAGGGCACCTTTCTTCCAGGGAAAAGATGGAGAGGTAAGAGGGATGTTTGCCTTTTAATTACAAGAAATTTTCCACTTGTAGAAAACAGGGAAAATTATTAATACAGTCCACATACTTAGTTTATGTTTTTGTATAACATAAATCTGGTCCTTCGAGAAAAGAACTGTCTGTTTTATTCTCAGGAAAGCTGTCCTCAAAAAAGATAGTATTTGATCACTGATCCTCTTTTTTTTCTTTCTTTCTTTCTTTCTTTTTTTTTTTTTTTTTACATGAAGTCTCACCCTGTGGCCTGGCTCAATGCAACCTCTGCCTCCCGGGTTCAATTGATTCTCCTGCCTCAGCCTCATGAGCAGCTGGGATTACAGGAGCCTGCCACCATGCCAAGCTAATTTTTGTATTTTTAGTAGAGATGGGGTTTCACCATGTTGGCCAGGCTGGTCTCAAACTCCTGATCGCAGGTGATCCACCCGCCTTGGATTCCCAAAGTGCTGGGATTACAGGTGTCAGCCACCACACCTGGCCCCTCTTGCAAGTTTTTAAGCAAGATGATACTGAAAGACCTCTAAGCCCTTCAACTCCATCTTTGAGGATAGTGAATGAAGCTACCATCACTGACCAGCAACTGCAGACTACTGTAGACCTACACATGACTGACATAGCTTCAGTGATGCCAAGACTGAATCTCCTGCTTTTAACATTCCCCCTCACACACATAGAGCCCATGTACACACTAGAGGATTGGAGCAAGAGAGGGAGAACTAATACATCTGCATTACTTGTAGAGCCTTAAAAAAAATGCACTTCAACTCTCACTCTCATTTTCTCATCTGTAAAATAGAATGGTAATATCTGCACCATTTTCCTCACTCTTAAACTGCGAAGATCAAATGAGTAAGTGCATATGAAAAGCCTCTGAAAGTGTCAATAGCTAGTTTTGTCATTAACAATCTGTTTATATTGAGTATTTATATCAGGTAGTCATAGTTTCTATATACACTTTTCTTTCCAAAACAAGTCATTTTCTAGTGGAAGAATGTTTCATCTGATATTTGGATTATGTATTTAATTGTAAAGGTAAACATATCTCCTGGAAGCACACTTATTGCAGATCTCCCTTTATAGCAAGGTATCCCACCTGTAGATTTAAAAGTGATGAGAGGGTTTATTTTAAAAATTAAATAATCTAAATCATCTTAAGAGAATATATAATACTAACTTTTTAGTGGTCAACACATCAGTTATTAAACAAATCTCAGCTGATAAATGTTTATACTTTATTATTACAGCTATTAACAACACAACCTGTATAAAACTGTAATAACCTTGTTATCTATTTTTATAAAAAATTTTGGACATGATTTGATAATTTTATAGAATTTTAGGATATTAAACTCAAAAGGATCTTAGAAATCATTTCAACCATGTCTGGATTAAAGAAACCAAGGCCAAGAAAACTTATGTTGCTCTTATAAGATTCTATAGTTAACCATTGGCAGGATTGTAACTTTAACTTACAGTCACATTATCAAATAATGAATTTTTAAAACCTTTACAAAGAAACCATCTTCATTTTACATATTAGAGAGAATATATACTGTAGTGATTAATGAATAAAAAGAAGTTTTTCTTCAAAACTAATAAATGAAAACAAATATACCTATAATTAGTCAAATGGTGTACCATTGAGCATTAAATATGAATTAATTCCACGATGTATAAAAAACCCCCACAATTTTAAAAATAAGTATGCAGTATATGCAATGGATTAAACAGTGCCTAAAATATTTGAATTTACTTTTAATTCAAATACTAATTCTAAAAGAGAATTAATGAAAATTATCTAACAACGGATTCCAAGACCTCCAGAAAGTATCAATTATGTGTCTGTCTGTGTATTCTGTAAAATATCTGAGTCTTTACAATTTGGTATACACCAAATTTATATATTTTTTTTCTTTTGAAATGCAATGCAGCCATAAAAAAGGATGAGTTCTTGACTTTTGCAGGGACATGGATGAAGCTGGAAACCACCATTCTCAGCAAACTAGCACAAGAACAGAAAACCAAACACTGCATGTTCTCACTCATAAGTGGGAGCTGAACAATGAGAACACATGGACACAGGCAGGGGAGTATCACACGATGGGGCCTGTCGTGGGGGTGCAGGGCTAGGGGAGGGAGAGCATTAGGAGAAATACCTGGTGTAAATGACGGGTTGATGGGTGCATCAAACCACCATGGCACATGTACGCCTATGTAACAAACCTGCACATTCTGCACATGTACTCCAGAACTTAAAGTATAATAATTTTAAAAAGAAAAAAATCTGAGTCAACCTAAGGTTTCTGTGAAATGAAAACTATACTACACTCATCAAAATAACTTTTAAACATGGTACTTTACAATTTAAAATGTGACTATATTTTAAGCTACTAGATTTCTAAGGCCAAATTCTCATTTCTTAACCTGACTCTGTATCTGTTCAATGCTTTCGATAGAGTAAATTTTTTCTTCTTTTAGATAATCACCATTAATTTGCCACAAAATCATGTTGGTGGAAAAAGAAGGATAGTAGATGATTTAATAAAAGTAGTTATAATATTAATAAGATTTGAGTTCAATGGCACTAAAATAGGAATTGGGCATTCTATGTAGTATATTACACAGGATAAAGACTGAATAATACACTTCAGGGGGAAAAGAAATTTGTTTTCACCTTTTATTCCTTGGTATAGAATAAATAGGAAAAACTCTCTTAGGAGAAATTCATAAAATGTGAATCAATTTTATGATGTTGATCTAAGAGGTCATAAAATACTGAGTTGAAATTTATCATCAAATTCTACTATGTAGGGAGCTCAGCATTCAGCACTACATTTATTGACAAAGAAATAGGAAACTATATGAGTTCTATTATCCCCTTTGAGGAACTGGTGTGAGCAGCATCAAGGGGACCTCAACCTCTTAGACTAAATAAAGAAACATGGTAAAGCTATGGCAATGCCCAATAACTTGCATGGCTGGGGAGTGTCATGACATGACTGGTATCATATGATGACAGGATCATGTTGGGCTTCTGTCCTGTTAGTCATCTAAAACATCAGGCTTTGATGTAATCAAGAGTGTAAAATATCTGTACTCAGTAGCTCCCATAGGATTTGAACAGAAATTGAATGAGCTCCAACATCTGTACAAAACTCATTTAAGGTACTTGATATTTGAAAGCTGTTTCATAATGATTGTGTTTATTACTTACTTAATAGAAAGGTGCCATGTTCTGACATTGCTTTGAGCTTGACCATCAGGAAAAAAGTTTCTGTACAACTTTATCTCCGCTTCTCACAGAACTACCTTTGATTAGTTTTAATTCAATGTCAAACTCTCTATTTTTATGGAGGATTAATTACAAAAATGAATTGTACAGGCTTTCCTTACTGATTGTAAAATTGTGCTTAAAGATACTGTACCTGCTGTTGCTTAATGTCCTCTATCCAAGGACACACATGTTCAATTTGTGCTTTAGTTTAGTTCAACAACAACAAAATCATCTTTGTAGATAGATGTGCATACTTTCAGTTGTCAGGAGATGAAGGCCGTGTTTCTTTATTTTTTTTTTCTTTTTAAATCTTAGCCAAATGAAAACACAGCATCAAATTACTCACCAAACACTGTAATTCAATTCTGGTCCTGAAAACATTTCACTTTTTCTCCTAAATGTGTACTTTCAATAGACAGTTTTGAACTCTTTTTAAATCAGTAAACTTCCTTAAAACTCTATTTTCAATCCTGGCTGCTTCTGCTCCGTTTATCTGCCATTCTCTTTGCCTTTCATTTGGAGGCCAATTCCATACAGACATTGAGCCTAAAGTGACCAGGAGAATGAATACATTGGGAAGCCTCACCTAATGAGAATTCCTGGTCTGAGACAAGATGATGCAGTATTCTGTGAGCTGGGATAGAACATGGATATCTGGATCCCCACTTACAGCAGGCTTCTCCTCTTCATCATTTTTTCTTATTGTGAATCCAGTCTGGAAAACCGTGTTTTTGCCTAAGTGTCAAAATAAGCATACCATGTTCCTTTCTTAAGATGGAGTCCTACTCTAGACACAACTGACTTTGTTAGAATTCTGATAACAAGTGTAATAGACAATCTATGTTCATACAAGGAAGATTCTGAGGTCTGTATCCCGATGTGATGACTGGTGTCCTCCAAATCAGAAAATTATTGGGGAAACTAATGTAGCTATTTACTCAAGCTTAAATATGATTGCCACTAAGACACCACAGCTGCCAGATTCCTCACCTGCTATACTGAATATCCTCGTTTATTGACGTTTACCCAAATTAGGCTCAAGTGTATTATTTGTCATTTCTTTCGCAGGCCATTCCAATCCAAGTGAATTTTTATTACTGCCTATAATCCTAGTACATTTCCTTAGTCAATTCATTCTCTGACTTCCTTGGGCAATTATTTCCCATCTTCTATTCTCTCCTGAACCACTCAATATCCTCTCCCCCTTCCCATGCAGATGAAGACATTCTCATTAGATAGCTTCTTCAAACTCACAAAATATATCATCTATACAACAGAAAAAATAAACCTATTTTTACTAAGATATCATCTCCACTTACACCTTAGATCCCATTTCTTCTCGTCTGCCAAGGGCATTCCCTCTTCAAGTATTCTCTCTTTACTGGATCTTGTTGTAAGCATACAAATGTGCTGTTGCTTCTTCCATCTTAAAAAATATTCTCTTGAGATCATTTCCTTATTTTTCTACTCTCTTTTAAAGAAAAACTTCAGTTTCCCACACTCACTGATTCTATTTTCACACTCACTGTGTGATTTGTCTCCAAATAGTGAGTCTGGAACTCGCTTCTATCCAGGATTTCATCTCAGCCACTTTACTAAAACAGCTCTTGTCGAGTTAATCAATGACCTCCTCATTACTTCTAATGTTTCATTTTCCATGTCTTCATCTTATTTGACTTCCTGGGAACATTTTAGACATTCACTTGTTTTTTCTTGTATTGCCTCAGTTGGTCACTTGGCTTCTGGAGCACCACACTTCCCTAGTTTTTCTCATACCCGACCATTCTCTATCTCCTGTGATGAATGCCATTGCTTCCCTAATGTATAAATATGGAAGGGCCCTGGGACTTACTCCTAGTAATTTGTCTTTATCTCTATTAACTCCTTAGATGACCCCATGCAGTTTCATTGGCTTTAAATACAATCTTTATGCTGAAGACTAAAATTTTACTTCAGACTCAACTTCTCCCATAAACTTTAGACCTATATGCAAAGGTCTTCACTTGAGTAAGCTTCTTTAAACAAAATCATTACAAACATTTCTCCCTTAGGCTTACCCCTTTACCCATTTTAGTAAAGAGCATTGGCATGTGTGCACATTGTTCTTAGTGTCTCGCTATATATCACATCCCATGTTAAGTCTATCAAGTTTCTTATCAAATAGTGGGTATTATTCATTCTTTTTATTTCTTTGTACCCATTAACCCACAAAAATTAAAAAGAAAAAATAAGTTTTGTTAAAGCAGCACATAAATTCTACCACTTCTGGTTTCCTCTTCTGTTATTGCCCCATTCCACACCATCATCATTCCCTAGAACGTGGTCATAGCACCCTAAATTGTTCCCTGCTTGTACTCTGGTCATTTCTTCATGGAGCAACCATAGCAATCCCTTTAAGACATTAAAGATAATTATTCTTTGCTTAATACCCTTCTGGATCTTCCTATAGCACTTAGAAAAATATCCAAAGTCTTTTTTCTAAATGTACAGAGTTCTGCAATTACTTGGGCTAGCCCAGACTAACTCTCCATCCACATCACTTATCGCCCTCACTCTGATTCACTAATTCCAGCTACCTTGGCCTCTGGCTATTTCTCTCATCAACCAAGCATGCCCTTATCTCAAAGCCTTTGCACTGGAGGTTTCCTCTTCCTGGAATGTTCTCTCTTCAGGTATCTTCTCCTTGACTTTATTCAGACCTCAATTCAAATGTCACTTCCTTCAAGATGCCTTCAGACATAGAATATATTTAACATCACCTCAAAACTCTCTGTAGAAGACATTAGGTGAAAATGTTCTAAAGTACAGTATGTAAAACTCACAGTAGTGTTACCTGGGAAGCTGGGAGATAATTGTCAGAGAGAACAATGGTGTGCCTCTCACATATGTTAACATATAACTAACAGTATTCTCAGATGCTGAATACCTCATTCCAAATATACTCACCCCACTGATGTTATCTGGAGACTATTTGTTGGAAATTCTTGCATTTTATGATTGAACTCATAAACAATTTGGACAGTATATCAAAATGTTCATATCCTTTTGCTCTTGAGATGGGTGTTACAGAAAAATATGTGGGGTCCAAATACCATTTATAGTGTCTGTGACCGTGAGTGACTTATTCAATGCTATATCCTCAATGACTTCATTGTTAAAAAAGAAAAAATATACACATAAAAATTGTCTGAAAACTAGAAAGCTACTAGTAACCTAAGATGAATCTTGACAAATTTGATGCCATGTTTGTTGGGTACAAATAATGACATACAACTGGCAACAACTATTTAGGCACAGGTCATATATCAGTCACTTCACTACAATATAACACTATAGAATTCTGGAAGGGTTAATATATTCATCAAGTTCTTTACTACAATATAGGAAAGAAATAATTTTAAAAAGAAAGAACTGTTTCATATTCAAAGCATATAAGCTGTTATAATAAATAAATCTATATGGTTATTTATTGGCATAAAACTTTTCTTGGAGTAGTTTTAAAATTCTGATATTCATGTAGCAGTTACATCAGGCTAATTCCAAACTAGTAAGCAAATTATTCTTGTTTCACGTATTTCATTATTTATAGTCCAGTTAATGCCTTTCAATTTGTATAAGTTACACGATAAATCAATGATAGATTAAAAATAAAAAGAAAGAAAATAATTGCAACTCAAACATAAGTATCAAGACTGATTTAATTTCTCAATCACTTTCAATGCTAATATTCTTTTTAAATGTTTTTATAAAATGAGTGTATATAAGTGTTCTTCCAATCTTGAATTATTTATAAAAAGATTTTAAATGACCCCAGTTAGTACATTCTATTTAATTACCTGAGAAGTAGCAAAATCATCTTATCACTGAAAGAAAATGGATAAAATGTTAAGAACTACTAAACATAATATTAATTCTTGGAGTATACCATCACAAAGCCAGCATAGATGTGGTTAACAAGAGAAATCCTCACCTTCTAGAATGGCTCATTCAAGTGTCCAATGGCATAAACGGCATAGTACACCATCTGTGAGACCACATCCAAGGATTCTTGGATCTGGAAGAAACCCCTTCCTGTTTTTCTCTCAAGGACTTTCCTTATCGTGGACTGTAAGAAAGTTTAATTACTCAGTTAACACGGCCTTTGTAGGTTCTGGTTCAGACTTTTGGAACAGTCCCAGTTTGACCCCAGGAACTTTCTCTTTTTTTCGTTCCTTTCTTCCTTCTCCATCCCTCCTTCCCTCCCTCCCTCCCTTCCTTGCTTCCTTCTCTCCCTCCCTCCTTCCTTCTTTCCTTCCTTCCTTCCTTCCTTCCTTCCTTCCTTCCTTCCTTCCTTCCTCCCTTCCAGCTTCAGGCTAAACCACAATTATTTTAAACACCCACTTTTACTCTTTCTAAAAATTCTTGACCTCTTAAAATTCCTACACTTTCATCTTTCTTGTTTGCTTGCATTCTTGTTTTCAAGAACATGGATTTTCACTGGGCTGTTCCCTAAGTTCCTGAATTTACCTTGGGCTTACTTTTGATTTCATGTCATTTGCAGAGCAGAGGTGGTTGACATTCCCCAAGACCAATCATGGTAAAGGCATTCTTTGCTCAGATTACAATTTCTCCTGACACCTCAAATGTTTCAGGTGCCATGCTGAGGGAAAATGCCTTTCAGAATTTTAATTAATAAAATTTTACCACAGTTTCTAATTTACTTTTACGTATCAATGTATTTTTCTCATTGGATTTCAAGAAGAAAACTACAGAAAATATAACTTTGCTTTTTTCTTTCTTAGATCATATTGTTTACTGTCTGCATGCTACCATTTCCCTTTTTTTTCAAAAATTTAAAAAAAAAAAACCTCTCTATTTGAATGTCAACTTAGCAAGCATAAGCTGAAATGTTTAGTTCCTGGATCCAGCATATGTGCTTTAAAGAAATGTGCACAACTCTGGGTCTTCAAGCTGTTTAAGTGAAAGACATTTGTAGAGGAAAATCATGTATAAAACTGGATCAGTTAGCTATTGCTGCATAACAAACCACCCCAAAACAAGAACCATTTACATAAGCATCGGACTTCAGCTCTGCTGAGTGGCTGCTCTGCTGAGTGGCTTCTCTGCTGATTTCTCCTAAGATCACGTTGCCTGAATGAATGTTTTGGTTCTCTTCCATATGGTTTCTCATCCTCCAGGAAGCTAGAAAAGGTTCTTCATGTAATTTTAGCAATGTTCCAAGAGAATGAAAGTGGAAGCAACAAAAAGTCTTAAGGCCTAGCCTTGCAAGTCACACAACATCATTTTGCCAAAGCAAGTCTCAAGGCCACTCAGATTCAAGGACTATGGGAATAGATATCACTTATTATGGGATAAATGGCAGCATCACACTGCAAATGAATCAAGGCAGTATAATTTATTGGAGGTCATTATTAGAAAAACAAAATGATTTCTGTCTTAATAAGAACTATCGTACTTTTATCCATAAAACATAATTATGACTTTTTAAGTGTATTCTTCCAAACTAGACTGTAAACATATTAAGGGTTAACATCCTACCCTCCACACCTTGGGGCCCACAGCATTTAGATGAGCATCTTTACATAGTATGAGTGCAAATATTAATAGTAATAATACAAATATAGTAGTAATACTAGTACCAGTAGTAGTTGTAGCTAATATTTATTATTTCACTATAGTCTAAAATCTTTGTCTAAATTATTTCACTTAATACTTACAACAAGACTCACAGGAAAGTGTTGTTTTCAGTCAAAAGATAAGAAAGCTGAACCTTAGCAGGAAGAAATAACACAGCCACGATTGTAACGGGCAAAGGTGAGACTACAAACCAAGTCTGTGTGACACTGAGCCCATCATTTTGACCACTATGTTACACTGCCTTAGTTGAAGACAATTCTGAGGACTGTGGCACAAATTGTTTTGTCTAACTCCAGGCAGAAATATTCACATGCCACAGGTATAATTGAGTCTTTTATCTACTACTTCATACATTTTTCCTTAGTTATTAGTTTAGATGTTGCAAGTCCTGAAGGTGTCCAAAGGTGATTCATTTCCATTTCAATTTCAACATATTTTTAGTCATTTTATCCATCTATGGGGAAAACAGATTGTTGTTTTTATTTTGATTTGGTTTTCTTAAAAAAGAAAACATGGTTTACTAGGTAAAAATCCATAAATATTTGCCTGGGAACATCTCCTTTGGCCAACAACCTGTTTGTAGAGCTCAATTCCCATCAGCTCAGCAGTTGAGATTAATGATATGGGAAGGGTTTGAACACTCCAGGTAGGAGAACGGGTGATTTAACAGCAAAGCTGAGCAAATCAATCTACCTCACATCTCACAGTCATCTTGTGAGTTCACAGAAAAAGAAAACGTAAGAAATAAAAAAAGGGATATGGGGAGAAAAAAATAATACTTATTTCAACATAGGGAGTTATATGTGATGTAGCCTTACTTTTTATATTTATCTTTTTACATGCTTTTATTACAATATGTATTTGTTACCAAAAACTCCACTATAATATACCTACTATTGATGGGAATTTACCTAACACAAATAATTCCCTTCATGTTCAGAGCCCCAGTTCTAAATGAGAGGTAGGCAGAAGTTCTAGCTGTGGGCGAGAATTAAGAGGAAAAAAGAATGATGCTAAATAGGCTCCTTCAGGCAACAAACTTTTGGAGCAGGAGAGGGTAAAGATGGGTTCCTCTGTTCTCAGGATTCGGGCAGCCTAATTTTCCCTGATCAGACCAAAAAAAAAGGGGGGGGGCTTCCATTTTACCTGAATATTCCTGAAAATGTTTCAGACATTCTGGAAAACCCAACCAGGCACAGAAGGCAGAACTGTTCCCAGACAGCACCAAGGTGGATTTGAATCATATGGTCTGACTCCAAAGCTCAGTTAGCTTCTATACAGGCTCACCTTGGTCATCTTGGTCATTTTTCACAATGACACAATCCTACTTTTTGGAAATTTGGAGGGCATTATTTCTCAAGTTATGGAAGAGTTGTACTTTATTTATATAATTACAAGGGAAGGTATGGGAGAAAAATATATGTGAAAAATAATGTGTTAGTAATAGCAACAAAAACTAAAAAATGTCTACTGTGGTGAAGATGCTAGCTGTGCCCTAATGTCCATTTTTGTCTTCTCCCATACTAATAGAATATTAGACATTTTTTGCTGACTCGTAGCTTCCCAAAATAAAGGTAATATTTCTCAGGTTCTCTTGCTACTAGGTATGGCCATGTGGCACCTTATTCTGGCCAAAGGGATATAAGAAAGATATAAGTGGAATAATTCTGTATTCAATTCTAAAAGCTTTCCTTGTAAGACACCTGGATGTTCTCCTTGCCTCCTTCTTGTTTATGGGGATATGAGAGCCGCCACTCTTGCAGTTATATCAAATCTTAATTACCAGAATTGACATCTTAAGAGGCGGTAAGAAAATACAGAAGGCACCTGGGGCCCTGAAGACTGTGTGACAGAACTATCATACTAGCTGTTTGTGAGATACTGTCATGTGAGAGAGAACTAAATGTCTTTCATGTTTGAGTGACTGCCATTTTGATTTTCTTTTGCTTTCTGCCAACCTAGTTCTAGGCAATATACCTAAGAATAAAATTAATAAGAAATGATGGACATACATGAATATTTGAGTCAGTAGAGAATCATGCTGATTTTTTAAAATAATTTCAACTTTTATGTTAGGTTTAGGGACTACATGTGCAGGTTTGTTACATGGGTATATTGCTTAATCCTGAGGTTTGGGATGTGAATGATCTTGCCACCCAGATAGTAAGCATATTACCTAACAGGTAGTTTTTCAAACCTTGTCCTACTCCCTTCCCCTTTACTAATAAAGTGTGTCCCCTGTATCTATTGTTCCATTTTTATGTCCATGAATACCCAATATTTAGCTCCCACTTATAAGTGAGAGCTTGCAGTATTTGGTTTTCTGTTCCTGCATTAGTTGGCTTAGGATAATAGACTCCAGCTGCAACCATGTTGCTGCAAAAGGACATGATTTCATTCATTTTTATGGCTGTGTAGTGTTCTATGCTGTATATGAACCACATTTTCCTTATCCAATCCACCACTGATGGGCACTTAGGTTGATACCATGTCTTTGCTACTGTGAATAGTGCTGCAATGAGCATAGAGTGCATGTGTCTTTTTAGTAGAATGATTTATTTTCCTTTGGACATATACCCAGTAATTTCTGGGCCAAATGGTACTTCTGCTTAAGTTCTTCGAGAAATCTCCAAACTGCTTTCCACAGTGGCTGAACTAATTTACATGCCTACCAACAGTGTATAAGCATTCACTTTTCTTCGCAGCCTTGCCAACATCTGTTGTTTTTTACCTTTTGATTTTCTCATTGAGAAGACTCAATATTACAAAGACATAAATTCTTCCAAAATTGACCTGTAAATTCAATGCAAACAAAAATCTCAATTAGATTTCTTAATGAATCTTAATAAGATCTATTTTTTAATATGATCCATTAAAAACTTGCAATTCTGCATGTGGAAAATTAAATGTATAAAAATATCAGAAAAGGATAATAAATAGAGACTTTTTATTATATTAAACTATACTCTAGAATATAATAATTAAAATAATGTATTAGTGGCATAAAAAGTACAATATATCAATGAAACAAAATATAAATACACATCTGTATGTTATATAAACATATGCTATATATACAGGTAAGCATGGATATTTATTTGACATATGTTTAATACATATATAAAACTATATAGTACACATATGTAAAGATATGTAAATATAACTATATGCTTAGCATTTTTTAAAACAGGAGAAATTAGAGATGTTGAGGCAATCAGCTGTATATTTGGAAAAAACTAAGTTAGATATTACTTCACATAATTTTCAGAAACAAATTCCAAATAGATTAAATATCTAGATATCAAAAACAAATCTAAAAAAGTAACTAGAAGCAATACAGGAAATTTTTTTAATTTTATTTTTTAATTTTCAGTTCTGGGATACATGTGCAGAATATGCAGGTTTGTTACATAGGCATACATGTGCCATGGTTGTTTGCCGCACCTATCAACCCATCATCTAGGTTTTAAGCTCCACATGCATTAGGTATTTGTCCTAATCCTCTCCCTCCCCTTGCCCTCAACCCCCGACAGGCCTTGGTGTGTGATGTTCCCCTCCCTGTGTCCAGATAGACTGGATAAAGAAAATGTGGCACATATATACCATGGAATACTATGCAACCATAAACAAAAGAATGAGTTCATGCATCTGCAGTGACATGGATGAAGCTGGAAGCCATCATTCTCAGCAAACTAACACAGGAACAGAAAACAAAACACTGCATGTTCTCACTCATAAGTGGGAGTTGAACAAGAAAAATAATTTAAAATATAATTCTGTGTTGGAAGAGCTCTTCCAATAACTTTCAACAGTCATAAGAAAAAAGTAGCTGATTTCATTATATACAAATTTAAAACTTCTTTCCAGTGAATGGCATGGGAAAGTATCAGCAACAAATTTTGAAAAATTATTTTTAACATATATATGGCTTGTTGTAACAAATAAATGACATATTTCTATAATATGTAAAGAGCTCTTATAAATCCAATACAAATGGGGAAAATTTCCAAACAAAGGTTTATCAGAAAAAAATACAAATAAACTATAAATTTAAAAATAGACAAATATACTTAAAATATACAAATATACTTAAAATTTAAAAGAAGAAATTCTATATATATATATAAGATATCAAGCTTTGGGGTATTAGATTGCACAATTTTAAAAAAATTGATAAAATTTTGTTTTAGAATAGGTATCGATGGAATTATGTGAAAGTGATCTGGCAACATCTTTTAATACTTAGAATGTACATACTTTTTGGCCCAGCAATTTTACTTCTAGGAATACATTTTACAAACAGTATCACCCATGTACACAAATATATGTATAGGGACATCTATTGCATCATTGTTCATAACAATCTTAATAAAGATTGAAATTCTATTTATAATCGAGATTTGTAAAAATTTCCAAAAATGTGAAGAAAATAAACAAGTACAAAAAAAAAATCAAGTCAACAGAATATGTATTAGGCTGTTCTTGCATTGCTATAAAGAAACACCTGAAACTGGGTAATTTATAAAGAGATTTAATTGGAACACGGTTCTGCAAGCTATACGAGTATGAAGCCAGCATGTGGTTGGCTACTGGGGAGGCCTCAAGGAGCTTTTATTCATGGTGGAAGGCAAAGCAAGAGCAAACATGTCACATGGCTAAAGCAGGAGCTAGAGAGAGAGACTGGGAGGGAAGTGCCACACACTTTCAAATGACCAGGTCTCTCGAGAACTCACTTGCTATTGTGAGGACAGCACCAAGCCATGAGCTCCACTCCCATGACACAAATGCCTCCCACAAGGCCCCTCCTCCAACACTGGGGATTACAATTCAATATGAGATTAGTTGGGGACATATATTCAAACTATATTAGACTATGAATAAAATGTTCCCATATATGTAAACAAGAAAACTAAACCTCCACCCCAAATTTATGAATGGAGTAAGAAGAAAGAAATGTGATTAAAGAAGACATGTGCTTTTTCCATGTGCTTTCATCTTATTTCAATTGTTCTGATACTTATTACTCATGTAATTACATATATAAATGCAAATTTTAAAACTGTTTAAATCTGAATGATAAAAGTTTAGCAGGACATGGGAATTAAAGGAAAATCTACAATTTTAGAAAAGAAAGATGCTGCATGTCAAAGAGGGATCCCCAAACTACAAGCTAAAGTTTGGCATTTACTACTATAAACATGCTGCTCATGTGAGCAGTCTCGGGGACTTTGTGTTGCTAAGGAACTCGAGGCCCCACCTGACTATTTTTTAAAGGTCCAAAACCCATTCCCTTCCAAATGCAAAGTTTATATCCTCCTAAATGATGTTATCTTAACAAAAGAAACATTCCCAGTGCTGATAATGTTTTGAATTTAAAGAATAAGCTTTGTTAAGACTGTCTAGAAATATCTTAAGATTAAAATAAATCCAAATGACAAAAAAATCACAGGTTTAACTGTATATAGCATTGTTGGGGTATTAATCAGTGAATTTAGATATTGGAAAAACTGCAAATTCCATTAGCATATGTCTGAGTAATGTATACTGATACTGTAAATTTAGATAAATGGCTCAATTTAATCATGTGTAATAAACTATCACTTATTTTATATATCAGGAAATAGCAGAACAAAAATGTCTAAAAGCTTTTAGTAAAGGTTTCAAAATAACTAAAAAATAAGAACATCAAAAAGTTAATTCACCATGATCAAGCAGGCTTTATTCTTAGGATGCAAGCTCAGTTCAACATAAGCAAATCAATAAATGTGATTCATCACATAAACAGAATTAAAAACAAAACAATGCAATCATTGCAATAGACGCAGAAAAAGCTTTGATAAAATTTAACATCTCTTCATGATAAAAACCTTCAATGAACAAAGCATCAAAGGAATACATCTCAAAATAATAAGAACCATCTATGACAAACCCACAGCCAACATCATACTGAACAGGCAAAAGTTGGAACCATTCCTCTTGAGAACTGCAACAAGATAAAGATGCCCATTCTCACCATTCGTATTCAACATACTGCTGGACGTCCTAGCCAGAGCAAAAAGGCAAGAGAAAGAAATGAAACGCATCCAAATAGGAAATGAAGAAGTCAAAGTATCTCTCTTAATTGACAATATGATTCTATATCTAGTAAATCCTAAAGACTCTGCCAAAAGGCTCCTGGAACTGATAACCAACGTCAGCAAAGTTTCAGGATACAAAAATCAACATACAAAAATTAATAGCACTTCTTACTTCAATAACATTCTGACAGCCAAATCAAGAACATGAACTCATTTATAATAGCCACATACCCCAAAATTAAAAACCTAGTATACATCTAAAGAAAGTGAAAGATCTCTACAAGGATAACTAAAAAATCACTGCTGAGAGAAATTAGAGATGACACAAATAAATGAAAAAACATCCCATGCTCATGAATTGGAAAACTCAGTATCATTAAAATTGCCATAGTTCCCAAAGTAATTCATAGATTTACTGTTATTCATATCAAACTACCAAGATCAATTTTCACAGAATTAGACAAAACTGTTCTAAAATTCATAAGGAACCCAAAAGGACTCAAATAGCCAAATCCATCTTAAGCAAAAGGAACAAAGCCAGAGGCATCACATTACCTGACTTAAAACTATACTATAAGGCTACAGTAACCAAAACAGCATGGTACTGGTACAAAAACAGACACACGGACCAATAGAATGGAACAGAGAACCCAGAAATAAAGCTGCATTATCTGATCTTCAACAAACTTGACAAAAATATGCAATGGGGAAAAGATTCCCTATTCAATAGATGATGCTGGAATAACTGGCTATCCATTTACAGAAGAATGAAACTGGACCACTACCTATCATCATATACAAAAATTAACTTAAGATGAATTAAAGACTTAAATGTTGGACATCAAACTATAAAAATCTTAGATGAAAACCTAGGAAATATTATTTTCCATGTAGGCCTTGGCAAAAAACTTATGGCTAAGTTCCCAAAAGCAATTGTAACAAAAACAAAATTGATAAGGGGCCCTAATTAAATGAAAGAGCTTTGCACAGTAAGAGAAACTATCAATGAAGTAAACACATAACCTATACAGTTGGAGAAAATATTCACAAACTGGCATCTAACTAGCATCTAATATCAAGAATTTATAAGAAACAAAACAAATCAACAAGCAATAAATGAATAATCCCATTAAAAAGCAGTCAAAGCACATGAACAAACACTTCTTACATACAGCCAACAAACATGAAAAAATCCTCCCCATCACTGAAATCATCAGAAAATATGAATCAAAACCACAATGAGATACCATCTCACACCAGTCAGAGTGGATATTATTAAAAAGTCAAAAAATAACAGTTTTTGGTGAGGCTGCAGAGAAAAGGGGACACATATACACTGTCAGTAGGAATGTAAATTAGCTCAGACACCTTGGACAGTAGTTTGGCAATTTCTTAAAGAATTAAAAGCTTCACTACCATTTGACCCAGAAGTCCCACTACTGGGTATATACCAAAAGAAAATTCTACTTAAAGGAGACTTGCATTTCTATGTTCATCACAGCACTAATCACAATAGCAAAGACTGGATATCAATGTAAGTGTTGGTTGGGTGCAGTGGCTCATGCCTGTAAATCCAGAACTTTGGGAGGCTGAGGTGGGTGGATCACCTGAGGTCAGGAGCTCGAGACCAGCCTGGCCAACACAGTGAAACCCCGTCTCTACTAAAAGTACAAAAATTAGCCAGGCATAGTGGCACACACCTGCAGTCCCAGCTACTCGGGAGGCTAAGGCAGGAGAGTCGCTTGAATCCATGAGGCGGAAGTTGCAGGGAGCCCTAATCATGCCACTGCACTCCAGCCTAGGCCACAGAGCGAGACTGTCAAAACAAACAAACAAACAAACAAACAAACAAAAACGTAAGTGTCCATCAATGACAGGTTGGAGAAAGAAAATGTGTGTGGTATATATCCACCATGGAATACTACACAGCCATAAAATAAAATGAATTTATGTCTTCTGCAGCAACATGGGTGTCACTGGAGGCCATTCTCCTAGGCAAACTAATGCAGGAACTGAAAACCAAATACTGCATGTTCTCACTTGTAAGTGAGAGCTAAATATTGGGTACATATGGATATAAAGATGAGAACAGTAGACACTGAGGACCACTAGATAGGAGAGAGGACTACTAGAGGGAGACAAGGGCTGAAAAACTACCTGTTGGGTGCTATGCTCACTACCAGGGTGATAGGTTCAGTCACACCCCAAACCTCAGCATCATACAATCTACTTTTGTAACAAACCTATACATGTACCCGTGATTCTAAAAAAAAGTTAAAAATATATATATATATGAAGGAAAAATTATTTAATTATTTTACTACAATAGAATATTAGTATTTTAGACTGCTTAATCAAATCTGTCTATAATTATTGACTATTAAAATATTTTTCATGTCTTATGTCAGAATCTTGCAAATGTTTTATCCGATCTAAACATAGAGTTTCAATGATGGAGAAAGGTATTTACTTTTTAACTATATAAACATGGAAACTAATGCTTGACAAAGAAAGCATTTACTCAATTACAGACACACCTCATTTTACTGCTTTGTGCATTATTGTGTTTCACAGGTATTGCATATTTTACAAATTAAAGATTTCTGGCAACCCTTGGTCAAGCAAGTCTACTGACAGCATTTTTCCAACAGCATGTGCTCACTTCAAGTCTCTGTGTCACAGTTTGGTTATCCTCCCAATATTTCAGACTTTTTCATTACTACTGTACCTGTTATGGTGATCTATAATTAGAGATCTTCAATGTTACTATTGCAGTTGTTTTGGGGCAACACAAATTGCTCCCATGTAAGATGGCTAATTTAACTGACAAATGTTGTGTATGTTCCGCCTGCTCCACTGGCTGTTTCCCTTATCTCTCTCCCTCTCCTCAGGCCCTGCTATTCTCAGAGACACAACAGTGTTATTATTAGGCCTATTAATAACTCTATAATGGCCTTCAAGTATTCAAGTAAAAGGAAGAATTTACATGTCTTACTTAAAAACAAAAGCTACAAATGATCCAGCTTAGTTAGAAAGGCACGTTAAAAGCTGAAATACACTGAAAGCTAGGACCCCTGTGCCAGATAGTTTACCAAATTGTGAATGCAAAGAAAATGTTCTTGAAGAAAGTGAAAATTGCTACTCCAGTGAACATACAAGAGATGAGAAGCTAAAGAGCTTATTTCTGACATGGAAAATGCTTTACTGGTCTGAGTAAAAGATCAAACCAGTCACAATATTCCTTTAAGCCAAAACTTAATCCAGAGCATGGCCCTAACTCTCTTCAACTCATAAAGGCTAAAGGAAGTGATAAAGTTGCAGAAGAAAAGTTTGAAGCTAGCAGAGTTTGATCCATGAATTTTAAGGAAAGAAGCTATCTCTAAAACATAAAAGCACAAGGTGAGGCAATAAATGCTGACATAGAAGCTGCAGCAAATTATCCAGAAGATCTATCTAAGATAACTGATGAAGGTGGCTACACTAAATAACATATTTTCAATATAGAAAAATAGTTTTATATTGAAAGAAAATGTCATCTAGAACTTTTATAGCTAGAAAGGATAAGTCAATGCCTGAATTCAAAGCATCAGAAAACAACCAACAAAATGCCAGGAGTGAGTCCATATCTATCAATACAAACCTGGAGGGTAAACAGTCTCAAATCCCCAATTAAAAGACATAAACCAGCTCAATAAATTTTTAAAAATGACCCAGCTATATGATGCTTACGAGAAACTCACTTTACTTGCAAAGACATACATAAACTGAAAGTAAAGGAATGGAAAAAGATATCCCTTGCAAATGCAAACCAAAAAAAAAAGCAGAAGTAGCTATACTTACATCAGATAAAATATTCTTTAAGTAAAAAACTATAAAAAGAGACAAAGAAGGTCTTTATATAATTATAAAGGGGTAAATTCAGCAAGACGATATAACAATAGTAAATATGTATGCACCAAATATCTAAAACAAGTTTAACAGATCTAAAGGGAAAGATAGACTACAATACACAATAATAGTAAGGGACTTAAATAGTCCACTTTTGACAATGGATACATCATCTAGGCAAAAATCAACAATGGATAGATCATCTAGGCAAAAATCAACAAAATAATTGGAGGCAAATGATATTCTAGACCAAGTGGACCTAACACATATTTACAGAACATTTTATCCAGCTGCAACAGATTACACATTCTTCTCATCAGCAAATAGAACATTGCCCAGCATAGACCATAGACCATATGTTGGGCCACAAAACTAAAAGTAGGATATATCCCAGCAATAAGATTGCTGGATCATATGATCAACTGCCATATGATTCAGCAATCTCCAATTGCTAGAATACATGCAAAAGAAGAAAACAATCAGTATATCAAAGAAATAGCTGCACTCTCATGTTTATTGCAGCACAATTTATAGTATCCAAGATGTGCTATTAACCTAAGTGTCTATCAATAGATGAATAGATTTTTTAAATGTGATACATATACACATTAGAATATTATTCAGCCATGAAAAAGAAAGAAATCATATCATTTGCAACAACCTGGATGGAGCTGGCAGTCATTATGTTAATGAAGAAGCCAGGCCCAGAACAACAACTATTACATATTCTCAGTCATATGTGGGAGCTAAAAACATGGATATCATGGAGAGAGTAGAATGGTAGTCACCAGTGGCTGGGAAGGGAAGAGGAGGAATAAAGAGAAGTTTGTTAATGGGCACAAAGATACATAAAAGAAATAGGTTCTACTATTTGACAGTACAGTAGGAAAATTACAGTTAATAAGAACTTATTGTATATTTCAAATTAGCTAGAAGAGAAGAATTATAATGTCTCTAAAACAAAGATAAATGTTTAAAGTGATGGATATCCCAATTTCCCTGATTTGATCATTACATATATCAAAATATCATATGTGCTCAAAAGATATATACAACTCCCATGTTTCTTGCAGCACAAAAATGATACAGCAATAAAAATAAAATAAAAGCAAAAACGTAAAAACATACATTTCGAAAGACTACAGGAGCCATAGATAGTGATTCCTATGCTGGATCTGGGCAATGTAAATGAAAACCTTCTGGAAAGAAATTGCCATTCAAGTTGTCATTAAGAACATTTGTGATTCATGGGAGAAGGCCAAAATGTCAACATTAACAGGAGTTTTGGAAGGAGTTGATTTCTACCCACATAGATGACTTTGAGGGGTTCAAGTCTTCAGTGGTGGAAATAATTGTGTAGGTGGTGGAAATACCAGGGGAACTAGAATTAGAAGTGCAACCTAAAGATGTAACTGAATTGCTGCCATCTGATTATTAAACCTTATCAAATGAGTAGTTGTTTCTTATGGATAAGCAAAGACAGTGGTTTCTTCAGATGGAATCTCCTTCTGATGAAGATGCTGTGAATATTGTTTAAATGACAGCAAAGGATTTAGACTATTACATAAACTTAGTTGGTAGAGCAGCAGCAAGGTTTGAGAAAATTGACTCTAACTTTGAAAGAAATTTTGCTGTGGGTAAAATGCTCTCAAACAGCATTGCATGCTACGGGTAACTCCTTCATGAAAGGAAGGGTCAATTGATGTAGCAAACTCCATTGTTGTCCTGTTTTAAGAAGTTGCCACAACCACCCTACCTTATGCAACCACTACCCTTATCAGTTAGCAACCATTGACATTGAGGCAAGACCCTCGACCAGCAACAAGATTATGACTCACTGAAGGCTCAGATGATTGTCAGCATATTTTAGTCATAAAGTATTATTAAAATAAGGCATGCACATTGTTTTTTCAGACATAATGCTACTGTACACTTAATAGACACAGTATAGTGTAAATATAACTTTTATTTGCACTGGGTAACCAATAATTTGTAGTGACTCACTTTATTGTGAAATTTGCATTATTAAGGTGGTCTGGAACCAAATCCACAGTACCTCCAAGGTATGCCTGCAGTTATCATCTCTCTATAAATCCAAAACAATTGCCTCAGAGAAGAAGCATGACATAGTAGAAAGGATCAGAATCCTAACTCCAGTATCTACCAACTGTGTGAACATATGCTGTTTACTTACTCTCTTTGACCACTAGTTAAATTATTTAAAATATAAGTAAATTGGTTGGCACATAGTTCATCTTTGCTAAAATAATATGCTTCCTTCTCTGTAAGTGTGCCAATGTGACTTGAGAAGATAAAACAAAAGTCATAGTTTATGGAAATCTTTTTTGATCATTTACAGAAGTAATAATCTAGAAATCATGCTTGGTTTAATAATCATGAAATAATCTAGATTGAGATTTCTGGGCCACAACACAAATCTACTAAATTGTTCCAAAATTATATGCAAAAATCTTTTTAGATAATTCTGATGATTAGCCATCGAGGGGCAATACTATCCTAGACCTTTTAATAAACGCGAAGAAGCATATTTAAAATAACTGGCAATAAATTTCTTTAGAATTAAAATAGCAAGACTAAACTGTGAGAAATGGTACACACTTATTTGCATCTTCTAAAGTCTGAAGTCTCTTTATTTTGGCCATATGTCTAGGTTCTGATTTTTTTTACAGTGTATGCTAATACCTATGTAGAAAAGAGTAAATAAATGTCACTCTTGGCAAGTATTGACAGTATCTTACTTATTATTCAAGTAGATAGTCTTTATAATCTAACATTATCATTATAAATTCCTAAAGATCATCATTTCTAGCCAATCAAAAGTGCTGTTCGCTGGAAAAAGCTATATTTTTGCATTACAAAATGCTTTGCTATTTGCTACATCTTGCTTAGAGCTCCCTGTATCGTTCATGACATATGACATTGTAATGGAAAGATACACATGTGGAGCCACGTACTGTGCTCCATTAACTCTATTTGTTTACTTAGTGAACGCTTCAGCCACTGCCTCTAAATAACTCCTCTTTCTGGGTCAAGAACACAAAATGACAAATGGAGTGTAAGTTTACAGAAAATGATTCAAGAGTTACTTCTCCTTATCTCAGGTTGCTATATATCCTAAGAATCAGAGCTCTGGAAAGGTCCTCAGGTATCTAGTTCATGCTCCTGAATACAGGCTAGACCTTATATCCAGCTAAAAAAGAAAATTTTTGAGACTACATATGGAAAAATGAGTGTGTGTATGTGTGTGTGTGTGTGTGTGTGTGTGAATGTGGCATGTAAAATGCAATAAAAAATATCATGTTTTTAAATCAACGATAACCTATTCAAGAGCCTTTTCATAGTATAGAGAAATTACTCCTGGATATTACTAATTTTGTAAATATATACACTTCATTCAGTGGCTTGGAGTCATCAGATTGGTTAGTCTATTCTGTTTCCTAGCTTATCAACACCAGAGCTCTGCTTACCCAGGAACACAGCAATATGTAGCCTAAGTAGTATGATTTTAAAGGCACTAAATTCTGTGTATCTTTTTTTTTTTTTTTTTTTTTTTTTTTTTTTTGAGACGGAGTCTCACTCTGTTGCCAGGCTGGAGTGCAATGGCACAATCTCAGCTCACTGCAACCTCCATCTCCCGGATTCAAGCGATTCTCCTGCCTCAGCCTCCTGAGTAGCTGGGACTACAGGCATGCACCACCACGCCCAGCTAATTTTTGTATTTTTTAGTAGACATGAGGTTTCACCATGTTGTCCAGGATGGTCTCGATCTCCTGACCTCGTGATCCACCCACCTCAGCCTCCCAAAGTGTGGGGATTACAGGTGTGAGCCACTGTGCCTGGCCTAATACTGCGTATCTTAAAATATCTTTTTCATGCTACATAATTTGAAGTGTATTTTCTCATCCTATTAATAGGTTAAATTCAATGAGGGCTCTAGAGCTTGACTTCATGTCTTCAAATCCAGTGTCCACTACTTTATAGCTGAGTAGTCATAGATAAGTTCCTTAAGCTCCTTGTGCCGCTCAATTAACTATCTATTAAAAAATAAATAAAACCATCCTTTAAGACTGTTGAGATAAAGTGAGATCATCCATTTACATAAAGCCCAAAAAGCAACGTCTGGCCCATTGTAAGTGCTCTGTGTTTGCTGTTAAATTTAATCTCATCATTATTTTAAAATCACCATGAAAAAACTTGGCTGCAATGAGTCTCTAATTCTCTCCCATTATTATAAATTAATAGTAGTTGTTAATAGTTTTTACCTGGAACCCTGGTAAAAAGAGACACAAAAGAGCAAAAAATTCATTGCAGCATTACAATAACAAAGAGCATGTACTTTTTCTATACTCAGTGTTTGAATCTCTTGATTCAAGATGTTCTTCTCATCAAAATTCTAACCTTTTGTGCAAATGCAGTGCAAATGATTTCCTTTTGCTGGCAGCTCCCCTGAGCACCCAAATATGAGGTTGCCCCTCCTTCTGGAAACAATAATAGCAGTTAACACATTGTTCTAATTTGCAAGGAAGTGTTCTACACATTTTAGGTGTATTAATGTATTTACTCCTCGCAATATCCTATGAAGAATGAGAAAGCTAAAGCCTGGGGTCACATATATAGCAAGTGGTGAAACCAGGGTTGAAATCTAGGCCTTGAACAGCAGGGGCTGGTTCTTGACCTCTGCTCCTCTTGTGAATGCTTCCAAAACTCATATTGTCTTTCTGACACCTCTTCTGCTTTTTTCTCAGTGAATATTGCTATTTACTTTTTCACAAGTTTATAAATTTACCCTCCAATTAGGTTATAATCTCATTGAGGGAAAAGACCGGACTTTATAAAGCTTGGGTTCTCCCAAAATACCCACCACAGCAATAGTAGTTCCAAAATTTACCAATAGATAGGATTAGCAGCACCTGTTGTTGAAGGGGAAGGCAAGGGTAGTCTAGGGGATTTGTCTTAAAACTTCATTTTCAAAGCAACAGTTTTTACTTAGTTTACTTGTTTCTTTGGGGGATTTATGGTAGTGGAGAGGCGATAAAACTTTGGGTTGATACAGATCCTCAATTACCCCTTGGCCCCAATACTGAGCAATAGTGCTATGTATATAGGAGGCACTTAATGAATATTTGGTGTATTATTTTATTAATTCAGAAAGCCTCAAGTGACAAAGAAATGCCACAGTGCCTTTATAGTTACTAAGGAGAACAATATTGCTAGGGGAAAAAAAATAGACAGTCTGCCCCACCCATGAACAAGGTAACAATGACTTCCCTGCTCCAGTTCCCATTCCAGAATATACAATAATCTATGGCTACTCTCAACCAGTTTCAGGCAGATGGTAACCTTAAAAAGGAAGTCTATTCTTAGGAATTAAAATCAAGATTTTATAGCACAATAAAGTCCAAGACCATATATTTTTCCTCTATAAAACTTGCAGAAAGGAGCCAGAATTTAATTAAACTGCCATTATTTCTGAATTATATATTCTGTTTCTATTATTTCCAACGTTCTCTGTTATCTTTTTGTTTTTAGCAAAAAATAAAGGAAGATGAAGAGAAGAAGGAGGAAAAGGAATACAAGGAGGAAAGGGTGAGGAGTAAGAGTGGAAGAGGGAAAGGAGAAAGAGGAGGAGGAGGTGAACAATGAGGAAGAAGTGGAATAGGAGGAGGGGGATGAAGAGGACGGAGAGAAAAAAGGAGGGGAATGAGGAAGACAAGGAGAAGGAAGAGGGAGCTGAGGAGGAGGAGGGGAAAGAGGAAGAGGAATAGTACAAGGGGCAGGAGAAAGAGGAGGAGAAGACTACCCAAGGAAAAACACCTTCAAGGGAAACTTTTCAATCATTTAAATCTGTTTCCCATCTCAATGCAAGGGAATATCTCAGCAAGAGGGGACCACATTAGAAAACAAGAATTTATAGTATTTGACATCAGGCAGATCTGGTTCACTTCCTGGTTCTACTACTTAACTACCTGTGTGAATGAAGTCAAATTACTTAGTTGTCTTAGTCCGGGCTGCTATAACAGAATACCACAGACTGAGTAGCTTAAACAAAGGAATTTATTTTTTACAGTTCTGGAGGCTGGGAAGTCTAAGATCAGGGTACCAGCAAAGTCAGTTTCTGGTGAGGCTCTCTTCCTGGTTTGTAAGTGGTTGACTTCTCTTTGTATTCCTGTATGTGAAAAGAGAGTGAGAGCATTCACTGGGGACTCTTTTATAAGAGGACTAATTGCTTTCATGAGAGCTCCACCCTCATGCCGTAATTGCCTCCCAAAGGCCCCATCTCCAAATACTATCACATTAGGGATCAGGCTTTAACATAGGAATTTTGAAGGGGCAAAAACATTCAGCCCAAAATATTACCTATCCTCAGCTTCAGTCTTCTCTTCCATAAAATGGAGACACTAACGCCAACATATCTTAGTGAATTAAATAAAATAATGTCTACAAAATGGTCAGCACAGGGCCTGGTATGTTGGAGCCCTGTATCTAGTAGCCATTACCACCATTCAGGTTCTCACAGCCAAAACTGCATACTGATGTCAAAGGGCAAAGAAGAAGGTACAATCTAGAAAGTATACACATTCTTCTTTAGAGTATGCGACTCCAAGGCAAAAATGTTTACACACTGGTCATTATTGTGACAGAATTAATATTTTTAACAGCTTTACTGAGGTGTAATTTACATACCACATAATTCACTCATTTAAAGGATATGATTCAACGGTATTTACAGAGTTGCACAACCACTGTCACCTCAATTTTAGAATATTTTCACCACTTTAAGAAGAAACTACAAACTGCAATATCTCTTCTTTATTTTCTTCTAATTCTTTGAGGTTGTTAGTGATCCAATTTACATTAAGGATTTTCCTTTTTTAAACTTCAGTAAATATATGATTATCATACAGAAATAGTGTTCAGACATTCAAAAATTTCAAGAAACATCAAGAAATAGGATTATTTCTTATTTTTTCAAATTTATTTTGTAAATGACATGAAGTTTACGTATTTATTATGTACATTATGTTTTGATGTACATACACCCTGTAGAATAGCTAAATCCAGCCAATTAACATATGCATTACCTCATATAGTTATCATTTTTATAGTAAGAATACTTAACATGCACTCTCTTGGCATTTTGAAAGATACAATATATTGTCACTAACTGTAGTCATCATACTGTACATACTTCTCTTGAACCTATTCCTCCTAACTGTAAATATCTATCTTTTGACCACAATCTCTCCAAACTCCCTTCCTCCTTAACCACTCCAGCCTCTGGTAACTACCATTCTACTCCCTACTTCTGTGAGATCAACATTTTAAGATTCTATATGAATGAGATCATGGAATATTTGTCTTTCTGTGTCAGGTTTATGTCACTCAACATAATGTCCTCCAGGTTTATCCATGTTATTGCAGATAACAAAGTTTTCTTCTTTTGTGGCTAACTAGTAGTCCATTGAGTATATATGCCACATCGTTTTTTATCCATTAATCTGTTGATTGACATAACGGTATTGGATGAAAAACTGCTATGGACCGAATATTTGTGGCCCACCAAAACTTATGTGTTGAAACCTAATAACCAATGTAATGGTATTGGGAGGTAGGGCCCTTGGGAGATGATTATTAGGTCATGAAGATGAGGCCTCACCAGTGGTATTAGTACCCTTATGAGGGGCTGAAGAGACCAGAGTTCTCCCTTCCCACTGTGTGAAGACACAGTGAGGACTTGGGTTCTCACTGACAGAAATTAGGTTCTCCTTGGGTTCTCACGGAATCTGCTGGTGCGTAGATCTTGAATTTTCCAGGCTCCAGAACTGAGAACTAGATTTCTCCTGTTTACATGCCACCCAATTCATGTAATTCTGTTATAGCAGGCTGAATGGACTAAGACAGAAACCATAAGTCTACACTCTTTTCTTGTCAACTGGTTTTCCAGGTTGTTTTCATTAACCATGCTCTGCAGGGAACAGTAGCAGTAGTTGCGGTTAACAAAATACCTTATGTAGCCAGATGCTCTGTATCAAATCTAGCTGTGCAACCTTAAGAAAGATACATGACCTTTCTATGCCTTAATTTTTCTAATCTGTAAATTTAAGGTAAGGATAGCAACACACATAGTCCATAGAGTTGTAATAAGTTTTAAATATATAACATGCATAAAGCATTTTAAAACAGTGCCCTCAAAACTCCTGTGCTCATAAGTAATGGAATTGTGCCTATGGAACAGCCACTGTACTCTAGCCTGAACAACATAGTGAAATCTCGTTTCTAAACTATACTAACAATAAAATTTTTTAAACAGTGCCCAAATAATTCCAAATGAGATAGATAGATAGATAGATAGATAGATAGATAGATAGATAGATAGACGCTCTCCCTTCCCGTGAATGTGAGCTGGACTGTGTGACCCACTTACAAAGACTTATGCATAGAAAGAGGGAAAATAGTAACTTTACAGTAGAGAAATGGGGCAAACGATCTTCCCTGTTTTAATAACTTCTTCCCCTAAAAGGATGACATTTTAGTAACATTATTCAGACTGTCTCACTACTGCTCAAAACCTTCCAATGGCTTCCCTCAAGCCACAGCTTTTATTTAATCCTTAGCACATTATCTCAGCTGTAGTAAAAACTACCTGTAAATTTCTTAGTCACCCACTGGGATTATAGCCCTGTCTGACCCAATGTAATTGATCAGGACTTTACATCATGTCTAGCTGTCAATAATCCTCTACCTAAGACACAGAATCCAATACTCTATGATTACTTTTCTCTAATTTCCCCCAATCTTAATTCAGCCACCCACCTCACTTCAGATGTGGCCCACTCTATACTAATGCAGCACCCAATGCACCAAGTAAGAAGCCTTTGATCCATGTAATGCTAGCTATTAAATCAAGGCTCTTTATTTTCCCCAGCAGTCCCTTCAGCTGAGGTCTGAGTATTCCTCAGGGAAAATCCCATTCTCATCATAAACCCTATTTAGTCCATGTTGTAAAAAATTCTAAGATTGTCATGGCAGGATTTATTTCATTTTCTAAGATTTTTAAAAATAATATGCATCATTATGTGCAAGCAAATAATACAGCGATAGAAATTAAAGAATGTACTATATTCAGCTCAAAGAGCCATTGGCATGATTTGGTTATTGCAATTGACCATGACACTGCCCCCAAATAACTTGGATTGTGTAATTATTTTGAAGGTAATATTGCAGTAAGGAACCATACTCCTAAAAAAAAGGTTTATACAGTTCTTTGTTTTGTAGAGATTTACAACCACTTTTTAGAGCACCCCACACCTTTACATCTCACATAGTAGAATCTATAGAATCTTGTTTTACTTATTTACTGAGTTTCAACTCTCAGTAAAACCCAAAGATGAAAAAAGTTGGTTCCTTTTAGTAGAAATGCTCGAGATGTAAATATACCAAAAAAAATCATAATGGCCAGCAGGAATCATGCTTTAAAAATATCAAACCCATGTATTTTCTTCTATTATAATCCAGTTCTTTCCCTTATAACCATTTCTGACACCATGAAGGTTATTACCTACAAAAAGTATGAGGGGAGTTTACATAGGTCCCAGCATGTAGTGTAGGTAAAGAAGAAAGTAAAATAACCTAGAGAAGAAGTTCTCAAGAGTAGGTGGAAAATCTGAAAGAGAGAAGTATTTGGAGGTAAGACTAAAAGGAAGATCTTTAGCATCCCCTCACCCCTGGCTTATGTTGAGAAGTTAGACACTTCAGTGAATGTCTGATTCAGAGGGCTCCTATACCCTGCTCCCATCTCATAAAAGCCACCTCTTTAAATGGTTCTCCACACCAACAGAGGCAGTAATGTAAAAGGAATGGTATGGCATATTTAGGCACAGGCTGGGCTGAAGGTAGCATTCCAAATCTTACTAGGTTCACAAAAAGTATCCGGAATTCCATGTGCTCTAGGTGGAACTCTAGAAGAAAGCAGAGATATTTAGCAAGCAAACTTGTTAATGGGTGAGAGTAGCAGTAATCAGGTAAGATGCTCCTGTACCAAAAACCAGTGGGTGAACTTCCAAGTCCAGGACTCAAAAACCAGTGGGTGAAACTCCAAGTTCAGGACTCAATGAAGGTTATAGTCAGGACCAGATGGATCTTTAGTGCCAGCCAGAACCAAATTTCCCAAGACTTTTGCCAATTCAGAAAGGACAGGTCATGATTTTTATTAGTGATATACATCTACGGCAGATTCCATCAGCATGCCTAGTGACCAGGATGGACTAGGACATTTCACAGAAGCCCGTGAAAAGTTCACAAAGACTGGCACACAAACTAGCTTTTCTAATTTCCTTTAATCCATTACCATAAGATTTCTCCTACATCTAAATATTGTCTCTCGTAAGAGGAGGAGAAAAGGTAAAAAATTTAGAGAGAAAAAGGACTGGTTGTTAAAGCTTGAATTTTATTATTATCCAAAACAAATGGAGAAGACCTTAAAGAAGCTAGTCTAAACTTGAAGCGTTTGAGGTAAATTTAACTGGCAAGGTTTAGCTCTTCTACCTCTAGCCCAACTCCATTAGTGTAGTGGTGGCTCATTAACAAGAGGAACTTCATAATTTTAAAAAAAACTGCACATCTGAGTGAAGTATGTAAATATTTTACTCCATGTACCAATATTTTTAGAAAGAGTAAAATATTTTTACTCTTTAGAAAGATATTCAACAGGAATTAAATGTATTAAGACAAAATATAAATGATTGCTAGTTGCTAATGGAGCAATCTAATGGTTGAGATTTCAATAAAACCCTCTTGCATTAGTTGTGGTTCAGAGAAACAGAACCAACAAGATGTGTATATACAGAAAGAGATTTATTACAGGAATTGGCTCATGTGATTATGAAAGTTGACTAGTCCAGAATCTGCAAGGTGGGCTAGCAGGCTGGAGACCCAGGAGAGCCAATGTTCCAGTCTTGGTCCAAAGGCCATCTGTAGATCTGAAGGCAATGTCACAGATAACATTCCAAGACAGTCTGCTGGAGAAACCACTCTTGCTTGAGGGAGGCTGGGTTTTTTGTTTTATTCAGCCTCCAGTGGATTGGATGAGGCCCACCTACATTATGGAGAACAGTCTGCTTTACTAAAAGTCCACCAATTTATACGTTAACCTCATCCAAAAACATCCTTATAGAAACACACAGAATAATGTTTGACCAAATATCTGGGCGCCTCATGGCCCAGCCAAGTTGACACATAAAATTAACCATCACACCGCTGTAGAACACTTTGCTGACTGAGCTACTATATTGGAAGGGGAAAGTTATCTAGGAGTGAAAGATGGAAAGAAGCAAGTATCTTTCATGCATATTTTGAACCTATTTAGCTATGGGTTAGCCCTTTAGGGGATGATGGCATAGACGGGGTTAAGTGACCAGATTATGGCCTGGCACATAATGAGAATGTTTTGTAAGGAGGGAACAGGTACTTCCTTCTGGAAACTTTTTGCAGATTTTCAACTGAGATTAATTCTATAATCACACATTCCCTTCAGTCTTCACTATTCTTTCAAATCCAGTAGAAATTTTCCATTAGGGAAAGATAGTGTTAATAAAATAATAAAAACTTAGAAGAAATATTTTTATCTTATTTTTGTACTTGACACAGGCAGCCTTTTTTTTCTTCACCTTTTCATGATTACTACTCTCAAATTGGGTGTCTCACATTTCAGGACTTTTTTAACATCCAGTGGTCAGTCAGGTAGCTCATTTAATAAAGGTTTTTAGAAAAAGAAATGCTTTTTCTACTTGCTGTAGCCAATTCTATAGCACCAAAAGACACACTAATTAAAATTCCTTCATTTTAGGAGTCAGATCATAGAAGGTGTTAGGTTAGTAAAGTTACGATGATTATCTAAAGTTGTGCCAGTAGTAAAAAAGTTTAGGCAAACATAGTTTGCCCAAACTATGAAAAGAGTAGAACCTGAGAGGGAAGGAGAACTGGTACATCCACAAAGAACAAAGGAGGACATTATTAGGAAGAAGCAAGCTTAGAAGGAAGGGTCATTCCCAAAAAGTTAGCAAATCTAGCCCCCTCACTAATATATTCTTTTCTTCTTAATATTTTTTGAGTAATTCACAATAAAAACTGGTTCAATCTAAAAACAATACATTTCTTACTCTAAAGTAATTGATAATGCATTGAAGTAATGCCCTAGAATAGAAAAATCAAATAAAATGTTCCTTGGATCAGACTGACAGGGCCAGTCTGAAAGCACAGTCTGTACCATTTACAGTTTTTACTGGTCATGGAAGGCTGCACCCATATTCTTAGGATAACATCCAATTGTGCTATGATTATGCAGACCCACTAGAATATCACAAAAATATGTGTGTTGTGTTTTTCTATATTCCTGTATTTAGGTCAAAATTTACAAATTAAAAAAGTGAATGGCTCGACTGTGAGAATTAGAGACAAAGAGACAATTAAAAATCAACTTGCTTTTGCATACTTCATTATCATAAAACAAACATGACAGGAACAACTAAAACTGACTGGCTAAATATGAACAGGTCATTTTTAGAAAATTGTTTTTAGTCCTATATAATTGAGCAGCATAATATCTTCAGGATTGTTATGGCTAGTTGCTTCTTTTTCCGAGGAAGGTACAATCTTTATAGAAAACTAAACTTAAAGTTCAGGGTGTAATTGTCATTTTTATAAATACTGAGTTTTTCTCCTTGATCGCCTGCATCTAATCATGAATAAGCCTAAGTCACATTGAATATATATATATATATATATATATATATATATATATATATATACATACAGACACACACACACACACACACACAAACATATCTCAAACATCAAAAACTCTGGGTTAAAGCAGAAGAGAAGGAGGCCAGTTTGGAGACTTTATATTAAGTCTGAGATGACCAGAAGAAAGAGATATTGTGTATTAAAGTGGGAGGCTCCAAGCAAGTCCTGGAAATGGAGTAGGGGCTATTTACAAATGTTTACCTCCATCTCAAATGTCATTTATATATCCAAGTGATGCTGTCTTCTGAAATAGTGACCACTATACACACAAGCCATAGCATATTTAAGCCACAAAATCACTGTTTAACAAGTCAGTCATAAGTCCTCCTATCTAGAAAATAGCAACATTCCATTCATTAGAATACTAGATCCAGTAGTCTTAATTTGAGCTCATTTTTTGTATCCTTAGGTATGGCCTCCTGCTATTTAAAAGGGTGTGGCACAGAAAGACAAATACCATATGTTCTCACTTTTAAGCAGGAGCTAAATAATGCATACACATGGAAGCAGAGTGTGGAATGATACACAATGGAGACCCAGAGGGGTGAGGTGGTGGGAAGGGGTGAATGATGGGAGGTTGCTTGGTGGCTACAATGCACATTGCTCCAGTGATGGAGGCACTGAAGGCTCTCACTTCACCACAGTGCAATATGTCAATGTAGCAAAATTGCAGTTGTACCCCATGAATATATACAAATAAAAAATTAAAAGGTATGATAGCAGATAGCTACCACCAGTCCTAGTCAAGCTGCCCCAAGCAGAGATGCATATTCAATAACCAAGTCAAAGATATGTTGAGTTGGCTATTTTAGAAAGAGGAGCAGGGGAAAGTACAGCTATTAGAAAAGATTGTACAATAAGCACTGTCTGAAGTTGGAATAAATAAAAATGTAACATTTATTATGCAGAGAGGGGATTTACAATTATTTAATAACGAGAATTTATTCCTATGTTTGAAAAGGCTGAAAACTACTGAGTTTTTGTCAGAGAAATACATTTTAATTTATATAGCTAATCAAGTACGTTATAAAGTACTAAAAGCACTACATATATATGTACACATAAACACACGCATATAAGTACAGCTATATACATATATTGTAATTATTATCAGCATCATTTTCAAACATAAAACATGTTTGCAAACTACACTTTGAGAGAAAACAATTATGTTTATGTTCTCCTTAGCCCTTTTGAGAAAAAGAACCACCAGGAAACTAAGAGGCATCACTGAAAGTCACTAGCACCGAGACCACATAGGGTTTTGAAGATCAAAGTAACATATGCAAACTCCACTGACTTCAGATGTTAAATCAAAACATGAAAGCCTTTTTTTATTTTTGAAAAACTCTATTGGATACTGTCAGAGAAATTGTGTATAACTTTCCTATTTATCTGTGTTAATTATTAGATGTATTTGCATAAAAAGGAGATCTTTATTTTTAAAAGTTCATCTGTTCCTGCTGTTTATTCCTCACTTGAAGTAATAATCCAGTATAACATATATAGCAACAGGAGAATATAAACTCTCAAAAGACAAAGATCTCATTTTCATGCAAATGATTCAAATAATATTTTTGAAGTCAAGCATAAGATTGATAGTATGCAAATAATATTGTCTGCAACATATTTTTCTATATATTTCAATTTTTTTTCAAAGTGTTTGCTACTAACAAAGTACTCAGCAGAAATAATAAACAGTTTATCTAGCAAATGTCAAGATATATTATCAAGAAAATTGCTTATAATTGGAATGTGGCAAAGTAGGTCATGTGTCACCTTAAAAAGGTTCACATCATTTTTAACCAACATTTGTGAAAAACCAAATAATTCTTTTGTGACCATAGAAAAGTCCCAAACTGGGCACATGATTTTTTATAATAATGTGTCACTGAAACATGCCTCTTTTCCGGAAGTAATTCAAGGTTTTTGTTTGCACCTCAATAATTTTCTTCCAAATACATTGAGAGACCAAAATGATACCTTAGTTTATATCCACAAGACTAACTTCAATGTACAGTGTCAAAAATTTATAATGTACAAATGTTAAAGAATTATTGAGAAGATTTTAAGCATAAACCTTTCAGTTACCATTCAAAATATCTTATTGTTTAAATAGTAAGATATTATTAATATCGAATAATTTGTTCACATACATGACTTTGCTTCCCTCTGCAGAAATCTTGTGAGGAAAACAGAGAAGATACTACTAACCCTATGTTTTAATTTGAAAATGAAGCGAAATTAAATTACTTATAAGTCATGTGACTAGGTAATGTTGCATCTGGGTCTAGACTTCAGGTATTCTGGCTTTTGGGCTCAGTATATACCCATAATATTATGCACATGATATGGTTCAGATACTTGTCTCCAAATCTCATGCTGAAATGTAACCCCCAGTGTTGGAGGCAGAGATAACGTTTCAACATGTAATTATATTATAAGTTGATTACATGTAATGTAGAGAATTATATTATATTACCAATTCCCTGGTGGAAGGTGGGATCACAGGGGTATATCCCTCTTGAATGGCTTAGAGCCATCCCCTCGGTGATGAGTGAGTTCATGTGAGATATGGTTGTTTAAAAGTGTGTGGCACCTTCCCCCTACTTGCTCCCAATCTCACCATGTGAAATTCCTGCTCCCACTTCACATTCCACCATAATTGTAAGCTTCCTGAGGCCCTTACCAGAAGCTGAGCAGATGTTGGTGCCAATTTGTACAGCCTGCAAAACCATGCACCAATTAAATTTCAGTTCTTTATAAATTACCCAGCCTCATGTATTCCTTTAGAGCAACACAAGAAAGACCTAACACAGTATGTAAAAAAGATCCTTGGAATACCCATGAGAAAAGTAAACTAACCAAGTAACAAAATTGTAATAAAAATACACTTCCCTATATAACAATGTTACAGTCATTAGCCTGAATCAAGAGTAAATACATTAATTAGGAGAGATTTATCTTGTTCTGAAGGTGAGAACAGTTCATAGCTAGCATGGGTATTTGGAAATTATGGAACTAATACCGCTAAAAATCTGATGTTTATATTTTGGTTTTAGATGCCCTAAAAGATATTTCAAGACATAACATTTAGAAAACACTGGTGTAGGAAGCAGATTACCATAATAAAAACAGCAAATGGGGAACGTGATTCTGTCTGGTTTGCAAATTGATTCCATCTGCTGGAAACATCTAGTTGCCTCCAACCACTGTCTTTCACTAATGGGATAAACACATAGAAAGAACTCTTGGAAAACAGGTAAATAGCCTGGTATGTTGTATGATTGGTTCCTCAGTTATTTAACTCTTAAAAATATAGTCAGAGCAACAATCTCATTCTCTCTCTCTTCTCTCTTTTATTCTTGTCTTCCATCTTGAGTTTTATCTGCCTTTGAAGTCCTACAATTTAAATAAAAATACTGGGCTGGGCACAGTGACCCATGCCTGTAATCCTAGCACTTCGGAAGGCCAAGGTGGGAGGATCTCTTGAGCCCAGAATTTCAAGAACAGCCTGGGCAACCTAGTGAGGTCCCATCTCTATAAAAAGTATTAAAAATTAGCTGGGTATGGCGGCATATGCCTGTAGTCTCAGCTGCTTGGGAGGCTGAGGGAGGAGTATCACTTGAGCCCAGGAATTTCAGGCTGTAATGAGTCATGACCACGGCACTGCACTCCAGCCTGAGCAACAGGTCAAAACCCTGTCTCTAAAACAAAATAAACCACTAAAATAAATAAATAAGTAAAAATACTTACCATTGATTGTCATATATTTTTCTATAATTTTAAAAATATTATTATTTGTAGCTAACCAAAGTGTCAGTCTCTGGTTAAAGCTTGCACAATGCACAAATTTAATAATTGATAGTTTAATTTGTAGCTGTCAAACACATAAAAAATGAAGTAAAATTTTTGCTATGGTTATGTACAGTATAAGGAGAAAAGCAAAGCTTAGCTATCTTTGTATTCTATTCCTTACTATGAAAAATGTATATATACTTTGTATACATAAAAGTACTTTGTGTGTGTGAATGTCTGCTATCTATGGCTGAATAACAAATCACCCCAAAACTTACTGGTGTAAAACAACGATTTATTATTTCTCATAACTCTGGGTGGCTTTTTGCTGATCTCACCTGGAGATCACTTTTATGACCATCTTCATCTGGAAAGTTAACTAGCAGCTGAGTTTAGCTGAGACACCTGAGACAGCTGGTTTCTCCTCTCTGTGTGATCTTTCATCCTTAGGGCAGCTAGTCCAAGCCTTCTCGAATAGTGGCAGCAGCATTCCAAAAGGGCATGCTTCAATGTATAACCGCATATTAAGCTTCTACTTGCCACACGTTTGCTGAGGTCCTATTGGTCAAAGCAGGTCACATGAAGAAGCCTAGTGTCAATGTGGGAGGGGACTACCACCACCCAAACCCACTGCTACTAGGAGGCATGGTTCATTGAGGGTCACTAGTGTAACCATGCTCCATAATGGGAAAAGACCGCTACTTTGAAACAAAACAATTCATGTGTTAACACAACATTATTTGAAAGGAGTAACAACTTTATGAATGCTTTTATAGGATTTTTTTCAGGTCACAGAAATCCTCTATTTTAATACTTCGTAATGATATTTACAATAAAAAATAAATAGAAAGTGCTTTATCAAGGAAACATAGTGTTTTATTTAGAAGGAGAATATGATCATTATTGAGCACTGGATATGCATATGGTACTTAATCAGGTGAACTATATGTGTTCTCATTTAATTAATATAATAGAACAACACTGAAAAATTATTTGTTAAATTTTGTTAATGCAAAAAATAATCCTGAATATTCACTTATTAAGTACTATGCTCAACTCTTTTTATCATTTTACTAGTATTCTGAAGATCTAAGTTCTAAATGTTCATTGGGACATCCGCACTCTTTGCCTTATACATCAGTTAGGATTGCTTTACTGCTGAGTAACCAAGGCCCAGAATAACAGTGGTTTAAATAAGACAAGAGTTAAAATCTTTCTCACAGAGAAGTCTGGAGAGGGGCAGCGCAGGGATGAGTTCTCCTGCTTGGAGGCTTTAGGATCCCAAGGTTCTACCAGCTCATCACTCTCATCTCTACAGTACAGCTTTGGTTACATAACTGCACTTTGCAGGAGGGGATGCTGGGAAACACTGTCTTACACTTTTTCCTTAATGTTCATTCACAGAGTCCATAGCCTCTAACTGTGGAGGAAACAGAGAATAGATATTAAGGAAAAAGTGACAGTCTTTGCCTCACCTTATGTGCAATGGCATGCTTGATCCCTGGGGTCAGATATATAATCCCTAACAGTACCCTTAATATGGATAAGCTCTCCAAGCAATGCTAATTGATCTATAAGTAGATAAGCACACTCAGCCTTATTAACACCACATTCTAACCATTACGTTACATGATATGTGGAAAATTGGTGCCTTTATCACTATGGAACCAGCTGCATGTTGAACTGTTATAACAGGTACAGTCACTGTGACTCATTGAAATTCACATGAAAAGCACAAAGATATTGTGTGGAAAGTTAGTCAGGCAAGCAATATCTCAAGGGAAGATCATGTGTCAGGAAAGCAGTGTAGGGGTAAAAAGTCAGCCTGGGGGATGGGGCAAGGCTTAGAAAGAAGAGGGCTGCCTTAGATTCACACTGTATAAAGGAGGCTTGAAAAAAAAAGAAATAAAGAGAAGATATTTGCTAGTAGATTAAAACTAAGGAAAATGTTACTGTGCTACCTTTGAGGTAAATGTGGTTCACTGGTTGTTAAGTATTCAATTTACATTGACTAAATCACATCTGATTTATTAACTTTTCTTACCACTTTTCCTATACAACATTTCTTCAGAAATTTCTACAAACATATGCACATTTGGTTCTCCTGAAGACTGGAAGCAGATCTAGTTCAGCACCAGCTTTCTTGTAAGGAGAGCAGCTGGCACAGACCCATGGCATCTCAAGGGCCTACCTCGGGAAACAGAGGCAAAAACATTCCAAAAAGTTAAGGAGGACTACTTCTCCAAGAAGTATCTGCCACAAATTATAGCCATAGCATTTCCCCTGTTCTTTGTAGCTACTTTCAAACTTTTTTAGAAAAATTGTATTTATTTTAAATGTTTTATTGGATCAGACCGGTTTTACCATGGACACTGTTTTATTTACTCAAATTTTCTCCATACATTTATGCATACTAAGTACTGATCTGTATTTAAATAACATCATTTAGCCAGTTAGGGACACATAACCAGGCCCTGAATAGAAGAAATTTAACTGCTGACTTCAGATCCATGCAATGACTGATTCTAAAGAAAATGCTTAGTTTCTACAATAAATCTTAGTTCTTCTGTCAACTACAATGACTGAAACTCTTGTATATTTCTACAAAGCAGCCCTGCCACACTCCATGCTGTGCTGAATTGTTCCAAATTAGAGATCTGCTGCTTCCCTGTGGGCATCCTGCTGGAACATATAGATTTTCTATTGAGCTGCTAGGGCTTTGCTTCAGTTTTGCACAGTAGCCAATTTAAGCAGATTGGAGCAATATATGCAATCCCGCTGCATAGTCAGCATTGGAATTGTCTTACCAGGATGAATATGATGGGGAAGAAGTTATGACCCCATTTGCTCAGAGAAAGCTAGTATGACCTGCCAGAAAAAATATGGGCTGGAAAGCCAAGCAGACCTTGCTACTTACCTGGTCATTCTAACTCTTACTTTTCTCATCTCTAAAACTGGGAGGGAAACATCTAACTTTCAAGGTAACATGAATTAAAGAGAATGAATGTAAAATACCTACCACAGTATCTGATATATAATAATGTATGCTTATTATTATTAAAAAAATGAAAGAGCACTGGTTTAGAAAATGTAGAAAATTATACAACTCTAACACTAGTATTCTAAGGTAGGTTCTATTGAGGCTTTTTGTGATCCTAATATTATTGTGCCTCTTGTATAATTAAAAGTAAAATCAATAATAAATATCAAGATGAGTTTTAGGACATTTAAAGACTTTCTGACTTTTTTCCATCAGTATTACTTTGATTCTTTTTGGGAAATGTCAATATTCAAAATCTTGTGCCTGAAGCGCATTTTAAATTTGCCTTTGGATAATCCAGCACTGTTTAAAATGTACTTTAATCACTTTCACTCCAGAACGTCTTTTCCTCCCTGATCTTTTTACTAAGTATTTCAAAAAGAGCATGAAAATTTTATTACTAAGAAAAACGGATATATTTCCCAAATAGAAAACAAAATGTAAATGTCTATATTGAATATATTAGGTATTCCCACTGGGCCCCTGAGGCAAAGATTGAACGTTCAAGAAGTGAAAACGGAATCAAAATGTGTCTCAAAGCAGAATGACACAGTTTAAGGAACCAGGGTTTGGAAAGGAGGACCTGTGTAGGTTTTGCACATTCATTCACTCATTTAAATCATGTTTATGCAGGAGCTGCATTATGCTAGACAATGTAAATATTATGGTGAACATGACTCATGTATTCCTGCCTTCCTGTAGTCTATGTCTGGTGAGGAAGACAGAATGCACATAATCTTGAAAAGAAAAGCAAAACGAACTGTGGACTGTGGTAGAGATATTAAAACATGTGTAAGGAATCAAGGAAATTCTCCTTAGTGTCTTCTAAACTAAGATCTGAATGTTCAGAAAAGCTAAAGTATGGGGACAGTGGTAGCAGCAGATGAGGCAGAACAGAAAGGTAGATGTTTATTCTATAGATAAGTGTTTCATAAGGAAATGATAAGATCATTCATATCTTTAAAGATCCATTAAGAGCTTCTTGCAATGAAACAGGTGAGGTGTGCATCAGGTGACAGCTACAGAGATGAAGAAAGGTGGAACACTGAGCGAGCTGTTTGTAGGCTAGAGTTGTCAGTTCTGTACACTAGGGCTTGATGTTTGATCAATCAGGATGGGGAGAAAGAACAACATGTCAAATGTGATGCCCAGACCCAGCACTGGGGAGCTGAGTGGATGGTGTGTTTATTAACCTAGAAAGCACAGAAGAACAGAAAGTTTGAAACTAAGGATATAAGTAAGATGCTTTCAAAGCACCCAAAAGGAGATGTTCAGTAGGCAGTTTGATATCCAGGTTTGTGTCTCTGTTCGGGAGTCTGGGCTGCAAGAAAATTCTTAAAAAGGGCTTAGCCGAATTCCTAGCACATAATGAACATTCAGGAAGTGTCAGCTACATATATTAATAATATTATTGTGTCTCATATTATTATTGGTACATAAGAATGTAACCATTATCAACCAAAAAAAGACAGAAAACTAAAGCCCTACAGTCATGGAGAAAAAGTCTTTCATTCATTTCAACTGTGTGGTAAAATGTACACCCAATGAAAATACAAACATAATCCATTTCTTTTTTTAAAAAAATAAGGAAAAATCTTACACTCTTATGCCTCAAAAGAAAGCATCAGTACTGATAGTCCCATGCTCACACAGGTACAGTGAACTCCAAGTTGAGTGTCCCATTCATTGCTTAACCTCTGGTAGCATTTTCAACAGTGAATGAGTTGCTTTTCAAAGTTTGCCACATCAGGCCTTAGTTTAAATCTGTTTCATTGTTAACAGCCATAAAATGTCAAAACAAAACAAAACAAAACATAAAGCAAAACCTTAATGCCTGACAAGGACAGAATCAGGTGCAATATTTGTAAACACTTGGAAAGACACTCTTATGGTATTAGCTGTGGGTTTTAAATAAAAATTAAAAAATAAGACCCTCCACATTAACTGACAGAGGGAAAATTCTGGACTACAGCATAGACCAGATCCGTAGTTCAATGCAGAATTTCTTATACTCCCGTATTGTAAGTTCCAGTATTTATTTTTGTAGTCAGCAATTACAATTATTCATGATCGCATTTTTATCAACCATCATGCTTATACAGCTACCTCACAAAAGTTATATTCCAGTATTTAGTAAAAAGTCAGCATTTTTAAATGCTTTACTATAAAACTCAGTATCTGACATGCATTTTTTTCCCATTGGTTCTGCCCTAAAACCTCTATCTCCCCATGAAGGGATTCAGTATCCCTTGTAAAGTGTTAGAAGTACTTGAAGAATTGTCATGTAACTGTATTATTTTTGCCATGGAGCATACATTCCTAGTTCTTATGATAATTTGCTGAATCGTATTTGAAGATCTGCTAATGCCCATCATTAGTCCACATAACTGAATGGAAATTCCCTTCCCCTTCACCCTCATTCAGGAGAGGATACATGACCCAGACTTGGACAAGTATTGCATTTCCCTAGTCACAACGATTAGGTTAAGCTACGTGATAAAATCAGATTCAATAGAATTAATTCTGGGATGCAGGTGGATCTTCCCCAAGGCTTTTATTTTATTTTACTTTGTTTATACTTGTCCTTGGAATATGAAAACCTGATACTGCTGGTAGTCAGTTACCACTGCTTAGAGAGAAATAAGGCCCTGATGACATCACTAGAGTCAGAATCAAGCTAACTCTCAGTCTATCTCTGGACTTTTTAGTTACATAAACCAATACTTTTGTACTGCTCTTTCTGCTTTAGCCAATTTAAGTGTTTTCTCTCTCTTGGAAGACAACTCTTGTATCTAGCTGATACTATGTAATTTAATGTTAACAAAACACATAAAGAAACTTGAGAAAGTTAACCAAAGTTAACCATGTTTCTTTGCTGTAAACAAAAAATAAAAAACACAGTGTCTAAATTTGTAGGTAGGATATGAACATCTGCTTACAGCAGAAATTATGAGCAAGTACACTCATAATTTCTGTACATTTCTTTGAGAACCAATTGTATGTATATACTGTGTTGGCAACATGGCTATATTAATATTCACTATATATTATATTCACAGCTATATTAATTATCTACTGGCTATCTGCTTGTATTGGTTTCTTCTGGGTTTTGAAAAGCCCAGTTTCAAACCTTAGCTCTACTACTACGAAGCCTCAGTTTCCTCTTATGTCAAATAAACATGATAAAAATAGAACTGACCTCAAACATTTACATGAATTTTAAAAAGACAGTGCTTGCAAAGCTCCAAATAAAGTGGGTGCTCAGAAATCCTTAGCTGTTAGATGTTATTCATAGATGGCATTAAGGTAAGGACACATTTATTTTTGCTGGAGCTAAAGAAAAATAGAAAGTTAAGTCATAAGTAGGCAAATTCTAGTCATACTTCTAGTATTATTGTTATTGGGCAAACAACCAAATTTTACTTGATAAATCTAAGTTGATAAGCAGATATAGAAAAATATAGATACAGATATACATATAGATATACATAGACATATACATATTTTTGTCCCCATACAGCTGTATATCTGATCTTAAATATTTGAATTTGTTATTACATCTGCAGGATTATATACTTGTAGGTCAAACTTTACATTTGGTCAAACTAAGAACAACTAGCAATGTCTGGAGAGTTCTGGGTTACTTCCATATATCCTGATCTAATTTTTTTGATGCATTAAATAGATAACCTCTATCTCCAGCAAGATTAAATTTTTTCCTATTGATAAGGATTGATAAGGAAAAGAAAACAATGACAAGAGCATTTTGCAGCCGGGCGTGGTGGCTCACGCCTGTAATCCCAGCCCTTTGGGAGGCCGAGGCGAGCGGATCACAAGGTCAGGAGAGCGAGACCATCCTGGCTAACACGGTGAAACCCCATCTCTACTTAAAATACAAAAAATTAGCCAGGCATGGTGGCGGGCGCCTGTAGTTCCAGCTACTCGGGAAGCTGAGGCAGGAGAATGGCGTGAACCCAGGAGGTGGACCTTGCAGTGAGCCAAAAAAAAAAAAAAAAAAGAGCATTTTGCAGCTGACCTGGAGCTAGTGTTTTGAAATAGACAAAAGGGGACATGGTTTAGAATGTAGTCTTCTTACAGTTGTCTTGTGACATTTCACTAGCACAAATACCAATACCTATAATAAATAAGTCAATTCTATATGTCCTTCTTATATAATATATAAGCCAATATTAGTCATAGCTAATTCCACATAAAACCCACTTAGAGCTAGGAGAAACCTAATTAGTACAAATTCTATTTTGTCATTTTAAACATTAATCTATTATTGAAATTCTCAGATTTTAATAAATTTAATAAAATTAGCATTTTAATGCAAAAGTATTCTCAATTCTCAAAAGGTTGATTCCATTTTTAAGACAACTTACAACTAAGGGAATATTTAAATCCAAATAATACAAAAAAATAAGATTCCCATTTGACACATTAGCATGGATGAAGGGTCAATGTTGAGGTCATTACAGTCCAACCTAATAAGTCCATGAAATAAAATAAATATAGAAACTAATCTAAAAGCTAAGAAATGCAGAGATATTTTACTAACATGAAAGAGGAGAGGAGCTTTTTGTTGGATTTATTTTTATTCTTCCTACACCTATAATTTACATCGCTCCATGTTTCCAATTCTTTTCAGGAGCAAGTTGAAAATCTTACATATGCAGCTTTATGAAGAAATCTGATCAGTCAGATGAGAATGTTCTGCCTGCCTTTTTTTTTTTTTTTTGGTCCAATTCATTTTTAGCCCTTATTTCCCCAGGAGAAAGAAAATAGGAGTTTCTTCCTTTCATCCTCAGCTAGAATCTCACAACTGGTGCTGCCAATATTTCTGCAATGAAGTGTCTTAACAAAGATGAATTAACTCCAACACTGTTCTCCTTGATTTTTTCTCTCATTAGCTGCTTCTTTGCTGAGCCTAGACTCTTTCTGACCACTAACCTGAAGGACAGTCTATGAGTCATGAAGTACTGTACATTTGCCTTTAAGTATACATAATGAGACTTAGATCCTGGAGCAGCTTGTGGTGGGGCAGCAGGATGAAACCCTCTGTGGCTTATCTAGTCTGCTCTACACACAGTCACTGAAGCACTAGCTTAAGTTTGTGCATTTTCTTGTACATCAGGCTGTCAGGCCTGGTGGAATCTCCATTCTGTTAATAAGAAGGAATCAGAGGGAGGGGATAAAAGTGTAATGTAAAATGTAAATAGGGTATATCCTCATCTGTTTTCTGTTACTTATAACAGAATACCTGAAATTGGGTAATTAATAAAGAAAAGATATTTACAGTTATAGAGGCTGAAAAGTCCACGGTGAAAGAGCCCCATATCATCACAGCCTTCTTGCTGGTGGAGACCCTTCAAAGTCTCAAGGTGGTTCAGGATATCACATGCTGAATGGGCTGAGTTTGCTAATGTGCTAGCTCTCTTCCTCGTCTTAGGAAGCCACCAGCTCCTCTCCCATGATAACCCATTAATCCATTAAGCTATTAATCCATTAATTCACAAATGGATTAATCTATTCAGGAGGGCAGAGCCTCTTAAAGGTCACACCTCTCAATACTGCCACATTGGAGATTAAATTTCAACTTGAGTTTTGGAAGGGACATTCACTCCATAGCATTCTCACCCTTGCCTCCGAAAACTTGAGTTTTTCTCACATACAAATACATTCATTCCATCCCCATAGCCCAAAGTCTTAACTTGTTTCAGTATTAACTCAAAAGTTCAAAGCCCAAAGTGTCATCTGTGAGCCTGTGAAATCAAAACAAGTTATTTTCTTGTAAGATACAAGGGTGAGAGAAGCATAGGATACAGATTCCTGCTCCGAAAGAGAGAAATAGGCAAAAAATGGTAACAAGACCTATGAAATTCCAAAACTCAAGAGAGTAGACATTGGGTTCTAAAACTCCAGAATAATCTCTGACTCCATGTCTGACCTCTTCTGCATACTGGTGTGGGAGTTAAGTCCCCAAGGCCTTGGGCAGCCCTGGACTCTGGCTTGACTGGGCTTAGCCCACCCAGCTCTCCCAAGCTGATGTTGCCCACTCTGCAACAGCTCCAGCCCCACATTTCTGCAGGCATTGCTCTAATGGGGGCTCTCTGTGGTGGCTCCATCCCTGTGACAAGTCTTTGTCTGGGCCTTCAGGTTTTCAGTGACGTATTTTGAAATCTGGGTGAAGGTTCTTGCTTTCAGCAAGCCTGCAGAATTAGTACCATGTGAACACTGCCAAGGTTTACATACATGAGGCACTGCACTGGGGGTATGGGGAATAGAGTCCCAAGGAAATCCTGGGCAGTGAGCCTATGGAGAGCACCCTGGGCCTGTCCCCTGAAATCAATCTGCCCTCCTAGGTCTATGGGCCTGTGATGGGAGGGGCATCCTTGAAGATCTCTGAAGTGCCTTCAGGGTCTTTCTTTCACTGTCTTGAAAAACAGCACCTGGCTTCCCTCTATCTGTGTTAATCTCTTTAGCAAATGGTCACTGAGCTACACCTTTGTTTTTCTCTCCTGGACATACTTCTTCACTTTTGCAACATATTCACTTTTGCAACATATTAAGTGGCCAGACTGAGAATTTTCCAAATCTTTCCACTCTTTCCCTTTGAATTATAATTCTATCTTTAAATTATTCTTTTGCTTCTGCATCTCACTGCAAGTGGCTACAAATAACCATGCAACTCCTTCTGTATTTTACTTAGAAATGTCTTCTTCCCGACATCCCAGTTTATGACACTCATGTCTGGCCTTCTACAAGGCCTCAGGAATGGGCACAGTTCAGTCAAGTTCTTTTCCAATTGATAAGAAGAATGACCTTTCCTCTAGTTTCCAATACCTTATTCCTCAGTTCCATCTGAAACCTCATTAGAATGGCCTTTACTGTCTATATTTCCATTAACATTCTGGTCATCTCACTTAACCAACCTTTTAGAAGTTCCAAACCTTCCCCACTCTTCTTGTCATCTAAGCCCTCACCAGAAGCTAGGCTTTCTCTAACCCAGTCCTTCAATTTCTTCCAGCCTCTGCTCACTACCCAGTTTCAAAGCTGCTTTCACATTATCAGGTATTTGTTATCAGCAACGCCACATTCTTAGTACCAATTTTCTGTTTTAGTCTCTTTTCTGTTGCTGATAACAGAATACCTGAAACTGGGTAATTTCTAAAGAAAAGGAATTTATTTCTAATACTTACAGAGGCTGAGAAGTCCAAGCTTGAAGTGTCACATTCAGTGAGAGCCTTCTTGCTGGTGGAAACCCTGCACAAAGTCCTGAGGCATTACATGTAGGACATTACATGGTGAGGGGACTGAGTGCGGTGATGTGCTAGCTCAGGTCTCTCCTCTTCTTCTTACAGAGCCACAGGTTTCTCTCCCATGATAATTCATTTATTTATTAACCCATTAATCCATTTATGAGGGCAGAGCCCTTATGATCCCATAACCTCTTAAAGGCAACACCTCTCAATACTGCTACATTGGGGATTCAGTTTCAACATGAGTTTTAGAGGCGACATGCAAACAATAGAAAAGTAAAAGCAAAATATGGGTTTTTTTTCAGTACCAATAATATGTAGGCAGACCACCATAGAAAGGAAAAAAAGATTTCCCCTTGTAGTTTTGAAATTAGATCTTCAATTTATTGTTATTTAATAGAATAATAAATTCTAGTAAGTAAAGTTTCTTTGTACTGAACATACGCAAATAGAAGCTTTACCTAAAATAAAAAATAACGAGAACATTTTACATTTGTGCTGCATTTTTTTCTTTTTGGAATATTTCACACATATTATCACCAGAAATACCCATTACCTTCATTCTACTCTCTTTAAGGAATGACAAAATCTATGCCTGTGAGGTTTCTGGGTACAACCAAAACCAGTGAGAAATTTTGGGTCTGAAACACACAGATTTGGGGTTTGCTTTGATACGTGGTCCAAAAAACAGAGAAGATCTAACATAAAATGGGCTCTAGACCAATGAGATGCATAAAATATCCAGCAGATGCAAACTCTAAACCTCCCTGGAAGAATGTTGTCTTGTCATGAGAAATTATCACAGAAAAAAAAGTCTTCACTAAAGATGAATGTATAATCAACACTTAAAAACAAAATTATAAGTGAGAGTCATCAAGCAATAAACAGTAATGTTATAAAAATAAACCATGTAATATTGGTTTTTTATGAAACATGATCTGAATAAGTATAAACATCATTTTTCATGATCTGAAAAAATGTAAACATTTTTAAAGACATAAGAAAGTAAACACAATCTTAGGAACAGAATAAGACTTCAAAAGAAATTCAAAACAATAATTTAATATTCAGTGAATGATTTAGTAGCAAATTAGATATGTCATAGAGGAAACTAATAACCTAAAAAGAAATCTGAGAAAATAACTCAGAATGCTCCATGGAGAAATAGAGAGAAAGAGGATGAAAGAGGATGAAACTACAACTAACAGCAGTTTCAAAGAATTAGAACAAAAGGAAATTAAATCAATATGGTGTTAACACATAGAAAAACAAACAGGCCAAAGAGGAAGTCCTGAAATACATATACATATGAACACATGATTTATGACAAAAATGAATTAAATGTAATATAAAAGGCATAACAATAAATCAACTAAAAGACAACATGGGAGAATATCTTCAAGACTTTGAGAGTTAGCAAATATTTTTATAGAGAGCACAAAAAACACTAACCATAAAGAAAAACATTGATAAATTGAACTACAATAAAATTAAGAGCTTATTTTAATTGAAACACATTATTAAGATCATACAAAAGCAAGCCATTGTCTAGAACACACTTATAATGTATTTAGCTGGCAAATAATTCATTTAGAACGCATAAAGAACTCTTACCAATTGTTATGGTCTGAATGTTTGTGTACTCCCAAAATTCATGCTGAAATCCTTATCCCAAAGGTAAAGATTTAGACAGTAGGGCCTTTGGGAAGTGATTAGATACTGAGAGTAAAGCCCTCATAAATATAATTAGTGTCCTTATACAGGAGACCCTGGAGATCTTCGCCCCTTCTAACAGAGAGAAGGTGCTATCCATGAGCCAGAAAGCAAGCCCTCTTTTGACAATGAAATTGCTGGTGTGTTGTTCAAGGACTTTCCAGCTTCCAGAACAATAAGAAATAAATTTCTGTGGCTTATAACCTACCCAGTTTATGATATTTTGTTAAAGCAGATAGAACAGACCAAGATATCAATAAGTAAGAAAAAGGCAGACAAGCCAAGAGAAAAATGTGCAGAAGACTTCAAAAAGGGAAAATATTAAAAAACACAACATTTGTAAAGTGTTCAAATTAATTAATCACTAGGAAAATGCAAATCATAACCACAGTGAGACCCCACTACATATGTACTAGATTAGATAACATTTACAATTCTGGGGCTGGGTGCAATGGCTGACACGTGTAATGCCAGCACTTTGGAAGACCTAGATGAGTGGATCACTTGAGCCCAGGAGTTCAATACTAGCCTAGGCAACATGGTGAAACCCTGTCTCTACAAAAAAAAAAAAAAAAAATTAGCTGGGCATGGTGGCATAAACCTATAGTTCCACCTACTCAGGGGAGGCTGAGGTTGGAGGATCACTTGAGCCCAGGAGGTCAAGGCTGCAGTGAGTGGTGATTGCACCACTGCACTCCAGCCAGGGCAACAGAGTGAGACCCTTTCTCAAAAAATAAAATAAAATAAAAAATAAGTAAAATAAAACAAGATTCTGGTAAGGAAGATATCATCAAGATGGTTGAGCAGAGATACCCGGTACTTGCCTCCTCCACAAAGAAGGATCAAAACAACTAGAAAACCACATGTCAAATAGTGTCTAGGAAAAAATACTGGAATACAGCAAGAAAGTAACTAAGACACCCTGAAGTATACAAACTCAGGATAGAAGCATAACTCAGGATGGAAACAAAGAGAAGGAAGTGAAGCACCCAGCCAAGATCAGCTTGGAACCCAGATAACAGGTAAGTGGAGATCCCTAGGAGTCTCATTCCCACCACAAATTCCTGCAATCCTAGTTACAGGAGAGCCCCACAGTACTCACAGTCTCAACCAGTGTAGGGAGCTGTCTAGAGTCCTTGTGACTGCATTACTCCAGGGAGGAAAACTCACAGTGTTCCCCCCACACTCCCCAGGATCCAGGCTACTGCAACATGGTACTGTTTTGAAGTAAGAACCACTGCCAGAGTGCATCCTCCACAAAAGCCCAATTGCCCCTACATCTCCACATCTCTGCGGCACTTCACTCATCCCACCATACCCACACCAGAAGGCTGCAGGGCCATGGCCTGAGCTAGATCCAATGGTGCATCTGTGAACCAGGCACCTGAACCCAGGCAGCACCCTACATGCTCGGGAACAGGTGGTACGGTGCAGCAGGGAGGTCACCCAAAATAGAGAGTGAGCCACATGTGTCCTTCCCAGACCACCCAGCCTGCCACCACCTGTGACCCCTTCTACTTTAACAGCTGAATCATCATCTGCCTATGAACCCTCTCAAGGATGCTGAGAACTGAACCACCTGAGGCCTGCTGCCACAAGTGACCACAACTACTCTAGCTGTAGAAGAGTGAGGTGCCATCACTAGAACCCAAGGACTGGCTCACCTAGGTCTGCTTGGGCCTGCTTCCATCAGCAACTCCATCTACTCCAGTAGCAGAGCTGCTGAGCATCTTCAAATCTCACCAGGGGGCCAAGCATTTCCCACCAAGGGCCTGCTCTCACCAGTGACCCTTCCCACTTCAGTGATACAGATGCCATGCAACTGTGTACCCTCCAATCACACAAAGGCTCACTGCAGTGGCAACCTTACTCACTCCAGCAATGGAACTGCCATGTACCCTACTTAAGGACTTGAGAACCTGCTCACCTGGGGTCCACCTTTGCTGGCAATCTTGCCCCCTCCAAAGACAAAATTGCCATGCCCTGTGCCCACTCTTGTAAGTCCCAAAGACTGGCCCACTTGGGACCATTGCTAATGGTAACTCTGCACTTTTGACCAGAAGAGCTGTCATGCGCCTTTCCAGGGCCTAAGACTAGGCCCACCTGGTAGACACCCTCTGCCACTGCCACCAAAGCCATGACGCGGTCTCCATAAACACACTCAATCTACGCCACTTATGCACTCACAAACACTGCTGACATAGATTACAGCCAAAGATGTCATATGGAGACTGCACTATTGTGCCCAACAAAAACCAAAGCCAAAGCACCCTAACCAACTGACATTATGAGAAAAATCCACAGGAAAAAAAAGTCTTTCCATACAAAAGTCAGAAGGGCTTTCTAAAAACTAGAAGACATTACTGTTCAGAAACATTAAAAAAAAAAAAAAAGGACGTTGCTAAGGGATCACAATTATTCTCCAGTAACAGAGTCCTCAAAAAAGTAAATCTATTAGATGCCTGAGAAGGATTTCAAAATAATGATAGAAAACTCTCAGTGGAATACAAGAGAACACAGATGGACAACACAAATAAATCAGGAAAACAATTCATGATCTAAATGAGAAATTCAACAAAGAGATAGGTATCATGAAAAAAACAAACAGAATATCGGTACTAAAGAATTTAATGAATAAAATACAAAAACACAATCAAGAGCTTCAATAATAGCTAGATCAAGATAAAGAAAGAATTTCTGAACTTGAAAACAGAAGTCTTTTGAAATAACTCAGTCAGACCAAAAAACGACAGAAGAATAGAAAAGAATAAGGAAAGCCTGCAAGACTTATGGAACACCACTAAGAAAACACATTCTTGCATTTGGAAGTTTCAGATGAAGGAATAGAAAAAAGTATAGAAAACCTATTTAATGAAATAATAGCTGAAAATGTTATAAGTCTATAAAGAGATGTGGACATCCAGATCCCCAAATTGATTCAACCCTAAAAAATGTTCTCTCTGAGACACAGTACAGTGAAACTGGCAAAAAGCAAAGACAAAGAATTTTAGAAAGAGCAAGTGAAAAGTGTTAAGTCAAAAATAACAAAATATCTATCAGACTTACAGCAGATTTCTCAGATTTCCCTCTTACAGGCCAGGATATAATGAGATTATATACTCAAAGTGCTGAAAGAAAATAACTTCCAGTGAAGACTAATATACCCAGCAAAGCTATCCTTCAGAAATGAAAGAGAAATAAAGTCTCTTCCAGACGAGAAAAAACTGAAGGAAATCATCACCACTAGGTTGGTTCTGCAAGAAATGCCTAAAGAGAGTCCTACCTCTACAAGTGAAAGTACAAGAACTACTATTATGATAATACAGTAAAATATAAAACTCACTGACAGAGCAGGTATACAAATGAGAAAGAAATAAATCAAATTATATTACTACCAAAAAACCCACAAAGATAAATAATAAGAGAGAAATAAAGAAACAAATGATGCACAAAACAATCAGAAATAATCAACAAAATGACAGGAGTTAAGTCTGTACCTATCACTAAGAACCTTTAACGTAAACAGTTTATATCCCCCAATTAAGAGATATAGACTGGCTTAATAAATAAACAATCAAGACCTAACTATATGCTACCCCAAAAAATCTCACTTCACCTGTAAAGACTAAAAGCAAAAGGATAAAAGAAAGATATTCCACACAAATGGAAAACAAAAGTTTAGAGCAGGAGTAGCTTTACTTACATAGGATAAAATAGAATTTAAGTCAAAAACTATAAAGACAGACAAAAAGGTAGTTATATAATTAGAAAGGGATCAATTTCACAAGAAAATATAACAATAGTAAATATATATGTACACAACTCCAGAGCACCCAGATATATAAAGAAAATATTATTAAAGCTAATAGGAGAGGTTGGGAACCTTACCACCCAGCCCTCAGCATTGGACAGATCGACAAAGAAAATCAACAAAGAATCGGATTTTAACTGCACTATAGACCAAATGGGCCTAAATGACATTTACAGAACATTTTATCCAACAGCTGTAGAATACACCTTCTTTTAATCAGCATGTGGAACTTTCTCCAAGATAGACCATATGTTGGGCGACAAAACAAGTATCAACAAATTTTTAAAACTCAAAACCATGTCAAATATATTTTCAGACCAGAATGGAATAAAACTAAAAATCAATAACAAGAACAACTTTGGAAATTTTACAAATGCATGGAAATTAAACAACATGCCTCTGAATGACCAATGAAACAATAAAGATCCTTTTAAAAGCATTCTTTTTAAAAATTTATAAAACAAATGCAAATAGAAACACAACATAAGAAAACCTATGGGATACAGCAAAAGCAATCATAAATGGAAAGTTTATAGCAATAAATGCCTACAACAAAAAGGAAGAAATATTTTAAATAAATGATATAATGTTGTACTTCAAGAACATAGAAAACCAAGAAAAACCAAATCCAAGATTAGTTGAAGGAAATAAATAATAGAGATCAAAGCAGAGCTGAATGAAATAGAGACTAAAAAAAATTCAAAATATCAATGAAATGAAAAAGTTTTTTAAGACAATAAACCAAACTGGCAAACCATTAGCTAAACTAACTGGAAAAAAGAGAAATAATCCAAATAAATAAAATTAGAAATGGAAAAGGAGACATTACAACTGATACCAGAAAAATACAAGAGTAGTTCAACACTATTATGAACAACCATGTGCTAACAAGTTGGAAAATCTGGAGAAAATGGATAAATTTCTGAATACATACAATCTACCAAGATGGAACTATGAAGAAATAAAAGCCTTGAACAAATCAATAACAAGTAATGAGATTGAATCAGTAATAAAAAGTCTTGCAACAAAGAAAAGCCCAGGAATGGAAAAATTAATTGCTGAATTCTACAAAAGTTTTAAAGAGAAACAAATACCAATTCTTCACAAACTATTCCAAAAAATTGAAGGCAGGAAATTCTTCCAAATTCATTCTACAAGGCCAGCATTACATTGATATAAAAGTAGCACAAGGACACATTATAAAAGGGAAACTGCAGACCAATATCCCAGATGAATATAGATGCGAAAATACTCAAAATAATACTAGCAAATAAATCCAGCAGCATGTCAAAAAGATTATACACCATGACAAAGTGGTATTTATCAAAAGGATGCAAGGATAGTTCAACAAATGCAAATCAATAAATGTGATACCTCATATCAATATAATGAAGGAGGAAAATCACGATCATCTCAATAGATGCAGAAAATGCATTTGATAAAATTTCACATCTCCTTATGCTAACAACTCTCAAAAAATAGGTATAAAAGGAATGTATATCAACAAAGTAAAAGTCACGTATGACAAAACCACAGCTAACATCATACCAAACAGGGAAAAATTTAAAGCTTTTCCTTTAAGAACTTTACAGAACATTTCATCCAACAGCTGTGGAATACACATATTATACACATACAAGAGAAGGATACCCACTTTTGCCACTTTTATTCAACATAATACTGGAATCCTAGCCAGAGCAATTAGGCTAAGCAATAGAAATAAATGGCCTCAAAATTTGAAAAGAAGTCAAATTATCTCTGTTGCAAATGACATAGCTTACATTTAGAAAAACCTAAAGACTCTACCAAAAAAACTTCAGAGCTAATGAATGAATTCAATGAAGTTATGGAATACAAAACAAACATACAAAAATGAGTAGCATTTCTAGACACTAGTAACAAGCTAACTGAAAAAGAAATTATGAAACTGATTCATTTACAATAGTTATAAAAAATTAAAATATCCAGGAATTAAGCAAAAAGGTGAAAGGTCTTCACAAGGAAAACTATAAATCATTAATGAAGAAATTGAAGAGAAAAGAAAAAAATGAAAAGACATCCCATGTTCATAGCTGAGAAAAATTAATATTGTGAAAATGATGATACTACCCAAAGCCATCTGAAGATTCAATGTAATTCCAATCAAAATATCAATGACATTCTTCACAGAAATAGAAAAAAAAAAAAATCTTGGCTTCATATGGAACCAAAAAGGACCCTGAATACCCAAAGCGATCCTGATACAAAGGAACAAAGCTGGGAGCATCACACTACCTGAGATTACACTACAAAGCTATAGTAACCAAAACAGCATGTTACTGGTATTAAAAACAGACATGTAGACCAATGAAACAGAATGCAGAACCCAGAAATAAGTCCACATATTTACAACCAACTGAATCTTGACAAAGACACCATGAACATACATTGGAGAAAGGATGGTGCTGGGAAAACTTGATATCAATGTGCAGAAAAACTAAAACTAGATCTTTATCTCTCACCATATACAAAAATCAATACCAAATGAATGAAAGTCTTAAAAAACTAGTAAAAGAAAACACAAGAAAAATGCTTCAAAATATTGATCTGGGCAAATATTTTATGGATAGGACTCCAAAAACACAAGAAACAGAAACAAAATAGACAAATGAGATTATATTAAGTGAAAAAGCTTCTGCACAGCAAAGTAGACAATCAAGTGAGTGAAGAGATAACTGAAAAAAAGGGGAGGAAATAACTGCAAACTATTCATCTGACAAGGGATTAATATCCAGTATATACAAGGAACTCGAACAATGCAACAGTAAAAATAATAATAATAATAATTGGATTAAAAATTGACAAATTAGCTGAACAGACATTTCTCAAAAGAAGACATACAAATGGCCAACACGTATATGGAAAAATGCTTGACATCACTAATCATCAGAGAAATACAAATCAAAACCACAATAAGATAGCATCTCACTTCAGAATAGCTATTATCAAAAATATAAAAATAACAAATTCTGGTAATGATGCAGAGAAAAAGACACTCTTATACAATGTTGACAGTAATGTAAATTAGTATAGCCATTATGAAAAGTTCTCAAAAAACTAAAATTATAACTATTATATAATCTAGCAATACTACTTCTGGATATTTATCCAAAGGAAAGGAAATCAGTATATCAAAGAGATATCTGTACCCTTATGTTTACTGCAGCCCTATTCACAATAGCCAAGATATGGAATTAACCCAAGTGTCCATTCACAAATGAATGAATAAAGAAAATGTGGTATATGTACAGAATGAAATAATATTCTACCACAAAAATAATGAAATCCTATCATTTACAACAACATGGGATATTATGTGGAGTGGAATAAGTCAGGCACAGAAAGATAAGTACTACATCTCACACATTGATGCTATAAAATTTGAGCTCATACAATATAATAGAATGGTGGTTACTAGAGGCTGGGAAGAGTGGCAGGAAGGGGGATAGAAAGGGCTTGCTTAACAGATACAAAATCATAGCTAGATGGGAGGAATAAGTCCTGGCATTCTATAGCACTGTGGGGTGGTTATGGTTAACAATAATTTATTGTATATTTTCAAATAGCTAGAAGAGAGGATTTTGAGTGTTCCCAACACGAAGAAATGCTCAACGTTTGAGGTGATGGATGTGATAATTACCCTGATTTAGTCATTACAGATTGTACGCATCTATTGAAATAACGCTTTGTACCACACGAATATGTGTAAGTATTATGTGTCAATTAAAAATAAAATTTTTAAAAAGTATGGTAATGTAAAGCTGATATGGTTTGGCTGTGTCCCCACCCAAATATTATCTTGTATTGTAGCTCCCACAATTCTCAGATGTCATGGAAGGGACCCAGTAGGAGGTAATTGAATCATGGGGGCAAGTCTTTCCCATGCTGTTCTCGTGAGAGTGAGTAAGTCTCATGCGATCTCATGGTTTCGTAAAGAGGAGTTTCCTTGCACAAGCTCTCTCTTCCCTGCTACCATGTAAAATGTGAGTTGCTCCTCCTTGCCTTTCACCATGATTGTGTGGCCTCCCCAGCCACATGGAACTGTGAGTCCATTAAACCTCTTTTTCTTTATAAATCACCCAGTCTTGGGTGTGTATTTATTAGCAGCATGAAAATAGACTAATACAGTAAATTGCTACCAGTAGAGTGGGGCACTTCTGTAAAAATACTTGAAAATACGGAAGCAACTTTGGAACTGGGTAAGAGGCAGAGTTTGGAACAGTTTGGAGGGCTCATGTGGGAATGTTTGGAACTTCCTAGAGACTTGTTGAATGGCTTTGACCAAAATGCTGATAATCATGTGGTCAGTGAAGTCCAGGATGACTTGTTGAATGGCTTTGACCAAAATGCTGATAATCATGTGGTCAGTGAAGTCCAGGATGACTTGTTGAATGGCTTTGACCAAAATGCTGATAATCATGTGGTCAATGAAGTCCAGGCTGACTTGTTGAATGGCTTTGACCAAAATGCTGCTAATCATGTGGACAATGAAGTCCAGGCTGAAGTGGTCTCAGATGGAGATAAGGAACTTGTTGGGAACTGGAGTAAAGGTGGCTCTTGCTATGTTTTAGCAAAGAAACTGGTGGCATTTTGCCCCTGCCCTAGAGACTTGTGAAACTTTGAACTTGAGAAAGATAATTTAGGATATCTGCAGAAGAAATTTCTAAGCAGCAAAGCATTCAAGATATGACTTGGATGCTGTTAAAAGCATTCAGTTTTAAAGGGGAAACAGCATAAAAGTTCAGAAAATTTGCAGCCTGACAATGCAATAGAAGATAAAAACTCATTTTCTGAGGAGAAACTAATTTTCTGAGCAGAAATTTGCATAAGTAACAAGGAACCAAATGTTAATCACCAAGACAATGGGAAAAATGTCTCCAGGACATGTCAGAGACCTTGCAGCAGCGCCTCCCATCACAGGTCCAGAGGCCTAGGAGAAAAAAGTGGTTCTGTGGGCTGGGCCCAGGGCTTCTCTGCTCTGGCAGCCTAGAAACTTGGTGCCCTGTATGCCAGCTGCTCCAGCCATGGCTAAAATGGGCCAAGCAACAATTCAGGTGGTGGCTTCTTAGGGTGCAAGCCCCAAGCCTTGGCAGCTTCCACATGGTTTTGGGCCGGCAAGTGCAGAGAAGTCAAGAATTGAGGTTTGGGAATCTCTGTGTAGATTTCAGAGTGTGTATGGAAATGCCTGGATACCCAGGCAGAAGTTTGCTGCAGGGGCAGGACCCTCATGGAGAACCTCTTCTAGAAGAGCGCAGAAGGGAAATGTGGGATCAGAGCCCTTACACAGAGTCCCTACTGGGGCAACGCCTAGTAGACCTGTGATAAGAGAGCCACTGTCCTCTAGACCACAGAATGATAGATCTACCAACAGCTTGCACTATTGGGCTGCTTCCAATTTTGGACTATAGGTTGAGTATTCTGTATACAAAATGCTTGGGAAGAGACGTGTTTTGGATTTTGGACTTTTTCAGATTTCAGAATCTGGAAATGCACCTGGAAGAGCCACAGACACTCAATGACAGCCTGCAAAGGCAGCCAGGAGCAGGGCTATACCCTTCAAATCTACATGGGTGGAGCTGCCCAAGGCCATGGTAGCCTACCTTTTGCATCAGTGCAACCTGGATGTGAGATATGGAGTCAAAGGAGATCAGTTTAGAGCTTTAAGATTTGACTGCCCCACTGGACTTTGGACTTGCATGAGGCCTGTAGTCCCTACATTTTGGCCAATTTCTTTCATTTGGAATAGCTGTATTTACCCAATGTTTGTACCCTGATGGTATCTAGGAACTAACTTGCTTTCAAATTTACAGGCTCATAGGCAGAAGGGATTTGCCATGTGTCAGATGGAATTTTGGACTGTGGACTTTTGAGTTAATTCTGAAATGAGTGAAGACTTCGGGGGAATGTTAGGAAGGTATGATTGGTTTTGAAATGTGAGGACATGAGATTTGGGAGGGGCCAGGGGCAGAACTATATGGTTTGGCTGTGTCCCCACCCAAATCTCATCTTGAATTGTAGCTCCTGCAATTCCCACGTGCCATGAGAGGGACCCAGTGGGAGGTAACTGAATCATAAAGACAGGTCTTTCTCATGCTGTTCTCATGATAGTGAATAAGTCTCACGAGATATGACGGTTTTATAAAGAGGAGTTCCCCTGCACAAACGCTGTCTTCCCTGCCACCGTGTAAGATGTGACTTGCTCCTCCTTGCCTTCTGCTATGATTGTGAGGCCTCCCCAGCCACATGGAACTGTGAGTCTGTGAGTCCATTAAACCTCTTTTCCTTTATAAATCACCCAGTCTCAGGTATGTCTTTATTAGCAGCATGAAAACAAATGAATACAGAAGCTTTGGTCTGAATGTGGAGTGAGGTATACACTGCTGTTGGGAGTGTAAAGTGGCATAACCACTTTGGAAAGCTGATAGTGTCTATCAAACCTATATTTTATTATTAATTATTTCATTATTTTATTCCACTTCCAGGACTCTTCTAAGAGGTATGATATATATATACATCCAAAAACATGAACAATAATGTTTAGGGAAGTATTGTTTGCAATATAGATTGAGCATCCCTGATCTCAAAATTTAAAATTAAAAATGCTCCAACATCCCAAACTTTTTGAGCCAGAAGTGGAAAATTCCAAATATGACCGTATGTGGTGAGTCACAGTCAAAACTTTGTTTCATGCACAAAATTAAAAATATTGTATAAAATTACCTTCAGCCCATGCATATAAGATATACATGAAACATAAATGAATTTCATGTTTAGACCTGGGTCCCATCCACAAGATATCACATTATATATATGCAAATATTCCAAAATCTGAAAAATTCAAAATCCAAAACACTTCTGTTCCCAAGCATTTTGTATAAAGAATAATCAACCTGTAGTCCAAAATTAGAAGCAACCCAACAGTTCTTTAATGTTGGAGCAGATAAATAAATGGTGGCATATTCAAACAAAGGAAGACCACATATCATTTCAAGGAAACACGTTATGTGAAACAACATTGATAAATTTAACAAATTTTGTCAGATGCAAAACAATATATTTATATATGAAATTCAAAAACAGGCAAAAACCAGTATGTGGTGACAGAAATCAAGATCATGGTTGCCTTTGGGGAGAAGGTAAGGGTAGTGACTAGAAAAGGACCCAGAGAGAGGTTTCTGGGCTACAGGTAATATTCTATTTCTTTATTTGTGTATTGGTTGCATGAATATGCTTACTTTGTGATAATTCATATATATAAGCTATACATGTATTATTTATTTCTACATTTATTTACTACAGAAAAAGAAGTAAGGTTTATTTCTATAGTAAATAAATGTTAAACTTATTTTAATGAATAAAATGTATTTAGGTTTTATTATTAAAGGTTTTATTATTTTAAATAAAATGTGAATAAAAATAAGCAATTCTAGTTAGGACTCTGTTTTTGAGAATTAGCTTTGTGAAGACCTTTCCCTGAAAGAAGTGTGTCCAGTAGTTCGTTGAGATTACATTACCAAAGAGCACAGAATTGGGAATAAAGGTACCTGGGTCCTAGGTCCACTCTGACATAACTAGTTCTCTTACTGGAACTAGTCATGTGACATGTCTGGTCTTCCTGTATTCTTTAGTGAAAGAAGGCTTTTGAGCTAATCTTTAACATTTCTCTCAACTTTAAAAGTCTCTTGGTTCTCATGATTCCTCTAATCAGATATGCATTGATTGCTGAGCCTATGAAGTGTACGCTTTCCTTCTTACCCAGTTACAGTAAAATCCAGATTAAAGAGAGGGGAATGTCAGTGTTAAGAAGAGCATATTATATGGTATGTTGGCAAAGATTCATTTACAAAAGTACACAATGTGCCACGAAACACATGCAGTACAAAGATAATTTTTTCCTTTCCATGTGACCTTTTGAAATCAGAAATATTATTTATAGAATCCCCCCATGCCATTTATGCACAAAACATTTCTGACCTTTGCAAATGCAAGGCATAGAACTCTGAGTGTGATTTTAACAGTCAATTAATAAAGATTACAAAGATATTTACCCATGTAGTTAAAAAGAAAAGTTTCTTAAAAAACCTTTAAAGCAGCCAGGTAAATAGCCTAATAAATGATAAAGGTCATGTTGACTAGAGAGCACACTCCCTAACTCTTCTAAATAATCATTGCAGTCTGGCTGTTGTCTGATAAGAGAGTTAATTACCCCATATTTCAATTTTAAAAGCAACCTGAGATCTCAATTAAATGCTCAAGATGTGAAAAAGTACCAGTTTTTGTTGTTTTCATCCATTTTCTTTGTGATGTGAACATGACAATTTGGTGATAGCAGTACTTTCCCTTTCTTGTTCCCTTCTGAAGCCCATAATCCCTTCCTGGGTGCTTCTGAGTTCTAACTTATGATATCCCCATATGGTTGGAGGAGAGCTAATTAATTTCCACTACTGTTGTAAGTTTTCACAGTGGGATTTTTGTTTGCCATCACAGTGTCCTGAAGACCAGGACATTACTCCTCAAACATACAATGACTTGCCCGTTCACATCTTTGAGCCAGTTTCTTGAAATCCATCAATGGGTGTGAAATAAATTTTATACTATGCCAACCTGCCTCACACATTTTCTTTTCATTCTAATAATAATTTTTAAATTATTATAATAACAAAGTGGTATTCCAACATCAGACTTTTCAGTCATTACTTTATCTCTCTCTCATACCTCAGTATAGGGAGCATATTCATACAGCTCTAAATTTAGGAAACTTCCAGCTCTATTGTTCCTTGCTTTTCACATAAATTCCCCATTCATTTTCTGTTCCTCCTTTTTCTTTGTAGCCCCATTTTTCTTTGCCTCATCAGCATGTCCTGTCATAAGTGTTTTCAGTCTAACCACTGCAAAAATGAGCCTGGCCAAAAAAGACTTCCGTCACAGTTGCTCCATCAAGCTTAACTTTTCCTTGCTAGGGTCATTCCACAATTTAGATGGCAATTATGGCAATTTTAGCTAATTCAGAGTGGAGGGAGACATTACAATATTTAATATTGCAATTTTCAGGTGCAGTATTTTTGGAACCTGCATAACATCTGCAAACTGAAATGAACAATATTAAGCCAACAACAGGCAATGAAATATCCAAGGAGTTTTTGACTAGGAGTTTCCCATGGCTTCTTTCTATTCTATTTCTACTGAAAAAGAGACTCACACAAAGACACTAAATTAAAAGAAACATTTAATACATAGGTGTTTCAGAAGTCTTATTAAAGTATATATTGTTAAATATTGGAAAAGCACTCTGGCCAAGAGTTTAGTGCTGCTTTTAAACAATAACTTATGTACACACATTCAGCTGCCTATATTCCACTCTTAATTCTCATGTTACTAGGAATTTAAAGCAAAATTACTTGAACTCCATGGCCACCCACAGTTCCATAACCAAATCTGTGAATAAAAGCTGTTAACAAAATATGATACTAAGCTAACTATAGATAATATAACTGGTTATAATAAACTGAATTTTGATGTTTTAAAAAGCAAATTATTTTTTGTTGAGGTTATATGTTTTTGCAAAGACTACGGCATTTTTATTTAAAAAAAAAAAAACTTCCAGAAAACAAAACGGAAAACTATTGATGGCCAAACCTTAGACAGAATAGATTATTCAAGTATGTAAACTGATTCTACCTTTTTCTGGCCAAAAAACTGAGTGGAGTCAGAGCTCCTAATGTCCTTGAAGTTACTAGCTATACTGGCTCCTAGGATATCAGTGTAACGGACAGTTTTCCACCAAATATGAAGTTGCTGGTAGATGCCAGGCCCTGATAGGCAGGTGAAGAATGAGAAGAGGTAAGTGAATCAGCAAACAGAACAGGGTAATGCTGAAAGCTATGTGGAGACATCTTTTCCAACACCCAAAGATCAAGATAATAACTCAGCATGCATGATGGTCTGGGTGATTGATGGATATCACCATAGTAATGAGTACCAATCAGCCATTTCAAGAAGAAAATTGAGTTTAAGTAGCTGACAAGCACTGTGTGTGGATAACAGTCTGAAATCAAACTGTGAGTATAATTCAGTCATTAACATCTCCACAGCCAACCAGATGGATTTTCTTTCATCCCTGAAGGTCCATTTTATGTTGCATAGGTAGTGCCTGAATTTGAGCGTCATCTTCTTTTATTTCCATTTCCCATCTTCTTATGGAAACACTAATGAGCTGTAAAAATAGCCCAGAGGCAGACAAAATAGGGAGGAGAAATAAAGGGCAAGGATAATCTACAAACTAAAAAAATCATTCCCAGAAAAATCAAGAGTGTGTTAGTGATGCCTTAAAATGATGAAAATTATCTCCAAAAATACTTTTTAAAAAAACTTATTGGAAAATATTAAAAATGTCTTAAACTTCCTGCCACAGAAAACTCATGTTCATGCAACTTTGATTTGGCTGCTCTTACAAATGAAAATTGTCCATAGAAGAATGGCTGAGTATAGCATGCTTATGAGATCTTAGCACTCGAGGGCTAGATTTTCTGAAGTATCTAAATAACGTAAGGATTCAGGTGTGAAAGAAATTGTATAGAAGGCTAGAAATAAAAACATTGCGAGGGACTTAACTAAATGTCAGCTGAAATACAGGAAACCTGGACAGGGTGAGTAAATATTAGACTGAAAAGGGAATTGCATTTTCAAGACCATACTGTATACCTAGCGAAATGCTGGGCGCTGGCACAAATATCATTTTATTTAATACTTAACAACCCAGTGAGTTCACTGTTACTATCCTTACTCAGATGACAAAACAAGACTGAGAAATCAACTAACTTGCTCAAGATCACAACTAGAAAATGTTAAAAAGAAAGGCTTTCTGATTACAAAGCCCTTGCTCTCCTTCACTTCAGACAATTCTCTTAGGGATAAGAGCAAATAAATAGAAGGAGTTGGGGAGTGAGGCAGATGACACAGGTTCAGTGGGTTTTTCAGAATATTTTAGTTTTTTTGTCTAACAAAATAAATCGGGAAAATCCTTTGCACAGTAAATTAGGCTTCATTAAAATGAATTTACAGAAGTTTCTGAAAAGCAGATACTTTATTAAATTTTTATAACACATAAAGATTGGTCATTTGTGTTATTACTCCCAGATTGCCTTGTAGAGTGTCTGCATGAAGTGTTTGCTGAGTAACGAGAAGACAGAAACTAGATAATGTCTGTAAGAAAAGATCTTTCTTACAATCCCCTGAGGAAGTAGCCAGATTACTCATTTGTGTCTTGGTGCTCTATCATGGTTAGAACTTCCACAGAATTTTGCTGATTTGCATTTCGGATAGGGCACTCTGGTATTAACTCTCCTGTACTTTGGAAGTTTAAGTTATTCTCCTAAGAAAGGAGCTTAAGATGTAAATATATTAAATAAGAACACTCTGTTTAGAGTGATTTAATATAACAATAATCATTTTATGTTAATGCACTAGCACACAGTCATCTGTTTTAGTAGGAAAATAAATTTTCATTTAATCTCACTTTTTCTCATCTAAATGTCTCACTTGTCCACATCTAAATTACATAGATAATAAAGTTAATTTAAATGTTCATTTAATGTGATGTACAAGGCCATTTAATATTATATAAATGGAATGATTTCATCATTTTCATTCCTGAACTAGATATATTGTTTTCAAAAATGACCTAAAAATCTTTTTTGATTTTGTATCCTCATCAGTACAAATATTTTAAGTATATACAAATGTATGTATATTTATAACACACATACTCACACACACAAACACTCCTTTTCCAATGGCCTCCCAAAGTGTTTAACTCCCTGTCCCAAATGAAGAAGCCAAAGCACAAAAACCTGAGGATTTTTCTCTAAATGAAACAAAATTGAATAAGCTTTCTGGATTCTGGACTCCTGAACTGGGCAATATGGCCCTGACATTGTCAGTCACAAGGAGGTTTCTCATCACATTAGCTTACCAACCAAACAGCTCAAAGTGATGCCTAGCTATCAAAAGACCAGCCCAATACATCAGCTCCAAATCAACTTTTTGTTTTGTCTCAGTCCTTCTTAGACAAACGCAAATTATCAAATGTTTAAGAAATGCCTTGAATATAAAAGAAAAAAATCAAACTTAAAAAAGATTCAAATAGGAATAATTCAGGAGAAAGAAGAGACCTTTAAAAAATTAGTACCTCAGAGTCACTTAACAACTTAAGTACATACATAGAACAAGAATAGCATGGCTGTTCAGTGAACAAGAAAATAATTGTGAACTTAAAATACTTATTCTGGAAATAAAAATAAATAGATTCAGGATAAAGAAGAAATACAGTGTGCAAGTGGCCACAATAATTATGCCTGTATATTTCTTGATTTACCAAAATTCAAAAATGATACGAGGTAAGATAAAATTCACATAGAAATAAAGTTCTCTGCCTTCTGAGTCTAAAAATTCTAGAGAGAGAGAATAAAGAAATGTGGATAAGAAAATTATAAAAGAAATAATACGAGTATTTCCTAGAATTAAAAGACCCAAGCTTTCTTATTTAAAGGCCTACCAAAAAGCCAACAAGATAAGCAAACATGCAAACAAATAACCAAGTAGAAAACACATGATTGTAAAATTTCAGAACAGCAATAATGAAAAGAAGATTTGAAACATTCCCACAGAGGAAGTAAAAGATTATTTACAAAGGAACAAGAACTAGACTAACGTAAGACTTTTTGTCAACAATAAATGTTAAAAGAAAATGGAGCCAATTGTGTTAGGCCATTTTAGGTTGCTATAGAGGAATACTTGAGGCTAGGTAATTTATAAAGAAAAGGGGTTTAGTTGGCTCATGGTTCTGCAGGCTGTACAAGCATGGAAGCAGCACCTGCTTATTCTGAGGGCCTCAGAAGCTACAGACATGGTGGAAAGGAAAGGAGAGTTGGTGGTGTCACATGGGGAAAGTGGGAGAAAGAGAGATGTGGGGGAGGTGCCATACTCTTTTAAACAATCAGATCTCATGTGAACTCAGGCAAGAACTCACTCATCACCAAGGGGATGGAGCTAGTCATTCATGAGGGATATGCCCCCGTGACCCAAGGAGAAGAAAAATCACCTGCTCCAGGTAATTCTGCATCATTGAACCATGATGATGTCCATGATTGGACATCTGATGCAGATGACGTTGATGACTAACCAGTGTATTGTGTGTACAGTATGGATAAGCTGGACAAAGATATGATTCAACATCCAGGCAGGTGAAGTAGAATGGAGCAAGATTTCATCATGCTACTCAGAAAGGGTGCAATTTAAAACTTATGAATTATTTCTGTAATTCCCCATTTAATATTTTTGGACAGCCGTTGTCCATGGGTAACTGAAACTGCAGAAAGTAAAACTGCAGATAAACAAGAGCTACTGTATACCTAAAAATAGCTAAGAGTTAGATTTTAAGTGTTCTCATCACAAAAAATGAGATGTGAGGTAATTGATATATTAATTAGCTTGATTTAGCCACTCCACAATGTATACATATATCGAAACATGTTGTACACCATAGATACAATTTTTATTTTTCAATTAAAAGCAAATATATAAAAATAAATAAAATAAAATAAACATTTGAAAAAAGAGATGAAGGATGGAAAAATAGATACTGTAATTGAGAACTTACCAAAACTTGAGCACATTGTAAAAGTAACTGATGAAGTGCGGTAAGGAAAATATATTGGAAATAGAGTAGACACTATAAGGATTCTTCTTGGAAAGGCACAGGGCATTGGACCCAAAGGAAAAGAAACAGAAAGCTTGTGCATGGCTTGGCTTTAAAGCTAATGAATATGCAAATGATGTTTACTCATTTCTACCTTTATAATCAAATCACAGAAGACTATTCATACAGGAGGGAATATAATTATCTGTGTTCTCAGTATAAAAGTAAAGATGCATCTGACAGAGGTTGAGAAGCCTCAAGGGGAGAGAAGAGCTTTCTAGAACTGATGTAACAAGGAGCAGAGATTTAGGCAGTTTGAGTTTGCAAGGTGGCCGGCAAAGTCCCTGAGGACAGTGATATAGCTATTGGCAGAGGAGAGGTAAGGCAGGTGAAGGTTTGTATACATGAGCAAAGCCTCACCTTTTATTACAGAAAGTCAAGCTATAGTATCTAAATTTGATAAAACATAAGCACATATTATTTAGAGCCATGTGGCAACCATGACAAAAAACTAAAACAGAGGTTGACTCAAGAGAAGCAAACTGGAGAGGTTGGAGGGGTGATACAGGCCAATGTGACTGTTCATTATTATCCCTTCCCTTATTTGATTTTTAGCCATGGGCATGTTTACTTTGCTATTATTATTTTTTAGATTTTGAGGGTAAACTCTTGCATTAGGTTAGGAATTCTGTATAATTTCCCCTATAATGGCCAAAGTATTGCCATTTCTTTCATTATCTCTGAATCAATGAATTGTGATGTTTTTAGACTAGAAAAACACAAAACATATAAGAACAGTGTTCAATCCTCAGCAGTGAGTGCAACTGGATTCCATTCCGATAGAAACAACAATACAGAGTTTTATTCTCCCTGAACAGGTGTCAACACTTTGTAACATCAAAAGTCAAAAAAGAATTTTTGAAAATGGATTCTGATAAATTCTAGTCCCAGCATATGTTAATAGGTGATCCTCGAAAAGGGAAATCTGTTATCAAAACTCTTGAAAATCTGCATAATATTTACCTTCCTTGGAGTGTACATTAACATATCAAAATTCTCAATGTTGCACCCAAAATTTCCCTTACTTATTTGGTATATGGAGCTCTATGATGGGAAATTTTATGAAATGCAGTTTAGGAAAGACTAGGTTACAGGATTTCTGAAATAGTAGTGATTGTATGTCATTAATGGTTTTAGATTTGTGACAAAATTGATTTCATAATGCCCATTGTACACATTATTGCATTCAAATCTTGTAAAAAGCCAGTTGCTTTGTGTTATGTAATCAACACATCCAGTGGCATAACAGAGTTGCTATTTGTAGAAGAACAGATTAAAAAGAAGAGAAAAATTATTATGTAGCACTATATTTAAAACATTTTATGAATTTGTTCAGTAACAACTGTAGGCCTGACTTTGAATAATGCTGAATACTTAGGGAGACAGAGCCCCAATAAGTGAAGACATAATGTCTGAGTTTGCTGTTGAAATCACTTCAGATCTCATTATCATCAAAAGTAAAATGAAAAAAGGCACACAATAAATCCAACTTATATCACACGTATACTTTGAAGTTAAGATAATCAAAGTCAGTATTAGAATTTAAGTTCTATTAAAAGGTACAACGTTTCTGGGAACTATTTCCCATTAATTATTTATATCTTGACAGACACACACAAGCAGAGAATCAAAAGAACAGTTTTAGACAGATTTCCAGTGAAGCTTCAAACATCATCTATATTTCATACTGGGAACTGTTAAGTTCACCAGGAGGGAAAGTGGTTCAATGTTGCTTTGGTGCTTACCAAATTTGAAGGTCTTTGGCATAGGAACTTTAAACCAGAAAAATTTTCCTGGCAATAAATAAATATTGATCAACTCCTCATTGCTCGTTCAGTTGTCTTTTTTTATATATATATATATATATTTTTTATTATACTTTAAGTTTTAGGGTACATGTGCACATTGTGCAGGTTAGTTACATATGTATACATGTGCCATGCTGGTGCGCTGCACCCACTAAGTCGTCATCTAGCATTAGGTATATCTCCCGATGCTATCCCTCCCCCCTCCCCCCACCCCACAACAGTCCCCAGAGTGTGATATTCCCCTTCTTGTGTCCATGTGATCTCATTGTTCAGTTCCCACCTATGAGTGAGAATATGCGGTGTTTGGTTTTTTGTTCTTGCGATAGTTTACTGAGAATGATGATTTCCAATTTCATCCATGTCCCTACAAAGGACATGAACTCATCATTTTTTATGGCTGCATAGTATTCCATGGTGTATATGTGCCACATTTTCTTAATCCAGTCTATCCTTGTTGGACATTTGGGTTGGTTCCAAGTCTTTGCTATTGTGAATAATGCCACAATAAACATACGTGTGCATGTGTCTTTATAGCAGCATGATTTATAGTCCTTTGGGTATATACCCAGTAATGGGATGGCTGGGTCAAATAGTATTTCCAGTTCTAGATCCCTGAGGAATCGCCACACTGACTTCCACAATGGTTGAACTAGTTTACAGTCCCACCAACAGTGTAAAAGTGTTCCTATTTCTCCACATCCTCTCCAACATCTGTTGTTTCCTGACTTTTTAATGATTGATTGTCTTTTTACTGCTACCAAAACTACCCAAGTGTTAATACACTTAATTAATATTTATAAAGGTTGATGCACTGTCTGTTTCTGCTTAGTTTTAAGTTGCAATAACTAGAACTTCATAAGATATTCTGAATGCAAAGAAAATTCATGGGAACTAAAATATGACTAGAACATAGAATATGCCAGAATCTCTGCTGAGTCACTTGCATCACTTATTTACTTCTTTTGCAAAAAAACTTTTGTGGATACATAGTAAGTATATATATTTATAGATTACATGAGATATTTCGATACAGCCATGCCATGTGTAATAATCACATCAGGGTAAATAGGATATCCATCATCTCAAGCACTTATCCTTTGTGCTACAAAAATTCAATTATACTCCCCTAGTTATTTTAAAATGTACAATTAAGTTATTTTTTACTACAGTCACCCTGATATGCTAGCAAATACTAAGTCTTATTTGTTTTTTTCTAACTATTTTTTTTTGTACTCATTAACCATCCCCAGTTCCACTACTTCCCAGCCTTTGGTAACCATCTTTCTGCTATCTCTGTAAGTTCAATTATTTTAATTTTTAGTTCCCACAAATAAATGAGAACATGCAGTATGTCTTTCTGTGCCTGACTTATTTCACTTAACATTACCATCTCCAGTTCCATCCATGTTGTTGCAAATGACAGGATCTCATTCTTTTTTTATGAATAGTACTCCATTGTGTATATGTACCATATTTTCTTTGTCCACTTACCTGTTGATGGACACTCAGATTGCTTCCAAATCTTGGCTATTGTGAATAGTGCTGCAATAAACATGGGAGTGCAGATATGTCTTTGATATACTGATTCCCTTAATTTGGGGCAAATACCTAGGAGTGAGACTGCTGGATCATATGGTAGCTCCATTTTTAGTTTTTTGAGGAACTTCCAAACTCTTCTTTTTAGTGATTGTGCTAATTTACATTCCCACCTACAGTGTATGACGGTTCCCTTTCCTCCATTTTACCAGCATTTGTTATTTCCTCAATTATTGTAGCTTTAATTTGCATTTCTCTGAGGATCAGTGATGTTGAGCACCTTTTTACACGCCTGTGTGCCATTTGGATATCTTCTTTTGAGAAATGTCTGTTAGGATCTTTTGCCCACTTTTTTAATCCTATAGAGCTGTGGGGATTTTTTTATAGAGTTGTTTGAGCTACTTACATATTCTGGTTATGAGTCCCTTTTCAGATGGGTAGTCTGCAAATATTTTCTCCCATTCTGTTGGTTGTCTCTTCACTTTGCTGATTGTTTCATTTGTTTTGAAGAAGTTTTTTAACTTGACATGATCCCATTCACCCATTTTTGCTTTGGTTGCTTGTGCTTGTGGAGTATTATTCAAGAAATCTTTGTCTGCCCTGATGTCCTGGAGAGTTTCCCCAATGTTTTCTTTTAGCAGTTTCATAGTTTGAGGTCTTCTATTTAAGTCTTAATCAACTTTGATTTGATTTTTATATATGACGAGAAATAAGAGTCTAGTTTCATTCTTTTGCATATGAATATCCAGTTTTTCCAGCATCATTTATTGAAGAGACTGTCCTTTTCCCAATGTGTGTTCTTGGCACCTTTGCCTAAAAGCAGCTTATTGTATATGTGTAGATTTATCTCTGGGTTCTCCATTCTGTTCCACTGATCTATGTGTCTGTTTTTATGCCAGTACCATGCCATATTTGTTATTATAACACTGTAGTATAAAGTCAGATAATGCGATTCTTCCAGTTTAGTTATTTTTGCCTAGTATAGCTTTAGCTATCCTAGGCCTTTTGTGGTTCCATATACATTTTAGGGTTTTTTTCTATTTCTGTGAAAAAAATATCTTTGGTATTTTGATAGAGATTTACATTAAATCTATGGATTGCTTTGAGTAATATGGCCATTTTAACAATATTGTTTCTTCCAATCCATGAACATGGAATCTCTTCCCATTTTTTGGTGTCCTCTTTAATTTCTTGCATCAATGTTTTATACCTTTTATTGCAGAAAACTTTCACCACTTTAGCTAATTTTTAGGTATTTAATTTTATTTGTAGCGATTATAAACAGAATCACTTTCTTAATTTCAGATTGTTAGCTGTTGGCATATAGAAATGATTTTCTTAGAGGAAAGTCAGTTTTCTACTTTTATTCCATTGTGGTCAGAGATTTTTGTATGTTGATTTTGTATCTTGCGACTTTACTGAATTTATCAATTCTAATATTTTTATGGAGTCTAGATTTTTCCAAATATAAGATTATGTTATCTATAAACAAGAAGGATTTGACTTTTTCTTTTCCAGTTTGGATGCTCTTTATTTTTTTTCTGCTGTCTAATTGCTCTAGCTAGGACCTCCAGCACAATGTTGAATAACAGTGGTGACAGTGGGCATCCTTGTCATGTTCTAGATTTTAGAGGAAAGGCTTTCAGTTTTTCCCCATTCTGTATGATACTAGCTGTAGGTTTGTTATATAAGGCTTTTATTATGTTGAGGTATGTTCCTTCTATATCAAGTTTTTTGAGGATTTTTATGAAGTGATGTTTAATTTTATAAAATGCTTTTTCAGTATGAATTTAAATGATCTTATGGATTTTTTTACTTTATTTTATTGATATGATGTATTACATTGATTGATTTGTGTATGTCGAACTCTCCTTGTAATTTCACTTGGTCATGATGAATGATTTTTAATGTATAGTTAAATTCAGTTTGCTAGCATTTTGTTGAAGATTTTTCCATCAATGTTCATCAGAGATACTGGCCTGTGGTTTTCTTTTTTTGGCATGCCTTTGTCTGGTTTTGGTATTAGGGTAACACTGGCCTTGTAGAATGAATTTGTAAATACTCCCTCCTCCTCTACTTTTTCTTGAGTAAGATTGCAATTAGTTCTCTGTAAATGTTTGGTAGAATTCAGCAGTGAATTCATCAGGTCCCAGGCTTTTCTTTGCTGGGAGACTTTTTGGCTTCAAGCTCATTACATGTTACTGATCTGTTCGGATTTTTTCATGGTTCAATCTTGGAAGGTTGTTTGTGTCTAAGAAATTATCCATTTCTTCTAGGTTTTCCAATTTGTTGGCCCAAGGTTGCTCATACAGGCCACTAATGATGCTTTGAATTTCTGTGGTACCAGTTGTAATGTCTCCTGTTTCATCTCTGATTTTATTTGGGTCTTCTCTCTTTTTCTCTATTAGTCTGGCTAAAGTTTTGTCAATTTTGTTTATATTTTCAAAGAAAAACCAATGTTTTGCTTTGTTGATGTTTTGTATCTTTTTTTCTTTTTTTTAATTTTATTATTATTATACTTTAAGTTTTAGGGTACATGTGCACAATGTGCAGGTTAGTTACATATGTATACATGTGCCATGCTGGTGTGCTGCACCCATTAACTCGTCATTTAGCTTGTTTATGCTCTGATCTTTATTATTTCTTTGGTTGTATCAATTTTGGGTTTGGTTTGCCCTTGCTATTCTTATTCTTTAAGATGCATCATTAGGTGGCTTATTTGAAGTTCTTTATTTTTTTATGTAGGCATGTAGAGCTATAGATTTCCCTCTTGGTACTGCTTCTGCTGTATCCCATAGGTTTTGGTATGTTGTATTTCCATTATCATTTGTTTCAAGAAATTTTTCAATTTCTTTCTTAAATTCTTTATTGACCCACTGGTCAGTCAGGAGTATATTGTGTAATTTTCATGTGTATGTATAGTTTCCAAAATTCCTCTTGTTATTGATTTCTAGTTTTATTCCATTGTGGTCAGTGAAGATGCTTGATATTATTTCAATTTTTTTAATGTTTTAAGACTTGTTTGTAACCTAACATGTGGTCTCTCCTTGAATATAATTCATGTGCTGAGGAAAATTCTGCAGACATTGGATAAAATGCTCTGTAAATATCTGGTAGGTCCATTTGCTGTATGGTGCAGATTACCTGCAATATTTATTTGTTGATTTACTGTCCAATGCTGAAAGTGGGGTGTTGAAGTCTCCACCTATTATTGTATTGGGGTCTATCTCTCTCTTTAGCTCTAATAATATTTACTTAATATATCTGGGTGCTCTAGTATTGGGTGCATATCTATTTATAATTGTTATATCCTCTTGCTGAACTGGGCCCTTTATCATTATATAGTGACCTTCTTTGTCCTCTCTTTTAAATTTTCTCTTAAAATCTATTTTGTCTGATATAAGTATAGCTACTCTTGCTCTTTTTTTTTTTGGTTTCTATTGGTGTTGAATATCTTTTTCCATCCCGTTACTTTCAGTCTATGTGTGTCTTTGTAGGTGAAGTGTGTTTCTTGCATGCAACAGGTCACTGGGTCTTGTTTTTTTAATCCCTTCAGCCACTCTGTGTCTTTTGGAGAGTTTATTCCATTTACATTTAATTAATGATAAATTAGAACTTACCCCTGCCTTTTCATTATTTGTTTTTTGGTTGTTTTGTGGTCTTCTTTTTCTTCTTTCCCGTTTCCCTTTAAGTGAAGGTGATTTTCTCTGGTATTATGATTTAATTTATTGCTTTTTAATTTTCATATCTCTGTTGTAGACTTTTTGGTTTGAGGTTACCATGAGGCTTGCAAATATTATCTTATAACCCATTACTTTATGCTGATGGCAACTTAACACTGTTTGCATAAACAAACAAGAAAAAAATAAAACTAATAAAAACTACACACCTGCTTTTTAACTTTTTGTTGTTTCTATTTATATCTTATTGTACTATGTCTTGGAAAGTTTTTATAGTTATCATTTTTGATTGATTCATCTTTTAATCTATTTAAGATAGATTACACATCACAGTGATGATGTTATAATATTCTGTGTTTTCTGTGTATTTACTATTAACAGTGAGTTTTGTACCTTCAGATGATTGCTCATTGCTCATTAATGTCCTTTTCTTTTCTGACTGAAGAACTGCCTTTACAATTTCTGGTAGGTCAGGTCTGGTGTTGATGAAATCCCTCAGCTTTTGTTTGTCTGGGAAAGTCTTTAATTTTCCTTCATGTTTGCAGGATATTCTTGCCAGATATACTATTCTAGGGTAAAAGTTTTTTTCCTTTAGCACTTCAAATATGTCACACCACTCTCTTCTGGCACTGAAAAGTCTGCTGCCAGATGCATTGGAGCTCCATTTTATGTTACTTATTTCTTTTCTCTTGCTGCTTTTAGAATCCTTTCTTTATCCTTGATATTTGGGAGCTTGATTATTAAATGCCTTGAGGTGGTCTTCTTTGGATTAAATCTACTTGGTGTTCTATAACCTTGTTGTACTTGGATATTGATGTCTTTCCCTAGGTTTGAGATGTTCTCTCTTGCTATCTTTCTAAATAAACTTTCTACCCCTATCTCTTTCTCTACCTCCTCTTTAAGGCCAATAACTCATAGATTTGCCCTGTTGAGGCTATTTGCTGCATTCTGCAGATGTGCTTCATTGTTTTTTATTTGCTTTTCTTTGGTCTCCTCTGACTGTGTACTGTCAAATAGCTTGTCTTGAAGCTCACTAACTATTTCTTCTGTTTGATTAATGTTTTTAAAAGACTCTGGTGCACTCTTCAGTATGTCAGTTGCGTTTTTCAACTCCAGAGTTTCTGCTTGATTTTTTTCTAATTATTTTAATTTCTTTATTAAATTTTTCTGGTAGAATGCTTCTCTGTGTTATCTAGAATTTCTTAGAGTTTCCACAACACAGCTGTTTTGAATTCTCTGTCTGAAAGGTCACATATCTCTGTTTCTCCAGCATTGGTCTCTGGTGCCTTATTTAGTTTATTTGGTGAAGTCATATTTTCCTGGATGGTCTTGGTGTTTGTGGATGTGTCAGTATCTGGGCATTGAAGAGTAAGATATTTATGGTAGTATTTCCAGTCTGGGATTGTTTGTACCCATTCTTTTTGAGAAGGCTTTCCAGATATTCAAAAAAATTTGGGTGTTGTAATCTAAGACATATCTGCATTATGGGGCACCCTAAACCCAATAATGCTGTGGTTCTTGCAGACTCATAGAGGTACCACCTTGATGGTCTTGGATAAGATCCAGAAGAATTCTCTGGATTACTAGGCAGAGAAGAGACTCTTATCCTTTTTCCTTACTTCCTCCCAAACAGAGTCTCTCTCTCTCTGTTGTGAGCCTCCTGGAGCTGGAGGTGACACAAGCACCCCTGTTGCCACCACCATTGGGACTGTGCTGGCTCAGACCTGAAGCCAGCGTGGCACTGGGTTTTGCCTGAGGTCCACTGTAACCACTACCTGGCTACCACCTATATATGCTCAAGGCCCTAGGGCTCTATGATCAATAGATGGCAAAACCAGCCAGGCCTGTGTCCTTCCCAGATGGGTCCAGAGCTACTGTCCAGGAGCCAGGGACTAGAGTCAAAAATCTTAGAAGTCTACCTACTATTCTATTGTACTGTGGCTGAGCTGGCACTCAAACCATGAGATGTAGTCTTCCCACTCTACCCTCCTTTTTCCACAGACAGAGGAGCCTCACCCCATGACCACCACCACAGCAGGCCCACAGGGAGTACTGCTATGCTACTGCCAATGTTATCTTAAGGCCCAAGGGCTCTTCAGTCAGCTTGTGGTGAATGTTGCCTGGGCTGGGACTCACCCTTCATGGCAGTGGGCTCCCTCTCCCCAGGGAAGGTCCAGAAATGCCATGTAAAAACCATGGCCTACAATCAGAGACTCCAACAGCCCACTTGATGCTCTACCCACCCTGTGGCTGGGCTGGTACCTAAGGTGCAAGACAAAGTCCGCTTTACTTTTCTCTCTGCTTTTCTCAAGCAGAGGGATTGTTTCCCTGTAGCCACCACAGTTGAGAATTTGCTGACTCTTATCTGAAGCCAGCAAGTCTCAGAGTCTCACCCAAAGCCCTCGGCATACTACCTGGGCATTGCTTCTGGTTATTCAGTGCCCCAGGGCTCTTTAGTTAGCAGGTATTTGGTCCTGCCAGGACTGGATCCTTCCCTTCAAGGCAGCAGGTTCTTTTCCTTCCCAGGGTGTGTCTAGAAATGTCATCTGGGAGAAAAGGGGCCTCATGACTCTTCCTGGTGCCCTATACTACTTTGGCTGAGCTGCTATCCAAGATGCAAGAGTAAGTCCTCTTTACTTTTTTTTCTCCTCTTCTCAAGTGGAAGGAAGAAGTTCATTTTGGAGCAGAGAGCTGTGCATCTTGGGGTTGAAGGATGGGTGGTACAAGCACTCCATTAGCCACCCTGCTGGTGTCTCTGTAGGTCTTATGGACCCCAAGTGCATTAGCTCTGAGCTGAGTTGAGCACTAGGACTTGTCTAAGAGTTTCATTTCTTGTGGCCTAGACTGACTTTCACGTTTATTTAGTTCTCCAGAGCATTTTAGCCTATGGAGGGGAGTCTTGCCAGAACTCAAGTTTGAACTGCTGGGATGGGTGATTCCCCTCTGGCTAGAGGTGGTTTAAATACTCCCTCCATGGTGGGCATCAGCTGAGTTCAGCCTGGTTTTGCTTTCTACTCTGGCAGGGCAGCACTGAGTGTAATGCAATGTCTCACAATTGCTGCATTCTCCCTCTCCCAAGCACACAAATTCTCTCTCTGCACCATGCAGCCTCTACTGGGGGATAGGACAGGAGTGTCATTGGCAATTCAATACTTTTTCTGCCCGCTTCAGTGCTTCTTTTAGCTGTATGAGCTTAAAACCAGGTACTGTGGGTCCTCACCTCATTTTTGCTTCTTATGAAGATGTTTTTTGTGTAGATAGTTGTTAAAATGGTGTCTTTGTTGGGGGAATGATCGATGAAGCCATCTATTCAGCCACCTTGCTCTGTCCCTTCCCTTATTTACTGCTTCCAATCATCCTGGGATTTCATAATGTTCTACTTTGTATTTGCTTTATATTGCCATGTAACAAGTGGTCACAAGTTTAGCCACTTAAAAAAACATGCATTTATTATTTTATAATTTCTGTGGGTTGAAAATCTGGGCACAACTTAGCTGGTTCTCTTCTTTAGGGTTTTACTAGCCTGCAGTTTAAGTTCTGTCTGTGGCTGTAGTCTCCATAGAAGCTTGGCTGGAGAAGGATACACTTCCAAGTTCCCTTGGGTTTTGGCAGAATTGATTTCCTTGTGGCTGCAGAACTGAGGGCTTCAGTTTATTTCTGGAAACAGCTCTTAGTTCCTAAGGGTCATCCACAGTTTTTTGCCATGTGAACTCCAATACGGCAAGTTATTCAGGACAGCTTGCTTCTTCAAAACTCACAAAGGGTTGGGGGAGGGTCTCACTAGTATGTCCACTTTCAAGACAAAATCTTGTATAAATCGTAATAATCACGGTAATGACATCTGATCACTTTTGCCATATTCTACTGGCTAGAAGAAAGTAATACGTTCCACCCACACTCAAAAGAGGGGATTATTTATACAAGGACATGGATGAGATTTAAGGACCACCTTAAATCTGCCCACCACATAAATTTTATGTAGGGCTAAACTGAGCCTGAGTGATTCTTCGATCTTTCCAAGAAAATCAACATAAAACACATATTATAGAGATGTTTTAATTGGACTCACAGCATCCAATTAAAACAAAAAACCCCAGAACTTTAGAAAAAGCCAACTTTATTTTCATTGTTGAATTAGGTACTTCCAACATACATCTAAGTAAATTCTTGATTTTAAAAAAGGTAACTGATTTCCTTTAAAAAAGGAAAATATATTATTTATTTCAAGTCCCTGGAGTAAAGTTAATATTAAAAAATAGAATTGTTTTATTCTTACATACTTTATATTTAACATTTCTATATTAAATACTAAAAATAATCTTTTTATGACTAACCTCACAGGTTAAATGGGAAGCGGTGATCATTATTGGAAGTTGTAAATAAATCTAGATATAAGTTCTTAGGTTATCTATAGAGGAGAACATAGCACTATTACATATTAAACATCAAGAAATGGAATTAGTTAATTATTTAATGAACACTGCTGTGCTAGTAGACAAAGTCCCAACATGTTTATGGTTCTATGCATTGTTTGGAATGGAAGTTACTAGAAGACAAGTACTATTAAAGTAATATTTTCTTCCTTTTAACTCTTCTGGCTTTTTGCCTACGTTTTCTTATGATAGCTATTTCTTTACAGCTTGTCCTGTTGTGTGTTTGTGTATGCATGCACGTGGTTGTGTGTGTGTGTGTGAGTGTGTGTGTGTGTGTATTCTCTTCTACCAGAATGAAATAAATTTTTGGGCTGAACATATACTTATGTCATCTTTTCTCTTCCAAAATAGCATCCGTTAAGAGGTTGAATTGTGTCTGTCAAAAAAAAACCATGTTGAACTCCTAACTTATGGTACTTGTGAATGTGATCTTATTTGGAAAGTTTAGTTTTACAGAAGTAATTAAATTAAGATAAAGTCATTGGATTAGACCCAAATTCAATATAACTGGGGTCTTTACAAGAGGTAAAGAAGACGTCAAAATACAGACACACAGGCAGAATGCCATGAGACAACAGAAGCAGAGATTAGAGTGATGCAGTTGTAAACTGAAGAATGCCAACAATTGATGGTAACCATGAGAATCTAGGAACAAGCAAGGAAAGATTTTCCCCTACAGGTTTTAGAGGGAGCAGGGCCCTGCTGACACATTGATTTTGATCATTTAGCCTCCAGAACTGTTAAGACAATAAATTTCCGTTATTTTAAGTGACCTAGTTTGTGGTGATTTTGTGGCAGCCTTAGGAGACTCATACAACATCCAGCATATTTGTTGTGTTATACATGGGAAGCACTTAAGTAATATACCTTTAAAATGTATTGCAATTTTGGGCCCTCTAAAAATTTACTTTATTTCAATGAATATAAGATGACACCAGTTATATGATACAGCATTATTTTATATATTTTCTGAACTCCATCAGTTTCCACAAAACACTTGAATTTGTTTTCAAATAAAAGAATGGAATTGTGGTTATTCATGCAATAATGAATATTTGTTTCATTAAGAGTCTTATGGTCAGATGCAGTGGCTCGTTCCTGTAATCTGAACGCTTTGGGAGGCCGAGGTGGATATATAACCTGAGGTCAGGAGTTCAAGACCAGCCTAACCAACATGGTGAAATCCCATCTCTACTAAAAATACAAAAATTAGTCAGGCATGGTGGCAGGTGCCTACAATCCCAGCTACTCAGGAGGCTGAGGCATGAGAATCGCTTGAACCTGGGAGGTGGAGGTTGCAGTGAGCTGAAATCACGGCATTGCACTCCAGCCTGGGTGACAGAGTGAGACTCCGTCTCAAAAAAAAAAAAGTCTTACTGCAGTTTCTTTGCTTTTCTACATAACTTTTAATTGTAATGCCAAATCATAGATTAATATATTTTAAAGTTTTAAATATTGGGGTCTCACTCTGTCTATCCAGGCTGGAGTGTAGTGATACCATCATGGCTCACTGCAGCATTGAACTTCTGGGCTCAAGTGATCCCCCACCTCAGCCTCTTGAGCAGCTAGGACTACAGGCATGCACCACCACACCAGCTAATGTTTCAAAAATATTTTTAGAGATGGAGTCTTGCTATGTTGCTCACGCTGCTCTCAAAGTCCTACCCTCAAACAATCTCCTTTCTCAGCCTCTCAAGTCATTGTTATTATAGGCGTGAGCCATTGTGCCAGGCTTAGACATTTTAAATCACGATTAAACAATGTGTAGTATTGGCAATGCACAGAAGTACAGTGAAAGGACAATATGTACAGCCAGGACTTAATTCATGCACACACAAAGAATGACAAAGTCTCTTTGATGCATGACTGACAGTAGCTACAAGGCTCTGTAGATTTTACAATGCATCCCAGTTTCAGAGATGTTGAAATGTGAAAAACATATGTGTCTTAAAATGAATAAAACAAAGCAGTAGCGATAACAATGTGATAGCTACCATAGTGCTGCTCAGCTTGGGGGAAAAAGGGCTCCATATAGAAAACAAAGGATAATCCAAATCATAGTTTAAACATTATATTTCCCTGCTCATTTAAATTTACTACATTTTCTTTGAGGGGGCTAGAAACACCCATTTGAAGGCCAAGAAAAAGTTGAATCAATTTTGTTTCAACTTCATATAAAGTAGATTAGGATATTATTATAGAAAAAAGGAAGCAATTAAGGGGATGCCACTTTGGCAAGCAAGAAAGCTAAACAGAGAAAGAGAGAGAGAAAGAAAGAGAGGAAGGAAGGAAGGAAGAAGGAAGGAAGGAAGGAAGGAAGGAAGGAAGGAAGGAAGGAAGGCAGGCAGGCAGGCAGGCAGGCAGGCAAGCAAAGCAAAGCGGGCAGGGAAAGAAAGGGCACTGTTGAATAGAAATATAAAGTAACACTAGGATGCGGGTACATTACAACCTCTATTTTCCAAGTGAGGAACTGAAGCAGAGTTATTCAGATTGCCAGGAATACATGATTCGGGATGTACAGAGTAAAGATTTGAGCTCAGACCGCCTGAATTCAGAGTTCCCCCCAAGACCTCTATGCTAATCTGCCTTTGACCTTTGACAGGGAGTCAGAGGGAGGGTGGGGAGGGGCAGCTGTGTGTTTAAATCTAACAGAAAGGTCTTGTAAAAATTCTATCTACATTTATTCAAATAATAACAGGTTACTCCAGTACTATTGTTCACCAAGTTATTATTCTGACATGAGTAGTAGAAAGATCTCAACCATTTCCAAAATAATTTCTTATAATCATTAAAATTTTGGTCTTGATTTCTAAAAGCTGGGCACTTTAAACAGTTATTAAGGCCCTGGCTTCCTTATCTAAAAATAAATTAAGGGTCCTTTTTGCATTTTTATTATGTACCATATCTTAAAAATGTGTTCATGCATTCATTCATTCAACCAACATTGATTGAAACTCTATCATGTGGCATACATTGTGCCAAGGGATGTGCAAACAGCAGGAAACAACACAGCCAGGATGCCTGCCCTCACATAGCTTACTGTCTCATCTAGCAGTGAAGACAGACTTTAAACTCCAAAAGTAAGTACTTAGGTTTTAAACATTCACCTTTGCAGAGATTTGGGCTCACAAAAATAATCCTGAAAAAGCTGGAATGATGAAGTTTCTCAATGAAGCATTAAACAGATGGCTGTAACAAGTGCCATATCTGAGTTTGATCTTATGGCAACTGCAAAGATAGTGAATAACATCTGCAAGTGATTTCAAAGTAATAAAAACTGCTCTTGTTTAAAGATCTTCTGTGAATAGCTGCATTGCCTTCTCAAATTGGCAGTGCAGAAAGCTCTCTACAGAATAACATTATTTTGTTATGGAATCTTTATGAAGGAATAAGATCCACCCCAAAAGGAATGTATTAATTAGAGACAAACTGATCACTACTATTCTTAGATTTTAACCAATTAAGTCTTACAAATTTGATTATTTTAATTAGGGAAGATATTCTCAGAGGAATTTTGGTAGTTTTGGTCTGGAGAGCAAGAAGAGGAAAAAAGAGAGTTGGCAAAAAGACACGTAGCTGATGCAAGAAAATGTTTTAGAATAAAAATGTCAGATATTGAATTTTCAGTTTTCATGTGCTGCAAAATAAAGTTCTCTTAATCTCCCAACCCTTTATCAAAGTTGTTGCATGTTCAGAGACTTGACATGGGTGTGTGTGTGTGTGGATGTGTGTGTGTGTGTGTGCGCACATGCCTGCACGTGCCTGCGTGTGGGTGTGCATCAGATCAAAGAGGTTAAACTTCATGTTTAGATTGACTATCTAGGAATAAAGACAAAACAAAAAGCAAAACTTAAGTGGAGACAAAATGCCAGAGCCAGAGATGCCAGAGAAACACAACTGCACCCCACACAGATGCAGACCCAGACACAGACACACACACACTTCCAGAAATTTCCGGGAATTACGTATTTGCTTTAAAAAAAATGGATTCAAATCAAATTTATCTGTATCTATTCTAGCTCTTAAGGATTTATGTTACATAAGAATAGTTGAAAAAAATAAAAATAGTAGCTAACATCTGTCAAGAGCCTGCATTGTTATTTAATCCTCAGAGCTACGGAAGGTCAGTTGCTTCATCGCTATTTTACAGAAAGGGAAACTAAGAATGGTTCAATAAGATCACAAAAATAGGAAGGGCAAGGAGGAATCTTATCTCTATTGGACTCCAAAGTTTGTGGGTTTAACTCTGCTTAGCCTGAACAAGACCGGGGAAGAGCACAATCGCTTTCCTAAAATGGATAAAAACAGTCAGTCAACAAGAGGAACAAATCTTCTCTCCTATTCAGAGATAGATCCAGAAACAATTAATAAGCACTTTGGGGAGGAAGTTTTGTCTCCATATCAACAATTTCAGCCACTAGATCTTTCCAACTGTGGAACTGCCTAGGATATAAGGCAGAGGTTGGATGAATGATCATATGACAAAAATACCATGAGAGATATGGGAGATGGGGTGAGGTGGGAGCTGGTGATTTTCAGGCTCCATGAAAGCCTAACATTCTATAAACCAAAATTCTTTGTCAAGAAAAAATAAATTTTCTTTATCTTTTTTTTCCGAGTTCTGTGGATATAAGACCAGAGGTTTTAGACTATTAGATACCTGATTCTAACCCCAATTTCTACTTCTGACTTTAAGCTGCAAATGGCATTATTCAAGTCTTCTGTTATTATTTTAACTCCAATAGGAAAAAAATGATGAAGAATAAACTCAAATGTTTTTTGCATAAACTATTCCTAAGCTAGATTATCCCATCTTTGAATGTGTTCAATTTGGCATCGGTCCCCAGAATTTCAGAAAATATACCCAATATTTTTTGGAATAGAATCAAATGCATGAATATCCAATAGAAAATTTATTTGTCCTTATGGTATAAGAATTCTTCTTAAGTAACTATGATCTGTGTATTTGAAGGTGGCCTTAAAATTAATGAAGCCTGGGATAGCCCTGGAAGAAATCCCAGTCTCTCTTGGATGGCTGTAGAGGAACATAAAACTTTGCTCAACCATAAAATGATTATGCATAAATCCAACCTACTCAGACTTACTCCTCAACAAAAAACATTAAGAGAATTTTTCAAGATCATTACAAGCATCAAAAGGAAGATGAGGCCATGATTTTAAAATACATTTTTCCTCATAATTTTCAAACACTTCTGGATCAGGAAGATTCATACACCAGTGGCTCTTCTTCCTGGCAAAGCTACAATCGAATATATCCATGTACATACATGTGTGCATGCATCATGCATGTGTATATTTCTTATAAGATTTTCATTGTATATTCCATTAGCATTTAATGCATTTTTTGCTTTTTACAATTGAGTCATAAATCTCACTGATGGATATGGAATTGAGGTCACTCTTGCTGCTCTGTGTAGCAAAGTCAATCACACCCTGAGGGTCAGCTAATGCTGTTCTTCATGGCTTGTTCAGGAGAACTTTGAAATAAGACATCCATCTGTCTGGAATGTCAGCATTTTCAGCATACAGACTTGCCTTTTCATCATCAGTAAGGATACAGCCCTGGGAGTGTTATTTTTTTTTTTGCTAAGTATAGCAAACTCTTCATGGTCCAGTGCATTAAATGTTGTCTTCTCACGAATGATATTTTCAGTAGGTCATCCATTCACTGCCTTCTGTAAATATTCAGAAAATAGCTGTCAGCAATCACCTGAGTCAATGCAAGTTTCTGATTAATGGGAAAAGTTGAGTGAGCCATGCCTAGCCTATTCATCTTTTACTGTAGTGCTATCAAAAAGAGAAACAACTTTAATAAATTGGATTTTTTGCAGAAAGTATTATAGTTATATTTTGGTTGATAATTAGGTTTGTGGGCCACCAATCATCTGATTTTGATTTAACCATATGTCAAACATTTTAAATATGTTAAATCATTGTAAAAGCACATTTGTTAATGTTTTAATTAATAAATAATCACTTGTTGAACATATGCTGTATGCTAAAGAATAGTCTAAGCGCTTAAAATGTATTATGAGGTATAACTCTCATTAAACTTTGGGAAAGAGATAAGTATTATTTGGACTCACTGTACAAATGAGAAAAATGAGGCATAGTTCAGTTCTAAACTTATTCTAAGTCATATAGCTAGTAACAGAATACTTGTGGTGATATATGCATATTTTCATACTAATTTAACTAGTAAGTAACGAATTTTATAACCAAATTTCCAGTCATAAGTAAGAAAACAATCCACTATCAACAGGAGTGAATAAAAAATACTGTACATACTTGCAATTTATGACAATTATTAACATCAAATAATCACAGGAAAAATATTTACACCAATGTCAATTTTTAAACATGGAATTTAAAAGGATTTGTTCACTACAATTATAACTGTGCAAAAGAGACATTTATGTGGAAAAATGAAAAAGAATATTAATAAAGAAAACTATATGGGTAACGTTATTTTAGTTTTTTCAAATTTCCCTTAATGTTGTTATTGCATTGTTTATGCAATGAAAATTACTCAAGTTAAAATTGCTAAAGTAAAAAATCACATTGGTTAACAATTTTTATATGATTCAAATTATTATATATACACACATATTTGCATACACATGTATGTATATATACACACCCAACTGAATTATGTCCCCCACCGAATTCATATATGGCTTTGTTCCCTATTGTGATGGTATTTAAAGATGGGAACTTTGGAAGGTAATTAGGATTAGATGAGGTCATGAGGATGGGACCCTCTTGATGGGACTAGTGGCTTTATAAGAAGTGAGGGGAGCAGAGAAAGAGAGAAACAAGTAACTTTCTCTGAACAGACAGCCTACAGAATGGGAGAAAAAATTTGCAATCTATCCATCTGACAAAGATCTAATATCCAGAATCTACAAGGAACTTAAGCAAATTTACAAGAAAAAAAGCCATTAAAAAGTGGGCAAAGGACATGAACAGGTACTCCTCAAAAGAAGACATTTATGCAGCCAACAAACATATAAAAAAAAGTTCAACATCACTGATCATTAGAGAAATGCAAATCAAAACCGCAATGAGATACCATCTCATGACAATCAGAATGGCAATTACTAAAAAGTCAGGAGACAACAGATGCTGGCAAAGCTATAGAGAAACAGGAATGCTTTTACACTTGGTGGGAATGTAAATTAGTTCAACCACTGTGGAAGACAGTATGGTGATTCCTCAAAGACCTAGAACCAGAAATACCATTTGACCCAGCAATCCCATTACTGGGTATATACCCAAAGGAATAGCAATCATTCTATTACAAAGATACATGTTTGCATATGTTCATTGTAGAACTATTCACAATAGCAAAGACATGGAATCAACCCAAATGCCCATCAATGATAGACTAGACAAAGAAAATGTGGTACATATACACCATGGAATACTATGCAGCCATAAAGAGGAATGAGATCATGCCCCTTGCAGGAACATGGATGGAGTTGGAAGCCATTATCCTCAACAAACTAATGCAGGAACGGAAAACCAAACACCAAATGTTCTCACTTATAAGTGGGAGCTGAACAATGAGAACAGATGGACATAGGGAAGGGAACAGTACACACTGGGGCCTGGGGCCTGTTGCAGGGGGCAGAGAGAGGAAGAGCATCAGGATAAATAGCTAATGCATGCTGAGCTTAATACCTAGGTGATGGGTTGATAGGTGCAGCAAACTACCACGGCACACATTTACCTATTAAACAAACCTGCACATCCTTCACATGGATCCTGAAACTTAAAATATGATAAAATTTTTTAAAAGAAATTACTTTCTCTCTACCATGTGAGAAGCAAGAAGGCAGCCATCTGCAGGCCAGAAAGCGGGCCCTTACCAGAAATCAAATTTTCCAGGACCTTGATAGGACCTTGATGGATAGGACTTGATAGATAGGCTTCCCAGCCTTCAAAACTGTGAGAAACAAATAATCTGTTTTTAAGTCTATGGCATTTTCTTATAGCATCCCAAGGAGATTTATATGGTAGATAAATATATAAATATTCTGAAAGGATGTACAGTAAACTGTTAAGACTCTTTACTTCTGAGGAATGTTAATGAAAATTTTGGAAAGAAGGATAAGATCTTTTTATTTCATTTTATGTCAATCTTGTATAATGTTTGAAATTTTAATGAAGTGAGTATGTTCATTTTACTTGAAACAGAGAAAATCAAAAGTATTAGTGAGGGGATGATGATTATCTCTTATTTTTGCTTCCCTTTGTTGGGTAGCTACAATGGGATACTAACAGTTCTGGCACAAAATAGATGCTCAAAAAGTATTTCTCGATCAAACAAAAATATGTTGTTTTAATGTAGTGACTTGTACCTGTGCAGCATTTCCAGTGATTTGTTTATAGTAGGCCCTGCATGTAATATACGATGTTCCTGTTGGCATTTTGTCATTGCCTTTCTTAATAACTTCAGACTTACTTTGCAACAGAACACCACAGCAAGAAAAATGAGTTCCAGGGGGCAGAAGAGGGGTTGTTCGCAGGAAAGACAGCCCTGAAGGAAAACGAAGCTGGCACAAGTTAGGGCATGAAAGGGCCTTCTCACTGTGTAATTTGACACATGTGGCCACACATGACTCAAGTAGTATTTCTTAACCAAAAATAAGAAGCAAAACAAAGAGAAAAGTGAAGGGGTAGAGGAGAAGAAAATAAGAAGGAAAAATATAATTTGCATATACAATCATGCCACACATAACAATGTTTTGGTCAACGATGAACTGCATACAGGAGGGTCATCCCATAAGATTATAATACCATACTATTACTGTACCTTTCCTATGTTTAGATATGTAAACATTTACCATTGTGTTGCAATTGCCTGCAGTATTCAGTACAGTAATATGTTATATAGGTTTGTAGCCTAGGAGCAATAGGCAATACCATACAGCCTAGGTGTGCAGTAGGCTATATCATCTAGGTTTGTGTAAGTATACACTATGATGTTTTCACAACAATAAAATAGCCCAGTGATGCATGTCTCAGAACATGTTCTTGTCATTAAGTGATGCATGATTGTATGTAAGTATGTGAGCAAGAGTATATTATGTAAAAAATAAAAAGTTCTTAAATACATAAAAATGTATGTGTATAAAATTTAGAGATGCATAGTCATTTATCAAATGAATATGTCACAAAAACGAGTGTCTGCATGTCCTACAGACAAAACTCAAATGTACATAAATTGATACATTTTAGTCACAGTCACTCTATACCCTTCCAAGCTATCCTTTTGTTTGTGATTACAATTATGATTAGGTCTTGATAGTAAATGTTTGCCTTGTTTTCCTTGCAGAATATCTAATAAGTTTTCTCAAAATAACGTCAGTTCTGTTTTGTCGATTTGATAATATAGACAAAATAATAACATTTTTCTACCACTGTAAAATGTGTTGAGATTAAAAAGTATTTTCATGCGTATCTTACCATTTGGTGATCACAGCCACCTTCTGAAGAAATCAGGTTCTCTATTACCTCTTTATCATAGACCAGAAATTTAAATGGGTCCATCTTTGCATAACAGGTGGGGAGCAGAGTTGTGACATGAATCTAGATAGGTTGACTTCAATCTAGCCTTTTTAAATTCTGTTATGGGGGAAATTCCATAATGGTTTTAGAAAACTAGAGAATGAGGCCAGGTGCGGTGGCTCACGCCTGTAATCCCTGCACTTTGGGACGCCAAGGCAGATGGATCACCTGAGGTCTGGAGTTTGAGACCAGCCTGGCCAACATGATGAAACCCCGTCTCTGCTAAAAATACAAAAAAGTTAGCTGGGTGTGGTGGTGTGCACCTGTAATCCCAGCTACCTGGGAGGCTGAGGCAGCACAATCACTTGAACCCAGGAGGCGGAGGTTGCAGTGAGCTGAGATCGCACCACTGCACTTCAGCCTGGGCAACAAGAGTAAAACTCTGTCTCCAAAAAAAAAAAAAAAAAAACTAGAGAAGGAAAATGCTCCAGGGAGAAGAGCATCTCCTGAGTCTCTTCCTGTTATATTATTGAATTTCTCAACAGTTAGCCAGCTGAAACTGTAAATAGCTTTATCTTATTCCACAAAAGCAGCATTTTATCTTTTTTTTTCCCTCTATACTACGTGCACTTGGTAATTAGAAATTTCATATTTAAGCCAATTAACCTAATAAAAAACATTTCAGCCCTAGTTTAAAGTTTAGAAGCCACAGGATAGGGTACTAACATCATTTTGCATGTTTAAAGGTTCATAGAATTGACTTTAAATGACCCAAATGAATCTTCTAGCACATCGAGAAGTAGAAGAGTTCATTAAAGCAGGAATGTATAATGGTTAGTGAAGCAACATTTTTAACAGCTGAAGCTTATATGATTACAAGTCACTTTCTTTTATGAAAATGACCAATTAGCAGCAGCCTATTTTATCAAGCTGGAAACACAGGCTTGGTTTTTCTATTTTAATGAAAGGGAAAAGATGGTGCTTAAATTTAAGTTTAATGGCCTGCAAATTTCCACCCTCATTTTGTAGCACTGAAGTTTAGCCCAAGAAAGGATAGGTGTATTTCTGGAAACCGGTTTCACTCCCTTCATACAACCAGAGTCCCAGGGAGGAGGTACCATAATAGCAGTCCTCTAAGAAGATTGAATTATTCTACTTTTTCCCTTCAATTCCTACATTTCTAGCAGGAAATTGGAAAACAATGAAAAACCAAAGCTTAAGGTGAACTATATAATCTTATCATGGCAATTGGTTCCTGACTTCAGGAAGCAGATGCTGAGACTGAGTTAGACATATAAAAGATTTATTGGTAGTGAAGGTAAAAGGTAGGAAGCAGGATCAAGCAAGGGTAGCCATGAGGCATCAGGAGCAAAATCCATCCATTAAAGAAATCACATTTAGGTGGAAATGGTTAGGTCCTTGTTCCACAGTCTTGCTCAATCATTGGCTGGGCTTACTTCAAGAATAGAATGACCTTAACTCAAAAGCTGAGACAGACTTGAAGAGGGTAAGACCTGTCAGCTGGCCACCCTCCTTGAATGGGGACCTGTGTGGCTCATCTCTGTGTCTTCCACACATGGTAAATTCCTATTGGTTACCTTGTGGATATGGCTGTTATATTGATTTTGGTTGTACATTTGTTCTGTGTAATATATGAGGGGGCTTCAAAAAGTTTGTGGAAAACATGGAATTACAAGATAAAAACGTAAACTTTATTTTGCAATATAAGCCCCATCAAGTTTAGGATACTTTTGTAAGTGATGATAACAGCCATTTAGTTCATCCCTAAAGAACCAAGCATCCTGGTAATTTCACCATGTCAATGCAGTCTTTCTTACACTGTTAACTGAAGAAAAATGGGTGTCCTTTAAAGATTTTTAAAAATTAAGAAACAAAAAGAAGTCAGGAGAAGCCAAATAAGGACTGTAAGACAGATTCCTAATCATTTCTCATTGAAACTCTCTCAAAATTACCCTTGTGGATGAGAGGAATGAGCAGGAGCATTGTCATGGTGGAGAAGGACTTTATGATTAAGCTTTCTTGGGTATTTTTCTGCTAAAGCTTTGACTCTTATTCTCAAAACACTCATAATAAGCAGATGGTATTGTTCTTTGGCCCTCCAGAAAGTCAACAACAAAATGCCTTGAGCATCCCAAAAAACTGCTGCCATGACCTTTGCTCTAACTGGTTTACCTTCGCCTTGACTGGTCCATTTTCATCTCTTAGTAGCCATTGCTTTGATTGTGCTTTGTCTTCAGGATCTTACTGGTAAAGCTTAGAAGTTTAGAAGCAATGTTTCATTTCCTGTTATAATCCTTCAAAGAAATGCTCCAGGATCTTGATCCCACTTGTTCAAAATTCCAATAAAATTTCTGCTCTTGTCTGCAGCTGACCTGGGTGCAATAGTTGGAGCACCCATAAAGTGGAAAGTTTGCTCACCTTTAACTTTTTAGGCAGAATTTTGTAAGCTGAACCAACTGAGATGTCTACAGTGTTGGCTTTTCTGTTGTAAATCATCAGTCCTCTTCAATTAGGGAATGAACAAGATTAATTTTTCCATGACAAATTGATGTGGATGGTCTGCTGCTACAGGCTTCTTCTCCGACATCATCACACCCCTTCTTAAGATCAGTTATTTATTTGTAAACTGCTACCCTTTTTGGAACATTGTCCCTATAAATTTTTTATAAAGTATTAATGATTTCACCATTCTTCCACCCAAGCTTCAACACAAATTTGATGTTTGTTCTTGCTTAAATTTGAGCAGAATTCATGTTGTCCTGAAAGGGGCTCTTCTCAAACTGATGTTGTATCCTTCTTGGTGCCTTAAACTAGATCCTGTTCAGACATGTTGTAACAGGCAGTATGAGTTTATTTTGGCATAAAAAAAATGTGAATTCCATACATAGTTGTTTTATAATGTGAACTTTCCATGAACTTTTTGAAGACCCCTCGTATAAGGGCAAAAGTGACCATAAGTTGAAGAAAGACAAATGTTCATCCAGTTCATCACAAGAAGTCATTTAATCAATTTTTTATGATCATAAATCCACAGTAACATGTACCTTACCCTGAATATGTCAAATTGCTTAGGAATAAAAACATCACAGAGAAAAGGGACTAGAATGTATGTATTCAGAAGTATGTCTAAATATACTGAATAAATTATAGACCAAGTTGGAATTAGGCCTATCTAGAGAATCACACAGTTAAAAGCCTTACCAGGCAGGAAAGTTGAACCTTCTGAAAGTCCCACTGCAGTGGTGGCATTTAGCCTGGTCACACACTGTATAGATGGCTCTGTTCCATACACAAGACAAGACTATGTCACTTCCTGAAACCATCCTCTGACACAAAGATTACTCTGTGATTGGTCATTGTTTATTGCAAAGGACTGTATAGGAGTCATTTCTCATCTGCTTCAGTATAGTCTGTTTATACAATATTCAAAATTTTAAAAGAATAAAATAACTTAATTATTAATACTTGGTGGCTACTTAATGAATTGACTTGAAATGAAATTTTAATATCAATGATATTTAAAATGAATCCTCATTGAACATCTTACTGGGAAGCTGAGAAAAAATTTAAAATCTAAGTCTAAATTAACAAAGAACTAAAGAGGGTAGCAAAAAAGTAAATGACTATCAGGGACATTTAGGGGCAAGTGAAATACTGTTTGGGATTAAAATATGTAACAATAAGTAAAGGGAGTTAAAAATGAAACACAGACACTCCAGAATGCAGCTGTGAACAGTTTATCCAAATATGATAAAATATTGAAACAAGTATCATCCATGCTTCCCTCTTTGTTCCTCATCTTTATCCCTTCTTTTGACCATCCTACCACCCTGGACACTCAAAGCCTTCACATTACACACTACAACACCCTACTCAAGTATGAATAGTTTACCCTTCCCTTAGCAAAACTCTTTACAAATCTTTCCATAACCTGGCACACTAACTGAACACCAGCGCATTAACACAAGGAAACAAGTAGTTGTTAAATGGTGGAAGAATCCAGGTTAAAAGAGCCTCTTCAATTATAATTACAGAGTGGTAAGGATATCATACACTGAAGATATCATAGGATGGTCTTAGGCAATATTCTCCCACTAAGAGTACACTTCTCAGGTAAGTTTATAGAATAGTGCAAAAAATTATCTATTTACAGTTGGCTTTGACACCAGGGCACCAATGCTACTCATATCTCAATAAAGTGCAAAATGCCACACAACTCTTCCTGTTCTACCCTTTTAGTTCTAACATTTAGAATTAGAATGACTCAATTAGGTAGATCAATTGTTTAAACAAAAGGATCTGCTTGGCCGGGCGCGGTGGCTCACGCTGTAATCCCAGCACTTTGGAAGGCCGAGGCGGGCGGATCACGAAGTCAGGAGATCGAAACCATCCTGGTTAACACGGTGAAACCCCGTCTCTACTAAAAATACAAAAAAATTAGCCAGGCGTGGTGGCAGGCGCCTGTAGTCCCAGCGACTCCGGAGGCTGAGGCAGGAGAATGGCGTGAACCCGGGAGGCGGAGCTTGCAGTGAGCTGAGATCGCACCACTGCACTCCAGCCTGGGCGACAGTGAGAGACTCCGTGTCAAAAAAAAAAAAAAAAGGATCTACTCATATAAATTAGTAATGTGTTTGAGAAAACATTTGCATGGCTCATTATTCTAGTCTAGAATTAGGTACATTGGAATGAACTTAATTTAAGCAGACGTGTGTCTATGCCACTTTGAGAAAAACAGATACCAGTAAACTAAATACACACACACACAACATATGCCAATGATATTTTAATATATCCTTGTATAATTTTCAAGTGTAATAGATTAATATTCAAATATCCAGCATTATATATATGTGTATATATGTATGTATATTTTTGTATGTATGGGACAAAATATAAAATACATTGAATGTAAGTGTTCAAAGTGGAGTGAAAATTATAATCAGCTTAAACCTTGCAAGTGTTAACTCCCACCTTAAAGTGGCAAAATATGGCAAGAAAAACATGGTTGTAATCCTGGCTCTTCTACTTCCTAGCTACGGAAACTTAGGCAAGTTGTGAGACGGAAATATAATGTGCACAATGCATAAGCTTGTTGTGAGGATTAAGTAGGTTAATACCTATAATGCGTTTATGACAGTGGATCATTATTTATTAGGAAAGTTAGCAAACTACACAATCTAGATGTAGAAAATGACCCATTCATTGATATATGTTATTTTTCAAAGACAGAGTTCAATTATCTATGTTTTATCAGTGACTAGAAATGTTATAATGTTCAAACGTTCTCTGGTTTCTATTTTCTAAAAGTATCTTGGCAATTTCACTTCTTGGTAGGAATAGCACCATCCTCTTTCAGTACATAATTTGTGTACTTAAATACACACGGAGGAGGTTATTTTATAACTGCAGAAAGTGGCATTACTTTGGTTAGGCCAAGGGTCCCTGAGGAGAAAGAAAAAGGATTATTAAGAGAACTTACGTCTATTACCCATCAGGCTTCCTTGGACCAGTTTGAACCACATTAATTACAAAGTAAAGGCTAGAAGCTGATAGGACTATTTTCATAAATACTTGACAAGATTCTAGGAGAATAAATGCCAGAAAGTGCTGTATTTTAAGAAAAAGTTTGAGAAAAACTCCAAGCACATTCTCCCTGCCTCTGCACAGAAACCAGCACCATGCTATCACTCTACGAATCACAAGACAATGCCCTTAGCAAGGACTGTGTTATTTCCACTATAGATGTCATCAGCCATGTCAGCAGAGTGACTTTATGCACTATGGATGTCAAAAACGGTAGATGCTATATGAGGGACTGCAGATCATTTACTGGAATAAGGTTGGTTTACAGTCATGCATGAGATACATCTTTACGGATTCCTAGAAATAGCCGAGAAATATCTTGAGGCATTGCTTAAACAAGAAGGGTGTTGTTGAAAAATCAGAATTGCGGTATAAAAATACATGATTTCACTTGTGCCTCAAAGCTAGTATTTCCTGGAGAATTTTGGGTTTATATATGGTAATACACAATCGATCTAGGCACCTTGTTTAGATTATATAACTATATACTGTCAGTTAGATCATACCTCAATAGTTTTAGTAGTTTAAAATATATGGAATATATTTATACCTAAAGGAAATGTTTCTAATAGAAAAAAGTACAAGTATTTCAAACATTTTTAATTTGTGGAGTTCTTAAAATACATGACTAAAGAAATGAAACAAAAATATCCAATATATTATTTTAATTAATACTATATGAAAATGATAAAATAAAAAGTTATTTAATGATATAAATAGTTATCAATTGTAATCATCCTATAGTTCACTTAAAAGTCAAGAATCAATATGTTTGGAAAAACATTTAAAATGGATTTTACTTTTAAAGAAAATTATATTACAGTATAAGCTTACCTCATGTTCTAGATATATTAATAACATAATATCACAAGCCTCCTCCCACATCCCATCAAAACTTCTGTCCCATAACTTTCATTTGTATCCATTAAGAAGAAACAGGGACTGGGTGCAGTGGCTCACACCTGTAATCCTAGCACTTTGGGAGGCCAAGGTGGGCAGATTGCCTGAGCTCAGGAGTTCGAGACCAGCCTGGGCAACATGGTGAAACCCCATCTCTACTAAAATCCAAAAAAAATTAGCCGGGAGTGTCAGTGTGCACCTGTAGCCCCAGCTACTCAGGAGGCTGAGGCAGGAGAATCGCTTGAACCGGGGAGGCAGAGGTTGCAGTGAGCTGAGATCGCACCACTGCACTCCAGCCTGGGCGACAGAGCAAGACTCCGTCTCCAAAAAAAAAAAAAAACAAAAGAAGTAACAGTAACAGGAATTAGATACGCATCCCCCCTCACTGAAATAACTATAAGAGTGAACAAAATACATGAAACAACAGTTTTCAGACATAGCACAACAGGCAGTGTTAAGGTAAAGGAAAGAAATAAGGTGAGATCTAAGAATGCCCCAGTTTATGGCCTGAAGAGGGTTTTTGGCCTGCAATGCAGGAAAGAGAGACCCAAACAAAGACTGGTAGTTTTCTTGAGTCAAGGAGGCAGTTCAGGAAGACCAAGATAGCTGGAATTATTAAGGCAGCTACCTGGAAAGGAGAAAGCTACAGAGACAACTGTGGGGGTACGCATGCATTTCCCTTGTGTCTTCATGTAGCACCTGAGTACCCAGGGACTAGCCTATTGTCTGTGTTCACTGGAGAAGGTCTGGAGCTTTTGTCCATATGGGTGGGTCTGGCACTGTGTCTTCAGGAGCAGGTCTGGAGCTTGGGTCCTCAGGGGTAGCCTGGATCCTGCATCCCTGGGGTCTAGCCTGGAGATGGCATCCACTGAGGTGGACCTTTTGACTGGATCCATGCGGACAGGCCTGCAGCCTGACTCTACAGCGATGGGCTTCTGAAGCTTACTTCTGTCAATTCATCAAATTCCTTCTCTGTCCAGTTATGTTCCCTTGTGGGCAAGGAGTTGTGATCCTTATGAGGAGAAGAGGTATTCTGGTTTTTGGAATTTTCAGCCTTTTTGTACTGTTTTTTTCTCATTTTTGTGGATTTATCTATCTTTGGTCTTTGCTGCTGATGACCTTAGGATGGAGTTTTTGTGTGATCATCCTTCTTGTTGACGTTGATGCTATTCCTTTCTATTTGTTAGTTTTCCTTCTAACAGTCAGGCCCCTCTTCTGCAGGTCTGCTGGAGTTTGCTGGGGATCCCCTCCAGACCCTGTTTACCTGGGTATCACTAGCGGCGGCTGCAGAACAGCAAAGATTGCTACCTGCTCCTTCCTCTGGAAGCTTCTGGCAGAGGGGCACCTGCCAGATGCCAGTCAAAGATCTCCTGTATGATGTGTCTCCCTGTCAGGAGGCACAGGGGTCAGGTACCCACTTGAGGAGGCAGTCTGTCCCTTAGCGGAGTCCGAGCACTGTGCTGGGAGATCCACTGCTCTCCTCAGAGCTGGCAGGCAGGAACGTTTAAGTCTGGTGAAGCTGTGCCCACAGTCGCCCCTCCCTGCACAGGTGCTGTGTCCCAGGGAGATAGGAGTTTTATCTTTAAGCCCCTGACAGCGGCTGCTGTCTTTCTATCAGATATGCCCTGCCCAGAGAGGAGGAATCTAGAGAGGCAGTCTGGCTACAGTGGCTTTGAGGCACTGTGGTGGTCTCCACGCAGTTTGAACTTCCTAGTGGCTTTGTTTACACTGTGAGAGAAAAACTGCCTACTCAAGCCTCAGTAATACTGGACACCCCTACCCCGACCAAGCTCAAGCATCCCAGGTTGACTTCAGACTCTTGTGCTGACAACGAGAATTTCAAGCCAGTGGATGTTAGCTTGCTGGGCTCCATGGGGGTAGGATCTGCTGAGCTAGACCACTTGGCTCCCTGGCTTCAGTCCCCTTTCCAGGGGAGTGAACAGTTCTGACTCACTGGTGTTCCAGGCACCACTGAGGTATGAAAAAAAAAAAAAACTCCTGCAGCTAGCTCCATGTCTGCTCAAACAACCTCCCAGTTTTGTGCCTGAAACCCAGGGCCCTTGTGGTATAGGCACCCAAGGGAATCTCCTGGTCTGTGGGTTGCAAAGACTGTGAGAAAATCATAGTATCTGAGACAGATAGCACCATCCCTCATGGCACAGTCCCTCACAGCTTCCCTTGGCTAGGGGAGGTAGCTCCCTACCCCTTGTGCTTCCCAGGTGAGGTGATGCCCCACCCTGCTTTCGCTCACCCTCTGTGGGCTGCACCCACTGCCTAATGAGTCCCAGTGAGATGAACTGGGTGCCTCAGTTGGAAATGCAGAAATAACCCACCTTCTCTGTTGGTCTTGCTGGGAGCTGCAAACCAGAGCTGTTCCTATTCAGCCATCCTGCCCGGCACCCCAGAATAAGTTTTATGGTCTGGATAAGGTTGGGGTGGTGAAGTAACACATGCAATTCTAAAAATATAGGGAGCTTCATGTATCACAGATCTGATGCTTTACTATTCAATTCATAAGCATCATACATAGTCTGTGAGCTATTTTTCCTGTTATGTTTTGTGTTTAATCTCTTTACTCTTTATTGTCCCAATACCCTTCTGAGTAGATGTATACAGGTTATAACCAGGGGACACCAGTGTGGGGCTGGGATACAGCATTCAGTTTCTGCTTGGAACTATTTAATTTCTAGGGTTATCACATTAGCAAACTTTGTCTCATTAAATTGGGTGTCAAAATATTGTCTGAAAAAGTAACATGAGCCAACTATTATACTGCATTAACTTTTTCATTTCTTTGTTCAAAAGTAATATTTACTGAGTGGCCAACTTTTGCCAGATCCTATTCTAGGCAACAGGAATACATATTTGAAAAAAACAAAAGCCCTATTCTTATATGGTTTACATTTCAGTGGAGGAATGCAGGCCAAAAAAAAAATCAGTTATCTATCTTTTATGTCTATGATGGAGAAAAGAAAAGTAGGGACAGGGTTGTGATTGGACAAGGGAGGTGGTATCTGAGCAAAGACCTGAAATGAAAGGAGCCAAGTTGATTTCCACCTGAATGGTCATGGCAGAGGTAAGTTTTATAATGACCTTGGGGTAAGAGACTATCTAGCACACATGAGGAGCAGCAAGGAGACTCATGTGATGCAGGATGAAGAAGCTAGTGGTAGTGGAAGTGGATGAGGTCAGAGATGTTCTCAGGGGCCAGATAATGATCAATCATCCTAGGCTCTAGTGAGGATTTTGGATATTATTCCACCGAGATGGGAACACACAAAGGGTTTGAGCATAGAACTAACAGTTTGAAAAGATCATTGCTGCTATGCAGGGAAAACATCAGTTGATCTAACTATGGCTTTATCATCTTGTTTGCACAATGGTAATGTACAAAACCAAAAACTTTGTCTCCATATTTATAATGCCAAGTACACTCAGCAATTATCCTGTAGTATGATGTACCATACATGATGATATGCCTTTTAAGATGCAGTGCTTTGTTTATATATATAATAAACCTGCACATCCTGCACGTGTACCCCGGAACTTAACAACAAAATAAAGATGCAGTGCTTGAAGCGTTTTTTTTTTTTTTTCATTCTAAGAGTGCCTTCAGTTTAAGCCTGTAAAATAATCTGTGCTGCTTTCAAAAGTAATGTTACTACACTTCTTTCGTGATACAGAAATCTGGAATTGTCTATCCTTCCCTTTTCATTTTTTATATCTCACTCATGCCACATCATACCATTGTCTGTTTGCTAGAATTATGAAATGGTGGTTAGTATTTTAGATTCTAGTTCATAGCACTGTAACTTCAAAAAATTGTATTTATAAAACGGGAATGTTTTTCAACTCTCATTAAGAGGTTTTGGATAATATCAAAAGTGACTATTAAATCAGCCATCCAGCTCATTTCCACACAATTAAATTTGAAGCACCCTAGAGATAAGCAAAGTCAGTTTAGAAAAAAAGAAATAAAAATTACAAGAAAAATGTGGGTTTCTTTGTTGTTGTTGTTATTATCATAAGGACTCAATTTAAAAAGTGTAAGCCACTTATGGACTAGAGAAAGCTGGAGTTAAAGCCACAGGGAAATGTGTGAATCAAGAAAAGACATGCGCAGGAGACAGCAAGCATTACCACTTCTAGGCCATTTTTAAAATGTCTTGGTGATCCTAAATAAATGTTCTTTATTTTTGAAATAAGCTGAGATGTTCCTGGATTATCATGAAATGGCTAAAAAAATGATAATATATTTACCACATAAGTTAGGGAGGCTTTAGAAAAAGAGAAAATGACATTTTCCCTCACAGCTGAGTTTCTTGGTGAACTAGGCTCTAAACGTCTATGAGAAATTATCACTGAAAAATGAGATAATACCCAAATACTAAATAGAATATATTATCATTGAAGACAAACTTGAATATTTTATTCTTCCCTATAAAACAATAAATTATACCCATTTTGTCAGTAATGGCCTATCAGTGAGCTAAAATTTAATTAAAAATGAGGGAACTAACTCAATGTATTCTATTAGGGGAATAATAAACTAGAAATATGGCCTTTCCAATTTGAAGAGGTAAAAAGTTTTGATGTTCTGATTGATATCTTTTTAAGAGTTGTACAAATTTTAATAATTTATGCAATTGTCATGCCATTTCTGACACTATTCATCAATAAGCTAACTTATTTTACAATTGTTAATTTCCATATATTTCTTCCAAATATAATTGTATATATCAATTTCTATATAAAATTATCCTTACTTTTTTAAAATGAAACTATATTTACAGTGAATTAATACTGTTGTTCTTCAGTGTGGTATAATGATGCTAAACCCTCCAAATAACTGGGCTGTTAGTGCTGAATGAAAAGAAATCAATGTATAAATCAAGTAAAGGGGTATGGAAACCTATGTGACCTCAGGCTACTGATTTAATCTCTTTAATTCTAAATTGTTTACCTGTAAAAATAAAGATTAAATAAATGTTATGCATGAACACCTAGTATAATAGATTCTATATAAAATTTGTGTTCCTTTTCTTTACTAATGGACCAATTAAATGATCATATGATGGTAATTATATATAAAATATATAAATGGCCCTTGATTGAGAAATTTATTCTAATGCATGGATTTCAGGCAAAAGGGATTTGAATCACTCTTCCTTGGACTGCAATCTTACAGCCAATATGACATAATTTTTCAGCAAATTTTGGGCAAATTTTGAAGTGAATTGCTTGTTTTGGCACCGTCAGCCTTCTTACTTTGCACCCATTTTCTTGTTCTGTTTTCTTTATTTGTTTGCTTTTTGAGAAGTCTATGTTATAGATTCACAGAATCTTAGAGCATAAAAGACTCTTAGATTGGAACATGAGAAATCTTTATTCTGTTACATGAATTTTTACAGCAGCTCTAATGGGTGATTATTCATCTGTTACTTACATACTTGAGATGCCAGAAGTGAGTTGATGCTTGTTCAAACATACTTGTGTAGAGTAGTGATAGTTTTCCCAGACTTCCAATTTCCAAGGGATATTTACAGCTTGCTAAGTTTATACCAGTGGAATGTGATCTGAAGTGATACACACCATTTTCAAATCAGAGACTTAAAATATTAGGGCATCCATCCTTCATATGCTCTCTGTCTACCTACTCTGAACCAGAATGTGGGTGTGCCTGCACTGTAGTTTCAATCAGGCAGACCAAAATTAAAAACACAAAAGCAAAAACAACAAAAAAGCCCCCTCAAATTTCCCCAAACCAAGAACTGAGAGAGACAGCAGAGAAACAAGATTAAGGTCCTGAATGGTAACCACTCTCTGATCTGAAACCTTGGATTGTTGTATAATGAAAAAATAAACCTCAGCCTTCTTTAGGATACTAAAATTAGTATTGACTCTCTGATAAAACACACAATAATTATCCTAACTGATACAGAGGGTACTTCATTTTTTTCTATTCTCTAGAAGAAATTGGTTAAGATTGAATTCATCTATTCCTTGAATGTATCACAGAACTTGCCTATAAAATCATCTAAACTGACATTTAGTTTGGTGGAAGGTTTTTAAAAACAGATTTAATTTATTCAATGAATATATAACAAATCAGATTATCTATTTCTTCTTTAGTCAATTTTGGTGAATTATGTTATTCTAGGATTTTTTCTATTTTGTGTAAATATTAAAATATATTGGCAAAGTTTTTCAACATCTCTTAATTTTAAAAATCTATTACATCTGCAGTTATGTTTCTTTTTCATTCTCAATGCTTTGTATTTGTGTTTTGTTTTCTTTATTAGTCTCACCAATTATAATTGTCAACTATATTTATGTTTTCTAAGAACCAGCTTTTGGCTTTGATTCTTTATTTGATTATTTACTGTTTAATTTAAGTTTTAACTTTATTATTTTATTCTTAATTTATTTGGGTTTAATTCTGCTTCTTTTTAAAGTGATTAAGTGTGACACTTAGCTAACTAATTTTTAGCTAGGAAACCATAAATTATATTAAAAACGTTTTACATTTTAAAATTTAAAAATGAAGCATTTATTTAAAGAAATTAGTATAAATTACTGAAAAAGCTGTAGTAAAATCTCTTAGTCTACTAGATTTGTCAGTTTCTTCTTGAGGTGCAATCATTTTTTAAAAACTTGCTTAATATAATTTGAAGCAATCTTATTTGGTGCATATAAGCTTAGTATTGTTTTAATGTCCTAGGAAATGGAATCTTTTATTAGTAAGTGATTTTCTGTATCTCTGTTAATTTGTTTGTCCCAAAGTAAATTTTGCTGCAGTGATATAGCCACATCAGATTTCTCTTGAATGGTATGTATTATTCTTTTCCCTCTCTCACTTTCTTTATTCTTTATCTTAATGCATCTTTTGTAAACAGTGTGCAGTTGATTTTGAAAATTTAGTCAGTCTTGTGTTTTAACTAAGTAGTTTAAGTATATACAATTACTATTCTTTTGCTTAGACTTTTTTTATTTTTATTTTGCTTAGAGCTATCTTTTCCTATTTATTCTACATTTTCTTTCTCTCTCTCTCTTTTGCCTTTTCTTGGATTAAGTTTTACTTTTAGGTTTTGTTTTGGTTCCATTTTTCTCCTCTATTGGTTTGAAAATGATAAACTCTGTACTCTAAAAATTTTAACATTTATATTAAGCACAACAAAGTTTAAATTTTATTAGTAGTAGCTTTATCTTCTTTTCAAACAATACAAAGTCCTTCTAAATGCTCTAAGTCCAACTGATATTTTATTTCAGCAATTTTTATTTAGATTTTATTATGTTCACATTGTTTACTTTTTCTTTTTAACATTTCACTTATTTCTCCTGTAACCATGTTCTTTATTACATTTACATTGTTTACTTTTCTTTTTTTTATTATTTTACTTATTTCTCCTGTGACCATGTTTTTTATCCTGAAACATATCATTCAAAATTTTGTGGGGCTGTGATATTTGTAAGGTGTCATATTTTTGTCTGAAAAGGCATAATTTTATTCTTTTTGAAAAGCAGTTTTGCTGTTCATAAAATTCTAGATAGTGAGTTATTTTCTATCAGCGTTTTGAAAATACAATTTGACTGTCTTCTAGATTGTGTTGTTATTATGGAGACGTGAGATGCCAGTCAAATTCTTTCTCCAATGTAAGCAATCTCTTACATAAGATCTTCTTTGTGTTTTGTTATGTGTCTTTATACTATGATTTTTTTTTTAATGTTCTCCTAAGTGTTCATTCAGTTTCTAGGATCTGTGGCTTGGAGTGTTTAATTAGTTCTGAATATTTCTCAACAATTATTCCTTCAAATATTTTCTCTGCTCTATTTTCTCCTCTTTTTCTGGAACTTCAATATAATGTAGATCAATTGTCTTCATTCCATTTTTTTTTTTTTTTGTATTTCACTCATTTAGTAATTGCTAAAACCATTTTCCCCTTCCTTTCTCTCATAGCCAAGGAAAGCCAACTTTGGCGATAGGGGAGAGATTTTTCTGTGCAAAGATAAAGGCAAAGATTCATTATTTGAAATCTCATTTTTATTTAATGTATAATCTCTTTGCCAGATGCTTCCTCTTCTTGCTGAATGTTTTCAAATCTGCATGATAAAGTTTTGACAGTAAGAGACTACAGATACTTTTATATCTGCTCTGTTCATTTGTTCATTCCTTTGCTGTCATGTTTTAGCAGTTTTCAGTCCTATAGTCCAATTTTCATGGTTTCTGTATTCCTTACTGCAGTGAACTTGATTGACTTTTTTTGCTCGCTCAGATTAAAAGAGGGATTACGTCACCTGCCCAGAAGGGTCAATAAATTGGAGGCAGAAGTACCTTTGAAAAACAAGGTGTCATCTCTTCCATGTGTCGTTAAGTTAGGATACTAAGATCTCTATGTTTGTAATCATGGGCAACTCTACATTGATGAAAGTTAAAAAAAAATAGTTTAGAAAGGCCCATGCTGCCAACTAGAAACTTAGAAATTACATGTTGCTTGTCATCAACAAGTACAAGGTGTTCTATTTAATGGGCTTTTTCCCCCCTCTTTGTTGAATGGAAATTTAACACACTTCTGCTTTCTTAAAAAACAAGAAAGTTGAGTACTTGACTTTTGTTTTTGGTAACTACTAAAGGTAATCAACCCATACTATTTGAGAGGACAGGAGCAAATGAGTTAACAGGAATTAATTTTAATTAGGATAAGTGGGCATTGAAAGAAAGGAGGCCCATCCTTTTTGAATAGATTCCATTTTATTGGAGAATGAGACCAATGAGAACACATTTCACCATTTACTCACTAGTTTTGGTATTCTAAATTACAACTTATTAATTTATAATTAACTAACTTCAAGTTTTTGGCTACTTTCATGGGCCAATGAGGACATCTTGTTTTAATTTTTATTTCTCTTATAATGAGCGAAGTTGAACATTATAGAAAATTGTGCTATTTCAAAGTATAAGACATATTCTGGAAGCACACTTTAGAAGTAGAGATATTGGAGCATCTGGCATGTTTTGTTGATTTATAGGTTCTTTGATTTGTAGAAATTAGAATAAACAGCTTAATGTAAAAATCATGGAATGCTTCATGAAGGAGATGGAAACTTGAAAGATGAGAAGGATTTATGATCTGATACAAATACTTCAAGTTTTTTATTTACCTGATGTTCGTTCACTAATTATGCTTATATATTGCTTAAATGTAATGAGAATTAAATATCAAAACAAAAATCTACCGAATACGTTAGAATTTTTTAACCAGAGCTGTTGGTGTGGCCTTTGGCCTGTGAGAGACTACCTTAAATAATGGAACACAGGAAATAACCATATGTGAACCAGAGATCTAAATCAACCAAGTTAACAGACGGGGCCTGACAGGTTCCAGATAATCTGTAGAGTCTTAAGTTGTCTTGACCATGAGCAGGTTTGTTTAAGGAGTTGACCTAAAGGAATTAAGTTTTGCCAATAAGGATGGAGCTCTCTCTTTTTGTGCATTTGTTCCAATGTCGACTGGCAGGAAAGTAAAGTGGTATGGATGGGAAGGAGTTAGCCCTGTCAACAGAGCAATGATGGGCCTAGATAGGTTCTCTCTCTGCTTAAGTTAGGGGAACTCTAGCCTGAGCAGAGTAAGAGGCTTTCCAGTTTGGAAACAGTACTTCTTTTGTTACTTTCATATGAAGAAACTGTCAAATAAGTGTCAGAGGACCAAATTCCCTAAGGTTTGTGAAGTAAAATATTCTTAAATGACTAATCAGACTGCTCAGAAACACTCATTGATTTGGGACATGACTGCATACATTTGAAAGGGGAGGGCAATGGTGAATTATTATTTATAGTTCTTCTCATATCTTTTATACCTCTGTAGTTTCTATTACATATCCAATAAAAGGTATTTGAAAGCAGTAGTTGACTTTCTGATATGAGGTTACCCCAAGTTGTAGTATTTCTTTCAAAGGAAAAGGAGAAAAAAAAGAATAAGAAGAAAGCATTTCCTAGTAGGCATAGGCAGGTAGGACTCCATGATTGGAAATAAACCACACTTTGAACATTTGCCATCGTGGTGTTTTAGCAAATAGAAAAAAACATGCAGGCAGAGCATCATTCTCTATGCTTAAGGGAGCTGAGTGTAGTTCTGAGGTCATATGACAATATCATCCCAACTAAACTCCACATAACTTCCCACATTTTGGGGGCCTTTTGAAAGCCCTGATTTAAAAATTCCTATACAGTGTTTTCAAGGAGAGAGGTTGAATTTTTTGGCCAAGGTAGTCAAGTTTCTTATATCCAGAATAAGGTCACAGGTAAGTAACTTCCTTTATGGAATGCTCACTGCATAAGACTTGTTCTTTTGTGCATGTTAATCTTGTAAGGCATCCCACTGTACACAATTCAATACAATAAAATTGCTGATAGGAGCAAATCTAGTCAAGAAAATATATATTCTTTGTAGCACTGTTATAGAATGAGAAGAACAATACTATATTCTACTTATTTCCACTTAGTATATTGCTCTCTTCACAATCCTACCCCACAGCATTGTATCTCTCTCTCCTTTTCAGTCCAATAAACTTTTCATTATCTGTTCTTACCTGTTCTATTAGATTGGTGCAAAAGTAATTGTGGTTTTTCACCATGGCACATGTATACCTATGTAACAAACCTGCATGTTCTGCACATGTATCCCAGAACTTAAATTATAATTAAAAAAATTAAGTAGTTGTGGTTTTTGACGTTACTTTTCATGGCAAAAACCACAATAAATTTTGCTCCAAACTAATCTTACCTCTTTTCTAACCTGTTTCTCTAAGAACTGTTTTTATTTATTTAGAGTCAGTTTTCCTCTCTCCTTTAAAATGCTCTGTGTCTCAGGAATTGCCACAGGATTCTATGACACTGTATTGACCTGGGGACATTGTTCTCAATCAAAAGTTTGAATGTAATTTCAATTACATTGCTGAAGATTTACCTACTCATTGATTTTGGATGTGAATTCATTCCTTAGGTGAAAGACCTAAAGAAGGCTAGTGAAAAGCCTCTAATGGGGGGGGGGGGGGGTCGGGGGAGGGAACAAAGAAAACAACACGAAATTCTTACTTGTTCATTTCCAGAGCAGTGTAGAAGAAGTATGTAAATAATGAAGCTATTTGTATCACCTGTCACTCTGCTTTATCCAAAAAGTAACTCTACGGTTCCTTTAAACAATTCTGCCTGGCATCTATTTGGATGGGTGATAACTGTAAAACATTTTCAGTGTCAGGAACTATCCATTTTAATGTCATTTTTCATTTTAATGGAGTCGGAAGCTTTGAGAACAGTCCTGATGAAAATCTTCAACTGGCTCTGAAACCACTGTTATGTTATACAGGGAAAGAAAGAGGCAGCAGTTTTGTCTCTGTAAATACGCTATAATATGCACAATCAATCTTTAATTGAGAGTGAAAGAAGAAAAATTTAATGTTTTGAAACTGATTAGATGTATTTCCCAGTGGATATGTTTTTCCCCCACAATTAAAAAGGCAAACATTTGGAGTATTTAAGACAAGTATGCTGTTGTTTTGCTAAATATTTGTTGAAACATTTATTTTTGCTTCCCTGAAAAAAAAATGTCCTCTCCTTTAGGCTATGTGATTCTTTCCAAAAGTTTCTTTCTTTTTATTTTAAGTAAATGTTTTTTATTGAGCTGATAGATTCTGTGTTTGAGAACATATTTTTTTTACAGTTTTTTGAACTGGTTCATTTCCTTTCTCCTTGTCTTTTATATTTTTTTACTGCACTTAAAAAATCCAAAGCATGTTAAGGTAGCTCACTAAATATGTATTTACAGATAATGGTATGTAAAAGTGATCTATTTAATTCTTTTTTGGGTGCACTGTATTTAAAAACTTTATAGTTTCTGTTTTCTCTTGTTTCTATTATACAATTGGGTATTACAAAAATTGGTAACACTCTGTAAGTCATTTTTTTCTTTTGTTTCCAATCTATAGTTATATGTTATAAAAATGGTACTATTTCTGTAGAAGAAAAAACCCTGTTTTTATTACCAAGACCAGGAAACCCAATTTAATTTATTTTCAGTGTGTGCAATTTTGTGTCTTTAAAAGTCATGCTGTGGAGCTTGTGTTGGCTTTAGAAACACATAATCTTTAGTGTAAAAATATATGAAAACTATAATTCAGTGACCCTGGATAGTGTAATTCTAGCCTTAGGTCCTTCAGCTGCATGTTCCTGAGCATCATTTCACTTCTCTGGGTCTCGTTTCCATCATTGGTGAAACTGGAAGGTATATATGCCTTAATTTGCAGATTTTGAATGTAAACATAAGATTATCCATGAAAGATGTTCTGCAGTGTACAGATCTTTCCCAATGCATAAATCAAGATTGCCTTTAAATTTGAAGACATTCACACGGAGAGTCAGTGCTCTTGTGACCTAAGAAACCCACGTGATGCATTGGAAAAAAATTGAAGCTGTCTGGTAACCCAGACACAAAAGCACTTATTCCAGTTCTCTCACTCACTTGTTAGTGATGCTAGCAGTTTATTTTACCTCTTTGTTTGTCAGTGGACTCAAATACGCTGTCAAGATAAGGAGATTGACTCATAAGACTATGGTGAGATATAACCAATAAAAAGAATTTCTGTTTATAAAAATCACAAAAGCATCATAAGTGCTATACAACAGTGTTATAATTCTACCTCCCAAGCATAGCCTCTGGGATTAATGTATTCATGAATCTAAACCATGCAATGTAGCTTTAGATCAAAGTAAGCAGATATAATTTTCTTGCTCATTTATTTCATCAAAATGCTCTTTCATACTGAAATATTTCACTCAGATTCTTAAGAATCAATAGTAATCAGTCATATCTTCATTGTACATTTGTAAATTGTACTGCTTAACATTTTCCTAAACCTAAAGAATTCACAAACCCATAGTTCTAATTACTCACTGCTATAGAGATAAAAACAAAACTCCAAGCTGAGTGGTGTTTAAAGAACATTCTTGGAAATGCTCTCTTATTATAGGGAGAAAAACAAAATTGTATTTACATGGTCAAGTTACTACATTTGAAATACCTCACTTATGGTCTATCAGAGTACCAATTTATGATAACAAGAAGTAACTGGAAAGCCAAACAGGACTATCTTTAAAATCTCCAAAATAACTGAGTGAGAAATGAAATTGTTCAGACTCTTACTAGAGTTTCTAGATGTGTTGTAATCACAGTGATTACAACAATCTCTTCCTGCATCCACATTGCAGCAGGAATCAGCAACTTGCTTCATCCTTTTCCTGCTGCCCCTGACCAAACCAGATATGCCATTGCTCATTAGCAAGTTAGTTACGTGTTACTTAAAGTTTAATGGGGAAAAAAGTATTTACATGGGACACTATAGGACTACACGTTAGCAAAAATTTCCATTAGATGTTCTCTGCCCCAGCTATCTCTCCATTCTCAGCTGCTTCCCTTCTTTCCTGTCTCTCCTCCTACAACTCCTCAGCACTCTCAGTCATACCTACACCTTCCGAATCTTCTATGTCCAACCAAGTCCTTCTGCATTCCCTATTTAGCCAAACCTTGTCTTCAGGAAGCAATTCTTTGACTATAGAAGCCTGCCTTAGGAATCCAACCACCCCTTCTCTCACCCTGGCAAATCCCACCTTCACGAGGTTAAGAAGGGAGCCCTGAAAGTTTCCTAAGTAAAATCAGATTTTTCTCCTCTAAGTAATGCTTAATTAAAAACAAATATTAAGAATCTACTATTGTAGTCCAGATTATCTCTGTGAGGCACTTCAGATAATATAAAGATGGCAAACAACAACAAACAAAAATACAAGAAAAATAATAGCAAGATCTGTGTCCTTATAGAAATCGCGGTCTAGTGGGAAGGATGGTCTTAATCAAGAGGAGACACAATTATGTGTATAACTCTAATGGGGATAGGAATGAGGGTGGAGAGAATAATATTGTACCTTAAAAACATAGGGAGCTTAGGGCAGCCTTCTCGGAGAAGCTGAGCTTGAGAGAGGAGCAAGATTTAGACAAATGCTGGGGTAAATGATGAGATTACTCAGGAAGAAGGGTAAGGGGTCTGTGCCAGCAGGTCTTTTTAGACCATATTAAAGATTTTGGTCTTTAAGTTCTTTGAAGGGCTTCAAGTTGAGACAAGGCAGGGAGAAGAGGAATGTCACGTGCTCACATTTGTATTTTGAAGCAATAGCTCTGAAAAGAATTAGAGAATGGATTGAAGTGGATGGAAACATGCAGAACTAGTCCAATTAAGACATAATTAGAGCTTGGATTAGGGTGTTGGTAAGGAGATGGAAGGGTGTGAGAGTTCACTTGGGTTTGATATTGAAAGGAAGGAAGGTTTTAGAGGTGACTCATAAACTGAAGATCGCATAACAGGATGAAAGAAGGTGGCATTGTCCACTGAGATCGAGACAAGTGGATCAGATATGGAGAGAGAGGCTGTGTGGAGTGGGCCAGAAATTGTTGTTGTTGTTTAATATGCTGATCTAGGGATGCATTTGAGAAATATAAGTGGAGGTTGGCTACATAGGTCTGTAGGTCAAAGAAGAGGTGTAAGTTGGAGATAAAATGTGGGGTCATTTCCATAAAGTTGCTTTGTTGTTGTTGTTACTGCTGTTGTTGTTGCTATCTTTAAAAAATAGCTTTATTGAGATACAGTTTACCAAGGATACAATTCACCCATTTAGAGTACACAACTCATTAGTTTTTGGTATATTACAGATATACAGATAAAATTAACCACTATCACAGTTACTTTTAGAACATTTTCATCACTCCCTAAAGAAACCCTATGCACTTTAGCTATCACCTCCCCCACACCCTCACTGATCTGACCTTCTTCTACCCCAAGTCCTAGGCAAGCACTATTTCCTATTTCCTACAGATTTATCTGTTCTGAGCATTTCCTATGAATGCACTCATACAATATGTGGCTTTTTGTATCACTGAGTATAATAATAAGTGTATCACTTAGTAATATCTTCAAGGTTCATCCACACTGGAACATGTATAACTTCATTTTTTTATGTCTGAATAATATTCCACTGTGTGGGTAGGTCACATTTGTTTATCCATATAGTTGTTTTTTCATTTCTATAGTTGCAGTTATGATTACTTTAGAAAAGATTATGGTGTGAGAAGAAAATAGAATTTCATGCCATGCTTTAAGAGTTTCTCACATTCAATGAGTTTACAAAGGAGAAGGAGAATTATAGGAGAAATACCACGGGGTGTGTGTGTGTGTGTGTGTGTGTGTGTGTGTGTCATAGAAACTAAGGAGAAAGATTGTTTCAAAAAGGAGGGAATAGTCAACAGTGTCAAACACTGATGTGAAGTTCGGTAAGGTGGAGAATGAAAAGTATCTTCTAAATTTGGGGGGGATGGAGTTCATTGTCGACCTTAGCAAGTGATATTCTGGTGGACTGATGAGGGTACAGACCACATGAGAGTGGATGGAGGAGCAGGAGAAGAGAAAATGGAGCTAGAAAATGTAAATGGCAGCAATTTTTTTTAAAAGCTTGACAGGGAAGGAAAGGAGAAAAGAAACCTGAGAGCTGGAGCGAATATGTAGGCAACTCAAGATTTAAGGAATTTTAACCAAATCCAAATGATTTAGTTATGAGAGAAGGGTCAACCCCACAAAATAGATCTGGGCCAAGCGAAATAGGCTCCTGCACTCAGATGGAAGAATAGACCTTAGAGAAGAAAAGAGACAATTCGTCTGCAGTAACAACAGAGATGATAAAAAGGATAGAGCCTGAGATGAGTACATATATTTTGTAAAGAAGGTGTGGGAATTCTCATCTATCAGCCTCTATTTTTTCTGAGAAGCAGAGGTGAAGTCAGACTCTGAGGAAGGAATACCAGGGGTTTGAAGAAGGTGAAGGCTTGAGAACATCATTGTGGATATGGGTGGATGAGTTAGTCAGTGAATCTTAGAGAAACTGATGGTCAAGATTGTGGGCTTATTTGAGACTGATTATGAATTGATAGTGGACTCAATCAACAATTAGATATTTATTGAGCTCTATATACTAGAGCATCCCTTCCTCCTGTGTTCTTCCTAAACTTCTTAAAAATAGGTTACTTCCCTCTCATCATAGTCCATAGCCTTGAGCATGTGGTTCAAACCTTACTTAAAGTTTTAAGACAGCAGGGAGTGAACCAATGTATATCACTGAGCCAGATCAAGAAAGATCCACTCAGTGGTAGCTTAATCACACCTAAGAGAAAGTTAGTAGTTAAAATCACAACGTTTTTGTATTATTAGACTTCCCCTTTTACTTCTATACTTCTATCTTATCCATCATCACTCATTTATGCATTTATTTATGCAGAAATATTTGTTAATGCCAATGTGTGCCAGGCTCTCAACCACTTCCACAATTCCCTTCCTCCTCTTGCACCTCTTTCCTCCTTCTATAAGACTTCTGTTTCTGTCGACTTTCTCTTTGTTTCTCTTTGTATCTCAAGATGAGGAAGTAGGAGTTACCAGTATTTTCTGAGACTCTAATAGCTTCAGTTCATGGACTGATGAACATGTTAAGCCTAGAGATGACATCCATTAGGGCCCACATTTAGGCAGAGCAGAAGCAGTCTGTGCAGCCTGTGTTATTGCAATACCCACATAGACATGGGATATAAGATGTCTAAAGATGTGTTATATTTTGGCCGGCTCAGTGGCTCATGCCTGCAACCCCAGCACTTTGGGAGGCCAAGGCTGGCGGATCACCTGAGGTCAGGAGTTTAAGACCAGCCTAGCCAACATGGTGAAACCCCATCTCTACTAAAAAAAAAAAAAAAAAAAAAAAAATACAAAAGTTAGCCAGGTGTGGTGGTATGCACCTGTAGTCCCAGCTACTCGGGAGGCTGAGGCAGGAGAATCCCTTGAACCCAGGAGGTGGAGGTTGCAGTGAGCCGAGATCATGCCACTGAACTCCAGCCTGGGTGACAGAGTGAGACACTGTCTCAAAAAAAAAAAAAAAAAAAAAAAAAAAAAAAAAAAAAAAAGACGTGTTATATTTTAATGGTTTTTAAATATGTTCTCCTCATTAGACTGACAATTTTAATGTTAATTTATGTGGTTTAATGACTACATTTGTTTATTCAATAAATATTGAAATGTTATGTGCCTGTCTGTGAATTACTATGCACAAGAAGGAGGGAGAAAGAGGTTGAATATTGAAAAGAAACAATCTTTTTTTCCCCCTAGGAGCTCAGAATCCAATAGATCCACAATGTAAGTATGCAGAAGTTAACACAGAAAAGTGTGGATTAGTCAGGGGGTGCTTTCTGGTGAGGGTAAATTTTGAAATGAGTTTTGAATGGTGAATTGTTTACCAGGGAATGAGAAAGTGGTGCCAGCCAGGTGAGTGGGAGCAGCACTTTATAAGCAGATGGAACTATGAACACTGCTGAGGCCCAGGGAGCAGGAGGAAGGGTGACAGGAGAAAAGAAGGAAAACACAGCCAAGAGCCTGAGTGCAAAAGGCCTTTTATCCACGCTGAGGTATTTGAGTTTCTTGCATGGTGATACAGAACAGGTGAAGAGTTTTAAGCAGTTGGAATGACGTGGTCTAATTCGCCTTTTAGCACAATTACTCTGGTGGTGATATGGAACATTGCCTGGAAGGACTGAGTCTTAGAAGAGGGAGATCAGTTAAGGGTTTAAGCAAGACCTAAGAAGTACTGAGCTAGCACATAGGGGTGGGAATGCAGAGGAAAGGATTGATTCAACGCATGTAGAGCAGGTGGAATCAAGGAGGCTTGTGACTGATGGAAGGTAGAGGTAGGGGAGAGTGAGGACAAAGTCTGAAAGGTGACTCCCAGGCTTCCGGCCTGTGTGGCTGGTTGGATGGTGGTACCACCAATGACATTGTGAGTATTAAGTAAGGCACAGGCCTGGAGAGGGTTCAAGTTCAGCTTTAGACTTTTCAGTTTGGAAGAGCCTCTGGAACATCTAGGTGGAGATACACAGTAAGATTTACAGAGATTAGGAAAGTTGTCTAACCTGCACATTGTGCACATGTACCCTAAAACTTAAAGTATAATAATAATTAAAAAAAGGAAAGTTGTCTGTGTGAGTAATAAATAATTATAGTTTCTTAGTCTAAGAAGGGTAACTAAAACCATGAGAACAAATGAAGTTGCCTTTGAAGAGATAAAGAGTGAAAAAAGAAGAGAGTGAAACATAGCATCCTCGAGAGGCAGAGGAGAACTGAGAGAAGCTACTGAAGGAGAGTCAAAGGGTCATAAATGTAAAAAATTTATAATGTAAGAATTTAGTCTTGTCCATTGTTTGGAAAATTTGCCTGTCTTAATGTCTTTTTTTTTTTTTTTTTAGTACAATTCCAATGGTAGGCAGGTAGCTAAAAGTTTGGTAAGAAAAAAATGATCAGTAATCAGATTTTATCATATTGAGGGATAAATGAAAAGTGAGGAAAAGAAGAAAAAAAGCATAGACATTTTCAGATTTCAGCACAGCCAAGATGATGAAAGGGTGAGAGTATTGACAGTCCTAGAGTAAGAGCTTGTGGGGCTTTTTTCTATTTTTCCCTTCTCACTCTAAGGTCAAACAGGTGGCATATAGGTTGTTCTTCTGTGTGGTGCCACATGTCACAACTATAAATGGTGAGTAGATATTACCGAAAGGGTGTATTCTCATAATTAAGACCTTCCTAAAATAGGAATTTTTTTAAGTAAGGAAGAAATGTATTACCCTGAGACACATTAAAGAATAATCTGAATAGCCACTCTGAATAGCCACCTATCACAGTTCTGTAGAGGAGACTCACACATCATTTAAGTGCTTTAGAGCCTTTTATAACATGAGACTCCATTAAATTATCTTTTGTTTATAATGGATGAAAATTGTAATTTGAATTAAATTAAAACTCTGGATTACAGCCCTCTAGATTTGCTTTATATTTCTCTTCTTGTCTTATGTGCTATCTCTTGTGTTACCAAGAAACTCTTTCTCTCTCACCTCCCTTCCATTTTGCACACACCATACCCAGTTGACTAAAATGCTCTATTTTCTCATTCATTTTAACCTACTTCCTCACTGGAAGCTTTCCCAGACTAGTCTTAGTCTTTGTCAGGTTCCTGTCATATAGGTTGCTCCAGCCAACCCTTCTATTACTAGCATGTGCCAATCCACAGGTGGATGACACAGCCACTGCTTGTCAGAATGTCAGAAAATAGACATGTGTATTTACATAAGGGGTTTGCTAATTTGTCTGACAACTGCCATCCTATATCAGCATTCCCTAAGTCCATCTGAAAATGTAACCAATAAAGATTGGCTTGGCAAACAAGGAGTAAATAGAGAAAAGAGATGATTTCATAAGATGAACCAAATTTTTTATACGTTACAATTTTATATTAGGACAAAAATTACATTCATAAAATAAATAATAGTAATGAGAAGGGCACAGCAACAGGGATCAATGCATTTTCTTTTTTAAAAAACTGCTTGTTTGTTTGTTTGTTTGTTTGTTTTTGAGACGGAGTCTCGCTCTGTTGCCAGGCTGGAGTGCAGTGGTGCAATCTTGGCTCACTGCAACCTCCGCCTCCCGGGTTCAAGTGATTCTCCTACCTCAGCCTCCCTAGTACCTGGGATTACAGGTGCATACCACCACGCCTAGCTAATTTTTGTATTTTTAGTAGAGACGGGGTTCCACCATGTTAGCCAGGATGGTCTCTATCTCTTGACCTCGTGATCTGCCCGCCTCAGCCTCCCAAAGTGCTGGGATTACAGGCAGGAGCCACCAAGCCCGGCTATTGTTTTTTTTGTTTTTGTTTTTGTTCTTGTTTTTGTTTAAGTTCCAGGGTACGTGTGCAGGATGTGCAGGTTTGTTACATAGGTAAATGTGTACCATGGTGGTTTGTTGCATCTATCAACCCATCCCCTAGGTATTTAGCCCATCATGCATTAGCTCCTTTCCCTAATGCTCTCTCCGCACCCACCCTTCCCCAACAGACCCCAGTAAGTGTTGTTTCCCTCCCTGTGTCTACGTGTTCTCATTGTTTAGCTCTCACTTATAAGTGAGAACATGCAGTGTTTAATTTTCTGTTCCTGCATTAGTTTGCTGAGAATGGCTTCCAGATTCATCCATGTCTCTGCAAAGGACAAAATCTCATGCTTTTTTTGGCTGCATAGTATTCCATGGTGTATATGTTCCACGTTTTCTTTATCCAGTCTATCACTGATAGGCATTTGAGTTGATTCCATGTCTTTGCTACTGTGAATAGTGCTACAATGAATATACTGGCACATGTATCTTTATAATAGAATGATTCCTCTGAGTATATACCCAGTAATGGGATTGCTGGGTCAAATGGTATTTCTAGGTCTAAACCTTTGAAGAATTGCCACACTGTCTTCCACAGTGGTTGAACTTACATTCCCACCAACAGTAAAGAGTGTTTCCGTTTCTCTGCAACCTTGCCAGCAACTGTTGTTTCTTGACTTTTTAATAATCGCCATTCTGACTGGTGTGAGATGGTATTCACTGTGGTTTTGATTTGCATTTATCTAATGATCAGTGATGTTGAGCTATTTTTCATATGTTGGTTGACCACGTAAATGTCTTCTTTTGCGAAGTGTCTGTTCATATCCTTTGCTCAGTTTTTAAGGGGGTTGTTTTTTTCTTGTAAGTTTCTTAAGTTCCTTGCAGATTTTAGATATTAGACCTTTGTCAGATGGATAGATTGCAAAAATCTGTTGGTTGTCTAGTTGCTCTGGTGATGGTTTCACTTGCTGTGCAGAAGCTCTTTAGTTTAATTAGATCTCACTTGTTAATTTTTGCTTTCGTTGCAATTGCTTTTGGTGATTTCATCATAAAGTCTTTGCCCATGCCTATGTCCTGGATGGTATTGCCTAGATTTTCTTCTAGGGTTTTTATAGTGTTGGGTTTTACATTTAAATCTTTAATCCATCTTGAGTTAATTTTTGTATAAGGTGTAAGGAAGGGATCCAGTTTCAATTTTCTGGAAATGGCTAGCCATTCTCATAGCACCATTTATTAAATAGGAAATCCTTTCCCCATTGCTTGTTTTTGTTGGGTTTGTCAAAGATCAGATGGTTGTAGACATGCGGTCTTATTTCTGAGTTCCCTATTCTGTTCCATTGGCCTACGTGCCTGGTTTTGTACCAGTACCATGCTGTTTTGGTTACTGTGGCCTTGTAGTATAGTTTGAAGTCAGGTAGTGTGATGCTTCCAGCCTTGTTCTTTTTGCTTAGGATTGTCTTGGCTATGCAAGTTCTTTCTTGGTTTCATATGAATTTTTAAAAAAATTTTTTGTTATTCTATGAAGAATGTAAATGGTAGTTTAATGGGAATAGCATTGAATCTTTAAATTGCTTTGAGCAGTATGGCCATTTTTATGATATTAACTCTTCCTATCTATAAGCATGGAGTGCTTTTCTATCTGCTTGTGTCCTCTTTGATTCCTTGAGCAGTGGTTTGTAATTCTCCTTGAAAGGGTCCTTCACTTCTCTTGTTAGCTGTATTCCTATTTCATTCTCTTTGTGGCAATTGTGAATGGGAGTTCATTTTTGATTTGGATTTCTGCTTGTCTGTTGTTGGTGTATAGGAATGCTTGTGATTTTTAAACATTGATTTTGTATCCTGAGACTGCTAAAGTTACTTATCAGCTTAAAAAGCTTTTGGGATGAGACGATAGGGATTTCTAGATATAGGATCATGTCATCTGCAAACAAAAACAATTTGACTTCCTTTCTTCCTATTTGAATACCTTTATTATTTTCTCTTGCCTGATTGCCCTGGCCAGAACTTCCAACACTATGTTGAATAAGAGTAGTGAGAGAGGGCATCCTTGTCTTGTGCCAGTTTTCAAGGGGAATGCTTCCAGCTTTTGCCCATTCAGTATGATATTGGCTGTGGATTTGTCATAAATAGCTCTAATTATTTTGAGGTATGTTCCTTTAATACTTAGTTTTCCCATTTCTTAGTTTCCATTTCTTCTATATTTTCCAGTTTATTTGTGTAGAGGTGTTTATAGTATTCTCTGATGGTTATTTGCATCTCTGTGGGGTCAGTGTGGTATCCCCTTTATTGTTTCTGATTGTGTTTATTTGAATCTTCTCTTTTCTTCTTTATTAGTCTCATTAGTGGTCTATTTTATAGATTTTTCTCAAAACCAGATCCTGGATTCATTGATTTTTTTGAAGGATTTTTCATGTCTCTATCTCCTTCAGTTCCTCCCTGAGCTTGGTTATTTCTTGTCTTCTGCTAGCTCTGAGGTTTGTTTGCTCTTGGTTCTCTAGTTCTTTTAGCTGTGATGTTAGGGTGTCAATTTGAGATCTTTCTAGCTTTTTGATGTGGGCATTTAGTGCTATAAACTTCCCTCTTAACACTGCTTTAACTGTATCCCAGAGATTCTGGTACATTTTCTCTTTGTTCTCATTGGTTTCAGAGAACTTCTTGATTTCTGCCTTAATTTCATTATTTACCCAGGAGTCATTCAGGAGCAGGTTGTTCAATCTTCATGTAGTTGTGTGGTTTTGAGTGGGCTTTTTAGTCTTGAGTTCTAATTTAGTTGCACTATCTGAGAGACTGTTATGATTTCAGTTTTGTTTTTGTTTTTTTTGCATTTGCTGAGGAGTGTTTCACTTCCAATTATGTGATCAATTTTAGATTAAGTCCCATGTGGCACTGAAAAAAAATTATGTTGTTTTTGGGTGGAGAGCTCTGTAGATATCTATCAGGTCCACTTGGTCTAGAGCTGAGTTCAAGTCCTGAATATCTTTGTTAATTTTCTGTCTCAATGATCTGTCTGATACTGACAGTGGGGTATTAAAGCCTCCCACTACTATTGTGTAGGGGGTCTAACTCTCTTTGTAGGTCTCTAAGAATTTGTTTTATGAATCTGGGTGCTCCTGTATTGGGTGCATATATATTTAGGATAGTTAGCTCTTCTCACTGAATTGAACCCTTTAACATTAAGTAATGCCCTTGTTTGTCTTTTTTGACCTTTGTTGGTTTAAAGTCTATTTTGTCAGAAACTAGGATTGCAACCCCTGCAGTTTCCTGCTTTCCATTTGCTTGGTAAATTTTCCTCCATCCCTTTATTTTGAGCTTATGTGCGTCTTTGCATATGAGATGTGTCTCTTGAATACAGAACACTAATGAGTCTTGCGTTTGTATGCAGCTTGACATTTCGTGTGTTTTAATTGGGGCATTTAGCCCATTTACATTTATTGTTAATATTGTTATGTGTGAATTTGATCCTGTCATCATGACGCTGGCTGGTTAATTTTGCAGACTTGTTGATGTAGTTGCTTCATAGTGTCATCGGTCTGGGTACTTCGGTGTGTTTTTGTAGTGTCTGGTAATGGTTTTTCCTGTCCACATTTAGTGCTTCTTTCAGGAGCTCTTGCAAGGCAGGCCTGGTGGTGACAAAATCTCAGTATTTGCTTGTCTGAAAAAAAATTTATTTCTCCTTCACTTGTGAAGCTTAGTTTGGCCAGATATGAAATTCTGGGTTGGAATTTCTTTTCTTTAAGAATGTTGAATATTGACCCCCAATCTCTTCTGGCTTATGGGGTTTCCGCTGAGAAGTCTGCTGTTAGTCTGATGGGCTTCCCTTTGTGTGTGACCTGACCTCTCTCTCTGGCTTCCTTTAACATTTTTTCTTTCATTTCGACCTTGAAGAATCTGATGATTATGTGTCTTGGGGTAGATGCTTTCGTGGAGTATCTTGTTAGGGTTCTCTGAATTTCCTGAATTTGAATATTGGCCTGTCTTGCTAGGTTAGGGAAGTTCTTCTGGATGATATCCTGCAGTGTGTTTTCCAACTTGGTTCCATTCTCCCCATCTCTTTCAGGTACTCCAGTCAGTCGTAGGTTTGGTCTTTTTACACAGTCTCATAGTTCTTGGAGGTTTCGTTCATTCCTTTTCATTCTTTTTTCTCTAATCTTGTTTGCCTGCCTTATTTCAGTGAGATAGTCTTCAAGCTCTGATATTCTCTCTTCCGTTTGGTTGATTTGGCTATTAATACTTGTGTTTGGGTCATGAAGTTCTCATGCTGTGTTTTTCAGCTCCATCAGGTCATTTATATTCCTCTCGAAACTGGTTATTCTAGTTCACAGCTCATGTAATCTTTTATCATGGTTCTTAGCTTCTTTGCATTGGGTTAGACCATAATCCTTTAGCTCAGCAAAATTCATTATTACCCACTTTCTGAGGCCTACTTCTGTCAGTTCATCTATCTCATCTTCAGCCCAGTTCTGTGCCCTTGCTGGAGAAGTGTTGTGATTATTTGAAGGAAAAGAGGCATGCTGACTTTTGGGATTTCTAACATTTTTGCATAGGTTTTTCCTCATCTTCGTGGATTTATCTACCTTTGATCTTTGAGGCTGATGATTTTTGGATGGGGTTTTTGTGGGGTCTTTTTTGTTGATGTTGTTGTTGTTGCTTTCTGTTTGTTTGTTTTCCTTCTAACAGTCAGGCCCCTCTTCTGCAGGTCTGCTGCAGTTTGCTAGGGGTCCACATCAGACCCTATTCACCTGTGTATCACCAGTGAAGGCTTCAAAACAGCAAAGGTTTCTGCCTGCTCCTTCCTCTGGAAGCTTCATCCCAGAGGGGTGCCTACCTGATGTCAGCTGGAACTCTCTTGTGTGAGGTGTCTGTCAACCCCTGTTGGGAGGTCTCACCCAGTCAGGAGGCACGGTGTCAGAGACCCACTTCAGGAGGCAGTCTGTCTCTTAGCATAGCTGGTGAGCTGTGCTTGGGGAATCCCCCCCGTTATGATCAGCCATTCTAGAGCTGGCAGGCAGGAAGGATTAAGTCCACTGAACCTGAGACTGTGGCCAACCCTCCCCTCAGGTGCTCTGTCCCAGGATGATGAGAGTTTTGTCTGTAAGCTCCTGAGTGGAGCTGGTAGATTTCCTGCAGAGATCTCCTGCCTTTGAGGAATCTAGAGAAGGAGTCTGGCCACAGCTGCTTTGCTGCATTGTGGTGAATCCCATCCCCTCCAAACCTCCTAGTCCCCTTAGCACTGTCAGGGGAAAACCGTCTACTAAAGCCACAGTAATGGCAGTTGTCCCTACCCCATCAGACTCAGACAGACTCCAGACTGCTGTGCTGGCATTGGGAATTTCAAGCCAGTGGTTCTTAGCTTGCTGGGCTCCATGGGATTGGGACTTGCTGAGCCAAACTGCTTGGCTCCTGGCTTCAGCCCCCTTTCCAGCAGAGTGGACAATTCTTCTGTCTCACTGGAGTTCCAGGTACTGCTGGAGTATGTAAAAACTTCCACAACTCAATGTCTGCCCAAACAGCTGCCCAGTTTTGTGCTTGAAATCCAGGGCCCTGGTGGTGTAGGCTCATGAGGGAATCTCGTGATCCACGGATTGCAAAATTCCATAGAAAAAGCATAGTACCCCTAGCACAGTCCCTCACCACTTCCCTTGGCTGGGGGAGGGAGGTACCCCTGCTCCGTGCACTTCCCCGGGTGAAGTGATGCCTCACCCGGCTTCTGATCGCTCTTCCCATTGGTCACACCCACTGCCTAGCTTGTCCCAGTGAGATGAACTAGGTAACTTAGTGGGAAATGCAGAAATCACCTACCTTCTGTATTGGTCTCATTGGGAGCTGCAGACTGGAGCTGTTTCTATTCAACCATCTTGGCCCCTCCGATCAATACATTTTCTATGTATTTATATGCATTTATTGATTCATCAGAGACATTCTTAAACTATGTTTTCTTACCTTCTATATATATATTACTATCACTTTTCAAAATTCTTAAAGGTGAAGCTATTTCCTATTTTAGGTAGCAGTTTCTCAAATAGTTGCGGGCTTACCTTTGTGAGTATAAGAACTGCTTTATATTTCTCATATATTGTACATGTAATTATTTTCTTAAAATGAAGATGCTAAATATAATTTAACATTTTGTGGATTCAGAATTAGTATTATGAAGATTAATTGATAAGGCCGGGCACAGTGGCTCCTGCCTGTAATCCCAGTGCTTTCGGAGGCTGAGGTGGGAGGAGGATTGCTTGAGCCCTGGAGTTTGAGACCAGCCTGGGCAACATGGCGACAACCTGTCTCTACAAAAAAATATAAAAATTAGCTAGGCATGGTGGCACACTTGTGGTCTTAGCTTCTCGGAAGGCTGAGGTGGGAGGATGTCTTGAGCCCAGAGGTTAGGGCTGCAGTGAGTCTTGTTTGTGCCATTACACTCAAACCTGGGTGACAAAGCGAGACCCTGTCTTAAAAACAAACAAAACAACAATTAAAAATTAAAAAACCATATTAGGCTCTGAAGTGGTAATACAGTGTAACACAAGGAGGTGTATGGCCTTTTGACACTTCATGGCCAGAGCTTGCTTGCTGTGTTTTCAGACTTCCTTGCTGTCAAGCTTTTTTTCTTCTTCTTCTTTTTCTTAATACAGGGTCTTACTCTGTCACCCAGACTGGAGTGCAGTAGTACAATAATGGCTCACTGCAGCCTCGATCTCCTGGGCTCAGTCTCTGGAGTAGCTGGGACTATAGGTGCATGCCACCATGCCTGGTTAATTTTTGTATTTTTTGTAGAGATGGAGTTTTGCCATGTTGCCCAAGCTGGTCTCAAATTCCTGAGCTCAAGCGCTCTGTCCATCTCAGCCTCCCAAAGTGCTGGGATTACAGGAGTGAACCACCATGCCTGGCTCTGTCAGGCTCTAGGCTTTAACTATTTTTGAAAGTGGACTCACCTCTAAGCAAACTCCCTTCTCTACCTCTAATTTTTTGGATAGAATTTCTATGTATATATGTGGTAAAATGAGTAAGTACCAATATAAAAGGAACAAAGGCATTGACAAGAGAGTTGGAAAAGTGGGATTCAGGAATTGGTAGAAATAAAAGGATGTTGGATACTCAAAATCTATATAGTAGATTACATAAATTATTAGGTGACATAGTTTGGATGTGTGTCCCTGCCCCAATCTCATATTGAAGTGTAATCCCCAGTGTTGGAGATGGGGCCTGGTGAGAGTGATTGAATCATGGGGGTGGATTTCTCATGAATGGTTTAGCACCAGCTCCCTTGGTACTGTCTTCACAATAGTGAGTTCTTGTGAAATATGGTTGTTTAAAAGTGTGCAGCACCTCCCTCCTTGTTCTCTTGCTCTTGCTTCCACTATGTGACATGCTGCTCCCCTTCACCTTTCACCATGATTGGAAGCTTCCTGAGTGGGGACTCCCCAGAAGCAGATGCCCCCATGTTTCCTGTAAAGCCTGCAGAGCCATGAGCCAATTAAGCTTCTTTTCATTATGAATTACCCAATCTCAGGTATTTCTTCACAGCAGTGCAAGAATGGACTAACACATTAGGCTAAATATCTTGATTTTGATGCATATTGTGATATGTCATTTAAGTTCCAATAAATAATGTATGTCTTCCATCAAGCAAAACAGAAGAAAATTCAAAATCTATAGCTTAAATTAATGAAAAAAGGGAGGTATTTTAAGGTGAGGCCAACTGAGCTCTGGTCCCATGAGATATAATTGGAAACCAGGCCAGCATTTCTCAAAGTATGATCTGCAGACCACCTCTACTATAATCACATGATGCACTTGTTAAATTACCGATGAATAAGGCCCACTGTGAAATGCTAAAATGCTAAGTCAGAGATTCTGGGAGAGAGGGCTTAAGAATCTGCATTCTTAATCGGCAGCCCAGGTAATTCTGACCTACTCAACTTTGAAACCATTAGTCTAGAATACAGATTTCACTATGGTTTCAAAGTTGATAAATGTGACTGACTGCTATGAGAAGGAAGGGGGAAAACGACCAGGGGATATTTGTGGTTAATTAGATAGGCAGGGTGGTGTGACAGTAAAGTGGGCTTTATAGCAACAATCCAGGATTTGACTAGCTGATACGTAGGGCAAGTCATTTAAATATCCTGATTATCTGTCTTTCTTCCTGTAAAATGTAAATAAGAGTACTACTGTAGGATCATGGTCATGAATAGAGAAAATTCGTATAAAGGGCACATATAGGGTGCCTGATAAGTTATAGCTATGATTATGTTGAGCCCTATGAAAGAGGATATTATTGTGCTTAATTTTTGCAGCTACATCTCAGAAAACTGCTGGGAAGCCCCAAGATCCAATATTTGAGAAAATATTTTGTAAGTAGGCCCTCTGACCCAATCCAATCATCACCGATACCTTATACATGGAGTACAAACAGGATCCCACAAGAAATCAGCAGCCTGAGAGAAAACGGAATAAAATTTGTTTCAGAAACACGGCAGAGTAATTCCAACTTTCCATTGCTTTACACCAAGACATGATTATAAAGGAAACTATAACTTCCTAAAGAGCAAAAAGAAATCATTTTGACTGAATTTGATGGGCTAGAAAAGATAAACTCTGCAGATAACAAAGAAACTAAAATTATAGCTCCAAGGAAGTAGAAGAAGAACATCAAGTTTTTGTTGTGTGTGATTAAATCTCATAGGAGCATGACAAGAAGACCTGAAGTGAGAAGAAAAGAAATGGTAGGTAAAATTTGTAAATGTTCAGTGTCCCTATAGCAAATCAGTGCAGTTTTGTGTTTGTGTTTGAAGAAATTACTGTTTCAGGCATTAGGTCCTGGTGAAGATAGAAAGCACGTTTTGGTTGATATACAACATAATTGCAGAGAAGGATGAAGCACATTTAATACTTTTTCTTCTCAAATTTTAAAAGTGGTCATTTGGATAATGGTCAGAAGTAGGTTTTAATTTTCACAGCTTTAAAAAAAAATAGTTGAGAGGAGGGAGTGCCTTCCTAGAGAATCCTAGGTAATTATTTTTCAGTTTATTAAGTGGTTATAGCTCTAATGCTGAACCACTAGAAAGAGAAAAAGTCTGGTTGTGATTTAAATTAAGGCAGCAGGCAATTAGCAAGAAAAGAAGGCTTCCTTATATTTCTTGTTTATTTTTAATAATGCCATCCAGGGAATAGATTTAACAGTATTATTTAAGAAGTTTCGTAATGTCTCTCCTTCCAGGCAGTGCTAGGATTGATTTTTAGCTTAAACTCTAACCTAGAAGTATTTTCAGAAACAAAACAAGCAAAACAAAACCCTCTTCCCATTGCTATTAAGGGAACAAACCACCAATAGAACAAAAGGAGAGAAAATCATGGGAACACAGAACTCAACAGGAAGTCATTCCTGGGTTTATGTCAATCTGACAGTTCAACAGATGCGACTGAATAAAGACTGAATTTCTTAGAAATCAGTTCGTGAGGATTTCATTGTACTATTAACACTAGGCAACTATCGACAATCTGGAAAGTGCAGATTGCCATTGTAAAAGAAAACTACAGGACCTCCAAAATAAAATAATCAGTATCAGTGAGGAGAATTCTAGATTAGCCTAGAAAAAAATCATTTATTTGACCATACCTCACTAAAGTTTTTTTTAGCAGTTGCCAGGGATCAGATATTTAGACAAGATGTTCCACCTAGGTACTAGACTTTCTTCTATATGCTGGAAAGCCAGAGATGAATTAAAATACAGTCTATGACCTCAAAGAGCTTACAGTCTTAAGGAATTAGAATTCTTCATATCCTTTGTGCATGTGTACACTTGAGTTTAGTGTATTGTACACTATATATTGTTGCCATTTTATAAAATCATTTATCCATTAATTCTCTATTAATCCTTTTACTGTATTTATTGATAAACTACTCTAAGACCATGTCATTGAGAAATAGTAGAAGCAGATTTACCTGATTATTCTGTCTGGATAGCAGTGACTTATCTGATAACAGATCAGGCCACCTGTTATACCATGTGGAGGCCAAAGCAACTCCATCTTGCAAGGTAATCCACCACGTTGGCTTCTGATTAACCCCTGTTCTGGGAAGGCCTCTAAGATTTCCAGTTTGTCTACTGTTCCTTGTGTAAAGCAGGTACTTACTGTAAATCCTGCCCCTAAGTAAAACAACCTTGATGTTATCATACTTCAATTGTCCCACACCTCCCTTCTGAACCACCCCTTCCCTATGGTACACAAGCCCTCAGTCTAAGGGGTCTGAGGGGTAATGGCACAGGGATCCACCATCTTGTCTTGCCACCACTCAAGACACAGACATGGCTTCTTTTTGTCAGTCCCTATTAAATGTTTCTTTCTAAGAAACTCAGTTTGCCTGCCTCTTTCTTTGGCCTCTCAACTTCCTCGGACTTTAGGGATAGGTTTGCATAGACCTTCATGCTGCAAGACATACCCTTTGAGGACTATGGCCTTAACAAGGCTTATTTGAAGCTGGAAGTGTACACATTTTTAACAATGGCACATTATTACTTTATAGTAGGAAAAAATCATTGTGAATGGTTTTACAGGAAAGTGATATTACATATGAAAGGTAAAATAGTTATTAACCTCCCTTTAAGAGATTTCAACAAGAATCTAAATTTTCTTTTTATAGGGAGAATCCAATTCTTTCACAAAGTGTATCATCGTCACTTGGGCATAATTCATTGCCAAGGAATGACTCCTCACACAGATACTGGTGTTAGTAAGGTATTTGCATTTTTCATGCATTTCTCTGCAGTTCAGAGCTTTATGTTTGGAAAAACAAATTAAGGCTAAAGTTATATAATCCTAATCTGGTCCTACCTTCACTGAAAACCAATACCTCTCTGGCATGATTTCACTGTTCTAGCCCAGGCTGAAACTGCCATTTTAGTATTTTAAAAACTATCTTTTGTAACCATATCAAAGAAATTCTTTCAAGTTGAGTTACATGTTATTGATTTTTGGCATTTCTGGAGGAAGAAGTTGGCTCTATTTTGACATAAGGTGTGATGATCATTTTTAAATGGACAAGATGGACTTTAGTCAAAAGACCTTGATTTGTTCCTTCTAAAGTGATTTAGTATTCTGAAACAGGCAGCTGTGGTATGCTTTTAAATCTTCTACCTGACTCGGAAAGAAGGAACAGAAAGAGGCAGCTTGACTATTATATACGTATATGCATGTGTGTGCATGCATGTGTGTACACATGCCTATGTTCTAAATATATATGTGTGTGTGTGTGTGTGTGTGTGTGTATCCCAGAATATATATACAATGAATTTTAAAGTCTTGAACTAGTTTTTTTCCTTCACAGTAACATGCGAGAGCGTACCTTGAACTGTTTTCCATCATGATTAATTGCTGAGTAACAAAGGGTTCCCCAAATCCTCAGAAAGAGTCTTTTCATGGCTTACAATGAATGCATCTCCTTTGACAAAGTCACTAGCAGGAAGGATAAAAAAGAGCTTAAGTAGCAAACACACCTCCATTTGTTGTAAACCCAAGCTAAGCTTTTTATAGCTGCTTTTCATTTTCTTTGTCTTGAGCTAAGTAACTTCTAAACAAGGGGAATCTCTCTGTAGTTATAATGTGACTGAGGCACAGGGTTAGCCTTTTGAAATAGTCCAACCCGGTTTTCTTCCTTTCTTTTAAATACTAAGCATGAAGTCATAAATTAGAAAATGCATAGATTTTCTGTTATAAGCCCATTTATTAAGGTCTGACAGAATAACTCTATCTAGTTTAATCTAGTTGCAGGGCACTTAGATTTATTAAAGGAAGCTGTAATACCTTTCTTTCAAAGAAGAGCCAGGCACACCTACTGTATTCAGAGATTATGGTGATTTAGCAGCAATGTGTGGGATATTTCTTTTTCCTTCTGACTTCTTTTATGACATTTTTGAAAGCTTCAAAAATAATAAACTATAAAACGAAATTTTTCTCTCTCAAAGATTGTCTTGTGGGTTTGGTATCCCTCACTATCTAAAATGCATTACTATAAAAATTTTGCAGGTGCACGTATCTTTGTCACAGCAGAGTACTTGGTAACAAACAAATTACAATGAAGTTCATTTACAGTGGAGTGAGAGGTGTTCCTCATTTATTTTCCGATCTAAATTGTCCCATAAGAGACAGCAATCTTGGTACTTTTGCTCTTGCTAACAATTAGTGGAAAATAATTTTAATGATAGATTTATTATTTTTTTCTTTTCAGACAGAGTCTCACTCTGTCACCCAGGCTGGAGTGTGGTGGCCGGACCTCAGCTCACTGCAGCCTTTGCCTAGCAGGTTCAAGCATTTCTCCTGCCTTAGCCTCCTGAGTAGCTAGGACTACAGACATGCACCAGCACGCATGGCTAGTTTTTGTGCTTTTAGTACAGACAGGGTTTTGCCATATTGGCCATGCTGGTCTCGAACACCTGGCTTCACGTGATCTGCTCACCTTGGCCTCCCAAAGTGTTGGGATTACAGGTGTGAGCTACCACTCCCAGCCCATACATTTAATTCTTAAAAACTATAATAAAATAAACAAGACTATATACGTGGCTAAATAATGGAGGTAAGTTGTCTATTGTCTTTTTAAAAAATTTTACCAAGAATAAAAAAAATATGATGTTGCAAAAGCTGTTCAGTCACAGTAGCAGTTCATATTGGAATGCTTGGGCCAGGCACTAAAATCACTTCACAGAGCATGCTCCAAGTAAATCAAGCAAATAGGAAAATATGTATTTACAGCTTTCTGTGAACATTCAAAAGTTACTTGCTTCAGCTGGGCGTGGTGGCTCACACCTGTAATCCCAGCACTTTGGGAGGCCCAAGTGGGTGGATCACCTGAGGTCAGCAGTTCAAGACCAGTTGGGCCAACAAGTGAAACCCCGTCTCTACTAAAAATATAAAAAATTAGCTGGACGTGTTGGCGCGCACCTGTAGCCCCGGCTACTCGGGGAGCTGAGACAGAAGAATTGCTTGAACCCAGTAGGCAGAGGTTGCAGTGATCCGAGATCGCACCACTGCAGAAGGTAATGGGGGCGGGTCATGGTAGCTTATGCCTGCAATCCCAGTGCTATGGGAGGCGGAGGCTGGAGAGTCGCTTGAGCCCAGGAATATGGGCTGCAGTGAGCTATGATTACACCACTGCACTCCAGCCTGGGCTACAGAGGTGAGACTCTGTCTCAAAATAAATAAATAAATAAATGAATGAATGAATAAATAAATAAATAAATAAATAAATAAAATTACTTGCTTCAAAGGCATGTATGGGTGCTTTCTTTCCTAGGCTCCTATTGCCCCTGTATCCCACATGGGTTAATTGTTTCAATAGGGAAGGATTTGTGAGCAGGAAACCCAACGTTCTCTGTATCTTCAGGGCCCAGTCATATATGTTGGCATACAGCAGATACTCATCTACATTACTACCAAAAAATGATGGAATGATTAAGTTGCTGTGAAATTTTTTTCTTAACTTTTAGGTCTCTTGACATTTCCCAGTGAGATATAGAAAAAAAATATTAATTTCAGTAGTTAGAAACACAATCCTTTCCCAGTTCTTAGATGTGAACTGCCTGCCCTTTGATTTTTAGACACGCCCTTGGGCTCTCTGGCTGCCTCTTTTTCTTCTGCACTGTGTATTCTTTGTGCTTTCTCCATTGCTCTGATGCTTAGGAGCTGGCTTTCCTGCATGACCCCATCCATTTATTTTCTTATGGAAATACTAGAGTTCATATGGTTATTTCTTCATTAGCATAGTTGAATGCTAATTGCATTTGAATAACTTTTTTCATTTTCGTATCTTTTCTTTTTTGCCTTAAATCAAATGTGGATCCTTGCTTTTTTAGAAAGGAAGAGAGAAGACTTCAGAGGATTAGTGACAATAAATTGTTTTAACAGAGATATAATTTGATCTAAAAAAGGATGAGACATTTCCATTATGATTTGTTGTTGTTGTTGTTTGCTCTTTAAGAGACAGAGTTTCTCTCTGTTGCTCAGGCTGGAGTGCAGTGGCGCAATCATAGCTCACTGCAGCTCAAATTCCTGGGTTCAAGCGATCCTCCAGCCTCAGCCTCCCATAGCACTGGGATTGCAGGCATAAGCTACCATGACCCGCCCCCGTTATCTTTTGAGCTGGAAAGTTAAAATCATAGGAATGAGGATTAAAGCAAGTAAATCAAATGAGAGATAATAAATAAAGAAGAATAGTTAATCCTTAATGATGTATTAGACGATTATCCAGGTAAATGCACTTTGTTTCCTTTAATTCTGTTTCTGGCCAGTTTACAAATTAAAAACAAGTAAGTTAAATCAACATTCACAAGTTAAACATTATTGTAACCTCCATCACTGATAACGCAAGTAATAGAAATTGCTACCGTTTATTCGTTAAATATAATGTGTTAATCTCTGTACTATGCACTTAAGCTGCATTAGCACACATTCAATCTTCCCAGCGATGCTATGAGTTAGACATAATCCCTGTTTTATAGATGCGAAAACTGAGATTTATAGAGGCTGAGATCATATGGCTACCTAGGGACAAAGCCGTGTGACTCCAAAATCCGTGCTTGTAAACATTATACTCTTCTATGTATTTAATAACTACTACTCCACCACTCTGTAAAGGACCCAACTATTTGGGGAACAGGTTTTAAACAGTTATTAAAGCTATGTTTGAAATCATATCCTGATTTTATTTGTTGATTGTATTATTGATATGTTTTCACTTGTAAGATTAGGCTTATGTTAATCCCAACTAATCGTAACAAACCATAACGCAACCACGGCCACAAATGTCCAGATGGCAATCAACTCTGGCCAACCTACCATATTTCTGTAGTTTGCTTCCCTCTCCAAAATGACAATTTTATTTATACTCTGTTCTCTTCTCTTTTTGTCCACCTTCTTGTCATATCAAATCCTCTGACTCAGCTGATAATGTAGCCTCATTTTCTTTCAGAAAATACGTACCATTGCAACTTTCTCACCTTCCCATTGTGAGCCCTATCTCCCTTCCTGCACCTGAATCAAAAGGATAAAATGATTCGCCCTTATCAAGGACACCCCTTCCATTTGTTTTCTGGATCCCAAGAACCCTTCAACGATTTTCCTCCTTTCTTTGTCCCATTTCTCTCCTGCATCACCTTCCTTTTTACTGGATCTTTTTACTGAAAGTGTCTTCCTTTTTACTGAATTGTTCTTACTAGTGTATGGACAGGCTTGCACTTTCCCTCTTAAAAGAAACAGCTCTCTCTGTAGTCCTCATTTACCTTCAGCTATGGACCTTCAAATTGTCCTCTTCACTGCAAAACTTGTTGAATTTTCTGTAGCAACGGACTCTATTTTGTCACTACCCATTTTCTTCTCAACCCACGCCCATCAGACTTGTGTTCCCACCAATTCACTGAGACTGTACTTGACAGCATGACCAATGAAGTCCATTCCCCAAATCCAGTCATCACACCCTCTGACACTGTTGTGCTGAGCCCCTATGAACCTTAATATGGAAGGCACTGGGTTCAAGAGGCCAAAGAAGAGACCACAGGCCAGCAAATGAGATGTGGGGTTTTTGGGGGGCTTACATGCAGTGGAGAAAGTGCAGTGGTGGCAGACTAGACAGGAGAAGCACTTTACATACAAAACGGTCCAGTGGCAGCAGGCTGCACAACATATCTGCCTTCCTACAGTCTAGTGGCTGTGAGCTAGGCAGGAAAACTGCAACCACTCACAAACTGCATTTTCACTTAACACCCTGCCTTTAATGACCGCCATCCAGCCACTTTCATTTAACCCATAACTGAGGTCCTCAATCCCCTGTATGCCCCATGTTTCACAGGACGGGATGGAGGCTCAGATGTTTCTCACAGATAAGAAATGAATCTCCCGGTTGGCCATGCCTGGATTCCCTAGCTCAGAACACACATTAAGGTGCATCTGCCCTATGAGTCATTCTAAGGGTGTGCTTAAGCTATTGCCATCAGGTGTGTTTACCCTGCAGACACTGACTTGTCAATGGCATTTGGCTACTTCTTTTTGAAGAATTTTCTTCTCTTAGCTCCCAAGACATCATCATCTCTTGTTTTTTTCCGGCCTGATTGTCACTCATTCCCTTTCTCTTTTGCCTTCTTCATTTGATCTTTAGATGTTGAGCTGCCTGTGGGCTTTTCCATTTATACACCTGTTAGTCAACTTCATGGCTTTGAATATGCCCAATACTGAAATAACTCCCAAATAGCTCTAGCCCAACTTTGCTCCAGAATCCACTCACCTACTTAACGTGTCATTTAGATGTCTAATAAATATCTCAAACTCCCATTTTTTTCTTCCCGTTCTTTCTCTGGTCTCATCCAGTATACAGAACTACAATCTTTCAAATTACTTACGTATACTTAATTCATCTCATTTCTTCATTCTCCATATCCAGTACACCCATCACAGTATTTTTGTTTTTCTGTCTAATACTCTCAATCATTACCACTATCACCTTAGACCAAGAAGCTTGAATTACTGCTGTGGTTCCCTCACTGGTCTACTGTTTTCAATAGTATCTTTTCTATCAGTGACATCTTGCATTCACCTGTTTACCTAATTCCTCAATACAATCAGAGAATTTTTTTTTAAGTTACAGGAACATAGGGGCTCTTAAACATAAACATAATTTTTTAGTCCATGAAAGATTCAGGTAAGGATACCTTTGTAGATGTCTCATGATTAATTCAGCTAATTTGAAAACTTCCCAAAGAAACTAAGATATCAAAGAGCACAGAGAAAAAGTGCTCGCATTTTTTATTCCTGGAGAAATAGACTTAGGTTTCACATATTTTACATAGAAATGACATTTTATCATGACTTATTTGCTGTGAAAAATTGAGAAAAAAGCTTATGCTAGTGGGTGCTTACCTTAAGGCCAAGAATATAGTTCATGCACTATAATGAATCTTGGTGTATCACCATGATGGTGAATAAACAAAAGGCAAGTCACCACTTCTACCATTGCAATGCTCCTCCTATTTTACTTGGCTCTTACAGAAACATCAGTCAAAATATGCCTGCCTATTTTGTTTTCACTGTCTGACCATCATTGCAAACAATTACAACCAGACTCTTATTATTACTTATAAAAAACAATTTTCATAAAAAAATATATTATTTTAGCTTGTAGGTAAGGAAAGTTGCTTGGCTCAGGGGCTAACCAGGAGGGGGATTTGAGGCCACACCTTCTACCTAGTTGTGTGTCTTTGTTAGTTAATGCTCTATTTTACTTACTGCTATGACTTCTGATTGATATCAAATCGATGACCTTTAAATCATAAAAAAGCATTAAACTGAGAAAAAAAATTGTATGAGAGAACTGGATTCCAAGCATATTAAGAAACAGAAGTGATAGTAGTTAATTTGATTATGGTATGAAAATTAGGTAATAGAGATTTTGAATATGACCACTGGCCACATCTTTACTCCCTCACTCACAGGTTTGTGGGTCTATCAAAGTCTTAAGAAGTCTTCTATTAGTGTCTCCTCCGTAGTACACACACATAAGGTTTTCTAGATGTGCTTATTTGTGCATTCTGAGGTCTACTACTCCTTCAATTGCTCATTTCTTTGATTCATTCTTTTTCCTGACTCTTCATTTTTCTCAGACCCTAGACACTGCTAAATGAATGTCTTTGAATTTACTCCCATATAATGCCTCTAATTTACTCTGTTTAAAGGACCAGAATAAAGGAAATAGAGAAGACGGAGATTTTACATTGTGAACTATCAATTGACTGCATCTTTAAAATGTATACTGAAAAGCATTTGCAAGTTTCTATTTGATTTACTAAAATTGAGTTACGGTTACAATTCCCTAGCAACATGTCTGTTAAGTGGGTAAGACCTGCATTGCTGTTTCTTAGTAAACCAGCTAACTGGAAGGCAAATTTTTATCAAGTAATGTGCAGTACTCATACTAACAAAACAGTTATCCTAAAGCTGTGCTGAAAATGATAGGTATTTGATATATTAAAGGATATCTGCAATATTTACAGTGATTTTTTGATTCTTTATATAAATTATTTACTATACAGGTCTCACTAAAAATTAATTACTAGCTTTTTGCTGAGGATGGTGCTTTCTATATATGCCTTTTGGGTTATTTCTCACCATTAGAGTATAGGCTGGCTATGTGTTAAGTTACTTTTAAAAAATAACTTGGATATTTTGGTTTCAAACTCTTACATGCTGATTAGGAAGGCCTGGCTTGTTTACAGCTCTTCTTTTTAACAGGCAAATAATAATTCATGTTATTAGTGGTCGGTTTAGACATTTTTTTGCCTTTCAGAATTTGAGAAATTTCTAAGGGCTAAAGCAACACATTCATTCGCATACTACAGTGAGGTTTTTGTGTTAAATTTGCAGTTAGGCAGCTGGTACATGGGGCAATGAAAGACAATTTCAATGATTCCTAGAATTTAAGTGTTCTAGAAAACACTTGTGTTATAAAACAATGAATATGAGAGCTTTCTCTGTCTCCAGCCAAGGTAGAAGTGGAGAGGTTGTGGGTGGGAAAAATTATTTGATTTTCATCATATTTGGGGGAAAACTAGAAATTCCTGTGGTCCTTTGAGACAATCATGTATGCAGACACTTGAACCCCTCTTTATGTTATCTGCCATCAAATTTCTCATAATATTATTGACTATTCTATTTCTGTGGTTAAAAAAACACCTCTTTCCTGTTCTTTAAGTCAGTTATTGAGATGGCATTGTGTTTTGTTGCAAGCAATGGTTCCCAAATATGATATCCCTGAGAGATGATATCAGAAATTATATATCTATTGAAGCAGTGAGATGGAAAAGAAAGAAATTATAGAGACACTTAATATATGTATTCTCCCTCCCTCATGTGCATTTGTGTGCATGTGTGTGTGTGTTCCTGGTCTTACCCTATTTCCCAGGTGATTCTTCCACAGAGCACTGTGTAGGAATCCTAATTAATAGCACATTATAACCTCCCTCATAGGACCCTTACAGAAAGATGAGGGAAGCCCTGAAGTTACCTGATGGGTCAGATAGCCAAACAGTACAGATTTTAATATGTGTTGTAAAGAGACAGAAACTTTTATCTTTGTGTAAGAAGATCTTTCTTTAGGTTATTTCTCTCTTGTGGATCTTTTCTTTTTTACGGTCTTTCCCTATGGGATTGGCGTATTAAAACGGGACCAGGTGTTCTCCAGCTTGTAAGCAGACACTAAAATAAGACCAGGGCTCAGGAGAATGAAGGCAGGAAGCAGTGTCTAGGTGGGCTTTTCATCTACGGCAAGTCCTCTACCTGATAATCAGGTAGAAGTGAAAAAAAAGCAGATAGGGTCCTTGTGGCCTTTATGAGGTTCAGGGAGCAGATTCTAGTTAGTAATAAAAGAGTCATTTGCCTTTATATCATCTTTGCTGTACATGCCCCTTGAGGAATTAACTAGCATGGCTAACACATGGAAGATAGCATGGTGGAATTGGTGAAGTTAGGATTCTGTTACCATGTCCTGGGAGACATCATTAACCAACAGTGCTACAGAAAGAAAATGTGGGCTGGGCTCCGTGGCTCATGCCTGTAATTCCAGCACTTTGGGAGGCCGAGACGGGTGGATCACGAGGTCAGGAGTTCAAGACCAACATGACCAACATGGTGAAACCCCGTCTCTACTAAAAATACAAAAATTAGCTGGGCATGGTGGCAGGTGCCTGTAATCCCAGTTACTTGGGAGGCTGAGACAGGAGAATCGCTTGAACCTGGGAGGTGGAGGTTGCAGTGAGCTGAGATCATGCCACTGTACTCCACCCTGGGCGACAGAGGGAGACTCCATCCCCCCCCCGACCAAAAAAATGAAAGAAAAAAGAAAGAAAGAAAAGAAACTGTATGTTGTAGACAGCAGTACAATAAAATTTCTTGAGTGCCTCTGAGTGTGTCATTATCCTAGAAGACCCTTACTTAACCTTGTTGAACTGGCATGTTACGCTAAAAAACAAAACAGCAACCAAAAAGTCAAAATTTGCTATAAGGAAACAAGGTTATCAGTATTTAAATGCCTTTCTAAAGTCTTGTGTTCTTGATTCTAACAATCACTATAAACTATCAGCTCTTTAATTTCTAAAAGGAGGTTTTGTTTGGGTTCTATATGACTTTCTGTTGGCTATGAGAGCCTCAGTACCATTCACTTCCAAAGCAGGCTTCAACTACTAAAATGTAACTTACACCACAAAGAGAAAGGAAGCTTTGCAGTTCCTCCTCGGGCAGTAGCATGCCTGCGGATGAGATCGTGGCTCTCACAGAGGGACATTTCAGCCCAAATTTCAACCTATTTGACTTGACCATTTAAAGGGCTGACCTTTTATAATACAGAAACTTAAACAGATTCCACAACTCTTTTATGGCTGCACTGCTCTCTTTCTAACTTGGTTTTTTTATTTTTGTAGGTATGAAAGGCTTTAGATCAGATACTGAGAACCTCATAACAGTAAAAGAAGCTTAATTAAAGTCAGTGGAAAATGCACAGTAAGAGAAAATAAAAGCAGCAAGTAACAGAAATCACACGAGCTAGATCTAGAAGCCCATCTGGGATAAACCCAGGAGGCATAATGCCTTCCAGACCATCTATGAGATTAAGGGAGAGAGAATTAAAAGTTGAATCTAAGTTAAAGAGAAATACCTCCTGATAAATATTGCTAACTCCAATTTTGCATTCAGAATATCCTAAAAATCTAGACATCCAACAGTGTCAAACCCCTTTTCTTTTTTCATTTATGTTAAACTAGATTTTTGTGATCCTGTGGCATGTCATGGGGCAGGCCTCCTAGGAAGCCTTTTGTAGGTGGACATGGGTGCTGGGTTTGTGGATGGAAGGATGGTTTGGAGCAGAATCCCCTATGTGGTATTTACTACACAAGTATGAGTATTTTTGTGAGCAAAGCCAGCAGAATAACTGGGCACTTAGGATATCTTAAGTCTATAGCAGTTGTAAATTTTTTAGGTCACTGTCTTCTTTTGTGTCTCTAACGGTCTCTGTCCACCTTATTATTCAACTCTTACTTTGCATGATTTGAGCCTTTGATGATGTGACACGGCATGGAAGACCAATGCGAATAAAAATAACTAAAGGGATTAGATCCAACAAGATCTTCAACATTTAAAAATGTTTCCTGCAATTTCTAATTAAGTTTGCCATTTGTTGATCATGTGTGTTTCAAGATCTAGGTTATAAAAAGAATCAGACATTTTTAAAGTGGCCATTTGGCTGTTCGGAGTTCTGCTAGAAATCCCAACAGATTTCTGTGCATGTTACATAGTTGCTGTGGGAATGTCATGAGCTTGCTGTCCTTTCAGTAGCATAGCAACAAGTCCAGGCATGACTGTTCCTCAGCAGGTTCAGCAAAACAGCATGTACACTGCTTTCCTATAAAGCAGGAGAGGCTGAGCCAGAGTGTGACTAAGGCCTGGCCTTGCCCAAGTATGCTGGGGAAAATGTGAATAACATGCAGGGCAACTACGCCCTGCTTTAAAGCATTCCTCTGTTGCTGCCTTAAGATGAGAAGTGTATTTAAGGGTTCTTATTATGATTTATGTCCATATACATGAAATATACCTTATGATATTGAGATAAATGTGGCCTCTACATTTCATTTAATTTGAAGGGTTGTGAAAAAATGGCAGTCCCATAAATAATTAAAGATCTACTGCAGATGAAGGAGAGCTGCCCATTGGTGTGATCATCTGGATGTTACCGTATTTGCTTAATTTGATTCCTTCCTCTAGACAACAATCTTCTAAAAAATCAAAACAAAACAATCTCCTGCAACAAAAACAACAAACAGCTGACATTTAGATATCCTCCCTATTTGCAAAAACTCAACTAAGCATTTCTATAGTATACAATGCTTACAACTACAGCATCCAATGCTTACAAATCCTATGAGACAATACTATTATCCCCATTTTGCAGATGCAGAAACTGAGGCTCAGAGAAATTGACTATTTTATCAAAACCACAGAAAAAGTTAGAGGTGGGATGTGAACACAGGTCTACCGGGATGTAAACCTGTTCTATAAGTGGCATTCTCTATTTTCCCAGGAATCATGACTTGTCATTGTATACCAAATGCCTAACATAGGGCCGGACACTTTAAGCTTGTAATAAATATCTTTGGACTGATTTGATGAAGCTTAACAAAGATATCCAATTAGTCTGTTTATAAGATTATGGAAGACACGAAGTTTCCATCTGTTTCTCCAGGCACTTTAAAATTATATTTGGAATTCTTTTACAGAAATCAGAATTTCAGGAACTCAGTTTAAAACTTAAGAGCCCCATAGATCTGGACAGCAGATCTTACGTGGGGACACAGTTCACATGGCCCACATGACAAAGTGGCAAATGGGGGAAACAAAGGACATTTTGATGAAGGATTTGAGTGAGATGAGTAAGCAGGGAAAGGAAATGGCTAAATTTGTTGTTGTCTCAGAGGTTAATGGAAAATATCCATGCTTTGCTGAGCGTAACTCACTGCATAAAAGATGCAGCAAAGTTGCTTAACAAGGTCACTCAGCTCCTGGAAGATTTTTGATCTATGCTCAATCAAATCCTTTCACCTGTGGTGGCAGGTCAGACCTTGCACGCGGAGTCAACCAAATTAGTCACCTGAAATTCAAGTGCCCAGATTGCACTTTCTTAGGATTTAGTTTCTTGTCACTGTCACCACCTGGGAATGACACTTCCTAATTGAGTGTATTCAGTAATGCCCAGAGGCTTTTCTGCTGTAAACCCCAGAGGACACCTATTTATCTTATTTATATTCAGGCTATTTGCTGAAGAAAGGCATTCATGTCAGCAGAAAGAGCCAACTTCGGAAAATAAGGAAGATTCCACCAACATGACATCAGTTATCACTGCATCCTTTTTTTGCATAAACAAAAACCAAACCAAACAAATTTAAAAAACACTGAAAGCATAAATATAGGGTTAAGAGTTACGACAGTGTTTTTGGTTTCAGCTGCCAATATAGAGCACCAGTGCTTTGGCCCAAGTCCTAGTCACTCAGTTTAATGTTTCTATCCAGAACACATATAAACAAAAAGAGATGTCAAAAACACCTATGCATAGGGATGCTGGATTCCTTGAGGTCAGCCTCCTGAAGATAATTGAACTTTACTATTTTAATATTATTATAGTAAGCTATGTTGACATAACTGCCCGATTCTGTTTGTAAGTGTATTATAGCACGTTGACTACATACTACTGTGCTGTAACAAAAGACTTGTTTTCACAGGATTAAATCTGGTGACTTCAGGTAGAGCAGCAAAATTCTTCAAAAATTGTTACCACAATCTTGTCTGAAGTATTGAGTTTAATTATTATCTCTCACCTGAACTATTGAGATTGATTAACTGATCTTCTCAATTCTTACAACTCCCCACACCAATTATTCCTACTCATTGCTGAGATATAAATCACAACTTTACCCATGAGATTTTCCCTGCACATATACTTTTTATGCCTCTTTATTGCCTACAGAGTGAAATCTGAAAGTCTTAACCCAACACAATCTTTTAATTATTGATCTGATATATTCAACTATTCTGCAGTGGAACAAGCATTTTTTCTGTGTGCAATGTATTTTTTTCTGTTTTTGTCCATGGTTTTACTGTCTACTGAAATTCCTATCTTCCCTATGTGTAATTGTGAACTGTCATCTCAAAAGTGATTTTTTTCATGAAGTTTTCTGATTTCCTTAAGGAGGGATATTTTCTTTCCTTTGCATGTCTCATGGTAATTATCTCTATTTTTCTTTTTTGTCTTTATTTATTCTAACTTTATTATTATTTATAAATTTATATTATCTTCTAATTATGTTGTAAGTAACATAAAGTCAAGGTTATATTTTATCTTTGTCTTGCATGTAGAATCTCGTTAAAATTTATTGAATTGAGTTGGACTCTTGCTAATTGGCTGCATTAATCGGTTTTCACACTGCTATAAAGAACTACCTGAGACTGGGTAATTTATGAAGAAAAGAGGTTTAATTGACTCGCAATTCCTCAGGCTTAATAGAAGGCATTACTGGGAGGCTTCAGAAAACTTACAATCATGGCAGAAGGCGAAGGGGAAGCAAGTAGGTCTTACCATGGGAGCGGGAGAGGGAGAGAGAGAGGCAGGGGTTGGGGGAAACTGTCACATCCTTTTAAACCATCAGATTTCTTGGGAACTCACTCACTATCATGACAACAGCATGGTGGAAACTGCCTCCATGAACCAATCACCTTCCACCAGGTCCCTCCCTTGACACATGGGGATTACAATTCGAGATGAGATGGGTGGCGACACAGAGCCAAACCATATCAACCATCCCTGACCCCTCCCAAATCCCATGTCCTTCTCACATTTAAAAACACAACCATACCTTTCCGACAGTCTCCCAAAGTCTTCTCATTCCAGCATTAACCCAAAATTCCAAGTCCAAAGTCTCATCTGAGACAAGGCAAGTCCATTCTGCCTATAAGCCTGTAAAATAAAAAGAAAGCTAGGAATATTTTTTAGATATAATGGGGGTATAGACCTTGGGTAAATGCTGCATTCCAAATGGGAGAAACTGGCCAAAACAAAGGGTCTACAGGCCTTCTGTAAGTCCAAAACTCTACAGGGCAGCCATTAAATCTTAAAGCTCCAAAATAATTTTGTTTCCCTCCATGTCTCACATCCAGGATATGCTGATGCAAAGGGCAGGCTCCCACAGCCTTGGGCAGCTCTGCCCCTGTGGCTCTGCAGGGTACAGCCCCCACATGAATGCCTTCATGAGCTGGCATTGAGTGCCTGTGGCTTTTCCAGGAGCATGATGTAAGCTGTCAGTGGATTTACCAGTCTAGGGTCTGAAGGACAGTGACCCACTTTTCACAGCTCTACTAAGCAGTTCCCCAGTGGGGACTCTGTGTGGGGTCTCCATTCCCACATTTCCCCACTGCATTGCCCTAGTAGATGTTCTCCATGAAGGCTCCACCCCTGCAGTAGACTTCTACCTGAGCATCCAGGCATTTTCATACATTCTCTGAAATCTAAGTGGAGGCTCCCAAAGCTCAACTCTTGCCTTCTGTGTACCTGCAGGCCCAACACCACATGGAAGCTACCACAGCTTGGGGCTTGCACCCTCTGAAGCAATGTCTTGAGTTGTACACTGGGGCCTTTTAGCCACAGCTGGAGCTGGAGTTGCTGAGATGCAGGGCGCATGTCTCAAGGCTGCACAGAGTAGCAGGGCCCTAGGCACCACCCAAAAAAACATTTTTCCCTCCTAGGCCTCTGGGCCTGTGATGGGAGGGGATGCTGTGACCATCTCTGAAATGCCCTAGAGACGTTTTCCCCATTGTCTTGGCTATTAACATTTGGCTTCTCTTAACTTATGTGAATTTCTGCAGCTGGTGGCTTGACTTTCTCCCCAGAAAATGGGGTTTTCTTTTTTACGATATGGTCAGGCTCCAGATTTTCCAAACTTTTATGCTCTACTTTCCTTTTAAATATAAGTTTCAATTTCAGGCCATCTCTTTGGAATGCCTATGACTGTATGCTTTGAGAAACAGCCAGGTCACCTCTTGAATGCTTTGCTGCTTAGAAATTTCTTCTGCCAGATACCCTAAATCATCTCTCTCAAGTTCAAAGTTCCACAGAGCTTTAGGGCAGGGATAAAATGACACCAGTCTCTTTGCTAAAGCCAGGCATGGTGGCTCAGGCCTGTAATCCCAGCACTTTGGGAAGTCGAGGCGGGTGGATCACCTGAGGTCAGGAGTTGGAGACCAGCCTGGCCAACATGATGAAACCCTATCTCTACTAAAAATACAAAAAATAGCTGGTTGTCGTGGTGCATGCCTGTAATCCCAGCTGATTGAGTGGCTGAGGCAGGAAAATCTCTTGAACCCAGAAGGCAGAGGTTGCAGTGAGCCAAGATCGTGCAACTTCACTCCAGCCTGGGCAAAAAAGCGAGACTCCATCTCAAACAAACAAACAGCATAGCAAGGGTGATCTCTGCTCCAGTTCTCAATAATTCCTCATCTCCATCTGAGACCACCTCAGCCTGGACTTCACATCACTATCAGCATTTTGGTCAAAACCATTCAAAAAGTCCCTAGGAAGTTATAAACTTTACCACATCTTCCTGTCTTCTTCTGAGCCCTCTAAACTGTTCCAACCTCTGCCTGTTACCCAGTTCCAAAGTCGCTTCCACATTTTCAGGTATTTTTATAGCAGTGCCCCACTCTCTTGGTGCCAATTTTCTGTACTAGTCAGTTTTCACACTGATATAAAGAACTACCTGAGACTGGGTAATGGTTCCCAGTTTTGCAGGCTTAACAGGAAGTATGACTGGGAGGCCTCAGAAAACTTACAATCATAGTAGAAGGTAAAAAGGAAGCAAGCACTTCTTACCATGGTGTCAGAAAGACAGAGCGAGAGGGAGGAACTGCCACATACTTTGAAACCACCAGGTCTCATGAGAACTCACTCACTATCAAGAGAATAGCGTGGGAGAAACCTCCTCCCCACCTCCATGATCCAATCACCACCCACCAAATCCCTCTCTCAACATGTGGGGATTACAATTTGCAATAAGATTTGGGTGGGGACACAGAACCAAAACATATCATAGGCCATTTTAATTTCTTCTAGATTTCCACTTGTTTTATTTTCACCTAGGGAATACAGGGTGTCATTGCTGATGATTTAGCACTTGCAAATTTCAAGTAGAATTTGAAATACTGATGTCTATTGAATATGATCCATTTCTAATGTTAAAAGGAAGTGGGTTAAAGCTCATGGGGAAGGGTAATATTTTTGCCTGAAATTCCCTCTACTTTAAATTCTCTTTGTCATCAAAGGAATTAGCCTTCTGCAGCATTTAATTACGTGTAGCACTCCAAACTACTTGGCATTGTGCAAAACTAGTTAAACACTGTTTTGTTGAAGATGATAAGTAGAGCTCATTTTCATGTAATTTTGTATACATTTGGTCTGGGAAGAACTAGAGAATGGAGATTATACCCAGTAGCCTTTTTATATTTAATTGTTTGTTATTTTAATTCTCAGTGTTCTCTTCTGGCATTTCAAGTACTCCAGAGACTAAACTGACACCCATGAATTACAATGCTTTATAGCTACACTGAAACTTGACTCAAGGATAGTAGCATTTCAAACTGAATTGAACAAAAAATTAATCTAGGGGGCTATGATACTTTATTAAGGATACATAGGACAAGTATTTGCTAACTGTTCAATGGGCTCTTCAATTATGTCTAGTTCTCTCAGGCTGGCATATTTAAAAAAAATTCAGGAACTACAATGAAGTTTCAAGCAGAAACATAAACTGGAATTACTGTAAGTTCAAAATTACTAATCAAAATATTATTTTGGCAGTTTAAAAATCACAATTTAAACTTTACATATGAACTCTTAAATATCTAATATGGTCTACTGTCTTACACCTGTAAAGGCTCAACAACAACAGACTAATAATTATACCAAATAATTAACTTCCTCAACTTCTCATAGATGATATCTTGTTTCACCACTTTTGGTTTTATATGGAGTCTATTCTGTTGCCCAGGCTGGAGTGCAGTGGCACAACCTCAGCTCACTGCAACCTCTGCTTCCCAGGTTCCAGCGATTCTCCTGCCTCAGACTCCCATGTAGCTGGGATTACAGGCCTGCATCACCACACCCAGCTAATTTTTGTATTTTTAGTAGACAGGGTTTCCCCATGTTGGTGAGGCTGGTCTCAAACTTCTGACCTCAATTGATCCACCCACCTTGGCTTCCCAAAGTGCCGTGAGATTACAGGCTTATTTTGCCACTTTTGTTAAGTCTTTCAGGGCTATATAGAACAATTAAGTAATTTTAAGAGAAAACAGGGAAAAAATCTTTCATATTATTTTTATTTTTATTTTCTGAGATGGAGTCTCACTCTGTCTCCCAGGCTGGAGTGCAGTGGTGCAGTCTCGACTCACTGCAACCTCTGCTTCCTGGGTTCAAGCCATTCTCCTGCCTCAGTCTTCCCAGTAGCTAGGATTACAGGTGCGTGCAACCATGCCCAGATAATTTTTGTATTTTTGCTAGGGACAGGGTTTCAGCATGTTGGCCAGGCTGGTCTTGAACTCCTGACCTCAGGTGATCCACCTGCTTCAGCCTCCCAAAGTGCTGGGATTACAGGTGTCAGTCACTGTGCCTGGCAAAAACTTTTTTATTTTTAGTCATACACTAGATAACATTTTTTAGGATGGGAAATTCTCTGAACTGCAACTTGATAGCAAATATCTATATTTATCTATCCATCTATATCTATATCTGAATCTATATATCTATATCTAATCTATATCTATATATCTGTATGTTACCACTGAGGAAAAGGTGTTTATATCTATTCCCGATGATATTAGAACATGTGTATTTGCCAACCCATTGCAGCTTTGAGGTGTTGTCATAACAGGCTTTTTGTAAGTACGATACATCTTGCTCTCCATTTCTGTTATGACTTTACTCTTTGTTGGAATATAGTAGCAAAATTAGTGACTTTTAAAATAAACACATACTAAATTGAGAAAAAAATTTAGAATAATATGTCTTGAGCTGCATGAGAAATGTTTCTAAGACTTCCTGCAGGGATATAGTCCAGTAGCCAAGCTGAGCATCTCAGCACAATGTAACAGTCATCTCAGCACCATGCCAGGTACCATAGAGTTGGCATCACTCACTCACAGCCATGTGGTGCTATAGTGTGCAGAAGGTTCAAGATGATGCTGAGCATCACTGATGACATTGTTTCTTGATTGTTAACATGAGAAGTGGCTCCTAGGTGAAGAATCAGTGAGTAGAGATTACCAGAGGAGACTATGTTTAAAAAAGGCAATAGATTACTGACATTGGCAAGGTGCTTTATCTTAGCAAAATCTTAGCAGAAAAATATGAGATGGAGCCAGAAAATTAAAGAGACTGCAAAGTCTGGAACATCTCTCAATATGCAGACTTTGTAAGCAATGTGCTAGAGAAAAAAGTTCAGAGAAAAAAGAATAAAAAGAAAAAAACAAAGCCTCCAAGAAATAGGGGACTATGTGAAAAGACCAAATCTACATCTGCTTGGTGTACCTGAAAGTGATGGGGAGAATAGAACCAAGTTGGAAAACACTCTGCAGGATATTATCCAGGAGAACTTCCCCAACCTACCAAGGCAAGCCAACATTCAAATTCAGGAAATACAGAGAATGCCACAAAGATACTCCTCAAGAAGAGCAACTCCAAGACACATAATTGTCACATTCACCAAAGTTGAAATGAAGGAAAAAATGTTAAGGGCAGCCAGAGAGAAAGCTCGGGTTACCCACAAAGGGAAGCCCATCAGACTACCAGCAGATCTCTCGGCAAAAACTCTACAAGCCAGAAGAGGGTGGGGGCCAATATTCAACATTCTTAAAGCAATGAAATTTCAACCCAGAATTTCATATCCAGCCAAACTAAGCTTCATAAGTGAGGGAGAAATAAAATCCTTTACAGACAAGCAAATGCTGAGAGATTTTGTCACCACCAGGCTTGCCCTAAAAGAGCTCCTGAAGGAAGCACTAAACATGGAAAGGTACAACCATTACCAGCCACTGCAAAAACATGAGAAATTGTAAACAACATCAAGGCTAGGAAGAAACTGCATCAACTAACGAGCAAAATCACCAGCTAACATCATAATGACAGGATCAAATTCACACATAAAAATATTAATCTTAAATGTAAATGGGCTAAATTCTCCAACTAAAAGTCACAGACGGGCAAATTGGATAAAGAGTCAAGACCCATCAGTGTGCTGTATTCAGGAAACCCATCTCACGTGCTGAGACACACATAGGCTCAAAATAAAGGGAAGGAGGAAGATCTACCAAGCAAATGGAAAACAAAAAAAGGCAGGGGTTGCAATCCTAGTCTCGGATAAAATGGACTTTAAACCAACAAAGATCAAAAGAGACAAAGAAGGCCATTACATAATGGCGAAGGGATCAATTCAACAAGAAGAGCTACTACATGCACCCAACACAGGAGCACCTAGATTCATAAAGCAAGTCCTGAGTGACCTACAAAGAGACTTAGACTCCCACACAATAATAATGGGAGGCTTTAACACCCCACTGTCAACATTAGACAGATCAACGAGACAGAAAGTTAACAAGGATATCAAGGAATTCAACTCAGCTCTGCACCAAGCAGACCTAATAGACATCTACAGAACTCTCCACCCCAAATCAACAGAATATACATTCTTTTCAGCACCACACCACACCTATTCCAAAATTGACCACATAGTTGAAAGTAAAGCACTCCTCAGCAAATGTAAAAGAACAGAAATTATAACAAACTGTCTCTCAGACCACAGTGCAATCAAACTAGAACTCAGGATTAAGAAACTCACTCAAATCTGCTCAACTACATGGAAACTGGACAACCTGCTCCTGAATGACTACTGGGTACATAACGAAATGAAGGCAGAAATAAAGATGTTCTTTGAAACCAATGAGAACAAAGACACAACATACCAGAATCTCTGGGACACATTTAAAGCAGTGTGGAGAGGGAAATTTATAGCACTAAATGCCCACAAGAGAAAGCAGGAAAGATCTAAAATTGACGCCCTAACATCACAATTAAAAGAACTAGAGAAGCAAGAGGAAACACATTCAAAAGCTAGCAGAAGGCAAGAAATAACTAAGATCAGAGCAGAACTGAAGGAGATAGAGACACAAAAAACCCTTCAAAAAATCAATGAATCCAGGAGCTGGTTTTTTGAAAAGATCACCAAAACTGATAGACTGCTAGCAAGACTAATAAAGAAAAAAGGAGAGAAGAATCAAATAGATGCAATAAAAAATGATAAAGGGGATATCACCACTGATCCCACCGAAATACAAACTGTCATCAGAGAATACTATAAACACCTCTACGCAAATAAACTAGAAAATCTAGAAGAAATGGATAAATTCCTCGACACATACACCCTCCCAAGACTAAACCAGGAAGAAGTTGAATCTCTAAATAGACCAATAACAGGCTCTGAAATTGAGGCAATAATTAATAGCTTACCAACCAAAAAAAGTCCAGGACCAGATGGATTCACAGCCAAATTCTACCAGAGGTACAAGGAGGAGCTGGTACCATTCCTTCTGAAACTATTCCAATCAATAGAAAAAGAGGGAATTCTCCCTAACTCATTTTATGAGGCCAGCATCATCCTGATACCAAAGCCTGGCAGAGACACAACAAAAAAAGAGAATTTTAGACCAATATCCTTGATGAACATTGATGCAAAAATCCTCAATAAAATACTGGCAAACCGAATCCAGCAGCACATCAAAAAGCTTATCCACCATGATCAAGTGGGCTTCATCCCTGGGATGCAAGGCTGGTTCAACATAAGCAAACCAATAAACGTAATCCAGCACATAAACATAACCAAAGACAAAAACCACATGATTATCTCAATAGATGCAGAAAAGGCCTCTGACAAAATTCAACGATGCTTCATGCTAAAAACTCTCAATAAATTAGGTATTGATGGGACATATCTCAAAATAATAAGAGCTATCTACGACAAACCCACAGCCAATATCATACTGAATGGACAAAAACTGGAAGCATTCCCTTTGAAAACTGGCACAAGACAGGGATGCCCTCCCTCACCACTCTTATTCAACATAGTGTTGGAAGTTCTGGCCAGGGCAATCAGGCAGGAGAAGGAAATAAAGGGTATTCAATTAGGAAAAGAGGAAGTCAAATTGTCCCTCTTTGCAGATGACATGATTATATATCTAGAAAACCCCATCGTCTCAGCCCAAAATCTCCTTAAGCTGATAAGCAACTTCAGCAAAGTCTCAGGATACAAAATCAATGTGCAAAAATCACAAGCATTCTTATACACTAATAACAGGCAAACAGAGAGCCAAATCATGAGTGAACTCCCATTCACAATTACTTCAAAGACAATAAAATACCTAGGAATCCAACTTACAAGGGATGTGAAGGACCTCTTCAAGGAGAACTACAAACCACTGCTCAAGGGAATAAAAGAGGATACGAACAAATGGAAGAACATTCCATGCTCATGGATAGGAAGAATCAATATCGTGAAAATGGCCATACTGCCCAAGGTAATTTACAGATTCAATGCCATCCCCATCAAGCTACCAATGACTTTCTTCACAGAATTGGAAAAAACTACTTTAAAGTTCATATGGAACCAAAAAAGAGCCTGCATTGCCAAGTCAATCCTAAGCCAAAAGAACAAAGCTGGAGGCATCACACTACCTGACTTCAAACTATACTACAAGGCTACAGTAACCAAAACAGCATGGTACTGGTACCAAAACAGAGATATAGACCAATGGAACAGAACAGAGCCCTCAGAAATAATGCCACATATCTACAACCATCTGATCTTTGACAAACCTGACAAAAACAAGCAATGGGGAAAGGATTCCCTATTTAATAAATGGTGCTGGGAAAACTGGCTAGCCATATGTAGAAAGCTGAAACTGGATCCCTTCCTTACACCTTATACAAAAATTAATTCAAGATGGATTAAAGACTTACATGTTAGACCTAATACCATAAAATCCCAAGAAGAAAACCTAGGCAATACCATTCAGGACATAGGCATGGACAAGGACTTCATGTCTAAACCACCAAAAACAATGGCAACAAAAGCCAAAATTGACAAATGGGATCTAATTAAACTAAAGAGCTTCTGCACAGCAAAAGAAACTACCATCAGAGTGAACAGGCAACCTACAACATGGGAGAAAATGTTTGCAACCTACTCATCTGACAAAGGGCTAATATCCAGAATCTACAATGAACTCAAACAAATTTACAAGAAAAAACAAACAACCCCATCAAAAAGTGGGCAAAGGATATGAACAGACACTTCTCAAAAGAAGACATTTATGCAGCCAAAAAACACATGAAAAAATGCTCTCCATCACTGGCCATCAGAGAAATGCAAATCAAAACCACAATGAGATACCATCTCACACAAGTTAGAATGGTGATCATTAAAAAGTCAGGAAACAACAGGTGCTGGAGAGGATATGGAGAATTAGGAACACTTTTGCACTGTTGGTGGGACTGTAAACTAGTTCAACCATTGTGGAAGTCAGTGTAGCGATTCCTCAGGGATCTAGAACTAGAAATACCATTTGACCCAGCCATCCCATTACTGGGTATATACCCAAAGGATTATAAATCATGCTGCTATAAAGACACATGTACGTGTATGTTTATTGTGGCACTATTCACAATAGCAAAGACTTGGAACCAACCCAAATGTCCAACAATGATAGACTGGATTAAGAAAATGTGGCACATATACACCATGGAATACTATGCAGTCATAAAAAATGATGAGTTCATGTCCTTTGTAGGGACATGGAGGAAGCTGGAAACCATGATTCTGAGCAAACTATTGCAAGGACAAAAAACCAAACACCACATGTTCTCACTCATAGGTGGGAATTGAACAATGAGAACACATGGACACAGGAAGGGGAACATCACACACTGGGGACTGTTGTGGGGTGGGGGGAGGGGGGGATAGCATTAGGAGATATACCTAATGCTAAATGATGAGTTAATGGGTGCCACGCACCAGCATGTCACATGTATACATATGTAACAAACCTGCCCGTTGTGCACATGTACCCTAAAACTTAAAGTAAAATAATAATAAAATTTTAAAAAAATAACACAAAATAAAGAGGGGTCTGTTTTAACATTGGAGATACCTTAATAAGGAATGGTGAAGCACTCTGCTAATAGTAATCATGGAAAACCATCACCATTATTGGCCCGATGGGGCAAGGGAAGGCAGTATTTATTAGGATCCTGGGAGAGCTTTGTTTTGAGAAAAGAAAATAAAAACCCCAATTCACTATGCCAAAAGGAAAAAATTAAGCTGAAAGCTGAGTCATGGAAGAAACTGCCTTTCCTTTTGTTCCTAAGCAGATAGCTACAGATAAAAGTTTAAATATCTCCACAGGTAGCTACTCTATATTCACCTTATCTTATGTACGGCGCTGATATACTGAGTGCAAGGTGAGTACATAATTGACTTTTCCTCTAGCTGCTCCTTTTCTCTGACAACTTGTGATTACCATACCCTCCCTCTTTCCCCTCCAGCCCACTTTTCCCCTTTAAATATTGAAGCCCTGAGAATCACCTTTGGAGAAAAGCACAAACCAAGGGCTGTTAGTGTGATTCCATGTTCTTTTCTTCTGGGCATGTTCTTAAACTTGGCAAAATAAAGTTCTAAGTTGACTGATGCCTGTCTCAGATACTCTTTGGTTTGCAGCTTATAAAAAGGGATACCCAGCAGAAGATAATTGTAGCTACTGCTAATCATGCTGGCCTAGAGAGGGCCATGAGAATAAACACATTCTCTTTCCACTAGCATTCCAACATCCTGCTGCTGCCTTCCTGGAGCCGAACCTCACCAGAATCCAGAGACAAGTAAATTAGTACCTGATCTTTAGGTGTCAGCCTCCTGGAACATAGAACAGGGTAGAAATAGGTAGCGTTGTGTATCTGCCAGGACCACTGGAAATACCAGTACACCTACGATATCATCAAATGTTTTAAATAATGACAATGAACTTGTTCATTTATGTAGTTGGTAAAAATTCTGGCAAAATGTCTCAATACCTTAAAAATCTCAATTTTAAGAATGTATTATACGAAAATGCCATAAATATTCACGAAGACTAAGCTGCAAGAATGTTCTTCAAAAGTGTTTATAGTACTATCAAAATAAAAATAATCTAAATGCCTAAAAGCAAGAAATTGATTAAGTAAACTCTAGTTTATCAATACAAGGAAGTAACATTAAGTCATATAAAATGACATTAAAGTAAATCTTGTGACATGGAATTGCATTTCATCAGAGCTTTTCATAAAATAGACTGATGGTATGACTTTTTTGTACATAAAGAAACAAACAATATATATGTCTGCAAAGCAAAATGATTAGAAGGATAGTCACCAAAAATTGTAATGTTTTTTCCTTCTGGTAAATTCTAGATTATTTCTTTTAAAGAAACAATTTCATTTGATCATAATTTCAATGTTTTTATAATAAATATATATTAATTTAGTAGTTCAAATAATGTTTTAAATTAGGTAAAATAAAGACTGTCCTGTTTAGACATATATAAAACAAAATAAATGGAGATAATTTTTCTCCCACAGATGGATAAAATAAAAATTAATTTAAAATCTTTTCTATTTAAAGAGGAACTCTTGAAAGATTTGTATAAGGAACAAGTCAATTTTGCTTTAGTGAGAGAAATTAGGCCCACAAAGAGGTCTGTTGGGATTTTAGGAATCAATAATTTATGCAAGAGTCAGGAGGATGGCTCTAACAAACTCAGCATTACTATTGACGGGACTTTCAGACCAGGGCTTAGGTGCAGAAGCAGTGAGTTCTGATCCTCAGCCTCAGACAGTCTTGTCTGTTTCAGGTGGCACCAGGCATCCGCCTCAGGCTCTGTCCCAATGTGGTGAGGAGAAACAGAGCAGATGTGTGCCCTCAGCAGGGGAGGCATTCACAGGAAGAGCGAGTTAGTAAACTGTGCAGGCCCAGCTCCTTGTCTAAACTCAGCAGTTAGAAAGTTATTTCTCCTTCTCACAGAATGGAGGCATTCTAATAAAAGATGTATATGGAAAGAAACCTGCTTAATACAACACACATATCTAAAAAATCAATACATGATGATTTATGAATTATAGTTTCATTGACATCAAGTTAATAATAATGACTTTGAAATTAATTCAGCAGACATTATAACTCCTACTCAGAGCCAGTGATACAGAATACTTTCTTGACCCCTTCTCGGGCCTTGCAACAGGAGTGCCTCATTTACTCAGCCTGCCCTGCTCAACCCCTCACAGGAGGGAGTGTGCAAGCGAATGAGCACAGGAACTGGGGCAAACAAGTGCAGGAACTGGCTGCTTTGGCAGCAGCAGGAGCAAACTCCACTTACTCAGGTCCACTGGACTCCACTCCTCACAGGAGGGAACAAGCAAGCTAGTGAGTGCAGGAACCAGAATGAGTGAGTGCAGGAACTGGCTGCTTTGGCGCTGGCAGGAGAAAACTCCATGCAGGCCCTGCAGCAGCATCCAGGTCGGGTGCCTGTGACCCCAAGGCCCCAGAGGGCGTGTTACAGTGCTCTCTTAGCTCTGCTGTCTGCAGACAGCAGTGTGTTACCAGTTCAGTGCCCTTTGCCTCATCCTGTGGGGTGGCTACCTTCTGCCAGCTAGGGAAAAGGGCCAGTGTGACAACCTTTTTCGGTACCCACACCCTGTGCATCCTGAATTCCTGTCTGGAGCCCAGGTGGAATGAGGTCATGTGGATGAATTGAAGGATGGTGAATGTGGAGAATTTTGTTGAGTGATGAAAGCAGCTCTCAGTGGAGAGGGGAGCTGGAAAGGGGATGGGTAGGGCAGGTTGCTCTCCTCTGAAGTCAAGCCACCTCTCTGCCTCTCTCTTCTGAAGTCAAGTTACCTCATTCAGCCACCGTTTCAAAGTCACCTCTCCCCAGCATCCAACCACTTTTTCCTGATGTCCAACCACTTGTCTCTGCTGGCTGAGTCTGGGGTCTTTATAGGCACAGGATGCGGGGGGTGGGTCAGAGGTAGTTTTGGAAAAGGCAACATTCAATTGGTAAAAAGACATTATTTAGAAAGAACCAATTGGGAGAGAGCAGGCACATAGGGATGGAAGTTCTCACTTTGGGCTGCGGGTTTCAGGCTTTTCAGCTTGAAGGTGGGGTTTTGACAGGGATCTGCCCCATCTGCCTAGAATTTTTATGCCTCCTGTCACTATCACCAGGTGTGCTGTTAGGAATGTAAATATGAATAAAACGTGGGTTCTGTGAAGAGTCACGTTCTAGAGGAAGTGGCAGAATTGCATTACTCAAAACTAATCAGTAGCTCTCTATGTTCAACTGTCTAGTCCATTTGTATATCTTTGAGGTCCTCAAGGTCAACAGGTCTACAGCAAAATTAGTTCTCCTTCCTCATGAAACTGCACCTGTTCTTGGTTTTCTTTTTTGGTGAATGGCACTGTTAACCCAGTGGTCCATGCCAAAACCTCCAACTCATTTTCAGCTTTTTTTTCTTTAGTTCTATGTGTCCAAATGATTATCAAGTCTGGTCAAATCTATCACTTATAGTCACTTGATTTCATAATTCCTTTCCCTTTTAATGGTCTTTGATCCATTCTCATTCATCTGGGCTTTATCAAATGCCTCCTAATGAATTTCCCTGCCCACACACTCACATCCTATACCGCTTCCTCCACTAGCATTAGAGTGACTTTTATCATATGCATAATTAGTTATATTTTCCTTACATAAAGATTTTTGAATGACTCTCAAGTTTGAATATAGCCTAACCACTTAGCTTAGTGGACAAGACTCTCTATTATCCTGTTATTCTCTAGTTTTTGAACCTCATTTCTCAGCATATTGTTTGTTGTTTATATTTTTATTAGCATTCCCAGTATAACAAAGTACATGTAGTTTCCTAGGATGGCATTGTCTCTTTTTAAAAACTTTTTTATTTATAGTGGACACATGATAATTGTACATATTTATGGGGAACACTGTGATATTTTAATGTATGCATACATTTTATAATGATCAAATTGGGGTAATTATCACATTCATTGTTTTAAGCTAATTTATTTGTGGTGACAACATTCAAAATTTTCTTTTAGCTATCTTGAAATATACACTACATTGTTATTTGCTATAGCAATCCTACTGTATAACAGAACACCAGAATTTCTTCTTTTTTTTTTTTTATTATACTTTAAGTTTTAGGGTACATGTGCACATTGTGCAGCTTAGTTACATATGTATACATGTGCCATGCTGGTGTGCTGCACCCACTAACTCGTCATCTAGCATTAGGTATATCTCCCAATGCTACCCCTCCCCCCCTCCCCCCACCCCACCACAGTCCCCAGAGTGTGATATTCCCCTTCCTGTGACCATGTGATCTCATTGTTCAATTCCCACCTATGAGTGAGAATATGCGGTGTTGGGTTTTTTGTTCTTGTGATAGTTTACTGAGAATGATGGTTTCCAATTTCATCCATGTCCCTAAAAAGGACATTAACTCATCATTTTTTATGGCTGCATAGTATTCCATGGTGTATATGTGCCACATTTTCTTAATCCAGTCTATCATTGTTGGACATTTGGGTTGGTTCCAAGTCTTTGCTATTGTGAATAATGCTGCAATAAACATACGTGTGCATGTGTCTTTATAGCAGCATGATTTATAGTCACTTGGGTATATACCCAGTAATGGGATGGCTGGGTCAAATGGTATTTCTAGTTCTAGATCCCTGAGGAATCGCCACACTGACTTCCACAATGGTTGAACTAGTTTACAGTCCCACCAACAGTGTAAAAGTGTTCCTATTTCTCCACATCCTCTCCAGCACCTGTTGTTTCCTGACTTTTTAACGATTGCCATTCTAACTGGTGTGAGATGGTATCTCATAGTGGTTTTGATTTGCATTTCTCTGATGGCCAGTGATGATGAGCATTTTTTCATGTATTTTTTGGCTGCATAAATGTCTTCTTTTGAGAAGTGTCTGTTCATGTCCTTCGCCCACTTTTTGATGGGGTTGTTTGTTTTTTCCTTGTAAATTTGTTTGAGTTCATTGTAGATTCTGGATATTAGCCCTTTGTCAGATGAGTAGGTTGCGAAAATTTTCTCCCATGTTGTAGGTTGCCTGTTCACTCTGATGGTAGTTTCTTTTGCTGTGCAGAAGCTCTTTAGTTTAGTTAGATCCCATTTGTCAATTTTGGCTTTTGTTGCCATTGCTTTTGGTGTTTTGGACATGAAGTCCTTGCCCATGCCTATCTCCTGAATGGTAATGCCTAGGTTTTCTTCTAGGGTTTTTATGGTTTTAGGTCTAACGTTTAAATCTTTAATCCATCTTGAATTGATTTTTGTATAAGGTGTAAGGAAGGGATCCAGTTTCAGCTTTCTACATATGGCTAGCCAGTTTTCCCAGCACCATTTATTAAATAGGGAATCCTTTCCCCATTGCTTGTTTTTCTCAGGTTTGTCAAAGATCAGATAGTTGTAGATATGCGGCGTTATTTCTGAGGGCTCTGTTCTGTTCCATTGATCTATATCTCTGTTTTGGTACCAGTACCATGCTGTTTTGGTTACTGTAGCCTTGTAGTATAGTTTGAAGTCAGGTAGTGTGATGCCTCCAGCTTTGTTCTTTTGGCTTAGGATTGACTTGGCGATGCGGGCTCTTTTTTGGTTCCATGTGAACTTTAAAGTAGTTTTTTCCAATTCTGTGAAGAAAGTCATTGGTAGCTTGATGGGGATGGCATTGAATCTGTAAATTACCTTGGGCAGTATGGCCATTTTCACGATATTGATTCTTCCTACCCATGAACATGGAATGTTCTTCCATTTGTTTGTATCCTCTTTTATTTCCTTGAGCAGTGGTTTGTAGTTCTCCTTGAAGAGGTCCTTCACATCTCTTGTAAGTTGGATTCCTAGGTATTTTATTCTCTTTGAAGCAATTGTGAATGGGAGTTCACTCATGATTTGGCTCTCTGTTTGTCTGTTGTTGGTGTATAAGAATGCTTGTGATTTTTGTACATTGATTTTGTATCCTGAGACTTTGCTGAAGTTGCTTATCAGCTTAAGGAGATTTTGGGCTGAGACGATGGGGTTTTCTAGATAAACAATCATGTCGTCTGCAAACAGGGACAATTTGACTTCCTCTTTTCCTAATTGAATACCCTTTATTTCCTTCTCCTGCCTGATTGCCCTGGCCAGAACTTCCAACACTATGTTGAATAGGAGCGGTGAGAGAGGGCATCCCTGTCTTGTGCCAGTTTTCAAAGGGAATGCTTCCAGTTTTTGTCCATTCAGTATGATATTGGCTGTGGGTTTGTCATAGATAGCTCTTATTATTTTGAAATATGTCCCATGAATACCTAATTTATTGAGAGTTTTTAGCATGAAGGGTTGTTGAATTTTGTCAAAGGCTTTTTCTGCATCTATTGAGATAATCATGTGGTTTTTGTCTTTGGCTCTGTTTATATGCTGGATTACATTTATTGATTTGCGTATATTGAACCAGCCTTGCATCCCAGGGATGAAGCCCACTTGATCATGGTGGATAAGCTTTTTGATGTGCTGCTGGATTCGGTTTGCCAGTATTTTATTGAGGATTTTTGCATCAATGTTCATCAAGGATATTGGTCTAAAATTCTCTTTTTTGGTTGTGTCTCTGCCCGGCTTTGGTATCAGAATGATGCTGGCCTCATAAAATGAGTTAGGGAGGATTCCCTCTTTTTCTATTGATTGGAATAGTTTCAGAAGGAATGGTACCAGCTCCTCCTTGTACCTCTGGTAGAATTTGGCTGTGAATCCATCTGGTCCTGGACTCTTTTTGGTTGGTAAACTATTGATTATTGCCACAATTTCAGCTCCTGTTATTGGTCTATTCAGAGATTCAACTTCTTCCTGGTTTAGACTTGGGAGAGTGTATGTGTCAAGGAATGTATCCATTTCTTCTAGATTTTCTAGTTGATTTGCATAGAGGTGTTTGTAGTATTCCCTGATGGTAGTTTGTATTTCTGTGGGATCGGTGGTGATATCCCCTTTATCATTTTTTATTGTGTCTATTTGATTCTCCTCTCTTTTTTTCTTTATTAGTCTTGCTAGCGGTCTATCAATTTTGTTGATCCTTTCAAAAAACCAGCTCCTGGATTCATTGATTTTTTGAAGGGTTTTTTGTGTCTCTATTTCCTTCAGTTCTGCTCTGATTTTAGTTATTTCTTGCCTTCTGCTAGCTTTTGAATGTGTTTGCTCTTGCTTTTCTAGTTCTTTCAATTGTGATGTTAGGGTGTCAATTTTGGATCTTTCCTGCTTTCTCTTGTGGGCATTTAGTGCTATAAATTTCCCTCTACACACTGCTTTGAATGCGTCCCAGAGATTCTGGTATGTTGTGTCTTTGTTCGCGTTGGTTTCAAAGAACATCTTTATTTCTGCCTTCATTTTGTTATGTACCCAGTAGTCATTCAGGAGCAGATTGTTCAGTTTCCATGTAGTTGCGCAGTTTTGAGTGAGATTCTTAATCCTGAGTTCTAGTTTGATTGCACTGTGGTCTGAGAGATAGTTTGTTATAATTTCTGTTCTTTTACATTTGCTGAGGAGAGCTTTACTTCCCAGTATATGGTCAATTTTGGAATAGGTGTGGTGTGGTGCTGAAAAAAATGTATATTCTGTTGATTTGGGGTGGAGAGTTCTGTAGATGTCTATCAGGTCCGCTTGGTGCAGAGCTGAATTCAATTCCTGGGTATCCTTGTTGACTTTCTGTCTCGTTGATCTGTCTAATGTTGACAGTGGGGTGTTAAAGTCTCCCATTATTAATGTGTGGGAGTCTAAGTCTCTTTGTAGGTCACTCAGGACTTGCTTTATGAATCTGGGTGCTCCTGTATTGGGTGCATATATATTTAGGATAGTTAGCTCCTCTTGTTGAATTGATCCCTTTACCATTATGTAATGGCCTTCTTTGTCTCTTTTGATCTTTGTTGGTTTAAAGTCTGTTTTATCAGAGACTAGGATTGCAACCCCTGCCTTTTTTTGTTTTCCATTTGCTTGGTAGATCTTCCTCCATCCTTTTATTTTCAGCCTATGTGTGTCTCTGCACATGAGATGGGTTTCCTGAATACAGCACACTGATGGGTCTTGACTCTTTATCCAATTTGCCAGTCTGTGTCTTTTAATTGGAGCATTTAGTCCATTGACATTTAAAGTTAATATTGTTATGTGTGAATTTGATCCTGTCATTATGATGTTAGCTGGTGATTTTGCTCGTTAGTTGATGCAGTTTCTTCCTAGTCTCGATGGTCTTTACATTTTGGCATGATTTTGCAGCGGCTGGTACCAGTTGTTCCTTTCCATGTTTAGTGCTTCCTTCAGGAGCTCTTTTAGGGCAGGCCTAGTGGTGACAAAATCTCTCAGCATTTGCTTGTCTGTAAAGTATTTTATTTCTCCTTCACTTATGAAGCTTAGTTTGGCTGGATATGAAATTCTGGGTTGAAAATTCTTTTCTTTAAGAATGTTGAATATTGGCCCCCACTCTCTTCTGGCTTGTAGGGTTTCTGCCGAGAGATCCGCTGTTAGTCTGATGGGTTTCCCTTTGAGGGTAACCCGACCTTTCTCTCTGGCTGCCCTTAACATTTTTTCCTTCATTTCAACTTTGGTGAATCTGACAATTATGTGTCTTGGAGTTGCTCTTCTCGAGGAGTATCTTTGTGGCGTTCTCTGTATTTCCTGAATCTGAACATTGGCCTGCCTTGCTAGATTAGGGAAGTTCTCCTGGATAATATCCTGCAGGGTGTTTTCCAACTTGGTTCCATTCTCCGCATCACTTTCAGGTACACCAATCAGACGTAGATTTGGTCTTTTCACATAGTCCCATATTTCTTGGAGGCTTTGCTCATTTCTTTTTATTCTTTTTTCTCTAAACTTCCCTTCTTGCTTCATTTCATTCATTTCATCTTCCATTGCTGATACCCTTTCTTCCAGTTGATCACATCGGCTCCTGAGGCTTCTGCATTCTTCACGTAGTTCTCGAGCCTTTGTTTTCAGCTCCATCAGCTCCTTTAAGCACTTCTCTGTATTGGTTATTCTAGTTATACATTCTTCTAAGTTTTTTTCAAAGTTTTCAACTTATTTGCCTTTGGTTTGAATGTCCTCCCGTAGCTCAGAGTAATTTGATCGTCTGAAACCTTCTTCTCTCAGCTCGTCAAAGTCATTCTCCATCCAGCTTTGTTCCATTGCTGGTGAGGAACTGCGTTCCTTTGGAGGAGGAGAGGCGCTCTGTGTTTTAGAGTTTCTAGTTTTTCTGTTCTGTTTTTTCCCCATCTTTGTGGTTTTATCTACTTTTGGTCTTTGATGATGGTGATGTACAGATGGGTTTTCGGTGTGGATGTCCTTTCTGTTTGTTAGTTTTCCTTCTAACAGAAAGGACCCTCAGCTGCAGGTCTGTTGGAATAACCTGCCGTGTGAGGTGTCAGTGTGCCCCTGCTGGGGGGTGCCTCCCAGTTAGGCTGCTCGGGGGTCAGGGGTCAGGGACCCACTTGAGGAGGTAGTCTGCCTGTTCTGAGATCTCCAGCTGTGTGCTGGGAGAACCACTGCTCTCTTCAAAGCTGTCAGACAGGGACATTTAAGTCTGCAGAGGTTACTGCTGTCTTTTTGTTTGCCTGTGCCCTGCCCCCAGAGGTGGAGCCTACAGAGGCAGGCAGGCCTCCTTGAGCTGTGGTGGGCTTCACCCAGTTCGAGCTTCCCAGCTGCTTTGTTTACCTAAGCAAGCCTGGGCAATGGCGGGCGCCCCTCCCCCAGCCTCGCTGCCGCCTTGCAGTTTGATCTCAGACTGCTGTGCTAGTAATCAGCGAGATTCCGTGGGCGTAGGACCCTCCGAGCCAGGTGTGGGATATAGTCTCGTGGTGCGCCATTTTTTAAGCTGGTCTGAAAAGCGCAGTATTCGGGTGGGAGTGACCCGATTTTCCAGGTGCGTCCGTCACCCCTTTCTTTGACTCGGAAAGGGAACTCCCTGACCCCTTGCGCTTCCCAGGTGAGGCAATGCCTCGCCCTGCTTCGGCTCGTGCACGGTGCACACACCCACTGGCCTGCGCCCACTGTCTGGCACTCCCTAGTGAGATGAACCTGGTACCTCAGATGGAAATGCAGAAATCACCCGTCTTCTGCGTCGCTTACGCTGGGAGCTGTAGACCGGAGCTGTTCCTATTCGGCCATCTTGGCTCCTCCCCCTATTCTTCTTATACAACTGTAACTTTGTGTCTGTTGACCAACCTCTCCCAGGCCCCCTCTTCCTGCTACCCTTCCCAGCCTCTGTCACCACTATTCTACTCTCTCCTTCTAGAAAATCAACTTTTTTAGATTCCACATGAGTGAGATCATGCAGGATTTGTTTCATATGGCATATTCTTAAATGTCTGGTCTTTGAACCAACTGCTACCTCTGCTGTCTCCCATTCCAACTAACTTTAACCTGTCCTGAAAACCCCACTAAAGTACCATTCTAGTGGGTCAATTTGTGGTCCTCCAAAACTCCTCTGGTACCTGTGGATGGAAACTTATTTGAAAAAAAAAAGTGTTTGCCAATATCAGTGAGGTAAAGATCTTGAGATGAGATCATTCTGTATTATGGTGGGCCCTACATCTAATTACCAGTGTTCTTATAAGAGACAGAAAGGAGAAGGGACTGAGACACAGAGGAGAAGGCCATGTGAAAAAGGAGGCAGAGATTGGCATTATGCTGCCACAAGCCAGGAAATGCCTACAGGGACCAAAAGCTGTAAGAGGCAAAAAAGGATTCTCCCCTAGAGCTTTCAAAGAAAGCATGGATTTGCCAACACCTTGACTTTACTTTATTGTTATTATTTTACATTTTAGATTCAGGGGGTACATGTGTAGGTTTGTTACATGGCTATATTGCATGATGCTGAGGTTTGATCTTCTCATGATCTCATTACCAATGTAGTGAACATAGTACCCAATAGGTAATTTTCAACTCTGGTCCCTCTCCCTCCTCGCCCTTTTGGAATCTCCAGTATTTATTGATCCCATCTCTATGTCCATTTGTACCCAATGTTTAGTGTCCACTTATAAGGGAAAAAAAACACAGTATTTAGTTTTCTGTTTCTGTGTTAATTTGCTTAGAATAATGGTCTCCAGCTGCTTCCATGTGGCTGCAAAGGCATGATTTTGTTTGTTCATTTTTTATGGCTGTGTAGTATTTCATGTTGTGTGTATGTCACATATTCTTTATCCAATCCATCATTGATGGGCACCTGGGTTGATTCCATGTCTTTGCTATTGTGAATAGTTCTGCTATAAACATATGAGTGCAGATGACTTTTTGGTAGAACAATTTATTTGCGTGAGTATATGCCTAGTAATGGGATTGCTGGATTGAATGCTAATTCTACTTTTAGTTCTTTGAGATATCTCCAAACTGCTTTCCACAGGGGCTGAACTAAAATTTGCATTCCCACCAACAGTGTATAAGAGTTCCCTTTTCTCCACAGATTCGCCAATGTCTGCTATTTTTTGACTTTTTAATAATCACCATTCTGACTGGTATGAGATGGTATCTCATTGTGGCTTTGATTTGCATTTCTCTGATGATGAGCATTTTTTAATGTTTGTTGGATGCTTGTCTTTTTTTGTTAATTTAAGTTCTGGGATACATGTGCAGGGTATGTCTTCTATTGAGAAGTGTCTGTTTATGTCCTTGGCCCACTTTTTAGTGGGGTTATTTGTTTTTTTATTGTTGATTTATTTAAGTTCCTTATAGATTCTGAATATTATCCTTTGTTGGATGCATAGTTTGAGAATATTTTCTCCCTTTCTGTAGGTATTCTGTTTACTCTATTGATAGTTTATTTTGCTGTGCAGAGCTCTTTAGTTTAATGAGGTCCCAACTGTCAATTTTTATTTTTGTTGCATTTCCTTTTGAGGATTTAATCATAAGTTATTTGCCTAGGTAAATGTTGGAAAGGGTATTTTCTAGTTTTTTTTCTAGGATTTTTATAGTTTGAGGTCTTACACTTAAGTTTTCAATCCATCTTGAGTAATTTTTGTACATAATGAGAGCTAGGGGTCCAGTTTCATTCCTCCACATATAGATAGTCAGTTTTCCCAGCAGCATTTATTGAATAGAATATCCTTTCCTCAGTGTTTATTTTTGTTGACTTTGTCAAAGCTCAGTTGGTTGTAGGTGTGTGGCTTTATTTCAGGGATCTCTATTCTGTTCCACTGGTCTATGTGTCTATTTTTGTACCAGTACCACACTGTTTGCATTACTGTAGCCTTGTAGTGTAATTTTAAGTTGTGTAATGCAATGCTTCCTGCTTTGTTCTTTTTGCTTAAGATTGTCTTGGCTCTTTTTGGATTCCATATGAATTTTAGAATAGTTTTTTCTAATTCTGTGAAAAAAGACATTGATAATTTGATAGGAATATCATTGAATCTATAGATAGCTTTGGGCCATATGGCCATTTTAATGATATTGATCCTTTTGATATATGAGCATAGGATGCTTTTCCATTTGTTTGTGTTATCTATGATTTCTTTAAATAGTGTTTTGTAGTTCTCCTTGTAGAAATTTCACCTCCTCGGTTAGATGTATTTCTAGGTATATTTTGTGTGTGTGGCTATTGAGAAGAGACTGTGTTCTTCATTTGGCTCCCATTTTGAATATTATTGGTGTATGGAAGTGCTACTGATTTTTGTATGCTGATTTTGTATGCTGAGACATTGCTGGAATCATTCATCAGGTCTAGGAGTCTTTTGGTGGACTCTTTAGGGTTTTATAGGTATAAAATTATATTGTCAGTGAAGAGAGATAATTTGACTTCCTACTTGGATGCATTTTATTTCTTTCTCTTATCTGATTACTCTGACTAGGACTTCCAGTATATATTGAATAGGAGTGGTAGGAGTTGGCATCCTTGATTGTTCCAGTTCTCAAAGAAAATAATTCCAGTTTTTGCTCATTCACTATGAGGTTGACCGTGAGTTTGACATAGATGGCTCTTATTATTTTGAGGTACGTTCCTTTGATGCCTAGTGTGTTGAGGGTTTTTATCGTGAAGGAATATTGGGTTTTATTGAGATGATCATATGGCTTTTGTTTTTAATTATCTTTATTTGACACTTGTTTTTAGACTTACGGCTTCCAGAGCTGTAAGAGAATAAATTTCTGTTGTTTTAAGCCACTCAGTTTGTGGTAATGTATTATGGCAGCCTAGGAAATTAATATAACCACTTCCTTAGGAAACTCCCTTTTGGGAAGGAGTGTCAAATTATGGCTAACACATGAGGGTTCTGGCCTCAGGCAGAGTTGCATATGAAACTCACTTTATTAAAAAATAACTGATTTGGGGTTAGATTACTAACCTCTCTAGGCTTCAGTTTTCCTTTTCATCTGTTAGAAGGAGTCATAATGTTTACCTTACAGAATTATAATAATAATTAAATGAGACAATCATGGAAAATGGCAGCATGATATAAGAGCTCAATACATGAACAAGGGTGTTATTATTATTCTAATACCTCTATTCCCAGTCAAAACTAAGCACCCTCTTTTTGTGTGTTTCCAAAGCTTCTTTTACCTATCAGTATTACAGTGTTCATTACTCTATAACGCTTTGATTCATTTGTAAATCTTTTTTCTTTAGCTGCCTCTAAACTCATTAAAAGCAGAATCATATCTTGATCTTTCTCATCATCCCAGTGTGTGGTACAAAGCCACGCATATGGTAGACACCCATAATAACTGAATTGAGGGACTGTGGCACCATGATGCTTTCCAGGATGGGGCCTGGTACAGCACTATGAAAGAGTGATAAAATGCTTGATCGGTGGAGCCAAGATGGCCGAATAGGAACAGCTCCAGTCTACAGCTGCCAGCATGAGTGACACAGAAGACAGGTGATTTCTGCATTTCCAACTGAGGTACTGGGTTCATCTCACTGGTGAGTGTTGGAAAGTGGGTGCAGGACAGTGGGTGCAGAGCACCGAGCGTGAGCTAAACTAGGGCAAGGCATCGCCTCACCTGGGAAGCACAAGGGGTCAGGGAATTCCCTTTCCAAGTCAAAGAAAGGGGTGACAGACAGCACCTGGAAAATTGGGGCACTCCCACCCTAATACTGCACTTTTCCAATAGTCTTAGCAAACGGCACACCAGGAGATTATATCCCGTGCCTGGCTCCGAGGGTCCTACGCCCATGGATAACTACGCTAGACTTATTGCTAGCACATTAGTCTGAGATCGAACTGCAAGACGGCAGTGAGGCTGGGGGAGGGGAGCCCACCATTGCCAAGGCCTGAGTAGGTAAATAAAGCAGCCAGGAAGTCCGAATTTGGTGGAGCCCACCGCAGCTCAAGGAGGCCTGCCTGCCTCTGTAGACTCCACCTCTGGGGGAAGGGCATAGCCAAACAAAAGGCAGCAGAAACCTCTGCAGACTTAAATGTCCCTGTCTGACAGCTTTGAAGAGAGTAATGGTTCTCCCAGCATGCAGCTGGAGTTCTGAGAATGGACAGACTGCCTCCTCAAGTGGGTCCCTGACCCCCGAGTAGCCTAACTGGGACGCACCCACCAGTAGGGGCAGACTGACACCTCACACGGCTGGGTACTCCTCGGAGACAAAACTTCCAGACGAACGATCAGGCAGCAACATTTGCTGTTCACCAATATCCGCTGTTCTGCAGCCTCTGCTGCTGATACCCAGGCAAACAGGGTCTGGAATAGACCTCCAGCAAACTCCAACAGACCTGCAGCTGAGTGTTCTGACTGTTAGAAGGAAAACTAACAAACAGAAAGGACATCCACAACAAAACCCCATCTGTACCTCACCAGCAGAAAAAACAGAGCAGAAAAACTGGAAACTCTAAAAATCAGAGCAGCTCTCCTCCTCCAAAGGAACGCAGCTCCTCACCAGCAACGGAACAAAGCTGGACAGAGAATGACTTTGACAAGTTGAGAGAAGAAGGCTTCAGACAATCAAACTACTCCGAGCTAAAGGAAGAAGCTCAAACCGATGGCAAAGAAGTTAAAAACCTTAAAAAAAAGATTAGACAAATGGCTAACAGAATAACCAATGCAGAGAAGTCCTTAAAGGACCTGATGGAGCTGAAAACCATGGCACAAGAACTATGTGATGAATGCACAAGCCTTAGTAGCTGATTCGATCAACTAGAAGAAGGGGTATCAGTGATGGAAGATGAAATGAATGAAATAAAGCAAGAAGAGAAGTTTAGAGAAAAAAGAATAAAAAGAAAAAAACAAAGCCTCCAAGAAATAGGGGACTATGTGAAAAGACCAAATCTACATCTGCTTGGTGTACCTGAAAGTGATGGGGAGAATAGAACCAAGTTGGAAAACACTCTGCAGGATATTATCCAGGAGAACTTCCCCAACCTACCAAGGCAAGCCAACATTCAAATTCAGGAAATACAGAGAATGCCACAAAGATACTCCTCAAGAAGAGCAACTCCAAGACACATAATTGTCACATTCACCAAAGTTGAAATGAAGGAAAAAATGTTAAGGGCAGCCAGAGAGAAAGCTCGGGTTACCCACAAAGGGAAGCCCATCAGACTAACAGCAGATCTCTCGGCAGAAACTCTGCAAGCCAGAAGAGGGTGGGGGCCAATATTCAACATTCTTAAAGAAATGAAATTTCAACCCAGAATTTCATATCCAGCCAAAACAAGCTTCATAAGTGAAGGAGAAATAAAATCCTTTACAGACAAGCAAATGCTGAGAGATTTTGTCACCACCAGGCTTGCCCTAAAAGAGCTCCTGAAGGAAGCACTAAACATGGAAAGGAACAACCATTACCAGCCACTGCAAAAACATGCGAAATTGTAAAGACCATCAAGGCTAGGAAGAAACTGCATCAACTAATAAGCAAAATAACCAGCTAAAATCACAATGACAGGATCAAATTCACACATAACAATATTAACCTTAAATGTAAATGGGCTAAATGCTCCAATTAAAAGACACAGACTGGCAAACTGGATAAAGAGTCAAGACCCATCAGGGTGCTGTATTCAGGAAACCCATCTCACAGGCAGAGACACACATAGGCTCAAAATAAAGAAATGGAGGAAGATCTACCAAGCAAATGGAAAACAAAAAAAGGCAGGGGTTGCAATCCTAGTCTCTGATAACACAGACTTTAAACCAACAAAGCTCAAAAGAGACAAAGAAGGCCATTACATAATCGTAAAGGGATCAATTCAACAAGAAGAGCTAACTATCCTAAATATATATGCACCCGATACAGGAGCACCCAGATTCATAAAGCAATCCTTAGAGACCTAAAAAGAGACTTAGACTCCCACACAATAATAATGGAGACTTTAACAGCCCACTGTCAACATTAGACAGATCAACGAGACAGAAAGTTAACAAGGATATCCAGGAATTGAACTCAACTCTGCACCAAGCAGACCTAATAGACATCTACAGAACTCTCCACCCCAAATCAACAGAATATACATTCTTTTCAGCACCACACCACACCTATTCCAAAATTGACCACATAGTTGAAAGTAAAGCACTCCTTAGTAAATGTAAAAGAACAGAAATTATATCAAACTGTCTCTCAGACCACAGTGCAAACAAACTAGAACTCAGGATTAAGAAACTCACTCAAAACGGCTCAACTACATGGAAACTGAACAACCTGCCCCTGAATGACTACTGGGTACATAACAAAATGAAGGCAGAAATAACAATGTTCTCTGAAACCAATGAGAACAAAGACACAACATACCAGAATCTCTGGGACACGTTCAAGGCAGTGTGTAGAGGGAAATTTATAGCACTAAATGCTCACAAGAGAAAGCAGGAAAGATCTAAAATTGACACCCTAACATCACAATTAAAAGAACTAGAGAAGCAAGAGCAAGCACATTCAAAAGCTAGCAGAAGGCAAGAAATAACTAAGATCAGAGCAGAACTGAAGGAAATAGAGACATAAAAAACCCTTCAAAAACTCAATGAATCCAGGAGCTCGTTTTTTGAAAAGATCAACAAAATTGATAGACTGCTAGCAAGACTAATAAAGAAGAAAAGAGAGAAGAATCAAATAGACACAACAAAAAATGATAAAGGGGATATCACCACCGATCCCACAGAAATACAAACTACCATCAGAGAATACTATAAACACCTCTACACAAATAAACTAGAAAATCTAGAAGAAATGGATAAATTCCTCGACACATACACCCTCCCAAGACTAAACCAGGAAGAAGTTGAATCTCTGAATAGACCAATAACAGGCTCTGAAATTGAGGCAATAATTAATAGCTTACCAACCAAAAAAAGTCCAGGACCAGACGGATTCACAGCCAATTTCTACCAGAGGTACAAGGAGGAACTGGTACCATTCCTTCTGAAACTATTCCAATCAATAGAAAAAGTAGGAATCCTCCCTAACTCATTTTATGAGGCCAGCATCATCCTGATACCAAAGCCTGGCAGAGACACAACAAAAAAAGAGAATTTTAGACCAATATCCCTGATGAACATCAGTGCAAAAATCCTCAATAAAATACTGGTAAACCGAATCCAGCAGCACATCAAAAAGCTTATCCACCATGATCAAGTGGGCTTCATCCCTACGATGCAAGGCTGGTTCAACATATGCAAATCAATAAATGTAATCCAGCACATAAACAGAATCAAAGACAAAAACCACATAATTATTTCAATAGATGCAGAAAAGACCTCTGACAAAATTCAACAACGCTTCATGCTAAAAACTCTCAATAAATTAGGTATCGATGGGACATATCTCAAAATAATAAGAGCTATCAATGGCAAACCCATAGCCAATATCATACGGAATGGACAAAAACTGGAAGCATTCCCTTTGAAAACTGGCACAAGACAGGGATGCCCTCTCTCACCACTCTTATTCAACATAGTGTTGGAAGTTCTGGCCAGGACAATCAGGCAGGAGAAGGAAATAAAGGGTATTCAATTAGGAAAAGAGGAAGTCAAATTGTCCCTCTTTGCAGATGACATGATTGTATATCTAGAAAACCGCATCATCTCAGCCCAAAATCTCCTTAAGCGGATAAGCAACTTCAGCAAAGTCTCAAGATACAAAATCAATGTGCAAAAATCACAAGCATTCTTATACACCAATAACAGACAGAGAGCCAAATCAAGAGTGAACTCCCATTCACAATTGCTTCAAAGAGAATAAAATACCTAGGAATCCAACTTACAAGGGATGTGAAGGACCTCTTCAAGGAGAACTACAAACCACTGCTCAAGGAAATAAAAGAGGATACAAACAAATAGAAGAACATTCCATGTTCATGGGTAGGAAGAATCAATATTGTGAAAATGGCCATACTGCCCAAGGTAATTGATAGATTCAATGCCATCCCCATCAAGCTACCAATGGCTTTCTTCACAGAATTGGAAAAAAACTACTTTAAAATTCATATGGAACCAAAAAAGAGCCTGCATTGCCAAGTCAATCCTAAGCCAAAAGAACAAAGCTGGAGGCATCGCACTACCTGACTTCAAACTATAATACAAGGCTACAGTAACCAAAACAGCATGGTACTGGTAACCAAACAGAGATATAGACCAATGGAACAGAACAGAGCCCTCAGAAATAATGCCGCATATCTACAACCATCTGATCTTTGACAAACCTGAGAAAAACAAGCAATGGGGAAAGGATTCCCTATTTAATAAATGGTGCTGGGAAAACTGGCTAGCCATATGTAGAAAGCTGAAACTGGATCCCTTCCTTACACCTTATACAAAAATTAATTCAAGATGGATTAAAGACTTAAATGTTAGACCTAAAACCATAAAAACCCAAGAAGAAAACCTAGGCAATACCTTTCAGGACATAGGCATGGGCAAGAACTTCACGTCTAAACCACCAAAAACAATGGCAACAAAGCCAAAATTGACAAATGGGATCTAATTAAACTAAAGAGCTTCTGCACAGCAAAAGAAACCACCACCAGAGTGAACAGGCAACCTACAGAATGGGAGAAAATTTTTGGAATCTACTCATCTGACAAAGGGCTAATATCCAGAATCTACAAAGAACTCAAACAAATTTACAAGAAAAAAACAAACAACCCTATCAAAAAGTGGGTGAAGGATATGAACAGACACTATTCAAAAGAAGACATTTATGCAGCCAAAAGACACATGAAAAAATGGTCATCATCACTGGCCATCAGAGAAATGCAAATCAAAACCACAATGAGATACCATCTCACACAAGTTAGAGTGGCGATCATTAAAAAGTCAGGAAACAACAGGTGCTGGAGAGGATGTGGAGAAATAGGAATACTTTTGCACTGTTGGTGGGACTGTAAACTAGTTCAACCATTGTGCAAGTCAGTGTGGCAATTCCTCAGGGATCTGGAACTAGAAATACCATTTGACTCAGCCATCCCATTACTGGGTATATACCCAAAGGATTATAAAACATGCTGCTATAAAGACACATGCACACGTATGTTTATGGCGGCACTATTCACAATAGCAAAGACTTGGAACCAACCCAAATGTCCAAAAATGATAGACTGGATTAAGAAAATGTGGCAAATATACACCATGGAGTACTATGCAGCCATAAAAAAGGATGAGTTAATGTCCTTTGTAGGGACATGGATGAAGCTGGAAACCATCATTCTCAGCAAACTATCATCACAAGGACAAAAAAACAAACACCGCATGTTCTCACTCATAGGTGGGAATTGAACAATGAGAACACATGGACACAGGAAGGGGAACATCACATACCGGGGACTGTTGTGGGGTGGGGGGAGGGGCGAGGGATAGCATTAGGAGATATACCTAATGTTAAATGACGAGTTAATGGGTGCAGCACACCAACATGGCACATTTATACATATGTAACTAACCTGCACGTTGTGCATATGCCCTAAAACTTAAAGTATAATAAAAAAATAAATTAAAAAAATAAAATAAAATGCTTAATAGATATTATTCTATGATGCTGCCAGTGCTCTAAAGGATTCACAGGTCCACAGAACTGATGGACAAACTCTTTCAACTTACACACAGAGGAGACAGCAATTGGCCCATATAGATCCATTTATTATTAAACTATTTATTTATAATTTTAAGATCACAGAATATTAAACTAATGTGGACCTCTATGTTCATAACCTTGCTCAAGAAGTTCTTGTGCTTTGAAGTCTACACTGAGATTCCCAACTCTCTTCCCCAACCAAGTTAATTACTTTCTTGTTTATTTCTATATGTATCTACTATTGTATTGACAGCACTGCACAATCAATATTTACTTTGGGCTATAAACTGTGGACAAGGCCCATGTTTTCACTTCTGTATCCTCAGTGCCTGGCAAGGTGCTTAAGCATATAATAGGCAACCAGGAATATTTCTTGAATAAACCAACAAATGAGTGAATAGAATTCTATTGTTTACAGGTGATTTTTAAAAAAGATCCAGAGATATTTAGTTGTTCACCATTACTTATTTGAAAATATGGGGTCAGAACCCAGACTCCTAATGCCAAGTTCTGTGCTTGCTCTACAAAATTAAAAGCCAAATACATTTTTGGGACTAATGAGCCGATATGCAATATCCATTCTAATTCTCACATAATATTGCATACCCTGCAACAAAGTAAATCATTCACCACTTCTTATTTATCAGCCCATTGAAACTTGGAACACAGAGGAATTGCAAAGCCCAAATTGCTTGTCATAGACTAAACTGCTCTCTTCCCATGAGGTTGCTTTCCCACTTAAATCATAATTCATGTGCTGTGCTTTCTTCATTTAGGCTTCATGGAATGTCAAACATTTTTTATCATAGGCTGCATAGCGCAACCGATTTATAGAATGGCATTGGGTATAATAATCTTTTCCATAAGGCTAGTCCCACAGAGGATTCTGTCATGATATTTTGATGAAAGCTAATTATGTCCCCCTTCCTTAATCCTCCTTCCATCATACCAAAGAATGACTATCAGGAGAGTGCCAGCTGGACCACTCTTCTCCTTCACTCAGACACTGACTGTCAAGAACTTTATTTACCACCAAGATGGAAAGTATCTTTCCTCCTGCCTTAGGGCTTCTACATATAATTTTGACAGCCTTTACTTTATCAAAGAAATTGTGTCAATTTAAAAACTGCAGCCTTCCTTACTGTGGTTGAATATCAAATTTTAGATACAGAAAGATCTCTTTAATGCCAACTTAAAAGAAAATTTAAGGCCAAATGAGAGAAGATTTATACTTTTGAAAGGACATTAATATTGTAATGATCACTGTGGCATTCTTTCAGCAGGAGTTCCTTAAAATCAAGTTTCGCCAGATACCACAATTATTTTAAGACATTAACTGGTATACATACCACCTGCATGCCAAGCACTACATATATATCATGACTATTGAAGGAGGAGGGGAGGTAACAAGATCCCAACCTGCATAATTTTGTGCAAATGTTTCTGATACATGAAATAGTTGGTGAAGAAACATAGAAGCAAGCATCTCTGAGACTGAGGCATCTCATCAAATGACAGAGCCAGTGCCATTAGGAAAGCAGCAGACATGCCTTCAGAGAACAGAGCTCACCATGTCTCTGTATATGGCTTTTCTCCCGCTTTTCTTGAAATAAAGCAGGACGTCTATGCCATGGCTGCATGTTAGAAATATAGTGGAGCTTTTTAAAGAACTCTGATGATTGGGCTCTATTCGAGTCCAATTAAATCAGAATGCCCAGGGATGAGGTCCAGGAATGGGTACCTTTAAAAGCTCCCTAGGCCATTCTATTATGCTTTAAAGCCACATCCAAATGAAATTTTAACCTGCAGCCACCTTAGGGGGTTGACATAGTCCCCAGAAATATATTCAAAACACTGTCTCATGACCTTCCACCGTCAACAGGCTACCAAAATGGTTATAAATTGTGTTCATTTGCATCAGTACTCTCTCTGCTCACCACTGCAAACTCCTTCCCTAAGGCATGTTTCCAAACACCTTCAAAATGCCAATTTAACTAAAAGGTCAAATCAAAGTAAGATCAGGGTGAACAGAGGAGCCTATAATGTGCCCAGAACATCCTCTAGCCTGAAATGCCTAAACACACAAGCATGACCAGAGGGTGATCAACAGCACAGCCAAAATGTTGTAGGCAGTCCAAAGTCTTTTTTATTTTTTTCAATTTCAGCAGATCTCATTTCCATTTCATCTAACTGTCATGGTTTTCCTTGGGTGGGTCCCCTGTTGCTGCAATGAGTCTTTTCACTGATGCTTCTGCTTAATTGGTTGCATCTTCCTTGGAATTTGAACCCAAGGTAACGTTACTAGGAAAAATTCTAGTTATCTCCTGAACCAGTTAATACGGAAAGAAAGTCTTTATGTGGCCAAATCAAGCCCTTTCAGCTATGAACCTAACACCTGGTCCACAGCATTCCAAGAATGTCAGCTGCTGAGGCCAGGACCCATCACGCAGGCCTGTGGTGTCTGGTGACCCGAAAGGAAAAGTATTTGGGTTGCTCCTTCCTATTTAAGATTCACTGCTTGTGCTGACTCGAGCAGGCAGACAGCAGCTGTGGTAAAACCTCTATTTGTTCCAGTTGGTTCTTTCATTCCCTACTGGGCCATCTTGTAAATTGGCAGTTATAAGTAATGACAAAGAGACCCTCTCAAGGTTGGCAGGTGTGATGAGTAAGTAACATGCAGACATATCACCTGCAGTAGAACAATCTCTCAGCTGTCCTCGAGATGGAAACAAAACTCTCCACCTTTATCAGTTCTTCCCAATATGTACTGAAATCTGTTTCTCTTCACCATGAGCCTTGAACCTTGGTTTGATTTAATCTCTAGCAGCTTCTATTTTCTTGGTTTATAAAACATCTGAGCTATTTAAAAGGAAGTGGAGTGAGCTGGCATAGCTATTGACCTCATTTTGGTAAGTGAAATCACTGGCTGATGAAAAACATAATGAACCATGATAGAGACAGCCACTGATGAGCAGACCCTGGACAGACTAACATTTCAAGGTTGGCTCAGATTATCGCCACCAAATCTAACAACCCAGTAATAAATCCACCAATTCATCACTGAGAAAAAAACCCAATTGTTTGAGAGAGTCATTGCACTCTAAAAGTTGAATACACTTCATCGCATTAAGTAAAATAGATCTATATTATTTTGCTCTATTTTGTGTATGGCATCAAAGGTAAATGGTATGGATTTTAATGAGATTTTTATGTAGTCCACTCCCTATTTGTCAGGTATCAATAACTGATTTTCTGGATTATTGAAAAAAATTTAAATTAATGAGAGCCTTTGATTTGAGAGTATTATAATTCAAACTCCTTTTTTTTCCTTTTGAGTGGTTATTGATCCTGATAGGTTTTGTTTGTTTTGTTCTGTTTTTAGTTACCATTATAGCCATATTTCTGGCACCAAATTTAATAATACATTCTCTTTATCATCTCCTGGAAAAGTGTATTTAATTTTTATGTGCTTAGTTATAATAGCTTTTTAAAGCAATATGGATTAAAAGGCAAGGTTCATAATTCTTGACCTACTATTTAAAAGAGCTATAATACATTATTACATCTAGAATATTGTTAGGAACTCTTAATCCAGTAATGATTCACCTGCCAGACAGTGAATGAGTCACATTTCTTTTGAAACACTGATTTATCATCTTAGTAGGAATGTGACTATTTTAGAAATGAAATGGGCTATAATCTCAGGAATCTTTTTTTTTTTTTTTTTTGCTGTTGCCAGAATGGTATTCATCTGGAAAGCTAATAGAAAGAACAATTAGCAGGATATGCCCAAAGAATGGTGCCTCTGGTGCACAGCCTGGATTGCTTTTTAATTTTTCTTATAAATCTCTCCAGTATTGTTAGGCCACCATGTGGAATAATAGCCAATGACTCATTGCTTTTAAAATGGAAAGGACTCAAATCTTTCTTACCCTTGTGTCATTCTCTTTGTCTTGTAGGCAAGTCACCTGACATTTACAGTAATTGTATATTTTAATGAAAATTTTGTCTTTTTTTGGTCTTTCTCTTGCCCTTAGCAGTCTATTCCCAATTCTTGGAACCACACTGGAGAGCATAAGAACCATGTCAAAGTTATGGACTGGGCATATATTTGTGTTATAATTGAAAATCCTGGAGTTCTTAGGGAAAACTATTGTATTTCTCAAGATTATTTCAATATCAAGGATAAGTGAACCCAATAAGGGAACTACGTCTCTTATTTAATTGAGCTCTCTGTTAAAGAGTGAGCCAAGAGTGTCATTGTCTGCTTTTAGTTCAAAGGGACACTGTTCTGGGTTGGTGTGGATAAGGATGTCAGACTTTTGGGGCTCAAGACTTGGGACATCTAAATAGAGCTTGGTCATGAATAAAAGGTTTCAGTTTCAATGATGCCTGAAATAGCAATTATAAAAAATGTATTCTAGGCATTGAAACAAGCAGTAACTTGCTGAAAGTCAAAGCTGAAGACCTTGGTGTTTTTCAAAATGGACAGCTGTTATTTTTTCCTTCTGTCAGGGGACAGTTTCCCTTTTCTTTTGAGGAGCTGCATTTCCCTCCACCTCAGATAATTATTTTATTCTATCCTCTTGGTCACAGGAGTGAGAGCATGGCACAAACTAGGGCACTTAGAGTCTTTTTCTTGGATGTCAAATGTAGTCAGGGGACAGAAGCCCCATTCTCCTAAGTAATGAAACAGAGAAAATGGAACAGAAGCGAGAACTGAGAAATAAAGTTACACACTTACAGCCATCTAATCTTTGACAAAATTGACAAAAATAAGCAATGGGGAAAGGACTCTTTATTCAATAAATAGTGATAGAATACCTGGCTAGCCTAGCCATATGCAGAAGAACAAAACTGGACCCTTACCTTTCACCATATACAAAAATTAACTCAAGATGGATTAAAAGTTTAAATGTAAGACCTCAAACTATAAGAATCCTAGAAGAATAAACCAAGGAAACACCATTCTGGATATAAGCCCTGGAAAAGAATTTAAGACTAAGTCCTCAAAAGCAATTGCAACAAAAACAAAAATTGACAATTGAGACTTAATTAAACTAAAGAGCTTCTGCACAGCAAAATGAACTATCAAGTAAAAAGAAAACCTACAGAATGGGAGAAAATATTCTTAATCTATGCATCTGACAAAAGACTAATATCCAAAATCTATAAGGAACCTAAATAAATCAACAAGAAAAAAGACACCACTAAAAAGTGGGTAAAGGACACAAACAGACACTTCTCAAAAGAAGACATACAAGTGGCCAAGAAACATATGAAAAACTGTTCCTCATCACTAATTATCAGAGAAATGCAAATCAAAACCACAATGAGACACCATCTCATACCACTCAGAATGGCTATTATTAAAAAGTCAAATAACAACAGATGTTGGTGAGGCTGTGGAGAAAAGGAGACATTACACACTGTTGGTGGGAATGTAAATTAGTTCAGCCCCTGTGGAAAGCAGTTTGGAGATATCTCAAAGAACTTAAAAGCAGGCCTACCATTCAACCCAGCAATCTCATTACTGGATATATATCCAAAAGAAATCAAATTGTTCTACCAAAAAGACACGGGCATTTGCATGTTCATCATGGCACTATTCACAATAGCAAAGACATAGAATCAACCTAGATGTCTATGAGTGGTGGACTGAATTTAAAAAATGTGGTACATATACACTGTGGAATACTAATGCAGCCATAAAAAAGAACAAAATTGTGCCCTTTGCAGCAACATGAATGGAGCTGGAGGTTGCATTCCTAAGCAAATTAATGCAGGAACAGAAAACCAAATATCATATGTTCTTACTTATAAGTGGAAGCTAAACATTGGGTAGTCATGGACATTACAATGGCAACAATAGACGCTGGGGACTACTAGAGAGGGGAGGGTGGAAGGGTGCCAAGGTTGAAAAACTAACTGTTGGTTACTATGCTCAGTACCTGGGTAATAGACTCATCTGGAACCCAAACATCATCATCAGGCAATATACCCAGGTATTAAGCTTGCACATGTATGCCCTGAATCTAAAATAAAATTTGAAAAAGAAAAAAAATGTTTATCCAATGATGTTTACATATTACCTCAGAGCTCTGGGATGGTGTCAAATGCAAGGATATAAGAGGCAAGGATGTCTACTGAGTATTTGTGAATTAAAGCTAGTGGAATTAACTTTACTCTGCATTCTTTTACCTGAAATGAGTTGACCCAAAATATGCTATGAATATTTTTTCTCCAGCTGCAAAATTCATAATAATTTGGAAATTTGGAATAATTTGAAGAATGGTTGGTACAAATTTCAGTGCAGGTTTTTCTTCTTATTTTGGTTGTGAACACATGTTTTCTAGCATCAATTCTTAAAGATAATTTGTCCAGTGGCTGAAAGAAAACCAGTATAATTGATAAACTATGCATGTCAAAACAGGATTTGGTGCGTGGGAGTTAAACACTCTTGTGGAAGTGTCTGAATCTCCCTCAGATGTCAGTAGAGTACAGTGAGATAGGATCCTCTGTCTTTAAAAAAATTTTTTTTCTTTAGGGACCTATCTGTCTATGATTAGGGATAAAATAGTTACAGCAAAAATGTAGTATGCTGGTGAAATATGGACATATGAGAAACCACATTCAGGATCATAATAGGATGTGTCAACATCGGGATCTTTAAACATCAGTAGTTGCCTGTATTCTAGGACCAGTGAGGAGTGCTTGGTCTCCCGCAGTGCTAACTGCTCTCCTGAGGGAAAGCCGATAGACAGGGCAGAGATGTTTTTAGGAAAGCCTGAAAATGCACACCAGGAGCATGAGTAGAAAACTAAAAGACAGATGAATCTATAGCTTCATTGTCTAACAACTCGGCACCTCCATGGTAGATTTCTACCAGCAAAGGAATAGTCGAAGTTGTAAAATGATTTTAATCTGTGTCATGAGTAATTGGGACTTCAAAGTATTTAAGCCTTGAATATATATTATTTTTGATATATATGATTTAAATCAAACAATTTCCTGCCATCCCCTTGAAATCACAACTCAAATGTTAACCTTAAGTGCCTCCTTGTTTATTGAAATGGCCTCACTACAGGCCCCACACTCTATGGTGACCAGAAGCTTCATTGTAGAAGGTTCACACAGTCTGGTTTGAAGCAGGGATTTGCTCTGATACTTTTTCCCCCAAGCAGTTTAAATCAACATCAGAAAACAATGTTTAGTTGTTTTATTTATCAAAATAATTGAAGGAGAGATTTGTGAAATTATTTAGAAGTATGGCAATTTGAATTGTTAAGATTTATTTTATTCATGATGTATTTTAAAACATCAGGGCAAACAGCCTATCACAAAAACTAACATATGACTAAAAATGCTTTCTTCTAAATATTTTTCTTTAGCAATAAAAAATGTTTATTTTATAAAATCAAATTTTGTTTAAAAGTTTAAATTACTTTAGTTGTAAGTAAATTTACAACTTTAGTTGTAAATTTATTAATAAAAATAAATTGGTCAATATGTTGGAGCAGGGGATTCTGCAGACAATTTAGCTTCATTCTTCCTGCCTTATTTAAAGACAAAAGTCGATACAACATATTCTTTCTTCCCTCACAAATAGTTCCTTTTATCAGAATGAATGAATAATATCTCACAAAGAAATATTCATTTTCTAACTGTAGAAGCAGTTACTGCTATCACAAGCTAGATTTTCACTTCAATAGCAACTGATGTGCCGAGAACTCCAGTGTAGGTCACTTGGGGAGATATTTGTTAAACCCTCATCAGTCTCTTGACATTCACTGTGGTTGGTATAATATTACGGAGCCATATTTACAACATCCCTGTGCCACTTGTGGCTAGTTGCCATGAGAGATTTCCTTTTTATCACGCTGATTGGGACCAAAATGTTGGTCGCATCAGCAGAGGCCAGATTATAGAACAAGAGGCCTGAGGTCTCTGCAGCTTGAAAGGGTGGGGTATGTAAACCTAGGAGAAAACATGGGACATGATTGTTTGGGTGGGAATTAAAGCTATGTTTCAACTTGGGAAATTGATCTAGAGAGAAAGGAAAGGCAGGATGAGCATGCTGTTGGCAAAAGATCAAACTGAGGGGAGTCTCAGAGACCTGCTCACTCAGATAATGGTTGGAGGTTCAGGTAAACAGATAACAGGATATTGAGGAGGTCCAGGAGCAACTATCAGGGACCTGGTTGTGGGAATGAATATTGGGATATAGCTAGCAGAAATCTAGAGTTTGTGTAAATTTGTATGGCAGGCAGGGAATTTCGTCATTGAAAGGGCAGTGCTGGAATCCGGGTAATGAAAGAGTCAAGTCACTGAAGACCTGTGTCTTGGTCAGGAAGCCCACGCTGCACTGAAATGTGAGAAAGGGCCTCGTCCTAGGGAACTCAGTCAATCCAAAGTTGTTATGGATTTTCTATGCCCTGAAGATGCTGGATTATTTCCAATTCTGGCTGACAGACTAAAAATAATGTCACTGATACTAATCATAGCAGCAAAGACTTATTGAGAATTTTCTATGTTCTAAGCACTGATCTACCTGTTTTGTAGGTACCAGTTCATTTAAATCTCACAGCAACCTTTTGAGGTGGGTTCTATCTTCATATACATTTTACAGAAAAAGAAATTAAGACCAAGTAACTTGCCCACAGCCATATAGCTAGTACGTGGTGGGGCCCAGCTTCTAACCAAGCAGTCTGTGTGTGTTCTGGAGCCTGCGGTTATATCCGCTTTGCATGTGGCCTATTACAGTTCTATTTACCATGCCAATGTCAAGCACCGTCCCTGGTTGGGATTGTGGGAAGCAGACTCTGAGATGGGGTGCAGTATGTAAGATGTAAGGCAGGACTCTATCTGCAGGGCCCGACAACAAAGCCTGCCTATTGTAACCATTCCCAGGTACCAGGGCACTTGGGACATACTCCTGAGATCAACACTTGTGGGAATGGAAGCAGGACTGGGAAGACAGAAATCAACCCATTGGGAGCTCTGGAGTGAAATGGCATGAGGGAGTTGTCCTGTGTTGGATTGAATGGGCCAGAGCTGCCTCAGGAAGGGCATGATCTTGGGCAGGGTGTGCTCTGTATCTGCAGGGCCTGGCAGTAAAGTCTGCCTATTGACACTACTCCCAAGTACAAGGGAACTTTCTTAAGGGGAATCTCATCTGCACAGTGCATCCCTGTGCCTATAACAAATACATTTCTATTTTCTGAAAATTTCTAGAAAAGATTTAAAGTTTATTCTGCTACTCCTGCTCTTTCTTAGAGGGACCTTAAATCCCAATTTGCTCAATACAGTCCTGGTTTATACTTGTATTCCCAGCATAATTATTAATAGCTTCTCCTTTTACTCTTAAAAGCATCCTGGTTGAATGTAAGTTATTTTATCTTCTTGATGCTCTACTGTTCCTCCTTGTTCCTCTACTAATAATCTCTTATTAATTTAGTTTCTAAAAAATGATATTTTGATAGAAATAAGGGCTCTCTGTTTACAAAATTTTTCAAAGATAAAACAATTCTCATGTCTGGCATCACTTATCTAATGTTTCCAGCATGCTGGCTGAAAAAAAAAAAAACTCAAAAGTTTGACAATCACAACTAATTATTTTTTCTTATACTAATATGAATGGGATAGTATCACCTACTACTAAGAATATGTTTTTTAGTGTTGTAAAATATTATATAAGGATGACTCTTGGACTCCTTAAGGTTGGCTACCTAAATAGAATAAGGTCTGTTGAAATACTAAGTCATGAATGAATAAAATATCTCCAATTCTCTTTGGTCTATATTTAAATAAAGTAACGTCAACACGAACATCTGAATTTTGCTAAGGCCTCACTCTCATTCCATGTTCTTTACCTTGAAAGCAAAGTACCATTTCCCCTTCAGTCACTTTTTGTGAATTTTAATGGGTATCTCCTATGACCTGAGAAATAAGCCCCTACATATCCTTCTGCTGTGGACTTCTGATTAAGTTCCTTTGCTCACAAGCCATTATAAAGTGGTATCTGGCTGCCAAACGCTAATGGCCAGCACCTGGCTGCTTCCCTGGTGACCCTCTCTGCAGGGTAAAGGTCCTCTCTGCCTCGAGGGCCCTGCTACCTACCGCCCCTCATTTGGGTATGTGGCGTTGCACCTTTCTCTCAGGGGTGGGCTCAGAGGCAGCACCGATTGAGTGTGAGCTTCCTCAACACAGGTCTGCTGTGTGCACACCTTGGTCATAGTGGATTACATCTAATCCTTGGAGTGGGGCCCAGGGCAAAAACAGATTGTCTGTGTTCTCTTGTCCCTCTTCAGATTTGGCCCAGGCATATAAACGTAAAATATGAAAGTTAATATTTGCCCTGCACATATAAATTAATTAATTAAACAGTTGCCTGGAAGATCACTGACTCATCAATTTGTTAAATGCAAAGATATAATTTTCAAAAAAGTAGGTAAGTCTCTTAGTGAGAATCTGTTTAACATCGAGAGATCTTTTTAACTTATAAATGATATGGAATGACAAAGCAGATTACACACATACACACATATAAGGGGAGGAGACAGACAGAGACGGAGGGAGAAAGAGGTGTGTGGAAAATGATTGCTGGAATAAGGGTGTTAATTTAGAGTCGAAACTGGGTAATATCATACAGTGAAGTACAATGATAAATCTTTTTTTTCTTTTCCATAAGTTATTGGGGTACAGGTGGTATTTGGTTACATAAGTAAGTTCTTTAGTGGTGACTTGCGAAATTTGGTGCACCCATCACCCAAGCGGTATACACAGCACCATATTTGTAGTCTTTTATCCCTCGCCTCCCTCCCACTCTTCCCCCCAAGTCCCCAAAGTCCATTCTTAATTCCTTGTGTCCTCATAGCTTAACTCCCACATATCAGTGAGAACATATGATGTTTAGTTTTTCATTCCTGAGTTACTTTTCTTAGAATAATAGTCTCCAGTCTCATCCAGGTCAATGCAAATGCTGTTAATTCATTCCCTTTTATGGCTGAGTAGTATTCCATTGTACATATATACCACAGTTTACCCACTCATTCATTGATGGGCATTTGGGTTGGTTCCACGATTTTGTAATTGTGAATTGTGCTGCTATAAACGTGTGTGCAAGTATCTTTTTCATATAATGACTTCTTTTCCTCTGGGTAGATATTCAGTGGGATTGCTGGATCAAATGGTAGCCCTACTTTTAGTTCTTTAAGGAATCTCCACACTGTTTTCCATAGTGGCTGTACTAGTTTACATTCCTACCAGCAGTGTAGAAGTGTTCCCTGATCACCGAAGCCACACCAACATCTACTGTTTTTTGATTTGTTGATTATGGCCATTCTTGCAGGAGTAAGGTGGTATCACATTGTGGTTTTGATTTGCATTTCCCTGATCATTAGTGATGTTGAGCATTTTTTCATATGTTTGTTGGCCTTTTGTATATCTTCTTTTGAGAGCTGTCTATTCATGTCCTTAGCCCACTTTTAGATGGGATTGTTTTTTTTTCTTATTGATTTGAGTTTGTTGCAGATTCTAGATATTAGTCCTTTGTCAAATGTATAGATTATGAAGATTTTCTCCCAATCTGTAGGTTGTCTGTTTACTCTGCTGACTGTCCCTTTTGCTGTGCAAAAGCTCTTTAGTTTAATTAGGTCCCAGCTATTTATCTTTGTTTTTATTTCATTTGCTTTTGGGTTCTTAGTCATGAAATCCTTGCCTAAGCCAATGTCTAGAAGGGTTTTTCCAATGTTATCTTCTAGAATTTTTATAGTTTAAGGTCTTAGGTTTAAGTGCTTGATCCATCTTGAGTTGATTTTTATATAAGGTGAGAGATGAAGATCCAGTTTCATTCTCCTACATGTGGCTAGCCAATTATCCCAGCACCATTTGTTGAAAAGGGTGTCCTTTCCCCACTTTATGTTTTTGTTTGCTTTGTCAAAGTTCAGCTGGCTCTAAGTATTTGGGTTTATTTCTGGGTTCTCTATTCTGTTCCATTGGTCTATGTGCCTATTTTTATACCAGTACCATGCTGTTTTGGTGACTATGGCCTTATAGTATAGTTTGAAATCAGGTAGCGTGATGCCTCAAGATTTGTTCTTTTTGCTTAGTCTTGCTTTGGCTATGCAGGCTCTTTTTTGGTTCCATATGAATTTTAGAATTGTTTTTTCTAATTCTATGAGGAATGATGGTGGTATTTTGATGGGGATTGCACTGAATTTGTAGATCACTTTTAGCAGTATGGTCATTTTTACAATATTGATTCTACCCATCCATGAGCATGGGATGCGTTTTCATTTCTGTCTATGATTTCTTTCAGCAGTATTTTGTAGTTTTCCTTGTAGAGGTCTTTCAACTCCTTGGTTGGGTATATTCCTAAGTTTGTTTTTGTTTTTGTTTTTGTTTTCAGCTATTGTAAAAGTTGTTGAGTTCTTGATTTGATTCTCTGCTTGGTCGCTGTTGGTGTACAGAAGAGCTACTAATTTGTGTTCATTAATCTTGTATCTGGAAACTTTGCGACCTCTTTTATCAGTTCTAAGAGACTTCTGGGGGAGTCGTTAGGGTTTTCAAGATAAATAATCATATCGTCAGCAAACAGTGACAGTTTGACTTCCTCTTTACCGATTTGGATGCCCTTTATTTCTTTCTCCTGTCTGATAGCTCTGGATAGAACTTCCAGTACTATGTTGAAGAGGAGTGGTGACAGTGGGCATCCTTGTCTTGTTCCGGTTCTCAGAGGGAATGATTTCAACTTTTCCCCATTCAGTATTACGCTTGCTGCAGGTTTGTCAGAGATGGCTTTTATTACATTAAGGAATGTCCCTTGTATGCCAATTTTGCTGAGAGTTTTAATCATAAAGGCGTGCTGGACTTTGTCAAATGCTTTTTTTTGCATCTATTGAGATGATCATGTGATTTTTAAGTCTGTTTACATGGTGTGTCACATTTATTGACTTGTGTATGTTAAACCATCCCTGCATCCCTAGGATGAAACCCACTTGATCATGGTGGATTATCTTTTTGATACGTTGTTGGATTCAGTTAACTAGTATTTTGTTAAGGATTTTAGCATCTATGTTCATCAAGAATATCGGTTGTGGTTTTCTTTTTCGTTATGTCTTTTCCTGGTTTGGGTATTAGGATGATGCTGGCTTCATAGAATAAATTAGGGAGGATTCCTTCTTTCTCTATCTTTCAGAATAGTGTCAAAAGAATTGATACCAATTCTTTTAATATCTGGTAGAATTCTGCTGTAAATCCATCTGGTCCTGGACTTTTTTATCGGTAATTTTTAAATTACCATTTCAATCTTGTGGCTTGTTATTGGTCTGTTCAGGTATCTAATTCTTCATAATTTAAGCTAGGAGGGTTGTGTTTTCCCAGGAACTTATCCATCTCTTCTAGGTTTTCTAGTTTATGTGTCTAAAGGTGTTTATAGTATCTTGAATGATCTTTTGTATTTCAGTGGTGTCAGTTGTAATATCACCTGTTTTATTTCTTAGTGAGGATATATGGATTTCCTCTCTTCTTGGTTATTCTTGCCAATGGTCTATCAAGTTTATTTATCTTTTCAAAAAAATGGCTTTTTGTTTCATTTATCTTTTGTGTATATATTTTTGCTTCCATTTCATTTAGTTCTCATCTGATCTTGGTTATTTCCTTTCTTCTGGGTTTAGGTTTAGTTTGTTCTTGTTTCTTTAGTTCCTTGAGGTGTGACCTTCGAGTGTCAAGTTTGTGCTCTTTCCGTCTTTTTGATGTAGGCATTTAGGGCTATCAACTTTCCTCTTAGCACTGCCTTTGCTGTATCCCAGAGATTTTGGTAGGCTGTGTCTTTATTGTCATTCAGTTCAAAAAAATTCTAAATTTTCATCTTGATTTCATTTTTGACTCAATGCTCATTCAGGAGCAGGTTATTTCATTTCCATGTATTTGTATGGTTTTGAAGGTTCCTTTTGGTGTTGATTTCCAGTTTTATTCTGTGGTCTGAGAAACTGCTTGATATAATTTCTATTTTCTTAAATGTATGGAGGCTAGTTTCATGACCTATCATATGGTCTATCTTGGAGAAAGTTCCATGTGCTGTCGAATAGAATGTGTATTCTGCAGTTGTTGGATGAAATGTTCTGTATATATCTGTTAAGTGCATTTGTTCCAAGGTATAGGTTGAATCCATTGTTTCTTTGTTGACTTTCTGTCTTGATGACCTGTCTAGTGCTGTCAGTGGAGTATTGAAGTCCCCTACTTTTATTGTGTTTTTGTCTATTTCATTTCTTAGGTCTGTTAGTAATTTTAGTAATTAGTAATTTAGTTTTACAAATTTGGGAGCTCCAGTGTTAGGCGCATATATGTTTAGGATTGTGATATTTTCTTGTTGGACAAGGCCTTTACCATTATATAATGTCCCTCTTTTCTTTTTTAACTGTCATTGCTTTAAAGTTTGTTTTGTCTGATATAAGAATAGCTACCCTGCTGGGTTCTGTTGCCCATTTGCATGAAATGCCTTTTTCCACCCCATTACTTTTAAGTTTGTGTGAGTCCTTATGTGTTAGTTAAGTCTATTGAAGGTAGCAGGTAGTTGATTGGTGAGTTCTTATCCATTCTGTGGTTTTGTATCTTTTAAGTTGAACATTTAGGCCATTTACATTCAATGTTAGTATTGAAGTGTGAGGTACTGTTGCATTCATCATGCTCTTTGTTGCCTTGTATACTTTGATTTTTTTTGTTTTTTGCTTTTGCTTTTTAATTTGTATTTTTGTTTTATAGGTCCTGTGTGATTTATGCTTTAAAGAGGTTCTGTTTCGATGTGTTTCCAGGATTTGTTTCAAGATTTAGAGCTCCTTTTAGCAGTTCTTATAGTAGTGGCTTAGTAATGGTGAATTCTCACAGCATTTGTTTGTCTGAAAAAAACTGTATCTTTCCTTCATATATGATGCTTAGTTTCACTGGATACAAAATTCTTGGCTGAGATAATTGCTTTGTTTGAGGAGGCTGAAGATAGGATCCCAATCCCATCTGGCTTTAGGGTTTCTGCTGAGAAATCTGCTGTTAATCTGATAGGTTTTCCTTTATAGTTTACCTGGTGCTTCTGTCTCATAGCTCGTAAGTCTTTCCTTTGTCTTAACTTTTGATAACCCTATGACAATGTGCCTAGGTGATAATCTTTTTGTGATGAATTTCTCAGATGTTCTTTGTGCTTCTTGTATTTGGATGTCTAGGTTGCTACCAAGGCCAAAGAAGTTGTCCTTGATTATCCCCCCATATACATTTTCCAAGCCTTTAGAATTCTCTTCTTCCTCAGGAACGTCATTATTCTTAGGTTTGGTCATTTAACAGAATCCCAGACTTCTTGGAGGCTTTGTTCATATTTACTTACTCTTTTTTCTTTGTATTTGTTGGATTGGGTTAATTCAAAGACCTTGTCTTTGAGCTCTGAATTTCTTTTTTCTACTTGTTCAAGTCTATTGCTGAGACTTTCCAGAGCATTTCACATTTCTAAAAGTGTGTGCAAAGTTTCCTGAATTTTTTTGTTTTTCCTTTCAGCTACCTATTTCCTTGAATATTTCTCCCTTCGCTTCTTGTATCATTTTTTGGATTTCTTTGCATTGGTCTTTGCCTTTCTCTGGTGCCTCCCTGATTAACTTAGTAAATAACCTTCTGATTTCTTTTTAGGCAAATCAGGGATTTCTTTTTGGTTTGGAGCCATTGCTGGTGAACTAGCGTGACTTATTGGGTGTGTTAAATAGCCTTGTTTTGTCATATTACCAGAATTGGTTTTCTGGTTCCTTCTCATTTGGGTAGGCTCTGTCAGAGGGAAGGTCTAGGGCTGAAGGCTGTTATTCAGATTATTTTGTCCCGGGGGTATTCCCTTGATGTAGTACTCTCCCTCCCTTTCCTATGGATGTGGCTTCATGTAAGCCAAACTGCAGTGATTGTTGTCTCTCTTCTGGGTCTAGCCATCCAGTGAGTCTACCTGGCTCCAGGCTGGTACTGGTGGTTGTCTGCAGAGTCTTGTGATGTGAACCATCTATGGGACTCTCAGCTGTGGATACCAGTGCAGTATTTGGAGTGTCTCCCAGGTCCTGCAGGAGTAGTCCACTTCCTTCAAAGTTCCTCTCTGGATTGCTGGTTTGTTGTTGCAGTCAATCTAGACCTAAAATTCACTATGTGAGCCTCCACACGCTGCTCTGTCTGGAGCTGCAACCTAGTCCTGCCTCCCATTCGCCATGATGATCCGGATCCCAGTGATAAATCTTGAGTTATCTTTTCTAATAGAAATTGTTCAGGGATCAGGTTCCAAGATGGCCAAATAGGAACAACTCCAGTCTACAGCTCCCAGTGTGAGTGACACAGAAGACAGGTAATTTCTGCATTTCCAACTGAGGTACCAGCTTCATCTCACTGGGGCTCATTGGACAGTGGGGGCAGGAAAGGGCGTGCAGCCCACCGAGTGTGAGCCGAAGCAGGGCGATGCATCGCATCACCTTGGAAGCACGAGGGGTTGGGGAATTCCCTTTCCTAGCCAAGGAAAGGGTTGACAGACGGCACCTGGAAAATCGGGTCACTCCCACCCAATACTGCACTTTTCCAATGGTCTTAGCAAACAGCACACCAGGAGATTATATCCCGCACATGGCTCAGAGGGTCCCACGCCCATGGAGCCTCACTCATTGCTAGCACAGCAGTCTGAGATTGAACTGCAAGGCAGGAGTGAGGCTGGGGGAGGGGCACCCACCATTGCTGAGGCTTGAGTAGGTAAACAAAGGGGCCTGGAAGCTCTAACTGGGTAGATCCCTACTCAGCACAAGGAGGCCTGCCTGCCTCTGTAGACTCCACCTCTCAGGACACAGCATAGCAGAACAAAAGGCAGCAGAAACCTCTGCAGACTAAAATGTCCCTGTCTGACAGCTTTGAAGAGAGCAGTGGTTCTCCCAACATGGAGTTTGAGATCTGAGAATGGACAGACTTCCTCAAGTGGGTCCCTGACCCCCGAGTAGCCTAACTGGGAGGCACCCCCTAGTAGGGACAGACTGACACTGCACACGGCTGGGTACCCCTCTGAGATAAAGCTTCCAGAGGAATGATCAGGAAGCAACATTTGCTGTTCAGCAATATTCGCTGTTCTGCAACCTCTGCTGCTGATACCAGGCAAACAGGGTCGCAGTGGACCTCCAGCAAACTCCAACAGACCTGTAGCTGAGGGTCCTGACTGTTAGAAGGAAAAGTAACAAACAGAAAGGACATCCACACCAAAACTCCATCTGTACATCACCATTATCGAAGACCAAAGGTAGATAAAACCACACAGATGGGGAAAAAACAGGGCAGAAAAGCTGAAAATTCTAAAAATCAGAGCACCTATCCCCCTCCAAAGGAACACAGCTCCACGCCAGCAACGGAACAAAGCTAGATGGAGAAAGACTGATGAGTTGAGAGAAGGCTTCAGATGATCATATATCTCGAAGCTAAAGGAGGAAGTTTGAACCCAATGCAAAGAAGCTAAAAACCTTGAAAAAAGATTAGACAAATGGCTAACTGGAATAAACGTGTAGAGAAGTCCTTAAATGATCTGATGGAGCTGAAAACCATGGCACGAGAACTACGTGACAAATGCACATGCTTCAGTAGCCAATTCAATCAACTGGAAGAAAGGATATCAGTGATTAAAGATCAAATGAATGAAATGAAGTGAGAAGAGAAGTTTAGAGAAAAAAGAGTAAAAAGAAATGAACAAAGCCTCCGTGAAATATGGGACTATGTGAAAAGACCAAATCTACATCTGATTGGAGTACCTGAAAGTAATGGGGAGAAAGGAACAAAGTTGGAAAACACTCTGCAGGATATTATCCAGGAGAACTTCCCCAGCTTAGCAAGGCAGGCCAATATTCAAATTCAGGAAATACAGAGAATGCCACAAAGATATTCCTCAAGAAGAGCAACTCCAAGACACATAATTGTCAGATTCACCAAAGTTGAAATGAAGGAAAAAATGTTAACAGCAGCCAGAGAGAAAGGTCGGGTTACCCACAAAGGGAAGCCCATCAGACTAACAGCGCATCTCTCGGCAGAAACTCTACAAGCCAGAAGAGAGTGGGGGCCAATATTCAACATTCTTAAAGAGAAGAATTTTTAATACAGAATTTCATATCCAGCCAAACTAAGCTTCATAAGTGAAGGAGAAATACAATCCTAATAATAAGGAGAATAAAATGCTTAGGATGCCAAGTCAATCCTAAGCCAAAAGAACAAAGCTGGAGGCATCATGCTACCTGACTTCAAACTATAATACAAGTCTACAGTAACCAAAACAGCATGGTACTGGTACCAAAACAGAGATATAGACCAATGGAACAGGACAGAGCCCTCAGAAATAATACCACACATCTACAACTATCTGATCTTTGACAAACCTGACAAAAACAAATGGGGAAAGGATTCCCTATTTAATCAATGGTGCTGGGAAAACTGGCTAGCCATATGTAGAAAGCTGAAACTGGATCCCTTCCTTACACCTTATACAAAAATTAATTCAAGATGGATTAAAGACTTAAATGTTAGACCTAAAACCATAAAAACCCTAGAAGAAAACCTAGGCAATACCATTCAGGACATAGGCATGGGAAAGGACTTCATGTCTAAAACACCAAAAACAATGGCAACAGAAGCCAAAATTGACAAATGGGATCTAATTAAACTAAAGAGCTTCTGCACAGCAAAAGAAACTACCATCAGAGTGAACAGAATGGGAGAAAATTTTTGCAATCTACTCATCTGACAAAGGGCTAATATCCAGAATCTACAATGAACTCAAACAAATTTACAAGAAAAAAACAAACAACCCCATCAAAAAGTGGGTGAAGGATATGAACAGATGCTTCTCAAAAGAAGACATTTATGCAGCCAAAAGACACATGAAAAAATGCTCATCATCACTGGCCATCAGAGAAATGCAAATCAAAACCACAATGAGATACCATCTCACACCAGCTAGAATGCCGATCATTAAAAAGTCAGGAAACAACAGGTGTTGGAGAGGATGTGGAGAAATAGGAACACTTTTACACTGTTGGTGGGACTGTAAACTAGTTCAACCATTGTGGAAGACATTGTGGCGATTCCTCAAAGATCTAGAACTAGAAATACCAATTGACCCAGCCATCCCATTACTGGGTATATACCCAAAGGATTATAAGTCATGCTGCTATAAAGACACATGCACACGTATGTTCATTGCGGCACTATTCACAATAGCAAAGACTTGGAACCAACCCAAATGTCCAACAATGATAGACTGGATTAAGAAAATGTGGCACATATACACCATGGAATACTATGCAGCCATAAAAAAGGATGAGTTCATGTCCTTCATAGGGACAATGATGAAGCTGGAGACCATCATTCGTAGCAAACTATCGCAAGAACAAAAAACCAAACACTGCATGTTCTCACTCATAGGTGGGTATTGAACAATGAGAACACTTGGACACAGGAAGGAGAACATCACACACTGGGGCCTGTTGTGGGGTTGGGGGAGTGGGGAGGGAAAGCATTAGGAGCTATACCTATGTCAATGACGAGTTAATGCGTGCAGCACACCAACATGGCACATGTATACATATGTAACAAACCTGCACGTTGTGCATATTTACCCTAGAACTTAAAGTATAATAATAATTAAAAAAATTATTCAGTAAGACAGGCTGGAGTACAGTGGTGCAATCACAGCTCACTGCACCCTTGACCTCCTGGGCTCACAAGATCCTCCCACCTCTGCCTTCCAAGTAGCTGGGACTACAGGCATGCACCACCATGCTGGGCTAATTTTTTTTTTGTAGGGTCTTACAATGTTGCCTAGGCTTGTCTTGCACTTCCGGGTTCAAACAATCATCCTGTTTCGGCCTACCAAAATGTTGGGATTACAGGCATCAGTCACCACACCCGGGCTCCATCTTTTTTAAACAAAAATATTTGCAGCTTCTCCACTTTCTGCAAGCAACATCGAATTTTTCAAGATCTGAGTCCTAATAACTTGTAAATTCTCAATGTTCCAGTTTCTAGAGAGTCAAATAACACTTAGGGAGGCAGCTGTCCCACAGGTGAGCTTGTTATACAATGTGCTAGCATGAGTTTGAAAGAGCTTGCTATAATATTCTTGCCTTACTTCCAAGTTGTGGATCATTTTCCCAAATGCAGATATACCATAACAGGGCTTTGATTCTCTCCCTGGATCCCCACACATATAAGTAAGGATGCTCAGAAATAGTTTGCATTTAGAAATATTATTATTAGTGTTTTCATCTGTGTTTCTTTGCTTTAATCCAGTATCGTTCTTTGTTGGCTCTTAATTTTGCTTTCTTTATTTTATGCTTTTGCTTTAGGCATGTCTTTTTACATAAACTTCTTTAAATCTGTTGTGAAAGATAGATGGGTATTAAAAAATTAACAAATAAAACCCACATATTATATCAAATACCATATAATTAGAAGTTTATAATGCTAACTTGATGAACTTGGCTTTTAGCTAAAACGTGTCTATTATTAGCTTAATGCAAATTTTTATAAAGTGTTTTAAGGAAGAAAATTGAATCAAGTAATTAAAGATTAATTGTTTAAAGGTTTTAATAATTGTGACATTTGCACTGAACTCTCACATACTTGAATTTGAATTCTAGTTTTAGTTTGTTTTTTATATGACCTTAAGATAGTTAAACTAGGGTTCAGTTCCTTATCTTAAAATGGAGATAATATAATCAGGTGTTATGGGTTGAATTGTGTATAACCCTCTCCCCAAAATTTATATTTTTAAGTCCTAATTTCAGAATATGACTATATTTGGAGATAGGATCCTTAAAGAGGTAATGAGGTTAAAATGAAGTAATTAGGGCAGGCTTGCAACCAAATGCTAGCTAGGCTGCTCCCAGTTTGTAAAGCCAAATGAACAAAGATGAGATACTGTGAAAGGAAAGTGACTTTATTCCAAACTTTAGGCTGGGGAGAGGAGGTTAGAAAGGGGAACTTGGAATGGGAGGCATGCAGGAGTTGTACCGGGCACAAGGTCTGTGTATCTTGTTCCAGTGGCTATCTTGAGTCATGGTCCACTTGGAGCATGGATGGGCTGACATTATCTCAACAATGGTCAGGTTGTAGACTAACTGCCTTGAGGTTATCTCTAGAACTTTGCAGCTGGGTCTCCATGCCTGATTTTTCTCAAGATTAGCTCCTGGAATTTCTAAGCAAGCTCATAATTACATAAGCGAGCACTGTGCATGGGAGTTTCTGGTGGGAAAGGGAGGGAAACAAAGAGTTTCAAGGCTGTACATTTCAAGGCTGTATTTCAAGACTAAGGATGAATAAAAGGTTTCTGCAGTTTGCTTCGAGGTTACATTTGAGACTATGGAGAAAAGAGAAAAAGGAAAAAAAGTTTTAAAATGCATTTTGAAGCTAAACTGCTTAGTTACAGACCCTTCTCTAATATGATTGCAGTCTTTATAAAAAGAGGAAATTTGGACACAGACATGGACAGAGGGATGATCATGTGAAGACACAAGAAGGAGGTGGTGATCTACAAGCCAAGAGAGAATGCGGGAATAAATGCTTCTTTCACAGCCCTCAGAAGAAACCAGCCCTGCTGACGCCTTGATCTTGAATGTCTAACCTTCAGAACTGTGAGAAAGTAAATTTCTGCTTAAGCCACACAGTCTGAGAACTTTGTTAGAGCAGCCCTAGCAAACTAATAAAACCAATGAGCAGCTGATATTCAGCTGGTAAGTAGCCTCCAGGATATGTTGGAGCTATGACCTGTGTCTATACTGATAAATCAGCATATGCTATGATGTTGTTAATATTTTGAATATTACCCCCTGAGAATGCCTACAATGTAGAGCCTCGTAAGGTACCTGGTACAGTACCTACCATATTATAGACACTCAATAAATTATATGAATAGTATTTATAATTTTATTATTATTAAGTTTGGTTTAAGTTGATCACTATAAACTTATGCCAAATAACACACCTTTCCCAGGTGAACATCTCAGGAAACTAAATTTATATGGTATGGTAGGGTGGTTTATATAGGAACAAGAAAGTTGGAAAAAGAGGTGAATATCTGATAAGCCATATGCCAACCCAATATTTGTTCTTTTTTTAAATGAATAGAACCATTGATATCACAAGAAAGATCATCTTTGAAATGTTTAACTCTGCACTTTTATGTAAAAATGTCAAGAATATTGATTAAGAAAAGTATTAGCTTTCCAGAGAACAGGATCTTCTTTCATGAGACTATAAGGAGCCCCAGTTGCTCAGTATGAGGACAACTTGGTTTGCGTTGCATTTTTGGCGAGACCATATGTTTCAGAAAAACTTCTTTAATTCTACATGTGGACAACCACATGGTACATAGCAATTATCAAGCCATTAGTGTCTCAAAGCACTTTCTGAACGTTAACTAAAAACGATTGTATTTTATAAATGCACACACTTTGTGCATATAAACATTGAAAATAATGTAATCATATGCAATGTCATATAATTGTGATTGTAAAGATATTTCCACTTCCAGCGCCGGAGGGAATATAAGAGCTTGCTAATTTTGTTTGATATGGTAGCAACTTTTGCCAATTGGCTTGTCTCCAGAACTATTACTTGTTAATGTTCCTAAATGTGCTACTATCACTACTGTCTAATAACAGCACATTCTGCAGCGATATGAAGCATCTAAATTGAACCAAGAAAATACATGCTGTCCTGACTTTTGAACTATTTTGTTTTTTTCTATAGAGGGGAATAAAATAACCAGACTGAGTTATATTTATTATTTATTTAAGTATACCTAATGGGCTATAGAGGACATTGGCAATTAACAGGACACTGTCCTATAGAGGACAGTGGTTTCTCATAAAGAAAATTTTTTGGAACTGGTTTTCCAGTGAAAACTTACTAAATCCTAGACCACTTCCATTAACCTACATTTTTGGAATATATTTATCATTTTGAAGAGTTTTGTCTCATCCCTTATATTTTATATGGCTCATATATGAAATAAGTTTTTAGGTAGGGCCCTCTTCTTTTTCAGAAGCTGTCTTCAGTCTGCACTAAAACCCAGCTACTAAGAAAAAGAATGTTCATAAAGTCTTCAGAGTTCTTCTGGGAAGACACAATGTAAATGTGAAATAGTCATTATCATGGGAATATTTAAATCTTTTTCTTTGGTTGTCATGGTTCTGTTGCAGGGAATGTCCACTATTATCTATTAAGAAGTTCACATTTAGCTATTTCATAGAATTTCAAATGATTGGTAGTCTTCACTTAAATTTACATAATTACTTTTTTTGCAAGACTCATGTTAACCTTTCACAATGGCAGATATCTCTCTCTCTGCGTCCTAAATATTTCATAAATCTAAGTTTTATTTCTGCCACACTACAGGAGTATCTTATGGAACAATCACAGAAAATTAAACTTGCTGAGGTATTGTTGATTTGATGTTTAATAGAAGTATATTTAACAAACTGTCTTCAATGACTACTTTCTCAGAGGTCATAGATCCCAGCTTTTGTAATGCATATCATCAAATATTTTTTCTCATATTACTTGGTAAAATGATATATTTCAGATAAGGGAGATAAGATATAGCTTATTGAGGCCAACTTGATCAGACTGCAAAAGGTAATTCAGGTACATAAATACGTGTTTCAAAGTTGTTGCTTTATAGTCAGACTAAGTATTAAGAATATATATTTATCCAATTGTACACAGCAGGGACAGGATACAATGCACATAGGGCTAACAGCAGTGGGGGAAATCAAACAAAATCCAGGAATTATAGCATCATACTTAATGGAAAAAAATAGCATTGATTTTGAGCATATGAAAGAAATTGAAGAACTAAATGTAAAACCCCAAATAAATAAGAAAAAATAAACTAGAAAAAAGGAAACATGGGCATACTTCTTAAATGTATCCAAACTATAAGCTGATTAAAGATAGTTCTGCCATAGGGTTCAGAAAATACTTTGAATTTCTTTGTGTGATACTTCTTGTCTTCAGAAATTATAGTGTATTCATCTATGATGAGGAAAGAAATTTTTTAAATACATAGGTCCAATTTTGAGTCATACTTGCAAAGATTTACTCTGCTCAAATACTTAGCAGATTTTTTTATTATTTTTTTTATTAGAGATGGGGTTTTGCCATGTTTCCCAGCTGGTCTCGAACTCCTGACCTCAAGTGATACACCTGCCTTGGCCTCCCAAAGTGCTGGGATTACAGGCATAAGCCACTGTGCCCAGCCCTTAGCAGATTTTTTTTTCTTTTTTTCTTTTTTTCGTTTTTAGAGACGGAGTCTTGCTCTGTCACCCAGGCTGGAGTGCAGTGGCACAATCTCAGCTCACTGCAACCTCCGCCTCCTGGGTTCAAGCAATTCTCCTGCCTCAGCCTCCCGAGTACCTGGGACTACAGGCGCACGCTGCCACGCCTGGCTAATTTTTTTTTTTTTTTTTTGTATTTTAATAGAGATGGGGTTTCACCTGTTGCCCAGGCTGGTCTCAAACTCCTGAGCTCAGGCAATCCGCCCACCTCAGCCTCCCAAAGTGCTAGGATTACAGGATGAGCCACCACACCCGGCCAGCAGATATTTTTTAAAGGTACAAAATTAAAGACAATTCTTCTCAACTATTTATTTTTGAATTATCTTAGTTAAAGCCGCATAGCTAAGATAGTCAACTCCATCACTCAAATGGGAATTATCATTCCCATTGTAATTGTAAGTATATGTGAAATAAATACAAACTCTTATCTTTTAACATCTAAACAATGTGAAAAAATAGCTTGCTTCTTCATTGAAGTGAATGTCTTAACATTCTATTTCTTTTCCTAATTACTGATAAAGCACTGGTAAAACAAATAATGGCATATCGTTGCAATGGAATGCTCTGTAGCTTATTAAAACTAATGGAGTAGATCTATATTTCCAGTATGAAAGCAAAAGGTAGATTAACATGCATTATATGATACTAATGGTTTAAACAAAGTTTAAAAAGACTCTCCTTTATATGACATTTATCTTTGTGTATACTAACATTTTTCTAGGAGGAAATCTAGAAATCTCTGATGAAAAGTTGGGTTGTAGATTTGGGTGGGAAAATTTTCACTTTTAAGTATATATTCTTATGTAATGTTTGATTTTTTTTACCGATGTTGATGTTTACATTTATAATTTAAAAAATGAACTTGATTTTTTGAAAGGTCATCTTGATTTCTCAGGCCTTGCTTTCTCAACACTGCACCTGAGCGTGGGAGGTTTAAAACAACAGAAAGTCAACCTGAACCAGCTTACACAAAAACCAGGAGATATTGTCTAATTTTTTTATCTTTCATTTACGCAGCTCTCTGTGTTTTGGCTTCATTCTAACCTTTATAATGTTGTGAAGGAGTCAGCTGTTGCAGCATTTAGGCTTACATCTTAATGGCTTTCCCACTAGGCAAAAAAAGGGCTCTTCTTCCAAGTCACAGAGGAACTCCGATGATCGTAGTTTGTGTCACTTGCCAAAGCTCTGGACCAATCCCTGACATAAGCAGTGATATTAGCAAATGTGTGACATGATTACCCTAAAACCCAAGACCAAGTATTGTGGCAAAGGCAACACAACTAAATCAGAAGAGGGTAGCCTGTGTCCCAAAGAAAGGAGAGGTACAAAGCAGGCAAAAATCTTATACACGCACACACATGCGCACTGGGAAATGAATTTAGATATTGTTGTGATTGATAAAGTATGAGTTTATTAAAATGTGTTAAAAATCAATAACTACTACTTATTTTGTCAATATAGGTTGTCATTCATACAATGACATTTTGTCATTATAGAATTTCTCAAACATCAGACACTAAAAATATCAGTCCCTTTTTGTAGGAGGAAATAAACAATTTTATTAACATTTAAAAAGTTCCTTATGTTCAAAAGAGTTGAGACCAGTGGTTGAGGTATGAAGTAGGTTCTTGGCAGTATTAATGGAGAGTGGGTCCAGATCAGGGAAGAGATTTTTGTGGTAGAAAGAAGAAAAGTTAACAACTGCCAATTATGGGGCAGAGAAGAGGGATGAGTAAAAATCACATTGTACCAATGTCCTGGTAATTATTTAAAAGTCTTCACAACGAAGTGCCCAGATAAATACCAAATGCAGTAAGAGCTATGTTGTCTTGCTGCTTTGTCTTTCACTCAATACACTCACACTGAAATAAAACATCTTCGATTATTGTTTATTTAAAACTAGGGGATTACCGCATAAAAGATGGCATAGGAATGCCAAACTTAGGGAGAACTGGGTAGAACAGGCAGACAGAAGCAGGACTTGTGGTTCGGGGTTTGGTTTTTGCAAAGAGCATTTTCTATAGTAAATGCTTGATGATACAATCAAAATGTTTTTGGAAGAACAGTACTGAGAAAATCCCACTGGCCTCCAAGGACAAGAAAAGGTGATTTAATATGGACTCTGGGTCCTGGTGCCGCTGTTTTCCTCAGATAGTGAGAAACTGCACTTGTAGCTGTGAGTAAACTGAGATGCTAAGAGAGATTGAAGAGAACGTAGGGCCAGCGATTAACATCTGAAAAATGTTTTTCACTGTAAGAAACATCACCACCGTCATGGACAACACACATATTTTCAACACCAACTATCTGACACAGCTTCAAGATTTCTGGAATGAATTTAAATTGCCTGATGCTTGCAACAAGGAAATTGTATCAGTCTCTGCTTTCTAATACAGCTTAGTAAATACCTGGATCATAGAAATCATGGCTAATTCAGTGCTTAATACTTGTTGGCCCAAAGAGAACATAATCCTATTGGAACATATTATAATAATGAGTTTGTCCTGGGACTGCCCAATCTGGGGTCTAGAATCTTACCTGAAAATGACATGGTCAGTCTTTTCTGGACAAATTCTTTAAGGAACTGTTTGTTTTAGGATTTTAAAGAAGCCAACAAAAGAAATTTTAGTCTCTCATTATTAAATATCTCCGGACTACAGTAGCTGGAATAAGAAATAATGTCTCTGTGAGTTGGGAGTGGGGGTCTGCGCCCTCCTTAAGGGCATGATGTAGGGGAGGCTGGTAGTGGCCATGGCAGTGGTTTGACCAGACCCAATAAAGGCGGTGCAAAGCGTGGTGGGAACAACCCAGGATTCCCAGGCACCCTCCCCTCTGCGCCCCAGCGGCAGGACACACCAGCGCTTGCCCAGGCTGAGGTTCAGGAGTTAATGTGGCTCCCGTGGGCTGGACTCTAGGGTAAGGAAAGAAGAGTGAGCAAGGGGGAAACACATAAGAAAGGAGGGAAAGACAAAAAAGGAAGTGCGGATGGGGCCATCAGCTGCAGCTTCCCGCGCCGGGCCGGTCTGGTTGGGGAATCAAGCCTGGGGGACCCTTGGGAAGGAAACGTCTCAGGCGATTATGCCAAGTGAAATAAGCCATGTACCGAAAGAAAAATACCGCAGGATCTCACTTACATGTGAAATCTAAAAAAGCAGAACTCACAGAAGCAGAGTGGAAGGGTGAAACCAGCCCAATTGTCCCATAGAACTGACGTTTGGGGTTTTTTGAATAAACAGAGAAATTAACCCTCCCTGGATTCAGAACTTGAAGCTTAACATTTGTCTTACCTGAATTCCTTCCTAAGGAAATCCACCCTCTGGCAAGGAACTGAAACTCACCAGAAAATCACATTCAGACAGTGAGACTCCAGACCTCTCATGTGTTATGATTGCTTCCTTACCCCTTCCTACTTCCTGTTTTCCCACACATAGGTGCATTCCTCCCGTGCTATAGAAACCCCCAATTTGAGTCAGTTGGCAGAGATAGATACATCCCTGGCTGACAGCACCTGAATAAAAAAAGCCTTCTTCCTTGGCAATGCTCTTCTCAGTGACTGGCTTTCTGTGCCATGAGCAACTGAACCTAGATGGAACACCTGGCATTCAGGTAACAAAAGGACAGGAAGTTTCAGCTAGATTGGAGGAATAAGCTCATGAGATCTATTTACAAAATGATGATCATACCTAATAACAATGCCTTGTATACTTGAAAATTGCTGAGAGTAGATTTTAAATGTTCTCAACACAAAACATAAGTAGGTGTGGTAATGAATATGTTAACTGCTTGGTTTAGCCATTCCACAATATACGCATATATCAAAACATCACACTGTATCCTATAAGTATATGTGATATATGATTTTTGTCAATAAAAAAATCAGAAAAAAAAGACAAAATGTACGGTAGAACTAAAAAAGAAGACAACCAAAGGTCATGTGAAATAGTGATGGCTCACTAATAAATCCAGGACGAAGTTATCACTACTCAAGCATAAGCTTTCCTAAGACTGCTACAAAGATGTTTGATATAAAGGCTTGGGTTGAGAATGTTGTGGAATGAACTGCAAGGGACCCCTGTGGCTTCTTTATAGTAATTCTTTGGCCCTTGTTCTACTACTGCTCAAACAAGTCCATACTGTCCTGGAAATTGGCCAGGATGATTGAGGCCAGAGGAAAGGAACAAAAGAAGAAAAAACGTTGAGAAAATATATATTACATAAGGGAAACAACCGAAAAAAGGATTAAAGGAATGAACAGGCTGTGTAAAATTATGTAGCTTTAGAAGGACCCACTAAAGCTTCTTCCTTGGATATTATGACAGTATTATTTAATAAAAGCAGTCTAACCATAATGAAGAATCATGCTAGTTCTTACCTCAGTATTGTATTAACTTCCAGTCTTTGCAGTAGAAAAGTTTATTGATGTCTGTTGACAGTTATTTTAAATTAGCATTTATTATGCTATCAGTTTTTTATAAATGAAGTAGTCATTTGCCATTTTGCAGTATATGCATTAAAATGAAAACTTCCTGTGGAGAAATATGAGTTTGGATTATTAACTCTATTTAAATAATGGCTTAAAATAAGATCCTATTCTAGACAAAGGAAATTTGAGAATGTAAAAGTCAGAATTATCTCCTCTGAGGTGAAAATTGTCCTTTAGCTCAAAGAAGTACAGTGTATTAGTCACATCTTTTACCGTTATTGCTTATTTCTTATAATAGAATTATTTCTGGCTTTCTCAAAGCAAAATAATATTAACCACTTCTATTTTCTGCACTTTTCTGATTTTAGCTTTTAAGATGCTAGTAATTATCCAACATTCTGCATTTTAACCTAATATTATAAAGAGTTCTTTTGACTATGTAGAATACCACCTACTGCATATAGCCATTTCTGTACTTATGAACACTGCCATTCTCTTAGACTTGTTAAGAAGAGTAAAACTAGGATTAAAGAAGGCAGTAAAGATGCCAAACATTGTAGTATTTTAGAACCAGTTTATTCTTATTTATGCTTAGTGGAAATATAAAATAATTAAAATTTCTCTTTATTTCTATTACCACTTAAAAATTCCATTATTTGTTTTAACTCATGTGGTAATTATATCACATTTTAAAATTGAACAAGGTGAAAATTTAAATTTAAATTACATTTAAGAAACTCTTAAAGAGTACAGTTAAGTCATACTTCCAAAGTGATAAAGTCTTACAATTTGAAAAAAAGAAAAAATGTGTTGTGGATAGTAGTAATTGAGTGAGAAAGATAAATTATGTCAAAATTAGAATGTGTTTTAACTAGAAGTAAGTAGTATAAGTGGAATGTTTTCCTATTCAGTTAAGTTGTATAACTAGAACTTTTTACTATTAAACACAGCTTTTATGCTGGCTCAGTAAAAATAGTTTAGAAATATTCTGTTTTCTTTTATTTTTATGGAGTACTTTGAGGAGACTTGGTATTAGTTCTTCTTTTTAAATGTTTGGTAGAGTTCAGCAGTGAAGCCATTCCTGAGTTTTTCTTTGATGGAAGACTTTTATTACTGACTCAATTTCCTCACTTATTATTGGTCTGCTCAAATTTTCTATTTCTTCATAATTTAATCTTGATAGGTTGTATGTGTCCAGGAGCTTATCAATTTCTTTCATGTTATCAATTTCTTTGTTATATAGCTGTTCATAGTAGTCTCTTATGATCCCTTGTATATCTGTGGTATCAGTTTTAATGTCTCTTTCTACACCTCTGATTTTGAGTCTTTTCTTTTTTTTTGTAGTTTAGCTAAAGGTTTTTTTTAAAAAAAATTTGGTTATCTTTTTTAAAAACTAACTTCTCTTTTTGCCAGTCTTGAATTGTTGTTTTGTTTTGTGTTGTTTTTTAGTCTCTATTTTGTTTATTTCTGTTCTGAGCTTTAATATTTGTTTCTTTCTACCAATTTTGGGTTTAGTTTGTTCTCGTTTTTCTAGTTCATTAAGATGAATTGTTAGGTTATTTATTTAAAAATCTTTCTTCTTTTCTCATGTAGGCATTTATTGCTGTAAACTTTTCTCTTGGAAATGCTTTTGCTGTATCCTGTAGGTTTTGGTATGATGTGTTTCATTCTTGTTTGTTTCAAGGAAATTTTTTTCTTTCCTTTTTAATATATTTGAGGATATCATGTTAACTGAAGTAAACTAGACATAGAAAGACAGATACCTCATGATATCACTCATAGAATCTAAACAAAAAATTGATATCATAGAAGCAGAGAGTAAAACAATGATTATCAGAGACTGGAGAGAGGCAAGAGGAGGATAGGGAGAGGGTGGTTAATGGGTACAAAGTGATGATTAGATAGGAGGAATAAATTCTAAATTTCTATTGAACAGTAGTGTGACTATGGTTAACTGTAAAATATTGTATATTACAAAATAGTGAGAAGAAGGGCTTTGGAATATTCCTATCACAAGAAAATGATAAATGCATGAGGCAAGGGATATGCTAACTACCCTGATATGATCATTATATGACATAGATATGTATGGAAACAAATTGTATTCCATAAGTATGTATAATTACATGTCAAATAAAAAGATAAATAATTTTAAAACCCATGGCTTTTATAAATGCATGGTACAATAATTTTACTCACTGTCAGTATTTAATACATAATTCATATTTGTCTCACCTCTTATAGTAAGTGTTAAGTAACAAAAAAATTGTCCAATAGCTCTAATTTTAAAATAAAACTAAATATTAAAATAAATATGCTTTTTTAAAAAAACAGATAAATACATGACTCGATGCCTCACTTAGAATTTGTTTTTTAGATATTTAAATTTCTTGCGTAGGAATTGCACTAAGGTACAATTTGCTTAACGAATTTTTATTGAGATTTAATTCATTTGTTAAACTTTTATTGAAAACCTACCTACTATATACTCTGTGCTAAATAGTAAGGATACAAAGGAAGTAGTTCATTATTTTTGTTAATTTTATAGTTTAATAGAGGAAGATCAAGTACAGTAGATCCTCATTATTTGCAGATTCTGTATTTACAAAGTCACTTCTTTGCACTTGCAAAGAAGGTTATTTTCAGCCAAATGCAGGGTGGCAAGAAGTTGAACTGCTTGGTGCACATGTTCCCAGATGAGGCTGAACAAGGCAGTGCTCTGCCTTCTGGGTTGAGCTCCCATATTGCAAACAAGTGTCTTTAACATGGTGTATCTAGTGCCATGTTTTTGCATTTTTGTGTTCTGCAAAAATATTCCTAGCAGCACTATTCATAATAATAATAACGAAGAACAACACCAACGTCAATCAGAAGTAGAACTGAAAAGAAGCCACATTGATAGAGGTATGTCAATGGAGCCCAGAGGCCAAAAAAAGAGCTCCTAGCAGCCAAAGCTGGAACAATTAGGGCAACATAATTAATTAACTAATTAATTATTAAGATGACATTGGATTATATTATAACTCAAAGTTAGAATTAGACAGAGATAATAGTTGCACAACATTGTGAATGCATTAAATGACATCGAGCTGTTTACTTTACAATGGTTAACGTTGTTATGTGAATTTTACTTGAAAATAAATGAAAAGAAGAGATGATTAGCAGCAGGATTGGCAGCAACCCATAAAGAGCAAAATAATAATAAAATCAGAGTAGCATGACATCACTCCCTAGCAGTTCTTGTTTTTTAGATTAAAATATATATATTGTGGAAAATAGTGGACTTCCCAAGAATTCAGTCCCATTTATAATAGCCACAAAAAGAATAAAATACCTAGAACACAGTTAATGAAGGAGGTGAAAGATCTCTACAAAGAGATTTACCAAAAAAAAAAAAAAAAAAACTGCTGAAAGAAATTAGAGGTGACACAAATAAATGAAAAAACATCTCATGCTCATAGATGAGAATAATCAACATCATTAAAATGGCCATACTGCCCAAAGCAATTTACAGATTCAACACCATTCCTATCAAACTACCAACATCATTTTTCACAGAATTAAAAAATCATTCTAAAATTCATGTGGAACCTAAAGAGAACCTGAATAGCCAAAGCAATCCTAAGCCAAAAAATAAAAAACAAAAACAAACAAAAAAAACAAAAAACAAAGCCAGAGACTTCACACTCTCAGACTTCAAACTATACTACAAAGCTACCATAACCCAAACAGCATGGTATTGGTACAAAAGAGACTCATAGACCAATGGAACAGAATAGAAGATTCAGAAATAAAGCTACCCGCCTATAACCAACTGAAATCTTTGACAAACTTTACAAAAATAAGCAATGGGGAAAGGACTTCCTGTTCAATAAGTGGTGCTGGGATAACTGGCTGGCCATATACAGAAAAAATGAACTGGACTCCTATCTATCACCATATTAAAAAAATTAACTCAAGATGAATTAAAGACTTAAATGTAAGACTTCAGACCATACAAATCCTAGAAGGAAATCTAAGAAATACTCTTCTTGATATAGGCCTTGGCAAAAAATTTATGGCTAAGTCCTCAAAAGCAATTGCAACCAAAAATTGATAAGGGGGACCTAATTAAACTAAAGAGCTTCTGCACAGCAAAAGAAACTATCAACAGAGTAAACAGCCTACAGAATGGGAGAAATATTCACAAACTAGGCATCCAATAAAGGTCTAATATGCACAATCTGTAAGGAACTTAAATCAACAAGCAAAATGCAAATAACCTTATTAAAAAATGGGCAAAGGACATGAACAGATACTTCTCAAAAGAAGACATACAGCTGGGCGTGGTGGCTCACGCCTGTAATCCCAGCACTTTGGGAGGCCAAGGAGGGCGGATCCACGAGGTCAGGAGATGGAGACCATCCTGGCTAACACGTGAAACCCCATCTCTACTAAAAACACAAAAAATTAGCCAGGTGTGGTGGCAGGCGCCTGTAGTCCCAGCTGCTCGGGAGGCTGAAGCAGGAGAATGGCGTGAACCCAGGAGGCGGAGCTTGCAGTGAGCTGAGATCATGCCACTGCACTCCAGCCTGGGCGACAGAGTGAGACTCCGTCTCAAAAAAAAAAAAAAAAAAAAAAGACTACTCAACATCATTAATCATCAGAGAGATGCAAATCAAATCCATGATATATCACCTCACACCAATCTGAGAAGGTTTTGTTAAAAAATCAAAATATAACAGATGTTGGTGAGGCTGCAGAGAAAAAGAAACACTTATATACCATTGGTGTAAATTAGTTCAGCCACTGTGTAGAGCAGTTTAGAGATTTCCAAAAAAAACAGAATTGGACTACCACTTGATTCAGTCATCCCACTACTGGGTATATACCCAAAGAAAAATAAATTGTTCTACCAAAAAGACACATGCACTTGTATGTTCATCGCAGCACTCTTCACAATAGTGGAGACATGGAATCAACCAAGGTGCCTGTCTAAAGAGGATTGGATAAATAAAATGTGGTACATATACACCATGGAATATTATACAGCTATGAAACAGAATGAAATTGTGTCTTTTATGGTAACATGGATGTAGCTGGACACCATTATCCTAAGCAAACTAACACCAAAACAGAAAACCAAGTGCCACATGTTCTCACTTACAAGTGTGAGCTAAATATTGGGTACACATAGTCATAAAAATAGGAGCAGTAGACACTGGGGAGTACAAAAGGGGAGCAGGCAAGGGTTGAAAGAAACCACCTATTGCGTACTAAGCTCACTACCTGGGTGATGAGTTCATTTGTATTCCAAACCTCAACATGACACAATCTTCCTTTGTAACAAACCTGCACACTTTCTAAACAGTTGAAAAACTAAATAAAAAGTAAAGTAGGTAATTTAAGTGTAACTTGGAGAATAAAAAAAGAAAATACTAAATTTTCATGCTGGAGAAACAAGAGCTCAAGGCATTGATATTTACAGACATGGGCTCTATATGGTGTACACTAACCACCAAGTGAAACTTGTGCTGCATTAATCAAAGTATTAATAGTTTCTTTGGTGAATAAAGAGACTCTTATTTATTGAATGCTGATAAAAAAGAAAGTGGGACATTAAAAAGCTGATGGGAAGCTCTTTGCACATATATGGGGCATTTTAAAGATAGTTTGTGGGACACCTAACGTCAGTATCTTTGGGTACTTTTTCATAGGTTGGTCAGATTCTCCAAACAAGTAGGGTTGCCAGATGTAGCAAATAAAAATATAAGGATGCCCAATTAAACTATATTTTCAGAAAAACAAAGAGAATTTTAGGATGAGTGTGATCCAATTATTAAATGGGGACATACTTATACTAAAAAGTATTTATTCTATATATGAAATTCTTATTTTATTTGGCAATGCTATAGACAAGCCTCTTGTATTCAATTCCCTTCCTGGAGTGTAGAATCCTTAGTGCCAAAATTCACAGAGTGATTCATGCAAAATACTGTGGCTACCATATTTCTTACATAACTTTTCAGTTAAATGCCTCCATTTTTTACATAGTTTCCCACCTTTGGTTTTATTCTCTTTAAATAATAAATTTCCAGTCTTCTGCTGGCATGGGAAACCATTTTGCAGTTTAGTTTTTCTTAATCAACTTTTAGATTTCATAGCTATTTTTAGCTCTGTGTTTTCACCTATCAGTTCTACCTTCACACCTGATTCTAGATATACCTGTTACACCCCTTTCTGAAAGTTTTGCCTTCTGAGGTGGTAATTGTGTTTCTTCTTGGCTTCTTTTGCAGCCTGTTTAGGATTCAGGTTACTCAATCCGTCTGACAATTATCACTTGTCCAACTATTTTTCAGCTTTATAAATCCCGTCATTTTGGGAAGGCACAGAGGCAAATATGCATCTCCAACCCATCTTCTTTAAGCAAAAGTCAGATCTAGATGTTTTAGTAAATGACATTGAAGGAGCAGATTATCTTTAGGAAACTCTTCCTGAGACTAAAAAATGAAAGAATTATTCTCAACTCATTTTATGAGAGAATATAATTTTGATACAAAAAAATCAGAAAGAATACAAGAAAAATATTTATGAGAAACTGCATTTTATTTTCTCACAAATATTAGGAAACAAAATCAAGCAACTTATTTTATATTACAGTGTTTGTATTAAAGACCATAAGTATCTTTAGCAAACTGGATTTATACCAGGAAAATAAGATATTTTTAACATTAGAAAATCTGTTAATATAATTAACCAAAAGACACAAAGAAAAAAAAACTATATAAGACCAAAGAGGCATCTGTTAAATTTTCTATTGCAATTCAAAATGTAAACTCATAGAAAACTCAAACTAAAAATAGGAATAACCTGTATTTCTACCAAATATCAAGACTAAACTTGATATTTATCATTAGGAATATTCCAATTCATGTCAAGAATCAAAAAAGGGTGCCTCTAATCAAATTGTGCTGGAAGTTTTAACCAGCTCAGTCAGTTAGGAACAAGAAATAAAAGGTGTAATTTTCTTTTAAAAAGTAAATATAGCTCTCTACTTACAGATAAAAAGATGGTCTACGTAGAAAATCCAAGAGAATGTACAGGCAAAGTATTAAAACTACCTAAGACAATAGCACAGTAAATACACAAATGTTAATTGCAATTTTATACATTGGCAACAGTTTAAAATATAGTTTTTAAACGTAGTATTTAAAAGACAGAAAAGTAGACACCAAGCTAAAATCCAACAAACGATGTTTTAGATTATAAAAAGGGAAATATGTAGTTTTAAATTGGAAACTTGAAAATAACAAATATGTAACTTAGCTGTTAATTAATCTTAAGTTTTAATACAATCTGACTTAAAATCTCAATAGTTTGGTAATTTTATTACCAAATTGAAATTGAAAAGCTGATTCAAAAATTCTCACGTGTCATTAAAGGATTAAGAATAACCATAAAAATTTAAGGATTACAAATGGTATAAATTCACCTTAGCAGATATGAAGACTTCTGATAAAGTTGTAAAAATATAAAAAGGGACAAATTGATACAGAGTGTGAATACCAAACTAAAGGCATGCAACTGATAGCTAAGAATGAGACACATTCTTTCTTTTTTTTTTTTTTTTTTTTTTTGTTTGACTTGGAATCTTGCTCTGTCTCCCAGACTGGAGTACAGTGGCATGATCTTGGCTCACTGCAACCTCCATCTCCTGGGTTCGAGCAATCCTCCTACCTCAGCCTCCCGAGTAGCCAGGATTACAGGCACCACCACCACACCCAACTAATTTTTGTATTTTTAGTAGAGATGGGATTTCACCATGTTGGCCAGGCTTGTCTTGAACTCCTGACCTCAGGTGATCCGCCCGCCTTGGCTTCCCACAGTGCTGGTATTACAGGCATGAGCCACCGCATCCGGCTGAGACACCATCTTTTGAAGAAGCTTCATAAATTATAGAGGTGTTATTACAAATCCATGGAGGACAAATGGCCTATGAAACACATGGTGCTGGTACAATTGGGACAATAAAATTAAATCCCTATCTCATAGTACACATAAATTCATTTCAGGTAGATTAAAGACCTAAATGTGAAAAAGCAGCCCTTTAAACTATTTAGCAAAAATATTGAAGAAAATCATTATGATTTCAACATAAGGTAACCTCTCTTAAATAAGATGCAAAAAGCACAAACCAAAGGTTAAATGAACTGATAATTAGGTTTACATTAAAATTATAAATTTCTGCATTTCAGAAGATACTATAATCAAAAATGAGTTATATCTTGGGAAAAAATATTTCCATAAAAGGATTTGTATCTAGAATGTATAAAGAATTATATGTTAAGAAAAATAAAATATGTGAAATTAGCTTATAACTCATAGATGAGTAAGTTCAAATTGGCAATAAAAATCTAAATTATATCATTATTAGGAAAATACAAATTAAAACACAAATATCATGTCACACACATCAGTTTGGATTTTTTTTTTAGTCTGCAAATACTAATTGCTTTTAAAGATGTGGTGGAATAGGAACTCTCATACATAGCATTGAAAGTGGAAGTGAAACTTAGTACAATCATTTTGAAAAATAATTTGACCATATTTTCAAGATGCTCAAGACTTTGACCCAGAAATTTTACTTCTAGGTACATATGCATAAGGAAATACATGGCAATAATTTTCATTGAAGCACTGGTTTTAAGTGAGAAAGACTGGAAGCAACTTATTCATCAACTAAATAATAGATAAATTGTAGTATTTTCATACAGTAGAATTCTATTTAGCAGTTAAAGTGAATGGATAGTATCACATACATCAATATGGACGATGCTCATAAAGAATATAGAGAAGAATGCAAGTTGAAGAATAATAGGTACAGTTTGATGCCATTATAGAATTGAAAGACATGCCTAGCAAAACAAAATAGTTTATTGATATGCATATATGTAACACAACCGTAAAATTATGTGCACGAATGATAAATACCAAATTCAGAATAGAAGTTTTGTCTGAGCAGGAAAAGAAGGGAATGGAATACAGATATACATGGGGTTTAATTGTATCCGATACATCTAATTTCTTTTTTTCTCTTTTTTTTTTTTTTTTTTTTTTTTTGAGATGGAGTCTCGCTCTGTCACCCAGGATGGAGTGCAGTGGCACGACCTCGGCTCACTGCAAGCTCCGCCTCCCGGGTTCACACCATTCTCCTGCCTCAGCCTCCCAAGTAGCTGGGACTACAGGTGCTCACCACCACGCCGGGCTAATTTTTTGTATTTTTAGTAGAGACGGGGTTTCACCGTGTTAGCCAGGATGGTCTCGATCTCCTGACCTCGTGATCCACCCGCCTCGGCCTCCCAAAGTGCTGGGATTACAGGTGTGAGCCACTGCACTCAGCCCATCTAATTTCTTAAAAAGACTCTGAGGCAAATACGGTAAAATATGAAGGTTGACAAAGCTGTTGTTGAATTTGCATCTATTATTTTATAGTTTTCTATATGATTGAAATATTTCATAATACAAAGTAGAAATAAAAGAATTAGTCCTAAAAATAAGAAACTTGGAGAGGTGAGTTAAAATATTTGATGTATCACACATTACTGTAAAAACTATTTAAGCTTCTTCACTTTTTTTCAGTGGGCACCTGTTTCAGGCTTGCCTCTCTAATGAAGAAAACCTGGGTGGTGGAAGCTCTCATTGTATTTTTAAAATACAGATCAAATCCTGTTGCAGCAAGTGAATGGGCCGATCTAACTGTTTTTTAAGGTAAAATAAATATTTTTATTTTTTGTATTTTTAATTGATGTAAAAGATAACTTGTTTAAAGTAATAATAGTAACAATGTATTGGTTGGTTATAGGGCAGGGATAAGTGAAATGAATAAATGCTTTACTGACAGTTTGCTTGGCAGTTCTCCTCTGATTTCCAATAGTAGCTATTCAGTGCCTTCGCCACCCTTCTCCCTGATCTCTGTCAAGCCCACTCTTTCTCATACTTGTCAGATGATCTTTCCATGGGAGGACACCAGATGGGAGTTACCTCACTCACCTGCATCTGCACCTATCCTTTCCTTTTCCCTCTAGGCTCAGAGGATGGCAGATCCCTCCTCCCTCCGCTTACGAACTTGGTGCTGTGCCCTTAGGCATCTCTCCGGTACTTTTTCTCGTTTACTGTATCCTCAAGCTCTTTGACTCATTTACCTTCTTAGATTCTTTTTATCTGTAAAGTAACGGCAATAAATACTAATTTCCAAGTGAGATCAAACAGAGAACCTGTGTAAATGTCCATTTTTTTTCTGTAAAGGACCATATATCTTCAAGGAATTGTATTTTATAATCTACGAGTTTTAATTTTTCTTTAAGTTCTGGGACACAAGTGAAAACGTACAGGTTTGTTACATAGGTATACATGTGCCATGGTGGTATTACCTAAGATTTTAAGTATGGAAAGATTACATTTACTTAAAGAAGTTCTATTCATATAATTTAGGTCCCCAAATACCTACAGAAAACAATTGCAAAAATAAATTCATAAACAGAAACCAGGGAAACAAAGGAAAATTAAATGAGTGCTAAATGGCAAGAGGGAACCGCAGTGAAAGACATTTAAAAGTTTGTAGACATTGATTTATTAAATAGTCATTTTGGATTCTCTTCACTTCTTTTTCCCCAAAAGGTGATATTTTCTTTCCCAGAACTAATCAGAAGAATGATATTTGCATTATGAAAATACATGGGTTTTGGTGGGTATTTTTTTTTTTTTTTTTTTGAGACGGAGTCTCACTCTGTCGCCTGGGCTGGAGTACAGTGGCGTGATCTTGGCTCACTGCAACCTCCACTTCCCGAGTTCAAGCGATTCTCCTGCCTCAGCCTCCCAAAAATACATGTTTTAAAATTGATAAAAGTGATGTATTGTCTTATGTTCAAATTAGTAAACTGAAACAGCACTTTGATGAACAGCAGGCCATAAAAACACTTTTAAAGAGTATTATGAAGCATTACAGATGCTTTTTTTTTTTTGGACTAGCTGCTCATTTCCAAATAGATTTATTTGATAGCTTTTCTCATTTAATAAAAGGATGAATTAGAAAAATATGAACAGATTGTGATAACCAAAAATAAATGAACTTGACCACTTGGAAGAGGAGCAATTGCCAATGGACTAGAAAATAATGTAGGAGAACTTTGGCATGCACAATTTATGTATGAATAAAAAATAAAATTTTTGACATTTAAGTTTTGAACAAGCTGCCTAGATGTGAATTTCAGAAAAAATAACATTTTAATTTTCTAAAAAATAATGTTTTACTCTAATATGTACTCAACTATGTTTTACCTAATAATTTAAAATATTCCGTTTCTTCCTCTGTCTCTCTGCCTATCCTTTCCTTCTTCATTTTAAACATTCAAAAGTAATATCCTGATGAGGCTGACTATGATGAAGACTATAGTTCTTACTATTTTGATTCCATATTACTCCTAAAAAGGAAAAAAATTAATCTCTTGATTGAATATCTTGATTATAACTGATGCCTCTGAAAATATAATCTTTTTAGAAGATTCTGCTTTCATTCTAGCAATTTTTCATTACCTTTGTAATCTTGAGCAAATTTATTAACATCTCTAAGACTCATACCTCATCTATAGGAAGAAAATAATAATTCAAGAATATTGTGATAATTAAAATGAAACAATGCATCTGGCAATGTGTTAAAACTATTAATTTTATAAACTATGCAAAACAAGATATTTTACATATACATTTCACACATTATCATGTCCCCATTGGAATTTTCTGGCATCAGGTATTAGAGCTCTAGGCAATTGAGTTTTTATTTTTCATTCATTTATTTGGCATCGTGTGGAAACATCCAAACAGCCATAAACCAACTAAGCATGAATATAGTTAAGCATTTAAGTAAAATCCTCAAAAAGCTGGTTTACTCTCTTTGTATGACGGTTAAAGAAACATGGGCACAGAGAAGTAAGGGAGAAACCCAAGGGCAAACCAGCAGCTTTTCTATAAGAGCAAGATTTAAGACTCAGGTGTTCCCAATCCCTCCTACTGGTAGGTTTTTACTATTTCACACTGGCTTTCTTTTCATAAGATGGAGGGGAAGTCAGTGCTTATTGACATAGTGACTTAGTGATTTAGTAGTGATTATGTGACTTAGTGACATAGTGACTTAGTGATTATGTGGGTTTTTCCAAACAACAAACATGTGTTGCATACTTTCTGTGATAGCCAATGAGAATTTAAAGATACATAGAGCATAACTGTTGCCCCCAAGCAACAATGTAATAAAGAAACAAATATATATGAAGAGAACTGCAAAAGACTGCAAATATGTACTTTCATAGAAGTGTGTGCAAAAGGTTTGGTGATGATACTTTAAAAGGGACCAGAGAAGTCATAGCCAGGGTTGATTTCCAAAAAGGAAGATATTTGACTGATTTTGATGAGAAAGAGTAAGGTGTGTGTGTGCATGTGTGTGTGCATGTGTGTGTGTCTGCACATGCGTGTATGTGGGGAGGTTAGAAAAATCTGATATAAATGAATGAAAGAGATCAACTCAAATAAAAACAGATACATATATAGAACTAGCGAGGAATAAAAAAAAAATGGTGTAGGCCAGGTGTGGTGGCTCATGCCTGTAATCCCAGTTCTTTGAGAGGCTGAGGCTGGAGGATCACTTGAGCCCAGAAGTTTGAGAACAGCCTGGGCAACATGGAGAGATCTATCTCTACAAAAAAAAAAAAAAAAAAAAAAAAGACCACATTGTGGTGGCACATGGCTGTGGTCCCAAGCTACTTGGGAGGCTGAGGTGGGAGGTTTGCTTGGGCCTGGGAGGTTGAGGCTGCAGTGAGACATGATCCTGCCACTGCACTCCAGCATGGGTGACAGAATGACACCCTGTCTCAAACAAAAACAAAAACAATCCCTTGGTGTGTTTGTGAAATGGCAGGCAGTTTAGGTGTCCTGGTTCAAGGTATAGAGAGTGTGTGGGAGGGGTCAGCAGGTGAGGAATTTAGAAAATAGAAGAGCTGGAGGGAGGTCAGAACAGCTGAGCAGACCTGAGTTAGCATATGGGGTATCAAGTCAAAGCCAGTGCACAACGTGGAGCTCAAACAATAAAAACCAATGGAAAGCTATTAATGGGTTCAATGGAGGCAGACTGGTCTCCCTTAAGGTTTTCTTTTTTTTTTTTTAATTAAAGAAAAAATCACCCTGGAATAGAATGGAGGAAGAATTATAGGGGTAAAAACTAGAGTGGGAAGGAAAGTTAAGAGAATATTGAGAGAAACAATGGGGGTTTCTGAAGCAGGAACAACGGACAAGGGAGAATGGATGACAAAAAGAACAAGGCAGATATTGATATACTCGTGCTATAGGTAAACAGATTGAAGCTCTAAAAAGGTGATTCGCCCATGATCACACATTGGTCCCTATTGACTTCAAAGCCAAGATGGGCTTCCAGCTGTATTCCCTTGGGTGGGGCCACATTCACCTAGAGCAGGAGGACCACTTGCCTAGTCACCCAGTGGCATTTAGTAGCTTGGAAGGTGTGCTCAAAGACAACAGTCTCAAAGAGGCACCAGTGCACCAGCATCCTGGGTTGTTTTCCTGGAGTCTTTATTCAGACATTGTACTTTAGCAATATTATTTTCTCTTTTGACAAAATTGCTATATGAGCATATTTTATCTTCTTTTTGGAAATGCTATTACTAATGATCAAGTAATATCTGAGCCAACCTGAGTCCCTAAGAGGAGAAAAGAAAATGTACTTTCCAAAACCTATTAATACAACCTGCCTTTATATTTGGATGGGCTAGCTGATTCTGAGAACTTCATCTGTCTAAGCTTTCTCCCTTTTTTTTTTTCCTTCTCTTTTCTACTCTTCTCTTCTTCTTTTAGAGACAGGGTCTCACTCTGTTGCCCAGGCCGGAGTGCAGTGGTACAATCCCAGCTCACTGTAGCCTCGACCTCCTAGACTCAGATGATCCTCCTGCCTCAGCGTCCCTAGTAGGTGGGCCTACAGGTATGTGCCACCATGCCTGGCTAACTTTTTGTATTTTTTTGTAGAGACAAGTTTTCGCCATGTTGACCAGGCTGGTCTGGATTGTTTTTTTCTTTCTTTTTCTTTCTTTCACTCTTTTTGTTTTACTTACAGAATGGCAGTGGGAAATAATCTGTAAACATACAGGTAGAAAAAACATTAATATAAATTTTGGTAAAACCAAAGTCTTGGTTAGCACTTGGATTTTTAAAAATTTTCATGTAAATAAAATTTAATTTACTGTTTAATATACCTAATATCTGACTCTGGGGGGAAACCAAAAACACAACTTTTTTCAAAATCATACAATTTGGGTTGCTTAATTCAAATAATGAGATGTTTTGATCTTGGCAGACTTGAGAGGGAAAAATTTTAGGAAAGACAACCTTGGTGAAAGAGGTAAAAAGTATTGCAGATCTTGGTTTTCATGATGACATAGAATAACACTAACAGACTGCTTTTGTTTACAATTACTCTTAGTAATTTCTTGTCTGTGGAATAAATAAAGTCATGTTTATATGGGTGCCCTCAACTATATGGTGTGTCTGATTCTCTATGGATCTTGTAGTTCAGTTGCTTTGAACAGTAAAGAAGGAATTTAAGAAATACTAAAAAAAAAAAAAAAAAAAGAGTCAGAGATTCCAAGTTATTCAAGACAAATTTGACTAAAATTCTCAGTTTTCTCATCTATAAATAAATAAATAATACCTATCTGTATTAGTCAGGGTCTTCCAGAACCAAGAAGGGGTATGTGATATAATCATAGAGTGCGAGAGTGTGAGAGAGAAAAAGAGACAGCACAAATTTATTTTAAGGAATTCGCTTCTGTGATTGTGGAAGTTTGATGAGCCCCAAAGCCAATGATGTAGGCTGGTAAGCTGGAGAAAAAGGGAAGAGTTGCTCTTTGAATGCAAAGGCAGTCTGTTGGCAGAATTCCTTTTTGCCTGGGGAATGTCAGTCTTTTTCTACTAAGGCCTTCAACAGCGATTGAATGAGGTTCACCACATTATGGAGGGTAATCTGTTTTACTCAAAGTCGAACAATTTAAATGTTAATCTCAGCCAAAACACCCTTATAGAAACATCCAGAATAATGTTGGACCAAATATCTGGACACTATGGCCAAGTTGACATACAAAATTAACCATAATACCATCTCAAAAGAATGTCCTGAGAATTAAATGATTTAATACGTGCAAACCACTTAGGACATTTTCTGGCACATAATATTCACCAAATGTTAACTCTTGTTCTTGTTATTCAAGCAACTACTGTGGTGTTGAAGAAAATAACTACTGTTTTGTAGCTTGTATTAGAAATACTTCTACTGTTCAGATAATAGGAGACATTTTGAGTGATCATGAAAAACAGCAAACATGATGTAGAAAAGAGCTTTTTAGTAAATTATTAGATGTTCTCATTCAAATTGAAACTTTGTGTAGAGAAATACATTTATGTATCTATACCAATGCAAGTACACTGAAAAAAAAATTCTTTTACATTGCTTTCCTTGGCACTTCTACAGATACAACTCTTTCCTTTTCAATAGTTAGAAAAAGGTCAGTTCTTCAAATCTGATCAGGAAAAGTGGCTTGCTTCCTGTTAAAGAGAAGTTTGTTCTTTATCTTTCTCTCTTTTCTTTTTTGTGACTGCTGAGAAATCAGGATAAAATAAAGGCCTATCTCATAAAACCTTAGGCAGCAGCATGGTTGCATTATTCACACTTAGTTTAAATGGAGAACTTCATTACCACCAGCAAAGTTATGAAATACATGCAGTTCCCAAGTGGACTTGGCTTTCCACCAAATAAATCATTCATGAATGTGCAAGGTTATAGCCTTGCTTTCCCTCTCTGCACCTATTTCACTGTAGGATTCTTAACCAGCTGGCTTTTGCTACTTGCAAACTGATCTAACAGCTGAAGCTCAAAGTTCAGAGAGCAGTAGTTTGCCACTCTGACAGTGCAATGTTCTCCCTTTCTTCATTAATTGTGAATTTTCTCAAAGCTTGTTTTTTTAAAATCATAATTTGTAAGAAACTCTGTGATTCCTGAATAAATCCTTTCCCCAAAACAAAGCTGACTTCCCATTTATTTTGAAATAGTCTGAAATTACTTTCATTATCAATATCCTCGGCTCTCTTTCCCCCACTTCCCCAGCTCCCCCAGCCAAGACTTTGAATCGTTTCCTTTCCCTGTGAGTCCTCTGGGAGTTTGTTCCAGGTACAGGCAGTTTTGCATCTTAAGGTATGAAACAGCTGTATTCTGTTGCTTCTCTTTTGTCCCATGTTCTTTGTTTCTCAGCCTCGCTGATGTGATTAATTTTATGAAGGGCTCTGCTCACATTGCAGCTGTAGTCAGCCTGGGTAGGTAGTGGTGTAAGCTACCCACTGAGTCTGCCAGTGTTGAGGGTGGAGTAGCTGATGTAGTCAGTACCAGCCTTGAGCAAATTGGAAAAATGAAGTGAGAGTATCTTGGGTGCCCATACCCCCAACCTTGATGCTGTGCTTCTCTCTTGTTCATCCCCCCCAGCCAATGCTCTTCCACTGCTGTAAGACCTTTCTGTCTCTGAGAAGCTAATTCTCATTCTGGAGGATCTCATGTTACCTCTTAATTTCCATTATGTGTGAGGGTTATTTGAAGAGAGCAATATTTAACCCAAAGAAACACAAGTTGTGGAATATCCAGCCTCCTGAGATGGATAGTGTGCCTTTTAAACCACATGATGTAAATTAATTATGTACTCTATTTGTCTGGGAGTCTTTAAAGAAGGTCTCACTATGAAGTAGATAGTGCTGAATCCCCACTAAGCATGCTGAATGTAATGAGAGCTCCTGGTTTCCTACCCCAATTCGCCCTTCCTGGACTGGTATATCCATCCTCCAGTTGCTTACAGTGTTGACTGGTAAGGACTTATGGCTGTGAGCGGTACTCATCTCTGGAGATCTCTTATTCACCAGTGGGAACCACTTAGCTTAAACATTCTTGGATGGTTATTCCTGACTCAGGAGCAGCCCACAACTGCAGCCAATGGCTGATATGCAGAACGAAATTCCAGCTGCCTCACCTAGAGCTGGAATGTCTGTGGGCTACCATTCAGGCCCCAGAATCCCTCACAGGCTCAGCCTGAAGCTAGTGTCCAGCTGAACTTGCATCCTTGTCTCTCTTTGTCTCTCTTCTTCCCGGACCCCTACTCTGCTTCCTTCCCTTCCTTACAGGTTCCTCCTAGAAGAGCTGTCTTGAAATCACTTGCACAGAGTGCATTCTTAGTCTCAGCTTCTAGGGCATGTAAGATCCTGAGCTAAGCTTAGGGAACTGGCAAAGCATGGGACCTAAAGGAGAGGAGGGGGAAATTTTTGCAAAATTTGATATTGCAAATCAAGAAAAAATAGCATTTAAGCACTGGTCATGGAGAAAAATTAGAATTTTTCTTTTTTTTTTTTAGAGGTTCACATTGTTTTTATATTTTAAATGGCTTTGGGCAGGGCACCTAATCTCTTGAGTGCTTAGTTACATTACATGTCTTAAGCACTGTTAGTAGAAAAGGGTATTTATTGCATACGCCAATTTGTTTGCCATTTATTTAAAGATGTATGCCTCTGTGAATTCATGGATGAAAAAACATATATAAATCACAAAGTTTACAAATTTAACTATGCAAATCTCATAACTACAAATGAATCTTCCCAAAGAAGTGATGTGATAAATTGTTGCTAGGTGACAATTCTTTGTCTACTGAAGGCATCTTGCACTTGGCCACGCTAGGAGCAAACTCTAGTTCAGGGAGGGAGGTGAGGGAGACTCTCATATTTTCTACATATTAAAGGAGGTCAGGCTACTTCCAGGATCCAGTCAGAACCATGAGCTTATCTTACTGGGCATCCTTTCTTGAAACCTATATTAGAGGCAGAGAAAACCCAAAACCTTGGCAGCAGGCTTCTGATTAACCACAGAACTGTTCACATTTAGGTAACCCCCTTACTTGAGTCATACCTCTTGTTTTTTACAACCCAGAGTCATACCTGTCTATGCTCATATCTCATGTTTTAGGCAGCTATTTGCCCATGCAAAGCACACTCTAGCCATAAAAGTAACATCTTCCTTGTTCTCATTCTGCATCTTCTATGATTCTGCACTCATCTCTGCTCCTCCTCCATTCATTCCTCTCCCCTGTCTCCTCACAGGAACTTCTGTGGATGGATAATCTATTTGGGTATATCCAAGGATAAGTGGCCAGCAATGGCTCATTCTTCAGCATCCAAATGCCTCACAATATTGTGATCCTAGGCAATGTCCTCAATGTATCCCTTAAAATAGAATAAAATAAACAGAACACAAGAGAAGCCACCATACAAGCAGGAGGCTTTCTACTGCCAAGATTCCAAATAGATTAAGCCTGTCAATTCTGCCACCTTTGCTCCAGGTACTGTGAGCTCCCAATGGGATAAAAGGTGAGATGCTTTCTTGAACTGCTCAATTGACCCCATCCCATCAACTGATGTTTCTTATGAGGGGAATACTAGCTTTAAAAATACGCTCTGTTCACGTAGCAATTACTAGAGCTCTAGAAACAGGGCCAAAATTCTTTTCATGTTATAACTATATCTACTGCCAGCTATCATTTATTGCACACATACTATGTGACAGGCACAATGCCAGATACTTTTGGAGTCATAATTTTTCATCCTTATCATAGCTTGCAGAGGTAGGTATTATCCATTCTGCAAATGAAGGAATTGTGGTTTAAAAAGGGTAAGATATTAAGTGCCAAATCTGAATATAATCCTATGTGGATCTGTCTTCCAAGTCTTTATCCTATTACCCTCCTTTTTATTGTCTTCTAACTTCTCACTAATCAGCTTAACAACTATCCATTTGCATAGCCCCCTCTACTAGTTATCTATTGCTGCATAACAACCTTAGTGGCTTAAAACATTTATTATCTCACAGTTTCCACTGGTCAGGAGACTTGCTATGGCTTATCTGGCACCATTGCTCAGAGTCTTAAAATCTGCAATCAGGGTGTCAGCTGGCCTTTGTTCCTTTCTGGAGCTTGGTGTCCTCTCCCAAGCTGTAGGAGAAACTAATTTCCTTGCACCTGTAGGGCTGAGAGTCCCAGCTTTTTACTGGCTGTTGGCTGAAAGTTGCTCTCATCTCCAAAAGGACTTCGCATGGCCCTTTTCATAGGTGTTCACAACATGGCTATTGGCTTCTTGAAGGGCAGCAGTAGTCCCCCGTCTCCAATGTGCTATGATGGAGTTTTATGTAATGTAACCTAAGCAAAGGCATGACATTTTACCACCTTTGCTATATTCTATTTGTTAGAAGCAAGTCACAGGTCCCACCTACACTCAAGGGGAGGGAATCATTCAGGGGCATGAATTATTTTGAGTCACTTTAGGGTGTTTCTGCCATACTCCCTTGGCAAAGATCTCACAGAGCTGCAGATGATTCTCACTGCAGCTGTTACTTCCAGCTGCCATTTTCCTCCCCCATCTATAAAGTGGGGAGGTTGTTATTCATCTGCTTTGCTGGGGCAGGGTGACAATTTGGCCATAAAATGCTTTGATACCCAGAATGAAAGGCTCTTTATAAAGCCAAAGTATGTTTTTTCCCCAAAGAGAAAAATATAGAAAGAAGTCATCTGTTGCTAGGGAAACCACAACCTTTCACTATGCTTATTTAGAAAAAAAGACATATTCAAGACTCTTCACTGTAGGAACAGAGACTGTGCTTTATGTTGGTAAGAATAAACAAAGAAGAAAAATATCATTCTTCTCAAATGAAAAAAAAATCCATTATCTTGTGTCTTGCTAAAAATATTTTATTCTCCACAGTTCAATTCGAAATTCACAGTAACCCCCACCCCTGCCGTTTTTGTCTTGCTTCATATGAAACTCCCTTTGAAGTCAGCAGAACCTTTGGGTCTGAACAAAACATGAGAAGCTGAAGGAAGACTGGGCAAACTAGCAAAAACCCATGCCAATATGGCATGGCTAAGAGGCTATGGGATCTCTCCCTTCTGTCCACATTGCGCCTGGGCACTAAGTCAAGAAAGAGTTTCAGAAATTTTTTTTTTTAATACTCACACTTAGTACATCACCAGACTCCTTGTACCATTGCTTAAATGATCACATTTTTATACAGATACTGTCGTTCAATTCTTAGTTTTAAAAAGGCCGTTCTATTTTCTGGTGTCTGAAATTTTAGCTAAAATGAGTTGATACAGTTTGACTCTAAAGACCGCCTTCACAGTCCCTTTAGCTCCAAGTCTTTTTCTTTGTCACACAGTAGGATGCTTTCTCTTCAAGTGCCCTGGTGAGCAGGTCACTGAGCACAGGCTTCCAATCTGCTTGGCCAAACCACCGCCGTCTCCCGAGGAAATTCTATTTAGAATCTCTTCAGGGATTTTTGTTTGTGAAAGTGTGGAGGAGACACAGGATGAAAGGAGGAGATAAGCAAACTCGAATTTTCTGACCTGGAGAAATACTGTTAAGAGTGATGTTTGAATGGGGACATGAATCCTGTTTAGCCTCCTGAAAACCTGCTGGAACTGTGGAGGGCATCACTTAAAGTTAAAAACTGAAAAGACATCCGGAAATTGAGGAAAATGTTATTTTGGGTTGGCTTTTCTGTATAGTCTATATACCACTGATTCTTCTGCTCTTAATTGTTGTTGGACAAATACCCAAAGTGGATTTTATGTCTTTTCTCCCTAGGTAAGAAGCTATTCAAGGTTGTTTCCACCCACTCCTTCAAAAGGCCCATGACCAGGAAGGAGCTGGGGAGACAGGCAAGGACTCATGAATCCAAGTCATCCAAAACCCATCTGCTGAGCAATCAGTTCATTGTAGAGAGTTAGCACTCAAGTGAGCTACCGATTATTAACTAATAAAAGGATCATTATTATAGTTCTAATTGTCTCAGATATCCCTTTCACATATATATATTTCACAAATATATATATATATTTCACAAATATATATATATTTCACAAATATATATATTTCACAATTATATATATATTTCACAAATATATATATTTCACAAATATATATTTCACATATATATATTTCACAAATATATATATTTCACAAATATATATATTTCAAAAATATCTATATTTCAAATATATATATTTCACAAATATATATATATTTCATAAATTATATATATGTATATACATATTTGCTCTGTGAGTCTGGATGGGACTATATTTTATTCATTATTGTGGTGCTTACATTAAAGCTTGTTAATTCAAGCTGTTAAGCTCCCTGTAGGAAAAATCTCAAATGATTGCAGTCATATTTAAAACTGATCTTATGCTGAGAATCACATACAAATAAATATCAGTAAAAATGCATTTTTATTTCAAGATAAAAGTCAACAAGTAATATTAAAAACAGTGGTTTGCATCACTATTTTGTCATAGCCATGTGTATTATACCAAGAAAAGACTGTACTAATTAGATTTCTAATTATCATTCAACTTCAACAGGACAACAAGGTTTAAATTTATACCTTTCTATAGGAAAAAGCCATTTTAAACTCTGAATTTCCCTGCCAAGGAAATTTTACATGGGGTCATATGCATGAATTACTGGAGACTCTGCAGAAAATTTTATCTAGGGAATATATAAAGGATGAGGATTTTTAAAATGTGAACACGTCACTGTACTCCAATTATACCATACTAATTTTCAATATTATTATACTAATAACTTAGGAATCAAATATTTTGGTTAGAAGCAAGGAGTGAAAATGCTAATATTCTTCTAATTATAAGTTATAGGCAGCATAATTTGTTGCTAATAGCACCAGACACTTTTGTTGGTATTCAGTAGTAAAAGAAAAAAATTAAAACCACTCAGTTTGACATAGTTGCATACCAATAAGGCATAGTTGTTTTTAAGGTCTTCTTCAAAAGTGAACCTGACAAGCTACTCAAGAAATATTTACCACATCCTCTGCCTTATAGGTTTGCATGTTGCTGGGAGATAAAAGGCATCAAAAGGTAAATGAAATGGGCAGGAAGAACAAGAATAATTGGAAACACTTAACTGTAGTTAGCCTGTTCTGCCTGAATGTAACAGTATAGTGGCTTGCAGTGGTAAATTGACCCAAGAAACTTATTTAAGACTATCAGCTCACTATTTTAGATAGATTCACAGCCGATGTTACACTTGGGAGAAGTGGTTTCATAAACTAGAAAAGACAATTCTTGATTTTTAAAAATTTGCTCAGTTTGAGAAAAATGTATCTTTAAACCAAAATAAGTTTAATGCTAGTTTGCACAGAAGCATATTTCTTCTTTTCAAAAATGGTTGGCAGTTGAAACAATCATTAGATTATTTGGAAATCATTTAATTACCTTGAAGCAGGTATCAAGCCGTTGGCATGAGCTGCAGATTTAGCTATGCTAAGACATAGAAATAAGATTCATCAATCAAGGTTCTTAGCCAGCCTATTCTAATGGTTAATAATAATGTCTATTCCTGATCTCCTCCACACTGCTGCCTATGCAGTTGCCTTGAAAATATTTTCAATAGAAATGAACAATTAAAAAGTGGAGTCTTCACTTCAGCAGCACTTACACTAAAACTGAAACATACAGAGAAGATTGGCATGGTCCCTGTGCAAAAGATGACATGCACATTGTGAACTGTTCTATATTTTTATCGAATTGTTTGTGACACAGAGGATAAATGCTTTAGGTGATGGACACTCCATTCCTGAATCACTCATTCACCCTGAAGTGATTATTACACATGCTTGTATTAAACTATCACATATACCCCATAATTATATATACTATGTACCCATAAAATTAAAAATTAATTAATTAAATTGTGGAGAAGTTTCTAATATCAGATTAGAGACTTTACTAATCTTTTTCATTGGCCCAATAATTTTATATGATTAGTCATTAACCAGTAGATTAATATAATTACAGATTTATTGTCTCTGCCTTGTTTTGCATTGTGGAAGATGTGCAGAGATGACACCAGACTTGTATTTTTCAAATCCCACAATTATTTCACATAAATATAAATTCAGATGAAACACTTTGCAATTGAAAGGGAACTTTGCAATCAACAAATGATAGATCTGAGATTCAAAGGGGCAAAGCTATTTGTCTCAAGTCATAAAGACAGATAGTGTGGGACCTGAAGCAAAACTGACAATTTCCTGGTTCCTAGCCCAGTGCATTTACAGTGCACCTCCAAGGCATTAGAATTTTCAAAAATCGTGTCAAGTAGATATAAAATGATTATATTTTGATTTTCAGGACTCTGTGAATTTCCATAGGATATTTCCCTTTTCCAAAGAATTTTGGAAGCCTAAGTTAACACCTGCTCCTTTTAAGTAAATGAAAAACATCTTTATTCTTTAATAAATTCTCCTTGCTCCCACTATAAGTGCCAAACAAAAGTACACGAGCTGTCAGTATCTCCATTAAAAAAAAAAACAAAAAGCATGAAATAGTTTTAAAAGTCTTATTAGGGAAGTGATAAACGGAACTACCGCCAAGGTTTGGCTCTATTTTCTCCTCTTGGATGTAATTGGTTCCTTATTTTCAAAGTTTGAATCTTTCACATTCTTGCAGATGCTACGCTATACCGAAACACTTTAAAACTGACCCTGAAGCCACCAAGAAGATTAAGCAGTGATTTGAACATTTTTTACTAAGGAAGGTTAGTGTATTTGAAATGAAACAAAAAATACATTTGGTTAGAACTCTGTCTCTTCAGTGCATTGTTTTAATAACAATGCCAGTTCCAGTGAGTTTTGAATGCACTTCGAAGAGTGTGCAAATACACATTAAAATTATGTAATAGCCCATGGTCACTTGGAGCTAAGTGGATAGTGCCAATGCCAAGAATTCCAGCCTGTATTTTGTCCTGAAATCACAAACTCATTTGAGAGCTAGAACGTGAGTTCAAGTGTGCCTTGGCAGATAGACAATCTGGCACATGGTTTGCAAGAAATGATACTGGGTAGAATCACTAGATGGAACAGAAGAGTGGTTAGCCTAATTTCTACTTTGACTTCTTGATAAAGAGTAAGTTCTTTCAGGAATTACATTTTAAGAACTGTACTGTTTGGCCCTGACAGCCTCAGGCCAAGTTGTTTTAGCTGCAAATTCCAGCTACCATCTGACTCAAACTTGCTCAATTCTAGCCTTTGCATGCCAAGTAACTATGCATCTCTACGTCCTCATTCAATATGACTCTGATTGCAGTTAGGTGCATGGGGACTGAAGTAATATAGAGTCAAGGAAAACAACTTGCAAAGCTAGGGGTTTGGAAATCTTCAAAGCTCCAAACATTTGACTACTCAAATGTCTTTGGTCGTTGTTGCTGTGTTTTTTCTGTTACCTGCTGATCATATCTATGACACAATATTTGTGGCTTTTAAATCTGAAAAACAAGGCTTTTTAAAAATGAGTAGAGTTTGATGGAAGGGACATTTTCTTCTCAATTTGGTCACCTTGATTTTGCCACCTAGTTTAATACAAGGAGATTACCTCAAATTTGAAGTTCGCTGTCTCATTTTGACGGAATAACAATTCTCTGGAGTGACTTCACAAAGTGGGGAAAGGGTAAGTGAGAGACATCCCAGGGGCCCACATTCCCACCATAGAATCATGAAATCCTGGCCATGGGAGAGCCCCTCCCCCAAGCCTCCCAACCCATGAAACTAACACAGGGAGCTTCTAGGAGGCTATGGGACAGAACTGCTCCAGGGAGGGAGCTCAGGCTGAGTCCCACACCCTTTCTAAGACCTTTCTTAGACCTAATGTGGCCACAGCAGGGCACCATTTTCAAACCTAGCCTTTGGCAGACTGCACTGGGGCACAGCAGTGTGGGAATTGAGGTATTACAGAAATTTGGGCTATTGCTGCTGAAACTGGGGCATAACCTTGGAGCAGTCATGCAGCTGGGGCTGAGAAGCAAGTGAGATGTGGGCTACAGCTGCTGGTGATGGGAAGCAAGCATTACTGGGACTGAGACTGTGATGCCAGTGCAAGTTGCCACTGGAACTTAGTTGTAAGCTAGGCAAGGGCTCTAGCAGCTGGGGCTGAGGCACAAGCTATGCACAGGTTATCACCACCAGGGCTAGGGGGCAAGCCCCACTGGCACTAGAACATGAGAGAGATAGGCATTCCCCACTTGCCAGCCTGGGCTATGGCCATTGAGGCCAGCCCCACTCTCCCCAATGGCAGGGCCTCAGCACAGCTGCTATTGCCCCTCACTTGAGCACTCTGCTTGTGACCTGGGTATTACCCTATCACTGCCAACCATGGCTGGTACCTAATCTCACTACGGGGAGGGGGTGGTTCTGAGCATAAACCTGCAAAACCCAGCTTTATTCTCCTCTTAGATAGAGCACATAGCCTGGGCTCCTAGGGATTGCCCAACTCAATCCACCATGTTGGACACTTGAGCACTCTTCCCAGGGGCCTGAGGCTGGGCCTAAACTCCCAGCTATTACCGTCTCAGCTGATAACTACCTGCAAGCAACACCCATGGGCCTGGAGACTCGCCCACCCAGCTAACTGCAGTCACTGCCAACATCATTGTACATCACTTGGGACCCAGAGAATTATCCTGCCACTGCTACTGTCATTGCCCACACCACACTGGCTTCCTAAGGCCAGGGAACTCACCCACCCACCTGGTCCATGGCCGCTATAATTGGCATCTGAGCAAGCCATCTGGAGACCCAAGAATCTGCCCACTGGTAACTACTAACAATGTGACCAGTGGAAACTCCCATGAGGCACAAGGACAGGCATGCTTAGTCCACTGTTATCACCACTGGGGACTAAAGACTGGCCCACGTGGCATTTCTGTCCTCAGCACAACCTCACCATAGTCTCTGCTAGTAACCACACCCTAACCCACTAAGGAAATCACAGACACCACTGATGCTGTTTATGCCTCCCCAAAATCCTACAGAGATTATACTCTATACTACTGCACATACCCAGAATCAAAGTGAAAGTGCCCTGGCCAACCAATATCATATCCATATCTTCAGGAAAAGGACTTCCCCTATGAACATAAATTCAAAAATAGGAAAAAGTGACTGTTACAGCAGATGCACAAACATCAATGTAAGGACACAGGAAACACAAAGAAGCAAGAAAATATGACACCTCCAAAGGAACACAATAATTCTCCAGCAATAGATCTCAACCAGAAAGAAATTCTGGTTAAGAATTTATTATTTATCTTCAAGATAAATAATTCAAAATATTGACTTAAAATAAGATCGGTGAGATACAAAGTAATTCAGAAAAAATACAGGTAAATCAAGAAAACAATTCAGAATATGAATGAGAAATTTAGCAAAGACATAGATATTTTTTAAAAAGAATCAAATGGAAATTCTGGAACTAAAGAATTCATTAAAAAAACAAAACACATGAAAACTTCAATGATAGACTAGATTAAGCAGAAGAAAGGACCTCAGAACTTGAAGACAGGGTTTTTGGAAATCACCTATCTAGAAAAAAATCAAGAAAAAAGACAAAAGAATGAGCAAAATCTTCATGACATTTAGGATAACATAAGCAAAAGAATATCTGAATTATTGGTATCCATGAGAGCAAAGAGAAAATGAAAGTATTATAAAAGTTATTTAGTAAATTAATAGATGAAAACTTTCCAAGTCAAACAAGACATTTAGACATTTGGATACAGGAAATTCAGAGATTCCCCAGGCAGGTAAAATGCAAAAAGGACTTCTCCATGCCACATCATGATTAGACTTTCTAAAGTCAAAAGATAAAGAGTGAATCCTAAAAACAGCAAGTAAAAAGCATCTAGTCATTTATAAAGGAAACTACATCAGGTAACAGTGGATTTCGCAGCAGAAACTGTATAGACCAGAAGAGAATGGGATGATATATTCAGTGCTGAAAGAAAAAAAAAAAAGACTGATAGTTACGAATACTATATCCAGCAAAACTATCCTTCCTAATTGAAGAAAAAGTAAGGTTCTTTTCCAGACAAGCAAATGCTGAGGGAATTGATTATCACTATACTGGTCCAACAAGAAATGCTCAAGGAATCCTAAACCTGGAAGTAAAAGGATGACATTTACCATCACAAAAACACATGAAAGTATGAACCTCACTGCTAAAGCAATCACAGAGAGGAGAAAAAAGGTACTCAAATGGTTCTACTACAGAAGTCCACCAGACCACAACAATAAGCAATAAAAGGGGAAAAAAGGAACAAAGAATGCAAAAAATAACCAGAAAACATGGACAATATGACAGGAACAGAGTCTCACATATCAATAACCTTGAATATAAATGGATTAAATTTTCTACTTAAAAGATAGAATAGATGAATGAATTCTAAAACTTATCCAAGTATATACTCCTTATAAGAAACTCACCTTACCAGTAAAGACACATGTAGACTGAAAGTAAAGTGATAGAACAAGATATTCTATGCAAATGGAAACCAAAAACAAGCAGGAGTAGCTACACTTATGTCAGATAAAATAGACTTTAAATCAAAACTAGTAAAAAAAAGAAAAGAAAAAGAAGGTCACTAGTAATGATAAAGGGATCAATCCAGCAGAAGTGCATAACAATTTCAAATATATATGCACCCAACACAGGAGTACTCAGATTTATAAAATAAATGTTACTAGATGTAACGAGAGATAAATTGCAATATGATAATAGTGAGGAACTTCACCATCCCTTTCTCAGAGTCAGCCATTATCTAAACAGAAAACAAAGAAAAAGTGGATTTAAACTGGACTTTACACCAAATGAACTGAACAGACGTTTACAGAACATTCTATCCAACAACTGCAGAAGATGTATTCTTTTCATCGGCACATGGACATTCTCCAGATTAGACCATAGGTTAGGTCAAAAAACAACTCTCAAAAAAAATTTTTAATTGGAATAATATTAAATATTTTTTTCAGACCAGAGTGAAATAAAACTAAAAATTAACACCAAGAGAAACTTTGGAACTATACATGGAAATTAAGCAACACGTTCCTGAATGACCATTGAGTCAATGAAGAAATTAAGATGGAAATCAAAAATTCTTAAAACAAATGAAAATGGAAGCATAACATACCAAAACCTGTGGGATACAGCACAAGCTAAGAGGGAAGTTTATAGCAGTAAATGCATACCTCAAAAAATAGAAAGATTACAAATTAATGATCTAACAATGCACCTCATGGAACTAGAAAAGCAAGAACAAATCAAACTCCAAATTAGCAGAATAAAAAAAATAAAGATAACAACAGAATTAAATGAAATAGAGACTTTAAAAATACAAAGGATCAATGATGAGAAGTTTTTTCTTTGGAAAAGTAAACAAGATTGATCAAACACTAGCTAGTCTAAGAAGAAAGAAAACTCAAAAAAAATCAAAAATAAAAAAGAAGATATTACAACTATATGCCATGAACATCTATTTGCTGACAAACTGGAAACCTAGAGGAAATTGATAAATTTCTGAAGACACAAAACCTACCAACATTGAATCAGGAAGAAATAGAAAACCTGTACAGACCAATAATGAGCAACAAGATTGAATCAGTAGTAAAAGTCTCCCAACAAAGAAAAACCCAGGCCCAGATGAATTCACAGCAAATTCTATCAAATGTACAAAGAAGAACTAATACCAGTCATTCTGAAACTATTCCAAAAAATTGAAGAGGAAAGAATTCCCCCTAACTCATACTACAAGGCCAGCATCAACCTGATACCAAAGCCTGACCAGGACACCTATACACTCACACATACACCCTACAGGCCATCCCTGATGAACAAGGACATAAAAATCCTTACCAAAATGCTAGCAAACTGAATCCAGCCGCACATCAAAAAGTTAATTTACTGCAATCAAGTGAGTTTCATCTTAGGGATGCAAGGATGGATCAACACATGCAAATCAATAAATGTGATTCACCACATCAACAAATGAAGAACAAAAACTATATGATCACCTCAATAGATGCAGAGTGTTTGAGAAAACTCAACATTCCTTCATGACAAAACTCTCAACAAACTAGGCACAGAAGGATCATACCTCAAAATAATAAATAGGCTTATATGACAAACCCATATCTAACATCATACTGAATGGGGAACAGTTGAAGCCTTTTTCTCTAAGAACCAGAACAAAACAAGAATGCCCACTTTCACCACCCCTATTCCACATAGTACTGAAAGTTCCGGCTAGAGGAATCAGATAAGAGAAAGAAATAACAGGCATCCAAATCGGAAAAGAAGAAGTCAAACTGTCCCTCTTTGTTTATGATATGATTTTGCATCAGAAAAACCTAGCATCTCCACCCAAAACTCCTAGATTTGATAAATGAATTCAGTAAAGTCGTAGGATATAAAATCAGTGTACAAAAATCAGTAGTGATTCTATACAGCAATAATGGTCTAGCCAAGAAAGAAATATCTAAAAAATTTAAAGTCCTAGAAATAAATCTAACCAAGGAGGTGAAAGAGGCCATGCTCATCAGAAGAATTAATTTTGTTAAATATAATTAATGCTCATATTGCACAAAGGAATCTACAGATTCAATATAATCCCTATCAAAATACCAATGACATTCTTTACAAGGTAAGAAAAACAATTCTAAAATTCATATGGAACCAAAAAAGAGCCTTAATAGCAAAAAGAAACAAACTGTAGGCATCACATTACCTGACTTCAAAATACAGTACAAGGCTATAGTAACCAAAATTGCATGGTATTGGTATAAAAATAGACACATAGACCAATTGCACAGAATAGAGAACCGAGAAGTAAAGCAACTTATTTACAACCAACTCATCTTCAACAAAACTGATGGGAACTTATACTGGGGAAAGGACACCCTTTTTAATAAACAGTGCTGGTAAAATTTGATAGTTGCATGAAGAAGAATGAAACTGGACCACTATGACTCACCATATACAAAAGTTAAGAGAGATTAAAGACTTAAAGGTTAGACCTCAAACTATAAAAATTCTTGAAGAAAACCTAGGGAAAGCTCTCCTGGACATTGGTCTAGGCAGAGTTTATAACTAGGACCTCAGAAGCACAGGCAACAACAAAAAAAATAAACAAATAGGACTTAATTAAACCAAAAAGTTCCTGCACAGCCAAAGAAATAATTGATAGAGTGAAAAGGCAACCTGTTGAAAGGAAGAAAATATTTGCAAACTATTCATCTGACAGGTGACCAATATTCAGAATATACAAGGAACTCAAACCACTCTGCAGGAAAAATAGCAAATAAACCCATTAAAAGTAGACAAAGATATGAGTAGACATTTTGCAAAAGAAGACATACAAATGGCCAACAGGCATATGAAGAAATGTTCAGTGTCACTAATCACCACAAAAATGCAAATCAAAACCACAAGAGAGATAATCATATTCCAGTCAGAATGGCTATTTTAAAGAATACAAAAAATATACAAAATATACAAAAATATACAAATACATAAAAAATTACAAAAAATAATGAACGTTGGCAAGGATGCAGAGAAAAGGCGTCTCTTATACACTGTTGGTGGGAATGTTAACTAGTATAGCCACTAGGGAAAACAGTGGGAAAGTTCCTCACAAATCTAAAAATAGAATTGCCACTTAATCCAGCAATCTCACTGCTGGACATCTACCTCCCAAAAAAGAAATTAATATACCAAAGGGATATCCTGCACTTGCATGTTTATTGCAGCACTATTCACAACAGCAAAAACATGGAATCAACCAAAGTGTTCAACAATGGAAGAATAGATTTTTTAAATGTGATATATATATGCATACAATGGAATAGTATTCAGCCATAAAAAAGAATGGAGTCATGTAATTGGTGGCAACATGGATGGAACTGGAGGTTATTATCTTAAGTGAAATAAGTCAGGCCCAAAAAGACAAATATCACATGTTCCCACTTACATGTGGGAGCTAAAAAACTTGGTAACACAAAGGTAGAGAGAGGAAAGATAGATAACAAAAACTATGAAAGGTGAGTGGGGGGAGAAGGGAGGATGAAGGCAAAGGTGTTAAAAGGTACAAATATACAGTTTGATAGAAGGAATAAGTTTAATGTCTGATAGCACAGTAGGGTGACTATAGTTAACAAAAATGCATTGTACTCAGGTGACAAACATCCTTAATACCTTGGCTTGATCACTATGTATTTCATATATGTAACAACATTTCATATGTATCCTATAAATTTGTGTAAATAAATAAGTAATTCTCCTTGCTTGTTTTTGTGATTTGTCAGTGTTGGAGTACTTTTTCTTGAAGGGCTAGGTAGTAAATAATTTAAGCTTTCCAGGCCATGTCGTTTCTGTCATAACCACTCAACTCTGTTGCTGTAGTGCAGAAATAGCCACTGACAATAGGTAGACAAATGAGCACAGCTGTCCATTATGACTTTATTTACAAAATCATGTGGCGAGCTGGATTTGGTCTTCACACTGTGATTAGGCAAACTCTAGGTGATAGTAAATTATATGACTTGAAAAAATAAGGTTTAAAGAAATCCTAAGCTTTAAAAGTCATTTTGCTGGACTCTTGGGAGAAGGATTCCATAGAATGAGTTTTGTAAAAACAGCTATTTGTAAGTTTATTTCAATTTATGGTATATACGGAGATATATTAAGGTTACTTGGTGTGAACCAAAGGAAAAACAAATCTACCATTATTCTTTTCATTTAACAAATTATAAGGGAGTCTAAGAATAACCCTTGCAGATATTACAAAATAAATGGAACTGATTTGTCAATGCCAAAAGCTAGAAGTGATCAATTTAGATCACGACAGTATGGAAGTCTACTAAATGTAATGAATTATCCAGCTCATTAATTTAGGATTTGGCTAGTGTTGTGAGAACATCTCTAGTTATTGATACTCTCATTTGCATTTTGGTGAATATAAAGATAACTTTTCCTTAGAAATGACCTCTAAGATCTTGAAAAAAGCATTCCCAGGCAAGATGGATGAAAAGGAACAGCTCCGGTCTGCAAATCACAGTGAGACCAACTCAGAAGGCAGGTCCAACTGAGGTACCTGGTTCATCTCACCGGGACTGGTTAAACAGTGGGTGCAGCCCACGGAGGGCTAGCAGAAGCAGAGTGGGGCATTGTCTCACCCAGGAAGCACAAGGGGCCAAGGAACTCCCTCCCCTAGCTAAGGGGAGCCGTGAGGGACCGTGCCATGACGGACAGTGCTATCTGGCCCAGATACTATGCTTTTCTCATGGTGTTCACAACCCACAGACCAGGAGATTCCCTCATGTGCCTACACCACCAGGGCCCTGGGATTCAAGCACAAAACTGGGAGGCTGTTTGGGCAGACACCAAGCTAGCTGCAGGAGTTTTTTTTTTTTTCATACCCCAGTGGCACCTGGAACACCAGCGAGAAAGAACCATTCACTCTCCTGGAAAAGGGGCTAAAGCCAGGGAGCCAAGTGGTCTTGTTCAGTGGGTCCCACCCCCACAGAGCCCAGCAAGCTAAGATCCACTGGCTTGAAATTCTCACCACCAGCACAGCAGTCTGAAGTTGACCTGAGATGCTCAAGGTTGGTAGGTGGAGGGACATCTGCCATTACTGAGGCTTGAGTAGATGGTTTTTCCCTCATAGTGTAAACAAAGCCACCAGGAAGTTGAGACTGGGCAGAGCCCACCACAGCACCACAAAGCCACTGTAGCCAGACTGCCTCTCTAGCTTCCTCCTCTCTGGGCAGGGCGTCTCTGAAAAAAAGGCAGCAGCCCCAGTCAGAGGCTTACAGATAAAACTACCATCTCTCTGGGACAGAGCACCTGGGGGAAGGGGTGGCTGTGGGCATAAATTAAGCAGACTTAAACATTCCTAACTGCCAGCTCTGAAGAGAACAGCAGATCTCCCAGCACAGTGCTCAAGCTCTGCTGAGGGACAGACTTCCTCCTCAAGTGGGTCCCTGACCCCCGTGCCTCCTGATAGGGAGACACCTCCCAGTAGGGGTGGACAGACACCTCATAGAGGAGAGCCCTGGCTGGCATCTGGTGGGTGTCCCTCTGGGACGAAGCTTCCAGAAGAAGAAACAGGCAGCAATCTTTGCTGTTCTGCAGCTTCTGCTAGTAATACCCAGGCAGGCAGACAGGGTCTAGAGTGGACCCCCAGCAAACTCCAGCAGACCTGCAGAAGAGGGGCCTGACTGTTAGAAGGAAAACTAACAAACAGAAAGCAATAGCATCAACATAAACAAAAAGGATGACTGTGCAATAACTCCACCTGAAGGTCACCAACAACAAAGACCAAAGGTAGATAAATCCACGAAGATGAGGAAAATCAATCACAAAAAGCCTGAAAATTCTAAAAACCAGAATGCCTCTTCTCCTTCAAAGGATCACAACTCCTTGCCAAAACTGGATGGAGAATGAGTTTGATGAATTGACAGAAATAGGCTTCAGAAGGTGGGTAGTAACAAAATCCTCTGAGATAAAGGAGCATGTTCTAACTCAAGGCAAGGAAGCTAACAACCTTGATAAAAGGTGAGAGGAACTGCTAACTAGAATAACCAGTTTAGAGAAAAACATAAATGACCTGATGGAGCTGAAAAACACAGCTCAAGAACTTCATGAAGCATACACAAGTATCAATAGCAGAAACAATCAAGCAGAATAAAGGATATGAGAGATTGAAGATCAACTTAATTAAATAAAGTGTGAAGACAAGATTAGAAAAAAAAATGAAAAGGAATGAACAAAGCCTCCAAGAAATATGGGGCTATGTGAAAAGACCAAACCTGAATTTGATTGGTGTACTGGAAAGTGACAGGGAGAATGGAAACAAGTTGAAAAACACTCTTCAGGATATTATTCAGGAGAACTTCCCCAACATAGCAAGACAGGCCAAAATTTAAATTCAGGAAATACAGAGAACACCACAAAGATACTCCTCAAGAAGAGCAACCCCAAGACACATAATCGTCAGATTCACCAAGGTAGAAATGAAGGAAAAAATGTTAAGGGCAGCCAGAGAAAGGTTGAGTTACCCACAAGGGGAAGTCAATCAGACTAACAGCAGATCTCTCTGCAGAAATCCTACAAGCCAGAAGAGAGTGGGAGCCAATATTCAGCATGCTTAAAGATCAGAATTTTCAACCAGAATTTCCTATCCAGCCAAACTAAGCTTCATAAGTAAAGGAGAAATAAAATCCTTTACAGGAGAAAAGCAAAGGCTGACAGATTTGGTCACCACCAGGCCTGCCTTACAAGAGCTCTTGAAAGAAGCACTAAATACGGAAAGGAAAACCAGTACCAGTCACTGCAAAAACAAACCAAAATGTAAAGACCATCAACACTATGAAGAAACTGCATCAACTAATGGGCAAAATAACCAGCTAGCATCATAATGACAGGATCAAATTCACACATAACAATATTAACCTTAAATGTAAATGGGCTAAATGTCCCAATTAAAAGGCACAGACTGGGAAATTGGAAAAAGAATCAAGACTCATCAGTGTGCTGTATTCAGGAGACCCATCTCATGGGGAAAGACACACATAGGCTCAAAATAAAAAGATGGAGGAAGACTTGCCAAGCAAACGGAAAGCAAAAAATAAAAGCAGGGGTTGCAATCCTCGTCTCTGATAAAAGAGACTTTAAACCAAGAAAGATCAAAAAAGACAAAGAAAGGTATTACATAATGGTAAAGGGATCAATGCAACAAGAAGAGCTAAATATCCTAAATATATATGCACCCAATACAGGAGCACCCAGATTCATAAAGCAAGTTCTTAGAGAACTACAAAGAGACGTAGACTCCCACACAATAGTAATGGGAGACTTTAACATGCCACTGTCAATATTAGGCAGATCAACAAGACAGAAAATTAACAAGGATATTCACAACTCGAACTCAACTCTGGACCAAGTGGACCTAATAGACATCTACAGAACTCTCCACCCCAAATCAACAGAATATACATTCTTCTCAGCACCACATCACACTTATTCTAAAATCGCCCACATGATTGCAAGTAAAACACTACTCAGCAAATGCAAAAGAACAGAAATCATAAAAAACAGTGTCTCAGACCACAATGCAATCAAATCAGAACTCAGGACTAAAAAACTCACTCAAAACCACACAACTACATGGAAACTGAACAATCTGCTCCTGAATGACTACTGGGTACATAACAAAATGAAGGCAGAAATAAGTAAGTTCTTTGAAACTAATGGGAACAAAGACAGAGAAACCAGAATCTCTGGGACACTGCTAAAGCAGTGTTAAGAGGGAAATTTATAGCACTAAATGCCCACAAGAGAAAGCAGGAAAGATCTAAAATTGACACCCAAACATCACAATTAAAAGAACCTGAGAAGCAAGGACAAACAAATTCAAAAGCTAGCGGAAGACAAGAAATAACTAAGATCAGAGTAGAATTGAAGGAGATAGAGACACGAAAAAACCCTTCAAAAAATCAATGAATCCAGGAGCTGGTTTTTTGAAAAGATCAACAAAATTGATAGACCGCTAGCAATACTAATAAAGAAAAAAAGAGAGAAGACTCAAATAGACACAATAAAAAATGATAGAGAGGAGATCACCACTGATTCCACAGAAATGTAAACTACCATCAGAGAATACTATAAACACCTCTGTGCAAATAAACTAGAAAATCTAGAAGAAATGGATAAATTCCTGGACACATACACCTTCCCAAGACCAAACCAGGACGAAGTCGAATCCCTTAATAGACTAGTAATAAGTTCTGAAATTGAGGCAGTAATAGCCTACCAACCAAAAAAAAAAAAAAATCCAAGGACCAAAAGGATTCACAGCCAAATTCTACCAGAGGTACAAAGAGGAGCTGGTAATGTTCTTTCTGAGACTATTCCAATCCATAGAAAAAGAGGGACTCCTCCTGAACTCATTTTATGAGGCCAGCATCATCCTGGTACCAAAACCTGGCAAAGACACAACAAAAAGGAAAATTTCAGGCCAATATCCCTGATGAACATCAATGCGAAAATCCTCGATAAAATACTGGCAAACCAAATCCAGCAGGACATCAAAAAGCTTATCCACCATGATCAAGTTGGCTTCATCTCTGGGATGCGAGACTGGTTCAACATACACAAATCAATAAACATAATCCATCACATAAATAGAACCAATGACAACTACATGATTATCTCAAGAGATACAGAAAAGGCCTTCAATAAAATTCAATGACCCTTCATGCTAAAAACTCTCAATAAACTAGGTATTGATAGAATGTATCTCAAAATAATAAGAGCTATTCATGACAAACCTACAGCCAATATCATACTGAATGGGCAAAAGCTGGAAGCATTCCCTTTGAAAACCGGCACAAGACAAGGATGCCCTCTCTCACCATTTCTATTCAACATAGTATTTATTGGAGGCTCTGGCCAGGGCAATCAGGAAAGAGAAAGAAATAATGGATATTCAAATAGGAAGAAAGGAAGTCAAATTATCTGTGTTTGCAGATGACATGACCGTATATTTAGAAAACCCCATCGTCTCAGCCCAAAAACTCCTTAAGCTTGTAAGCAACTCAGCAAAGTCTCTGTATACAAAATCAATGTACAAAAATCACAAGCATTCCTATACATCAATAATAGACAAACAGAGAGCCAAATCATGAGCAAACTCCCATTCACAATTGCTACAAATAGAATAAAATACCTAGTAATACAACTTACAAGGGATGTGAAGGACCTCTTCAAGGAGAACTACAAACCACTGCTCAAGGAAATAAGAGAGGACACAAACAAATGGAAAAATTTTCCATGCTCGTGGCTAGGAAGAATTAATATTGTGAAAATGGCCATACTGCCCAAAGTAATTTATAGATTCAATGCTATCCCCATCAAGCTACCATTGACTTTTTTCACACAATTAGAAAAAACTACTTTAAATTTCATATGGAACCAAAATGAGCCCAAATAGCCAAGACAATACTAACCCAAAAGAACAAAGCTGTAGGCATCATGCTACCTGACTTCAAACAAGTTGCTACAAAGAGAATACAATTGCTACAAAGAGAATACCTAGGAATACATGATATAATACATGATACAATACAAGGCTACAGTAACCAAAACAGCATGGTACTTGTACCAAAACAGATATATAGACCAATGGAACAAAACATGGGCCTCTGAAATGACAACATACATCTTTGACAAACCTGACCAAAAAAAAGCAATGGGGAAAGGATTCCCTATTTAATAAATGTGTTAGGAAAACTGGCTAACTAAATGCAGAAAGCTGAAACTGGATCCCTTCCTTACACCTTATACAAAAATTAATTCAAGATGGATTAAAGATTTAAATGTAAGACCTAAAGCCATAAAAACCCTAGAAGAAAACCTAGGCAATACCACTCAGGACATAGGCATGGGCAAAGACTTCATGACTGAAACACCAAAAGCAATGGCAACAAAAGCCAAAATTGACAAATGGGATCTAATTAAACTAAAGAGCTTCTGCACAGCAAAAGAAACTATCATCAGAGTGAACAGGCAACCTACAGAATGGGAGAAAATTTTTGTAATCTACCCATCTGACAAAGGGCTAATATCCAGAATCTATGAGTAATTTAAGAATAAAGCAAACAACCCTATCAAAAAGTGGGCAAAGGATATGAACAGACACTTTTCAAAAGAAGACATTTATGCAGCCAACAAACTTATGAAAAAAAGCTCATCATCACTGGTCATTAGAGAAATGCTGATCAAAACCACAGTGAGATACCATCTCACACCAGTTAGAATGGGGATCATTACAAAGTCAGGAAACAACAGATGCTGGAGAGGATGTGGGGAAATAGGAATGCTTTTACACTGTTGGTGGAAGTGTAAATTAGTTCAACCATTGTGGAAGACAGTGTGGTGATTCCTCAAGGATCTAGAACTAGAAATACCATTTGACACAGCAATCCCATTACTGGGTATATGGGATTATATACCCACACATCAAAGGATTATAAATCATTCTACTCTAATGACACATGCACACGTATGTTTATTGCAGCACTATTGACAATAGCAAAGACTTGGAACCAACCCAAATGTCCATCAATGTTAGGCTGGATAAAGAAATTGTGGCACATATATATCATGGAATACTATGCAGCTATAAAAAAATTAGTTCATGTCCTTTGCAGGGACATGGATGAAGCTGGAAATGATCATTCTCAGCAAACTAACACAGGAACAGAAAACTAAACACTGCATGTTCTCACTCATAAGTGGGAGTTAAACAATAAGAACATATGGGCACAGAGAGGGGAACATCACACACCGAGGCCTGTTGGGGGGTGGGGGGCAAGGGGAGGGATAGCATGGGGAGGGATAGCATTTGGAGAAATACCTAATGTAGATGACGAGTTGATGGGTGCAACAAACCACCATGGCCTGTGTATACTTATGTAACAAACCTGCATGTTCTGCACATGTATCCAAGAACTTAAAGTATAATAATAATTAAAAAAAAAAGAACTTATTCTTTGCTGCCTGTGCTTTTGCAGTCCTAGCCAAAGGAAATCTTTGTTCACACCAATGCCATGGAGCTTTCCCCTTATGTTTTTTATAATAGTTCTACAATTTCAGGTCTTACACAGTCCATTTGAGTGGATTTTTGTATATGATGTGATAAGAGAGTCTAACTTCATTTTTCTACATGCGGATATTCAGTTTTCTCAATACCCGTTATTGAAGAGACTATCCTTTCACCATTGTGTGTTCTTGGCATTGTAGCATCCACAGTATATAAGGAACTCAAACAACCCAATAATAAAAAAACAAATAACCTGATTAGAAAATGGGCTAAAGACCTGAATAGACATTTCTCAAAATATATATAAATGGTCAATAAGTATTTGAAAAAAATGCTTGACATCCCTAATCATCAGGGAAATGCAAATTAAATCCACAGTGAGATATCTCATACCTGTTAGCATGGCAACTACCAAAAAGTTGAACGCTAACACTTGTTGGTGAGGATGTGGAGAAAAGGGAATCTTTGTACATTGCTAGTGGGAATGTGAATTAGTACATCCTGGAAAACAGTATGAAGGTTCCTCAAAAAATTAAAAATAGAACTACCATATGATCCAGCAATTCCACTACTGGATATATACCTGAAGCAAATGAAATTGGTGTGTTGAAGAGGTATCTGCCTTCCCATGTTCATTTCATTACATTATCCACAAGATAGGGAATTAAGTATTTGTTAACAGACGAATGAACAAAAAAGAAAGTGCTGTCATTTACAATGACATGGATTAACCTGGAGAACATTATAGAAAGACAAACACCATATGATCTCACTTACATGTGGAGTGTAAAAAAGTTCCAAGTCATATAGAGAGTAAAATAGTAATTGCCAGTGGCTGGAGGATGGGGGATTGGAAAGAAAGTAGTCAAAAGACCCAAAATTTGAGTTATATAGGAGGAATAAGTTTAAGGGATCTATTGCATATCATAGTGACTACAGTTAAAAATAGACTATATATTGGAAAATTGCTGATAGTAGATATTAAGTATTCTCACCACACAAAAATGCTAAGTATGTGAGGAATGGATATGTTAATTAGCTTGATTTAGCCATTCCACAATATAAACATATATCAAAATATTATGTTGTATTCCATAAATATATACATTTCTTCTCTGTCAATTTAAGTAAATGAATAAATATTTTAAAATTAAAATATTTTTTAAAATTTTGTCTCCTAAAAATAATCAAATTCAAATCTCTCTATCATAAGTCAGCAACCTTTTTCACAGCTCCCTTTGCCTTGTCATTAGTGACCAATTCTTTCATAGAGCTCATGTATAAGAGAGAGGGGATAGGGCATTAGTTTAAAAAAAAAAAAAAAAGATTGGGCTGGGGGGATTGATCTGTTCATTCCTCATTTAAATAAGCAGCCACTCCAAGGCTGCAGGAATATTTCAAGGCTGAAGGAACTCAAACTTTGCTCTTTCAGAGGAAGCTGATGCTGACAATTTTATGTGGCACAATAGAGGATCTGCACCCTTCTTAAAGCCTCCTGCTGTTGGTTTATAGAGACCCCACTGTGTCCACCAACCCTATACTGGACCCCAGAGCAGCAGTTCACTCCATAGCTTCTGGGTGGAGTTGTCATTCAGGAAAAGAGGTGAGTTTCTTCCCTGGATTTTACAAAAAGAGAGGGAGAAGGGCGTGATCGGGGGGAAACAGAAAGAGTGTGACTTTGAATTTGGCAGCCAAAGAATGTAATCTACTTTTATTCTCAGCTGTGAGAAATCTCCTTTTGACACTTCCAACTTAGCCTTGGACAAGTTGCTAATCATTAGCTGTGTCAAAAGCAGAGGAAAAGACACCTCTCCATCACATTTTACATCACCAAGTACATGTAACAGCAGTGAGGAAATTATATCTTTTTCAGAACATTCCCAGTACATTCTGCCACATGAAATCAATTTTCAAACTTTATTTAGTGTCTACTATATATCAAGCACTGTATAAAATTTTACAAATATTATTTCATTTAAAATTTAAGGCAGTTACCTGAGATGATATTTTATTCCCATTTTACGCATGAAACAGAGGATCAAAGAAAAATAATTGTAGCTTATTCAAAGTCATGTAGGTAATAAGCACTGGGTATGAATTGCATATTCTCTCTCTCTGCCTCTCTGCCCCTTCTCTCTCTACCTCTCTGTTCCTTCCTCCCATTCTCGTTCTTCTCAATATACCTCCAAAGCTTCTGAGTTGTGTCATTTTTGTCCTAATGTGCATACCACATTCTACTGCAGTGTTAGAATAGTGTCACCATGAAATTATAACAAACTCAGATGAGGCTACTATTTGACCAAGTAAGACTTCAAATCAAGGACATAGACAGAAGGCCAGCAGGCAGAATGTACTCTGAAGACCTGCCTTGTTTTAGCAACATGATGCTTCATTTGATTTTTTAATGGTTTTAGGCAGGTTGTCCACTTGCCAGTTTTTACATTCTGCCACTCCCTTCTGATTCACACTCATGTTCTCCACACACCCTCTTCCAACACATCTTCTGAAGGCATTTGAGCTTGGAACCCCTGCTTACAATCAATCATGCAACTACCAGTCCTTTAGTTTGTCTGACTTAAAATCATTTTCTATTCCTACTGAGAAAACAAGCTGTCAGTTGGAAGACAATGTGGTAAGTCTAAGAAAGAAATACACATGGAAGCATCTCAAATAAATGTTTGGGTAGGGAGAATTTAGACTTAAAACCAAAAACCAACATAGCTTCTTAAATAAGAACAACTGAGTAAACGTGAACACTACACCAACTGCTAAATGTTAAACCTGTATCCAAGTCACAAATATCAAAGGCAAGCAACACAACTAAAATTATTAATTTGATCTTAACTTTGCTTGGTATAAGATGTGGGGTGTCCTAATATTTAGATCTATCTCTGCATGACAGTTCAGATTCATGTGCAAGAATAATTCAAATCTTCCAGCAGGTTAAACTAGATGTAAGAAACATCCTCTGTCTAGATTTGGAGTGAAACAGCCCTGCTTATAGTGATGTCTGGTTGAACCTCTGACCCATAGACGAGAGAATTCTTCAGATGTTGAGTATCTCTCAACATGCAATAGCTAGACTATCTGCAGCAAGATCATTTGCCGAAACACAGATTCCTAGGTTCCCCAGGCCATCTTAATTGGAGTCTCAAAGTATGATTCTGGACTATGTTTTTTAACAAATGCCATCATATAATTTTGTGATCACTTAAACTTGGAAAACACTAATTTAGATTTATGCCATAGGTCCTCCTATCTCATCTCATCTGTTCTTGACTTCCATCCTTCTTGGAACATTAGTTTTTTCCAGATTCCTCTTATTTAGCAGAATCTCAGGTATACACTCTTTCTGGCTGGTTCTATCTTATTGCTGCCCAATCTTTAGCATAACGACATGGTTATATTTTATAATTGCTTATACTCTCCATTCTCTGGGCTCATATTGAAATAACTAACTGCCCTGTTAAGTTGTCAGGAGCAGTACCTATGAGTGTAGAAGATACAAACCAGGATGCTTTAAATAGCTATTCCTTATAAAATGGTGGAAGAAAACAATTTCCAAACTAAACAAAGGAAACTCATTTGACAAATAAAATACATCAGCACAGACACTAAATAAATAGTTTGCTCACCTCTGAGAAAACAAAACAACAACTCGATTGAGTTTTGCGCCTGCCAACTTTTAAACCTTTATAAATAGTAATTTATTTTATGGTTTATTCCATTGAATACCTACAATAAACAAGGAAACTATAGCATTACATTTGCCTGGCTTTCCTATCATGGCCACAGAATAAATGAGTTGTTGGGCTGCCGTGTATATATCTTTCTAAAATAGATTGAAAATATATGTAAATAATTCTGTCTCCTGAGCTTAGGCAGCATGCAAAGATGCTTAAGAATGATCACAATAATGCAAAATTCATGACAACTCATTTACTATAATAGCAACTCTGAGTCACAATGAAGAATTTAAGGATACCTATGAGAAAGAATTTCCGTAGGAGAGTAACCTATGAGTACAAAATCTTTAAAGTAACAAAGTTCTCTGTTAACTTCAATAGCATAAGCGCAATGCTGTCACTTTCTCCTAGGCAGCCAGTTGTAATGCAGGCCTCTCCGGATATCTGAAATACACCGAGTTTGCTAAACATGGCATTTTGTGAAAGTCTCAAAATTGTGGAGAATCCCCAATGGCAGTGAAAAGGTTGTTTATTTTCCCAAAGTCACATCCCATTAGAACACACACCATTCCACATCAGTTGAACAAATACTGACTCTGCAAACAAAACAAATAGTGATAAAGAATGACAGTATGTAGAGAAGCAAAATATCTAATTTAAAGAATAGGATTCAACCCTTTTAGAGGGTAACTTGAAAGGAGCATTCGAAATTTTAGATGCGTGTCTTTTGATCTCATAATTCTTTTTGAAATGTACTAGCACTACGGAATAACAGATCAATTAAAGATGCATATACAAAGGCATTCATTTCATCATGATTTGCAATAAAAACACCTTGAAACATTTTAAACTTCCATCAGCACAAAATAGTTTAAATAAAGTATGGTATATATTCTGTTGTGTGGCCTTAAAAAAAAAGCAACATTATATGTATTGATTGGAAAGATATCCATCAAATAAGAAAAAGTTCATTGCAAAGTATTACCATATTATGTTTATACTTGTACATAAAATAATTATAGACATATGTATATAATGCTTCCAAATGGCTATTGTAGAGTTTGAGCAGAGGCGTGACATAATTTGGCTTACTTTTCCAAGGATCACTCCAAAAGCTGCATTAAAAAATATATGGTATCTTTGGGAGGCCAAGGCGGGCGGATCACAAGGTCAGGAGATCGAGACCATCCTGGCTATCACAGTGAAACCCCGTCTCTACTAAAAACACAAAAAATTAGCCAGGCGTGGTGGCGGGCGCCTGTAGTCCCAGCTACTCGGGAGGCTGAGGCAGGAGAATGGTGTGAACCTGGGAGGCGGAGCTTGCAGTAAGCCGAGATGGCACCACTGCACTCCAGCCTGGGCGACGGAGCGAGACTCTGTCTCAAAAAAAAGAAAAAAAAAATAGATGGTATCAAAACATCGCATGTACCCCAGAAGTATATACACCTACAATGTACCCACAAATATTACAAATTTTAAACATTTAAGGGGCCGGGTGCAGTGACTCATGCCTGTAATCCCAGCACTTTGGGAGGCCAAGGCAGGCAGATCACGAGGTGAGGCGTTCAAGACAAGCCTGGCCAACATAGTGAAACCCCGTCTCTACTAAAAATACAAAAATTAGTGGGGCATAATGGCACATGCCTGTAGTCCCAGCTGCTCGGGAGACTGAGGCAGGAGAATCACTTTAACCTGGGAGGTGGAGGTGGCAGTGAGCCGAGATCATGTCACTGCACTCCAGCTTGGGGAGCAGAGTGAGACTTTGTCTCAAAAAAAAATTAAATATTTAATAAATAGTTGGTAAGGGAAAGGGTAAATGCAGAGAGACCTTGAAAGCAACTACTGCATAACTCAGGTGAGAGATGATGGAGCTCCTAACAGCAGCCATGGCGGTGATGGTGAGAAGTGATCAAATTTGTTTGTTTGAGACAGAGTCTTGCTCCGTCGCCCAGGCTGGATTGCAGTGGCACAATCTTGGCTCACTGCAACTTCCGTCTCCCAGGTTCAAGTGATTCCCCTGCCTCAGCCTCCCGAGTAGCTGGGATTACAGGCATGAGCCACCAGGCCCAGCTAATATTTGTATTTTTAGTAAAGACAGGGTTTTGCCATGTTGGCCAGGCTGCTCTCGAACTCATGACCTCAGGTGATCCACCCGCCTCAGACTCCCAAAGTGCCAGGATTACAGGCGTGAGCCACAGTGCCTGGCCAGTGATTTAATTTGAATAATGCCCATGGGACTTCCTGGTGGGCTGGATATGGACTGTGAGGGAGAAGAGCCAAAGATGATTCCAAAACTCATCCAAAACTTGGAAACTTTCTCACCCACCATCTTCATGTGGCTTGTACATGATAAATGCAAAGTGGAAAAGAATGATAATAATAGAATGCTAGCTGTCCAAAGGCTTACTTTGTACAAAGATTAGTGTGGGCTGTTTGTCCTCAGGAAGATGGATAATTCCCGTTACTTTGATTTGATTTGATTTTGTCTACATATTGCCAGTTTCCTTTTAATAAGGCCTCTGTTTCATTTGAATTTTCTTTCATGTTTATTTCTTTATCATGTCTTCTTATTTACCTTATGCAAAAAATGTCACAAAGTTCTGTATCATTTTCCATAATTTTTTTCTAAAATATCCTGAGTGTTACAAATTCTATCTAAATAATCTTGTTAGATGCATCTGCTGCTAAGTAAATGTGTATCTAGTTTTATGCCATTTTCTTATTGACTAAGCATTTGTTGCTTACTCTTTGGCTATTAGTAACCCAAACAGCCTCTTCCCAATTAATAAACAAAATAACATTTCCTCCAACAAGACAGAAAGTTAAAGAAAAACTAACAGGATGATAGCTTCCAAAACTGGTAGTCCAAGATGTGAGGATCTTTTTGCAAAGGATTCCCCACTCTTGCAGGGACACATGTACACAGACTCACGCTGTCTGCCTTTAGTTGCCAGTCTTATGCGGGCCCAGGCTGGTTTGACCATTTTCCCAAATACAAAAGTACATGACCATATTTCAGAGCTTTCCCTTCTGTGACTACACAAACTATGTGCTGGGTTTCCTTCCTCCCTAGACAATGGGGCCTTTGGGATTTCATGCTTTGAAACTAAGATTTCATTAAAAAGTCTCAGTAGCCAGCACCATGGAACAGTGGCAATATTTAGAAACTATTGAAAAGATAAGGCACATAGGAGAAAAACTTACACAAGTGTAGTAGTTCTTTGGTCAAAAATACAAATAATATTAAAGGCATTCTCTGCCTTTGCAATTCAAAGCTGTCAGATGGGATAAATTGTTAAAGCCAGCATGCATTTTGTAACTATGCTGCACTTATCTTATCTTTGGACTTATCTGGATAAGTCCAAATGCACTTATTTTTGTATCTGTATTATTATTTAAGGCAAAGCAGTGAGAAGTCTCTAATATGATACCAATCTCAGATTATCCTTAAAATAAGGCTTGTTATTAGCACTTTCTAACATGAGAAGTAATATTTGTGTAAAGCCAAAGATAAAGGTATCAAAAAGAATTAAATAAAAAACAAGAATTTATAGCAGGTGAAAAATATGAAATACAGAGAAGTTATCCTTTACATTCGTGAGAGAAGCATAATTAGCTTTTAAGTAATGGAGGTTTAAAATGTGGTCCTTATGTGTCCTTATGTATTAATGAACTTAAACAAAATATTAGAATGTTGTTTATTCACTTCTTCAGCAAATATTTATTAAATGCACATTTCTTTGCAGGCAGTCTTCTAAGCAGGAGGAAATAGTAGTGTTTAAAACAGGTGAACAGCTAAGTGCCCTCCTGGACTGTACATTCAGTGAAAGAATTATAATCCCTCAAAGTGGTTTCTGGTCCCAAATTGTAATTGGTTCTACTCTCCATAAGTAATTTTGAATGGGATAATGATGGAATTTTATATTTCAATAATGAAGAGTAAGAGTTAGCTATCATATATTGAGCTACTCAAAAGCTATCAAAAGAGCAAAAAGAAATTAGATTTTCACCCAGCAAAACAGATAATAAAAAAGAAAGCCACTCTGAATATACATTACTTCTTAGTCTATATATAGCCCAGAAATGTTCATTCTCTAGCTGTGTGGCTGTGGGCAGGTTTCTTAACCTCTCTGTGCCTCAGGTTCCTCATATATCAAATGGAGATAAAAATATACCTACCTCATAGAGATTTTAAGATCATTTAATGAGTTAATAAAACCACAGTGGCACTGAGCATAATTCTAAGGTATGAGACCACAGGGTAAGTTTTCAACAATGCAAATTCAGACCATGTAAAACACATTTCTCCAGATGATGAAGTAAATAACTGGTACTGAACTAAACTTCCCACAGTAAGCAACTATAGAGCTAGACAAAATACATGAAGCAACTGTTTTCAGGCAACAGCCAGAGACAATACGAGGCTGCAATCACAAAAGAGGCAAAACTCACAAGGCAATCATTGCTGTTGCTCCCACCTGCTGCCTGGGAAAAATTTCCCACCCATAGAATAAAGACCTGGAGTCCAAGCAAAGCATGATGCTCCAGCTGAATTGTGCAGGCAGAGATCATAACTCAGAGCAAATAAAATGCCTAGAATCTGCAGGATAGGGTGTGAAACATGAAGAGGCTGTGCAGAAGGGGCCATAGAAGTCCAAGTTGTGGGACACTCCTCTGAGTCCACAGCAGAAAACCATGCTGTATTTATTGATACATATATTCTCCTGTGAGTCCTGGCTAAAAGCCAGCTTTCAAGATGGCAATGGCACAGCAGATTAGGTTGCTTTGTGCTTCAGGATAGAATAGAGTTACTAGATGTGAAGCAGAGCTGGAGAGACAGAGCAGCTCCATGAACTACTGGAGTTTGGACTGCCAGAGTGGAAAGCATTTGCTAACAGTCCTGATAGGTGTCTGATACACCAAAAAGACGATGCCTCAAAAGAAAGGATCATTCTCTCATCAAACACACTCTAGACACATGTTAAGACAACCTGAAACTAAGTCCCAACATGATCTGCAAAAGACACAAATTTTGGAGGTTGAATCTTTCAAAGCTACAGAGGCTTAGGAAATAACTTGGATTTTCAACAAATATGCACTAGCAAAGCATAAAATAAAGTCTAGGCAAGTTTAAAGGATTCAGCAAGTGAATTGTCTTCTACAACAAGAATCAACACTTTTCGGAATACAACAGAATCTAGAATCAGAATGACATATTTCCCATATATTTAACATTCAATTCAAAAATCTCTGGCATAGAAATTAAAAAAAAAAAAAAAGCCAGGCGTGATGGCACACGCCTGCACCTGCAGTCTTAGCTCCTCAAGAGACTGAGGCAGGAAGACTGTTTGAGCCCAGGGTCTCAAGGATGCAGTGAGCTGTGATCATGTCACTGCACTCTAGCCTGGATGACAGAGCATGACACTGTCTCAAAATAAATTAATTAAAAGAAAAGAAAAATGTGATCCACAGTATAAAAAAAATTTTTTTAACCAGTCAATAGAAGTCAAACATACGATGGCCCAGATTTTTGATTTAAAAGATTCTAAGTCAGTTATTTTAAACATGTCCAAAGAATGCAAAGAAAACATCATCAAAGATGTAAAGGAAAAGGAGATCTTATTTAATCATATGGACTGGATGTTTGTCTCCCCAAAATGTGTATGTTGGCATCTAATCCCCATGGTGATGGTATTAGGAGGTAGGGTCTGTGGGAGGTGATTAGGTCATAAAGGTAGAGCCCTCACACATAGGAGTAATGCCCTTATAAAAGAGACCCCAGAGAAATACTCTTTCCTGTAACCATATGAGGAGAAGATGGACATTTTGAACCAAGAAGCAGGCCCTTACCAGACATTAAATCTGCTGGTGCCTTGCTTCCAGGCTTCCCAGCCTCCCAGAACTCTGAGCAATAAATCTCTGTTATTATAAGCCACCTAATCTGTGGTATTCTGTTACAGCAGCCCAAATGGACTAAGACACTTAATGAGTGAACAGATAGGGAACCTCGACAGAGAAATGTAAATTATAAAAAGAACCAAAGAGAAATTCCAGAACCAAAAAGTACAATAACTGAAATAAATAAACAATGGGATGGAGGTTGGATGGGGCAGTGAAAAAGGGAGTCACAGGAATAAAACATTGTAAGGCATGATAAAGTTTGAAAATTGGTCCTATAGTTTCAATTAAAATGTCTTTTTTTCCCAACAAATATAACCTATAACTATTTTGAAAATTGCTTTTCAAAAGTTTATTTAAGGCATTTCTTTATTAGATACAAATGTAAACTCTAGAATGCTTTCATTTTAAGGCACTTGGGGTGGGGGACAATTGAGTTTATCAGAAGAGAAAAAAGTTCAAAATAAGTTCTTACTCATAAGAGTAAGGTAAAATGGGTACATATATATTGAAAGTAAGAACGGTAACCAGTAAAATGTCCTCCGCCAAATCCACAACATGAAAAACAGTAAAAACATCTACACTTTTTGACAGCAATTATACAACAGGAATTTATTCTAAGGAATTAATTGGAGATGTACAGAAGTATTTAGGTCCACAAAGTATTATTCCTAATTATTATTTTTGGTTTAGAAAAAAACGGGGAAAAATAAGGGACTGTACCAAATCGGGGTGTAGGTACATGCTGCAATACTATATGGAGCTTTTAAATGGTATTGTAAAACAATGACAGAATATTCATCACATATGGGATTTCGTATTTTCTTAAAAGCACATTTTTCACATCTTAACATCTCTGAAATTGAGATATATATTAAATTCAATGGCATCTTACAATTATAATTGGCAGCTTTTTTTTCTTCCTTAGTGATCCATAAAATGATGGTGCGACTTGCAATAGATGGTGTCAGATTAAATGAAATATGGTGGTGTTAAATTTTAAATATATGTTTCTAAATTAAAATGGTCTCTTTTGGCTCAGAGAGAGGCAGTCTTGTGTCAGGAATAAGAGTGTAGTCCATGGAACAGATTGTCTGTGTTCCAATCTCACCTCTACCATTAATAGTTGTGTGATCTAGGGCAAGTTTCTTAACCAAATGTCCCTCAGTTTCCCCAAAGTAAACAGAGATTATAATAATATCCACTTCATATGGTTGTTCGGAGGACTAAAAGTTTTCAGAATAGCGTTTGGTACATAGGACACATTCCAAAAGTGATAGTTATTATTACTTACAAAACACATAAATGCATGGAAAAAACCGTAAGGAAAGATATTCGCTGTGATTATCTTGGTGTGGTATGAGCACCAGTGATTTTTATTTGCTTTTTAGGGTTTTCCAAGTTGTCTGCAATACATGTGTATTGGTTACATAATTAGAAAAATAATATTATTTTAAGATAAACTGAAACATATTATATTAAAAAATCTTTGACATTGAAAATGTATATGGCATAATGGTCACATGAAAAAAGCATATGGTGATTTGAATTTTGTAAAAGTTATATAGGTATGGAAAAATCTAGAAGAAAATATCTCTGAATAGTATGATTTATATACAGCTCTTTTAAAATCAATCTCTATTTCTTTTTAGAACTTGCTACAATGAAGACATTATTTTATAGATTAAAAGTATGAATGCTTAGGAGATATACCTAATGTTAAATGACGAGTTAATGGGTGCAGCACACCAACATGGCACACGTATACATAAGTGACAAACCTGCACATTGTGCACATGTACCCTAAAACTTAAAGTATAATAAAAAAAAAAGAAAGTAAATGAAAAAAAATGTATGAATGCTATTTTTAAAATTAAATATGGAACATTTTGTGAGGTGGCAGGTAGATTCATCAAGACAACTTGGGCAAGAGCCACAATCTACATGACCAATCCAGTAAAAATGGCTCAGACCTTAAATGAATGACTCAGTTGAATGAATCAATCTACTGTGATCTAACTCTTTCCAAACCAGATCCTCCCCAGATGATGTCTGGCAAGCTATGTTTTCCTTAGTCAGAGCTCATTCAAATCAGAGGGCTTACATAGAAGTCTTTATTGTTTTTTCCCCTTGATTCTTACAAGTTCTCAAAAAGATAACTTTTTAAGTACAATAAGCCAGGACAAATTCGTCAAGTTCATGACTGGAATCTGTCAAAATATTAATTTCTCTGCTCTGGTTTAATAAAATTTCTTCCTGGAATTTTGAATCAGAAAATCCTGATTCTGACTCACTTTGTACACAAGTGATTAAATGTGAGCTCTTGATAAGCCACTTAACCTCTCCAAGGTTAGGATGTTGTGGTTTTTGCTTTTATCTGTAAAATAAAAATAATAAAATGTACCTGACAAGATGTTCAGAGAAATAAACAAGAGAGTGGATGCCTAGCACCTAGCTCATAGCCTAGCAAATGTTGAGTTGGAACAAATAACTCTGTTAAACCAAGTTCAGCCTAAAGATGTCCCTTTACACATTTTAAGTTTGGCCTAAAGGTTTTTCCACACAACGTGAATATAATAAGTGGAGGTGTAAACAGACCGTAGCCTCTACTTATGCCAATCACAGAATTTTGGCCAATCAAATATAGCCAGCTGTTGGAACTGTGTTCAAATAAGGCAAATGCCAGCTGTAATGTAACTGTTTCTGTACCTCACTTCCATGTTCTGTACATCACTTTCCTTTTCCTGTTCATAAATCTTCCGCCACCACGTGGCTGCATTGGCTGCACTGGAGTCTCTGAGCCTCTCCTGGCTCAAAAGCCTGCCTGACTTGCAAATTGTTCATTGCTCAATTAAACTCCTTTAAATGTAATTAGGCTGATGTTTTTCTTTTATCAACTCAGACACACTTTTAAAACCTCCTTGAATTAAAAATTCCAGAACTGGGCTTAGCATTAAGCTCTGTCCTGGCACTAAGCTTTAAAATACACTTGTTAGGTCTTACTTGGTGGTCTCATATATAGGCTACTTATTCAAATATTAACTCTAAATAGGCAAAATGGGGGGCTGAAACATTTTTTAAAGGAGAAAGAGGAATTTGGAAAGCAATATTCAGGGAAAAGTTATGACAAATTGTAATGCACAGTTTATGTGAACAAGGAAAAAGCTAATTATTTTATAATCATAAAAGTAGTGTGTGTGTTCTATGTGCTGAACAGTGTGCTAAGCACTTTATATTGAGAATCATATGTCATTATAAAAGTAATGTGGGATGGCTGAATAGGAACAGCTCCGGTCTACAGCTCCCAGCGTGAGCGATGCAGAAGACGGGTGATTTCTGCATTTCCAACTGAGCTTTGAAGAGAGTAGTGGTTCTCCCAGCACGCAGCTGGAGATCTGAGATCAGGCAGACTGCCTCCTCAAGTGGGTCCCTGACCCCCGAGTAGCCTAACTAGCAGGCACCCCCCAGTAGGGGCAGACTGACACCTCACATGGCCAGGTACTCCTTGGAGACAAAACTTCCAGAGGAACGATCAGGCAGCAGCATCTGTGGTTCACCAATATCCGCTGTTCTGCAGCCACCGCTGCAGATACCCAGGGAAACAGGGTCTGGAGTGGACCTCTAGCAAACTCCAACAGACCTGCAGCTGAGGGTCCTGTCTGTTAGAAGGAAAACTAACAAACAGAAAGGACATCCACACCAAAAACCCATCTGTACGTAACCATCATCAAAGACCAAAGGTAGATAAAACCACAAAGATGGGAAAAAAACAGAGCAGAAAAACTGGAAACTCTAAAAATCAGAGCGCCTCTCCTCCTCCGAAGGAACACAGCTCCTCACCAGCAATGGGACAAAGCTGGACGGAGAGTGACTTTGACGAGTTGAGAGAAGAAGGCTTCAGACGATCAAACTACTCCGAGCTACAGGAGGAAATTCGAACCAATGGCAAAGAAGTTAAAAGCTTTGAAAAAAAATTAGATGAATGGATAACTGGAATAACCAATGCAGAGGAGTCCTTAAAGGACCTGATGGAGCTGAAAACAAAGGCACGAGAGCTACGTGACGAATGCAGAAGCCTTAGTAGCCGATGCGATCAACTGGAAGAAAGGGTGTCAGTGATGGAAGATGAAATGAATGAAATGAAGCGAGAAGGGAAGTTTAGAGAAAAAAGAATAAAAAGAAACAAACAAACAAGCCTCCAACAAATATGGGACTATGTGAAAAGACCAAATCTACATCTGATTGATTGGTGTACCTGAAAGTGACAGGGAGAAAGGAACCACGTTGGAAAACACTCTGCAGGATATTATCCAGGAGAACTTCCCCAACCTAGCAAGGCAGGCCAACATTCAAATTCAGGAAACACAGAGAACACCATAAAGATACTCCTTCAGAAGAGCAACTCCAAGACACATAATTGTTAGATTCAACAAAGTTGAAATGAAGGAAAAAATGTTAACAGCAGCCAGAAAGAAAGGTCGGGTTACCCACAAAGGGAAGCTCATCAGACTAACAGCGGATCTCTCAGCAGAAACTCTACAAGCCAGAAGAGAGTGGGGGCCAATATTCAACATTCTTAAAGAAAAGAATTTTCAACCCAGAATTTCATATCCAGCCAAACTAAGCTTCATAAGTGAAGGAGAAATAAAATCCTTTACAGACAAGCAAATGCTGAGAGATTTTGTCACCACCAGGCCTGCCCTAAAAGAGCTCCTGAAGGAAGCACTAAACATGGAAAGGAACAACCGGTACCAGCCACTGCAAAAACATGCCAAATTGTAAAGACCATTGATGCTAGGGAGAAACTGCGTCAACTAACGAGCAAAATAACCAGCTAACATCATAATGACAGGATCAAATTCACACATAACAATATTAACCTTAATTGTAAATGGGCTAAATGCTCCAATAAAAAGACACAGACTGGCAAATTGGATAAAGAGTCAAGATCCATCAGTGTGCTGTATTCAGGAAACCCATCTCACGTGCAGAGACACACATAGGCTCAAAATAAAGGGATGGAGGAAGATCTACCAAGCAAATGGAAAACAAAAAAAGACAGGGGTTGCAATCCTAGTCTCGAATAAAATGGACTTTAAACCAACAAAGATCAAAAGAGACAAAGAAGGCCATTACATAATCGTAAAGGGATCAATTCAACAAGAAGAGCTAACTATCCTAAATATATATGAACCCAATACAGGAGCACCCAGATTCATAAAGCAAGTCCTTAGAGATCTATAAAGAGACTTAGACTCCCACACAATAATAATGGGAGAGTTTAACACCCCACTATCAATATTATACAGATCAACGAGACAGAAAGTTAACAAGGATATCAAGGAATTGAACTCAGCTCTGCACCAAGTGGACCTAATAGACATCTACGGAACTCTCCAGCCCAAATCAACAGAATATACATTCTTCTCAGCACCACACCACACCTATTCCAAAATTGACAACATAGTTGGAAGTAAAGCACTCCTCAGCAAATGTAAAAGAACAGAAATTATAACAAACTGTTTCTCAGACCACAGTGCAATCAAACTAGAACTCAGGATTAAGAAACTCACTCAAAACTGCTCAATTACATGGAAACTGGACACCTGCTCCTGAATGACTACTGGGTACATAACGAAATGAAGGCAGAAATAAAGATGTTCTTTGAAACCAATGAGAACAAAGACACAACATACCAGAATCTCTGGGACACATTTAAAGCAGTGTGGAGAGGGAAATTTATAGCACTCAATGCCCACAAGAGGAAGCAGGAAAGATCTAAAATTGATACCCTAACATCACAATTAAAAGAACTAGAGAAGCAAGAGGAAACACATTCAAAAGCTAGCAGAAGGCAAGAAATAACTAAGATCAGAGCAGAACTGAAGGAGATAGAGACACAAAAAACCCTTCAAAAAATCAATGAATCCAGGAGCTGGTTTTTTGAAAAGATCAACAAAATTGATAGACCCCTATCAAGAATAATAAAGAAGAAAAGAGAGAAGAATCAAATAGATGCAATAAAAAAAGATAAAGGGGATATCAACATTGATCCCACAGAAATACAAACTACCATAAGAGAATAATATAAACACCTCTATGCAAATAAACTAGAAAATCTACAAGAAATGGATAAATTCCTCGACACATACACCCTACCAAGTCTAAACCAGGAAGAAGCTGAATCCCCGAATAGACCAATAACAGGCTTTGAAATTGAGGCAATAATTAATAGCCTACCAACAAAAAAAGTTCAGGACCAGAAGGATTCACATCCAAATTCTATCAGAGCTACAAACAGGAGCTGGTACCATTCCTTCTGAAACTATTCCAATCAATAGAAAAAGAGGGAATCCTCCCTAACTCATTTTATGAGGCCAGCATCATCCTGATATCAAAGCCTGGCAGAGACACAACAAAAAAAAGAGAATTTTAGACCAATAACCCTGATGAACATCGATGCAAAAATCCTCAATAAAATACTGGTAAACCGAATCCAGCAGCACATCAAAAAGCTTATCCACCATGATCAAGTTGGCTTCATCCCTGGGATGCAAGGCTGGTTCAACATACACAAATCAATAAATGTAATCCAGCATATAAAGAGAACCAACGACAAAAACCACATGATTATCTCAATAGATGCAGAAAAGGCCTTTGACAAAATTCAACAATCCTTCATGCTAAAAACTCTCAATAAATTAGGTATTGAAATTAGGTATTGATGGTACGTATCTCAAAATAATAAGAGCTATCTATGACAAACCCACAGCCAATATCATACTGAATGGGCAAAAACTAGAAGCATTCCCTTTGAAAACTGGCACAAGACAGGGATGCCCTCTCTCACCACTCCTATTCAACATAGTGTTGGAAGTTCTGGCCAGGGCAATCAGGCAGAAGAAAGAAATAAAGGGTATTCAATTAGGAAAAGAGGAAGTCAAATTGTCCCTGTTTGCAGATGACATGATTGTATGTCTAGAAAACCCCATCGTTTCAGCCCAAAATCTCCTTAAGCTGATAAGCAACTTCAGCAAAGTCTCAGGATACAAAATCAATGTGCAAAAATCACAAGCATTCTTATATACCAATAACAGACAAACACAGAGCCAAATCACGAGTGAACTCCCATTCACAATTGCTTCAAAGAGAATAAAATACCTAGGAATCCAACTTACAAGGGATGTGAAGGACCTCTTCAAGGAGAACTACAAACCACTGCTCAATGAAATAAAAGAGGAAACAAACAAATGGAAGAACATTCCATGCTCGTGGAGAGGAAGAATCAATATCTTGAAAATGGCCATACTGCCCAAGGTAATTTATAGATTCAATGCCATCCCCATCAAGCTACCAATGACTTTCTGCATCGAATTGGAAAAAACTACTTTAAAGTTCATATGGAACCAAAAAAGAGCCTGCATTGCCAAGTCAATCCTAAGCCAAAAGAACAAAGCTGGAGGCATCATGCTACCTGACTTCAAACTATACTACAAGGCTACAGTAACCAAAACAGCATGGTACTGGTACCAAAACAGAGATATAGATCAATGGAACAGAACAGAGCCCTCAGAAATAATGCCGTATATCTACAACTATCTGATCTTTGACAAACCTGACAAAAACAATAAACGGGGAAAGGACTCCCTGTTCAACATATGGTGCTGGGAAAACTGGCTAGCCATATGTAGAAAGCTGAAACTGGATCTCTTCCTTACACCTTATACAAAAATTAATTCAAGATGGATTAAAGACTTAAATGTTAGACCTAAAACCATAAAAACCCTAGAAGAAAACCTAGGCAATACCTTTCAGGACATAGGCATGGGAAAGGACTTCCTGTCTAAAACACCAAAAGCAATGGCAACAAAAGCCAAAATTGACAAATGGGATCTAATTAAACTAAAGAGCTTCTGCACAGCAAAAGAAACTGCCATCAGAGTGAATAGGCAACCTACAGAATGGGAAAAAATTTTTGGAATCTACTCATCTGACAAAGAGCTAATATCCAGAATCTACAAAGAACTCAAATTTATGAGAAAACAACGAACAACCCATCAACAAATGGGTGAAGGATATGAACAGACACTTCTCAAAAGAAGACATTTATGCAGCCAACAGACACTTGAAAAAATGCTCATCATCACTGGCCATCAGAGAAATGTAAATCAAAACCACAATGAGATACCATCTCACACCAGTTAGAATGGTGATCATTAAAAAGTCAGGAAACAACAGGTGCTGGAGAGGATGTGGAGAAATAGGAACACTTTTACACTGTTGGTGGGACTGTAAACTAGTTCAACCATTGTGGAAGACATTGTGGCGATTCCTCAGGGATCTAGAACTAGAAATACCATTTGACCCAGCCATCCCATTACTGGGTATATACCCAAAGGATTATAAATCATGCTGCTATAAGGACACATGCACACATATGTTTATTGTGGCATTATTCACGATAGCAAAGACTTGGAACCAACTCAAATGTCCAACAATGATAGACTGGATTAACAAAATGTGGCACATATACACCATGGAATACTATGCAGCCATAAAAAATGATGAGTTCATGTCCTTTGTAGGGACATGGATGAAGCTGGAAACCATCATTCTCAGCAAACTATCGCAAGGACAAAAAACCAAACACTGCATGTTCCCACTCATAGGTGAGAATTGAACAATGAGAACACATGGACACAGGAAGGGGAACATCACACACCGGGGCCTGTTGTGGGGTGGGGCAAGGGGGTAGGGATAGCATTAGGAGATATACCTAAAGAAAAGGACGAGTTAATGGGTGCAGCGCACCCACATGGCGCATGTATACATACGTAACAAACCTGCACGTTGTGCACATGTACTGTAGAACTTAAAGTATAATAAAAATATGTATATAAAAAAAGAAAATGTACATGGATTTGATCACAGTTTGGTGTAAACATAATGACAAAACAAGGGAGTAGTGGCCTTATCAAGAGGCTCTGAAGATTCAAACAGAGAGACATTGCATCATTCACCAGGAATATGTCACCACAAAGAGTACACCTCTTGCCTTTGTTCAAATTTACAGTGAAAAGGAAGTGATTTTGAAAATTTGCTCTATCACAGAAATGTGCACTGGAGTGTCTTGGGAAAGGTGATGGTCTGATCTTGACCTGTAGCTGTAAATCTCAATATGAAAAATAAAACCACAATTTACCTTGTGATAAATAACGACTCTCAAAATTTACTTATTTATTGGATATTATTTTAAAACTAAACATCTCGGTCCAGGACTGCGAAGAATAAATGAATGCTTTTAGCTAACCCAGGAAATCCACCTCGCATGGCCTGCTCTGTTGCTTATAACCTTACTAAGAATCCGAAACTCTCCCCAGAAAGCAGGACTTAGCCCATACGAAATGCTGTATGGACGGCCCTTCCTAACCACTGACCTTGTGCTTGACCGAGAGACGACCAACTTAGTTGCAGACATCACCTCATTAGCCAAATATCAACAAGTTCTTAAAACCATTACAAGGAGTCTGTTCCCGAGAGGACGGAAAGGAATTATTCCACCCTGGTTACATGGTATTAGTCAAGTCCCTTCCCTCTAACTCCCCATCCCTACATACATCCTGGGAAGGACCCTTCCCAGTCATTTTATCTACCCCAACCATGGTTAAAGTGACTGGAGTGGAGTCTTGGATACATCACACTCGGGTCAAACCCTGGATACTGCCAAAGGAACCCGAAAACCCAGGAGACAACGCTAGCTATTCCTGTGAACCTCTAGAGGATCTGCACCTGGTCTTCAAGCGACAACCATGAGGAAAGTAACTAAAATTGTAAATCCCCATGGCCCTCCCTTATCATATTTTTTTCTTTACTGTTTTCTTACTCCCTCTCATTCTCACTACACACCCTCCATGACACTGTACAACCAGTAGCTCCCCTTACCAAGAGTTTCTATGGAGAATACGGCTTCTCGGAAATATTAATGCCCCATCAAATAGGAGTTTTTCTAAGGGAAACCCCACCTTCACCACCCACACCCATATGCCCCGCAACTGCTATACCTCTGCCACTCTTTGCATGCATGCAAATACTCATTATTGAACAGGGAAGATGATTAATCCTACTTGTCCTGGAGGACTTGGAGCCACTGTCTGTTGGACTTACTTCACCCATACCAGTATGTCTGATGGGGGTGGAGTTCAAGATCAGGCAAGAGAAAAACATCTAAGGGAAGTGATCTCCCAACTGACCCAGGTACATAGCACCTCTAGCCCCTACAAAGGACTAGATCTCTCAAAACTACATGAAACCCTCCATACCCCTACTCACCTGGTAAGCCTATTTAATACCACCCTCACTGGGATCCCTGAGGCCTTGGCCCAAAACCCTACTGTTGGATGTGCCTCCCCCTGCACTTCAGGCCACACACTTCAATCCCTGTACCTGAACAATGGAACAACTTCAGCACAGAAATAAACACCACTTCCGTTTTAGTAGGACCTCTTGTTTCCAATCTGGAAATAACCCATATCTCAAGCCTCACCTGTGTAAAATTTAGCAATACTATAGACACAACCAACTCCCAATGCATCAGGTGGGTAACTCCTCCCACACGCATAGTCTGCGTACCCTCAGGAATATTGCCTACCTCAGCCTATCATTGTTTGAATGGCTCTTCAGAATCTATGTGCTTCCTCTCATTCTTAGTGCCCCCTATGATCATCTACACTGAACAAGATTTATACAATTATGTCATACCTAAGCCCTGCAACAAAACAGTACCCATTCTTTCTTTTGTTATTGGAGCAGGAGTGCTAGGCAGACTAGGTACTGGCATTGGCAGTATCACAACCTCTACTCAGTTCTACTACAAACTATCTCAAAATAAATGGTGACATGGAATGGGTCACCGACTCACTGGTCACCTTGCAAGATCAACTTAACTCCCTAGCAGCAGTAGTCCTTCAAAATCGAAGAGCTTTAGACTTGCTAACTGCCGAAACAGGGGGAACCTGTTTATTTTTAGGGGAAGAATTCTGTTGTTATGTTAATCAATCCAGAATCGTCACCGAGAAAGTTAAAGAAATTCTAGATCAAACACAACATAGAGCACAGGAGCTTCAAAACACCAGACCCTGGGGCCTCCTCAGCCAATGGATGCCCTGGATTCTCTCCTTCTTAGGACCTCTAGCAGCTATAATATTGTTACTCCTCTTTGGATCCTGTATCTTTAACCTCCTTGTTAAGTTTGTCTCTTCCAGAATCGAAGCTGTAAAGCTACAAATGGTTCCTCAAATGGAGTCCCAGAGGCAGTCCGTGATTAAGATCTACCACGGACCCCTGGACTGGCCTGCTAGCCCATGCTCCAATGTTAATGACATCAAAGGCACCCCTCCCTAGGAAATCTCAAATGTACAACCCCTGGCATGCCCCAGTTCAGCAGGAAGCAGTTAGAGTGGTCATCAGCCAACCTTCCCAACAGCACTTGGGTTTTCCTGTTGAGAGGGGGCACTGAGAGACAGGACTAGCTGGATTTCCTAGGCCAATTAAGAATCCCTGGGAAGGTGATTGCATCCATCTTTAAACACGGAGCTTCCAACTTAGCTTACAATCGACCAATCAGGTAGTAAAGAAAGCTCACTAAAATGCTAATTAGGCAAAAAGAGAAGGTAAAGAAATAGCCAATCATCTATTGCCTGAGAGCACAGCAGGAGGGACAATGATTGGGATATAAACTCAGGCATTTGAGCAGGCAACAGCTACCCTCTTTGGGTCTCCTCTCTTTGTATGGGAGCTCTGTTTTCTATTAAATCTTGCAACTGCAAAAAAAAAAAAGAATGCTTTTAATACACAGGACACAATCACTCTAACAACAATAAGTTTAAATATAAGATAAAAAGATTTATTGTGGAAATTATAATCATTTTCCTTGTCAATTACATGTGATCACAAATTATAGCAGCAGTATTAAAATAATAACCAATAATATCTTTAGTTATTGGTCTTCCTTGTAAAAATTCATTACCAAGATCATAGATGGTTTCAGACAGACATAGTAGAAATGGAGAAAATATTTGTTGGGGTGAATGAATATGTGATTTCTCTAGGGCAATAAAAGACTCTGATCAAAGACTTTTTTAACCTACCAAATGACACAAGCAAGATAAACTTGTCAAAAATTCCACCAAAAGGGGCGGAAAACATTGTATTCTGCTGCCTTTTTGGCAGCGTCAGAACATCTCTCCCGAGTGAACAAAGCTTTAAAAGAAATTTTATTACTCTTTTCTTTGGTCGGCTTATGCTCATGCGAAACTATATTCTCAAAATTACCAGGACTCTGAACCTATTGGGCAAAATTGCTTTTATTCAATTCAGCACCATTTTCTAAAATTGTTAGATGTAATGCAATAGCATCTTCCTGGCATGCCACTTGAAATTTTTTTTACATAAAAGCAAGCATGGCTATAATAGGAAGTGAGATATTTTCAATATCAATATCTTGTTTTTCTTTTTTCAAAATAAAACATGTTCTTTCAAAGATGTTTTAAACTTTCACCTGGGCATGTGGGAAGAGCACAATGCTATGGATTCCCTCTGTTACATGTTTACTCCTTTCTTCTCTCATTAGAGATGCCTAAATAGGATTGCAGCACCCTCCGACTTGTGATTTGTTCTCTCTCTCTCCCACTCACACTCACTCACACACACATACACACATGCACACAAACAGGCCCATCCTGTTGCAGACCACTTAGCCATGGTGAGAGTTGCCTGCCTTGCCTGTTTCACTGCTCTGCTCACTTCTATGGCCATCTCCCCTCCAACGGTCGCTGATTCTATAGCAAATTAATGGGAAATTTTTTGCTCATGTTTCAACTGAAAGAGAAAAATTTTTGTTGAGATCTCTCTCCTTTCAAAATAAATAGCTTTACTGTGTTTATGATAGGAAGAGGAAAGAGGAACTGTGAATCCTTACATTGTAGAGCAGCATTAATGAATAAAAGAAAGTTTTTGAGGAAAAGATTCCTAGTTTCTATCAGACAAAATACTAGTATCTAAGCACATCTGGGGAAACAACATGGAGGCAGCTTTCTGATCTTTGACTCTAAAATAGGGTCAACGGCATCACAGACTGAGGCTCTCGATAAGAATCTTTTCTTCCTAAGAGCACATTGGCTCTAGCCAATGTCTCTCCTGACTTCTACTTCTTCACTTGTGCCTTGGGCTGCCTTTCCCATGGCTCCTTCTACTGGTACAACCTTGACTGTTCAGATTTTTGACACTTGTCCAAGATGACAACTGAAATCATGGTGAATGTGCAGAGTAAAATGAAAGTAAGGTCTGGAAACCACTAAAAAATAGTCAGAAGAGCCCTTTAAAATGAATGAAAAGTAGTAGTTGTAGATGTAAGAAGAGAAAAAAAAGCAGGATTAAGTGATGTCATCAAAACCAAGAGCCAAGAGATGTTCAAGAAAGTGGGAATGGTTCACAATGAAAAATGCACCAAGGAAGACAGACACTAAGACAAAAAATGAATTACATTTAGCTTTAGGGTGATTATTGGTGGCTTGGATAAGATGACAGTGTTGATTGAGAGATCAAGGAGGTGAGAAGCACAGACAACACCTAATTCATGTTATTTCATTCATCTAGTGACACATCTGTCTCCTTTGAGAGACTGTAAATTCCTCCAGGGCATTGTCTGTCTTACATCTGTCTCCCTCGAGAACCTCACATATTCCTTTAGAGCAGAAATAGGCTGACTATGTAGTAAATATAAAGATCTGGGAAATGAAAAAGGTACTTGAATTAATACCCCTCTTATTACTGAAAATGTCATTAAGAATGATATAGATGGGCATTTTGTATTCATATAAAAATCAACTCCATTGTAAAACAGGGATGATTACCACTCTCTGATGGGAAACCAACCCAATTAATGACCACCCTTTCCCGAAAGAGAAAGCCATTATAGAAATTTCACATACATTACATTATAGCATGGATATAAAAGTATTTTCTCCACACTAGAGTCTTCTGCTTTGCTGATAATCTTACTATTACATTAGCACTCTGGATAAATGTGCTATTCATTTGATTACATAAAACAAATATCATATTGAACCGTAGTCATATTGACTACACTTTGTGTGCTTTACAAAAACCACAGGGAGGAGGCTTTTTTCATACAGACTTTCTGTGTAGCTGAACATTTGCCATTCTTGGTTGGTCAAGCACACAATATTTTAATGCTCCAGATATGACAGACTTCAGAGTACCAGAGTTAGAATAAATAAAAACACTCTACTTTTTCCAGAGAAAGCTACCCTCCTGCATCTGATCTAAGCTACCATCTCAAAGAAGAATCAAGCTATGAAAAGAGAGAAAGAATTAATAGCTATATTGTGTTCAGCCAACCTGATGAGAGCTTTCAGTCCCCAGTGAAAATATGAATTAATGTGAGGCAAGAATAGACCTTGGGAATACTGACCTCCCATGACTCAGTAATTCAAACCAGATCCTTTTTTCCCCTCAACTTGTATTTTAAAAGTGCAAAAGGAGATAAAAACAAAATTCTTTCAATGTTACATTTCAGTTCCCGGAAGGTATAATCTATGAGAAACACCTGTAATTCAGTCAATGGATCTTTGTGTTGTACAAATACAGGGTAAAGAATTACAATTAAAATTTCAAAATTATTTATAAATATTGACACTGCATTCCTTTAAGTATGCTCAAGTGGTTTTGAAAGCTAGTGAGTGGAGAAGATGCTAATAGATACAAGACTTTGCTTTGGTTTGCTTGATTTTTAATTTTTGGTTTTACTTGATGGTAGCAAAAGATCATTTATGGTTTTGTCTCATTCTGTGCATATTATGGTGGCAGAGCTACAAATAAAATCAGGAGGAGCTATGAAAGTAGACACAGACAAACATGTAAAAATCTTATTTCTTCCTTTTAGTAACTATTATCTTGGGAAAATTACTTAACCACTCAAAGCCTCAATTTTCCCATTTTAAAAAATGTGCAGATGATTGTACCCACTGCATAGGATAGTGTGAGGACACTTGACACATTATGGAGAGTTCTATATAAATATAGAATCATTTTTCCATTTATGTAAATATAGTTGTAGATTATATCAACTGGAGAGCTGTGTGATATGAGAAGAAATGGAGAGTGTTCTCTACTCATGCACAATTCCACCCTCGCTTGAAGATATTCCTCACTAGTGGGCTTGGTCTCCAGGGAGAAAGTACATAAAATGAAGTTTTCTCCTTGGTGTTTGCAAATCTGCATTTATTGCTGGACATCAATGATCCTGGAGAGTGGCAAAGAATACTGGACTTGAAATCCAAAGGCTTGAGTTTGGATTTTGCTTTCCTACTTACAAAGTACCAGTGTTTACTTAGGTTGCATATATCTCAACTTGAAATTTCCAGAAATCTCAACCCCCTTTAAAAAAATTAAATGCAATTTTTTAATTATTTACATTTAAAAAACTACAATATAAAAATGAAGATTAGATGGGGTACTACTAGCCAAATCTTGATACTCAGTAAGATAATAAATTAATGTGTGTAACTGTGAATGCTTACATAAAATAGAAATTTGGCTCCTGTCTACTGATGCTGGTAAATGTACAAAATCTTAAAACCTAATACTAAGGTATCACTTGATCCATAATATTCCACATGAATTATCCTTTTATCTCTTCCAGACTCAACAAGTTTTTAGTGTTATTACAAAGCCAGGGTATTTCCTATGTAGAACAAGAAAGACACTGGCTTCTTTTTTACTATTAGTGTGTTAGACAAGTGAGATAGAGTGAAGAGTAAAACCAATCACATCTTTGTAACATTGGTTACTAAACTTCTCTACATTGGAAATTAATTCATGATGTGAAATCCTGACACATAGCTGATCACTGGGCTATTGAAGGGAGTTGAGGGAGACCTATAAAGATGGAGATGGGTAATGAGAGACAAGACAAAGAGTCCAAAGAGCCATTGGAAATACCACTGTCCATTGTGAAAGATGATTTAGGGGAAAACTAGGCAACCTGATTCTGCTTAGCTGGATAAGTCCAACTTTAACTAAAATGTGCCCACATACACGCAAACAGGTAAAAATGCAATTTTTTTATTTTCTTGCTTTTTATAGAGCCTAGAAAGTATATAAACTTTAGCTCAATTATAACTCAATTCTCCATAATCCATTAAACAGTATTTCTCTCCCCACACCCCGCCCCCACAATTAACTTCATGTTGCAAACAGGGTCTGCAATGGAATTTATTCACTAGTGGTCAGGAATCTGTTGGGAAAAAGCTGAGTGTTGGGAGGGAAACTGAGGCAGGGCCTGCATAATGTCCTCTGGAATGTGTCTAGACTTGCCGGCTCCTTGCTTCTTGCCTTCCTAGGCTCCTATTCCCATTATCTCAAGTAGCAGAACATGTTCCTTATAAATGCTAAACCATCACAGCTGTAAATCATGTGCTTCATGTAACATGTCCTTTTGACCTCCACACTCTCACCACCTCTGTACACTAGCGATGGCCCCCTGATTTCCCACCTTTCTCTCTCAAACTGTCTTTTTCTCAATCCTTTGACTCCACCAGACTTTGTCACCCCCACGACCTGGTGTTGGGTCTGATCACCCCAACAGAATCCTCCCAGCTCCCTTAGGAAACCTTATTCAAAAATAGTGAAGTACAACCAAAATGCCCTTCTGCTATGTAATGCCTTCCATCATGTAATGATGCAGCAAGAAGGCCCACACCAGATGCCAACACCTTGATATTGGACTTCCCAGCCACCAGGACTATGAGCCAATAAATTTCTCATCATTATAAATTACCTAGACTGTGATAGTCCATCAATGAAGTTCATAGCTCTACTAATGTAAGAAAATATATTTGATTAGCACACAATTACATCCTGTTTACATCCAGTCAACACATAATTACATCCTGTTTAAAAAGAAACTTTTTATTGTTAACAAAGAAATATTTGTTTAAAATTATTTCTAATTTTCATGGCTATAATTCCTGAAATCATAAACATCTCTTCTGAATCTGTGGGGTGTGTTGTGAATATAATCTAAAACAACACCTTACCTTTAGCTATGGGATCTCTAAGTGATTACTGAGGCTGAGACAGGTGAAATGATGTGATCCACGTCGCCTGACACCAGACCCAGCTATTTTTAATTGGTTCCAAGTTGCTTTATCCATCCTAATGATTCAAAAGGAAGAATCCAAAATAAGACTGAAGGAAAAATATTTCCGAGAAGTCATATTAAATTAAATGGACTTATTTTTTAAAATAATTTCAGATGTGGAACAGTGCTATAATATAAAAATACAAAAGAGAAGGATAAAAGTAGGCTATGGAAGAAAAGAGCCTTTAAAAGGTGAACTCTGGCAAAGAAATTAAGAAACTACTTTACATCAGAGGCAAAGGAATGCCTTAAGAAGGGAAAAGAAACTGTGAGGAAAATGCAATTTTCTCTGCCAGAAAGAACTTACTTTGAATGAAATCACATTGGTTTCACTAAGATTATGTCATTTCAGTGGATTTCACAGCATTGCTTGTAGCCATGCTAACTTGCTCAGTAGACAAAGAAAATATTAAAAGTAAAGGCAAAGTAAGAAGTAATCTGTGTTTATTGAGCTTACTTAATAATTTGAAGATAATAACTAAAAATTAGTGAAGTCTAGTTGCTGCTTTTCTTAGAAAGCCTCTGTAATCACTTGAACTAAATGTTCAGAACAACCAGATAAAAATAATTTATAGAAGAAAGCAGAAGAAATTAAGAATCTCATAACTCCAGCAATGCTCTCCCAGATGCACAAGAAAATGGTTCAATTTCCTCAACCTTCACTCTCAGCACAATCCTAGCCCCACACCTAACTTCTCTCTCACAGGCTAACTTCTGACTACAATTCCATTGTCTGCTTGGCTTTTCAGCTACCACAGAGCTAGTTTATAAAGTGAGGGTGTTGAGAATTAGCTGGAGAGGAAGGATGCCCCTACTCTAGATACCATGGTTGGCCAAAAGAAGACATCATACTAGTGATACATAAGATTATTCAGTAGAATAGAGGAGCTGACATGAATCAGACCTAGTCAGATTGGAGCACTGCCCTTTACTAGATGTATGACTTTGGACAAGTTGCCCACCCAATCCAAGTTTCAGCTTTATCATCCATAAAAATAGAGGAATGGAGGTAATGAACAAAGGTATTTAATGCAGCACTCTTTAAAATGCACTATTGCAAAAAAGATGATACATAGTGAATTTTTATCAGTGGAAGTATAGAACAATGGTGTTCAATACAGCATTGTTTCAAAATGCATTGTTGCAAAAAAAGATGATACACGTACATTGTCATCAGTATAAAAATGGATATATCAATTGTGTTGTACATAAAGTAGAATATTATACAGCATTTAAAATCTATGTGTATACAGACAATGAATTACACACACAATGTATTAAGTAGAAAAAAGTTGCAAAATAATTTATTTAATATAGTACCAGTTTTTCAAACTACCTATGTATGTGTATTTGTATAAGCACAGACAATTGTCTAGTAGTTCAAGTATGAAACTGTGAACAGTTACTAACACTATGTGGCAGAAAGTAGAGACTTCACTTCCTTATTTATATATGCATTATTTAAACTTATGTAAATAAAATTTAGAAGTAAAGGTGGAAAAATGAAATCAAATGACTTTATAATAGTATCAGCTAATATTCAATTCTCAATGTTGGGCTGCGAATTAAAGATGATACATTCAGCCTAATGTCTAGCACATAGTAAGTGCTCAGAAGATGTTTATCATTGTTATTCTTCCTCAATTTTTTTTTTTTAGAGATAGACTGTAGCTCTATCACCCAGACTGGAGTGCAAGTGGCATGATCATAGCACACTGCAGCCTGGAACTCCTGGACTCATGTGATCCTCCTGCCTTAGCCTCCCAAAGTGCTGGGATTCCAAGCATGTGCCATCATACCCAGCCAATCATCATCATTATTGTTATTAACATTCAAAGCATCACCCTACTGGAGAATCATTTGTATTCCCATCCTGTGAGTTCTCATTATCATTGGGTTCTTCAGAGGGAATGCATCATTATCTAAGTCCTTGATTCTTTATCAGTTTAAAATAAGACAGTAATAAAAATGCCCTCCCTTTAATCAACAGTGTTGATCAGCCAACAAGTGTGACAAATGACCTATTCCCCTGGATCTGCAAGGAGATGCCTCATGATTTAGGATCACTAACTTCAACACTGATTATTTTGGGTTCCCTGAATGAAGAATATTGATGTTTTATTGTTTTGTTTTTTAAAAGGTATATTGAATACATTGGGATTGTTCTTTTATCTTAGTTGTTCAGAAGACTTTACAGTCAGATATTGCAATTAAGACATAACATATATACATGTGCACACATACACACACACACACACATTCACTAATACTTATGTATCCTAATTGGCATGGCTTCTAGGAGTCATTTATTCAAAGAAAGGGACTGAGGCAAACGTAAAATAAAAGAGTAAGAGTGCAAACCATCCAGAGATACCAGGAAAGATTGCAGTATGGCAAAGCTCTGGGTATTACCAGGCCCAGGCCAAGACAATGTCTGATGACTGGATTTAAAACTGGTAGCTGCTCTATGGCTTATCCTTCACCTGTTGGATAAAATCCCTGTCTGACCTGAAATGACTATGTTTATCATGGCATCATTCAAATGCCAATTCAAAGACTTCTCAAACCTAAGGGGTCATGATACTACTTCTATAATACTGCCAAAATTTGTTTGGACATCCCTTTCTGAAATAACCATCAAAAATAACTTATGAGTCACAAGAAATAATCATTTTTTACTTTAAAGTCACATCTTTTTTCTATGTTTGTATTACCTAGATTGATCACTGACTTTGTTCATCTTTCTTGCTGTTTACAAAACAAATAAAAATTTACCACCAGTTAGTTGACTACAAGTATTTTGCAACCTTTCACAACAACTCAAAATAATAGTTCCAAAAAATATTTTAAATAATGACAACATGGCCAGGCATGGTGGTGCACACCTGTAGTCCTAGCTGCTTGGGAGGCTGAGGTGGGAGGATCACTTGGGCTTGGGAAGTCCAGGCTGCAGTAAGCCATGATTGCACCACTGCACAGCAGCCTGGACAATAGAGCAAGACCCTGTTTCATAAAAAAAATAATAATAATTTAAAAATAAAGATAAAAGTGACTACACTATTCTAATATTATACAGCCTATAAAGAATACAACTTTAGGCCAGTTGCAGTGGCTCATGCCTGTAATCCCAGCACTTTGGGAGGCTGAGGCGAGCAGATCACCTGAGGTCAGGAGTTCAAGACCAGCCTGGCCAAAATGATGAAACCCCATCTCTACAAAAATTAGCTGGGCATGATAGCAGGTGCCTGTAATCCCAGCTACTCAGGAGTCTAGGGCAGAAGAATCTCTTGAACCCAGAAGGCGGAGGTTGCAGTGAGCTGAAATCATGCCATTGAACTCCAGCCTGGGTGGACAGAGCAAGACTCTGTCTCAAAAAAAAAAACAAAGAATACAACTTTGGAGAAAAATGCACCCAACAGGGCTGTTAATAAAAATAATAGTTACTAAAATAGTCATATTACATCTTTTAAACACCTTGAATGACTTATTAAACAATAGTAAAATAAATTATACTTATTAGATTGGCTTTCTACTGGTGATTCTCTGTCATACTGTCTTCTAAGGTACCAATGAGTTGCATATGGAAACATAAGGCATCATAGAATGCAAAATAGAGCAGCTATTCCTAAATTTCTATAACAGAATGCTAGTTCCTTGAGATGCTATAATGCTATAAGCATTGTGACAGCATATAAAATTTGGAAACACTGCCTATTATGTTCTCCTCTTGAAGAAATACAACGCATATAGGCATTTCTAAAGGCTCTGGGAAGTACTGCAATAAAGAACACTGCTATCTTTGTTTCACTAATATTTTACAGATTTATTTGGTAATAATTTCCTTAATTCGACGATTTTCTCCAAGATGGCCAAATAGGAACAGCTCCAGTCTACAGCTCCCAGTGTGTGCAACGCAGAAGATGGGTGATTTCTGCATTTCCAACTGAGGTACCAGGTTCATCTCACTGGGACTTGTCAGACAGTGGGTGCAGCCCACAGGGCAGAGTGGGGCATTGCCTCACCCGGGAAGCACAGTGGGTTGGGAAATTCCCTTTCCTAGCAAAGGGAAGCCGTGACAGATGGTACCTGGAAAATTGGGACACTCCCACCCTAATACTGCACATCTCCAACAATCTTAGCAAATGGCACACCAGGAGATTATATCCCACACTGGGCTCAGAGGGTCCCACGCCCACAGAGCCTCACTCACTGCTAGCACAGTGGTCTGAGATCAAACAGCAAGGTGGTAGCAAAGCTGGAGGAGGGGCATCTGCCATTGCTGAGGCTTAAGTAGGTAACCAAAGTGGTGAGGAAGCTCGAACTGGGTAGAGCCCACCACAGCTCAAGGAGGCCTGCCTGCCTCTGTAGACTCCACCTCTGGGGGCAGGGCATAGCTGAACAAAAGGCAGCAGAAACTTCTGCAGACTTAAACGTCCCTGTCTGACAGCTTTGAAGAGAGCAGTGGTTCTCCCAGCACAGAGTTTCAGATCTGAGAATGGACAGACTGCCTCTTCAAGTGGGTCCCTGACCCCTGAGTAGACTAACTGGGAGACACCTCCCAGTAGGGGCAGACTGACACTCATACTGGCAGGTGCCCCTCTGAGACAAAGCTTCCAGAGGAAGGATCAGACAGCGACATCTGCCATTCTGCAATATTTGCTGTTCAGCAGCCTCCACTGCTGATACCCAGGCAAACAGGATCTGGAGTGGACCTCCAGCAAACTCCAACAGACCTGCAGCTGAGGGTCCTGACTGTTAGAAGGAAAACTAACAAACAGAAAGGACATCCACACCAAAACCATCTGTACGTCACCATCATCAAAGACCAAAGGTAGATAAAACCACAAATATGAGGAGAAATCAGAGCAGAAAAACTGAAAATTCTAAAAATCAGAGCACCTCTCCTCCTCCAAAGGAACACAGCTCCTCACCAGCAATGGAAAAAAGCTGGGCGGAGAATGACTTTGACAAACTGAGAGAAGAAGGCTTCAGATGATCAGTAATAACAAACTTCTCCGAGCTAAAGGAGGATGTTCAAACCCATCGCAAAGAAGCTAAAACCCTCGAAAAAAGATTAGATGAATGGCTAACTAGAATAAACAGTGTAGAGAAGTCCTTAAATGACCTGATGGAGCTGAAAACCATGGCACGAGAACTACGTGATGCATGCACAAGCTTCAGTAGCCGATTTGATCAAGTGGAAGAAACAGTATCCATGATTGAAGATCAAATGAATGAAAGGAAGCGACAAGAGAAGTTTAGAGAAAAAAGAGTAAAAAGAAATGAACAAAGCCTCCAAGAAATATGGTACTATGTGAAAAGACCAAATCTACATCTGATTGGTGTACCTGAAAGTGACTGGGAGAATGGAAACAAGTTGGAAAACACTCTGCAGGATATTATGCAAGAGAACTTCCCCAACCTACCAAGACAGGCCAACAATCAAATTCAGGAAATACAGAGAATGCCACAAAGATACTCCTCGAGAAGAACAACTCCAAGACACATAATTGTCAGATTCACCAAAGTTGAAATGAAGGAAAAAATGCTAAGGGCAGCCAGAGAGAAAGGTCGGGTTACCCACAAAGGGAAGCCCATCAGACTAACAGTGGATCTCTCGGCAGAAACTCTACAAGCCAGAAGAGAGTGAGGGCCAATATTCAGCATTCTTAAAGAAAAGAATATTCAACCCAGAATTTCATATCCAGCCAAACTAAGCTTCATAAGTGAAAGAGAAATAAAATCCTTTACAGACAAACAAATGCTGAGAGATTTTGTCACCACCAGGCCTGCCTTACAAGAGTTCCTAAAGGAAGCACTAAACATGGAAAGGAATAACCAGTACCAGCCACTGCAAAAACATGCCAAATTGTAAAGACCATCAATGGTAGGAAGAAACTGCATCAATTAATGAGCAAAATAACCAGCTAACATCATAATGACAGGATCAAATTCACATATAACAATATCAACTTCAAATGTAAATGGGCTAAATGCTCCAGTTAAAAGACACAGACATGGATAAATTCCTGGACACATACCCCCTCCCAAGACTAAACCAGGAGGAAGCTGAATCTCTGAATAGACCAATAACAGGCTTTGAAATTGAGGCAATAATTAATAGCCTACCAAAAAAAAAGTCCAGGACCAGATGGATTCACAGCCGAATTCTACCAGAGCTACAAACAGCAGCTGGCACCATTCCTTCTGAAACTATTCCAATCAATAGAAAAAGTAAGAATGCTCCCTAACTCATTTTATGAGGCCAGCATCATCCTGATACCAAAGCCAGGCAGAGACACACACACAAAAAAGAGAATTTTAGACCAATATCCCTGATGAACATCGATGCAAAAATCCTCAATAAAATACTGGAAAACTGAATCCAGCAGCTCATGAAAAAGCTTATCCACCATGATCAAGTGGGCTTCATCCCTGGGATGCAAGGCTGGTTCAACATACACAAATCAATAAACATAATCCATCATGTAAACAAAACCAAAGACAAAAACCACATGATTATCTCAAGAGATGCAGAAAAGGCCTTTGACAAAATTCAACAGCCCTTCATGCTAAAAACACTCAATAAACTAGGTATTCATGGGATGTATCTCAAAATAATAAGAGCTATTTATGACAAACCCACAGCCAATTTCATACTGAATGGGCAAAAACTGGGAGCATTCCCTTCGAAAACTGCCATAAGACAGGGATGCCCTCTCTCACCACTCCTATTCAACATAGTGTTGGAAGTTCTGGCCAGGACAATCAGGCAAGAGAAAGAAATAAAGCGTATTCAATTAGGAAAAGAGGAAGTCAAATTGTCCCTGTTTACAGATGACACGATTGTATATTTAGAAAACCCCCTTGTCTCAGCCCAAAATCTCCTTAAGCTGATAAGCAACTTCAGCAAAGTCTCAGGATACAAAATCAGTGTGCAAAAATCACAAGCATTCCTATACACCAATAAATAAAATACCCAGGAATCCAACTTACAAGGGGTGTGAAGGACCTCTTCAAGGAGAACTACAAACCACTGCTCAACGAAATAAAAGAGGACACAAACTAATGGAAGAACATTAATGCTCATGGATAGGAAGAATCAATATTGTGAAAATGGCCATACTGCCCAAGGTAATTTATAGATTCAGTGCCATCCCCATCAAGCTACCAATGACTTTCTTCACAGAATTGGAAATAACTACTTTAAAGTTCAAGTGGAACCAAAAAAAGAGCCCACATTGCCAAGACAATCCTAACCCAAAAGAACAAAGCTGGAGGCATCACGTTACCTGACTTCAAACTATACTACAAGGCTACAATAACCAAAACAGCATGGTACTGGTACCAAAACAGAGATATAAACCAATGGAACAGAACACAGCCCTTAGAATTAATACCACACATTTACAACCATCTGATCTTTGACAAACCTGACAAAAACAAGAAATGGGGAAAGGATTCCCTGTTTAATAAATGGTGCTGGGAAAACTGCCTAGCCATATGTAGAAAGCTGAAACTGGATCCCTTCCCTACACCTTATACAAAAATTAATTCAAGATGGATTAAAGACTTACATGTTAGACCTAAAACCATAGAAGAAAACCTAGGCAGTACCATTCAGGACATAGGCATGGGCAAGGACTTCATGTCTAAAACACCAAAAGCAATGGCAACAAAAGCCAAAATTGACAAATGGGATCTAATTAAACTAAAGAGCTTCTGCACAGCAAAAGAAACTACCATCGGAGTGAACAGGCAACCTACAGAATGGGACAAAAATTTTGCAATCTACTCATCTGACAAAGGGCTAATATCCAGAATCTACAAAGAACTCAAACAAATTTACAAGAAAAAAACAAACAACCCCATCAACAAGTGGGCGAAGGATATGAACAGACACTTCTCAAAAGAAGACATTTCCGCAGCCAACAGACACATGAAAAAATACTCATCATCACTGGCTATCAGAGAAATGCAAATCAAAACCACAATGAGATACCATCTCACACCACTTAGAATGGTGATCATTAAAAAGTCAGGAAACAACAGGTGCTGGAGAGGATGTGGAGAAATAGGAACACTTTTACACTGTTGGTGGGACTGTAAACTAGTTTAACCACTGTGAAAGACAGTGTGGCAATTCCTCAAGGATCTAGAACTAGAAATACCATTTGACCCAGCCATCCCACTACTGGCTATATACCCAAAGGATTATAAATCATGTTGCTATAAAGACACATGCACACGTATGTTCATTGCGGCACTATTCACAATAGCAAAGACTTGGAACCAACCCAAATGTCCAACAATGATAGACTGGATTAAGAAAATGTGGCACATATACACCATGGAATACTATGCAGGCATAAAAAATGATGGGTTCATGTCCTTTGTAGGGACATGGATGAAGCTGGAAACCATGATCCTGAGCAAATTATCGCAAGGACAGAAAACCAAACACCGCATATTCTCGCTCATAGATGGGAATTGAACAATGAGAACCCTTGGACACAGGGTGGGGAACATCACACACCGGGGCCTGTTGTGGGGTAGGGGAGAGGGGAGGGCTAGCATTAGGAGATATACCTAACGTAAATGACGAGTTAATGGGTGAGGCATACCAACATGGCACACGTATACATATGTAACAAACCTGCACATTTTGCACATGCACCCTAGAACTTAAAGTATATAAAAAATAATAATAAAAATAATAATAATTTCCTTATTTCAAGTAATAACAGTTGACTTCCCATAAAGCTAGTATTTTGTATAACACACTTTGGGAAACACTGGATCAGAATCTCTAACTTAAAAACTACAGGTTGAAATAGCTCTGTATAGAAAACTAAGTAAACCTTTTCCTCTTCATCATACATCTCTCATCCCTATCATTTTTTGTCATCCATAAAAGGCATAATAATCACACCTCCCTTTGACTTCAAGTCACTGGTACTCTTGGTGGATATATGAAATTATTTTGGGAAAAAAGCTTATAATCTAAAAATTGTAAATGAAAAATAATTTCATTACTACCCTCTGGAGCATAGATTAGGCTTAGTGACTTGCTTCCAGGGAACATAACACGGAAAGTGGGAGGAAAGTACCTTTACAGTAGAGAAACCTCGGCCAGGTGATCCAGGTTAATAATGTCAGTAATAAGTCAGGTTGCTATCATGGACCCCTGGTATGAGATGATGAGAACACTTCACCTCTGTAGTACTCTTCACCTCTGTAGTACTCTGTAGTACTGTCACAGATAGAGGGAGACTAAGGAGATAGGCTGACTAAATGTAAGGTGGCATCATGGATGGTATCCTGGCACAGAAAAAAACACAGAGAAAAACTAGTAAAATCCAAATAAAGCCTGGAATTTAGTTAATAGTGATGCACCAATGTTGGTTTCTAGTTTTTGCAAATGGTTACGTAGGATGATAAAACAGGGGAAACAGGGATGTGGAGCATATGAGAAATCTTTGTACTTCTTTGTAAGTTTCCAGCAAATCTAAAACTATTCTTAAATGTTTAATTAAAAATATCAGTAATTGCATCTACAATTGCTGAGTATATAAATCAGGCCACATTAAAAGGGTAACTACAAGATAAGAGCATGAATCTGAATCCAAACTTCCAACTTTGAATCCCCGTTCTGCCACCTGCTGACTTCACGATCTTAAGCCATGTCTAAATGTACTCATCTTTAAGAACGAATAACATTCTTAATTCATAAAGGCTAAAAGAGTTAATGATGCAAAGTACGTGAAGCAGAGCATGGCAGCTGTTAAGCATTCCATTAGCTATAAATGTTATGATTGTTTCTTTTTATCATAAGTTTAGAAAACCTAAGAGTGCTAGTTGACAGTAAACAACATAAAAATAAGTGATAACATGACAAAATAAACCAACTAATATAAATTAAACTACTATAGTAGAGTGTAATAGCAGTAGGGTAAAACAAAGGTAGAAAGTAAAATCTCTCCGCTTCATTAATCAGGCCCTATTAAGAGTATTATACATGAGTCTGAGTGTTAACAAGAAAATTTCTTCAAAGACAATCAAGATGCTCAAAACTGTGACATATAAAGAGACAGTTGGAAGACCTGGCAATGTTTAGGCTGGAAAAATAGAAAACTAAGGGAAAATGGGATACAACTTTACAACATGAAGTACTGGCCCGGCATAGTGGCTCACGCCTGTAATCCCAGCACTTTGGGAGGCCAAGGCAGGTGGATCCCTTGGGCCCAGGAGTTTGAGACCAGACTGGGCAACATAGAGAGACATCATCTCTAAAAAAATTAATTAATTAATGTACCTGGGCCTGGTGGCACATACCTGCTGTCCCAGCTATTTGGGATGTTGAGGTGGGAGGATCACCTGAGTCTATGAGGTTGAGGCTGCAGTGAGCTGAGATTGTGCCCCTGCACTCCCGCCTAGGCTACAGAGTGAGACTCTGTCTCAAAGTAAATAAATTAATAAAATAAAACATGAAATATTTTCACATTAACACCGTTGAATATTTATGTAACAACTTCAAAGCCAAACTTGAAAGAAAATTAAATAACTTATTTATACAAAGCAACTACTAATACTTAATAGTAAGAAATATTGCCACTCAGATGATGCACATAAAGAACATAAAAAATATTAACAGATCTGCTTTCTCTGGAATATTATATTCTATTATAATAAATAAACTCACACTTATGTGCATATAATATGCATCTTTTGCTTTTTTTATTTATGTTACTTATTAACATACTAAGATGTCTTCAAGAGGATGGTACACAAGATGTATTAAAGTGATGACTTTTTAAAAATTGAATTTCTTAAGCTCTGCCTTTATTAAAAACCAAGCAACAAATGTTCCATATTTTAAAACCCTAAAGCATATTTAAAAACTGGGGTAAGATTATATTATAAAAATAACTGCAAAATTGTTCCCACAATTATTCTCCTATGCTATACCCTTTTTCTTTTCTTGACATTACACCCAGCATGGTACTTCACTCAATTAGAAGTTAAATAAATATTTTGCATGAAGCTTTGAAACATTAGGATTTATCTGTAGCACATGGATGCAAGTATCTTAAATTCTCCTCTAGAAATGGGAATTTATCAAATAATGATGATAGATACAGAAAAAAGTAAACCCAGGATTCATCTCTATTTATTGTGCTTTATTAAAGCAGAAAGTATTATTGAAAATTGTCATCCTGCCAAACTAAGCTTCATATGTGAAGGAGAAATAAAATCCTTTACAGAAAAGCAAAGGCTGAAGGATTTTGTCACCACCAGGCATGCCTTACAAGAGCTCCTGAAGGAAGCATTAAATATGGAAAGGAAAAACTGGTACCAGCCCCTGCTAAAACAAACAAAAATGTGAAGACCATTGACACTATAAAGAACTGCATCAACTAATGGGCAAAATAACCAGTTAGCATTATAATGACAGAATCAAATTCATACATAACAATATTAACCTTAAATGTAAATGGGCTAAATGCCCCAATTAAAAGTCACAGACTGGCAAATTGGATAATGAGTCAAGACCCATCAGTGTGCTGTATTCAGAGGAGACCCATCTCATGGAGGAAGACACACAAAAGCTCAAAATAAAGGGATGGAGGAAGATTTGCCAAGCAATTGTAAAGCAAAAAAAAAAAAAAAAAAAAGCAGGGGTTGCAATCCTAGTCTCTGATAAAAGAGACTTTAAACCAACAAAGATCAAAAAAAGACGAAGAAGGGCATTACATAATGGTAAAGGGATCAATGCAACAAGAAGAGCTAACTATCCTAAATATATATGCACCCAATACAGGAGCACCCAGATTCATAAAGCAAGTTCTTAGAGACCTACAAAGAGACTTGGACTCCCACACAATAATAGTGGGAGACTTTAACACCCCACTGTCAATATTATACAGATCAATGAGACAGAAAATTAACAAAGATATTCAGGACTTGAACTCAGCTCTGGACCAAGTGGACCTAATAGATATCTACAGAACTCTCCACCATAAATCAACAGAATATATGTTCTCCTCAGCACCACACCACACTTATTCTAAAATTGACCACATAATTGGAAGTAAAACACTCCTCAGCAAATGCAGAAGAATGGAAATCATAACAAACAGTGTCTCAGACCACAGTGCAATCAAATTAGAACCCAAGATTAAGAAACTCACTCAAGGAAGAATGTTAGTGCTGACAGAAGTTTCATGAGGTTGGGTGTGGTGGCTCATGCTTGTAATCACAGCACTTTGGGAGGCCAAGGTGGGCAGATCACTTGAGGCCAGGAGTTCGAGACAGGCCTGATCAACATGGTCAAAGTCTGTCTTTACAAAAAATAGAAAAATTAGTGGGGGAGGTTCCAAGATGGCTAGATAGGAACAGCTCCAGTCTACAGCTCCCAGCATGAGCGACGCAGAAGATGGATGATTTCTGCATTTCCAACCAACCTACCAGGTTCATCTCACTGGGGCTTGTCAGACAGTGGGTGCAGCCCACGGAGCAGGGCGGGGCATCGCCTTACCTGGGAAGCACAAGGGGTCGGGGAATTCCCTTTCTAGCAAAGGGAAGCTGTGACAGACGGTACCTGGAAAATCGGGAAACTCCCACCCTAGTACTGCGCTTTTCCAACGGCCTTAGCAAACGGCACACCAGGAGATTATATCCCACGACCTGGCTCGGAGGGTCCCACACCCATGGAGCCTTGCTCACTGCTAGCACAGCAGTCTGAGATGGAACTGCAAGGCGGCAGTGAAGCTGGGGGAGGGGCATCTGCCATTGCTGAGGCTTGAGTAGATACACAAAGCAGCCAGGAAGCTCGAAATGGGTGGAGCCCACCACAACTCAAGGAGGCCTGCCTGCCTCTGTAGACTCCACCTCTGGGGGCAGGGCATAGCTGAACAAAAGGCAGCAGAAACTTCTGCAGACTTAAACGTCCCTGTCTGACAGCTTTGAAGAGAACAGTGTTTCTCCCAGCATGGAGTTTCAGATCTGAGAACCCACAGACTGCCTCCTCAAGTGGGTCCCTGACCCCTGAGTAGCCTAACTGGGAGACACCTCCCAGTAGGGGCAGACTGACACCTCATATAGTCAGGTGCCCCTCTGAGACAAAGCTTCCAGAGGAAGGATCAGACAGCAACATCTGCCGTTCTGCAATATTTGCTGTTCTGCATCCTCTGCTGGTGATACCCAGGCAAACAGGGTCTGGAGTGGACCTCCAGCAAACTCCAACAGACCTGCAGCTGAGGGTCCTGACTGTTAGAAGGAAAACTAACAAACAGAAAGGACATCCACACCAAAACCCCATCGGTACATCACCATCATCAAAGACCAAAGGTGGATAAAACCACAAAGATGGGGAGAAACCAGAGCAGAAAAGCTGAAAATTCTAAAAATCAGAGCGCCTCTTCTCCTCCAAAGGAATGCTGCTACTCGCCAGCAATGGAACAAAGCTGGACGGAGAATGACTTTGACGAGTTGAGAGAAGAAGGCTTCAGATGATCAGTAATAACAAACTTCTCCAAGCTAAAGGAGGATGTTCGAACCCATCGCAAAGAAGCTAAAAACCTTGGGAAAAGATTAGATGACTGGCTAACTAGAATAAACAGTGTAGAGAAGTCCTTAAATGACCTGATGGAAGCTGAAAACCATGGCACGAGAAATACATGACGCATGCACAAGCTTCAGTAGCTGATTTGATCAAGTGGAAGAAAGAGTATCAGTGATTGAAGATCAAATGAATGAAAGGAAGCGACAAAAGAAGTTTAGAGAAAAAAGAGTAAAAAGAAATGAACAAAGCCTCCAAGAAATACGGGACTATGTGAAAAGACCAAATCTACATCTGATTGGTGTACCAGAAAGTGACTGGGAGAATGGAGCCAAGTTGGAAAACACTCTGCAGGATATTATACAGGAGAACTTCCCCAACCTACCAAGGCAGGTCAACAGTCAAATTCAGGAAATACAGAGAACGCCACAAAGATACTCCTCAAGAAGAGCAACTCTAAGACACATAATTGTCAGATTCACCAAAGTTGAAATGAAGGAAAAAATGCTAAGGGCAGCCAGAGAGAAAGGTTGGGTTACCCACAAAGGGAAGCCCATCAGACTAACAGCAGATCTCTCGGCAGAAACTCTACAAGCCAGAAGAGAGCGGGGGCTCATATTCAACATTCTTAAAGAAAAGAATTTTCAACACAGAATTTCATATCCAGCCAAACTAAGCTTCATAAGTGAAGGAGAAATAAAATCCTTTACAGGCAAGCAAATGCTGAGAGATTTTGTCACAACCAGGCCTGCCTTACAAGAGCTCCTGAAGGAAGCACTAAACATGGAAAGGTACAACCAGTACCAGCCACTGCAAAAACATGCCAAATTGTAAAGACCATCAATGCTAGGAAGAAACTGCATCAACTAATGAGCATATTTTCTTCTTTCATTAGTTTCAACGAAGGGCAAGTCACCACTTTACCAGGATCATCCCCTTCCTCTGTGCTCAGATCCCATCCCCACCTGCCTCCTTACAGAGCTCAGGTCATTGCACTTTTTCTTTCCACCCTCTATCTTTGACCTCTATTGAATCTTACTGTATCCTCCTCATTAGCATTCAGGCTGGTTCTAGTCTCTTCTAGCTTTTTTCATAAAAGTGTCCCTTTGTCCATGTCATTCTCACTCAATAATTCATTCGTTCAATAAATATTTACTGAGCCAACTATGATATACCAGACACCAGTGACCCAAACAGACAAAACCCTATCCTCATAGAGTTTATATCTTAAAAGGGGAAGACATATGGCTTGAATAAAATAAGCAAACAGGCCAGGCAAGGTGCCTCACACCTGTAATCCCAGCACTTTGGGAGGCCAAGGCGGGCAGATCACTTGAGGTCAGGAGTTTGAGACCAGCCTGGCCAACATGGTGCAATCCCCTCTCTACCAAAAATGTAAAAAATTAGCCGGGTGTGGTGGTGCATCCCTGTAATCCCAGCTACTCAGAAGCTGAGGCAGGGGAATCTCTTGAACCTGGGAGGCAGAGGTTGCGGTGAGCCAAGATTGTGCCACTGAATTCCAGCGTGGGTGACAGAGTGAGACTCCGTCTCAAAAAAAAAGCCAACAATCATATGGACTAGCAGATAATAGTACTGTGTTTAAAAATTAAGTAGCAGTAGGAGAAAAGGAATGGTATGAGAGAGCACAGTTTTAAATGGGGTGTTCCAGGAAGGTCCATTGAGAAATAATTGAGCAAAGCCCTGGAAGTTATGAGGAGTGGAGACCTAGGAGACATGGAGACCAAGGAGAAGAGCGTTCCAGACAGAGGATCTTCCTCTTTATTCTTTATGTTCTTTCTTCCATTATCATGGTTTACATACTACCTAAACGCTGATACTTTAAAATATATATCTGATTTCTCTTCTGAGCTCCAGATCTATATCTCTGCCGCCAACCTCCCATCTCAATTTGGATGCCCTCTCCTGTATTGGTGTCCTGTCACTTCCATAACCAATTACCACAAAATGAGTGGCTTAAAGCAACAGAAATTTCCTCTCTCACAGTTCTGGAAGCCAAAAGTCCAAAATCAAGAATTTGTCAGGCTGCACTCTCTCTGGAGCTCAGCAGAAAATCCATTCTTTGCCTTTTCTAGTTTCTGGTGACTCCAGGTATTCCCTGGCTTGTGTCTGCAAAACTTCAGTCTCTGCCTCCATCTGCACATCACCTTCTCTTCTGTTTCTGTGTCTTCTCCTCTTCCGTCCTTTTATAAGAACACTCGTCATTGGATTTAGGGCCTGCCGAGATAATCCAGGCTTTTGGCTTCTCAAGATCCCAAAGTTAATTACATCTGCAAAGACCCTTTCTCCAAATGAGGTCACATTCACAGATTCTAGGGATTAGGATGTGGATGTATCTTTTGGGGGGCGAACTTTCAACTCATACATACTTAACATTTGTTACCATGTTTAAATATGAAAACTTGATCCCCACCCCCAGCCTCCCCTGCTCTCAATCTTCTCCTCCTCCAGTGCTCTCTCAGCAAATGGCTCTACCAGGTTCAGATGTTTATGCTAGCCACCTCTCCTTTATGATGTCTCTCTTTCCCTTACTGCCTCACTTCCAGTAACCTCTCTCCTTCTCCCCTTCCCTCCCTCCCCTGCTTCACTGCGGCTGTCCTATCCTAGATCACCATTTTCTCACAAAAGCATTCTATCTAGTCTTCTTGCTTCCAACTTTGCTGATATTCCAAATCGTCCTGATTTAGTGGCTTTTGCAGGACACATTCCTGCAGGTGGCTTATGAGACCCCACTCCCACCTGCTCCCCACAGGGATCTGGAGACATCTCCTTTCCCAGGCTCACTGCACAGCCCTCCCTTCCACCCATGGCTTTCAAATCCTCAAACCTGCCATTCCTAATATAACACCTTTGGCCCTTCATTTGTACCAATCTCTCCAACAGAAACACTCTTTCCAGCCTTTTTTCCAAAATTATTTCCTACTCATCTTTAGACTTCTCCTTCTGAAAAACTGATTATTTTCAATTCCACATTTAAGTGAAGCCATGCAGTATTTGTCTTTCTGCATCTGGTTTATTTTTCTTAGCATAATGTCTCCCTGATCATATATATATATATATATATATATATATATATATATATATATATATATATACACTTACATTTTTGTTTCCATATCTTGGCTATTGTAAATAATGCTGCAATGAACATAGGAGTGCAGATATTTCTTCAAGATCCTGATTTCATTTTCTTTGGATATATACCCAGAATTGGAATTTCTAGATCATCAGGTAGTTCTAGTTTTAATTTTTTGAGAAACCTTCATAATGTTTTCCATAAAAATTTTATCAGCTTAAATTCCCATCAGTAATGTACAAGGGTTCCCTTTTTTCTACACCCTTGCCAACGCTTGGTATGTCTTTTGTTTTTTATAATAGCCATCCTAACAGATGCGAAGTTATATCTTATATGGTTTTGATTTGCATTTTCCTGATAATTGGTGATGTGGAGCACCTTTTCATATGCCTGTTGGCCATTTGTATGTCTTCTTTGAAAAAATGTCTACTCAGATCTTTTATCCATTTTTTAATTGGGTTGGTTTTTTTCTATTGAGTTATATAAGTTTCTTATTTATTTTGGATACTAACCTTTTGTCTGATATATGGTTTGCAAATATTGCCTTCTATTCTGCAGATTGCCTTTTCACTCTATAGATTGTTACCTTTGCTGTGCTGAAGATTTTTAGTTTGATGCAATCTCATTTGTCTACTTTTGCTTATCTTGCCTGTGCTTTTGGTCTCATATTCAAAAAAAAAAAAAACACTGATCATTTATTACGTAAATGCAATATCCTTGGAGTGTTGCAACTCTTTATTTGTTGAAAACTTCATAAATCCAAATAAGTCTTTTCCTAGAAGCAGTACTGACATTCAATTTTTTTTTGTTATACTTTAAGTTTTAGGGTACATGTGCACAACGTGCAGGTTTCTTACATATGTATACATGTGCCATGTTGGTGTGCTGCACCCATTAACTCGTCATTTAACATTAGGTATATCTCCTAATGCTATCCCTCTCCCCTCCCCCCACCCCACAACAGGCCCCGGTGTGTGATGTTCCCCTTCCTGTGTCCATGTGTTCTCATTGTTCAATTCCCACCTGTGAGTGAGAATATGCGGTGTTTGGTTTTTTGTCCTTGCGATAGTTTGCTGAGAATGATATTCAATTTTCAAGCACACAATTCTTTTTTGTTGCCATTAATGGAAGACATCCAAATCGCATCCCCTCAATGGGCTGTTAATGCCAGAAAGGCCTACAGACTAATAGGCCTACAACCTTCTTTTTACAAACGAAGACAGCTGAGAGGCAGAGTTTCTTGCCCCAGAGCACATAGTATTTTTCATTTCAGTGCCTGAATAAGATCTCTTGACTCGTAATATAGTGGCCTCCCAGTCTGCCTAGCTGTGTCTCATTTGAGAATGTGTGGGAAAAAATAGCCTACCAAAGAATTATGTTGCAAATTATGTAACTATTTGTGAATCATTACAGATTTTTCTCATAAAATATAAGCAGTAAGGAAAACTAGTATATAAAAAAAGAAAACTAGTATTTATTGAGCCCCATGTCTACAATCTTTCTAGGTGAATTTCGTGTGCTCTTTCACTTAATTCTTATAAGAATCCTGTAAGTCAAATATTATTACTCCCATATTACAGAAGAGGAACTAAGAACAGAAATTAAGAGAATATAGTAACTTCTCAAAGCAATACACCTTGTAAACGGCATAATTCCTATTAGAATCCAGCTCTGTCTCAAAGCAAAATGTAATCCCTTTCCTCTAAACTAAAACAAAAAAAAATGTTTTTAATGTCCACAGCTACTGACAAACTCTTCTGCTGCACCACTTGTTACCAATGGCAGGTATCTGAGTTACTGGCAACGTACCCGTACGGGTCTGCAGTAACCTCAATTCTTGCCTCCTCAGAAGAAAGAATTCAGCTGAGAAGCATAGGGCAGAAAAGGAGACCGAGGCAAGCTCCAGAGCAGGAATGGAAGCTTATTAAAAAGGCTTTAGAACAAGAAAGAAAGGAAAGAACACATGGAAGAGATCCAAGTGGGTGACTTGGAGAACAAGTGCGGTGTGTAACCGTGATCCTAGGACTTTATACGCTGCCATCTTACGCCCTTTTCCCATGATTCTTCCCTTAGGGTGGGCAGCCCACATATCCAGTGCCCTCCTTACCTTTAGGAAGTGAGCATGCACGGTGTGTTTAGGAAGTTATATCCATTCCCATCTGAGGCTTTCTTCCCTCACCCGGCAATGTGCCCCCAGAAGGCCATACTCCACGATTTTGTCTCTTAACACGCATGCCCAGGAAGTTGCTCCTCCTTGGTGCCTGCATTCAATTAACACTTTAATGTTAACAGCTGTGGATCATCAGGAGCTTGTCTCTCCCTAGCTCCAGCTACTGGCAATGTGGTAATTGTCAAACCATCACCTGGCATTCCTACTGAGTCGGGGAAAAGCACCTTCTCCTATCTCGCTCATGCCTGTCTACCTACCTGTAACACACTGACTGGTCCAAAAGCGTAAGGCCTTTCTCCAAAAGACTTCTTTAATTTTTATACACAAGTAAAGTACAAGGACTTCCTGAATTGTTAAGTTTACTAAAATTTAGTGTTTATAAATTAAAGTGAATGCATTACTACAGTTTGCAGAGAGCTCTAATTCAGTGTTCTACTAAAGGTGAACTAGTATACCAAGCTCCGTCATGCACGCCCACATAAAAATAGGGAGAATTCCGACCATTTTATGTTATTGGTTTATTGGCAAATCATCTGCGTAGTTTTCATATGATCATGATGCCTAGCTGCTGTTATTTCCACTTATGAACTCTTTATCATCTCTGGATGTTAGCAACAGAGGCTAGAGTATTGGCTCCAGAGTCAGACGACCTTCTCCTGTGCCCCTGGCCAACTTGCTCAACATTTTTATTTCCCAGTTTCCTTGCAGGGTTATCTCTCATAGAATCAAAGCAAGTACATATCAGGCACTTAGAGTAGTGGGTGGAACATAATGGTTTCTTAATAACCGTTAGTTATTATTTCAACTTAGTTTTGTGAGACTATTTGGTTAAGTCAATGGTCTCTAGTAACGCATATTTGCATAGTTTGGTCTTTCATTGCCTACTTACTGGAATTTAAGACCTGTATTATTAATCATCCATGACACCACTGTTAAACAGATGATTTTATGATCCCCTTAACATTTGCTTGTACACTGATATTATCATAAATGTGGTCTGTGAATTTGTACTATGTAATAATTTGTAACATGTTACCAAATGGAATTCAATAAAACCCTTGTCATTTTTTGTTTTATATAGAACTGTTTTTTAAAATGTAAAGGCATAAACTTATTTTCTCTTAAATATAAATAATAATGAATAATTTACATATTTTGGTATGAAAAGTTTTTACCTAGTTCTTTCTTGTTTTATTTGTTTTTTAACATTTCTCTTTCTTTTGGAAAGCGGCAATCAGTGCTCTAGGTGAGCCATAAAGAATTTTGCCCCAATAAGTGAAGGAGAGTCAAAAAAATTTGCAAATCAAAAAAAAAATCTATCACATCAAACTTCCAAAATTATCATACTATCACTCGGCCTTGTACTATAGGTGTCTTCCCACATGCATCTTAACTCCTCAACAAGATTATATTTGCTGGAGGGCAGAACCCCTGCATGAATTGTGTTGATGGATGGCCTCTTGTGCCATTGAGTGAAGAGTCTTGCATTTAGGAGTTTCTCCATAAGAAGTAAGAAGGAGGATTGGAGCTACTCCTTGAGCATATCCTTTAATCACACTCCATTAGATATGAAAATGATTTCTTTCATGATTGGGCTTTGGTTGGAAAATTGCTGGAATCAAAACACTGTTATAGACTTTTAGATATGCTATGTGTTTGAACTATTTCTCTGATAATAGCAGCAGCACTGGAAATTTAACTATGAATTATAAACAGTTTTCCAACACCGGAACTTAATAAGACTTCTTAAATGGCACAAGTCCAAAGTTAAAGGTCACAGAGAAAATGAGAGTCTGACAGGTACTAATGCCTACGAAGGTGGACTAGCATCATAAGATGTCACTGCCTTTCACTATACCAATAGCACACTCCACCACTGATTGGCAGGAGTTCTTCCACTACTGGGAATTGATTTAAGTCACTCGAGATCTTTATTTTGACGATGATTGACATCTAAAGTGCCTCTCTAGCAAAAAGTTTTGCTACTCTGACCTTCAAAAATTTATGTCACAAGCTCCAAGAAAATGTGCCAGATGGTGAGGACCCACAGAGAATTTAAGGCAGCTAAGCTCATCCCTCCCCTTATTAAATGAGCATTCAAAATTTGGGAGGGAGGGAAACACCTGCCAAAGATCAAGACTGCTTATTACATAAGCATAAGAAACAACTCTTTGACTTTCTTTTACACAAAACACAGTCATGTTTGATAAGGACAATCACATGAGAAACTGGGGAGGACCAAAGCTAGGTAGCTGCTTCAGCTTTAAAAGAAAACAATGTACCATGAAGGAAGACTAGACAACATTACCTCTCATATTGCTATTTCACTTCATTCCAATATGTAGGAGGTCACTCATTCTTCCAAAGATGAATGTGGCCTTTATCTGTATCTATATTGGGAGGGGACAGTGACAGAAAAGATAAGAGCATTGTATGGAAGAAATAATTCTTTTTGTACAATATGGAATTATGTGTTTCCAGACAAATTTTTGCTTGTTACAAATACTTGGATTTTTTTATTTGTTCTACATGCACAGAGTTATTACAATTGCCATTGAAAGAAGTTCAATTTAATTTGATATGTTCATTCCTTAGTATATTAAGCACCACAGGGTACAGAGATGGGTAAGGGACGTTTATTTGTCAAAGAGTTTGTAATCAACAAGGAGGTGAGGAGTGTTGAAGAGTCATCATACTACAAGGTAGGCAGAGGAAAGTGTCCCTAGAGTCCAGCTGCCAGATGTTCTCGTTCCTGATCTGCAATTCACTAACCCTATAATCTTGGGCGGGTTATGGAATCTGGCAATGTCTCCTTGTCTTCATCTGGAAATAGGACAACAATAGTTAGTAGAACACAGGTTTTGTCTGAGGATTAAATGAGTGAATACAGGCAAGTTCTTAATATGATGACTAGTACATGAGAAACACTGAATTCATGTCAGCTATTACTATAATTAGAGTTACTCAATTTAAGCACTATGGTGTTTCCTAGGAAAAGACATTGCATGTAATTTAGAGGATTAGAAAATGTTTGGGAAAACAAAATGTGGCATTTGGAATTAGTCTCTTAAAAATCAGCATCATTGGATGGGGAGCAAAGGGAGGGAGAGCATTAGAACAAATACCTAATGCATGCAGGGCTTAAAACCTAGAGGACAGGTTGATAGGTGCAGCAAACCACCATGGCACATGTATACCCATGTAAAAAACCTGCACGTTCTGCACATGTATCCCTGAACTTAAAGTAAAATAAAATAAAATTTTTTTAAATGGGTATAATTTTAAGAAGTGTGGAGGGAACTGCGTAAAGAACAGTGTGGAAGTCGGAAACCTTGTAGCGTAGTATGCAACAGCAGAGCAGCACTTATTCGCAGGACTATGAGGTACTTGCACTGGAGGAAGAAGACATGAGTCTAAAGTGTTGAAAGTGTTAATGGAAGAGTCCACATTTCAGATGGCAGGATTTTAACAGAAAGTCAGTTGAGAGAGTGGGCTATTTTCAGGGCATATGAAGCACAGATATTAACAAGAGGTGAAAATCCCAGTGCCTCTTCCAAAGAGAAGGCAACAATGACTCACTAATATAAGTCTACATTCGGTGTCAGGAGAGTGTGTCTTGGGAGATGAGGAAACTTGGACTTGAATGAGTGTGAGCTGTCAGTAAGAGAGCCACAAACGCAGTCAGAAATGTTCCAAGGTGACCCAAAACAGCTGACCTGAACACCAAACTGTAGTCAGAAAAATTCAGTTGGTAGTCCTTGCTTTTACAACTTTTAGGAAACTGAAGAGCTAGGTTATTAAATAACTCTCCCATAATCACATATTTCATTGTTTATAATAGTGAAATCATAATTTGTGATTTCTGAATCATTTTTTCATAAGATTTCAAAGATTTCCTTCGTAAGAATAAAGTAAAAACTATTCACCAGTTTCTCCCCAGAATGTGATTTCCTACTTGAATATCACCACAGGTGGGGTTCTTAGATACCTGAGTCACACTGTTTCTTGTTAACTGATTATTCCATGACCCTTTTCACCTTTGAAGGGGCACTGTCCAAAGCAGAGGATAACTATAGCTGATCTGATTGGGTTCTAATACAGCTCTGTAACCCTCAGGATTACCACAGATGACAATAAATATATACCCTTTTTTATAAATGAAGAAATAAGTATAAAGAAAATAAATTGCCACTGAAGTCACACATCAAATTGATAGGCAAAGGGGCTGTGTGGCTTTGTTCAAGCTACCAAAGCCAAAAGCACCATCATTTATTTATCTGCAAAGCCAGGATAATAAGAATGTCTTCTTCATAGGGTAATTGTAAGGGTTAAATGAGATAGTCTACATAAATGCTAAGCACAGTGCCTGGCCATAAATATGCCCTGCTATTTTGACCTGTTATTTTGGTTTGATTTCTCTATGCAGTTGAGTAGAACATATGTGACACATAAAATTCTCACCAGAAAGAAGCACAAGCTAATTGTTTACCTACTAAAAAGAAACAAAAATGAGTACAAGCGCTGCAGAAATCTAGGAAAATGTATTTCCTAGTTCAGGCATTGATACGTTCTTACATTTGCATGTGCTACATCATAAGCAATCAAATCAAAAGGATTTTTCAGAAAAATAAAACTACTTTATAAATACAAAAAAACCTCTTCCTGATCTAAGAGTTTTGTAAGGTTGGATGTTTCTATGTCGAGTGCATATTTGTGTACCGTATTGTGACTAAAATTTACATAGGTTGTTGTCCACCTTCTTCATTCAAATCACTCTATATCACTTTGATTTTGGAATAAATATAATGCTAGAACTACATTTTCCCTCTATTTTAAAGCAGTCTCTTAGAAATAACTCTCAGTTTTGCATCATTCAAATTTGTGTCTTAACACTCTTATAAATATATCTTAAAATAAGATTTTCTCGCATACAATAACACTACTAGTGTTGTTGATCTATATAAAGTGAATAATAAAAATGACAGAGTATTATCCAACTGAAAGTACCTCTAATTTAGAAATAAGGCATGATAACATGTTATTTAACCATGCTAGGGTTTAGCTACAGATGAAATCATGTATATAAAGCTACTGTCTCCACCAGAATCAATATTGTTAAATGCCTGAGTTTCCCATCCTATATTTTCTCATACACATTGCTTTAACTGTAGGCAACATTTAACACAATTGCTCCCTCTATTTATAGCCAAAAAGTATGGGACCATCTTCAAGCAACTCACTCTACTTGGTGACATTTCCTCTTTCTTCACATTCTCCCAATATTATTAATTAAACATTTTATTTTGAGGTCATTTCTTACATAATTTGTAAGAAATAATACAGAGAGATCCCATGTAACCTTTACCCAATTTTCCCCAACAATAACATGTTGCAAAATCATAGTACAATGTCACAACCAGGATATTGACATTGGTATAGGAAGACCCGGAACATTTCCATCTCCACAGGGACCCCTTATGTTCCCTTTCATAGCCACACCCACTCCTCTTCCACTCCCGTCCTCTCCTTAAGCCCGATAGCTACCAATTTGTTCTCCATTTCTATAATTTTGTCATTTCAAGAATTTTATACAAATAGAATCCTATAGTATGTGACTTTGGTAGTTGACATTTTTACTCAACAAAATTCCCTGGAGATTCATCCAAGTTGTTGTGTACACCACTAATCTATTCTTTTTTAAAAAAAAATTTATTGATACATAATAATTATACACATTTATGAGACACATATTTTTATACATGCATACAACAAGTAATGATCAAATCAAGGTAACTAAGATATCCATCACCTCAAATATTAATCACTCTGTGTTGCAAACATTAGAAATCTTCTCTTCTAGATATTCTGAAATATACAACAAGTTATTATTACTATAGTTACCTTACCATACTATTAAACACTAGAACTTATTCCATCTATCTAGTTGTATTTTTGTACCCATTAGCCAAATTATCTTCATTCCCCCGGGTTCCAGAGGAACAGAATATTAAAGATGGAGTTCTTTCGGTGATTTTGAGGATTCTGGAGTTGGCTGCTTAATGTGATTAGACTCAAAAATGCTAAGGAGTGTATTTCTAATAGTATGGAGAACAATGGTAGCCCTTGGCATGAACTGTTTAGAGAGTTATGCAAAATAAATGCATTTGACCCTCCTGATTCACCACTTGTGAGAGGCAAGGAGTTTAGTGACTCTATACATAATAAATTTGACCATATGTGGAGAACCAAGGAACATAATGAAACTGGTTGGTTGCTCCTAAGTTCACTGGACAAAGTGATGAAAGAAAATGATGAACTCAGGGATTCTGTCTCCCAGCTTCAGAAGTAGATACTGAGCCTTAAATCTGCCAAGATTGCTCTGAGTGTGAGTCTTATCATCTGTAGAGAAAAAGTTGAAATTGTGGAAAAACAGGCAGAAGCTCTTATCATACGAGTAGCTGACCTGCAATGAAAGGTACATGCACAGCCTCGCCAGGTGTCTACTGTTAAAGTGAGGGCATTGATTGGAAAGAATGGGACCCTGCAACTTGAAATGGGGATGTGTGGGAGGACCCTGATGAAGCTGGGGACACTGAGTTTGTAAACTCTAATGAATCTTTTTTGCCAGAAGAAACAACATCCTCATTCCTATTAGTGGCAATATCCCTTCCCCGACCCACGCTGCCATCAGCCTTTGCACTTTTGTCTGAGGAGATAAACCCTGGGCTGCCTGAAGCAACAGTGATGGCCTCCCCTGAGGCAGTTGCCAGGCAAAATAATGTTGATTCTCCCTAGGAACTACCCCCAGCACCCCTGTTTGTTTCTAGAACTATAACTAGACTAAATCTGAGGTGAGTTTGACAGTGTGACCCACGAGGAGGTTCACTATACTCGAAAAGAACTGCTTGGGTTTTCTAATTTATATAAACAGAAATCTGGAGAACAGGCATGGGAATGAATATTAAAGATGTGAGATAATGGTGGACAGAACATAGAGTTGGATCAGGCTGAATTTATTGATTTGGGCCCACTAAGTAGGGACTCTGCATTTAATGTTTCAGCTCGGGAAGTTAAAAAAGGTTCTAATAGTTTATTTGCTTGGTTAGCTGAACTATGGATTAAAAGTTGGCCCACTGTGAGTGAGCTGGAAATGCCTCATCTCCCTTGGTTTAATGTAGAGGAAGGGATCCAAAGGCTTAGGGGGATTGGGATGGTGGAGTGGTTAGTCACTTTAGACCTACTTATTCCAGCTGGGAGTGTCCAGAAGATAAACCCTTGACCAAAGCCTTGCAAAATAGATTTGTGAGGGCAGCACCTGCATCTTCGAAGAGCCCTTCTCTGTAATTGCTCTTCTCAGTATGTCAGATTTAACAGTGGGAACAACAGTCACTCAACAGGGGCCAACTGGTAGTACTCAACCATCAAAGGCAAGGTGGGCATAACTACCGTAATGGACGGTGGAGGCAAAGTGGCAATCAGAATAGTCTGACTCGTGTAGAGCTCTGGCATTGGCTAATTAATCACAGTGTTCCTAGAACTGAAAATGATAGGAAGCCTAGTACATTCCTACTTAATTTATACAAGCAGAAAACTTCTAGGTCAAATGGACAGAAGACTAATTTGAATTATAAAAACAGAGAATCATGGCCCATCAACCAAATTCCAGAATTGAGCCAGTTTACAGACCCAGAACCCCTTGAATGAAGCAGAGGCTGGGTCCCCTTGAGGAAGGACCCCACTACAGTACCAACAATTTATGCAGTGAATCTTTCTGCCATCCTTCCCCAAGGAGACCTTTGGCCTTTCACCTGGGTAACTGTGTAATGGAGAAAAGGAAATGATCAGACATTTCAGAAACTACTGGACACTGGCTCTGAACTGACATTGATTCCAGGGGACCCAAAACGTCATTTTGATCCTCCAATTAAAGTAGGGGCTTATGAAAGCCAGCTAATTAATGGAGTTTTAGCTCAGGTCTGACTTACAGTGGGTCCAGTGTGTCCCTGGACTCATCCTGTTGTCATTTTCCCAGTGCCAGAATGCATAATTGGCATAGACATGCTTAGCAGCTGGCAGAACCCCCACATTGGCTCCCTGACTGGTAGGGTGAGGGCTATTATGGTGGGAAAGGCCAAATGGAAGCCATTAGAGCTGCCTCTACCTAGAAAAATAGTAAATCAAAAACAATATTGCATCCCTGAAGGTATTGAGGAGATTAGTGCCACCATCAAGGACTTGAAAGATGCAGGGGTGGTGATTCCCACCACATCCCCATTCAACTCTTTCATTTGGCCTATGCAGAAGACAGATGGATCTTGGAGAATTACGGTAGATTATTGTAGGCTTGACCAAGTGGTGACTCCAATTGCAGCTACTGTACCAGATGTGGTTTCATTGCTTGAGCAAATTAACACATCTTCTGGTACCTCGTATGCAGCCATTGACGTGGCAAATGCGTTTTTCTCCATTCCTGTCCATAAGGCCCCCAGAAGCAATTTTCCTTCAGCTGGCAAGGCCAGCAATATACCTTTACTGTTTTACCTCAGGGGTATGTCTACTCTCCGGCTTTGTGTCATAATCTTATTTGGAGAGACACTGATCGCTTTTCACTTCTGCAAGATATCTCTCTGGCCCATTATTACATTGATGACATTATGCTAATTGGATCCAGTGAGCAAGAAGTAGCAAACACACTTATTGGTGAGATATTTGCATGCCAGAGGATGGTAAATAAACCTGACTAAAATTCAGGGACCTTTTACCTTAGTAAAATTTCTAGGGGTCCAGTGGTGGGGGGCCTGTCAAGATATTCCTTCTAGGGTGAAGGATAAGTTGCTGCATTTTGTACCTCCTACAACCAAGAAAAAGGCACAATGCCTAGTGGGCCTACTTTTATTTTGGAGGCAACACATTCCTCATTTGGGTGTGTTACTCTGGCCCATTTATCCAGTGACCCAAAAAGCTGCCAGTTTTGAGTTGGGTCCAGAACAGGAGAAGGCTCTGCAACAGGTCCAGACTGCTGTGCAAGCTGCTCTGCCACTTGGGCCGTATGACCCAGGAGATCCAGTGGTGCTTGAGGTGTCAGTGGGAAATAGGGATGTTGTTTGGAGCCTTTGGTAGGTCTTCATAGGTGAATCACAGTGGAGGTCTCTAGGATTTTAGAGCAAGGCCCTGCCATCTTCTGCAGATAACTACTCTCCTTTCGAGAGACAGCTCTTGGCCTCGTACTAGGCTTTGGTGGAAACTGAACGTTTGACTATGGGTCATCAAGTCATCATGCAACCTGACCTGCCTATCATGAACTGGCTGCTTTCTGACCCATCTGGCCATAAAGTGGTCATGCACAGCAGCATTCCATCATCAAATGGAAGTGGTATATATGTGATTGGGCTCCAGCAGATCCTGAAGGCACAAGTAAGTTACATGAGGAAGTAGCTCAAATGCCCATGGTCTCCACTTCTGCCACCCTACAATCTCTCCCCCAGCCTGCACTGATGGCCTCATGGGGAGTTCCCTGTGATCAGTTGACAGAGGAAGGGAAGACTAGGGCCTGGTTCACAGATAGATCTGCACGATATGCAGGCACCACCTGAAAGTGAATAGCTGCAGTGCTACAGCTCCTTTCTAGGACATCCGTGAAGGACAGCAGAGAAGGGAAATCTTCCCAGTGGGCAGAACTTCCAGCAGTGCACCTGGTTGTGCACTTTGCATGGAAGGAGAAATAGCCAGATGTGCGATTATATATGGTTCATGGGATGTAGCCAATGGTTTGGCTGGATGGTCAGGGACTTGGAAGAAGCATGATTGGAAAATCGGTGACAAAGAAATTTGGGGAAGAGGTATGTGGAAGGACCTCTCTGAGTGGTCAAAAACTGTGAAGATATTTGTGCCCCATGTGAGTGCTCACCAATGGGTGACCTCAGTAGAGGAGGAGTTTAATAATCAAGTGGATAGGATGACCTGTTCTGTGGACACCACTCTGCCTCTTTCCCCAGCCACCCCTGTCATTGCCCAATGGGCCCAAGAACAAAGTGGCCATGGTGGCAGGGATGGAGGTTATGCATGGGCTCAGCAACATGGATTTCCACTCACCAGGGAAGACCTGGCTACAGCCACTGCTGAGTGCCCAATTTGCCAGCAGCAGAGACCAACACTGAGCCCTCGATATGGCTTAAAATAACAGAAATGTATTGTCTTACAGATCCGTAGGCAGAAGTTCAAAATCAAGGTGTTGGCAAGGCCCTGCTCCCTGCAGAGACTCTAGGATGGATTCTTACTTGCCTCTTCCAGCTTCTGCTGATTCTGGGTATTTCCTGGCCTGTGTATGCATAACTCCAATCTCTGCCTTGTCTTCACATTGTCTTCTCCTTTGGGTGTCTCTCTCAAATCTCCCTTGGCCATTCTCTTATAAAAACACTTGTCATTGGATTTAGGGCCCATGCAAACATCAGGATAATTTTATCATGAGATCTTTTACTTAATTATGTCCACAAAGACTATTTTCCATCTAAGGTCATGTTCATAGATTCTGGGTGTACAGGCATGGACATACCTTGTTGGAGGCCACCTTTCAACCCATTACAGAGGTTGAACAACATCCTCAAATCCACACAGATACTAAGGGTCAAATTCTAGGTGTCTCACCCCAGGGTACATGCTCTCAATCACTTCACTATGTTTACCGGCTCTCTGACAAGCCATGTGTTCATCAGTGAAAATATTTATGAGTTAGAAAAATACGTGCTATTTTTCTGTAAAACATAAAGCACCTAATATGTGATATGCACAAGGCATTATGAAAATGCTATTTTTAACTTTTGTTAAAATACACAAAGTTCAAAACCATCGAATATAAATGATATGTATTGTTTTTAAAGGGATTTATTTCATTTAGAAAATATTGAAATGACCACATCATCTTTCTCAGTTTTAGCATTTTATACTTCTGTTAACTCACTACTATCTAGTTGGTTTAAATACAAATGGACAACGCTGACAATTGCAGTAACTTATTCATCCCCATCCAGGTAGTTTGGTTTATCTCTATGGATTTAATTATTATAATGTCCAATCAGAATACTGCAATAGTCTTATCCAAAAACTGGAATTGAGTTCCTGTGTAGATGCTATTAAATGCTGTGGCCAAACTATACTCTGTGAAGAAGCAAAGAAGGAATGACTGACTGATAAATTTTCTCACCAAATCTTTTATCTTTTACTTTATTTTGGTTACAAATTAGATAAGAAGATACTCGGGCTGCTGAAACTGTTTCTTGAAGTTTTTTAAGATACTCTAGCCCAATGGCTCTTAAGTGATCCATTAGTTTGGAAAAATAAAGAAAACGTAATAGTCTTTTGACTCCATTTGTCTAGAGGAGAAATTCATTCTCTGCATGATTGCATAATGATGGAACATTATCAACCTCACTCTTTAATGGTCCATAACAAAATAAGCACTAAGAGGGCTGATAAGCATAAGACCCATCCCACCTCCCAAAAAAAAATTACAGCTACCTGCTCTGAGCACCACTAAAGCGAATGAGAAAAATAGCCCTTTTTTCCAGAGGAATAAATTTATGTGATAGACTGCCAACCAGAATTCTTTTGGCATGGGGTATCCTTCTTTTAAATATCTTGTTATTGCTTCGGACACAGAAAACTTATTTGTATGCAGCAGGCATATAGTAAAAGAGTCAAAAACAAAGGGTAAGACTGAGAGATACTGTCAACTTTCAAATACAGATGCTGCAAATAAACTAAATACAGTTCAGATACAAATATAGAATTTTTTAATCAAATTAGGGAAGGTCATTATCTTTCTTACAAAACTGTAGAGCTTACCGAACCTTTGTTACTTTGCTTCGACGGGTGAGCCATTTTTTTTCTTTCCTGTGAGAGATCAAAATATTCTTACCAGATGTCAAAATTTTAACTGCCTTTTTTTTTCCAGTGGTATGTGCCCAAAGCATCTTTTTTTAATTGTCCCCTTTGTCTACATAATAACTTGATGTAGAGAAGAAAGCAATGCATTAGCAGCAGTTATCAAGAAATTTACATGGCCATGGATGAAGTAGGAGAGACACAGGAAGCATAGATAAGATATAATTAAATGCCTAATATGTGTTAAAGAAAACCTTCTAAGAAGCAGTAGTAAATAAAAGATTCATAAGGAAGAGGTGGACTTGAGCTTGGCCTTGCAGTTTTGGTAGAATAAATATAAGAAAAATGGAAGGCTTTCCAGCACAAGGAAGGGTGCGAGGTGGAAATGTACATGTCTGTGTTTGCTCACTAATTTATCAGAATACCTAACATAAGGCCTGGCACACAGTTGGCACTCAGTAAATATTTGTGGATTGTTAAATGGTGAATAATGAATGCAGATAATATTGATGTTGGAATAGCCCTGCAACTTAAAGACTTCTTGAAGCTACTCTGAGTGCTTTAACATGACACAGTAAGCCACAAAGTGCACCGTTACTAACTTCCATATGTTCTCCAGCAAACGTAGACCAGCTCATCCTCAAGAATGGTGGTGACATTGTGAGAATGTGGACACAGCCAGACTTTTCATTCTTAAGTTAAAATTATTACAAGTCTTCCGCTGGGTGTGGTGGCTCAAGCCTGTAATCCCAGTACTTTGGGAGGCCGAGGCTGGTGAATCACCTGAGGTCAGGAACTGGAGACCAGCCTGACCAGCATGGTGAAACCCCGTTTCCACAAAAAATACAAAAATTAGTTGGGCATGGTGGCCTGCGCCTGTAGTCCCACCGCTCTCTCGGAAGGCTGAGACAGGAGAATTGCTTGAACCCGGGAGGCGGAGCGGCAGTGAGCCGAGATCGCACCACGGCACTCTAGCCCGGGCAACAGAGCGAGACTCGTCTCAAAAAAAAAAAAAAAAAAGAAAAAAAAGTCTTCCACTGGGTAGCCCAGGTGGGACTGGAGCAAGCAGTCAGTCTGGAATTGGGTTAGGAGGGATTTTTTGGAGCATCCATATTCCAGCCTTCATCTTGAATTCCACTACCCTTAGCATGCGTCCAGTGAGGTAGTATTGCTATATTAAAATCACTGTATCCAACAGAGGCTTTCCATGAGTGATGGCCGACTGGAGCTATTCTCTTCAAACTAGCATTCAAGTTAAGGATAACATTAGTTAAAGAACTATGAGCATAGTTTAATGAGACAGCCAAAGTTTCTATCTGCACTGGTGCTAGGTAATGCTCAAGTTCCAAGCCAACCACCTGGAATGAAAGCATTGCTCATGGACTACTGCAAACATTGTGCCTGCTCTTCCTTTCTGATGCCATCTCTCACCTTTGGCAGGATCCACAGAGGAATGGAATATGCTTTTGGCACTATTCCCAATTGAAAAGTCATGGAATCGACCTAGGTGTCTATCAGTGGTGGACTGGAGAAGGAAAAATGTGGTATGTATACACCATAGAATACTATGCAGCCATCGGAAAGAATGACGTCATGTCCTTCACAGCAACATGGATAGAGCTGGAGGACATTAGTATAAGTGAAATAACTTAGAAACAGAAAACCAAATACCACATGTTCCCACTTATAAGTGGAAGCTAAACAATGGGTACACATGAACATGGGATGGAGATAGATATTGGGAAAGCCAAAAGGGGAGAGCTGGGGAAGGGAGTGAAGGTTGAAAAACTACCTACTGGGTACTGTGTTCACTATTTGGGTGATGTGCACATTAGAAGCCCAAACCTCATCATTATGCAATATATCCATGTAACAGACCTGCACATGTACCTCAGAACCTAAATTTTTTTAATGTGCTTTTGAGCACTTATTGCATTTATTGGATAAAGGCTTGTATGTTTATGCTCCTTGATTTTAGAGCAGATGGTTAATGGATTTGTTAGTGTGTGTTATATATAGGCTCAAATGGCTTTCCCTAAAAGTAAGCCAGAAACTGAATGGAATTCTTTTATTTATCTGTGGCTGTTGGTAGATAGCACTACTCATGTGCATCCATAGTTCCTGAAAGAAGTCTCTGATCTCTCAGCTAGTTTGTAATTTCTCTAATACTTTTTAATTCTACTTTTTATACATGGTAAATATTACTTATATTGAAATATTATCCATTCTACTTGGCTTCCACAAAGTGCCATCCAGCAAAAGAATGACACCTAGCATGCTCTCTCGTCTTCTTCTTCCCATTCCTCTCACTATCCATGATCAACAGTGCTTTTCTGAAGATTTATTAGGCAAAAAATATAGGTAGGAAAACAGCATGACCTGTACACCTCCTTTCCCACCTGTGCCTATTGGTATGAGTCAAATTTACTATAGTATAATGCTTTTCTAGTGCTAGTATTGAGGACAGGATTAACATCAACACAATAGACTGTATTTTATCACTATATCCCGTTGAACCTAGTTCAGCCTACTATATTTCTGATCTCATGAGCTACCAAACTTTTATGTGAAGTCCTGGCAAAAAATTGGGATAAAAACCTCAATGGAAAAAAACAAGAACATCCCTGGTGTCAAATAAAGGAGAGGAGTAATCAGTATTTATTTTATATTTAAATGTTTCAGTGTATATGACAGAATGGTACTCTCTTCCCAAATATTAATTTTACATTCAGGTATGCATACATTGTGGAATACATTTTGTCACACTTCAAAATTTTTTAGGATTATCACTGAGATGTATGTGGGTGGGGGAAGAGACTATATAGATAGTCTCATAGAAGATATGATGAGTAAGTTGGTCTAAAAAGAAGCACTTACCTGACAAGCAGCCTAGGAAGGATGTTTATGAGAGGCTTCTCATTATCATATCCTTGACCCAACCACTTCATTTCTTACTTTGAAAACTCATCACCTACATGGCAAACATTTTCTGTTGAATTTTCTTGTCTATATTCTTCCCTAGGAGGGCCCAACCTGTGAGGGCTCTGTTCTTTTTGTGTTGCTTTTCCATAATTCGTATTTTTATCTTGATAGCCCTCATCTGCAGTTTTTTAAAACCAATGGTGGGAAGCCACCCAGAAACAAAACACAGTAGACATCAGTAAGACATCTCATGAGCAAAGAAGCCCTAAAATGAATAAGTTCACCCACTCAAGGTCGCCATTGCTCCACTTAAGTGTGGAAGCTTTTTTTTTTTTTTTTTTGAGACGGAGTCTTGCTCTGTCGTCCAGGCTGGAGTGCAGTGGCACGATCTCGGCTCACTGCAAGCTCCGCCTCCCAGGTTCATGCCATTCTCCTGCCTCAGCCTCCCGAGTAGCTGGGACTACAGGCGCCCGCCACCACCCCGGCTAATTTTTTCTATTTTTAGTAGAGACGGGGTTTCACCGTATTAGCTAGGATGGTCTCGATCTCCTGACCTCGTGATCCGCCCACCTTGGCCTCTCAAAGTGCTGGGATTACAGGTGTGAGCCACCGCGCCCAGAGGAAACATTTTTTTAAGTAACTTTATGTATGGGAAAATATGCAACATCAGGTCATTTGGCATCCACAAATGAAACAAATTTACAATACAAAGTTATCCACCTCCTCAATTCATCAATTTACTGTTGTATCTCCAGATCAGTTCTTTCAATTATAACCAAATATCCATAAAGACTGGTATTACATATTGACAGCACTTCGAGTTTGCTGTCTTAAATTTGTAACGGACAAAGGTAGGTAGAAACGGCAAGAAGCTTCTTAACTCTAACATACGACATTTTAAAATTACTTCAATCAGCTGAAAACCAGTTTATAATGCCCAAGATATGACATATTTTTAAATGCAAATTATTTAGAAATGACCTTCTGTTTTACTGTACTTTTAACCATTACTGGTCTTTGTAAGCAAGAAATGGATTAATAACTTCATTACAAAGATGATAGGTACTACATCTTATTCATACTGATATCTCCAGCCTAGTCCAGGCCCTGATATTCAATAATACTTCACTGAGCAAAATCATAAATTAATGAATACATGAATGAATGAAGAACAAATGCATAAAATCACCTGCAGAAAATTAAATAAGATACACATTAATAGAAAGCTCTACATTTGCAATAATTTTAACATATTAAAGTGTTAAATTGCTTTTAACACTCTAGTAATATATTTATATCAAAGATCCCATCTAGGACTACAGATGGGGATCCTTGCCTTAAAAATAATTTCACTTACATTATTCAACAAATGTTTCTTCAAAAAGATGATGGCAGAAACATCACAAAATGGGGAATTTTGCACAATTGCACTGACACTGTGTAAGTAAAGATATTTATCCAAGGCAAAAACAATTATCATTAGAGCAAAGAGAAATGTTCATATTTAGGGAACTGGCTAGAATGAGCTAAGTTACACTAAGGAACAAACAACCCCAAATCTCAGTGGCTTAGAACGACAGAGGCTTATTTCTCACCTATATGCTATGTCTTTCCCAGAGTGGCTGAAGTTTCTGCTTTATAGCATCCCATTCTAAGACCTTGTTGATAGAGCAGCCACCATCTCCTATACATCCAGTCCTTGAGTCAAAGTGGAAAGACAGCTCTGAAGACTCTTGCACCAGCAATTAGATGCCAGTCACCTGATCCACAGGAAGCCCAATCTTACAATCTGCCCAGAAGAAAAAGGTAGGTAAAATATTTCATAATGACTACCACATTTAGAAAGTAAATTCTTGCTGATTACCATTCAAACTATAAAATCCTATATAATTCCTAGAAGAATAATGTACTAAAAATATGTATTTGAACACTGCCAACTTCATTTTCCTGGTTCGTAGGTAAGTAAAAGGAGCTTTATGGTTCAGGATAAAATCATGTACCTTCTGGTGTGCCTCCAAGGTGACAGACTGAGCCCAAGCAGGATCTCTGCACCCACCCAGGTACAGCTCACTGGAAATATTGCAGTTGTTTGCAGAACACCTAAAAGGAACACAGAACTGCGAACACTGTACTTAGGGGACATAACTTTTTGCAAGTTATAAGGAGCAGAGATACTAGATGGCAAAGATTTAACAATAAGGCAGATGTCAATGTTTTCCAAATGGGAGAATGATGTGTGTGTGTGTGTGTGTGTGTGTGTGTGTGTGTGTGTGTGTGTGTCTGCTTACACTTCACCTGGCGGCACTTCCCAAGGAACCAAGAGAAATTGGGTATAACCCAGTAAAGAGAAAGAAGAATAAGGTGGTCTTAGGTTGTAAATTTCAGAACTTCTGAAAGATTTAAATATTGAATATCTGATCTCTTTGCAAGAACCAACAAAGATTTATGAGGAGAAAGTGCGAAGGGGACAGCATTTCTAATGAGTTAATGTTCTGAGCCGACCCGCCTACCCCCATGAAGAGAACAAGGGGCCCCATTTACTGCTCCTCCCACCTCTGCCTTCGGAGGAGATTCTGTCTCTGACCAACTAGTTCAAGGACTCTTGCAATCTGAAAAAGAAAATGGGCAGAAAACAACTGAACCTAAAAATATGAAAGAAAAGAGAGGGATGCCTAAGGAGAAATGGAAAAGTAAGTAGAAGAGAACAAAACAAAAAGAGAGGCCAGTTAATGGAGAAAGAGAAAGAAACCGAGAGAAGAAAGTACGCTGTGGGATTCAAAATGATAAGAGGATTTATTTTGTGAGCTTCTGCTTGTGTGTTGAGGGTGGAGGGTCACACACAGATGAGAGGCTCAAACAAAAATGATATGAAAGGGAATTGAGAAGAAGCGGGAAAAGGAGCATGAGAAATATTCCCTGGGTTTATGAATTGCATTCCCTTTATTGTTTTCCAGAGACTGAATGTTTTCATTACTTTTGGTTATTTGGATATGCTTAGATGAATAGGACTCCGTAAGGTTTTCATTTATCTTTAAATACACAGTTAAGAAACTGCTGTAATTTATTTAGAAATGTATGAATGAATACATCATAATACATTTAAGAAATATCAAAGAATGTTGGTCTTTGGTCAACTGAAAAAAAAAAAAGGTTGATTGTCAGCATCCTTTTAAAGGTCCTCTTTTCATAGACTGAAAATAGCTTCCAGGCTTTTTTGCGATGCTGTTATTGGCCTTCTTCACTGCTTTTGGACCCTGGGTCAGGTATCAATGTATTGTCATACGGGTGCAAACACACCCTTCAATACAGTGCGTTGTGACCAACCACCAATTCCTTTAAGCCTTTCTCCTTTTAAGTGAGCGTGATGTTAAACTGTGTCAGTAGAGGGCGCTGGAGGAAGAGTCCAAGAAAAAGAGGCTTTCATGATTTGCGGCACAGGCAGAGGAGTTGAGTGTCAGCCATGCTGGAGCCTGACCAAACCACAGGACCAGGACACAATCCCTCGGCAACCTTGCAGCCTTGCCCGGGGATAACCTGTCCTCAGCCCTGAGCAGCTTTCCTCAGACCCCTGCCCCAGCGCATCCCATGCACTCTGAAGGCCCTCTTGTCCTGCAGCCACGTAGCACGGCACCCCCATTGCACCAGTTGCTGTTCACCTGTTCCCAGCTGCAATCCCGAGGGTTGCCTAGTGTTTGCACACAACTCCATACCAGCTAACTTTCTCTGCTACCGAATGGCCAAGGCAAACCTCATCCAAGAGCTCTGAACACCTTCCAAATGTTTCCTCCCTCAGCCCTAGGCTACTACCAGTAATTTTCTTAGATCTATGGTTACTTTTTTATTAGAGTTTGAAATTATTATACTAAACTTTCCCTGTTAAACCTACTATGTGGTTTCTCTAGAGCCCAGATTGCTACAGGCTCTGATGTAATTTTCTATACCAAACTCCACACCTAATACTGTTTCTTGTGCAAAGGTGTAACTGACTCACTCACTTGGAAACATCCATTTTGTGAATACTGAAAAATGAGCAGATAAAATAACTTACATCGAGCCACAGGAGTCTGCAGTCGATCCAAAACCAGATCTTCGATGACTAAAGAATTCCCTTTAGGCCGGATGTGGTGGCTCACATCTGTAATGCCAGCACTTTGAGAGGCCAAGGCAGGTGGATCACTTGAGGCCAGGAGTTCGAGACTAGCCTGGCCAACAGGGTGAAACCCCATCTCAACCAAAAAATACAAAAATTAGCTGGGCATGGTAGCAGGTACCTGTAGTCCCAGCTACTTGGGAGGCTGAGGCAGGAGAATCACTTGAACCCAGGAGGCGGAGGTTGCAATGAGCTGAGATTGCGCCACTGCACTCCAGCCTGGGCAACAGAGTGAGTGAGACTCCGTCTCAAAAAAAAAATTTTTTTTCCTTTAATCCACTGCTGAGTAAACAGTTGAAAAATAGTTATAGATCTATGGGGAAACATGTTCTGTGGGAGGCAAGACATGGAGATGAAATGACATATCCAAAAATGTAATTGAGGGTGAGCTTCAGTCTAGATCTCGTGATTTTTCACTCGTCCTGGGCCTAGATAACACCAGCTACATCACGTGAAGGTCTGTTTATTAACATGCAGCACGTTCTAAAGGAACACTCAAGATCTGTTTCTTCTCTAGACATCCTGCCCTACTGCTTCAGAGATGTAATGTTTCACTGTGAAAGTTAACCACTAAACAGTTAAAAGGGTTTTCCCTACCCACACCATGACCACACACACACACAGAAAAAAGTTTTGGTATATCTGACTTCTGAGTTGCATTTATTCCTATCTCCTATCATTTCATTTTTTTCTTCTTATTTGTAAATGCCACCACTGCTTTTGAAAAACCAGGTTATAATTTACTATATTTTTAAAAAGTCTTAATTATGGATCTTGCAGCCTTCTTAATCCATATCTTGTGAGCCATTATTTGAGTTTTCTTTTTTTCTATTTGTCATGTCACATACCTAAGAGTAGAATTTACATTAGTAGTTCTCAAGCCCATGAGTCCCAAACTAAGAAAAGAGAATCTATGGGTTATATCAGCTTTTGACAGGTAAAATAACATCCTGTTGCAAATACCTTTAATTCAAATTTGTCATGTTCTGGAGGGCTCATCTCTTTCAAAAGTGCAGAACTCAGAAGGCCAAGAAATGGCAGTAGAAGGTGTGATCTTGAATGTGAAATATCTGTGCAATTACTACATTAAATATTCATGCGTTTCAGAGCAAATGAAATTTCTCTCATAATCAACTTGCAGTCACAAACTAGCATGTATCTTATTAATCTCTTAACAGGAATGAGACAAAATATAAATTTGAACCATACTAGCAGTTATTGTCTGATCTGCTTTTCCTTAACTTACTAAAGAAAAAAAAATCAACATATGAGAAAAAATGATATGAGACTTTGTTAGAAAACACTGGCTGAGTCAAACCTTGGAAGATACTATCAATTGAAAATATCTGAATGCATTTTCGGCAAGACTTAACGATATTACAAAATGACATCAAGTTACTTGAAATGCATCAGATGTAAAAGTTGAAAAACTTATTGCTAAGAATGTCAAAAACTGAAAAATAATATTAAACAAAGTGGAGCCATGCCTAATTCCTATGTTAATACATTTATCATCAATCACCAGTTTCAGATCAACTGCAAATCTTCTATTCTTTCAAAGGTCTCTATACTTCTGATATTTTTAACTTTCTGAAACTTTACTGTTGTAAGTTTCAATATAGCCTGTAGGTAGCCTGTTTTGAAGAAGTTTCTTTCCATTCGCTATCCTCTCTTTGGTATATTCATGTAATCTTTCTCCCCCAAAGCCTATTTCCTTACATCATTTTGAAGCAAAGATTTGGCATTCTTTCCAACTACCTTAAACTCCTCTTCAACCCCCACCCCCAACATTGCTATTATCATGATCCTAATACAAGCTCTTATCTTCTTTTGCTTGAATGACTCCAGTAGATTCCAGACTTGTCTTTCTGCTTCCCCTCTGATCTATTCTTCCATATTGCCTCTAAAGTTGTTTGCAGTTAATGATTCTGGAATAAGTATGTATTCATTTTGAAAATAATGAAATTGCATCTTCACCTCACATTAAAGACTCAACACCTGATGTGTTATACACTTAATGTAAAAGACAAATCTGTAAAGCTTTCAGGGGGATATGGGAAACTATCTTCAAGGCCTTAGGATAAGAAAAGCTTTCTTTAGTAAGTCATCAAAAGCAGAAATTAGACATATCTTAGTTTATTAAAATTAATAACTCATCAAAAAGTACATATTAATAAAGTTTAAAAACACCCAAGAGTGGGGAAATCTATTGCAGCCCATAAAACCAGCCAACATTCAGGTCCAAAGTATGTAAAATCTTCTACAAAGCAATAAGAAAAGACATACACAATTTTTTTAATTAAAAAAAAGGACAGAAGACTTGAACAGGCACTTCATAAAAAAGAAATCCAATAGCTAAAAAATATGAAAATGTGTTACATATTATATATAATGCATAGATTATGATATTTATTATAGAATCATATGTATGATTATAAATACCTCATTAGTAATCAGAAAATGGAAATTAAAATCATAAGGAGATTCTGTCACACACCCACAGATTGGCAAAAATTAAAAGTCTGACAATAACTAGTGCTAGCAAGGATATGGAGCATCAGGAACACTCAAATACAGCTTGTGTCAGGGTGAAATGGTTCCTGGCACTTTCGAAAATAATTTGGGTCTCTTTCACTTAATTTGAGGATATGTTTATTTTATGACCCTGAAAATTTGTGTTTCTAGAGAAACTTGAGTTTCTACTGATACATGTACCAATAGTAAATTGTATAAATACTGTACTTATAAAATGGAAACCTACCTGTCAATGAAAATGAATCAACTATAGCTATCCAAAGCAAGTAACAGCATTAATCAAAAGAAGCAAGACACAAAAGGACAAATATGGAATGACTTCATTTACATAAAGTTCAAAAACAGGCGAAACTAAATGATAGTGTTTAGAGGTACACACCTCTGCAGAGGTGGTAAAACAATAGAGCTAATCAAGGACTTGATCATCATCATAAGGTCAGGATTGTAGTTTGCATTAGGCTTAGAGGGGAGGGTATGAAGAGGAAGGAACTTCTGGCATGCAGGCAACATCCTGTCTCTGACATGGGTGGTGGATATATGGGTATCTGTTTCATAATTCTTAAATAAACAGTACCTTTATGTTTTGTGAACTTTTCTCTATATGTGCTAGACTACAATAGAGTATAACCAAATTTTTAAAAATTTGTCTAGTAGACAAATGTGAATAGAAATATATAAACCTAGCTGGGCACGGTGGCTCACGCCTGTAATCCCAGCACTTTGGGAGGCCAAGGCAGGTGGATCACCTGAGGTCAACAATTCGAGACCAGCCTGGCCATCATGGTGAAACCCCATCTCTACTAAAAATCCAAAAATTAGCCAGTGTGGTGGCAGGCACCTGTAGTCTCAACTACTTGAGAGGCCAAGGCAGGAGAATCACTTGAACCTGGGAAGCAGAAGTTGCAGTGAGTTAAGATTGCTCCACTGCACTCCAGCCTGGGCACAGAGCAAGACTCTGTCTCAAAAAAATAAAAATAAATATATATATACCTATTTTTAATAGGCCCAGTTGGGTCAAGTGTGTTTTCAGTTAAGGAAATATTTGTACCATTTTTAGTAGTCATTTGCGACCTTACAGTCCCTGTTGTCATGGACTGTGTCTGCTGCTTTTGTGGGTTGTGAAGGCTTCTTCCGTATCTCCAGATTTGGTTCTCAACAATTTTTTATTATGGACTCTATGACCATCCCCACTGAAAATGATATTTAGATCGAACCCACATATCCTAAGTATTTAAAAAAAGATGGATGAAAATCAAATAAGTGAGAAAAGTCTGATCACTTGAATTTTCAAACTCAAGGAGAGAGAATGCAATTGGCAATATCTTTCTGATCATAGTGGGAAACCCCAGACAAGTGCAGGCTGCCGCCCTGGCTGGGATGAGAGCTTCAGAGAAACCACTGGTCCTGTTTCCCAGCTGTTACTAACCCAGGTGACTCAGATCACCTGCTTCATTTTGTTCTTTTCAATTTTCTCTGGCACAGCTATTATAATGTTTAAAGAGAAAATGAAATATCTTACTTGGGGAATTTTACATATTTGGCTATTCTATTGCTCCAACTACTGTTACCTTGTACTTGTATAGCTTATTATTATTCACTTGTTCAGTGTACAACATTGAGTTGCTAGTGAGACACAGGTACTGTGCTGGGCACAGCTCTACAAGAAGTCACTTGTCATGCACAGCCACTGCATTCTTTCATGGACTCTTCCAGCAATGTGATGGGGGAGGCAATGGATAAGTGGTTATTTTTATTATTACTAAAATTAGACTTTGTATCAGTTGTCTTTTGCTGTAAACAACCTACCCCGAAACTTAGGGGCTTAAAGCAGCATTTTTTTTTTCCAGCTCCAATTTTGTAAATCAGCTAAGCAGTCTCCTCTGATCTGGTCTAGCTGTGCTCATATTGGCCAGGCTCTTTAGTGATGCAGCTAGCACCTAGCTGACTTAGGATGGCCTTGCTTATATGCCTGGCCAGGATGATAGGGAAAATGGGTCACATGTATCTCATCATACTGTAGGCTCACCTGGGCTTCTTCACCTGGCAGAGTTCCAAGAGCAGCCAAAGGGCAAGCCAAACTGATAGAGACAGGAGGCAGAGAAATTCTGGGAGAGCAGGTCCCTGGTGAGGGCCACATCCTCAAGCTGAAAAGCCTGATACCATGACCCAAAGTGAGAACTTACATACCTATTTTCTTGCTTGAATGTTGCCTTTTCCAAAACCACCCATGGCCAGCCCCACCACCCATCCTGTGCCCATAAAAACCCCAGGATTAGCCGGCAGAGAGAAGAGAAGCAGCTGGACATTGGAGACTATGGTTGGATGTCAGAGAGAAGTGGTTTGACTTCAGAGGGACAGCTTGACAATGTAGCTTCAGAGAAGAGTCTGGCTGGGAACGGTCAGACTTCAACAGAAGATAACCTTCCCACTCTGTGCCCTTTTTAGCTCTCCTTCCTGCTGAGAGCCACTTTCATTGGCAATAAAATCCCCCACATTACTGTCCTCAATTTGTTTGTGTGAATTCATTTCTCCTGGCTGGACAAGAACTTGGGTGCCATGAGTGTGGGTGCAAAAGTCTGTCACATTGACCCTCCACTGAGCTGCTAATACTTAAGCCATCTGCAGATGGCAAAGCTAAAAGAGCACTGTATCACTCCTTCGGCGGCTTCAGAGGTCATGGGCAACCCCCCTAGATGCTGCTACGGGGCCGACATGGAGTTTTGCTCCTGCTGGCATCCAAAAGCATTCGCCCTGGCTCCTGTGCCCACTCACCTGTGCTCCCCCTCCTGAGAGGGGTGGAACGCAGTGGGACAGCGCAAGTGAGTGGAGTCCAGCCCTGACAGCACTGAAGCAGCCAGCTAGTTCTAGCACCTGTGCGCTCCAGTTCTTGCCCACAATGGGGTCAGGGAAATATCCTGCTTCAAAATGAGCAAGCATGTTTGAAGGCTCTGCTTACATCACATTTGCTAAAGTCCATTGTTCAAAGCAAAGCACGTGATTTAGCCCAGAATCAGGGCAGCAGGGGACTACCAAGGAATGTGGCTGCAGAATGTGATGAATCCACGGCCATCCTTGCAACCCAACACAGCCCTAGAGAAACTTTACTAGGGTCACACAGTTAGTGTGTGGCATTGGGACCACAGCTTATGGCTCCTTTCAGTTCAATGTTCTTTCCACCAGGGCAAATAAATGCAGGGAATAGGGAAGCAAATGGAGTGGGAGCTGGGGAGGATGTGCAGGGGAAAATGATTAGGAAGCTGCACAGAATAGTTCAGATTGCAAAGTAATCTTTTTGATCTGAATTTTTTGGTTAATGTGCTAATCTTGTTGAAATCAACTGAACAATTGCACATGTTTGTTTACAATGCTAATCAATTTCAGAATACTCAAATCATCAACAACATAAATGTGACAATAAACACGCATCCCAGCTTCCTATATCTTTTCATCCTCTTCCCATCTCCGCAGGGTCAACATCTCAATAGTGCTTTGCAGAGCTTAGGCAGAAATCCTTTATTTCTTTTGTAAGTACTTTTGTAAGTACACATAATATTTAGCTGGGTTTCACAAAGTGAATGTTCCTTAAGTTTGGTTGACTAAATGATCATTAGCATAAAGAATATATTAAAATATCAAACTATTTTCCCTGGTAATATTTACTTTATTATGAGTGTTGTTAATGCTACAAAGACTGTTCAGGCCCCACAATCCAAGGAGTGCCTTCATTTGTATTTTTGGTTTTCTATCACTCAGATGTCACATTCAAAACATAACAGCTCTGCCCACAGGTTTGGAAAAGCCAACAGGCATAAATGGTTAAGAGGGCCATAGAGTCAAACACCCCCACCCCACCCCACTGGTGTGGCTCTCACTCTCACCCTTTCTAGCTCTTCATCCTCGAGCCGATTGTTAATGCTTTGAGACTAGGTGTTCACATCTGTAAAGTGAGGACCATGGTACCTGCCTCAAAGGGTATGTGAAGGATTGAACATTATCTGTTTGCAGCATGCAGCACAGAGCCTGGCTTATGGTGAATATTCTTTAAATGATTACCCCTACCATTATTAATAGTATTATCATTACAAAACAAATTATTTAAAGAGGGATTCGCTCACAAACTTAGATTGCAGGAGAAACTGGAAGATCTATCTGTAAGGAATTCTAAGATTCTTTTTTTTTTTTTTTGCTTGTTTTCTAAAGTTCGTTAAATCTCATTTAAAGCAAACCAGAGAAACTATTTCCCGAGTCTTCTGATGTATTAATTAGTTCATCTAGGCCTTTCTTTCATCTCCCTATCTCTTTTTCCCTATTCAGAGGACAGATGTTGTTGGCCTACCTTTATGCACTTCCTACTACCCAGTCACTCATCACCTTTCCACATATATTCAGAAACATCACAGGTGTGAAAAAAATCAGACTGATAAAAATGCAGGCTAGTCATTTGTTCAAAAACAAGTCACCTTTCTGAATAAAGATGAGAGATTTTACTAGTAATATTCTTCTTGAAAAAAAAATCATGTTTTCATTCATATATAAGAAAGAGAAGGCAAACTCTTTGCAAGGGGCAAGTCTTATTCTTCTTTGGGTTCCCATTGTTTCTTTATATATATATATATATTATTATACTTTAACAGTCATTTGCATCTACTAGGAGGAGAATATCTTGCTGAAACAATAAATGGTTCCTGAAGAACTCAAAGACCCCGAGGAAATTGTTATTAATTTTTCAATCACCATTTTAACAATGAAAAATTTCAGATTCAAAAAATTAAAATGCAATCCCAAGAGTCATATGGAACTTGTATAGTGAACAAGTCCCAGTGGACTGGTTTTCCAAAAATATCATGGTCATTTTCATGAAGGGCTTTTTGAAAAATAAATACCAACAATACAAAAACATACATATACACAAACATACATACACACACACACATATATAATAGAGGTAGTTGTGTATAAGTATGGCCTACTTCAGAGACATGGATTAAAAGGCTACTCTGTGTAAAATTGTTTAAGATACACCAAAAGTGTCTGGGCACAGTGGCTCAAACCTGTAATCCCAGTACTTTGGGAAGCCAAGGTGGGCAGATCACTTGAGCCCAGAAGTTCAAGACCAGCCTGGGCAACGCGGCAAAACCCCATCTCCACAAAAAATACAAAACTTAGCCAGGCGTGGTGTTGTGCACCTTTGGTCCTAGCTACTTGGGAGGCTGAGATGGGAGGACTGCTTGAGCCCAGTAGGTCGAGGCTGCCATGAGCTGAGATTGAGCCACTCCACTCCAGCCTGGGTGACACAGTGAGGCCCTGTCTCAAAAAATAAAATAAGATACACTAAAGTCTATTCAAGTTAAAATTATTTTCTACAGCAATTGCTACTATGGTTCTCATTTGTTTAGGTTAATTCACCAACTCCTGTAGTAGTAACTCTGGGAGAGGTAACATAATGAGTCATTACCTGTGGAATATATCAGTGTGAATTAATTTATCCAAAGAAAATGAAATAGACTAACTGTTTTTATGTCAAAGGAGGGGGATACAGAGATTCTGAGCATATCTGGCAGGATACCCTGATAAATTTTTTTGTTTGTTTTTTTGAGATGGAGTCTTGCTTTGTTGCCCAGGCTGGAGTGCAGCATCATGATCTTGCCTCACTGCAACCTCTGTCTCCTAGGTTCAAGCAATTCTCTTGTCTCAGCCTCCTGAGTAGCTGGAATTACAGGTGCGCACCACCAGGCCTGGCTAATTTTTGTATTTTTAGTAGAGACTGGGTTTTGCAATGTTGGCTAGGCTGGTCTCGGAATCCTGACCTTAGATGATCTGCCCATCTCAGCCTCCCGAAGTGCTGGGATTACAGGCGTGAGCCACACGCCCAGCCTACCCTGGTAAATCTTAAGCTCACAGGAGACAGGGTAGGAGGGCATGAACACAGGCAATGTAATATGACTCTGCTGGTAGTTAGGAACTGTTCTCTAAGCCTCAACTTCCTCCTTTGTAAATTAGAAATAATTATTTTTTTTAGCTCATAGATTCACTATGAGAATTGAATTCAATAATATGGTTGAAAAATTTTAATGTTTTATTCAAATGTAACAAATTAATAAATGGGTCCTAGAGGTGGGTGGCAGAGGGTCATAAGCACAAAAAACTAACATGTATTAAGATGGGATAGGAGCGTTGATATAAGTAAATGAATACATAAATACATAATATAAGAAATGTCAGTTACTGAAGTTCTGCCTGAAATTACTCCTGAAAAAACAGTGTAGATATTGTATTCAAGGACATATTATAAAATAAGGATTAAAAATAAGACAAGTTGCTGCATTAAACAGTTTCTCAAACGTGTTTCTGAAGAACCCTGGAGACATGAAAGTCAGTTTCTTTCCTTGATCTCTCCTTTATAAAAAAAAAAAAAAGCAACTGCTAAAAAAAAAAAAAAAAGTGGTAGATTTTTAAGCCCTGGCGTGCTCAGATGCCCATGAGATATGAAATGAGAAAGCTAACTGCTGAACCATATTCATATATAGATTCTATTATTTATATGTAGTTTGTAAATGCAGACAAAAAGATCTAGAAACCACACTAAACTTCTTCTTTTTTTTTTTTTTTTTTTTGAGACGGAGTCTCGCTCTGTGGCCCAGGCTGGAGTGCAGTGGTGCAATCTCGGCTCACTGCAAGCTCCGCCTCACGGGTTCACGCCATTCTCCTGCCTCAGCCTCCCGAGTAACTGGGACTACAGGTGCCCGCCACCACACCCATCTAATTTTTTTTGTATTTTTAGTAGAGACAGGGTTTCACCATGTTAGCCAGGATGGTCTCGATCTTCTGACCTCATGATCCACCTGTCTCGGCCTCCCAAAGTGCTGGGATTACAGGCGTGAGCCACCACACCCAGCCGAAACCACACTAAACTATTAATAGTGGTTACCTCTAAGGGGAAGAGTAGGGCTAGGGAAAGGTAGGAAGGAAGACTTTCTTTACATGTTTGTATTATTGAAAAATTTTGCAATCAAACCCTTTAAGGTTTCAAAAAAATTTTTTCTTTTCTTTTTTTTTTTTTTTTGAGACAGAGTCCCACTCTGTCGCCCAGGCTGCAGTGCAGTGGTGCAATCTAGGCTCACTGTAACCTCCACCTCCCAGACTCAAGTGATTCTCATACCTAAGCCTCCCAAGTAGTAGGACTACAGGCATGTACCACCACACTGGGCTAATTTTTGTATTTTTAGTAGAGACGGGGTTTCGCCATGTTGGCCAGGCTGGTCTTGAACTCCTAGCCTTAAGTGACCACCCACCTCGGCCTCCAAAAGTGTGGGATTACAGGTATGAGCCACTGTGCCTGGACTATGATTTCAAAAATTTACTATAACATATAGCCTTATAAATCACAGTTATAATTTTCTTACCATTGGGAAAGAATGGAGGGTAAAGCCTTGAAGACTAAGTGGGAGCTGGTCAGAACACCTATATGGCAGAGGTGTTCAAGTTTCACACGTAATGATGTAATCTGAATAGGAAAAACAGTGAAATGAGATATGAAGTTCTCACCATGGGATTTGGTATTAGTTCATCACATCAGTATGAACCCCCTCAAATCCCTTGCCATTCCAGCCATGGTTCATACTCTGCACTTCAAGAAATATGAGCTTCAACTATATCTGCAGGCTAGATAAACCCTCAGAAAGCACAAGTTTAGATCAGGAAAAGCCCCAAAACAGAATCCTCATACTTAAGAGGTGAGCATAAAAAGAAGAGCTAGCGAAGGAGTCTAGGACACCACACCTGGTCTGAACTGAGAAGGAGACTCTAAAGTGGCAGGAGAAAAGTTCAATGCAATTGCCATTGAAACTAAGGGAGAAAAAAAAGTTAGAAAGAGAAAGCACCAATTAAGAAAGAAGAACTAGGCCAGGCGCCGTGGCTCACACCTGAAATTCCAGCACTTTGGGAGGCTGAGGCAAGAAGCTTGCTTCAGCTCAAGAGTTGGAGACCAGCCTGGGCAACATAGTGAGCCCTCGTCTCTATTAAAATTTTAAAAAAGGCATAATCACAAGGATCTGCCTTCCAATTGGCTCCAAATCCCAAGAAATGACATAAAATAACAACTTTGTAAAAGGACTATCAGTAGAACCATAATTTTAAGAAATTCCTGAGAACAATTAGATTGACATCAAATGCATGGAGAAACAAAACCATGCCCCATGTGCACACTGAAGATGATTTAACAGATTTAAAAAGGGTTAACAGATTAATCAAGGTCGAATAGGGATTATTTCCAGGAAGCAAGCATAATAGAGACCTCCCCCTTTTCTTATCTATATTATTTTAGTTCCATAATAAATAAGCAGCATTTTGTGATATTAAGCTATATTTTTAATTAAAGGAATGTATTCATTATCTGTTGCTGAGTATAAAATTAGTCTAAAACAGAGTAGGTTAAAACAATACTTATTTATTATCTCATAATTTCTGTAGGGCAGGAATCTGGTCATGACTTCTCTGGGTCCCCTGGTTCATGGTCTCTCACAAGGCTGTAATCAAAGTGTGGGACCAGGGGTTGTGGTCTCATCTGCAGTCTCAACTAGGGAAGGAGGTGCTTCCTGGTCACTCAGTGGCTGTTGGCAGCATTCATCTCTTTGTAGGCTGCTGGACTGATGGTTTTAATTCTTTACTAGTTCTTTTCTAAAGGCAGCTCTCGGTTCCTTGCTTGGGGGCCCCTACAACATAACATCACGCTTTATCAAAGTGTGCGAGCCAAGAAAGCAACAGAGAGCATCTGCTAGCAAGAAAAAAGTACCAATATTTTATAACCTAATTATGGAAGTGACATTCCCTCAATGTTGCCATGAATAGCAGAGGCAGGAATCATTGGCACCTATCATAGAGACTGCCTACCACAAGGAGTCCTTCTTGCCCAAATTATTACATTTAGATCCATCTGACTCTAAAACTATACCCAAGTGCTTCAGTTTACAGATGAGGAAACTGTGACTCAAGCAATTCCTTTACTCACCCAAGGTCAAGTCTAGAGTGAGAACCAAGATGTCCTCAGCTCCATTTTAATTTTCATTACCTATATTTCGCTGCTTCTAAATCCAAGCACAGATCCTACATCCCAACAGTTTTAGGGTTTGCCTGTGGACAACCCTCCTTCTGAAGATTCACCAATAGCATGAAGTCTCTATGTTACTGACATCGTATTGAATCACATAGTAGCTGAGTGACTGTTTAAGGTTTTAGAGTAGCTCCCTTACCTCCCCAAAAATGTACCTCCCAAGTAAAAATAATATTTCATGCATCTTTATTTTCCTTTAAATCCTAGGAGCTTCCTACCCACAGGAAGAATTTAGTGAACAGTTTGCTGACTGACAAAAGTTTAAAACTTCAAGGAAGCATAAATGTTAGAGAAAGAAACATGGTATGGCTTGCTACTGAGAGTCAAAAAACATCCTCAAATTGTCAAATAAGAATTTCCTTAAGTAATTTTTATGAGATAATATGGGGTCAGTGAATTAATAAGAGCAAGGGTCAGCATCGCCCACGTAGTAAAGTTCAATATGAGGAAATGTAAAGACCTAAACTAATTCCCACCTCTCAGTCTCTGGCCCTGGGCTAGTTAGCGTTTCTACTCCTTGGGGCCTTCATTTGCATGAGGAGGGCCTCAGCTTAACTTTTAAGAGTGTCAAAGATATATAAATGACAGTGAAACATTTGGAATGTACAGACCAATGAAAATTTGTAGTAAACATTCAATGTTTGAGAAGAGAGTAATCACAATTATTTTTATTATTTTTCCAGTGCCCCAATCCACTCCCTTTTCCTCCATACAAAATAAAATCGATCTCTAAATAAACTGCAGAGGAGGAGGTTAAACTAATCATCCTTTTATAACAAACCTACTCCCTCTGTAACAGCACTAATCCATTCATGAGGACGGAGCCCTCATAACCTAATCACCTCTTAAAAGTCCCACCCTCCCCAACATTGCTGTGTTGGGACTCAAATTTCCAACTTGTGAAATTTGGGAGATATATTAAACCATAGCACTTGGATATCTACGTGGATAAAACAGGTACTTGCAAACTTCTCAGTAAAAACAATAGCTGCACATTTTGTCCAAGGCATTATGAATTCCTCCACATTATAAATTTGCCTCCAAAAAGAAACGAGAAGGTAGGTTGTAGGAAGATAAGCCGTTTCATTTTTGTGACACTCTGGGAAAAAAAAGAAAATATAATTATAGCTTCCTCTGCATTCAAAGATGAAGAAAATGTTCTGGCATATATTTAGTAATTGGTAGACCTGCTGTCCTAAGCACTGGTACAGCAAGCAATACTAAAACAACAGCTTGTTGCTGTTAAGACAGGTGATTTTAACATATGGGCAGGTGAGGATAGCAGTACAGCAGTATGTAAGCAATTAATTCTAATGATACTACTGATAGAAAAGTCTAGAAACACATCAGCGATGTAACTGAAGTTTTTACAACATTTATACTTTTATTTAAAAGATAGATCTATTTCACATTTGTCTCTACAATCTTATCAAGGTAGACTGGGTTTTTATTCCAAGATGTGAACTAGTTCTTATATGCTTTGCAAGATTTGAACAGACCAAGTTCTGATTTCCTACATTAGTACGTTCATGATAAGCAAATTTGTGATTAGCTATTGGCAGCACAGACACCAGACACACCCTTCTTTACCTTGGGTTGACATTATGCTTTGATATATTTTTAATGGCTTGAATTCCTTATTTTTGGAAAGGCTTAAAGCAAAAGACTAGGAAAATACTATTAATGCCAGGCTTTGTCCTCCCTCAGAAGATTTGTCTCTTTCCATTCAAATAAAGTAAAGAAGATTCTGGTTTCCCTCACCAACATCCTTGTAGGTGCCTGAAGCAGGGCAGACCCAAGGTGGGAGAGAGACTGTAATTTCTAGGAATTTCTTCACGTAAAAAAAAATGCATCAGGATTTAAATACTCCTTCCTCAACAAACACAGGTATCCAAGTACTATGGTTTAATATATCTCCCAAAGTTCACATGTTGGAAATTTGATCCCCAACCCAGCAATGTTTGGGGATGGGACTTTTAAGAGATGATTAGGTTCTGAGGGTTCTGCCCTCATGAATGGATTAGTGCTGTTATGGAGGAAGTGGGTTTGTTATAAAAGGGTGAGTTCAACCTCCTCCTCTGCTCGCTCTCTCTCTCCTTCCCTCTCCCCTAGCCCCACGTTATGCCTTCCACCACGTTATTAAGCAGCAGGAAGGCCCTCACAAGATGCTGACCCTGTAATTTTGGACTTCCTAGCCTCCAGAAATTGGGAGGAAATAAATTTATCTTCTTTATAAATTTCCCAGTCTCAGGTATTCTGTTACAGCAGCACAAAACAAAGACACCAAACACAATTTAGCTTACAAAAATTTTGCACTCAAATTGATGCCCTAGGGAAAAATCAGTCAAACTAACAGATGCTCAGTCATTTTAGTGATCTTTTAGAATATTGGAATTTAACAGCAGTTTATTGTCATCACCAATAACAACAAAAATGATGAGACTCAAGGTCTGGTCTTTAAGACAAAATTATTCCTACTACATTATCCATAATATGACAATTGCAAAAAAATAAATTGTCAAGACTAAGTAAGAAATGTTTTCTAATAAAGGTAGCTATTGTGTTAAATGAGATTAATGGGGCTTTGAATTTTAGAAACATTGAATTAAATAGCAGGTGATGAAAAATAATTATCCTAATTAAGCAGAAAAAAAAAATAAAAGCACACACAATGGTCTTCTTTACTCCTGAAATGCCCTGATGCGTAGCACTAAAATCCTCATGTGATTTCTATGCTACCTTCTGAAAAAGCAAGAACTCTGCTTAATTCTCTATATAACATCAAATAATAGTTTCTCCCTGATTAGTCTCTTCAATTTTGCAACCAAAGAAAGATATAAGTGAAGATAAAATTCCCTAATGATAAGAAGTGGACATTTAAGAAGAAAGATTGTATAAAGGCACATCAATTTCAGAGAAATCAAATATGTGGGCTTGGGAATGGGTCTCTAACTCATAAAATCACCTCAAAAACACACATTGGGTTGCAGATTGACTGATGGTTCTGGCAGTTTTTGAGTCAGAGATTGGAGGCTATGGTGAGGGCTGGATGGCACACTTATACTCTAGATTGCCTAGAGTGAGGTCCATGAAGGATCATGTAGATGAGCTTTGCCCTACCTCTTATTTCATTCCCATCTGTGAAATAACTGAAACCCCTTCTGAGGACCTCAACAGAATCGGAATGTTAGAAAAAGTGCTTTTGGGTAGATTTCCAAGGTAAATAAAGATGTCTGACCATTAACTAGACATGGTATATATTTTATTCTGATATCTAACCTTTTATTGTAGTTAATACATGTTAAATAGCCTTAGAAACATTTTTTTCCTGAGAAGATAACTAAAATTTTCTAGGTGTTGTGCATCCCAGGTACTCTGTTAAGTGCTTTCACATTTGACGTGTTATCCAATTTAGTCTTCATAACCCTGTAGGGTGGGTGTTTCACTTTTATTTTACAGGTGGAAAACCCAAGTCTCAGAGAAGGGCAAAAAATAGAAGATTGATAATAATTTCTTAAGATAGACTACGAATAAGGCATGAGCAGATTATCACCAACATCTATAAAGGCAGTCATTTCAAATACAACTAAAAGATTTTTCATTTTTCACAAGATCATGACTAATAGAAAGTATCCTTTCTAAGTAGCAGGCTGTTCAGTTCAGAGTAAAGACTGTCACAGCTTTCAGCATCTACTGACGACAGTTCCCATGATTCAATTTCTTAGATCTCTCTGTACTTCTTAGAGGGTAAAGGCTCTATGCCCGGGTAGACTGTCTGGATTTGAATCCTATCTGTACACTGGAGGTAAATCCTAGTGAAAGACTGGCTTAATTACCTAAGGAAAATTACTCAACACTGGAGTTTGTAGTAGGCCATTAAAAGGCAAACAGGATGATATCCACGTTGGTAAGTTTAACTAGAGCCCGACATCATTCTGCAAAATGAAAAGTGATCCATGTGCATACAGCTGCTCATAAAAGGACTCTCGGGGACTAGATAGACCATTGTCACAGCTTCTTCACCCAGGCAGCATACAGTGTCTCTCAGTGGCAGTCAGTGCTCTTCAGAACATTGGCTGGGTTTCCAGTATGGGCCAACCCTTAATGTGTGAAGTCTTGTGAAACTGACCTTGTGCGTTCTTCTATCTGTCAGCCAGGGGTCAGGGTAGAGGCAACACTGCTCTAGCATAAGTTTGTCTAGTCTCCTTCGGCTATTTCTATGGTATAAATTGTGTTTGCTTCCTACATTTTTCAGTCTTTCTCTTTTGAATCTCAAAACTCTGTTTTGGAAATCAAGAAAATGAAACACAGACTCTTTCTTCTTTTAGTTATTTTTTTTAAGAGACAGAGTCTCACTCTGTTGCCCAGGCTGGAGTGCAGTGGCATGTTCACAGCTCATTGTAGCCTCAACCTCCTGTGCTCCAGCAATCCTCCCATCTCAGCCCCCTGACTACCTGGGACTATAGGCACACACCACCATGCCTGGCTTTTTTTTTTTTTTTTTTTTTTAATTTTTGTAGGAACAAGGTCTCTCTATGTTGCCCAAACTGGGTCTCCAACTCCTGGCCTCAGGCAATCCTCCTACCTCAGCCTCCCAAAGTGCTAGGATTACAGGAACAAGCTACTGTGTCCACCCTTTTCTTTTAGTTGCCTTTATGACATTCCCACTTCTTTTTGGAGTAGCAGGGATGCGTCTGATGGCCTCGGGGAAAATAAATTGGGAAAAAGAAGGGCTCAACAAATAATGTCTCAAGATATCATCTCAGTTTGTAACTATATAAAATAGGCTGAAATGTAAGTTTCTGAGGCTAGAGTTAATTCTAATCTTATTTATATGGGCAAGAAAAACAAAAGTGTCAGATTCACTCAATTATATACATTTTGCTTGTAGCTGCTCCCTTGCAGTTCCCTTTTTAAAAAATCTCTCCCATCATTCGTACACTCATGCATTCCAAAAGTGCTCTGAAATGAAGGTTTTGGAATTTGCTCTGTGGTAGTAGAAACTCTAGCAATTGAAAGACAATATCATATCCTTACCTCCACTCTGATCACAATACACACCACCACTGCCCAAAGTTTCTTCCATCTCCCACATCTGTATCAAATAATAGAAAATCTGCTTTATAAACCAAACACAGGCAAGTTCTAAATTCCAATAGACAAAATTATCTCAAATAATTAAATTCACATTATACATGTGAAGAGCGTTCATGTATATAATGGAGTGTTGGAAGTATGTCATAATGCATAAAATATTGTTCACTGCTGTTGGGAATTACTCTACTGCTTACAAGTCATCTTCCTATACAATATTTCGTTAAACACAATAATAGCTCAATATCTCATTCAAAAGAAGTATTCCAATGGAAAAAAAAATGTTGGTGGCTTGTACTTGTTAGGGAAAGCTGACCTTCTCTCTTATATTGAATGCTCACAAGAGCGAATACACCTGACCTTTCACCCAGTAAATAAGCCACATGCCCAGCTTGGGAAAGTTGGCTGTGGGAGGTTTGCAGAATAATGTAGCCAGTCCTTTACATGCAATCATGTCTCTAGGCATCCCTTTTATCTAGCCCAAATATTCCCATTATTTCTGTGATGTCATTCACCCAACTGGGCACCTTAATTTTTTCAACAATTTTTCCTATTCAAGTTTCACCAGTGGAGTTGCTCCTATGGGTGACACAGCATGTGGCACACTGAACATCAAGACCTACCCATCCCATTTGCCAGCAGTGGCAGGAATGTCCGTCATACCTGCAAAAGCCAAGTAATCAACAAGTAATTTGGGAGGACCCGCAGTCATTTAGGCAGTGTCCACTTCCATAGGCTTCCATAAAGCTAGACTTGTGAAAACTTTCCCGGAGTCTTAAAAATCTAAATTATTTAAGCAAATAATACTAAAGTAGAAAAAAAAAAGCCTGTAAATCTTTTTGTCAGAATATGGTGTCAACATGGAATCAAGCTTCAGGTCAAGCTAATGATTCTTGCTGAACAATAATGATTGCTCAATAATGATTGTTCAACAATAATGGTTGAACTATTGTTCAGCTAATGATTGCTGAACAATAGTTTACAGCACAACTATGTGGCTGATATGCCAAGACTTACTGGAGTATAAAAACACCTCCATTATTTTCCCTGTGTTATTTTACCATCTCCAGGATCAACGAAGAAAATCACACCAAGTAAGAGATGCTGGATTACAGCATTTCTACAGACATCATCTTATTGAGCCCTGGAAGCCCCAATAACATGAGGTAGATGAGTAAAGTTTAACATATAGCACAGTTCATGTACAGATCTTAGATAATAACTGGTGATAGGAATGGTAACTGATGAGGAAAAAGATGACGAGGATATAAAGCAAAATGATAGCAAAGGAAAACACAGCATTTCTGTTCCTCTTCACTAAACCAGCCCCACTACTTCCTTTAAAACTCACTTCAAGGATGGGCGCGGTGGCTCATGCCTGTAATCCCAGCGCTTTGGGAGGTGGAGGCAGGTGGATCACCTGAGGTCAGGAGTTTGAGACCAGCCTGCCCAACGTGGTGAAACCCTGTCTCTACTAAACATACAAAAATTAGCCGAGCATGGTGGTGGGTGCCTGTAATCTCAGCTACTCAGGAGGCTGAGGCAGGAGAATTGCTGGAACCTGGGAGGCAGAGTTTGCGGTGAGCCAAGATCATACCATTGCACTCCAGCCCAGGCTGACAACAGCAAGACTCCATAAAAAAAAATTTAAAAACTCACCTCAAACAATATACCTAAACCTAACCAACTTAGATTATTCTTTAATTGTTCATTGCCTCAGTATTCATGTATTCTATTTCTATTCCACCATTTGTACCAGCTATTTTACTTTATAATTTTTTGAAAATTAAATCAGATCTGCATATGTTGGTTTTCTGTCTCTTAGAACAGAAGCTGTGACTAATATTTTTAATGCAATCAATTAAACCTGGCTCAGAGCTCTGTACATCTTGGATGCTGCTTAGTTATTAAATTCAACTTTATAATTATATACACATGAGCACCTATTTAATGTGAATGACAACAGGCTGGAAAATGCAAAGATAAATAAGACATAATGCCTTACCTCACATTCCTGAAACTTAATATTTAATAGGTAAGAGTGACTTGCGAACAGTTAACAAGAATAGATGGTAGGATGCCGTCATTGCTCATGTAATTAGCTAATCTATGCACTAATTCTAAAAACAACAACAACAAAAAAAAGTTTGCTACGGTGATTACAAAAGAAGAGTAATTCATTTACACTTAAAAGAACAGGTAAAACTTTGAAGTGAACAAGGTGAAATGTTTTAGGAGGACAAAATGAGAGGAGAGAGCATCAGACCAAGCCTGAACAAACACATGAAATGCCAAGAGTGCAAATTTCCGTCAGGAAATATCAAGATATATGGCTGTGTACTATGCAAGTGCAGGAAAATGTAATACATGCCTGAAAGTTTAATTGGAGTCATCACAGGAGATGTTGGGGGTCATACTGAATAGTGGACTTTATTCTGTTGGCCACTATTCCCTAAACTATTTTCCAATAAATTCTAGTTTCAAGAGACTATTTTTTATTTAACAGTTGTGTGGTGAGAAATTTTGGGGAAATGGGCATACTATGCTCCCTTCTTGAGAACGTTTTATGCACGTTAGTACAGTAAAGTCTCTGAAAAGTCCAGTGGTAGAGTAACGTATTTAACTCTCAATTTCTCAAGCTCTATGATTCCTGCAATTATTTTCTCCTTCTTTGATGACATCTTTAATGCCTTGTAGATTAGGTCTTCAGGAGAATATTGAGAAAGGAGATATGAAGAAACCCGTCAGGCAGGCTGTTAGGGTGATTCCTTGGTTGAATTTTTTCAAACAAAACAACAGCCTGAAAAATCAAGCTTCGTGCACAGATAAGGGAACTTGCATAGGTGGGCTTGCCTAACACATGCCCACGGCTACACAGATAAGAAAGTCTACATGGGTAACCTGCTCAGACATGTCCACAATGGAAAATTCTATCCCTTAACACATGTGCAGTAAGGGGAACAAAGGAATAATGGAGTAACTCAAGCTAAGGGTCTGCATGTGCACTAGGAGGACAGAGTGGAGCTACACAGTTCGCACCTTATGCAAATGAGATGCCCAGCCCTCATTGGTTTTTTATAAAAGCCTTGCATTCAACCGTAAAAATGGCAGTGACAACCCTCTTCCAGGTCCCCTCTCACAGTAGAGAGCTTTCTTCATTTACTTATTAAACTGTCGCTCCAACTTACCCTTTGTCTACAAGCTCCTTAATTCTCTTGGTCATAAGACAAAAAACTCTGGGTGAAATTCACCTCACAATGAGGGACTGCTACATTGTGGTGCGTTGGCAAGACTGTAACAATATGGCTTGTAAAATGCGGCTCTGGGCAAAGAGGATCAATAATTTACCTGGATGTGAGTGACAGGGTCTGGCTCATGTTTAATAAATGTTTGTAGGTTGCCCATTGAAAAAAATAAAAGGAATTTTAAGCAATGTAGAATCATTAATGTGAGAGCCTTGAAACCAAGCCACCAACAAATCATTCCTGCAAGGGGAAAGTAGGATAAGTTATTACCACTCAATTTTTTATTGTGATAAAATATACGTAAGATAAAATTTGTCATTTTAACCATTTTTAAGAGTACAGTTTGGTAGCATTAAATAGATTCACATTTTTGTGCAACTATTGCAAGAATCCATCTCCAGAACTCTTTCATTATTCCAATCTGAAACTCTGTACCCATGAAACACTAACTCTCCTTTCCTCTCTCCTCCCAGGAGCTGGCAGCCACCATTCTACTTTCTGTTTCTATGAATTTGACAGAATTCAGAATTGTAGGTACTTCATGTAAGTGGATTTATACAATGTTTGCACTTCTGTGTCTGGCTTATTTCACTTACCATAATACTTTCAGGACAAGTCATTTTTAAAAGAAATTACTTAAGGTCCATGAAAGAAAATAAACAGCCACATATTATAACAGGCCCTAGTTAGAATTACTAGTAAAAAGCCAAATAATACAAATGTAAAGCACTAAATGTAAAGCACTGAGGGATATAAAGACATTAAGGCTTTCCTCAAGAAGGAAATACTCTCAAATAAAGGGCAGAAATGGAAAGAGCTGAAGATACATCTTCCCCTGGTATGTGATTCCTTGGGAGCTGGTGTCACAGCTTGTCATTTTCTGGAGACTAATCAACATCAGGCAAGGCCTTCAAAAGGCTTTGCTTATGTTTAAACATCTAGAATATGTCAGACCTCACCAAAGCCATTGAAGCTACTGCAGAAGGTCCACCCTAAACAAGAACATAGACAGACGATCATGCTTTCATTTGTTCCAAATGGCTACCTTTCAAATCATAAACAGCAAAATGTACCCTGACTAGCACTCAAATATCAAAGGCACAAACATGATTGTTTTGTTGCGTTGCAAAACTCTCGCAGGGAAAGGAACCAGAAAAAGTAAGTGTGCTTGTTGTAAAGAAGGAAAGCTGAGAAAAGAGGAAGCTATTAAGGTATATCTTTTTAAATATTCTCCATGTCTCCCAAAATCATGTTATCAAACACAAATCACTTCCCACCTAGGCCAATTGCAAGATTGCTCCTAGCTGGCCTCCTATCCTGATCCTAAGACCCTAATTCTCATCACCGTATTCTCCCACACCAAACCATTCTTCACAGGAGTTGCCAAATGATCTTCCCAACTAAAGCATCACCATGGTAATTGTCCTTCTCCAAAATCTCTAATCCTCTAATGGGTCCCCGTTGCCTACCAGTTAAGTTCAACATTCACAGTCCTCCGTCATTAAACCTTTTTTGAGAGACAGATCAAACAGCTGGGAATCAGTCATGCCTTCTCTGCTTCTGGAAAACTCCTCTTAGTGCACACCATAAGTTGCCATTTGTTGTAGACATTTTTATTTGTAGCCTCTTGAGAAGATAGCTGAGTTAAGGGAAAAGCTGTGGAGTCTGCATGCTGTCACCATATTCTACTTCCTACCTGTGTGACCCAGGGCTAGTTGTTTAATTCTCTGTGCCTCAGTTTCCTCACCAGAAAAATAAGAAAATAACAGTGTCTGTGTCACTGGATGCACATATGGATATGTGAGTTAATATGGATGAAGCGCTTAGAACAGTGTGGACACTGAGCAGTGCCTAACCTTGTGCTGTCTAGCACAGTATCATACAATACAATATGGACTACTCAACAATGTCTCTGGATGAAAGAATCCATTGAAATTAAAAAATAATGTGGCCAAATGGAAAGGTTCTTCTGTTGAACACAGGAAATTCTATTAAAGTTGAAAATTTCCAAACTCTTTAGGGCTCTCATTATTAATGATCAATTGTAGAAATAAAATTCTAATTGTCATTTTCTCACTTCTAATAATAAAATTCAGCCAAACGAAAGAAAAAAGAAAGAAAGAGATTGATGGGAAAGAAAGTTCAGTCATCAATAGATGTCTCTTTTGTTCATTCGCCTTCTTATGCAAACACCACCCTGCCTCTTTGCTAATCCTTCCATTACAGAATTATGAACAACACTCCTCCAAAGATCAATCATTCTGCTTCCTTACCATAAAGTCTTATTATTTCATGAAGACACAATATCCCCCTCAAACTTTTCCAGCAAGAGTGGACACACCCCAATGCATTAAACAATAAAAGTAAAATAGATTCACATACATGTTGGTGCCGAAATATAGCCAAGCCATCACCTTCCTTTAGTCATTCCTGGCTTTTCTACTTGTTGCTGTTTACTTTTAGGTTTCCATTACGAATTTACACCAACCTCTTCCATCATGGTTTCTCTGTCCACTCACCTCCAGAACCCTCCCTCACCTTTCTGGATTTTATACTGGCTTTCTCCAACCCATTCCTTGCATTTTACTCTTAGGCCTTCATTAATATGTTCAAAACTACCATTTGAACTGGGAAATACAGAAAAGTGATCTGCAGTAAGAAAAGAAGAGTAAAACAGATTCACTGAGGGGACTTCCTGCATCTCCACAGCACTCTAGTTCCTGATTGCCCTCTGGAGACTATGAAGAGCCCCTGCTCTTAGAGTCCCAGGAGATCCTAGTGTCCTTCCCATTTAATTCAAGTTAGTTCAAATTAAGTTTCTATTAGAACAAATCGTTTTAGGTGTTTTTTTTTAAAACATTTGTCTAAAGTCAGAAAAAGTCACAGCGCTCATGTTAATGTGGTCTTCATTTATGGCATGAAGTAAGTTTCTTACTGTCTCTGCCTCTTTTTTTACTTAGCAAAATGAGAGACTGCATTTAATTTCTTCCCAGAGCTATGGGGAGAACAACTAACCAATCAGCATGCAGTGTCTTGAAGAAGCGTAGTGAGCATCCCCAACACGCTGTGGCACAGTATTCTCCTATGCACACTAATGAGTACTGTAACTAGAACGCCTCTCAGTAGCTCTTTAACCTAGGGGGACAACTCCCACTAGTACTGGATTCCAACTGGACTCTGTCTCCTCTAACTCTGTGGAAAGAATCCTAGAGGGTTCATGGATTATCTGAGCAACTCAAGCTAAAGACTTGGGTGATTGAACCTAGATTGGGATGTTGAGTATTAGAGACCCAAGTAATTACATATCCACAGGCTCAACTAACTTGGCAATCATGGTGCCAGCTAGAGTAAATAGCCTATTTTAAGTTCTTTCACCAGTCACTTTCTTCTCTCTTATGTTGTTGATGCATCTATTTTCTAATTTTGAACCATAAAGGCTTAATTCTTAATAAGTGTATATTTATTTAGAAACATTTTACAGATGGCCTAATTCTTAAATCCCTTCACTTTCTCTTAAAGAGTAAGCTTTTGTAATATTTCCATCTTGACTGTCTGAAAATAAAATTGGGGTACACCACAACTAATGCTCCTTGCATGGTCTCTCTCCAAATTTGATTGAATGATAATCCAACCCCTTATAAAAATCCAAAGAATCCCATACAAAAAAATGAGACTCCGTTTGACTTCATAATCAACCAATCAAAATTAAGTTCCCTTTCTCTGATTTATCTTTCAAGGAGGATTTAGCAATCTTGGTAAAAGAGCCGCAAACTTAGATTACAACTGATTTGAGAGTCTCCATGTAGCTCCCAAGTAACAAAAATATATGATCTTTGGATATTCACTCTAAAAGGAAAAAATACAATGTAAAAGAATTAGGAGCCATTTCCAGAAGTCAGCAGTCACCTCAGCCGTCAGACCTCTGCTTGCTACAGGAAGTGGTAAACACAGTGTCTTGTGGTTCCTGGTGTTTGGACCTTGCCTGTAATGGTGGGAAAAGAAAATGTCATTGCCTAGCAGTAACCGGGCTGCAGTCAGTGCTTCAATCTAGAGGCCAATTCCAATGACGTTTGTTCATCCCACCTAAGTATTCCAGTCTTTGTGATGCATTAGAGGGTTGGTCTAACTGTAAGAGAAGCACAACTGATGTTTCTGATTCCTTATGCATTGCAGGCTGGACAACAGGCTGGACAACACTATTCACTAAACAGAATAGTGAGATGTATGCATTGCAGGCTGGACAACAGGCTGGACAACACTATTCACTAAACAGAATAGTGAGACGTCACCTGAGCCAGTCAAACCTGAAGTCAAGGCTACAGAGAAGAAAGAACTATTTGAATCAAAACCCAAATTTCAGGAGCACATCATTCAAGCCTCTAACCCAGCAGAATCAATAAAAAGGCCAAGTCCAGGTAAACCAATGACAAATTTGGAACTAAAAAGTATCTGCCTGCCTAAAACAAGCATTTGATAAACTGTCGTAAGGGAATGAATAAGATAAGAAAGAGACAGTGAAGAAATCAAGATTGGGACCTCATGTGAAAATGGAGGGTGTTCAAAGACACCTCAGGGTGCATAGAATCTAGAGAAAGCCTGTGTCTATCATTCTGGAGCACCTCTTTTCCAGGAGGAGATGAAACTCTGAAACTATTGAAAATAAAAGAAACTTCTGATTTTAGTATGTTCTTAGCCCAAGAGGGCTGTGCAAAAAGGAAACACACGTAGACCATGGAAAAAAAATGCTGGGAACAAAGTTATTCCATGTAGACATGCCTGGCATCAGGCAAGAGGTCACAATTTCCATAGATGCTAAAAACTCACTTCCAGAACTTAGTTGAGTAGAAGCAAATAGTACATTATTAAATGCGTACACTGCATTTGAATGTGGCTCATTGCATGGTGGCTCATGCCTATGATCCCAGCACTTTGGGAGGCCAAGGCCAGTGGATCACTTGAGCCTAGGAGTTCAAGTCCAGCCTGGCCGACATGACGAAACCCGTCTCTACTAAAATACAAAAGTTAGCCAGGTGTAGTGGTACATGCCTGTAATCCCAGCTGATTGGGAGTCTGAGGCATGAGAATCACTTGAACCTGGGAAGCAGAGGTTGCAGTAACCGAGGTTGCACCACTGTACTCCAGCCTGGGCAACAGAGCAAGACTCTGTCTCAACAACAACATCAACAACAAAACCAACGCATTGTATTTGAAGAAGAGAAGAAATTTCATCAAAATGCAAAATTATGGATTGTGATTGTTGAAAAGTGAAGTTAGGTAGCTATGACTGCAATGCAGACAGAGAGCACAGTAAGAATAGCTGGTCCTATGCAATAGGCACACCTTGAATTGCCTGCAACCAAAAGGCAAGAAAAACAAACAGAAGATACAACAGATTGAGTGACTGAGCTATTGCTTATTTCAGAATTCTTAATAATGTGTGGCAAAGTGGTATCTTGCTGCTGTAATCTTTTGTTTTGTTGTGTTGTTGAATCTGGCATTTCAGGATCAACATCAGGTTCTTAAAAGCCAAAGTCAGTTCACCTTTTTGTGCCTCCCATCGTTCTTTTGAGTTATGTAAGATAGATTATTCATTTCTCCTCGCTGATAGAACCATAGTTGTGTCCTATACTTGGAGAAGCTGGAAAATAGCTCACCAACATAATTGCAGTATTTCTTAGTATAATATTATGTTAGGCAGAAAAACATTAAGGAACATTTGTTTTTGTCACATCTCTATTATCTCATAATTAGTAAGGCAAGATGAAATGTCAATTTTTAATCCTTTTTTATGGATTTGTATTCCTATAATATATGAAAATCTCTGAGGAAGAGATGAAGCTCTGCATTATTTTTTCTATGTGGGAGGGTTTTTATAGGAGGATTAATTCTGAGGTAGTATAGTAGGTGGTTAAAGGGAAATACATGCACTTATTAACAAATCAGAGTTTGTTTACAACTAATTGAATTTAAAAATTATATCAATACTTATATCGCTTGCCAAGCAGTATGATTTAAGAGTATAGGAAACAAATAAGAGTACAAAGGTATCAATTTGGTTAAAATTTACCATTTTATAAGACTAAGAAATAATGTAGAAAAAAACTCTTTCCTAATTAAGTGTCTTTCGGTGGTGTTATGGCAAAACTGTAACTTTTTACAGCCTAACCTCTTGTAAAGCCTTTAATTAGTTACATGTAAAAAAAATTATCTACCTCTGGCTTATTGGATGGAAAACTATATCTATAAAATTGTAGACTTAAAGGTTCATGGAAATACATTAGGGTATCAAAAAGTGAAATGTATGAACTTTATGACAACTATGATATATTCAATAAAATAGCTTAATTGTTTTTTAAAAAAGGATTTTAATAGGGTTTGAGGTAAAACTCATGCCACTGCTAACTGATGAAGGTCGTATTCCATAAAAACCCTCCATCCTTTTTCTTATTGATGGATGGCTCCAAAAAATTCTGTCCCTCCACTTTCACTCATGTATTGTGTCCTCTGTGAGCAGCCATATTTGTTAAAGCTGAAATGTCATGATGATGGATCACAACCAGACCCTCTATTTGGGGCTAGATACCTGAGCCAATCTGTCATTATGTGCAAATTATCTTCTTGCTGGATCTGGAGAGATAAATAAGATGCAATTGCACATGGTTCTATATCCTGTTTTAACTAAACGAACGTATGGCCCAATAAGAATAGGGGTCAGACATCATGGGACTCAATGGAGCCTGTGATTCTGGAAGTAAGCCAGCTAAGGCCCCTCTGAGCCTGCTCCTGCTTTCCTCTGGATTTTTGTATGCACAATGATACCTAAAAAACACTGAACACCGTTTGACTTAAATTCTATTTCATATTTGTTCACGTCATGCTTGAACTCTTAGCCTGGTCCTTATCTCTTCAAATTTGCCCGCATCTAACTCCAAAGATGATTCTTTGAGTTCATTTCAGACAATACCATTTTAGTCTCCAGCAGGAGCCCTGGGGAAACTCACCATGTCTAATTTATCTTCAGTGAATATCAAATCATATTCACCACATAAAAGTTAGGATGGCTTTATCAGTTTTATTAAAGCTGTAAATTTTCCTTTTAAAACCTGCCAAAGCCTATGCTTCTAGAATCCTCTAACAACAAATTAACTTTTTTTCCCTTCTTTCTCTGCTTAGTCCTTCAGCCAGTCTGACCAATGGGATACTCCCCATAGAGCATGTGTGAAAATTGTCCTGTAATTCAAGACAGCAGAGTGGTATTTCTGTTTTTCTACCTGGATTCACACTTGGCGCAGTGCTGTAGCTCAGAAAGAAAAACTGCACATCTAAGAACCACAGTTCCAGGCAAGGTGTTGGAGGCTTTGGTCTTACAGACATGAAAAAGCTGCTTTGAACCGCTTGACGTTTTCTACTCAGGAACCCCAAACTTGTGCCTACTGTTCTCGCTCCTTGTTAAGGCCTCCTTCTAAAGCCTCTGAGTAACATGATCTCAGCCCTCCCGAGCCTAGAGCCTAGATTCCCCCATTGCCTCACTCCTCCCACTGCCCTCACTATGCCTTGTGGGAGCCTCTCCAGGGGACACTATCTCCTGAATGCAGAATGTACCTTCACATCTTTCAACTTTTGCTCTGAATATCCCATCCGACTACATTCTCTTTGTCTTCTTTATCATCTGTTGAAATCCTATAGATCTTTTAGGGACCAGGCTGAATTCACAGGCTTCATTCTCCTCCAATGCATCTAATCACCTTTCCTCCTTTCTCCATACCTTTTAACACTTTGCATCCCTTTTCCCTGTCTATCTCTCTCTCTACTTTAAATGCTCATGATCATCCTGATCCTCCCAGCACCTGTCTCTGTCTTTCCAATACTAGGCATAGCAAACAAATTGCTTAAAAATCTCACGTTAGGCTGGGCACGGTGGCTCATGCCTATAATACAAGCACTTTGAAAGCCAAGGCAGGTGGATCATCTGAGGTCAGGAGTTCGAGACCAGCCTGATCAACATGGTGAAATCCTGTCTCTACTAAATACAAAAAATTAGCCAGGCATCGTGGCGCATGCCTGTAATCCCAGCTACTTGGGAGGCTAAGGCAGGAGAATCACTTGAACCTGGAATGTGGAGGTTGCAGTGAGCAGAGATTGTGCCATTGCACTCCAGCATGGATAACAAGAGCAAAACTCAGACTCAAAAAAAAAAAAAAAGAAAAAAAGAAGAAGCTCACATTAGAAATAAAAAGAAAGAGATGATGAGTTACAAGGTGAGGCATAGAATTTACATATGGATTATAGAGCTGAAAAAGAGATGGAAGTCAAGAAGTTTGGTGCATGTTCTAGGAATAAACCAAATACCAGTGGCTGTATCACAATAATGTCTTGAGGCTTCTCCACCCAGATGACACTCAAAGACTTAATATTTTATTTATTCAATTAGCCAACCAGTAACCTTTGGCAAGTTGAGGCCATTTTATAAAACCTGAACAATATGTTCATCGAATCTTTGTAATTAGGAAACTATATTTCTAAAACCAAAATAAAACCCAGAAGACTCACTCACTGTTGCATTTTCCGACATTACTAAGGAAGTAAGAAAGAAAATCACTGATAACGATGGAAATGTTGGTCATGGAGAAAATTCCTTCTTTTTTCCCAGTCATGAATGACAACCCTGGGCACAAAGATCATGGAATCTGTGTATTTCCTTAGTACCTAGAATACTACCTGAGACATGACAGGTCTTAAGTATATGTAGAATAAATGTTTTAGGAGAAAAATTGATAAACTGTGGTTCTTAATTAAGTGTGGGTGGCAAGGCAGAGAGAGAAGTGTAGAGCAACCACCAGTTTGGAGCTGGAACAGCAGAGTGGATGTTGGAGCTGTTGATTAAAGGCATTCGTAGCAGAAAAAGCGTGGGTTCTACAGGAAAGAATGTTGGTTTGGCTTTAGATATGTGTTGAACTTATGAGAACTTTGAACCCAATAGAGATGTCTATTAGCTAATTGATTACTCAGGTCAGGAGCTTAGGAGAGAGGTGGCAACCAGAAATTAAGGCATAGTTCCATGGTTGCAGACTGCTAGGTCACAGGCTTGTCTAGCCAGCACAACATATTTAAATTTTTGTGTCACTTGAAAACTTTAACAAGCAAGAAGTCTTCACATAAAAATCCAGATTTTCAGCTTCTCTTTAAAAAGCTGAAGATCTAGTAAAGTTATACCTACCTTCCCTCAAGCTAGCGAAGAGCGAGAGCTGAGAAGTGGCTGTCCCCTTACATGGAAATGTCCCCTTACATGGAAATGTCCCCTCAGTCACCATAGAAGCTTCATTTCATGTTGTTTTCCCCATGCCAAGGGTTCCAGGTACCATTGCCATCCTGTTTGTGTGGTTATTCTTAGAGGAGAGCTAAGAAAAATGAAATCTTTCTCTATCACATCTATCAAAAGTGGGAAAATTAAAACTACCAAGACTAGAAAAAAAAATTCTTATACTTATCTAACATCTTTGTTGTGTTGCCAGTCTAGCTTCTAAAGGCGTTCGACATTGTGACCTCTGACATAGTTTCAAGAGTTGTTTGAGTTACTGTCGTGATATTCAGCTTTGAGTTTCATTGCCCAGAACCTCAGCAGCAGATGGTTCTCTCTCAGAAGAATACAGTGGTCTTGAGGTCAAGTTCTGTTCTTCATTCAGCATTTTCCTTGATGCCATTGCCAACCATTTTTACATCCTTGTTTAAGCTGGTAGTTTATTCATAATAAAATTATATATATTGATGTTTTTCTGATTATATCAATGATGAATGCACGTTAAACTTTTGCTTGCTGGGGTAAATAAGGAAGCAGTAACAGTGAGCTAAAATTAGGTCATGCTTATTTTAGTAACTATAGGACTTGTGAACCTGTAAGAAATGTCACCTCTCTATGTGGCACAGACCAGTTTACAGAATTCTAAAACCCCTTAGATCAGTCTTCATTGCCTACTCCCAAACTTGATTCTTAGATACTTAAATAATAATAACACCTTCTTCTAGAATCCTAAAATAAACTATCCTACCATTCTGGAAAAATAAATTTTAAAAGCCTCCTTGAGTTTAAGAATGAAGCACATCTTGCATAAGGAGGAAGCACCAAATAGCTTTGTTTAATAGATACGAACAAACAACTTACTCTACTTGGGTTCAAGACTATAATTCTGCTGCGAACTTGCTATCAGTTCTTGGATAAACTAATTAACCTTTCCATAAAATAGGGGTTAAATAATAGCTGAATAATCTACCTCTTAGAACTGTGGGAGCTAATATGTAAAGTACTTTATAAAAGCATATGACATTTTTCATATTTTGATTGTCATTTCATTTTCTGGAGATAACAAATGACATATGTTGAATCTACTTTGTGTTCAAGCCAACCTTTTGTCAGCTTCCCTTTGGTTTATTAATACTACTTTTATTGTTGAACTAAAACAGAGGCTTTTTATGGGTGTTTGATAAGAAAATATTACCAAGAAAGTTGTTTTTACATTGAACCATTCTTTCAAATGGTCACTTTTTTAGCTTCCCCTTGTTATCTCTTAATACTGACTTTACATCTAGTATTTTGATTATTTTCCTAAAAAGTCTTCCCTTCAGAGGCTGGGAGCTAGTGCAGCTTACTAAAAGATTAAAAATAACTAACACTGCAAATAAAGTTCTGTGCTGTCACCCAGGTGCTAGGAATTGGAATTGCAATGGTGCCCCCTTGCGAGGATGTTCTGTCAATGCACCTCACAGACGAATGGAGGCGATGTGTTTTTAGAGGGGGATATTCTCAGCACTAATTTGATGTAGATGAATTCTGTGGCTCTTTATAAATGTAAGAAGCTCCCAGGTATGGCAGATGTTGACCACAATTCTCTTAACTTAGACAACAATGCAATTAGAAGTGGACTTTTATTATAGTATTTCTGGAGTTTTCTTTGTACTCGACTGTGTCTGTAATTGGTTGCCAGGAAACGAAGTTTTTAAAATTATATTTCAATTTGAATTTCAATTAACTTTAATAAATACATATATATGAATCCTCACTTGTCTACATGTTAGAGGGAATAATAGGCACTAATAACTATTACTTGTCCACCAAGTACAAAGCAATGGACTTCATATAAGTTTTTAAAAATATAATTTGTTATATCTATTAGATATTAACTTCCCGTTTCACTTAAAAAGAAACTGAAATTCAAAGAGGTTATTCAAATTCATGTAATAGTAAGTGACAAAGCTGGAAATCAATAAATCTTTGAGTCCTGTTAATTAAAGCAATAAAAAATATATATAAATATGTATATGTGTATCTACTATATAGATAGTCCTCAAAAAATTTGTCATCTAAAAAGTGATAGTAAATTAAAAATCCCAGCACATCATGTTTATTGATGTGTATAAGGTACTTTGGAAGCACTTGACCCAGACTGAGGAAACCAGGGATGGCTTCTTGCTAGAGATGACACCTGAGTTCAGATAGGAAGGATGAGGAGGAGTTCTGCGGGTAAAGTAGGAAGAAGGTAGGTTGCTCCTTTCTCAGGCTAAAGCCCAGATCTGTTCTATTCTGTGATTAGTACGATGAGGTGCAGGCCCATCTAATAAACGAAAATATGAGTCTTTTCTAAAGGATCAAAATTTGTTTCTCTCTGAGAGAAATCCAGTGATGGATAATCTATGGCTGTTCTGGAAGATCTGTGGTGTTGTTAGGAACCAGCCTCCTATCTTTCTATCGCACTATCCACATTTAAGACTTCAAGTCTAAGGGCTCCTGAAAGGTATGGAGCTCCAACCTTCACCTCCCCTGTTCAGTCCTAAGGAGGAGGAAAGGAAAGAGGCACAAAAAGAACACCCTCCAACACCAAGTCTACAACCATTTCAATGTCTTCTCCTGAGTTGCAAGCAGTACATCCACTGTCATATTGTTGGCTAAAGTACAGATATATGGCTATACCCAGTTGCAGGGGTGGCTAGAACTGTCTTTTATTGTATGCTGCAATGTGTACAATTAAAAAGTAGGAAGAAGAAAAAGGAAGAGAATAAATGAATAGGCTAGCAGCTTCCCCCAGACTCCAAATCCCACGCTTCTACACACTAGTATTGTCCCAGGTAAAATTTTTTAGGTAATTAATAAAAGAGAATAAATGAATCATAGCAAATAAATGTCAAAGAAGAAGAAATATTTTTCAATGATCAAATGAGATATCACAACAAGAAAAACTTAGAATATGTTTGTATTTGTCTCTCTCCCTAACAATAAGAGCAACATTGAATACCTGGAGTATATCTGCCTAAAAAATAATGTCTCAAACTTAGACATTCATTAGTAAACAAGAGGTCCTTCATTATCCAATTTGAGAAAGTATCTAAGTAAATTATTAAAAATCTGTTAATGTGAGGCTAGGCTTTTGGTGGCAACCTCAAAAACACCAACAGCTTATGTTAATATAGCTGTTTTGGTTTTAAAAAAAAAGTCACTTTCACATAATTTTTTTCTTTTTCAGAGATTTTCCAGAATATATTACCTAGTCACAACTTTCAAGCATTCTTTAAATCTTAAATACATGCCTGATAACATCTAATCGAAAAATGCAGACCCACTGGAAATTTATCCAAAAAAAACAATATTTATATTTTCAGGATAGAAATCAAACTGCCAAGCCATCCCTGATGTTGAATTACACCTAAAACACGGAATCTGAAAACATGCATGTGCTAAGTGTATAATCATTTAAGTCACTAATGAGGGCAGGACTGCCTGCAAGGTGTCTAAAACCTGCTTTTTGACATTGGAAGCTCTGTGCGATTTTATGCCTGGCGTGAGGTTCTGCTACGTGGCCTGGTTATTCACAGCTGGAGGCGGTATCTCTCCTCAATTTATTCCTGCTTCCTGAGGGGAAATGTGTTAGGTGGCCTGAGAGTCAAACTGCTGAAACGTTTTTCTTAGTGACAGATACTTTTAATAAGGTAAAAATGGCTACACATTTGCATTAGTTTTCTATTGCTGGGTAAAAATTACTAGAAGCATGGAGGCTTAAAATAAAACTGATTTAGTGGCTCACGTTAATGTGTTAGAATTTTAGGACAACATGACTGGGTTCTCTACTCAGGGTATCCCAAGGCAGAAATAAGGTATCAGCTGGACTGAGTTCTCATTTGGGGGCTCTGGGAGAAAATCCAATTCCAGATTGATTCCTGGTGTTGACAGAGTTCAGTTCCTTGCAGTTGTAGGATTGAGGTTCCCATTTCCTTGCTGGCTTTCAGCCGGGGGTCACTCGGCTCCTAGAGGTCACCCTCAGTTCTGTGCCACATGATTCCCTCCATCTTTAAGCCAGCAATGATGTCTCACATCCTCCTCACACTTCCGGTTTCTAACTTCCTTACTGTGACAAGCTGGAGGAAAGTGTCTTTAAAGTGCTCATGTGATTAGGTCAGGCCAGCCCACTTGATTTTCATCATCTAATCACGAGAATAAAATCCATCCTATTCTCAGTCCCAGGGATTATTCAGGATGTGTACCGCGGTGAGAAGTCTCGGAGGCTGTTGAGAATCTGCCTGCATAGCAGCTGCTCAGAACTTGGTTGGGGAGGGAATTCTAGGCTGAGAATGGCAAATCTCTCTTGGGATTTTAATTCTAACACTAATGGCAAATAGTAAATTTTCCTAGATAAACCGCTGCTGAAATGTCTCATTCCTGTGTTGGCAAGTATACATTCTCTACTTTTTCTGATTGCTCTGAATTAAATGAAGTTTAAAATATCCTAGAAGGACTGAAAGAGATTTGCTTGAGATGGGTTGTCACCTGGGGCTTGAGTCTAACAAAGCAGGAGATTGAGTTGTTACCAATTTCCAAACGGTATCTCAAAGAGCAGTTAAATATCTGATTATCTGATTACTGGATAAACGTCATTCCCAGAGTCCTCATATGGCACCATTTGATAAGCCTGCAAAGCAGGTAAAAGAAATACTTTTGTTTTAGTTTCCTTAAGGCACCCACCAGAGCCCTGAGACTAAGCTTCTACACCATGAGACCACTCCCTTCATGAGTCTCAGTTTCTGTTTGTAATTTTTTTTTTTTTGAGACAGAGTTTCACTCTTGTCACCCAGGCTGGAGTGCAATGGTGCGATCTCGGCTCACTGCAATCTCTGCTTCCTGGGTTCAAGCAATTCTCCTCTCTCAGCCTCCCAAGTAGCTAGGATTACAGGCACACGCCACCACCCTTGGCTAATTTTTTTTTTTTTTTTTTTTTTTTTTTTTGTATTTTTTGGTAAAGATGGGTTTCACCATGTTGGCTAGGCTGGTCCTGAACTCCTGACCTCGGGTAATTCACCCTCCTCGGACTCCCAAAATGCTGGAATTACTGGCGTGAGCCACTGCACCCAGCCTGTGATTTTCATTCACTGATATTTCTGAACATGTGCATCTACAAAATCCGAAACTCAATAAACGCATAACAGACCCCTTTTAAAAAGCTACCCATTGGCTAGGTGTGACCTGCCTGACCAACATGGTGAAACTCTGTCTCTACTAAAAACAAAAAAAAAATTAGCCGGCTTTAGTGGCTCACACCTGTAATCCCAGCTACTTGGGAGGCTGAGGCAGGAGAATCGCTTGAACCTGGGAGGCAGAGGTTGCGGTGAGCTGAAATTGTGCCAATGCACTCCAGCCTGGGCAACTTCATCTCAAAAACAAGAAAAAAAAAAGAAATTTGAATGGATATGGCAGTGAATAGATCATCTCTAAGTTACAGTATTCTGTATTTGGTTGTAATTTCTATTGTTCTGGCATATTAGATGTCGCCTCTTTAATCTGTTGTATTTTTTCATGCAAAACTGCTTCAATATTGCATCATAATAATTTGCTCAGTTTTCCCAAGGATTGAAATGAGTGCTTTATTCTTCAACAACATATGTTTTCTGGGAAAATATATTATTCTTTTGCCTACTATTTTCATTGGTTAAAAAATACACGTAATGTTTTAAACAAAAAAACTTTTTAAAATATGTTGTTTAAATTAATTTAAACTTTTAAAAGAGAAACTATAGCTAGCAAGCAAATATATAGAAATGTTTTAAATATTATTAATAAAATTCAAAAACACTCAAGAACATGGTACTGTGTTTAATATAATTGCTTTACTGAGATCTAATTCACATGTCATACAATGTGTCATTTAAAGTATATAATTGAATGGATTTTAATATATTCACAAAATTGTACAACTATTACCACAATTTTAGAATATTTTCATCACCCCAAAAATAAACCCCATATTTCCCCACAAACCGCCCTGCCATAGGCCACCACTAATATGTTTTCTACCTCTGCAGATTTGTCTTTTCTGGTCATTTCATATAGAAAGAATCACACAGTAGATGGTTTTTGTGACTGGCTTATTTCATTTAGCAACATTTTCAAGGTTTGTTCATGTTGTAGCAAATATTCAGTACTTTCAATGGTACCTTTTTTTTTTTTTTTTTTTGAGACAGAGTCTTGCCCTGTCACCAGGCTGGAGTGCAGTGGCATGATCTCGGCTCACTGCAACCTCCACCTCCTGGGTTCAAGCAATTCCCCTGCCTTAGCCTCTCGAGTAGCTGGGACTACAGGCATGCACCACCATGCCCAGCTAATTTTTTGTATTTTAGTAGAAACGAGGTTTCACCATGTTGACCAGTATGGTCTCGATCTCCTGACCTCGTGATCCACCTGCCTCAGCCTCCCAAAGTGCTGGGATTACAGGCGTGAGCCACCGCAGCCGGCTGGTATCATTTTTATCTAATAGATTATTCTTGAAATTTCATGATGTGATGTTGGTGAAGTGTTCCTCTCTATATTACTAGTATCCTGGTTTTACAAAGGAATTTGGTAACATGTACCTAGAGTCTGACAAGGACTTCCTCCTTAACTGGATACTAGTCAGGCTCCTCTAAGCACTCTTCTTGACCAGGCCTCATCCTTGGCCAACTGAGTCCAGTTTTAGCAAGAGTCCTAAGAAGCCAGTTTAGCAAGAATTCCTCTATCATTGATCAAGTTCCTCATTTTCCCCAGCTGTTGATATCTAATCAAGTTCCTCAGTAATTTTTCACTCACTGATCCCACCCTGCCTAGTGGCCATCAATCCCAGGGTGTCTTGGCTGTATTTAGAATACAGTTTTGTACTGAAGTCTCTCTCCTGTACTGCAGTAACTTGACAGAATAAAACCTATCTTGCCATTTTTAAAAAATGTCTGTTGCAATTTCTCTTTGGCAAGTCCAAAAAATACTAAACAAGTTTTGACTAAAAATTTTTATCTCTGGAAGTTTGTCTTAAGGAAATAATTTGGAGTCAAGTAAAAAGATTTATTTATGAATTTGATGGTAGTGAATAAAATAGCAAAGGAATGGGAACAGGTAATTGGTTCTTAAAATATTCAACACTAGGGGAATGAGTGAGCAAACCCACATGTAGCAACCCAATGATATATACTGTATTTATTAACAGATAGAGTTATGGAGCTATAGCACTATAGAAATGTTGCTAAAGTGCTTGGCATAAATTTGTGGACACTATAGTTCAAAGCATTTAAGAAATATAAATATGATATTCTTATCTACAAAACAGTGGCGTTTTAAAAAATTGAAGTTATTCAATACAAAAAAAGATGTAAGAGACATAATAATTATATATAAGGTGTGGACCCTGTTTGAAATCTAATTTAAACAAAATAAATGTAAATAATATATTTGGAGAGCAATAAATGAATTTTGAATATGAACTGGCTACTATATTATGTAAATGTATTTTACATTCTATGTTACAAAAAAAGTTATTAATTTTTAGAAATGTAAAATGAACTAGAAGCGAAATATCATGTTATCTGAGATTTGTTTTAAAATTCTCCTGCAAAGAAAAAAATTAGATGAACAGTTAAGGAAATCTGTTAGTAGTTGTTCAATTTAGGTATTCCAGTTTTCTATTGCTTTTTAACAAACTATCCAGAAACAGGGTCTTAAGACAGTAATGATCCTTATTTTGCTCAATAATTTGGAAGTTGACTCAAATCAGTTAGGCAGGTCTCTCTCAGGGTCTCTCCTGCAGTACTGGAGACAGTACTGGAACTGGGTCCTTCTTCACTCAAACAAATAGGAGCTGCAAGAGCTGAAACTCTTCAAGTGTGTCCCTTCCCTCCTCCTCTTCTCCTGCCTTCTCTCTCCCCCTCACCCCCAAATGGTTTCTCCACTTTGTCGCCTCAGGGAAAACAAACTTCTTATATTGTAACTAAAGGATCCCAGAGTAAGTGTTCCAAAATAAACCAGCAGAAATTATGTGTTATTTTTAAGCTATTTTTTGAAGTTATGTAGCATCACTTCAGTTTTACTCCAGACACAAAAGTCCACCCAGGTCAAGTGGAGGGATCCACCTTTTGATGAGGGCGTGGCAAGGTCGCATTGAAAGAATAGCGTGTGAGGCGAAAGTTACTGTTCCAGCCATCTTTGTTTGTTTTGTTGTGATACAGAGTCTCCCTTTGTCATCCAAGCTGGAGTGCAGTAGCACGATCTCAGCACACTGCAACCTCCGCCTCCCGTATTCAAGCGATTCTCCTGCCTCAGCATCTCAAGTAGCTGGAATCACAGGCGCACAGCCACCACACCCAGCTAATTTTTGTATTGTTAGTAGAGACGGGGTTTCACCATGTTGGCCAGGCTGGTCTCGAACTCCTGACCTGGAGTGATCCACCCGCCTCAGCCTCCCAAAGTGCTGGGATTACAGGTGTGAGCCACGGCGCCCAACCCCAGCCGTCTTTGAAAAATAATATTGCCACACGAGGTGATGAGTATTTGAAATTCGTCACAATATTCTTTTAAATATTTTGACATTTTTACTTTTAACTTGGGAAAAAAAAGACTAAAGGGAAATGTACCAAAATATGCATAGTAATTCCATTAAATAATTGTCTAACCTCTTAAATTAGCTATAACATCATATTACTTCTGTTACTTAATAAAAATAAATAATTTCAAAAAATGATTCTCTTAATTCCTTCCCAATAGCTGAACACAGCCAGGATATCCTAATATTCTAAAAATAAACCACAATAAACATCATCACTAAATGCTATAAACATTTCCTTATTTATTTTACATCTTTTTCCTTTTTCTATTCTAAAGTTGGAGCTGAGAGAGCAAATATTTTTATCCCAGCTTGGATAAGAATCAGATTTTACTTAAGCCGGGAGCCCAGAGTCTGTGGATTAGTTAATGTATATGTAAATTATCTAAAATGCTGTGCAAAACTTGGTGAACATGCATCAGTGCATCTTAGAGAAGAGAGGATCGGTGGGGCACAGTGGCTCATGCCCATCATCCCAGCACTTTGGGAGGCTGAGGCGGGTGGATCACGAGGTCAGGAGATCAAGACCATCCTGGCTAACATGGTTAAACCCCATCCATACTAAAAATACAAAAAATTAGCTGGGTGTGGTGACACGCACCTGTAGTCCCAGCTACTCGGGAGGCTGAGGCAGGAGAATCACCTGAACCCGGGAAGTGGAGGTGGCAGTGAGCTGAGATCGCGCCACTGCACTCTGCCTCAAAAGAAAAAAAAAAAAAGGAGAGGATCTATAGTTTCTATCAATTCTGAGATAAATAGTTTAAGAATCACAATTACTCTTGTTGTTGCAAAGTAAGTTTAACATTTTTCCTAGCTCTGTGGATTCACTGAAAGCATATAGATCACATTTCTACATCTCTGACCATTTATTTTCTCTTCATCCTCCCTTACCTCGTTCACATCCAGAAATACAGATTATACTTGCCAGCTTCTCCCTAGAGCCACAGGGTCACATGTGAATAGAAGGCTCTAGCTGTCCTTTTAATAATGCCCAAAGAGTATTCACAAGTCCAGGACCCTGTCTTTAAATCTGGGTATTTGAGGAAGAATATTCCTGGATGCTATTTCCTCCTACCCAATACTACATGGTACTATATTTTGTTAACATTTAGTTCTACTTAAAAATTATCAAATTAACGTTTTTGCCAGTTTTTCCGTGTGTTTTATTTTCCCAAGAGGTTTAGGATAGTTGTTTTGGGAAGTCAGGGACCCTGAATGGAGGGACTGGCTGGACCCGCGGCAGAGGAACATAAATTGTGAAGATTTCATTTTAATATGGACATTTATCCATTCCCAAATAATACTTTTATAATTTCTTACACCTGTCTTACTTTAATCTCTTAATCCCGTTATCTTCGTAAACTGAGGCTGTACATCACCTCAGGACCACTGTGATAATTATGTTAACTGTACAAATTGATTGTAAAACATGTGTGTTTGAACAATATTAAATCAGTGCACCTTGAAAAAGAACAGAATAACAGCGATTTTTAGGGAACAAGGGAAGACAACCATAAGGTCTGACTGCCTGCGGGGCCAGGCAAAGAGAGCCATATTTTTCTTCTTGCAGAGAGCCTATAAATGGGCGTGCAAGTAGGGAAGATGTCACTGAATTCTTTTCCTAGCAAGGAATATTAATATTAATACCCTGGGAAAGGAATGCATTCCTGGGGGGAGGTCTATAAATGGCCATTCTGGGAGTGTCTGTCCTATGCGGTTGAGATAAGGACTGAGATACACCCTGATCTCCTGCAGTACCCTCAGGCTTACTAGTGTAGGGAAGAATCCTGCCCTGGTAAATTTGTGGCGAGACCCATTCTCTGCTCTCGAACCCTGTTTTCTGTGGTTTAAGTTGTTTATCAAGACAATACGTACACTGCTGAACACAGACACTTATCAGTAGTTCTGCTTTTGCCCTTTGCCTTGTGATCTTTGTTGGACCCTTATCAGTAGTTCTGCTTTTTGCCCTTTGAAGCATGTGATATTTGTACCTACTCCCTGTTCTTACGCCCCCTCCCCTTTTGAAACCCTTAATAAAAAACTTGCTGGTTTGAGGCTCAGGTGGGCATCACAGTCCTACCAATATGTGATGTCACCCCCGGCAGCCCAGCTGTAAAATTCCTCTTTATAAGACATTTATGCAGCCAAAAGACACATGAAAAAATGCTCATCATCACTGGCCATCAGAGAAATGCAAATCAAAACCACAATGAGATACCATCTCACACCAGTTAGAATGGCAATCATTAAAAAGTCAGGAAACAACAGGTGCTGGAGAGGATGTGGAGAAATAGGAACACTTTTACACTGTTGGTGGGACTGTAAACTAGTTCAACCATTGTGGAAGTCAGCGTGGCAATTCCTGAGGGATCTAGAACTAGAAATACCATTTGACCCAGCCATCCCATTACTGGGTATATATCCAAAGGATTATAAATCATGCTGCTATAAAGACACATGCACACATATGTTTATTGCGGCACTATTCACAATAGCAAAGACTTGGAACCAACCCAAATGTCCAACAATGATAGACTGGATTAAGAAAATGTGGCACATATACACCATGGAATACTATGCAGCCATAAAAAGTGATGAGTTCATGTCCTTTATAGGGACATGGATGAAGCTGGAAACCATCATTCTCAGCAAACTATCGCAAGGACAAAAAACAAAACACTGCATGTTCTCACTCATAGGTGGGAATTGAACAATGAGAACACATGGACAGAGGAAGGGGAACATCACACACCGGGGCCTGTTGTGGGGTCGGGGGAGGGGGGAGGGATAGCATTAGGAGATATACCTAATGTAAATGATGAGTTAATGGGTGCAGCACACCAACATGGCACATGTATACATATGTAATAAACCTGCATGTTGTACACATGTACCCTAAAATTTAAAGTATAATTTAAAAAAAATTCCTCTTTATACTGTCTCTCTTTATTTCTCAGCCAGCCGACACTTATGGAAAATAGAAAGAACCTACATTGAAATATTGGGGGTGGGTTCCCCTGATAGATAGTATTTTTAATCAGATTTTTCCCCGGTTTTATCATGTTATGTTCTTTTGTTTCTCTCAGACCTTTCAGGGATGAATATTAGGTTCAAGTGATTTGATTTATATCCTACTACCTCTGATTCTAAGTTGGACAGTATTTATATTGTTTTGCAAGAGAGAACTTCAGGAATTTGTCCTAGCTATTAGTTTGCTCTTACAGAAAAAAAAAAAAAAAAAAAAAAAAAAAAAAAAAAAAAAAAAAAAAAAAAAAAAAACCTCACAAGGAATAAAAAAAAATTGAGAAAAAAGGACAAGCATGTGGTTTCTAAGAATGAATGTTCTTAGAAACCCAGCAAGAAACTCATGCTGATGTTTCCCAGTTACCTTTCCTACCTTCTTGGGCAAGTCCATTTGCTTCTGCACTTCAGCTACTATGGTCACACCATTAACCTCCTAGTCTGTATCCCCAGAACTCACACAGAAAGAAAGTATGCTCGTCCATAATCTCTTTTTTGCAATTCCAAAATTTAAAAGTGCTAAAATATGAATGTTTTTCCATAACTTATTTTGCATTCAAAAATGACTTAATCTGAATTCACTTGGTAATAAAACTTGACCTGTATTGATGTAAGGCTGCTTTAAATTACTATTTTTTCCTCTTAAGGAATCATAGGGTTAACTGTAGAACTGTTACTGTGTTTGATAACCAGGTGCTCTCCTAATCCTCCTTTGAGAGTTTTACATAATGTAGGGTTATATATCATTTAAACTGTCTAAAACAGAAATATCTGAATATAAAGCACATCTAGACCTATAAGTTTCCTATAAAGGATTGTAGATACATCCAGTGCAACATGCCAAAATGCCATCTCTATGAGAAATACCAAAACATTTAGCCAGACATGGTGGCACATCCCTGTAGTCCCAGCTACTCAGGAGAGTGAGGTGGGAGGATGGCTTGAGGCCAGGAGGTCAAGGCTGCAGTGAGCCACGATCATGTCACTGCACTCTAGCCTGGCAACAGAGCAAGACTCTGTCTCAAAACAAAACTACAGAATTGTAGATCAAAACTAACATTTCATTTCATATATTCAGTCTAAATAATTTCAATCATTAAAGCACTCTAAAGGCATTTTACCAAGTAATGAGATAGAAAAATATTAATTAACTTCTTAGAGGGGATGTTTTAATAAAATAACAATCTCAATAAGATTAGATGTCTTTATTAAGAACTAAGAAAAATCTGAAAGAGTAATAATCATAGCTAACATTTATTGAGCCCTGATAAATTGCTAGACACTCTATTAATTAACATTTATCTACATTATTTCATTAATTCCTCTAAACTACAATGTGAAGTAGGTATTTCTATCATACTTACTCTATAAATGAGAAAACTGAGGCACAGAATAGTTAACATACAAGGATACATTTACAAGTGGTTGAGATAAAATCTAAATCTACATAATCTGACTCCAGAGCCTGTACATCAAACCTATATGGTATATTGGCTCAGTAACAATAGGAAACCCGCCCTAAAATGTATTAAAATACTACAGTGGTGAACAGTTTAGTGCTGGCACAAAAATAAACAGACATGCTAAAACTAGCAAGATTTCCATGAGTGTTCCAGTTTTCTATTACTACACAACAAACAACCACAAAACGTAGTGGCTTAAAAATATATATTATCTCTAATGGTTTTATGACTTGACTGAGCTCAGCTGGGTAGTTCTTGTTTAGAGTTTTTCATGTGATTGCAGTCCAATGATGGCTGGAGCTAGAATCATCCAAAGGCTCATCTGGGATGGATGTCCAAGATGGCTGACTCACATGGTTGGCAGCTGATGCTAGTATTAGCTGGGACTGTAAACTGGAACACCCATACAAGGCCTCCCCATGTGGCTTGGGTTTTTCATAGGATGACCACTAGGTTCTACATGGAAGCATTCCAAGAATGATTGTCCTAAGAAACTCAGGCAAAAGCTGTAAGACATCATATGGCCTAGCTTCCGATGTTCCAGAACATCTCTTCTCTCCACATTCTATTGGTCTAGCAGGTCACTAAGTCTAGCCCAGATTCAAGAAGAGGGTAATTTGACCCTACTTCTTGATACAAGATACAGCATATGTACACAGGGAGGAAAGCAATTGATGGTGGACATCTTTGGATACTAGCTACCAAGGTTCACCTTCTGGTCACCACAATTTACATTTTTCCCATTAGCAAAATAGGCTTGTCACCATTCCCAAGACCCCTATGATGATATATCACCATGGCATCAGCTCAAAGTCTAGGATCTACTCATTTAAATCAGAGCCAGGTACAGCTGCAGGTGCAGTTCATTGGGTGTAACTCTTCAATATGGCTCTTCTCAGTCTGAAGAACTGTGAACTAAGTGCCTACACACTACATGCAATGATAGTGCAGAAATATAATAAACACAACAATTTTCCTCAAAAACAACGGGATAGGGGGGCAAAGAGACTGGTCAGAAGACACACAGCTGTCCCTGATTTATAGCAATTCTTAAGTCCTGGCAGGCATATGTCACTAGTTTCTTCATAAGGGAGTGATTCCTGTGGCTCTTGGTTCTACCCTCTGGACTTTCAGCTCTTCATTTTGAATCAATCTTCTTTCTTTTTAAGAAATGATTAATGTTTTACAGTTTCATAGCTTTCCCAAATTGCTTCCTAACTAGAGAAGTTTGGGAACTCTAAAAACTTTTTTCTTTCTGAACTAGTTCTGTCCTTTCAATCCAAGCACATTGTACTTCTAATGGTACAACCCTCTTAAAAACTTAACAAGTTCCCTACTAATCTTACTGGGGTTCACTCCTTTATACAAAAGCCACACACACAGTCTCTTTAAGACAGGCCTTCTTCACTACTATGGCCCAAGAGTCACAGTTCTGTGGGTGAAATGCCCTTAGGACTTTGTTCACCTGAGAGGATCTACAAGGCACCCCCTTGAGTCTTTCTGAAAACTCAATAGGTGGTTACAGATGCATGCTTAACTCTATTTTCACCCTGACATCACATCAGTGTTACTGGTTACCCTAGATTTGATCTTTGCTCAGAAGCCCTTTCTTTTTTTTTTTCTTCTTTTCTTTTCTTTTTTGAGACGGAGTCTTGCTCTGTCGCCCAGGCTGGCGTGCAGTGGTGCAATCTCGGCTCACTGCAAACTCCACCTCCCAGGATCAAGCGATTCTCCTGCCTCGGTTTTATGAGTAGGTGGGATTACAGGCACCCACCACCATGCCTGGATAATTTTTGTATTTTAGTCAAGACGGGGTTTCACCATGTTAGCTAGGCTGGTCTCGAACTCCTGACCTCAGGTGATCCGCCCACCTCAGCCTCCTGAAGTGTTGGGCTTACGGGCATGAGCCACTGCGCCTGGCCTGCCTTTTCTTGAGAAAATTTTACTGTCTGGAAACGGTTCAAAACTTAACAGTAACAGTACCCTCTCCCTCCCCCCACCTTTTTAAAAGTTCATCTCTCTCTAGCCATTACTTTAGCATATGAGGCTAAAAGAAAGAAGGTGGCACTTTCAGTATTCTATGTGGACCCCTCCTTAGCCAAACCCATTAGTTCATTTCTACTTTCCACATTTCTTCTGGCAACTTTGTTACCAAACTTTCTAACATTGTATAACAAGGCTCTGCTTTTCTCCAGCTTCCACTGGTAATTCCTCACTGTCCCGCAGGTTGTCACTAACAGTCTCCTCAAGGCCCTTTTGCCCCTTGCCTGCTGCCTAGTCCCAAAGCCAATGCCACAAGTTTTAAGTCTTTATTACAGCAGCATCCCAGTTTCAATAACAATTTTTGTTGCATGCATCTAATACTGTGTAACAAATCAACCCAAACTTAGATGTTTAAGGCAACAATTTATTATTACCTCTCATAGTCCCAGAGACATCAAGTACAATGGATGGAATGAGGTGCCATATTGAGAAAAAGGCCACTCCAGTCCCTTTTTACCACTTACTCCAACCACCACCCCCGAGAATGATGCCTGCCCAGCAAGAAATTGGAGGCTTTCTCTATGGGGAAACTGGAAATCGATGAGTCCAAGAAAAAAGAGCTCTAGATTAACATTTGGTAATCTCACAATCTTATGCCTAGGTTCCTCTCAAATCCCCCTAGAGTAAAACCCAGCAGCTGATGAGCCCTGCTACTCTTGAAGTGCCTCCAGTCAGCACTCTTAAATATGATTAGCCAGTTACAAATCACAAGACATTTGTACAGTCTCCAGCATGAAAGGAGAGACTAAGTAAATCAAAAGAACTCAAAGAAAGCAGAGTCAACGTATTGCATGATACTGAGAAAAAACAAAGACTGTTAAAAAACCTATAGTTAACAAGCTTGAGGATAAAACAATATTTCAAGCAAGAAAAAAGGAAAAGTTGCTACCAACAAAGAATATCCAGGGGTAGAGTGGCCAACCATCCCCGTTTGCCCAGAACTATCTCAGTTTTAGCTGAGAGTCCCATATTCCAGGAAAACCCTTAGTCCCAGGCAAACCAGGAGAGCTGGTGACCCTGCTGAAAAGTGGGAATGCTTTTTTTTTTTTTTTTAATTTATTTATTTTTTATTGATAATTCTTGGGTGTTTCTCACAGAGGGGGATTTGGCAGGGTCATAGGACAATAGTGGAGGGAAGGTCAGCAGATAAACAAGTGAACAAAGGTCTCTGGTTTTCCTAGGCAGAGGACCCTGCGGCCTTCCGCAGTGTTTGTGTCCCTGGGTACTTGAGATTAGGGAGTGGTGATGACTCTTAACGAGCATCTGTTTAACAAAGCACATCTTGCACCGCCCTTAATCCATTTAACCCTGAGTGGTCACAGCACATGTTTCAGAGAGCACAGGGTTGGGGGTAAGGTCACAGATCAACAGGATCCCAAGGCAGAAGAAGTTTTCTTAGTACAGAACAAAATGAAAAGTCTCCCATGTCTACTTCTTTCTACACAGACACGGCAACCATCCGATTTCTCAATCTTTTCCCCACCTTTCCCGCCTTTCTATTCCACAAAGCCGCCATTGTCATCCTGGCCCGTTCTCAATGAGCTGTTGGTCACACCTCCCAGACGGGGTGGTGGCTGGGCAGAGGGGCTCCTCACTTCCCAGTAGGGTCGGCCGGGCAGAGGCGCCCCTCACCTCCCGGACGGGGCGGCTGGCCGGGCGGGGGGCTGACCCCCCCACCTCCCTCCAAGACGGGGCGGCTGGCCAGGCGGGGGGCTGACCCCCCCACCTCCCTCCCGGATGGGGCGGCTGGCCGGGCAGAGGGGCTCCTCACTTCCCAGTAGGGGCGGCCGGGCAGAAAGTGGGAATGCTTTAATAAATTAAGGACATGACTTAAGAAGAAATAAGAAGCCATTTGAAGGGTTGACAAATAAAATTGAGGATAAAATGCAGGAATAGAATGAAAAGACAAAGAAAAAATAAAAGGGAAAAAATGTTTTTTGAAAACAGAGACTCTAGGAGGTAGATCATATGGATAATAGGAGTTCTTGAAAGAGGAAATCGAATATAGAAGGGAAGAAGCTATCAAAGAACCAATACAAGGACATTTTCCAAACTGGAAGGACCTAAGTTTTCAGATGAAAAGGGCTCGCTGGAGGTCCAAACAGTGTTTGGGAAAAAGGAATGGCAATGGGGACTTTCCTCAAGAGTGTTAAGAGCTGTAGGAGTGAATAAACAATTATTAAAGTGGAGAAGGAGAGGAGGAGTGTAAATAGAAAGTGAACATATCAAATTCAAAGAATTTGAATGGAATCAGAAATCCAAATGGCATATTTACTCCACAGCAATGCTGCAGCTTTAATCAATAGAAGATCATGCCTTTAAAGTTCTGAAAGAAAATCATGTCCAACAGAGATGTCTATAGCCAGTGCACCATAATAAATGTACAAGGATGGTTTCTGCATCATTGTTTGTACAAGCAAAAACCCATATACAACCTAAATACCTAATGTTAGAGATGAAAGAAATTATAGCACATTTTATAACATTCAGATAATTTAAAATAATTTATTTACCAAATTTCATTGGAGAATGAAATCAATGTGTATGTACTGACATGGAAAGAACTCCATCATATATTAGGTTTCTAGAAAAACAAGTTTCAAAATAGCAATGTACAGTATTAGATACATTTTATAAAAGAGCATAAACACACACACACACAAACAGTATAGATAAAATAAGTGGGAAGAGAAAAATCTCAATTATTAGTGACTATTTTTGGGACACAGAACTTAGAAACCCAGCTGTTACTTTTTGTTTTATACAATTCTATAGTAGTTGGATTTTTTTCCTTAGATGGCCAAATTGTTTTTAAAACAATGCACGTTTTATTTCTTTGTGATGACAGCACCATCTAGTGGTCTATGTTAACAACTTTTAGAATATTTTTGACTTTAATGTGATATTTAATAATATTTTCCTATTAAAATAAAAGCAAGCAACTACAGCACAGGGAAAAACATTTTACTATGGCATTTGAAAGAACAAGCACTCATAATTATTTATAGGCTTTATGTCTTAGAACGATCTCCAAGATGTATCAAACGCAAAAATCAAATACAAAAAAAATGTGATAATCTACTATTTGTGCTAAAAAATACTCGGCTAAAAAAAGCAGAATATTTTTACATATTAGATTATACATGCATAAAGGTAAACACTGGCCACTCTAAGTCTGATATAGATGGAAACCCCCTGCCACAGAACCAGGGAAACAGGAAGCAGGGCCAATCCCTGGCCCCAATATCAAACGGGACACCTCAGACTCAGACCAGTGTTGCGTTTCCGCTTCAAGGGGTCCCAACGCAGCCCCCAGCACAAACAAATTTACCTACAGCCAACCCAGATGGGTCCCAGCCTCTTCTTCTGTCTCAGTACAATGCTTGTCCACCTCCACAGTAGGGCGCGGGGCGGTCGACCTCTGTATACCATTCCTCTAAATTTACTACCTAATTCTTTGCCTTTAATTGTCCCCACGGGGGTCACTGGCCCTTTACCTCAAGGTTCGGTGGGCCTGATGTTAGGTAGGGCATCCACCTCCGCTAAAGGTATCATAGTTCATACTGGTCTCATTAATTCTGATTCCTCTGATGAGATTAAACTTACGGTGTCTGCCAAGATTCCTGTTTCCATTCTGGCCAGTAAGCTCAATTACTTTTACTACCTAATATTGTTTTAAACAAAGGAGATAAGACATGGGGCCCTGGGATGGGCTCCGGTGGCAAAAAAAAAAAAAAAAAAAAAAAAGCCACTTATTGGATTAATGTAATTTCTAAACAATGGCCCACCTGCATCATACACATTCAAGGAAAAAAGTATGAGAGTCTAGTAGATACTGGGGCTGATGTTTCTATTATTTCCTCTAATTTATGGCCTTCCTCCTGGCTTAAACATCCCACTAACATGGGACTAGCAGGGATTGGAAAAACTGATGAAGTTCACCGGAGCACATTTATCTTGCCTTGCACTGGCCCTGATGGTCAAAAGGGTACAATTCAGCCGTATATCACACCAATCCCCATTAATCTTTGGGTAGAGATTTGCTGGCACAATGGGGGGCTGAAATTAATATTTCACATAACTCTTAAAACTCCCAAACCAACACCTGGGAACCTGGAACAATTATAATGTGGGGAAGAGGGTATGCTTGTGTTTCACCAGGAGATCATCAATCCCCTGTCTGGGTGCCCACTAGAAGCCTGAAACTTCGTGTGAATGCTGACAATAAAAACCACAGAGAAAAGATGTCCACGTCAGAGACCACCCTCATACGTGGTGAGATCCTCAGAAACTGGCACGCCAAATCAAAATGGGTCTGGTTCAATCCTCCCTAATGGCAATGGAGACCCCTCTAACTAATCCCACTTCCCCTAATTACCTTTCTTTTTCTCCTTATGAACCTAAAAATCTCACCATTTCTATTAGCCTGAAAATAATATCCCCCTGTTCTTCTCTTCCTCCTTCAGCACTGGATCTCGCTCACAATAGGTTTTATTTAATAATTCTCCTCCTTATACTGTCTCACCAGTTTCCCCTCAAACTGATTTACCTGCTACACAAAATTATTCTTATTGGGCTTATGTGCCTTTCCTCCACTTATTCGACCTCTCACCTGGATGGATGCTCCTGCAGAAATCTACACTAATGATAGTGTGTGGATGCCTGGAGCTACAGATGACTGTTGCCCTCTCATCCAGGAGAAGAAGGCACTGCATTTGATGTTACTATAGGTTATAAATACCCTCCTCTGTGCCTCAGACATGCACCTGGTTGTATCCATCTAGTAACTCAAGTCTGGGCTGCTTATCTTCCAGAGAGATTAGCCACAGGAGAACAGGGACACTTGGTCTCCAGCCTCTCCCTTTCTCCCTTAAGACAAATGAAAAGGGGAGTAATAGGAGATAGCCCATACTTTCAATATAAACCTGTAGGAAAACCATGTCCTAAAAATTTTGAGAGCCCATCTAAAACTTTAATTTGGGAAGACTGTGTTAACTCACATGGAGCAGTATTAAAAAATGACTCATATGGTTTAGTAATAGACTGGGCACCAAAGGGCTATTTAAAAAACAATTGCTCCTCTGGCAGAAGGGAATGCCTGGAGGCTACTTATTTTATTTCTTATTGGGAGGACAAGGATCATCATCCTACTTTGCATAGAAGGTTCAGCTTGTTCTTTCACTTAAAATGGGAAGATAAGGGCATTACCCACCCAAGGCCTCGTATGATATTCCCCATTCTGAGCCCAGAACACCCAGAACTTCGGAAACTGGCTATTGCCATGTCTGGACTGCGAGTATGGGAAGGGGAAATTTTCTGTCTGTTGTCCCCACTACCGCCTCTCGCAATCGTGATTCTGAACGCTATGATAAATCCCCTTTGAACCCTTTTCCTCTTTTTGATGCAGATCCCCCTTTATGGGACTCCAATTGGCATAATGATAATTCTTCTCGACCCAGGTATGCCCCTCTACCTCTTCGGTGTTCCCGGGTACCTCGGATTGCTCCTTTACGGCGGAGAATATCGCGCATTGCCACTGCCGCTCCTCTCCCTCAGTATCAACGTAGATTCAAACATTCTGCTTTGTTAACCTCCAACCTGACTATTCCTATACAGAGTTGTGTTAAGCCTCCTTACATGCTGTTAGTGGGAAATATCAAAATTTAGACAAACAACCAAACTGTCCTATGCATTAATTATCATTTATACACTTGTGTTAACTCCCATTTTGACTTCAGGAAAAGTGTAATGTTGGTTCGAGCTCGAGAAGGAATCTGGATACTGGTAACTTTACCCAGACCTTGGGAATCTTCCCCCTCAGTACATTTAATTAATGAAGTGTTACAATGAATTCTCAGAAGATCTAAGAGATTTGTTTTCACTTTAATCACTGTGATCATGGGCCTAATTACAGTCACTGCACTGGCCACCACTGCCGGAATGGCATTACACCAATCTATTCAAATGGCTCATTTTGTTAATGATTGGCAAGCCAATTCCACCCAAATGTGGAATTCTCAACAGGGCATTGATCAAAAATTAGCTAATCAAATTAATGATTTAAGACAGTCTGTTCTTTGGCTTGGAGATCAACAAATGAGTCTCAAACATTGCATGCAAATGCAGTGCAATTGGAATACTTCTGATTTCTGTTTCACACCATATTCCTACAACAACACTGATCATTCATGGGCAATGGTCAAAGGACACCTGCTGGGTAGGGAAGATAATTTATCCTTGGACATAACTAAATTAAAGAAACAAATTTTTGAAGCCTCTCAAGCTCATTTATCCATTGTGCCTGGAGCTGAGGCATTAGATCAGGTGGCAGAAAGTCTTTCTGGACTAAACTCCATGACTTGGATTAAGTCTACTGGGGGCTCCACTGTAGCAAATTTTGGAATCATGCTTCTCTGTTTAATCGGCTTATTTTTAGTGTGCGGACCAGTCAAAGAATCCTGTGTCAAAACCGAGAGAACAAACAAGACTTCATCGCCATGGCACATTTATATAAAAAGAAAGGGAGAGATGTGTGAAGTCAGGGACCCCAAATGGAGGGACTGGCTGGACCCGCGGCAGAGGAACATAAATTGTGAAGATTTCATGGACATTTATCAGTTCCCAAATAATACTTTTATAATTTCTTATGCCTGTCTTTAGTTTCTTAATCCTGTTATCTTCATAAGCTGAGGCTGTACATCACCTCAGGACCACTGTGATAATTATGTTAACTGTACAAATTGATTGTAAAACATCTATGTTTGAACAATATTAAATCAGTGCACCTTGAAAAAGAACAGAATAACAGCGATTTTTAGGGAACAAGGGAAGACAACCATAAGGTCTGACTGCCTGCGGGGTCGGGCAAAAAGAGCCATATTTTTCTTCTTGCAGAGAGCCTATAAATGGATGTGCAAGTAGGAGAGATATCACTAAATTCTTTTCCTAGCAAGAAATATTAATATCAATACCCTGGGAAAGGAATGCATTCCTTGGGGGAGGTCTATAAACGGCTGCTTTGGGAATGTCTGTCTTACGCGGTTGAGATAAGGAACACGCCCTGGTCTCCTGCAGTACCCTCAGGCTTATTAAGGTGGGGAAAAACTCTGCCCTGGTAAATTTATGGTCAGACCAGTTCTCTGCTCTCGAACCCTGTTTTCTGTTGTTTAAGATGTTTATCAAGACAATAGTGTATCACTGAACATAGACCCTTATCAGTAGTTCTGTTTTTGCCTTTTGTCCTGTTCCCTCATAAGCATGTGATCTTTGTTCTGCTTTTTGCCCTTTGAAGCATGTGATCTTTTCACCTACTCTCTGTTCTCACACCCCCTCCCCTTTTGAAACCCTTGATAAAAACTAGCTGGTTTGAGGCTCAGGTGGGCATCATGGTCCTACCGATATGTGATGTCACCCCCAGTGGCCCAGCTGTAAAATTCCACTCTTTGTACTCTTTCTCTTTATTTCTTAGCTGGCCAACACTTATGGAAAATAGAAAGAACCTACGTTGAAATGTTGGGGGTGGGTTCCCCTGATACCACTACACTCCAGCCTGGGCAACAGAGTGAGAGTCTGTCTCAAAAAAAAAAAAAAAAAAAAATGACAAAAGTTGGACATCAGTGCTGCAACAAGTGGTCAAGTGATCCAAGTGGAATTTATCCTCAGCCTTCATCTTTACCATTACTGATAGTTCACTTCTTCCCTTTTTATTTTTCCCAGCTGAACTAAAAGTAGAAACTAAAAATAAAAATAATGAGTAAAAATAAGCAAAGAAATAAGATCTCCTTATTGTAAACAGCAAAAGGGCCACTTAATAGGCAACAATAAAAACCAAGACAAGGCCAGGCACAGTGGCTCACACCTGTAATCCCAGCACTTTGGGAGGCTGAGGTGGGTGGATCATGAGGTCAGGAGGTTGAGACTGTCCTGGCTATCATGGTGAAACCCTGTCTCTACTGAAAATACAAAAAATTAGCCAGGCATGGTGGCAGGCCCCTGTAGTCCCAGCTACTCAGGAGGCTGAGGCAGGAGAATGGCGTGAACCTGGGAGGCAGAGGTTGCAGTGAGCTGAGATCACACCACTGCACTCCATCCTGGGTGACAGAGCGAGGGTCCGTCTCAAAAAAAAAAACCGAAGACAAAAGCTGACAAGTAGCTGTGAAGTCCCAAGATAAACTATGGTTGAAAATTGTTTATCAAACTCTCGTGTTCGGCTTGCCTGTTATCACTAAAGACATTAAAGAATACTATAGAAATTGACCTATGTTCAGACACGTCACTCCTATAAACCACCTGTTGAATTTCTTGACTGTCAGCCAAAGCACAATCTTTGTTTGCTCAGAACTGTGTATAGTAGTGGTATTTACAGATGGTTGGGTGACAGAAAAAGTAAATAACTACGTTTCATTACAGTTTCCTGTTTCCTTCTTGATCCTTCACAAGGGAAGATTTTCTTTTTTAGAGGTACAGATTCCTCTTAGTCAAGTCCTGATTAAAACTCCAGCTAAGACATTAGTAAGCCTTGGTTAGTGAAGTGGCATCAGGAAGTGCCTACATTTTCATGGCCTGGTAGCGTTCAGTGAAAATGTTCATTAACAGACACAGGCCATTCAGTCCCGAATCCCAAGACACTGAAGACTCTGTTTGAATCAGACTCACGGGTTCCTTCCTAGCCACTCTCAGGGACAGGAATGCTTCTGGTAAGTTTTTATAAATCCCCTATTTTATTTACCTCAAAACTCTCTCTCTTTTTTTTTTTTAACTAATTCATATGGACTAGAAATGTAATATTTAACTGCCACAGCTAAGAAATTTTACTTATTGTTCTTTCCTGGAGGTATTTTTTTTTTTTTTTTTTTTTTTTTGCTGTTAAAAAAAATGGCTAAAGAGGGAAGGAAAATTTTCTGTTTTGTAGAACAACTCCCCCTCAGAATATTTTTCTTCTCTTTTGCTATGTTTGGTTTATTTGTCCTAGTTTTGTTTTTTTCCAAAGCCAGAAGATATGTATTTGTATTTAATTCCAAGGTAGAATTAACCAAATTAAATTAAATCATACGATTTCACTCAGTTCTTATACTTTTCTATGCTGAAAGTATGGTACCATATTTTGGTGAAAGCAAGAAATAATTTCAAAGGAAATATTTTTAAGGGATGTAGTTAAATAATTATTTAAGTTTAAGGTTAAAAGCAGATAAATGACGGTATTTCCTCCTGAGTATGATAGAAATATTTTTCTATCATCAGATTTATGTTATTAAAAGCCTTTAGAAATACTCAGGAGGAAATACTGTCATTTATCTGCTTTTAGCCTTAAACTTAAAATAAATAATTATTTAACTACATCCCTTAAAAATATTTCCTTTGAAATTATTTCTTGCTTTCACCAAAATATGGTATCATATTTTCAGCAGTAGAAAAGTATAAGAACTGAGTGAAGTCGTATGATTTAATTTAATTAGAAATATTTTTCTATCATCCACAGCCACAGCCAGGCACGGTGGCTCATGCCTGTAATCCCAGTACTTTGGGAGGCCAAGGCAGGAAGATCACTTGAGGTCAGGAGTTTAAGACCAGCCTGGCCAAAACGGTGAAACCCTGTCTCTACTAAAAATGCAAAAATTAGCTGGACACGGTGGTGTGTGCCTGTAATCCCAGCTACTCGGGAGGCTGAGGCAGGAGAATCACTTGAGCCCAGGAGGCGGAGGTTACCATGAACTGAGACCACGCCACTGCACTCCAGCCTGGGCTACAGAGGGAGACTCTGTCTCAAACAGAAAGGAAAGGAGAGGAAAGGAGGGGGGAGGAGAGGGGAAGGGAGGGAGAGGAGAGGAGGGGAGGGGAGGGGAGGGGAGGGGAGGGGAGGGGAGGGGAGGGAAATCTGTGGCCAGCATTGTGTTGTTCTAGATATTCAACCTGCAAATCTGAGCTGAAGTATTATGGGATATGCCTTGAAAATTGAAATTGAATGAAACTGATGTTATTGATTTGCCTTTTGTCCCATGTGATAAAATATAAAAAACACACCCAGTTTCACACCAGTCTCTGGTGGGACAGAGACTAGCAATTACATCATCAACAATTTAAAAAATTCTTTGGAATGCAGTAGTAGCAAAGCCTTTTAGTTCCCAACACGTTGTTATGAAAATTGTTCAAACATAGAGAAAAATTGAAATAATTGTATCATGAACATCCAAATGCCTTCCATGTAGATTGTACAATTAGCATTTTGCTATATTGGCTTCTTTACATATTATCATCTCTCTGTACGTCCACTGATTCACCTTCTTTATTTTTATGATACCTTTTAAAGTTGAAGACCTCAGTAAACTTTACCCCTAAACATTTAGGAAAGTATATCACTAACTAGAAGTCAATATTTGTTTAACTATTTTCTTGAGATAAAATTCAATTAGAGTGAAATGCACAAATCATTAGTGTTATGATTCAATGAATTTTAATGGATATGTACATCTATGTAATCCAAACCCCCGTCAAGATATAGAGAACATCTCTGCACATGTATCCCAGAACTTAAAGTAAAATTTCTTTAAAAAGGAAACTTTAAAAAGTAATAATAGGCCGGGTGCGGTGGCTCACGCCTGTAATCCCAGCACTTTGGGAGGCTGGGGCAGGCGGATCACAAGGTCAGGAGATCAAGACCATCCTGGCTAACATGGTGAAACACTGTCTCTACTAAAAATACAAAAAAAATTAGCCAGGTGTGGTGGTGGGCGCCTGTAGTTCCAGCTACTCAGGAGGCTGAGGTAGGAGAATGGCATGAACCTGGGAGGCGGAGCTTGCAGTGAGGCGAGATCACGTCACTGCACTCGAGACTGGGGGACAGAGCGAGACTCTGTCTCAAAAAAAAAATAATAATAATATAAACAAATAAAAAGATATAGAGAACATCAATATGGCTCCAGATCTAGAATGCTCTTTCCTTTTACCTAATCAAGTTCTACCCCTGCCTCCAGATGTAAACAATCTTCCTCTCTACATAGTATGTATGTTCAATGTTTTCTTCAGATTCATTTGTCTTGTATGTATCACAAAATCGTTCTTTTTAATGTTGAGTAGGATTCCATTATGTAAATATGTAATTTGTGTATCCATTCTCTTGTCAATGGACGCCTGAGTTTTGTCCAATTCTTGGCTAGTATGAATAAGCCTGCTATGGGAGATAAGTGTTTCTCTGAACATATGTTTTCAGTCTGTTGTGTAAATACCCAGAAGTGGAACTTCTAGGTCATACTGTAGTTATAGTTTATTTTATAAAAGACTTCCAGAGATTTTTTTCAAAGGAATTGTATCATTTTAACACCCTAACATTGTATGAGCATTTCAGTTACTACACATCTTTGCCACTCTTAGGGTTTTGGCTTTGATTTTAGCTATGTTAGTGGTTAGGCAATGCTATCTTATTGTGATTTTATTTGCGTGTATCTGATGATGAATGTCGTTAAGCATTTTCTCTTAGGTTTATTGGTCATTTGCATATGTTCCTTTGTGAAATGTCCATTCAAATATTTGGGCCATTTTTTTAAAACTTGGATTGTCTTTTTGTTATTGAGTTGGAGTTTTCATAAGTATGTATTGCTGATACAAGTTCTTCGTCAAATATGCATTTTGTTAATATTCTCCCCAATCTGAGCCTTGCCTACTCATTTTGTTAATGATGCATTTTGATGAGCACTACCTTTAAATTATGATGAAAAGTCTAATTACAAATTTTTGTTTGGCTATTAATTTCCATGTCCTATCTTAAAAAGTCTTTTTTTTACCATTAAGTTGTAAAGACACTCCACTATGCTTTTTTTTTTAGAAGTCTTACTGTTTTAGCTTTTACATTCAGTTCTAAGACTATGTTGAATTTATTTTTCATATGTTGCTGAAGCAGAAATAGAAGTTCCTTTTTTTTTTCCTATAAATGTCTCATCGTTCCACCACTGTTTTCAAAAAAACATTTTCTTTTCATTACTGAATTGCTTTGGAGCTTTGTAGGAAATCAAATGTCATAAAGGGTCGATCTTAATTTTGAACCCTTTATTTAGTGCTACTAATCTATTTGTCACCACTTACACAAATACTACACTCTTTTGATTACTAAAGTTTATAGTAAGTCTTGAAGTCAGGTAGTATGAGTCCTCCTACTTTGTTCTTTCTCAAAAGTTTAGGTGCAGCCTTTGCATTTCCTTAGAAAGTTTAGGATCAGCTTATCAATTTCTACAAAAAAGCATGATAAGATTATGACTATAATTGCCTTGGATTTATAGGTTAATCTGGGAAGCTTAACAATATTGAGTCTTCCAATCCATAAAATATCGTATATCTCTCAATTTATTTAGATATTTTATTTCTCTCAGAAGTGTTTTGTAGTTTTAAGTGTATATATCTTCTCTATTTTTGTTAATTTATTTTTAAATTGTTGAATTCTATTTAAAATATAATTATTATGTTTTATTTTACAATTATTGAGGCCAATATATAGAAACGCAATTGGTTTTTCAATATTGACTTTGTATCCTAAGATGTTACTAAATTCTAGTAGTTACCTTGTAAAATTCTTAGGATTTTTTACATAAACAATCATATCATCTAAAAATAGAGTTTGTTTTACTTATTAAGTTGTGCTCTTTAGGCTTTTAAATTTTTATTTCTAACTTTATTGCATTGGCTAAAGCCTTCAGTGTAAGTTGGATAGAAATGACTGAAGTAAATATTGTTGCTTCGGGGCAAAGGATTCAATAGTCCACCTTTAAGTATGGTGTTAGCTCTAAGTTTTTCATACATGTCCTTTATTAAATTGAGGAAGATCATTCCCACCTTTCTGGGCATTTTTATCATGAAGAGTGTTAATTTTTTTCAAATGCCTTGTCAGTATTTATGGAAATGACCATATATGTAGTTTTCCTTTTTTTGTTTTTTTTTTTTTTTTTTTTTGAGACGGAGTCTCGCTCTGTCCCCCAGGCTAGACTGCAGTGACGTGATCTCGGCTGACTGCAAGCTCCGCCTCCCGGGTTCACGCCATTCTCCTGCCTCAGCCTCCAGCATAGCTGGGACTACAGGCGCCCGCCACCACGCCCGGCCAAATTTTTTTTTTTTTTTTTTTTTTTTTTTTTTTTTTTTTTTTGTATTTTTAGTAGAGACTGGGTTTCACCGTGTTAGCCAGGATGGTCTCGATCTCCTGACCTCGTGATCTGCCCGCCTCAGCCTCCCAAAGTGCTAGGATTACAGGCATGAGCCACCGCGCCCTGCCTCATATATGTAGTTTTTCTGCTTTATTCTGTTAATAGAGAACATTACAGTGATTGAATTCCAAATGTTAAGCCGACCCTGGGATAAACCCTGCTTACTCATTATAGTATCCTTTTATGTACATTGCTGGATTTCATTTGCTATCATCTTATTAGGATTTTTGTGTTTATGTACATTAAGAATATTAGTCCGCAATTTACTTTTGTTATTGTTTTTGTAATGTCTGCCAGTTTTGGATATCAGAACTAATCCAGGCCTCATAAAATGATTAGGAATTATTTCCTCTGCCTCTATTTTCTGATTTTATGTAAACTTTTTTTTCCTTAAGTGTTTGATAGAATGCACTCATCTTGTGAGAGCTCCTCACAATCTTTCCATGGAAAAGGAGACTGCTAATAATAATAGCTATCATTTTGTGAGGTCCTACAATGTATCAGTTACTTTATTTGGTATGTTACATATGTTAATTTAATCCTCACAACAACCCTGAGAATAGATATTATTCTTATGTCAAAAATACAAAAACTATATCTGTAAGTGCCAGGGGCTAGAATCAGGTATGACTCGAATGGGTAAGCTTTTTCCATTTAACTAAACTCCCTATCAAATTTATTTTTATAGTGACCTAAAGATATCCCTATCAATGAGGTATCATTCCACCAGGCAAATCTGTATCCACTTCATTAGATCTTCATTCATTCATTCATTCATTCACTGAATCATATTGGTAAATACTAATTGAGCTCCTCCTGGCTAAATATCTAGCCAGGTACTATTCCAAGCACTGTTCTAGGCTCAGCAAACAAAACACACAAAAATCCTCGCCCTCATGAAGCTTAAATTCTATTATACTAAACAATAAATACAATAAATAAGTAAAGATTAGAAGGTAATAATTGCTTTGCAAAAATATAACAAAGCAGGCTAAGGAGACTGCGGGGAGTTCCAACTTTTAATATGAGGGTGAGAGTAGACCACACTGAGAAAGTAACACCTCTGAGCAAAGGCTTGAAGGAGGTAAGAGGGTAAGCCATTCAGGTCTCCAGAGAAGCGCATTCCAGGTAAAGAGAATAGCCAGTACAAAGGCCCTCTGGTGGAAATATGCCTGGAGTGAAGGAGCAAAAGCCAGGAGGATAGTGCACCTAGAATGGAGGAAATGACGGGGAGGAAAGTAGGAGAGAAAGTCAGAGACAAAGCAGGACCAGATAATTTAGGGTCTTCCAACAGGACATTTGCAAGGATACTGGCTTTTAATCTGAGTGAAATAGGAGCCATAATAGAGTGTTGACTAGATAGGCAATGTAGTATGCCTTACAATCTTAAAATGCTGTCTTAAGGGTAGAAAGAAAAGCAAAGGGAGACATTGAGAGATCAGTTAAGACCCTATTTCATTAAACCTTGTGAGTAGTAGTGCTTCAAATCAGGGTGGTTGCAATGGAAGTGGTGGGATTCTGAATGTATGTTGAAGATAAAGCCAATAGGGGCCAGGCCTGGTGGCTCATGCTTGTAATCCCAGCACTTTGGGAGGCCAAGGCGGGTGGATCACTTGAGGTCAGGAGTTCAAGACCAGCCTGGCCAACATGGTGAAACCCCAACTCTACTAAAAAAAAAAAAAATACAAACATGAGCCAGGTGTGGTGGTGGGCGCCTGTAATCCTAGCTATTCAGGAGGCTGAGGTGGGAGGATCACTGGAACCTGGAAAGTGGAGGTTGCAGTGAGCTGAGATAACGCCACTATGCTCCAGCCTGGACAGAAGAGTGAGACTCCACCTAAAAAAAAAAAAAAAAAAAAAAAGATAAAGCCAATAGGATTTCTTGAAAGAAGAGGATATGAACTGTGAAAGAAAGATAGGAGTCAAGGATGACTTTGAGGATTTTATCCTGAACAACTAGAAACATGGAGCTACTGTCAATGAAAAGGGAAATAAAGGGGGTGAGACAAAGAAGGAATTCTGTTTTAAACACATTAAGTTTGAGAAATAGTATGTACAAGTCCAAGGATGCATGAGATCTTTGTCCAGTGAAATCTCTTAAGTTTCTTGAAGTTTAGAAATATTACATATTTTCTCAAAGCCAATTGCCCATCTATGATAAATATTTTATTGCCATTCTAAGCCAAAGAATTAAATGCTTTGGTTATTCTTCCCATTTTGAAACCAACCATATTTTCAAATATAGTAGTATTTGAGTGTGAATTTTTCATTTAAAAGAAAATCACAGGATTTACTAATAATTTATCTTTATGCCATAGCATAACTTTATCAGGGAAATAGTCTTTCTACTATGAAGAAGTAAATCAACAATTTAAGAATTCTAGGAAACAAATAGAACAATTTTCTTGAATTGATTTTTATTCTTTACATAATCATCTTAATTCTATTACTGAGTCATTCATCCTTATCTTAAAAAAATTCATAAATCACCTTTGAACCTTGGCGAGGTAGTTACAGTTTCTGCCCTTTGAAACCTAGCAAAATAGAAATTACAACACTGTTTCACATTATAAAAGAAGCCATAGTCAATTCCTCATGCCTACAGTAGAGTCTGTAGTTGCAAAGAGTTGGGTCAATTCTACTGTCCAGCAGCCCAGTGGCCCACCATCATAGTTATACCTGGATTGCAACAGGTAATCTCCACCCTGTTCATAAGACTCAGTTTAATAAGGTCTCTGGCTGGGCACTGTGGCTCACGCCTGCAATCCCAGCACTTTGGGAGGCCAAAGAGGGTGTCTCACGAGGTCAGGAGTTCAAGACCAGCCTGGCCAAGATGGTGAAACCCCATCTCTACTAAAAATACAAAAAAAAAAAATTAGCCAGGTGTGGTGGCTAGTGCCTGTAATCCCATCTACTCAGGAGGCTGAGACAGAGAAGTGCTTGAACCCGGGAAGGGGAGGTTGAAGTGAGCCGAGATCCTGCCACTGCACTCTAGCCTGGGCGACAGAGCAAGACTCCACCTCAAATAAATAAATAAATAAATAAATAAATAAATAAATAAATAATCAGGTCTCTGATGCTTTGCGTTGCCTCCCACTTCCAGAGCTCCTGCTAGCTCAGCCAATGTCGGCAGGAGGGAGGAGAAACGTGAAAGAGTCACCTCACCTCTCCACATGCCACCACCCCCAAAGCTCACACAGAGCTCACTCTACAGGGTCTAGTGGTTGTGAAATGGGAAACTGCTTGCAACTTTAAATAGGAACTTTGGGGTGTGAAGCTTATGACTGAAAGGGGACTATAAATATATCTTCCTTTAAATGGATAACAAGCATGGGCAAAAACAGAATAATCTCTGCAAAATTTTAGGGATTCTAAAGACTGGAGATATACCTAACATCAACAGAAAGTCAAGGAATTGGGAATAAGGTATAATGTTCTAAGTAAAGCCTTCTTCTATTTTAACAAATACCTAATTCAACCAAGATGACTGAATAAATGTTTAATTCAATCAAATGATTGAAAGTATTCAATATCTGGCCAGGCGTGGTGGCTCACACCTATAATCCCAGCACTTCGGGAAGCCGAGGCAGGCAGATTACTTGAGGTCAAGAGTTTAAGACCAGCCTGGGCAACAGGGTGAAACCCCATCTCTACTAAAAATACTAAAATATATATATATTTTGAACCCAGGAAGCAGAGGTTGCGGTGAACCAAGATCGCACCACTGCACTCCAGTCTGGGCAACAGAGTAAGACTCTGTCTCAAAAAAAAAAAAAAAAAAAAAGAAAAAGAAAAAGAAAAAGAAAGAAAGTGTTCAGTATCTAATCAGAGCGCACAATGCTGCTATAAAACAATGTACAGAACACTTGCTTATATTCAGTGCACACTTCATCTATCATATTGAAAGCATCGGAGCTACACAGTTGTGGGTGAGTTTATGTGATTCCACTCTGCCTAGAAGAATGAAACGCTTTGAAGAACATGCAAAGGGGAAAACCTAAAGATACCTGAATTCATGCTCTCCTTGGGCAAAAATAAAGCTCTAATGACTCCAAGTTAAAGTGACTTTGGAGATCTAATATTTTTCAAGCACAAAAGAATTCTGATTGTTTTGCTTAGGGGATGAATATCTAGTTAAAGACAAAAGACATAAAGAAAAAAATGAAAGTTATTCACAACATTATATACAGTGTATATACCCTTATGAAGGGGAAAAGAACTTTAGTAAACCTATACTTTAGAGACTTGTAAATTTGGCAATGCTTCTTTCAACCTTATAAATGCCCATTGCCTCAATAATTCAATTCATTAAATGAGAATATCAAAATAAAAACACAAACCCTTCCCTGATTTTATTTCCTATTTCCTATTCTCTTTAGTTTCCAAAATTCTTCAACATGTTATATTATCTATAATCACAAAAATAACTGGAATTTTTAAATCATCCTTTAGAAACTCAGAAATTGTTATTAAATAAATTGAAAACTAAAGTGTACATCAGGAAGGATGAGAATGTCTTTTAAAAGACATTTTACATCTCGGAATTTTTAAAAATGAACCAAATAGAAATTCAGGCTAAAATTAAAGAAAAAAACTTTTTAAAGAATAAATCTGCAATAGTGAATTAAACTTCAGAATTTCTAGTGACACAGAAAAGGGGATGAATCTCAATGACTGTATGATTGAGCATTCACCAAATGCCAGACACTGTTCAAAGTTCTTTATTTCACATGTGATCCTCCCTAAAACTCTGAAAATCAGTCTCCTAAGCTTACAGATTAAGCAAATTCAACAATCACAGTACATTTAGCTTGTTCTTATGGAAAAGATAACCTTGTTTCAGGCAATGTTTTTGCCAAAGATTTAAAAGAAGGCATAGAATACCTGCTTATTAACCTAGTGGGTGTGTGTATATATGAAAAAATCAAGTTGTACACCCTAACTGTATACAATTTTTATTTGCCAATTATACCTCAATAAAATTGGGAGGAAAAAACCTTGTGGTTGACATAAAGCCAAAGGAATCTTCAAACATTCTGTGAGATAAGAAAAATAACGGTAGATAGGAAGTGCTATATCTATCTTTAGTTTCCAAAATTCTTCAACATATTATTTATAATAGTATATTTATAATCACAAAAATTAATAACTGTAATTTTTAAATCATCCTTTAGAAACTCAGAAAGTGATATTAAATAAATTGAAAACTAACAATTGTTGAATTTTCCCTAAGCTGTTTTGGTCAAATAGCTGTCCAGCCTGAATTCCTCTAGTGATGAGGAACTCACTATCATTGGAGGCATGGATTGCCCTATATGTTTTTTTAAATGAGGCCTGACCGGCAACCAGACCATTGGCAGACCATTGAGTTAAAATGTGGTGGGTGTGGCAGGGCACAGTAGCTCACACCTGTAACCTCAGCACTTTGGGAGGCCGAGGCGGGCAGATCATGAGGTCAAGAGATCAAGACCATCCTGGCCAACATGGTGAAATCCTGTCTCTACTAAAAATACAAAAATTAGCTGAGCGTGGTGGCGTGTGCCTGTAGTCCCAGCTACTCGGGAGGCTGAGGCAGGAGAATTGCTCGAACCTGGGAGGCGGAGGTTGCAGTGAGCCAAGATCGCGCCACTGCACTACAGCCTGGCGACAGAGCGAGACTCCATCTCAAAAAAAAAAAAAGAAAAAAATAGAAAAAAATGTGGTGGGTGCTGTTGTTGCCTTACTGGAATCCAGTCAACCTAATTCAAAATATTGCCTTCAGCTTGGTTACTCCACTTTAGAGGGATTTGGAAGTAAAGGAGAGAAATCAAAAGGGACAAAGGACACAGAATTATGTCATAAGAAGAATATTTGTCTAGACAAAGGAAAGAAAGCCCAGGCAACATGACAAATTCCTGGTCTTCAAATATTTGAGGATCCCTCTCATAAAAGGAGAACTTTTTAGTTCTGTATTTAGGAATCACATGGTAATAGTTAAAAAGAACAGAATTTTAGCTGATATAGAGTTTTCTAAAGAGCAGGGTTATCCAGAGATTAAACAGATTGCCTCCAATGACAGTGAGTTCCTCATCACTAGAGGAATTCAGGCTGGCCATCTATTTCACCAAAACAGTTTAGGGAAAATTCAATCATTGTATGGTGTCTGGACAAGGTGATTTTTGATTTTCTTTCCAAACCTGAAATTTTATTTGGAGGAAAGTTCTCAAGGACAAGATGGCTTTTTGTTCAGAGTTTGACCAGAAGAAGACTTGAGACATGGAGTTGCCCAAAGAAACAGAGGAAGGCAACATGATAGAGGATCCATCCAAAAAGAAAGATTGAGAAAATCAAAGAGACATGTAGCAGGTTGAAATGTCAAGTAGGAACAGCATTGACAGGAGCTGGGACACATCATTTGTCATTCAGCAAGCGTGATTTGCCAAGTACTTGGTGTCAGGGAGTAAATAAGAAAAACAGTTTTCTGCCTGTATGAGCCTTCAAGGTGAATACATAATTCAGAAACCATATGCAGAGACTAATGAGCGTTGTTGGCATTTCACAGATGGACGGGATAATTCAAGGCTTTGTTTAGTAGACAGGATTTACACCATGACAGAACCACCCTCCTACAGATAAAACGGAAAAAAGTGCCACTGGTTTCAGATTATTTAAATTAGATAAGCATTCAATGCAGCAGGTGAGTCTTGTTCAGAATTTTTAAAGAAGGAAGGGATACTTTGTCTCAGAAAAAAAAAAAAAAAAAAGGCAGATAAATCCAGGAAGCAACAGAAGTGGCATGCACGTTGGTTAGTAGCCTTTAGACTTTTTCCACAAGGCCTTTGAAGGCAAGGGGGGAGTGGGCACTGCAGTATCTCACAGATTTTTTTCAGCCCATAGTTTTCTAATGTAGCAGGCTATAAGAATTCAAAACACTAAATTCCCACTGCCCAGAAAAGTGCATTTACTTCCTGTAAATAAGCCCTTTATTTTTACTCTGGCAGATTTTTCTTTAGATGAAGGCAGTCATTTTACCTAGTCCCCTTGGCCCTTGATGCATGCACACAGCATCTACAATAGGAAGGAGACTCAATAAGAAGAGCATGTTCCATGCTGTCCCCGAGCAATCATAACAGCACTCAAGGGAGCCGCGAGAGAATGAACGGATGGTGCACAAAGAGAGCAGTGAGCTCTGTCAGCAGCCATGAGACAGAAAAATAAAGTAACAAAGGAAAAGAAACACATCTCCCCCGTGAGGGCAATAACAGCAGCAAGAAAAACCATCAATCCCAACCATGCTGCCTGTTTTATGGAAACCTTAAAGCCATTTTCAAAATATACTTCTTGTCCTCTGGGTGGGATTTTCTCAAGTAATAGAGTGCTTGATGCCGCTGAGATTTCCAAATACATCTTCAATCCAGAGTTTCCATTCACAGCTGTGAAATTCAGAGTTTTGCATCAACTTGCCTTCTTCGGTGCTGCTTGCATCCACTCGTTTATGGTCACTCAGTGAATACTTATGGGAAAATGTACTATATGCCCGTCATTTTTCTAAGCCCTATAGGTACGGAGATAAACAAAGCAGACTGCTTTCATAGAACTTTAATGGGGAAAGACAGACAAACAATAACAAAAAAATGTAGCCAGGCACGGTGGCTCACGTCTGTAATCCCAGCACTTTGGGAGGCTGAGGCAGGCGGATCACGAGGTCAGGAAATTGAGATCATCCTGGCCAACATGGTGAAACCCCATCTCTACTAAAAATACAAAAAATTAGCCAGGCGTGGTGGCACACACCTGTAGTCCCAGCTACTCGGGGGACTGAGGCAGGAGAATCGCTTGAACCCGGGAAGCGGAGGTTGTAGTGAGCTGAGATCGTGCCACTGCACTCCAGCCTGGTGACAGAGTGAGACTCCATCTCAAAAAAAAAAAAAAGAAGAAAAATGCAATGGAGAATAGCTGTGATGAAAATAAAACTGCTGAGAACTTGGCTTAGATTAGAAGTCAAGAAATGCCTCTGTGGGGAGGTGGTGCTTGAACTGAAGAGAAGACACAGAGAAAGTAGACAATGAGAATGTAGAGGAGATTCTCAGGCAGGAGGAAGACAGGATGAGCTTAGCAGGGCAAGGAACACAAGCAAGGTCAGTGCAGGAGCATGCAAACTGTCACACATGCTACCATCAGACGGGATGTGGGGTAGGTGATGGGGGCCTAGTAGGGAAGAACTGGGAGTTTGAATTTTACTCCAAGGGAAGCCATTGGCTAGTTAAGTAGAAGAGGAGTGGATCTGATTTACATTTATAAAGATCATTCCCTTCGTGATGCTAAAGGATAGTAGGAATACAGAATGGTAGGGTCGGGATAGTCTAATGACCATCTGAATTTAATCTGTTTCCTAAATTATCTAAGAAATAATGACATATCAAGGTAACCAGGCTTTAGTCACTAGTAAATGATTTAACTTAACTAAGCTTAGATAAGCTTAAATGTGATAGAATATATGATAAAAGGAGTTACGTTAATTTTTATCATACAAAAATAATATGATTTACCTACTATCTGTTACTAGATAATAATTTCAGTTGGTCCTAACCCTTAGAGAAGCTGTGGGGAACAAGTGATACATTTTTGCACCAAGTAAGCTGAGATGGAGAAAATGTCCAGAGAACAGACTACAGATACACAACCCAGGAAGAAATGCAGGCTGTACAACCAACTGTTCTTCAGATGCTCCATCAAGGATATGCAAGAATGGGAACAGTGTAGGCATCAGAAGCATCATCTTTGCATTTAGAAAATAACTCTTGGCTGGTTTATTTATGCAGAAATCACCTCTTCTTGAATTTAGGGCATAGTTGTGGAGAGCTCCTGGTCAAGGGCTCTGTGCCCTGAGCATTTGACAAGAAGGTAGTCGGGTTCCAAGTTCCATAATCATAGATGTCTGACAATATCTATTATCCCACTATGTCTTTTCCCCCAGCTTTCAATTTCTACTGACAATTCAAAGACCATTATTTTGCGTTTATTTGTCTAGAATGGCAGCATCTAGGGTAGTGAGCTAGAAATAACTCATCACAGGGCCAGAGGCGGTAGCTATGCCTGTAATCTCAGCATTTTGGGAGGCAAGGTGGGTGATTGCTTGAACCCAGGAGTTTGAGACCAGCCTGGGCAACATAATGAGACCTTGTCTCTACAAAAAAAATCAAAAAATTCGCTGGGCGTAACAGTGCATGCCTGTAGCCCCCAGCTATTCTGGAGGCTGAAATGAGAGGATTGCTTGAGCCCAAAAGGCCGAGGCTGCAGTGAACTGTTATCATGCCATTGCTCTCCAGCCTGGGCAACAGAGCAAGACTTTGTCACAAAAAAAAAAAAAGAAAAGAAAAGAAAAGAGAAAGAAGAGAAAGAAAGAGAGGGAAAGAGAGAGAGAGAGGAAGGAAGGAGCTACTCAGGAAGCTGAGGCAGAGAACTGCTTGAACCCGTGAGGCAGAGGTTGCAGTGAGCCGAAATCACACCACTGCACTCCAGCCTGGGTGACGAGCAACAGTACATCTCAAAAAAAAAAAAAAAAGAATGAGGATTCTGTAACCAGGTTGCCAGAGGAAGGGAAGGAGGCAGGAACTCACCACACATGAGCTATGTGTCCAGAAAACATTAACAGCTGCCTCCTCTCAAAGACAACTACCTTAAAATCTGTTGATATTCTAGGCGTAGGACAAAACTGGAGAATAGGAGAAACCATTTTGCATGAGCACAGGGTACTACATATGTATAATGAAACATCTTTAGAGAGTGTGGGTAATTCATCCTTCTTTCTCCGACCTATAGCACTTAAAAACCACTAGATGGCACAAATTTTTCTGTTTTTATTTTTATTTTTTCTTCAAGAAAGAGTCCTCACAGAAAACTGACGGTAAAAATAACGGTATTCTCTGAGCTGCTTTAGCAGAGTTAATAGTCTTCATATTCTCTGAAGAAGCAGAAGCTTGATCAATTCATTTTCCAAATATTGATGAATGGCCGAATATGTCAGAGTGCATCAGCATCTCTACTAACCACAATGAAGTTTGAGGAATTAATATTCTCTACCACCGATTTCACACATGATTCTGGGAGCCTCTTTTTCCCAGTGATCTTTGTCTCCCCTCTTTCTCCCTGAACTTCATTTTAATGTTGGGGCACCCTCTGCACCCCATATGGCCAACAAGCTACCAAGATCCTTCTGCCCTTCCATCAAATCGGCTCTGAGTTTTATCCCTTCCTCTCTATCCTTCCTGCTAAAATCCTGACACAGAGCTAAAACTCACTCTGAGTTTTTTCCAGTTACCATTCTCTTCCTTCATTCTCTCCTGTACATGGAGATGCCATTAATATTCGCAAAATACTGCTTCATCACGTCTCCGTACTACTAAGGACCTTATATTCATCTTCTAATATCATTTGAAAAAAGACTAAGCTCTCATCTTGACATTAAATTCTTTCTATTATCCTTTGCTTAACCCATTGTATCTTCTACCACCTAACATAAAAACTCCTCTCCCATAAAAAATGATGAGTTCATGTCCTTTGTAGGGACATGGATGAAGCTGGAAACCATCATTCTCAGCAAACTATCGCAAGGACAAAAAAACCAAACACCGCATGTTCTCACCCATAGGTGGGAATTGAACAATGAGAACACATGGACACAGGAAGGGGCACATCACACACCGGGGCCTGTTGTGGGGTGGGGGGAGGGGGGAGGGATAGCATTAGGAGATATACCTAATGTTAAATTATGAGTTAATGGGTTCAGCACACCAACATGGCACATGTATACATACGTAACAAACCTGCACGTTGTGCACATGTACCCTAAAACTTAAAGTATAAAAAAAAAAAAAAACTCCTCTCCAATCAATCCACATAATGCTTTTGCAAAACATGATCCTAACCATTATGGTGGGTTTGGGATTGATTGGCTGGTTGGTTGGTTGGTTAGTTGGTTAGTCGAGTGTCAGTATAGTATATTGATTAAGAGTGAGGATTCTATAACCAGATTGCCAGAGTTGGCATTTCACCTCTACCATATACTAGATTTATAACTTAAGGTAAGTTACATCTTAGTGCTTCAGTTTCTTCATTTATGAAATGGAGACAATACTGGTACCTCACTTACAGAGTTATTATGAGGATTAAAGGAGGTAATAGCTCAAGCTTTTTCAAGTGCCTGGCCCCGTTTAAGTGCTCATTGCACGTCAGCATACCTTGTCTTTATTCCCAGAGTTGTGTCAAAAAACTCACAAAGCTGTGTAAAGGTAAACTGACTCTACCATTCAGATTTCTAGGCTCTCTTCCAATCTACACAGTGAAATTGTATGCCAAATTTCAAAACAACAAGAGCACAGTCCATTCTTGCCACTGCCAAATACATTGTTCCAGGTACACAGAAGTATTTTAACAAGCTTTAGCAAATCTCACACATGTTGAATTCTAAAATAAATCATTGCTGAGCAAGCTCTCTCTGGATTAGAGTATGCTGAGCCCATGTTTTATTCCTATTGTAGGTGAAGAAGTTTTCGGTGGTGGTTCATGGAGCTTCCCTACACCAACTTGGAAATGGCATTCATTTTATTGGCTTTTGTTATCTTTTCCTTATTTACCCTGGCTTCCATCTACACTACTCCGGATGACAGTAATGAAGGTAAAAGAAGACAAAAAGAACAAAGCTCTTTGTGGCTACTGTGTCCTTTTCCCTGCCTATCATCTTGCCATGTGTTGGGATTTGGTTTGGTTTCTATCCTGTGTGTGAGGATAACTTTGTTTTTGTTTTGTGGCATGTGTGTGTGTATGTGTGTTCATTCAACTATATATAGAAAGGAAAAGGATTACAATTTTTTAATGAGTTCTTGGTAAAGCCCAAACATTTAAAAAAATTCTGTAGAAGTCTTTTAAAAACCCAGTACCACATTTTTTTCCTCATTGCCAGTAAAAACAATTGTTAATAAGAGAAGTGTATAATTTAAAGGATTGTGCCCACCACATGGTTACCACATGGTAACCATAGTTACCATAGTTCAGGGCCCACCACATTTCAGACGAAATTGATAACTGGGGAAATGATACATTTGGGAACCAAAAATTTATATTTATTTGTGTATATGTGTGTGTAAATATACAATTAGGAAATTATGTATATTCATAGAAAATAAGATAAAATCATAAAAAGCAAATTGCATTTGTGCTTCCTAGCTTATCCCCAATCCCATCAATTCTTGACTATAAAATAAGTGCTGTCTGTGAATTAAAAGACTATTCTATCCGATAGACATACAACACTATCATAACTAGGAAACAAAAAGCCGCAGTAAATAGACATTCCAGTTCATGCTGACTTGCAGATTGCGAAACATAATTGGAATCCATAAAATCTTTTTCCTGCTCACAATTGTTTCCACTGTGTTAGTTTAAAATGGGTTTGGCTAAAAGAAAGAGTAAAACCAAAATAGCAGTTACTTTAACTACATAATAATGTATTTCCCTCACCAGGACAGGAAGCCCGGAGGTAGTGAGTTCAAGGCTGACGTGGCACTTAATAAAATCTTGGAACCCAGGTTACTTCTACCTTGGTTCTTTCCATCTTCGACATAAATTTTAAAGAATCCACTTGCTGGGCGCGGTGACTCACGCCTATAATCCCAGCACTTTGGGAGGCCGAGGCAGGCGGATCACGAGGTCAGGAGATCAAGACCATCCTGGCTAACACAGTGAAACCCCGTCTCTACTAAAAATACAAAAAAAAAAAAAATTAGCTGGGCTTGGTAGCACGCACCTGTAGCTCCAGCCACTCAGGAGGCTGAGGCAGGAGAATCAGTTGAACACAGGAGGCGGAGGTTGCAGTAATCTGAGATTGCGCCACTGCACTCCAGCCTGAGTGACAGAGAAAGACTCTGTCTCAAAAAACAAAAATTAAAAATTAAAAAAGAATCCACTCAACCTGGAAAAATGGTTGTCTCATTTTGGTGCCTTAAAAATTGATTAAAATGAAATTACTTAGCTATAGTGGAAATTAGAATGAAGCAGGGCTGATTTTCCCAGTTTAGTACACTGTTTACTGACTATCTTGTTTGCCTGTAAGCATAAAAAACAACGGAAATTTTTATCAGGAGCTATATTAATTCATTCTTGCACTGCTATAAAGAAATACCTGAGACTGGGTAATTTATAAAGAAAAGAATTTTAATTTGTTTATAGTTCTGCAGGCTGTATAGGAAGCCTAGTGGCTTCTGCTTCTGTGAAAGCCTCAGAAAGCCTCCAATCATGGTGGAAGGGAAAGGGGTAGTGAGGCATCTCACACGGCCAAAGCAGCAGGAAGAGGGAGAAGGGGGAGGGGAGGTGCTAGACACTTTTAAACACCCAGATTCATGAGAACTCACTGCCATGACGATAGCACCAAGGGACATGGTGTTAAATCATGAGAAACTGCCCCCACGATCCAATCACCTCTCACCAGGCCCCACCTTCAACACTGGGTATTACATTTCAACATGAGATTCGGGAGGGAGCACAGATCCAAACCGTTATCAGGAGCCTTCCATGAAAAGGGCAGAACGCGAAGCACTTTAGAGGCATTATTGTGTTTAATCTTAAAACAATCCCATGAGATGAGTAATAATAACCTCACTATTTCACAAGCAAGGACACTGAAGTTTTATTTTTTTTATTTTTATTTTATTTTTTTTTTTGAGACGGAGTCTCGCTCTGTCGCCCAGGCTGGAGTGCAGTGGCGCGATCTCGACTCACTGCAAGCTCCGCCTCCCGGGTTCACGCCATTCTCCTGCCTCAGCCTCCCGTGTAGCTGGGACTACAGGCGCCCGCCACCACGCCCGGCTAATTTTTTGTATTTTTAGTAGAGACGGGGTTTCACCGTGTTAGCCGGGATGGTCTCGATCTCCTGACCTCGTGATCCGCCCGCCTCGGCCTCCCAAAGTGCTGGGATTACAGGCGTGAGCCACCGCGCCCGGCCGGACATTGAAGTTTTAAACTTTACCATAGATCACTCAGCTAATACGACAGAGAGCCAGAAGTTAATCTCCAGCTTATAGGACTCCAGAATCTGGAGTGTGCATAACCAGCACACTTTCTCTTCAGATAACCTTGAAAAAGACACTTGGCTTTAAAAAAAAAAAAAAAAAAAAAAAAAAGCATATATACTTCTCTTTCTTTCTGCAAAGGGCTTAAATTGGCTAAAAAGATATAACAAGATACAACTTAATTTTTAATAAGTAGATAAGGACATCCAGGCAAAAGGAAAAATTAGGGTAGGAAAAAATGGGTGAACTTGGTAGGGAGAAGGAGGCTGGCATACTATTTCAGCACAGAGCACAAATTTGTGATTAGTCACTCCTGGATTCATGTCCTGGCTCTGCCATTGGGTAATTCTGCCTTTCGAAAAATCATACAAATTCTCAAAGCCTCTGTGTTAGTCTGTTCTCATGCTGCTAATAAGAACATACCCAAAACTGGGTAATTTATAAAGGAAAGAGGTCTAATTGACTCACAGTTCAGCATGGCTGGGGAGGCCTCAGGAAACTTACAATCGTGGTGGAAGGGGAAGCAAACATGTCCTTCTTCATTTAGTGGCCAGAAGAAGAAGAATGAGCGAAACTGGGGGAAAGGCCCTTATAAAACCATCAGATCTTGTGAGAACTCACTCACTATCAGGTGAAAAGCATGGAGGTAACTGCCCCCATGATTCTATTACCTCCACCTTGTCCCTCCCACAACACGTGGGGATTATGAGCACTGTAATTCAAGATGAGATTTGGGTGGATGGGGACACAGCCAAACCTTATCAGCCTCCATTCCCTCATCCATGTTTTGGGGATAATAATAGTACCTTCCCTGCAGAGTTGAAGTGAGAATTAAATAAAATAAATCATATAAAATGCCAAAGGGTGACTGTTAGTGGAGTCTTCTTCTTGGGAGTCTTCGTGATTAGAAATTTAGATAGAGCAATAAGATTCATCATCTGGCTGGGTGCGGTGGCTCACGCCTGTAATCCCAGCACTTTGGGAGGCCGAGGCGGGCGGATCACAAGGTCAGGAGATCGAGACCATCCTGGATAACATGGTGAAACCCCGTCTCTACTAAAAACACAAAAAATTAGCCAGGCGTGGTGGCGGGCCCCTGCAGTCCCAGCTACTCGGGAGGCTGAGGCAGGAGAATGGCATGAACCCGGGAGGTGGAGCATGCCGTGAGCTGAGATTGTGCCACTGCACTCCAGCCTGGGCAACAGAGCGAGACTCTGTCTCAAGAAAAAAAAAAAAAAAAAGGTTCATCATCATGAAAAATATTTATTACAAAACCAATACAACTTGTATTCACTTAATCCACACACTGGGTCAATGTCTTTGTTTTAAATATCTGGCAATACAATACATTCCACACAAATCAATTGCAAGGTGACATCACACATGTCACAAAAGATAAAAATCTGATGTAAGGGAAGGTAAAGTTATGGCCACTGGAATCCCTCAGGCAAAGCCACTGACAAATGAGTGCTTAATAGAATTAGACCACCTATCCAATAAAGAAGAGATGGGTACATAAGCACCCCAAAATAGTGTGAAGTGAATGCCAAAGAAGTGAAAGACATCTCAGAAAATTAATGATGCTTTGAATATTTTTTGCTAATGTTATCCTCTATAGAATTGTGCTATGAAAATCACAAGTAACAAGGAGAGTATTGTATGGAGCTATGATGCAAATGTGTCAGAAAAGTGATGCTCCCCAACCCACCCACATCAACATCTCATCCATTATTTGTCTAAAATTAACTTTGAGTTGCAATTACAAACTGCATTTTATTAAATGAGTAACATAATTTTATTTTCATTATTTTTAGTTTCAAGTTTCAATATAAAGTTTCATTCAAAGTGGTTTTTTGTTTTTGTTTTGCTATTTTATATTAAATTTTGCCCTGGCTCAAGTAAATTCACTTTAGTTGATCCATTCCAGTACCATTTATTCTCAGATTAAAAAGAAATTACCTGTTACAGAATGATATCCTCAACAGTGTTAGCCAACATCAGTTATCATCCAAGGAACTAGCTGGAGGCATGCTCTTAAATCTACTTACTTGTAGGAAATGGGCCAGACATTTGGGTCTTTTCTTTCTTTAAATCCAGCCAAGAGGAGAAAACTGACAACATCGAACTTTATCTGAGCTCTGTGCTTCTGGAAAGCAGGTATAGTCCAGAAATTCCACCAACCTTTTATTTTCTGAAATCTCCCCACTCTTATTTTCCAGGAAATGGCTTAAGGAAAAGAACTACCTTTCCCCTTATGACATAGATAAGACTCACTGTCCACTCTTTCTCCTGACTTCCCTAAGACCCATGAAGACTCCCTTGTTTACCTGAGCCTTGGACAAATACAGACCTTTCCTCTTTTGCCTGAAGCTGCAGACAAGAACAGACACAGACCTTTCAACTCCTTGTTCTTTGTCTCATGAATGATTTAGCTGAGATTTGAACTGTTTGTCCTTCTGAAACTAGCCAGATAGATAGAGCTAAACATTTGCATTACAGCTATTTGAGACTTCTCCTGATAGCAAAACAATCCCAACTATAAATCATCTTACCTATAACTTTTCTACTCCTCCCTATAAAATTCTGCAGTAAAACTACCCTGCCAAGCTACTTTGATCTCTGGATTTGAGGTGCTCTCCCTATAGTAATAGCTTGAATAAAATCAATCTGCTTACTTGTGCGCACACGTTTGTGTGTGTGTCTTTGACAAAACACAGTCTGGTCCCTATATATGACAAACTGGTGTGGATAGGATAAAAAGTAATATAGTTGCTTAGTAGGATTACAGCTATTTCTGGCATGGAGAAAAGAGACAATGGCTCACTAGAAAAGAATCTCATTAGGGGCTCTAGCTCAGGGATGTTGGAACTTTTTCCAGTAAAACCCTTTTCCAGATCTGCTCCCTCACCTACAACACATTTACCCATGTGTGTGCAGCTGAAAGGAAAGTTTCATAAACTCAGCCTCTCTACAGGTGATATACTCCAATACTTTGCATTCTGTTTTGTTCTTTTTTGCAAGGCTGGTGGCAATTCACCTAAACTACATGTCAATCTCCCAGGCAGAAACCTTCACTAATTGGCCATTGCCTGCAGAATAAAATGAAAATTTCCAAGGCTTTTGAGCATTCTTATTGTTCCAAGTAGAAAATGTCCACCTGTCCACCAATAATCCCCTCCTCCCCCTCTACTTGAATCTTACTTATTCTTCAAATAAGTCATTTTCTCTCTTCTTTAATCAGTCTAACCCAAAATGAACTCCCTCTCTGTGGAACTTTCATAGAGCATTTTAATATTTCACTAATTTGGTGCTTATCTTCATCACCTTGTACTATTGGTTATGTTTATATGAGTAGGAAAATAGACTATAAAATAATGAACTAGAGTTCCATGATTTGTTACCTGACTTGGTTGACCATTCAGCAAGTATACTTTTTTACATGCTGTTTGCAAGAAGGCACTGTAGAGGCATGGGCACAGATGAAAAATTAGCCAATTACCAGTCTTGCCCTTAAAGTTTAGAGTCTCAGAGGAGAGGTAATACAGGTAGGAAAGTACAGGATGGTAATTCCTATTCACATAAAAATACAATTCTTCATCCCTGTGTGAAGCCTTTCCTTGAATGGCTGAAAATAAAATAGCAAACTAACAAAAGCATGTTTTAAAGATAATAAGAAATCACTCTTTGCATGTCATCTAGAATGTAAGCTCCATAATGCAGATTTGGTCTGTTTAACCACTGCTCATCCCAGCACCTAGAACACTATTTGGGAAATAGGTGGTTTTCAGTAACTCATTACTGGATAAATTAATAAATACCTAGAGCTTATTTCTTTAGAGAAGCTCAACATATGAGTTTCACATTTCATGAGCATTATACATCATCTTACTCATTCTATAGCTCTTCCTACCACTTTTTACCTAATAATAGTTCATGTTGCTTTATCTATATTAATAATTTAATCCTAAGATTAGGCCTATGAGGCAGGTATTGTTATAATGCTACACTAAATCTAAAATCCTCAGAAATACTCATTAGGATCTCATGGACTTGTATATGAGCAGAATCACAGGCTGATTTACGCAAAAAGATGATATATGGGCTATTCATAAACCTCCTTCTTGAAAACTCAGTGACATGAAGCACAAATTAATTCAGAATAACACAAATCAATGTAGACAGGCTTTTCATGATGGTCTTCAATGTATATTTGATCAACTTTCTGTAATGTTCAGGTTTGATATATTCATGAATTGAAAACAGATTTTAATGTCTGTCAAACAAAACATGACCAGGATAGGCATGCCCTCAGGGCAGAAGAAATTATATTCTGCATGCCAAAGTCAAATATAAATGGCGTGGTATATTTCCATTTTTTGTGTTACCCAGACCACTGCTTCCTTGTATTTTCTTAAATTATATAGAATCATTTTGCACCTATTTCGTTGTTCTTTAGTTTTTAAATTCACCACTGTGAAGCTGCAGTATCAGTTTAGAAGAGATTAGTATAACAGTCTCTTTATATCTCTAGAGGTAGCACATAGTGACGCGGCAGTAGCTGCTCTTTCCTGCCTGAATCATATTGCTGTCCACCTGCACACTAGGCCCTGTCTTTGAAAGTTGTCTGGTGTAATGACCAGTAGGAAGTGATAAAATGTAAGTGACCCATCAGGGAATTATAAGGATGTTCTGGGAAGGTAATGATCCTTCATCAAAGGTGTGTCCAGCCTCTTGACAAGCAGTAGCTATCCAGCATCCCCATGCCAGACACTCCCTTCCAGAATAGCTGTAACTGCCAGGTGAACAGTCTTGGTGACTTCGTCCATGATGCACAGAGTTTTAGAGAAAGTAAGCCCAAGGCTGGCAGATCCCCAGTCCAGGTTAGAATCGACTTTATAATTTTAGAAAGTCTTAGGTTTTAAAACTTGATGTCTGTTAAGAATTCATTTAGATATTACATATATTGCTGTTGTCCAACTGTGTCAATGTGGCCAAAGGCCCTACAGCACTACAGCACAGAAAGATATCGGTTCATAAAGAAAAATTGCCACTGCTGTGATTCTATATTAATCAGACAGCAATAAGCATGTTTGTTGTTTAAGAAGATCCCTACCGTTTTTTCAAAGCTGGCCTCACAAACCAGAGTCAAAGTCATAAACCTGGCCACATGCAGTGGCTTACGCCTGTGATCCCAGCACTTTGGGAGGCCAAGGCAGGAGGATGGCTTGAGCCCAGAAGTTTGAGATCAGCCTGGGCAACATAGTGAGACCTCATCTCTATTTAAAAATAAATAAATAAATAAACATAAACCTTTCAGCACTCAAGAGTAGTGAGGCAAAATCAAGTAGGGAAGCTACAAATTTGTACCCAGGTAAACAGATTAAAAAAAAAAATTTTATTTTGCAATGCCACCTCATTCTTCTCCAAAATCAACATTAAGCACAAAACAAAAGTTTAATACACACCTCTAATAATATACAAAATGATTTGATAGTACCAGCACACATTTAGGGAGTTATATGTGATGACTCGATGAAAAATTTATTCCCTTGGTACACAATTTGGGTTGTCTGCAAAATAAGAACTGACGATATCTATAGCACAAAAATAATATTTTGAGTGTTCACTGTCTGCCAAGCACTTAACATATTTAAGCCTCCTTTCATCCCTATGACCACATTGTAAAGCAGGGAAGTAATGCTATGTCTACTTTGGAGATAAGGAAAATGAAATTCCCAGAAGCAATGTGCCCAAGGAGAGGAAGAGGCAGGAAGAGCTCGGTGAGCATGATCATGGCTCAGGTTCTCCATCCACATGCCTAAGACAGGGGTGAGTGTGAAGATGGGAACTGACTCAGAATTAACTGTGTGATCATGGGCAAGTTGCCAAGTTAACCCTCATATCTAAATTCAGGTATCCTTGAACAAACATAGACAGATACTGATGATCCGCCATGTTTACTATAACCATAAACTCTTTGTGAATTAAAAATGGCCTCTCAACCTGGAAAAAATGTAAAATAATATTGAGAATGGAATCCACTAAACAGGAAAAAAAAAAAAAACTCCAGCGCATCAGCTACATCTTTTTCAACTGAGGGTTTCTTTAACTACCTTAAAGTTGTGTTTGTAATTAACTAGGTTTGATTGAACATAAATTAAATGTCTTTTGGTCGCAGAGAAGTTCAACATTCGGGTATGTATGCCTAAAACACTGTAGTCTTAGAGAATGTCATGAAGACTGTGTTCATTTCTAATTCTTCAGTAATTAGAGGTGGGTTTACATTTTGGTCACCGCAGCTATTTCCGTAGCGTGTGGCTAAACTATTGGGCATGCTGAGCTAATACTTCACAACATAGTTCTGCGGGTGCCAAAGGCCACAGGCACCAAGGTTTCCAGTTAAATTGTTAGGAAAAAAATGCCAAAATGTCTGGATCCTGAATTGGAAGCTTCTGCTTCTTCTTCGTAAAAGTGAGGAAAGCCCCTATTAGCAAAAGACCAAACTGAGATTAGTGGCCAATCTGTAGACTTTCTATTATTTCACATAGTTTTAAAGTTATTTTTCTGCAAATTTTTGTCATGGAAAAGTCAGCAATTTTTTTTTGCAATTTTTCTGTTATCTCTGAATACAATGACTCTTCTGCCTTTATAAACCAAATTGTCCAAAATTAAGAAGACATGGCCATAAGTGAGACTGAGGTCTTCCTATTTATCTCAACTGAAAGCCACAAACTTGCATGGAATGAGACTGTTCATTATTTACCAGGGCAAATTTCAGGCTTGTTTTAAATGAAATCAAAATATCCTCTCTGCATCAATGTTCCTGACACACATATTTAGGGATATAGAGGAATCAATAAAGTTATGCTTTAAAAGAAGGATTATTAATCTATTTAATATGGATTGTTAGAGGTGGAGACAGCAAATTTTGAGAACAGGCAACAAACTGGTTTTTTGGCATGTCTTAGAAGTAATTGCAGCAGCCAGCCAGTAGACGGCAATGTTTGACAAACACCCGAATCCAAGAAAAATAATTTTGCTCTGTTGTGTCCCGGTGCTGCCTGTGTAAAACTAATTTCACACCAGCCACCATGCTAAACACTGGGAATGCCAAAGCTTTGTCTTTTTCCCCAGTGAACTGTGAGCAATGCATGCAACTCTTCCAGATAATCCCTTAATCATATTTAAAAATAGGAATAGTGGCCGGGCGCGGTGGCTCACACCTATAATCCCAGCACTTTGGGAGGCCAAGGCGGGTGGATCACAAGGTCAGGAGATCAAGACCAGCCTGGCCAACATGGTGAAACCCCGTCTCTACTAAAAATACAAAAAATTAGCCAGGCGTGGTGGCGCATGCCTGTAGTCCCAGCTACTCGGGAGGCTGAGGCAGGAGAACTGCTTGAACTCGGGAGGTGGAGGTTGCAGTGAGCCGAGATTGCGCCACTGCACTCCAGCCTGGGTGACAGAGCGAGACTCCATCTCAAAAAACAAACAAAAAACGAATAGCTTCTTCTCTTTTTCTCAAAATCCATGTAGTAGGCAGGGGCCTAGGCCAGGTGTGTCCTGAAGGCCTTTGTAGATCAATGAATCCTAATACTGGTAAACTGGATTATTTTAAAATAGAAGCTGTAAAAGGATCAGTAGCTCTACAATGAGGAAGAACAGAATGAATGCCTACAAAGGCATTAATAACTGTGTGTATTATCAAACACTGTTTTTATAATACTATTTTTGAAATCTCAGAAAATGTGCATTAAATTCTAAAATTCTAAAAATTAGCCAAAACCAGACAAACCTAAAACCATAATGGGATACTACTACACATCTATTAGAATGACTAAAATTTAAATATATATACTACTTTTTTTAATTTTTATTTTTCTTAAAGACAGTGACTTGCTGTGTCACCCAGGCTAGGTAAAGTGGCACAATCATAGCTCACTGAAGCCTCAAACTCCTGGGCTAAAGCAGTCCTCTTATTTCTGCCTACTAGTAGCTAGGACTAGAGGCACATGCAACCACACCCGGCTATTTTTTAATTTTGGTACAGACAGGGGTCTTGCTATGTTGCCCAGGCAGGTCGCAAACTCCTGGCCTCAAGCAATTGTCCCACCTCCACCTCTCAAAGTGCTGGGATTACAGGTGTGAGCCACCATTCCTGGCCCTACATATACTACATTTACATACACACACACACACACACACACACACACACAATACCAAGTACTGCTGAAGATGAAGAACTACTGGAATTCTCATATGTTGCTGGTGGGAACGCAAAATGGTACAGCCAGTTTGGAAAGCAGTTTGGAATTTCTTACAAAGATAAAACATATGCTTACCAAAGGACCAAACAATCCTACTCCCAGTACTTACCTTCACTCAAGAACATTTACACAAATGTTTATACCATTATTCACAATTGCCAAAAAATGAGAACAGCCCAAATGTCCTTTAGCAGGTAAATGAATAAACAGACTCTAATACATTTATAAACCAGAATATTATTAAGCAATAAAAAAGAAACAAACTATTGATACATGCAACAATATGAATGAATCTCAAATGTGTTTTGCTAAGTTAGTGTTTCTCAACCTCATTATTGTTTTAGGCCAGATCATTCTTTGTTGTAGGGGGCTGTCCTAAGCATAGGAGGACTTTTAGCAGCCTCCTTGCCTCTTCCCACTAGATCCATGTTGCACTTCCCCAACCCACCTCGTTGTGGCAACCGATAATGTCTCCAGAGACTGCCAAATGTCCCCTGGAGAGGCCAAGGTTTTTCCCAGGTGAGACCCACTGTGCCAAGCAAAAAGAGCCAACTTCATAAGATTACATAGTGGATGCTTCCACCTATGTAACATTGTGGAAAAGGCCAAACCGCAGAAACAGAAAACAGCACAGTGGCTGCCAGGCATTAAGGCCAGGAAGAAGATTTGACTACAAAGGAGTAGCACGGGGAATTGCACAAGCCAGAATCTTGTTCCACATCTTGATGATGCGTGATACATTTGTCTGTGCATTTATCAAAACTCATGGGCCTATCTACCTTAAAAAGTGAATTTTGGGCCGGGCATGGTGGCTCACTCCTGTAATCCCAGCACTTTGGGAGGTTGAGGCGGGTGGATCACCTGAGGTCGGGAGTTCGAGACCAGCCTGACCAAAATGGAGAAACCCCATCTCTACCAAAAATACAGAATTAGTCGGGGGTGGTGGCACTTGCCTGTAATCCCAGCTGCTGGGGAGGCTGAGGCAGGAGAATCGCTTGAACCTGGAAGGCAGAGGTTGCAGTGAGCCGAGACCGCGCCATTGCACTCCACCTGGGCAACCAGAGTGAAACTCCGTCTCACAAAAAAAAAAGTGAATTTTACCCTACATACATTTTAAAAATGAATTTTTACAAACCTATAAAACACTACTTTATCTCTTTCTTTTATTTTTTTTTTTTTTTTTTTGAGACGGAGTCTTGCTCTGTGGCCCAGGCTGGAGTGCAGTGGTACGATCTCGGCTCACTGCAAGCTCCGCTTCCCAGGTTCACGCCATTCTCCTGCCTCAGCCTCCCGAGTAGCTGGGACTACAGGCGCCCCCCACCACGCCCGGCTAATTTTCTTGTATTTTTAATAGAGACGGGTTTTCACCGTGTTAGCCAGGATGGTCTCGTGAGCCACTGCGCCCGGCCCCAACACTACTTTGTCTCTTAAGTGATATAAACATCATAGGAGAGATTCCTAAATTTAAAAAGAATGCTACTTAATTCAGCATTGAATAACAAAGTTCTGAATTTTCACATCAAATAAATTAATATAGAAATGATGATAAAATATGTAAACAGTACTGCAAGGTTTAACTAAAGTTCTCTGTCTATGAATAACTGGATATCTGTACATACAGGATAGTTTTTAAAGACTTTATAATAGTTTACTTACAGTAATTATTTCAAAAAACTGAATTTATTGGATCTCTTAAATTAATTTCTAAATAAAAATGGAATTTCCAGGCCAGGTGTGGTGGCTCACACATGTAATCCCAGCACGTTGGGTGGCCGAGGTGGGCGGATCACGAGGTCAGGAGTTCGAGACCAGCCTGGCCGACACAGTGAAACCCCATCTCTACTAAAAATACAAAAATTAGCCAGGCACGTTGGCACACGCTTGTAGTCCCAGCTACTCCGGAACCTGAGGCAGGAGAATTGCTTGAACCCGGGAGGTGGAGGTTGTGGTGAGCCGAGATCAGGCCACTGCACTCCAGCCTGGGCAACATAGCAAGACTCTGTCTCAAAAAAAAAAAAAAAGGAATTTCTGGCCGGGTGCTGTGGCTCACACCTGTAATCCCAGCACTTTGGGAGGCTAAGGAGGGTGAATCACTTGAGGTCAGGAATTCAAGACCAGCCTGGCCAACATGGTGAAACCCCATCTCTACCAAAAACACAAAAATTTGCCAGGCATGGTGGCAGGAGCCTCTAAACCCAGCTTCTCGGGAGGCTGAGGCAGGAGACTCGCTTGAACACAGGAAGCGAAGGTTACAGTGAGCCCCTGTTGAGCCGCTACACTTCAGCCTGGGTGCCAGAGCAAGATTCTGTCTCAAAAAAAGAAAAAAAAAAAAAAAAAGGAATTTCCATTCCATTTCTAAATGGAAATGAAATTTCAGAAAACAGTGTTTTCTTCATGCTTCTTAGAAAAACATGTGATCCATAAACTGGGTGTAATGGATCATGCCTGTAATCCCAGCTACTTAGCAGGCTAAGGTGGGAGGATTACTTGAGGCCAGGAGTTTGAGACCAGCCTGAGCAACACAGCGAGACCACATCCCCCACCTCCATCTCTGAAAAAATAAATACATACACACATAAAAAGAAAAATATGTGATATATCTTGCTAAAATAAAATAATTAATTTTTTGCCTGTACTGACATTTTCACTTCATTTATATGAATTTTCCTGTAACTACTTATACAGAAAAACCTCAGAAAATGTGAAAAAAAGAAGCAGTTTTCTTCATGACATAACATTTTAAAAATTAACTCTCAAAGTACTGCTTTAGTAACTTGGAAATGACAAGAATTCCAGGCATTATTTTCCCTCACCAGAGCATAATAAATTCCCCTGCTTACACATCATTGGCTGGAAGAATGGTGGCCCTAAAAATAAAAATTAAAAGTACAACTAACGATGAAGAAAGTTGGGGGCGAGGGCCCAGCTGGGAGTTGAGACTAATACTGTGGGAGTGGTAACTGCACATCAAGACTTTCTCACCACTCCCCAGGGAGATGTAAAATATATGATTAAGGGGACAAAAGACGTTCCAAGCTTGACTCCCAAGACTGCTCGCCTTTGAGTTATTATAGACTAATGACCGCAGTTTGGCTAGCTCTCTAACTGAACCCTGAAACAAACAGGAGTTTTATTTGTGGTGGGTAAATGTAACTGCTAGACGCCGTTGGTTCTTGATAGTATTATATGTCACGTTTTGGATAACGTATTTTTCCTAATACAGAAAAAGTCATTTGATGAGTATAAGAAAACTTTCTAAAAAGATGGCAGAACAACCACAAACAGGTAGAATCAGATAGTATATAATGAATTTTGTATGAAAGGAAATTCAGCACTAAGCCAGTAAATTGAAGAATATGGTTTGTTGATTCCTGTTGAAGGGACTACAAAGATGCTGGGAGAAATAAGACTTACTAACAGTTTGCTTCCTACAGTGCTGAAATGGAAATAAGAAAGGCCTAGGTTTGGGAATCCTGGGTCCTACTTATGAGCCTGAGAATCACAAGAATCAATACAGAATCATCTCAAGGAGTTGTGCCATAGCTGGGCTCATTGGACTAATTATATAAATAGGATGCTTTTGGAGTGCTGTGTTTGGAAAAGAAGAAATTAGTAGCCATACACAAAATCAAATGATCTTTGCTATCATCAGCCGCTCCCCAAGGTTTTGTTTGTTTATTTGTTTGGGTTTTTTTTTTTAATTCCGTGAGTTGTAAAAATAATCTTGTAAAGCCGGGCGCGGTGGCTCACGCCTGTAATCCCAGCACTTTGGGAGGCCGAGGCGGGCGGATTGCCTGAGCTCAGGAGTTCGAAACCAGCTTGGGCAACGTGGCAAAACCTTGTCTCTACTAAAAATACAAAAAAGTTAGCCGGGTGTGGTGGCATGCACCTGTAATCCCAGCTACTCAGGAGGCTGAGGCAGGAGAATCACTTGAACCCAGGAGGCGGAGGTTGCGGTAAGCAGAGATCATGTCACTGCACTCCAGCCTGGCGACAGAGCAAGACTATCTCAAAAAAATAAATAAATAAAAAATAAAAAAAAAATCTTGTAACATTTACTAAAAGAAGAATGATTTCTTCATGACAAGAGCAATTAAAAACACTCCAAAATGGGTTTCTTTAACTATTTTTTTGCTTGTTTGTTTACACTTTGTTTTTCAAAATTTTATTAACTAACTCCAAAGTTCAAAGTCCATCATCAAACATTAGTAAGATTCAATCTCCTGCTCTATATAATGGAGATAACAACACGTATCAAGGTTTTTGTGAGAATCAAATGGTATGGAAACTATAAAATAGTAACCATATTTAAGGAATTATTTATGTAGGTACCAAATATATTTTCTTTGTTATTGAAATGAATTTGAGATACAGATCCAATGTTCAGCTATGCAATGCATATATTTACATAATCTTTAAACTTATTGTGTGTGTGTGTGTATATATATATATATATCTTTAACCTTAATCTTATTCAGTGTTCAGCTATGCAATGCATATATTTACATAATCTTTAAGCTTCTTGTGTGTGTATGCACATATATATATATATACACATATATACATATATCTTTAACAAAAGGAAACCTATTTTTTGAGAATTTTTAAGAATCAGTTTCTTATAATGGAAGAAGTAGAATATCATTTGGAATAGGTTATTAAATGTCATGGCTACAAATAGCCCAGATCCTCGGAGCTCCCTAAATCCCATCCCAAACTTCAATTTGTAGCTAGTAAAAATCACATATTATGAGGGATGGTGGTTGTCCCTAAAGACCACATAAACTATGGTTTCCTATAGGAAATGACCAAGACTTCCAGCACTTTTAAGAAAGCATGTAAAATAAACCATTATCAAATTTAAATCTAAATATTATAACCCTAAGGAAAAATCAACTTCACAGATTTTAAAAAAATAATAAAACTTATTTTTGTGACACAATTTCCCAGGAACTTAATCTTGGTTGAAGGATGTTTGCTAAGGATGGATGTTTGTTATACTATTTGCTCAGTAAAACAATTCCCACCAGCCAGCAGTTACAGCCTTTGTGGCTCCAGTTTTATGTAACAAGTTATATTTAAACTACCCTAGCAGCTACTGAAAATGCCATTCAGGAGCTACCTGAAAGCTGTTCCCAGGGCCTAGTCTGTGTTCCAGGTGAAAGAGTACATCAAAGACATCTTTCCAGAAATGATGATAACTACATTTCCTTAGGGATAGTTAAAATTCTGCTATGGATAATCTGAATTATTGCCAGAAACCCTAGGATTTATGGATAACAAAAATAAAAAAAAGAGAGATTAATATTTGCTCACTTTTGAAAACATATTTTAGCTTTTATGTATATTTTGTGCTAGAATTCTAGTGCTCTTTTCTACCATTATTGAGTCAGAAACTAGTTATCCAGAAAATTTATTCACACTTCAGCTACTAAAATCCCTCTTTTTTGTGTGCCTAAATGCCTAAATGCTAGTGGCAAGGCTTTATAGGTATAGATCCAAGCCAATGAAGCCGGATTAAATTTTCCCTTATCCCAAAGGACGTTGTCACTGCCTTGTTTGAACATTTGGACACTTTACATTGGGTCAAAAGGCTTACAGCCTGCTTGATTTCATCCAGATGGACCATTTTAAACATAAATGGGTAGGTATAGGATGCAAAAACATTTAATTAAAAAATTGTTTGAGCTTAGATAAGCACACATAAACCAATAGGAATCATAGCTCAAACTTTATTCTTGGAATTGCTAATAGAACCATGAGGCTACAGGTGGCACCAGTAATTCTTTGCATAAACTAAAGAACACTTCGCAGAAATGTTTAAGGACAGCAACTTAAGGAAGAGAAGTGACATTAAGTCCTACCCTCAGGGATAGAATTGTATGTTAATAATTTTCAATCTCCTTTTTTATATCTCCGAGTTTTTATTAAATAATTCTTAAAACTACTTAACAATGGGATATTGGCATTTGTGGTAAATTGGGATTAGTTACTACTTTCTGGACAGCATTTGGAGAGATACTAAATGGTGTGCCAAGATTTTTTTAAACTACTATAAGATGTTTAGAGAAAGAAATGGTGTTCACTTTGGCAACACATGCACTAAAATTGGAACGACACAGAGAAGATTAGCATTGTCCCTGTGCAAGGATGACATGCAAATTCATGAAGTGTTCAATTAAAAAAAGAAAAAAGAAAAAAAGAAATTCATAGTTTCCAGAGGACAAACACAGTGTTGCTCTTATATTTTAATTTATTTCCTTCTTTTCTCTCTCCTTTTTTTCCTTCTTTTCTCTATTCTTTTTTTCAAAGTTAAAAATAAACATTTGGGCTTTTTTTTTTTAAAGCTAAAACTAGTGGATACAGTCAGAGTAGGCCCGCTGTTCTCCGTCTTCTCTCTTCCATGACAGTTGAATCTCAAATGTCATGAACTAGAACTCACTTTACTTGGATAATGGAAATTCTAGATCTTTTAATCCCGGCCTCCAAATCCCTACCTCTTTGAAAAAAATGTGTTTTATATAAACATATGCACACTCTCATGTGCCCAAGGATATAGGCCTATTTTTCATCCTGTTCTCTTCAAGTCTTTTTAGTGCTTTACGTCAGCCATTTAAGAGAAAGTCTTTGAACATAGCATCGCTTTCTGATTTAGACACGTATTTGTTCTTTTAACATCTTTGGCAATCTACTTATATATAGATGTACTAATACGTTGGGGCACATATTATCGTCAATTTTTCAGAATTATAATACCATTTCCTGCCTAGGTTCTACACTCAGCTCTTCGGTTCAGTACTTTTCAAAGATTCTCCCCACCATCCTCAGTTTTACACAATATATATTAGGAAGACTGCAGAAATGTTTCTCAGATGTATTTTCAATAACTTGCTTTTATTGGAAAATAAATATCGTCAGCAATCCATTGAACCCACTGGTCCCTGTTTGGAAGAATGTTTTTAATGCTATGTAATAATTACGTTTCAGAAAAGTAGAGAGCTGAGGATAATTGCTCCCTCTAACCCTTGAGACTCGCTAGTGCCAATTCTTCTGATCAATAACACTATTTACAGGGATATATGCACTTTGTTGTCCTGTTGTCCTGTGTGGTAAAACTGTGAGAGATATTAGAATTTTCATTTTATAAAAGGGGAAACAGAATCACCAAACTTAATGCCCTGGGGTAGTACTGATGGAAAAATATTTCAAATAAACTAACTACTCGTGGCCAATCCGAATCTATAAAATTTCTTTCTTCTAATTTTTCTTTTTTTTTTTTTTTTTTTTTTTTTTTTGAGACGGAGTTTCGCTCTGGTTGCCCAGACTGGAGTGCAATGGCGCAATCTCGGCTCACAGCAACTTCCGCCTCCCTGGTTCAAGCAATTCTCCCACCTCAGCCTCTCGAGTAGCTGGGATTACAGGCATGCACCACCACGCCCGGCTAATTTTGTATTTTTAGTAGAGACAGGGTTTCTCCATGTTGAGGCTGGTATCGAACTCCTGACCTCAGGTGATCCGCCCGCCTCGGCCTCTCAAAGTGCTGGGATTACAGGCGTGAGCCACCACGCCCGGCCCTTTTCTTCTAATTTTTTAAGAGCACTTTTTGAGCTAGATTGAAAAACATGTGCTATATTTTATATCTCCTTTAGAAATTTTAAACATTTTCAAATGGCAATCTTTGGTATTCTATATGCTATTTCAGTATATAATTTATCACTCCCGAAAGAAAAATGTGTTGATTTTATGTTTTAACTGGAAAATTGAGTTCTGAGACATTAATGGAACTTTAGATTTAAAAAGCAATAAAAACAAGATACTGATTTGTGTGCAAGGCTAATGCTTACTTGAAAATTGTGATCTGGGAAAAAAAAAATCTCAAAAGTGACTATTGTTGGATATTTTTCCTTACACACATAACAAGGTTTAAAGAATAATTATTATATGGAGTTTTTCAGCTTCAAGGCTAGCCTCTGAATGTTTGCGGATTCCATAGATCTGCAAATAATTAGCTGACAATGCTGGAATGCAGAAACAGGTCTGTCAGCAGCATTGGTGTTAAGCACTGAGGGAGAATCAAAGGCCAGCAGAGGTACAAATGAACTCACTCAGGCAAAGACCTCAGTCTCTCCTTTATCTACACTCCATAGGTAATGTCAAAAAAGTTTCTCAAATATCTATATGGACTGAATTAAGGAATAACTTAAGAATCTTGTACTTACATAAAAGTCATCTTGTCATTTAACCTGAACGTTTTAAATGATTGCATTTTCATGACTACCAAAATATTTGTCCACTCTAAGAGAAAATTCACTGGGTAGAGGCAGAATATTCTCAATGCATAATTTTTAGTAATTTAGCTTTTGGAATCTTGCTCCTACCTATATAGAAGATTTATAAGTGGAAAAGAGTAAAATTCAAATGAATTTTACCCCATAGTCATTACAGAGATGTAAGGGTTTAACTAAATTTTATTAATCTGACGCTTTGTCACAAATGTGTTTGCATTACCACAGTGCATTTCTGCAACTCAAGAGATAAGTAATGTTGGAAGATGGTACTTATTCTTGAGAATAAGTTCTGTTTCATTCTTTATCCTTCTCTGACGAAAACTGAAGTTAATGTTTCTCTCTCTGAGTCCCTGTTCTCTTAGATCTCTTAGTTATTTCCAGGATACGTCAAACAAGCCTAAAACTGTTATGTAGAATGTCTGTTTTTATGTAACAAAGGACTGGAAATCTAGTTATACGTAGAAGAGGACTTGAGACCCTAAAATACACATTTATTCATTTGGAGACTTCATTCAGCTTTCCTTTCTTCAGGTTATGCCTACTTCTGTCTCACGATATATTCAAGGGAACCAGATAAGCAAGGAACACATGATTCCCTAGTTTTTAATAGGCCACACACAGCATCAGAATTCTTCTAGGCACATTTTACTTTCTAGGCACATTTTACTAAGCAAAATCCTAACTTTAAAAACTATACATGAAATGCTATGATGACTAAAACACCTAAACAGGAAATTTGAAAACTTATAAGCTAAATAATTACTTCACCTGCTGTCACTGATTTGAATGATACTGTATTTTTTTAAAAAAAATCCTTTTAAATGAATTAGTATTCAAGTATTAAAACAAGCTCTGAAAACTAAATTATCTACATATGTTACAGATTGCAAAATCACTAATAAGGTTATCTAATAAATTTCAACATGCAAGTAATTCACTTTAAGTGACATCACATGACACTTATAAATTCCATTTTTTATTAGTCCAGTGAAGCAGTGGGAGTGGCAATAAACTCTTATGACTAGAAATAAATTAGGCTTAGTTTTCATTCTCATGTTTCCAGTAACAAAGGCTTCTGAAAAACAAAACACAGAAAACCTCAAAGTGACTAAATTTGGACAAAAAAATAAAATAAAGTTTTGTATTTTTACTTTACCAAACCTTTACAATATTTAAGGTTAATATTTTTCAGTCAAATAATAAATACTTTTCATTAGTAAAAAGTATACTTTTTGGGTATATTCACCTGTTGATCTAGTTTCACCTCTAGATTTTCTGGTGAAAAGAATGTGTAACTTTAATGTAAGAAACAAATGCTCCAGAGGTTATCTTAAGAAATCAAAATAAAAGACCTTAACAATTTTTAGAAAAATATATATTCAAAGAAAAATACGTATGGTCAATCAACAAATAGATTATAGACCTGTTTCTGCATTCCAGCATTGTCAGCTAATTATTTGCAGATCTGTGGAATCTGCAAACATTCAGAGGCTAGCACTGAAGCTGAAAAACTCCATATAATAATTAAATTATTCTTTAATCCTTGTTATGTGTATAAGGAAAAATATCCAAGAATAGTCACTTTCAAGATTTTTTTTCCAGATCACAGATATAACTTCTATCCTCTTTTGTTGTTAATTTATAGCTACTTCTAATGTTATCTTGGACTGTTTTTTTCTTATTCTCAATAAATGTATTACATTGAGTAGATTAATGTTTTCTTAATTATCATTAAAATATTTAAATCTGTTAGACATACAAATTTATTTGCCTGCTATGAAAGAAGACATGATGTATCACTGTTTTAAAAATTATAATACATTTGGTAGTTTTAGTCATTTTTTAGTTTTTGAGACAGGGTCTGGCTCTGTTGCCTAGGCTGGACTGCAGTGGTGCGATCTCAGCTTACTGCAACTTCTGCCTTTCAAGCTCAAGCCATCCTCCCACCTCAGCATCCTGAGTAGCTGGGACTACTGGCACACACCACCACACCCAGCTAATTTTTGTAATTTTTAGGTGGAGATGGGGTTTTCACTACCTTGCCCAGGCTGGTGTCGAACTCCTAGGCTCAAGCAATCCACTTGCCTTAGCCTTCCAAAAGTTTACTCATTTCTAACAAAGTAGTTATAATGTCTACAGTAATCATCTATAGCAATGGTTCTCAGACATTTTGTTGTCAATAATATTACTATTATTATTATTTAATTTTATTTCAATAGATTTAAGGTACAAGTGGTTTTTAGTTACTTGAATTTATTGTGGAGTGGTGAAGTCTGGGCTTTAAGTGTACCCATTACCTTAATGGTGTACATGGTACCCAACAGGTAATTTTTCATCCTTCAACCCCTCCCACACTCCCCACTTCTGAGTCTCCAATGTCTGTTTATACCACTTCGTATGCCTTTGCGTATCTACAGCTCAGCTCGCACTTATAGGTGAGAACATGTGGTATCTGGTTTTCTATTCAATATTATTGTCAGCTGCACAAGATTTTCTGGGCAAGCTGATGCTTTAGATCCTTGCTACACAAAGTTCCATTGAATTAGCTATTCATTAATCAGTGCGTCTCAAAACTTTAATGTGCATTTGATTCCCTTGAAGATCTTGTTAAAATGCAACTTCTAATTTAGTAGATCTGAGATTCTGCATTGTTTCAGAATGCTCTCAAGTGACATCATGGTGCTAGGCCACAGACTACACTTTAAGTAGCAACATTTTAGATTATCATTAACCTTTTTCAAAGCGGTTTCTTGAAAGCTGTCTAAAAAGGGGGAGATAATTGAAAATATATTTTTTAAAGATGTGTAGGAACTCATTGACAAAAGGAGTGTTCTGAAGTAATATAATATCTAGGCAATATTTTGGCAAATTTCTCCACCCTTTGGGAAACTTAGTTTGTCTTGATGTAAATTTTGCCAATAAATCATTAGCAATAATTTTTTTTCACAGTTTATTTAATTAAGGTTTTCTACATGAGATTTGAGGAAAGGAAGAACATGAAGATGCAGTCTATAATTCCTAAAAGAGAAATTTGCCAAAATTTGTCTAAATTTTATAGCATTTCAAAGTACTGAATTTGTTTCAAAAGGTTTTGTCTTTTTAATTTTTTGTTTAACATTATTAATTGGTGAATTCAGCATCTGAACTGTGATTACTACTATGGAAGACCACTTCAGTACACATAAAAATCCAAATACTATTCAAAGTTTTCTACAGATTCACCAAAGTTGCTACCAAAATTCAATAACTTTTTTTGCAGAAATAAAAAAATTTATCATAAAATTCATATAGAATCTCAAGGCACCCTAGTCAAAACAATTTTGAAAAATAAGAGCAAAGTTGGAAGACTCATATTTCCTGATTTCAAAACATTACAAAGCCACAGTAATCAATACAGTGTAGCACTGGCATAAAAACAGAAAAAAACATACCAATGGATTAGAATAAAGAGCTCATTCAATTTCAAAAGGGTCTCCTCTTCAACAACAGGTGTTGAGAAAACTGAATACCGTGGAATACTATGCAGCCATAAAAAAAGAACAAAATCATGTTCTTTGCAGCAATATGGCTGATACTGGAGGTCATTACATTAAGCAAATATACACAGGAACAGGAAATAAAATGCCATTATGTTCTCTCTTATAAGCTGAAGCTAAATATTGGGTACTCATGAATATAAACATGGACAACAATAGATACTGGAGACTAACGGAGTGAGGAGGGAGAAAAGAAGGGTTGAAAAACTAATTATTGAGCACGAGGCTCACTATCTGGGTGACGGAATCATTTGTATTCCAAACCTCGGTATCCCACAATAACTCAGGTAACAAACCTGTGTTTGTAACCCCTGAATCTAAAATAAAAGTTGAAATTATGAAACAAAAAAACTAGATATCCACATACAAAAGAATGAAGTTGGACCTTCATCTTACACCAGGTATTAGTCTGCCATAATAAAATACCTTAGACTGGATGGCTTATACAATAAAAATTTATTTTTTACAGTTCTGGAGGCTGGGAAGTCCAAGATCAAGGTACTGGTCAAGTAGGTTTTATTCTGAGACTGCTTCTCTTGGCTTGTAGGCAGCCACTATATCGCTGTTTGCTTACATGATTTCTTCTTTGTGTGAATGCAGGGAAAAAGAGCAAGATCTCTGGTGTCTCACCTTATAAGGATACTAATTCTATTAGACCTGAGCCCCATCCTTATGACCTCATTGAACCTCAATGACTTCCTTAGAGGTTCTATCTCAAAACACACACACTAGGGGTTAGGGCTTCAGCATCTGAATTTGGGGCTAAGTGGGACAGAAACATTCAGTCTATAACACATCATATATATAAATTAACTCAAAATGGGTTAAAGATCTAAACGTAAGACTCAAAAATATAAAACTTCTGGAACAAAACATGAGAAAAGCATCGTAGCATTTGACTTGGCAATGATTTCTTGGCTATGACACCAAAAGCATATGCAACCAAAAGTAAGAACAAACAAAAGTAAATATAAATACTTATAAATAAATGATATAAACTACATCAAACTTAAAGACTTGTGCATTGAAAGCCACAATCAACAGGTTGAAAAGGCAACCTGCCAGGCACAGTGGCTCACGTCTGTAACCCCAGCATTTTGGGAGGCCAAGGCAGGTGGATCATTTGAGCCCAGGAGTTCCAGACCAGCCTGGGCAACATAAGGAAACCCCATCTCTACAAAAAATTTTAAAAATTTAGTTGGTAGCAGTGGTGCACGCCTGTAGTTCCAGCTATTTGGGAGGCTGAAGTGGGAGGATCACTTCAGCCCAGGAGGTTGAGCCTTCAGTGAGCCATGAATGATTGTGCCACTGCACTCCAGTCTGGGTGACAGAATGAGACCCTGTCTCAGAAGAAAAAAGAAGAAGAAGAAGAAAGAGGAAGAAAAGTAGATGTATATGTGGGGAAATTTCCACAATCTTTAGTGTAAAAAAACAACATATAGAACAATATGTATAGTACAACCACATTTTTGTTTAAAAACTAAAATAGGGCCAGACGCAGTGGCTCACACCTGTAATCCCAGCACTTTGGGAGGCCAAGGCGGGTGGATCACAAGGTCAAGAGATCAAGACCATCCTGGCCAACATGGTGAAACCCTGACTCTACTAAAAATACAAAAATTAGCTGGGCATGGTGGCGTGCGCCTGTAGTCCCAGCTCCTCAGGAGGCTGAGGCAGGAGAGTCGCTTGAACCCAGGAAGTGGAGGTTGCAGTGAGCTGAGATCAGGCCACTGCACTCCAGCCTGGCAACAGAGCAAGACTCCGTCTCAAAAAATAATAATAATAATAATAATTTTAAAAAACTAAAATAAATGAATATATCTTATAGAGATACACAGAGAGGAAGAGAAAGTATAAAAATATTTTTTAAAAAAATATTTTTTTAATCTGGAAATATATATATAATGAACTATTGCCTCTTAACATGAACTCTAATGAGTGGAATTAGAAAAGAATAACTTTCACTTCTTACTTTACATACTTTGCAATGAGAAAATAAAATTGTACTCTCACTCAATACTAATAAATCTCTATTTTTACACTGCAAGTTCTAAATTTGGCTACATAATTGTACAAAATTTAATTTTAATGAAGGCAACATTGTATCATGACTTTGAATCAGAAAGTTCTGCATTCAAATCTCAAATTTGCTTCTGACTCCTTGGATAAATTAGCTTAATATCACTGAGCCTCAGTTTTGTCCACCTATAACAAAGGGTTAATAAGAGCTACTTCGCAGGAGCCAGGCGCCATGACTTACACCTGTAATCCCAGCACTTTGGGAGGCCAAGGCTGGTGGATCACCTGAGGTCAGGAGTTCGAGGCCAGCCTGGCCAACATGGCAAAACCCTGTGTCTATTAAAAATACAAAAATTAGCCAGGTGTGGTGGTGGTCGCCTGTAATCCCAGCTACTCTGGAGGCTGAGGCAGAAGAATCACTTGAACCTGGGAGGCGGAGAGGTTGCAGTGAGGCGAGATCACGCCACTGCACTCCAGCCTGGTGACAGAGAGATACTCCATCTCAAAAAAAAAAAAAAAAAAAAAAAAAAGAAGAATCCTAATTTGTTAGAGTAAGATAATTGAATATAAGCAAATATAAGATAATTGAATATAACCCTACTTCACAGAGTTGTTGGGAAGAGCAAATGTTTAATAAATAAATAAAGATTGTATTTTTTTAGTCATTTTCATATTTCTAAGGCCTGCCATGTTGTAAGAAATCAAGTATTAATTATAATCAGTTAATAATGCATTTAATAACTGTTTACTAATTGCTTACAATATGCCGGGGCTGCATAGTATAAAGGTGACTAAAGCACAACCTCTGCCCTCCAAGAAAGCACAGTCTAGTGAGGTGCAATATCTCAGTTCCCTCCATTCGGCTTCTGATCACAGGTCACCAGACACTACAGAGAAACCCCCACCTTCACTCCTTGCTGACATCCTCAAAAGACTCTGAGAGGGTGGCAACTCTGTTATCATAAATTTACAGAAGTATCCAGCTTATGGGCTAATTCTCAGTGGGCTTAGAACTACTTAATGCTTGAATTTGCTTACCCAAAATATAAGCGAACTTGAATCATTTCCTCTGAAAAATCCTCAACTAGCCCATCAGGAGATGCACTATTTCTATTGGCCGGGTGGTGTTCAAACCACCATGTGTAAAATAAATTCTGTAGCATCACTTCTCATTCTGTTCTTTTTCTTCAGTTTGCAAACTTAATTTATTCACAACTGCCGAAAATGTTACTGCGGTGATGATTTTAAATCTGAATTCCTTCAATAATGAGAAATGAGTAGATATACACCTCTTGGTTCCCCCTCTACCTCCCCTATCAGTCCTTGTGTGCCTCCTTTGCAGGTTCCCCCTAATGCTGGAGCGCCTGGGACTCAGTCCTTCCACCTCCTCTCTATCGGTACACATTCCCTTGGGGATCGCTTTTACCTTGTTACTTTGGCTTTAAACAACATCTGTAAACTGATGAGTCACAAATTTGTATCTCTAGCCTAGACCTCTTTTCTGCTCAGCATGCCTACTTCAAAGTCAAATCTAAACTTAATTCCTGATCTTGCTTCCAAAACCTCATCCACCCACCACCTTCCCTTCAAAGTTGTTGGCAACTCCATCTTTCCAGTGGCTCAAGAAAAACCTCTTTCTCTCATAACCCATATCCAAACTGTCAGCAAATCTTGTTGGCTGTAGCTTCAAAATACACCCAGAATTTGATTACATTCCTTAAACTTCCACTGCCACCACCCTGATCCAAGCCACCATCATCTCTCACCCCAGAGTATGGCAATAATTGATCATATCATTCATTGGCTCAAAATCTTGTAATGATGCTATTTCATTTAGACCAATAGCCAAAATTCCTACAATGACTAACAGAGCCAAACGTCTTTCACCCAGCCTCTTGATCTTCTTTTCCGTATCTGTCTCTAAGGCCCTTGACTACACTGTTCTTCCAGCTGTTTCTGAAATACACAGAGGGGTTCCTGCTTTAGGTTGTTCTACTGGCTGCTGTCATTGCTTGGACGACTCTTTTAGTTAATAATATTCACATACATCACTCCTCATCTCCCTCAAGTACTTACTCAATGTCGCCTTCTTAATAAGCTTTACGCTCACCACATCATTTAAATTTCAATCTCCTCTTTACCTCAGTATTCCTGATCCTCCTTGCAAAGTTTTATTTTTTTATATCATGCATGCTAACATGCCATACATTTTCTTCTTTATTATATTTTGTTATTTATTGTCTATCTCTGTCTGCAAGAAGGTAAACTTGGGGATATGGGAAGAAAGAGTATATTAGTCAAGGTTTACAGAAACACAGACCAATAGAATATAGATATAAACACAGATACAAAAGGACATGTATATATATATGTATGTATGTATTTAGAGAGTAAAGTGCAGATTTCTTTTCTTTTTTTTTTTTTTTTGAGACAGAGTCTCACTCTGTCAGCCAGGCTGGAATGCAGTGGCGTGATCTTGGCTCACTGAAACATCGGTCTCCCAGGTTCAAGCGATTCTCCTGCCTCAGCCTCCTGAGTGGCTGGAACTACAGGTGCGTGCCACCATGCCCGGCCAATTTTTGTATTTTTAGTAGAGAAGAGGTTTCACCATTTTGGCCAGGCTAGTCTTGAACTCCTGACCTCAGGTGATCAGCCCGCCTAGGCCCCCAAAGTGCTGGGATTACAGGTGTGAGCCACCGCGCCTGGCCTAAAGTGCAAATTTCTTACATGCATATACTGCACAGTGGTGAAATCTGGGCTTTTAGTGTACCCATTACCCAAATAGTCAACATTATACCCAATAGGTAATTTTCAACCCTCACTACTCTCCCACCCTCCCACCTTTTGTTGTCCCTAATGTCTATTACTCCACTCTGAATGTTCATTTGTACCTATTGATTATCTCTCACCTATAAGTGAGAACATACAGTATTTGTCTTTCTGTTTGTCAGTTAGTTCACCTAGGATAATGGCCTCCAGTTCCATCCATGTTGCTGCAAAAGACATGATTTCATTCTTTTTTATGGGCTAAGTAATCCATGGTGTATACATACCACATTTTCTTTATCCAATTATCCATTGATGGACACTTAGGTTTAATTCCATATCTTTGCTATTGTGATCATTGTTGCGATAAACATATGAGTATAGGTATCTTTTTGATATAATGATTTTTATTTTTTTTTTTTATTTTTTTTGAGACGGAGTCTCGCTCTGTCGCCCAGTCTGGAGTGCAATGGCTCGATCTCAGGTCACTGCAAGCTCCGCCTCCTGGGTTCACGCCATTCTCCTGCCTCAGCCTCCTGAGTAGCTGGGACTACAGGCGCCCACCACCATGCCCAGTTAATATTTTGTATTTTTTTTTTTTTAGTAGAGACGGGGTTTCACCATGTTAACCAGGATGGTCTTGATCTCCTGACCTCGTGATCCGCCCACCTCGGCCTCCCAAAGTGCTGGGATTACAGGCATGAGCCACCACACCTGGCCTGATATAATGATTTTTAAAGGAGACTTACTATGAGAAATTGAGTTAGGGGATTATGGAGACTGAGAAATTCCATGATCTACTATCTGCAAGCTGGAGATCCACAAAAGCTGATGGTATAATTCCATTTAAGTCCGAAGACCGGAGAACCAGGAGAGTCAGTGATGTAAACTGCAGTCTGAGGGCATGATATTGTTTGGATGTTGTCCCCTCTAAATCTCATGTTGAATTGTAATCCCCGTTGTTGAAGGTGGGGCCCGGTTGGGGGTGATTGGATCATGGGGGTGAATTTCTCATGAATGGTTTAACACCATCCCCTCGGTGCTGTCCTTGTGATAGGGAGGAGGTTCTCATGAAGTCCGACTGTTTAAAGTGTGTGGCATCTTACCCCTCACCCTCTTGTTCCTGCTTTCACCATGTGAAGTGTCTGCTCCCATTTCACCTTCTGCCATGAGTAAAAGCTCCCTGAGGCCTCCCTGGAAGCTGAGCAGATGCCGGTGCCACGCTTGGGCAGCCTGCAGAAGCATGAGCTACTTAAACCTCTTTTCTTTATAAATTACCCAGTCTCTGGGCATGGTGGCTCACGTCTATAATCCCAGAACTTTAGGAGGCCAAAGAGGGTGGATCCCTTGAACTCGGGAGTTCAAGACCAGCCTGGGCAACATAACAAAACCCCATCCCTCCAAAACTACAAAAACTAGCTGGGTATGGTGGCACATACCCGTAATCCCAGCTACTTAAGAGGCTGAGGTGGGAGGATCGCTTGAGTCCAGGAGTTCAAGGCTGCAGTGAGCCAAGATCACGCCACTGCACTCCAGCCTGGGCAACAGAGCAAGCCCCTGTCTCAAAAAAATAATAAATAAATAAATAAAATAAACATAAACATAAATGAGCCAGTCTGAGGGATTTTTTTTTAACAGCGATGGAAAGAACAGCCTAATACAGGGCAGAAGAATATCTGAGATGAGATCCCCAGCTCAAGTAGTGAGGCAGGAAAAACAGGAGGAATTCCTCCTTCCTTAACCTTTTGTTCTATTCAGGCCCTCAACAGGTTGAATGAAACCCATTCACATGGGGAAGGCCATCTGCTTTACTGAGTCCACCAATTCAAATGCTAATCTCACCCAGAAACACCCTGACAGATACACCCAGAAACAATGTTTAATCTGGGCACCCATGGCCCACTCAAGTTGACACAAAAAATTAACCATCACAAAACGCAGTGATCTTTGTCAGTTTTATTCACTGATGTATCCCAAGCATTTAAAACACAGTCTGAAGCATGGTGTGTGCTCAGTAAGAATTGCTGAATGAATGAGTGAATGAATGATTGAAGATAAGTGGTGCTAATTGACATCAGGACTAATGATATAAATGGACAGTATGTGCAATCAAAGTAGATAGAAGTAAAATTTCAAAGCCATAAGGTGCTTTAAGGCTCACCCAACACAACCCCTTTAAAACATTTAGAAAACAGAACCAGAGAAATCAAATGTTTATGAGAGATCATTCTGCAAACTAGTGGCAAAGAGTAAAGAAAATCTGAGCCTTTTAATTTAGTAGTTTTCCTCAGCTCTTCACTACTTCTCTTGCCTAGGGAATGCTTTAGCCTAGATTTCTTGAGGTTCCAGAGGACAGTCACAATTACATTTAAAGGGTGTTTAACTTATGTTTTTCTTTTTCTTTTTTTTTTTGACAAAGTCTCTCTTTGTCGAGGCTGGAGTACAGTGGTGCTATCTCAGCTCTCTGCAATCTCCACCTCCCAGTTTCAAGCAATTATCCTGCCTCAGCCCCCTGAGTAGCTGGTATTACAGACGCGCCACCATGCCTGACTAATTTTTTAATTTTTAGTAGAGATGGGATTTCGCCCTGTTGGCCGGGCTGGTTTTGAACTCCTGGGTTCAAGTAATCTGCCCACCTCAGCCTCCCAAAGTGCTGGAATTACAGGCATGATCCATTGCACCTGGACTGTTTAACATATTTATTTCAGGAAATATTAACTAGTGCCTAAGAAATGGTATGTTGATATCTCACACAGTAGGTCCAGGGACCCCAGAACAGACTGAGATGGGTTACCAGACCAAGTGACAATGCCCCTCAGGCTTATGGATCCCAGTCTGTGGACAGTGGCCTCCCAAAATCTATCACAAGTTGTCTTGAGCACCCAGCCCTCTACAGCTTTCTCTGTCTTTATATGTGACATGTTTCTCACGTGCCATTAATTTTAACATCAATCTTAGTGCTCTTTCTGCTCATCATCTTAATGCCTCTTAGTTCAGAGGCAGTTCACACCTTACAAAAGATGTCATTAGCCTTTGCGATACTGAACCAAAACATTACCTAGGAAGAAACGAGTGTTCACTAGTCTCTTCTCAGTGGGCAAATGTCCTCTCATCCTTGCTCTGTCTCCTTTCGCTAGGTGTAATCCCTTTCCTAGCCAACAGGAAAAGTTACATTAGTGAGCACCCAAGTCTTCTTATAACCGAAGTTAATTTCTACTTTTTCCAAATGGTGTATTTACATTCCTTTTTCTAAATTCTTTCTTATTGCAGAGGAAGAACATGAAAAAAAGGGAAGGGAAAAGAAAAGGAAAAAGTCTGAAAAGAAGAAAAATTGCTCAGAGGAAGAGCACAGAATTGAAGCTGTTGAGCTATGATCTCATAGCCACCGATATTTCTCGCTAAGAAGACAGAGGAAGCAATCCATGGGAACTACTTATCCACAGTTACACAAGAGGAGGGGATAATGAAGAAAGTTAAAATCACTTACTGATTAAACACGATGATAATAACCATTAATGAACTCAATACTCGGGAAAGGCTTCACATTTCTGGGACTCAGCATTATCCAAAATATCTATTAAGAGCCATACACCATTCTAGCTGCAATTGATTATACAAAAAAAAAAAGACCAAAGTGGTTACAATAATAAAATAGAACACAGAGAAAGAAGAAAACTACATGTGTTACAATTTGGTAAGATAAACAAACAAACAAAAAATTTAATCACTTTTTTTGGTCCTGCGACACACATGATAATTTTTGTCTTAATTCTCCTAACAAATGATAATGAAAAGCTATAAGTAACTGTGTTATTGCTTCCGTATCTGAAATAGGTGAAAGAGGGAAAAAACACTATATATTTTTTCAGCTTTACAGAAGAAATTTTGAAAGGTTTACATTCAATGGAAATATTAGCATTGCCTCAGTAAGCTTTAAAACACAAATGTCTACGTTTTCTGAAGCAATATGGTTTACAGAGACATGAGTGTTTGTAAATCTCTCGTCCCAATACTATGTAAATCCTTAATGTGTAAGCATCCAGGAAAATTTGTCATTCTGTGTCCTTTATTCATCCTAAAAGTTGAAAGTTTTCTGTTATTTATATTTTTTTTTTTTTAATTTGAGAGAGAGGCTGGGTGCAGTGGCTCACGCCTGTAATCCCAGCACTTTGGGAGGCCGAGGTGGGCAGATCACGAGGTCAGGAGATTGAGACCATCCTAGCTAACACAGTGAAACCCCGTCTCTACTAAAAATACAAAAAATTAGCCGAGCGTGGTGGCGGGCGCCTATAGTCCCATCTTCTCGGGAAGCTGAGGCAGGAGAATGGTGTGAACCCGGGAGGCGGAGGTTGCAATGAGCTGAGATCATGCCACTGCACTCCAGCCTGGGCGACAGAGCAAGACTCTGTCTCAAAAGAAAAAAAACAAAGAGAGAGAGAGGGTCTCGCTTTGTCACCGAGGCTGGAGTGCAGTGGTGTAATCATAGCTCACTGCAACCTTAAGTTCCTGGGCTCAGGTGATCCTCTTGCTTCAGCCTCCCAAGTAACTGTGACTACAAGCATGTGTCATCACAGCCAGCTAATTTTTGTAATTGTTTGTAGAACCAAGGCCTCTCTATGTTGCCTAGGCTGGTCTCCAAATCCTGGACTCAAGCGATCCTCTGCCTTAGCCTCCCAAAGCACTGGGATTACACGCATGAGCCACCATGCCTGGCCTGTTATTTATAACTCTTACAAACATTAAACCATCACAATCAATGCTGGCAGCATTATCGTGGCAGGAAGGAATCCACAATACAACCAAAGATACCTACCTGCATCTCATAAGAATCATAGCTCAGGTCTCCATTGCCACAGAGTTTCAGTCATGTGAGAGACTCCCTTTATCTGTACTTACCCCTTACTGCTCACTTTCAAGAAAGATTCAATAAAGATGGCTTTCTGCCATACAGAGATAGGCATACTAGTGTAAACAGAATGCTTACAAAGTTAACCAAGTAGTCACCCAGGTCAGAGTACTAAACATTTAAAAGGGCTCACTAAGTTAGAGAGGACAGAGAATGGGCTTTGGAGATGAGCAGATCTGGGTTTGAGTCTGCTCCAACCTTTCCTTATTATATGACCTTGGGCAAAGTACTTAATTTCTCTGAGCCTTGGTGTTCTCTCTGAAAAAATGAGCATTTTAAAAAATCTTTGCTGGGCTGACAAATGGATGAGAGATAGTATAAGTAAAATGTGTAACTCAGTGCCTAGGATCGTTGCTGAATAACGCTACCTATTATTATTGGAAAGCATTTTGGGACATTTGGACTTTTAAGTTTACTGATACGTTTTTTCAGAAAAGCAGAAAAATCAACAACATGGTTTCAAATACTTGGATGAGGCTCCATTCACTCCCTTAGCCCATCTTACATATATTACTGCATTGACTGGAAATGGGAGGCACTTCACAATTAGGAATATTGTCAGGTCAGCCAGGCGCCGTGGGCATGCTTATAGTCCAAGCTACTCACAAGGCTGAGGCAGGAGGATCGCTTGAGCCTGGGAGTTTGAGGCTGCAGTGAGCTCCAGCCTGGGTGAAAGAGAAGACCCTATCTCAAAAAATAAAAAATTTTAAAAACCTGTCAAGTTAGATGTTAAAGAGGACATGTAAAATAAAATCTCCCTAACATGTTTATGAAATAGCTGCAAAAGGCTGAGCGTGGTGGCTCACGTCTGAAATCCCAGCACTTTGTGAAGCCGAGGTGGGTGGATCACCTGAGGTCAAGAGTTAGAGACCAGCCTGGCCAAGATGGTGAAACCTCCTCTCTACTAAAAATACAAAAATTAGCCAGGCGTGGTGGTCCATGCCTGTAATCCTAGCTACTCAGGAGGCTGAGGCAGGAGAATCACTTGAACCTGGGAGGCGGAGGTTGTAGTGAGCCAAGATTGCGCCATTGCTCTCCAGCCTGGGGAGCAAATGCAAAACTCCATTTCAAAAAAAAGAAAAGAAAAGAAATAACTGCCAAAACCCCAGGCTATTATTTTGTTACCCAAAGCATAACCAATCTACCAAAGCCATCCAAAATGCTTCAGAAGGCCGGGCGCAGTGACTCACGCCTATAATCCCAGCACTTAGGGAGGCCGAGTCAGGTGGGTCACTTGAGGCCAGAAATTCAAGACTAGCCTGGCCAACATGGTGAAACTCTGTCTCTAAAAATACAAAAATTAGCTGGGCGTAGTAGCCCGTGCCTGTAGTCCCAGCTACTTGGATGACTGAGGCACAAGAATTGCTTGAAGCCAGGAGGCAGAGCTTGCAGTGAGCAGACATTGTGCCACTGTACTCCAGCCTGGGCAACACAGCGAGACTCTGTCTAAAAAAAAAAAAAAGTGCTTCAAAAGCAACCGTATAACAGAGACATACTGAACATAGGATTTCTGCCATTCTTGTCTGCCTATAAGGATAGACAAACTATCTCAGATAAGTAACTGAGATATTTATTCAACGGTATTCTCATCCAGCATAAAATACTTTTTTCAATGTAGTAACAAACTTACCATCTTTTACTTTAAGTGTTCTATTATTTTTGATTTGCAATCAGAGCAATAGTAAATTGAGTGAGAAAGTTCTGAGTTTTACAGAAACTAGAAGGTGTAGGAATTTTCTTAAGAAATCCTGTTCTCATAGCAACCCATCCCGTTTCTTGATGAAGGAGTTCGGATAAGTATATGAAGTTTGGAGTGTTTATTACGACTCTCAGACCTTTTGAAATTTACCCATCACAAATACCTTCTGTTTTTATGTGTGCAGTTAATATAGATTTAAATATATACTTGCCTTCTGAATTTTATTATAGATATACAGATATAGACACCTTATGTTTCTTTCAATAGAAGTATCTAAGAAATAAACATTTTCTTTGAACTCTAATCACACTTAACAAAAAAGTTCTCTGGATCTAATAGCAACTTTCAAGCAGCCACATGCTAAACTAAGAAACCCAGCATCTCTCCATAGCTTTTCCTTGTCCATCTCCCAGAAAATCGGCTGTTCTTATTCAAAAGGGGTTTCCATTTTGTGAAGTATTTAAAAGGCAGTAAAGGAGAGTTAATAATTGGAGAAATATGATGGATAAGAATTGCACTTCAAACTTCTACTCTTGACACAGTCAGAGTCCAACGCTGGAGCTAATGGGTCGCTATACTGTTCACTGAGAGACTGAGTCAAACAAACAAACAAAAAGTTTGCTCAGATAAGAGAAAGAGTCCATCAAGGAAAATAAGAAGATAGGGGAGAGAGGCTAAAAAAAGGTATAGTGTTTCCAACAGTAAACATTTCATTTTGTCTTACAATAGGCAGGAAAACAGTCTATTCTTTGTTATTTTCTATCTGTTAGTATTTTAACTGATAAAAGACTGAAGTACTTTATTTCTTTTTGCTCTGATTTGGGAAGAAAGGACAGGACTTCAGAAGCACTTATTCTTAAGAAGACCTTTGTATTTCAGGCACTCATAACAGTGATGAAATACACAGATGGGTTCAAAATGTTACCTCTGCATTTATCAATCCAAATAAAATGATTATTATCTAATGACTGGAAAATAGATGTAAATGTTTCTAAAAGTAAAACCAACAATCCGTTATTTGTGCTACCTGGAAGTAGAGAAAGAATAACTAAGGTTCACAAATAATACAAAAGCTGACTTCATTCAGTGGTTTCAAGCTTCTCTCAAGCTTAATCTATTATTTGAAGAGTTAACCAGAAACTAAACCAATCAGCTGAAGTTTTAACTTTTTCTTCTTTCAGCTCTAAGTCCTTGTGGAAAAAGATATTAAAGTACAAGGAAAAGACCATAAGTCTTGCAGGAAGTAAAAACATGAAGAGAAAAATGTGGAGAGACAAGTAAACTGCGTTTTTCCGCAGTCTCAGAATTTATCCCGCTCTGTGTAACCCAGAAGTGACTGTGAAGGCGCAACCTGTGTATGTAGCCTGGACCCCACATGCTCTGCTACTGAGCTTGAGTCATTAATCTTCTGGCCACCGATTTTTCTCTCAAAAATTACATGAGCTTCCTCCATCAATAAATATCTTCAGTGCTCTATCCATTAATTTCCCATCCACTGAATAAAGGTTACAACAACTATTCATGAGGTTAGGTTTGTTTAAAAATACAGTTTACATCAATTAAGTGGGGTACATTAGGGAATTAGAAGGAGAACAGAGAAGGCAGCAGTGAGTGCTTCCAACCCAACTTCAGGGGCTGGGACAAGGTGAAATTACAGAGATCACAAACTGAAGATACTAAACAGGAATGAAAGGGGCTGGTCTCACATGTATCACAGCCTACCATTTCCAGAGACACAGCTCTCAGGTTCCAAAGGGACTAGTTGACATCAATTGCAAGATGGTTTTCTAGATCCCACAGCCTTTCTCAACAACAGTTTACAAGAGAATTAGCCATACAAAAAATTATTTGAGTGACTGTTTTTTCAATTTTCTGAAGGGTTGTGCATAACTAGTACTATTCTAATTGCACAGGAGAGAAATTAACTCATAACATTAATGCCTTAGGGTAGGTGTTGACAAACTAAGAACATAGCTGCCCACCCGTTTTTGTAAAATTTTTTTTGTATTTTTATTTGTTTATTTATTTTATTTTGAGTGGAGTCTCGCTCTTTTGCCCAGGATGGAGTGCAGTGGCACAATCTTGGCTCACTGCAACCTCTGCCTCATGGGTTCAAGCAATCCTCTCACCTCAGCCTCCCAAGTAGCTGGGATTGCAAGCGTGCACCACCACACGTGGCTAGTTTTTGTATTTTTTGTAGAGGCGAAGTTTCACCATGTTGGCCAGGCTGGTCTTGAACACCTGACCTCAAGTAATCCACCCACTTCGGCCTCCCAAAGTGCTGGGATTACAGGTGTGAGCCACCGCACCCGGCCCCATTTTTGTAAATATGGTTTTTTGGTAACACAGTCATGCTCATTCATTTTTTGTATTGACTATGACTGTTTTGAAGCTATAATGGTAGAACTGAGTAGATACAGATATGTCATTGCTTACAATTGCATATAAACTTTGGAAGAGTAAACAAGAAATTGGTAGCATTATTTGTTCCTAATGAGGAGAACTAAGGGTCTGTGAACAATTGCGGGAAGGAGACCTTTCCATATACAGCCTTTGGGCATAAGCAACCATGCCCAACCCCAAGTCTCTTCATAAAGGAAAATATTAATAATTTGTCTTGGTTGAATGTATGTTAAATGGAACAAAATTGATTCCTTTAAAAAATTATAGCCGGCAGCAGTGACTCACGACCATGGGCCCAGCACTTGGGAGGCCCAGACGGGTGGATCACTTGAGTCCAGGAGACCGGCCTGGGCAGCCTGTAGAAACTCTATGAAAAATAAAAAAGTTAGCCGGTGATTTGCACCTGTGGTCCCGGCTGCTAGTAGGGAGGTGGGGGGCAGTGCTGAGGTGGGAGGATTGCTTGAGCTCAGAAGGTGGAGGTTGCAGTGAGCCATGATCTTGCTCCACTGCACTCCAGCCTGGGTGACCGAGTGAGACCCTTCTCAAAAAATAAAATAAAATAAAATAAAAATTATAAACAAGGAAAAGTCTTAGTTCATAGATGAAATGATTAGACCTTCTTCTCTGGAGTAATAGAAATCGGTCCTTTCTGGATGAGAACCAGCATCTTTGCAGCCTTAAGCCACCTGAAGCTTAGTTGGCATGAGAACGTAGTTAGAAAACTCCTCTTTATTACTGAGAAGCAAATTCCAGAGGTTCATCTGCCAGGACTAACTTGGATCTGAGGGGTAGATACCTTTGCTCAAAAATGCAAATCTTCAGAGCTCGCGGAAGTGGAAGAATAACTACATAGGCAAAGAAAATGCCATCTCTGTCTCCGCGAGCTTCCTCTAGCAGGCCGGGATTTTTCATGGTCAGCCTGTTTGAAGCTCTACAGAAGCGTTCAGCCTAAGAGGTTTGTGTGCTTGGACAAAGCCCAGCGTGGACGCCACACACTTGAGGACGAAGGCATTCCTTTCATGTTAGCGGACTTTGGAATTTCCCTCCCTGGGATTTGTATTGTTTTCTCTTCGTGTTGGGATCAGTCCTATCGGTTTTTTTTGTTTTTTTTTTTTTTTTTTTTGCTTTTTTGTTTTTTGTTTTGCTAGAATTCCTTAGATCTTACCCTGAGCCTCTTATTCCCTAAGCAGATGTCTTTGGTTAGATTTTTGAAATGCCACCATTACCTTCATTTGATACTGGAAGAACTACATTGGCATCCTGTCTTTGCATTTGGGTAGATTTTACTCCTAAGTATTTATTGTGAGCAAGACTAAGTGCTTGCCTTACCTGGCCTCATGGAGTTCTCCCACGATGCCATCCTCCTGAAGACTCCATAGCTGCCTCTGCTTCACAGAGGAAATTGGGGCATAGAGTGTTTAAGGAATTTCCCCGGTGTCTTGGTACCTCACTTTGGCATTTCTTGGAATACCGATTCATTAAATCTGTTTTGTGTATGTAAAAAATATATAGAGATAGAGCTGGGCGCAGTGGCTTACGCCTGTAATCTCAGCACTTTGGGAGGCCCAGGCGGGTGGATTACCTGATTTCAGGAGTTCAAGACCAGCCTGACCAAGGTGGTGAAACCCTGTCTCTACTAAAAATACAAAAATTAGCCGGATGCGGTTGCGGGCGACTGTAATCCCACCTACTTGGTAGGCTGAGGCAGGGGAATCGCTTGAACCCGGAAGGCGGAGGTTGCAGTGAGCTGAGATTGCGACACTGCACTCCAGCCTGGGCAACAAGAGTGAAACTCCATCTCAAAACAAAACAAAACAAAACAAAAAATATACAGATAGATACATAGAGAGATAGATATATACATAGATATACATATATAGTATCTTTTGAACTTCAAACCATGTGATATAATATATAATTCAACAAATTAATTTTAATTAAATTAAATCCTTAAAATTTAAAAAAGTAAAATATGCTGTATGATTTGTATGAATTACGTATCCATTAACTAGCCGTTTTAAAATAATTAAAGGAAAAAATGGACAAAAGATTGGATTAACTCCCAAAAAGTGTCTGTTGGTAGTTCTTTTTTTCAAGTTCATCCCCTTCTAATATAAAAGAAATCCAATTTCAGTTATCGAATATAAACTTTTACTCCCTTGGAATTTGCCACTTGCTTTCTCTTGTAATTCTCTTCAAATCTTTGGCAGTCTTAAGTCTATTTTTGTATAATTTATCTTTTCTTTTAACTACTTACAATTTTCACTTAACATTCTGTAAGTCACAAATTTCTCAACAACACATGGAAAATAAAGTATACAGCCAATTTTATAAGGATTAATAAAGATGTTAAAGTTTGAGAAGATATTATTCCAACCTGAGAGTGTTTCAGAGTATATGAAAATGCTGAGCAATATGAGGACAAAACCTGCTTATCCTTAGCACACAGGCTGAAGTGGGAATTAGTCAGGGGAAGCTATGCTATACTGTTTTTACAAAAATTTAAAAAGGGGAGAAAAAGAAAAATCTCAGCATCTGAGAGCATATATTATTTCTCATGTTGAATATGGTTGACAATTTGGTTTTGTGGTCGGGTTACTTACGTCCAAGTGGGAACTTAGAGACCAAGACTACTTCCATTGTGATGTTGCCACTTCAACACGTCATCCATAAGAAAGGGAGAGAAGTGTAAGTGAGAGATTTTTATGAACCAGATCTGAAAATACATACATCGTTGCCACCAATATCCCATTGGCCAGAATTAGTGATATGATATCCTACCTAGCTGCAAGAAAACTGGGAAATGCATCTTCCAATGTGCTCAGGACAAAAATAAAATGGTTTGATGAACACATAGCATTGTCTTTGTCCGGTTGAGAAATCAAGAAAACACACAACTTAAATACATTTCAATAATGGATTTTACTTAACACTGCCAAATTCAAAATGATCTTCCATAGATTATTATTGTCATCAGAATACTCACATGATCTTACTGGAAATTAATGCAGATAAGAAATTTTAACTCACAGCGTTCACTAAGTTTTTTTGTTTGTTTTGTTTTTTTTGTTTTTTTTTTTGTTTTTTTTTTAGATAGAGTTTCACTCTTGTTGCCCAGGCTGGAGTGCAATAGCACGATCTCGGTTTACAACAACCTCCACCTCCCAGGTTCAACTGATTCTCCTGCCTCAGTCTCCCGAGTAGCTGGGATTACAGGCATGCACCACCATGCCCTGTTCATTTTGTATTTTTAGTAGAAATGTGGTTTCTCCATGTTGGTCAGGCTGGTCTAGAACTCTCGACCTCAGGTGATCCGCCCGCCTCAGCCTCCCAAAGTGCTGGGATTACAGGCGTGAGCCACCGCACCCAGCCAAGAATTTGCTTTTTTTAAAGAAACATTTAACTTGTATGGATTCTCAAATACCTCTCAGGTTGATTCCTGAGCTTACCTTTTTACATTTATAGCGGACAAATATGGACTCAAGAAATAGATAAGCAAGTATAAACTGTTTTAAAATTTAGTAACATTTGCATCAATTTGTTAAAGTGTAATTATAAAAAAAGTGCATAATGTTCATTCATATGTAAACCTTCATATATTATTCTGAGTTAACTTTGTGTAAGTGTGCCTTATTTTTTAAATGAAATTGTGAGTGTCTTGCAAAAAACATAATGTTTGCTTTTATCCTCCAATAGTTCTTTGTATAGTATCAGTGTTGCTAGGATTAACTAAGATAGAACTTTTCGTCCTCAAGAGACCTTAGGTTGCACTTCAATATTTATTTTTAGCGCATAAATTATGAGGGAAATTAAATTACATTTGTTTCAGTTACACATTGATTTAGTAAACAAATATTTATTGTAATAAATGTGTGTGATATCAACAGTATTGTGAATCTGGAAATACCTAGAAGAGGATATAAAAGGAAGAGGCCAGGCATGGTGGTTGATGCCTATAATCCCAGCACTTTGAGAGGTCAAGGCAGGAGGATCACTTGAGTCTAGGAGTTCAAGACTAGCTTGGGCAACATGGTGAAAACCTGTCTCTACTAAAAATACAAAAAATTAGCTGGGTGTGGTGGCACATGCCTGTAGTCCCAGCTACTCAGGAGTCTGAGGTGGGAGAGTCATCTGAGCCTGGAAAGTTGAGGCTACAGTGAGCAGTGATGTGTCACTGCACTACTGCCTGGGCAATGGGAGTGAAAGCCTGTCTAAAAAGAAGGAAGGAGGGAAGGAAGGAAGGAAGGAAGGAAGGAAGGAGAAGAAGAAGAAGAAGAGGAAGAAGAAGAAGAAGAAGTGGAGGAGGGGGGAGGGGGAGGGGGAGGGAGAGGGAGAGGGAGAAGGAGATCCTGCAAAAGTTTTGCTTGAAATAATTAACAACGTCCTACCACATGATATTGGGTTGAATTAGGTCTCAGGCCATTATCATTACAAAGCCTATCCCATTTCTTTTCAAGGAACCTAACATCATATGCAAGAGATATATTTACTCTTCGCCACGCGCTGTGGCTCACGCCTGTAATCCCAGCACTTTGGGAGGCCAATGCAGGCAAATTACCTGAGGTCAGGAGTTCAAGACCAGCTTGGCCAACTTGGTGAAACCCTGTCTCCACTAAAAATACAAAAATTAGCAAGGTGTGGTAGCAGGTGCCTGTAATCCCAGCTACTTGGGAGGCTGAGGCAGGAGAATCACTTGAACGGAGGTGGAGGTTGCAGTGAGCCAAGATCGCGCCACTGCACTCCAGCCTGGGCGACTCTGTCTCAAAAAAAAAAGAAAAAAAGAAATACGTTTAGTCTTCTCTCACCTTCTAGCAAGACTGTAGACTCTGCTGACAAAATGAGTACTTTTGTATATACCCATTATTTGTTTGTAGCTTGTGATATGTTTTTTGTTGTTCAGCTTAATCAAGAATTGGACTACTATATTCATTTTAAATCCAGTAATCAATGAACCTTAATACTAGGAACTTTATATAGTTATGCCTTCAATATGTGACTGTCTGAATTATCAAAGCACATTTAATTGTTTAAGCTTATATGGTGAATCATTAAAAATAGATTTGCAAATGTAAGGTCAAAATGAGTTTTGGGCTAGGTGCAGTAGCTCATGCCTGTAATCCCAGCACTTTGGGAGGCCAAGGTGGGTGGATCATTTGAGATCAGGAGTTCAAGACTAGCCTGGCCAACATGGTGAAATCCTGTCCTATTAAAAAATACAAAAATTAGCTGGGTGTGGTGACGCGCACCTGTAGTCCCAACTACTCAGGAGGCTGAGGCAGGAGGATTGCTTGAACCCGGAAGGTGGAGGTTGCAGTGAGCCAAGATTGCACCGCTGCACTCCAGCCTGAGTAACAAAGTGAGACTCTGTCTCAAAAAAAAAAAAAAAAAAAAAAAAAGAGTTCTGACCTTATAGGCTTCCATGCATGTTTTTAAAATGTTTAATCCCATCGTGTCATAACTAAATGCCTGAGAACTGAATATCAGGAATAGATTTAATTTCTGGTGGTTAGATTTTTTAAACTTTTATAAAAATTAACACTGTGGTCACCACCAAAATGAAAATCTGTATTTGCCCTGTCATACGACCCTTCCTAATGGCAAAAGACCTCCTAAAATTGTTTCACATCCAAATACAGAGGTCTTCTAAGTAAATTAACTCTGTCCAAGAAAATGCTTAGAGAGCTCTTAAAGGCAATCTGTAAATGAGTCGATGGTTACATCAGAATCATTTGGGAAGCCTTTATAAAACATAAACTCCAGAGTCTTGCTCCCCAGTGGTATGATTTAGTAGGTCTAAAGCAGAACCTGGAAATTTATATTTCTGAAAAGTCCAGGAGGTTGCCACGCTGCCAAATTTAGGAAGCACTGCTTTATACTACTCGCCCTCCTTGAAACATCAATGCAAGACAACATTTGTAGGAGCACAACATTGCTCATACGAGACTTCAAAAAGGAGAAGCAAGTTAGAGCTCAGATTACATAAGATTTTAAAAATTACATTCAGAAATCAAACATTTAAAAAACTGACCTTTATAGGTAAAGTAATCAAACCATTCAGGTTGAAGTAAGAAAAACCTTTCTACCCACATCTAAGATTTCAAATTACCTCTCAGTGAGAAGAAAGGCATTCTCCAAAAAGAGAGATAGAAACAGGCTCAGAAAATCATAAATAAGATAAATTTATAGGTGTGGATTTCAGTCCGTAGATCTCAGACCACAAATTTGTGTTTATAAGAGAGGCATTGAAAATTTTAACCTCAGGGGTTTAGCCTTGGGGATTTTCTGCCTCCTCCTCACTTCACTGGAAATGTTCCATGAGTGATTTTAGGACCTTATGCAGTTGCAAAGTTTTTTGAGGGGTCTGGGAACTTGAATGAGTATCTCATAATAATATCCAGGCTCAATGAAAGAATTAACAACTCATCTAACATATGGCACAAGAGATAAAAATTACTCCTTGGGGGTCACAGGCAAAGGTGGGGCCCCTGTACATACAGGCCCCAGGGTGGCTGCTGTGAAGAATAAAACAACATCTTTTTTAAAAAAGAACTCAAGATTGCTCCTATCATTTGCCTTACAGGTCCTCAGACTTGTGTGATTTTCTGCAACAAACAGGGAGAGAAGAGGGAATAAAATTATGTGCATTCCAGGCCAGGTACGGTGGCTCACTCCTATAATCCCATCACTTTGGGAGGCTGAGGCCTGAGGATTGCTGGAGCCCAGAAATTCAAGACCAGCCTGGGCAACAGGGTGAAACCCCATCTCTATATTAAAAAAAAAAAAAAAAGAAAAGAAAAGATTACATTTTGAACAGATATATTTTAAATAAAAGCCTGGAAAAGACAGAATGACCTTGGAGTTTTCTGGAAAGAGAACATGTTTACTTGTCCCTTTGTCAGTCTAAGTCCTGGAATTAGTTCTGTGTAGGAAACTCAAAGCTCTTCTTAGAAACACAATGCCTGTACTGAAAGAGTTGCCGGCCACAGCAAACATTTTTTATCAAGAAAAAAAATCCTTTGCGCTTAGGAAAAAATACAAAAACAAAAGTACTTTGCTGTCATTGCACTCTTGTTGCAGTTTAAATAATGTAACTCTAAATAGTTTAGACCATATGGAGAACACATTTCAGAAACCTGTAGATCAAATTATACAGGCTTCTCAGCTTTGAGCTTTCATTAGTTCTGTGGGTCAACTAGGAGTAATTTCACCAATTACATCATAGCATCATCATGTAAGGAAAGAATTCAGGGGAAAAAAAATCTGTAATTTTGATTAGGTATCCAATTAAGTCTCTTGCTATGCATACCAAAATATATCTTCCCTGGCCTAATCACTTAAGAAACTTAAAATTAAATGTCTAAAAAGAAAGTCTTCATTCATCTTCATTTTGCAGTGTATGTTGTTGGATATTAAATGATTTCAGTTGGATTTTTTTTTCAGTTTTCCTAAAACGAATTATAACATTTTACCCTTTGTACATTAGAGATGAGAAACAGTATTAAAAACTGGGCTTCATTCCATATACCAAAAGAAAGCATCAATATTCCCACTTTATCTTCAGTATTTCCTCCATTACTCATCAAATTACTTTCCTTTGCCTTTTCTTTTTTTTTTTTTTTTTTGAGATGGTGTCTTGCTCTGTGGCCCAGGCTGGAGTGCAGTGGCACAATCTCAGCTCACTGCAACATCCACCTCCCGGGTTCAAGCGATTCTCCCGTGTCAGACTCCTTAGTAGCTGGGATTACAGGCACACACCACCACACCTGGCTAATTTTTGTATTTTTAGTGGAGACAGGGTTTCACCATATTGGTCAAGCTGGTCTCGAACTCCTGACCTCAGGTGATCCACCTGCCTTGGCCTCCCAAAGTGCTGAGATTACAGACGTGAGCCACTGCGCCTGGCCATCCTTTGTCTTTTCATGAAACTGTATACAAAGAACCTTGGAGACCTGAAGCATCTGTGTTTCTTCCCTGTACCACCACCGCCTGAGCCCCGGCGACAATAATCACTCACTAACATGTGGGAAGCAGCCTCCCAGTCTCACTGGCTCTCCTCCACGTGTTCTCCACCATGGAGCTAGTGTACTGTTCAAAAATTCGCTCATTACTCACAGGACTCCCAGTCATCCCATCTACCTCCCAACCTTCCCTATCCCACAACAGACACACCCTAAAACTCTCCAGTCTTTCCACTGTAGTTATGATGAAGTTAAAACTCCTTAATTTCTCCAGACAGCTGTGCAAAATCTGGTGTCTGTGAGGGCTCCTGCCCGCATCTCAGACTGTGCCCGCCTTCACTCCCAATCTTGGTCCCATTGATCATCTTTATTAAGTTCCTGGCATTCTCTAGGCTCTTTCACCTTTCCGCCTACACTTCTTTGTGCCTAAAATGCTCTTTCCTCCCTCCGTCAGGCTGACTTATCTTTTGTGGCACTTTTCCACAGATGTCAATGCTCTGTGTTTTGAATAAATCTCTAGTGGATGCTATTGGGATGTCTTCTTGATTGATTTGTCTTAATGAACACTTCACTTCTGTTCCACTAACTATAATGGTACTTTCATGTTGGTATGAAACACGATTGCATTCAAAATACTTTTTTTAAATTCTGATTTTGAAGAAATGAGATGAGACTCCCTCTGGATAAAAATAAAAGTAAAGCTAGTGTTCACATGCCATATGTTTTTAACTTGTAATACACCTGAACCTCTGTGTTCCATAAAGGAGCAGGAACACGAATGCAAAGTGAGACTCAGATGGGGAAAAAATCTGCCACTCATATGCCGGAATAAAGAAATGTGGATAACCTGCAAGTGTGTGAAGGCTTATCTGAGCAGTCTTGTGAAATCTGTCATTTCCCTTCACCACAGTTAAATGGACACCAATTAGGAAATGGGCCCAATTAGGAAATGGATCTCACACTATTTAATCTCTTGAATTGGAAGTACATGTAAAGAAAGCAAGTCCACCATTAACCTGAATCTTGAAAGTCAGGTGTGCTCACCAACAGCAAGGTGGAAGAAGTTCTTTCTCTTCTACCAAATCTGAGGAATGAGGTCCTGAAGTTTTCCAAGAGTGATCACATTCCTAAAAGGCCCTCTGATGACTTATCAGTGTTTACTTGTCTTTGTTAGTTAATGATGGTGGCAGGGGACAGTAGTTAGATAAACTCCATATCATTGTTTTAGTGTCTCTTAAGTGAGTGGCAAAGGGTCTGGGAATGTAGATCAATAGAATCTACATTTTTCCTCAGTGATTTAAGAAAGACCGTTTAAAGTATCTATAGAGACCAGAAGTAAATTGATGGGTAAAGGCATTGAGTACTTCTGGGTACTGTTTTGCGATCATATCTTGAAATAGATCAAATCATGAAACTGGTAGTGACATTTTCACATTCATTTGTTTGATTTGTATGGAAGAATGGTGATGATTTATTTCTTCTTTGAAAGCATAATGATAAATATAACTTAAACAAAATATTAAAAGCTGGGTTTATCTGGACCTAGGAACACATTCTGTTTTAACTTTAGCACAAAATCAAAGGTTTATTCTGTCAGGATCAGACGATGCACGGTAAACGTCACCAGATTATACACATAATCTAATAACACACAAAACTAGAATATCAGGTAGCTTACTCAGAAAAATCTAAATTTCTTTTTAATTTCCAGGCTTTGATGATTTACCAAATAAACCATTGTGCTCTCTTTTAATATGAAAAATTTTCATTTTAAAGTAGATTTGTACAAATGTATGAACAAAAATAAAAGGTTGTAAAGTTAAGTTTGATAAATGATACCCAAATAACTAAAATCAACGACCCCTGGAATAAAATGTCGCACAGTTAATGAAAATAATAGCATAGCATTCAGACATAACAGATGAAACCACACATGCAATTAGGTCTTAAACTGAGCTACATATAGCTCGGCTCAGCTTGTAACCATTTGTGGTTTTTTTTTTTTTATTTTTTTTGAGACAGAGCCTCATTCTGTTACCTAGGCTGGAGTGCAGTAGTGTGATCTTGGCTCGCTCCAATCTCTGCCTTTTGGGTTCAAGCAATTCTCCTGCCTCAGCCTCCCAAGTAGTTGGGATTATAGACACGTGCCTCCACACTAGCTACTGTTTTATTTTTAGTAGAGATGGGGGCTTCACCATGTTGACCAGGCTGGTCTCAAACTCCTGACCTCAAGTGATCCACCTGCCTCAGCCTCCCAAAATTCTGGGATTACAGGCGTGAGCCACTGCACCTGGCCTGAGTTTTCAGTAACATAAAGGAAAGCTCTATTAAAATGTGGTTGTTACTATTATGCACCGCAATTACCAAGTAATTCCAAAGACATTTTTTATAATGACTTTGAGATACACATAAATTAAAAATTTTTCTAATATCAACAAATTAATCATTTCTAATAAGTCCAGGATTAACTATTTTACCTACCATTTCAGGCTACTACATGATAAACCATACTGTCATTTTACTATTTCATTTTGCAAGGCCTTAAAGTGACAGACAGGAAAATATCTTTTTCTTTTCTTTTTTTTTTTTTGAGACGGAGTCTCGCTCTGTCGCCCAGGCTGGAGTGCAGTGGCGCAATCTCGGCTCACTGCAAGCTCCGCCTCCCGGGTTCACGCCATTCTCCTGCCTCAGCCTCCCGAGTAGCTGGGACTACAGGCACCTGCCACCACGCCCGGCTAATTCTTATATTTTTAGTAGAGACGGGGTTTCACCATGTTAGCCAGGATGGTCTCGATCTCCTGACCTTGTGATCTGCCCGCCTCGGCCTCCCAGAGTGCTGGGATTACAGGCGTGAGCCACCGCGCCCAACCAGGAAAACATCTTATATGTGATGTGGAATTGTGTCATGGCTCCGTGAAGGGAGAAGACTTCATATTATTTATATATGATGCCTTTTGGGAAAAAGTAAAAAATTAAAATATTCTCTATATTTTATTTGGCTGTGTAGTAATTTTTATTAAATAAAAACATAATTTTTAAAAGATATGAATCATAAAATAATAGATGATACATACATACATGTAACTTAACCTGTATGTCAATTGCCAAAATATTTTCTGGTTTGGTACTTTAAAAACTTCTATTGGCTGAGTAGAGTGTCTCCCACCTATAATCCCAATACTTTGGGAGGCCTAAGTGAAATGATTGCTTGAGCCCAGGAGTTCGAGGCCGCAGTGAGCTATGTTCATGCCATTTGCACTATATCCTGGGCAACAGAGCAAGACCCTGTCTCTAAGAAATAAATAAATAAAATAATATAAACATTATTTTAATTTATTCAATAAAATGTAAATGAACACATATAAACATCAACCAGGAAGAGTTTTGTCCATAAGCACTTTACAAACAAACCATAATTCCTGGTTTCCAGTGTTTTTGTTTTTTGTTTTTTGCTTTTTGTTTTGAGACAGTCTCACTCTGCTGCCCAGGCTGGAGTGCAGTGGTGTGATCTCAGCTCACTACAGCCTCTGCCTCCTGGGTTCAAGCAATTCTGCCTCAGTCTGTCAAGTAGCTGGGATTACAGAAGCACGCCACCACATCCGGCTAATTTTTGTATTTTTAGTAGAGACAGGGTTTTGCCATGTTGGCCAGGCTGGTCTTGAACTCCTGACCTTAAGTGATCTGCTCGTCTCAGCCTCCCAAAGTGCTGGGATTACAGGCGTGAGCCACCGCGCTCGGCTCCAGTGTGTTCTAGTAGAGCTAATCACTTTCCAGTCACTTTATTCTGTCTCATGATAGATGCCTAATATCAGGTAACCACTGCATATATCACCTCATATTGTGCTTTAAGCTCATAAAGAACATGGTTCATACTTGAAACCTATATAGCAACAATTCTGACATGAATTCAGTGCACATTCATGAAAAAAAGTTAAAAATCTGCAATTTCCCAATATTTGTACAGGCTCCATAAAATGTACTAAAAGACCTCTCAGCTTTTCTCTGCTATTTCTCCAGTGTATGAGTAAATCTGTTTGAGTTAGGTTTGGGGAGAGGAGTTACATTAGTGATATACCAAATCTAGTACAAGTAACTAAAGGGATAAGGTAAAATTTCCCAATTTAAATTTAAATTAAGCTGAATGTTTCAAAAGAGGAAATACTGTTTTTGAGGCAGAATTGGCTCTAGAGTAGAGTTAAAATGGATTCCAGAAGATGATGTACTGATTAATATATATGAAACCTCAAACTGTCCCCTCAAAAAGTGAGAAAATAAGAAATAACCTGATGCATTTAACAGCTTTATTTTCTATCAAGGAAAGACTTCTATAGATGATGAACTACAGATATAAAACACTTCTTGTGTAAAAGGGACTACTTTTCCAAATACGAGGTTGCACACGGGGCTTCAGAGACTGCTTTTGTCTTTCTGGGAAAGCATGTTCCTTTCCAAAATGGTAACATTCTCAAGACCATTTTTTAATACTGCATTTTAAAGACTAAGTTCAGGTTCATATCCCTTATCATAATTCCAAAATCCAAAAATTGAAAATCAAAAGTTTCCTCTGCATTCATAAGGTACGAAAACCTTGCCAAATGTGATAATAAAATCTCATTTGAACTAATAAAGCTATTTATAACCTTTTTTCCTCTGATATTTTATAAGACAATCATCAAAGGAGATCAACAGTATAGTATGTAGTTAAGCATCTTGAGACAATCCTAGCTTTGTTACTGTCTTTAAGACCATGGACAAGTTATTCAACATCTCTCAGCCCATCTTTGTTTCATCATGGGAAATATAATGGTCTCAATTCACAACCAGCTCCTACTCCTAACATTACTTTTGGGAAGTTTAAAAGCTATAGTGTATATAAAGCACAGTGACTAGCCCATAAGAAAAAAAAAATCAGTAAATGGCAGCCATTAGCAGTAACCATCCTATAAAATATCTTGATAGTTTTTCCAAGCCCTATTGTTTAAATTTTGTCTCCAAGGCAATTTTGTTTGTGTTACCATTTTAATTCTCCAATTCATGATTGCTTTTTCTTCTTTGAAACTGTTTCTTCATTCCAATATTGAACAAATGTTCTTCCAAATATGCCTTTACCCATTTTTATGTGTAGTAAATACACAAAAGGACTTCTGAGGATAATTCAAAATGTCAAAGAATTTGAACTCCTTTTCCCATTCCCAGACATTGTGGGCAGTGAATAAAGCTTTTACTTTACCTTTTATAAGTAATATTACTACTAAGAACGGGAAATACAAAAACAGCTGAAAAGCATGTGGAAATGAACCATGGAGGCAACAGACCCGAGCACAAGTATTAATCTCAACCACATTCAATTCTGTTCAGTGGGCAAGAAAACCAGTCAGAAGAGTTGACATAGAGCTGCACTTTATTTAGAAGAAGACAATTCCATCCTGTTCCAAGGACTAGGGTGCTCAGTGCCTTTTAGACAGCTATATTGTAGATTACATGACAGGAAGAGAAAGGGACAATGTGCCTTTTTAACTAGTTTGCAAACTTCCCAGGCTAAACCCTAGGAATGTGTTTTTATGGAAGCTGTGATCATTCCACAGGAGATGGCCACAGGTATGTTTACTTTTGGGGGTTTTCATGCCTTCCCAACAGTTTTTTTGTCATCATGAATACTGACTGTTATTCATATTAAAAATAAATGTGTCTCAGAGTCAGAGAAAACTACGCCAAAGGGATTTAGAAGAAAAAAAAAAGTACCTACAATGCACATTAGCGAGAAACCAGATGAAGCAGCCCCTTTTTAAAAGAAATACATACGAATTACATGACGTAACCATTCTAAAATATAAGACCGCTGAGAACATTCAGGAATTTTCACTGTCACAGGCTGATGATGGAAAACTTAGTAACATTGAATGAAATCAGTTGATTTGATTTGGCTTTCTACAATTATTTTGGGCATCACGCTTTTTTTTTTTTAATGGAAGGGAAGGAATCTTTGATTTTATAAGAATTGCCTTTATCCCCAAGTCTACCTGGCAAGTTATTAGATGGCCCCACCCAAACCAGCTATAGCCAATCGTTGGGTTGATGGACAAATGAACACTTTTACACTTATTTATATGAAGATAAATGATAATATGTAACTTCAGATAGAAAACTCCAGTCCTAAGCTCTATAAATATTCTCTGTGAATCCCCTCTTGCTTAATTAAATGTTAATCTTGCCTAAGTTTTGTTGGAGGTCACTCAGCTTCATAAAGGGTCATGAGGATGAGACCTCATGGACTGGAACCCAAAGGAAAATTTACAAGGGGAAAGAAAGGTACTTCATTTATATTCAAGCTTTCTTCAAATTATTTGTAAGTAGCATTTTAGGTCCACCTTTTTTTCCCAAAAATTTGATATGTAGTCAAGTCCTGATTAGCATTCCCTAAAGATAAATACAATTTAATGTTTATAAATTTTCCAATTTCTTTAAACTTTCTAGCAATTTCCTTTTATCAACATTTGCCAGCCCAGAGCAAATACATTATTTTATTCATATCATAAAACATATTATCTTATTAATATTATATAAAACATACATTATTCATATTATAAAGCAATTAGAAACAAAAATCATAAATTTTTAGCAGTCTGTGGTTTCTGCTTTATGAGAGTAAAAATCACACTGGTTGCTCTAATATTTACCTAGAAGAATACGTTGTGTACACACGGTCACTTTGACATTTTTGTTCTCTAAAATTTGGAATTTTTGTTTGAAATTTCACTATAAACAAAATATATAACTATTTTCATATTAAGACTGCTGCTGTGCACTTTAGATTGTAGCTAAATCAATTGTACCGTTGCAGCTGTGGTGTGCAAATGAGGTTTCAATGTCTGGCCCCCTTACCCTTCAGACCAGAGCCTAGATTCTGGGTTTTTTCTTCTTCCTTCTTTTTACCGCCAAGCGACAACCCTATCTAAAACTGTCAAATAAATTATCCGGGTTTTTTCACAATAAGTAGGGCAAGTATGAATAGCACAAAACCTTTCAGCACAAACTAGCCATTTGTTTCTCATTCAGCTCTCTACTGCTTTTACAATACCTTCCTGGATGGGGGTGAGAGAATGGGAGGAATAACAGCAATGAACACAGAGGATTAGCTTACTTTCTTCTGTGTTCATCTTTTATGGGCCCTCCTGATGTTTCCTTGATAGATCTTCTCTATTGTATATCTCTGTGTACCTTTAAAAACTAATCTGCGTTTTACAAGCCCAGTTCTTGTTCAGAGAATAAGTAAAAAGAAGGTTTTTTTGTGATGTGACAGAAACTTTCTCATTGTAATGAGAATAGGGATGGAATCTAGTTAGGGGTCAAATTTACATCTCCTTTCACCTTCTCTGTGATCCATCTACTTCAAAAAAAAAAAAAAAACTGGAAGAAGATATATCTGGAAAAGCATCTCTTCACCCCCAGTGACCATCTGATAGTTATTTCTAAAGCCAAAAGATTTCAATCAAGCTTTTTTGTGCACACAGGATGTTATATTAATTGAAAGCAGTGACAATATTAATGATAAGTCACCATAATTCCTTGAAACGAGGACCAGCACTGGTGAGATCTAGCAGGTGAAGGGAAAAACACCCTACACAGAAGTCAAACTACTTTCCTTCACTTTCTGGTTCACTACCAGTAGAGGGGAAGGAAAGAATTACTGTAGGGAGCAAATCAAGTTTTATGTGGGTTTTCTGTTGTTTTGTTTCTTCTTTTTACTTTGAGGATATTGCTTTGGAAATACCCTCACTAATGTGCAAACTTAAATGTTTCAGAACAATAATTACATGTCCAAATCAAAAAAAGGAAACTACACAATGGTGTTGACAAAGAGTCTCTCCTGGGCCAAACTCCATTCACGCTCTTCTGAGCTCTTTTTCACTAGGCCCTGATTTGGGGGCTTCCGTGTTTGTGAAGCAGGTTCATGGTGCATTGGTTGCCAACCTGTCTGAGTCCAGTACAACAGAACACCCACGCACTCCACAGTTACATGAAGTGGCTATATTACTTACAGATAGGCAGCAAGGAAATGCAGAAGGCTATGAGTCCTCCAAGGCTGTGGAAATCTCCCTTGGGTAGATGGAGTCTTGTTTGTGCCTACCCCACTTCCACCACAGCTGAAACCCTGCAAAGCCACCCACCCTGGGTTTTACATTCCAGGGTCTCTTGATATACTAGGCTAATGCATTAAAGGACAGCTTGCTCTGGAGGGCCTGGAACAGAGCCTGGGCTCTTCCAGCCACCTCCTCCTTATCTCAGGATGTTGCACTCCCAGTGCATTCTGCAGTTATGCTTGAGAACTGCAGGTAAGAACGAGGGTGAAAGCCGGGTCAGTCTAAGGCAACCCAGAGAGTGACCCTGCAGTGTTGGCCTCTTCATTGTCCAGTTTTAGCAGAAATTCTCATTAGTCAGTTTAACCAGAACTTCCCACCTTCAATATCTGATCACTCTACGCACCGAATTAGGTTTCTTATCCTCCACCAGCCCCCAGGTGATGTCTGATCACCCAGGCCTGTCTTCAGCAAGAATCCTGTTAAGTTGGTTTACCCAGAATCCCCCCTTACCCTTGATGTTCTTGCTTAGTTTCCACCCACTGAATCCTACCCAGCTCTTTGATTATAAATTCTCACTTTTTCCTGTTGTATTAATGGTTGAGCTCAATCTTTCACCCCACTGCAAGACCCCAGAAGAGCTCTGTACACCTATCTCAATAGTCTCTCTTTGAATAAAGTCTTTCTTACTGCCTTCAACAAGTGTCATGAATATTTTTTTTCATTCAAAGAACTAATACTAATCCTCTTGAAACTATTCCAAAAAGACTGAAAAGGAGAGAATTCTCCCTAACATATTGTATGAGGTCAACATTACCCTGATACCAAAACCAGACACGGGCACAACAACAAAAAAAGAAAACTACAGATCAATATTCCTAATGCAAAATCAGATAGATGCAAAAATCCTTAAATTAAAAAAAGATGCAAAAATCCTTAAGAAAATGCTAGGAAACCAAATCCAACAGCACATCAAAAAGATAATGCACCACAAGCAGGTGGGATTTATACCAGGAATGCAAGAATGGTTCAATATACACAAATCCATAAATGTGATACATCACATCCACAGAATGAAGGACAATAACGATATGATCATCTCAACAGACACAGAAAAAGCATTCTATAAAATAAATTTTTAGTCTGGCTGTGGTTGCTCATGCCTGTAATTCCAATACTTTGGGAGGGTGAAGTAGGAGGATCACTTGAGACCTAGAGTTCAATACCAGCCTGAGCAACATAACAAGACACCATCTCTAGAAAAAAATAAAAAATAAAAAACAAAGGCTAAAAGTACTATCTATTAAAAAATAGTAATTTTTTCATTAACCATGTGCTGGAAAATGATGTATGTGAGGGTGGTGATTGTAGGGAAGGAAACATCTTTTCCTTCTACCCATCTTAGTTTCATTAGGGGAGGCCCATGTAACAAAAGCCAAAATAACAAAAGGAAAGCACCGAAATTTATTTAATACTACATTTTCTGTTGTACAGGAGCCTTCATTAGACAAGGAAGACCCAAAGAGGCAGTTAAACCTGAGTATTTTTATGCTTGGTTTGGTGAAGAGTAGAGTCATGGAGAAACGCAATAGACAAAAAATTCCTAAGTGTGAAAACAGCCGATCTGTTTATTCAGATTCCCCTTGGTGTTCCTGTGTCTTCAGAGATAAGGATATTCCTTTTCTTTGGGTATAGGGAGGGCACATTTCATGAGGAGTCTTACAACCTGCTTCAGGAAAAGATTATAAATTCCTGCACATGCTGTTTCTCCAATTCCATCAGCTTAAAATATTAAATATGCTAAGATGCTGTACTTTGGGGTAGTATGTCCTAAACTCCTGATCTAGCATTTGCCAATTTCCATAGTGTAAATAATACTACTACTAGCTGATCTCAAGCTACTCGTGTGACGTCATCTGAACGTGTGAAGAGGTATGACAATCATCTCTTATGAGGGGGTACAAACAACTTCCGGCATACCACTGAGGCTACACTTAACATTTATCAGATAAGCATTATTTAAACAAACCTAGACACATTTACATAATATTGCAATACTACCTGCTATATTGTGCAGCCATTAAAAAATGTAATTGAAATTAACAATTACATTTCTATAATATGAAAAGAGCTTCAAGGCATATATTATTAAGTAAAAATAAAATTCTGTGTGATGCCCATGTCACTAAAATTGATACATAATATGTATTACAGAGACATAAAAATGGCTACTTTAAGTGAAGACTTAATATTATGCCATGTGTATGGAGCATTTTAAATGTTATCTCACTGAATAGTCACAACATCTTGATCAGGTAGGTACATCATAATCACTTTAAAAAATGAGAAAACTGCATTGGCTAATGAGTGGCAGAGTCAGAATTTAAGACAATCAGACTTCAAAGTGTGCACTACTACATAGAAATATGTGGGAGGTAGGGGGAATCTATAAATTATTTACCTATTATTTACATTCATATGTGAGGAGGAGAGAGATTACAGAAAAGTTCATATTCTAAGTCAACATTTCTTTAATATTAGGTTTGTGCAAAAGTACTTGTGGTTTTTGCCATTATTTTTATATTTTAAAAAAATGATAAAAACAGCAATTACTTTTGCACCACCATAATATTTGACCACATGTGCTTTTTTTAATCAGAAAAAAATGATGATCTTTCTAAAAATCAACTACATCAATGCCTCTTGTCAGAAAAAAACAAAGTCATTTACTTGTTAGTGAAATCAGTGGGAATAAAAACAAGTACTTGGCTCTATTAAAAGATAAACTACTAACAAGTGCATTTGCAGCATACACTGACACGCATATATTATGGCAACAAATATTCACAGTGGTCCTGACAGAATTCATATCTAAGGCAAAAGCCTTGTTTTCTGATGTTTGACATTACATATAAAAAGGTCCAGGAACAAACTAGGACCCCCTCAGAATGGCAAAGGATAAATAAATATACCATTGTCACATAAAGATTTCCTGAGGAAACTAGAGATGTACACTCAGAAGAAGAGGAAGCTCAGGGAGAGGCATGAAGTTTCTCTCCAAATGCTGAAAGATATTTTTGGGCAGGTTCTATGACTCATTCCTGTAATCCCAGAATTTTGGGATGCCAAGGTGGGAGGATCACCTGATCCTGGGAGTTTGAGACCAGCCTAGGCAACACAGTGAGACCCCTCCGTCTCTGTGAAAAATTTAAAAAACCAAACAAAAAACCAGCCAGGAGTGGTACTGCATGCCTGTAGTCCCAGGTACTTGGGGTGCTGAGCTGAGGTGGGAGGATGCCTTGGAGTGTGGGAGGTCAAGGCTGTAGTGAATGGTGATTATACCACTGCACTCCAGCCTGGATGACAGAGCAAGTCATTGTCAGAAAGAACAAATGAAGGAAACAAAAAGAAAGAAAGAAAGAAAGAAAGAAAGAAAGAAAGAAAGAAAGAAAGAAAGAAAGAAAGAAAGAAAGAAAGAAAGAAAGAAAGAAAGAGAGGAAGAGATGAAAGAAGGAAGGAAGGAAGGAAGGAAGGAAGGAAGGAAGGAAGGAAGGAAGGAAGGAAGGAGTAAGCGAGTGGGGGGGAGAGAGAGGAAGGAAGGGAGGGAGGGAGGGAAGGAAGGAAGGAAGGAGTAAGGGAGGGAAGGAGCAACGGAAGGAGCGAGGGAGGGAGACAGAGAGAAAGAATGAAAAAGAAAGAGAGAGAGAAAGCAGAGAAGAGAAGAGAAGAAGGAAGGGAGAGAGAGGAAGGAAGGAAGGAGGGAGGGAGGGAGGGAAGAAGGAAGGAAGGAAGGTAGGAAGGAAGGAAGGAAGGAAGGAAGGAAGGAAGGAAGGAAGGAAGGAAGGGCAAAGAAAGAGGGATATTTTTCTTAAAATATTATTTTAAAAGACTAACTAGGGACCAGCACAGTGACTGACACCTGTAATTCCAGTGCTTTGAGAGGCTGATGCAGGAGGATCACTTGAGGTCAGATATTGGAAACCAACCTGGGCAACATAATGAGACCCGTATCTCTTCAAAAAAAAAAAAAATTATTTAAAGAAATAGCTGAGGATGGTGGCATGCACCTGCAGTCCCAGCTACTCAGGACGCTGAGGCAGAAGGATTCTTTGAGTCTACCAGTTTGAGGTGACAGTGAGCTATGATGGTGCTGCAGCACTCCAGCCAGGGCAACAGAGAAAGGCCTTGTCTGTAAAAATAAATAAATAGATACTGCAGGGGAAAGGTAGGCAAAATAAATAATAAATAGGAACTATTATAGATTTATTATAAAATACTATAGAGTTCAGAACTAGAAACGATGGCTAGATATTTCAGAAAGATATAATTTATTATCTTAGAAAATAATTTTATTGTGAACCAGGGAGGCGGAGCTTGCAGTGAGCCAAGGTCGCGCCACTGCACTCCAGCCTGGATGACAGAGCGAGACTCCGTCCCAAAACAAAAAAAAAAAAAAAAAAAGAAAGAAAATAATATCATTAAAAATTTTAAAAAAATTAAAAATGTAAATCACTCCAAATGGTCTTCCTCATAACTAAAAAAGTAAATATGTTAAAAATTAATTAATTTATAATTGGAAGGGTTGAGAATGATCATCTCTCTAGGATATTATAAAATAATTTATTCCACTAGTTGGAACACAAGAATAAATAACTCTGAAGTATTTTCTAGCCCTATAACTCTGTGAAAAGTTATGACTTAGGTCTCATTAAACCCCTGAGAAAGTTGCAATGATAAGATGACAGGTCAACTTTGACTTTCCATTTCTCGTCAAAGTCATTCACCTTCTCATCTAACGATGAAGTTTGGACATGTACTGGGAAAATCTTAAGGCTGATGGGACCTGATAATATCTACTTTAGGAAACACCTCATCACTCTCCCCAGAAAGTATTTTCTAGGATGTCAGACCAATTTTTCAGCTCATGTGAAACTGAACATTCCAGACTTCACTGAGCCTCTTATCTAAACCACAGACTGAACTCAGAATTCACCAATCCCAGGGAATTGAAACTTACATTGTATCCTGAATTAAAGAAATTAATTGAAAGCAATTTTGTGACACAGAATCCAGACCCATCAATTCCTACCTCCCTTATGATACAATGTAATAATAAATAAATAGCCTGTCTCATTTTTAAAATGTTGCTTGGGCATTAAAATTGCAGTGAGAGAAGTAAAAGGCAGACTTACTGTTAACTGATTTGTTTTTAAGTTTCTGTTATCATTCAAACTATGCTAATCAATGTCAAGCCTAATTTGGCTTTCTCCACTTCAAGAGCATTCTCTAAAAGCTGATGAAAATGGTTATGTAAACTCTGGACAAAATTTCATTTATTAGGCTTCTCTCTACGTCTTGAAAATACTGGGTAGAGAACCAAACATAGAGACAATACTGAGGCCCCTTTCCACAAGTTCAGAATTAAGGGTTATTTGAGAGTTTGTGAGAGGAATGAACAGTCTCCACCATGACTGTTTATTTCCTCAAAAATAGAAGTGTATGTCTTTCTTTAAGTATTTTTTACACATAAAGCATGCTGGCCTTGGAGCTTTTGAATGAGATCCAGCCTCCTTTACATGAGTAAAATTAGTTTCAGGGGTTTTGTTTGTTTTTGCCTACAAAGAGAAGTTCCTTAGATAGCATCTACGGGGAATTGGTTACCTATACCACAGCCTCTTTGGGGAGTGTTTTTTGGTGACAAATCTTTTGCTCTTTGCTCTTCCTTTCTTTATTTTTTCTGTATTTGTTTGTTTTTGTTTTTGTTTTTGTTTTTTTTTACATTTTGTGGGTACATAGTAGGTGTGGCCTTCCTTTCTATTTGATCTTTATCATGTTAGAGAGTAGGGCTTTTATTAGAAGATACTGTTGATATTTTCTCAAATCTTCTTTAGCCATTTTCTGAGCTAGACTATATATAAAGGGTCTTAAATATAGACCATGAATAAAATAAATTATGGCTAATGAAATTAATTTGAAAAAATGGACTGAAGATTTTATTCCTAAACTAGCTCATTCTATAAGAGTTCTCAGTTTTTGTTGCTGATAATCCATTTCTATCAAAGTCGAGTATACATGTTGAGCAAAGAGCCGGTTAGTTTCCATGACCCACCGTTATTAGATGGAAGATCTGAGGCTGCTTATAAATGAAACTTCAACTCTGTTAGACTTGTATGGGCTTAGAGAAACCCTCTAACTCAGGCTCATCACCCAGGCACCACAGAGCCTTCTTGGTAAACGGCATGACACTGAAAGAATCACGCCATTTTCACATCTGTTTTTTTTATTTTCCCCATGACCAACTGTTACCAGTAAGAACACTTCTTTTGCCAGCTGGCTAGTACATTGTGGATTAAATGTGTATAGTTTTGAAAAAATACTGCCTTATAGCTTTAAAAATATGCATTACTCAAAATTCCACTTCTATTACAGAAATTTATCCTGAAGAAATAGAGCACATGTGCATACAGATCTTTAAAAGGTTGATATGCATGTAATATTTATGAAAGTTAAAATTGGAAACACAAAATGTACAAATGGAGAAGATTATTTGCAACATAAAAGTGATGGAGTGCTAAACAGCTCTGCAAAATGACTATTTAGACTTGTAACATTGAACATTAAAAGATAAAAGGTACATTTAATGCTGGATGTAGTGGCTCACGCCTGTAATCCCAGCACTTTGGGAGGCCGAGGTGGGCAGATCACTTGAGGTCAGGAGTTTAAGACCACCCTGACCAACATAGTGAAACCCTGTGTCTACTAAAAGTACAAAAATTAGCTGGGTGCAGTGGCAGATGCCTGTACTCCCAGCTACTCAGGAGGATGAGGCAGGAGAATCGCTTGAACTCAGGGGGCAGAGATTGCAGTGAGCCAAGATTGTGCCGCTGCACTCCAGCCTGGGCGACAGAACAAGACTCCGTCTCAAAAAAAATTTTTTTAAGATACAAACAGTATAATCTTATCTTTTAAATACATGTGAATTTGCATTACAAAATCTCAGTCAATTATCTCTAAGTGATAGAATTTCTGTATTTTCTATTTTTAATAAATATGTATATTTTTAATCCAAACTATTGCTTTACAGAACACTATATACGTGTGCATTTTACTCCATCAAGTAAATGATATGAAGGTCATTTTTAACTTCGACAAGAACAGTTTGGTAGGGTGATGAGTCTGAAATTTTGTTTAAATGTGTTCACATATTTGTGATTGGCTTTGAAATAAGCTGGTAGAGGCTAATTGATGGGTGTTGGAGTATTCATTTTACAAATTGTCTCTCTTTTTTTGCTTATGCTTAAATTTTTCTATAATAAACAATAAAAAATGAGTGGGCTAAAGAGAAAATGAGAGGAGTAAAATTGGAGACAAATCATCAAAATGTATAGTCAACTTTTTCAAAAGATTATTTTTTTTTTAAAGGTGAGAAATAGGATGATAGCTGGAGACTATCCAGAGAGAATTTGGTTTTAAGATAGGAGAAAGTACAGCATTTGCAAGTGATCCAGGAAACAATTTAAAGAAAAATGCAGAAGTGATTGGGGGTACAATTGCTGCAGTGATGAGTTTACACAGGTAAGAGGGAAGAGAATTTATTGGGCAGGTAGAATGGCAAGACATAAGAGGAGAGAGGTCCAGGACAATATGACAGAGACTTTAAATCCCTCTATAGAGAAACTGGATTTACTCAACCGGTTACTGGAAACCTTCAAAGAATTTTAAGCAGACGAGTGGCATGGTAGATTTGTGTTTTGATTAAACGACAGCATATCCAAAATGGGATTTAAGTTAGACTGTGAATTTCCATCTACTCTTGATTTTTTGTTGTTGTCGCTGTTTTTTTTTTTTTTTTAGAGATGTGATTTCACTATGTTGCCCAGGCTGACCTCAACCTCCTGGGTTCACGCAATCCTTCCACCTGGCCCTCCTGAGTGACTAGGACTACAGGTGTGCACCACTGCCCCTGGCCTGGTATTTGTTTATTGTACCAAAACCTTCAGTGTTCGAGTGAATTATTTTGATGGCATTTTACATCTTTTTTGGAAATCCTTTGAGTGTCAAAAAGTAAACTTTGTCTCAGAAAAGAATATCAACATTCATGATGTCACTATATAACAGCCAATATCAGAAAGTGTAATCTTTGGCCAGGTGTGGTAGCTCACACCTATAATCCCCACTTTGGGAGGCCAAGGCAGGAGGATCACTTGAGCCCAGGAATTAGAGACCAGCCTCGGCAACACGGTGAAAACCTATCTTAAAAAAGAAAGTATAATCTCCTATTCTTTGTAATTCAATATATAAAAACTGGTATCTCATCACTGTTTTAGATTGCTTTTATTTAACATCCAATGAGGGTAAACACTTCCATATGTATATTCACTTTCAGTATTTGGACTGTTAGTAAACTTTATTGGTGAAGTTTCTAAGGTGAAGTTGTTGTTCAGTGTGTGTTAGTAACAGAAGAAGTCTCTGTAAGTCTAAGAAGAAACTGTATCTGGCTGTTTCTATTATCAGCCCAGAACTCCTTTCTCAAAGAACCTTAAGCTTTTAAACCCATGTGAAATATTTAGTTTTAACTTTCTAGGCATTGAGTGTAAGAAGCTGGAGACACAGTAATCACAAAGAAACATACCTATTGCAGACAACACAGTCACATCCCATGGCAAGTCTGTTCTTTGCTGTCTTTTTACAGATTACATCAATACATACCTTCTGTTGGTATGCTGCAGAAAGCTTTTTATGTCTGACAGATAGATGTAAACATTGCTTGTAAGCTTTAATTTTTCAAGGAAAAGAAACACAGACATTACGCACAGTATTAAGGAAGAAGAGAAAGTAAAAATAAATCTAGACTAATTTTGGGTTACTTGCAATTTAGGGATAAACCTTTGGATTACTCCTCAAAGATATGGAAATCACTGGTTCCTATTAAATATCTGTCTAAATGTCTCTTAAGCATTGGGAGTGAGTGGGAAGTATAGTATGGTATTTGTTGCTGTAATGCAGGGGTGAGAAAACTTTTTCAGTAAAGGTCTATATATATATATATACACACACACACATATACACACATACACACATATATGTACATATACACACACATATATGTACATATACACACACATATATATGTATATATACACACATATATATGTGTGTGTGTGTGTGTGTGTGTATATATATATATGTTTTTTTTTTGAGACCAAGTTTTGTTCTTGTTGCCCAGGCTGGAGTGCAATGGCGCGATCTCAGCTCACACAACCTCCACCTCCTGGGTTCAAGCAATTCTCCTGACTCAGCCTCCTGAGTAGCTGGGATTACAGGCATGTACCACCACGCCTGGCTAATTTTGTGTTTTTAGTAGAGACGGGGTTTCTCCATGTTGGTCAGGCTGCTCTCAAACTTCAGACCTCAGGTGATCTGCCCACTTCAGCTTCCCAAAGTGCTGGGATTAGAGGCGTGAGCCACTGCACCTGGCTATTTTTTTTTTTTTTTTTGAGACAGAGTCTGGCTCTGTTGCCCAGGCTGGAGTGCAGTAGTGTCATCTTGGCTCACTGCAACCTCCACCTCCTGAATTCAAGCGATTCTCCTACCTCAGCCTCCCGAGTAACTGAGACCACAGGCATGTGCCACCACACCCAGCTAATTTTTGTATTCTTAGTAGAGACAGGGTTTTGCCATGTTGGCCAGGCTGGTCTCAAATTCCTGGCCTCAGTGATCTGCCCACCTCGGCCTCCCAGAGTGCTGGGATTACAGGCGTGAGCCAGTGCGCCCACCATGATAAATATTTTAAGCTTTGAGTGCCATATAGTTTCTGTTGCAACTATTTCACTTTGCTGTTGTACTCAGAAGGCAGCCATAGACAACACTTAAACAGATGCACATGGCTGCATTCTGATAAAACTGTAATAATGGATTCTAAAATTTGCATTTCATGTTATTTTCAAATGTCAGAAAATACTACTCTTCTTTTCATGTTTAACTATTCAAAAACATAAAAATCATTCTTAGCTCTTGAATTGTACAAAAATAAGTATCAGGCCAGATTTGGCCTGTGGTCTATAGTTTGCCCACTGCTGCTGCAACAGATTAATCAAGTGTTTCTTTTTGAAATGAATCAGCATTTCTGAAGCACTTCCAAGGAACACAGCTCATCTAATTTCCCAAATGAAGATATTATCATAAATACTCTATAAATGACAAGTTGCAAAGAACAGATGACCACGTGAACCTGAAAGTTAAAGGTTGTATTAAATTCAGATGCAAACAATTCACAATTCACAAGAATCCATTTATTAACAACAACAAAAAGCTTGCCTACATATTCGAATGCTTGGCAACAAGATGAATGTTGGTGGATAAAGCCATGGAAGGGAGTTCACAGCTATGATATGAGCTGCAATTGTATGATATAAGAGCAAATCACTTAAACTTTCTTGACTTCAGTTACCTCATCTATGAAATAAGCCCATTAGATTAGATTCTACCTAAACTTCCTTCCAGCTGTGAGTTTTCATCACGTCTATTGAGTTACAGCATAAAATAATTCATCTAGCCTGTATCTTGGAATTTATGAGCCCTGAATATGCAGACCATTACTAAGCCATGTTTGTCTTTGTTCACCATTGAATCCAATCCCAGGATCTATCCAAATGGCTAAAATATAGTAAAAATATAATAAATGTGTTGAATAAATTTTAAAAATACAAATTTCCTCACTTTACAAGATAATGTATAAAAAGTGATTGAAATAAGTTAATACATTTATTCATTTAGCAAATATTTTCTGAACAACAACTGTGTGTTAGGCACAGAAACTGGGCAGACACCAAGAGTAATAAGACAAGGAGGCTGGGCACAGTGGCTCACGCCTGTAATCCCAGCACTTTGGAAGGCCGAGGTGAGTGGATCACCTGAGGTCAGGAGTTCGAGACCAGCCTGGCCAACATGGTGAAACCCCGTCTCTACTAAAACAAAAATTAGCTGGACGTGATGGTGCGGGCTTGTAATCCCAGCTACTCGGGATCCTGAGACAGGAGAATTGCTTGAACCCAGGAGTGAGCCAAGATCACACCACTGCACTCCAGCCTGGGTGACAAGGCAAGATTCCAGCCTGAGCAATAGAGCAAGAGTAATAAGACAAGGTACCTGGCGAGGGAATTTCATAGTCTGATGGACCTAAGGGCAGAATGGGGTCGGGGTACAAAGGATGATGGGAAAATTTATTTATTTATGCCAATTTTCCTTTCAATTTGCTTTTATAATTAGAATATAAACATTTAGTAGAAAGAGTGAAATCTGAAATAAAAGTTGACTTCTATGTCTCTGTCCCAATCTTCGGAAATGAATAAATACTGGCCTGGTGCAGTGTCTCACGCCTGTAATCCCAGCACGTTGGGAGGTGGAGGCAGGTGGATTGCTTGAGCCCAGGAGTTGGAGACCCTCCTGGACAACCTGGCAAAACCCCATCTCTACCAAAAAAATATATACAAAAATTAGCCAGGCATGGTGGCGTGCACCTGTAGTCCCAGCTACTCAGGAGGCTGAGGCAGGAGGATCTCCTGAACCCAGGAGGCGGAGGTTGCAGTGAGCTAAGATCATGCCACTGCACTTCAGCCTGGGTGACAGAGTGAGACACTGTCTCATAAAACAAGCAAACAAAAAATTAAAAAATAATAAAAATAAAATAATAATTAAGAAATGAATAAATATTTTCTGTCATTTGCTCTTTCCCTAGCAAAATCTCTTTTTCACACATATATACACAAATACACACAAACACACATACACTCTGATTCTTTCAACTCATGACCTTTTATTTGTCATCTCTAAAAATGTTAATATTATGAAGATATGTTAATAAATGAGGATTGTTACATAAATGAAAATTTTAACTATGAAAGCTACAGTAGACAGACACGGAAAGTGTTGGCTCTAGATTCGGAAGACCATCATTGCGTGAACACAATAATGAACAGCACCAGACTGACAGGCGGGAGCGTAGCAACAGGCTAGGAGCATCAGAAAAGAACAGTCTACACAGACTGAGGTGGACGGCGAAGAGATGTGGCAGATTTTCTCTGTGAGTGCTCCCATTTTAATCAGTGAAATAATAAAGAAGCAAAGTCAAAACTGAGAATGATTAAGAGGAAGGGAAGAAGGTGTTGAAAGCTTAAGGCATAAGAAGTAATGAAATAATCACCCAGGACATTTTTTTTTCCTAAAATACACTCTAAGATAATTTTTTTAAATTATGTCTTTACTTTTTTTTTTTTTTTTGAGACAAGGTCTCGCTCTGTCACACAGGCTGCAGTGCTGTGGCATGATCTTAGCTCACTGAAACCTCCACCTCCCTGGATCAAGCAATTCTCGTGTCTCAGCCTCCCGAGTAGCTGGGACTACAGGCACGCACCACCCTGTCCAGTTAATTTTTTATATTTTTTGTAGAGACAGGGTTTTGCCATGTTGGCCAGGCTAGTCTTCAACTCCTAGCCTGCCCAAGTGATCCACCTGCCTCAGCCTCCCAAAGGATCTCAAGTGATTGCCTGCCTTGGCCTCCGAAAGTGCTGGGATTACAGGCGTGAGCCACCATGCCCGGCCTACACATTTTTCAATTGACATTTAAAATGTTTCATTGTGACTTCTTAAAGTTGCTAAGGATGTAACGCCTGGTATATTCTAAATATAGATATTTTAAATAAGACTTTTAAAAGGGTAGTCATTGGAATTTGACAAAGTCTACTTTACAAAAACTAAAAATATGGCTCATACAAATATAAAGTGAGCAGGTGCCAAAGATGTATTTAAAGAGGAAACCATTAATGCGGGAATTAGCAAGGTGGTAAAGCAAACCCAAAGGGTGATAGGAGAGGCCATGTGTATAGCTCCTGAAAGGAAGTGTGATGAATAAAACCGCTAAATTAGATATAAAATGAGTTAATGCCCTACAGGGCAATACACATGCAACCTTTGAGTTATTTTTTCTATAGGACAGAAATCATTCACATATCTACTGGACAAAATTGTATTGGACAAGAATCTTTATAGTGCTATTAGTCTTTTAAAATTCTGCATCTACCCTTAGAGAATTGGTAAATTTTTTAAATTATAAAATATTTTGGGCGGGTGCAGTGGCTCACATCTGTAATCACAGCACTTTCGGAGGCCAAGGCAGGTGGATCACCTGAGGTCAGGAGTTCGAGACCAGCCTGACCAGCATGGAGAAAACTGTGTCTACTAAAAATACAAAATTAGCTGGGCATGGTGGCACATGCCTGTAATCCCAGCTACTCAGGAGGCTGAGGCAGGAGAATCACTTGAACCCAGGAGGAGGAGGTTGCAGCGAGCTGAGATCGTGCTGTTGCACTCCAGCCCGGGCAACAAGAGTGAAACTCCGTCTCAAAAAAAAAAAAAAAAAAAAAAAAAAATATATATATATACACACACACATAAAAAAATATATATGTGTATATATATTTGTATATATATACATAAATATATGTATATGTGTATATATATATATACATAAATATATGTATATGTATATATATATATTTGATCAATAGGAAATAGTAAGTTAAAAGAGGTATGTATCCCCAGAAAATTAGATAATTCATGTGTAAGTCTGTTAGAAAATGTTCCAATATATTAAAAAACCATGTGATCAGCCGGGCACGGTAGCTCATGCCTGTAATCCCAGCACTTTGGGAAGCTGAGGTGGGCAGCTCACTTGAGGTCAGAAGTTTGAGACTAGCCTGGACAACATGGTGAAACCCCATCTCTACTAAAAAAAAAAAAACAAGAAAAAAATTAGCTGGGTGTGGTGGTGCACGCCTGTAATCCCAGCTACTTGGCAGGCTGAGGCAGGAGAATCCCTTGAACCCAGGAGGCAGAGTTGCAGTGAGCCGAGGTCACACCACTGCACTCCAGCCTGGGTGACAGACCAAGACTCTGTTTAAAAAAAAAGTTAAAAAAAAAAAGTGATCATTCTTCTACCTGTTCACATTTTACATATTTTATTTCTTAGCAAATCAAAACAGCATAATAATCTGACACCCAGAATCATTCATTTTAAGAATACAAGGCTCATCAACAGAATAATACAAGAAAATACAAGACTCATCAAAAGAAAATACAGAAAATACAAGACTCATCAACAGAATAATTTACATTATTCCTTTTTCTACTTGAAATGGTATTTCTATTCACCTTCACCAAAGAATTTATTTTAATTTAGCATATTTTTGCCAAGGCACAGTGGCTCATACCTGTAATCCCAGGACAGTGGCTCATACCTGTAATCCCAAGGGAGGCCGAGATGGACAGATTGTTTGAGCTAAGGAGTTCAAGACTAGCCTGGGCAATAGAGCGAAACTCCATCTCTACAAAAAATACCAAAAAAATTAGCCGGGCATAGTAGCACATGCCTATAGTCCCAGCTACTGTGGAGGCTGAGGTGGGAGGATTACCAGAGCACGGGAATTCGAGGATACAGTGAGCCACGATCATGCCACTGCACTCCAGCCTGGCCAACAGGAAAAAGACCCTGTCTCTAAACAAATAATTTTATATATTTTTATGTTTGACTGTCTTTTATTGATCATTCCATTATTCTCTGCAATAATAACTGGTATTTAAATCAGATTATTTTCTGGTCATAGGCTCATAAGTTTAAAAAAAACTATTCTTCTATATTAAGTTTGCTAACTATTATCAGTACACAATGAATAAAAACAACGTAAAATCTGGAAAAAAAAAGCAGGAAAAGGGGACTGTCATTCCTCTTGCACAGGAACATTCTGAAGCAGATGGATTTTAGGAAAGATATGTATATATATGTGTGTGTGTGCGCGCATATGTATGTGTATATATGTGTGTGTGCAAATATATGTACATGTGTGTGTGCAAATATATGTATATATGTGTGTGTGTATATAGATATAAAATATAGAAATTGAGGATATGGAAACTCAAGCTTCCAAGTCTTAATGGATAGCAGTTTGAAACCATCAGTCTTTAGAGTAGGAGAGTGAATGGACTAGGTTAGTAAATCTCAAAGTGTGATCCCTAGACCAACTGCATCAGCATCCCCTCGAAACTTGCTAAAAAATGCAAGTTCTCAGTCCCCACCTTAGACTGCTGTGGTGGATGGTCCCTAATGGTCCCTGCCTCCTGGTATTCACACCCTTGTGTAGTCCCATCCTGCATCGTACCAGGGTTGGTCTGTGTAACCAACAGAGTAAGACAGAGGTTTAAAAGCTTGTGGCCGGGCGCGGTGGCTCACGCCTGTAATCCCAGCACTTTGGGAGGCCGAGACGGGCGGATCACGAGGTCAGGAGATCGAGACCATCCTGGCTAACACGGTGAAACCCCGTCTCTACTAAAAATACAAAACTTAGCCGGGCATGGTGGCGCGCGCCTGTAGTCCCAGCTACACGGGAGGCTGAGGCAGGAGAATGGCGTGAACCCGGGAGGCGGAGCTTGCAGTGAGTCGAGATCGCGCCACTGCACTCCAGCCTGGGCGACAGAGCGAAACTCCGTCTCAAAAAAAAAAAAAAAAAAAAAAAAAAAAAAAAAAAGCTTGAGGCCTCTGCCTTTACACCTCTTTCTCTCTGTATGTTTCTCTCTCTTATCACTTGTTCTATACAAAACCAGCTGGCCTAGAGAGGCCCACGTGGCAAGGAACTGTAGCCTTTGGCCAACAGCCATTCCTGTGAGCCTTGGAGTGCATCCCCAGGCCTTTTGATGACTACAGCCCCAGCCAACATCTTCACTGCTACTTCACCAGGTATCCTAAGCCACAACTACCAGGGTGAGTTTCTCCCAGATTCTTGACCCTCAGAAATGGTGAGATTTTTCTTTTTAAAGTTCATTGTAAAGTGCTAAGTTTTCAGTTAATTTATTACACAGTACTAGATAGCCAATATGCCTACTGAATCAGAAACTCAAGGTAGAGTCCAGCAATCTGTATAAAACACACGAGATTCTGATGCATGTTAGACAGCCACTGGATAGGGAGACACAGTAGAATTGCAGAGGAGTGTGAAGAGCAAGTGAGACCATGCAACAAAGTTGTGTTCGTCTCCAATGACATGCAGCTGCATGAGTAGATGAGAGGCTTTAACTGGAGTTAGTGTTTTGCCAGGGCTATATGTCAAAGCAAGAGAGGCAATGGACTGTGTGCAAAGGAGCTATTAAAGTGATGAACCATGGAATATCAGCTGCATAAGAAGGAAAGTAAAAAAATGATGAGTGACAGTCTGTAAAAACTATGATGGAGGCTGAAGGATTGACAGCAAAACCACAGGGACCTATTCCATCCAGAATCCTAGAGTGATTCTGAAAAAGAAAATAAATAATTTTGAGAAAATTGAAAATTTTTTCTAATGGAAGAGGACTCTATATATGAACAAAACAGACTATGGCTATCTATACCAGTTATTTTCCAACTTTCATGACAGAGATTCACACTAAGAAATACATTTCACATAGTGTTTTATGAAAGGAGAGAAGGTTAGAAATACATTTTGCATTATGGCTATTACAAATACATGTCTATAATGAAAACAAGTTGTGTTTTTTTGTTTTTTTGTTTTTTTGTTTTGGTGGAGATGGGGTCTTGCTATATTGCCCAGACTGGTCTCAAAACCCTGGGCTCAAGTTATCTTCCTGCCTCTGCCTCCCAAAGTGTTGGGATTACAGGTAGGAGCCACCATGCCCAACCACTGAAACAAGTTTCACCAAATAGTACTTACCTTACTACACATGATACACTCAGTTTTCTATTCTAGTCCATTCTGTTCTATTCTAATCCATCCAGTTTTAAACCTCTGATTGTGGCGCATTATATTGATTTTAGATTTCCTAATGGGTTCCAACTCACAGTTTAAAAAGCAGCAGTCTATGCCACTGCTGCCCAACAGTAATATGATGCAAGCCACATGTGCAATTTAAAATTGTCTAGTATCTGCATTAAAAAAGTAAAAAAAATAAATTAACTTTAATAATACATTTTATTAATGTAATATATTCTAAGCATTATCATTTCAACATGTAATCAAATTGAAAAATTGTCTAGTAATAAATATGAGAATTTTACATTCTTTTTAAAATATGCAATCTTCAAAATTTAGCATGTATTTTATATTTATGGCATATCTCAGTTGGAAGTAGCCATATTTCAAGTGCTGAACAGGCACATGTGGCTAGTAGCTGTTGTCTGGCTAAGACAGTGCAGGTCTACACAATATTATATCATGGTGTCTAAGCAAGAGTCAGAAAGATTTGGTTTCTAAACTCATCTTTGCCACTGATTTGACTTCATTCAAATTAAATTTAAACTTCGAGTCATTTTTATCTTCAACTCTAATATGTGAGTAAAACAGTATCTAGTCTTACAGAATTGAGTGTTATATGAGATTAAGTATATAAAGTGTTTACAGTAGAATTGACATATACTGGCCAGGCGTGGTGGCTCACACCTGTAATCCCAGCACTTTGGGAGGCTGAAGTGGGCAGATCTTGAGGTCAGGAGTTCGAGACCAGCCTGGCCAACATGGTGAAACCCCCGTCTTTACTAAAAATACAAAAATTAGCCAGGCGTGGTGGTGGGCGCCTGTAATCCCAGCTACATGGGAGGCTGAGGCAGGAGATTCACTTGAACCCAGGAGGTGGAGGTTGCAGTGAGCCAAGATTGCGCCACTGCACTCCAGCCTGGGTGACAGAGCAAAAAAAGAATTGGCATATACTGTTTACAGTAGAACTGGTATATAGCTGTTGTTATTACACACTCCTCAATGCAGATTAGTCAAATCTCTTAACTAAACAAAGTCAGATTAAATTTGTGGCTTGGGGTGTCCATTCCTCAAATATTGACAGAACTCCTAATACTTAAACACTCTCCTCCTATAATAGAACGCTCAATTTAGGGAAATAAATTTTTAAAATACAAATAATAATTCAACACAGTAAGTGTAAAAATAAGGGTATTGTGGAGCACAATGGCTCACACCTGTAATCCCAGCACTTTGTAAGGTCAAGGCAGGAGGACTGCTTGAGGCCAGCAGCTGGAGACCAGCCTTAGCAACATAGCAAGACTCGTCTCTACAAAAATATAAAAATAAAAAAGTAGGGGGTGAGGCGGCACACACCTGTAGTCCTACCTAATCAGGAGGCTGAGGCAAAAGGATCGGTTGAGCCCAGGAGTTCAAGGCTGCAATGAGCTATGATCACACCACTGCTCCCTAGCCTAGACAACAAGGTAACAGAGCTAGACCCTGTCTCTGAAAAAAGACAAAAAACCAAGGGTATTAATAACATGTCATAGACTCATGTTACCCAAGGATACACAGGAAAGCCTAGTAGAGCAACTGATATGTGAGCTGAAAATCAAATTTTGAGGCAGGCTGGAGGAGAGAGGTGGAGAGGCAAAGCTTGTGCTCAAGTGCAAAGAAATGTGTAAAATAAATGCAACGGTGAACACGTATTATGGGCCTACTGTGTCCTCTGTACCAGCCACTTACTAGAATTATTTTAGCACATGACACTGTCAGGAAAGAGCAAAGGGTTCTGTCCTGGACTTTCAAAAGCTCTTCTTGATGACAGCCATGGGGCTAGATATGAGGAAGTGTTTTTGTCAAATGTGAAATGTTTTCATCAAAGGTGAAGCTCAAAAATAAGAACAATGTAGAAATTTTATTTTATCTTATTTATTTATTTTTATTATTTATTTATTTATTTTTTGGAGACAGGATCTTCCTCTGCCACCAAGCACCCAGGATGGAATGCTGTGGTGCAATCTCGGCTCACTGCAACCTCCACCCACCAGGCTCAAGCAATCCTCCTGCCTCAGCCTCCCAAGTAGCTGGGACCATAGGCATGCACCACCACGCCTGGCTATTTTTTTGTATTTTGAGTAGAGATGAGGGTCTCACTATGTTGCCCAGGCTGATCTCGAACTCCTGAGCTCCAATGATCTGCTCGCCTTTGCCTCCCAAAGTGCTGGGATCACAGGCATGAGCCACTGTGCCTGACCAGAATTTTTTAATAAAGTAAATTTGACTCAATTTTTAATGTTATTTACTGTGCAATCAAGATCTTCCTATTGTTGGTATTATAATATCACTTATTTTATTAAATAAATATAATAATAATAGTGTTATGGATTGGTTTGTTTGTTTTTAATATCCCAGCCTAGTACTTTTACTCAGCAAATAGTCAGTGAGCTTCTGCTTTTTTACCAGGTACAGTGCTAGGCACTGGAGATACATCAGTGAACAAGAGTTGGAAAAAGAAAAAAAAAAAAGGTCCTTCTCTTCACAGAGCTACATTCCAGTTGGGACACAGATTATAAACAAGTAAACTAAGAAACTAACCAATAACCAGGATAAGTAGAGATTGAGATATAAGCAATGATGTGTATAACATAGGTGATATGACAATAATTGGGGCTGCCTGTTTTGGTTGGTGGCATCAGGAAAACTCTTATCTGAAGGAATAAAATTTAAATTGAGAAAGTACACTCTAGGCAAAACATAATGCCTGGAACAGAAGCACTAATAATCAGTGACTATCATGCTTGTTAGTTCGCTAATCTCTAGAGACTTAATTGTCAATTATATTGGACAATAGATTCCACATTGCAAAGCACTAAGCTGTTGAGGTCTGATTCCTTTTTGGCTTTAGGAAGATCTATTTGTCAGCAGCAAACAGATTACACTGGATGAAGTAGAGGAGCACAGAAACAAAAGAGATGACTATTAGAATACATCAAGAAATGATGAAAACCTGAATAAAGTCAAAGATTGAAGTGACAAGATATGGTGACACCAAAATTAAGGAAATTGAGAAAGGTAAAGTCAATAGGACTTTCTGGCTTGGATGTAGGAAATGGATATGGGAAGTATCAAGGATTACTATGAGGTCACTAGCTTTTGTAAGGCAAGATTGTGATGCTATTAACCAAATGCAGCATCTGAAGATAACATTACTAGGATTTGTTGACAACCTACTGCATGTCAGGTACATGCAATTGTACAAACTTTAGGATACCCAAATGCTGGTTTTGTCTCTGGGATTACGGAGTAAAATGCACCTTACTGCCTTTATGACCATGGCCAATTTTACCATGAAAAATAATTTTAAGGGCAGGTGCAATGGCTCATGCCTGTAATCCCAACACTTTGGGAAGCCAAGGAAAGTGGATCACCTGAGGTCAGGAGTTCAAAACCAGCCTGGCAACATGACAAAATCCCATCTCTATGAAAAATACAAAACAATTAGCCAGGCATGGTGGCATATGCCTGTAATCCCAGCTATTTGGGAGGCTGAGGCAAGAGAATCGCTTGAACCCAGGAGGCGGAGGCTGCAGTGAGCTGAGATCGCGCCACTGCAATCCAGCCTGGGCAGTAGTGGGACTCCGTCTCAAAAAAGAAAAAAAGAAAAGAAAAATAATTTAAAAATTACAAATGCAAATTTCTAGGACCCTCCCAGAATCTTAAAAGAGACCTGTGCAAGTGAAGAAACCTGAAGCCTAACTAAGCTTCATCAGCTTCCTGGTGACTCCTCCTTTGCATAACATATGGGATAATGAGTTTGAGTTGCTTGCAAGACACCAAAGGAGAATGTAATGTGGAGAGTTGAAGTTGTGAGTCTGTAGATTGTGAAAGATAGCCCGGGGAATCATTGGTCATGGTTGAAACCTTGAGAGAAGGTGAAATCTCCAAGTGAGAAAATGTAGAGAAAGGAGAAAAGAGGGTCCCATGTGGAGCTCTGGGGTAACACAAGGGTTTAGGATAGAACTGATAAAGGTACAGTATGTTAGTTTCCTACTGCTGCTGTTACAAATTACACAAATTAAGTAGCTAAAAATAATAAATATCAGCCAGGCATGGTGGCTCATCCCTGTAATCCCAGCATTTTGGGAGACCGAGACGGGTGGATCATCTGAGGCTAGGAGTTTGAGACCAAACTGGCCAACATGGTGAAATCCCATCTCTACTGAAAATACAAAAATTAGCCAGGCGTGGTGGTGCACTCCTGTAATCCCAGCTACTCGGGAGGCTGAAGCAGGAGAATCACTTGAACCTGGGAGGCAGAGGTTGCAGTGAGCTGAGATTGTGCCACTGCACTCTAGCCTGGGCAACAGAGTGAGACTTCATGTACCCTAAAACTTAAAGTATAATAATAATAAAATTTAAAAAAAACAAATAAATAAATAATAAAAAATAAATATGTATTATCTTACTGTTCTGTAGGTCAGAAGTCCAAAATGAGCATTACTGGGCTAAAGTCAAGGTATGGAAAAAGCCTGTTCCTTCTGGAGGTTCTGAATAGACAGTCACGTCTTTGCCCTTTCCAGCTTCTGGTGGCTATACCTGTATTCCTCAGTTTGAGGCCCCGCCTTCAACTTCAAAGCACCTACTCCAGTTTCTGCCTATGCTGTCACATTGCCCTCTCCTACTCCAACTCTGATGACGGCTGCAGCCCTTTTATAAAGAACACTGTGATTGCAACTTGTCTACTGGTTAATCCAAACTAATCTCCCCCTCTGAAGAGCGTTAATTTAATCACATCTGCAAAGTTTCTTTTGCCATAGAAAGTAACATTCACGGGTTCTGGGGATTAGGATGTGAATATATCTGAGGGCCATTATCAGCTCACCACACAGAGCAACAAAGAAAACTGAAATGGAGGGGTAATAAATGGAATCAGAAAAAAAATGGTAGAGGCTACGGAAGGAAAAAGCTCAAGGATGTCTTACTCGACTACGTCAGTTAACTGAGTTAAAAAGGGATATAAGTGAAAAAGTCAGAAAAGGCCATTCGATTTGTGAATAAGAGAGCTTTGCCAGGTTGATTTCAAACAGAAATGATATTGCAGGAGATTGAAGAGCAAACAGGAGAGAAGGACCTAAAGTTGGTAGGAATTGACTTAACTATTTTAAAAAGAAAAGGTAAACGATTTGTTGAAGGAGGAAACAGAATACAGAGAAAATTTTTGCTAGAGTTTTTCTGGTTGTTTGGTTTCAGTTTTTTTTTTTTTAAGAGAGAAAAAGACTTGAGCATATGTCTATAACGTTAAGTTTATTTATTTATTTATTTTTGAGACAGAGTCTCGCTCTGTCACCCAGGTTGGAGTGCAGTGGTAAAATCATGGGTCACTGCAACCTCCACCTCCCGGGCTCAAACAATCCTCCTGCCTCAGCCTCCTGAGTAGCTAGGATTACAGGCGTGTGCTATCACACCCAGTTATTTTTTGTATTTTTAGTAGAGATGGGGTTTTGCCATGTTGCCCAGGCTGGTCTGAAACTCCTGGCCTCAGCCGGGTGTGGTGGCTCACGCATGTAATCCCAGCACTTTGGGAGGTCGAGGCAGGCAGATCACGAGGTCAAGAGATTGAGACCATCCTGGCCAACACGGTGAAACCCTGTCTCTACTCAAAATACAAAAATTAGCTGGGCGTGGTGGCACATGCCTGTGTCCCAGCTACTCAGGAGGCTGAGGCAGGAGAATCTCTTGAACCAAGGAGGCGGAGGTTGCAGTGAGCCGGGATCTCACCACTGCACTACAGCCTGGTGACAGAGCCAGACTCCATCTCAAAAAAAAAAAACTCCTGGCCTCAAGTGATCTACCTGCTTCAGCCTCCCAAAGTGCTAGGATTACAGGCATGAGCCACCACACCTGGCCTATTTTCAACTTTTTATTACAAAAATTTATAGCCAGGCGTGGTGGCTCATGCCTGTAATCACAACACTTTGGGAGGCCGAGGTGGGCAGATCACCTGAGGTTGGGGGTTTGAGACCAGCCTAACTAACATGAAGAAACCCTGTCTCTACTAAAAATATAAAAATTAGCTGGGCATGGTGGCGCATGCCTATAATCCCAGCTACTTGGGAGGCTGAGGCAGGAAAATAGCTTGAACCCAGGAGGCAGAGGTTGTGGTGAGCCGAGATCATGCCATTGCACTCCAGCCTGGGCAACAAGAGTGAAACTCTATCTCAAAAAAGAAAAAAATTTACAAATACAGAAAAGTTTAAAGAAAAGTACATGGAACACACACTTATCAAACAATTAGATTTAACAACATTTTAGCAATTTATCCTATTTCCTTTATCTCCATATTTTTGGCTGGAACTTTTCAAAATATGTTTTAGACATCATGCCACTCAACCTGCATCTCCTAAGATCGAGACATTCTCATACATATCTACAAAATCATCACCTGCCCAAATATCATCTACCACGAATGTAGAGAAGTTTTTAGTTGTCTCACTAAAAACTTTGCACCCATCTAAAGCATTTAGATGGGTAAAAACATACAGCTAGATAGAAGGAATACATTCTAATATTTGATAGTAGAGTAGGGTGACTATAGTTAACTATAATATATTGTACATTTAAAAATTGCTAGAAGTAAGGACTTGCAATGTTCTCAACACATAGAAACGATACATGCTCATGGTGATGGATATGCTAAGTGCCTTGATTTCATCTTTACACATTCTATGTGTGTAATAAAATATTACATGTACCCCACAAATATGAACAAATATTATGTACCAATAAAAACATTAAAATAAATAAGTCTGTTAGTATCCAAAATCAAAGAAGATGGCTTTCAGTGACTCAATTCTTCATTTAAATTTTCTAGCAAGCCTGTAACAATCTATAGAAATCATTAAAAAAAGAAATTTACTTTTGCCACTGGCAGTCTTATTCTCCCCACTTCACACCACAGCTGCAGTGAAGATCAGTAGAACCAGGGAATTCTCCCTAGGTGGTGAGAAGCTCTCGTCACCCTTGATCATCCCGTCTCTCTCTATTCTAAATATTCCTCATAAAGTAATTCAAATGAACCCAACAGCTAAACAGGAGACACCTGGGAACAACTGCCTGAAAGGCTGTAGTGGAAGTTGTTAGCCTCATATAAACATGAGTAAACAGACCAAATAACAGCTTGAAATATTTAGTTTAACCCTCCATGAATCTACCGGATGTGCGAGTCATTTGTCTTGTAATTACCTCCCATCTCCTAGGCACAAATTTATCTACTTCAAACATTTCCCAGCAGAGCAGCTTTCCTTTCAATACATCTTGGTGCAGTTTTAAAAAAAAGGAAAGAAAAAAAAGAAAAGAAAGAAAGAAAAGATGGTGTTCCCAGAAATTTTGTGTAACCAAATATGTAATACAGACAAATTTGTAATTTTTTCCAACCTTTTATCTCCATTCACTATTCCATCAGAAGATAATTTTGTCCTTCAAATCCAAACCAAATGACGCAAAATAGAGGTTGCAAAATGTGTGCTCGTCTGAACTCTTTCACTAGTGTGACTATTGAAATTTGGAAGAAACTCAAATATTTTATTTTTAAGTGTGACTTAGCAGAGACTGGAAGACATTAAAGACTCTGCAGAGCTCAGCACCTGTTCAGCAACATTTAATGAAAAGCAGAAAGTTCTCTCTTGGGCCACGAATTCAAACAATTTAAAATTATTACCAGTAATGGGCCTGAAACCCATTATAAAAACTGTGGGGTTTTGTGCCCTGGAATTTATATCATCAGCAAGTTGTTGGAACCAAGAGGTTTGGTTGTAACAGCAGAGAGAGAGGCAGGAGTCCATAACTGCCTTTCATCCAATGAGGCATTCATGACAGCTTAATCCAGCCAGCCAGGCATGTTAAAATACAACAGGAGATGTAGGTGAGTGTATTCTCTTACATTCACCCACACTCTTTCCTTGCATTTAAGACTTCTCCACATTTTACTGATTCATCAAAAAAGTAGGCTGGGTGCAGTGGCTCATGCCTGTAATCCCAGCCTTTTGGGAGGCTGAGGCAGGTGGATTGCTAGAGGCCAGGAGGTCATAGACAAGCCTGGGCAACATAGCAAGACTCCATCTGTACAAAAAAAATTAAACCTTAGGTGGATGTGATGGCCAGCACCTATAGTCCTAGCTGCTCAAGAGGCTGAAGTGGAAGGATTACTTGAGCCCAGAAGCTCAAGGCAAGAGTAAGCTACGATGGTGTCATTACACTCCAGCCTAGGTGTTAGAGTGAGACCGTTTCCAAAAAATAAATTTTTTAACTTAAAAAAATTATTTTAAGTAAAAAAATAAATGTAGGAGCTAAGATGCTGCTTGCTGTTGCAAAGTCAAATCCCTGCTAAATGGTGAAGGTAGACATTAAAATCCATCACTTTAGGAAGCAGCAAGAGAACCTGAGTGTTTGTGAGAACAGAAGATTGAGGAAACAGAAGTCACACTACTGAGTTTCAGAGATTTCACTATGCTCCAACACACTGCATTTCTGGTAGAGGACTGAAGTCAGAGCTTTCAAAGGTAATCATTAATATACACAGTCAAAGCACTAAGATTGTTAAGGACCCCATAAATCATGAAAAACTTAAAGGTACCCAATTCAATGTGTGATGTGATGCCTCTCTAACTTCTGCCACCAAATAAAAATTCCACTGTTCTGTTCCCTTTTCTTGTAGTCAAATCTTCTGTTCTTCCCCACACACCCTACAGCAGGACAGGTGAAGCAGGCAGCAGGAAATGAGACTAATGAGCCACGTTATTAAAAATAAAGAAACTGGATATGCTGCATGATCACCCTCCACTGAGTATGTCATTCACCTGCTATTGTTGTCTCAACCTGAATGTGACTCTAAGTGCAATAGGGCTGCCATTGATAATCAAAGCAAGCGTTTTGCTCACAGGCCCAGCACATGCATTCTCACTCATTCCTCATCCTTCTCCAATCAGACTTTATTCCCATTTACAGAGAAGAAATTAAAGGACACAGTCAACATGTAGTAGAGCTAAAATTTGCACCCAGATCTTTCTGATCCCAGAATATAGGGCTCTTAACTACTACATTATACTGTCTTTATTGAAATAAAATGAGATGCCTAAAAATTGAAATAAATGAAAAGAAAGGGAAATCAAAAAGGAAAGAAATGCATGAGGCTATGTTCTCCAAATTCCTTCAAAAAGGCAAATTCCATTCCCATGTGAAACATGGAGATGATGTTTCCTGTGACACATTCAAAATGTCACTGTAAATAACATCAATAAAGCATTTTCTGTACGGCATGCATGCTGCGCAGTTGGGTAAATGGGGTGTGTGCCTGGGACCAGCTAACACAGATAGTTTGGAGAGGATGGAGAGTCTTTAGTGCTCTCCTCTGACCTGATATCCATGGTAAAATAAATATCTGTCATGTCACTGCAAATTGCAATGTTTTAATTCTTCTTGATTTAGTGGCAGGAGTTAAAATATGTAATGTACATAGAAGGAATAAAGAGGTATGGGCTTCGTCCTCTTGGGAGAAAATCAGTATATATTATTAGCTACATTCCAAAGCTGAAAAGCGCTACTGTTTGAAGAATACTTATGGGGCATAAGAGTCTTCTTTGGCAAGAATAATTTGATTCTATGGCAGAGAGAGAAAGAGAAGGCCTTATTGTCTGCAAAAGTAAAGGTGGTTTTATGTCTAATCTTTAATTTGACCACTACCATTGTGCAATTAGCTACTTCTAGATTGATTGTTAAAGCCTATTTGATCAAACGGAAAACTTTTGGAAATAAAATCACAAATGGATGGCTAAATTTGTGTGGATTATTCTAAGTCATGAAATGCTAATGCTTTTAGAAGAGTTGAGCTTCCTGAAAGCATCTGATGCCAAAACAGTGTTGGTGGCCTTAATAAGCATTTTAGTAATTAAGAGATGTATAAAGTTATTTGTTGAATTATTTTTAAAGTCAGTATGTTTGTTGGCTACTCTGACAATAGCTAAGTCTATTTCAAATGTTTTACTCAATTTCATTTAAAAAGCCTTTTAAAAGAGAAATTAGCCCAGGCATGGCGGCTCACGACTGTAATCCCAGCACTTTGGGAGGCCGAGGTGGGTGGATTGCTTGAGGTCAGGAGTTCGAGACCAGCCTGGCCAACATGGCAAAACCCTGTCTCTACTAAAAATACAAAAATTAGCCAGGTGTGGTGGCGTGCGCCTGTAATCCCAGCTACTCAGTAACCTGAGGCAGGAGAATTGCTTGAACCAGGGAGGCGGAGATTGCAGTGAGCTGAAATCACACCACTGCACTCCAGCCTGAGAGATAGAGTGAGACTCTGTCTCAAAAAAAAAAAAGAAAAGGAACAAAAAAAGAGAAATTACAAATCTATAAGTTTAAGTACAGCCATGAAAACACTGAAATAGTCATAAGGACTTCAATATGAAAACACCTTTAAAAACAGATCTTTGCCTGATATGTAATTTTAACATTCTCTGGGGTGAATGACAGTGGGGAATAAACTTCCCTTCTCCAATACAGGTCTTGACTACGTCTCCTTCCCCATAGTAATTCAAGAGGTGATGGTGGAACCATTTCATTTCATTGTCATTTCTTTGTCCCTTAACATACAGATATTGGTTCTTCTTTTTCAGTGATGATATTGGTTCTTCTTTTTCTTACATCTCTAGAAATCTACCTTAGTCCTAAAAAATAAGTACCTTATAATTTTTAAATTATCTAAATTACAAATTAACTCAATATTTCATATGTGAACTCCATATTGGGAAATGGCTGAGGAGGGTGATGGTCAAAGAAGGAGGCCTACAATTCTGTGAAATCTTAATTTGTCCCCTGCCATACCCATTCACAGCACACACACACACAAAACTCACACACAATCACATGCACACTCACACAAACATACTTGTACACACAAATTCATACACACATTCATACACACACACACTGCCTAAGCCCTATTGACTTGTCCATTCTCACTGGGTAGTCAACATATTCTGATAAAAGATCAGGTTCAAAATTTTTCTTTGACAAGGGATGAAACGAACACCAACACCACCAAAAGCCACTTAGATTATCTTAGGATATGATAGGACAAAGAAAACTAGAAACAGCTTTGCAATCAAACAAGATGTGGAGCTAAGTAAGGCAAATCTCATAGACTCATGTTCCATGATGTAAGGTTTCATTCACAACTTACATATATATATATATATATATATATATATATATATATATATATATATATTTTTTTTTTTTTTTTTTTTTTTTTTTTTTTTTTGAGACGGAATCTCGCTCTGTCGCCCAGGCTGGAGTGCAGTGGCTCTATCTTGGCTCACTGCAACCTCCGCCTCCCGTGTTCAAGCAATTCTCTTGTCTCAGCCTCCTGAGTAGCTGGGATTACAGGCACGCACCACCAAGCCCAGCTAATTTTTGTATTTTTAGTAGATATGGGGTTTCACCATGTTGGCCAGGCTGATCTCAAACTCCTGACCTCAGGTGATCCGCCATCCTCGGTCTCCCAAAGTGCTGGGATTACAGGCGTGAGCAACTGCACCCAGCTGCAGCTTCTATTTTTATACACAAGTGAAAATTGGTAAGAAGTTGAACACTGGTCCTCTATAATAAATCTAAGTGCCACTTTTGATTAGCTGGAAACCATTAAATGTCCTTTCTTAATTCCTTTACCATAGAGTGTGCACAAAACGTGGATTACTTCCCAAAACAAGTCCATTAATTAGGGGGAATATTTTTACCTTTCCCAAGTTTTTGTGTCTCTCTCTAGAGAGGAATATGACATGTTGCCCTAATTTGGAGTATACAATTTCATAGAAGAATATTTACTTTATAAATTAATTCTGACTGATGATTTAAAAAAAGAGAAGCATCCAGAAGCTTGGCACAATTTTTTTTAAATATTTTTATTAGTGGTACATCCCTAATTCTTTTTTCCACTTGTATTTAGTTGTTATTTTCTTACTTTCACTTTATTTTCCAGTCTTCCCCACCCCCCGATGAAACCGAGTCTCATGTCTACATTCTTATGCCTGACACCTTTCTAGTGTATAAAATGATAGATTAACACATCAATCATAAAGTGTGTAGTGAGATATTTTTATTAGAAGATAAAGGGCAACATTAGGATGAGAAGAATAGGAGAAAATATTTTTAAAGAAGAGAAGGGATAGTCAATAGATATTCATGTCTGGGCGCAGTGGCTCACACCTGTAATCCCAGCATTTTGGGAGGCCGAGGCAGGCAGATCACCTGAGGTCAGGAGTTTGAGACCAGCCTGACCAACATGATGAAACCCATCTCTACTAAAATACAAAAATTAGCCAGGTGTGGTGGCAGGCACCTGTAATCCCAGCTACTTGGGAGGCTGAGACAGGAGAATGGCTTGAATCTGGGAGGCGGAAGTTGCAGTGAGCAGAGATCGAGCCATTGTGCTCCAGCCTGGGCAACAAGAGCAAAACTTTGTCTCAAAAAAAAAAAAATTACAGTGGCTGTCTTTAAGTGGTGGGATTATGAGTCACTTTTTCTTCTTCCTCATACTTCTTCTACATGAGACTTAAATTTGGAGTGGGTGCAGAAAGATCTATGGTTGGCTAGGTGTGGTGGCTCACACCTGTAATCCCAGCACTTTAGGAAGCCAAGACGGGTGAATCACTTGAGCCCAGGAGTTCAGGACCAGCCTGGGAAACATAATGAAACCCCATCTCTACAAAAAAAAAAAAAAAAAAAAAAAATACAAAAATTAGTTGGGTGTGGTGGTGCACACCTGTAGTTCCAGCTACTTGGGAGGCTCAGGTGGGAGGATCACTTGAGCCTGGGAGACAGAGGTCACAGTGAGCCAAGATAACACCACTGCACTCCAGCCTGGGCAACAGAGTGAGATCCTATCTTGAAAAAATGGAAGGAAGGAAGGAAGGAAGGAAGGAAGGAAGGAAGGAAGGAAGGAAAAAAGGAAGGAAGGATAAAAGGAAGGAAGGAAGGGATGAAGGAAGGAAAAAAAGGAAAGAAGGAAGGAGGGAAGGAAGGAAGAAAGGAAGGAAAGAGGAAAGGAAGGAAGGGAGAGAGGGAGGGAGAGAGGGAGGGAGGGAGGGAAGGAAAGAGGAAAGGAAGGATCTATGGTTTAAAATTTCCAGATCTGAAAGAAGACTCAAATGATCTTGGTTGGGGGTGGTAGTGCCAAACTATTAAGGTAAATAACTGTCATACATCACATATTTGACTATTCTTTTGGTTCAGGCAACTTTCATGAAAGATAATACAGGCAGTTTTGCCAACATGACACAGTAATACAATGGTCTCTTGGTATCCATGGGGAATCGGTTCCAGGACCCCCATGGATACCAAAATCTGTGGATCCTCAAGTTTCTTATATAAAATGAGGTAGTAAGCTGGGCATGGTGGGCCAGGCCCATAGTTCCAGATATTTGGAAGGCTGAGGAGAGAGGATTGCTGAGCCCAGGAGTTCAAGTTCAACCTGGGCAATATAGAAAAAATGATGTAGTATTTTTATATAACCTATGCACACCCCCCTGTATGCTTTACATCATCTCTAGATTACTTATAATACCTAACACAATGTAAAGTCTATGTAAATTAGTTACATTGTATTATTATTATCATTTTTATTGTTATTTTGTAATTTTTTCCCAAATATTTCCATTGGTTGAACTGGGGATGTGAAACCCAGGGATTCTAAAGGCCAACTGCAATTGAATTAAAACCCTTCCTCCTGTTTAAGACTTCAAAGAAAATAAAAATAATATGTAAGAGCTGGCCTTTTCAATACCCCTTCTGTGAGTTTATTATCTTGAAAACCTGGATATAGTTTTTAACTCAAAGTAATAATTGATGCCTTCAGACCAAGGTGTTTTAATTTCCCAGAGTTTATAAAATCTCCAAAATAGATACTATTAATCTAATTTGTAAAGCACATGGATTGAAGCTTATACATTTGCATAAATTAAATCTACCAGTCATTAATCTTGAGGTGAACTTTGCCAGTTGGTGGTTGTTTTCTGGTTCTCTGGACATAAAGGGAGCGGACAAGACATTTGAATGGTTCAATCTGTGTGGCATTTTGTGACCCACCAGGCAGGTCTTTCCTACCAGTCAGCCCTGGGCTACATTTTCTGTTCTGTGTGGACAGTGACAGTGTCCTCTTGGATTTTAACTCTTAACCTTTGTCTGGAGGCTGTGCAAATTAGATTATTTCATCAAATAAGAAAAATAACTTCTCAACCACATAACAATATAAACACCCCTGAACTTAATGTAGTTGAGCCATAAAAATGGTTTGTAGCATGGGTAGTCAAAATATAGAAGCAGATACAAGTCAGATTGAAGTTATTCTGGAAAATATCATTTTCTAGTACGGTAAAGGCTCCCAAACATTAGCTGTTTTTGCAGAAATGTTAAATTATCTTCCATTTGTTCTTTGCCCTTCAACATTTCTTTGCCTTATGACTACTATAAGTTCATTAGTTCCTTCATATGCATCTATAACTTATTTATATTTTGTTATTTGGAGTTAGGCTTTTTGAACTTACAAAGGTTAGTATTTATGAGCAAAGGGTAAAGTATTATCATTCAATATTATAGCAAAAGTAGGAGGGTTTCCTGAGTGATAGCTAAGTCTTCAAACCCATTTCTTCACACCCAGATGCATTTTGAAGTCCAGCTCATTCAGAGGCCATCTTTACATTCATTCAATTATTCATCAAGTATTTCTTGACTGCTTGCTATGTATCAGGCAGTATTCTAGAGTCTATGGACAGAGTGATGAGCACAAGAGACAACATCTCCATTTTTTTTTTTTTTTTTTTTTTTTTGAGAAAGAGACTTGCTGCAACACCCAGGCTGGAATGCAATAGTGCTATCTTGGCTCACTGCAACCTCCGCCTCCCAGGTTCAAACGATTCTCCTGCCTCAGCCTTCCGAGCAGCTGGGGTTACAGGCGCCCGCCACCACATGGGGCTAATTTTTGTATTTTTAGTAGAAACGAGTTTTCACCATGTTGGCCAGGCTGGTCTCCAACTCCTGACCTCAGATGATCCGCCCGCCTCAGCCTCCCAAAATGCTGGGATTAGAGGTGTGAGCCACCATGCCTGGCCAACATCTCCACTTTCACAGAGTTTATATTCTAATGGAGAGAGACCACCAACATTAAACAAATACATACAAAGAATTGTAACCTTTATTAAATGTTCCCAAGATAAGAAAACAGTAATAACAGCTGGGTGCGGTGGCTTACGCCTGTAGTCCCAGCACTTTGGGAGGCTGAGGCGGGCGGATTACCATTGGTCGGGAGTTCGAGACCAGCCTGACCAACATGGAGAAACCCCGTCTCTACTAAAAATACAAAATTAGCCAGGCGTGGTGGCACATGCCTGTAGTCCCAGCTACTTGGGAGGCTGAGGCAGGAGAATCGCTTGAACCCAGGAGACAGAGGTTGCAGTGAGCTGAGATTGCACCATTGTACTCCAGCCTGGGCAAGAAGAGTGAAACTCCGTCTCAAAATAGAGGAAGAAGAAGGAGAAGGAGAAGAAGAAGAAGGAAGAAGAAGAAGAAAACAATAATATGAGAGAATTTAACAAGAGAGAGTGGCTGAGACCAGAAAGAAAATCTGTCCATGTGAAGATTTGGGGAAGATAATCCCATGAAGTGGGAAGAACAGGTGCAAATACTGTATGTGTGGGTTTCACAAGACTGGAACATAGCAAAGGAAGAGGAGGAGTAGGAGGTTACAACAGACAGATAGGCAAAAGACAGACTACAAAGGACTCAGAAGGAATTTGTGCCATATTTGACTTTGAGTGGGAAATCTATCCAAAATACTTCTCATCATTTAAGACTTTGCTTCTGGGACTCAACAGAATCTTTTCTCGAGAAGAGACTCTTTTCTATAAGCATATTCCTGCTGCTCACTCAGCCACACTTATACCCCAACAAGCCCCAGCCATAGTTTTGGTCTGTGTTTCAAATAATTTGTATTATCTAAAATTATTTCAAAACTAATAAGTGTTTTTGAAATAAACAAACAAAATTTAGTATAATAAATCCCAAGTTTCAACAATGATACACTATTTTTTTTTTTTTTTTTTTTTTGAGACAAAGTCTCGCTCTATCGCCCAGGCTGGAGTGCAGTGGCATAATCTTGGCTCACTGCAACATCTGCCTCCCGGGTTCAAGCGATCCTCCTGCCTCAGCTCCCAAGTAGCTGGGATTACAGGTGCCCACTACCACACCCAGCTAATTTTTGTATTGTTGGTAGAAACAGGATTTCACCATGTTGGTCAAGCTGGTCTCGAACTCCTGACCTCAGGTGATCCGCCCACCTTGGCCTCCTGAAATGCTGGGATTACAGGCATGAGCCACTGCGCCCAGTCTCCACTAATTATTTTAAATCACAAAAGCAATACATGCTGTCTGCAGGTAACACAAAAATCTCGAAGAAGAAACAGCACTTATAATTCTACTACATAGAGATAACCACTGATAATGACAATAAAATGGTACATCTCCTTCCAATTTTTAAGAATATATAGGGCCAGGTGAGGTGACTCCATCTCAAAACAACAACAACAAAAATGTATATAAATACATAGAGAGAGAGTTTTCGTTTGTCTGTTTCTTGTTTTTGTTACCAAATTGAGTTCATGCTGTGTGTGCCGTTTTTTCACCTTGCTTAGGCAATCTTTAAGCCATTTTTTCTTCTTTACCCTTCTACCTCCTGAGGAATTCCCCATTTTATCTGAGCTCATGACACATTTTTTTTAAAATTTTGATATTTCTAATGTTTATTCATTGTTTGTACATGTCTAGCATAGCGGAAGTGTGCTGAGAATAATGTTCCTATGGTAAACCACCTACATAGTTGGGAACTGCAGGCTAGTACAGTGGATAGCAATGTGGAATCCAGGTTCTAATTCTGACTCTGACTCATCCCTCTGAGGACAGCCAAGTTATTAACCTTTCTGTGGTTCAATTGCACTGTTCCTCCAGTAAAATGGAGCAACAATAGTTTCTACCTCCTAATGTGGTGGATATTGTAGAAGAATGTATGCCTTCAAGGTGTTCTCACATACCATGGACCTGGTAAATGGTTGCCATGTTTTAAATTAAAATGTTTGTTAACAATGAAGTGTATTTTCCCTCCAAATAATATCTGGGACATTGCTTTAACTGCCCACAAAGCTGTGGCATCTTTGGTAAGTCATTGTCTTATAATTGTATAATTAGGAAAGTACATTTGCTTGTTAAGCCCTTGGTTGCTGTCAGTCCATGATGTCATGTTGGCATTCTTATTTATCAATCAATGTATCCCATGGAATATCCCACTTGAAGAGCAGCACTTACTAATAGTATATTGATGTTGAAAATATTAGGTCTTAATCTGTGTTCAAGAGGGACTACTTAGTATTTGATCAATTCCCACTCCCAGAAAGGAGATGGAAAAATCATTGGTGTGGAGATAAAAAAAAGTTATCACCTTTCATTAATCAACAGTTGTGGGCATTTGAGAGCAGAAAGAATCTTGCTACCACCCACCTATATGAGAACTTGGGAAACAGTCATCTGGGCCATACCTAGCAATCATCTGAGCTTCACTCCTAACCTGAGACAATGCGCTGTTCTTGGCACATTACTAATTATATTAGCACAAGTCCACTTAAATATATTGGGGAGGCCAGGCACTGTTGCTCACACCTGTAATCCCAGCACTTTGGGAGGCCAAGGTGGGCAGATCACCTGAGGTCAGGAGTTCAAGACCAGCCTGACCAACATGGAGAAACCCCGTCTCTACTAAAAGTAAAAAAATTAGCCGGGTGTGGTGGCACATGCCTGTAACCCCAGCTACTCAGGAGGCTGAGGCAGCCGAGAATCACTTGAACCTGGGAGGCAGAGGTTGCAGTGAGACGAGATGGTGCCATTGCTCTCTAGCCTGGGCAACTAGAGCAAAACTCCATCTCAAAAACATACAAACTATATATATACACACACACATATATATATAATTTGGGGAAGGAATGCAGAATAGTGATTTTTGCAAACTGTATTAGTAGTACAAGTAGTCAGGCAACAGTTATTCGTAAACTACTTAGTAGCTTTTTTCCCTTCCTATTTGGCTCTGTAGGGGTAGACAGTAGTTCTTGTGCAAACTAGCTATCCTTGAGCTACTCTTTAAAGCAGATAGGTAAACTAGGCCGGGAGAGGTGGCTCACACGTGTAATCCCAGCACTTTGGGAGGCCGAGGCAGGCGGATCACTTTAGGTCAGGAGTTCAAGACCAGCCTGGCCAACATGGTGAAACCCCGTCTCTACTAAAAATACAAAAGAAACTAGCCAAGTATGGTGGCGGGCTCTGGTAATACCAGCTACTCAGGGGGCTGAGGCAGGAGAATGGCTGGAACCCAGGAGGTGGAGTTTGCAGTGAGCTGAAACTGTGCCACTGCACTCCAGCCTGGGCAACAGAGTGAGACTCCGTCTCAAAAAAAAAAAAAAAAAAGTAAACTAAATTTATCAATAGAAATATTTACAGAAATTTAAAAATCATCAGTATGAAAGTATTATCTCTGTTCATTGGATAAATATTGACTAAATCTGAAACTGAAATTCTGATAGACTGATAGAAATTAAATTTGCTTTTAAATAATATATTAATTTAAATGTAATTAGACTTATAATTGCAATAAAACATTTGAGTATTCATGATACAAATAAGACCATGTTTTAGCTTTGTAAAAATCATAAATAAAAAAAATTTAGACTTTTATAATTTCAAGTGGTTAAAAGGTTTTACAACCAATCTCAATGTGTGTAACATTCTATGTAGAATAGCAAGAGTTCAGTTTTCGAAACTACTTAGTAATGAGATGCAAGTATCAGAAGAATGTTTATCTAGAAACCTGTCAGGTCCCTATCAATCTTTAGACTTCAAAATTTTACAATTCTCTAACAGTATTAAAAGTTTTTCATGGCCTTCTTCTGAATGTTTTAATACGATTCCACTATTTGTAATATAAAAATACTGTTAGAATATGATCACTAATAAGAAAATTATTTTAGAAAGTAATATATTCAACTTTGAGTTAGTTTAGATAACCTTAGTGATGCAAAATATTTCATTAATATAAAGCAAGAGGCCAGGCGCAGTGGTTCATGCCTGTGATCCCAGCACTTTGGGAGGCAGAGGCAGGAGGATCACTTGAGCTAAGGAGTTCAAGATCAGCCTAGGCAGTGTAGTGAAACCTCATTTCTACAAAAAATTTAAAAATTAGCTAGGTGTGGCCGGGTGCGGTGGCTCATGCCTGTAATCCCAGCACTTTGGGAGGCCGAGGCGGGCGGATCACAATGTCAGGAGATAGAGACCATCCTGGCTAACATGGTGAAACCTCATCTCTACTAAAAATACAAAAAAATGAGCCGGGCATGGTGGCAGGCACCTGTAGTCCCAGCTACTCAGGAGGCTGAGTCTGGAGGATGGCGTGAACCCGGGAGGTGGAGATTGCAGTGAGCCGAGATCGTGCCACTGCACTCCAGCCTGGGTGACAAAGGGAGACTCCGTCTCAAAAAAATAAAATAAAATAAAATAAAAATTATTTAGGTGTGTGGTGGTGTGTACCTGTCGTCCTAGCTACTCCAGAGGCTGAGGCAGGAGGATTGCTTGAACCCAGGAGGTCTAGGCTTCAGTGAGCCATGATCATGCCATTGCATTCCAGCCTGGGTGACAAGGAGATACCCTGTCTCAACAAAAAAAATTCTAAATGTTATCATGTTAAATGATAGAGTGCCCACTTTTTCACTAGCAATTTTTCATGTCACTTTAAACATACAGTCTTCTGAAAGCAGAGACTAGAATTTCACATGATAGACCAAGTTCAAAATTTTTAAGATATAAAATATGTTAATCCATAAAAACAAAAGCAAAGATTGCAAACAGAATGTCTAAAATCTCCTTATTATAAAGAAGCATAAGGTATGTGTAAAATTAACATTGTGAATATGAATATACTACACTCAATCTTAATGCCCACCGCCCTTCAAAAAACTTGTCTCTTCATTTTCTGAACTGTTAAGGAGGAAGAGGCTCTAAAGGTGGCAGAATAGGCCGGGTGCAGTGACTCATGCCTGTAATCCCAGCATTTCAGGGGGCCGAGGCGGGCTGATCACCTGAGGTCAAGAGTTCAAGACTGGCCGAGCACAGTGGCTGAAGCCTGTAATCCCAGCACTTTGGGAGGCCGAGGCGGGTGGATCACCTGAGGTCAGGAGTTCAAGATCAGCCTGGCCAACATGGTGAAACCCCGTCACTACTAAAAATACAAAAAAAATTAGCTGGGTGTGGTGGTGAACACTTGTAACCCCAGCTACTTGGGAGGCTGAAGCAGGAGAATCGCTTGCACCTGAGGGGCGGAGGTTGCAGTGAGCCGAGATCTGCCACTGCACTCCAGCCTGGATGACAGAGGGAGACTCTGTCTCAAACAAAAAAAAAAGAAAAAGAAAGAGTTAAAGACCAGACTGACCAACTTGGTGAAACCCCGTCTATACTGAAAATACAAAATTATTGGGAATAGAGGCAGGCGCCTGTAATCCCAGCTACTCCAGGAGGCTGAGGCAGGAGAGTCGCTTCAACCAGGGAGGTGGAGGTTGCAGTGAGCTGAGGTCGTGACATTGCACTCCAGCCTGGGCAACAAGAGTGAAACTCTACCTCAGAAATAAATAAATAGGCCGGGCGCGGTGGCTCACGCCTGTAATCCCAGCACTTTGGGAGGCCGAGGGGGGCGGATCACGAGGTCAGGTGATTGAGATCATCCTGGCCAACATGGTGAAACCCTGTCTCTACTAAAAATACAAAAATTAACTGGGCGTGGTGGTGTATGCCTGTAGTCCAGGCTGCTTGGGAGGCTGAGGCAGGAGAATCACTTGAACCAGGGAGTCGGAGGTTGCAGTGAGCTGAGATCACGCCACTGCGCTCCAGCCTGGGTGACAGAGCGAGACTCCGTCTCAAAATAAATAAATAAATAAATAAATAAATAAGAAAAAATAATAATAAATAAATAAAAATAAAGGTGGCAGAATATTCTGCAGTTCTATATCATTCTACCAAAAGAAACTAATGAGGCCAGCCATGGTCTGAAACAATGCAAAAGCAAGTATCTAGATTCACAGAGGAAGTAGGTTTGCCCTGTTCTTTTAAGAGCTATAAAATGTCCGGTTGTTTTTAAATTAAAATTCCAGTGTTCATCCATATGTTTGGCATTAGGGAAACCTAATCTTTTTTTTTTTTTTTTTTTTTTTTTTTGAGACGGAGTTTTGCTCTTGTTGCCCAGGCTGGAGTGCAATGGCACGATCTCAGCTCACCGCAACCTACACCTCCCAGGTTCAAGCGATTCTCCTGCCTCAGCCTCCGGAGTAGCTGGGATTAGAGGCATGTGCCACCACGCCCGGCTAACTTTGTATCTTTAGTAGAGACGGGGTTTCACCATGCTGTTCAGAATGACCTTGAACTCCTGACCTCAGGTGATCTGCCCGCCTCAGCCTCCCAAAGTGCTGGGATTACAGGCGTGAGCCACTGTGCCCGGCCAGGGAGACCTAATATTAACCACCAGTTAGAAAAATGGAATGTATGACAGGCTCTGAAATTGAGGCAATAATTAATAGCTTACCAACCAAAAAAAGTCCAGGACCATATGGATTCACAGCCGAATTCTACCAGAGACAAGGAGGAGCTGTTACCATTCCTTCTGAAACTATTCCAATCAATAGAAAAAGAGGGAATCCTCCCTAACTCATTTTATGGGGCCAGCATCATCCTGATACCACAGCCTGGCAGAGTCACAACAAAAAAAAAGAATTTTAGACCAATATCCCTGATAAACATCAATGCAAAAATCCTCAATAAAATACTGGCAAACCGAATCCAGCAGCACATCAAAAAGCTTATCCACCATGATCAAGTGGGCTTCATCCCTGGGATGCAAGGCTGGTTCAACATAGGAAAATCAATAAACGTAATCCAGCATATAAACAGAACCAACGACAAAAACCACATGATTATCTCAATAGATGCAGAAAAGGCCTTTGACAAAATTCAACAATCCTTCATGCTAAAAACTCTCAATAAATTAGGTATTGATGGGATGTATCTCAAAATAATAAGAGCTATCTATGACAAACCCACGGCCAACATCATACTGAATGGGCAAAAACTGGAAGCATTCCCTTTGAAAACTGGCACAAGACAGGGATGCCCTCTCTCACCACTCCTATTCAACATAGTGTTGGAAGTTCTGGCCAGGGCAATCAGGCAGGAGAAGGAAATAAAGGGTATTCAATTAGGAAAAGAGGAAGTCAAATTGTCCCTGTTTGCAGATGACATGATTGTATATTTAGAAAACCCCATCGTCTCAGCCCAAAATTTCCTTAAGCTGATAAGCAACTTCAGCAATGTCTCAGGATACAAAATCAATGTGCAAAAATCACAAGCATTCTTATACACCAATAACAGACAAACAGAGAGCCAAATCATGAGTGAACTCCCATTCACAATTGCTTCAAAGAGAATAAAATACCTCAGAACCCAACTTACAAGGGATGTGAAGGACCTCTTCAAGGAGAACTACAAACCACTGCTCAATGAAATAAAAGAGGATACAAACAAATGGAAGAACATTCCATGCTCATGGGTAGGAAGAATCAATATTGTGAAAATGGCCATACTGCCCAAGGTAATTTATAGATTCAATGCCATCCCCATCAAGCTACCAATGACTTTCTTCACAGAATTGGAAAAAACTACTTTAAAGTTTTCATATGGAACCAAAAAAGAGCCCACATTGCCAAGTCAATCCAAAGCCAAAAGAACAAAGCTGGAGGCATCATGCTACCTGACTTCAAACTATACTACAAGGCTACAGTAAGCAAAGCAGCATGGTACTGGTACCAAAACAGAGATATAGACCTATGGAACAGAACAGAGCACTCAGAAATAATACCACATATCTACAACTATCTGATCTTTGACAAACCTGACAAAAATAAGAAATGGGGAAAGGATTCCCTATTTAATAAATGGTGCTGGGAAAACGGTCTAGCCATATGCAGAAAGCTGAAACTGGATCCCTTCCTTACACCTTATACAAAAATTAATTCAAGATGGATTAAAGACTTAAATGTTAGACCTAAAACCATAAAAACCCTAGAAGAAAACCTAGGCAATACCATTCAGGACATAGGCATGGGCAAGGACTTCATGTCTAAAACACCAAAAGCAATGGCAACAAAAGCCAAAAGTGACAAATGGGATCTAATTAAACTAAAGAGCTTCTGCACAGCAAAAGAAACTACCATCAGAGTGAACAGGCAACCTACAGAATGGGAGAAAATTTTTGCAATCTACTCATCTGACAAAGGGCTAATATCCAGAAACTACAATGAACTCAAGCAAATTTACAAGAAAAAAACAAACTACCCCATCAACAAGTGGGCAAAGGATACGAACAGACACTTATCAAAAGAAGACATTTATGCAGCCAAAAGACACATGAAAAAATGCTCATCATCACTGGCCATCAGAGAAATGCAAATCAAAACCACAATGAGATACCATATCCCACCAGTTAGAATAGCAATCATTAAAAAGTCAGGAAACAACAGGTGCTGGAGAGGATGTGGAGAAATAGGAACACTTTTCCACTGTTGGTGGGACTGTAAACTAGTTCAACCATTGTGGAAGTCAGTGTGGCGATTCCTCAGGGATCTGGAAATAGAAATACCATTTGACCCAGCCATCCCATTACTGGGTATATACCCAAAGGATTATAAAACATGCTGCTATGAAGACACTTGCACACGTATGTTTATTGCAGCACTATTCACAATAGCAAAGACTTGGAATCAACCCAAATGTCCAACAATGATAGATTGTATTAAGAAAATGTGGCACATATACACCATGGAATACTATGCAGCCATAAAAAGTGACGAGTTCATGTCCTTTGTAGGGACATGGACGAAGCTGGAAACCATCATTCTCAGCAAACTATCGCAAGGACAAAAAAAACAAACACCGCATGTTCTCACTCATAGGTGGGAATTGAACAATGAGAACACATGGACACAGGAAGGGGAACATCACACACCAGGGACTGTTGTGGGGTGGGGGGAGGGGGGAGGGATAGCATTAGGAGATATACCTAATGTTAAATGACGAGTTAATGGGTGCAGCACACCAACATGGTACATGTATACTTATGTAACAAACCTGCATGTTGTGCACATTTACCCTAAAACTTAAAGTATAAAAAAAAAAGAAAAATGGAATATATGACCAGGTATGGTGGTAATACCTGTAATTCCATGCCTGTAATCCCAGCACTTTGGGAGGCCAAGGCTGGAGGATCACAAGGTCAGGAGTTCAAGACCAGCCTGGCCAATATGGTGAAACCCTGTCTGTACTAAAAATACCAAAATTAGCAAGGCTTGGTGGCACACGGCTGTAGTCCCAGTTACTTGGGAGGCTGAAGTAGAAGAATCGCTTGAACCTGGGAGGTGGAGGTTGCAGTGAGCTGAGATGGTGCCACTGCACTCCAGCCTGGGCAACAGAGCAAGACTCTATCTCAAAGAAAAGAAGAAGAAGAAGAAGAAGAAGACGAAGAAGAAGAAGAAGAAGAAGAAGAAGAAGAAGAAGAAGAGGAAGAGGAAGAGGAAGAGGAAGAAGAAGAAGAAGAGGAGGAGGAGGAGGAGGAGGAGGAGGAGGAAGAGGAAGAGGAAGAGGAAGAGGAAGAAGAAGAAGAAGAAGAAGAAGAAGAAGAAGAAGAAGAAGAATGGAAAGTATAGTATTTACCATGCTACTTAGAGGGTAGTTCAAGTAAGAGGGGAAAAAATAAAGCAAGGCGGTAAAATGGCAGAAAAGGTAAATATTATGATGGTTATGAAATGTTTGAAGCAAAGTGGTCTTGAAAAGATTACCTATTTTTTAAAATAAATCACTTGAATATGTATGAAAGAAAGTGTTTAAAATTATTTAAATAACATTCTTTTAGAGCAATCCAAATTTCAATCACTTTCCCTCCCTCATTAGTGACTTATACTTGACACCGAAATGAACAATTTAAGCCTGAAATAGAGTTGTGAGAGAAAAAAAAGATCTATCTAAGAATCTTCATCCACTTTTGGATGAAGCCACCAAAAATAACTTGGAGCACACCAAAAACAATAACCACAACAATGAAGAACAAAAAGTGCTCTTTAATGTTTGTGGTATTCATCACAATGTATACAGCAAGAATGAAAACTTTTTTTTTTTTTGGAGACAGGGTCTTGCTCTGTCACCCAGGCTGTGGTGCAGTGGTGTGTTCATGGCTCACTGCAACCTCTGCCTCCTGGGCTCAAGCCATCCTCCTGCCTCAGCCTCCTGAGTAGCCGGGACTACAAGCACAAGGCACAACTCTTGGCTATTTTTTATTTTTTTTATTTTTTTGTAGAGATGAGGTCTCTTTCTCTCTCTCGCTCTCTTTTAATTTTATTTTAATCTAAATAGAGATAAGGTCTCAACATGTTGCCTAGGCTGGTTTCAACCTCTTGAACTCAAGTGATTCTCCCATCTCGGCCTCCCAAAGTGCTGAGATTACAGGCATGAACCACTGCACCTGGCCAAGATTCTTTCAAGGTTAAAGGGGTGTTACATGGAACATTAAGAACTATGTCTAGGCCCAATGCAGTGTCTCATCCCTGCAATCCTAGCACTTTGGGAGGCCGAGGCGGATGGATCCCTTGAGGTCAGGAGTTCAAGACTAGTCTGGCCAACATGGTGAAACCTTGTCTTTACGAAAAATACAAAAATTAGTGAGGCGCGGTGGTAGGCACCTGTAATCCCAGTCACTTGGGAGGCTGAGGCAGGAGAATTGCTTGAACCCTGGAGGTGGAAGTTGCAGTGAGCCAAGTTCATACCACTGCACCTCAGCCTGGGCAACAGGCTTACTCCATCTCAAAAACAAAAAAAAAAAAAACAAAAAACTATGTCTGATCCATTCCAAAAAAGAGACTAAATTATAAACCCACTATGTGCGCCATACATTAAATGTATTAAGGTAAACAAAGGTGAATACCTAAAATAAAAATGCCACCTTAGTGAATAACTTGGAACCAAATCAGCTCTTTTACTCTCATCAGAAGTGTAAGTCATGGCTGGTCCTTAGCAAGCACTTTATTCTTCTAGGATCACTTGCTCACAATTTAGGAAGAGATGTTCTCTCCATAACCGTGATAAGCATAAAATCTTAGATTCAGGTAGACATGTAAATTTAGATACAGAAATAAAACATTTGCTAAATGATGATGTGATTAAAATGGATTTATAAATTTGTCATCTTGGCTGAAGAGCCAGGATGGGCTCAAGCCACCCAAATCACAGGGTCTGTTTACTAGAACTATTATGAGGGTAAATACATTTCACAGGAAACAGTCAAGTGTTGAAAAGATGCTTATGACTGTGGAAAGGATTTTATGCTTGAATTTTAAATATGTGTAATAAAACTACTTCTGTTAAATGCGGACTCTACTTACTAGACTTGCCTCTATAAAAATAGTTTGTCCTATTCCTATAATCAAATGCACCCATTATGTCATATAACTTCCTGTAAGAATATATACAAACTAAACACTTCGAGGTTATAGACAATCTGTTGGGATAATGTTACGATGTTGCAGGTTTCAACTATAAAATTCTAGTGCTTGTTTAACTCATAAAAATGCTCCTCAGAGAATATAAGTATGTGGTTCCCTCTGATCTTATTCTTAAGGTAGAGTACACATTATTTTTCTTTGGGCACCTCCTCTCTGATTACAATTATGTTGTTATAGAGCTTCATTGCTAATTTAGGAAAAGTTTCTTCAACCTGTACGTAGCATTGAAAAATTATCAAAAGTAAAAGAATATCGTCTCCAAAGGGGTAGAGGATACAGCCATCTCCTTAGTAGCTTTGTGTTGAAGTTTTCCTTCCATTCTCTTTTCTAATATAAATTATGCTGCATCAGATGAAAAAAATAAATGAGACTAAAAAAGAATCCGAAAGAGAGCAGAGATTCAATAGAAAACATCAAGGGAAGAGGTTGATCTCCTTTGTCAACTTTAAGGTGAGATTTAAAGAAAAATAACATTCCGTTGTCCTTTGCTATAATCATGAAGAAACATTGATATGTTAACTATCTTCTTTGCCTCTCATGCTGAGGTGTGATGAAATGACTAGCAAAGTATTTTCAAAATTTCAATTATTCCCATGAGATTGTCATTCTAGCATTACAACTTCCTTAAATGCATTTAAATTGGTATTACTTTAGTGTTACATTTTACCAGGAGCAATTTTGTTGTGTGGGAATTAAATTTGCAAAACAGATCTTCCCAAAAGTAAACAAATAAAAGAAGTCATTGAAATTCCTTCACACCCAAGCTCCCTCTTTATAGCTTTCCCTTTGTCTTGCTCCCTCTAGTTCTCATTCTCTTTCTACATCTTCCCATTTTTCCTTTTTTTACTTCCCACTCTATTCTTTTACTTTTCAAATGAGTTGATTACCATAGACATTTTTCTTCACACGCACACACAAGACACACACACACACATCATGCACCACTCACCCCACTGCATCTGCTACTGATTGGCTGCTTCTGAAAGGACAAAGGGTCAGTTAGAGAAGCCATCCTTCAGTTTGCATACAAAGATCTGGCAGACTGGCTGAAATTGGTAGAAGTAACTGTCATTAGAACGCTACAGAAAATGAAGTAATTGGATCCATATGTGCTGGTTTACACGCTTTTAAAAAGGAAGTAACTTCAACGCGTAGCTCTGATTTTAGTAAGAAAGGGTGCAGATGTAAAAGCACACACCTACAATTATTTATCTAATTTACTTCTTGGCAAGTTAGTATACCACTTTTTTTTTTCAGTTTTTTCCTAGTAACTCACAGAACAAGTACTCCAATCTTTAATGGAGATTTTGTATCCATAGATGTTTGTACTTGTGTTATAGAGTAATTGCATGTTTTAAAGCTATTTACAAGAAAGTAGTATTCTAACCTAGATAATTTTCATTTAGTACATACATATTTTATAACTCTATAACTACTATATTCTGCAAAATAGGATTTGACTAGGAGTTCAGCCGAGTCAGAAATCCAATGTGATATGTATATTTGAAGACAAAACTACGAACACAATTTAAAATTTAAATAAAGCTTCAATAAAAATATAAAATAATTTTCACTATAAATATTAAAGGAAACGACACAAGGCTTAAAGTATAATAAGGATTGTTTTATATCTGCAGCAGCGAAGAGGTAGCAAGCAACTAACAACAAGAACTCTAGGGTCTCACTGGTTTCAAATCCTAGCTCTGTTGTTTCCTAGATATGTAACCTTGGATAAATCTCTCTTCTCTATACTCCAGTTTCCTAATTTGTAAAATACGCACAAGAGGATATTATGAGGATTAAATGAGATAATTCAAATAAAGTTCCTACAACAATTCCTGGTACATAACAGGTGATATAGAGATGATCTTTCATATTAAGGTTGCTTTTAACAAAACCTATTACTGGGGCACATTTTGTTCTATCACTAACTTGCTTTGGACTTCAATAAGTCACTTAATGCCAGTTTTCTCATTTGTAAAATGGATGCGGATTGGACTTCATTTTTTTTTTTTTTTTTTTTTTTTTGAGATGAAGTCTCCCTCTGTAACCCAGGCTGGAGTGCAGTGGCGTGATCTCTGCTCACTTGACCTCCACCTCCTGGGGTCAAGCTATTCTCCTGCCTCAGCCTCCCAAGTACCTGGGATTACAGGTGCCCACCACCACACCCAGCTAACTTTTTTGTATTTTTAGTAGAGACAGGGTTTCACCATGTTGGCCAGGCTGGTTTCAAACTCCTGACCTCAAGTGATCCATCTGCCTTGTCCTCCCAAAGTGCTAGGATTACAGGCTTGAGCCACCATGCCTGGCCTGGACTTCATTTTTAACATTCTTCCTAGAGATAGATAGATAGATAGATAGATAGATAGATAGATAGATAGATAGATAGAATACATGTATAATATACACACATATATAATATATACATATATATAATATATATTTTCTATGACCTTACTGGACTTCAAAAGTACACAAGATAGTTTAAATATTGTTGTGTGTGATATGGGCTTAACAAATCTAAAATCCTCATAGTCATTGAGTAACTAATCACAAACATTTCTTGTTTAGGTACCAAGTTTGGGGAATGCAGAGGTAATAGGATAATGAATAATAATAAAATACACCTTCTAGCCAGGTCAGGAGGCACAACAGAGAACTGTATCCAACATTCTTATAAAATAGCCTGTGTGGGTACTCACTGTAAAAAAGGAGAGAGTTGGCAATCGTTCTTGACTAGTTATCGGGATGAAAGTCAGGCAAAGCATGGCAGTGCTAGACAACCAGGCTGAGTATCCCAGGATAACATTAATTGGACTAGATTCTCTGGAAAAGAGAAATGATATTTTTGCAGCATCTCACTAGAGAGTGAAATCAAGGTCCAAAAAGAAAGAATGAAAGTCTCGAATACTGATCAACAAGGTTTTCTGTACTTTGTTAATCACACATTAATTGGCATGCTATTACCCTCATGTGTTTGGGACATAATGTTTTGGTATTATATTTTTCTTTTTCATAAAGTGCAACAAAATCCCTGCATATACTAAGTATTCATTTCATTTTGATTAAATAAATTTATGAGCCCTCTTAAATAGTCAGCCAAGGCCAGGCACAGTGGCTCACGCCTGTAATCCCAGCACTTTGGGAGGCCAAGGCAGGCAGATCACCTGAGGTCAGGAGTTCGAGACCAGCCTGGCCAAGATGGAGAAACCCCATCTCTACTAAAAACATACAAAAAATTAGCTGGGTGTGGTGGTGGACGCCTGTAATCCCAGCTATGTAGGAGGCTGAGGCAAGAGAATTGCTTGAACCTGGGAGTTGGAGGTTGCAGTGAGCAGAGATCACACCACTGCACTTTAGTATGGATGACAGAGTGGGACTCCGTCTCAAAAAAAAAAAAAAAAAAAGCCTGTTGCAGTGGCTCATGCCTGTAATTCCAGCACTTTCGGAGGCTGAGGTAGGTGGATCACCTGAGGTCAGGAGTTTGAGACCAGCCTGGCCAACATGGAGAAACCCCATCTCTACAAAAAATATACAAAAATTAGCCAGGTGTGGTGGCAAGTGCCTGTAATCCCAGCTACTTGGGAGGCTGAGGAAGGAGAATCGCTTGAACCTGGGAGGCAGAGGTTGCATTGAACCAAGACCATACCACTGCACTCCAGCCTGGGCAACAGAGTAACAGTCTGTCTCAAAAAAAAAAAAAAATCTGTAAAGTTAAAGTCTAAATGCCTCACTTTTTAAATAAAGAATCTGATAAAATAATTTGACCAAAGCCAAATGATTTAGTGACAGAAGCCAGGACTAAACACTCAAGTTGTGTTACCTGTAAAGTCAAGTCATCCTATTTCCATTATACTAAACTACCTTCACTTTTGTTCATGAACAAAATCACCAAGCCTAATTTCAAATACAAAATTTCTGATTTATTTGTTTAATGCTAAACACTAGGCCATTCAAGCAGTGTAGTTCAAAAAAGATTCAAAATTTCATGTATTTCAAAGTCTTAAATATGCACTTAAAGAATTCCAGCCCAGAGTTTACTAGCAGTTTTATATTTTATATAATTTATCCAGTAAACAATAATTGTTGCTTAGGAATCACTTGGGTTTATTATGAAAATTCCTGAGACTGTTTTTGACTAAATAAGCACCTAAACAATGTTGAAAGTGGGGATGGAGAGGATGAACCCAAATGTGTCTCACATTTTTTATTTAAAGAGAAGTATTACTAGATAGGATCTCTTTTATTCACTTGAATTATTTATATATAATTTGTTCTTCATTAGAAAACCATCTAAAGATCACCATTATCTCTTTTAATTTCTCACAATACCAGAAGGTCTTCTTCATGCCATTTGGCCAATCACTTCAGTCAAGTAGCCTGGGTAAGAATCACCACAATATAGGGATGTCTGAATATTCCGCATATGTTGCTACCTCTGTTATTTTTGTACACAATATAAAGAATCTATTACTCGTACTCCTATGTTATTTTTCTCAGGTTTGCCAGACATATGAGGGTTAGGAAGGTATTCATACTCTCAAAAGTGTATGCCTTTTTTGGACTTATGGGTTCTTGCAAAAATATATGTTTTGGCTCAGATATTAGGCTGATGCAGCATTTATGATCAGTAATGTTTTTTCAACCAGCACATGTGCCCAAGGAGATCCTGGGAAAATTTTTGAATGAGCATTGTACTGAATAAATGTTTTACCACACTCAATATTTGAATTTTATACATTTGATATGTCCGACACATCTAATCCATCATTTCCTCTAAGCAAGGAGAATGCCAATTTTGCTCACACAAGTTTTCAAAACTAACAATTTTTTGATTTACTATGATGCTATTTTCTATAACTTTGGCTGTTAGCTTTCCACTTGGTGCTATTTCACTTCCAAGAATGGCAGTAGATTAGGTAGGCCTAGGAGAACTAATTAAGAATTAATTAAATAATAAAATTAAGTAAATGCTTAGTTAATTAATTGGAGAATTAAGGAAGGCCTAAAAGAACTAATGTAGAGAATGAAAACTAAAAAGCATTACATTGGTCTATACCAAGAAGTGGTCAAAATGGAACAAAGGATCAAAAGAAAAATACATACCAAAACCAGGTCAGTCCAGCAAGAGTCAGAAAGCAGAAAAACATAGTGGTCTGAAATCCAGCGAGGGTCAGAAAGCAGAGAAATGGAAGAAATAGGAAGCCAGAAAGAAAGAAGGCCACAGGCAGATACCTGAGGTTAAAACAAAGTATTGGCAAGGGGTAGTGAACACCATCCAAACAATCAGTAATCAAATAGGAAACACACTTGAGAAGATACACTCTAAATTGAGCCACATTCTGTCTCCACCAGGATTAGCTTTAAATGCTTCCATCTGAGGGCAGGAGCTAATCCCACCACAAATAGAGACAGGTGTGCTAACCAGGAATCATGAGCTGATCCTCATAAGATTAAGATCTTCTTTACTACACTAGCGTGGTTAGCGTGGAATTTTGCTGATTCATCAAGTACGACATTGAAAATATAGCAGTGAAGAAAGCAGTTAAAACTTCCTACCCTCATGAAGTTTACATTCTATAGAGTTAGACAAATCCCAGGTTAGAGAGTGTAGTTACAAGACACAGATTTTCAGACTTGAAAGGTAACCTAGTTTCTACCCTTAACTTAGGTCAAGTTCCATAAATTCCATAAACGGCCATCTTAGTACTTGCTGTAATTAATTCCTGAATTCACCTCATTTTTTATCTTTTTCACTTTTCCAGGTAAATATTTTTCACATATTCTTTTTCTTCATTACAACTTTCGTTTCTGGAGCCATACTGGTTTTAAGTTCTCACCCATGCATTCTTTTTAATATCTCATGATTTTCATACTCGATTGAATATGATTCAATATTTCTAGACTCTGGAGAAGACACCAAAATGGGAAAGAACAAGTTTGTTCATTCAAGGAGTTTTTATTTCTGCAGGATTCCATACGTGCTCAAGAAACTGTCAGACCAGGATGAATGTATTATGGCCCACGAGGGACGCATTAAATGCTATGGTGATGAAAAGGCTATGATAACAGGAAAATTTCCAGATCCCTGAAACATGACTAAAATCACTTCAGTTGGTAGGAATCAGGAAATGCTTATAGAGAAAATTCAATTAATTTATAAGAAAATTTAATTAATTAAATTTAATGAATGAGCATTATATTCATCATATAGTGACATGTCTGGTTCCTGATTTTATCCCTAGTATGCACAACAAAGCCTGGGACACAAAAGTAGTTTAAGTACTCTACAAATATTTGTTGAACTGATCTGGAATGATTGATTAAACCCTGAAGAACTTGTAGGACTTCAATTAAGGAAAATTGGAACAAACCCAGCAGATTTTTTTTCTAAAGAAAAGAAACACAAGGCCAGGCACCGTCGCTCCCATTTGTAATCCCAGCACTTTGGGAGGCTGAGACGGGTGGATCACCTGAGGTCAGGAGTTCAAGACCAGCCTGGCCAACATGGTGAAACCCCCATCTCTACTAAAAACAGAAAAATTAGCTGGGCATGACGGCACATGCCTGTAATCCCAGCTACTCGGGAGGCTGAGGCAGGAGAATTGCTTGAACCCAGGAGACGGAGGTTACAGTGAGCCAAGATTGTGCCCCTGCACTCCAGCCTGGGTGACAGAACCAGACTCCGTCTCAAAAAAAAAAAGAAAAAGAGAAAAGAAACACAAAGCATGACAAAAACAAGAAAAGCGAAAAAGGTGAGCGGAGTGTAGCCTAATTTGGATGCAGTGCAGTGTCCACAGAAAAAGTCACATTTGAAAGTTTAGGCCAGGCATGGTGGCTCATGCCTGTAATCCTAGCACTTTGGGGGGCCAAGGCGGGTAGATCACCTGAGGTCAAGGGTTCGAGACCAGCCTGGCTAGGAAGGAAGGAAGGGAGGGAGAGAGGGAGGGAGGGAGGGAGAAAGGAAGGAAGAAGGAAGGAAGGAAGGAAGGAAGGAAGGAAGGAAGGAAGGAAGGAAGGAAGGAAGGAAGGGAGGTTAGTTTAATGCTTGGACTCTATTTCAGACATCTAGCTGAATGATAATGGGCAAAGGGAGAGAAATTTTAGGTTGGAAAGAGTACTTTTATAGGGAGAGAGGGATGCAGTAAAGAAGGAAAGACTGAAGCCAGGTGCGGTGGCTCACGCCTATAATCCCAGCACTTTGGGAGGCCAAGGCGAGTGGATCACGAGGTCAGGAGATCGAGACCATCCTGGTTAACATGGTGAAACCCCGTTTCTACAAAAATACAAAAAATTAGCCTGGCGCGGTGGCGAGTAGTCCCAGCTACTCAGGAGGCTGAGGCAGGAGAATGGCGTGAACCCGGGAGGCGGAGCTTGCAGTGAGCCGAGATTGCGCCACTGCACTCCAGCCTGGGCGACAGGGTGAGACTCTGTCTCAAAAAAATAAAAAATAAAAAAGAAGGAAAGACTGAAGATGCAAGTGGCAACGATGAAATCAATTGGGAAGGATATCCTAGGAAAAGTTAGGGCACAAGATCCAAATCAAAGAGATAAGAGGCCCAGGACTGAGAGACACAGGCCTCATATTAACTTTGCTATGAGCTATTTTATCTGGGGCAAATCACTTAATCCTCTGAGTTTGTTGCCTTTTCTGTAAAATGAAGATAGAGCTTACATCATAAGATTATGATGTGTAAACAAAATAACATTTGTTAAATACCTGGCATATATAGTATACTACTATAAAATAAGTATATATTTATTGGATTATACAGAGAATATTTATATCCTTATAGAATATATGTAGGTACAGAAATGTATTGATTTCCTAGGGCTGTTATAACAAAGTGCCACAGACTGGGTGGCTTAAAATAACATAAATTTGTTCTTTCAAATTCAGGAGGCTAGAAGTCCAAAATCAAAGTGTCAGTAGTGTTGATTTTTGGAAACTCAGAGAATGATTTTGTTCCATGTCTCTCCCCTAACTTCTGGTGGTTGCTGGCTATCTTTGGCATTGGTTCCTTGGTTCACGGTAGCATAACTCTCATCTTTGCCTCTATCATCACAGAGCTCCTCCCCACCTGTCCCTGTGTGTCTCTGTCTCTTCTTTTTGCTATAAGGACAGCCGCCATATTGGATTTAGGACCCACCCTACTCCAGTATGACCTCAATCTTAACTGATTACATTTGCAATGACCCTATTTCAAAATAAGGCCACATTCTGGGTTCCAGATGGACATAAATTTTATGGGGCACAATATTCAACCTCGTACAAGAAATATATTGCTAACTTATCTTTTGTTTTATAATAGCTTCAATAGGCTTTTTTTTTTTTTTTTTTTTTCTTTTTTAAGAACTGGGATTGGGGCCTTAAAAGGGAGGATAGCGAAATGTTTGAGGGCTGAGATTATGGAATTTGGATCCCATCTATTCCTCTTCCGGTCATCTAGCCCTTGGAGGCTACACCTCTTTAGCTGTCAGTTTTCTCATCTGGTAAACAGGGAGTCATGATACTTCAGAGTGTTTTGGGGAGGATTATGCGAAGTAACATATGCAACACACTTAACATAGGATTTGGCCCGGGGCACAGCCCTTGCCTCCCTCACAAAGGCTGTCTGTAGGATAGAAGTCTAGGTTTGTGTTCCTGTAAACAAAGAAGATGCCTTGTTCTCTTATACTTGCAGGCTGAAAGTGCTGTTTGCAGAGCCAGTTGCATTGTTCTGACACTTTCCTACCAATATTTCTCCATACCTAGTTATTCAGTACTAAGATGAATGATTTATTGCTATTGTTGACTCACATTCCACAGAAATGCTGGATCACTTTTCATTGTACCTCCATGTCTAACATTTCAGTTGCTCATTGACTGTATAATCACTTTATTACTATACTCCAAAAGTCAACTATTTAAACAACATCTTTTTGTTTGTCTTTTTGAAAGACTAATTTTAAAACATGTAAATAAATCATGTGTAAATTTTCATGAGTTTAATACATAATCACTCTTTCAGGTAGAAAACCAGGTATTTTATCACATCTTTTTTCTTTTAATGAGAAAAATAATGTTCTATGTGGTTAGATGACTTAAATATAACAGTTTGCTCTGTCCTGATCAGTGGAGATATGTATCTTCCACAGCACTGGTGCATATTAGTGATATTCTAGGAATTCATTGTTGATCACCTGGTAATGAAATATAAAAATTTTAGTCAATATTTGCTCTCTGTGGTAGGTCTCTATCTTATCTATAAAGACTCACTACTAAACCTTTGAATAGACTTAAAACTTGGCCTGAAAATATAGTGCCAAAATCTATATTGATCTCTTATTGATTTAACATTCAACTTTGTTAGCATGCTGTTTTCCTGAATGCTGTACTAAGAAGACTGGGGCGGGAAATGGGGAGGGATTTAAAAATCTGAATAAACTCTTTGCCATTCTTAAGTCACTTGTATATCATGAGTTCAAACTCTATTGTATTCCATTGATTTTATGAAGCAATGGACAGCATGGTAAAGTAGGACCCTTTAACACTATGCTTGCAGTCCCCAAACAGGTCAATATATTCTCAAGACTTCAATAAAGTGAATTTAAGAATTTTTGTATGCCATCGCCTATTATAAACTTCATGCCTAACTAGACAGGCAGGGAAATTTACAGATTGACTTATAAAATCAAGACAAATTGTGCATTAAATTCAAACCTCAGGAAGCCCCAAGGTTATGTACCAACTACCTGAGTCTAAAGAAGCCAAATACAACAAAATTCCTAATGGTTCAAAACAAATTACACATGCTTTAGAGCTAGTACTTTGGCTGTACTTGTGTTTCAAGGCATACCTATACTATTCTTTTGGCATTTTGCATTTTACCTAAAATATGTTCGATATGGATGTTATAAATGGAATTTATTATACTTACATAATAAGTATAGTCATTTCCATTTATAACAGCTGTATCTGATATATAAGGGAGCACTTGAAACAAAAAGAGATCTTGGTGCATGTGTGTAAAAGACAAGGCTAGACTGTTTTTGTGTTTTCTGAATTCACTGGGAGATGAACTAAGACTTGTTTTCTCCATCTCCAATTTCTGTGACTGTGGTATGTTAGCCTGGTATTCCACCACATATAAATTTTTAACCGAACACAGATTTCATGAGTTTGTGGCTTGCCTGAACTTCCTTTTTTAAAATCCTGGACATTTGCAGATGAAAATAATCTGTTACTTTTAAAACTGCACTTTACAAAATATTAATATAAATGTATATGTTTTGCAGATTTATTTCAAAACATTCTAAATTCCAAAAATCTTTACTGTTACAAACCCAGTGAATTAGGCAATTTGGAGAGTTCGTGTAAACAGGCACTACTTTGCAGTAAGTTTGGTAAAGATAAAGCATTTCAGCACATGTTCTGCCACAAAGCATTTGGGACTCTTATGTTAGAGCTTCAGAATTCCTTCTGAAAAAGACAAAAGAGAGACTTCCTGTCATTTCCACTGGTTTCTGCATGTGGGACCAATATGGGCAAAGTTTAAACAGATGCAAATGGTAAGGGGAGGAGGCAGTGTCACGTCTTGTTTTACGTATTTCTTCATATCCAGATTGAATTTAAGTCATTCTCTTCTTGGAGCTTTTGGAGTACACTTCCACTAAAGTTATAGCATGCTTGAATGGTTTATTTCACCAATATTTGCTTATGGAAATAAAGGGGAGTGGCCGAGGAGAAAGGAGAAGAGGAGTGGAGGAGGGGTTTGAGGCTGAGGGAGGCTCTGACCACAGCACAGAGCACCGGCAACTTTGTCTAATGTGATCATTAACCTTCCTGCAAAACACAGCTGGCAGTTCTCTGAGGTTTGTCACTAGAATGTGAAGACAGCCACACAGATATTGCACAGACTATTTACAGATCGTTTGGTTTACATTGAGAGTCATTGCTCTACTTTTGTGCGGTAGGAAAATGAGATTTCAGCAATTCCTTTTTGCATTTTTTATTTTTATTATGAGTCTTCTCCTTATCAGCGGACAGAGACCAGGTAGGCCTTTGATACATTTGTACAAGTAACTTGTTTTGCCTGTTTGCATCCCTGGGTCTCTGAGCATGATTGTGTTTATCTGAAAACCACTTAGGTGTGCTTGCAGTTAGTAGTATTGGGGATAAATGTGTAGGATTTTGAAAGTATGCTATCTATCCTGTTGGGTCTATTATTTCAATATTTTAAAAACATCTGGACTTTGAAATGATAAGTATTTTACCACTATTTTTCCTAAATGCCAAGAAAATAGATCTCTAAGCTATTGCAGATTATGTTGTCTTTACAAGTAAAATGAAACAGAAGTGTTCGTCTATTCATTATAAAGGTAAATAAATGTATAGATTTTTAGGTAAAATGCAAACTCCAAAGCAGTTTATTTAAAAAGTATGTTGCTGCCCAGAGTAGGGGCTGAATTAACATACAAAAAGCATAATGCAACAAAATGCAGATTAAATCTTAAAACAGGTCAATAGCTGTCATTTCTAATTATGTAACTAGGCATGTCACTTAAAACAAATAAGTGCAGTTTTTATTATTATGCTTATACAGCTAAAAAGCATCAAAAATATGTATGATAAAGATACATAATATTAATTTACTTGACATGTTTTCAAAGATGATATCAAGTATATTGTACTTAACCAACAGAAATTTAGTACACAAAAGTATTCTAATGTACTTTTACTTCAAAACCAAACAGCTAAGATTTCAAAGAACCAGTAAGTTTGAAAAAAAAAAGAAAGAAAAGAGAGAAAAGAAGAGAGAAAGAAAGAAAGAAAGAAACAGAAAAAAGAAAGAAAGAAAGAAAGAAAGAAATTAGAAAGTTAAAGTTTTCTGAACCACAAACCCAACTTTAAATAAAAAGGTGGTAATATTTACATCCAAATATGTTAAATTATTCACTTGATAATATACTTCTTCAGTTAGAACAGAAAACGATGCATCACTTGTTAAAAATTCAGACTTTGCTTTTTAGTGAATTAGAAGTTTGATCACTGTGAGTTTATTTCGAATGATGTCCCCTGGTCTGTGCTTTTACATAAGTAAGAAAAAAGTTCCAATTCAGCAACTCTGAGAAAGCAGCTTGATCCCTTCTCATTGTTTACAGCAGTCACTATTCAAACCATTTATACTTTTCAGAAATACACAGTAGCTTTGACAATGTTCTTACAAAATATTTGTGATTAATTTACTACATAAAATAAAAGGTCTAGGAGCATTTAGGAAAAAATCATTCAAAAGGAGGAGGATATTACTATTAAGATGTTGCTATGTTGCTCAACGATGGAGTTAAAAAAATAGGAGTAAAAGAAGATCTTGCTATTAACATTAACTGTTAGGAACACCCCTTGTGTATATGCATCACATTGGTTTTTAATTTTATAATCACATTTGAACAAATGGCAAATAACCACAATCTAGTTTGGCTCCAAAATATGTTTGCATTGTCTAGATTAAACAACAATTAAGCCTCTGAAAAATGCTCCTAATACTTCTCTCTTTTTCCTTCAGTTAATTTGACCATGAGAAGAAAACTGCGCAAACACAATTGCCTTCAGAGGAGATGTATGCCTCTCCATTCACGAGTACCCTTTCCCTGAGGTATTTCTGACAGAAAATAGATTCGCTACATTTAGGCAGTGTTCCAAATTAGATATACCAGGAAATGTTTCTTCACAGTTTGTAATATGTGATAATGGCTTATGGCAATGTCAAGACTTAAGAGATGCATACCAATAAATGAAAGAGTTAAATGAATGACATGACTTTTGAGAATTGCTTTAATAGTTAAGGAAGAAAATTAGACAGATGAGGACAATGTAGGAAAATCTTGATAACTGTTGAATCTGAGTAACAGCTATTTGGGGGCTAATATTATTGCGGATGTTATGCAGAACGAGCCGATTCCCCTATTAAGACCAGTGTGTATGAAAGCATTTGGATGTATTCACCCAACAGCCCCATACCAGCAATGAACTACCATCAATACTTCGGGGTTTCTTTTCTTCTCCTCCTCTCCTCCTCTCCTCCTCTCTCCTCTTACCTCTCCCCTCTCCCCCAGGGTCTTGCTCTGTCACCCAGGCTGGAGTGTAATGATGTGATCCCAGCTCATTGCAGCCTCAACCTCCCGGGCTCAAGTGATCCTCCCACCTCAGCCCCCCAAGTAGCTGGGACTACAGGCATGCGCCACCACTCCTGGGTAATTTTTGTATTTTTTGTAGAGATGAGGGTTCCCCATTTTGCGCAGGCTGGTCTCGAACTCCTAGCCTCAAGTGATCCACCCGCCTTGGCCTTCCAAAGTGCTGGAATTTCAGATGTAAGCCACCACACTTCATATTCCTATTCAACTATTATTTGCCCTCAGGGTTTATTTATTTTTTCTGAAAATATTTCTTTTAATAGATAAAGTAAAGTTAACACTAATAAAATGGCAGCTTTCCAGCCTCACCAATAGTAGTGATCTTGATAGTCACATCTTAAGGATAAATTCTGGTAGAGTTTTGCTCCTCCCTTTTCTTGTTTTTACACTTGTTAAATAATGTTAGACCACCACAATTACTGGTAATACTGCTTGAATCAGTTAACTTCAAACACTGTCCAAGTTTAAGTCACTTCATACTAAAAAATACACAGTTTGGCATTCCATTGTAAGTATTTCAAGCTCATTAATTCATTTAAGATATAGCTTCCTTAAAAAATGCCACAGAAATATCCCTCATCTGGTTAACATACACAGGCAATGGCAAAATTAGCTTATTCAGTTGGCCTGTAGAGTAGCTTTTACGGTTCCATTCATTCAGTGGAAAGAACAGTTGCTGTATCTATTGTTTAATGCATGCTTTCCAAACCCGGGGAAAGCCCTGTAGTAGAAAATTAAATGAAGGAGGAGCAATTTCATAATAAACATTTATCAAAAGGATTGAGACAAAAATGTCAAGTTCTCTATGTCTATATCTGTAACAAATTAATCTTTGTTATCAAAATATGAAAAATAGCTTTGGTGGAGGAATCCAGAAAGATACAGTAGGAGGTTTCTGAGAAGCCAATTAATGGTGATTGAAACATGCTTTAAAAAGATTTTCTGTGTTAAAATATCCTTTGGTGTGTGTTGATAATGCTTCCAGCAGAGCATTTCAGTGTCATGTATGAAATAATGGTAAAAATCTGTGCTTAAGAGGAATAGAGACACCCCAGATTTTTCCAGCACTCCTTCATAAATAACAAAGAGGAGAGGACACATTTCACAATAGCAAGAGAATTCCTGCATATACAAAGAAAGATACCTTGCAAAATATAAACACAAGTCTTTAGATAGCCACATATTATCCTCAAATCACATACCATAAAAACCAGTGTTACAAGTAAGCATGAATAGTGAAATTTGAATTTTTAAAGTTGAGGGGAATTTTGACTTACAAATCAAGTTTGTAAACCAAAGGGAAATTTAATTAAAGCTATGCAAACTACTTAATAATAGCAACTCTTTACAAAAGTTGGCTGAGAGCTTATAAAACTGCTTGGGTGACAGCATCCATTTTCTCAGTTTTAGACTCGTTCTACATTTCAGCTACTGTTCTTTGAAGAATGTTTAAAAGTCACCTGTTGGAATCTACTGTAAGAGTTAATGTAAGATAAACATTAGAAAATTTTTCAAGACCTTGCTCAACCAGCACTATAATAACAAGTGCTACCTTCAGATCTGATAACATAATTCTCACTGTCCTAAATACTTTCCCATTTTTTATATGTTTTGCAACAAAGGCACTTTGATAACTGGGTAAATGTACTGTAAACCTAGGTAGTGGACTCTAAGGCAAAACACCCCTTTCACTTCTTCCCCTCTAATTTTTTGGATGCTTTAGATAAAATCACATGTGGTTATTTGATCAGTTAGGATCAAGTAAGACTTTGTAAAAGGATAGGTAAGGTAAACAATTGACTTTGAAAGTTTTCCAGATTAACCCTTTATTAGAGTGTTCAGACCTTTAGCTCTTTTAATAGAAATGTCATATTATCTTTACTCTGTCAATTTTTCCAGCTCCTAGGGTCATCCTCAATGATCCCAGCCTATGCAACTGAATTAATTACACAGAAAATTACATGCTGTATGCCGTTCATTTCCTTGATTTTTTTTTCTCAGAAATATTTTGGCACCACCTTCAGTCCTAAGTGATTTAGAGTGAAGGAGAGCAAGGGAAGGGGTGTCAGGAAATGCAAGTCTACAGGTTAATGTGAGGGCCCTAGAGTGGAAAATGAGGTCGCGACTTAAGGCTGGAATGACTTCTCCCTTCCAACAGTAAAATCTCAGCACATCAATGCTTTTATTTATAAGTATGTACTCTAAGGCCAGGTCCAGTGGCTCATGCCTATAATCCCAGCACTTTGGGAGGCAGAGGTAGGTGGATTGCTTGAGTGCAGGAGTTCAAGACCAGCCTGGACAACATGATTTAACCTTGTCTCTACCAAAAAAAAAAAAAAAAGTTAGCCAGGCATGGTGGCGTGTGCCTCTAGTCCTAGCTATTTGGGGGGCTGAGGCCTCCAGGGAGGATCATTTGAGCCCAGGAGTTTGAGGCTGCAGTGAGCTATGATTATGCACTCCAGCCTAGACTCTGTCTCTAAAACATTACTTACTTAATATGTACTCTAGATAACTACATACTCCGTCAATACATACTCTACTAGCTTTTTTTTTTAATTTATTTTTATTTTTTGAGACAGAGTTTTCACTCATGTTGCCCAGGCTGGAGTGCAATGGTGCCATCTCGGCTCACCGGAGCCTCCACCTTCCAGGTTCTAGCGATTCTCCTGCCTCAGCCTCCCGAGTAGCTGGGATTACAGGCATGCACCACCATACTCGGCTAATTTTGTATTTTTAGTAGAGACAGGGTTTCTCCATGTTGGTCAGGTTGGTCTCGAACTCCCGACCTCAGGTGATCTGCCCCCCCTCAGACTCCCAAAGTGCTGGGATTACAGGCATGAGCCACTGCGCCTGGTCTAGCTAGCTTTTTAATAACAATTGTAATACATCTTCATGGTGTAGAATATATTTCTAACAGTATGGAAGAATGTAAAGTCAAAAGTACAAGTTCCCCATCCTACCCTATTGCCCATATTCATGTTCCAGAGGTAATGACTATGAATATATTTTTGGAAAAAGTGTCTTTTAATACATTATTATTATTATTATTAATTTCATTATTATTATACTTAAAGTTTTAGGGTACATGTGCACAACGTGCAGGTTTGTTACATATGTATACATGTGCTATGTTAGTGTGCTGCACCCATTAACTCATCATTTAGCATTAGGTATATCTCCTAACGCTATCCCTCCCCACTCCCCCCACCCCACAACAGTCCCTGGTGTGTGATGTTCCCCTTCCTGTGTCCATGGGTTCTCATTGTTCAATTCCCACCTGTGAGAACATGCGGTGTTTGGTTTTTTGCCCTTGCGATAGTTTGCTGAGAATGATGGTTTCCAGCTTCATCCATGTCCCTACAAAGGACATGAACTCATCATTTTTTATGGCTGCATGGTATTCCATGGTGTTAATACATTATTTTTAATTGAGTCCAACTGATACTCTCTTGTCACCCTCACTTGGTATTCAAGCTTTGCTTCTAGTTTCCTATTTTCTGTCTTATTCTTACCCCCTTGCAGTCATGGGCATCTGACCCCCTTAACCAAACCTGCCCTGCTTCCCAACTCTTCCTGCAATTGTCCTAGCATCTTCATCCTTCTCACTCCATTCTCTCCACCTCTTGGGTTTAAGTGAAACCCAATTCTGCTTTCAGCATAGAATCTCTACTTTCATGGAGCACTTCATCTCCAACTTTAGCTGGGCTCTCTGGGAAGAACTCTTCTGCACTTCATATTCCTATTCAACTATTATTTCAAACTAATAACCTCTAGTTTCTTTACACTTCTTAATCTCCTCTTCCAACTCACAGCAAAAGATAACTCCTCTTACTTCAAGTGAAATAGGAGGTCATTAAGCCTCAAAATCCAACCTCGCCCTCAAACTACAGACATCTACATCTACAATGCTTCTTTTATGTTCCCTTTCTAGTCTTTCTTTTTCTTTTTTTTTTTTTTTGAGACAGGATCTCATTCTGTCACCCAGGCTGGGTGCCATGGCATGATCATAGTTCACTGTAGCCTCAAAGTCTCAGGCTCAAGTTATCCTCCTGCCTCAGCCTTCCAAGTATCTGACAGTACCGGTGTGTGCCAACGTGCTTGGCTAATTTTAAGATTTTTTGTAGAGACAGGGTCTAACTTTGTTTCCAGGCTGGTCTTGACCTTCTGGGCTCAAGCAATCCTCTTACCTTGGCCTCCCAAAGTGCTGGGATTACAGGCATGAGCCACTGTGTGTGGCCCCTAGTCTTTCAATAAAAAATACCTCTCAAGTATGGGTAATCTCCCTACACCTCAAGGACCTTGATCTAGCAATTATACTCTCTTGCTCCCCCAGAATGTTCAATATGTCAACACTGATCTATTTTGTCTTAAAAAAAAAAAAAAAGACAGAAAGACGAAAGAGACAAAGACAGAAAGAAAGAGGAGGAGAAGAAATAAAAAGAAGAGAGAAAGAAGACAGAAAGAGAGGAAGAGAAGAAAGAGAAGGGAAGAAAAAAGGAAAGAAAGAAACAGGGAAAGAAGGAGAGAAAGAAAGAAGGAAAAAAAGAAAGAAAGAATGAAAGAAAGAAAGAAAGAGAAAGAAAGAAAGAAAGAAAGAAAGAAAGAAAGAAAGGAGAAGAGAAAGAAAGGAGAGAAGAAAGAAACAAAGAGAGAGGGAAAGAAGAAAGAAAAAGAGGAAGGAAGAGAAGGAAAGAAAGAAGAGTTCCACCATTGACTCCATAGTGCTCTCTAGCGACCAGCCCATGTTCTCTTCATCTCTTCAAAGCCACACTTTTTGAAAAGGCAGCTGTTTTCTTTCCTCCCAACTATTTTCAACACATTGTTCCCCTTTTCCTTCTGCGGAAGGTCCATTATGACTTCCTTCTTCTGAATCCAGTGAATGTGTTTCAGTCCTGATCTCAGTTATCCCGCTGTAGGTCAAATGGAACACAAAATAATAACAATAATTTGACAAACAACACCTTACAATATATACCTTTCCAGTTTCATCTGTTACCTTATTCTTTCCCCCTTGCCTGTCCCAGAGGAGATAAGAGTTAAGACTGTGTTTGGACCTACTAGATTCAAGCTCTGGCCACACAGCTCACTCTCTGGTGATCATTGTTGGTAAGTCATTTATTCTCTCTGAGCTTCCCTCCACTTCCAGATCTGTAAGATGGAAATTGTTATGGCCCTTATCCTATCATAACAATACTTGGCACACAGTAAGTGCTAAATAAATAGTAGTTAGACTTATTATTACTTTAAAATCAGTCCATTCTTCACCTCTTAACTGTTCTTCAAGCTATGCTTTTGCCTCAAATTTTTTCACTTTTTTTCTCAGTATCATTCATCCTTTAGGAAACCTTCTCTGATTTTATTACCCCTATTAGTTACAATAGATATACCCACTTTTGCTCTCAGAGCACTAGTTACATACTTCTGTTAAAGTCCTTAACGCCTGGCATTAGAAAGTGTTAACTGACTATAGTCTTCCCCTCTTCCCTCTGCATGCTGTAAATTCCCTGAAGGCCGAGGGTAGGTTTTATTTATCTTTGTATTTTCAGCCAAAAAAAAAGTGCCTAAGTGTTTTTGCTTGTTTGTTTGTTTTGTTTTGTTTTTGAGACAGAGTCTTGCTCTGTCGCCCAGGCTGGAGTGCAGTGGTGTGATCTCAGCTCACTGCAGCCTCCGCCTTTTGGGCTCAAGCAATTCTCCTGCCTCAGCCTCTCAAGTAGCTGGCATTACAGGTTTGTGCCACCACACTCAGCTAATTTGGGTATTTTTAGTAGAAACGGGGTTTCACCATGTTGGCCAGGTTGGTCTCGAACTCCTGACTTCAAGTGATCTGCCCCCCTCGGCCTCCCAAAGTGCTAGGGTTACAGGTGTGATCCATCGTGCCCAGCCTCATAATGTTGCTAAAAGATGTAAAATAGGCTGGGCGTGGTGGCTCACACCTATAATCCCAGCACTTTGGGAGGTCAAGGTGGGCAGATCGCTTGAGGTCAGGAGTTCGAGACCAGCCTGACCAACACAGTGAAATGCCATCTCTACTGAAAATACAAAAATTAGCCAGGTCTCATGGTGGGCACCTGTAATCCCAGCTGCTCAGGAAGCTGAGGCAGGAGAATCACTTGAACCCAGGAGGCGGAGGTTGCAGAGAGCCAAGATCACGCCATTGCACTCCAGCCTGGGTGACAGAGTGAGACCATGTCTCAAAAAAAAAAAGATGAAATGAAATGAAGCTTTTATTCATTATCTTTCAATTTAAGATCATAAATTTAAGACTTGTTCTCACTAGACACACACACATTTTCAGATTTATTTTCTAATATTTCTAGGATGGAACTATCATTTTCTATCTCTGTGGTGGAGATATTTCCTCTTCTAGGAATTTCTTCTCTCATCAAGTCCAAACTCTCTCCCTCCTTGAGAATTCTCATAAATCCTATTTTCCTCATGACGACCACCCTAATTCAGTTAGTTTAAAATAAACTTCATCCTCCTAACAATCACAGCACTTTTAGTAGTAGGCTTTTAAAGCCATCTATCACATTTGACTTTGTTTCTTTAGATTTTTATCAGTATTGAAATATGAGCTCCTTGAAGACAAGATTTAGCCCCTAAAGCTTAATGTGAATGGCCCAAGAACTGCCTTAAATATGGGGCATTCCTGTGTGGGCTGAAATATCTGCAGGACATATTGCATAAAGCTAAATGAAATATTGAAAATTACTCTTTTCTAAATTAATCACAGCCCAGTGTCCAAAAGTCATGCTTGGAGGAAATCCCTAATGTCCCTAATTTACTGATGAGATAAAACTTTTCTGTAAAGATTATGATGCCAGCCAGCCACAGTGGCTCACACTTGTAAACCCAGCACTTTGGGAGCCTGAGGTGGGAGGATCTTTTAAGACCAGGAGTTTGAGATCAGCCTGGGCAACACAGCAAGACACTGTCTCTACAAAAAATACATTAGCTGGCATGATGGTGTATACCTATAGTTCCAGCTACTCAGGAGGCTGAGGTGGGAGGATTGCTTGAGCCGAGGGGTTGAGGCTATAGTGAGCTGTGATCATACCACTGCACTCCAGCCTGAGAGACAGAGTGAGACTCCGTCTAAAAAAAAAGAAAAAGATTATGATGCCTTAATGATGAATATATTTACTTATACACTTATATATCAATGCATAAATATAGTGATGTTTATATTATAAACATTTATTACAATAATTGTATATTCCTCTGAACAAAGTATGTATACAATGTTCTAGAGTTTCAAAGTTTTCTTTTCTTTTCTTTTCTTTTTTTTTTGGGACAGAGTTCCACTCTTGTTGCCTAGGCTGGAGTGTAGTGCAGTGGCACAATCTCGGCTCACTGCACCCTCCACCTCCCAGGTTCAAGCAGTTCTCCTGGCTCAGCCTCCCAAGTAGCTGGGATTACAGGCACCTGCCACCAGGCCTGGCTAATTTTTTTGTATTTTTAGTAGAGACGGGGTTTCACCATGTTGGCCAAGCGGGTCTCAAACTCTTGACCTCAGGTGATCTTCCCACCTCAGCCTCATAAAGTGCTGGGATTACAGGCATGAGCCACTGCGCCCGGCCAGTTTTCTTCATTTTAAAAACTGATTTCTCCTTACAAAATGTGTAATAATTCTTTCCATAGATAGCTAAACTAGCTGCTCTCTACCATGTTGTTCAGGAATCTAAAATTTCTTTTTAGCATAAATCCCATCTAATCCATTCCCCTCCTTACCCACCCCCATCTTCCTCTTCCTTCTTGGTATTACGGAAGACATGGCCAATCCTTCATATGTGCTGTGGGTCCCCTTCTCTCCCTAAGATTTCTTAGGAATTTCAAGCTGTACTTATACCTTTACCTCTCTGGATCATCGTGTCAACTTGAAAGTTTAAATGGTGATAAGCCTATATCCTAAAACAAAAAAAACACACATATACACATCCACATACCCCTCAGTCAATGCTCTCATGATTTTTCTGTACTCATTGTCCCTGATTCATTATTTTGTATTCACATCTAAATCCACTTTAATCTGCTTACATCTCCATTAGAATTATCCTTATCTTACTAAATTTTTTTTTTTTGAGATGGAGTTTCTCTCTTGTCACCCAGGCTGGATTGCAATGGTTCCATCTCAGCTCACTGCAACCTCTGCCTCCTGGGTTTAAGCGATTCTCCTGCCTCAGCCTCCTGAGTAGCTGGGATTACAAGCATGCGCCACCATGCCCAGCTAATTTTTGTATTTTTAGTAGAGACAGGGTTTCACCATGTTGGCCAGGCTGGTCTCGAACTCCTGACCTCAGGTGATCCATCTGCCTCGGCCTCCCAAAGTACTGGGATTACAGGCTTGAGCCACCGTGCCCAGTCTGATCTTTCTAAATTAATTGACAAATTTTAGTCTTCTTCCTGATTTCACAGCAGAATTTAGCAGCTGGCTACTTGGCCTGCAAAAGTCCCTTCCCTTCAATTCCAGGGCACCATACTTATTTCCACTAAGTTCTCAGCCAACCCTCTGCCTCCTAAACAGGCTGTTGTACCCTGCAAGGTATAATAAAATGTATCTCTACTCTCTCCTGCTCTGTTTTATCCATTCCTTTAGCCTCAATTACCTCTTTACCCTTAAGTATCATACTCCTGAGGAAAAAAAGAAAAAAAGAAGATAACCACTCAAATGAATCAAGCCAGGGCTATTTATTCAGAGTTTACATAGCAAGGGAGTCAGCCAGCATCTCTTGAGTTTGGCAGAGGACCAAGACAGGCAGAGAATCAGGAAAGCTTCATTGTGAGAAACAGAGAAGGCTTTAGGTATGATGTGACTGGAGATTGTTGGCATGGGAAAGCTGAAGGCAGGCTATCTAGAAGCATGATATCCTATTTAATTTGGGGAGTATATGTGGTTTTCTTCAGTTAGTCCTAAGCTAGAATCAGGGGAGGAGGGATAAAAAGGAAACTGGTAGTTCTTAACCATCTGGGACCAGCTGCTGCAGAGGTTGTGATTTGGCTTCCTGGGCTGGTTGCTGCAGTTTGTGGGTCAAAGCATTAATATAGGAGCTGGCCATTGTACACTTGTACATATTCAGTCTCCCAGTTCCCAATTTGTCACCAGTTCACATTACACAAGCTCAACGACTGTTTACCTTGCAGCAACCTTCACACCTCCACTTTTGCTTCTCTTTTATCCATTCTTCGTATTATGGCTTCTATACTTCTTAAGGTCCTTTAGTGATTTCTCATTACTCTTACAATTGAAATAAAATTCTGAATGTAAACCACAAAAGCACTTCTCTGTAAGTTTGTCAAATATGTCATGTTCCTTACCACTTCAGGGCTTTTACACATTATTTCCTCCGCCTAGACGTGCTTTTTTCCTACTCTTCACCTTTTTCCTACTCAATGAAAATTTTGATTAAATGTCACTTCTCTTGAGAGTGTGTGTGTGTATGTGTGTGTGTACCATATATAACTTCTTTTTTTTTGAGACAGAGTTTTGCTCTTGTTGCCCAGGCTGGAGTGCAATGACGTGATCTCGCCTCACTGCTAGATCCGCCTCCCGGGTTCAAGCGATTCTCCTGCCTCAGCCCCCCAATAACTTCTTTTATTACACTGGCCAAAGTAACCTCGGTGAGGGTGGGGTGGGAGTGGGGATGAGGGTGGGGGATATGTGGGGGCTTGGAGTTCTTTAGGTATCACATTTCATTTATGTCAAAATTGTGCTGGAGTTTAGTTCAATTTTATACTTAGTCTTCACATTTTTTTCTAATAGCAACATTTTTATATATACGAAAATTATATGTGTATAAATATGACATATATACACATTATTTAAACATATGAAATCCATTTACTGCTTTGTCTTTTACTTAGCATCTAAGTGACATTTAATCTAATTTACTTTAATATTGTATAAATATGACATATATACACATTATTTAAACACATATGAAATCCATTTACTACGTTTATCTTTTACTTAGATGTATTTATTTGTACATATGAAAACAGTAAGTTATTTTTATTTTTATTTTACTTTAAGTTTCAGAATACATGTGTAGAACGCACAGGTTTGTTACATAGGTAAACGTGTGCCATGGTGGTTTCTTGCACCTATCAACCGTCACCTAGGCATTAAGAGACGGTCACTTTGAATGACACTGTAGTCCAGTCGGCCCTCCATATCTGTGGGTTTTTCATTAAATCAGCCAATGGCAGATTGAAAATATTCAGGAAAAAAAACAGAATGGCAGTATCTGTACTGAACATGTTCAAACTTTTTTCCTTGTCTTTATTCCCTAAACAATACAGTATAACAACTATTTACATACCATTTATATTGTATTAGGTATTATAAGTAATCTGCAAACAATTTAAAGTATACGGAAGGCTAAGTGTAATTTATATGCAAATACTACACCATTTTATATAAGGGACTTCAGCATCCATGGATTTTGGTATCCAAGGGAAATCCTAGAACCAGTTCCCAGGGATACTGAGGGATGATTGCATTTCACTGTATGGATAGCCTTAATTTATTTATCTTGACTTTATTGATCAATATTTATGTTTTGTAATATTTATTTATGCTATTTTGAACAACGCTGCAGTGAATGGCATGCATACGTATTTGAACATATGTACACTTATTTTCTTGCAAAATACTCCTAGAAGTGGAATTATGAGGATATGCATGTTTAATTTTTTTCAGTTATCATTTATACACCCGACAATTCACCCATTTAAGGTGTACAATTTAATGGCTTTTACTATATTCCTAAGTTGTGCAACCATCACCATGATCAATTTTAGAACATTTTCATCATCCCATAAAGAAACCCCATTCTCATTAGCAGGCACTCCCCATTTCTCCCCAGCTGTTCAGTCCTGGACAGCCACTAACCTACTTTCTGTCTCTATAGATTTCCCTATTCTAGATATTCCATATAAATGAATTCTTGTGATATGTGGTCTTTGTAATTAGCTTTTTTCACTTAATGTTTTCAGGGCCCATCCCTGTAGTAGCATGTATCAGTACTCCACTCTAATTTACGACTGAATACAATTCCATGATATGGAAAAATCACATTTTGTTTGTCCAGTCACCTATTGATGAACATTTGGGTTATTCCGGCTGTTTGGCTAATATGAATCATTCTGCTGTGAACATTAGTGTATAAGTTTTTGTTGGAACATATGTTTTCAGTTCTCTGGGAATTAAAAGAGAGGAATTGTTGGGTCATATGGTTATGCTATGTGTAACTCATTGAGGAACTGCCAAACTGTTTTTCACAGTAGTGGCATCATTTCACATTCCCACCAGCAGTATACGTGGGTTTTAATTTCTCCACATGCTTGCTAACACTTGTTGTTATAGCTGTCCTAGAGGGTGTGAAGTGACAACTTATTGTGGTTTTGATTTGCATTTCCATAATGACTAAAATGTTGAGCATCTTTTCATGTGCTTATTGGATATTTGTGTCTCTTTGGAGAAATGGCTATTCAAATCCTTTGCCCATTTTTCAGTTGGATTATTTGTCTTTATATCGTTGAGCTGTAAGATATATATATATGTGTGTGTATATATTCTGAATACAGGGCCCTTATCTGAAATATGATGTGCAAATATTTTCTTCCATTCTGTGGATGTCTTTTTTTGGTGTTGTCCTTGGAGCAAAAAAGTTTTTAATTTTATTGACATCAAATTAGTCTATGTTTTCTTTGGTAGCTTGTTCTTTAGATATTATATATTTAAAAAATAATCGAAGGTCACAAAGATTTACATCTACTTTGTCAATTTCTGCAAAGAGCCATTTGGTATTTGGATAGGGATAGTTTTAAATCTATAGATCAATGTAACAAGTATTGCCATTTTGACAAAATTAAGTCTTCCAATACATGAAATGGAATGTATTTCTCTTTGTTCAGGTCTACTTTAATTGCTTTTGTAGTATTCAGAGTACAAGTTTGTACTTCCTTTGTTAAATTTATTCTAAGTATTTTATTCTTTTGATGCTATTGCAAACGGAATTTTCTTAATTTCATTTTTGAATTGTCCATTGCTAATGTATAGGCATATGATTGATTTTTTATTGATCTTATATCCTGAAATCTTAATAAAATTATTGATTCATTCTCATAGGTTTTTCAGAAGGTTCCTTAGGATTTGCTGTGCACAAGCTCACGTACAAGATCACCTGCAAATTGAGATAGTTTCTTCTTCCTTTCTAATCTGGGTTTCTTTTTTCTTTTCTTGCCTAAGTGCCCTGATAAGAACCTCCAAAGTAGTTCAAGCAAACATGTTTGTCTTATTCTTGGTCCCAGATTTAGTCTTTCATCTATTAAGTATTATGTTAGTTATGGGTCTTTGTAGATGACCTTTATCAGATTGAGAAAGTTCTTTTTCTATTGCAAGATTGATGAATGTTGTTATTATGAAGGGAGGATGTTTGTTTTGGTCACCTTCTTTTTCTGTATCTAAATTATCATGTGTGGCCAGATGTGGTGGCTCATGCCTGTAATTCCAGCACTTCGGGAGGCTGAGGGGGGCAGATTGCTTGAGTCAGGGAGTTTGAGGCCAGCCTGGGCAATATAGCAAAACCCCATCTCTGCAAAAATTACAAATAATTAGCCAAGCAGGTGTGGTGGCATGCACCTACGGTCCCAGCTACTCAGGAAGCTGAAGTGAAAGAATCGCCTGATCCCAGGCCAAGGAAGTCAAGGCTGAGTGAGCTGTGATCAAACCACTGCATTCTAGCCTGAGCAATGGAGTGTGACCCTGTCTCAAAAGAAAAAAACATACAGAAAACCAAATATATATTCACACACACATATATATGTATATATATTATCATGTGTTATGTGTTTTGTCTCTTATTCTATTGATACTATGCATCACATTAAATGATTTTCAGATGTTAAATTAACATTGTATTTCCGAGGTAAATCCCACTAAATCATAATGTTCTTCATATGTTGCTGAATTTAGATTGCTAGTATTTTGCTGAGGATTTTTACAGCTACATTCATAAGAAATATTGGTCTGCACTTTTCTTATGATGTCTTTTTCTGATTTTGGTATTGGGTAACCATAAAATGACGTGGGAAGTGTTTTCTCCTCTTCTAAATTTTGGAAAAGTTTGGGGAAAATTGATACTAATTATTCTTTAATTCATTTATAGGATTCACCAGTGAAGCCATGTGGTTCTTTTTGGAAAGTTTCTTAATTGCTAATTCGATCTTTTTTCTTGCTATATATCCATTTCAGATTTTTATTTCTTTTTGAGTCAGTTTTGGTAATTTGTGTCTTTCTAGGAATTTGTCTATTTTATCTAAGTTATCAAATTTGTTGGCACACAGTTGTTTATACTATTTTCTTATAGTTATTTTTTGTTTCTGTAAGGTTAGTAGTGATGTTCCCTCTTTCATTTCAGAGTAGTAGTTTGAGTCTTTTCTCTTTTATTCTTGGTCAGTCTAAATAAAGTTCATCAATTTTGTTGCTATTTCCAAAGAAACAACTTTGGTTTTGTTGATTTTTGCTATGGTTTTTCCATTCTCCAGTTCATTTGTTTCTGCTGTAATCATTATTATTTCCTTGCTTCTGCCTGATTTAGGTTTTGTTTGCTCTTCCATGTTTAGGGTCTTAAGTGAAATGTTAGGTATTCAATTGGGATCTTTCTTCTCTTTTACTATAGATGTTTATAGGTATAAATTTCTCTTCAAGTGCTACTTTAGCTGTATTCCCTAAATATTCATTGTCAGTCATCTCAAAATACTCTCTTATTTCCCTTCTGAGTCTTCTTTGAGTTACTGGTTGTTTAGGAGTGTGTTGTTAATTTCCATATATTTGAGAATTTCTCAAATTTCTTTTGTTATTGATTTCTAATTTGATTCCATTGTTGAATCATCTATTTTTCCTTTCAATTCTGCCAGATTTTGCTTCATGTATTTTAGGGCTCTAAGTATATATATCTTCATAATTGTTCTATCTTCCTCAGTTGACCCTTTTAGCATTATAAATGTCATTCTTTGTCTCTAGTAATAATTTTTGTCTTAATTTTTAAAACTATGACATTATTAGTATATTCGCTTCAGCTCTCTTATACTTGCTGCTTGCATGATATCTCTTTTTCCATCCTTTGACTTTCAATCTATTTTTGGCTTTGAATCAGAAATATGCCTTTGCAAAGAACCTATGGTTAATCATGTTTTTTGTTTGTTTGTTTTTTTACCCCGTCTGACACAATCTGCCTTTTGAATGGATTATTTAGTAAGTTCATGTTTAATTTTATTATTTATATGGTTGAACTTACGCAATTTTATTTTTTCTTTTCTATATGTCCCATGTCTTTTTTTGTTCCTCTCTTCCTCTTCTACTGCTTTCTTTGCATTAAATGAATATTTTCTTGGGTTTGTATTTTGGTCACCGAAAAAAAAAATAATAAAAGGAAAGAAAAAATAAGAATATTGTGCAGTATAACATTTTAATTTATTTAACAATTTTTTGGCCGGGCGTGGTGGCTCACACCTATAATCTCAGCACTTTGGGAGGCCGAGGCAGGCAGATCACTTGAGATCAGGAGTTCAAGACTAGCCTGGCCAACATGGCAAAACCCTGTCTCTACTAAAAATACAAAAAAATTAGCCAGGTGTCGTGGCGCACGCCTGTAATCCCAGCTACTTGGGAGGCTGAGGCAGGAGAATCATTTGAACCCAGGAAGTGAAGGTTGTGGTGAGCCAAGATCGTGCCACTGTGCTTCAACCTGGGCGACAAACATGTATATATTGTAAGTTTGATAAGCAAAAAAAATCCATCTCATTTTCATCTATTTTTTACAAAACACACACATATATATTTTTTCTTTTCTTTTCTTCTTTATTTTTTTATTTTTTTATTTTTTTGAGAGAGTCTTGCTCTGTCACCCAGGCTGGAGTGCAGTGGCTTGATCTGGGGTCACTGCAACCTCTTTCTTCCAGGTTCAAGCAATTCTCGTGCCTCAGCGGGGAATATAGGCATGCACCACCATGCCCAGCTAAATTTTGTATTTTTGGTAGAGACAGGGTTTCACCATGTTGGCCAGGCTGGTCTCAAACTCCTGGGCTTAAGCAATCCACCTGCCTCGGCTTCCCAAAGTGCCAGGATTATAGGCGTGAGCCACCATACCCAGCCACACATATATTTTTTCGAGATGAGCTCTTGCTATGTTTTCCAGGCTGTTTTTAAACTTCTGTGCTGAAGCCTTCCTCTCACCTCAGCCTCCCCAGTAGGTGTGAGCCATCATGCCTGGCCCCATTTCATTTTTATGTTCAAATTTAGGCAATCCGAGTTGAGAGAAATGATTCCAGAAGAGGTATCTCTATATTTGTATTGCTAAATTAGTCATAGTTAACACCCCACTATGACTGTGAGATGTGAAGTGAAAGTGAAATGTGAAGGAGGTGGAAGCTTCCAGAAATGAAGCAAGAAGCAGCCTTCATGTCTTCAGGAGGGGTCCCAAAAGAAACTACCTAGGGAAACATTGACACCAGTGGCGCACACCTGTAATCCTAGCTATTCAGGAGGCTGGGGCATGAGAATCACTTGAACTCAGAGGCAGAGGTTGCAGTGAGCTGAGACCGTGCCACTGCACTCCAGCCTGGGCAACAGAGTGAGACTGTCTCAAAAAGTAAATAAAATAAAAGTTTAAATTCAGCCTTTTAAAGACACATAGGTGCTGCATTTCTATTGGAAGGTAAGAATATATAAAGTTGCTTTCAGCACTGATAAACACTGATAAACTTCCATAACTCATTATTAAAAAAAAAATTAGGCATGTGTTTATTGGTGTGCTGGATAGTATTTCTTTGATGTATTTGTTTCTCCCTTGCCTCTCAAATATAGATCTCTCTAGCTAACTTTACTGGATCTATCAGAAGAAGAAGAGGAGTGAAGGAAAGACACCCAGCCACACAAAAGAACTTCATGATGCCAACAGCGTGATTGCTTAGAAGTTCCTACACAAAAAAAGGATCATTTGAAAGCACCTGGAATGGTTTATTAGCTTCACAGGATTTTATTCTTCTTGGCTTCTATTTGGAGGGAAAATAACATAAATTCAAAAGGATTCCAATCTGAAGCCCAAATCGTTTGCCTACATAACAAAAATATCTCATCTTTTCCTGCACATTATTATTCTTTTATGGGTTAAAAAGAAAAATACCTTTTAGTGTTTTAGAACTCTCTCATGGTAAAAAGTGCAAGAATTTAAAATGTTGCTTTCATATTCCTATAATTCTCCAAAAGTATTAAATTCGTATATGTTTGAGTGATTTTCTAAAAACTGCTCAACCTGAAATCAATTGCATTGACCATTTGGCTTCGCACAATAGGGAGAAAATAATTGGTTCATTGATTATATAGAGAGAAAGACTAAGAAAAGCTATTAATTGCTACCAATTTTATGATAAGCTTTAAGGTTTATGAAAGTATGTTTTTTTATTTAATGAGTAATGTCCATTTGAAGTTGAAAGAAAACATGAAATCCTAATTGTAGTTCATTTTATGTTCAAATGAAACCATTGTTTTTGTTTTTGTTTTGAAACAGAGTCTCACTCTGTTGCCCAAGGTGGAGAGAAGTGGCACGCTTTTGTCTCACTGCAACCTCCACCTCCCGAGTTCAAGTGATTCTCGTGCCTCAACCTCCCAATTATAGGCTGGGATTACAGGTGTGCACCACTACACCCAGCTAATTCTTGTATTTTTTGTAGAGATGAGGTTTTACCCTGTTGCCCAGGCTGGTCTTGAACTCAGGCTGGAACCATTCATTTTTTAACCTTTCTCATCATGTAATTATAGGAACCCAACGTTTGATTTCCTTTGAAGTTTTGTTATGTCCTTTATTATTTTGTATGGATAATTTCTTTAAAAGTCTTACTTAAAGTTGACATCTAAAATACAGTTATGCCAATGAAGTCCCACTCAGGGTGATATCTGTATCTAAAAGATGAGTGCTCATCATCCTATTAGGCTTTGTCTTGGTGGTGTTCATCCTGAGATGCTGAGACATGGAAATAAAAAATCAGAAGGAATTTAGGGATATGATTACTCAAAAAAGAAACTATCCTGTCTAAATTTGAATTGTGTTGATAACTAGGTGTTCCCCAGATGCTAAGATGTTCTTAATTTGTATTTATTGAAGGATTGTTAGCTTAGTGCCACAAAATTTTTCTTACTTTATGTTAATTCCAGATAAGAAATTTACAAGTTTATATCTTTTTTTTTCTTTTTTTTAAGATGAGATCTGGCTCTATCACCCAGGCTAAAGTGCAGTGGCATGATCTAGGCTAACTCCCTGGCTCAAGCGATCCTTCCACCTCAGCCTCCCAAGTACCTGGGACTACAGGCACTCACGGCCACACCTGACTAATTTTTGTATTTTTTTGTAGAGATGGAGTATCGCCATGTTGCCCAGGTTGGTCTCAAACTCAGGCTGGTGAGCTCAAGTGATCCGCCTCCTTGGCCTCCCAAAATACTGGGATTACAGGCATGTGCCACCATGCTGGGCCACAAGTTCATATCTGGAGTAGAAGTTTTACTTTGTAAATATTATAAAGTAGAAGAAACCATAAACCATTTTGCTAAAATGAAAGGTTGGGGTTAATATAAATGTAATTTTAAATAGAAAATCTGACAACACTGTCGAGTTTGTCTTCCTGTCAAAGCTTATTAAAAGTGTCTTTGCGGATGAATGGTACTTTCCACAAGTGCATTTGAGTAGAAGCATAACCTATTCTCAGTTATATTTATGTTTAAAACATGTACTGGTTTGTATATTTTGTACTGAAAAAGAAAACACTTTATAGTCAAGATACATCTCATTCAATACAAGTCTAAACTCTTTCAAATACAAATTCGCATATTCACAGAAAAAGTTACAAATCAGTTTTACTATTGTAAAGTAATGAAATGGTTATACATTTCTTAATTGTTCAATAAAACACTCAATGATTTGCATGTCTGGCTGTCCTTACTTTGTATAAGAAATGTTCAGTGTTGAGTATAGCATGGTAGAAATGTTCCTGATGCCCGTCTCTGTTTCCAGTGTTTGTTCCTATTAATTGAGGCATTTAAGACTGAACAGCCTCGATACAGCCCTTACCACTGCAGATCTTTTACATAATTCATGATGATCAGAGCAAGGGCAAAGATTCTCTCAAAGTCTACCAAAACACAATAACCAGTGGCACATATGCTTGTTGACCTACCAGAACAGGTCCTTGACATACAGCTATCTTTTATTCACCGGGAGGTAAATGAGACCAGAGGGGTGCCAAATCTGTGTTCTTTAAACTCAACAATTTTTATGGGTTGGTATTCTTTTAATTATCTTTCTTGGAGATAGAGTCTCACTCTGTTGCCCAGGCAGGAGCTCAGTGGCGTGCTTCCAGCTCACTGCAAACTCCATCTCCCAGGTTCAAGCGATTCTGGTGCTTCAGCCTCCCGAGCAGCTGGGATTACAGGCACCCACCACCATGTCCAGCTAATTTTTGTATTTTTATTAGAGACGGGGGTTCACCACGTTGGCCAGGCCGGTCCCGAACTCCTGACCTCAAGTGATTTGCCAGCCTCGGCCTCCCAAAATGCTGGGATTACAGGCGTGAGCCACTGCACCCAGCCTAATTATTTTTGTATTAAAAGTTCTTTGTGGCCGGGCGTGGTGGCTCACACCTGTAATCCCAGCACTTTGGGAGGCCGAGGATGGTGGATCACCTGAGGTCAGGAGTTCGAGACCAGCCTGACCAACATGGAGAAACCCCATCTCTACTAAAAATACAAAAATTAGCTGGGCGTGGTGTCGGGTGCCTGTAATCCCAGCTACTCGGGAGGCTGAGGCAGGAGAATTGCTTGAACCTGGGAGGAAGAGGTTGCAGTGAGTCAAGATCACGCCATTGCACTCCAGCCTGGGCAACAAGAGCAAAACTCTGCCTCAAAAAAAAAAAAAAAAAAGGTTATTTGTAATTTCTAACATTTTCAGAACACAAAGGAAAAGACTTTACAGAGCTTGATCAAGATGGTTAAGGGGATCAGTAGTAATGGTGCCACCCCAATTTGGATCCCAGGGTTGAGTCAGTGAATAGACCAGATGGAGGGTGGTGGACCAAAGCAAATTGTAAAGGCTGATCCCTTCTTTCATGTTTTGCCCTTCTTACAGCTTCCTTTGAGGAATGAAAATCATTGTTTGCTGTACATTTGATCAGAAGAAAAAAGAAAAACTGAAATTAGTGAAGTCAGTGAAGTCTTCGGTCCCGTCCTGAATCATTTTTACCCTCTGTTTAGGGACAGGTCTAGAACGAGTGAGCACAAAACTGAAGAGTGTGCCGAAAATCTCAGCAATCAAGATAACATTTGAACTCCATTTTTGAAAAAAATAAAAACTAACACCCACGAAAAATACATGATGAATAAAACATCAAAATTTTAGATAAACACAGGATATCAGGAGTGAGTGTGGTGGCTCACTCACCCAAAGTGTAATCCCAGCACTTTGGGAATCTAAGACAGGAGGATTGCTTGAAGCAAAGAGTTACAGACCAGCCTCTGCAACATAGCAAGTCTTCGTCTCTAAAACAAAATAATTAGCCAGGCATGGTGGCGCATGCCTGTAGTCTAAGCTACCAGGGAGGTTGAAGTGGGAGAATCACTTGAGCCTAGGAGTTGAAGGCTACAGTCAGTTATGATCACCACTGCATTCTAGCCTGGGCAACAGGAAGACCCTGTTGAAAGGAAGAGAGAGGACCAGGTGCAGTGGCTCACACCTGTAATCCCAGCACTTTGGGAGGCCGAGGCAGGTAGATCACTTGAGATCAGGCATTCGAGACCAGTCTGGCCAACATGGTGAAACTCCGTTTCTACTGAAAACACAAAAATTAGCCAGGCGTGATGGTGCGTGCCTGCAGTCCCAGCTACTCAGGAGGCTGAGGCAGGAGAATCTCTTGAACCCAGGAGGATGAGGTTGCAGTGAGCCAAGATTGCACTACTGCACTCTGGCCTGGGCAACAAAGCAAGACTCTGTCAAGAAAGAGAAAGAAAGAAAGAAAGAGAGAGGGAGGGAGGGAGGGAGAGAGAGAGAGAGAGAGAGAGAGAGAGAGAGAGAGAGAAAAGAAAGAAAGAAAGAAAAAGAAAGAAAGAAAGAAAAGAAAGAAAGAAAGAGAAAGAAAGAAAGAAAGAAAAAGAAGGAAAGGAAGAGGGAAAGAAAAGAAAAATAGTTAAACCATGTTAGAGTCTTTGGCAAAAGGAAAAATCACTAATTTGAATCCCATCAGTAACAAGAGCCTTGTCTAGGCATATTGGGCCCGAGTTTCAGCCCTCTGTTTCCTCCCTTCATTCTCACTTCCCAAAATGACCTCACTCCCCAAACTCCATGTCTGTAAATGATTTTCCACTCTTGGCTTCCACTTGCCAAAGTGTTCATGGAAAGAAGACCAGATTCTAGCCCTGGCTTCTTTTATATCTAAACTCTCATTTCACTATAAATCATATTATTGGATTCCAAGGAGTAAGACAGGTCAAGTGAGGTTGATGATTTGAGGCTCTGGCCCCTGTCAACTGCTCTGCAGAAAAGTATTATTAATCCCATCTGGAAGTCGGCCATCTGATTGTACACTAGGAATTCACAAGGACTATCCACACCATCTCCTGATTCTGAACACTTTTAGAATTACTACAACACTCCCTATTTTTGTAAGTGTTCTCTTAATACCTCATATCAGCTTGGTTTTGTGGCACTTACCATGTAAGTAACTTTATACTAGTCTTCAGGCTGGGCACAGTGGCTCGTGCCTGTAATCCAGCACTTTGAGAGGCTGATGCAGGAGGATCACTTGAGTCCAGGAGTTCAAGACCAGCCTGGGCAACATAGCAATACCTTATCTCTGTAGAAAAATAGAAAAAATTAGCCAGGTGTGGTGACACACACCCATGGTCCCAAGCTACTGGAGTTCGAGGCTGCAGTGAGCCATAATTGTGCCACTGCGCTCCAGCCTGAGAGACAGAGCAACACCTTGTCTCAAACAAACAAACAAAAAGTCTTCAATAGGTGAGAGTAAAAGAATATTGTGGGTCGTGCTGATGTGGGAGTGACTAAGCTCATAGGGGGACATGAGAGGTGGTGGTGCCATCTTGGGAGTGGCAAAGGCGAGGTCCCCATGTTGATGTAGTCCAGTGGGCCCTGGGCACAAGCACAGCTTTCTTTTGGGGATCTTGGGGCTCATAGCGAGAATAGAGGACTCTACATTCCGGGGTGGGTGAATGAATAATGTGCGTCTCGGCCACGGGGCATCTCAGAAAGCCCTGGGCTGCGTTGTAAAGGGGCTTGTGGGGCAGGTCTATATTGGCAGACGTTTTGGGAAGATTGGAAATTTTGATCTCTGGCCACTCTATTGGAAAAATGTTCCTCTTTCCACACCTCAGGAGTGGGTATAAGCCTTGTTGAATCCAGTTCAGAGAGGCTTTATGGCCAGTAAGGAGTCCTAGAAGCTGCTGTTGGGCTTAGGGAGTGGAACTTAGGGTGAGTGAACTTCCTGGGATGAAAGAGGAGGCCTGGTCGAGGCTGGGGATGGCATCCACCAGGAAAAGAAAAGCGGTAGTCCCCTTGCCCCAGGAGCCTTGGGTACCCATCTGCCTTCCTGACTAGCTGCATTCTTGCTCTGGAAGGGCCTGTAGACTTGATTTCCTTGGTTGGCTGCTCCATCCACCAAAACTGTCCTTCTTTGGTGGTGTTAGATTGTAATTTTGGTGACGCCTCAAATTACAGTCACACCAAGCAGGGCCAGACAGCCTACACTTGGTTGTTGAAGGGCATGTGTCTGAGGAGGCACACTTAGAGACAAGCCAGTGTGTTGCTCTGGTCACCTAACAGCTCTGCAGGCCTGGGGCTGTTCTTTCAGGATTGTTGAGAGTGGGCAGAATCTGACGCTACTGCTGTTGCCTGGGCTCTACATGGCCCTGGTGGCCAACTGAGCAGTTCTGGGCTCTGCTGCTGACTCTGTGGCTTTGGGCTGCTAACCTCATCAAGGCCCAGTTTTCTCCTCTTTAAACTGGGATATGAACAGTTTGTAAAGTGTGTAGAGGTCGGGTGCGGTGGCTCACTCCTATAATCCCAGCACTTTGGGAGGCCGAGGTGGGTGGATCACCTGAGGTCAGGAGTTTGAGACCAGCCTGGCCGACATGTAGTGAAATCCCATCTCTACAAAAAATACAAAATTAGCTGGGCATGGTTGCGCATGCCTGTAATCCCAGCTACTTGGGAGGCTGAGGCAGGAGAATCGCTTGAACCCAGGAGGCAGAGGTTGCAGTGAGCCAAGCTAACGCCATTGCACTCCAGTCTGGGCAACAAGAGTGAAATTCCATCTCCAAAAAAAAAAAAAAAAAAAAAGTGTGTAGAGCCCCACCAAGTGTTAGCACCCAATAGGTGTTTTCTAAGGTATAACTATAGTTATTATTACTTCTGCCATGTAGCTTTGGCTCCTCAGGAGTCTTCTAAAGTCCCTGCCCCTCATGTGACTTCTCTCACTGTGCCTCAGTGCAGCCCCTACCCCTGACCCCAGGGCAGCCCTTGCTCCCTCCTGGCTCCCAGGGCCATGAACAATCCCAGCCCCTGCTGAGCCTCTCTCGCCGCTCCATGCCTGGAGTCTTGAGGCAGTGGACAGGTAACTGGTGGGAAGATGTCTTGGCCAGGCTGTTTCCTTCTTAATCTCAGTGTCTTTAGGTACAGAGGTGGCAGCTTTAGATTCTGTGCTTCTAAGGAAGGGAACAAGGGGAGGGTGTGGATAGTGAGGACCAAGAAGTTCCTAGAGGCAGCTCAGCAGGTGCCCCTCATCCCTCAGATGAGGCAGGTGAAGATGGAGTGGAGAGATTTGGGAACAGGAGGGGGTCCTCGTCCAAATGGTGATGTCCTCTGTGCATCGTCCTGAATCCGGGCTTCATCGGCAGAGACCGGCAAGTGGATGACCTGGCTTGTTAGGGATGCCACAGCTGATGCCCCAGCTCAGGATGTCCACCCGGGTTCAAACCTCAGCTCAAATCTTAGGCAAGGCACAGAGCCTCCATTTCAGTGTTCCCATCCATGAACAGGGTCAGACAGCATGGAACCCATGGGACATTAGGGAGCATTAATGAGCTGATGCGTGAAGACTGCTCACACACTGCCTTGGCTCAGCAATGGATGGTGTCTCTCTCTGCTGTCGGAGATCACCTGAACCCAGTGTAAGTCCTTCCCCCCAGAGGGGGTCTCTGCACACCCTACAGTGCTATCCTCTTGATCGGTTGTCTGCAGGAGGTGACAGCAGGGCATGGTGTTATTTAGTGCAATGATACCTCCTGCAGTGGGAACAGGGTCAGGAGGGATTTTTGGGGAGCAGGGCCACTCACTGGCCTAGCCCGAGGTACCCACCTGCCCTGGAACTGTGGTCTCGTGGGGTCCAGGTGCTCCCCCTCTTAAGGGCCATGACAAGAAATGGGAATGTCAAGTGGTGGGGGAGTGAACTGGCCAGCTGCCCCTGCTTCTCTGCCCCAGACAGACCTCTTCCTATGTCCTTTCCACCCACTTGCCTCCTCCTCCCAAATTCACCACAGGGACCTTTCCCAGCCTCACTGAGTGGGGTTAGGGACTCTGCCTGCTACTTTTTTGTCTTACTATTGATTAATAAATAGTACTTATCAATGACTGCTAATTGTTGTGTTTCTTTCTTTTTTTCTTTTTTTAGAGTTTCATTCTTCTTGCCCTAGCTGGAGTGCAATGATGCAATCTCGGCTCACTGCAACCTCCACCTCCCGGGTTCAAGCAATTCTCCTGCCTCAGCCTCCCAAGTAGCTGGGACTACAGGTGCGCGCCACCATGCCTGGCTAATGTTTTGTAGAAATGGGGTTTCACCATGTTAGCCAGGCTGGTCTCGAACTCCTGACCTCAGGTGATCCGTCCGCCTCGGCCTCCGAAAGTGCTAGGATTACAGGTGTGAGCCACCATGCCCGGCCAATGTGTTTCTTATTTGTAGAGTGGTTCACAACTATTTTCATGTCCAGAAGGGAAGTGACATAACTTGGTGTTAGAAGTATGGGATTTGAGTCCATTGCCCAGGTTCAAATCCAGCTCCATTTCTCAGTTTTCCTATTTTTAATGTAACATTTCCTGGGAGGCTATGTTACTATGTCTATTTCGGCACTATTCTCTTCTCTTACAATGTGATGTAAACAAAGAGTTTGTATTGTTTGTTTTTTGTTTTTTTAATTTACTGACATACCACTTGGTGGCTAAAACATTTGTGTTTCATAACTCAAATAGTTATGCATACATAAATATGACTTGTATAAACTGAATAATAAATGTTATGAAGAGTTCAAATACTACAAGTAAATCAAAAGCAAAAATATTTCTAATTATTTAGCATTTGGTAAAATCTTTTAACAATATTAGCTTTGAAAAATGAAAAAAGTTCTAAACTTGTAACTTTTTAAAACTTTAATAAAACTTTTTTTCTTTTCTTGGGATGGAGTCTCTGTCATCCAGGCTGGAGTGCAGTGGCATACTGCAACCTCTGCCCCCGGGTTTGAGCCATTCTCCTGCCTCAGCCTCCCGAGTAGCTGGGACTACAGGCACGCACCACCAGGCCAAGCTAAGTTTTGTATTTTCAGTATAAACAAGGTTTCACTGGCCAGGCTGATCTCAAACTCCTGACCTCAGGTGATCCACCTGACTCGGCCTCCCAAAGTGCTGAGATTACAGGCATGAGCCACCGTGCCCAGACAAAAACTTTTTTCTTTTTTATTTTCCCTACTGTAGCTACCTCTGAAGATTAACTTGCAATTTCACAGAAAATCAGGATGTTTTGTGTTAAGGCTGGGCACCGTGGTGCATGCCTGTAATTCCAGCACTGTGGGAGGCCAAGGCGGGTGGATCACTTGAACACAGGAGTTCGAGACCAGCCTGGGCAACATGGCAAAAGCCTGTCTCTACAAAAAAAAAAGAAAGAAAAATTGCCAGACATGGTGGCACATTCCTGTGGTCCCTGCTACTTGGGAGGCAGAGGTGGGAGAATCACTTGAGCCTGGGAGGTCGAAGCTATAGTGTGCTAAGATCACACCACTACACTGAAGGCTGGGCGACAGAGTGAGACTCTCTCTCTCCCAAAGAAAAAGGAAAAAGTAAAAATGATGTTTTCTGTTAAGAAGCTCTTCCAGATGATGGGATTGTAGAAGATAGTTTTTGTTCTCCATATTAGAATTTTTGGAGTTAGGTTCTTAGAGTGTCTATGCCCTTTAGGAAAAATTTTAAGATATTTTGTTTAATTAAAAAAGTCATTGCACTTGTTAGGAAGGAAAAAAAAGACGGAAGGAGGAAGGAAGGGCTTCAGTCTCTGCAAAGCTGTTTTGCAATAACTGTGAGATTAAGACTTATTTTGCTCATTTTAGATGAAGAAATAGAAACTTAGAAAACAAAAGTGGCCAGGCACAGTGGCTTATGCTTGTATTCCCAGAAATTTAGGAGGCCAAGGTGAGAGGATTGCTCAAGGCCAGGAGTTCAAAACCAGTCTAGGCAACATAGCGAGATGCCCCCTATCTCTACAAAAGGAAAAAAAATTAGCCAGGCATGCTGGCCTGTGCCTACAGTCCTAGCTGTCCAGGAGGTTAAGGAAGGAGGATGGTCTGAACGTAGTTATTCAGGCTGCAGTGAGCTATGATTGTGCAACTGCACTCCAGCCTAGACATGAGAATGAGACCCTGTCTCTTAAAAAATAAATAAATACATAAATAAATAAGTGAAATTTAAAAAAAAAAAAGAGGTAACCTAAAATCACACGTTAGTATACTGGTAGAATTGGAATACTAACCCAAGTGGCTGCCAGGTTGTGGGCTTAAGCTCTAAGATATAAGAGGGAGTTTTAAATTATTTATTAAAGCCACATATTTTGTAATGAAACAAAAATAGTCTTGTGACCTGCAACTTGAAGGGGTGGGTTGCCCCTCCACACCTGTGGGTGTTTCTCGTAAGGTGGAACGAGAGACTTGGAAAAGAAAAGGACACAGAGACAAAGTATAGAGAAAGAAATAAGGGGACCCGGGGAACCAGCGTTCAGCATGTGGAGGATCCCGCCAGCCTCTGAGTTCCCTTAGTATTTACTGATCATTCGTGGGTGTTTCTCTGAGAGGGGGATGTGTCAGGGTCACAAGACAATAGTAGGGAGAGGGTCAGCAGACAAACACGTGAACAAAGGTCTTTGCATCATAGACAAGGTAAAGAATGAAGTGCTGTGCTTTTAGATATGCATACACATAAACATCTCAATGCTTTACAAAGCAGTATTGCTGCCCGCATGTCCCACCTCCAGCCCTAAGGTGGTTTTTCCCTATCTCAGTAGATGGAACGTACAATCGGGTTTTATACCGAGACATTCCATTGCCCAGGGATGGGCAGGAGACAGATGCCTTCCCTTGTCTCAACTGCAAAGAGGCATTCCTTCCTCTTTTACTAATCCTCCTCAGCACAGACCCTTTACGGGTGTCGGGCTGGGGGACGGTCAGGTCTTTCCCTTCCCACGAGGCCATATTTCAGACTATCACATGGGGAGAAACCTTGGACAACACCTGGCTTTCCTAGGCAGAGGTCCCTGCGGCCTTCCGCAGTGTTTTGTGTCCCTGGGTACTTGAGATTAGGGAGTGGTGATGACTCTTAAGGAGCATGCTGCCTTCAAGCATCTGTTTAACAAAGCACATCTTGCACAACCCTTAATCCATTTAACCCTGAGTTTGACACAGCACATGTTTCAGAGAGCACAGGGTTGGGGGTAAGGTCATAGATTAACAGAATCTCAAGGCAGAAGAATTTGTCTTAATACAGAACAAAATGGAGTCTCCTATGTCTACTTCTTTCTACACAGACACAGTAACAATCTGATCTCTCTTGCTTTTCCCCGCACAACTAAAAAAATGGAGGCTATTTTCTGGGACACAGACTTATAACTTCTCTACGAGGCACATCAGTGTAGTGATCACTATAGTTTAGCCAGATACCTGTGTATCTCTCTGTCTATGACTCACACTTAATTCAACAAAGTTTGGATTCAATCCCTTTCAACTTTCCTTCTCTCCCTTTTAAGGAAACGTAAACATTATTGTTTGTTTTAACAATTTTTTTCTTTTTTAAAAATTTTTTGTTTATTTAAATATATATTATATATATATATATATATATATATATATATATATATATATATATACAAAATGAGGTTTCGAGATGTTGCCCAGGCTGATCTCAAAACCCTGAGCTCAAGCAATCCTCCCGCTTTGGCCTCCCAAAATGTGGGATTACAGGCATGAGCCATCTCACCTAGTAGCTTTGACTGCTTTTTAAAAAGAAGAAGTATCTGCTAAAAACAGCTCTTCTGGCCAGGACTGGTGGCTCACACCTGTAATCCCAGCACTTTGGGAGCCAAGGCGGGTGGATCACAAGGTCAGGAGTTCAAGACCAGCCTGGCCAACATGGTAAAACCTCATCTCTACTAAAGATACAAAAAATTAGCCGGGCTTGGTGGCACGCATCTGTAATCCCAGCTACTCAGGAGGCTGAGGCAGGAGAATCGCCTGAACCCGGGAGGCGGAGGTTGTAGTGAGCCGAGATCACACCGTTGCACTCCAGCCTGGGCGACAGGGTGAGACTCCATCTCAATTAAACACACACACACACACATACACACACACACACACACAGACACAGCTCTTCCTTTTCCTTTTGTTTAGCACCATATTTAAGCAGAATATTTCAATCTATTCTAGAAATAATTGCATCAAAAAAGCTTGACTTTTTTTCAAAAATTATTTTCAAATAGAAACGAAAATACACACATTTTGATACTTTAAAAAATCTTCAAAATGATACAGAGCAAAATGGTACACAAACATCCTCCCTCTATAATCTTTCTTCTGCCCTCAGACAGAAACAGAAAAAAAAATCTTTAGAATTTATAGATAATTGGTATGTATTCATGTTAACAAAATATGTTTTATGAATATTTTACACTACATTTACCACGCCAGTCACTGTTCAAAATGCTTTAACTCATGAAAACTCATTTAGTACTCAACAAATCTAAGAAGTAAGTTGAACTATTTTTGCCCCATCCCTTCTTTTTTTTTAACTAGATGAGAAAGGCAGAAAAAGATAACCTGCTAAGGTCACACAAGGTAGAAGAGGACAGAGCATGGATTTGAACTCCTAGAAGCCTCGTTTAAAGTTCAGCCTTCACCACCTCTATTTTCTTCCTCTAACATGCAGAAGTACAGACACACATATGTGTATGCACACTAATATACACATACATATATATTTCAGACTACCTGTAAAAAGTCTGTCATGTGTCCCTGCAGACCTTTACATATACATATGGACAAGAAGAGGGAGAGTAATCTGCTAAATCCAGATTGAACAGACACAGAGCAAGGCTACAAAGCATCTTAGAATGTTAACAGGCATGAAAAATATTCCTTGGCTGAAAAACTAGATCATTGATAAACTTGGAACAGTCTCAGCGGAGGAGTAAGGGTGAAAGCCAAATTGCAGGCCGGGCGCGGTGGCTCACGCCTGTAATCCCAGCACTTTGGGAGGCTGAGGCGGGCGGATCACGAGGTCAGGAGATCGAGACCATCCTGGCTAACACGGTGAAACCTCGTCTCTACTAAAAATACAAAAAAATTAGCCAGGCGTGGTGGCGGGTGCCTGTAGTCCCAGCTACTCGAGAGGCTGAGGCAAGAGAATGGCGTGAACCTGGGAGGTGGAGCTTGCAGTGAGCCAAGATCGCACCACTGCACTCCAGCCTGGGCGACAGAGCGAGACTCCGTCTCAAAAAAAAAAAAAAAAAGAAAGAAAGCCAGATTGCTTCTGACCTCTTTTTGTAGGGAAGAACATAATTCTTAAGAGCAACTGGTACAGAAGAATAATTAAATGAATCACATTGCTTCAGGTATTTAATTAGCATCTAGCAGGTGGGCTCCATCCTGTTAAATTACACTGTACCCTATGAGGTATGCTCAGCCTTGCAGGAGGATTCAGTGCCTCCTGACATACACCAGGGCCTGTTGGGGGGCAGGGGGTGATGGGAGGGATAGCATTAGGTCTTGCTCTGGGCGACAGGCCAACAGGCCCTGGCGTATGTTGAACTCCTATTGATGGGGTTCTCATCTTTTTTTTTTTTTTTTGAGACGAAGTCTCGCTCTGTCGCCCAGGCTGGAGTGCAATGGCGCCATCTTGGCCGGGTGCGGTGGCTCACGCCTGTAATCCCAGCACTTTGGGAGTCCGAGGAGGGTGGATCACGAGGTCAGGAGTTCGAGACCAGCCTGGCCAACATGGTAAAACCCCGTCTCTACTAAAAATAAAATAAAAAAAGCAAACTGGGCATGGTAGCGTGTGCCTGTAATCCCAGCTACTCACGAGGCTGAGGCAGGAGAATCGTTTGAACCCAGGAGGCAGAGGTTGCAGTGAGCCGAGATTGTGCCATTGCACTCCAGCCTGGGCAACAGGGCAAGACTCCGTCTCAAAAAAAAAACCAAAACAAAACAAAAACAACAACAACAAAAAAAACAAAAGCAGTGGTGCCATCTAGGCTCACTGCAACCTCCGCCTCCCGGATTCAGGCGATTCTCCTGCCTCAGGCTCCCCAGTAGCTGGGAGTACAGGCGCCCACCACCACGCTCGGCTAATTTTTGTATTTTTAGTAGAAACGGGGTTTCATCATGTCGGCCAGGCTGGTCTCGAACTCCTGACCTCAGGTGATCTGCCTGCCTCGGCCTCCCAAGTGCCAGGGTTACAGGCATGAGTCACCACGCCTGGCTGATAGGGTTTCTATCTTAAGTATATATATATTTTTTTTTTTTGAGACAGTGTCTCTCTGTCACCCAGGCTGGAGTGCAGTGGCGCCATAGCAGCTCACTGCAACCTCTGTCTCCTGGGTTCAAGTGATTCTCTTGCTTCAGCCTCCTGAGTAGCTGGGATTACAGGCACCGACCACCAGGCCTGGCTAATTTTTGTATTTTTAGTAGAGACAGGGTTTCACCATGTTGGCCAGGCTGGTCTGGAACTTCTGACCTCAAGTGATTTGCCCTCCCAAAGTGCTGGGATTACAGGCGTGAGCCACCATGCCTGGCCTGTTGAGTGATGTTTTTGTTTGTTTTTTTTTTAGTTTTACTTTATGTTCCAGGATACATGAGCAGAATGTACAGGTTTGTTACATAGGTATGCATGTGCCATGGCGGTTTGCTGCACCTATCAACCTGTCATCTAGGTTTTAAGACAGGCATGCATTAGGTATTTGACCTAATACTATCCCTCCCATCACCCCCTGCCCCCCAACAGGCCCTGGTATATGTTGTTTCCCTCCCTGTGTCTATGTGTTCTCACTGTTCAACTCCCACTTATGAGTGAGAACACACACAGCGTTTGGTTTTCTGTTCCTGTGTTAGTTTGCTGAGAATGATGGCTTCCAGCTTCATCCATGTCCCTGCAAAGGACATGATCTCATTCTTTTTTATGGCTGCATAGTATTCCATGGTGTATATGTGCCAGATTTTCTTTATCTAGTCTATCATTGATTGGCATTTGGGTTGGTTCTAAGTCTTTGCTATTGTAAATAGTGCTGCAATACTGCAATAAACATACGTGAGCATGTATCTTTTTTTTTTTTTTTTTTTTGAGACAGAGTCTTGCTCTGTTGCCCAGGCTGGAGTGCAGTGGCGCGATCTCGGCTCACTGCAAGCTCCACCTCCCAGGTTCACGCCATTCTCCCGCCTCAGCCTCCCTAGTAGCTGGGACTACAGGCACCCGCCACCACGCCCAGCTAATTTTGTTTTTGTATTTTTAGTAGAGATAGGGTTTCACTGTGTTAGCCAGGATGGTCTCGATCTCCTGACCTCGTGATCCACCCGCCTTGGCCTCCCAAAGTGCTGGGATTACAGGCGTGAGCCACTGTGCCTGGCCTGGTTTTTTTTTTTTTTTTTTTTTTTGAAACAGAGTCTCGCTCTGTTGCCCAGGTTGGAGTGCAGTGACACAATCTCGGCTCACTGCAACCTCCAACTCCCAGGTTCAAGTGATTCTCCTGTCTCAGACTTCCAAGTAGTTGGGATTATAGGTGTATGCCACCACACCCAGCTAATTTTTGTATTTTCAGTAGAGACAGGGTTTTACCATGAGGCCAGGCTGGTCTCAAACTCCTGACCTCAAGTGATCCGCTACCTTGGCCTCCAAAAGTGCTGGGATTACAGGTGTGCACCACACGCCTGGCCAAATGTGCTTTATATGCAAGTAAATATACATATCTCGATATATGTATATATTGCATTTAATAAAATAAAACATGGGATAATAGAAGTATATGGATTCAGCTAAATTTGTATGAGCTCTTGAGATTTTCTGAGATAGTCTTATAATACTTTTTATTTATTTTTATTTTTGAGACAGTTTTGCTCTTGTCACCCAGGCTGGAGTGCAATGGCATGATCTCAGCTCACTGCAACCTCCGCCTCCCAGGTTGAAGTGATTCTCCTGCCTCAGCCTCCTCAGTAGCTGGGATTACAGGCACCTGCCACCATGCTCAGCTAATTTTTGTATTTTTAGTAGAGTCGGGGTTTCAGTATGTTGGCCAGGCTGGTCTCAAACTATTGACCTCAGGTGATCCACCTGCCTGGGCCTCCCAAAGTGCTGGGATTACAGGTGTGAGCCACCGTGCCCAGCCTATAATACTTTTTACTGTATATGTATTAAATGCCAAGGACTGTGGCAGGTGTCTTAATTTATTCATTTATGCTTAAAACATAAAACAGTATTTTTTCCTACTTTCTGAGAAGTGAAACTCAGCAAAATTAACTTGACTAAGTGCATGTAACTAGTTAAGTGTTAGCATTGGATGAATACCCAATTCTGTTAGGTATTGCTATCTCTCAATTTGTATTTTTTCTTTTTTCACCTTTGTAGTGTTGGATCAATAAGCCCATTTTAACCTGTTAAAATATTTGGGATATGTTGGCCAGGTGCGGTGGCTCATGCCTGTAATCCCAGCACTTTGGGAGGCCAAGGTGGGTGGATCACCTGAGATCAGGAGTTTGAGACCAGCCTGACCAACATGGTGAAACCCCATCTCTACTAAATAGAAAAAATTAGCCAAGCACGGTGGTGCATGCCTGTAATCCCAGCTACTTGGGAGGCTGAGGCAGGAGAATTGTTTGTACCTCGGAGGCGGAGGCTACACTCTGCCAAGATTGAGCCATTGCACTCCAGCCTGGGTGACAAGAGCGAAACTCCAGCTCAGAAAAAAAATTGGGATAAGTTATTAAATATGAACAACTGAACATATCAAATATGAAAAATGTAAGGTGATTTGATATATAGAGGGATGCACAGGATGATGTGGGAGTATAAAGAAGGAGCAGTACAACTTAGTAATTGAGTATCATGCCAGTAGTTATGCCAATTAGCATAACGTTGGATAAGTATGTTCAGGTTCTTGTAGACTCTGCTTTTACAGCTCTAGGCTTTTATAGCTCTAATTGAGGATAATAGCTCCTAACTTATGGAGTTGTTCTGATGGTTTAGTTGAACCTGTGACTATGTGGAAGAGCCTTAGCATAGTGCCTGATATATAATAAATTACCTTAGAGAACATTTCTCTTGGGCTGAGTCTCTAGAAGGACCAAAACTTATTCCTAGGAAAGAAGTAAGGGCAGGGTAATCTATGCAGCAAGTGGTTTGTGAAGAGGGAAAGCATGGCACCTACGTTGGTTGGTTGATTTGTTTGTTTTGGCCAAGTACTTTAAGGGGACTGTAGCCAGATGAAGAAAATGAAATATGAAGGGCTCTGAAGGGTGAGCTAAGGGTGAAAAATGTTGTCCTGACTTATGCAGAGTTATAAACAGATTGTAATGAGGGGAAATATTTAATTCGTTAAAAAAGTGAAGGCCTGAAGGACAAGTTAAACGATATTAAGAAGCAATAAGCATGCCTGGCATGAAGTCTCACGCCTGTAACCCCAGCACTTTGGGAAGCCAAGGTGGGCAGATCACCTGAGGTCAGGAGTTCAAGTCCAGCCTGTTCAACATGGACAAAAGTGGAAGCAGGGAACATTATTCTAGATTGAAAAAAATTTAAAAGAACTAATAAGCAAATGCCAATACGTGGCTCTCGTTTGGATCCAGATTCCAATACATCTAACAGAAAGCTCCTTTGGCGAAGAAGAATGGGCACATATTAGCTACCATTTACATGATATTCTTATAATAAAAAGAGGTTGTTATACTTCCCATTTTACAGGTCAAAGAAATGAGATTTAAAAAAAAACACATCAATTTTTTTTCACAAAGTAATTTTATTACAATTGTAATAAAACACATAAAAGTGAAGTTTACAGTGAGTATGACTGACAGGTGAGTTACTTGGTTTAAATGATCAGGGAATACTTCCTCAGAAGATGACATTTCAAATAAGACCTGAAGGATAAGAAGAATTGCTTTCCTAAATGCTTTACAAAAAGTACTATAAATGCTTTATAAAATGTATTGCCCAAATGCTTTGTAAAAAGCTTAGACTCTTCTACGCCCTTATCACTTTTCCTACCTCCTATTCCTCAACTTGAAATGATTCATTTAGAGGTAAAATAGAAAAATCATGTTCATAGGTCTGAGTATATAGTTTCCTTCTTTTTTTTTTTTAATTCATAGCAGGCTATGAGGCGCAAAAAACCAAACACCGCATGTTCTCACCCATAGGTGGGAATTGAACAATGAGAACACTTGGACACAGGAAGGGGAACATCACACACCGGGGCCTGTTGTGGGGTGGGGGAGGGGGAGGGATAGCATTAGGAGATATACCTAATGCTAAATGACTAGTTAATGGATGCAGCCACCAACATGGTACATGGCACATGTATACATATGTAACAAACCTGCATGTTGTGCACACGTACCCTAGAACTTAAAGTATAATAATAATAATAATAATAATAATAATAAAAGACAGCCATAATATGGCAGTAGTAATGACTGCGTGCCTCAAAACACATCAGTTTTCTAAAGATACACAGCACATAGCTGAGCCAGGATTCAAACCTGGTGTCCTCTCAGTAATGTTAGTGCTTACATTGTGAAATACTGCCTCCTGTAGCATGTTGCTGTGATAGCTTTTGCTTGTGCAGTCCTAGGACACTGAGTTAAAACTTTAAGTTTGGGAACAATGGATAAATGGTGACTTTCTAGGGCTACTGCATATTTTCCTATTCTGCTAGTCTAAAGAGAATTTCTGTATAGTAAAAGAACTTGCTAGGTCACCAAGACAGAGCCAATTTCACATATCAAAGCCATGCGCATAGTATTACTCTCACTGTTGTTGGGTTATGAGGAAAGCGAGAGGAAGAAGAAGAGTTGAGAAAGTGTCTAGGGAAAGAAGGCGAAGGGGAAAAAATACTATATTGATGGTTAGGTGGCTTGCAAGCTTTGATGGAGGAATTTGACTTGCTTAAAATCAGGTACCTGTGGGTGTCTTGAAAGCAAGCCAGGAAGTTTTTCTGCCTCACTTTTGTTTTGAAAGTGTCAAACTTAAAAAAAAAGACTGAAAGGGTATGCATGATTATACCTTTTCTCTGGACTCACTCCAGTTGTTACCTTTCTGCTACGTTCACATTTTCTCTGTTTACATTTTTTTAAATTGTTGAACCTTCTGAAAGCTTCAGGCTTCCAAATGGCTTCCCCCGTGCATCAATATATATCTCCTAAGAACAAGCACATTTTACTTACTATGATAATTTTATTGTGCCCAATTTAACATTGGTACAACAGTATGTGATATACAGTCCATACTAAGATTCTCACATTTATTTGTTGCCAACGTGTTTTTTTGTTTGTTTGTTTTTGTTTTTTTTTAAGACGGAGTTTTGCTCTGTCGAACAATCTTGGCTCACTGCAACCTCCCCCACCCGGGTTCCAGCGATTCTCCTGCCTCAGCTTCCCAAGCAGCTGGGATTACAGGCGCATGCCACCATGCCCAGATAATTTTTTATGTTTTTAGTAGAGATGGGGTTTTGCCACGTTGGCTAGGCTGGTCTCGAACTCCTGGACTCAAGGGAGCCACATGCCTTGGCCCCGCAAAGTGCTAGGATTACAGGTGTGAGCCACCACACCTAGCCTGTTCCCAGCATTTTTTAGTTTTTTTGTTTCTTTGTTTTTTAATTTCAAGATCTCAGATTCAATCAGGGATCACACATTGTATTTATCATGTTTCTTTCCTCTCCTTAAATCAAAACCTTTTTTTTATGCTTGTTTTTCCTGACATTGACATTTTTGAAGAATGCATACCAGTTGTCTTGTAAGAATGCTCCACAATCTGAATTAGAGTAATTTTCTCTAATGGTTAGCTTGAATGGCAATATTTTTGGAAAGAATATTATATAGGCAATGTTGTATACTTGCCATAGCATCCTATCAGGAAGCACATAAGTTTGTCCCATATTTTTTAGTTTTTTTTTTTTAAATAAGTAATGTATGGGGTGAATCGCTGCAATATGAATATCTTGTTTTTCCAAGAACTTCCACCCCGTGATTTTAGCATTCATTGATGATTCTTGTGTGAACGTTTAATACATTTGTGATTATGGAATTTTAACGTGGTGTCTTTTCTTACTCATAGGAAGGATTCCCTATCTTGGACCTGAGGCTGCTTTCTTGAAGAAAACTTGACTTTATTTCATTTAGTGGGAAGAGCAGCAGCCCAGCTATTAAGTTCTAATATGCAATAGGCTGCAGGCTGTGAAGTGTTCGTGGCAGTAGACTCTGAAGCTAAGGAGCTGAGGGCTTAACAAGTTTCTAGAAGCTGCCATCAACATGCCAAGTCAGTAAAACTGATAGTTGATCAGATTTCAAGGTCTGGGGAGTATATCCACTGTGTACTGGGTCTTGAGCTCTAGAGAGCTAGGCCTTGCTAAAATAAAAGAATTACCTTACCTACCATCTTTGTTCAAGTCTCAGTGGAATTTGTTACGGCCCTGGCTGACCTCCGAGCAGAGGCTAGCTGTCCCATCTGTCTGGACTACTTGAAAGACCCAGTGACCATCAGCTGTGGGCATAACTTCTGTCTCTCCTGCATCATTATGTCCTGGAAGGATCTACATGATAGTTTCCCCTGCCCTTTTTGCCACTTTTGCTGTCCAGAAAGGAAATTTATAAGCAATCCCCAGCTGGGTAGTTTGACTGAAATTGCTAAGCAACTCCAGATAAGAAGCAAGAAGAGGAAGAGGCAGGAAGAGAAGCATGTGTGTAAGAAGCATAATCAGGTTTTGACTTTCTTCTGTCAGAAAGACCTAGAGCTTTTATGTCCAAGGTGCAGTTTGTCCACTGATCACCAGCATCACTGTGTTTGGCCCATAAAGAAGGCTGCCTCCTATCATAGGAAAAAACTGGAGGAATACAATGCACCGTGGAAGGAGAGAGTGGAACTAATTGAAAAAGTCATAACTATGCAAACCAGGAAATCACTGGAACTGAAGAAAAAGGTAAAACATAGGGCAGAAGAAGTCAAGTCTGAATTTGAGCAACTTAGGTTATTTCTCCAAAATGAGCAAGAGACTGTTCTTAGGTAATTACAAGATGAAGAGATGGATATTTTAGCACAACTAAATGAAAGCCTAACAAAATTTTCAGATTATACCTCCTCATTAAAATATCTACTAAAGGAGGTAGAGAGCATGTATGTAAAGTCAGAACTGGAATCACTGGCAAATGTTAAGGATATCTGTCACAGATATAAAAATTTAAAATTCCCTGAACCTTTTTCATTCAAATTAAAAGAATATGGTTACCATCTGCCTCCACAATATTCTGGCCTAGACAAAATTATCAAGCAATTTCAAGTATAGATGTAATACTAGATCCTGAAACAGCACATCCTGAACTTATAGTCTCAGAAGATAGAAAAACTGTGCAATATGAAAATACAACACAAAATGTACCTCATAACCCAAGAAGATTTTATCTCTTCCCAGCTGTTCTGGATTCTAAGGGATATAGTTGTGGCAGGCAGTACTGGGAAGTAGAAGTGAAAGACAAGCCTGAATGGATTCTTGGTGTCTGTAATGACTGTCTTCCCAGAAGGAGGAAGAGTCAACCAATATTAGTACAGGATGGATTATGGGGAATTTGGAGATCTAGTCAGAATAATTATATTGTATTGGGCCACAAGGAAATTATTCTGCTGCCACAAGTAATTCCTAGTAAGATTGGCATTTTTTTAGACTATGAAATGAATGAAGTTTCCTTTTATAATTTGAATGATAGATCTCTTCTCTATACTTTTAATGATAACTTTACAGGAGCACTTTGGCCTTATTTTTATACTGGAACTGACTCAAAACCTCTTAAAATTTCTACAGTAACAGATTCTGAATGAAGAACTGTTAAAAAACTGTCATTTTCTTTCAACTATTAGACATAACTGAGCCAGTGAATATAGTTTTGATAATTCTGTAATTTGTCTAGTTTTCCCCACAAAAAAAAAGAATAGTTTATATCTCAGTTTCAGCAACTTCTAAAAAATGTGATTATAGGACCTACTTTATAATAAATTATGGGGTCAGCCAGGCATGGTGGTTCACGCCTGTAATCCCAGCACTTTGGGAGGCCGAGGCGGGTGGATCACCTGAGGTTGGGAGTTCGAGACCAGCCTGATCAATATGGAAAAAACCCGCCTCTACTAAAAATACTAAATTGGCCAGTCGTGGTGGTGCATACCTGTAATGCCAGCTACTTGGGAGACTGAGGCAGGAGAATCACTTGAACCTGGGAGACAGAGGTTGCAGTGAACCAAGACTGCGCCATTGCACTCCAGCCTGCAGCCTGGGCAACAAGAGTGAAACTCCCTTTCAAGAAAAAAAAAAAAAAAATTATGGGGTCAATGACAAACTACCTTAGAAATTCTAAGACAAAATACCTGAAAAATACATTACTGAAGGAATGTATTATGTAAGAAAAGTGTATTACTCCTGTAATTGCCAATAGAAGCCCAATAATGTTTTTTCTGTGTTGCCTATATATTTTTCCTTTAAGAAAGATTAAGTCTTTTTTTTAAGATGGAGTCTCGCTCTGTCACCCAGCTGGAGTGCAGTGGTGCAATCTCAGCTCAATAGAACCTCTGCCCCTTGGGTTCAAGTGATTCTCCTGCCTCAGCCTCCCGAGTAGCTGGGATTATAGGCATGCACCACCATGCCTGACTAATTTTGTATTTTTAGTAGAGACGTGGTTTCTCCATGTTGGTCAGGCTGGTCTCGAACTCCCAACCTCAGGTGATCCGCCTGCCTTGGCCTCCCAAAGTGCTGGGATTACAGGCGTGAGCCACTGCACTCGGCCAAGATTAAGTCTTTATTAAAGGCATTCATCATTACTCTTGGACTACCTGGTAGGTAAAGATAGCCACTATCAATTTTTTTTTTTCTGTTTTGCCCAGGCTGGTCTTGAACTTGTGGCCTCCAGCAGTTCTCCTGCTTCAGCCTCCCAAAGCACTGGGATTACAGGCATTAACCACCATGCCCAGTGCCACTTTTCCCTTTCATCTGTTTACCTCAGTATTCCTAAGTAACTTTATTTTTTATTCTGTGCATCTTTGTCAGTACTGCCTTAGTCCTATAGAAAATGAGATGTCGGTTGGGTGCGTTGGTTCACGCCTGTAATCCTAGCACTTTGGGAGGCCGAGGTGGGCAGATAACCTGAGGTCAGGAGTTCGAGACCAGACTGGCCAAAATGGTGAAACCTGTCTCTACTAAAAATACGAAAAAATTGTTGAGAGGCCGAGGCAGGCGGATCATGAGGTCAGGAGATCAAGACCATCCTGGCTAACAGTGAAACCCTGTCTCTACTAAAAATACAACAAAAATTAGTCGGGTGTGGTGTTGGGCACCTGTAGTCCCAGCTACTTGGGAGGCTGAGGCAGGAGAATGGCGTGAACCCGGGAGGTGGAGTTTGCAGTAAGCCGAGATCGCGCCACTGCACTCCAGCCTGGGCAACAGAGTGAGACTCCGTCTGAAAAAAAAAAACCACACATAGTGGCACATGCCTGTAATCCCAGCTACTCAGGAGGCTGAGGCAGGAGAATCTCTTGAACCCGGGAGGCGGAGGTTGCAGTGAGCTGAGATTGGGCCATTGCACTCTAGCCTGGATGACGAGCGAAACTCCATCTCAAAAACAAAAAGAAAGGAAAGAAAATGAGATGGCACTCTTACATCCTCCTCTACCACAGACACGTATACACACCACCAGTAGATAATCTGTTCTGTTCCCACAGAGTACCCTCTAGTGCTGTTCAGCTACTGTCCTTCACTTCACTTTGGGAACTGATCTCTAGGCTCAGAATCCTTATTAACTTAGTTCCATGTTTTCCTCTTTAGGTTTATTCTGTTAATTCAGAGATTAATATCGTTCAGTAGATCACAGATATGTAACATTTGGAAAAACTTGTGTCAACAAAAAAGACTGGTGAGCTTTTGATGGGATTATGTTGTATCTTTTTAGATTAATGTGGAGAAAACTGACATCTTAACATGTCAGCCAGTAGACATAACTGAGACAGTGAATCTAGTCTGTTCCATCAATTTTTATGTCATTAACTTGTCGGAAATTTGTAGTTTTCAATGTACATGTGTTTAACATCTTTTGTCAGATTTGTCCTTAAGCATTTGATATTTTTATGTTGATTATTTCAATTCTAATTCTTCATTACTAGAATATGGAAAATTGATTTTCGTGTATTAATCTTATTTCCTATAAGCTTGCTAAACTTACTTCTAGGAGCTTTTATGTAGATTCCATTGGATTTTCTGCAGAGATAGTCATGTCATGGGCAAGTAGAGACATCGGTATTTCTTCCTGTGTAAGCTAGATCATTTTTCTATCTTCTTTTTTTTTTGAGATGGAGTCTCACTCTGTTGCCCAGGCTGGAGTACAATGGCGCAATCTTGGCTCACTGCAAACTCTGCCTCCTGGGTTGAAGCGATTCTCGTGCTTCAGCCTCCCGTGTAGCCAGGATTATAGTCTCCCACCACCACACCTGGCTAATTTTTGTGTTTTTAGTAGAGACGGAGTTTCACCATGTTGGCCAATCTGGTCTCGAACTCCCGACCTCGGGTGTTCTGCCCACCTCGGCCTCCCAAAGTGCTGGGATTACAGATGTGAGTCACTGCACCCAGCCCAAAAGCACAATTTTTAAAAATCTAGGTTTAAAGTTTCAATTATTTGTTTATAAAATTAATTTACAAATATTCCTTTATGACTACCCCTGCCAGCTTTTCAGAGGCAGCCACTTTGAACTTTTCAGCTCTTTTATAGTCACGAAATCACATTCTAATAATACTTTTGGATTTTTTAGTTTGAAGTATTATCATATCCCACTTTGGAAGATAAGAATTTGGAACAGCCTTCACCCAGTGGCCCTTCTAATAGAATTTATCATTTTTGTTTTAGGATATTTTCTCACATTTATTTTGATTATTTCAATACCATTGAAATAGAATAGAATTTACCATTTTTGTTTTAGAATATTTTCTCACATTTATTTGACTATTTCAGTAACATTCATTTCTGAGCCGTGTATTGTATAGTAATTGCCATTTTGTTTTCTGTTTTTTTGTGGTTTTTTTTAACGCTCTGTCGCCCAGGCTGGAATGCAGTGGCTCCACCCCGGCTCACTACCAGCTCCGCCTCCCAGGTTCACGCCATTCTCCTGCCTCAGCCTCCCGAATAGCTGGGATTACAGGCGGCCGCCACCACGCCCGGCTAATTTTTTGTATTTTTAGTAGAGACAGGGTTTCACCGTGTTAGCCAGGATGGTCTCGATCTCCTGACCTCATGATCCGCCTGCCTTGGCCTCCCAAAGTGCTGGGATTACAGGCGTGAGCCACCGTGCCCGGCTGCCATTTTGTTTTTTCTATAAACGTTTCCTGTAGTAAATAATCTCATTTTCAATATGCTTTGTTTTCCATGTTCTTATTCTTTTTTTTTTCAAGTTTTAACCAAAGCTTGTATATAAGATTACTTTATTCCTGCATCTTCTCAATTGTTTCTTCCTTGTATTTGCCCTTTTCTTTTCCTACTTGGCGAGATTTGGCTTCCTTTTCAAGGATCTTTTTGCAGTCTTTGTCCAGTTTTAGCCTAGTGATAACTACCTTATTGGGGTGAATGCCTACATGGACAGTTGTGCCATTAGCCTTTTCCCACTGCACCTGTTCAATGTAGATGACATATTTCTTTCCTGTAAACCTGAACTACTTTGCCAAGTTGCTGACCTTTATAGTGTCCTCGTACAACCTGAACTTCATCATCCTTTTGGATGGGCATGGATCAAACGTCGTACTTCGTACTTCTGTCTCAGCTCTTTGGAAAGAGAGGAAGACAAAATCTTCCTGCGAATGTGGGAAGGTGCACTGAAATGACTTTTGTGGTTCTTGCTTCTGTCAGAAGTCACAAAGGGATTGAACTTCATTTTGGCTGCTCCCACTTCAGTGATGGCTGCAAAAGGAAAGAGCTCCATGTTCTTACTCTTAATTCATTTCCAAACTGTCCCCTGCACTTGTCTGATTGCCTGAATTCATTTTAAGGCATCTGGCTTTATGCCATTTTCATCTTGCAGAATACTCTCAAGGAGCCCTCTAATCTGCAACACAGGCACATTTGTTCACTAAGCCAGCTGCTCAGGTATCTTGGAGATATTCTTAGCATCTCTTGAATTGTTTTACCTGTTTTTATGTTTTTCCATTTGGAAGTTGGTTTCTTGTTTAATTGGAGCACATCCTTCAGTAGCTTTCTAGTAAGGTTCATGGGAAATAAAGTTTTTGATACCTTTTGATACCTTTGTATCTGAAAATGTCTTTTTTTTTTTTTTTTTTTTTTGAGACAGAGTCTTGCTCTGTCGCCCAGGCTCGAGTGCAGTGGCGTGATCTTGGCTCACTGCAAGCTCTGGCTCCCAGGTTCACGCCATTCTCCTGCCTCAGCCTCCCGAGTAGCTGGGACTACAGGTGCCCACCACCACACCTGGCTAATTTTTTTGTATTTTCAGTAGAGTCAGGGTTTCATCATGTTAGCCAGGATGGTCTCGATCTCCTGACCTTGTGATCCACCCGCCTCAGCTTCCCAAAGTGCTGGGATTACAGGCATGAGCCACCACACCTGACCTCTGAAAATGTCTTTAGTCTATCCTGATATTTAATCAGAAGTTTTTCAGGGTCTGAAATTATAGTTTTGAAACAATTTACTCTTACGTATTTTAATCTTTTAAATTGAGAAATATATAGTTATGATATCTACAATGTATTATGAAATACATTAACATAAACAAATGTTCTATAAGCATGACATTTAGTCAGCTACACAAATTTGGTCAGGAACTCGTACCCAAGGTCAGCTGGCATTATAATGGATAAATTTAAGCTCCAAGTACTATTGTAATGCTTCAGTTATTTTTATTTTTTTGAGATGGAGTCTAGCTCTGTCGCCCAGGCTGGAGTGCAGTGGCGTGATCTCTGCTAACTGCAGCCTCTGCCTCCTGGGTTCAAGCAATTCTCGCACCTCAGCCTCCCAAGTAGCTGGAATTACAGACGCATGCCACCACACATGGTCAACTTTTGTATTTTTTAGTAGAGACAGGGTTTCACCATGTTGGTCAGGCTGGTCTTGAACTCCTGACCTCAAGTGATCCACCTGCCTCAGCCTCCAAATTGCTGGAATTATAGCCGTGAGCCACCACACCTGGCCAGTTATCTTAATCTTACACCAATCCAGAGAAAATTACACATCTCGTTAAATTACAATAATGAATTATAGTAGACATCAAAAATAGGATGACATTGGGGTGAAATGTGCTATTAGAGATACATGGATTGACTGAAATATTTGAGGATCTGTAAATACAGTGGCTTCCTTGGACAAGAAAACAATCATAGTTTAAAGACAGAATCGTTCTTGTAAGTGATAAGAGTTTCATAAACGAAAAATATAATTGTGTATTTCCAGCATCCCTACTCTGCACTCCGCTTGCCAGTTTCTGGCTACTTAATATTCCACTACCAACCTTATGCCCCAAGAAATCATCACTATAATATTCTTTTCCCCATTTCCCCTACATAATCAGCCTTCTTCCTAATTGTTCTATCCCTTACTCATTGCCGAAACTAAGGCACTGAGATACTGAAAAGAGCATGCATTTGAAATCCCATACTAGGTTGGACAGTTTGTGGCAGTTATCAATATATTGCCTCTAACTTTATCTTTTCAAAGAATCAGCTTTGGTTTTGTTGATTTTCTGTCTTGTTTCCAATTTCAATTTTATTGATTTCTGCTCTAATTTTTATTTTTGTCCTTCTGCATGCTTTACATTGAAAAGCTTTACATTTGCTTTTGTTCTGTCTAGTTTCTTAAGGTAAAGGGTTAAGTTGCTGATTTTAGATCTTCTTTTCTAATATGTTATAAATTTAATGCTATAAATTTCCCTGTAAATACTGCTTTAGCTATGTTACACCAACATTGAAATATTGTATTTGTATTTGTATTTGTATTTTGCTCCAAATATTTAATTTTCCTGAGACTTACTCTTTGACCTAAGGGGTATTTAGAAGGGTACTAATTTTCACATGTTTGTGGATTTCTCAGAGATTTTTCTACAATATCAACTTTAATTTTGTATTATTTCTATTCTTTAAATGTGTGAAGGTATGTTTCATAGCCTATGATGTGGTTTATCTTGGTGAGTGACTCAGAAACTTGAAAAGAAGGCTGATTTTGACTTCTCTGTTTTTTGTTTTTATTGGAGACAAGATCTTAACTAATGTTGCCCAGGTTGGATTCAAAACTCCTGGCCCCAAGTGATCCGCCCACCTTGGACTTCAAAAGTGCTAGGATTAAGACAGGGTCTGGCTATATTGTCCAGGCTAGCATTCAATAGCTATTCACAGGCACAATCATAGCCCACTGCATCCCCAAACTCCTGGGCTCAGGAGATCCTCCTGCCTCAGCCTCCAGGACAGCTGGGACCACAGGTGCACATCACCATGCCTTGCTTCTCTGGGTTTCATCAAGCATGTTTTATGATTACATTTTAATCTCTTCTATTAACTTTTTATTTTATTTATTTATTTTTTGAGACAGAGTCTCACTGTGTCACCAGGCTGGAGTGCAGTAGCACAATATCGACTCATTGCAACTTCCGCCTCCCGAGTTCAAGCGATTCTCCTGCCTCAGCCTCCTGAGTAGCTGGGACTACAGGCACATGCCACCATGCCCGGCTAATTTTTTTTTTTTTTTTTTTTTTTTTGAGTTGGAGTCTCGCTCTGTCACCAGGCTGGAGTGCAGTGGTGCAATCTCGGCTCGCTGCAACCTCCACCTCCCAGGTTCAAACGATTCTCCTGCCTCAGCCTCCCAAGTAGCTGGGACTACAGGCGCATGCCACCATGCCCAGCTAATTTTTGTATTTTTAGTAGAGACGAGGTTTCACCATGTTGGCCAGGATGGTCTTGATCTCTTGACCTCATGATCTGTCTGCCTCGGCTGCCCAAAGTGCTGGGATTACAGGCATGAGTCACCACATCCAGCCTAATTTTTGTACTTTTAATAGAAACTGGGTTTCACCATGTTGGCCAGGATGATCTCGCTCTTGACCTCGTCATCCACCCACCTCAGCCTCCCAAAGTGCTGGGATTATAGGCATGAGCCACCGTGCCTGGCCTTATTGTATACATCTTTTAAAAACATTTTTTAGTGGTTCTCCCAGGGGTTTACAGTATACATTTTAAAAAAATTTGAGGCCTCCTTTAAATGAAATTATACTGTTTCCTTTTCAGTATAAGAACCTTGTAATAGTGTATTCCCAATTCTCACTGATTCTTTGTGGTCTTGTATTCATACAATACTTTTACATATGCTGGAAAAACACTTATTATTGTTTTAAACAGCTAGTTATCTTTTAGAGCAATTACCTTTATTTTATGCACTTTATTTCTTTGTGTAAACACAAGTTTCTGACATCTATAATATTCCTTTGGCCTGAAGTACTTTAACATTCCTCTTAGTGTCTGCTTGATGGCAACAAATTCCCTCCATTTTATTTTTCTAAGTATTTCTCCATTGCTTTTGAGAAATGTGCTAATCGGTTATAGAATTGTGAGTTGGCAAGATTTTTTTTATTTACAGAAGTAACTATTGTGTCCTGGATTTCACATTTTCTGATGAGAGGTCTGTTGTAATTCTTATCCTCCTTCCTTTGTCAGTGGTCATGCACTGCATAACAGTGTTTCAACCACTGACCACATACATGACAGTGGTCCTATAAGATTATAAACCTGCATTTTTATGGAAATTTTCTGTGGTTACGTATACCTAGATACAAAAATAGTTGCCTTTGTGTTACAATTTCTATAGTATTCAGCACAGTAACTTGCTGTACAGGTTTACTAGCCTAGGAGCATTCGGCTGTACCATATAGCTTACAGGCATAATAAGCTACAAAATTACTATCTAGGTTTGTGTACACATACTCTATGATGTTCACAGAATGATGAAATCATCCCATGATGTACTTCTCAGAACATATTCCCATAGTTAATGTATGCAAGGCAGTAATGTAGTTTTTTACTTGGGCTGCCTTCAAAATTGTGTTTTTGATTTTAATTTTCAGCAGTTTGAATTTGATTGATATATTGATATGTTTGGAGATATGTTGTCATTTTTTTCTTGTTTTGGTTTGTGTGTTTTGATAGTCATCATGCTTGGTATGCTCTGGGCTTCTTGGTTCTGGAGTTTTAGTGTCTGTAACTAAATTCTTGGCCATGATTTTTTTGAATATCTCCTCGGTTTTTCTTTTTAAATTTTTATTTATTTTTGCCTTCATTTCCTAGTGATGAGATTTCTTCTTTCTGAGATTCCAAGTATCCATAAATGACACTGTTTGATACTGTCCCACAGTTCTTAGTTTTTGTTTTTTGTTCTTTTCACTTTATATTTCAGTTTGGGTAGTTTGTTTATCTATCTTCAAGTTCACTGATTATTTCCCTCAGTGTGTTGAGGGTACTAATGAGCCCATTGAAGGCATCTTCAACTCTTTTCTGTGGTTTTCATTGCTAGCATTTCCATTTGATTTTTTTTTTTTTTTTTTTTGAGACAGAGTCTCACTTGCTCACCGAGGCTGGAATGCAGTGGCACGATCTCAGCTCACTGCAACCTCCACCTCTCGGGTTCAAGTAATTCTCCTCCCTCAGCCTCCAGAGTAGCTGGGATTACAGGCACCCGCCACCACACCGGGCAAATTTTTTTTTGTATTTTTAGTACAGACAGGGTTTCACCATGTTGGTCAGCCTAGTTTGGAACTCCTGACCTCAAGTGATCTGCCTGCCTCAGCCTCCCAAAGTGCTAGGATTACAGGCGTGAGCCACCGTGCCCAGCTTTTCCATTTGATTTTATAGTTTCCAACTCTGATAAAATTATCTATCTGATCCCGCATGTTGTCTTTATTTTCCACTAAAGCCTTTAACATATCAATTACAATTATTTTCATTTTTTTGCATGAGAGTTCCTACATGTGTGTCATAGCTTAGTATGGTTCCGATGTTCATTTTGTCTCTTCAGAGTGTGGTTTATTTTCCTTTTACATTTTTTTTTGTATGCCTTGTTTTTTTTTGTTTTTGGTAAAAACCAGACATATATAGAAAAATACATACTAAGGTAAACATTTTTATACTTGTAGATTATATTAGTTTTGGAGGGAATACCCTAATAAGGTATCACAAACTGGATGGTTTACATAACAGGAAATTTATTGTCTCACAGTTCTGGAGGCCGAGTCCAAAATATGGGTGTTGGCAGGATTGGTTCTTTCTGAGGGCTGTGACACAAAATTTCTTCCATGCCTCCAGGCTCTGGTGGGTTGCTGCCAATTTGTCATTCCTTGGCTAGTAGATGCATCACTCCAGTGGCATTCTCCCCATGTTTCCTCACATAACCTTCCTCTGTGCATATCTTTGTGTCAAAAAATTTCGTCTTTTTATAAGGACAGCAGTCATATTGGATTAAGGCCCACCCTAATGGCCTCATTTGAACTGATTACCTTTTTGTTTTTTTTTTGAGATGGAGTTTCACTGTTGTTGCCCAGGCTGGAGTACAATGGCACAATCTCGGCTCACTGCAACCTCCGCCTCCCAAGTTCAAACGATTCTCCTGCCTCAGCCTCCCGAGTAGCTGGGATTGCAGGCGCCCACCACCATGCCCAGCTAATCTGTGTATTTTTACTAGAGGTGGGGTTTCACCATGTTGGCCAGGTTGGTCTCAATTTCCTGACCTCTGGTGATCCACCTGCCTCAGCCTCCCAAAGTGCTGGAATTACAGGCGTGAGCCACCGCCCCCAGCCTTAACAGATTACCTTGGTAAAGACCTAATTTCCAAATGAGGTCACATCTGAAGTACTGGGGTTAGCACTTCAATAGATGTTTTTGGCAGAACACAATTCAACCAATAGCAGAGATGAACTTGTTTCCCTTCTGCTAGGCCCGTAGTGAGGGTGTGTTTGTATTAATCGAGCCAGGAGTTAGGCAGAGTTTGAAGTTTGTTATTGCTATGGTTAGCCTTAGTGCATTAAAGGCTTCACACTCCCCTAGTGCTGTCTTTCATTTCTCAAACTGGATTCTACTGTTATTTTTACTCAACTCCTCTTAGTGTGGTTTTGGGAGTTGGGGAAGCCCATGTTTTCCAATATTCTGATTGAGCATGAGTCATGGGCAGGCACTCTGAACTCTGGTCTCAGGTATGTGTGGCCTTCACAAATGTTCTTCACCCTCCTCCAGATGTAATGCTGGGCCTAGCACACATTCCCACATCTCACAGCACAAGGAAAATGACTGGCACATCTTCCAAGTCCCCTTTTTCAGGGAACTACCTGGTGATACGCTCACCAAAAGAAGGGAAGAAAACTAAGAAGGAAAACAAGGGACTCAGACAACAATAGACTTAAAACCTCTGGACATAAGACAGAAGATAAAAGATAATTCTTAGGGTAAGGGAAACATGAAAGGCCTCAGAGGACAGCTGTGCATCATATCACCAAATTTCAGTTCATGCTAAGATGACAGAGGGCTTCAGGAGATCGAGCACTACAAAGAAAATGAATATAATCAACAAATTACATGTCGAGTTTAGAGAGGAACTTTAGAGATTAGCAGATATGGGGCTGAAAGAGAAACAGAAAGTGCAGCAAGTAAGATATCAGGCAATTTTAATCACAATAAAACAAAATTTGTGTATCAAATTATAGCACCTAAGTGGCTCAGCTGTGAACAATTATATAGTCGTATGAACATATTAATCCAATTACATTACCATATTTGGATATTTGTGGGGAAAGAGAGTATGTGCCTGGGTGGTGCGAGAGACCTAAATTCTCAGTTTACCTAATAGAATTTTAATTTGAAATGTCTAATATTAGACATATTACAGTAATGGAGAAATAGCAAGGTCACTAGAATAAATCATGCCTCTGTTTAACAGGAATTTCACATAGGATGGCATGACCCAGGAGATTTTCGTTTTTATAAAAGACTTTTGTTGCTGGACTGAACTAATAACTTTCTATATAATTTTTTTCTTTTGACATAATTTTTATAAAATTCATAATGTGGAATTTTAATTCATAATGTGGAACGCATTGAATTAATGACTATACAAGTAATACCATCTTTCATCTTAGAATATCAAAAATACTTTACAATTTACTCCCATTACATCTCTGAAGAGTATGCATTTCTAATACTATTTTATTGACAGCTGCTAAAATAATGGAAGAAAAAAACCTTTCCTCTGCTTATAAGAGGTAAACACAGAATTCAGAATTGTGGAGCTCCTCTCCTAAATAAAAATACAAAATCATTTTCAAATAATTCATCCTTCATAATCTATCACTGTACAGATTATAAGAGGTTAGAAATCATACCCAGTGTGAAACACAGCCTAAGTAGTTTCATAAAAATATCACTTGAAGAAAAAATATGAGATCTGGCATTCAAGTTATAAGATTAAACGTCACCCACTTCATTGTCCAGAAAAATCCTAATATTACTGGGTTTTACTTTTAATAGCAGAACGATTGCCACTCTACCTACTGTAATGACTTCAGCAAAGTTATTACATTTCTGTAGCTGAATACTAAAGCATGAATCCTATTGTGATGGTGTCTTTTTCCATCTCCTCAGAATACAATTCTAACAAACAACACTGTTCTATCTATCCCGTTTGATTTTGTCTTCTTTCCCTTCCTCCTAGTAATACCAGTCTTAATCTTTTTGGATCATGAGTTTTTGTGGTATCTTTCCAAATCTCACTGTATTCTGTCTTCAGATATACAAGATTATGACATGCTGTTTCAGGATCTAGAGCGAAATCTATGTAAAATGAAGAATCTTTTGTCGACTATAATGTTGTGGCAGAAGTCTAGAATCATCATTCCGTAGTTAAAATGCAAAAGCTCATGAAGGTTTTATCTTAAAACATGTTATTGATACATACACTTATATCAGTTACTGGTTGTCTATTTGAGTGAAGAGTTTGCTATCCCACTTATTAGAGCTTTTAATAAGAAAATATGGTCTGAAAGTTTTGTTTTCATCTAATGTGTGTATCATATCCTATCCTTTGTATTTTCGGGTTTCAGAACTGCATCTTATTCATTTTCCAAATAGAGTATAAAGTGCTCAAAATCAGAGTTTAATCTCTTCCTCTAATATTCAACTATCTTCGGTAGCATTCAACTATCTTCGGTAGCATTCATGTATTTTTAGTTAACATAACTATTAGTTTAGTTTTGGCTTATTTAAAACATTTTATACTTGCTTTTTCAGAGGTCAGACATCCCCTGTGAGCTTCTTCCTTGAAGCAGCCTGCTCTATAGGACAGGTGAGCCCAGCGGGAGCCAGCCCACTGCAGAGCCAAACCCTCTAGTCCTTGTCACAAAAAGGGGCTGGGACCTGATGGTGATTATCTTCCTGCCTTTTCCTGGTGGTCCTTCTGAGTTGGAGTTGCTTGGTAATTTCAGTGGTGTGACAACCGGAGTGTTGCTACTAAAATTCCTCCCTGGGCTGCATGAGCGGCTGACAGGGCACGGGGAGAAAACGATTAGCTTCTCCCAGGATTGGTGAAGCCACCGCTGTTGGACAAGTATAGTCGTCGCTGGATCTCTGCAAAGAGACTGTCGAAGCGGCTGCGGTTCAGCGTAAGGTCTGTTAGGGAGACCTGAAGCCCTGTGCCAGGAACGCAGTGCTCGCTTAGCCCACCCTGCAGGGATGGCTTTCCAGGCGCTGGGTCCAGTGAGAAAAGCGTGTCCGGAATTGGTTCCTTCCGGTGGGTTCTTGGTCTCGCTGACTTCAAGAATGAAGTCACGGACCTTCTTCGCGGTGAGTGTTATAGTTCTTAAAGATGGTGTGTCCGGAGTGTGTTCCTTGCAATGTTCAGATGTGTCCGGAGTTTCTTCCTTCTGGTGGGTTCATGGTCTCGCTGACTTCAGGAGTGAAGCTGCAGACTTTCGCAGTGAGTGTTACAGCTCTTAAAGGTGGCACGTTCAGAGTTGTTTGTTCCTCCCGGTGGGTTCGTGGTCTTGCTGACTTCAAGAATGAAGCTGCAGATCCTTGTGGTGAGTGTTACAGCTCATAAAGGTAGTGCGGACCCAGAGTGAGCACAGCAAGATTTACTGTGAAGAGCAAAAGAACAAAGCTCCCACAGTGTGGAAGGGGACCCGAGTGGTTGCCGCTACTGGCTAGGGTGGCCAGCTTTTATTCCCTTATTTGGCCCTGCCCACATCCTACTGACTGGTCCATTTTACAGAGCGCTGATTGGTCCGTTTACAAACCTTTAGCTAGACACAGAGTGCTGATTGGTGTGTTTTTACAGAGTGCTGATTGGTGTGTTTACAATCCTTCAGCTAGACAGAAAAGTTCTCCAAGTCCCGACTGGACCCAGGAAGTTCAGTTGGCTTCACCTCTCAAGAGGACAGCTGCCCTGCCACACGGCACATCCTTCCATCCACTGTGGTACCTGGCGCTGCCCCTGGTCTCCAACATCATCGACCTCCATGGTCTCACCCAGAAGTTGAAGTCCAGAGGCGGTGCCGGCCATGCACAATCACTGCTCAGCTGCCCCGACTTCTGTACAGACTTGCTGGAGGTGTCGCCCAGCCACCTGCAGGAAGCCCTGCAGGACACCTAGGCCTCCTGAGAACTTTGTATTCTGTGAGAAGTTTGCATTCTCAAGGAACCTCAGCTGTTTGGTTTGCTCTTCTGCCACCCACCTCTACCTGTGCCAGATTGAGGGCACTCCCTGCCCCACCCTAACAGAACAGGATTCCAGTTGCTGTTTTAATTTACTGAATGTTATTTGTAACTGGTGGGAGAAAAATGTGGTTATAATTCACACTGTAGAGCTTATTAAAAGTCACAGTAACACTATAATTGAAATATTGTATTTTAGGAAATAAATAATGAAATTATAAGATGAAATATAATGTACAGATGAAATATACAGATGAAATTGTACGATGTCTGGGAATTTGCTCCATTGGCAGGAGAAGCTGGTGGGGTTACAAAGATTGTTAATTCAAATGATAGAAATTGGTTTCTTTTTATGCGTAGGTTCTTCATACTGTTCTCTCTACTCTTATGGATGTATGAAATACTCTACAATTTAAAAGCTTCCTTTTAACTTAGATCAACCAATTGAAGACAAAGAACTAAATAAACAATGAAAAGAAAAGAAAACCAAAAAAACAAAACAGGGTTGGAGCTCCTATGAGAATCTAATACCATTGCTGATCTTACAGGAGGTGGAGCTCTGGTGGTAATGCTCACTCTCTAGGCTCACCTCCTGCTGTGTAGCCCAGCTCTTAACAGGCCACCATCAGGTCCCAGTCTGCGGCCAGGGTTTGGGGACCCCTGTACTAAGAAATCTTGCCAGGCTCTTTCTGCAAGAGCCTGTTGTAATATTGTCTGCCCCCTAAGAGGCTTATTTCTAGAGTCCTCAACTGTGTTTTCTGGATTCTCACACTCTCAGGCAGCTCTCCAACTGGGCAGTCTCATGCAGCAGACAGCCTCCCAGGAAAAAACTCACTGGCTCCTCCCTGCTCCTTCTGGAGGTGGTAGCTCTGTAGTTGTGGTAGAGAGAATGGGGCTATGAGCAGCGTCAAAGCTCCTATTGTAGCCAGCTCACCCGGGAGGAATGTATCAGAACTTTGCTTTGGGGGAACATGGGCATGTAGTTTAAATAAGTCCCTGTGGTGAATCTGATATGTTGTCAGTCTCTGTGTGGGATATAAGAAATACATTTGGTCTTTGTTCCTTTTCCTTTTGTGGAGCTCCTCAAGTCCCTTGAAATGTCCCCAGTTGTATTTTTGGTTTATTTTATTTATTTTTTAATTTTTGTACAGCATTTCAAGTTTATTTGTATTCACAGAACATACCAGGCGATCTTGACAGCTGCCAGGTGACAGCCCTCCAACCCCTAACCCTGCAGCTGCTCCCATAAAGGGCAAATTCCAGAAGATCCAGAAGATCATTCCTGAGGTCCGCAGATGCCTCATACAGTGGACAGAGCTGAGATGCTGGAGGATGGAACATCATCCCTAGACCTACAACCCACTGTTAACGGTGGAGGGTGTCCAGGTTCTTGCCTTCTTGAATGAAGAATTGGACAAAGTGCACAAACAAAGCAAGGAAGGAAGGAAGGAAGGGTTTTCTTGAAAATGAAAGTACCCTCTGCAGTGTGGGAGCAGGCCTGAGCATAGGGGCTCAAAGGCCCCGTTAACAGAATTGTTGGGAGTTTAAATAGCCCCTAGAGGATTCCATTGGTTACTTGGGGGTACACCCTATGTAAATGGAGGGAATGAAGTAAAATGACAAAGTCATTTACAGCCTATGCCTTGTGGAGAGGATATTTCCTGTTATAGCTGAAGTGTGAATTGGCCTTATGTTCTCTGCCTCCAGACTCTATTTTCCTGCCTCACCACCACCAGACTTGATTCCAGCCAGGAAGGCCTCCCTAACTGGAGTCCTCCCCTTTTCTTCTCCTACTCTGCTGTAGTTCCAAGTGTCCCCCCTCCACCAGTCCCACAAAACTCAAATACTGAGAGGTCTCCATTTATAGCAGGGGGGACATCTCACACCCTTGTATAAGTTAAAACAAATATTACGCACACTCCTCCATCACCTAGGTGGACATATGGGAATACAAGTAAATATTAATTAGGAGCAATGAGAAATAAATTAATGACGCTCTCCGGGTTTTTCCCACCGGGCGTAGCCCTGCGGTGTCTGTGCCTCAGTCTTCTGTTATTCGGTCTCCCCACAAGCACCAGCTGGCCTTTCTGCTGTAATGTTCTGAGTCTGAGTTCCCTGGGAAGTCCCAGTTTGAAATACGCTCTCCAGCACCAGATACGCCCGGTGTTTTCTTTGGTTTTTCTGATTCTTTTTGGGGGATTGCGGGAGTCAGGGTTAGAAGTCGGCCTGGTGGTGCTGGAAAAAAGTTCTGAGGTCCAGCGCAGAGTCCCAGGGCTCCCAAGTCAGATTAAGGGCTTGAGGACGGGGGCGCAGAGATGGGGGTGTCCTGCAGAGGCAGGGGCGCCGGCACACCCTCTTCAGCCATCGGAATCTGGCAGAAGATGAAGTGAGCAGGGAAAGAGAAGCCTCTTTAGCAGGGTTCAGTTCCTTGACTGGCAGCTGGCACTCGCCCCTGGAGGGTGGAGGACTCTGCGGCTCCACATTCGGTGCCCATGAGAGGCGCTGGGGTGAGGCTGGGCCCTCTGTGGGCTCCGGGAGAGGTCGAAAGTGAAGATCTCAGAACCTGAGCTCTGCCAGGTTACCGGGTTCGTGCAGGATGGTCATGGTGGGGTGGGAACTGCGGAAGTGACACATCATGTGCTGGGTGGAACATAAGGGCAAGGGCTGGGTTGTGTTTGTTTGTTCATTTGAGATGGAGAGATGGAGTTTCGCTCTTGTACCCCAGGCTGGAGTGGAATAGCAAGATCTCCACTCGCTGTAACCTCTGCCTCCCGGGTTCAAGCCATTCTTCTGCCTCTGCTTCCGGAGTAGCTGAGATTACAGGCGCCCGGCACCACGCCCAGCTAATTTTTGTATTTTTAGTAGAGACGCGGTTTCACCGTGTTGGCCAGGCTGGTCTCGAACTCCCGACCTCAGGTGATCTGCCCACCTTGGCCTCCCAAAGTGCTGGGATTACAAGCATGAGCTACCGAGCCTGGCGGGCTGGGTTTTTTAATTTCATATATTTTTTTGGACTCAGGATGTTGCTCTGTCACCGTGTAGTGCAGTGGGCAGTCATGGTTCACTGTAACCTGGAACGCCTGAGCTCAAGGGATCCTCCAGCCTCAACCTTCCAAATAGCCAGGATTGCAGGCACACGTCACCATGCCCAGCTAATTTTTTCAAATTACCATGATTGGTGGGTAGAGATGCATAACATTCCTTTGAGGCAAAGGGAAAGCATGGCCAGGAAGCTGTCGAAATAAGCCTGAAAAAACCTAGTCAAATCTGTAGCAGCCAGTTATTTACCATTTCCTGATTGGATGGAGTAAGTCATGTCAATAACATTGGGAGAGATCATCCCATTAAAGCTGTCATCAGTTCCCTCTGAGATGTCATACTTCTTTCAAAGTATAAGAACACACAAAATTGGGGTTGAACCCAGAAACGGTGAGATAATCACGCCTAGGTCTTGCATCATGGGTTTCAAATCTTGAGTATCTATTTTAACTAATATTTAATCATATTATCTTTTCTCACTGGGGTCAGGAACATCCATGGATCCCATTTTGTAAAGCTAATTTGAAAATGCAGAAGACGTAATTTAATTTTGTATTTATTACTTATTGTATTTCTCTTTTCTCTTTAATATTTCATCCCAGTGTGTGTTCTCACCCTGGAAAATTTAGGGAAGCCAGTGATTCTCATAGTTAAGGTAAAGAATACCTCTTTGCCTCCATTTTATGTTCAGTAACATCACTAAGGTAATAGAGGATTCTTCATTTAAAATCAGAGGGATCCCTGGTAAACTAATTAGAGGGAAATAATAAAGTCTATAAAGGTTTTCCAATGATGCATTTCAACAGATGCTTAGGTTCAATCATCATCTAGGTTACAGAGACAGAAAAGTCAACCAGTACCTTTTAATCTTTTGTGTTGTTTAGATTCTTTTGGTAAATTTTGCATTTTCAACTTGAAATTGCAAATTAGGAAGCTTCCTCCAGTTTTTTTGTTTTGTTTTGTTTTGGTGCTTTTTTTTTTGTCCTCTCCTTGAATCTAGAATTTGGTGTTATTTTTCTTTCTCTTTCTTCCCCATCTCCCTGACTTTTCATGTCTATTGTTTTTTATTCTTTTTTTTTTTTGGTAAACGTGCAATATACTTTAGGGGCTGTTCCTTTTCATGTTATTATGTTTTGAAGTTTCTGACTCCAGAAAACCTTCTATTAGTACCATCACAGTTCTATGGGCACTGGAGGGTTACAGAGTTTAGGAACCCTGGTTGTAAGTTTGGTTGAAATTGACCACTTCGGTGAGCCACAGGGGTCACTGGTTTCTCCCCATAATTCTTTTTCTTTTTCTTTTTCTTTTCTTTCTTTCTCTTTTTTTTTTTTTTTTTTTTTTGAAACAAAGTCACATTATGTTGCCCAGGCTGTTGTCAAGCTCCTGAGCTCAAGCGATCATTACAGGTGTGAGATACTGTTCCCAGCTATCTCCCTATAATTCTGAAGATCAGAATCTTTGTTGTAACAAAGGCCTAGACAGCAGCAGAAAGCAAAGATATTTCTAGGGTCCTAATTAGCCATCTGCTCTTATGAGTGTGAGCCTCAATAGCTATTGTTTAAATGTTTGTCTCCACAAACCTCTTGTATTATAAACAATCACCCATGTGATTCCACTGAGAGGTGGAACCTAATGAGAGGGGTTTAGGTCTCAAGGGCTCCCCCTCATGGATTCATGCCATGCTAAAAAAGAGCTTTCCAGGGTATATACACCCACTCTGCTCTCTTTTTCTTTTCTTTGAGATGGAGTCTTGCTCTGTCACCCAGGCTGGAGTGCAATGACACAATCTTGGCTCTGCCATCTCTGCCTCTGGAGTTCAAATGATCCTCCCACTTCAGCCTCCCGAGTAGGTGAGACTACAGCTGCATGCCATCATGCCCAGCTAAGTTTTGTACTTTTAGTCGAGATAGGGTTTTGCTGTAGCAGGACGAGCCACAGACAAAACCTCTCAGACACCGAGTTGTAGAAGGAAGGGCTTTATTCAGCTGGGAGCATCAGCAAGCTACTGCCTTAAAATCCGAGCTCCCCAAATGCCCAATTTCTATCCCTTTTAAGGGCTCACCACACTAAAGATTTCACATGAAAGGGTCGTGATTGATTTGAGCAAGCAAGGCAGTACGTGACAGGGGCTGCATGCACCGGTGGTCAGAGAGAACCAGAACAGGGCAGGGAGTTTCACAACGTTCTTCTATACAATGTCTGGAATCTATAAATAACATCAGTTTCTAAGTTATGAGTTGATTTTTAACTACTGGGTTTAGGCCAGGCAGGCCCAGGCCTGGTTTTGGGCCTGGCCTCGGGTTGCCTGTCTTTGGTTTTACTTCCTTGTTGTTTTTTCTTAAAACAGGTACTGAGTATAAAACAATATAAAACAATATGAGAGGGTCTCTCTCTTCCCTAATTGCCATTTTGGCCAAGCTGGTCTTCAACTCCTGGCCTCAAGTGATCTGCCTGCCTAGGCCTCCCAAAGTGCTGAGATTACAGGCATGAGCCACTGCACTCAGCAGCTCCACCTCTGCTCTTTAGCCATGTCAGGAACAGCGTTTCTCCCTCCAGAGGCTGCAGCATTGAAGGCACCATCTTGGAAGCAGAGACCAGGCACTCACCTGACACCAAACCTGTCACTGCCTTGATCTTGAGCTTCCCAACTTCCAGAACGGTGAGAAATTAATTTCTCTTCTTTATAGATTACCAAATCTCAGGCATTCTCTCAAATCAGAACAAAATGGATTAACATAAGTAATTGTAATTTTCAACTAATGCTCAATCTCCAAATAGTGACTTCTTGCTTCACACAAGTGACCACCAAATGAGCCCGTATATGGCACAGGATACAATTTTTCCCCTATGTGCTCTATAGAACAGGCACCAGTTTGGAGGTGAGACACACGAACAATTGGTCACAAATTAGAGTTCCCCCTGAACTTACATCAGTCACAGCTTATGTTAGAATCTAGAAACACACCATGGAAAATTTAGGAAAGGCAGTGATTCTTATAGTTAAGATAAGGGATACCTCTTTTACCTTCATTTTATGATTAGTAATGTCACTAAGGTAATAGAGGGCTCTTCATTTAAAATCAGAGGGATCCCTGGTTACCTAATTGGAGGCAAAGGATTAAGTCTGCGAAGGTTTTCCAATTGATGCATTTCAACAGATGTTGAAGTTCAGTCACCATCCAGGTTACAGAAACAGAAAAGTCAATTAGCACCTTTTAAGCTTTTGTGTTGTACAGATTCTTTTGGTGAATTTTGCATATTCAACTGGTAATTGCAAATTAGGAATTTCTGTTGCAGTTTTTGTTGTTGTTCCTCTCCTTGAATCTGTGATTTGGTTTTATTTTTCTTTTTATTCCCTGTCTCTCTGACGTTCATGTCCATTGTTTTTTATTCTTTTTTTTTTTTTTTTGGAGACATTCAATACATTTTAGGGGTTATTCCTTTTAATGTGATTATGCTTTGACAATACATAATAATTTAACGTGATTATTGTCTAGGACAATACTGATTGTAACAGCTTGTGAAGAAGGTTCAATAGAGAAATAAGGCATAAACTTTTCTGTAAACTTATCAGTGGAATTATACACAGAGGATCTGTTTTTTAAATTATAAAAGACACAGCAATATGTCTGGACGGAGATGCACCACTCAAGGAGACAGTAAAAGGGACCTGAGTCCATGTTCCTATACTTAACTAACAAAATATTATCTAAATTACTGACCTAGGTCAGAGAATTCTCTCAAAGAGTCTCAGCCAAACTCAGTAAAAGCAGCACAAAGCAGCTGAGCTGAAAGTGCAGGCTCATCATGTGGCACAGAGCCAGTGAGCAAAGCAAAGCTAGAACAGCAATTCCCTGAAGGTGGCAGCCAACATCTGGATAATCCTGCTCACAATGGCCTTTGAAGGGGTCAGTTTGCATAGATAGTTTGCATTGAAGGGGTCAGTTTGCACCCTCCCTGACAACTGGTTCAGTGTTGAGACTGCTGATGCCACACAATCCAAGATTGTATGAAATGGACTCCTACTCCTGTAATGAGGTTTATGAGGAGAGAAGGGTGTCTACAGAGTTGATGCAAAAGTGACTTGAGAAAGCAGGGAAAGGAGACTGGTTTGGGGTTGTGATGGTGGTCATGGGTGGGGCTGCTGAAAGGGTCCTGCACTACCAGAGGCTTGCTAGGTCTGAACCTCCCACCTACACCAACAGAGGGAGCACCCAGGCTTTCTCATCAGCTTGTCCAGGGAGGGCAGAAGGGAAGAGAGAAGAGTGAGTCCCCCAATAATATCAGCAGTCAAACATAAACATGGAATCAGAACTTTTATTACAAATGCCCTCCAAGAACACAGGAAGAAAATATAGCTACATACAAAGGGTGCTCTAAGTAGTTCATCATTGGTCTATGACAATGTGATTGTAACAGCTTGTGAAGAAGGTGCAATAGAGAAATAAGGCATAAGCTTTTCTGTAAACTTACCAGTGAAAGTATACACATATGATCTGGTATTTAAATTATAAAAGGAAACTTCTCCCAACTCATAGTCCAGAAAAATGCCAACTTGCAGGACTTCTGTGTTCCTTGTACTGCATGAACTACGGAATGGCTGAATTTGCCAGCACCCCATCTGTGGAGTTGGTGATGTAAGACCATCTCTGGGAAACATTTCTTTACACACACCAAGGAACCATGTACCTTTGCTCTCACTTCTACTTGCCAAAAGTGTCTCCCAGCATCAAATCCCTCACAGCTTCAGACAGCTGGGTAAAAACTAAATGACTGAAGATTATCAGTAAAGTGTGGGTTCATCATTCTAAATATCACACTTTCTGTCTCTTGAGATAATAAGACTAGGGTGGGCTGTTTCTGGATCTAGTGTCAAATCTTCCTGAAATGGGCTCATCATTTTTTTCAGGCCAAAATAAGGTGGAGAGAGACTCAAACTCTCCTTCCTTGATTCCTATGAGAAGACTGCAGGGGTTTTCAGGTGGTCATATGTGTTGTAGCTGTTCTCAATACCTGTCAGCATATCCAGGTCTGCCTGAAAACTCTTCTCTGTTACTTCATTTAAGAGATTCTGTAGGCTGGGCGCGGTGGCTCACGCCTGTAATCCAAGCACTTTGGGAGGCAGAGGCGGGCAGATCATGAGGTCAGGAGATCGAGACCAGCCTGGCTAACACAGTGAAACCCCGTCTCTACTAAAAATACCAAAAATTAGCCGGGCAGGGTGGCGGGCGCCTATAGTCCCAGCTACTCGGGAGGCTGAGGCAGGAGAATGGCGTGAACCCTGGAGGCGGAGCTTGCAGTGAGCCAAGATTGAGCCACTGCACTCCAGCCTGGGCGACATAGCGAGACTCCGTCTCAAAAAAAAAAAAAAAAAAAAAAACAGATTCTGTAGTGTGGATAAGTGGCCTGAAATTTGTCTTTGGTTTTCAGTGAGTTTTTCTTTAGCATCCTTCTCTTCAATAAGTAGCCTGGCATGAATTACAGCTCGTTCCTTTACCAAGAAAGACTTAATTTCTTTAAATTCAAATTGTAATTCCTTCCTCCATGTTGCCATCTTCCTTTTCACATTAAGTGATCTCAAAATTGGGACTTCACACCGCATCTTGGCATGTTCAGTTTCCTTCTTTAGTGGCTTAATGTAGCTTTTGAGCTTCCTTCTGTGTGTAGCTGCAGCTTGCTCAATGGGCAACAAGGGATGATCCTGATGGTCAGAGGAGACCTTGCACTGGGGACACAATAGCTCCAGGTCCTTCTCACAGAGCAGGACTAGACCCTGACTGTGCTTCTCACAGAGGGGCTCCTCTTCCTGCCATTCCCTCTTGCTCGTCACGGTGAGAAGCTGCTGAACCATATCAGTCATGTGGCGCAACTGGGTGTTTGCTCCTGAGGTTCTCATCAGGGCAGTGACGGAGGCAGACAGGACAGGGGAGGACATCCTGTAAGTCTTCCCAGCACTGGTGGATGCAGGAGCGACAGAAGTTGTGCCCACAGTGAGTGGTGACTGGGTCCTTCATGTAATCCAGGCACATGGGGCAGCTGGCCTCTGCTTGGAGCTCAGCCAGAGAGGCTGCAAAGGCCATGGTGCAGGGAGGGATCTGTGTGGGGAGACTCCCTGCAGAAGGTGTGATTCTCCAGGAAGGAGGGAAAGTGAGAAGCTGGTGCCTCCTCAGCGTTCTGTCTCCTGCAAGCACTTCACAAGCTTGTGTCTGCTTCTTTCCCTTTGGCTCCAGAAGCAGCTCCAGGGGGAGGCAGGTCCCAGGGCACTGGCTGATCCCGTGACCCTGGATCCTCCTTTACTCAAATTCAAGCTACGCTCTTTTGTCGTGTTTCTCAGGAAGGGCCACAATTACAAGAGGTGATGGGAACTAATGACCATGTAAAATACTCCAGACTGTGAGACTTTCAACAGAACAGTAAGGCAGTTTCTTCAACTACAAAAGGAGAAAAAAGAATAAGATACTAAAGCACTGAAGAGCATGTATATCAATGAAAATAACTGCCTAATAATTTTCCTTACTTCTACATAAACACTTCTAAAAATAAAGTCCATTGAACTAGAAGAAATCTCATAAGTATTCACTAGTTATGATTTCTGATAATGATATTATGAGCTTACTATTTAAAAGAGGCTCTATATTTTAGACATTCATAGTGCAGTATTTACCCATAAGATTATATGTGATCCTGTGTTTGCTTCAAAGTATTGCAAAGTATAGGGATAAGGATATAAATCTGTAAGTGGATACACAGGGTTTGTTGTACTAATTTTGCTACTATTCTATACACTTTAGATGTTCTCAAGTAGAAAACATTATTGAAAAGGCTGACAGCCTGGACAACATGGTGACATGCTATCTCTATGAAAATAATGCAAAAAGTAGCCAGGCATAGTGGCACACACCTGTGGTCCAAGCTACTGGGGAGGCTCTGGTAGGAGGATCAATTGACCCTGTGAGGTTGAGGCAGAAATGAGCAGTTCGTGTGCCACTGGACTCTAGCCTAGGCAACAGAGCAAGATTCTGTCTAAAATGAAATGAAATGAAATAAAAAGCTGAGCCTTATTGTCTCTGTGTCACTGTCTTCAAGCCAGACCCTCTTCTCTCTTACTCTCTTTTCTGAGCCTCATCTTTCACTTCTGCTACATCTCAAAGCTCTAAAATCCCTTGTGGGCAGGGCATGGTGGCTCACGCCTCTAATGCCAGCACTTTGGCAGGCCGAGGTGAGTGGATCACCTGAAGTCAGAAGCTTGAGGCCAGCCTGGCCAACATGGTGAAACCCAGTCTACTAAAAATACAAAAATTAGCTGGACATGGTGGTGGGCGCCTGTAATCCCATCTACTTGGGAGGCTGAAGCAGGAGGATCGCTTGAACCCAGGAGGCCTACAGTAATCAAAATAGCACGGTACTGGTACCAAAACAGACATATAGACCAATGGAACAGGACAGAGACCTCAGAAATAATACCACAAATCTACAACCATCTGATCTTTGACAAACCTGACAAAAACAAGCAACGGGAAAAGGATCCTCTATTTAATAAATGGTGGCTGGGCACAGTGGCTCATGCCTGTAATCCCAGTACTTTGGGAGGCCAAGGTGGGTGGATCACCTGAGGTCAGGAGTTCGAGACCAGCCTGGCCAACACGGTGAAATTCCGTCTCTACTAAAAATACAAAAATTAGCCAGGCATGGGGGTGCGTGCCTGTAGTCCCAGGTACTTGGGAGGCTGAGGCAGGAGAATCGCTTGAAACTGGGAGATGAAGTTTGCAGTGAGCCGAGATCGTGCCACTGCACTCCAGTCTCAGCAACAAGAGTGAAACTCCATCTCAAAAATAAAAATAAAAATAAATGGTGCTGGGAAAACTGGCTAACCATATGCAGAAAACTGAAACTGGACCCCTTTCTTATACCTTATACAAAAATTAACTCAAGATGGGTTAAAGGCTTAAATGTGACACCCCAAACTATAAAAACCCTTAAAAAAAAAAAAAACCTAAGCAATAACATTCAGAACATAGGCACGGACAAAGACTTCATGACAAAAATGCCAAAAGCAATTGCAACAAAAGCCAAAATTGACAAATGGGATCTAATTAAACTAAAGAGCTTCTGCACAGAATAAACAACAACAACAAAAACTATTATCAGAGCGAACAGATGACCTACAGAATGGGAGAAAATTTCTGCAATCTACCCACTGACAAAGGTCTAATATCCAGAATCTATGAGGAACTTAAACAAATTTACAAGAAAAACACAACCCCATCAAAAATTGGGCGAAGAATATGAATAGACACTTCTCAAAAGAAGACATTTATGCCACCAACAAACATATGAAAAAAAGCTCAACATCACTGGTCATTAGAGAAATCCAAATCAAAACCACAATGAGATACCATCTCACACCAGTCAGAATGGCCCATTTAAAAAGAAATAATAGATGCTGGCAAGGCTATGGAGAAATAGGAATGCTTTTACACTGTTGGTTGGAATGTAAATTAGTTCAACCATTGTGGAAGACAGTGTAGACTAGATCTTCAAGGATCTAGTACTAGAAATACCATTTGACTCATCAATCCCATTAGTGGGCATATACCCAGAAAAATAGAAATCATTCTATTATAAAGATACATGCACGCATATGTTTATTGCAGCACTATTTACAATAGCAAAGACATGGAACCAACCCAAATACCCATCAATGATAGACTGGACAAAGAAAATGTGGTATATTGCTGGGTGCGGTGGCTCACACCTATAATACTAGCACTTCGGGAGGCCGAGGTGGGTGGATCATGAGGTGAGGAGTTCGAGACCAGCCTGGCCAACATGGTGAAACCACGTCTCTGCTAAAAGTACAAAAATTAGCCAGGTGTGGTGGCGGGTGCCCGTAATCCCAGCTACTCTGAAGGCTGAGGCAGGAGAATCGCTTGAACCCAGAATGCAGAGTTTGCAGTGAGCAGAAATCACGACACTGCACTCCAGCCTGGGCGAAAGAGTGAAAATCCGTAAAAAAAAATAAAAAAAGAAAAGAAAGAAAATGCGCTACATATACACAATGGAATACTATGCAGCCATTAAAAGGAATGGGATCATGTCCTTTGCAGGGACATGGATGAAGCTAGAAGCCATCATCCTCAGCAAACTAACACAGGAACAGAAAACCAAACACCACATATTCTCAATCAAAAGTGGGAGTTGAACAATGAGAACACATGGACACAGGAGGGGAACAACACACATCAGGGCCAGTCAGGGGGTGAGGGGCAAGCAAAGGGAGAACATTAGGACAAATACCTAATTCATACGGGGCTTAAAACCTAGATGATTGGCTCACTCTCTTTCTGCCACCATCTTGGTTCCTCGTTCCCTGCACAAAATGCCCTGTGAAGCCACAGAAACCGTCCCTGCTACAGAGCAGGAGTTGCCGCAGCCGCAGGCTGAGACAGGGTCTGGAACAGAATCTGACAGTGATGAATCAGTACCAGAGCCTGAAGAACAGGATTCCACCCAGACGTCCACACAAGAAGCCCAGCTGGTGGCAGCAGCTGAAATTGATGAAGAGCCAGTCAGTAAAGCAAAACAGATTTGGAGTGAAAAGAAGGCACAGAAGGCTATGTCCAAACTGGGTCTTCGACAGGTTACAGGAGTCACTAGAGTCGCTATCCGGAAATCTAAGAATATCCTTTTTGTCATCACAAAACCAAATGTCTGCAAGAGCCCTGCTTTGGATACCTACATAGTTTCTGGGGAAGCCAAGATCGAAGATTTATCTGAGCAAGCACAACTAGCAGCTGCTGAGAAATTCAATGTTCAAGGTGAAGCTGTCTCAAACATTCAAGAAAACACACAAACTCCAACTGTACAAAAGGAGAGTGAAGAAGAAGAGGTCGATGAAACAGGTGTAGAAGTTAAGGACATAGAATTGGTCATGTCACAAGCAAATGTGTGGAGAGCAAAGGCAGTCCATGCCCTGAAGAACAACAGTAATGATATTGTAAGTGCCATTATGGAATTAACAATGTAACCATCTGAAAGCAACTTTTCTTGGTGTCTCAAAGGAGTAACTGCAGCTTGGTTTGAAATTTGTACTGTTTCTATCATAAATAAAGTTATGGCTTCTTGTTGGAAAAAAAAAACCTAGATGATGGGTTGATAGGTGTAGGAAACCACCATAGCACGTGTACACCTATGTAACAAACCTGCATATTTTGCACTTGTAACCCGGAACTTAAAGTAAAATAAAATTAAAGAAAAGAAAGAAAGAAAGTTATCAGAAGTGTTTTGATGGTGACACAAAAGGGTATACAGGATGCTATGGGAGGATGGAGAAGTGATAGAAGAGTCAACAACTTTGGATGAATTACCCATTCTAGGACTCACTTTCTTCTGCTTTGTATAGGAGGCAATTATCACTACTTCTCAGTTCTAATGCATAGGTTCCATTGAATGTTTAGGTGAAGTAGTGCATGAATCATGGTTAATAATGAAGTAATGCTAGCTGTTCTCTAGGAACAAACCAGAGGGCCAAGTATATTGTGGGAAACAACCTAGAAGACTGGATGCCCTACAGGTGGTTCAGAACATCCATTTCATTTATAGTACTTCCTGTAGAAGATTTTCCTTAAATTTGGTAATCCATTTTAAAGTAGCCTGAAGTATATATAGTGATATAGGACAAAAACGAATGGCGGGCAGCTGTAGAATATGCAAGTAGCTTCTATTTGTAGGTTAACAAGGAGTGTTCTATACATAACCCCTACTCATATAAATGCCCGGCGGGGTGGGGGAGGGGTTGTATATGCCTAGACCATTTGGGAACATTTACAAGAAGCCATTGAGAGCAATTATCATTTGGAAGGCAAATAGATGACAGCAAGGCACTGTGTAACTATTTTGCCAAGTAGGGTGTTCTCTCCTATACAGCACACATATTTACTCTTTAAAATATTTCCATCAAATCCTTCTGCAGTGTATGTGTTTGTGCTCCTGACAAAAGAATATTCGTATTCTCTCCTTTTAGTAAATGGAGTCCCATGAAGAGGAGGCCACGCCATCATTGCATTGCTTTTCTCTCTTTCCTCTGCACTGCAGCTTCCTGCCGCTGAGGAGGGTACCATATCCCTGTGTGCCAGGCTTTCCGTCAGAGTCCATAGACAGCTAGCACTCGAAGAATATGTGAGCAAATATCTGTCAGTGAATGGGATGACAGGCAGACACTGTGTATATTAATACAAAGATCCTAACTCAGATGGGGTCTGACTTGGACATTGTCCCCATGCAGATAGTAGCTGAAACCATTTGCTATGGATGACATTGCCAAGGATCTCACAAACTGCCAGAGTCACCAGGGAGATTTCTTTTAACTATAACCCAGGTACCGCACAGGAAACGTCTGAATCATCCCACCTAGGGAAGCCTACTCTACAGCTGCCCGGCACTGCCCAGACATAGCGCCTCCACTCTCCACACTCCTACAAAGCCCCCACCTACAGAATGAGCAGATAGCATATAAATGTCTCTGCCAGCAGTTTGTCTGCTATGTCTGAGACTGTGGAGGCTGAAAATGCTGGAATGAGTTTGGGAATACAGAAAACAAAGAGGCAAGGACCGACTCTGGAAGCACTTCCTTCAAGGGACAAAGAGAATTAAAACTGCCTGAGAAGGAAAAGGCCAACGTTAGCCAACAAATCCTACATCTGCCTGCCTGAGAAAAACAAGACGAAAATATTTCCAATATTCAATTAACCCAGGACCAAATCACTGATTAAGTTAGAGGAGTTTCAATGGACTACTGAGAGACAAGGAAATCCAATCTTCCACTTTTAGTCTCCTCACGTTCTCCTCACTCACCACATCTCCCAGGCTGAAAATGCAATCAGAGAAGAAGGTGGGAAATGTTCATCAGAGCCGGTCGTTGGCCAGACGCTAATTGCATCCAGAGTCTGTCCAATAAGGGAACAGAAAGGAAACTCTCCACAGGCTTATAAGCTCTGAAGGCGCCAGATTCAGAACTCTCGGGTGGATGGAGAGGCTGTGCTGTGTTGCTGTTCTGACCTGGACCAAGACGGACACGACTGACCTGCAAGACAGGAGCAGCCATTCTTAGTTGGCAGTGGTGCTGAGAGAATCACCCCAACATCTGGAAATTTAAGGGCTGCTCCTGAATACTCACAGAGTCTGGACCCAAGTGGGGATTTGATATCAGGAAAGCGCCCCTCCGACCACAGGTGCAGGTGAGCAGAGACTCGGGGAAGGAGCAGGCGCCGTGGGCCACGTTATGCGTTGGGGAAGACCTCGGAGGCTCAGGCTGCGCATGGAGCAATCCTGCGAGGACTTCTCCTCACAGTCCATGAGGACGAAAATGGGTGGAATAGGAGGCTACATTGGACACCCTGGACAAAATGGCGACACTCCGACACACCAGGGTGGAATAGGAGGCTATATTGAGGAAGTGCTTAGGAAATTCACTTTGCAGAGACCTAGCCAGTGGAGTAGATAAGGTAGGCGAGGTCAGAGGAGGATGCAATAGTTGAGAGCGAGGGGGAAGGACCAGTTGTGCTTGTGGTCAGCGACCCCAAAATATTAGAACTTGAAACCATAATGCCTGGCCTTGCTCTTGCCACTAATTTAGTTCGTCTGAACTTGGGAGATTTGTGTGGCCATAGAGGAGTCAGGCCTGGAAGCCAGATGGAGTTGGAGTAGAAAAAGAATGTGGGGGAGATTTGTGTGAAGTGTGAAGAAGAAAGAGGAGGACACAAGGGATTTTATTTATTTATTTATAAATAAATGCAGTTTCACTCTTGTTGCCCAGGCTGTAGCACAATGGCAGCCTCTCAGCTCACTGCAAGCTCTGCTTCCCAGGTTCAAGTGATCCTCCTGCCTCAGCCTCCCAAGTAGATGGGATTACAGGTGCCTGCCACCACTCCTAGCTAATTTTTGTATTTTTAGTAGAGACCCGGTTTCACCATGTTGGCCAGGCTGGTCTCAAACTTCCGACCTCAGGTGATCTTCCCACCTCGGCCTGCCAAGTTCTGGGATTACAGGCGTGAGCCACTGTGCCCTGCCCACAAGGGATTTTAGAGTTTCTAGATATAGCAGAAGTGAAAGATGAGGTTCAAAAATGAGAGTAAGAGAGAAGCTGGTCTGGCTTGGGGACAATGACAGAGAGACAATAAGACTCAGCTTTTTGTTTTATTTTATTTTATTTTATTTCATTCTATTTTAGACAGGATCATGCTCTGTTGTCAAGGCTAGAGTCCAGTGGCACACTAACCGCTCACTGCAGCCTCAACCTCACGGTCTCAATTGATCCTCCTACCAGAGCCTCCCTAGTAGCTTGGACTACAGGTGTGTGCCACTATGCCTGGCTAATTTTTTTTTTTTTCATAGACATGGAGTGTCGCCATTTTGTCCAGGCTATCAGCCTTTTCAATATCGTTTTCTACTGGAGAACATCTAAAGTATATAAAATAGTAGCAAAATTAGTGCAACAAACACTGTGTATCCACTTATAAATTTATATCCCAATCCCTATACTTTGCAATAGTTTGAAGCAAACCCAGGATCACATATAATCTTATGGGTAAATACTGTACTACGAGTGTCTGAAATATAGAGCCTCTTTCAAATATTAAGCTCATAATATCATTATCAGAAATCATAACTAGTGAATACTTACGAGATTGCCTCTATCTCAATGGACTTTATTTTTAGAAGTGTTTATATAGAAATAAGGAAAATTATTAGGTAGTTATTTTCATTGATATACATGCTCTTCAGTGCTTTAGTATCTTATTCTTTTTTCTCCTTTTGAAGTTGAAGAAAACTGCTTTATTGTTCTGTTGAAAGTCTCAGTTGGGAGTATTTTACATGGTCATTAGTTTCCATCACCTCTTGTAATTGTGGCCCTTGCTGAGAAAGACAAAGAAAGAGTCCAGCTTGAATTTGAGTAAAGGAGGATCTGGTGCCAAGGGGTCGGCAGGTGCCCTGTGACCTGCCTCCCCCTGGAGCTGCTTCTAGAGCCAAAGGGAAAGAAGCAGACACAGGCTTGTGAAGTGCTTGCAGGAGACAGAACGCTGAGGAGGCACCAGCTTCTCACTTTCCCTCCTTCCTGGAGAATCACACCTTCTGCAGGGAGTCTCCCCACACAGATCCCTCCCTGCACCATGGCCTTTGCAGCCTCTCTGGCTGAGCTCCAAGCAGAGGCCAGCTGCCCCATCTGCCTGGATTACATGAAGGACCACTCATTGTGGGCACAACTTCTGTCGCTCCTGCATCCACAAGTGCTGGGAAGACCTACAAGATGTCCTCCCCTGTCCTGTCTGCCTCCGTCACTGCCCTGATGAGAACCTCAGGAGCAACACCCAGTTGTGCCACATGACTGATATGGTTCAGCAGCTTCTTACCATGAGAAGCAAGAGGAAATGGCAGGAAGAGGAGCCCCTGTGTGGGAAGCACAGTCAGCGTCTGGCTCTGTTCTGTGAGAAGGGCCTGGAGCTGTTGTGTCCCCAGTGCAGGGTCTCCTCTGACCACCAGTATCACCGCCTGATGCCCATTGAGCAAGCTGCAGCCAGAAACAGGAGAAAGCTCGAAAGCTACATTAAGCCACTAAAGAAGGAAACTGAACATGCCAAGATGCGGTGTGAAGTCCCAATTTTGAGTTCTCTTAATGTGAAAAGGAAGATGGCAACATGGAGGAAGGAATTACAATCTGAATTTAAAGAAATTAAATATTTCTTGGTAAAGAAACAAGCTGCAGTTCATGCAAGATTACTTACTGAAGAGAAGGATGATAAAGAAAAACTCACTGAAAACCGAAGACAAATTTCAGACCACTTATCCACACTACAGAATCTCTTAAATGAAGTAACAGAGAAGTGTTTTCGGGCAGACCTGGATGTGCTGACAGGTGTTGAGAACACCTACAACACATATGACAACCTGAAAACCCCTGCAGTCTTCTCATACAAATTAAAGAAGGAGAGTTTGAGTTTCCCTCCACATTATTTTGGCCTGCAAAGAATTATAAGCACATTTCAAGAAGATTTGATGCTAGATCCAGAAACAGCCCACCCTAGTCTTATTATCTCAAGAGATAGAAAAAATGTGATATTTAGGATGAGGAAGCCACACTTTACTGATAATCCTCCGTCATTTAGTTTTTACCCAGCTGTCTGGAGCTGTGAGGGCTTTGATGCTGGGAGACACTTTTGGCAAGTAGAAGTGAGAGGCACAGGTGCATGCTCCCTTGGTGGGTGTAAAGAAACATTTCCCAGAGATGGTCTTACATCACCAACTCCACAGATGGGGTGCTGGCAAATTTGACCATTCTGTAGTTCATGTAGTACAAGGAATACGGAAGTCCTGCAAATTGGCGTTTTTCTGGACTATGAATTGGGAGAAGTTTCATTTTATAATTTAAAAACCAGATCATATGTTTACACTTTCACTACGTTTACAGAAAAGCTTATGCTTTATTTCTCTATTGCACCTTTTTCACAAGCTGTTATAATCATATTGTCATAGGCTAATGATGAACTACTTAGAGCACCCTTTGTATGTGGCTATCTTTTCTTCCTGTGTTCTTAGAGGGCATTTGTAAATGAAGCTTCTTATTCTATGTGTATGTTTGACTGCTGGTATTTTTGGGGGGACTCACTCTTCTCTCTTCCCTTCTGCCCACCCTGGGCAAGCTGATGAGAAAGCCTTGGGTGCTCCCTCTGTTGGTGCAGGTGGGAAGTTCAGACCTAGCAAGCCCCTGGTAGTGAAGGACCCTCTCAGTAGCCCCACCCATGACCACCATCACAACCCCAAACCTGTCTCCTTTCCCTGCTTTCTCAAGTCATTTTTGGACCAACTGTGTAGACACCCTGCTCTCCCCATAAACCTCATTACATGAGTAAGAATCCATTTCACACAATCTTGGAGGTGTGGCATTAGCATTAGCAGTCTCAACACTGAACCAAATTGTATGCAAACTGACCCCTACAATGGGCATTGTGAGCAGGATTATCCAGATGTTGGCTGCCACCTTCAGGGAATTGCTGTTTTAGCTTTGCTTTGCTCACTGGCTCTGTGCCCCATGACAAGCCTGAACTTTCAGCTCAGCTGCTTTGTGCTGCTTTTATTGAGTTCGGCTGAGGCTCTTTGAGAGATTTCTCTGACCTAGGTCAGTAATTTAGATAATATTTTGGTATTTAAGAACAGGAATATGGACTCAGATCCCTTTTAATGTCTCCCTGAGTCATGCATCTCAGTCCAGACATATTGCTGTGTCTTTTATAATTTAAAAAACAAATTCTGTGTGTATACTTTCACTGATATGTTTACAGAAAAGTTATTTATCTATTGAAACTTCTTCACAAGCTGTTACAATCGGTATTGTCATGGACAATAATCACGTTAAATGATTATTATGTATTGTCAAAGCATAATCACATTAAAAGGAACAACCCATAAAGTGTATTGCATGTCTACAAAAAAAGAATAAAAAATAATGGACATGAAAGTCAGAGAAATCAGGAATAAAGAGAAAGAAAGATAAAACCAAACTATAGATTCAAGGAGAGGATCAAAAAAAAAAAAAAAAAACTGGAACAGAAGTTCCTAATTTGCAATTTCCAGTTGAATATGCAAAATTTATCAAAAGAATCTGCACAACACAGAAGATTTAATGGTGCTGGTTGACTTTTCCTTCTCTATAACTTGGATGGTGATTGAACCTCAGCATCTGTTGAAATGAATCAGTTGGAAAACTCATAGATGTAATCCTTTGCCTCTAATTAGTTAACCAGGGATCCCTCTGATTTTAAATGATGAAGCCTCTATTACCTTAGTGATGTTACTGAACATAAAATGGAGATAAAAGAGGTATCCCTTAACTATGAGAATCACTGGTTTCCCTAAATTTTCCATGATCAGAGCACACACTGGGATGATATATCAAAGAGAAAAAAAGAGATAGGATAAGTAATAAATGCAATTACATTAAGTCTTCTGAATTTTCAAACTAGCTTTACAAAATGGGATCCAAAGGATGTTCCTGACCCCAGTGAAAAAAAGATAATATGACTAAATATTAGCTAAAATAGGATACTCAAGAATTGAAACCCATGATACAAGACCTAGGAGTGATTATCTCACTGTTTCTGGGTTCAACCCCAATTTTGTGTGTTGTTACACTTTGAAACAAGTATGACATCTCAGAGTGAATTGATAACAGCTTTAATCGGATGATCTCTCCCAATGTTATTGACATGATTTACTCCATCCAATCAGCAAGTGGTAAATATCTGGCTACTAAAGATTTGGCTAGTTTTTTTCAGGCCTATTTCTACAGCTTCCTGGCCATGCTTTCCCTTTACCTCAAAGGAATTTTATGCATCTCTACCCACTAATCGTGGGCACCTCAGCAGTCTTGCCTTTGCACACAGACCTTGTAGGGAAGATTCCAACTTCATTCAACTTCTTCCAGAACAGCAGGTATGATTTACATGGATGACATTCTCCTCCATGGTGATCCATTTGAAACACTCATTCAAGCCATGAAAATACTCACAAAAGAGTTTACACAAAGGGAATGGGTCATTTCCCCCATACAGTGCAAGCCTCTTATTCGATTAATTGCCTGAAAATTATTTGGTAAACTGAAAGCAACTCCATCTCTGACACTGTGGAGAAACAGCTATAAAACCTTTCAATGCCCACAATGTGAAAACAAGCCCAGTATCTTTAACACTTTTTGGATTCTGGAGGAAACATACTCATCATTTATAAATTTTGCTTAAGGTCACTTATGCTGTTACTTCCAAATCCACCCATCTTTAATGGGGCCCCCTCCACGAAAGGCCTACAGACTCTAAATTGTAGTACATTAAGCTCTCACAGGCACTGAGCCTCTAACTCTTCATACTCAGTTGCTCAGCATGCCTTGGATTCTAGAAGCAGCACCCTGCTAGTTCAGCACAGGTATAGGAGGAATCCTTGTTACATCATAGAGCCAGACGCAGGCCCTCTGCCATATTTCATCCACAGGAAGGGGTAGCCTGCCTACCTTGTCCTTAGTCCCTGCCACATGCCACTGGGTTTAGGAGATGGCTCCTCTCTTAGGTCCTTTGGCTACCTGAGAGACCTCCCCCTCACACCTCCGGGATCAAATGATAAACAGCAGTGGGGGTTTATACACTGTAAGGATGGCATAACCATTGCCATGCATGATGAGCTCAGTAGGGATTTACTACTTTTCATTTATTAATCAGGACATTCTTAACAAGCAAAAGGACTCCAAGGTCAGTCAATGGATGGAACTTCAGGCCATCTTCTCAGAATTGGAGCCCCTGACCAATGATCAGCCCAATATGCAGTTTTACTAACTATGGAGCCATAGCCTTGGAGTTACCTGCTTCAGAGTAAAGAATTCTTGCCTCACAAATATCCAAAATCTAACTCAAGGTCACACATTTCTCTATATACACTAAGGCCACAATACGAAACCTCAACAGGATCTGGAACTCCTTTGGAGTTCCAGACATTACTGAGAGGGACCAAAGACTCATTTCACTTCCCAGAATATGCAATGCTGGGGTCCTGAAGAAGGCATTCAATGGAATTGTAACTTCCCTTACTAGATTAAGCTGTCAGCTTCATTAAGCACCATAAAGGCTTACTCAAACAAGTTCAAATTCAATGAAATGAAACATGGTGCATCTAATCAACAGTTAAACATCAGGGTGTGGGGGAATCCTACAAAATAGTTCAAATCCATTTTTACAGTTTTTCACCCTTGATAACTTTTAATCGTCACTCCTCCATTTTTTTCTTTGGCCGCACATTTGGGCAACCTGCCAAGAAAGCCCAGGTGCTCCCTCCTTCAGGGCAGGAAAGAGATTCAAACCAGGCAACTTTCATTGTGAATGAGTGATCCCTCACCCTGCCCACACCTTAACCTGAAGAAAAACACCAAGCCCGTCTTCTTTCTCTGCTCTCACAGTCCATTTACAGACCACCTACAGGCCTGTGCTGCTCTCCTTCAACACCCCAGCATGTGAGAAACAAACCTGTTCCTATCCTTCTAGTGTGTGTGTGGGTGTGTGGCATAATCAGTCTTTATATCTGGACTAAATTTGATGGGTGTTCAATTTTTCCCATGTGGGGTTGACACAACAATAATTAGGATGCTGTATGATCTCAGTTTAATTATTGGGATATTATGGAAAAGTCCCAACATGCAGAAAGAGAGACATAATTGTACAATAGATCACCCCAACCCCCATAGATCCATTACACAATTTCAATAATTATTATGGTCAATTTTATTTTATCAAGATCATGCTCTACCTTCCCCAAATCATTTTAATGCAGTATTCATACATCATATCATTTTATCTATATCTTAAAATAAATCACTAAAAGAACGATTTTAAAAGTGTAAGTGCAGTATAGGTATCACATTTAATATTTAAATATAGTTTCATTCCCTCTCTGGGTGGTCCACCCTCCCCGCACCTCAAGGTGTTCACAAATCTCAAAGCTCCTCATATTACTTTCTTCAAGAATTTGTATAAAGTTTATTTTCCAGGTCCCCCCACCATCCTACTGAAAGTTCTAATCACTTGGTCTTCTGTGAGTAGCCCTATCCTGAGGCTACCCTGGGGCCCCAACCCAACCCACCTCATTAGCATAAATCCAGTTGATCCAAAGGGGCTCATTATGAATAACAAAAGACTGGCTGGGAGCCATGGCTGTAATGCCAGCACTTTGGGAGGTCAAGAAAGGAGGATAAGGCCAGGAGTTCCAAACTAGCCTGGCCTACATAGTGAGACACCGTTTCTTCAAAAAGAATAATTTTTAAAAATTAGCTGGGCATGGTGATGTGTGCCTGCAGTCCTAGCTATTTGGAAGGTTGAGGCTGGAGGATTGCTTGAGCCCAGGAGTTCCAGGTTACAGTGAACCATGACTGCATCACTGCACAACAGGGTGACAGAGCAACATCCTGTGTCCAAAAAAAAGTGAAACAAAAAAACCCAGCACTTGCCCTTATGCTCCACTCAGTGCATGATGTGTTACTTCCGCAGCTCCCACCCCATCACAACCATTCTGCAGGTCCCTACCCCTGTCCCCTTCACCAACCCAGGACCCTGCAGGAGCAATCAGAGAACAAGAGAGAACTGCCCTCTGGGACCTGTCACTTCCCCCATGCTGACTGCATAAGGAAAAAAAAACTCCCTACAGGGTTTAAGACTGAATTCGTTCTGAGGTCACCATTTTGGTGAACAAGAAGTAGGGACTGTGTTGCGTCTTCTGACCTGGATCGACGAAGAAACAGCTCTGCAAGGATGGAAAAAGCTGACAATCCCCAGTGAACTGCTGACAAGTGAATACAGGTAGGCTCCGCACCCTACACTAACCCTCTACTGGGAGCAGAATATCTGAGTGAGGATTGCACCAGGAGGCACAGGTGAGCTACACTCAGTAAAGGGCGTGCAGCCTTTGGCTGGACCTAAGCTGGGGAAAGTAGCCACATAGGAAGGAACCTTGGGGAGTTTGTGCATTTTATTTTTTAACCATCAGTTTTGTATTATTAGAAAGATAAACATTCCAATATACATCTAAAATTATATATATTGATTATAATTCAATATGTTCTTGTATTAATTAGCATATTTATATGTACATATTATACAGAAATACATATAATTACATACCTTACAAATGTAATTAAAATTTTATTATGGTATAGGAACATATACATACCCTACACATGGTTGGCAGCATGGCTATAATCCCAGCACTTTGGGAGGTCAAGGCAGGAAGATCGCTTGAGGTCAGGAGTTCCAGACCAGCCTGGGCAACCATCTCTACAAAAAATAAAATATAAATATGCTGTTTTATATTTACTTAAAATTTTATTGGCCCAGCACAGTGGCTCATGCCTGTAATCCCAGCACTTTGGGAGGCCAAGGCAGGCAGATCACAAGGTCAAGAGATCGAGACCATCTGGCCAACATGATGAAACCCTGTCTCTACTAGAAATACAGAAGTTAGCTGGGCATGGTGGAGGGCACCTGTAGTCCCAGCTACTCAGGAGCCAGAGGCAGAAGAATCGCTTGATCCCGGGAGGCGGAGGTTGAAGTGAGCCGAGATCGTGCAACTGCACTCCAGCCTGGTGACAGAAGGAGACTCCATCTCAAAAAAAAAAAAAAAAAAAATTATTATGGTATTATAGTAGTATACACATGTCCTACACATAACCTATTTGGTTCACTCTTTACTCTGACATCGTATATGAGACAGTTCTTTTGTATGTTGTATGACAATCACAGATTTGGACTTCTCATAAGGGGCCTCATGCTGGTTTGCCCTAATTACATCTAATTATGTCTGAACTGTTCTGCATAATCAGCATATCTACCATTAAACAGTCAACAGAAGAATCAGAAACACAAACCATTCTTGGAATATATTGAGTTCTGTGCCACACCAAATCCTATGTTTTAAAAAATTTTTTCCAGGCTGAGCTCAATGGCTCAAGACTGCAACCCGAGTAGTGTGGGAGGCCCAGGCAGGAAGATTGCTTGAGGTCAAGAGTTTGAGGCTACAGTGAGCTACGAACTTGCCACTGCAGTCCAGCCTGGGTGACTAAGAGAGATTCAGTCTCAAAAAAAAAAAAAAAAAAAAAACAAGTTTTCCAGAAGATATGTCTTTATTGGTGTTTATATTTACAGAAAACTTAAAGGGAAATTGAGGTTGATTTTCCTTGTCTTCATGTGACCACAAAAGGATGAAGAGAGGATATCAGGGACCAGCCCCAGATGACTCAGGTAATCTGAGACCAGGCCTGGGATCCACACACAAGACACACACACCCAGATGGAAGCACAATGCCTAGTCTCGCTCTTTCCTCAATCCCGATTTAAACTAATTTGGCAGTTTTATGAGATTAAAGAGGGTGTAGACAGGAAATTGGTAGAGGATGGAAAATCGATTAAGATTAGGGACAACTGTGAGGAGGAAGACAAAGGAGACAGAATCTGAGAGCCCTGAGGCGGACTGAAAACGGGGAGGCGGCTCAAAGAAAAGAGTAAGAGAAATGAGCTTTTCTGGAACGAGGCATTGATAACGCTGAAACATGATTAGCCTTTTGAAATAAATCTTTCGTTTATTTATTTTTTTGAGACAAGCTCTCGTTCTGTCGTCCAGACTGAGGTGCAGTGGCGCCATCCTGGCTCACTGCAACCTCAACTCCCCAGGTTCAAGCGATTCTCCCACCTCAGCCTCCGGAGTAGCTGGGACCACAGGGGCGGGCCAACATGTCCGGCTAATTTTTGTATTTTTTGTACAGACAGGGTTTCACCATGTTGGCCTGGCTGGTCTCAAACTCCAGAGCTCATGTGATCCGCCCACCTCAGCCTACCAAAGTGCTGGGATTACAGGCATGAGCTTCCATGCCGGGTATAAAAGGAAGCTTTTAAATTGTGGAGTATTTCATACATCCATAATAGTAGAGAGAACATTATGAAGAACGTACACATAAAAAGAAACCAATTTCTATCATTTGAATTAACAATCTTTATAACCCCAGCAACTTCTCCTGCCAATGGAGTAAATTCCCAGACATCTTATAATTTCATCTGTATATTTCATCTTATAATTTCATTATTTATTCCCTAAAAGACAATATCTCAATTATCATAGTGTTACTGTAACTTTTAATAAGCTGTTCAGTGGGAATTATAACCATATTTTTCTCCAACCAGTTATAAATAAGATTCAATAAATTAAAACAGCAACTGGAATTCTCTTCTGTTAAGGCGGGGCAGGGAGAGCCCTCAGTCTGGCACAGGTAGGGTTGGGTGGCAGAAGAGCAAAGCAAACAGCTGAGGTTCCTTCAGAATGCAACTTTCTCACAGAACACAAGGCTCTCAAGGGGCTTCAGCACCCCAAGCACTGCAGCGTTTCTCCCAGGAGGCTGGGCGAGTCCGTAGCGGAAGTCGGAGCGGCAGAGCAGTGATTGGGTGCGGCCGGCACCGTCTCTGGGCTTCGACTTCCGGGTGAGACCGTGAAGGTGTGGCGCGACGTTGGAGACCGGGGCAGCGCCATGTACCACAGTGGATGGAAGGATGCGCGGTGCGGCGGGGCAGCTGTCCTCTTCTCCCCGGACCCAGCGCCTGGAGAGCCAGCCCTGCAGGGTGGGCTGGGCGAGCCAAACTGCGTTCCTGGTGCAGGGCTTCGGGTCTCCCTAACAGACCTTATACGCTGACCGGCGGCCGCCATGGCAGTGTCTCTTTGCTCAGACATCCAGGGACGACCACATTCGTCCAACAGCGGTCGCTCCACCAATCCTGGGAGAAGCGAATCGTTTTCTCCGCGTGCCCTGTCAGCCGCTCATGGTGCCCAGAGAGGAATTTTAGTGGCAGCATTCCGGCTGTCACGCCACCGAAATTGCCAGGCCACTCCAAGTCAGAAGGACCACCAGGAAAAGTCAGGAAGAGAACCACCATCAGGTCCCAGCCTCTTTTTGTGACAAGGACTAGAGGGTTTGGGTCTGCAGTGGGCTGGCTCCCGCTGGGCTCACCTGTCCTATAGAGCAGGCTGCCTCAAGGAAGAAGCTCACAGGGGACATCTGACATCTGAAACAGCAAGTGTAAAATGCTTTAAATAAGCCAAAACTAAACCAATCGTTATGTTAACTAAAAATACATGAATGCTACCGAAGATAGTCGAATATTAGAGGAAGAGATTAAACTCTGATTTTGAGCACTTTGTGCTTTATTCGGAAAATGAATAAGATGCAGTTCTGAAAACCTGAAAATATAAAGAATAGGATATGATACGCACACTAGATGAAAACAAAACTTTCAGACCATATTTTCTTATTTAAAGCTCTAATAAGTGAGATAGCAGAGTAAACTATTCACTCAAATAATTAGTAACTGATATAAGGGTATGTATCAATAACAGGTATTAAGACAAAAACTTTATGAGCTTTTCCATTTTAACAAGGGATGATGATTCTAGACTTCTGCCACAACATTATGGTCGACAAAACATTCTTAATTCATTTTACATAGATCTGACTCTAGATTCTGAAACAGCAAGTCATAATCTTGTATCTCTAAAGATAGAATACAGTGCGATTTGGAAAGACACCACAAAAACTCATGATCCAAAAAAGATTAAGGCTGTTATTACCAGGAGGAAGAGAAAGAGGACAAAATCAAACTGGATAGATATAATAGAGTTGTTTGTTAGAATTGTCTTCCCAGGAGATGGAAAAAGACGCCATCACAATAGGATTCATGCTTTAGTTTTCAGCTATAGAAATGTAATAACTTTGCCAAAGTAATTACACTACATAGAGTGGCAATCGTTCTATTAAAAGTAAGACCCAGTAATGTTAGGATTTGTTCTGGACAATGAAGGGGATGAGGTTTAATCTTATGACTTGAATGCCAGGTCTGAAATCTTTTCTTCAAGTGATATTTTTATGAAACTACTTAGGCTGTGTTTCACACTGGGTATGATTTCTAACCTCTTATAACCTGTACAGTAATAGATTATGAAGGATGAATTATTTGAAAGCTATTTTGTATTATTTAGGAGAGGAGCTCTTCAATTCTGAATTGTCTGCCACTTACAAGCAGAAGAAAGTTTTTTTCTTTCATTATTTTAGCAACTATCAATAAAACAGTATTAGAAATGCCTACTCTTCAGAGATGTAATGGGAATAAATTGTAAAGTACTTTTGATATTCTAAGATGAAAGATGGTATTACACAGTCAATAATTCAATGCTTCCCACATTATGAATTTTATCAAAATTATGTAGAGAGCTATTAGTTCATTCCAGCAACAAAACAGGCTTATATAAAAACAAAAACCTCCTGGGTCATGCCATCCTACACCAAATTCCTGTTAAACAGAGGCATGATTTATTCCAGTGACCTTGCTATTTCTTCATAACTGTAATATGTCTAATGTTAGACATTTTAAATTAACATTCTATTAGATAAACTGAGAATTTAGGTCTCTCGCACCACCCAGGCACATACTCTATCTTTCCCCACAAATATCCAAATATGGTAATATAATTGGATTAATACGTTCATATGACTATATAATTGTTCACAGCTGAGCCACTTAGGTGCTATAATTATAATTTCTTTGATACACAAATTTTGTTTTATTGTGATTAAAATTGCCTGATTTCTTACTTGCTGCATTTTCTGTTTATCTCTTTCAGCCCCATATCTGCTCATCTCTAAAGTTCCTTTCTAAACTCGACATGTAATTTGTTGATTATATTCATTTTCTTTATAGTGCTCAATCTCCTGAAGCCCTCTGTCATCTTAGCATGAACTGAAATTTGGTGATATGATGCACAGCTGTCCTCTGAGGCCTTTCATGTTTCCCTTACCCTAAGAATTATCTTTTATCTTCTGTCTTATGTCCAGAGGTTTTAAGTCTATTGTTGTCTGAGTCCCTTGTTTTCCTTCTTAGTTTTCTTCCCTTCTTTTGGTGAGCGTATCACCAGGTAGTTCCCTGAAAAAGGGGACTTGGAAGATGTGCCAGTCATTTTCCTTGTGCTGTGAGATGTGGGAATGTGTGCTAGGCCCAGCATTACATCTGGAGGAGGGTGAAGAACATTTGTGAAGGCCACACATGCCTGAGACCAAAGTTCAGAGTGCTTGCCCATGACTCATGCTCAATCAGAACATCAGAGAACACAGGCTTCCCCAACTCCCAAAACCACACTAAGAGGAGTTGAGTAAAAATAACAGTAGAATCCAGTTTGAGAAATTAAAGAGACATATCACTAGGGGAGTGTGAAGTCTTTAATGTATTAATGGTAACGATAGCAATAACAAACTTCAAACTCTGCCTAACTCCTGGCTCGATTAATACAAACACACCCTCACTACGGGCCTAGCAGAAGGGAAACAAGTTCATCTCTGCTATTGGTTGAATTGTGTTCTCCCGAAAAAGTATGTTGAAGGGCTAACTCCAGTACTTCAGATGTGACCTTATTTGGAAATTAGGTCTTTAGAAGGTAATTGGTCAAAATGAGGTCATTAGGGTGGGCCTTAATCCAGTATCACTGCAGTCCTTATAAAAAGATGAAATTTTGACACAAAGATATGCACAGAGGAAGATTATATGAGGAAACACGGGGGAATGCCATTGGAGTGATGCATCTACTAGCCAAGGAATGCCAAAGATTGGCAGCAACACAACAGAACCTGGAGGCATGGAAGAAATTCTATATCACAGCCCTCAGAACAAACCAATCCTGCCAACACTCATAATTTGGACCCAGCCTCCAGAACTGTGAGACAATAAATTTCCTGTTATGGGCTGGACACGATGGTTCATGCTTGTAATCCCATCACTTTTCGAGGCCGAGGCGGGTGGATCACGAGGTCAGGAGTTCAAGACCAGCCTTGCCAAGATGATGAAACTCCATCTCTATTAAAAATACAAAAAAAAGAAAAAAAAATAGGTAGGCATGGTGGCAGGCTCCTGTAATCCCAGCTACTTGGGAAGCTGAGGCAGGAGATTTGCTTGAACCCAAGGAGTGGAGGTTGCAGTGAGCCGAGATGGCACCACTGCACTCCAATCCGGGCGACAGAGTAAGACTCTGTCTCAAAAAAAAAAAAAGGAAAAAAAATTTCCTGTTATGTAAACTACCCAGTTTGTGATACCATATTAGGGTATTCCCTATAAAACTAATATAATCTACAAGTATAAAAATATTTACCAGCTGGGTGTGGTGGGTCATGCCCATAATCCCATCACTTTGGGAGGCTGAGGCAGGCAGATCACCTGAGGTCAGGAATTCAAGACCAGCCTAACCAACGTGGTGAAAACCCATCTCTACTGAATATACAAAAATTAGCTGGGCGTGGTGACACATGCCTATAATACCAGCTATTTGGGAGGCTGTGGCAGGAAAATCACTTGAAACCAGGAAGCGGAGGTCGTAGTGAGCCAAGATGGTGCCACTGCACTCAAACCTGGGTGGCAGAGTAAGACTCTATCTCAAAAAAAATGTATACATATATACATATATTTACCTCAGTATATATTTTCCTACACATGTCTGGTTTTTACAAAAGAAACAAAAAACAAAAATCAAAATATAAGGCACACAAAAAGACAATGTAAGAGGACAATAAACCACACTCTGAAGAGACAAAACATCAGAACCAGACTAAGCTATGACAGAAAATAAGAACTCTCAGGCAAAAAAAAAAAAAAAAAAAAAAAAAAAAAAAAAAAAAAAAGAAAGAAAAATAACAATAATTGATATGTTAAAGGCTTTGGCAGAAAATAAAGACAACATGCAGAGTCAGATAGATAATTTTATCAGAGAGTTGGAAACTATAAAATCAAATGGAAATGCTAGCAATGAAAACCACAGAAAAGAGATGAAGATGCCTTCAATGGGCTCATTAGTACCCTTAACACACTTAGGGAAATAATCAGTGAACTTGAATATAAACAAATTACCCAAACTGAAATATAAAGTGAAAAGAATAAAAAAGAGAGCCTTAGAACTGTGGGACAGTATCAAATGGTGTCATTTGTGGATACTTGGAATCTCAGAAGAAATCTCATCACTAGGAAATGATGGCAAAAATAAATAAAAATTAAAAAATAAAAAAAGAGCAGAAGAAATATTTGAAAAAAAAATGGCCAAGAATTTAGTTACAGACATGAAAACTCCAGAACCAAGAAGCCCACCAAGCATGATGAATATCAAAAAACACACACCAAAAAAACCCCAAAACAAGAAAAATGATAGCAAATCCCCAAATATAGGTATATCAATCAAATTCAAACTGCTGAAAATTAAAATCAAAAACAGTTTTGAAGGCAGTCCAAGTAAAAAAATACATGACTGCCATGCATACGTTAACTATAGGAATATGGTCTGAGAAGTACATCATAGGATGATTTCATCATTCTGTGAACATCATAGAGTATGCTTACATGAACCTAGATTGCAGTTGTGTAGCTTATTGTACCTGTAAGCTACATAGTACAGCTGAATGCTTCTAGGCTATAAACCTGTACAGCACGTTACTGTACTGAATACTATAGACAACTGTAATACAATGGCAAGCATAGAAAAAGTTCCGTAAAAATAGTTTTATTATCTTATAGGACCACTGTACTGTATGTGGTCAGTGGGTGAAACACTGTTTTGCAGTGCATGAAGGAGGATAAGAAGGAGGATAAGGAAGGAGGATAAGAATTACAACAGACCTCTCATCAGAAAATGTGAAATCAAGGACACAATAGTTACTTCTTTTTTTTTTTTTTTTTTTGAGACAGTGTTGCTCTGTCACCCAGGCTGGAGTGCAGTGGTGCGATCTTGGCTCACTGCAAGCTCCGCCTCCCGGGTTCACGCCATTCTCCTGCCTCAGCCTCCCGAGTAGCTGGGACTACAGGCGCCTGCCACCATGCCTGGCTAATTTGTGTGTGTGTGTGTGTGTGTGTGTGTGTATTTTTATTAGAGACGGGGTTTCACCGTGTAAGCCAGGATGGTCTCGATCTCCTGACCTCGTGATCTGCCCACCTCGGCCTCCCAAAGTGCTGGGATTACAGGCGTGAGCCACTGCGCCCGGCCTGACAATAGTTACTTCTGTAAATAAAAAAATGCTGCCAACTCACAATTCTATAACCAATTAGCATATTTATCAAAATCAATGTCGAAATGCTTAGAAAAAATAAAATGGAGGGAATTCATTGCCATCAAGTGGACACTACAAGAAATGTTAAAAAAAAAAAAAAAGTACTTTGGGCCAAAGGAATATTATATATGTCAGAAACTTGTGTTTACACAAAGAAATAAAGTGCATAAAAATAAAATAAAGGTAATTGCTGTAAAAGATAACTAGCAGTTTAAAACAATAATATATAGTGTTTTTCCAGCATATGTAAAAGTAGTCCATATATGAATACAAGACCACAAAGGATCAGTGAGAATTGGGAATATACTATTACAAGGTTCTTATACTGAAAGGGAAACAGTATAATTTCATTTAAAGGAGGCCCCAAATTATTTAAAAATATATACTATAAACCCTAGGAGAACCATTAAAATGTTTTTAAAAGATGTATAAAATAAGTTAATAGAAAAAATTAAAATGTAATCATAAAACATGCTTAACTAAACCCAGAGAAGCCAGGCATGGTGGAGTGCACCTGTAGTCCCAGCTATTCAGGAGGCTGAGGCAGAGAGTAGGAGTTTGGGGCTGCCGTGGGCTGTGATTCTGCCTATGAATAGCTACTGAATGCCAGCCTGGGCAATATAGTCAGACCCTGTTTTAATCCTAGCAGTTTTGAAGTCCATGGTGGGTGGATCACTTGGGGCCAGGAGTTTGAGACCAACCTGGGTAACATTAGTGACATCTTGTCTCCAGTGAAAACAAAAAACAGAGAACGCAAAATAAGCATTCTTTTCAAGCTCCTATGGGACACTCACCAAGATAAACCATATCATGGGCTATGGAACATTCCTTCACACATTTAAAGAATAGAAATCACACAAATGACAGGGCACGGTGGCTCACGCCTGTAATCCCAGCACTGCCAAGGCACGCAGATCACCTGAGGTCAGGAGTTCGAGACCAGCCTGGCCAACATGGAGAAACCTCGTATCTACTAAAAATACAAAAATTAGCTAGGCGTGGTGGTGTGCACCTGTAATCCCAGCTATTTGGGAGGCTGAGATGGGAGAATCGCTTGAACCCAGTAGGCAGGGGTTGTAGTAAGCCGAGATTGTGCCATTGCACTCCAGCCTGGGCAACAAGAGTGAAACTCTGTTTCAAAAAAAAAAAAAAAAAGAAATCACACAAACTACATTATCAGACTATACAAAATTATAATAGATATTACAGAAAAATATCTGGGAAATCCACAAAAAATGTGAAAACTAGTACACTTCTAAATACCTCTTGGGTCAAAGAGTGAGTCTCAGGGAAATTAAATATTTTGAGCAAAATAAAAATAAAAATGCAATATTTCAATATTTGTGTAACATAGCTAAAGCAGTATTTAGAGTGAAATTTATAGAATTAAATTTATAATATATTAGAAAAAAATCTAAAATCAGTAACTTAACCCTTTACCTTAAGAAACTAGAGAAAAATGGCCGGGCGCGGTGGCTCATGCCTGTAATCTCAGCACTTTGGGAGGCCGAGGCGGGCTGATCACGAGGTCAGGAAATCGAGACCATCCTGGCTAACACAGTGAAACCCCATCTCTATTAAAAATACAAAAATTCGCCGGGCTTGGTGGTGGGCGCATGTAGTCCCAGCTACTTGGGAGGCTGAGGCAAGAGAATGGCATGAACCCGGGAGGCGAAGCTTGCAGTGAGCCGAGATCCTGCCACTGCACTCCAGCCTGGGTGACAGAGCGAGACTCTGTCTCAAAAAAAAAAAAAAGAAAAGAAACTAGAGAAAAAAAGGAGATGGAGAGCTTTTAAATGTAAAGCAAGAAGAATGACAAAAATAAAAATTGAAGCAGAACTCAATAAAATTGAAAATTGGAAACGAGAGAAAAATCAACAAAACCAAAGCTGATTCTTTGAAAAGATAAAAATGGAGGCAATAAATTGTTAACTGCCACGAACTGCCCAAGTTAGTATGGGATTTCAAATGCATGCTCTTTCCACTATCTCAGTGCCTTAGTTTGGGTGATGAATAAGGGATGGAACAATTAGGAAGAAGACTGATTATGTAGGGGAAAAGAATATTATAGTGATTTTTTGGGACATAAGGTTGGTGGTGGAATATTAAATAGTAGCCAGAAACTGGCAAGGGGAGTGCAGAGTAGGGATGCTGGAAATACATCAGTATATATTTTTCATTTACAAAACCCTTATCACTTACAGAAATGATTCTGTCTTTAAACTATGACTGTTTTCTTGTCCACAGAAGCCACTGAGTTTATAGATCCTCGAATATATCAGTTGATCCATGTATCTCTAATAACACTTATTTCACCAACGTCATCCTATTTTTGATGTCTACTAATTATTGTAATTTAACCAGATGTGTAATGTTCTCTGAATTGGTGTAAAATAACTGGCTGGGCGCAGTGGCTCACACCTGGAATCCCAGCACATTGGGAGGCTGAGGCGGGTGGATCACTTGAGATCAGAAGTTTGAGACCAGCCTGGCCAACATGGTGAAACCCCGTCTCTACTAAAAATACAAAAATTGACCGGGCACGGTGACGCGAGTCTGTAATTCCAGCTATTCCAGAGGCTAAGGCGTGAGAGTCGCTTGAATCCGGGAGAGGGAGGCTGCAGTGAGCTGAGATTGCACCACTGCACTCCAGCCTGGACAACAGAGTGAGCCTCCATCTCAAAAAAAGACAAAAACAAAAAACTTAAATTGAAGCTTTACAATAGCACCTGGAGCTTGAATTTATCCATTATAACGCCAGCTGACCTTGGGTGCGAGTTCATGACCAAATCTATGTAATGTATTGATTAAATCTCATGCTTATAGAATTCTGCCTATGCTTTTTTTTTTTTTTTTTTGAGATGATACCCAGGCTGGAGTGCAGTGGCGCGATCTCGGCTCACTGCACCTTCTGCCTCCTGGGTTCAAGTGATTCTCCTGCCTCAGCCTCCCGAGTAGCTGGGACTACAGGTGCATGCCACCAAGCCTGGCTAATTTTTTGAATTTTTAGTAGAGATGGGGTTTCACTGTGTTAGCCAGGATGGTCTCAAACTCCTGGCCTCATGATCTGCCTGCCTCAGCCTCCCAAAGTGTTGGGATTACAGGCATGAGACACTGTGCCCGGCCTTAATGTATTTCATTACACATTGTAAATATCATAACAATGTATTTCCCAATTTAAAAGGTTAAAAATACATAAGAGTGAATTGTTTTAAAACTATAATTCCAGGCCCTGATAAACTTCTGGTTAAATATCAGGATAGACTAAAGACATTTTCAGATACAAAGGTCTCAAAAACTTTATTTCCCATGAACCTTACTAGAAAGCTACTGAAGGATGTGCTCAAATTAAACAAGAAACCAAGTTCGAAATGGAAAAACATAAAGACAGGTAAAACAATGCAAGAGATGCCAAGAATATCCCCAAGATACCTGAGCCACTGGCTTAGTGAACAAATGTGCCTGTGTTGCAGATGAGAAGGCTCCTTGAGAGTATTCTGCAAGATGAAAATGGTATAAAGCCAGATGCCTTAAAATGAATTCAGAAAACTAGACAACTGCAGGGGACAGTTTGGGAATGAATTAAGGAAAGAACATGGAATACAAAGCATACTGAAGGTCAGTATTAACTACAGGAAACTGTTATAGAAAAAGCAAAAAGGCAATCACTTGACAATACATGGCTCAGAAATGAATGGTATTGAAATAATCAAAATAAATGTGAGAAAATATTCTAAAACAAAAATGAGAAATTCTATTAGAAGAGGGCCACAAGGTGAAGGCTGTTCCAAATTCTTGTCTCCCAAAGTGGGACATCATAATACTTCAAACTGAAAAATCCAGAGGTATTATTGGAATGTGATTTAGTGACTATAAAAGTAAATACCAAAAGAGCTGAGGAGTTCAAAGTGACTGCCTCTAAAAAGCTGGCAAAAGTGGTTATAAAGCAATAGTTGTAATTCAAATAAATCTTGTGAACAATAACTCAAACATTAAACCTAGATTTTTAAAAATTGTACTTTGGGGCTGGGTGCAGTGGTTCATGTCTGTAATTCCAGCACTTTGGGAGGCCGGAGTGGGTGGATCACCTGAGGTCAGGAGATCCAGACCAGCCTGGCCAACATGATGAAACCCCATCTCTACTAAAAATACAAAAATTAGCTGGGCATGGTGGCAGGCACCTGTAATCCCAGCTACTTTGGGTGGAGAGGGTGCGGTGCTGAGGCTCCAGAACTGCTTGGACCCAGGAGGCGGAGGTTGCAGTGAGACGAGATAATGCCATTGCACTACAGTGTGGGTGACAGAGCGAGACTCTATGTCAAAAATAAAAAAAAAATAAAAAGAGAAAAATGATCTGTATTACACAGGAAGAGATACAGATGTCTTTACCTGCCCATGACATGACTATCTCTACGGAAACTCCAATGGAATCTAAACAAGAGCTACTAAAAATGAGTTTAGCCAGCTATAGGCAATAAGATTAATATTCAAAAATTAGTTTTCTGTATACTAGTAATGAACAACTAGAATTGAAATAATCAACATAAAAAATTAAATACTTAAGGACAAATCTGACAAAACATGTTAAATAACACGTACACTAAAAACTACAAATTTCAGAGACAATTACATAAAAATTCATTGAATAGATTCACTGTTATGTCTACTGACATGTTGTCAATTTTCTCCGTATTAATCTAAAAAGATACAACATAATCCCATCAAAAGCTCGTCTTTTTTGTTGACACAAGTTTTCCAAATGTCACCCATCTGTGATCTATTGAAAGATGTTAATTCCTGAATTAACAGAATAAACCTAAGGAGGAAAAGATGGAACTAAGTTAAGATGGATTCTGAGACTAGAGATCAGTTCCCAAAGTGAAGTGAAGGACAGTAGCTGAACAGGACTAGAGGGTACTCTGTCCAGTGGGAACAGAACAGGTTATCTACCGGTTGTGTATGTACAGTATGTGTGTGTGTGGCAGAGGAGGATGTAAGAATGCCATCTCATTTTCTATAGGACTAAGGCAATACTAACAAAGGCACACACAATAAAAAATAAAGTAAGTTACTTAGAAATATGGAGGTAAACAGAGGAAAGGTGAAAGTGGCACTGGGCATGGTGGTTCATGCCTGTAACCCCAGTGCTTTGGGAGGCTAAGGCAGGAGAATTGCTTGAGGCCACAAGTTCAACACCACGCTGGGCAAAATAGAAAAATAAAAACTTTAGTTAAAAAAAAAAAAAGGCTGAAAGTAGCTACCTGGCTGGGCGTGGTGGCTCACACCTGTAATCCCAGCACTTTGGGAGGCCGAGGCAGGTGAATCACTGGAGGTCAGGAGTTCGACACCAGCCTGACCAACATGGTGAAACCCCGTCTCTATTAAAAATACAAAAATTAGCTGGGTGTGGTGGTACACACCTGTAATCCCAGCTACTTGGGAGGCTGAGGCTGAAGAATAGCTTGAACCTGGGAGACGGAGGTTGCAGTGAGCCGAGATCCTGGCCATTGCACTCCAGCCTGGGCAACGAAAAAAGGGGAGGGGAGGGGAGAAGAGGAAAAAGAAAAGAAAAGAAAAAGAAAAGAGGCTGTATTTACATAGCAGTAGTCCAAGAGTAATGATGAATGCCTTTAATAAAGACTTAATCTTTCTTAAAGGAAAAGTATATAAGAAATACAGAAAAAAATTACTGGGCTTTTATTGGCAATTACAAAAGTAATAGATTTTCTTACATAATACATTTCTTCAGTAATATATGTTTCAAGTATTTTACTGTAGAATTTCTAAAGTACCTTGTCACTGACCCCATAATTTAATATAAAGTAGGTCCCATAATCACATTTTTTGGAAGTTGCTGAAACTGAGATAAAAAAATATTGCTTTCTTATGGGAAAAACTGGACAAAATACAGAATAGCCAAAACTAGATTCACTGGCTCAGTTATGTCTACTAGGTGAAAGAAACTGAGTCTTCTAATAATTCATTCAGAATCTGTTACTGTAGAAATTTTAAGAGGTTTTGAGTCAGTTCCAGTATAAAAATAAGGCCAAAGTGCTCCTGTAAAATTATCATTAAAAGTATAGAGAAGAGATCTATCATTCAAATTATAAAAGGAAACTTCATTCATTTCATAGTCTAAAAAAATGCCAATCTTACTAGGAATTACTTGTGGCAGCAGAATAATTTCCCTGTGGCCCAATACAATATAATTATTCTGACTAGATCGCCAAATTCCCCATAATCCATCCTGTACTAAAATTGGTTGACTCTTCCTCCTTCTGGGAAGACAGTCATTACAGACACCAAGAATCCATTCAGGCTTGTCTTTCACTTCTACTTCCCAGTACTGCCTGCCACAACTATATCCCTTAGAACCCAGAACAGCTGGGAGGAGATAAAATCTTCTTGGGTTATGAGGTACATTTTGTGTTGTATTTCCATAGCGCACAGTTTTTCTATCTTCTGAGACTATAAGTTTACGATGTGCTGTTTCAGGATCTAGAATTACATCTACTTGAAATCGCTTGATAATTTTGTCTAGGCCAGAATATTGTGGAGGCAGATGGTAACCATATTTTTTTAATTTGAATAAAAACAGCTCAGGGAATTTTAAATTCTCATATCTGTGATAGATATCCTTAACATTTGCCAGTAATTCCAGTTCTGACTTCACATATATGCTCTCTATCTCCTTTAGTAGATATTTTAATGAGGAGGTATAATCTGAAAATTTTGTTAGGCTTTCATTTAGTTGTGCTAAAATATCCATCTCTTCATCTTGTAATTGCCTAAGAACAGTCTCTTGCTCATTTTGGAGAAATAACCTAAGTTGCTCAAATTCAGACTTGACTTCTTCTGCCCTATGTTTTACCTTTTTCTTCAGTTCCAGTGATTTCCTGGTTTGCATAGTTATGACTTTTTCAATTAGTTCCACTCTCTCCTTCCACGGTGCATTGTATTCCTCCAGTTTTTTCCTATGATAGGAGGCAGCCTTCTTTATGGGCCAAACACAGTGATGCTGGTGATCAGTGGACAAACTGCACCTTGGACATAAAAGCTCTAGGTCTTTCTGACAGAAGAAAGTCAAAACCTGATTATGCTTCTTACACACATGCTTCTCTTCCTGCCTCTTCCTCTTCTTGCTTCTTATCTGGAGTTGCTTAGCAATTTCAGTCAAACTACCCAGCTGGGGATTGCTTATAAATTTCCTTTCTGGACAGCAAAAGTGGCAAAAGGGGCAGGGGAAACTATCATGTAGATCCTTCCAGGACATAATGATGCAGGAGAGACAGAAGTTATGCCCACAGCTGATGGTCACTGGGTCTTTCAAGTAGTCCAGACAGATGGGACAGCTAGCCTCTGCTCGGAGGTCAGCCAGGGCCGTAACAAATTCCATTGAGACTTGAACAAAGATGGTAGGTAAGGTAATTCTTTTATTTTAGCAAGGCCTAGCTCTCTAGAGCTCAAGACCCAGTACACAGTGGATATACTCCCCAGACCTTGAAATCTGATCAACTATCAGTTTTACTGACTTGGCATGTTGATGGCAGCTTCTAGAAACTTGTTAAGCCCTCAGCTCCTTAGCTTCAGAGTCTACTGCCACGAACACTTCACAGCCTGCAGCCTATTGCATATTAGAACTTAATAGCTGGGCTGCTGCTCTTCCCACTAAATGAAATAAAGTCAAGTTTTCTTCAAGAAAGCAGCCTCAGGTCCAAGATAGGGAATCCTTCCTATGAGTAAGAAAAGACACCACGTTAAAATTCCATAATCACAAATGTATTAAACGTTCACACAAGAATCATCAATGAATGCTAAAATCATGGGGTGGAAGTTCTTGGAAAAACAAGATTCTCATATTGCAGAGATTCACGCCATACATTACTTATTAAAAAAAAAAAAACTAAAAAATATGGGACAAACTTATGTGCTTCCTGATAGGATGCTATGGCAAGTATACAACATTGCCTATATAATATTCTTTCCAAAAATATTGCCATTAGAGAAAATTAATTCAGATTGTGGAGCATTCTTACAAGACAACTGGTATGCATTCTTCAAAAATGTCAATGTCAGGAAAAACAAGCATTAAAAAAAAAGGTTTCTACATTTAAGGAGAGGAAACAAACATGATAAATACAACGTGTGACCCCTGATTGAATCTGAGATCTTGAAATCAAAACAAAACAAAACAAAAAAATGCTGGGAACAGGCTGGGTGTGGTGGCTCACACCTATAATCCCAGCATTTTGGGGGGCCAAGGCGCTCAGCTCCCTTGAGGCCGGGAGTTCAAGACCAGCCTGGCCAATATGGTGATACCCTATCTCTACTAAAGATACAAAAAATTAGCTGGGCATGGTGGCATGTGCCTGTAATCCCAGCTGCTTGGGAGGCTGAGGCAGGAGAACCACTGGAACCCGGGAGGCAGATGTGGCAGTGAGCTGAGATTGCAGCACGGCACTCCAGCCCCAGCGACAGAGTGAAACTCTATCTCCCCCCTCAAAAAAAATGGGGAACAAATAAATATGAGATTCTTAGTATGGACTGTGTATCACATAATGTTGTACCAGTTAAATTGAGCACAATAAAATTATCACAGTAAGAAGTAAAATGCCCTTGTTGTTAGGAGATATATCTATATACTGATGCACAGCGGGAAGCCATCTGAAACTTTCAGAAGGTTCAACAATTAAAAAAATGTGTAGCCGAGTGCGGTGGCTCACGCCTGTAATCCCAGCACTTTGGGAGGCCAAGGTGGGCAGATCACCTGAGGTCAGGTGTTCTAGACCAGCCTGAATAACATGGAGAAACCCCGTCTCTACTAAAAACACAGAATTAGCTGGGTGTGGTGGCACATGCCTATAATCCCAGCTACTCAGGAGGCTGAGGCAGGAGAATTGCTTGAACCCGAGAGGAGGAGGTTGTGGTGAGTGGAGATCGTACCATCGCACTCCAGCCTGGGTGACAGAGGGAAACTCTGTCTCAAAAAAAAAAAAAAAAGTGTAAATAGAGAAAACATGAATGTAGCAAAAGTTAACAACAGGGGTGAATCCAGGGAAAAAGTATAAGGATGCATACCCTTTCAATCTTTCTGTAAGTTTGACACTTTCAAAACAAAAGTGAGGCAGAAAAACTTCCTGGCTTGCTTTCAAGACACCCACAGGTACCCGATTTTAAGCAAGTCAAATTCCTCCATCAAAGCTTGAAAGCCACCTAACCATCAATACAGTATTTTTTCCCCTTCACCTCCTTTCCCTAGACACTTTCTTAACTCTTCTTCTTCCTCTCACTTTCCTCATAACCCAACGACAGTGACAGTAATAGTATGTGCATGGTTTTGACATGTGAAACTGGCTCTGTCTTGGTGACCTAGCAAGTTCTTTTACTATACATTCTCTTTAGACTAGCAGAATAGGAAAATATGCAGTAGCCCTAGAAAGTCACCATTTATCCATTATTCCCAAACTTAAAGTTTTAATTCAGTGTCCTAGGACTGCACAAGCAAAAGCTATCACAGCAACATGCTACAGGAGGCAGTATTTCACAATGTAAGCACTAACATTATTGAGAGGACACCAGGTTTGAATCCTGGCTCAGCTATTGACTGTGTATCTTTAGAAAATCGATGTGTCTTTTTTTGAATCGCATTTCTTTGACCTGTAAAATGGGAAGTATAACAACCTCTTTTTCTTATAAGAATATCATGTAAGTTGTAGCTAATTCTTCTCGACCAAAGGAGCTTTCTGTTAGATGTATTAGAATCTGGATCCAAACAAGAGCCATGTATTGCATTTGCTTATTAGTTCTTTTAAATCTTTTTCAATCTAGAATAATGTTCCCTGCCTCCACCTTTGTCCTAGACTACCCCAAATTCAAGATTTGCCTATTGCTTTGTGTGTGTGTGTGGAGCCTTGTTCTGTGGCCCAGGCTTGAGTGCAGTGGCACAATCTTGGCTCACTGCAGCCTCCACCTCCCGGGTTCAAGTGATTCTCCTGCCTCAGCCTCTTGAGTAGCTGGGCCTACAGGCGTGCGCCACCACACCCGGCTAAGGTTTGTAACTTTAGTGGAGACAGGGTTTCGCCATGTTGTCCAGGCTGGTCTTGAACTCTGGACTCCAAGTGATCGGCCCACCTTGGCCTCCCAAAGTGCTGGGATTACAGGCATTAGCCACCGCACCTGACATGTCTATTGCTTCTTGATATCATTTAACTTGTCCCTCAGGCCTTCACTTTTTAAACAAATTAAATGTTGTTTCCCCTCATAACAATCTGTTTATAACTCCCCACAAGTCAGGACAAAGTTTTTCACCCTTAGCTCGCCATTCAGAACCCTTCGTATTTCATTATCTTCATCTGGCTACAGTCTCCTAAAGTACTTAACGAAAACAAACAAACAAACACAGGTATCATGCTTTCCCTCTTCTGCACAAACCACTTTCTGCTTAGATTACCCTACCCTCACTTCTTCCCTAGGACTAAGTTTTGGTCCTTCTAGAGACTCAGCCCAAGACACATGTTCTCAAGGATAATTTATTATATGTCAGGCACTATGCTAAGGATCTTCCATATAGTCACAGGTTCAATTAAACCATCAGAACAACTCCGTAAGTTAGGAGCTATTATCCTCAATTAGAGCTATAAAAGCCTAGAGCTGTAAAAGCGGAGTCTACAAGAATTTGAACATGCTTATCCAACATTACGCTAATTGGCATAACCACTGGCATGATAATCACTAAGTTGTACTGCTCCTTCTTTACACTCGCACGGCATCCTATGCAGCCCTCTATATATCAAATCAACTTAGATTTTTCATATTTGATATGTTCAGTTGTTCATATTTAATAATGTATCCCAAATATTTTAAAAGGGAAAAATGGGCTTACTGATCCAACACTACAATGGAGAAAAGAGATAAAATACAAACTGAGAGCTAACAATACCTAACAGAATTGGGTTTTCATCCAACTCTAACACTTAGCTAGCTACATGTACTTGGTCAAGTTAATTTCTCTGAGTTTCACTTTTCAGAAAGTAGGAAATAATACTGTCTCAGGTTTTAAGCATAAATGAATAAATTATCTAAGACACCTGTCACAGTCCTTGGCATTTAACCCATGTACAATAAAAAATATTGTAGGACTATCTCAGAAAATCTCTCAAGAGGTCATACAAATTTAGCTGAATCCACATACTTCTATTATAGCATATTATAGTTGATGTATTATATGTAATACATACATATATAGAGATAACCTATATTTACTTACATATAAAACACATTGGGCCAGGCGTGGTGGCTCACACCTGTAATCCCAGCACTTTGGGAGGCCAAGGCAGTGGATCACTTGAGGTCAGCAGTTCGAGAACCAGCCTGGCCAACATGGTAAAACCTTGTCTCTCCTGAAAATACAAAAATTAGCTGGCAGTGGTGGCGCATGCCAGTAATTCCAGCTACTTGGAAGGCTGCAGCGGGAGAATTGCTTGAACCCTGGAGGCAGAGGTTGCAGTGAGTAGAGATCGTGCCACTGCACTCCAGCCTGAGCAACAGAGCAAGGCTCTGTCTCAAAAAAGCAGCACATTGACATTTCACCTAAAAGCTGTTATGGCTTATAAGGTTGCTAGTCCTGAAATGATTAGTAAAGGCAGTAACTTCCAAGGGCTCACTGTAGTAGTGGTGTGCTTCAGAGAATTTTCCTATACTAATTTTGGAGTAAGACAGAAGTTTTAGAATTTTAAAATACATCCTTTATTTTAAATAGCCCTCCATATTGGCAAGTTCAGCATCCACTAACACAATTAACTTCAGATAGAATCGAAAATACAGTATTCCTGGGATGCAGAACCTGCATCCACTGGTCTTGAGCATTCATGGATTTTGGTATCTTCGGGTGCCCTGGAACCAATGCCCTGTGTATATTGTATATCCAGGGATGAGAGTACATTTAACTTGTGAAAAATTCTAACACAACACTACAGAAAACATAGAATAATGGCCGGGAGTCGTGGCTTCAGGGCTGTAATCCCAGAACTTTGGGAGGCCAAGCTGGGTGGATCGCTTGAGCCCAAGAGTTCAAGACCAGCCTGAGCAACATGGCAAAATCCCATCTCTACAAAAGGAAAAGAAAGAAAAGAAATAAAAAGAATACTGTCTCTTACAAACCACTCTTCCCACCTGCCCACACTAAGCGTGGCTATGGTGACTCCCAATACTTGCTTAATACTTTCAAATGGGTACTGTTGAGCAGAACAAGAAAGTTAGAAAGTGCATGGGAATGGGAGTGAGGTTGCATAGGGTGCTCAGAGATTGGAAAAATTGAGCCTGAAAAAGTTTTAAGAATCTTGCCCAGCCACGCACGGTGGCTCACACTTGTAATCCCAGCACTTTGGGAGGCCAAGGCAGGCAGATTACCTTAGGTCAAGTGTTCGAGACCAGCCTGGACAACATGGTGAAACCCTGTCTCTACTAAAAATGCAAAAATTAGCCGGGCATGGTGGCGCGCCTGTAGTCCCAGCTACTTGGGAAGCTAAGGCAGGAGAATGGCTCAAACCAGGGGGCAGAGGTTGCAGTGAGCTGAGATGGCGCCATTGCACTCCAGCCTGGGTGAAAAGAGGAAAACTCCATCTTAAAAAAAAAAAAAAGAATCTTGCCCAATGTCACATAGTTAGTAAACTGCAGAGCATCATTGCAAAAAATGGTAAAATCAGAAGAAAAAATGTACTTTTAAGAAAACATATACAAAAAAGGACTCTAGCACAGTGCAAAGTGCAGGGAAAAGAAAGAGATCAGACTGTCACTGTGTGTCTATGCAGAAAGGGAAGACGTAAGAGACTCTATTTTGAAAAAGACCTGTACTTTAAACAATTGCTTTGCTGAGATGTTGTTAATTTGTAGCTTTGCCCCAGCCACTTTGACTCAACCTGGAGCTCACAAAAACATGTGTTGTATAAAATCAAGGTTTAAGGGATCTAGGGCTGTGCAGGACGTGCCTTGTTAACAAAATGTTTACAAGCAGTATGCTTGGTAAAAGTCATCGCCATTCTCTAGTCTCAATAAACCAGGGGCACAATGCACTGCGGAAAGCCACAGGGACCTCTGCCCTTGAAAGCGGGGTATTGTCCAAGGTTTCTCCCCATGTGATAGTCTGAAATATGGCCTCGTGGGATGAGAAAGACCTGACTGTCCCCAGCCTGACACCCGTAAAGGGTCTGTGCTGAGGTGAATTAGTAAAAGAGGAAAGCCTCTTGCAGTTGAGATGGAGGAAGGCCACGGTCTGCTGCCTGCCCCTGGGAACTGAATGTCTTGGTATAAAACCTGATTGTACCTTTGTTCAATTCTGAAATAGGAGAAAAACCGCCCTATGGTGGGAGGCGAGACATGTTTGCAGTAATGCTGACTTGTTATTCTTTACTCCGCTGAGATGTTTGGGTGGAGAGAAACATAAATCTGGCTTACGTGCACGTCCAGTCATAGTACTTTCCCTTGAACTTAATTATGACATAGATTCTATTGCTCACATGTTTGTTGCTGACCTTCTCCTTATTATAACCCTGCTCTCCTACTACATTCCTTTTTGCTGAAATAATGAAAATAATAATCAATAAAAACTGAGGGAACTCAGAGGCCGGTGCCGGTGCAGGTCCTTGGTATGCTGAGCGCCGGTCCCCTGGGCCCACTGTTGTTTCTCTATACTTTGTCTCTGTCTTATTTCTTTTCTCAGTCTCTCGTCCCACCCGACTAGAAATACCCACAGGTGTGGAGGGGCAGGCCACCCCTTCATAAAGGACACAAGAGGACTCACTCCAGGTATCATTGTGCCCTCCTTTCCCCAAGCATACACCCAAAGCAGTCTTCTCTACTATTTAAAATCAGGACATTAAGTGAACAGAACAGCTCTGTAGGCACAGTCACCACCCTAGTTTAAACCACTTATGTCTCTCTCCTAGATACACAATGGTGCCTCCAATTTCTGAAGTCTGTAGCTAAACTGACCTTTTCAAATACAAACAGAATCCTTTCATATTTCAACTGAAAACATTCCACTGGTCCTTTATTACTTTATGGAAGCAATTCTCAAATCTTACCTTGCATTATAATCACCTGGAGGTCTTGGTAAAAGATTGCCTGGGCCACATCCCCAGTTTCTGACTCAGTAGGGCTGGTTTTTTCCTAAGTTCCCAGATGATGCTGCTGGCCTGCGGACTGTACTTTGTGAACCTATGCTTTAAGGAAAACAAAGCAAAAAGATCCATTAAGATCTAGTCCAAGTTTTTTGCCTAGCTCCCATCATGTCACATATCACAGTTATGTGATTTTACAGCTACTCTGCAATTCTTTACCTAACTGTAAAAACCCCTCACCAGGCAGCAAGCTTCTTGGTGGCAATACGTCTCTAGCTTGTTTGAGGAATAAATAAAACCTGTGGTAGATTCCAAGCTCTCAGTTTCAACCATCATCATACTGGCTGATTCTTAACATGCCTGCACCTAAAGCGCCTCATCTACAAAGTTGAAATGATAATTCGTACCTGTAAGACCCTTGTGAGGATTACAGGATGCTTACATAGGTCGAGGGTGCAGACGACGTAGGCTGGTGGGTTCTCAACTGGCAGCTACCACTTCGCTCCCTTAACTCCCCAACCCCCACTCCCAAACACGTACATTAACTCTTTGAAGATAACATAGCCACTTCATAAACCCTAATTCAGATCATAACATTTAAAGCTTAATTGATACAGGCTCAACACCCCCATTCTAACTCTACAATCCTGAATTTTTCACAAGAGCTACGCCAGACACTAAGGAGATCCAGTCGTGGGCAGGCAGCGACCCGGAGGTTTAGGCACAGAGAATGTTCAAGAAGCCCCTGTCCAGTTAAGCCTCCTGGCGAGGCCCTTCTGGGCCTTTCCTGCGGCCTTCCCAGCTCACCTGGAGCAGACGGATCAGCAAATCCGGCCAAAGAATACTCAGGACCCACCGAGCCCCCGCGAGGAAGGACTCATACCCCAACCCCACCAAGTGGGCTGCTTCCTGCCTGGGGCTCAGCCTGCGCGGTGGTTGGCAGTTGCCCCGGAAGTGGGCGGGAAGGACCTGCGCATGCTCTGTGACCCTGGGTGCAGGGATTGTGTGAAGATTGAGAGCTGGGGGCGCCCTCTTCCGTGATCAGGGCCCCGTTGGCCCCAACTGGCATTTAATTCCCCTGGCTGTCTTTTCGGATTCTTATCACTTTTTATGTATATGAGTAAACTTGAGGGTCCAAGTAAGTCTGCAAGTTGGTTTTAAAAGCTTCACCAGCACAGCGTCCCCTCCCAGATGGTGAGGGAGTGGAGAGCTTTGCAGGGTCAACTGCTTCCCGTAGCCTGGGGTCGCAGGGTGGAGTCGTTGAGCACTCCCTATGCTTGAAAGAGGAATAGAAGCCCCTTTGGATTAGTTTGCATCTCAGTGGGTGAGTGGGTGGATCTCTCCCACCCTGTGGGATTGTGCCCTACCCTATGAACTCAGGTTTACCTGAGGAAGTGACATTTCAGGCGGAATTTGAGGGATGAAGAGGCATTCGTTGGATCAATTCCACGGTCAAAGTCTTCAAGGCTGGAAGAAGAGCCAATGTGGAGCCTCTCAACTTTAAAGAATTTAGTACAGGCCGGGCATAGTGGCTCACACCTGTAATCCAAGCACTTTCAGAGGCAGAGGTGGGAGGATCGCTTGAGGCCAGGAGTTCAGGACAAGCCTAGGTAACATTGCCAGACCCTGCGTCTACAAAATATTTTAGAAATGATTTTTTTTTCTTTTAATAAGAGACGGAATCTCTCTTTCGCCCAGGCTGGAGTGCAGTGGCGCGATCTTGGCTCTCTGCAACCTCTGCCTCCCAGTTTCAAGCAATTCTCCTGCCTCTGTCTCCCGAGTAGCTGGGTCTATAGGCGCACGCCGCCACGCCTGGCTAATTTTTTGTTGTTGTATTTTTAGTAGAGACGGGGTTTCATCGTGTTGCCCAGGCTGGATTCGAACTCCTGAGATCAGGCAATCCGCCCGCCTCGGCCTCCCAAAAGTGCCAGGATTACAGGCGTGAGCCACCTCACCCAGCCAGAAATGATAATTTTATTTTTATTTTTATTTTTTTTTTGAGACGGAGTCTCGCTCTGTGGCCCAGGCTGGAGTGCAGTTGCGTGATCTCGGCTCACTGCAAGCTCCGCCTCCCGGGTTCACGCCATTCTCCTGCCTCAGCCTCCAGAGTAGCTGGGACTACAGGTGCCTGCCACCACGCCCAGCTAATTTTTTGTATTTTTAGTGGAGACGGGGTTTCACCGTGTTAGCCAGGATGGTGTCGATTTCCTGACCTCGTGATCCGCCCGCCTCGGCCTCCCAAAGTGCTAGGAGTACAGGCGTGAGCCACCGCGCCCTGCCTAGAGATGATAATTTTTAAAAACTTGGTACAAAAGGAACTGAAAGAGGTCATTTGGTTGGCACTACAACGTGGGAAATTGCAAGAAGTATAAAATATGGAAAATGGCTTTGTGAGGCTGATGAGATAGGCGAGAATGAATGCTGCAAGGCCCTTTAGGCAAAATTGAGGATATTGGTTTTTATCAAATGCAAAGAAAAGCCAGTGAAGCATTTTAAACATGAAGTACTAAGATTTGAATTGTGGAATAAAGACCCGTCGATGCCTTTAATATATCCTAGAAAGGGTGTATGGTGGACAGTTGAATAGAGGTGTGACCTAGACAAATCAACCGATAAAGCAAAGTCCTTGTTCGTAAACCTTTTGAAATTCCAGAGTCTCCTGAAAAAGAAAGGAAAAGAAATACCAGTGGCAGCAGCTTCCCCCATATTACTTTGCAGTGAGGTGAGTGCATGGTATTTATTTGTTATTTTCGCCCAGGCTGGAGTACAATGGCGCCATTTTGGCTCACTGCAAGCTCCGCCTCGCGGGTTCAGCCTCCCTGGTTCAAACAGTTCTCCTGCCTCAGCCTACAGAGTAGCTGGGATTACAGGCGCGTGCCACCCACGCCCGGCTAAGTTTTTGTGCTTTCAGTACAGACGGGGGTTTCACTGTGTTGGCCCGGCTGATCTCAAACTCCTGGGCTTAAGCGATCCACCCGCCTCGGGCTCCCAAAATGCTGGGATTACTTAAAGGTGTGAGCCACTGCACCCACCCTGTATATTATGCTATTTAAACAAACTATGCAGCCAGCAGGGTGGTTTCTTTCCCTGTCACAGTACGTGGCATTAAAAATCACGCTTGTAATCCCAGCACTTTGGGAGGCCGAGGTGGGCGGATAACAAGGTCAGGAGTTCGAGACCAGCCTGACCAACATGGTGAAACCCCATCTCTACTAAAAATACAAAAATTAGCCGGCGTGGTGGCGCCTGCCTGTAATCCCAGCTACTCAGGGGAGGAACTGCTTGAACCCGTGAGGCAGAAGTTGTAGTGGGCCGAGATCGCGCCACTGCACTCCCGTCTGGGCGACAGAGGGAGACTTTGTCACCAAAAAAAAAATTATTTAAGATACCCAAAGGACTATAAATCATTCTACTATAAAGACACATGCACACGTATGTTTATTGCAGCACTATTTACAATAACAAAGATTTGGAACCAATCCAAATGCCCATCAGTGATAGAATGGATAAAGAAAATGTGAACATAGCCGGGCGTGGTGGCTGACGCCTGTAATCCCAGCACTTTGGGAGGCTGAGGCAGGTGGATCACCTGAGGTCAGGAGTTCGAGACCAGCCTGGCCAACATGGTGAAACCCTGTCTCTACTAAAAATACAAAAATTAGCCGGGCATGGTGGCAAGCACCTGTAATCCCAGCTACACGGGAGGCTGTGGCAGGAGAGTCGCTTGAACCCGGGAGCTGGAGGTTGTAGTGAGCCGAGATGGCGCCATTGCACTCAAGCCTGGAGGACAAGAGCGAGACTTCAACTCAAAAAGAAAAAAAAAAATGAAAATGTGGAACACATACACCATGGAATATTCTGCAGCCATAAAAAAATGAGGGAAATAGTTGAGGGACATAGTACTTTGCAGGGACATAGTTGAAGCTGAAAGCCATCATTCTCAGCAAATTAACACAGAAACAGAAAATCAAACACCTCATGTTCTTACTCAAAAGTGGCAGTTGAACAATGAGAACACATGGACACAGGGAGCAACAAAACATGAGGGCCTGTTGGGGGGTGGGAGGGCAAGGGGACGAGAGTATTAGGACAAATACCTAATGCATGCGGGGCTTAAAACCTAGATAACAGGTTGATAGGTGCAGCAGACCACCATGGCACATGTATACCTATGTAACAAACCTGCACATTCTGCACATGTATCCCGGAACTTAAAGTAAAATTTTAAAAAAGAAAAATAACTTAAGAGACCAGGCATGGTGGCTCAACGACTATAGTCCCAAAACTTTGAGAGGCCGAGGCAGGTGATTACTTGAGGTCTGAAGTTCGAGACCAGCCTGGCCAACATGGTGAAACTCTGTCTCTACTAAAAATACAAAAATTAGCTAGGCCTGGTGATGGGCGCCTGTAATACCAGCTATTCAGGAGGCTGAAGCAAGAGAATTGCTTAAACCTGGGAGGCAGAGGTTGCAGTGAACCAAGATGGCGCCACTGCACTCCAGCCTGGGCGACAGAGCGAGACTCTGTCCCAAAAATAAATGAGTAAGTGAATAAATAAATAAATAAACAAATAAATACTTAATATGGGAACCCCATCAATATGGCACTGAATCCTGCAAGGCTGACTATACCTCATAGGATACAGCATAATTTAACTGGATGGGGCCCACCTGCTAGATGCTAATTAACCTAAAGAGATGTGATGTAATTACTCTTCTAGACCAGTTGCCCTAAGAATTTTGTTCTTCCCTACAACAAGAGTTCAGGGCTGGGTGCGGTGGCTCATGCCTGTAATCCCAGCACTTTGGGTGGCCGAGGTGGGTGGATCATCTGAGGTCAGGAGTTTGAGACCAGCCCGGCCAACATGGTGAAACCCCATGTCTACTAAAAATATAAAAACTGGCCAGACATGGTGGTGGGCTCCTGTAATCCCAGCTACTCAGGAGGGTGAGGCAGGAGAATTGCTTGAACCCAGGAGACAGAGGTTGCAGTGAGCTGACACTGTGCCACTGCACTCCAGCCTTGGCGACAGAGTGAAACTCCGTCGTCTCAAAAAAAAAAAAAAAAAAAGAAGAGTTCAGAAGCAATCGGGCTTTCATCTTTACTCCTCCACTGAGACTGTTCCAAGTTTATCAGTGATCTAGTTTTTCAGCTAAAGAATATTTTTCATGCCTGTTACATTCTAAGATGCTTTGTAGCTTTGCTCTATGTCTATTCCATCTGGATTTAGCAGACTACTCTCCCTCTTCCTGTCCATAAAAATATGTAAAGGCCTGTAAGGACGCATAACAGACTTTTTACAGGTAGTTTGATATGTGTATGTATGTGTATATGTGTGTGCATACACATGTGTGTCTGTGTACTTCTGCAGGTTAGAGGAAGAAAATAAAGAGCAGTGGTGAAGACTTGACTTTAGAACCAGGTTTCCAGGAGTTCATATCCATGCTCTGTCCTCCTCTATCTTGTGTAACCTTAGCAGTTATCTTTTTCTGCCTTTCTCATCTGGTTAAAAAAAGGAGGGATGGGGCAATAATAGTTCAACTTACTTTTTAGATTTGTGAAGACTAAATGAGTTTTCATGAGTTAAAGCACTTTGAACAGTGTCTGGTATGGTAAATGTAGTGTAAAATACATATAAAACATATTTTGTTAACATAAATACATACTGATTATCTATAAACTAATCTGAAATTTTTTTTTCTGTTTCTATCTGAGGGCAGAAGTAAGATTATAGAGGGAGGTGGTCAGGCGCGGTGGCTCAAGCCTGTAATCCCAGCACTTTGGGATGCCGAGGTGGGTGGATCACCTGAGGCCAGGAGTTTGAGATCAGCCTGGACAACATGGCAAAACCCCATCTCTTCTAAAAATACAAAAATTAGCCAGGCGTGATGGTGGGTGCCTGTAATCCCAGCTACTTGGGAGGCTGAGTTTGGAGAATCACTTCAACCCGGGAGGCGGAGATTGCATTGAGCTGAGATTATGCCACTGCACTCTAGCCTGGGCAACAAGAGCAAAACTCTGTCTCAAAAAAAAAAAAAAATCCATCTGTTATTGTCTATTTCTCTCTTCTATTTTGTCAAATTTTGATTCATAAATTTTGATTTTTTTTTTTTTGAGACAGAGTTTTATTCTTGTCATCCAGGCTGGGGTGTAATGGTGTGGTCTCGGCTCATGGCAACCTCTGCCTCCTGGGTTCAAGTGATTCTCCTGCCTCAGCCTCCCAGGTAACTGGGATTACAGGTGCCTGCCCCCAAGCCCAGCTAATTTTTGTATTTTTAGTAGAGACAGAGTTTCGCCATGTTGGCCAGGCTGGTCTGGAACTCGTGACCTTGTGATCTTCCTGCCTCGGCCCCCTGCAAGTGCTGGGATTACAGGCGTGAGCCACCACACCCGACCAGATCATTTGTTATTAGGTGTGTAAATGTTTATAATTGTTACATCTTCTGTTTTGAATCTTGTATTAACATATAATTCCTTTCTTTGTCTCTTAGAATCTTTTTGATTTAATGTCTGTTTTGTCTGATACAAGTATGATGACCACTGCTCTCTTTTAGTTTCTGTTTGCATGGAATACCTTTTTCATTCATTCACTTTCAACCTGTTTGTGTCTAAAGGATATTCACTTTGAATATCCTTTAGACTATATATATGTGGATCATTTTAGACTTAATTCTGCCATTCTGTCTTTGATTAAAAATTTAATTCATTTACATTTAAAATAATAACTGATAAGAAGGGATTTACTTTTGTCATTTTGCTATTTGTTTTCTACATTCTGTATAGTATTTTTGTTTCATTATTTCCATGCAGAGCTGATGCTAAGATAAAAGCTAAAATGGACTGACATTAATGGCAGTTTATCTTCCAAGACTTTCCCTGGAATTTCCAAGCGTGAAAAAAGACTGCAGAGGCTGCGTGCGGTGGGTCATGCCTGTAATCCCAGCACTTTGGGAGGCTGAGGTGGGTGGATCAAAATATCAGGAGTTTGAGACCAGCCTAGCCAATATGGTAAAACCCCGTCTCTACTAAAAATACAAAAAACTTAGCCAGGTGTGGTGGCACACGCCTGTAATCCCAGCTACTTGGGAAGCTGAGGCAGGAGAATTGCCTGAACCCAGGAGGCAGAGGTTGGAGTGAGCTGAGATTGCGCCACTGCCCTCCAGCCTGGGTGACAGAGTGAAACTCCATCTCAAAAAAAAAAAAAAAAAAAAAAAAGACTCCAGAGAGTTCCACAATAGTTTCATCAGAGAGATTTTGTTAGCGCAATTGCTGGCTAGGTAGGAAAAAAGATTCTTGATGTTTCCTACTTCTCTATCTTCCAACAATTCTTCCCTGTTGCTTATTTCAGTGTGTTCTTTTCTTCTATTAAACTGTACTCATGAGTTGTTATGCACTGAATATGTGTGTTTCACCAAAATTCATATGTTTAAGCCTTAATTCTTAGGGCTTACATTCTTACATTCAAATTTTTTTTTTTTTCCTTTTGAGACAGTTTCATTCTTGTTGCCCAAGCCAGTGTGCAAAGGCGCGGTCCCGGCTCACTGCAACCTCCATCACCCAGGTTCAAGCAGTTCTCTGGCCTGAGCCTCCCGAGTAGCTGGGATTACATGGGATTACAGGTGTGCACCACCACACCCAACTAATTTTTTTCTATTTTTAGTAGAGATGGAGTTTCACCATGTTGGCCAGGCTGGTCTCGAACTCCTGACCTCAGGAGATCCACCTGCCTCAGCCTCCTAAAGTGCTGGGATTAAAATTTTTTTTAATTCAACATTTTCTTAAATTCAAAATGTCTTTACATTCTTAAATTCAAAATTCATATGTTTAAGCCCTAATCTGAACTTAATGACTTCCCAAAGTGGCCACTTTTATATTTTGTACAGTGAAAAAATATGAAGGCGGTGCCTTTGGGAAAGTCATTAGGTTTAGATGAGTTCATGAGGGTGGGGTCCCCATGATGGGATTAGTGGCCTTATCAGAAGAGGAAGAGAGAACCAAGCTCTTTCTGTGCACACAAGAGAGAAAAGGCATCAGAATGAAACCTGTCTTGCTGGCACTTTGATCTTGGACTTCCCAGTGTCCACAGTATGGAGAAATAAATTTCTATTTTTTAGGTCACCCAATGATGGTGTTTTGTTATGGTAGCCAAAGCAGACTAAATCATGATATATCAGCTTTGCTGAATTTTGTGAGCTTTTATAGTGAATTATTGAACCTGAGTGTGGTCTTGAGGACCTCCTGAACTTGTAGTGGTGATTAGAAAGACTTTTTTCTAGGCTGGGGGCGGTGGCTCACACATAATCCCAGCACTTTGGGAGGCTGAGGAGGGCAGATGACCTGAGGTGAGGAGTTCAAGACCAGCCTGACCAAAATGGTGAAACCCCATCTCTACTAAAAATACAAAACTTAGCCAGTTGCGGTGGCAAGCACCTGTAATCCTAGCTACTAGGGAGGCTGAGGCAGGAGAATTGCTTGAACCCAGGAAACAGAGGTTGCAGTGAGCTGAGATTGCACCACTGCACTTCAGCCTGTGCGACAGAGCCAGACTACTCCAACTCAAAAAAAAAAAAGATTTTGTTCTCTATAACACTAGTCTGAGAGTGTGCAGAAGAGATTATACAGTTTCTATAATATTCTAAGAGTGGATGTAAAGTAAATTACTTCAATTGTTGGATTGTTAATAAATTTACAGGTTTTTTGCTATTGTGTGTAACATTATGGTGAAATGTGGCACATATACATTTTTAAATTATATTTTTCATAACAACCCTTATCATGAGACCTACCCACTCAACCAGGTTTCAAGTGTATAATACACTCTTCTTGATCATGATCTAGATCAAGGTCTTACAGCAGGTCTGTAGAGCTTATTTATCTTGTTTACCTAAAATTGAATGTCTGTTGATTAGTAACTTTCCATTTCCCCTACTCCCAACCCTTGGCAAACACCATTCCCCTCAGATTTTATGAATTTAACTATTTTAGATATCCCATACAAGTGGAAGCATGCAGTATTTCTTTTTTGTGACTGACTTATTTCCCTTATTATAATGACCTTAAGGTTCATCCATGTTCTCACATAGAACACAGTTTTCTTCTATTTTAAGGCTGAATAGTATTCCATTCCATTGTATGCATCTGTCACATTTTCTTTATCCATTCATCTGTCAATAGAAATTTAGGTTGTTCGCACCTCTTAGGTATTGTGACAACTGTTGCAGTAAACATTGGGAGTCCCGGTATCTCTTCCAGATCCTAATTTTAATTTTTTTGAGTAAATCCTCAAAAGTGAGATTGCTGGATCATATGGTAATTCTATTTTGATTTTTTTAGGAACTTCCACATTGTTTTCATAGCAGCTACACCATTTTTCTTTCCCATTAAAGGTGTGTAAGGGTGGCTGGGCGCAGTGGTTCATGCCTGTAATCCCAGCACTTTGGGAGGCTGAGGTGGGCAGATCACAAGGTCAGGAGTTCGAGACCAGCCTGGCCAATATGGTGAAACCCCGTCTCTACTAAAAGTACAAAAATTAGTCGGGCGTGTTGGCAGACACCTGTAGTCCCAGCTACTCAGGAGGCTGAAGCAAGAGAATTGCTTGAACCCAGGGGGTGGAGGTTTCAGTGAGACAAGATCATGCCACTGTACTCCAGCCTGGGCGACAGAGCGAGACTTCTTCTCAAAAAAAAAAAAAAAAAAGTGTGTAAGGGTTATAATGTCTCCACATTATTACCAACAGTTGTCTTTTTTTTTTTTTTTGAGACAGAGTTTCACTCTTGTTGCCCAGGCTGGGGTGCAATGGCGCGATCTCGGCTCACCGCAACCTCCGCCTCCCAGGTTCAAGCAATTCTCCTGCCTCAGCCTCCCGAGTAGCTGGGATTACAGGCATGCACCACCATGCCTGGCTAATTTTTTGTATTTTTGGTAAAGACAGGGTTTCTCCATGTTGGTCAGGCTGGTCTCGAACTTGCGACCTCAGGTGATCCACCCGCCTCGGCCTCCCAAAGTGCTGGGATTACAGGCGTGAGTCACCGCTCCCAGCCTGTCTTTTGTTTTTTATTTGATAGCCATCCTGACAGGTGTGAGGTAATACCTCATCTTTTTGATATGCATGTTTCCTGAAGATCAGTAATTTTTAGCTTTCTTCATATGCCTGTTGGCTATGGGTGTATTTTTCCTTAGGGCTAGATGTCTATTAAAGTCTTCTGACCGTTTTAGTTTAGCTTAGAATTCCACTCTCAGTTGAAACAAACTAGGTGGTTACTGGCAATGGAGTAAGGTGCAATTTTAAAAACTTTACTTATGAAAGAGAAAGGAGGTTAAAGAAAAACCAAGTGAAAGCAGCATCCTACTTTTTCACCATATTTTTATGCTGAAAAGTCTTCTAAGTTAAGTAAGAGACAAGTAAGTTTAGTCCAAAGTAGAGTTCCTGAGAAGTGTTGAGAATATCCGCAACAGATACGAAAACCTAAAAATTCCAGCAGTGTTTTTAAAGAAATTAAAGAGAGTTGATGTCTTTCTCCACAATGTGTTGGCCTGCATAAATGATCAACATATTGAAGGCAGATTTCACACTAGATCCTGAAACTGCCCACCCCAATTTTATCATATTAGAAGAGAGAAATATATGACGTATGGGAGAATGAAACCAAACTTTTCTTACAACCTATACTGATTTTCTTCTCACCTCACTATCCTGAGCGCTGGAGGATTTGATGCTGGCAGGCATCACTGGCAGGAAGAAGTAAGAAACACAGGACACCGGGCTACAGGAGTGTGCAGGGAGTCTCTTCAGCGATGCTCTGACATCAGCATCACTCAGTGAGGGCTAGTGGCAAGTTCAGCTCTAGATTAGTCCATGTGGCACAAGGGACACGGGAGGACTGGCGCACGTTGACATTTTTTCTGGATTTTGCGTTTGGAAAGGTTTCATTCTACAATAATAACAATAGACTCCAAATGTATACCTTCCCTGATACTTTTACAGAAAACCTTTGGCCTTATATCACTACTACACCTACTTCAAATATTTTACAGTCTGTGGAATCTAAGATGAATGATGAATGACCTGGAAGGCTATTCACATCTTGTTTAATTTTTTTTTTTTTGAGACGGAGTCTCACTGTTGCCCAGGCTGGAGTGCAGTGGCGCAATCTCGGCTCACTGCAAGCTCCGCCTCCCAGGTTCACGCCATTCTCCTGCCTCAGCCTCCCAAGTAGCTGGGACTACAGGCTCCCACCACCTTGCCCGGCTAATTTTTTGTATTTTTAGTAGAGACGGGGTTTCACCGTGTTAGCCAGGATGGTCTTGATCTCCTGACCTCATGATCCCCCCGCCTCGGCCTCCCAAAGTGTTGGGATTACAGGCGTGAGCCACCGCGCCCGGCCTTCTTTAATATTTTTTCCATGTTCCTGAAAGTATTTCCGGACATTGTTTAACCTCAGTTAATTGTTAGGATTAATTATGTTACAAGAGTTAGGGTGTTTTTTTGTCAATAAGCAGATGAAAATTATTTTTTTCATTGGTTCCAAAAACTAGTTATAATATATGAATTATAATATAATTAGAATATTCTAATCAGAATATTCTACTTCACAGAAATTATGTGGGAATCAGTTACAAAATGGTTTAGCAATTCCAAAAGGGAAGACTCTAGAAATATAACTTTTTCTTGCCAATTTTGTATTCTCAGTGCCAATAAATGTATTTCACCATGTTTACTAATTTTGTATTGTCATGTGTCCTATATGTTATGTATGTAAGAAGCTTCAGAAGAAGCTTCTTAAGAAATTAATGCTTGGTAGGAGTTTCAGGATCTGTATATGTGGAGAAGTCTTGTACCTCCTGTGCTGTTGCAGAAAGGTAAGTTAATTGATTTCTGTGTTGGGGGCTTTCTAACACTAATCTCAGAATCAGTGAAATGCTAGAAGGACTCAATGAACTTGGAAACACTGGTACATTCTGAGTCCCAATTTATTGTGGTGAAAGGCTGTAGATTAAAATTAATAATGAAAAAATGTACATAGGGCAGGGTCCAGGAGACAGCAGGCATAAGCTCTAGTTGTCTTCTTCCGTAACATGTAAGTGAAGAGAAAAAATATAAGCTAGTCTAGGATATGTAGTAATACTACTGTGTGAATACACACCCATACATGAAAAAGTCTGTGTGATGGAAGAATGATTTCAAAATAAATCTAAATCTGTGTGGAATCATGGATGGGTGATTTTTACTTTTTCCTTTCACTTTACTAGTTCTGGGTCACAGTCAATTAACAAAAATATTATCCAAACCCCTACTGTGACTGTTTACTATTTGCTAAGTCTTTGCTTTCTCATTAAATTCTAATTCAACTGTGAGGCCAGCACTGTTTCTAGGAGCCGGGCTCCTTAGTGCAAATGGGAGAAAGTACTATAGTGCATTTGGAATGTTCTCAAGCACAGCCAGTGAGTGTGAAGAGTAGGATTTTGTAAATTTTAAAAAATATGTATTACTTGAAAACAAAAGTATTACTGGGAGTCATGGACTAGATGTTTGCATCCCCCTAAAATTCACATGTCCAAACCCTGACTCTCGATGCAATTGTATTAGGAGATGAAATCTTTATCAGGTAATTAGGTTTCGATGAGGTCCTAAAGGAGGAGCCCCCATAATGGGATTAATATCTTTTTGAGAAAAGGAAAAGAATTCCCAGGTACCTCACTCTGCCTTGTAAGGTTATAGCACTAAGGCAGCCTGCAGGCCAGAAGAGGGCCCTCACCAGAAGCCCACCAGGCTGACACCCTGATCTTGGGATTGTCCACCCCTGGAATTGTCATAATTAAATGTCTCTTGTTTAAACCACCAAGTCTATTGTAGTTTTTTATAGCAGCCCAAGCTGAGTAAGACACTGGGTAAAAAATATTAGCAAAAAGCTTGTGATCTAGCAGCTGCTACCTCAAAAATCACTGGTATTAAATTACCTTCCCAGTCTTCACCCATTATTCACTCTGGGTGAGTTATTACCTCATTTGCCTGAACTACCGGTCCACAACTTTTAGCACGTTGTATTTTAGAAAATGTATAAGCACAGATGGGGGCTTTGAGCTCTATGTTTTCAAAGACTTATTTCTGTATTCCTGGTCCAATAGTAGGATGGTATAATAAATCTTGATAGCAACTAGGAAAATACATCTTCTCTGTATGTACTTCCTTATTTAGAATGGCTTCGATGCCTCCTGGACAATTACTTTGGCATAGGAATTTTACTATCACCAGATACACATCACCAGAGTTCTTGTAAACATTTGCTTGAAAACACATGAAATTTATATATTAACTGGAGAGAACTGAGACCCTCAAACTCAAGATCCTATTGAAGGTAAGTAACTTAGACTGAGGGTGAATCTTATTTCTTGATTTTAAGTCAATAACAAGGGAATGTTGTTAGCTCAGCACAGCTCCCTCCCAACTCAGACTCCACCGTCCAATGTCCCAAACCTCACCGCGCTTGAGGAGCAGGCTGGGTTGAATATTGAGCACCAGCTTCATGAAACTCCTGTCTGATCACTTCTACTTCTGGAAAGCTCACTTGTATTCTCGGAGTTTCCTTAGCTGTGTTAATTTAAATATATCTATATTGATGTTTTCCCCTCTCTAACAACCATATATTTCCACAGGAATGGTGTGGGGAAAAGCAAGAGAGATCAGATTGTTACTGTGTCTGTGTAGAAAGAAGTAGACATAGGAGACTCCATTTTGTTCTGTACTAAGAAAAATTCTTCTGCCTTGAGATGCTGTTAATCTGTAACCTTACCCCCAACCCCTTGCTCTCTGAAACATGTGCTGTGTCAACTCAGGGTTAAATGGATTAAGGGCGGTGCAAGATGTGCTTTGTTAAACAGATGCTTGAAGGCAGCATGCTCATTAAGAGTCATCACCACTCCCTACTCTCAAGTACCCAGGGACACAAACACTGCAGAAGGCCGCAGGGACCTCTGCCTAGGAAAGCCAGGTATTGTCCAAGGTTTCTCCCCATGTGATAGTCTGAGATATGGCCTCATGGGAAGGGAAAGACCGACCGTCCTCCAGCCCGACACCCGTAAAGGGTCTGTGCTGAGGAGGATTAGTAAAAGAGGAAGGAACCGCCTCTTTGCAGTTGAGACAAGAGGAAGGCATCTGTCTCCTGCCCATCCCTGGGCAATGGAATGTCTCGGTATAAAACCCGATTGTATGTTCCATCTACTGAGATAGGGGAAAACTGCCTTAAGGCTGGAGGTGCGACATGCGGGCAGCAATACTGCTCTTTAAGGCATTGAGATGTTTACGTGTATATATATCTAAAGCACAGCACTTAATTCTTTACCTTGTCTATGATGCAGAGACCTTTGTTCACGTGTTTATCTGCTGACCTTCTCTCCACTATTATCCTATGACCCTGCCACATCTGCCTCTCCGAGAAACATGCAAGAATGATCAATAAATACTAAGGGAACTCAGAGGCTGGCGGGATCCTCCATCTGCTGAACGCTGGTCCCCTGGGCCCCCTTATTTCTCTCTCTATACTTTGTCTCTGTGTCTTTTTATTTTCCAAGTCTCTCGTTCCACCTAAGGAGTAACACCCACAGGTGTGGAGGGGCAACCCCCCCCTTCAGAATGGAAGTACATGACAGCACTCCTTTAAAACAATATGGTATCTCTGAAATGTCCACATAGCTCCTGGAGATGCCACACAAGCCACTGGAAAGTGCTGCTCTCCAAATTTAGGAAATTAAAATCAGACAACACTGTTTCAGTTGCTGTTTTAATTGACTGGATCTTATTTAAATTTGGTGTGAGATGAATCCTGTTCTAATTCATACTGCACAGTTCAGGAAACTTGGTGCGGGAGGTTAGGTGAGTCCCAGGGCTATGCCGCCTCTGAGTGGGAGGAGCACCTGGTGCCTTCTCCTCTAAGCTGTAGCACCTGTGGCAATGGAGCACTGCTCCCAACTTCAGAAATAGAGCATTTGCTGTGTATTTTGTATTATTTGATAGCACCATTGTTGAGTGAAGCTTTGCCGGGGACCCTCAAACTCCAACCTCTTTTTGGTTCCCTTGAGGTTACCTTGCTATTCTGCCCTCAGACTGCTTTAAATATCACCTTAGGAATTAGGACAAGGCCGGGTGCAGTCGCTTAGGGCTGTAATCCCAGCACTTTGGGAGGCTGAGGCTGGTGTATCACCTGAGGTCAGGAGTTTGAGATCAGCCTGGCCAACATGGCAAAACCCCGACTCTACTACAAATACAAAAATTGTCCGAGCGTGGTGGCTCGCCCCTGTAATCCCAGCACTTTGGGAGGCCGAGGAGAGCAGATCACCTGAGTTCGGGAGTTTGAAACTAGCCTGACCATTATGGAGAAATCTCATCTTTACTAAAAATACAAAATTAGCTGGGCGTGTTGGCACATGCCTGTAATCCCAGCTACTCAGGAGGCTGAGGCAGGAGAATCGTTTGAACCCGGGAGGCGGAGGTTGAGGTGAGCCGAGATCACGCCATTGTACTCCAGCCTGGGCACCAAGAGTGAAACTCCATCTCAAAAGAAAAAAAAAATTAGCCGGGCATGGTGGCGAGCACCTGTAATTCCATCTATTCGGGTGGCTGAGGTAGGAGAATCTCTTGAACCCAGGGGTCGGAGGTTACAGTAAGCCAAGATTGTGCCATTGCACTCTAGCCTCGGCAACAAGAGGGAATTCCATTTCAAAAACAAAAAAGCAAACAAAAAAAGAATTATGGCAGGGCACGGTGTCTCACACCTGTAATCCCAGCAGTTTGGGAAGCTGAGGTAAGTGAATCACTTGAGGTCAGCCTGGCCAACATAGTGAAACCCAGTCTCTAGAAAAAACATAAGAATTAGCCGGGCATGGTAGTGGTGCGCCTGTATTCCCAGCTACTCAGGAGGCTGAGGCAGAAGAATCGCTTGAACCCAGGAGGTGGAGCTTGCAGTGAGCCGAGATCTCACCACTGCACTCCAGCCTTGGCAACAGAGTGAGACTCCACCTCAAAAAAAAAAAAAAAAAAAATTAATCTAACCCAAATATTGTAGTTTACATTTTTCTCTTTTGAGACAGAGCCTCACTCTGTCACCCAGGCTGGAGTGCAGTGGTATGATCTCAGTGCACTGCAACCTCTGCCTCCCAGATTCAAGCAATACTCCAGCCTTAGCCTCCTAACTAGCTTGGATTAAAGGAGTGCACCACCATACTTGGATAATTTTTGTATTTTTAGTAGAGACAAGGTTTCACCATGTTTGCCAGGCTGGTCTCCAACTCCCAACCTCAAGTGATCTTCCCACCTCATCCTCCCAAAGTGTTGGGATTACAGGCATGAGCCACTGAGGCCAGCCCAGCATCACTTTCTAATTCCAGAACATTTTCTTTTTTTTTTTTTTTGAGAAGGAGTCTCACTCTGTCGCCCAGGCTGGAGTGCAGTGGCTTGATCTCGGCTCACTGCAAGCTCCACCTCCCGGGTTCACGCCATTCTCCTGCCTCAGCCTCCCGAGTAGCTGGGACTACAGGCGCCTGCCACCATGCCCAGCTAATTTTTTGTATTTTTAGTAGAGACGGGGTTTCTTTTTTTCTTTTTTTTTTTTTTTGAGACAGAGTTTCGCTCTTGTTGCCCAGGCTGGAGTGCAATGGCGCCATCTCGGCTCACTGCAACCTGCGCCTCCTGGGTTCAAGGGATTCTCCTGCCTCAGCCTCCCAAGTAGCTGGGATTACAGGCATGCGCCACCATGCCCGGCTAATATTGTACTTTTAGTAGAGACAGGGTTTCTCCATGTTGGTCAGGCTGGTCTCGAACTCCCGACGTCAGGTGATCCGCCCGCCCCAGCCTCCCAAAGTGCTGGGATTACAGGCGTGAGCCACCATGCCCGGCCAGAGATGGGGTTTCACTGTGTTAACCAGGATGGTCTCCATCTCCTGGCCTCGTGATCTGCCCGCCTCAGCCTCCCAAAGTGCTGGGATTACAGGCTTGAGCCACCGCGCCCGGCAATTCCAGAACATTTTCATGAGCCCAAAGGGAATTCTTTGCCTAGTGAGAGGTCTCCTTCCTCTGGGCCTTGAAACCAAGCATCCATCCCCTTTCTGACTGTATAAACTATTTTGGTTAACTAACATAAATGAAACCATGCAATGGTAGCCTTTTGTATCTGGTTTCTTTCAGTAAGCATATTGTCTGCAATGTTCATCTAATGTTGAAGCATGGGTCAGTATTTTGTTCCTTTTTTGGGTGACTAATGTTGCACAGTATTGTTATACTACTTTGTTTATTCATTCATAGATTAATGAAAATTTGGATTTGTTTCCATTATTTGGCTATTATGAATAATGCTATTATACTATGAACATTTGTGCACAAGTTTTTTTGTTGACCTATGTTTTCAATTTTTAAAAATACATATCAAGGAGTAAAATTGCTGAATTTAATGCAACCTGATTATGTTTGAAGAACTGCCAAAATACCACAGCAGCTATATAATTGGACATTTGGTGGGACCCTTTTGAAATTAAAATTTAAATATACCTTCAACTAGTTTCTTAGTTCTGTTTGTTTGCTTTATAATATTTGGAAGTCAAGTATTGCATGAGAAAGTCTAGCAGATTTACAACGTTAACCAAAGATGTAATCTTTTTTATTTATTTATTTTTTTTGAGACAGTCTCGCTCTGTTGCCCAGGCTGGAGTGCAGTGGCGCGATCTCGGCTCACTGCAACCTCTGCCTCCTGGGTTCACGCCATTCTCCTGCCTCAGCCTCCGGAGTAACCAGGACTACAGGCGCCCGCCACCACGCCCAGCTAATTTTTTGTATTTTTAGTACAGACGGGGTTTCACTGTGTTAGCCAGGATGGTCTCGATCTCCTGACCTCGTGATCCACCCGCCTTGGCCTCCCAAAGTGCTGGGATTACAGGCGTGAGCCACCGCGCCTGGCCCGAAGATGTAATCTTAAATAAGAATTGTGGAGTCAGTGGCTAATAGGATGAAAGATGTCAAAAGTGATTTGATGGTGATATAAAAGGGTACAGAGGATGCTATGAGAGGATGGAAAGGTGCTAGCGGAAGCTACGACTTTGGATGAATTACCCATTCTAGGACTCACTTTCCTCTTCTTTGTAGAGAATGCAATCGTCACTACCTGTCAGTTCTGATACACAGATTCCATTGAAAGTTTGGGTGAAGCACTCAATCCAGTGCATGTATCATGATGAATAACTCAGTAAATGCTAGCTGTTCTCTGGGAACAAACCGGAGGGCCAAGTACATTGCGAGAAACATTAATCTAGAAGACTGGATACCCTACAGATTGTTCAGAACACATCTATTTCATTTATAGTATTTCCCAGAGAGAATTTTTCTCAAATTGGGTAATCCATTAAAAAATAGCCCGAAGGCTGGGCGCGGTGGCTCACACTTGTAATACCAGCACTTTGACAGGCCGAGGTAGGCGGATCACCTGAGGTCAGGAGTTCAAGACCAGCCTGGCCAACATGGTGAAACTTCGTCTCTACTAAAAATACAAAAATTGGCCTGGCCTGGTGGGCACCTGTAATCTCAGCTACTGGAGTGGCTGAGGTAGGAGAATTGCTTGAACCCAGGAGGAAGAGGTTGCAGTGAGCCGAGATTGCGCCACTGCACTCCAGCCTGGGTGACAGAGCAAGATTCCGTCTAAAAAAAAAAAAAAAAAAAAAAAAAAGAGCCTGAAGTATATATAGTGATATAGGACAAAAATAAATGATAAGTAGGCAGTTGCAGCATATGCAAGTAGCTCCCATTTGGAGATAAACAAAGGGGACCATTCTATACATAACCTATATTCATATAAATGTTTTATTTTTGTATATGCATAGACCATTTGGGAATACTTACAAAAAGCCATTAACAGCAATTATCCTTTAGAAGGAAAATGAGTGACAGCAAGTTACTTTGTAACTGTTGTGCCAGGTAGGGCTTTCTTGTGGGGAAAAGAAAGAGATCAGATTGTTACTGTGTCTGTGTAGAAAGAAGTAGACATAGGAGACTCCATTTTGTTCTGTACTAAGAGAAACTCTTCTGCCTTGAGATGCTGTTAATCTGTAACCTTACCCCCAACCCCTTGCTCTCTGAAACATGTGCTGTGTCAACTCAGGGTTAAATGGATCAAGGGCGGTGCAAGATGTGCTTTGTTAAACAGCTGCTTGAGGGCAGCATGCTCCTTAAGAGTCATCACCACTCCCTACTCTCAAGTACCCAGGGACACAAAACACTGCGGAAGGCCGCAGGGACCTCTGCCTAGGAAAGCCAGGTATTGTCCAAGGTTTCTCCCCATGAGATAGTCTGAAATATGGCCTCTGGGAAGGGAAAGACCTGACCATCCCCCAGTCCGACACCCGTAAAGGGTCTGTGCTGAGGAGGATTAGTAAAAGAGGAAGGAATGCCTCTTTGCAGTTGAGACAAGAGGAAGGCATCTGTCTCCTGCCCATCCCTGGGCAATGGAATGTCTCGGTATAAAACCCGATTGTATGTTCCATCTACTGAGATAGGGGGAAACTGCCTTAGGGCTGGAGGTGGGACATGCGGGCAGCAATACTACTCTTTAAGGCATTGAGATGTTTATGTGTATACATATCTAAAGCACAGCACTTAATTCTTTACCTTGTTCAAGATGCAGAGACCTTTGTTCATGTGTTTATCTGCTGACCTTCTCTCCACTATTATCCTATGACCCTGCCACATCACCCTCTCCGAGAAACACCCAAGAATGATCAATAAATACTAACGGAACTCAGAGGCCGAGGTGGGATCCTCTATATGCTGAATGCTGGTCCCCTGGGCCCCCTTATTTCTTTCTCTATACTTTGTCTATGTGTCTTTTTCTTTTTCAAGTCTCTCATTCCACCTAACGAGAAACACCCACAGGTGTGGAGGGGCAACCTACCCCTTCATCTGGTGCCCAAGGCTTTTCTCTAGGGTGAAGGTACGCTCGAGTGTGGTCATTGAGGACAAGTCGACGAAGAGATCCTGAGTACGTCTACAGTCAGCCTTACGGTAAGCTTGTGCACTCGGAAGAAGCCAGGGTAACAATGGGGCAAACTAAAAGTAAATATGCCTCTTATCCCAGCTTTATTAAAATTCTTTTAAAAAGAGGGGGAGTTAGAGTATCTACAAAAAATCTAATCAAGCTATTTCAAACAATAGAACAATTTTGCCCATGGTTTCCAGAACAAGGAACTTTAGATCTAAAAGACTGGAAAAAAATTGGCAAAGAACTAAAACGAGCAGGTAGGGAGGGTAAAATCATCCCACTTACATTATGGAATGATTGGGCCATTATTAAAGCATTTTTAGAACCATTTCAAACAGAAGAAGATAGCATTTCAGTTTCTGATGCCCCTGGAAGTGGTGTAATAGATTGTAAAGAAGAGACAGGGAGAAAATCCCAGAAAAAAATGGAAAGTTTACATTGTGCGAATATGTAGCAGAGCCGGTAATGGCTCAGTCAATGCAAAATGTTGACTATAAACAATTACAGGAGGTGATATATCCTGAAACGTTAAAATTAGAAGAAAAAGGTCCAGAATTAGTGAGGCCATCAGAGTCCAAACCACGAGAGCCAAGTCCTTTTCTAGCAGGTCAGATGCCCATAACATTACAACCTCAAACGCAGGTTAGAGAAAATAAGACCCAACCACCAGTAGCTTATCAATACTGGCCACTGGCTGAACTTCAGTATCAGCCACCCCCAGAAAGTCAGTATGGACATCCAGGAATGCTGCCAGCACTACAGAATAGGGTGCCACACCCTCAGCCGCCCACTTTGAGACTTAATCCTATGGCACCACCTAGTAGACAGGGTAGTGCATTACATAAAATTATTGTCAAGAAAATTATAGTCAAGAAAGCAAGGAGATACTGAGGTGTGGCAATTCCCAGTAATGTTGGAACTGATGCCACCTGGAGAAGGGGCCCAAGAGGGAGAGCCTCCCACAGTTGAGGCCAGATACAAGTCTTTTTCTATAAAAATGCTAAAAGATAGGAAAGACGGAGTCAAACAGTATGGACCCAACTCCCCTTACATGAGGACATTATTAGATTCCATTGCTCATGGACATAGACTCATTCCTTATGATTGGGAGATTCTGGCAAAATCGTCTTTCTCACCCTCTCAATTTGTACAATTTAAGACTTGGTGGATTGATAGGACACAAGAACAGGTCCGAAGAAATAGGGCTGCCAATCCTCCAGTTAACATAGATGCAGATCAACTATTAGGAACAGGTCACAATTGGAGCACTGTTAATCAACAAGCAGTAATGCAAAATGAGGCCATTGAGCAAGTTAGAGCTATTTGCCTTAGAGACTGGGAAAAATTCCAAGACCCAGGAACCGCCTACCCCTCATTTAATACAATAAGACAAGGCTCTAAAGAGCCCTACCCTGATTTGTGGCAAGGCTCCAAGATGCTGCTCAAAAGTCAATTGCCGATGAAAATGCCCAAAAAGTCATAGTGGAATTGATGGCATACGAAAACGCCAATCCTGAGTGTCAATCAGCCATTAAGCCATTAAAAGGAAAGTTTCCCGCCGAATCAGATGTAATCTCAGACTATGTAAAAGTCTGTCATGGAATTGGAGGAGCTATGCATAAAGCTATGCTTATGGCTCAAGCAATAGCGGGAGTTGCTTTAGGAGGGCAAGTTAGAACATTTGGAGGGAAATGTTATAATTGTGGTCAAATTGGCCATTTAAAAAAGAATTGCCCAGTCTCAAATAAACAGAATATAACTATTCAAGCTACTACAACAACAGGTAAAGAGCCACCTGACTTATGTCCAAGATGTAAAAAAGGAAAACACTGGGCTAGTCAATGTCGTTCTAAATTTGATAGAAATGGGCACGAGCAAAGGGGCCAGCCTCAGGCCCTGCAACAAACTGGGGCATTCCCAATTCAGCCCTTTGTTCCTCAGGGTTTTCAGGGACAACAACACCCACTGTCCCAAGCACCTCAGGAAATAAGCCAGTTACCACAATACAACAATTGTCCCCTGCCACAAGCAGCAGTGCAGCAGTAGATTTATGTACTATGCAAGCAGTTTGTCTGTTTCCAGGGTAGCCCCCACAAAAAATCCCCACAGGGGTATATGGCCCACTGCCTGAGGGGACTATAGGACTAATCTTAGGAAGATCAAGTCTAAATCTAAAGGGCATTCAAATTCATACTGGTATGGTTGATTCAGACTATAAAGGCAAAATTCAATTGGTTATTAGCTCTTCAATTCCTTGGAGTGCTAGTCCAGGAGACAGGAATGCTCATTTATTACTCCTGCCTTATGTTAAGGTTGGAAATAGTGAGATAAAAAGAACAGCAGGGTTTGGAAACACAGATCTGACAGGAAAGGCTGCATATTGGGCAAGTCGGGTCTCAGAGAACAGACCTGTGCGTAAGGCCATTATTCAAGGAAAACAGTTTGAAGGGTTAGTAAACACTGGAGCAGATGTCTCCATCATTGCTTTAAATCAGTGGCCAAAAAATTGGCCTAAACAAAAGGCTGTTACAGGACTTGTCAGCATAGGCACAGCCTCAGAAGTGTATCACAGTACTATGATTTTACATTGTTCAGGGCCAGATAATCAAGAAAGTACTTCACATGTTAAAAAAACATTTATTATCTTGTCTCGCTGTAATGGGAGTTCCAGAAAAAATCAAAACTGACAATGGCCGGGTGTGGTGGCTCACGCCTGTAATCCCAGCACTTTGGGAGGCTGAGGCAGGCAGATCACCTGAGGTCAGGAGTTCGAGACCAGCCTCAACGTGGAGAAACCCCGTCTCTACTAAAAATACAAAATTAGACAGGCATGGTGGTGCATGCCTGTAATCCTAGCTACTCAGGAGGCTGAGGCAGGAGAATTGCTTGAACCTGGGAGGTGGAGGTTGCAGTGAGCCAAGCTCGCGCCATTGCACTCCAGCCTGGGCAACAAGAGCGAAACTCCATCTCAAAAAAAAAAAAAAAAAAAAAAAAAAAAACTGACAATGGACCAGGATATTGTAGTAAAGCTTTCCAAAAATTCTTAAATCAGTGGAAAATTTCACATACAACAAGAATTCTCTATAATTCCCAAGGACAGCCCATAGTTGAAAGAACTAATAGAACACTCAAAACTCAATTAGTTAAACAAAAAGAAGGGGGAGACAGTAAGGAATGTACCACTCCTCAGATGCAACTTAATCTAGCACTCTATACTTTAAATTTTTTAAACATTTATAGAAATCAGACTACTACTTCTGCAGGACAACATCTTACTGGTAAAAAGAACAGCCCACATGAAGAAAAACTGATTTGGTGGAAAGATAATAAACATAAGACATGGGAAATAGGGAAGGTGGTGATGTGGGGGAGAGGTTTTGCTTGTATTTCACCAGGAGAAAATCAGCTTCCTGTTTGGATACCCACTAGACATTTGAAGTTCTACAATGAACCCATCAGAGATGCAAAGAAAATCGCCTCCACGGAGATGGAAACACCAGCCACATGGATGGATAATCCTATTGAAGTATATGTTAATGATAGAGTATGGGTACCTGGCCCCACAGATGATTGTTGCCCTGCCAAACCTGAGGAAGAAGGGATGATGATAAATATTTCCACTGGGTATCGTTATTCTCCTATATTTGCCTAGGGAGAGCACCAGGATGTTTAATGCCTGCAGTCCAAAGTTGGTTGGTAGAAGTACCTACTGTCAGTCCCGTCAGTAGATTCACTTAACACATGGTAAGCGGGATGCCACTCAGGTAAATTATTTACAAGACTTTTCTTATCAAAGATCATTAAAATTTAGACCTAAAGGGAAACCTTGCCGCAAGGAAATTCCCAAAGGATCAAAAGACACAGAAGTTTTAGTTTGGGAAGAATGTGTGGCCAATAGTGCCGTGATATTACAAAACAATGAATTCGGAACTATTATAGATTGGGCACCTCGAGGTCAATTCTACCACAATTGCACAGGACAAACTCAGTCGTGTCCAAGTGCACAAGTTGAGTCCAGCTGTTGACAGCGACTTAACAGAAAGTTTAGACAAACATAAGCATAAAAAATAACAGTCTTTCTACCCTTGGGAATGGGGAGAAGAAGGAATCTCTACCCCAAGACCAAAAATAATAAGTCCTGTTTCTGGTCCTGAACATCCAGAATTAGGGAGGCTTACTGTGGCCTCATACCTCATAGAATTTGGTCTGGAAATCAAACTTTAGAAACGAGATTGTAAGCCATTTTATACTATCGACCTAAATTCCAGTCTAACAGTTCCTTTACAAAGTTGTGTAAAGCCCCCTTATATGCTAGTTGTAGGAAATATAGTTATTAAACCAGACTCAAACTATAACCTCTGAAAATTGCAGATTGTTTACTTGCATTGATTTGACTTTTAATTGGCAGCACCATATTCTGCTGATGAGAGCAAGAGAAGGCGTGTGGATCCCTGTGTCCATGGACCTACCGTGAGAGGCCTCACCATCCGTCCATATTTTGACTGAAGTATTAAAATGTGTTTTTAAATAGATCTAAAATATTCACTTTTACTTTAATTACAGTGATTATGGGATTAATTGCAGTCACAGCTACGGCTGCTGTGGCAGGAGTTGCATTGCACTCTTCTGTTCAGTCAGTAAACTTTGTTCATGATTGGCAAAAAATTCTACAAGATTGTGGAATTCACAATCTGGTATTGATCAAAAATTGGCAAATCAAATTAATGATCTTAGACAAACTGTCATTTGGATGGGAGACAGGCTCATGAGCTTAGAACATCGTTTCCAGTTACAATGTGACTGGAATATGTCAGAGTTTTGTATTACACCCCAAATTTATAATGAGTCTGAGCATCACTGGGACATGGTTAGAGCATCACTGGGACATGGTTAGACGCCATCTACAGGGGAGAGAAAATAATCTCACTTTAGACATTTCCAAATTAAAAGAACAAATTTTCGAAACATCAAAAGCCTATTTAAATTTGGTGCCAGGAACTGAGGCAATCCCAGGAGTTGCTGATGGCCTCGCAAATCCTAACCCTGTCACTTGGGTTAAGACCATCGGATGTACTACGATTATAAATTTCATATTAATCCTTGTGCCTGTTTTGTCTTGTTAGTCTGCAGGTGTACCCAACAGCTCCGAAGAGACAGCGACCATCGAGAACGGGCCATGATGATGATGGCGGTTTTGTTGAAAAGAGAAGGGGGAAATGTGGGGAAAAGAAAGAGATCAGATTGTTACTGTGTCTGTGTAGAAAGAAGTAGACATAGGAGACTCCATTTTGTTCTGTACTAAGAAAAATTCTTCTGCCTTGAGATGCTGTTAATCTGTAACCTTACCCCCAACCCTGTGCTCTCTGAAACACATGCTGTGTCAACTCAGGGTTAAATGGATTAAGGGCGGTGCAAGATGTGCTTTGTTAAACATGCTTGAAGGCAGCATGCTCCTTAGGAGTCATCACCACTCCCTAATCTCAAGTACCCAGGGACACAAAACACTGCAGAAGGCCGCAGGGACCTCTGCCTAGGAAAACCAGGTATTGTCCAAGGTTTCTCCCCATGTGATAGTCTGAAATATGGCCTCGTGGGAAGGGAAAGACCTGACCGTCCCCCAGCCCGACACCCATAAAGGGTCTGTGCTGAGGAGGATTAGTATAAGAGGAAGGAATGCCTCTTTGCAGTTGGGACAAGAGGAAGGCATCTGTCTCCTGCCCATCCCTGGGCAATGGAATGTCTCGGTATAAAACCCGATTGTATGTTCCATCTACTGAGATAGGGGAAAACTGCCTTAGGGCTGGAGGTGGGACATGCAGGCAGCAATACTGCTCTGTAAGGCATTGAGATGTTTATGTGTATGCATATCTAAAGCACAGCACTTAATTCTTTACCTTGTCTATGATGCAGAGACCTTTGTTCACGTGTTTATCTGCTGACCTCACCACTATTATCCTATGACCCTGCCACATCCCCCTCTCCGAGAAACACCCAATAATGATCAATAAATACTAAGGGAACTCAGAGGCCGAGGTGGGATCCTCTATTTGCTGAATGCTGGTCCCCTGGGCCCCCTTATTTCTTTCTCTATACTTTGTCTATGTGTCTTTTTCTTTTTCAAGTCTCTCATTCCACCTAACGGGAAACACCCACAGGTGTGGAGGGGCAACCCACCCCTTCATTTTATGTATACATTTTTGTTCCATAATGAATTTCTGGATGAGTAATTGTTGGGTTAAAGACAATATATTTTCTTTTCTTTTTTTTCTTTTAAAGCAATATATTTTGAATATTTTGACACATTGTTATATTGCCCTACAATATAGCTAATAATTTTATCTCACTTAGATATATAAAGAGATTATATGTGTCTCTAAATAAAAACTAAGAAATAATTCGGAAACATACATTAAAAAGTTCACACTGGGCAGGGTGATGCAATTGAATTTTAAGGAACGGTATTGCCTGAGGCAGGGATGAGATAGAGAAAAAACTGATCATATGTACATACCTGTATCATCAGAGTTTTAAAATACTCATTTAAAATGTGCAATCTGTAGGTAAACCACCAATTAAGATGTTAGGTTATCAAACTAACTTCCCATACAATATGTGATATTATATCCATGGTGGCTATTCACAGAAAAGTTACTCACACTGGTTTTGTTTATTGGCATGGTTTATTTTTACTAGGTTGATTGTTTTGGCGACTTTGGCAGTTTACCATATGTTAACATTTTATATATGAAAAGAAAATGTATGGTGCACTGCCATATATTTTATAGACATACAGATATATAGATATTAGATGATAGATAAATAGACAGATAGATTCACTGTGTTACCCAGGCTGGTCTTGAACTCCTGGGCTCAAGCATGATCCTCCTGCCTTGGCCTCTCAAAGTGCTGGGATTACAGGTACGGGTCACTTTGCTTGGCCCATTTTTATTATTAGCTTATGCAACTTTAATTTCTGGACTTCGAGTTTTCCCTTTAATCTGCATTCTTTACTCCCATTCTGTTTTATCCAGGTAGTCACACTAAGGTACTTGACAAATTATGAAATATGTATGTAGCCTTGCAAAATATAAAGTATTACTCTCTGTCATGATGGGTGCTTGATGGCTCCACTTTTTACCACTTTATGTGGCTTATCAATATGTCATCTGTGAATAATTTAAGTACACGTTAAGAATTGTTTTTAAATTCCTGAAAGACAGGACTGTTGTTTTCATTTATAGTACTAAACATCTAGTATATTAGAAGTGATTGACCAGAAATTATTTGTTTTTGCTTGTCTACAATATGCCAGTATTGTCCAATAACAATATATTGCATTTTAGTTGTTTGATGTTTTTTGTTTGGTGTAGCAGCAGAACACTGCCTAAAACAACTCTTAAATTCCTGCTGGTTTCTATTACACAGAACGCTTTGTTTACATGAAGAAAATGATCTACTTTATATACAAAACTATTTTAAACCACCTTCTATTAATTCAAGATATTAAGCTTGTGACCAGTTCTTTGGAACAAGAACATAAAAACCATGGTTCCTTTCTTCACGAAAATAGAAGGCAGACTAGTAAAACCAAATATTGTTTTTCTCAGCCTCCTTGTGGATGGAGGATCAGAAGGTGCCCTAGTCTTCTCCAGAAAATAGTGTTCTGAGCTGTCACACATTTTTAGGTTTATATTGTAGGCTATTGGGTGGGTAGTGATGGGGGCAAGTCAAGTGGAACTGCAAGAATTTACAAGTTTCTGGAGAAGAGGGTACAGTATGTAACCTCAGCCTCCTGCTCACAGAAAAGAGGTGCTCCCAGAAAGCCCCATCACAGAGCTCTTCATTGCCCTTGAGTGAGAGGCCGAAAATATTCTGGCTGCACTTTTGAGAGCTGAGTAGGATTTGTGTAGGTTGCAATGTCACTCTCCATCTCTTAACATGGGCTACCTGTGAAGGTAGTGATGGGGACAAGTGTGGACCTACAAAAGATCACAGGTGCCGGGCGCGGTGGCTCACGCCTGTAATCCCAACACTTTGGGAGGCCGAGGTGGGCGGATCACGAGGTCAGGAGATCCAGACCATCCTGGCTAACACAGTGAAACCCCGTCCCTACTAAAAATACAAAAAATTAGCCGGGCGAGGTGGCGGGCGCCTGTAGTCCCAGCTACTCAGGAGGCTGAGGCAGGAGAATGGCGTGAACCCCGGGGGGCGGAGCCTGCAGTGAGCCGAGATCGTGCCACTGCACTCCAGCCTGGGCGACAGGGAGACTCCGTCTCAAAAAAAAAAAAAAAAAAAGATCACAGGTTCTGGAAGAAGTAGAAGAGGTAGAGTGCAGGACGTGACCTCAGGCTCCTGCTCACAGAAACAATGTGCTCCGAGAGAGCCCCACCACAGAGTTCTTCATTGCGCCTGAACTGGAGGCAGGACACAGTGTGACTGTGTTTTTGGGAACTAAGTAGGATTTGAAGAGGTTGCAATCTCACTCTCCATCCCTTAACATCTCTAGCCATCAATTTTCTCATCTCTGAATTGGAACCATAACTGCTGTGAGGGTGCGTGCAATGAAGCAGCATGTGTAGTTCTGTGCAGAGCACACATCTTATTCATCTCATGCGCTGAATGAGCCTCCTTCAACACCCTCGACTTCCAGAACAGGTTTTCTCCCTGCCTCTCACTCTAGGTTCACTATGGGAAGAACCGTCACTGTGTGGATAAAGCCCCTAAGATAGTTCATGTCTGGCCACCTTCCATCCACCACTCATTGAGATTTGTGACCTTAAGGACTTCTCCTTGCCAGGAATCTCTAACATGAACAGGCTGGGCATGGGCTGGGGAGTGTTGAGTAGAAGAGCCGGACCTCAGAATGCAGCATCGGGCAAAGTAAGTACGTGTTTTATTGAGGGCCTAACTCTTGACTCTGATCACATAGGGATTTACAGACAGGACAGATGGGCCTGGCTTTCTGGCTACAGCAACACCTATAAAGACACCAGATTCAGCAATGTGGGCTTCCATCCGACATGCTCAGCCATGTGAGTCTCTTAGGAAGCTGCAGATCTGCAAACTTCTGCCTGTAGAATGCTCCATATCTCAGCCAAAATATATTCAAAAAAATCTTCTTACACTCCAGTGAGAAGGTTTATTTTATAAAAATGAAATTTACTTTTCAAAGATTTTCCAAACCATTTTCACTGCTCAGTGAAAGTTGAAAGCAGAGAGATTTGTGAAGCCCCATACAAAAATTGAGCCATTTACAGATTTGTCAAGCTCAAGATGTTTACTCAGTCTGAGTAATCTGCCCACCTGATATTTAAATATTTATATTATATAAGATTAATCTTTTTTATACATTTGTAGCATAAAATTAAATATTCGTTTTTACAAGGTTGTGTGTGAATGATTGCTAAATCATTGCTAAAAAGCAACCATTTAAGAATCCAAATTTGTTTAATAAAATTCTGCCAGAAATAAACTGTAAGATGTCACAGATTTCAGAGTGCAGAGAATGCTTTCCAGAGAAAGTAACATTAGGTTGGGATATAAAGAAAGAGTGGGTGGAAATAAGGGAGTAAACAATGTTTGGGGCATGAGAATTCTCATGGACAAAAGCTCCCCATGCAAAGGTCCCGTGGCAGGAGAGTTCCCTGTGCTGAGTGTGGAAATAGAGGTGAAGGGTGAGATGGAGATTAGGGGGTACCAGACTGTTAGGTCCTTTGGGGACATGGTAAAGAGCTTGATTCTTTCCAAGAGCTGTAAAAGCTGCTCCAGTGTATGAAGGAGCATGATTAAAATTGCAATTTGAAACCATCACGTGCAGGGAGTGGAAAGGCGTGAGGTAGAGTGAAGTGGAGCAAATCCCTGAAGGGGCCATGCAGTGCAGGTGGGTGGAGACGGTCATGTGGAAAATTGACTCAAATGGGACCTGGGATCTGCCTCAGGATGGGGGTGGGGCGGAGCATGGGAAAGAGTGCAGGTCATTCTAATGGCGGCCGCACCTACCAGGTCAGGCCAGGCCTCCGCATCGGGCCCTGCTGCCTCCTGGCCCTGGGACTTCCTGCTTCATTGCGGGTGTTCTGGGGTCTCTTTTTCTCCCAAGGCTTCCTTGTGCCCAGGTCATTTCTTGGAGACAGTGATTCCCGGAACGGAAACCGTCAACAGCTGCATAACTCCTTGGCTTGGGGCTTTTCAGTTACTCTTTCTAGATACAGGAGGGCCCTGAGTTGGTCTCTCTATATCTCCCCCTGCTAGTTGGGGAATTCTGCAGCCACTGGAGTAGGTTCAGCTTGTTGTGAGGGGCAGGGAGCAGGAGGTGGACTCAGTCCAGGCCTTCAGAACTGAAGGCCAAAGTTCATTCCTCGTCCTGCAGCGCTAGAAATTGCATCAGGGAGACAGGGTGAAACTGCTGTGCTCCAAACCTGCACACAGCTGGGTGGCACTTGGAGAGGCCCCACTGAGCCTTTCAGAGGTCCTGGGTCCGAATCTGCAAAGATGGCATTAAAGTGCTTTGAGCGAATTAAGGAGGATTAACAAGGCGTAAATTAGATCATGTATATTCGCGCCACCCGCATCTACCTGCCGAAATTTAATCACAACAGATTCCCACTCACCCATCAGGAGCTCATTTACAGCCTGGCCCTGCCCAGGCTCCTCAGGGGCAGGGCCGCAAGTCCTCGGTGGACGGGGCCCTAAGTGCGACCTTGCTGCTGGTGCATATAAATCTGGGTCTCAGCGCTGACCTCAGTCTGGTGCAAGAGTGTCCTCGGTCGACGCTCTTGGAGGTCCGTGTCCAAGACCATTCTGAATCATCTGCTCCAGGTAAGCCGGGAGTAGGACTCAGTACCTGGGGAAGATGGAGCCTAGAAAGACCCCTGACTCCCTGGGTGCCCGCTCTGCCTAACGAGAGCCGGCAACTTGTGAAGGAATCCAAACTGGCATCTGGCTATTTTAAAATAGATGCCGTTTATTATGGTTCCCAAGGATTGACACTACAGAATCGGGACCGGGAGAAGATGGAGGTCGCAGTTACTGGGACTGCAGATATCCAAACGGTCACATTTACTACAGTCGCAGGGTTAGTAGGAGAGCTCATGGCACTCTCCCCGCTGCTCTATAACACTGTGTCAGGGAGGTGAGTTCTCATGGAGAGCAGGGGATGTTTGGGTCAGGAGGAAGTGACAGATGAGCTGAGAGCTGGCGACAGCACAGGAGATCTGCTTGTACAAAGCTGCTGGGAGAACGTTAGGGAAGGTGGGAGCTGCAGAGAGCGGGGGCCAGGAGACGTAGGTGGGGGCACACTGTCCTCAGATGGGAGCAGCAGATCTGTGGGAGAGGGGCATGAGCAGAGCCTTGTGCCTGGACAGTGGATCAGAGGCAGCCCCAGTGGGGGCAGGTGGGGTGGGCAGTCAGGGGCAGGTGTAGGCATCCCGAGGGACAAGTTGGTAGTTTGTGAAGGGTGGTATTGGGGATGACCGAAGGTGGGCTCCATGTCAGTGGGATCCTGAGTGTGGACATCCCGGGGTATGATATTAGACACCACTGAGTACCTTTCTACTGCAAGGAACATCTTCTCTCCTGAATTAATCCTTCCTGGCTAGTCAAGTATCACATAGCCACAAACAAAGGAGCTAGGATTTTGGCCCAGGAAGCCTAGCTCAGCCTCTGCTCTCACCCCACCAGGCTTCCTCTCCTTCCTGCTTCACTGCCCTGAGTCTGCAATCATTTTAACCTTGCCAATCCGATGAGGCACAAAGAAAAATCTCTGCTGTTCTCCACTCTGATGTGTCCGGGTTATGTAAAATGATCTGCTTTATTTTTCCAATTGTGTACTGGTTTCTAGGATTTACATTTTTTTATTTTTAATGAATCTTCCTCTGTTGCCCAGGCTGAAGTGCAGTGGCATGATCTCCACTCAGTGCAACCTCTGCCTTCCCACCACACCTGGCTAATTTATTTATTTATTTATTTTTTATTTATTTATTTATTTATTTTTTTGAGACGGAGTCTTGCTCTGTCACACAGGCTGGAGTGCAGTGGCGCGATCTCGGCTCACTGCAACCTCCACTTCCCAGGTCCAAGTGATTCTCCTGCCTCAGCCTCCCGAGCAGTTGGGATTACAGGCACCCACCACCATGCCCTGCTAATTGTTGTATTTTGAGTGGAGACGGGGTTTCACCATGTTTGCCATGCTGGTCTTGACCTCCTGACCTGAGGTGATCCACCCGCCTCAGCCTCTGAAAGTGCTGGGATTGCAGGCTTGAGTCATGGTCCCCAGACAACTTTTGTATTTTTTATACAGACGGGGATTTGTTATGTTGACCTGGTTAGTCTCGAACTCCTGAGCTCAAGCGATCTGTCCTTCTTGGCCTTTCAAAACGGTGGAATTACAGGCATGAGCGCCCAAGCCCAGCTGATGTACATTCTCAGCAGCTCTGTATGAACCTTCCTGACACACTGCACCTTTAGTTTTTGGCCTCCAGCTGTCAAACCCAGAATGCCCTTATGCCTCCAAGGGTTTTGAGATAATTGAATCAACAGTATTTAAGTGCTGGCATTATTTTGATTCATTCTTCCTTCTAATATGTAGCTGTTCACTCATTCCAATTTAAATATCGGGATTTAACCATAACATGTTCTCTGTGGGGTGCTCTGAATTTTCCTCTACACTGACAGTCCGCTGAAAGCTCTAGTAAGCCTCTCAGGCTCTCAGCTTCCATTTCAGAATCAGTACCTGCTTCTAAGAGTAAGTGCCAGTCCTTCTCAAGGTCTCATTTGTACAAATGCTTTACTAGACGGTAGTTCACACATTATTTTAAAGACAAGTCGTGTGTCTTTAAATGTGTGTTTCCCATCCTACTTCACACTGAAATCCTGACTTCCAATTTCATTCTGAGCGTTATGTGAAAAATCACAGTTTTCTTACTTGACACCCATCAGAGTTAGTCAAATCTCACCAAACTTCTAGCCGTATATGTGCACAATTGATATATACAGCAAATGAAAAGCTCAGATGGACCAAGTAAACATTGGGCTATTATGAATCTAGTACTATCAGAAATATCTGTGGTTTAACCCTAAAAGTCCCAGATGCTATTGTAGGTTTTTCACAGGATTTCAATGATTGAAGTTGGCATTTTTATCCTTCTGTAGTTGATTCTGCTTGAGTCCAATACGTTAAGTTACTTTCTCAGGTACCTCATGGAGGATGTGACTAAGACTAGAATCTAACCCAAGGACACAGCATCTAGTTCACAATATGATGTCATTTCCACAAAACCATGCAACCCTGTGTGGTTTATTTGGATGTGGGTAGATGGCTGAGAGTGAAGGGAAGAATCAGTGGTTGCCTCAAATGTGGTATTGAGCAGAGCACAAAAAGAAGGAAGTTCTACTCTAAGGTGGGCCCTCTTCAGCAGGTTGGGCTCTGTGGGTACCAGGAAAATGGCAGCCTTTTGTAAATGAAGAAATATTTTCTCATCCCCAGGACCTCACAGGCACTTTAGAGTCGTGTTTGCTTTCTGAACAAGAGAATTGCTTCGCAGCTACTTGCCCAACTGCTCTATGACCTGCCACAGGTGAAGGCAGAGCTGCTCTCAGAAGCTGAGGCTGGTGACCCCAGAGGACGTCAACGACTGACTTCAACAGACAGGGAGACCTTCAGGACAGGAAGGTCAGGGAGATCTGAGGGCAGAGTAGCTTCTCTGTCCAGACCTTCATTCACAGCCTGATGGCGGAGGCAGCAGCCCTGGCAGGACTCCAGGAAGAGGCCAAGTGCTCCATCTGTCTGGATTACCTGAGCAATCCCGTTCCCATTGAATGTGAACACAACTTCTGTCATTCCTGCATCCAACAGTCTTGGCTGGATCTACAGGAATTGTTCTCTTGCCCTGTCTGTAGTCACCAATGCCCAGAGGGAAACTTCAGGAGCAACACCCAGCTGGGAAGGATGATTGACATTGCCAAGCTACTCCAGAGAGCCAGAGGCAATGACGTCAGGCAGGACAAGATGCCCCTGTGGGAGAAGCACAACCAGCCCCTGAGTGTTTTCTGCAAGGAGGACCTGGTGGTGTTGTGTCCCCTGTGCACTCAGACCCATGACCACCAAGGCCACCATGTGAGCCCCATAGAGGAGGCTGCCTCCCATCACAGGGAAAGGCTCCACAGTTACCTTGAGACCCTGAAGTTAGGAAGCTGTGAGCCACCCAGGACAGAAAGTTGTTGGAGCTCAGAGAGAAGACAGAAAGCCAAAGGCAGGAATTATCCTCTCAGTTGAAGCACCTAACGAAGTTTGTTGACCATGAAAAGCAGGCAGCTTTCTGTAGATTAGCTGAGGAAAAGACGGACATTCAGAAGAAACTCGGTGCAAACATAAGGGCATTTTCAGAACACATTTCCACCCTGAAAGGTCTGCTTACGCAGGTGGCCGAGATGAGTGTGATGGCAGATGTGAAACTGCTGATGGATGTAAGGACCGTCCTGCACAGGTGTAAGGCCTGCAGGCCCCAGCTGTCCACTCTATGCAGCTCCAGAAGGAAGGAAACAGGCTTCCCCTGCAGTACTCGGCTCTTCAGAAAATCATACAGAAGTTTAGAGAAGTTACTCTGGATCCTGAAAGTGCACATCCTCATCTGCGTGTCTCTGAGGATAAGAAATGTGTGACATTTGTGAAGGAAAGTCAGAGAGTTCACTGGAATCCAAAGAGATTGTTGTCCCATCCAGTGGTCCTGGGTTCTGAGGGATTTGAGTGTGGCCGGCATTACTGGGAGGTGCAAGTGGATGACAAGCCAATGTGGACCGTGGGGGTGTGTAAGGAATCCCTGCCCAGGAAGGGAAAGTGGCCCCTGTCAGGACAGAGCATGTGCTGGGCTATCCAGCTGCAGAATGGTGAGTGTGTGGCCTGAGGCGCTGTTCCTGTCATCCTTCCGCTAAAGGAGAAGCCCAGAGGAATTGGCATTTATCTGGACTACAAGTTGGGCGAGATCTCCTTTTACAATTTGAATGACAGGTCTCACATCCATTCCTTCACTGATACATTTTCAGAAGTACTGAAGCCTTATTTCTGTATGGGGCATGATTCAAAACCTCTTAGAATCTGCATAATGACAGATTATGATGGCTGAACTGTGACATTGCTTCATTTTCTTCCTGTAATTTATACAGTTGTCACTGAATTTAGCATCCATAAGTTTTATAAAGTACTTTTATAAGTTTAGTCTTCTCATTTTGTTTTATCTTATTTTCAAAAATTATTTTGTTTCAATAGCAAGAGATATTGTAGAAATTAACAGATGTGAGGATAAACTATTAAGTGTTCTGGAAATCTAAAACTAGAGTGTATGAAATTGTGATCCCTTTAGTCTAATCAATTTTGCATACAATAAAATATTTTCTGTATCATACAAATTTCAGGTGGCAGAGAAGACATGACTGTGGGAGACAGTTCTCTAAAGGTCTCTCCCATTTCTGCATGTGTTGAGAGCAATGCACTCATTGCTCCAGACTATGTATTCAAAGAGGTTTTTGTGGGTAGATGTTATGAAAAGGCTAATATTGTATGATTCCTACAACGTAACATTCTTTTTTTTTTTTTTTACAGCCCAGAGGTCTTTTATTTATTTTTTGTTTTAACACCTATTATGCCATGAATTCATAGGGAATAGGTTCCAGCAGCTCAGACTCCTTCCCATTGGTTCTCACAAAGTGTGCTTCTCTGGGTGGAGCAGGCTGGCGCTTTAGTTGAACCCAGGTACCTTTCTCTTTGGCTTCTTTCTTTTTCTGATCATTTTCCTTCATGTGTTTCAGGAAGCTATCTCGGCTCACAGTGTTTAATGTGCTCAATACGCACATTAATTCTCTTGGCAAGAATCTTGCCCTTAACTTGTTTGTTTACAACAATGCCAACAGCATGCTGGGTAACATTGTAGACTCTTCCAGTTTTGCCATGCTAACACTTGTGGGGCATTCCTTTTGAACAGTACCCATTCCCTTGGTGTCTACAATATCATCTTTCTTATAGATTCGCATATACGTGGCCAAAGGAACAAGTCCATGTTTTCTAAAGGGCCTAGAGAACATATATCGGGCGCCTCTCCTCTTTCCCTTTGTGTTCATCATTTTGGTGAATTACTGGAAGATGGTGGCTCTGGCCGAAAGGCATAAAATTCTTAAAATGGAAAAACTATGAAGACAGTAAAAGAATTAGTGGTTGACGGGGTTGGAGGGTGCGAGAGATGAACAGGAAGAGCACAGAGATATGCTAAATGCAGTGAATTACTCTGTGTGGTGCTATGATAGTGAATACACACCATACATTTTTCATCTGCCACAAAATGTAAAAGTGAAATCCTGTGTAAACTATGGACCTTGTGTGATAATGATGATTCAATGTAGATTCATCAGTTGTAAGAAGTATGCCACTCTGGATGGGATGCTGTTAGTGGCAGAGGCTGTGCTTATGTAGGGGAAGGGCACATGTGGGCTATATCTGTACATTCTGCCCAATTTTGCTGTGCATCTAAAATTTATCTTAAAATAAAATTTATGGAAAATACAAGAAAAAGTAAAAAGGGTACTTTTTTTTCTTTGAGACGGAGTCTCGCTCTGTCGCCCAGGCTGGAGTGCAGTGGTGCAATCTCTGCTCACTGCAACCTCCGCCTCCTTGGTTCACGCCATTCTCCTGCCTCAGCCTCCGGAGTAGCTGGGACTACAGGCGCCCGCCACGACGCCCGGCTCATTTTTTGTATTTTTAGTAGAGACGGGGTTTCACCGTGTTAGCCAGGATGGTCTCGATCTCCTGACCTCGTGATCCACCCGCCTCGGCCTCCCAAAGTGCTGGGATTACAGGCGTGAGCCACCGCGCCCGGCTGTAAAAAGGGTACTTCTACTTGCCTCTGTGAGAAGCACAAAGGATGTTTTTCTGATATTCACTGCGAGAACCTGATAGAGTTTCTGAGAGGTAAATCTCATAGAAATATAGGGCTGGGTCATCAATAACAAGGTCCCCCTGGAGTAGAGATGAGCCTGGACTCAGGGAAGGGGCAGGAACCTTAGGTGGGGTTTGGGGGGTGGGAGGTGACCTCACCAGACCAGTGGGCCTGTGGAGTGATCCTGCAAGGGTGCCTCACAACAGTCCATGAGGATGAAAATGGTTTGGTTTGGGAGGCAGATTTGAGGCCAGCAGAGTGGATAGTGGATGATGCAGGCTCATGAGACAGAGATGTGGTACACCTCAGTTTCCCAAGTACACTGACACACCTGGCTAATTTCTTGTATTTCTTTAGGTTTCACCATGCTGCCCTAGCTGGTCTCACTTCTGAGCTCAGGTGATTTGCCTGCCTTGGCCTCCCACAGTGCTGGGATTACAGGCATGAGCCACCATGCCCGGCCTATATTTGTTTCCTAATGTTCAAAAGCCAGAAATTGCATGAGAAAATCTACCAGATTTATAATATTAACTGAAGATGTAATCTCAAATAAGAACTGTGGAGTCAGTGGCTAATAGGATGAACGATGTGAGAAGTTATTTGATGGTGACATAAAAAAATATTGAGGGTGCTATGGGAAGATGGAGAAATGATAGAAGAATCTGCGACATTGGATGAATTACCCATTCTAGGCCTCACTTTCTTCTTCCTTATGAAGAGACACTCATAACTACCTTTCAGTTCTGATGTGTCGGTTCCAGTGAATGTTTAGGTGAAGCACTCGGCCCAATGCATGTATCATGGTTAGTAAATCAGTAAATGCTAGCTCTTCTATGGGAAAAAACCACAGGGCTGACTACACTGTGGGAAACACTAATCTGGAAGACAAGATATCCTACAGTATGTTCAGGACCCATCCATCTCACATATAGTATTCCCCATAGAAGAGTTTCTTCAAATTTTGTAATCCATTTTAAAATAGCCTGAAGTATACTTATATATATTAACATAGGACAAAATAAATAATAAATAGGCAGTTAAAGAACATGCAGGTAGCTCCTATTTGGAGATTTTTAAAAAGCAGACTCTTCTGTACATAATCCTGAGACTCATATAAATGTTTCCTTGTACATGCATACTCCATTTGGGAGCATTTACAGGAAGCCAATAACAGCAATTAACTTTTGGAAGGTAAATGGATGACAGCAGGTCACTGTGTAACTTTTGTGCCAAGTAGGGTATTCTCTGCTATACAGCACACAAATTTACTCCTTGAAACCTTTTACAGTGGAGCCTTCCGCAGTGGAAAGATTGGTATTTGTGTTCCTAACAAATATATATATATATATATATATATATATATTTTAATTCTTTAAACAATTTTATTATTTATTTAATTATTCTTTAAATAATTTTACTTTAATTCCAAATATATATGTGTGTGTCTATATATATATATATATATATATATATATATATATATATATATATGTTTTCTTATTCTCTTCTCTGAGTAGATACTCTTCTCATGAAGGGGGGGCCAAACTTTTATTTCATTGCTCTTCTCTCTTTGCCCTGCACTGCAGCTCCCTGCTGGTGAGAAATGTGCAGTTATCTTTGTGTTCTAGGCTTGTAGTCAGAGCCCACAGACAGCTGGCAGTCAAATAATCTCTTGCAGAGATATAGGAGTGAATGAGCTCTCAAGGAATGGGACAACAGGTAGACAGTGTACGTATTAACGTAAAGGTCCTGACTGCGATGGGATCTGAGGTGGACATTGTCCCTAGTAGCTGAAACCATGGGCTATGAATGATTTTGCTAAGGATCTCACAACCTGCCGGAGTCACCAGTGGAGACTTCTTTAAACTACAGCCCAGATACCTGAAAGGTAACTTTGGAATCATCTCACCTAGGGAAGCCTGCTCCTACACCTGCCTGGCGCTGCCCGGGCATAGCCTATCTTTTCTCCACACTTCTACAAAGCAACTACCTACAGAATGAGCAGATAAAGTATAAATGTCTCTACTGGCAGGTTGTTCATGTGTCTGTGGCTGTGGAGGCTGAAAACTACTGGAATGAGTTTGAGAATCCACAAAACAGAGGCAAGGACTGATTCTGAAAACACTTCTTTTGGCCGGGCGCCGTGGCTCCCGCCTGCAATCCCAGCACTTTGACAGGCCGCGGCGGGCAGATCACGAAGTCAAGAGATCGAGACCATCCTGGCTGACAAGGTGAAACCCCGTCTCTACTAAAAATACAAAAAAATTAGCCGGGCGTGGTGGCGGGTGCCTGTAGTCCCAGCTACTTGGGAGGCTGAGGCAGGAGAATGGCGTGAACCCAGGAGGCGGAGCTTGCAGTGAGCCGAGATCGCGCCACTGCACTCCAGCCTGGGCGACAGAGCAAGACTCCGTCTCAAAAAAAAAAGAAAAAGAAAATACTTCTTTCAAGGGGCAAAAAAGAATTAAAATGGCTGAGAAGAAAGAAGCCAACACTAGCCAAGAAATTTTGCATCTACCTCCCTGAAAATATAAAATAAATTAAAAAAAAAAAAACCATGATGAGAACTTTCCCAATATTCAATTAACCCAGTACAAAATCACTGATTAACTTAGAGGAGTTTCAACGGAGTAATGAGAGAAAAATCCAGTCTTCAACTCCTAATCCCCTCACGCCCTGCCCACTCCTTTTCCCAGGCCGAAAATGGAATCAGAGAGGAAGGTGGAAAATGCTCATCTGACCCTGTGATTGGCCAGAGACTAATTGCATCTGGAGTCTGTCCAGTTGGAAAGTAGAAAGAAAACTCTCCACAGGGTTATAAGCTCAGGAGCCAGGCTTAGAACTTAGAAGGAAGAATACACGCCTGATTGAACATCCTTTTAAAATGAGAATCATCTTCTCCCCATAAGCAATAGAGGACTTTCAGTGGTGACTCTTTCCTGAGCAAGAGGACTCACAGTGGACCTTCAATTCCTGAGGACCAGTGAACACAGCGGAAGACAGTTACTAACTGGCTACAGAGGGGCTCTTCTTAGAAGTTGTCTCTGGAATTGAAGGAAAGGAGGCAGAAGGACCCTTCAGAAGGTCCAGCTCCATAGGTACTGACTTCCAGAAAGGAGAAAGTTGAGTTATCAGTTTCTCAAGTTCCTTACATGAAGAAAACAAGGCTTTCCTTAAGAAAGAAACCTCAGACACATCCTTCCCAGCACAGGGGTCTCTACAGTGTCCTGGGGCCGACTCCAAGCCAAGGTCAGCTGCTACATCTGCCTGGATTACCTGACAGACACAGTGACCACTCTGTGGGCAGAGCTTCTGTCACTCCTGTCACTTCTGCATCCACAGTGCTGGGAGGACTTACAGGACATCTTCCCCTGTCCCATCTGTCCTCACTACTTCCCTGACCAGAACCTCAGGAGCAACACCCAATTGTGCCACATGACTGATATTGTCCAGCAGTTTCCGCCCCCATGAGGAGCAAGAGGGAAGGGCAGGAAGAGTAGCCCCTGTGTGGGAAGCACAGTCAGAGTCTGGCCCTGTTCTGTGAGAAGGATCTGGAGCTGTGTGTCAGTCAGCTCTGGCTATGGGGGTTACTTTCTCTTGCCCATTGAGCAAGCGGCAGCCAGGCACAGGAGGAAGCTCGAAAGCTACATTCATCCCTGAACAAGTAAGTCGAAGGTGCTAAAACGGGGTGTGAAATGCACACTTCAGAGTCTTGAAGTTAAAGGGGAAGAGTGAAACAAGGATGTATTCTCTGAATTTGAACAAGTGAAGTGTTTCTTGTCAAAGAAACAAGTTGCACTTCGTGCCAGTTCAATTCTTATTGAAGAGGAGGATGTTGAAGAAAAATTAAAAACAAAAGCCAAATTTCAGACCACATTTTCTCATGAAAAGATGTGCTTTATGAAAAATACTGAGAAGTGTTTATTTTTATTTTTAAGTTCCAGGGTACATGTGCAGAATGTGCAGGTTTGCTACATAGGTAAACATGTGCCATGGTGGTTTGCTGCACCTATCAACCCATCACCTAGGTATTAAGCCCAGCATGCATTAGCTATTTGTCCTAATGCTCTTCCTTTCCCTACCCCACTGGCTTCCAGGCCCCAGTGTGTATTGTTCCCCTCCCTGTGTCCCTGTGTTCTCATTGTTCAGTTCCCCCTTATAAGTGAGAACATGAGGTGTTTGGTTTTCTGTTCCTGCATTGGTTTGCTCAGGATAATGGCTTCCTGCTCCATCCATGTCCCTGCAAAGAACATGATCTCGTTCTTTTTATGGCTGCATAGTATTCCATGGTGTATATGTACCACATTTTCTTTCTCCAGTCTACCATGGATGGGCATTTGGGTTGGTTCCATGTCTTTGCTATTGTGAATAGTGCTGCAGTGAATATACACGTGCATGTATCTTCGTAGAGATAAGGTTTTGCCACATTGCTCAGGTTAGTCTCAAACTCGTGGCCTCAAGTATTCCTCCTGCCTCAGCCTCTCAAAGTGCTGGGACTACTGGCATGAGCCACCATGCCCAGCCCACCCTAAATTTATTATTCTTGAAAATAGAGAAAGTGTGACATCTGCAGCAAGGAATCTTAACTGTACTAATAATTTCAAAGCTATTTACTCTCCACAGTCTTGGGTCTGAGGGATTTAATACTGGCAGGAATTCTGGCAGGTAGAATAAAGAGGCACAGCTGTATGATCCTTTGGTGTGTGTAAAGAGTCTTTATTCAGAAAGGCTCACACAGCACCATCACCAAGATTGGATGTTGGCGCCAGGTGCAGTGGCTCACACCTGTAATCCCAGCACCGTGGGAGGCTGAGGCGGGTGGATCACTTTGAGGTCAGGAGTTCCAGACCGGCCTGACCAACATGGTAAAACCCCATCTCTAATAAAAACACAAAAATTAGCCAGGCATGGTGGTGCGTGCCTGTAGTCCCAGCTACTTGGGAGGCTGAGGCAGGAGAATGGCTTGAACCCAGGAGACAGAGGTTGCAGTGAGCTGAGATCATACCACTGCACTCCAGCCTTGGCAACAAGAGCGAAACTCCGTCTCAAAAAAACAAAAAAAAAGAATGGATGTTGGCAATTCCAGCAACTTACTGAAACAAGCAGCATATGGGATCTAGCCCCAGGCAAACAGATTGGGCTTTCTCTGACCAATGAGTTGGTAGAGGGTTCATTTTTTTTTTCTACACCACAAATATGAAGCTTTTATTATCATAATTTTGTTTTATTTTATTTTTTAATTGGCACATAATAATTGTGCATATTTATGGGTACATAGTGATGTTTCAATACTCATAGTGTATATATTTAATTACCCTGATGAGGTGATGGTAATTAGCATATCCATCATTGCAAACATTTATCATTTCTTTGTTTTGGGAACATTCAATATCCTTTGCTAACTATTTGAAGCTATATATTATTAACTATTGTCATACCATAATGGTATAGAGCATTAGAACTTATTCCTCCTATCTAGCTTTAATTTTCAATCTTTTAACAAATCTCTCCCTATCCCTCCCTTCCTCTTATACTTTCCAGCCTCTAGTATCCTCTGTTTTAACTTTTTTTTTTTTTTTTTTTTTTTATTGTTCATTCTTGGGTGTTTCTCGCAGAGGGGGATTTGGCAGGGTCATAGGACAATAGTGGGGGGAAGGTCAGCAGATAAACAAGTGAACAAAGGTCTCTGGTTTTCCTAGGCAGAGGACCCTGCGGCCTTCCGCAGTGTTTGTGTCCCTGGGTACTTGAGATTAGGGAGTGGTGATGACTCTTAACGAGCATGCTGCCTTTAAGCATCTGTTTAACAAAGCACATCTTGCATCGCCCTTAATCCATTTAACCCTGAGTGGACACAGCACATGTTTCAGAGAGCACAGGGTTGGGGGTAAGGTCACAGATCAACAGGATAAAGATTTTTCTTAGTAGAGAGCAAAATGAAAAGTCTCCCATGTCTACCTCTCTCTACACAGACACGGCAACCATCCGATTTCTCAATCTTTTCCCCACCTTTCCCCCCTTTCTACTCCACAAAACCGCCATTGTCATCATGGCCCGTTCTCAATGAGCCGCTGGGCACACCTCCCAGACGGGGTGGTGGCCGGGCAGAGGGGCTCCTCACTTCCCAGTAGGGGCGGCCGGGCAGAGGCGCCCCTCACCTCCCGGGCGGGGCGGCTGGCCGGGCGGGGGGCTGACCCCCCCACCTCCCTCCCGGACGGGGCGGCTGGCCGGGCGGGGGGCTCCTCACTTCCCAGTAGGGGCTGCCGGGCAGAGGCGCCCCTCACCTCCCGGACAGGGCGGCTGGCCTGGCGGGGGCTGACCCCCACCTCCCTCCCGGACGGGGCGGCTGGCCGGGCAGAGGGGCTCCTCACTTCCCAGTAGGGGCTGCCGGGCAGAGGCGCCCCTCACCTCCCGGACAGGGCGGCTGGCCTGGCGGGGGCTGACCCCCACCTCCCTCCCGGACGGGGTGGCTGCCGGGCGGAGACACTCCTCACTTCCCAGACGGGGTGGCTGCCAGGCGGAGGGTCTCCTCTCTTCTCAGACGGGGCGGCCGGGCAGAGACGCTCCTCACCTCCCAGACGGGGTCGCAGCCGGGTAGAGGCGCTCCTCACATCCCAGCCGGGGCGGCGGGGCAGAGGCGCTCCCCACATCTCAGACGATGGGCGGCCGGGCAGAGACACTCCTCACTTCCTAGATGGGATGGCGGCCGGGAAGAGGCGCTCCTCACTTCCTAGATGGGATGGCTGCCGGGAAGAGGCGCTCCTCACTTCCTAGATGGGATGGCGGCCGGGCAGAGACGCTACTCACTTTCCAGACTGGGCAGCCAGGCAGAGGGGCTCCTCACGTCCCAGACGATGGGCGGCCAGGCAGAGACGCTCCTCACTTCCCAGACGGGGTAGCGGCCGGGCAGAGGCTGCAATCTCGGCACTTTGGGAGACCAAGGCAGGCGGCTGGGAGGTGGAGGTTGTAGCGAGCCGAGATCACGCCACTGCACTCCAGCCTGGGCACCATTGAGCACTGCGTGAACGAGACTCCGTCTGCAATCCCGGCACCTCGGGAGGCCGAGGCTGGCGGATCACTGGCGGTTAGGAGCTGGAGACCAGCCCGGCCAACACAGCGAAACCTCGTCTCCACCAAAAAAATACGAAAACCAGTCAGGCGTGGCGGCGCGCGCCTGCAGTCGCAGGCACTCGGCAGGCTGAGGCAGGAGAATCAGGCAGGGAGGTTGCAGTGAGCCGATATGGCAGCAGTACAGTCCAGCTTCGGCTCGGCATCAGAGGGAGACCATGGGGAGCGGGAGAGGGAGAGGGAGAGTAGAGGGTTCATTTTGTAGTTTATTTTCTAATTTGAATAATGGATCATACTTGTTTTCACTGACTGACATGTTGATAGAAAAATGTATGCTTTATTTCTGCTTTCAACCTTTTTCAACATCTCTTACAATCAAAATAGTCAAAGATCAATGGTATCGTACCTGAAAGACTGTAGAGTATGATATATTCTCTTGCTTTATTCTTGGCGGGTACTTCTAATAAAGAGTGTGACTCCATTTTTGATGTTTGCTGACAACTTTTAATCCTCACCCCTCTCTCTTCTTCTGCTCCACATCCAGGCTGGCTGATAAGCCAGGATTCCTCCCTCTGGCACAGGTGGGAAGTAAAATAAAATGCAGAACGCTGAATATAACTTGCTCCCATTGGTGTGAAAACAAACTGAAAAGGGTTTCTTTGCTTGTATACTGATATATCCATAAGATTTTCCCGGAATGATATGGAAGAAACTTATGAATGGCAACTCTGGAGAGAAACCTGGGTGTGGGATGAGAGGGCAATTTGCTTTTCACAGTATCCTATGGTGACACTGTGTATTATATCAAGTTCATCTATATCATAATGTTTTAGTGTCTCAACAAACACATTTCTATGATTAGAATAGAGAACCCCAGCCAGGCACAGTGGCTCATGCCTGTAATCCCAGCAGATTGAGAGATGGGGGCAGGTGGATCACCTGAGGTCAATAGTTCGAGACCAGCCTGGCCAACGTGGTGAAACCCCGTCTCTACTAAAAATAAAAAAATTAGCCAGGCATGGCGGCACATGCCTGTAGTCCCAGCTACTCGGGAGGCTGAGGCAGGAGAATCAGAACTCAGGAGACAGAGGATTCACTGATTGCGCCACTGCACTCTAGCCTGGGCGATAGAGCAAGACTCAGTCTCAAAAAAAAAAAAAGAATCTGAATACATCCTATGATGTGTGACTGCTGCCAGCTTTTAAATTTTACCACTCTTTGTCTTTTCCCTTCTGCCCCACATCTGAGCACCATAATAGGAAAACTCAGGTGCTCTCTCTTGGTGAAGGTGAGCAGTCAATCCACACAAGCCCCTTCACACACATGGAAACACTCAGTTTCACCCCCACCCTGTAAATAAAATAAAAACCACCAGCTGGTTTCCCTGCTCGCAAGCCATTTCAAGCCAGATAGAAAAACCTGTCCTACTCCTCCCTAAAAGCCTAATCAGACAGTTAGATTTTTTTACATACTCTTTTGGGGTGTGTGTGGCATCATCAGTCTCAATATCTGAACCAAATTTTGGATGGGGATCCATTCTACTTCTATGAGATGATATTCATTAGAACCCCAATTTTAGTGTTGTTGACCAGATGAAAACCTTTTTCCTACTCCCTTATAGGACAGATATAACACCTGTAGTTAGTCAAAAAACCATAGAGTTTGCTACCTCTATTCTCTGGACTGTCAGTTTTCTCTTTATTATTATTATTATTATTATTTTTGAGACAAGGTCTCACTCTGTCACCCAGGCTGGAGTGCAGTAGCACCATCTCTGCTCACTGCAACCTCCACCTCCTGGGCCCAAGTGATCCTCCCATCTCAGCCTCCCAAATAGCTGGGACTGCAGGCATGCAGGATCACACGAGGCTAATTTTCTTTTCTTTTTTTTTTTTTTTTTTGAGACGGAGTCTCGCTCTGTTGCCCAGGCTGGAGTGCGGTGGCACAATCTTGGCTCACTGCAAGCTTCACCTCCTGGGTTCACGCCATTCTCCTGCCTCAGCCTCCCAAGTAACTGGGACTACAGGTGCCCGCCACCATGCCCGGCTAATTTTTTTCTGTATTTTTAGTAGAGACGAGGTTTCACCGTGTTAGCCAGGATGGTCTCAATCTCCTGATCTCGTGATCTGCCTGCCTCGGCCTCCCAAAGTGCTGGGATTACAGGCGTGAGCCACCGTGCCCGGCCCCACATCAGGCTAATTTTTGCATTTTTGGTAGAAATGGGGTCTGGCCATGTTGTCCAGGCTGGTCTCAAATTCCTGGGTTCAAGTGATCCTCCCACCTTGGCCTCCCAAAAGTGCTGGGATTACAGACATGAGCCATTGCACCAGGGTGCAGTTTTCTGATAGCAGGGACTCTAAACTCATGGGAAAGCCTAAATGAGTTCCCCCCAGCAAAGTCTCCCTTGAATATCAGCGCAGTGTCATGAAGCGTGAACTATCTGGTGGAGCCTGTTCTGTCTAGGACAAAGAGCCAATGATGTCACCTGAAAGGAGAGCCAGAGAAAGAAACCTGGGAATCACTCCCATCTAAGGATACTGAATGGGGAAAAAGTAGTAATATCTTAAACAAACCGACAAGGTACAGTCTGAGACCAGTCAGCAATATCAAATTGCTGAGAGATCAAGAAAACTAAATTTAGACAAACTGTTTCAATGCCCTTGGACACCAGATCATTATAAAAGTAGAAAATAGTTTTAGATCAGTGATAGAAGAAAATGACAAATCATCTCTTTTTGAGAGGGACGGAGAAAGAGGCAATAATTTCGTTTTCTTGGACCAGAAGATATATTTAATCTGGAAGTAACTGTGGTCTTACTTTTTGTTTTTTCTTTGTTAACAAACAAAGTTTGTTTGTTTGTTAACACACTGTTATGGGTAGTATAATCAGGTTTCTGTATGATTTACTTTCTGTGCCACAATAGAAGCGAAGGAAATTTTCAGCATTCAAAATAGTAGTAACTTGGCTGGGCACAGTGGCTCACACTTATGATCCCAGGATTTTGCGAGACCAAGGCAGGCAGATCACTTGAGGCCAGGAGTTTGAGACCAGCTCGGCCAACATGATGAAACCCCATCTCTACTAACATGCAAAAATTAGCCGGGTGTGGTGGTAGGCGCCTGTAATCCCAGCTACTCAAGAGGCTGTGGCAGGAGAATTGCTTGAACCCAGGAGGCGGAGGCTGCAATGAGCCAAGATCACACCACTGCACTCCAGCCTGGATGACAGAGTGAGACTCCGTCTCAAAAAAAAAAAAAAAAAAAAGTGATAACTAATGTGTATTTTGGGCTGGGAGCAATGGCTCATGCCTGTAATCCCAACACTTTGGGAAGCTGAAGCGTGAGGATCGCCTGATGTCAGGAGGATCGCCTGATGGCAAGACCAACCTAGGCAAGATGGCAAGACCCTGTCTCTACACACACACACACACACCCACACACACACACACCAACAAATAAAATGTTTCGATAACATATATTTTGTTCTTACTTTGGGGCAGGCACTGTTTTAAGTACTTACTCTGTATTGGCTCACTAATCTTCACAGTGTTAATATTTTAGTCATTTCCAGCCAGGCGTGAGATCAACCTAGCAGGTAGTAGATTCAAACCCACAAGTATATATGATTGGGAGCTCTGCCATTGACTTCTCTTTTTAGAGCAAAGTAGCTGTGTGAGTAAGTAGCTGTGCAGGTCTCTAGGATGACTGACAGTCTAGAGAACATGTCCCATGGGGTAAGTACAGGTTACAACACTTTTTGTCCACACACATCTAAAAGGGGTGGGAAGGGATTCAAGGCATAAGGTAAATTTTTAGGTACTCTAAACATTTCATCATTTTGAGAATGTATCCTTAAAATCAGTTATCATCAGGAAAGACACATCAAAGGAGTTCACCACCACAGTTGTCTTGGAAACTTTCATCTGCGCCATGTTAATTTTTCCTACCTTACCTCTCTTCTAAATTATACAGTTCTTTTTTTTTTTTTTTTTTTTTTTTTTTGAGACGGAGTGTAGCTCTGTCACCCAGGCTGGAGTGCAGCTCTGTCACCCAGGCTGGAGTGCAGTGGCGCGATCTCGGCTCACTGCAAGCTCCGCTTCCCGGATTCACGCCATTCTCCATTCTCCTTCCTCAGCCTCCAGAGTAGCTGGGACTACAGGCATCTGCCACCACCCCCGTCTAATTTTTTTGTATTTTTAGTAGAGACAGGGTTTCGCCGTGTTAGCTAGGATGGTCTCCATCTCTGACCTCATGATCTGCCCGCCTCGGCCTCCCAAAGTGCTGGGATTACAGGCGTGAGCAACCGCGCCCGGCCCACAGTTCATTTTTGATAAGTGCTAGCTTATGAAAAGATTGTAAACAATGACAATGATTTAGTAATTATAAAAGTAGCACATGTATAATTTATGCAAGAGAAAAAGAGGATCAGAACAAATGTCCACCTCACTACAGCAGTCTCCCAGGCAGTACAATTTGGTCCCCACTACCTCTTCAGCTCAGCTGTGTCTCTTTCCCTCGATTGCTCTTCAATAGCCTTGAGGTCTCCTTCCCAGGTCTCTAATAGGCCACACAGGCTTCAGTCTGAAGAGCTTTGCTCTTCGTTGCTCCCTCTGGGTGGACCATGTTTCTCTCAAGTTTTTGCCTAGAATCCTCTCACTTTTTCTTCAAGTCTTTGCTCAGATGTAAATTTTGTTTATTTATTTATTTATTTGAAACAGCGTCTCACTCTGTCACCCAGGCTGGAGTGCAATGGTGCAATCTCAGCTCACTGCAACCTCCGCCTCCCAGGTTCAAGCGATTCTCCTGCCTCAGCCTCCCAAGTAGCTGGGGCTACAAGTGTCCCCCACCATGCCTGGCTAATTTTTTGTATTTTTAGTAGAGACGGGGTTTCGCCATGTTGGCCAGGCTGGTCTTGAACTCCTGACCTCACGTGATCCACCCGCCTCGGCCTCCCAAAGTGCTGAGATTACAGGTGTGAGCCACCATGCCCGGCTCATTCATTATGTCATAGAACAACACTGCAGGGGTCTTCAGATTTTCATACCTACTATGGATACTTTCAGTACCTCTCAGAAACCCTGGGTAAGCTTGCAAATACTTCCCTGTTATTTCATAAAGCATTTTTGGAGGGTGGGGGACAGGGTCTTTCTAAATTGCCTAGGCTGGGCTCTAATTCCTGTGCTCAAATGACCCTCCCGCCTCAGCCTTCTGAGTAGCTGGGACTATGGTCACCCAACATCCTGCCCAGACACAAAGCATATTTTTTACTGTGAAAATATGGTCTGAAACTTGGCTTTTGTTTTCAGTTGGTTGGGGTTTTTTGTTTTGTTTTGTTTTGTTTTTTGAGACAGAGTTTCGCTCTTCTTGCCCAGGCTGGAGTGCAACGGCATGATCTCGGCTCACTGCAACCTCCGCCTCCCGGGTTCAAGCGATTCTCCTGCCTTGGCCTCCCGAGTAGCTGGGATTACAGTGGGATTACAGGCATGCACCACCACACCCTGCTAATTTTGTATTTTTAGTAGAGACGGGGTTTTTCCATGTTGGTCAGGCTGGTCTCGAACTCCCAACCTCAGGTGATCCGCCCGCCTCGGCCTCCCAAAGTGCTGGGATTACAGACGCCAGGCCTGTTTTGTTTTTCCCAACATCCTTCTCTTCAATAAGAAGCCTGGCACAACTTACAATGTGCTCTTTTCTCAAGAAATACTTTAATTGTTCAAATTCAAAGAATATGTCCCTCCTCCACTTTTCCGCCTTCCCCATCACTTCAAAAGTTTCTGAAATGTGCATTTCACACCCCATTTCAGCAACTTCAGCTTGCTTTTTCAGAGGCTCAAGGTAGCTTTTGAACTTCCTCCCATGCATAGCTGCAGCTTCCTCAGTGGGCATCAGGGGCTGATCCTGGTGGTCAGAGACCCTGCACCAAGGACAGAAAGGCTCCAGGCCCTTCTCAAGGAACAGGGCCAGACCCTGACTGTGTTTCTCAGACAGGGGCTCCTCTTCCTGCCCTTTCCTCTTGTTCCTCATGGTGGGAAGCTGCTGGACAATATCAGTCATGTGGTGCAATTGCATGTTGCTCTTGAGGTTCCTGTCAGGGCAGTGGTGGAGGCAGACAGGACAAGGGAGGACGTCCTGTAGGTCTTTGCAGCCCTGGTGGATGCAGGAGCCACAGAAGTGGTGCCCACAGTGAGTGGAGACTGGGTCTGTAAGATAATCCAGGCAGATGGGGCAGCCAGGGAGGCTGCAAAGGCCATTGTGCCATGAGAGTTTCTGCCTTAGGAATCTCCCTTAGAAAGGCTTGTTCTCTAGGAGCCAAAAAAAATTAGAAGCTGATGACTCCTCAATTCTCCTTCTTCTTCCTGAAAGCCAGTAGCCCCCATTTAGCCACAGAGGATATGTCTCAAGACACCCAAACTGAGGATAGTATCAAATCCTATATATGCACACTATGTTTTTCCCTATTCATACTTACCTATGAAAAAATTTGGCTGGGCGCGGTGGCTCATGCCTGTAATCCCAGCACTTTGGGAGGCCAAGGCAGGTGGATCACCTGAGGTCAGAGTTTGAGACCAGAGTTTGAGGCCAACATGGGGAAACCTCGTCTCTACTAAAAACACAAAAATTAGTTGGGTGTGGTGGCAGGCACCTGTAAACCCAGCTACTCAGGAGGCTGAGGCAGGAGAATCGCTTGGATCTGGGAGGCGGAGGTTGCGGTAAGCTGTGATCGCGCCATTGCACTCCAGCCTGGGCGACAGAGTGAGACTCAAAAAAACAAAAAACAAAAAGAAAGAAAAAAAGTTCAATTTATAAATTGGACACAGTAAGAGCTTAGCAACAATAATAATAAAATAGAACAATATAACAATACATTCAATAAAAGTTATGTGAATGTGGTCTTTCTCTCCAAATCTCTCATTGTACTGCAAATCTTAGCAACTTCGGCATTTGATTTTTTCTTCATTTATTAAATGGAGAACTTTCATCTTTTCATTTAAAGGAAGCACTTTAAGGCTTCTCTTTGGCATATATCAATTGCCAGCATCACTACTTTTGCACACTGGGGCCATTATTAAATAAGATAAGGGTTACTTGAATCCAAGTACTGTGATATTGTGACGGTTAGGTTGAGATAGCCAGGAAGTGACTCATGGGTGGGGAACATCTGCAGCATGGATACACTGAATGAAGGGGTGATTTTGTCCTGGGCAGCATGGAGCAGGATGGCAGGAAATTTCATCATGCTACTCAAAAGTGACAAGCCGGCCGGGCACGGTGGCTCATATCTGTAATCCCAGCACTTTCGGAGGCCAAAGCAGGCGAATCACCTGAGGTTGGGAGTTTGAGACCAGTGTGGCCAACATAGTGAAACCCTGTCTCTACTAAAAATACAAAAAAAAAAAGACAAGCCACTTAAAACTTATATTTAGGAACTTTCTATTTAATATTTTCAGACCATGGTTGACCTCATGTAACTGAAATCATGGAAAGTGAAATGGATGAAATGGCAGATGGGGAGTATCTTTAGAGGTATCTAAAGACACTGCCTCCTCAAGATTACTCTTGCCTCCTTCCCTGCAGGCTCTGAAGAAGCTTCAAGAGCCACTGACCCCAACCAATTATTGATCATCCTGTCACCCTCTCCTCCTGTATTCAGCAGTCCGCCCCAGTTGAAGGTTGACTGTGGAGTACTTTAGGTAAGAAAAGAGCTCCAAGAGCAAGGTACTTTATTGTTTCTGTGGACAAGACGATAGTCCCAGTTTAAAAGGATGTTCAATCAAGCAGATTTTTTTCCTTCCTGACGTGAACAGTACTTCAGGTTTTTCAAAAGATAAGAAAAGTTACTACTAAAGCTATATTTCACTAATAATGAAAATGATTTAGAAGACAAAACCATCACAACTTTGCAACCCCAAATTTATTAATAGATTTAGGCAAATCACCGTGTTAACTAACATCATAAAAAGTGAGTAAAACAGACATTATAGTCCTCCTGAAGAAAGAACACAACACTGAGAAATAGTTTCACCAAAAAAAACTGAACTCAAATGTAAAGAAGCCTCTCTGTCAAATAACCTATTAGAAGATATGCAGGGACAGAGAAAACTACTAAGGACCATCTCAGCAGTCAATTAGTAAAAGCCAGGCCGGGTGCAGTGGCTCATGCCTGTAATCCCAGCACTTTGGGAGGCCAAGGCGGGCGGATCACCTGAGGTCGGGAGTTCGAGACCAGCCTGACCAACATGGAGAAACCCCTTCTCTACTAAAACAAACAAACAAACAAAAAATATTAGCCAGGCGTGCTGGTGCATACCTGTAATCCCAGCTACTCAGGAGGCTGAGGCAGAAGAATTGCTTGAACCCAGAAGGTGGAGTTTGCAGTGAGCCGATTGCACTCCAGCCTGGGCAACAAGAATGAAACTCTGTCTCAAAAAAAAAAAAAAAAAGAGATCAATTAGTAAAATCCAAACTCTTGGCAACTACAGGAATATCCACCATGTTTCTTCAACCAAGAAAAGCAAGAAAATAAAAACGTGCAGGAGAAACTTGGGGATCTATGTAGATTTAAAAGTCAAACTAATCAAATACAAAATAGTCACCTAACTAGGTTCTAATTTCAAGCACATATTTTTATCAAATATTATAATTCAATTTGGAAAGGTAGATGTCTGATGATTATACAAAAATGATTGCTAATAGTGCCTCTCAATGTCTTTTAATTTAATGTAAGGATAAATACGAATATAGATTTTTTAATAGGAGTTTTATGTGGCACAAATTCAAGATATTCCAAAGATTTTTTTTGTTTCTCATGTTTCTGCTGACTGTAATGATAGATATTCTGTTTACAGAGAGCACCTTTGACAAAATTAGAGGGACCACAAGTAAATTGGCGTGAAGCTCCTTCCAAGAAGTATAATTCTTCAATTCCCATATGATAAAAGAACTTCCTCATTGAAGATTTAAGAGTTAAAAAGTGAACTGCACATGTTTATGTGTACATACATATGTTAACATAATACCATAAGAAAAATTTTAATTTTCATTAAATAAAATACGTAATTTTTATAGGTAATATATACATATCATGTAAAATATTTACATATAATATATACATATCATGCTACTATAATACAATAAAAATATTTATAATTATATGAAATTTTAAATATATATTAAAATATATGTGTTTCTAAAGTACATAAGTATTGCTAAAAATTAAAATACATGAGTCAGCAAGGTTCTTTCCCATGTGGCTACCCCCAGCTTAGGTCCTGCTGAAGGCTCCATGCCTTTTACTGAGTCTCCCTCACCTGTACCCCTAAGGTGATTCTCACTGAGATATTCTGTTCCCAGCAGAGGCTCAGAGATGCCCTGTGTGCACTAGTCAGGGGTACACAGAGGACCATGAGCTCCTTATGTCCTTGCAGAACAGATTCGTGGTCCTCCATCCAGAGCAGGAGCACAATACAATCCATCTTTTCTGTTTCTGTTTTGAGTCAGTCTCGCTCTGTCACTCAGGCTGGTCTTGAACTCCGGGCCTCAAGCAATCCTCTCCATTTGGTCTTCCAAAGTGCTGGGATTACAGGCGTGAGCCACCCGCCCAGCCTTTGGTTTAATTTTATGGTGGAATCTGGCCCCATTCAGCCTTAAGCCTTTAGAGTTTCCTTTCCTTCATCCCATTGGTCAGACTCCAGATCAGTGTCCTCCCAACCACAGCCTTTATCATCCTCTCTGTTTGCATCTTCTGCACTAAGGTGTGAAGATTTGAAGATTTCACTTATTGTTCCCTGTTCCTACTTCCCACTCTTCCATCAAATCTCAGACTTCATCACAAGAGGGTATTTTTCTGGGAAGGTAGCTCTAAGTTATTTTATTTATTTATTTTTTATTTTTATTTTGAGACTGAGTCTCACTCTATTGCCCAGGCTGGAGTGCAGTGACCCGATCTTGGCTCACTGCAACCTCCGCCTCCCGGGTCCAAGCTCTTCTCCTGCCTCAGCCTCCCGAGTAGCTGGGATTACAGGCATGCACCACCATGCCCGGCTAATTTTTTGTATTTTTAGAGAGACGGGGTTTTGCCACTTTAGCCAGGTTGGTCTCGAACTCCCGACCTCAGCTGATCCGCCCGCCTTGGCCTCCCAAAGTGCTGGGATTGCATGTGTGAACCACCGCGCCTGGCCAAGTAGCCCTACATTTTAAACAGAAAAGTGCGCCGGCCAGGCGCGATGGCTCACGCCTGTAATCCCAGCACTTTGGGAGGCCGAGACGGGTGGATCACGAGGTCAGGAGATCGAGACCATCCTGGCTAACAGAGTGAAACCCCGTCTCTACTAAAAAATAGAAAAAATTAGCTGGGCGTGGTGTCGGGCGCCTGTAGTCCTAGCCACTCGGGGGGCTGAGGCAGGAGAACAGCGTGAACCCGGGAGGCAGAGCTTGCAGTGAGCCGAGATCGTGCCACTGCACTCCAGCCTGGGCAACACAGCGAGACTCCGTCTCAAAAATAAATAAATAAATAAAAAAGTGCTATGCCGATTCTATGACTTCTTCTGCAAATATTAGCCTCTTTCACTGTCTCATTTACCAAGTTATAAGACTTAAGAGGCTCCTCACAAGGACTAATCCTTCAGCCTTGAAGATTTTACCGTCAAGTTTGTCCAACAAACTCATACTCGTCCCTTAAAATCTACTTTAAATATCAATTCCTCAGACGAGACCTTGGTGAGTCTTAGTTGGTAGGGTGGGGCCTAATCTCCAGGGTGGTAACTACGCAGCCTCTCAACCAGAGACGCAAACTGATCCAAAGAGCTGATTATTCCTCTTGCATTTTAAAACTAACCACCCTGGCCGGGCGCGGTGGCTCACAGCGAGGCAGGCGGATCGCTTGAGCCCATGAGTTCGAGACCAGCCCGGGGAACGTGGCGAAACCCAGTCTCCACCAAAAAATACAACAATCAGCTGGGCGTGGTGGCGCGCGCCTGTGAAGTGGGAGGATCGTTTGAGCCCGGATGGTCGAGACTACAGTGAGCCGAGACCGCACCAGACCCTGTCTCAAAAAAAAAGAAAAAAAAAAAGTTGCTCATAGGAATGAAAAATCTGAAAAGATTGCCATTGTGATTTAAATGACCCACTGAAGCCATCAGGGACCCCACCACGGAGGGAACCGCCCTAGGCTCTCCTCAGAATCTTCTCACGCTCCCTGCACCCTGCGGCATTGAGCATGCTCAGGCCTTTCCCGCCCACTTCCGGTGGAGCAGCCAACCACCGCGCTGGTCAATTGTATGCCTAAAACTCGAAAACCAAGGCGCCCAGGGTTGTGTGAGGGTTTCCGCTCTGCGCCCCGCGGGGTTCCATGGGTCCTGCACAGCATCAGGCCTGAGCCGCCGGTCCAACTGCTCCAGGTAAGCTGGGAGGGCCGCAGGAAAGGCGCAGTAGGGCCTGGCGGGAGGCTTACTTAACTGGGCAGGGGCTTCCTGAGTATCAGCTGTGCCCAAACCTCGGGGTCGCGACCTGTCCACGACTGAGCTCAGACTGTGGATCCTTTTTTTTGTTTCTGAGACGGAGTCTCGCTCTGTCACCCACGCTGGAGTGCAGTGGCGCAATCTCGCCTCACTGCAACCTCCGCCTCCCGGATTCAAGCGATTCTCCTGTCTCAGCCTCCTGAGTAGCTGGGATTACAGGCGCTCGCCACCACACCCAGCTAATTTTTGTATTTTTAGTAGAGACGAGGTTTCTCCATGTTGGCCAGGCTGGTGTCGAACTTCCGACCTCAGGTGGTCCGCCCGCCTCGGCCTTCCAAAGTGCTGGGGTTACAGGCGTGAGCCACCGTGCTCGGCCGGATTCTGTTTTCGCCGCGGAGGCAGTGGGACCCCGATGATTGAACTTTAAAGAAGATTCTGATCTGAACACCAGTTTGGGAAGTGGCCACGTGATCTCCAAAAATTATGGTGGGAGCGTTAAGGAAGGACCTCCCACCCTACAGCGCCAGCACTTCTCTGGCGGATTTTGTCTCCTTCCGTCCTCACAAGGATCTGGCTGTCAGGAAACTGCTACGGATGAGAAAGTTTAGGCTCACTTACGTTTCGTATCATCTAAAGTAATAGAGGTTGAATCTTGAGATCTGGGAATCTCCCACAGGTTTGATTTATATTCACTGAGCCCACACTATGAACCAGCACAAGAATCAGAGTAGGAGCCAGGCGCGGTGGCTCACACCTGTAACCCCATGAGGAGGCCGATGCGGGAGGATCGCTTGAACCCAGGAGTTCTAGCTCACGCTCGTGCCTGGGCAACATAGTGAGACCCCTGTCTCTACAAAAAAAAAAAAAAAAATCCGGGCATGGTGGGGCGTGCCTGTGGTCCCAGCTACTCGGGAGGCTGAGGTGCGAGGATCGCTTGAGCCTGGAGGCAGAGGTTGCAGTGAATGGAGATCGCGCCACTGCACTCCAGCCTTGGCGACAGAGTGAGATCCTGTCTCAAAAAGTAAAATAAATAAGGTAATAGAGGTTGAATTTTTCTTTTTTAATGTGACAAGATCTCAAGCAGTAGAGGTTGAATTTTGAGAGTAGGGAATCTACTGCAGGTTTGATTTATTAGCCTAATAATTATTGAACACACGTTGTACACCAGCATAAGAATCAGAGTTGGTAATTCAGTTGTGAGGAAAATAAGGAAGAATTCAGACCGTGAACTGTACTCTCCAGTGTCCTTAACCAAAGGTTGACAAAAATAAATGTAAAAATCTCAACTGTAATCTGCAGTATGATAGATATGTGGAGTCAGGAAAAGAGTAAAGTCCAGATGTTGGTGAGTCTTGTAATACTTAAGAGTAAGAAAAGCCATTCCATTGGAAATCGGAAGGTTATAGGATTAGATCTGTGTTTGGAAACTATAGAGTTATGGAATTGATTGACGGGATAGAGCATGTCAAAAATAAAGCCAGACACTGGGTAGTCATAAGGACAGATTTTAATCAGTACTGTACTATTGCAATAGGGAGAATTCAGCATGAACAGAACTCAACTGTGATTTGTACAGAGGTGACCAAGTGCTTCAAAGGGGAACTGGGGAATGAAGGTAGTGAGTTGGCGCTCAGTAGAGTCAGGGAAGTGAAAAATTACAAAAAGTGGGAAAGGGGTGGTTGGGTCATGTGAAACACACCCAGGTTTGCTCACTGGCACTTAAGGAAGTCAGGCCCCAACTCTCCCATAGATGCTGGGAGACAGGGGCCTTGTCTTCAGGTATCAGAAGATAGTTACTATAGTAGGCTAATGTTTATAGCTTGGACTGAGAAGAGTGGCTTATAATGCTGTTCTTTAAACTTCATTGCCTGAGTCTGGAAGATGGGTTAGGGGAAGCTGGAGTGTGTGGGGAAGGACGAACCATTGAGTTCCAGGATCTATGCAGGAATGTTCCCTGCACCTTTTTATTTTAAATGAAATACACTTTTTTTTTTTTTTTAAGATGACTCTCACTCTGTCGCCCAGGATGGAGTGCAGTGGCGTGATCTCGGCTCACTGCAACCTCCACCTCCTGGGTTCAAGCAATTCTCCTGCCCCAGCCTTTCTGAGGAGCTGGGATTACAGGCGCACGCCACTACACCTGGCTAATTTTTGTATTGTTAGTAGAGACGGGGTTTCACCATGTTAGTCAGGCTGGTCTCGAACTCCAGACCTCATGATCCACCCACCTCGGCCTCCCAAAGTGCTGGGATTACAGGCGTGAGCCACTGCGCCCGTCCATGAAATACCCTTTTTTACAGCAATGTGGTTCTTTCTTATAATTTAAAAAATTCCAGTCATATTTTGCAATGTATTGGCTGTACAGCTTTGTTCAGAATGCTTAAAACTTCCTTTTCAAATTTACTCAGCCCCAAAGCATCCATTAAACATGGTGTGTTAAAACAAGGATTAGGAGCTTTTGCAATGACATTGTTATTTATGAAAATGTTAAATTGGAAGGTGGGAAGAGTTAAAGGACACATTATTATTTTATTTTAATTCCTTATGATTGAAAAATATTATAATTTTTAAGATGTAATAATACCTTACTGTCCCTTCAAAATTGGAATGTACATGACATTTTCTGCCCGACTACTGCTATGAACAGTTAACACCTTTTCTAATTAGGAGCAGTGAGAGATATAGTAGCTTTTAGACCAAAATAGTACTATACTATACATACTACGACAGTTAATGACATAAATGTAGGCAGTTTGGCTAGATTTCTAAATGCACTTTTCACTTGGAAATTTTATAAGATTTTGTAATAATACCTGTATTAGTATCCCCAAGACCACCCCTAGGTTTGGTGATTTGCTAAAATGACCACAGGAGTCAGCATAGTATTATTTGAGGTTATAACTTAATTTTTTTGAGGTATCTCTCTCTGTCACCCAGACTGGAGTATAATGGCACAATCATGACTCACTGAAGCCTTGAACTCCTGGGCTCAAGGAATCCTCTCACCCCAGCCTTCTCAGTGCTGGCACTATAGGGACATGCCACCATGCCTGGCTGATTTTCATAAAATTTTGTAGAGATGAGGTCTTGCTCTGTTGCCCAGACTGGTCTTGAGTGTCTGGCCTCAATTGATCTCTTGCCTCAGCCTCCCAAAGTGCTGGGATTACAGATGCGAACCACCGTGCCTGGCCAACAATTATGGTTTATTATAGTGAAAGGATACAAAGCAAAATCAGCAAAGGAAAATGGTGTGTGGGATGAAGTCTGGATGAAACCAAGCGTAAGCTTCCAAAAGTCCGCTCTGCGTGATGTCACACAGGACCTGCTTAGTTTCTCTGAAGACAAAGTGATAAATGAGTGAACTGTTACATACCAAAGATGCTCATTGAAGATTTGTCTTTCCGGAATTTTTATTGGGAAGAGATCATGCAGGCTCCTTCCTAGCTTATATCAAAATTCTAGTTTCTCAGAAGGAAAGCAGCTATTCATCATAAACCTCATTGTTTGTATAAACACTGTAGGTGTAGTAAGCCACTCTTTTTTCTTTTTTTCTTTCTTTTTTTTTTTTAGACAGAGTTTTGCTCCTGTTGCCCAGACTGGAGTGCAATGGTACTATCTTGGCTCACTGCAACCTCCGCCTCCTGGGTTCAAGCGATTTTCCTGCCTTAGCCTCCCAAGTAGCTGAGATTACAGGCATGTGCCACCACACCCAGCTAGTTTTTGTATTTTTAGTAGAGACAGGGTTTCATCATGTTGGCTAGGCTGGTCTTGAACTCCTGACCTCAGGTGATCTGCCCGCCTTGGCCTCCCAAAGTACTGGGATTACAGGTGTGAGCCATGCACCCGACCAATAGTGAGCCCTTCTTATAAGGGAATGGCAGGATCCATTTCCTCATAAGTTCCTTATAAATTCTGGAAATCAAAGTTGCCAGACAAGAGCCAAGTAGCAGCCTTGCAAGCAACCTTCTAAGGGTGGCAGTCTTAGGCCTGCTGTGCTCATTCTTCCGCACAATACCACTTGGTGAGCATCTGTTCTGGGTCAGGCACTGTAACATCCTTACATTTTTTTTTCATTTAATGCTTTCAGCTTTCTGAAATAGAAACAAACTCAGAGAAATTAAGTTAGTTGATCAATGACATATAGATGTAGGTAAGTGAATGTTGGAGTGAAACACCCATCTCATTAGAGACCGCTACCTAATAATTTGTGTGATATCTGTTTACATCATCTTACATGTTTGCTTGTTTTTTTAAGTTTAAAAAATCTTAATTTCCCCCTCATTAGATTATTTGATATAGTGACAAATTGTGGATGTCCATCCAGGTGGGTTAAACAGAACACTATATGAAGCACTTTCATAAAGGTTTTCAAGGCTATGCACTAATGTGAATAGAAGAAAAGATGGTGTGCTTAGGCCGGGCGTGGTGGCTCACATCTGTAGAGACTTTCTCATCTGTCTCACTTTGAGACACTGAGGCAGGCAGAGCACTTGAGGTCAGGAGTTCAAGACCAGCCCAGCCAACATGGCGAAACCCCGTCTCTACTAAAAATACAAAAATTAGCCGGTCATGGTGGCAGGCACCTGTAATTCCAGGTACTGGGGAGGCTGAGGCAGGGGAATCGCTTGAACCTGGGAGGCAGAGGTTGCAGTGAGCCGAGATCGTGCCATCGCATTCCAGCCTGGGAGACAAGAGTGAGACTCTGTCTCAAAAAAAAAAAAAAAGAAAAAAGAAAAAAAAAGACTGGGCACAGTGGCTTACGCCTGTAATCCCAGTTCCCAGCACTTTGGGAGGCTGAGGTGGGTGGATCACCTGAGGTCAGGAGTTCGAGACCAGCCTGGCCAACATGGTGAGACCCCATCTCTACTAAAAATACAAAAATTAGCCAGGCGTGGTGGTGTGTGCCTGTAGTCCCAGCTACTTGAGGCTGAGTCAGGAGAATCGCTTGAACCCAGGAGGCGGAGGTTGCAGTGAGCCGAGACTGCACCATTGCACTCCAGCCTGGGCAACGAGAGCAAAACTGTCTCAAAACGAAACAAAACAAACAAACAAAAAAACGGATAGCGTGCTTAGTGATTTAGTATCACACCAGTAGTCACACCAGTTAGTATTAGGACTTTGGATACGCCTATCAAATCATTATACTTTTTTTGTTTTGTTTTGTTTTGTTTTTGCTAAGTCTCGCTTTGTTGCCAGGCTGGAGTGCAGTGGCGGGATCTTGGCTCACTGCAACCTCTGCCTCCCGGGTTCAAGCAATTCTCCTGCCTCAGTCTCCTGAGTAGCTGGGACTACAGGCATGTGCCACCATGCCCAGCTAGTTTTTATATTTTTTAGTAGAGATGGGGATTCACCATGTTGGCCAGGATGGTCTCCGTCTCTTGATCTCGTGATCTGCCTGCCTTGGCCTCACAAATTGCTGAGATTACAGGCATGAGCCACCACCTCCTGGGCTCAAGCAATTTTCTTGCCTCAGCCTCCCAAAGTGCTGGGATTACAGGTGTGAGCCAATGTGCCTAGCTCCTGTTTCATTAAATCTAAGATGAATGATTCTATTCATATTAGAATAATTCTGAAATGGGCTGAGTGCAGTGGAGCTCTCTTTTAATTTTGAACAGTTTCCCAACCTAAATTTTATCTTTTGTAACATTGACATTATTCTCTATTTGTATTATTTTTGGATTTTATTCATTCATGTATCCACTTGTTCATGATTCACTTTCTTGAAGATCTTTACTGATTTTCTACTACCTCCCTATGAATAAGGTAGACTAAGTACCTACTTCCAGTCTATCTCATTCACCAGCTAAGGCCAAAAGACAAATACCTGAAGAAAAGAATCTCAGATTATGATTGAGTTCTATGAAAGTAAAGAGATGGGATAGTGAGAGACTAGAGGGTGGGGTGGGAGGCAGTCAGATTGATGAGCAGCAGATAGGATTTGTGAGGTGACCCGAAGGAAAAGAGAGGTGTTTATAAAGATCATGACCCCTTCACCAGTATATATTTAAGCATGTATTTCCTAAGAATGAGGACATTTTCTTTTGCAGCTATGGTGCAGTTAGGAAATTCAGGAAGCCTAACTTTGATGTATTACTAATATCTAATAAATAGTACATACTCCATTTTTTCAATTTGTCCTATACTATCTACTTTATTGCAACTTTTTTTTCCCAGTCTAGAATTCAAGCTAAGAGAATGAATTACATTTTTTTTCCCCTCATATGTAAGGAAACAGGCTGGGCATAGTGGCTCACACCTATAATCCCAGCACTTTGGGAGGCCAAGGTGGGAGGATTGTTCAAAACCACCCTGGCCAACACAGACCCCCATCTCTACAAAATATTTTAAAAATTAGCTGGGCCTGGTGGCACAAGCCTGTGGTCGTGGTTACTCTGCAGGCTGAGGCTGCAAAGAACCATGGTCATACCACTGCACTCTAGCTTGGGTGACACAGAAAGACCCTGTCTCAAAAAAAAAAAAAAAAAAAGCCTGCTTTTTTTCCCAGCACTGTTGTCATTTGTGCTGTTGAGAACCATTTTCGTGTTGAATCTTGTATGATTTGGATTTCTTCATTGTTATATATACATACATACATTTTTATATATAGTTTTATATTATAGGCCAGGTGCGGTGGCTCACACCTGTAATTCCAGCACTTTGGGGAGGCCAAGGAGGGCAGATCACATGAGGTCAGGAGTCTGAGGCCAGCATGAAACCCCGTCTCTACCAAAACTATGAAAATTAGCCAGGCGTGGTGGTAGGCGCCTTAATCCCAGCTTCTTGGGAGGCTGAGGCTGGAGAATCACTTGAACCTGGCAGGCAGAGGTTGCAGTGAGCCAAGATCGTGCCATTGCACTCCAGCCTGGGTGGCAGCGAAACTCCATCTCAAAAAATAATAGCAATTGTATGTTATATATAATAGAATTTTATATATAATACACAATTACATATAGTAGAATTTTATTTATTTTATATATATATTCTGCAAAAGTTCTCTATAGATGGTAATGCTTTGCTCCCCATTGCAGGTCATCAGTTTGCCCCATCATTGGTTAAGGTGGTATTCTCTACATTATAAAGGTACTTATTTTTCTCTTTGTAATTAAAATATAATCCTAGAGTAAAATTTTGAGAATGTGAATATCATTCCCCCATAAAATTTTACCCAGTAGTTTTTACAGTTAGTGATGATTCTTGCCTGAACCAGTTATTATATTGTGATTCCAAATCCAGGAGATTTTGAAATTAAAAATCTTTTCTCATCCACAGGGATGACCGCTGTATTATAACCTGTGGCTAGTTTATTGAAGAAGAAAATCATTACACTTAGATTCAGACGGGCTCGGCCGGGCGCGGTGGCTCACGCCTGTAATCCCAGCACTTTGGGAGGCCGAGGCGGGTGGATCATGAGGTCAGGAGATCGAGACCATCCTGGCTAACAAGGTGAAACCCCGTCTCTACTAAAAATACAAAAAATTAGCCGGGCGCGGTGGCGGGCGCCTGTAGTCCCAGCTACTCGGGAGGCTGAGGCAGGAGAATGGCGTGAACCCGGGAAGCGGAGCTTGCAGTGAGCCGAGATTGCGCCACTGCAGTCCGCAGTCCGGCCTGGGCGACAGAGCGAGACTCCGTCTCAAAAAAAAAAAAAAAAAAAGATTCAGACGGGCTCATGTATAATAGAGCTGTAAGCTTTGAATTATTATATTATTATCCTCCAAGCTAAGGAGCAGTGGACTAAACAAGACTTCAGTGGGTGCCACCAGCATGCTAGGCTAGTGAAACCTAAACCTGATCAATCTACAAGGTCTGGGAGGGGTATCCACTTCTCACTGGGTTTGCGCTCTACGGAGGCAGGACTGATCAAAGGGAGGTTACCTTATGCATTACCTTTGTTCGCAGCTCGATGGAGTTTGTGACAGCCCTGGTGAACCTCCAAGAGGAGTCTAGCTGTCCCATCTGTCTGGAGTACTTGAAAGACCCAGTGACCATCAACTGTGGGCACAACTTCTGTCGCTCCTGCCTCAGTGTATCCTGGAAGGATCTAGATGATACCTTTCCCTGTCCTGTCTGCCGTTTTTGCTTTCCATACAAGAGCTTCAGGAGGAACCCCCAGCTCCGTAATTTGACTGAAATTGCTAAACAACTCCAGATTAGGAGGAGCAAGAGAAAGAGGCAGAAAGAGAATGCCATGTGTGAAAAACACAACCAGTTTCTGACCCTCTTCTGTGTTAAAGATCTAGAGATCTTATGTACACAGTGCAGTTTCTCCACTAAACACCAGAAGCACTACATTTGCCCTATTAAGAAAGCTGCCTCTTATCACAGAGAAATTCTAGAAGGTAGCCTTGAGCCCTTGAGGAATAATATAGAACGAGTTGAAAAAGTGATAATTCTGCAAGGCAGCAAATCAGTGGAGCTGAAAAAGAAGGTAGAATATAAGAGGGAAGAAATAAATTCTGAGTTTGAGCAAATAAGATTGTTTTTACAGAATGAACAAGAGATGATTCTTAGGCAGATACAAGATGAAGAGATGAACATTTTAGCAAAACTAAATGAAAACCTTGTAGAACTTTCAGATTATGTTTCCACATTAAAACATCTACTGAGGGAGGTAGAGGGCAAGTCTGTGCAGTCAAACCTGGAATTACTGACACAAGCTAAGAGTATGCACCACAAGTATCAAAACCTAAAATGCCCTGAACTCTTTTCATTTAGATTAACAAAATATGGTTTCAGTCTTCCTCCTCAATATTCTGGCTTGGACAGAATTATCAAGCCATTTCAAGTAGATGTGATTCTAGATCTCAACACAGCACATCCTCAACTTCTTGTCTCTGAGGATAGAAAAGCTGTGCGATATGAAAGAAAAAAACGAAACATTTGTTATGACCCAAGGAGATTTTATGTCTGCCCTGCTGTCCTAGGCTCTCAGAGATTTAGTTCTGGCCGACATTACTGGGAAGTAGAAGTGGGAAACAAACCTAAATGGATATTGGGTGTGTGTCAAGACTGTCTTCTTAGGAACTGGCAGGATCAGCCATCAGTTCTGGGCGGATTCTGGGCAATTGGGCGATACATGAAGAGTGGTTATGTTGCGTCAGGTCCTAAGACAACCCAGCTTCTGCCAGTAGTAAAACCCAGTAAAATTGGTATTTTTCTGGACTATGAATTGGGTGATCTTTCCTTTTATAATATGAATGATAGGTCTATTCTCTATACTTTTAACGATTGTTTCACAGAAGCCGTTTGGCCTTATTTCTATACTGGAACAGATTCCGAACCTCTTAAAATCTGCTCAGTATCAGATTCTGAAAGATAAGGAACTGGTAAATGGGTCTGTTTCAGTTTTTGTAGGTAACTTAGCCAGTAAATTTAATCTCATTTCTGGACTCTTTAAGTTTTACCACTGAAAACCAGAGTCGATTTTTCTCCTAAATTTTTGGCAACTATAAGATGTTCATAATGCCACTTTCATATATTCTATGAATATCAATTGTCAGGTGCTTTGATTTCTAAGATAAAATATTTTAGAATTATGTTACTTAACATGTCCAATAAAATGTTTTCAAATTGCCTATAATTTTTTTTTTTAGTTAAGCAAATTATTTAAAGTTGCATACATTATTTGAATATCATGCTTGCCACATACCTTTCTTTTTAGTGGATTCTTCTGTTTACCTCCATATTTCTCATAATTTGTTTCTGTTCTTTCGTGTGTCTCAGTTGAAACAATTGACTTATTTTTATGGGTAATGAGGATTTCACTTTGTTTAAATCCTTTCCGCACATATACTTACCTATGCACAATCCATAAATAATCTCTAACAGCAATTTTTTTCTTTCTGTATATCACCTGCCAATCTAGACCAACTACACTAGGCCAGTACACTTCCAGTCACTACCATTCTAGGAATTGACCTCTGCTCTTGGATTATTTCTTGGTTTAAGCCTCTGTTTTCCTCTTTATCTTTTCATTTTGGGGTGCCATCAACCCAAATGTTGCAGCGTTATAAAGTTTAGCAGACAACTAGTTTGCAAATGACTTTTCTCATATTTAGGTGACAGTTAAAGAGAATATTTGGAATCATTTTAATTTTTAAAACTTGATGGTTTTGACAAGTCTGATATCAGTCTGATTCTTGATGCTTGGATACCACTGTTTTTCATAATCAAAGGATTATGATCTTTTATAGCCCTAGTGTTTGAACTTTGTTTATTTTACTGAGTAATCAAAGCTTAGTTTAGTATCCCTTATCCAAAATGCTTGGAACCAGAAGTGTTTCAGCTTTCTGATTTTGGGGGGGATTTTGGAATATTTGCTTATGCACAATGAGATATCTTGGGGATGGGACCCAATTTGAAACAAAAAATTCATTTTATACACATAGCTTGCAGGTAATTATTTTAATAATATGCATGAAACAAAGTTTGTGTACATTGAACCCTCAGAAAGCAAAGGTGTCGGGTGTGGAATTTTCCACTTGGGTGTCATGGCAGCGCTCAATGTTTCAGATTATGGAGCATTTTGGATTTCATGTTTTTTGATTAGGGATGCTCAACGTCTGCCTTCAATTTGGAATTGTATTAGATGAGCGAAACAAAGGTTTCCATCCTTAAGCGGCATACTTCCTGGAGGGGAGAAAGGAAACAATAAAATAATAAACACAAAGAATTGCTATAGTGTGTTAGATGCTGATCAGATACTGTGGTGACAGGGAAAAGTAGGTCAATGTCACCTGTATGAGAGTGCTGTGCATGAAGGAGAGTTAGCTATGTGAAGTGGGTGGTCAGGGTAGGTATCTTGGAGAATGTGGAATCTGAGCAAACAGTTGAGGGAGTAGGCTTGGAAATAGCATCCTCATCAAATTTCATTTCAGAGTGAATGGCTTGAGAAAGTGTATGGGGAAGGGACTGTCAAGCTGTAATTGCAAGGAAGCCAGTGACAAGTAGTGAGTGAAGAAAAATACTGGAGTAAGTTCAGAGAGTAAGTATATTTCCTCTAATTTGATCTTGGGGTTTCTCCAGAGAGTGGCTATATGCTCCAGCCCTGTCCTACCTCAACTCCAGGGGATTTGGTAGTGGATATTTACAGGGTGCCTTTGATGGGATATTTCTTTATCCTGGTGGATGGCCTAATGCCTAAGTGTCCAATCTGTGACCAGGAGTCCCTCTCATAGGAAACTTGTTTATACTGGCAAACACCCTTGTGGCTCTTGTCGGACCTATTTCCAGCTTATTCATGCCAAGACTCTGTAGTCTTATTCTCCACTCTGTAGGAGAGCCCTGACCAGGAGAAAAGTTAAGTCCATGTGTTGGTAGAGTTTGACACAGAGGAGGCAACGCAACAAAAACACGTTAAATAACAGAAACAGTTTTATTACAGGTCCATGAGAGAAGATGGTACTGTTGAGGGCTGATGAGAAGGCTGCAGGGGCAGTGCTGCTCACCTAGCAGTTGAGGAGCCAGAGAGAGAGAGAGACCAATGGGCCAAGGCCTTTACTGCGGTCCAGTGCATTTCCCAAGGGACATTCTAGTTGGTGGATTTGGGATAAGCAGACATGAGTTCTGTGGGGTCACACTGTATGAGAGGTAGTCCTTGCAGCAAATGTGTACAGTCCCTGTGGGTTGTGCAGGTCAGTGGAGTGAGTCAAGTAGGTTTTATCTACATGTCCCATTAGGGAGGTGGTCACCAGGAGGCTGTTGTATAAGGCAGATACCTGGATCAAATACACTGAGGAACAGAAGTAGAAAACTGGTAACAGTATTAAGGGCAACCAAGCCCTGCTTATGGTATGAGAGAGTTAAACCCTTATTAAAAATGGATGTTTACAGCTCAGGAAGGCAAAAAATTAAAAAAAAAAAATGCTGAAGGCTGGACACAGAGGCTCACACCTGTAATCCCAGCACTATGGGAGGTCACTTGAGCCCAGGAATTTGAGACCAACCTGAACAACATAGTGGGATGCTACCTCTACAAAAAATTTTAAAAATTAGCCAGGCATGGTGGTGAGCACCTGTCGTCCCAACTACTTGGGAGGCTGAGGCAGGAGGATCACTTGAGCCCAGGAGGCCAACGCTGCAGTGAACTATAATTGCGCCACTGCACTCCAGTCTGGGTGAGAGAGTGAAACCTTGTCTCAAAAAAGAAAAAAGGAAAGAAATCATAGGAAAAATATATTTACTATTCATTAAGTGGAAGTAGATCATAAAGGTCTTCATCCTCATCATGTTCACGTTGAGTAGGCTGAGGAAGAAAAGGAGAAGTTGGTCTCAGGTAGCAGACGCAGAATAAAATCTGTGTAAGTGGATCTGCTCAGCTTGTACCCATGTTGTTCAAGAGTCAACTACACACTACATCATCTATGAATTATTCTTGTTGCGGTGGCTCACGCCTGTAATCCCAGCACTTTGGGAGGCTGAGGCGGGTTGATCACGAGGTCAGGAGATCGAGACCATCCTGGCTAACACGGTGAAACCCCATCTCTACTAAAAAAATACAATAAAAAATTAGCCGGGCGTGGTGGCGGGCGCCTGTAGTCCCAGCTACTCAGGAGGCTGAGGCAGGAGAATGGCGTGAACCCGAGGGGCGGAGCTTGCAGTGAGCCGAGATCGCGCCACTGCACTCCAGCCTGGGTGACAGAGCGAGACTCCCTCTCAAAAAAAAAAAAAAAAAAAAAAAAAAGTTGAATCTGAATTTAGCAAGCCTTTGTAACTAGCTCTCAGTTTACAGAAAATATGGGGGTCAAGGAATAAGTTAAGTGACCCAGGAAATGACACATAAATGTGTGAAATAATACAGGACAGTTACCTACTCTCCTCAACAAGGCAATGATATATTTTTAGTTGAAACCAATAAAATTTCTAAATGTAAAACATAAAACTTCTTTCAATCCAGATTTGAACAAACCAACTTTAAAAAGACATTTTATTTTATTTTATTTTATTTTTTTATTTTATTTTATTTTGAGATGGAGTCTTGCTCTGTCACCTAGGCTGGAGTGCAATGGCACAATCTAGGCTCACTGCAACCTCTGCCTCCCAGGCTCAAGCGATTCTCCTGCCTCAGCCTCCCAAGTAGCTGAGATTACAGGCACGTGCCACCACGCCCAGCTAATTTTTGTATTTTTAGTAGAGATGGGGTTTCACCATGTTGCCCAGCCTGGTCTTGAACTCCTGACCTCAGGTGATCCACCCAACTCAGCCTCCCAAAGTGCTGGGATTACAGGCATAAGCCACGGCGCCCAGCCAAAAAGACATTTTATGAGGCACTTGGGGAATTTTCAATACATATTAAGTATAAAATGATACCAAGGAGGAAGCATTGCTTGTTTTGTTAAATATAATAAAGTTTATTTAAGATTATACCCATATTTGTTGGAGTGGGTACTTCCCCCCATTGACAGCAATTAAAGGGAGGAGAAAACAGGAATTAGTGAAATCCTGATGAATGTTGAATGCTGATTGATGGAAATATGGGATTTTTAAATTATGTATTTATTTATTTTTATTTTATTTATTTCTTTATTTTGAGATGGAGTCTCACTCTGTTGCCCAGGCTGGAGTGCAGTGGCGCGATCTCGGCTCATCACAACCTCCACCTCCCAGGTTCAAGCGATTCTCCTGCCTCAGCCTCCGGAGTAGCTGGGATTACAGACATTGGCCGCCAAGCCCGGCTGATTTTGTATTTTTAGTAGAGACGGGGTTTCTCCATGTTGGTCAGGCTGGTCTCGAACTCCCAATCTTAGGTGATCTGCCCACCTCAGCCTCCCAAAATGTTGGGATTACAGGCATGAGCCACCAGGCCTGGAGACATTTCTACTGGTACCTTACCAATGAGGTAAGGTATCTCCATGATTACCTTCATCTACCCCCAAGAGATTGGGCCTGCCACTCTACGCCGCAGCCGTCCAGAGAGCGGCAGGCCTCGGCCTAAAGATCTGTAGGGTGAGAGACCTGCAAGACTCACAAGAGGGGAAGCCGACAGAGATACCTACCGACGGAGTGCTGTGCCCCCTGGTGCCAACAAGAAAGCTGAGGCTGGGGCTGGGTCAGCAACCGAATTCCAGTTTAGAGGCGGATTTGGTCGTGGACGTGGTCAGCCACCTCAGTAAAATTGGAGAAGATTATTTTGCACTGAATAAACTTACAGCCAAAAAAAAAAAAAAAAAAAGGAGATATTGTCATTTGTGACAACATGGGTGGACCTGGAGGACATTAGGCTGAATGAAATAAGCCAGACACAGAAATAAAACTATGGTGGCTGGGCGTGGTGCCTCACGCCTGTAATCCCTGCACTTGGGGAGGCTGAGGAGGGTGGATCACGAGATCAAGAGATCGAGACCATCCTGGCCAACATGGTGAAACCCCGTCTCTACTAAAAATACAAAAATTAGCCAGGCGTGGTGGTATGCGCCTGTAGACCCAGCTACTCCGGAGACTGAGGCAGGAGAATCGCTTGAACCTGGGAGGCAGAGGTTGCAGTGAGCCGAGACCACGCCACTGCACTCCAGCCTGAGTGACAGAGCGAGACTCCGTCTCAAAAGCAAAACAAAAAATAAATAAATAAAACTATGGTGTGATCTCACATATATGTGAAATCTAAGAAGATTGAATACATAGAAGCAGGGAGAATGGTAGTCACTAGGGGCTGGGAGGCGGGAGAGTGGGGAGATGCTGGTAAAACGGCACAAAGTTACCGTTATACGTGCTGTACAACTCTAGTCTCCTTTACCCAGATGATCACTACTTAGATCAAGCTTGTCCAACCCGCAATCCACAGGCTGCATGCGTCCCAAAACAGCTTTGAGTGCAGCCCAACATAAATTTGTAAACTTTCTTAAAACATGAGATTTTTTGCATTCATTTATTTATTTATTTTTTGAGAGAGTCTAGCTCTGTCACCCAGGCTGGAGTTCAGTGGCGCAGTCTCAGCTCACTGCAACCTCCGTGTCCTCTGCGTCTTTGCTTACTGCAACCTCCACCTCCCAGGTTCAAGCGATTCTCCTACCTCAGCCTCCTGAGTGGCTGGGATTACAGGCATGCTGCCACCACACCCGGCTAATTTTTGTATTTTTAGTAGAGATGGGGTTTCACCACGTTGGTCATGGTGGTCTTGAACTCATGACCTTGTGATCTGCCTGCCTCAGCCTCCCAAAGTGCTGGGATTACAGGCGTGAGCCACCGTGCCCGGCCCATTTTTGCATTTTTTTTAAGGTCATCAGCTGTTTGTTAGTGTTAATGTATTTTATGTGTGGCCCACGACAATTCTTCCAATGTGGCCCAGGGAAGCCAAAAGATTGGTTACCGCTGACTTAGAGTGAGGCCTTAGCTTGATCTTAGCCATTTCCCCAGGAAGCTGGGTCACACTAGGGGAGGTAAGCCTGTCATCTGCTCCTGTAGTCCACTGTTCTGCGGTATCAGAACACCCAGGACTGCGGGGTGCAACGGTTCATGCCTATAATCTCAACACTTTAGGAGGCCACAGGGAAATCTCTTGAGCCCAGGAGTTAGAGAGATCACCCTGGGCAGCATAGTGAGACCCCTGCCTCTACAAAAACATGGAAAAAATTAGCCAGGCATGGTGGCCCATGCCTGTAGTCTCAGCTACTCAGGAGGCTGAGGTCGGGGGATCACTTGAGACTGGGATTTGGAAGAGGCTGCAATGAGCCCTAATTGTGCCACCGTATTCCAGCACGCAGGTGAGGCAATAGAGTGAGACCCTGTCTGAAAACAAACAAACAAACAACAACAAAAAAAACACTCAGGACACCTAGTAAAATGGCTCTTGCAGTGTCTGTCCTGTGACTAGATTTATAAATGCCCTCCTCAGTGAAAGCAGAGGCCGAAGCTATCCAATCGTTTGACCAAAGCCTTAGTTAGCATATTATCTTGTACTCAACATAGTATCTTGTAATTGTTTATAAACAATTGAAACTAATTGAAATTGTAATTGTTTATAAACAATTGAAACATAGTATCTTGTAATTGTTTATAAACAATTGAAACTAATGAAAGGAATGCCACAGGACACAGCCCAGGGCACTGAAGAAAGTGTTGTGTTTTAAAGTAAAGATCTTTGACCCTGGAGGGGAAAAGATACAAATAGGACACTCAGAGGGAGTGGGAAGACTGGCTGCCTAGCTGGCCCTATTTCATTTCTGTAGGTGAGAAGATGGCATGTCCGGCCCTCTGCTGGCTCCCCGCCCCCGAAGGCCCCTCTTCCTATCAAGTTAACTGCATTTTTTCCCTCCCACACTTAATGACCACCCATCCCTCCAGGCCCCATTTTCTCTTTTCCTCCCTCTCACACGCTGGGCACCCCAAATCGCTCTACTTGGGCAGACTGGAGCTGTAAAAACAGCAAACTATTTAGATTCAACTATTTGGATTACATGGGTTGGAATCTAGACTTACTGCTTACTTCCTACAGGTGTAAGCTGGTTGAGAGAAATCATTTAACTGACAAGGATTCAGGACACAAGGAAAACACCCATCACCTCCCTGCCTTTTTGGAAACACAGGAAGAATGTAGAAAGCTAATGGGATATTTTGGTATTAAATAACACAGATTTCTTTGGACACAAAAATTCAAGATCTTCCAAACATTGATTTGCATTTTTTATCCTTGGGTCTGTTTGGTTTTCGGGCTGCTGATTATACTGAATGTTGTGCATAATGGACCATAGGTAAACAAGGCTGCCTTGGAAGTCTCTTCCTTATATGTAAATTCTATTTATATATAAAACTTAGAGACAGGTCTCTGTTGCACAGGCTGGAGTGCGGTGTCGAGACTGTAGCTCACGCCAGGCGCGGTGGCTCACGCCTGTAATCCTAGCACTTCAGGAGGCCGAGGTGGGCACATTGCCTGAGCTCAAGAGTTCAAGACCAGCCTGACCAACATGGAGAAACCTCGTTTCTACTAAAAATACAAAAATTAGCCGGCCGTGGTGGTGCATGCCTGTAATCCCAGCTACTTGGGAGGCTGAGGCAGGAGAATCGCCACTGCACTCCAGCCTGGGCAACGAGAATGAAACTCCAACTCAAAAAAAAAAAAAAAAGAAAGAAAGAAAGAAAAAGGAAGGAAGGAAGGAAATCCTTGCTGAAGTTGCAAGGAACTTTTCCCAAAATTTTAAAACAGCCTAAATATTGAGAGTAATTTAATAAATTATACTGTACTTACATGATGCTGTATGACCCTAAGAGGTACTAAATAGAGTATTTTATATATATATAATATATATAGAGAAAGTACTAAATGTATTCTCTAGAAAGAGGTTTATAATATACTTTTTGAAAAAATATACTGCTGCTGAGGCTGGAGGATCTCTTGAGCCCAGGAGTTCAAGACCAGCCTGGAAAACTTAGCAAGACTGTCTCTATAATTAAAAAAAATTAGCCAGAATGGTGGTCCATGCCTGTAATACCAGCTACTTGGGAGGCTGAAGAGGGAGGATTGCTTGAACCCAAGAGCTTGAGGCTGCAGTGAGCAATGATAGCACCACTGCACCCTAGCCTGGGTGACACAGCGACACTCCCTCTCTAAAAAAAAAAAAAAAAAAAAAAAGAATGTCTCAATATACATACTTTAGAATATGATTACAATCATCCTTCGGTATCTGCAGAGGATTGGCTCCAGGACTCCCTTGGATAACAAAATTCAGACGGATTCTCAAATCCCTTACAGTTTGCCTCAATATGGGTGGATTCTGCCTCAGCTGATGGAAAATATTCCACTAGTGATTGTTGAATCCTGGGATGCAGACTTTGATTTCCCGATGGTGTAGAAAAAAGAAAAGGGAAGAATCCCGGGATGCAGAACTTGGCAGATACTGAGGGCTGACTGTATTTTTGGGTGATAGTATTATGATTTCATATTCTGTGTGTTTAGATATTTTTATACTATGATGTTTGTGTAAAAATAATATAGATATTAATTCCATATATTCCATATATTTACATATATTCTTATTTTGTATTGTACTTGCTTTTTTTTTTTTTAATTATAAGAAATGTCAAAGCCAGGCAGAGTGGCTCATGCCTGTAATCCCAGAGCATTCGGAGGCTGAGGCAGGAGGTTCACTTGAGACCAGGACTTCCAGACCAGCCTGGGCAGTATACTGAGACCCCTGTCTCTAGGAAAAATGAAAAAAAATTAGCCTGGTGTGGTGGTGTGCACCTGTAGTCCCAGCTACTCAGGTGGCTGAGGCAGGAGGATCACTTGAGCCCAGGAGGTAGAGACTGCAGTGAGTCATGATCACACCACTGCACTCCAGCCTGGGTGACAGAGCGAGGTCCTGTCGATAAAACCAAGTACATAAATCCAATTTTATAAAAAGAAATTTCAATAATATGCACAAATAAAAAGAATAGCAAAGATCTCTTGAATCACTCAATTTCAACAGTCATGTACATGTGGCCAATCTTGTTTTATCTATACATGCTGGTCCTGACCTCCTATACTTAGACTCTTTTAAAGCTAATCATATCATTTGAAGACATCATATCATTTGATCCAAAGATACTTCAGCATATATCTCTAAAGGATAAAGAATCTTTTTAAAAATAATGGTAATATAGCCTGTAGTCCCAGCTGCTTTGGGGGCTGAAATGGGAGGATCACTTGAGCCTGGGAAGTCGAGGCTGCAGCAAACGGTGTTTGTACCACCACATCCAGCCTCGTTGGCAAAAGTGAGACCCTGTCTCAAAAAATGAAATAAAATAAAATAACAGTAATAGGCTAGATGTGGTGGCTCATGCCTGTAATCCCAGCACTTTGGGAGGTTGAGGTGGGAGCGTCAGAGGTGTCTGAACCAGAGCAACTCCATCTTGAGTAGGGGCTGAGTAAAATAAGGCTGAAGTCTACAGGGCTGCATTCCCAGACACTTACTTGTTCTAAGTCACAGGATGAGATAGGAGGTCGGCACAAGATAGAGGTCATAAAGACGTTCCTGATAAAACAGCTTGCAGTAAAGAAGCCGGCCAAAACCCACCAAAACCAAGATGGCGATGAGAGTGACCTCTGGTCGTCCTCACTGCTACACTCCCATTAGTGCCATGACAGTTTACAAATTCCATGGCAACATCAGGAAGTTACCCTATATGGTCTAAAAAGGGGAGACATGAATAATCCACCCCTTGTTTAGCATATCATCAAGAAATAACCATAAAAATGGGCAGCCAGCAGCCCTCGGGGTGCTCTGTCTATGGAGTAGCCATTTTTTATTCCTTTACTTTCTTAATGAACTTGCTTTTACTTTACTCTATGGACTCGCCCTGAATTCTTTCTTGCACAAGATCCAAGAACCCTCTCTCGGGATCTGGATCGAGACCCACTCCAGTAACAGGAGGATCACTTGAGGCAGGAGTTCAAGACCAGCCTGGGCGATATACTGAGACCCCATCTCAAGTTAAAAAAAAAAAAAAAGTAACAGTAATATCATAATCACCCTTTAAAAATTAAATGTAATTTAAGTATCATTAAATATCTTTTCTCCTTTCAAATTCCGCAGGCTGTCTCAAAATTTGTGTGTTTTAGAGTTAGTTTGTTTAATTCAGGCTCCAAACAAGATCTACAGATCAATGTATTCTTTTCTTAATACTAATAAGCAATGCCAGGGGCCAACTGTGATCAAATATATATGCACACACGTCCTCATATTACAGGTGAGAAAAATAAAATTCAAGGAGATTATAAATTACTTGTTCAAGGTTGAGGAGCTAATAAATGGCACAGCATGACTGAAATCATTTAGAATTGGGAAAGATATTAGTAATCTATTGATGAGATATAGGCTTGGGTCTCCTCTACAGACAAATGGTAGTGTAAGTCCCCGGGGTGTGTCTGAGAGCACACAGGGAGTATGTCAAGAGACAACCAGAAGACAGCACTCTACAATCCTCTGATGGTCTTCATCTCTATTTATTTGTTCTTTTCCCAGAAAATATTAAACATTTAAAATATACTATATTAAAACTCTATTATAGTTTAGAGGATTGAAAACATTCAGTTTCACTTTTTTGTTTGTTTGTTTTTGAGATAGAGTCTCACTCTGTCGCCCAGGCTGGAGTGCAGTGGCATGATCTCAGCTCACTGCAACCTCCGCCTCCCAGGATTCTCCTGTCTCAGCCTCCTGAGTAGCTGGGATTATGGGCGTGCACCACCATGCCCAGCTAATTTTCTGTATTTTTAGTAGAGACGGGGTTTCGCTGTGTTGCCCAGGCTGGTCTTGAACTCCTGAGCTCAGGCAATCCGCCCCCCCTCAGCCTCCCAAAGTGCTGGGATTACAGGCGTTAGCCACCATGCCTGGCCACTCAGTTTCATTTTTAAGACAGAACTCTCACTCATTTTGGCATTAAAACTCCTTTGGAGGAAAAATTGCTATATTTTGATTATTTCCTTTATAATCATATGGTGGGGCCAAAACCAAATGGAATCAGCTAATGGGTGGGAGGGACAGAATTGAGAAAGGATCACTTACCCTCAGAAATGTAAATTAATCCAAATAATCTGTTCTTTTACTTTGACTTCAGGCTCTGGGCTGATTACCTTTGGGAATTATAATGAGTGTTTATCTCTTGTCTCCCATTAGAGCCACTCTGGCCTTTGCCCCTGATACTCCTCTGAAATGCTCCCACGCATTTTTATCAGTCCCTTTACAGTTGTCCTGATCCCCTAGGAGCGGGACCCTGCTGTGGGCCCCGGACAGCTGCCCCTCAGTCTCTTTGGTCTCTTGGACAGATGACTCTTTCTCTGCCTGCCCCTTAGGACTCATGGCTTCTTGAGGATCTGTGTATGGCCAGTGTTGTCAATCTGTCTTCTGCTTTCACAGGACACACATGAAGCCAAACACAGCCCCCAGATTAGCATCCCAGGTGACAGCACTGGATTCTGAGGGGCGGGGGATGAGGGAGGACAGCCAGGGTCAGCTAACCAGGTGAGGGTTCCCAGGTGTCCCCAAGGAGGGTGTGTCAGAGCTCAGGGACACAGTGTGGGGCAGGACACCAGGACTTGATGGTGGATTTGTAGGGAGCAAAAGAAATGAGGGAAATCAGAGATGTCTTCTTGATTTTCTGCTTCAAATATTAGGTGAACAAAGATTCCATTGATTGAGGTGGAGAAGACTGGGAGACGGCCAGGTTTCTGGCTTCAGAGTTCAGGAGAAATCAAGATTCCTGTTTTGTTTTGTTTTGTTTTGCTTTTGAGACAGTCTCACTCTGTCGCCCAGGCTGGAGTGCAGTGGCGCCATCTCGGCTCACTGCAACCTCTGCCTCCTGGGTTCAAGCAATTCTCCCTGCCTCAGCCTCCCAAATAACTGGGATTACAGGTGCCTGCCGCCACACCCAGCTAATTTTTTGTATTTTCCACAGAGACAGGGTTTCACCATGTTGCTCAGGCTTGTAAGGGATATCTTTCAGCAGGTAGCCCAGTTGCAGGCTCTGGGTTGAAATCTCCTTTAGTCTTTCTCAACTTCTCTGTTCCTTTTCACTCATCTAAATAAGGTGGGCTCTGGTTATTTGCATGAGCAAATGCAAACCTGCCCTATTCAGTTATTACAAAAAAGACTCCAAAGTTCTTAGATCAAGGCCAAGGACACTTAAGTGCTTACAGGGAGGAAGCCTCCCCCACCCTCTCTTGCCCCTACCCCTCCCACTTCCAGGTGGAAGCTGGTCTTAGCTGGGTGGAGTCCTCACAGCTGCACTTTCCATGTGTGTTTAGTTAGTATCTAGTGTGTGGCCTTTTGCACGGATAAAGGACCGCCGCAGAGCTCCCCCTGCTCCAGGTAAGCTGGGAAGTGACATTCCGTGGGTGCGGGAGGCTGGAGTGTAGTGAAACCCGTGACCTCTTGAGCACCTGCTCTGTGCCTAGAGGGAGCTTGCACCTCACAAGGGAACCTGAATTCGGCATCAGGTTATTTAATGTTTTTATTTTCATTTATTTTTTTGAGACGCAATCACGCTCTGTGACCCAGGCTGGAGTGCACTGGGGTGATCTTGGCTAACTACAACCTCTGCCTCCTGGGGTCAAGCAATTCTCCTGCCTGTGCCTTCCAAGTAGCTGGAATTACAGGCACTCTCCACCAGTCAGGATAATTTGTGTATTTTTTTTTTTTTTTTTTTTTGAGACAGAGTCTTGCTCTGTTGCCCAGGCTGGAGTGCAGTGGCTATCTTGACTCATTGCAACCTCCGCCTCCCAGGTTCAAGTGATTCTCCTGCCTCAGCCTCCCCAGTAGCTGGGACTACAGGCATGTGCCACCATGCCCAGCTAATTTTTTGTATTTTCAGTAGAAACAGGGTTTCACCATGTTGGCCAGTATGGTCTCGATCTTCTGACCTCGTGATCCACCCGCCGTGGCCTCCCAAAGTGCTGGGATTATAGGTGTGAGCCACCGTGCCTGGCCCATTTTTAGTATTTTTGTATTTTTAGTCTCACCGTGTTGGCCAGGTTGGTCTCGAACCCCTGATCTCAAGTGTTCCGCCTGCCTCGGCCTCCCAAAGTGCTGGGATTGCAGGCATGAACTACCGCGCCTGCGGCATAAGGTTATTTTAAAACGCACGCCATTTATTTATTATGGTTCCTGATTTATTTACTAGTTTTGTCCTAAGTCACCGAAATGCTTACTAAAAAAAGTTAAGCTGAGAGCCCACCCTGTCCTAAGGAGTCAGAAAATGAGGTGACTGATATCTGTCTGGGAACATTCCCAGAAATGCTGGTCTGATGGCGAGTGTGGAATTACCTTCCAGGATGTAGCAGTGAGGGATGGTTTGTGTATAGAGTTGGGGGTGGGGTGGAGGGTTAGAGCCCTGATCCGAGGCCCTGAGGTCCCCATCAGGCTGTTTATGGACTTGATCTCCCTTTATTTAACCACTATTGCTTGCTTACAAAGGACAGACTAAGGCCAGGAGGGGTTAAGTAGCTCCCCCAAGGCCACACAGTTAATAAGGGAACACCAGGAATCAAACTCAACCATTAAAAAAAAATTTTTTTTTGTAGAAATGGGGTCTCACTCTGCCCAGATCTGGTCTTGAATTCCTTGGGCTCAAGCGATCCTCCCAGTTCTGCCTCCCAAAGCACTAATGTTACACGCGTGAGCCACTGTGCCTGGTAAGATAACTACTTTTTTTTTTTTTTTTTTGCGATGGAGTTTCACTCTTGTTGCCCAGGCTGGAGTGCAGTGGCACGATCCTGGCTCACCGCAACCTCCATGTCCCAGGTTCAAGTGATTCCCCTGCCTCAGCCTCCCGAGTAGCTGGGATTACAGGCATGTACCACCATGCCGGGCTAGTTTTGTATTTTTAGTAGAGACAGGGTTTCTCCACGTTGGTTAGGCTGGTCTCAGCTCCCGACCTCAGGTGATCCACCCACCTTGGCCTCCCAAAGTGCTGGGATTACAGGTGTGAGCCACTGTGCCCGGCGATAACTACATTTTACAAAGGAGAGGCGTTTGATACTGAGTCTTGACGCTGGAAGATGAGGCCAGAGGGGAAGCCTGAAATCTGAACAAAGAGAAGGAGCTAAGGAAAGAAAATAGTGGCAGGACCTGAGCTTTGCAGGACTCTGGATCAGCTGTCCAGAGATGCCTCAGGGCGAGAGAATGCACTCTGCTCCAGAAATTTATGCTTGATCAAGAAGTATGCTAGGCGTGGTGGTTCACGCCTGTAATCTCAGCACTTTGGGAGGCCGATGCAGGTGGATCACGTGAGCCCAAGAGTTCAACACAAGCCTGGGCAACACATGAGACGCTGTCTCTCTCTCCCTTTTTTTTTTTTTTTTGAGTCTCACTGTATTGCTCAGGCTGGAATGAAGTGGTGCGATCTCAGCTCACTGCAACCTCTGCCTCCTGGGTTCAAGCGACTTTCCCACCTCAGCCTCTGGAGTAGCTGGGACTACAGGCATCAGTTATCTACACCCATCAACACCCAGTTAATTTTTGTATTTTTAGTAGAGACAGGGTTCCACCATGTTGGCCAGGCTGGGAGACCCCATCTCTTTAAAATATATATATTTTCAGCTTGGCGAGGTGGCTCACACCTGTAATCCCAACACTTTGAGAGGCCAGGAGTTCAAGATCAGCCTGGGCAATACAGCAAGATCCCATCTCTATTAAAAATAAATAAGTTAATAAAAATGATTTTTTTTTTTTAAAGAAGTGATTCCTGAGACCCTCCAGTAAGGGTGAAATCAGCAGACTTGAGCTGAGGGATCCCTGCATTTTCCAAAGAAAGGTCTGTCTTCAGGACTGTCCCTTCACTAGATCCTGGGAGTAATTTCTGATGCCATGGACTATGCTGTCTGATAAAAGTGTGTTTTTATTACTGAGGCCTTGGACCACAGGGATTGATAATAGAGTGTTTCCGAAACCTTTCTGGGCATGCTCACATAATAGACAATCTATGTACCATGTCCTTTTTCTTTTTCTTTCTCTGTCTCTGTCTCTTTTTTTTTTTTTTTTTTTTTTTTTTTTTTGAGACAGAGTCTCGCTCTGTTGCCCAGGCTGGTGTGCAATGGTGTGATCTCGACTCACCACAACCTCCGCCTCCCAGGTTCAAGCCATTCTCTTGCCTCAGCCTCCCAAGTAGCTGGGATTATAGGTGCCCACCACCATGCCCGGCTAATTTTTTTGTATTTTTAGTACAGACGGGGTTTCACCATTTGGGGCAGGCTGGTCTCAAACTCCTGACCTCAGGTCATCTGCCCGCCTTGGCCTCCCAAAGTGCTGGGATTATAGGCGTGAGCCACTGCGCCCGGCCAATCCATTTTCTAAAATACAAAATTCTGAATGTGATGGCCCCTTGGTCCAAGGGAAAGAGATGATAGCTGTGAACAGAGTGAAAAATAGGTGGAAGGAGTAGGAAGATGCCCGCTTTTTTTTATCCTAGGATATACTGTGTGCATCAATATATTTGGTGCTATTATTTTGCTTTAAAATCTGCTTGATACTGCCTTGTATAGAATGTATGTTACACACATGTAATATAGTTTATTCTGCCAATACTGACTAGACATTTTCCAATGCTTCCTCTTTTTTGAAGTTCAAACTAGTACTGAAAATCACATTTTCAGCCTGGTGCAGTGGCTCACACCTGTAATCCTCGCATTTTGGGAGGGTGAGACAGGAGGATTTCTTGAATTCAGGAGTTTGAGATCAGACTGAGTGACATGGCAAGACCTCTAGAAAAAATAACAAGAAATTAGACTTCAGTGAGCCATGATCATGCACTGAGTGACCAAAAGAGAACCTGTCTCAACAACAAAAATATTTGTATATATGTTTGAATATTTGTTCAAGTCATCTGCATTTTTATAGGATTAGCATTGTCAAATTACAATGTCAAAGGAAAAACTTTTTAAGTATTTTTTTGTTTTTTGTTTTTTGTTTGTGTGCTTTTGAGATAGCAGTCTAGTCACCCAGGCTGGAGTGCAGTGGTGCGATCTCAGCTCACTGCAACCGCCGCCTCCTGGGTTCAAGCGATTCTCATGTCTTAGCCTCCCAAGTAGCTATTACAGGCATGTGCCCCCATGCCAGGCTAATTTTTTTTGTATTTTTAGTAGCGACAAGGTTTTGCCATGTTGGCCAGGCTGGTCTCAAACTCCTGAACTCAACTGATCCTCCCACCTCGGCCTCCCAAAGTGCTGGGATTACAGGCTGAGCCACCAAGCTCAGCCTTTGTTTCTACTTCACAGTCTACAGTGTTGGAATGTCTACATAACTGTTGCTTCTATGCTCGTTTGGAGAGCATGTTCCCATACATTGGGAATATGTTCAGTTTTTGTCTTTTTATTTTCTTATCTTGTAGGTATTTTGCATTTAGACATAATGACATTTTAGTAGTAAATACTGAAAATATTTTCGCAAATTTTGTTTATATTCAATGTGTTATCTCGTTGGGTTTCATTTCACAAATAGATAGGTCTTCTGTGGCCTATTCAACTGTAGAGAAGCAAGGATGTAAGAGCAAGGTAAATTTGGTAGATGTGATTTTGAGCCATCAGAAATACTTTTTGTTTTTTTCTAATTAGAGACAAGGTCTCACTCTGTCACCCAGGCTGGAGTGCAGTGCCACAGTGACAGCTCACTGGAGCCTTGACCTCTGTGGCTCAAGGATTCCTCCTGCCTCAACCTCCCAAGTAGGCTGGGACTACAGGTGCGCACCATCATGCCCAACTAATTTTTTTTTTATTTTTTTATTTTTTTATTTTTATTTTTTGTAGAGATGGGCTCAGTCTACATTGCCCAGGCTAGAAATAACTTACCAAGACAAAAGTTTAAAGGGAGATTGTCATTATTTACCTGATTCCAAGAATTTGGGATGTAAAGCAAATTTCTCCAAGTTACAGATATAGGTAACAAAGGCTGTATTTTAATTTGGGTGGTCTCTATGCCTCAGGGCCTAAGCTGTTCCCACAACCCCAGTTAGGATGACTGGTAAGTAGATGGGATGTGGGGATTGTGGTTCCAACTATGTGGAATAGCTAGGGCACAATAATAAAGGCATGGAAATAAAAGACTGGGACTAGGGGAGGATAATTTGTGTTTGGCTAGAATGTGGTGGAGGTTAGGACCACCTGAAATAAATTCAGGTTTGTTTCATCTTGTTTTGTTCTTAAGAAAGAAATATCTTCTCACCCACAGCAACCAATGATTTGAGGCAACAGCTGTTTTCCTAACAGCTGCTTAGCTTGGCATCATTTTCTCTGAGCAGCCAAAGGCTGGAAGAGCAGTTGTCTGGCTGAGCTGTGACTGCCGGCAGGCTGTGTGTGGGACTCCTTTTGGCAGTTGGAATTAAAGGGTCCGAAGATTCAAAGGACTTCAAGGGCTGCCACCAATGTGAGAAATCAGTGGGACTGTAGTGAGGTCATCAGCTGCCTCCAGGAAGGACAGTGAGATCTAAGAGCATATCTGCTTCTCACTGAAGAGTACCCACAGAACTCAACCTCTTGAAGAAAGCCCACCTTGGTCGAGACCTTCACCGACAGCCCAATGGCAGTGGCAGCAGCTCTGACCGGACTCCAAGCAGAAGCTAAGTGCTCCATCTGTCTGGATTACCTGAGTGACCCCGTCACCATCGAATGTGGGCACAACTTCTGTCGTTCCTGCATCCAACAGTCCTGGCTGGATCTACAGGAATTGTTCCCTTGCCCTGTCTGTCGTCACCAGTGTCAAGAGGGGCACTTCAGGAGCAACACCCAGCTGGGAAGGATGATTGAAATTGCCAAGCTACTCCAGAGCACCAAGAGTAATAAAAGGAAGCAGGAAGAGACCACCTTGTGCGAGAAACACAACCAGCCCCTGAGCGTTTTCTGCAAGGAGGACCTGATGGTGTTGTGTCCGCTGTGCACTCAGCCCCCTGACCACCAGGGCCACCATGTGAGGCCCATAGAGAAAGCTGCCATTCATTATAGGAAAAGATTCTGCAGTTACATCCAGCCCCTGAAAAAGCAATTGGCAGACCTCCAAAAATTAATAAGCACTCAAAGCAAAAAACCCTTAGAACTGAGAGAGATGGTGGAAAACCAAAGGCAGGAATTATCCTCTGAATTTGAGCACCTCAACCAGTTTTTAGACCGTGAGCAACAGGCAGTTCTCTCCAGATTAGCTGAAGAAGAGAAGGACAATCAACAGAAACTCAGTGCAAACATAACAGCATTTTCAAACTACAGTGCCACACTCAAAAGCCAGTTAAGTAAGGTAGTAGAGCTCAGTGAGCTGTCTGAACTGGAATTGCTGTCACAAATTAAAATTTTCTACGAATCTGAAAATGAGAGTAGCCCATCGATCTTTTCAATTCATTTAAAGAGAGATGGCTGCAGTTTTCCTCCCCAATATTCTGCTCTGCAGAGAATTATAAAGAAATTTAAAGTAGAAATAATTCTAGACCCTGAAACAGCACACCCTAACCTGATTGTATCTGAAGATAAAAAACGTGTGAGATTTACAAAGAGAAAACAAAAGGTTCCTGGTTTCCCAAAAAGATTTACAGTCAAGCCAGTTGTTCTGGGTTTTCCGTATTTTCATTCTGGCAGGCATTTCTGGGAGATTGAAGTGGGGGATAAGTCAGAATGGGCTATTGGCATTTGCAAAGATTCTCTTCCCACAAAGGCGAGGAGACCCTCATCAGCCCAGCAGGAATGTTGGAGAATTGAGCTGCAAGATGATGGCTATCATGCACCAGGGGCTTTTCCAACCCCTCTGTTGTTAGAGGTGAAAGCCAGGGCCATTGGCATTTTCCTGGACTATGAGATGGGTGAGATCTCATTCTATAACATGGCTGAGAAATCTCACATCTGTACTTTCACTGACACTTTTACTGGGCCTCTTCGGCCTTATTTCTATGTAGGACCAGATTCACAACCTCTCAGAATCTGTACAGGGACAGTTTGTGAATGAAAACCCACCTGTTAGGCTGAACTATTTTACTAGTTGTTGTCGTCATTTTTTTTGTTTTTTTGTTTTTTTTTAATGGAAGATGCAGAGGCTATTGTATTAACATATGTATGAATATAATCCCTTTAGTTTTTTTCTTTTACAGTTTCCAAGAAGAAAACTTTATGTTGCTCTAACAACTATCTATAAAACAGTGCTAAGAATGGCTCCCTCCCAGGAATGTCGTGGGGGTTACCTATCATGTGCATGGACCTGGCACATTGCTGAGTATAAGGGTGATTATTTCTGTTTTTCAGAAACTGCAGATGGAGCTTGCAAGGGATGAAGCAGAACAAACTTACCAATTTTGTCTCCTCTGTATAAAGGTTGGATTGTGCTATTCCTGACACATACTAAGCAGGGAGCAGGTTGTAACCCTTAGTTAAACCACAGGGCACAATTTAAGGGGATGGAGTGGGCATCACAGGGAGAGGGTAAGCATTTTTAGCCTTTAACATGTGGGGCTTTGACAGTTTTTTCTGTTATCCCCAGAAGCCACCTACTGGTGGCATTCACTACATTAGATTTCTGCTCCCAAAACTTTTATTTCTTCCTGTATTCTTTGCTATTGTGCATAGTACTTTGGAATACAGTGACTTATGACACTGGAGAGAACTGGAAAATCTTGTTACTAATGGACATTACCGTTAGATACCATGTCAGAGACTAAAAGATGAATCACTGGGCAGGATGGTATACCTATATTTACTCAGAATGTTTTCTTATAAAGACAGCTAACATATATTGAGCCCTAACTATGTCCCAGGAGTTGCAGTATTTTCAGAACAACTCTGAGACGTAGGCAGTGTGCTGTTAAAAAAAAAGAGTTTAAAATCAAGAAAACAGTTTCAAGACAAAGTATCCTAGTTAAGATGACTCAGCCAGTGGTAAAGAGATGTCCGGGGGTGCCTTCAATCACTGACAAACCAGACCCTTAAATGGTTTGTCAATGGAATGCTTTATTACACAGAAAGTAATAAGGTATTATTTTTCCCTCTGACTATGAAAAAGGAGATGTCCACAGGTCCATGTATAAACTCTTAGGATGCTACACTAACATAACCAGAAGGATCTGGGTTTATATCCAGGTTCTGCTAATGTCTGGTAGTGGGCTTAAACGCGGGCGTAAAATGGACATAATACTTTATTTTGCATGAAAGTTATGAAGGTGAAGTTATATATGTGTGTGTATGCGCCAAAGTTAATTTATATATATGTGTGTGTGTGTGTATATATATATATATATATATATATATATATATATATATATTTTTTTTTTTTTTTTTTTTTTTTTTAAATAGAGACAGGGACTCACTATATTGCCCAGGTTGTTCTTGAACGCCTGAGCTCAAGTGGTTCCACCTGCCTCAGCCTCCCAAAATGATGGGATTACTGATGTAAACCACTGCACCCAGCCCTTATCTACTTTATTTTATTTATTTTTCAATTTTTTCAGAGATGAGGTCTCACCCTGTTGCCCAGGCTAGAGTGCAGTGGCACAATCATAGCTTACCATAACCTTGAACTCCTGGGCTCAAGGGATCTTCTCACCTCAGCCTCTAAATAGCTTCGATTGTGGGCTCATGCCATCGCACTTAGCCAATTTTTTTTTTTTGAGATAGGGTCTCGCTCTGTTACTCAGGCTGGAGTGCAGTGACAGGATCATGTTCACTGCAGCCTGAACCTCCCAGGATCAAGCAATCCTACCATCTCAGCCTCCTGAGTAGCTGGGACCTCAGGCATGTACATGCCACCGTGCCCGGTTAACTTTTTTTTTTTTTTTTTTTTGAGACGGAGTTTTGCTTCTGTCACCCAGGCTGGAGTGCAATGACGCGATCTCAGCTCACTGCAACCTCTGCCTCCCGGGTTCAAGCGATTCTCCTGCCTCAGCCTTCCAAGTAGCTGGGATTACAGGCGCCTGCTACCCAGTTAACTTTAAATTTTTTAATTTTTTTGTAGAGACAGGGTCTCACTTTGTTGCTCAGCTTGGGCTCAAACTCCTAGGCTCAAGTGATACTCCCTCCTCCACCTCCCAAAGCACTGGGATTACAGCATGAGCCACCACGCCCGACCCATCCAGGCAATTTTTATTTATTTATTATTTTATTTTATTTTTTAGTAGAGACTGGGTCTCACTACGTTGACCAAGCTCATTTTGAACTCCTGGCCTCAAGTGACCCTCCTGCCTTGGCCTCCCAAACAGAGTGCTAGGAATATAGGCATGAACCACTATGCCCAGCCCAAAAAAAGATATTTCTGACTCAGCGAGGGAAATGTGAGTATGGCAGGGTGTTAGGTGAAAACAGGGAGCTGTTAATTCTGCTAGGTGTGACAGCATTGTGATTGAGGAAATGCTCTTATCCAGAGTAAAATATTTAGGGGTGAAATTGTATTTCTATGATTTCTATTAAAGAGCTCCAGCCAAAAAAAAAGAAAGAAACAAGGCAAATGTGACAAAATGTCGATAATTGTCAAGTCTAGGTGATGGACGTTTTACTTTATGTACTATTCTTTGTGCTTTAAATAAAAAGAACAAGCAAAAATGTTTCCCTTTATCCATATGTTCTGAGTTAAGGTTTCTGTATGACTGCCACTTCTACCTGAAGTTTGACTGGGCCCACTTACAGTTGAATGAACATATTTATCCCTACTCTCCCGTCTAAAACTCAGTGAAATTGTGTATTTTGACTAGTTTTAAATTTCTTAAGATTTGAGAAACTAGCTATTGAGCTATAAATATTAATAACTGTCCATTTCCTTAGAATTGGACCCAGTGCAAACTGGATCACCTTTAAATATTTGTTATCAAATGGGATCTGTATTGGCTATATATACATGTGTATATACATATATATGTATATACACACACACACATATATATATATACATATACACTTTTTTCTTTTTTTTTTTTCTTTTTTTAGTCTCACTCTGTTGCCCAGGCTAGAGTGCAGTGGTGCGATCTCTTCTCACGGCATCCTCTGCCTCAGCCTCCCAAGTAGCTGGGATTACAGCTGCCTGCCACCACACCTGGCTAATTTTTGTATTTTTAGTAGAGATGGGGCTTTACCATCTTGGCCAGGCTGGTCTTGAACTCCTGACCTTGTGATCCATCCACTTCAGCCTCTAGGATTACAGGCGTGAGCCACTGCGCCCATCCATATATAAATCTTTTCTAACCACTAGGCAACCAGGTATATATATACATATATATATGATATAGGTACCATATATATGAATATCATATATTCTTTTAATAAGATAGTGTAAGAAAAAACATGGTGCCTCTTTTTTTTTTTTTTTTTTTTTGAGACTGCTGTTGTCATCCAGGCTGGAGTACAATGGCATGATCTCAGCTCACTGCAACCTCCGCCTCCTGGGTTGAAGCAATTCCTCCTGCCTCAGCCTCCCTAGTGAGTGGGATTACAGGCATCTGCCACCACGCCCAGCTAATTTTTGTATTTTTAGTAGAGACGGGGTTTCACCATGTTGGCCAGGCTGGTGTCGAATTCCTGACCTTAGGTGATCTGCCCACCTCAGCCTCCTAAAGTTCTGGGATTACAGGCATGAGCCACCGCGCCCAGGCCAGCCTCTTCTATTGTTTAATACCTAGTTTTCTATATAAATTATGTTATAAACTTTTCAGGATTACACTTCACTTTTTTTTTGAAACAGGGTCTTGCTTTGTCACCCAGGCTGAAGTGCAGTGGCGTGATCTCGGCTCACTGCAACCTCCGAGCCCCTCTACCACACCAGTCTCAAGCGATCCTCCCACCTCAGCCTCCCAAATAGCTGGAACCACAGGCCTGCACCACCACACCTGGCAACTTTTTGGGGTTTTTAGTAGAGACGGTCTCTACCCAGGCTGCCCAGGGTGGTCTCGAACTCCTGAGCTCAAGCGAACCACCCGCCCCTAAAGTGCTGGGATTACAGGCACGAGCCATTGTGCCTGGCCACATTTCACTTTTGGTTTCCATTTGGGTAACTATTTTTTATTATTATACTAGTAATTTTACGTGCTTACTAAAAATCAAATAATAGGCATATAAATAAAAATTATTAGTGTAACCTCACCTATCCGTACACGTGCACACATTTTTGGTATATATCTATAGAGATTTCTTTGGCCTACATATACTAGTTTATGTAACTTCTTTTTATATGAACTAATCTGTAATAAGGCCAATATTAGAATTTGAATGATAGGAAGAAAGTAGATCATAAATTTGTTAGTACATTTTGGGACCTTAAGAAGAATGGGAAGCCAACGAGAAGCTTGAACCAGGGAACTGATACAATCAGATTTTCCTGTCTCATTGGCTGTATCACTCAAATTCTAAATATTAGTCTTAGCTGGATATATAAATTTAGAAGTCAGCAGTAATTGCATAGAAACTAGGCTGGGCGTTGTGGCTCATACCTGTGATCCCAGCACTTTGGGAGGCCGAGGCAGGCAGATCACTTAAGGTCAGGGGTTCAAGACCAGCCTGGCTAATATGGTAAAACCCCACCTCTACTAAAAATACAAAAATCAGCCAGGCATAGTGGCACGCACCTGTAGCTACTCAAGAGGCTGGGGCAGGAGAATGACTTGAACCCGGGAGGCGAAGGTTGCAATGAGCCAAGATTGCGCCACTGCACTCCAGCCTGAGCATCACAGTGAGACGCTGTCTCAAAACAAAACAACAAAAAAAGTGAAAACTACAACTTTAAAGTTCCAGAAGCAGAGAGGATGGTATACAGATCACAAGAGGAATGTTCAACCTTTGACATGTGGAGAGGTAATTCCTTGATTTTAAAAACTGTTCCTGGCTGAGGGCCGTGGCTCACACCTGTAACCCCAGCACTTTGGGAGGCCAAGGCGGGCAGATCACCTGAAGACATGAGTTCAAGACCAGCCAGGCCAACATGGTGAAACCCTGTCTCTACTAAAAATACAAAACTTAGGCCAGGCACAGTGGTTAACGCCTGTAATCCCAACACTTTGGGAGGCCGAGGTGGGCGGATCACGAGGTCAGGAGTTTGAGAGCAGCCTAGCCAACATGGTGAAACCCTGTCTCTACCAAAAGTACAAAAAAATTAGCCGGGTATGGTGGCACATGCCTGTAATCCCAGCTACTTGGGATACTGAAGCAGGAGAATCACTTGAACCTGGGAGGTGGAGGTTGCAGTGAGCCGAGATCGCGCCATTGCACTCCAGCCTGGGCAACAAGAGCGAAACTCTTAAAAAAAAAAAAAAAATTTAGCTGGGCGTGGTGGCATGGGCGTGTAGTCCCCAGCTACTGGAGAGGCTGAGGCAGGAGAATCACTTGAACCCAGGAGGTAGAAGTTGCCCCACTGCACTCCAGCCTGGGTGACAAAGCAAGACTCCATCTCAAAAAAATAAAAAATAAAATAAAAAAGGTTCCAGTGGAATTGTAAAAACATAAATAATAGAAAATTTAAAAAGGTAAGGAGGAGTGGATGGGATCAATATAGGTCTCATAAATTCCTTATGAGAAGTTGAGGGATTTCCCATCTCATGACCTCTTTTTTGTTTTTGAGACAGAGTTTCACTCTTGTTGCCCAGGCTGGAGTGCAATAGTGCGATCTCGGCTCACTGCAACCTCTGCCTCCCGGGTTCAAGCGATTCTCCTGCCTCAGCCTCCTGAGTAGCTGGGGTTACAGGTGTGCACCACCACGACTGGCTAATTTTTTTATTTTAGTAGAGACAGGGTTTCACCATGTTGGCCAGGCTGGTCTCAAACTCCTGACCTCAGGTGATCCACCCTCCTCGGCTTCCCAAAGTGCTGTGATTACAGGCGTGAGCCACCACGTCCGGCCTCATGACCTCTATTTTTAATCCTGATACACACAATTTTTTTCAATTAAAAATTTTTTCTTGGTGTAAATTACTACAAAACATTATACATATTGTGGATCTGGTTTCAAGTCATATAGAAAGTCATTTCCTATACCACGATTGTAAAAATGGTCTCCAATATTTTCTCGTATCTTCATGCTTTTTAGAAGCATGCTTTTGGATGGGCATGGTGGCTCATGCCCGTAATCCCAGCACTTTGGAAGGCCAAGACCGGAGGATCACTTGAGGCCAGGAGTTCCAGACCAGCCTGGACAACATAGTGAGACCTCATGTCTACAATAAATAAATAAATAAATTTAAAAAATAAACAGAAAAAGGACCTTTTAGATTACTGTGGGCCCAGAGAGCTGATTAAAGAAAATCTCACTATCTCTCTTGATTCCTAATTTAATCACACTGCAAATTCTCTTGCTATGTAAATTAAAATATTCATAGGTTCTTGGGATTAAGACATGAACATCTTTGGGGCCAGGACATGATTTTGTCTACTACAGTCCATCTTCTGGTCCCAAACATGAACATCTGTCTTACATGCAAAATACTTTCACCTCAACTCAACATCTCCAAAGTCTCAACCTGTTACTATTGTAATATTGGTCACACAACTTTATGACCATTTTTCAAAAATCATAGAACTATATACCAACAGTGAATTTTATTGAATATAAACATTAAAATGGGTATAGAAAAAGAGGAAACAGCAAAGGAGACTGAGAAGTCACCAATAAGGTGGGAAGAAACCAAGAGATTGTGCTGACCTGGAAGCCAAATAAAGAAAGTATATTAAGGAGGGTGTAATATGGCCGGGCAAGGTGGGTCATGACTGTAATCCCAGCATTTTTGGAGGCCGAGGTGGGCGGATCACCTGAGATGGGGAGTTCGAGACCAGCCTGACCAACATGGTGAAATCCTGTCTCTACTAAAAGTACAAAATGAGCTGGGTGTGGTAGCACACACCTGTAATCCCAGCTACTTGGGAGGCTGAGGCAGGCGGATCTCCAGAGGTAGGGAGTTCACGACCAGCCTGACCAACACACAGAAACCCTGTCTCTACTAAAAATACAAAATGAGCCAGGCATGGTGGCACGTGCCTGTAATCCCAGCTAGTCAGGAGGCTGAGGCAGGAGAATTGCTTGAACCCCGGAGGCAGAGGTTGCGGTGAGATGAGATCACACCATTGCACTCCAGCCAGGGCAACAAGAGCAAACTCCCTCTCCAAAAAACAAAAAACAAAAAACACCACTTTTTTTGTTTTGTTTTTGTTTTTTTTGAGACAGAGTCTCGCTCTGTCGCCCAGGCTGGAGTGCAGTGGCGCGATCTCGGCTCACTGCAAGATCCGCCTCCCAGGTTCATGCCATTCTCCTGTCTCAGCCTCCCAAGTAGCTGGGACCACAGGCGCCTGCCACCACACCCAGCTAATTTTTTGTATTTTTAGTAGAGACGGGGTTTCACCGTGTTAGCCAGGATGGTCTCAATCTCCTGACCTCGTGATCTGCCTGCCTCGGCCTCCCAAAGTGCTGGGATTACAGGCTTGAGCCACCGCATCCGACTTTTTTTTTTTTTTTTTTTGAGAAAGAGTCTCATTCTGTCGCCCAGGCTGGAGTGCAGTGGCGCAATCTTGGCTCACAGTAACCTCTGCCTCCCGGGTTCAAGCGATTCTCCTGCCTCAGCCTCCCGACTAGCTGGGACTACAGGCACGCACCACCACGCCCGGCTCATTTTTGTATTTTTAGTAGAGATGGGGTTTCACCATATTGGTCAGGCTGGTCTCAAACTCCTGACCTTGTGATCCACCCACTTTGGCCTCCCAGGGCTGAGATTACAGGTGTGAGCCACCGTGCCCAGCCTGAAACAACATCTTTTATATACTAAATTCTCATATACACTTTGGTCTATTTCTAAATTTACTATTTAGTTTCATTGATGTAATTATTCATGGGCAGTAGCACACTGTTTTAATTATTATATTATTATAATACACTTAATACCTTGTAGAATTAATCCTCTCATACATAGATTGAGAGAGAATTGCCATGTTTATGACGTCAAGACTTTCCATCCAAGGACACAGCATACCATTTCAAGTCTTCTTTTTATTCTTCAGTGGTGTTTTAAAGTTTTCTTCAAAAAGATCTGGGTACTTCATCTTTTTTGTTATTATTGTAAATGGGGCCTTTTCTTCAATTGTGTCTTCTAACTGGTAGTTGCTTGTATTAAAGCAACTGATTTTTACCTATTAATTTCGCACCCAGAACCTTACTGAATACTCTTATTTATATATTTTTGTGATAGTTTATCTTTTCTTTTCTTTTCTTTTTTTTTTTTTTGAGACAGTCTCGCTCTGTTGCCCAGGCTGGAGTGCAGTGGTACAATCTCGGTTCACTGCAACCTCTGTCTCCCAGGTTCAAGCAATTCTCCTGCCTCAGCCTCCCAAGTAGCTGAGATGACAGGTGCCTGCCAACACACCCAGCTAATTTTTTTTATTTCTCGTAGAGATGGGATTTCACTATGTTGGCCAGGCTTGTCTTGAAATCGTGACCTCAAGTGATCCGCCCCTCTCAGTCTCCCAAAATGCTGGGATTATAGGCGTGAGACACCACACCCAGCCTGTGATAGTTTTTCTACTTAGGTTCTTTGGAGTTAGCTGGTAGTCAATCCTTATTTGATAAGAAAATGCAATCTATATAACTCCATATACGTTTTCTTATCTAAATGTTTTGTTGGATCTTCCAGAACAATAAGAAATAGCAATAATATGAGTGAATATTTTTATGAACATGTCTGGTGTTTCCTACTAACTTTATCCATTTATTTTATTTTATTTTAATATTATTTTTTAAAAGATAAAGAGATGGGGCCTCACTAAGGTGCCCAGGCTGGTCTCAAACTCCTGGGCTCAAGCAATCCTCATACCTCGTCCTCCCAAAGTGCTGGGATTATAGGCATGAGCCACCATGACTGGCCATCTGTTTTCTTTTTTTTTTTTTTCCTTTTTTCTTTTTTTTTTTTTTTTTTTTTTTTGAGACGGAGTCTTGCTCTGTCACCCAGGCTGGAGTGCAAGTGGCACAATCTCAGCTCACTGCAAGCTCCGCCTCCCGGGTTCACGCCATTCTCCTGCCTCAGCCTCCCGAGTTGCTGGGACTACAGGCGCCCGCCACCATGCGCAGCTAATGTTTTGTATTTTTAGTAGAGGCGGGGTTTCACCATGTTAGCCAGGATGGTCTCGATCATCTGAGCTCGCGATCCACCCACCTCGTCCTCCCAAAGTGCTGGGATTCCAGGCGTGAGCCACCGCGCCCGGCCATGGCCATGTGTTTTCTAATAGGTTATTTTTATCTTATTCATTTAAATTACAAATGTGGGCTGGGTGTGGTGGCTCACGCCTGTAATCTCAGCACTTTAACAGGAGTTCCAGACCAGCCTGGCCAACCTGGTGAAACCCCGTCTCTACTAAAAATACAAAAATTAGCTGGGCGTGGTGGCAGGCACCTGTAATCCCAGCCACTAGGGAGGCTAAGGCAGGAGAATCGCTTGAACCTGGGAGGCAGAGATTACAGTAAGCAGAGTTTGCGCCACCGTACTCCAGCCTGGGCGACAGAGTGAGACTCCGTCTCAAAAAAAAAAAATTTTTTTTTTCAACAGAGAGAGGGTCTTTTCAACAGGAGGCTGGTCTCCAACTCCTAGGCTCAAGAGATTCTCCAGCAGTGGCCTCCCAAATTGCTGGGATTACAGACGTGAGCCACCATGCCCCGCCCCAATTTGAAATTTCTATCTGAACATCTAGTTCCTATATAATAACAGAAATGTCTTAAATATTTATTAATATGGGACTGGATTAGTAGGAGCAGAGCTCTAAAAGGTTAACAAATATTCCTGAATATATGTTTATATGCAATCGGCAATGGTACCTTTCCAATTGTATTTTAAACTGGTTCTTTTTGGTATGTAAGAAAATTGTTATCTTCATGTTTTACAGTCTGCCACCCTTGCTTTCTAATGGTTTTTCTTAAATTCTCTAGATGTCTAATGGTTAATTCTTAAATTTTCTAGATATTAATATATAACCATCCCATGCACAAATTAATCCTGCTCCTTTATCCAACTGTATTGATGGGCACTTTTGGACAATAGTAAATAGCAGTGATTATAAAAACTAGCAGTCTTATCTCTTTTATTTCTGATATGTTGTTATTTTTTAGTGTATCCTAGACATAAACTTTTAAACAAGACCTTAAAAAAATAATCTCTCAGTTCAGGACATCATAAACAGAAAGTGAAAACAGAGCCCAGGTTACAGCTGGATTACAGGAACAGGCTTTGAGCATGTGTGAGCATAGTTTTTCTACTACAATTCCAGTAGTGAAATCACTGAAGTTAGTGACATTAATTCATCAACGTATATTGAGTGCCTACTTTGTGCCAGACACTGTTCTATGTATGAAGGACACAGTAGTAAGCAAAAGATAGAGCTTACATTCTATCAGGAGACACAGACAAAGTAAACAAGTAAGTTACATGCAGTATTTTCCCCTTATCTACAGGGGAAACATTACAAGACCTCAGGTGATGCCTGGAGCCACAGGTCTGCAGGGGAATCATTGCAAGACCTCAGGTGATGCCTGGAGCCACAGATAGTACTAAACCCTACGAACACTATATTTTTTCCTATCCACACATAACTACAATAAAGTTAAATTTATAAATTAGGCACAGAGAGTAACAACATTAATAACAAAATAGAATAATTATAGCAATATACTATAATAAAAGTTACGTGTGGTGGTGTGGTGCACATCTATAATCCCAGCTACTCAGGAGGCTGACTGAAGTGGGAGGATTTTTTTTTTTTGGGGGGGGGACGGATTCTCACTCTTGTCACCCAGGCTGGAGTACAGCTGTGCGATCTTGGCTCACTGCAACCTCCACCTCCCAGGTTCAAGTGATTCTCCTGCCTCAGCCTCCTGAATAGCTGGGATTACAGACACGTGCCACCACGCCTGGCTAATTTTTGTATTTTCAGTAGAGACAGGGTTTCATCGTGTTGGCCAGGCCGGTCTCCCAACTCCTGACCTCAAGTGATCCACCCACCTCAGCCTCCCAAAGTGCTGGGATTACAGGGGTTAGCCACCACACCTGGCCACAAGTGACATTTGAACAAAGACTTGAAAAAGATATATGGGAGTTGATCCTTCCAGGCAGAGGGAACAGCAACCGCAAAGGTCCTCAGGTAAGAATGTGCTTAGCAATCCAAAAGCCACAGTGTGACCGACGCAGGGTACACAAAGGAAGAGTAGGAGAGAGGAGGTGGGGTGGGGTGGGAAGTGGAGATTTTCTAGGTCCCTGAAGGCCACTGTCCAGGCTTTGGCTTTTACTGAATGAAAAAGGGAACCATCAGAGTAGTGTTTTAGAAGGATATTGTTGGCTGCTTTTTGTGTGTGTGCATGGGGCTGGGGGGTCAGGGTGGAGAGGTAGTGAGAAGCAGAAAGATCACTTAAAAGACTCTTATAGGCCAGGTGTGGTGGCTCATGCCTGTAATCCCAGTACTTTGGGAGGCCAAGGAGGGAGGATCATGAGGTCAGGAGTTCCAGACCAGCCTAGTCAGCATGGTGAAACCTCGTCTCTACTAAAAATAAAAAAAGCACACCTATAATCCCAGCTACTCAGGAGGCTGAGGAAGGAGAATTGCTTGAACCTGGGCAGCGGAGGTTGTAGTGAGCCGAGACTGCGCCACTGCACTCCAGCCTGTGCGACACGAGTGAGACTCCATCTCAAGAAAAAAGAAAGAAAGAAAAAGAAAAAGAAAAACACTATTATAATAGGGCCAGGCACAGTGACTCATGCCTGTAATTGCAGCACTTTGGGAGGCCAAGGCGGGTGGATGACCTGAGGTCCGGAGTTCAAGACCAGCCTGGCTAACATGGTGAAACCCCCTTTCTACTAAAAATATAAAAAAATTAGCTGGGTGTGGTGGTATGTGCCGGTAATCCCAGCTACTCAGGAGGCTGAAGCAAGAGAATCACTTGAACCTGGGAGGCGGAGGTTGCAGTGAGCCCAGATCGCGCCACTGCACTCCAGCCTGGGCAACAGAGCGAGACTCCCTCCCCCAAAAAAAAAAAACAAAACCAAAAAACCGAAAGACTATTATAATAGTCCAGGTGAAGATTATAGTGGCTGGGGAAGTAGCATTGGGGGTGCCAAGAATTGGTTGGACTCTGGGTATGTTTTAAAGGAAAAGCCAGCAGGATTTGCTGATTAACTGTCTATAGGGTTTGAGAGAAAGAGGAGCTGCCATTACAGGGGTGGAAGAGACTGTGGCAGATAGCTCAGCTGGGGACATGTTCTGTTTGAGGTGTTTTTTTATATACCCAAGTAGTGATCTAGAAGGGGCAGTTGGACACATAAGTCTGGAGTTCAGGGAGGAAGGCCTGGCTGAAGATTCACATTTGGAAATTATCAGCTCATAAATTCTATCAAAGTCATGAGATTGTGTGAGACCACCAAGAGAGTGAACGCTGATGGAGAAGCCAAGAGGCCCAGGGGTTGAGCCCTGGAGAATACCAACAAAAAGCAACTTGCAAAGCAGACAAAAGAAGAAGCTAGTGAAGTAGAAGAAAATGAGGAGAATGTAGTGTCCTGGAAGCCAAGCTGAAATAAAGAGTCAAGGAGGAAGTGATCAACTGTGGGGAAAAGAGAGAGATCAGATTGTTACTGTGTCTATGTAGAAAAAGAAGACATAAGAAACTCCATTTTGATCTGTACTAAGAAAAATTGTTTCTGCTTTGAGATGCTGTTAACCTATAACTTTAGCCCCAACCCTGTGCTCACAGAAACATGTGCTGTATTGGATCAGTTTAATGGATTTAGGGCTGTGCAGGATGTGCCTTGTTAACAATATGTTTGCAGGTGGTATGCTTGGTAAAAGTCATCGCCTTTCTCCATTCTCGATTAACCAGGGACACAATGCACTGCGGAAAGCCGCAGGGACCTCTGCCCAAGAAAGCCTGGGTATTGTCCAAGGTTTCCTCCCACTGAGACAGCCTGAGATACGGCCTCGTGGGAAAGGAAAGGCCTTACCATCCCCCAGCCCGACACCTGTAAAGGGTCTGTGCTGAGGAGGAGTAGTGAAAGAGGGAGGCCTCTTTGCAGTTGAGATAAGAGGAAGGCTTCTGTCTCCTGCTCGTCCCTGGGAATGGAATGTCTCGGTGTAAAGCTGACCATTCCCATTCGTTCTATTCTGAGATAGGAGAAAACTGCCCTGTGGCTGGAGGCGAGATATGCTGGCAGCAATACTGCTCTGTTACTCTTTGCTACACTGAAATGTTTGTGTAAAGAGAAACGTAAATCTAGCCTACATGCACATCCGGACACAGTACCTTTCCTTGAACTTATTCATGATACAGATTCCTTTGCTCACGTTTCCCTGCTGACCTTCTCCCCACCTGTTGCCCCGCTACACTCCCCTCGTCAAGATATTAAAAATAATGATCAATAAATACTAACAGAACTCAAGAGACCGGCGCCGGTGCAGGTCCTCGCATGCTGGGTGTGCTGGTCCCCTGGGCCCACTGTTCTTTCTTTATACTTTGTCTCTGTGTCTTATTTCTTTTCTCAGTCTCTCGTCCCACCTGACGAGAAATACCCACAGGTGTGGAGGGGCAGACCCCCCCTCAATCAACTGAGCCAAGTGTTGCTGATAAGTTAAAAGAGGAGACGTATGCATTCATCTCCAATTTAAGCAATGTGGAAGGAAGCTATTGGTGACCTTGCCAAGAACAGTTTCAGTAGAGTAGTAGAGTGAAAGGTGAGACTGGATAGAGAGGAAGGGAGAAGAATTAGAGATAGGCTTCCCTGGTTTGCGAATGAAACAATTTTCCTTAGGAAACCTAGAGAATGTTTTGAGATCTCAAATTTGTGATTGTCACATATTCAAAGTTTGATTCTTCAAGAACTCAAGAGTTTACCAGATGTGAGTTTTGTATTCAAGATTTATTTATTTATTTATTTATTTATTGAGACAGAGTCTCGCTCTGTCACCCAGGCTGGAGTGCAGTGGTGCGATCTCGGCTCACTGCAACCTCCACCTCCCGGGTTCAAGCAATTCTCCTGCCTCAGCCTCCTGAGTAGCTGGGATTACAGGTGCACTTCACTGCACCTGGCTATTTTGTATTTTTAGTAGAGACGGGGTTTCTCCATGTTGGTCAGGCTGGTCTCGAACTCCTGACCTCATGATCCGCCTGCCTCGGCCTCCCAAAGTGCTGGAATTACCGGTGTGAGCCACTGCGCCCAGCCTTAATTTTGTATTTTTAGTAGAAATGGGGTTTCTCCATGTTGGTCAGGCTGGTCTCGAACTCCTGACCTCAAGTGATCTGCCTGCCTTGGCCTCCCAAAGTGCTGGGATTACAGGCGGGAGCCACCACGCCCAACCAGAAGATTCTAGTTGTTAAGAAAAAGAATATCCTGGGACAATAATAAGCAAAGGACTTGAATATACATGTCATAAAAGATTTATAAAAGACCATATAATTTGGAAAAAATGTTTAACACTTCATTAGTATCCAAAGAAATACAATTTGAAACAATGACACACTCATCAGATGGGTCAAGACTTAAATAAGGTAACACCCACTATTGGTAAGGGTATGGAGACCAGGTGAGCTGGCTCATGCCTATAATCCCAGCATTTTGGGAGGCCAAAGCAGGTGGATCACCTGAGGTAAGGAATTCAAGATCAGCCTGGCCAACATGGTGAATCCCCGTCTCTACTAGAAATACAATTTTTTTTCTTTTCTTTCTTTTTTTTTTTTTGTGATGGAGTCTCGCTCTGCTCTGTCGCCAGGCTGGAGTGCAGTGGCACCATCTTGGTTCACTGCAATCTCTGCCTCCCAGGCTCAAGCAATTCTCCTGCCTCAGCCTCCTGAGTAGCTGGGATTACAGGCGCGCACCACCACACCCAGCTAATGTTGCTAATATTTTTGTATTTTTTGTAGAGATAGGGTTTCACCATGCTGGCCAGGATGGCCTCGATCTGCTGACCTCGTGATCTGTCCGCCTCGGCCTCCCAAAGTGCTGAGATTACAGGTGTGAGCCACCGTGCCCAGCCGAAATACAAAATTTTTAGTATTTTTTTTTTTTTTTGAGATGGAGCCTGCTCTGTGGCCCAGGCTAGAGTACAGTGGCGTGATCTTGCCTCACTGCAACCTCCACCTGCTGGGTTCAAGCAATTCTCCTGCCTTAGCCTCCAGAGTAGCTGGGATTACAGGCACCCTGCACCACACCTGGCTGATATTTGTATTCTTAGTAGAGATGGGGTTTCACCATCTTGGCCAGGCTGGTCTCTAACTCCTGACCTTGTGATCCACCCACCTTGGCCTCCCAAAGTGCTGGTATTACAGGCGTAAGCTACCACACCCGACCCAAATTTTTAATATTTTTGTACTAAAAAATAGTGGCATGCATCTGTAGTACTAGCTACTTGGGAGGCTGAGGCAGGAGAATTGCTTGAACCCGGTAGAAGGAGGTTGCAGTGAGCCCAGATCACACCACTGCACTCCAGCCTGGGAGACAGATGAGACTAAAAAAAAAAACAAAACAAAAAAAGTGTACATTGGTATAATCCCTTGGTAGTGAGATTTCAAATAATTGTTTTGCTTTATATTTTTCCATATTGCCATTTTTTAAAAAATGAGCTTTTAACTTTATAATAAGTCATGATACTGTTGTCATTTGGAATACATATACATACATATATACCTATATCTATCTATATACCTATACACATACATACTTATAATAAAAGGTTTACTATACCTGCCCTAGTTCAGGGCCATATCTTTCTGCCACACATATTTCCTCCATATTGAACTACCATCTGATCCTGCTGAAACTAAAACTGACATTGTCACTTCCTTGCTTGAAATGCTTCAGAGGATCCCATTATCAACAAGATAAAGTGCAGTCTTCCAGCATAGTATCAAGGCCCTCCAAGCTCTGACCCTGTCTACCTCTCCACCCAGGTCCTGCCTCACACTTTTGGTTCCAGCTATACACAGTGCTTGTGATATTTTGTAGCTATTTGCCTTCCTACTTTACTCATTGTTCTGTCTGACATTCTTAAAACCCTCTACCCTCCTGCCCCCAGGGTACCCCCTGACGTGGAGCTCCTACAGCATGTTGGGCCTACTGTCATTACTGCACTTAGCACAGAGTCTGGAAATCTATTCCTCGCTCTCTTTAGAATGTAAGCTGCCAACCAGAGTCTTTAATTTTTGTATCCTCAGTGCTAGCACAATTACCAGCCTGGTGAATAGAATGTTTAACATTTAAATTGTTTTGTTCATTTTTCTGTTTTGTTACTTCTTTTTTTTTTGAGATCGAGTCTAGCTCTGTTGCCCAAGCTGGAATGCAGTGGTGCAATTTCAGCTCACTGCAACCTCTGCCTCCTGTGTTCAAGCGATTCTCCTGCCTCAGCCTCCTGAGTAGCTGGGATTACAGATGCGTGCCACCATGCCTGGCTTATTTTGTATTTTTAGTAAAGATGGGGTTTTACTATGTTGGCCAGGCTGGTCTTGAGCTCCTAACCTCAGGTGATCCACCTGCCTCAGCCTCCCGAAGTGCTGGGATTACAGGCGTAAGCCACTGCATCAGCTGTTTTGCTACTTCTGATACTTAGTTTCATTTTCATTTATTGTTTGAAATGTTCATCATTGCATTCAGAAAAATGTTGATGATTATACAACAAACATGTTGATGATTACATAAGAACATAGGCACCCTAACTTTTTAACTACACTGTTCCTTGTAAACCAAAGTTCATCCTATAAATCTCAGATACTGACTATAGATCCAAATTAAATTTTAAAAATAAATAAGAGTTAATCATCTACCACTGGTGTTCCCTTTTGAAAAGAAAAACAACTGAAGGCAAAGTTTATAGGCTCTTCCAGAACAGAGAAACAGATTTCTAGAGAAGGCAATGGCTTTGAGATACATACACTTATTAAAAAGAAAGGAAGGCCGGGCACAGTGGCTCATGCCTGTAATCCCAACACTTTGGGAGGCCAAGGAGGGCGGATCAAAAGGTCAGGAGTTTGAGACCAGCCTGGCCAGCATGGTGAAACCCCGCCTGTACTAAAAATACAAAAATTAGCCAGGCATGGTGGCATGTGCCTGTAATCCCAGCTACTCAGCAGGCTGAGGTAGGAGAATTTCTTAATCCCGGGAGGCGGAGGTTGCAGTGAGCCGAGATCATGCTACTGCGCTCCAGCCTGGGCAACAGAGCGAGACTCCGTCTGAAAAAAAAAGAAAGAAAGAAAGGCGCCATTGCACTCCAGCCTGGGCGACAGGGTGAGACTCTGTCTCAAAAACAACAACAAAAAAAAAAACCCCCAAAAAACAAAAAAAAACGGAAGGGAGAAAGGAAATTTTAAAAATACAATTTGGCTTTAGTTTGTGAATGTTGTGTGCAGGTGACACACGATCTTTTTTTTTTTTTTTTGAGAGACAGTGTCTCATTGTTGCCCAGGCTGGTCTCAAACTCCTGGCCTTGAGTGATCCTCCTGCCTCAGCCTCCCAAAGTACTAAGATTACAGGCATGAGCAACTGCTCCCAGCCATACACAATCATCTTTATCTTAGTAGAAAACTTTTAGAATGCCCCGGCAATGGCTGTATCTAAAAGAAACAGGTATTTGCCCTCCATAAGTCAAATAGATGTGGCCAAATCAATATATCCCTTGCCTATATAGTTATATCGAACACATCCCTATATGGTTACATATCAAATATTGAATATTCAGCTAATGATCAAAAAAGATTAACACAGTCATAAATATCCCCTCCCCTCATATTCAGCCTTCAACCAAAAGTCTTTCTAAGGCAGCATATAACAGTGCTAACAGCAAACTGACAAATTAAAGGGGCATACTAGGAAAAATGGAGAAATAATGCCATTTGCTCTGAAAAATACTTCAGTTTTATCTTCAGAATCAGATATGTTTAATATCTGCATATAACTTAATATGCATTTCTTCCATTACAATTTTTAAGTATAATCCAAGGCTTTAAAAGGTATCTTTTTTTTACAGTAATTTAAAATTATAGAAGATGCCTTTCCTATAATTGAAGTTATTGATCAATTGAAGGTATAACCAGACTGAAATATACAGCAACTTCTTGAAGAATGGCAAAAATAAAGTGAAAGTTCTAAATTCTTCTCTGAATTTTTCAGCTATTGCTAATGGAAGGTGCTGCCAATATAATAGGCAACACAGGTTCGTCTAACACAGGTCGGTCTAACACTGGTCCAAGTAATCAATCATCATATCTTATTTCTTTTCTTTTTCTTTTTTGTTTTTTTGAGACGGAGTCTCGCTCTGTCGCCCAGGCTGGAGTGCAGTGGCGTGATCTCGGCTCACTGCAAGCTCCGCCTCCTGGGTCCACACCATTCTCCTGCCTCAGCCTCCCAGGTGGCTGGGACTACAGGTGCCCGCCACCATGCTCGGCTAATTTTTTTTGTATTTTTAGTAGAGACAGGGTTTCACCGTGTTAGCCAGGATGGTCTCAATTTCCTGACCTCATGATCCGCCGTGCCCAGCCCTTATTTCTTAAGAATAGAAAACTGTAGGAATTTGCATAGTAGATCACCTGGTGAGACCTCAGTCCTATGGTGAGAAAAATTCTCTATAAAAGCTATATGGTCCATGATGTCATCCAACACCACATAAGCATATAAAATACATGATAAGGCTCTCCAGGAAAAAATATTCACAAGAAATAATGACTTCTTTCATCAGCTTAAAAGTGGGAAGAACTTATTTGATTAAAACCCTGTTTAAAATCGATTGTCTTGTTAGACTTCCCCTATCCATAATGAAATCATTACAGGGTTCTAATGTCAGGTGGAAAAGTGTTGACTATGGAGTTGTTTAGCCTCTGATCCTAGGATAAACCAAGCAGTTAAATAATTTCCAAAAGTACAAACAGACATTCCCCTCAAGTTATCCGGGCTTCTACAGGTACTTTTCAAGTGACCCACAAGCCCTATATTTTAAACAGCCACAGAAGTCAGAACCAAATTCAGGTTTCCAACAAACACTGTAAAATGCTATTCAGCAAAAGCTGCAGTTCCCCGTGGCAGCTTGTCAGGTGGTCAGTCAGTCTCAATTACTCTGGGTTCCTCTGCAATTGCTGTCATGACCGTGAGCCTCTCACGTTCTACTTGGCTGACAGCCCAGGTCTGAGGAAGTGAGAGCCAACAATCGCTTACTCAGCAGCGCATTGTGTCGCTTCAGGTATTCAATGGTGTCTCCTTGCTTTTCAACAATTTCTTCTAGGCTTGAAATAGTTCTGCAAGTAATCAAGATATAAATGGGTTACACATATTCACCAATACTCATTAGTGTCTTTGCAAATGAGTACCTACTAGTTTTTAGTAAAGCATATTGTATTTGCCACCTTTTCTTAGATGTCAGAAGCCAGGGTAATATTGCCAAATAAGATTATTTTCATAAATCATTTTAGTAACTTCTACTCTTGAAATAAATTTAAAATGCTATAAACTTTCACACCTCTATGTTTTAAAAAAGGCCATCATTGCTTTATTTAAGAAGGATCCTAATTTGTTAGAGTAAGATAATTGAGTATAAGTAATCAACTTAAATGGCGTTTAAAGATAAATAAAGGCAAAATTCATTCAATAATCAGATGACGATTAAAATAGACTACTCTGACCATGGGAAACAATTTTTTAAATGTATGGCATTTGTTTATTTTTGCATTTCTCCTTTTTTCTCCCATACCACAAAAATGTATCTTTTTGCACCTGACACAAATAAAAATATTATATAAGTATATAAAACAAACAAAAAAAATCTAACTCCTTCCTACACTACTGCCCCAACCCACTTCGGTCTCACTGCTCAGAAGTAATAGCTATAAAGTGTTTTTAATTTCCTTCCACTAATTTAAGATATTAGTACTAGGAATAGTGATGATGATAATGATAATGACAATAATATGCCAGATGAATTTTAATGTTGACTAAAAATTGCCTATTCAAGAAATAAAATGTTATTGGATGTGTTTTACTCAGATATTCTATATGTGCTAAAAGGGAACTATTTCAAGGGATGGTAAGTGAGAAATTCAGCATGAAAAATATCACATGGGAATGGTCCCATGTGAACAAAAAAGATTTATTCTTAGAAATAAATAGTTATGCTTATAAATAATGTGGTTACAGGAATGGGCTATGTAACCACATTACTATTATTATTATTTTTTGAGACAGAGTCTAGCTCTGTTGCCCAGGCTGGAGTGCAGTGGCATGATCTCTGCTCACTGCAACCTGCACCTCCTGGGTTTAAGCGATTCTCCTGCCTCAGCCTCCCAAGTAGCTGAGATTACAGGCGCCTGCCACCATGCCCAGCTAATTTTTGTATTTTTAGTAGAGACAGGGTTTTACCATGTTGGCCAGGCTGGTTTCAAACTCCTGACCTCAGGTGATCTGCCCGCCTCAGCTTCCCAAAGTGCTGGGATTACAGGTGTGAGCCACCGCGCCCAGCCAATAACCACATTATTTATAAGCATAACATGAAAAAAACTTTGAATATGCTATTATTTATAAGTATATTCGGAAAAAGACTATCTGAATTCTAATCCTGACTTTGTCACCCACAGACTGTGTGAACTTAATAAGTTACCTAAACTCTCTGGTCTTCAGAGGTTAACACAACAACAAACATTTAGCACTTAATATGTATAAACCACCTAGGAACCTCCCACTCTTTTTTTTTTTTTCTGAGCTGGGCTATTCACTGAAAAAATACTCTTTATATAAAGGTTTTCAAGTTATCTTGATGGAACTGAGAAGGGATATGCTCTGAGTAGAGTCAACTCTTGTATATACTGACTTTTTTTTTTTTGAGACCGAGTCTCTATTTTTTTTTTTTTGAGACGGAAACTTGCTCTGTTGCCCAGGCTGGAGCACAGTGGTGCGATCTCAGCTCACTGCAAACTCCGCCTCATGGGTTCATGCCATTCTCCTGCCTCAGCCTCCTGAGTAGCTGGGACTATAAGCGCCCATCATCACGCCCGGCTAATTTTTTTTTTTTTGTATTTTTCAGTAGAGATGGGGTTTCACCATATTAGCCAGGATGGTCTCGATATCCTGACCCCATGATCCACCCGCCTCGGCCTCCCAAAGTGCTGGGATTACAGGCGTGAGCCACCGTGTCCGGCAGAGACCGAGTCTTGCTCTGTGGCCCAGGCTGGAGTGCAATGGCGCAATCTCGGCTCACTGCAACCTCTGCCTCCCCGGTTCAAGCTATTCTTCTGCCTCAGCCTCTAGGATTACAGGCATGTACCACCATGCCCGGCTAATTTTTGTATTTTTAGTAGAGACGGGGTTTCACCATGTTGACCAGGCTGGTCTCAAACTGCTGACCTCAAGTGATCCACCCTCCTTGGCCTCCTATAGTGCTGGGATTACAGGCGTGAGCCACCATGACTGACCATCTTCTTTTTTTTTTTTTTTTTCAACACAGAGTCTCACTCCATTGCCCAGGCTGGAGTGCAGTGGCATGATCTCGGCTCACAGCAACCTCCGCCTCCAGGGTTCCCGCGATTCTCCTGCCTCACCCTCCCGAGTAGCTGGGACTACAGGCGTGCACCACCACACCCAGCTAATTTTTATATTTTTAGTAGAGATGGGGTTTCAGCACGTTGACCAGGCTGGTCTTAAACTCCTGACCTCAAGTGATCCACCCGCCTCAGCCTCCCAACGTGCTGGGAATACAGGCCTAAGCCACCACACCCAGACCTGGACATCGTCTATATACAGTAGACTTTCAATTAACATCCCTGTTCCCTGCCCTATGTTCCACTCCTGGGCATCCTGTTCATTTCTGAGTTCCAAGTCTCTCTGGGGCTACACAAAAAGAGTGGCTGCCTCCTTGGCTTTATTTCTCCCCGTGTCCTCTAAATGTAGCCTCTCTGCCCTGTGGTATTGTCTACCGCTCCTTCATCTGTATTCTGTAGCCCACACATTTTCAGAAATCACTCAACCATCGATGGTCCCTTTCTCCTCCAGTTTTTCTGCTAGTGTGGGTAGGTTGGTCTTTTTTAATCCTTCACTATCCTTTTGGAAGGATCTGGGGAGGGTGAAGGGATAAACGTGTGGCTAGATTTACCTTCTTTCATTGGAAGTTGATTCAAATTTTCAAACTGAGATGCATTTTCAAAGAAGCATTCCATACAAATTTTAAAAGTAAAAGAGGAATATAAACTGAATTTTTTTTTTTTTGGAACAAAGTTTCACTCTCGTTGCCCAGGCTGGAGTGCAATGGCGTGATCTCGGCTCACTGCAACCTCTGCCTCCCGGGTCCAAGCGATTCTCCTGCCTCAGCCTCCTGAGTAGCTGGGATTACAGGTGCGCACCACCACGCCCGGCTAATTTTTGTATACTCAGTAGAGACAGGGTTTCACCATGCTGACCAGGCTGGTCTGAACTTCTGACCTCAGGTGATGCACCCGCCTCGGCCTCACAAAGTACTGGGATTACAGGCGTGAGCCACCACGTCCGGCATAAACTGAATTTCATTGCCCCAAAGTTAACCCCATGAGGTGAAGGGAATACATTTTAAAAAGCTTTCCATTAAGTCATAAGAGAGCAATATTAGGTAAACTCTTCAGTGCTCAGGGGGAACAAGATGAAATATGAAAAGGGTCAAGGTCAGGAAGAACAGTCTCTGAATTTAATAAGCCCAAAAGTCAACAAAGAGATAATCAACAATTGATACTAAAGTTATTCCTCTATTTAGGTTAGAATGAAGAAAAAGAGTAAACAAAATAAGAAGGCAGATCATGGTAAGTGAAAAGTGACAAAAAAAAGTTGTATTTTCTAGGGGAAAGAATCTATTTCACTAAAGACACCTCCGTTTTCATAGTTCTGTACGTATTGAGAATTATAGACAGTATAATCCAGGCTTCAAGAAACCGAGGGTAAAGGATTCTAGAACTATCAAGATATCATCAGTTTACACTGTGGGACAGAGATAACGATCCCAAGAAGAACAACCTTGGACTTGCTGCTCATTAAGTGTTTGTTTTTGTTTTTTGTTCTTTTTTCTTTTTATTCATTAAGTATTTATATTCCACACTATAATAAAAAGCAATGTGCATCCTGATTCAACACTGTCACACCTGTGTTGTCACTTCACACCTGTGCCTAACAACAGTTCAGTTTATAAAAGCTAATTTAAAAATGACACTAATTCAAAAATTGGCCTTACTAAAAGCCAATACATTAAACTATATTTATTTCAACAACTGTTTTTAAAAGTATCTCTTTCCTTTATCTATAAAGTTTTTTGTTGTTGTTGTTTTGTTTCGAGACAGAGTCTTGCTCTGTTATCCAGGCTGGAGTGCAGTGGCGCAATCTTAGCTCACTGCAACCTCCGCCTCACAGGTTCAAGCGATTCTCCTGCCTCAGCCTCCTGAGTAGCTGGGACTACAGGTGTGCATCACTTTGCCCAGCTAATTTTTGTATATTTAGTAGAGATGGGGTTTCACCATATTGGTCAGGCTGGACTCAAACTCCTGACCTCGTGATCTGCCCACCTCAGCCTCTTAAAAGTGCTAGGATTACAGGCATGAGCCACCGCGCCCAGTCATGTTTTTTTCTTTTTCTTTTTTTAACTAGTACATCAGTAATGGCACTGAGTCCATTTCTTAAGCCCCTAAGTAATACACTTTCTTTTTTTTGTTTGAGATGGAGTCTCGCTCTGTTGCCCAGGCTGGAGTACAGTGGCGCCATCTTGGCTCACTGCAACCTCTGTCTCCCGGGTTCAAGCGATTCTCCTGCCTCAGCCTCTCAAGTAGCTGGGATTACAGGTATGCGCCACTGTGCCTGGCTAGTTTTTGTATTTTTAGTAGAGATGGGGTTTCATCATGTTGGCCAGGCTGGTCTTGAACTCCTGACCTCAGGTGATCTACCCACCTCGGCCTCCGAAAGTGCTGGGATTACAGGCGTGAGCTGCCCCACCTGGCCCACACTTTCTTTATATATACTGACTATATTCTTATGTCTGTTGCTATCCACTTCAGATGATGTTAAGGAATAACTCGTGTCCCAGATTATATAGATCCAAAAGCAGGATGAGAAGAACCACAGACATGGCCAGGAGTGGTGTAATCATGCCTGTAATCCCAGCACTTTGGGAGGCCGAGGTGGATGGATCACTTGAGGTCAGGAGTTTGAGACCAGCCTGGCCAACATGGTGAAACCTTGTCGCTACTAAAAATACAAAAATTAGCTGGGCATGTATAGTTTTTTACATCTACTTTAGCCCCAAGATCTCCAACAGATATGAATGATATTTTAATTACCATGGAAGTCACTTAGGGAGAGACTGGATAGAAACAAGGGTGGGCAGACCGGGCTGGCTGTTTGGGAGGCTGAAATGGGAGGATTGCTTGAGCCCAGGAGTTTGAGGCCAGCCTGGGCAATACAGAGAGACTCTATCCCTTAAAAAGAAAATAACAGGCCGGGCGAGGTGGCTCACGCCTGTGATCCCAGCACTTTGGGAGGCTGAGGCGGGCGGATCACCTGAGGTCAGGAGTTCAAGACCAGCCTGACCAACATGGAGAAACCCCATCTCTACTAAAAATACAAAATTAGCCAAGCGTGGTGGTGCATGCCTGTAATCCCAGCTACTGGGAGGCTGAGGCAGGAGAATCGCTTGAAACTGGGAGGTGGAGACTACGGTGAGCCAAGATCATGCCACTGCACTCCAGCCTGGGCAACAAGAGCAAAACTCCATCTCAAAAAAAAAAAAAAAAAAAAGACACCTATAAAAAAAGGTGCTTCAAGGAGGGAGTAACCAGTTAATGATGTCAAAAGCTCTTGAGAGGTTAAATAGGTTGGCTAAGTGGTTAATTTTTTGCATCAAATATATGGCCTATTTAATACATTTACACATCCTGATTTAGACTTGATTTCACCACAGCTGAAAGGAAATAAACAAATCAAACAAATGTAAAAGTACAAATACACAATCATAAATTCCAAGCATCAGAATGGTTTCTAGCTTTCTAGGGGAAAAAACTCAATTATTTTATTCTCACCTAAATCTTACCTGAATCCAGTCTCCGAGGTAATATTGCTGGGGTAAGCATAGATTTTTTCTTCTTCAAGTATATCAGGCTCTGGTTTAGCTTTATTAAATCTCCGGATTTTCACTAAAATAATAAAGTCATTATTAGATCGAATTCTGAAAGACAAGTCTAGTTTCATTTTTTCAAATTATGCTAATTTGCCGTTCTTATTAACGTCCTTGAGTATTTCAAATTCTACTATGTGCCAGGCCTGTTCTAAGCCCTGGGAATATAGGGATTACATTAGTATTGAAATAGCAATAATAGCTGACATTTATTGTGCACTTAGAACACATGAGGCACAGTTTAAATGTTTTACATGGATGCCCTCATTCAGTTCTCATAAACACCTGCATGAAGTGGATGCTCCTATTACCCCGCAGTGAAGCCCAGAGAAGTTGAGCAACCAGCCAGCCATCTAATTCAGAAATCATGACTTCCTCTGGTCCAGGGGAAAATACAGATAATAATCCTACATTCTAAGACAGTATGGAAAGTACCTTCAATAGAAGCTTGTGCAAGAGGCTTGCACAAGGAGTTGTCAAGCTGCTTTTTGGCCTGGAAAGCAGTGCCTAACTCAACAGGAGGTATCAGAGAGGGGAAAAGAGGATAGAGTTTGAGCCCAGGAATTAATCACACAGACTAGGAGAATAAAGAAGGGTGCTTCAGGTGCAGGAGGAGTCTGAACAAATGCTATGGTCTTGAGAAGCTACACGTATGTATGGGTGTGAGGGTGTATGGACAAGGGGTGGGTTGGGAAGATAGGCAGAGAATGCATCAGGAGTGGCTGGTGTGTCATGCAAGGCATTTACACTTTTTTTTTTTTTTTTTTTGAGACGGAGTCTTGCTCTGTCGCTCAGGCTGGAGTGCAGTGGCACAACCTTGGCTCACTGCAACCTCTGTCTCTGCCTCCTAGGTTCAAGCAATTCTCCCACCTCAGCCTCCCGACTGGGATTACAGGCGTGCACCACCACACCCAGCTAATTTTTTTTGTATTTTCAGTAGAGACGGTGTTTCACCATGTTGGCCAGGCTGTTCTCAAACTCCTGGCCTCAAGTGATCCACCCGCTGAGGCCTCCCAAAGTGCTGGGATTACAGGCGTGAGTCACCAGGCCCGGCCTAAGACATTTAGATTTTATCCTCAGAGCAACTGGCAGTCTTTGAAAGGATCTCACCATCATCCCTGAAGAGCAGGCTAGGTAGAGGCCATTCAAGGAGAACCTTTCAGGCTGGGCATGGTGGCTCATGTCTGTAATCCCAGCACTTTGGGAGGCCGAGGCGGATAGATGACCTGACATCCGGAGTTTGAGACCAGCCTGGCGAACATGATGAGATGCTGTCTTTACTAAAAACACAAAAATTAGCTGGGTGTGGTGGTAGGCGCCTATAATCCCAGCCACTCAGGAGGCTGAGGCAGGAGAATCGCTTAAACCCAGGAGGCGGAGGTTGCAGTAAGCTGAGATCACGCCATTGCACTCCAGCCTGGGTGACGAGAGTGAAACTCCAACTCAAAAAAAAAATAAAGAAAATGCCTTTTATGCCACATGAAAACGTTAGATTTTTTTTCCTTCAGCTATTAGAAAACTCTGGGCAGGGAAGCTGTTAACAATCAGAGTTAAGTATAAACAAGATCATGTTGGCAGGAATAAGAAATATGAATCAGTGGACAGAGGGAAAGAGACCTGTTATGTGTCTCCTGGATGTAGCCATGCAAGAGATGATGAGTACCTAACCAAGGCAGTGGCAGGGACCAAAGAAAAGAGACAGAGCTGAAAGACAGGTAGACTGAATAAGACTGATGACTGACTGATCACCAATCCTATCCAGTTCTTGGGGAGTGAGGTAGAAGGAAGAAGGTAGATGACTCCTACGTTTCTAGGATTCTGATTTATCAAGTGGATGCAGGCTGGTATTGTTAACTGAGCTAGAAGAGGACGGTTAGGATGGAGGGAAATTTTGAAGAAAATTATGTTCTGTTCACTTCTGATCTTGTTGGTGCCTGTGGGACATGTGGATGAAAACTTCATTAAGCAGATGAATATATACAATTTGGGGCTGGGTGCGGTGGGTCATGCCTGTAATCCCAGCACTTTGGGAGGCCAAGGCGGGCGGATCACCTGAGGTCAGGAGTTAGAGACCATCCTGGCCAACATGACGAAACCCCATCTCTATTAAAGTGCTAGCCTCCTAAAGTGCTAGGATTACAGACATGAGCCACTGTGCCTGGCCTATTTCTTAATTTTTAATTTTAAATGCAAGCTGACATTTCAGCTGCCTTCAGAGAAGCAAAAGTTTGTGGATGTTTTTGTTGTTGTTGTTTTAGGAGACAGGGTCTTACTCTGTCACCCAGGCTGGAGTGCAGGCATGTGATCTTGGCTCACTGCAACCTCTGTCTCCCAGGCTCTAGTGATCCTCCCACGTCAGCCTCCTGAGGGGCTGGGACCACATTTGTGCACCACCATACCTGGCTAATTTTTTGTATTTTTTGTAGAGATGGAGTTTCATCATGTTGTCCAGGCTGGTCTTGAATTCCAGAGCTCAAGTGATCCTTCTGCCTCATCCTCCCAAAGAGCTGGGATTACAGGCTTGAGCCACCATTCCCAGCCCAAAAAGTTTGTGTCTTGTTTTAATGGAAAAGTTTCACTTGCATTAACAAAAATTTATTAATGACACAATCTTAAAAGAATGGGGTCTCACTGGTGGTGGCTGTACCTTCCTGTTGGTTTGAAATTAAAGAAGTCTGCATGTGGTCACCACTCAGATACACAGAGAACTTCCTTGTCGCTAATGGGCTATACTTTAAACTGGGAGGAAAGGAAGCAGTTCGAAGTTCCTATAAGAACAGGCTCGTTGTAATTCTCACCTGTGTAAATGAGGAGACATATCAGGGAACAGATGAGTTCCAGTGCCAAGATGGCCAGAATGAGGTCAAGATACAATCTGCCAGGCTCTGGGAAGGAGTGCTGCATGCACAGTATGAGGAGAAGCACTGTGTTGCCTGAGGAGGAGAAACATAAAACACAGCATGTGATGAGAAATACATATATGGTCTTTGTCCAATAGATAGTTGGTCTTTGTCTGGTTCCTTACACAGAGCTCCTAAAACACTTGTAATTTCCTGAGTGATCAGAGCCTTCAGAAATGAAGACCCAGGCCAGGTGCAGTGGCTCACACCTGTAATGTCAGCATTTTGGGAAGTCAAGACAAGAGGATTGCTTGAGCCCAGGTGGTCGAGACCAGCTTAGGCAACATAGCAAGACCCCATCTCTATAAAAAAATATAAAAAATTAGCCAGGCATGGTGGCACACATCTGTAGTTCCAGCTACCTGGGAGGCTAAGGTGGGAGGATTGCTTGAGCCTGGGAGGTTGAGGCTGCAGTGAGCTGAGGTCGTGTCACTGCACTCCAGCCTGGGCAACAGAGCAAGACCCTACTGCAAAAAAAAAAAAAAAAAAAAAAAAAAGGAAAAGAAATGAAAGACCCAGAGAAAACTATTCTTATGCTTAGGTTTGATGAAGAATGGACAGCCATGTAGAAATGTGAGTGGACAAAGTATGATCTACTGGGAATAGACTGAAGGGGCAAACCCAGCAAGACCTGTCTATTCAGGTTCTTCTCGGCCTCTCTGTGTAGACTCCTCACCCCCAACCCTCCTGCCATATAGGGCAGGACCCCTCTGAAATAAGGGTCTTCAAGGGAAAAGGGTAAAGGGAGAAAGGGTTCTCTTTTTTTTTGGAGACGGAGTCTCACTCTGTCGCCCAGGCTGGAGTGCAGTGGCGCTATCTCGGCTCACTGCAAGCTCCACCTCCCAGGTTTCACGCCATTCTCCTGCCTCAGCCTCCCGAGTAGCTGGGACTACAGGCGCCCGCCACCACGCCCGGCTAATTTTTAAAATATTTTTAGTAGAGACAGGGTTTCACCGTGTTAGCCAGGATAGTCTTGATCTCCTGACCTCGTGATCGGCCCGCCTCGGCCTCCCAAAGTGCTAGGATTACAGGCGTGAGCCATTGCACCCAGCCGAAAGTGACCTTTCTAGATTTTATGGCCTGCTTTGGGAGAGAGGAGTCTAGTTTCTATGGCCTGCCTTTGGGAAGAAGAGTTCTGGTTTCTATGACTGGCCAGGGGAGAAAGAAGGACAAGAAACAGGAGGGCCGGAAGGCAGAGAGACTTTGCTTCTGAGCCCCTCCCAATCTTCTTTAGTTTGGAGTACTCAGCATGCCAAAGCCCTGCACTTTGGAGTATGGTGTTCTGAATCCCAACAGGTATATTTGGTTTTTGTATAGAGTTCCTAAAACCCTTGGAATTTCCTGATAGAAGTGTCTTTTAGGCCAGGCGCGGTGGCTCACGCCTGTAATCCCAACACTTTGGGAGGCCAAGGTGGGTAGATCACCTGAGGTTGCGAGTTCGAGACCAGCCTGACCAACATGAAGAAACCCCATCTCTACTAAAAATACAAAATTAGCTGGGCGTGCTGGCATATGCCTGTAATCCTAGCTACTTGGGAGGCTGAGGCAGGAGAATCACTTGAACCCGGGAGGTGGAGGTTGCGGTGAGCCAAGATCGTGGCACTGCACTCCAGCCTGGGCAACAAGAGCGAAACTCCGTCTTGGAAAAAAAAAAAAAAAAAAAAAAAATGCATGGTGGCAGGACACGCCTGTAGTCCCAGTCACTTGAGAGTTTGAGGTGGTAGAATTGCTTGAACCCGGGGGGCAGAGTTTGCAGTGAGCCGAGATCACACCACTGCACTCCAGCCTGGTGACAGAGCGAGACTCCATTTCAAAAAAAAAAAAAATCTATTGAACAATGAGTTCTGATGAACTTCTGGGTTGCCAGGAGGGTGGTGCACCCCAACTCCACGTGGACAGAAGCTCCTGTACTTGGGACCCTGCTGGACCTCACGCAATGTACCTCTTCATCTGGCTGTTCATCTATCTCCTTTACAACAAACCATAAAACATAAAAGTGTTTCCCTGAGTTTTGTGAACCATTCTAGCAAATTACAGAACTCAAGAAGAGAGGGGCCAGGTGTGGTGGCTCACACTTGTAATCCCAACACTTTGGGAGGCTGAGGCAGGTGGATCACTTGAGGTCAGGAGTTCGAGAGCAGCATGGCCAAGATGGCGAAACCCTGTCTCCACTAAAAATACAAAAACTAGCTGGTGTGGTGGTGCACATTTGTAATCCCAGCTATTTGGGAGGCTGACACAGGAGAATCACTTGGTCCCGGAAGGTGGAGGTTGCAGTGAGCTGAGATCGTGCCACTGCACTCCAGACTCCAGACTGGGCGACGGAGAGAGACTCTGTCTCAAAAAAAAAAAAAAAAAAAGGTCATAGAAACCCTAGTATATAGCTGGTAGGTCAGAAGTACGGGAAGCATAGTGGCCAGGCACGGTGGCTCAAGCCTGTAATCCCAGCACTTTGGGAGGATGAGGCGGGCGGATCACAAGGCCAGGAGATTGAGACCATCCTGGCTAACACAGTGAAACCCCGTCCCTACTAAAAATACGAAAAAAATTAGCCAGGCGTGGTGGCGGGCGCCTGTAGTCTCAGCTACTCAGGAGGCTGAGGCAGGAGAATGGCCTGAAACCCGGGAGGCGGAGCTTGCAGTGAGCTGAGATAGCGCCACTGCACTCCAGCCTGGGTGACAGAGCGAGACTCCATTTCAAAAAAAAAATACAGAAGTATGGGAAGCATGGTCTTTCAATTGACATCTGAAATAGGGAGAGTCTTGTGGGATTGAGCCCTTTAATTTGTGGGATCTAAGACTAGAGCCCTTTCATTTGTGGGATCTAAGACTATCTGAGGATAGATGGTGCTATAATTGGATTATGTTGAAGGACACCCAGATGGTTTCTGCTGAAGAACTGAATTAAACTGTTGTAGGGAAAACTCCACACATCTAGTTTAGTAAGAAGTGTTCTATGTAGGAACGTAGAAAAGCAGTTTTTTCAGACAACATGTTAGAGCTCAGCACTGACACCCACAAGGGCATACCCACACACAAAACTATTTATTCTTAGCAGCAAAGGAAGTTAAAGGATAAAAACAAAATACTCCTAAATTTTGGGGAAAATGGAAAAAAAATCTACACATCTAAGAGTTAATAATGGCCCATAATACAACTATATAAAAACCTGGACTTTCTTAAAAACTTAGGAATGATTTTTTGCTTTACAGAATTATTGACAATTACTTCCTTTAGGTACCCAGTGCAAGTAAAAAGTGATGCCATTTTTAGAAGTTTGCATTTAAGACACAAAAAAGAAACAAAAAGTTTCCATTAGACCAGTTCTTCAGGACCCACATGGTGGGAATCCTAGGAGCCCATTCTGGTCACCTGGTACAGCAACAGCAGAACTAAAGAATGATTAAGAGTATGCCCATGATCCAGACTACCTGGATGAAAATCCAGGACAAGTTACCTAGTATCTCTGCTCTTCCATGTCCCCATCTAAAAAATGGGGATAACAGTACCTTTCTCACAATGCTGTTCTTTCTTAATGCTGTTCTTTTTTTTTTTTTTTTTTTTTTTTTTTGAGATGGAGTCTTGCTCTGCTGCCCAGGCTGGAGTGCAAAGGTGCAATCTCAGCTCACTGCAACCTCTGCCTCCTGGGTTCAAGTGATTATCCTGCCTCAGCCTCCTGAGCAGCTGGGATTACTGGCATGTGCCATCATGTCCAGCTAATTTTTGTATTTTCAGTAGAAACGGGGTTTCACCATGTTAGCCAGACTGATCTTGAACTTCTGACCGCAAGTGATCCGCGAGCCTCGGCCTCCCAAAGTGCTGGGATTACAGGCGTAAGCCACCGCACCCGGCCCACAGTGCTGTCCTAGGGAGTGAGTTAGTATGTAAAAAATACTTAGAACAGTGCCTGGCCTGTAAATATTCAATAAATATTACCTGTTTGCACCCCCTACCACACACTCAGCATATCTATTATTTACTTATGAGGACCATTTTAAACTCTTTTTGCACTTTTATTCTGACAAATATCAAAGAGAAGTTTAGGGGCAGACTCTGTAGCATCTTATCTTAGATTTTTCTAAAGCTTATTTAACATATTTATGTGAGTCTGATCCTGAGAGGGAAAACGCTGTTTTCATTTATCTTCTATTGCTTGATACAAAAGAAATGATTGTGAGCCAAAGATCCTTGCTGAAAGAACCCCCATCCAAACTAACTACACAAGCCTAGGAGTTTGAGGCTACACTGAGCTATGACAGCACAAATGACATAGCTACACTGAGCTATGACAGCACTCCAGCCTAGGCAACAGAGCGAGACCTTGTCTCTTAAAAAAAAAATAATAAAAATAAATAAAAAAAGTTTTGACAAAATATCACTGGATTAAAAAAAAAAGTAACAACACAAAGCTACCTTCTAGCAAGCCCACTCACCCAATGACCTGCCACAGTATATTAGCATATTGACAGATTCTTTGTAAATCAGTTTTGTGAACAAGATAAATACAGTTTTATGGTTTTTTTTTCTTCTTTTTTTTTTTTTTTTTGAGATGGAGTTTTGCTCTGTCACCAAGGCTGGAGCGCGGTGGCACGATCTCAGCTCACGGCAACCTCTGCCTCCAGGGTTCAAGTGATTCTCCTGCCGCGGCCTCCTGAGTAGCTGGGATTACAGATGCCCGCCACCATGCCTGGCTAATTTTTGTGTTTTTAGTAGAGACGGGGTTTCACCATGTTGGCCAGACTGGTCTCGAACTCCTGACCTCGTGATTCACCCGCCTCGGCCTCCCAAAGTGCTGGGATTACAGGTGTGAGCCACCGCGCCTGGCCAATACAGTTTTACAACATTTAGGAAAGAAATACATGCTAGGAAAAAAAACTTCTGCAGAGAAATGAAAGAGTTTTCAAAGGATTTTCAAGGTACTGGGCAAATCCTATGTACTAGCAAGTTTGCAGTCTGGTGGGAAAGCCATACTGAAATAAAACATTCCTTATAATGGTATGTGCTGTGGACATTACACAAGTACCCTCCTTGAAGAAGACCACCCTGTACAATATCTTAGTTCAGATGAAAGTCACTTCACCTCTGGGTTACCACACCAGCCTCCTTATCAGTTTTGTGCTAACCAAATACACTCTCCAGTTATACAGTTATACAGTAATAGTCTAATAATGGTGACTTTTTTTTGAAACAGTCTTACTCTGTTGCCCAGGCTGGTGAGATCTCAGCTCACTGCAACCTCTGCCTCCCCAGTTCAAGCAATTCTTGGCCTCCCTAGTAGCTGGAATTACAGGCACCCGCCACGCCACCATGCCCAGCTAATTTTTGTATTTGTTTTGTTTTGTTTTTTTGAGTCGGAGTTTTGCTCTTGTTGCCCAGTTGGGAGTGCAATGACATGATCTTGGCTGACTGTAACCTCCGCCTCCCAGGTTCAAGCGATTCTTCTGTCTCAGCCTCCTGAGTAGCTGGGATTACAGGCACCTGCCACCATGCCTGGCTAATTTTTTGTATTTTTAGTAGAGAGGGGGTTTCACCATGTTGGCCAGGCTGGTCTCGAACTCCTGACCTCAGGTGATCTGCCCGCCTTGGCCTCCCAAAGTGCTGGGATTACAGGCGTGAGCCACAGCACCTGGCCTAATTTTCGTATTTTTAATAGAGACAGGTTTTCACCATGTTGGCCAAGCTGGTCTGGAACTCCTGGCCTCAAGTGACCCGCCTGCCTTAGCCTCCCAAAGTGCTGGGATTACAGGTGTGAGCCACCATGCCCGGCCTAGTTTGGTGTTTTTTAAATGATTTTATAACCATAGACATAGTCTAAGTGCTTTTTGTTTTACATCACTCACCGTTTTAAAGATTCTAGGCTGGCGGTGGCTCCTGAGGTCGAAAGTTCAAGACCAGCCTGACCAACAGGGAGAAACCCCATCTCTACTAAAAAAACAAAATTAGACGGGTGGGGCGGTGCATGCCTGTAATCCCAGCTACTCGGGAGGCTGAGGCAGAAGAATCGCTTGAACCCGGGAGGCGGTGGCTGCAGTGAGCTGAGATCGTGCTATTGCACTCCAGCCTGGGTGACAGAGCGAGACTCTGTCTCAAAAAAAAAAAAGAAAAGGAAAAAAAGAACATTCTAGGCCAGGTGCAGTGGCTCACGCCTGTAATCCCAACATTTTGGGAGGTCAAGGCAGGTGGATCAGTCGAGGTCGGGAGTTCAAGTCCAGCCTGACCAACACGGTGAAACCCTGTCTCTACTAAAAATACAAAATTAGCTGGGCATGGTAGCGCACACCTGTAATCCCAGCTACTCAGGAGGCTGAGGCAGTAGTATCACTTGAACCCAGGAGGTGGAGGTTGCAGTGAGCCAAGATCGCACCACTGCTTTCCAGCCTGGGCAACAAGAGTGAAACTCAGTCTCAAAAAAAAAAAAAAGATTCTAAGGTTAATGCTTGCTATTCATTAAGAATATTTGGAAGAAATAAGTTCCTGTGGGCTGGGCGGTCCTGTAATGACCACAGGCTGAGAGCTACCATGCCTGGGCTCCAGTGTAGGATCTGATGCCTCCTAGAAACGAAACCCATGATCTCACCCAGACCTGGACTCCTACACTATAAGATGGGGGAAATAATGCTTATCACACAGGGTTCTGGTAGGAAGAAATGAACTAACAATGCCTAAGTAGACATGTAGTAAATGCCATATATCATTATTATTATTAAAACAAGAATTCTGATTTTCAATTCCAGGCACATGCTATGCAGCCCCTCCTCTAAACAAAACTCACAGGGGACTTGAAGTCAGATGCTATGCTACAGGAGAGACCCAGCTGCTCTGGCTTACCCCAGGGCACCAGGCCCAGACATCAGTGAGGACTCCAGCAGGCATTTCTACAAGTCAACTAAGACAGTCTCTGGCCCTCCCAAAGAATGTGGGCCATGAGAACTAGAGGTGAGCAGGAAGGACACAATCACTATGCCCTCGGGTCCTACAATTCCTGCCAGGAATTCCTTCCAGAATTTACCTTCAAGAGCAGTTTCCTTGAACTGCACTTTTGCATGTCCTCAGCCTCTGGCTTTACACTTTTAGGCCCCAGAGAGACTGACTGGACCCACATGATGGGTTGAAAATTACTATTTTCAGTGAAGGACCAAGTTTTCATTTCAATGTGAAAAAAGCCCCAAATATGCAACTTGGCTATGTAACTAATAATACTTGATTTTTAAAAATTTTTTTTTAAAAATGGAGTCTCACTCTGTCACTCAGGCTGGAGTGCAGTGGCGCCATCTTCGCTCACTGCAACCTCCACCTCCCAGGTTCAAGCAATTCTCCTGCCTCAGCCTCCTGAGTAGCTGGGATTATAGGCGCCCACCACCACCCCAGTCATGCCCAGCTAATTTTTTTTTTTTTTTTTTGTATTTTTAGTACAGACAGGGTTTCACCATGTTGGCCAGGCCTGTCTTGGACTCCTGACATCAGGTGATCTGCCTGCCTCGACCTCCCAAAGTGCTGGTGTTACAGGCGTGAGCCACTGCACCTGGCCCAAATACATTTTGAACTCAAATATTATTAGGCCGGGCGCAGTGGCTCATGCCTGTAATGCCAGCACTATGGGAGGCCAAGGGGAGCGGATCACCTGAGGTTAGGAGTTCGAGACCAGCCTGGCCAACATGGTGAAGCCTCGTCTCTACTAAAAATATAAAAATTAGCTGTGTGTGGTGGTGCGTGCCTGTAGTCTAGCCTGGAGAGGCTGAGGCAGGAGAATCAGTTGAACCTGGGAGGCAGAGGTTGCAGTTAGCTGAGTTCATACCACTGCACTCCAGCCTGGACAACAGAGCAAGACTCTCAAAAAAAAAATTATATATATATATATGTATTTGGATCTAAGGAAGGAGAACAGATTAATCAGGTAAATATTTTCACTTGGTAGGAAAGCAAAGCCCTTTCTCCCATCTCCACCCAAAGGTAAATAATTTTTTTTCTTCTCTGGAAAATAACAAAATATATCAGGCTGAAGTTAATATTATCAGTACTGTTATCTGTAAGTCCTACATCCTACATCTCCATAGATTTATCTTTTTTTTTTTTTGCAAATAAGAAAAAATATTTTAAAAAATAGAAATAAGGTAAGTACCTGCTCCATTCCGTTTGATTTTCTGGGTTTTCACATGAGCCACATAAACGTGATATCACCTGTGATTCTAAAGGTCCAAGTGTTCAGAAATAGATTATGATTACGGCTCACATGTTTAACAAAAATTTGAAAGGCAGATTTTGGAAAGGTAAAGATCAAATAATCTCCTTGTGAGCTTCCAAAATACTATTTCCAGACCATCACTTGAGAAACTGAGTATTATTTTGGTCACAGATCATATAAGATCTTTTGTAGTTTAAAATTAAGTTTTTTCTTTTTTTTTAATCTTTGTGTTACCCTGACATCTTCTGGCCAAAAGAGAGAGCTGCACATCAACAGTTGAACATTCTCAAGCTCATTCTCACAAGAGGCAGGGAGCAATAAATGCTTCCCCTTCAAGAGCAGTCAGGATCACCCAACTCTATAAACTGCTTCACGCTGATATAGCATAGCCCTTCAGCTTCCACTGAGAATTTCACTGAGTAGATGAACTTGCAGCATGCCCTTTAAGAAAATGCACTAACAGGCCGGGCGCGGTGGCTCATGCCTGTAATCCCAGCACTTTGGGAGGCCGAGGCCGGCGGATCACAAGGTCAGGAGATCGAGACCATCCTGGCTAACACGGTGAAACCCCGTCTCTACTAAAAATACAAAAAATTAGCCAGGCGTGGTGGCGGGCGAATGCAGTCCCAGCTACTCGGGAGGCTGAGGCAGGAGAATGGCCTGAACCCGGGAGGCGGAGCTTGCAGTGAGCCGAGATAGCGCCACTGCACTCCAGCCTGGGTGACAGAGCGAGACTCCATCTCAAAAAAAAAAAAAAAAAGAAAAAAGAAAATGCACTAACAGAACAGAAGAAAAATAAAAGTTAAATTCTGTGGAGCCTTTTTTTTTTTTTTTTGGAGAAAAAAATCTCTAATTTGATCCAATTTTTTTTTCTTTTTTTATAGAGGGGGGTGTCACTCTTTCACCTAGGCTGGAGTGTGGTGCATAATCATAGCTCACTGCAGCCTCAAACTCCTGGGCTCAAGTGGATCCTCCCACCTCAGCCTCCCAAGTAGCTAGGACTACAGGCACAGGCTACCACACATGACTAATTTATTTATTTTATTTTATTTTACTTATTTATTTATTTATTTTGAAATAGAGATTTATTTATTTATTTAGAGATCGAGTCTCACTCTGTCACCCAGGTTGGAGTGGCACGATCTCAGCTTACTGCAATCTTGATCTCCCGGGTTCAAGCGATTCTCAGCCTCCTGAGTAGCTGGAATTACAGCCACCTGCCATCACACCCAGCTAATTTTTGTATTTTTAGTAGAGATGGGGTTTCATCATGTTGACCAGGCTGGTCTCAAACTCCTGACCTCAAGTGATCCTCCCGCCTCAGCCTACCAAAGTGCTGAGATGCTAGCATTACAGGCATGAGCCACCGTGCCCGGCCTTAATTTTTTTTTTAGACAGAGTTTCGCTCTTGTCACCCAGGCTGCAGTGCAATGGTATGATTGCAGCTCACTGCAACCTCTGCCTCCCGGATTCAAGCAATTCTCCTGCCTCAGCCTCCCGAGTAGCTGGGATTACAGTTGCCCGCCACCACGTTCAGCTAATTTTTGTATTTTTAGTAGAGACAGGGTTTCACCATGTTGGCCAGGCTGGTCTCGAACTCCTGACCTCAGGGAATCTACCCGCCTCGGCCTCCCAAAGTGCTGGGATTATAGGCGTGAGCCACCACGCCCAGGAATTTCTTTTTTTTTTTAAAACTTAACTTGGTGCTCATTTGTTACAGCACTAAATTTCTCATTTTTGGTAGAGATGGGGGAACTCACTATGTTGCCCAGGCTGGTCTCGAACTCCTGGCCTCAAGCAATCCTCCTACCTTGGCCTCCCAAAGCTCTGTGATTATAGGCATGAGCCACCATGCCCAGCCTGGATTCAAAAAAAATTTTTTTTTCTTTTTCCTTCTTTTTCTTTTTCTCGCTGCCTCCTCCAAGTAGGAAGACTACATATGGATTCAAGTTTTTTTTTCTTTTGAGGCAGTGTTCCGCTCTTGTTGCCCAGGCTGGAGTGCAGCGGCATGACTTCGGCTCACTGTAACCTCTGCCTCCCAGGTTCAAGCGATTCTCCTGCCTCAGCCTCCCAAGTAGCTGGGACTACAGGCGCGTGCCACCACACCCGGCTAATTTTCGTTTGTATTTTTAGTAGAGATGAGGTTTCACCATGTTGGCCAGGCTGGTCTCGAACTCCTGACGTCAGGTGATCCTTCCGCTTCGGCCTCCCAAAGTGCTGGGATTACAGGCATGAGCCACCGAGCCTGGCCTGGATTCAAAAATTTTTAAGATTTATTCTGGACTCAAATTGAAAAACAGGATCTTTTTAAAAGGTAGAAACTAAGTTATTTACTACAACTTTTTTTCTTTCTTTTTTTTTTTTTTTTTTTTGAGATGGGGTCTCACTCTGTCACCCAGGCTGGAGTCTGGAGTGCAGTGGCATGATCTCGGCTCAAGCAATTCTCCCACCTCAGCTTCCAGAGTAGCTGGGACCACAGGGGCACACCACCACACTTGGCTAATTTTTGTGTTTTTAGTAGAGAGGGGTTTCTCCATGTTGCCCAGGCTGGTCTCAAACTCCTGACCTCAAGGGATCTGCCCACCTCAGCCTCCCAAAGTGCTGGGATTACAGGCATGAGCTACTGTGCCCGGCCATTTACTATAACTTAATGCCAAATTTACCTAAAGAAGTTCAATTTAATTCCATTAAATCTTTAAAATGTCTGCAACGATAAAGAAAAGCAAGTACTCATGCATTCTAAGTCTCATGTGGACCTTCTGATCTTGCCTTCATAAATTAGGACCTGTGTGTTTTCCAAGTTTTCTGTTTGATATAATGCATCTCACTGCCTAACAGTCCTCTATCCTAGGAACTAACCATTACTGTCTCCTACTGCAAGAAAAGCACTGAGCTTCATTTTTAAAAAGTTCCCACCAGGACTGGCTCACACCTGTAATCCTAGAGCTTTGGGAGCCTGAGGCAGGAGGGTTGTTTGAGGCCAGGAGTTCCAGTGACCAACCTGGGCAACATGGTGAGAACCTGCTTCTACATAAAATGTTTAAAAAAATTAGCCGGGTGTGGTGGCATGCACCTGTAGTCTCAGCTACTCAGGAGGCTGAGGTGGGAGGATTGCTTAAGCCCAGGAATTCCAGGCTACAGTGAGCCATGAAGGCCCCACTGCCTTTCAGTCTTGGGTGACAGAGCAAGGCCCTGCCTCAGAGAAAATAAAATAAAATTTAAAAATTCCCTCTCCCTATCCTCAGAAATGTCAAATAGCAACAGCATTTCTATCTTTATGAGATGAGTAAACCACCTGGTAACAAAAGAGGGTATAATTCCACACTTCACACATGCTATGAGGACACCATGTTCATAACAAATAACAGATTTCAAATGAAAATTAAGGCTATATATTTCATAATAAAAGTTCTTTTTTTTTTTTTTTTGAGATGGAGTCTCGCTGTGTTGCCAGGCTGGAGTGCAGTGGCACAGTCTCAGCTCACTGCAACCTCTGACTCCCTGGTTCAAGCAATTCTCCTGCCTCAGCCTCCTGAGTAGCTGGGATTACAGGCATGCACCACCACGCCCAGCTAATTTTTGTATTTTTAGTAGAGACGGGGTTTCACCATGTTGGCCAGGATGGTCTCGATCTCCTGACCTCGTGATCTGCCCACCTCAGCATTCCAAAGTGCTGGGATTATAGGCGTGAGCCACCGCACCCGGCCAAGAAAAGCTTTAAGACATTAAGGTGATCCAAATTTTAGTGGTCAGAACACACATCAACCTTACAAAAATGAGAGAATATATTTGATTCTAAAATCAAACTTCATATATTCTTTCTGCTGTCATTTTTGTCCCTCAAGCACCCAAGTAGCTGAGAGAAAATTGGACATACCAGAGGACTGTATCATCAACGCAAGTCTCTTGAGATGCCTTGTTGATCGGTAGATCAAGTTATAGCCTCGGTTTCTGATTTTGCTGTGGTGATACTGGATGTAGCATTCAAGGAGTAAATGGAGAATCCACAAAATAACTTTCCCAAGGATTATAACCGTCTGAACTTTCAATGGGTTTGTGTAATTTCCTGGGCACTTGTCCTCATTTGGATTAGGATAAGAACAAAGCACACCTGTTAAAAATGCTAAAACAACAAACACGAGCTGGGGGAAAGGAGAGCAGAAAGATTAATATTCAATATTTGTAATTAGGAAGCAATAACTACCATCCCAGCATACATTCTTTTTTTTTTTTTTTTTTTTTCTGAGACAGAGTCTCACTCTGTCGCCCAGGCTGGAGTGCAGTGGCGCAATCTCGGCTTACTGCAAGCTCCACCTCCCGGGTTCACGCCATTCTCCTGCCTCAGCCTCCCGAGTAGCTGGGACTACAGGCACCCGCCACCACGCCTGGCTAACTTTTTGCATTTTTAGTAGAGACGGGGTTTCACCATGTTAGCCAGGATGATATCGATCTCCTGACCTCATGATCCACCCACCTCAGCCTCCCAAAGTGCTGGAATTACAGGTGTGAGCCACCGCACCCGGCTTCCCAGCATACATTCTTATACCTACAGCTTCCCCTGTCCTATTTTTATAAATGAGTTTTTAAATGTATTTTCGTTTTGTTTTGTTTAAATGTATTTTTGTTTTCTGTGTGAGATACGGTCTTGCCCTGTTGCCCAGGCTGGAGTGCAGTGGTGCCATCTCTGCTCACTGCAGCCTCAACCTCCTGGGCTCAAGCGATCCTCCTACCTCAGTCTCTGGAGTAGCTGGAACTACAGGCCTGTGCCACCATGCCTGGCCAATTTTAAGAAGTTTTTATAGAGACAGGTTCTTGCTATGGCACCCAGGCTGGTACAGAGTATGTTACACAAAAAGTAAAAGGAAAGAAGAAAAAGAGGTCACCATCTGGAAACCACAAGGCCACCCCTGCACATGGTGGTACCAAGAAGAAAGCGCTTCAGCTGGGATCTGGGGATCAGGAAGCCATGGTGGAGCCATACCACAGCTACTAGTTCCCTCAAGGAAAGGGGATACCACCTCTCTCCCCAGTGATTCAGTTCTGAACTCAAGTCTCCCACAGTGCACTTCACTGGAGAGGAATCCCAGCTGCAGGGGAAGCCAGGAAATGTGCTGAGGGATACGGTCCCTGCAGACAGGCAAACCTATCAGTAGGAGGCTGAGCAGAGGCTGAGCAAGTCAATCAACTCCATTCACAGTCCTCGTAAATACTCAAGGAGTGGTGAGAATGAGCCCTCTTGATTTTTCACATTGCAGCAGAGAACAACTATAACCCCTAGTGCTTCCAACTGCAATCGTCGAAAGGGAGGAACTGATTAAACAGACTGGCAGTGGAGTCACCACCAGTGAGGCCTGCGATAAGACCTTTTGCACATGTGTTTTTATAAACTCCAGATAGTTGTAATTTTGTCATCATACAAAAATTGTACATATTATTCCACTGCAACTTGATTTGTCTGCTAAACATTATTCCCTAGGTATAAGTAAATTGATAAATTCCTGTGTCAACATATGTAGACTTTTCTGCATCTTTTTTGTAACTGAAAAAGTAATACAAGCACATGGTTAAAAAATCAAGTAGTATTCAAAAGTAAACAGTAAATTATATTAGTGTCTCTTCCACCAAGACCCTCAGTCCTCATTTCAGAGGCAACTAGGTCTGTGAATGCTTCTAGAAATATTCTATTATATACAGGAAAACAGGTCCACAACAGCCCTCTCAACTCCCTTTTAAAAACTGCAGATAGGAACATTCTGTACACAAGGTTGAAAACTTGATTTTTTTTCACTCGACAATGTAATCATGAAGGCTATTCTATGTTAATATACTGTATACCTATCCACCCCATTCTTAACAGTTGCATAGCATTTCCTTATATGAATGGGACACACAGTGTCTTCTGGATGCCAAGTAGCCAGGTAGTTTGTAGTCTCTTGATATGACAGACAACATGGCTATTATCAACAATATCTTTACATGTGTGCAAATATATCCACAATGAATTATTTGAAGATATAAGTAAAAGTGTACGTACTTTTTTTTTTTTTTTTTTGCCCATGACACAGCACTCAGGATGTCCTAAGAACATGTGCCCTACATTTTAAATGTTGATAGATACAGCACAACTGCCCTCTGAAACACTTATATAATTTTTACAAACATCACCTCTGGATAGGTCCCCTTCTTGCAGCCAACTTACATGAATAAACCACAGAAGATTCACTATGATGACTGTAGGAAGAGGATGGAATCGGGGTCTAAAGTGAGCTTGTAATGAGTGGTGTGGGAGAAGCTGGGCATCCAGAAGTGGGTCGTCTTCAATACTCTGGGTGATATCCAAGGAACCCTGGGGTGCAGAAAAACAAGCAACCTATAATCACCACTTTCTAGATTATGTTTCTAAGACAAATCTACTAAACTACAGAGCTTTTTAACCACATACAAATTAAAGGCAAGAGAACACATTGCCTACCTGAATCCAATTTTTTAAAAATTAATTATTAATTTAATTTAATTAATTAAAAAATTAATTAATTTTTTAAAAACTGTAGCAACACGGTCTCACTATGTTGCCCAGGCTGGTCTTGTTTGTTTGTGTTTTGTTTTTTGTTTTTGAGACAGTCTCGCTCTGTTGCCCAGGCTGGAGTGCAGCGGCGCAATCTTGGCTCACTGCAACCTCTGCCTCCCAGGTTCGAGCAATTCTCCTGCCTCAGCCTCCTGAGTAGCTGGGACTACAGGTGTGCACCACCACACCCAGCTAATTTTTTTTTTTTTTTTTTTTGAGATAGAGTTTCACTCTTGTTGCCCAGGCTGGAGTGCACTGGCACAACCTTGGCTCGCCGAAACCTCCACCTCCCGGGTTCCAGCAATTCTCCTGCCTCAGCCTCCTGGGGTAGCTGGGATTACAGGCATGCACCACCACACCCGGCTAATTTTTTATTTTTAATTTTTAGTAGAGATGGGGTTTCTCTATGTTGGTCAGGCTGGTCGCGAACTCCTGACCTCAGGTGATCCGCCTGCCTCGGCCTCCCAAAGTGCTGGGATTACAGGCATGAGCCACCGTGCCCGGCACACATCCAGCTAATTTTTGTATTTTCAGTAGAGGGAGGGTTTCACTGTGTTGGCCATGCTGGTCTCAAACTCCTGACCTCAGGTGATCTACCCACCTCGGCCTCCCAAAGTGGTGGGATTACAGGCATTAGCCACAGTGCCCGGCCCCAGGCTAGTCTTGAACTCTTGGCCGCAAGCTGCAATTCCAGCTACTCGGGAGGCTGAGGCAGGAGAATCACTTGGACCCAGGAGGTGGAGGTTGCAGTGAGCCGAGATTGCGCCACTGCACTCCAGCCTGGGCGACAGAGAGACTTCGTCTCAAAAATATGGATATATACTGCATTGTATATACTTTTAATTTGCTAAGAGTGTAGATCTTAAGTGTTCTCATCACATGTTAAAAAAAAGAAAAAAAGAATATGGTTCATGGGAAGCACATAACAAATCAGCAAATGAAAAGCATAGAAGACAATGCCAAAAAATTTAGGTCAGCTAACTGCACTACAATGAGACAGAAATGAAGGATTCATGAATAGGTTTTGGCTACACAGAATGAGAGCTCTTTATTTTGGAAGTAGGTAGTAGGACAAATGATGTAAGAGATGGCTGTTGATTGCTAAGATTACAAAGATAAGGACAGTAATCTAGGGTGTAACCTAGCTCTGGAGTGGGCTCCTCAATTTCCAGTAGCAGGTATTCAACACTGCTCTGCAACTGTTTTTGTTGTTTTGTTTGTTTGTTTGTTTTTGAGATGGAATCTCGCTCTGTCGCCGAGGCTGGAGTGCAGTGGCTCAATCTCGGCTCATTGCAACTTCTGCCCCCTGGGTTCAATCGATTCTCCTGTCTCAGCCTCCTGAGTAGCTAGGATTAAAGGCACGCGCCACTATGCCCGGCTAATTTTTGTATTTTTAGTAGAGATGGGGTTTCGCCATGTTAGCCAAACTGGTCTCAAACTCCCAACCCCAGGTGATCCGCCTGCCTCAGCCTCCCAAAGTGCTGGGATTACAGGCATGAGCCACCGCGCCTGGCCAAGTCTTTTATTCAATGCCTAGATTGCTTCCTGTTTAGTTTACCATAACTCATGGTACAATTCAGATTACTCCTGTTCTCTTCAAGACCCCTCTGCCTCTAGCTCATTCTCAGTCAGCAGATGTTGGAGCCTTGAGATCTGCTCTTCCCTTAGCTAATGTCTGTGCATTCTTTCATGCTCAGAAGGGGCAATTCCCACCACAGGGCCTTTCTGGATACCCCTAATCTGGATTGTGCCACCCTCCATGTTTTTCAAAGCATTCTGTGCTTGCCTCTTCTATCAAACTATCCTGTGATGGTCTCTTACTTATCTCTTCTCCACTAGACGTCATTGGACCCATTACCTTTACACCTCTTGTCTTTGTAATCCCAGCACTCAACACTATCTCATGGTTGTCACTCAGCAAACATTTGCTAGATGAATGAATGAGTGCCCCAAACCTGTTTCTGCAGTATTTTCTAATTCAATTATGGGCATCATCAAAGACCTGGGCTAATTAGAAGAGATTATCAGGACATACGGGGGATCAACTGTGACCAAAGGCAGTAAGAGCTGTGGTTAAGGTCAGGCTCCTAAGGGCAAACTGCCTGGATTCAAGCACAAGTTTTACCGCTTTCTAGCTGAGAGCAAGTTACTTCATCTCTCATGCCTCAGTTTCCACATCTAAAAAGGAGACTAATAATAGCACCTGCTTCGTAGCTCTGTCAGGAATACTAAATGAGTCACTACACATGCAAGTCCTCATGACACTGCCTGACGCACAGAGAGCACTCAATAAGTATTAGCCACTATTATTTCTTTATTAACTCTTTTCTCTTTTTAATATTTTTTAAATTTTAAAATAAAAATCAACAGGGTCTCGCTATGTTGGCCAGGTTGGTCTTGAACTCTTAGCCTCAAGCAATCCTCCCAAGTGCACTCCCAGTGTGCTAGGATTACAGGTGTGAGCCACCACACTTGGCCTTTTTATTAACTCTTACTTTTGACTTGCACCCCGCTATGGTCTAAATGTTGGTGTCCCCCAATAGTTCCCTGCTTTCCTTTGGGAAGTAATTAAGCCATGAGGGTTCCCCCCCTCATAAATGAGATCAGTGCCCTTATAAAAGAGGCTTGAATGAGCTCCCTTCCACCTTCCACTGCGTGAGGATGCAGCAAGAAGGCGCCATCTTTGAAGCAGAGAGCAACCCCTCCCCAGGGCTCTTGGCACCTTGATCTTGGGCTTCCTGAATCCGTGGCTGCCTTAATCTTGGACTTCCTGTCCTCTAGAACTGTGGTCAATACATTTCTATTTGTAAATTACCCTATTTGTATTTTACTATAGCAACCCAAACAAAGACACTACCCCTATAATCATTACCATTCTATCCACTCAGTGCTGGGGCATGATAAAAAGAGAAAAAATCATTACCATTCTAACTCCTAAACCTGTTATTTCCTCTCTATTCTCACTATCTTAGTCCAGGCCCTCCCATTTCTCATGGCCTTTTATTAGAAGCTTCCAGTCTTCTGGTCTTGGCAATCTCTTTCACTGCTCCAAGACAAACATTCGTGTTTCTCTCCTCAAAAACTTTGGGTAGCTCCCTATGATGGTCAATATTAAGTGTCAAATGGATGGCAAAGTATCGTCTGTGAGGAGCCAAACATTTGAGTCAGTGGACTGGGAGAGGAAGACCCACCCTCAATATGGGCAAGCACCATCCAATCAGCTGCCAATGCAGCTAGAACAAAGCACAGAATAGGCGTATAAGCAGCTTGCTGAGTTTTCTGGCTCTCTCTTTCCTGCGTCAGATGCTTGCCTCCTTAATTCCTGCCTTTGGACATCAGACTCCAGATTCTTCGGCCTTTGGACTCTGAAACCTGCACCAGCAGCTTGCCTGGGGCTCTCAGGCCTTCGGCTGCCGACTGAAGGCTGCGCTGTTGGCTTCCCTGGTTTTGAGGCTTTTGAACTTGGACTGAGCCACTACCACCTTCCCTTTCCCCAGCTTGCAGGTGGCCTATCATGGGACTTCACTGTGTAATCTTGTGAGCTAATTCTCCCTAATAAACCCCCTTTTTATATATACATATATCCTATTGGTTCTGTCCCTCTGGATAATCCTAATACGATCCCCAAATCCTCAGGACAAAGTCCAAATTCTTAGTCTATCGCTTTACAATCTGTCCCCAAGTAACTTCTCAGGATTTTTTTTCTCTCTTTTTTTTTTCTTTTTTTGAGACAGAGTCTTGCTCTGTCCCCCAGGCTGGAGTGCAATGGCATGATCTCAGCTCACTGCAACCTCTGCTTCCTGGGTTCAAACAATTCTCCTGCCTCAGCCTCCCAAGTAGCTGGAATTACAAGTGCCCGACACCTTGTCCAGCTAGTTTTTGTATTTTTAATAGAGACGGGGTTTCACCATGTTGGCCATGCTGGTCTCAAACTCCTGACCTCAAGTGGTCCACCCTCAGCCTCCCAAAGTGCTGGGATTACAGGTGTGAACCACTGTACCCAACCTTTTTTTTTAAAACAAAAACAAAAACAAAAAAAAAAACAGGGTCTCACTCTGTCACCCAGGCTGGAGAACAGTGGCACGATCTCGGCTCACTGCAGCCTCCGTGCCCCCCTCCCCAGGCTCAAGAAATCCTCCTACCTCAGTCTCACGAGTAGCTGGGACCAGAGGCACACTCCACTATGCTTGGCTAATTTTTGTATTTTTAGTAAAGGTGAGATTTCACCATGTTGCCCAGGCTGGTCTTGAACTCCAAAACTCAAGCAATCCACCCACCTTGGCCTCCCAAAGTGCTGGGATTACAGGCATAAGCCACCACGCCTGGCCAAGGATTTGCCTCTCACCATTTCCCTCCCTCCTGGTGCCGTCTGCTTATGATACCCGTCTTTCATGAAACACTTTCCATCTCTACACCAGCTCTACTTATTCTTCCCCACCTGTCAAATGCTTGTCCCAGCAAAACCGCCTTCTCTGCGGTGCCTTTTTAGCATTCCCAGCCCCAGCATCATTCCTACTGCACTCTTAATCTGACATTGTAGTTTTCATCTGTACAAGTTTGAGCTGGGTCTACTTTGTATCTTCCATGTCTCTATGTAACTTCTAAATATATAGAAGACATTTATAATAATGTTTAATGTTCACATGCTATTTCTAGCCTATGTCATGTCTGAATCAGTTTCAGTGGACTCAGTACAGCTCACATTTTCCTGCCTCTTAGCATGCCTTGTCATTTTTTATTGGATGCCAGATATTGCAAATTTTACCTCTGTGGGTGCTGGGTATTTTCTGTATTCCCTTTTTTTTTTTTTTTTTTTTTTTTTTTGGAGATGTAGTCTTGCTCTGTCACCCAGGTTGGAGTGCAGTGGCATGATCTCGGCTCACTGCAAGCTCTGCCTCCTGCGTTCACACCATTCTCCTGCCTCAGCCTCCCAAGTAGCTGGGATACAGGCACCCAGCACCACGCCCGGCTAATTTTTTGTACTTTTAGTAGAGACAGGGTTCCACCATGTTAACCAGGATGGTCTCGATCTCCTGACCTCGTGATCCGCTCGCCTCAGCCTCTCAAAGTGCCGGGATTACAGGCATGAGCCACCGCACCCGGCCATTTTCTGTAATCCTATATTCGTGAACTTTGTTCTGGAGTGCAGTCAAGTTACTTGGAAACAGTCTTGCTGTTAAGAAATTAGGTGGGCTTCATCTAAGGCTAATCTAAGGCCTCCACTACTGAGGCAAGACCTTTCTGAGTACTCTACCTACATGCTCTGTGAATTATGAGGGTTCCGTCTGGCTTGTGGGTGAAATAGGCAGTATTCTTGGCCCTGTATGGAGAAACTGTTCCTTCCAATCCTTTTAGGTGGTTCTTTATGAGGCCTCCAAGAGCTTCCTCATGCCCTGATTAGCACTCTACTGGATGCCTGGTAGGCGCAGGGCCAGGGGGCTCCCCGTGCATATCTTCAGAGTTCTCCCTCTTTGTAGCTCTCTCCTCTCTGGGTGCTCTGTCTTGTGAACTCCAGTTACCTCGATCTCCTAGACCCTCAACTCCATCTCCTCAACTCAGAAGTCTGCTGGGCTCTGCCTGGCTTCCCCCTTCCCTGTCACAGCCTGCACACTCTTTCAAGGCAGTAAGCCGGAGCAGTGATAGGGTTCACAGCATTTGTTTCCCATCTCTGAGATTGCTACCCTTCATTGTCTGATGTCCGGTATCTCACAAAGTGTTGTATCATACGTTATATCTAGCTTTTTGGTTGTTTCAGGCAGAATGGTATATCTATTCCCAGTTACTCCATGTTGGCTGGGAATGGAAGTCCCTACTGAACTCTCTTACATCTGTATCTGTATCATAACCTACCATACTAAGCACATGGCATTGAAATTGTCAGAATAAAATGTGCTTTACAAGGGCAGAGACTCTTTTATATTATGTCCTTTGTGCTTTTAACACTTGATACACAGCAGATGCTAAGGTGTTCAATATGCGTGTTGAGAGAAAGAAAGACTGCTCAACTTCTTGTATGCTTCAGACCTGGGAAATTTTTATTTATTTATTTATTTATTTACTTTTGAGACAGAATTTCGCTCTTGTTGCCCAGATTGGAGTGCAATGGTGTGATCTTGGCTCACTGCAACCTCTGCCTCCCAGGTTCAAGCAATTCTCCTGCCTCAGCCTCCTGACCACAGGCTGGGATTACAGGCATGTGCCACCATGCCCAGGTAATTTTTATATTTTTAGTAGATACCGGGTTTCGCCATGTTGGCCAGGCTGGTCTCAAACTTCTGACCTCAGGTGATCCACCCGCCTCAGCCTCCCAAAGTGCTGGGATTACAGGCGTGAGCCACCGCACCTGGCCAGACCTGGGACATTTAAACAAAGCTAGCATTGAAAACTTCACTATAAGACAATAATCTACTTTATCTCCTAATATGTCACTTTCATGCACCTTCTTCTCTCGCCTAAATGAGCTTTCTATAGAGCCCTACAAATATCCTCCCTTACCTTTTTCAGAATTCTATGCATCTTTCAAGGTCCTAACCAAGTTTATGTTCTCTATAAAACTGGCCTTGTTAAGTGTTTTCCTTCTGCTTTAAAATCCTATAAAACTTATTGCCCATAATATTCATTTGGAATATTTCTTATGCTGCCTTGTATTGTTTTCCTTTTCATGGGTGTATCTTTTGTTTTTCCTAACTACACTGAAGGAGTTGGGGACTATAATATGGTTCTTCTCTATGTCACTCAGGAGTATTTACTTTCCATTGAATCCTATAGGAAATATGCAGTGTAACCATACAAACAGCACCCAGTCATTCTATTAACTCACCATCTGCAAGTGAAGGGTGAGGGGAAGAGGACTCCTGAATCCAAATGATTTTTTCATTTCCATTATTAACTACATTACCACCTGTAGAAGATGTCTGTTGTTTTTGCCCACATGGTATCTCTTCTCTCTTCTGTGACAATAACTCTATTTCCTTTGAGGACCCACTGTCTACTTCTGCATTAAGTCTTAGTGGAACCATCCTTCAATACCCTTCCTCCTCCTCTGCTCTAGGAGTGGTCATGGAACAAAAAACAGTTGGGTGAATCCAACTCTTTCCATGAGCAGTAAAAGAAAGATCATGAGGCCGGGCACGGTGGCTCACGCCTGTAATCCCAACACTTTGGGAGGCCAAGGCAGATGGATCACCTGAGACCAGCCTGACCAAAATGGAGAAATCCCGTCTCTACTAAAAATACAAAATTAGCCAGGTGTGGTGGTGCATGCCTGTAATCCCAGCTATTTGGGAGGCTGAGGCAGAAGAATCACTTGAACCCGGGAGGCGGAGGTTGCAGTGAGCCGAGATCGTACCATTGCACTCCAACCTGGGCAACAAGGGTGAAACTCCATCACAAAAAAAGAAGAAAGATCATGATTTAGGCAGATTCATTCCAGGGTAGACCCTGAAAGGACTCCTGTCACTTCAATGCCTTGAGATGCCCTTGTTTGGGTCCTTTCAGAGGCCTTGGCATATACTCACCCTATAGCCTTTCGAATACATCCTTTTCTTAAATTAGCCACAGTTGGTTTCACTGCCTGCAAACAATGAATCCCTACTAACACAAAGTCTTTGACTCAACTCATTTAAGTGTCTGTAACTAAGGCATGGTCCAAAATTTTTAGCTTTTTCTTGAAGGCTAGGAATCATGTTTACAAAATACCAAAAGCAGGCAACTTACTCAGATCTAAAGTGACTCCAATATGTGGTTGGTAGCAAAACATTAATCTCTAATTAATTTTTATTTATTTTTATTTTTGAGACAGAGTCTCGCTCTGTCGCTCTGTTGCCCCGGCTGGAGTGCAGTGATGCGATCTTGGCTCACTGCAACCTCTGCCTTCCGGGTTCAAGCGATTCTCCTGCCTCCCCAGTATCTGGGATTACAGGCCCCCACCACCCCACCTGGCTAATTTTTGTATTTTTAGTGGAGACGGGGTTTTGCCATGTTGGCCAGGCTGGTCTCAAACTCCTGACCTCAGGTTATCTGCCTGCCTCGGCCTCCCAAAGTGCTGGGATTACAGGCATGAGCCTCCCAGACCATCCCCAGGCTCCAGTGTTTGAGGAAGCAGATTTCTAGTACTATATGCATCCTAAAGCTAAAAGCTACAGATCCAAGAACGCCAGAGCAGCTTAGCATCAACCAAGAAGCACTTACTGCATGTGTTTTTCTAAGACACTCTCATTTTCCTCTTACATATTCGGTTTTTTCTGTACATTGTCAGCTCATGAAGCTCAGCCTTAAAAACTCAGAAACAATGAATTTTGCTTTAAATATATATGAGTCTCAAATCTACTTACAGGTCTTACAGTTAATTTTCCATTTTCTCAACTGGAAAAAATAGAAAATTTTAGTTTCATTAGAAATTGTTTGGTCTTTATTTCATCAAGATTATTTAACTGGTTACTGCACAAGAATCTAAGCTACCGTAATGCTGGAACTGTTTCATGTTTCTCTTCCTTTTCCTGATGCAGTTCATTCAGTGATAGGATCACAGTAATATTCCTACTAATTTATTAACCCAAATTAGTGCTTTACAGTAACTGTCAACTTTGCATTTCTCAAGAGCAAAAATTTTATTACTTGCCAGTGGAAAATCCAGTTAACTCTCAGCATACATACATGTTTCTCCTAAAAACACCTTACGATACTGAAGCAAAGAAATAAGATTTTTGTAATTATGCTACCATTCTGTACTATACACGCTGTAAACTAGGCCACTGGTTTTTTGTTTTTTTGTTTTTGTTTTTGTTTTGGTAATCTGGTTTGAATCTATCAAAGATTTAAAAACCTTTGTATTCCTACCATGCTAGATTCAAAACAACACATGACACTTTTTCTCTCGTGTGGGTTTCCAGGCCATGATAGCGACAGGTCTGCGGGACGCTGGCGCCCGGCCCGAGCGTCGTTGTCACTCCAAGTCCACAGCCTCTAGAGCCAAGGCAAGGGACCTCACCAGGAAGGGAGATTCGCCCCCTGTGCCCCTGGGACGTCCGAGCGGAACCCATCGGCCCGGCTCCCGGAGACTCGCGGGGAGGAAGGGCTGTCAGGCCAGGCGCGCATCACGTGAAGCTGCCAGTTCCGGGATCAAAGACGTACCCCGCACGTGGGCTGGGCGCCAGCCTGGGACCCCCGGGGGCCGCGCGCCCACCGCCCAGGAGCCCACCCCAGCCTCCACTGGGAAAATTAGCCCGGAGCCAACGTGTCGCGGATCCCACAGCCGCCTGGAGCCCTCCCAAAGCCCCGCGCCCAGGCCTCCCCGGGCACAGGCGGCGCCCCCTTCGGCCGCGGCCGCAGTCGCCAAGGGTGGCTTCCCTCTCTGAGTCTCCGCCCCGTGCGCCCCGGCACAAGAAAAAGCGGATTCCGGGGCCAACCGCCCGCCGCCTCCGTGCACTCACGTCCTCCATCCTGCCCCCCGCCGCCATTTCCCGACGCCGGAGGCCGAAGCCCTGGCCAGCCCGGCCTCTCCACCTGGACCTGTAAGCCTCTGGCCGCGAAACTCGCCACCTTCTGGGACCTGCCAGGCCCCTCCCCAGACACACCCCCTCCTGCGTCCGCCCCGCCTCCGGCTGGCCCGATCCCCGCCCCCTTAGCTCCGATTGGCTGAGATGGTGGGAGGGGTGTGCCGGCCCAGAAGACCTGGACTGTGGGCGGTGGCTACCGCCTGAACCACCTCGGTTCCTGGGGCTTCTGGCCGCAGCCCCTCGGTGCGCTCTTACCCAGAGACTTGAGCATTTAAGGATGCCTTCCTAGTCCAAGAATTTAACTATTTTCGGGCTCCACTTGCATATTTTAAGAACATTAACTTTTTTCGGTCTTGCCTGGTTGTTTGCAGACACAGCTCTACGCCTAGGTAGAACCAGCGGTAAAATCCTACTCCGCCAGCAGAGGGACAGGAGCAGAATAAAGATTCCAATTTCCATGACATATTTACAGATTTCTCCAATGGGAAACAAAGCAGTTCGGAATGCTTACGGCGTTCGTTTATTAAGACAGAGTCTCGCTCTGTCGCCCACGCTGGAGTGCCCTAGCACGACCTCGGCTCACTGCAGCCTCGAATTCTTGGCCTCCTGGCCAGTTCTCCCACCTCAGCCTCTCAAAGTACTGAGATTACAGGCGTGAGCCACTGGGCCCTTGTTTCTTTTAAAATTGAATTTCAAAAAGAGAAAAAACTTCAATGACATTTTCTAAAAAGCTCATGATTGTAAAAATGTAAGCAAACAAGGAAAGAAATTTTCTGTTACCAGCTCCCGGAGAGAACTTTGATATCAGTTAGAATATATACACTCATACATTTTTTTGGTGGGGCGGCGGAGACGGAGTCTCGCTCTGTCGCCCAGGCTGGAATGCAGTGGTGCAATCTCGGCTCCCAGGTTCAAGCCATTCTCCTGCCTCAGCCCCCTGAGTAGCTAGGATTACAGGCGCGTGCCACCAAGCCTGGCTATTTTTGTATTTTAGTAGAGACAGGGTTTAGCCATGTTGGTCAGGCTGGTCTGGAACTCCTGAGGTCAGGTGACTCGCCCGCCTCGGCCTCCCAAAGTGCTGGGATTACAAGTTTAGCCACCGCGTCTTGCCCACTTTCATACATTCTAATGCTTATTTGTACATTGAGTATAGTGTGATCCAGTTTAGGATGTGTGAGATAAAACTACGCAAATGTTAGTGAAGGAAGAGATGGTGTAAGACTCCACGTGATCTTCTTTTTTCTTTTTCTTTTTTTTCTCGTAGAGACAAGGTCTCACTATGTTGCCCAGGCTGGTCTCATAATCCTGAGATTCTATGAATTATTTATCACAAGCCTTTTCTAGACGTGCAAATTTTCTTCTCTGCATTTTATTTTGAAAATTTTCAAGCCTACAGAAATGTTGAAAGATTAATACAATGAACATCCATGTACCCCTCACACTTGATTCATTAGTTGTTCATTTTTTGTCTTGGTTGCTCTGTGTGTGGGTGTGTGTGTTCACATACTTTTTTTTTTTTTTTTTTTTTTGAGATGGAGTCCCGCTCTGTCGCCAGGCTGGATGGAGTGCAGTGGCGCGATCTCGGCTCACTGCAAGCTCCGCGTCCCGGGTTCACGCCATTCTCCTGCCTCAGGCTCCCCAGGGTCTGGGACTACAGGCGCCCGCCACCACACCCAGCTAATTTTTGTATTTTTAGTAGAGACGGGGTTTCACTGTGTTAGCCAGGATGGTCTCGATCTCCTGACCTTGTGATCCGCCTGCCTTGGCCTCCCAAAGTGCTGGGATTACAGGTGTGAGCCACCGTGCCTGGCCATTTTTTAACTGAACTACTTGAAAGTAAATTGAAGACAATATGAAGCTTCATTCCTAGATACTTTGTTGCCTAAAATAAGGATATTTTATATTTTCTTTCATAACCACAATATCAATATTACACACAACTAATAGTAATTCCATGTTTACTAATAACCAATCTATGGCAAAAATTTTCTAAGTTGTTTCCAAAATGTCTTTTTTAGCTGCTTTTTTTGTTTTATTTTGTTTTGTTTTGTTTTTGAGATGGAGTCTTGCTATGTTGCCCAGGCTGGATTCACACTCCTGAGTTCAAGCAATCCTCCCACCTCAGCCTCCCAAGTAGCTTGGATAACAGGCATACACCACTGTGCCTGGCCCAGCTGCTGTTTTTTCTTTTTCAGTAACCAGAATCCAATCAAGGTTCACACATTTCATTTCATTATTATGTCAAGACATGCTTTTCTGTTGTTGTTTTCGACACAGGATCTCACTCTGTTAACCAGGCTGGAGCACAGGGGCGCTATCATAGCTCACTGCAGCCTCAACCTCCTGGGCTCAAACAATCCTCCCTCTTCAGCCTCCCAAGCATCTGGGACTATATGTTCACACATCCATACCAGGCTTATTTTTAAGATTTTTCTTTTTGTGAAGATGGGACTTTGTTATGTTGCCCACGCTGGTCTCAAAACTCCTGGTCTCAAGCCACCCTCCCGCCTCAGTCTCCCAAAGTACAGGGATTACAGGTGTGAGCCACTGCACCTAGCCAAGACATGTACTTTCACAGGGACAGCACACTGGTTAAGACCAGGGCTCCAGAATTAGTCATGGAGGTTTGAGTTCTGCATCTTACCAAGCATGTGATATTGGGCACTTAGCTTAAGTTCTTAGGAGCTGACTGGGCAAGGTGGCTCATGCCTATGGCCCCTAGCATGTTGAGACACCAAGGCAGGAGGATTGTTTGGTGCCTGGAGTACGGGACTAGCCTGGGCAACATGGTGAGTCTCTGTCTCTACAAAAGATTAGAACATTAGCTAGGTGTGGTGACGTGCACCTGTAGTAGCAGCTACTTTGGAGGCTGAGGTGGGGAAGTTTTAGTTTCCCTTTTACAGAAATTTTCTTTCCTTTTGTTTTGTTTTGTTTTGTTTTGAGATAGAGTTTCACTCTTGTCGCTCAGGCTGGTGTGCAATGGCGTGATCTTGGCTCAGTGCAACCTCTGCCTCCCAGATTCAAGTCATTCTCCTGCCTCAGCCTCCCAAGTAGCTGAGATTACAGGCGTCAGCCACCATGCCTGGCTAATTTTTGCATTTTTAGTAGAGACAGCGTTTCACCATGTTGGCCAGGCTGGTCTTGAACTCCTGACCTCAAGTGATCTGCCCACCTCAGCCTCCCAAAGTGCTGGGATTACAGGCGTGAGCCACTGTGCCCAGCCAGAGATTTTCTATTAAATAAAATAATGCATGTAATGCTCTTTATACAATGTTGTCTCTACAAAGCACTAAGCAAATGTTAGTCATTTTTTGTCTAAATCAGATTTATTAAGGCATTATTAACATACATAATCATTTTTGTTTGTTTTTTGTTTGTAAAGACAGAGTCTCACTATAGGCTGGTCTTGAACTCCTGGTCTCAAGTGATTCTTCTGCCTCGGCTTCCCAAAGTGCTGGGATTACAGGCAAGAGCCACCATGCCAGACCCATTGTTTTAATAATATATTAAAAATATGTTCTCAGCCCATATAATGCTCTAATGACTGTTAAAGCAATTTATATAAGCATAGCCCTGTAAATAAGTTATATTTAAAAAGTATCTGACACTTCATTTTTGTATGACTAAAGATCTTTTGGTGAAGATTCTTGCGTTTATTTACTTATGAGGAGTAAGGAGAGGAGGAGAGAAGCTGTTTTCCTAGTGTTGGGGCTCAGAAGATAATATCGGCTAGGCGCAGTGGCTCACACCTGTAATCCCAGCACTTTGGGGGGCCAAGGCGGGCGAATCACCTGACATTAAGACTTCAAGACCAGCCTGGCCAACAGACGAAACCCCATTTCTACTAAAAATACAAAAATTAGCCAGGCATGGTGGCATGCGCCTGTAATCCCAGCTACTCAGGAGGCTGAGGCAGGAGAATGGTTTGAACCCAGAAGCGGAGATTGCACCACTGCACTCCAGCCTGGGCAACAGAGCAAGACACTTTTCAGATTTAAAAGTTTAAAAATGCAACTAGCCTGGCCAAAATGGTGAAACCCCGTCTCTATCAAAAATACAAAAATTAACCAGGTGTGGTGGTGCGTGCCTGTAGTTTCAGCCACTCAGGAGGCTGAGGCACAAGAATTTCTTGAACCTGGGAGGCAGAGGTTGCAGTGAGCCGAGATCATGCCAGTGCACTCCAGCCTGTGTGACAGAGCAAGACCCTGTCTCAACAACAACAACAAAAAAAAAGAAGAGGATAATATCACAAGTATAGTGCTTTTGCATGCTGAGTACTTGAAGTGAAGGACACATTGGCAGGCCTCAAAAGCCAAGTTTCTCTATGACTTTTGAACAAACAGGCCTTGCTGACCCTGGTACTAAGCATTAAAGTAGATGCTTGTAAATTCTTATCCCTACTCAGTCTATTGTCATTAGATCACCTGTAATCCCAGCTACTCAGGAGGCTGAGGCAGGAGAATTGCTTGAACCCGGGAGGCAGAGGTTGCAGTGAGCCGAGATCGCGCCACTGCACTCCAGCCTGGGTGACAGAGCGAGACTCCCTCTTAAATAAATAAATAAATAAATCTGTTATGCTTTTCTCTTGTTAATCTGGCTTTTGTTATAGGAGTGTCAGCCATGACCTTTCCACCTCTATGCTACCAAACAGTTCACCATTAGAAGATGCTGGACTGAAGCCCCATCTTTCCTGTGTTGTCACCATCAGCATTGTTCCAGGCACCGTGCTCATTCCTGATCACAGATATTAAAATGTTAATAATATCTCATTGATTTTTTTTCAACATCAAAATCTGTCCTTTATTCACTATGATTTCTATTATTCAGCCTGGCATAACGTAACATGCATACAAACAATAGGTACTTAATTGATATTTTTGTTAATTTTAAAGCAGGATCTCTTTACTGATATTGACTTTAATCTGCCTTTGAAATGGATTTATTTATTTATTTATTGAATAAAGATGGGGTCTCACTATGTTGCCAAGGCTGGTCTTGATCTCCTGGGCTCAAGCAGTCCTCCCACCTCGGTCTCCCAAAGTGCTGGGATTATAGGCATAAGCCACTGTGCTCAGCCTAAATTTATTTTTAATCAATAAATAAAAGTTATATATATTTATGATGTTCAACATGATGTTTTGGTATATGGATACATTGCAGAATGATTGAATCAAGCTAATTAATGTATTTACCACCTCCCATACTTATTTTTTTTTTCTTAACTTGCCTTTTAAATAAAATTTTAGAACAAGTTGATCCTAGCTAAATATTTCTACAATTCTCTTAGGCTGCCCTATACCATTGTCAGAAATGAAGATATCCAAAATTCTGTCTTTGGATAATGTTTTGTAGCTAAATCTCTCTTAGGTACTTAGAGAGATGCCATTGAAAAATTCCCTTTCAATGAACAGACAAAAAAAGGAGGTCAATAGTTATTTTAGCATATCAAATTATATTTAGTTTATGTACTTTTTTCTGGAAAAATTTTTTTTTCTAGAAAGAAATTTAAGGATATTGTAAGCAATTGGAAACATTCCAGTTTCCACTTATTTGTTTCGTAAATGTTTGTATCTTTCAAAGCACCTGTACCACAAATAGAGTCCCGTTGTAACCAAACATTCCACATTTGAGTGATAATGGACTCTGTTAGAGGTCTCAGGGCTTGTAAAGTTTCAGGCTTGATATCCAGTACTTGCCCTCTCATTATTGTTTGTTTTCTCCTAAAGTTCTTATGATCTCAAATCCTGGCATTTAAAAGCACACTTATTTTTGAAGGCAGAATTTTGTTTGTTTGTTTGTTTCACTGACTCAGGAGCAGAAAAAAAAGTTTGCTAAAAATCCCAAAAGTAATTCATGTTTGGATAGACACCAAATATGTGAAGTTTCAGACCAAAACCACAATTTCTCTGAAAGGTTTTAGAAAACACATACCGAAACTCAGGGTGAAAATGAATTTTGTAACCTTCATGAAACTCAAGGCTACTACTTAGTGATTATAGAGCTGACCTTGTCTAATCTCCACTCACTCCTGATTCTTCTTTAATGCCAAGTACCAGGCTCAGGCATCCAGCCCAAGCAGTCGGCAGCATTCTCATGGGAGGAACTCCTTATTTCAGAAATAATCAGAAGATGGGGCTTTAAGTGCTTTGTAGTGATATCTCTTTTAATTAAGTTCTAGACAGTTAAGAAGTAAAACTTTTCTTTTACAATACAATTCATAATGCTGTGTGTTGAGGTCTAAAAGAATATTTGAAGGTATCCCCAAATAACTTATAAAATAATTATTTTGATTCTCCACACTGAGCTGAGCAGTAGCTCCCTAATCTGGCTCTGATTCAGTTCCAAACTATATGAGGCTTTACCCTCTTTCAGGAAGCTCACTCTGCTGAGTCTCAGTCTTTGTACAACCGTTCTAGGAATCAAAGGGGCCTAGTTCCTTTCCAACTTGACTTTTATATTTCTTTTAAAAGTAATCCCCAGTTGATGGATTATTTATTTATTTATTTATTTTGAGATGGAGTCTCACTCTGTTGCTGGAGTCCGATGGCAGGATCTCGTCTCACTGCAACCTCCGCCTGCCAGGTTCAAGCGGTTCTCCTGCCTCATCCTTCCAAGTCGCTGGGAATATGGGCACCTGCCACCACGCCCAACTAATTTTTTTGTATTTTTAGTAGAGATGGAGTTTCACCATGATGGCCAGGCTGACCTCAAACTCCTGACCTCAGGTGATCTGACTGCCTCAGTCTCCCAAAGAGCTGGGATTACAGGTGTGAGCCACCGCGCCCGACCTGATGGATAATTTAATAATGATGTTGAGAAAACCCACCAGCCACTTGGAAGAAAAAAAAGCTGAATCACTCCCCATTTCTTTTTCTTTATTTTTTTCTTTTTCTTTTTTTTTGAGACAGAGTTTCGCTCTGTCACCCAGGCTGGAGTGCAGTGGTGCAATCTTGGCTCACTGCAACCTCTGCCTCCCGGATTCAAGCAATTCTCCTGCCTCAGCCTCCAGAGTAGCTGGGATTACAGCTGCGCACCATCACGCCTGGCTAATTTTTGTATTTTTAGTAGAGACGGGTTTCACCATGTTGGCTAGGCTGGTCTCAAACTCCTAACCTCAAGTGATCCGCCCACCTTGGCCTCCCAAAATGCTGGGATTACAGGTATGAGCCATCGCGCCCAGTCTACTCCTCATTTCTTAAACCAAAATTAATTACTAATGATTCAGACTAAAACATAAAAAATAAGTAGTTGGCTGTGATAGCTCATGCTTGTAATCCCAGCACTTGGGAGGCTGAGGCAGGAGGATCACTGGAGCCTGGAGTTCAAGGCTGGAGTGAGCAATGATTACAACACTGCACTCCAGCCTGGGTGACAGAGCAAGACCCTGTCTCACAAAAAAAAAAAAAAAAAAAAATTAAAAGAAAAAAAGGTGAAATCAAACCAACAGAATTTCTAGAAAAAATATTTTAATGTGGTCTTACAATACTTTCCATGCATTACCCCGAATACAAAACAATAAAGAAAAAGATTCAAGAAATTTGACTACATAAAAAGTTTGAAACTTTTGCATAAGAAAAAAGAAAACATAAAGTTAAAATACAAATGACAAATAACTAAAAGCAACATAAATATCCATTATTTAAGGAATGAATAAAAAAACTATGATATCTAAACTTAGAAGACTATTCAACCATTTGAAAAATGAGGTAGATCTACATACACTGGCAAAATAAATAGGCCTTTAATATAATATGTTACAAAAGCAGGTTGCAAAATAATAGCTATGCTATAATTTTATCCATGAAAAAAGAATACAAATATAATGCAAAACCCAACTATTTTCATAGGCAAATGTATGCTATGAAAGTTTACAGAGCCAGAAAAATTAAGCAAGAAAAAGAAATAAATGGTATTCAAATTAAAAAGAAACTTCTAAATCAAGGACCAGAGGAAACAAAATAGGAAGATGTGAAACTATTTCTATTCATAGAAGACATAATGTTAAATCTAAAAAACTCTGGCTGGGCACATTGGCTCACACCTGTAATCCCAGCACTTTGAGAGGCTGAGGAGGGTGGATTGCTTGAGGCTAGGAGTTTGAAACCAGTCTGGGCAACATGGCATAACCTCGTCTCTACTAAAAATACAAAAATCAGCGAGATATGGTGGCACATGCCTGTAATTCCAGCTGCTCAGGAGGCTGAGGCACGAGAATTATTTGAATCCAGGAGGCAGAGGCAGAGGATGCAGTAAGCCAAGATTGTGCACTGCACTCCAACCTGGACAACAGAAAGAGACTCCTTTTCAAAAAAAATAAAAATTAAAAATTAAGAAAATAAAAACCTGAAAGAATTCATGAAAAAACTATTACAGCTAATCAATCAATTCAGAAAAGTTTCAGGATATATAATCAACACAAAACTTGGAAGACTCCTACTTCCTGATTTCAAAACGTACTACAAAGCTACAGTAAGCAAAACAGTATGGTACTGGTGTAAAGATAGACATATAGAACAATAAAATCAATCACAGAAATAAAACCACTCATCTGTGGTCAATTGATTTTCAACAAGGATACAAAGATCATTCAACGGAGAAAGAATAGTCTTCAAGAAGTAGGACTGGGCATGGCGGCTCATGCCTGTAATCCCAGCACTTTGGGAAGCCAAGGCAGGTGGATCACCTGAGGTCAGGAGTTCAAGACCAACCTGGTCAACATAGTGAAACCCCATCTCTACTAAAAAATATATACAAAAATTAGCTGGGCATGGTGGTGCATGCCTGTAGTCCCAGCTACTCAGGAGGCTGAGGCACGAGAATTGCTTGAACCCAGGAGACGGAGGCTGCAGTTAGCTGAGATCACACCACTGTACTCCAGCCTGGGCAACAGAGCTAGAATCCATCAAAAAAAGAAAGAAAGAAAAGAAGAAAGAAAGAGAGAAAGAGAGAAAGAGAGGAAAGGAAAGGAAAAAGAAAAAGAAAAAAAAAGAAATGGTGCTGATAAAACTGGAGATTCACTGGCAAAAGAATGAAGTTGGACCCTATCCTTATACTTTATACAAAAAGGACTCAAACTGGATTAGATATCTAAATTTAAGAGCTAAAACTATAAAGCTGTTAGCAGAAAATATAAGGACAAATCTGCATGACCTTGGATTTGGCAATAGTTTCTTAAATATGACACCAAAAGAACAGACCAAAAAAAAAAAATAAGTAAATTGGACTTAATTAAAATTAAAAGGCCAGGAACAGTGCCTCACACCTGTAATCCCAACATTTTCAGAGGCAGAAGGATCACTTGAGGCCAGGAGTTCAAGACCAGCCTGGTCAACATAGAGAGACCCTCATCGAAAAATAAAAAATTTATAAAAACTTATTTATCTACAAAAAAAATTTTTTAATTAGCCAGTCATGGTGGTACACACCTGTAGTCCCAGCTACTCAGGAGGCTGAAGTGGGAGGATTGCTTGAGTCCAGCAGATGGAAACTAATAAGCTATGATTACACCACTGCACTCCAGCCTGAGTGACAGAGTAAGATCCTGTCTCAAAAAGTTGCATATTATATAATTATATATACAATATTATATATAATTTATATGTATATTTTGAAGCTATGTATATAGTAACAATGAAGCTTGTCATTAAAAAGCATGGGAATTAAAAAAAAAAAAAACAGGAATAGGCCAGGCACAGTGGCTCACGCCTGTAATCCCAACACTTTGGGAGGCCAAGGTGTGTGGATCACCTGAGGTCAGGAGTTCAAAACCAGCCTGACTAATATGGTGAAACCCCATCTCTACTAAAAATACAAAAACTACCTGGGCATGGTGGCACACACCTGTAATCCCAGCTACTCGGGAGGCTGAGGCATGAGAATCACTTGAACCCTGGAGGCAGAGGCCATAATGAGTCAAGATCGTGCCACTGCACTCCAGCTGGGCGACAGAGTGAGACTTTAACAACAATAACAACAACAACAGAAAACACAGGAATAGATTTATATCCATTGATTTATATATGCTGCAAAAAGATATAGCTAAGTTAAAAAAATTAATTTGTAGTTATATATATTTGCTTTTGTATACTTGTGAAAATTTTCTGCAAGAATATATAAAAACCATTAAAGGTTATCTCTACTGAGTAGGACTAAAAATGTAGAAAAATATTTTCATTCCAGTTTAAATTTTTCTGCACTCTGAGATTGTTACCATGTGTGACTTTTCAAACTTTATTTAAAAAATTTTAATTATACACATAAATCACGATTACACAGTAAGCAGTTTGGTGTGTGTATTCCTCCAGACTTTTTTCTGTATACTTTTGTAGCATATAGTTTCATGTTAAAATATTTGATTTTTCTATTACACATATATTTTTTCATGAATAAAATTATATCATAGCTGTTTTTGTATACACACACACACATATATATATATATATATATACACATGTATATATATTTATTTATTTTTGTAGACAAGGGCTTGCTCCGTCACCCAGGCTGGAGTTCAGTGGCATGATCTTGGCTCACTGTAGCCTTAAGCTCCCAGGTTCAAACAATCCTCCCACCTCAGCCTCCTGAGTCGCTGAGACTACAAGAGTGCACCAAGGTTTTACCAAGTTTCCCAGGCTGATCTCCAACTTCTGGGCTCAAGGGATCTTCCTGCCCCAACCTCCCAAAGTGCTAGGATTATGGTCATGAGCCACCATGCCCAACCTTATTTTTTCCTATATTGTAGAGCTGGTTTTTTGCTAATGTATATAGATCCACCTCATTTTTTAAAACTGCTGAATAGTGATTAAATTATGAATACTATAGTTAAATCAGTCCTCAAATAATGGATATTTAGGCTGCTCAGCCACTTGATATTTCAATAAATGCTATAAATGAATGCATTTTTACTTCCTTCCTTGTATACACTTACCCCTCTTCGTGCATATGGAGAGGTATTTTTCTAGAATAGGTATATTATTTTACAATTAAAAATACTTTGAAAAAGAAGAATGCTTTGGGAAGTTAGTAGAAAAATTTCTTTGAGATATAAGTAACCAAAAATATAAATAGAATATATATTTAAAAGATTAAGATGTCTCTCTACATGTCATTGGAAAGTAGCCAAAGAAAATAAAATAAAACAAAATAAAAAGACAAAAATCCACCCCATAGACCATGTGCCTGACACTTGGTATTTTTTAATTTTTTAGATAGAGTCTTGCTTTGTTGCCCAGGCTGGAGTGCAGTGATATGATCTCAGCTCACTGCAACCTTCACCTTCTGGGCTCAGGTGATCCTCCTGCCTCAGTCTCCCAAGTAGCTGGGACTGCAGGCACGCACCACCACACCTGGCTAATTTTTGTACTTTTAGTAGAAACGAGGTTTCACCATGTTGGCCAGGATAGTCTCAAACTCCTGACCTCATGTGATCGGTCTGCCTCAGCCTCCCAAAATGCTGGGATTACAGGCGTGAGCCACCGTGTCCAGCCAATTTTTGAATTTTACATATATATAATCAAACTTGGGGATTTGTAACAGAAGAAATAAATTAAATGAACATAAACAGGAATATGGAGCAGAATCCTCAGGGACCCCAGACAAAGTGGAGTTGGAGAGTGAAGGTTTCCTCAGTCTTGAGCAGGTCGTGGATCAGGGAGACTGGCCGAACTTGTTCATCAGAAACCATGCCGGTCCACACACTCACAGGCAGCTGCAAAATGCCGACTCCCCATTTTGTCCTAATGGTAACCTTTCTCCAAGCACTTGAAAGTAACTGGGTAAGTGGCACCACTCACTATCACCCCTAGTGACCCACTAGCAAAATTTTTGCTTCCTGTGCCAGTGACATTACATTCTGCTTGCCTGGAGGTCTTAGGTCCAGAGGGAGGAACGCTGCCACCAGCAGACACAACAATGATTCCGTTATACAGGAAGTCAAGATTGCCACTGGACACTTCAGACTCCTCCTGCCTTTACGTCAACAGACTAAGAAGGGAGTTACAGTGTACTACAGAGTTACAGTGTTGTACAGAGTTACAGTGTTGATTGTCCAGGTGATTGACCCCATCTATCAAAATGAAATCAGTCTACTACTCCGCAGTGGAGGTAAGGAAGAGTATGCATGGAATACAGGAGATTCCTTAGAGTGTCTCTTGGTATTACCATGCCCTGTGATTGTGTCCGGAATTGGTGGGTTCTTGGGCTCACTGACTTCAAGAATGAAGCCGCGGACCCTCGCGGTGAGTGTTACAGCTCTTAAGGTGGCGCGTCTGGAGTTTGTTCCTTCTGATGTTCGGATGTGTTCGGAGTTTCTTCCTTCTGGTGGGTTCGTGGTCTCGCTGGCTCAGGAGTGAAGCTGCAGACCTTTGCAGTGAGTGTTACAGCTCTTAAGGCTGCGAGTTTCTTCCTTCTGGTGGGTTCGTGGTCTCACTGGCTCAGGAGTGAAGCTGCAGACCTTCGTGGTGAGTGTTACAGCTCTTAAGGCAGCGCGTCTGGAGTTGTTCGTTCCTCCCGGTGGGCGCATGGTCTCGCTGGCTTCAGGAATGAAGCTTCAGACTTTCGTGGTGAGTGTTACAACTCATAAAAGCAGTGTGGATCCAAAGACTGAGCAATAGCAAGATTTGTTGCAAAGCGCGAAAGAACAAAGCTTCCACAGCCTGGAAGGGGACCCCAGCGGGTTGCCACTGCAGGTTCCGGCAGCCTGCTTTTATTCTCTTATCTGGGCCCACCCACATCCTGCTGATTGATAGAGCAGAGTGGTCTGTTTTGTCAGGGCGCTGATTGGTGCGTTTACAATCCCTGAGCTAGACACAAAGGTTCTCCAGTCCCCACTAGATCAGCTAGATACAGTGTGTGGACACAAAGGTTCTCCAAGGCCCCACCAGAGTAGCTAGATACAGAGTGTCCATTGGTGCATTTACAAACCCTGAGCTAGACACAGGGTGTTGATTGGTGTGTTTACAAACCTTGAGCTAGACACAGAGTGCCGATTGGTGTATTTACAATCCCTGAGCTAGACATAAAGGTTCTCCACGTCCCCACCAGACTCAGGAGCCCAGCTGGCTTCACCCAGTGGATCCCGCACGGCGGCTGCAGGTGGAGCTGCCTGCCAGTCCTGCGCCGTGCGCCTGCACTCTCAGCCCTTGGGTGGTCAATGGGAGTGGGTGCCATGGAGCAGGGGGCGGCGCTTGTCGGGGAGGCTCCAGCTGCACAGGAGCCCATGGCTGGGGGGAGGCTCAGGCGTGGGGGGCTGCAGGTCCCGAGCTCTGCCCCACAGGAAGGCAGCTAAGGCCCCGCGAGAAATTGAGCTCAGTGCCGGTGGGCTGGCACTGCTGGAGGACCCAGTACACCATCCGCAGCCGCTGGCCCGAATGCTAAGCCCCTCATTGCCCGGGGCCGGCAGGGCCGGCCGGCTGCTCCGAGTGCAGGGCCTGCCAAGCCCACGCCCACCCCGAACTCCAGCTGGCCCGCAAGCGCCGCGCGCAGCACCGGTTCCCGCTTGCGCCTCTCCCTCCACACCTCCCTGCAAGCTGAGGGAGCGGGGTCCGGCCTTGGCCAACCCAAGAAGGGGCTCCCACAGTGCAGCGGTGGGCTGAAGGGCTCCTCAAGTGCCGCCAAAGTGGGAGCCCAGGCAGAGGAGGCGCGGAGAGTGAGCGAGGGCTGTGAGGACTGCCAGCACGCTGTCACCTCTCATGATGAAGGTCAATGGAAAACTACAACAACCCAATCAAGGCAGAACTACAAATGGCCCAGACCCTTCAGAAATGAAAGTTTGGGTCACTCCACCAGGTAAGAAAACACAACCAGCCCAGGTGCTTGCTGAAGACAAAGGGAGTACATGATGGGCAGTAGAGGAAAGTAGTCATCAATACCAGCTACGACCACGTGACCAGCTGCAGAAACAGGGACTGTAATTGTCATATTTCCTCCTTATTTATGTATTTATTTAGAGACAAAGTTTCGCTCTTTTTGCCCAGGCTGGAGCGCAATGGTGCGATCTCAGCTCACCGCAACCTCCGCCTCCCTGGTTCAAGAGATTCTCCTGCCTCAGTCTCCCGAGTAGCTGGGATTACAGGCATGCGCCACTACCCCTGGCTAATTTTATATTTTTAGTAAAGACGGAATTTCCTCATGTTCGTCAGGCTGGTATCAAACTCCCCACCTCAGTTGAACCGCCCACCTCGGCCTCCCAAATTGCTGGGATTACAGGTGTGAGCCACCATGCCTGGCCTCCTGCTTATTTTGTTAAGAACATGTTTGTGCATACATACACTTGTACAAAGGAAATATCTTCATTTTATCTCCTTTCTTTTTCCTTTATCATGTTACATAAGATTTATTGACTTCATATCAGCATTTAAGTGTTGTTAACTTTATATAATAGCATTTAGGTTAAGCATTAGCGTGCTTCCAGTTGTACAAAGGATAGCTGTATTACGTTAGGCATAATTACAACCTTATTATTGTCTGTATTTGGAGACTAAGTATGATTTCAGGAGATGTGTATGGGTTCAAGTTGACAAGGGGTGGACTTGTAATGGTTAATATTAGGTGTCAACTGGATTGGATTGAAGGATGCCTAGATAGCTGGTAAAGTATTGTTTCTGGGTGTGTCTGTGAGGCTGTTGCCAGAGGAGCTTAACTTTTGAGTCAGTGGACTGGGAGGGGAAGACTAACCCTCAGTGTGGGTGGGCTCCATCCAATCCACTGCTGGCACGACTAGAACAAAGCAGGTGGAACAAGATGGGATAAGCTGGCTTGCTGAGTCTTCTGGTTTTCATCTTTCTCCTGTGCTGGTTGCTACCTGCCCTTGGACATCAGACTCCAGTTTTTTAGCTTTTGGACTCCTGGATTTACATCAGTGGTTTGCCAAGGACTCTCAGGCCTTTGGCCACAGACTGAAGGCTGCACTGTTGGCTTCTCTACTTTTGAGGCTTTCAGACCCAGACTGAGCCACTGCTGGCTGCTTTCTCCCCCAGCTTGCAGGTGGCCTAATGTGGGACTTTGCCTTGTGATCAAGTGAGTCAATTCTTCCTAATGAACTCTCTTTCATATATATATGTAGCCTATTAGTTCTGTTCCTCTGGAGAAACTGACTAGTGAAGTAACAATCATAAATTCTTTGAAAGCATTTTTTCAGTCAGGCATGGTGGCTCACACCTGTAATCCCAGCACTTTGGGAGGCTGAGGCGGGCGGATCACCTGAGGTCGGGAGTTTGAGAACAGCCCGACCAACATGGTGAAACCCCATCTCTACTAAAAATATAAAATTAGCCAGATGTGGTGGTGGGCGCCTGTAATTCCAGCTACTCAGGAGGCCGAGGCAGGAAAACTGCTTGAACCCGGGAGGCAGAGGATGCAGTGAGCTGAGATCATGCCATTGTACTCCAGCCTGGGCAACACAAGTGAAACTCCGTATCAAAATAAGAAAGTATTTTTTCTCATACGTTACACATTTTTAACTGATGTTTATCTTTTAATGAGAAATCAACAGTGTTTAAGCTAGAGATTCAGAGTTTACATGGTCTAAAAGAAGACCTTTAAAACTTTAAGAGTTTTTCTCATCTATTTAAACCCTAGTTTGCAACATTTTTTCTGTCTGGCCCCTAATAATAATTATTTCCTGCAATCACCAAGACTTTCATCATTCTGCCTCATCCCCCTCAACCAAACTGTAGATACTCTAAGGTGTAACCCATCACGCACAACCCAGCATTGAACACACAACGAATGGTGTTGAATTGGACTCAAAGAAAAACAAGGGAAAAGGTGTAAAAATAAGATACTAATGGAAGATAGGAAGTGAAATCAAACAAAGCAAGAAGGATAGTTTAGAAAGAGAGATATGGCCAGATGCAGTGACTCACACTTGCAATCACAATGCTTTGGGAGGCCAAGGCAAGAGGACTGCTTGAGGCCAGGAGTTTGAGACCAGCCTTGTCAACATAGTGAGACTCTGTCTCTACAAAACATTTTTTAAAGTTAGTTGGATGTGGTGGCTGTTACTGTAGTCCTAGCTACTCGGGAGGCTGAGGTGGGAGGATCTCTTGAGCCTAGGAGTCTGAAGTTTGCAGTGATTTATGATTGTGTCACCACACTACAGCCTAGGCGACAGAGCAAGACCCTGTCTCTAATAATACATAAATACATAAATAGGAGAGAGAGAGAAAGAAAGAGACAGATGGAAAGAAGAGGTGTGGAGGAACAGTGAGGAGAAGGCTGAGGGGCAGTGAAGGGCCAGCACTCATGGTCTTCATGAGTTAGATCAATATGTCCACAGGAGGATCTGTGTGAAACACCAACAGGGCTGGTAGGAAAATGAACAGCGCAGCATGCCCAAGGCAAGGCAGGGGAGGACAAGCCACATCCTCAAACATCCATGCTGACAGTGAGTGGCACGCTGATTCCAGGAGGTGAGCATGTGGCCACGTGGGTGATGGGCTCCTGTCATGTTACTAGAGCACCAATAGCAGTGGATTCATATTTGAGCAGGTTTGCTCTGGTTCTTGTCAGAGCCTTGCCACTTTACTCCCATAACACCCCTGGGTCTGTGGATGATTTCCCATCCATGGCACAAGCATTCAATCCCAACAGCAATCTCCGAATTTCATAAATCATCTAGAGGGAAGAGAGAAAAACAGCTTCTCAGGCCACTACTTGATGGTATACCTCGAGCCTGAGATGATAAGCAAAACAGAAAGTTTTCACCCCAAATTTTAGGGTCCGAATAAAGAAGTCCTTTTTAAGCCAGATGCAGTGGATCACACCTGTAATCCCAGTGCTTTGAGAGGCCAAGCACTTTGAGAGTCTGAAGCGGGACAATCACTTGAGGCCAGGAGTTTGAGACCAGAGTAGGCAACATAGTGAGATCTCATCTCTTAAAAAGAACAACAAAAAATGTAAATCCTTTTCAGAATGTCTACAGAACATACTTTCTTTGATCCCAAATTATATGATATAGATATCTCTGCTTTCCATCTCTAAATGCTTGGACATCACTTATTATTTTAGGGGGTCCTTTTATTCTGAGCACATTTGCCCATAATGGCCTCTCTTTCTCCCAGAGACGATGTGGTATCAGGGAAACAGCATGGAGTCAGAAAACTTAGCTTGAGTCCCAGCTCCTATAACTTACTCCTCTGAGCCTCACTTTCCTTATCTGTACAATGGACAAAATGAGACTTATCTCAAAAGGTGATGGTAAGGATTAAATCCCTTACTCTAGGAACTCATGAAATTTTACCTTCCTTCCTGTCTCCAACCCTCCCACTTCTGCATATTGTAAACCACAGAAGAGAAGAGGTCGGGCAAACACAGTTCTCTCTGTGGGTATCCACCACAGCACTGCATGTAATTAAATACTTGATAAGTGCTTTTTGATTAAGTTCAGCAGCATCATAGCAGGCAAAAAGCACCTTGCTCAATCGCTCTGATTAGATGTTTTTCCTTGGCAGAGGCTCAGATGGCACCAATGCTAAATTCAGAGTGTTGTTTTGGCAAATCATATAACGATGCTTCAATTCATTTTTCCCCAAGATAATCCTCTCTCTTTTAGTTTTTTGTTTTTCTAATTTTGGGAGGATAATTCTCACACCTGTCTTACAGCTCTGCTTCTGTGCCTCTGGACAGTCAGATGTCTTGAATTTGAGGGCCTTTGGTCAATAACATAGTTATGGAACATAGAAACAGGGAAGTGTTGAAGCTGGGGTTAGTCAGAGAGCCTGAAGAAGTAGTGTGTCACTCATTACTGTCACCTGCCACCTCACAGGACAGGAAGAGAGGGGCAGCTATGAAGGTGAGGCTTTCAGAAGGAACCAAGATGGTAGCTGTGATCTTCTCGCCCTTCTCCCTTCCCTAATTTCCACAGGAAACAGTTTACACCAGGTATTTGTAGATTCTGTAGGATTTTCTGAGAACTTGGGCCTTTCCTGGTGGCTTAACTTTTTTTATTTATTAATTTTTTTTATTTCTGAGAGAGAGACAGAGAGTGTCTCACTCTGTTGCCCAGACTTCAGTGATCTTGGCTCACTGCAATCTTGACTTCTTGGGCTCAAGTCATCTTTCTACCTCAGTCTCCTGAGTAGCTGGGACTACAGGCATGCACCACCATGCATGGCTGATTTTTAAATTTTTTATAGGGAGTCTCACTGTGTTGCCCAGTGTGGTCTTGAACTCCTGGGTTCAAGCGATCTTCCCACCTCAGCCTCCCGAGTAGTTGGGAATACAGGCGTGTGCTACCATGTCTGGCTAATGCTTATCTTTTGTTACCTGAGCAGGCCCTGGACGACCTATACCCTTTTCCCCAAGTAGATTATCAAAATGTTTATTTCAAGCAAGCTCAGAGATGTCCCTAGGAGAAAGTATTCTGTGGCATGAAACTTTCTCCATCTCTTTGCCCCTTCCTTCTCCTCTGCTCCACACCACATCCCCTGCACCACTCTAGCAGCTGCTTCCTAGAGTAAGCAATGAGGTTTGGGCAGGATGCAATGCCCGTCCCTATGCTTTTGGGGGCTGCAAACTATCTAGAAGCCTTAGGAGCTGACTTACCTCATGCTAGCTGAACAGCTTGATTGTGAGGTCCCCCAAACCATGTTTGCATTCAGAGGTGCAGTTCTCAGACTTCCCACTGGGTAGCGCTGTTTCTCTTTTTTTGCTTTAGCTATTTGTCAGAGGGAGACAGCAGACTGTCACCTTTTCTCATCAAATAGGACAAATATTTAGTGTTTCTGGCTAAACACTTGGAGATAGATGTTCATGTTTCCTTTTAGTGACATATTGGAAAAGGCTTTATAGCGGATACGAAAGAAGCGAAGTGAGGTATTATTTGAATAGCACTTAGTATGTTTCAGGTATTGTGCTAGGAGGTTGATATATCTAAACATCCAAAGACTGAATTTAAAATATGAGACCTCGACTAATATACCTCAACTATCATCATCATCGTCGTCGTCCTCCTCCTCCTTCTCCTCCCTAATGCCAGATCTTTGAGTGCAACATGAAGCTTTTGCTGTATACCTGTATACAGTCCTCTTTAGGCAGGGAATAGGAGAATGAAGCCACATTGCATAACCAAAATTCTTTAACTGTGAATTTGAAAAGAGACATTCTAGGTGCCTTTATTTTCTCTTTCTCAAGAAGGAGAGCAGGGAAAGGATATTAATATTTATTAAATACCTACATGCCCACCATATATCAGATATTATGCTGCTGCTTTATAAAGGTTATCTCATTAAGCAATGGCTCACGCCTGTAATCCCAACACTTTGGGAGGCCAAGGCAGGTGGATCACTTGAGGTCAGGAGTTCGAGATCAGCCCGGCCAAATGGCGAAATCCCGTCTCTGCCAAAAAATACAAAAATTAGCCGGGCATGGTGGTGGGCGCCTGTAATCCCAGCTACTCGGTAGGCTGACGCAGGAGAATTGCCTGAACCTGGGAGGTGGAGGTTGCAGTGAGCTGAGATTGTGCCATTGCACTCCAGCCTGGGCAACAGAGTGAGACTTTGTTTCAAAAACAACAACAACAACAAGAAAGCAGGTGTTTCTGGTGGGAAATAGTTTTTCTGTTTTCTGAAATTATTTTAAAATTACAAGATTGGGAAACTCAAATAAGATTGCTGTGTTGTCAAAAAAATTGATGTTATATGTTCACGCTTTTTAAAACCATTTCCTTTAATATTGCCTTTATAGAAATGTTAGATCACTGGAAATTTTAAACTAAATGGGAGGCAACAATAAAACTGTTTCATTGCAGAGTTTGAGTCAGTTCATCTAATTTTTCAGCAGATATCATATTCAGTGAGTCTGCAGATTTTAGGGAGTTTCGTTTTTTGCTCCAAGGAAAGAGATTAAATGACCTTTACATGCTTACATAACAGCATAATAGAGATAGGAGAATAATTTCTCTTTTTTTTTTTGAAATGAAAGTTATTGCTTTATTTGTTTTTGTAGTACTATAACATTTTAAGCTTCGCCAATATGGAAAATAAATAATTTTCTGAGCTACCTTTCACTGCTACATCTGAGAATTCTGTGCTCAATTCCTACCTACACTGTGAAGGAATCATTTCATTTGGTTCTCTGCTTTAGGTTTTCTTCAGCCTATCAACAGAAGGTTAAGGAGGGAGTGAAACTTGTTTCCTCAAGAGAGTCTGTCTGATTATCGGAATATTTCCTTCTCCTCCACTATTTTCATGCTAAATTTGGGCACCTGACAAACTTGAGGGTATCTAACGCCTGGTTACAGATATCCCTAGCAATTCAGATGACCTTTTCAAGTACCTACTCCTATTAACTCAATAACAGTGATGAAATCAACCAGAAACAAAGTCCCTTAGAATATAGGTATTGTAAATATTCTAATTTTGCTTCAGCTATTTATGAAACAACTTTTAAGATTTCCTGCCATCTGTTTCTAAAAGGGGAAGGAAAGGGAAATGATTTGCAAGCATTTGAAACATGGTGTCTATATTTAGATTTTGGTTTAATCTCACATTTCTGCAGTATCTTTAGTTGGGGAAGGAAGGCTTAGTTAGTTAGTGTTGCTCCAATTCGTTAGGACATTTCCTCATGGTATTGGAGGAACATGGGATGATTCAGTTTCATGAATCAAGGATTTTTGAGTTCCTCTTGTTTGCGAGGCATCATGCTAGACATCTTCTAGTGTATTGGTATGTTCATTTGCTAGGGTTGCCATTAGAAACTACCAAAGACTGGGTGGCTTACACAACAGAAATGGATTTTTCTACAGTTCTAAAAGTTGGAAGTTTGAGATCAAGGGGATGGCAGAGTTGATTTCTTCTTATTCTTTTCTTGGTTTACAGATGGCGTCTTCTGTCTTCACATGATCTGTGTTTGCAAATGTCTGGGCACAAACACTCTCTTCTTATAAGGATGCCAGTTATATTGGGTTAGGACACACCCTAAAGACCTCATTTTAGCTTTTTTTTTTTTTTTTTTTTGAAACAGAGTCTCACTCTTACTTCATCACACAGGCTGGAGTGCAGTGGCACGATCTTGGCTCACTGCAGCCTTCACTTCCCAGGTTCAAGTGATTTCCATACCTCAGCCACCCAAGTAACTGGGATTACAGGTGCGCACCACCACACTCGGTTAACTTTGTTTAGTATTTTTAGTAGAGATGGGGTTTCACCATGTTGTCCAGTCTGGTCTGAAACTTCTGACCTCAAGGGATCCACCCACCCCGGCCTCCCAAAGTGCTGGTATTGCAGGCGTGAGACACCACACCCAGACTATTTCAGTTTATTCTTTATGAAGTAGATGCTATTACTATTCTTATTTTACAGATAAGAAACTGAGGCTCAGAGAAGTTACATAGGTCTCACATATAAGTGTGTGACAGAACAGTCAGTTAGTCTAACTTCAACAAATACATGTTTGATTTCCATGCCAGGGTGAGTGAGATTGTGTATAACTAGGAAGGCAACAAGACAAAAGGAGTGAAGGAGGAAGGTTTGAAAGGAAGGTTGAGGAGAGATAAGAAATGAATTTTGAGAGGTAAGTGTGTAGTCAGGAAGGGCCTTGTCAAGTTGTAACCTGAGATTTTATCCTATAAGTGATGGGTAGTCACTGAAGTGAATTTATTTATTTATTTATTTTTAATTTCTATTTTTTTTCAGTTGGAGTCTGGCTCTCTGTCACCCAGGCTGGAGTGCAATGATGTGATCTCAGCTCACTGCAACCTCCACCCCCTAGGTTCAAGTGCTTCTCCTGCCTCAGCCTCCCAAGTAACTGGGATTACAGGCATGCACCACCATGTCCAGCTAATTTTTGTATTTTTAGTAGAGACGGGGTTTTGCCATGTTGGCCAGACTGGTCTCGAACTCCTGACCTCAAGTAATCCTTCTGCCTCAGCCTCCCAAAGTGCTGTAATTACAGGCATGAGCCACCACACCTGGCCTGAAGTGAATAAATTTAATATAGAAAGATCTCTCTGGATTTACTCTGATGAGTAGACTTTGCATGTGTGTGCATGGGGTAGTAGGCTATGGGTGGGGTGTGGCAGGAAATACAACAGTGTGTTCAGGGAAATCAGATAGAAGTCTATGGCCAAAGTGCAAATGCGAGACAGTGGTGGCTGACCTACTGGGATGAGTACCATTGGTTGGATGGGGGAGGGATGGGTAAAAGGGAGGTAAAAGGATATTCAGGTATCTGACTGGAGCCATTGATGGTGTCAGTCATGAAGAAAGAGATCAAAAGAAGACGAATAGTTTTGAGAAGGGTGGAAATGACTTCAGTTTTGGACCTGTTGAATTTGGTTACTGGTGAGAAAATCAAGAAGAGATGAATAGTAAGCCATTGGATATATGCTTCTGGAGCTCAGGAAGAGTGATCTGGGCTAGAGATTTAGGTTAGGCAGGCATCAGCCTATAGATGTCAACTAAAACCATTAGAAACGATCAGATGGGCCAGGCACGGTGGCTCATGCCTGTAATCCCAGCACTTTGGGAGACCAAGGTGGGTGGATCACCTGAGGTCAGGAGTTCGAGACCAGCCTGGCCAACATGGTGAAACACCATCCTACTACATATACAAAAAAATTATCTGGCCATGATGGCGGGCACCTGTAATCCCAGCTACTTGGGAGGCTGAGGCAGGAGGATTGCTTGAACCCAAGAGGTGGAGGTTGCAGTGAGCCAAGATTGCACCATTGCACTCCAGCCTGGGTAACAAGAGTGAAACTCTGTCTCAAAAAAAAAGAAAGAAAGGATGAGATGACAAGAGAGGATGTTTAGAGCCAAAACGAAAGAGGGCCGAGGATAAACCCTTAGGAATGGCAATATTTTAAAAATGGACATGAAGGCTGGGTGTGGTGGCTCCCACATGTAATTCCAGCACTTTGGGAGGCCAAGGCAGTAGAATTGCATAAGCCCAGGAGTTTGAGACCAGGCCGGGCAACATAGTGAGACCCCATCTCTATTTCAAAAAATTAAAAATTATATTTAAAAAATGAACATAGAATAAAAGCAGCAACAGATAACTGTGCTGTCAAGGAAATCAAGGTAAGGTCAGTTGAGTCCAGGTAAAAAAGAGTTTCAGGAATGATTGGTCTACACTGTTCACAGCTGCTGAAATTTAATTAGAAGAACCGAGCCACATCTATTGTATTTAGCAACAAGGAGGTGCCACTGAAGTTGACAAAAGCAATCCAGTGTAGTTGTGTGAGTGAAAGCCATATGACTGATGGAGGAAAATAACCATACGATAGAGAACTGGAGACAGTGGAGTGGCGCAACCAGTTAAGAAGTTTGGCTGTGAAGGGTAATAGACAGGGTACTAGGTTGAAGTAAAGTTTTGTTGTTGTTTTAAGAAGGAAGAGGCTGGGTGCGGTGGCTCATGCCTGTAATCCCAGCACTTTGGGAGGCCGAGGCGGGCAGATCACCTGAGGTCAGGAGTTTGAGACTAGCCTGACCAACATGGTGAAACCCTGTCTCTACAAAAATACAAGAATTAGCTGGACATGGTGGCAGGTGCCTGTAATCCCAGCTACTTGGGAGGCTGAGGCGAGAGAATCCTTTGAACCTGGGAGGCAGAGGTTGCAGTGAGCCGAGATCACTCCATTGCATTCCAGCATGGGTGACTCTGTCTCAAAAAAAAGAAGGAAAGAAGATGACGCAGAGTTCACCTATATGCTGATGATCAGTAGGGAGAAAGAGGTTGGGGATGCAGGAGACTGAGGAATAACTGATTGAGAAAGATCCTTGAGGTAAAAAGAGAGAGAAGCAACCTATAACTTGAACATGGGAGAGAGCCTAGGGGAATGTAGACCTTTACATTGGTGGCCACAATGAGCCACGTCTCTCTTGTGTAGTCCATTCCCACAGTGACAGCCTCGATGTGTGATTTGTTTTGGCCAATGGTGTGTTAGCCAGTGTGATGCAAGCAGAGGCTAGGTGTTTGTACGCCAAGGTTTGTGCTCTTGGAGCACTTGTTTTGAAACATCAAGCCACTGTGTAAAGAGGAAAAGAACCACCTACCTCAGTCCAGTCCCAGTGACAGATTTTTAAGCAAATAAATAGTGTTATTTTAAGTTACCAAGTTTTGAGTGGTTAGTTACAATAGCAACTGAACCGAGATCCAGATGGATCTAGCTTATATACTAGAAGCATCTAGTATATAAGCTAATATACTAGATGCTATATTATACTAGAAGCATCTTCTAGTATATAAGCTAATAGAGCAAACCTCTTGCAGATAACAATGATAAACTCTGGAAATAATACAAAAAACAACTATCTGAGGGTTCTGATGAATGAACAAAAGCAATACGTTTGTTACTTTTCTGTGAAGCCTGTTGAGGAAAAAAGAGAAAAAAAGCAGTAAGTTGTTGGAGAAGAGTTGAAACTTAGAGGAAGGGACTATGACAGGGTGGGTTTCTTATTTGCAGCTTTGTTTTGAGTGAAGGGCACAGTCACAGCAGAGCACAGAGCAGCTACAACTCCAGTAAAAAGACAGCCATATTTCTGGTTTGAAGAATAAGCTTATGGCAAACAATTGAGGCATGAGACAGAAATACTGAGAAGGAAGCCAGAAATTTTGTACATAAACTTTGCCCTACCCTAATCTGGCCTGACTCCTGAACCATGCATGGTGTCAGACTCCAAGCTGAAGTGTAGCTGAAGGTAAAGAACAGAAGTAATATTTGAGCTGCCATCCACCATAGGTGAGTTAAAGTTTGCTGCTTGATTCTAACCAAATTAACTGTCTGCTAAAACAAAACTATCAACATTCTTGAGAGAAATATAATAGAATCTAGAATCTGTATAACATGCACAACGTCCAGAATACAACCCAAAGTTTCTTTTTTTGTGTGTGTATGAGATGGAATCTCACTCTGTCGTCCAGGCTGGAGTGCAGTGGTGTGATCTCGTCTCACTGCAATCTCCACCTCTCAGGCTCAAGTGATCCTCCCACCTCAGCCTCTTGAGTAGCTGGGACTACAGGTGTGCACCACCACACCTGGCTAAGTTTTGTATTTTTAAGTGGAGATGGGGTTTTGCCATGTTGGCCAGGATAGCCTCAAACTCCTGACCTCAGGTGATCCACCCGTCTTGGCCTCCCAACATGCTAGGATTACAGGCGTGAGCCACTGTGCCCAGCCAAAGTTTCTTGACATATAAAGAACAAGGAAAATGTGGCCCATCCTCGAGGGAAAGAAAATCGGCAGAGGTCAACTATGAGATGACTCAGATGTTAGAATATAAGCAGCTATTGTAACTATGCTCAATGAGATAAAGGAAAATATTCTCATAATAGATCTGGATAGGATTTGTAGAAGGAGAGGGAAACAGGGGAGAAAGAAGGGCAACTGACTTACACAGACAAGTTCTTCATTTCCCTCTGTCAGGTCCACAGCAAGCATTTGACTGTCCTTTCATGGTGGCAAGGGTAAGTACCTTGGGAAGGGCAGTCTGTATTTTCTTGAAAAAGCTTCTGTTGATAGAAAAGTTACTGTTTCAAGGCAGAGAAAAATGAATAAAATTTGACTGGATGTTCTGTGTTGGGAGTAGGAAAAATGGAAAAGAAGCAGCATGATATGGAATCTAAAGAACCAGCCTAAAACCTGGTTTAAAGCTGTTAATTGATTACATAATCTTAGGCATATTTCTTAACTTTTTTGAGCCTCAAATTTTCTCCTTGCAAAAGGGGGACATTAATAACACTTGCTCCAAGAGATTGCAGAGACCAATTAAATAAATATAATGTATGTGTAAGTATATTTTGTAAAGTATGTCTTGGAAATGTTAGTGAAACATAACACTCTAAATTTGGCACAAGATATAACAAGATAAGGGTTTTTATTTTGAAGAAGATTTGGAAATAAAAACATAAAAATAAAGTAAGAGTGTTTTCAGCAATGTTTTCTGTCAGACTATTTTAGTGAAATTTTTCTTTCTTTCCAGCTACAAATCCAATTAAAGAAATTTAGTTATTGAGAAATATAGTTAACTTTAAGTACAGTTTACAAATATAACTTATGGCTTTTTTGCATATAAATAAAGTCTGACTTTAGGCCAGGCACCAGTGGCTCATGTCTGTAATCCCAACACTTTGGGAGGGCGAAGTGGGCAGATCATTAAAGGTCAGGAGTTTGAGACCAGCCTGGCCAATATGGTGAAACCCTGTCTCTGCTAAAAACACAAAAATTAGCTGGGTGTGGTGGCCGGCACCTGTTGTCCCAGCTACTCGGAAGACTGAGGCAGGAGAATCCCTTGAACCCAGGGGCAGAGGTTGCAGTAAGCCAAGATCACATGATTGCATTCCAGCCTGGGCAGCAGAGTGAGACTTTGCCTCAAAAAAAAAAAGTCTGACTTTAAAACACTAAAAAAAAATTTTGTGTGTGCCCCACCCTATCTAAAATGATTTTTATATACTATATTTTTCTCACATATAATGGTATGGTGCTATGATGTCATATCTTTATGTCTTTCCTTATAAAGTTCCACCTGTGAAATATTAGCTGTCTCTCTCTCTCTCACCCATATTAAAAAATGAATGACATTCATTGAGTATTAGGAAGTAAGTTTAAAACAAATCTTGGCTGGACGCAGTGGCCCATGCCTGTAATCCCAGCACTTTGGGAGGCTGAGGCAGGTGGATCACCTAAGGTTAGGTTAGCAGTTTGAGACCAGCCTGACCGACATGGTGAAACCCCATCTCTACTAAATACAAAAAATTAGCCAGGCATGGTGGCGTGTGCCTGTAATCTCAGCTACTTGGGAGGCTGAGGCAGGAGAATCACTTGAACCCAGGAGGTGGAGATTGCAGTGAGAAGAGATTGTGCCATTGCACTCCAGCCTGGGCGACAAAGTGAGACTATCTCGAAAAAAAAAAGACAAATCTTATCAGCTATGTTTAACTAAAACATATTTAATCTAAGAAATTCTCTTTGCAAAGTAGTAAAAGATCAAGACACTCTGCCAGGCATGGTGACTCACACCTGAAATCCTAGCACTTTGAGAGGCCGAGGCGAGTGGATCACTTGAGGCCAGGAGTTCAAGACCAGCCTGACCAAGATGGTGAAACCCCATCTCTACTACAAATACTCCCAAAAATTTAGCCTGGTGTGGTGGTGTGTACCTGTAACCCCAGCTACTCTGGACGCTGAGATAGGAGAATTGCTTGAACCCTGGAAGTGGAGGTTGCAGTGAGCCAAGATCACATGACTGCACTCTAGCCTGAGTGGCAGAGCAAGACTCTGTCACAAAAAAAAAAAAAAAAAGACACTCATTGACATTTCTGTAAGTATATCTACTTCTTTAACATTGAGATGATCACAGAACTGATCTTACAGGTACTATATGTAGCTGCCTATGTTGTTTGGCTCAAGTAGTACTTAGATGCCTTTTTTTTTCTTTCTTTTTCCTTTTTTTAGTGATGGAATCTCACCATGTTGCCCAGGCTGGTCTTGACCTCCTGGCGTCAAGCAGTCCTCCTGCCTCTGCCTCCCAAAGTGCTGAGATTACAGGCATGAGCCTCTGTCCCTAACCGAGATGCCATTTTTATTCATCCCAAAGTGGAGTGACATGAATATCTGAAATTTCATTGTCAGAAAATGGCATAGCACTTTGTTCCTTACTGAAATTAAACTATTTCTAAGAGGAGAATGTTTAAAATTTCCATCACAATTTGTAGTTTTATGTGAATTAGTTCACTAAATCTTTGCTTAAGAGCGTGGAGAAGATACAAAAATGAAGGTTCTTCTTCTCCAAATTACAGGTTCTCAGAATGTGTGGACAAAGGCAACCAAAATAAAATAAAATAGGTAGAAAAAGGCAACCAAAATAAAATCAAATAAAGAATATATATATTTAATATTGTATATTTAAATGCCTACAGGATATTGCTGCTAGAATGTCTAACAGGCATGTCAAATTTAAAATATCAAAAACAGAACTCTTGATTTTTTGTATCCTTCTCCTCCATTGACTACTCCTTATCATTGGCTAGAAAACCTACCTTTCAACCAGTTTCTAAGGCCAAGAAACTTGGAGGTCACTCATGTTAAAGTCAACAGCAAATCCTATTGACTCTAGTTGTAAAATGTATTAAAAATCTATCTCCCAGCCCAGGTGTGGTGGCTTACGCCTGTAATCCCAGCACTTTGGGAGGCCGAGGCAGGCGGATCACTAGAGGTCAGGAGCACGAGATCAGCCTGGCCAACATGGTGAAACCCTGTCTCTATCAAATATACAAAAATTAGCCAGGTATGGTGGCACACGCCTGTGATCCCAGCTACTCGGGATGCTGAGGCAGGAGAATCACTTGAACCTGGAGACAGAGGTTGCAGTGAGCCGAGATCAAACCACTGCACTCCAGCCCGGGTGACAGATCGACATTCCATCTCAAAAAAAAAAAAAAAAAAAATCTGTTTCCCACTACCTCTTCTAATCTAGACCATTACTACATCTCACCTGGACTATTTCAATAGCTTTCTAATTAGTTTTTCTATTTCAATCCTTATCTTAATCCCATTCTGGCTTTTAAAAATTATTTATTTATTTTGAGACGGAGTCTCACTCTGTTGTCCAGGCTGGAGTACAGTGGTGCGAATGCAGCTCACTGCAACCTCTGCCTCCCAGGTTCAAGCGATTCTCATGCCTCAGCCCCCTGAGGCTCTGGGATTACAGGCGTGTGCCACCACGCCCAGCTAATTTTTTTATTTTTAGTAGAGACTAAATTTCGCTATGTTGGTCAGGCTGGTCTCAAGTGATCCGCCCACCTCGGCTTCCCAAAGTGCTGGGATTACAGATGTGAGCCACCGCGCCAAGGCCCCAGTCTATTTTATACACATCAGCCAGAGTGATCTGTGAAAATCGAAAACCAAGTCAGGACACTCCTCTGTTCAAAGTGCTCAAATGGCTTGCCATCTTGCTCTGAATACCATCAGAAATCCTTATCATGGCTTTTAGGTAGCAAGAGTAGAACATCAGAATTTACATTAGTCTGAGAGATTCTAGATCTACACCCACAGAATTCACAGAGAATTATGATGGTCCTGGGGCCTTTGGACAAGGCATTTATAGTAACATACCTTAACGTTGACAAAATGAGACAAAACCCAGAACCTTCACTTTAACACTGAAAGGAGAATCTCTAGGGAGAGGTGAGTAACTAAACCCACTTGCTTTTATCAATTTTACTTTAAATTTGGGGTCCCCTTGCAGTTTTTTTTTTTTTTACTGTTGCCACTAACAGGCTAGGACCTTACTTTCCTCATTTTGTAAATGGAGGTATTAATTATACCTATGTCATAGGGTTATAAAACTTTGAATGAGTTAATAAATGTAAAACACTTAGAACCAGTTCTGGTACACAGTAAACACTCAGTACATTTCAGCTAATATTATTAGCACTGTATCTTAGTACCTAACCATAACCATCTCATTCAGTAACATAACTGGTCTTAACTCAAATAGTAGCTAATTCCACTTACCTGTCATCGCTCATAGGCAGTCATTTACATGGGCAAAGATAAAGGCTAGGACAAATTTATCCCAAAACATTTTTTTTGTTTTTTTTTTTGTTTTGGCTTTTGGTTTTCGTTTTGAGACAGTCTCACTCTGTTGCCCAGGCTGGAGTGCAGTGGTGTGATCTTGGCTCACTGCAACCTCCGCCTCCTGGGTTCAAGCGATTCTCCTGCCTCAGCCTCTGTAGTAGCTGGGACTACAGGCACCCGCCACCACGCCCGGTTATTGTTTGTATTTCTAGTAGAGATGGGGTTTCACTATGTTGCCCAGGCTGGTCTTGAATTCCTGACCTCAGGTGATCCACCTGCCTCAGCCTCCCAAAGTGCTGGGATTACAGGTGTGAGCCACTGCACCTGGCCAGTAAATATAATTTCTAAATAATTCATTTTCATTGTGTTTTCTGAAAAGATTCTTTATCTGGAATAGGGGCTGACTTAATGAGAACTTTAGTACTTGGCTGCCTGAGAAGTGTAACTCAGACTTACCCATCACACTGCACTTAGGAAACTCCATCCTGTCATTCTGTAATGTGGCAAGAATTCAAAAAGTTCTTCATGTGCCACTTGGAGAACAAAGAGAAATGTAAGCTGTGTGTTCAGCAGTTAATAAGCAAAGAAGAATAGTGTGTTGTCAGAGAGATAAAAGGTCCATTTTGTTTTAGGGACCATTAATCATTTAGCTTTGTTCTAATATTTGTCGTTGATATCAATTTTTAGAGAAAGTGCAGGATTCTAGAAAGAGGGTAACAGCCTCGATCCACTTTGAGGGCAGTTACAAGGGAGGTAATGTGGCGTGAGTACTTTTCTACTCTCTGAGGACTTCCATCCTTCTTTGACACTCAGCTGCTCTCCTCTCCTTTCTTCTCCCTACTCTACAATCTGACCCCTTACCATTCTATCATAGACTCCAAGCACTGATGCTACCCTCTAGTTGTCCAGGACTTAGCATGACATATCCCATTCCTTGACCATTGCTTACCTTCCCACCACTATTTCTTCACCCATCAACCACCTACATTGAGGAGAACTTTTCTGTCACATTTTCTCTCCTCAAAGCCCTAACAGGTGACTGCTGCTCACCAGACTAGTTAGCGAAAGGAGTGAATGGCCAATACCGTTTTGTTTTGTTTTCTTTTGTTTTGTTTTGTTGTGTTTTGAGGTAGAGTTTTACTCTTGTTGCCCAGGCTGGAGTGCAATGGTGCTATCTCGGCTCACTGCAACCTCTGCCTCCCAAGTTCAAGTGATTCTTCTGCCTCAGCCTCTCAAGTAGCTGGGATTACAGGCACATGCCACCACGTCCAGCTAATTTTGTATTTTTAGTAGAGACAAGGTTTCTCCATATTGGTCAAGCTGGTCTCGAACTCCTGACCTCAGGTGATCCGCCCACCTCAGCCTCCCAAAGTGCTGGGATTACAGGCGTGAGCCACCACACCCGGCCACCAATACTGTTTTTTTAGATAAGCTTGCAAAAATGTATTTGCTTATTAACAGGGTATCTGGGAGTGGCAATGCCTTAATTAAAGGACCAGTTTCTCCAATAATAGAATTAGGGACATTTTGACATCCCAGATGGAAAGCGATTTTCTTTCTTTTCTGTATTATATGATCATCAAATTTAATTTTATTACATCAATATTATTACAACCAACTTGAACATGTATTACTCTGGCCAGGTTTTTTGTTTTTATTAGTTTTTTAAAAATTAATTTTTATTGATTTTGAATTCACATACCCTAAAATACCCTAAATTTTTAACCAAATCTTGAATTTGGTCAAAATTCAGTGATTTTTTGGTATATTTACAAAGTTGTGCAACTATCACCACTAATTCCAAAATCTTTTCATAGTCCCAAATAGGCAGCTATTTTTAGAAAAAAAAATTTCAAATATTTATGTCTTAAAACTTACGCTGTAAGATTGTGCCTAGTTATGAAAAATAGGTCAAAATGTCCTTTAGAAGTTTTAGAACTCTTTTGGGTAAGAGGAGTATCCAAGGTAATCACAAAACAACATCTTCCTGCAATTAAATTGATTATATTTACTAATTGAATTGATCAGGTTTATGATTAAAGTGATTATATATATAAGTAATAGTAAATGGTTTGCAAATATTTTGGTCTGTCTGCTAAAGAAAAGAGAACAGATGGGATAATGGCAGTAAGGGAGAAAATATGTCCTTTCTTCAACAGTTTGAAATAGTTAAGTTATTTATTTTCAGGTAGCATGATAGAAAAAGGGATTTGAATGTTTTATTTCAAATTCTCTTGGCTGTAAGCAGTAGAAATGAACCCTGGCCCGCACTGCACTAAGGAGAGAGAGAGAGAGAGAGAGAGAGAGAGAGAGAGAGAGAGAGATGCAGGGGTGCATGCCTCTAACAGACTGGAACGAGAGCCTACAGCATTGTCAGGCAAGAACTGTTCTTGTAAGCAAGGAAATGGTTCTGAACCATTTCTCTCCACTTGCTGACCAATTTTCTCTGTTTCCCAAGGCACATGGCAGAAAAGTTGACTGTCGAAACTTCCTAAATTTTTACTAGCTTACAGTTTCAGCCACCTAGTGACAGCATTTCCCATTTCCCAAGGATTGGGACTGATCCATTTGGAGACAGTTGTCTATAGTAGGACCAATCCATTGCTGATTCTTTTTAGATAGACTTTTTAGATAGGGTAAGAGTGGGAAAGAGTTCCCAGAGAAAGAGAGATTTGGGTAATCAAATAGATTTTCACTACAGTCACCTTTGATCTTTGTGGTCTTATTCATGTAAATAATATTGTTACTGTTTGAAATTCCTACAGTTTGCTGCTCTAACCACCGCTAGCCAGGAAAAAAAAAAAAAAAGAAAGAAAGGTACCGGCTACCTTGTTTAGAAATTAACTCCCATCTACACTTCTCATATCCAATATTTTCTTTCAAACTGGAAGAAAGCAGTGGAGCTTAATCACATGTGGTAGAAAAAATATATAATATATAGTCTATTCAAACTAGCCTTTGGATGAACTGTGATGAAAACTAACTAGGAAATAGCAATCGGGAGAAGATAACAAAAGCTCTGTTACTGACAGTCTCAGATATCCACTAGAGTTTTCCATCCCGGCATTTAAATAATGAAGAGCCATTGGGAGTTGAAGCCAAATGCCTCCATTACCCAGCCATAAGGTTACAAGAAAACAGAACAAAGCTATCTCTTGCAGAAAGCATTATTTCTGGGGTTATAGCAACGGTACTTAAAAATAGGCTTCCGTGTTTCTCATATTTTACCTTAAGAAGTGTTAAAATTTTTTCCATGAAAAACAAATGGCCAATAAAAAATTTAAAAGTGTCTGCCCAGTGCTGTGGCTCATGCTTATAATCCCAGCAATTTGGGAGGCTGAGGCGGGCAGATCACTTGAGGTCAGGAGTTCGAGACCAGCCTGGACAACATGGCGAAACCCCATCTCTACTAAAAATACAAAAGAAATTAGCTGCACATGGTGGCACATGCCTGTAATCCCAGCTACTTGGGAGGCTGAGGCACGAAAATCTCTTGAACCTGGTAGGCAGAGGTTGCAGTCAGCGGAGATCACACTCCTGCGCTCCAGCCTGGGTGACAGAGTGAGACTCTGTCTCAGATAAATAAATAAATAAATACAACTCCATATTAATAATATTGGCTATTTATTAAGTACTAACTGAATGTGAGGCACTTGCTTTTACAGGCATTATTTCACATAATTTTTAGAATAACACTATGAGGTTGCTATTTATAGGAGAGAAAACTGGAGCTCCAAAAAGTTAAGTAACTTCTCCAACATCACACAACTAGAGAGTGACAGGACCATATTTCAAATCCAGATCTGTTTTAACTTCAAAACCAACATGCTCCTATACGTGGGCTGATCTGCCTCTAGCATTTGACCACTTCTCGCACTTTCTTTGTGTAGACCCTCGTATATGATCCATTTTCCCTGAATCCCCACCCACACATTGGTAAATAATTTGATCTGAGTTGCCAATTTTGTATACTTGATTAGTAATTACTGGTCCCCTTTTAAGGCCTAGTTTATCTCTGCTCCTGCTGGTCGTTTCTTAGCTTGCCATCCACCTTTCCTCCACCATACTTGAGCAGCTAGCTGACCACTTGTCACTCCTTCTGGGTTCTTTCTGTCAGCCTTATGGGGACTGTCTTGCTCATGTCCTCTTCCCTACCCTTTCTTACTTTCCTTTGACTATTTCTTTTCTTTTCTTTTTTTGAGATGGAGTTTCGCTCCTGTGCCCCAGGCTGGAGTGCAATAGCGCAATCTCGGCTCACTGCAACCTCCGCCTCCGGGGTTCAAGCGATTCTCCTGCCCCAGCCTCCCAAGTAGCTGGGATTACAGGTGCCCGCCACCATGCCTGACTAATTTTTGTATTTTTAGTAGAAATGGGGTATCACCACGTTGGCCAGGCTGGTCTCGAACTCCTGACCTCAAGTGATCCACCTGCCTCAGCCTCCCAGGTTGTTGGGATTACAGGTGTGAGCCACTGCACCTGGTCTATTTCTTTTCTTTTCTTATTTTTTTAGACATAGGGTCTTGCTGTGCTCCCCAGGCTTGTCTCAAACTCTTGGTCTTAAAGTAGTCCTCCTGCCTCAGCCTCCAGGTAGCTGGGATTCCAGTTGTGCGCCACCATGGCTGGCCGTTTCTTTTCTTTTCTTTTCTTTTTTGAGACAGAGTCTGGCTCTGTCGCCCAGTCTGGAGTGCAGTGGCGTGATCTCGGCTCACTGCAAGCTCCGCCTCCCGGGTTCACGCCATTCTCCTGCCTCAGCCTCCCGAGTAGCTGGGACTACAGGCGCCCGCCACCGCGCCCGGCTAATTTTTTTGTATTTTTTAGTAGAGACGGCGTTTCACCGTGGTCTCGATCTCCTGACCTCATGATCCGTCCTCCTCGGCCTCCCAAAGTTCTGGGATTACAGGCGTGAGCCACCACGCCCGGCCAGTTTCTTTTCTTAAAATTTCTATTTTATTTTATTTTTTGCACCTAACATGGTGCCATGCACATAGTAAATAGTTACTAGGTGTTTCTTCAATTAAATTTAGTCTTCTTTCTGTAACAGTTGTCAATCTATAATTTTACTACCTTGCAGGGTTACTCTTCTCTATGGCCATCCCAATAGCCTTATCAACCGCCTTTCCTTTTTTATTAACTTTTATTTTAAGTTCATGGGCGAATGTGCAGGTTTGTTCCATAGGTAAACTTTTGTCATGGGGGTTTGCTATACAAATTACTCCATCACTCAGGTATTAAGCCTAGTACCCATTAATTATTTTTCCAGATTCTCTCCCTCCTCCCACCCTACACCTTCTGATAGGCCACAGTGAGTGTTATTCCCCTCTATGTATCCATGTGTTCTCATCATTTAGCTCCCACTTATAAGTGATAGCATGCAGTATTTGGTTTTCTGTTCCTGTGTTAGTTTGCTAAGGATAATGGCCTCCAGCTCCATCCATGTCCCTACAAAGGACATGATCTCATTCTTTTTTATGGCTGCATAGTATTCTGTGGTGTATATGTACCATATTCTCTTTATGCAGTCTATCATTGATGAACATTTAGGTTGATTCTGTGTCTTTGCTATTGTGCATACTACTGCAATGAACATACACATGCATGTGTCTTTATAATAGGATGATTTATATTCCTGTGGGTATATACCCAGTAATGGGACTGCTGGGTTGAATGGTATTTCAGTCTTTAGGTCTTTGAGGAATTGCCACACTGTCTTCCACAAAGGCTGAACTAATTTATGCTCCCACCAACAGTGTAAAAGCATTCTTTTTCCTCCACAACCTTGCCGGCATCTGTTATTTTTTGACTTTTTAATAATAGCCATTCTGACTGGCATGAGATGGTATCTCATTGTGGTTTTAATTTGCATTTCTCTAATGATCAGTAATGTTGAGCATTTTTTTCCTATGTTTGTTGGCCACATGTATGTCTTCTTTTGAAAAGTGTCTGTTCATGTCCTTTGCTCACTTTTTAATGGGGTTGTTTTATTCTTGTAAAATTGTTTAAGTTCCTTATAGACGCTGGATATTAGACCTTTGTCAGATGCATAGTTTGCAAAAATTTTCTCCCATTTTGTAGGTTGTCTGTTTACTCTGTTGATAGTTTCTTTTACTGTACAGCAACTCTTTAGTTAATTTGATCCCATTTGTCAGTTTTTACTTTTATTGCAATTGCCTTTGGTGTCTTCATCACGAAATCTTTGCTCATGCCTATGCCCCGAATAGTACTGTCTAGGTTGTCTTCCAGAGTTTTAATAGTTTTGGGTTTAACATTTAATTCTTTAATCCATCTTGAGTTACAGCAACTCTTTAGTTAATTTGATCCCATTTGTCAGTTTTTACTTTGGTTGCAATTGCTTTTGGTGTCTTCATCATGAAATCTTTGCTTGTGCCTATGTCCTGAGCAGTACTGCGTAGGTTGTCTTCCAGAGTTTTAATAGTTTTGGGTTTAACATTTAATTCTTTAATCCATCTTGAGTTAACTTTTGCATATGGTGTAAGGAAGGGGTCCAGCTTCTTTTTTTTTTTTAATTATTACTATACTTTAAGTTTTAGGGTACATGTGCACAAGGTGCAGGTTTGTTACATATGTATACATGTGCCATGTTGGTGTGCTGCACCCATTAACTCGTCATTTAACGTTAGGTATATCTCCTAATGCTATCCTTCCCCCCTCCCCCCACCCCACAACAGGCCCCGGTGTGTGATGTTCAGAAGGGGTCCAGTTTCAATCTTCCACATATGGCTAGCCAGTTATCCCAGCATCATTTATTGAATAGAGAATCCTTTCCCCATTGCTTGTTTTTGGCAAGTTTGTTGAAGATCAGATAGTCGTAGGTGTGCAGTCTTATTTCTGGGTTCTGCATTCTGTTCCATTGGTGTATGGGTCTGTTTTTGTACCAGTACCATGCTGTTTTGATTACTGTAGCCCTATAGTAGTAGTTTGAAGTTAGGTAGCACGATGACTTCACCTTTGATCTTTTTGCTTAGGATTGTCTTGGCTATTCAGGCACTTTTTTGGTTTCATATGAATTTAAATTTTTTTTTCTAGATCTGTGAAGAATCTTAATTGTAGTTTAGTAGGAATAGCTTTGAACCCAAATATTGCTTTGGGCTGTATAGCCATTTTAATGCTATCGATTTTTTCTATCCATGAGGATGGGTGTTTTTTCATTTGTTTGTGTCATCTTTGATTTCTTTGAGCAGCATCAACCACCTTTTCTTCCCAGCAACTTGGCATTTATCTTTACATCTTCACTAATATTACACTTTCTCATCACCAGTGATTTCCTGAGTATTAAATAATTTAAGTCTTTTTTTATGTGTTCTCATCCTTTTTGATCTTTTAGCTACCTTTAATAACATTTTTATCTTTTCACTTTACCTTAGCCTAAGCTCTAACATGCTATTATTTTTTCTTTTCCTTCTACTTTTCTCTTCCTCTCTCTTTCTTCTTCACTAAAATTTCTCCTGTTCTTTAATAGTGAGCTGTCTCTTAAACGTGGTCTTTGGCTCTGATCCCTTTCATAATCACCTTCAGAATGAGTTATTCCAACACCCTGCCTTCCTCCAGTGACCTCTTCATAGTCATAATGAATTTTATATATATATATATTTTGAGACATGGTCTCACTCTGTCACCCAGGCTGAGTGCAGTGCTGCAGTCATGGCTCACTGCAGCCACAATCTCCTGGGCTCAAGTGATCCTCCTACCTCAGCCTCCCGAGTAGCTGGGAATACAGGCATGCACCACCACACCTGGCTAGTTTTTTATTTTTATAGTGACAGGATCTTGCCACGTTGCCCAGGCTGGTCTTAAACTCCTGGCCTCAAGCGTTCCTCCCGCCTCCGCCTCCCAAAGTGCTAGGAGTACAGGTGTGATCTACTGCACTTGGCTCATAATAAGTAGGGTTTATTTTGTTTTGTTTTTCTTTTTGAGATGGAGTCTTGCTCTTTCACCCAGGGTGGAGTGCAGTGGCGCGATCTCCACTCACTGCAACCTCTGCCTCCTGGGTTCAAGAAATTCTCCTGCCTCAGCCTCCCAAGTAGCTGGGATCACAGGTGTGCACCACTACACCTGGCTAATTTTTGTATTTTTAGTAGAGACAGGGTTTTGCCATGTTGGCCAGGCTGGTGTCGAACTCCTGACCTCAGGGTGATCCACCCACCTCAGCCTCCTAAAGTGTTGGGATTACAGGCATGAGCCACCGCGCCCGGCATAATAAGTAGTTTTAAGTATAGGATTGCCTCCACTGAATAAGAAGGTAGCAAAAGCAAAGAGGATATTTGTTTGATTACAACCTCTGCTGTGATATCAGAGTTTACCATGGTTCGTGAAACTGTGTTTGTAGACTCGCAGAACTTATTGGGTAGATTAACGATCCCTATTTCACCCTCCTGCTTTGGCTGATGCTCTGTTTGCTGAAACCTTTGCTCTCTGATTGATCCCTCCTGCCTGGCCAGAGGTTCACTTCTGGCTACATCTGGGTGGACCTGTCCAGATCTCTTTTCTTACACAAAATCAACTCTCTATTCTCTGTTTTCTCATCTCTTTTAACCCTCTGTTCTCTAATGATCACCTAAATAAATGACTGTTTATAAAGGTCTAGCACTCATTTCTCAGTTTTCTCCAGATTTGTGCCACCAATTTCTTATGGGCGTCTCGATTATCGACACCTGAAGCTTTACTTATCAGTCATTGGCTGGGTCATCTCTAGTCACCCTCTCAACATCTCTACCAGTTACTAGCATCACTGTCAATCTGGTGTACCTGATATAAAGACTTCCTGTATGTCTTTTGACTCATTCTTGTTTTATTTTTGCTTTTTGGGTTTTTTTTTGGAGACTGAGTCTCACTCTGTTGCCCAGGCTGGAGTGCAGTGACGCGATCTCAGCTCACTGCAACCTCAGCCTCCTGGGTTCAAGTGATTCTCCTGCCTCAGCTTCCCAAGTAGCTGGGATTACAGGCACCCACCACCACGCCTGGCTAATTTTTTGTATTTTTAGTAGAGTCGGGGGTTTCACCGTGGTGGACAGGCTGGTCTCAAACTCCTGACCTCAAGTGATCCACCCGCCTCTGCCTTCCAAAGTGCTGGGATCACAGGCATGAGTCACCGCGCCCGGCCTCTTTTGACTCGTTCTTCATTTACAGTTTGAATGGTTTTTCTTTCCTGGGCCTTGAGAATCTTCCTGCGCTTGATGTCTCCAATCTCATCATTTTTTGATGTATGGCCCCAGACTCCTTGTTTCTAATACACCATTTTTTCTCATTTCCTTTTATGCTGAATTCTTCAAATAATTTATCTTAAACACAGTTTTCATCATGACATTTCCCTTTGCAGAGCTCCATAGTGGCATTTTGTATGCCTAATCATAACAGATAAAAAAACCTTCCAACTACGTTAAGACTGCTCATTCACTTCCTTTTCTACATGCTTCCCCAAGCTTATTTTCTATCCCAGGTCTTCTGCTCCATGCAAAACTTCCTACTTGCCTTCTCTTGCACCAACACACAAAGATTATCCAAGGAAAAATCAAATACCTTAACTCTCTCTGCCTGGGCAATTATTTTGATGAGGAACATATGAGTCAGCAGACATAGATTTACATCCCAGCTATACCATTCACTTGTGTGACCTTGTTGAAGCAACTTCTTTGAGCTTGGATTCTTCACTTATAAAATAAGATCAGTGGTACCAGGACCAGGTTTGTTGTTGTGAGAACAGCCTGAGATAATGTGTGAGAAAGTGTTTTATAAACCATTGGGCAATAGGCAAAATTAAGTATGGTCAGTGAAATGGACAGCTGAATATTCAGAAAGCTGCTGGGTGCAATATTTTGTCTGGAGCAGCATTTACCAAATTTTTTTTTAATTTACTTTTTTTTTTTGAGATGGGGTCTCACTCTGTTGCCCAGGCTGGTGTGCAGTGGCATGATCTCAGCTCACTGCAACCTCCGTCTCCCAGGTTCAAGCGATTCTCCTGCCTCAGCCTCCCGAGTAAGTAGCTGGGATTAGAGATGCCCACCACCACACCCCACTAATTTTTGTATTTTTAGTAGAGATGGGGTTTCACCATTTTGGCCAGGCTGGTCTCGAACTCCTGACCTCGTGATCCGCACCCCCGCCCCCCGCCCCAGCCTCCCAAAGTGCTGGGATTACAGGCATAAGCCACCATGCTCGGCCTACAGTTTTTTTTAATAAGAAAAAAGACAAGACTCTTGAATAAAAAACATCAGACTTGCAGATGTCATTCTGCTTGGTCCTGCCTTTTTCTTAAGAATCTGTTCTCTGCTCAGCGTCTTGGTTCATCATGACAAGGAATCTTGGCTGCTTAAAAGTTGGCAAGCAAAACTCTTGTCTCTGAAGATATTTAAATCTTTCTTGGCTCTTGATCGTTTCCTCTTGAGTGTTGAAATGAAACGATGCCTTCCAGCCTCTCTGAAATAGAGCTGGAAGACTCGTGATGCTCTGATTTTGATAAAATAATCTTCATAAATCACAGATGTAATGTGCTGTGGTCACAGTTAATGGCTCCTCAAGGTCTCTCTCATCTCCTACTTTGGTTTTAAATTCCCATTTTTTAGATTGTTTTTCTACCTCTCTCTTCCTTTTCTCTCTTAGTTTTAATTAACTGAGGATATTGACCTGATATTTTTTCTCTGTTATTTTCCCAATGCTTGCATTTTTTCTTGTTAGTTCTGACAGACCATCTGTCAAAATTTTGCTGGTTTCACAGCAGTTCCATGCTATTTTTTTTCTTTCTGTCTTTTTAAAATTACACAAATGATACACAAATAAATTCTCATTGCAAATGGTTCAAACAATAGAAAAATTTATAGAGTAACATCGGGGTTTCTGTTCACCCTACTCCCATTCCTAATTCCCTTACCAGCGATAACCACCACTGTTACAGTTTGATTCACAACCTTCACTTTGTTTTCTATAAATCTGTATTATGAACATATACATCTTCTATGGATCTATGATGTGTGCTTTTTTTTTAAAAAAATTAATGTATCTTCTAGAACTTTTTATGTGAAAATACATGTGTCTATCTGAATCTTTTAATGGCTGCATAGTTCTACATACCAATATGCCATCATTCCTTTATCACTTGCCTATTGTTGGATGTTCTTCAGTGTAGAAAACTGCTCCAGCAAATACCCTTTTGCCTATGTACACTTAAGCATAGATCTGTAGAACAAATTCCTAGAGGCAAAAATGCTAGGTTAGATGCATCCATTAGAATATAAACTTGGTGATGGCAGGGATTTTAAAAACACATATGTTTTGGGCCAGTTGTGGTGGCTCACGCCTGTAATCCCAGCACTTTGGGAGGCCAAGGTGGGAAGATCACTTGAATTCAGGAATTCAAGACCAGCCTGGTCAACATGGTGAAACCCCATCTCTACTGAAAATACAAAAATTAGCCAGGCATGGTGGTGGGTGCCAGTAATCCCTGCTACTCGGGAGGTTGAGGCAAGAGAATCGCTTGAACCTGGGAGGTGGAGATTGCAGTGAAATAATGGAAATGGAAATAATTTTTTCTTTTTTTTCTTTTTCTTTAAAATAATTTTAATATACTCAAATTCTTGGGGATGGGGCTAGGGTCTTTATAGACAAATCTGTGTTTTATCTCTCTGGTAACTGGGCACTTATCATAGACTGCTGTATTGGTGTATAGCCATGGGGTCTTTTAATCCATCAAGAATCTGGATAAGTTCCACTAAAACTTTCTGTAGCTATAATTTGCTGAGTTAAAAAAAAATATTGGACTATAAGTCCCTGTAGATGGGCCAAGGTGTCTGGGAATTGCATGTAATGCTATTAGGTGAATAACTAGCAGTAATTTGAATATGGGAGTATGATATAATTCAATTGAGCTTTCATCTCTTATGAAGTAATTCTATGGAGTACAGCAGAGTCAACAAAAATAAAACAATTATTCCAAATAAACTTTCTAGGAATAGAATTATGTAACTATTCCATTTAATAAAGTTTTCTAATGATTTTGGCTATAATTTAGTTTTATTTTCAGATTAGTTTGCCTGGTTTGGATAATTGGGTTTGTGCAACAAAGAGATAATAGTTCGGTATCCAAGGACTTCTAAAATTGGAATTCAGCCCTGAGACAGCCTTAAAATAAATGAATATGCAAACAAATGAGCATATTGTTTGGCACAAGCATAAAAAAAAGAGGAAAAATCAACTCAAAAGGAGAAGGCTAGAGAAGCATTGTTAAAAAAACAAGTGAACAAACTTGGAGAACCAATGATTTGCCCATTGGATGTTATTATCTTCTTTAAGTGTCCATTGATTGATTCTGCTTATCAGGCTGGGTTGGATTTGTGGTTGTGTTTGTGAGGGAGGATGGATTTGCTTATCTTTTCAAGATAGATGGAGTTTCTGGTAATGCTGATAAGGGGACAGGAAGATCCCCCTGGACTGGCATATGTTGGAGGCAATTTCAGAATACCTGGGTTGAGGATTTTAAAAAATTAGAATTCTAGGAATTTTTAGAAGAATTCTAAGTAGTTTTAAGGTATAACACAATAATTAAGACACATGGTTCAGTATGACAGTCTATAACATAGCATGTTAAATTAGTGTAAAATAGAAAGTAGAAAAATAACTTCTTTTAATAGAGCAAGACAAAAGGGAGTTAAGAAGAGATAAATTGAAAACATTAATGTGAAATCATTGTTCTTTTTAGGACATTATTGCTGTTACTGCAGTAATGAGTAGTATCTTCTCTGATGTATATGAGATTGCCTCCTTCCAACAGTTGTGTAAAACAATCTCATATACTCCAGTGCTCAATTTGATTTTTTTCTTTTTTCTCCAGTATTGTTCTCAGTTAAAATAAACAAGTGCTTTTCAAAAGATCTGATCCTATGTCTTGGGGTAGGAAAAATTAAGATGAGCCTGGAACCTTTATTTTGTTTTCCAGAAAGCAAAAATACTTTCAGAGGCACCTGAGTATTTATTGATTGATTTACTATTGTTTTTTCCCCTGCCCCATTTGGGAAGCACTTGGGTATTTAAGAAGTAAAGAGGCCACCCTGAAGAGAGGACTCTTAATGACAACTTGGGGAGAAAGGAGAGCGAAAATCACCTGTTGACCACTGAACAGGCCCCGGAGACAAAAACTCCTTATTGAGAAATTTAGAAGTGAGAAAAGACCACCTGGTAACCATCAAACAGGCCACCTGGGCCAGGCGTGGTGGCTCACACCTGTAATCCCAGCACTTTGGGAGGCCGAGGCACCAGGAGTTCGAGATCAGCCTGGTCGACATGGTGAAACCCCATCTGTACTAAAAATGCAAACATTAGCTGGGTGTGATGGCACGTGCCTTAGTCCCAGCTCCTACAGAGGCTAAGGCATGAGAATCACTTGAACCCGGGAGGCAGAGGCCACAGTGAGCTGAAATTGCACCACTGCACTCCAGCCTGGGCGACAGAGGGAGACTCTGTCTCAAAAACAAACAAACAACCCAAGGCATCTGAAGGCAAAACTCCTTATGTGGGGAAATTGGAAGTAATCAGACTTCCTTATTATTATTATTATTATTTTTGAGATGGAGTTTCACTCTTGTTGCCCAGGCTAGAGTGCAATGGAGCCATCTCGGCTCACTGCAACCTCTGCCTCCTGGGTTCAAGCGATTCTTCTGCCTCAGCCTCATGAGTAGCTAGGATTACAGGCACCTGCCACCATGCCCAGCTAATTTTTGTATTTTTAGTAGAGACAGGTTTTCACCATGTTGGCCAGGCTGGTCTTAAACTCCTGACCTCAGGTGATCCACTCGCCTCGGCTTCCCAAAGTGCTGGGATTACAGGCATGAGCCACCACACCTGGCCTCAGATTTCCCTATTATCTAAAACAGGCATCTGGTTCCAAATTTCTTTCCTCCCAAAAATGTATAAGTAACTAGAATTTCTATACATCTCCGAATTCCGTGCTGAAACTCATTGTGCAACCCTTGCTGACATTAAGGCACTAAAATGCCTACAAATGTAATCATTTGTCATGACCGGTGTGGCTAATATGGTTCAAATTACCCTTGAGCTCTGGCCTTAAGGTCCATAAATGCTCCTGAGGAAAAATCCACTGCGGGGTGCTCACTCCTCTTGCTGAGGCACCCCAGCTGCAGAAGACTGCACTCTTCTTTCTTTCTAATAAACTTTCTTTTTTCAAAGCTATACTGTTGTTGGTAATTCTTTTTTTTTTTTTTTACCAACCTGCAAGTTGACCACTTCCCAGTCCAGAAAAGTCTCCCTCAGCAACTAAACCACAAATACAACATAAGCAGCCAACAGAATACATGGAATCAATAGACACTTAATTAAAGATAATAAAATAAAATACTTAAGAGTATAGGTGACCAAGGAGGGGAAAGATCTCTACAAGGAAAACTACAAAATGCCGTTGAAAATCATAGACAGCACAAATGAAAACACATCACATACTCATGGATGGATAGAATCAATATTGTGAAAATGACCATACTGCCAAAAGCAATCTACAAATTAAATGCAATTCCCATCAAAATACCATCATCATTCTTCACAGAACCAGAAAAAACAATCCTAAAGTTCAGATGGAACAAAAAAAAACCCTCATAGCCAAAGCAAGACTAAGCAAAAAGAACAAATCTGAAGGCATCGCATTACCTGACTTCAAACTATACCACAAGGTTAAAGTTACCAAAACAGTACATGGGTACTGGTATGAAAATAGGCATGTAAACCAATGGAACAGAATAGTGAACCCAGAAATAGAGCCAAATATTTACAGCCAACTGATCTTTGACAAGGCAAACAAAAACATAAAAGTGGAGAAGGACACACTATTCAACAAATGGCCCTGGGATAATTGGCAAGCCACATGGAGAAGAATGAAGCTGGATCCTCATCTCTCACCTTATACGAAAATCACCTCAAGATGGATCAAAGACTTAAATCTAAGACCTGAAACCATAAAAATTATAAAAGATAGCATCAGGAAAACTTTTCTTGACATTGGCTTAGCCAAAGAGTTCACGATTAAGTATCCAAAAGCAAATGCAACGAAAGCAAAGATAAGTAGATGGGACCTAAGTAAATGAAAAAGCTTCTGCACAGCAAAAGAAATAATCAGCAGAGTAAACAGACAACCCACAGAGTGGGAGAGGATACTCACAAACTATGCATCTGACAAAGGACTAATATCCAGAATTTACAAGGAACTCAAACAAATCAGGAAGAAAAAAACCGAATAATCCCATCAAAAAATGGGCAAAGTACATGAATAGGCAATTCTCAAAAGAAGATATACAAATGGCTAACATGAAAAAATAGCATCATTAATTATCAGGGAAATGCAAATCAAAACCACAGTAAGATACCACCTTACTCCTGCAAGAATGGCCATAATTAAAAAATTTAAAAATAGCAGATGTTGGCATGGATGTAGTGAAAAGGAAACACTGTTACACTGCTTGTGGGAATGTAAACTAGTACAACCACTATGGAAAACAGTGTGGAGATTCCTCAAAGAAATAAAAGTAGAACTGCCAGCAATCCCACCACTGGGTATCTACCCAGAGGAAAAGAAGTCATTACATGAAAAAGATGCTTGCACATGCATGTTTATAGCAGCACAGTTTGCAATCGCAAAAATATGGAGCCAACCTAAATGCCCATCAACCAAAAAGTGGATAAAGAAAATGTGGGGCCAGTGGTGGTGGCTAACACCTGTAATCCCAGCACTTTGGGAGGCCAAGGCAGGTGGATCATGAAGTCAGGAGTTTGAGACCAGCCTGGCCAAGATGGTGAAACCCCATCTCTACTAAAAATACAAAAATTAGCCAGGTGTGGTGGCGGGCACCTGTAATCCCAGCTACTTGGGAGGCTGAGGCCACAGAATCAATTGAACCCAGGAGGCAGAGGTTGCAGTGAGCCAAGATGGCACCACTGCACTCTAGCCTGGGTGTCCGAGCAAGACTCTATCTCAAAACAAACAAAACAAAACAAAACAAAAAATGAAAATGTGGTATACATATATACACACCATGGAATACTACTCAGCCATTAAAAAGAACAAAATAATGGCATTTGCAACAACTTGGATGGAGTTAGAGACTATTATTCTAAGTGAAGTAGCTTAGGAATGGAAAGCCAAGCATCGTATGTTCTCACCTATAAGCAGGAGCTAAGCTATGAGAATGCAAAGGCATAGAATGATATAATGGACTTTGAGGACTTGGAGGGAAGGGTGGGAGCAGGTGAGGGATAAAAGACTACACACTGGGTCCAGCATACACTGTTCCGGTGATGGGTTCAACAAAATCTCAGAAATCACCACTGAAGAACTTTTCCATGCAACGAAACACCCAAAAACTATTAAAATTAAAATCATAATAAAATAAGGATAATAATATCAGATAAGTAGATTATTGGTTCTGAAAGTTTTATTTTTTAAAAAAAAACACTTCTCTGGTCTTCTTCTCTTAAACTGATTTTCCCTTCTACTTTTTCCTATATTCTCTTTGCATATTCATCTGCTTTAAGGTAGTTTTGATGCTGAATTCCAATTCCCAAGTCCAAGTTTGTACAAGAACCTTGACTATCTGTTGATAGGTACAAAGGTCAGGATAACTCAAACCATGCTAAAAGGTCATTGTAATTCATTCCTATTTCCAAAATTGCCCACAAAGTGTTGAGAATTGAGTTACCCAAGTTATGTGAGTTTTTTAACCTCTAAGTTAAAACTGCAAATGTACCTTTTTTTTCCAGGGGATAAAGATACACATGAAAAGTGAGAATATACTGTAGAAAGTGGGATGATACTAAATGGATGAACTGAACAGAAAACTGTAGCTAAGATGCTATTAAACAGAAAAATGTACTGGAGAGTGGGAAAGTAAATTAACTAAAAGATAAGAAAAAAAGTTTAATGTAATATAAATCCCAAGTAGATCCTTTCTTATAAGAAGATAAAATTTAACAATGATGTGAAATAAATGAATTTAGGAGCTGATGATAGAAAAGAATTAAATAATAAGGGGAAAACTGACATTAAAATATATGAATACAAGTAATATTTTAGACATAAATGTACTTAGAGGAAAAACAGTGAGAAAAACAAGAATAAAGCCAGCATCACTGCAGAGAAGGAACTCTAGCCCAGGAGTAGCTGCATGCATTTGCCAAACCAGTCTGGAATCCCTCTCTTGGAGTTCTGGGTAAGCTGGTCTGGACAGCCTGTTGTGCCAATCACAGAGGGGACCTAATGTGGAGAGGCATAAGAGAAGCCAACAATGCTTTAGAACAATCAGAGATTAAAAACTGCAGAAAGAGAAGATAATGTTTTATCAAGGATTTGGGGGAATGACCTCCATTCTAGTTTTCCCACCATGGCTGCATCTTTGTGAACATGATAATATCAGAAAGACAAAAATGTTCATTTTAAAAGTTTGCTGAATTATATTGTCATTTCCATTCAATTGTTGTTTTGTTTTGCTTTTTTTTTTTTTGGTAGAGATGGGGTCTTGCCATGTTTCTCAGGCTGTTTTTGAACTCCTGGCCTCAAGCAATCCACCTGCCTTGGCCTCCCAAAGTGCTGGAATGACAGGCATGAGCCACGACGCCTAGCCCCATCTCCATGCTAGTCAGTGGTCATATGAAAATAGTGGTCTTGCTGCTCCAATATTACAATGATTCTCCAAACGTTAAGATTCAGTTCAATGTGTTTCAATCTTTTCCGTGTAGTTCTGACTACTGTTTTTGTTTGTTTGTTTGTTTGTTTTTTTGTTTTTTTTTAAGATGGAGTCTCACTCTGTTGCCAGGCTGGAGTGCAGTGGCATGATCTCGGCTCACTGCAACCTCCACCTCCCGGGTTCAAGTGATTTTCCTGCCTCAGCCCTCCGAGTAGCTGGGACTACAGGTGCCCGCCACCACACCCAGCTAATTTTTGTATTTTTAGTAGAGATGGGGTTTCACCATGTTGGCCAGGATGGTCTCAATCTCTTGACCTCGTGATCTGTCTGCCTCGGCCTCACAAAGAGCTAGGATTACATGCGTGAGCCACCATGCCTGGCTTCTGACCACTGTTTTTATATCTGTAAGTAGTATCATACACACATTATTACATGAATATTAACTACCTAGCTACGAGAAAGTGTTGAGCAATTGCTTATCTGGTGAATAAAATGCATATTTGGAACCAATTGGTGTAAATTAGTAACCATATTGTAGTTTAGAAAATATATTTTTTCCTCCAAGTTATTTTTAGGGGCTTGATTTACCTGAACAATGCCCTAATCCCTCCATTCTGACTAGATGATCTGAGACAGATTATTGAAAGCACAGGTGTGGATGAAGCGCTCAGGTTAAGGGTGAACTTTGCTGCAATTGGTAAGATCTGTTCTCATTTGAAGGCACACAAGCCAAACATAATTGTTTTGATTCACTGGTCTCTGGCTAGATTTCTTGCATAAAAAATAATAACAGAAGGCAATTAAACACATGAACAGACTGAGTAAAACTGTAGTGCATTCACCCTAAAAGAGAGCACACCTAAAATGCCATTCTCCTGATTGTGAGATCTCATCACACGTTAAACAGTTCTTGCAGATGTGTGTCTCGCAGAGAAGATGGTTTAATTTCATAAATAAACCTAAATCATACGAGTATATATAAATTCAACACATTCATGACATTGAAACACCTTTTCATTCTTCTCCTAACTAGAATTTTTTTTCTTTGGTATTATTCTGGTTGTTGTTCACTGAGTAAACTCCATAGAGATTTTTCTGTTTTAAACTATTACATAAATAATTCACCTGGCTTTAAAAGCCAGGAAAATAAGGGTTATAATCAGTCATATGATCATCTACATTTTAACAATAAAGTACTTGAACTCTAGTTTGTTGTATAAAGTTAAGAAGCTCAAGATCTTCAAAGGTCAGAGAGAAACCAAGTCTAAGTATGGTTGGACAGCTGGACGGAGGCAGGTAAAACCATGCTTTCCAAATGTTTCTATCCATCCTACCTCTGTGTACCTCTGCCTTGTTAGTTCTAGGAATATTCATTTCTTTTTTCTTTCTCTCCCTTTTTTTTTTGTGTGTGTGAGTATGTGTTTGTGTGTGTGATGGAGTCTCACTCTTCGCCCAGGCTGGAGGGCAATGGCACGACCTTGGCTCACTGCAGCCTCCACCTCCCGGGTTCAAGAGATTCTCTCACCTCAGCCTCTCAAGTAGCTGGGATTATAGGTGCGTGCCACCATGCCCAGTTAATTTTTGTATTTTTAGTAAAGATGGAGCCTCACCATGTTGGTCAAGCTGGTCTCCAACTACTGGGCTCAAGCGATCCACCTGCCTCGACCTCCCAAAGGCCTGGGATTACAGGCGTGAGCCACCGTGCCTGGCCGTGCACATTCATTTCTAGATCCAGCTAGATTTTCTTTAAACTTATTTTTCTTAAACTGTAAGCTTGGTGACTATTTTTCTTTTTTTATTTTCCTGTGTGTCTCTAAAATGGAACTAAAGGCAAATGGAATGAAAGGAACATATTTTCCATCTTCCGACTCTTATAATGAGGGTTGGCAAATAACTATGTGGTACACATTTCAATTTAAAATGTTGTAAACAGTCAAGTTTATTATTTCAGTTTTTGATACAAACCAAAATACACTTACATTTACCCACTACTGGGCTTCTTTTTATAAAAGTGTTTTATTGGTATATATTGTCAACACATCAGTAAAGATCTTAAAACATATATTTTACTTGGATCATTTGCAGAGTAACCATGTGCTTCAATATGACTATCAAGATTGAAATAAAATTGGCCTCAAAAAAAGGAGAGTATAATCTATATGTTTATATCTCTCTTTCCACATATTTTCTATTTCCAGACAACATGTAAAGAAATTAAGAGGTAATGACAGTAAAAGGGTAATGATGTAGTCTACATTTGGCAATGTGATTTTTTTTTCCTTTTAAAATAGAGTTTTGAAAGAGTGTATTGTTTTAGAAAGGAACTAAGATCACCTGGAATTTGAAGAGCTGCTATGAATACATTATCTAGAAATAATTCATTTGCCAAGTTGATGTGATTTCTCTTTTTCCCCTGAGCTGATTTCATCCCAATTCTTTACTTTCCCTTTTTTGGTAACAGTAGATCTTCTTGTTTAGGCACTAAGACACTCATTTTGTTATTTTGAACTATCAGAGACTTGGCTTATCGGCATAATAATTCAAAAATTTTAATTAAAATTTGTTGACGGGGTAATGGGGAACATTGCCCAAATATATGATAAGGACAAAAATCCTTTCTCTTCTTTTCTTTGTTTTGAGACAGGGTCTCACTCTGTCACCCAGGCTGTAGTGCAGTGGTGCAAGGATCTCACTCTGTCGCCTAGGCTGGAGTGCAGTGGTATGACATGGCTCACTGCAGCCTCAACCTCCTGGGCTCCAGTGATCCTTCCACCTCATCAGCCTCCCGAGTAGCTGGGACTACAGGCGAGCACTACCATATTCAGCTAATTTGTTTTTGTATTTTTTGTAGAGACAGTTTTCACCATGTTGTTCAGGCTAGTCTCAAACTCCTGGACTCAGGTGATCTGCCTGCCTTGGTCTCTCAAAGTGCTGGGATTATAGGCATGAGCCACCATGCCGGGCTGGGACAGAAATATTTTTAATGGGTAAATCATGTTTTTTGTTTTTGTTTTTGTTTTTTTGTTTGTTTTTAATTATGTAAATACTTGGCACCTCTAATTCCTGGATTCTAAGCAAGTAAAAGTATATTGAGACACTGAGCACAATGGCTCACGCCTATAATCCCAGCACTTTAGGAGGCTGAGGTGGAGGTATCACTTGAGGCCAGGAGTTCGAGAGCAGCCTGACCAACATAGTGAAACCCCCTTCTCTACTAAAAACACAAAAATTAGTAGGGCGCTGTGGCATGAGCCTGTAATCCCAGCGACTCAGGAGGCTGAGGCAAGAGAATAGCTTGAACCCGGGAGGCGGAGGTTGCAGTGAGCGGAGATCATGCCGCTGCACTCAGCCTGGGCGACAGAGTGGGTGAGACGCCGTCTCAAGAAAAAAAAAAAAAAAGTATATTGAGAATGCTTAAATTTAAGCATTTCTAGTTAGTGACAATTAGCATATTTATAGTAATCATCACTCCATTTACAAAGATCTGAGTTTTACCAACCATTTGCTTGACCTTGCAAACCTGTCAGTCTTAGTCAGCATCCAAGGCAGATTCAGAAGCAAGGGAAAATCTAATTTGGCCACCCTAAGATTCTTAAAAAGTAGTAGATTCTATATTTCTACAATCAATATCTAAACGATGTTTTGGTTTTCTTTTTTTTCTTTCTTTTTTTTTTTTTTAGATAGAGTCTCATTCTGAGGTGCAGGCTTGAGTATAGTGGCGCCATCTTGGCTCACTGCAACCCCACCTCCCAGGCTCAAGCGATTCTCCTCCCTCAGTCTCCCAAGTAGCTGGGATTATAGGCATGTGCCACCATGCCTGGCTAATTTTTTTAGTACAGATGGGGTTTCACCTATGTTGGCCAGGCTGGTCTCAAACTCATCACCTCAAAGGATCACGCCCTCCTCGGCCTCCCAAAGTACTAGGATTACAAGAGTGAACCACCACGCCCAGCCTATGTTTTGGTTGTCTTAATGCCCTTTTGACCACTATATCCACATCTTTTTTACTGCAACACTTTTAGAGCTGTTTGTTAGAGGTGTTTAGAGCTTCTCCGAGGACTTAAAATGAGATAAACTACTTCTGATTCCTTTTAATATCATGACTTCCTTCTTTTACTCCCCAAGATTACAACCAATGTCACCTTTCATATTTACTAAACATTTATGATGTGCCAAAAACTACATAAAAGACAAAATTTCTTCTCTTGAAATATTAGGTTGGTGCATAAGTAATTGTGGTTTTTGCCATTAAAAGAACCAATGCACCAACCTAATAGTAACTTAAAGTATCAACTTACTTTGATCTTATTGTGGCTATTTGGGAGCTGTTTTTCTCTATCACATGTGCACACATATATGTATTAGCAGTAACTACAGGAGCTGCTATCTGTCAGAGAATGGGACATTTTGTTCACGTATTAGACAAGGTGATTGTGAAAGGAAAGGTAAGCAAGGGCTGTTCCTCCCAGTGTTTGCAGTGTGACTTGAAACTGGTCAAACATTGGCAAAAATGGAAAAAGGAGGTGTGGTAGGACCGTGGAAGAAGGAGGAAAAGGACAAACAACTGATGCCCAAGAGTGAGAAAGAAAAAAGTGAGATTAAAAAAAAAAAAAGAAAAAAAGAAAAAAGTGAGATAATAATACAGTTTTTTTAAGTAAAAAAAAAAAAAATTAGCTAAATGTGGTGGCATGTGCTTGCAATCCCAGCTACTCAGAAGGCTGAGGCAAGAGGATCCCTTGAGTTATGCTTGCGCCACTGCACTTTAGCCTGGGTGACAGAGCAAGACCCCGTATCTTAATTTAAAAAAGAAAAGAAAAGAAAAGAAAAATGAAAGAAAAACACAGCTCTTAATAGCTGGGAGCTGACCTGGTACTAGCAACTGGGCCTTAGGGCTGATGGCACTTGCAGCTAAGCCACGGATTCCCCCTGCTGAACATAAACAATCTCCTAGAGCACCTATATTAGATGAGATCACTCTGTGTCCATGATGAAGTGAAACAAAAACAAGACCACTTTGTAACTGTGTTTGAGTGCAACAGAAAAAACCAAGGCTACTGTAAAACCATAAAAACGCCAATTCACCCAGTAAGAGTAACTGCCAGTTTTCTACCAATTGAATTTAGCCCCTCTTAATTTCTCCTGACTTCTAGATAAAAATTATCATGATACCCAATCATGGAATTGTTCGTTTCCTGACAGCACCCAATCCATAGCTAATGCCCACTCTCTTGAATCCTTCCCCATAATACCTAACAAGCTGAATTCCTTGAGAAAGTTTTTTCTAACTCTTAATGCAATACTGTCAAAGTTCCCCCCATGGTGTGTGGGCTCCCTGGTTGCAATGAGCCAAGCCAATGAACTCAGATTTGTTTGACTGTAGTTGTGTTACTGGTGGTCTTTGGCTGCAGCTCATCAATGAAAGGCAGGCCCAGATTTCTATATATTTCTGTATATGTCAGAATTTCTATGTATTTTCTTTTCTAAATGCATCAGAATCACTGGAACCTGCTTTTAGAAATGATTTCTGGGCTCCAAAATCTCCTTAAGCTGATAAGCAACTTCAGCAAAGTCTCAGGATACAAAATCAATGTGCGAAAATCACAAGCATTCCTACACACCAATAACAGACAAACAGCCAAATCATGAGTGAACTCCCATTCACAATTGCTACAAAGAGAATAAAATACCTAGGAATACAACTTACAAGAGATGTGAAGGACCTCTTCAAGGAGAACTACAAATCATTGCTCAAGGAAATAAAAGAGGACACAAACAAATGGAAGAACATTCCATGCTCATGGATAGGAAGAATCAATATTGTGAAAATGGCCATACTGCCCAAAGTAATTTATAGAGTCAATGCTATCCCCATCAAGCTACTACTGACTTTCTTCACAGAATTGGAAAAAACTACTTTAAATTTCATATGGAACCAAAAAAGAGCCCACATAGCCAAGACAATCCTAAGCCAAAAGAACAAAGCTGGAGGCATCATGCTACCTGACTACAAACTATACTACAAGGCTACAGTAACCGAAACAGCATGATACTGGCACCAAAACAGAGATATAGGCCAGTGGAACAGAACAGAGGCCTCAGAAATAACAGCACACATCTACAACCATCTGATCTTTGATAAACCTGACAAAAACAAGAAATGGGGAAAGGATTCCCTATTTAATAAATGGTGCTGGGAAAACTGTCTAACCATATGCAGAAAGCTGAAACTGGATCCCTTCCTCACACCTTACACAAAAATTAACTCAAGATGGATTAAAGACTTAAATGTAAGATCTAAAACCATAAAAACCCTAGAAGAAAACCTAGACAATACCATTCAGGACACAGGCATGGGCAAATACTTCATGAGTAGAACACCAAAAGCAATGGCAACAAAAGCCAAAATAGACAAATGGGATCTAATTAAACTAAAGAGCTTCTGCACAGCAAAAGAAACTATCATCAGAGTGAATAGGCAACCTACAGAATGGAAGAAAATTTTTGCAATCTATCCATCTGACAAAGGACTAATATCCAGAATCTACAAACAACTTAAACAAATTTACAAGAAAAAAACAACCCCATCAAGAAGTGGGCAAAGGATGTGAACAGACACTTCTCAAAAGAAGACATTTATGCAGCCAACAAACATGAAAAAAATGCTCATCATCACTGTTCATTAGAGAAATGCAAATCAAAACTGCAATGATATACCATCTCATGCAATCATTAAAAAGTCAGGAAACAACAGATGCTGGAGAGGAAGTGGAGAAATAGGAACGCTTTTACACTGTTGGCGGGAGTGTAAATTAGTTCAACCATTGTGGAAGACAGTGTGGTGACTCCTCAAGGATCAAGAACTAGAAATACCATTTGATCCAGCAATCCCATTACTGGGTATATACCCAAGGGATTATAAATCATTCTACTATAAAGACACATGCACATGTATGTTTATTGCAGCACTGTTCATAATAAATGCCCATCAGTGATAGACTGGATAAACACAATGTGGCACACATACACCATGGAATACTATGCACCCATAAAAAAGGATGAGTTCATGTCCTTTGCCAGGACATGGATGAAACTGGAAACCATCATTCTCAGCAAAGTAACACAAGAAAAAGAGAAAACCAAACACCAAACATGTTCTCACTCATAAGTGGGAGTTGAACGATGAGAACACATGGACACACAGAGGGGAATATCACACACTGGGGCCTGTAGAGGGGGTGGAGGGCTGGGGGAGGGATAGCATTAGGAGAAATACCTAATGTAAATGACAAGTGGATGGGTGCAGCAAACCAACATGGCACATGTATACCTATGTAACAAACCTGCACGTTGTGCACATGTACCCCACAACTCAAAGTATAATAATAAAAAAAATAAAAAATAAAGAAATGATTTCTGGGCTCAACCCTAGATCATCTGAACCTTTGCAGAGCCACAGAACCTGCATTTGAACAAGGTTCCCAGGTAATTCTTATATGCATGAATGAGTGTGAACACTGATACGTTTTCCAAGCAGGCTGAAGAAGTGTACATCCAAGCAAAGCCAGAATGATACTATGCCCCTTACCCATATGTGTACCCATCTTATTGGGGGATCACTTCCAAACCTTGCCAAATCTAAAAATACAATTTAGTAAATACAGTTGATCCTCCTCATTATGCACAGATTCTATATTTGCGCATTCCCCTACTTGCTAAAATTTACTTGTAATCCCTCTAAATCAACACTTATGGCACTTTCATGGTCATTTGCTGACATATGCAGAGCATGGAAAAATTTGTCGCCTAACGCAAACATATCCAGCTGAGGTCACACAAGGCAACTCTGCCTCATTTCAGAGCTCATGCTGATGGCCAGAGGACGAGGCAGTGCAGGGTAGTGTGAAAGCTGCAGCTCTGTGGCCAAATGGAACCAGTTTGAAATCCAACTCGCATCTGTTAGCTTATTCGTGAAGCAGCCTCAGGCACCTCACAACACTTTTGAACTACATTCTCATTCTCTCTCTCTTTCTCCCCCATCCCCCATGATTTTCTTTTACTTTGTTCAAATATACATAACATAAAATTTACCATTGTAACTATCTTTAAGTGCACAGTTCAGCGGCATAAGTACATTCACAAAATCCTGCAACTATGACCACTATCCAATTTCAGAACTTTTTCATCATTCCAAACAGAAGCTCGGTATCATTAAACAGAAACTCCCTATCCCCTCCTCCCTGTAGCCCCTGGTAACCTCTATTCTACTTTCTGTGAGTTTGCCTAGTCTAGAAAACTTATACAAATGGAATTAGAAAATACTTGTCTATTGTCTGGCTTATTTCGCTTAGCACAATGTTTCAAGTTTCATCCATGTTGTAGCATGTATCAGAATTTTATTCCTTTTTCCAGATGAATAAGATTCCACTGTATGCATTACCACATTTTATGGATCCATCTGTTGATGAACATTTGAATTGTTTCCACCTATAGTGAATAGTGTCGACATGAGTATTGGTGTACACGTTCTCTGAATTTTTTTTTTCAATTCTTTTAGGTATATACCTAGGAGTGAAATTGCTGGGTCATATGGTAATTTTGTGTTTTAAGATTTTTGAGGAGCTGCAGAACTGTTTTCCACAGCAGCCACGTCATTAAAACATTTCCACCAGAAATGCACGTGTTCCAATTTCTCCATGTACTTGCAAACACTTGCTATTTTCCATTTAAAAAATAATAACAGCTATCCTATTGAGTGCAAAGTGGTTGTTTTCTCTTTTGTAAAATAAAGAAAATAGGATCTATCAGAATGCCTTGCTTTCAGGTTTTAAGATTATACATGATGTGAGATACACACACACACACACACACACACACACACCTCCAATCCCCAGAAGCAATGGCTCAGTATATATTTCCCCTAGGAGCAATGGCTCAATATTTGCTAATTCAATGTTCACTAGCTACTTTATAGAACATAACTACCATGAATAATGAAAACCAACTGTAACTAAAATAAATGAAGATGCCTAAGAAGCTACGAAAGACAGAATATGCCATTTGATGAACTCAGAGTTAAGTGAGATTTCTCCTGTTTGAAGGATTTTTGCTGCCTGAGCAACAATTTCCTATTAACTAAAATGAGAATATTTATACCAACATATGTTAATAATGTAGCACATGGTCTGGAACATAGTGCACACTGGAAATATGAGTTCTTATTAACGCCCCGAGAATAGATCCACAGATACAGTCCCAGTTACCACTGCTCTTCAGAGTAAATAAGCAAAGTGAATTGGAAAAAACAATGTTGAACTGCGTTTTGATTATTTACATACTAACCAATACAAAACTGTACAATGTAAAATAGCAAATATCCAGGCTGTTGCTACCCAAGGTGGTTTTATTTGTATTAGATGAAAACAAACAAACAACAAAAATTATTTTTTTGAGACAGGGTCTCACTCTGTTGCCCAGACTGGAGTGCAGTTTAGTGATCTTGGCTCACTGCAACCTCCGCCTCCTGGGCTTAAGTGATTCTTCCACCTCAGCCTCCTGAGTAGTTGGGACTGCAGGCATGTGTCACCACACCTGGCTAATTCTTTTGTATTTTTAGTGGAGATGGGGTTTCAGTATGCTGCCCAGGCTGGTCTTGAACTCATGGACTCAAGAGATCCACCCACCTTGGCCTCCCAAAGTGCTGGGACTACAGATGTGAGTCACCATGTCCCGCCTAGAATTTTTTAAGAAATAAACTTTGTAGGTGATGTTGAAATGCCCCTGTCTTCCTCTCTCCAGTTCTATTTTTTCCCTCTGTTTCCAGACATAACTACTATAATGAATATAGTATATTTCCAGTTAATTACTATATATTTGTAATGCACATACAGAATTATAACATGACCATTAAGGACACTGGCCCTGAAGCTGAGATATGAGTCTTTGCTCTACCACTTTCCAGCTGTGTTACCTTGGGAAAGTTGTTGAACCTCTCTGTGTCTCAGTTTTTGTATCTATAAATGGAGATGTGTTAGATTGAGTCCTCCAAAAAGCATATTCTAAAATGACATTAGACACCCAAAGGATTTACTGGGGGAACACTTGTGAGAGAAAAAGAGGATAAGGTTTATTGTCTATTGCTGCGTAACAAATTACCCCCTGGAATTTAGTGGCTTAACACAATATACATTTATTATCTCAGAGGTTTTGTATGTCAGGAAACTGGGAGTGACCTAGCTGAGTGCCTGTGCTTCAAGATCCCTCAGAAGGCTGCAATCAAGATGTCAGCCAGAGCTCTTGTCTCTTCTGAAGCATAGAGTGGGGAGGAGCCACCTCTCATTTCCCTTACATGGTTGTTGTCTGGATTCAGTACCTCATGGGCTATTGGACTGAGAGCCTTAGTTCCTTACTAGCTATTGTCCAAAGTCTTTCCTCATTTTTTTGCCCTTTTCTACAAAGAGCAGCTTGTAGCATGGCAGCTGGCTTCCCTCACAATTTTTTTTTTTTTTTGAGGCAGAGTCTTACTGCATTGCCCAGGCTGGAGTGCAGTGGCGTGATCTCAGCTTACTTCAACTTCTGCCTCCCGGGTTCAAGCAATTCTCCTGTTTCAGCCTCCTGAGTAGCTGGGATTATAGGTGCGTGCCACCACACCTGGATAATTTTTGTATTTTTAGTGCAGACAGGGTTTCATCATTTTGGCCAGTCTGGTCTTGAACTCCTGACCTCAACTGATCCACTTGCCTTGGCCTCCCAAAGTGCTGGGATTTCAGGCATGAGCCACCGTGCCCGGCCCAACTTACCTCACAGTTAAGGAGAAAGCTAAGCACTAGTGAGTGCATTTAAGATGAAAGCCACAGTGTTTTTGAAATTGACTCTCAGAAGTGGCATTCTACCTCTTCACTGTATTCTATTTATTAGTAGCAAGTCTCTAGGTCCAGCTAACACTCAATGAAAGGGTTACACAAGGATATGTTTACCAGGAGGTAGAGGCTGTCTCAGACGCTGCCTGCCACAGAGCTAGGGACTTTGGAAGACCTGACAGCCAGTGACGTATGTCTGATCCCTGTGAAGGGGAGAGGAAAGGAAGAAGAGTTGAATTGGCACAGATTTGGATGAAGCATAGTTTTAATAATATTTTAGCTAGGCTGCTGGACCAAAGTCACCTATCAGAGGAGTCTCCATATCACCAGAAGAGTCTTGCCTTTAGAGCCCTGCTTCAGTCACTGGCCGAAAGCAGCATGTGGGAAGTATGGTCTCAGAGTGAAGGACGTGGTGGATTCAGCGTACAATAGCTAGGTGATCAGTTAATTACATGCTCAGCAGATCTGAGTGGCACATTTTCATGGCTGCAACAGGGAATAAAAGTAGTACCTCCCGCAGAGGGCTAGGGAATTAGACAAATAGACTATTTGGAAGGGCACATAGAATAGTGAGGGCACATAGACTATAAGCCCTATATACGCTCTACTTATTTATTATTATTACCTCAAAAATACAGTATCGCTTTCTTTTTTTTAGTTTACATTTTTAGTATTTCACTGTATATAATGTCCTGCAGCTTCCTTTTATAATTCAGCGTTATGTTTATGAGGTCTCAGATTGTGTGTTACGTATTATTCTTTTGCAAATATTTTCTCCCAGTCTGTGACTTGTCTTCTCGTCCTCTTGACATTGTCTTTTGTAGATCAGAAATTTTTCACTTTACTGGTGTGATCCTAGAGACAAAGCACAGTCAAAGCAATGGCTACCAAGAGGCAGAAGTGGTCCAGTCAAAGCAGTAGTGGGTGGGTCAAGAGCAAATATCATGGCAATAGTTTTTTTTTTGGATGTTCAAGCCACTTTGCTTGTTGACCTTCTGGAGGGCCAAAGAATGATAGCATCTGCTTATTATGAGGCGGTTTTGAGAAAGTTAGCCAAAGGTTTAGCGTAAAAATACCTGGGAAAGGCTGGGCGCGGTGGCTCATGCCTGTAATCCTAGCACTTTGGGAGGCCGAGGCGGGTGGATCACGAGGTCAGGAGATTGAGACCATCCTGGCTAACACGGTGAAACCCCGTCTCTACTAAAAATACAAAAAATTAGCCTGGCGTGGTGGCGGGGGCCTGTAGTCCCAGCTACTTGGGAGGCTGAGGCAGGAGAATGGCGTGAACCCGGGAGGTGGAGCTTGCAGTGAGCCGAGATTGCACCACTGCACTCTAGCCTGGGAGACAGAGTGAGACTCCATCTCAAAAAAAAGAAAAAAAAAAACCTGGGAAAGCTTTCTAATGTGTTTAAGATATGTCCTTTTGTTTGTATGAGTTCGTGTGTTTTATTTACATAGTGTTATGTGTGATTTGTCTCATTTTGTTTCTTGCTCTTTTCAGTCAGCACAGGTTGTTGGGATAATCCATGTTGTTATGCATATATCTGGCTTTTTACTTCTAACTGTGATACTTCAAGTTACGCATCTACCTTAGTTTGCTCGTCTGTTTCCCCAGTGTTTGATATCCCGATGGCGTCCAACCACCTCCATCATCATCAGTACTGCAATGAATGGAGTGAGACATGCCCATTCGTGGACCTGTGTGAGGATGTGTTTGGGGTATACACCCAAGAGGGAGACTGCCAGGCCATAGATTATACTTGTGCTTAATTTGACTAAGCATTGCCAGACTCCTCTTCAGAATGTACATGAACCTACCTCACATCCGTAGTGCATAGTCCTATAATCTCTTCAAAATATTATTCAGCTTTCCCATTTTTGCCAGTCTAACGGGTGCAAAGTGATACCTCATAGTTGTTTTAGTTTACATTTCTTTAGTTTTTAATGAGTTTAAACAGCTTTTTTATATGTTTGTTAACCTCTTGGGTTTCTCTGTTGTAAATTCCCTATTCTTATTCTTTGCCCATTTTTCGACTGGGATTAATTCTTTCTCCTGTTCATTTGCAGGAGTTCCTTGAAGATTCTAAGTTAATTATTCTAGGTTAAACCCTGTTGAATTAAGCATTGCAGTTATCTTCTCCCAGTCTGCTATGTGTCTGTTAATGCTGCCCATTGTGTCCTTTTTTAAAGTAAAAATCTTTTCTTTTTTCATAATCAAATTTATCAATATTTTGCCTGATAATTCTTGCTTTTAAAATTTGAATATTTTTTCCCATTTTTAGATTACAAAGATAGGTTTTTCTTCTGCTAACTTTATAGTTTTTACCTTTTCTGTTTAGGTCTTTAGTCCATCTGGAGTCCATATTTGTATGCAATGCTAAGCATCCAGTTTTATATTTCTCCATTTGTAAAAGCAATTTTCCAACGCTATTTAGAAATAGTCTCTCTCCTTTAATTTTTTTAAAACCCCTATAGCTTTCTAGTATATTTTGTTATCTGGTGGGGAAAATGCTCCCTTTTATTCTTTATTTTTAAAAAGCAGATTACTGGAAAAATTACCAAAAAATTAAAACAGTATTATTTTTATTTTATTTATTTATTTATTTATTTTGAGATGGAGTCTCGCTGTGTCACCAAGGCTGGAGTGCAGTGGCGTGATCTTGGCTCACTGCATCCTCCACCTCCCAAGTTCAAGAGATTCCCCTCCCTCAGCTTCCTTAGTAGCTGGGATTACAGGCACTTGCCACCATACCTGGCTAATTTTTGTATTTTTAGTAGAGACGGGCTTTTGCCATGTTGGCCTGGCTGGTCTCAAACTCCTGACCTCGGGTGATCTGCCCGCTTTGGGCTCCCAAAGTAGTGGGATTACAGGCGTGAGCCACTGCACCTGGCCTAAAACAGTATATTTTAAAATGTAATACACACATACATAAAACAAAAATATAGTTTCACAAATTATTATAAGGAAAACAACTGTGTAACCAAACTAGGTCAAAAGAAATCATCACTAGTTCTCCAGTATTCTTTCCCAAATATAAACTTCTCCCTCCCTTCAAAGAGCCATTCTTATAGTTTTAATAGTGATACTTTCTTTGCTTTCCTTTACAGTTTTATTATCCACATATCAATTCCTAAGTAATAGAACTGCTATTTTTAACAGTATATAAATGTATAAATGTATTCAACATTATATTTTTAAAGTGATCCATTTTGTTTTAGTAGCTGTAATTTTTAATTTTTCATTGCAGTATGGTATTCCATTGTTCCTTGGACCTTTATGCTTTCATGTAAATGGTAGCATAAATTTATTAAATTTCTCAAAAAAAAATCCAGCCAGAATTTTAACTGCAGTTGCCCTAAATATATAGATTTATTTAGGGAAAATATCCATGTATGTATAAAAACATTGTCCCAGTGAAGCATGTAGAATTTATCTTCATTTAATCCATCATCTTCTATGTTTATAATTAGAGTCTAAAAGTGTTCTCTATAGAGATCTTGTGTTCTTTGTTAAATTAATTCCTAGATGCCTTATAGATTTGTTGTAGTTGTGAATGGTATCTTAATTTTTCCAATATTTGTAATTGTTTTTTGATATGGATAAATAATTTTGATTTTAGAAAATTATGTGTACAGTAACCATACTGAATCTATTTTATTAATTCTAATAATTTATCGATTTTGTTTTTTTGTAAGTATTTGTATTACCTAAAAGAATGACAGTTTTGTTTCATTTTACTTCTTTTTGTTTCCATTTGCTTTATCCAGGGCTTCCAGGACTGTTAAACAGCAAAACAGCAACAAGAGTAAGCATTCTTTTCTAATTCTTTTTTTTTTTTTTTTTTAAGAGACAGGGTCTCATTGTGTTGCCCAGGCTGCTCTGCTAGAGTGCAGTGGCACAATCACGGCTCACTGAAGCTTCAACCTCGCGAGCTCAAACAATCCGCCCACCTCAGCCTTCCTAGTAACTGGGACTACAAGCATGTGCCACTATGCCCAGCTCATTTTTTTTTTTTTTTTTTAGAGATGGGGTCTCACTATGTTGCCCAGGCTGGTATTGAAATCCTGGGCTCCAGTGATCCTCCTGCCTTAGCCTCTCAAAGTTCTGGGATTACAGGTGTGAGCCATCATACATGGCCTCTTTTCTAATTCTTGAACCCAAAGGCAATGCATCTACCAAATACTGCTATAGATTGGCATATAACCCTAAGGAAATTCTTGTCTATCCCTGCTTTGCTGTTTAAATCATGAACTGCTGTTGAACATTATCAAATACTTTTTCTACATTAATGTAGCTAAGTATATAATTATTCTCCTTCAGTCTACTAATGTGGTAAATTATACTACATTTTGTTTCTGATGTTGAACTATCCCTGCATTCCTAAGATAACTTCAGCCTGATCATTAATTTTTTTTTCATTTCTGCAGCATCTTTTTTTTCCCAATAGTGTTTGGGGAAAAGGTCATATTTGGTTACATGGATAAGTTCTTTAGTGGAGATTTCTGCGATTTTCGTCCCATCACCTGAGCAGTGTACACTGTACCAACTGATCATTAATTTTTAAATACACTGTTGGATTTAGATAGCTAACATTTTAGTTAGGTTTATAAGCAAAATAGGCCTATAATTTTTAAATCCTTGAATCTTCCTTACCTCATTTTGAAATCAAGAACTAATTTAGTCTCACAAAATCAGCCATTCATCTTTCTCTCTTTGTGCCAGCCAATTGCCTGTTTGCTTTCAGCTCCATTTCTGTCCTTCTGTGTGCCCTGCCAGTACCTGGTTCACAGTAGAGACTTCATAAATATTTGTTATGGGCTGGGTGCAGTGGCTCACGCCTGTAATCCCAGCAGTTTGGGAGGCCGAGGTGGGAGGATCACCTGAGGTCAGGAGTTTGAGACCAGCCCTGGCCAACATGGCAAAGCCCTGTGTCTACTAAAAATACAAAAATTAGCTGGATGTGATGGTGTGCCTGTAGTCTCAGCTACTCGGAAGGCTGAGGCAGTACAATTGCTTGAACCAAAAGGCGGAGGTTGCAGTCAGCTGATATTGTGCCATTGCACTCCAGCCAGGGTGACAAGAGTGAAACTCCGTCTCGAAAATAAATAAATAAATAAAATAAAATTTGTTACGGTGGGGAATGCCATCAAATCAAAAGCGGGTCAAGCTCGAGTTGGTTTGGGCAGCTGGCCAGCATTTCACTGACCTCATTCTTCTCGGCCTTGTTGCCTGTTCATCCATCATCTGTCATCTTGCCTCCAGATCACCAGCAAGAAAGGAAACTAACAGTTTCTGTGTATTGCCTTTTTGTTTTCTTGACTGTATCTTTTAAACATCAGAAGTTTTTAATTATGATGAACTCCAGTTTATTAATTTGTTTCTGTTTTGGTTTGCACCTTCTAAGTATTCTAAGAAATCTTTGCCTAACCTAAGATCATAAATATTTTTTTCTACATTTTCTTCCGGAAGTTTTAGCTTTTACATTAATTCAAGTTAATATTTGTTTATGGTGTATATGGTCTTTTTTCATATAGAGATTCAATTATGCCAATGCTGTTTGTTAAAAAGACCATGTTTTCTCAACTAAATGGCCTTGGCATTTTTGTTGATAATCAATTGACCGTATACATGTGGATGTATTTCTTTACTTTTTATTCTGTTCTATTCATCTATCTCTATATGTCTCTCCCCATTTCAATATCACATTCTCTTGATTACTGTAATATTAATAGTAAGTCTTGAAAGCAGGTAGGGTAAACCCTCTCACTTTCTCCTTCAAACCTAAGCTTTTGTAAGTAAAAGTTGATTATTAGGTAATTTGGGAAATAAGCACCCTTCTCTATATATGAGCCTCAAACCATCTCTGTTCTTTTCCCTACTACTGAGCTTCACTGAGTTCAATGAAGTTAGAAACGGATGAGGGGAGGGATGGTGAAGCTCCCATCCCTGTTAGTTGGCAGACCCAACCCAAAGCACAACCCCAATCTTCCCAGCCAGTACCCTGCGTATGTCCATGTGACCCATTTCTGATTAATAAGACATGATATTTCAGCTGTCACATCTGTCACACAAATATTTCCCTTATGAGAAAATCTTGGCAAGAAAGGGATCATAAGTCAGTATAAATTCATCCCTACTATAGGAAAGAATCTTAAAATTTACGTCTATTAATAGTAAATAAATAGTGACATCTTCATCCTTGAGGACATATTTTATAAAATTTTCCCCCTCTGTGATTCTTGTTCTTATAAGAAATGCTACCTTTTGTGTGATTGATTACCAGGAATTCTATGGTAATGAATTATAGACTTCAAGGGTATTGGATAAGGATATGTCTAGCCCTACATAAGTATCATTTTACTACTACTACCAGTAATATAGCCTGAAAGTAATGACAATATAGTTCTGGATTGTTTTTTAAAAAAAACAAGCATTCTTCATGTGATGATTGTTTCTCAAAGCAGTCCTGTAAGGCAGATACTGAGCTATCACAACAGTTAGATCATAAAGCCCCTTAAAATGATATTTCAAAAATTAAATCCAAGTTTCTCAAAGACATATGGCTGCATACACAGTGATTGCAGGTGAGGGCAAACACAGAGGTAGAATTTTTCCTGTGTAAGAATTAAAATCAGTGCTACTGTGCCCTACAGTATTATAATTTCCAAATTAGTCAGTGTTCATTAACACACCCTACTGAATTGGGAATTCAGTATTAAACACAGACTTGATTATGTTTTTCTAAAAGATCCCTAGACCAGACTCTGACTGATTGCCTGAAACAACATGATCTTTTAGACAACAACAACAAAAAGATAACTTGGGTTTTGACTGGTGACTTGCATGAGTTGGTGTGGTTTTTTAGGATTGCAGTGAGGAATAACTGTCTCAGGATGGTTTTGGAGTCTGACAACAGGAACTGCAGTCTTTTTTTAAATTATTATTATACTTTAAGTTTTAGGGTACATTGCAGCCTTCTTAAGAAGGGTGTGAAGCCTGGACAACACTTCCGTGGGTGAGAACACCTTTCCCTGACAAACAGGTCACTGTTCTCTTACACGGCTTCTTTTGCCTTTTGCATATCCTTCCTACCTATCCACCTCCCAACCCACTGCCAGCAGTTTTGTCATTACCTTTGTAGTCAGAAAGACACACAGAATCCACTGGACTTGTGCAAATGTATTTTAAGTTTATGTCTTCCAAAATGTAAAGCTCTTTGTTAGCAAAATTGTACAGATCAAGAATATTATTAGTCTGTCATTTTCTGGTGCTAAGCCATGGTTGTTGGCTGGAAACCCCCATACAGTTCTCAGTTTGCATAACACAAGTGGTTTAGAGTGTTTTTTGCTCCTTTTGAAGCAAAACTTCTGTTTTTAACAGGGGATTTCAAAATTCTTAGGCTAGCCTTTGGAAAGAGGGAGGAAAAGGAGCAACTACTTCTCATCTGTGATGGTTGATTTTGGGTGTCAACTTGACAGGAATATGGGATACTCAGCTAGTAAAGCATTATTGATTCTTAATGCTTCGGTAGGCACTGAGCTTGTTTTTCTTCTGCTGAGAGCCAAACCCAAGTAGGTTTGCTTTTGATTAGAATGATTAGGCTGCCCCAGGGGTGACTGGGAGGGTGTTTTCAGAAGAGACTGGCCTGTGAGTCAGTGGACTGAATGAGGGAATATCCACCCTCAATGTGACCAGGCAGCATCCAATCAGCTGGTGGTCCAGCTGAATAGAAAGGTGGAGGAATGGGCTGGATGTTGTGAGAGGCTGAGGCAGGAGGATTACTTGAGCCCAGGAGTTGGAGGCTACCCTGGGCAACATAGTAAGACCCCAATCTCTTTCTAAAAGAGGGGTTGGGGGAGGAAGGATGAATTCTTGCTCCCTCTCTTCCAGAGTTGGGATGCCCTTCTTTTCCTGTCTTTGGATGTTCAAACTCGAAGTTCTCTGGGACTCCAACTAACGGCCTCTCAGGCCTTCAGCGTCAGACTGAGAGTTACATCAGCTCTCTTGGTCCTAAGGCCTTCCAACTTACACTGAGCCATGATACCAGCTTCTCTGGTTTCCCAGCTTGCAGACAGCCTGTTGTGAGACTTCTCAGCCTCTATAAGTGAGCCAATTCCCTAATAAATCCCTTCTCATATACCTCTCTGTATGTGTCTGCTATCAGTTCTGTCTCTCTGCAGAATCCTGACTAAAACACCATCTGTGACTCCTTTCCCCTCATATAATTTTTTAAATAAGAGTTTTATTGAGATATAATTTACATATAATGAAATTCAGTCTTTTAAAGTGGGTGATTCAGTGATATTTAGTATATTCAGAGTTGTGCAACCACCACCACTATCTAATATGAGAACATTTTTATCAACCTAAAAAGTAATCTTGGCTGGGTGCGGTGGTTCATGCCTGCAATCCCAGCACTTTGGGAGGCCGAGGCGGGCAGATCCCCTGAGGTCAGGAGTTTGAGACCGGTCTGGCCAACATGGTGAAACCCCGTCTCTACCAAAAATACAAAAATTAGCTGGGCGTGGTAGTGGGTGCCTGTAATCCCAGCTACTGGGAGGCTGAGGAAGGAGAATCACTTGAACCTGGGAGGTGGAGGTTGCAGTGAGCCGAGATCGTGCCACTGCACTCCAGCCTGGGTGACAAGAGAGAAACTCTGACACACACACACACACACACACACACACACAGATATCTTATACCCATCTGCAGTCATTCCCTATTTCCCACTCTCCCCAGTCCCTGGCAATCACTAGTCTGCTTTTTGACTGTGGATTTGCCTGTTCTGATGTTTTATATAAATGGAATGTGTAGCCTTTTGTGACTGGCTTCTTTCATTAACATATGTTTTCAAGATTTTCATCCATGTTGTACCATGTGTCAGTACTTCATTCCTTTTTATTGCTGAATAATATTCCATTGTCTGGATATACCACATTTTGTTTATGTAGTCATCAGATGACAGACATTTAGGTTGTTACCAATTTTTGGCTATTATGAATAATGCTATGAACATTTGTGAACATGCTTTTACGTGGACATGTTTTCAATTCTCTTGGATATTCACCTGTGACTTCAAAGTTTCATTGTAATTAAACTATTGTTTAACAACGTCATGTAGACTGTTTCACTAAGGGTGAATTCATATGTGATAGTTGTTCCATTTTATAATACATAAAATATTTTCAGTTAATTGACTACGAACTTACTCTTCGAAGTTGGACTAAAAAATTGTGGGACTGAAGAATTAAATGTTGTGATACATTGTTTACAACTGAATTATAAATATAAAAATAATACTGAGTATCTTGAGTCGAAACCAGAAGCACATTAAAAGACTGATACTCCATGGCCAAGTAGGATTTATTCCAGGAATGTAAATATGGCTTTATAGCTTTAAAAAGCTATGAATATAATTCACCATATTAATAAGTCAAAAGAGAGAAACCATATGATCATCATAATAGATGCCAAACATGGATTTAATAAAATTTAGCATTCATTTTTTTAATTGGTACTCACTGGTTATAGCAAGCATTCATTTACTTTCTTTTTTCTTTTTTTGAGACAGAGTTTCGCTCCTGTTACCGAGGCTGGAGTGCAATGGCGTGATCTTGGGTCACTGTAACCTCCACCTCCCGGGTTTAAGCGATTCTCCTGCCTCAGCTGGGATTCCAGGCATGCGCCACCACACCCAGCTAATTTTATATTTTTAGTAGAGACAGGGTTCACCATGTTGACCAAGCTGGTCTCGAACTCCTCACCTTAGGTGATCAACCCACCTCAGCCTCCCAAGGTGCTGGGATTACAGGCGTGAGCCACCGAGCCTGGCCAGTTCAATGGTTTTTTTAAAACTCATTAACGTCAGGAATAAAATAGAGATGCCACTAATATATTAAGTGAAGGAATCAACTAAGAGCTGGAGTGGAGGCCACAAAAGGTTTATTTTTCAGGTGATTTTTGAACTATATATACAAAATTAATAGTCTGATTATACATAATAAAATTACCTAGTTTAGAAAACATATTGTCAGAAAACACACTAATTTATAATAGGAACTAAAATGTAACTGACATCAGAAAACCTTGACGAGAAGGGTTATGTAAACAAAATGATCAGGGCTGGGCTGGTGGCTCACTCCTATAATCCCAGAACTGTGCGAGGTCAAGGCAGGTTGATCACTTGAGGTGAGGAGTTCAAGACCAGGCTGGCCAACACGATGAAACCTCGTCTCCACTAAAAATACAAAAATTAGCCGGGTATGGTGGCACACGCCTGTAGTCCCAACTACTCAGGAGGCTGAGGCATGAGAATCTCTTGAACCCAGGAGGCGGAGGTTACAGTGAGCCAAGATTGCGCCATTGCACTCCAGCCTGGGTGAGGGAGTGAAATTCCATCTCAAAAAAAAAAAAAAAAAAAAAAAAAAGAAAATGATCAAATTTTACTGAGTTCTGTCGTCTGATTCCAAATACAATTAATCACTATTGTGGATATATTTATACATATTCACTTATATGATAAAGGTAAAATTTCAAAAAACATGGTAAAAAATTGATTACTCCGTAAGGGTTTTGGACAACAGGTCAGTTATCTGGGAAAAATAAAACAGATCAAGATTTCAACTCCCAAGCAGAATTGTGGTTATCAGGGGCCGGGGGTGGGGTAGAGTGGGGAGCCCTTGGTCCAGGGATACAAAATTTCAGTTAGACTGGAGAAATAAATTCAAGAGTTCTATTGTACAATATGTAGCTATAGTTAATAACAATGTATTATATACTTGAAAATTGCTAAGAAAGTAGATTTTAAGTGTTCTCACCACACACAAAATAATGATAAGTATGTGAGGTAATGCTAATTAGCTAGATTAAGCCATTTCACAAAATATACATATTTTACAACATCAGGTTGTACACCATAAATATATATATATTTAGTTCTCAATTAAAAAAAGATTTCAACTCCTTACACACAAATGTCTTCTAGATGGATCATGGATGCAAGTGTGACTGATGAAATGTCAGAAGTGCTAAAAGAAAAATAATGGATATTTTTCCTTTAAGGGATGGCAGGCCTTTTAAAACAATATTACAAAAATTCAGGAACCAAAAAGAATAAAATTGATAACTTTGACATTTTAAAGTTCTGTGTTGCAAACGATCAAACAAAAAACAAACTCACAACTCACACTATAAAGAAGGAAGAGAGAGAGGACAAATTGAGAAATGTTTTTGCAGCATGATCTATAACAAAGGGCTGAAAATAAAAATATATCTTACATACAAGGAAGAACAAACAAAAGAAAAATGACAAAAGATAATGGACAGAAAATTTATAAAAAGAAGATATCCAAATGACCAATACATATATTAGATGGTCTAGTTTATTAGAAACCAAAGACCAGTCAAACAATATTAAAACCATCGTTGAAATACTTTTTTTTTTGTCCAATTGTTAAATATTTTAAAAGATAGTAACATTCAGAGTTGGAGATGATTTCAGGAAATGGATACTCTCATATCCTATTGGTGTAAATGTAAATTAATATAATACTTCTAGAGTACAGTTTGGCAATATGCATAAAAATAACCCAAACTGCCACATATAGGAATTAATACAAAAGGAATAACTGAAAACATGAGAACAGCTGGAACCATAAGGATACTCACTGTGGCTTTGTTCATAATAGAAATTCAGAATCAGCCCAGATAATTAAGTAAATTATGGTACATGCATTCAGTAGAACACACTGCAGCCTGTAAAAGAGAAAAGTAGCTCTGTACTGATAGGTATGGAAAGATGTCTGGGACAAATGGTGGACTGAAAGGAAGCATGTTTCAGAACAGCAAGTGCAGTATGATTTCATTTATGTGAAACTGTGTTTGTCTATAAACGTGTGTATTTGCACAGAGAAATGTCTAGAGGATATTCACCACACTGATATCAAGCTTTCTCTATGGTGATGAATTTTAGGTATATGTTTACTTTCTTTTCTGTACTTTTCTGTTATGTGAGATTTTGTTTACATTGAGCACGCATTATATTTAAAAACAGTAAGTTGGTTTTAATATATTGCCCTACATGTGGCTCCTTTTCAACATGGCAGTGCATGTGTTAGCAGTCTTGTACAGACATGAGAGCAGTGACCATGTCAACAGTATTTCTACCCTAAAAGCACACTTAGTCCTAAAGGAATACGTAAAAACAGCTTGGTGGCTAGAGGAAATACTGGAAGGTACATAGTACACTGGAAAAAAAAGGTGGTTCATATACACTCAGATAACTCCATTTCCCAAAATGTGGCCTCGAAGAGTTCAAGTAGCATTCACGTATCCCTTTTTAGAAATTATTTATTTATTTATTTAGAATAGAGATGGTGTTTTGCCATGCTGGTCAGGGTAGTCTCGCACTCCTGGCCTCAAGCAATCCTCCTGTCTTGACCTCACAAAGTTCTGGGATTATAGGCATAAGCCACCATGCCTGGCTTCATGTATCCCTTTGAAACATTCTACCACCAAAATATCACATTTATATTCAAAAGTGACATTCAGTGTTCAGAAACTTAAATTTTTTCAATTTGCAGACATTCTTGTGGCGAAATATTAAAAAGTAATATATCACAAGACCAGAAAAGGCATTACTGTAAAGCATCATTGACTCCCATGAAAGAAACATATCTGCAGCCAGAAGCCAAAGAACAGTATTATGGCAAGGCCAAGTTCATTGCACATCATTGCCAGAAACGTATTTCTGGCAAAGAAACAAGAATTGGTAATTGAACTACCAAATATATTTCAAGAGGTTATTATGTTCCAGAGAGAATTGAATACATTTAGAAGTAGATTTCGTCTGATTTTCCCTGACCTGAAGCATGTCTGAATGCCAACATCTATTAGGCAAGATCTCCATAATATTGAATGCAATAGAAGTCCTTTATATTTCTTATAAATTTTTACATATGCTTACTTAGGAGGGTTTTTTTTTTTTTGTATAACGATGTCAACAGACATCCTCTAAAGAAAATTTTGTCTTTACTAAGTTTCCTTGAAACCATATACAGTCAATAAATTTGTTATTGTATTAAAACATGATTGAGAAATTTTAGACCCTGTCATCTTGAATTATATTTCTACCTGCAGCACTGTAACACTGTTTAGCTTGAACAAACTTCTTTATTTCTAGATTCTGTCAGCCAAATTAAAAAAAATTTTTAAAAAGATAACATTACTGTACTCCACAGGGAGCAGTAGGGTTTATGATGAGATAATATTGATAATTTATTTTGATCAAAAAGAAAAAAATACTATGAATAAACTTATTGTATATTGATAACTAAAAGGAAAAATATAGTTCCACAATGAAAAACATGTGTAAATTTAAATATTTTCAATATTTCATGTTCATAGATGAATCCTAGCTCAGTGCCTTGCCAAGGAAGATTAAAAAAAAATTCAGTTTTAGAAAGCTCAAAGTTCCCAAAGTCAGAGAAATGCGAACAGAGTCAAGCTTACTCCATTGTTCCAATTTGTTCAGCTTTATCCATTAGGCTGTCACTAACTTCCGGCTTTTATTTTTTTTTCCCAGTAATGTGCGTAGGCCAATTTAGTACGAAAGCTACAGTGCAGAACCACATATTTTGAATAAGAGATTGAAAACAGAAAATTTGTTTCAATTAGTCAAACAGCTCTCTAAATTTTCTTTAGCATGGATGGAAGCACAAGGATTACCATGGGCTGCTAGTTTTTATTAGAATCTAAAGTCATTATTGTAAAGTTCTAGTATCAACTTAGAACTTAAACATTTTCCCCAGGGACCAGCTACATCCCTATTTATAGCCCAAACTCTTGGTTTAATGCAATTTAGAATATCTACAACAACCACAACTTTTCTTTAGGGTTTCTTTCTCAATTTTGACAGTTCACTAGTCAAGCTCCAAAGAACTGTACAGTTAGTTGGACTGGTGATTCTCAAAGTGGGCCATGTTGGAAAATGGAGAGTCAAACCCCTCCACTCCTCAGGATGGATGAGAGGAAAATAATTCAACATTATATTTTTATGTTTTTGAAGGAAACACTTTGATTTTTGTAATAAAACTATAGAAAGCAAAACTTCAGGGAAAAACTACATATATATGTTGAAAATGATTGAGAAGCACTAGCAAATACTGATAACTACTGTAAAGGAAGGAGAATGTAAAAGAACTGGTCATTTAGATGGAAGCAGAGGAAAATTTTCGGCTGGGCACGATGGCTTACGCCTGTAATCCCAGCATTTTGGGAGGCGGAGGTGGGTGGATCACGAGGTCAGGAGTCCAAGACTAGCCTGACCAACATGGTAAAACCCCGCCTGTACCAAAAATACAAAAAATTAGCTGGGCATGGTGGCATGCGCCTATAGTCCCAGCTACTCAGGAGGCTGCGGCAGGAGAATCGCTTGAACCTGGGAGGCGGAGGTTGCAGTGAGCTGAGATCACACCACTGCACCACAGCCTGGCTACAGAGTGAGGCTCTGTCTCAAAAGAAAAAAAAAAAAGAAAATTTTCTTGGTGAAAGAGGTGACAGAGGGACGAATAGGATCATACAGTACCCAGAGTGTTCTGTTCCAGTTTCCTCCTCCATTCCATACTTGTCTAGTTCATTAGCAAGCTGTGAATTTGGATGGCTTAATCTGTGACTTGATTAGCTTGATTAAAGGCCGAGTTAAGTTGAAATATTTGGCACTGAATTTCAGAACTGAAACAGATAATCATTACCCTTGCCAAGTGGCAATTCCAAAAGTTCACGGGTTTTGTTGATTGGGGCTGGAGGTGACCAGAAAAGTAAAGACGGGGAGATTTGGTAATAAGGACGGTGGTGGAGGGAGCACTTGGAGAGAGACAGAAAATTAAGAAAAATATACTTGATTTTTAAGTTTAAAAAGAACCACAAGATCAAAATTAAAAATCGTCATAAAATTGGATCTATGGTAACAAGTAGAAAATGCTGTTCACTACAATGCACAGGGATTTAACATTTTAGGATAACAAGTCTATTGCTGCCAGAAACTGGAATTACAAAATAACAATCAAAAGCATATATAATTTGGAAGCAAATAACATAGGAAATACAAACATTTTCACATTTATACCCATCTGTTTCATAATAGCTATGCTGAACTCTTCGAGAAGAAACACATTCCTGAGAGAACAAATGGGGCATTCCACCTGTATTCCACGGAGGAAGACTTATTTCAAGACATAAGCAGAGCCACTTGTAGAAGGATACTGCTCTTATCTTTTTGTGTTTTTCATGACCTTTCTTTTCAGGCAATGTGTTGCAGTTTGGTCCCATAATATGCAACTAGGTTTGTCTGGGCTGACTTATCTGGGTTAAAATATTCAAAGTAATTCTCCATTTGCTATCCTTCCCAAAACACTTTGTTAAAAGTTATCAGTACATAGGTAAAATAGCTTAACACAGTGAAAATTCTAATTCAGAATAATTATCTGAAAGGCTTAAGTGAATTAAAATCTGATTTATAAAATTCTTTTTGATATCTACGAATGTATTTTTAAGTTCTCTCAAAATATGAGCTGATTCTCAGACATTTTCAAGGAGAGTTCCTTTTGGACCTGTTTTAACAAACAGGTAAAAATCATTTTTAATTAGTTCATCATTCATATGCAAATAAATGCTGCTACAGAATTTCAAGAGTGCCTGAAAGGACTTCCTAAGGAAAGCTAATAGTTCCCTCGTGATTTTTTTCTATTTATAGTTTATTTATCAAACACTTTCATAGAAAAAGTACAAAGATCGTGATCTTACCTATGCTAGAATTATCTCAGCTTCTTAAATACTGTTTATTTAATGAGATTTTACTGGAATCCTCATCGTTAGTTTTATCACACAGGAATGGTAATTGTGTCATGTGTATAAACCTTCTGGAAAACATTCCAGACCTCAGTTCCTTATGGTTTGATTTTAGCTATTTCTAGGACATTTATTTTAACATTAAACAGGATTCTGAAAATTTTGTGGATTTAGTGTTGATTTGTCTAATGCATATTTGTCGGCATCTTTTTCCTCATAAGCAACATGTTGGGAGATGGTGTAGACAAAGGTAAGGATCCAAATCATCAGTTGAAAGTGACAGTGAGAATACTAAGGTTGGAGGGTGAAGCAGGCCACCCAGCAAAGTCCAGGCTGGGTCAGTGTATTAGTTCGTTTTCACACTGCTGAAAAAGACATATCTGAGACTCGGCAATTTACAAAAGAAAGATGTTTAATGGACTTACGGTTCCACGTGGCTGGGGAGGCCTCCCACAATCATGGCAGAAGGTGAAAGGCACGTCTCACATGGTGGTCGACAAGAGAAGAGAGCTTATGCAGGGAAACTCCCCTTTTTACAACCATCAGATCTTGTGAGACTTATTCACTGTCATGAGAACAGCATGGGAAAGACCTGTCCCCATGACTCAATTACCTCCCCCTAGGTCCCTCCCACAACACATGGGAATTCAGGATGAGACTTGGGTGAAGACACAGCCAAACCATATCATTCCACCCCTGGTTCTTCCCAAATCTCACATCTTCACATTTCAAAGCCAATCATGCTTTCCCAACTGTTCCCAAAGTCATAACTCATTTCAGCATTAACTCAAAAGTCCACAGCCCAAAGTCTCATCTGAGACAAGGCAAGTCCCTTTCACCTATGAGCCTGTGAAATCAAAAGCAAGTTAGTTAATTCCTAGATACAATGGGAATGCAGGCATTGGGTAAATACAGCCATTCCAAATGAGAGAAATTGGCCAAAACAAAGAGGTTACAGGCCCCACACAAGTCCAAAATCCAGTGGGGAAGTCAAATCTTAAAGCTCCAAAATGATTTCTTTGACTGCATGTCTCATATCCAGGTCAAGCTGATGCAAGAGGTAGGCTCCCATGGCCTTGGGCAGCTCTGCCCATATGGATTTGCAGGGTATATCCCTCCTCCTGGCTGCTTTCACAGGTTGTCATTGAGTGTCTGTGGCTTTTCCAGGTGCATGGTGCAAGCTGTCGGTGGTTCTACTAATCTGAAATCTGGAGGATGGTGGCCCTCTTCTCACAGCTTCACTAGGCAGTCGCCCAGTAGAGACCCTGTGTGGGGGATTCAACCCCACATTTCTCTTCTGCACTGTCCTAGCAGAGGATCTCCATAAGGGCCCTGCCCCTGCAGCAAACTTCTGCCTGGGCATCCAGGAGTTTCCATACAGCCTCTGAAATCTAGGCAGAGGTCCCAAACCTCAATTCTTGACTTCTGTGCACTGGCAGGCTCAATATCACATGGAAGCCGCCAAGGCTTGACGCTTGCACCCTCTGAAGCCTCGACTCGAGCCCTATATTGGCCCCTTTCAGCTTTGGCTGGAGTGGCTGGGATGCAGGACACCAAGTCCCTAGGCTGCACACAGCATGGGGACCCTGAGCCTGGCCCACAAGACCACTTTTTCCTCCTAAACCTCCAGACCTGTGATGGGAAGTGCTGCCATGAAGACCTCTGAGATGCCCTAGAGACATTTTCCCCATTGCCTGGGTGATTAACATTTGGCTCCTCGTTACTTATGTAAATTTCTGCAGTCAGCTTGAATTTCTCCTCAGAAAATGGATTTTTCTTTTCTATTGCATTGTCAAGCTGCAAATTTTCTGAACTTTTATGCTGTGCTTCCCTTATAAAACTGAATGCCTTTAACAGCACCCAAGTCACGTCTTGAATGGTTTGCTGCTTAGAAATTTCTTCTGCCAGATACCTTAAATCATCTCTCTCAAGTTCAAAGTTCTACAAATCTCTGGGGCAGGGGAAAATGCCTCCAATCTCTTTGCTAAGATATAACAAGAGTCACCTTTGCTCCAGTTCCCAAACAAGTTCCTCATCTCCATCTGAGACCTCCTAAGCCTGGGCCTTATTGTTCACATTACTATCAGCATTTTCGTCAAAGCCATTTAACAACTCTCTAGGAAGTTCCAAACTTTCCCACATTTTTCTGTCTTCTTCTGAGCTCTCCAAACTGTTCCAACCTCTGCCTGTTACCCACTTCCAAAGTTGCTTCCACATTTTCAGGTATCTTTTCAGCAGGACCCTACTCTACTGGTACCAATTTACTGTATTTGCTCATTTTCACACTGCTGATAAAGACATACCCTAGACTGGGCAATTTACAACAGAAAGATGTTTAATGAACTTACAGTTCCACATGGCTGAGAAGGCCTCATAATCATGGTAGAAGGTGAAAGGCACATCTCACATGGCAGCAGACAAGAGAAGAGAGCTCGTGTAGGGAAACTCCTCTTTTTACAACCATCAGCTCTTGTGAGACTTATCCACTATCACAAGAACAGCACGGGAAAGACCTGCCCCCAAGATTCAATTATCTCCCACCAGGTCCCTCCCACAACACGTGGGACTTCAAGATGAGATTTGGGTGGGGACACAGCCAAACCATACCAGTTGGATACCCTAGAAACCTGTGAATGTGAGAAGTACTGTCAAAGCCACTAAACCATGGGGGCAGGAGTTAAATGCAGCATAATCATGGCAATGGCTGACAAAGATATAAGTGGTGACCATTTTATTATTAACTTAAAGAAGATAAATGGGAAGAAATTAAGACAAAAGGAAGTGTTATAAAGGCAAGATAGGTGGAAAAGATCTTGGTCAAGATCCAGGCAAATGTCAGCCAAAGTTCAACTGGAGTCTGTATTGCATGCTAGGACATAGATGAGTTCAACTGAAGTCTATACTGCATGCTAGAACAGAGATGAGTTGCGGGTAGGGGGGGATGGTGTGGGCAGGAGAGCTTCAAATTTTCATTTTATAGAGGAAAATTGAATCTCAGGGAGATGGAGTTACAAACTTACTGGATGGCAGAAGTAAGTCATTATTTTTCTTTATCTGTCATCTCTGCAATGGAAATCCTACCCATCCTTCAAAGATCAATTCAAAAGCCACCCTCTGTTACTCACTTCCCTGTTTTTCCTAACTCCTGATCTCTTTCACCTCTGAATTTCTGCAGATTTTAGTAGTGTTTATGTAACAATTTCTACTTATATTTTGGTTATTTGTATGTAATGTCTTAACTTTCATAGTCTTCAGACTGTATACACCATGTACGTGACAACCATAAACTTTTGTTGATATGAATAAATGAATGGACCAGGCACAGTAGCTCATGTCTGTAATCACAACACTTTGGGAGGCCAAAGCGGGAGGATCTTTTGAGCCCAGGAGTTTGAGACTAGCCTGGGCAATATAGTGAGACCTTGTCTCTGCAAATAATAAAAAATTAGCCAGGTGTGGTGGCATGTGCCTGTAGTCCTAGCTACTCAGGAGACTGAGGCAGGAGGGTCATTTGAATCCAGGAGAGACTGCAGCGAGCTATGATGGCACCACTGCATTCCAGCCTGGGTGACAGAGTGAGATGTCCCAAAAATAAATAAATAAATTTCAAGACCATTTAATGGACAGATTCCTTAGCCCTGTCTGAATTTAAAAGCAAAACAGTTTTATTTTGTTTTTCCTGGCTTACTATCCTGTTCCTGTTGCAGGCTGCTTGAACTCAAAGAAAGAGGCTCACTGATGAGTATGTAGGTAGGGAGGGCCTTCAACGTAGTGTGTCCTCTTGCTGGAGAGAAAAGAACAGGGAGAAAAAATGAAATGTACCCTGACCTCATCATTTTTTTCTCTTTTTCAATAAATGACCTTCATGAATTCTATTTGTTTTATTTCTCCCTGTTCCTATGAAACCAGAAGGTAAGTTTTTTAGGGTTTCTCCTCAGAGCATTCTATTACCTCCATGTTATGATTCCAGTAAATAAACAAATTCTAGGGACCTTTGGTAGACCAAAGGCCAGACAATGTCAGCTTTTCTCTGCTTTCTACTTTGAGTGACAGTCAGGTAGTACAAATGCAGCCCAGTGTGGTGTGGGGTCACAGGACCAAATTAGTCAGATGTATGGTAGCTAACTGATCATTTCAAAGTAAGAAAGGATGGATTTAAAACTTTTGCTATTATTATGATGGTAAAGGAGAAGTCATTATGAAATTACATTAAAAGTAAAAAAGATGGTTTATACCTAAAGGAGGAATTAACAGCTCAGAAATAAAGATGTTTTTTTCCTCTCAGTGAGCACTTGTGAATTTAGAAACCCCAGGAGTGAGTCACTGAAAATGTCCCAACAGATAACATATTGTTAATCTTTTTCTTCTCCTAGAAAATCCAATGTGAGAGACTAAAAAATCTAAAATAAAGTCCACTGCCTATCAAATATCTGGAGAAACTAATGGTAGAACAGTGATGAGATCAAAACAAAATAAAACCATCAGCTGATCTAATTCCAAGAACTAGAGAGGGTGTGTTTTGGTTTCTGCAAAATTCTGGAAAGCAAAGCAGCTGGTCAAATTCTTAACTCCTTCAGGGCAGAGCTGTGTTTTATTTTACCTATGAATTCCCTTTAGCGCTCAGCAGCACAGAGTAGGTGCTTGGGACATGTTTGCTGCATTAAAAGCGTTGAGCCATACTTGGTATAGCAAAGGCAACCATGTGCTATGTTAGTTATCTCTCATATCAAGCCTTTCTGAGTCTCTGCCAATCTTCTGTGTTCTTTGTACTTCACAAATTGGTGACAGAAAAGCAGATGCCCGTAGTCTTTTGTACTATCTGTTCTAAGCCTGGGTTTCACAGTTACTTCTTGCCTTTTGTGTGTGTGTGCTAGTGAAAAAGTGATGACTTTTCTGGTAAATGATATATGTCTCCACTGCCTCTAAAGATGCTACATCAAAAGACCTCCAGGACTCCTATTTTTCATGCCTAGCAACTATTATTGATTGGAATTCGGTCTCAGAGTTTAATAATTTCATTCCCAAATCTCTGGGGTGCAGAGAGCTAGTCTCAGGGGTGGGAGGAGGTCCACGTTTGGCTGAAATACCTGTTCCTCTTGTTCCCACTCATAGGCCCGTTTCACATTAATGAGCCAGACAGCTCTGCCTAGAGAGCCTATTGCTTTTTTTTTTAAATAAGTTTCTTGATCTTAAAAACATACATTTTATTGTTAAAAGTGATTGCAGACAACCGTATAGAGTAAAAAGGAGGAGTGTTCCAATCTTTTGCCATCCTATCATTGATCCCTTTCACCAGAGGTCATTGCTGATAAAATCCTGACCTTCAGAGATTCAGACAGATTACATCACTGCCAATGTTTGAAAAAAGAAAACTCTTACATTCAAAATAATTCTGTCTGCATGCCTTGCAATAGTTATTTTGCAGTTTTGATGAAACACTGGTCAGGTACTGTAAAGGATCTCAAAGTTATTACTCCCAGTACATCCTGTGTGTGGTACAGACTGTCAAACGTACACCTTGTATTATTCTTCATACATCCTGGATTCCTGGGGAGAGGGTGTATGATGTGGGCGTGTTTCGTGTGCTTGATATCTATAAATATACTCAGAGGCTGCTCAAAGCTGCTCACTGTTATTTCAGCACATTCACTATTCCCGGTTTTTACATACACCCGCACCCTCACAAAAAAGGAGTAAAACTGAATTTATTTCTGCTATCATGATCATGATTCCAGATAAATTGCTACAAAACTAGTCATCATTTTCTAGGTGTACCTCACCCCAAAGATACAAAATTAACTTCTAGTTTTTCAGCAGCAATGTGTAGAACACTCTGTTTCTACTCATTTTCTTGACCTCCTTCAGGGCTGACTTGAGATGCTGACTTCTATTTATGCCTCCACCTGCCTTCTGCAGTTTGACTCAGGGATCATCTTCTTTTAGCTCATGACTCTGACTCCATTTTTCCGCTAAAGCTTTTCCTTTTTCTTTCTCCAGGAATCCCAGCCCACAAGTCTTCCACCCACTGCTGCCTGTACCCTGCCCTTGCAGTCTGCACTTATCTGGAGTATGGGACCTTGAGAGTGTTCAGGGCCCATCATGATCAGCCCCTATTCACCCAGCCAGTCTCACCTCCCATGGCTCTTTCTCATATGTAACATTGTGGTTAGGAGCATAGATTCAGGAGTCAGTGTCTGGGTCCAAATCTTGGCTTTGTTTCTTATAAGTTATGGGTTACTTAACACCATATGGACTTCATTTTCCTCATCTGGAAAATGGGGATCTTAGTCCAGTTACCTACATCACAGGGTTTTTATAAAGACGGTGGGTGGACTGTTGCAGTAATCGCAAACCCAGCAAATCATGCCTGAAACCATGCTCTTGCGAAGTCCCCTTTGACATTGATTTTGGGTTTGGCCATGTGGCCTGCTTTGGCTGATGGCACAAGCAGATATTTGATATGTGCTTGCACGTTGAGTTTTGTACTCATTTGCTTGCTGGTTTTTGGAACTCAACCACCACCTGAAAAAGCCTAGGGTAGCCTGCTGGATTCTGAGAGATGCTTGTCTCAATAGACTCCATCCCCCAAGTCAACTGAGACATGTGGGTGGGGGGACATCTGGGACTAGCCAGCCCCAGCTAACTTGCCAAGTGACTACAAATACATGAGTAATTCCAGCTATTATATGGAGCAAAAAGATGGACTGTGCTAGCCCAAATTGCCAACTCACAGAATCTTAACCTAATAAATGGTGAAGGAGTCACTAAATTTTGGGGTGATTTGTTATGTAGCCATAGTTAACTGATAGAAAGACAAGTGAGTTTTTACTTGGTACATGCAAAGTATTTAGAAAAGTGTCCGACATTTGGCATGTCAGTAGTTGTTTATTATTATTTATCATTAGCTTGAGTCGTAGGGGTCACCCTGGAAACTCCTGAATAGGCTGAGCCTTCTTATGCTTCCATGCCTCTGCATATGATTACAGTTTTCAAAAATGCATTCACTGACTGCCTACCTCCTATGTGTCCCTCAAGAAGGGGGATATTTAAAATATTTGACAATTAGTATGGTATGGGCACCATTAATCAGAATCAGGTGTGTACCACCTAAATAAATATCAGGTCTGCCTTCAAGACTGATGAAGCATCACCATCATCAGTCACCTGAGTTATTGTAATACCTCATCAGATTTCTCTGCTTCTTTTCTTACATCTCTCCATCCTCACCCCATAGTTTGCTCTAAACATGGTTGTCATTTTTCAATGGAAATGATCCTTTAAAAATATAAGTCAGATCATATCACCACGCAGAGAATCAAAGCTGCAATGGTTCTTCGGTTCACTCAGAGTAAGATCTAAGATCCTTGCAATGGTTCACAAGTCCTGCAAGTTCTGAGTCTTCCACTCCTGCTCCTTACCTCTCTGATTTTTCTCTCCTTCCTTCACTGTGCTCCAGCCACATTGGTCTTCTTGTTCTTTCCCAAAAATCCTACCTTAGAGATTTTGTTCTAGCTGTTATTTCTGCTCGAAATGCTTGTCCTGAAAGAACAGACTTGCCTAACTACTTCACCTTTTCTAAGTCTTGCTCAAATACTTCTCAATGAAACCTAAACTGAGTATTAATCTGCAATCTGCTCCCTAATGTTACCCTACACTCTCACTCTCCCTTTTACTCTATCACCTTCTATAATAGTCAGGAATCCCCCAGAGAAGCAAAACCAGAAGGATATATATATATATATGAATATATATACACAGAAGGATGTGTGTGTGTGTGTGTGTGTGTGTGTGTGTGTGTATATATATATCCTTGCAAGGAACTGGCTTATGCAACTGTGGGGGCTGGCTAGGCAAACCAAGATCTGTAGGGCAGGCTGTCAGAAAAAACAGATTGAATTCCCAAGCACAAGCTAAGGCTTCAGTCCATAGGCAGAATTATTTGTTTTTTAGGGAAACTGCAGTTCTATTTGTAAGGTCTTTCACCTCACTGAATCAGGCCCATCCGGATTTCTAGGATGATGGTCACAGCAACACCTACACTGGTGTTTGACTGAATAACTAAGGACTATAGCCTGGCCAACTGGCACATAAAATTGGCCATCACATCTTCTAATATATTATATAATTTTCTAATTTCTTATGTCTATCATCTGTCTCCTTCACTAAAATAAAGTTTCCATGACCATTGGGGATGTTTTTGTTTGCTGATACATTTCATAGTAAATATTCAATAGATGTTTGTTGAATTAAATAGAAACATCACATCCCCAGGAAGTCTTTTGACTACCTGCTATCCCCAAAACAGACACCTACCTACCCTAAGTTAGGTGCCAATCCTCTTCTTTCTACCTCCTAGTTAGCTAAATCCATCCACTTTAATTAGACTGATTTAACTTCATTCCAAGAGATTAAGTAAAGCACCAGGAATAACTAAGCATCTTATGGTTTCATTTATTTAACTTATTTATCTCTTTGCTCCCATTAGCCTCCTATTTTGCATCTATTCCTTTATCTTTCTTCTGCTTCTTTCTTCTACTTCGAATCATTAGGAAAAATAAAAAGGAGGATGCATTATGATGAAATTTATAAAAAGAAGCCTTACACTAAAGGCAGTGTTGACTTGTGTGATATCTCCACCTATAGAAATAGTCTTTCAATTTAGCAACATGCCTCCATTTATTTTACCAGCATTTATTAAGCACTAAATATGTCAGACATTGTATAAAGTACTGAGACCACAGAAATAAAAATCAATGTCACTGCCTTCAAATTGCTTATAATCTTTAGTAATTGTTAATTATCATATATTATCAATCATTACAATTATTAATGATTCCTATCAATTATTTATTGTTTATTACTCATTACTTAAGCCTTTATTAATTATTAGTTAATTATTGGTATACACAGTGTTTGATATTTAAATCAGCTGTCGACATTGAAAAATTAGGCCGGGTGAGGTGGCTCATGCCTATAATCCCAGCACTTTGGGAGGCGAAGGCAGGTGGATCACCTAAGCTCAGGAGTTCGAGACAAGCCTGGCCAACATGGTGAAACCCCGTCTCTACTAAAAATACAAAAATTAGCCGGGCATGGTTGTGGATGCCTGTAATCCCAGCTACTTGGGAGGCTGAGGCAGGAGAATCGCTTGAACCTGGGAGACAGAGGTTGCACTGAGCTGAAATTGTACCATTGCAATCCAGCCTGGGTGACAAGAGGGAAACTTCATGTAAAAAAAAATGGAAATATTAGAATATTTTACATAGAAATCAGAATTTCTAGCTTCCCTTGAAATATCAAAAGAGGTAACAAAATGGCCTGCATTTTTACACAGCATAAGCAGCTCAGATTTGAGGCATGAGCTCTCCATTTCTAATTCACCATATTCACTACTTCTCTGTATTGCTTCTCAACATTAAGGTCAGATATCAGTTGCTATTTATCACCTTACACCTAGCCTGATTAGTTATTTAGCTACCTTCCTGGCCTCCTGCATGGATTTGGTTTGTGGATCTCTAGTCTAGTTCGTTGTATTTGATAATGTACTACTAAAACAATTTTTAACTCTGCAAAATAATTCTGCTTCTATGATATAATTTGATGTTCACAATAAATCTAAGATGTAGGTAGGCCAAGTATTATTGGCTCCGTTTTTTACACAACATAATGAAAAATTGAGGTGGTTAATTTACAGATTTGGAGTGTAGTGGTGGTTCTAGAATTTACATGTCCTCCTTAGCTACCTTAAGTCTAAAGAGTATTGCAGAGGGATTTCACCCCCTTCCTCACTTTCCTCAGTACAAGATTTTAGACTGAAGTAGGTCAATGATTGGGAGGGGCAGAAAAATGAACACAAAGTTACATTTGGAATTTTAACTATTACTTAAGGCTGAGTTGTGGCATTTTAGCACTAAGTGGCTGGGGGACTTTTTATTATCTGAGAGTCATGGGCCTGTTCAATGTTTCATCTTAGGATAGAAAAAGATCACACCAATGAATACATGTGTAAAGGGACAATGGAAGCAAATATTGAATTTTTCTATGCAATCAAAATGTGTCACATTTATTCAGCTTACCAGTTACAGAGATGCACACACACCACACACACACAGACACTTTTTTTCTTTTACATAAATAGGCTCATACTGTATACAGTATCTTTTACTGTTGTCGTTGTTGAGACAGGGTCTCACTCTGCCATCCAGGCTGGAGTGCAGTGGTGTGATCATGGCTCATTGTAGCCTGGATCTCCTTGGACTCAGGTGATCCTCCCGCACCAGCCTCCTGAGTAGCTGGGACTACAGGTGCATGCTACTATGCCTGGCTAATATTTGTATTTTTTTTTTTTTATAGATACAGGGTTTCATCATGTTGCCCAGGCAGGTAGTATTTTCTAACTTACTTTTTCCTTTCAACAGTATGTCATCTTTTTATGACATTAAGTTTTCTTATACTGTGTCAATTTTAATGGTCCCATAGTAGTCTACTATATGGTGGTTTTATAATAATATTTATCCAGTAACCTGTGGGCCAATTTGGTTTTCCAGTGTATTATTATATAAATAAGTTGCACTAAATATTCTTGTAGCTGACTCAGTGCATGTATGAATATTTCTTTTCTTTTTTTTTGAAACTGAGTCTCTCTCTGTTGCCCAGGTTAGCATTCAGTGGGGCCATCTCAGCTCACTGCAACCTCTGCCTCCCAGTTTAAAGTGATTCTACTGCCTCTGCCTCCCAAGCAGCTGGGATTACAGGTGTGTGCCACCATGCTTGGCTGATTTTTGTATTTTTAGTAGAGACTGGGTTTCACCATGTTGGCCAGCTGGTCTTGAACTCCCGGCCTCAAGTGATCTGCCTGCCTCGGCCTCCCAAAGTGCTGGGATTACAGGCTTCAGCCACCACACCTGGCCATATGATTATGTCTTTAGGATAAATTCCTAGAAGTGGAATTGCTATATCACAGGATACATCTATTTTTAAAATTTTGATGCACATGTAATGACTCCTTAATCAATATCCTTCCTTCCAAAATCTCCCAACTCCTAATTAGGTCTAACTACTTCAGCCAGATAAATCTCACTAAATATCATACTTGAATATTGTACTCCCTTGTTAAAAAGTCTCAGTGGTTTCTAGCTTATTAGATAAATTTAAAAGCTTTGGGGGTGTGGGGGGAGGCCCAGGGAAAATATCTCATCTTAACTTCTTTAATCTCACTTACCGCTCTTCAATTCCAGTTAGGGCTGACCTATAATTTCTGCCAGGTCCAACATTTCTATTTTTTTTTTCCCCTACATGAGGAAGCTGCTCCCTTTTCTTCTCTGCTAATCTAAATCCTATATGTCCCCTGAAGTCCAGATCAAATTATACCTCTTCCAGAAAGTGTTACTGGAATAATCCCACCCCCAAATTATCATTGCACCCATAAATCATATTCCTCTATAATTTTAGTATGTATATCCTAAAATTTCCTCGGGGTGGGCAAGCTGTTTCTGGGCAGGTTATATTTTGAATCTGCCTCCACAGCAAACACAGTGCTAAGTTCTGAATCTTGAAAAGGACTGTAAAATTGTACAATGAGTTACTGGAGAAAGTTCTTGAATATTCCCTGAATGCCTTTAAAATCGGTTATACTCCCATTTGAAATTAGGTAAATGGACTAACTGAGTTTTCAAAGAGGCTTCAGCCATATTTTTCTAAGAGTATAACTATAATTAGTTGTTGGTGAAGTATGAATCATTTTCAGCTGGCCCTGTGAAAGATACCTCCACTTACTCATAAAAATTATTTGGTGTGGAATAAGGTATGAGAGAAAAATCTCTCAAAGATGATTTAATCACCACAATTACCAAAGTAGTTGGTGGTGGTCACATGATGGATTTTGAAAACCACATAAGTGAGGTTCCATTGTATAAAGATATTTTTATTCATAGCTTATGATACAAAACTGAACCAATGAATTTTCAAATTATCCTAGATACTGAACATTAAGAAAAACTTTGATTCATTTAAAAATACATAAATTATTTTCATTTCACCCCCCAAAGTATGGTGCTTCACTGTTCCAAAAATACTACACATTCAAATAAACTGTAATTATGAACACATACAGCTTCCCACAGTTAGAACTTTAAAGATGAATTGTGTTAAATAAAATGCATGTTGCTGCAATATTTAAATATGCTTTAAAGTAAATCATTATTATAAGTAGGTATGTAATTACTATGGCTTTAGGAAGGTTTAACTGGGAACTAAAATACAAAAGAATAAAATTTCTGCAGCTTTTGACCAAAATACAATGAATAGATATCCACCATAAATCTGCTCTCTAATCCCTCATTCCAGGTCTTCCTAGATGAGGTAACTGGAATGAAAAATCATAGAGAGAAAAAGTAAAATTTGGAACAAAAGATATGAAAAATAGAAATAGAGAATCTAGAAATATTAAGAACTTCAGGCAATGTAAAATCCAATTTTTAAAAAAACGAATCTTTACTGGAGGAGTAGTGGCTTTGAATCTATCTCCCTAAGGATTAGAGCAAAAATAAGATTTCCAAAAGAGTGGGTATGTTTTGGTCAGAATGGAGGAGGAAGTTGTCTGTGGTACTAAGATGCAATGTAGTACCCACCTGGCACTAGGTACTCTTTAACCTAATGCATTAGTCAACCTTCTAGTATTCAAGTTTTTCCCTGAAATTTGCATCATTTTAACTTGTACATGTACTGGCAACTGGCAGCTGAGCTCTCCCTGCCTGGGTCTCCCACAGTTACAGCAAATTGGCAGTAAGCCTTCCTTAGCAGCTGCTAATGGGCTGAAGGTACCTACAGCATGATTCCACTTACATGAAACAAATACAAACCCACCTATTTCCATGTGTACCACATATGTATGCAACTACACAGAAAAATGTTTGAAAAGATACACTTAAAACTGTTAACATGTGCTACTTCTGGTGAGGAGATTAAGGGAAAGGTCAATGAGAACTTTCATTTTATGGTTTGAATTTCTACTATAAGAATGTAATCATTTTCTTTCCAGTAAAGCCTTGTGAAAAAAAAAAGGATGTAATCCTGTATTATTTGCTTTGAATTATTTTAAAAATTAGCAACCAAGAAAGCAGCCCTGGGACGCCAGCCAATGCCCAGAGCAATGTGAAGAACAATGTAGTTGACCACAGAAAGCTGCATTACCAGTTTCTTCAGGGGCCAATAACTTTATGAGAGTGAATCTATCTTTGTACCAGGTGTCCTTGATCTGGCTAATCTACAACTTTCCGCTGGACATTTCACTGGGATATCTTGAGGTTCCTGCAAACTCTGTAGGCCTAAAACCACACACCATCATCTATCCCATGTGACTTTCTTATTTTTACCAACTCTATCATCATATTTTCAGGCTACTTCATCTTCCTTGCCCCCCATATCCAATTAGTCACTGAGTCATGTTTATCCCACCATTGCCATTTGGCTGCTTCTTTTCATTTGTGCCACACTACACTACTTCATGCTTTTATCATGGATAAACTTTTTTTTTTTTTTTTTTTAGATGGAGTCTCATTCTGTTGCTCAGGCTGGAGTGCAGTGGCACCATATCAGCTCACTGCAACCTCTGCCTTCCAGGCTCAAGTGATTCTCATGCTTCAGCCTCCTGAGTAGCTGGGATTATAGGTGTGTGCCACCACACCAGGCTAATTTTTGTATTTTTTAGTAGATACAGGGTTTTGCCATGTTGGCCAGGCTGGTTTTGAACTCCTGGCCTTAAGTGATCCACCCACCTCAGCCTCCCAAAGTGCTGGGATTACAGGTGTGAGCCACCGCGCCCGGCCACTTTTCTCTTTCTTAAGTGCTCAAGTCAGAGTTTATCTTACTTGTGAAGACTCTGTTGTCTGGTATTTTTGTTTAATTAGTTTTATTTATTTAAAAAAAAAATTTTTTTTTTTGAGATACAGTCTTACTCTGTCGCCCAGGCTAGAGTGCAGTGGTACCATCTTGGCTCACTACAACCTCCAATTCCCAGATTCAAGTGATTCTTCTGCCTCAGCCTCCCAAGTAGCTGGGATTACAGGAGCCTACCACTATGCCTGGCTAAGTTTTTTGTATTTTTAGTAGATACGGAGTTTCACCATGTTGGCCAGGCTAGTCTTGAACTCCTGACTTCAGGTGATCCATCTGCCTCAGCTTCCCAAAGTGCTGGAATTACAGGTGTGAGCCACTGTGCCTGGCCTAGCTTTATTTTTTAGAGACAGGGTCTGGCTCTGTCACCCAGGCTAGAGTGCAGTGGCACAATCATAGCTCACAACAGTTTTGAACTCCTGGACTCAAGCAATCCTCCCACCTCAGCCTCCCAAAGTGCTGAGATAATTAGTTTTATTTAAAATTTGGATTTATTTTTATGACTGAAGTTGATTACAGTTATCTTAAGGGGAGAATCCTTGTCCTAAGTTTCATATTACTCCTAACTGCTCCCCCAGACGGACTCACCTATCACAGTGTAATCATCAAAGAAGGCATTCAATAAATTTGTTGGCTGATTGACTCACTGAAATCAAAGAAAATTTCTCTGTACCTTCTTTATTTCTGGGTATCATTGTTTATATGCTTCCAAAAGTAAAAAAGAATAAATTTGATACATTGATGTAGCCATATATCTATTAAAATGCACATTGCTTGAATTTTGAGTTGGAATATATGTTCCTGGAGGTAAACATTTTGGTTGGTGCCAGTTCATTCATTCAACAGTATTTCTTGAATGTATAATATGTGTTAGGTATTTTGCTAGGCCCTGGGACTGAACAGACTAAAATTCATGCCTTCATAGAGCTTACATTCCAAAGAAGAGAACAGAAAATACGTGAAATAAATAAGACACAGAGTTGGTCAAATTGTGATAAGTGCTTGGGGAAAAAACAAATCCGAAAATAAGTTTAGGGAGTGTTGAGGGTGCAGGGGGAGTGCCAGTTGCAATTTAAAATAGGGTGGTCAGTATTTTCCGTATGTGACATAGAAAAAAAGTTGATACGTATATCTAAATATAATACAATCAAGATCAGCTTGAATCAGTTTGCCTCAGAAAATATGACTTTGAATATTTTTCTCATGATTTAATTTTAGTTGGCTTTTAACAAAGACTTCAAAATGGCAGCTCAGGTTCATTTTTAGTTCAATGAAGAATAGTTCTCATACATATGCAGCCTGGATTTAATTCTATTTCTTGGGTTGGATTATTACCAAGATCTTAACAAGGAAAATGAAGAAATATGGATGCCTCAGGAATTGACTAACCACTTATATCCTGCATTAAACATGCTTCTCTGCATCCAGAAGCTGACTAGTACCAGATTAAGAACTAGAAAGGATTTCTTGGCAAAGGACTCTTTCTTGCAAAAATAATTCCAAGACTTGGGCCGAGCTCAAATTTTAGGATTTATGTGGAAATTCAAGACTTATCTTTTTGTATTAGCATGTGAACAATTTGAACAAGTAATACAAACTCCCTGAGGTATGGTCTCAAAAGGTCTAGAGTTTAAGAAGAATACTTTTTATCTCCTATACTCTGCATTGTCCCTTATCAAAGTAAAGCATTCATTTCACAGTGTTATTCAGTAATACCTATATTAATGAAAGACACATTTAAACATCACAACTTGTAAATAATTTTGTAATTAAAATAATATAGATGACATGGGAATGCATTCTAGGAAAGACAATAGGGGTAGGGTATAAAGATATTATTCAGCTCAAATGATACTAGTATGAGGTTACCCCATGTCTAAAAGCCATTTGTTTTAAAGTGTAGTTCACTAATCATTCTGTTGGCTGATGTCTGATCATTTCTAAGTTTTGATTAGGGATGGAGAGAGGACACTGGAGACCTGTAGATGGTGTCAAAGGTGAGAGATGTATTGACACATGAAAAAAGAGAAGAAAATGGGAAAAATGAGAATGCCAAGGCAAACTTATTTCACAATTTTGCTTAGGGCCTGTGCTATTAACAGTCAGCTGTAATGGACAGGCAGAAGCTGTGGGGAGAAGTTTTTGTGTATGTGTGGATGCATAATTTCAGATGAATGACAACAACCTAATAATGCTTCGCATAATTTATCAAGAAATTTTACTTGCTTTTTCTTCCCCCCAGCACTGCTGACTGTGTAGAAAGATGTTCAGTCCTAGATAATTCTATGAGGGATTACATCACCAGACTACATAAATAGATACCATAAAGCTATATATAAGTAAAAATAGATTAAGTAAATTTCCTTTTCTTAAAACACAGAGAAATTGCTTACCTGATATACATTAGTGTGAAACCTATTTTTGGATACTTCCTGTACCAATTCCAACAGATTTTCAATTAAATTTTGCAGCAAACAATTTGCATTCATTTCTCCAGGAAGCTCAGATACGGGGTAATGGGGAGGTATGCTGTGTCGGAAGTAAAGTTGCTATCTTACAGACTACAAAAACAAGGAGGCAAGCATTTGAAGAGTAAATTGGATTCATGGAAACAATGGACTCCATCACTTAAGGATTGTCTATTGATCTGGAGCACAAGACGCACGTCACCCCATTTGACACCATAAAGCTTGTAATACATATCTTAATGTATTGACAAATCCATTTGCTAAACCGCAAAGTATCAAAAGAACATTTTGAAATGCTTCTTAATATATTATGCTGCTAAGTTTCTCCTAAGTCAAAATATTAAAAGCAAAATCCCTAATTTAAAATTAGTAAAGCAACTTAAACTAAGTCTTTAGGATAGAAAATGCGACTTTTTAGAAGGCCTTTATCTTCTTTAGTACCTAATTTTGAATGAGTGAATCTTTTCATACTTGCCATCTTTGCACTGGAAGGAATTACAAATATAGCATCTAATGGTTTTGTATTCTTCAGCGAAGTTAAGTCTTTTCTTTATAGGAGCAATTCTTAGCTCCCGGATACTTGCCATGAGATGTGTTTGTGCCTGCCATGTCATGTCATTAGTTCTATTGCAACATCTGATTTCAGCTCAATCTAAGGGATTTTTGCCACTAGCCACTGTCACGGACTTGTTCATCTGAGTGGTTCCATTTTCTTTACAAGTGATACATTCCATTTACTTACATTAGCTTTAGATTATGGTTACTAACATGCTTAAGGAATTGTTCTATCTTAACAGCATAGGAGGCAGATGGACTTTTGTAAGATCTCATTCCTCTGCCAAGGGTGTGAAGGGCTCAGCTAAAGAATGATGAAAACGTGGGTGGAGGTAATAACCTACGCAAGGGGAGGTCAACACCGTTGCATGTTCAGTCAGACCTTATGTCAAGGGAAATGAAAAAGAGAAGAGCTTGGTGGTCTTAGGTAGCCGCTCCTAATCCTTAGTGTCCTTCACTTGAGAAGATAGTGAAACTGAGAGTCAAAGGAAGAAGTGTTAAAAAGTTTCTTCCCCACTGTAATGTTGGATTTGGGCTCAGCCTGTCAAGCATTTTTGTTTACTTTCTCTTGTGAGCAGAGAGACAGGTTAAGGGTGGAGGCTGTATCTGGCTGAGGACCAGTTTTGGTGTGACATTTAACTCCAAGTAAGGCTGAATTGTATGTGGGTAATGTACTCTTTCCCAGTATACTTGTGAAGCCTACAAATGGGGGTGGTTGTGAAAAAAGAAAGGTTTGGGTTGACATTTAGCATGCTAGATGAGTCGAACCCCTTAAGCAAAGAATTATGATAGACAAAACTAACCCAGAGGAGGATGTGAGAGGGGCTATGGTTTGAAGTTATGTGCCTAGCTGTCAGACGGACACATCGTAATTTTTTAGTATTTATTTGTACACATAACACTATTTTGGGTGGGAAGATACAAAAGCAATAGAAAAAGTCCACCTCCCACCCCCCGCCTCAAAAGAGTTCCTGAAATGGCTGATGAGTCAGCCCTACTCACTGAGTTTGCATGCAGAAGGAAGTCAGGCCAAAGGTTTGGTAAAACCTAAGTCAGTATCTCCTGGCTCTAGGACTTAACCCAGTTCCTAGCAGAGTAAGGTATAACTGATGGCCACAGAAGTGTACAGAAATAATAGCAGCAACTAACATTTATTAAGTGCTTCCATTATACATTTATGTGCTATATACTTTACATCAATTATTTCACTTAATTCTTAAAACAACCTTGTAAAGTAGGAAGTTTTATTATGGCTCTGAACAGAACCATCATACAGAGAAGTTAGCTCATGCTGAAGTGTACTAAGGGTTTTTTGTTTGTTTGTTTGTTTGTTTTCTGGAACCCTTCACTAGGCTGCCAAGACACCTGCCTTGGATCTCCTTCTACTTCCCTGGTTGTTCCTTTACCATCGCCTTTGCTGAGTCCTCCTCCTCTTCTTTTTTAATGTTGGAGTGCCCCAGGGCTTACTTCTTGGTCTACTTCTTTTCTCTAGCTACATAATCTAGTTGATCTCAATACCCATCTGTATACTAACAACTTCCAAATTTATATCTACCCCAGATACATATATCTAATTGTCTACACCTATCTTCACATGGATGTTTAACAGACATCTCAAACTTACCATATCTAAATCAGAGTTTACAAATACAATCTCCACCCCGCCCTCCAATATTTGTTCTTTCTCAATATCCCCAATCCCAGTAAAGGGCAACTCAATTCTCCCCAGAGATCAGAACAAAACCCTTAGGATCATCTTTCTTTTATATGCTAATCTGTCAGCAGTTCCTGAGTACTTTACCTTCTAAACAGATTCAGAACCTGTTCACTTTTCTCAGTCACTCGGACTCTAATCCAAGCCATCCTTACCTTTCATCCCAGCTAGGCTAATCTCTTTGCTTGCTCTCTTGCCTCGCTATGCATGTTGCCCATACAGCAATCAGTCATCTTTTTTTTTAAAAAAAACTTTGTATTATGAACTTTTATTTATTTATGAATTTTGAGACGGAGTCTCGCTCTGTTGCCTGGGCTGGAGTGCAGTGGCCCGATCTCGGCTCACTGCAACCTCCGCCTCCTGGGTTCGAGTGATTCTCCTGCCTCAGCCTCCTCAGTAGCTGGGATTACAGGCACCCACCACCACACCCGGCTATTTTTAGAAGAGACGGGATTTCGCCATGTTGGACAGGCTGGTCTTGAACTCCTGACCTCAGATGATCCGCCCGCCTCGGCCTCCCAAAAAGTGCTGGGATTACAGGCGTGAGCCACCGCGCCCGGCCCATTATTATCTTTTAAAACATACACATAAACACACATAAATGATGACCACCCCTATGCACCCAACACTTAGCCTCAAAAATTAACATTTTGCAAATATTCATCTATTCACTTCTCTGTCCTTTTTTTTTTTTTTTTTGAGACGGAGTTTGTTTCGCTCTTGTTGACCGGGCTGGAGTGCAATGGCACGATCTCGGCTCATCGCAACCTCTGCCTCCCTAGTTCAAGCGATTCTCCTGCCTCAGCCTCCCGAGTAGCTGGAATTACAGGCATGCACCACCATGCCCGGCTAATTTTTTGTATTTTTAGTAGAGACGGGGTTTCTCCATGTTGGTCAGGCGGATCTCGAACTCCCGACCTCAGGTGATCGGCCCGCCTCGGCCTCCCAAAGTGCTGGGATTACAGGCGTGAGCCACGGCGCCCGACCTCTGTCCTTCTTTTTGTGGGATATTTTCAAACAAATCCCAGAAAAGTCATCCTTTTAATGATCAGATCAAGCTACTCACCACTTTCTAATTGCTTCTAATCTCAGTAAAAGCCAAGTCCTTTATCACGGCCTGCAAGGCCTGGGTGATCTGTGATTACTCCTCGCCACACCCATTCCTGCCGCCGTCCTCCTGACCTCACTCTGCTTCATTAGAGGGTCTCCCACCCTCGCGGCCCCAGCAAGCATCATCTGGAAAGCTTGTTAAAGCACACGCTGCTGGGCCCCACCCCCAGAGTTTCTGGTTCAGTAGGGCTAAAGTGGGACTGGAAAATTCGCATCTCTAACAAGTTCGCAGGTGCTACTGCTTCCAGCGGGCATACTTGGAGAACCACCAGCTGCACTGTTCTCCTTCCCGTTCCTCAACAAGGCAGGCAGGATCTTGCTTAGCAGTCTCCACGCTGCTCTTCCCTCTGCCCTAGGCATTCTTTGCATTACTCAAAGCCCCTGTTATTCCATCTCTTTAACTCATGCCTTTTGAGAGGCCTTCTCTGACCACTCTTTCTAAAATCTCTTTCCCTCTCCTCATCCTCATTTATGTTTCTTCATGGTAAGCATCACTTACTGTTTCCGTCACCCCGTCTAGATGGACAGCTCCACAAGCAGAAAGACTTGGTTTTGCTGTCACAGCCGCAGCACTAAAACCTTGCTTAGCAGGTGCTCACTTCACTTGTCCAAGGAATGGCTAGCATACTGAGGAGGGAGAGCCTGCTTCCTGCCTGGGACACTGGACAGGCAAATCACTTCTTCTTGCCTCAGTGCCACCCTTTGTAAGGACACTGGTTGGTTATGCCTACCCTTCCCATCTCCCTGGGTACAGGCACAAATGAAAAGAATAACGTGTACACGCCCGCGAAGCAGAGCAGCAAGTGGATACCGAGCATTATTACGCCGTGCGTTCGGCCGCCCTTTTTCTGCACGGAGAACCCCCTCCGCTCCCATTTTCCAGCGCCCCCGTCCCGGCGATCCAGAGACCCGCTGTGGGCGGCCGCCGCCCGCGTCCCGGCCTGCGGGCCAGCGTCTGGGCACGCCCGCCCCGCACCCGGCTGGCGCCCGCCCGCCCGCCTCCAGAAGCAGAAGCGGCAGCGGCAGCGGCAGCAGCAGCAGCAGGAGGAAGGGGAGGCGCCGAGGGAGGGGTACTCGGCCGCCGCGGGAGGCCGCATCGCAGTCCCGTCACAGCGTCGGCGCCGGCCGGGGCCGAACCCGGAAGTGGCCGAGCCCGCGCGCCCGCCGGTCCCGTCGCCGCCGCCCCGCACTCGGGCGAGCGCGGGAGCCGCGCAGTAGACGGAGCGCGCCCGGCCGAGCGGGCCATGGCCGCGGGGGCCGCCGCCGCAGGTGGTGGCGCGCGGTGAGGAGAGCGCGGCGCCCCCTCCGGGGCGGATGGAACGCGGCTCGGCGGGCGGGCAGTGCCGGCGTCCGCGGCTGGAATGGTGCTGGCTGTGTTGGTCGGTGCCTGCGTTCTGAAGCCCGAGAGGAGCCACAATGGAGACGCCGCCGCTGCCTCCCGCGTGAGTGAGCGGGCGGGCGGGCTGCGCCGCTGCGGATAAGCGCGCCGCTGCGGCGCGTGTCGCCGGCCGCGGGCGCAGCTCTGGGGACAGCCGCCGGGGCCGGCGGGAGGTGGGAGATGCGGGGCGTGACGAGGCGCTGTGCCCGCAGTCCTGAGCGGACGCGGACGGAAACTCAGCCTGGCCAGGCGGTGACTTAAAACGCTGCCCAGGATTTCTGGGGAAGGGTCTTCCCCATCTCGGGCGGATAGAAGATTCGGGGTGGGGCTGTGCATGGGTGACCCTGCAGGTCCTGTGTGTACCTCCCTGAAATGCATGGGCACCTGGTGCCGAGTTTGCCTACCCCTTTATAAGAGATCAGGCTAGGATGCACTGAGTCCGTTGAAAAAAGGAAACTGGAAAGTACCAGTCACCCGCTGTCTAAATGAATTGATCTTAGGTTGCTTGATTCCCCGAATTTCTAACAAAATTAATATCTGAGGAGCTTTTGCATCACTCTAAATGAGCGGCGGCCGTTCAGGGCATGTGACCTCTTTTACCTGGCACTGCAGAACGTTTTATCCAGAAATCAGCATCTTCTGTTTCGTTCGTACCTCGGGCAAATTAGTAGCGTATCGACCTGCCAGGCACAGGTGTCTTTTTTCTTTGGTACCCAAGTACATTCAAGATCACTGGCAACAGAATTACTTTCTAGAAATAATAGCTGAAACATTATGTAGAAGACATTATTGCATTATTCAGAACAAGGGTTTTTTTTTTAAATTTTAGTTTTTAGTTTTAAAAACATCTTGGTAAAAGTGAACTGTAAATACCCAGGAGTTTCGAAAATTTCAATTTTGGTTCCCTCTTCTCTTAGGAAGGAACAAGAGTCCTTTGAATCTGACTTTTCAAATCGCAGACAAACCTCATCCTGAAGAATGGTTTACCTTTTCATGAGAGCTTATTCATGGAGGCTTGTCGTTCTCCGGTCAAATTTGGCAAGCTTCACTCCATGCCGATTGTACCGCACCAGTCTCTTGTGGTTATTTGGCAGAATTCCAGCCAAAATAAGGATACTTGGCTTGGGTTGAATAATTTTTTGATGTTCAGCCCTTTTAGGAGAGCTAATGGGATTCTGGAACGACAGTTTCTAAAAGTGCGTTTCAGAATTTTTAGCTTGAGTGGAACAGGTCGTGGAAATCTAGGGGGTAGATAAGACTCTTGAATTGGCCTTCCTGGGCTGACAGAAGCAGGGGCTTAGTCACCTCTCGATAGCTGTGGCTTTGAGGGCTCTGAGATTTGGTCATGTTCTTCAGCAGGCTGGAGGAAGGCACCTGAACCCCTAGGAAATATGATGGTGGATGGTTCACATCAGCAGCATGAGCACACGGGGGTCTGCCCAGGCTCAGAAGCACTTAAAGCAGGATATGCTAGCTGTATTTAGCCAACATATGGTATATAATATGTAACATGTAGGTATGCTATCTGTAGTAAACCTGCCTTCTACATAAGTTCCTGCAGTTCGTTTTTACTTTTGGAACAGAGGGAGCTAAAGGAAAGAACAAGGGAATACTTAGAATGCAGGTGAAAAGAAGGGTGTGGGAAAGCAGCCTCTGGAGGGAGGGAGGGAATAGAGACACAGATGATTTAAATTGAAATAATAAAAAATAGAATTGATGTATGCATTGAAACATTGATAAACTGACTCTAGGGTAGATCAGCTAATCATAATTTTGATGACCAGCGCCATTTTTGGCATTGAGATTCCATCAATAGTGCTGGAACAATGAGAGGCTGAGATATAATGGAAAACTTGGAATGCCAGCATGGATGAAAGAATTGTTAAAACTCCTTTCAATCAGGGGTGGCTAAAGTTGGTGAGACTTTTTCATTGTTTCTGTCTATTTAATTATAAATACAAGTAGGTTTTTATTTTCATTTGGTTCTGTCCAGGATTAAACCTAATTCAAGAACTCGTTATGGTGTTATTTGCCATTCTGTGGATCAGAAATAGTTTTTTTCCTTGCCACCCCTTGGCCTGTTTGCCTCCACTCCCATTAACATCCCTCCACCATGGATCCCGTGTGCCGGATTTGAGACTTGCAGGCAGTGTCTTTAGGAAGGAACTTTACCGGGCCTCACTGCCAGAGCTGGGCTAGAACAGAGGCCAGTGGAAACTATTAGGAAGACTCAGCTTTTCATGAAGTTAGATTTTTAGCCTGAGCTTTAAGTCAAAGAAAGATGACCTGGACTTAAAGTGCCTTATGGTATGGTTGGAAGCACGGCCCCAGATTCTCTTTGTGTAAGTGTCTGTTTATTAATTCATTCAATGTGCAAATATTTGAATGCCTGTCTCTGCCTGGCACTGTGCGTGGTGCTTTTGCTTGTGTTCTCTTTTAACATCCAAATTTACATTGTTCTCAGATCCCACCTTGTTCTCCACTGGCCTGTTGGCACATTGTCTTGGAGGGAGGTCAGGCATCTGTACCCACCATTCCTGGTTCCTTCAGGATGGACTCCTTGAAATTAGCTTTTGATCTTTTGTGCTTTTTCTATTCCTTGCCTCCAACTTTCATCCTTTTTAATTCTCATATAATTAAAAATTGTCGTTGGACTATATATTTGTGCTTATTGTTTTTTGCATACTTGAGTATATGTGGCATTTAGATTCTGTTGCATTCTGGGTCTGGGTGATATTGAGACTGTGTTACATTTGCTTCTGATCAAACCTGAAAGATGTGTAACTAAAAGATGTAGCTTAGTAAAGGAATTTCAGGTAGTAAATTGAGAGATGTAGTTTAGATGTAGATTAGTAAAGGAATTTCAGATGGTAAACTGAGATGTGCAAAAGGAAATGTAAATTGACCAGCCCTGACCTCAGGAATGTATTTTACAGTCTGGCTTTTATAGTTATTTGTATAAAGGATTTTCATAATAAGTTGAAGGAAGACTGTGAGGTATAGGCCTGAGTGCATCCCTCTGATCTTCTCTTACTGATCAGTCTTCTTGGCACTTGTTTTTTTACTGGCTCCATTTTCACAAGTCGGCTTACTCTCTGTAAGCCTTGATTTTTTTGCTTTTCCTTCACAAAACTAAGCAAACATCCCTCAGATAGAACCATATCTTTTTTCAGTTGATGGTTCCACATTACTAGAGACTTGTCGTCAGAGGTGGTCATGCATAGGCAGAAAAACAACTTGTTGACCATGTTCTAAGGCATTTAGGCAGCAGAAAATTGGTTGGATTAGAGCAGAGGTTCTCACATTTTTGAATTTAACTGACCTGTAAAATTAAAAAAAGAAAAAAACAATTGAAGTCTAACAATTGCTAAGTTTTTTGTTTTGCTAAGTAAAAGAATTATTTATGAAACAACAATGATCAACTATCACCATCTTTTTATGAAAGAAAAAAACATTTTAGTATCCTTCCTCAAATATAAGGAAGAATATAATCTGACTAAAGGATTGTCTTTAAATTTAAAAAACTTAGCCTTATGAAAACTTATTACATTGTCCTCATTTTGACATAGATCAGTAAAAAGTTCACTGAAGCCTGACATTTGCAGTCCGCTGGACCGGATGACCTTTAATGTTCTTTCTAAGATTCAATTGCTGTGAATTTGGAACCTTGCTACAGGATACCCAGTATTCATTTGTTTGTCTGTTATAGTGCATTGGAGTGTATTCTTATTTTTGTTTAACTAAATGTACATTGGGCATCTCTCATATCACAGGTGAATCTCCCCAGTGATAGACAAAGACATTTAAAATATTTAGGAGTAATAATGGCCCACAAACAAGGTAATGGTGAAAGAAGACATGTGGATCAATGTGTGTTGAAGGAAGTGTTACATATAGAGACAACTTTGAGGTGCATTTGGGAACTTGAGAAGTGAATTCTGGAAATAGGTAGCATTTATGTAGTAGTTTAAAAAATTTCTGATGCTGGGAAATCACTCCACCTACTCCCTGCAAAATGCCCCAAACCTTTTGTTTCTGATGTACATGGTAGGCATGCAGTAACTATTAGTAAATGTGCTTTTCTGAAGGTGACTGTAAGTTTACTCATCTATGGCTGTTACGGATTTACACTAGTAGTGCTTATGAAGACCACTGAACTTCTTTCTTAAGATCAGGCAGGTTTTTTCAAGGTGATCCAGAGAAGGAAATTCACTTTATGTTGCATTTCTGTAGTGTTCTACCAAATCCAAATGCATTTACTCTTTATGATGAGGTAGTTTGAGTTTTTAATTTATATTTATTGAGTGCCTACTATGGCCAGATTTTGGGGATATCTCAGAAAACAAAGTTCCTTTTCCTATGATTGAAACTAATAGCAAACAAATATGTAATATTGTTAGTAGTATTACAGTAAACAAAAATGAAGCAGGATAAAAGGGTAGAGAATAATAAGAATAATAGTTCAGATAGGGTCAGGGTGTCTTTGACGAGGTGATATTTTAGCACAATCCAGAGGGGGAATAGCATTCCAGGGAGAGAGAATAGCAAGCACAAAGGCATTCTTGAATTCTTCCCCTGATGAGATAATTGCTGCAGTGAGTGGGTCCGTAACTTTTTGTGTGTTACGCACTGTACTTTCTTACATTTCAGACTATTGGCATTTGCTAAAATATTCCTTTGACCAGTTCCATTCTCTGATTTTACCTTGAAAAACAAGCCCCTGCTTTTTATGATAGCTCTTTTTCTTGTTTTCCTACTCTGGTTTTTAGGTTGCTAAATGTGATTTGCATACTTTATCACTTAATCTCACTTAGTCTTGTCAACAACCTTATAGTGGTAGGTGTCTTATTTATCAGATGAAGAAGTAGAGTTTAAGTTACTCTCTCAAGCTTATCAAGTATTAGAAAAAGTGGGATTCTAATCTCTCTGTTGTATCACTTTTTTCTGTCTTGCATGACTTCTCTTCTATCACTGCTTGTGGGCAGTATTTCCTCACGGAAGTAGGCCTTGGCCAGTTCTTTTCAATCACCTGTTAATCATTGAGCTCTAGCTCCATCTATATCTTAAGTCGGGGCTCTAGGTCTGTGCTTTGGTGTGGAATTTTGAACTTCTCACATCTCTACTCTTAGCTCATGCCTCTAAACCCAATATATCCAAAACTGATGTTTGTTCACAAACTGACTTCATTTTATAACATTTCCACTTATTCAATGGGATAACCATTCTTCTGGTCCCTGATAACCAAAGCATTGGAATAGTCTTTGATTTCTCTCTCTTTCTTCATCCTCCACATCTTATCAGTCCCCAGGAACTGTGGTCTTGGTTTCAAGTGTCCATTCTGGTTGCTACTATTCTGATGAATGGATTTCATCACTTGATACCTGAACTTTTTCACTGGTCTTCTATTGAGCTCTGTGTATTCTCTCCTCATCCTTCAGTCCCCACACTGTTTTAACCCTCCAACATCTTAGAGTCATGTGAAGTGACTTATCAAAACCAGAGACTCAGGCAGTCACAGCCTTTCATCATTTTATCTTATCCTATATATCCAAGATCATCATGTGCTTTTAAAACTCTCCCTTGTCCACAAGCCAGGATTCTCCAGCCTTTTCCTATGCTTCTCTTCTTCTCTCCCCTGTTACAACAACTTGAAGTTCCTCCAAGGCCCCATTGGAGCCCCATCTCCTTCACCAAGTCTTTCCTCTTTACTCCAACTCATTCCAGCTCATCGTTGCATTCCTATGGTGTTTGTCACTGCACCTATGTACTGACTTGTGCCATTCCTTAGTGGTTTCCCATGTACCTTCCTGTTTAGATGGTAAATGGAGGAAGATCTCAATTCAGCCTTCCTAATGTTTCTTACCCTTCTTAGTACATGGCATGCAGTGGGCATCTAGGCAGCACTTAAATACTTAATTTATTGGCTTTGGTCATTTTGAATATTGCTATTAACTTTGAATTGAATGTTGCAATTAAAAATGAAGGCCAATAAGATCCATAAAAATATATCTGCATATTCAGTTTAGATCCTGAATTCAACAATTTTCTTCTAAACTTTGTTTACATTCATATAGTGCCTAGTGCCTATACAGCTCCCTGAGATAGGTAGGTGAGATATTACTATCTTTGACTTTCATATTACATTTCACATCAGACATATTTGTGAAATAAATTTTATAAGTAGTCTGAAGCCCAGAGAGGCTAAGTGACTAATCCAGGGTCTCTTGGTTAGTATTTGGCATAGACAGAACTACAATTTTGGGCTTCTTTCTGATTCTGGTTCTCATCTAGTACCTTTTCATTTCAGTGCTGGAAAATGTATCCCAGTCAACTGAATTGCGGAGTCGTATTGCCGCCCCCTTACCAACGAAGTGATGGCAATAGTAGGAAGAGGGGCAAAGGAAAAGTCAGAAATATAAGTGATAAAATAAATGGAAATGTTTGAAATGGATCATCAACCTCCTTTTCCCTATTTTAGCACCTCACAAATATCCCACTCTGACAATGCTTTGTTAGTTATTTATAAAATATTCCTTAGGAGATTGATCTTGCATAAGACATGCTTTTACCGTGGTCCTTTTCCTGGTAATAGTCACTGTCAGGGACAAAAAGTGCCTGATTGTGTTCTGTTTGTCATGTAGGTGGGAGGGAAAGAGGGAGAGAAAGCTGAGTTGAACTGAAGCAGAGCTTTTTACAGCTCCATTGTTCTACTATCAGAGAGCAATTATACTCCAACTTCCATCCACCTCAGACATCCCAACCTCCTCCTCCTGCCAATGCTTCCCCACACACTTAACATACAGCCGCACAACTGAGTTCTCCAGAGAGAATAGGGTGCTCTTTAATACCTCCCTCTGCCCTTCAGTGAGTTCAGGGCTCTGCTTTTTAACTGCTAATATATTTTAGTAAAGTTTGGCAATTCAAGCTTTTCTAGATGTTTCCTTTTCAGCTCTGGAAAATTGGAAAAATAATTTTTAACTATATATGTTTAAAATATTCAATGGCATTATGATATTGTCTGAAAGGCATTCTGTGACTTGATGCAAGATCAGAAGTTTTTTTTTTTTCTTGGAGAAGTAAGTAATACAAAGAAAAAAGAGATAGAAGTTTTTATCTCACAAGATACCTCATATTCAGTTCTACATACTGAAGACCTAATCCAAGTTCTTACATGTCTATAGGGCAAATGTTAACATTTTTAAAAAGCTCTATTTATTTGGTAATATGAACATATGTTTGTAGATTAGTCTACTGTTTCCATACCTAATAAAAGTTTAAATTCCAGACATGTGAAGAAAATTTGCAGTGTGTCTCTTTGCCTTAGCTAACTGCAAAAATTGAAATCACAACCCTACCATAGACCCAAACGTGTTTCCAACTGAGAAAGTCTTCTACCTTCACAGCCTCTAAGTAATATAGTGGTTATTTGTTTGAAGGATGTGAGAGTATTTTGTTGAGAAACTGTAGAATGACATAACAAATTTTAGTTAAAATGTTAGTTATGGTTGACTCTGTACTTCTGATATCCTGGATTTGTTTATGAGAGCAATGCTAGTAAGATGCCTGCTTCTGAATGCAAGTTTGGCTGGGAAGACAGCAGAGAAATAGAAGAAATATTATAAAGTAATGGAGAAACCTCAAAACATTACAGCATGGATGTTGACTTTGAAAACAACAGCTGCTGACGTGAACTTGGCAGAAATTTGTGAGTAATGGTGGGTGACTCATTGCAAGCAGGGGAGTCTTGCAGCTTTTGAGGTGAACAGGCAAAGGGGAGAACAGTGATGGTGGCCACCCAAGGGCCAAGTATTTATGTCCTAAATGTCAAAATGTCTTTGATCTCCTGTTAAACTTTGCAGCTGCATCATTCACATGAATGGTTGCATTTTTTTTTTCTAAAAATACAACATATTTTCTAAAGCATTTGTTTTTAATCTGGGATGATTCTGAGGTGGGAGGTAAGTTGGTGGCAGGACATATTACATGACTTTTGTTATTATTATTATTTTTAAAAATCACGCATTGCTGGCTTTCTCCTATACTCCTGGAGATGCCATCATGTATGTATAGCTAATTCTAAAAAGGGCTTGTGTGACTCTTCATGTGAGAAGGGGTGGTTATTTGTGGCTTGAAAAAATTGCTTGGGTGATTCTGATCTTTCTCTTTCACGCTGCTGAAAACCATTGTTTCAAAGCCAATAATAAATATCTAAAGAAGTTTTACTTCATTTCTGTGGTGTTCTCAGAATTGTTACAGCAGGTTTAAACCTTTGCCTGGTTTGGAAATCTTGACTATTTGAGAGAGACAGCCCTGTTAGAGTCTTTGTTTTCTTCCTGTCTGAGAATTCAGTTATCATCAATAGTGTATTCTTAGGCAGAGTCAGAAAGTCACCTCATCTGAGAAGCCACCTGTGTCCACAGCTGGGAATTTGCAGAAGTCAGTCACTGAAGGAAGGCTTTAGGATATCTATGATAAAACATAGCAGTACACTGGGATCCAAACCCTGGGAAACCTCAACTATTTTAGAGTATGTGTTGATAACAATAGGCTATTGGATAATTGCCAGACTACTTGAGGAGTCTAAGAGTTGCATAAAGACTTAAAGGTGAAAGGAACTTGGAAAAATATCTTCTTCAGGTATTTTAAGGGAGACAGTTCTCAGAATGAGAAGCTTTTCTGGAAAAGGCTAGCACTTTGCTTCAGAAGAGAAGCAGGGCAAAGGTGTAATTCTTCATTTAATGTGGTACAACCTAAAGGGTAAACCTTTACCTCTCACTTAACTAGTTATTCCTAGTATGTATATGTATATATGTCTCACATCTATAGTTTTAGACATTATGCATCATTTTCTGTTCTGCTTCTGAATGAGAAGCCATCTAACACAAAGCCACACAGGGAATGGAAATTTATGGAAAGGGCATTCGTTTTGAAAATGGACGTTTGCAGAAGGGGTGATGTATTTGTAAGTGACTCTCGGTACAGAGAACACTTAACAAAATTCAGTGTTTTTTCTTACTTATTCCTTTAAGCCTTTGAATAAAGTCTTCTTTGCAGGGTTTCTGTAGTACATCAGAAAAAGGAGGAGCTGAAAATAGGTTTAAGAGAGCACCAATGTGGGCATTGATTGTTGTATGGCAACTGTCTTAAAGTGAATTCTCCAATGCAGGGAATTTTAATTCCTAAGTTCTTAAGCAAATATAAACACTCCTGACTCTTAAATCATGACATTCTTTCTGGGGCAGAGTTGCTTTTGCTTCCACTTTCAAGCATTGAAAATTCTTTTATGATAGTTTTGCTAATCCTCAGTATAACATTCTTCCTTTGTTGCACCTTCTAAATTATTAAACTAGAAGCAAATATAGAATAAGTATTACCTTGCTATCGTATATAGACATGCAGTGTTACATGGTTAGAAAGTTTGCATGGGTTGCATATATCTACGCATTTTCCCCTTTCCCTGGTTTCTTACTGTTTCCTTTACAGGTAGAATGAGAATATCTGTCTTATACTATAAAGTGTTTCTCCAGTTCTCTCCCTCCAGACGTGAATGTTCTGCCATCTTTTTGGCTTCTAGACTTATCAGTGCTTTTCCTTTCTTAGACTGGGTGTAACTAATTCCCTACACACACACCTTCAAGAGGGCATAGGGAGTAGAGTGGCACCTCCTTATTCTCCCACTTCAGCTGTAGGCTTTCCCTGTGGAGGTAAAGCCTTGCGCTAATTCATTTGTTAGGCCCCTTAAAAACTCTCAAGCGGTGAGGAAGTAGAACTGATGTGCACTTGTAGTAGGCAAGCCCTCAGAGAGTCAGGTGCTTCAACTAGTGCTGATTCTGGGGTTTGGGGTTTGCTTAATTTTAGAGGTTATATTCATGTTGAGTACCTGTTTCATGGCTTCGTGTACCATCCATGTAACCAGTGATTCCCACATTTCTGACTCCAGCTAAACTTTTCTCTCCAGCTCTAGACTCCAATATTTATCTGGTGATTTGATGCCTTCACTTGGATGTCTGATGTTTTAAAACCATTAGGTATAAAAACAGCTCTTGATCTCTGCCTATCTCAAACAGTTTCCACCTGCAGCCTTCTTCATCTCAATGAACAGAAACTCAGTCCTTTCTCTTGTTCAGGCCAAAAGACTTGGAGTCATTCTGACTTTCTTTGACATGTCATATGGTTGTTTCAACAGATCTCGTTGGCTGTATCTTCAAAATGTCCAGAACCCAGCCAGTTTTCATCACCTCCACTGCGACTGTCCTCCCTAAGCCACTGTCATTTTTTAGTGAATTATTGTAATATCCTGCTAAATAGTTGCCCCCTTTTCATCTTTGACCCGTGTAGAGTGTTCTCAACCAGCAGCCAAAGTGGTCTTTGGAAAACGTAAGTCGGATTGTATCACTCTTTTGCAGTGTCTCCTCATTTCACTCAAAGTGAAAGGCCTTAGGATATCCTAAAAGGCCCTTTGTGATCTGCACTCCCCTCTCCTGCTCAGCCCCAGCCTTTTGCCAAAGCTGCATGGGTCACAGTTCCTGGAACATACCAGGTACATATTGGCCTTTGCTGTAGTTACTACTTCCATCCGGATGTTCCCACACCCCCTAGTCTTTTGTTCAAATCTCAGTTCTCAACTAGGCCTTCCCTGAGCACCCTATTTACTGCAGATTACACCCCTCCACCGTCCCCACATTTCTCTCTCTCTTCACGCTGCCCTGCTTTTTCTACTTCCATAACACCATTTCCCAACATGCCAGTTGCTTCCCTGACTTGTGCTGTCTTTCCCTTTCCCCCCACCAGACTCCAAGCTCTATGAGGACAGGGATCTTTGTTTTATTCACTGATATATTCCAAGTGCCTTAAGAGTAGTGATTGGTACATGGTTGGTACTAAAAACAATTGCTGAATGAATTAATGAACGATAATGTTTAAAAATGAATCATCCTTTTAGAAATGGGTCAGGAAAGGAAGAGAAGTGCAGCAATTAATAATGATGTTTGCTTGTTCTTTGATATATATACAAGTATGATATTTTTAGACTTCATTTTTTAAGCCTAGTTAAAAAATTGGTGCCCTGATTTTTTATGTAATAGCTTTATTGAGGTATAATTTACATACCATAAATCCACCCATTATAATTGTGCAATCTAATGATTTTTATTAAATTTATAAAGTTTTATAACCATTGCTTCAAAAAGTTGTCTTGTGTTCATTAATTTGCAGTTAATTCTTGCCCCCCTCCTCATGGGACCCTGATTTTTTTGGTTAATTTTATGTCCTAAGTCTTGAAAGAATAATTCATGTAGCAATGCTAGTATAGCCTTGTGTGCTTAAAAAATGTAAATTTAAATATTCACTGTTCAGTGTAGGAAATGGTATTGAAATATTAGTGAAAAGAACAAGATGGAGAATCAGACTGGCCATACTCTTACCCAGCCCTACCATTTACCCCGTTACTCAAACTATTCTCTTCATCTGTTAAATGGGGATAATAATAGTAATTTGCTCAGAGAGTTGTTGTGAGGATTAACCAAATAATGAAAGTAAACTACTCAGCACAGGGCTGCCATATGGTAAATACTCAATAACTATTAACTAACATGATTAATCTCGATTAATCTCTTGTTAGTATAGGTCAAAATATATGGGGTTAATATATCCTGGCAGGTAGAGAGCAAAATTTAAATCAGATTCTAAGTTTCTGAAGTTTGTGTAAAATATGATCCTGCTCTGTCTTGGTTTGTTAATAACGTATGACTATAGAAGTTTGTAAAAGCAAGTTAATTTCCAATGGAGAAGATCATTTCTCAACAGTTTTATTTGGAGATATCTGCTAAGCCACTTCTGCTGAATATTCTGTGTTGATCTTTGACGGAACTTGGACACCAGGGAGGTAATTACCCACTTTTTAATTGAAACCATAGTGTCCATCAGAAACTGTTCTTAATTGTCTTAACCTTACATTGGGATATTCTGTCCATGAGACTTCCTCTAAATAAGTAGGGGAAGGAGACATTCATTGTCTCTCTTGTAGCTTGATAAGCTGAACTAAATGATCTTTAATAAGATCTTTTTCTGTTTTTGTTCTTTTCTTTTATGTACAGATGCACAAAGCAGGGTCATCAGAAGCCTCTCGATTCAAAAGATGATAATACCGAAAAACACTGCCCAGTGACAGTGAATCCTTGGCATATGAAGAAAGCTTTCAAAGTCATGAACGAATTAAGAAGGTATCATTATACTAATGTACATGCAACCATTGGTTTCGTCCCTTTATTTTTCAGTTGTTTGTAGTGAATATATAATCAACCTTCCATTGTTGCTTTGTCTGGTACACAGAACATTAAAAGCTTTTTCTGCAAGTTTTTTAAAGGAAAAGAGCAAATAATTTATCAGAAGTGTGGATGGTGTGGGGCTCCTCTATTAGTGTGGTAGCCGCTTAGCCACATACAGCTAGTCTGATGAGATAGTTTGGAGGTGAAAAATACACAGGGGATTTCTAAATGCAAAAAAAAGAAATGTAAATATTTTATTAATACTTTTAAATATATTGATTCCATGTAGAAATGATAATATACTAGATATTTTGAGTTAAAAAGAATACAGTAGGCCAGGTGCGGTGACTCATGCCTATAATCCCAGCACTTTGAGAGGCCAGGGCAGGAGGATCACTTGAAGCCAGGAGTTTGAGACCAGCCTGGTCAACACAGTGAGACTCTGTCCCTATTTTCTTTCTGTTAAAGTTAAAAATAAGAGAATATATTATTGAAATTAATTTCTCTTGTTTCTTTTTACCTTTTTAATGTGATTACTATAAAATTGTGACTTGCATTATGTTTATATTGGACAGTGCTGGTCTAGGGCTTCTAACTTACTGTGGCAAAGAGTATGGAAAGAAACTTTTAGAGAAAAATGTAACCATTGTTTTGTGGGAGTGGTGGTAGTTTTGGGGGGCAGTGACCTGCCTGTTGCTGAGGTAATTCTCAAGTGTACTAAGGATCACTGCAACTTTTAAGTAGTATTAAAAGTTGATTGAAAAATGAGTAGCTTTTTTTTTAATTAAAAGGGTAATATATGTATTAAGAGTCTTGGTTTTATTTTCTTAGCACTTTATGAAAGATCTGCTTTTTCCCAGCATTCCGTTTGTGAAAGTACTCTACGTATATCTATCTGAAATGCTGAAAGCCTGGCTAAGAAGGGATTAAACCTTCCCTTAATCTTTCTGTGCTGCCTAAAAGCTCTCCCTTTTAGGCCCATCATTTGTTTGTTTCTTCTTTAATTAAATTAGGGATTCAATAAATATTTATCTGCTAGGTACTGTAGGTACAATGGTGAGCAAGAACAAATATGGTTGCCACCCTTGTGGGCCCATAGCTGACTGCAGGAAGCAGGCATTCATCAAAGAATCACAAAAATAATTTACTGTAATGATAGTAAGTGTTGCAGAGGAGGGCTGCTGGTGCTAGAAAGGTGGATAACAGTGGTCAGGAAAGGCTTTCTTGAGAAGACAGGAATAATTATGCTGATATCTAGAAGGAAAAGAAGATAAGGGGATAAAGTCAGGATGGGAGTGAGGAGAGGGAGAACAGTGTTCCAGGCATTGGGAATGCTGTGCCACATCTTAGGGTAGGAAGGAGCTGGCCTCATCGGAGGAACTGACAGTGTTGCTGCAGTGCACGTGGCGGTGGAATCACACAGGAGAGGCAGCTGAGTAGGTAGGAGGGGCCATTGGACTGAGGTCCTGAAATTTTGGTCTTAATCAAGAGTTGCCTTGAGAGAAAGCCAGTGGAGAGTGTTAAGCGGGAATGTGACCTGATCAGATTTATATTTTGAACACACTGGCTGCTGGGTGGAGAATGGATTGGAGAGAGATAAGAGAAAGTTAAACTGAATATTGGATCATTTAATTTGCTTTCTAGTACCGCTTTGACAACATTTTCAGAATGTGGGTTTTCACTTATTCTTTGGGAGAATATATAACTGGGATAATCCAGCAAGTCTGAGGGTGCTGTTTCAGGATTTTAATCCTGTTTTGACAGTAGTTATTAGAATGTAAAATGCATTGGTTACTAAGTGGAACTGCAAGAAAAGTAAGAAAAATAGTCTGGTTGTTTTAAGACTGGGATCTTTAATGGCTCTTTTTTCTCTTTGAGAAGTCTAAAAAGACTGACTTTTAATAGGACTATTCAAATGTTCTTTTTCCCCACTCCTATGGGTGGGGCACGGGTAGCCTTGGCTTTCTGCTGGTGTTAATGTGAGTGGGTCTCTGTTGACCTGGGCATGACTCACTAAACTGCAGGGAAGGTAACACCAAGTGCTCCTTCCCTTGGGGTGAATGACCTGAGTTTTGGGACAGACTCTGGTCTCGAGCCAATTATTTTACTTGTTTGAGCCTGACTAAAATGAGAGGAATGGACAGGATGGTGTCTAAGGTTCAGTGCTGCTCTGACATTCTCAGCCTAGAGATGTTTTTCCTGCTTACCTGCAAGCCCTGTGGTGTCCTTGCCTGGCCCTAGGATTATTTATAAGCTCCAGTCTTCATTCATCTGTTTGCCCCTTTTTGGATGTGAACTCTATAACTGTGAGATAGTACCTTCTTGTTCTTTGTGTGGCACCCTTTCAGCAGCTGGGTCTGGTATGTCACTGGGCTGGTAGTCGATGCTGATTTTCAGAACAAAGAATGACCTTTGAATAGCCAGAGTGTTGGCTGCCAGGTCTATAACCCGGATTGTTTTAATGAAAGTGCCAACAACAACAGTATTTTTAAAAATGGACTGTCGTTGGAGTTCATCAGACCTTTTTAAAAATGTCATTCCCTTCCACTCTTAAATCTTATAGCCATTTTGAGTAATTCTTTAAAAAAAAATCTCTAAAGAGGCCTATTCCTTATACAGCTGAAAATCATTAATTATTTCCTGTCCTTGCGTCAACTTCCTCTTGCCCAGAAAGGGTAGCTGAGAGTGGTTTCCTGACTTCTGGGAAGGGAAAACTTCCTTGTTCTCACCACTCTGCCCTTGGGCTCTAACCTCAAAGTGGTAGAGCAACAGCTGTACTCCGAACAATGTTAATGTGAACCTTTGGCTAATGGAAGCAAAATTTTAGGAATAAAAGTCACTTTCAATTATGGCTGATGTAAGGTGTGGTTGTGGGAATGGGGGTAGGAAGACAGGAGTTCTGTAAGGTTTAAGTTACAGAATTAAAATTGTTTGATAGAAAAAGTACATGACATTTTATTGTTTTCTTAAACTAATTGTTTTTAGACAGGAGGCCCAGAGACCTAGCTTTATATCCCAGCCTGGTAAGAGCTTGAATATCTTGAAATTATTTGGTTTAAAAACCCTGCAGTCATATGTAAACAATGTATTCAACAAGTATTGGTGAGCACCTAATCAGCTAATATGCCTGAAAGGCTGTGTGGGATCCAAAAACAGTATCAGACTTAGGCCATGCCCTCTGAGTGTCTAGAGAGCTGCTGGACACATACAGAGAGGAGGATGAGGCAGTGAAAAAGTGTGCAAATCGTGGGTGCCCAAAAGAATTCTCATGGGGAAAATTCACACAGCCCACAGAGGTGGGCTTCAGTTGGGCCTTGATGGGAGTGCAGCAGGATTCACTGAGGGGATGGAGTGGGAAGGTCTTCCTGGCATGATTAATTGCACAAGCCAGGGAGGGAATAAACGTCATCTGTTGGATAAAGTGAATCAAGGGTTCATCCTGGGGAGTCTGTGCAGAAAAGGTTAGGAAGCAAGAGAAGAGCAGAATTGTGGCAGGCTTGAATAGTATGATGAATTCGGACTTAATCCTCTGGGCAGTGGGATTCAGTGAAGGCTTTTGAGAAACGGAGCATCATGCTAAGATTAATGATGTTGGAGTTGTGAAAGGATGGCTTTTAGGTCAGCAGTGCATCTCTGGTGGGAAATTCAGATCTTAACTCTAAATTTCCCAAGTGTGGATGGGGGAAATTTTTCAAAACACCAACATTTTCAAAATCAACCCAATAGATCTTCACAGAATGCTTATAATGTGCAACACACTGTATTAGGTCTATAGAGGGGACAGAGAAGCAGACTGTACCCCAGGTAAGTTTTTTCTTTTTCTTTTTTTCGAGACAATCTCACTCTGCCACCCAGGCTGGAATGCAGTGGCGTGATCTCAGCTCACTGCAACCTCCGACTCCTGGGTTCAAGCGATTGTCCCACCTCAGCCTCCCGAGTAGCTGGGATTACAGGTGCGTGCCGTCACACCCAGCTAATTTTTTATATTTTTAGTAGAGACAGGATTTTGCCATGTTGGCTAGGCTGGCCCAAATAAGTTTTATTGACAAAATTAGATTGCTAGCTTTTGGAGAAGACCAAAGAGCAACTGTTGAAAGGTGGCATTTTGTGTTTAAAATAAATTAAAAAAAAAAAAACCTACTGTTTTTTAGGCTATAGGATAAGACTGTACTTGAGCTTTAACAATTTCAATGAGTATTAGTGGTGGGGGCACAACCTATTAGCTTTATTTACAAGGAATGTAAGTTTGATCCTTAATATTTAGGAGTTGAAAGTGTTCAGTAAGGATGAATCATATGAAGCAATTCAAATGTTCACCTTTATATCCTGTACAACCCATAAATATTGAGTTGTTCGTTCATAACAGCAGTTCTTAACATTCCAGAAGATATTTAAGCAAAATAGCCTGACCTGCCCTCTTAAAGGAATGGTTATTGTGTTTTTCCTCCAGGATTTTAGGCATCATGGGACCTATATCACTACTAGGATTAGATTATCTGATGTGCATCCATAAAAACATTTGATTTGTGGCTGTTGAATTTTGGCTAAATTGTTATTGTGGCTGTTGTATGAATTCATACTTTGTTGCTTAGATGGCAAGTGAATTAAACAGTGAACTTAAGTGAGTCTCCCTTTTTCTTCAGGTATACCTGAGATATTTTGATACAGGTTTATAATGTATAATAATCACATTAGAGTAAATGGGATATCCATGACCTCAAGCATTTATCCTTGGTGTTATAAACAATCCAGTTATAATCTTTTAGTTATTTTTAAATGTATCATTAAATTATTATTGACTACAGTCACCCTATTGTGAGACATATTTTACTTTTAAGAAGATAGACACCGTGCATTTTAAAAGCAGTGACAGGTTTTTCTCAGTCTTAGGAATTCATTCATTTTATATCAGAAGACCCAAGGATGCCTTAGTATGTTCAGGCATGTTTCATACCTTTTCAAAGCAGTTTCTTTTTTTCCTGGGAAGGACCAATTTTCATGATATAATTTTATTTAGGAGATGGAGTGCCTTTCTTTATTCTGTGCTATTTGAGTTTTATATTAAGCCTATCTAACTCCTGTTCTTTTCCCTTTAGATTTGAGCTTAGAAGCCACTTTCATTCTGAAGCTTTTCCATAAGGTTGGGCCTAGCTTCTCCTGTGTGTTTCCAAATATCCCACACTTGCCCCATCTTAAAGTCATGGGTTCATTTTATAATCACTTATTTCCTTGTCTGTCTCCCTCACATGACTGTAAACTTCATACTGTCATGGCTGTTAATCTTGTTTATTTTGGTAAGCTCACACAGTCCTTGATAAGTGAATGAATACATGCAAATTTTGCTAAATAACAACTTATTTATACCATTATTTTGGAGGCGTTGTTTTCCTACAGTTTATTCCCTCATTAGATTTCAAGTAATAGGAACATAAACTTAGAAATTCACCATGGAAGACTTTGCATATGGGCTGCTAAAAGAAGTTTTTCTTATTTTTAGTGCCAGACTTTTCATTCGTAGCTGTCTCACTCAAAACATTCAGCTTCTTGTAAGCATGCAAATTTGGAAAGAGGTAAGGGCCAGACTCAGTGTACACACACTGATATACACTCATTTTATACTCAGTGACCCAAACTAGTAAGAGTTTGTTAGCTCTCTCATCTCTGAATGCTGTTTTAAAATATGTTATTACTGAAGACAAATAAAAAATTGAATACTAAAACTAAACATGTCCTTAATTTGTAAAGTGTCTCTGAGACCTAACCCAGGATGTGGCTGCATAATATTTTAGCAGTGTTTTAACCTTATTAGTTAACTAACATCAACTAATAAGTCAGTAAGGCCAAGTTAATTATGTAAGTGACAGCCAGCAGGTATTATGTTAGAAGGTTTGGATCAATGAATAATTGTAATTGAAACCAAATGTAATTAGTTATGTGATTTTTGAGGTGTTCAGGTGTAATTCCACTTGTGTTCCATCTTGAAACTAAAGCACTAGGAAGGATTACTGACAAAAGGAAAATAGGCATAAAGATGCACTTGACTCATGTTTGAGTTGTGTTCAAATCCCCAGGTCACAAAAGAGAAACCTGGATTGCTTTATTCTAGAGAGACCATGCATGCTCTGCTGACCCTGCTTACCTGCCTCCAGAGTTTCTTCGCTCCCACCCTTCTCTGTCCCCACTCTTCTTGGCCCACAGTTCCGCATTCTGCTTTGCTGCTTCAGGTCTCCATGCGATAGTACATCATGTTCTCTTTGGGATTCTTTTGCTCCTTCTCGATCCAGCTAACTCTTACTTGTTTTTAGAACTCAGCTTAAGGCCAATAGCTGCAGGAAGCCCTTTCTGATCCCCAGTCTGATTTAAATGCAGCCCCCCACCCCAGCCTTTCCATAACATCTTTATTACGGTGCTTTCCACTTTATCCTATAATTTTTGCATTGCCAGTTTTTTCTGCTCGTCTTCTTAAGGGCAGAGATGGTCTTGCAGTACTTTGTTGAATGAATGAACAAACTTTGATTTTTAAAAATATTCTGTAGAGGTAGTGCTTAAAACCCACTAAAATTGGAGCTTTTATTAGCTATATATAGAACTTAAAAATACTTTCTAGTATATATTATGTCAAAAAATAAATTATTTATTATTTATTTATTATTTCTCTTTCTTGTTTTATTCAAACTTTAACAGATCTTAAAACCGTATAGCTTTAGGTTTTGTGTAGTGGTCAAGAGGCTCTGGAGTCAGCCTGTGGATTCGAATCCTGGCACTGCCTCTAGTTGGAGGACTTTAACCTTGGTTTCCCCAGCTATAAATTTGGGGATAAAAATAATACCTTATAACATTGTGGTGGGCACTAAATGAAATAATACATGCAGGTAAAACTCTTGCATAGTACCTTCCTGAAAACACTGCTGACACCACTGACTTTTCCACCCTAGTTATATGTGAACCCATAGAATTCATAGAATTGCAGAATGGTTTTATATTCTCAGAGCAGATGGTAAACTTTGTCAGTTCTCTAAAATGATCTGGAGGAATTATAAATTAGTGATACTGTGCCACCTTTTATGACTCCAATACGGGACCTGCTTTATGTCTCATACAGCATCATGAGCCATTAAACTGGTAACACACAAGCCATACCATAATCTAAATGGCATAGCAGTCTCATCAGCAATGAGGCCCTGGGATGCAGTCATCACTGATGCTGGGGTACTCTTTTTTTCTTCCATTTCTCCTAAACTGGAAGGAGAATAGTTACCAGTAGGCTCTCCAAAAAGTTTTGGCATGAACTTTATGGGAACAAGTTTGCAAGCAGTATGGACAGGTGGAAAACTTCAAGGACTTGGTCAAGCTCATGGGAAATGTTGCTTGTAAGCTACTAGAAAATTACAGAAGTAGGCAGGCCACCTTTTTAGGAAATAGAACAGTAGAGGAGGGTGCCAAGTGTGACCTGCATGCACTATGCACATAGACATAAATTCAGTGCTTGGGTATGTAAGGTGTGGAAGGGACATTTGCTTTCACCACACCTGTTTCAGTCATTCATAGTATGACTACTAGCAAGGCAGGTTTTAGGCTTTGGAGCCTTTTTGCTTGTTCTAGAATAAGCATCAGCAACGTTTTCTGTTAAAAATATTCTGTGACATTATTAATTACCTGGAGAGTATGATCTGGCACCACGCATTGCATGTCAAAAATGCTCACCACATGTTTTTGAGTGAATTATAATGGATGTTTTAAAATTAGAGATATAATAATTATGGTTGCTGAATAATGGTTTTGAGGTAACAAAATGCTTTTTTTTTTTTTTTGAAACAGAGTCTCACTCTGTCACCCAGGCTGGAGTGCGGTGGTGCGATCTTGGCTGAATGCAACCTCTGCCTCCCAGGTTCAAGTGATTCTTGTGTCTCAGCCTCCTCAGTAGCTGCGATCATAGGTGTGGTCTACCATGCCTGGCTAATATTTGTATTTTTAATAGAGGCTGGGTTTCGCCATGTTGGCCAGGCTGGTCTCAAACTTCTGGCTTCAAGTGATCCATCCATCTACCTTGGCCTCCCAAAGTGTTGGGATTATAGGCATGAGCCACTGCACCTGGCCAAAGTGTTTTTTAACTTTAGATGTAATATTTTCTGGCCTTGAAGGATGAGATATTTTGCATTGGTAAAATGTTGTGATTAAGTTAAGCTTCAAATGTGCAAAGCCTTTTAAGCAGCAAGTGTAACTGAATATAATTTTACCATTGCTTGATGAACTAGCGTCTTTTAAGATTTTTTTTTTTTTTGAGAGGGGATGGGTATTTGACCCAATTTAGTTTTCGGTATGTGTTTTTTCTTCATCTTCATGTCAGACTACACCTGCCACTTCTGCCACTACTTCTTATTCAGACACCCTCTTCTTTTGCAGTCCATTGATGGTTTGCTGCCAGTAATTGCCTTTAGGTTGAGAAATCAGTAATCAAGTTTGGGAGGATTTCTGTGTTTTTCAAAGGCAGGATTCTTAGTGAGAGTCCAAGGCATGTTGGACCTTTATCCCAGCTGTTTTCTATGTACTTCATGTTTAGGGATCATGTCCCAAAGGATGGCTGTCTTTTACGTTAGTCTCCACTTGATGAAAGTGGGCTTTACTGTAATATTTTTGCATAGGATGTTCAATACATTCGTTGTTGATATCATTTAAATTTTTTCTCTCTGCTTTTTACACAGTCAAAATTTGCTGTGCGATGTCACAATTGTGGCAGAAGACATGGAAATTTCTGCTCATAGAGTGGTGCTGGCCGCCTGTAGTCCTTATTTTCATGCCATGTTTACAGGTATGAAATATTTTAGTTATAGGCATTTTAAAAAATGTATTCAGATCTGTGCTTTTCTTACCACATTTTCTTTTGTTATTGACATTTTACTTTTATGAAATGAAGAATTATAGTGGAAGAAAATGTTCTTGCTTTGTTCCAAATTCCTCCTCGTCTTTGTTTTGCATTGTTGGAGGTCAGTAAGCCTATACATAGGTACACTCACAATTTTATGCTCAACTTTCTCCCTGTAAGTTATACTTATGTATATTAGTTTCTGCCATTTATAATAGCTTTTTGGCACTTTATTATTTTGACAAAAGGAAGCCACTTTACATTTTTTAAAATGATTTTTACATTTGTTTCATCCAGTGTTACATTGAACAAAAAGATGTTTATTTAATATCCTTCATTTGGAAATATAAGAAAATAAAGCGATTTATCTACAAGCTCATGTTCTACTTTGGCAACTGTGAAAATATATAGAATGATTTTAGTACTTCTGGAAAAGAAGTAATTTATGTCTGTCACACTTGAATCCCTTACTCTCATTCTTTTTTAAAATATACTGTACAAAGAAACGAAGTTTTTATCTGTTACATCAATGAGTTTATAATCTTAGGGTATTGGTATGCCAAATAGAAAATACAAATAGAAATGTAGTTATACCAAAAAGCAAAAATACAAAGCTCTTCTTACTTTAGAAACTATTAAGTATTTCTGGTGCTACTGTTTTACTAGATACTTCAAGGCATACAAAAACAATGTGAACAGCTTCCTGCCCCAAAAGCTTCCTGTGTAGCTAGGCAGATGGATGTGCACCCTTTAATAGGTAATAGTGTATGGAAGATCTGAGTGCTCACAGCAGTGGTCAGACGTTGACGGCTGTGATGGGCAGCACTGAGAGAAGGATTTCCCCAGACCTGATGGATTGAGGGGTTTACACAGATGAAGATGAGTGTAGAAGGTCAGATGGAGAAGACAGACTGAGTGAAAACTTTTCTGGGTGTCTTGGGAGTAGTGAGGAGACCAGAGCCCCGCTCAGTTTTCAGCCTTTTATGATCTTGCTCTTCCAGAACAGAGTTAAATAATCAGGAATGAAGAAGGATAGCAGGTGGGCTCTGAGCCAAGTTTGGGAGGGTTGCCTTTCAGCTGAGAGCTGAGGTTGATCTGAAAAGTCAATACCCGTGAAGTGAGACTAGTCAGATTTTTATGTCTTGGGGTTCACTCTAGTCTCTTCATTTACATCTTATTTATTACTGCTGGACACTTTTCTAGAGAGAGAGAGTCTCTAAGGCTTGTAAGAGAAGGATTCGATCTGGAATGTGTTGGGCTACTTTAGGAATTACCTTGTAAAGTGCTGTCCCCTTGGTGGCCTTCCTTCAGATGACACTGCTGTTGCCACTTACTTGTTGGAACTACTAGGTCTTTGGAAAACTTAATCTGTGCTTCAGTTTCCCCATCTGGAAAATGGGAATAATAATATTACCCACATCCTAGAGTTTTTGTAAAGATTAAATGAGATCATATGTGTGAATTTCTTAGCACTTGACGCATAGAAAATGATCAGTTAATTTTGACAGTAATTATTATGGTCATCATCACCATTCTTTTTTACTCTAACTTCCTAAATTTCTTTATATTCTGTACAAGATTGGAAAGCTTTAAGCTAGGCTCTTTTTTTTTTTTTGATAAATGTTTTATTGTCCACAGAGTGACAAAAATAGAGTGATTAACTTACACCTGTAAGATCAAGGTTAGTTTTCTTTCCCCTCAAATGGCTTTGGAGACTTAGTGTCTCCAAACTCCCTGAGCCTTAGACATCCAGTGAAATGGATGCTAGGTGGAGATAGGAGAGCTTATTATGTTTTTAGCTCTCTTTTCTGTTTGCTTTATAATCTAAACTGCATTTCAGTTTCCCTCTTCTGTTTTTGTCTAATGGTTCTCTATGCTTCATGATTTAGCTGACGTGGTTTATGAATATGTGAGCTTTGCCTAATGAAGGGAATGAGGCATTGAAGACATTCTGATTTTCTAAGTATTTATAGTGTATTACAACTAACTAGTAGGTAGGTGCTTTTGCAGTTCAACTGGTTTCTGTCTGAGAATATACCTTTTATGCTTAGCCAAATTTTAGATTGCTATGCGCTAAAGTACTTGAAAATAGGAATACTATGTTAATTTCTGGCACATATACAAAATGTGAATTGAGTACCTAACTTTTTTTTTACTAGTTTATTGAGGCATATTTTATATATCATAAAATTTACTCATTTCAGGGCTGGATGCAATGGCTCACACCTGTAATTCCAGCACTTTAGGAGGCTGAGGCAGGTGGATTGCTTGAGGGGTTCAAGACCAGCCTTGGCCACATGGTGAAAACCCATCTCTATCAAAATATAAAAAATCAGCTTAGTGTGGTGGCACTAGTCTATAGTCCCAGCTACTCAGGAGGCTGAGGTGGAAGGATCACTTGAGCCTGGGAGGCAGAGGTTGCAGTGAACCAAGATGGTGCCATTGCATGCTAGCCTGGGTGACAGAGTGAGAAAAAAAAAATTACCTATATTAAGTGCACAACTCACTGATTTTTAGCAAATTTACTGAGTCGTACTGCCATCACCATAAATCAATTTTAGAACATTTTTGTTCTCACATAATGTTTTTGAGGTTCATCCGTGTCATAAATGTTTCAAAGGAAGGTTTGCTGTTCTTATTGCTAAATAGCATTCTCTGTGGATAGACTGCTTTTGACTTTCCATTTACCAGTTGATGGATGTTTTTGTGTTGTTTCGATTTTTGGCTATTATGAATAATACTGCTATGAATATTCATGTGCAGTTCTTTGTGTGGACATATATTTTTATTTCTCTTGGGAGTAGATATCTAGGAGTGTAATTGCCGGGTCACATGGTAAATTTATACTTAAAAAATTCTGCTAAGCTGTTTTTCCAAAGTTACTGTACCATTTTACATTCCTACTAGCAATGTTTGAAACTTCCTATTTCTCCACATCCTTGCCAACACTTGGTACCGCTTTTTAAAAAATTATAGCCCTTCTAGTGGGTGTTGAAGTAGCATAGTATTGTAGTTTTAATTTGCATTTTTCTAATAACCAATGATGTCAAGCATCTTTCTATATGCTTATTATTTAGGCTAAACTTTTATGGTTTTTCAGCAGTAGATGTTATTTGACTTTTTAGCAATCTTTGTACTGTTTTTTTTCTTCTACTTTTGAATCTACTGTTTAGCCAACAATTTGGCAGAAATTAGATAAGATAAAGGCCACTTTGGGAAGCTGAGGCAGGTGGATCACGAGGTCAGGAGATTGAGACCATCCTGGCTAACATGGTGAAACCCTGTCTCTACTAAAAATACAAAAAAAAAATTAGCCGGGCGTGGTGGCGGGCACCTGTAGTCCCACCTACTCGGGAGGCTGAGGCAGGAGAATGGCGTGAACCCAGGAGGTGGAACTTGCAGTGAGCCGAGATAGCACCACTGCAATCCAGCCTGGGCGACAGAGCAAGACTCTGTCTCAAAAAAAAAAAAAAAAGATAAAGGCAGGGCGCAGTGGCTCATGCCTGTAATCCCAGCACTTTGGGAGGCCGAGGTGGCAGAATTGCTTGAGCCCATAAGTTCTAAACCAGCCTGGGAGAAATAGGGAGATCTCATCTCTAAAAAGATTTTTAAAAAAATTGACTGAGCATGGTCACACGTGCCTGTATAGTCAGTCCCAGATACTGGGGAGGCTGAGGCAGGAGGATCGCTTGAGCCTAGGAAGCAGAGGTTGCACTGAGCTGAGATCATGCCACTGCCCTCCACCTGGGCAACAGAGTGAGAATATGACCCTGTCTCAAAAAATGAAAAAGAAAAAAAGAAGACACGGGGATTGGGTCTAGGTAATTTAGTGTATGTAGACTCATTTAAGTATTTGCCAGAGTATGAGTACTTTGTTTCTTTGTTTTTCATGGTCTGAAACCCTGTTAAGCTTTTTTTTTTTTTTTTTTTTTTTTTTGGTAAAAATTATGGTGAGGTTAACAAGTAGACCATTGGATGCTTTCATTCCACCAAACATCATGTACATTTACATTCTCTTGCTCAGGGACAGGGAGTTTCCCTACTCTTCTTTTGTTTTCCTGTGACTAACCTATTAGGAAATGGGGAATATGCAGATGTTCTTTGTTGGGTCTTACTTTTAATCTCATAAACTGTAGGTGAAGTTTTCATTTAAATTATGTCACCTAAGAAATAATTCTGTTACTCGTCATAGTTCCAAGTATTTGAGTAGAGAAGGGAAGTGAAAAGTAATTCTGTGAAGTAGTCACAGGGTTTTACTTTGTGAAGTATGGGCCTATTTAGAGCAAGGCCAAGTTGTTTAACTGTTACTTAAGAAAGAACATACCAAATTGGGTTCTCGTGTTTTTAGATTACTTCTTGGTTACAAATGTGGCATTTAGAAAGCTGTTTGCTTAACACATACTTTGAGATTTATTTGTGCCACAGGCTAACATTTCTGAAATCTGGTGGGAAGTACTGAATACTAAATTTTTATTTTTAGCCTTTTTTTTGGTGTGCTTTTTGATTTCTTTTGTCATATTGAACATGATTCAGTAAAATAAATTAGAATAGGAAAAGACAGATTATTGTTTGAGTGACTAAGAAGTAAGATTTTAAAAAGCTATATACATGGTTATGTTTGTCTAAGATTCATGCTTTCATTCATCAAGGAATATTTATTGAGAATCTTCTCTGCTAGGCATTGTCCTAGGCTTTGGGGACTAGAGTGATGAATAAAACAGATAAGTTCCTGTTCTCATGATTATAGTTAGGAAGAAGAAGAAAGGTTAGACAGTAAGTAAACACACAAAAGATAATTTCTGATATTGATGATGGCTCTGAAAAAAATTAAATAGAATGTTGCACAAAGAACTTAAGTTGGAATGCTTTAGGCTGCCTGTAACAGCAAATGCCACTCAAACTGGTTTAAATACTAAGAAAGCAGGCTGGGCACCAGACATGATTGGATCTACAGCTTGAAAATTTCATCAAGAATCTTCTTCTGTCTCTCTACCCTTCTATCCTCAATAAAAATATCCTAAGGTTTGTTCCTCTCCTAAATGAAAGATGCCTGCAAGAGTGGACCCAACATCTCAAGGAAGGAGGACTCTGTCTTTTAGGAGCTAAGAAACCTTTCTCAGAAGTTACCCAAACCAGAACAAAACTGGCAGGGCAATGCAGTTACCATGTTGGTCTTAGATTTGCTGTAGAACTGGAGAGTTACATACTCTGACCATCACAGAGAGTGGCTGGTGGGCCACCCAGATCAGCTTGCCAAACTGAAAATGCCTGTGTGTCAGTAACTGCTTTGTAACCTAAGAACAAAAAGGTGGTAGTAATTAGAGTAGATGACAAGTGGAACTTGCAAAGTAATGGAATAAGATTTGTTTATTAAACATAGCTATAAATTTGTTATTTATTTCTTAGAGTTTCAGCATAGTCAGAGTTTCTGTGTTACACTTTTATTTTTTTTCAGATGTTTTGTGTGCTAAATAACTGAAATTAGAATCATAGAATTTTTAAAATGAAATGAATTTTAGCGTTTATCTTTTTAAACCTATTCACTTTTCATTTATACATTGGATAAATTCATTTTGCAATGGATAAGTGAAGTTACCAGTTTATGTTGGGCTTCAGGAGTCCTGATTAAAGATCCTTGAGTTGGAATTTTTTTTTTTTTTTTTTTTTGAGATGGAGTCTCGCTCTGTACCAGGCTGGAGTGCAGTGGCATGATCTCAGCTCACTGCAGCCTCCGTCTCCCGGTTTCAAGCGATTCTCCTGCCTCAGCCTCCTGAGTAGCTGGGACTATAGGCATGCGAGATGGAAATGTTTTTAGCCATATATGTGTTCTTACACTTTCATGATTTGGAGGACTTCCTTTTTTTCTCAATAAAAGTAGATAGGAGACTGGGTACGGTGGCTTATGCCTATAATCCCAGTACTTTGGGAGGCCAAGGCGGAAGAATCATTTGAGGCCATGAGTTCAAGGCTGCAGTGAGCTGTGATTACGCAATTGCACTTCATCCTGGGCAACAGAATGAGACTCTGTCTCAAAAAAAAAGGTAGAGATGATGTGGTATTTGCTAGTGAAAGTGCTTGGCTCACTCTGTAATGTACAGTGATGTTCAATAAATGTTGACTGAAATCCTACATAGCTAGAATATCCGTGTTTAAGACTAATTTTAAAGTGCCATTAGTTACGTTAAGTAAAAATGCTATATTTTATGTATTTATTCAGTTAATTTATTTATTTACTTATTTATTTATTTGGTAAGATAGAGTCTTTCTCTGTCACCCAGGCTAGAGTGCAGTGGTGCGGTCTTAGCTCACTGTAACCTCCACCTCCCGGGTTCATGCAATTCTCCTGCCTCAGCCTCTCACGTAGCTGGGATTACAGGCATGTACCAGCATGCCTGGCTAATTTTTGTATTTTTAGTAGAGATAGGGTTTCGCCATGTTGGCCAGGCTGGTGTTGGACTCCTGACCTCACATGATCCGCCTGCCTTGGCCTCCCAAAGCACTGGGATTACAGGCATGAGCCCCTGTGCCCAGCCAAAATGCTACATTTTAAATTGGCACTTGCTTTACTTTTTATTCATCTAGTCATTTACTTATCTAACCAGTATTTATTGGGTATCTACTAGATGTCAGACATGTTATACAGAGATAAGAAAGGCTTCATCCCTGTTCTCAGTGAGCTTAAGAATTCAGAGGAGGAGAACTAGGTAAAGAGTTGATTATGACAGAGTGGATTTGCATGAGGTACCCAACTGTACCTAATCCAGCCATGGGCCACTAACAGATAAGGCTACCTAGAGAGGTTCCAGTGGAGATTAGCCTGGGAAATGAGTGGGTGGGGAGACAGAGAGGACAATGTTCAACAAGAGCATCAGGGGTAAGACATTGCTTGGTGTCTGTAGAAAACAACAAACAGCTTCTCAATAATGTATTTCAAGTTTAGAAATAGCGGGAGGAGAGAGAGAAGGCTAGGTAATGAATCAGGGGCTGGACATGTGTGCTTGGACTGGGAGAAACCAAAGGATTTTTGAACTCCGTGCCCAAATTTGTGGAGTCAGTACTGGAGGCAGGAAAATAATTAGGAGGTGGCTACATTGGTGTTAGCAAGAGATTATAGGATCCCCAATGGTGAGAAGGTGAGAAGATTTATTTGAGATCTATCCAAGGTTAGTTCTGCAAGTTTTAGTGAACTGTGGGACTGGTGGGTAAGGAAGAGGAGAGAATCAAGGATGACTCTCACTGAGGTTTTTAGTATAGGTGTTTGTATGGATAGCATAATGTAGCTTCAGAGTTCTGATATAACCTCAGAGTTATGTGATCAAAACATAAACAATAAACTATAATCTCTATAGAGACTATGGGAGGTTACAAATGGTAAGGATAAACTATGTACAGTATCATTGGGTAGCCTAGTTTTTTTTCTGTTTGTTTTAAATAGGACAGAGTCTTGCTGTGTTGCCCAGGCTAGTCTTGAACTCCTGGGCTCAAGTGATTCTCCTGCTTCAGTCTCCCTAGTAGCTGGGATTACAGGAGTGAGCCACAGCACCTGACTCTCATTCATAGTTTTTAAAATGCATTAGCAATCAGAAATCTCACAAAGCCATACTGTTTAAAGATTTCCTCTGAAAACACAGCATAGGGCAAAAACTAAGGTAATAATGTAACAACTGGAATTAGATATAAATAACTTTTACAATACTCTTTAGTATGGGCTTTGATTCATAGTAATTAGAATTTTTAAACCATTAATACAGTCATGGGCACATTTTTTATTTTTCTTACTGTTTTTGTAAATTAATATAAAAATATTCAAAACAGTATATAATTGAAATTGAATTTATTGGAAGCAGATACAGTTCTCTGGGGAGAAAAATAATCTTAAAAATGACAAATATTTGAACTAGCAAAATGCATCTTATAGCAATACCTTAAAAACTATAATATTAAAAACTGTTTGGCAGAGAACTAATTATTTTTCAGTCATACATGTAAATTAAAGTCCCACTTGGTTTTGCCTAAGGTAAGTCACGCTTAACTGAGTACTGGCTGTTTGGCTTTGTGCTCATGTGGCCCCAGGCCCTGAAGGGCTTTGCATATTATTGGGGCTCTGTAGGTGAATCAGTTATGGCCTTTGTCTCAAGTCCAAGTGGGAATCACCAGAATGTCTTAACTTTTGGCACAAAAGAGGCTTCAGTTTATACAGACTATCAGTTTATACCCCAACTATTCACAGGATCCAGCAAGAATAGGATAGAGAAAGGTGCCTTATATGTGGCTGAAGACTTATTTTTCTGTATTCCTTGACCTTCCTTTTTCCTCCTTTCTGTAAGCAGGGGAAAAACATTTGCCGTAGCACCAGACATACAACTCAGTCCCCTTTCATCCTGCTATGTAGGTATAGGTACATCTTTCTCATTAACTCTCCTACTTCCCTTGTCATACAAAGAGATGTTTTTCTTCCTGGGAAGTAGCAGGGTAGTTTTTTGGGATATTTTAGCTCTGAGATGAACAGCTTCTTTCTGAGATCTTGTCAAAGATAATCTCCAGGGAAGCACGCAGTTTTGTACACCACTATTGTTATTTCTCTTCTCCCAGGGTTTTGTTTACAAAGGAATTTTGTGTAATTATGATTTCCCATAGACTTTTCTGATAGTTTATGGTCGCTGACAGTGCATTGTATCAGAAAAAGAAGTGAGCTTTCAAGAAATCTTGAGGCTATGTTATGGTTTAATAAGAGATGCTGGGTTAAAGTGAAGGTGATGAATAGTGGCACGTTCTCATGCTTCTTTTACCTTTGAAACTTAGTGAATTCTAGAGCCAAATCTTTTTTGCCCATGGCCCTCAGCATTATTCTTGGACTGTCCTTTTAGTTTTTAATTGAATCCCTCCCCACCCGCATTCAATTGCTTGTGTCTCCATGTATCATAGTTCACTTATGTTGTCACACCTCGGTGCTTAAACTTGCCTCCTACTCTCCCCAAGTCTCCTTGGCTTAGGGACCATCCCTTCTCTTTCCTCCTTCCCTATTTCTTTTCCACAAGTGGGTATTAGGAAGAAAGTCTTTTACTGTTTTCTTTGCAGGCAGTTTTGTAGAAGGATACCTGGTTTTAGTAATAAAGCTGGTATGGAAATGACTTCAGCGTGAAGTTGCTGCAGTTGACAAACAGGAACTGAATCTGAGCTAGAAGATCTCTGTAACAAGCTTTGTTGTTGACTAACTCTTTGTTATTATTGTGATCCCTGTTATGCCTTGCATTCTCTAAGCATCATAAGTAATTTGTTTTCTCGTTGTCTCTGGCATGAGGGTTGTGACCTCTCACTGAGGGTGGAGCCTCTGTGTCTGGTGCAGGCTATGCATGCCCCGGCAGGCATTTGTGTGTTTGTTGAAGGAGTAATGCTAACCAGGTGGGTCCTTTTCAGCAGCTGTTCATTGCTATTAGCCAAAGGCAGTAACATCGTTACTCTTCTAGTCATGACTGGAAATCCATAAAGACAACAAGTGCCCAAAAGCAGGGACAGCCTCAGCTACTGATCCTATAGCCACAAGAATAGTTCATGCAGCTGGACATATGGCACGTTCATTGTTGTGATATGATTTTCAGGTGCAAGTGGGTAACAAAAGTACATTTTATGATTTGCTCAGGTGAGCTTTTGGAAGAGGAAGGGGGGAGTATTTTCGGCCTGCAAAAAGTGGCTGATTATGCTGCCTGTTGAATACAGTGAGTGGCAAGAAGATGTATCAATCTACATTGGCATTGGAACTTCCACAGCAGTGTCTTGCTGTAACATCACTCTTATTCCTTTGTGTTTTAGGTGAGATGAGTGAGAGCCGAGCAAAGAGAGTTAGAATAAAAGAGGTAGATGGCTGGACCCTGAGGATGCTAATTGATTATGTTTACACTGCAGAAATTCAGGTTACAGAAGAAAATGTACAGGTAAGAGTAAACACTTCACACCATCTAGCTTTTTATGCATACAGTTTTTTTAATAAAAAAAGCACACCCACACAGTATACAATTTGCACCAAAATAATAGGATTCATTGTGAAAATTGTATTTCTAAAAAATATTTGGAATGATTACACCTTTTTAGTAATGTTTCTGAGTTCAGTATCTTTTATATTCCTTAAGATCTGAGATACAAATCCTTTAGTTCTCTGAATGATGCTTGTTCTTTCATGAAAACACTGTCATATTCATTTATAACTGTTGATTGATGCTGCCCACAATTTTTCTTTATTCCTTGGAAGGATATAGTCTACAAAGTATGTTTTTGACTGCCAATATTTTTTATTTCTGTCTTTTTTTTTTTTTTTTTGATACCCGATCTTGGTCTGTCTCTCAGGGTGGTGTGTGGTGGTGTGATCATGGATCATGCAGCCTCGACCTCCTAGGCTCAAGGAGTCCTCCCGCTGCAGCCTCCCAGCTACTTGGCTGGGACTACAGGCGTGTGCCACTATGCCCAGCTAATTTTCTTATTTTTTTGTAGAGAGGTCTCACTGTGTTCCCCAGGCTGATCTCAAACTCTTGGGCTCAAGTGATCCGCCCTCTTCAGCCTCCCAAAGTGCTGGGATTATAGGTGTGAACCACCATATGCCCAGCCTATTCTTTGTTTTACTATTTGAGCATCCTCTTTAAGTGATTCTGGAGTTTAGGTAAAAGTTGATATTGCATCTTATTTTCTATAAAGAACAAATGTTTTATGTGTGTTACATAAATGTTTAAATAATACAGATGGGTGTGGAGTAAAAGGTGAAAATCCCTCTTTAGAAAACGGACCTTCTCTTCGAACCTACCCCAGTCCACATACATTGATTCACTTCTTCTTCTCTAGAGGGCAGCTTCTGTTATATACTGTGAATCCCTTCAGACTGTTTTCCATGCATTTATTCACACAAACGTACACACAATTTTTTTACATAAGAAATACTATACTTGTTCTGAAACTTGCTTTTTGAACTGAACAGTGTCTTAGGGGTCTTCACACATTAGTGTATATGGGTCTAACTCATGTTAATCAGCTATATATATATATGTATGATTTTTCACCTTTATAAAAACAGTGCAATGAGTGAACATTTTTATATTTGCATCCCCAAATTTTATAAGCTGGATTCCTCAAAATGGAATTGGTGGATCAAAGAGTACATGCATATATTAATTTTTTGATAGCAATGCCAAATTGCCATCTGAAAATGTGTGTTTATTTATATTCCTTCTAACAGGGACACTGTGTTTTGAGGACAACAAAAATAACTAGGACTAAATTCTTAAGAAATAATCTTTAAATTCTACTTGCACAAATAGGAAGTTGTTGGCTCAATCCTTATCCCTGCTAACTAGTTGAAATATGCTACAGAATGAATTCGGAGACTGAAATCTTTGCACTTGTTAAGACATGCTATCGATTGTTCCATGTGAAATACTGGCAGTAGTAAGGCCTCCTGGTGATCTTTCCCAGATGGCCTCATTAGCTTTTGCTTAGAAGTTCCAGTTGTGAGGTAAGGCATTTGAAAAACCTTGGTCAATATTGGGGTTGTTTCTAAATGTATGCATCAGATGCTAGATGAACTTTTTTTTTTTTTTTTTAACATGGAAGAAAGTGTTTGGTATATGTCATGAGATCACTGAACTAATATGTCATCTCGTTCTGGTCTTTTAGGTACATTTAGACTATTTGCTAGATTCTGGGGCATTGTTTTCAACAAGAGTTTATCTTGGTTTCTTTTTGTTCATTCTTTTTATTCATTTTAGTGCATGGGCCTCATTATGTCCTTATATTTGACCTTCAACAAATGAATTACTGATTTCTTTGATTCACATAATGGGCCACATGGGAGAAAATTGAGAAAACTCATTTAGGCCTTAGAGACTAAACTGTGTGAATTCAGCCCTGAATGTTGTTTGTAGTAGTTCTTGTGGTGGGGACATGGGCCTATTAGGAATTAGGAGAACACCTCTCATGTTTCTTTTAATAACTATCATGTTCCAGTCCTGAAATATTAGTCATCACAGCCTTTCAGAAAACTCTTGCCATCCTAATTTGCCTCTTGTGTATATATTGCTTAGCTTTTAGAATATGCAGGAATACATTCTAAGAGTTACATTTGGCAGGCTTATTAAATGCTTAACATTTGTATAGTTTTGTTTTGTTTTAAGTTTTTAAGAGGGAGAGGGATATCTCTTCAGCATAGGGCTATCATGATTTGTAAAGCTTTCTTTTATTTTCAATTGAAAAATACTTGTTTTGGAAAAGGCAGTTGAGAAATAAATTAGATTAAAAGTAGCTACTTTTTCCATAACATGTGTTTTTCAATGAAAAAAATAAGACTATACCATGTAAAGATACACCAGACTCCTATTTCCTGCTTTGTATATTTTTTGTCAATCTATATTTTGTTAAATCTTTCTTGTAAAGTGCTGTCCACCTTAAAGAAGAAGGTGTCTGTTGTTATTAATGTTAAGCTGAAGTTTTAAGTGGCCCTAACTGGAAGCCATGCTCTGAATTTATATGCCCTGAAGGTGCTGACAGTGGGAACAGAAGTTTCTGTAATTCAAATGTTTCTTGGTGGTGGTATATTTTTCTCACTGGACCTAGACTCAAATCTTTTACCAGGTGACCTCCCTTTTGAAAGTTTCTGTTTTAGTAGTAAAGTATAATATTGGGCTAGAAAGTATCTTTGGGATTGCATGTTTTGATGCAGAATCATTGTGCCGTAGAATGCTGAGGTCCAGCCATCTGTTGGCAGTCAGTTGGCGACAGAACAGGGCCATACCCCTGGTTTCCCAGATTACTAGTGTAGGGTCTCTTCCATGATACCATATGGTCTCCTTATTACACTAATTTTAAACAATATAATACCTATTTGAAGTGAAGGTTGTTAACTTGGAGTCAGAATGAGGGAATGAGTAATTTAAAAAATTAACTCCAAAGAAGGGACTATTGTTATTATAGTCCCTTCTGATTTATACAAGCAATAGGGCTTTAATTCTTGGCCATTCCAGGTTTCCTAGCTTTTTGTGTGTTTGTTGCTGCTGTTGTTTTTTTGTTTGTTTAGGTTTTTAAACTTTGGCTTTAAGTTTGGATATTTGGTTTTATTTATGGCAGAATTGGAGGATAATTTGAGCTAAATGAATTTACAGGTTTTTTTTTAAAGGGAGATAAAAGGAGAACCAATATTTTACCTATGACTACACTTGTAATTCAACTTTTTTGTTGTTGTTGCTGTTGAGTGAATTAAAATTTAACTTGTGTCTAGAGTTTCAAAGCAAACTTTATGAACTGCATAAATCTGGGAAATAGAGAAAATACAGTCAAAGGCTATTGAAAAGTATGCTCTTTGACATTTGGTGGTTATGGACACCTTTGAGAATATGATGAAAAACTGTCAACCCTTTTCTAAGGAAAGGGCACATTAGCTTATCTGCACAAAGTTTTGCATACATTTTCAATACACTTTCAGAGAATCCATGTACCTTGCTGCTTGCCCCACCTTCCACTGTTAAGAATACTTGGCTTTATTTTTAAATTTTTAAATTTTTTTATTTTATTGAGACAGAGTCTTGCTCTGTTGCCCAGGCTGTGGTCAGTGGTGTGATCTTGGCTCGTTGCAACCTTCTCTTCCCAGGTTCAAGCAATTCTCCCACCTCAGCCTTCCAAGTAGCTGGGACTACAGACATGCACCATCACGCCCGGCTAATTTTTGTATTTTTAGTAGAGATGGGGTTTCACCATGTTGGCCAGGCTGGTCTTGAACTTCTGACCTCAAGCAGTCTGCCAACCTTGGCCTCCTCAAGTGCTGGGATTATAGGCATGAGCTACCACTCCTGGCCAAGAATACTTGGCTTTAGATATAAAAAATATAAATATATAAGTGTGTGTGAGTCTGTGTGTGTATGTGCATGTATGAAGGATTTTCACATGAGTATATCTCTAGTTATATGCTAAGCATTTTATATGTAGCTCATTTGATGTTTTTGCCTCCATATAAGATAGGTGTTACCCCAATGTGATTGAAGAAATAGGCTTAAGAAGGTTAAATAATTTGCTCAGCATCACACAGCAACTATTAAATCGTCATTAACTAGTATTGCTTACAAAGAGAGTTTATAAATTCAAAAATGTAAATGTCTTTATAACTGAAAATTTTTTTCACGATCCAAAAATTATTCAAGATACATGCTATGTCATTAGATGTGTTAATTAACACTTTTGGAGAATCCTAAAGGATCTTGAACTTCTTAAAGCATTTACTTCATTGCTAAATTTGTAGTTTTGTTACATGAGTTTGACTTCTCCGCCTTTGGGTATTTGTTTTGGCTTCCTAAAAGTAGGTAAGAGTTTTTCACTTGATGTAAGTGTTACAAACAAAGGTAATGCTGTTAATAAACAGTGCCCATGAAAGTAAATGCTTTCTATTCCTAAATTAATATTATGAGTACTCATCTACAGATTCTTTCCATATTAGAACTGTTATCATCTAGAAGAATTTGAGAAACATCTGACAGTTTTGAATGGATGGGTTTTAAAAAGTTCATGAAATATATGTTGGATGAATTGGAATTATTTGAGACGGACACTTTCTATCTCTTTAGAAATGAAACAAAATTTAAATGAGAGTTTTTCAAGGGACATCTAAAATCAATTATTGGTAATAAACAGACTAAATGTTTAACACAGTCTCAGTATAGTAGAAAATTCAACATAGTGTGTCCATTTTATTGGTGGTATAGGGCAGGTTGTTGTTGTTTTACTTCAAACCACAACTGCTAGGAGTATGCTGTATAGATAGTGTTTTACTCTGCATGTTCCCGGAAGGAGGACATCACATGGAGGGGCTTACATGGTACCAGGCCTGTTGACATAGTTGAAAAAGCTTTAAGTTGGCTTAATCAATAAAAAGCCAGCCAAAGTAGGGAAATCACCAAAACAGAATACATGTGTACCCTAAATATTTTAACCTCAAATATGTAGGTTTACAATTGTATTCCAATCTTTGTTTGTAAAACTAAGTGTGGTAAGCTGTTTCAAGAGCCACATGTCCTTTTTTGCACAAACCACACCATAATCATGCACCAACTATAATTTCCAGGCTTTTTTTTTAAGTGCAGCAAGAACTGAGACACTTGAAATCTCAATGCAAAATCTTCTATGAATTATACAGTTTCTCTTTCATTCCTCCCGTGTCTAATTGGATTGAAAACATTTATTTTTTTTCCAGTAGCACGTTGATCAAGCCACTCCAAAGCAGCCAACTTAGTTTTCATAGAAAGAGCTCTTTTTACATTCACATTTCATTGAATTCATTTACTTAAATTGTGTAATTTCAATAAGTGCAAGTGTCATAAACAGATGTGGGAGCAAATCCAACATGTATGAGTTGGTAAAATGCATCCCAGCTGGAGGAGCAGACGTGTGCAAGCACAGTAGAATGTAGTTACTGAGGGCATGGAGAGAATTGGTTCATCAGGTGAGTAGGTAAAGTAGATTTTGGTGAAGAGTGCTTTTGCTTTGTGTATTTCTATATTGTGTGGGTAAACATTGAAATGAAATTCCCATTAGGTGGAGATTTGTTTTAAAAATCTGTCTTAAAAATATTTAAGACACCCTATCAGTTAAACAGTCATTGATGGAATATCTGATAAGTACTCGGTCCTGGTGCTACAAAAACAAACAAACAAACAAACAAACAAAAAAGGAACAGGGAACAAAGCGTAATGAATAGAGTATATACTTAGACTGGGTTTGGATCTTGGCTTTGCTGTTTAAATGCCATGTGACCTTGCCTAAGTTGCTTAACCTCTGATTGGCATTGGAGCTTGAGCCAGGGATGAATAGGGCTAGGCGTAGGAGCACTGACCTGATGGAACAAGCACTCAACAAGTATTTTTTTTCTGTTTGTGTTTGTGTGTGTGTTTTTTTTGACATTTTCAAAAAATAATTTTAAAACTGAGGGTAGGCTGGGCACAGTGGCTCATGCCTGTAATCCCAGCACTTTGGGAGGGATGCCAAGGGAGGCGGATCACCTGAGCTCAGGAGTTCAAGGCCAGCCTGCCCAACATGGTGAAACCTCATCTCCACTAAAATTACAAAAGTTAGCCAGGCGTGGTGGTGCACACTTGTGGTCCCAGCTACTCGTGAGGCTGAAGCAGGAGAATCGCTTGAACCCGGGAGGTGGAGGTTGCAGTAAACGAAGATCGCACCACTGCACTCCAGCCTGGGCAGCAGAGTGAGATTTCATCTCAAAATAACAACAACAAAAAAAACTGAGGGTAGCATGCAGTCCAAACTGAAATGTTTAGAGGTGAGTTACAGATTCAGGTCTGAATGAGATGCTGCAGAGAACCTGGCCTCAGGACTTTCGTGGTGTTGGTAGTGGTGGTAGCATATACTCTTAGGCTGATGGCAGTGCCTTTATCCAGGAAGAGCTGCCCTGGGTGAACACTCAAGCCTATAGCTCTTATGTTTCTGGCTAGTCTAGAAAGAGACTTGGTAAGGGCTGGGCAATTGTAATGACCACAACCAAGTAATATTGAGATTGTGGAGGGTCTGCATTCCCGTAGGAAGCTGGGCAACAAACCCAGGATCTGGGGCTTGTTATGTGGGGCATTAGGAGTCACGCTGTGGCTTGGCAAGCATGAGGGTACTTGGGGGGCACATCACATTTAGGGCAGCAAGATTAACGCCAGACTGTAAACACTGATATGGTGCCCAATAAGCTTTGTGGTATTGGTCAGGATTAGTTTAGGACCGAATTGAACTGCACTTGAAGATCTAAGATTTGTAAGACCTGTAGCTGGATCAGGCCAGATCAGGTATGGATGAAGAACCACTTTACTGCTTTTTATACATGGCTTGCCCTTTCCCTTCCCTATATCTAAGCTGTTGAGCTTACCTCTTTTTTTCACTGCCAGTATTGATCCTGATGAATTTCATCTTTCAATCAATAGTTTACTAAATATTTATGGGGTATCTATTCTATGCCAGACACTGTTCCAACCATTGGTGTTACAATGTCAAGCAGGATAGATAAGGTCCCTGTCTTGAAAGGCTTTACATTGTAGAGGAGGGGTAGGGACGAGACAGATAATATACCCATAGATAGAGAAACAGGTGACTTTTACGTTATTCTCTGGGGAGGAGTCATTTGAGCAGAGACTTGAATGAAGAGAAGGGAGTGATGTAAAAGTAAAGGCAGATAACATTCCAAGCAGCAGGAGCAAAGGACCTGAGATGTGAATAAGTTTGGCGTGTTTTATGGGCCAGAAAGAAAAGGACGATTATTATTTGAGCAGAGTAAATGATGAGAGAGTGGAGAAAGATGAGATTAGATTAGAAAGGTAAATAGGGCCAGACAAAGTGGGTTTGTAGACTATGATAAGGAGGTTTGATTTTGTTCCAGTTGTAGTTTGGGCAGGGAATTCATGCTTTAGACAGTTTGTTCCCCTTTCCCATCTGCTAGCTGGAGGATGGACTGTGGGGGCAGTAGAAGAAGTTGGAGGCCCTTTAGATACCTGTTGGGGTAGGCTAAGTGAGAGACTAGTGGCTTGGGCCTGGGTTGTTGGCGTGAGATGGTGAACAATAGATTTGGGAGATATTTGGAGGTAGGGTCAGTGGAATTTACTAATGGATTTGCATGACGGTATGGAGGAAGGAGAATGATCAAGAATGGCTCCTGCATTTTTGGCCTGAGCAACTGGGTGGATTATAGTGCTGTTGTCTGAGATGGTGAAGACATGGGATGGGGACATATTTTTGGGGTGGTGGGAATTAATGGTTCTATTTTGGTTGTGTTAACTTTTACCAGTTGGGCTTACAAGTGGAGATGCTGAATAGGTTGGTTCTGTGATGGGAAGGGTCAGGTTAGGGAGGTAGATTTGGTGTATTGGTGGCATATTGAAGTGGATGAGGTCACTTTAAGAGGTAGTGTAGACAGAGAAAGCAAGCAAGCCAAAGACATAATCTGGGGCATTCCAGATTTTAGATGAGCAGATGAGGGAGATGGAGTACTGGTGATGTAGGAGGAAAAGCAGGTGTATGTGGTGTCACAGAATGCTAGTTCTAGAGAAGAAGGTGCTTCAAGGAGACAGTGTTTGGCTGTGTCAGATGTTCTTGATAGGTCAAGAAAGTGAATTGAGCCATATCAGTGTAGGTGTCATTACATTCGTTTGCCTGAGACAGTCCTATTTTATGCCTGCTAATCTGGTGTCTTGTCTGATTAGTGTTTACTTTACTCAGAAATGTTCCAGTGTGGATGATAAATTATATGGTCACACTGGTCATTAGTGACCTTGGGAAAAGCTATGTAGAGGTGATGGTGAGAATGAAAACTGGTTTGGAGTGGACTAAGAATAAGTGGACTCAGAGAGTACCGAAAGTTCTTTTAATGCCCTTTGCTATGAAAGGGGAGAGAATGTGCTGGCTGAAGGGGATGATGAGTTTAAGGGTGTTTTTGTTTGTTTGTTTTGTTTTGTTTTTTGATGGGTAATATTTTAAAGCATTTTTTATGTTAATTAGAATAACCTAGTAGAAAAGCGAAAGTTGATGTGATAAAGGGGAGAAAGAAACAAAGGGTATAATTGCAAAAGTGAGAGGGGTTGGCATCTAAAACAAAATGAAGGGGTTTACCTTAGATGGGAGCAGGAAAACTTCTCTGTTAACCAGAGAGAAGGCAGACTGTGTTGTTGTCAGATACAAGTTAGTGGCTTGGATGGTGGAAAGGTAGGTATTTTATCAGCTTGCATATAATTATAAAGGCTGTGGCAAGTAATTAGCCAAAAGGAAGATGAGGAAGAGGGATGCTGGAGATTTGAACTAAACATGATAAATCATTGTCTTGCAAAGGATGAAGATGAATTTACTAGTGAAGTGTAGTCGAATTGTCAGGCCATATTGGGAGCTCATTTGAGATTCGCAGTCATAAATATCAGGTAGAATGGTTGTGTGATTTTCTTCAGCCATGTTAAACCACTTAATACTTAGTATAGAGATGATGAATGTGTTAGTTAGCTATTGCCACAAAAATGCCACAGAACAAAGTATGCCAAAGCTCAGTGGCTTAATAAAAAAATCATTTATTCTTACGGATTTGCAGATTGGCTGAGGATCAACTAATCTAGGCTGAGGTTGGCTGGGTGATTGGCTCTACACCATGTTTTAAAAATTATTCTGGAATAAGAAAGTCTAGAGCAAGACTACATGAGTGGGTAGTTGAGAAAGAGTGGAGGAGGAAGTGGTAGTTGGAACTCAGGAAACCGAGATGTTCTATTTGGATGTTTATGTCATCAAAAATTGTCAGCAGTTGTGGTGGAGAGAATGGTGATTTAGGTTTTAAAAAGTTCTCTCTCTTGTGTTTGAGTTAGCATGATGACAACACTCTGGGGTGATTGTAGTACCATACTAAATCTTTGATTTAGAACCACCTGTTCCATCTTAGTATACTAGACGAAGTTGGCCAAGTAAAAAAAGTCATCTGTAAATGAGTAGGAGTGACTGAGTTGTGGTTAGATAGTCCCAATGAGGAAGGTGAGCAGACACGTGCTTCCAAGGAGCGGGGGTTTTTGGAGAAAGGAGAAAGGAAATAGCAATGGGGAGCTGCATCTCCAGGCCTTAAAGCAGCATTTTTGTTTTTCAGGTGTGGATGGTGATCAACTAGTGGGTCAAGAAATAAACTTAGTAGGTCATTATTAGCATTTAAGAGAAAAATTAGAGACAAGAGTAGGAAATGCTATTCAAGCTTAAAGTCTGTTTCAGAAGAAAATAGCAGATCCTAGCAAGTCTGCAGGTTTTGTGAAACTTTGAGTTCTAGGTTGTGAGGTAAAAAGTCTTACTATGTAGTGTGGTCAAAAGAATTCGAAAATTCAGCTATAAGTTACTTGGAGTGTGAGAGAGAAAAGTTTCATGAACAGTAGAGATGTAACTGAATATATGTTATTGTTTATGCATAAATACAGTGATTTTTATGTTATTTGTGTATATATTTTATTTTTCTAGACTGTATTCTTCAGCATGCATTTCTAGCATGGAAATACCCAACAGATGACTAATAGATGTTGACTGCTTAGATATCAGGAAGACATAGGTACTCAGTGGTAATCCAGAAAGTATACTTTGTTTTCTATGCTGGCTCATGGTGCAATTCCTGGAACAGGGCACAGAGATTCAGATGGACCTGCTTGAGATGGTGAGCAATGAAGGTGATGTCACAGTGGGGGTTAGACATCGCTTGCCCAATCTATTTCTTGGCTTTGCAGGTCTAGAAACTATTTTGTTAGCTCCTTCAGAGTTGATCAGACTTTTGGGAAATAGCTCAGAGTAGCCAAAATCAGAACACTAATACATAAACCAAAATGATCTTAAACTAATTTTCAGTGGGTAACAGGTGTTTCTAGGGACTGTGTTTACATTATCCGGTGTGCATCATTCTCAGGACCTAGATACCTAAGTGATAGAATTAGTAATCAGAGCTTCATTTGGTGAGCAGGGAATCACAAGGAAAGGGAATTTACTTCAAAGTGGTAATGGAAAGTCTTACCAAACTGGCATCCCACTGCAAAATATACCTTTCTAGTGATTTGAGTATTGATTACATACTGTGAAATCCAATGTCTCCTTACCTTTCATGGTACTGGGAAAACTCTGACAAATAATTGCTCTTTGGATAACCCATTTCTGAATTTTTTTGTAATCTGGTAGTTGTCTTTTTCTGTCCCCAAGCACTTGAGGATGTGCCAAACTCCACCAGACACAGTGGTTCATTGACACAGAGATTCTCAACTAGAGGGCAGGGTGCCCTGGTATTTTTAATTCTTATTTATCTCCTTGTGGAGATTTAATAATGTGGACCATTTTAAACCTCATGTTAAAAATAGTTTCTTTTGGCCGGGTACGGTGGCTCACGCCTGTAATCCCAGCACTTTGGGAGGCCGAGGCAGGTGGATCATGAGGTCAGGAGATCGAGACCATCCTGGCTAACACGGTGAAACCCCGTCTCTACTAAAAATACAAAAAATTAGCTGGGCGTGGTGGCGGGCGCCTGTGGTCCCAGCTACTAGGGAGGCTGAGGCAGGAGAATGGTGTGAACCCAGGAGGCGGAGCTTGCAGTAAGCCGAGATCACCCCACTGCACTCCAGCCTGGGCAACAGAGTGAGACTCCGTCTCAAAAAAAAAAAAAATAGTTTGTTCTGACAGAGACTATCACTATATATTTGATTATGTTTTGAGCTTTGTTACAGTCATATTCCAGATCTGCTCCTCCAACATTGCCCTCCACCCATTTTGAGTGGATGACCATGCTTCATTCGTAGCCACACATCTAGAAGTTGCCAAGTAGCAAGGAGTTCTGTAGAAAGTTCATCTTCAAGGTGAACAGAAACATCTACTGAGCAGTTTTTTAAAATGTTGTTAACAACTCCTCAAGGTAAAATCATTTGAATTATACGTATAATGCTGCATATTTACATTAATGTGGAACAACTCAGAAAATAATAAGGAGCCCTTAGATTGGCTTTCTAGTAAACTTCATGGCCCAGTGGACTTTGGCTAATTATAGTATTAAAATTCAGAGCTCAAATCTTGAATTTATTACTGACTTCAAGAAGGGCCTTGAGTAAGATATTAACCTTTCTGTTTCTCAGCTATTAAATGAGGCCAACAGTGCTTTGCCACTGCATTGAAATCGTGTAAAAATATACCAGTTAAAGCTTGCAAAAATATCTAAATGCTCTATAAATGTTGAGCAGAAATAAGAGATGGGCAGGAATAAAAAGACTTAAGACCAAGAAAAAGAATAACTCATTAAAATTATTTGGGATCACTGGGTAGAAAATAGCTCCTATGACTTTTCCTTCCCTCTTTATATTCTGAATCAGGTCATATAAAAAATGTCCCTAATTTGCTATAGAGTTCTCTCCCTCTTGTGCATTTGAGTTGGCATGGAGACCACACTCGGGTGATTGTAGTACCATGCTAAATCTTTGATTTAGAATCACCTGTTCCATTGGTTTGACATGTAATGGTTAGAGAAAAAGTTATGTATCTCCCAGCAGTGTCTATGGAAGGCTTATTGCTTTTCCATTTCTGTTTTCTTTCTCTTATGGGATAGAAGTCCTTTGTGAGTAAAAAAGGGTTTGGCAGATGATGTGCTTGGAAAACACAGGTTAAAACTTAAAAAAAAAAAATACATAAATTCCTGTATCAAACCTTCAGGATTAGTGGTTGTTTATGATATAACCATGGGTACTTATATCATTGTAATGAATTTATCTGACATTCTAGCACCCAGAAATCAGTTACCTTGATATTTTATCACTTTACCTGGTTAGTACTAATTTATTATTATCCAGAGGCATAAAAATTTAAATTATTTACCATTTGAGTTTTGATGTTAATTGTATTTTATTATATTTTAAGTCTGAATTTGGTAATCCTCATAGTTTTAATCAAAATATTAGACCAACTAGAACATCCATTCTCCATTCTAGTTAAATTATTTTTATTCAATATAAGAATATAGAATAAAAAAAGTCTTATTTAAAATTTAATATGGAATGGCCATTGAGGTCAGCTAGTTTGAGAAAACCTAGAAACCTTAGTATAAGAGCATCTTATAAAGCTAGATGGATACGAAACCCAAAGTGGTTTTTTTTTTTTGTTTTTTTTTTTTGAGACGGAGTCTCGCTCTGTCGCCCAGGCTGGAGTGCAGTGGCGGGATCTCGGCTCACTGCAAGCTCCGCCTCCCGGGTTCACGCCATTCTCCTGCCTCAGCCTCCCAAGTAGCTGGGACTACAGGCGCCCGCCACTACGCCCGGCTAATTTTTTGTATTTTTAGTAGAGACGGGGTTTCACCGTTTTAGCCGGGATGGTCTCGATCTCCTGACCTCGTGATCCGCCCGCCTCGGCCTCCCAAAGTGCTGGGATTACAGGCGTGAGCCACCGCGCCCGGCCCCAAAGTGGTTTTTAAAAAATTTATTGTTCGGAGCAAGGCTAGGTACTCTAGAAGCGTTAGTAATTGAGTTACTTGTGGCTTTGTATTATTAAAATATATGGTCCTTGAAGATGTCTCCATGGCTGAATCATTTTGAGAGTCACGTTTTAAGTAGTTTCATGTGGTACATAAAAGGCATTTATCTTGATGAACAAAAAAATGACTCCATCCTGATTATGATTTAGCATCTTATAACAGCATCTTTGTAATTTGAACTCGAACAAGACAAATAGAAACAAATCAAAGTCCTTACTAGAAATATATCCAGTTCAAAGTGGATTTTTTTTTTCTTGTTTGTGATGTTGTTTAGGTATGGAGCCTGTGTGTGGGATAGCACATTTGTATCAGGCTAGTTGCCAGTGTTCAGGGTACGCCTCTCCAATCCAGTCCAGGTGGTCACAGTCTAGAGTTGTTAAATTATATGTGGTTCTGGCATGTTTGGTTTGACACCAGCCAAAGGTTTTATAAACCCTAGCATTATTGACATATAGTCTTAAAAATATTATTACCTCTTGGACCTTAATGTCTTAATCTCATTGTTAGGTTAGTAAAATTAATGTGCTTCTGATAATCTGGCTTAAGTGTATTATGCCTTTTCTTAGGCTATATAATTTATGAAAACTTTATTTCTAGCTTTGTACAATGGCAGTATCATAGCCAATGAGGTTTATCTGAGGCATGATTATTGCTAATTGAAAACTTTATTTCTTGCGAAAATAGAATATAGCTATATCACTGACATGGATGCACAAGCTACTGTTTTAAAATAAGTTTATCAATGCTAGTGTAGCAATTTGGTCATGTAAATGCATTTTTGCGGGGTTGCCTCTTATTTTGGATTCTATCAGGTAGGATTATTATTTTCTATTTGAAAATTTATTTCATGGCTTATAAATGCTGTCCGTTGACCTCTGGTTAATCTATTAGTATGGATTTAAAGTACAGCTGTCCCTCAGTATCTGTGGGAGTTTGGTTCCATGACTTCCCTTGGGTACCAAAATCTAAGCATGCTCTGGTCCCTGACTTAAAGTGGCATAGTATTAATATTGGCATATAACACATGCACATCCTCCTGTATACTTTTTTATTTTTTATTTTTTTGAGACGGAGTCTCGCTCTGTTGCCCAGGCTGGAATGCAGTGGTGCGATCTCGGCTCACTGCAACCTCTGCCTCCTCCTGGGTTCAGGCGATTCTCTTGCCCCAGCCTCCTGAGTAGTTGGGATTACAGGCACCCACCACCATGCCTGACTACTTTTTGTATTTTTAGTAGAGACAGGTTTCACCATGTTGGCCAGGCTGGTCTCGAACTCCTGATCTCAGGTGATCCAACCGCCTCGGCCTCCCAAAGTGCTGGGATTACAGATGTGAGGCACTATGCTTGGCCCCTCCTGTATACTTTAAATCATCTCTAGTTTGTGTACAATACCTAATACAATGTAAATGCTGTGCAAATAATCATTAATATGGTATGGTTTAGGGCATAATGACAGGAAAAAAAGTTTGTATATAATCAGTACAGATGCACTATTTTTCCTGAATATTTTTGATCTGAGGTTGGTTGAATCCCATGGAGGGTTCACTGTACTTGATTGTTTTTCCCCTAGTGGGATATAATTTACATACTGTAGATCTTAACTGTACAGTTTGCTAAGTTATAACAAATGTACACATCTATTAATCCACACCCAAATCAAGGTATTGAGCATTTATAACCTCAGGTCTCTTCCCAATAAATCTCCCACTCCCTTTCCAGGCAACCATTGATGTGATTTCTATTATAATAGGTTAGTTTTCCCTGTTCTTGAACTTCATATAAATAGAATCATACAGAATGTATTTCTTTTAAGGCTGACTTCTTCCTCATAACATATTTGTGAGAGTCATCTATGCTGTTGTGTATTTCAGTAGTCGTCCCTGTTTATTGATGAGTATTGCATTGTAAGGGTTTATTACAGTTTAGCATGTTAATGGATATGTGTCTCCTCTGACTAGAGACGGGATGGGATCCAGATCCAGATCCAGTGCTGCAAGCTGTAGGAGTGAAGGATGCAAGGGCAGGAGCCAAGCTGTCATTAAAAAAGCCAGTAGAACACTTTCTTTACTCTGTCCACTATGTGTTAAAAATACTTGGTGTGGAAGTGTTCAGTAGTTCGTTCTGTTTGTGTCAACATTGTTTTATTATTTAAGTTTCCTGAGATCAGAGGAGCTTGTTGTCCATTAAGTTGTTCTAATATGATGATAGGTTAAAGCTGTGTGCCAAGTCCATTTAATTTTATAATAGGATTGTTTGTTATAGCAAATACTTTAGAAATGTTAGTTATTTTTAAAGCCATTATTAGTCTTTATTATTACTGATTATAACATTTCATCATGTGGATTTATCATATTTTACTTAATTGTTGCCATATTGTTAGATCTTTAGTTGGTTCTGGTTTTTTTTCTACTAAGTAATGCTAAAGTAAAAGTCATTTACGTATCTTATTCCATTTTTTGGACTTTTTTCTCAAGGTAGATTTTCAGAAACATAATTTTAGGGTCAAATGTTTTAAACGTTTATATTTTTTGGTATCTATTGATCAATGTTCCTTATTTGTTTTCTAAGACAGTTGATTAGTTTACAGTGACAGCAAAGATATGCTAAGGGCCAAGGCTTACTGTACTTTAGTTTGAATATATATTGTCTGGAAACATTTTGTTGTTTGAATTGGGAGGTGCTAGAAAGAAAAGTAAAAACATTTTGTATTGTAGTTATAAAATGCACTCTCATGGTTCTATATTCGCTTGATAACTAATGAGGCATCAAATACATTTATCATTTTTGTATGCTATGTTTCTTCTTTTGCAAATTTTCCCTGATTACATCTTTTATGTTGAGAATATTTGATCAAAAAAGGAAGCTACCTATATTGTGAATGATCTGGGATAAAACATCATCTTATGCGGGAGAGAGTAAATCTTGGTGTTCAATTCTCATGAGGTAGAATGTTCAATCCAAGAAAAAAAGCGCTGAGTCAGAGCTGATGTGCTACATGGTCATTGCCATGCATTGTGTTAAATCGTTGACTGACATTTAATTTTTCAATAACCCTGAAAGGTAGGTGGTGTCTTCATTATCCATTTGAGCCACTCTCAAATAAGTTGGACTTTTAAGAGAAACCTTGGGTTAAAAGTAGTAGAAGTAGCAACTGGAAAAAGGATAGTGTAGGAGAGATGGCTTTCAGTCTGCCTGAGGCTGCTTTGCCCCCAAATTTCTCCTCTCCATACTACCTTTGCTTTTCTACTTCATTAATTATAACATTGGAAATGCCACCAATTGCAGTTGTATTCTGCTTAAGAGTCAACCTCTCTTAAAATGTTAAAAACCCCTAGAAGGGATTTATTCTGGAAGATCTTGTGTTATTAGCCATTAATATGAGCTAATCAGACAGTTTTTTTGTGGGGAGGGGGAGGTTGTTTTTGTTTTTTTTAAACTCTGTGGGACATACCTATTCCTAGGGGTGGAGTGTTGGGAGGAGGCAGGCGAGGTTGCATGTGGGGTACAGGAAAGGAGGAGGAAGAAAGTTTCCTTCCTCTTTCTGGGATGTAGGGGGCTGGCCCGGTGCAGAGTTTTGACATAGGAAATGTTTGTCCTTGGCACTCTGCCATCTCCTTATTCATACTTCTACATCTCAAAACCCTACTCCTTGGCCGCAAAACCCAGCCCTCTGCTATGTGCATCCAACCATGACTCTCCACCCAGATCTGCCTTTCTTGTCACTAAGCGTTTCATCTTCTAAACACATCACCCTTGCCTACCTTCTCCCCACACTCCTCCCCAAGCTCCACCTTGCAGGATAGCTATGGCTAGCTGAGTCAAAAACAACAGCAACAACAAAAGCTGTCTTTTCATGCTTGCATGTTTTCTTAGATATTTAGAAGTTATATATATGTGGAGCAATCGGACCCTTTGGTAGTCTCTTCCTAATAAGCAAACTGCTAATGGCTCAGGATTTAAAAGACATACTACATAAATTATTTCCCCCTATGGAATAAATATGCAAGCTGAAAATAAACTACAGATCCTAATAGCCAAGCAGAAGGAGTATACTTGTCTAAGCGAAACATCTTCTATGTAATTTGGCTTGTCAAACAATGTGAAGTAGGATGAAAGCATCTTTACAATGTGCAGCTGGTGTGAGAGTGTCACACAGATGCTAATTGTTTGGCTTGGGTGTCTTCCATTTCTCATGCTCTACAGTGTCTTCTCTGATCAGTGGTGGCTTCTCCCCTCCGTTTCTTTGTTTATTGCAGAAAGCATCTCCACGGTAAAAAATGTGCAGCCTTTTATTTGTCTCCATTGGTTGGAAATCAACATGTACAAATAAAAAAGCTTTTTTTTCCCCGTTTTTCAAAATGACAACATTTTAAGTTAGATTTATTTAATCAGGTGCTATGTCCTTCTACTTCATGTTTCTCCAAACACTTAAAACTGTTGCTGTTCACCGAACAGGAAGAGTAACGTGTAGAGCCTGGTTACTGTTCTACAAAACACTGGCTTGATGATCAAAGGCCTTTCAGACTCCAAAGGCCTTTCAACACGCCAAAGTGAGGCAATCTCTAGTGAGTGGTGGGTAATATTTCCCGGAGAAGCCACAGTCCATATATAGCTCCCCTTAACCCTTGTTATATTTGCTAGCATTGTAGAGATCCAGAAAGAAATTTCTTTACTTGCTTCTCCCTGACTTTCTTTTAAATAATATTTGACCATTTAAATGGTACATAGAAAATGCACCACTTAACAAATACATAAAATTTAACAAATATGTAAAAATAAATAGGAAATGTTCATATCACACCTAACCAGAGATAAAACATATTAACAATTGTGGTATAGCCCTCTAATACTGTTTGTTGTTATGTACACATGTGTTTACCCAAAAAAGGGGTCATACTGTAGATTCTTTTAGAAACTAGCTTTTTATACTAAATGTATTAGAAACATTTTTCCAAGTCATTAAATATTTGTCTACTGTATCTCTTTTAAGAGCTGAAAAATATTCAATTTCATTGATATTATAGAATTGACTTTATTTTTCTCTTGTTATTGGACATTTAAGTTCTTCTCAATTTTTTATAATTTAAACAGCACTATAATTAATAGTTCTTTAGCTAAGTATATTCACATTCGCAGTTTGTTCCATTGTGTAATATAACAGCTTGGGGTCCTTCTGCAAGCAAGGCTTATGTGCAGTTCATTTATTTGGGAAGTGATCCCAAGGAGCCACAGTGAGTGAATGGAGGACTTGAGCTGGAAAGGAGGGAAAACCGGTTCATAGGTGCAGTACAGATCTGGCCATAGCTACATGTGACGGGACCTTTGAAAGCCTTATAAAATATGTCTCAGAACTGTCTTCTAGGAGAATACCAGGGGGAAGTATTTCTCTTCCTTTGATGCATTCTCCACTAGTCAAGGGTGGTCCCACAGCATTATTTCCTGCATGCTTCCAGACTGTGTGGGTATGAGCCCAGTGCATCACTGAAGGCCTAGGATAGGAAGCCAGAGAGAGGTATGGCCAGGGGCTGGGGTGAGGCCCTGTTACGTTACATCTTCAGAAAGGTGGTCAAAGCCTGCTTGGGCCTGGTTGCTGCAGTGGTGGGTTGGGCAAGAAGTAAGGCTGAGAAGATTTGTGGTAGGCTACAAGAAGTGTCTGGTACATATACATTCCTAGAAACAGAGCTTGTAATTTTGTCTCAAAGGACATGCACAATTGTATCTCAAAATAGAAATACACATGGGAGTCATAAAATTATGTTCAGGTTGATTCATTTATGAGGTACACATTCTGAGACCTGAGGATGTGGCAGGGGGTAACAGACGTGATCCTACTGCCACAGAGCTTACATTCCTTTGCAGGAAGACAGTAAACATGGGAACAAATACATAACATCAGTGCTGACAGCAGTAGGTGCTGTGAAGCAAATGAAATGGAGCAGTGCTGTTAGTAGTGACTTGAAAGGGACTGAGCCCATGGTGAGAACACCAGGGTTCTCATGATTTTAGATGGCACACAGATAAACTGAGAGTGAAGAGACTCAGGGTTCGGTTGATGGAATAGAACTAAAGGAGAAGGATGTAGGAAGGAGGGGCGAGGGCCTCTTTACATTCACTGTCCGCTTTACATTTTTCCTAGAGGCAGATGTACCCAAGAGAGATATTTTGGCTTTTGGAGTGTGGCCTTCCCTCAGTGCATACACTATATGGAATTTAATCACTCTTAGATTCTTAGAAAATATTTTTAACATTCAAAATATATATCAAATTATAATTGCTCCATCTTTGATGTTTTGGAATATACTTAAATCCAGAGAATAACAAAATTTAGGGCAGAATTTTTTTTTTCATATCATACCAAGAGTACTGTATAGAAATCCAAGGTACTGCATGATGGTCTGTGCTTAACTATGACAAAAAAAAAAAAAAAAAAGGATCATAGAGTGCCTTGGGGTTATTTTTAATCAATCTCAGGGTTAACACTAGTGCAACTCTGCACTAGATGGAAATTTCCATTAGATGGTGGCTGGGGGTTTATTGTATCAATGTAATTCTACCTCATATGAGAAGCAGCACTGTTCAACTGCTCCTTTGCTTCAGAGAGCTCAGAAAATAAGTTTCAAAGACATAAATTTATTCATTGGACCTTTTAGTTACAATGCCCAAGATATTTTTGTGACCTAAATAGCAAATTAAGAAATCACCTCTTTACATTGCTAGGTGTTTCTCACATTTGTTACCAATAGTACAATGTATCTACTTCAGTAGAAAGTAAGCCAAGGGATTATGATAGCTCCAGATTAAAGCACATTCTTCATTTTCAGTGATATGTAAAACCACAGGATCAGAATTACATTAGATATTGAAAGACTAGAATATTAAATCTGATCTCCTAAATCAGGGTTTTCCAAATTCTGATCACTTGTAATCATTTGTGGGCCAGCTTCAGGATTTTGCTATATTCTACAAGTGCTGATGCTATTAAATTTTTAATGTTTTTCTCTACAGTGAGTCAATTTTTGCTTAAATAAGTTTACTTGAGAAGGAATGTTTATATTATTGTATTATTGAAATAAATGGAAAATAACTTAAAAAAATGTATTTCTAACTATGAACCTATATTCTTTTTTTTTTTTCTTTGAGATGGAGTCTCACTGTGTCACCCAGGCTGGAGTACAGTGGTCCGATCTTGGCTCACTGCAACCTCCGCCTCCTGGGTTCAAGCAATTCTCCTTCCTCAGCCTCTCAAGTAGCTGGGATTACAGGTGTGCACCACCATGCCCAGCTAATTTTTGTATTTTTAGTAGAAACGAGGTTTTGCTATGTTGGCCAGGCTGGTCTTGAACTCCTACTCCTGACCTCAAATGCTCTGCCCACCTTAGCCTCCCAAAGTGCTGGGATTACAGGTGTGAGCCACCAAGCCTGCCCTGAACCTATATTCTTAACTATTAATGCAAGAAGTTTATCTGTATGTCATCTAAAATCATTATGCACATTTTGGTTAGTACCGCTCTCATAGCAGGCTTGGCCTGTCCCATACCAGGTGTGTGACCTTTAGCAAGTTACCCAACTTCTCCTACCCTCTGTATTCGCTTGTGTATGATGGAGATAATGAGATATTATTGTCTGGCAAGTGCTTAGCACAGTGCCTGATGTAGTAATTACTCAGTAAATGGAAGTAACTGCAATAATGCATTGTTGAAGTGGTTGTTGTCTTTATTATTCTTCATGAAAAGGACAGTGTTGGAGATTTAGAAATTATACAAATACTTCCATTCTGCACCTAAATTTGGGGTTGAAGGTATTAGAACAGTAGACCAAAGAGCTGACCAATTTGATTATATCCCTAGCTTTCCATGACTCGCTGTATGACTTGGTCAAGCCGTTTAACCCCTCGAGGGTGTGGTTTCTTCATCACACAAATTAGAAGGTTTGATTTGATTTGATCTCAAAACTTTCAGCTTGCAGGGTGACAGCTGTTTGAGTGGTTTTGATCATGGGATGTGGTTCATCTGAAGTCAGAGCATTTTAAATTTTGTTTTAAGTGGCTGTTTGGCACCCAAAATAAGCTAGGAGTTGATGTGGCCCCAGCTGTTTTCCTGTTTTCATTATCAGTGACTGATGGTCACCAGGCGTCATGTTAGCAAGCTGGGTCAATTAGTAATTGCTTTTGAAGCTGTATATAATTAATTACATAATTATGAGCTATTGAAGTTTAGTCCTAGTAAAACTACATCATAAAACCAAGGCAATTTCAAAAGATTTACTGACAAAAGAAAAATATGAACAAACTTTTTGTACATTTGACTTACATTTATTTTATGTTTAGCATATATTTGTCAAGCATGTAACCACGTTTCACTGTCATCAAAAAAAATTATATGTGAATATAATCTAGCCACATGGACCACTGTTGAAATAACTTTATATTTCTACCTAGATGACTTGTTATGCCCCTTCCAGATAGGAGAATCTACAATTTTATGAATTTCGGTCTCCTAATACGGTAGATCTGAACTTGGTAATGATTAAGTTGAAATCAATAAAGCAAAATGAAATTTTAAAAGCCTGCTACACACACATATATGTGTGTGTGTGGGGGGGGTGTATATGTTAGCATAATATACCAACGACTAATTTTTTTTTCACTCAGGAATATATTTTAGAAATTATCTCATTTATTAGTTTCCTCTTTCGTTTGAATGACTGCAATTGAATGGATGATTCCAATTATTTGATCAGTCTCCTTATGATGGACATTAAAGGCTTTTTTCTAACTTCTATTAGCCACAATAATGCTGTAATGAATATCTTGTGCATGTGAGATTTTGTGCATATGTTAGCATATCTATAGGTTAAATTGCTGGGTCAGAGGACATGTGCATTTGTAATTTTGAATTTGAAATAAACAAATTGTTCTTCATGGAGGTTGGACCAATATGTGCTCCCACCAACAATGTGTAAGTGAGCCTGTTTCCTGCCCAACCACTTTTTCCTCATCGTTCTGTGTGACCAAACAATTTAAGTATTATACTGTTTTCTCTAGGAAAATGCTAATTAGAGGAGTGATCATACTATTTGTGCAGATTTCACAGAGATTGAATTTTACACTGAAGACCACTTTCTAAACTATATGTAGAAATTTAATTTGCTGAATTAAATGGCTGTACTATTAAGCATCTTGGAACGCACTTTATGTTGCTTCAGAGCGCAATTACACTGGCATGGAAAAACCTGCAATTTGAAAATTATCAACAAATTAAAGCCTTCTGTGGATATTCATTCTCATAACATAATGAAACCTACTATACATATCATGCAAAAAGTTTGGCTGTAACGTTATTTATACTTTATTTTCTATTTTTATTTTTATTTTTTGAGACGGAGTCTCTCTCTGTCACCCAGGCTGGAGTGCGGTGGTGTGATCTCGGCTCATTGCAACCTCTGCCTCCAGGGTTCAAGTGATGCTCCTTCCTCAGCCTCCTGAGTAGCTGAGACTACAGGTGTGTGCCACTACACCCAGCTAATTTTTGTATTTTGAGTAGATTGGGCTTTCACCATGTTGGCCAGGTGGTCTCAAACTCCTGACCTCAAGTGATCCACCTGCCTCGGCCTCCTAAAGTGCTGGGATTACAGGCGTGAGCCACCACGCCTGACCTATTTTTCTTAAACTCAGAAGGAAAAGGCCTTATGTCTGGATACTGTTTCTATTTTTTCTTGAGCCTTTAGATTCAGGAGTTAAAGCTTCTGTGCTTCCTTTAAGAAGGTAAGAAGTTTGTTACAGAGAGATGTGAATGATGTCTTTCTTTTCTATGTTTAGGACTTACTCCATAGATTTAGGAAAGTCATAACATATAGTCATAAACCACTATTATTTTTCTGTCTTTGGGCTGCAGTGTGGCATATATGAAAGTCAATTTCTGAAGGAACTTAGATCTTTTTTTAATGCTAATGTAGTCTTTTCTAAAATTTACCATTGTTCGAATAGTTGAAGGTTTTTTTGTGGGGTTTCTTTGGCTTTTATAAAGGATCACCAGAATTCGATAACCTTTTTTTGAAGTTTTTCTCCTTAATTTGACTTTCAAATATGGTCCTTTATATAACACTGTAATAATTCACTTACAAGGAAAAATGTTTTTCTATTATTGACTTATTTGAAAAGCACTTGTAGTGTTGGATATAGTATTCATAGTGAAGATAGTGGTTCAATCCCACAGAATAACCTATAATTAATATAAAATTGCTTGGAGTTACTCAAATAAAAATGCAAATTAAAAAGTTATTAGATAATCACCTATTACATTTTCCTTGTTAGCACATATATTACATTCTAGAGAAACTGTCTGCTTATAGGTAGAGACTGTTGTTGAACTTTAAATTGTTCTACCCCGTAAGGAAAGCAGTTGTTATGATACTCATACAGTGGAAAAACAGGCCTTCAGCAAAATGAGGCTTTGTTGTGATATGGATTACTCTGGGGCCACTCCTTCCCCACAGATAACTGAAGTGCATGACTGCTTGAACTAAGAGAACAAAACCATTTTCATTGAATCATAGCACCCCCTAGCATCCTAATAATTTACGGGCTTTTGTTGTTGTTGTTTTGTTTTGTTTTTGAGATGGGGTCTCACTCTGTCACCCAGGATGGAGTGCTGTGGGGTGATCACAGATTACTACAGCCTCGACCTCTCAGGCTCAAGTGATCCTCCCACCTCTGCCTCCTGAGTAGCTGGCACTACAGTTGCGTGCCACCACACCAGGCTAATTTTTATATTTTTTGTAGAGATGAGGTCTTGCTATGTTGCCCAGCCTGGTCTCAAACTTCTGAACTCAAGCGATCCTCCTGTCTTGGCCTCCCAAAGTGCCGGGATTACAGGTGTGAGTCACCATGCCCTGCCAAGAATTTGTGTTTTTAGAAGTCAAAATAACATTTTGTTTATGCTTATGAAACAAACCATTAATCTTATAAGATCTGATATCTCATATTCTTCTGACCAAGGAGAAGAGGCCTTTGAAAGATTACATGGAAATTATGGGGAATGTGAAGAGTCATCATTGTTATTAAAAATAATTTTTATATTTGTTTTCTAGGGAATATGGGGGTATGGACGCAGATAATAAACTATGGCTGAACATCTTGTGTCCTATGTAGAAGTGGTCAAAGAGGCAGTGTTTTTCCACCCAAGTGCCTAAGAATATTGATGTGTGTGTTGCAGGTACTTCTCCCAGCAGCTGGTCTCTTACAGTTACAGGATGTGAAGAAGACTTGTTGTGAATTTTTGGAATCCCAGCTTCACCCTGTCAACTGCTTAGGAATCCGGGCTTTTGCTGATATGCATGCATGTACCGACCTTCTGAACAAGGCCAACACCTATGCAGGCAAGTGGAGTAGACCTCAGCTGAATTTGGGAGGAAACTGCTTGGTTTTTGATATGATTCCACAGTGGTCTCTGGAAAGTCATGTCATATTTCTGGATCTGGGCTTTATAAAAATACATTTAAAATCTTATAATGGTCACACTGCATAACTGAAGCATACTCATAAAATTCTGAACTTAAAAAGCAAGCAACTATACATTGGGATTGGGCCTGAATAATAGAATAGCTAGGAATAGCTAGGTTTTTTTGTTTTTTTTTTTTTGAGACGGAGTCTTGCCCTGTCACCCAGGCTGCGGTGTGGTGGTGCAATCTTGGCTCATTGCAACCTCCGCCTCCAGGGTTCAAGAAGAATAGCTGTATGTATTTTTCTTTCAAATTGTTAAATGAATAGGCATATGAGAAAGTATATGCATGTGAAGTTATTTTAGCTCTGATTTTTTACATTGTTTTTTTTTTTTTTTTTTTTTTTTGCATCCATGAAAACAATTTTGTGGCTTAAAAAAATCTTCAAAGCAGTGAAATATAGATACATTTGGTGGAGTAGAAAAGTAGACCAATAGAAGCAGCCCACTCCTTGCATGCTGGTTCCATGGCCTACTGCTACTGCTGGCATTTCCCTGTGGCAGAGGGAGGGCCTGTTGCTGTTTTCAAGGAGCCCTTGCTTTAGCTGCTCTTCAGGCCCTTCAGACCCCTCATCTCTGCAGTTGGGGAGGAGACATTGTTATAGCTTTGAATGCACACACATAGTTCACAAATGTAATCTATATTTTATTTGAGTTTATAAACAAAAATATATATTAAAAGTGATTATTAGGAAATTTCTTTTTTTAGTTTATGCTTTCATTTAATGATTACATCCTTTTTTTTTTATTCTAATAGCTTTAGGAGTACAAGTGGTTTTTGGTTACATGAATGACTTGTATAGTCACGAGGTCTGGGATTTTAATGTACCCGTCACCTGAGTAGTAGACATTGTACTCTAATCGGTAGTTTTTCATCCATCACCATCCTCTCAACCTCCCCACTTCTGAGTCTCCCATGTCCATTATACCACTCTGTCTGCCTTTGCATACTGATAGCTTAGCTCCCACTTATAAGTGTGAATATGTAGTATTTGGTTTTCCATTCCTGAGTTACTTAACTTAGAATAATGGCCTCCGGTTTCATCCAAGTTGCTGCAAAAGACATTATTTCTTTCTTTTTTTATGGCAGAGTAGTATTCCATCATATATATATATATATATATACACACACACACGTACGTATATACACGTATATATGTACACACATGTATATACATATATGTCTACATACGTATATGTATGTGTGTGTGTGTGTGTGTGTGTATATATATATATATACATATATATATATATATATGTATATATATATATATATATATATATAAAACATTATCCACTCATTGGCTGATGGGCACTTAGGTTGATTCCATATCTTTGCAATTGTGAATTGTACTGTGATAAACATACACATCTGGGTGTCTTTTTGATTTAATGATTTCTTTTCCTTTAGGTAGATACTCGGTAGTGAAATTGCTGGATTGGATTTTAATTTCTTTGAGGAATCTCCAGACTGTTTTCCATAGAGGTTGTACGAATTTACATTCCCACCAGCAGCATATAAGCGTTCCCGTTTCACCACATCCACACCAACATCTATTGTTTTTTCACTTTTAATAATAGCTATTCTGGTTAGGGCAAGGTGGTATCTCGCTGAGGTTTTAATTTGCATTTTCCTGATGATTAGTGATGTTCAGCATTTCTTTCATGTTTGTTGACCATTTGTATATCTTCTTTTTAAGAAATATCTGTTCATGTCATTTGCCCACTGTTTAATGGGATTATTTGATTTTTTCTTGCTGACTTGTTTGAGTTCCTTTTAGATTCTGGATATTAGTCCTTTGTCAGAGGCATATTTTGCAAATATTTCCTCCCATTCTATAGGTTGTGTGTTTACTCTGGTGATTATTTCTTTGGTCTTGTGGAAGTTTTTTTTGTTTAATTAGGTCCCATTTATTTATTTTTGTGTTTGTCACATTTGCATTTGGGGTCTTTGTCATAAATTTTTTGTTTCGGCCAATGCCCAGAAGTTTTTCCTAAGTTTTCTTCTAGAATTTTGATGGTTTCAGGTCTTAGATTTAAGTCTTTAATCCATCTTGGGTTAATTTTTATATATGGTGAGAGATAGGGATCTCTCACCATATATAAAACGTGTACACGAGCACAACGTGATGGTTTCCAGCTTCATCCATGTCCCTGCAAAGGACACGAACTCATCCTTTTTTAATGGTTACATAGTATTCCATGGTGTATATGTGCCACATTTTCTTAATCCAGTCTATCATTGATGGACATTGGGAGGTTCCAAGTCTTTGCTATTGTGAATAGTGTCGCAATAAACATGTGTGCGTGTGTCTTTATAGTAGTATGATATATAATGCTTTGGGTATATACCCAGTAATGGGATTGCTGGGTCAAATGGTATTTGTAGTTTTAGATCCTTGAGGAATTGCCACACTGTCTTCCACGATGGTTGAACTAATTTACACTCCCACCAACAGTGTAAAAGCATTCCTATTTCTCCACATCCTATCCAGCACCTGTTGTTTTCTGACTTTTTAATGATCGCCATTCTAACTGGCCTGAGATGGTATCTCACTGTGGTTTTGATTTGCATTTCTCTGATGACCAGTGATCATGAGCATTTTTTATATGTCTGTTGGCTGCATAAATGTCTTCTTTTGAGAAGTGTCTGTTTATATCCTTTGTCCACTTTTTGATGGGGTTGTTTGTTTTTTTCTTGTAAATTTGTTTAAGTTCTTTGTAGAGTCTGGATATTAGCCCTTTGTCAGATGGGTAGTTTGCAAATATTTTCTCCCATTCTGTAAGTTGCCTCTTCACTCTGATGATAGTTTCTTTTGCTGTGCAGAAGCTCTTTAGTTTAATTAGATCCCATTTGTCAATTTTGGCTTTTGTTGCCATTGCTTTTGGTGTTTTAGTCATGATGTCTTTGCCCATGCCTATGTCCTGAATGGTATTGCCTAGGTTTTCTTCTGGGGTTTTTATGGTTTTAGGTCTAACATTTAAGTCTTTAACTCATCTTGAGTTAATTTTTTATATGGTGTAAGGAAGGGATCCAGTTTCAGCTTTCTGCATATGGCTAGCCTGTTTTCCCAGCACCATTTATTAAATAGGGAGTCCTTTCCCCATTGCTGGTTTTTGTCAAGTTTGTCAAAGATCAGATGGTTTTAGAGGTGTGGTGTTATTTCTGAGGCCTCTGTTCTGTTCCATTGGTCTATATCTCTGTTTTGGTACCAGTACCATGCTGTTTTGGTTACTGTAGCCTTGTAGTATACTTTGAAGTCAGGTAGCGTGATGCCTCCAGCTTTGTTCTTTTTGCTTAAGATTGTCTTGGCTATGTGGGCTCTTTTTTGTTTCCATATGAAATTTAAAGTAGTTTTTTCCAATTCTGTGAAGAAAGTCAGTGGTAGCCTGATGGGGATAGCATTGAATCTATAAATTACCTTGGGCAGTATGGCCATTTTCAAGATATTGATTCTTCCTATCCATGAGCATGGAATGTTCTTCCATTTGTTTGTGTCCTCTTTTATTTTTTTGAGCAGTGGTTTGTAGTTCTCCTTGAAGAGGTCCTTCATATCCCTTGTAAGTTGTATTCCTAGGTATTTTATTCTCTTTTTAGCAATTGTGAATGGGAGTTTGCTCATGATTTGGCTCTCTATTATTGGTGTATAGGAATGCTTGTGATTTTTGCACATTGATTTTGTATCCTGAGACTTTGCTGAAGTTGCTTATCAGCTTAAGGATATTTTGGGCTGAGACAATGGGGTTTCTAAATATACAATCATGTTATCTGCAAACAGAGATAATTTGACTTCCTCTCTTCCTAACTGAATACCCTTTATTTCTGTCTCTTGCCTGATTGCCCTAGCCAGAACTTCCAACACTATGTGGAATAGGAGTGGTGAGAGAGGGCATCCTTGTCCTGTGCTGGTTTTCAAAGGGAACGCTTCCAGTTTTTGCCCATTCAGTATGATATTGGCTGTGGGTTTGTCATAAATAGCTCTTAGTATTTTGAGATACGTTCCATCAATACCTAGTTTATTGAGAGTTTTTAGCATGAAGGGCTGTTGAATTTTGTCAAAGGCCTTTTCTGCATCTATTGGGATAATCATGTGGTTTTTGTCATTGGTTCTGTTTATGTGATGGATTACGTTTATATATTTGCGTGCATTGAACCAGCCTTGCATCCCAGGGATGAAGCTGACTTGATCATGGTGGATAAGCTTTTTGATGTGCTGCTGGATTTGGTTTGTCAGTATTTTATTGAGGATTTTTGCATCGATGTTCATCAGGGATATTGGCCTAAAATTCTCTTTTTTTGTTGTTTCTCTGCCAGCCTTTGGTATCAGTATGATGCTGGCCTCATAAATGAGTTAGGGAGGATTCCCTCTTTTTATATTGATTGGAATAGTTTCAGAAGGAATGGTATCAGCTCCTCTTTGTACCTCTGTTAGAATTTGGCTGTGAATCCATCTGGTCCTGGACTTTTTTTGGTTAATAGGCTATTAATGATTGCCTCAATTTCAGAACCTGTTACTGGTCTATTCAGAGATTCAGCTTCTTCCTGGTTTAGTCTTGGGAGGGTGTATGTGTCCAGGAATTTATCCATTTCTTCTAGATTTTCTAGTTTATTTGCATAGAGGAATTTATAGTATTCTCTCATGGTAGTTTGTATTGCTGTGGGATTGGTGGTGATATCCCCGTTATCATTTTTTTATTGCATCTATTTGATTCTTCTCTCTTTTCTTCTTTATTAGTCTTGCTAGCAGTCTATCAATTTTGTGGATTTTTTTAAAAAACCACCTCCTGGATTCATTGATTTTTTGAAGGGTTTTTTGTGTCTCTGTCTCCTTCAGTTCTGCTCTGATCTTAGTTATTTCTTGTCTTCTGCTAGCTTTTGAATGTGTTTGCTCTTGCTTCTCTAGTTCTTTTAATTGTGATGTTAGGGTGTTGATTTTAGATCTTTTCTGCTTTCTCTTGTGGGCATTTAGCACTGTAAATTTCCCGCTACACACTGCTTTAAATGTGTCCCAGAGATTCTGGTACATTCTGTCTTCGTTTTCAGTGACTTCAAAGAACATCTTTATTTCTGCCTTCATTTCGTTGTGTACCCAGTAGTCATTCAGGAGCAGGTTGTTCAGTTTCCATGTAGCTGTGTGGTTTTGAGTGAATTTCTTAATCCTGAGTTCTAATTTGATTGCACTGTGGTCTGAGAGACAGTTTGTTGTGATTTCTGTTCTTCTACATTTGCTGAGGAGTGCTTTACTTCCAATTATGTGGTCAATTTTAGAATAAGTGCAATGTGGTGCTGAGAAGAATGTATATTCTGTTGATTTGGGGTGGAGAGTTCTGTAGATGTCTATTAGGTCTGCTTGGTCCAGAGCTGAGTTCAAGTCCTGGATATCCTTGTTATTAACCTTCTGTCTCGTTGATCTGTCTAATATTGACAGTGGGGTGTTAAAGTCTCCCATTATTATTGTGTGGGAGTCTAAGTCTCTTTTTAGGTCTCTAAGGACTTGCTTTATGAATCTGGGTGCTTCTGTATTGGGTACATATTAGGAATGTTAGCTATTCTTGTTGAATTGATCCCTTTACCATTATGTAATGGCCTTCTTTGTCTCTTTTGATCTTTGTTGGTTTAAAGTCTGTTTTATCAGAGACTAGATTGCAACCCCTGCTTTTTTTTTGTTTTCCATTTGCTTGGTAGATCTTCCTCCATCCCTTTATTTTGAGCCTGTGTGTGTCTTTGCATGTGAGATGGGTCTCGTGAATGCAGCACACTGATGGGTCTTGACTCTTTATCCAATTTACCAGCCTGTGTCTTTTAACTGGGGCATTTAGCCCATTTACATTTAAGGTTAATATTGTTATGTTTGAATTTGATCCTGTCATTATGATGTTAGCTGGTTATTTTGCCTGTTAATTGATGCAGTTTCTTCATAGCATCCATGGTCTTTACAATTTGGCATGTTTTTGCAGTGGCTGGTACCGGTTATTCCTTTCCATGTTTAGTGCTTCCTTCAGGAGCTCTCTTGTAAGGCAGGCCTGGTGGTGACAAATTCTCTCGGCATTTGCTTGTCTGTAAAGGATTTTATTTCTCCTTTACTTATGAAGCTGAGTTTGGCTGGATATGAAATTCTGGGTTGAAAATCCTTTTCTTTAAGAATGTCGAATATTGGCTCCACTCTTTCCTGGCTTGTAGGGTTTCTGCCAAGAAATCTGCTGTTAGTCTGATGAGCTTCCCTTTGTGGGTAACCCGACCTTTCTCTCTGGCTGCCCTTAACATTTTTTCCTTCATTTCAACCTTGGTGAATCTGACAATTATGTGTCTTGGGGTTGCTCTTCTTGAGGATTATCTTTGTCTTTGTGGTGTTCTCTATATTTCCTGAATTTGAATGTTGGCCTGCCTTGCTAGGTTAGGGAAGTTCTCCTGGATAATATCCTGAAGAGTGTTTTCTAACTTGGTTCCATTCTCCCCATAACTCTCCGGTACACCAATCAAACGTATATTTGGTCTTTATCCATAATCACATATTTCTTGGAGGCTTTGTTCATTTCTTTTCACTCTTTTTTCTCTAATCTTGTCTTCTTGCTTTATTTCATTAATTTGATCTTCAATCAGTGATATCCTTTCTTCCACTTGGTCGAATCGGCTATTGACGCTTGTGCATGAGTCACAAAGTTCTCTTGCTGTGGTTTTCAGCTCCATCAGGTCATTTAAGGTCTTCTCTACACTGTTTATTCTAGTTAGCCATTCGTCTAACCTTTTTTCAAGGTTTTTAGCTTTCTTGTGATGGGTTAGAACGTGCTCCTTTAGCTCAGAGAAGTTTGTTATTACCAGCCTTCTGAAGCCTACTTCTGTCAATTTGGCAAACTCATTCTCCATCCAGTTTTGTTCCCTTGCTGCCGAGGAGCTGCGATCCTTTGAAGGAGAAGAGATGCTCTGGTTTTTGGAATTTTCACCTTTTCTGCTCTGGTTTCTCCCCATCTTTGTGGTTTTAACTACCTTTTGTCTTTGATGTTGGGGACCTGCAGATGGGGTTTTGGTGTGGATGTCCTTTTTGTTGATGCTGATGCCATTCCTTTCTGTTTGTTAGTTTTTCTTCCAACAGGCCCCTCAGCTGCAGGTCTGTTGGAGTTTGCTGGAGGTCCACTTCAGACCCTGTTTGCCTGGGTATCACCAGCAGAGGCTGCAGAACAGCAGATATTGCTGCCTGATCCTCCCTCTGGAAGCTTCATCCCAGAGGGGCACCCACCTGTTTGAGGTGTCTGTCATCCCCTACTGGGAGGTGTCTCCCAGTCAGGCTACACAGAGGTCAGGGACCCACTTGAGGAGGCAGTTTGTCCCTTCTCGGAGCTCAAACGCCATGCTGAGAGAACCACTGCTCTCTTCAGAGATGTCAAACAGGGACATTTAAGTCTGCAGAAGCGGTCTGCTGCCTTTTGTTCTCCCCAGTTTATGTTTTTGTATGCTTTGTCGAAGATCAGTTGTTTGTAAATATTTACTTTATTTCTGGGTTCTCTATTCTGTTCCATTGGTCTACATATCTACTTATATGCCAGTGCCATACTGTTCTGGTTATGATACCCTTATATTAGTATAATTTGAAGTCAGGTAATGTCATGCCTCTAGATTTGTTCTTTTTGCTTAGGATTACATTGGCTATTTGGGCCTTTTTAAAAAAATTCCATATGCATTTTAGGATTTTTTTTTTATAATTCTGTGAAGAGTGATGGCATTTTGATAGGAATTGCATTGACTCTGTAGATTGCTTTGGACAGTATGGTCATTTTCATGGTGTTGATTCTTCTAGTCTGTGAACATGGGATGTATTTCCATTTGTTTGTATCATCTATGATTTCTTTAAGCAGTGTTTTGTAGTTCTCCTTGTAGAGTTCTTCACCTCCTTGGTTAAATATATTCCTAAGTATTTTATTTTATTTTGTAGCTATTATAAAAGGGATTGAGTTCTTAATTTGATTCTCAGCTTGGTCATTGTTCGTGTGTAGCAGTGCTACTGATTTATGTACATTGATTTTGTAACCTGAGGCTTTACTGAATTCATTTATCAAAGCTAGGCGCCTTTTGGAGGAGTCTTTAGGGCTTTCTAGGTATAAGATCATATCATCAGCAAACAGAGATAGTTTGACTTTCTCTTTTCCAATTTGGATGCCCTTTATTTCTTTCTTTTGCCTGATTACTCTGTCTGGGACTTACGGAAGTTGCTAATTTGTTTTTAAACTATATTTCTGGAAGATAAATCTGGTAGAAGTTACAATCCACCAACTGCCTGCAAGACTCTGCTTTGCATCTATGAGACTCAATAGGAATAGTTCCTGTGGAAGCTTCTGTGTTCACTGCTCCTTTAATAGGCTCTAGAACTGTAACTTCCCCAGATTTCAAATGCAGGAGCCTTTTGTCTAAACTGCTTCAGTGTGCTTACTCTGATGAGTAAGGAAGCTTTTGGTACATAGATGTGGGTAAGGGAGAATGCATGTGTGTATATATATGTGTGTCTCTGCCTGCACAGAGCATTGGAGAGTAGTAGTCCTAGAATCCGTATTTCATTTACCAAATAAATAATGGTTCAAAGTGGTTAGTTGAAAAAACAAAAACCACAGTGCTTCACTAAATCACAGTAGGTCCAATAAATTTAGACCTTATTGATTTCTATTGGGTGGCCTGATGGCCTAACTGCCCTTTAGAAAATTATTTCAGTGAAAAAATGTGATCTGAGTTCTAGGAAGCCGATTTACAGATGAGCTTTTAGAACACAACCCTTCTGTAAGTTGGGGAATGCCTGTAGTGTGTAGCACTATTCATGCAGCACTTTTGAATAGAATGAAGCATTTTATGAAAAACCAAAGACAAATATGAATTTATTGGTGTATTCCAATGCAAGCAATTCTGTTCAACTAAGTAGAAAATATTACTTCTAAATTCAGATTCCATTAACTGCTAGACTTAATGCACCTGTTATAAGTGACTTCTATTAGGAAAACCAAGAAAGCTTTTGTATTTTTAGATATTTTTTGCTGCATGAAACAATCACTATTTAACCTTTTATCTTTCCTGGGCTGCCAGTTTTCTCTATAGTGATTGATAAATGTTACTGACTGCTAATGGGGAGAGGAGGGTCAGTGCCTGGGGAGAGAATGAATAAAGTAGGATTAATGCACAGGATATCCAAACATAGTTCATATGATGTACTAGAACTCTTAGTTTTGCTTATATCAGAAGCAACTCATTTACTGTGTTTTTAGGAGATCATTAGATTTTTAAAAATCTTTCTCTTATTTAAAATCTTAAATTTATTCTAGTATACTACAAAATATAAAAAATTTTCCACCAGAATTAGAACACTTCTGTTTCTTAGTTTGTAGAATCCTCCTTTGTAATTATGCCAAGAATTTTTCATGAAAAATTATTCACTTTCAGTAAAATTATAAAGAAGCATTGATTCTTCATTTTTAATGCACTATATTTTGCATCTGAATCTAGCTTTAAAGGATGTACTGCTTTTATACCATGCTTCTGAATCTTGTATTTGCTTGAGTTTCTTAGGTTTTAGGTAACATTTTAAAACATCTTTCATTATGAAAAATTGCAAGCATGTACAAGAATAGAATAGTACTCATGATCCAACTTCAACAGTTGTCAACTCAGGGACAATTTTGTTTTAATTATAACCTTCGTTACTCCCCTTCCCTTTTTTTTATATGCAAACATTTTACTGAAGTCTAATGTACGTATAGAAAAGTACACAAATCATGTCTACAGCTTGAGGAATTTTATACATCCTCTTGTATTATCTTGAAGCAATTGTCATGCTTTACCTATGTATTTCATCCTTATATTTTAAACAAATGCCATTACAAAGACCATGCTTGTATAATGAAGTTATTTCCATATCTTTGGTGTATTGATAACTAGTTGTAATAAACTTTCCAAAATAATCCAGAATAATACTATAAAACAGTTTGATATGGTTTGGCTATGTCCCCACCCAGATCTCATCTTGAATTCCCATGTGTGGTGGGAAGGACCCAGTGGGAAGTAGTTGAATCATGGGGGGCAGGTCTTTCCTTTGCTGTTCTTGTGATAGTAAGTCTCACAAGATCTGATGGTTTTAAAAATGGGAGTTTCCCTGCACAAGCTCTCTCTCTTTGCCTGCTGCCATCCGTGTAAGACATGACTTGCTCCTCCTTGCCTTCCACCATCATTGTAAGGCCTCCCCAGCCATGTGGAACTATAAGTCCATTAAACCTCTTCCTTTTGTAAATTGCCTAGTCTTGCATATGTCTTTATCAGCAGCATGAAAACAGACTAATACGCAATTGTTCCTCATAGTGAAACTATCTGATTGTTCTTGACATTTTAAGCAAATAGGAAGTGGGGAGATAAGGAGTCCATGCAGTAAGATGTCTATAGCTCCTTTTCTACCATAAACAAATAATTGTTGTTTAGGTGATTTGTCTTTAAAGCACTCTATTTGTCCAGAAAATTTACCCAAACCTTCAAATTACTTTCAAGTCAAATCACATAGCTTGTGAAGAACTCCAAGAGGGTGACAGGACACAGTGGCAGTAAAGTTAATATTTTTCTTTTTCTTTTTCTTTTTCTTTTTCTTTTCCCTATCATAGGCAGTAGGACTTGTGACAGGCTTTTCTAGGTAGGAAAGAAAAGAAGGAAGGGAAGAAATAAATAGCAATAGATGACTCAATACATACATACATATATACATGTAAAGCAGAAGGGAGGAGAAAGAAGCTGAGGGAAAAAAGGATGGATAAGGAGAGAAAGCCTGCAGGACCTCGGGGTATTGTCTGGTCCATGGTGTGACTGCACATAAGAAGAGCACTCTCGGGCTGGGCGCAGTGGCTCATGCCTGTAATCCCAGCACTTTGGGAGGCCGAGGCAGGCAGATCATGAGGTCATGAGATCGAGACCATCCTGGCTAACATGGTGAAACCCTGTCTCTACTAAAAATACAAACAATTAGCCAGGCGTGGTTGCAGGAGCCTGTAGTCCCAGCTATTTGGGAGGCTGAGGCAGGTGAATGGCCTGAACCCGGGAGGCGGAGCTTGCAGTGAGCAGAGATCTCTCCACTGCACTCCAGCCTGGGTGACAGAGTGAGACTACGTCTCAAAAAAAAAAAAAAAAATGGAAGAGCACTCTCTATCCTTTGAAAACTCACTGGAGATTCTGGACGTAAGAACTGCTTCATTTCTTTCTCTTGCCCATTGGAAACAAGCTTTCTAGAATACATTATAATTAAATTAAATTGTACAGGTATAATGAAAAAATTAACAGTGTTCCATGGAGATCTCTTCCATGAACTCCTGCTTATTTTTAATAACATCAGTATCTTTAGGGAAAGTAAAAATGTGAGCAACCAAATGGGTAGGTTAGAGAGTGAGAGCAGGGGAGGATGTGGAATCCACGCTGCTCACCCCGAGATGCTCTCGTGGCTTCAGCAGCGTGGCACTGGCAGTGACAGCCTGTCGCACTGACCACCCTGCTTCTCCAAGGCGTGGAGTGACAGCTCAGTGTGACCAGACCGCCCAGGTTAAATGGCCTATGTGCTGAGGCATGGTGTTCTGGACTATGGTCAGCCTTCGTTACACTCCTGAAAGATTTATTTTATTTTATTTTATTTTATTTTATTTTATTTTATTTTAGCTTAAAAAGCTGTATGAAATTATTTTTTGTATCATGTCTAAAAATGAAATTTTTCTCAGTTAACCCCAAGTGTACTAACTTATTCAGAGAGTGCTGGTTTGTGGACTCTTCTCATGTTTGTTGGGTGGTATCTATATTTTAACCATTTCTCAAATCATTAGCACCTTTATTTTTAGCATTTTTTGCAGGCCAAAAATATAGAGGAGATAAAAATTGAACTCATTGGTTTAGATGCATTTTAATAGTTCTAGCAAAAGACTCTTTGGAAATTGGATTTTAATTATAACTTGAAATATGAATTTTATTCAGTATTTCTTATTGATAGCCAAGCACATTTAAGGGGACAAAAATTGTTTCAGATTTTTAGTCATTCCTATACCTCACCACTTCCCATACTGAAAATTTGAGAAACTACTTAGTACTAGTTCTAACTGATCTTTGGGGAAGTTTGTGGTATCATTTTCTTTTTCTTTTTTAAAATAGAGACGGGCTCTTGCTGTGTTGCCCAGGCTGTGCTCGAACTCCTGGCCTTAAGCAGTCCTCCTGCCTTGGCTTCCCAGAGTCGGGATTACAGGCATGAGCTACCACACCCAGCCTGACTACCATTTTCAAGCTAGAGCTGTAGCTGAAATTCTGGGCTTGGTAAGCACTCAGCATTCCTCAGTAACAGGACTACCTGTGGAGAATTCCTTCAGAGCTGGGCATGGTGGCCCACACCTGCAATCCCAGCACTTTGGGAGGCTGAGATGGGCAGATTGCTTGAGGCCTGGAGTTTGAGACCAGCCTGGCCAACATGGTAAAACCAGGTCTCTACTAAAAATACCAAAAAAAAAAAAGAGCCAGGCATGGTGGCATGTGCTTGTAGTCCCAGCTATTTGGGAGGCTGAGGCAGGCGAATAACATTAACTCAGGAGGCAGAGGTTGCAATGAGCTGAGATCACACCACTGCACTGTAGCCTGGGCAACAGAGAGACTCCATCTCAACAATAACAACAACAAAAAAGAAGTCCTCCAGTTACTGATATGCTTTCATTTTATTTTCCATTCTTTGGCTCTTAACTCTGTTATTAGTTTATATATCCCAGGCCCCGGCGGTAGTAACTACTTTACCCAGGCCTGTTCAGGCACCCCTCACTGTCCAGCTTCTGTCCTTTCCACTAGGCCTATAAAATGATCAAACTTTTTTATATGCGCAAGTATTTTCATGTGTGTCCCCTCTGTCTTTGTCATAAATGAAACTTTGTGTTTCCCCCAAACCTGTATGTCGTGAGCAGACTTCTCGAAGGGATCACTCCCCACAGCCCACTGGGAACCTAGGTAGAAGGGTACCACTTCCAGACCATTGCTCTCACTGCCATCAGCCTAACTTTTTTTTTTTTCACTGTTTATTACAAAACAAAGTAATTTTAAGATATTTTTAAAGATTGACGTTAAGAAGCTAGATTAGGTGACTTCTTATAATATGTGACATTAAATATTTTGAGAAATTCTTGGTTTCCTTGGAAGGCATTTATAATGATAAACCTTTTTTCAGTTATAATAAGATACTAAGCAGAGATAATTTTGTCATCCCAGATAGCAATTTCTTATTCACAATTGATAACATTTGAACTGAAAGAGATTCCTGGCTTTATTTCTATATTTTTTTCTACTTAGGTATTTAACTTTTTTGACATCCTCTTATCCCCTCAATAGGATCCAAAATATGTCTAAAATTAATTCAAAAGAAAACTATTTGAATTATTGCTTGTGTTTGAAAACAGTATTTACTGTAGTATTCCACAGTTTCTTCTTTTTTTAGGCTAAGACAATTAAATAAAAATGTAAGGGATAAGAAATATAGTTGAAGTCACAATAAAGTATATTTTCTTTTATGGACATAAAACATAAATTTTAAATGTTGGCTGTTTAAGAAAAAAATTCTGGTAGATATTATGCATAACCATTGCCCAAAAATGTATACAGCTGTTTTCCAACATATTGATATACATAGTGGTTCACTTAAGACCAGCCCTGTTAGAACCTTCTGAATATAATGTGCTCTTAATTTATAAATGGGCTACCCTCAGTGTATAAAATATATAGGCATATATGTTATACATACAAAGTAAAAAATATAAAAAGGAAAGATGGAAGAAAAAAGAAAGTATCCTTTCCTATAAGATCTAGACAGAAAGTCATTATAATTAATGGGACCATGGAAAATATTGGAAGGATTTCAGTTTTGGCAAATACTTTTCAGAAAAATATCCAAGCTATGAGAACACTAAATGTCTATTTTAATAATTTAGTAGATATTTCTATTCAAACATTCAGTAAAGGTGTTTCCGTCTTCTACTATGTAGAAAAGAAGACTTTTGGGGTATCTGTTAAAAGCGAAGAGCTGCTCATTTTTAACAGGTTAGTAATAACCTTTTAATCAAGTATATGTCATGCAAAGACTCAAGTCCTGTTCCAGTAGTGTTTGAGTATGTTTGATGGAAGATTCCAATGGTGAGGATCTGAATTCTTCGTACATCTTAGAGGGAATGGAGCAGGATGTTATGGCAATGGAGGGGGTCAGCCCCAAAGGTAGCTGGCCCAACCTTAACTGTGGATGTTAAAAACACACACACACACACACACACACACACACACACACACCAAATATTTCTATAGCATTCTTTTTGCTGCATTTTCTTTATTTTAAGCCACAGGTCTACTTGGAGGGTCACGCAGCAAGTGGCTTATAAATAAAATCAAAGTCTATGAATAGTGTCATCGCATTAAGAGACAATTGCTGGGTTGTTCTTTCATTATGTAAAAAGCTCGCATCTTGGGAATCCATGAGTTGGTAGGTTTTATGGAATACCTGAGATGTACCTTGCTCCGATTAACATTGCCATGCTACTCACTATAAAAAAGCCCAAGGGCAGACTACAGAAGACACTAGGGTCACCACCTTCTGGAGATTGAGTTGTAACCCAACCCATTGACTTCATCACAGCTTTCTTCCATGTAGAATAACGAATTTCACTTTCCTCAGCATTAATCTGAGGTTCAAACCGCTCCATCGTGACGGCGGACAAATCCTCAGGTTCAAGACTCCATACGTCGACTCCTTCTGCAGCCCCTGCCGCCATGGCAGCACCCAGTGCAGTGGTTTCGGGCATCAAGGGCTTCACTACTGGAATATACAGAATGTCTGCTTGTAGCTGCATAAGAATTTTGTTGCTGGTCATTCCTCCATCAACCTGCAAATGACTGAGTGGAATTCCACAGTCTCGATTCATGGCATCCAAAATCTCTCGAGTTTGGAAACAAACAGCTTCTAATGCAGCAAAAGCAATATGGCATTTATTCGTGAATTGAGTGAGTCCACAGATTATCCCTCTTGCGCTGGGCTCCCAATAAGGTGCATATAACCCCGAAAATGCTGGGACGAAGTAGCAGCCATAAGAAGTACCTACTTCTTTAGCAAGTTTTTCAATTTCTTCTGAGGTCTTTATAATTCCAAGATTGTCTCTTAGCCAGCGAATAACAGCACCAGCTATAGCTACAGAACCTTCCAAAGCGTAATATACCGGTTTGTCTCTGCCAAGTTTGTAAGCCACTGTGGTGAGAAGGCCATGATCAGAAAATACACACTTATGGCCTGTATTACATAGTAAGAAACATCCTGTTCCATACGTATTTTTGGCTTGTCCAATCTGGAAGCACATTTGTCCCACCAGTGCAGCAGACTGGTCCCCTAAACACCCAGATATTGGCACACCTTCCAAGGCCCCCGCTTTCATTAGGCCATAGATCTCAGAAGAACTCCGAACATGTGGAAGAATTTCCATTGGAATTCCAAAAAATTCACAGAGTTGTTTATCCCATTCCAAAGAATGAATGTTGAAAAGCATAGTCCTACTTGCATTTGTTACATCTGTACAGTGGACACCTCCATTGACGCCTCCTGTCAAACTCCAAATAAGCCATGAATCAATAGTCCCAAAAAGAGCTCGTTTTTCTTCAACGGCCTTTTGAACTTTTCTCACATTGTCGAGGAGCCAGCGAAGTTTCACTGCACTGAAGTAAGTGCTAAGTGGAAGGCCTGTCTTGGACTTGACAAAGTTATTATTTCCTGGAATTCTTTTACTAAGACTCTCAACGGTAGACTGTGTTCTTAGATCAAGCCACACCACAGCATTGTAGAGAGGCTCTCCAGTTATCTTGTCCCAGACTACGGTGGTTTCCCTCTGGTTGCTGACACCAATAGCTTTTATGTTGGAAATACCAATATTGAGCTGTCCAAGTTTCTCACATGTTTTCTCTATACACTCATAGACAGAATGTAGAATTTCCTTAGGGTCCTGTTCCACCCATCCTTCTCTTGGGAACTCTTGTTTTATTTCCACTTGATGATGACTAAGTAGTTCAGCTGTTCTTGAATTGAAAACCAAAAAGCGCGTGGAACTGGTGCCTTGGTCCACTGCCCCCACCAATGGCCCCAAAACTGCCTTCTTTGAGGCTGCCATGAAACCAGCTTCAGGTCCGCCCGCGTTTGCGGCCGGTTTCCTGGGTGACGGCGGCGGGAGGGGGAGGGGAGGGTGACGAGTCCAAAGAGCGAGGCCGCGCGAGTCCGCTGAACTAGCCTCACTTCTTTACTGGCTGGCTAGCAGGCTACTGCGTTCTCTCTGCAGCTCATTTTCTGTCTTGGCCTCCAGGCATACATCTGTCTTTAACACTGAGATTATCTTTCCCTGCGTATTTTGTTTCTCCTGCCATAAACGCCTTCAGAATCTATACTGTTGGCTCACGTGAGACTCCTTCATAGCTCCCTGTGACTATCATCTTCCCCCCACAAACCCATTCATCACCTTAGACTGCAGTTCCAGGGTCTGTTGGACCTTTCTGGTATTTAGAACTCTGGGGTCCCTACCTTGGTTCGGACTAGATGTGTGCCTTCTCATTCTCTTGTATTTCTTCATAAATCTGTGCTCTTTGGCCCTTGTTCTTCCAGCCAACTCTTGGCCGTTCAGCCTAGACCCAGTAGTCAGTCATTTCAAAGCTATCCTCTTTATGTGCCTGGCATTGCCCACACTGTTGTGGGTGATAGATAATAGGCTCAGTACAATTTAACCCTTGCTTATAATCTAACTTTATAGTCCAGTAACAATAAACTCACACCCTAATTAAGTATATTTGGAATATGCATTATTCTCTGTAAGACCAGTTTTTATAACAGTTTCTTCTACAGAAAATTTCTTCAATCATTTGCCCACCTTTCTGTAATTTAGGCTAGGAATCACTGCTTGGAATAAACATCGGTTAGAATAAGCTCATGATTTGAATGCCACCCTCTTGAAAGAAATTGTGTTGAGTGAGTGGTTTTAATAATCGTATTGCTAGCCTTAGCCATGGGATATGCATGCCAAAGAATAGATGCTGATTATTCAAGGGTCTATTGCAGTGTTAATTTACTGATACAGAAGATTCTTCCTTTGGAGAACTGTGAAAGCACTTGATACACAGCACTTTTTAGCTGAAGTCATGCCAACTCAAATGATGCTTCTTAAAAGAGTTAATTATTTGTATATTCATGCATTCATTATGGTCCTCTTTATTCCTTAGTAAACTACATGCAGTCTCTGCTATGCCTTGTTGACAGGAATTTTTTCTAGCTTACATGAGTTAACTGTTTTCAGGTTTCATTAAAACTGCCTTATGTTAATAGAACTTCTGGAGACATACATGGTTTTTTTCTCCTAAAGATTAATAGTGTTGAAAGTCAAAGAATCACAGAGTATTAATGTTATAGGAAATCTTAGCAGTTATCTAGTCTAACACTTTCATTTTATTAATTAGGAAAATGAAGACCAGAGATATTTCTGTTTTCCCAAAAACACTTTGTCTGTTAGGGATGAGCTGCTTGTGGATCTCAGAGACTATTGTTATTCATACTTTTGCCCTCACTATTCAAATGGGACTTTGCATTGAGTATAGAGGAATTGTGGAGACCCATCATGGCATTTTAATTTTGTTCAAAAAGGTGCTTGGTGTTTAGAAATCAAATACAAAGGGTACTTTGTACCTTATTACAGGATACAAAACAGAACAAATAACACTTGAGACTTATATTGTTGATTTTATTACACTTATTTGGGATGAGGGTCCTAACCTGATGCTCTCTCTCTCTCTCTTTTTTTTTTTTTCATTTTTTATTGAGATGGAGTCTCGCTCTGTCACCCAGGCTGGAGTGCAGTGGTGCGATCTCGGCTCACTGTGAGCACTGCCTCCCGGGTTCACGCCATTCTCCTGCCTCAGCCTCCCTAGTAGCTGGGACTACAGGTGCCTGCCACCTCGCCTGGCTAATTTTTTGTATTTTTAGTAGAGATAGGGGTTCACTGTGTTAGCCAGGATGGTCTCGATCTCCTGACCTCGTGATCCACCCGCCTCAGCCTCCCAAAGTGCTAGGATTACAGGCGTGAGCCACCGTGCCCAGCCCTGATGCTCTCTCTTGACCTGGTATGGCAAATTCTAGGGACTGTCTTTCATTTCATGATTAGCTTATTTTATTTCCTAGAGGGAAACAGAAAAGTTCAATTGCTTTAGAGAGTAATGAGCATATATGTTCATTATAGAAGGAATGGAATGTATATTCCACATACATATATGGAAGGATTCATATGTATATTATATATTATGTGTGTGTAGTTTATGTGTTTAACGTATATAGCATATTGATGGCATAGTCTTTACTACTTGGAATTGTGCCCTATTGCAGTTATGGTATTTGTTTAGAGATAAGCAACTGATGATTAAATGTCAGTATAACTATGTTGGGCTTTATTCAGTGGCCAGTGGTGAACTACTGAAGGTAAATTACTAATGTCACAAGCTATGATCCATAAACAAAATGACCTGTCAGTATGTGGGTGATAGGTTTGGAAGCAATAATTGAGGTTGGTAATAGCGTTAGAACTAGGGCAATGAACACAGAGGGGAGGTGAATGAAGCAAGATCATAGATATGGGAACTAACTCTGAGTATAAGTAGAGGAAACAGATTAAACTCTGAGATGACCTGCCTTTGAGCATTACATTTTAGGTAAATTCTTTGTAGGTACATTTTAGTGTGTGCATATTTACAGCAAGTGTGCAGTAACTGTTGATTTTTACTGTACCTTACTGAGATACAGTAGGATGAAAAAGAATTCATTCACTGAAACGGAAGAATTTTTCACTTTGGCTGTGTTGTGTTAGGCTTATATTAACCAAACTGATGCAAAGATGTTAGGCTTTTAGTTGATGGTATATTCAGTGGGAACCAATTATGTATTCGTGTCCAGAAAGGTGTAAGGTGATTATCCTGTTCTGTTCTGTCCAGATCAGACCATAGCTGTGAAATTGAGTTTATTTTTCGGTTCAGTGTTTTGAGAAAGACTGATGCACTAGAGCCCTGAATTTATAGTCAGGGTGATGATGAAGACCCCAAATCATGTTGTGCAAGCAGTGGTTGAAGGACATAGGACTGTACAGACCATTGAAGGATAATTTGGGAAAATATAATGCTCTCTGTAAGATTTTGAGGAATTTCATAAGAGACAGATTAATCTTGTTCAGTTTATTGTGGTGGCAGAATTATCAGTGTTGCAAAATAAGAGTGAAAAAGATTTTAGAGCAACGTACAGAAGAACTTCTAATAGTAAGTGTTTGTATTAGTCCATTTCCATGCTGCTGATAAAGACATATCCGAGACTGGGCAATTTACAAAAGAAAGAGGTTTATTGGACTTAACAGTTCCACATGGCTGGGGAGACCTCACAATCATGGTGAAAGGCAAGGAGGAGCAAGTCATATCTTATGTGGATGGCAGCAGGCAAAGAGAGCTTGTACAAGGAAGCTCCCATTTTTAAAACCATCAGATCTCATGATACCTATTCACTATCACGAGAACAGCATGGGAAAGACCCATCCCCATAATTCAGTTGTCTTCCACTGGGTCCCTCCCACAACACATGGGAATTATGGGAGCTGCAAGATGAGATTTTGTGGAGACACAGAACCAAACTATATCATTCCACCTCTGGCCCCTCCCAAATCTCATATCCTCACATTTCAAAACCAATTATGCCTTCCCAACAGTCCCCCAAAGTCTTAACTTATTTCAGCATTAACTCAGAGGTGCACAGTCCAAAGTCTCATCCCAGACAAGTCAAGTCCCTTTCGCCTATGAGCCTGTAAAATCAAAGGCAAGTTAGTTACTTCTTAGATACAATGGGGATACAAGCATTGGGTAAATACAGCCATTCCAAATGGGAGAAATTGGCCAAAACAAAGGGGCTACTGGCCCCATGCAAGTCTGAAATCCAGTGGGGCAGTCAAATCTTAAAGCTCCAGAATGATCTCCTTTGACTGCATGTCTCACATCCAGGTGACACTGATGCAAGATGTAGGTTCCCACAGTCTTGGGCAGCTCCTACCTCCTGGCTGCCTTCAGGGGCTGGTGTTGAGTGTCTATGGCTTTTCCAGGCACATGGTGCAGGCTATCAGTGATACCATTCTGGGTTCTGGAGGATGGTGGCCCTCTTCTCACAGCTCCACTAGGCAGTACCCCAGTAGGGATTCTGTGTGGGGACTCTGACCCCACATTTCTCTTCTGCACTGCCCTAGCAGAGGTTCCCCATGAGGACCCCGCCCCTGCAGCAAACTTCTGCCTGGGCATACAGGCATTTTCATACATCTGAAATCGAGGTGGAGGTTACCAAACCTCAATTCTTGACTTCTGTGTACTCACAGGCTCAACACCACGTGGAAGCTGCCAAGGCTTGAGGCTTGCACCCTTGGAGGCCACGGCCTGAGCTCTATGTTGGCCCCTTTCAGCCACGGCTGGAGTGGCTGGGACACAGGGCACCGTGTCCTTAGGCTGCACACAGCACAGGGACCCTGGGCTCAGCCTATGAAACCACTTTTTCCTCCTAGGCCTCTGGGCCTGTGATGGAAGGGGCTGCTGCAAAGGTCTCTGACATGCCCTGGAGACATTTTCCCCATTGTCTTGGTGATTAACAGTCAGTTCCTTGTAACTTATGCAAATTTCTGCAGCTGTCTTGAATTTTGCCTGAGAAAATGGGATTTTCTTTTCTATTGTATTGTCAGGCTGCAAATTTTCCAAACTTTTATGCTCTGTTTCCCTTTCGAAACTGAATGCCTTTAACAGTACCCAAGTCACCTCTTGAATGCTTTGCTTAGAAATTTCTTCCACTAGATACCCTAAATCATCTCTCTCAAGTTCAAAGTTCCACAGTTCTCTAGGGCAGGGACAAAATGCCGCCAGTCTCTTTGCTAAAACATAACAAGAGTCACCTTTGCTTCATTTCCCAACAAGTTTCTCATCTCCATATGACACCATCTCGGCGTGGATTTCATTGTCCATATCATTATCAGCATTTTTGTCAAAGCCATTCAACAAATCTCTAGGGACTTCTAAACTTTCTCACATTTTTCTGTCATCTTCTTCTGAGCTCTCCAAACTGTTCCAACCTCTGCCTGTTACTCAGTTCCAAAGTCGCTTCCGCATTTCTGGGTATCTTTTCTGCAGCACCCCACTTTACTGGTACCAATTTACTGTACTGGTTCATTTTCACACTGCTGATAAAGACATATCTGAGACTCGGCAATTTACAAAAGAAAGGTTTATTGGACTTAACAGTTCCACATGGCTGGGGAGGCCTCACAATCATGGTGGAATGTAAGGAGAAGCAAGTCACATCCTACATGGATGGCAGCAGGCAAACAGAGCTTGTGCAAGGAAACTCCCATTTTTAAAACCGTCAGATCTCGTGAGACTCATTCACTATCATGAGAACAGCATGAGAAAGACCTGCCCACATAATTCAATCATCTCCCACCAGGTCCCTCCCACAACACATGGGAATTATGGGAGTTACAAGATGAGATTTGGATGGGGACACAGAGCCAAACCTTATCAGTGTTCAAGGATGATATGACTGTCTTGCCATCTGTTGATGTGTGTAAACTACAGCCAGATAACCATTTATTGTGAAAATTTTTGAGGTTACGAATACATATTATAGAAGCTGTGTCAGGTGACCTTTCAGATCTCTTATACCATTAAATCTTATGATTTTTATGGCATTACTGAGAAAGAATTAACAGGGTTTATGAAATAATTCACATTAGGGGTTAAAAAAGAGTGGGATGATGAGGGAAAGGGTAGTTACTTAATGAATTTCATATTTGCAAGATGAAAATGTTAGATCTTTTTCATAACAGTGTGAATATACTACTTTTTTTGAGATGGAGTTTCGTTCTTGTTCCCTAGGCTAGAGTGCAGTGGTGCAATCTAGGCTCACTGCAACCTCTGCCTCCTGGGTTCAAGCAATTCTCCTGCCTCAGCCTCCCAAGTAGCTGGGATTACAGGTTCCCGCCACCATTCCTGGCTAATTTTTGTATTTTTAGTAGAGACGGGGTTTCATCATGTTGGCCAGGCTGGTATCGAACTTTTGACCTCAGGTGTTCCACCTGCCTCGGCCTCCCAAAGTGCTGGGATTACAGGCATGAGCCGCCATGCCTGGCCCAGTGTGGATATACTTAACACTGTTAAACTTTACACTTAAAAATGGTTACGGTGGTAAATTTTATGTTTTTAATCACATAATAGAGGGAGGGAGGCAAAAATGACTGTGACTAAGACTTCATTCATCCTTGGAATCAGAGTGAAGCCATTAGGATACAAAGGGAACACGGGAGGTCCAGCAGGTGTCTGGAGGAGGTCACTGAAACGGTTTGAAACGTAGGTATATCCTCATCTTGTTTGCTTGAGGGAGAGCCAGCAGTGAAGTGCAGTATCAATTTAAAGGTTCTCAGATTGGGCAAGATGTTTAACAGTAGCCAAAGACAGCTTGGCCAGAGGAAGAACTTGATTTATGTTGAGAGGAATATCAACAGACATTAGAGAATCTTTATCAAAGTATCAGGCCAAAGAGTGAAGCATAGCATCAGTGGAAAAATGCACAATGATGAAAAGTCAGACCACAGAGCTCAAAACAGGCCAAGGTAAGTGGCCCAAGGTAGTAATTAATCTGAAGGTTTTAGAGGACTGCTTGTATGTGGTACTGGTTTCATGGTGTATGGGTGGCTCTGTCTTGTTTAAAAGAGCCATGATGATTAGATCATATTCATATGGAGACTAACAGACAGCTAGAAATTCAAACATTGGGGTTTGGGGGGAGAGGTTGGATCTGGGAGCAACAATATTAGGGTAATAAAGATAACTGTGGACAGTAATATACATTAGATAGTTAAGACAGAACAAGTGGAGAATCAAAAGGAGGCTGAAGGCAGGCAGGACCATAGTAATACCTAGTTTTAGGGAGGTAAAGGAGGCAGATTCAGTGGTCAGAAAGGTAGAAACATATATAGAATCCTAACCAGTAGAGAAGGCCATTAAGCTTAAAATCAGCAGAGAGGTTGAGAAGGACCAATGCCAAGAAAAAGACTTCCAAAGAACTATTTCAAGGTAAAATTGAGCCAGAGGCTATGCCATAACATAAAGATGTGAGTGTGCATCAGCACGCAGAGGCTTCAGAATTGAGATCTGCTCTTGAGAAGTCTGGTGTGGAGGCTGACAAGGTAGGACAGCAGCCAAACATAGGGATGTTAACCCAGTGATCTTTCTTTTTTAGCAGAGCAGGTATTTGTCCACTGAAGTCAAGACAGTGACATGCATTGACTGTCTATAGCAACACTTCCTTTCTCACTGGGGAAGGAAAGTAGTTGGATCTAGTTGCTTGCTTTGTTTTTATTTTTGTTTTTTAATTTTCATCACCAGTGTTTTCAAATGGTTATAAACTTTTAAAAATATTTGTGTTAAGGAACATATAACATGAAATTTACCACCTTAGCCATTTTAAGTGTTCCACTCAGTAGTGTCATGTATAAGTACTTGCTTTATTGTGAAACAGATCTCTAGAACGTCTTCATTTTGCAAAACTGAAACTCTGTACCTTTTAAACAACTCGTCTTTTCTACTTTCCGCTGTCCCTGGCAAGTATTATTATACTTCCTGTTTCTATAAATTTGACTCCTTTAGATACCTCATATTAGTGGAATCATACAGTATTTTTTTATTTTTGTGACTGGCTCACTACACTTAGCATAATGTTCTCAAGCTTCATCCATGTTGCATTGTGACAGGATTTCCTTCCTTTTTAAGGAATTGTATGTATATATAGTGTATGTATATACCAATTTCATTTATCCATTCATTAATCAGTGGATACCTGCTTCTGCCTCTTGCTATTGTGAGTCATGCTTCTGTGAACATGGGTGTACAAATATGTCTTCAAGACCCTGCTTTCCATTCTTCTGGATATATACACAGAAGTGGGATTGTTGGATCATATGGTAGTTCTACTTTTAATTTTTCGAGTAACCTCCATGCTTTTTTTTATAATAGTTGCATTATTTTATAATCTTACCAACAGTGCACAAGGTTTCTAGTATCTTAACATCTTTGCCAACAATTGTTATTTTCTGGTTTGTTTGTTTGTTTGCTAGTAGCCACCCTAATGGGTGTGGGGTAATATCTCATTGTGGTTTTGAGTTGTATTTTCTCTGATGATTAGTTATGTTGAACATCTATCATCTATTCATACGCTTATTGGCAATTTGTATATCGTCTTTGGAGAAACGTTTATTCCAGTCCTTTGCTCATTTTTAAATTGGGTTATTTGATTTTTGTTGTTGTTGAGTTGTAGGAGATATTTTTATATTCTGGATATTAACTCTTTGTCAGATACATGACTTGCAAATATTTTCTTCTCTTCTACAGGTTGCCTTTTTTCTTTATTGTGTCCTTTGATGCACTGAACTTTTAACTTTGATGTAGTCCCATTTGTCTTCGTTGCCTGAGCTTTTGGTGTCATTTCCAAGAAATTATTGACAAATCCAGTGTCACGAAACTTTCCCCCCTGTGTTTACTTCTAGGAATTTTATAGTTTTGAGTCTTACATTTAGATCCTTAGTCCATTTTGAATTAATTTTTGTGTATGGCGTATATGATCCACCTTCATTCTTTTCTATGTGGATGTCTAGTTTTCCTAGCACAATTTGTTGAAGAGATTGTTCTTTTCCCATTGAGTGGTCTTGGCACTCTTGTCAAAGATCATTTTACCATATACATGAGGATTTAAAAATATTTGAACGGTATACATTGAAAGAGTCATCCTTTCACCCTTGTTCCTCATTTCTCTCCCCTCTAAAGATAATCACTATTATTAGTTTCTCGGTTTTGTTTTGTTTTCTTGCATGGAGAGGATAAGTAATCCATTCACATGGTTCATAGAACAAACAATCTAGCCACTGAAAAAATGCATTCTCACATCTGTCGTTCTTCCTTTCTAAGCTGACAGTATTTCCTAAAGCTTTTTTCATATCATGAGCTTCCTTGTTCATTTTTACAGATGCAGAATATTCCATTGTATGGATATACTATGTTTTAAACTAGTGTCTACTGATGAACTCTCTTTTGTAGTTGTTAAAAGCAGTGCTACAGTGAATAACTCAGAGTGTGTCATTTCATGAGTGGTCAAGTATATTTGTAGGATGAGATTTCAAAATTGCTCTCTGTAAAGATTGTGCTGATTTATACTCCCACCAGCAGTATGAAATAGCATACTGTTTCATAATAGGGTTGTTGCTTTTTTTTTTTTTTTTAACTTTGATCCTCATGGTTTTGTGGCTTGAGGCCAGGGAAGGAATGTTCATGTTACATCATTTTTATTAGTACTAGTGGTAATATAAGAGCATTTAATGTCATGAACTAAGCACCAGACAGACTAATAGTGATTGGCATCAAGAACATATAAAATAACAGGTGAGCTGCACTAGGCTTCTTGCCTTTCTTCCTATAGAATTTTCCATGCATGCCTTAGAGTGACTTTGCCAGTCATCTAGTGCTTCCTGACTGTGTAAAGTGTTGGGTCCTTAGGAAGTGTGTTACAAGCAACAATCTCATTAAATTGCCTATCAGTAAATACTGTAGAACACTTGAAGAAATATACAGTTAATATAAATAGAAGAAAGGCAGGCCCTAAAGTAAACTAATTTACTCCAGATGTTGCCAAATAGTGCCCTCTATATTTTAGTAATGCTCCATATATGTTAACCACATCCTTTCCAAAGAAAGCTCAGTATAAGAATGTAAACATTAGATATCAATACTTAAAAATTTTTCTAAGGAGGAGGGATTGTTCCAATAGAAAATAAAAGTATTTGAGAATTAGAATTATTTAAAAACATGTATATGTACACAATGAAAGTTACTTTTAATTTGAACATTTCTTCTTCACTTTTCCTTTAGGCTAATTTTTGGTTTGGTTTTTTTTTTTTTTTTTTTTTGGTAAGTGGTGAAGGGGTGGTGTTTGAGTGACAGCTGTGTTATGGTTTTGTCAATAAAGTTGTAATAGTTGACTATTTTCCTTGCCCTCTTAACCTTCTTTGATACACTAGGAAAGAATACACAATGAATTTAGATCCCAGACTTGGTTTTGGATAGAGTTTACTAATGCCCTTCTACATTTATGTAATTGCTGACTTTTAAAAAATCACCACCAAGTTGGCTTTTTAGCAAGTCCATTTTTTTCTGGTCAGTGAAGCAGAGACTAAGATAACATGTAGTCACAGTATGGAAAAGTTCTCTCAGTTATGTTTGTTACCACTGGAGAGTTCTTTCCCCTCATGAAAAGCATAAGGCGGCCAGCAATCTCTTGCTTTGATTCAGATTTAAAATATACAGAAGAAACTTAACCCAAAATCACTGTAGACATACATTTGAAGGTGAAAATATTTTTATAATGGATAGAAAGAGATTTATGTTAGCTTCTCTTTTGTTCAGTGGCTGCTGTGTTTTCTGTTTGAATTTCCAAGTTGGTATTCATAAATGTTTCTAAATTTATATGCTGTTTGCCAGCTTTTCATTAAAATGAATTTATTTCTCAATATTTTAGAGCTCTTTTTTTATTTGTTTTTTTTTGAGACAGGGTCTCACTCTGTCAGGCAGGAGTATAGTGGCACGATCATGGCTCACTGTAGCCTTGACCTCCTGGGCACAGGTGATCTTCCTACCTTAGTCTCCCAAGTAGTTGGGACTACAAACATGCACCACCATGCCCAGCTAATTTTTTGTAGAGATGGTGTTTTACTATGTTGGCCAGGCTGGTCTTGAACCCCTGGACTCAAGTGACCCACCCTCCTCAGCCTCCCAAGATTCTGGGATTACAGGCGTGAGCCACTGCGCCTGGCCTACTTTGGAACTTTTAATATAAAGAACCTTGTTTTTTGTTTGTTTGTTTGTTTAAATATGTTCAGTCTTTAAAAAACAAACTCAACTATTGAAAAAGTTTTCCCTTTTTTCTTAGTGTATAAAGAAAACTTCCTTAGTGTATAATTTTTTTATATAAACTTCTGGTAAAGTCAGGAATTAGCGGGATTATATTTTAGATATAGAAGGTACTTTTGCAATTAATCATGATGGCTTTTTAAAATCTATAATCCAGCTGGGTGTGATGGCTCATGCCTGTAATCCCAGCACTTTGGGAGGCTGAGCCTGGAGGTTCACCTGAGTCAGGAGTTCGAGACCAGCCTAGCCAACATGGTGAAACCCCGTCTCTACCAAAAATACAAAAATTAGCTAGATGAGGTGGCAGGTGCCTGTAATCCCAGCTACTCAGAAGGCTGAGTCAGGAGAATCGCTTGAACCCAGGGGGTGGAGTTTGTTTGATTTTGGAAGAAACTGCCAAACTGATTTCCTACCAGCAGTGAATGAAAGTTCCTGTCATTCCACATCCTTGTCAGAATTGGTGTTGTCAGTGTTTTGGATTTTAGCTATTCTGATAGATACGTAAATGGTATCTCATTGATGTTTTAATATGCAGTTCTCTAATGACATGTAATATTGAGCATCTTTCCATGTGCTTATTTGCCATTTGTATATGTCTTCTTTGGTGAAGTGTCCATTTAGATCTTTTTGCCCATTGTTTAGTTGAGTTGTTTATTTTCTTCTTGACCTTTAAGTGCTCTTTTTATATTTTAGGTAACAGTCCTTTATGAGATATGTGTTTTGCAAAGATTTTCCCCCAGTCTGTGGCTTGTCTTTTAATTTCTTAAGAGCATCCTTTGCAGAGCAGAGAAGTTGTTAATTTTAATGAAGTCCAACTTAACCATTTTTTTTTCATGGATAATACTTTTGATGTTGTATCTAAAAAGTCATTGCCATACCCAAGGTTAGTTAAATTTTCTCCTATGTTATCTTCTAGAAGCTAAATTTTGTGTTTTACATTTAAGTTGCTGATCCATTTTGAGTTAATTTTTGTGAGAAGTGGAGTCTGTGTCTAGATTTACTGTTTTGCATATGGATGTTCAGTTGTTGCAACATCATTTGTTGAAAAGACTCTTCTTTTTCTATTGAATTGGCTTTGCTTCTTTGTCACAGATCAGTTGCCTGTGTTTTTGTGGGGTCTCTTTCTGGGCTCTCTATTCTGTTGTGTCGACCTACAGTCATCCCTTGGTATCCACATCCATGGGGTATTGATTCTAGGACCCCCAACAGGTACCAAAATCCGTGGGTTCTCCAGTCTCTTATATAAAATGGGGTAGTATTTGCATACAGCCTACTCACATCCTCCCGTATACTTTATTTTTAATTTTTTTTTTTAAAGAGACAAGCCGTTACCCAGTTGCCCAGGCTGGAGAGCAGTGGTGTGATCCTAGCTCACTGCAGCCTCAAACTCCTCTGCTTAGGCAGTCCTCCTGCCTCAGCCTCTCAACATGGTGGGATTACAGGTGTGAGCCACTGTGCTCGGTGTCCCATATACTTTAAATAATCTCTAGATTATTTATAATACCTAATATAGTGTATGTGCTATAGTTGTTTTTTATTGTATTTTTTTCGCAATATTTTTGATTTGAGGTTGGTTGAACCACCGGTTGGTTGAATCTGCAGATGTAGAACTTGTGGATATGGAGATCCAACTGTATTTGTCATTTACATCTTCAATTTCATATTTATTTCAGTGCAATACCTTGCTTTGTCAAGTCTGAGTTTTAAACAATTGTGTGTCAAAAAACTTTTGAGTTTCAAAAAATTTTGTAAATACAAACATTTTAGAGCTGCTTGTTTTTTTTATAGTTATCTTGGGGTGAACTTTTTTATTTTTTTTTGAGACAGAATCTTACTCTGTTGCCCAGGCTTGGGTGCAGTGGCGTGATCTCGGCTTACTGCAACCTCCTCCTCCCAGGTTCAAGCAATCCTGCCTCCTCAGCCTCCCAAGTAGCTGGGAGTACAGGTGTGTGCCACCATGCCTGGCTACTTTTTGTATTTTTTGTAGAGACGGGGTTTCGCCATATTGTCCAGGCTGGTCTTGGACTCCTGACCTCAGGTCATCCGCCCACCTTGGCCTCCCAGAGTGCTGAGATTACAGGCGTGAGCCACCATGCCCTGCCAACCTTTTGTAAATTGAATAGTTTTTCATGAGATTTATGAAAATGCAGGTTTTATTTTTCAAATGTCATTGAAGGGGAAGCCAACTGTTCCTTTTTATGGTATGTTGAAATACATATTTGAAATGAATCTTTTATTTCACCTTATAAAACAGTTTTATAAACTCTATTTATAAGGGTTTTATAAGGTGAAATAAATATGGTTCATTGTGACGACCTAGAAATTAACCTAGATTTTCTAGCAAAATTTTACTTTAGAATTTATAATATTAACAAGAGCTAAGTTATTGAATCCTTACTCTCTACAGACACAGTTCTAGGTGCTTTATAAACCACTAGCTTATTTAATCCTCACAGCAATCTTATTTTTATTATCCTCATTTTACAGATGAGGAAACCAAGGCTTAGGGAAATTACGTTAACTGCCCAAGGTTGTACAAGCTAGCATATGGCAGAGCTGGGATTCAACCCTGGTATGTCTGAATCCGCAGCCCAAACCACCACATTCCCTTGTGAGGCAGATTTGCAAGAAAGGTTATTTTACAAAAGATTCGTTCTTTGTAAGGTTTTCAATCATTGCACTGATAGTCTTTTCCCCCCTTGGATGGAGGACGTATCGGATATTAAACTGATAAGAACAGATACTACACTTGATCTTAGCCAAAAGGCCAAGAAGCGATCTTTTTTCCCCTTGGGAAGAGTGGCCATATTTGTGAAATCAAGGGAAAAAAATTTTTTAAGTATTTAAGAATTACTAATTTTACAAGTTTCTGGAAATGGGTTGAGGCATAAAATCCTGGAATTTGATCCGAAATAAACTATTTATTTAGAATTCAGAGCTATCTATATCATAAACCAATTCTGTCTCTCTTTTTTTTTTTTTTTCTGAGACGGAGTCTTGCTCTGTCTGTCATCCAGGCTGGAGTGCAGTGCTGCGATCTCAGCTCACTGCAAGCTTCGCCTCCCAGGTTCATTGCCATTCTCCTGCCTCAGCCTCCTGAGTAACTGGGACTACAGGTGTCCATCACCATGCCTGGCTAATTTTTTTTTTTTTTTTTTTGTATTTTTAGTAGAGACGGGGTTTCACTGTGTTAGCCAGGATGGTCTCGATCTCCTGACCTTGTGATCCGCCCGCCTCTGCCTCCCAAAGTGCTGGGATTATAGGCATGAGCCACTGCGCCCGGCCCAATTCTCTCTTTTTAAAAAAATGTTGGTCATATATTCAGATTGGCTAGCATTTGAGATTTCTTTAGTTTCCAAATAAAGCAGGGCTTTTTTCCTTACTCCATAAGGAACAACCCTCTAATGTTTCACATGATATGACATGTAGGATATGACAATATGACATCATGTTCTTTATCTGATTTATATAATCAAAAGGTTTTACAAATTTAAGTACTGATGGTGTCATACCATATAAGGAATAGATTTTTTTAAGCCTAAAATACCACCATGTAAAACAAGAATGATTCAACTAAGTGCGTGTATATTAAGGCAGCTTCCCTCCTTGCACTGCTACTGTGCTGTTGTATAAACAAATCACTGAAGGTACATCCCCAGGTGTCTCTGAGTTTGTTTGGGTTTGTCTTGTTAGTTCTTGCCTGGAGGTGTGCAATTGGTTTTCTCATTCTTAAGTTAGATTAAATTAAGAAAAACCTTTTTTAAGCAGTTTGAAACTATGATAATGGAATGTTGATGTTAGTGGATTTTCTTTTTAATTCCCAAACAGAGCAACATTTTGCAGATGTTGTACTTAGTGAAGAATTTCTCAATCTTGGCATCGAACAAGTGTGCAGCTTAATCTCAAGTGACAAACTTACCATTTCTTCAGAAGAGAAGGTAAGGATATTTTTCTTTTCCCAGTGTGCAATGATGTTTCCCTTTTTTTTTTTTTAATTTCACTTTTTTTTATAGCTTTGTGATCCTGTATGTGTAGTGACAGCCAGTGATGTTTCAACTGGAAGTTAAGAAACTCAGCTAGTTACTTCAGGAAAGGATTCCAGGAGAAAAAAAAGAAACTCAGGACTTGTTGATTGTCTATGTAAATTACTCCCGGTCTTCACTTTGTGGGAGGTTCCCTAAATTTTTAGCCACTACAGTTTTGTACTTGACCTCCACAGCAAGAGCTTGCACACATTAGACTATCTGAAACAAATGCTTTTTTGGAAACTAGTTTCTTCCTACAACTCAATGCCTGTAGGAATTATGATGTGAACATAATATTTGTCACTAAATTAGTTTCCTTGTCTTCTGAGTTGAAAGAGGTTACCTAGGATGGCGAAGTTTTGGTAGTTCTAGACTGAACATTCTTGATTGTCACCTTCCTTTAGATTGATTTCCTGTGACATAATACCTCACCCCTGCCAGTCCGTTCAGCCTGCCTGCCTCCCTGACTCTCTCCCTCCCTGCCTCCCTCCCTCTCTGTGCAGCTACTGCTTCTGGTTGTAGTCTTTTGTCTCTCCACGTTTTGAATTACCTTTGTCAGCCACCTGCACTTTTCGTATAGTTGGAGAGAGAAGCTCCTTTTAGTGGGCTGTTTTTCCTTGGGTGGGTTTTGTAGCACACGGGAATCAGAGCACAAAAGCTGTGCTTAGAGGAAATGAAACTTGAGTTTCTCCTTTGTGTGCTTAGCATTTCAAGTTGTGTAAATTCTGATTCTCTTTCTCAAGGCTATTCATTTCACCTGGGGTTAAAGACACATTTACTCTAATATTTACAGTATTAAAAAATGTGAAAGCATTTGTGACATATATAATCTTAGCATCCTAGAAATACAGAGGAAGATGACATTACTTTCACACTTAATAGACATGTATTGAGTGCCTTCCATGTACCAGACACTGCCATGGGCTCCTAGAGAAGAGAAGATTAGCAGAATAGAATTTGTTACTCATAGACTAGTGGGACAGCCAGTAGAGTAAATAATTGATTACAGAATGCTGTAAAGGGTGCCTTAGGAGCATTTAACTTTTCCAGGAATGGGATAGGTATGGGGATGGTAGTTCAACTTGGTTCAGATGTATATTTCAAGTCTTTTAAAAATGAGTCTGAGTTTGCCAGAGAAATAGGGATGGGTGGGAATGCAGAGGGCATTCCAGGTAGAAGAAGCAGAATATACAAATGTAAAGAGATATGAAAGAGTAATTGTATTCAATGTGTTCAGTATGATGGGAGTTTAGAATATGAGACATTGGTGGAAGATAAAATTAGAAGATGATATAATAAAATATCTTCTCAGCTATGTTAAAGAAAATTAACTGTATTGTAGTGATGAGCCTTAAAAGGGTTTTAAGCCAGAGGAGAAAACCATGCCAAAACCTGCATTATAGAAATATCATGAGGGCTGTTCTGGTTTTCTGCTGCTACTCAAGTCATTGCCAAATGTAAAAGCATAAACAATAACCATTTTATGCTAACAATTCTATGGTCAGAATTCATGCAGAACAATAGGGACAGCTTGTCTCTGCTCCACAGTGTCTGAGACCTCGGCTAAGGTGACCCAGATGCCTGGAGATACCTGGCATGGTTCTACTGGAGCCATAGATCTGGAGCTTCAGTTCTTCTGCACATGGCATCTTATGGGTCTGTAATGTCCAAGGTGGCTCCTCCACCTACTTTTGTCTGGCTCCGGGGCTCCCGGTTGATTGGTCTCTCTCTAGGTCTCCCTCCTCTCCCCTCCTTTCTTCTCTGTAACTTGCATGGGTTTCTCATGGTGTGGTGGTTTCAAGTAGCCAGACTTCTTACATGACATTTGGCTTCCTTCAAATGAGCATTTCAAGAGAGCAGAGTAGAAGTAGTGAGGCTGCTTAAGACCTACCTTCAGAAATTGCACAGTGTCCCTTCCTCCGCACTCTACTGGTTAACAGGGCCAGCTTAGATTCAGTGTGGAGGGTTACTATATAAGGGTATGGATCTGGGAGATGTGGTTTATTAGGAGGCTATCTTTGGAGACTAGCTATCTGGTGGTGGTGGGCAGTATGGACCAAAAATGAGGTGAGGGCCAGATGAGAGGATGTTGAAGTCATACCAGTGAGCAGCAGGTTCCGATATGGGATGATAGAAGCAGGGGGGAGAGAAGACAGAACTGAGAAATATTAGATAGAATTGCCAGAAGGCCGACTATCTTGTTCACCTAATCTCTGGCACCTGGCACGTAGAGACACTTGATAAATACTTGTTGACAGAATGAATTAAAGAGGGGTGTTAATTTTAATGTGCATTATTTTTAGTTTCTTGCTTTTTTTTTTCAAACTTTGCAAAATGTTTTACTACCTCCATTCTGTTCATTCTTGTTATTTATTTGCAGAAATCAATAAAAGGTTGCCAAAATGTAAGCTGATCCACAAAGTATGAGAGAATTAGTTTCTTGCTTTATTCCTGGATCAAAATAACCTATTTTTGGTCTCAGTTATCCAATTGCATATTGTCAAACATTTCCTGCAAACCTTTAAAGATTATTAAGTGATATATTCATCAGTTGAGAAGAAAATTATGTAGACAAACAGTGTCTTCATATTAGCTTATTAGCTTTCTCACAATTATGTATTGTAAAAAATAATGCCCTTATTTTTTAATTTGTAAAAAAAAATTTCAAAATACTACATTTTAATATATTCTGCTATTACAGAGCTGAGTCGATCTATTGTACAAACCTTCGATTTATGTGTATGGTCTAACATTTGTTTGTAAACCTGAAGAAAAAGCCAAACATGAATTGTTTATAAGGATACATGATTTTCATTCCAGAATATCACTTTGCTTTATTATTTTGGGTAAATAAAAAAAAAAAGAACAGAAAAGAAATGGGGTGAATGGCTTTGTAAGTACATTGCAAGTCAGGATTTTGAAAACACTTGAGCTGTGAATTAAACTTGGATGTCTTAGCAAGAGTTATATATAAAATGTAGTCTCATATTTTATCCAGATGCCTTGATACACAACTCATTTCTTATTTTTTCTTCTCCTATATTTTCTGCAAGGTATTTGAAGCAGTAATAGCATGGGTGAACCATGACAAGGATGTGAGGCAAGAGTTTATGGCCCGACTGATGGAACATGTACGGTTACCTTTGCTTCCTCGGGAATATTTAGTTCAGGTAAATGCATATGCAAAACATATGAATCCACACAGCACTGTGTCACTGGCCTGACAGCATGTAGATCCCTATCAAGCAGTGATAAGAGCTGTAGAATGCAGATCTGTGGAGTACAGGACAGAAGACAGTAAAGGACCCCGCAGGCTGGAGTGCAGTGGCGTCATCTCGGCTCTCCGCAACCTCCACCTCCCGGGCTCAAGTGATTCTTGTACCTCTGCCTACTGAGTAGCTGGGACTACAGGTGCATGCTACAACCCCAGCTAATTTTTGTATTTTCAGTAGAGTTGGGGTTTTGCCCTGTTGGCCAGGCTGGTCTCGAACTCCTGACCTCAAGTGATCTACCCGCCTCGGCCTCCCAAACTACTGGGATTACAGGCCTTGTGAGGCACCACACCCAGCCACCATTCCCCGTTCTTAGAAATTTGCTTTTGCCCCTATTTTTGATTTGGGTAAGCAAGTACTAGAGCTTATCAAGGTAGTATTTGTGGTCACTTAAATACATGTAAATAAATGTCCCTGTGGCAGTCACTGCTTTGCATCTTCTTTACTGTTTTTTTCTTTCCATAGTCTCTTCTGATTCCCCTGCAGACCTGGAATTTTGAGGTCTGACCCAAATACCGTTTAATTTTACTTCGTAATTTAATAGTGGCATGCATTTGATTTCTGTCTTTATTTCTAAGCTGAGGGAAAACATTATTTGAAATAAATGTGAAAAATGATTCTTTAGTGGTCTCCAAATAATTTTAAATTTACTGTTTTTTTTATTAGAATCCCGCTAGGAACATTTCAGCATTATTTTAATAATTGAAACCATTGAAAGAATCATTTATTAAGAAATTAGATTTGAACATTTTAGGATTTCTTGAAATCTCATTACTTTTTGTGATCTGTGTAATCATGGGTCTTCTGGTATTAAGAAGATGATCCAAAAGGGTGGGTGCGGTCAGTGGCTCACGTCTATAATCCCAGCACTTAGGGAGGCGGAGGCAGGCATGAGGCCAGGAGTTCGAGACCAGCCTGGCTAACGTGGTGAATCCCCGTCTCTACTAAAAATACAAAAAATTAGCCAGACATGGTGGCAGGTGCCTGTAGTCCCAGCTACTCAAGAAGGTGAGGGAGGAGAATTGCTGGAACCCGGCAGGTGGAGTTTGCCAGGATTGTACCACTGAACTCCAGCCCGGGCAACAGAGTGAGACTCTGTTCCCTTCCCCCCGCCCCCCCTCCCCCCCCAGAAAAAAGAAAACGAACCCAGAAGCCTGTCCTGCGTTTGAGGTCAGGCTAGGCAGTACAAGATTTATTTGTGTTATGGGTACGTTGCTTTAAGGTATTTCTAATCTCTTTTTGGGATATTTTACTTGCCCACTTGTGTTTGAAAAAGGTATCATTAACTTATTAGTATTGTCTTCACCTGAAGGATGTATTATCTAAACTTTGTTTCTTGTTTTGCTTACTTTTTGTCTTAAAGGTTAAAGATACACAGGTGGATATAATATCCGAAGAGTTCATCATATTCCATAGCTAACATTGAAGTTTATCATTTTTCACTGTGGTTCTTCTTTTTATTACCTATATATGTTTTTCTCTGCAGGCCAGATACTTGAGCATTTTTTGGTTATATTTATTTTTCTCTTAGATGTATTTATAAACTTTCCTCGTTTATTTTTAGACTAAACTAAAGGATATAGTTACTGCTTTTTTCCTCTCCTTTACTTCTTTTTCTTTGGCAATTTAATTATGAAATAGCCCTACCCTCAGTGGGTGTGTCTGATTTCTTGTTACAGAGGGTTGAAGAGGAAGCATTGGTCAAGAATAGCAGTGCTTGCAAAGATTACCTCATTGAAGCAATGAAGTACCATTTGCTGCCAACAGAGCAGCGTATATTAATGAAGAGTGTCCGGACCCGGCTGAGGACACCCATGAACCTTCCCAAAGTAGGATCTGTTTCTCATGCTTGTTATTACCTCATGCAAAAGGCTTATAAGTGAAGCTGTTAGTATTTTGCTCATTTGAATTTCCGTGATTTATTGTTTTAGTTTTCCTTCAAGAGAAAATGTGCCTAAGAATGCATTGTAGTGTATGTAATTCAACCTCTATTGATTTTATATGTTAAGGGTGGGGATTCTTTGGTCCGTTTAATTTTTATAAACTGCATGATGTCACTCTTCTGGAACAGAAGACAACTGGTTTTTGTCCCCTCTGAGTTTTATTAGCTCTAATTATAGTAGAAAGCTCTAATTATAGTCCAAAAAAATCAGACCAGGTAGAAGGATTTCTCTGTAGGCCTGGGGTGCTGTGATTCATGCCTGTAATCCCAGCACTTTGTGAGACTGAGGCCAGTGGATCACCTGAGGTCAGGAGTTTGAGACCAGCCTGGCCATCTACGTGAAACCGTGTCTCTACTAAAAATACAAAAATTAGCCACGTGTGGTGGCAGGTGCCTGTAATCTCTGCTACTCAGGAGGCTGAGGCAGAGAATCACCTGAACCCAGGAGGCGGAGGTTGCAGTGAGCTGAGTGGAGTGCCCACTGCACTCCAGTCTGGGCAACAATGTGACAGGCTCTGTCTCAAAAAAAGAAAAAAAAAAAAAAAGAATTATTTTGTAAGCTAGGTGTTTGTTTAATAACTGAAAACCCAGTAGTTTCACAGAATTACACATTAGAACTACAGATGATAAAAATAGCTTGTTCAGTTCATCTCATTGCTGTTCCCTGCTGTATACCATTTGATGGTTCCCTGCACATCATATGTAGCCATTTCAGCATACATTCCCATGTCTTCCCGTGTGTCTCGTGTTCATATTTTCCTATGTGAATGTTTATATTCTACCTTGGTCTTTTTAGCTGTGGCCATTCATATTTTACCAATTCAATTTTTCTTATGAAATAACCCCTCATTTCTGTCTCTGTTGGCAATTCCTTCTGCTCTGTTTACATCTTTATAGTACGACCAATACTTTAAGCACCATTTTGTGCGTGGTCTAATCAGAATGACTCATAATATAAAGACTTTATTTATGTATTTATTTTTAACTCTTGTATATGTTTCGGGCAATGCTGGATTAAGAAATAAGAATCTGTTCTCTCGTTTTCTTATATCATCTTCAGTTATTACTCTGTCCTTTCCATTGAATTGTTTTTTAAATTCTTTCACTTTAATACTTTAATATTTTTCTAAGTTTTACTTTGGAGTCTACATTTTTAATTGCTGCAAATCTATATTGGTATTGTTTTTCTGTTTTGCCTATTACTAACAACAGTTCTCAATTTATAACTAACTGCAGATTTGCCAGGATGCTGTTGACTTATTTTTCTAGATCGTTAGCAAATATTTTAATTTAGAATTGATCTCAAAACTCTCTTGGTGGCACCTTGTTAGAAGTAGCCAGCCACTGACACAGTCTATTTGTGGAAAGTTTCATTCTATATGATTATTATCTAAGCCAAAATAAGTAGTTTGGCATATAACATCTGATGAGGTTGAGGATCAAATGGATTCAAATTTGGCATGACTTTTTAAACATTCTTCTGCATGGTATTTTATTGGCCCCTAGAAGTTCAAATGCTTTTCTCAAAATCTTCTAAATTTTTACTCAGAATTATCATCACTTAACAAAGTGTATTTACAAGGTATTCACTTCCTATCCTGGTTTGAAAATTTGGTATTTGCTTTCTTTAAATTTTCTGATCTATCCTCAGTTCTCTGAGATTTTTCAGAAATAATTGTAAGTGGCTCAGTAAGTACATTAGCTAGTTCCCTTAATACCTCAGTATTCATGCCAGGTCTGCTGATTTTATATGTGTTTACATTTTTCAAATACCCTTACACCTGCTTTTATAAGTACCCATCTTTTAAGTCTTCATTAATTCATATTTGTCCATCTTATTTGGTGTCAGTTTTTGTTCTTACAAAATAATCCATTTATAAAAATTGTTCAGTCTTGGCAGTGAGTTTAAGGTTGCCATTTATTTTATTTTATTATTTTATGTAAGTCTTTCCAACTTCCTTCTAAATAATGTGCTATATCTTTAATACTTTTTAAATACTTCATATTTGTAAAAAAGAATTTCTTCTTGTATATTCCTTCCTCTAGCATCTTCAGACTTTCCTATATTTAGCTATGCTGCAGAGACCTTTAGAGTGAAAGTGAATTCATTTTTGATTTCTGGAATAAACATGTCATTTTTGAAACCTAGAGTTCTCGGTAAAAGCCTATCAAGTACTTACTTTCTCTTTTGTGGTGTTGTGTTTACATTGTTCCTGGACTTCTCTGGTTGTGGTTTTGGAGTAGGACTCCTATAGCTGTGTTATACTTTTAGATTTCTCAGTTCTCTAGCTGTTATTTTGTGCTGGGTATGTGGGTCCCTGGAGGTTCTCTTTCATTCTGCTCTATCAGGGTGGTGGGTGGGGCAGCAGACTTGCTGGATAGCAGTGAGCAGCCCTGTTGCTTTGACTTTGCATGTTTACTTGTATGATCCCTTCTCAGTGTGTTTGTTTATCCACACATATTTTCGAAAAGGTGCTGGTGATGAACAATTTTCCAACACCACCATTTGTCATTTTAGAGTTGTTATGTTCAGATTAAGTCTAAGGAGTTGGGTAAGAATGAAGCAAAGATTAATTTCTTATGCTTATTATTTCATAGTAATGATGCCTTTTATCATCGTAATAATGAGTCAAATTGAACAAAATGTGGTAGTCGTGCTGAAGAAATTACAAGGTTTTGATAATATTTTACCATGAGAGTGAATTAGTACTTTTTATATTACACTCTGATTTTTAATTTGCATGAATGATTCTTTTCATATCTCAGACATTAGTTTTGGCTTCTCAATAAACAGATTGTATAAGGTATCCTTGGATTTGCACATCATAATAAAAATTGTGTGTGTTTTGCTTCTTTTGTATTTTGTTAGCTTTTCTCTTTGGAATCTGTATTTTTATAAGGGCTGTCATATTTCTGGGTATATATTATATTTTAAAAATATTTTTACCCAGTATATTTATTGAAGTTTTCAGTTAGAATCTTGATTTTTCAGGAGTTAATTTTCAACTAATATTTATTTAATAGGTAAAATAAAAGGAACAAAGTTTAATTGACGTACATTTCAGGATGATTAGTGAATTTGCTTAACCTCCTACCCCTTGCCCTCTTCAAATATGTTACTTTTAACTTTTCCTTACAAAAGGTCTTCTTTTCTTGTTCCTTCATAGCATAATTAGTATGGTGTTTCTCAAATACCTGTGTCTTTTACAGATAACTGGGATGTCAGCATTATGAGCAACTCTTTTGGTAGCCACACAATGGTTTATGACACAGTCTCTTGGTTTTATATAAATATTCCTGCCTTCCTGTCCCCCCATTGCACGTTCTCCTTGTCTCCTTTATCCCTGATTCCTGGAGACCCAAATCGTTACCCCATTTTCCCTCTCTTGGGTGAGTAAAGGACAAATATTACTACTGTTCTCTGTATGTAATAGCACAGTTTTCCTTTTCATCTTCATTTTAATGTGTAAAAGTGAACTATTGCGTGGAAATAGAAATCTTATATTCAAACTTTGAGGATTATGAAATCTATAACTCAGTGTTATTTATCAAAAAATTTAAAAAATGTTCCCTTCTGAAATTTTAGAAAAATTGGTCTTCATCAGATATATCATCTAAGACTCTTTCAACTATTGTCTCTTGGGCAGTTTTGAAGTTTTGAACAGAACCCTAAATACAAGGTTTATCTTAACATGCATCCCAATTCTGTAATTTTTACAACCTTGCCCCCCCCGCCGTTTTTGGGTGGTCAGAGGTGAGGGTATTGTATATTTTCTTTATTAATTATGTTTATTTTATTTATTTATTTTTTGAGATAGAGTGTCGCTCTTTCGCCCAGGCTGGAGTGCATTAGTGCAGTCTCAGCTCACTGCAACCTCTGCCTCCCAGGTTCAAGAGATTCTCATGCCTCAGCCTCCCAAGTAGCTGGGATTACAGGCACGCACTATCATGCCTGGCTAATTTTTGTATTTTTGGTAGAGACGGGGTTTCGCCATCTTGGCCAGGCTGGTCTCGAACTCCTGATCTCAAAGCGATCCAACCGCACTGGCCTCCCAAAGTGCTGGGATTACAGGAGTGAGCCACCGTGCCTGGCCAACCAAAATGTTGTCTGTTTGTTTGTTTGTGAGACAGAGTCTCACTCTGTTGCCCAGGCTGAAGTGTAATGGTGCAATCTCGGCTCACTGCAACTTCCACCTCCTGGGTTCAAGTGATTCCCATGCCTCAGCTTCCCCAGTAGCTGGGATTACAGGTGTGCACCACCATGCCTGGCCAATTTTTAATTTTTGTTATTTTTTGTGGAGAAAGGGGACTTGCTGTTAACCAGGCTGGTCTTGAACTCCTGAGCTCATGATCTGTCCGCTTCAGCCTCCCAAAGTGCTGGGATTACAGACGTGAGCCACCATACCTGGCCAAGAAGAATAACAGGCCTGAAAAAAATTATGTAGTTGGTTTATGTTCAGTCTTCTTTTAAGACTTTTAAAATTCATTCTGCTCTCCAGTTACCAAAAACTAAAATGGGCTTCTTTTTGGAAATTTGGGATTTGCTCTCTGATTCAGGAATCATTTTTTGCTTTGTACCCATCTTTCTTTAATTCTAAGTACAGGTAGGTCATTGCCTAGTCAAGGCTGCAAATCTCCTCTTTTTGTGTATATGAGTTACTCCATATTCTGTTTGTTTTTATTTTTTGTTTCTTTCTAACATCTATTTTTCCAATCATTATCTCTTCTTTTCCTGAAGGTCCTTGCCATTCTTTACAGTTTTTGATTTGAGACATCATTAATGTTTACATTATTCTGATTTGATGGCTGTTATTTTCACTGTTGCCAGAGAGTGTCTGTGCATACTCAGTAAAAGGCAGACACATTGATTTCTAAATTCTATCCATTTAGCAAGACCATAGATCAGGTTCCAGGAAGCTTTCACTAAATTACGGCAGCTTTTCATTTTCTGATCAGCAGTAGCAGTTACGTCTATACTAATCACATAATTTTTCGATCATATGTAATTGTGTACTCTTCTTGAGTTACTTCATAAGTCTTGTCTCCTTAGTGAGATCTATCAAGTCTTGAAGGGTAGAGACCATGTCTTATATTTCTTATGTATAACACCTAACATAGTTCTGGACACATATAGACCGTAGGCATTTAGTAAATAGTTGTTGGATTGAGTTGAGGGAACTTATAGACCTCATTTATTCTCAAAAGTAGACTTTTATGTATTTGTTCATTATGATATCTAGCATCTCCATTACATGTCCTGTTAGGTTGTTTTATTTGTGGGGCATCAGGAAAGGTCTCTACTGGAGATTCGGGAATCTGTACTCTTGTGAGCTCCAATTCAATTACTCCTCCTTTTTCAATATTTTTTTTCCTTCTTCCATCTTTCTTTTAATACTTACTGTCCGTTTCACTTCACCTACCCAGTAACATATGTTTCATTTCTATCTTCTCTCCTGGATTATGGAGTTCTAATGCCTGGTCATTGCAAAAACCAGGATCTAGTTTATAGCAAGCCCTATGACATACTGCAGCCTTGCCAGTAATAACTGCGTGCTGTTTTTTTGCTTAAATAACTGCTTTTGCTTGAAGGATCAGAAACTTAGTTTCTGAAGTCCTTATTTTTGACTAAATGTGCTGGACGATAGAATTGTATTTTTAACGTGTGTCCCCTTGGTTGATGTTTATGAAATGTTGGTTAGGTGGTTAGATGTTTGTATTCGCCAGCTCACCCTATCATCTTCATCCTAACACTTCCCACACCAGTGTCTTTGTAGGACATTTTAAATCCTGAATATGTAATAGTCATTTGTTCAAGTGCTTACATTTCTGCCCTTGTAGTTGATGGTGGTGGTTGGGGGCCAAGCACCAAAGGCTATCCGGAGTGTGGAATGCTATGACTTTAAAGAAGAAAGGTGGCACCAAGTAGCAGAGTTGCCTTCCAGGAGGTGCAGGGCAGGTAAGCATGATGCATCATGGTCAATTCTCTACTCCTGGGTCATTGGGAGCTTCTTTTTCAGGTCTTATTTTATTAATTAGAAAAATCTCTATCAAAAAAGCTTTGAGTAAAATAGCTATGTAGTTAAACAGTAATTCAGGGGCCTCATATGCCTCTCAAGACATTGATGGGATAGCTACTCTGTCTCCACCTTTACATATCTTTCTGATTGTTTAGTGTAAGGTGGGAGAGCTAGTAATTTGCCGGATATTTCCTAGTTACATTTGCCTGAAGTGTTGAGAGGGGAATTCTTTAGGTTGGGACCCTTAGTTCTAGGAGATTCCCTCAGCTATAAGGTACTGTTAAGTCCCTCAGTTATAAGGCATAATTGCCTTCTTCAAGGCATCTGTTTTACAAACATTTGTTGAAATAGACTTTCATTTAGCCAAAGCTGTGATCAAAAGAAGCAGTTATTATACAAACTCAGAATTTTTCCTGGGACTTAAACTTGGATCCATAATTTCTGTCTCCCATAGCGAAATGAGTTCTGTATGTAATGGAACGTTTCTATGATGGTAGTACTTTAACAATACATCTTGGAGATTGTTACATATCAGCATATCTGGAGTTACCTCATTCAATAAGAGCTGTCTAGTGTTTTATTTTGGTCTGGACATAGTTTTTACTAGTTTTTAATAGAGCATTACAAATGTTTTTAATCTTAATGTTATAAACAATGCTACAACAAATCTCTTATACATACATCATTGTGTACATATGCTAATATATTTTGGCAGGATAAACTAGACTTACTGATTCAAAGGATGTCTTAAAAGGATATGCCAATTATTACTCCCACTAACAGTAAAATATGAAGGTGCCAGTTTCCCTAAACTCCTGACAGTACTTTGTAATTAAATGTTTTGAGCTTTGCCAATCTGGTGGGTGAAAAATGCCTTAATTTGTACTTATGTAATTATGAGGGAAGTTAAATATCTTTCTCTCTGAATTGTCAGTTCATGATTTTTGCCATTTTAATAGTTTTATTGATGTCACAGATACAGTTATGTTAAGGAAAGTAGCCTTTTTGTCTGTGATATGTAGTGTGAATACTTATTTGTATTAATCTTTTATCTTTTGACTTTGTGCTATTTTTGCCATGTAAAAACTTTATCTTTTAATGTAGTCCTGTATACCAAAGTTTTGTGTCTCTGGACTTAAAATTTTGTTTCTTGCATAGAAAGCCATATGCCAAAGTTATCTATATGTGCGTGTGAGTGTGTGTATACACACACAAACATATTTTTTAAAAACTTTATGTGGGGCCAGGCGCAGTGGGTCATGCCTGTAATCCCAGCGCTTTGGGAGGCCAAGGTGGGCCGATCACAAGGTCAGAAGCTTGAGACCAGCCTGGCCAACATGATGAAACCCCTTCTCTACTAAAAATACAAAAGATAGCTGGGTATGGTGGCAGGCACCTGTAATACCAGCTACTCAGGAGGCTGAAGCAGGAGAATCGCTTGAACCTGGGAGGCGGAGGTTGCAGTGAGCCAAGACCTCGCCACTGCACTCCAGCCTAGGCAATAGAGTGAGACTCCGTCTCAAAAAACAAACAAACAAACAAAAAAACAAAAAAACTTTATGTTGAAATAATTTTACTTACAGAAGAGTTGCAAAGATAGAACAAAGAATTCTGGTATATTCTTTCCCCAATATTAATATCTTACTGTGATACAGTTATCAAAACTAGAAATTAGCATTGGCATATTAATATTAACTGAAATACAGACTTCATATTTACCATTTTTCCATTGATTCTCTTATGCTGTTCTAGGATCCTGCTTTGCATTTAGTTGTCATATCTTCTTATCTGAGATAGTCCCAGAGTCTTTTCTTATCTTTTATGCCCTTGATTCTTTGAGGAGGACTGGTCAGATATTTTGAAGAGTGTCTCTCAAGTTGGATTTGTCTGATATTTTTCCATGGTTAAATTGACTTAGTATGATTATTTTTTGTGAGGGTAACCTTGTTCTCTTGGTTAAGGTGGTATCTGCCAGGTTTCTACCCTATGACAAAATTATATTTTAAAAACATTTGTTGTTCTAGTACCTTTACAGTTTTATTTATAAATATATGTATCTAAGATATCTGGGCTGTATTTTAGTCTAAGATGTAAGGTATAGATTTTGGTTTTTAATGGCTAGTCAGTTGTCCAAATACCCCTTATTGACTTATCTGTCTCCATTCATTTGATGAAATGCTGCCTTTATCATGTATTAAATTTCCACATTTACTTGGTTTTATTCTAAATTTTCTGTTCTCTTCCATTGATTTGTCTTGCCTATTCATGCATCAAGACAAAGCCAATTTTAGTTACTGAGCTTTATAATATGTTTTACTATGTTATGAAACTAGTGATAGGACTCCTGTCTTCTTTTATATCCTTCAGTAGATTTTTAACATTTTCTTCCAATGGTCCTCTGTGTTTCTTGGCAAGTTTATTTTTAGGTGTTTTATCTTTATCGTTACTATCTGAAATGGAGTCTTGTATGCCATTTACTAACTGGTTTCTTAATTCATATCTGATTCCTAATACAGTTCCCTTTTCATTGAGGCCATAAGTCATTTGACTCATTTTATTGCAAAATGTATTCTTTACTTATTGGGTAACTATGAATAAATTTTATCTTCATCATGCCCTCTTTCCTCTCCCTCCTTCAGATTAGAGCCAATGTCCTTAACTGTGTAAACTTGGCCAAATTTTAATAAACTGTGTAATTAAACTTCTGGGCACTTCAGTTTCCTGATAACTTTGGGAGGTTATCATACTTCTTTTAGTTCAGTCCCTTCTCCAGACCCAGAGCCTTTGGTAGGGGGCACTTCATAGATTGATTCATTTATTTTCTTCCTCTCTGTGACCTAAAATTCTCTAAACCTTGGTAAGCATACTATGTTACTTCTAAGAGATGGCATATTTGTAGTGTTATTTTGTGGGTAGAGAAAGGAAAATGAAAATTGCAATGGGCAAGATTCCCACAATGAACATTCCCTGGAGTTAGTTATGATTTTGGGATACAGGATTGTTTCATGCTGAAACATGCTGCCTGGTATGTTGCTGCTCACGAGTCTCCAGGCCCTCTTAGGATGTCTGTTAAATTCTGTGCTAGCAGGGGGCCAAAACAGGCAACTTCATCTGAACTGGAAAGGTCTTGTTGCCATATGGAGGACTGCATTTCCGTGTATTTTTACAGGGGTGGGGGAATAAAGCACCAGAGGTTAAGACAGTAAGGGGCAGAGGTACATCTCTTGCCTGATAACATCTGCAAAACATTGAGCTCGTCAAACATATCTGGTGATTCCAGTTCTCCCTACAGGGATTCAGAGAACTGTGAGCCACATTGCCTGCCCTCAGGCTGGCACAGGGACATAAACATTATAGAACTAAGAACAATAAAAATTTGAACAATTTAAAGTAATTATATTATAGACGGTACATTTATTAAACCTGAAGTACACAACATAGATGTTATTTGCTATAGGGTTCGGGAGCTGGACATAATCCCTTTTAGGCTAAAGTGGACAGGGAAGGCATCATAGAGAATGTGGAACTTTAACTGAGGATTCAGAGTTAAAGAGAACAGAGTAGATGGTGATAGGAGCCTGTCCGATTAGGACAGCAGCATGAAAAAAGTTGAGAAAAGTGAAAAGATGGTTGAAACCTGAGTCTAGCAGTCTAGTTTCTCCATTCACTGATTCCGTAATATCTCTTTAGCCCAAGGATCAGCAGACTTTCTCTTGAAGGACCAGAGAATAAGTATTTTAGGCTTTGTGGTTATATGGTCTCTGTCACAGCTTCTTATCTACTGCTATAGTGCAAAACCAGCCATATGTAAATGAATGAGTGTGGCAGTGTTCCAATAAAACTATATTTATGGATGGTGAAATTTGAATTTCATATAGCTTTTTACATGTCATGAAATATTATTCCTCTTTTGGTTGTTTTTCAGCCATTTAAAAATATAAAAACCATGCTTAGCTTATGGGTTCTACAGAAATAGTTCGCTGGACCAAATTTAGCCTGTAGCTGTAAATTTGCCGACCCCTGATTTAGCCCACTAACATGATAAACTAGGAATACGTTATGCAAATAAATTATAAGCGTATGGAGTTTCATTCTAAGAATATCCACTAGAAGATCCAAAATTGAAAGCTATGGGAGGTGAGTACAGGTTCAAGTAGTTGGAAAATAATGGCTCATTATTTAAGCTTGTAAATTGATATTTAAAAAAACCAAGAGTCAACATGGTACTTTAGCCCATGCCATTGCATTTTTTAATAACCTTAGAAAGAAGGCCAGGTGCAGTGGCTCACGCTTGTAATCCCAGCAGTTTGGGAGGCCAAGGCGGGCAGATCACGAGGTCAGGAGATCAAGACCACAGTGAAACCCCATCTCTACTAAAAATACAAAAAATTAGTTGGGTGTGGTGGCGGGCGCCTGTAGTCCCAGCTACTCAGGAGGCTGAGGCAGGAGAATGGTGTGAACACGGGAGGCTGAGCTTGCAGTGAGCTGAGATGGCGCCACTGCACTCCAGCCTGGGCGACAGAGTGAGACTCCGTCTCAAAATAAAGAAAGGAAGAAATAATAATAATAATAACCTTAGAAAGAAAGACAATTTAGTGATTGGATGTTCTTGCAAATGAATAGCATTTTCAAGGATTTATTTAATCAGGCTCCTCCTAAGAGTAGCATGTTCTGACAACAGCTATAGATTTATCAGAAAGCAATCTTTGGATATTGGTGGTAGTTGAGTTGCATGTTGATCATTAAATGCTGTACTCCTTTTGCAGGCATGGTCTACATGGCTGGACTTGTTTTTGCTGTTGGTGGCTTTAATGGCTCATTAAGAGTTCGCACTGTAGATTCCTACGACCCTGTGAAGGACCAGTGGACCAGCGTTGCTAACATGAGAGACCGGAGAAGCACTTTGGGAGCTGCTGTGTTAAATGGATTATTATACGCTGTGGGAGGCTTTGATGGGAGTACAGGTAATTTCCTTTTCATTTATTCTACATTGCTGCTAAAATTAACGTAGTAGTCATGTTTATGGAATAAATTGTGGCAACATTAGGGCACATGTGAGGTTTTTTGTGTTTTTTTTTTTTTTTTTGAGATGGAGTCTTGCTCCGTCGCCCAGGCTGGAGTACAGTGGCGCAATCTCGGCTCACTGCAAGCTCCGCCTGCCGGGTTCATGCCATTCTCCTGCCTCAGCCTCCCGAGCAGCTGGGACTATAGGTGCCCGCCACCACGCCCGGCTAATTTTTTTTGTATTTTTTAGTAGAGACGGGGTTTCACCATGTTAGCCAGGATGGTCTCAATCTCCTGACTTTGTGATCCGCCCACCTCGGCCTCCCAAAGTGCTGGGATTACAACATGTGAGGTTTTAACTGGTATTTAAAGATAAGTTTAAAATTTTATCAAGAATTTCCTTAAATGATATGAGTGGTGAGTATATAAATTTTCTTTCTTATGCATCAGTATCAGTCATCAAATTTTAAAAGCTTATAAATATCAGTAGCTTAGGTAGGAGCCTTCTGGAAAACAAGCTGTACCTGTTTTTCATGTAATTGCTGTGTTTATGTTCCACCATTTTCTTCTCTTAATTTTAGCCCAGTATAACATACCTGAAGTATTTTTCCATATATATGAACTATTGACATTTTTTAGAGAAGGAAATGAAGACTATTGTGCTTTATTATAGGTTTGTCATCTGTGGAAGCATACAACATAAAGTCTAATGAGTGGTTTCATGTAGCTCCCATGAATACAAGGAGGAGCAGTGTTGGTGTGGGTGTTGTTGGAGGTAGGTGTTGACAGTTCTTTCAGGTACATGTGGCATTTTGATCCTTGAGAGTGGTTCTTCCAGTAATCTCAACTTTAGTTTTCTGAATGGGCAAGCTAATTATCATTTTAAAAAGAAAAGTCGTAATTACTGTAAAATTTCAGTTATCCTCTTTTTAAAATTAGCTTCTCTATATAAATCAACCTATATAAAGCCTTTTCTCTCCCTCTCTATCCCCCTCCCTTTATCCCTCCTCCTTTCTCTCTGTGTGTGTGTGTGTGTGTGTGTGTGTGTGTGTGTGTTTGACTTATATAACTGTGTGTGTTTGACTTATATAACACGTGTGTGTTTGACTTATATAACAGCAGTCCCCAACCTTTTTGGCACTAGGGACTGGTTTTGTGGAAGACAATTTTTCCATGGACAGGGGTGGGTTGGGGGGATGGTTTTGGGATGAAACTGTTCCCACCTCAGATCATCAGGCATTAGAGTGTCATAAGGAGTGCACAACCTAGGTCCCTCAAATGTGCATTTCAAGATAGGGTTCACACTTCTGTGAGAATCTAATGCCGCTGCTGATCTGACAGGAAGTAGAGCTCAGCTGTAATACTTGCTCACCTGCCGCTCACCTCCTGTTGTGCAGCCCGGTTCCTAACAGGTTCCAGACAGGTACCGGTCCATGGCCTGCGGTTTGGGGACTGCTGCTGTATAAGACTGTCAACTGATTTTAACAGTTGCTTGGGGGAACAATTCAGGTGACATAAATGTGTAATTTTATATCTGGAGAAGGGCTGTTAAGGGATGGATTGCCACAGTTATTTATTTATATCCTACTTTGTCTCCCAACAGAAGTTAAGGAAGGCTCTAAGTATTATTATTATTATTTTTTTTTAATTGACTTGGGCAAATTTGCAGGTTTCCACCCCCTCCTCATCGTAGGTGTAATCTGTGCACTTAGAAAAAAACAGCTTTATTGTGATATAATCCACATCATACAATTCACCCATTTCATGTATACAGTTCATTGTGCATCCATCACTGCAATTCATTTTAAAACATTTTTATTATCCTCTAAAAGCAATCCTGCTTCCCTTGGCTCTTACTCGTATCTTACCCAACCTTCAGCAACTGCTAGTCTACTTTCTATCACTTAGAGATTTGCCTCTTCTGAATATTTTAGTCATACAGTATGTGATCTTTGGTGACTCACTTCTTTGGCTTAGGGTGATGTTTTCAAGATTTGTTTATTTATACTGAGGCATTTATTAGTACTTCATGCCTTTTTAATGCCAAGTAATATTGCATTGCATTCTGTTATTAATTTTTGATTTAACCTTTTTTCCGATTTCCTAAGATAACTTTGGTATTTAATTCTGTCTTACAGGATGTTGTTCACTTATCAAATAGTGTTACCTAAAGATATAATGAGTGTGCTATTTTATCAGATTATTGATGAAAGTATAAAATTAACATCATCAGCTATACCCTGCAGATCTTCATAACATGATTTGATTACCCCATCTGTCACCATTAGGCAAGACCCTAATATATTTCATAAAAATCAGCAGCACTTTAAGGGGAAACTCTGCTGCCATGAAGGAAAATATATTAATATTTTCTGGCTTGAAAAATTAGTGTTTTTTGTTTGTTTGTTTTTTAATAAATTTGGCTTTCTATGTGATTTTATGTGTAGGTTTGCTCTATGCTGTAGGAGGTTATGATGGAGCATCACGTCAGTGTCTTAGCACAGTAGAATGCTATAATGCTACAACAAATGAGTGGACCTATATAGCAGAAATGAGCACCAGGCGGAGTGGAGCAGGTACATGTGAACCTGTTTTAGCAACTGAAGCACAAAAATGATGGAAAATAGTTAAAGTAAAATGATTCAGTGGCATCACTTTACATTATCTGAAAATATATGATATGCTGATTTTAGTGGCACTGCTAAATGTCTTTTGAATTGTGCAGGTAATGGGAGTAATTACAAAGTAATTTTACTTTAAAATTTAATGTCTAAGTGCCATAGACATTTCTGTTTCATTTATATATTCAAGTTGTTAGCACTCCTTTTAGTTTTTTGTTTTTAGTGCTTATTGGGGAACTTGCTTAATAATCAAGTCTTTTCATGTATATTTCTTAAAATTTTGTGCTTTAATATGCGGTTATTTTACTATGGATATTGTTTTCAAAAGGATTACATTAAAGGACTTTTTCCCTCCCTGTGTTTCACCTACATGTTATTAATATTTTTATTCTGTTTGACATGCCTCTTTTTTCAGAATAATAGTTTGTTGAGATGCTTATTTAATCATCAATTGTATTGATTTCCATTTCTTAAATTGTAGGCTATAGTATCAGCTTGCTTTTATTATGAATTATAACTTCGAAAGTTTTAGTTACAAGTCATTTAAATAAACCTAATATGATATAAATCTCTTGTTCTTTTTGCCCCTCTATTTGGCTGGTTGTGTTTTATAGGTGTTGGTGTGTTAAACAATTTATTGTATGCTGTAGGAGGTCATGATGGCCCTTTAGTACGAAAAAGTGTTGAAGTATATGATCCCACCACTAACGCATGGAGACAGGTTGCAGATATGAACATGTGCAGAAGAAATGCAGGTATCTGTCAGTTTAAGGTTATAAAACTTATGTTGAATTTTATTTTAAGTTTCACTGGTATCACTCTATCAATGAATATCAATGGTATTTCCATTGTTCTTTTACTGATCTGGGTTCCCTGATAGACTCTGAACTCTTTAAAGCCAGAAACTTATGTAATAATCCTATAAAGTGAATGCCTGCCATAGTCTCTGGAACATAACAGGTTGTTGTGACACTTCAGTAAACTCATCATTTCTACTAGCTGCTACTTTTTGGTGATAAATGTGGAGACTAATTAAATTAGGTGTAGACCCTTTAAATGATACTGAATTCATTCATTCTTACAACAGATATAATTTAGTGCCTACTATGTATCTATCATACACTGGAGATCCTAGTTCTCAGGAAATTTAGTCTAGTTGAGTAGATATTTATACTAGGTTAAAAAGCTAGTTGATTATCTAAATCTAGAGGGGAAGTCTGCAAAGGTAACCCTAGCTTAATACAGTTCAGGATTTCCAGAAAAATGGAAAAACTAAAGCAACAACAATAACAACAAATAATTTTAAGAAAGTAGAGAACTTCAAGATTAGGGAACTAACCACTTAAAAAGAAGAATCAAGAAAGGGAAATACAAATGGAAAATAGACTCAAGATAGCTACATAGCCTTTCAGGAAATGCTAGGATTCTTCAAAATGCCATTATCTTCATGTCATTTCTCATAGTGTAAAATAAGTTCCTGGTGAGTCTCAAACTTACTGTACACCATTGGACACCCCCCTCCATCAGCGCTCATCTTAGTTTCTCTTTAAAGAAGGGTGATTACTAAGAGAGACTAAGTATGTGGAACTGCAGATACTGTTGGCAGCAGACCAGAATTTATAGTTAATTCTGTTTGGCCTTGCACGTCATCTAGTCAGTTGTATATGGTAATCAGTTCGTTAGATGGTAAGACCCTCAAATATGGGTCCTTAGTAGAATAAGTGACTCCAGTATACATTAAGTTAGAAAAGCCATGGTGATTTGTGCATGTGTCTTCCTGGATTAGGAAATTTAGTTGCAATTTGAGCTTTTTATGAATATTTTCTTAAAGGTTAGACTAATTTATTTTTTCTCTATATGTGTTTATTGTTTTCATATCAAAATTCACTCATTTAGGTAGAAGAATAAAGAGATAATTTGTATATATAGAGCTACCATTATCCTGTTCTTCAAAAAATTGTGTGGGAAAGGGTAGGATTTAGGAAAAAGACGTAAGTCTCTGTTGAAAAGTTGTTTCATATTTTGATTTAGACAACATTACTTGAGTTTATTTGATAATCAGGAAGAGAGAGAAATCTGAAAGCTTACTTTTCAGTTTGTTTTTCCTTCTCAATCAATGATGTTTATTTTCTATGCAAATAACAAAATTTGAATTATTTACTTCTATAATTTACAAGATACAGTATAATCCAATTGAGCATATATTTTAAAATTATTTAAGTTCATAAGAGTATTTTAAAATCTCACCCTCATTCCATATTCCTGATAATCTGAAACAAACTTCTGATAAGATCTGTTCAGCTCTTCCTTTTTAATAACCTAGGCTAAGGACCTCATCCAAGCACCTAAATTATTGGAAAGAAAGAACTAAGCTGGCAAAGAGTGGAGGACATGTATTCAATGTTAAGCGGGGAGAGGTGAAAGCATCCATATAAATTTGAAATAGCAAGCAGCTTACAAGCCAGATTTCAAAAGTTTTCATAAGTATGGTAAATTATGACACCAAGAGTGGAGTAAAAATGAAATAAATTTGAATTAGATGATTATATATAGACCTTTAATACCTAGCACATCTGTAATAGGTTCTCAATATGAATTTGATTGTGTTGAAGTAAACTGAATAAACTGGAACCATCAAACACTGCAGGAAGGTGCATCCTTTTGGCAAAGTGATTTGGCTCCTATCGCCTAAAAGGAATCTGGTGTTGTGAGTTAGTGGGTTAGTAAAATTGATGTCTTCTGAATGTATAGCTAAGATATTCAAATGGATGTATGGACCAACCTCCCTTTCTGCAGTGGGATGCTCTTTAATCTGTGAGCCCCTCATAGATATGATTGGGAAAACTCTTTAGAACAATATAGTCTCCTTGTTCATGCCTTCCATCATAGCAGGGCCATTTTTGAGATCATTTTTTCTCTCACAGTCCTATGTTGTCCATCAATAGGCTGAAATACAGTGTTGCATACACATGTAACTACTGTGTGGAGCTTGTGTGGCAGCAGCATTTGATTCTTGCTTTTAAGTATTTGAACAACTTTAAAATGGTATGAGTTTTTTTCCTACAAAGTTTTGTAGATTTGGGCAGCATTATTCGGGATTCTTTGATGCCCTCTAGTATAAGTTCATAGTAGCACTGAACTTTTTATAAGAAATTAAATGTACTTTTAAAAAATTACATTGAAATAGCTTTTTAAAAGCATTTACCATTAGACTCAGCAGTTTTCCTTCTAATAATTTATATTAAGAAAAATTGCTCAAGTATTCAAAACACTGTTCAGGGGATCTTTGTTCATTGCAACATCATTGGTAACAGCAAAAAAATCAAAATTACTTAAATATCCATCAGTAAAAAAATGATTAAATAAACTGTCATACATAAAAATTACATTTATATTTATTAACTTGAGGAAATGTCCAAGGTAGGTTGGTTGGCCAGGGTGGGTAAGTTATTTAATAAAGTAGCATGTGTAGTGTGAGCTACTTTGGGGTTAAAAAAGAAAGTGTCTGAGTATATATGCATGGAGAAAAGTTAGCCAGAGTAGAGATCAAAATTTTAATGGTCATTATTCTAAGAGACATAAGGTTGGAGGTCATCTTTTTTTCTTATAATACTTTTCTAGATGTTTTGAATTTTTGCAAAGAAAAGAGTTATTTTAATAGATAAATAATATTGTTCTCTTTAAAGGGAGATAAAATAGCTAACCATTCAGTGTGATAATTAAAATTAAGAATATTTTTACCTTCTACTAACATATATTTTCTTCCTTAAGATTCCCTAAGTAGCTGACTTTGACTTTTTATTAAAAAAAAAAAAATGAGGGTCAAAATAGTTTCTAACCTATAATGTTGTGAAAATTAGGTAGAATAATGCATATATAAAGTAACTACTGCATAAATGACACTCAGTAGGAGCTTAGAAGTGGTATTATGGTCTCCTAATATAGAAAGAATTCTTTTTTTTTTTTTTGGAGACAGAGTCTCACTCTGTTGCCCAGGCTGGAGAGCAGTGGTGTGGTCTTGGCTCTCTGTAGCCTCTGCCTCCCTGGGTTCAAGTGATTCTCCGGCTTCAGCCTCTTGGAGTAGCTGGGACCACAGGCACACTCCCCCATGCCTGGCTGATTTTTGTATTTTTAGTAGAGATGGGGTTTTGCCATGTTGCCCAGGCTCATCTCGAACTCCTGACTTCAAGTGATCTGCCCACCTTGGCCTTCCAAAGTGCTGGGATTACAGGCGTGAGCCATGGTGCCTGGCTATCCTAATATAAAACGAATTCTTTTCATGCTCACTATTTTCTCTTCTTGCCTCCTTTCAAAGAAATTAGTGTCTCTGGATTACCTCACTAAACATGTACAGTGATACTCATATTCATCCCAATTTTTTAAATAATTGTTTTCTCTCTGTAATTTTTTAAAGGAGTTTGTGCAGTTAATGGTCTGTTATATGTTGTTGGAGGGGATGATGGTTCCTGTAACTTGGCGTCAGTAGAATATTATAACCCAACAACCGATAAATGGACAGTTGTGTCATCGTGTATGAGCACAGGGAGAAGTTATGCAGGTAACAGTTGTCTCTAAAGTCAATTTCCGTACAAAAAGATGACCTCATTATGAATGTTATATTAACGAAGTTTTTCTGTTATAAGAATAAAGTCTTTTCTCAAGGTATAGTTTATATCTTATTCTTAAGATGATTAACATTGGCTGTGTATATTCTGAAATAAAGCACCAGTATACTTTTGTCATTCTACAGTCATTTGTATTCAAAATCCCAAATCTTTGATATACAAAATCATATAATAAAATTTAATGTAGCTAAAATCTGTATGCAGAGGAGAAGAATTCATATGTGGCAAGGCTTTAATTCCTGAGATGTCCAAGAAATAGGATAGGATTCCTACATCTCCCCATGGTGTGGCTCCATGAGATAGTATTATAGTGAGGCTGTGGAATAATTTTTCTTTCTTAAGCATAGTACTGGTTGAGTTATAAAATGTGATTTTTTGGTCCATTCTCTTAGTAAGATAAATGTTAATTTTAATAAATATTATGGTGAGTCTTTATGTTATTTATTTCAATTATATTTATCTTGCTTTTAATAGTATAATGTTTCTGTAACAAAATTGATCCAATAGTGGAGGAAGAAAATGTTTAAGCTCATTAACCATCACTGTTGCTTATGTATCATTCAAAACAGTACTGAGAAGAACTATGTACAGTAGAATTCCAGTATAACATGGGTGAATATTAGATGAATTTTTAAAACAACTTCATTGAGGTATAAACTGACAGAATACATAGCGTACAGTTGACCCTTGGACAACACAGGTTTGAACTGTGTATGTCCACTTACATGTGGATTTTTTTCAATAATTATGTTGGAAAAATTTTTTTGGAGATTGGTAACAGTTTGAAAAAACTCAGATGCACTGCATAACCTAGAAATATTGAAAAAATTAAGTTTAAGATTATGAACACATAAAATATACGTAGATACTAGTCTGTTTTATCATTTACTACAAAATATCTACAAATCTGTTACAAAAAGTTAAAATTTATCAAAACATATGCACACAAACTCTTATGGGAACAAACACCCACAAACCATAGATGGTGTCATTCACAGTCCAGAGAAATGTGAACAAACCACAAAGATACAATATTAAATCATAACTGCATGAAATTAACTGTAGTATGTTACTGTACTACTATAATAATTTTATAGCCGTCTCCTGTTGCTGTATTGGTGAGCTCAGCTGTTGTGAGTATCCACTTAAAAAGCTGTGGGGGGCTAATTACCTTTGAAAGAGCAGTTTGTCTCTTCAGCGATGCGTATCTCAGTAAAAAGTTCTCTCTCATGGTTCTGCCTTATTTTTCATCATGTTTACTGCAATATCATAAACCTTGAATAATACCATGGGACCCATACAAAGTGCCACCGGTGATGGTGCTAGGAAGTGCTTCAACGAAGCAGAGAAGAGTCATGACATTACAAGAAAAAGCTGAATTGCTTGAGATATACCATGGATTGAGGTCTGCTGCTGCACTTGCCCACCATTTCAAAATAAATGAATCCAGGGTAGGGATCATTGTAAAAAGGAAAAAGGAAATTCATGAAGCCGTCCCTGCAGCCATCCCAGCAGTTTTGAAAACTTCACACTTTTTGTGAAATCCCTTTTTATCTTGTGTTGAACATGCAGCTTTTATGTGGGTGCAGGATTTTTGTTTTTGAGACAGAATCTCACTCTTGTCGCCCAGGCTGGAGTGCAACAGCGTGATCTCAGATCACTGCAACCTCCGCCTCCCAGATTCAAACGATTCTCATGCCTCAGCTTCCTGAGTAGCTGGGATTACAGGGATGTGCCACCACACCTGGCTAATTTTTAAATTTTTATTATTTTTATTATTTTTGACTTTTTGGTTTTGGTTTTTGGTGGGTGCAGGATTGCTGTAAGAAAGGCATACCTGTCAACTCTAATATGATTTGAGAAAAAGGAAAGTCATTATGTGACAACCTGAAGCAAAAGGAAGGTGAAGGATCTAAAGCTGGAGAATTTCCTCAGCCTACTCAAGCAAAGGATGACTTGATAATTTTGGAAAGGGGTTTGGCTCAAAAAATGTCAAGATAACAGGAGAACACTTCTGTCAACCAAGGGGCCAGCAGATGAGCTCCCAGATGCCATGAAGAAAGTTGTTGAGGAGAATGGATATCTGCCTGAACAAGTTTTTAATGCAGACAAATGTGCCACCAGGGACATTTATTAGGAAGATAAGCAAGCACCAGAATTTAAGGCAGAAAGGGATAAGCTAACTCTACTATTTTGTGCAAATGCAGTTGGGTTTATGATTTGGACTGCTCTTATCTAAAAAGTTGCTAACCCCCAATCCTTGAAGGGAAAATATAAATACCAGCTGCCAGTCTTTTGACTGTATAACAAGAAGGCCTAGACAAGAAATCTTTTCCCGGACTGGTTCCATCTATGCTTCAGGTTCAGGAAGTACCATGCCAGTAAGGGACTGCTTTTTATTTTGATATTGGACAGTGCCCTTGGCCACCCAGAACCCCATGAGTTCAACACCAAAGGCATAGAAGTGGTCTACTTGCCCCTAAACACAATGTATCTAATTCAGCCTCTAGATCAGTGACCATAGGAACCTTAAAGTTTCATTATACATGGCACTCTATGGAAAAAATTGCCAGTGCTATGGAAGAGAATCTCAACAGAGAAAACATGAAAGTCTGGATGGATTACACCATTGAATATATCATTGTTATAGAAAAAGCTATGAAAGTCATCAAACCCAAAACAATAAATTCCTGCTGGAAAAAAACTGTGTTCAGATGTTGTGTATGACTTCACAGGAGTTATGACAGAGCCAGTCAAAGAAATCATGAAAGAGATCATGGATGTGGCTATAAAGGTTGATGGTGAAGGGTTTCAAGGTATGGATCTTGGAGAAATTCAAGAGCTAATAGATACCAAACCAGAGAAATTAACAGAACATGACTCGACGGAGATGAGTGCTTCTTAACCACTGCCAGACAATGAAGAAGATGTAGAAGCAATGTCAGAAAACAAATTGACATTAGACAGTCTGGCAAAAGGGTTTGGTTATTCAAGACTGTTTATGACTTACTTTATGAAATGGGCCCTTCTATGATATGTGCACTGTAACTGAAGAAAGTAGTGGAAAGACGATTGGTATTATGTGGAAACATTTTTAGAGAAATGAAAAAAACAAAAAAGTCAGACAGGAATTAACAGTGTATTTCCTTAAAGTTGCACCAAGTGTGTCTGCCTCTCCTGTTTCCCCTGCCTTCCCTTCCACCTCCTCCACCTCTTCTGCCTCTGCCACCCCTGAAACAACAAGACCAACCTCTCCTCTTTCTCCTCCTCCTCAGCCTGCTCAATGTGAAGAGACAAGGATGAAGACCTTGATGATGATCCACTTCCCCTTAATGAATAGTAAATATAGTTCCTCTTCCTTATGACTTTTTAAATAACATTTCCTTTTCTGTAGCTTACTTTAAGAATACAATATATAACACATAACATGTTATGACATACATAACATATATTACATGTAAAATATGTGTTAATTGACTGTATCAGTAAGGCGTTTGGTCAACTGTAAGCTATTAGTAATTAAATTATGCGGGAGTAAAAAATTATACATGGGTTTTTGACTGCGTGGAGGGTCAGCACCCCTGACCCCCATGTCGGTTCAAGGGTCAACTGTATATTTAAACTATATAATTTTATTACTTTTGACAGAGTATATACCCATGAAACCATCACCACAATCAAGATAATGAACATATCCATCATGCTCAAAAGTTTCTGTGTTCCCTTTTGAGTATATTTTCCAAATTGTAACTACAAAGAGGAAAAGACTAGTTCTGGATTAAATAGTCTTATATTTAACTAGCCCATAACTAAACAGAGTTTTCACTGTCATTTAGATTCAAATGATAATACTACTAAAGTTTAAGAAAGAGATTCTGAAACATGATTTGTACAGTTCCTCCTGCCTTCGTATTATAATGAAGAATTGAGTGTTTTCTCAGAGATACAGAGTGCTGCCTGTGACTTCTTTTTTCTCTCTTCATTTCTTTGCTCAGGGGTCACAGTTATTGATAAACCATTATGAGCCTGAAGGACATTTTCAGCATATTTATACATGAGAAACAGCCTTCAACAAGTATTTGTGAAGTGACTGAGAATCTAGCACTTCTCCACTTGTAGCTGCACTTTAAGTCTCAGCAGAAGATACGATCGTCTGCCTTTATAGGCCTCAGATACTGAAGATTATTTTTGGTAGAAGCACCGTGTAGGCTTTTTCTGCAATGAGCAGCAGCTGACTGAATTTTCATAAGAAACTTGGACTGCAGGACTTAATCTGTAGTCTTTAGACAACAGTTGCTTTCATAAAGACTAGTTCTTATCAACCTTGAATGACTACAGATTATTTTGTGAAGGAGGATGAAGTAATGTGTGTTCTTGTAAAATTAAATTTTATCTTTATTTCTTCTAAAAATCTGTATACCAGGAACTGAAAATCTTTGAACAGATATTAAAATCTACGTAAGTATACAAACTAGTTGAGGGATACACTGTTTGCTTTTATAAAATAACTTTGATTACATGAATATAATAAATTATGTGCATATAAATGTGTGTCTATATGCTTTCCTTTAAATATGTTTGAAAAGATGTTTGAAACTTGATTATACTATTTATAATTGGCACAGTACTTTGAATTATGCCAGTACTACATTGTAAAACAGAGTTGTATTTTTTGATATTTAACAATGCTTAACACTTTAAATGCCACTTCTGAGGAATGGACCTGGTGTAACACACTTGAATATGTGTGATGCCAAACTTTTTAAAATACAATATAAATTATGCTTATTTATTATTTTCTTTAGTTTAATCTTGGTCATGTTTTGGTGTGTATTTTTAATTTTTTTCTTAAATTAACACTTTGGCATGAACATTACTGCAGGTTTTTGATGAATATAATGAATGTATGGAATTCAATTGAATTTGCATGGTCTTCGGAATTTTTTCTGTGTGTATAAATTTAGCTGCTATTAACAGAAGAGAGAACTTTCTGTGAGTAGCCATGTGTGTTGATCAGATACAGTTTTTCTGAGATCTTCAATTAATCTCACTTTAAAAATGACCAAAACATGTCTTTCTTGAATTAACTTTGAATAAAAGTTTGTATATTATTTGTTTCACAGTGTTCTTGATTTTTATCTATTTAGTTTTGTGTTAAAGTTTCCTGTTAGTTTTTTTGCTCTTTTATAGTTTGCATTTTGTCACTTCACAAATCTGCATTTTTAATTTATTGCCAAAGTGACCTCACCTACAAGACAAAACTATTAAATGAATAACCGAAGTCAATAAAAATGGTTCTGTTTCCAAGGAAAAGTAACTTCAACTATCAAGGAGAGGTCTGTCAAGGATTGGTAAAATTTAAACCTTTTATATTTTTGTGTCCCTGATATGGGTAGGGCATGAGATAAGGATAAAACAAGTAGTATTAGACCAAAAGGAAAGTCAAAGAAAAAAAATACCTACTCCAAAGTAACTGAGAAATAAACTGTGGTTTTGATACCAAATAAAAGGAATTGAGGAAATAGGAATAGTGGAGTCAGGTAGGCAGCTGAGGTGCTGGACACAGCAGAGGAAGGGAAGAGGGGGAAGGAGGAGGTGATGGGATATTGTGACCATTCCTCAGGAATTAAAAAAGTTGGCATGAGCTGTTGCTAGACCAGTTGATAATCAAGAGGAAAGATTGCTATGATAACATTTCGATTCAAATTTAAACATGGAACCACATTTAATACTTAGTTGAACTTTCCATTATAAATGAATTTAATCAGAAAAAGCCTATGCTCAGTTGATGAAAACATGAATTTCTGCCTTACAGCACATCATTGTCAACAAACATATTGAAGGTCTAATGAACTTGGAGTAGTCAGCTGTTTCTGACAGAGGCACCAAGAAAAATGTATGAGGTCTCTGTCTGTCCTGATCACTTCCAAACACTAATGTTCTATATGAATCTATCAATTAAAGATTTATCTGAAAAATCTTAAAGCTTTTCTTAAAATATAATCTCAGCCTATTAAAGTAACAAAGACTTAACTACATAGCATGTCAAATACCTCTATCTTTACTTTCTTAATCTTTGAAGCTTTAATAGCTATACTATAATTGCCAAGGTTTGTCAGTAGCTGGATTCATAGCTATGATTTCAGAGACTTTAGACATACCTCCTTCCCCCATGCCAACCTTTGTCTTTCCAGTTTGAAATTTTTTTAAAGGCATATGGAAGTGTTCTCAGCCTGTTCCATTGTTGTATGAAAAATAAGAAGGCAGAGAGGTGTCTTAGAAATCCTGCCAAGGAAGCAGCCCCACGTTTGAGCAGAGTTCAAGGCTGGATCCACATACCTGCGTTGTGAAGCAACTCGTCTGCCTGCTTTGTTGGGATCTATGCCTCCTTGGCTGAAAGCAGTGATGACTGTGGTTAAGGCGGAAGGTGTATTTACTGTCAGAAGACTATCAGTTCTTTCCCTGTTTCTTATGGAGTCTGGTGTATGATTCCTGGTATTTATTATCTCTTTATCGTTCCTTACAGCATAAGAACCCAGGTATTTGTAATCCTAACTGCTGTTGCGTTATGAGACTTAACTTTATGAGGTGTAAAAGGGTCACATGAAATTACATAGCAGTGTGCTGACACCATCTTGGTTTAGTTTTGTCTTAAGCACACTGCCTCCTACTGACTTCCATGGCTGCCAGTGTCTCATTTTGGAGAGGAGGCTACGCTGGAGAATGGAACTATATTTTGAGTCAAGATTCTGGGGTTCTAATCCTGGCTTTAAGGAAAAAAGCCATGTGGTATATTGGAAAGCCCATGGGCATAGAAACAAAAGGGTTCTGGGTTTGCAGCTCCCTCTATCAATTGCTAGCTGTGACTTTCAACACATTACTTAACCTCTAATCCTTATTTTGTTTTTAAAATGGCAATAGGAGTGTCTGTGTCACAAGGTTGTTGCGTTTGAAAGAAATGATGCATGTTAATATGCTTGAAATCCAGCGGGCCCTCAATAAATTACAGCTATTGTTCCCTGAGCCCCCTGTTAATCTTCATTGTAGGGAAATAAGTGAGTTGAGCTGCTGCATCAGCATTTTTTTCCAGCTCTAAGCCTTTAAGGTTTAAAATAATCTGACCCCTCCATACACCTACACCTGCTCTGATTTAGAAAATGTAATACTGTGGTAGAATTCCAAATCAGAAATAATTGCTGACATTTACTGATCATATCTTGTATGCCAGAGACTGTGCAAAGGGCTTTACATACGTTATCTCATGTAATCATCATAAATAACTCTTCGAGGTGTAGGTATTATTATTTCACAGAAGTACCAGATAAGACAGAGAAGTAACTTATCCACTGCTAATAAAATGCCAAGCCTAGTAAGTGTGGCCCGATAGTGTGTGCTATTGATGCTCACCTGATAGAGGATGGCAGGTTTGGGCAGAGAGAAAAGTTGGGTGGCAGTGCAGTCATCACACAACCAATAGGATGGGGAGCTCTGGAGCTGGGATGGCCAAGCAAAGTAGCCCTACATTGGTTTAGGGGATTTTATACCCGTTTCAACCAGTTACTTGACTAGCTGTTGCCTAGAAAGGGGGTATACCCGTGGGGAGAGGTGCTTCTCTTTGGCAGTACTCAGCAGCTGGAGGAATGCCTGCTTAGGTCTTGAAGAGGGGGATCTGGGTGGTGTGCCACAGCATCCACTACAGGACCAACAGATTCATATGCCCACTGCACAGTATACACTGAGACAGCAGGGTTTGCAGAAGAGAAAGAGTTTAGTGATGGCAGGGTGCCGAGAGGAGATGGGAGGAAACCCTCAAATTCATCTCTCTGAGGAGTTCTGTGCTGGGGCTTTTAAGGGGATCCTGGAGGGCAATGGGCTGGAAAATTAGGGTCCTCGATTGGCTGGGGTAAGGAGGAATGAAACCATCAGGATGTGGGAACTGCATTCTTTGGTGAGTCAGCTCCTTGTCAGACCAGCTGAGTCAGTAGTTTCATCAGTACGAAGGACCTGAAAGGTTATCTCAAAGCACAAACTTAACGTTTCATAATGTTCAAGTTGTTGTCTATAGAGCAGTTAGGGGAAACTATAACCTTGTAACAGAGTCTACATGATTCTGAAGCAATAGGCAAACAATTATGAGGAAGGGGTCAGACAGCAAGCTGACCTAATTATTAATCCTCAGTGTGCTGCAAGCTTGGTTTAATTTCGTTCCCCCCACCCCTTTTTCCCAGATTAACTTCATAAAGTATATAGGCATGGTTTCAGACACCACTGTAAAGGCATCCTAAAGACAGGGCTGACTCTGACAACCAAGGGACAGATCCCATTTCTTTTCATTTGACGTGACCGCTGTCATGATACTTTACAAAGAATGTGTGTGCCAAACATGAGGGATAGACGAATAAGTACAGGTCACACTGAATCTAAAAAAGACACTTTTCAAGAGGGAACTTCCTCAAGGAGATAGTACCTGAATTGATGGGGCGGCATGGAGATGGCTGATTATTCCAGGCAGAAGGGCCAGTTTGAGCAAAAGCATGGAGGAATGAAACAATAGTATTCTGTTTTCAGAAGCTGTATATATTTGACACAATATACACATAATCAAAACATGTGTACGCCGTAAACACAATTTTTGTCAATTATACCTTAATAAAGAAGGAGGAAAAAGGGCCTTCACTAGCCCAAATGATGCCCCTGTGCGGTTTTTTCTTTAAAGGCACCTCTTCCGTTAAGTGAAAGTTTTAGTATATTATCACATCTGTACAGTTTTATTATTAAACCCCAGTACACAATATTTTAATGTTGAGAGATGGTGTAAACTGAGCTTTAGAGCTGCAAAGACCTGCGTCAAGCCCCCGCCCCCGCCCCCGCCCCCGGGCACTCATCGTCCAGCACAACAATTGCAACAACACCTGGGCGTTCTCTGCCCATGTAGCGAGGTCAAGGTCCTGGGAGCCGAACTCTCCCTTGATGTTCAATCTTTTTAAATCTTTCCCAGCCTTTATTTCTCATCTGCAAAATGACGATAATCGCATTTGAAATTCTCCGTTTTCAAAATGCAGGAATTTATTAAAGGATACGTAGGCTGGGGAAACAAGGGAGACGAAAGATCTAAATCTAAATGGTAGACCAGAAAAAGGAAGGCAAGGGTGTCTGGAAACACAAAACAGTCAACATAGATTTTAAGACTCATCTATACTCTCTTCTTCCCGGGTTTGGGAACTGCGGTTGCTACACAGGTCACATTTGAAATAAAAGTCCTGGGACGGCGGCCGGCGCGACACTCTCCCCCGCACAGCGCAGGCTCTCACTGGGAATCTGCCGGGACCGCAGTTGCCAAGGCGACTCCGCGCTGCAGGGCGAGGCGGCCATCCGTCTGTGCCCGCCCCCTCACGCCGTGGCGCGCTCTCACGCTTCCCCGCCTCCGGGCGCTCCGCGGTGCCGACCATTGGCTGGCTCTGCAGGTCTCACTATCCTCACTCCATCCGCGGAGCCAATGGCTGGGACCGCCAGGAGCTCGTTCGCGCGAGTCACACGATGTCGGCAACTGCACAGACCAATCACCGCGCCGAGAAGGCGGGGCGGGAGCTCTCGCAGGCCAATAACGACAGGACGGGCCGCCTGGCCCACCCGGCTCCACCCCCAAGCCAGGCGAGGCAGGTTCCGAGGTTGGAACACCTGGCGAGTCCTCGGTGTCGGTGGCCGGCAGTCATCTCGCGGCCGTTCAGGTGAGGGGGTTGGAGGAGTGGCTCATGAGCGAGGAAGGGGGAGCAGGCGGGCTCCCACCCGGTGCTCCGTGAGATCGAGGGGAGCGGGTTCTGGGTGCGGATGCACGCGCTGGGCGGGACGCTGGCAGTGGTACCCGAGACGGGGCGGAAGGAGACTGGAGTGAAGGTGGGCCTAGGCTAAGGTACGTGCTAGAAAGGATGAAAACGGAGTGAAATTCTTAAGTGATGGAACTAGGCTAGGGCATGTTTCTTGCCCTTTAAAATGTGTTGTCTTCGGGAGACAGGACGTAGAAGATAGTTGCAGCACAGGGTGATAGGCTGGCGAAAGTTATACAAAAGCAGGAACCACTAGAAGGAGGTAAGATGTAGTGTGCTTTGGGAGTAGTGGGGTTGGGAAGGGCGTCCGAGAGGAGGTTACTGAAGGATGACTAGGAGTTGAATGGGAGGACATCACCTGTAAGGGAACGATATTTCCGTGGGCAGAGAGGAATGAAGCAGTAGCAACCATGAGTGATCAGATACTGCAAAAATGTGAAGTGTAGGATGGCGAGAATGTAAGAAATGAAGAGTGAAGAAGTCTGGAAGGGCCTCGTGTGCATCAATCACAGCGGGGCTTGATCTTTATGCTTAGGGCAAGCACTCCCTTGAACTTTGAGTGTTTTAAGGAGGTTATCTCTGATGTTTAAATTTATATAGATCGTGGCATTGCATCTTAGAAATAAGGTTTAGGAAGGGCAAGCTTGGAGGCAGGGCAAGTCCAGAAAATGAAGGAGCTGGTGAAATCCGTGTTAAAGTGCCAAAGGACAGAGACTGGCTGACAGCTAAACTTCAAGGTTTCTGAGAATCCACAAATAACTAAATTTATCTAGTCAACCTGTTCCAGAACAGGCTTCCAGTCATTTAGGTTGCCCAAGAATGAGTAAAGGAAAAGGAAATTCAATTTTCCAAGACCTTGTTTCCCCTCTCCTCTTTAATTCCTTGTTCGGTTAGCAACAGTATATCCATTCCCTCGCTCCTTTGTGAAAAGTAAATTCCTGAATGTTAACTAAACCAAGTGTTTCTAAATTGGGTAAGAGTTTGAAGACTTAAGGCAGCAGAATGGGAGAGACTTAAAACGTTATGTCTGAGAATTAGGCATTAAAGGAGGCCTAGTATTTGGGCGGGGGTTGTGAGGAGCACATACTGAACCTTTGGACCTGTTGAGTGAGTTCATGTGCCTCTGAACTCTCTGACTGGATATGACCAGTAAACTTGGATAATTAGATCCTGGAGTTTAGGGGAGAGGGCTAGAGATAGAGATGATGGATGTCAGCATATTTTTAAAACAGAAAATAGTTAAGATCACCCAAGACAATCTGGAATCGTTAGAAGGGAGTAAGGAAGGCATTATTGGGAAACTTTCCAGCTTCAATTCTCATATTTTTTCTAATCTCCTGGTTGAGTCTTTGGAGTTGCTGTTCTCTCTATGCAAAACCCCTCCCTTGACCCTCTCTCCCTCACTCTATTTTTTAATTTGTCACCTCCTTCTCCTGTTCTAGGTCTCAGTTTAGATAGCACCTTTCTCTAGAAGTTCATAGCACTGTGTATTCCCCCCTTTATTGTTCTTATCACATAATTTTTGATGGTTTGGACACTAGTTGTTATTCCTCACTAAATTTTATGTTTTATGAACTCAGGGGTAAGGGCACCAGCTAGCACAATGAATGCACAATACTTGTCAGAGTGAATGCATTTAAGTTCCAAGAACCAAGGAAAGGCGGTATTTCAAGAAGAGAAGTATCAAATCTTCCAGATTAGTCAAATAAACTCCAAAAAAAAAAAAAAAGGTTTATTGGATTTGGCAGCTGGAGATCCATAGCGATTTTTTTTTTTTTTTTTTTTTTTTTTTGAGACGGAGTCTCACTCTGTCGCCCAGGCTGGAATGCAGTGTCGTGATCTCTGCTCGCTGCAACCTCAGCCTCCCGGGTTCAAGCAATTCTCCTGCCTCAGCCTCCCCAGTAGGTGGAATTACAGGCATACGCCACCACACCCGGCTAATTTTTTTGTATTTTTTTGGTGGAGATGTTTCACCATATTGGCCAGACTGGTCTGGAACTCCTGACCTTGTGATCCGCCCACCTCAGCCTCCCAAAGTGCTGGGATTACCAGCGTAAGCCACCACACCCAGCCTCCTTAGTGATTTTAGTAAGAGTAAGTTCAGTGCAGTGATGACAATAGAATGCAGATTGCAGTTGCTAGAATATAAACAGGAAATAAGAAGATAAAGACAACTCGTGGAATACCTTTTCATAGAGCTTAGGTAAACTGTAGGAATTATTCTCCTTGTACTCTAATACTTATTATGGGTTTTATTTATAATTATAGTGTAATATAATGGATGAGTGCATGGGCTTCCCCACTTAGCATTTGTTAAGCATTAACTTAACATTAAGCATTAGACTTTGGGCAAGTTGCTTAATCTTTCTAAACCTCAGTTATTTTATCTATAAAATGGTGATAAAATAATACCTACCTCACGAAGGTGTGGTAAGGATTAAAGTGAAAATGTAGAGAGCAGGTAGCATGCTTTGAACACAGTTCTTGGCACAGAAAGTGCCCAATAATTGTTAGTTTCTTGTAGCTATTACATGCCAGGTCCTGTGCTAACTAAGCGCTTTATATGCATTGTCTCTTGGACTCATTGGAAGACCTACTGTTTTAATTTTTGCTGCTGATAAAACTGCATCACAGAGAGGTTACCTAATTTGCCCAAGGTCACAGGACAGGACTAGTAAGTGGTCTTGGTTCATTATTGTCAAATTTACTAATCACCTTGAGAAAAATTAAGATTGGATGGTTGCCTTATTTTACAACTTAGAAGATGATTGAAGACATTTTGGTGCAGGTGGGGAGCCAGATTGCAAGTAGCTCAGTGAGTTGTGTGGGTGAGTTAAGCAACCTTTTTTATTCTTTTTTTTTGAGACGGAGTTTTGCTGTTGGTGCCCAGGCTAGAGTGCAGTCACAGCTTACTGAAACCTCCACCTCCTCATTTCAAGCGATTCACCTGAACTCCTGACCTTAGGTGATCTGCCCGCATCAGCCTCCCCAAGGTGCTGGGATTACAGGCGTGAGCCACCATGCCCAGCTGAGTTAAGCAATCTTTATGTAGAGCTCTCCTTTGAGAAAGAAGTTGGTTGGTTCAAAGAAAGATAAATGGGACAGTGGCTTGGAAGAGGTAATGGAGGCTAGGAAGGTGTTTATCAACAAAGGAAGATGTAGGCTGGGCGCAGTGGCTCACACCTATAATCCCCACACTTTGGGAGGCTGAGATGGGAGGATTACTTGAGCCTAGGAGTTTAAGACCAGTCTGGGCAACATAGGGTGACCCCTGTCTCCACAAAAAATTAAAAAAATTAGCCAGGCGTGGTGGCATGTGCCTGTGGTCCCAGCTACGAGGGGCTGAGGTGGGAGGATTGCTTGAGCCTGGGAGGTCGAGGCTGCAATGAGCCATAATTGTGCCACTGCACTCCAGCTTGGGTGACAGAGTGAGACCCTGTCTCAAAAAAAAAGAAAAAAAAAAAGAAAAGACGTGAATGTGTTTTTAGACCTGAAGGAATGGATTCCATGAAGGGAGAAGGATGAAAGATGGGAAAGGATAAGTGATGGACAAGTTCTTGAGGTAAGATAAGAACACAGGAAGACTAGTCAGTCTTAGAGGAAAGAATGAATGAGCAAAGAAATTTTAAGGCCTGTAATGACACAGGATGGAACACTATAGTCACTGTGGTGTAAGTCATTTGAGATGAGTAGGACAGAAGGAGGACGGCCTGAAGTGAATTCAGATGCCTGGAGGAGTTGGCTAGGTTCTCAATATTCCTTCTGTAGAATGGGATAAAAGGTCAGTTTGAGAAGTGTTGGGGAAGGGGACTTTTAAAGCACTATTTAGAATGCTTCTGAGGCTTTAAAATACTCATTTTTAAAATGGTCCAAAAAATTCATAAATTAGAAGCAGCAGTGGTGAACATTTTTAGGAAAGTGACCCTTGAGAAGTTTATTTTTTGGTTAGTGACCTATTGAGCTTATTTATTAGGTAAGTAGAACATGCTCATTTAAAAAGTTTAAATTGTGCAAAAGACATATGTCAGATTTTTTTTTCTGTCTTCCATAACACTATTTCCTACCCCGCCGCGCTCTGTCTTCCGTAACACTCTCCCCTACCCCGTCGCCACTCTGTCTTCCATAACACTGTCCCCTACTCCACCACACTGTCTCCTACCCCGCCGAGCTGTCTTCCATAACACTCTCCCCTACCCCGCCACGCTGTCTTCATTAACACTATCTCCTGCCCTGCCACACAACTCTGTTTTCCTAGAAGTCACCAGTGTGAATTTTTCCCTTTATCCATATGTACATTTTTTGTTTCTGTGTGTCTGTGTATATACATATGCATAAAAGTGCATAGATAAAATACATATCCTTTTCAAAAAATCTTAAGTGGGGCTCTTGCTATGCATACTGTTCTGTAACTTGTTACTTGGATTAACACTGTATCTTAGACATCTTTCTATGTAGAGCGTATAGATCTTCCCTGTTCTTTTAAATGGCTGTATAATTGTCTATGGAAGGACTTAATTTATTTAACCCATACCTTGTTGATGGCTTATTTGTGTTTTGCTTTTATTTTTTCCTCTTTGTTTTTGCTGCTACAAGCAATGCTTCCTTCCATCTTAGCGGATCTGTCTTTGTACCCTTGAATGAGAAAGTTGCTGGATCAAAGGATGTATTCATTTTGAATTAGGTGTTGCTAATTTTTCCTCCAATGATACACTGATGTATCCCCCCTGCCCACAGTGTGTGGTCATGCCTGTTCTCTCACCCTCTTACCAGTACTGGACATTAATAAGCTTTTAAAGATTTGCTACTCAGGCTAAAAGTGTCTCTTTGTTTTAGGGTGCATTTCCTCATTTAATGAAGTGAAGATTCTTCCTTGTTTAGTGACCATTTGCCTTTATTTTTCTGTGAACTGCTTGTGAATGGCATTTGTCGTTCTTCTGTTGTCTTTTTAGTCTTTTTTCTAAAGCACACTTTGTAGCCCTTTGTTGTAAAATGTTGGAAATATTTTTCCCAGTTTGTCATTTAATCTTTGACTTTGTCTTTCTATTCCCCAGTAGGAGGTACTTAATTTTTATATACTCATATTTGGCAGGCTTTTTCTTTATAGGTTCTTTTGGCTTTAAGTGATACTTTTAAACCCAGCTATTGCTCATTTAAATTAGAACCTTTTCCATGAGAACCACACTGACGATTTCTTTAAATATAGCTTGAAAAAATTTTTCCCCTATTGTTCTTTTAGCTATTGTTCTTGAAAATAATGTGTTTTTTAAAGGAATATCTACAAATAGAAATGGTGATGATATCCAGCAAATGTTTTAAAATGGTGTAAAACCATTTGTACTCCTTTAGTAATTTTTTGGTAAAAAATTTATACTCCTTTAGTAATTATCATTTTTAAAATGATCAGAGGATGCATTTTTTAACTGTTTTATTTTTTGAAAGCTCATTGTTTAACTTATTATATATGTATTCATTTCTACAGAATTATAAGGCTGTCTGCAGAGATTTGAAAAATGGCAACAAATGAAAGTGTCAGCATCTTTAGTTCAGCATCCTTGGCTGTGGAATATGTAGATTCACTTTTACCTGAGAATCCTCTGCAAGAACCATTTAAAAATGCTTGGAACTATATGTTGAATAATTATACAAAGTTCCAGATTGCAACATGGGGATCCCTTATAGTTCATGAAGCCCTTTATTTCTTATTCTGTTTACCTGGATTTTTATTTCAATTTATACCTTATATGAAAAAATACAAAATTCAAAAGGTGAGTATAAGGGACTAGAAATAGAATATTATCATTAATGTTGCTGAATATTTTAAAAGTACATAGGGCTTTGTTTTGTGAGGCTAAAGCAGTGATATCCAATAGAAATATGAAGCCACGTATGTAATTTTAAATTTTCTAGTAGAATACATAGAAAAGGTAAAAAGAAATAAGGAAATTAATTTCATAATGTGTATCATTTAGCTCAATAAATGTAAACTATCGCTGGGTGCAGGGTCCATGCCTGTAATTCCAGCACTTTGGGAGGCCAAGGCAGGAGGATTGCTTGAGGCCAGGAGTTCAAGACCATCCTGGGAAACATAGCAAGACCCTGTCTCTACAAAAAAGATACAAAAATACCCAGGCATGGTGATGTAAGTCCTAGCTACTTATGAGGCTGAAGCAGAAAGATTGCAGCACTATACTCTAGCATAGGCGACAGAGTGAGACCTTGTCTCAAAAAAAATAAGAAATAAATGTAAATTATTATTTCAATCAGTAATCAAATTCTAAAAAATACTTAATGAGATATTTAATAAGTCTTTGCAATTCCGTGTGTATTTTACATTAATTTTAGTCTATCTCAATTTAGACTAGCCATGTTTAAAGTGTTTGGAAGCCACATGTTACTAGTTGCTCCTGAATTGAGCAACACAGTCCTAGGTCATTATTGATAACATTTCAAGAATACTTTGTTAAATTGGGCTTTAAGTAGATGTGATGGTTATCTAACTTAAGTTTATGAATTTTAATGTTTAAGCTAGCTGGAAAGGAAAGGTGTGGTGATTTGCGCATATTTTGCAGTTCACCCCAACTCTATGTTCCAGTAAATCTAAGGGACTGTTAATACACTACGACCTTGATCAGGGCTATTCAAGTTTTTTTTCCCTAAATATATGGTAGGTAGTTCTGCAGCATTCGTATCATCCCAAATAAGGAGGTGATGCTCCTCGTTTCTGGATATTTGCTTCATTGCACTAAATGTTGAGAGGTCGCTATGTACATGACAAGGTGAAATCTCATATGTAGCCTGTGAGCTTGACGTGAGAATTTGGAGTAGCTTATTAGAAAGATGAATTATTTGTTAGAATTTGTAAGCTGATGATAGTTTCTAGTGTTTGCTGTTTACTTTTCATAAAAAGTCATTCCAAACTAAAACTCAGGGGCACACAGTCTTGGTAGAAAGTAGACCATTGAGAGTATTCATCTATGGAAAGTAATTTACATTCACTTAGTACAATTGGCCCTCCATATCCATGGGTTGTTGTATCCATGGATCCAACCAACTGCAGATCAGAAATATTCAGGGGAAAAAAATTGTGTCTACACTGAACATGTACAGTCTTTTTTTTCCTTGTCATTATTCAAAATGACAACTATTTATAGAGCATTTGCATTTTATTAAGTATTATAAGTGCTGTAGAGATGATTTAAAGTATACGAGAGGATTCGTGTAGGTTATGTCAAATACTATGTCATTTTATATCAGGCACTTGAGCATCTTCAGATCTTGGTATTTGCAGAAAGTCCCAGAACCAATCCTCAAAAGATACCAAAGGACAACTGTATATATTTTGGATGGCAGTCTGTACACATTCTCTGTTATCATTCTGTTAGTTTCACAGCCTCTCCCAGAGTCTCACTTTAAGCAGGTATTAATATTAGTCCTCTCTGGGGATAATGCAGGGGTCAGATGACTGTGGACTCCAGGCCAAAGGAGAAAAGAGCAAAGGGTAAAGGCGAAGGAAATAAAAAATAGGAGGGCCAAAGGAGAGTACTCTGTGACCCTCAATTAAGGTCACAGAAGCTCCAAAGTGCTTTTTAGGAAAGCAGCTGCTTTGAAAGGCAGAATTAAGTTTGGACGTCTAAGTTCTAATGCACCTTTAGGGTGATTGTGGCTGCCGTGTTTCACCCAGTGATTTATTTATAGGGCTTATTCATTGTAATTCATTGTATGGCTGGCCAGGCAAAAGCATCCTTTTTCTCCTTCACTGCAGTTTGTAACTGACTCACTGGTTAGAAGTAGTAACCTTTGCAGAGAGACAAAGGACTTTCTCAGGCAAGGGTATATGAGCAGCTTTAAAATATAATGTGGCAAAGGAAAGAATAAGCTGTAGTCTAGTTGGTCAGAGCTAGTTGTTTATGAACAGATTGTAAGGCTGGATAATTTGACTTCAAGTCTGTACTCAGCAAGTCTTTATGTTTCATAACCATTAAAGTCCATGCTTTGAGCATTTTTGATAAAAAATGTGATTTTAAACCAGGACTAGTTTTCACAAGTTAAAGGAGTTTTAAAAGAAACCAAAATATTGGTACAAATTAATTACAGGTTTATGCATTTCGAAGGCAGATACCCTGATTAACATTGAGGGTATCAATTGTTTAAGATAAAATATTTGAGAATTATATTTAACATATGCAATAAATGTTTTTATTCTTAAAATTGTCGAAAAGAATAGAAGAAGTTGGTGGTGGTGATGAAATAGTACTAAAGACTTTCTGCTTTCAAACAGAACAGACAACTGGAGAGCTAATGCACATCCTTGCTAGTTAGGCGAAAATTTCACAGGAATGAAAAAGTAAAGCAGACTTTGCAGGATCTATTTCTTTAAAAAAAAAAAAAACATACATCTTAGTAATTCTCCAAAAATTTTCCTCAAAGATAAATGTACTAAAAATATTATTTCTGAAGTTTGTGGCCCTTGTAAAGGTATTCCTTTATATTAAGTACAGTTATGCATAAAGAAAGTAAAATATGGTAAACTTTCATATTGCACTAGGTATGAATTTGTATTGCTAACTGTCTTTGTAACTAATTTATGTATACTGTAAATGGTATAGCATGTGATTTTATTATAGTTGATTAACTTTGTAATTTCTGTAACTGCATCGATATCCCAGTCTACCTGGAAAATTAAGTCTATTAACCATAGTTGCTGTAGGAGACAGTACTATTGCCAACTGAAGCCTGAATCCTTCATTTATTTTGTCCCCAATTACAGAGTGGAGGTTTAGAGGAGTGGGGTTAGATAATGCTCAGATTAGAAATACAAAGGCAGCTGTCAGATCCTCCCATTTTATTGTTGAAGAAACTGAGTTGTAAACATCACAAGAGCTAGTTAACTGGTGAGTAGCAGCCCTGGTATTAGAGCACAAGTCTCTGGATTGATTCTTAGTTCAGTGCTTTTCCTATTTTTGTCAGGAAGATAACCCTTAAAGAATTTCAAGAACAGAGCTGGATCTGGAGACCTAGATTTTAGTTAGTCCAACTTCTGCTAATAACTGCGTGTGTGACCCTGCCCAAGCTGGTTGACCTCTTTGGGCTTCTGCTGATGCGCAGTAGTTCCCGTACTTTGGATATCGTGGTTCAATTAAAAGAGTTTTGTTGGCGGATACCTGAATTTTTCAGCAGTGACATTTAAAACAAAGCAATAACTGATATTTATTGTCACCATCGTTTTGTTAAGCCCAAAGCACTTTTTTAAGTGCAGTCCTATAAATTGAATACATTTAGTTAGTGTTTGTTTTGTTTTGCTTTGTTTTTTATAATGACTTGCTAAGCAAATGGGTATCCTGATGAGGTCTTAACGAACATCCCATGTTGATCTAACTTTTCTCATTTTGACTTGAATCTGTGAACTCCATAATCAGGACATATCTGTGTACTTCTCAACTCAGAGAGTTTATAATTCTGTCATTGGATTTGAACAAAAGTGCATTTATTTGTTGGAATGAATACCACTGAGTGCCTGGAAGCATCGACTTACTGTGTAAAAGGCTTCCAATGCTTCGTATACAACTTCTTCAATTGTGGACACCCAACAGTAATCTTAGCATATTATATTTCTTCTTCTCTGAAACTTCTGGTAAAAGAAGTGAAGTGAATGATCTGTGGCAGCAAAGACTGGAGAATTATTCATTCCATAGTGTTTCTTAGTTTGTTTGAGATCATCATGGCTAGGCGCATCTGTTAACAGTTTCTTCACCTGAAGTAGTGATAGTAGTTGTCAAGAATTTAGAAGGCAAAGATTCCTGAGTCTTAGTTATATAAAGTTAACATAACTGACGTAGAATTAAGGTCCAACATAAACAGAGAACAAATTAGGTCAAGTTAAACTCTGATAGCAGAGACTAATATTAGATATTGTGATTTTTCTTCGTAGGATAAGCCAGAGACATGGGAAAACCAATGGAAGTGTTTCAAAGTTCTTCTCTTTAATCACTTCTGTATCCAGCTGCCTTTGATTTGTGGAACCTATTATTTTACAGAGTATTTCAATATTCCTTATGATTGGGAAAGAATGCCAAGATGGTACGTAGATAAAAATTTGGCTTTTACACCCAATTGTGGCTTATTCAGTTAAGTTATACTTAATGTTTACCCGTTTTCTTAATTTTAGTTAATGTTTGTTCTAAACTTTGGAAGTAAATAAATAGTAGAAAAGTAAACCACAGTAAAATCTTAAAATGTTTCCATTTTTACATCTTTTAAATATTTTATTGGAAGGTGAGCTTCTAGTATCAGAAGTTTCCATAACGTCTTTTGTATGTTTATATACATGTATAAGTGCTTATGTTGACAAAAATATATTACATTTTAATTTTAAAATGAATGAAATATATGAGAATCATTTATGAGGTTTATAGAAATTGTGTTTACATGAACAAAAATATGTATGTGTATATATATATATATATATATATACACACATATATATATACACACACATATATATACTCATGCGTCACTTAACGGATATCTCTTGAGAAAAGTGTCATGAGGCAAGTTGTGTGAACATTGTAATGAAATGAAATTGGTCTAATGGGCAGTCTCTTTAACCTTATATCAAGTTATGTAGCTGTATCTGGTGGTTTTGAGAATTTATTTATGAATATATCCAATTAGGTCAACCTGGTAAGTGGGTGGGTGGTTTTATGTAATGTCTCAAGCAGTGATCCCAACTAAAAGTCTGGATAGTTTAAGTAAAAATTATTTCTTACACATTACAACATTTTTATCTTAAAGGTATTTTCTTTTGGCAAGATGCTTTGGTTGTGCAGTCATTGAAGATACTTGGCACTATTTTCTGCATAGACTCTTACACCACAAAAGAATATACAAGTATATTCATAAAGTTCATCATGAGTTTCAGGTATGTGAGAGTTATATTTAATTCTTTCTGTTAGAGGCAAAATGTCTATTTTAATTGCCTGAGCATTTTTCTAAAATTGTTGGTGACGTTTTTATTTTCTTTTCCTTTGGCATGATTATTAAGAACAATACACACACATACAAACAAGCCATTTCTACACATTGTTTTCATTATTTAAATTTCATGGTAAATTGAGATCTGAAAGAAAAATATTATATGAAAGTTCGGACTTCCATCCTTGTGGACAGTGCTACACTGGCACAGCTAGATCCTCACATTGCTAACTCCCACAAAAACAGTAACTTCTATGAGCACTGCTTTTTTTTTTTTTTTTTTTTTTTTTGAGATAGAGTTTTGCTCTTGTTGCCCAGGCTGGACTGCAATGGCATGATCTCAGCTCACTGCAACCTTCACCTCCTGGGTTCAAGCAATTCTCCTGCCTCAGCCTTTCAGGTAGCTGGGATTACAGGCATGCGTCACCACGCGTGGCTAATTTTGTATTTTTAGTAGAGACAGGATTTCACTATGTTGGTCAGGCTGGTCTCGAACTCCTGACCTCAGGTGATCCACCCGCCTTGGACTCGCAAAGTGCTGGGATTACAGGCGTGAGCCACCATGCCCGGCCAATTAGAATTGCTTTGATGTAGCTTTGTCAACTGGTTATGTGAGTATGTTTTGCATTGACCGTGATTACATGGTGTGCCAAATCAAGCCTCTCTTTATTAGAAGAACAAATATAAATACTTAAGTCAAAATTAGAGTTCAAGTCAATTATTTAATGCCTTTATCTTAAACCATCAAAGACAGCAAGATTTTATATCCCTAGACTTTTGATGTGGAGTAAGGTATTTTTATTGAGAATTGCTAGTATTATTTATAAGTGTATGACTAGATAAATCATCACTACATATAGAATCAATATAACTTTGTAAAACTTTATGCATAAATAGGATATATATATTAGTGAAGTCTCCAGTGAAGCAGAATCATTGGGGTATATATATGCAGAGAGAGATTTATTTTAAGGAATCAGCTCATGCAAGTGTGCGGCTGTCAAGTCTGAAATCTGTAAAGCAGGCTACAGACTAGAAATCCAGGTAAGAATTGTTGCAGCCTTGGGTCCAAATTCCATGGAGCAGCAAGTTGGAAACTCAGGCAGGGTTTCAGTGTTGCAGTCTCGAGAATCCTTCTTCAGGAAACCTCAGCCTTTTATCCTGAAGGCCTTCAAATGATTGGATGAAGCCCACCCTCATTATGAAGGGTAATCACCTTTACTCAGTCTACTGATTTAAATGTTAACAACATCTAAAAAATACCTTCACAACAACATCTAGACTGGTATTTAATCAAACAGTTGGATATCATAGCCTAGCCAAGTTGACACATAAAATTGACCATCACAATAGCTAAGAAATTAAGAATTTCTTATCTGTTTGTCTTAGGCTCCATTTGGAATGGAAGCTGAATATGCACATCCTTTGGAGACTCTAATTCTTGGAACTGGATTTTTCATTGGAATCGTGCTTTTGTGTGATCATGTAATTCTTCTTTGGGCATGGGTGACCATTCGTTTATTAGAAACTATTGATGTCCATAGGTGAGTATTAATTTCTGTTCAGGTATAAAGCATAATGAAATATATTTATTTTCATGGCCATAAGATTATCATATTTCTAAGGAGACTAATAGGAGAAGTTAATCTTCTTAATGTTATATTAAGAAAACATAACTGTTGGATAAAAGTTTAAATAATAGATGTTTTTACATTCTAGCCTATGCTGTTATAATTTTTATAGTGATAATGTGTTATTAGGGCAAGTATATATTCAGGACCAGCAATTTCCTTATCCTTCTGTAATAAACCTAAACTTAACTCATATTTGAAAAAAATATCAAAGCATTCAGCCTTCCTTGAATAAGACTTTCTAATCTCTACTGTTCAGCACTGATAAAGGCACTTGCAAGATGAAACTACTACTTGTAACACATACATATTTCAAATGCATCCTTTCTGTTGATTGGAAGACATTTTGTGGTAAATTATTTATATTGAATGCCTTCTTAAATGCTTATCCTAATTGTTCATTATTTTTTAATTATATGTTCATTGCATTTTGACTTGGGACATACTTCTGTACTCATGAATGCAGAATATCAAATTCTAAGAATTATTTTTAAAGTGCTAAAGTAGCAAAATTAATGCTTCTAGTCCTAGGCAGAGAATATTCTTCTGTAGAAAAATTGTAATTGACATTTCTTTCTTTTTTTTTTCTATCCATTGTTTCTTTCTGCCTTCCTTCCTCTAAGCTCCTCAAAGGAAGAGAGGGTTAGAGTGATTCAAATAAGTATAACTGGATGTCTGATTGTAGATATGTAGTTGGAAATAAAGGAGCATACTTTAAATGGGACTCTTTTTTGAAGCCATTTGTCTTCTGCCAACTATAGAAAAGTACACTGGTATTTTGATTAATTGTGGTACATTTGATTCCAACTTGTCATTGCCTAAAAAAGTAAATGAAGTTGCTATACAGGGATTCATGGGCCTGCCCTTTTTAATACTTGATACTAATTTTATGTGACTTTTCCTAAAAAACATATTTAGTATTTTGGGCTTTATTTACAACTGTTATACATGATGGTGAGAAAGCTTCCTCTAAAACATAAAAGAAAATTAATTCTTAAAAATCTGTGTCTAAAGATTCATTACTATAATCCGTCTCTTCCATCATTCATATATTTTATCATAAAATAAATGATTTTCTTAGTTTTTTTAAGGATTTTTTTTCTTAGAGTGGTTTCTAGAATATACACCATTTTCTGTGTTTGCTGTTTGTGAACACTTAGAAATAAAGTGGTCTAGGCAAAGTGGCATGTTATCTAAATTGGTTAATGTGAACACATGATTATTAATAAAAACAACAATCATTTGAGATGTATTTATTCCTTAATAATCTTTATCATTTTTGTTTCAGTGGTTATGATATTCCTCTCAACCCTTTAAATCTGATCCCTTTCTATGCTGGTTCTCGGCATCATGATTTCCACCACATGAACTTCATTGGAAACTATGCTTCAACATTTACATGGTGGGATCGAATTTTTGGAACAGACTCTCAGTATAATGCCTATAATGAAAAGAGGAAGAAGTTTGAGAAAAAGACTGAATAAATATCTCACGTAAACCTTCCTGAAAGATAAACGTTTTCCTGAATTCAGAAACTAGTAGCTAACATTGCTTCTGGAGAGCAGAAATAAGCATGTCTTCTGGCTACTAAGTGATAAAAAGAACATTAACAACCTTTAATTACCTTCCTAGTGGGAACTTTTTCTACTTTACCTACAAGTTCTATATATGTAGAAATGAATAAATATATATTTAAGTACAGTTTTCATGAGGAAGTTTTAAAAGACCATGTTCCTAAGCTTCCAAGAAGGTTTTGGATACTAGAAGTATTAATCTATGGCTTTTCTCCCAGTAAAACCATAGGCCTGAAGTTCACATTGGGTCTTTAAATCTTTTAGATATATACTGGTCATTTCAGAAAATTCTTCATAGTGGTATTGGCCTTATATTTAACTTTTTTTTTATTTTTTTTTTGAGACAAAGCCACACTCTGTCTCCTTGGCTGGAGTGTGGTGGCACAGTCTCAGCTCACTGCAACCTCTGCCTCCCAGTTCAAGCAATTCTTCTGCCTCAGCCTCCCAAGTAGCTGGGATTACAGGCACCCGCCACCACGCCCAGCTAATTTTTGTATTTTTGTAGAGATGGGGTTTCACGATGTTGGCCAGGCTGGTCTCAAACTTCTGACCTCAAGTGATCTGCCCACCTTGGCCTCCCAAAGTGCTGGGATTACAGGTGTAAGCCACTGCGCCCGGCCTTTTTAACTTTAAACATGTTTTAGAATTCACCTAAAGATCAAAATATCATGGATTGAACCTCATCAATTGATAGCAGTGAGTGACTGAAGCTTCCAAATCAAGAAAAGCCGGCACCAAGAACTTCCATTCTAATCTAGAGCTGACCAGTTTGAGCTGATTCTCTCTTTGAAGAGTCCTTCTTGATTGCAGTGCAGTACTGGCATTTCTGAATGGATGTAAGTGGAGTATTTTAGTCTAAAGGCTTTTCAAATTACTTGAATTTTTTTAAAAATTGAGGAGCTTTATTTCTATTTACCCTTCCATTTTTGTATATCAAATTTCCATTGTCATTAAAAACTGTATCTTGAAACTTTGTGAACTGACTTGCTGTATTTGCACTTTGAGCTCTTGAAATAAATGTGATTTTTGTGTGATTATCTGGTTTCCAGTTTTAAACATTAACTGTCACCTTTTATTCTTAAACTTGAAAGTACAGAAATCATTAAATTATTAAGTTGTACAATAAAAGGATTGGTTTCTTTTCTTTTTTTTTTTTTTAAGTGCTTCCTTTGCCGAAATGTTTCCTGGCTGTTTGAACATGAATTTTTCAGGTTTAAGTATTGTGGGAAATCATCTTGACCTAATAAAGCAATACATACTGAAGCAGTTCTTTGCCCTGCTTAGATAATGTATGTTTTCTGTACAGTTGAAGAATAGAGCTAAACTTTTCAGGGCTGATAAAATCTCAACTATCTAGTTTGTAACTCATCAAGGGTTGGGAATTCTTAGTATGTGGTGTTAATTATTTTTATTTTTTTAAGCTGCGGAGTCATTATCTGGTAACTTCCTTTTTTTTCTTTTTCTTTTTTTGAAACCTTACACGGTAAAGATGTCCAGGTGTAAGGGATTCAGATACTTAAAACTGAGAATGTTTTGTTTGTAGGTCATGCTTTATACCTTGTATGTGGTTCATATGCCCACGTGTGTGTGTGTGTGTAAATTTGTTGTAATCCTCAAGCAACAAATTTGGGGCTGGCTGCAATTAAAATTGTGCTATGTGCTACAAATAGAGCTACCATAAGATCCAGAAATCCCACTACCGGGCATTTATCCAAAGGAGATGAAATCGGTATATGGACGAGACATCTGCACCCTCAAGTTTATTGTAGCACTTCACAATAGCCAAGATACCGAATCAACGTACCTTTTACTCCCTAATCAAGGAATGCCCAGCATCTGAATTAGCAATAAAAGGTGACTCCCTGTCAGCACTTAGGGAGAGAGTGACACCTGCTGCTGGAAGCGCTGCGAAACGTTTTAAAACAACTTGGTAAATTCCAACTCATGCTTCATACTACACATTTATTGAGCACTTTGTGTCCTGAATTGTGCTATGTTTAGTGTGCTGTGATTTTAATGCACGTTCTCATTTGATTTCTGAGATAGATGCTATTGTCCCTATTTGATAGATGAGATAATTGAGAGGTTCAGGTCACAGGCTTGGTCTTTTTGACTTTCGAAGCTGTGCTTGTGGCTACTATGTTCACTATGCTGGAGAGTTGCATCTTCTATAAAACTCGTAGGGAATACTTTTAAAAGTGATATTTGAAGAGAAATAAGGTTCTAAACTAGTAGTCATCCAGGAAGTGGTAAGACACATACAAGTATGTTGGTATGGAGTAGACTTTAAGCTAACTTACCAGCCAAACCTTTCTTTTTAAAATTACTTAAATTAAGCTTTTAACTATACTGGCATTTGATAATTAGACAAAAATAAATATGAAGACTAGAATACAAAACGGGGTACATAACTGACTCTAGCAAATAATTGACAAGATTATTTTTTATTTATTTATTTTTTAAGACAGAGTCTTGCTCTGTCTCCCACTGGAGTGCAATGGTGCCATCTTGGCTCACTGCAGCCTCCACCTCCTGGGTTCAAGCAATCCTCCCATCTCAGTCTCCTGAGTAGCTAGGACCACAGGCGTGTGCAGCTACATGCAGCTAGTTTATTTTTTGTAGAGACAGGGCCACACTATGTTGCCTAGGCTGATCTTGAACTGGCTCAAGCGATCCTCTCACTTCAGCCTCCCAATAGTGCTAGGATTATAGGCGTGAGCCACCGTGCCCAGCTGACAAGAGATACCCTTTGTTTCTTGGATTATCTATTTGGATTTTTACTAATTGTTTAAAAGTTTAGTTAATATTATAATTTAAAAATTAGTAGTAGAGTATGCTTAGAATTATAATTAACTAGTATTTTACTCTTTGCTACATATTTGGCTAACGACATGTAGACCTTTGGACAAGATTGGTTCTGTGGAGACTCTTACCCCAACTTCTAATTCTCATGCTCTTACATAAAACCTAGTAGGTTTTTTTGTTTTGTTTTGTTTTAGATAGAGTCTTGCTCTGTCGCCCAGGCTGGAGTGCAGTGGCACAATCTCGGCTTACTGCAACCTCGCAACCTCCACCTCCCGGGTTCAAGCGATTCTCCTGCCTCAGCCTCCTGAGTACCTGGGATTACAGGTGCCCGCCACCACGCCCAGCTAATTTTTTGTATTTTTTAGTAAAGACGGGGCTTCACCATGTTGGCCAGGCTGGTCTTGAACTCCTGACCTCGTGGTCCGCCCGCCTCAGCCTCCCAAAGTGCTGGGATTACAGGCGTGAGCCACCGTGCTTGGCCTAGTAGGGCTTTTTAATTCCACATTTAAGTTCTGTATTTCCACAGAGAGAGATAGTATCTAAGCTCTTCCTGAAGAGTGAGCACCTTGTTTCTGAAGGTTTAGCTCCTAATCCATTCTTGCAAAAGAATAGAATTTTTCAGCCAATGTTAGAAAGAGTAGCATGCTATTAGTCTAATGAATGCTGTCTCTGCAAGTGACTGCCAAATGTTGACATTCTTACATGAAATCATCAGAGGGCCATGGTAAAATGTCTTTAGTACATATGCTTAGAGGTCTGTTGCATTCTAAAAGTCTAAAGAAAAAGGACATGAATGGCTAGAATCTAAGATAGGAAATGTTACTTTCAAACTATTAGGAAGATAAGTAATTCAACTCAGGGACACAGGCTGCTTATTGTGCACTCACAAAAGGAAAGGGACCATGACGGAATGAGAACATGGGATAACTAACCTGCAAGCTGCGTATAGGATGCTGAAACCAGCACTGCTGGGATAGTAACAGGAGAGATTGCCATGTATGCCCTGCCAGCCGGTCTTGCTCCCTTGCATTATGAAGCTCCTTGGCTCCTGGTGATTGGCTCACTCCCTGGAAAGCCTTTCCCCCTCCTCTCTCTGGAGAGCTATTTCCTCATCTATGAAATGAGGATAATAATACTTCATGGGCGGTTTGTGAGGATTCAGTAAGATGCACCATGTGAAGTATGCGATGCGTGTAATGAATGTTAGCTATTTTTTTTAAATTCCCTCCCTTTATTTAAAGATCCGGTTCAAGACTCACCGCACCACTCCATCAGCCCCACTCTTCTTTCTGAGGTCTTATTTCTGCTTCAGATTAGAGAAATCTCTCCCACTCTCCCTCACTCAGAGTTCTGTAACACTCATCTCTACCACCTCTCAGCATACGCCACCTTGTGTTTTCTGCTTCAGACAGAGATTGGAAGATATTTTTGAAGAAACTGAACCCAACCCACAGAAAAATACATCCAAAGTTTGAAAAGATTGACTTGCTGCCTGATTATTTAAAATGGTTTTACAATCACATTTGCAAATTGTATTGCTACCTCTTTTTTAGCCAAAGATCTCTCTTTTGCACCGTGTGCTTTCGTTCTTCTGCACATTTGCTCATGCCTAACCTTCAGCCAGTGAATGTTATTAACATGGTCAAAGGCACGCGGGTAGTTCATGGCAAAGCTGACTGCAGAGCTGAGATCTTCCCACTGTGTGTATTTTCTCCCTTGGTATGTATACCTGGCACCTTGCCTTGAACATGGTAGGAGTTCAATAAATATCTGTCAATTAAAACGAAGAGAGGACATTGTAATAACATCATAATATAGGAGTGACAATTAAGCTGCCATTTTAGTAATCAGTTCAGAAGGTTTTTAGTAATTAACAGCAAATGATGGGGAAGGAGAAGACAAGGAAAGAAGAGGGTTCTTGAAATACAAGCCAGAGCCAGAACCAGGTGCAGGGGCTGCCGGGTTCAGTTGAAGTCTGGCTACATTCTAATGCTTTGGCATCTTAAAGTTTGATTTCACTGGTCATGTTCTTGTGGGATATGCAGCTTGATATGCTCTTTGAAGGAACAAATTATGTATCAGAGCACGTTCATGTCCGTTTGAGTTCGTGTCCAGCTAATAAAGAAAATTTAGAACTATTTAGTCTGTTGGCAGATTTCAATCAGACCTCTTGTATTCCATGAAGGTTCTCTGAGATTTTTTTTGCTATAAAATAATTCATCTGATAATAATAAAATATCATGATGGTATAGAGGTAGAAGAATAAGGAATTGGTCACTGCCCAGGAGTAGGTAATATACCATTAACATATTAGAATGGGAGGCTGAGCTACCTAATTTTTGCATTTCTATGTCACAGGAAAATGATCTTCAAGTTGGAAAAGGAAACAAACTAGCCCCGTTCAAAGGGAAGCAAATCCCAAAGAGGAGGAAATTTTTAGCAAAGTGTTTCATACATTTTAATAAACTTTTTTTTTTTTTTCGAGATGGAGTCTCGCTCTGTCACCCAGGCTGGAGTGCAGTGGCGCTATCTCGGCTCACTGCAACCTCCGCCTCCTGGGCTTAAGCAATTCTTCTGCCTCAGCTTCCCGAGTAGCTGGGACTACAGGTGTGTGCCACCATGCCTGGCTAATTTTTTGTATTTTTAGTGGAGATAGGGTTTCATCGTGTTAGCTAGGATGGTCTTGATCTCCTGACCTCGTGATCCACCCACCTCGGCCTCCCAAAGTCCTGGGATTACAGGTGTGAGCCACCGCGCCTGTCCTTAAATAAACTTTTAAGTCTCCAAAGTCAGATAACTTGCATTCCAGGTGACAGAAAGAATTTGTAAATGTGATTGTAAAGCCATAGATGATCAGGCAGCCAGTCAATCTTTTCCAACTTTGTTAAGTATTTTTCTGTGGGTTTGGTTCAGTTTCTTCAAAAAAATCTTCTAATCACTGTCTGGGGCAGAAACTGCTCATATGTCTTCATGCTGGGAATCACATATGTGGGAGGAGACAGGATCTGACAGTTGAGTGGGTTCCCTTTCACAGAATCCCTCTTCTGCCACCTGCCTAGCTCACCCAAGGCCTCCTCAGCATCAGGAGAGTCTTGAGCCTCTTCTGTTCCATTTCTCCAAAGAATAAATCTGCCCCTTGGGAAGTGTGGCTCTACAGAGTTGGAAAAGGGACCTGTGGCCTAAAGGCTTTGTAATAGAGTTTTGAAGTGAAATTGAAATGCTGGCTTTTAGTATTACACAATACCAGGGTATTTAATTTTTAATGGAACCACACCATACAAACACACCAGAAAAGCACACAGCTTGATGAATGGTTACATCCATTTGATCACTACACAATCAAGAGCGTGACTACTTCCTTTGTCAATTGTCCACTTTGGACCAGAAATGTAGTTAGAGTCTTACCTGGTTCAGCAAGTGAATCCAAATTCTCTTGACCAAGGAGAGTTTCTAGTGTTGTGACTTGAGGCTTTGCCTGTAGCCTTGTCCTGTTAAACATGTTTATCATTGACCTAGATAAGGCCACTGCTGCCAAGCTTATCAAATTTAATACTGAGGCAGAAGAAAAACAGCAACTGACACTTTGTTCTACAGGACAGAATCAAGATCCTGCAAAATGTTTGCCTTGATTTAAAAGTTCAGCTGCACAAATGGAGGAGAGGAAACATAACCAGGATTAACAGCGATACATACCCAAGAGCCGTAAGGATTTTAGTGGACTACAAGTGCTCACTTCCCCACAACTTAAGACAACCGTACGCTAAATTATTAAAGGTAAGCCTAAATTACAGAGAAGACAGTGATCTCCTTTTATTCTGCTTTGGTTGGTTACGGGTGGAAAAGCATATTATGCTTAGTGCATCATATATGACTAACATCCACAGGAGACAAGAGAGTAATCAGGATTTTTGTTGTTATTTTGTGTTTGTTTTTGTTTCTGAGACAGAGTCTCACTGTATTGCTCAGGCTGGAGTGCAGCGGTGTTATCTCAGCTCACTGCAACCTCCACCTCCTGGGTTCCAGTGATTTTCATATCTCAGTCCCCCAAGTAGCTGGGACTACAGGCACACACCCTCACACTCAGCTAATTTTTGTATTTTTAGTAGAGACAGGGTTTTGCCATGTTGTCCAGACAAGTCTTGAACTCCTGGCCTCAAGTGATCCACCCACTTTAGCCTTCCAATGTGCTGGGATTACAGTCATGAGCCACTGTGTCCAGCAAGGAATTGCTTAAGGTCTAGCAGTAATTACACAAGATAATTTAAGGAAACAGAGGGATAGTCTAGAGCAGCTCTGTCCAGTACAGTAGTCATGAGCTGATGTGGCCATTGACATCTCTGAGTACAGATTATAGAACATTTCCATCATTACAGAAAGTTCCATTAGACAGAACTGGTCAGAGAAAAGAGGACTAAATAGAAATATCAAAGGTGTGTTCAAATGTCTGAAATGATATTATGTAAAAGAGGGTGAGTCATTCATTATTGCCCCAGAAAGCATAAGTGTATCAGGAAATAAAGTTCTAGGTGTTTGCTGTTTAAAAATTCAAACTTTGGAAGAACTTTCTTAAAATTAGAGCTAGTTATCTTCCCCTTCATTGATGGTTTAGGCAGCAACTATAGGATTCTTAGTCAGTATATAACGAAAGAGATCCTTAAAATGAGGATGAATTTCTAAAAATAAATTTTATTTTATTATTTTATTTATTTTGAAACAGAGTCTCGATATGTTGCCCAGAGTACAGTGGCACAATCTTGGCTCACTGCAACCTCCTCCTCCCAGGTTCAAGAGATTCTCCCACCTCAGGCTCATGAGTAGCTAGGACCACAGGCGTGCACCACCACTCCCAGGGCTAATTATTGTATTTTTTAAGTGGAGAAATGGTTTCACCATATTGGTCAGGCTGGTCTCAAACTCCTGACCTCAAGTGATCTACTTGCCTCAGCCTCCCAAAGTGCAGGGATTACAGGCATGAGCCACTGCACTGGGCCTAAAAATGAATTTTAATTGATACATAATAATCATATGTATTTATGGGGTACAGTATGATATTTCATGATATAGTTGTATAGAATGTGTACGATCAAATCAGGGGAATTAGCATATTCATCACCTCAAGCACTTATCATGAAATGAGGATGAATTTGAACTGGATTATATCTCTTTTTTGAGACAGGGTTTCACTCTGTCCTCCAGGCTGGAGTGTAGTGGCATGATCATGGTGGCTGCAGCCTTGAACTCTTGGGCTCAAACAATCCTCCTGCCTCAGTCTCCTGAGTAGCTAGGACTACTGGCATGTGCCACCATGCTCAGATGCTCAGCTAATTTAAAAAAAAATTTTTTTTTTTTTTTTTTTTTTTTAGAGATGTGGTATTGCTATGTTGTTCAAGCTGGTCTCAAACTCCTGGCCTTAAGCTATCCTTCCATCCTGGCCTTCCAAAGTGTTGGAATTACAGGGATGAGCCACCACAGCTAGCCTGAACTGGATTATTTCTAATGATACTTCCAGCTACCATGGTTCTAATGTAGATATTTTAGTTTATTGTTGCAAACATTTTTAAGTAAAGCTTACAAGGTTTTTTTTTGTTGTTGGTGGTGGGAGGTTTTGTTTTGTTTTGTTTTTTGAGATGGAGTCTCGCTCTGTTGCCCAGGCTGGAGTACAGTGGCATGATCTCAGCTCACTGCAACCTGGGTTCAAGCGATCCTCCTGCCTCAGCCTCTCGAGTAGCTGGGGCTACAGGCATGCACCACCATAACTGGCTAGTTTTTGTATTTTTTTTGTATTTTTAGTAGAGATGAGGTTTCATCATGTTGGTCAGGCTGGTCTCAAGCTCCTGACCTCAGATGATCTGCCTGGGTCAGCCTCCCAAAGTGTTGAGATTACAGGAGTAAGCCACCATGCCCAGCCGGAAGCTTTGTTCATTTTTAAAAATTCTTTTGTCTTTGACAGATTGGGTTAATTCAAAAACCTTGTCTTTGAGCTCTGAAGTTCTTTCTTCTGCTTGTTTGATTCTATTGCTGAGACTTTCCGGTACATTTTGCATTTCTCTAAATGTGTTCTTGATTTCCAGAAGTTGTGACTGTTTTTTATTTATGCTATCTATTTCATTAGAGAAATTTCCTTTCATATCCTTTATCACGTTTTTGATTTCATTAAGTTGGACTTCACCTTTCTCTTGTGCCTCCTTGATTGGCTTAATAATCGACCGTCTGAATTCCTTTTCTGGCAATTCAGACATTTAATCTTGGATTGGATCCATTGCTGGTGAGCTGGTATGATCTTTTGGGGGTGTGGAAGACCCTTGTTTTGTCATATTACCAGAATTGTTTTTCTGATTCCTTATTTGGGTAAACTATGTCAGAGGGAGGATCCGAGATTCAAGGGCTGCTGTTCAGATTCTTTTGTCCCACAGTATGCTCCCTTGATGTGGTGTTCTCCCCCTTCCCCTTGGAATGGAGCTTCCTGAGAGCTGAACTGTGGTGACTGTTTGTGACCTCCACCCAGTGGAGCTACCGGGCTCTGGGCTGGTACTGGGGAGCATCTGCAGAGTCCTATGATGTGACTGGTCTTCAGGTCTTTCAGCCGTGGATACCAGCACCTGCTCTGGTTGAGGTAGCAGGGGAGTGAAGTGGACTCTGTTGAAAGTCCTTGCTTGTGTTTTTGTTTAGTGTGCTGGTTTTGTGTTGGTTGGCCTCCAGCCAGGAGGTGGCGCTTTCAAGAACTCATCAGCTGTGGTCCTATAGGGAGGATACGAACTTGCCCTAGGGACACCTGTTTAAGTATTCAGGTTTCTCAGGTGGTGGACAGGGCCATAGAGCTCCCAAGAGATAATGACCTTTGTCTTTGGCTACCAGGGTGGGTAGAGAAAGACCACTAAGTGGGGGTAGGGATAGGTGTGTCTGAGCTCATCCTCTCTTTGGGCAGGTCTTGCTGTGGCTGCTGTGGGGGATGGGGATGTGGTTCCCAGTCCAGTGGAGTTATATTCCCAGGGGGATTATGGCTGCCTCTGCTGAGTCATACAGGACTCAGCAGGGAAATGGGGGACAGCTGGCAGTCACAGGCATCACCCCACTCCCACTCAGCCCACAGTCCTAAAGGCTGATCTCACTCCCACTGTGTCCCCCCAACAGCACCAAATCTATTTTCAGGCAGCTGATGACCAGGGCTGAGAACTTGCCCCAGACCACGAGCCTCTCTGTTGATAAAGCAAGCAGACTTACAGTTTTTCGGCATCTCAGGGAGCCTGCAGCAGTGATCCAGTTCTTTCAAAGGGTCTGTGGATTCTCAGCTTTCCAGGTATGTTCCTGCGGTATTTCTCAGAGCAGAAGTTCATGATGTGCGTCTCCACAGGCTGCTCTGTCCATCCAAGCGGGAGCTGCAAGCTAGTCCTGCTTCCTATTCACCATCTTAATACATTCTTATTACTCAATAAAATACTTTTGATATACATTTAACAGAGAAAGTGAAAGTCTTACACAATGAAAACTACAAATATTGTTGAAAGAAATTAAAGCAGATCTAAGTAAATGCAAAGACATTTTTATGGATGAGAAAACTTAATATTGTGAAGATGACAATACTTCCCAAATTTATCTGCAAATTCAATGCAATCTCTATCAAAATCCAAGCTGCCTTTTTGTAGCAAATTACAAGCCAACCTTAAAATATATATGGAAATTCAGTAGACTCAAAATAGTCAAAACAATCTTGAAAAAGAAGAACAATTTAGAAGACTCATATTTCCCAATTTCAAAACTTACTACAAAGTTACAGTAAGCAGACAGCGTGGTTTTGGCATAAGGGTAGACATATAAAAATGGCGTAGGTTTGAACTTCAGATGTAAACCCTGATAGTGATGGCAATAGATTTTAACAGTGTTCCAAGATAATTTAAGGAGTAAAGAACAGTATTTTCAACAAATAGTGAAGGAACAACTGGACATCTACATGCAAAAGGATGACATTATAGATCTACCTCACTCCATACACAAAAAAGTAACTCAGATGATAGCACTAAATGTAAAAGCAAAATTGATAACCCTCTTAGAAGGAAGTGAAGGAGTTGCCTTGGATTAGCAATGATCCCTTATTTATGACCCCAAAAATACAAGCAACAAAATAAAATGATGAATACAATGGACTATGTGAAGAATTTTGTGCTGCAAATGATACCATCAAGAAACTGAAGACAATACACAGAATGGGAGAAAATATTTGCACATCCTATATCTGATAAAGAATTTGTGTCCATAATATATAAAGAACTCAAACTCAATAATAACAACAAGAGATAACCCAATTCTCAGCAAACTAACACAGGAACAGAAAACCAAACACCACATGCTCTCACTCATAAGTGGGAGCTGAAGAATGAGAAAACATGGACACAGAGAGGGGAACATCACACACTGGGGCCTGTTGGGGGGTTGGGGAACAAGGGGAGGGAGAGCATTAGGACAAAGACCTAATGCATGCGGTGCTTAAAACCTAGATGATGGGTTGATAGGTGCAGCAAACCACCATGGCGCATATATACTTATGTAACAAACCTGCACATTCTGCACATGTATCTCAGAGCTTAAAGTAAAACTTAAAAAAAAAAAAAGATTTGAATAGACATTTCTCCAAAGAAAATATACAAACAGCCAGCCAGGCACAGTGGCTCACGCCTATAATCCCAGAACTTTGGGAGGCTGAGGCAGGTGGATCACAAGGTCAGGAGATCGAGACCAGCCTGGCCAATATGGTGAAACCCCATCTCTACTAAAAATACAAAAAGTTAGCTGGGTGTGGTGGCAGGCACCTGTAGTCCCAGCTACTCAGGAGGCTGAGGCAGGAGAATTGCTTGAACCCAGGAGGTGGAGATTGCAGTAAGCCAAGATTGTGCCACTGCACTCCAGCCTGGGCAACAGAGCGAGACTCCATCTCAAAAAAAAAAAGAAAATATACAAACAGCCAACAGCCAATATGTACATTAAAAGTTGCTCAACATCATTACTCTTTAGGGAAACACAAGCCCAAACCACAATGAGATGTTACTTCACACCCATGATAATGGCTGTAATATAAAAGATAAGCAATAGCAAGTGTTGGAAAGGATGTGGGGAAGTTGGAACCTTTCTATGTTGCTGGCGGGAATGTTAGATGGTGCAGCTGCTTTGAAATGAGTTTGGCGGTTCATCAAAATATTAAACATAGAGTTACCATAGGACCCAGCAATTCCACTCCTAGGTATATACCCAAGAGAAATGAAAATGTATGTGAACACAAAAATTGTACATGAATGTTCATAGTAGCATTATTCATAATAGCAACAAGAGGAAACACTCCAAATGTCTATCATCTAATCCAGTGGTCCCCAATCTTTTTGGCCCCAGGGACCGGTTTCATGGCAGACAATTTTTTCACAGACGGGGTGGGGGTTGGTGGTTTTGGGATGAAACTGTTCCACCTCAGATCATCAGACATTAGATTTTCATAAGGAGCACACAACCTAGATCCCTTGCATGTGCAGTTCACAGTAGGGTTTGCGCTCCTGTGAGACTCTAATGCCACCACTGATCTGACAGGAGGTGCAGCGCAGGTGGTAATGCTCACTCACCCACCACTCACCTCCTGCTGTGTGACCTGGTTCCTAACAGGCCATGATGGGTACTGGTCCACAGCCCGGGGATTGGGAACCCTTGAACTAATGAATGAATTAAAAAATATGGAATACTCATACAATGGCATGTCATTCAGCCATAAAATGAATACAGTACTGATTCATGCTACAGCACGAATGACCCTTGAATATACTATGAGAAAGAAGTCAGTCACAAAAGACCATATATTATATATATGATACCATTTATATAAATTATTCAAAAGAGATAAATTTATAGGCACAGAAAGTGGATTTGCGGTTGCTTAGGGCTGGGGGTTGGGGCTTAGGAGGGAAGAATAGGGACTGACTGCTTATCCACTAGCAGGTTTCTTTTAGGGGAGCTAAACATGTTCTAAAATTAGATTGTGGTGATGGTGGCATGGCCCTATGAATATACTAAAAGACATTGAATTGTATACTTTAAAAGGGCAAATTGCATGGTACATGAATTATTCCTCAATAAAGCTGTTTAAAAAACAAAAAGGCAAACAGTTAGCAGTGTATTAGTTTGTTAGGGCTGCCATAACAATAAGCAACAACCTGGATGGCTTAAACAAGAGAAATGTATCGTCTCACAGTTCTGGAAGCCAAAAGTGAGATCAAGGTGTCAGCAGGGTTAGCTCCTTCTCAAGTCTCTGAGGGAAAATCTTTTTCATGCCTCCCTCCTAGCTTCTATATTTCTTTTTCCATTCCTTTTTTTTTTTTTTTTTTTGAGAAAGAGTTTTGCTCTTGTTGCCCAGGCTGGAGTGCAATGGCATGATCTCCGTTCACTGAAATCTCTGCCTCCTGGTTTCAAGTGATTCTCCTGCCTCAGCCTCCTGAGTAGCTGGGATTACAGGCGCCTGCCACCATGCCCAGCTAATTTTTATAGTTTTAGGAGAGATGGGGTTACATCATGATGGCCAGGCTGGTCTCAAACTCCTGACTTCAGGTGATTCACCCACCTTGGCCTCCCAAAGGGTTGGGATTACAGGCATGAGCCACTGCGCCCGGCCCCTCTTAGCTTCTAATAGTTTGCTGGCATGCCTTTTGCATTTCTTGGCTTGTAGATGCATTACCCCGGTCTCTGCCTTCATGTTCACACCGTATTCTCTCTATGTCTATCTTTCTTTGTGTCCTGATTTCCCATTTTCATAAAAACAACAGTCATATTGACCCACCCGTATTACCTCATCTTAACTCGATCATTTGCAAAGGTCCCTTTTCCAAATAAGATCACATTCACAGAGAGTGGGGGTTGGAGTTAGGACTTCAACATCGTTTTGGGAGACACGATTCAGCCTATAACAAACAATATGGACATGATTTCCTTAATTGTAAGATCAGAGATGCTAGAATAATGCTTACTTACAAATAGCTCATCCCATTCTCTAAGACTGTAATACAGAAGGAAGATTTTTTTTTCTATCTCTTCTTAGCTTGAACACTTATCTGGAAGGCAATGTGATTTTCTGAGACAGGCAAAGACATTGCATAATAATTCTGTGTCCTCAATGACCTTAAAAGTCATTTAGTTTAGTTATCTACTCAGAGTTTGAATCTCCTTCCTGTGACAGACAGACTATTTTTTTTTTTTAAGGGGGCTGTGAGCTGAGACCACTGGAGAGCAAATTCAGCATTTGGCAATAGTTCACTCACCAGCTGGTGGCAGTATTTTGCTTGAAGCTGTGAGGCCCGAAGACTGAGCACAGGAACTACTTAGACCTCAGTGTGGAGTCAAACTCTGCCATTTACTGTGTGACTTACTTGTGTGCCCTTAGACACGTCACTCAAGTGAATCTCTGTTTCCTTGTACATAAAATGGGAATAATGATGCTCCTCTTGCAAACTTTTAAGAATGAAACACAGCCATAAAGAAAAACACACCAAACAGCAGAGTGCCCAACTCATATCAGAAACAACAGCAACAAAAAACCAACAAATTTTTAAAAAAGCAAATGATGCTTAATTTTCTGAATTACTTAATTAGTATTTTAAAAATAGACTGCCAGCCAGTTGGACCCAAGAATATGGAAAATCTGAGAACCAGTGCAGATCTTTTTCACTGGAAACTATTATTTTCCCATGCACACACTGATTATTACAGGTTTGCCAATTTTTTTCCTGTAAAATGTGATGGGTAGATATATGCAATATATAAAAATAATTTGATATAACTACCAAATATATGTTTAAACTTAAAATATCCATTAGTTCACAGTATACAACTTTTAATGGTTGTGTTAAGAACAAAAACTTTTACATTTTTTCAATTTGGGAATTTTACATTAAAATGATTTTTATCAGCTATTTTATCAGTTTTTTCTGATTTTCATTCAAATGAATAATCTCTTATCATGTAACATCTGTTATAACACCTCAAAAACAAGAGTGATTTTCCTGCTGTGAGGAGTGCTGTGCTGGATGGAAAGCATAAATAACCCGGGACTAAGTGGTTCAGCTGACTTTTCCCCCCAGACAATTTAGGTTACCCAAATGAATGATCTTTTCATGGTTTTGTTTTTTCATTCTATTCCAGTTTATTTTTACCTTTTTTTTTTTTTTTTTTTTTTGAGAGAGTGTCACTCTGTCACCCAGGCTGGAGTCCAGTGGTGTGGTCTTGGCTCACTACAACCTCTGCCTCTTGGGTTCAAGTGATTCTTCTGCCTCAGCCTCCTGAGTAGCTGGGATTACAGCATGTGCCACCATACCCAGATAATTTCTGTATTTTTAGTAGAGACAGGGTTTCCCCACATTGGCCAGGCTGATCTCGAATTCCTGACATCAAGTGATCTGCCTGCCTCTGCCTCCCAAAGCTCTGGGATTACAGGCTTGAGCCACCATCTCCGGTCTATTTTTACCATTTAATCAAGGGTTTTCTCTAGCCATCCCTGGGTTCTGCACAAAACTCACATATTAGAAAGCGTTCCTCAGACAAGACTATGAAGACTAAGAATTATTCTCGAATGTGCTAGTTCAGGGCAGTGGGGATGAGCAACAGGATGGCAACAGTATTCTGAGAACTGGCTATTGAGAAAATTCCTTTTTAATAGGGCAGCATGCCTGCTTTACAGCTTTCATTCTTTACTGAAGAGTCCCAGACTAAGAAATCAGCAGTGATTAACATCTAATCCTGGCCACCGGGTGTTAGGGGAAAGTGGTTGTCCTTCAGAAACAAGGAGCCAATTAGAAATAAGTCATGAAGCATTTTCTTGGTCTTACTGAAATAGTGAATCTCCTTCCCTCCCTCCCTCCCTCCCTGCCTCTCTCCTTCTTCCCTTCCCTTTTTTGAAAGAGAGTCTTGCTCTGTCACCCAGGCTGGAGTGCAGTGGCGTGGTCTTGGCTCACTGCAACCTCTGCCTCTTGGTTTCAAGTGATTCTTCTGCCTCAGCCTCCCGAGTAGCTGGGATTACAGGCATTGCCTTCCCTTCCCTTCCCTTCCCTTCCCTTCCCTTCCCTTCCCTTCCCTTCCCTTCCCTTCCCTTCCCTTCTTATTTAAGCCATTTAAATTTAGTTTAGTTGCAATAAACCAAGTCTAATTCATCTACTCAGGACTTCGAAGTCAGTACTGTTGCATTCCAGGTTTCTTTGGTTACAACCTGTATCTCCATATAAACTGGCAGGAGTAGGTAGTGGTGATGGGTTCTTCATCAAGCCCAGCAACATTGCTCTCATACCTGCATTAAGCCACAACCATCAACTGTTTCCCGCAATTATGGAAGGAGTTGCAGCTTAATGAGTGTAGATTTTGAGCAAGTTATTTTTGAATTGTTGAGGTTCGACTTAAATAGCAGCATATCAGATGTCAACTGAGGAGCATAGCTTGATCTCTAAGAATTTATGTATTCATTCATTCAATCAATAATATTTACTTAGTTTTCCATTATGTGTCAAATGCTGCTAGGTGCTAGGGTACACTAGGGGCCTTGAGAGACAAGATTCCAGCCCTCGCACAATTTATAGTACAGGGGAGATTATGGACAATGAAATAAGTAATTATTAAAAACCTCTGAAACGTGAGAGAGGCTTAAGGAACTCTGAGATCACATAGCAACAGTATCTTTTTTGCTTAATGGAAGCTGTTAGGACAAAGCTCCCAGAGGAAATAATGTGTACCATGAGACCAGAAGGACAACTAAAAGCTAACCAGAAATGAAGGGGGACAGAGGGGAAGAGTGATTCAAGTAAAGGCAACAAAATATGCTAAGATCTGCTGGCAAGACAGAGAATAGAATAAACCAGATACTGAAAGAAGATTGTATGATTGGAGAGGATGCAGAGATGGCGGGACAAGTTGGAGAAATGTGCAAAGCTAGGTCATTATGTGCTTTGGAGTTTGTTTCTGAAGCTTTTTAGACAAGGGAGGCTGCCCTGCTGCAATGCTGTGCACAAGAAGCAAGAGAAGTGGAAGGAAGACCATAGAGCTTTGTGGCTTGTTTCCATCAGCAAACCTGTGTGACTAACCCTCACCTGTCCTCTATTTCCTCTCCTGCATAATCCTATCAGTTCAAGGCACCATTTGTGCCATTTATTTGTTTATTTACTTATTTATTGAGACAGGGTCTCTCTCTGTCGCCCAGGCTGGAGTGCAGTGGTGCAATCTCGGGTCACTGCAACCTCCACCTCCTGGGTTCAAGCGATTCTTGTGCCTCAGCCTCCCGAGTAGCTAGAGGTGCACACCACCACGCCTGGCTAATTTTTCTATTTTTTGGTATAGATGGGGTTTCACCATGTTGACCAGGCTAGCCTCGAACTCCTGGCCTCAAGTGATCCACCCACCTCGGCCTCCCGAAGTGTTGGGATTACAGGCGTGAGCCACTGTGCCTCGCCTGTGCCATTTATTTTGATGGTGCTTTTGGCACAGCACTTGTTGGCTGTCTGGACAAGCATGGGTTAGTGGTAGATACCTAGGAGTGGATTTATTAAATCGCTAATGAACTAGCATAGGTATTGGGAGTCAGCCTGAACAAGCTAAGGAGATAAGAAGCTAGTTCCCAGGAAGAGCTAAAACCAAGTTCAAGTAGGGATGGTGGTGGGGTTGTTAGGGTTTCTGCAAGTAGTAAATAAAATATAAGAAAACTCAAGGAGCCAAAATATTGGTTTGCCGAGGCAAGGAAACAGAAAGAACAAGTTAAAAAAATTGAAGCTTGGAAGAATCCTTTATTAAACAATTTTAAGCAATGTGGCAGCCGAACCTAATTTTTTTACCCAACCACACAGTATTAATGACTCATTGTGTTTGGTAACACTTCCTGCCATAAGTGTCCCAAGGAGCTGGGGTGTGGTGTGTTCTGAATCTGTCAATTCATTAATTATTTAACCAATCTAGTTATTGAACATTCATTATACAATTAGTCCTCATTTAATGTCATCAGTAGGTCTTGGAAACTGCAACTTTAAACAAAATGACATATAAAGAAACTAATTTTACCATAAGCTAATTGATATAAACAAGAGTTAAGTTCCTACAGCATACTTCTGGTCATAAAACCACCACGAGCTTCTAAATAAAGACCCCAAACACTTCTAATATTAAACACGGAAAAAATTGTGAGCTATATGTACATTTAGGAAAGATTAATTTTAAAAAGTAAGATTATTTACTTGCTTATTTCACTTCAGGGTCATAGGTGGCTGGAGGCTGTCCCAGCAGCTCAGGACATAATGTGGGAACCCACTGGCCAGGATGCCATTCCATGGCAGGGCACACTCATACACACACCCACACTGGCTCAGACCGGGACAATGTAGACACATCAATCAAATCAACATGCACATCTCTGGGATGTGGGAGGAAACCGGACTACCAAGAGAAAACCCACGTAGACACAGGGAGAACGTGCAAACTCTCCACAGATGTTGGCTGGCTCCAGCTGGAAATCATTTTTCTTTCTCATCAATGTTGGAACAAAATGACATAATTCAAGGACCTGCTGTGTATTGTTTTCAGAGTGTTCAAAATACTCCAAAAATCACTTCTTAAAAGCATATGTTTTTCCCAGCCCTCACTTCTGCTAAATCCCAATTGAAATAAACTCTCCTCTGCATGATGATTGGTTCTAGACAGGGAATGTGCTTATCACTGGATGAGGCAATCTTGTTTCTTCAGCCTGGAGAGGGAGGTCTGAATACTTCCCTGGTAGGAACTACAACTTAATCAATTTCATATTCCTTTCTGACCACATCTTACTCAGTAAAAGCCGAGCCCGTGGCATTTACTAGGTCCTAAATAAAAGTTTGTTGAATGAATGAATGGAAAGCCCTCCAGTACACCATGGAAATAATGCTGTTTTCCTGCCACCCTGTCTTCACTATTTCCTATTTATATGAACTTGCACAGGTTATTTAATGTTTCTAAACTCTATTTTTCTTATTTGTAGCATATGGTAAGTAGGTGGAAGATTAAAGCCGATGACTAGCACAGAGTCTGGTTTAAAGACATTAGCTATTAGTAAGGTTATGAGGAATTACATTCTTTTAGAGGTAGATGGGTTCTTTCCTTGAAATGTTTAAAGTTTAAATTAGAACCTTTGGCATATAGTTCTTGAGGATTTAAATGAAAATGTTAGGACATATGAATTATTCATTCTTTCAACAAATATTTATTGAATCTCTTTTATAGACTAGGCTCTGGTGATAGGTCACCTTCCATCGGGAAAAGAAAGCAACGCAAGTAAAGAAACAACATCATTTTGTGATGATGCAATGAAGGAAATAAACAAGAAGATATGATAAATAGTACCTGGAGCGCCTACTTCACAAGAAAGCCTGAGAGAGTCCAGTTGTACTCAAGGAGAGGGAGAAGTAGCCAGGAGACAGATCCGGTAGGACTGTGAAAGCCATGGTAAGAAGCTGGGAACGTATCCCAAGTACGTTGGAAAGCTGCTGGAAACTTTTAAGCAGGGAAGTTATACAATCTGATTTACATTTTGAAAATGGCTCGCTGTTTGAGTAACAAATTCTAAGTGGGCAGATGCAGAGGCAGGAAGACCAGTTAGGAAGTGACTGAAATGGTCCATGTGAGAGAAGTTAGTTGGTGGCTTAGTTTAGGGTAGTGGCCAAGGCAGTGGTGAGGAGTGGGTGGGTTCCATGTATAACATGAAGATAGAATTGATAGAGATTGCTGATGTGGGATGTGGGAAAGGGAAAGGTCAAGATTGCAAATGAATTTCATTTAACAAATATTGAGGCTATTTCTGAGATAAGAAAGACTGGGAGGAAAACAGGGTGGGTTTTTTTTTTTTTTTTTTTTGGCAGGGGGAGGAGAGAGGGTCACAAGTTTGGAAATCATATCATCCAAGAAGATATGATTATAGATTATAATAAAAGATTAGTGTACTGCTGTGAACATCTGTGTCATTTTCAGAGCTACCACCGTGGATTCCTGAGCAACTTAATGCATGCTGTAAATAAAGAGGCTGACCCACATCTTGTGGCTAAAGAACAAATCAAACATCCTTTGTGACATTTGTCTGAAAAGAGGGTACCATGTGATTTTCATTTTGTCAACTTCACTCCCAAAGGGTATTTAAGAGAAAATGCACGTTTAGCATTTTCTGAACATTATATTAGTGGAGGGACTCACATAACATTTTGTAAGTAGACCATTCTAAGTAACATCTTTTTAATTCAGTTTTTTGGTATCTTGTTTTTAAATAGCAGAGTATACCATTAAAGTTAAATCTGATGAACACCACCAACACATTTTAGAGCTAATAAAGGCATATCACACTTTATATGTCTTTGGTAAGGATACAAGAATATTAATTTCTAGCCGGGCACAGTGGCTCATATCTGTAATCCCAGCACTTTGGGAGGCCAAGGCAGGCAGATTGCTTGAGCCCAGGAGTTACAGAGGAGCCTGGGAAATATGGCAACACCCCATCTCTACAAAAAACACAAAAATTATCCAGGTGTGGTGGCATGTACCTGTAGCCCCAGCTACTAGGGAGGCTGAGGTGGGAGGATCACTTGAGCCCGGGAGGTCAAGGCTGCAGTGAGCCGTGATGGTGCCACTGCACTCCAGCCTGGGCAACAGAGTGAGATCTGTCTCCAGAAAAAAAAAAAAAAGGAAAGGAAAGAAAAATAATTTCTTTTTAGATAGACAGGAGGAGAACATAGAAAGTTAATTTGTTCTTGGCTCCTTTAGGTTTATAGCATGTTGTTCTAAAATAGAATTGGCTCAGCTCCAAAAACTTAAATAGAAGGTAATTCTAAAGTATATTTTTAAGCCAATAATAATGTATATTTTGACCCAGCATTTGCTTGCTTTGAAATGTATTCTTTACAAATTTAAGTGGCTTATCAGTCAATGTAGATAATAAAATGAGGTCATTGTGAGGATCAAGTCAGAAAACGCAGATGAAACACTTTGTAAACACTGAAGTACTTTGTAACATAATTTTTAAATTATTATTATACTATTGTGTATCTTTAGTAAGATGCAGAGATGTCTCAGTTTGATTTAGGACTAATCATAAGAAAGGTAAATTTCCCACACTTACTACATTGAAATAGGTGAAGTGCATAAAGTTCCTAAGACCCCTGACTAGATAGATATTAGTGATTTCATTTTTCAACAACCTTACTTTTGCTTTCTGTATCCATTTTACTTTTTTACTTCTTCCTCCTTTTCTTCTCCCATTGTCTCTCCCTCTCCCTGTCCCTCTCCTTCACTCCCTGTGTCTCCCTCTTCCCTGCCCTCTCCTGTTCTCCCAGCCCTCATTCTTTCCATATAGATTCTCAGCTAAACTCTATTATTCATTTGACCACAGGTTTCCCTCTGAAAGAGGTAATCTATTAAGTCACTCATGACAGAGCAGATCTAGCCTCAAGACATAGGCTGAGCCACCAATAGAACTTGGCTGAGCAGCTACCCCTCCATACCTCTTGGGCCCTCATCTACCTAGTATGTTGGATTCTGCCCCCTCCCAGGTTATGGATTCAGGATGCATGTTGCTGTAGTAAACCATGCAACCAAGTGGAGAGCAAACCATGCTGCCTTTTTCCTTGATTTGGAATAAGACTCCAGATATGAGTTACTTTTCAACAAAAGGGGCAATACAAATATTGTGGTTGGGGTGTAGGAGAATCCTGATTTAACTTCAAGGACTTTGATGAATCTACACTGAGGTGCACAATAGCAATAATCATGTAAAACTAAGCCATTGTTATTGGTGAATATTCTTTGATCATACACTTAATAAATGTGCTGTTTCACTTACTTCTAAATGATTTTGTGGCAAATGATGTTGATGTGACTGACCACTCGCTCACCCACAGGCATCTGCTTTAAGCTGTCATTTCTTCAGTGAGGTGAATTTGTTGTATCCACAGAATTTTGAAATTAAGGATGCAGTTCTGGGAACGAGTAAGAGGTTTGTTTTTCTCTCTGTGTACATAAATCATTGATTAACCTCAATGATCTCGTTAGCACCATGGTCAGTCCATCCAGAATCAAAGAAGCTACCAAAATGTTGGTCAAGGGAAGAGACAATATAATACATATGCATAACTACTACATGTGTTTACATACACTTATTATGTTGTAGGCTAGCAGCGGAGTGAACGGCTTTTATTAAATAAGATACCATTTCACCCTGACATCATATGTTATATAAAACAAAAAGGCTTCCTATTTTGGACTCTTCAGATTAAAAAAGGTATTAAGAAATGTTATGAATTGAAAAGTAACATAAGAGATAAGGCATGGTTATGGTTGATAATGAAATATTCTGGTACTTTTTTGTACACCTGGATGGTGTTTAATATTCCTGAGCAAGTTTATCTACATTATAAAGTTGTTGTGCATTGTGTTGGTCAGCTTCCAGCAGCTGAAGGGAAAACCAGTCATTCTTTGAGGTGTTTACTGATGGAAGTTGGCTACTTGATTTTCATTTCAGTAATTTGGTTTCCAAAGGTAAGAACATAGTAGAAATTCTACTTTTCTCTTCTGAATATTACATTTGTAGTGTGGTAGACTTAAAATTATATTATGAACAAAGTAATAATGTAGACAGAAATAGGAATTACACTGAATAATTACACAGGTAGAATGAGAAAATTGGTAAATGATGTATATTACATGCAAGCAACTTGGTAAATGTGGTTGATGAGTGAAAAGGAAACTGTAGTTATTGCATCACACTTAGGAAGGGATCCTGTAGGATAGTGTGGGAGTGTAAGAGCTTGCTGAGTAAGGAGACCATTCACAACAGTGGGAGAAGTCTGAGTGCTGTAGCTAGAGGAAAGTTGGTAGTGAATTTTCTAATTCAGTCATTCATTTGCAAACATATACTGAGCACCTATGACTGTGATTCTCACTGTGCTGGGCTTTGGGCGTAAACACTAGTTAAGAAAGGCTGGTTTCTGTCTAAGCAGAAGACACAGGACTCTGAATCCTGGGAGCTATAAACATGGGAGGAGAGAGGTGATAAGTGAAACTATGAGGGTGGATGAGGTCACCCTCCGTATGTGAAGAGGGAGCAATACAATGGGCCAAGTGTGGAGCCCTGAGGAAATCCAGGAGGGTCATAAAGTTCCTGCTAGCAAATTATGCAGACACCAAAGTCAAGGGAAGAGAAGGTTTCAAGGAAGGAAGAAGCATTTAATACTGCATTTAGTATTAAATGCAGCAGAGTGCTCCAGTAAAATTAGAATTTAAAAGCATTCAATAGGTGGCCCTTTAGGAAATCACTTGGTAACACCGCATAGTGGATCAAAGCACTCAGGCTTGTGGGGTCAGACTGCCCAGGTTCAAAACAGGCATCTGTTGCTTCCTACCTCTGTGACTATAGCAGTTATTTATGTTGTCATAAGGAACGATCTGGGTTCCAGTGAAACGGATTCTGAGATGGAGTTTACCATGCAGGATGTTTACTAGGGAGTGCTCATGAGATCAGCACCAGTGGAAAGGAAGGGAAGGAAGCAGGATTGGGCAGAGGGAGAAGTTGAGCTGCAAGGCAGTCTCAAGAAAGGCCTCAGTTGAACCCATTGGGTGCTCTGAAGCTGGGTTGACCCTTGAGAGTTGCTCTGATGATGGGTGAGGACATTCGGCCTTTATACTGCTGCATGTAATGTACATATACTGTAAAATGAACAATTGCTGGATGTGTGCTAACTGGGAAGGCAGTGTAGTGTGGTCTTGGACTCTCCGCAGCTAAGGCCATCCTCCAAAGAGGTGGACAGCTGAGGCCCTCTGATGACAGCACATCCATTTGCTGAAGTAACAGCTCTTAATTCCTGAAGGAAGACCTGGACAATCACTTTCTAATGTGCACATGTGGATTTAGTAAGATACTATACATAGAGTGCTTAGTGTAATACCTCACACACAGTAAATAATCAATGAATATAAAGTTTTATTAAATGGCTGGAACCCACAGAGTAGACGTTGAATAAAGAGTGAATGAGACTTGAGAAAGCTGAGATGTTTGGCTCCCGAGGAAAGTGGACTCAAGTGAGGATTTCACTTTTTTATAAAGGATAGGAGAGATTCATGTAATGAGAAAGTTCAAGGAGAGAAAGAGGACCTGAAAGTATAGGAGAGAGGAAGACTTCCTGGTGGAGAAGAAGATCATAGAAACAGAGTCTTGGGGATAGAGCTGGCCTGGGGGTGAAGAAAGCCAGCTTAGGAGGTAAGGATGGTGTAGATACAAGTGTGGGTTCGACTGAGGCCTTTCCTGAGACTGCATGGCAGCTGAACTTCTCCCTCTGCACAATCCTGCTTCCTTCCCTTCCTTTCCACTGGGCTTGACCTCATGGGCACTCCCTAGTAAACCTCCTGCATGGAAACCTCCATTTCTGAATCTGTTTCCCTGGAGCCCACCTGGTTCTTCATGAAGATGTAAATAATTGCTGTAGTCACAGAAGTAGCAAGCAACAGATGCAAGTTTTGAAGGTGGACAGCTTGATCTCCAAGCCTGAGTGCTCTGATACACTATGCCGTGTTACCCAGTGATTTCCTTTGGAGGGGGCGTGGTGGTTGCAGAAATTTGAAATAATAGCTTGAGAGATAAAATGAGGTTATGAAAGAAGCAGGAGTAAATATAAAAAGTAAGATTGCCTAGGGCTCTCTAATCAAATTCTTTGAGGAAGAAGATCATGGCTTTGTTCTGATCCACTGAAAGATGACATGACAGAATCCTAGATAGTGCAGTCAAGGTGAATAGTGGAGAATGTGATTTTGGCAGCAAGATTAGAAATGAGATTAACCAGTGAGGGAGAGGAGTAATCTCAAGAGGAAGATGTTACCATGGTCCAGGCAAGAAATAACCAGAGGCTGCACCAAGATATTACCTGTGAAGATAAAGCAAAAGCAATAATTATTAAAGATGGGACTATAACAAGAGCAAGATTTGTCAGGTGTTCAATACAGTTGTCACTAGCCGATTGTTGCTACTAAGCACTTGAAATATGGCTAGTCTCTCTGTGATGTGCTATGATGTAAATTACACAATGGATTTTCAAGACAGTATATCATTAATATATTTTATATTCATTACAAGTAGAAATGATAATAATTGGAATATGTTGAATGAACATTTATTATCAAAATTAATTTTATCTGTTCCTTTTTACTTTTTTTAACATGGCTACTATTTAACATAAAATTTAAAATTACATATGTGGTTCATATTGTATTTTTGTTGGGCAGTGCTGCTGGGAGGTTGCTGATACTGGGGTGGTGACTGGAATACAGAGAAATTGGCACAGGTTAGAGTTGTAGAAAAACAATGCCGGGTGCGGTGGCACATGCCTGCGGTCACAGCAGTAGCTGATGCAAGAGGATTGCATGAGACCAGCAGTTCAAGGCTAGCAATTTAAGGCCAGCCTGTGCAAAATAGAGGCACCCCCTCGCTCAACAGTAAAAATAAAAAATAATTCTAAAAAGCAGCAATAAGCCCTTTGGACCACATTTGAATTGGTAATTAAATATTCAGGTGGTCACAACTTGTAGATGGAGTACTGTTCCACCGATTCAAGTGGCATGTTCAGAATGTCACTTACATTACCTGTTTGGTCTGGTACATATCTACCTTCTTGACTGATGTAACTGGAACATATAGTGGGTTGATTAATGGAAAAAAAATCAGTTAAAGAAGATAATTGTTTTAAAAAAATGAAGCATACAAGAACAATTTTGATAATTTATTTTAACTTAAAACATAAGCAATACTGATTCATCTGTTGATTGTTGGATATAGGATCAAGGCCTTTTCTATGCATATGGGACCATTGACTTGAAGTTTCTTTCATTTTTCTTGAAAATATCACATTCATAATTCATTTTCTGTCATTTCTAGTTTTAGTTTCTTAAAAGTGGAGTGATAAGTTTTTGAACAAATCTAAGGGCAGAATGTTTAGAGATTTTTGTTTTCTTTAGTCTACTACAGTTTTCTCATCCATAGCTGATTCCATTTTCAAACTTGAAGTGTTTCCAAAGCATTCAACCTTCTTCTACTCTCATATTTACCAATTTACCTAATTTTTAATTAATTATACAAGCTCGAGTAAAAGTGGCATAAATATTTGGTGACATACCTGCCTGACTCTCCTTATGCACAGAATCCAGCGGTGACAGAATCATGATCTCCGCTGGAGCACTGGCCAGAAATGGTCAGGGGACCTAGACAACCACCAATATGCTTCAGAATGTGGGTGAGGAGCTGCTTCAGTGTAGGCTGGCTAAGAGAATTTCTTTGGCGCTTAACAGGGAGGGGCAGGCATTTGTGTTTGGAGTTCAGAAAGTAGAAGAAAAAATTCTGGAACAGCAAGGCCTGGACAGGACACTGCAGTGGCTGGTAAGAGGCTGTGTAATTGGAGAGTCTGCCCCAGCAAGGGGTGAAGGGGCACAGCAGGTTTCCATTTAGTGAGCACTTCTCCTGTGTTAGGTGCTGTGCCTACCCATTGACAGGCATTATTTTATGAATAAACATTCAATGGAGTGCTCACAGTGTAGCCTCCTGTTCAGATGAAGTCATTGAGTAATCTTCCAAAACAAGTAGGCCTGATATTAAAAAACTCTGGCCAAAAATAAAAACAAAAATAAAAAATGCTGTCCATCAAACTTCTCTTGAACCATTGTTCCTGCAATCTTGTGTGCATGAGAATCACCACCGGAAGTGTGTATGTTTGGGGCAACCCAACCACTTACTCCAATGCAGATTTCCAAGTCCCCATTCCCTGCAAAATGGATCAAATTGATCTGGAATATGATCATGCTCTCCAGGTGATCCTAATGCAGACAGTTCATGAAAACTGAGTGATGACACAATACTACCTTTACAGAGGAGGGCCAGCCAGAGAGGGAGGGAGTGCTGATGAGTGAGTAATGAAGACTAGAGATGGATATGCAGTGGTCTGCTGAAGCCAGCTCATACCACTTGCAAGAGCCAAATGTTAAAATTAAAGGAATTTTGTGCATCATTTGTTGAACAGAGCCATTATTTAAAAAATAATATAAATGATATAAACTTGCAATTGAATTGATTATGTTAAAAACAAATGTAATAAACACACGTACTTATCACTTCTATGTTGCCGTATTTATCTTCTATATTCTTTTTTCCTCCAAGGGTAGAGACTCAATAAAATTAATAACTTGTAATATTTTATCAAGAAAAATTTTAAGTGAAACTCTCTTTTATCTTTTAAAAAATTTTTTTTTTAGGGTGACAGAGCCATGGAGAAAACAGTAACTACTGATGCAAGTTAATGCCCTGCTTTGATTTGTGCTACAGGACAAGCAGCTTTACAGTCAAAGAGGCTAGTGACAACCTAGTATTATCATTAAAATCATTTAAATCAATTAACTAATGTATAAGCACTTAACATGAGATCTACTGTTTTTCTTTTTTTCTTTTTTTTTTTTTTTGAGATAGAGTCTCGCTCTGTCGTCCAGGCTGGAGTGCAGTGGCACGATCTCAGCTCACTGCAACCTCTGCCTCCCGGGTTCAAGCGATTCTCCTGCCTCAGCCTCCTGAGTAGCTGGTACTACAGGTGCCCACCACCACGCCCGGCTAATTTTTCTTGTATTTTCTAGTAGAGATGGGGTTTACCACGTTGGTCAGGCTGGCCTTGATCTCCTGACCTCAAATGATCCACCCGCCTTGGCCTCCCAAAGTGTTGGGATTATAAACGTGAGTCACTGCACCCGGCTGGTACCTACTCTTTTACAATTTTAAGTGCATAGTACAGTTTTGTTAACCATAAGCACAATGTTGGGCAATGTTGGACAGCAGATCTCTAGAGCTTACTCATCTTGCGTAATTGAAACTTTATGCCATTGAATAGTAACTCCAGGTTTCCTCCTTGTCCCAGCCACTGGCAAACATCCTGCTCTCTGTTCCTATGAGTTTGTCTATTTTAGATATCTCATAGAAGTGTAATCATGCAGTGTATGTTTTTCTATGATCCTCTAGGATCATTCATGTCAGGTACTGCAAAATTTTCTTTTTTAAAGGCTGAATAATATGCTATTATATGCATGTACCACATTTGCTTTATCCATTCATCTGTCCATGGATATATGAGGTTGTTTCCATATCTTGGTTATTGTGAATAATGCTGCAATGAATAGAAGACTGCATGCATCTCTTTAAGATTCTGCTTTCAATTCTTTTGGATATATACCCAAGAAGTGAGATTACTGTATCATATGTTAATTCCGTGTTTATGTTTTTTGAGGAACTACCGTACTGTTTTCCTTAGCAGCTGCATCATCTCACATTCCCACAACAGTGTACAAGGATTCCAATTCTCCACATCTTGGTCAACATTGTAATCTTTTTTTACAGTAGCCATCATAACATGTGTGAGATGATAACTCATTATGGTTTTGATTTGCATTTCTCTGATGATTAATGATGTTAAGCATTTTTTAATACACCCAATGGCTATTTGCATGTCATCTTGGAAGGAATGTCCATTCAATTCCTTTACCCATTTTAAATCAGATTATTTGTTTTTTCACTATTGATTTGTATGGGTTCCTTATATATTTTAGATATGAATATTTTATCAGACATATGATTTGCAAATATTTTCTTCCATTCTGTAGGTTGCCATTTCACTCTGTTGATTATATCTTTTGCTCTGCAGAAGCTTTTTAGTTTGATGTGGTCCCACTTCTCTAATTTTGCTTTTTTGCTGGTGCTTTTGTTGTCATATCCGAGAAATCATTGCCTGGACCAATAGCATGAAGATTTTCCCCTATGTTTCTTTCTAGGAATGTTATAGTTCACAACACAATTCACTCTGTGTTGACTTTTGTGTATAGTGTAAGACAAGGGTCCAATTTCATTCTTTTGCATGCAGATATCTAGTTTTCCCAGCATTATTTGTTGAAGAGACTATCTTTTCTCCACAGTGTATTCTTGGCATTCTTGTTGATTAGTTGACTGTATATACCTGGGTTTATTTCTGGGATCTCTATCTATTGATGTATGTGTGTGTTTTAATGACAGTACTATACTGCATTAATTACTACAGCTTTATAATATATTTTAAAATTAGGAAGTATGAATATTCCAGCTTTGTTCTTCTTGCTCAAGATTACTTTGGTTATTTGAGGTATTTTGTAGTTCCATATGAACTTTAGAAATTTTTTCTATTTCTACAAAAATGCCGTTGAGATTTTGATAGAGATTACGTTGAATTTGTACATTGTTTTTGGTAGTGTAGACATTCAAAATATATTGTCTTGCAATCTATTAAAACAGGATATCTCTGCATTTGTTTGTTTTTCTTTAGTTTCACTGTGAAGTTTTTCGTCTTCTTGGTTGACTTTATTCCTAAGGATTTTATTCTTATTTTTATTCCCAAAATGGGACTGTTTTCTTAATTTCCTTTTTGGGTAGTCCATTGTTAGTATATAGAAATGCAACTGATTTTTTTGTATCTTGATTTTTGTATTCTGCAACTTTACTATGTTTGTTTATAGTTCTAACACTTTTCTTGTGAGTCTTTAGAATTTTCTACATATAAGATAATGTCATCTGCACACAGAGACAATTTTATTTCTTCCTTTCCAATTTAGATGGCTTTTATTTCTCTCACTTACCTAATTGCTGTGGCTAAGACTTCCAGAACTATGTTGAATACAAGTGGTGAGAGTAGGTATCCTTGCTTTCTTCCTGATTTTTGAAGAAAACCTTTCAGTTTTTCACCATTGAATATTATGTTAGCTGTAGACTTTTCATATATGGCCTTTACTAATGTTGAGGTAAATTCTTTCTATATCTAGTTTGTTAGAAGTTTTTTTTTTATTATGAAATGGTGTTGAATTTTGTCAAAGCTTTTTATTGTCTTTATTGAGAATTTTTCCTATACATTCATCAAGAATATTGACCTGTAGTTTTCTTTTCTTGCAGTGTTTTTTGTCTGGCTTTGGTATCAAGGTATTGCTGGCCTTATAGGATAAATTTTGAAATATCTCTTCTGTTAATTATTTTGAATAGTTTAAGAAAGATTGATGTTAATTCTTTAAATGTTTGGTAGAATTCACTGGTGCAGCTCTTTACTTTTCGTTGTTGAAAGGTTTTAAATTATTGATCCTCATTTTGTCTGTTTCAGTGTAGAGAGATTTTACATTATTGAACTTTATTTTTATTTGTCTGTTTAGACATTTTGTCTCCTCTTGATTAAGTCTTGGTAGGTTGTATGTTTTTAAGAATTTATCCATTTCTTCTAGGTTATCCAATTTGTTGACATATTGTTGTTCATAATAGTCTCATGATTCTCTATTTCTGTGGCATTTGTTTTAATATCTCTGCTTCCATTTATGATTTTATTTATTTGAGTATTTTCTCCTCATTTTTCTTAGTTATTTTAGGTAAAGATTTGCTGATTTTGTTTTTCTTAGAAACTCAGTTTTGTTGATTTTTTCTATATTCTATTTTATTTATATTTGCTGTAATCTTTATTACTTCTTTCCTTATGCTAGCTTTGAACTTAGTTTGTTATTCTTTCTCTAGTTTATTGAAATGTAATGTTAGGCTGTTTATCTGAGCCCTTTTTTTCTTTTTTTACCATACATGTTCATTACTATAAACTTCTCTCTTAGTACTGCTTCTGCTGCATCCCATAAATTTTTGTATATTGTGCATTCACTTGTGTTGAAATTTTTTTTTTTTTTTGAGACAGAGTTTTGCTCTTGTTGCCTAGGCTGGAGTGCAATGGTGTGATCTCGGTTCACTGCAACCTCTGCCTCCCAGGTTCAAGTGATTCTCCTGCCTCAGACTCCCAAATAATTGGGATTACAGGCATGCACCACCACGCCTGGCTAATTTTGTATTTTTAGTAGAGACGGGTTTTTACCATGTTGGTCAGGCTGGTCTTGAACTCCTTACCTCAGGTGGTCCACCCACCTTGGCCTTGCCAAGTGCCGGGATTATAGGCATGAGCCACCGTGCCCTCCCCTTGAAATATCTTCTAATTTATCCTTTGATTTTTTTCTTCGGCCCAATGGTTATTTAAAAGTGTGATGTTTAATTTCCACATATTTGTGAATTTTCCAGTTTTCCTTTTGTTTTTGATTTCTAGTTTCATTTCATTGTGGTCAGAAAAGATATTTGGTATGATTTCAATCTTAAATTTGTTGAGACTTATTTTATAGCCTAACATGTGATCACATGTGAATTTGACACTGTTCTGCATGCACTTGAGAAGAATGTATTTTGCTGCTATTGAGTGGAATGTTATGTATATGTCTTTTAGGTCCATTTGGTCTATACTGTTGTTCAAGTCTGCTGTTTCCTTTTTGATTTTCTGTCTGAATGTTCTATCAATTATCGAAAGTAGGGTATGAAGTCCCCTATTTTATTGTGTTGCTCTCTACTTTTCCTTCAAGCCTGTCAATGTTTGCTTTATATATTTTGGTGCTCTAATGTTGGGAGCATATATATATTTTTTTTATTATACTTTAAGTTTTAGGGTACATGTGCACAACGTGCAGGTTACTTACATATGTATACATCTGCCATGTTGGTGTGCTGCACCCAGTAACTCGTCATTTAACATTAGGTATATCTCCAAATGCTATCCCTCCACTCTCTCCCCACCCCACAACAGGCCCCAGTGTGTGATGTTCCCTTTCCTGTGTCCATGTGTTCTCATTGTTCAATTCCCACCTATGAGTGAGAACATGCGGTGTTTGGTTTTTTTGTCCTTGCGATAGTTTGCTGAGAATGATGGTTTCCAGCTTCATCCATGTCCCTACAAAGGACAAGAACTCATCATTTTTTATGGCCGCATAGTATTCCATGGTGTATATGTGCCACATTTTTTAATTGTTACGTCTTCTTGATGATTTATCCCTTTCATCATTAAATAATGGGGACCTCCTATGCCAGTTTCTGACTTAAATTCTATTTTATTTGATATGATTATAGTTATCCTTGATCTCTTTTGGTTATCATTTGCATGGAATATCTTTTTTCATCTCTTTACTTTTAGCCTATGTGTATCTTTGATTCTAAAGAATGCCTCCTGCTCACAACATATAATTATTTTTTTAATCCATTCAGCTATTCTACGTACTTTTATTGGAGCATTTAATCCGTTTACATTTACATTATCGATAGGTAAGGATTTACTATTGATATTTTGTCATTTTCTGTTTTGTAGTTCTTTTGTCTCTCTTTTCCTCTGTTGCTGTCTTCCTTTGTGTTTTGCTGATTTTTTTGTAGTGATATGCTTTGATTCCCTTATTTTTTCTTTTGTATGTATGTATTTATTTCTTTTTCTTTATCTATTGTATGTATTTTCTTTATGGTTTCCATGTTTCTTTGTCTCTCTCTTCTCCTTCTGGACACCCATAATCAATATATTTGTTCACTTGGTGGTGTCTGATAATTCCCTTAGACTCTCTTCACTCTTTTTGATTTTCTTTGCTTTTTGCTTCTCTGACTGGATAATCTCAAATGACCTGTCTTGGAGTTGACTAATTCTTCTGTTTGATCAAATCTGCTGTTAAACCCTTATGATGAATTTCTTATTTCAGTTATTGCATTCTTTCACCTCAGAATTTCCATTTGGTTCTTCTTTATCTTTTCTATTTCTTCATAATATTCTCATTTATTTAATGTGTTATTTCCCTCATTTTGTTTAGTTGTCTATCTGGGTTCTCTTGTAACTTGTTGAGCTACTTTAAGATGATCATTTTGAATTCTTTGTCAGACAATTCATAGATCTCCATTTTTTTAGGGCCAGTTGTTGTATATTTATTTTGTTCTTTTGATTGCGTTTTATTTTCCTGTTTCTTCATGTTACTTGTAGCTTTGCATTGATGTCTTTACATGTGACATCCATGTCTTAATGACATGTTCTCCACTCTTAATGAACTGGCTTTGATAGGGAAAGACAGCCCAGATAGAGTTTCTGGGTCTTGTTCCTAGGTCCTGATCCAGGTGTTCAGTCTTTTTCTTTTCTTTTCTTTTTTCTTTTCCTTTCTTTTCTTTTCAGCACTAGCAATCTCTTGCTCCCTCTGGTTCCCATGTCAGTCTCATCTGTGCTCCATATGAGATGAGATAGAAACTAGCTCTTCAGGGAGCTCACTGAAAGGCTCAGGACATTAGAGTCATGATCCACTCCTCCTTCTTTCCTGAAGGAGAGGCCTTAGTTCTATGCCTTCTACAGATCTCTCCGAGCCTTGCCAGCCATGGGAAGGTGCCCATTCTCCTAGCTTTCCCAGGCATCTGGACTATGCCATGTCTTTAAGCACTCTGTAAGAGGCACAACAGAAGCCAGCCCCTTGAGGGGTGTACTGAAAGGCCAGAAATGTTGGATGCTCACCCTACTCTCTATCCCCTGCCCTCCCTACACCAGGAAAGGATTGTAGTCTCTCTGGTGCTGAGTTGTACTCGCAGGTAAAGTGAAATAGCTTTTCTTATCTGTTTCAGTGTGGCTGATTGTGATTTTTTGTTTGTCTGGGGTACTGAAATTTCTTAACTTAATCCTGAACTTCTTATGAAGCTAATTTGTTACTTATATCACTGTTAAATCTGTGTTTCTGTTGGGAAATGAGGGCTGGAACTTCCTATTCTGCTATCTTGCTGACATCACTCTATCCTTGATGTTCTTGAGGTTATTTATGTCTATTGTATCTGTATGGGGGAGATGTATGTATTAGTGGTGGTTCTGGCTCAGAGTCTCTAATGTGGCTGTGGTAAACCTCAGATGTCAGAGATGGAGCCCTCTTGAGGCTCAGGTGGGGCTGAGATCTGCCCCTGCCCACCCACATGGTTGTTGACAGACCTCAGTTCTTAACTGAATGCTAGACCGAGGATGTCAGTTTCTCTCAGGCTGTTTGCCAGATGCCTCAGTTCCTTGCTATATAAGCCTCTCCACAATATGGCAGACAACTTCCCCAAGACAAGCGATGGAGTGATGGGGGACTGGGGGAAGGAAAGGAGGGAGAGAGAGAGGGAGAGGGGGAGGAGAGAGCGCACACACAAGCATGAGAGAGCAATTAAGATGGGAGCTGCAGTCTTTTTAATAACCTAATTTTGGAAGATCATCTCATTACTTTTGCTGTGTTATGTTCATGAGAAAACCACTAAGTCCTGCCTACACTCAGATGGAAGAAATTAAGTTTCATCACTTGCAAAGGAGGAGTATAAAGAATTGTCCCATCACAACACTATATGATGTCATGCTACTGCATATCTCTTCCTAACACTGTATTCAGTGATACAACATTGGTAGTTTGAAATCAGCCATGGTGGGAATATTTAAACCATGGAAATTAGCAAACATTCTAAGTCAGACTTTTCCCCCCAGACAGCTGACATTTACCAGCACACATCAGGATGAATATAGAGCTATGTGTTCACAAAATTTTTATGAAGTAGACGAATTTTAGGAAGGGCTTTGAAAGAAGGAAATAAAATATTATTGATAAAGAAAAAGATAGTTTCTTAATTTAAAGATAATAGAGGTGAAGCAAGAAGTGGAGGGAGACCTAGGGAGTTTAAATATGCTCTTATGGATGCCTATAATGACATGAAGAAAAAGCAGCTCTTTCTTTCTCTTTTTGTTTCTTGTGTGTGCATGTGTGCACATGATTTGAAATGGAGATTGCATACTAAATTTAACTATGTGTACACACATTAAAGACTTGGCATACAAGATTTTTCTTTAATCCAGCAATCAGGATGGGTATATAATCTTTTACATAATTGCCTATGAAGCCACAAACAAGTAATCCATACGCCAGTAAAGTTGATACAGCTGACCTATACCTAAAATAGCTCAGAAATTCAAAGACCAAATTTTAGTTCATTTGAACTGATGCCTTGGTGTATGTAGTACGACCAATAATATGTGAGGAGTGCCACCATTTATCAAATGAGCAGGAATTCACTTCAAAAAGAAAATTTCCAGAATCATAGCATTTTAGGTCTGAAAGAGACAGTGGGAAACCTACAGTACATTATTTCTCAAAATGTCTTTGTCAATCAAACATCAACATCAGAAATGACTGGTCTTCTTTTTAAAACCTAGAAGCTTGTTAATACCTGAAACCCACCCCAGACCTGATGAATTCATAGGGGCTTAAGAATCTGCACATTCTATAAACTCTCTACATGATTCTGTTGCAAGCAAACGTTAGAGAGTGAAAAATCCAAACCTTTTATTTTATAGATTAGGGAAACAAACAACTAAGCTGTAAAAGAGAACCCCCTGCCCAACAAGTGAGACCACATAGTAGGCATGATTTTACACATTACAATTTTTTTTTCTCCAAAATAAAATTTTTTAAATCCAGCAATCAGGGTGGATATATAATCTTTTGTATAATTGCCTATGAAGCCACAAACAAGTAATACATATGCCAGTAAAGTTGGTACAGCTGACCTACACCTAAAAATAGCCCAGAAATTCAAAGACCAAGTTTTCATTCCAAAATTTTTTATTTTGGAGAAAATAGAACGCATATCCTTTGTTCAAAGAGACAGCTAAGGAACAACACAGGACTTCAATGAAAAATATGTTGTTTATGTGTGTAGTTACTAGTCAGTATGCCCCACCTAGCCACAAATTAGTGTGGTTACTCTAAATTGCTAACATGAAAATCTTAACCTCCTACTTCTGAAGTTATTTGGTTTTAGCTACTCAATTTTTTTTTCTAGGCTTCCAAGGTTGCTGTTTTGGGCATGGTTTTAGAAATATAATTATAAGTTTGATTTCAAACTTCTGGACCATGTAATCAAGCACAGACTGGTCATAGTGGAAAATATACAATTTTTAGCTCTGCCTACATTGACAAAAAAAAAAATGGCTGGATCCACATCAATTCAACTTGAGTGCCATGTGTTTACAGTGACAGTTTCTCCCCGAAAACGCAAAAAAAAAAAAAAAAAAAAAAAGAAGATCCATGCTGCTGTAGTATATGTACATAGGGGTGTTTAAAGCCAGCCCCTCCAGCAGCACCTTACCAACCATGTCTGTGCTTTTATTTATTGATCCAATAAGATGACTTAAATATCTAACTCCTTTTCCACGTAAAAGTTTTTATTATGTGCAATGCATTGTTAAACAGGTGAAGAATGAACAAGTTTAGAAAAACAAAGAAGCTTAACATGGAAAATTACCCGCATGGTGTCCACTTTTCCTGCTCGGTTGCAATACCCAATGGATTATTTATTAATTTAGATTTGTGCTGTCCCTGAATCCAAACAGCAGCCTCTTTAGAGTAACATCTGCTCCAGACATTGCTCCAGGAATATAAATCCCGACTAAGGGGTGGATATTTAAAGCTGTAAATGATTTTTTATTTTTACAATAGCTTTGCAAAAGGAACGGAGGTGTCATGTCATCATCAGAGTTTTCTTAACAGGATTTAATCTTAATGCCAAACTAAATCCTTTGTCTAAAGCATCAGCAGAGTTGTACTTATTTTCCCCATAGTATTAAAGAGGAGGGCTGGTGCAGGCACAGCCATATGACATTGCCTTATTTATTTTGTCTGTTTGTTTTCTGGAAGAATCTAGGAATGTGCATAAATACAATTAAGGACAGTATCTACAAATTGGAAGAAAGCATTTCTATTCTCTTAAACCTCTAAATCAAAGCACTTAATGTTCTGATTTCCAGCAAGACCTTCTAATAAATGAAAACCCAACCCTTGGGTTTGTGTTTTGACTCTTGATACAATTATGAAAGACGCATCAGGAGATGGCAAGTGGCTGCCAGTACTTCCTTTTTTCTGGAATATTCTCTAATTCTTGGTGGATCAAGATGGAAACTGGTAGGCTTGGAATAGATGTCCCTTTAAAAGGCTCCACTAACAATACAAGAATATTTTTTCCATACGCAGTGACGTGGGTGGGTCATGGGTGTCTCAATGACAGTAACGTTCCCGAACCCCGGACCTTAGCTGTCATTTCACCTGCGTCGTCCCGGACGCCATTTGGCTGTTGACGTGGTTCCGAGCCAGCAAATAACGCCAGCAGCCCTCCCAGATCCACGCCGGCCCGTCTCTCCGCCGGCCCCCTCCTCGCAGTGGTTTCTCCTGCAGCTCCCCTGGGCTCCGCGGCCAGTAGTGCAGCCCGTGGAGCCGCGGCTTTGCCCGTCTCCTCTGGGTGGCCCCAGTGCGCGGGCTGACACTCATTCAGCCGGGGAAGGTGAGGCGAGTAGAGGCTGGTGCGGAACTTGCCGCCCCCAGCAGCGCCGGCGGGCTAAGCCCAGGGCCGGGCAGACAAAAGAGGCCGCCCGCGTAGGAAGGCACGGCCGGCGGCGGCGGAGCGCAGCGATGGCCGGGCGAGGGGGCAGCGCGCTGCTGGCTCTGTGCGGGGCACTGGCTGCCTGCGGGTGGCTCCTGGGCGCCGAAGCCCAGGAGCCCGGGGCGCCCGCGGCGGGCATGAGGCGGCGCCGGCGGCTGCAGCAAGAGGACGGCATCTCCTTCGAGTACCACCGCTACCCCGAGCTGCGCGAGGCGCTCGTGTCCGTGTGGCTGCAGTGCACCGCCATCAGCAGGATTTACACGGTGGGGCGCAGCTTCGAGGGCCGGGAGCTCCTGGTCATCGAGCTGTCCGACAACCCTGGCGTCCATGAGCCTGGTAAGGGCGCTGCCCCCTGACAGCCCTGGGGGCATCCCGGAGGGGGGCGGCAGAGGGTGGGACTGGTGGCGGTGGGGGAAGGAGGGAGGGATGGGCCCAGGGGTGCCTCTTGGTAAAAGGTATCTAAGGTGGAAGGTGGGAAGTGGAGGGAGGGATGGAAATGGGGAAGAACCCGACTTAGAGCGCCAGTGGCCCAATTTCTGCTTTCCCGTCCCATCCCCCCAGCACCAATCCCATCTCCCCAGACCTTAGGCCACCCTCTAGTAAGTATAGGCTTGGGAGGCTGGGGTGGCGGGGGATGGGGGGGATAGCAATACAGAAAAAACAAATCCTGACGCACGCAACCCCAGCGGTCGCTCTCACTTTGCTGTGTGAAAAACCCAAAGGAATGATTGCGAGTCCCCCGCAAGGGGGGTTGGTCTTCCTTGCTGACAAGAGTAGAAAGATAAGGTGCAGAAGGCAGTGATTGAGAGGAAAGGAGAACGAGGGAGAAAGAGTCATTTATCATGTTTTCTCTAATTTCCAGAGGACCAGTTTATTGGCTCTGTGTACCCATCTCTACCTGTGTGTGTATACGTATTAGGTACACTCGCTGCTGTGGATGCTTGGGGAATCTTAGGGATATTGCCAATCTGGGGTGGTGGTGTATAAAGATACGTTGGTGCCCCTCCTCCTACCAGGGTGAAAAGTGGTTTCTGACTTTTGAAACCAGATTTTGAAACTGCACAAGGCCTTTCCAAGGAAAAAGGAGTATTCCATTTTCTCTGCTATAACCATTTGAGATGAATAGTTTGTGATGGGGTCTTTATTCCAACTGATGTTCCCAAATAACCATCTGTATTCGTCTTTCCTAGGAGTATATTAAAGCACCTTTTGGTTTATGTTAATTGTGATGCATTTAGTATTAATAAAGAGGTATTTAAAAATGTTCTTGGGACTTTTTTCGTTATGTTTCTGCTTAGGAAATAATTTGGGCCTGGTCTTCTGATAATCAAGGTACAGCTAAAGTAATCTGTGCTAATAATATCAGCATGGGATGGATGCTTAATTTTTGTTTAATGACAAAGCAAGCAAGAAAAGTAGGCTAAAAATTCTCAGTGCAGGGCCAGTATAGTTTTATAATGATACGTAAGAACCAAACTGAGAAGAGATTAAAATAAGTGATCAATAGACATTTTGATCTTCAAATATATAGTAGGTGGGTTGATCAAGAATAAATCTTCAGGAAATATTTCTTACCTTCAAATAATATAAGAAAAAAAGGTTCATGTAAGTTTGCTGTCAAAATTCTAAGATCAGATCCTAGAAAACATTTAATATTAACTACTCTTATCTACCAGGATTCAGCATGTAGGATTGGACATTTTGAAACTTAGTTTCATACTGTTATCTGAAGACAGGGAAAAATTTAAAATGTGATAACTGATTTTCAGCTAAATCCAATAACCAAAGCCAAGATATCCTAGGCACAGTTAAAGCTAATGTAAGTATTTGTGAGTCTCCTGCTGCTTACTTAATGAGAACCCTTTGTTACTCTATTTTGTAGATTGATCCCAGAGTTTTTTGCGTTGTTACTTCAAGAGATTATATGAAAGCTAATGTTTAACTTTTTGTTGTTTCAAATTTGGAAATAAAATTTTAAAGTGATATTACAGTTAGAATGTGATATGCTTTAGAAAATGAAAACAATGATTTCTTTGCTTAAGTATCTGGAATATATAGTTCATCAAGGTTTGCAAATCCTTCTTTTAGATTGCAAGCTGTATGAAGTGGGGACCCTGATTCCAGCACCCAGCTCATGTTTGGCACACAGCGGGCTTGAATATACATTATGAAATAATCTACATTATGGAAAAATACTGAATATGCAGTGTGGAAAAAATGAATCCATCAATAGCTGCATAACACAGTGTATTAAAATAAAATGTTTTATTCTTCATACATTCAAAATACGTTGATTGAATTCCTCTTACAGAGACAAACTCGGAAGTGTTGTACAATATGTACTTTACAATTCCTTTTTAAATGAAGGAGACTCTAAGTCTATGGTATTACTAATAGAATACAAAATGTCTGTGTCCCTTATATTTTTAAAAGTAGAAATAAACTATTATAAACCAACACTAACAAAAGTACAAGGTGATATCCCCCTCCATCACCTTTTATGAGCGTCAAGGAGGTTAGAGATCTTCAGGAAACTAGTAAATATAGAGATCTGATCAGTATACAAGTTTGATGGTGCTTGTGTGAATTAACTTTAAGGAAGTTTGGAAAAAGGAAAATGTTCACCATTCTTAAATGGCCTTTCAGTTTCTTTTAGGTTAAACTATTTTAAGAAGTAAAAAGGAATACTTATTCTGAGGTACAAGTGGGCTCATTCAGTGTTTTTTTTGAGCACCTGTATACTCAAGGTGGACCAGGCGTCTGTGAGTTGTGCCTCTGCACAACCCATAGAAGATAACACAGAAGATAGTCGCTTGCCCTGAGGGCAATAGAGAATTGGGAGCTTGAAGAACAGCATAAAGGGATGTGAGGCTGCAAGATCGGCTTTGGGAGGACTGGAGAAAAAGACAGTAAGGTCAGCAGGTCAGGGAGACTGGATTATTGAAGAATTGATGACAAAAGACAGTAGGTCAGCAGGTCAGGGAGACTGGATTATTGAAGAATTGATGACAAAAGACAGTAGGTCAGCAGGTCAGGGAGACTGGATTATTGAAGAATTGATGACAAAAGACAGGAAATGTACAGTTTGTTGACATTTACAAATTCCAAAATAGCTGGTATAGATATCTGTCTTCACTAGGACCCCTGCTTTTGAAAAAGGGCCAATTGTCTTTACTATTTTCACCTTTTAAGTACCTTATTTTTTGGTTTGAAATAACCTTTCTGATTCAGCTTTAGGAAATAATATTGAACTTAAGAAATGTGTTTACTTGACTGAAATTTTGAGGTGAAATTGCTCACTTTTGTTTTATTTTCCAGCAAGAGAGGTGTCAGATTTGTTGATTAGTTTTCTTAATCTAGATTCTTTTCCTGAACATTAAAAAAACAGTGGATTTCTAAGGATTTAGTTGTCGTAACAGAAGAACTCCAAGAAAATACAACAACATACCCACAAAAAGCCCTTTCTTGTGGTAGAATAAGCAAGCTAGAGGTTTACTTTGTTAGACTAGCAGTTTTTGGACAGAGATGTTTGTTGATACAATTAGCTCTCTTCCTGAGCAGAAAGAAGTGATCTTTATACATGCTTGGTACAGGACATGGGGTGTAGTTGAGGTTATCTCCTGAAAATGACTTTCTTTGCAAGATGTTCAACTTTTGAATTCATCAAAAGGCAAAGCAAATTCCATTTTGAATTGGTCATTGAGGAATAGCCAAACCTATTCTGTGATGACATCTTAGGAATCAGCTTGATTGTTGACCAGCTGAATGTTGGGTCTCAGTCATCATTTTGTATCACTTCTGAGGTCTGCAAAAATCTATTGAAAGAGAGTTGCGAGTAGCAGCCAATTTCAATAAGCAGAATCACAAATGGTCCTGTCATTGGTCTCATCTTTTCAGACATTGTTAAGTCTGGACCCCAGATGGGTTTCCTCTACACTGGGAGTTAGTGTTTGTGGCCCATTTGGAACTGGGATGAAGAATGGGCTTAGACTAGGCTAGGGGCTGATTCTAAGTGCTCAAATATGTCCCCATTAGATATCATACCTGCTAGGCATGATCATTTTTCCCGTTTTTCTTTCCTTTTACTTAGATTTTATACTTTTTTCTTATTTCCATGCTTAAGGACTCACGTATTCAAACCCAAACATATGCCTTCCTAGGCATGTATATCCATCATCGAAATACAGTACTCATAAAAGAAACCTTTATTAACTTATGTCTAAGTAATGGATTCTGTGTTCCCAGACCACTCGACCCGGAGTTAAATATGAGTTAAGATTAATTTGCTTAAAACACTATTTCTTTTACACGTAGTTCAAGATAGCTTTTGGGAAGTAAATCTGATTTATAGCTAAAACGCTATCTCAAAAACATTCTTTAGAGCAGGATTTTTCTTTCTCAAAGGCTGGAATGATTATTTTGGACGTATTCCTCTCTGAATCTGTTAAAATATAAAGTGTATAAATGCCAGTATGAATTTGCCAAATATTGTGATGGAACATTTAATGCTGGCAAAGTTTCCACACAACTTGAAAAAAATAAGTGGGGATTTTTATTATTTGTATGGCGTCTTTTTATAGCAGATTAGTATGTGTTAGTGGCAAATGGTTACAACTAAGTAACAACTTAAAATTCGTGAAGATAGATGTTAGATCCTAGAGAAGAATCTAGACCTACCACACATGGTCAAGAGTTATTTTTAGACCTGAATGAGTCAACACAGCTTTTGCCAGAAGTGATGTTCTTGATTGACTTGTAATTGGTTAATGGAAGAGAAGGCAAGTTGGGCTTGCCCCTACATGATAGCCTTTGCTCAGACAAAAGAGGCAGCTTTCTGTGACAACTGATTTCAGAGGTGGCAGACGACTCATTTGCTAGTAACTCCCTTACCGTCTTACCACGGGGCGAAATCCTATTTCTAAATATTATTAAGAAATACAAAATAGCTCTTGTAACGGGTGACACATTAACCCAGCTTTTCTCAAAATATATTCCATAGAACATATATTCAGCATGGTTTGATAGGCATTATGTAAACAAAGATAAACAGGTTTGTATATTGAAAGACCTAACAGAGCTCTTAATAGGCTAATGTATGTTTCAAATCTCCAAGTTAGATTCGTACTGTATAAGATTTCCCAGGCTTTTACCATGGGATTTCCTCCTCTCCCGCTGGCTGGTGGCTCACACCTGGTTGAGGCAGGAGGAGTGCTTAAGGCTAGGAGTTTGAGATCTGCCTAGGCAACATCATGAGATCCTGTCTCTACAAAAAAATAAAATTAGCTGGGCATGGTAGCATTTGCCTGTAGTCCCAGCTACTTGGGGGGCTTAGGAGGGCGCTTGAGCCCAGGAATTTGAGGCTACAGTGAGCCATGATTGTACCACTGCACTCCAGCCTGGGCGACAGAGCGAGACCCTATCTCAGAAACAAAATAACAACAACAACAATAAAAAAGGGAGCTTATCTTGGAAGTAGTGTTACACTTCCATTAGCCCATTATCATTCTTTATCATAGTATTAAAGATTCATTTGTCACATGAGACTGGATGTAGAACAAAGAAAAAAATGATTCAGTTGGCAATTCTCCAGCAGAGGGCCTCATACAGGGAGCTCTTCAGGGGTAGGGAACATATGTTTTCCATTTTTTCCCTCCATAAACAGCTAGTGTAGTGGTTTATGTAGAGTAGGCTTTTAAGTTTTGCTTAGAATCAGAGCATGATTCTGAGGCAATGAGGCAGAGGAGAAATAATTTTGTTTGTTTGCTTTTTTCTCTCTCTTACAGAGCTGAAAAGGACACATAATTTTGATGAAAATGATTAAAGTTAGACAAATGCACCACAATTCTTCTTTTATTGTTAAATAGCTTCATGCTTTTTACTTTTGTTCACCTCTTTTCCTTGTGTATGACAAGGGAATACGTTAAGAACACAGAACTCACAGGATCGCTGTGAGGCCAAAGTAGTGTAGTATATAGAAACACATTTAATGAAGTTGCTTACATCTGGTTATTAAAAAGAAATGCTAATTTGTAAATATTCTTTTTTTACTTTCAGTTGGTCTGGAAACTGTGCTCCATGGCCTTTACACTCATTTAGAGTAGGCACTCTTGGCTGCATCGTCACGTGAGATCTGCCTCCACCAATCCTGCCAAATGCTTTCCTCTTAGGATGCTGTTGCACAGGCTTAGTTGATAGCCCTGAAGGACTTTTTCCCTCTTCTTACTGTTTTATTTTTGTTCACAAATGTTTGCTTTTTTTTTTTTTTTTTTGAGATGGGGTCTTGCTGTGTCACCCAGGCTGGAGTGAAGTGGCACGATCATGGCTCATTGCAGCCTTGAACTCTAGGGCTCAAGGTGTCTCCCTCCTCAGCCTCTTGAATAGCTGGACTACAGATGTGAGCCACCACACCCTGCCTGTTTGCCTTTTATCAATTTTAAAATGTGGGACATTCTTGCTTTTCTTCAGTTTGACATGATGATGAACAATAATCATCAAGCAAGCTTGAATCAAGCAAGCGTCACTCAATAGGACACTCAATAGGAACAAAGTGTGCATCAGTATTTGAGAATGTCTTTATGGTTGTTTCTTTAGGTAGCCAAATAAATCTACGGCAATATCAACATTTTCATTGGCAATCTGACTTATTTTCCTAAAGAATTTATGATGAAACTGCTCCAGTCCTGACTAACTTAGTCTTTTACAGTCTCAGCAGAAGCAAAAGCTCTTTGAAACCTCCTTTCTCCCCGCTCCCTAACTTTCTTACCCCTGCTGGGGCTCTTTCTTTATGCTTCCATATTTCTTTGGAGAGCTGTAAAGAATTACAGTGTGGACTTTGATGTCAGGGGACTTGAGCTCAAATCCTGAGGCTTCTTATTTTTAGCTGAGTGTCCCTGGGCAAGTCAATTAACTTCTCTCTATCTCCCAAATTCATCACCTATGAAATGACAATAATGTGATGATTAAATGAGGTGGTAAATATAAAGTTCTTAATTCAATATGTGGCAACAATTATTATTACCTCATTATGGTATTTCCCACTGTTGGTCTACAGATAAATCTATAGACAAAATACAATCCCGGACAACAAGAAGCTCCTATAGCTCCTGTAGCTTCTTGTGCTCTAGGATTGTATTTTGTTTATATATATTTTTTAATCCTGAATGTCTAGTATTATGCTTGGGACATAGTGGCCACTCAGTGAATATGTTTGAATAAATGAAATTTCTCAAATAGGCAAAAATGCATATCATAAAACAAAGCCATGTTGGTCGATGTTGACATCATGCATATTAGCATGCCAGTAGTGTGATAACAAGAAAGGATAGAGATGGTACTTTTCTTTTGCATATGCTTATTTTTTGTGTGCACTGAATCCAGTTTTGCATAATGGAGAAATATACCAATGTGAATTACATGTCTTTTCAAGTTTCAGTGCTGAACTTGCTGTGTTTGTTGTCTCATATAACTGGACTAGTAAGGGGCTGTCTTCCTTTTGGAAGAGAAGAGTCTTCAGACATCTTAGAAAGTTAAGCTGCTTTTTAAGTGTTAAATAAACATTTTAAAGATAATTGGTAAGCATTTATTTAGTAAAATTTTGACCTTTAAAAACTCTGCATGAGACCTGAGTGTTGAAAACTAAGAACTGTGTGCTTGTTTTTAACACAGAAGATATGTATCTCCAGGTTTTCATTTTCCTTTTTCTCATGAAATGGTATTCAAATCGTGCACTTTGAAATGCCACAGAGGAGGAGGTTTATCCGAGCTACGTGATGGGTCAAATGAACTTAAATTTGAAACATGTTTAAATTTGCCCTTTTGTTTCCTTCTCATTAATTACTGGAATTGCCGTGAGTCCGTTGCTCTGTGAACGTTTCTCTTTCTTTGAACATTCAGGATATGGTGTTTTGTAAGTGATCTAACAGCCAGCTTTTTCTAATAAAACATGGCCTAAGAGAAGAGCCTGTTTGTGTTACTAGTGTCTTTTATGATTTTCAAATGATTTACCCACTTCTTTAACTGTCCCTAGATGAGTAATCTTTGAAGGGTAGGGTGGCACATGTGGAGTATTAAAGAGATGGCTGTTAAGCAAAGATAAATGAATTACTTATGATAATACACCGTGGAACAACTTTCCACTACTGGTAAATATTTTGTTTTCTACAGAAATCTCTTTACTATCAAATCATTGCTAAACATCATAGTTCTATAATAATCCCCTCATTTGAAGACATTTCATTTCAAACAAAGGCTCATTATTTTAAAATGGATGCAAATTGTTTATTTTCTAAATAAGCCTAAATATAACTTAAATTCAGGTTGCTAAAAAACCTCTTCCTGGCCGGGCGTGGTGTCTCACACCTGTAATCCTAGCACTTTGGGAGGCCAAGGCGGGTGGATCACGAGGTCGGGAGTTCAAGACCAGCCTGACCAACATGGTGAAACCCCGTCTCTACTAAAAATACAAAAATTAGCCAGCCGTGGTGGCACATGCCTGTAATCCCAGCTACTCAGGAGGCTGAGGCAGGAGAATCGCTTGAACCTGGGAGGCGGAGGTTGTGGTGAGCGAGATCGCACCACTGCACTCCAGCCTGGGCGCAGAGTGAGACTCTGTTAAAACAAAAAGACCTCCATGTTGGTCAGGCTTGTCTTGAACTTCTGACCTCAGGGGATCTGCCCGCCTCGGTCTCCCAAAGTGCTGGGATTACAGGCATGAGCCACTGTGCCCAGCCCCCCAAAATTTCTTGCTGTGGTTATGCATGTCAAGGTAATTAGAAGGAACAATAATTATCGCATTTATTTGCTCAATGTAGGCAACTCCTCATATGTTCAGATCCCAAAGTGATGCTGACTGATTGGACCTATCCAATTTCTCTTCCTATACAGGCGAAAGTATTTAAAATCATAAAATCTTTCCTTCACTATGCAGCTGCTAGTCACTGCCATTGTGTAATGTTTTCTCCAAGAAATAGCTTATTTCTAGAACTCTGCTCAAAATTTGCACAAATCATAACCTTTAGCCATGAGTTCAGGGTAGTGAAACTTCAATATAAAGATCAGATTGTCACCTTCCTGACCCAGGTCTTGAATACCCTTTTTCCTTTTCTTTTTTTAGCCAAGTGGTAATTTCTAAAACAACCTTTCTTCATAGCTATTATAAAATATTACTGTGTGGCATTCCACACTGAAATTAACTTTCCAAGATGAAAATATAGGCCTTTTTTAAATAGAACTAATAATTTCAATGTAATTTAGGGACTATTTAATGAACACCTACTATGTCCATGCCATTTTACTTTACCTGTTGGTCACCCTTTGAGGCAATGCCATTGCGTTCCTTGAAATGTGTTATTTCATTTTTTTGCTTTGGATTCACTCTTTCACACACGTTGAGCTTATATTGCATACTGTATAACCAGTGGATACATTACTTGATTCTGCGTAATGCCTGCTGCATATGATGCAGGGGTTGAAGGCTTCTCTATCTTATTCTTAATGTAGCAAACACAAAGACAATATCTGTAGGGGAAACTACTGAAAATGTTAAAGACATTTGCAAAATGAAATACTTTTTGTCCTTTTTGTGTTTTAGTTGCAGTGCTGGACATCTGATTTTAAAGTACAACAGTCCTATTCAAACATTTTCATTTGTCTCAGATCTTGACATTGTTCAGCACAGATTTTTTTTCTTTAAGTTTACTAGAGGAAACCAGTCTTATTCATTGTGGGAACTCAGTAAATGTTAAGCCAGATTTTCAACATAACCAGCATCAGGGGAATTAATTTAATGCACTTTTGGAAACTGCATTAACTCCACAAAATCAACAAGACCTTTATAGAGCTCACACAAAGAGAAATCAGCTGCTACATGTATTTTCTCAAGAGTCAAATTCAGTTTTGAGAAAATGCTAAAGCCATAAAAATATAGAGATAGATAAATCTCATGTGAATACTATTACATAGATATATAATGAATGATACTATGTAGCTAAATAGACTGAAATACGATCTAGACATATAGGTTTTATTTAGGGTTCGATGATGGCAAGATAATTGTGAATGCAGAAGTCGTCTTTGTTTTAAATTTCAAATTAGTTTAACTATTTATATTTATAGATTTCACTCCTATCTATAAAATAGCCCTTGTTTTTCTTGTTTTTACTTCTACTTATAGCTATTGTCAGGAATTGAGAGTTTTTTCTTTAATCTGAGAGGTTGGTTCTTGTAAAAAATATGATTTCTCAAGAATGTTTTTTTCAGGAAGTTTTCTTGGGCTATTATTGTTCTCTGGGTTTTTAAACAGTTGGGCTAACTTTGCCTTTGCTTTCAACAGAATGTTAACCGGATACCTTCTGAGATAGGTTACAACTTCATGGCTTCAAGTATTGGTTGTGCTGGAGTTGTCTTCCTCCCTGGAGAACAGTCCTTGAGAACTAATTTCATAGCCAAACATGCTAAAACTGTTAGAAGGTTGAGGTGACTTAACGGCCATTTATAAATTAAGCTCTGTAAAATTATTTGGCAAATAAATATTATTAAATGCCACTAGCATAATAAATGAACAAGTCCAAACATCTAGTGAAAATTAGAATTTCAATTAGATTTAGGACATATTTTATATTGTCAGTGCTTTATTTTCACAGTTGCCAAATTATAAAGTGAAATGTCTTCTCATTTCTTAAGGAGTCTTTTTCAAACTTGTCTGTCTTCTCCTGGAATCAAGATAGTGACTGCACATTTCAGAGTGAACCATCTGGTGCAGGTCTATAGTAGGTTCTTGATGTGTTGTTGAAAGTGGTGAGTGAGTGAACACTTCAGAATGAATGACACACATATTAGATCTAGTTATACACACTTTGCCAAACCATTGACATGCATGCAAGCACACCTGCTTCTCCAGCTGCAAGGCAAATAGTTATATCAATCCATAATTCTGCCTTCCTTCTAGAATGGTGACCTTGAGGAGAGGTGGCTATCTTTGGCAGATTAATTACTGTATCCACAGTGCTTGGCATGTATATTTTGTCACCAACTGGGTCTTATGTTAATGTTCCACCCTAGGCTGGTCGTGTTTCTTGTTCTGGTGTTTTCTATATTGAGCCCTGGTTCTGTGTTGCCTTCAGTCTACTCAGTGAGATGCAGGTCCTCATTCTGTTCTTGCATTTAACATTAATTTCTCCATACAATGGGTCAGACTCAGTACTTAAAATACGGAGACTTCCTCCTCTGGAAGAATTTTTGCCGCCATTTCTTGATTCCAAATGTATGAGCTGCAGAAAACTTTAGAGGTGTTGAACATGTGCAAAATACCTGATAAAAATGCTTCTATGTGTTAATGCATAGGAAGAATTCTATAAACTTTCCTCAAATTAGCCTCCTTCAAATTAGAATAACTTTTGGGTTGAATGTTATTAAATACTTAGAATTGTCTCCCCATTGTCCATAATGGGTTAGTTTCAGTATTCCACTGGTCAGTGTAGCATTGGGATTAGTAGCATTTTTATATTTTCATATGTATGAGTAACACACATTTTTACTCTACTTGTCAAACCCATTTCAATTTCTAATTTCCTCTCCACTAGTTAACTATGGAGTGAACATGAGAAACTTCATTAGAAGAGTATATTCATTTTACTCATGTGTCTAAATTGTTAGGTTGTATGTTGAGGACAACTCTAGGTTTCTCTCCAGCAGTGGGAAACATGAACTATGTGATATTTTTAATATTTTTGAGATCCTTTTCTATTGTTTCGAGACTTCTGAGTATGCTTTTTAATATAGATTCAGATTACTGGATAGATGAGAGTGAGGGCACCTTATGCTATTTTAACAAACATTTTCCCTTCTCCTTTGAGTCTATTTCAGTTTGCACAAACTGTATCTTAAAAAATTACACCTAATTTTCAGGGACATCAATTCAGTGTGAGGTATTTTTCCTGAATAGTTTTAAAACTGTTATTCTTGTTGCTGTTATTATTTTAACATTGAAGCTGAACTCATTGGATACTATAATTTTGTGACCTCTGCATACAGGGAAAGTGAATCAATGAGAATGCATTTCTTAAATGAATGTACAGAAGAGTGAGACTTGTTAATATTTTTTCAAAAATTCATTGGACAAAGCTAATGCATTCATGGGCTCCATAAAGACAGTAGTACAGGGAAAACATTCATACCTCTGCCAACATTTCCAAAAGGCCAAGAAGGCTCTCATTCATGGAACATATTTCATTTTCCATAATATTCTCAGCCCTCAGACCAAGGTAGTAAGAATACTTTATTATCAAAAAGGCCCTACTAACAACTTGCAGTGTAAATCATCCTAATTGGACAGATCACTGAGAAAAAACAAAGACATTCATTCACCAGGCATTTGGAAATTCCAGGTAGAAATGCTTTCAAACCAGGCCACATTTGGAAATCAAACTCTGAGTAGTAGAGGGCTGTAAACGAAATACTGCATCTTTCATTTCTGTATAGGTTATTATATTTGTAGCGCGAATGTACTTATTTAACAATAATAACTAAGTGCCTCCTATATGAGTGACATTCTGCAGATTGAAGAGGTATTTCAAAAGGGAACAAGAAACAACAGTATTTTACCAAGTACTTTGTATGAAGGTATTGACTCTAATTCTTCAGGGAGTTATAAGAGAGTGGTCTACAGTGGAGGGCTTTCAGAAGGAGGTGGAGCTTTGAGCAGGACTTAAAAGATGCATAAGGTATGGAAAGTCAAAGAGAGGACTTTATTCTAAGCTAGTAAAAAATCATTCACATTTCTTGTGTCTTTTTCTTCATTGTTCTGAATGTGTGACATATAAGCATTCAAGATACATTGTGCCAGATAATTATGTTCCATTAACATGTGAAATTTTCATCTACAGAAAATTTTTGTTTAGAGAATGCAGTTTTGGGGGTGCTGTGCTTTGGGGCTGATTTCCCTCATCAAGACGGTAAAACTATTTGGGATGGAGCATATACTAATAGAAATATAATATACTTATATATATATAGTATATGTATACTAGTATATATACTAATATATAGTGTATATATAGGTATATAATATATATTTATATATTTACATATAATAGTATGTATCTATAATATATATAATATATCATGTATTGTAAATATATGATATATGTATATGTAATATGTAATATACATATATCATATATTTACAATATATGTATATATTATGCATACATATTCGGAGCTAATCTTTGGGTATTAATGAGAGTGGGAGTCCAGAGCCTAGCATATATGTAATATGTAATATACATATATCATATATTTACAATATATGATATATTAAATATATAATATATGTATATATTATATTAAATATATATTTATATATTATAATGGAGCTTATACTTATATATTATATTTATATTACATTATTCCATTACTATAGTATAAATATACTATTATAATGATATTATAAATATAATGAAATGTTATACATATTTTATTATATTTATATATCATATCATAATGGAGCTTATCGTAGTATAAGCTCCATCCCAAATTGTTTTATTGTCTTGGTGAGGGAAATCAGCCTCAAAGGACAACACCCCAAAACTGCATTCTCTAAAATGAACATTTTCTCTAGATGAAAATTTTACATGTTAATGGAACATAATTATCTGGCACATATATAGTCTGTTATAATATATCACATATATAAATAATATATATATAAATCAAACATAATACAGTTATATAGTATATAATTATAAGTAGAATTATATTAAGCATATACTAGATTATATTGTAATTAGCAACAATTGATTACTAATGCTTTTCCTCCCTAGGTAGCTATTATTGAGCACTCTCTAGTAAGCCATGGAATATAAAGATGTTATGTAATTTTGATTTTGTTAGGCTAATTTCCAGCAGTTAAGTATAGTTCAATTAGTGTTCTGTTTTGACTATGTAATTCAAAAACTATGTTTTGTAAAAACTCACAAAAATAAGAACAAGAACAAAAAAAGCAATGTCATTTGAGTTATTGAAGGAGAATTCAGCCCATAGATTTTCTCCATGCTTTGGCAGCTGTTTTAGAGCATTCATCCAGCTGCATTTGTCTAACACTTGAATAATGATCATGCAGTTTGTCAGATGCTTTTGGGAGAGAAATTCACTATGCAGAAATATTTAGTATTTAACTAATTTTTCCAATTATAGGTTTTTGATTAGGGTAAATTTATTTTGAATTACTCCTGATGTTAAACCCAATCTTCATTAGTGTTCCATAGAATTGTGAAACATTAGAATTATAGTTTTTTCCTAGCTAGAAGGAGCACTCTCATTTTATAGATGATTAAGTTGAGCTTCAGAGAGACATTAAACAACCTGCCCAAGGTTTTGAAGCCCAGGAGGCTTGGAACTCATTTTCTGATACACAGTTGGACACTCTTCTTAAAGTATTTCCCATAACAATGTACACAGTTGGAGAAATGAACATAACTATTTCTTACTGGTCATGGAGGGTCATGAGCTGTTTATGTGAACTGAAGTCTGTGAGGGCATTACTGGAATGTAACTTATCAGTTATGTTTTCAAATCCTTAGAGCAGAACTTCTTGACCTGTGTGCTGTAAATGGCTATGGGTGTGCCGGAGGCGGATAGACAGGGCCTAGGGTGGCAAAAAACCAGGAAAGCATTGAAATAAATCACTCCAGCACACTGTAAGTACCTACAGAAAATGTTATTTTTCTTGGCAGTAGAATCCACTCTCTAAGAAGAAACAAGCTTTTGTTGGAAGACTGCTCTGATAAACTTTTTGGAGGGCTGGGCCTTCAGGAAGGCTGAGGACCTAAAGTGGATAAAAAGGAGAGGGTATGTAGAGAGTCAGAGGGTATGTAGAGAGTCAGAGAGAGAGAAGAGAAAGACTTAAGGGCTGGTGGCTCAAGAGAAACTTTGGGGAAACAGAAATAATGGATGGGGACATCAGCAGATCTACAGTGCTCCATAATGATTTGTGGAGTAAATTACTTTGGGAGATGGGATGAAGTGCTTTAATTTTGCTTTGAGTTAGGGACTGGTAAAATCCAAGATTGCCCAAGGAAGGACTGTTCCATATAAGTTACAATACAGTTATGAAAACTTATTAGCAAAGATCAGATACCTACTATACCACAGTGCTTCTGTGAATAGATTCAAGTAATTTTTTGAATTTAAGCCCGGCATCTCCCACATGACTGACCATTTAGGAATCCTGGTCCTAAGAGAACATGACCATTGGGAGTGGGCCTCTGGGAAGGGTGTTGTGGTGTGCAAGGGCAACCCTCAGTTGTGTGCACCACGCAGAATGAATCATGTGTTGTGTCGCTGGAAGTTAAGGGTGAATAATATAAATAACTAAAAATGGGTGAGGTTTCCTGTTAAAAAAACATACTCGTGTTGATCTGTTCATGTGTCTACATTACATTTCAATGTGATTCAGTAGGGAGGATTTCTTGGGCCCAGTAGTTCGAGACCAGCTTGGGCAAAATAGCAAGATTCTGCCCCTATTAAAATTTTTTTTTTATGTGAAAAATGTTACTTGTGCTGAAGGGGATCACATATTTGTTGAGAATGTTTTCCAAACCAACAATCATCACACAATTTCTCAAAGGACTTTATTTCCAGGTTTGTGAAAGTTTTATGAAACATATTAAAATGTTATAAGAATCATTGATAATATATTGCATGTTTAATGAACAGCCTTTATTAAAAAGAAGAAATATATAAAGGAACTATATCTGGAATGAAGAGCCTCCTTAAATGATTGGACAGAAAATAGTGGTATGAATTACTGTAGGAATTTAAGAATATATGATATACGTGTGAATGATGTTTTTTTGTTTTGATTTTTGTCCTGTGACAAACTCTACCGAAATGATTAGTTGATGAATTCTGTTGGTAATTTATAGTCAGGATATTAGCAAGCAAAGTATTCCAAAGTCTTCTGGCTGATGTTTATGTGAAAGGGTGTGTTCTCATATGAGCAGGAAATGGGCTAATAAGGCAATGAAAAGACTGGAGATAATTTCACGGTTAATTTGGGGTAAAATTTATTTTTATTATAATATTATTTGTGGTGAAAGTATTAAGTCTGAATTATTCAGACAATTGCTTTAATTCTCCATTTGACATTTGACCTGTGCATAGAGCTAACCTTTGGGTATTAATGAGAGTGGGAGTCCAGAGCCTAGTCAAGTAAGAGATTAGGAAGCAGAGATGGAAAGAAAGTTCTACCTATGCCAAGGGTCAATGCACAGTACTGGTAATGATTTGATTCGGCAGTTTTATTAGCAGCCATTTCTTTGACAGACTAATAAAAATGACTTACAGATTCTTTTCCAAGTTATCTTATATAAATGGATTATGATGAAAAATGTGTGAACCACATTTCATCTTCTTTCTTGCCTTCTGTTAAATATGTGTTCAGCTTAGAAATTAAATAGCACAGGATAGAACTTGAAATCATAAATTCTGTGCATGATATGTAGTTCAAAGGGATTACATGATAATTCACATGTAGAGAATTGTACAGGATAGTTGGGAAATGTTTCTCAACCCTCAGAGAATGCTCACTAGGCACATGCATAACATGTAGATGCCCAAAGCATTTCAGAAATAGAATTACAAAAAACCCCCAAAACACTTGTCATGAAAGGTTTGTGAACCTAATCTCGCCTGTATAGACTGGGCTAATTCTGATAGTAAGAGGAGTTCTCCCTTCTCTTAAGTAAACAAAAACTATTGGCTTTCATCCAATCGGTTATTCTAAGACCACTGCAACTTTTTTCTCTCACAAAAAGGAGTTGCCCTAAAGAAGTTTCATTTGCTTTGATCTTTTTTTTCCTCCCTCCTCTAAAGGAAAAAAGGTATGTGTGTGTTGAAATCTAAAATATGGCAAAGTTTCCATTTAAAAATACTTTTTAGATAACCAGATTTGCTCTTCGCACAATGAGGTCTTTGGTCCCTGGGAGATATTTTATATCATATTCCTGAATTTGTTCCTGGAGTCATCTTTAACGGGGCTAGGGAACTTATTGGGTGCTGTAAGAACTGTTGGTATGACCCACCATGCTCTCTCTGTCTCTCTCTGTAACTCCTACAACTTGACTTTGAGATAGATCTAAAGAAGTGAGCTATCAAATGTTGGAAATATCAGGTAAGAAGTTAAGATAGGCTGGTCATGGTGGCTCACACCTGTAATCCCAGCACTTTAGGAGGCCAAGGCAGGCAGGTCACTTGAGACCAGGAGTTCAAGACCAGGAGTTTGAGACCAGCCTGGCCAACATGGTGAAACCACATCTCTACTAAAATACAAAAATTAGCAGGGTGTGGTGGCATATGCCTGTAATCCCAGCTACTCTGGAGGCTGAGGCAGGAGAATTGCTTGAACCTGGGAGGTGGAGGTTGCAGTGAGATGAGATTGTGCCACTGCACTCCAGCCTGGGCAACAGAGCCAGATTCTGTCTCAAAAAAAAAAAAAGATAAGGGAGATTATTAAAAACAATAAGATAGACGGAAATATAATATTTAAGGTTAGAGAAGAAGGCTGAGTGTGGTGGCTCACTCCTGTAATCCCAGCACTTTGGGAGGCTGAGGCAGGACAATCACTTGAGCTGGGGAGTTTGAGACCACTCAGACTCACTTGAGACCAGCCTGAGCAACATGGCGAAACCCTGTCGCCACAAAAAAAAAAAAAAATTACAAAATGTTAGCCAGGTGTGGTGGTATGCTCCTGTAGTCCCAGCTACTCAGGAGGCTGAGGCGGGAGGATGGCTTGAGCCCAGGAGGTTGAGGCTGCAGTGAGCCATGATCACAGCACTGAACTCCAGCCTGGGTGATAGAATGAGACCTTGTCTCAACAAATAATAAAAATTAAAATAAAAATAAGAAAGTGAAGCCAACTGAAAACAAAAAGTATTAAAACACAGAGAAAGTTAGAAAATAAAGTTTAAAGATGAAATAGAAAGGCCAAGGAAAAATGTTTAAATGTTGTGGAGAGAATATGAATGTACTATATATTATTGCTCACCCTTAAATAATGCTTGGTATATGCCAAGTGATGTTTAAAGGCACGACTTACCCACATATCCCTTATGGGTTTGGTACTATAATTATCCCCATTCTATAAATTAGGAAACTGAGGCCCAAAGAGATTAAATGATTTATTTAACATCACAGGTTTGTAAGTGGCAAAACCAAGATTAGAATATACATGTATATATAGCTACATTCTTAAATACGCAATTCGGTATATTAGACACCTATTTATTTTGTCTTCCTGCCTTCTGATATTAGCTCCTCTCTTCCCTTCTTGGGGAAATGTTCCTTCTTACCATGTGACTTGAGTGGAAGATGTTGCCATGTTCTTAGACACTCTCTTTCCATGCTTTCAAAGTAAGCATCCTTTCTACCATCTTATCTTGATTATACAACGTATTTCCAAATATTATTTTAGATTCTCTGCATTTTCATCAGATAAAACAGGATTATCTCCCTTTTATAGGACAAATAATCATTTCCACTTAAAAATGGAGCTGTATTAAAAACAAGCTTTTGGCCAGGCATAGTGGCTCATGCTTGAAATTTCAGCACTTTGGGAGGCCAACGTGGGAGGATTGCTTGAGGCCAGAAGTTTGAGACCAGTCTGGGTGACATAGCAAGACCGTGTCTCTACCAGAAAAAAAAAAAAGAAAGAAAAATTAGCCAGGCATTGTGGTACATGCCTATAGTCCTGGCTACTCCAGAGGCTGAGGTGGGAGGATTGCTTGAGCCCAGGAGTTGGAGGCTGCAGTGGGCTATGATTGCATCACTGTACACAGCTTGAGCGACAGAGCAAGTCCTCATTTCTAAAAAAAAAAAAAAAAAAAACAAAACCCCACTAAGGTTTTAATGTTATCTTGTACATTCATACTAAATAATTTAGAGGCTGGTAACAAAAAGAATATTGTTCTGGTCTCAATTAATTAATTATTCTAATTAATACATAAACTTATTTTATTAATTGCTTATTTACATCAGATATAATATTAGTAAAAGATTGATAAGAGCATGTACCAGTGACAATTTTCTGAGACATTAAGATTTTTCTTTATGTTTAGGACTATTAGCCTACAACTGCTAATATATACACATATATACACACACATATACACATGCATACACATATACACATATATGTATATAGGTGTATGAATACATATAGGTACATATATACATATAGGTACATATATACAAATGTGCATGTGTATACATATGCATACACACACATTTAAATGGAGTATGTTTATCTAGAAATCAGGAAAGTTAGAAACTGAGAGTAAATAAACATTTAAAAATGGAGAGGCAAGTGGCTTTTCAAGATAGCCCTGATTTTAGGTCAATGGAAAAAATCTAAGCAGTTATTTTAACTAAAGTATCTGGTGATCATAGTTTGGAAGATCTGGAATTTTAAGGTGGGTGGCTCACTTGACTTGAAAATCCAATATTTTTTCTGAAGTAGGTGTTGCCATGGTGACAGAACGGCTTAGCAACTGAAGACAGATTTCATTGGCTGGCTGTCTGCAGACTTGCTTGTTGAGTGGCATTAATATGTTGCCTCCTGCTGTTTTTTTTCTGAGGAGACCATCTGGCATTAGCTGTATTTAAAGGTACAGTTCTGTTAAACAAAGAATACCAGGTGATATACACTGAGGTGTTAAAAATATGTTTTGCAGGCATTAGTTGGTTTAATCAATCAATGACTAAGAAGTTCCACTTCAAATCACAACCTATTATAACCAATTAATTCACTATTCTAGGCTTTGACAGTAGGCATTAAAGGGTTTTATTGTGGTACTTACTTATATTATAAAAATTTAATTGCCTAAATGTACTATACTAAATGATCATATTAATCTTGATGTGCCTAAAAATTAATCTACTTGATAAACTGTTCTCTCACATTATATGTTCATAAACCAGAGATGTAGTTTTAAAATAATGTTTACTGAGGATGTTTAATATATCAGAGCATAAACAGCTGTCAGTTTTTCTTTTACTTTTGAGGGTGATAAAAATAATGGATTTTCAAGTAAGATGTATTAAGATGTCAAATGCATCTATTCTACTAATTATAACTGTTGATTCTAAACAATAAATACCTGTTGTACATCTGTGAAAAGACATACCCTCTTTTTTATTTTTTGAGAAAGAGTCTCTGTCACCCAGGCTGGAGTGCAGTGGCACGATCTCGGCTCACTGCAACCTCCACCTCCCAAGTTCAAGCGATTCTCCTGCCCTGGCCTCCTGCCTCCTGAGTAGCTGGGACTACAGGCACACGCTAACACACCCAGCTAATTTTTGTATTTTTAGTAGAGATGGGGTTTCACCATGTTGGCCAGGCTGGTTTTGAACTCTTGACCTCAGGTGATCCACATGCCTTGGCCTCCCAAAGTGCTGGGATTACAGGTGTGAGCCACCGTGCCTGGCCACATATCCTCTTTTAAAGGAGTTCCCTATATACTAGGGAGGATAAGACACATGCATATGTTATGATAAGATAGAAAATGACAAGTACCTTAAGAGTAATACAAAGCGAAGTTTGAGATTGAAGAATGGAGGACACATTTAATAAGGATACTCACCGAGACTTCTGATTGGCTTAATCTTGACCAGTGTAGAGGAGAGAAGAGAATTCTAGGAGAAACAGAAGCAATCATCAGTGTTATAATCCCAGCCTCTCTAAGAGTGGGTTCCAAGATAATGTTCAGAGGATAATAACAGAGCACTTTGTGCTTAGACCTTACTGTACATGTAGAGGAAGCAAAATCTTTACAAGTAGGTCTTTGGCCATATCATGAATATCCTTAAATGCTAGACTGAGGATTTAGACTTCATTTGTTTGGGAGTTAACAGAAATAGATCACTTGTGCATTGCTAATTTAAGAAAAAGATATTGTATGCTTTTGACATATTTAGGGAGGTGTTGTGGACCCACCACCTGGAGAGAGATATATGGCCAGCAGTTTGAAATGAAATTCATTTCATAGCAGAATTTGAGGACAGAGGAAAAGATTTAGGAATCACTTGCATGACTGGTGAGGGTGAAAATGGTGATTATGGATGAGATGACTGAGGGAGGGAGAATAGGCAAAGGAGAGAAAGTGTATCAGGCAGAAACTTAGAACACACCAACATTTTTAAGATTAAATGAGCAAGAAGAGAGCAGAGAGATGTAGTCAAAGAAAGAGGCAGTAGGTATGATTCAGAGCTGTAGTCTCAAGATAGGACTGGGGGCATATGACGATGCCCAGTGCTGTGGAAGTTAATGAAGCAGAGGATACAGTAAAGGTCACTCACTCCCAGCACTGGTTGGAAGTCGCTGGGGACATTTGGGGAAGTAGTTTCAGTAGAGTCAAGAGGAAGAAGTCAAACAAATGGATAAGGAGTAAGTGAAGGGCAGTTTCACCTCTAACACTCACCTTTTCTCTCACCCATTCATCAAACCAAGCCTTTCTTTTTTAAAGGCTAGTCAAGTGAAGCAGTGGGAGTAAAGAAGGAATAAACTAAGTTTTTTGAAAGATTACATACTATTTTCAACACACATTCATTCCTGAACTCATATCATTGTGGCAGTCACTGCATTACTCTCTTCATATGGTTCTCACAAAGGGCCACTACTGACTTCTTAATAGGGTGACCTTATGTCTTTGTTTCCAACATATTCAGTGTTCCTGGGGTATTTGTTAATAGAGCCCTCTTTCACCCTCAAAACTGTCCTAGTTTGGATGATAAATTATGAGTTATCCCAGCTCTTCATCACCAGTTCTAATGAGCCGTTTTCAATCTTTATCTTACTTGACCTTATTTGATTTTTTTTTTCTTTACACAGCTGACTACTCCCCTTTAGTGTGACTTGAAACCCCACTTCTTTGATTTGTACTGGATAACTCTTCTGGTTCTCCTGACACCTTCTCAGTCTTTTCTGCGGCCTTCTCTTCTGTACACCCTGTAAGTGGTGCCATTGCTTAGAGTTCTGTTCTTGGTTTCTTCTCTTCGTTACACGCCTTTTCCATAGACAGGCTCACTCATAACAACAGGTGCAGTTAACTAGAAGCCGGTGAAGGAAAAATATAACCCTTGTTTCTCCCCAGTGAGCTTTGGATTTGCACATCCACCTGCCTAGTACACTTTTACTATAAGTGATAGTCAACATGTGGATAAGAACTTGAGCATTGGAGTGAGACATAAGGCTGCCAGGTCTGCCGTTTAATAGCTTAATGGCCTTAAAGAAGAAAGTCTTTATGTGGCTCAGCTTCCACTCTGTAAAATCATGAAACCTGTCACGTAAGATTTATGTGCGGGTAAAATGAAATAGCACATGTAATGTGCTGAGCACAGTTAATGGCACACAACATACACTTAATGAATAATAGAAATTATTATTATTTCCCAAACTGTATTCTCCTCTCATTATTTCTTGTCTTGTGGAACATCTGCCTTCCTGAGTGGAGGAGGGTTTATGTGTGGGGGAACATGAAATACTTTTGGAAAGATTGAGTGATGCCACAATATATGAGGCCCTGGAAGCTGGACAGAGGAATTTAGACACAATGGTGGGTTACAGGGGCTTCTGCAGTCTTGTGAGCATAGAATGATTCTGTGGAAAGTGGTGTTGTAATAAAATTAGTTATTTTAATATTAAGCCAGATGTGTTTAAAGTAGGGGTCGGGAGGCTGGGCAAAAGGCTGATAGAGTAATACTGGCATAATTTGATGAGGACCTGGAAAGGTGTGGTGACAATGGAATGAAGAGGAAAGGATAATTAGGGAAAGGTGATAAATGGACAGATTATTTTATTTTTTATATCAGTTCTTTCTTCAGAAGGTTGTGAGATATTTCCATCAAAAATATATATTTAATAAAAATGTAATAAAGCTTCTTTATGGATCAAGAAGCCACTACTGTTTTGTACCTATTTATTTGTGAAAGAGAAGGAAAATGTGCTAATAATAATAGTGGCCAACATTTTCAGCCTGATTCTCTCAGAGTTTGCTTAGATGATCATTTACCTCTTCAGATCTTTGAAAGAATTTCATAAATGACTGGTCCCATTTGTAACCTTTATTATTCTCATAGTTACACAGAATTGTTGAGATGCATACTTCAGTATTAAAGGATGTTGGTGTTTCTAGTGATTCTGGCCGGTTACATGACACCATGTGATACAGTTTGGATATCTGTCCCTGACCAAATCTCATGCTGAAATGTAATGCCCAGTGTTGGAGACGGAGCCTGTTGGGAGGTGTTTGGATCACAGGGGCAGATTCTTCTTGAATGACTTGACACTATCTCCTGGTGAGTTCTCGCGAGATCTGATTAAGTGTATGGTACCTCCCCCACCTTACTCCCTTTCTCTCCATGTGACGTGCATGCTCCTGCTTCTACCATGAGTGAGAGCTCCCTGAGCCCTCCCCAGAAGCCGTGTAGACGCAAGCACCATGCTTGTACAGCCTGCAGAACCGTGAGCCAATTAAACTTCTTTTCTTTATAAATTACTCAGTCTCCGGTATTTCTTTATAGTAATTCAAGAATGGCCTAATGCACCATGTAAATTAAAATATACACTTGCAAATATGTCACAAAAAGACTTACTCTCCCCCGAAGAGGAGTCAATACAAAAACCTGAAGAATGTGGCAAGTGGAAAAACAGAAATGAGAAAACTACCTTTGTTTATAAAAAATATTTTTAAGATATTTTTTCTTTGGAAATAGATTGTTCTTTTGAAATCTGGAATGTAAAATGCCAGACTCTTCTTCTGTTTTTCTGGATTTGAAACAATCGAACACTGGGAAATATCTGATCCTGAACTAAAATGCAGGCACACCAAATTTGAACTCAGATTGAAAAAGTTAACACTGGGAATCAACTAGAAATTAACGGTGATTATGAAGAATATTTTGATTGCTATTTGATTCTTTCATAGCTCTGTAAAACTTATGTAAGCAAGCTATTAAAAAACAAAAGCTGAAGGCGACTGTTTTATGATGTGTGTATCATAAAGGAAACCATCACCACCTGTCATTGAAACCAGGAAAGGCTCATGTCAACTAAATGTGAAAAGAAAACAGTGTAAGAAATTAAAAAAAAAATCATATTCTTGAGGCCATGAAACACATGTTCCAGAAAACAGTTTATTAGAATTGCATTAAGTAAAAATTAATGTCTGCACACTGATGGGGAAGCAGTGTGGAGTGGTATGGAAAATGTTAGAGCAGTCTATTTTTGTAAAATCTGGAAGTTGGAATAAATAATCATTGGGGCCCCAGCTCTAAAATCCTACTACCACTATTAATGTGACAATGATTTAATTTTTGAATGAAATTTAAATTGTAACATATGCCATGGGGAATGTGTTTTCTGGCTTGCTAACAACATGAAAAGAGGATGTTGAAAGCCTCTTGTAATTCATGTTTTTAATTTCATTCTTTTTTTTTTTTTTTTTACAGAGTTTGGTTTTTATTGTTATGTGTTTGTCTGGGTGCAGAATTGCCCTCACCACCCCTGGCCACCCTGGCCTCCTGACAGGAACAGGCAAAGAGATGGCTCCAGATGGCTCTTGGCTGCCACTCTAGGCCTCAGGGCTTATACAATGAGCACAGTGGGTTCCACCTTCCAATAGCGCAAACTCTAATTCACAGTCAGATTTCACCAGGAGGGGGAGATGATCTTGGCTGAAGGCACTTTAATCAGGGAGCAAACCCAATGCCGGAGTTTGTCTTCCTTCTCGTTACTCTGATAAATCTAGATGCCACTCTGTTGGAGAACCAGCACTGCCGGCAGCTGGGGTTAGTGCACTGACTGAGTGAGGCATGAGGCCTGCTCACTGATGAAACTTCTTGTTAGGGCTGTTAGTGTGGTCAGCTAGCAGCTGGCTTGGGGTGAACTCTTTTCCATAGGCAGCCTCATACTTCTTGAGCCGGTCCACTATCTTCTGGGCTTCATACAGATCCACAAAGCAGAAAGGCCCTCCAAGACAAGGTGGGAAGCTGAGCCCGAAGACGGCTCCAATGTCTCCCTCTGCAGGTGTGGCCAAGATCCCCTCTTGCGGGCACGTGACTGCCTCATTCACAAATCTTGTCAGCAGGCGGAACTGGATGTCTTCATCTGAGGAGACTTCAGACTTAGGAGGCATCTTCAGACTTGCTAAAATACCGTTCATGTCAGAATTCAAATTCTTATTCTTCACACTCTCCTGATAGATGGAAAAGCCCTTCCCAGACTGGCGACCTAGGAAGCCCTTGGACACCATCTATGTCAGTAGTTCTGGGTTTCCACCTCCAAACTGCTCCCCAAAGGCTTTGCCCAGATCTTTGGCCACATGTTTCGCTACATCCACGCCAACTTCATCCACCAGTGTGGCGGCACCCACAGGAAGGCCAAGGCTTGTGGTCAGGGAATCCAGCTTCTTTGGGTCAACTCCTTCCTGGAGGATTCAGATGACTTCAGACATCATGGGTGCAAGACACCTGGTAGTATAGAAGCCAGGTCCATCCTTAACCACAATGATGACCTTCCCCTGCTTGAGACCGATTGCTACAGTTGAAGCACTGGTGTCTTTGGAAGTCTTCTTGGTTGTGATCATCTCCAGCAGCTGCATCTTGTCTGCGGGAGAGAAGTAGTGCCTGCCAATCACCTTCTCAGGTCTTTTGCTGACAGCAGCGATTTCACTGACTGGGAGAGGAGATGTGTTACTAGCAAAGACGTAGTGATCTGGAATCACTGCTTCTACTTCCTTTAGCACTCTGTGCTTAAAACTAAGGAAGTTGTGATGGATGGACAGCATCCATCACCATGTCTGTCTTTCAAAACCTTGGTAATCAAGCTTCCCAGTCAAGTTGCTGAAGATGGAATCCCTTTCAAATGACGTTAGAGCTTTCTTCTTTACTTTGTCATTCAATCCTTTGAACACTTGTTGCTGTCCTCAGCCTAACCCAGTGAGTGTGGCATCTTTAAGTATAGTCTTTCGCCCCTTATCCACGGAGACTTGGGCAATGCCTGCTCCCATCATCCCTGCACCAGGAATAGCCAGATGCTTAACATCCTTCTGTGGAGCTCCAGATGTATTCTTCTTGCACAGGACCTGACCATGGTAGAGTCCCATCAAGGCCTTTGATTCTTTGGTCATTGCAAGCTCTCCGAATTTCTGAGATTCAGAGAGATAACCAGCATCGCTCCCTTGCTCAATTCCAGTCTTTACCACATCAATTATTTTCAGAGGTGTGGGATAAAGGGAAAGCCCTTTAGTCCGCTTTCACACTTTTTCTTCCACTTTTTTGTAAATCTGTTGCCTGACAAATGGAATAGTCATGGCATACGCTGTTAATTTTTCCACTAATCCCTTGTCTCTCTTTGGAGAGATCTTCTTATCAGCTAGTCCTTTGGGAAAGTAATTGCAACTTCTTCTAGGTATTTGATTGTCCATTCCTCTGGAAGTTTTAGTCCTGGTCGCAGAGATTCCACCAATTGGTCAACCAGTCCCATTTTCTTTGCCCTGTCTGCACGGATGTTTCTGCCAGTCAGCATCATGTCAAAAGCAGCAGGCACACCCACCATTTTGGGCAGCCTTTGTGTGCCTCCTGCTCCTGGTAAGATCCCCAGCAAGACTTCAGGAGCACCGAATACTGTTTTTCTGTCTTTTGTTGCTATTTTATATTGGCATAAAATGGCAGGATCCACTGATGGCAGTCACAACAGGCTTTATGGACTTTTCAAGTTTCTCAAATGTTCTCTGTGCTTCTTGTGGTATCTGTGTTACTTCTTGAGGGGTCTTGCAAGTGGCTAAAATGTTGATATCAGCACCTACAATAAAGCAGCCTGGCTTTGGTGAGATAAGGATGGCACTTCTGATTTGATCACTAGCCCAGATTTCATTCATAACTTCCGTGAACTCTGAATGCAGCTGTTTGTTTATTCAGCGTATTTATCTTTGAATGGGGAGAGTTAATTTAAATAACTATCACATCCCCTTTGACTCCATAGTTAATATGGGTTCTGGTCAGCAAAGCAAAGGACCCTGTAAAATTGCGGCGTATATAACCTTGGGAGCGGAGGATCCTGAAGGCAGAGAAGTGGCTGAGGCTGCCAATCGCCCGGTAGACCACCATGTTGAGCTGAAGAGAACAGCAGTGGAGAGCGCTTCTCTTTAATTTCATTCTTATCTTTTGTATTAGCTTTTTAAATGTATTATAACCAAGGAGAATACAAATGAACTGACTTCACAGTTTTTCCCTCAGATTTCAGAATTGTACTGTTCTTAAGCTCCCTCCTAAAACTTGTCTCTTTTATTAAATATTTTAATATTTAATGGCTGAAAATCTTTGTGGTCATTATTACTTTGTTGCAGCTTTATTGAGATAGAATTCACATACCAAATAGTTCACACAATTAAAAGTAAAATTCAATGGTTTATAGTAGATCCACAGTGTTGTGCAGCCATCACCACAATTTTAGAACATTTATATCATCACCTCAAAAAGAACCCCATACCCATTAGCAGTTATTCCTCATTTTCCCAATTCCTCCCAATCCTGCTCCAACAACTCTAGGCCACCAGACTAATCGACTTTTTGTCTCTGTAGATTTGCTTATTCTAGACATTTCATATAAATCAAATTGTGTGATATGTGGTCTTTTGTGGCCGACTCCTTTAACTTAGCATAATGTTTTCAAGGTTCACCCATGTTGTAGCATGTATTAGTACTCCATTATGTGGATTTACCATATTTTGTTTTTCCATTCATCAGTTGATAGACATCTGGGTTGTTTCAATTTTTTGTCTATCATGAACAAGGCTGCTGCTATGGCACTTATGTGCAAGTTTTTTTTGTGGATATGTGTGTTTATTTCTTTTAGGTATGAACCTAGCAGTGGAATTGCTGGGTCATATTGCAGTTCTTTGTTTAACATTTTCAGGAACTGCCAGACTGTTTTCCAAAATGACTACACCATTTACATTCCCATCGGCAGTGTACAAAGGTTCCAATTTCTCTATATCCTCGCCAACTTGTTTTTTGCTGTAGTTTTGATTAGAGCCATTCTACTGGGTGTGAAGTGATATTTTGATGTTGTTTTGATTTGCATTTCCTTGATGGCTAATGACATTAAGCATCTTTTCATGTGCTTATTGACCATATGTATATCTTCTTTGGAGAAACTTCCATTCTTTTTTTTTTTTTGAGATGGGGTCCGGCTATGTTGCCCAGGCTGGTTTCAAATTCCTGGGCTCAAGGGATTCTCCCACTTCAGCCTCCCAAATAACTCAAGTGGATTGCTGGGATTACAAGCATCATGCCGGGCTTCAATTTTTTCTTTTTTTTTTTTTGAGATGGAGTCTCACTCTGTTGCCCAGGCTGGCGTGCAGTGGTGTGATCTTGGCTCACTGCAACCTCCACCTCCGAGGTTCAAGCAATTCTCCTGCCTCAGCCTCCAGAGTAGCTGGGATTACAGGCATCCACCACCACACCTGGCTAATTTTTTATTTTTTTATTTTTTAGTAGAGACGGGGTTTTGCCATGTTGGCCAGGCTGGTCTTGAACTCCTGACCTCAGGTGATCTGCCTGCCTCGGCCTCCCAAAATGTTGGGATTATAGGCATGAGCCACCGCGCCCGACCCAACTTTTTTTTTTTTTTTAAAGAGACGGAGTTCCGCTGTGTCTCAAACTCCTGGGCTCTGGGGATCCTCTCACCTCAGCCTCCCAATTAGCTGAGACAACAGGCATGTGGCACTGCACCTGGGGCTGTCTATTCATTTTAAAATGGGCAATTTATCTTATTATTGTTGAGTTGTAAGAGCTCCCTACGTATCCTGGAACCAAGCCCCTTATCAGATATACAATTTGCAAAAATCTTCTCCCATTCTGTGTGTTGTCTCCTTACTTTCTTGATAGTGTCCTTTCAAGTACAGAAGTTTTACATTTTGATGTGGTCCAATTTATGTATTTTTTCTTGTGTTTCTTGTCCTCTTTGCGTCATATCTAAAAAACCATTGCGTAATCTAAGGTCACAAAGATTTACACCTACGTTTTCTTCTAAGAGTGTTATAGCTTTAACTCTCGCATTTAAATCTTGATCCATTTTGAGTTAACTTTTTTATCGGATAAGTAGAGGGTCCACTTTCCTTCTTTTGCAGATGGATATCCCATTGTCCCAGCACAACTTATTGAAAAGACTGTTATTAAAAAAAATTCCATCCCTCAGCATATTTTCACAAGTCATGAATTTCATAAGTGAGTAGAGGCAACTCAAAGATAGCAAACAACTTGATTAATATCATTGGCTAATAAAGGGCACCGTAGGAATTTAAAAGCCTTAGATTATCTGCTTCCAAAACCCATACTTATTCCAATATACCAGTGGTTCTCAATTTTGAGCCTGCGTCAGAATCACCTGGAGGGCTTGTTAAAACACTGGTTGCTGGGGTCCCACCCCCAGAGTTTGATTCAGTAGGTCTGAGGTAGGGCCTGAAATTTTGCTTTTCTGTCAAGTTCCCAGGGATTCTGATGCCACTGGTTCAGAGGCCACACTTTGAGAGCCATTGTAATGCACTGCGATGGTTCCCCTGTGTATCCTGATGCTCGAAGAGCCTTCAGTTGGGGTGGAGGGAGACACAGAGAGAATAATATAAAGACAATAGTAGTGACAAAGGGCTAAGTGTGCATGGAGGAAGAAAACAGTAATTCTGATTAGAATATTGAAAAAAGTTTCTGCAGGACACATTATGGAATGGATTGGTTTATGGATAATCTCAAGCATTTACCTCCACCTGGTGAAATCAGACAGCAACTGTCTCTTCTTACATTTATTTGGCCACAAGTATGCTTAGAGCAGCTAAGCTCTTGAGCACATAAGCAAGTATATGGCGGAGTGGGTGGTGGTTCCGGAATGGTTGACGTGGGAAATGCAGAGAGAGCACTTAAGTGTCAGATTATGACACTGAATACGGGAAAGTGATGGGAGTGAGGCTGGTTAAAATTTTTCACCCACGCAGTCTCCCTGTGTTGCCCAGGCTGGAGTGCAATGGTGTGATCTCGGCTCACTGCAACCTCTGCCTCCAGGGTTCAAGTGATTCTTGTGTCTCAGCCTCCCCAATAGCTAGGATTACAGGTGTGTGCTACCATGCCTGGCTAATCTTTGTATTTTTAGTAGAGACAGGGTTTCGCCATGTTGGCCTAGCTGGTCTCGAACTCCTGGCCTCAAGTGATCCGCCCGCCTCAGACTCCCGAAGTGCTGGGATTATAGGCTGAGCCGCTGCACCCATTCTCCACTCATGCTTATATCCCACAGTCAGGTTCAGTGAATCGATGCCACTTGTGTGAGAGACTAAAATAAATAATGGATTTAATTTGATGACTTTTTTTTTGACTCTGAATCTTTCAGTGTACAAATGAAATCTTGATAAAGAAAATATCAATAATAGCAGTATATCAATGCTTTCCTAAGAAACTGTGAAATACTGTGGTGATCTTATCCTGGAACAAACTAGGATGAGCCAGTCTTTATTAGATTATTTTGTACTATATTTATACTTACTTTGTGATCATTCAGGAGGACCCTTCATATTGTTGAATTTGGTAAAATTTCCTTGCAGGCCTAGGTTAATGGGGTTTACAGGCTCTCAGGATTGTGTGCCAGTTGTCCTCTTTCTAAGGTAGTTTTATTCATAAACCACACAGGTTTTTTTCAAAAACACAAAAAACACAGACAAACAAACAAAAAAAACAGAGGCCAGGTGCAGTGGCTCATGCCTGTAATCCCAGCACTTTGGGAGGCCGAGGTGGGTGGATCACCTGAGGTCAGGAGTTCGAGACCAGCCTGGCCAACATGGTGAAACCCCTTTCTTTACTAAAAATACAAAAATTAGCTGGGTGTGGTGGTGGGCGCCTGTAGTCCCAGCTACTTGGGAGGCTGAGGCAGGAGAATCGATTGAACCTGGGAGGCAGAGTTTGCAGTGAGCCAAGATTAGGCCACTGCCCTGTAACCTGACAGAGGGATACTCTGTAAAAAAAAAAAAAAAAAAATCAGAGATTTTAACAGGTCAATCTTGAACTATGTGAACAACTTCAATTTATAAAAGAGTAAAAAAATCGTTGAATTACAGAACTATGAACTGACTCCTTTTTGATGCAGCCTGATTATTAATAGTCTTGTTCACAGCTGTGCCCAAAGTAGAACATCACACCGGCACTGGGTAAGTAAACAAAACAGGCCAGTAACTCTGCCAAAGACCTAGCTATTAATGGCAATTTATTTTTATTACATATTTGGAATCTTGTCATCCCAGAAGGTGCTGAAGTAGAAATTTAGTAATACTTGATTTAAGAGGCAGAAGTCCTGTAAGTTTGCAGCTATTAAAAAATGGAAAGAAAAGAAAGGTTACAAAGGGGAGGGGACCATATCTGTGTTTACATTTGTTCCTTTCCTCAAATGGAAGGTAGAATAATGTATTAGAAGATATTTTAAATATTAATATCTAACTGAAACCTGATATTAGAGAATGAGAAAATTTTGCTGAAAATTAATTTTATTTTCTTTTAATTTATGGTGTTACTATACCTTTTAGATTTAGGAAGGCAGAAAGACTGTGTGTGTGTGTGTGTGTGTTTGTGTGTGTGCACTTGCACTTTGGGGTTCCCTTTCTATGGATGTTTCAGGATCTGAGGATAAAGGATCACAGTCTAGCAGAAAGCTGGGTTTCAGGGGACGTCAAAGGTAATTTCATGACTATATTAGTAGATAAATCGAAGACCAGAGAGCATGCTGAATGGAGGACATTTACATAGTCTTTCCAATGCTAAAGGAAATAGGGAAGTGATTATTTCAAAATTACCTAGAGGATCTTGAGCATAGTATGACTTAAGATAAAAATCTCATTGTTTCTGAGAGTTGGCCTCTTTCTCCTCTCCAGATGAAATATTTTTTCCTTTTTTTCTCCTCCGTGGAAAGAAATTATTAATTAAAACAAAAAGACATTGTTGGAAAGGGAGGTTTTTTAGTCGCCTAAGAGAGGTGCTATTAGTACTTGTTTATTTAAAAATTGACTTTTGGTCAAACTAAACTATACAACTTTTTCTTTTTCAATCCTTCTTCCCTCCATCCCTCTTCCTTTCTTTCTTCCTCCTACTTTTTGCCCTTCCTCCTTCCCTGATCCCTTGTTTTATTTAGTTTATGTCATTCCACAGAGCTCACAGTTACCACCTGGTAGGTACCCTTGACATTCTACACAGTTGGTAAATCAGTGTCATACCAGTTGCTAAATAATTGGCCAGGAATAGCCTTTATCAATGAATGCTTCTTCTCCTTTTCACTCTCCATTGAATAAAGATGGAAACCAGCTTTGCCTCCTTTTTGAGTATGGCCTGTTGATTTCTAATTTGTCATAGCTCACATGGAAACCTTGTGATGCGCTTGAGGGGGTTTTCTCATGGAGACCTCAATACCTGTGGAATGTAGGGCACATGGCAAACAGATCTGGTTTATCTGATCAAGTGATTAATGCAATAAAAAATTATAAAAATTCAAAGTGAAAAGTGTGCTCTTGTTACTGTGTGTGGTAAGTAGTTTAGTGGATTCTGGTTCTACCCATTGAAGCACTATACCTGTGGCTGGTGATGGAGGCGAAAATCTTTTACTGGAAGGAATGGGAAGAAGGGTAGTGGGGGCCAGAGAGTCTCTACGTTCCTCCAGGAGGAGGAAACCATCTCTTTAAAATGACAGTGCTTTCCTTCCACGAAAGAACCATAATTTTTCTAATCATTGGTAACTATTTTGGTCTTTCAAATGTGTCAACAACTTGTACACTGGAACAGCCTCTGTCTACAGGCAGAGCAGGATTCAGTGATTTTTAGAAGGCATTTGGGCCCCAGCCAGCCTGAAAGTTGGGGTTTACAACTGTGTTAAACAGAAGAGATTTTGTTTGAAAGGGTAAAGCACATCATGGAAAAGTTGAGGAAGAAACAAAAGAGAAAGTTGCAAACTTACCTTTATGTTTATAAGAACAGATATGTTCTTGAGAGATTGTGGATTTTTAAAAATATGATTTTTTTGGTGGTGGGAAAATTGTAGACATTAAATATCTTTTTTAAGTTATGCTGACACCTTACAATTACGTAATCCTTTATAATTTTCAAATAAATACTAACATTAGTAAGCAAGTACTACATACCAGGAAAAATTCTAGTTGCTGGAAATAAGACAATAAAGAAAACAGGGATTATTTTATTAAGTCCTCTCAATAAAGCCTATGAATCAGTTACTATTATTATCTCGATTTTACAGATTAGGAAACTGAGGCACAGAGGAGTTGTGTTACTTGCTCAGAGTTTTCATAGTCAGGAACTGGGGAGTAAGGTTTGAAATCCAGACTCCAATTCCAGATCCTGTGCTCTTGGCACCACTCAGTCCTGTCTCAGGCAGGCAGCATTGCCACTGTGCACTTTATCCTAAAAACAACCCTCTGAGGGAGGTGAGAAAGGTATGTTTCTTCACATTTAAAAAATATGAACATGTTTAAAAAGTAAACAGTGATCTATTTACATCTGTATGCTGGGAAGAAGTTCTAGAGTCATCATCTTCACCTCTTCAATGCTTCAGTCATTGGCTTCCCAGCCTCTAAGCAGCCATGTATTCCATTTCTTTTTGCACCGTTATAACCAGTGATTTTCTCGAATCCAAAATCTGTAACGTTCCTCTGCTTAATTCCCTGCAGGTGCTCACTGTTACACCTAGAATCAAACCCAGACTTCTTCGCATGCGCTTGAGATTCTTCTGGCTGGGTCCCTGCACACCTCTGCAGTGTCACACTTGCACTCTCTGAGCCCTAGCTCTACAGGGCTTTTCTCATTTTAACAAAACTTGCTCTTTCTTGTCTCTCACATGTTGTATATGCCAGTTCCCTGGCCTCAACATTCTTTTCTTCCCCTCTTCCCTCTTACTCTACCCTTCTTAAGTGGCTATTCTTGTCCCTTCTTTTCATCTCTACCTTGATGCCATGTCTCTATAGTGTGTTGTAATTGCATGTCCAACGCCACTTTTCCTGAGTCCACGGGCCTGGAAACCATGTGATGCTGGGTCCAAAGTGAAGAATTGGGGGATAGAGAACGGGAATCTTGTTCACACAGTTCTCTCCAGTACCCAGCATGGTGACCCAGAACATGTACATGTAAGGCATTTGTACATGTAATTAATTAGCAGGCATGTTTTGAACACCAGCTTCATTAGGAGTGATGCCATATTTGAGGCAGAAACATAGTATGATGGAGAATTCAAGAGGCTTTGGACTCATAGCTCTTAGCTGAATTCTGGCTTTATCAGTACTACCTTTGAGGCTTTAAGCAAGTTACTTAACTTTTCTGAGCTTACTTTCTCAAATAAAAAGCAAGGATAACTAAAATGCTTTGGAAACTTTCCTGTGAGAAATTGATGTGTAAATAGATAATTAAGGGACATGCTAGGAGTTGTGTTACAGGCATGAACAGGAACACAGAGGAGGGGACAACCAACACAGCTCAAGAGGTCACAGAAGATGTCATGTAAGCCTTTTCTTTTTCTCAGAGCCTCTGGCATTGACGTGCTTGGAGATACCTGAAAATTGGGCAGCTGTTTATCTTTCTGGAAATGTTTAGTCAAAGGTCTTCTGAGCATGGAGATACAGGAAGTGATCTTCCATTCATGCATATTTATGATTCTATTCTAAGTTAAATTATTAATAGCATTTGACGAGTATTCTATTTTGATATGGACAAGAAAAATCGTTCACTTTGAAACATTTATTGAGCTCGCTTATAGCACACTGGGAAAAAAAGTCTTGGTTTTGTTATTTTTCTCAAAAGATTTGTATGTATTTTCCTGCAATAATAAACCAAAAATAAAATCCATGAAGGATCTAGAACTTTTAAGGCTATGTAATTCATATTTTAAGCCTTTACTGTTTCATAAATTATTTAAATAATTTGAGGAATTACTATTGAAGAGAGTCTTAATCTGTCAAATTGATCAGATTGGATTTATCTTGAAAACAGTTCTGCATCTTTGGATAAAAATCTATTTTATTCCAAAGAAAGCTTTTTTTATGGCAAATAAAAGCAAAGGTATACATTTTTAATAATCTTATGATAAATAGGATGATCTGCTTTAAAGAAGAGTAAGTTTATAGAGTCAGAGTATACTTGTACACACCTCAAAGTCAAACGTTTGAAAAATGAAGTTTGTTATGATTCTAAGTGTAGTTTCGAATGTAAGAAAAAGTTAAAAGTGTGATGCAGTCAGGAAGCTTGGAATATTCTCCTGCATAAATTATATGTGTTAACAGCCTTAGCAGTATTCTCTTGTAGGCCACTTGGCTCCATCTTAAAGTAGTTTGATGAATATTGACTGGTCTGCAAAATTTGACTTAAGAAATGTTGAGCCAAAGTATCCTGGATAACGTAGATATAGAGATAAAGTAATATATATATATACACACACACACACATACACACACACACATATTTACATATATACACATATGTACTTATTTACAGTGTATATAAAAAATAATTTAGAAGAATGCATCCAGAAACCAAATTGAGCTTGAAAAGTACCACCTCACATGACCGCAGGGACAGCTGGTTATTGTCTTAGGATATATTTGCATTTTGAAGTGAACTTTAGTGACATTACAAAATGCCAGATTGGAAAAACAGCCATTATTTAAAAAAAAAAACAAAATATAATTAGCACCAGATGAATGAGTTGTCTCATAATCACCTCATTATTACAAATTAATTCCAAATGAATATGTTTGAACAGGGCATTGGTTTTGAATCTTTAATTTATCTCCTCCTTAGCCTTGCTGCTGACAAATCATAAATAGATATAATTAATGAAAATGTTAATAGTGCCGGTCTCCAGAATATCTCTAGATCACTGACCTTCTGATTGGTGGAAAAACCTTTGGAGAATGATCTTTACAGGATTCCATGGCAGTGAGTTAATCTATTTTTCTCTACATGGGGGCAGCAGACGAGGTGAGTTTCTTCCTCTGTCATTTGTAGGATCTACTGTTATTCTCTGGAGAGCTATTGTGTCAGAACGGATTTGGATTATTTTTTAAAACTACTGCTACCTAGAGGGTAATTTTATTAAATTCCTTTATCATTTGGATTAAATACAGCAAAATGAAACCAGCTCCTCCTGCTCAGAGGAGCTGTCACCACAATCTTTAATATTTTCTTAGCATTATTTCCTTTAAAGTATGCTTTGGGACAATTAATAATGACTAATACTTAAATTTTCACTATGAGTAAAAGCTTTTTGGTAAACATTTATTATATATTCCATGTCTTCCTTTTATTCTCTAATTATTTCACCTATTCACCTAATTATTTTGTAGCTCAAGTGTATAATTTAAATGATGTAGAAATATAGAGATCAAAATTAATACAAATACATTTATATAGTGATGTGTTACATGTTATATTTGTCACAAATATAGCATATATTTGTTTGTCTAGTACATATATAGTATATACAGTACATATATATTACATACATACATATAGTACATATTTGTGTAGTACACAGGTATAGTGCATATATATATATATTTGTCACATATATAGAAGTCCTGTGTCTTCCTTTTAGGTAACATGGGAGAATGTAAGTTTTTGTTTTCGGTCCAAGAATGACACAGATTTTTTTGTTTGTTTAGTTAGTTTTCTTTAGGATCTAGATCCCCCAGAGGTAAACACTAAATATAAAACCGGGAATTAGAAGCTGGCCTTGGGTTCTGCAGTTCTAGGCATGGCGTTAACGTTTTTCTTAAAACTTAAGGCCCAGACTACACAAGGAATCTTCCCGCCTGCACTCCCCTGCCAGCTCAGCTACTTCCCTACTCCTGCGCCAACTCAACCGTAACAGTAGCTGAGACGAAAGCATTGCTCTGAAGTAAGGTGTAGGGAAGCTTTCTGGCTTCCTTAATAAAGTTACACACGATCTTCTAAGCTTGGCGATGGAGGGAGAAGGCACATGGGAGGGTCTTCACCGATCCTCTGGCCCTGACTCTGCCTACCCTTCATTCATTCACCTGCCCCTCTGGGGGCTCTGGGCGGTGACCACTGCCACTATTGGGCTAGCTAGTGGTGGGGGCACTGCTCCCCTTAATGCTCTGGCCCCTAGGGGAGACACAAAATATTGTTTTAAATTTCCAGTAGTGTAGCTCATGGCAGGCTGAGGCACTTACACAAAAGGGTGCTGGAGGCTTTAGGGTAACACAGTAGAAATCATCAAAGGGAGAATATGCGGTAGACAATTTAGGCTCTTCAACATAACTTGCTTGATCTCCAGAGGCCCCAAACTCTGCTCATGCCAGGCTTTGCACATGCCGTTTCCTCTGCTTGGACTGGTCTTCCCCATCATTGCCTGGCTATCTTCTTCTCAATTACTAGATTTCACAGTAGGGGTTCCGCCTTCTTGATTCCCCCGGCCTGGGTTATATAGGTTTGTCCTAGATAGTGCGGTGGCCCCACATATGCCTCCTCATCAACCTGTTTTACAGTTGTTTATCCTGTTAGGCCATAAGCTCAGTGGCACCAGGGACCTTCTCTGTCTCTCTCAGCACTGTATTCTCATCAGCTTGGACAGTGCCTGGCACACAGTGGGGACTCAGAAAATATTTTCGAATGTGTCAATGAGTCCATGAATGAATGGAATTTGGTAAAAAAGAGAATTCTGACCTCCAGCTTCTCTTTATCTTATGAGATGCTTTCTTCACTGTAATCTTGCAGGACTGGAGTTAGGTTTTATTTAGAAAGCTGGCAGGTTTATTTACAAAAGATGCAAATAAACCACTGGGCTTAGGGGACAGAAAGAAAGAGCCATTTTCTTAGACTAGAAAATAATATGGAATGGATTAGGGGGCAGAAGAAGGAATGGGTGAGTGGGGTGGAGGAATGGCAACAGATAAGATGTTGATGGTTATAAAAATTGGGAAACTGTCCAATTCTCCTTAGTTTAGACTTTAAAAAAAATGAGTAAATTTCCTAGAAGTCAAGTGTAGCCATATGAAAATATTTGGACTAAGTTAAATATAATTCCCTTGGTATTATTGAATTGCCTTTGACTTGGAGACAGAGCTATTCATTATAGAGCAGTTTCTAAGAGCCTGGGCTTCACAGAGATTATCTCTTTTCATTCAACAATGTAATGAAGTAGGAATTATACTTCTATTTTACAGATGAAGAAATAGACTCAGAGAGTTTAATTGACTTTAGGATTGTAAAACTACAAACAGTAGAACTGGCAGCCATTCATTCATTCCACAAATATTTATTGGCAGTATTTTTTTTTTTTATCATTAGCTTTGTCTTTTTTGATGGTAGAAAATGCATTTCATTTAGAACTATGATTTTAGCCCAGAGAAAGTGATGTAGAAAAAAGCACTAAGTTAACTAGATCATATCAGTATAAATGTGAAGCCTCACCATTTTACTCATCCAAAAGTGTCTAGGGCCTTAAGTTCAGTTCCTTTTATTACAACTTTAATATTTTGTCTGTCTTAAAAAAAAAAAAAAGACATTAAATCTCCAGCCCCTGGTATCGTGCTTGGAACATGGTGGGTACTTAATAAATAATTTGTAGTGAATGGGAAAATTGAGAACCATTAGTCATTTTCTATTCAGTATTAACAAAGTCTGACTTACTTTTTTGTTTTTGTTCTGTGTGGGCACATTTCACTGAGTGCAACTTATGAAGGACCTCAAGATCAAATTCATGTCGTACTCTTGGAATTGAATTCTGACAGGTGGACTGAGAGTTTTTTGTCCTCTAAGCCTTCATTCTAAGACAGATGACACCAATGTAGGTAGTTATTCAGAATAATAGACTCAGGAATTTAATAAGGGTGTTGTTTAAAACGCAAATATCACCAACCAGTGGTAAAGCAAACACATTCTGTGTGAATGAGTACAGCCCACTGATTGACATTCAAGACCCATTGGAAAAATCAGGAGACACAAGAGTGGGAAGAGTGCAGATTGGAGCAGCTATCCAAAAATACAGAAGGCCAGAAGGTGGTGAGAAAAATGTCAGACAACAGATTGTGGAGAAAAATAAACAAGCCAAGAAAAGTCCTATTTGGCCTTAAAAGAGGCAGATGGTGACAGGAAGTGTTCAGTGAGGAGTGATTGTGCTGAAAATCACAAAGTCTATAAAATTATCCATCTGTAGTTTGAGGTTTTTGGGGAAAATTAAAACTCTTTGCTAGCATTACAGGGAAGGGTGATAGCACACAAACAGAATATTAAGTAAGTGTGTATTTGTGTCAGGATAATAGAAATGAGAGATGCGTTATTCCATTAGAATAGAAGTTTTGTTTACTTAGAGATTGTGACCAAAATTATAAAACGTGTTTTGTTTTGCATAAAAGCAGTTGAACTTGTATTAAATCTGTTCTTTCCACATTTTTGATGTAAGTAAGAATTCTCCCAAGAATGTTAATAGATTGCTAAGGTAGCAATGATAATTTTCTAACTGAAGGAATGTACTAAACATTTTTTTCCATTAGAGAGTTTTTTTGGAATGGGATATAGAAAATGACAAATCACAATGCTAACTTTAAAGCAAAGAATTTTAATTTGAAAGTTGAGAAAATATAGCAGGGAAAACTAATCATTTGGAATAGTATGAGATAATTTGAAAAAAATATTATAAATATTTTAAGATAGATGTGGTTGAACATTTAGAATTGGGAATCATTTTTTGATAGTTTGGGACCTAGTTTTCTGTGCTTACATTTTAATTCAGTACTACTTACTCCGTGGTCTTCTGGTGGTGTGCAACTTGAGGAATCAAATAAGCCAGGGTTTTTACAACTCTTTTCTAGGTCATTAAAGCATTTCTGCTATGTGCCTGAATATGTCTTTGATTTCATGCATAAGAAATATTAGATGCTTCATTCTCCTTCTTTAGAAGAAATACTAACTGAATATGTTGGATTCTTCTCTATTTTTATTGTTTCTCTCTTAGATTTTTAACCACAGTTGCTCAAGTCTAAGTTTTGTATTTTAAGTTTAGACGTGTAAAGTAAAAGGCTGGGAGCTGAGTGTGTGGTGATGCTTCCTCCTTTTCCCTTGAGAACTGAAGGCAAAAAATTAAATTTATTATAAAAATTTGTTTTACTTTTAAAGATGTGATTTTCCAGACAGAGAAACAAACTCATGTATCGGTGTATTTTTTAATGAATTAGAAGCATGAAATCTAGGTACTTTATGTAAGTCATTTTATTTAATCCTCAAAATAATGTTTTAAAATAGTTATTATTTTCATTCTCATTTTATAATTGGGGAAATGTAAGATCATCAAAACCAAGTTTCAGTTTCCTAAAGTCACACACCTAATAGCAGAGTCAGGATTTGAACTCAATTCCGTGTCTTTCAATGGCAGAAGGGGTTTTGCACATTAGATTACATAAGCCATTGTCCATTGACTCCTTGTCCTTTGCACTTGTCCAAGAGTGGTCCCCAGGCACAAACATGCATGTGAAGAAAGCTCCAGAAGAGATTCTGATTCAAATCTCCAGTTGGGAACTAATACATCAAACATTTCAAAAATCAATCAACCAACCAATCAACCCAGCCTTTATTGTATGGTGGTATTTAAAAATCTAAACTCTATTTTCTGCAAGTTGCTAGCCAATTGAACCAAACTTCTTCACTGGATAATATTTTTAAACATAGATTTAGAATGCCTTTTTTTCAAATATGAAAATAAAAGATATAATAGCTTATTTCTGTGATATATGCATACATAATTGCTTCCCACCTAATTTTTTTTTCACTTTTGTAGCCTTATATGTGTGACTGTCTTAATATCTCAAAGGGCTAGTGCTATCCTCACCCTTATTCTTAGATTTTATCTCTTTAATTATTTTCTTTGCTTTGTTATTCCCACCAGTTTGTCTTCTAGAAGGTCTTCATATCATGTTATCACTTAATAAACATTCTCTTTTTTATTCTGAGTGAAAATGCACCAAAGTATAAATCTGAGAAAAAGTGAATGTTTTATAACTTTTGTTTCTCAGAAAATTATAGCAGTTATGTTAATATTGGTGATATACTTCTCATTGTAGTCATTCCTATGCTAGCAATATTTTTATTGCTACTGTGGATAAATTATTTCATTATATTTTTAACTTGTTATTGTTGGAGTAAAACAACTATTTATTTTTCATATAAATATTTTGTTTTTGGCCTTTTTGCTGAACTCTGAATTCTAATGGCTGTCCAGTTTGTTTATTTATTTCTTTATTTTATCATCTCCATTTTACAGGTGATGTCTAGTTTATTTTTTCTGTTTTTTTTCTGAGTGTACTATATAAATTGTATACAGTGTTGGTACTTTATATTTTTAAGTTTATATATCGTAATTTATTCCTATGCATAATTGAATAGTAGAGAATTTCTAGTATACTGTTACATAGTATGTCTTTTCCCTGATTTTAATGGGAATGGCATTTCTGTGCTCATATGCATAGTCAAGCATTCAAATAACCATTCTTCTGAAGTTGCAGATTAGGTACTTTAAGCATTTGGAATAATTAGTTTTTATTAAATGTCATTTTGATTTAAGATAATTTTTTATTTATAGGATACTAAAAGTAAACTTTGGAGCAGATTTTTAAAACACACATTTCTACTTTCTGACATTTTACTTAGGTTTTCATATGTATATTCATAAAGGAAATTGGCCCGTACTTCTCTATTTTATATAAATTTTATCACACTTAGAATTAGAGTTGTAATTTATTTTCAGGAAATAATTTCATTATGATCTACATATTTGTTAATGTCGTGAGAAATAGCTCAATTTGGGCCTGCATTGTAGTGGAAAATTATACTTCTTAAAGCTCTGCCTGATTATTAGTTACTTCCTTTTAACTGCCTAAGGCTGATCCAATAGCAAGACACAAACCTACTGAGTGTGCAGTAGTAAATTTCTCATTTTCTGTAGTAGGATTTGGAGTCTTCGTTGCTGTGCTCTATAGGTTAAAAACAACACATGTATTGAAAGGTATACTTTTAGGACCTACGTGCCTGGCCATAGCCTGGCCATAGCTCCTGGTCCTCCTGTGGGCAGAGAAGGGGCCAAATCTTAGTTGGTATCTCTTCTATGTTTGGTCAGCAAATAACCTCTGCCTCTATTCCACCTGCTGGACTTGACATTTGTAACTTTTGTCTTCTGTGTCTTGCTGACAGAGATAGGGCTCATTCCTAGATTGGTGAATTGCTTGCTCTCCTCCAAGTTGTCCAAAAAATCCCGCATATTTACCTCACAGCCCTGCATCCTTCTTGTTCTTACAGTAAGGACCTTGAAGTTTCCTTGCCACCTTCACATAGTATACCTTTTCACCCAGGAAGGGACAATTGGAGTTGTAGTTATAGAATTCTTAAAGTTTGATTTAGGCTAAACATTGTGCTCACATTTTCATCCATCTTATAATGCTACTTAATATCATATCATGATTTAGAACACAAATTACATAAACAGAAAGGCATATCTGGATAGCTTGTGCTCTTATATGATGTTCTTCCATTTTTAACTAATGTTAATGGTGCATAGCATTCCATTTTAATGCCTTTTTCTCTGTTGTTTCCATTGTATTGTTTTTAACCTAATTAATTATTTCTGTTTTTTAAAATAGTTTTGTAAGAAGTTAGTCTAGGTCAGCATTCTGCAAGCTGTTCTCAGAATACTAAAAAAAGGGCAAATAAGCTTGGGAAATTGTACTAAATACTCTCCTTGAGGATTCAAAGTACATATTAACATAAGAAAAGATCTGAGAAGTTTTAAAATAACAGGGAAAACTTTTGAAGTTTATTCAATGATTAAAAGAACTTAAAAATAAAGAACTTATTTGTGTAGAGGAAGGCTTTTTCTTGGCACAGTTATTAAAATTCTCTGGAATAGATTTTAATTTTTTTCTTAACACCAATTTAAGAAGTGCTAGTCTATTTCATCATTATCATTATCACTTTAAATAAAGAGCTTAGGAAATTACTTACTCAATTCATCGTTGTTCTTTCATCTCATTTATTATTTTTTAAATATATTTTAATTATTTTTTATCTATTTAAGGAATCTTCTCTTTACAATAAAAAATTGTTTGGTTCCTTTATTTTTATATTTAAGCAGGAAAGCAGGAAAAGAATTAAAGTTATGGCATTATCTCTGAGTAACCCTTTGAACAATCCTAAAGCTTTTTATATTTAGCAATCTCATTATTGCTATTGCAAACCAGAGTATCTGAGATAAGTCTCAGTCAATTTAGGAAGTTTATTTTGCCAAGGTTAAGGATGTACCTGTGACACAGCCTTAGGAGGTCCTGATGACATTTGCACAAGGTGGTCAGGGCACAGCTTGGTTTTATACATTTTAGGAAGAAATGAGACGTCAATCAATATGTGTAAGATGTACACTGGGGCCAGGTGCGGTGGCTCAGGCCTGTAATCCCAACACTTTGGGAGGCCGAGGCGGGTGGATCACAAGGTCAGGAGATAGAGACCATCCTGGCCAATATGGTGAAACCCCGTCTCTATTAAAAACACAAAAAATTAGCCGGGTGTGGTGGCGGGCACCTGTAGTCCCAGCTACTCGGGAGGCTGAGGCAGGAGAATGGCGTGAACTCGGGAGGCGGAGCTTGCAGTGAGCCGAGATGGTGCCACTGCCCTCCAGCCTGGGCGACAGAACGAAACTCTGTCTCAAAAAAAAAAAAAAAAAAAAAGATATACACTGGGTTGGTCCAGAATGGAGGGACAACTCGAAGAAGGGAGGGGTGTTCCAGATAAGAGACAAACAAACATTCTTTTGAGTTTCTGGTAAGTCTTTCCAAAGGAAGCAATCAAATATGCATTTATCTCAGTGAGCAGAGGGATGACTTTGAGTTCTGTTTGTCCTTTGTCCTCAAGAAATGTCCCTGTGGACAAATTGTGAGGGAGGTATGTAGCTTTTTTATCTTAGTAGCTATCGTTTTTAGGAATAGAATGGGAGGCAGGTTTGCCCTAAGCAGTTTCCAGGTTGACTTTTCCTTTTAGCTTAGTGATTTTGGGGTCCTTTCACACTATTTCATAAATAAACTATTTTTAATTTTCTTCTTTGATCTCATTTATTTTTTAAAAAAGTTTTATGCCTCTTTTCAAAGTTTTATTAATTTCCAGTTTCATCATATGGTTATTAGAGAATGTGATCTATAGTCTTTCTTATTTATAAATTTATAAAATTTACAAATTTTGTTTCTAAAATTTATCAAAATTTCCCTATGACAAATTATGTAATTAGCTATTGTATTTCATGTATATGCCAGAAGGTGAATTCCCTGTTGCTAGATTACCAAGATAAATATATGTTGATTCATTTTATTTTATTTTATTTTATTTTTTATTATTATACTTTAAGTTTTAGGGTACATGTGCACAATGTGCAGGTTAGTTACATATGTATACATGTGCCATGCTGGTGCGCTGCACCCACTAACTCGTCATTTAGCATTAGGTATATCTCCCAATGCTATCCCTCCCCCCTCCCCCCACCCCACAACAGTCCTCAGAGTGTGATGTTCCCCTTCCTGTGTCCATATGTTCTCATTGTTCAATTCCCACCTATGAGTGAGAATATGCGGTGTTTGGTTTTTTGTTCTTGCGATAGTTTACTGAGAATGATGATTTCCAATTTCATCCATGTCCCTACAAAGGACATGAACTCATCATTTTTTAAAAAAATCCCTACTGTCCTTATTATGTCCACTTGACCTGTTGTAAGCAGGTGGAGGTGGGTTGCTTTCTTCTGTAATTGTGTTTGATTATTGCCTACTTAGACTTCTAAAGGTTTTTGCCATATATAACTTCTTGCTGCATTTTTTTTTAGTTATTTACTCACTAGATATTTTGCCTTTTCAAATTATGAAGTGGTCCTTTCACCTAAATACTGCTTAAAAAATATTAAAGTCAATTTTGCATAATTAGCTTACCTTACTTGTTTTTTATTTTGGGGTTTGTTTGATATGCATGTACATACTCTGTTTTTTTTTTTAAGTCTTTCCGTGTCATTTTATGTATATCTATCAGACGTTGTAGAATTAGTTATTTTCTCATAATGTCTTAGGCTTTTTTCTTTTGATAGGAAAATATAAATGACTTATATTGATTACCATAATTATCATGTTTGATTTTATTATTTTTATCTTTATTTTTTATTACTGTTTGCTTTCTATTCTGTATTTTGCAATAAAGTCCAGTTTTTAAATTTTTATTTATTTGTATTTGTATTTATTTATTTTTTTGAGATGGAGTCTCGCTCTGTAGCCCAGGCTGGAGTGCAGTGGCACCATCTCGGCTCACTGCAAGCTCCACCTCCTGGGTTCACGCCATTCTCCTGCCTCAGCCTCCCGAGTACCTGGGATTACAGGCGCCCGCCACCACGCCCGGCTAATTTTTTTGTATTTTTAGTAGAGACGGGGTTTCACCGTGTTAGCCAGGATGGTCTCGATCTCCTGACCTCGTGATCCACCTGCCTCGGCCTCCCAAAGTTCTGGGATTACAGGCGTGAGCCACCGCGCCCGGCCCATGTTTTTTACTTTGAGTTTCTGTAATGATTTAAAAAGTAGAAACTTTTTTTTTTTTTGAGACAGAGTCTAGCTTTGTCGCCCAGGCTAGCATGCAGTGATGCGATCTTGGCTCACTGCAACCTACACCTCCCTGGTTCAAATGATTCTCCCGCCTCAGGAGAGAGTAATCCCAGAGGGATTACAGATGTGTGCCACCATGCCCAGCTAATTTTTGTATTTTTAGTAGAGATGGGGTGTCATCATGTTGGTCAGGGTGGTCTGGAACTCCTGACCTCAAGTGATCTGCCTGCCTTGACCTCCCAAAGTGCTGAGATTACCAGTGTGAGCTACTGTGCCAGGCGGAAACTTCTTTTTAATTCCACTGTTGCTTACTATAAAGATAATATAGACTTAAAACCTCTTTATTATTATGAAAGTGTAAATATTATTTTAATATTTGTTGGTTTTTTGTATCTAGAAGTTTTTACTCTGACTTTTAAGCTAGAATATTTTTATCTTGTTAAAAAAAATTACTATTTCTTCTTCACTACATCTTCTAGTTTCTTGAATTAATTTCTTGAGTCTAATGAATTTATAGAACTTTGCTCAAGCAATATTTTGGACCAATATTTCCTTTATGTGCTTACAGTTAGACGACAAGGTGAAACCAGCTTTGCCTCCTTCCTGTTTAGGAAAACAGAAAATTCTACCTGCCCAGTTTTTAGTTGGATAAAAGGAGCAAGGAATAAAAAAAATATTTTGGCAAATTTACTAGATATTGACAATAAAGTCAAATCATCCAAAGATTGATGAAAATCAAATGTTTAAAAGCAAATATTTCCTCAAAAAAAAAAAAACACTTAATTCCAATAGAGTCCTAGAAGAAGTTTTAGAAGTAGTTCTCAAATGGGTGAGATCTTGCTACCTAGGGGACATTTGGCTTGTCTGGAGACATTTTTGGTTGTCACAACTCTGGGGAGAGTAGGGATGGAAAGGCAGGGAGGAGGTGGGTGCTCCTGACATCTGGTGGAGGCCATAGATGCTGCTAAATATCCTACAGTGCACCAGGCAGCCTCTCACAACAAAGAATGATCTGGTCCCAAATATCAATTATGCCATGGTTATACCTGTGTAGCTTACATGCTACCTATTGTGCCTGAATGAATTGCTTACTTAAAGACTTCAGCAATACAGTTTTCTGTATTGCTCTCTCTGTTTTGGATTTCAGGGCTCTCACAAGCTATGATCAAGAGTCTTCAGCCAAATTAAAATAATGGATCATTTTCCCACACTGAAAAATATTCTCTAGGGGAATGTCTTTCAACTCTAGAATTTTAAGCTCTATTCTTAGTGGTTTCATATCTATAAATACTGTTCCTTCAAGAAGGATATGAAGCAAGCTTTATTTCTGTATTTCTAAAAAGTAAAATTGAACGTTAGATTATTGGAACAATTATTTTTACTGAATTATAGTTTAAGGTTAGCCTTTGTTATATATAATGATTTATTCTGTTTAAACAGGAAAAATGTTAAGTCCAGCCTCCAGCTATGGTGATTAAATCATCTCAGTTGCTGTGTGACATCTACTTCTTGTTTCTTTCCTTGCTATTTAATACTTAAAGTGTGGTGCCCCACTTGTTTGCCAGGAGCAGTATCACATCAGACTCTGCTGTTAACAAGGTCCCCAGGTGATTCATATGCACATTAAAGTTCATTTTGCACCTCTTTTGGCATTGACTTTACTTTCAGTGGCCTATTTTATGTAATGTAAAATTGTGTAGGCTGCCTCCAATTATTTTAGAAGTAGGAAAAGGCAAATGTCTTTTGTGTCTGTTTGAAGTAGGCTATTTCTGGATTAAAGAAATACACATGCACACTCACCGGTTTGAGAAAATTCAGAAAAGTACAAATAATTTGACACGGTTAACCCTTTGTTACAATCTCACCAATACACTACAATGTAGCAGTCTCTCGTGAGGTATCAGCCAGAGTTTTTTGTCTCACAACCAAGAAAATTAAGGAGCATGGACACAAAGGGTGAGGTTGGAGCAAAAGTTTAGTAAGTGAAAGAAGAAAGCTCTTCGAGGCAGAGAGCGGGCCTGAAAGAGAGTTGCTGTTTTTATAGTTGAATGCAAAGGCTTTTACAGGAAACCAGTGAGGGCTGGGAGTCTCATTTGCATAAGGTGCAAATTTCTGGTGGCTCCACCCCATCATACTAGTGCACATGCAGGCCCTTAGCTTGAGTTACTCCATATTGCTTTGTTCCCTTTACTGTGCATGTGTTAGAGGACGGAATTTTCCATTGTGGGCATATCTGGGAAGTCAGCTGTGTAACCTTTCTTATATGTGTGGCTGCAGGCATGTCTTAGGCAAGCCCCTTGTGCAAAATTATCTGTGCCTGCAGCTTGATTTCTCAGGCTGTTCTTTTGATTGAAAGAATTCAACTGAGAACCCATCCTAACTGGCTGCCTGATCAGTTTCTTCCTTTCTCTTCTCTCACTTTAGCAATTACCTTTTTGTTTTTTTTTCCTGTGCATATGTCTTTGTATAAATTATAATTTTGTCCAACCTTTTTTTAAACATTTTGTCATAAACATTTCCTGAACCATTTTCTATAAACATTTTCTCAACCATTTTCTATAGGTATTTGTAGGTAATATCAATGGTTGTATAATATTCCATTTTATGGACATGGCATAATTTATTAAATCACTTTATAGGGTATAATTTCTGAATTAAAAAGAAAATTAATATGGGCATTGGGTAAGAACCTACACATATTTTGCATTTTTTTCCTGAATATTAGATCCTCTAAAGGAGATTGTCTTCCATAGCAAGTACAGAACTCCCTGTCTATGATGGTTTATCCCCCAAGGCTCTGACGGAAGTATTCCATTGTATCACTCACACAAAACAAAAGTGGATATAATACTTCTCAATATTTTCCATTGGATCTCCTCTAGCAATAGGGAAGGGTGATTTAGAATCTCTGTGAATCTCAGGCTGTAGTCCAAAGCACCCATACGTTGCACATTTGATATTTAATTTAGATGTAATTTCTTCTTGAAAAAAATGTGAATTTGTATTGCATTCTGTAATGTATAAATAATGTTGTTTATTACTTATGAGTGAAATGGACACTATCTTTAAGTTCTATTTCAGATTATGCATTTTTATGCTGTATTTTCATCTCTCTCTCTCTCTCTTTCTTTCCTCTTTTATTTCTTTTTTATAGACAAGCTTTTGCTCTGTCACCCAGTCTGCAGTGGAGTTGTGAGAGCATAGCTCACTGCAGCCTCAAACTTCTAGGCTCAAGACATCCTCCTGCCTTAGCCTCCTGAGTAGCTGGGACTATATAGACACATGCTGCTATGCCTGACTAATTTTAATTTTTTAAATGTTAATTTTTAAACTTTTTTCATTTTTTGTAGGGGTCTCACTTTGTTGACTCATCTCAAACTCCTGGGCTCAAGCAATCCTCAGCATCCCAAAGTGTTGGGATTATAGGCATGAGCCATTGTGCCTGGCTGTCCTGTATTTTCTTAAACTCCTTGTCAAGGTTTAAGTACTCCAATATAGAAGCAACCAAATAATTGAATTGTTGCTCAAAGAAAAAAGACTTACTGTAATGGGAGATAATTTTCCCTTTGACATCACAGCATAAAGACAACTTGGTCTCCCATATACATGTATTACCCATGGTATTAGTTTCCTGTGGATTCTGTAACAAATTACCACAAATTTGGTTGTTTAAAACAACGGAAATTTATCCTTTGCAATTCTAGAGACCGGAAGTTTGAAATTAGTATCACTGGACTGAAATAAAGGAGTTGTCAGGGCTGCTGTTCCATCAGAGTCTCTAAGGGAGAATTCCTTCCTTTCCTTTTCCAGCTCCTGGTGGGTGCCAGCATTCCTTGACTTGTGGCTACATCACTCCAATTTCTGCCTTTGTGGACACATTGTATTCTCTTTTTCTGTGCTTGTAATCTCCCTCTTACAAGGATAGGTGTGATTGCATTTAGAGCTCACCCAGGTAATCCAGAATAACTTCCCTATTGCAAGATCATTCATTTAATCACATCTGCAAAGATTCTATTGTTTCTGCCATATAAGGTAACATTCACAGGTTTCAGGGATTAGGGCATGGATATCTGTTGAGAGGCCATTTTTTCAGCCTACCACACTAATCTTTACTCTTTCTGTTAATCAATTGTGTCACTCTCCTGTCCTGTGTTACTTATCTATTGCCACATATTTAACCACCCCTGCAACTCAGTGGCTTAATAACAATCATCATTTGATTTTTTTCATAACTCTGTTGGTCAGCAATTTGGGTTGGGCTCAGCTGGAAAGTTCTTCAGCAAGTCTTTTCTGAATTCACTTAGAAGCTGCCTGGTTCAAGCAGGAGCTTCACTTACGTCTGACTGTTGGTACTAGTTGTCAGCCAGGCCATGTGGACTCGGAGTTATGATTCTTTGGGGGCAATTAGGTTAACAATTTTCTGTGTCTCCTATTTTTAATAATTTTGGAAATCCAAGTTTATACAAAAACATTCCCACTTATTGGAAAAATTCTTTGCTTTTTTAAACATACTTTAAAAATTATTGCTGGGTGCGGTGGCTCACACCTGTAATCCCAGCACTTTGGGAGGCCAACACGAGTAGATTGCTTGAGCCCAGGAGTTTGAGACCAGCCTGGGCAACATGGTGAAACCCTGTCTCTACAAAAATACAAGAATTGGGCAGGCATGGTGGTGGGCACCTGTAGTCCCAGCGACTCCAGAGGCTGAAGTGGGAGAATTGCTTGAGCCCAGGAAGTGGAGGATGCAATGAATCGAGATCGTGCCTCTGCACTCCAGCTTGGGTGACAGAGTGAGACCCTGTTTAAAAAAAAAAAAAGTTACTAAGCTTCTGTCATGTTACAAACACTTCAAGTTTATAGGAAAGATGAAATACACATACACATAATGTAAAAACAATAATAAGCAACCAAGACTGATTATAAGAAATTATGTCATTGTTTATGCTGTGCTTGTGCTTTTTGGGTTTTTAAAAATGCTGTATAGATGACTAACAGGTAAGAAACATCTTATTCTTAATACCTAATCCCTAAGGAAATCATAACCTCATTTGGCATGAGGCCAGCCCTAATCATGTTGGGAGAAATTCTGCAGGTAATTTTCATGTACCTAGAGAATTTCTGATTATTTGAAAGCTGAATGGAAATATCAAAAAATAAAAATAAAAATAATGCCCTTATTATTATTGTGCTCTTTAAAACGAATTGATTGTAGTCTTTTTGAAAATCAGTTTTTAGTAGCTGCAGAAATCATATAGCCTAGAGGCAGTTTTCATTTTTTAAAAAATATTGCTTGTAAGTAACCATACGTAGCCAAATTGATTGCATATGTTGACTCAATTTTTGGAAGAAGTAATCTTAGTCATACATACTACAGGACCTTCTTGTTCTCTGAGAAAAATGTCACTTTGGGAAATTTGCACAAAAAATTTTCAAAGTAGTGCAAAACAACATATGACAAAATAACATAAAATTTTTTGAGTTGAGTTTCCAAATGTAAGTGCTTGTGTGGGATTTCAGAATGATGTTTATACATATATTCTGCAAGATCCCATTTCACTGACATTTTATTGGTAATAGATGAAAAGTTTTATTAATTAAAATTTGAGTTTTACCATATCTGACATGAATCCCAAAAAGAAGATAATAAGGACTTTCAAAAATTTATAATATAATTGATTGTTAAAATTGTGTGGTGGTAACATATAGTTTGCACTTCATGTTGGAATTTGAAAAAATATAAATCAATATGAAAGTAATTTTTATTATACTTAATATATGCCTCATAAAAGAAATGCAAAAAGAAAATTATTTAAGGATATACATTTCAGACCTACTAAAAGAGAGTGAAATTTAGGGTGACAAAGCTGTACTTCAGGAAAAGAAAAAAAATGAGACAATGATTTAAGTTAAATGTTTGAATTTAGACACCAAGGTTGAAGAATGCTGGCACAGTCCAGAGGAAATGAATGATGGAATGGGACTCTGGACAAGGCCTCTGCCACCACCTCAGTATTACTGACCTTACCTTTCCAGGAGAAGCTCTGACCTCGGTGGTTGCTCATGACCAGATTTCTGCTCTTGTCTTTTCCAATAAACTCGTCTCACCTGGATGGAGACTTTGTGATCATACCTAAGACAGTTCTTCAGCAGCCTGAGCCCCATTCCTAGAGACTTTCCAATGTGTCCTCTGCCTTTTGCCTTTCTTATCATAGATCTCCTGATACTGACCTATAAGCTGCATTTTACTAAGGTTCAGGAGCTGTGTGGTTTGAGTTACCTTCACACCTATCACTGCCTGTGCTGGTAAGGCTTCCTGTCTTAATGTGATACCTCCGTTTTCCACTGTCCACACGTACGTGATGCCACCTGGGTTAGCCTGGCATTTGTTTTTACATCTGCTTTCTCCCACTCCAGCTATAGGTTAGGTGTGTTAGTACTACAAAATTGATCTTGCGAAAAAGGCGAAAGGACCGGCAGAACTGACGTCCTTTTGTACATGAGAGGAAAGGAGAAAGGGAGAGAGGGCAGAAATTATGTTTAGGGCACAAACTATGTTTAGGGCACTAGGCCAGGTAGTTTCCATATAGACTCTCACTTTATATAGCTCTCTAGGAAGCAGGTGTGAATAGCTCCCTTAAGTAAGGACACATAGTTAATAATAGGGGGAGATTTTCTGAAAAAGACCAGGCATTTTCCACCACAACTTGCTGCTTCCTGATGAGTTTGGAACATCCCCAGTGGACAGATTCTGGTTTTTTCTGTATATATTATATAATCATGGTAATTGAAATTAAGTACTGAAGAACTTTTGGAACTTTTTGGCAGAGATATCTGAAAGCTGATTTGATTTTTGTTGAAGTATGAAGACAGTAAAATATGGTAAAGTGTGATAAGGAGCCACAGAGTAATAAAAATAGCTAAATGTATGAGAAAAGATCTGAAGGGAAGGAAGAATATTAAAGGCTTTACAGAATAAAGCAGACATTCCTATGTGTGTTAATAGAGAACATAGGTAACAAGACAAGAGAGATGAGTGTAGTAGATGGGAAAACAAAAACATCTCTTTCTTTTCCTCTTACCCCACCCTACACCCCAATTAAAAAAAAAACCCACCACCAAATGAAACAATCCATGTAAGACAAGCAATATTAAGACTATCAGTATGATGCCAGAGAAAAAGAAGGTCGGGGAAGACAAAGACACTCCCAAAACATATTTCAAGTACTCAGAAAATGAAAAGCTGATGGGTGAAGCAAGACCTATTTGCCCTTGTCTCTCTTCATACCATGTTTTGTGAGCATAGCTACATTCTTGCCATTGTGCCGGGCACTGATGACGGATGTGCTAGGCAAGAAGACACTGCACAAAGAGCTGAAAAGAATTGCAGGATTTTAAAATCATTTTTGTGTGTGTGTGTGAGACAGGGTCTTGCTCTGTTGCCCAGGCTGGAGTGCAGTGGCACAATCTCAGCTCACCGTAGCCTCCACCTCCCAGGCTCAAATAATCCTCCCACCTCAGCCTCCCCATTAGCTGGGACTACAGGTGTGTGCCACCATGCCTGGCTAAGTTTTTTAATTTTTTTGTAGAGATGGCGTTTCACTATTGCCCAGGCTGGTTTCGAACTCCTGGGCTCAAGCAATTCTCCTGCCTTGGCCTCCCAAAGTGCTGGGATTATAGACATGAGCCACCATGCCTGGTGAATTAAATAATTTTTAATAAAACTTTTCAATAGTCACAACAATTTCAGAGAGTAGCGTAAGAATGTGAGTATCCTCCTTTTCCCTCAGTAATTTATATGTTTCAGACGGATTATTCATATTCATCTCAAAGTTCAGGGCCCATTCCTGATCTGCCCCCACTCTCTCTGTTCATCTTTGTTTCCATGTGGCCTAAACAGCGCAACCCGCCCCCAGCTGCTCCTACCAGAGACCTGGGAGTTATTCCAGGTGCCTCCTTATCCCTTCCTCCAGCCCTCACCAAGCACTGTCAATTCCACGTCTTCGTTGTTCTTGAATCTGTTCACTGCTTTCCACGACCTCCACCGCCAACCTAGTCCAAGCCAACAGCCTCTTTTGCCTGGATTTGTCCAAAGACAAAATTACAACAAATTTAGTTTAAAGCTCTCCATTGGCTTTATTGCAATTCTAGAATCAGGTGACACTTCATCCCATAAAATAGAATAAGTGTTTCAATGACTCTAGCAGAGGAGGTTGGCTCTAGAGACAGAAAAAGGGCTGAAGAAAGAACAAAAGTGGATTGGTTATTTCAAAGTTACTTTCCTTGTTAGGCAGAGACAGGGAGACAGAGGAATAGAAAGGTAATGGATTGGTTAAGGACTAAAAGTGAGGAACTTAATTTTCATACTTACTGGCCTGTTTGGAAAATTGGCTTTTATCTCTCTCCTGATTTCTCGGAAGGTCAGATGACTTAGTTTTAGTTTGGTGACATGGAACTCAGAACAAGTGACTCCATTTTGATTTTTAGCCTGGTCTCTCGGAGCTCAAGGCAGGAACTTAGTCCAAAATAATGGCCTCCTATAGTGATTACTGAACAGACTACCACAATATCCTCTGACTTCTTTTCCTTATTATCCTCTCAGCCCCTCCAATTCATTCTCCGCACCAGGTGTGGGCAAACTTTTTCTACAAAGGGCCAGAAAATAAATATTTTCAGCCCTGCCGGCCATACGGTCTCTGTCTGTGTCAACTACTCAATGCTGCCATTTATAGGAGAAAGCAGCCATAGCCAGTGCATAAAGAAACAGGCGTGGCGGCATGCAAGTAAAACCTTATTTACACAACAGACCGCAGCAGGATTTGGTGTTCTCATCACTGTTTGCTGAGAGTCCTTGGTCTACACTGAAGCTAGGGATCCTTCTTAAATGCAGAGGATATCCTGTCAGGCCCCTGCCTAATGTTATTTAATTGACTTGCTGCTGCTCAAGGACATGCATTCACAATGTCTTGCTTCTTAACCTTGCTTATTTTGAGCCCCTTCCTTCTTGCTCATTTTGTACCTGTTCTTTGGCTTTCTTTCGTTCAGATCCTTGAAAGCTCCTTTCTGAGCTAGGACCTTTGCACGAGCTGTTTTACGGTTCCCTGGAAATCTTGACTTTCCTAACCCCTGCTCAACCTTCTGTCTTTAGCTTAAATGTTACCTTCTCAGGGAAACCTTCCTTGTCTTTCCAGACTGATTTAGTTTTTTTCTACTAGATCCATACTTTTTTTTCATTTATCTCAACTTTTTAAAATTAAATAAAAATCTTTGTGTGACTGTCTAGCATTTAGCTCCTTGCTAAACTGTCAACTCCCAGGGTCAGGGAACATGTGGGAGTTTTCAACTCCGAATTCTCAACATTTTGTCTAGTGCTTTGTATAGTGGGCACTTAGCAAATATTTGCTAAAAAAAATACATTTAAATCTATAATTTTCATCTATAATGTGAACATTGATATTGGAGAAATGGGTGCAAGTTGGCAAGCCAAGGTGAAATAGCGATGTTATAGTGTTCACCTATCAGCTATAGAGAGCACACAGATTTTGCAAGAAAAGCTTTTAGGTTGAACCACATGAAACTACCTATATCTGACTACTCTTGACCTACAGAAAAGGTCATTTCATGTGCCTTAATGTAATACTAAATATTATATACTCTTTTTCTTTTGGCATCTTACTTTCAGCACCTAAAGAACTCGGTGGAACGATGAGCACTAATATGGCACCTGGCACATTGAGCACTGTATTTAATAAGCTTTTGATGGATATGAGGTTCTGGAAGTAAGAAAGAGGGAAGCTGCCAGTGTGAAGGGTATATGCAGGAAGAGGAGCTACCACAATACCTGGTAGTTGAGTGCGTGATAACACAACATCTGCCATAGCTTGGTTTGTTTGACCCCTCCAAATCTCATGTTGAAATTTGACCCTTAGTGTTGGAGATGGGGCCTAATGGGAGGTGTTTATGTCATGGGGGCAGATCCCTGGTGAATGTCTTAGTGCCATCCTTACTGTAATGAGTGAGTTTTGCTCTTAGTCCCCTCAAAACCTGTTGTTAAAAAAAAGCCTGGCACCTCCCTTCTTTTGCTCTGGCTTTCTCTCTCACCATATGATCTCTGCACATGCTGGCTCCCCTCACCTTCTGCCATGAGTGGAAGCAGCCTGAAGCCCTCACCAGAAGCAGATGCTGGTGGCATGCTTCTTGTGCAGCCTGCAAAACCATGAGCTGAATAAACCTCTTGTCTTTATGAATTACCCAGCCTCAAGTATTCCTTTATAGCAACACAAATGGACTAAGATAACATCTTTGAAGCTAGTTTGCCAAAGTTATAGGAAAAAAGATGGAAAAGCAAGAGTCTCAAATAAGTTATACAGCCTCAATGAAATGATAAAGGACCATGACTTTGCATATAATGGCTTTCTGAGAAAGTTGAAATGCTAATGCCTTTCAGGCTACAGAAAAACTGACTTTGGAAAAGAATTCAGAGAAGCAAAAGAAGAAGAGATGAAAGCTTGAGTTTGTGTTTATAAGAGCAGATATGTAACCAATTTATTAGTGGAACATGTTATGGGTTATTATATCATAGGAAAATAATTATAAATATGATGTAAAATATTAATTCCTGAAAGTTTTGGAAAGTAAAATAGAATTTTTTCTGTGTAATAAGTTAGTATAATTCTTAGCCAGGATATGAGGACTATGACCTCTTATGTGCTTTTGTAGTTCTGTGATTCCATAAAAGATGTAGAAGGGAAGTAAAAAATAACATTACACATAAATTTGAACATGTTTTGTTTATCGTATATAATAATACGTGTGCTGACATTTATTTACTTTATGTTTCTTGTACATTTTAAATATCAATCCATGCCATTTTATAGCAAAATCTTTGATTCTTCACTTCCTGTTGTGAATCAGTTCCAAGAAGGCTTTACCCTATCACTCCATTAAAGACTATAATCTTCATCACTGTTTAGATCACCAGTGGCCACCTTCTGGCTAAATACAGTAGTAATTGGACACACAGTTGACCCTACGGACCATGCTTTCCTTCATAGAACACTTTTTAACCTGGTTGCCAGGGCTTGGTTTCTTGGTTCTCTTCCTACCTCTGGGCTGATTCTTCTTTGCCATCTTTGATAGTTTCTCCTCAACTTCCCAAACTCAAATATTTAGAAACCCTAGCACTCTGTTCTTGACCTTCCTCTCTTCTTTGCATACATTTATTAGGTTTATGACTTTCAAACTTATTTTGATCCCTACATATAAAAAATATATTTTGCAGCATTTCCCAGCACACATACACACACACACACACACACACACGTGTGCACAGAATCCAAGTTCTCTTTTCTATATCATTAAAAAATCCTCTTTATACCCACTAAATTGATTTTACTACCCACTTAGTGAGTCATGACTTGCAGTTGGAAAAACATTTTTCTAGGTGATCTCATATAATCTCATGGCTTTAGATGCTGCATTTATTCTGATGGTACCTAAATATATAGGCATGACAGTGTGGGATAGTAAAAATGTGCATTGCATAGAAACCATACAGCATGATCTATGTAATCAATGGGGAAAGTTATGATTGTTTCCTGATCTTTACAACTAGAAAAAATATTAAAAACTCATACTATTGTATGGCTGTGTTCCAATAAAACTTTATTTACAAAAAACAGGTGGCCAGCCCATACACTGCAGTTTGCTGAACCATGATCTAGACTATTCCAAAAACTTTTTGGAAGAATCATTTCTGGATCATCTTAGACAGAAAAATCTTTTTAATTATTTAGAGATGGGCTCTTGCTATATTGCCCAGGTTTGTCTTAAACTCCTGGGCTCAAGTGATCCTCCTGCCCCAGCCTCCTGTGTAGCTGAGACTGCAGGCATGTGCCAATGTGCCTAACTGAAGAAAAATAGTTTTAAAATAAATCTTTTCTTTAAGGAAAAAGCTTTTGTAGAGTCGAAGAGGAAAAGCTTCTACTTTGCCCTCTAAAGGTTTACCGAAAACCACTGAACAAAAGGCAGATTACTAAGAAAAAAAGGCATGCAAAATTTATTTAATGTGCATAAGCACAGGAGACTTGGAGGATTACCCAGTGAAGTCTAGGTGCTTATATATCCTTCTTCATAGGGAAGTGTGAAAGTGAGATCCTGGGGAACTAGTCATGAGGACTGCTGTTCTCTATGTTGTCTCCTTTCTCAGACAGGTCCTTCTCTCAGAAGAATAAATTCCCACAAAAGTCCTTAATTGAGTGTTATTGGTCTGGCTGGGGTCACATGCTCATATCTGAAACAGTTGCTGAGGTCAGAGATGAAGAATAGTGATTCTAAGCCCTGGGTCAGATGGACTGAGAGTGAAGAAGAAAATCATGATGCCGTGCCTCAACGCAGGAGAAATTAATTCTGGTCCAGCAAAAGCTTCACATGTCCCCTCTGGACACCATTTAAGTAATATTTTCAGCATATTTTTTCAGAGCCTGCATCCTGTATTAAATCAGCTCTGTTCTGTCATTGTCCCAGATCCTGTATCTGCAACTGAGTTTCTTGTTGTCAAAGGGAATGGAAGTTGAAAGGGGATTAAAGTGAAACCCTTTGGGTCAAACACTTATTAAACAGCAGCTCAGGCAGTCTGCCAGATCCTGAAGAGATAAAGATGAAGAGGGAAGGCACAGTTGTGGCTCTTGAGATCATTATATCTAATGACCTCAATTAGATATAATGAAATGAGGACATATAAATATGCAAATTCAGGACAATATAATATTTGCTATGATATCCTCATGCATTGGGTATGATGGGAGGAAAGACAGTCAGCCAATCTGGGAGCAATCTGGGAGCAGAGTGTGGGGTGTGGAGAGAATTCAGGGAAGGTGTTCTAGAGGAGCTAACATCTGAGCTGAATCTTGAAGTATGAGTAAGAGTTTCTGGATGTAGAAGGGGAGGCATCTAGGCAGAAGGAACAGAATGAACGCACATATGGAGAGGAGACAGAGCATGGTGTGTGACGAGCTGCTGATAATTTAACATTGCTTCAGGATGAGGTGTGAATCAGAAAGTGTCTGGAGGGGTGGAAGAGACTAGATGTTGGCACTCAACATAAGTTGCCTAGTGTTTAGATTAAGTTCAGATATGAATGAATTTAGACTTTATCCTGTGAGAATTAAGGAGATCTTGAAGGCGCTTACTTAGGGGAAGGATATCTGTGGATGAATATTTTAGAAAAATCACTCTGGCGATTGTGTGGAGGAGGCAAGATCAGTTCTGGAGGTGGGAGGACAGACAGTTTAGGAGACTATTTTAACAGACCCAGTGGGAGATGATGAGGGTAGTGGATGGGAGAATGTTCAGAAGGGAATGAGTATGAGCAATATTGGCGAAGTTTGATAAATGGAGTTATGTGAGGGAGTTGTTTTGCAGCACGGGGCTTTCCTGGATATGAGTCCTCAGGTTAGGAAGGCCATTTTGGTCTAGAGAAAGTGACAGGTATATTTGGTAGTACAAAAAAGCCTTTGAGGAAAGAGTAGGGGAAACAATTGGTCATCTATCCTTCTTTATTTGAGGCACAATTTCCCCCTCCATTGGTGTATTTTATCAACATGTATTCATTGAGAATCTCCTATATGATTGTCACTGTGCTGAGATTCTAACTATGAACAAAGCGATCATAACCCTTGCTCCTGGGTCCTACAGTTTAGTGGGAAAGACAAATGGATAATTTGAATGGGTCATTTCAAACACGATGAGTGTTACAAAGTCACTAAAATTAACATGGTTTTAAAAAGATGAAACAGATCTAATGCAGTGGAAGAGTTCATCGTGACTTCCAGGCTAGTGGGTAGTAAGGATTGTAAAGGCTAATGCCAGCTTCTTTGACTGGGGCAATACTTTATATGGACTGATTTTGGATTTCTTGGCACTCATGGACTGTAGAGTTTGTAGTAGAGTTTCAAGAGTGCTTGCGCAAAGGATGTGCACGGATGGCAAAAATCAGAGGTAGAGATGCATAGTTCACCTCTAGTTCTAAGGCTGGCCCCTTTAATATTGGGCAGGCCAGTAGAAATGCAGATTTGGTGCAAAGCTTCATATCTGTCCTGGTGTTTTAAAAGAGTAAGTGTTTCCAAAGGTGTCTGATTTTCAGTCAGGAAGAAGCTTAAACCTTCAGAGATTCTGTCTCTTATAATTCTGACTTAGAAAAAAGGGAATAATGAGAAACACTTCATTTGCCTTGTTCATTGAAGATGCTTTTGGATAAATAATCTAGCATCATGTTTGAAAAACCGACCAACCAACCAACCAAACCAATGTTAACAAGAACAATAGCAAAACAAGAATAACAACGTAAAAAGCAGTTGTCTAATAATTCCCAAAAGGTGGCCTTGGGTTGAGCCAACTTTAAAATTTTAGTAAGGCAGCAAAAAGATCACGTGAAAGAGAAATGGATAAGGTAGAAGAAGATGGTGGGGAGGGGGAATAGAATTAACTGTGAAAGGAGAGTAGACTGTGTCTTTATTGTTGGTCATTCTGATTTATAAGTCAACAGAAATTCATTTCCTAGTTAAATTGTTAGAAATAAATTATTCATGGAAGAGCCATCTGTGTTCTCTATTGCCAATTTCTCCACATAAAAGGAACAATGTGTTGTGGCAGAAGTCGGCTGAAGCTTTTTTTTTTTTAATGTGACTCATGTCACTTTGAAGATTTACTTTACTTTCAAACTTATATCTCAGTTCTCAGTGTGACAGGAGGTTCATGTTACATTTCTTCCTCTTACAAAAAATCCAGAGAGACTTCTAATCAAAGAATTATATTGATACTAATGAGAAAATATATATTTACGGTTGCTGCTAGACATTTCTATATATAAAAGATAGGGGCAGCAGACTGATTGGAAGAGGGGAGCAGTTTACAACAAATAGAGCAAATGTCAACATTCTGGATAAAATCATGTTGAGGCAATCAAGGAACCGATAGCATGATGAGAGGGCTAAAGCACTCCCCAGATCAGCTCGTGAGCCCATTAAATGAACAAAATGCAATTCCCTTGTTTATGAAGTTTATTTCTCTGTTTTCTATAATTTTTTGTTTAGCTTTTAATACCTTAGCTCAAAGATCATCATTTGCATAGTGCAATTATATTGTTACATAGCTTTGCATTAGATATCCATATCAGCCTTTCTTGCCTTCTTCAGTTTTTCCTACTATAAACATTGTGCATGTGTGTGTGTTTTTCTGTTTTTACTCTCTGTGTATCCTTTCTAGGTTCCCAACATGCCGCTCCTGCTGTGAAGGCTTTAACCAGAAAAACTCCTAATGTTCTTCTGCCAGGGATATATCAGTGGGAGGCAGGAAGAATGGTGGTTTTAAAGTTCATCTTCATTATTATAGAAAATAACTTTGGCTCTTTACTTATCTAGAAGTTAGATCAGTTTGAACTGAGCCCCTTGTAATATAGATGTTGGCAATATGGAAGTGTACCAAAGTATTCATTTGCAGAGAAATTAATCAAAGATAAGTTTCAGAATCCCCTTAGCTGCTGCTGCTGCTCTCACAACCCCACCCCCCCCCACACACACAAGCTGTGGTTTCTGGAACAGTGGTCTGGTGTGCAGGATTTGGAAAAATGCCACTGATTTCATGATTCATATGCACACCATGGAAATAAACAAGAGCAAACTTCTATAATAATTTAGGTACTTTAAGTCTTATCCACTTTGTGGGATTTTTTCCTCGTACCTTCCCAACTGAGTTCCTGTAGCCCTATATAAACATTAGCATCATTGCTGGGAGAATTCCAAGGAGTGAGTCAGAAAATACCACCTCTGCCCCTATGTCACCGATTTGGAAATATTTGCCTTGAGGGGTTGTCCTCAGTGACTTCTGAGTCCTTGATAGACACTAACTAATTAGCACTTGAAAACTGCCTCCGAGACCTGGAACTTGTTGGTTGCCAGAGAGGCTGGTGTGCTCCTTCTTTCATGTGCAGCATTAGCAAATGCCGGTGTGGTATGAATCTTAAAAATTCAGCTCTGACAATCTAATCTCAATAATGAAAGTATAAAAACGCTATTGCATCAATGGAAATGCAGATGTCACTGGGTGGCAAATGCATCAGTACAAAGGCACATCCAAAGGGAGGCAAAGTCGGAGACGTGCAGGTGCTGAGTTAGATCTTGACTGCACACCTGGACCTTTACAGCAGTATTCCCAGGGGGTGACCACATGTTTGGGTTTGCTCAGGATGGCCCCATTTATGACTGTTTCCCTGGCAGAATTAATCGTCGAGACCCCGTTCACTCTCAAGAATCTTGATTTGATTGTTAATCTGATGAACAGTGAAAGTGTTTTCAATGGCTCAAATAGCATAAAGAAACCCAGAGTATCTGGAGAATGAAGCAATTTGAGGAAGTGGCTCCTATAGATCCTGAACTCCTTAACAGGCCAGATTAATAGCACTTGGTGGACCTTGGCTTTCCTGTGACATAGTACGTCCCAGTGACTCCATTTGCTACAGAGTGGAGCCATCATTTGAATTTCCATCACGGCCTGTCTCTGGAGCAGACCACTGTGGTACTGGGGTTTTGGGGGCTCTCTCAAGCCAGCTTCATAGACTCGCTAACCTTATTTTACAAGTAGCATTCTAGAACCAGTCATTATAACTTTCAGGGTGGGCATTTTCCACGAGATCCTGGTTCCAATTACGCCTAATTATTTGTTATGTCCTATTTGGGTTTTCTTTTTACAGATCTTTAAGAAATTTTCCTTTGGCTCTGAGTTGAGTCAAAATGTTGAGTTCAACTTTCATCCTAAGCAAGATAGAGGGCATGAATTATGGTTGAGGACTTATGCATATTTTGACCAAATGAAAATGACCACTGTTGCTCCAGCCCAATTGCTGCTACTCTAGATTGTGAATGCAGATATAGTCAAAATGACTTTGGTAAATGCTTCTAATCATGACTGATTATCTTTTTGGCTGGTAGAGGAAGTAGGAATGCATTCATATTTTGTATGAAAGGTAGCGTTCTTTTTGTAAATTCTTGCTATTTAAATAACTTTTTGGGTTTGTCAAAACCTTTTCAAATTTTTCCAGTTAAAGTTTCTTCCTACAGCAAGACGGTGAGTTTGTTTTTTTTTTTTGTTTTTTTTTTGTTTTTTTTTTTTTGAGACAGGGTCTAGCTCTGTCACCCAGGCTGGAGTGCAGGAGTGTGATCATGGCTGACTGCAGCCTTGAACTTCTGGGCTCAAGCAATCCTCCCACCTTGGCCTCCTGAGTAGCTGGGACTACAGGTGGATGCTACCATGCCCAGCTAATTTTGTAATTCTTTTGTACAGACAGAGTCTTGCGATGTTGCCCAGGCTAGTCTTGAACTCCTCGGTTCAAGTGATCCTCCTGCCTCAGCCTCTCAAAGTGTTGGGATTACAGGCATGAACCACTGTACCCAGCCTAGCAAAACATTGAGTTTTTATACCAAAAATATACAGCAGCTCGTGCTAGTGTATCCACAGTACTACTTCCATATTTCCTTCTGATATTCCTCAAACTTATCTTCTTGAGATGGGAATAAACTCAACATACAGGAAGTTCATACAAAAGTGCTAAATTCAGTTTCCAGATTATAACAAGGCCCCATAAACATCAAAACATCAGAGGTTGATCTGTGCTGTTCAATATGCTACCCACATATAGCTATTTAAATTTAAATTAATTAAAATTAAGAATAAATAAAAATCCAGTTCCTCAGTTGCACTAGCCACATTTCAAGTGCTCAAATGTTATTTCCCGGGACAGTACAGAGAGAGAAAATTGCCACCACTGCAGAAAGTTCTACTGGAGAGTAATGGTGTAGGAACAGGCAGACCTTATATAAAACAATCCTTTTATTTTCTGGTGAAAATGGAATTGAGCCAACCTTTCATGCGTTCCTAGTTCTGATTCTGTGCCATTAAGTCAGAGCACTATGAGAATCCCTATATTACCTTGAGGAAGAACAGTGAAAATTTACAGTGCTGCAGCTGTCCCAGAATTCAGAACCCATGATCTAGGAGACTTTAGATTTCATGAAAGTAAGGTCTAAGCTTACCCTGTTTTTCACTGCAATCCCAGGGTCTGGCACATAGTAGACTTTCAATAAACACTTGTGTAATGAATAGTTGAGGGAACCCAGCAAGGACCCATTAAAAGGGCCTAACTACAAAAACACGGGCATCTCTTGGGGTTTGGATCATTTTTGAGGGTTCCCTGGGAATCATGCGAAGGGGCAGGCAGTAGCCATTGGAGATTTCTCCTTTGTAGAAGCCACAGCACAGCATAGGGCAAATGGCATTTGCTGAGTAGCTTCTCCTTTTTCTTCTCTTTCTTCTCTGTCTCCTCTCCTTCTCATCTCCCTATTCCAACATCCTATCAAATTGCTAATTCTGTGGAGCATTTATTAAATGCCAGCCACTATTCTAAGGTCCTTTAATAGATTATTTCATCTTCCCAGTGATTCTATTGTATTGCTTTGCTAAGGCCACCATAACAAAATACCACAGACTGGGTAGCTTTAACCACAAACATTTATTTTTTCACAGTTCTGGAGACTGGAAGTCTGAGATCAAAGGCAGGCAGGTTTGTTTTCTCCTGAGGCCTCTCTCCTTGGCTTGCAGATGGCCGCCTCCTCACTGTATCCTCACATGGCCCTTTCTGTGTATCTGCATCACTAGTGTCTCTTTCTGTGTCCAATTTTCTCTTCTTATAAGGACACCAGTCAGGTTGGATTAGGTGCATCCCAATAGCCTCATTTTAACTTAACTGCCTATGTAAAGGCCTTATCTTCAAATACAGTCACATGCTGAGGTACTGGGGGATAAGGCTTTGCTATGGTCTGAATGTTTGTGTTCTCCCAAAAGTAATTTGTTGAAAACCTAATTGCCAATGTGATGGCATGAGGGGAAGGGCCTTTGGGAGGTGATTTGTACATGATGGCTGAATCCTTATGAATGGGATTAGTGCCCTTACAATGAGACCCCAGAGAGTTGCCTTTTCCATCACATGAGGACACAGCCAGAAGGTACCATCTACGAACCATAAAGGGGGCCTTTAGCAAACGCCGGCTCTGCCAGTGCCTTGACCTTGGCCATCCTAGCATTCTGAACTGTGAGAAATTCATTTCTCTTATTTATCAGTTACGCAGTTTATGGTGTTTGTTGTAACAGCCTGAATGGACCAAGCCAGGCGTCAACATATGAATTTTGAGGGTGCACGATTTAGCCCGTAACACCTATAAAGTCGGTGTTATTATTAGTCCCACATTATAGTAGAGGAAACTGAGGCATGGAGTAACCTTGCCCAAAGTTTAACAGCTGGTAAATGATGTAACACAGATAGACATCTCACCAGTCTGACTTCAAAGCTTGCATTTTTAACCATTAGAAGGGGTACTGCATTTTCTTAAATTGGCAACACATTTGGGTTTGAAACTAATTAGAAAAAGATATCATTGACCAGGCGCAGTGGCTCACGCCTGTAATCCTAACACTTTGGGAGGCCAAGGCAGGCGAATTGCCTGAGCTCAGGCATTCGAGACCAGCCTGGGCAACATGATGAAACCACATCTCTACTGAAAAAAAAAAATTAAAAAAGAAAAGAAAAAGATATCACCATGAGAGGTAGATCATTGCAGCATTGGAGGTGATCTGCCTCCCCAGGTGGGGAGACTGTGTACAGCTATTGCTGCCCCAGCTTCTGCCGTTCTTCATATGCTTGTCAACTGCACTGTCTCCAAAGTTCCTACCAGCTCAGCCATATTCTTCCTCCCTGCCCTCAATGCGTCTTCCCCAGTTTTATCTGGGAGTGAAACTTGTGGTGGTTAGAGAGATTCATCTTGGGCTGTGGCAATCTTCAGTTGCACAAACCGTGTGAATTACAGGATGGCCGGAGCAACTGAAGGGCCAGATCCCTAGTCATTGCAAGTCGGATAGCTTTCTCTCTAGTTACTTTGTTTTGTAATACTAATAAGAATAAAAATTATTTTAACTTCTTCCATATGTATTATTCCATTCTCTTTCTTCTTATTTTATTTTTTTAAATTTTTTTTGAGATGGAGTCTTGCTCTGTCACCTAAGCTGGAGTGCAGTGGCACGAACTTGGCTTACTGCAACCTCTGCCTCCTGGGTTCAAGCCATTCTCCTGCCTCAGCCTCCCAGGTAGCTAGGATTACAGGCATGCACCACCACACTTGGCTAATTTTTGTATTTTTATAGACACGAGGTTTTGCCCTGTTGGCTGGGCTGGTCTCGAACTCATGACCTCATGTGATCTGCCCGCCTCGAACTCCCAAAGTGCTGGGTGTACATGTGTGAGCTATTCTCTTTCTTCTAAAAATATGTAAATTTATTTTCCCTTTTTTTGTTTTTTTTTTCTTTTAGGCACAGCAGAATTTATTCTACTTTATTGGTATTTTTTTGTTTTATTGGTGTTATTTATCCTTCATACCGCATATTTAATTGTTTTTTAAAATACTAATTTCGCTTTTAGCTTTTAAAATTTCTACTCCTACCTTCTTTTGGCTGGTTTTGGTATTTTCTTTGAATTTGAAAAAATGAAAGAAATGACAAAGAAAGTTAACAGCTTTTAAAAATAATGGCAATAACAAGTTAGATACAGAAGTAGAAAAATGTTCTTTTCACAATTGTATAGCCAGGAATAGATTTAACAAAAAAGGTGCAACTCCCACATGAAGAAAGATGTACTTATTGACAGGACTTGAATAAATACAAATTAAATTCACAAGAAGATGTAAAATCATGAAAATAACAGTTCTTCCAAAATTAATATTTGACTTAATAAAATTCCAACCAGAATTTTATTTTTTTAAGCAAAAATATTATTTTCGGTTCATTTGAAATAATAAATGTTTTAGAATTCCAGAAAATATGTTAGAAAAGAGACTTATATTGGAGCACTAGTCCTACTGGCTATTAATACATGGTTCTAAGATTCTTTTAGCAAAACAGCTTGATATGAAGTCTGGAAAAAAGCAGCTATTATAATAGAATAAAGTCCAGAAATAGATTAAAGTATAGATGGAAACCTAATTTATGATAAAGGTAGAATTTAAATTCAGAGGGAAAACGATGTTGGTGTAATTGGCTTCTAGGTAGAATAAGATAAAATGAAACCACAAATTCACACCATGTATATATAAAATATACATGTGAGGTGGAATAAATACTGAAATGTCAAAATCAGAATATAAAATAATAGAAGAAAAATTTTGATTATATTTAGTTTTTCTTTAAAAACAGGAAAAATCCATAAGCCATTTAAGAAGAGTTGGATAGTTTTCACTAACAAAATTATAAATTTCTGTGTTGAAAAATGCACAACATAAAGTAAGAAATACAAGTTTAGACTGAGAAAATATTTCCAATACTGCATTATAAACAAAAGTGTAATGTACTTATACAATGAGACTTAATAAAGCATTAAGAAACATAGAAACAACAGGCAAAGCATAAGATTTGGCAAGATACATTGGATGGAATGCAGATGGCCAATAAATGTATGAAAAATGTTTAACTTTTTAAATAAAAGAAATACAAATTAGAGTTTTTGTTTTGCTTTGTTTTGTTTGTTTTGAGACAGGGTCTTGCTCTGTCACCCAGGTTGGAGTGCAGTGGCGTGATCACGACTCCTGAACTCAAGTGATCCACCTGCCTCAGCCTCCCAAAGTGCTGGGATTACAGGCATGAGCCACTGCGCCCGGCCTAGAGTTATTTTCTAATAGTTTGGAAAAAATAATAATTTTTATTGCTGGCCTTAGAATGAGTAAACAAACCCTTTCACACATTACGAAGGGGGGTGTGAATTGCTACAATTGTTTTGGGAAAAGCTATTGAAATATAAAATTCATATTCTCCTCAAATCAACAACACTGCTGTTAGAAATCTTACCTACTGAAATGAAAGCACAAGTATGTATTGATAAACAAATTATGCAAAACTTAACAATGGAGATATGTTTTGAGAAATTAGTTGTTAGATGATTTTGTCATTGAATGAACATCAGACTATATGGTAGAGCCTACTACACATGTAGGTTATGTGGTATAGCCTATTGCTCCTAGGCTACAAACCCGTCTGGCATATTACTGTACTGAACACTGTCATACATTGGTAAGCATTTGTATATCTAAATATAGAAAAGGTACAATAAAAATACAGCATGAAAGATTAAAAATGGTACACCTGTATAGGGCACTTACCATGACTGTAGGACTGAAAGTTGCTCTGGGTGAGTTAGTGAGTGCTGAATGAATGTGACGGCCTAGGACATGACCATTTAAAACTGTAAACCTTATTAACACTGGATACTTTGGTTACACAAAATTTATTAAGAAATATTTTTATGGCCAGGAGTGGTGGCTCACACCTGTAATCCCAGCACTTTGGGAGACCGAGGCGGGCAGATTACCTGAGGTCAGGATTTCAAGACCAGCCTGGCCAACATGGCGAAACCCCGTCTCTACTAAAAATACAAAAATTAGCCAGGCGTGGTGGCGCATGCCTGTAATCCCAGCTACTTGGGAGGCTGAGGCAGGAGAATCACTTGAATCCAGGAGGCAGAGGTTGAGGTGAGCTGAGATCACGCCACTGCACTCCAGCCTGGGCGACAGAGGGAGACTCTGTCTTTAAAAAAAAAAAAAGAAAAGAAAAGAAAAGAAAAGAAATATCTTTATTTTTTCAGTAACAAATTAACCTTAGCTTACAGTAACTTTTTTTACATTATAAATTTAAAATTTTTTGACTCTTTTGTAATCACACAGCTTAAAACACAGAAGCATTCTATAGCTGTACAAAAATCTTTTCTTTCTCTTATATCCTATTCTATAAGCCTTTTTGTATTTTAAAAATTTTTGTATTTTTCTACTTTTTAAATTCTTTTTTTAAAAAAACAAGGACACAAACACACAGATTAACCTAGGCCTACACAGGGTCAGGAACATCAAAACATAGGCCCTAGGCAATGGGAAATCTTCAGATCCATTATAATCTTATGGGATTGCAGTCATATGTGGGGTTAATCATTGACTAGAATGTCATTATATGGCCTATGACTGTACATTGATTTTACTAAATATATGCATGTATATATACATATGTACATATCCACAAGGATGTTTATTGCCTTTTCAGAAGGTTCATCAATAGGAGAGAGGTAAAAATTATTGTGTATTTATAAAAGGAATTGTTACCCACTATTATAAAGAATAAGATCTAAGTGTGTTGACCTATAGAGGGGTAGAGAGAGGAAAGGAGATTATGAACTTTTCAAAAATAAAACTTCAGATAATTTTGTTTGTCACAGGAGAATGCATTACTTTTCATATTAATTATAATAATGGTTACCACTTATTGACCGTTACGATGGACCAAGTGTAGCGGGAATTTAAATATATCATTTATAATTCTCACAAGAACATGCAAGAACAATGTCTTCAGTTACCTATGGGGAACTGAGGCTCAGATTGGCAGTCAAGTGGTGGAGCCAGGATTCAGCCCCTAGCCCATCTGCTGAGAAAGTCTTTGCTCTTTCTTCTGGTTCCTACCATGGCTGCATCATCTTCTGTGTGGGCCCTAACGGGGAGCAGGAAATGCCCCACTTCTCTCTGGGCATGGGAGCCATAAGAAGGAGGTCCCTAACATGTACAACCACTGCTGGTTTTGGTCCTGGGGAGAACTAATAAAGAATAAAGCAAAAAAAAAACCCTTCTTTTATCATTGCGAGCATTGTCACCAGTCCTAACTGACCACTCCACTCTACCACACCCATAGCAATGGGCTGCCTTACTGTGTCATTTTTGATCGTCAGTCCACTATCCAGTGAATTATTGCATATTCATAAGCTAGAATGTGGACAGTCAGGGAAGGCCAGCATGGAAGAGGTAAACACCTGAAACTTGATTATGGAGACAGAGTCAGAGGGTAGTGATGTTCTTTGGTTGTGGTGCTACATCGTGGGTTGCTGAGTTCCAGTACTGCTGTGAATAAGCTCTGTGGTATAGGGGAAGATATTTAAACTCCTGATGCCCTAGGTTTTCTCATCTGTAAAACGCAGATGAAAAGAGTTCCTACTTCTTAGCGTGTGTTTGTGTGCACACAGGCACATGCACCTGTGTGTATTTGAGTGTATATTAAATGAATTAATACACAGCCCTTGGAAAAGTCCCCACCACAGGGTAAGCCCAAAAGTACATGAAGGCCATTATTATGATTATCAAGACCAATCCTCAGATTCTAGGTCTAATAAGATAGTTTACTTTTGGCATGATTAGCCTATGATTACCAATGTCATAATGCTAATGCCTGCATTTATACCATGAGTTTAAAGAAGGATAAGATCAGGTCGAGGTTAATAACCATTTGAATTCTGACATGTTTGTGACACAATAATGTTCACGGGTGACACCAAAAATGTTGAATTATAATTTGCTTTCTTGAATCCCGGTTTATTTTAGGAGGGGCCTAATTTTTTGTGTGACTCCTGTTAATTTTCATGACTGTCCTTGTTGCTCTGTTGTCTGTGTCTTTTCCTGTCTTGGATGTTGGGGAGATGAGCGATATGTAGATAGGAGAGGTGAGTGTGAGGGCAGAAGTGTGGTTGGTTGAGTGTTGAAGAGAGAGTAACAGACCCGTAAAGAAAACCACAGTATTTCCTACCCTTGATGCTGAGATATGCGATGAATATATCTATCTGTTGATAGAGCTGTTTAGGTTTTTGTTTATTTGTTTGGGTTTCGTGCAATTTCATGTAAAATTTTTCTGGTAATTTTTTGTTATTTAATTATCTTCCCAGAAGAGAAATTCTTTTTTTTTTCTGGGTTTGGGGCACATTGCTTTATCTTTTTCTGAGTTGTTAAGCAGTTAGAAAATTATTTTAAATAGATTTTTTTTGATACACTTGATGATTTTTATCAGTAAACTTGAAAACGGCTGTTTATTTTGGTCACAAAGAAATATTTTAATAATGCTTTTGACAAGATATCTCAAACCATCTGAATAGAGAATCTTAAATAGCTTTAAAAGAATCATGAACTTATTAGCAAAAATAATGAAGTTCAGTATAACATTTAAGTTGACATTTTGAGATAGTAGATAAAGTTTACTTGGGACACACATGAAATTAAAGGTGATTCGTTAGTGTTTAGTAACTGTCTTTATTTCTTCATTTTTTTGTTTTATATTTTATTTAGCAAAACATCTTAATATTATTTTTAGTTTGGAGTGTTTGTAGAATATTTAAATAAACATTAAAAAATTCCTAAGGGAAGGGACAGGTGAAATACTAATACAAACAAAAACTGTTACAAAATCAGAAATGTCAAGATTTTGGGGGGCTACTGTGTATCTGTTTATCTACTTGATCTTATATGCGATTTTGTCTTTCATTTCATTACTCTTCTTCATTGGGAAGAAAAAATCCTCTCAAGGTCCTATCTCAGTCCCTGAAGAAATAAATAAAAAAGAGTAGCAGAAGATGGATGAGATTGAGTGGGAGGTAAAATTAGAATGGTTGCAATCAGTAAAAATCTTGAAAGTACTTTAGTGAGAGAACCATAAACAAAATATGATAGTGCATATCCTATAAGATCCATGATTACTCATAATTTATTCACAAGTACATTAAAAATGTAAAACCATGCATAATTATTTAATGTATAATTAAAATTTAAATATTGAATTTGAAACTGGGACAAGCAATACGCTTTCCTGTCATCTGAACAGTTCTGGAGTATCATAGGATTATTTCATGTCTGATAATATTCCATCATCTTCCTGTATCTAACATCAGATTTAATACACACAGCAGGTACTTTTTGATCATACAGTTTAGCATTTATAATGAATCTTGGAGCTGAAGCCATATAGCAGCCTTGAAAATTATGCTGTATGCCTTTGAATGCGTGGGCACTCAAGTAGGTTGGAGTAAGAAAAAGCACTCAAGTTTTTGTTGTTGTTGTTGTCTTTAATTATTTTAAAAGTCAGTCTCATTTGATCTCTCTTTCTTTCCCCCACTCTTGATTTTGGAGGTTCCAAATGGCCTTTCTCCACTCAAAGAGTGGTTCTTAGGCCTGCAGGATAGCATGGTCCACTGACAAGCCGCATGGCATCCCAGGGGAGCTTATTAGAGCTACAGGCTCTCAGGCCCCACTCCAGATCTGCCGAATTGGAATCTGCATTTTAATAGGATCTTCCGTTGCTTCACGTGACATCCAAATTTGAGGAGCCCTGCCATATGGGATAGGTCTGAATCAGGCCGATGTTATTGTCTATATTCCTGGAAGGATTGCTTAATTTTCCAAACTTGTTTGGGTTCTGTAGCTTTTTGAATGATCCCAGGGACGCCTGATATTCCTGTTGGAAGTTTCTAAGTCTCCAACAGGGAAGATCATCTATATTATTATTACCAGTATGAGTAACAACAATGGGTGATATGATTTCCATTTATTAGCTACCCACTAGTGGAGCATGATGCAAAATGTCTCATCTGTGTATTTCACCTGTAATCCTCTCAACAACTCAGCAGAAGAGGTTTTATTATTATTTATTTATTTATTTATTTATTTACTTGAGACAGAGTCTCGCTCCGTTGCCCAGGCTGGAGTGCAGTGGTGCGATCTCTGTTCACTGCAACCTCCACCTCCCAGGTTCAAGTGATTCTCCTGCCTCAGCCTCCTGAGTAGCTGGGATTACAGGCACATGCCACCACGGCTGGCTAATTTTTGAATTTTTAGTACAGACGGGGTTTCACCATGTTGGTCAGGCTGGTCTCAAACTCCTGACCTTGTGATCCACCCGCCTCGGCCTCCCAAAGTGCTGGGATTACAGTCGTGAGCCACTGTGCTCGGCCCAGAAGAGGTTTTAAGAAGACAATTTACAGAAAAGAAAACCGAGGCTAGGGGTTATTGTTCAAGGTTAAATATACAATGTTAGTTCTGAAATCAAACCCAAGTTTGTCTCCCCTAAGCCACGTACCGCCCCCCCAACCCCCGTTTTTTTTTTCGTTTTTTTTAAACAATACTATATTGCTACATGCCACTTTGGTCCTCTTGCAGTAAGGAAGGGCATATAAAAGTGCCCTGTTTGTCTGGGATCAGAAAACAAGCCTGTGTAGGCCCAGAGAGACAAATATGGCTTGTTGTCACATGTGTGCAAGAGCTAAAGTGGATCTCACAGAAGGAGAGGGCAGAATGATAGATACTAGAGGTTGGGAAGGGAAGGTGAGAATGAGGAGAAGTTAGTTAATGGACACAGTTAGCTAGAAGAAATAAGTTCTAATATTCAACACTACCGTCGGTAAATTATATGTAATAATTTATTGTGCATTTCAAAATAGCTAGAAGAGAAGAATTGCAATGTTTCCAGCACAAAGAAAAGATAAATGTTTGAGGTGATGGATATCCTAGTTACCCAAATTCGATCATTGCATATTGTATACATGTATCAAAATATCACATGTATGTATAATTATATATTTATGTACAACTATGATATACCATTAAAAAAAGAAAATAAACCTGTGTATAGGCATATGCTGATATTTATTGTGACTCTTATTTCTGTTTTCTGATTCTGACTTATAAATGTCTAGAATAAGGTTCTTTAAATTTGTAAAATCTTTGTACATTTTTGTGATTTGTTTTTTGGGTTTTTTTTGCAAATGTGGGGGAAGATCATTCATAGTTTTGTTTAAATTGAATTTTCAAAAAAGGCCATAACCCACAAATTGTTAAGAGCCATCCCCTAACTCAGCCTGTACCTTCATGGCCCTCAGCTGTTGAAATTCCCACCAGTCTGCTGGCATCATTGCATCCCTCCCAATTACTAGATTTTCCCAGTGCCTTCTTCCCAGATCATTCCTTCTCAATCCTGCCCTGGCATCAGAATCACCTCTAGACCCTGTACAGAATACAGCTGCTCAGGCCCCTTCTCAAACCTTCTGAAGGATGACCTTGGGAATGGGGCTCAGAAACCTGTATGTTTAAGAAGCTCCACAAATGATTCTGACCCAGAGCGCTATAAGTCAGCACAATTTTCTTTCTTTCTTTTTTTTTTGAGATGGAGTCTCACTCTGTCGCCCAGGCTGGAGTGCAGTGGCGCAATCTCAGCTCACAGGTTCAAGTGATTCTCCCGCCTCAGCCTCCTGAGTAGCTGGGACTATAGGCATGTGCCACCACACCTGGCTAATTTTTTGTATTTTAGTAGAGACGGGGTTTTACCATGTTGGTCAGGCTGGTCTCGAACTCCTGACCTCGTGATCCGCCCACCTCGGCCTCCCAAAGTGCTAGGATGAAGGCATGAGCCACCATGCCTGGCCAATTTTCTTATTTTCTTTCTTTCTCATTTTCTTTCCTTCTTTTTCTTTCTTTTTCCTTCCTTCCTTCCTTCCTTCTTTCCTTCCTTCCTTCCTTCCTTTCTCTCTCTCTCTCTCTTTCTTTCTTTCTCTCTCTCTTTCTTTCTTTCTTTTTCAGGGTCTCACTCTGTCACCCAGGCTGAGTGCAGTAGCATGATCATGGCTCACTGCAGTCTCAACCTCCCAGGCTCAGGTGATCCTCCCACCTCAGGCTCCTGAGTAGCTGGAACCACAGGCTTGCACCACCATGCCCAGCTAATTTTTAAATTTTTTGTAGAGACAGGGTTTTGCCATGTTGCCCAGGTTGGTCTCAAACTCCTAGGCTCAAGTGATCCTCCCGCCTTGGTTTCCCAAAGTGCTGAGATTACAGGCATGAGCCACCACACCCAGCTTCAATTTTCTTTACAAACTTTGAACAAAAGGAGATACTTCATGAACGTCCTCTTGTGGAATGATCTCCTGGAGGGAGACCCAAAGCAGCCCAGTCCTCCCACAAGAGACTCATCATCATCTAGATCTGGCTTTCCTGGTAAGATCCTAACTAAAGAAAGAGAGGTGAGCAAAGGAAAAGAAGGTATTTCCACCTTCACTAGTTTATAAAAAATAATGTCAGAGTTTCAATATTTACAGAAATGCCCTCACTTTTTGAAATGCAAGCATTTGATGCCTTCACAAAAGCTAGAATTTTTTTTTTTACAAATACCCCATACACAGTGGTGTGCTGGTAAATGTTTTACAATCAGCTCTGATTTGTAGCATTGCCTATTTCCATGGTGTAAATACTCCCATCCTGGCCAATTTGAAGCTACCAACTTGGCTCACAAATTTCCTGAAAATTAAAAAAGCCTCTCATATGCCAGTACAAGCCTACTCCATCCCACCACTGCATATGGAGAGTGATTATCTGGGAGAGATGGCTTCTGGATTTCTCCATAGGCTCAGGCATGCAGAATGATTCAGAGAGCTCCATTTGCTTCTTTATTCTCCTTCAGAAGATTCTACTGCGTGGCCTACTCCTTCCGAAACCAGTGCATGTTCGACACCGCAAGTCTTTCATGATGATGTTGAAAAAAAATAACATCCTGAAGATGTTTTGACAAATTAATTTGACTTTTGAATTATTTTCCTTTTGAGAGAATAAAATGTTCCAAAGGTCTCCTGGGAAGAGATTGTTCAAATAAGGTTTTATATTGTTGATTTTGTTTTAGGTAGTTAATGCTACTACCTCTTTATCTGTGGGTTAGTAAATTGACGTTTTTCTCCTTCATTTATCTGTGTCTGCTAGAACTGTTTGACATTCTCCACCCACACAGGTTCTGATGACATTACTTTTACTCATTGTCTATTTACCTGTGAAAGGATGAGCTGTTCATTCATGGGCATAAAGAGCAATGACTGAGGAAATGGACTAGTGTTTTTCCATTAATTTTTATAATCATGTCTTAGTTCACTATGATGACGTACAGTTTTCTCTTTGTTCCAGAGAACTATCAAAATTGTCACTGACATTTATTTACAACCATGATTTGTATAGGACAGTTTTAGAAACTTGAATACCAGTAGTTTGTCAAGCAAGATACAGCGCCTGCTTCTCTAGAATCAGGGGATGTTTAAGAGGTTATCTAGTCCAGCCTCACAGCTTGTCTCTTAGATATCTTTCTGCTTCTGTGGGAATTAATGACTTCTACTGACTGTAGATTTGTCTGGAGTTTTGCAGAACAAACCAAATCCTTCCCCACATAACTATCTTGGAAAACCTGGAGAACTTTCGACCTTTGGAAACTTGATGCTGCCTCCTAAACTTTTCTTCTCAACCTATGAAATGAGCTTCTCATGGAAATTATTTTCCAAAATAGATATACAAAGCACAATAAAATATGTTAATGAGAGAATCAGCTAAATTGATTCACTCGAATCATAGTTGCTGCCACAAGTCAGGTGCATTCCTATTTTCTTTCCATTACCTCTAGTGTCACTTCGTTTACCTCTGTTTTGTGCTTAACTTCTTAGACAAATTTATCTTTCCAATTTATCTTATTTGATAAGAATATTAGTGAAAGACAGCAGAATCTTCTAAGAGAGTTATCTAAGATAACTAGAAGCTAATAATTCTAAAAGATGCTTCAAGGTCCAAAAACCCTCTTCAGTAAATAAATGCACAAAGGCATTTTGATAAGCATTTGATGTAGCCGATAACTATTATAGCACTTTAAAAAATAATTATGGTCTTTTTGGTGATTAATATCTACAGAAAGATTTCAAATCATGAAACTAAATCATTAAAACAATCTCTGCCTTATCTGATTTGTATATTAAAACTTCTCTGTGCTCACTTAACAATGTTCTTAAACAAGTCAAAGGTATTTTTTTTTTTTTTTGAGACAGAGTCTTGCACTGTTGCCCAGGATAGAGTGCAGTGGCATGATGTCGGCTCACTGCAACCTCTGCCTCCTGGGTTCAAGTGATTCTCCTGCCTCAGCCTCTCGAGTAGCTGGAATTACAGGCGCCCGCCACCACATCTAGCTAATTTTTGTATTTTTAGTAGAGACAGGGTTTCACCATGTTGGCCAGGCTGGTGTGGAACTCCTGACCTCAGGTAATCCGCCTGCTTTGGCCTCCCAAAGTGCTGGGATTACAGGCGTGAGCCACCATGCCTGGCCACAAGTCAAAGGTTTTTCTGAATCTGAAGGCTTTCATAGGTAGCTTCTTCTTGAATGGTAATAATAAGGTGTTTTGTGATACTAATTTTAAATTATTGATTTCTGTGAATTTTAAATGATGAATTTATATGAATGGGAATGGAAATTATATTGCCTTTTTATTGTGAAGGTCGTCTTGTAGGATAGGACTATAGAGAGAGCAGAAGGAATTTTGAATATCTGATATTATTGCTGACAAATATTTTAGAAAAACTATATAATAGGTTAAAGTAAATTTTCTTCATTGATTTATTATGGCTAATATTTAGGGCAAAGGGTGATATACTCTCGTGAGTCAGTAACTGCTAGGATAACTTATTCAGTCAAAAAATTTTCCCTAGGCCCGTTTACCGCCACTCCCCCTAAGTTGAATTCATAATGATGCAGTGCTTTGGAAAACAGCTCTGTATTAATACAAGGTAAAAAAGCCCCCACAAAATAAAAGCTTCTTTTAATTATCCTAGCATGAAATGAAACAAAAAGAAAAGTAATAGGGTAGACGCTAATTTCATCTTTCTTTCTTTGTTTCTCTTTGTTTCTCTCTTTCTTTGTTTCTCTCTCTCTTTCTCTCTCTCTCTCTCTCTTTCTTTGTTTCGACGGAGTCTTGCTCTGTCGCCCAGGCTGGAGTGCAGTGGCGCGATCTCGGCTCATTGCAAGCTCCGCCTCCTGGGTTCAAGCGATTCTCCTGCCTCAGCCTCCCGAGTAGGAGTAGCTGGGACTACAGGCGTGCACCACTATGCCCAGCTAATTTTTTTTTTTTTTTTTTTTGAGATGGAGTCTCACTCTGTCGCCCAGGCTGGAGTATAGTGGCACGATCTTGGCTCACTGCAACCTCCACCTCCCAGGTTTAAGCAGTTCTCTGCCTCAGCCTCCTGAGTAGCTGGGATTACAGGCACCCACCACCATGCCCGGCTAATCTTTGTATTTTTAGTAGAGACGGAGTTTCACCAGCTTGACCAGGCTGCTCTTGAACTCCTGACCTCGTGATCCACCCGCCACTGCCTCCCAAAGTGCTGGGATTACAGGTATGAGCCACTGTTCCAGGCTGTAGCCTCATTATATGTCTTATTGTGTTTCAAAATTCTGCAGATTTCTTAGACCTCAGTTTCCCCTTTTGGAGAATCTTTGGAGAAACCAGAAGCCATCTATCCCAAATAATTGCTTTCCACATGCAGTGGTGGGTTGGAGTAGGCTTTTACTGGCATATGAGAGCCTATTTTCATTTTCAGGAAATTTGTGAGCCAAGTGACCACACATTAGTAGCTTCAAATTGGCCAGGGTGGGAGTATTTACACCATGGAAATAGTCAATGCTACAAATTAGAGCTGAGTGTGAAACATTTACCAGCACACCACTGTGTATGGGGTATTTGTAAAAAGTTTGTAGCTTTCTTTTGTGAAGGCATCAAATACTTTCATTTCAGAAAGTTAAGGCATTGCTGCTAATATTGGAACTCTGACATTATTTTATAAACTTGTGAAGCTGGAAATACCTTCTGTTCTTTTGCTCACCTCTCCTTCAATTAGAATCTTAGTAGAGATATTTTAGATGTCATATGTAAGACAACTTTGAAATTATATTAAAAGCAAATGCATAATTAAGATTACAAAATGATTCTGTAATATGTCTCTGCAGAATAATTCTGTAATATATTCCATCTTGACTGCCCATTAAAAATCAGATGAAGTGAGATTTCACTTTTAAGATATCATGTTGATTTGGTTGTTTTCTAAATTTCACTCTGAAGGAAGAAGCAAGAAGAGAGAATATAATGCTGTCATTTCTTTTGCAATCATTTTTTGTTCCTTTGCCTTTTCTTGGTTTCCTTTCTCCACTTTTTTCTTTACTTTTTCCTCATTTCTTCTGTAAGTGAGTAATCTGTTTTTGTAACCATCCTACCCCCTCGTGTTGTTTATTGGACCCCTGGTGACTTGCATTTCCTTTAGGAATATGCCCAGCATTTTTAGGCTGCTAAAATATGAGCCAATTAATGATGTTCTTATTGACGAGGTCTAGGAAACTTGTAGGGTTCAGTTTCTGCAAGAATGATTTACAGTCTATAATAGGTTAGAATGTCAAACAAGGGGAAACAATTAGTAGCACTAATGTTTTAACCCCAGGTTTATCACTGAGGGAGGATCATTGATGAAGAGGCCCATCTGTTCCAAAGATGTTTCCAACTTGCTTGTATAGCAGTTTGTAAATCAAATCAGTGCGGTGATTGTGAGGCTTATATAGCCACTTGTTTGTCAATTTTTAAAAATCACTGCTTTTGTGCACATTTCATCATGATATCTTTGAAAAATGGGGTTTTACCTGTGGAAATTACACTATTGTTTTTCAGCATTATGTTCAGTTTATTACATGTACCAGGAACACGTGTTTTGAAATTGTCACCAGCTCCAAGAATTATGTAATCAGTGAGTTAAATATATAACTTCCAAATGAATTAGTGCACCTATATTTTGGCAAAAATTTGTTGTTGGAGGAAGAATAGATTCATCCCAGAGTAAGTTTCTTGTCTATTTTCAGGATAAAAGATGGGAGAATTCTGTTACTATAATCAAGTTCTTTCTTAAAATACCCTTAACCTACTTTTTTTCCCTCTAAATAATGAATGCTCCACTTCTTACATAGAATTTCACAATTTACAACCCACATTCACATTTGTTATTTCATTTCCTGTTGGATATTTTCCCTCTGCTGTTTTCTTCCTATAGAAAGGCCATTGAATAATTGGCTCTAAGATTTGAAAGGAGTCTTCAGATTATCTGTTCAATTACTGTGCCTAGTGATCAGCCTGTCTCTTATTTCCAAAAGGAGAAGAAAATATTAGATAGGTAGACAGACTGATCATGGGGCCAAATAACAGAGTGAAAGTAAATTTTCTTTTCATAGGAGTGGAAGACAATATTATTTTTTACTTTTGTCTTTTTATTTGATCATTTATGTCATGCTCACCCTACTGACATGTGGACTTCTGTTTCAGTGGCTCTCTGGTCACTTTAAGGCATAAATTCCTTTTACCATTTGGGAACATTGCTAACTTGCCTCCAGCTTCAAATTTCACCCACATGGATGTGAGTTTCTGGGGTGTAAAAGAGTAACATTTTATTTTTGAGGCAAGAGACTTCTTTCTTTAAAGCTGCTTTTTTACTGATTTAGTTATTTCAAATCATATTAATACAAATTGGGGCAAATTAAGAGTTACAAGTCTGGACTTAAAATCATTTGCCTGCTCTGGTTTGGAATTTATGCAGCTATTTCTGCCTTAATTAAAACTGTGGATATTTTTAAAGCTTAGAATTTATTCTTATCTTATTCTGACGAGAATGCAAATCCAACCAGGCACATTAAATGTTCTGTGATACGGATGGAAAAAGATAGAAACTGGGCCCAGCCAGGCTGGATTTGGTTTGTGAGAAGATCGTCTTTTAATAATGGCTTGATTGATGATTGTGTGCCATGTGAAGTAACTGGAATGCTGGATGGTTACATGAAATTGTGGGAAAATTGACACAATGGGGAAAAGATGCTTGCTGAGCCTATGAAGTGCAACCTGTGCAAATATGATGATTCCTCAATTGCAAGATCAGGAACTCAGGATTACTGTGTAAAAAAGAAAATGAAGGCCGGGCGTGGTGGCTCACGTCTGTAATCCCAGCACTTTGGGAGGGCTGGGTGGGGGGGGGCGGGGCAGATCATGAGGTCAGGAGGAGTTCGAGACCAGCTTGGCCAATATGGTGAAACCCTGTCTGTACTAAAAATACAAAAATTAGCTGGGTGTGGTGGCGTGCGCCTGTACTCCCAGCTACTCAGGAGGCTGAGGCAGAAGAATTGCTTGAACCTAGGAGGCGGGACTGCAGTGAGCCGAGATTGTGCCACTGCACTCCAGCCTGGGCAACAGAGTGAGACTCTGTCTCAAAAAAAAAAAAAAAAAAAAAAGGAAAATGAATTAGTGAAGAAAGTAAGATGATGTAAAAACAACCATCCCCAGTGTCCTGAGGGTAGTGCTTCTAGCCGCTTTCCCCGCTCCCCCACCCCGTTGCTAGGAGAGAGATGAGTTAACACACAGGGACGTGTACATTATACCAGCCGGATCCACATACCTGGCAGCTGCAACCTGTTAAACCTGTGTTTTTTTCTTCTGTGTAAACACTATAAACAGGAAGGCAAACGTCATCCATTTACGCAGAAGAGAAAATTGATGATGAAAAACTGTCACTGCTTTGCTTAAAAAAGTCTAAGGTAAAGAACGTATTGACTCAGAGAGGGCCATTCAAAATCTAAAGTCTTCAATTTTATTGCTATTTCTGTATTAAGGATTCTGAAGGCAAAATTTCTTCAGAATCTGTTGTTTAGACTTTACAACAAAAATAGCTTTGGGGAGCTGCTTGCCTGGAGAGGTTTTGTGGTGACTATGGAAATTAATCTTCTTGATGGGAAATCAGCTGTTCACCATACTGCTGCCTTCATTCCCAAAGAAGAGTTTCCATTCCTACCTGGAATGGCTAGAGCCTGTTGGCTAGAGCAATGAGCCATTGAGGCCTCCTGATATTCCACCCGGGTGCAGCCTCCTTGAAGCTGCCTCAAGCCCCCTTCAGTTACTCCTTTATTCCCTTCACTGCTCCAGAAGGGTTTTCAAGCATCTGCAGCTGCACCTCTGTCTCAAGGGCAAGCTCTACTGTCAGCCACGCTGCTGCAAGGATGGGATTGAAAAGCAAGACCATTCATTTACTCTTTCATTCACAAATTTATTGAACTGATATTTAAGCTTAGAATTTATTCTTATCGTATTCTTACAAGAATGCAAATCCCTACTATGTTCCAGACTCTATGTGGGGGCACAGGTGACACACTGGTGAGCTAAAATAGATCCCATCCCAGGACTAATAGACCTTACAGTCTGGGTGACAGAGGAGTTAATCAAATAACTACATTGATGAATGTATATTTTCAAACTGAGGTGTTAAAAATAACAAACCCAGCCTGGGCAACATGACAAAACCTCATCTCTACAAAAAAATTAGTTGGGCATGGTGGTGCACACCCATAGTCCTAGCTACTCAGAAGGCTGATGTGGGAGGATCACCTGAGCCCGGGAGGTCGAGGCTGCAGTGAGCCATGATTGTGCCACTGCACTCTAGCCTGGGTGACAGAGTGAGCCTCTGCCTCAAAAAAAAAAAAAAAAAAAAAGAAAGAAAGAAAAGAAAAGAAAAATAACAAAGGAACTGTGGACTTAGACTAAAGCTACTCCAAGGAAGCTGTATTTAGCCATACTTAGAAGGCTGTGCGGATAAAATATGTGAATATGTGAAGCAGAGAGCATTATAGGGACGAGCCTCGTGGCTGAAAGAAGGATGGCTGAAACACAGGAGGGAAAGGCTGGTGCCTTGAGAGGCACCACGCCAAACCACATGGAGGTTCAAGATCTCGTAGAGAATTTTGGTCTTTATCATGAAAGCAAAGGGGAAGTTACTGATGGGTTCTTTGGTGGAGGTGACCTGAGGAGGGTTGCGTTTTAAAAAGAAAGCTTTGGCCTTGGGAGGGAAAAGAGCTGGAGAGAGGCCAGAGGGGTGGGAGGAATATCCCAGTTTGGAACCTTGAAGCAGTTTAGTTACATATCCAACATTCCTTCACCGTTGCCTCACTCCTGAACATTGTCCATTGCATGTCTGAGTCTTCTTCCAGACTCTACATTCCTTCAGTTTAGGAATGCTGACATATTTGCTTTTGGATCCCATGTAGTGTCTGACCCTGGGATTTGCATGTATGTCCAACAAATGCTGTATTTAAACAATGTGGCTGTTCCGCATCTCACAAGTCATGTTAGTTGGCTTAAAGGAGCATAGCTCTTCTGTATTCTAGTGATAACATTATATAGTGATCTAAGTTATTCCTGAGGACAGAAGGAGTTAGAGATACACTTGCCTTTTCTTTTGCTATCATATGTGCCTTGCATTTTATTTCCGTACATTAGTATCTTCAATATAATGACCTTTGTTGTCCTGTCTTCATGTCAACCTAAAGCATTGTTATTGTCATTAGTGTTACTACCGCCTCACAAATACATAGATATATTGGGGGAGATTTTTCCTGAGAGAAATCTGCAGATTTGAAGAGAAACCATGTCATACATTTTCTGAGTCTGAAAATCAGGAGTTGCAAACATAAATGAGTAAAGCAGCAGTAGGGAATGGCGCAGCCTGTGGCAGAACTAGGGGGAGCATGCTCTATCCCAAAGCATTCACATTCGAACACAAAATATACTGTGCTAGCTAAACCAGACATCTGGGGGCAAGTGTGGCTTAGTGACTATGGGTTTGTTGTTTCTTCTTTAATTGATTAAAAAAAGATTTAAACACAGAGAAGTTATAAAAATTTTCAGTGTAATTAGGGGTTGTGGGCCAAGCTTTATTGAGTGACATGAAGCTTCAAAGTTGTTTTGGGGAAGGGAGCAGGACCAAAATGCCTTCTTAGTGCAACTTTTTCAAAAAAACTTGTGAAGCCAGCTTCTAATATTCCCCTGGCTACTTGCTCTCTCTCTCTAATGGGCTGCAGCAGTTTCTCCTGTGCCTCAATCAAATGAATACATCACATAAATGAGGGTATAAACTGCATGAGTTTACAGAAAGGAAGAAGGTTATTATTACCTTTGAAATCAGAAGCCAAGAAAACATCTCTTCTCACACCTCCTCATCTCTTCTCTTACTTTCTGGGCAAGTCCCTAGGGGTAATTTTATTAGAGACTCTCCCTCAAAGTAAAAACTGAGGGGGGTATAAATAGCCCCGATCCTGCTCCCACCTGATCCTTAGATTAAGATTAGCATAAGCTCAGGCTGAGAGGTCACCACAAGGTCATAGTTTTCTGGGGTGAATAGTCACTTAATTCAGAAACTCAGGAATCTCATGCAAAGAATGCTTAGTTAACATATTTCCAGGAGAAAAATAATTCTAATTTGCTTTCTTATACCAAGAACCAGCAGTCTTAGTGATTTTGTAAATGCAGAAATTGGGCCCGTGGGATGGATGAAGCAGAAACGAGCAGAACAACAGGATTAATTGAGATCACTTTGCTGCTACGTTCTGCAATTTCATTACTACTCCTAAAACGCAATGGAGAGTCTCACAAACAGGCAACAGTGACTTTTGTTAGTATTCTGAGCCCTTCAGCAAAGTATATCCTCTTTGGGCTGATTTATACCATAAGGATAATAAAAATACATGCCTTACACATTTTAGTGGGCTGTTGTGAAGAGAAAATTAGATTATGTATGGCAAGGAACTTCACAATGACAAGATAATGTCATGTAATAATAATATTAAAGAAAATTATAGGAAACATATAGCACTTGCTATTTGTCAGGCACTGTTCTAAGCATTTACATTCATTATTTTATTTAGTTCTTATAATAACCTTCCGTATGGGCTAGAATCTATTGTTATCTCTAATTTTTAGATGGAAAAACAGAGCCACAGAGAACTGAAGTAACTTGCCCAAGCCTAGACAGTAAGAATTGGTGCTAGGATTTGAATCCATGCAGTCTGGCCCCTCTCAATCACTATGATTTAGGAATAAAAACAAAAAAACAAAAACATAGACGTTTAAGTAAACCAGAAGACTAGCATTTGAATCCTGGCTTCCCAGGCCATGTAACTATGGAGACAGTCTTCTTAAGCAGTCTGAATTTCAGTTTGTTTATCTGCAAAATGAAGTTGGATAATAATACTTATTTTTAGATGTTTGGTCAGGATTAAATAAGAAAACATGCAAAGCACAGTGTTTAATAGGAGGCACGTAGTGTGTTATTATTATTAGTTATTGTGGGTGAGATGGTATATTAGTCTTGTCAGACTGCCATAGCAAAATATCCACAGACTGGCTGGCTTAAACAACAGAAATTAATTTTCTCACAGGCCTGGAGGCTAGAAGTTCAAGATCAAGGTGGCAGCAGGGGTGGTTTCTGGTGAGGCCTCTCCTCCTGGCTGCCGCCTTCTCACTGTGCTCTCACATGGTCTTTCCTCTGTGCAGAGGAGAGAAAGAGGGCTCTGGTGTCTCTTCCTCTTTTTATAAAGATGACAGTCCTATTGGATCAGAGCTCCACACTTATAACTTAATTTAACCCTAATTACCTCCTTAATACAGTCACATTGGATGTTAGACCTTCAACATACTAATTTTGGGTGAATACAGTTCAGTCCATAACAGGTGGGTAGCTGGGAGGCGAGGAATAGAAGGATAGAAGGGGTATTTTAATGTCTACGGTAGATTTTTTTTTAAGGCATCGCTGCTGGAGGAAAAAACCCATCAGATATTCATAATACATTTGTAGGTATACAATATATTTGGCTCTGTATGTCATAGAAAACATCTCCATGCTATCTATTAATCTTTTAGGTGAGCCTGAATTTAAATACATTGGGAATATGCATGGGAATGAGGCTGTTGGACGAGAACTGCTCATTTTCTTGGCCCAGTACCTATGCAACGAATACCAGAAGGGGAACGAGACAATTGTCAACCTGATCCACAGTACCCGCATTCACATCATGCCTTCCCTGAACCCAGATGGCTTTGAGAAGGCAGCGTCTCAGGTGAGTGCCAGGCAGCTCAGATCAGGCGTGCTTTCTTCATTTTCTGTATGTTTGTACATACATGTTTATCTAAAAATTATGCCCTCGCACAAAGCTTACAGATGGTGCAGTGGAGGGCATAAGTGATGCATTCATTATTCAACTCACCAGTAAGAAAATAGTTTAGAATGAAAGGGATTATGGGTGAGTTTTTCCAGTGAAGACTGCAAATCAGAAATTGTGTTAAGAAGTTAATGTTCTAATAGTGTTCTGTTTTATGTTTTTCAATAAATTATTCATCCATTTTTGTGACTAGGTAAGTTTTGTTTTAAAAATCTACAAATATAAAAAATATCTACTGCCTTTTGTTGAAGAGTAACGCCATGGGTGTATGTGGATGAGCCAGTGTCACAGCGCCCTCTACTGAATTTAAGGAAGAAATACTTTTGGCCGGAATAATGTTTTACTGATGTTTACTTGGTTTTTACATACGCTGAGTAAAGTTAAAAAACAAGCGAAAACCCTACCTCTTAACTAAAAATAATTTAATATATCTTCGCTGTTAGATGAACTGGAAAGTAATGCCTTTTTAAGAGAAGATATATGGTGTGTGTTCCTATTTTATTGGACGGGGCGGGGGACATTATATTTGCTGTTTTCTACAGTTTAAAATAATTTTCTTAGTCTATGGGAACATGGGAACACATTCAAGTTAATATTTAGCATGTTTATCTACAGCTAAAAAATCCAATGACATAGTTTGACATTGTAAGAAACCCAGCCAATTTCTGTAAATAAATATAAAATTGATACGATTTCTAAAGTTATGAGAGAAAAATTCTAGTAATATATAAAATTAAATTATTTAATATTTTAAGGTAATATTCAGAATTTTTAGACACATGGGCAACAGATTATCATTGCTGTTTTCTGTCTTATAGATTTTTATCCCTCACAGTCTAAGGTATCTAAACTTCCATGACTTAAAATATGTGGGAAATATATCTATATCATGTGATATAATTTAACAGTAAAACAAGAAAATTCACATTATAAAATGAAACAAATATACCGAAAATTTATTAGTTTTCCAGATTGTACCATTAGTTAAATGAAGAGTTTAAACGGGAGAGAAATTCCTCAAATCATAAAGCCCTAGAACTTTTGTTCTAGGTTCATATTTTTTCATGAAGACTATAAGAGGGAGACATGTTATTAGTCTATAACGCATGTTAAATTCATTTTAAGCTTCTAATCTTTAGTTATTCTTCTAAATATTTAAAAAATAGGTTGCTGTGATTTACAGAGGCAATGAATATTTTACTTAAATCTAATTATAGAATGATATGCTTTGAAATAGGTCATTTATAACTAGTGAATATATATTGTGAAATTTGATAAATATCTCTTTATATTATTAACATTTAAAATATTATTCATCGAACATATTTTCAAAATACTTATGACAAGTACAGTGATGCATCTCTTAATAATGGGGAAGCATTCTGAGAAATGCAATGTTGGGTGATTTTGTCATTTTGTGAACATTCTAGAGTGCACCTACATAAACCTGCATGGTGTAGCCTACTACACACCTAGGCTATGTGATATAGCCCATGGTTCCTAGGCTACAAGTCTGTACAGCATGTTACTGTACTGAATACTGTAGGCAACTGCAACACACTAGTAACTATTTGTGTATCTAAACATAGAAAAGGTACAGTGAAAATACAGCATAAAAGATAAAAACAGTACCTTTGGACAGGGCTTTTACCATGAATGGAGCCAGAAGTTGCTCTGGGTGAGTCAATGAGTGAGTGGTGAGTGAATGTGAAGGCCTAGGACATTACTGTACACTACTATAGAATTTATAAACACTGTACACTCAGGTTACACTAAATTTATAAAAACTATTTTTCTTCCTGCAGTAATAAATTAAACTTACCTTACTGTAACTTTCTTTTTTTTTTGAGATGGAGTCTCACTCTGTCACCAGGATGGAGTGCAATGGCATGATCTCGGCTCACTGCACACTCCGACTCCCTGGTTCAAGCTATTTTCCTGCCTCAGCCTCCCAAGTAGCTGGGATTACAGGCACGTGCCATCATGCCCAGCTAATTTTTTATATTTTTATTAGAGACGGGGTTTCATCATGTTGGCCAGGATGGTCTTGATCTCCTGACCTCATGATCCACCCACCTTGGCCTCTCAAAGTGCTGGGATTACAGGCGTGAGCCACTGCACCTGGCCACCTTACTGTAACTTTTTTACTTTATAAACTTTTAAACTTTAAAAACCTTTTGGACTCTTTGTAATAACACTTAGATTGAAACACACAACACATTGTACAGCTGTCCAAAAATCTTTTCTGTCTTTATATCTTTATTCTACAAGCTTTTTTCTATTTTTAAAACTTTTTTAAAGCATTTTAATGGTTTCTTAGTTTTTCAAATGTTTTGTTAAATATAAGACACAGGCTGTGTGCAGCAGCTTATATCTATAATCCCAGTGCTTTGGGAGGCCCAGAGGAGAAGATTGCTTAAGGCCAGGAGTTTGAGACCAGCCTGAGCAACATAGCGAGACCCTGTCTTTACCAAAAATAAAAAACTTAGCCTAGCATGATTGTGCACATGTGTAGTCCCAGTGCTTTGGGAGGCCAAGGAGGGAGGATCACTTGAACCCAGGAGTTTGAGGTTACAGTTAGCTGTGATTATGCCACTGCACCCAAGCCTGGGCAACAGAGTGAGACCCTGTCTCTTAGAAAAAAGAAAAAGAAACTAAGACACAAACACACATATCGGCCTAGGCCTACACAGGGTCAGGATCATCAAAATGTCACTAGGCAATAGGAATTTTTCACCTCCATTATAGTCTTATGGGATCACTGCTGTATAGTCTGTCAGTCGTGGTAAGAAATGTCATTATGCGGCCCATCACAGTACTTTAAATCTGATACCTTCATGTTTATATAAGTAAAGTAGTGAAAATGCTGACATGGGAGGGCATTGTTGAAGTAAATAATCTTAATAGTTATTTTAAAGAGCATTGATAGGGACCTTAAATAGAAAGTGACATAATAATAAGCAACTAATGATTTTTCTCTTTGACTTTTTTTTTTTTAGCCTGGTGAACTCAAGGACTGGTTTGTGGGTCGAAGCAATGCCCAGGGAATAGATCTGAACCGGAACTTTCCAGACCTGGATAGGATAGTGTACGTGAATGAGAAAGAAGGTGGTCCAAATAATCATCTGTTGAAAAATATGAAGAAAATTGTGGATCAAAACACAAAGGTAGTGACCACGGGATAGTCTTCTTGGGTTCGTCTCTAGCCTAAGGAAATATGTTCCAATATCTTCATCATCATGAAGGACAGAGGAGTAACATCACAGCTTGTATGGGGTGGTTAACTGTGGCTTTAAGTCAAGGCTGGAAGGGCTGGTGCCATGAAATTTGTCCTGGCCCCTAGAATTGGGCCGTAGGTGGAGAGGAGTTGGAGGTGCAGATATAGGGAGGAACCCAGTTGTAGGTTTCTTAGAAAATCACCATGGCCTTCTCAGAGACCCTTTATTAGCTCATTTGATCAGCTCCTCCTGCCATATTACCCTGTTGCTCCTTTTCTCTTTTCCAGAACTTTCTCCTCCCTTGCTTTACAAAACTCTACTTTCTCCTACCTCTTCTACTGTCTTTCAAATCACTACTCAGTTTTTTTCCCTGTTTCTTCTACCTGGGCATAAATGCTGGCCATTTTCAGGGTCTCATCTGATACCGTTATTTGCTTCCCTGGGCTTCCCTCCTTACCTGTACTTTCAGTGTTGTCTGTTACACAAGGTCTCCCAGATCCGTGCCTCTAACTCCAGACCTTCCACAGAGATTTATGTCTCTGTTTTACTAGCTAACTTGGGTTCCTTTAACTGGTGGAACTTGATATCTCAAGCTCAGGTTGTCCAGAAACAAATATTTTCCCTTAGAACCACTATTCTTTCATTTATCCCAATCATCAAAGCTTTTGATTTTTCCATCTCTGTCACCGCTCACCAGTTACCACCTCTCAGCGATTTGATCTCTCTGACACCTCTTCCATTTCCCTTCTTCTGCAAACTCATTCCCCTGCCTCAGCTGAGATCCCCACGGTCTCCTGCTGTAACTGGCACAGTGGCCTCCTACTTGTGTTTCATGTCCAGCCTCTCCCAACTCTATTCTATCTTCTCAAATTCTCAATCTTCCAGAGTGACCTCACACACAAATTATTGCTCTTTTGCTTAAAAAACCTTAGCAGCTCTCCACTGCCCAGAAGATAAAGTGAAAACTTAATGTGATGGTTAAGTATGGAGACTCTAGAGGTAACCACCTTGGTGTAAATCATGGCTTCATACTTGCTGTGTGAACTTTGTAAAGTTATTTGACCTCTCTGTGCTTCAGGTTCTTCATCTGTAATATGGAAGTGATAATATCTACCTCATAGGATAAGGATTGAATGAGTTAATACATATAAAGTACTTGAAGCCAGGACCTGGAACTTTTATTACCATTTCAGTGTAATTTTTTGGTACTCTCTGTTATGTAGCTCAGGGCTAGGTGGACACATTTACATATCCACTAAACATTTGGTGCATCTTTGAACCAATATTGTCATCAGTCACTTGGAGGACAAATTGAGCCCATCTTGGAGGAAAGGTGAAGAACTGCTGTCAGCAGCCCTCTATTCCTTCTCTATTGTTCTGGGTATTTCTGCTTTCATATGTCCCCTACATGTAGTGTCTTTCCTAAGTGAGAGCTCGCAAAGTACCATTTCTCCATTTCATTCTAGTTGCTGGGTCATTCCAGCAGCTCTTGGCCCCTGGAAGCTGCCGGCTGGTTTATTCCTTAAGCTGGCTTCGATACCCTATAGACTCAACTCATACCAACTCTTTTGTGCTCCTAAACATACCATTTTCTAACAATTTTATGTCTTCAGATGAGTTGCTGCTCCAACTGTCTAGAATTCTCTTGTCTTTCCTTCCATGCCACTCCCTCTGTGAAGTCATCCTCTACTCTTCAAGACAGATTCTTTTTTCACATGTTCTTCATCTATACTTCCAGTATGGGCTTACTGTTACATCCAGCTTTATGTATGTTATTTGTTTATACACCTGTTTTCCCCTTTGATTCTAGAATTTGATCACTTGATTGTAAGAATTACGATTAATATTTGATTATGACAGGCAGTAGGCTGAGGGCCTGTTATGAATAAACACAATCCAGCTCAGCAAACAAATCACAATATCTGAAAAAGAGGGCCACTGCAAGTAAGCAGACAGGAATCCAGACAAGTGTTCATCATGGGGTTGGGATGCTGGATGAAGGATCCAGGAGACAGGGAGCCTTAGATTATTGGTTTAAACTTTTAAAAACTCTCCTGCCTATATATGGGATTCATTGCAGAAACATGGGCTGAGCCTACAGGTGGGGGCTGGTCTTCTTAGTGGTGGCAAATCCATACAGGTCTTCAGCAACCTCAATTCTTGCCTCCTCAGAAGAATTCGACCAAGAGGCATAAGGCAGAGTGAGAGACTAAAGCAAGTTTTAGAGCAGGAGTGAAAGTTTATTAAAAAGTTTAGAGCATGAATGAAAGGAGGTAAAGTACACTTGGAAGAGGGCCAAGCAGGCAACTTGAGAGATCAAGTGCACTGTTTGACCTTTGACTTGGGGTTTTCTATGTTGGCATGCTTACAAGGGAGCAGGAGGTTGTGTGTCTTTTCCCCTGATTCTTCCCTTGGGGTGGGCTGTCCACATGCACAGTAGCCTCCTAGCACTTGGTAGGCACTGTATTCACAGTGTGTTTATCGAAGTTGTATGCATGCTCTCTTGAGTTGTTCTTCCCTTACCAGTTGAGTGTTCCTACTAAGTCACATACCAGTTAATCCGTGCCATTTTGCCTCTTAGTATGCTTAAGCCCACTTGCCCAACTCCTGCCGTCTTATCAGGAAGCCGATCACCAGTTTTAGGCTTTTCTGTCTGTTGAGGGACTGCCTTTCCCTGGCACTTGCTGCAACCAATTATTATGTTACAGAGGCAGTTTAACAACCGCTTGACCATCACCTGATGGTTGCCTGACATTCCTGGTGGTTGGAGGGCCCTCTCTTGTCCTGCTCATGTCTGACTACCTACCTACCATAACATTTCCCCCCTCAAGAATCCAAGACCTCAATTCTTTGGGAAAAATGGATAAAGGTCAGTCTTCTGTAACTGCTTCCTACTGATAGAGGGGTGGTGGTGGTTGTTTTGTGGGTCTTCACCTCTTGCTAGCTGTCAGGGTAGGATGGCTCCATGGGTTGGTAAAAACAGTATCCAGCCAGGCTGGAGGGAGAAAGGGGTGGAATTAAGCCTCTGTCATGTCTTGTTGATGGGAAGTCTAGGGGTCCTCTGTAGAAGGGTGACTCTTGAATACTGACATGATGGTGTCTCTCACTGAGGATCATCTGGAGCTTGATGGCCTGAAGGCAAGAGGAGACGAATTAGTTTATTAGATTTAGAAGAATGTCAAAATGAAATAAGGGAGTGAGGACAACTCCAAAAAATCCTGACGCTGCCAACACACTCAGGTAACTGGTGGCTATTTTCGTGCCTGCTAAGACTTGTGTGGATGGGGTTACAAGCCAATTCCAATGTGTTCCCAGAATTAGAATATTGATCCAGATTTTTACATTACCCATTCCTCTTGTTTCTTCTGAGCTGTGGCCAGAGATCACTGGTTGGTTCACAGGAATAAACAGGGTTAGTCTAAATTGCAGACAAAAACTCAAAAACAACTGCTGAGAATAGAATCTAATACCAAGTTATTAGATTATAGTCTGTTATGTTCTTGAAACATAACTTTTCTCTCTCCAGTCCTCATTTTTATTAAAAACAAATCATGATAGGACTGATTTGTTTGCAAAATAAGCATTAGTCCTATCATACTTGGCCTGGTTATTTGCATAAAGCACAGCAAGAATAATTATTTGCCATATAGGCTCCTTTTTAAATTGGCTTTGATGAAACTTCATTCCATAAGGTATTTCAGATAAGACGTTTTAAATGCCTTGAGCCCAGCCATGGGTTTCTGCCATCAAATACCTGTATGAATTGGGTAAATTCCTCTCCTCTTGAGGTCCTAAATAACCTGGGGCTCCTAGGCCTGTCAGAAAGTGACATTCTTTACTCCCCATGGATCAGGAACCCTGTACAGGGACTGTGTAGACAAGGTATGAGACCAGTTTTCCCAAGGGGTTTTTATTGGCTCTATAAGTCAAATTTGATTCCTTAAAGGAGAGCATGCCATTCCAGTCAAACCCTTGGTAAAATAACCAGTTTCTCCAATTGTGCCTTGTTGCAAAAGAAAACAGATTACTATTGCACTTATGCAAATAACTGTATTGCCATTAGTTAAGAATACCCACAAATAGTTTCCAAATTCTGGAGAAATCAGGTAGAGAGAAATATGCTCCAAATTTTGTTTACAGGAGTACTTATTTTTAAAAGCTGTAAATAGCTCAAAAGAAAGTTTTCTTGACTTTGAAAAACAAAGGATCAGCAATGTTTTAAGCAAAAAGTCATAAAAGGATTATTTTAGTCTTCTTTTAGTTCAGTCCATGCAGTTAACTCCTGTTCTGCCTGGTATTTGTGAACATTTCAGCTCTCCATGAGAGTCCTGAAAGTTCTTTCTCTATTCTAATGTTACAATCTTTAAAGTTATCAGCAACCTGCATTCAAGAGTGCCTGCCAGAGTCCTATAGCTGATTATAAAGGCCACCTTTTAAAGAGGATTAAAACAAGACAACAATTGTGAATGAGAAAAAGTCTTAGGGCAGCCACAGTCAAAGACACAGTTGCCAAGAAAATTTGTTATTTCTGTGGCACACAATTATGTAGCATAACAGTTATAATTATTACTGACAATGTATACTAAGTTATATCAGAATTATAGGAGCTTTGTATAATTTTGGAACACATACAAATAACACATTTATGAAGAGTAGATCAATGCTTTACTAAAAGTCTGTTGTGCTTTTCAATTTGTGGAAAAACTGAACAATAGTTCTTTAACTTTAGCCAATATGATTAGGCATAGAATTTTTTTTATCAGATTGATCTTTCACAAACCTTCCACAACTTGCTCAAACCTTCAGCTTTATCCTATCTAACTTTAAAAAATCCTTTAACTCTCTAAACTAGGTCAAAAAAATCCACATTTTTATGCCTTTTTATATAATCTTTTACTAAAACCACATTCTACTTTCCTTACATGCCTTGCATATAAAAGTTTTCCAGTAGTCTCAAGAACATGTTACACTGTTAACTCTTAGCAACTTTTACTTTTGGTGAAAAACCTGCTAAGTAAGTGATTCTGACTATGTACTAGGTTTGCAGCTTAGGACACTAGACAGAAATGCAGAAAAGGTTTGACTCTTTCTAGCATCTAGGGGGCATGGGTAACTCTGTATGTCCCCGGGCCTCACGTAGCTTTAAAGGCAGCAAGTTGTACAGTTAGGAGTCAAAGTAGCAGTTTATGAAGCATTTAGTAAGCCTAATAACTTTTAAAACTGTATAACTTTTTAAAAATAAATTCTCTTTCACAGATCTTTTCACAACTTACACAGACCATCTATGACATGCTTGGACTTTCTGATTTGTCCCAAACATTCCTCTTTTTAAACAACCAGTCATTTAATTTAGGACAAGAATTTACCATACAAGATCCTTTCTCATATAAAACTTCTGTTCTTTATAATCTGCCTTACCAAAAATACCTCCTCTTTCTCTTTATAGCTTTTGAATTATATTAAAGTCATTTTCTTTCTGTTAGGAAGTTAAGGTTTGTACTGCATGTTGCTGTGTGAGGATTGTGAAGGGGGAGCAGAGAAGAATGAGGTTATCTGCATACTGCAGAAGTTATCCCCCCTCAAGAGATTGCTCAGTTAGATTTTTGCTGGGGCTTGTCTGAATAAATGTGGGCTATTTCTGTATCCTTGAGGTAGGACTGACTAGGTTGAAGTTATTAGTTAAACATTTAGGTAACTTTCCAGAAGAAATAGAGCTATTAGAGGGAAAGATGAATTTAGAGACTGGGTAAATATTAATCAGGCACCCATCTTGGAAAGCATATTTTTGCCCAAAAGAGTGTGAATCTTTTCTTTTGGAAGGAGGAGGTGCCATTTGCCCCATTATGTGGCAGAATTTGGAGGAGAGTTCAGAGAAGGAGATTAGCACAGAGTAGGCAGCTCTTAAATCCCAAAGGGAAATTTATAATTTTACTCCTCCAGGAGTTTCTCTTAGCTTTGTCTTGTCAATGACTTGGAAGCCAGCCAGAGCAGAGAGCCCCTTCAGCTCAAGGCCATTAGGCATTGGGACTCTGTCCCAGAGCCCTTTGGCCCTCAGGGCATCCAATTTCCAGTAGCTAAGCTTGTGGCAGAGGGGGCAAGCTGTGCTAGGCTTCCTCTCATTTGTCCCATTGGGGCAGTTTGCCTTCCAGTGGCCTGGCTTCCCACACCAATGGCAGTTACCTGAAGGAGTGTTTTTAGGGAAACCTGGATGGGGGCTGGAGAGCTTATAAAGCAGCCAATAATTGAGCATTCCTCTTGTTTCTGCATTTTTCCTTCTCCTTATCTCTATCCTCCTTATTATGCTCTCAGTTATAAAAGACTGAGGAGGCTGATTTGAGGGTTTCCTGCATAAGGGCAATGGGTTCCAAGGCTGACTTTTGTATTTTCTCCCAGTTCATTTTTAGGCCAAACGATATTACAAAGGAAAGCTAGTTTTGTTTTGTTTTAAGCTTTGGGGGAGTCAAATGTTTCTGTTTTTGGGGATGCATCTGAGGAGTATATCCTGTGGTATAGAGACATGGTTACCCATCTGTAAAGAGGGAACAGAGGAGAAAAAAAAGGAAAAAGGAAAACAAAGGCATCCCCTCTTACTTTCCTGTTATCCTAGATAAGCATCTCCCATTCATCCTTAGGGTTCTGGAATGAACCAGTCTTACCGTGTACCCATTACCTTGGTTCCATCTCATCACAATTACCCACTTGAGAACAGAAGAGATACTAGAGTAAACAGTGGGACCCTTGTTCATCCTTGGGACTCTGGAATAACCGTTCTTACTGTATACCCCTAACCTTTCCTTCATCTGTTTTAATGGTAATCTGTTAACCTAGAACCAACCTTCATGTCTGTCATATGGGTCTTTTGTGACTGCAACCTTGGGCTGGCCTATGTCCTTGTCTCCATGACATTATGGTGACTCTCACTCAGAGCATTGTAGCAACAAAATGATTGTCTCTTTTTTCAGATTTCCTTCCCATGTTCTTTAAGTAGATGAGAAGCCTGTTTTTCAGCTAACTGCCACAAGATGGCTGGATTTCCCTCCCTTCGAATATGACCTTGAAGGTCTTGGTGCATGTTAAGAAGGGCATGGAAGTGATTAGAGAAATGGAGGCTATGGGAGGAAGTGAGATAAATACTCATGGAAAGCTTTCATATGCGAGTGAAACGGCAACATTTATTTGCCCTCTTAACATAAAGTAGTAACCTCCGGAGGACTTGAGGCTTGAGGTAAGAACTCACAAGTGGCAAAGGAAGAATTTTCCCTCCTTTCAAAGGAGTGTTAACTCAAAAAAAGCAAATAAGTGAGATCCTTAAAGGGCCACAGTGAGGACCTATGCAGACACACAAAGTACTTAAAAAGTCACTGGAAAACAGCCCTGGAGGGTAACAGGGACAAAAAGTATACAATAAATCATAAGGGCTGGGATTCCAATTTGTATCTATCCTGGCAATGCGCCACCAGACAGGGGATGAGTTGGAGGTCATCTGAGCTGGTAGGGTAAAAACAAGTATAAACCTCAGGGGATATTTGCAAGGGAGCCTATGTCTTTGCTGCTGCACAAATGCAGCAAGAGCCATGGGCACACAAATAACAAGGAGTGTGTGTTTAAGAAGTTACATGGCATGTGACGTGAAAGCAAACAAGAGGCAGGCTTGCCCCTGAGGCGGATGGTCTAGCTGGTGTACAAGGCCATTTGAGAACACGAAGGAGAATAGGAGGTGAATAGGTGGAGTAAAAAGGAGAATAGGCAGTGGTTTTGGGGAAATAGCCAACTTTAGTTGAAAAAGCAGAGGAAACCCCAGACATTGCAGTGTTAGGCTTTAGTTCTACCACTCTTGTAAGCCTCCTGTCCAGGAGGGCCATTAGTGTCTGAGTTCTACTCGGTGTGAACTCCGAGTTCCTTCCACCCCTCCGAGCCACCCATTAGAGTGAACTGAAAGATCAGCTAGCGGGAGCAGAGCCATTGTGGCTGAGAAGAATTGTTCTAGTGGTTGGTCAGTAAGCAGGAGAGCAAAAAGAGAGAAGGAAACTGCATACAGGGGTTGAGTACCTCCAGCCAAAGAAGGTGAGGCATAGAGGTCCTTTACCACTGGGAAACATATCCAAGTCATGTGGCACAAAGGTATGTTACCAGTGATGAATCCATATGGGTTTGCAGCAACCTCAATTCTTGCTTCCTCAGAAGAAAGAATTAAATTGAGAAACATAAGGCAGAGCGAGAGACTGAGGCAGGTTTTAGAGTAGCAGTGAAAGTGTATTAAAAAGCTTTAGAGCAGGAATAAAAGGAAGTAAAGTACACTTGGAAGTAGGCCAAGCGGGCAACTTGAGAGATCAAGTGCCCTGTTTGACCTTTTGACTTGGGGCTTTATAGGTTGGTATGCTTATGCTTCTGGGGGGTTGTGTCCCTTTTCCCCTGATTCTTCCCTTGGGGTGGGCTGTCTGCATGTGCAGTGGCCTGGCAACACTTGGGAGGGGCGCTTGCACAGTGTGTTTACTGAAGCTGCGCACATGCTCACTTGAGGCGTTCGTCCCTTACCAGTCCAGTGTTCCTAGAGGAAGGTCATATACCAGTTAAACTCTGCCATTTTGCCTCTCGGTGCGCATGTATGAACCCATTTGCCCAGCTCCTGAGATCTTATTGGGAAGCTGCTGATCACCAGTTTCAGGTTTTTTAATCTATTGGGAGACTGCCTTTCGCTGGCGCCTGCTGCAACCAATTATTATTTTAGAGAGGCAGTTTAACAACCTCCCGCCCATCACCTAATGTTTGCCTGACATTCCTGGTGTTGGGAGAAGGCCCTCTCCTGCCCTGCTCATGTCTGACTAGCTACCTACTGCAACAGTCTGAGACAAAGGCTACCAAAGGCTGAGGACACTGGCAGAACCTGATAAGTGAGTGACTTAAGCTTTCCTGCTTCTGAGTCATGGATACACGTCACTGTCTCAGCCTGAAAATTATCTTTCATGGGAGAGGGGGAGCCAGAAAGGCGGCAGGCTGGGGTAACCCCAGGTGAAAGAGGGCAGTCCTGTGTGGTAAACCACGAGGGCTGAGACAGAAATGGAAAACTTCTGGAAGCGGAGTCCCCATATTAGCCTACAAGCTTTCCCCATTGCTTGCATTGACTTGCTTGTGCTGTCTTTGTTAAATCTGAGAAATGAAGAAAATAATTCCTTCCACCTATCATAGAAGAATGGTGAAATCAACTCAGGTTGACAGGATATTTGATTGTCAACTTTGTGCAAGCACCATTATTTCTAGCCAGCACTACCTTCTTCTCCAGCTGAACCTGAATATTTGCATAATCTCTAGATTAGATGTTTTTGTATTTCTAGCTTAGGCAATACTTATTTAAAAGAGGCATGTTCATGGTACTATTTTTTAATAAGAGCTTTTGTTTAAAACAAACTCAGTGTGACTTCTTTTCATAAAGGTAAATTAAAGAAAAATACATGAAAATGAAAGATTAGTCCCTTTTTGGAACATAAGCAAGATTTGTTTACTTTACACTAAATCTTTAGTAAACTTACTTCATAATCATGGGGTGATATTGCCTATGTCTGGTTCATCACCTTTTTCCATTTTTGTCTGTAAGTGTGAGACAGTGTTTTGACCCAGCTTGGTACAAAATATATAGTAGGCAGTTCATTAATGTTATTATACATTCCTCTTCCCTCTTCCCCTTCTCAGCCTAATATCTGTATTTGTATCCCTTATAGAGGTTCTTAAATGTCAAGATTTATTCTTCTGTTTGGTGGAACAGGGAATCAAATCAGATTAATAGAAAATAGAAATGCAGATTCCTCCTCCTTTGTATAGCTGTGAGAAAAAAAAAAAAGAAATTCATATTCCCACATAAGCTGATCCAGGCCTGGGGTGTGTGTGCTTCAGGAGGGGGTGGTGGGAAGGAAGTTCATTCTTGCAAAGCCCTCCAGATGCTGGAGGTAGCTGAGACACATCCACTCGCTCGAGATCCATGCTCTCCTTGTTCTTCTGAACTTCTCTGAATAAAAAGCTCTCTCTTGCTCTCCCAGACTTCCTTCTCTAAGTCGTTTGTCATCGGCTCTTGAGCTCTTCAGCCTGGTCACCTCCACTGTTATCTGGGCTCAGTACATGAGCCTTGGCCTGAAAGCAGAGTCAATTAAAATATACCCAGCCATTTATTAAGTTTACCCTGACTTTAATAGCTAGAGTTGTGAAGAAAACTGAATAAATAGAGCTTCAACATAATTTAAGAACCAAAGACATCTAATTATAGAACATCATATTTGAGCTGTATTTATAATCTTTAAATGGAAAGTTTAAAGAAAGGCCACAATTGTTTCTAGTTTCTATTAAAGGCTCAATTTTAAAGGTACTCCAAAGTCTTCTCTGTGGATCAGTTAAATATATAATTATAGTACACAGGGGTCTCAGGATTTAGTCAGACTAAAAGATTCTGTTAATAGTCAAAGGGAAATTTAGTTTAATTTATCAAATTGTAGAATTTGCTTGCTTTTGAACATACTGGTAACATGCATATAAGCAATTGTGTATGATGTAAGAACTAGTAATAGGCTAAACCTGATAGCTTCACACAACTTTGTGTATTTAGGGCTGTATCTTTCAATTTGTTTCAAGAACAGTTTCTTTTAAAAGTTTTTTATTGCAAAATTCATATTTTATTACAAAAATTAAAACATGCAAATAAGGAGAAAGAAGAATCCATTACCCTACAATCTTCAGTGAACACCATTAACATTTTGATACGTACCTTTCAAAATTATTTTTTATGGCTGTATCAACCTGTAAATATATGGTGCATACTGTGCAAGCCATTCTGAACACTTTTAGGTGGATAACAAACACAGGAATACAGTCTGCCTTGGCATGGCTTTGCCTCCTAACTCCCACTAAAACCAACCCTCCCTCTCAGAGAGTATTTTCCTTACCCCCGACAGATGGGCCATGGGTACTTCCAACTTCTTTATTTTTACTACTCTTTTCTCTTTTCTTCTCCTACCCCAATTCGTCCCTGGACTTGGTGAAGTTCCACCTCCTTCCTGAAGTCCTCAATGATTCTCCAAACCATGGTGATTTTGCCTCTTCTGAACTTATTGAAATGTGAATATTTGTCAATATCTGCCATTGGGTTAAAGAAAATAGAGGGAATGAGAGATGTACAAAGAAGAGGAGGACTGAAAATAAATTCAATAGTAAAAGAAAAACTTTTGAATAGAATATTATAGAAGAGTGTGTTAAACTCATCTCATATAATATTCATGTCATGTTAGCAATTGGATATAAAAAACATAAATTCACTTAAAAAAGCATATGCATTATAGAGTATTTTGATTTCATCTCCCATATTAGTTATTTTTAGGTTGATTTAAATCAAAATATAATAAGAGTGTATTTCAGATCCCTGTGGAAAGAATGCATTATTGAATACATGGAATTGAGACAAATCCATCTCATAAATAACAGCATAGATCAAAATAAATTCTAGACACTACAATTTAAGTTTAAAAAGTATGAAACTAGAAAACTTTCGTAAGGATGTAATACTTAGAGGGGGATAGAACTTTCTAAATTTCTTGTATAGACACTAGCACATAGTGGTCACTTAATACTTATTGAACGAATGAATGAAATGGAAAAGCAAAGAGACCATAAAGAAAAGATCAATAGGTTTGATGTTATGTACTTAACATAAATATCTTAATGCTCTGTATTTTAATTACAAAATTTGAAAGGCACATGACACACTTAGAAAATATTTATAGTGTGTAGGTCAGAGCTAATTTTTTTTACTAAACAACTCTTGCAAGTCAAAAAGAAAAGCTATGCATTTCTCCCAGCACTTTGGGAGGCCGAGGCGGGCGGATCACGAGGTCAGGAGATCGAGACCATCCTGGCTAACACAGTGAAAACTCGTCTCTACTAAAAATACAAAAAAATTAGCCAGGTGTGGTGGCAGGCACCTGTAGTCCCAGCTACGCGGGAGGCGGAGGCAGGAGAATGGCGTGAACCCGGGAGGCGGAGCTTGCAGTGAACCAAGATCGCTCCACTGCACTCTAGCCTGGGTGACAGAGTGAGACTCCGCCTCAAAAAAAAAAAAAAAAAGCTATGCATTTCAATAGAAAAATTAGTTAAACCATATAAATATGTCACAGAAGAATAAATAGAAATAATCTCTAAATATAAAAAACTTCTAGTTTTATTAGTTAATTAAAATAATGCAAACTTTAAAAATTCTATTGTCATTAATCAAAGTGACACACTTTAAAACACATAATAATTCCATTGTTCTTAAAAAGATTAGAGATGGAAGGTTTATTATACTGTTGCTGGTTATATTTCTGTACCTTACAGGAATGCAGTTTGGAATACATTTTTAAATGTAAACAGTTTTAGCTAATATAGATTTTAACTTAAAACATTTTTAGCTAAAAACGTGCTTAGCTTTTGGTCAAGTCATTCAATTTCTAGGGATTTCTCTAAGGAAAGTACAGATTTGGACAAATGGTAGCTACAAAGGTGTTCATAGTATTTTTAATTTTTAAAATATAAACATCCCAGTATCACCTCTTGGAGATTACTAGTACTAGTGTAGTGGCTGTGTAGCCGGCCTGGCTGGGCTTGAGACCAGCCTCTGCCAGTACCAGCTGAGTGGCCTCATGCTGTTCCCTAACTTCTCTACATCTCAGTTTACTCATCTGTAGGGTGGGGGAAAATGTAGTCCCTATTTCATAGAGTAAATGGGAGAATTGAATGTCTGACACAGAAAGTGTTTAATAAGTATTAGCTATCATTTTATTAGTATTTAAGAATGGTATATCCAGACATTGGCTGCCACTCAGCCATTAAAATATCATTTTAGAAGGGTATTTAATAACATGAAAAGGTGTTCATTATCTGTTTTCAAGCAAAAAAAGCAGTATATAAAATGGCATATAAATGATCACATTTAAAAATTATATAAATACATTGGGAAAAGACTGAAAAAGAGATATATACAAATGTTAGTAGTGGATATCTTTAGGTGGTAAAATTATGGGTAATTTTAATTTTCTTCTTTGTTCTTGTCTGTCTCTACATTTTCTACAATGGATATATATATATATATATATATTTTTTTTTTTTTTTTTAGCAAAAATAAGATCTACCAACCAAATGAAAAATAATAAAAACAACCTCCTACTCTAAATCACACTTTTCCACAGTTAACAGTAGCTTATGTGAAAATAGGATAATTTTAATAGACTAAAGCTGATACACTAGAAACAGCGTGAGCCTTAGGGTTTCACTGACTGGATGTGAACTCTTAGCTGTGTGAACTTAGATATGCTATTTAACACACCCAACTTTCAGATTCCTCCTTGTGAAATGGGTATGAATATCTTTGCATATCCAATACGAATGTTGAAGTGCAGTAAAATAGTTCATGTCAGAACTATTCATAAACAGAGCAGAGCTATACAAATATGAGATCTTATAACCATCAAACCCTACTGATGCCATTAGATTTTCTGTCCTAAAGAACAGCATGGATCACGTTGCCAGTAAAATCTTTTCTTTTCATCAGAGAAGCACTTGGGGTTTGAGAGTCTTCCTAGTTGCTATTAAAAACTCATTGCATAAAAGTATCAAGCTTTTGGCTCCACATTATTTCTTTGGTATACATTTCTTTTTTCCTTTGTTTTGCTTCCAAGATATGAGGGGCAGTGAATCATTCTAAAGACTTAACATGAATTCTTGAAACTTGCCTTTATTTTAAAATTTAAGATGACCATTCCAAAGTAAACATATTTTACAGTCCACTCTGAAAGAGACTCAACCTAATATTCTTTGATAGGAACAATGTTTGAAGTAATTGAGGGAAGTTGGGAAAATAGTAAGCAAAATTTGGAAATAAACTTTACCACATGTTTGAACCACCACAGAGGACAAATCTTGTTCTGCAGTTCAATTATTTTCTTTTCTCCTCATATTATCCTTAACTATTCATAATAACAATGTGTGAACCACTACAGATCAGACAGCGATGTCCCAAAATTTGTGAGTTGCATGCTGGTTTTCAAGTTACAAAGAGAGGATAACTGGCAGCCCACAAAAATAAAACTTTGAAAGAAATTTAAACACTTTTGAAACATTTTTTATTAAAAATCTGAGAAAGTTAGACATGAGGAATACTGCTTTTGTAGGAACCTTTATTTTTTCTGTGAGGACAACAGCAAAATAGTTGAAATATGACCAGCTTTCAGTTTTTTCCTTTACCTTTCCTATGTCTTTTCTGTCAAGTGATCATACCAATGATTATTAAATTTATAATCCTTTTAATCTCTCATCTGAACAGCTTGCTCCTGAGACCAAGGCTGTCATTCATTGGATTATGGATATTCCTTTTGTGCTTTCTGCCAATCTCCATGGAGGAGACCTTGTGGCCAATTATCCATATGATGAGACGCGGAGTGGTAGGTATTCTTTCTGCTTCTCTTATTGGTTCAAAGTTTATAACACTGTACAAGGTTTTATAAGATGATTTCTGTAATTTTTTTTAAGGAACTGAACATTAAGTGATTTTTGCCTGAAGAAAGAACTATGTTTAACAGGAAGCTCTCCTAATCATTTCATATGGTGTTGGCATATCTATTTGGCAGAAAAGGACTCACTTTTTCAATAGGTTAGGTGAAGAGAAACGTGATCTTGACAGTACCTAGCCAACAGAAAGGGAGAAAACACACGTCATAAACTTGGGTCACTCTTGGACACTGATAAAGTGGAGAGATTACAGAAGTTGTGTAGGTTCATGTAGAAGATGGCTTAAACATGGGGGCAGCCTCTTGGTGCTTGATCAGGATCCCTGTGGATCTCTACATGTGTCTTATTGTGTTGACACAGTTTTGCATTTGGAACTGTTTCTGGTGGTGTCAGGGAGGGGAAGTGGTGCTTTGGCTTTCTCTAACTAGTTTTAGTTAAGCTTCAGACAAAGCAAGCTTTAGCCAGACAGATATTTTCAAATTGTTTTTTGTTGCTCCAGGGAATTTCCTGCTTTGGATCTATTTTCTGGGGCCTTTGAAGAGTTAGCTTTTTGTAAAAACAGGATGATTAGTTTGTTTTTTTTTTTTTAATTTTAGATTCGGGGTACCTGTGTAGGTTTGTTACACGGATATATTACATAATGGTGAGGTTTGGGTTTCTAGGGTACCCATCACCAAAAGAGTGAACTCAATAGGTAATTTTTCACCCCTCACCTCCTCCCATCCTCCCCGCTTTTGGAGTCCCCAGGGTCTATTATTTCCATCTTAATGTCCAGGTACACCCATTGTTTAGCTTCCACTTATAAATGAGAGTATGTGGTATTTGATTTCTGAATTATTTCGCTCCAGATAATGGCTCCTAGCTCCATCCATGTCGTTGCAAAATACATGATTTCATTCTTTTTAATGGCTGCTTAGTATTGCATAGTGTATATGTACCACATTTTCTTTATCTAATCAACCATTGATGGACAATTAGGTTGATTCCATGACTCTGCTTTTGTGAATAGTGCTGCCATAAACATATGAGTGCACATGTCTTCTTTATATAATAATTTCTTTTCCTTTGGATGCATACTCAGTAGTGGGATTACTAGGTTGAATGGTAGTTCTATTTTTAGTTCTTTGAGAAATCTCTGTACTGTTCCTCATAGAAGTTATATTAATTTACATTTCCACCAACACTGGTGGGAATCCACGACAACATCTGTTGTTTTTTGACTTTTTAATCATAGCCATTCTAAGTCATGTAATATGATATTGTGGTTTTAATTTGCCTTTCTCAGATGATTAGTGATGTTGAGGATTTTTCCAATTATTTTGACTGCTTGTATGTCTTCTTTTGAGAAAAGTCTGTTCTTGTCCTTTGCCCACTTTTTAATGGGGTTGTTGGGATGATAATTTTAGATATTGGAAACTGAGTGTTGAAGAACGTCTTTGGGGAAATAACATTGTTAAATAAATTTGAAGACTTTGTGGTTTGTTGATAATTGGGAAACTTGTAGGCCTGCATAATTTATAATGCATGAATAAGAACACAGTGTATCAAAATATGTTATTTATTTCTATAATACATACAGGAGATTTAAAAAATATAAAACCAGATATTGAATGGTATATATGAGAATGATTCATAGTGGGTATGAGGTTAGTATAGGTACATTTTTTAAATTAAAGATTTAATGATAAAAATCTTCCTCCTATTCTCCCAGGCCTAGTTTACTATGACTTTATTACCTTTCCCTGCAAAGCTTTCAACTCATAAGTAGAATGTACATTCTACCCAATTTCTACTTTGTAGTATTAGGAATGGAAATTTTGTAACTTAAAACTAAGTGTAATTATTTAGTATTTAAATTTTACCTCTTTCCCATAGTTATGTAGCTAAAAAAATACATCAACAATACAATTACTCAATACTGAATCACTCTTTAGAAAACATGCTGTGCTGCTTGGTCTGTGTCTGTTTCTTTAATCTTGTGGATTTGTTTTCTAGGTAGTGCTCACGAATACAGCTCCTCCCCAGATGACGCCATTTTCCAAAGCTTGGCCCGGGCATACTCTTCTTTCAACCCGGCCATGTCTGACCCCAATCGGCCACCATGTCGCAAGAATGATGATGACAGCAGCTTTGTAGATGGAACCACCAACGGTGGTGCTTGGTACAGCGTACCTGGAGGTGAGTTTCCATTGTGCTCTCTGATTATGTGATTGTAGCTTATTTACAATGACCATTTAGGTTTAGAGAGTGATTTAGATTTAGAGAATCTTCAATCGTCCTCCATCATTAAAAAGTAGACTGAATCTATAGTTCTTCCATTAAAGTCAACTTTTTGCGTGAATGATTACTATGTATAATTTTGTTTTTGTGGATTTTAAAAATTGTGATGCTAATTGAAGAGATACAGGAAATGAACTGAAGACATTCATTTGGAAAATAATAAATTGAATATTGTTAACTACCCTACTTTCCAAATTCAAGCCTTAGGGAATAAGATGGCATCCTTAGTTTATGCCAGTCATGCTCTTTCACTGTAGGTAAATATATATTTTAGAGGGCTTGTTTTGGCTTTTAGCATAACCTGGTGCACAGTACTTTTGTATTAAATGATGGGATAATGGGGAGTATTTGACATGGAATATTTAGTTTATGTTCACTATTCTAATAATCTCTATGAGATCAGGTAGCTTTTTGCCTTTTAGTCTGAAAAGGAAGCAGTTGCCATGTGGGACAGCAGCTGGGGGAAGCCCCTTCCTAGGTAGCCAAGGAAGCTCTCTTGCCTTCCTTGTCCCAAGGCGGACTTTACAGAGCTCGTATTTTCACTAACACTCAAGGATGAAGAGTGAAATGCGAAGATATTTATATATATTTTTACTTTTCTCTTTGCCTGAGAAAAATTTTCTATGGCCCACCTGGAAAAAGAAAATTTGTTAGGGTAATAAGCAACATTAGCTAATTGAAGGGTATTGGTATGTTTAATATGCTTAATTTTGTTGAATTATGTGCTGAGAAAAATATTCTTTCTGATTTTTTTCTTTCTGATACATGTTAATTCTGTTTTTATTTATATTTTGCATTTTATCCAGATCAGACTTAGTACTCTTTCCCCAATAGCTTCAGAAATATGATCTATGTCAAATTTAGGATTTAGAGCATGTCTAGTACATCAGATGGGAAGTAATTTTATACTTTAGTTTTTATAAAAACTTTAATGACTTCTTGGAATTCCTTTTTGAACAAATAGTGTATTGTCAACAAAATATAAAGTAATCTATATCAGTTAAATACTGATAATAACATTATTAACAATAGTAATAATGTTAGTTAACGATTACGTCTCGCTTAACTAAACAGTCAAAGGAAGCTCCGTTAGTCTTCAGTTCTGTATATAGTGAATAACATTCATGTCTTAGGTCAGGTTTTCTAGAAGCAGAGCCTGAGATAGGGATTTGGGTACTTGTAATTTATTAAGGGATTACTTTTTAGGACAAACCCTGTAGGGAAGTGAGGGAAGCAGGGCAAGGAAGGGGATAGAGCTAAACAGGGTTGTGGTCTCAGGCAAAGTCCAGCCTTGGCCTGAGCCATTGGAAGAAGCCTGGAGCATAAATTAGGGGCAGGTTTGTCTCCCCTTGAGAGAAAGGGACCAGCCTTTGGTGGCTCCATATCTGTCAGCCATTGGTTGTGGGGTGCCAGCAGGAATTGGGGGTGAGAGATAGCATGATGTAACTCCCAAGCCAGGTGGGAGATTCTGGCTCCCATCAGCAATTCTCTGGAAAAGGGGTGGGGGGGTAGCTGTGAGCTCTAACAGCCAACACCTGCAGCAGTTTGGGTCTGGATGCCCTGCCTCCATAAAAGCAATCTGGTGGGCACTAACAGCATCCTCTGCTAATTTGAGTCAGATTTAAATTAAAATTGTTCTGAATGCAGAATATTCTCTTTGGTGCTATTTGAAGTATTGTTATCATTATATCTTGTATGTAATTCAACTCAGGGATTGTTGAATTAGCATATAGTGTGAAAGGAAATTAAATTCTAGGACCCCAAATTCATTTAGCTAAAGGGAAAAGTCAAGCTGGGAACTGGGTCACACAAACCTGCCTCCCCATTTTGGTTCCTAAATAAGATGATTACAAGATGAAAGGGTACACGCCTCCCCCATATTTTGCCCACAGGGAAATTCTGGGTGAGCTGTTAAAACTTCACCATGGCCATGTAAATTGATAGCTTATCTTTACAGGTGCAGGCACCCCAGCCCACCAGACACAAATGCGTATCCGATTGCCCCCCTACCCCATTTTGTCTGCGTTATCTTATGTAAAATGCACATTCCCCACATTTTTCCTCTGTCCCCTTTGGTTTATGTGAAAACTCTGTGCTTATCAATATCCCACCCTCTCCCCTTTCAATTTGGAGCCCTCAAAATCATCTTCGGAGAGAGGCATAGACCTGTCTCTGGGGCGCATCCTTAACTTTGGCAAAGAAATCTCCTAAAACAATTGAGACTTGTCTCATCATTTTCCTTGATTGACAATAGTATATTGCCAAGACTCCCAATCCCTCAGGAATACACTATGATATTGATTGGGCTTAAGGAATAATATAGTATGTCAGATCATGTCACATGAAGCTCCAAGTTCTTCTCCAGTAGAAAGGTAGACTTAGAGGGATGTGCATTTCTTTAATAGATCAGTGGGGATGAAGTCTTTTACCCTGTTGTCTTCTCCGAAGCCCACTCCAGCAATGTGGAAGGTGGGTAATGTCTGCATTAGCACTCTGCAGCAGCAAATGCTTTTGCTTAGGAACCTGAGAGTTTGTGCTTTTAAGGTATAACAACCCCCGACCTATGTTGTTCAATCCCTTACAGCAGATGATTTCCCTTAAGTTTTCCCACAGGCTTCCCAAATGCCCTGGTTTGTGTACCTTTTACTTGGTTCTTGATTCAGAAGACTAGCCTGTGTAGAGTTTTAGGCTCCTTGTGCATATTTTGACTTTCCATTTGGTGTTTTGGCAGGGATGCAAGACTTCAATTACCTTAGCAGCAACTGTTTTGAGATCACCGTGGAGCTTAGCTGTGAGAAGTTCCCACCTGAAGAGACTCTGAAGACCTACTGGGAGGATAACAAAAACTCCCTCATTAGCTACCTTGAGCAGGTAAACACAGTCCCCAGCATAAAAATGCAAGGTTTACAAGCATTCAAACCTGTCCTACAATGGTCTTGTAAGAGGAGTCCAGGAGAATCCGTCTGGTGCAGAATGAGGATGCCATATTTGGAAGGCAGGTGTCAGCAGTGTTTCAGTTAGGCTTTTATTTGTCATAGGTTTTGTGGCTCAGGACTATTCACCAAGAACTGACTAAACTGGAGAGTATACAGAAAAGACGTAGACTCTCGTTTCTGTTTGTATTATTCTAAGCAAGGGCAATCCTAGGACTCTCTCCCACCCTGATCACCGTGAGGCATCCCAGGCAGAGCCAGAACAAAAGTAAGGCAAGCGAGGCACCTGAATGGAAAATTTAAGGAGGATTTTAATCTTAGGGGCATGCAAGTACAGGATTAGCACTTGAGAGTGAGTGTCTCTTTAAGTTTTGAGCTGTACAAGCCTCATCTTTCTCACCCTAGACTCAACTGCATCACAGGTAATAATAATAATAATGAGTTATGTTTGTCATTTACTATTTCCCAGGCATTATACTAAATGCCTTTTATGTAATAGTTAGTTCATTTAATCCACACAACAACCTTATGAGGGAAATTATCATCATCATCATTATAATCATCACTAAATTAAAGATGAGGAATCAGAGACACAGAGAGGCTAGACAGCTCACCTGAAGTTGCTTAGCTAGAATCTGAATCAAGGCTGTCTATTTCCAGAATCACCATGCTGTACTGACTTTCAGAACAGAAGCCTGGATCTTTACCAGAGAGTCATTTATGTAGCCATTCCAATGTGATCCATATAGAATTTTGGGGGATCTCACCATCTGCCAGAATAAAATCCTTTACCTACTCAGGCCAGTCCTCTGCCAACCCCACCCCCTGCATAGTATGTAGACACTGGCCCCAGAGGCAGTGGCAGTGGAAAGACCTAAGACTCTGTTCATTCCTGCAGTTCTTTGCCAGTCTTCAAATTTTATCCTGAATGTGGCCATTTACACCTAAAGTCAAGTAGAGTGATGTTAGTTTCATGTGCCAACAAATAGTCCAGACCAATCTGTTAAACTAATTTGACATAAAAAAGCTGTTAAATAAACATTTAAGTATTTATATGTGTATATGTACATATAAACATATACATATAAAATCAACACTTTTTTTAAAGTAAAACCAGGAGTTGAATCCAGTTTCTTTCTCCACCATTGCAAGGCTCTGTTGCAGTGGTCCCTATAGCTTGCTATGGCCTCCTTTGAATAAAGGCTGCTCTAAAAAAAAAAAGAAGAAGAAGAAGCAAAATCAGCATAGGAATTCTTTTACACATGTCAAATATCCATATACTGTAATACCTTACCAGGGACTGTCGTGGAATAGATCCACTGATGTCAGATGGTGATTAAAGAGCACTCATTCCACTGGATTCTTTTTAAATCAATGGATTCCTGCTGCATGTTAGCTTAAAAAGGTATTTTCCAACAACAAAAACTAAGGATAAGCAGTCCACGATGACTCTAGAACAACTTTGGTGGGAACCCCTACAGAATGTCTCCTTTGAGGAGAGCCGTATTTGGATGGATCTTCTGAGAGCAAAGTTAACTGAAAAGTATGTTTTTGGATAGAGGAAGTAAGATGGGACTGATTGGGGTGTTCTCCACTTACATATCAAATACAGTGCTTTTTATTTTAATAAATATTTAATAATCTTTAAATGTTTAATAATATTTGTCTTAATACTCCTTAATACAGTGCTTTTAATTTTATGTATATAGTTTTTCAACTAAAATGTATTGACTAGTTTCACATCCCAGGCATTCTGTGAGGCACTGGGGATAGTGACCGTCCTCAGGAAGGCTTCACACGAGTGCTGTCAGAAACAAGAATACCTAATCACAAGAGAGGAGGAGAGCTGGCTGAAAAACAATAAAAGCTTAGCTACAAGGAGCAATAACAGTACACAGAAGGGGACCTAACCGAGTCACGGGAGTTTGGAAAAGGCTTCTTGGAGCCGGGCTATAAGATTTACTAAAGTTGATGCCAATAAGATCATCACTGTGATCAACAATTTAAAAACATGCTTAGCTGCTGTTTAAATCATCTCTTAGTTCTTGAGAAAAAAAATAATACAAAACAAATAAAACACGTCTTCTTACCATCAGGAAAAAGGAGATTTGTCATACTTATGGTAGCAGGTGGGCATGCATCCAATTCATCTGACAGTAATATCAATTTATATATAAATAAGCTAAAAAGAAGAAGGTTAAAGTTATACAATCCTATTTTATGCCACGCAAAATAAGAATTTGCTCTGTCCACAGATCCATGTGATCTACCTTGATATGGCATTGTCATTAGGATGCAAACTGTGTCTAAGCAGTGAGTGGTATTTATAACCAGCTCATCTAGCTTGCATCATAGAACACTCCAGTTTAGGAAAACAAAGGCTGATGAAAAATCAGTGAGGGCTGCCAGAAGTTCTGTGTTGTAATTGTTGTCTTGACAATGGTGGTGATTAGTAATTGAACACCTGGGCCTAAAATCTAAGCTTGGACTAGTTTACAACTCATGGAAAATAGGTGATTAGGAGATCTATTTCTGTAATTGTTTGAGAGGAAATCCCTTGCAGAGTTTTAAAGAGATGTTTGCAGGGACTAGAATTGTAAAGCTAATTAGAGTAGAGAGTCTGCTAAGGAGAAGAGCCTCCCTTCCACTCAGTAGCTTTGAAAGAGTCTAGTTCTCAAAATTCTCAAAAAATTTCTTAAAGAATGGTTCATGGGCCAGGCGTGGTGGCTCACGCCTGTAATCCCAGCACTTTGGGAGGCCGAGGCAGGCAGATCATGAGGTCAGGAGATCAAGACCATCCTGGCTAACACGGTGAAACCCTGTCTCTACTAAAAATACAAAAAATTAGCCGGGCGTGGTGGCATGTGCCTGTAGTCCCAGCTACTCCGGAGGCTGAGGCAGGAGAATGGCATGAACCCGGGAGGCGGAGCTTGCAGTGAGCCGAGATCACACTACACTCCAGCCTGGGCGACAGAGCGAGACTCCGTCTCAAAAAAAAAAAAAAAAAAAAAAAAAGAATGGTTCATGGGCACCTGCATTAGAATCACCTAGAGTTCTTATTAAAAATGAGTTTCCTCTCCTACCATTGAATCACACTCTCTGCAGGGCAGGACCGAAGTATCTTCATTTGCAGCAAGCTATCTGCGTGACACTAAGTACATGAGGGTTTAGGGGCTATAAACAGTCCTAGCAAAAATGGAGAATCTTCTGGAGGCTTTTTCAGCCTTCGCTGAAACTGAGATGTCCTGGAATCTGGGGAGCAATCATTGCAGGCACCGCAAGTGTAGTAAAACAGCTTCTCCAGGCATGAGTGAAATTTGGACTTTCGTGATTTCTTTTGCAAAAGCCATACAATCTGAATTTTCCAGTCTGAATTCATGGGGGAGTTGACACAGCCCATACACTTCTACTGAGATTTATTACTACACTGGAATTTTTCAAACAGAAAAGTTGACATATCACAGACAGACATTTACTTCTTTAACTATTTGTTAAACTGCATATTGCACATATTGCAATATAAGTCTTGGATTGCAGAAGCAGAAAAAAGTAAAGCCATGAATATTAACCTAATATATTTCTGCCTAATACAGGCAAATAATATGTTCTTGTAGTGATTGATTTACTTACTTTACAATGATGTGGGAATTAGAACCTTTCTTTAAGGCTTATGCTATTGATAATTTCAGGATTATAGTGCCTCAAGAGGAATAAAGTACTTGGGTAAAGCCTCTTTTATCAGCTAGCATCTTTCTAAGTTTTATTGAATGGGGCCTCATTTTAAGAAATTTAGAGTTTGGGTCTCTATATATAGCCCTTTTCTTCTTCTCTACACTTTTTCTGATTTTTCATCTTTTAATTCAGAAAGTTAAGTTTTCATGTTTCATGTTTTCCAATGGCTGAATTTCAAACTCTTTTCAATTTTGGTTGGCTTATTAGTTATGGAGAAAAGTTAGAATTGAATAAATCTTAAATTTTTAAAAATATATTTACTCTACTATACTGGTTGCCAATAAAATGATCATTATTACTGTTTCCTATTTGCAACATTAAAAAATTACATGTTATTTTTATAGGGTGTGAGAGTTTTCTTTTTTTTTAAGAAAAATGGCACACACAAAAAATATTGCTGGTAACAAGGCACATCTTTTTGATAAAACAGTGTACCACTGCCGAATTTATTCTTTGATGACAAAGGATTACAGGAGACTTATCTGTCTTCTGTAGGGAAATAGTCAAGTATCATAAGTAGCGAAAGACAATTTATTTTCTATAGCCCGATTGAGTGAGGCACAACCTGAGCATTTGGGAGGTTGGTGCATATTTTGTTGAGTAATCAAGTTTAATGCATTACGATTTGATATTCTAGATGCAGTACTTTCTTAAAGACCTGAAGCGACTCTGTCACTTCAAACACATATTGACTTAGATGAATTGTCTTTCCAAAATAAAGAGAAAAGCAGTTTTTGTAGTTTGCAGTGTATTAAATAATAGCCAGTTGATGACTACAACTTAATTTAGGGGGATTATTTTCAATGGCAGCTCTCCCATCTTCTTTCTAAATCAACATTCTATTTTCTGTTATGAGGCTCACTACTCTATTTTCAGCCAAAATAATGTTAATAGATTTAATGCAAAAGCAGTCACAGTATATATCTTTTTATCCAGAATGAGCTAATATTAACAGGCTTTTATTATGATATCCTTGTTAATTGACAGTAGCCATATAATGAATACACAGGTGACCAAAATTGAAAGAGAGTAAGTTATGAAATGCACTAAGACTAGAACTTTACACATATTGGAGCAGGACGAGCTGCAGACAAAACCCCTCAGACACCGAGTTAAAGAAGGAAGGGCTTTATTATTCAGCCGGGAGCATCGTCAAGACTCATGTTGCAAAAACCCAGCTCCCTGAGTGAGCAATTCCTGTCCTTCTTAAGGGCTTACAACTCTAAGGGGGACCGCATGAGAGGGTCGTGATCAATTGAGCAAGCAGGGGGTACGTGACTGGGGGCTGCATGCACCAGTAATTAGAACGGAACAGAACAGGACAGGGATTTTCACAGTGCTTTTCCATACACTGTCTGTAATCTATAGATAACATAACCGATTAGGTCAGGAGTCCATCTTTAACTACCAGGCCCAGGGTGTGGCCCCGGGCTGCCTGCTTGTGGATTTCATTTCTGCCTTTTAGTTTTTCCTTCTTTGGAGGCAGAAATTGGGCATAAGACAATATGAGGAGTGGTCTCCTCCCTTAATATGACACTTTTTAAAATGATTTGGAAGGTACTAAAATCTTTTTTTTGGGAAGCAAACAAGACATTAATTTTCACTTATCTATTTAGGGAAAAGCAGAATAAAATGCACAAAAAATTCAGTGGCCTTTTGTGCATGTCTTGATTCTTAAACAATGGGGGTCTACGGTATTTGCTGGAAAATAAAGAGATGCTTGATATGAAACATATTTAAGGCCATTTCTATAAATTTATAGGTCATATTAATTTTTTGGTTATTTTTGACCTTCACAGATACACCGAGGAGTTAAAGGATTTGTCCGAGACCTTCAAGGTAACCCAATTGCGAATGCCACCATCTCCGTGGAAGGAATAGACCACGATGTTACATCCGGTGGGTCTTTGCCACAATTGGAGGCTCTACGTTATGTACAAGAGCATAATTACTAATTATCATAATTATAAGTCTTATGTTCTTCTAAGCAAAACAAATAGCTCGTATCTCTACAGCGTTTCTCAGCTTTGATCTGGTGAAGTTTCCTTTGTGGGCTCAGGTCAGGCGGAGTGAGTGGAGCCCAGGGCGGCTGCTGCGTTAGAAATCCGGGTGCAGCAGATGGCGCCCTTTCCTCAGCTATCTCGCCCCAGAGCTGGGAGGTGGTGCCACAGGCTGCCGATTCTTCGCGGTTCTTCAGGCAAAGGAAAAGGAGCTGCTGGAGTTAAAATACCAGTGACTTTCTAGTCTCTGTTAAGAAGTGCTAACGAGCTGCGAATGGGGAGACCGAAGGAGGGAGCGGAAAGAGGAGGAAGGAAGAAAACTGCTGCGGGTTGTGTGTCTAAAAATTCTCACACAGTTTTTCATTTAATCCGTATAATAAATCCGCAGGGATTCAAGGTTAAACAAGAGTTTATAGGATTGAGGTGCGATGTTAGTGACTTCCAGGTTTTGAGCTCCATTTCCATTTCCCCAGTTTGAGGAAAATGATGCATTTTTCTGGCAAGTCTACCTACTCGCATTAATAAACATTGATCCAGGTCATTTTAGTTTGTCATTTGTTGGGATCTTTTCAATAATGACAACTTTTTCTTTTTAGCTGTAAACTCTTTACAATTTTTTTTAGACTTTGTGACAATTAACCTTTAACTTATGTCCCAAACCACTCTGTACCATCAACTCTTTCTTAACCTTCACATTTATAGCTTGGATTAAAAAAAAATCTTTAACATTTGTCCTCTAAAACTCCATTCATTCTTCATGTATCAACAGCCCACTAGGTGCCAGCCAGTATGCCAGAATCTGTGCCAAGATGTCAGCCCATGTAGCCCCTTAGCCCTTAGCTGAGAGGGTGAAACCCAGCGTTAGTATCCCTGCCACAAGAAACCTGTTAGCCCTAATATGTCATACAAATATTTTATTTTCTCTACATTCCATGATGTGAAATGTTTAGGAAAATCTAACCTAGGGAATAAACACGTGGGAAGAAATTAAATCAGAGGAGGGGCTCTAGAATACTCCAGCTTTTCAGGGACAAGGTGATAATAAGAAGGAACCAGCAATAGAACTGACGGTAGAAAATGAAGTGTGTTGTACTGAAGGTAGAAAATGAAGTGTGTTGTCCTGGAGGCTTTGAAGTGCTTCAAGAAGAAGGGAGTGAAAAAGCGTTAATTAAGATGAACCTTGTGAATGAATCCTTGGATTTAGCAGTTCAGAGGATCTTGAAAAAATCTGTTCAATGGAGTGAATGGTGGGATCCTGATTGGACTGGGTCCAAGACAGAATAAGAAAAGAACCATTCTGAGATTGAGAACATGAACAAACCTTTCCAGAAATTTTGCTATAAAGCAAAAAGACAATTGAGGCACTAGCTGCAAGGAGATGTAGATTTAGAGGTAGATTTGATGATACGGTGATGGGGGCTTAATTTTTTTGACTGTACCTATTTTTGCAATGAAATAAGATGTAAAGTAACAACTGGGAGGTTGAACAGGATGTGTAGGGGTGTTAGGAAAAAGGAGAAGGTGTGAAGTGTCTACGAAAACCTTGCTCTTCAAAGTGTGGCCTCTGCTCGCAACCTTAGCATTGCCCTGGGGCTGGTCAGGAATGCAGAACCTGGGAGCTGGAATCAGATTTTTCATTTTACCAAGTTCCCAGGTTTGCACCCAAGTTTGAAAATCACTGACTTAGGTAAATGGGAGATTGAATGGACTAGGGTGCCCAGTGTATTCTAAGTCTTTAGAAATCTAAATTTCTAACTAGGACCTCAGAGATCCTACAAGGGCTACCTTTGGCCCACACTCTGTGAAGATTCTCTGACCAGCAGGTCTTCACCTGGCAAGAATCAAAACATGATGGCTGTATGTTCTGACCCTGCTGCTTGGGGAATTCATCTGTCTTTTTACCTGTGTTGCTCCTGATGTGATTAGAAGATCTATGATCGTACGAGGTTTATTAGACAATTTAACATTGATATCTATAAAGTAGCTATAAGAAATGAAGCCTGTAAAGAGAGTTTCACACCCTATTCAATAAAATTTCATTAAATTCCCTATATATTTACTTTAAAAATCGAGAATCAAAAAAGGTGAACTGAGCTAGACTGGGTATTCCTTAGATGGCATAATTATGCATTGTGTAATTCTGCATATTTCATGTGCTTTGTGATTTGATATTCTGCCTTCCTACAGCAAAGGATGGTGATTACTGGAGATTGCTTATACCTGGAAACTATAAACTTACAGCCTCAGCTCCAGGCTATCTGGCAATAACAAAGAAAGTGGCAGTTCCTTACAGCCCTGCTGCTGGGGTAAGTAATCATAATAATAGCCAAACGCTATAATAATAATTAAGCATTTATCATTGTCAGGCATACTGAAGTGATTTATATTTAATCTTCGTACTAGCCCTATGAGGTAGGCAACATTGTTATCTCAACTTAACAGATGAGAAAACTGAGGCTTAGCAAAGTTAATATGAAGCTCTATTACCATTTCTCAGTTTTTGAAGAGATTTACAAGAAAATGAAATAAAACTTTAAAAAATTAAATTTTTATTTGCTAACCTTGATTTCCATCTCAATGGGATTATGTTTCATTTGCCTTTTTATCTTTAGCACCTAGCGCAGTGCCTTTCTCAATAAGTATTTGAAAAAAAAATGATGCATATAAGAAAATTTTAGGTGGTAACCAAACACTTATTTAGCATATTTTATGTGCAAGGCTCTCTGTGCTAAGTAGTATCAAAAACCATATCTTATTTAAGTAGATCTCATTTGTTTGTTAGGAAGGTGATGGTGATAAGACCAAAACTTCTCTTAGAGCAGAATTTTACTACTACCTTTGTATTATATGCCTGGGACCGTGGGAATACCTGTAGGATTTCTTGAAAGTCTAAAAAGCTTACTTGAAAAGAATTTATTATTATTTTTGTTTATGTACCCAAAACTTGGAGTATAAATGCTTGATTTATGCAAACAAAATATCTTGAGTTTTTAACTGGTATATGGTTTTGATTGTGTGCATGTATGTCTACATTGGGCTGTATATGTATTAAAATCAAGAGGTATATTTGGGTAACTGAAACCTGGAAAAAATGGCCCTGGGAACAAGTTGTAAAGGTTCAACTATTTTGATCCTTTGTCTTTCTGGCATGTGTTAGTGCAAGGATATAGTCAGTGTAATCACGATCCAAAATAATCAGGCGTTTAAGTGGCCAAATCAAGAAACTCTTAGTTCCATCTGGGATGGGGCCTGAGGGGATTGGGGTTGGGGGCTGCCTACTTTGAATAGCCTTTTATGCGGAGTGTGTGGCTTCTCCCTAGACCTGATGAAGATTCCCATTCACAAAGAGAGTGGCTTGGACACATACGTGCTTTTGTCAGTTTCTTTAACAAATTCAAGATTCTGGATAGCAGAACCTTGTGGTTTGGGATACCAGCATGCTGAACTGTATTCTTCCACATTCCCTCCCACATTAGGAAAAGATTCAAGGCTGACAGGAGGTGCTCACTAAATAACCAAAGGCAGAAAATTAACTATAAGTTACATCCTCTTTTTTTCTTTTCTTTTTTGAGACAGAGTCTTGCTCTGTCGCCCAGGCTGGAGTGCAGTGGCACGATCTTGGCTCACTGCAAGCTCTGCCTCCCGGGTTCAAGAAATTCTCCTGCCTCAGCCTCCTGAGTAGCTGGGATTACAGCGTGCGCCACCGTGCCCGGCTAATTTTTGTATTTTTAGCAGAGATGTGGTTTCACCATGTTGGTCAGGCGGGCCTCGAATTCTTGACCTTGTGATCTGCCCACCTCGACCTCCCAAAGTGCTGGGATTACAGACGTGAGCCACCGCGCCTGGCCAGTTACATCTTTTTATGAGGAGAAGAGACTGGGGCAAGAATTTTGTTGAATTATATCTGTCTTCAAAGCTATTAAATCAAAGGACATTTCAAACATAAGGCTTTTGAATTTTGCTTTTGAATTTTTTCCCCCTGAAAATATCTTTTGTTTATTGCAAGAGATTTTATTTCAGGATTTACTTTAATTCAGGTGGCTGGATTGAGTGTATACTGAAACTGCTCTTATTTTTTTATTTCAATTTAAAAAAACACATGCAGTTTGATAATAATATGTTCTTGATTTTCTCTTTTAGGTTGATTTTGAACTGGAGTCATTTTCTGAAAGGAAAGAAGAGGAGAAGGAAGAATTGATGGAATGGTGGAAAATGATGTCAGAAACTTTAAATTTTTAAAAAGGCTTCTAGTTAGCTGCTTTAAATCTATCTATATAATGTAGTATGATGTAATGTGGTCTTTTTTTTAGATTTTGTGCAGTTAATACTTAACATTGATTTATTTTTTAATCATTTAAATATTAATCAACTTTCCTTAAAATAAATAGCCTCTTAGGTAAAAATATAAGAACTTGATATATTTCATTCTCTTATATAGTATTCATTTTCCTACCTATATTACACAAAAAAGTATAGAAAAGATTTAAGTAATTTTGCCATCCTAGGCTTAAATGCAATATTCCTGGTATTATTTACAATGCAGAATTTTTTGAGTAATTCTAGCTTTCAAAAATTAGTGAAGTTCTTTTACTGTAATTGGTGACAATGTCACATAATGAATGCTATTGAAAAGGTTAACAGATACAGCTCGGAGTTGTGAGCACTCTACTGCAAGACTTAAATAGTTCAGTATAAATTGTCGTTTTTTTCTTGTGCTGACTAACTATAAGCATGATCTTGTTAATGCATTTTTGATGGGAAGAAAAGGTACATGTTTACAAAGAGGTTTTATGAAAAGAATAAAAATTGACTTCTTGCTTGTACATATAGGAGCAATACTATTATATTATGTAGTCCGTTAACACTACTTAAAAGTTTAGGGTTTTCTCTTGGTTGTAGAGTGGCCCAGAATTGCATTCTGAATGAATAAAGGTTAAAAAAAAATCCCCAGTGCATGTATTTCAGTTCTCTAAGATTTTTGGTCTGGCATTGTGGTCTTATGATGAAAACATGTATCCTCTTAATGGCGGCTTCTCATATATTCATCCTGTACATTTTAAAATTTGTTAAGCAACTACTGTGTGCTAAGCACTGCATAGCCTCTATGTATGTTATTGTGGCAGGCAAAAGGTTCTGATTTTGGGCACAACCTTTATATAAATAACACAAAAATTAATGTTTGGACACAAACTCTAAATCAGTAACACACTGGTTAATATGTAATTATGCATTGTGATAAGTAAAATGACAAGAAAGAGTAGGGAAAGAGAAAGAATGACAGAGCAACTTAAATTAGACTGGATGAGAAGAGTCAGGGATGCATCTTAATGCACAGACCTAGAATATTGAGTGGGTGTGAGCAGTGCAGAGTGCAGGGGTGTGTGTGTGTGTGTGTGCATGGTGGTGGTGGTATGGTTGATCAATGCTGCAAGTGTAAGTTTTGGTTAAAATCGTGCTGTTATAATAGTAGGCCCCCACATATATCCTGGGTTAAACACAATGGAAGTGTATTTTTTGCTCAGGTACCTATACTGGAAAAAGACAGAAAGATGGGGTGACTTTTCTTCACACAGTCTGGGACCACGTTCTGGGATCCATTCTGACAGAAGATCTGCCATCTTCTGCACACGTCCAACACTGCCGCATTGGTGGTCGTCTCCATTGCAGCCAATAGGAAAGGGGAAAGAGCAAGGGGGAGAATGTAGAGGGTGTTCTTATGGGCAGGCCTGGGAGTGGTGTACATTACTTCTGTTCACATCACACTGCCTGGAATTGTACATTCTTTGGCCACAGTAACTGCAAGGGAGTCTGGGAAAGGTAGTCTAGAAGTGTACCCAGGTAGGTGAGGAGAAGTGGACTTTGGGACAGAATAGCAGATGCAAAGGCATTGGGGTAGGAAACACATGGCTTGATGGAGATTGAAGAAGGACAGATGTACAATTGCCTAAGAGAAGCCCACAGTGAGAAGAAAAATGAGATTGAAACTGAGCTCTGAAGAGCTTCAAAATTTTGCTTCTTGAGGTTTAGATAAGATAGGATAGACTGGAGTATGCTGCCGTAAGAAGCAACTCCAAATCTTAGCGTTCTAACTTAATAGTAATTGATTTTTCATGCAAAGTCTGTAGGTCTACGTAACTCTCCAGGAACTTTGCGCTGCATGCTGTGACACAATTATGTAGAATGTTTCCACGTGCGGTTCTGCCATCTCAGCACAAGGTTTCCTCAGTCTCCTGTGTTGGTCGCAGAAGAAGATAACTGGGGCCACTACTGCCCACAGCCCACAGGTCAGAGCTAGTTACATGGCCTTGCCTAACCACAATGTTTGGTAAGCATTGTCACTGCCGTAGTCCTCTCTCTGGTGCCAACACAACTTTGCTCTCCTGTTTCCAAAAGTAGGACTCACTTTGCAAGGGAGACGATTTACAGCCACATCAAATCATGGCTTTGAGCTTCAATTTCAGGATCTCTGAGTGATCTCACAATAGTCTCTATGTCAGGTCTGTACATGGCCAGTCCTGTTTCAGGGACAAGTAAACTAAGAAGACAGGTAAAATGCATCCCTCACCCGCAGTGTGCAGTGGTAGAACAGGATCAAGACAATGTGAGGAAACACTTCCACAGTGGTGAGGAATGAGAGGGGCCCAGCATTCAGGCCTGCAGCAACTCAGAAATCTTGCCGAGCAAATACTTTATGGGCCTCCTATTTTGGGGGTGGAAAATGTTTCTGGTTTCAGAATTCATTCTACACTTTGGCAAGAGCTTTCTTTCTTTTCTTTTTTTTTTTGAGACGGAGTCTCACTGTGTCGCCCAGGCTGGAGTGCAGTGGCGTGATCTCAGCTCATTGCAAGCTCTGCCTCCTGGGTTCATGCCATTCTCCTGCCTCAGCCTCCCGAGTAGCTGGGATTACAGGTCCCCACCACCACGCCCGGCTAATTTTTTTGTATTTTTAGTAGAGATGGGTTTTCACCGTGTTAGCCAGGATGGTCTCGATCTCCTGACCTTGTGAGCTGCCCGCCTCGGCCTCCCAAAGTGCTGGGATTACAGGCGTGAGCCACCGCGCCCAGCCAATAGCTTTCTTTTCTTATTGTTCTCCATGGCCTTAACTTTGCTCTCTTAAACTTCTCTCTGTTCACTCGGGACCTAGGTTGGTGGAGGTCCTGACTTGCATAGCTGTACCATCTGGAATGTGGGACCTCCCCACTTACTGCAGAGGGAGGGGAGGAGAGACTGGAACTAAGGAGTGGACCTTCATTGGCTTAGCCTGGAGGTGACACATGTCACTTCTGCTCACATTTTGTTGTCCAGGACTAGTCAGGCGGCTTTGCCTAACTGAACAGAATGCAGGAAATGTAGGGGAGGACACAGGTTATATGTCTCCACTACAGGGCCATATAGACCAAATGGACTACCTATTCGATTGTTGGAAGGAAGTTGTTAGGTCCACGTAGTCTTGTCCTTGCACCCATTTTTCTTGATAGAGGGCTTCAAAGCTCCCTGTCCTGGTCATGCTGTTAACATGCTCCAATTTTATCTGATGGCATAGGGGACATAGAATTGAGCACTGTTGGCCGGGTGCGGTGGCTCACGCCTGTAATCCCAGCACTTTGGGAGGCTGAGGCGGGCGGATCACAAGATCAGGAGATTGAGACCATCCTGACTAATACAGTGAAACCCGTCTCTACTAAAAATACAAAAAATTAGCCGGGCATGGTGGCGGGCGCTTGTAGTCCCAGCTACTCGGGAGGCTGAGGCAGGAGAATGGCGTGAACCCAGGAGGTGGAGGTTGCAGTGAGCAGGGACCGTGCCACTGCACTCCAACCTGGGTGACAGAGCAAGACTCCGTCTCAAAAAAAAAAAAAAAAAAAAAAAAAAAAGAATTGAGCACTGTTGGGAGGGAAAGTCCTTTCCCTGGTCTCATGTTTTTGTGTTGAAGGACCTCCATTGAAATACAACTCTTGGCCTGTAGTCTCACTCCTCACACACTCCTTCCAGCAGAGAAATTAATTACCTAATTGCTAGGTGGTGATGGGGTGCTAACGGGGTAGAACAACTCTATCAAAGGACTGTAAACTTCCCATTTTCCTCCCTAGAGACAGCTCCAAACTTTCCTTTGGGTGCAGAGGGAGGCTTTGGATGTGTATTTGGATACAGGAGAGAGTTGGCAGTCACAGAGTATTAATAGGCTCTTTGGTTCACAGATCTAATGTCATTTTCTCCAATTGGTTTATCAATAATAAAGCTGACAGTTTAAACTCTTGTCTGTCTATTGATCTGTGTTTTATTTTTCAACTGCTTCTGAACTCAGGAGTAGAAGAAATAGGCAACTTATACTGAATGCCTAAAATTTTTAAGAGGCATAAATATGTAGTATTTTAGATTTGTGGCTTTTTTTTTGTAAAAGTAAAGTGGGGCCAGGCGCGGTGGCTCATGCCTGTAATCCCAGCACTTTGGGAGGCCAAGGAGGATGGATTGCCTGAGCTTAGGAGTTTGAGATCACCCTGGGCAACATGGTGAAACTCGGTCTCTACTAAAAAAATACAAAAATTAGCCGGGTGTGGTGGCAGGCGCCTGCAGTCCCAGCTACTTGAGAGGCTGAGGCAGGAGAATTGCTTGAACTTGGGAGGTGGAGGTTGCCGTGAGCCAAGATTGCGCCCCTGCACTCCAGCCTGGGTGACAGTTGAGACTCTGTCTCAAAAAAAAAAAAAAAAAAAGTGAAGTAGGCAGCACCTTTCTCTTTTGACTACTCTCCTTCTTCCTCTTCTTCTTTCCCTTCTTCCTCTCCTCCTCCTCCTCTTCATTTTTGTCTTCGTCGTCTTCTTTTTCTTCTTTCTTGGGATTCCCTCTGTTGTCCAGGCTAAATTTCAGTGGCCCCATCATGGCTCACTGTAGCCCTAACCTCCCAGGCACAGGCAATCCTTTCACCTCAGCCTCCTGTAGCTAGGACTACAGGCACACACCACTGCACCCAGCTAATTTTTGTATATTTTGTAAAGACAGGGTTTTGCCATGTTGCACAGGCTGGTCTCAAATTCCTTGGCTCAAACAATCCATCTGCCTTGGCCTGCCAAAGTGCTGGGATTACAGGCATGAGCCACCACACTCGGCCTATACTTCTCTTAATTCAGTCTAAGATGATACTGACATTTATTTGAAGTTAAGTCACATTGTTGTTTCATATAAACTTAAAATAAATGAAAAATCTGAACTAAGATTTTTTGATCTGGTTTGGAAGTGAAGGTTAGAGCAGTCAAGGATATGGGAGATACATGAGCTGAAGGTTAAACAGATCTGGATTATGAACAAGAGGGTCAAATTGCTTTAGGTAAGAAAAATAAGAAGAGAAGGGGACTGAGTAGTTGATTTTAATGAAATAATGAACATATTTTGAACTTCGCTTTCTTTCTCTGTCATTGACAATGAAAATCAGACACATTACTATGGAAAAATAGCTAATCTTAACTCATTTTGATTTCCAATTTTTCACATAAACAAAGGTAAACATTACTTGCAGAAAGGGAAATATGAACTTTGATATTCATATTTTATTTATACAGACAACTTCTGAAATCTTTCCATGATTTGGTGTTGTGGGAGGCCGAAAACCATCATTTGTTCCAACATATTGCTCAACTTGTCTTTTCAAAATTCCCATGACGATTGTCTTCTGTGGTTAGGACTGGATGGCATTTGGAGTTTCTGCCTCAAAAATGTCAAGATAGAATATACCTAAGCTTTTATGTCTCACCTTGTAAATACGCTCATCCTGGTTTTGCTGTTCTTAAGTAAACATCTTTCTAGGCACTTACAAATGGTCTGATTCTTTACTCTTTCATTTTTTTCTCCTAGACTATCAGCCTGTGAATCAACTCAATCATGACTTGAATTTCTAGGGTAGTACATAATTTTAGTTTTAATTTAAATCATTGCAAAATTCCCTGAGGATCAGTGTTTTTAAAAACAATTCAAAGATTTGGCTTAGCTGGGTTAAGGGTCATCAGTGTGACCCAAGCTGATATTGACTATGGTCTGTAATGATGACTCAGAAAAGAAAAATCCCCCTCGTGAAGCTTACTGAAAATTTCCATGATGTCAGGGGCCACAAGGCTGTAAGCTTTTGGAGGGTGTCATAGTTTCTTAGACCTCTTACACATTATCCTGTCTTAGCTCTTTTAGTATTCTACCTCCTTCCTTTTCCTTTCTCCATTCTTTCCTTTTGAAGATTCATTCAGCAATTACTAAGTGCTCACCCTGTCTTCTCTACCAGGGATTCCAGCAGCACTTTGCTATGGTCTATGGTCACCACCACCATCACTGGAATCATCATCACCATCACTACCATCCTCACCATGACTGAGTGTGTGTCGTATGCTGCACTCAGCGCTAGACACTTGAAATGCAGTGTTTTGAAACCCAACTACAATATTTTAAGGTGAGAAGTGATGCAGCTGTCCTATTTAACAGATGAAGAAAGAGATTCAGAATTTAAGTTAAATTTCCCACTTCATACGGCTGAAATGTGGCAGAGCAAGATTACAGCCTACGTCTGCCTTACTTCTAGTCCATCCTGTTTCCACCTTACCTCACTTCTTTAGCATGGCCTGGAAAGAATTGTGTACTTCTTCATTAAATGTATCTTTGTTTTATATTCTTTTGACTATTCACACATGCTGATTGCTATACTTTGGGCTTCAGGGGAGTATTTATTACCTGTTTTGAAAGAAGGCCCTTTAAAGATGATTTTAAACATTTTTCAAGTAAATGCAATAGCTCTTGTTTATTGCTTCTTGCCATGTGGAATTACTGTAAATCCAATTAGTTTGATCAAGTTCCCTGTAGACATGGTGTTGTTTGGCACAGATGTTATGTTTGATCCTGACATTATGCAGTAGAGAGACATGTTTCAGGATTTGCCAGGGTGGTCAGCAGAACAGGGCAGCTGAGGACAGGGACTCCTGGCATCACAACTGCCTCCTAGTCTCCCACTCCCCTAAGAGGGAAAGGATTTCCTGGAAAGCCCACGCAGCTGCAGGGTTTGGTTGCTGACGTTCTGTCTGTTTTGAAGTTATAGTCAGGGCAGGCAGCAGCAGGGGTGGAGTTGGAGTGTACAAAATGGAATATCAAGAGCCCTGAAGTCAGCAAAAAAATTAATGTAGACAACACTTGAAAATAAACGAACATAGACCCTCAGCATGCATTGTGAGGCTTCCTCTCCTGGGCAAAGGTTCCCTGTTAGTATACATCCGGAAGGAAGACTGCAAGGAGGGTCCCGTGGTGCACATATTAAATGAATTAATTTATGTAAGGCACTTAGAAAGCTGCCTGGCGCGTAGCAAGTGCTCAACAAATGCAATCACTATTATTATTACTTAATAATGTGTTATTATTACTCAAAGATGGGTTACTACTGTTGCTCAAAATGTGTTTTATTTTTATTGTTACTGCTCTTATTACAAGGTAAGTTGTGAGACTTGGTACTCGGAAACTAGAATCATGGAAGAAACCCAGGTTAAAGACCCACCGGTAAGGCCATCTCACCACATGAGGTGAAAACCTAGTTATCAGAAGAGCGATAGTGTAATACTGGGTTATAGATAAGAATCTTTTTTTTTTTTTTTTTTGAGATGGAGTCTCGCTCTGTCGCCCAGGCTGGAGTGCAGTGGCGCAATCTCAGCTCACTGCAAGCTCTGCCTCTCGGGTTAAAGTCATTCTCCTGCCTCAGCCTCGCGAGTAGCTGGGACTACAGGCGCCCGCCACCACGCCAGGCTAATTTTTTGTATTTTTAGTAGAGACGGGATTTCACCGTGTTAGCCAGGATGTTCTTGATCTCCTGACCTCGTGATCCACCCGCCTCGTCCTCCCAAAGTGCTGGGATTACAGGCGTGAGCCACGGCGCCCGGCCGTAGATAAGAATCTTAGAGCTGTTAAATATCCCTATGCTAGATCAAGATGGGTCCAGGGACCTAAAGTTGGCTGGAGCCCGCTGGTGGGATTCAGTGCGGAGCAAACAGGTAAGGTAACTGGCTTGCCGTTATACAAAATGTTATTTTTTCTTTTGTTTTTTGTTTTATTTTGTTTTGTTTTGAGACAGAGTCTCGATCTGTGGCCCAGTCTGGAGTACAGTGGCACTATTTCAGCTCACTGCAACCTCCGCCTCCCGGGTTCAAGCAATTCTCCTGCCTCAGCCTCCCAAGTAGCTGAGATTACAGGCACCTGCCATCACGCCCGGCTAATTTTTTTGTACTTTTAGTAGAGACAGGGTTTCACCATGTTGGCCAGGCTGGTTTTGAACTCCTGACCTCAAGTGATCTGCCCACCTCGGCCTCCCAAAGTGCTGGGATTACAGGCGTGGGCCACTGCACCCAGCCAAAGCTATCGTTTAGTAATAGTTTTAATATCAACTATAGCAGTATTTGAATAAATTAAAATCATTAAATAATTATTTATATTTTATCTCCTCATTGCTATTTAATTGGCAACTATTTAATACTGAGGCCAGAATGATAAGATGAGAAAAGAGAGATAAAACCACAATGCATTTATATTTCAAGAATTGTGAGCTTAATGTCCACCCTGCATTGTTAGAAGCTGCTTGGAACAGTTGGTGTCTCTGAAATGTTATCACCTAAGGGTCCACGTGGAGATGACAGTGATAGAAGATGAAGAAACTTTGTCCAGATGTTCTGGGTAACTGGAATGTGAATATCCACAGGTATTTGTTGAAAGAATAAATGCATGCCAAGAGAAGGGGAGGCACAGTGGAAGGTGAGTGGCACATACTTGAAAATGGCCCAACTTTCACCAGTAAATAAAATCAGCAGCATGCAATCGGACACTTACTGGGCAAAAAACACTTGCTGATGAAATAGCCATAACGTTTTCCTTTATACTCACTTAACATATCTGTGTTGCAATTGCTACAAAACTAGGAGAAATGTGGTTTTTTCCTCATGTTTCTTTTTTATATAATTTTTCAGAATTAAACAATGCCTAGCACTTTGTCTTGAAACTGATGTGGCTGAAATACTTTTCATGAACTTAGGAACTAACTGACTAAGGAATAGGATATGCAATGAATGATTGAGAAATCACTAGTTGATTATCATAAACCAAAACTCAATACATGTACAAAGTATGTAAACTGGAAAATGATCCAATGCCTTTTTTTTTTTTTTGAATAGCTGAATCAGTGGTTGAGTTTGTCAAGTTTCATGAGTTTGACTGTCATCACAATGCAGCGTTTGCATAGTCCTGACTACATGACTTACAATTTTCCAGTGAACCCTCTGGCTAAAACTGCTCTTTCTTCTTACCCACATTTACACTAATATTTATTCTAGAAATTCCTGAAAAATCAGTCCTGACACTACCAGGCTGACTTCTGTTCTCTGCCTTGTCGTGGAGCTATCTAAAAGCAGCCGGCCATGGTCATTCACCTATAGTTACCCTTTGCTCCAGAAACTTCGCTGCAGCTTCCCCTGTGTTTATTTTAAACCTTAAATTTGAAGAGCAAGATGATGAGAAAAATAGCATTGAGTCTAACCAGGGCTTCATAAATGTGTTGCCACGGCTTATCTCACTACATGAACCACTGCTGTGGGATTTGGGGTCTGGTTAGGGAAGATTAAAGCGGTGGGTGGTGCAGCATTCTTTGCTTAAAACCTAAAATACAACTCCTTCTGCATTAAATACACAGAGGTATTTCAAAGCCAAGTATGTGTGTAATTAAAGTAAGAAAGTGCCAGCTTTCTGTGTGCACCTCAAGCTTCAGACAGCCACATGTGCTCTTTGTCAAGCCTTGGGAGGGCCAACAAATACACTGAGCTGCCAGGAAGATGTGAAAAGAAGCATTAGATGCTGGAGTTCCAGTTGAATCCTTTGGCAGTGAACAGCCCTGCAGGCTCATGCCCGCACAAACTTGGTTATGCATCTCCTTCCTTTTATTCACAGACACAGAGTGAAGATACAGCTCCTGGTAATTTCAGCACAAGGCTCTCAATTCTTAACTGGGGCAGCAGGGAGCTGGCATCCGCATAAGCTGGATATGGCTTACTTGAGTGAATGGATCGCGTGCCCGGTATTGACATCCCAGATTCTTTAGGGTTGTACCTAAATAAAAAGATGGAAAAGGAGAAAGTCTCTTTTTTTTCCATCCAGGAATCACTTTCAAACCCCGTATCATTATTCATGAGTTTTTGCAACGTAAGCATGGCGCCCCTTTCACTTGCATTTTTACTTTCTGTTTTCCTAATCACCTGTCTCTTGGGTACATTTTATCTGTCCCAAGCATCCTTACCTTCCCTTTGCCTGTCTTCTTTCCTTCTCTTCTGTCTCCCCTGTCTGTACGTCTTTGCATGCTCTCTCTCTTCCTCTCTGGACCTCTCTGGGTCAGGAAGGCATTTAGCGAGGAAAGCATCTGAGGCCAAACAGCATAGATTTTCTCTTCCTCCTCCTCACAGGTTCTTTCTCTGGAAGGGGGCTTCAGAGGAGAGGATCTTCTTTAGCTCCATCCTCTTGCTGGGCAGCTTGCTCTCCAGACAATTCCCTTGAACTTTTCCACAGCCCTAGCCTTCATAACTCCCCAACCCCAGCCCTGACCCCAAGATTCCAGGTCCTAACTCTGGGCTCTGCCCTGGCTTGTCTGAAATCAGGTGTCCTGGATGAAACAGAAAGTCAGTCAAGAGTTAGGTTGCTTCCCTCACCACTGACAGATATGTGAAACTTCGACCAACTAATTCGAACTCAGAAGATCAGGAGTATGGTAGGATCGGAAGAGCCTGGGACTGGGCTCGGAAGATCTGCAGCTTGTCTAATAAAGGAGCTTGGCACCTATAGGAATCTCAGTCTCCTCATATTTAACTAGAAGACAGTTGAGCTTCTATTCAAATATTGATTAAAGTTGTTTTCCTGATAACCTCATAAGTCTACAAAGGAAATTTCCTATGGAATGTAAGAGAGAGTCAAAAGGGGAGGCAAATTAAAATCTTTATGTTGTGATATTGAGTATGTTTTGTTTAAAATGTGTCATGACTCAGAAATAGCTTTGTACTGCTCAGCAAATCCTGGCCATAAAAGAGCTGTGACTCCTAAATATTAGTGATGTTGACTCTTTGAGCAAGACAAGCAATCAAGTCCTTGGACATGTCCGCTCCACCGCCACACTCCTGCAGAGTGAATCCTAGAAATGCAAAGATGCCGCTGGGTTTGACGCAACAGCTATGGGCAGAGGAATCAGTGAAAACTGGCACTGATATTGGAGGGTGGGAGCAAGGTAGTGGGGGGCAGGGAGGTGACAGGCTGCCCTTGGTGTCAAATCCAAACTGTGGGGTGACGCCCTGAGTCCTTTAGATATAGGAGGTATGTCTATATCTGTATCTGTCTATATCTATCTATGTCTATGTCTGCATCTGTGTCTGTGTCTAGCCCTAAATCTATATCTATCGCTATCTATATCTACATCTATTATCTATCTATCTATCATCTATTATCTATCTATCTATCTATCTATCTATCTATCTATCTATCTATCTATCTATCTATCTCTGTGTCTTTGTCTGCATCTGTGTCTGTGTCTAGCCCTAAATTGAAATCTATATCTACATATCTATCTATTATCTATCTATCTATCTATCTATCTATCTATCTATCTATCATCTATCTATCTTCTATCTACCTATCATCTATCTATCTATCTATCTATCTATCTATCTATCTATCTATCTATCTATCATCTATCTATCTAATCTATCCATGCAGCTATACCCAGGACTTGTTAGCACCTTATTCGCTAGCAACCACATCGACTGGGGGCTGGGGGATACCAGAACTCTGAGGGGACCTGGAATCAGAGGTGTGAGAGAAGAGGATAGGTAGGCAGATGGTGCTGCTCTGCTTTTAACATTATCTATGTTGAACAGACTTGCTTTTCATTTTTAATAACCTCATGTTAACAGTGTCTGGTTCTTAGAGTGAGCTGGAATAAGCTATCTTCAAAACTTCTCCCCACCATTTAGGAGGCATTTTGAAATAGTTTTTCTGCTTACTGATCAGAATAGTGTCAAAGAACAAATGAGAGTATGTGCAAATGCTACTGCAGCATTGACATCTATGAGAGTATGACGGTGCATACTTCTGTATATTTATGTGTGCCAAGTAATAGCAAAACAGTTAAGAGGCTATTGGGGGAAACTTGTGCATAATTTCTTGGGAAAAAAGTTTTCCTGAATTTTAAAAGGATAATTTTATTTTCTTGCAGTGGGTGGTTTTGCCCAATGCCAAAAACAAGTATGTAACAGTGTCCCAGCAGGGAAAAGCCACTCTGCCTCAGGCTGTTTTGTCCTAATATGTAGCCACAAATATTTCTCATATTGTAAATACCCTTTGTAGAATTTAGATCATGTAAACTTTTAGTTTTGAAATATTGCCATTTATGTGAACTTCTGATAATCTTTGAATGTCAGATTTTGTCCTGGCCTTGCAAATTTTTTCTCCCCCTTTTTTAAAAAGACCGTCATTTAGGGGACAAGAACTCAGCCTAGGGATGCTGGTTAGCCAGTGACTAAATATTCCAGGATGCCAACATAAACCTCGACCAACAGCGGGCCTCTGCTGATGTTAGGCAGCTTTTGGCTCTTCACATTTACTGAAAGTCAGACTCCAAAAGGAATTTCTTTCACTCTTCTTTTTCTTTCCTTGTGTATATATACTGATGGACAGAAAGAACTTAGCACAGGGCCTGGGTCATAGTAAATGCTTAACAAAAGCTACCTGTTAAGTCTGTCTCTTGTTTATTACAGGCATTGGCATCCTTTTAACAGTGAAGTACTGTATCTGTGAAAGCATTACAGAATGGTAGGAAAATAAACTTTGGCTGTATATCCAAGGCTTAGAAGGAATTAAGACGGGACAGAAGGAACTCAGGTTGCTGCCATCTGAGAGCAGAAGGGAAAGAAGAGGACATTCCCCAACTCTTCCCATCCTGCTTGGGTTTGGTTTGGCTTGGTTTCCTTTGCAATTTCCATTGGCCCCAGCAAGCATTTAAGCGCTCTGAGTCCTAAGACAGAGTAATGGGATTAAAGCACATGACATATGAAAGAAAATGGCAAAAGAATTTTAGATTTGGTACCAGGGCAAGGATTAGGGCATTTCAGAATTTCTTTGTAAAGCTCTTAGAGATTTTGTGTGAGAGAAGCAACTGCTCTTCGTTGGATTTTAGCTACGGAAGTGGTAGGCAGAGTCACTCCCGCAAGAACAGCACAATGCAATGGGTAATGTTCACTACAATTACCTTTCAGAGAGCGCTAAAGTAGTTTCTTGATGCCCCCCTCCACACTGAGAGTGAGGTGCCAGAGGGCAGATTGCTGGCTGGTGGCACAAGGAGTCATGGGAAGGTCATGGGCTTTGGAGTGGGACATACCTGGCTTCAAATCCACTTATACACTGTGTGAAGTTTGACAAGTTAATGTCTCAGAAACTCAGTTTTATAGCCCCGAGCCAAAAATAAAAACACCTTCCTTGCCTGGTTGTTATGAGAATCCTTTGAGATAAGGTACACAAAACCTCTACAGATAGGCACCAACCAGTGCCGTTTTCCTGGACAAATTCATGATTTAGGGAAAGCAGTCTTTTGCCTTTTAAAAAGACCTACAATAAGATAAACAGACTTAAATATGTTTACAGAGCCATGTAACCAGCTTAATTTACATAAAATAGAAACATTTCTCAGATACATAGCTGGATACTGAAAACTTCAGAACTGTCCTGGCCAAACCCAGAGGAAACCAAATATAGGGTAGGGTTATTTTTTTTTTTCTTTTTCATCACGAAATTAGGAAATGGAGAACAGAAGCCTGTCCATTCTGGTAATAATGTTTGGTAATTCAAGGAAAATAAGACTTCCATTTTGCATTTAGTTCCAGTTTGATACACTTTTGTAGCAGTAGATTTTGGGGAGTTTTAGAATTGTTGTCCAAGACCAGCAATTCATTTTTCCAGAGGTTTCATGGAATCAAGTAATGTCAAAACAGAGAAACTCAGAAATAAGATGAGAAGATTATTTCGAGGCAAAGTAGTGGTGGGATGAATCCTGCCCCCCACCCCGATCCACTCCCAAGACTCAGCTGGTAGTAATCTAGTAATAATTATGATGATAATAGTGAGGATAACAACAGTTAACATTACTGGAGAAGTTACTGTGCAAGAAGGAATGTGTTAAGTACATTTCCTATATTTTCTTTTATCTTTCTTTTTTGCCACAACTATACTTTTATTTATTTATTTTATTATACTTTAAGTTCTGGGGCACATGTGCAGAACTTGCAGTTTTGTTACATAGGTATACTTGAGACAAGAGTCTTGCTCTGTTGCCCAGGCTGGAGCATAGTGGCGCGATCTCGGCTCACTGCATCCTCTGCCACCCGGGTTCAAGTGATTCTCCTGCCTTAGCCTCCCGAGTAGATGGGACTACAGGCACCCACCCACATTCGGCTCATTTTTGTATTTTTAGTAGAGACAGGGACCTTGCCATGTTGGCCAGGCTGGTCTTGAACTCCTGACCTCAAATGATCTGCCCGCCTCAGCCTCCCAAGGTGCTGGAATTACAGGTGTGAGCCACTGCACCTGGCCCATTTCCTATATTTTTTCATTTACTCTCCCTAACAAATCTACGTACTATTTTTAATCCCTGTTCCAAAGTTGGGGAGACCAAAGCATGCTTAAAAACATTGTTAATTAACTAGTGAGAGGCAGACCATGAGGCCTAAGTTTGCAGTCCCTTGTGAGAAGCAGGCACCTAGTGTCTCTGAGATGCGCCTGTGTGAGCCTTCTACGAATAACCTTTTTTAGAATTAATATGAATTTGCTAATTATTTCTACCATTGCAAATTATTTTCCCAACCCACATTGCTGGAGTATTCTTTTAGATTAGGGTTTTTCAACCTTGACCCAACTGACATTTTGGAATTGATCAATTTTTGTCGTATGGGCTGTATTGTATTGCCTGGGTTCAGGCTCTGTTGTTACCAGCCTCAGCACCACACTTTCTTTGTTGGTGTCCCTCAGGCCTGTCCATCCCTTTGTGGCCCTCTCCTCTTTAGCCGGATGGAAGGTGCCCTCTGCTCTCTGCCAAGCCCTGACTGATTACAATACTAAACACAGCAATAGTTTGTTTAGAAATAATGTCTGTGCCTGCCTCTTTAAATTACAGACCCAAGCTCTCTTCCAAAGCCATATTTTTCCAGCCTCTTAAATGAGCAGATGAAGTTTCTGACAGGTTGGCTCTGGGCCACATCAGATGAAGACACGCAGCCTCCTGTTTAGTCTTCTGGATTGATCGTGGTAAAGCAGCACTGGCCTTTGGGAAGAACAGCCTTCCTGTTCAGGAAAAATCCACGTTTGCATCTGTCCGCTCTTTTTTGCTTATGAAATCTCATTTGCCTTCCTCTGCAGTGGAGCACAGGTGAGGAAAATTGACCTCTTTGTAATTTGGAGCCAAACCATTCAGAAAGTATAAATCATTCATTAAGATGGAAATAATTTACATTTCTTGATTGGCCCATAGCAGTTTGAAGCAAATTAGGTTGCCATTAAGCAGCTGTCTTGGAGGTTTGTACCAGGGCTCTGAGGTTCCCTCTGTCCCTCTGAGAATGTAAAGGACTCCTTGAGTACCAGGGCCAGGCTACATCTGGCCTCACTCACTGGAGCATCTCAGGGAGAACTACTGGGGAGCATGAAAAAAGGCCAACTCTATTGATGGTAAAGGCAGCACATAATAAATATTCACTTTCGTCTTCCTTCCTTCCCTCTCTATCTTCCCTAATTTGAAAGGTAAAGAACAGGGCTAGGGGAAAGGAACTCTCAAAGGAAGAGAGAAACATTATAGATCTGGGAGACTGGAGGTGAAGTGGTGGGGTTTGTGGAGTCTCTGTGGCTCCTTTGGCTTTTGGAACTTTGGCTGCAGACTTTTTGGCAGTGTTTGGGTTCTGGGTGCCTTTGAGTGCACCCTTCCCCTATCTCCCCCTTCTCAAGTCTGTTTGGCTGTGTGGAGGTAGTGAGGTGGTGGTTAGTGCCTGGTGGAAAAGAAGCAGAAGCTGCTGTGAAGCTCAAGGGAAATCATTTCTTCCTTTCTGCTAAGACAGATCCTGAGTGCAGGGAGGGAAGCTGCACCCAAGGGCGCTGCCCACTGGCTGGAGCTGGGCTGTTCCTCTCAGGGAGTGAGGAAAGACAGAGGAGGCCCACATCAGGCTTCATAAACAAGAAGCGTCTGAGTTATTGAGAGTACGAAAGGCACATGGGAGGTTAGAACCTCAACCTTAGCAAGGTATTGCATATTCTAAAAAAATCCTTGATATCCCCACCTCCCAACTGGGTGTATTGATGACTGAATAAATGCTAAAGAAAGACTACAGGACGAAAATACCTTAAGTGCTACTTAACCAAAAAATGGAAAACACTTTAAAGTATGTGGGGAGATGAAGGAGAGAATTTAATAATCCATTGGCTTAGTCCTTTTGGGCTGCTAAAACAAAATGCCATGGACTGGGTGGCTTATAAACAACAGAAATTTATTTCTGACAATTCTAGGCACTGAGAAGTCCAAGATCAAAGCACCAGTAGACTCAGTGTCTGGTGAGTGCCTGTGTTCCCAAACACAGTGCCTCTTTGCCATGTCCTCACTCAGTGGAAAGGTGAGGGCCTCTCTGGGGCCTCTTTTATGAGGTCACTAATCCCAATCATGAGGGCTCTGCCCTTATGATCTAATCACCACCCCAAAGGCCCCATGTCTTAATGGGATCACGTTGGGCGTTAGGATTTCAAAATCTGAATTTTAGGGGGACAAAAACATTCAGACCATAGGATTCATTTAGAAACTGTTTCATTTACTTAAATGTGACCTATAGGATACTTTCTATTGGCACATCAGCCATTTTCTTTAGCACTTTACAGAAGTCCACTCTCCTGGGGTACGGAAGTTCCAGCACCTGGCAGGGTGCCGTGGCTCATGCCTGCAATCCCAGCACTTTGAGAGGCCGAGGCAGGCGGATCACTTGAGGTCGGGAGTTCAAGACCAGCCTGGCCAACATGGTGAAACCCGTTCTCTACAAAAAAAACAAAAACAAAAAAACAAACAACAGCAACAAAAATTAGCCGGGTGTGGTAGCACACACCTATAATCCCAGCTACTCAGGAGGCTGAGGCATGAGAATAGCTTGAACCCAGGAGGCAGAGGTTGCAGTGAGCCAAGATGGTGCCACTGTACTCCAGCCTGCATGACAGAGAGGGACTCTGTCTCCAAAAAAAAAAAAAAGAAGTTACAGCATTGGTAGCTTAACCATTTCATTATCTTCAATAATGTTTGATTAATGAGCATTTTCATATACATATAAATATATACATTCAGTTTGATTTTAAGATTCAGTAAAATTCATTTGAATTTACAACAACCTTATGATAACGTATATGGCAAGTATGTTATCTCCATGAGGAAATTGGTGCTTCAAGAAGTTAATGTCTTGCTCTGAATCATACAGCTAATAAGTGCTAGAAGCCGGCTCCTCTGCCAGTGTTTGGTCCTGTGCACTTCCCCCCATTGTGTACTATTTCCCCTGAAAATGGGAGAATGTGTCTGTTTCTAAGGACATTGTGCAATCAGAATTGTCTCTGAAAAGTGGGGTTTGGAGGCAGGAGCCATTGGACAATATTTGAGTCTGACACAGAAACTACAGAAACTACCCTATTTTAGCAGAAATCTCAAAGTTTCTCTTGTTAGCTGAAATTTTCTGAATCCAGAGAATTGTTGCATCTCTTTATGAGCTTGAGAGTCATAGGGCACGTATGATTATCCTTATTTTATCAATGAAAAACCTGAGGCTCAGACAAATTAAGTAATGTGTAGTGATAAATTTGGCATTGTCCAAAGAGAGGGCTGGACTTGGCCCTCAGCTTCTGGAAGGTAATCTACATCATACCTAATAGGAAGGAGAGTATTTGTGGAGGGGTCTGACTGTGCCTGACAGTCTGAGCTGGTCATACCAGAAGGACCAACCATGTGATTTTAGGGTTGAGCCTTCGGAGCAGTTAACTTGGAGGCTGAGTGTCAACTATGCTCAATCCATGAGGCAATCAGTCACGCCTACCTAATGAAGCCTTAGTAAAAGCTCTGCCCATGGAGACTTGGGTCAGCTTCTCTGGTTGGCAGTACTCCATGTATGTTGTCATACACCAATGCTGAGAAGGTAACATGTTCTGGGGACAGTAGAAGCTTCACAGGTGTAGCCCTTTGTATGCTTTCCTTATAATAAACCATAACCCCATGAGTATAACAAACAGCCTTCAGTGAGCATCCTTTTAGTGAATTATCAAATGTGAGGGTGATTTGGGGAACCTCTTGACCTTGCGGTTGGTGTCAGAAGTGTGGGAGATTTTGTGTTGACTTTCCCTTTTAGCTTTGTAGTTGGGCTGTAACTCCTTGCCGTTGGTGTCAGAAAGTCTTGAGTGGACTTGGCAGTCTGAAGGACCATGTCCTCCAACTTTGCAGTTTGGCTAACTGTAAGTAAGTCACCTGTTCACAATCACCAGAGCCTGAGCCAAGAATAGAACTCATATGATTGTAACACAAATACATGTAAGTACATTTATAACACAAAATGCTCTCACTAGCCATGTCCCAACCAGTGCTCCAACCTGCTGGAGCATCTCTCAGTGGAAACAATGGCAAACAGAGCATCTGGAAAGTGGGATGTCCGCAGTGGGAGGAAATACGGAGGGAGCCACCAGTGGGATGAAGCAGCAGGACCAGGTGGGAGTAATTGGGAGGTCTTGGGATTGGATCAGTTGGCACATGGCGGGAGCAAGATCTGTAACCTTTATACATCTGCAGGGAAGCCCTCAGCTCTACTGAAGTAGTGCTTCCATCCATCAAAAGCACAGGTGATGAGGCTCTCTCTAGCATTTCATCCAAGAGCTCTTAGGCTGATGTATGGCAGTCCAAGACTTCAGCTTGGATTCAGTCCCATTTCCGTAGGTTTCTGGCCTATGCCAACCCAGTAGGATGAGCTAAGAGATTACAAGATCACACCTACCTTTGCTCCACAGATCTGAAATTGTTGTTTTCCTCTTGAAATTTCAAAATTCCAGGAAAAGGAGTACAGCTGTAAAAATAATAGAGTGCTCACCTTGAAGCTGATGGCAGATGTATTATAACACAGTGAAGCAATCATCCAACACGTTTCATATTGCAAAGTGCCCAGGAGCACCGTGAGGATTTGTGTTCAGTCACGCCATCCGTTCTCTTCAAAGAGAACAACAGAAGCAATCTTAATCCCCCGTAAAATCTGCTATAATGTTCTGTTTGACTTTAAGGCTTTTTCATAACTGTCAGTTTAACTGTTTCAACTCACTTGAAGAGTCAATTTAGTCCAGCAGACTGGCTCTATGAAAAGCAATTGAAATTAGTTATTTGGGTACATTATCAGGTCAAGGGCATCTTGAAACTGTCAAGTTGGCTGTGTATATGGTTAGGGGGCTTGGGGAAAGCATGGAGGAAAGTAGATAATTAGGCACCCACTATATACCAGGTATTTTTTCTACTTCATTTAATCTGCACAACATACTGCATAATCCCCATTTTATAGATGACAAAACTGAGGCTCAGGGAGATTAAGTAATTCTCTCAAGGTTGTAAAAATGGCAGAGACAGCAGTAAAACCCAGACCTTTCTGCTACCAAGTCTCTCTCTCTATGTATCTATTTTTGCAGGGCAATAATTTATTAAAGCAAGAAGCTGAAACCTTTGCATTCTGCAGTGAGGATCAGGGTATCACTGAAAGACAGTGGAAACCAGGATAAAAGAGTTTTTACACCTCAGAGATTAAATTTCACCAATATTTTCACCAATATTTTTAAAATTAAGAGTCTGTTCCCAAGGGACATCTTGTCTGTGCGTTTCTTCACTGCCATCTTGGCAGCAATAGCTTCCAGAAGTGCATTAAGATTGGCAAGTTGTAACTTGAACAGAGGATCCTGAGTGAATAAGAAGCCTGTGATTTTAGTAGCAAGGGCTGGACAGAGCACTGCATTGGCCTCCTAGCAGCAAAAGGCCAGAATGAGTAGTAGGAGGCAGACTGACAGCCTCATGGCATCTTATTTTGCTTTGTCTGCTACCAAGCCTTGATCTCCCCAGTATTCCACATTATCTACCTGTTAGAAATATAATTCAGAGGCCAGATGTGGTGGATTATGCCTGTAATCCCAGCACTTCGGGAAGCCGAGATGGGTGGATCACCTAAGGTCAGGAGTTCAAGACCAGCTTGGCCAACATGGTGAAACCCCATCTCTACTAAAAATGCAAAAATTAGCTGGGCATGGTGGCGGGCACCTGCAATCCTAGCTACGTGGGAGGCTGAGGTAGGAGAATTGCTTGAACCCAGGAGACAGAGATTGCAGTGAGCTGAGATAGCTCCACTGCACTCCAGCCTGGGTGGCAGAGAAAGAGTCTGTCTCAAAAAAAAAAAAAAAGAAATATAATTCAGAAATATATTACACCACCACATTATCCTAGGAGAATGTTAACTTAAGAATCTAAGTATGAAATTCTGAGGTATGACCTACACTTTAGCTCTGATTTATGGTGAGGAGCGTGTGTATATTTTTTCTAATGGATTGGTTAATTTTTCCCTGATCTTGTTGAAATGGCTAGGACTCAAATAAGTTTAACAAATGTTCATGAAACATAGTTTGTCTAACCATTCTCCTTTTCATGGGAAAAGATTGATTTGTGTGTGTGTGTGTGTGTGTGTGTGTGTGACAAGGTCTTACCCTGTTGCCCAGGATGGAGTACAATGGTCTGATCACAGCTCACTGCACCCTTGGGCTTAAGGGCTCCTTTCACCACAGCCTCTCGAGTAGCTACAACTACAGGCACACAGCACCATGCCCAGCTAATTATTATTATTTTGTGTGTGTGTGTGGAGATGGAGTCTCATTTTGGTGCCCAGGCTGGTCTCAAACTCCTGGCTTCAAGCCATTCTCTCACCTTGGCCTCTCAAAGCACTGGTATTACAGGTATTAGCCACTGAACCTGGCCTGGAAAGACTGATTTTGTAACCAATGTTTTTGTAATCAATATGTTTTTCCTTTTCTAGGAAAGATTCCAATTTATAAAATGCAATGAAAGTCATCAATTAGTTTACTCATATTTCCTTTATCTCTTATACAGTTACACCCAGAATTGTGTTATACTATCTCTTAAATATATACACATTATATTATAATATGCTCAATATTTTACTTTGAAATGGTCTCTGCTATATGATGTTTGGTTGTGTATTAGTCAACTAGAATGGCATGCTAGATTTGGCACCAATTAATTCTACTACTTAGACCTCAAGTTAGATTTTACCTTTTAATCTCTGTTTCTGAACCTCACCTAACCCTTTCTCTTGCCTAATTGGCACCTAATGCCTAATACCTTCATACTATCCTTTGCCCTTCCCTCAAGTGATTGAGACTTCAGCCACCCAACTACTGCATGTCCCAGGAATGGCTCCAGGTGCTGAAGATACAACAGTGAACAAACAGTCCCAAATCCTGTCTTTGGAGAGTTTCTGTTCTAGCAAGAAGCTTCCTTATCAAAATTCCAACCCTTGAGCATCTTAGCCGGGTATGAGGCAATTTGATTATCATGTTACAGTATGCCAGGGCATGGTGTAATTGATTTATAAGGAGTCTTTGTTTTTTTTTTTAAACAAACATTAATTTATATATCCTTCTGATTGAGGTGTGAGATCTGAGGATCCATCTCACATCTCCTCTTGTGAGATGTATTCATTTAACTTACAAATAATGAATTCTGGGAAAAGTTTTTAAAGGAATATCGAAAGCTAAATGATCATATTGTACATTCTAAAATTAAAGATCATTTTCAAGAATGTTTTTCATTTTCCTTTTTAAAATTTGTGTATGTTTCATGTGGATACCACTGGGATAAAGATAATTGCTCGAGTTCTCATAGCCAACAAGTGAGAGAATAGAAACTCAAATCCAACCTAATTTAATTCTTAAACTGGTGTTCAGTTCTCTAAACTCTCGCTGCCTCTCCACACAACTGTGCATAGTTTTAACACAGCAATTACTATTGATATACAAACCTGAAATGTAGGGCTATCTTTCCTGAAACTTGACATGGCAAGAGAGGAGAATACAAAAGACAGATTTCAATATCACTGTCAGCCTAAAATAGAGACAACCTGATGGGATTTACATACATTTAAAATATATCCCTGTGGTTTACATTAAGATCTTCTAAACTCATTGCCAGTTAGGTATCAACAGTTCTCAAATCAAAGAGCAAGTCAGACAGGCCTGATGCTGTTGCTTAGAACAGAGGGAGGGTTCCCTTTGAAAACAACTCTTTTCTGGTTATGTCAGCATTTGGCATAAAAACCATGTCTGCTACTTTAACTTTTTACTGAATTGGATAATCAGAGATTGCTTGGCATGCAGATCTTATGATTCCAGATACACATCTTTGCAAAGCTATAAGATTTCAAAGAAAACTTAAAGCCTTTGGGACAACAACAAATTTCTATCAATTTGTCTCTGTAAGTATCTGATCTCTAATCTTATTAAGATGTGAAACAGACTCTGTAAAATTACTGTTGGCAAATTTGCACAATTGATGGAACATATTAAGTGAGCATAGGTATATTTCCTCTTGTTGAAGTGGTATTAAACTCTCTCATTGTTCCTTTACTGAGTTCAGATGTTTTTAGCAGATCATAGTCAATCATATGATCTATTTCTAAATGTTTTAATTAGAGGATCACTCTGTCTCAACTTGCCTAAACAATTATAAATTGAAAAAAGAAGCGTGGCAACATATCCTATATTTCTTAGGCAGGAATTACTCATACAGGCGTTCACATAAAGAGAATTTGGCGCAGTTATCAAATGGCCGTGGGTGAAACAAGCCAGAATTTCAACTGCAGCCTAGGATTTGCAACTTACATTACTGCTTTTTCCACTGAGTAACATGTGGGTTGACAACATGCTTCTCTACTTTTTGTTAGCACCATAAATTAATGGTTTTATTGGAAAATAATAAACACAACCACTGCTATGAGGTCTGAACATAGTTGTATCGTTTAATGTGAACATCAAATGAAACCTATGATTAAAATATTATGTTTATGATTTATAATTAAGCTGTGTAATAATTATTACTAGTTACCAATTTTTAGAAATGATATAATTTACTTACTGAGACCAAATCCATTTCCACTCTTTTTACTCATTTTTTAAGATTCACTGTATTTACAATTACTGTCATAGTTTCTATTTGGTCTGTTTGGTAATATTTTGCATCATTATGATCCTTAATCATAATTTTCATTACCCTCAAAACACATAGCTGACATATATATGAGAAGAAAGACGTTCTGAATTTTACACATGGAAAGGCAGAAGAAATTGGTTGATGCTATGTGATGGGGTCAGTAAGGACTTTCTGTGGTGCCTCTTAGTATTTCCATATCCGTTTGTAAAAGTGAATGGATCACTACAGCACCTAGAGCAGAATACTGAGGATTGCAATCCTCCAGGCATGGTGGTTTGGTCACTCTGTCGGTTACCTCAAACTTCTAAGGTTGAATGTTTATGTCACCCCCAAATTCATATGTTGATATTTGAACTTCTAAGGTAAGGGTATTAGGAGGTGGGACCTTTAGGAGGTGATTAGATCATGAGAGTGGAACCCTTTTTTAAAATTTTTTTGAGATGGAGTGTTGCTCTTGTCACCCAGGCTGGAGTGCAATGGCACAATCTCGGCTCCCTGCAATCTCTGCCTCCCAGGTTAAAATGATTCTCCTGCCTCAGCCTCCCAAGTAGCTAGGATTACAGGTGCCTACCACCATGCCCAGCTAATTTTTGTATTTTTAGTAGAGACAGGGTTTTGCCATATTGGCCAGGCTTGTCTCAAACTCCTGACTCATGATCTGCCTCCCTTGGCCTCCCAAAGTGCTGGGATTACAGGCATGAGCCACCGTGCCTGGCCGGGGTGGAACCCTTATAAATGGGACCTGTGACTTTATAAAGAGGCCCCACAGAGCTGCCTTGCTCCTTCCACCACCTAAGGACATAATAAGAAGGCAGTGCCATCTGTGAATGAGGAAACAGGTTGATATGGTTTGGATTTGTGTCCCCGTCCAAATGTCATGTTGAATTGTGTATTAGGATTCTCTAGAAGGACAGAACTAATGGAATATATATATACATATATACACACACATATATATACATATATATATGTATATATATAAAGGGGAGTTTATTAAGTATTAAAGTTCCACGATAGGCCATCTGCAGGCTGAGGAGCAAGGAGAGCCAGTCTGAGTTCCAAAACTGAAGAACTTGGAGTCTGATGTTCGAAGGCAGGAAGCATCCAGCACCAGAGAAAGATGTAGGCTGGGAGGCTAGGCCAGTCTCTCTTTTTGCGTTTTTCTGCCTGGTTATATTCCAGCAGTGCTGACAGCTGATTAGATGGTGCCCACCCAGATTAAGGGTGGGTCTGCCTTTCCCAGCCCACTGACTCACATGTTAATCTCCTTTGGCAACACCCTCACAGACACACCCAGGATCAATATTTTGTATCCTTCAGTCCAATCAAGTTGACACTCAGTATTAACCATCACAAATTGTAATCCCCAATGTTGGAGGTGGGGCCTGGTGATTGGATCATGGGGGCAGATTTCCCCCTTGGTGCTGTTCTCCTGATAGTGAGTGAGTTCTCCAGTGATCCGGTTGTTTGAAAGTGTGTAGCACCTCCCCCTTCTCTGTCTTACTCCTGCTCTGGCCATGTGATGTTCCACTTCCCCATTCACCTTCCACCATGATTGGAAGTTTCCTGAGACCTTCCCAGAAGCAGAAGTGGCTATGCTTCCTGTACAGTTACTGGAACTGTGAGCCAATTCAACCTCTTTTCTTTATAAATTATCCAGTCTCAGCAGTCTTGGGTATGTATTTATTTATTTGTTTGTTTTTTATTTTGGTTTTTGAGACATAGTCTCACCCTGCTGCCCAGGCTGGAGTGCAATGGTGTGATCTTGGCTCACTGCAACATCCACCTCCAGGGTTCAAGCGATTCTCCTGTCTCAGCCTCCTAAGTAGCTGGAATTACAGGCATGCACCACCACGTCTGGCTAATTTTTTTGTATTTTTAGTAGAGATGGGGTTTCGCCATGTTGGTCAGGCTGGTCTGGAACTCCTGACCTCAGGTGATGTGCCCGCCTTGGCCTCCCAAAGTGTTGGGATTACAGGCGTGAGCCACCATGCCTGGCCAGTCTCAGGTATTTATAGTAGTTGGGGACATACTAATACACAGACCCCCTGCAGACACTGAATCTGCCAGGACCTTGATCTTGGGCTCCCCAGCCTCCAGAACTGTGGGAAACAAATTTCTGTTGTTTATAAGCTACTCTGACTATGGTATTTTGTTATAGCTTCCCAAACGGATGAAGATACAAACCAACTGAGGTCTTGGTTAAGACAAAAAAAATCGTGAATGAGAAATGGAAGAAGGAAATTGTGACGATCAACCTAGGCCCCCTCCTTTAAGTTTGAATAATTTCAGCTTTTCCCTTTGTTCCCTCAGTCTTAGGGAGAGTAACAGTTTCCTGTGGTTGCTTCTTCCACGATGTCCCTTTTTACTCTTTTTGTTATCTATTTAACAACTTTATATCTAGCTATCTATTTTTTATGTTAAATTATCTCTGCTCCAACTTGCAGTGTAGTTTCTGCCTGCCTTCTGACTGGCCCCTGGCTGATGGAGTTCTCTCATACAATACTTTCCAAATGTCACTCCATGGGCCTCAATCTTGCAATTCTTTCCTGTTTCTTGAAACTTGAGGAGGCCTTGCGCATTGACTTCCCATCTTGCTAGTTATCTTGCTAGGTCTTATGGTACTATTTCACAGATCAGCCTGTCTTCATTTGTGCCTTCAATATCAGAATGTAGGACTTCGGGGGCTATCAAATATTCTTGCACAAGAGGTGGCATGAGAAAAGCAGTGTTTAAGAAAGACTTATAAAAGGACTTTCTTTTTTGAGACAGAGCCTCACTCTGCTGTCCATGCTGGGTGATTCCCCTGCCTCAGCCTCCCGAGTAGCTGGAACTACAGGTATATGCCATCAAGCCTGGCTAATTTTTGTATTTTTTGTAGAGACAAAGTTTCTCCATGTTGCCCAGGCTGGTTTTGAACTCCCAGGCTTAAGCCATCCACCTGCCTTGGCCTCCTAAAGTGCTAGGATTACAGGTGTGAGCCCCTGTGCCCAGTCAATAAAAGGTTTTATGGAAGCAAGAAGTAAGAAGAGGGAAATATCACAAATAGGCAGACTTGTTAGGAGTCTGCTGGAAGTTATGTATAATGTGATTACCATTTGTACTGGGGTAGTAGCAGTGAGAATAAAAATCAAGAGCCATTGTGCACCCAGCGTGGTGGCTCATGTCTGTAATCCCAGCACTTTGGGAGGCCGAGGTGGGCAGATCACTTGAGGTCAGGAGTCCCAGACCAGTCTGGCCAACATGGAGAAACCCCATCTCTACTAAAAATACAAAAAATAAAAAATAAAAAAATGAAAAAATTAGAAGGACATGGTGACAGGCACCTGTAATCCCACCTACTTGGGAGGCTGAGGCGGGAGGATCGCTTGAACACAGGAGGTGTAGCTTGCAGTGCACCGAGATCATTGTGCCACTGCACTCCAGCCTGGGCAACAGAGTAAGACACTGTCTTAAAAAAAAAATTAAAAAGAGCCAATGTGAAGAGAGAATCTCTGTGACAGGTGACATTAGGACAGGGCCCTAGGTCCCACCTGCCAAGCTGCTACAGCAGGATAAATGAGAGTCAGGTCCAGTCCCCACTCAAACACATGCCTACTACTGTCCGCACACAGGAATATCTCCTGAATAGAGTGCAAAATTCAGTAAAGTCAGAACTAGAGTCAAATTTCTAGGTTCTCATGGGAAGTCAATTCATGAGATTTCATAATGTAGGCTGTAGCATGGGTAGCCCACTAAAAGTACAAATAGACATTCAGTTGAGTTAATTTAGCTGGGAGGCTAAAGTGAAGGCCCAAGGAGGCAGGAAGGGTAAGAAAAGTATCAGAGTGAAGGCGCGTATATCAGAACACCCAGGGCTGCAAAGACATCTCATTTACTTGGCGTCAAATACTTGGGAGTATTCATTAATGCTTAAAGTACTTAACAGTATTTTCTGCCCCTTTCTCTACCTAAGTAGGTTATAGGTTAAGGGAGTTAAAGTTAAGGCCCTTCAGAGGATGTTTAAATGACAGCTTGCATTCCTCCCTCAAGAGTATGAGTTTGTGGTAATAAACGCCCTCAGTAGATGTGTTTCTGCCTCCAATCATTAGCCTCCTTCTTGTCTTTGCCCTGTAGGCTTCATTATCACTTTACTGATAAATACAGGAAAAAGAGAGATAAAGATGACCTTTATTACATCATTTGTGGTCAATATTGGAAGCAGAGTCCTCTGGTTACATAACTTTTGGTCAGGGGTGTGTTGGGGGTAGAGGTCTTGACATCATGCTCAGGGAGCTGAGTGCGTCTGTAAAGTCTCCACCACCCATGACTTAATAAGTTGGGCATTTTATTCACTCAGATTTGGAGGCTTCTCAGCATATTCCTGTTGTCAGAACTTATATTTCAGCAGCATCGCATGATATTTCACAGTGGAGGAAAGAGCCTAGAGCTCTGCTAAGCAGCCGTTCTTTTTAGGAGCTCTCATATGCGTAAGGAATACGGAAGTGCTGTGAAGAATGTAAAGCTCTAAAAGTGTCAGTAGTTACCCCAGAGACATGGGCAGAAGCTAGGGAGTCAGGAGAATCTGTCCTCAAGTTGCTGCTTAATAACGTGCTTTGTTCTACAAGGCACTGGTGATCCTCTGCAGGGCCAGGCCTCCTAGTCAGTCATTCTTCTCCTGGCTTACTGCACTGAAGCCATTCTTTCTCCTGTTCGTTGGAAGACATTTGGGATTCATTCCTTTGACTGGAAACTAGGCTGTCCTTTTCCCCATTAGCCACTTTTGTCTTCACATGGTGGTTTTTCCTTGTCCTCTAGCTTTCAGTTTTATGTTACTTTCTCAGAGATGCCATGCCTGGCACAAAAAGTAGGCATTTGATAAATATTGACAGGATGAATAAATGATTTGTGGTGGTTGAAAGAGGTGAGTATATGAAGAATGTGGCAGAATGTCTGGTAAACAATAGGGCTCCTGAATTATTAGTTTTCTTACTCTAATGTTCAGAGTGATTCTGAAATGGTCTGTAACCACACATGAAAAGTCAGCTTTGGTTGTAATCCCAATGATATGCACAGCCATTTAAAAGGTTTTGAATATGTTTAAAAATATTATTATGTTTTAATACAAACCACACACACACACACACACACACACATACACACAGACACACACAGAGACAGAGAGAGAGAGAGACAGAAAGTCTTTTCTATATTTTTTAATGGATATTTTCTTTGTATTATCTTGCATGGAGTTCTCTGAGCTTCCTCTGTGGCCCGTTTGTTTTTATTAATATTGAAAAATTATTAATCATTATCTTTTCAAACAATTCTTCTACCTTGATTTTCTCTCTTCCTATTCAGGGGCTCCAATTACCTGTGTTTTTTTTTTTCAAAATATTTAATATTGTTTCGCAGACCTTAGATACTCTTTTCATTTTAATTTTTCCCTCCTCTTAGTGTTTTAGTACATGCAATTTTAATGACCTATCTTCAAGTTCATTTCTTTTTTTCTCTGCTATGTCTGGCCCATCAAAGGAATTTTTCATCTTTGGTATGGTGTTTTTCACTTGTTGCATTTTCCTTTGGTTCTTAAGAGTTTCTATCTCTTTACTGAAATTCTTCATCTGCTTACACATATTGTACAACTTTTCTACTAGATCATTTAACATATTAATCACAGTTATTTTAAAGTCTCAGTCTGATAATGCCAACAACTTAGGCCATTTTTGGGTGTGATTCTGTTGGCTCTTTTACATTTTGACTATCTATTATTATTTTATATCTTAACAATGGGTCCATTTTTTTTCTCGCTCTTTTGGAGGTTGTATAATTTCTGATTAAATGCTGGACATGTGTATAACAGAACAGCAGAGATGGAGGTAAATAATTTTTATGTCCAGAAATGAGTATGCCTTTTCGCCTATAAAGCCGTGTGTGCGTGCATGTATGTGTGTGTTTGTGTGTGTGTTTGGGGGGAAGAGGAAGAGGTTGATTCTGTCTAGACTGCAGGTGAGCTGGGTTTGGGCTTTGTTGTTGCTTTAGTGCAATGAAGTCTTTAAATTCCTTTAGTAGGGTACAGCTACTGCCCTGTGCTTAGTATGAGACATGGAGCAACAGAATTTCTCTCAGTATTTTTGTCCTACCTCAGATTTCAGTAGCACCCGTATGACTCTGCTATGGAGGGGATCTCTCTTCTTGCCCTTCTGTTAATAGCAGATGTCTGTTCTTTGGTATTTGGGGTAAGACTTATAGTGAAGAGAAAAAATTTCTTGGTTTTCCTGTCCCGGTTTCAGTCTTAGGGAGGCCCTATGTACCTAAATCTTAGGGATAGGACTTTTTTCAAAATTCTTGATTCTCTCCAATAGCAAACATCCTCTGCTTCCTTCTTGGTATAGGGTCTGGAATACAACTGGGCTTCCTGTGTCTTCTCAGGGGCAAAGAAACACTGTCTTGTATCAGTGCAGAGTCTTGGATAAGTGGATTTCTTGCCTATATTCCTCCCGTAACAGCAGCAGATGGCTTCTGCCAGCTGTCAGTGAAGTACGTAGGACAGGTGGGTTTTGTGCCCTTCCTTCATTGGCAGATGGATTTTATTTGTGATAATAAGGGTAATTTGTAGTGACAAATTATTGTTGTTTTTTCATAAATTTGTGCATACTCTCCCAAGAATTCCTCAAAGTAAATACTAAGATTTGTGGGCTGACTTCAAACTTTTGGAAAAGCAAACCATTCATCCAGATCTTCCCCACAGCTCTTAACAACTAGATTGTCTTTGTAGAATAGTTATAGTTTATTTCATCTCTAGTTCTCATGGTTCTGTTTATCTTAATCTTGCCCTATGCTGCTGGGTGCAGAGTCTTAACCAACTTTTCACTTAAAAGGGGTGAAAATTACTCAAAGACATATGAATGGATGGCATTATTCTTCATTTATGGACATCTGAAAGTTGGATTATATATTGGGTACATTTAAGTTAATACAAAAAATAATTGATTTAATGTTTTTGTAGTTTTAAAATTAGATTTGTGGACTAGGAAGAAGTAGGGAACATGGGAGATTTTTCGAAGTGTAGTGCTTGGTTGTTCTGGGGAAGTTAGGTAGATGAGGATAAAAAAGTCTTCCGTGCTTCTTAGAAGGGCAAGGCAGTTCTGTCATGAAGGAAGACAAATGAAAAATTGCTTTACCACAGGCTCAACTCCACGTAATGCAGACAAATTCACATTTGCATATTTCTGGGGCAACCAAGGTTAAGATTTTTAAGATTAAGATTTTAACTAATTTCTTTTTTTATTTTTACTTTTTAAACTTTTATTTTAGGTTCAGGACTACATGTACAGGCTTGTTATATAGGCAAATTGCATGTCACAGGGGTTTGTTGTACAGATTATTTCATCACCCAGGTAGTAAGCATAGTACCTAATAGGTAGTTTTTTGATCCTCACCCTCCTCCCACTATCCACTCTCAGGTAGGCATTGGTGTCTGTTGTTCCCTTCTTTGTGTCCATATGTACTCAGTGTTTTGCTCCTACTTATAAGTGAGAACATGTGATACTTGGTTTTCTGTTCCTGTGTGAGTTTGCTTAGGATAATGGCCTCCAGCTCCATCCATGTTGCTGCAAAGGACACAATCTTGTTCTTTTTTATGGCTGCGTAGTACTCCATGGTGTATATGTACCAAATTTTCTTTATCCAGTCTACTATTTTTAACTGATTTCTTGGAAGATTGGCTTCTGGTCTGTGCTTTATCTCCTGTGAGATATTACTTTTTTTCCTGCTAATGATCTTCAGATATAGTTCTTACCTTTCCTTTTAGGTACCTACTTCTGCAACTTGGATCATACTTCTAGGTCCCAGGTTTGTGGCCATGAAAGGCTGATGCACAATCTCAGATTTAATGAAATGGTGTCATGTGTCTCTTCAATAACATCCCTGTGTGTATAAGTTTTTAAATAAAAAACATAGCACTCTTCTTTTTGTGAGAAATAAGGATTTATCAATTTGAAGAGATAATAAATGATGAGTTCCTTACCAGTTAAACCTGTTTCTAAAATAGAGATCTCTTCATAACTCATGGTCTGGCTTCTGTAAGTTCCATGCTGCTATAAACTGAATGTTTGTGTCCTCCCTCCCCACCAAATTCATACGTTGAATTCCTAACCGCCAATGTGACGGCCCTTGGAGATGAAGTTATGGGTAAGTGGTTAGGTCATGGGGGCAGAGCCCCCATATGTGTGATTAGTGTCTTGAAAAGAGACTACAGAGAACTCATTTTCCTTTTCTGCCATGTAAGAATACAGCGAAAAGATGGCCATATATGAACCAGGAAGTGGGCCCTCTCCAGACACTGAATCTTTTGGCACCTTGACCTTGAACTTCCCCTCCTTCAGAACTCTGAGAAGTAAATTTCTGTTGGTTATAAGCCACCTAGTCTATGGTATTGCTTCCTGAGCAAACTAAGACACAAGTCTATGTTTTTGGAAATGCACTGTCCTGCACACAGTGTAAATCCATGGTAAAAATTTTTAAAATGATTATCATATTTAAAACTGCTTTCATTTACCTTTTTCATACTTCACTTAATAAAACATGACCTAGAAATGATAAAAATGAAAGGCAGCATGCTTTTTTAGTAAAAAAGTAAGACGAATATGCTCTGAAAACTTTCAAAGTTAATATAAATGCAGTGATGGTCATTAGATTTCCACTGCCTTGAGCTTCACTGTGGAATTCCCCTAGCTTTCAGAGGAACTGCTGTCCAACTTGGCCTTTCAGTTGGTGTCAAGAGGTTTTGATTTCCTTCTGAAAGGCAAACTGAGTCCGACGGTGTACTTGCATTCTGTTATTCTTTCTTGCTCTCCATCATTTGTCTTTATAAGGATGTGTATTTTCCAAGGGTAGGCACACACACATGAATAGCCAACAGCTAGGCCATTCCTCCAAGCCATCCCTGCTCTCCTCCTCTTTACTTCCTGAATTACTCCAAATTTTTGTATTCTCACAACCTTGTAACTGTCTCATTGAACATACCACACTTCATTACATTTTTCTTTATATTTTTATATTTCCAGTCTAAGCTCGATGGCAGAGACCATGCCCTATTCTTTTTTACTGACAAAGCCTAGCATAGCTGTTTCTCAAGAAATGTTTGATTTACTTAAGCGCTTATAGAGGGCATTATCTATTGGAGGGAGTAGTGTAGGGGTGAAGAAATCACAGATTTCTTGGATACTCTATTATCAGTTCCAGATCTTTCATTCACTGTGTTTACTTTTCTAAACCTGATACATAAATACTAATTTGTTACCTGCAGAGCAAAGAGTTAGAGCAGTTGGCATATAACCCATTTCTACTACTGATTATGAGAGAAACACACCCAGAGAAACAAGAGAAGGCGGGCCACCCAGTCCCATCTCCTCAGAAACAAGGTATTTGAGGCCTGGCACGGTAGCTCACGCCTGTAATCCCTGCACTTTGGGAGGCTGAGGCGGGCAGATCACCTTAGGTCAGGAGTTCAAGACCAGCCTGGCCAACACAGTGAAACCCTGTCTCTACTAAAAATACAAAAATTAGCCAGGCATGGCGGTGGGCACGTGTAATCCCAGCTACTAGGGAGGCTGAGGCAGGAGAATTAGTTGAATCCAAGAGGCAGAGGTTGCAGTGAGCCAAGATCGTGCCACTGCACTCCAGCCTGGGTGACCGAGCAAGACTCTGTCTCAAAAAAAAGGAATAGAAAAGAAACAAGGTATTTGGATGTTTTAGTCAGTTTGGGCTGCTGTCATAGATTACCACAGACTGGGTGGCTTAAGCAACAAACTTTATCTATCAGTTTTGGAAGCTAGGAAGTCCAAAATCTAGGCATAGGAAGATTCAGTGTCTGTGAGGGCCCACTTTCTGTCTCATAGATGGCTATCTTTTTGCTGTGTCTTTATATGCAGAAAGAGGGCTAGAGAGCTCTCTGAGGTGTCTTTTACAAGAGCACTAATCCTATTCATATGGGTTCCACCTTAAGGACTTAATTACTTCTCAATTAATAGCAGCCCAGACTGACTGAAACATCCAGACACCTTGTCCCAAAGACTCCATTTCCTGATACTATCAAATTGAAGTTTAGATTTTCAATGTATACATCTGGGGAACACACATTTATTCCCTATCTCCAGACCAGCAGGCAAATAGACGAGTGATACTTGCTAAGAGGGAGATCTTTTGTCTATGATACACATTGAGCAGAATGTCTCTGGTTTAGGGTTGCTTAGGGTAAACAATCTTATATATTATCTATACATGTATGAGGCATAGCTATCTCAATAATGTTGCACAAGTTGCAAAAACACTCTGGGTTAAAATGAAGATGTTTCATGGCTTAAATTCTCCCCGCTATGTGAGGTGACCTGCAAACTTCATTAGAGAACTCACTTATCACTCTGGGCCTGAAAGTCTAGACGACTATGAAAAAGAAAGAGCCAGAACATGTGGGATGTCTCGTACCTGTCATTGCTTTGCTTGTGCCCCTTGATTGCTTGTATCCTTGAAATTATTAATTAAGTTTGACATTGGGTAAGTTCTTTGAGTCACATGATTCTGATTCAATAGCAGGACCTTTTGTGTCAGCTCACTACCTAGTGGAATTCTTGTGAGGATTGACTGATTTAATGCAGATCAAGTACTTAGTACAATACCTGGCACATATTAAGTGCTTAAAGGTTTGCTATTATTATGGGCACTCATTAGTAAGAGTAGTAGTAATAGTATAGGTAGTAGTAGTTGCGGCAGTAGTAGCAATGGTGATAGCGTGGGCTGAAATGACTGCTGGTTCTTTATACTGTACACACATATACGTCTATTCTGTATCAGCAACAGTAGCTGCTAGCTGTAACTCAATGTTTACCAGCTCAAAGCTGTACCTCAACCTCATTTAGTGGCTCAATTATTATTTATTACAAGCTTGTGGTTTGTCAGACACCGTTCTAAGCTCTTGAGGCCACATACTGGAGGGGGAAAAATGAAAATTTAAAAATGAACATATAATACACCTTTGCAGGTAGTGTAGGTGATATGAAGAAAATAATGCGGAGTAAAGATATAGAAGGAGATGAGGGGAGAGTTTGGAGCTAGGGAGGGGTGTGATCTAAGCTGTAGGTGGAAATGATGGCTCTGATTGTATCTAATATTCCATCCTTAATATATATTTTCAAGTGTCTGTCTTACTATCCTGAATCCTTACCACATCTTACCATTTAGCAGCCAGTAAAGGACCCAACAGTAACCCATTCTTCAACTACAAGTTAAATCATGCTTCTATAAGCCTTATTTCTAAGGTCTTACAATAACAGCATCTCAGGTGTTTTTATGTCATTATTTTTGATACACATAGAGAAGGAACTTCTGAAGAAATGAAACATTACATACACACTTTCTGATGCATTCTATTTCTTTTCTTTTCTTTTCTTTTTTCTTTTTCTTTCTTTTTTTGAGATGGAGTCTTGCTCTGTCACCCAGGCTAGAGTGCAGTGGTGTGATGTCTGCTCACTGCAACCTCCGCCTCCTGGGTTCAAGCGATTCTCCCATCTCAGCCTTCTGAGTAGCTAGGATTACAGGTGTGCACCACCACACCTGGCTAATTTTTGTATTTTTAGTAGAGATGGGGTTTCACCATTTTGGCCAGGCTGGTCTCGAACTCCCGACCTCAGGTGATCTGCGCGCCTTGGCCTCCCAAAGTGCTGGGATTACAGGCGTGAACCATCGCGCCTGACCGGACGCATTTTACTTCGAAAGCTCATTGATTTGAAGGCTCAGGTTCATTCTGTGGAGTCTTTCATCAGTTTCTTTTCCAGTTATACGATTCAGGGTTCCCGCATCACAAACTCACTGTCTCACTAGGCTGGCATTATATCTGTTTTAACAGTCTTCTTTCTTGGAGTGATCCTCTTTAGGTAAAAACTAAGTCACTTCAGTTGATTTTAATCTCTCTCTTTTTATGGTTTCAGATTTTAGATTCGGCGGTACATGGGCTTGTTTTTTACATGGGTATTACATGAGTAATGGTGGGGGTTGGGATTCTAGTGTATCCATCCTCCAAATATTGGACATTGTACCCAGTAGGTAAGTTTTCAACCCTCACTCCCCTCCCACCCTCCTCCGTGTGGAGTTCCCAGAGTCTATATTCCCCATCTTTTTGTCCATGTGTACAATTTATTTAGCTCCCACTTATAAGTGAGGACATGAATATTTGATTTTCTGCTTCTGTGTAGTTTATACAAGAAACAATTATTAGCTATTCACCCAGTGCTAGGTACAGTGCTAGGCAACAGACTCTCTAGGAGATCGTGGGGCACACGGGCCCCAAATTCTAGTCCCAAATAATACAAGATAGTAGTTTCTGTAAGTGAGATTTGTGCAAAGTGCTATGGGAGCCCAGAGGAGTGGGTTGTTAAGCAGGCTGGGGACTAGCAGAAGCCTTAAAGGAAGTAATTATGCGCAGGCTGCAGGACAGTCACTGCATTCTTCAAAGTGGAGACAGAGCTATTATGTTCTCCACTGTCGGAGGTGAAGTGATTATGTTTCTATGGGTAGGGAAGCTAGTCATCTGCTTGCTTCTCATCTATCCTAGCTTTTTATACCCATGGGAACTTTAACATTGCTGTGAAGATATGGTTAGAAAAAAGCTCTATACTATATTGTGCTCAGTGCAATAATGGGATTAATCCTTGTTTGTATTTGGACCTGAAGAAACAAAGTGAAATGCTTAATCTTTGAATGTATCTTTGCTTTTTACAATCCTCTTTTGTTTCTGTGGAAACAGTTGTAGAGCAGTGTTTTGGGAGATGCATATTGAAAACAGACATTTAACACTTTAAGACAATGTTTCCCAAACTTACTTGATCTTGTACCTATTTTTTTGCTTAACTGATTAACATCCACAGCACCATTTGAGGAGTGCTGATCTGGAGTAATAAACTGACTTTTCCGTTTGGGATCGGGACACTTCCTTTTGTTTGTCTCTATCTGTGTGTATCCAGGTGCACATACTGAGTAGTGATGATTCGGTGTGTGCTTCGTTGCTTTAGTGGATGTGTGCATGTGGGTCCAAGCATCAATCTTTTACCACTAGAGGCCATATACTTAGGTGTGCAAACATGTCAAGACAGATGTGCTCATTCACACTGCTGATTGTGTGTATGCACAGGTGCATGTGGCGTGTACATGTGGCCATCTTTGCAACTATCACAGCATGTTTACCAAAGATTCCAGAACCAATATGTGATAGGAGCTAAATATGCACTTTGATAAATGAACTTGAAGACTCCATTTTCCTACGAAATGGAAAACTTCTTTTCGAGAAACAGTTCAATTCAAGGTTCTTGGAAATAGCTAATAAGTTATTGGTAACTTTAGGGTTACAAAATTTATCTCTGAAGATTTACCAGTTCCTAAAGTTATTTCTTTTAAGGGGTATTTATGCTGTTTTCCACACTAAGTATGGTTCATTTTTGCGTATTATGTATTTAATTCAGCAACAGATATTATTGGATACTATAGTAGTTATCTACTGTGGGATAATAAATTATACCTGAGCTTAGTGGCTTAAAACAACACACGTTTACTATCTCATAGTTTTTATGGGTCAGGAATTTGGCCATAGCTTACCTGAGTCTTCTGCTTCAGGAATTCTTACAAGGCTGCAGTCAAGGCGTCAGCAGGTCTGTGGTCTTATCTGAATACACAGTTGGAAGGATCTGCTTCTGAGCTTGAGCAGGTAATTCTTAGCAGGATTTAGTTTCTCAGCTCAGGAGGTGGGTTGAGAGTCTCAGTTCCTCACAGGCTATTGGTGAGACCCCATCACTCTTTCTGCATTCTGTTCATGAGAAGCAAGTTACTAGGTCCAATCCTAACACACACACACACACACACACACACACACACACACGGGATTACATAAGGCATGATGACCAGGAGGTGGGAGTCATTGGAGGTCATTTTGGAATCTACCTAATACTACAGATACTATATGCTGGCTTCTGTAAACGCCTCATATAACATAGTGTTCATCAAGAAAATGCACCTTTAAAAAACGTCATTTCTGGCCTGGTGTGGTGGCTCATGCCTGTAATCCCACCACTTTGGGAGGCTAAGGTGGATGGATCATGAGGTCAGAAGATCAAGACCATCCTGGCCAACATGGTGAAATCCCGTCTCTACTACAAATATAAAAATTAGCTAGGTGTGGTGGCGCGTGCCTGTAATCCCAGCTACTCCGGAGTCTGAAGCAGAAGAATTGCTTGAACCAGGGAGGCAGAGGTTGCAGTGAGCTAAGATGGTGCCACTGGACTCCAGCCTGGCGACAGAGCAAGACTCGGTCTCAAAAAAAAAAAAAAAAAATCAATTCTTAAAAAACATCTCCTATTTCTTCCATTTAACCACTACCACTCAGGCCTGGCCCTTTTGCCTTTTGTATCTGAACTTTGTCAGTGGCCCCCTAATTAGACTCCCTGACTTCAGCCTTGTCTTTCTTATTGCTGCCAAAGTAATTTTCCTAAGACCTGCCCTTTTCAACCTTAAGTGGCTGCTTCTTTCTGAGTACGCACTGTTTTTCAACTTAAAAAATCATGTACTCTTTGACAAATATAAAAATTGCATCTTTTCCTTTACTATAAATTGAAATTTCAAAATAAATATCATGAGAAAAAGAAATAAAAACAACGATATTTTGCTCCAATTAAGCTGTTAAATTGAATTTCACTCACTTTGAGCATGAAGTCCCTGCTGTTTAGCCTGGTTTGCAAAGTCCACCACAATCTCCATCAGTCCTTCCTTCTTAATACAAGCCTTCCATTCTAGTACACTGGTTTTTCATTATTTTGTGGATATATTTTTGGTATTTTGTGCTTTTGAACTTCTACTCCTTTATTGTAAAATATTTAAAGTTATACATAGAAATGGAAAAAAAAAACTCTCATGTTACTTCCATCTGATTAGGATGTCTTTTCGGAGGAGGTAATCTATGGTTAAAGGACACAAAACGGATGGAGAAAAGATGCTCTGAAATGCACACAAAGGCTGTAGGTATTTAGAAATCTCCTTATTGCTTTATGCATAGAACAGGGTGAAACACAAAGGGAACCATTTTAAAACAATCTTTTCCTCAAACACTGTAAAAAAAAAGACATATTAGTATGTAATGACACATGTAATGATAATCTCCTTAACAAACATTTAAGATCAACTTTATTTTACAATTTTGCAACAAAGACAAAGTAAAATAAAATTAGTTAATTACTTGTTACTTACTAAAGAATTACCTAAGTAGAGAAGGTTCAGTCTCTGATTTTGGAATTTCTATGCCTACCTTGCCTACTGTTCCTTCTTAGAAATCTATACTGTGAACATGCGCTACTCATAATTCTAGTTATCCTACTCATGAGAAGCACTCATTTTATGCCCTTGAATAAAAGAAGAAGAGAAGTTATTGCTTCTTTGATGGGAACAGATTTCTAGATGATAAGGCCTGCACTGCCATTCTCTCTTTGCTCTCGTAAATGTGCATCCATTCTGAAGAGGTTTCCTGTGGAAGTTAGAGAACTTCTTGTATTTCAGAACTGTCCATTTCAGATGTTAGCCAGACAAGGTGATCTTACAAGTGCACACCACCAATTCCTCCGTGTTTATATAAGAGGCAAGTAAGGGAATGTATTCCAATTTCTGTATCATATGGTGTTTTTCTTTCTATGTTATCCTTAGAAATAAATGTGGAAATTATTGAGGAAAAGATAAAACCAACCAACCAGACAAGTTACTTTTTTAAAATCACAAATGAAGTGTGATGAGAAATGAAGGCAAATAAGCTAGACAAACGTTTGGCAGAAAGGGTATAGTTCATTTCAGATTTTACTGGCTTGTTGAGTGTGCTAGAGTGTACTGTAATCCTGAAGACATTTTTTTTTCATTTTCCACAAAAGGTAAATAGCCTTTTCCAGGGACTTGAGGGTCAGTTGAGTGTAATCATATATATTTATTAGAACATAAATAATTTTATAAAATGCAGCCATTTTATGATTATAGTCAATGTCAGGAAATAAGCAGAAGTATTTTTCTTCACATACATCTAGATGGAAAGAAGTTGCTCTATGCCTCCCTTTTACTACAGTGTTCTCACAGCTCCTCTGGATTGAAGTAAATGGGAAAGTTTTTGAGGTCCATCTGACATGAGAAATCCCCTGATTACTATGAAGTCAGAAGTAGTGGAGAGATTAACGGTTTATAACTCCCAATAAAGCATTTCCTTCATAAGTCTGATTAAAGTGATTTATCAACAAAAACTTACTTATAAAAGTTGCGTGTTTGATAGACAAACATAAAAATTCAGTTTTTCATGCTGGGACATGTCAAGAACAAACATTCGTCTATTAGGGTGCCCCTCTCAACTGATGGAAAGGGACCTTGACAGGCTAGATAAGCTACTTGGGGATTTTGCCTTGGACAGCCTGTGTTCGTCTTTCAGCTGTGTAGGTAAGTCATACATTTTGTGGTCACTAGATGGCAGTATAACACCAATGAAAAATCTAGGAAAACCAATTTTTCCCAACTTCAAAGCAAGTTTAATGTATTTTTATGCTAAGGCAGTTTTAAAAAGACTCTCCAGAGTATGCTAGGAGTAAAAATATATAAACCTATTTTTTAAAAGTATCAAACCAAATTATTCTTAAGAGTGAAAAATTGTCTGACTTCCCTTTTAGCCTTCAGACAATTCAGATTTGTAACTTTGTTTATGTATCTGGAATATTCTGAAATAATCTTGTAACATTCTTTTTTCTTATTCCTTGAGGAAGTTTTGATACCTCCCAGATGCAAACAAGTGAGTGAAGAAAGATGATACTATTGTAGTCACACGAAAGAAAAAAGATAAGAAAAAACACACCTCAAAACCCACACAAATCGCGCCTACGCATAAACAACCCTTCTCAATTGTACTCAGGCATAACCATCTATATATTTGCCTTAAGTACTTTGTCACCTATGTGGTTCTTATTTAGGTTTTCTGTCTATTTCTAATGTATCTAGCAACCCTTTATTGCTTCATCAGGGCACTTTTTCCAGAAGATGATCTCTTTGTAATGCTGTCACAAATATGGAGCCTGCACTAGAATCCAATGCTAACTGCTTCTTGGTGCAGTTTATTCATTCAACACATATTGGTAAGCATCTTCTAAGTAATGGCACTGACATGGTTAGGCTTTGTGTCTCCACCCAAATCTCATCTTGAATTGTGATCCCCAGGTATTGTGGGAGAGATCTGGTGGGAGGTGATTGAATTATGGGGGCAGTTTCCCCCACGCTGTTCTTGTGAGAGTGAGTGAGTTCTCACAAGATCTGATGGTTTTATAAAGGGCTCTTCCCTCTTCTCTTGCTACGCACAGTCTTTCCAGCCTGCTGCCATGTAAGACGTACCCCTTCCCCTTATGCCATGATTGTAAGTTTCCTGAGGCCTCCCAAGCCATGTGGAACTGTAAGTCAATGAAACCTATTTTCTTTATAAATTACCCAGCTTTGGGTATGTCTTTATAGCGGTGTGAAAACAGACTAATACAGGCACTATGCAAGTTGCTAGGGGATTAGTGGTATGAAGACTCAGTCTCAGTTCTTTGTTACTTATAATCTAGCAGAAGAGAGACATTAAGTAATCTCATAATTAACAAAATTGACCAATTACAATGACGAGAAAGGCTACAAAGAGATATGTTAAGTGATTTTATAATGGGTGGTCTGATTTGATTCACTCAACAAATACTTATTAACTGTCTACTCTGTGCTTGGTACTATTCTAGGTGCTGGGGATTCATCAGTGAGCTAAGCAGATAATGATCCCTGTCCATGTGGAAATATATTTGAGCTGGGGAACACAGAAAACCCGCAAAATAAGTGCTATGGAAAAAATATGAAGACGGGATGTGAGAGAAGTGGCACTGAGGAGGAACCTGTGACTTTGACTAGTGTAGTCACAGAGGGTCTCACTGAGAGGATGTCATATGGCTTAAAGCTTTAAATAAAGGAGGGAAAGAGCCATGTGGACATCGGAGGAAGAGCTACTCTGGTTAGAGAATAGCAAATGCAAAGACCCTAGAGCAGGAACATATCTGGTGAGTTCAAGGAACCTCAAGGAGGTTAACATAACTGGAAGGGAATGAATACAGGTCTAGGGGACTTGGCCAAAGTCCCTTAGAGCCTAGAATTTTAGTCAAAGTCACAGGCTCCTCTCAATGCCACTTCTCTCATGTCCCTTCTTCATATTTTTCCGTAGCACTTATTTTGTGGGTTGTCTGTGTCCCCCAAGGTAATGGGAGGCAGATCATGTAGGACCTTACGGCCATTGAAACGTCTGCTTGGACTAAGCCAGAGTCATGGAAGGTTTAGAGCAGAGATGTGACACCGTTTTATTTATGGCAGAATCACTCTGACTCTTGTGATTTAAAATATTTTAGGGGTCAAAGAGGGAAACCAGGAGACCAAGATTCCCGGAGAAAGAGATTAGTAGCTTGGACCTTGTGGCAGCTATCGAGGCATTGAGAAGTGGTAGAATTCAGGATGTCTTTTGAAGCCATCCTGAAGGATCTCCTGATGGGTTGGATGGGGCTTAGGAGACAGAGAGAGGAGGCATAAGTGACTGCCAGACATTTGTCCTGACCAACGGAACGGTGAAACAACCATTAATTGAAATGGAGAAGACTGAGGGTAGAGCAGGTTTTTGGGACAAAAATCAGGAGTTCAGTGTTGGGCATGATAAGTTTAAATTATGTGTTATCAGGCCGGGCGCACAGGCTCATACCTGTAATCCCAGCACTTTGGGAGGCTGAGGCGGGTGGATCACAAGGTCAGGAGTTTGAGACCAAACTGACCAAGATGGTGAAACCCCGTCTCTACTAAAAAAAAAAAAAAAAAAAAAGAAAAAAAAGAAAAAAAAAAATAGCCGAGTGCGGTGGCAGGCGCCTGTAGTCCCAGCTACTAGGGAGGCTGAGGCAGGAGAATTGCTTGAACCTGGGCGGCAGAGGTTGCAGTGAGCCGAGATCGTGCCACTGCACTCCAGCCTGGGTGATAGAGTGAGACTCTGTCAAAAAAAAAAAAAAATTATGTGTTATCTGTCCAAACAGAACGATCTCATTTCAAGTGCAGGAGAGACGTCTGGGTTGAAAGTATCCATTTGGGAATTGGCATCATTTAGATGGTATTGAAAACTACAAAGCTGGACAAGTGAGTGACTTTGGGGTATGTGAGGGGGAGCAGGAAGTCTTCTCAGAAGTGACCTCCCAGCAGGATCTGAAGGATGAGTAAGTTCACTGGGTGGAGAGTGAAAGAAGATCTCTCTCCTCTCAATGGCACCAGGAAGAGATGCTCCATTTTCCACTGACGCAGTGAAGCATAGAGGAGCAGTCTAACCACAGAGACTCTTTATTAGGTACTGGGAAAGTTTCCTGGAGTAACAAAGTAGCTTTCCTAGAATAAGAAAGTTTGAAAGTTCTACAAACTTTCAAATACAGTATCAATGTAGGTGGCAGCCTGGAGTATGTCCCGATAGTTCCTAAGGAATTTCATATACATATGAGGTGTCATTTTTATCTTTGAAAATGACTTTGTGATACCTGTATGTTGAAGCAGTAGAGGCCTTAGGGCAGTTGTCACCAAGTGGTGACAGCATATACCTGTCTTGTGCCCCTCAGCAGAAGCAGAAGCATTTTGGGAACTTGGTGTGTGCTCCTCACGGTAGCTGACCAGGGACGCAATCGAGTCTGAGAGCTGTCAGGCAGGGCGTTGAGCCCCGTGGCTGCCACTTATCACCTATGTAACTTTGGGCAGGTTGTTTAAACTTTCTGTGTGTCCATTTCTTTCTTAGCAAAATAAGCATAAAACTAGTTTTGCCACGAGGAACAAACAAGGATATGATTTTACTAAAATTGCTTATAACATAGGAAGGCTTCAGTCAAGAGCAGGCATGACTCTTTTTATTGCTGTGAATCACCATGGACTTTGTTTTTAAGATTGAGAATACGAAAGAAGTCAGATGTATTTCTGGTTGAGAAAAAAAGACCAGATTAGACAATAAAATACCGATTTTCCATTTATCATCATTTCATCTAGACTCTCAAACAGCAAAACTGAAAAATAATAACAGATATTTATGGACCTCTTAGTACTAGCAAAGCAGTGTACATGTATTCTCTTACTGTATCTTTACCACTCTGTATGGCCAGTAGAATTTCCCCTGTTTCACAGATCAGGAATCTGAGCCTTGGAGTCTTCACTGAGGGTACAAAGCTAGTCAGTGGCAGATCCAGGATTTGAAAGAAGTTGTCCTCTTTCAAGTTCTGCAAACCAATGTTCCAACTTTCTCCTAATACAGAACCTATTTATTTTAGCAGGTCACGTCTGAAATGTACTGCTTATAATGGAAGCCTTTAATATAGCAATGTACTTTTGAGGAGTATGGAGAAGAAAACCAGGAGAATATCCCTGCTATTTCAAATGCTAATATATATATTATATATATTATAAATATATTAATATATTTTATTAATATATATAATATATAATATATAATATAATATATTTTATATAATATATAGAATATATAGAATATATATATTCTATATAATATATATTATATAATATATAGAATATATAGAATATATATATTCTATATAATATATAGAATATAATATAATGTAATTATATTATAATTATATTATAATATATAATTATATTATAATTATATTATAATATATAATATAATTATATTATAATATAATTATAATATATAATATGTTATAATATAATTATAATATATGTTATAATATAATTATAATATATAATATGTTGTAATATAATTATAATATATAATATGTTGTAATATAATTATAATATATAATATGTTGTAATATAATTATAATATATAATATGTTGTAATATAATTATAATATATAATATGTTGTAATATAATTATAATATATAATATGTTGTAATATAATTATAATATATAATATGTTGTAATATAATTATAATATATAATATGTTGTAATATAATTATAATATATAATATGTTATAATATAATTATTATATATATATATGGCAGAAAACAAGGTAATTGTATTTTCATACAGGTATTGGATCCCATAAAAATTTTGAAGCTTGGGCAATATCCACCTGGGCTTCTCAACATGGCCAAACCTCTAAGACATGTGAGCTTACCTGACAACGCACAACTTGGCTGTAGCCATTGATTATCCCACTGATTGCTGGAGAAGCTAAGCCAAGTTGTTGCTATTCTGCTTCACGTATCCGATCAGTTCAGTCATCCTTAGGCTACAAGGCACTGCATAACGGCAATAAGACCCCTTTAATGCCCTTATCTTCCAGAAAAATCGGCTTAGGATCCAATCTATAGAGCTCCATTGGACTTTTATGTTACCATTTTCCACAAATGTCATTAGCTCCCATCTGAAAGTCACCTAAAGCCACATCTTCCAGGCATTGCTGGAAACTGCCATAAGCTAGGCTCTGCTGATGTCACCACCACGTGGAAGCGAAGTGTGGTCTGTATACTCTTTAGCGGTTTCTCTTTGCTTTAGATGTGCACCCAATGCTTGAAGCTTACAAAGCTTAGAGAGGCCCGAGTTTTTGGTAGAATATGTTGGTGTTCTACTGTAAAGGCAAAGTATCAAACTGTTTATTGACTGTGAGATTAGAAATTCTCGGTGGATATTTAGTTAGCTTTGTGTGTTCTCCAGACAGGTTTCCAAGAAACAGCTCTAGGCAAAGGAGGGCATTATTCTGTTCACATTTTTCATGTAGAATTACATGTTTTGGGGGTCCCAAAAGGCCATATTTTGGAATATATCCAAATCACCGTGTGCATGTTCCTTTCTTGACCACAATTCCTCCAACACAAATCAAATTTAGAAGCTTCCTATGGTTCCAGATGGTCAGAATCTGAACATATCTAATTACCATTTCCCATTGGGATTATTGCCAACTAGGGGCTGAGCTTCTGTCCAAATGACATCTACTTTCTCCTTAGTTACTTCTGATTCTTGCGTCTTGCCTATTGCCAATTATGAAAATGAAATAAAAATGTTCAATTTGTTTACTGAATTCCTGTCTTCATTTAGTTTATGTAATTCAAAATGAGAAGCAGCAAAAGTTCTTTTAATGTAAACCATTCAAAATGGAGGAATCTTTAAATAAAGAGAAAACAGTTGGAGCTTTAAAACATCTATTATTTTTAAATTTCTCCTTTTTTTCTTCTATTTTGAATCAAAGCTACTGTGGGCACAGATCTTGTATAGTTAATTACTTCCCCCACATTTATTTAGCATGTACTATGTTTATCGAACTTTGTTAGCTATGATGAGAGATGTAAAAATGGACAAGATTTCATTCTGCCTTCTAGGAATTTAGGGTCTTGTAGAAAAACAGATAGGTTAAAAACGTTCTGTGTCACAAGGAATTAAACAGTGCTTTTAGGGAAGAGACGAAGATCAGTGGTGGACAAGAGACTCTCTGTAACTTGAATGTGCTTTTCATCTTAGGTAGTTACAAATAATCCAAGTAAGTTATTTTTGAAACCTGGAAATAAAAGCTCATAACACAAGACAGAATGTCATGTGTTTTCATAGAATTTTAAACAAAACACTCAGGGGAGCAGGGATGGGAAAATTAATTCTACCTGGGTGGCCTTTGTAGAGGCAGTGCCATGTGAGCTGGTTTTGATGGGTGGGGAGGGGAGGAAAATCCCTGCAGGGGTATCGCACAGAGCTCATGGAAATATTAGGGTTAAACTGGGAGGTAGCGGCGTTTGAAGTTTGCCTGAAGAAATTTCAGTGAATGAAAGCAGGAGACTGTGAGACTGATGGGTGGGCAGTAGAAGCCCTTCAAAACCAAGTGAAGGAGTCTAGATTTAGATTTTTCATTCCCTAGCTCAGCATTTCTCTAAGACTGATCTTCAAAGTACTGGCCCCATGAGAGGCACTGAATGTGAGATCTACATACTTGAAGATTCATCATAGACATTAGAATATTAAAAGCTCTGATCAGTCCTGCAGTAGAGATTTTTGCTGGCCAGGAGCGCTGGCTCACGCCTGTAATCCCAGCACTTTGGGAGGCCGAGGAGGGGAGATCACGAGGTCAAGAGATCCAGACCATCCTGGCCAACATGGTGAAACCCTGTCTACTAAAAATACAAAAATTAGCTGGGTGTGGTGGCACGCGCCTGGAGTCCCAGCTACTTGGGAGGCTGAGGAAAGAGGGGAATCATTTGAACCCAGGAAGCAGGGGTTGCAGTGAGCTGAGATGGCGCCACTGTACTCCAGCCTGGCGAAAGAGCAAGACTCCATCTCAAAAACAAACAAACAAACAAACAAAACGGTTCTTGCCTTTCTTTATTTAACCCAACGTTTCCTAAAGGCTTCTGACTACAGAATTCTTTAAAATATAATACTATGGAAGGAAGTACTTTGAGTCTACACAGAGCTAACACTTACGTAGCATAACTATGTGTTAGACACTGTTTTATGTGTGTTACGTGTATTTGCTTATTTATTTATTTATTTATTTATTTATTTATTTTTTGAGAAGGAGTCTTGCTCTGTCGCCCAGGCTGGAGTGCAGTGTCATGATCGCAGCTCACTGCAACCTCCACCTCCTGTGTTCAAGGGATTCTCCTGCCTCAGCCTCCTGAGTAGCTGGGACTACAGGCGCCTGCCACCACGCCTGGCTAATTTTTTGTATTTTTAGTAGAGACAGGGTTTCACCACGTTAGCCAGGATGGTCTCGATCTCCTGACTTCGTGATCTGCCGGCATCAGCCTCCCAAAGTGCTGGGATTATAGGCGTGAGCCACGGCGCCTAGCCTATTTGCTCATTTAATCCTTACCACACTTTGTGAAGTAGGTACCATTATTATCCTCATTCACATATGTGGAAGCTGAGGTGCAGGGGGACTAAGAAACCTCCCTGAGTCCAGGGTCACAAGCTAATAAGTGAGAACTCTGGGGTTTGAACCCAAGTCATCTGACTGCAAGGTCTGTTTTTTAATCTATATAACACACAGCTCCCTAAATGCTGTTTCTGAACAGAAGAGTAATGTGATCATCATTAGGCTTGAGAAAGACAATGTTGATGGCTTTGCAAAAACTTAGAGGATGAATCGGTTGACTCCATTAGGCAATTCTTTTTCCTTGTTTTATTGTGAAAAATTTCAAACTCACAGAAGAGCTGAAAGAACAATACAATGAATACCTGTATACTCAGTACCTAGATTCAATTGTTAACATTTTGCCATATTTGTTTTATATACTTTTTTACCTCCTGAGCCAGTTGAGAGTAAATTTCAGGCTTCATGACTTGTCACTGCCAAATACTTCAGTATGTGTATCTTAAACATAAGAACAGTTTAGAACGTTATGCTAACATCAAGTGAGAGGTAATGAGTGCCTCAGCTAGGGCTGCAGCAATTCAAAGAAGGGGGTGAAGCAAGAGAAGTGTGGATTACTCGTTTGTCAGCTACTTTCAGAAGATATTCTCTTAAGGTGGTTTTTCTTACATCGTGATAAGGGCCTGGCACACTTTGCCACTTGTGAACCCCAAGAAGGAGCCTAATTTACAATGGGCTTAAGCAAAATATAACCTGGGTGTAAAGTTAGTGTCAAAATATAAGCACATACTCTATGTCCTTGTCTGATAAAACTTACACTGATATTGATGCTTCTTTTTATTAACAAGAATAATGTACAGTTTTCAGTTATTGGACACATATGTCTTGAGTATTGTTGTAGACACATTATACACATCAGTAGTGGAAATAAAGGGAGAATTCATTTTAATTTTATTGCTTCAGAAATCTGGACCACTCATCACCTTTTAAATGAATCAGAAAAAATCAGAAAAAATCAGAACCTACTTGAATTTCGACATTTTTTGATCTGCTGGTGGAGAGAATTATCTTTTGTGTTTTAAGTTCAAATTAGACACCTTCTAAGTGTGAGCATATCAAGTGCCCATTACCACCCAGATGAATTAGTCTTGTTTGGAGAAATGGCTGATTCCAGGTGTTGAGGAAGAAAAGTCTCGGTTTAACCTGAAATATTTTATTGACTAGGAAACTATACAAATGCTCAAATAATGATAGAGTTATCAAAAAGCCAAAGAGCTGACTGAAAAGGACTCCTATTAACCTAATTAGGGATAATTTGAACTTCAAAAACAATAGTAATTATACTGAAATATAACAAATATAAACATTTCTTTTTTTTCTTTTTTCTTTTTTTTTTTTTGAGACGGAGTCTCACTCTGTTGCCCAGGCTGGAGTGCAGTGGCGCGATCCGGGCTCACTGCAAGCTCCGCCTCCTGGGTTCAGGCCATTCTCCTACCTCAGCCTCCAGAGTAGCTGGGACTACAGGCGCCCGCCACCACGCCCAGCTAATTTTTTTGTATTTTTTTAGTAGAGACGGGGTTTCACCGTGTTAGCCAGGATGGTCTTGATCTCCTGACCTCGTGATCTGCCCATCTCGGCCTCCCAAAGTGCTGGGATTACAGGCGTGAGCCACAGCACCCGGCCAAATATAAACATTTCTTGATTCCAAAGTGATACTAGGAATAAAGAAAGAGAGGCAGGAAGATAGAGAAAAGGAGAAAAGAAAATCTTTTCTTTAAAGCAGAATGCCAGCTAATAAGTACAGAAAGAATTATAGAATTAGAAAATCTCTGTTTTGCAAACTTCCCAGTATAATAATTGATTTAGGTGAGAAACATCTCTGAATGCTAAAAACCATTGGGTGCAAGATCGTTGAGGGATCGGGTATTCACACAGTTTTGAAAAATCACACTATGTATTATTTATTAATTACGATGTGATGAAGTATGCCTTTGCAATGGAGAGACCTGGCAGTTACCATTGTCCCAAATCGTCAAACTCTCCATTGCAACTATGGGTTAGGCTATTAGGTGCCTCCGGATGTTATGGAGTGGGAGGTACACAGCATAACCTAAGTGGAGTTCTTGCCAGAAATGTCTTGTCTAAATGCAATCATGAGGAAACTGTCAAACAAATTCAGGAGATGGAACATTCTGTAGAACAATTGGCTTGGACTTGTCAAAGGATTCGGTGTCAGGAAGAGCAGAGGGTCACAGTGGAAGACTAAAGAAATACAGCATTCCACTTTGGGAGGCCGAGGCGGGCGGATCACGAGGTCAGGAGATCGAGACCATCCCGGCTAAAACGGTGAAACCCCGTCTCTACTAAAAATACAAAAAATTAGCCGGGCGTGCTGGCGGGCGCCTGTAGTCCCAGCTACTTGGGAGGCTGAGGCAGGAGAATGGCGTGAACCCGGGAGGCGGAGCTTGCAGTGAGCCGAGATCGCGCCACTGCACTCCAGCCTGGGCGACAGAGCGAGACTCCGTCTCAAAAAAAAAAAAAAAAAAAAAAAAAAAAAAAAAAAAAAAAAGAAATACAGCATCCAAATGTAATGTGTGAGCTTGGCTGGATGCTGAATTTTAAACAGCTATAAAAGACATTTTGAGGACAAGTGGGGCAATTTCAGTATGGCTAAGATGTTTAATGATGTTATTGAATTCACTTTTTTTTCCTTTTTAAGAAGTTGAATTTAATTTTTTGAAGTAATTACTTAGGAAGAAATGCAGAGGAGTTCCATAGAAAAAGATGACAACCAGAACGATATTCCACCAGCCAGATTTTTAAAATTCCTCCACTCTGAAATTTCTTTTTTGTCAGCTAAAACTATTTTCTGGGTCAGTTTCCTTAAGGTGAGCCTTGTTCACATTCAATATCAAACCCAGTGCTGATATTTGTTATTTTGGTTTCATTTTCCTTTTTGCATCTTTATGTTTCTTCTGACAATCCACACGCAGGTTGTTTGTTCTGGCATCCCAAGAGTTCCTGCTAATATTACTCCCCACTCCTCTCCAGAATAAATCAGAGCCTACTTCTACTTGAAGTCTTTCATCATTCTTAGAGAAAAAGAAAAATCTAGTGGTCTCTTTCTCAGGTAATGATGCTTCTCCAGGACTGGACTTTCTGTGATCTGTTCCTTCAGTAACATCTTCCTCTTCTGAACTGCTGTCTTGGAAACGAGGGTCTTCCTCGTCTCCAGAAACCTGGAAAGACAATCTTTCCAGGTTTCACTGTTTCAACTCTGTGGGTCTCTTCCTTTACGTCTTTAGTGTCTGAATCAAAAAAGGAGAATGTGAACCTGCTGGGCTGCTCAGCCCCACTGGTCAGCTGCAGGGTCCTGGATTTCCTCAGGTTTATCTTTACCACACTCCTCATTCCAGGGTGTGTCCTCTTCCTTTTCACCGGCATATTTTGAAGTTTGAAATATTTCTTTCAGATCCATAGCAATGTTATAATACGTTTCTTTGGACATCTCACGTAGCTTTTCAGCTTCCTCCCTTTTCTTTTTTCGTTTTTCTTTACTTTCTTTTGGTTTATCATCTATTTTTCTTTCATAAGTGGCATGGTCTTGCTTTGTTGGATCATAATGTACGATGCCCTTAAATTTCTTAGCAGCTACTGATCCTTTGTAGAATTGCTTAAGTTGATTTTCAAAACACTTTGTACAACATCCAGGCTTTCTTTTTTTCTTCAGCAAGCTCTTCTTCCTAGCGGGTTTCTTTTCATTTACCTCTTCCTGTTCGTCTTCACTGTCACTTTCTAGAAATCGAGAATTCATGCAGAATCTGTCATCAGTGCCAAAGTGCGACTGTAAATCCATGAGCTTCTGTCCAGCTCTGCCCTCAAACTGAGGTTTAATTTTGAACCTGTTACTGTCATCTTCAGAATCAGATTCCTCATCATCACTGCTATCAGGCAGCTTCCCCAATGTTTTACCCATAGACTATTTCACCCATTCCTCTCCTGGATGTCTCTGCTCCTGAGTCGATATCTCCTCTGTTTCACATTCACTGTCAGAACCGAAGATGATGTACGTTAGTTTATCCTCTGGATGACCATCCAAACTTGCCAGAGCATTATCCACCAGCTTCTTCTGCACTTCTTTTGCTTTTTGCCTCACTTCCAAGGCTACCAAATGCTTCTCATCGTCTTCAGCATGCTTATCCTTAGCACTCAGATCTGACGAATTACTAATAGAAAGTGAGAAATCAGTTTTGATTTCCTGAGTGTCCTTGGATGAGAACTTTGGTGATTTCTCAAGAGATGTGAGGCTGCTTGAGTCAGACCTCTCTTCCTCTGAAGCTTCTGTCTTGTGGTACTATGGCAGCTGTCTTTGTCAAAGCCTATGTTGTGAGTCTTTGCACTAAGACTTAAGGACTTCTTACCTTTTAATGGCAATAAACTAGAAATAGAATTCTTACTTCTCTTTTCAGAACTGCTAGTGGACATTGCCTTGCAATCCTGGCTCTCAGAAGTGTTCTATCTTTTTTGAGGCTGAATATAGTTGGGCCATTCGCCTTCTTTGCATGTTGGCACAGAGTCAGTTCACCCGATGAGCCATTAACATATGGGGACCCATCTTCCATGGATATGATCCTGGGATCCACATGTTTCATGGAATTCTGATCTTTATTAATATTGTTAGAGGCAACATTGTCTTTCAAGGATTTTTTTATTGACTCCTTTTTCATATAAACAGCCTACTCCCTTGAAAACCTGGAATTCTGGCTTTCAGTTGTTTTCCTTTGGTTTCTGTTTGCCACAGGTGCTCTCCTCTCCTTCTAACAGGAAAGCCACAGTGTCGTCAGGACAAATACAGTGTCTGCGTCTGTGGAGGCCAGTGGGAGTCTTGGGGCTGTTGGAGCCTCTGTCAAACTTGCATTGTGTGGTGGTTTCTGGCCCGTCACTCTCAGTATCTTCATTGGAAACCTTCTGTTCACTGCCAGCCAATTGTTCCAAATCAGCTAAAGTGAGATTCACACGAAGGCGGTTTTTCGTCATGGCATTATACTCCTTGTCTCCTTCAGAGTCAGCTAATTCTGATGCAGAATCAGCATCTTCATTGCTATTGGAGTGAGAGGGAGATTTGCAATTAAGAGCCTTTAATCCATGACCGAGGGCTGACTCTACATTGCTTTTTCTTTCTTGTACTTTAATACAGTGATCAGAAGCTCACAGTTTTCTCTATTTTTGAAGGAAGTTTTCTTGTCTGTAGATTTTTCCATTTGTGAAAATTCTGTACTGTTTTTGACCTTAGCAACATTTTTTTTCATCGCAATGATTTCTTCTGTATCTCCTGAGTCATACTCACAATCATTTCTCGTAATATCATCATCACTGTCATGGCAAGAGGCACTATTTTTGATACCTAAACCTGTTGAAGAATGCAATTTGTGAACTCCTGATTTGAAGTTATCCCTTACAACTTCAAAGGGATCAGTTTCAGGTTCATTTATTGAGGATTGTATAGTTCTCTGTAAGTTTTCCTCTTTTGCAACCATCATTCTTAATTCATCTTTAGAATCAATATAATCATCAGAAATGCCACTTCTCTTCTTGGCAGTTTCCAATCCAGAAGTCCTAAAAGGTAGATTTTAAAGTTTCTGAGTATCAGAAACAGGTACAGGAGATGATTTAGGAGTAGTGGAATTAGAAGTTCTTTTTCTGTGCAGCTTGTTGCTGTGTTAAGGGTGGTCTCTCTATTACCCACCTGGGCCTTGGACTCATGGCCAGAGACCCAGTGGAACTCTCATCCCTCTGCACTTTTATCATCTTCTTGGGAGGGCCATGAAAGTCAGAGAAGTCTCCTCACCATTTCTTACTCATAGGGTCATTCCCTCCTTCCAGTTCCCAAGTCAGGCTGGATATAGGAATGGTGTTTGTGAAATCCTCCCCTATCTTCTTTAGGTTGTGGCAGTATTTTGAGGGATCATATTTTATAATTTTACATTTATGATAAATTTTAAGGTGAAGAACAAGTAACACTCTTCCAAATTTGCTCACAACCCAATTCTTATACCCTGGCGCTTCTGTCCCTGGCGCAGCTTTCATATGGAATTCCACTCCTCCTATCTTTTCTAACAAGTTGATGTTACCTGTTGTTGATTTTCCTTTCTTAGCTTTTGCTTCTTCTTTCTCTTGGGCCAATCTGTGCAAAAAGCTTTCTTTTGCTAGTTGAATTTGTAATGTTCTACCTTTCCATTTTGTTTTATTTAAAACGGATATACATTTTTTCAGGTCTGCTTCTGCTACACTGATGCTGATATATGCAAAGACTTTCTGTGGGTTTCCATGGTCATCTTTCCGTGTGATGATCTCCACATCTGAAACTTCTGCAAATCTGCTGAACTGATTTTGGAGGACTGTTTCAGAAATTTCCTGGCTAAGACCATCCACATAAAGGGGCTTCATTTCTCTTTCACTTTCATGAAAGCTGGTGGTGTGTTTTAGTGGGAAAAGTAATTTTCTCAGCCTTCCTTCTCTGAGAAGACCCAGAGAAGTAAAGAGAGAGGCTTGGAAACGGCCTTGTGATTCTCATGCCCCAAACCCACTCCTCACCATGTCATCACCTAAAGCCAGCACTGCTGCAGCCCCTGAATTCACTTTTTAAAAGGCCTGGTAGGCCGGGCGTGGTGGCTCACGCCTGTAATCCCAGCACTTTTGGAGGCTGAGGCGGGTGGATCACCTGAGGTCAGGAGCTCGAGAGCAGCCTGGCCAACATGGCGAAGCCCCGTTTCTACTAAAAATACAAAAATTAGCCAGACGTGGTGGTGGGCACCTGTAATCCCAGCTACTCAGGAGGCTGAGGCAGGAGAATTGCTTGAACCTAGGAGGCGGAGGTTGCAGTGAGCCAATATCGTGCCACTGCACTCCAGCATGAGCAATAAGAGTGAAACTCCGTCTCAAAACAACAACAACAACAACAACTACAACAACAATAAACAAAAGGCCTGGTAATGGCGTTAGGTTGTGTGAGAGAATGTCCTTGTTTGTGAGAGCTATATGCTAAAATATTTAGGGATAAACTGTCATGTTGTTGCCAACGTACTTTAGGATGGCTTGACAGAAAGAAGTGTGTGTAGGTTCCAGTTTTAGTTCTTTCGGGATGTTACAACAAAATACCATAGACTGGAGTGCTTATAAACAACAGAAATCTATTTCTCACAGTTCAAGAGTGTGGGCAGTCCAAGGTCAAGGCATCAGCAGATCTGGTGTCTGGTGAGAACCTACTTTCTGGTTCATAGATGCCGCCTTTTTACTGTGTCCCCATGTGGTAAAAGAGGTGAGGGGTCTTTTTCAGACTTTTTTTTTATAAGGGCAATAATTCCATTCATGTGAATTCTACCTCCCCAAAGTCCTAACTACTAATATCATCATCCTTGGGGTTAGGATTACAACATATGAATTCTGGGGGGACACTAACATTCTGACCATGGCAATACCTATATAGAGAGATGAAGCAGGAGCAAGAAGATTATTAATAGTTGGTGTGTATAGGCAAGGGTATACCAATGTTCACTATACATTTCTTTAATTTTTGTGTGGATTTGAAATTTTTCAAAATAAGAAAAATAGTATCTATGGGAATCAAGGGAAAATATTTTTCCCTTCACTTTTTATGCCTGTTGTCCTCTACACTTAGTAATTATTTCATGACATGAAAGCCCTGCTTTGATTTGTTAGCTTTGTCCTATGTATGGAGCTTAGTTCTGAAGACTTAGACTCACCCTATTACTTTGCAGGTGATCAGGATGTTGTAGAGACAGTGAGTTTAGATTTCTAGGACATATTTTCTTTTGGGACTCTTCTTTGATTAATATGTGAAGTGACTGCAAGGGACCTTGTGAAGGTCTTGGTTCTTGTTATTCCCTGCAGCTGCAAGAGCGGGTTCCAGAAGGCCAGGGAAGAAATGCGGTAAATACATGGTACATTCCTTGTGGCTCAGCAGAAGGACTGAAAGATCCCTGGAACAAGTAGGAAAGAAATACCTTGAGACTTTTTACATGCACGTCTGTTACAGCCATCATGTCAGTGCATTTTATAGCATTTTGTCCGCCTCCTTTCAAAGACAGATTTTGGCAGTCTCGGCATGGTAGTCATGCATTTTCAACTACCTGCATGGGGCATCTCTACCATCTCAAGATGGTAGAGAGAAAAAAATTGGGGGGTGGGGTAGTGGTGGGGAGGATCATCTTCTCTTAAATTTTATTTCTCCAAAGATAAGAAAAAACTCAAATCATAACTTTGTAGTTATATACCTTTTGAAAAAACTGATCGGTAAGGAACTATTTTATTAAACAATTGTTGAATGAAAGAGGAGAAGGTGTGGTGCTATAAGATTCTTTGCTAAATGGAGTTTTTATATTAAAATTATGGATACAAATATTAGGTGATTTTATTAATTGAATCCCTGCTATGTGCTTCCTTTTAATATAATAACTTGACATTAAGAAAATTCTGTCCTTAAGAAACTCAAGAATACATTAGTGACTCTATCTTAATCATTTTAATGTTTCTATAAAGGGAGAATATCTGACTTTTATGTTTTTACTGAGTTTGAGAAGTATTTGGGGGATTATAATTCTCATAAGCGTCTTTGACTTCCAGTTTTCCTTCTCCTAAGAGCAGTGACATAGCAGATTGAAGATTAATGATGGTCTGAAGGGAGCTGGGATATGCACATTGTATTCAATGTCATTGAAGAAATGTGCTTTGAGTATCCACCATGTACCAGGCATGGTGCCAATGCAGATAAAAATGCAAGAAAGGCCATTTCACAGAATCTATTTGTTGACTGTCAATGACACAAGAACATGTATTTGGAGGCGCTTGGCTATTTTTGCTGGGTTGGTCTTCATGGATGGACATTACTATTCTCTTTCTGTTTTAAATCCATAGACAAGAAAGCCCTGACCAACCCCTTCTTGGACTATTCCAATTTTGTCTCACATAATTTATTGGGGAAAATGAGTTCCATATGTTTAATAAAGTTGTTCCAGAACTACCTCCTTTCTGGCTCATGTTTAGTATTTTGGGATTTGGTGGCTGTGTTTATGGTCAACAAAAGCATGATCTTCATCACTTTTATGTCTTCTTTAACACATACCTCTTCAACTATTCTGTCTTTCAGATGTAAAAATCTTTGCCTTCTTACTTCATCATCATTTTCTCTTTAAACTTATGTGAGGGGGTAGACAATCCTGAATACCATTAGGATTTACCCTAACCCTGTTTTCCATGGAAAAGAATATGTAAACTTCCATTAGGAAGTATGTGAAAGAAACTTTCCTTTAAATAAAAATGTGTAAGTGTTTAGAATTGCCCTTGCAAAGCTCTAAATCAATCACCCAGGGCTAATACATCACTTGAGGAGATGGGCTAGTGGCATTCTCATGAACGATCACCTGTGATTACAGAGCTCTGGCTGGCCCAAGATTTTGCTCTCCTGTGGGATTTGACACCATTGATCATTTTAGTTTCCTGCATCAGCCATGCACAGAAAGTCTTAATGGGACAGTATGCAAAATGCATTCTCATTACATTTGTTCTCTTTCTGTTATCAATAACCCAAGGTCATTTTAATATTCTTAATCATTTCTCTCTGAAGAGTATGCCTTTTAGAGCCACATGGCTTACCTTTCAGAAGAAATGATTCAGAACAAGAAGTTAGGTTTTAATTTTGAGATATTTAGACAAGGATGGACTTAGGCAATTGTGGAGGCTTTCACTCTTCTTTGCCAGCAGGTTTCACGTCCATTTTTCCTTCCCAGTCGCTCCTTTGAAACCTTTATTTCAAGCCAACAGTAGAGTTTTATGTATGAATTTTAAAAATTACTTTTCCATTTAACATATTTTAATTTTTTTGATGTTACTTTCTGTTTGTTTTACTATCATTTAAATAGTTTTATTTCATTCAATAAATGTGCCCTCATGTAATCCCTTGTGGTTGGACATCACTTTTCACTATTCACTTCTGTAATAGCATTGAAATGAACATTCCTGTAGTGAAAACTTTCAAGATATTCATGATAATTTCCTTAGGTCAAATTCTTGGATATGAAATTATTATGTCAAAAATAGGCACATCATTAAGTCTTCTTATACAAGTTATGAAGCATTATGATGTGAGAATCACATTTCCTCTCACCCTCTGCAAAATTAGATATTATAATAATCTGCTTGAATATGATGTATTGAACTCTCATTGATTATATCCGTATTTCTTTGATTATTGTAAGTTTGGAATTTTTAGCAGATTTTTGGTTTCTATTGTTTTATCTTGAAAAATACCCAATACAGTGATAAATCAGGGCCTGAAGTGTCATAATTTATAAGCTTACTTGCTGATGTCCAAGGAATAGCTTTTTTCAGTGCACAGAGTTTTAAGGATGTAAAATGTTCAAATAAATGCTTTCTAGTCGCACACTAATTCCTGTCTCCCTTCCAGGGTGAGATTGATTGATATTGCTTAAGTTAATATCAATGTAAATGCATCTGTTTAAACCCATCCCTTAATGTCTTTGAATTTTCTTTTTGCATTTGATGTCAAATGAATATATTCTTTAATTATTGATGAATAGTGACTGAGATGGCTAAAGTTAAGGGAGAAATCAATCATTTAATGTTTATTGGGCCCACTGGATAGTTGGATGTATATTAGACCTCTCCCAGCAGGCAATGACGGTGGACCGTACCCAAGAGTCCAGAGCCATAAAGTGAATTCCTTTCAGCATTTCATAGATAAACCATGCAGCGTACTCAGAAAAACACGGGCTAATCTTTTTTTCCTTGATCTCTCTCCTGTGTCACTATATCTCCAGCTCTATCTTTCACTTCTACTCTTTTCCTCTTACCTTATCAATTTTTTTCTCCTCACTCATATTTCCTTCCTCTGTCATTGTATAATGTGTTTTGAAAAGAGAGGATTTTAAACGTTCTCATCACAAAGAAATGATAAATATGTGAGGTCATATGGAGTGTAATCATTTAACAATGTATACATGTACCAAAACATCACATTGTACCCTATAAGTATATACAATTATTATTTGTCAATTAAAAATAAAAGAAAATAAAAAGAAGTATTCATTAATCTTCCCTCCATATTTTGTTTTGTTTTTTCCTATCTTAATTTATGGACAAGATCACACCAAATCACTTCTACAGGGAAGGGGTGTGATAAGAAAGAAGTCTCCTCCTGGCTTTGAGTTTCAAAGAGTAGAAGAGTTGCTGCATACCCTTACCAACATTTGGTGTTGTTTTACCAATCTTGTGGGTGTGAAATGTGATATTTTTAATTGTAATTTTATTTATTTGATTATAAGTGAAGTTGATTCTTAGGAATTGTTTACATAGTCTAGATATTTTATTAATCCTTTCTTAGTTACTATTATAGACTGCGCGTTTATGTTAAGGACAAATCTTGCTTAAATCTGAGAGCAAAGTAGGTGATAAAGAGAAAAGCATATACGACAACAGCATGAAGTATGTTCACACACTATACACACACACACACACATATATATATATATATATATGCAGTGCATAGGTAAAGATTAAATAATTATAATAAAATGAACAACCATATGCCCACCACTCAGTCTGAGAAATAAAATACTTCTGGTAATTTGAAAATTATCAAATTGTCCTCCCCCTCAATTACACTCAGAGGAGTAATTTTCTGTAAATAATTCCCATAGTTTTCTTCATATCACAATGAACATGTATTTGTGTATTCCCAGATACAGCGCTTGGTTATGCCAATTTTTGAATATGCCTCACTTCACCCAGTGGACTCTGCATTCAAATTTTCTGGGCTTGAGATCCCAGTTCATCACCTTGGTAGGAAGCTATATCAACTTGGGAAATTTATTTCTTCTGTTCAGTCATAATTTCCTCATCCATAAAACGCTAACAGTAACTGTACACAGCTCATATCATTCTTGTGGGATTAAATTATATATATGGCACTTAGCCAAGAGCTTGGTAATAGTAAGCAATTTACATATTCACTATTATCATTATTATTACTATTATGATTACATTCTTCAGTGACTCATGCCTCATATTATGGTGATGTATGTGGCTATAGTTTGTCACTGCCATATAGTATTTCACTATATGTATATGCCATAACTGATGTATTCATTTTAATGCTGATGGGCATTTGGACTGTTTCCAGAATTTGGCTATTATAAATATTACTGGTAAGAATATTTTTGTACAGGTCTTGTTGCACAAGGATGAGAGTTACTCTAAGATTTTAGGTTATATGCCCAAGAGTAGACCTGCTGGGCACATTCCTCTTTACTAGGGCACATATGCACATTCCTCTTTACTAGGTAGTGCCAAATAATTTTCTAAAGCAATTATACCAATTTATCTCCCCACTGGTATGTAGAAAAGTTGCTTCACAGTCTCACCAACACTTGATGTTGTCTTACTAATCTTTTTGAAACTGCTACCTTGTCTGGTGTATATACCCTGGGGTTTGCTGTCTCGTGCCGAGAAAGAATTTAGGACATGGACACATGTGGGTGGGTTAAGGAATGGAAAGTTTAATAGACAGAAGAAAGGAGAGAGGAGAGCAACTCCTTGCAATAGAAAGAGAGAGAGAGGGAGAGAGAGAGAGAGACAGACGTCGGAAAAATGGGGGAGGTGGCAGACCACAGCAGATTTTATATGCAAGCTGAAGGCAGTGTCTGATTTATGTAGATTGGTTCCATCAGGTATGACGTTTACATGAAGCGTGGGGAAGGCTGGTTGCCTCATCCTAATCTTGTTATGCAAATGGGCTTTCCAGTGGATCAGGCCATTTTGTCTGCTCTTTACTGTACAGGTGGCTTACAAAGAGAAGGGAAGATGGAGCCGCCATCTTGAATATGTCTAGTCCCTAGTTCCTGCCAGCATTTACCTGTGCAAGCTCCCAGCTTGCTTATCAATGTCTGCAGCTCGACTTTACAGGCTGCTCTTTGTTAGAAAATGATTTAACGCTGCTTTTCATTAAAGAGAAAAGCCTTACCAAGGACTCCCATGCCCTTACTATATGCCCAAGTGATTTCTTCTTAACTTCTATATCATTTTGGGTGTGAAATGTGATCTCTTTTTTATTTTAATCTTATTTCTTTGATTACAAGTCAGGTTGATTTATAGGAGCTGTTTACATAGTCTAGATATTAATCCTTTCTGATTTACTGTTACAAACTGCATGTTTTTGTCTCCCGAAAATTTATGTGCTGAAGCCCTAGCTGCCACTGGGATGGTGTTAGGAAGTGGGGCCGTTGGGAGGTGATTAGGTGTAGGTAAGACCATGAGAGTCAAGCCTCCATCATGGATTAGTGTCTTTATAGGAAGAGAAAGAGGCTAGAACACATTCTCTTCATCATGTGCAGATACAAGAGTAAGAATAAGGTGCCTGTCTGAAAACCAAGATGGGGGCCCTCATTGGAGACTGGATCTGCTGGCACCTTGCTCTTGGGCATCTCAGCATCTGGAACTGTGGGAAATCAATGTTTGTGGGTGAGGCCACTCACTGTATGGTATTCTACTGTAGCATCCCACACTGACTAAGACAGTTACTTATGTTGCAGTTGTTCATTCCTCCTTTGTGGCTTGTTTTTAAATTGTCAGTGGTAACTTTGGATGAACAGAAGTTCTTAATTTCAATGTGGTTGAACTTATCAAATGTTTCCTTTACGGTAAGTTTCATGGCTAATTTTATGTGTCAACGTGAGGGTCATGAAGTGCCCAGACATTTGGTCAAGTATTATTCCGGGTGTGTCTGTGAGGGTGTTTCTGGATGAGGTTAGCATTGGAATTGGTAGGCTCAGCAAAACAATTGTCCTCCCTAATGTGGATGGGCCTCATCCAGTCAGTTGAGAGCCTGAATTGAACTAAAACGCTGATCCTCCCTTGAATAAGACAGAACTCCTCCAGCCTGCCTGCCTTGAGCTGGGACATTGGCTCTTTCCTTCCCTGGACTTGAACTGAAACATGAGCTCTTTCTGAATTCTAAGCCTGCTGGAATTTGGACTGAAACTACACCATTAGCTCTTCTGAGACTTCAGCATGTAGATTGCAGATATTGGGATATTTCAGTTTCCATAATTGTGTGAGGCAATTCCTTATATCATCTTCCATATATACATACATTCTATTGCTTCTGTTTCTCTGGAGAATCCTAATACAGTTAGCCTTTGTTTGGTCTTCTTTAGGAAATCATTTACTCCTCTAGGGTCCTACTGATAGTTTTCTATACTACCTTCTAAAAGTTTTATAGTTTTACCTTTCAAATAAAAGATTTTAATCTACCATAAATTAACTTCTGTACATGTTGGGAAGTATAGATTAAATTTTATTCTTTTCTCTGTAATAACCAATTAATCTAGAACCTTTATTGAATGTTCCATCCTCTCTACACTGATCGGAAGTGCATGATCTTCCATAAATTAAGTATATTTCTCTTTATGGGACTGTTTCTGCTTTCCATATTCCTTTAATCTGGGCTGTTTGCCTATCCTTGAACTATCTTAATTATTACAGTTTTATAACAGAACTTGATATCTAGCAGGGCAAGTCCACCTACCTTCTTGTTATTTAACAAGTGTTTTGGCTTTTCCTGTTCCTTTACTATTTGAGATAAATTTTAGAATCAGCTTGCTTAACTTCCTGGAAAACTCTCTCGAGGTTTTAATCAGAATCACATGAAATCTACAGATGAATTTAGGTAAAATTTACTTTATTCGAATATTGAATCTTCTTATTAAAAAATGTTGTATTGCTCCCTATATATTTAGGTTTTCTTTAATATCTTTCAACAACATTTTCTAATTTTCTTTATAATGGGCATATCTGTGCTTTGTTAGGTTTGTTTTCCGGTACTTAATATTTTTTCTTGTGGTTGTAAATTATATCATTAAAATTATATTTTCTAACCAATTTTTGCTAGTATATTAAAACCAGTTATTCTATCCTAAAATCCTGGTAAACTTAAAAAAAATTCTAATAATCTATTAAATATTACTTTGTCTTCTTCCATACTGTCTCCAAATAAAGGCAGTATTTTGTTCAGATTTTTAAGAACTCTTTCTTGCCTTACTGTACTGGTTAACACTCCAGTAAAATGATGAATAGGAATGGTGAGAGCTGGCATCCTTGTCTTTACGTGACCTTAAAGGAAATGTTTTCAGCTTTACACTATGGATTTTAGGATTTTTGTAGTTGTTTTTATTAGGAAAATCTTCTTCTATCCTGGTATAGCAGATTCAAAAGGGCTGAAAGTTCTTTGATAGTCCTCCTGCAAAGAGATGGGGTCGGTTTCTCCTACCCTAGAATCTGGATTGGTCTGTGACTGATCAACAGAGCACAACAAAGGTGACCCAAAGCTGGTTCTGAGCTTTGCCTTTAAGAAGGCTGGAAACATCCCCCCCAGGTCCCTTGGAGTTTTGGCCTTCTATGTAGAAATCCAAATATCCTGCTTGAAAGACCACATGGGAGAGAAGAGAGCTCCAGCTGAGTCCATCCTCCAGGTCATTTCTGCCAAGTGAGTGAAGCTGCCTTGTGTCCTCTGGCTCTGCTCACTGGCATCACCAGCTGAAAACCACTGAGTGACTCCAGTCAACACTACATGGAGTAGAAGAGCCATACAGCTGAGTTTTGTCTGAATTCCTGACATATAAAAATGTGAGATGTAATAAAGTGGTTGTTTATTAAGCCATTAATTTTTGGGGGAGTTTATACAGCAATAAAAAGCTGGCAGAGAATTTGGTAATGGGAAGGGGGTATCCCCATAAAAAGAAGTTAAAGCATGGCCTTTGCATCTAGGTAGTAAGTAAAAGCAGGAAAAAGCTTCCATGAAACTGTAAAACCAGAAAGCCCTCAAAGAGATTATTGTGAGGACTTTAAGGACAGTGAGAAAAATATGAGAAGCTAGGGGTCTTATTTTGTAATGGTGGAAAGTTGGGTAACATTGTTACCTGCCACAGGATGGAAGTAGAAGGAGTTCCCAATGATCTCCTAGATCTTTCTGGGGAGATTTGCATGAAAAATATAAAAAGTGCCAACTTGGGTTTTTATTTGCCACTGATGAAGTAGGAGAAGAGGGAGGTAAACCAAAGAATGAACTGTTCATATTCTCAAGTTTTTTGGGTGTATCTCATAGACCCTCTCGGATAAACAATAGGATTTTTAATTGTCTTGACAGCATTGACCCAAGATAGAGAGTAGCATGTCTCAAAAAGATCATGAGTGCTCTTTTATCTAATAGGTGAATCCCAATGAAATTCATAGAAAATCCACAAAGTTTTTAATGGAGATTATATTGATGGAACCGACAAAGAAGACTAGAAGAGACAGAGCTAGTGCAAAGTAAAAACAGGCCTTTGGTTCCCCAACTTTCTATGTGCACGAAGCAGACTGAGAGGCTACTAAGTTGCAACCTCAGGCCATTTCTTATGGAAAAGAAAGGATGACTCAGAGAGCAGAACCCAGCACTTAGCTCAGAGGACGGAGCCAAGGGAAACATTCTGAAGGAGAAGGGTTGATGGGAGTGGTGAATAACTGGTCCCTTTACTTTGCACGTCTTTAGGTCCAGAGGAACTATATTGAAAAAATGTACTGAAGAAGCCTCATCTATTGATTTAGCTCTATCATTTTGTTATTTATTCCTATTTGTTTGCTTTGTTTTTTGCCTCTGTTTCTCTTTGGCTGTTTATCCTCTTCATTATTCTGTTCGGATCACCTTGTGAATGCTTTAATATAGATATTTTAAATTTAATTTAGGTCTGTTATTTCCATTTGTTTCCTTTTTATATTTTCTAGTTTTTTACTGAGATTTCCTTTATTTCATTGTGAGTATATTTTCTTTTTTTTTAGTTTTTATTTCCATAGTTTTTGGGATAAAGTTGGTTTTGGTTACATGGAAAAGTGTTTTAGTGGTGATTTCTGGGATTTTGGTGCACTCAACACCTGAGCAGTGTACACTATACCCAAATATGTAGTCTTTTATCCCTCACCTCTCTTTCCCCTCAAGTCCCTGAAGTCCCTTATATCACTCTTATGCCTTTGCATCCTCATAGCTTAGTTTCCACTTATAAATGCGAACATATGGGATTTTGTTTTCCATTCCTGAATTACTTCACTTAGAATAATGGCCTGTAGCTCCATTCAAGCTGCTTCAAAAAACTTTATTTCATTCCTTTTTATGGCTGAGTAGTATTCCATAGTGTATATATACCACATTTTCTTTATTCACTTGTTGGTTGATGGGCACTTAGGTTGGTTCCATACTTTTGCAATTGTGAATTGCGCTGCTATAAACATGTGTGTGCATGTGTTTTTTTCATATAATGACTTCTCTTCTTCTGGGTGGATACCCAGTAGTAGGATTGCTGGATTGAATGGTAGATCTTCTTTTAGTTCTTTGAGGAGTCTCCGCACTGCTTTCCATAGTGGTTGTACCAGTTTACATTCCCACCAGCAGTGTAAAAGTGCTCCCTTTTCACCATACCCATGCCAACATCTATTGTTTTTTAATTTAATTATGGCTATCCTTGCAGGAGTAAGGTGGTATCTCATTGTGGTTTTGATTTGCATTTCCCTGATCATTAGTGATGCTGAGCATTTTTTGGTATGTTTGTTGGTTGTTTGTATATCTTCTTTTGAGAATTGTCTGTTCATGTCCTTAGCCCACTTTTTGATGGGATTGTTTGCTTTTTTCTTGCTGATTTGTTTGAGTTTCTTATAGATTCTGGATATTAGTTCTTTGCTGGTTGCATAGTTTGTGAATATTTTGTCCCATCCTTGGGTTGTCTGTTTGCTGATTATTATTATTATTATTTTTTGCTGGCAGAAGCTTTTTAGTTTAATTGGGTCATTATGAGGACATTTTCTTTTGCCTCATTGAGGTAGTTATGGTAGTTGCTTAAAACACTTGTTTATTAAATCCTATATTTGGATCTTATGTCTCAGAATTGGTCTCCATTGATTGCCTTTTCCCTTGATACTGAGTCACATTTTACTGTTTTTAAAACAATATTTTGAATAATTTTGGATTATATCCTGGAAAATTTGAGAAGATTGTTAATTTTTTTTGTCATGTTCCTTTAAAGAAGAGAGTTGATATATACTTTTTTGGTAGGCAATTAATTTGTTCAGACTAAAATTGCATACTGTGTTCTTTGGAAGCAGCTAAAATATAATTTTAATTTTTCCCCTCTTATCTGGAATGTTCACAGTCTTCCTTACACATACATGGTACAAGGGGTAGCCAGATACTTGAACAAAACAGTTTATACACAGAATTTGGAATTCCTAACCCTTGGCTTTCATCTTTTCTGTCTTTCTACTTATTTTTCAGTGACTTTGTTTCCCTCCACTCTTTTTTTCTGGAACTTCCTGTTGTATATTATGTAGGATTTCATCATTTTAGCTGCCCAGTGACGGCAGCTTTCCACAGGCTGAAAGAAAAATACATCAGTAATCTCATTCTATTCTGATCCCTTCTCTCCTCCAGAATATTCTTGCTTCTGTTTATTCTCCAAATACTTCAGGTCATCGGTTTTGATTTTTTTTTTTTTTTTTGGCAGAGTCTTGCTCTGTGGCCCAAGCTGGAGTGCAGTGGTGCAATCTCAGCTTACTGAAGCCTCCACCTGTCAGGTTCAAGCAATTCTAGTGCCTCAGGCTCCTGAGTAGCTGGGACTACAGGTATGTGCCACTACACCCAGCTAATTTTTGTATTTTTAGTAGAGACGGGGTTTCACCATGTTGACCAGGCTGGTCTCAATTGCTGGCCTCACATGATCTGCCCGCCTCAGTCTCCCAAAGTGCTGGGATTACAGAAGTGAGCCACCACACCCAGCCAGGTCATTGGGTATTATATTTTGTTCAGGATATATAAGTGCTATCTGCAGAAGGTCATTTATTAACAGTTTATTCAGTTATACTAGAAGTAGAACTCTCAAAAGTCCTTTTTTTTTTCCTGCTGGTTAATCAATGTAGTTGCCAATTTTAATTTTAATTACTCTCTTCTTTTCTTCATTTCTAGAAATTCTAGTTGGTTCATTTTTTGAATCTGCTTTTTCCTTGATAGTATTTTTTGTTTCAATTTTACTTTTTTCAAAAAAGTTGTTGAAAATATTTTATAATTTATCAACAACTCTCTAAATATAATCACATATGAAGAATGATTAATAAAAAATTAAGTAGCAAGCATAAACCAAGTTATGGAAAAAGGCAATATTGTTAGTGTGAATTGAAAACTCCCCAAAGAGATTTAGTGGAACAAAATTCCTGCACTATTTATTGACTTTAGTTTCCTGGAGAGCTTGCAAAAATATCTCCTGGGGAAGTTAGTGAACAAGGCTTTGGGAATAGGGCTTACCAAAACTGGGGCATTTGGTAGGGATGTGGTATGAGTCAGGTGTTGTTCATCCAGCAAGAATATAGTTAAAGAACTGGGCTGCTCTGAAGTTTCTCTTTTAAGTTCACATTGGTCAACCTTCAGCTCTCAGAAGTAGCTCAAAGTAGAATATTTCTATTGGATAAAATAAGTGTGGTCAGCTGAATCAACATCTCACCTTATAAAGAGGAGCATAAACTTCCATCAGGACATGGTCCAGGCAAGTCATAGGCAGATAAAAAATGGGCAGGCTCACCTAATTATTGTCCACTTAAAGAAGGTTCAACAAGAGGCCGTCTTGTGGATGGCAGCCCTCAACATTTCTGTCTTTTGAAGTCAATGAGGACAGATCACCTCTGGAGTGGTGCATAGTTTTTACCCTGGCAATCTCCTCTACCTCTCATTCTCATCCAGTTTCTGGAAGATTGCTTCAGTTTTAGCTTCCAAACCTTCTACTAATTTTTAAAAATGTCTATCATGTTACATTATCTAAGAGCTCTCTTTTTAATCTCTGAATGACCCCTTTTATCATATCTCTTTTGTTAGCATTCAGAGAATATTAATGGTAGGTTTCTGTCTTTGAAATTTTATTCTCCTTGCATAGTCTCTATTTGTCTTGTCTTTTTCTGTTTGCTTGTTTATTTGCTTATTTGTTGTGGTCTCTGTCATTTGTATCAGAAGGTTAGTATGCCCTTCTCTGCCCTCCCCTACCCGAACACTGTACTTGCCAATTTCTCTCTGCTTTTCTAGCTAATATCTGCAGATTTCTATTCATATGTGCCCTTTAGATTAGGTGTTTCCAGATGGCCCTTTGTAAAATTATCGCTCCTCCTCCCCTACTGCATTGGGCTGCACTTCCCACTCCTCCTCTTTATTTTTCTCCATTTTATTTACCCCCATTAAATACATTCCATATTTTATTATTTATTTGTTAATTGCTCATCTCTTTGATTAGAATTTAAGCTCAATGAGGGCAGTAATCAAGCAGAAAGTCTATGCTTTATTGATTTTTATGTTCCCATAACCTAGAAGAGTACCTGAAACATAATAGGAACTCCCTAAATATTTGTTGAATTCTGTCAGACACTGTGCTAAAGACTTGACATATATTTTATCACTTAATATTCTTAAAAGTGCTTTATTTGTTTATTCAATTAAAATTAATTATTTATTGTTATACCCCTCTCTCATACAGAAAATGTGAGGTTTGGAGATATTAAATAATTTATCTAAAGTCAATAAACTCGTAGAATACTATATTTGAATATATCTTAACATCAGAGAGTTATTACTAAATATTTGACATATTGTCATCTCATGGAAATAAACTTCTATAATGGTTAATTTATAAGGCTGAGTGTTTCCGTTTTACAGGTACTCACTCAAGTTCATTGGAATGGGAAGATCTCTAAAAGTTATGCATAGTTTATATTCAGAAACTATCAAATGGGTTGAAGAATACAGCTTGCCAGAGAAGGACCTGAAATATGACCAGAGAAACACAAAATATAAGAGCTGGAGAAAGTCTAAGGGATCTTCCAGTCTAATTCCCATTGCAAGTTTTTAAGTTTGTCCTGACATAGGGAGGGTTTGCTGGTATAGCACATATTCTGCTAGGATGTTGAATTTCTATGCAGGATGTAAAATGGAGTAAACAATATGAAGAGTAAGCTTTTGAGAAAAGTAATAGATTGTGATAATGATTAAAAGAAACAGAAAAATGGAGGCAGGTGGATCACTTGAGGTCAGGAGTTCGAGACCAGTGTGGCCAACATGTTGAAACCCCATCTCTACTAAAAATACAAAAATTTAGCCAGGCGTGGTGGCATGGGCTTGTAGTCCCAGCTACTCGTGAGAATTGCTTTAACCCCGAAGGCAAAGGTTGCAGTGAGCCAAGATCACACTACTGTACTCCAGCACTCCAGCCTGGGTAACAGAGCGAGACTCTGTCTCAAAAAAAGAAAAAAAGAAAAAAGAAAAAAAGAAAGAAAGAAAAAAAAGAAACACTAAAGTGTCCCCATACCTGTGGTGGAGTAGTAGCAGAGCATAGTAAATGCCAAGTGCAAATAAAGTATTATTGACGCTGAAAGGAACATAATATCACTTCCGGTAGCAGTGATTAGAAAAGACACAATGACAGTCAATTCACAAAAGAAGAAATGAACATGTCAAACACACATATACAAAGATTTCTGAACATTAAAAATGAGTTAAAATGAGATCCTACTTTTCATCTATCAAAATGTCAACTTTTTTAACAGATAAAGATAGTAATGTGTTGATGAGAGCATAGAGGATAGAGGAATAGACATCCTCATTCATGGCTGGTGGAGTTTAAATTGTTATGACTTCTCAGAAAGAAAATTTGATATCCAAAACTTAAAAAAAATCTTTTATCTTTTAGCCTCATAATTTCACTTCTAAGAATTCATTCTAAGGAAGAAGCTGTGGTGTGGGCAAACATTTACATCTATGGGTGTTTATCATGGGATTATATGTAATAGCAAAATGTTCAAAATAACCAAAATGGCAGACTGAATAAATAAATTATGGTGCATACATATGATAGAAGAAGCTTTAGTCATTAAAAATTTAGATGATTATGAACATTTTTGTTATAACGCAATATGTGCATTTCTGAAGAATCTGTGTTCAACAGTATCTTTCACTAAAATAAGAGACCTTAGGAAAAAAATGGCAGTAGGGCAGACTATTTAAAATATGTTGCAGTGACCAGAGTCAAGTCATGAATATGGAAACTACATCAGTTATTTTTCAGAAGGAAACTAATATAAGCAATTGATTAAACAAGTATTGGAGTACTTGTACATTTTACTGTAAAAGTAAAAAAGAAACACTGAGATAATCCACATGGAGTAACAGAAGAACATTGTTCCCAACCTAGGTTTTGGGGAAAAAGGAACAAAAATGGGGTTATTAGAAACTGGAAGGGACCGAATGAAGTGCTTGGAGATGTCTCATAGAACACGGTTTTAGACCTTTGAGGGGACATAATGAGGTTGTTTCTGGGATTGCCAAAAAACTACAGATTGAAACCAACCACTGTTACCAGAGGGAAGGGCTGTTGCTGAAGCAGTGTTGATAGGAACAGCATAACCAGGAAGGAATGACCCTTCTCTTCTCCAGTCTTTCCATCACCCTTTATGCCCAACATTGGCAGAACCTCCAAGGAAGCCAGCTGGTCAAGAAGAAACATGGTCAGCCGAGTTTCAGCCCCAACATCATAAAGCAGAGTCCAGAGGGCAGTGTGTTAGGTAGAATTCTACAACCTTAGAGATTTTCACTTCCTGGGGTACCTGCCTTGTAGACAACTGCTACCCTTGAGTGTGGGCGGAACCTGTGAATATGATGGGACAGCCACTTCCTTGATTAGGTTACATGATACAGCAAATAGTGCTGGGATAGTCACTCTAGCGGTTATATCACAATTCTCTAAGACTCAGTCACAGCCAACAGGAGAGGGACTGGAAGTCAGTGAGGCACTGTCCTGTTGGCCTGGAAGAAAGCAAGCATCCATGTTGCAAACTGCCTAAAGGGACCGCATAGCAGGGAACTGCAGGCAGCCTGCAGGAGCTGAGTCGTCCCTTCCTACAGCTAGCAAAAAATTAGAGACCTCAGTTCTACAGCTGCAACCTGCCAACAACACGAATGAACTCTTGAGCTCCAAATAAGAAACATAGTGTTCTTACACCAAGATTGCAGCCTTGCAAGACCCTGAGCAAAGGATTCACCTAAGCCCTGTCCAAACTCCTGACCCATGGAAAATATGAAATAATCAAAGGATGACATTTTATGCCACAGAATTTGTGGTCATTTGTTACATAGCATTAGGAGACAAATGCAGGCCAGTTTGGAGCTGAAAGACAATAGCTTAATAAACCTGCATACCTATTCAATTTGTAACCATAGAACAAAAAAAAATGGTATCTCAAACAACCTGAACAGAGCAAGTCAATTCAGTGTGGCTGGAAACTGCTTTAGGGATATTCAAAGTGCAAAAACCAGTGGAGTGTAAATGTGAACTGTGGGTGCCAACATATTAGAGATAGAAGTGGAGTTCAAGGGATTTGCTGTATAGGTGGACCCAGGAGGAAGAATAAATCTGCCTCAAATGTGGAGGGCAAAGATAGGGTGAGCCTCTTTGGGGAGGAACTTTGCATATAGTTATTTCATTTTTAGTTTTCTTAAAGTAGAGCTGAAAAAGGCTTTGAGTACTAGCAGAGCTGAGGGATCCAACTGAAGATTATCCAGTCTACTAGAAAAAATAGTGTATAAATCACTGCATATAAGCGATGTCAAGGTAACCAACCTCATTGCCCAATTTACAAAGTGCTTATGAGCTGATCAGTGCTATAGGATGAAGGGAAGAGGAGTAGGAGGAGGAGGAGAGGAAGCCTTCAGACCATTATGCTGCTGTGACACCTGTGACAGAAGAGAAGGAAGGAAAGAAGCTTGGGTAGGCTGAGTTTCAGACTGCAGTGAGGCTCTGAGAAAGTCTTGACTAGGCTGTTGGGGAGCAAAAATTGTCAGAGGAGTCTTGAATTGAGTAGTGCCCCAGTACTCGATCGCTGGCACCTGGAAGTTGCCTGCCCAAGTGCCTCTATCATAACAGGTAAGGAGATCAGAGCAGAGGATCTCTATGGCTAACACAAATACCATTTCTATCTTTGTGAAAATAACTTAACATCAATTTCCTGTAAAAGGGAAGGAGAGATGGGCAACCACAATTCCTGAAACTAATGCCCATAATTTGGGACAAGAGATCATATAGAAAAGAAATATAGCACTGACTTTGATTGGTGGAATTTTCTGGAAAGAAGAGCAGGTAGACTCCATGTCGATGATTCAAACCATGCAGTGGGGAGCAACAGAACAGGAGCCCTAATCCTCCTGGTAAAAGCAAATTAAAAATTAGAGCCAAGAGTAAATGTCTATTTTTAGTTAGATCAAATAAATATAAATGCTTTTGATACTGCTTGGGTCTCTAACAAGCTGAAGCAGAAAAGCCTGCTGATACAGTACATTTTCATCGCAAGCTAAAATGCGGTTTCCTCGAGCCAGAAATTATAGTCCTTTCTGACCTTGAGAAGAAAGACACAATACTTCTTAGATTGGTGAACTAATCAGAGGAAAATTAAGCAATGATTGAGAATAGCTGTGGTGTAGAGTGAGTCATGGTAAATCTCCAAAATGGAAATAATTACCATTTCTCAAATTTTACCTTTATCAAAATAATTTCCGTGCAGTCTCTAACCACGAAAAGCGCTTGAAAATGTCTGTTTTTTTCTCATAACTTCAAATGGACTTTCCCCTTAGTTGTCCTAATCTGCGGTGTTTATTCAGTAAGTGACTTTAGTTTATGTGTGGGTGCATGCATACGCAGGTGTGTGTGTAGGTCAGCCCATCAAATTCAATGCAATAGTGTTATAATTTTTCTTTAATATTTTCCCTTATTCATACAATACAGAAGTGTACATCTAAAATGTTAAGGCCTCCTTCCCAATCCCTACCTCCACTACTTTTCAAGACATGAAGTTTAAAACTTAAACAAAACTGCTAAGGAAAATCTGGGTATATTTTTATATCTTTAAATCTAATTCTATGTTGTTTATTTAGTTTGTAAAACAAAGGTAAAAACCTTAAAAATTATTATTATTCTAAAATAAAGCGTTACATTTTCACAAATCAATTGTTATCTGTATAGATGCCTTATCTCACACATTAATGTTATCCTTACCTGATTATACTGCAGTCTTGGAATCAACTATAAACCAAGGCACCCTAATTTATATGACAAAGTTATATAATGAGCTCATATGTTATATTCAAGAAATAGTGAAAAAGCCAGGGTGGTTGGATGGGATGAACAAGGGGGAGAGTAGTAGGAGGAGGTGATGTTGAGGAGGTAGTGAGGGTTAAATGCTATAGGAATCTGCAGGTCCTGATAAGATACTGGCTTTTACTCTAAGATGCGAGGCCATGAAGGATTTTGAGGGGAGGAGTGACATGAGCTGATTCACATTTACCAGGATTTTCATGGGTTCCTTGTACAGAATACACTTTAGGGCATCAAAGGCTGAAGCAGGGAGACCAATCACATTGTTACAATAATCCAGATGAGATGCGATGGGGGCTTGGATCATGATGGTACCAGTGAAGGTAGTGAGAAGTGGTTGGATTCTGGCTTCACCTTTTCCCCCACCTCTTCAAATGGTGTTACTTTGTTCTTAATAGGAGCACAGCACTCGGCTGGGTGCGATCAGCTGCTAAATCTCCACACTGGCCTTCATGATTCTCTCTGAACATGTCTACGCTATGAACAAATGACAAATGAAGTTGTATATGATTCTGGTCTGAATCCAACGTCACCTAAGATTTAGAGCCTGAAAATCAATATTTGCAATTTTAAAAGATCTTTTAAATCAAGATTCTTCTCATATTGATTTTGTATCCTGAGACTTTGCTGAAGTTGCTTAAAATTACACCAACAATAGTCAAGCAGAGAGCCAAATCATCAATGAACTCCCATTCACAATTGCTACAAAGAGAATAAAATACCTAGGAATACAGCTAACAAGGGATGTGAAGGATCTCTTCAAGGAGAGCTACAAACCACTGCTCAAGGAAATAACAGAGGGCACAAATAAATAGAAAAGCCTTCCAGGCTCATGGATAGGAAGAATCAATATCATGAAAATGGCCATATTGCCCAAAATAATTTATATATTCAATTCTATTCCCATCAAACTACCTTTGACATTCTTCAAGAATTAGAAAAAACTATTTTAAATTTCGTATCAAAGAAGACCCTATATAGCCAAGACAATCCTAAGCAAAAAGAACAAAGCTGGAGGCATCATGCTACCTGACTTCAAACTATTCTACAAGTGTACAGTAACCAAAACAGCATGGTACTGGTACCAAAACAGATATATAGACCAATGGAGCAGAACAGAGTCCTCAGAAATACCACCACACATCTATAACCATCTTGTCTTCAGCAAATCTGACAAAAACAAACAATGGAGAAAGGATCTCTTATTCAGTAAATGGTGTTGGGAAAACCGGCTAGCCATATTCAGAAAACTGAAACTGGATCCCTTCCTTACAACTTTTACAAAAATTAACTCAAGATGGATTAAAGACTTAAATGTAAAACCCCAAACCATAAAAACTCTGGAAGAAAACTTAGGCAATACCATTCAGGATATAGGCATGGGCAAAGACTTCATGACAAAAAACTGCAAAACAATTGCAACAAAAGCCAAAATTGACAAATGGGATCTAATTAAACTAAAGAGCTTCTTCGCAGCAAAAGAAACTATCATCAGAGTGAACAGGCAACCTAAAGAATGGAAGAAAAGGTTTGCAATCTACCATCTGACAAAGGTCTAATATCCAGAATTTACAAGGAACTTAAACATATTTACAAGAAAAAAAAAAAACCCCATCAAAAAGTGAGCAAAGGATATGAACAGACACTTCTCAAAAGAAGACATTTATGTGGCCAACAAACTTATGAAAAAAAGCTCAGCATCACTGATCATCAGAGAAATTCAAATCAAAACCACAATGAGATACCATCTCACACCAGTCAGAATGGTGATTATGAAAAAGTCAGGAAATGATAAATGCTGGCAAGGCTGTGAAGAAATAAGAATGCTTTTACAGTGTTGGTGGGAATGCAAATTAGTTCAACCATTGTGGAAGACAGAATGGTGATTCCTCAAGGATCTAGAACCAGAAATACCATTTGACCCAGCAATCCCATTACGGGGTATATACCCAAAGGAATATAAATCATTCTACTATAAAGACACATGCATGTGTATGTTAATTGCAGCACTATTTACAATAGCAAAGACCTGGAACCAACCCAAATGACCATCAGTGACAGACTGGATAAAGAAAATGTGGTACATATACACCATGGAATACTATGCAGCCGTAAAAAGAAATGAATTCACGTCCTTTGCAGGGACATGAATGAATCTGGAAGTCATCATCCTCAGCAAACTAACACCAGAACAGAAAACCAAACACCACAGGATCTCACTCATAAGTGGGAGTTGAACATTGGAATACATGGACCCGGAGAGTGGAACAACACACACCAGGGCCTGTTGGGTGGTGGTGGGTGGGGGTGAGGGGAGGGAACTTAGAGGGTGTGTCAATAGGTGCAGCAAATCACCATGGCACATGTATACCTATGTAACAAACCTGCATGTTCTGCATATGTAAAAAAAGAAAAAGATTCTTCTGTCTTGTCCATTTTTTTTTGGTCTGTTGCACTGCTCTAGTAGCTCAAAGAAAGGAATAATCATTGTTTTACTTTCTTAAGAATATATTTATTGTCTAATTTTGGACACAATTTCTCAATGCTTAATTCTTTTTAGTGAAACAATCTCTTTTTAAAAAAATTATAGCAAAATAAACATAACAAAGTTTACCAACAAAAGCATTCTTGAGTGTACAGTTGAGTAGTGTTAAGTATATTCATATTGTTGTGAAATAAATCACCAGAACTTTTCCATTTTGTAAAAGTAAAACTCCATCCATTAAACAATTCCTCAGCAGTTTTCCTCCCCCAAATTCCTGGCAACCACCATTCAACTTTCTGTTTCTATGAGTTGACTGCTCTAGATACTTCATATAAAGGGAATCATACAGTTTTTGTCTTTTATGACTGGCTTATTTCACTGAGCATAATGCCCTTTTTAAGAACAAATAATAAATAATCTCTTTTTAAATGAAACTCTTTATGGAGTGAACTAACCTAGAAGAGAAAATTGACTTAAATGATATGAAAAGATACCCCAAATTGAAGTAACTATTTAATAAAGATGTCACCACTGGCATATATCTTAGAAATGTGTGAAGGAAGTTTATGAATGCTATTTGGAAAGATGAGAGAGAGTATAAGGCTATAAAGTTGGCTCTAGATACTTAAAGAACAAGTGGTCAGATGGCATTCAAAATTAGCTATGTGTGTTCAAATTTTCCATTGTCCTTGCTTTCTAGGGTTCCACTGATATTCAGATTTATGGAAGATAATATTTAGGAAAGATCCAGTAAAGGCTCATCATTTTGATATATCAAGTATCCACATGAGAAGATTTAAAGTCAATAGACATTTGTTGCTTTTTGCGTGTCCAGAATTCCTCTTCCTAATAGAATTTTGAATATCCTTTGGGAAAATTACCTTTCTCATTCTCATTCCTGTGGTTTGGGTGACACTCATTCCCAGCTCAAATGGATTCTTACCAGCTTTAGTCAATCAGCATTTCCCGTAGCCCCTGACCATAGAATTTTATTGGTTCAGGGATAAACCTGTAATGCATTCAGATCTAAAGAGATACTAGGAGATGTTTGCTGAAAAGACCAATATTCTCCTGGATGGTCTGATTTCAGGATGTGAGCTCTGGAACTGGAAGCTATTGTGCTACCCCAAGAGCCAGTCCAGGTGTGAGTGCAAGAAAAAGCATTTGATAAAACCTGAGGTTGACACCAACATGGCAGAAAAAGAATGGAGAGGAGAAAATTTGGGTTCCCACTGACATGATTTGAACTACTGAATTAGGACTCAAAGCTATATAAAAATGAATAGCCTTAGAACACAAAGCTGCATCTGGAGTATTTAGTTACTTGAGCTAATACATTTTTCTTATTATTTGAATATCATGGCCCTAAATCTAGGGTCTATTTTAGTATTTAAGTTGTTGTTTGCCAGCAAAAAATGGATCATCTCAATTATTTATCAACAGTAGAAAGAACAAATAAAATTGTGAGATATTTATACAAAGAAAATTATATGGCAGTAAAAATGAGTAGCCTAGATGTAAAAGAGAGATAGATATTAATGAGGAAAAGCTTGGTTAGTAATAAAAGAGAAGACACAAAACTGCTATTCAAACATTTGGAAGGAATATGCAAAAAGCTGTGGAGACATTTTCCTCGGAACAGGAGAAGGCAATACGGCACAAACATGAGGAAAGCAAACTGTTATTTATCTATTAACTTAAAAAAAAACCCCACATGTTTTCCTTCCAATATTTTGGGCACAGCAGCAATTCAAAGGGGCTGCTGAGAATTCTTTGTAATTCTTACCTTCTTTGAATTACCACCCCTAACCAACACTCCTAATAGGCTTTATCAGTTTATAACTTTAAAACTATTGATTTGAATAGCTCCCACGAAGGCTTAATGTTGTAAATTATCTTTGTTCGAGAGCAACAAGGTAAATAAAAAGTTATTTTCCCTTTCTTGTAAGTTATTTTACTTTTCTGAAATAAGGAATAAAGACTCCTATGTGGATCTTCCAGTTAAATATGATGGGTTGTTTGCATTCATTTACCTCTGTTTCCTTCTGAAAGCCCATTAAAATGACAGCAGAGCAAAATAAGTAAAGTAGAAATTCGCCAGGCTGGGCACGGTGGCTCACACTTGTAATCTCATCACTTTGGGAGGCCGAGGCAGGCGGATCACGAGGTTAGGAGATTGAGACCGTCCTGGTTAACACGGTGAAACCCCGTCTCTACAAAAAATACTAAAACAAACAAAAAAAAAATAGCCGGGTGTGGTGGCGGGCACCTGTAGTCCCAGCTACTCTGGAGGCTGAGGCAGGAGAATGGCATGAACCCAGGAGGCGGAGCTTGCAGTTAGCTGAGATCGCGCCACTGCACTCCAGCCTGGGCGACACAGCGAGACTCCGTCTCAAAAAAAAAAAAAAAAAAAAAAAAAAAAAAAAAAAGAAATTCACCAAAGACAAAAAAGAACCACACACAACATATGAGAGATGTCAACCAAATTTAGGAAGTTGCAAAGCAAGTGTGGCAACATTACCATTGGAGAGGATGAAGAACACTGGGAAGTGAATGTATTTTGGGGGAATGTAAATTGGTACAACCCCTGGACAACAATTTGGAATTGCCTAATAAAGCTGAAGGTACAAATTCACACAGTCCTATAATATTATGTCTAATTCTTCGGAAAAATTCTTGCAAGTGTGCGCCAGAAGACATGCCAGCAAATACTGGATCAACTCAATTTTGCATCAACAGTCAAAAGAACAAATAAATGAACTCCCAAATATAAATGGCATAATTCCATATATATATATATGAATAACATACTTCTTTTTTTTTTTTGAGACAAAGTTTCGCTCTTGTCACCCAGGCTGGAGTGCAATGGTGTCATCTCAGCTCACTGCAACCTCTGCCTCCTAGGCTCAAGAGATTCTCCTGCCTCAGCCCCACCTAGTACCTGGGATTACAGGCATGTGCCACCATGCCTGGCTAATATTTGTAATTTTAGTAGAGACGGAGTTTCACCATGTTGGCCAGGCTGGTCTCGAACTCTTGACCTCAGGTGACTGCCTTGGCCTCCCAATGTGCCAAGAGATTACAGGCATGAGCCACTGTGCCCAGCCAACACTATACATATAATATTATATATATATAAACACAATATATATAATATTATATATAAACTCTATATAATGTTTATATGTAATATATATTAATATATATAATATATACTGTTAAAAATTAAGTAGAATTAAAAAGTATGTTATTTAGCAGTAACATGTATAGTGTATGCAGAGACACTATATGAAGAAGCAAGGTCATGATGAGCACAAGCCATTGACATGATAATTATACTCAGAACAGAAGAAGGGGAAGTGACTGGGAAGGGACTCTCCAAGGAAAGCTTCAAAAAGCATCAGTAATGCTCTGTTTATTAGGCTGAGAGGCAGGTACATGTTTATTTTTTTAAAAAATAATAGTTCCTATATCCATAATTTTCTGTGTGTGTGCTGTATTCGCCCTGCCTCCTCCAAGAAAGTTGTGTGGTAAATGGCTTGGGGAAGCCAACAAGAAACAGAATGATTTACCTATCAGGACCCCAGAAAAAGCTCTGGAATTTCAGGGACCAGATTCCTCTGAAAGCATGAGTTTGACCGGTAAGAAGGAAAATGAGAAGATTAAGAGTCTGTATAAAGAACATGTAAATCTGGGTTTTTAAAAATACTTTTTAATTTTTGTGGGTACATAGTAGGTGCATACATCTATGGGGTACACGAGATCTAAACCTGAAAAATTTCCCCAGTATCTGGCACAACCAGCAATGATCACTCCCAACTAACCTCCACTTGCCCCCTGACCTTTCCACATACACATATATTTATCTGGCGGGAGAATGGAGATTTATTTTCCAGAAAAATAATGAGTAAGACAGGGTCTAGAATGAGGAGACGCTAGACACAGCTGAGGACAATTCTGAGTGTGGACCGGACCAGCAGGAAAAAAAAAGAAAAGAATTAGAGAAACAATAGGTAGAGCCACCTACCAGCCCTTTACCCACTCCAATCCCATCCCTTAGGCAGGAGATGGGGTAATATTTCTCTGGAGAGTTAGATTAACGTAAGGAAAAGGACTTGATGATACTGATATTTCGGAGTCCCTACCAAGAGTGAGATTTTAATCTGATAACACTTTAGTGAAACCTACTTATTGACAAGCCAAAGAGCTTCCAATTGAGTTTTAGCATCTCACTATGAAATGTAAATTGTGAATAGTCAATGACACCAGGAATCTGAGGAGAGGCTCTTATTGGAAAGCTGGGAATCAGAACAATCAGAAAGATGAGCCTTAAGAAAAAGAAAGATAATGCAAGTAGCAGAATGAAACTAAAAGTGAAAGCAAAAAAAAAAGTGATTTTTAAAGCGATAAAAGAAGATATTGCATTCATCAATGCAATGAATAGAAAGTCTGAAAGCAAAAATTGAGAAAATCTTCTATAATGTAGACTATAAAGGCAAGGAGTTGAAAAACAGGAGGAGGAAGATAAGAGTATTAGAGAATGAGCCTATAAGGCTGAATGTTTAAATGGGAGCACTTTCAAATGAAAGAATGAACACAATGGAAAGGAGGAAATTATCAAAGAAATACTATAAGAAAACTTCCTAGAACTGAAGAACATGTTTTTCATTTTGAAATGGTCTGTGGAGTGCCGTTTCAAAAAGACCCACACAGGGTGACATCTTCGTAAAGTTTTAAAATCCTGGGGAAAAAAGAATGTTGTAAAAAGCTTTCATAGAACAAGGGAGAGAGAGAGAGAGAGATTGAGAGAGAGAGAGAGAGAGAGAGAGAGATACAGAAAAGAAAAATATGAAACCTCAGAAGTCAGAATGTTATTGAACTTCTCAATAGCAATATTGAAAGCTCACAAATCATGAGATGTGTTTTACATGGTAGAAAATCAGTAGATGATGTCAGGAATAGAAAAGATAATAAAATAGCATCAGAAACATAGAAATAGTGCAAAAACAGAACAATTAAATGATTTTCAGGTGGTCACCTGAGTGGTCTCAGAGGTAGGAAAGGAGAAGGCAGCTCAGAATTGTCTTGTTTTCTTACAACATTATTCAAATTATAGTTATTTATTGTTTTGCTAAATATCAAAATATAAAAAAAGAAAAATTTCTTTCCAAATTGGTTTCTTTTAAAAAATATCTTACTAAGTTTAATTTTAAAATTAAATTTCAATTTAAACTATTTTAAATGAAATAAATGGACATATTTACAATATTTTCTCCCATATATCTCCTTATTAATCAAACATTACACCATCCATCCAACCATCTATTAAAATGCTGCAAAATTATTACATAATAATACAGATAACTTAAAAACTATTGATTTCAAAAATCACTCTTTTTCTCAAAAATCACTTCTTTTTCTTTTAGGGCATTATAACATAGAGGTTGGGTGAGAACACTGGACTCAGATCGGCTAGGTGAGATTCTCACTGAGTTACACATTCGCTGTGCGACTTGAGCAAGCTACCTCATCTCCTATACTTTTGTTTCTTCATTGGTAAAGATTTGAAAGGTACTTAATTCATACAGTTTTTATAGCACATTGAGTTAATAAATGTAAAGCTTTAGAATACTACCAGGTATGTTGTAAGCTCTCTCATAAATGCAAGTTTTGATTGTTATTAGCAGGCTACTTTTTAATTCAAGCTTAATAGTGATTTCTGTCTTCATGAAACATAGGTATATATTTAAAGTAGCAATGCTAATCACACATACTCACACAAACATACACGCAACTCTGAAATGTATTTATTAGAAACATACTGTAATTTTCTTGGCATAAATAATCTTTGCTTAGGTAATACAGATGTCCAAACTTTTCGCTTTTACGATGTAATTTTAATAGTGTTTGCATCACTGGCAGGATTCTTTATGCCCCATTACAAATCTTCTTAGTTTTGCTTTGGGGTCTAATGTTAAAATATTTGAAATAGTCTGGCATCCTTTTGCTTTAAGAACCATTTTCTTTTTATGCCAAGATTCAAAACGAAGGTGTAAAGATATCTGTTTTTCTCAGTGCTTTTCTGTCCTTTCTGGCTAGAAAGCCGGTTTCCAACTTTAGGCTCTGAATAAAACCTATTATGGTTATCTCATATGTCTTTTCAATCAACAATAATTCATTTATTGCTTGTTGTTTGTAAGCAATTTTATTGTGCATGAGAAATATAAAGACTGAGCTGATGGTCTAACAGAAGAGAGACAAATACATCAAATTATAAGCAATTATAGATCTGCCGTAAAGGGACTGTGCTTCAATGTTAGTTGAAAAGTTAGACAGAAATGAGATAGACGTCTAGTTCTCTAATGCCAATTTATAGTTATGTCAAAGAAAAAAGCACTTATACAAGATCTTATCTTAAGATGGAGGATTTAAAAAATGTTTAGTATTTTGCAAAACTTTAGAATGACTGGATTTTGGAAAATTGGAAAATCTTGTGCATGTGGGTGGGGGTTGGGGGTGGGCAGAGGAAGGCAATATCCTGGAGCCTGCCAATAATGCATTGCTTTAGAAACTGAATTTCAGTTTAACCAAGGTTTCCTTATTTGCTGTCCAGTGGGATGTAACACACCAAAGAATTAAAAAGACGCATTTCTCCAATGGAGCCCGGGGGGATGTGCATCAGGATAATGCCAAAACAAGGCTCCAGAGTGGGTGTAGATGGCAGTTGACTTTATTTTATTTATTTTTTTAAGACACAGTTTCACTCTGTCGCCCAGGCTGGAGTGATGTGATCTTGGCTCACTGCAACCTCCACCTCCCGGGTTTCAAGCGATTCTCCTGCCTCAGCCTCCCGAGTGGCTGGGATTACAGGTGCCTACCACCACTTCTGGCTAATTTTTTGTATTTTTTTAGTAGAAGTGGGGTTTTACCATGTTGGCTAGGCTGCTCTCAAACTCTTGACCTCAAGTGATCCGTCCGCCTCGGCCTCCCAAAATGCTGGGATTATAGGCGTGAGCCACCGTGGCTGGCCGGCAGTTAATTTTAGCCATGAACATTCAGACTAAATCCAAATTATAACAGTTATACATACTGTTCCCTCTGCTATATAATTGACCATTATAATTAGTGGACATTTTTCAACCCTATTTGAGAAACTTGGGCATATCAGGCTCAAAACACAGTCTTTTAGGCTCTAGGCATGGCATGGGCCTTTTTCCTGACATTTTCACCCTTACAGTCCTCTTTATCTTGTAGTCGAGTTAGACACCATTTCCTTTAAATAGCCTTTACTAACTTATCTGTCTCTTAACCATAACTCCCATAGCACCTTTTACTTACCTCTGTTAGGACACTTGATACACTCTCTTTTAGTTTCTTTTTTACCTTGCTAGTGTGCTCTCTCCAGACTCATTTAAGTCAGTACCATTTAAGTCAGACATTTGGAGACATTTGAGAAACACTGTTATTACTAAATAACAAAGGACCTGTTTGTCATACAATAGTTTGCCTACTAGGCTCTACGATAGTTTTCTTGAAGGAGATTATTGTCATAAGCTCTATATATGCATTTTCAACTTACAGATTGTGTTAGTTTAATAAATATTCAGAATCTTCCCATTTTCTTCTTTCTTTACTATCTCATCACATATCTTGTAAAAGATATGCTGCCTTTACTGAAGCTGTGAGAAGACAAAAAATCAACTGTCAACCCTGACAAATTGGAGACATGCTTATAAAGAAAAAATTATTGGTCAGCAACATTTAGGTGTTGTTTGGACTTCCACTTTCTGAGTTGGTTATGTTTAGTACTCTTAAATAGACATGATGAATTACCGTAAAGTGATGGTTGCGAGTCCAGGCACAAACCTCAAGGGGCCACACATTTGGTAGATATGGCAGGTCTTCTTTTCCCTGACTCACAACCAGCACAAGGCAATCATGCTGACATCAGTTATAACGGCTTTGCAACTGATTTCCCCCAATTCTTAAAGCTCATTTAGAGCCCATAAGTTTGTGTGTGTGTGTGTGTGTGTGTGTGTGTGTGTGTCTCAATGGTCCTTGGTGAGTTGTCTATGAATGTGCCTGGACATTTGCAGCCTCTGAGTCATGTCTGAAGACCCAGGAACGTCTGACTGTAATGCCCAAGCAGCAAGAAGTAAATGCAGCAATTTACCCCTGGAGTTTTATTAGCCATCTGACTAACCTACTGTTTTTCCTAGAACAGTCTGCTGTGCATGTTGAAACAAGGCAATGATTAAAAATATGACTAATTAAGTTTTGGTGGAAAGTGCTCACGATGTTCTGTTCAAAAAGTGAAATGACTCAAAGCTGACTTTTTCGTGTGGATAAAATCAATGACATTGCCCTAATCATGTGCTGAACCAGAGGTAGACTCACAGCCAGGGCTTTATCAAGCTGTTAAGAAGTGAAGCCTGGAATTAGTGACAGCAGCCTGAGCTATGATTAGCTTCAAGATGACGTGTTTCACAAACTCTTGTTCCAAAACAGGGTGACATTATTTATGGGTATTTGTAACAGTGAAATTTTAAGAGCACAGGAAAAATTATTAACGGCTATTGTCCAAGTTAATGTAATGCAAACCCACTGCACATAAACTAGCTTTAACAAGCTTGTGCAGCTCACATTTAATTAAGGAAATGAGAAATACAAGTGTGGAAGGGGATGGTCAGTTTTTCTTGCTTGGGAGTCTTAAAGGCAATAAACAATTTTAGAACTGTCGAAAACACAAGAATTGACTTTCCTTTGAATTCTCTATAATTAATACATGTAACTGTTCAATTTTTTGCTGCATTAAAATGTATTTTGAAAAATGATTGTTGCCTTTTTTTTTTTATTATACTTTAAGTGATAGGGTACATGACCCAGCCATCCCATTGCTGGGTATATACCCAAAGGACATTTATTTTTCTAAGAAAAAAACCATTAAAATAACTGATCTTTCCCACTTAATTTTGTTCCTCGCTGTATGTCATAAGCTTCTAAAAGTCAATGCCATTTACTTTGTAAAAGTACCATTTTACTTTATCCAATCTTATTCTTCTATCTTTTGTATAATGAAGTGTGGTATAACATAAGCACTTTATCCATTATTTAATAAGCAGTTACTAAACACCTACTACAGGTCAGCCTGATGATAAGTAATAGATATTTACTGCTCAACACAACATAGTGCCTGACTAAATGAGCCTGGAAGGAGCATCCAGGTGAGGTAAAGAGGCAAGGGAAAGAAGGTTCAGGAAATGTCCTCATAGAGCCCAGTAGAGTGTGTGGGGAGACGTGTTGGGGGATGGAAGAGTCAGAAAAGGCTCTTTGAAGGAAGTGATGTCTGACTTGAGACCAGCAGGTTAAGAGGACAATGAGGGTGAAGCTTTCATGGGACAGGAACAGCCATACAACATCCGAGGCCCAAGCCATTGTTTTGAGCCAAGCGAGCCCCACATTGAAGATTGTGTGACATGAGACTGGAGAGGTGATCCGTTGGACTTCTTTTCACAGACAATAGAGAAGTTAATATTGATGTGCTACAAAGGAAAGTATTGCTCAACAGGCTCATTTGATTTAGCCACGGTTACTTTTAAATTATTCAGATTATTTGAATGTGTATTTGAAGTACTCAAAGGTTTTTATTCACATTAGGTAAGATGGAATTTTTAGTCATGGTAAAATTAATTTTTTCTTGATCACATAAATTATTTTTTCTGCTTCAACCTCCAGATAAGCCCCTTGAATGAATCTCAGCACTCTCGTAAGAGTGTAGTGTGGCCAAGACATAGGGCATGCTAGTAGTGGAGGAGACTGGTCATGAGGATCAGGATGGAGAGTTAGACAGGGCACAAATAATGGAAGCTGCTACTCTGAGGAGATCAGACTTTACCCACAAGGGATGTGACACTGGTTTTTGTTGTTGTTGTTTTAGAAAGATAACCCCAATAGCAGTTGGAGAATGAGAAGACGGGGAAAAGCTGGTGGTAGGGCAAAAGTACAGGAGGTTGTTAGGCCTGAGCTCTGAGGAGAGACCACAAATAAGGACACAGAAAGGTAAATGGAGAAGAACAGGAAGAATACAGGGCATAAAAGGGAGCTAGAACTGAACATGTGAGTTGAGCAAAAGAAATATATCAAGGAAAACTCTTGGGTTTTGGCTTCGGAGACAAGATGAACAGCAAAGTCACTGAGGCTGGAAATAAAGAGGATCATAGTTGGAACAAAGATATCCGTTCAGTTTTGGACAGTGTTTGAGATACCAGGACAGGTCTGCCCTAGAAGTGGATATGCAAGTGTGTCATTGAATGAGAGAGGGAATTTGAGGAGGCAGATTGCGTATGCAGAAGCAAGGATAGTATTGCGGTACACGTGAATGCTGAGGCCCTAGAAAGTCAGTGTAAAACACTCCTCTTTCCCTGCAAAGTTTGTAACCAGTGTGGAACTAGACACAAGAGTCAGACAAAGTTGGAAACATTACTTTTTCTACTGGTAAAGCTAAATGGAAAACATGGCTGTATTTCTTTTTTTTTCCTTTTTGAACTTCTAAAATGACTTGAAAATGGCTCTATTTCTGAGGCTAAAAGATAATATTAGCCTTTTACCCAGTAATTAGACATATTTATTTGCCCCTGGCTTAGAGGGAGAGTGAATCAGAGCATAAGCTGTTGGCATACATGCCATTTAGAAAAAAAGAGGTTCTCTCTTCCAAGCTTGCCAATGAAATAAACCACTCTTCCCTCCCTGGGGAGAGAAACTAGAAGCGTTGCTCTAAGTGAAGTGCCTTCACATGGAAACATGAGGCCAGAATCAATAGTCTTCCAATAGCCTACATTTGAAAGGAGGGCAAAGGAAAAGAACGCAGAGCAGCAACTTGATGATGATGATATAGACTGTGATGAAAGTTGCTAACATACTGAACACTTACCATGTGCCAGGTATGTTTGCCAGTCCTTTACAGTCATGGGCCTCTTTAATCCTCACAGCAAGCATGAACTATAGGTAGGGAAATGGAAGCACATGAAGTGGCAGAAGCAGGATTTGAATACAAGTGGTGTGGTTCAGAAACTGGTCTCTTGAGAAATAATATTCAGAGAAGCAGGAGAAGAATAACAAAGAAGAGCAAGGTGACATGAGACTGAGAAAGGAGGGAGTCACCCGGTCAACACAAAGCACAAATAAGGATATAACTACAGATCTCTAGCTCCGTGCTGTGACTTAATATATTGTTGACACTATGAGTCACAAAGTATAAAGGAAAAAGAAAAGCAGTTGTTTACCCCAACATTTTAACACGGAGACCAAATTAATGGAAATTATTTTAATTAATAATTAATTGAATTAATTCATAGAAAATTAAGGTAAACATCTTAAGATCATGAATCAATCAAATTTCTCTATGTTTTAGTTTTTTATTATTAAGGTTTAAGTACAGTGGCTTTTTATTGTGTAGATATAGCCTTTAACACTCAATTAATTTAACATAAGGTGTGTTAAATAGACTGAATGAGCAAAAAACAAAATTATTAGTTGCCTACAAAGACCAAATTAATTATGTAACCTTAATATTTCCATTGCACTTTGCACAACCAATGTGAGTTGAGCCTTAGATATCAAGAGTTTGGGATTTGGGTATTGCCCTTGCCTTAAAGAAGCTGGAAACCATCATTCTCAGCAAACTATTGCAAGGACCAAAAACCAAACACCGCATGTTCTCACTCATAGGTGGGAATTGAACAATGAGAACACTTGGACACAGGAAGGGGAACATCACATACTGGGGCCTGTCGTGGGGTGGGGGAAGGGGGAGGGATAGCATTAGGAGATATACCTAATGTAAATGACGAGTTAATGGGTGCAGCACACCAACATGGCACATGTATACATATGTAACAAACCTGCACGTTGTGCACATGTACCGTAGAACTTAAAGTATAATAGAAAAAAAAAAGAATTAAATTAAACTTTCTAACTCCACTCCTTCCAAAATGGGGCTAAAACATATATATTCTACACATAGTATCCTACAGTGATAGTTAGAAAACACTATCAATCATGAATCTTTGAACTTGGATTGGAGGCTCTCTGAGTTTCATTTTTACTATCATTGTCAACTACAGATGCCAGGAAAAACACCATCACAGAAACTAGGTTTCTTGGATCTTTCTGCTGTGAAAAATGGGAAATCAGTCAGACATCCCTATTGCTTTTGTGAAATATCTGTTTCGAGGAACCCTGCAGCTTAAATTACATGACTTCAGTGCAAGACAGAGAATCTTCACATTGAAATGTGTGCTAGAGCAAACATATTTAAACCTTTTGACTTATTGAAAAACACAGCTCCAAATGGTACTCCATGAGGTAATATTTTCCTTAATTGCAAAGCACCATATACAGCTCTTTGGGGTGCTGCACCTGGGCCATCTGTCTGCAGTTTCCTCGGCTATTCTCAGTTGGAAATATCAAGATGGTATATATCTCCTTAATTGTGTCTTGACAAACAAATTAAGAATACCACAGCAGGCTGTTGTCTCCCAGAACAAGCAAAAATGGTTTTGTAAGCATTTGTAATTTACAGCATCCTATGTCTCTGAAGATCTTTGGTACAAATAACTGTAAATTTTGAAATTTCTTACCTGCCAGATTTTAATTCAGAAACAGTAGGTGCTTCTGACTGTATAGAAAACTAGCAATAGTATACAATCTATGTTTTCAAAAATGTATTTGAAAAAGTGCTGATGGTAGTAAAATCTGGCAACAAAACCAAAGTTACAAACTGCTTGTTCACTTGTTTTATGTGGTTTCTGCCACTGTGTGCTGCCAAGTAAACACAACAGAGCACTCAGCTTTTATTAGATACATTTGATTTGCCATTAATTGTATGGTATCATTAAGCATTCACTCACTAGACAATACAATCCAATACAATCCAAAATGCAATAGTCCTCATGAACAAGCAATAGTGTTTGACCATATGTACATTTACAAAACTACATTGTTTCTGAATATGAAGACACCCTAAGAGATAGCAACGTCAAATCTTAAATGATTCACTGTAAGCAAAATGCTAATTATCATTATGATAATGATGAGCTTGATTCTGGCTCTTAAGCCTGGGAGAATATTCATATGCACATACATCTCTCTCCTCCACCACTTCCACAGATCACATAAGTTGGTCCATAGGCAGAGTTTCTGGAGAGAAAAGCCAGAAGTACAGAGCTTTGTCCATCTCTCAAGCTCTTCAGTCAAATAAGCCACACTTCTTACCATGGAGGAGAATAAGGAGGAGCTGGAGAGAAACTGGAACAATTGCTCTAGGTGAAGTACATTTTCATAGAAAAATGAGACCAGAACAAGTGATTTCCCTGAAATAACCAACATTTCAGAGCAAGGCAGAGGAAGACAAGACAGAGCAAGATGATGATGATGATGATGATGATGGTGATGATAATGATGATATGTTCTGTAGGTAACTCTGTCCAAATGGAGGAGCAACCAGGACTTTTTCTTAGTGTCTCCATCCTCCCCTTTGTGGGCCCAACCCTATCTTGGTAATTGATGTAGGGCAATTTCCTCTCAAATCTTCTGATATGAGATTCACAAACCCATTTAAGAGTCTCTATCTATTCTTTGAAATTTTAATCCTGAATTGGAGGAAGGGAACAGGCTCTGTACTAATGTCTCAATCCTTTCTAGCTCCTCCCCAGCATCTTTCCCTATCCAAGAAGGGCTTTTTCTCCTCCCAGCTGGGTGGTGAAATTCTATTTTGTCCTATCTGGCACTCTACCGTGTGCTCTCATTATCTTTTATAGTCTCTATGTTCTAGTTCTTCACCTTGGCTCCTTAGGCTACATCAATTCTTTCATTTCAGACAGAACAAAGATGGAATCTCCCAAGTGAAAGTCTGTTTCTGAGTTGGGCTTTTAGAGCTTGTTTTGTAACTTTAAAGATGAACATTTCTCTTTTGGTTCTGGGTTCTGTCCTCCTCTTAAAGGATGGATGACCCAGCCCTATTGAGAGACTAGGTATTAGCAAGAATTACCAGGTATGAAATCATCAGGTGATATTTCACAGTGTATGGCTGATAGAACCATGTGAAAAACAATATCTCCTTCTTCCCATCCCCTATATAGAAAACATTGACTCTTACTTCCTGGATCACATCATTGCATCGCTGCTTTCTCCAAGCTCTGACCCCTACTCTAGTTCCCACAAAGCATGCAGTGCATAGTGCTTGGTAATACATATATATAGAACTATGGAGCTGCAGGAAGAATAGATTTCCTTGTCCACAGTAGGACAAGGGGATACATCTGCAGATGATACATCCCAAGACCCCCAGTGGATGCCTGAAAACACAGATAGTACTGAACCCCACTATATATTAATACTATGTTTTTTCCTATACATACATACCTATGATAAAGCTTAATCTATAAATTAAGAAGAGTTAAAAATTAGCAACAATAATTAATAATAAAATAAAAATAATTATAACAACATATTGTAATAAAAGTTATGTGAATGTGGTCCCTTGCTCTCTCTCCCTCCCAAAATACTACAATAGCTTTCTACTGCAGTTGACTGTGGTTAACTGTGGGTAACTGACGCCACAGTAAGCAAAACCAAAGATAAGTGGGGACTACTGTGCAAAACTAAGGGAAGCCCAGTAGCCTCATGTCTACTGGTAATTTCTGTTCTAGTTGCTCTATCTCAATCATATTATGTAAGACTCTTGACACATCTTCAGAAAGATAAAGGAATATTCTTCATTTAGGCTTACCTCCTTCAGTGCCTTTTGGGACTAAATAGAATAGGCCCAAGACCTGACCACTTGGCAAAGCCCAAAAGCCCACTAGTAAAATTATTACACATTAAACTCTTTAATGGTTCAAGGAAGACTTTAGAGACTCTCTTTGATTTTCAGAAACTTTTGAGATCATATGCTGGCTATGTGATCAAGAGGAGTTAATGGAGACTGATACCTGAAAGCTGCATTAGGAAAGGAATTTCAGGAGTGAAGTGTGAATCTCAAGCAGAACATGTCTTCCCCTTGTTCTTCTGAACACACACCTGTCAGCTGTAAGCCTGGGCTCTGTGCCAGTTTAAAATGCTGGATCACAGATCTGCGGGGCCCAGACAGGGGCATTCCAGATCCAAAGGCCACCCCCTTGTTCTCCTATTCAGCCTTCCTTGAAGAGCTGAGGAGACAAAAGCTATTTCTGTTTAGTTGAAGGCAAATTTTGATCTTTTAATATTGCATTTCTATTCCTCATGTCCCTCTTTGCCTTTGAGAATCTCATTCCTTCATAATGTTTCTCCAAAACCCCTAGAATACAGACCCCAGCTATGTGCTCTCATAGCATCATGTATATGTCTTCACAGATTTTGGTTACTTTTAAGTACTTGTTTCATGTTTGTCTTCTCTCCCAGCTCAAGCTCCCCAGTCCTTAGCCTAGTGTTTGGCACCATTTGCAGATGGGGCTGAGAAGATAACAGGCTTTCCTCTGTTTACCCTCCCTAACACACTTGGAAATGGCCTACTGTCACAACTCACAATAATTGGATATTAAAATGTCACCTCTCTCCCTAACTAGCTATGACCTTGCATTGCCATCTATCCTTTGTTTATTAACCTACAATAATATTTAAGATACCTTCTGGCTTTAAAAGCCTAATAGTCTAAGCTTCTAATACATCCTTTCATATGCTGTGCTATTAGCCAAACGGAACTATTCTACAGTAGGTTTAATAGGCAAAAAATACACCGCTCTTCATAATCCTTTAGGAAGACATAAATGAACATTCTCTCTAGTACTTATGCCCTTAGGAAACAAAAGAAGTGATGGTTTTACTCTGTGGGATTAGCAGCTTACAATTATTAAGGATACTAATGACTACTACAAGAAAGCTCTCAAAAGTCCTTTAGTAAAGGATTTTCATCTAGAAATCTCTCAATTGATGTCTCAGAGAATTATCCACATAACGATGGAGTGTCGACCTTATTTTGCTGAATTCCTTCCTAGATAGGTGTCCCTTCTTGGCATTATCTTCACCTTTTTCTCCTTTCCCTTTTTCCTCTCTATTTTTCCCTCCTGTCTCTTATTATCATTAAATATGAGAGCCCGTATTCCCTCCATTCATTGCAGAGTCACACTTCGGTTACTTCTTGGCACACCTGTGCACAGCACCCTTGGGTTGCTTGCAGCCTTGCTAATGTTTCCATTTTTCCCTTTGTAAGCAATAGTATCCCTTGTCCTTAAAGAGGGCTTCATTGCTTGCAGAAACCTCATCTCGGTAATTCTAGGAGCCTTCGACTTCCCTGGGTATTTCTGACCTGAATTTTGGCCAACTGTGTCTTACCAAGTCAGCAGGTTTCCTCCAAATATTATCACTAAGTGTTTCCTGTGTAAAATCCTGTCCTTTTCAATGTACTTGGAAGAAGGAAATAGAAAAAACAACGTGAGTATTTATATAGGATCTTTTCTTTTTACAGCCAACTGCTTGTGAATTCTTAGACCATTTCAAGGAGAGTAAAAGAGTTGATAGGAGCTGGGCAAACAGAGGTTAAAATGGGTTGAAGTCTTTTCCAATATTCCATGGGGAGTGATCAGGCTTGTGTGACCTCCACAAAGCTGTTTGAGTTAATTCCCTCGATGTCAGGGAATCAGATTAAGTTTCTAGAATTCAAGGCATTGCTGTGCCCTTTGCACAGTGGAGAAACACAAAGCATGCAGACTACCCCTAGGTCTTCGGGCAAGGAGCCAGTAGTTCTGTAGAGCTTAGTCCTGGAAACATTGAGATGGGGATGAAACTGACAACTGATACTTTACAGATCATAGGTATCCGAAATGGGGTGGGTGGGGTAGTTCTTAGAGATGGAACAAGAATTTTTAAGTTGGCATGATGGGTAAGAAAGGGCCAGGAAAAGTTTAAAATGAAATTTTGAATTCAAACCATAATTAGAAAATAAGAAATGTTGAACATGGGACACAAAAGTGATGTCGAGTGTTGTTGAAACTTAACTCTTGGAAGACTCAAGAAAAAAAGTCTTTGGGTTCATTGTATTTCCTCAAAAAAGTTATATAATTTTCTTCCAGTTTCTAAAACTTTTATATGAGTTGAGAGGATATATTTATAAGGTATATTTATTAGTTTTTTTGCCTTATCTCTGAAAGTTTATTTATATGGGAAATAATTTTGAAAATTATTAATGTGCTTATCTTTTTTCTGGTCTGAGGACATGATTTTTGCCATAAATAGCTATTTTCCTAAGTGGAAATTAGGATTTGTTATGGAACGAATGTAAACAGAAAGAATGTGAAATCATTAAGCTTTTGACATGCAAAATAGCATTCTATAGTAAGGTAATTTTCTTTCCAATTAGATCATTTTCTTGAGAAAATTTTCTGAACTTCCTTGTCTTCTCCTTTTCAAGAATCAACATCCAGTCCTTGAAGAATTACTTTATAGAGTTCTCCAGCTGTGTAGAGAAAATACCTCTTTGGGCTAAGAGGTTAGATTCAAGAAGAGGAGAATGTAACAAGTAGAAAGTTCATCTCTTCCAGGCCATGGGCATGATAAAAATAGGAGGGTAGGAGGGAAGGAATAATATATAGTTTTAAGGTTTGTGTGTCTTGATTTTCCTACCCATGCTTAGCAATGTTAACAGAAAAGTCAAACTCTGGAAAATATTTTTAAAAGGTTTATTCCGAGCCAGTATGAGTGACAATGGCTCAGGGAACAGTCTCAAGAGGTCCTGAGAAAGGGTGCTGCAGGGGGTGAGGTTATAGTTTGGTTTTATACATTTTAGGGAGACAGGAATTACAGGCAAAGACATAAACCAATACATGGAAGGTATACATTGGATTGGACCAAAAAAGGTGCGACATATCTAAGTGGGGGCTTACAGGTCATAGGTAGGTTTTAGGGATTATTTAGTGGATAACTGGTTGAGAGAGTTAAGCTACTATCTACTGTCTTAAGACTAGAAAACAGCAGAAAGGAATGCTTCAGTTAAGATAAGGAAGTCGTGGAAGCTAAAGTTTTTGTTACATAAGATGAAGCCTTATAGGTAGCAGTCCTTTGAGAGAATCGATGGTAAAATGGTAAATGTCTCTTTCAGACCTTAAAGATGTCAGGTTCTCAATTAACCTCTCCCATATCCAAGGCCTAGAAAGAGAAGTTTTGGTGACTTTCATAGAGATTTTCTACAGATGCAAATTTCCCCCACAAAAGATGACTTTGTAGAGCCATTTCAATCCATGGGCCTGCAGCAATTATTTCAAAATATGTCAAGGAAATACATTTTAAGGAAAATATTTTGATTTCCTTTAGGGTCTGCTATCTATCATGTGATGCTAAACCACAGTCAGGTTAGAAAGTAAGCCACATTATACTGGGTTAAAACAACTTGTTTAATCAGATTTTATGGTTCATAGGGTATGACTTAACCCTTGCCTTGCATAGCTTTAAGTCTTGTTTATAATCTGGTATTTTATTGCCACAAAGAGCCTGTTTTGTCAGTCTTAGGATCTCTATTTTAACATCAATGCTGGCCAGTTGTATCTAAACTCCAAAAGGCAGGGGTATAATGAGGTATGTCTAACCTCCCTTCCCATGATGGCTGGGAATTCAGTTTTTCAGGTTGCTTTGGAATCCTCTTGGCCAAGAAGGGGTTCATTCAGTTGGTTGTGGGGCTTAGGATTTTATTTTTGGTTTACAGCATTGTGTTAGTCTGTTTTCACGTTGCTGACAAAGACATACTTGAGACTGGGCAACTTACAAAGAAAGAGGTTTAATTGGACTTACAGTTCCACGTGGCTGGGAAGTCTCACAATCATGGTGGAAGGCAAGGAGGAGCAAGTCCTGTCTTACATGGATGGCAGCAGGCAAAGAGAGAATGAGGAAGAGGCAAACATGGAAAGCCCTGGTAAAACCACTAGATCTCGTGAGACTTATTCACTACCATGAGAACAGTATGGGGGAAATTGCCCCATGATTCAAATTATCTCCCATCAGGTCCCTCCCACACCACATGGGAATTATGGGAGTACAATTCAAGATGAGATTTGGGTGGGGACACTGAGCCAAACCATATCACACATGTTATGAGAAATTCAAAGGAAAAGAAGTGTCTGTGGTCATCTTTCATGAGGACTCTGAAGAAGAGACTGCTTCCTGTGGGATATCCATCCACCTACATCGTGATTCCTGAGTGACATACATGGCCCTTAGAAGTAGCTGAAGGTGTGGACGCAGAGCTTTTCGGGGGGAGGTTGTTCTACTTGGGTGAAGTCGTTCCAAATTAGGGCTGCAAAGCAGACTGTACTTGCCTGGTCTGAATGGAAGACTCTCCTAAATGAGCGAAAGCCAAGATGCATGTTAGTGCAGGAGCTCTTCCAGAGCAGTTCATGATCAAAAAGAGTGACTCTCATGATGGCAGTGACTGAAGGCCAGCTGGTGCCAGGGAATATTGCTGTGGAGACCAGCGAAGCCAGAGGATGCTAGTGTCCAAAGACACTGAAGGACACTGGTTACTTAAGAGAGAGAGAAAGAGTGTGTGTGTGTGTGTGTGTGTGTGTGTGTGTGTGTTCCCAAGAGACAGTGAAAACTACCAAAAGGTCTAATACAATTATTAGGTTGAATTTAGTTGAAATTATATTGGATCTTTTCCCCTTCTTTCCTCCCTCTTTCTCTTTGTTCATTCCCTCCATCCCTCCATTCCTTCTCTCCTCCCTCTCTCCCTTGAATTAACCAGTGGTGGGGGCTTTGGAGGAAGACTGGGTTTATTTTTTGCAGTTCCTTTTTCCCCTTTCTGGGCCAGCACTTCTACTGTCCCTTTCAATCATAAAGTACTCTCCCATAAGGCACTCTAATGCAGCCTCTATACCTTCTGCCCATGAAAATGTCTGATAAACTAGCAATAATGTGTTATTCACAACATTTTACTTTCCTCAGAAATATTTACATTTAGCATAAGCCCAGGAAGTTCTCAATGCTAAAATCAAAGAAAGGGAGGCAATAGTGGACTTTCAGCCTTTTCCAGTCAATAGAACAAAGATTTTAGGAAGTGGTTTTTCTCTCAAAGTTCAGCACATAACGCATATGCTGGAATGGGGAATACAAAATTACTGTTATCTATGCCAGACCACAGGAATCCCCATTATTTGAAAAGTTTTCTCTTTCCAGAAAATGGAAAGTATTTGTCTAGGCAATTGCATTCGGGAGTATATCAGTGTTAGCCAACTGTAGGAACAGGTGCCAAATGTGAAGCAGGGAAGGAAAGGATCTGATCAGAAGGGACAGAACTGGCCCTGATCTTCACCATGGTGGTTTGCAGTGCATCCCAGATGGAATGTCAGCAAGATTGTCTATTGCTGCCCCCCTGCTGAGAAGCAAACATCAATGTCATCAATCTGGCAGTGAGTAAAGGGAGGTGAGGGGATTGAAATATTTTGGGGACACATCTTTAGATGTCTTTAGCTATTGCCCAAATAAAGTCTGGAGAAATTTATGAGGGTATGAATCACAGTTCATTCTCATAGTGTGTAAATCTGTGTCTAAGATAAATTTGAGCCTAAATTAATATAATGAAATTATGAGTATTTTCAATGAAAAGAGTCAAACTCTGTAAAATATTCAAAGAGATTTATTCTGAGCCAAATATGAGTGGCCATGGCCCATGACACAGCCCTCAGGAGGTCCTGAGAACATGTGTCCAAGGTGGTTGGGGTGCAGCTTGGTCTTATATATTTTATGGAGACATGAGGCACCAATAAAATACATTTAAGAAATACATTGGCTTGGTCCAGAAAGGCAAGACAACTCAAAGTGGGGTGCGGGATGGGGCTTCCAGACTGTTGGTAAATTTAAACTTTTTCTGGTTGAAAATTGGTTGAGTTTGTCTAAAGACCTGGGATAGATAGAAAGAAAGGAAATGTTCAGGTTAAGGTAAAAGATTGTGGAGACCAAGATTCTTTTGAAGTCTTATAGTGGCGCCCTTAGAGACAATAGATGACAAATGTTTCATATTCAGATCTTTAAAATGTGCTAGACTTTTAGTTAATTTCTTTAGGATTGGGAGAGCCTGGAAGAAAAAGATCCAGTCATGTTAACAGAGATTCTTTACAGACACAAATTTTCCCCCACAAAGGACAGCTTTGCAGGGCCATTTCAAGATATGGCAAATAAACACGTTTGGGGGTACAATGTTTTGATTTTCTTCCTTGTCTCGTAATGTTATGCGAGAGACAGGTTGGAAAGGAAGTGATGATATACAGGGTTAAATAAAACCCATCTGATGAGAATTTATGCTTTGTAGGGCATGACTCCCCAGACCCCTTAGATAGGAATTTGGGCAAGATAAAAAAAAATCAGAGCTTAGTCCTCAGTATAATAAACAGAGTAAAAACAGTAATGTGGGATGTTAAGACAAATACATATTTGTAGTACTGAATATATAAACATCTTTTCTCTCTAGAATGGATGAAATTTCCAGGTTATGATCACAAAGAATTACACATTATGAGAAAAGGACAAAGAGATTATAACGTGTATTTAAGAAGTGTTAGGTAAAGTTACTTTTGAGCAATTAGTATATTACAAAAGAAAGTGCCTTTCTGTGGACTGCCATATCACATACTTAACGTGGCTTTAGGGCAGAGTCGTCTAGAAAAGTGACTACGTGTAGGAGCTTTGGGGCTATTAGGTCCTGGATTTAAATTCTGGCTCAGGCTCTTTTACTGGTTGCATAACCTTAGGCAAGTATCTGTGAGACATTTTCATCTGCAAAAATTGTGATAGCAATTATTATTACTAAGGCATTGCTTATAATCTAAGATTGTAATTTATGTAATTGCCTAGGAAACCATAGAAGATCTACTCTAGTCTGTCTGGATTTAGATACCCAGGTCTCATATGGTCCGCTCCCTTAAAACACACACATGCACACACACACACACGGGCTGAAGAAACTCAAGAGAAGTAAATTTTGAAATGACTGAAGTTGATAAGTGCTATGAAGAAAAACAGTGCAGAAAAAGGTATAGGAAGTATTGGTGGGGGGAAGGAGTTTATAATTTTTAATAGTGGCACTTAAGAACATTCCTAAAAGAGACAAAGGATTGAGTCATATGAATAGTTAGGGAAAGTGTGATGTAGGAAGGGGAATTGCAAGTATAGAAGTCCTACGATGGGCATATGCTTGACGTGTTCCAGGAGCAGTAAGATCCATGTATTGGAATGGAGTGGACAAGGTGGAGATTGGATGTAGTAGAATATGAGGTCAGTAGAGGAGGCCAGATCATGTAAGACCTTGCAGATCATTCTAAGGAGTTTGCTTTTTATTTCTATTACTAAAAGGTGATGCTATTAGAGGGTTTTAACAGGATAATTTACGTTTTAACAGGGTTACTTTGACGCTGCATTGAGAAAAGACTATAAAGGGACAAATATAAAGACAAGGAGACCTGTTAGCAGGCTATTACAATAATCAATATGGGAGGTGATGGTGATTTGTAGAGAAACAGGAAGCCTAGTTTTTACTAGGGTAGTAGCAGTGTGGTGTGCTGACAGACTGGATGTGTGATATGATAAGAGAGATTTCAGTCCAGGTCTCTGGAAAGATGCAGTTGGTATGTACTGAAATAGGGAAGACTAGGAGAAGAAGGATTGAGAGGGAAAATCAAGAGCTCAGGTTTGGACACGTTAAGTTTTAAATGCCTACTAGATATCCAAGTGAAGTTATAGAGTAGGTGTTTGGGTGTATGAACTTGTGGTTCAGGGGAGATGTCCAGGCTAGGATAATTAATTTGGGAGTTATCAGCATATCGATGATGCGTAAAACTGTGATGCTGAATGAGGTCATTGAGGGAGCAAGTGTAGAAAGAGAAGAGAAATTGTCTGAAGACTCAGCCCCAGAGTACATTAATATTAGCAAGTTGATTAGGAGACCAAGTAATGGAGACTGAAAGTGAGTGGCTACTGAGATAAGAGGAAAAGCAGGAGAGAGTAGTTTGCTGGACATAAAGTAAATAAAATGTTAATAAGGAAAGAGTAAGAAATTGTCTCAACTACTACTTGATGTCAAGTAAATGACAACTGAGAATGGAGCATTGGTTTTAATAATTTGGAGGTAATTTGTGACATAGGTAAGGGTAGTTTTGCATTAAGGGTAGTTAAAAAGGTTGATAAAGTGGGCTCCAGAAAATAAAAAGTAATATTGAAGACAATAAATGCTTTTTAGACATGTTGTAAAAAGGAGAGAAATGGAGCAGTAGTAGAGTAGTGAGATCAAGTAAAATTTTTCGTTTAAAATGAGAAAGTGATAATATATTTATGTGCAATAGGAAAAGGGCTAGTGCAGAAGAAAAATTTAATGATACAGGGATGAAATAGAAGAATGATGAAGAAATGCTTTCAAGTAGAAGAGGGAAAGTAGGAACTAATGCATACAATGGTTTGGGTTTTGCTAGGATAATGGACAGCTTATTCACAGTTTCAAGAGTAGGCAGGATATATGGGCACAGAGGTAGGTTGCTTGGTATATATAATGGAAGTTTATGAAGATTCTCTTCTAATTGCTTCTATGCTGTCAGAGAAATATGAAGGCTGGTTCTTTGTAGAGATTAGAATAGTGGGAAAGGCAATGGGCCAGAGAAACACAGAAGGGTTCCCAGATAGCACTAAGGCACCCTTCATACTAGAGGAACCCTCAGTATCAGTGTGTGCTTTTCTCTGGCCATTTTCATGTATGTGGATGCAGGCATGGTACACAGCTGAATTGGGTTTAACCAAGATTTGAAGTTTGCCAAGCAAGTATGAAATAGTAAGGGAGGAGCAAGGGATTTAAAGATACATGCATAGGACTGATTATACTTATTGACATGGATTTCAAACTCTCCAAGGATGTGAATGAGGAGGTGATGGAGGTGAAGGACAGTGAGAGATGGTAGGATCTATGGATTGTAGACCATAGTGGGTCAAAAAATTGCCAGCTGGAAAGTAGAGAAACTTGGTTAGAAATAGAGTGGTGAAAGTGATTTTAATGCCTGCCGTGAAGGTCAGAATAAGGAGTTTAGATTTTATACTTAATTGGATGCAAGGCTTTTGGAAAGTTTAAAGAGGGAAATGGCAAGATCTGATTTTTTTAAAAAATGTATTCTACCTGCCCTGTGGAGAATGAGTTACAGTGGAGTTGGGGAACAAGAGGAACAGTGGGAGGTACTGAAAACTGGAGAGATTTGGGGTACATTTTAGAACAAAGCTGACAGAACTGGCTAAAGAATTGGGTATGGCGGAAGGCAAAAATGGAGAATCTATTATTGCTATTTTTTTTTTCTGGTCAAACCACTGGGTGACAACTGGAACTGTGATTTCCTTTAGGAGAAAAACAAGAGACCTCTTTTGAGGACACTAAGTTTGAGATGCGTATTAGATACCCAGAAGGAAATACCAAATACTGTGTATTCAAGGATAGAGCATAAGAGAAAGGGAAGAGCTGTCATCCGAGGCTCAGTGAAAGGATGGTGTTTAAGTTAGTGGGTCTGCATGGGCTCACTTGAGGAGTGAGATTAGAAAGAGGGAAAACGTGCTACATGTTCATTAGTGAGTATAGGGATGAAAGTAAGCAAGAAGAATGAATACCTTTGAACACATAAAAAGCAAAGTTAACGAGCACTGAAGTGGACTCTCAAAGAAGACAGCTGATTTCTCCTTTAATTGCCACAGGAAGAGAAAACAAATCTGCCTTCCTGGATGTGGGGCTGCTGGAACAAAAAAACTACCTTTCTACTTCCGCACACTTCTTGAGCCCTCTATGCAATACCCTCCTTAGCCAGCTCAAGCCATGATCAAAGTCACTCAGGAACCTGTTTTTTTCCCCATAGTTTTACAAATAGAACGGTCAGTGAATGCTCCCAACATATTCCAACATTTGATTAGTCTGTTGACATTTGTTCTCATATTGGTATGTTTAATATTTAGGGCAACTATGTCAAACCATGAAGACAAATGTCAAAGTGTTAGATTATCAAAAGAGGTAAATAATATATAAATAATGTATAAGTAGTGCTGTAGGATAAGAAAGCAATTTTGAATTTTTATTTATGATTGAAGAATATCTTCATTAAGGAAGACTTTAGCTTGTCTAAAATTTTCTCTTGACCTAAAAATTTTTTATTTAAATGTGTTGCTTATTTTCCACACAGCAAGTTTATAGTTTAAAATATTTTTTTAATCTTCCTTTAGCAATAGCCTGTAAGTATAGCAATCAAATATCCTTTTGTGGTTAGATAATATTTTTACCCCAAGGATCTCTTAAGTATTTTAGCAATCAGTCAGTATTTAATGCCCTATTTGGTGCAAAACAGAGAGATACTGAGAAGACAGATGGATTTTGCAATATTCCAAAATAAATTAAATGCAGAACAACAAAGAAAAAAAACCTCAGGGCTCCTGAATCACAGAGACTAAGCAGTGCAGGACACCAAATTATAGCTAAAGATAGTGAAAAATGATAGTTTCTAAAAAAGTGGGAATAGAAAAAAATGTACATTTACTGTAGCTATTTGCTTTGAGATATTCTTCCTTCCTTCCTTCCTTCCTTCCTTCCTTCCTTCCTTCCTTCCTTCCTTCCTTCTTCCCTCCCTCTCTCCCTCTCTTCCTCCCTTCCTTCCTTCCCTTTTTTCTTCCTGCCTCCCCCTCCCTTTCTCTCTCCCTCCCTTCCTTCTCCCCCCTTTTTTTGCGCCAAACCTTACTTGCCCAGAAACATCATCTACTTACGGATTCAATAGAAGTTATCCCCTCTGTTCTTTTACAAGAGGTTCCCTTTTATTTCATGGTTTTAGCTATACAGAGAATTCAATTCAACAAATAACTGCTTTGCACTTACTATATATGTTAAGTATTGTGTATGTGCTGTTACAGAAGGGAACACACAGAAATGCAAATCCTTCTTAGTATGGTAAGTTCTGTAACAGAGAAAGAAAGGGATTATAGCATAAAGGTTAAGAGCATGGGCTTCGGAGTCAGGCTGTATGGCACTAGTGTATGATGTTGAACAAGTTACTTAACCTCTGTGTGTCTCAGTTTACTTATTGGTAAAAAGTAATAAGTAGTATTTATTTCATAAGAGTTTAGTAAAGTTTAAATAAGGTATATATTAGAACTGTACCTGGCGTATAGTAGGCATTATATAGGTACAACTATTGTTTATAATTGTGTAAATATGAAAATGTACACAATTATAATTGTAGTGTTTCCTAGATTTCTTTCTACCCTCTTCTCATTTATCAGCATATTGGAAATGGCAACAGTCATGAAAATCCTTCCTTCCTCAATTTCCCCATCTTCCTTCATTTGTTCTCTGCCTGATTGTCCCTTCCCATTGGTCTGTGTCTCCTCAACCAATGTCTCCTGTGCTCAGTGTCTAACTGTTGGTGTACTCCATTTTGGCTTTCCCTTTTTCTCAGTCTACATACTCTTTCTGAGCAATCTTGCCACTCCTGGTGCTTATGTAATCATCTGCACACAAATGACTGCAATTCTACATCTAATGTATAGATGTCTGCTCTAAGCACTAGTCCCCATTTCTATCAATGGGACTAAGAAAAATATCCGGTGGACTAAGGAACTCTAAAAGCAACTTGTTTACAGTGTTTCTTATCACTGTTTGCCTACACTCCAACCTGATTCCTGCCTTGAATTTCCATTGTAATTGAAGGTGCCACTGTTATACCATAATCTGCGTTGGAAACCTGGAAGTCACCTATGACCACAGTCCACCAGGTAATCAGCTCTGTCAGTTACACCTCTTACATTTCTCTTGACTCCTCCCACCCCTTCTCTACTTTCACTGCTGCTATTGAATTCAGGTTTTCTTCTCAGTCACCTGACCTATAGTAGCAGTCTCTTATCTGGTCTATCTGCTTCCAATTTCAGCATCCCTCCCTTAAGATCAACCTTTACATTGCCACCAGACACTTTCTATAGTGAAAATTAGATCATGTTTCTTTTCTGCAGAGTTTCTATAAGTATAGCATTGATATTTTCACTAAACTCACCTGGAATTTTTTTTTAAGTGAAAATTTCTGGAGCTAAACTCAGATTTGAGAATTAGAATTCTCACAAGAGAATTCACATTCACACTAGGCCCAGGAATTTATACTTTAGTTGATTTTACCCAAACTAGAGTCTGAGCAACGTTGGCCTATAGTATGAATTCTAAACACGTATCCTTTCATGAGACTTCCTCATCCCTCACCGCTCCTTCTTTGCAATGTCTGCTCTATGCCCATAGAATTGTTGGATTCTCCAAATGCAAAACAGTATTTCATACTTTCTTGATCTTCTATACTTCAAAAATTTCCCTGCTTGTTCTTTTTCTCCTTTCTGTAACTAACTTGGCACATCACAAATAACATCTCTTTTCTCACCAGTTCCTGGAGATTTACTATAAACATATCACTAAATCACAAAAGGAGGAGGTTTCATCTTCTCTTTATTCCTTCATACCCCTTGTTTTACCATCTGAATAAAGACTGGCATCCTAGATATGGCCTCTATGGTGTGCATGAGCTGGGCTCATGTACCTCCTTGTATTTCAGCTTCCCCCTCCCTTTTGGTGCTTCACATTCTGCCTTCTTTCCATTCACGTGAGCCACGTTCCTTACTAACTCAAGGTTTCCACACTGGCTGTTATCTCTGCGTAGAATTCCATTTCTACTCTGCCTCGCCCAGTAAATTAGTACAAATGCCTCAGAAGTTGGTTCAAGGGATCTTTCCATGACCCTACAGACCAGCGTTTTTACAGGTCAGGGTTTCTCAACAGCGGCACTACGGCATTTTGGACCAGAGAGTTGTCTGTTGTGGAGAGCTGTCCTGTGCATTGCAGGATGTTTAGCGGATGCTGGCAGTACTTCTAATTCGTGACAATAAAAAATGTCTTCAGATATTGCCATGTGTCTCCTGTAGCAACATTACCTCCAGTCTTGAGAACCGCTGGACTGAGTTAAGTGCCCCTCTTAAATGCTCTTCCTACCCTTTATTCTTCAAGTTGTGCTTGTAAGTATTCAGGTGTGATTGCTGTTTGCCTGCTAGAATGTAAGTGCCATGGAAGTGGGGACCATGACTGTCTCATGTACTGTTCCATCCCTGGTGCCTCACACAGCGCTAGGTACTAAGCATTTCGGACTGAATTGTGTCCCCCTGAAATCCATGCATTGCAATCCTAAACTCTAGTACCTCAGAATGTGACTATCTGGACAAGTGGCTTTAAAAAGGTAATTGAGTAGAATGCCGTCATACAGATGGGCACAATCCAACATAGCGATTGTCCTTGTAAGAAGGACAACATGTGTGCACAAAGAGGGAAGGCCCTGTGCAGACACCAGAAGAAGATGGCCATCTGCAAGTTAAGGAGAGTCCTCAATATAAACCAACCTTGCCAACACCTTGATGTTGAACTTCCAGCTTCCAGAACTGCGAGAAAATAAATTTGCTTTTTAAGCCACCCATTCTGTGGTATTTCATTATGGCAGTCCTAGCAAAGGATACACTAAATAAGAACTCAACAAATATTTTCTTGACTAAGTCTCTTTTGCACAGTCTATACCATGTGAGTCATTCCCCTCTTTTCTTCTGACCTTCAAGAGATTCTCTTAACACATTGATTTTTTTCCTTCACTGAGCCAATGAGTTGCATGTCTACATTGATGAATAATATCATACCTCAATCTTGGAGTTTCTTCTCTAAATTTAATCTACTGCATGGAATAGCCACAATTTAGTCCATTATCTCTTTGAACATCTGCACCATCACGGCTCCAGTTCCTCTGCTTGTGGTTTGCCTTATGTGTCTATGGCTTTGATTCTCCCATATTTTCTCAAGTTGACAGTCCAGAGCTTTTACCGTCTGCATTCAACCAGATCACTTTATCCTGTTTTCTTCACTTGCCTCTTTATTCATCCAGGCTTCCTGACAAGTTATCTTGATGTTTCTCTTTCTAGCCTCCCGAATCATTTAACCCCTTGAATTTTCTCTCAGCTTTTTATGCCAATCTTCAATTCTGTCACTCCTAGCTGTGAAACATTTAAGCTGAGTCATACAAACCTCATAATGGAGTCAGATGACCTAATTTCAATGGGCCTGTCACTCTTCCCGAACTACCCTCTTCAGTCTCATGAACTCCATGCTGCACTTTCTATAACAATGAATTAACACTTTATACATACTCCTAAAGTCTCTGTCATATTCCTTCTCCTATTTTTTTCCAAGAGATAACTTTGCCTCCTACTTAATTTGATAGAGTGTTTACTAAATACTAGTCCCATGAGTTGCCCAGAGTAAACAGAATATGGTGTCAAATATGACTGGGAAATGCTGAGCTAAACAAAGGTAAACAAATGTCTTTGACATCAGTATACTGATGCACATTCAGAATATCCAGGAAGGAGATCATAGTGGACATCTTTAATTTTTTTGTCCATATTCATGACTCTTCACTCTGGTACTGGTACTCAAATTTCCTTTGAGTAAACCTCTCCCCGTCTTGTCTGTTTGACATAATTTTAGTGAATATTCCTAGCCACAGGGGTGGATTCAAGGTGGTTGCATGATTTAAGTGTGACCAGGTACTGTAATTTCATTTTCCTGGACAATATTTTGTTCAAGCATGGGCATATAATTCCAGGTTGGAGAGTGAATCCACTCTTTTCCTCCACATTTAATCTAGGCTTAGGTATCTAGTTGCTATCCTGAAGTCTTGTGGAACCTGAGCAAGGAAGTTATTATGGAGGGAATCAGAGCAGAGGAGGGTCTGAATACTGGTAACATTGCTTGAACTCCTGGGTCAACTCCTCTAAATCCATACATCCTTTGACTTTTCTGTTATTGAGTCAATCTGTTCTGTTTTTGCTAGGTCAGTTTAGGTAGGGTTTTCTGACACAACAGAAAGATTCCCAATTGATCTAGAAATTGATACGAGAATAGGGATGACAAGTGAGTAATAGTGAGATTGATGGAGTTCCAGGGTTGAGTGAAATCTCCCTGAGGACTGCTCTACTCAAGGTTGACATTACATATCTTTGTTATACCTCATGCAAAGTAAAACATACATTATATAACTATATAAATATTTCACATATACCTCAGTAAGCCCCTATAAAAGACAAGATAGTCTGAATCTGTGGCCAAAATAAAAATAGCAAAATAATGTATTTTTACTAAAAGACAAATTTCTTTCTACTTTTCCTAATCCAATAAGCTGAAAGCCCAACAACATGGAGTCATAGGGTTGGAAAAGTTGAATTCTCTTCTCAATGAAAGATTAGTGCAAGTATTGGTGAGAACATAGGAAATACAATAAAAGACAACATAGCTTTATCTCGCCGGTCCTCCTCGGCACTTCCTGTTCTTACTTACTATCCAACAAAGGGTGTGGTTGTGTTTGTGGTATAGGTGGCTAGACCACAAGCATCCATGTCCAGACTAAACTGGGAAAGATGCTTGCCACCCAGAGATCCTGGAGTGAGCATGAATGTAATGTAATGTAATTACTTGATGACCTTTGGATTGTCTTCTTCTGGAAAGCACATGTGGGCTTTTGGGTAGCCAAAATGAAAATTTCATGTTTTTGCCTGCCCGACACCCATTCCTCCTTCTTCAGTAAACAGTTCCATGCATTTCTTCTAGGTAATTACTCCTGCAGCCCCTCCATCTGTTCCATCTTGGTCCTTACATTCAGTTGTGGTTCCACTCCTGACTCCAGGGGTGGTCACATAAAACAGTGGTCCCCAACCTTTTGGCACTAGGGACTGGTTTCGTGGAAGACAATTTTTCCATGCACAGGGGGGTGGGGGTGTGGGAGGATGGTTTTGGCATGAAACTGTTCCACCTCAGATCATCAGACATTAGAATCTCATACGGAGCATGCAACCTACATCCCTCACAAGCACAGTTGACAATAGGGTTCACGCTCCTATGAGAATCTAATGCAGCAGCTGATCTGACAGGAGGCGGAACTCAGGTGGTGTTGCTCACTCACCCGCCACTCACCTCCTGCTGTATGGCCAGGTTCCTAACAGGCCATGGACTGGTACAGGTCCCTGGCCTGGGGGCTGAGGACCCCTAATATAAGCAAGCTGCACTATAATTCCATTCCTCTAGCCACAGTTCAGGAATGAGCAAGCACAAGTATGTGACCTTAAAGTGAATTCAGGGATTTATGTCAGAGCTACTAAGAAAAACAACCCCTAAAATGTAGCCTTGGAACTGCTGGCAGCCATCTTGACACCATGTGGAGCCTGAGGAGGAGGCTAACATGGAGAAGAGCTGAGACATAAAGGCTATGTATCATTTTAGCCTTGGATTAAGCCATGTCTGAAGCCAGAACTATCTCTTTGATTTAATATGAAGGAAATAAATGTCCTTTTTAAATTTCTGTTACTTGCCAATAACAAATTTCCAAATGGTCTAAATGTATATTACACATGATATTCCACACTTTTTGACCATGAGCTATTTTTCTTGTCACACTTTTTAACCTACTATGTAGTTGGTATTTTTAAAAAGTCAATGAGTATGTCATTAACTGCAAATTAAAAGACAAACAAAATAACAAAATATTATGAGGTAAGCATTTACAGGTTTGGTTAATTCTGTGCTATTTCTACTTTTCCATTCTGCCATCCCCAGTTAACTGGGTCCTTAGACTAGCCTCTCTCAAAGTCGTAAGATGTCCTCGTTCTAGGCATTGCACCCTGACACAGCAAGACTGAACAGAAAGAGGAAATGCTATATTCTTGTATGCTAGTTTAAGAATGAGAAAATGTCTCTCAGGCTTTCTTCTACTCCTGAGATTTCGCTTATGTCTGTCTCGTTGTCCCAAACTGGGTTACATGCCTGTTACTAAGCCACCCATTGTCAAGATAATAGGATAACCACAATTGGTGGAGACTAACCAGGATTAACCTGTGGTTTGTGGATAGGATTTCTTTCCCTGAAGGCTAGAAACCTGAATAAAATTGGTGTTCTGGTTGTAAGGAAGAAGGGGAGAACAGGTGTTGAGAGGGTAATTAAGAGAGTCTACCAGACCATGGAATACAAGGGGTAAAATCATGTAGCAGATTAAGTTACTCAGGTTCCAGCTTTTGAATTCCCACTTGTCTTCAGTTTCTTCTCAGTGATTCAAAATGTCTTTTTGTATAAACCTTGTTGTATATACAATCCATTCCTGTCTTAAAGGAAAAGATGGCTCTCCCATGTTCCTAGCACTAAATCCTCTATGCTACCCTTAATCATAACAGCTTTTGCCTGTGTTTGATTTGGATATTTTATCCTGTCATTCCTTGGATGTATTCCAAATGTACGCCTTTCTAGTTAACAGTTCTTCCTGTAATGGAACTCAAACATTGCCATGCAATTCTCTCCCTAAATACATCTTCCACTGGTATTCTTCCACCTAACAATTTCCTCTGTGCCTGTGGGAATTCATGCTCCTTGACCTGTTCATATGCTTTTCAAACACTCTGTCTAGGTCTGTGCCTTAACTGATGCCTACCCCTGGCTTCTGTATGAAGCCATCTTTCATAGAAGACGCTCCTGCTCTATTTCAAGTACCTCATGGGTCAGGAGTGGGAGTTGGCATCTTCTTAGTGTTGTTTCTAAGCCATTATACTTGACTCTTGTTCTAAACTATTCCTCTTTAAGACTTAAGTATTCCAACTAGATAACCTTCTAGCTTCCCTTCCAAAAACTGGACAATGACATATTTATCAAGAACATTAGCAAGCATATCATATTCTTCCTTTCCATCCTTATTCTTTCCATGGTCTTGGGGACTTCATCATCATAAATAATTGTTCTTACAACTAGCCTTAAAGTTTCTTCTTTCGTCCATCCTCCTTTTCTGTCTGTCTCCCTCCTTCCCTCTATTCATCTCTTTCTCTATCTTTCCTCAGATCTCCTTCCCTCTTTCTTTTCCTCCTTCTCCTCTCCCTTCTTTTCTTTATTTTCTTTCTTTCTTTACAGCTTTATTGATGCTTAAGTGATGTGAAAGATAAAATTTTGTAAGTATATTATCTATTGCTTCATTTAAAAAATAGTCTGAAACTTGGTGGCTTAAAGCAACAAACATTTTTCTCTCTCACCATGTCTGTGAATTGGGAATCTGGGCTTAGCTGAGTACTCTGGCTCATGGTCTCTCACAAGGCTGAAGCCAAAGTGCTGGCCAGAGTCACAGTACTTCCGTGTGCAACTGAGGGTGGATCCACGTTAAAACTCACTCACATGGCTGTTGGCAGGCCTCAGAGATCCACTTCCAAGCTCACTCATTAGGGCCCTCCTTGTCATATGAACCTCTCCAGGACAGCTTGCTTCCCCAAGACCAAGATTGTCATGAAAAGGAGACAGAATACAGAGAAGGAGGAAGGGAGTCAAGGAGAGAAGAAGACAGAAAGAGAGAGAGAAGAAGAATGAATTCAAGATCAAAGCATACATCATTTCTGTTACCTAATCCTGGAAGTGACATCATTACTTCTACTACATTCTTTTCACTATAAGGAAGTCACTAAATGCTGCCAGTACTTAAAAAAAGGGACTCTACAAGGGCATGAATACTAGGAAGTGGGGATCACTGGGGGTCATTTTACAGGCTGCCTACCACAATGAATTATGACACGTGTGTACATGACACCATCACCACAATCAAAGTAACTGACATTACCATCATCTTCCCAAATTGTCTCATGTTCCTTTAGAATTCATTCCTCCTTCCACCTCCTCTTTCTGGTAAGCACTGCTCTGCTTACTTCTGTCACCATAGATGTGTTTGAATATTTTCAAATTTCATTTAAATGGAAAAATACGTATTTTTTGTTTGGCTTTTCACTGAGCATAACAATTTGGAGATCCATCTATGTTGCTTGTATCAATAGCTTGCCCTTGTTATTACTGAGACATGTTTCACTGTAAGGATCTATCATAATTTGTTTATCCATTTACCTGCAGATGGACATTTGAGATATTTCCAGTGTAAGGTTATTATGAATAAGGCTGATATAAACATTTGTGTTCAAGTCTTTGTGTGGAGGTGATGGTAAGTTTTCTGTTCCAACTTGGCTAGTTTATGTTCGAACAGCAGCCTAAATGTTGCTGTGAAGGTGTTTTTTAGATGTAATTACCATTTAAATCAGTAGACTTTGAGTAAGCAGATTGCCCCAATTCAGACTAAAGACTGCAATGTCAACTCTTGCCTGCATTTCCAGCCTGCCAGACTGCCATGCAGATTGCAGATCTGCCAGCTTCTACAGTTATGTAGACAATTTCTTAAAATACATCTCTCTCTCCTTTTCTGTTTGTTCTGTTTCTCTGGAGAGCCTTGACTGATACAGATTTTGGCACTGAGAGTGGTTCTAGAGGAATGGAATCTTTTTTTTTCTTTTAACTTTTAAGTTCAGGGGTACATATGCAGGACATGCAGTTTTGTTAAATAGGTAAACATGTGCCATGGTGGTTTACTGCACAGATCATCCCATCATCCAGCTGTTAAGCCCAGCATTCATGAGCTATTCTTCCTGATGCTCTCCCTCCCTTCACCCTCCCCCCACAACAGGTGCCCAGGGTGTGTTGTTTCCTGCCATGTGCCCATGTGTGCTCATCAATCAGCTCCCACTTGTAAGTGAGAACATGCAATGTTTGTTTTTCCGTTCCTGTGTTAGTTTCCTGAGAATAATGGCTCCAACTCCATCCATGTCCTTGCAAAGAACATGATCTCATTCCTTTTTATGGCTGCATAGTATTCCATAGTTTCTTTATCTGGTCTATCATTGATGGGCATTTGGGTTAATTCCATGTCTTTTCTATTGTGAACAGTGCTGCAATGAACATACGTGTTCATGTATCTTTGTAATAGAATGATTTATAGTCCTTTGGGTATATACCTAGTGATGGGATTGCTGGGTCAAATGGTATTTCTGGTTCTAGATCTTTGAGGAATTTCCACACTGTTTTCCACAATGATTAGACTAATTTACACTCCCACCAACAGAGTAAAAGTGTTCCTTTTTCTCCACAACCTTGCTAGCATCTGCTGTTTTTTGACTTTATAATAATAGCCATTTTGATTGGCGTGAGATGGTATCTCGTTGTGGTTTTGATTTGCATTTCTCTAATGATCAGTGATGTTGAGCTTTTTCTCATATGTTTGTTGGCTGCATGAATATCTTCTTTTGAGAAGTGTCTGTTCAAGTCCTTTGCCCACTTTTCAATGGGGTTGTTTGTTTTTCTCTTGTAAAGTTGTTCAAGTTCCTTGTAGACTCTGTATATTAAACCTTTGTCAGATGGATAGATTGCAAAAATTTTCTCCGATTTTGTAGGTTGTCTGTTCACTCTGATGATAGTTTTTTTTTTTGTTTGTTTGTTTTTTTGCTGTGTAGAAGCTCTTTAGTTTAATTAGATTCCATTGGTCAATTTTTGTTTTTGTTGCAATTGCTTTTGGTGTTTTTGTAATGAAACCGTTGCCTACACCTGTGTCCTGAATGGTATTGCCTGAATTTTCTTCTAGGGTTTTATAGTTTTGTTTTTTACATTTAAGTCTTTAATCTATCTTGAGTTAATTTTTGTATATGGTATAAGGAAGGGGTCCAGTTTCAGTTTTTCTGCTTATGGCTAGCCAGTTCTCTTGCACCATTTGTTAAATAGGGAATACTTTCTCCATTTCTTGTTTTTGTCAGATTGTCTAAGATCAGATGGCTGCAGGTGTGTAGTGTTATTTTTGGGTTCTCTATTCAGAACAGAATCTTAAGGATAAGTTTTCCTGATTGGTTCTGGGGTTTCTGGAATTGGTTCTTTAATTTTACTAGATCTAAAGGTGCCAATGACTCTATTTCCAGTAGGAAAGAGAGCATTGATTTCCATGGCATAATGTGGCAATAGTACCACATAAATAATACCATTGGGTACTGCTAATCAAATACTTATAAGAGGCAAGGTTCTGAGGGACCACGTGTTTGGCACATTTTTATCAAACTAATGAGTATAATGGCATGGGCTTGTTGCCTCTGATTATACTGAACAAAGTCTTAGGAGGTCTTAGAAATATTAAAAATGTTGTTGGAAGTCTGTCCTTTTTATTATATTTCTTCCTCTTCTTTGGTCTACTCTTTATTCCTCTTGGTTGACTTCATTATCAGGCAGGCTCTGTCCTTATGTTGGCAAAGGGACTCCAGCAGCCAAGGCTTGCTTGGCTCTGGTATATCATCTTTAAAAGAGAGAGTGGCTCTTTCCTGATAGTTGAGAGTTAAAAGTTTTGGGGAGGATTTCATTTGGCCTAGCCTGGGTCTCATGTCCATCCTTGGACGTCCCTGAAGGATGTGTTACTCTGATTGGCTGGCCCAGGGCCAGGTGCCTATCATGATGCTGGAGATCATGGTCAATTGTACCAAACCATGCAGATTTGGTAGAGTGGGGATGATTCTGCAAAAACAATATAATAATTCAATTAGCAGGAAAAAAGTAATTCTTGGTACCTCTATAACTTCCCCAGACTCTCTTTGGTTTTTCCTTTGCTCTTACTACAGTTGGTACATGCCTTAAATAAAGCCAGTATTGTGTTATATTTGTGTGTTCATCTTATCTGATTCTCCCTGTGATTATAAATTCTGTGAGGGCAGAAACTATTTATTTTCATCTTCTTATTTCCATTGCTTAGCATACTTCCCAGTTTATAATAGTGCTTAACAAACATTCATTACTGGATTTTTTCTCTTCAATTTTATCTAGTTAATTGCTCTCTTGCTGGAGCCTTCATTGTCCCTGAACACTAGGTTTTCTCCCATCATCTAAATCTTTCTCAGGTACACGTCTCTTTTGAAATACAAAGCTCTTTATAATAATGTATTATTTACCTTATACCAAAGAGTGTCTTTTTTCTTTGCCTTTCTCCTTCAAGTTTCTTAAAATAGCAGTCAAGACTCTCTGCCTCTCCTCTTCCTTCAACCCACTGGCTAACTCCTTGCTTTTTTCTTCATTGTCTCTAGTGATCTTCTTATAAAATCCACTGGCCATCTACCAGCTTGGTTCTTCTTAGCCATGCCACAGCACCTGGCGCTGATTATCCTTTGGCTTTCATTTTTTCCGTGGATGCTCCTGATCCATCTCCTAATCCTCTGATTACCACTTAGCAAAACATTGTGTCTTCACAGAACATGCTAGGCACCATGGATACAAAAAGTAATGCTCTTGCCATCAGCAACTTTTAAACTAGTTGTGTGCTTCTCGTTTCCAATAAAATTTGATATCTGAATTGCTAGAATAGTCTGTAGGATTTTGTACCTGCAGATATTCTTGCCAGTCCATTCAAAATACTGTTTAAAAAGTATCCTACTAAAGTCATTCATTTGCTCAGGAGCTTTCACTGGCTCTTCGTCGCCTGCTAAATACAATTCAAACTGTTGAGGAGGGCTTGGCCTCTTTTGTTAACCACTCCCCACCCCCCATCCCCATGCATTATCTCTTCTGCTTTCCCCACAGTATCCTGCTTTCTAGCCAACCTTGAATGGCTCCTACCTAAACAGTTTCTTTCTAAATTCTGCACTTCTGTTTATTACATTATTTCAGCATGTAATACACAAACATTAGTTTCCTTCACATGCCTTTTGAGGCACTTCCAACCAATTCCACCTCTGTTTCGTCCGTGATGCCTTACTGGACTTCACATTTAGAAGTGATTACATCTCCCTCTAAATGTCAATAGCATATAGATTATGCTAATCTGTAGTTTTAGGAACCTTAGAGGAGCTGCATTTAGAATATGAGCCCAGATCTGGGTGGGCAGAAAATATTGCTCAGTATCTGCCAGATCATAGGTTTTAACTCAATGAATATGAGATGAGTGACTGAATAAATACCTGTTGTAAAACAAGCCCTGCATGAATATAAAATATTTGCCCAAGAATACTTTCACTGGCCATAAAGAACTCAATGGAACTTTTCCATGTTGTTCTGTGTTGTGCCAGAAATAATATACGCATTGTCAGCCACCGCTAAGCAATTTCTGACTCTAATCAACAAGATAAGGAAAATCTGGAGCAGGGTAATGTGAGGATAAGTAAATCAGTTCAATTTCTCTGACTGCTTGAGGACCTATCACCTTCCATAGAAGGGAGGTTATCAAGTTAAAAACAATTTCATGTAGCCATTTTGGGGTGCTATATATTTAATCTGTCCTTTTTAATAGTAGTTAAGAGTGTAAACAAAAGCAATCAAAGTAGCACCATTATCTGTCATCACTGCTATCACTTATTCAAAGAAGTCCACTCAAGTACTTCTACCTTAGATGCTAAACGAATTAGAGATTTACATGGCAACTTTAATGAAAACGGATACTTTGACAATAATCAAATTGACTGCAATAATGAAACTGATAAGAACATCACTTAAATAGAAGAATACATTAGATGTATATTATAGAGGTTTCAGTTTCATTTTACATCATTGAGCTCTTCACATCAGGGAGTTTATAGTAGTTCTGTGTCTACTATTATTAAGGGAATAACCCTGTTGGTGATGCCAGCATTTCAAAGCTGCTTTTGTGACCTGTGTATCTTCACCTATTGTTGTTGTCTTTTCTGTGTTAGAGAGTGTGCTCAGACCCCTTTTCAGGTTCATTCAATCTCTATTCAATTCCAGTTCCTCTAACGAGGCTTTGCTGCTTTTGCTGTGAATCCTTAGACATTCACGAGCCCTTTGTCCTGTACTTTTTATTTCTGGTTGACTTTCTTCTTTGGCGCTCTCCTTTTCTTGCAGCCTGTTCATGCTCTGTGTCCTGCACGACAATAAAATCTTTCACATTTCTTTTCCCTGCAGGCTGCCCTTTCCAAGCTTTACACTATGTACTGTTGTCTTTTTATTCTCTCATTCTCTTTTCAGCTTAAGCCTGCACATAACTCTTTCTGGTGCTACTGCTATTTCTCTATTCCTCACCACACCTAATTTATGCTGACAGCATTTATATGAAAGCTTACACACTCCATGCATCTCTGTCATCCTTTAGTTTATTTCTCATTCTGTGATGGTGAAAGGATTTACTTATTTTCCCTGAGGAAACACTGTTTTTTTTGGGAATAAGACTGGTATTTGACAGGAGTCCTGAGGAGCTCATGCTCCCAAGAGACAAGCAAACAAATAAGTAAACAGCAGACACATACAAACGTTTTTCTAGGTGGCATTTAAAATTTATTCTTTTATTTACAGCATTTCAAAGCTGCAGCGAAAGCACTATAAAAAACATATAAAACAAAAAGACTTGGACCTCCTACCTCTGGGAGTTGAAAGATTTCTTCATTCCATTTACGCTTGTCACATGGCTTATAACATTCTTCCAAAGACATAATATTCAACTGAAAATGTGACATGAGGTCATAATATCTTGAGTTAATGCAACACTTTTGTTGTATATAATATAGGTGTTTGTTCTTCAATTTTGAAAAGTACCCAACTTCTTTTGTCTGCAATAAATCATTACCCTGTAAACTTGAAGAGTTTAATATTTAAACTCTTCAACTTAGAGTTATTATTAATTAGGTCAATGGCTCTAAAACATTTATGTGGAAGAAAATGGTCCCCTTTCATAGGTAGCAGGAGCTGTTGACAGATTCCTCTTAGTCAAATATATTATAAACTTGGATGGTAAATAAATGAGTAAACGCTAACAGCATGAAGCAAACTTGCCAATGCATTTTATTCTGATCTGTGGGTTATTTAGGACCCAATCTTTTTTCTTTTTAAGAAAAACTGTCCATCAGATTCAAATACACAATGGCTAATGTGGATAAAAGACCATCAGGCATTTATATGAAACCACATGACATCTTTTCACCAGTCATCTCAATTTGAAATTTGAATTTAAACTCATCAAAGAAAAAAAAACCCTATTAACACTTTGCACGTTATCTAAAGAAAGATTCAGTATTTAACTTTTTCTGACAGTAGAGCAAAAACATTTAAATATATGTCAGATGGATGTGGAGTATTTCAAAAGGACGAACAAAAGCTTTAATCCCTTTGTGAACTAGGAAGACAGATACACTATACGAGGAAGACTGCACAGGAGACCAGGAGAGAGACCACCAAATATGTGGTCTCAATCCAGTCCGTTAGAATGTAGCGGGCAGCTTGTCTGTTAATTTCTTTTCTCTGAGCCTGGGTCACCTCCCACAAGGTTTACAATAACAGGAAATCCCAAACCAGCTTCTGAACAGTTACTTTCTTCAGACACATGCTAATTTATTACAGAGGATTTAGAAGGTATTTCATGGAAGGAGTGATATGTTACTTTAAATTGCAAAACTGTAACAGAATAATGAACGTCACATTAGTTAAATAAGCATGGTGCGGTAAGCAAACGAGCATGACACTGGCAGAGGAATCACTTTTTGTAGCATGTGGCGTCTCACATTGCACTTGTTGTTCATGACATTTAAGTGAATATATATTTTAACAAAGGTCCTTTTATGTGCACACACATGAAATACAGTAGGCACTCAACTATTTGTTGAATGAAAATAGCAGTTCATTATGTATAAAGAAAAAATTGGTCTGATATCATCAGAAACTGAGTTTATCAATGAGTACTTTGCTGTGAGGGGCTGAGTTGTGCCTTGTAGGTTGTGTAACAGCAACCCTGGCCTGTAGACCCACCAGTTGCTAGTAGCAACTCCCCCTGCTGTGACAACCAATAATGTCTCCAGACGTTGCCAAATATCCCCTGGGTGGCCTATCTCCTCTGGCTGAGAACCACTGATGAGAAAGGAAACTACAATTAGCATAACTGAGTTTTGCCTACATAGCTTTCTGTTTTCTAGTCTAGTTTAGGGATGAATGAGAAGGTTCACTTTCATTTTAACTATAGTAAATAAATGTATGTGTATTAGTTTCCAAAGGCTGCTGGAATGAAGTATTAATACCACAATTTGGGTGACTTAAAGAACAGAAATTTATTGACTCACAGTTCTAGGGGAAAGAAGTCCAAAATCAAGGTGTTTGTAGCATTAGTTCCTTTGAAAGCTGAGAGAAAGAATCTGCTCCAGGTTTCTCCCCCAGCTTCTGGTGGCTTCAGGCATCCTTGGCTTGTAAATTATGTTCTCCCTGTGTCTTCATATTATCTTCCCTCTATGTGTGTCTGTCTTATGTCCACATTCCCCCTTTTATAAAGACATGAATTATTTTGGATAAGGACCCCCTCCAATCACCTCATTTTAGCTTGATTACTCTGTAAAGAGCCACAATCTCCAATTAAGGTCACATTCTGAGGTCCCGGGGGTTATGACTCCAATGTAACTTTTTTTTTGAGGGAGTAGACACAATTCAACCCATAAGAATGTGATGCTAACAATTCTGCGCTGAGTGCCAAAGTGAGACTCTGGTATTTAACCATTAACTGCTTTATGTTCTACTCATTTGTTCATGTGCCTGTCACATCTCTGCTTCCTGGAGGCCCAAAATGGAAACATAGTGTTTCATTAGAATCTTCATAGCACTCAGAAGAGTATTTGATAAGAGTTTATTTGAATGAAGAAATGCTCCTTGCTGAAGAAGAGGTAGTTTGTCACTTTGGCCCTAATTGTCATAAATGTACATCAGTGAACCTGTCTAGTTTCCTCTTAAATCAAACAACACTGGACTCCTTTGGATTATTCAATATTTTTAAATTTCATTTTCTTTTTAATGGAAAAAATTAAATGTACAAATATTCATTAAATAAATGAATAGAACACATTCAAATAGAATGAGTATATAAAAAAGAATAATTTTTCCATCTTTAATTCTCTGGCGTTCCTCTCGAAAGGCAACAATTATTTGCAGTTTTTTAATATGCTTTCCCAGAATAGTTTTATGCATAGAAAAATATGCTTATGTTATTTTTTATGTCCTCTGACATTGGATATGGATTACACATCCCAAGACAGAGATTCAGAATCTGTGATTTGTATAGGTATAGAATAAAAGACATGTACTTAGGATTAGCACAGAACCAAACAACAGGAGCAATCTAAACTCAACTTTGGGATCTGCCACCATCCAAAGAGCTACAGATATAAAAGAATGCTGAGAACAAAGCGAGAGCAGTCAAACTGGCTGCATACACCCTCAGGAGGTCTGGATAAGGCTGGATACTGCTGGAGAAGCCTGGACACTGTTGAGAAGTTCCTGAAGAGCCAACAACAATGCCAGCAAGCCAAGTCCTTCATGGAGCTGTGGCCAGCAACATCTCTGGCTCTCGAGTCCCTACAGACTTTGCATGGAATGAGATGCTTGATGGTGAAAGATTCCATGGTACAAAAAAGCCTCCCAAACCTAAGCAGACAAGGAGAAAAACTGCCAGAATTCTCAGCTGTAACTGAATTGGTACAAACTGCACAAACTAGAAAATACTAATAAAAACCTGCAGCATTTTACTTAAGGTTGAAATATGAAGGTGATGCCTTTATTTTCAAAGATAAAGCTACTGCTCCAGTATCTATTGATTAGATGCATTGAGTCATTTCTTGGTAGTACTTGGTGGGTTTTTGTTGAATCATCATACTCCTACTGAGTTCCCTGAGCAAATAATGGTAAGAATGGATTGGCAGTGGTAGAAAGAGAATTTGCATCAGTACTCTGGGGAAGACTGATGACCATTTAACAGTACACAATCTCACAACCTAGGGAGGTATTAGCTTGCTGCTTTAATTGATTAAGCTGGCACTGTTTAAATCACACATATTGAAACCTCAAAACACACATATTGTGGGAAGAAAATGTCTTTTAATCTAGTACAGTTTGTGGAAAGTTTTATCCAATAACATAAAAAAAATTAAACAAAAAAATGCTACATTTTACTTAATGTGACCCTAGCACTGCAAATTGGATATGTTTCCCTGGCTTTTATTTATTTATTTATTTTTTAGACAGAGTCTCACTTTGTGGCCCAGGCTGGAGTGCAGTGGTGCGATCTCAGCTCACTGCAACCTCCGCCTCCCAGGTTCAAGGGATTCTCATGCCTCAGCTTCCTGAGTAGCTGGGATTACAGGCACATACCACCACGCCTGGCTAATTTTTGTAGTTTTAGTAGAGATAGGGTTTCACCATGTTGCCCAGGCTGGTCTTGAACTCCTGACCTCAGGTGATCCACCCATCTTGGCCTCCCAAAGTGCTGGGATTACAGGTGTGAGCCGCTGCACCTAGCCTCTCTGGAATATTTTAATCATTTTTTCTCCATGTATGCAACACATACATAGAGTAGTTGTAAGCTTTGCTAGCCTAAACTTTTAAATACCAGTGAGGAGGACTATTAGGATTTTGCTCTCTTTCAAACACCACAATTTTTCAGGCTTAGCCTAAAATTTTAGTAAATTTTATGATAGGCTGTTGATAATTCAAAACTCAAAGAGCCTTAAAAGTGCTAGACTATTTGGAGGATTATCTTTTGAATTTTCTCCTCAAAGCTTAGCTAGAACTACCAGCACAACGAATCTCCCTTGCCCAAAAACTTTAAGGCAATTGCTTTTTCAATTCTTATCAGGTTTAGGCCAAAAATGAAAATACTTAGTGCCCATGCATAAATTATTGAATTTTCTTTCTCTTGAAGACTTTCAAAATAGCATTCAATTTATGAACAACAGTTCCTATAGGCCTCTCACACCCAACTTGAACATCCCACGAGGCTCACAGTGTTGAAAAATTGTGCACTGACAAAAGCAATTGCTGCATTTGTGATTTGATTAATCTAATTAATTGTCCACTGTGATAACCTTAGAAAAATGGATGACTTGTGTCTCTTCTGGAAGAAACTTCCCTCAATGGTTCCATTGAGGTAGGTAGAATTCTGAGATGATCTCTGAGGCATTACGTCTTCCCACCAAGTGTACCTGTCCTGTACAGGCCCCTCTGCTTGATTATTGGTGGCACCTGTGCCCCTGATGAACTTGTCAGTCCTGTGATTACATTATGGTATAGAAGACCTCATCATAGCAGGATAGATGGAGAGACAGCAAGAGAGTTGCTGCCCTTCTGGCCTTGAAGAAGCAACGAGCCATGCTGTAGAGGCCATGCAGGAAACCATGAGTGGCCTCCAGGAAACCAAAAGCAGGTTCCAGGTGATGCCAGCAAGAAAGAGAGTACCTTGGTCCTTTAGCCAAAGGAACCAAATTCTGCCAACAACCAAAGAGCCTGGAAGAAGAACTTAAGCCTTAGAACTTTAAGCCAAACTTAAAGTGCAGTCCTGGCTGACATTTTGATTGCAGCTTTATGAGACTGTGAGTACAGGATGCAACAGAAATGTGCTGGAATCCTGACCCACAGAATCTGTGATAATATAATACATTTGTCTTGTTTTAAGCTACTAGGTTTGTGATAATTTGTTGGGCAGCAATAGAAAACTAATCAAAGTGTTCTCACCTAGGAATTTGTGTTCTATCACAGGTCCTAAAACTTGCCCAAGTTATGTCTGGACATTGTGGGGCATTGTCAGATAGAATATCTGAGACTTGTTTAAGAAACATGCCATTGACTGCCGCTCATCATTTTATCTGAGGGAGTGTGAAGTTGAATATCTAAAGCAGAGCCATAAAAGGCATGGCTCAGTGCTTTGCAAGGCAAGACACTGAAACTCTCTCCACCTACAGGGACATCTCACTTTATTGTGCTTCACAGATACTGTGTTTTTTACAAATTGAAGGTTTGTGTCAACCCTGTGTCGAGCAAGTCTATCTGCACAATTTTTCCAACGGCAGTGCTCACTTCATGTCTCTGTATCATGTCTTGGTAATTATCACAATACTTCAAACTTCTTCATTATTATTTTTTATGTTACAGTGATCTGCTATCTGTGATCTTTGATGTTACTATTTAATTGTTCTGGGATGCCATGAACCACACCCATATAAGATGGCAGACCTAACTGATGTATGTGTGTGTTCTGACTGCTCCACCAAGTAGCCCTTCTGCCAACTTTTTCCATGTACTCAGGCCTCCCTATTGCCCGAGACACAGCATTATTGAAATTACACCAAATAATTATCCTGCAATGGCCTCTATGTGTTCAAGTGAAAGGAAGAGTTGCATGTCTCCCACTTTAAATCAAAAGCTAGAAATGATTAAATGGGGAAGGAAGGTCAAAAGCTGAAATAGGCTGAAAGCTGGGCCTCTTGTGCCAACAGTTAGCCAAGCTGTGATTGCATAGAAAACGTTCTTGAAGGAAATTAAGAGTGCACCTCTAGAGAACACACAAATAATAAGAAAGGCTTCTTGTTGATATGGAAAAAGTTCAGGGCTCTGCATGAGAGATCAAGCCAGCACAACATTCTCTTAAGCCAAAGCCTAATCCAGAGCAAGTCCCTAACTCTTCAAGTCTATGAAGGCTGAGAGAAGTGAGGAAGTTGCAGAAGTAAAGTTGGAAGCTAGCAGAAGTTGGTTCATGTGATTTAAGGAAACAAGCTGTCTCCATAACATAAAAGTACAAAGTGAAGCAGCAAGTGCTAATGGAGAAGCTGCAGCAAGCTATCTAGAAGATCTAGTGAAGCTCATTGATGAAGGTGGCTACACTAAACAACAGATTTTCAATGTAGATAAAATGGCCTTCTATTGGAAGAAGACATCATCTAGGATTTTCATGGCTAGAGAGAAGAAATCAACACCTGGCTTCAGAGCTTCAAAGGACCGGTTGACTCTATTGTTAGGTGCTAATGCAGCTGGTGACTTCAAGTTGAATGAATTATGCCGAAGTACTTTATGCTCTATAAATGAAATAATGAAGCCTGGATGAAAGCAAGTCTGTTTATAGCATAGTCACTGAATATTTTAAGCCCACTCTTGAGACCTACTGCTTAGAAACAAAGATTCTTTTCAAAATATTACTGCTCATTGACAATGCACCTGGTCACCCAAGAGCTCTTATGGATATATACAGAAAGATTAATGTTGTTTTCACATTTGTTAACACAACATCTATTCTGCAGCCCACAGATCAAGGAGTAATTTCAAATTTCATGTCTTATAAGTTAAGAAATACATTTTGTAAGTCTATAGCTGCCATAGATAGTGATTCCTTTGTTGAATCTGGGCAAAGTAAATTGACGACCTTCTGGAAAAAACTCACCATTCCAGATGTCCTTAAGAACAATTGATATTCATGGGAGGAGATCAAAATATGAACATTCCTGTTAGAATTTGGGAGAAATTGATCCCATCATCCATCGATGACTTTAAGGGGTTCAAGACTAGTGGATGAAGTAACTGTGGATGTGGTTTTAATAGCAAAAGAGCTAGAATTAGAAGTGGAGTGAATGAATGAAGAGTTGCTTCTTATGGGTGAGCAAAGAAAGTGTTTTTTTTTTTGAGATGGAAACTACTCTCTGTGAAGATGCTGCCAACATTGTTGAAATGACAACAAAGAGTTTAGAATATTACATAAACTAGTTGATAAAGCAATGACAGGATATGAGAAGATTGACTTCAAGTTTGAAAGAAGTTCTATTGTGCTCTCATTCACAATTGCTACCAAGAGAATAAAATATCTAGGAATACAGCTAACAAGGGCAGTGAAGGACCTCTTCAAGGAGAACTACAAACCACTTCTTAAGGAAATAAGGGAGGACACAAACAAATGGAAAAACATTCCATGCTTGTGGATAGGAAGAATCAATATCACTATTCAATGCTATTCCCATTAAACTACCATGGACATTCTTCACAGAATTAGAAAAAACTACTTTAAAATTCAAATTGAACCAAAAAAGAGACCATATATCCAAGACAATCCTAAGCAAAAAGAACAAAGCTGGAAGCATCATGCTACCTGACTTCAAACTATACTACAAGGCACAATAACAAAACAATACAGTACTGGTACAAAAACAGACACATAGACCAATGGAACAGAATCGAGATCTCAGAAATAAGACTACACATCTACAGCCATCTGATCTTCAACAAACCTGACAAAAACAAGCAATGAGGAAAGGATTCTCTGTTTAATAAATAGTGCTGGGAAAACTGGCTAGCCATATGCAGAAAATTGAAACCAGACCCCTTCCTTATACCTTATACAAGAATTAAGATGGATTAAAGACTTAAATGTAAAACCCAAAACTATAAATACCCTAGAAGAAAATCTAGGCAATACCATTCAGGACATAGGTACAGGCAAAGATTTCTTGAAAAAAAACAACTGCAACAAAAGCAAAAATTGACAAATGGGATCTAATTAAACTAAAGAGCTTCTGTACAACAAAAGCAACTATCATCAGAGTGAACAGACAACCTATAGAATGGGAAAAAAATTTTGCAATCTATCCATTTGATGAAGGTCTAATATCCAGAATCTACAAGGAACTTAAACAAATTTACAAGAAAAAGAAACATTAAAAAGTGGGCAAAGGACATGAACAACACTTCTCAAAAGAAGACATTCATGCAGCCAAGAAACATATGAAAAAAGGCTCAACATCACTGATCATTAGAGAAATGTGAATCAAAACAGTGAGATGCCATCTCACACCAGTCAAAATGACGATTATTAAAAAGTCAAGAAACAGCTGATACTGGTGAGGCTGTGGAGAAAAAGGAACACTTTTACACTTTTGTGGGAGTGTAAATTAGTTCAACCATTGCAGAAGACAAGGTGGTGATTCTTCAAAGACCTAGTGACAGAAATACTATTTGACCCAACATTCCCATTACAGAGTATATACCCAAAGGAATATAAACCATTCTATTAATAGAGATACATGCACACGTATTGTTATTACAGCACTATTTACAATAGCAAAGACATGGAATCAACCCAAATGTCCATCAATGATAGACTGGATAAAGAAAATGTGGTATGTATATACCATGGAATACTATGCAGCCATAAAAAAGAACAAGATCATGCCCTTTGCATGAATGTGATGGAGCTAGAAGTCATTATCCTCAGCAATCTAATGCAGGAACAGGAAACTAAACACCATATGTTCTCACTTATAAGTGGGAGCTGAACAATGAGAACACATGGACACAGGGAGGGAAACAACGCACACTAGGGCCTGTTGTGGGGAAGGGGAAGGAGGAGAGCATGAGGATAAATAACTAGTGCATGTGGGGCTTAAAACCTAGGTGATGGGTTAATAGGTGCAGCAAACCATCATGGCACATGTTTACCTATGTAACAAACCTGCAAATCCTACACATGTATCCTGGAACTTTAAATTAAAAAATGAAAAAACTTCTACTGTGGGTAAAATGCTATCAAACAGCATTACATGCTACAAGATAAGTCTTTCAAGAAAGGGAAAGTCCGTCAATGTGGCAAACTTTATTATTGCCTTATTTTAAGAAATTGCCACAGCCACCTCAACCCTCAGCAACCACCACCCTGATCAGTCAGCAGTGGCAGGCAAGACCCTCCACTAACTAAAAGATTATGACCTCTGAAGGCTCACATGATCCTTAGCATTTTTTTTAGCAATGATGTAATTTTTAATTAAGGCATATACATTGCTTTTTTTAGACCTAATGCTGTTGCACACTTAATACATACAATATAGTGTAATTATAGCTTTAATACGCACTGGGAAACAAAAATATTTGTATGACTCTTTTTATTGTGATACTTTATTGCAGAGGTCTGGAACCAAACACACAGTGTCTCTGAGGTATGCCAGAATTTGAGATATCTCTAAATGAAATACTGGGCTTCATTCCTGACTTTGCTGCAAAATGTTTTATTGGAAAAGAGAGAATTGGACATTAAGCTGAGGAAACCTGTTGAGGATGAAATAATGAGGAAGATGCATCTGTCACGCAGCTCTAAGAAATATGATTCTTCTCACTCACCAAGACCTTGGGGCGGGCTGGATATTTGAGCTCTAGGGGAGAAGGCCTGAAGGAGCCAAGCAATTGTGCCATTGAGTTTTATTATGTTCTGGTCTGCACCCTTTGGAATGGGGCTAATGCTGTCTACACTTTCGGACTCAGGTGGGGCAGGCATAGTAAATAATCAGCCAAGTGTTCACTGTTCACCTAAAGTCTTAATGAAACATGTTCACAAGAGGTTGTCCAACAGTTTTTGTTTCCAAAACATCAATGTTACTTTCATGACTGCAGGGAGTCACCACTACCTAGAGTATATGAACACTTGACTGGTCTATAATTTTAGATAATTTAACTACCTTGTCAGGGCTTTTTTTTTTTTTTTTGGTGGAGTCTCCCTCTGTTGCAGAAGATGGAGTGCTGGAGTGCAGTGGCATGATCTTGGCTCTCCGCAACCTCTGCCTCCCAGGTTCGAGCAACTCTCCTGCCTCAGCCTCCCAAGAAGCTGGGATTACAGGCACCCACCACCACGCCCAGCTAATTTTTGTATTTTTAGTAGAGATAGGGTTTCACCAGGTTGGACAGGCTGGCCTTGAACTCCTGACCTCAGGTAATCCTCCTGCCTCGGCCTCCCAAAGTGCTGGGATTACAGGAGTGAGCCACCGCGCCAGGCCCAGGGCATCTATTTTTTAAACTGGCAAGTTTGGGACAGTCATGCTTCCTTATGTGGCTCCCAGATAATTGGAGAAAATAGGAAAGGAGTGAGTGAGTAGGTGGAGAAAGAATGTGGATGAGATAAATGGCCAGTGGGAATTTGAAAGAAGGACCCATGATGTAAAAGGTGAGATTCATTTTTGGCTAAGGAAGCCTTACAGAACTGGATGAGGAGACGCACTGTATGTAGTACGTGGTGCAAAAAGGAAAAAAAAGAGTTGGATGATCATAGCAGAGTAATGGCTAGATGTGACTCAGCAAACTGCAGACAGGAAACCAGTTTCCTCCAGGTAACAATGACTTTATCTGGTGGAAGATAGTGTTGGCAGGGGAAAAGAAGTCTCACTGGGAACTTGAAGAGGAAGGAATTGTGGCTGCCATCAGTAAATATTTGGATGACAGGGCTCTCATGCGGGTGTTTGTGAGTAAGGAACGGTAACAAAGCCTGGGCCACAGCCTCGTCATTAGAGAAACGCTCACTGTTTTAGAAAAAAGAAAAATAGTAATGAAAAGTAGAGATCTGCAAAGAGGATTTGAGGTTTAGAAACAGGCGAGAGGGAAAAAAAAAGGTGCTATGTTAAATTTGAGACCCCAGTGCTGGACCAGTTTTCCAAAGAGAAGATGGAGGCTGGGCGAGGTGGCTCATGCCTGTAATCCTAACACTTATGGGGGCTGAAGCAGGTGGATTACCTGCGGTCAAAATTTCAAGACCAGCCTGGCCAACATGGTGAAACCCCGTCTCTACTAAAAATGCAAAATTAGCCTGGCGTGGTGGCGCATGCCTGTAATCCCAGCTACTCGGGAGGCTGAGGCAGGAGAGTCGCTTGAACAGGGGAGGTGGAGGTTGCTGTGAGCCAAGATCACGCCACTACACTCCAGCCTGGGCAAAAAGAGCAAAACCCCATCTCAAAAAACAAACAAACAAAACTAAACAAAAACCAGAGAAGATGGAGATAATTTAAAGAGAAAATTAAGAATGTAAATAAAAATAACTTGATGAGTGTGCTGAAGGCTGCTTGATTAATAGTGCCAGCTAACATTCCGAAGGAAAAGAAAGTGGATTAAGATTTTTCAGGAGGGAAGAGAGCAGCACACAGGTGAGCCCGGTGGATGTCGTCACTGAACATACGATAGACTCTGTGGCAGAATATCCACACTTAGCCCTTACCTAGCCCTGATTGCCTGCTTTTCTGGGAATCAAAAGAGACTGAAAACCAAATAATTTTGCTCCTGCTAGGAAGTCTGGTAAATATCTGTCAAAGAGAACCTTCAAACTATTGACTATAATGAGGTTTGTGTATCTAATTTATCCATACTAGTCTCCTCTTCCATTATCATTGATTATGGAGAATATGCTATACTTCCTTCAGTAAAAAAGCTATATGAAAATGTTTAAAAAGCTGAGTTATACATGCTAAGCATACAGGATAATATGCAACTACCCAATTTTAGTCATTTTCATGACATTCATTGAAACCTGAATACAAATAGAGAAAATTTTCCAAATACAGAATTATTTTAAAGCAGAATAAGAGTTAAGATGCCTCAAAGAAGAACGAGATTTTAGAAATAATTATAATACACAAGTATTTAAGATACTTTGAGAGTCAGCACTGATTATAAAGAGTTAAGGAGTAAAGAACAGACATACATCATAGTCATCTGTCAGAGTAAATAGTTAGAGGGCATATTCTAGCTTCCTGCCATGTATGTTCTTGTTGAAAGAAAATGTTCATTTACTCTCCCTGTCTCATTTCTCTCAATCTGACCAATTCATTTATCTCTTTCTGGCTGTACTTTCTCTCTCAAGATGTACCCATGACCAGAATACCACTCTCATGGTTACCTTAGAATCTCATGGCCTCTGCTTTGCCCAGCCTCAGGCTCGAGTCACTTGCATGACACGCTCTGTGCCCTCTCCTCCTGGTCCAGATAGCATCAGCAAACACCCCAACCTGTGAAATGTTGGTCTACTCTAATTCTGTACTTCTAAATAGGTTCTCCACGGATGCTTAATATCTTCTTTATTATTATTATTATCTTTCAAGTTCCTCATTCAGTTCCAGAGCTTTTATGTCCCTCAGATCATCAGCCAGCTCCTCATCTCCAATCTCAGCAGAATACTGTGTCCCCTATGGGATTACTTATTCACTAGGTGGAATTTAGTTATAAAGATAATTTCAAAGCTGTCAGAAAATTTGAAGATAATCTTGTCTATCTCCTCAATTTACAGATAAAGAAACTAGGGTTAGATGTTAATTCCCTATGTAAAATGGAAAACTTTTGTCAAGAAAAAATTAACATTGAGGCTCTTCTTTCAACATGTTGAAATTTATATTACTCTGTCAAAGAACTGTAGTATCGGGTTAGCAATTCATTTTCACTTTATAACATTCTTTAAATAAGAGAAACAGCAACAGTCTGGATTCCTTCCCTGTTGCCCAGTTCCATCTTCTAACCCCAAATCACAGTACTTTCTCTAATATCCGTAAACCCCTACTCATAATCCCTAAATTCACTTCTCTGGTTGTTTGCTTTGATGTGAAAAAAACGTATTTTAATATCATACTCTTGAAAATGCTCTCTACTGCCTGATGTATGATTGATAGTTCTGAAAGAAAAGGGTTTGAAAACTGTTTACAAATATTTGGGTGTTGGCTGTTATGTGGAAGAATGTTCACTCTTATGTGATTCTAAAAAAGCAGAACTTGGATCAGTGGATGAAAGTTATAGGGTTGCCCCTTTCAGCTCAACATTCCATCAGTCAGCAAATATTCCTGGTATTCCCTATATACCAGGCATTTCTGGGGGCTGGGGATACAATGATGACAGAACTCAGTTCCTGCTCTCTTAGAGCTTCAGCTTATATTCTCTGTGGCCTTTAGTAATTGGCCAATAATATGATACACTATGACATGATATAATTAATATGATAATGATTAGTGGACCTAGAGTATAATGTCAGGTAATAGTATTATAAAGAAAAATAAAGACGGGTAAGAGAATAGAGAATAATTGGCAAGTCTCTCTGACAATGTGACATGTAAGCCAATAATTGAATGTATCTAGAGACCAAGCCATGCAGAGACCTGGAGTAGGTTGTTCTCATTAGGCATAGGGAATTGCACATATGTCTTGATTTTGGAATATAAGAAATTGGCTTGATTGTGATTTAGTGAGTTCTCTGTTCTGGAACTGTTCATAGTCTGGATTACCTGCCAAGGAATTTTAAAAGGTATCCCTACATTTGTTAGGAGGTCAAACTAGTCAACCTATCTTGAGATTCCTCTGCAGGTTTAAGATGGCTTAGAAGACAAAAAACCAGAAATTTAGCAGAAGAAAAGATGCAAAATTTATTTGAGGAAGTAAACAATAAAGCCGTAGTTTAAAGACTTTTTATGAATATCCTTGCTCTATGTTGACATTGAAACTTGGGAAGAAAATAGAACTAAATATAAAAATGAAATAGGGGCATGTTGAATCAGAAGTTAAAGTGATTTAGGTCATTCAGTTATGCACAGATGCATAACTATTCACCAAATGATTCAGAAATCATAGGAAATGACTTATAAGAGCTGATACTAAACTTTGTACGGGAAGTAATTTTGTAAGAAACAATTGTTTGTAAGTCTTGCATGATGGAACATTTTAAATTAGAATACCAGAAATGGTTGAAGGAGTATTTATAGATTTCTTTGAGCTCTTCTGAAGAAAAGCATTGCCACAGATTTTTGTTTTAATTTTATTGTTTTTTTCTTTTTAAAAAAACAGGCATCAAATGAAGGTAATTAAAATCAGAATTTATTTACTGTTGGAACTAAAAAAAGTCTACTGATTTATGTTTTTGTATCTTTATTCTTAGCAGAGGAAATTTATTTTAAAATTTAAACTGAAGAATGTAGATACTTCCTAGCAAAACTTCTAGCATTATAACACGGTATTTTATCTTTTGGAGTATATGGTAAATGCCACGAGTGATGGGTAAATATGTGGGCATATTTCAGCATCAGATTTTGGCAATCAAAATGGGCTTACATGGACAATATAATATGTACCTCATATCCTGATTTTAATCAAGTAGTTTTACAAACCAGAAAGAGCTGTGCTTTTTCCTCATGTACGTATATTTCCTTCCTCTCTCTAAATTGAACACGTATCAAAATCAGTGTAAACTGTACACAGAAATTGGGAAGTAGACACAACGTGAGAATGGACACCAGGAAGCCATTATTGCCACTTAAGAGAGGAGGACAATTGAATGCCACAAAGGATAAAATGTTTGTGAAACATAATGTTGCAAGTCAAAAGAAAATGCCAAGAATTGAACATACAAGAGTTTCTAGTCTCTGGACCAACTCCAAGCTCATTCTTCTGCATAACTGACATTTATGGAGACCAGATATGGTGCCACTGTGGTATATGTGAAATTAGTTCTGCCTACTTAGTTTCTGAACATATATGTGTATTACACATGTATATTTAGCCAAAGAAGGGCCGTATTTTGCCATGTTCTCCTCCAACATATTTTTCCAATAGCATAGGGGATGTCTAGAGGAAGTTGAGACGAGGCCAAGGTATGACAAATGAGAAGGGTCAGGCCAATATGGAGGTGGAGAAACATCATGGTTTTAGCACGTGTGGTTGATAACATTGTTTCTGCTTTACTTCTGTATTTTGAATGGGGATATTGTCAGGGAGACCAATGAAGCTGAACTGTATGAAATATAAAAAGTTACAGAAGAGAAACAGCTGCTCAAAGCTAAGTTTGCTTTCAGGACTTGTCATTTATGGAGATCGCAGGCTTTCAATCTAATGAAGAGTGAGAACAATTTGAAAAGTGAGTGAAATAAAACAATTAACAGAGCCACATGGGGCCAGGCATTATTGTTTAGGGAAGAATACTGTACTTGGGGCATAGCAATTCACAAAATAGTACCTACAACATTCCGGTCTTACATCTGTAGGTGTGTTTCTCATTTTTGTAGAACTGGTTTGAGCATAGGAAACTGATCAAACTTAAGAGAACATACAGGGGAGAACACTCATATTGACAGCTCACTTTAAATTCACCCACGATAACTGGCACTTAGAAACCATGGACAAATTAAACTGTGGATAAACTAAAGAATGTTTGTGATGTTTATAAGGAACTTCTGACGGCCAAGAATTTGTACAGGCTGTTTTCTCTGTAAAGAATACTTGTCCACACAACCTCAATCGCCTAACCCTTGGTTATTGTTCAGATGTTGCTACAGATATTTTCCCTAGAAAGCCTTCTACTACTCCAAGACTAGATTAGGTGTCCTGTGCTCCTGTATAGGGACTGTTACTGTACTTATAAGTCTTGTTAATTTCTTGAAGGCAAGAATGGTGTTTGGCCAGCTGCTGTAACCTTACACTTAGCACAGCTCTTCCTAATATGAAAGAGCTTCAGATTTGCTGGAGCCAAGAGTCAAGGGGAGGAGCTGGGAAAGAATTAAAGCTGTAAGAAGTCGTCAAATTATGAAAGATCTTAAACACCACGTTAAGGAGTTTGGTTATAGTTCAAACTTCTACTCAGTATAAAGTAGAGCTCATAAACATCCTAAAATGTAGTTATAATTTACATTGCTAACCAGTCACAGAAGAAGGAAAATCAAGTGATTCAAATATATTTTATGCTAGTTATCAGGAACCCACGGGGTACCATTTAATTCTGCTGATATTTCATCTTTCCAGCCACATACTTTGACATATTATGGGACAGGAACCAACTGTTGTTCTTACTTATAAAATGGATCCTTAGATTCTGGGAGATATGATTGTAGTACGGAAGAGAGCACTCGTTCTGCATGGCGTCCTGTGCTTTCGTTTTTGTTCTGCACTGCATGTTTCAGGAGCCCAAGGCAGGGGCTGCTATTTTTTTTTAAGGATTTCCTTGGCCTTGCCCATGTCAACACATTCATTTGATCTCATCCACCTGAATTTAGAGGCTAACTGAGAAGAAACCCTACCCCTCTGGAAGGAGTATCACACTTTATGTCCTCAGAAGATTGAAGAAATCATGACTGAGAAGCTCCCTGTTTTAGATCATCATGTGAGACTAATGATATGAGTGCCTTCTCAAAACTTAGACATATCTCCGTTTTAAAGAACAAAGCATTTGTCTGACTTCAAGTATTCTAATACATGATTGGTAAGGAGTATTGCTTTGATTTTATTTTCATAGGACCTGTAATCTGGCCTGGTGACTTTTGTAGGCAGGAAATTATAACCAGCCCTATGTTTTTTTTTTTTTTTTTTTGAGATGGAGCCTCACTCTGTCACCTAGGCTGGAGTGCAGTGGCACAATTTCGGCTCACTGCAACCTCCGTCTCCCAGCTTCAAGCGATTCTCCTGCCTCAGCCTCCTGAGTAGCTGGGATTACAGGCACACACCACCACGCCCGGCTAATTTTTGTATTTTTAGTAGAGACGGGGTTTCACCATGGTGGTCAGGCTGGTCTCGAACTCCTGACCTCGTGATCTGCCCGCCTTGGCCTCCTAAAGTGCTGGGATTACAGGCGTGAGCCACTGCGCCCGGCCAACCAGCCCTGTGATTTTTAAAGAGATATTCTCGTAAAGGCTCCTGCAACTGCGGCTTAGAACCATTGAATTACCTATAAGAGTGACATGCCCTTTAGGTGACAACCTAAAATAATAATAAAAGAATAATACAGTTGGTAGGAACAAGATCCAATATAGGGTAAGTGATACTGAACTCCTGCTGGCCTTGACACTCTGACGGGGCAAGAGGCCTGGAGGAAGCCCAGTTGGAAAGCCAGCCTTTACGGGTTCTTGGGCAAGAAAAGAACGCTGGAATGGCAAAGCCTGAATGAGTCATTTTACACACCACAGGAAATATTAGGAGGGATTAAATAAAGTCCCCCTCAAGTACAACCTGTAAAGTGACAGTTGAGATCACCTTGCCTATGGCAAGTGTAGAGCTTGCTCTTTATTCTTTGATAGTTTTCAAGAGATGAAATATCATTTACATAAAAAAATTTGATTATTGCATCTTGTAAAATGTAAAGGCTAAGTTGAGATTAACAAACATAGTATTTTGAAAAATATTAATTCATTAAGCCTGCCATTTTGGGCAAATTAATTTTGAGCTTTAGTTTTAAAATAACTTTAAAATTAACTTTAAAAGTATTTAAAGAGGAGGAAACATGAAGAATAGCAGTAAGTAACAAGATCTAGGATACATCTTATTAGTGAACTAACTTTTCCTCAACTTAAGGACCTTTGGAAAAAGAATTAATTCTTGAGCACCACTGTTACACATTATTTACAACCAATTCAGTAATGTGTTAAATTGAGATCTAATAGTAAAGGGAACAGATTTGTCGGCTTACAGGCTAAACTTACATCAAAGAAAGACTTTGACACTGGAATGGATTATGCCCATTGCATTTATTTCCTATGGCTGCCATAAGAAATTGCAATAACCATGGCTTAAAACAATAGGAACTTATTCTCTCTCAGTTCTGGAAGCCAGAAAGCCACTTTCCCTTTGAAAGCTGTAGGGAAGAGTCCTTCTTTGTTTCTTGCAGCTCTTGGTGGCTACTAGTGTTCTTTGGCTTGTGGCAGCATAACTCCAATCTCTTCCTCCCTCCTCATATGGCCTTCTTGATCTGTCTGTGTGTCCTTTTTCTGTTTCTTATAAAGACACTTCATCGGACTTGGGGCCCACTCTAATTTAGTATTATCTCATGTTAATCCTTAACTAATTACATCTGCAAAGACCCTATTTCCAAATAAGCTTACTTTCTGAAGTTCTCAATAGACAGAAGTTTTGGGGAGACATTATTCAACCCACTACAGTAATTACAAATTAAATCAATCAAAAGATAACTGAGAATCTTTTGGAGTGCTCTAGACTTTTAGTACTCTAGGTATCTGCTAAATAAACATTTATCCTAACATACTTAAAGGATCCTAGTGATTGGGGAAAAAAATTACAAAGTGTAAATATTAAAAACAAACATTTCCTAAAGTAATACACACCCCAGATCTCTAAAATTAGATCAGAATTTGTTTCTAAAGAAATCACGTACACATATTTTCCTTTCTATCTATTTTTTTGCTGAATCTTCACATAAATTTTTAATTTTAGGGAGAATTAGAAGCAGGCATTTGTAGCCTTTTCCTGTATTAAAATAAATACAATAAAAAGAGTTACCCAGTGGGAATTTTAGCTGCTTCTTATATCTATGTTGGACTACCTGAATGTTTTCAACACAATTATCAAAGTAGACAAGACTATTTGTACAGTTCATGTATACTATGTTTTATTCATTACTACAGTTTGATATCATGTCAACATTTTCTTATGTTGATATTTGAAAAAATATTTAGAAATCTTTATTGCTAATGTAATGTACAGTGTTCAAAGCCATAGGTTTGGTTTTCAAAGAGGACTGTTGGTAATTTCAGCATTGTCATTTGTCAGTGCCAGTCTGTCCCTGCCATTTGAACCTTTATTAGGTAAAGGATGCCTGATCTGAGGGTTTGCTTTTTCATTCATTTATAATTTTTATCTCTTCACTTACCTGTTGCTCACGCTTGTTTCCATTGAACTAGTACTGACCCGTATGGTCTTTAAAAAATTGATAATTGCTCAATTTAAAAAAAAGCAAAAAAAATTAAAAATTCTATTTTGATGAATATTGACAGTTTTTTTGTGTTTGGCAAGAATGTACATAAGGATGGATCATTATATTGTGTTTCTTAGATTGTCAGAATATTTCTCTTAGATCAGAATACAATATATTAATTATTCCTAAATGTTGACTTCCTCAGGCCTCTACCTAAAACAAATTTGTATAAAACCTTCAAAGTGCTTTGCTAACTATCCTTATATCTATGACTAGAAGGAGATGGTAAGCTCTCTGTCCTGCCTGGATTCTGGTGTCTGCACAGTGCTTAGCATCAGCAGAAAGTTATGCCAAGTGTGCCTTCTTTTAGTACTTGATGAATGAATAATTTCAGGACTACTGATTAGACACAGTATTTTAGACAGACAGTTCAAGATCTCTGATAGCAGCATCCAGATTCCTATCATCAGGGAACATCCACCACTTGAAGGGGATGTGTATCAGCTGCCTCTAATATATCTCAGGCATCAAAGGGTAGTGACAATTTTCAAATCTCTGAGAAAGGAAGCCTCTCAGTCAGTTTCCTAAATTGAAGCAGCAAGGAAAAAGCCAATTGCCTGCTCAGAGCCCTGTTTTAGGGGTATGGTTATTAGAATCTAGGTCTAGCTTGAGGACAATATTTTGGACTTTCAAAAAGAGCACCTAAAAATCTGGGTTGGGTGATTTCTGGCCACAGATGAACTTTCTCTTGACATTCTCTCTTGGGGGAAAGATCACTTGAGGGACATGCAGCTCACTCGTGCTACTGAGGCTTGTCAGGACAGCCCTCTTGTACTCACCAAAAACTCGAACATGACACACAGTCCTTGGTATTTCTAGAGGGTAGCAGATCATGTTGTTCCCTGGCTGCAGCCAGAACTTTTTACACATACTGGGGAGTCACGATGACTCTTAGATGCTAGCTATGTTTCTTGCAAATGGCAAAATCTTTGTCTTTTAAAGGTTGGGGCTTTGCTTGTCAGGGTATTGTTTGGAGGTAGAGGTGTGAGTGTGGGTGTGGCATGATGGGAGCCAGGGGCCAGGCAACTTGTCCCATAGCCATTACCAGAGAGGCTCTAGGAAGGTATATTTACAAGGTAAGGTACACTCCTAAAAGCCCTGGGCAGGCAATTAGAAGACCTATGGCAGCTACTGCCCTGATCCTTCTATTTAGTAGCTGTGATTTCTGACAAGTTATGCATAAACATTCTGGGTTTCAGGTTTCTGCTCTGAAAGTCAAGTATTTCTGCCCTGGGTTTCTTCTAGGCTTAAGAGATGGGTTCTGCATGTCTGATATTCTACATTTAGAATATTAAAGCACCTATGTTGCATCAAAAGAGATGGATTTGCCCACCTGGCAAGAAATGCTAATTATTTCTTAATGACAGGCTCTCTTGTGTAATAAAAATAGAAACAGGCCTTGTTCAAATTACATTCTCTTGGCAAGAGATTTGCTTGCCTGATCTCTGATAGCAGACTCCAGATCCTAATCATCAGAGACAATTCACCACTTGAAAAGGATCTGTTTCAGCTGCCTTTTTTTGCACCACTTGGCATCCTTTGACCTTCTCTGTCTATGGAGCTTTTGGCTGCTAGTTTTGTTCTAGCCACCACCATGGCAACCAGCTCTGTGTGGGTTTGTAGGACTTCACACAACCCGGTTAATATCGTCTGCTTGCTACCTGCTGAAGTTCAGCTGTTGCAGACCCATGGATGTACGGGACTAGTTTATATCCATTCGAGCACAGTATTTCATTCTGTTTTATTATCAGTGTATTAAAGGATTATAAGTAGCAATGACAAAACTGAATTCTCTAGACATCATGATGTTAAGCCATGGAGAAACAAACAGATTCTAACCTCACCATTTCTAATAGCATAGTATTTTTAGCTTTATTTAGTCACATGTTCCCTTGATTACAACATTTATTCATATATACTTAGAATAATGGCAGGGTCAGCAACCTGATTCCACTTTAAGTTTGTGTGCTTGAGGTTAATACTGTTATCTGTTATGTTATTAAAACTAATATAATAATTTTATTTAACTAGTTGTGTTCGTTAATGGTTCCTTTGGGCTTTGTATGCAGTTGGAGGAAGTTGGAATTGCTGAAGACAAGGCTTGGCAGTGACCCTCCCTTGAAGCAGGTTGGTGAACACAACCGTCATTGCCACAAGAGACAGCATCAACATGTAGATAAAGGACAAATACAAATCTAGAGAGAGAGAGAAATGATGATAGCAAGGGCACAGATATTTATGAAGAGACAGAAATGAAAATAATGTATTATATTGAAATAAACTTGTGCTTAACATCAAAAAATTAAAAATGATATGACAATTTTTTCTTTAATCGATATACTGTCTTAGGACAAGGACTATTGCTAAACTCATAAAACAGAGTAAATAAAAAATACCTAAAGACTTAGAAAAGACTAGATGAGGCTATCTGAGACCAGGTCCCTACCCACTCATGATTCAGCATAATTCAAGAAATACTTAATGAGCTTCCACTTTATGCTACATTATGTTATCTTAGGTAAAAAGGGAATGCAGATTAAAGAAATAATTTCACACCACAAAGAATTCACACACTGAAGATAAGACAAACACGAAAATATTTTAAATAGTAAGTCAAGTGTAGTAAGTGTCAAAAGAGGTACAAAAAAAAATTCTATTTAACTTCCAAGTAAATTAAATCACTTTTGGTGGGGGATCAAAAAAGACTTCATGATAGACAATTCACACACACTCACACACACACATATAAACACACACACACATAAATAATAATGGCCAATAAATATATGGAAACATATTTAACTTCAATAACAGTTGAAAGAATTTGAATTAAAATAAATGTATCAGGAAGAAGCAATAATTCTGCCTATGTCAGTGTTATATCTCTTTATAACTCCTTCTTAGTTCTTCTCTCTTAAAAGAAAAAAAGTGGCTAAACTTATTGGTCAAATCCAAAGAAACTGATTAGAATATATTGACAAGTAGGAAGAACAACTATAAAATAGCATATGATCTGCCAACTCCTGTAAAATTGTAATATTCTGCTCAGTAAGGTTTTCCTTTATCTGCCCACCTAAGAAAGTTTTTCATAACACTTTTGATTATTTTACCTTGAATTCCTTTGTCTATAACCTTGAGATGATAGGAAATTGAATTTTATATGAGGAGGCTTCAAAATATTCAAGGAAAATTGAATTAAAAAATAAAATAAAATTAAATTAAATTAAAATATGAACTTTGTTTCTCAACATAAGCTTCATCAAGTTAAAGAGCCATTTTCTCCATCCCTAAATAACTGAGTCCTGGGAATTTAACCATGTCAATGTAGTCATATATATATATATATACATATACATATATGAATGACTTCTACCTTTGTTTGTATGTATATATAAAAGTCTACAGCTCTGATTTCAGAGCTCAAAGACAAGGTTTTCTAAATAACCCAATATTTAGATTCAGAACTCAAAGACCAGGCTTTCTAAATAACCCAATATATTATTATTATTAACTGAAAAAAATGGGCACCTTTTACAGATATTTTAAAATTAAGAAAGAAAACAAAGGTAGAAAGAACCAAATCAGGATTGTAAGGTGGATGCTTAATGATTTCTTGTCAGAACTCTCATAGAAATAGATAGCATAAATGAAAAATAATCACAACTTCTGGAAATGAAGGACACACTTAGAGAAATGCAAAATACACTGGGAAGTCTTAGCAAAAGAATAAACAGATAGAAGAAAGAACTTCAGAGCTCAAAGACAAGGCTTTCTAAATAAACCAAATTTTTTATATATATATATATATACACACACACACACGTATATCATATATATACATGTACGTATATTTTATATATGTGTGTATATATACACACACACATATTATTAACTAAAAAAAATGGGCACCTTTTACAGATGTTTTAAGAAAACAAAGGTAGAAGGAGCCAAGCCAAATTAGGATTGTAAGGTGGATGCTTAAAGATTTGTCATCAGAACTCTCATCACATTGTCTTGGTGTGATGAGGGAATGAGCAGGAACAGTGTCATGGTGGAGAAAGACTCCTGGTGAAGTTTCCTGGGTATTTTTTTGCTAAAGCTTTGACTAACTTTCTCAAAACACTTTCATAATAAGCAAATGTTATTGTCTTTTGGCTCTCTGGAAAGTCAATAAGCAAAATACCTTGAGTATCTGAAAAGCTGTTGCCATTATCTTTGCTCCTGATTGATCTGTTTTTGGCTGGACAGGACCATTTTCACCTCTTGGTAGCCATTGCTTTGATTGTGCTTTGTCTTCAGGATCATACTGGTAAAGTCATGTGGCAATTAGTCATCTCCTGTTACAATTATTTGAGGAAATGCTTTAGTATGTTGATCCCACTTATTTAAAATTTCCATTGAAATGGCAGCTATTGTTGGCAGCTGATTCTGGGTGCAATGGTTTTGGCAACTGCTGATTGGAAAGTTTGCTCAAATTTAATTTTTTGGTCAGAATTGGGTAAGCTGAACAATTGAGATGCCTATAGTGTTGGGTATTGTTTGTGCTGTTAATTGTTGGTCTTCTTCAATTAGGGGACAAATAAGACTAATTTTTTCCTCCCAAATTTAATGTGGATGGTCTGGTGTTTCAGGCTTCATTTTCAATATTATCTTGTTCTATCTTAAAATGGGTCAATTTGTTGGAAATACCACTGGTAGATGGAAACTTCCAGCTGAACTTTGTAACAGTTTTTACCAAACATGAACTTTCCTTGACACAATCCAGGAGAGGCAGCGAACAGAGAGTGCAGATACAAGCACAGAAGCTGTGGCAGATGGGGAGGTATGAAACCTGAAAGCCCTGCTTGCTTTCTCAGTGGGGAGGCTCATAGCCTGGGGCATGTTCTCAGCCCTGTTCACTGGCTGCCTGGAAATAAACTTGGTGCTGTTGTGGAGGCATGGCGGGATTGAGACTGGCCTTTCTGGCTGTGTGGAAGCTGGGTGAGGCCTGTCACTGCTGGCTTTCCCCAACTTCCCTGGAGCCATGTACAACATAACAAAGGCAGCCATAATCCCCCTGGGAACATAACTCCATTGGCCTGAGAGCCACACCCTCATCCCCCACAGCAGCTGCAGCAAGCCCTGCACAAGGAGAGTCTGAGCTCAGACATGCCTAACCCTGCCCCCACCTTATGTTTTTTTCTACCCACCCTGGCAGCCAAAGACAAAGGACATAATCTGTTGAGAGTTCCATGGCACTGCCCACCATCTGAGAAACCCTAACACTTATCCAGGCAACCCTAGGGCAAGCTTATATCCACCCTACACTATGGCAGCTGATGCTGTCTTGAAAGCCCCACCTCCTGGCTGGAGGCCAACCAACAAAAAACAAGCACACTAAATAAAGCTACAACCAAGGACTCTCACAGAGTCCACTTCACTCCCCTGCTACCTCCAATGGAGCAGGTGCTGGTATATGTGGCTGAGAGACCTGATGATATCACAGGACTCTTTGCAGACATTCCCCAGTACCAGCCTGGAGCCCCATAGCTCTTCTGTATGGCTAGATCCAGAAGAGTGATAACAATCACTGCAGCTCGGCTCTCAGGAGGCCCCATCGCTAGGGGAAGGGGGAGAACACCACATCAAAGGAGCATCATGTGGAACAAAAGAATCTGAGCAGCAGTCCTTGAGTCCAGGATCTTCCCTCTGACATAGTCTACCCAAAAGAGAAGGAACCAAAAAAACAATTCTGGTAATATGACAAAACAAGGTTCTTTAATGTCCCCCGAAAGATCACACTAGCTCACCACTGATGGATCCAAACCAAGACAAAATCTCTGAACTGCCAGAAAAAGAATTCAGAAAGTCAATTATTAAGCTACTCAAGGAGGCACCAGAGAAAGGTGAATACCAACTTAAAGAAATAAAAAAAAGATACAGAATATGATTGGGAAAATCTCCAGAAAAATAGATAGCATAAATAAAAATAATCACAACTTCTGGAAGTGAAGGACACAATTAGAGAAATGCAAAATACACTGGAAAGTCTCAGCAAAAGAATCAAACACGTAGAAGAAAGAACTTCAGAGCTCAAAGGCAAGGCTTTCTAAATAACTCAGTCCAACAAAGACAAAGAAAAAAGAATTAAAAAATGAACAAAGCCTCTAAGATGTTTGGGAATATGTTAAACGACCAAACCTAAGAATAACTGGTGTTCCCAAGGAAGAAGAGAAATCTAAAAGTTTGGAAAACATATTTGAAGAAAACTTCCCTGGCTTCGCTAGAGATCTAGACATCCAAATACAAGAAGCTCAAAGAACATCTGGGAAATTCATCACAAAAAGCCACCACATAGGCCCATAGTCATCAGGTTATCTAAAGTCCAGATGAAGGAAAGACTGTTAAGAGCTATGAGGGAAAGGCATCAGGTAACCTATAAAGGAAAGCTTATCAGACTAATAGTAGATTTCTCAGCAGAAACCCTACAAGCTAGAAGGGATTGGGGTCCTATCTTTAGCCTCCTTAAACCAAACAATTATCAGCCAATAGTTTTGTATCAAGCCAAACTAACCTTCATAAATGAAGGAAAGATACAGTTTTTTTCAGACAAACAAATGCTGACAGAATTTGCCACTACCAAGCCAACACTGCAAGAACTGTGAAAGGTAGCTCTAAATCTTGAAACAAATCCTCAAAATACACCAAAATAGAACCTCCTTAAAGCGTAAATCTCACAGGACCTATAAAACAATAACATAATTTAAAAAACCCCCACAAAGTATTCAGGCAACAAACAGCGTGATGAGTAGAGTAGTACCTCACATCTCAATACTAACTTTGAATGTAAATGGCCTAAATGATCCACTTAAAAGATACAGAACTGCAGAATGAATACGAATTTACCAACCACATATCTGCTGTCTTCAGGAGACTCACCTGACACATGAGGACTCATATAAACTTAAGGTAAAGGGGTAGAAAAAATTATTCTATGCAAAGGGACACCAAAAGCAAGCAGGAATAGCTATTCTTAGACAAAACAGACTTTAGAGCATCGAAGTTAAAAAAGACAAACAGGGATATTACATAATGATAAAAGGACTAGTTCAACAGGAAAATATCACAATTCTAAATATATATGCACCTAACACTGGAACTTTCAAATTTATAAAACAATTGCTACCAAACCTAAGAAATGAGATAGATAGCAACAAAATAATAGTGGGGGACTTAAATATTCCACTAGCAGCACTAAAGAGGTTATCAAGACAGAAAGTCAACAAAGAAAAAATGAGCTTTAAACAATACCCTTGAACAAATGGACTTAACAGATATTTACAGAACATCCTATCCAACAACTGCAGAATATACATTCTATTCATTAGCACATGGAACATTCCCCAAGAAGACCATGTCATAGGCCATGAAACAAGTCTCAATAAATTTATGAAAATCGAAATTATAACAAGTACTCTCTCAAACCACAGTAGAGTAAAATTAGGAATCAATTCCAAAAGGAATCCTCAAAACCATGCAATACATGAAAATTAAATAATCTGCTTTTTTTTTTTTTTTTTTTTTTTGAGATGGAGTCTCGCTCTCTCTCCCAGGCTAGAGTGCAGTGGTGTGATCTCAGCTCACTGGAAGTTCCGCCTCCTGGGTTCAAGTGATTCTCCTGTCTCAGTACTCCGAATAGCTGAGGTTACAGGTGTGCAGCAGAATGCCTGGCTAATTTTTGTATTTCCTTTAGTAGAGACAGGGTTTCGCCATGTTGGCCAGGCTTGTCCCAAACTCCTGACCTCAGGTGATCTGCCCACCCAGCCTCCCAAAGAGCTGGGATTACAGGCAAGAGCCACTGTGCCTGGTCTAAATAACCTGCTTCTGAATGATTGTTGCATCAACAATGAAATCAAGATAAAAACTAAAAAATTCTTTGAACTGAATGATAATAGTGATACAACCTATCAAAACCTCTGGGATACAGCAAAAGCAGTGCTAAGAAGAAGGTTCATAGCATCAAATGCCTACATCAAACAATCTGAAAGAGCACAAATAGACATCTAAGGTCACACCTCAAGGAACTAGAGAAACAAAAATAAACCAAACCCAAACCCAGCAGAAGAAAAGAAATAACCAAGATCAGAACAAAACTAAATGAAATTGAAACAATGGCAAAAAGATACAGAATATAAATGAAACAAAAAGCTGGTTCTTTGAAAAGATAAACAATATTGTCAGACTATTAGTGAGATTAACCAAGAAAAGAAGAGGGAGGATCCAAATAAGTTCAATTAGAAATGAAATGGGAGATATTACAACTGACACCACAGAAATGCAAAAGAGTATTCAAGGCTACTATGAACACCTTTACATGCACAAACTAGAAAACCTAGAGGTGATGGACAAATTCCTGGAAATATATTACCCTCCTAGATTAAACCAGGAAGAAATAGACACTCTCAACAGACCAATAACAAGCAGTGAGATTGAAGTGGTAATAAAAAAAATGCCCCCCCAAAAAAAGTCCAGGACCAGAAAGATTCACAGCTGAATTCTATCAGACATTCAAAGAAGAATTGACACCAATCCTACTGACACTATTCCACAAGATATAGAAAGAGGGAATCCTCCCTAAGTCATTCTATGAACCCAGGAAATACCAAAACCAGAAAGGATATAGTCAAAAAAGAAAACTACAGACCAATATCTCTTATGAACATAGATGCAAAAGTCCTCCAGAAAATACTAGATAACCCGATCCAACAGAATATCAAAAAGATAATGTACCATGATCAAGTGGGTTTCATACCAGGGATGCAGGGACGGTTTAACATATGCAAGTCAATAAATGTGACACACCACATAAACAGAATTAAAAACAAAAAATCACATTATCATCTTAATACACACAGAAAAAGCATTTGACAAAATCCAGCATCACTTTACGATTAAAGCCCTCAGCAAAATCGACATAGAAGGGACATACCTAAAGATAATAAAAGCCATCTATGACAAACCCACAGCCAACATAATACTGAACAGAGAAAAGCTGAAAGCATTCCCTCTGAGGACTGGAACAAGACAAGGATGCTCACTTTCACCACTTCTATTCAACAAAGTACTGGAAGTCCTAGCCAGAGCAATCAGACAAGAGAAAGAAAGAGCATCCAAATCAGTAAATAGGAAGCCAAATAGTTGCTGTTCACCAATGATGTGATTGTATACCTAGAAATTCGTAAAGACTCATTCAGAAAACTCCTAGAATTAATAAATGAATTCAGTGAAGTTTCAGGATACAAAATCAATGTTCACAAATCAGTAGCTCTGCTATACACCAACAGCGACTAAGCTGAGAATCAAATCAAAACACAACCCCTTTTACAATAGCTGCAACAGAAAAAAAAAATTTAAGAATATATATAACCAAGGAGTAAAAGTCCTCCACAAAACACTGTTGAAAGAAATCATAGATGACACAAACAAATGGAAACACATCCTATGGATGGGTAGAATCAGTATTGCGAAAATGACCATACTGCCAAAAGCAATCTATAAATTCAATGCAGTTCCCATCAAAATACCATCATTCTTCACAGAGCTAGAAAAAACAATCCTAAAATTCATATGGAACGAGAAAATAGCCTGCATAGCAAAAGCAAGACTAAGTAAAAAAAAAAATTCTGGAGGCATCACATTACCCAACTTCAAACTATATATACTGTAAGGCTGTAGTCACCAAAACAGCATGATACTGGTATAGAAATAGGCACATAGCCCAATGAAACAGAATAGAGATCCCAGAAATAAAGCCAAATACTTACAGCCAACTGATTTTTGACAAAGCAAACAAAAACACAAAGTAGGTAAAGGACACCCTATTCCGCAAATGGTTCTGGGATAATTCGCAAGCCACATGTAGAATTCGGTTGTGAATCTGTCTGGTCCTGGACTTTTTTTGGTTGGTAAGCTATTAATTATTGCCTCAATTTCAGAGCCTGTTATTGGTCTATTCAGAGATTCAACTTCTTCCTGGTTTAGTCTTGGGAGAGTGTATGTGTCGAGGAATTTATCCATTTCTTCTAGATTTTCTAGTTTATTTGCATAGAGGTGTTTATAGTATTCTCTAATGGTAGTTTGTATTTCTGTGGGATCGGCAATATACCAGAATCTCTGGGACACATTTAAAGCAGCGTGTAGAGGGAAATTTATAGCACTAAATGCCCACAAGAGTAAAGCAGGAAAGATCTAAAATTGACACCCTAACATCACAATTAAAAGAACTGGAGAAGCAAGAGCAAACACATTCAAAAGCTAGCAGAAGGCAAGAAATAACTAAGATCAGAGCAGAACTGAAGGAGATAGAGACATAAAAAACCCTTCAAAAAAATCAATGAATCCAGGAGCTGGTTTTTTGAAATGATCAACAAAATTGATAGACGGCTAGCAAGACTAATAAAGAAGAAAAGAGAGAAGAATCAAATAGACGCAATAAAAAATGATAAAAGTATTGGTTGTAAAAGAAGTAAAATAAATAATATTGGAAATGGGAGAAAAACAATCATTTTTATTATAACTTCTATCTATAAAATAAAAAAATCAATTAAGACAAACCATTAGAATTATTTTTTAATTTAATAAAGTCCAAGATAAAATAAACATACACGTATCAAGCATGATTAATATGGCCTAAAATGTTAAGGGATTTTGCATTTTTATTTAGAGAAACAAAGAATGCATACTATATTTCCAATATAAATTTTATATGTAATAAAATATCAATTATCACAAGCTAATGGTACAGATTTAGTGCAAGACCAATCAAAAATAGATATATAGATAGATATAGTTGCCAGGATAACTATGGACATGGACAAAGATATAGCTATAGATATAATTATTTGATCAAAGAGAAGCCAAAAATATCAGATGATTAATGTAAAGTATTTAACATTTCAAAGACTAACAATAGACCTAACTAAATATAATAATTTAATATATGATAAAATATTTGCAGAAATAAATGGTGAAAACAAAGCTAATTTTTTTCAAGAATTGAGATAACCCGATAAAAGTTTTGGGGATTTTTGTTTTCCACAGCATATGTTGTAAAACAAAATGCAATTTTTCTCTTTGACCACAAAATCCTAACTTCCCACACGCTTCACACTTGCTACAGAATGTGCCCTTGAACTTCATTTTGACCCTGAAGCTCCTCATCCCACACCCTTGGCATGGTTTCATTGGCCTCTCTGTGCATTTGGAGGCAATAATTTTAAGATGGTGTCCACTAAAGGTACAGCATAATTACCACCCTGTTCATTTCTAATTCTAGTTAATTCCAACTGCCAGTTTATTCCAATATGTAACTGTATATTATAAACTATAGATTACCACATACATGCTACCTATTCATTTTATTTCTTGATCATGGTCCCAGAATCCCAAGTGCCACTGGAGAAACTGCCAATCCGGAACTGCAAAACCATGTTCTGCAAGATCAGATGGGCAACACTGCTACTTGGAAACAATTTCATCCATCATTGTGAATGCTCTACATCATTTTTCCACAATGGTTGTTACAAATCCTTTTCACTTTCCTTACGTACCCAATCCCACTCAATATCTTTATTCTAAGCAGATGTCCCATTTCCCATCTGACCAAGCAAATTTGGATCATATGTAGTAAACTCCCTCAACTTTGCTATCCCTTACTATGTCTATAAAGTTTTACTGGATACTTTTCTATGCTGAGGGGGAAAAGACTTTTTTCTTTGCCAAAATTAATCCACTCCACTCATTTTTAATCGCATTCTCTACTAACACCCCTTTGGGATTTTTTTTTTCCCAGCTTTTTCCCTTTCTCTTCTTTACAACTTCAATATGTTCCTTGATACTGATTTATTTCCTTATACCTAATGCTCTTGGTTCCTTTACCTTAAAAATGACACTTCTTGATGATGAAATGTCTTAAAAGGTAGTCCTCTCTTAACCTTGATTCACATCTACACAGTATTAACAGTTTACAACCGGCTTTTGCTACCAACTTACTAAAATGGTGGATAAATCCTAAACACCAAATCCAATATACTTTTTCTCACTATTCATCTGCCTTGACCTCTCAGCAACATATTAAATTTTCCTTTATTTTCTGGAATGCAATATATTCCTTGCACTTACAAGAGATGCTTTTGTGTTTCCTTCTCCAAATCATTTTTTTAACTTTTCCTTAAATGCTGATTTTTTCCTCAAGACTGAATTTTTTTTCTCACTCACAGAGGTTGCACTCACTATATTTTCACAATAACTTAGTTTTTCTCAAAAGTGATTCTCTCTCTACTTCTAATTCCCAGGTACACTCTATATAGGCAAAATTAAAGACATCTTTCTCTGACTTACGTCAGATTAACATCAGATCAAGTTATTATTCTCTTTGAAAACATTTGCTAACTTAAATGCTTGTGCATAAACTTGATTAAGAAACTCAAGGCCACTTTTCCTCTACTAACACCCTGATAAATGCCGGGCTTCTCTGAGAAACCGGGTGTACCTGGAATTCTCTGCATTTTCCATTTTCACACTCATTAGTCCCTGAAGACTGATCTTCATACCACCTCCTTTATAAAAACTTTCCTATTATTTGATCTATTAAAAATATTTGTTTTCTTTTATTAAAACTAACAGGCCGGGCGCGGTGGCTCACGTCTGTAATCCTAACACTTTGGGAGGCTGAGGCAGGCGGATCACAAGGACAGGAGATCGAGACCATCCTGGATTAACACCGTGAAACCCCGTCGCTACTAAAATCTGACAAAGGGCTAATATCCAGAATCTACAATGAACACAAACAAATTTTGTGCCCTAAAACTTAGAGTATAATAAAAAAAAAACAAAACAAAAAAAAAACAAACAGCCCCATCAACAAGTGGGTGAAGGATATGAACAGACACTTCTGAAAAGAAGACATGTGTGGAGCCAAAAGACGCATGAAAAAATGCTCATCATCACTGGCCATCAGAGAAATGCAAATCAAAACCGCAATAAGATATCATCTCACACCAGTTAGAATGGCGATCATTAAAAAGTCAGGAAACAACAGGTGCTGGAGAGGATGTGGAGAAATAGGAACACTTTTATTTACACTGTTAGTGGGACTGTAAACTAGTTCAACCATTGTAGAAGTCAGTGTGGCAATTCCTCAGGGATCTAGAACTAGAAATACCATTTGACCCAGTCATCCCATTACTGGATATATACCCAAAGGATTATAAATCATGCTGCTATAAAGACACATGCACACGTATGTTTATTGTGGCACTATTTACAATAGCAAAGACTTGGAACCAACCCAAATGTCCAACAATGATAGACTGGATTAAGAAAATGTGGCACATATACACCATGGAATACTATGCAGCCATAAAAAGGATGAGTTCATGTCCTTTGTAGGGACATGGATGAAGCTGGAAACCATCATTCTCAGCAAACTATCACAAGGACAAAAACCAAACACCGCATATTCTCACACATAGGTGGGAATTGAACAATGAGAACATGTAGACACAGGAAGGGGAACATCACATACTGGGGCCTGTTGTGGGGTAGGGGGAGGGGGGAAGGATAGCATTAGGAGATACACCTAATGCTAAATGACGAGTTAATGGGTGCAGCACACCAACATGGCACATGTATACATATGTAACAAACCTGCATGTCGTGCAATGTACCCTAGAACTTAAAGTATATAAAAAAAACCCAATACTTTTGTCATTTATTGTAGATGCAGAATTTTCAAAACAAATGAATACTTTTGAGTTTATGCATTTATTTAAAGGAAATATCTTTAAAATGTTGATTCTGTATTTAGAATAGGTATTCTTTATCTTATCACATTAAATAATATTGCAAAGAATGTATCGGGGTTTATTAGGTAACTCTTCCGGCCTAATTCAGTCATTTTAGGAATCCACTCCTTACCATGACCAGAAGGAAGGAACATGTTATAGACCCAGCCCTGTGTTTACAGATCAAGTTCATAACTTTCAATTTGCCCTCCCTTGCTTCTGTTTTGTCCATCTCATAAATAGCAATCCCTATTTTCTGGTTCCTTTTGGTACCCAGTGCCTTTAGCACAATCTATGGTTGGCCATCCTCCCCGCTCTGACCAGCTGCCTTTTTTGATGACTCTGGCAAGTGCCTCTCTTTGGTTCCATGCGTTCAGAACTAAACAGAGCTCAGCATCCTCTTTATAATGGCCCTAGGAACCCTCCCGTCAGTTTATTGGTCTCCAGGGCTTCTGGATGGGGCATAGTCAAGTCTCACAATCTGTTCCTAAATCTTTTCAGCATCTGCTATGATTATTACATTTTTCGTTACTTAACTAAAATGTTATTTAAAATGACCTCTTTATATTGGAAAATTTTTGCATTTCTTAGATGACCCAAACTTAGTTGCAGTGGTTATTTTGTCAAGTATAACTATATTCTATATTTTAAAAAAAAGATTTTTCACACCTATATTCATATATTCATAAGTGAGATGGAGTGTTTTTGCATGACATAACCAGATTTGGGTGGAAAAAAGCACATTTGGCTCATGAAATAATTTCATAATTTTTTGCTAGTCTTAGAAATATGTATTACCAGGAAATCATCAATTTGAATGCTTGAAAGATTTCTTTAAAGGGCTTGTCATGTTTAATTGACCTCTTCTCCCCAACTGTGTTTGACAGCAGTTGTTGGATGACTTTCATGTTGTCATGTAGATAGTTCTCTGGTTTTCTAGTTTACTTTTGTCATTTCATATTAAAATTTATCAGAAGCATTATATTTATTTTGATTTTCAAATTTATTAAATTTATGTGTGGTATTGTTTAAATTTTAAATCAGAAAATTTTCTTATGACTGTAGCCAATTTTATTTGTGTTGGTCGATTAAATAATAAAAGAATGTACATTTTAAAAATTTTTAGTAAAAATGCTTTAGCTGTACCCTATTATAATTATATTCAGTATTTTCAACTTTTTCTAAATATTTTTTAGAAATATTTTTCTAAATAGTTTTTCAATTCAGTTACTTTATTAGGAAATGTTTCTTTTTTCTAAAAAATAAAAATACAAAAATTTTATAATTCATTTAATAGCAACTGGTACTATAAAATTTATGTACTTCGGTTATCCCTTCTTTAGACAATAGTCTGCAAATTAGCAGTGTATTTTTTGCAAAAGTTATCACATTAGCTGTACTGTCAATTTTTCTTAAGGTTAACCAAAGATAACCTAGAATCACAGCCTTTTTATGATCACACAAAATGATATTAGGAAATATTTCAAAACATTTACAAGTGTTTTACTTTTAATTTATAAATAAGTATAAATGAATATATTGTTATCAGAACATTAAAAGTAGAAATTAATATGTCCATATATGATATTTTGTGTGTCTTAGTAAATGGTCATTTCATTAATATTACCACTGAAAATTACATATATTTCTTGTTTGGAGTTGACATGTAATACACGGCAATTTTTTATTTTATTAATTATAGTTTTAATTTTTCTTTTTTTCATTTGTAAGGTTGTCAGTTATGGGCGAAACTATAATTACATTTCTGTATATTTCCCCTTGTATTGCTAAAAGATTTTAATTAATATATTTTCTGCACTATTTTCATAAATTATTTTCATGTATTTGCCTTCTATTTATCATACTTCTACAATTATACCCTGATTCTATCTTCCATAAGACTTTTGGTCCTATTATTATTGTTGTTGCCAGTTCTGCTTTCCTCTTATTCAAGACCAATTTGGCTTCACATCAACTCTTGTTTGTAGCTTTTGCCTTATCAGAATATTGTTGGATTTGGTTTTTTAGCCTCCGTGAAATCCTGGGACTTTTAGTGTTAGAATTTATAAATTTATAGTTATAACCATTATGTGTTCCCTAATGTGTGACATTTTGCAATAGGTGAGCTCCAAGTGTATGAAAGAAAAAGTGCAATTTATGAGGCAGAAGCTAGCCTGTGGAGTCTTCTGAACATGACATGAATTGCCAATGGAAAAATAGGGTCTCACTGATGTCTAAGAAAAATTAAATGTAAGTTGTAATAAGGTATATTTTATAAGTATGTATGGTATACTTTTAATAAAGCATAAAAAAGTAGTATTCATTGAAAAACCACACATTTTCTTCTTTGATGGAATTATTCAAAAATTGTGCAAAGTGTATCAGAATTCCTGGGTTGTAGGATAAAATCCTGTAGATATACTACAAACAGTGAATATGTCAGTATGTGAAGGTTCGGTTCATGTTTTATGCATCACAACTATCTCTAATAAAATAACAATTTTTTTGTGTGAACCATGCTGGAGGAAAAACTGAATAATCTTTCTCTTCTCTCTGTAGAAAATGATAGTTAAAAAACATTGTTATATCAGAAGAATTATATATCTACCGAAGAAATTGAATTCATAGTTAACCATCTCCAACAAAGAAAGCTTCAGACCTAGATAGCTTCAACAGCAAATTTACCAAACAATTTAAAAAGAAATAATATCAATCATATACATAACCATTTCTAGAAAACATAAGAGAACGAACTCATTTTATGAGGCCAGTATTATCCTGGTTATAAAACCTTACAAAGACATTATAAGAAAAATACAACTACAGACCAGTATCTTTCATAATCACAGAAACAAAAATCTTCAGCAAAATATTAGCAAATCAAATTTAACAGTATAAAATAATGATAATACAGTATGGCCAATAGGTTTATGTTGAGATACAGGATTGTTTAAACATTCAAAAAATCCATCAATAAAATGTATATCAAGAAAAGAAAAAAGAAAAAATTATAAGATCATTTCTTAAATGCAGGAAAATATTTGACAAAATTTAACAACTATTCATGAGAAACCTCTCAGCAAACTAGAAATAGAAACTTACTTTATCTGATAAAGGGCATTTACAAAAAACCTAAAACTAATAGTATACTTAAAGGTGAGAGATGGATTTCTTTCTTACTAAGATTGGGAACAAGGTAAAGACTCTCACTATTCCTATTTAGTATTGTAGTGAAAGTCCTAGGCAGTGAAACAATATAAGAAAAAGAAATAGGCAGCATACAAATTGAAAAGAGAGAAGTAGCATTATCTCTATGTACATATACTATGTAATTATCTATGTAATTCTAAGAAATCTACAAAAATAAAAAAAAAACCTCCTGTAAGTAATAAGTGAGTTTAGGAAGGTTGCAGGATTGCATGGTCACTATACAAAAATAAATTATGTTTCAATATAATGACAATGAGTAATTAAAACTTACAATAACACCAAAAATACTTAGGTATAAATTTATCAAAATATATACAGATTCTATATGCTGTAGGCTGGGGCAGAGTGCATCTGATAGTGTCTCAGTGAACATACATCACTTAATGGTGTGTTGATCATGAAACAAATGAAGATCTATCATGATAAACTGAAAATTGAAAGGAACTGTGAATATGTTAACAGGCTGGTTACAAAAATTTGAGAAAAAACACAGCATTAAATTTTTAAAAATTTGTGGTGATAAAGCATCTGTTGATCATGAAGCAACGGAGAAATTCATTGATGAGTTCACTAAGATCATCACTGATGAAAATCTGGCACCAGAACAAGTCTATAATGCTGATAAAACATTACTATTTTGGTGTTATCACTCCAGAAAGACACTAACTACAGCTGATGAGACAGCTCCTACAGGAATGAAGGATTCCAAGGACAGAATAACTATGCTGGGATGTGCTAATGCAGCAGGCATGCGTAAGTGTGAACTTGCTGTGATAGGCAAAAGTTTGCGTCTTTGCTCTTTTCAGGGAGTGAATTTTTTTTACCAGTTCATTATTATGCTAACAAAAAGGTATAGATCACCAGAGATCTCTTTTCTGATTGGTTTCATAAACATTTTGTACCAGTGGTACATGCTCACTGCAGGGAAGCTGGACCGGATGCCAACTGCAAGATTCTGTTAATCCTTGACAAATATTCTGCTCATCTTCCAGCTGAAACATCATAAAAGATAATGTTTGTGCCATGTACTTTCCCCCAAATGTGACTTCATTAACTCAGCCATGTGACCAGAATATTCTTAGAATAAGAAAGGGTAAATATAAAACACTTTCTTGACCAGCATGGTAGCAGCAGTGAACAGAGGCCTGGGTGTGTAAGGTTTTCAAGAGAAGTTTAGCATGAAGGATGCCACACATGCTTTTGCCAATGCTTGGCACAGAGTGATTGTAACTGTGTTCAGAGATGAGGAGGCACAAGGTAATGACTTTGAAGAATTCCTTAAGTCAAGTGAGAAAAAAGATGTTTGACCTCCTTACAAGTGCAAAAAATATCCCTTGAGAGTCTGTCAGTAAACTGGAAGAAATGAGGTTCTAGTTACTCATTCATTGATGGATAGTAAAGTAGCCAAAATGGCTCTGAATCAAGGTAATCATATTAATGAAGAAAAAGAAGATGTTGTTAACATGGCAGAAAAAGTACCTACATATGACATGGTGAAAATGTGAGATGGGCTTATTGAAGGACTAGAGCAGCATGCATGTATAACAGAGATCATGTCAGTTTATAAAATCAAAGAGAGGCTTCTAGGACGAAAACTGTTTTTAATCAGGCAGAAGACTCTGGAGGAAATGTTTTAAAAGGCCATCCAGCTGAATACCTCCTCATCCCTAGAGGACTCACTTCCTGGTTCCAGATTCTGGTATTTCTTCTCACCTAAAAAAAAAATAAAATACAGTGTACGGTAACTTTTTAATCAAAATACAGCATTGTAGATAGAGACTGGAAGCCTGCCCTTGTTTGTTTTTGCATCATATATTTTATTATTCTTATGATTAATAGCTGACAGGCATTCTGGTGATAATACTGTGCTGTTTAGTTAACCTGAACACATAATTTTTTCTCTGAATTAATAGTATGTCAATTTCTTTTACTGTTAAGTGCTTAAGTGTGAATATGTGTAAAAAAATGCTTTCTTTTTTTACATACATAAAAATAGCATATAAAAATTCAGACTCAGGAATGATGATGATGCCAAACAACCACAGATTGTCCACACGGGTGGCTGATAGAGACATTTTTGCTTTCTGATCGTTTGATGTACATAAACTATGTTTCATGCATACAATTATTTTAAAGTATTGTATAAAATTATTTTCAGGCTATATGTATAAGGTATGTATGAAACAAATGAATTTAGTGTTTAGACTTGGGCCTCTTCCCCAAGATATCTCATTATCTATATGTAAATATTTCAAAATCTGAAAAAATTTAAAAATCTGAAACACTTCTGATCCTAAGCATTTTGGATAAGGAATACCCACCCTGTATAGAAAATAAGAAATTATGTACTTTATTTGGCTTTTCCTCTTTTATTTATTTATTTTATCCCTGACTTTTCTTCTTTTATATATAAATGTAATTTAATATTCTGCAGCTGTTCTTTTATGACTTCATTTTAGCAAAAAACTTCGATAATTGTATTTATTAACAATGATATTTTCCTCTTGATGTCTGTTTTCTCATCTCTGCAAAGACTTGATATCAATTCAACGATCATTATACATCTTTTCAATAGTACTATCTTCACATGTGTTTTTTTTCTTAAATTCAATTGTTAATTCTCTTGAGTGCATATTCAAAATTTTTGTACAAGTTACTTGTTTGATACATTTTTCAAAGCTTTGTGAAACCTAAGAATGTCTTTCTGTTATGCAGCCAGATGAATAATAAACTTGTTCATGTTCAGTCAATATGAATAATATATTATTCACAGACATTTCTGAACAGACTTTTCTAGGAACAAGGTAGTCAAATTTATTACAATAATGCCTAAAATAATTCTGAGAAGAACTTGAAGGCCTGCTCTAAAAAGGGTGTATGTCACTTTTAGCAAATTGATATTGTGATACTTGGTGCTTTTGTTCAGGGAACTTTTTGGTTATTTACCTATTGTTTGTTATGTCTTAGGTGATTGGGATATCCAGATAAATGTAGTGTTGCTGTAATATTTTCCAAATATATCCTCTTAGGCCTATACATGACTACTCTGTTGATTTCACCGCATAAAAAGAGGAATCTTTGGCGTAGAAACTGAACCTTCCCTCTCACCTCTCTAAAGTTGAAGAGATAATGAATATAGCATTTAATGCTAATTCATTCTGACAGTCTTGGTGAAATCTTGAAGATTAGTGTTTCTCAGGGAGCAAGGGTTCTGAGCCCCATGAAACATGCTGGGGCTTCCAGAAGTTCACATGACGTCTCAACATGGCTCAACTAACTGTTTACAAAAAACATTGTTCATCTTCTGGATAAAAATCATGAGTCTCACATTTAAAGTTGAAGAAATTTTATGTAAGTCTCAAAAAAAAAAAAAAATAATAGCTATCATGAGATAGCTTTACCCAGAAAAAGAAAATAGTGAAACTCAAGGTCACTTAGAAAAGATTCTAGTGCCAATGCAAAGAATGTCACAGACGGTTTCTCCTAAGGGAGTGCCTTCCTATGGAGACATTTTTTTTTCTGGGCTATGTTTAGCATATAAGAAAGTTCTAGTTGAATAAAAAGCTGCAGCTGTTCCAGTAACTACTAGTTAATGAGGTCATTAAGGATCAGTGATGTGGTTTGTCTAAGACAAAAAGAAATGAAAAATATTAGTGAATAAGGAAAAATAGAGAATGGTTGCATATTGTATAACTTATCAGTTCAACTGATTTTACCTACTGTCATTAATATAAAAAAATTTGAAGGCACAAAAGGCAGATAAAGGAAAAAAGGGTGACAAGATCCTGAGCCGGGTCAAGACGTTGGGATGTTGGGAAATACAAATAAAGGTGAGAGCATGGCCTCCCAGGGCTTGTCAAGGAACCCGTTTATAGAAATCAAGGAAGATGAAAACATTTTAACTGTATGTATGAATGTATCATTAACCACTCATTTCGTATGATATTTTAATGGGCGTTGGAGTCAGACAAAGCTATATTTGAATCACAGCTCTACAACTTACAATTTCATATGCTAGGGGTATTGAGCTGATTAAAATTCAGTCTTTTTCTGTATCAGTCAAGTTTTTTTAACCAATATATTATGAAAATTCAGCCATGAGTGCCTGAAACATCAAGGAAACTCTTACATAACAAGAATATTGGACATAGGGTCATTCCAGAGTTAATTCAGCGGCTTCGCTGCGTCACCAAATCCTCTGCTTCTTTCCCTCTTTCTCCTCTGCCATTCTCATTGTTTTGGCTTTTTTTTTTCTTCAAAAACTGACTGTCACCAAGAGGTTACTGCAGATCTGAGATGCATATGAAGGTGAAAAATGTCCTGAAAAAGAAGTGTTTCTTACTAAGCTCCTATTATCAGTGAGGAAAACCTTCCCCAGAATCCCCACAACAGATGTCCCCACTGGTCTCATTGTCCAGGACTGTTTCAAATGCCAATCCCTGGCAAGGGGAATGAGATTATCTCAATGAGCTGGAACTAGTCATGATACTGTCCCCATAACTGGAGCAGAGTCCAGCACCAGAAGGTACATGGTGGGCCAATACTCAAACACCTTCTGTTTCTATGGAAGAAGTTGGCTTCTCAGACAGGCAACAAAGGGTTTCTATTGGTATGTGATAAAGTAGTCAAGTGCCTGACATAATCAGTATGAGAAAATTACTAGATATCGTTACAACTTTAGAAAACATATGTTTAATGAATATTTAAAAAAATTCAAATTTGCTGTAAACAATAAGATAAACAGATAAATAAAATTTAGTGATTTGATTTGAATATTTTCATCCTCCTCCAAATTCATGTGTTGAAGTCCTGACAGTAAAGTGATGCTATTAGAAGGTCAGGTCTTTGGAGGCGATTAGGTCATGGATGATTAGGACAGAGTCCTCATGAATGGGAACAGGGACCTTATAAAGGAGGCATGCGGGAGCTCAATCACCCCGTGTGCCATGTGAGGTTATAGTGAGGACATGGCCTTCTATGTACTAGGAAGAAGTCCCTCACCAGGAGCCAAATCTGCTGGTGACTTGATCTTAGACTTCCCATCATACAGAACTGTGGAAAATAAATTTCTGTTTTTCATAGGCCACCTAATCTATGGTATTCTGTTATAGCAGCTCAAATGGACTAAAATACTCAGGATTGATTGTAAGTAAAAATAGACTCTGAGGCATGCTAGACATAGATTAAATGAATGGAATTAGTAAAGAGAGCATACGTGTTGAAGATAGGTACAAAGAAGGGAAGAACCAATAAAGTCACTGAATATTTATGATTTTCAGGTTTTATCACTTTGTGCACCTGTTGGTGGCATCCATTCTGGCCCCATATATACTTTCCCAAAACAAATGGATCAAAGTTATGGCTGCTCAGCTAGTTATTGGTGAGTTTGAGCTATGGCAAGTATACTTGCTCTTGTGTCTTTTGAATAGAAAAAGAGTGTTTACTCCAGGCACCTCTTATCTGCTAAGCCAACTTGTTCAATCTCAATTATGGCCTTTATAATCACACTGGCTGTGTGCTGAGGTTGCAGGGAGGCAAGAGATCAGGAAGAGAGAGAGAGAAAAAGAGAGAAGACAGGATACATAAACATTGCCTGACCAAGGACTCAGGTAGTGTGGCCATTATATTCCACTTGCATGATGTCCTAAGTGCTTTAAGTTGATTCAATAAGCTTTGTGATTTGAGTGTCTTAACTTGTTCAGTGAATCTTTCTCGAATAGTTTGTCTAATAGTAATAAACTAAGAGGCTATAATATTGTGTCAATTTTCTATTGAGACAATAAGTTTACATAGAGAATAAAAGAGAGATGGAAGGAACATTACAGAGTACCTACTTAAATTCTAGTATTTTATACCATAGGAATATATAAACAAGGAGGGATTTAAAAATTTGTGGCTAATCATGTCTGAAGCATATGTAATATAACAGTAGTTCTAACACTTTATTTTAAAACTGATATTAGTTCATTATCTGTACACAATAAAAGGAGACAAGTTGGAGTTTTAAAAACATTTTAGTTATAATTCATATGATGATTCTGTTCCTTCTATAATACGGGGTATTACTTTCTGATGAGGGTATGCCATCTGACACTTTATTATTTTTTCTGACATACTTATATAATGCTTTTACTCCATAAAATCAGAACTATTTGGTCTGTCTTATATTCAAATTGTGGAAACTTCAGGGAAAGAAATCTGATTTGTAGTTAGAGATGTATTCTGGTCAAGACAGCTCAGTAATTTCATGCATTGCTCTAAACACATAGCAATGATAGATAAATTTAAAAAGAGTTAACCCAAAACTAAACAGATAAATCTTATTATTGACCAATGATAGGAGGGCTGACCTATTGGGCTTTGGATACACAAACCTGTAGGAGTAGTTTTGAACTCTGTTCCCACAGGGTAAAGTGAACAGGGATGAGGACTTTATATGCTAGAATTCTGCAAATAGGAGGGCTCTACTTGTATGAAAGAAGCCTTTGAAAATGATCACGGTTTCTCATAGCTTCTATGGCTACAGATTTTAGTAAGCCATAGACTTAGAGGACCCACAGAGACCCTGTGATCATGAATAAACAAAGATGCCCACATGCTCTGTGTCCAGATCTCACAAATGGCTGTAGGATAGGTGACCCAAAATACCACTACAAGACCTGCTACTAGAGAGACATCCCTTGGGTTGGGTGGAAGAAGCATAGATGAAACACATATAAGATCAAAGTTATAGAAATTCTCTGATCCAAACTAAGCCCATAAACAGAATTCTAAAATTCATGAAGAAACTTAACTAATAAGCAAGATAGTAAACAAATTATGTAGTAAGCACATAAACTCATTGTAGATAAAATTAATTTTAAGAAGCAAGTTTATAATATGTATATTTAGATGCTCTCTGCAATAGGCCAGCTGGTCCTAAACTAGCCACCCAGCTTAAATGACTATAAAATAGGACAAAATATATAAAATTATTGCTTTCAGCCTTGTGATTAAAGGTGTAAGAGAGTGATTCCCAGTGGTGGGCAGTATACGAGGCAAGCTGTATGGTGTCCCTGACTTTCTGTTTGGAGATCCTTTCTAATCTACTGTGCAAGCATGCAGAACTCAAATAAAGCGCAGAGTGTTTGCTGAGTTGAAGTGCAGAGATCAGAGTTTGGGCTAGTGAAACAGCTGGGATGTATGAAGAAAGTTACCAGAGAGGAGAACACTGCAAAAAGAAGGAATTCCTGAAATCTAAATTACACATTCTCAGGGCAAGACTCCACAGGAATAGGCAATAAATAAATAAATAAATAAATAGAAAACCTACCAGAGAGCTAAGAACACAGCAACTTCAATAGCTTGCAAAGGGCTGGAAGCTATTGCAAGCTTTAATTTCAACTAACTGGATGGAGGAATATCAGGAGACACTTGGGATTTCAGTAGAAGTTTCAGGCAGCCATCACTTAGGAATAGGGCTAACGTATCCCTAGAGTAAAGGCAACTCTAGACCATGCTAACAATGTTTGAAAACAAGCCTTGAAAGGATTGAGCAGAGCTACACATGAATGAACTGCCTACCAGAACAAAACAAAAGTTTTAAGGAAGACAACAAAATTCAGACATGCAAAAAGGCAGTACTCATAATGTCCAGCACACAATAGAAATTACTAGATATGTAAAGAAGAGGAGGAAGAAAAAGAAAAAAAAAAGTGGTCCATAGCCAGGAGAAAAAGTAGTAAAAAAACAGAGATTCAGCATTATGGAAATGATGGATTTAGCACACAAGGACTAGAGAATAGCTATTGTAAATATGTTCAAAGAATTAAAGGCAACACGAATATAATAAGGGAACAAAAAGGTAATCTCAGCAGAGAAAAGGAAACCATATAAAAGAACCAAACGGAAATCCTTGAATTGAAAAATACAAAATACAAAATGAAAAATACTATCACTTCTGCAGCTGTAAACCTTGGTGTCCCTTTGGTTATAAATAAACAATTACATAATCCCTTCTAAGTAAGCATAGAAGTGAAAAGTAAATATGAAAATTTAGAGGTTATTCATAACACTAAGTCCTTGGAATCAAGAGCAAGAAAACAGAAGTTAAGGTAGCTATTCTCTCAGCCCCTCTAACTCTGACCACAGGGCTTTGCGTCTCTGTTTTCATCTATATATGTGCTTCAAACTCTCTCTCTCCCTGTAGCATGATTTTCTCTGAAAACATGGTTGTCCCATATCATCCAAGTTTAAAGATTCAGTTGCAGTATAAGCTAAGGAAATTATTTTCCCTTAATTTCAATTCCAAACTCCTATGGAAAAGAATCTAAGTGATCAAACCGAGGTCAGGTATTTACACCTGTCTTAATTTTCTACAGCTCTGGGGACTAATTAGTGCTATCTGAACAAACATGACCACCAATGACACTTCCAAAGATTTTTTTTTCTGAAAGAAAGAACACTCATTGAGTGAGCCTACCCTACAAGTCAGCATATGGACATCAATATACTTTGGTAGTTAGTTCTAGAAAGTAAAATATGCATTTCATACCTTTTTAAAATTAGATACAGTAAATACCATATTATCTGTATTGGCAAGCTTTAAACCTTTTATAAAGTACAGGAAATTACCATGTCCTTGTAAAAGTTAAAAAAATAATTTATCCAATAAAATGAATAATCAATCTTTGTGTATTTTTTTTTATTAGGAAGATAAAGATAATGCTTCCTTTCCTTGGGCATAATGACTATATAAACCACTTACTACATCTTCATGTCAAATGACCCTTCCTTCTAGGGTCTGATTGTCAAATGTAGATAAAAGCAACAGAAACTAAGGATCATAAATTCTAGTCACACAAGGCTGGAGCTATGGACTTTTCTTAAGCTGGTACATTTGTCTACACTTTGTGTGCAGGGCAGACTGCAATCCCTTGCTGTATGGCTTTTGAACCTAATAAGAAGCTAGTAAATACCCTGGGTTACCAAAGAAAGACTTACTCTAAAGCATGGGGGAATAAAGGAGACATACTGCTGACTTCCTGATTCTCCTCTTTGTTCTTGTTTCATTGATCTGGAAAAAAAAAATAGAGAATGTCAGAAAAAGTTGAAACCTATTCACGGTTGTGAAACTCTCTAAGAGCAACCTTCAAAAAAGAAATAATAGGAATTAGGGTTTAGAGATAACATGTAGACATTCAAGTAACTAATAAGAAGGGTGGAGGATGGGCATGATGAACAGTGCATGCTGCAGGATTAATTTAAGTAAAGCCCTAGTAGTTTAGGTGAGAAAAGAACATAGTCTTAAGATCTTTGCTTAAGATGGGCTGTGCATCTGATGCACCGTTGGAAAGATGGGCTGTGCAGAGTAAGAAGAGAATTGACATGATTCAATTGTTTTTATGGGTTCAGATGCCCAGAGGAGTGGAGACTTGGGGCTACAGTTTTAAAGGACGGGTGAGATTCAATCATTTGGGCCTCACTATTTTGCCATGCTTACCATCTGAGATCACTTCCTCTTTAAAAATTTTTTTTTGTTTGTTTAGCTTTGCTTTGTTTGCATGTTCAGCAATGCTGGGCATTATAGCTTCATTTGGCACTAACAGTGACCCTCAACTGTAAACGGAATGTAACACTGCCCTTTTGTGAATCACTTTGGGCTCCTCTTATTTTGCAAATGGAGAGTCTTGACTTCCAATAAAACTTAGGAAATCCTCAGCAAGGGCTTTATTGTCTTATTAAAACTCCAGTAATTAGGGAAATCGGTCAGCCATCATCTCACTTTTGTGTGTGTGCTCTCCCACTATGCCAATTTGTCCATTCACCCATGGATTTGACATGTTCACAGGAATTTCTGCCTAGAGCAGTAAGAAAGTTGAAGCATGGATTCTTATTAGACTGATAAAATTAGACAGGACAAATCACTTAGAAAAATTCATTAGGAAATAACACTGAGTAAGAAAAGAAACGAGTAATTATTCTACAATCGTTCTGTTATTCTATAGCAGGCTTTTAAGAAAACAACTGACTTGTTAAGTGTCAAAGCATTTATTTTTAAATAAATTATTCTCTCCACTCAGTGAAACTTACTCATATGTCAATGTAAAATATGGCCATCTTTTTAGAGCAAAGGATGATACCCAAGTTGCATTATAATCTGCCTGTTACTGTTACAGTGGTTATTGTGATAATTTCTATTTCTATGCTTGTACCTAATATATGGTTTTCAAAGCATTATCAAATAACACAAATAGCTAACAACAAGGGAAAAGTTTTAAAATTATGATGCATGAGGTTAAATATTTTCAAATAATGTTAATTGATCAAAAAATGCTTTTCATAAAATTATGATTAAAAACAAGTACAGAACTCTAAATGCAGCATGATGCTAATTATATATATGTATATATATCTATTACTATCTTGTTTTAGTTTTTATATATATATCTATTTCTCTACCTATAAATACATCAAATACATCTATATAGTCTAGAAAGTTATACAGTTGACCCTTGTATAACACAGGGGTCAGGATCACTGGCCCCAGTACGATAAAAAATCCACACATAACTTTTGACTTCCCAGAAACTTAACTACTAATAGCCTCCTGTTGACCAGAAGCCTTAGCAATGACTTAAACAGTCAATTAACATATATTCTGTATGTGGTATATACTAGATACTGTATTCTTTCAATAACTTAAGCTAGAGAAAAGCTTAAGAAGATTATAAGGAAAAGAAAATATATTTACTATTCATTAAGTGGAAGTGGATCATCATAAAGGTCTTCATCCTTGTGGTCTTCAAGTTGAGCAGATTAAGACGAGGGAGAGGAGGTGCTGCTCTTGCTGTCTCAGGGGTGGCAGAGGAGGAAGAGGTGGAGGAGGTGGAAGGGGAGGCAGGAGAGGCAGGCACACTCAGTGTAACTTTTATTTAAACCACTCCATGTATAAGTGGACCCAAGCAGTTCTAACCTGTGTTGTTCAAGGTTCAACTGTACACCAAATGTTGAAGGTAAACAGCAGAATTTTTATTTTTGTATACTCTTTCTAAGTTTTTTATTATCTATTAATATAACTAATGAACATTTATTTTGTTAAAAAATTATTTATAACTTAACTATAATAACTTCTGTACATTTGCTAATACGACGGGTTGAAAAGAATGAATCTTAAGAAAGGTGAGTTGAATCCCAATGGCAATCTATTGCTATGTGAGGATAGCTCAGAACTCTCTCTCCAATGTTTGGCAAAAACAGTCTCTCTTGACTTTTTATCAAAGACTTGCTCTCAGATTTAAACCAATATAGTATTATCAACTTTGGATTTGGCAAGTGTAGAGCTCATTTTCCTAACGATTGATAACATGACGGCTGCTGGTTTTGTCTTAGGAAATACAAATTTGAAAGCAGCCACTCAGGTTTCAATCAAATTCAGACTTATTACAAAATTCTTATTACCCTGGAAAAATTATGAATAATAACTTTGAATAAGAAGACCTGGGCTGGCGTGCTGGCACATGCCTGTAATCCTAGCACTTTGGGAGGCTGAGGGGGGTGGATCACTTGAGATCAGGAGTTCAAGACCAGCCTGGCCAACATGGTGAAACCCCGTCTCTACTAAAAATACAAAAAATTAGCCAGGCGTGGTGGCACACACCTGAAATCCCAGCTACTCAGGAGGCTGAGACAGGATAATCACTTGAACCTGGGAAGCAGAGGTTGTAGTGAGCCAAAATCGCACTACTGCCCTCCAGCCTGGGTGACAGAACGACACTTTGTCTCAAAAAACAAACAAACAAACAAACAAAAAAAAAAAACAGAAGACTTGCATTGAACCTTAAAGCTGCCTGGTGTACAGTTGCATACTGGTACACTGGTACAGCTAACTGGTACACTGGTACACTGGTACAGCTGACTGGTCCCAGTAGCATAAATTGGGACAGTGTGGTCAAGGGGACCCAGATTCCAGCTAGAGAAAGGCCCGTTGGGTCTACAATAAGTCTTAAGATTGCGAAGGGATCCAGAGACTAAAACATGTGGGAATTGCTGCTCTAGATAAACACCTTTATAATAAGCCCACTGCAGCCAGTAGCGAGCTGTATATCTGATCCTTATTTATTTATTTTTTTTTTGAGACAGAGTGTCACTCTGTCGCCAGGCTGGAGTGCAGTGGTGCGATCTCGGCGCACTGCAACTTCTGCCTCCCAGGTTCAAGTGATTCTCCTGCCGCAGCCTCCCGAGTAGCTGGGACTACAGGCGCCTGCCACCACGCCCAGCTAATTTTTGTATTTTTAGTAGAGACGGGGTTTCACCAAGTTCACCAGGCTGGTCTCCATCTCTTGACCTTGTGATACACCCGCCTCAGCCTCCCAAAGTGCTGGGATTACAGGCGTAAGCCACCGCGCCAGTGTCTTGTGTCTTTTTCTTTCTTTTTTTTCTTTTTCTTTTTTTTGAGTCTCACTCTGTTGCCCAGGCTGGAGTGCAGTGGCATGATCTCGGTTCACTGCAACCTTGCCTCCTGGATTCAAGCGATTCTTCTGCCTCAGCCTCCTGAGCAGCTGGATTACAGGCATGCACCACCAAGCCCAGATAATTTTTGTATTTTTAGTACAGACCAGGTTTCACCATATTGGCCAGGCTGGTCTCAAACTCCTGACCTTGTGATCCACCCACCTCAGCCTCCCAAAGTGCTGGGATTACAGGCGTGAGCCACCGTGCCCAGCCACTTTTTTTCTGATACACCAAAAAGTTGCTTCTGTCAACCTATGACTTGTAATCCTTATGTAAGATGATAGTCAGATTCATGACAATAAACAGCCATGTGTAATTCATTGTGTTACGGATGTAAAGAAATAGTTGGAAGGACATTGTAATTTTTACTTATACAGAGTACACTTTTTTGAGCTCCCATTAGAGAAATTTCTCTGAAATTTCAGAATCAGAAAATATTGGGTCTCCATTTAGTAAGTGATTTGTTTTTACAGATACCACAAATCCTACAATTTTTCCTGTTTCTGTCTTGGCTTTGGTTTCTTGGAATCTTACCATCTTACTGTTTGTCCCTTCTAGCCATTGCTTTGCATACATTTTAGCATAAATTTCCACGTGCCGACCTTCTGACTTTTTCTGTCTTGGCACTGTCACATTGTCACAATTTCTAGATTTATTTTCCACACACACATATACACACCAATGCTTTGGAGGCGAGGTATACACACATATGCAGATAGGTATGCCTGAGGATTTCATTGGATTTCCACAGTTGTTCCTGCTTTGCTGATGAAGACTCTGAGGACTGATTCATTTAGCCAAGGTCACCTGGCTTGTAAAAATAGCTAGGGTTAGAACAGATTCTAGCTTTTCTTAAAACAATCACACTACCTCTTTCTGTAGCTACTTTCAAAGGAAGCATCAAAAGAAGCCCCTTAACTCATTAATACGAGTAAGGAGCCTTCTCCATCATGAAATGCACACTAGTGTCTCAACAGACTTAAAGTTCTCTAAGTTACCAAAACTTGAAGAACGGGAAATGCCAACATTTTGCAGGTTTTACTATGATTGCATCTATTCAGCATTAGAAAAATCCTAAATTTCATATTTATTTTATAATTATGTAAATAATGACACAAGAATTCTTTTAAAAGTTCCTTGATAATTTTAATTCTCCAGAAACATAGTTGTTGAAAGTAAGTTCCTTTCATGATACCAGTCCTGTTCCATATCAACTTATGACTTGCTCTCTGGCTGATTGAAATACAGGGTCTAAGACATGCTTTAGCAGCAAAAAATGTAAAGGAGGAAATGTATAGTTTCCTTTTATTTAGAATGAATATTTGCTTAAGGTAGATAACATTTCTTTTCCAATTACATTTTTCCTTAACATGTACTAGCATACTTACTGAAAAGATATTTTTCTTATACTATAACCTGTTAAGCATATAAATAATTTGTTGTCAACAATATTAAAACTCTTCTCTGTTGGTAGCAACACATGGGAAAAAGAGAAGGGTGAAGCACTCTGAAATCAAATTAGCAAAGAGAAGGAAAGTGAGCTCACTGCAGAAGACCATGTGGTAGCCTTTCTACTGCTGCACTGGTAGATGGTCTCATATCTTTCCTACAATGGCAATACATGATGGTTTTTTCCTGGAGCTCTTAGGCAACATTCATTGAACGGATAGTTCAATTTTCAAAAAATAAAGATGTATTTTTTGATGGAGTTTGGGCCATTTCAAACCTTCACAAGGAATTTGTAATTTTTTTGTTTTCTTTTCTTTTTTTTTGAGATGGAGTCTCACTCTGTTGTGCCCAGGCTGGAGTGCAGTGGCATGATCTCAGATCACTGCACCCTCCACCTCCCGGGTTCAAGCGAATGAACCCGGAAGGTGCCTTAGCCTCCCAAATAGCTAGGATTACACTCACGTGCCACCACACCCAGCTAATTTTTATATTTTTAGTAGACACAGGGTTTCATCACATTGGCCAGGCTGGTCTTGAACCCCCGACATCAGGTGATCCACCCACCTCGGCCTCCCAAAGTGCTGGGATTACAGGCGTGAGCCACCACGCCCAACCAGTTATTCATAATTCTTATCACAGAATCCAAATGGCTCAGTTTGAATTCTGAATATGGCACAGGGGTGGGAATGGTTTACAAACCAGAGGCCATATATTGAGTTTAGATACCCACTGAAAAATTAGTGTTCGAGGAGTCAGCAAAATATATCAAAGTCTGACACTATTGGGTTACTCTGTTGAAATCGTTCCATGAAGTTTAAAGACCAGTTTCCAGAAGGTCAGTTGGGGTTGTCCAGCACATAACATTTTCCGTATTTGCATTACTTTGGCTTTGTCACTTGAATATTGGCATGGGAGCCTGTGCTTTGTGGTTTGAGAGTTTTTTAGTTGCTTATTTCTCAACTTAAGCAATAATCCTCTTTTGCTGACAGCTTTTTAGTTACTGTAGAAATGATTGTGTTGTCATAAACACAGCTTTAGGATTTCAGGTGGGAGGGGGAGAATCAGAGGGTGTTCAACAAAAAGCTCATGTTTCCACCCAAACACACCCACCTAAGTACTTGCAGAAGGCTCAGGGAAAACAGAAGCAGAATTCTTTTCCCTGTTCCACTTTTCAAAGTTCATTATGTGGAATCAGATGCTTTTAAAACATTTCAAAAGAGGCTTCCATTTAACCTCCAAAAATAAACAAACCACAATTCTGCTCCCCATTTCTCCCTCAATTTAATCATTTGTTCCAGTTTTCCTACCTTTGAAATCAGATGATTCAGCTCCTCTTTCTGCCTTAACAGTTTGGAATAATTCGAATTTCAGAAGCTAATGCTTGATTCTTCTGCTCTCCTTATTTTTATATTGTAATAGTCTTCATCTGTTTTCTATCACTTAATTTCTGATTTGGATCTCTTTCCTTTAATTTTCCATGAGGACTATTCTCTCTTTTGTCTGTTTTCTCTTTTTTATAATTCTCACTCTCCATTCATGCTCCAAGAAAATGGACCTTTTCTGCCATGATTTCGCACTCCTTTTTAAACTTTCCTCACCCATGTTCCACTTTCTGCTTTTAAGTCAGTAATAAGATATTATTTGAAGCGTGGCTCAGATCTCATATTTTAAAAGAATTTCTCTACCTATAATGGCTTCTAGCAGACTCTACCTCAGCTATGTCCCTAACTGCTTCTCTGACAGAACTTCGCGTGGCTTCCTTCCTCTTCTGTCTGGTTTTTATGGTTTCCCAATACAGTATTGACAAAAGAGAATGGGCTTTGGGTCCACACCTGTATGGATTTAAGTCTCAGCTCTGTCACAGCTGCATGATCATGTGCAGATTACTTTGCATCTGGATTTCCTTACCTGCAAAATAGCAGTAATTTTACACAATATTTTAGAAATGATTAAAAGAGAGCATTAGAGCATAGACTGTGAGTCATATTGAGTGTTCAGTGTTATACAATTTTTTTTTAGTCTTCAGATAATTTTGGCATTGTTTTGCTGCTAGAGAGATTGCCAAAAGATCAGAGTGGTGTGTAGTACATGAACAGTTTCCAAGAGAAAAGCCTTATATTGCATGGTCTCTTCTTTGTCTTTTTTCCACCTATCAGGCACACATCTATTTGTTTTTTTTTTTTGGCATTAAAATTATGAAATATTCAAACATAAAGTATAACAATTAAAACAATATATGTCTATGATCATCCACACATAGCTTGAACAATTCTTAGCATTCTGTCATAATCATATCAGTTGTTCATGTTAAAGAAATAAACTATTTTAGATTTGGTTAAAACCTTCTGTGTCTCTTCCCTAATGTCATTTATCTGTCTCCCTTTCCAGAGATGTAACCTTGCTGAATTCGCTCTTGATCATTCCTATTTATATATTTTTACTTTTACTCTACATGTGTATTTCTATATAAAACATAAGACTTTATTCTGCATATTTTAAACTACATATATGTAATATACTGAATGTATTTTACAACTTGCCATTTTGTTTAACATTTTTTGTTGGATTTATCACATGTGCCATATCATGTTGTTTTGTTTTGTGCATTTCTATTGCAGCATAGTATGCCATTGTATGAATGTGTTGCAGTAATAGTGCAGTTGGAAGACCAAGTGGAGTGGATGATTCTAGTCTAACCCAAGGACAAAATCTGATTCAACTCAGTAATGAACTAAACACAGCAGCTTGCTTCAGTGATACCTTGGGATACCAGGCACAGCTCCACCTGTTCTGTGAAGACAAGGGGCAGCTCATCTGCTGGCACTGTGAGCGGGCACCGCAGCACAAAGGGCACACCACAGCTCTTGTTGAAGACGTATGCCAGGGCTACAAGGAAAAGCTCCAGAAAGCTGTGACAAAATTGAGGCAACTTGAAGAGGAGTGCACAGAGCAGAAGGTGTTCACAGCAATGCACATAACTAAATGGACAATAAGTACAGAGTTTATTTCGGCCAAGTTTGAGGACTGCAACTCAAAAGCAAAGATTTAAGTTGCCCAGATTATACACTCTCACTGCATGAATTTAGACAGCAATAATGGAAATTGCAATTTTATATCTCCTCATGAGAAGACACAAATTCAGAGACAAAAAAATCGTTTGACTTTAAGAATCTCCAGAGTTTCCTACATGAGGAGAAGAAGTCTTATCCCTGGAGACAGGAGAAGGAAGAACGATAGACTCTGAATAGACTGAGGGACCATGGGACCAGTCTGGGGCTGAATTCAAGAGCCACATGCTGGAACTGGAGGAAAAATGTCGGGGCTCAGCCCAAAAATTGCTGCAGAATGTGAATGATACTGTGGGCAGGAGTTGGACTGTGAAGCTGGAAACATCAGAGGCCTTCTCCTTAGAGCTTCATACTATGTGCAACATTTTTGAGCTTTATTTCCTGTAATGTGAAGAAAATGTTAAGGAGCCATCAAGAGATGGGGTTTTGTCATGTTGCCCAGGCTGGTTTCAAACTCTCGCACTCAAGTGATCCACCTGCCTTAGCCTCCTACAGTACCGGGATTACAGTCAACATGACTCTGGATCCAGATACAGCTCATAGTGAACTAATTCTGTATGAGGATTGGAGAAAAGTGACTTGTGGATATCCCCAGGACCATCACAGCACTTCTTCCAGGAGATTTAGTGCCTTCCCCTGTGTCCTGGGTTGTGAGGGCTTCACCTCTCAGGAAGATGCTCCTTCAAAATGGATGCTGGAAAACGAACCAGGTGGGATTTAGGAGTTTGTATGGCAATATGCAGAGGTGCACTGACATGAAGCAAGAGCCTCAGTCTGGATTCTGGAACCTCGGACTATGCCAAAAGAAAGGCTATGTAGCCCTTACATCTCCCTTAACTTCCCTTCATATGTGTGAGCAGCCCTTGGTTGTGGGAGTGTTTCTGGACTCTGAGGCTGGAGTTGTATCCTTTTACAACATGAGTACTGGCTACCACATCTTCACCTTCCCAAAGGCTTCCTTCTCTGATACTATCCGGCCCTATTTCCAGGTTTATCAATATTCTCCTTTGTTCCTGCCTCCCCCAGATGGTTAAGGAAAAGAGCAAAGTCTCATTGGTTTAACCATCACAGAGAATATAATGTAAATCCCATAAGGGCCAATATATATATATTGCATGCAAAATAGCCTGTATCTGGCTTTTTAGAATATGACTGATAAATGGCTCTTGTAAGTTTTTCATTAAACAATTTAAAGATGAATCCACCAAAGTTCACTACTTAAAGGAAATGTATAAATGTGATTTTCTAGATCAACTTCTTGTTTTCTCTCTTGATTTGCAATAGATTAAGAGTAAATAATGTTATAATTTTATGTTGTTTCATAGGTTCAACAACCTTTCATATATCTTTATTGGGCAAGTAGTAAGTTGAAAGTAAATGTTTGTTGAAATTAAATTTGACTCATACAATAACTCTAGGAGGTAAGAGATATTATCTCTGCTTTCTATGGTATTATATTCAAAGTAGGCAAAGTTAGTTATAAATGCATAAAAGCCTCAGTTTCATCTTTTAGTTAGATTCTAAGGATGTAGATACAGCAGTTGAACAACTGGGAAAACTGTGAAAACACCTTCAGTAGAAGAGTCTGTCCTATTTAGACATTAGAATTGGATTTAAAGAGACCCTGGGATATGATTGATTGTCATTATGTTGAAAGGAATACTCAGCATTTTGCTCCAAGAGCTTTTTTTTTCCCCCTGTAAGATTTGGACCAAACATAAGTTACTTTCTCAGGGAATTCATGGGGAATGCTTTGAAGAGTTTCATCTCTTTAGTGTAAAACATTATTTAACAAGAATTTGGCTTTGATCAATACTCTTTTGAATAAGGATAGGGTATTACCCCAGTTCGTTTTTTTCTTTTATCAGTCCTTCTATTAAATTAGAAATTACATTGGAAATCTCATTTTCTTGGGGAGGGGATCCTTGGAAAATGTCGAAGTGAGATTTAACTGTGTATTGTTTAGTTATTCATTTTAAGAGTGGTTTATGAAAGATTTGTTAAAGTTTTTTCATTTTTCCTATTATAAGTGGTAATAAGAGAAAACCTTGGTAGTCATAGTTATGGCCACAATTATAGTGACACAATTAGACTGGCTGACATTTACTTGATAATTTAATTCAATTATTGCCTTTTTAAACATATGTGTGATAGCTGCTAAGTATGGCTATAGAAAGTATGGCTATAATTTTTGCTTGGGGTGATAAACAATTTATGTAGCAACAAAAAAGTTATAATTGTAGAAATCTTACTGATCCTTGGACCAGGAAAAGGGATTGTATTTTACGTGAGCGCTACCCAAATTATCTTGTCACATAGAATTGTGTTTTATAAATAAAATGCCCTTGTTAGTTATTTGTTGAAAGAAAGAGAAGGGAGGAAGGAAGGGAGGGAGGAAGGGCAGGAGGAAGACAGGAAGGAAGGAAGGAAGGAAGGAAGGAAGAAAAATATCTTCTCAAATTTCAAATTGGGTAATAATAATACTGTAATATAATGATTGAAAATACACGCTGGCCAGGTGTGGTGGCTCACATCTATAATCTCGGCACTTTGGGAGGCCTAGGCGGGTGGATCACTTGAGGTCAGGAGTGCATGACCAGCCTCACTAACATGGTGAAACCCTGTCTCTATTAAACAATACAAAAATTAGCCAGGCGTGTTGGCTCATGCCTGTAATCCCAGCTACTAGGGAGGCTGAGGCAGGAGAATCACTTGAACCTGGCAGGCGGAGGTTGCAGTAAGTCGAGATCACACCACTGCATTCTGGCCTGGGCAAAAGAGTGAGACTCCATCTCAAAAAAAAAAAAAAAAAAAAAAAGAAAAGAAAAAAAGAAAGAAAATACAAGCTTAATTCTTACTGTATTCCAGATGTAGTGCTCAGTGTTCTACCTATACAGGACTAGAATTCCTCATCCATGATTCTAAAATTCAAGAAATGTTTGTTTTAAGCTCAATTAGCAGCAAGACCAGACATGACCTGAACTCACTTGGTAGCAAAAACTATCCTTAATGGACATAATATGGTGATGTACTGTATTATCTCTCTAAAAGAGAAATAACTTCACATTCTGAGACACTTCTGTCTATGTGAGTTTGTAGCTGTGTACTAACTCATTTAGCCTTTGCGAGGACCTTATGAGGTTGGCACTATTATTATGTCCATTTTACAGAGAAACAATTGAAACAGAGAGGTTAGGAAAGAAATATTTACCAATAATGACTGTTTTAAAGTCTGCAATCCTCTGGTTAGAAAATTCCTTGAAAAAAAAATTTTTAAGAAAGTTTCGATATATCACCAGTCTTCAAGTCATCTTTCAGATTCACCAGAGGGAAAAGGGGATTGCCATGACTACTTACATGTTAAAACTTCTGGGATTTATTATAATATTTCTGCTACTATTTCTAGAAAGTTCCAAATGTATTATGATAAAAAAGTAGAAATATGTTTTTTTGGGTGGTTCTTACTGCCAAAGTGTAATTATTCCCTCCCATATGGAGCTCCAAAACATAGTAAAAGGGAGCATTTTACTGACATCTGGCTTTATTTTTGCTTGTTACATCTTCCAGACCCCACCCTTGGTTACTTCACATAATATACATTACACATATCTTACTATACTGTGAGAAGGTTCAGAAAAATTGCTGTGACAACTAATTAGTATTTACTTAGCGGATAGTACAACATTAGCATTTACTTAATTCAAGAGTAGTCTTGTTTAATTTAAGGCTACACATCCTATAATTATTATGGGCTTTTAAATTTAGGTACTTATTGAAATTTAAGTTTAAATTGCAATGTAGTCATGTTTTCACATCAATTTTAAATATCTTTCTGCATGTAATGAATATCATATTTAACAGTTTTACCCAGGTTTTTTTTTTTCAGATTTTAAAGTTAGTGGTTAAATAAACATAATCCAGTAATTTATTTCCAATAAACTCTTAGGATTTGTTGCATGATTTGGTGGTCTATGTGCACTGATAGGTTTCATAGATGATGGCAGAGCCCTCGTGACTACATTGAAGAGAAACTGTCAACACAAACTTATGCTTGTAGTATGGTCCTTGTCAAAGTTGTTGCCTTTGGCATTTTTGCTAATCATTAATGCAAAAGGATCTTGTTTTTGCCTTCAGAGGAGATCAGTGCAAAGTTAATGCAGAACATCTTACCGACTGTGGGAGCAGAGGGTGGTTTTAAACTACTGCAGGGGAAGAAGCCAGTTGCCTAGTTGAAGGGTAACACTGTTTACAATGCATGTGGTTGCTGTTGTGATAAGCCTCCAAAGAATGTGGGGAGGAAGGATAATGCAGGCCAACTCTGATTGCTTTTGGAATGTGGCAATTTGTCCTTGGTTATCATTGGTGTTTAACATGATTTGATAGAATCGCTTTAGATCTATCTGAAAACTGCCAGTGATCTGAGAAAACCCTATAGCCTACCACAGTTGGTTAGCCCACCCTTTCAGTGTAGACTCCTACTCACTTCCTCCCTGCCTGTCTACACTCATTCTGTCAAATTCACATTGTCACATGTTCATGTTCACATACCTTTAAGGAATGTGAATCTTTATCTTTCTCCTCTTTATCTCTCTCTCTGTCATGAGTGCATGATAGAGACAGACATACAGGCACACACAAACATACACACACACACACACAGACACACACTCTTAGCTTTTCTTCCGAGGCATCCAAGATTCTTCTCTAGTTAGATGACACTTCTTGTATGTTTGTGAAGAACCATAGTCCTATAAAAATATTCTAATTAAATTATTTTTTCAAGGGCCTAACTTGATGAAGAACATAAGGCTATCAAGAAACCATTATCTCCGCCTATAAGTGAGAGTTGAAATCTTACAGCATGTGTTAAAACCTATGATGAAACTACACGTGAATGACAAGCTTCTTGTGTGGTAAGAGATTATTAATTTAGAAATATCTTGATTAATCAAGGATGGTCAATGAGATTTTTTCAGTCAAGAAATCTAGTCAGAATGTAGGAAATATTCTGCATCTGTTTTTTTTCAGTTTTGCTTCTGGGGAAAAATGAAGACTATTAATTGTGACCTTACAAAGGACAAGTGCGCATTTTCCTAGATAAGTTGTGTGAAGGCCATTGAGACCTTCCCGCTGAAGAAGAAAGAGGCTTAAACAGATAGTACTGAGAACCATTGATTCTCTTTGAAGCCTCAAAGTAAAATCAATTTCAAGTTTTGTTTTGTTCATTAAAGTTAAGAGAACGATCAATTTTAGACTGAGCCAAGAATGAAAACATTAAAATACTGGCTATTCTGTAACTTAACTGGGATGGGAGAATAGACACAGAATAGTTCCCAGATTTGTCTTAATCCAGTGGTTTCTGAACAGTGTGCCAAGGCACCCTGGCATGCTGCAGCAAACTCACAGGAGGGCTGTGGGACGTTTTACATTTTCCAGCGAAACACAGCAACCCTCGATACCTTTTGGTCATAATGAAGCTTGAGATAGTTCACAGTTTCCTCACTGATCATGCTACGTTCTTTTTGCTGATATTGTGTCTTTATAAAGCTGAGTTTTTGGTGATTTCTAACTAGTTAATAAATATAATTATTAGACATTTCTTTGGGTCTAGGAGTGCTGTGAAAAAATTACTGAAACAATAAGGGTACCATACACCAAAAAATTGGGAACTTTTGCTTTTACTCTGTGTGTGTATGTGTGTGTAGGCAAACAAATTTTGTTAGTGGTAATTAATATTTATGTATTTATTCTAATACATAGTTTTATAGAAACATTATTGGTAATTTGGGATATTAGACTGTATTTTCTTTGAATCTATAAATTATGTTTATAGGAAGTCATTCTGATTAGATTACAAGAATTTAAATAAGTAATACCATTCACCTGGTGGCAGCTTAGCCAAAGTACATACTATATCCAGTGCTTTGGTTGTAGAGCATTTCTCAGCATCATGGCTCAGAAGTGAAACCATATCTGCATTCCTCTGATTTTCTCACCCAGTTCTTGAGATTAAAAGAAGCTTAAATTTGCCCATTTGAATAGAATGCCCTGTTTTCAGTAAGCCCCATTGAGGGCTACTCTACCTTGGGATCTCGTGTCTTTATTGCCTCTGTGAAGTAGACAAGAGTTAAGTTAATGGGCTAAAAACCAAAGATGAAGAGAGAGCTTAGAGGATGAAATTTAGGGAGATCACAAAATTGTGTTTACTCAGAGTATCAATTTTGTAATTCTTTTCCAAAATTTCTGAGTCCTAGGGCTGGCCAGTGAGTTAACAATTTCACATGTTGTAATCTAATTAAAGTATCTTGTTTGCTCCCAGTTCTACCAACTATTCCAATTCCTTTGGTGTGCCTAAAAGAGGAAATTTATAATCTAATTTCTATTTCTTTGTGTGTTATGGCATTTGGACAGTGGCCATGGTTTGCAGACCTGTCAAGATGATAATAACTTTCATCTCTGCATTGGGAGAATGTTTGGAGCTCAATGTACACCTACCAGTTTCACATTGCTGTCAGTGAGAATCACCTCTAAGGATCTTCTCAGCTCTTCTTCTGTCTGCATGGCCCATTACCCTCTTCTCAGCACCCCGTTTGCTTACTCAATTATGGCTGTCACATGTGATCTGAGCACTGCTGAAAAGCTGCATCCTTTTCTTCATGACGCCTATTAAGTCTGTGTCAGTGGGGAGCAGCTTCTGAAAACCTCAAGGTGGGATGCTCCCCACAAGCCAGCGATTGCAAGCACTGGTGTAACTGTGTTCTTGTCTTGACATTGCTAATATCTGTATCCAGTTGTCATTCCTCAGCTCTCTAGAATTCTCTACAAAGACATTGATTTCATTTAAAATATATTTTTTTCTCCTTGAATTTCCTATACACAAGATTCATGTTACATTTGAGGCATCCCTTTCTGTAATTGGATCTTAATTGACAACTAGGGCTAGATGTGGCTTATGGAAATAACTTACAGAAGTTACCCAATCCTTCCAAGTTGAATAGTTTTTCAACGAGATTTTGTACAGCTCAAACTTATAAAGTAGACAAATGCAAAGTTGGCCTGCCTCCAATCAGAGCATGAGCCTAAAGCCTCCCTCACTGACAATCCCCCTCATTTTCTTTTCCAAAAATCTCTCTCCTTCACCTAACAAAGCTAGGCCTTAGGGAACACCTTTAGAATGAATTGATTAACATGATATTGGTAAATTTAGAAAGAGAACTCATCTTTTGATTTTCAGGAAAATGTTCCATTTATTAAATGCATACAGCATCCCATTCTTAGCAGCTCAAGTGATAATTCAGAGTTAGGCATACAGCAGAGGTTGACAAACTGTCACAGCAGGCCAAACCCAACCCTCCACTTGATTTTGTCAATAAAGTTATATCAGAACATGCACATTTATTTATGTAACATTTATGGATGCTTTCATGCTACAAAGGCAGAGTTTAGGAGAGACTAGATACCCCACAGAGCCTAAAACATTTATTTTCTGGCAATTCAAACAAAAAGTTTGCCAGAAAAATATTTTCTGGGAGCCATGTGCTCAGCAATCTACAAGCAAACAGCTTATGATAACCTACAATTTATGATTCACAAATCAGTAATTTAAGATATCCAGATAACTGGTATGGTTTAAATCCAGTTTTTCACTATTTACTCTTTTAGAATACATTGACATTTAAAGTTGATATTAAACTTTATTTTAATTTTATTCCTTTTTTGATCTAATAAAATTTCCGCATTTTCAGTTTACACTTCAAAAAAGGTGAAAATTTTCCTCTGACATTCTCAATTTAAAAAGAGTTTTCAGATTTTGAATGCATCGATATGATGTGAAAGCTACTCTGTACCAAGGAAGGAAATTCTCTCTTCCCCAACTCAGGCTTTGAATAACTTCAGATCAATGTATGAGCAATGTCCTTGCTTTTATCTAATATGAAGAAAGCCAGTGTGCTGATGGCCTCTGAAAAGCTTTCCGAGTTGGCCCAAGATGAAATAAACTCTCCTTAAAGTAAAATAAATGGTACCCCACAAAGCTATTATACAACACATGCCATCAACACTGTCTTCCCATTTTTAATAATACATCATAGCAGAGAAAGAAGCTAGTAGAAGAATCAACTTCTCCTAGTGAGAAAGATCTGAAAGTGATTTTACTCCTCTATTTTTCTTTTAAAGGAGTTCTCCCCTTGGGCCCTATTCTTTAAGAAATACAAGTAATAATAATCTAAGAAAAGGTGATATCATTTATTGGCCTTCTTCAAAGAATAGTGCTTATTTAGTTGACTTAGCAAAATATTTTAAATTGACTAAGGTCTTGAATAAATGTTTAATTTTTTTGGTGGGGGCAGGGGGGTGTCAATGATAATTTCCATTCCATGATCTTCAGCATGTAAAAACTATCAAGTCATAAAATATTATAAAAATCCGGACTTGCTTTTTTTTTTTTTTAACATTGTGTGGCCTAAAAGAAACTATATGAGACAATAAGAAATTAGAAGGCAAGAAAATAAAAGAATGCTACCAAAATAGAAATAAATAGGTTATTTGGTTGATAGGTATTACTAGAGAAAATTCAAACATTATGTTGTTGTTAATCAGTTATGCTTGCTGAATAAACAACTCTGCATAGTACTCTGTTAGCTATGTTAGGGCAATATTCAGAGGTGTGTGTATGTGTGCACGTATATGTATGTGTGAATTAAGAGACATGTAATATATATTGTTCACATGTTTGACACACTCAGTGACTATAGCCACAGCCATGATTTTAGGCTATTTGGAGGTTTACCTTTAGCCCACTCAAGAAAATATATCTAGAAAGTAAGAGTGACTTTATTATAATAGTAGCCTGGATGCATTCTAGCATATCATCCCTGTGGTAAGAGGACTTTTCTCAGTTGCACCTGGTAGAAACCTAATGCCAAGAGAAACTTTATTGCCCCCACATAATATTAAGTCGGTGCAAAAGTAATTGCGGTTTTCCCATCAAAATGGAAAAACCGCAATTACTTTTGCATAAACCTAATAGAAAAGCACAGACGTAAAACTGAGTAGCTTCTATTTCCCTTCCTCTGTCAACTCTTCTTTCCTCCGTGTTGGTTTTATTCTCAAGTATGCTTTTTCCACTTGGTGGCAAAAAATGTCTCTGGTAGCACCAGGCTTGTACAGTCTTTGGTACCAATGATCTAAAAGGAAAAGAAGTTCCTCCCACTCCCCCAATCACAGCATTTAGTTTAATACTGAAAGTGACTCTAATTGACCTTGTGTAGCCAATTTCTCACCCTTGGACTGATGAATGTGCCTAGGGGTCTGAAGTAGCGCATCACATGCCCACCCCTGTAGGTGCGGAGGAAAGTCCTTTTATTGACAGCAGACTCAAAAAAAGCAGGAGGAGTTTACAAGATGAAAAGGATTTTGTACTAGAAGAGCAGGGAGGGATGGTGGCAGGCAGAAAGCACAGATTATTTCTTCAATTTTTGTACTCGAACTACTGTTAGAAATAAAATCTTCATGGCACCTCTTGTAAGTGACCATGGCATATCAGTTTGTCTTGACGTGACAGCCGGGCATAGTTATTTTAGTGAGCTTTAAAACAAGGGCGAGACAGTCCCTGCCCATAAAGGTCATTGGTCAATTCTTAGAACAAATCTCTAGTAGTTCATATGCTTCTTCGGTGACTTAAAAATGTCAGGGAGAGAAAAAGAATTTAGATAGTAAATGGAATCCAAAAATCCCTGAGATTTAGACTGCAACATTTAAATTGCAGGAAATCTCACCCTCAGAAATATAGCTTTAGTAAATACTGATTTTTTTATGAAGACTGAAGAAATCACTAACTTTACCTCATTTGTTTTTTGTTTTCTCTATACTATCTAAACTACAAGAATGACTGTGGTATAATTTCTTAATGTTCTTCTTCATATTTTTAGAAGAGATTTTCCTAGAGATGTAATATGTTGGATGCTTTTATGCAAATGTTATCCTATTGAACTGTTTGTACAAGCATGTGGACCAGTTTAGCCTACAATGATGCAAAAACATTTTCAAGACCTTACATATAATTTATACTTATATTGAAATGAGTATAATTTATATCATATAATTTATATCCTCATAAAATTCAGAAATCCAAAAGACGATGAAGATCCATGCTTTACAGGGAAAGAAAAAGTGACTAAATTATTTCCAATTTGGTTAAATCAGGAGCCTCCAATTCATTTTAATCATGTATCTATGTAAGTAAAAATATTACATATCTAAATGAGTAAAAACATTATGGCTATGTATCTCAATATAATCATTTTAAAATTTATGAATTATAGAAAGACATTTTAAATATAAGTAAAGCTTGATTTCTTTCTTATGTTTTAAGATTAAACATAAATATAAGCAGATGTTCTTTCTCACCCTTTTAGATGATCATGCATACTCTGTTTTAGACACCACTGATTTGAACAACTACGAAATAAGAAGAGAAATAGATACTATATACTTTCACGTGGATTTTGGCAACATGGTAAATTTACTTTGCTTTGGCAGGAAAATTATAGATTTTGATGGGCTGACTTGGTTTCTGGGCTCAGTGTGGTTACTTCATGGAATTAGCCTTCAAAGACTTGTCAATACAGGACATGACTCTATGTGGGTATCTACATGAATTTGTGCTTTTTTTCTTGGTTTTCCTGATTTTAATCCTGAAATTGAGAATTGTATAGGAAAATTTTGAGTATTTCACCCTCAGAAATATTTCTGAATACTCCAAATATTAGAAAGCAAGTTCTAAGCCTGGGTCCTAAGAAGTCTGAAGGAATTGACTTCTTTCTCTTTCATGTCGGCAGCCCTCTTCTCATAGGCATTTCCCATTTGAAACTCACTACTGTTGAGTCCTTCAATCAGTATTAGAAGGCCAATACTGATTAGAAATACTCTAATTGGCTGCCTATTAGAGTATTCTGGAAACACAGCTTACCTTCCAGGTTATGTTATACTTAAAATATAAAACCTAGAATGCCTGAGTAACTTCAAGATTTAAAAACAATGATGATGGGAATTGATATATTTCATCGCAATCATCTTCTATTTTTCCTCAAATCTTCACTAGAATTAAGTCATTTGGAACACGTGAGATGTTTTCAAATTTTGGGTTAGGGATAAGGGAGGGAGTTTGTACAGACATAGAAAGGACAAAATATCCCCCCCGAGACTTGGTTTTAGCACATATTGTGTCTTTTAAATCTTCTCACTGCCCAGGTCTGACCCATATGTCACAAATGATTTGAGAGATTAATGCTGAATAAATATCTATTCAAGCTATAACTTGGCCTGTCTTTCAGATTTACATCATTTTATAAGTTCCTAAATGTTAAAAAAAATCTTCCTTGTTCAGAGTTAAGTATGAATATGCATTTCCTTCTGAAGAAATCATTTTTGTGAATTTAAACTTATTGAAAATAGAATACTGTGTGTCTGGCTTACTCATAATAGATTTGCCTAGAATTTTTTTTCTCTGCTTTAAGTAAGGTCTTGATAACCCAAATTCTCATAAGATTATAAAATTAGAGAATTAAATAAGTTAGGAATGACCTTGCAGAGTAATTTTATCTGCTCTAGGCAAGAATATACTCAAACCCTTTCAGAAAAGGTGAAGATACAGTCTGTTTTTAAATTCCATCACCTCTTAATTCCAGCAAATTGGGAGGCCAAGGCGGTAGGATTAACTGAGGCCAGAAGTTTGAGATGAGCCTGTGCAGCATAGGGAGACCTCATCTCTACAAAAATAAAAAAATAAAAAAATAAAAGTTTTTATCACCTTGTAGTGGGTTAACTGGTGGCCCTCAAAAGGATATGTCCACGTCCTAATCCCTGAAATGTGTTACTATTACCTTACTTGAAAAAAGAACCTTTTCAGATAAACTTATTAAGGACCTCCAGATGAGGTCATTATTCCAGGTTATCTGGGTAGGCCTAAATCCCATGACAAGTGTCCTTGTAAGAGACAGAATAGGAAACGGTATAGACACACAGAGTAGAAGGCAATATGAAATAAAAACAACACAGCTTCAGTTCTGTATCCCAGCATCTGTTTAACATTCACTCAGTGTACTGGGTAGAATTGGATACTCCAAAAAGACATGTTTAATTCCTAACTCCTAGTCCCTGTAAATGTGACATTATGCTTATGTGGAAGTAGGATAGGATTTTTACAGATGTCATCAAGTTAAGATGAGGTCATACTGCATTGGGGTAGGCCTTAATCCAATGACTAATGTTCCTTTTTTTTTTTTTTTTTTTTTTTTTGAGACAGAGTCTTGCTCTGTCATCCAAGCTGGAGTGCAATGGCTCAGACTTGGCTCACTGCAACCTCCACCTCCAGGGTTCAAGTGATCCTCCCACCTCAGCCTCCTGAATAGCTGGGATTACAAGTGTGCACCACTGTGCCTGGCCCAGTGACTAATGTTCTTATAAGAAGGAGGAAATTTGGACAGAAAGAGGAGGACAACATGTGAAGATGAGACACACCCGGGAGAGTGCCACATGAAGAGGGAGGCAGAGATTGAGTGGTGCATCCTCAAGCCAGAGAACACCAGCGAAGACTGGCAACCAGCAGGAACTAGCGAGAGCCATGGAATGTATTCTTCCCCAGAGCCTCTGGAGAGGGCACCGCCCTGTCGACGTCGTGATTTTGGACTCCTGGCCTCAGAACTGTGAGATGATGAAGTTCTGTTGTCTTAAGCCACCCAGTTTGTGGTGATTTGTTATGGCAGGCACAGGACACTAACGCAACCTCTCCACTACTTATTTAGGAAAGCTTGTTATTTCACACTTTTGCCTAAGAGTAGCTCTGGGTTCTTGTTAGTTTTAAAGCTGTCCCAACATGAAAAAGAACAAATAAGCAAAGTGAGTTTGGCTGTGGAAGAATCTTGGTAAACTGAGATAATGTTCTGTTAACAAACGAGTCAACCTCTTTTACTTCCTGTCTCTCCTTTTTGTTCTAAGATAGAATGAAGAAAGGGACATTAGAAAAGAGAAACTTCGTTTTAGCTTCCTTATTTTTCAACAGTTCTTGTTTGTTTGTTTGCTAAATTTGCCTTCTGTTTTCTGAAAGTTAAGCTGATTCTTCCTTTATTCTTGTGCTCAAAATTAATCATGGCCTTGCACTTCACATTTCTCTAAAATATTAGTTACCACAAAATGCTATTCACATCCCAAAGATTTCAAACTATGTTGTAAATGAGAATCACTTGGGTGGTATTGTAAAATGTGAATTGTTTGAGCCCGCTATCCAGGAATATTTATTCATTGAGTCTAATGTGAGGCTCAGAAATTGGTTTCTTTTTTTTCACTCTGGTTTTTTTTTTTAAATCAACTCCATGAATCTAATGCTGGGTGGGGATGGGTCGCACTTTGGGAAACATACTTTAGTCCATCCTGGCTCAACTGATGGGAGGAGTGCTGAGGAAAAATCAAAGCATCCATGTTTTATGTCTTAATTTCTAATTCATTTTTTCTTCAATTTCATTTCTATAGGAACGAACCTTTCTTCTTCTGTGACTCTGAAAAGCAATGTTTATTTCTAAAGTTTTCCAGGTTCCTTAGCCTTTTGTTCTGTTTGCTTGACAGTTTTACTCATTTGCCCTTTTAAAGAGTTTAGGGGGAGTGGGTGGAGAATGCCCCTCCCTGTCCCTAGATCTCCCAATGATCTGCACAACTTCCAATTCCTCTGTCACCTCTCCTCTCTCTTGCATTTCCTACAGCTCGTTCTTCTGAGCAACCCATGACCATGGTATGTGAAACTCACAAGTAATAACCAAATAAACACTAGGCACTTTTGCTATTATTAGCTCAATTTACGGTAATCAGAAAGGTTAGCTATTATATCTAGCATTTTATTTACTTTTTAATTCTCAGTGTTCTAAGAACTGTACAGATACCTTCTGGCAATAGGCAGGTTCAGAGATTCATAAATACTTGCTGTTTCTTGACCCTTATTGGGAATCCTAAACCCCATTTTGACTTCCAATTTTTAAAGGAAGATGAATTTTTTTATTTAGATGCACTAGGATATATTGTTTCAGCTGGCTAACATCTGGATGCTTTCTCAGCACATGCTGAAGCCGACATTTCTAGCACTGAGTAGTTTGTTCCAGGAACACGAAGAGCTCGTTATTTACCATTGTTATTTTCTTTGACTCTAGAGAAAAGTCAGTGCTACAAAAGTATAAACTCGAAGGGAAAAATGAATTAAAGCTGATAGAGTTCAAAATGTTGATATTCTGATTATTGTCTCCTGGATTCACCCTAAAATAATTTTTTCTTTTTTGGAAAAGCAGAAAAGAAAGATGAAGTTAGATTAATTTTATTTCTATTTAAATAGACCATATATATTCTAAATTTTCCATTTTTTAAAAACCTCTTGGAGTCATAGAATGCATCACTTGACCTTGAAGAGACCTTGGAGGTTATGGAGTTCTGCCTCCCACGCAGCTCAGAAACATCCTCTGCTCAATCTTTGGCAGGTGGTCCTTCAGGCTGTCTGCTTAATGGCCCCTATTTGCAGAATGCTCTCCCTGGACAAAAACCAGCCCTTCTTTGAGTTAGTTTGAAATTAGGTTATTAAACACCATTAATAAGATGAAAAAAAATGGGTGCAATTAATCATTCATCTGTTCATTCATTCACTTTTCCACCTGGTTCCAAAGGAGATTTAATGTACTTTATGCTGGAAGTGGTAAAGGATGGTGGGCTTTGGAGTCAGACAGACCTGGGCTTGATTCCTGACTCACAAACTTGTTTCATGACATTAAGATAGTTGGTTATATTTCTAGGCCAAATTTTCCTCATCTGTTAATGGAGATTTTAATAACAATACTGACTTCATTGAGTGATTGTGAGGATTGAATGCATGTTGGGAAATTAGTAAATAATTCATGTTAATCACTATTATGATTTAATAGTTTTTAATAACTTACTGTAGCAGAAAGAAAAAATGCCAGACTTTAACAATGTACAGGGTCTGTGCGTGGTGGCTCATGCCTGTAATCCCAGCATTTTGGGAGGACAAGGTGAGGGGATCACTTGAGGCCAAGAGTTTGAGACCACTCTGGACAACATAGCAGGACTCAGTCCCTACAAAAATAAAAAATTAACCGGGTGACTGGGTGTGGTGGCCTACACCGTCATCCTAGCTACTCTGGAGGCTGAGGCAAGAGGATCGCTTGAACACTGGAGTTTGAGGTTATAGTGTGCCATGGCTGCTTCACTGCACTCCAACGTGGTGGAGAGAACAAGACCCTGTCTCTAAAACAACAACAACAAAACACACACACAAAATATACAGAGATGGTAGCAAGATTCATTTGCTAATTTGGGTGCCATATTAATTTGTTCGTGCAAAGGAAATCTATGATGCTAGTCCACCTTTGGTGAGGAAGCAGATTTCAGAGAATGAGAATGCCCAGGAGCCGTGGCCTATAGGATAGGCAGGCATTACTGAAGGAAAGCCTGGAGCAGCAGGTTCGTGTAAGACGAAGAAACAACACAAAAGAGGCCAAGTAATTCCTTCCTCCTTACATTCCTTCACCTTTTGGATTTTATTAAAATACCCATTGATACTCATATTTCTACTGCAGTGAGGGAAAGAAAATGATAATCCCAGAATACTGGAGAACATGTGAATATTATAATTTATCATTGATATTATTATTATTACTATTATTTTGAAATGGAGCCTCCTCTGTCACCCAGGTTGGAGTGCAATGGCGCCATCTCAGCTCAGTGCAACCTCCACCTTCTGGGTTCAAGATATTCTCCCGCATCAGCCTCCCAAGTAGCTGGGATTACAGGAACCCGCCATTATGCTCGGCTAATTTTTGTATTTTTGTAGCAACGAGGTTTCACCATGTTGGCCAGGCTGGTCTTGAACTCCTGATCTCAGGTGATCCACCCACCTTGGCTCCCAAAGTGCTGGGATTATAGGCGTGAGCCACCACGCCCGGTCTAATTTATTTTTAGATATTATATATGATACAGAATAACAAAAATGAAACATAATTTAGCTATTCATTCAGCAAATATTTATTGAGCTCCTATCTGTTGTAGTTCCTGGAGATGCTCTGGAAAAGAAAAATAAAAGAAAGAAAATCTATTTTTCACAGAGTTTACATTCTAGCAAGAGAGTAACAGAAAATAAATAACTACGTCATAGGCAAGTAGTACGTGCAGTGTCAGGGGATAGTGATGAAGGACGGGACAGGACAGAGGTCTTTTTAATTAAGTGAGCAGAAACCTGAAAGTTGTAGGAGTGAGCTAGAGAAGATGAAGGGATGTGCATTCCAGGCAGAGGGAAAAGGAAGTCCACAAGCGCCAAGGTAGGATTCCATCAGAATGACTGGAGTGGGCACGAGGCTAGGAGTGTGGAGGAAAGGAGTTCAAAGGGGCAGCCTGGGGCAGCTGAGAAAGAAAAGGGAAAATAAGGCTAGGAACAGAAATTGAAGCAGAAAATGATGCATTGTATATGATGAAGAGACATTGGACTAAAGTCTGTGAGGCTTCTCTTAGGGAACTCTCATGACATAGTATCCAGATGTCAGATGAAGGTCAGGCCTGGGGTGCCATCAGTAAGAATGAAGACAAAGTAATGGATCAGAAACTATTCAGAAAAAGAATGAAGGGCTTGGAAAGTTGGACCTAGAGGATGAAGGAGAGGGCTAATCCAAAGACTATCCTAAAGTCTCAAGTCTTAGTGATTGGGAGAATTCTGTCATGATACCACTAACCAAGAGAAGAAAGCTAGGAATGCAACCAGAATATTGAGCATGAGCATGGATACGATTGGCATAAGCTGGTGGCAGCAATTCCTGGGGAAATTTCCAATTAAAATTTAGTCCTGTTATGTGGTGAAAAGGGAACACTTATACACTGCTGGTGGAAATGCAAATTAGTTTAACCTCTATGGAAAACAGCATGAGATTTCTTAAAGAACTAAAAGTAGATCTACTATTCAATCCAGCAACCACACTAGTGGATATCTACCCAAAGGGAAATAAGTCATTACATCAAAAAGACACCTACATGCATCTGTTTATTGCAGCACAATTTCAAAGATATGGAACCAATCTAAGTACCCATCAACCAACAAGTAGCTGAAGAAAATGAGGTATATATACTACATGGAATTCTACTCAGCCATTAAAAAAGAATGAAATAATGTCCTTTTCAGTAACTTGGGTGGAACTGGAGGCCATTATTCTAAGTGAAGTAACTCAGGAATGGAAAACCAAATACCATATGTTCTCACTTATAAGTGGGAGCTAAGTTAGGGGTATGTGGAGGCAGACAGAGCAATATAATGGACTTTGTAGACTCAGACAGTGGGCAGTGGGAGTGACGGATGAAAAACTACATATTAGGTCCAATGTGCACTACTCAGGTGATGGGCATACTAAAATCTCCGACTTCACCAATAAACAATTCATCCTTGTAATCAAAAACTACTTTTACCTCAAAAGCTATTGAAATAAAAAATATATTTAAAAAAGTTAGGGTACCTATTCAAAGATCCTGGCAATGAAAGGAGAGAAGGCACATGGTACCGAGACAAGACAGTAACATCACACTTCTCAGGTTGGGGTGGATGCAGTAGAGGGTCATGAAAAGGACTCAGAGGTGCTATTAGAGGTGGATAAATGTATGGCTGGGCGCAGTGGCTCATGCCTGTAATCCCTACACTTTGGAAGGCTGAGGTGGTTGGATCACTTGAGGTCAGGAGTTCAAGACTATCCTATCCAACATGGTGAAACCCCATCTCTACTAGAAATACAAAAAATTAGCCGGGTGTGGTGGTACAGGCCTGTAGTCCCAGCTACTCCAGAGGCTGAGGTATGAGAATCACTTGAACCTAGGAGTCGGACATTGCAGTGAGCTGAAATCGCACCCTGGGCTGGGTGACAGAGCAAGACTCTAACTAAAAAATAAAAATAAAAATGTAAGTGCAAGGCCTTTTGGAATTTGGCAAAGAATAAAATCTAGAATTCTGTAATGTGAATGGGTGGCTTAATCATCTTAAATAAGGTCAATTTTGCTAAGAGGACCTAGGTTTTTTTAGATGAGTTCATTATTTTGAATAGTTGACAAATATTAATCCAAAACCACAAATTCCTTTGTGTTTAATTTCAGGAGCTCAGGGAAGTAGAAATAGTATTTGTTGGTAATCGGCTATATTTCCATAAATATGAGTCAGAGAACAAATAATCTTATAAAACCAAACTAAAAGGTAGAGGTGGTGAAAGGACTGGAGTAATATAGAGAAGATAAAGGAGATGACAGGCTACACAAGGCTCTGTGAGTTTCTGAGATCCAACTTCTTTTATTTCTTTGCTCAACAAATACTTGTTAATCATGTTATGATGTAACGGTCACTGTGCAGGGTTTTAAAGATTCGGAGAAAAAGTAGAGAAATGTGGCCCTGCTCTCATGAAGCTTCAGTCTAAAGAGGAGAGCAGATATTAAACAAATAATTACACAATTAAGACTGAATATGTTAGCACGTGGAGAAGTAGAGCGTGAAAAAGGCAATCCCTACATTCAGTTTCACAACCTTTCTACGTAATGGTGAGAGTGAGTTCCTCATGTACATTATCTGAGATTGTAATTTTTTTTTAAAGGAAGTTACCAACCCCATCAGTGTTTTACACTTATGGTAACTATATACATCATCATTCAAACCAGTTCACTGGTGTTAATCATTATGCCAGATAATGGCACAAAACAGGACCAAAACTCACTCTTTTTAAAGGGGCAATGAGGAGAGGACTCAAAGCAAATAAAATAATGACAGAGACAACGATACATTTGTTCAGGAAGTAAACAGTATTTTTCCTATGATGAGGTAAATAAATCAAGGAGGAAAGGAAAGAACTATTTAGAGAAGTCCAGTAGAATGTAATTAAGACTAATAGCATGAACCTAAACAGAGGAAAAATTGAGCTAAGTAAAGTACCAGCAACAATTTTCTAACAGCTAAGACAGATTATAAAAATCCTCTCAAGGGAAGGCACTTCAGCTAATGTGAACTGAAATATTAAAAATTAAAATGGAGAACATCCATGATACATATACTAGAAGAACTACGCCTTCACCATTAAAAGATAATTGAACAAAGACATTTTTTCTAGCTCTAATTCTTAATATTCTTGAAAACTTTCAAAGTTTTCATTTTTTTTTTCTTAAGGCAAAAAGCCCTTCTTTGTGACTGTAGTATCTAATCTCACTTGAGGTACTTAAAATCCCAAGACCAAACATTGGCACAGCTCAGATCATATCCTGGTTTTAATCTGTTCACTTAGTTTCTGTCTTAAAAACAACAACAACAACAACAACAACAAAGTCCATGGCTGAAAGGTCCAAGAGTTCTTTCCTAAAAGTTTCATTTACAAAAGACGCAATTTAAATGAACGTCTTCATTGGGCACCACAGAGGGCCAATCCAAGATACCCTATCTCCAAGTGTCTACTTTAAAAAGGCAAGGGAAACTGGCTCTGTCTGGGATAGGAAAGTGGGCAAGGCAGAATTCTAGTTTCTATAAATATTATATGATTCTTTTAATTTGGAAAGAATCAAAATTCATTTGGCCTAAAATATTTGGATACGTGTCTCAATTACTCTGTTAGTGTAAGCCCGACCTCCTCTCTGCTAGCAGAAAGAATTGGCAGACAAAATACATGCTGGTGACTCAGTGTGAGGTGTTCTCTCCTCCTTGGGGGGACGAAGCGGGAGCAGAGAACACTGAAGCCAGAGGCACTGACTTAAAATGGAGCATCTGATCCTTAAAGATCCCCTGGTATTTGTTGTCAGAGATGTCAGCTGGATTTCAGTTCAGATAATTACATTTTGCTTGTCTAATGCCCCTAGCAATTTCCAGTGGGATCTTCATTTCCCATCAGAAATTGCTCTGCATGTGATGCTGTGCTTCATTAAACAACTGCCGTGTGCTAGCTCACAGGTGGTGTTTGTTTCAGTGGTCACTGAAGTAATCTCTCCGCAGGCCCATGCCAGCCATACTGCCCAGACTTGAATTCTCTCCAGAGAAGTTTCTCATCCAAGATCCCCAGTAAAGAAAGTAAGTCAATCTTTAAGAAAGGGGAGTTTAGAAATGAATGACTACAGAGCGGGTTTCAAGAGGGTGTGTTTTAAGAGGCTGAATTTCGACATGTCTCTTCAATATGTACTCCAGTGGACCAATTTAATCTGGGCTGTCTAAGTTTTCTCCTTTTTACAGGGATCTTAGGATCGATTAGTCCTGATAGAAAAAGTGAAATGATGGTAAGGTCTATGGCAATTAACTTTCATTTCAAGGATTTGGGAGAACTTGGATAATTAAACTGTCAGGGAATCCTTACACATGTTTTCTTTGTTTTACATTTTCTCAAAATAGCCTCAGCTAAAACATTTAATTTGATGGGAATTAAGGTGGAGAATCCAGATACAAACTACCCCAAGAAAGCACTGTACTGAACCAAAGGCTGATAGCACACCTCAGGACTCTTTTATTGTTCTTGTAAATGCGTTTTAACTATAAAGTTTTCCATGGGCGTGTCATAATCCAACCACAGAAAAATTTATAATTAAAAAAATAAAAATTACTTTCATATTCTTTAACACAAGTAGGATGAGTTCTTTATAGGGGATATAGAGTGAGAAACCCCACTGTTGTGATGGACACAATATATTGTTCAACTACGTTAAAATGCCAATTTTTTATAAATTAAAATTACAGAGAAGATATTAGTTGTGATTGTCAAAAAGATGGAACATTACAATTTTGTGATTTCACCTATTTTTAGAAATATAATAAATATAGTAAAGAGGGAAAAATCTGGTAAATTATGGAGTTTATTTCTGTACTGGTTCATACAGATGTATTATCCTGTCATGATTTTAATAATAGTACTGTGGTGTATATGGAAGACAAGCCTGTAATCATTGGTAATTTGTGTTGTCTTGTTGTAATATGAATATTGACAATTAAAGTAAGTTCATATTATATTGAATATTTAAAATATCAAATGATTATATATATTTTTATTGAATACACCAGTACATCAGTTGTTTTTACACAGGAGAAATCCTTCTTTCTTCTCATTTGCCAGGGACTACTGAAGGAAAAAGGAAAGAAAATAGAGCTTCTTTCATCTTTATTCTGGGGTTTTCTGCAATTTTTTTAAAGAGAAAGGTAATGCATGTATTCAACTACATGTCTAGCTAAAAATACACTCTAATATAAAGTTTTAGAAGAGAAAAAAGAAACATACATTATTTATCTGTTTTATGAACTGAAAGAAAAAAATCAGAAAATAGTAGCAGTAACATGTTCTCTTATCAGCTACCCAAATCCCCACCACCGATCTCTATTTTTATGCTTTCCAGACAACTTTAGAAGAAAAGTTAAAGTCGGTATTTCCAACTTGTTGCTGATATGATGAAGCTCTTTAGTGAAAAACCAAAATCCTACTGTCTGAGAAAAGCATCACATCAGCAATGTCATAGGTCAGTCTCTCGGAATAAGTTATCACTTTGACACTTGTGATTTAACCACCATGCGAGTTATCTGACACAATTTTTCACCATAGGGTGATGTCTTTTCTGGAATATCTTTCACATTTCTAAACTCTTATCATCCAGTTTTGCTTATTCTTTAGTACATTTATCTCCTTTTAGTGCTAGAGAACCGTTAAGATGGCTTATATGGATACAGAAAATAAGACAAGATTAAATGAAAACCAAATTACATGAATAAAGAAAATGGGCTCACAGAATGAGAATAGGAACAAAATCATGAAGTTAGGAATATGCTGCTAGGTAAATGCTTAAGGGTTCTTCCCTGCTGAAAGGGGGTCATGAATTTCATTTACACTTTTAGTAAGCAATATAAGGGTAAAAGGAATCATTTGCTCAGGAGAAGCCCAATAATTCTTGGTACTGAAACTGACAGTGGCCTCTCCCAGGAGTCCTCATCGAGGGGAAACTGCGATTTAATGAGTAATATCCTTGTAGCAGCCTTACATTTTATGGAGAGAGTGTGGTCCAGTTTAGGAGCTACCTAGTTAGGCCTACATTTGAACAGGCTCTGTACTTTCATCACTGGCTATGTGACCTCAGGAAATTAACTTATGAAGTCCCAGGTTGAGCATTTGTAAAGTGTGTCCACCTCATATGAGGTGAGGATTAAATGAGACAAGGCACATGAAATGCCCAGCAAAACCACTGGTACCTGGTGAGTGCTCGATAAATGTTAGCTTTTACTAATCTGTGGTTACTTGGGGAGTGCAAAGGCACTTCAGTGTTAGCTCAAATAACTATGCATACAGAAGTAATTTGATGTGAAAACAAATAATATGAAGCATTGCGAAGTCTTGAATGTATATATTTGAGCTTACCCACGTGTGTGCACACATACAGAATGTTGATTTTTGTCTATTCCTTGGCCCTCTATTATATATATAGTAACTTTAACCTAGGCATCTAGTGTATGTTGAAGAAAGTTTAGCATTTATGTTTTACCAACTCCCAGGTTGGGTATAAGAACAAAAATTTGCAAAATAGGTGCCTTTTTCAAGTGCTGAGAATGGACTTGAGTTCCTAGAGTCAGCAAAGATGTGGATTAGGAGATAATTCAGACCAGCTAAGTAGACAATAAATGAATCCTATTATTGTTTTTTTTCCCCTTTCTACAAATCATTTCCTCATTTTAAGTAAAGAAGGAAATAGAAGGCTGAGAACTTTGGCTGGACATGGTTTTTTCAAAGCATTTCTCACAAGTGAGAAAAGGAACCGGGGTTGCCAGCTTCTGTAGGAAGAACTCAGTATCCACCACACAGAGATGAAAGAGGCACATTTTCCTAAGTATTTTTCTGTGATTGGAGTTTCAAAGAGTGATGAATTTGAAAGGTCAGCAGTTGATGCTTGTTTTTTAGTGTAGTTCTGGCTGGGAAATGGTATGATCAGAGAATGGAACTCTGACAAGTGAATTCTAAGTCTTCCACAGAAAGAACTTCAATAGTAGCAAAAAATTTGGGCAGACGAGATGGTAGATCCACTAATTTTACTGAACAATCAATTTGGTATGCCAAAATCTGCCGATCCGTTTTTGGTTTTAAGTCCTGAAACAGTATAACATGAGAAATTTTGTTAATATTTGTTTTGTTTTGTTTTCTTAGAGCATGAAGTAGCATAAAGATTATTCTGTATATTTCTCTTCTCTTTATCTTGCCTATGCCAGAAGTTTTACTGGACATGTTATTTACTTTAGGCATTTCCTTTAGGCCTTCTTTGCACAGTTTTAATAGTTTTTTGCTTTAAGAGGCTCCTATCCTGATTTCCTTCCTTTTGTATAAAGAGGAGAACATGATACCGTGAAAAAACCACTGTCTTATGTTAGGGGACCTTAGGTTCTTATTCTAGCTGTGCCTCTAGCTGCTGGTATGATATTGTTCTCTTCAAATAACTTGTCTTTGATTGTTTCACATTTCTGCTTCTAGACCAACTTAGTGGTTATGCTTCTTAAAGTTTCTTTTTTTCAAATCGGCAGAAACATTTTTTGAAGTAAAAATTTTCCTCAGAAGCCCAATATGTAAATTAGATGAAAGCCAAATCCCCTTGTTGAAATGAGATGTCTTACTGTTCTGAGAGCTTCTCCATCCCTAAGCTCTGGCAATAACCTAGGGCAATAACCCCCTAGGGCAGTTTCTCAAAGCATAGTCCATGGAACACTTGTGGCCCCCGATGATCTATGGGTGGTTCATAGGTGTTTTAGTCATTTTAGACTGAAATGTTTTCTCACATACATTTCTTAAATTTGAAGTATAAGAACAATAATGATTTTTTGCAGAAATGTCTTTATGTTCTGAATAATTATGTTTTCAAGGATTGTATATGTGCTACAAGCTCTTATTAATTTGTCTAAATAATTTATGTTTACATATTTCTGTATTATTGTTTTTGCTTACTGGTAATCCTATTTTTGTTGTTGCTGTGATCATAGTGCTGTATATATTCCAAATTCGCAACGTGGATCAAGGACTCAAAATACAGTTCACCAAAACATTAAAATAATAGTAAAATATTAGTACAAATGCTAAATACAAAATAGTTTTTTAAGTACTAAGAATAAAGAAGATTTCAGTTTGCTTATGCAATATGAATATTTTGCTACAGGGACAAGTGGAAATGTAAGTATGATGAATTTATGAGAATAATCAGAAAGCAAAAGCTTGAGTCAGAGACAGGTTGATGAACGTTTAAAAACCAAATTTTATTAGCCCTGTGGGCCATTTGAACCTTGTCCTTAGTGTGTTGTGTGTTACAGAACTTTTTCAAATAGTGAAAGGAAACCATAGAAGGTTTTATGTTGTTCTCATAATTACGCAGTAAAATCTGACAAATCAGTTGTTTTCATAATGAGAAAAAAAAGTAACAAAAAAAGAGTATTGTCACCAAAATGAAGACTAAAGATAGATTCAAATTTTTAGTTCTTATATTAAAACCACATACAAGTTACATTCTAGCCAAAAGGTTTATGAAATCATTCTCAGAATTAGTGATAATATCATACTTGGAAAGAAGGCATAATAAACATTTTAAATATTATTTTATCTCATAAGGTCACGGCATGTTCTGAAAGAGAAAGTATTACTGTATGTGCATGAAAGTAGGTATTTAAATTGGATACAATCATTAAAATGCAGATTAAGAATCCTTGTTTGCTCTATATGCGGCATGCGTATGAGGGAGAAATGTTTGATTATCTTTTGTTTGTTTGTTTGTCATTGAAACTTCTTGGTACTCAAAAACAATTCTTTTTCTTCAATTGGTTAACAGCTATTTTATGAGCTGCTTTCCAAATAGCAGCATTTTTCAATCAGTGACTCTCTTGATTCTTCCTTGTCTTCCTGACACAGCAGCCAGAGTAATCCTCTTTTTTTTTTTTTGAGACGGAGTCTCACTCTGTCGCCCAGGCTGGAGTGCAGTGGCGCGATCTCGGCTCACTGCAAGCTCCGCCTCCCGGGTTCACGCCGTTCTCCTGCCTCCGCCTCCCAGGTAGCTGGGACTACAGGCACCCGCCACCATGCCAGGCTAATTTTTTTTATTTTTAGTGGAGACGGAGTTTCACCGTGTTAGCCAGGATGGTCTCCATCTCCTGACCTCGTGATCCGCCCGCCTCGGCCTCCCAAAGTGCTGGGATTACAAGCATGAGCCATCACGCCCAGCCTCAGAGTAATCCTCTTAAAAAGTGATTCAGATCGTGGCATGCCTACGCTCAAAATCATCAATGGCTCTCATGTCACTCAGAGTAAAAGCCGAAAGTCCTTTTTATGACCCACAAGGCCCTACAGAACCTTCTTCCCACCCTGGCCTGTTTCCTCTCTCACCACAACTCCTCCTAATCTCCCTTTCTCCACCCTGCTCCAGCCACATGTACTTGTGTGTCATACTTTTTTTTTTTTTTTTTTTTTTTGAGATGGAGTCTCGCTCTGTCACCCAGGCTGGAGTGCAGTGGCGTGATCTTGGCTCACTGAAAGCTCTGCCTCCCGGATTCAAGAGATTCTTCTGCCTCAGCCTCCCACGTAGCTGGAACTATAGGCGCGCACCACCACACTCGGCTAATTTTTGTATTTTTTTTTTTTTTTTTAGTGGAGACGGGGATTCACCATATTGGCCAGGCTTGTCTGGTCTCAAACTCCTGACCTCGTGATCCACCCACCTCAGCCTCCCAAAGCTGGGATTATAGGCGTGAGCCATTGCACCTGGCGTGCGTCATCCTTAACATGCTTCCTCCTCACTCAGCACCTCTGGCCTTGTTCTCTGTGACAGTGATGTTCCCCAAATCCATGTGGTTTCTTCTCCACTTCTTTGCTGGTTTTTAACCAATGTCCTTCAGGCTTTGAGTCAAGTAAAGTTTTTCTTGGCTGCACTATCTAAAATCGCAAAATCCACCAGCAAAACAGCTCTTCCCTGCTTTGTTTTTATGTTTTTTGTTTTTTTCTCCACCCCACCCCACCCCGGCCCTTAGCATTTATCACTGTCTAATAGACAACTCATTTTAACTGATCTTGTTGAGGGTCTATCTCTCACACTAGAACGTAATCTACGGCAACACAGAGTTTAGGTATCGCAGCACCAAAATAAGGCCTAACACATTGAAGATGTTCAATACATATTTATTAAACAGGTGAATTAATAAATGCTTTCAAAATTAAAAAAGAAAACTTTGTAAGCTGCTTTTTACTTTGATATACTAGATTCTGTGGGTTCTGGTCTCAAAGCCATATCACTATTGTCTCTATTCTGCTAGTCAGTATGTAACATGGGCTCTACTTATGAATACACATCACATCACTTTACACACAGAAAACCCTTTACTTCTCCAGACAGGGAAATAAAAGGTGTTTTAGATGTGCTTCAAAGGACTATCAGTTAATATACATTTTAGCTTAATTATTTGATCTTTTCATTTAATATACATTTAATGTATATTTTAGCTTAATTATTTGATCTTTTCAAATTCTGTCTCTGTGAAAATGGTATAATTAATATGAAATCTAAAAAATTAAGCTAAATTCCTAGACAGTACTTAGTAGTGTTCTCTGTTAAGCAGAAGTTGAGTATGGCTTATTAAACTAAGAGAAAGGAGCATAGAGGTGGAATAAAAAGTGTAGTTTCCATATGTGGTTAACCTATTTCTCATTTACATTTCAACAGCTGCATGTGTCACTACAATTCTCCACATAAGGTCCAAGCCAAAAATAATGTTATTCCCAGATAGCAAAGTTTTTCTGTACATGGGAAGTAATAAAAAAAAAATCGCAATGATGCCACCTAGATCTTTGAGAATAACATATTTAAAAAAAAAAGAGAACCTAAAGTTACTACATTAGATTACAATTAGCGAAATTCTACCTTAATAACAGATGTAGATATATTAGTTTTCGGACTACAGTGGTAAATTAAGAGTTGCAGGGTGTTTTATTCTTTTAAAGTATATTTTAGTTCTTAATCTAGCTACTCAGTTTCTGTTGTTTTTAATAACAAACTTATTGAGTGAAACTCCATACAGTTGGTTCATTATTTTCCTATTCTTTATTTTAGGCCAAGTGTATTTGATAGTAGTAGTTTGAGTCATTATATATTAAGAGAATAATGAACATTAGTGAGATATTTTTCTGTTGAATTTCAAGGTAGTCCTTTGCACAGTCAGGGTAGCACCAAAAAAGCCACTCTGACTATTCCATAGATGCCTTGTGGGGTGGGGTTACCTGGGTAATTTGTAATGATCCAGACCTTGACCTCCAGCCTTCTAGACTCAGTGGCCTGGTTTTCTAACACCCTAAAAGTTTTTTTTTCCTCTTAGAAAAAGATTTAAACTGCAAGCTCAAAACCCTGATATGTAAATCAGAATGGCCAATTTGTTAACCTACAGCAGCACATAAAAACATCAAATGTACAATGTATCGTTTACATCTGATCAGTATTTATCTCCTTATAGGTAAGCTACATAAAAAGGAGTTTGCTTGGTGAGCAATGGTGGAGTGAGGCTCATGATTTGAGTATTTCAAGATGTCAACTAAGGGCACCTCAACCAAATGCACCTCATGCCCACTGACTCAACAGGTCGAGACCTTAAGGAAATGCGGCATTCCATTGCATAATGCTTCAGTAAGTACTCACTATTTTTGTCTTTCAAAATCTCTTTTTTTTTTCTTTTTTTGCTTTATGGCTACTATTTTCTTTCTTTAGATATGTTATTGCATTTAAATATGATTTTTACACTATTTTCACTTTAAATCATGATGGTTTAAACTCAAGACTTATTGTCCATAGGACACTATTATTTCTCTCATTTTCAAGTTCTTGTAGGCAGAGGGTGTATATCTGTAGTAAATAACATATTTTGCTATATCCAATTTTTAAAAATATAAGCCAGAAACATTGCTTCTCTATTAATTAACTGATGGGTCTGGTTTATTATCAGTCTAGTATCCTGAAGGATTTTAGAGATGTTGCCTTCTAGATTATTTGTCAAAATTAGGTGATTACGGGGTGTGGGGGTCCTAGATGATCATTCATTTTCTATTTTCCTAGAGATGACCCTGCTGCTCTTTTAGAGTTTATTTTTATCTGGAAGTGGGCTGAGGGAAGAGGTAGCTGTATACAGTCACACCCTGCATAATGACATTTCGGTCAACAACAGAGCACATATACAACAGTGGTCCCATCTATTATAAGGGAGCTGAAAAATTCCTATCACCTAATGACAGCAAAGCCATTGTTGTATCTTAGTGCAACTTATTACTCATGTGTTTGTGGTGACACTGGTGTAAACAAACCTACTACGCTGCCAGTCATATAAAAGGGTAGCATATAAAATTATGTACAGTACATAATACTTGATAATAAATGAATATGTTACTGGTTTATGTATTTACTATACTACACTTTCATTGTTCTTTTAGAGTGTACTTCTCCTACTTATAGGCACTATTCACAATAGCAAAGACTTGGAACCAACCCAAATGTCCAACAATGATAGACTGGATTAAGAAATTGTGGCACATATACACCATGGAATAGTATGCAGCCATAAAAAATGATGAGTTCATGTCCTTTGTAGGGACATGGATGAAGTTGGAAACCATCATTCTCAGCAAACTATTGCAAGGACAAAAAACCAAACACCACATGTTCTCACTCACAGGTGGGAATTGAACAATGAGAACACTTGGACACAGGAAGGGGAACACATGGACATGAGAACATGAACAGGAACATGAACAGGAACAATGAGAACACATGGACACACACCGGGGCCTGCTGTGGGGTGGGGGGAGGGAGGAGGGATAGCATTTGGAGATATACCTAATGCTAAATGACGAGTTAATGGGTGCAGCACACCAACATGGCACATGTATACATATGCAACAAACCTGCACGTTGTGCACATGTACCCTAGAACTTAAAGTATAATAATAATAAAATTAAAAAAATTAACTGTAAAACAGCCTCAGGTCCTTCAGGAAGTATTCCAGAAGAAGGCACCGTTATCATAGGAGATGATAGCACCATGCATGTAATTGTCCCTAAAGACCTTCCAATGGGACAAGAAGTGGAGGTGGAAGACAGTGATATTGATGATCCTCACCCTGTGTAGGCCTAGGCTAATGAGTGCATTTGTGTCTTTGTTTTTAACAAAGCACATTTAAAAAGTAAAAAAAATTAGAAAATTAAAAATAGGAAAAAAGCTTATAGAATAAGAATGTAAAAAAAATTATTTTTGTACAGCTGTACAATGTGTTTGTGTTTTAAGCTAAATGGTATTACAAAAGAGGCAAAAAGTTTTAGGAAATTAAAAAGCTTATAAAGTAAAAAGTTCATGGTAAGCTATGGTTAATTTATTAATGAGGAAAGATAAGTTTTTAAAAATAAATTTAGTGTAGCCTAAGTGTGCAGAGTTTATAAAGTCTGCAGTAGTATACAGCAATGTCCTAGGCCTTCACATTCACTCATCACTCACTCACTGACTCACCCAGAGCAACTTCCAGTCCTGCAAGCTCTGTTCATGGTTAGTGCCCTATATAGGCGTAGCATTTTTTATCTTTTATACTATGTATACATTTTTTGAGATGGAGTGTCGCTCTTGTTGCCCAGGCCATAGTGCAGTGGCATGATCTCGGCTCACTGCAACCTCTGCCTTCTGGGTTCAAGCGATTCTCCTGCCTCAGACTCCCAAGTAGCTGGGATTACAGGTGCCTGCCACCACGCCTGGCTAATTTGTTTGTATTTTTAGTAGAGGTGGAGTTTCACTACATTTTCACTGTGCCTTTTCTATGTTTAGATGTATTTAGGTACACAAATACCATTGTGTTACAGTTACCCATAGTATTCAAAACAGTACCATGCTGCACAGGTTTGTAGCCTGGGAGCAATAGGCTATACCATAGAGCCTGAGTGTGTAGTAAGCTATACCATCTAGGTTTGTGCATGTGCACTCTATGATGAAATCACCTAACAACACATTTACAGAAAAGTATCACCGCCATTAAGTGACACGTGACTGTACTCTTAAGGTGAACATTACTAAAGTAGCTCCAGAAAAATGGCTCCATGCACCCACTCTAGGCTCTCCTTTGACTTTACTGAATGCTAACCAGACTCACCACCCATGCTGGTTACTTTATATGTAGACCCTCTGCCAACTGCCTGGACTTCTAGTCTCAGCCTGTGGAGGGCATATGGTCCTTTGATCTTTAAATAAAAATGGCTTGAAGTTCCAACGTGTCCTCACAAAATAAGTGGCACTTTCTCCTGGTCACTTTTTCTTCTAAATTCCTTTTTCCATTCAAGTTTCTACTTTTCTTGAGCCTTTCCACTACCAACTGGGGACTCCGTTCTTCTCCAGGTCAATGGAATCCAGCCACTTTTTTATTTCCTCAAATGCCACTCATATACTTTAGTGATAGGTTTATTAAGAATGATCTGTAGCTCATTCAACAAGGTTGGGGGAGCTACATTGAAGAACAGTTATCATCTCCTTAGATGTTTAAGTCGTACAGCCTAGCCCAACATTAAGAAGAAAAAAAAAAACTTATTTTAAAAAATCTTACACTAAATACTAACCATTTGGTTCCTAAGATTCCACCAGTCATTCCTTCTTCCAGGCACTGCTCTCTTAATGTTCTTTTTTCTCAGGTCCCAGGCCCCTGCCCTTGTGCTCTGTCTGGGCTGGCTTCTCCCCAACTTTCCTCCTCTGCACCCCTCTGTCCTCTCTATTCCTGCTCGTAATACCTTCCCTCTTGGGCCGCTGTTGGAAACCCAGATTTATGTTAGGATGTAAAATTTAATTAATTTCTCAATTGTCAACTACCCTATCAATGTGCTGAGGGTTTTCTTTTTACAACCAAAGTCAGAGGTCAAGTTGATTTGCTTCTAAAAGATAATTCTATTTCAGAATAATTCTCCTATCAGCTTTTATTTTTTGTGCCCTTTACGTGCCCCCAATCATGACTACAGGTATGCTAAACCCAAAACTGGGGATGTTCAACCATGGTGCTTGTTAACCCATCCTGATGTGCCTTGATTCCTAGGCTTTTGATTATCTGGGACTCCTAATTGAATGAGTACATTTGCCCAGCCTTCTTAATAAACACATGCAAAAACATTCACACTTTTTTCCCTTTTGCTTTACAGAACAGTCTGTAGTGTATTGTTCTTTAAAGGCTTACTCAAAATACTCTTACTTATTTCTATAAGATCCATATAGGGTTTTTGACATGTTTGTAAGGATGCTAAAAACCAGAAAACAGTCCTAAACAGCTGTTTGTTCCTATTCTTTAAAGCCTCTGGTTATTTTTTGACCTAATGTTCTGCCAAGAAATAAAATAATTTGAATAATAAAGTCCTAAGTACACCATGATCACCATCTTTAAATAGTGGGGCCAAATTTCCTCTGCACATCCAAGAGATCTAGAAACACTATTTACATTTCTGAGCTAAGGGGAAAATAAAGAAAAAAAGAAATATTTTTCTCCTGGTTTTTTATGGCATGGGAAACTGAAAAAAGAAAATGTTCTCTAAAGCTGGATAGTACTTGCTAGCAAAACATGCATTTCATTACTGGTGGGAGTTTCACAGTGTTCAGCAGAGGGTTGCTCGTTATCCAGTGGATTATAGATGGGCTCTATTCTGAAATTGCTGGGCAGCTTAACTGTGAACCTCAGGGAAGTAAGGGGTTAGGATACCATGATGTGATTGCGGAAATAGACACCATCAGAGTTTGAACATATTATACAAAGAAATAATATGATTCCTAGGAAAAGATCTAGGGAAAAATTAAGTTTTTATTTTGGGCCAGTGTAATCTCACATTCAAAGGAAACTTCCCTGCATTCATTCAGACGTTGGTCTCAGGAGCCACTTAGATAACAAGGAGGTTGGAACAGAAAAAGTAATTTCAACATTGGCAACTAAAAAAAGTTAACTTTTGTTCTTGGGTTTTGGCTATAATTTTGCGGGGGGGCAGTTGAGGGGCCTCTGTAATGAGTCAAATTATAAAACTTTTACATAAAATGTTTGCAAAGTACTTAGACAAATTGAGTTATTCTTTTCCAAGAGATTTTCCTGCAAATTTCAGTCATGCACATTTGGTTCGTTGACATACCTTGGGCTAGATTACAAACAGTTTTTATTAAAAACTAATTTTCAGGCTTTTATCAATCCAGCATCTGGAACGTTGTGCATTTGAACTTGCATTTTTCCATAGGTAGGTAACCCAATTATAATAATTACATTATGGAAAATTTATGACCTTCTTCTTTGCTACTCAGAATTTATTTTACCTGCTCAGAGTAAATTGTTGAGAATCCGAGAATCACAATCATTGCTGAGAGTGGCCCAAAAGTATTTTCCAATCCCATTGCTATGTGGGCATGGGATGCTTCAGAATATAAATTATCATCCATTTTAAAATCATCTAGCCAACACGCCAAATTCTACAAAGGTATTATTCGAATGAAAAAATTATAAATACTTAAAACAAAAATAAGAAGAGGGCTTTTTTGGCATCTATTTCTTTGTTGTTCACTTAAGTCATTTTTCTTATTGTCAACTGAAGTCCCCTTCCTTTATTTCTGTCTAAAAGTGAGTTATTAGTAAGATAAGAAAGTAAAAACTGGGACATAAACTATATTCAGGTATAAAATATTCCAATAAGAAAGTAAAAGTTTACTACTCCCTAGAAGTAAAAAATGGCCAGGGTTGTTGAACTATGGAATGTTAAGTGTCCCCAGGTGACTTTGCAACAGTCAAGAAGGGTGAATGTGCAAATCTGGCTCATCTTCGCAAGAAGGATTTTGTTCAATATTTTGATATGCTTCATTCTACAAAATTAAGTTAATTTGGAGGGATTAGTCACAGTTAGTCGTGATGCTTAGAAGAAACATAAACTGTCAAAAGCAGCTGTGCTCTCAGTTTTATTATCATTTGAATAGTTTTCTAAACACTTAAAAGCCCTAAGGCCTTAAAACTAAAGTTAAATCCTAATGCCTGTTATTTTTGAAGAGATGACTTCCATTGCATACCTTGGGTATCTATGAGTCTTTTACATTTCATAAAATTAGGAGCTCATAATGATGAACTGGAAATATCCTATTTAGTCTTTACAACTGTAGAAAACTGAATTCGTAAACTTAGCACTGTGGAGATCTGTGCTCGTGGGAGAGAAAGGATCATTTACTCAGTTGGCATACACCAAACACTACACCACATTGGTAAATAACTATTGTAACTCTAAACATCTCTGTTTGTTGTCTGTGATTAATTCATTCTATACACGTATATCTATTCTCCCCCTCTATCTCTCTATCATGATTTATATCTGTGAACACGTGTATGTGTAGTTTATGCATGTATCCACACATAAAGATGTATACATATATATCTATATATACATGTGGGTATGTGTTCCTTTCCTTCTTTTAACATTTAACGTATTTCACAAGCTTAAAAAAGACTATTGCATACCACTAAGAAAATTATGTGACTCATTCACTAAAATTATTTTTAATAGTGTGAGGCACGTAAGTTGTTCAATTTATCATGAGCACAATTGATTGATTCATACCCCAAATGGATACTGTGCAGAATATTATAGGCTTCCCTCTCTATCCTTGGGCTATGATTTATAACTTTCTGACAAATTTATTTGAATCCGTGAAAAAATGATTGAATGATTTCAGCCTATATTTAAGTGTTATTGGAGGCAATAAATCATACTTTGAAAGACTTATGGTACTAGAGAATTGCTCTTCACAAGTTGACAGAATTCACTTTTAAGTGGCTTCATCCAGCACTGTGGTGGTCCTTGTAAATAAAGGAACGAATCCCTACTCACTCATGGAATTTAATAGTGTATAATTGGACCATTGGCCTTAATATCTCAACACAGTTACCAGAGACTTTTTTTTTTAATGTGGCTCTTGGAATGTCACCTGCTTTTCCTTACCTTCCATTTAGGAAGAGAATGAGATGTCTATCTGACATATCTGAGTGCCTTAGAATTATGGGAAGCAGGCCATGGAGTTAAAAAAATGTGCTTTATAATTGTGTAAATGAAATGTATATTTCCATGAATAGGCAGTGGGAAAACCTTATGAGAGAAACACAGAACGAAAGCACACTTAGAAAGAGGAGAGATTTTCCAATATCGATGAGGGATTTAAATGATGACCAATACTAAGAGATTTCATAGTTTTTGGAGAGTAAGAGAAGTACAGGAATTAATGGGCAGAACACAGCAGTCAGAATGTGCATTGCAGTAATGCCTTGTATCAATATCTATATTGTTTTATATCATAACTGAATAATGACAACATAATGCTAGAAATTGGAAATGGGTTGAAAGAAAAGCTCAAAGCCTAAGTAATTCTGGCAAACAGAATTATTTCAAAATAATTTCTGCTTTTTTCTTTTTACACTTTAAGTGTGTGCAGTACTCAATCGATGCATTCCTTTCAGTTTAAATCTGAAAGTAACTGCTCTGAACAAGTCGGGATAGAATGGCCTTTGTGGAGAACAAACATAGCCAGTAACTGCCCCAGTCCTCTCCCCATGATTCGAAGGAAAGTCTGATTTATGGCTTCATCTCTGCTGTTGGACAGAGAGGCCTCAGCCCATTGGAAATCTCCAGAGCCGTGGGAGAGGGGTGAGGCTGTGGTCCACCACAGTTGAGGATTTTCAAGGCCTCGTTTTCTTTTGGCCAAGTCCAAATGGTAACAGTGTGTTACGGCCTGACTTACTGACTCTAGCTGGGCTAGGAAACTATAGATTCTAAATGGCATCTCTGTGATTTAAGACAGTATACATAATCAGCTTTCTTTTTTAAAATTTGCCAGTTACACATGAATGTTTCATGGAAAATAAGTCAATTGTAGCGTTCCCCATTTTTCAAAAAAGCAAAGGATTTTTTTTCTTTTACAATATGAGTAGGAAATGGAGCATAATGGGAAGCCAAATTGATCAATTGTTGTTTCTAAGTAGAGTGATTTTAAGATTTGATTTGGGAAGAACTGTTTCAATTTACTCTGCTGTCCAGCCATATTTTTAATAATGCCCCCCTTTCAATCTCAAAAGTCTTCAAGCTTAGGCAACAAATTCTAAGATCATCCTATTTTTACATATATAGATACCTTTTGATTTTCAGGTAGGCGTAATATTTTTAAATGGTAGCGTACTGAAAACAGGCTAGGATTTTAAAAGATGTAGAAATTTGCTTTTTGAAACTCTTCCCACCAAATGAAAATCATCCCCAGTACCCTAGAGAAGCTCACCCAGACACTTCTACAGTTTTAGGAACTAATTTATGAAATAAAGACTCTACCAAGGAAATTCTTGTGTTCTCATATTTTATTCTTAAATTATTTCAATGAGAATGCTTATTTTTTTTTCTACAAGAGCAGGACAAGTGAATTTCCCTTTTCTATACCTTTTTTATCCATATATGAATTGAGGAGCATCTTGAAAATGTGATTTTCAATGTGCAATAAGAGGTCATTTCAACCTACTGAAATACAGAAGTGATTAAAGTAGAAGAGGAAGGATGATCAGAAGAAGAGGTGAGATTAAGAACACTCTGACTATAGAGCTGACCTGCAGGTGGGATCAGTAGCATTTTTGTCTCAGATCTATGCTTTTTTCATTTACTCTTCGTGCAAAGTTGGGATCATGGTTTCCAGATTTCACTGTTAGTTTTTAGTTTAAAAGCAATTGTAAGCCAGTTTTACCTTCAAATAAAAGTAGAAGGTTGAGCATGGTTCATGCCTGTAATCCCAGTGCTTTGGGAGGCCAAGGCATAAGGATTGCTTTAGGCCAGGAGATCAAGACCAACCTGGGCACCATAGTGAAGCCCTGTCTCTTCAAAACTAAAAACTAAAAACAAAACAAAACAAACAAAAAAACACAAAACACACTTGGGTGTTGTGGCATGATCCTGCAGTCCTAGCTACTTGGGAGGCTGAGGTGAGAGAATCGCTTGAGCAGTAGTTTGACGTTACAGTGAACTATAATCATGCCACTGCACTCCATCCTGGGCAACAGAGAAAGAGACCCTATTTCTAAAAATAATAATAATTTTAAAAAGTAGATTTTCAGTTACAGCAGAAGTATAGCTGTATAAAACCCACTGTAATCTAACTTACTTGATTAAATTATACTACAGTTACTATACTCAACATCTTAATTATAAGAACTAAAACCAGATTAAACTACATCAGTATTTTGGGGTAGGTCTATAGTGGGCATCTATAGTTTTGTCTGTTCACCTTTCTGTCCTTCCATCTGTGGGACCAGCCCTGCCACCTGGAGGCTAGAGGAAGACCTGCCCCAAGTGCCAGCAAGATATCCTCCTTTCTGTCCTAATTGGTTGGTTGAAGTACAGACATCTGACCCAAACTGAGCCAACCTGAGACCTCCTTTGGGATTCTTCATACTGTAATTGAAAAAGAATTAGTATCTATCATGTGGAGAGACTATGAGATATGAAATGTGTGAGCTGCCACTGTCATGTGACAGCAATTGTCTATAGGTCTCAAGAATGAAGCTAGAACAGAGAAAGAAATAGAATCAAACTGGAAGGAGGATAAAACAGGATTTTCTCACTGGTTCCAGGTTTTCTGATGAACAGTTTTCCCTCTGTCCATGCCACTTTCTTATTCATTTTTTTTCTTTTTTGAGACGGAGTTTCACTCTGTCATCCAGGCTGGAGTGCAGTGGCACAATCTTGGCTCACTGCAACCTCCGCCTCTGGGGTGCGGTGGCTCATGCCTGTAATCCCAGCACTTTGGAAGGTTGAGGTGGGCAGATCACTTGAGGTCAGGAATTTGAGACCAGCCTGGCCAACACGGTGAAACACCTTCTCATTCTTTAGCTCTTTCTTGAACTCAGTGATCCAGTAAAGTCCCTCCCTTGGTCTAAATGAGTTTGAGTTTGAGTTTGAATCCTGATGCATAAAGGACCAGTATGATCTCAGCTACAGTTGTACTCTCTTTAAAAAATACCTACTATTAGACAGAATAGTGGCAGCGGCAACTTTTTAATGTTAGTATCTGGTAGCTACAGAACAGCCAAGTGTAAGTTCTGGAGAAGAGAAGAAAGATTATAGCAAGAGAGAAAGAATGAAAATTCAGGAACAGTCATTGACTGCCAGCACAAAGACAAAAGATTGCTATTTTGAGATTTGGTGCTAAGAGGAAGGCTCTTAAAAATAAATGGAGGTAAATGGATTTGTTATAAAAAGTAGCAGGGAATGTAATTAGAGAAGGATTCAGGGAATTTGTTTTGAGTGCACCAAAGCACCCATCAAACATTTTTGATATTATAGTAATTAAAAGAAAAGGCTGCATTTTAAGTGTGTGATAGAATTGGGGCCCAGTTAGGTTTAAAATACAGTCATGCATCCCTTAACGATGGGGATACTTTCTGAGAACTGCGTTGCATTAGACAGTTTCATCATGCAAACATCATAGAGCGTACTTACACAAACCTAGATGGGTTTGCGTAAGTAATACACACCTGCGCTAATTGGTATAGCCTAGTGCTCCTAAGCTGCAAACCTGTTCAGCATGTTACTATACTGAATACTGTAGGCAATTGTAACACAATAATAAGAAGCTGTGTATCTAAACATATCTACAAACAGAAAAGGTACAGTAAAAATACAGTATTATAAGCTTTTGGGACCACTGTCATATATGTGGTCTGTCATTGACTGAAAAGTCTTTATGCAGCATGACTGTGCAAAATGTTTTAGCCACGATAGGTTAGATCTGGCTTCGTAATATGCAATTACAATGTCTCAGAGACTCAAGAAAACAAACATTTAGTTCTTTCTGTGGGTCCAGGACAGATGCATATCAACATATGCTGGAGAAGGGAAGGCTAGAGAGTCTTGCGCCATTAATTAAACGCTTTTGCTAAGATGTGACATCATTTCCATGGACATATAGTTGCTGAAACAAGTTACGTGGCCATGCCAAGCTTTGAAAGCGATGGGAAGTATAAACTTTCCATGTCCCTGAAGGAGATAGCCATTAGTGGCACGAATGTCTGCCACAATTGAATTATGAACAGAAAACCTGGAACACTAGGTCATAATACCAAATTTTCCACTTCTTAGCTCTCAATCCACTTGGCTCCCCACTGGGAAAGTTTTGCTTTGATTTGAAAGTGGCTTAACACCTCTAGTCTATGTGGATTCTCTAAGCCCTGTTCCTCCACCTGTAGGAAGAAGTTAATCATGCTTCTCAGATATTACTGTTGTAAGGATTAAAAGCAACTTGAAAACACTGTTCAAATATAAAACAGGTAATAGTGTTAATAGTTGGGTTTTTGCATTCCCCAACCTCCAATTTCTCATGAAACACTATTTTTTGATTGATTATTCATATGGTGCTACTTTAACATGTAAAAACATCCTGTTAATAAGAAGATACATTAAGTAACAAATGACCTTGAATAATATTTAAAGCCATAAAATTTCTTCATTACTTATGATGGCTTACATCAAATATGTTTTTGCTTTCCACTCAAGCAGCTTAGAAATTGTGACCTTCTTCATAAACTTGGGTTATTAAAGAGGCTCACTTCCATTAATTAAAAAACATTAACTACATCATTAGAGTTTTTGTGTGCTGGTTTACCTTTTCTAAATGCACACATTTCTTCTTTAATCCCAATTTCACAATAAGAAGAAAGTTAGTTCATTTTTTTAGAAAGATATTTTGCTGGTTTCCTTAAGATACTTAAGTATACATTCCTCAGTGCCACAAATGTCAAAATGCAAAATGTAAGTATTGTTTACCTAACATATATATAAATCTTAGATTGTTCCTTCAAAGTTTATTTTAATTATGATAGAGATATAAATGAGGCAAACTATTATGTCTTCTTTGAATTCTCAGTAGGAAACTTTTGCTCAGTTTCAGGCAGTTGTATTTCACTGTGAATCATTAAGAAAATTTCCACTGATCTGTGACATAATATTTTAATCTCCTGGGGCTTTATAACTTGATTTATAATGTTGAGGTTGAAAGACTAATTTCAAATAAGGCATTAAAATTACACATAAATGTTCTTTTAATTAAAAAAAGTAGACAACTTTATAACATGCACTTTGTCATACAAGAAATTAGGTAAGGGAAGTGGGCTTCTTGTAGATGATTTAGATAAATCCAGAGAATTAGATTATGTGGATAATGGCTTCAGAAAAGATGTCTTCTATATCCCCAGAGTATTTCTCCTTTTCTATCATTTTCACTTTAAAAAAAATTCACTCCTGATGCTTGACTAAAGTGTATTTTTTCATCGCCTCTTTTCTTCTAATTTCTAAATCAGATTACACATCTTAACCATTTTGTTTTTTCCATTCTTTTTTTTTTTTTTTGAAATGAAATCTATGAAATCTTGCTTTGTCACCCAGGCTGGAGTGCAGTGGAGCAAAATTTCTTTGAGTGAAATTTTGATTGCTCACTGCAATCTCCGACCCCCAGGTTCAAGCGATTCTCCTGCCTCAGCCTCTCGAGTAGCTGGGATTACAGGTGCCAGCCACCTCACCCGGTTAATTTTTTTGTATTTTTAGTAGAGACGAAGTTTCACCATGTTGGCCAAGCTGGTCTGGAACTCCTGACCTCCGGGGAACTCCTGACCTCAGGAGATCTGCCTGCCTCAGCCTCCCAAAGTGCTGGGATTACAGGCGTGAGTCACTGTGCCTGGCCTCCAGCATTTCTGATCTCTTCTCGTGTCTCCTCCTTCTTGACTAATGCTGTGTTTAATTGATTTTCCTCTCTCCAAATGTTTTCAAAGGTAAATACCCTAAGGCATTTTTAAATTCAAATAATTTCATTTTTAACCATTTAAAATTGTATCTATAATGTGATCAGCATCACATTATAGATTTTTCTAGTCCTCTGTCATCTTCTCAGTGGCATTTATATCTAATTTCAATATAATTTATGACAGTTCACAATTACTCATGTGGAAGGACCTGGAAATCACAGTGGCAAAGTACAGTCTTCTTAATTTTGATATTAATTCCTTTGGTGCTGGCCTGTAGAACTTTCTGCAATGAAATAAATGTTCTATACCTGCTCTGTCCAATATGGTAGCCATTGGCCATATATGGCTATTGAGCACTTGAAATTTAGCTAATGCAACTGAAACACTGAATTTTTAACTTATTTTCATTTTAATTACTTTGAATACAAGTAGCCATATGCTGCTAGTGGCCGCCATATTGGATATCACCAGTAGATGATTAGGAAGGATTCATGTGCTTTCCTGCTTAAGCATAACTCAACCCCTATCAAGTAGCGTTGATTCTGTTACCTAACATTGCACTATATTGATGGAGGCCACATTCTGTTTTCATCCATCTTTCCATGAGGAAACCTCCAGAAGGACCTGGAAAGGAAAGTGAAAAGGTTTATGAATAGGTCAATTAGTGAATTACCCAGTTTAAAAAGTGCCATCTCCTCCATGAAGCCACTGCCCACCCTTCCAGAATTTCCTCCCCTGGGCCTCCTGCCGGGATCTGTTTCCTTTTCTCAATCCCATGGCCGTTTATGCCACTCTCATAGTTCTTGTCAAATTCTACCCTGTATTACCGTTATTTGTGTACCTGGCTTATCCTTTTCTAGACACTTTGAGGGTAGAATTCAGAACAGAAGCCTGGCTGATTTGGGCATTCCTCAGAGCACCTAGTGTAGTAGCTTGAACAATAAATACTGGCTGGATGCATGAAATGTCTGTCTTCCTGTGGAGGTGAACATTCTAAAGGTAACCGTCAGTTGGAGGTCTCCCAAAGTCTCCACTGTGTGGCCAGAGCTCAGATACAATGCATGGCCTCAGCCTGGAAAGGTTACCTTTGATTTCTATCCACAAGAGGCTTTGGTGAACTCTGACTTCATACTCATTTGACATGGCCTTCCACTGTGACCAGCTTGAATATTTCCTTTACTTTGTTCTACTTCCTCCTTTTGCCATTTTGCCTCTAAAACTCACAGCACTGTGATGAGTCTTTGGCTTCTAAAGCAAATCACTTTTGTTGCAAGGGCCATTGTCTTTTCATTCATATTTTTACAAAGTGTTACAGTAAGCTAGCAGTGACCACTAGGACTTATTAGAGGAAACACTATTATATTCTATTATTCAATCTTCAGTGACTTTCTTTCCAGACTGAATCTTCAGTGTCTAAAAAGCAACCTGTAGCAGTTATGATTTGGGGAAGCTGTGGTGTAGTTAGGAAAACAATGACATGGTCAACTGAAATGTTGCAGGCCAGAGTAGACAGGTGAACCCTCATCGTTGCACTGCTTCTCTTTGTTAATGGCCACAGCACACTGGGATTACAAATGCAGTAATATTTCCATGCTGGTCTCTGCGTTGTCTCTGTTGAACATCTGTGTGCTGAGAATTATCCATGCTATGTCCCTTTGACCTGTTTCATGTGAACTGTTCTGGATGTAAATTTTTTTTTTAACCATTAAATCTAAGTGCAGGGTGTGAATCACAGCTGGGCGATGATAGGTAATTGGACAGGGAACTTACTAGGGGCATGAGAGCATCAGAGATCTCAAGTTCTCAAAGGAAAGACTTTTTTCAATAAAAGCAATGTAATATTGGGAGGGGATTTTTTTTTTTTATTTTCCTGGAGAAAGCAAGTAGATTTTTCAAGAAATTTTGTTTCAAAAACAGGCCAAATGTTTTAACAAAGTGCCTAAGATTATGAAGCCAAATAGTAAATTTAATATTTTCCCAACACCTAAATTAAGGGATCTTTTAAAAACCTATGTTATGGGAATTGGAGATATACATATATATATATCTCTCCTTCACTATGGGATACTTTGCTGTGATGGAGACCACAGCACTTAGTAGCTACAGGTCTTTCATGTATAATGACGCAATACAATTTTTGAAACTGAAATTGGAAAACTGACGTTTTCCGACACCACAGCACTGTCTTTTAGAGCTAATACTTTTATGTTTATAGGCGTAATATGAAATCTCCTTTGTGAAAAGATAATATTTTGGCCCAATTATAGAAAGAAGATTCTTTTCCCATGCATATTATCGAAGTGTTTGCATTTAAAAAACAGAACACAGGTAAAATGTATGATTGCCCCACAATGAGCACTCTCCAAACATGGAATGAAGTGAAAAGAAATTAGAGATTGAGGCTGGGCGCGGTGGCTCCCACCTGTAATCCCAGCAGTTTGGGGGGCCGAGGCAGGTGGATCACGAGGTCAGGAGTTCGAGACCAGCCTGGCCAACATGGTGAAACCTCATCTCTACTAAAAACACAAAAATTAGCCTGGCGTGGTGGCACGCACCTGTAATCCCAGCTACTCAGGAGGCTGAGGCAGAAAAAATTGCTTGAACCTGGGAGGTGGAGGTTGCAGCAAGCCAAGATCGCACCATTGCACTCCAGCCTGGCCGACAGAGTGAAACTTCGTCTCAAAAAAAAAAAAAAAAAAAAAAAAAGAAAGAAAGAAAGAAATTAGAAATTGCTAAAGGAATTTTAATACAGAGTAGACAGAAAGTACTCTCTTAGATTTATTCAACAACTTGTCCATTCTTGGCCCTGGTCCTGGTATAGCAGTGTTGAACCAAGCAAAATAAACACTGAATTGGTAAATGGAAGATACCAAAGTGCTTCACATATATTTCAGTTCTCTTAGTAAAAATTTGTGTAACTTTTTAAAAAATTACTGATACGGATTATTTAGGAAGTAAATATTTCTAGCACTATTAGCAATTGATTTATCATACATACTGTAATGTCAGACAGAATTCAAATTACCCCAGAGAATACCATATCACTCAGCTTTATGACATTTTCAAATGAAAAAAAAATTGCCTTACAAGCAGACAATTTCAAACGGAAATGTGTTTCTCCAAAATTTTCTGAGTCTTGCCTAGACTAGCTAATTCCTTCTCAGTCCTTACACCTCCTTCCCTATTTGTTTGCTAGTAGAAGAAATAGCATTTGGTTTAAAAGCAAATAGTTTGGTAAGTAATTGACCTAAGGATTTCATTTGGCTCTAAGCTTAAAATGAATCAACGGTGACACAGATGTTGAAAAAAAATGGAATCTTACATAGCATTAACAGAAGTATCATCTCCAGATGTTCTGACAATACTCTGGAAATAGAAAAATAACCTTGACAAAATAATGAGTTTCCACAGGAGGGGTGACCAAAAGGGTGAGGGATTTGTAAAACTCATACAAGTAATGATTGATAGACCTGGGAATACGGAGCTCAGAAAAATATAAATCTAGGTGATTATAGTTTCTTTCTTCATCTCTCTCTATCATATGAATGAGAGCATAGATTTACTTTATGTGGTCTCAACAGGCAAAATAAGACCAATGGTTGGAAGACAGAGGTAAGCGGATTCCAACTTTATATACAGTTGACCTTTGAATAAGGGTTGACCTTTGAATAAGGGTTTAACTGTGAGGGTCCACTTATATGCAGATTTGCTTCTGCCTCTGCCACTCCTGAGACAGCAAGACCAACCCACTTCTTCCCCCTCCTCTTCCTCATCCTACTCAGTGTGAAGACGAAGAGGATGAAGATCTTTCCAATGATCCATTTTCACTTAATGAACATATTCATTAACACATGTTCTCTTCTTTATGATTTTTTAAATTTAAAGTTCAGCGATACAAATTTAACTTTTAAGTGCAGGTTTGTTATCTAGGTGAACTTGTGTCATGGGGGTTTGTTATACAGATTATTTCATCACCTGGTACCCATTAGTATTTTTCCTGATCCTCTCCCTCCTTCCACCCTCTGATAGGCCCCAGTGTCTGTTATTCCCCTCTTCGTGTCCATGTGTTCTCACCATTTGTCTCCCACTTACAAGTGAGAATCTGTGGTATTTGAGTTTCTGTTCCTGCATTAGTCTGCTGAAGATAATGGCCTTCATTTTATTTTCTCTAGCTTCCTTTATTGTAAGAATACAGTATATAATATATATGCAATCTACAGAATATGTGTCAATTGACCGTTTGTGTCACCGCAAGGCTTCCAGTTAACAGAAGGCAATTAAGTAGTTAAGTTTTTAGGGAGTCAAAAGTTATACTTGTATTTCTAACATTGCAGGGAGCCAGTTCCCTTAACTCCTGCATTGTTCAAGGGTCAACTGTAGCTGAGGTTATCTACATGTCAAAGGTGATAAATGGATAAAAGGTGATAAAAAAAATTTTTTGTTTGTTCATTTTTTTTTTTTTATAGTTTAGCTGTCAGTGAGAGTGTCCTGGTGAAAATTGTCCGTGATTTCATAGAAGGTGTTCATAAATTGGGAGACAGGTCATATTTTATAGCCCCCATTCTCCTAATTCTAATATTCTGTCAGATTTTTAAATAGTTTTATATTTATTATTAACTTCAGAAAATATTTTTCATTCATTTTATTAAGCTGAAAGACAGAAAAAAAAATCTAGGCAGATATCATTAAAACAGAGGCAGAGAATAGTTGGCAAAACATTCCAAAACAACTGGAATCATTTCTAAGTATGAGTAGGAAAAAGAAGGTAAAAGCCAACCATATTTCTCTTTAAGTGGTCATAATTCAAATCGTACCATTAAAAATTTACTTTGTACAAGTATATTTTTTATCTCAGAGCCATTTTAGTTATTTGTACCAGATCCCTGAAGAGCTCTAGATTTGGGGTGTTGGCTAAGAAATTACAGATGACAGAGCCAGCTGTGAGCAAAGCAGGGGTCTTGGTTAAATGTGGTCAGAAGTATGCAGAAGTCAGGCAGGCAAGCAGTGGCTAAGCAAAACTATGAGAGACTGGTACAAGGAGACTGCCTCGATGTCCCTAAGCCGCAAAGCAATCCTTTGCCTCAGTGAAGAACATTTCTGCTGGGACCCACAAGTGGAAGCAGAGAGCGCAAGAGCAGGGCGGGAGCAACCCTGGGGCTCCAGTCCCACCGCTGCTCCAGCTGTGCTGGCTGCCAGGTATTTGGCACATTGTTTAATACCAGGAATTCATAGGCCTGCATTATTATTAAAATATTTCACAATACCAAAGTCCTGCTGAGGATAGTTTTCCACAGGCAGCTGAGGATCATATCTTCCTATGGTTTTCTATGACTGATTTTTCCCTTAAATCCCCCACATTGCAATTGACGCCAGGCTTTGAACACGAACCCTGCAGATAACTATAGTGCCAGGATGTCAGAGGAGGCAACCTCTGCTCTTAAATAGGGTGCCGTGCTGCACTTTTACTTAAACCTCGGGTAACTTTTCACCCAGTGTTTTCTCAGTATGTAGAATCAGACAGAAAACAAAAATCTTGGGATTAAGGAAAAGGAAACTTAAGACTTCACTGGCCTCTCATTAACTGATTTCATTCAGTGCTCCAATTCAGAACTCATCAGTACTAGCATAGTTTGCTTGCCCCCGACTATGTTCAGAGCCTCTTCCTCAATCTTCTCCTTTCAATCATCCTTTATGCTACCCTAAGTTGCTAAAACTCATCTGAGGTTCCTCCCTATTTAACATCAGCTTAGGCTTCTTAGTAAAGCAGTCAAACAGCATTTTTCTGCCACTCACCTACACTTCAGTCACTCTAGACTTTACTCATGTTACACAAATACAGCACACAGGCTAACACTTCTGTGCTTGTTTGTTTATTTTGTTCTTGCTGGTTTCTATTCTTGGAATACCTTTACCTTCTGGCCTTCTTCCCTCTATCATTCTCCCCCACCTTTCTGCTGGATGACATATACCTTCTCCTTCCCAACAGAACAAAAATTTACATTTTCCAGGAGACTGTCACTAACTTTTAAAACATTAATTATTAACTCCTTCATGCTCCTGTATCTGTATCTCTGTTAGTGAGCTTGGTCATATTGTAGTTTAATTTTGTTCTGTATGAATTTTTCTTCCTTCTATACTGTGAGCTCTCTAAGGGTGGGGCCAATTATGTCAACTTTTGTAGTTTCAAGATCTGGGACTTAGTAGACATTCAATAATACAATACAATTCTGGCACATAATATATACTAAGTAACTTTTGGATGTCATTGAATTTTATCTGTTGGATATTATCATTTCCCAGGTCCCTTTTGGATCTAAAATTCTATGATTCTTAGTGGTACTATGGGGATTATAAATGTTATTATACAATTCAGATGGAAGTGGCTTCGCTGAACTCTCCTAAGTGGCAAGTTAAATTACCTTGTGGCTTGTTAAATAGGAGAGCCAAGTCCAGAAACTACACGATTCTGGGTCAGCTTAACATTTATCGGCTTTCAAAGTCTATGTGGCTTTTGGTTGTTTAAAGGAACTACTGGTTTGTCCATCTAGGATTCAGTTATGGTTTTTCTGGGGCATCTTGGTAGAAACAGCCACGGGAGCATATAAGGAAAGAGAGTAGGCATGTGTTTTGTGAGATTTTCCCGCTTGCAGCTCCCCTGCCACATACTAGTAATGATAAAAACTCAGTATAAGCATGGGAGGCCTAGGAGATTGTTTGTCCCCTCTAGCAAAATCAGTTCCCCCTGAGTGGATATAGTGTCACAATTACACTAATTGAACTTGACTAACGTTTATAAACATCTGCTTGATGTTTTATTATTTCATATATTTATTATTTTTAAAAGCATTCTCAATACTAGAATAACTCTGGATAGCAGCCTGGGAATGAATGTCACCATTAAAGTAAATATCAGCAAAAGATGATCTCGTGTCAGTTTTGAACGGCCAAGGAAAATAAGATCCATTCTGATAGTCAAGGTATATACATTGATTCTCAAACACACAGGCATATACTTTTTCCTCCATCCATGTTCCCTCAAAACAATGGCAAACTCATATCTGACATCAAGTGTTTCCTCTTGGGTTTTGCCTAAGCTCCAGCTTATTATTTCTGGCACATCTCTCATCAGTGCCTAGCGGTTTTAGCAGCAGGATTTGGCCAATAATGGCTCTGGCCAATGGGTGTAACTGGAATTTAGGCACATATGGAAGGGTTCATCTGTTTATCATAGCAGCACCCAGCGGTGGGTCTGTGAGCATTTCCTTTCAAAACTGTTTTCCTGAGAGGTTTGAAGTTTGATCTTCAATTTCCTATTGGCTTAAAATTCGTCAACAGAGATATTTGGCTTTTTAATTAAAGTCTTGACTGGTCCAAACTTTCAGAAATACTGTTTAGTGAATATATTTTTTTTCCACTGGTTTCAGGGAAAAAAAGAAATAAGATTTACTAAGACTTCATGTTTCTTCCTAGTCTGGTATGATTCAAGTTATTAAGTTCACAAACATTTAGTCATTGTGTCACTTGGAGGGGATGAGCAGTGACCCAAAGGCTCTTGTAAGTTTTCTTAAAAGGTTTTTCTACCAAAGCCAGTCTGCGCTCTGCTGAATAAGCATTTTCTAATATACTCCTGTTTATAATCTTGACTACACAACCCTAAATTGACAACAGATCCACTCCTCATTGCCTAAGGACGAGGACTTTTAGGAGGCCAACTGTTCTCATGGACCTGAAAAAAGATTCATATCAATATTTCCCATTAAATACTCTAGGAATTTGGCAGAGACATCCCACTGCATGAGACTGTAAGAGTCCTGATGTGTTCCTCTCCACCAAAATTCACCATTGTGGCTTTAGTTCCACAAAAAGAATGTAAGATCCTTTAAAAAAAGCAGCCTATATTCTAAATACCTAGGCCTACCAAGGAGTTCCTGGGCCTCCTGGAAGCCTCTAAAAATCCTCCTTTTTTTTTTTTTTTTTTTTTTTTAACACCCAGATCTTATATTTCCTTATGACCTTTTATAAGAATAGCCTACTCGTGTATCTCACATTATGAAATAAAAAAGTTCCTAAAATAATTAAATTTTTAAAAATGAGAGCTACCATGTATTGAACACTCACTTTCTCACTGCACTTAAAAAAAATTAAAATTTTAAGTTTACTTATTTTAAATGGAGAAATAACACTCTATGTTTTCATCACATACAACATGATGTTTTAAAGTACATGTACATTGTGGAGTCATTAAATCTAGCTAATTAGCAAATGAATTACCTCACATAGTTATCATTTTTGTGGTGACAGTACATAACATCCACTCTAAATTTTTCAAGAATGCACTATATTATCATTAACTATAGTCACCTTGCTGTAAGGTATAAATTTTACCTTGCTGTAAATAAATTTCTCTTGAAATTTATTCCTCCCATCTAACTGTAGTTGTGTATCCTTTGACCAACGTCTCCCCATCCTCCCTAAGCCGTAATCATTTCAGCCCCTGCTAACTACCATTCAACTCTTTCCTTCCATTTGATCAGCTTTTGTAGATTCCACATATGCATGAGGTCAGGCAGTATTAGCCTGTGTGAAAACCAGTATGGAGTTTCCTCAGAAAACTAAAAATTGAACAACCAAATGTTTCAGCAACCTCACTATTGGGTTTATCTCCAAGGAAGTTGAAATCAATTTGTTAAAAGAGATATCTGCACGTCCATGTTTATTGCAGCACTATTCGCAATAGCCAAGATATGGACTCAACAGCAAATGTGGTACATACACACAGTGAAATATTATTCAGACATAAAAATGAATGAAATCCTGCTATTTGTGACAGCACAGATGAACTTAGAGGATGTTATGGTATGTGAAATGAGGCAAGGACATTTTCTTTTTATTACTTCATTTCATCCTCATATCAGCCCTACATGATGGGGATATTATCCACTTATCTAGCAGATAAGTAACGTGAAAGAATCAGAAACTTCATAAATGATCCAAGGTCACAGAGGCAGGAAGCTGAGTGATTAAAATTGGAGTGTTTGACACCAGGTCCTGTTTTTCATCTGCAGCAGCTTCCACACATTTCACACATCAAGGACCGTTTTTGAGATCCAAATCACCATGTGATTTTTGGCCTGTAACTAAGAAGGACTTTCGAGATTTGAGGGGCATTCATATAACTAAATTATTTTCATTTCTATTTATTAACAACTTTTTTTCAGTAGAGCCTGTCTCTTGCTAGCAATAGATAATATTTATCCTTGAATATATAAATAATTTTAATAGGCCATTCGTTGTATTCAAAGATGCATTTCTAAAACATGCTTTTTATAATGAATAATCATTTTTACCTTACTAATATATTTATGTTGTTTGATCAGTTGTCTAATAACAGTACTAATAACTCAATCTGGAAAAATTTTTTTTAAACTTAGACCACTATGATCATAGAAAATTTTAAAACTCTCTAATTTCAATTTTGTACCTATTCTATTACAGAGAAATGTAATTAGATGAACAAAAGCAGACTTTTAAGTTTAAAATGTTATATCTGAATAAAATCCTATGACGGATTGTCAAAAGGAAATATGAACTCAGAAAGAAAGTGGGATAATGTAAATTTTGGATCTATGAAAGAAGAGATTGTTCTGCATTTTTCAAGTGGATAATGGTTGGTGGATATCAAATATTTTTGGTATTAGTTTCAACTGAATACATTTAAAGGAGTGACAGAATAGTACTAAGTAAAATGTTCATGTTTATAATATGCTGTTCCTTACATCCTCTACAGTCAGTGGGATGGATGGTAAATTTACAACAAGCTCCCCAGGGCGTTAATGCCCTAATTTGTAGCATTTCCTGATTTTCATAATGTGAATACTTTCACCCTAGCTGATTTCAAGCTACCAATAGTTTAACAACTGAATGACAAAATCTCCAAAAATTTAACAACTGGCTCTCACAATCTCTACAAGCCAGAGCCAGTGCATTACTTATTATATCATGTAATATTGAATGTCGAAATAAAAATATGTGAAGGCTACATTATTTTCAAGTTCCTTCGTTTGAAAGCCCTTGCTAAAATTTTATGAGAACTTCTTTGAAATATAGATAAATCTTCAGTCCTATGTGCACCCTAAACTTCTACTTAAAGCATTCACAATGATCTTGTCTTTTCCTTCTGTCATAATTTCTCAAATTAGCTATTCCTAAGAATTACATATGAAACTTTGGGAAAAAATGCAGATGTTAGGGCCCACCTCATACCTATTAAATAAGAATCCCGGCCGGGCACGGTGGCTCATGCCTGTAATTCCAACACTTTGGAAGGCCGAAGCAGGCGGATCACCTGAGGTAGGGAGTTCCAGACCAGCTTGACCAACGTGGCAAAACCCTGTCTCTACTGAAAATACCAAATTAGCCTGGCGTGGTGGCGTGCGCCTGTAATCCCAGCTACTCAGTAGGCTGAGGCAGGAGAATCACGTGAACGTGGGAGGCGGAGATTGCGGTGAGCTGAGATCGCAACATTGTACTCCAGCCTGGGCAACAAGAGCGAAACTTGGTCTCCAAAAAGAAAAGAAAAAAAAATCCCTAGCAATAGGACCCATCCATGTTTATTTTAACAAGCATCATAGATGATCCTGAGACAGCCAGCCTAGCACTTCTGCTGTCCTGGAAGATACTGCTCTATAAGGCTGAATTGAGAATAGGAATTGAGATAGAAGCCTTTTCTCACTCTTTCAATGTGAAACAATTAGAAAACCTCAATGGGCTGGTTTTGTGCTTTTTTTTACTAGAGAGCTAGAAAAAAGTTGTGAGACTGTTTTTTCTGTACTAGATGAATTAGTTCCTGAGTTAAGTTTTGAAGCAACACTTGGTTGTGGTCAAAGAAACAAGACAAGCCATTTTCTGGGATGACTGTGGGGAAAGAATGATAGTCCTGAGATCTTGACCTGAAGCCAAGGAATGTGCCTGTGAAGCTTTCCATTCCCTAAAAATTCTGTTTCTCTACCTTATCCTAGAGCCTCTGCTATGGACTAAATGTGTCCCCCAAAATTCATGTGTTGGAAACTTAATCCGCAATGCAATAGTGTTGGGAGGTGGAGCCTTTTGAGAAGTGTCTAGGTCATGAGGACAGCACCTTCATGAATGAATTAATGCTGTTATTGAAAGGGCTTACAGGAATGACTTCTCTCTCTTCTGCTCTTCTGCCATGTGAGGACGCAGCATATCCTCTCCTGCCCTTCCTCCTTCCACCCTGTGAGGACGCAAGAAGAACCATACCAGGAGCTAGCACTTTGATCTTGGACTTCCCAGCCTCCAGAACTATGAGAAAATGAAATTCTGTTCCTTTTAAATTACCCAGTTTCAGGTATTCTGTTACGGCAGCAAAAATAGGCTAAGGATGCCCCATTTCTGCCTCTTATCAACTTTTGTGACTTTCCCCAACAATCCAAAATCAGCGAAACTAGGAGGTTGTAAGCATTTAATGAATCGTGTATTTGAAAGTGCTTTATAAAAGTTAAAGGTTCTAGTTTACATATTAAGAGAACAAAGCCCTATTTTAATCCCAAACTGATATAAAAGAACAGCAGCCAATGTCCTCCCATAGAAGTGTATCTCTGAGTTCCAGGCTCAGCATTCTCTGGGACCCACAGTGTGATCATTCATTGTTTGGCAAGAGCAGAGCTGTTCTGTGGGAAAGTCAGCTCTGAAGATGACTAACCATAAGGTCCTTGGGATTCTTTTTCCATGGCTGCACAGAACTCCACCACTGTAACTAGATGTCAAAGTTCAGTCCTGGGCTGTCCTGGGCTTTTCTAGGTGTTAGGACCTCACCTGTGATGTCCACCCATCATATAGGACCTTAGTTGTGTGTGTTCTCACTATTGTCTGTGTCTGTGGATGATAACAACTCCCTCAAACTTACTATTATTAGAAGAGAAATGTTTCAAATTTTGAAGAAGTGCACTGCCTTCTCCCACTCCCACTCTTTTCAATTATCCCTGGTCCCTAGAGTAGGCTTTCCAGTAGGCAGTCCCAATAATGAATCCAAATACAGGACCAAAGATGGTCTAAATCCTTCCTGAGAGTGTGAGAATTGTTCCTCCACTACTGCTTAGAGTAGCAGATTGCCTCAGGGGACCAGGAGCTGCCAGTTGGATGGGGCTTTCCACTTGAATTTCCTTTGTTACTCCCAAGAGGCCCTTGGAATATAAAGTGTGCAATCAAAATCATTATAGGAGGTTATATTCTTGTTCAGGGCATATTAAAGCATTTGTGTGAGCAATTACTATTAGACATTTCCTGCTGAGATATTCCCAGGTGCTAGAGAAGTTGACTTATTTGCTATGAGAAAACACATTACTCACTTTAATAAGTCCAGTGTCTTTTGTCAAGCTAAATTTCTCATGAAGTGTTAAAAACGTACAGAAAATCACAGATAATATAATATAACTAACATCCACTATGCTACAGATACAATAAAATGTTACAGATACAATAAAGCATTTCAGATTTAATTGAAAGGCCTGGATAGCTCTTCTTGGTACTGTTTACTTCTCACTCTCTCAGAAGGAGCCATTCCTCTAAAGTTGGACTGTTTCTTTGTTATGCATGAATTTGTATTTTTACTATATGCATGTATTTCCATAAATAATATGAAAAGATGCATGTTTTGAAATTTCATATATGAGAAATCTGCACTTTTAAAACATGTGTCAGTCCGCACTTTTTCCATGATGGTTTTTTTTTTTTTTTTTTTTTGAGACAGAGTCTCACCCTGTCGCCCAGGCTGGAGTGCAGTGTCGTGATCTCAGCTCACTGCAACCTCCGCCTCCTGGGTTCAAGCGGTTCTCCTGCCTCAGCCTCCCGAGTAGCTGGGGTTACAAGTGCATGCCACCACACCCAGCTAATTTTTGTATATTTTTTAGTAGAGACAGGGTTTCACCATGTTGGCCAGATGGTATTGTTCTCTTGACCTCATGATCTGCCTGCCTTGGTTGGCCTCCCAAAGTGTTGGGATTACAGGCGTGAACCACCACACTCGGCCCCATGATGCTTTTAAAAACATTTATATGTACAGTATATAATTTTATATAATTCAATTTTATTTTTCTTTTCACTATATGTACGTATATACCTCAATTTCTTTATTTTAGCTTTTTTCCTAGTTTTTTACTGTCACAAGAAATTGTAAAAAGAGCCTCTTTGTACATACCTTCTTGTATATGTAGAGTGGAAATTCCTCTAGTTTTTTGGGGGTTTTTTTGTTTTTTGTTTTTTTTACCTAAAAATGAAATTGCTTGGTCAAAGCTCATCGTTGTCAGGTCAGCTTTACTCTCATGATCTTACAGTGTGTTGTCTTCCAAAAGCTTCAGAGTCAACCTTGCACAGTTAGAGTTTTAATCCATCTAAAATTAATTTTCTGTTTTGTGGGAGGTAAGAATCATGAATAACATGCAAAATCATTTGTCCTAACAAAACTGATTGACTAGCTCATCCTTTTCCTACTGATTTTCCTCCACTCCTGTTGTGTACTAAATTTCCAAATTTCTGAGTTCCCTATTCTTTTCCACTGTTCATCTCCTTCTGTACCAATACCACGTGGTGTTAATTACTCTGATTGTATAACAAGATTGAATATATTATAGTTAACTTATTCTTCTTCAGCACTCTCTTAATTATTCTTGGTTCTTTATTCTTCCATATGAATTCTATCATCATCTTTTGAAGTTTTACAGATTTCTTACTAAGATTTTTATTGGAATTTCAGTGAACTATAGATCAATTTTAGGAGACTTAATACCTTCAAATAGTGGAATTTCCTACGTATGTGGGGCTTCTATTATATATTTCAATATTATTTTATTATATCTTGCACAGTCATTTGTGGATTTATTCTTATGTACCTCAAAGTTATTGTCTCTTTCGCCATCACTGGAATTTATTTCACTGCTCAGAATTCAATGAATCCTTTCAATCTGAGCCTTGTGTCATTCTTCAATTTAGAGAAATTTTATTTTATTATTCCTTATTTTTTTTGTCTTGGTTCTCTCTTTTGGAAATTTCTTTTAGACAGATGTTGAAATTCCTTTTTTGTTTTTCTTTTTTCTGAGACAGAGTCTCACTCTGTGGTCCGGGCTGGAGTGCAGTGGCAAGATCTCTGCTCACTGCAACCTCTGCCTCCCGGGTTCAAGCAATTCTCTTGCCTCAGCTTTCCAAATAGCTAGGACTACAGGCACGAGCCACTGTGCCCGGCTAATTTTGTATTCTGGTTAGAGACAGGGGTTTCACCATGTTGGGCAGGCTGATCTTCAACTCCTGACCTCGAGTCATACCGCCTGCCTCAACCTCACGAAGTACTGAGATTGCAGGTGTGAGCCACTGCGCCCTGCGCAGATGTTGAAGTTATGCTAACACTTCATGTCTCAGTTTTTCAAGCTTTTTGTGGTTTTTGTTCTGTGTTTTAAAAGACTTTCTTAATTTCATTTTCCAAATTACTAATCTAATCCTCAACTATGTCCTTTTGAGAATTTGGTCCATCTTTGGATGTTTTTATTTCAGTAATTATACATTTCATTTCAGAGAACTCTTTCTCCTACTCTGATTGCAAAGTTTTCTTGTTTTATGGATTAAATATTCTCTTCTATTCCTGAGGGTACTATTTAGAATATTTTAAAAGTTCTCTTATGTTCTTTATATAATTTATTTTTCTCATCATCAGATACTGTTTGTTAATCTTGGTTTTTGCCCCTTCCAGATTGATTTTTCTCAAATACCTGTTGTCCCTTTGTATGAAAAGCTAGCCTGACTGGGATAGGTAGTGACTACAGATTTTTCCAGTTGTTGGAATATAGGACTGGACTAAACACTACCTCATCCAATTTCCAAAATAAAAAGGTCCAGGCAGTACAGCATTTCATTCACTTTCCTCCTGGGTCCAGTTGTGTTTTTTTCCCCATCTTTCTATGATTGCTATTGACATCTAAGTGGCATACTGGATAAAAACACAGACCTACACAGCTCCCTGAGCATATATCGCAGCTACACTGTGCATTAGCTGTGTGACCTTGGGCAAGTCACTTGACATCTGTGTTTCTCATTAAAATGGGGAAAGTAGCAGAATCCACACTATAGGGTTATCATGAAGATTAAATAAATCAGTGCTTGGAAACTGCTTGAAACAGGGCCCAACACATAATAGCTGCTTTATAAATATTAGTACTGCCTGTAAACTATGTTTTTATATTCATAATAGCATAAATTACAACTCAGCATTCTTTTTTTTCTTTTTCTTTTTTTTTTTTTTTTGACAGAGTCTCACTCTGTTGCCAGGCTGGAGTGCAATGGCACAATCTCGGCTCACTGCAACCTCTGCCTCCAGGGTTCAAGCGATTCTCCTGCCTCAGCCTCCTGAGTAGCTGGGACTACGGGCATGCACCACTGCACCCAGCTGATTTTTGTATTTTTGGTAGAGATGGGGTTTCACCATGTTGGCCAGGATGGTCTCAATCTCTTGACCTCATAATCCACCAGCCTCTGCCTCCCAAAGTGCAGGGATTACAGGCGTGAGCCACGGCACCAGGACAGAACTCAGCGTTCTTAAAAGAAGACTTCCCTAAGAGGATTTCCTCCTTTTTTTAGAGAGCAATTTAAGGTTATTGACCTATTTGAAAATAGTGCTTTTCAGCTCAGTGGGAGAGTGGAGAGTAGCAATAGAGACAAAACTGTTATGAACATCTTTAATTCTTTACTTTGAAGTATCACTGAAAACTTTGGTAGTTTTCTTCTGTGTGGTATTGTGGTCCCCAGTTTCTCCATTCTTATTCTTTTTCAATCTATCAATTTGCTGTTAATGTTTTAGTAATTTTTCAAATTTTCTGCTATATTGATTTTAGCCTTCCTCATTTCTTAGTAAAGTTGTAGATTTATCCTTTATTAAAAATCTTTATATCATCTCAAGAATTATGTTGCAGAAAGTGAGATCCAAAATTATGTTTGCTCCATAACCTTGATCCAAATGGCACCTTCTGGATTTTGCAAAGAGAAAATTGTGAGTGACCTTGGCGATAGCAGGTTTAATGGACTGGTGGAAAGAGTGTAAATTTTAGCGAGTTGAAGAGTAGGTAGTAGATGTTGAAGCCACTGTAGCAAGTATGGACAATGGCCTGGACAACAGGAACATTTCCAAATTCTACTATCATTTGAGATATTTGGCATGCAATATGTATGTCCATATAATAGATATAGTGGAAGTAGCATGTAATATTTCAGAGGAACTGAAAGTGTGGAATGCAGCATGTGTTTCATAGCTGTGAAAATGCATATCTCATATACACAGAGTACAGGACTCAAGAAGCTGGAAGCTCTAGTTCCAACAGCTGTTCAAACAGATTTGTTAACTTGCCTTGAGTAAATAACTTAACCTTGCCAATAGATTATTATTTCTTGTCCCATCCCTTGCTCACTGGAGTTACTCTGGGAGGACTTATAAGCAAAGCACTCACATTTTTAATAGATAAATGTGCATTATATATATATATATATACACACACACACACACATATATGCATACACACACACATATAAAATCTTTCAAGGCTATTCACTGATAGGTCTCCAATTGCTCATTTCTCCTCTGAAGACATGTTCTCTACTCCAGTGTTTCTGTAAGATCCATGGCCCACCTACTTTATAACAACTTGGGTTTCACTGTTAAAAAGATTCCTGAGGTGCAGCCCAAACCTACTGAGTCACAATTTCTATGGATGGGCCTAATAATCAGCATTTTTCAAGTTCATGAGTGAATATTATCCACACCAAGGTTGAAGGACCACCACTTTAGTGTGGGATGCTCTCTATATGACTGTCAACAAAAAAGCAGACTCATGTTCCTGTCAGGTTACATGCATTTCTATGTCAAAGGACAACTACTGTTTAAAAGAGGAAACTGATATTTTAAAGAGCATAATTAGGATGTTCTTCAATGACAGCAACTAAAATTTGAGGAGGAAAATTGGCTTGGTCTATAGCATACATTTGTGGATGATCATATCAAAATGTGGGAGATTGTTTTACATTTCTTTCACCTTCATTTTGGAATTTGTTGCTATCACCTCAAACAGAGTTCTCAAGGCAAAATTTGAGAGTTTGGGGTATTATTAAGCCCTCTTGTTTTCCCTGATCTCCTTTTGCAGAGGGGACTAAGAAGAAACTTAAGAAGGTCTCCAGGTCCTTCCATATATCACTGTAGACAAGTGATAGAAAGGAGGAAAACCACTCTGGCTAAGCAAAACTTGTGTAAGAGGCCCAGCCTTAGAAACCTTTTCAGGAACTGCCAACAATTCTAATGGGGCTTTTTAGTTAAAGAAGCCTGGAGACTGGAACTATGTAGACACAGAGGAAATCTTGTTAACTGTCACCAGGTTAATCATTCGGCCCAGCGTTCTTTAAGTGAGAGCTGCTTTGCCACTCTCCTGTTCTGCGTGCCACAGTGCCTGAGTCCACTCCCAGCCGAGTGCCCTCCTGGGGACAACTAGAAGCACTGGCAGGTGCTCCAAGGTCCTCCTTTCCCTCTTCCCTGCCCCTGCTCCCTAACTGATGTGTGAAACACTCTAACTACTTGACCCATGGTATGAAGGTCTTTCAGTCTTAACATTGAAGGAAAAGCAATAAGTTGAATATCAGTATGTCTTGGTGAAAACTTTCTCTGTCATTGATTCCCCAATTTTAGTTCTAAAACAAATTGATTTTACTATATCAAATAACTGAAAAGTCTTATTTTTACTAAATGAGTAGTTTCTTTGAAATAATTATACTTAATTTATTGTTTTTTTCTTTTTGAAATTCTCATAGAATTTGCATTCCACTAACTGTTGTACTTAAATTTTCTTTCAATAGAAGGATGAATAGAGTCTTGATAGAAGATAACTTTGTACCTCTTACCTCTATAGCCTCTTGTCAAAATTCTTAAGGGAAATGCTAATGAGGTAATGAATACGTTAGAAATCTCTGTCTGAATCAAAGCCAAACAGTTCCCTACATGATCATCATTATAATAGGAAATAATTACCAAGCATGTTGAGCTGTGGAACAGTGCAGGTCTTATTCCTTTAAGGTATCTACTAGAGATAGATGAGGAAAATACCTAAACACACTGAAAATGTTTCAGAGAGTGCCTTGTTACTTTAGACAAATGTTGAATGAATTTCTCAGTCATCTGGGAGCTTCTATATTAGGTCTTAATCAGAGAACACATCAGTTAGCTGAAGAGCTAAATGTCCATTAAGTATAAACTTTGATTTTGTTTCCAATAGTTAGGACAAATATTAGCTAACAGGGACTTGATTTCAGTATTTTCCCAGGAGTTATTCAGAAGAAGTAATGAAGAAAGCAGGTACTTTTATTCAAAGCAAAGCATAGAGTTGAAGAGTCGGTTATTTCAGTGCTGAATACTAATCTGTAATAATTAGCAAAATTTAACATCTGAATGAATCACATCTTTGTTTTTATTTTTCAGTAAAGGCAATGAGACCTTAATGAGTCTCTGTGTATAAATGAGGTATTTAGTCAGTCCCCCGACCTCTCCCAAGCTTTTACTCTCCTCTTCAACTTTTCAGTAAAGGTTTTGGGTTTTTCCACTGTTCATGTGTAATGTCTATCAGATAATGGGCAACTGAGAGGGGAAAAGGCACAAATTCAATAAAATTGTCAGGATGCTTGCCAAGTCAGTGGGGAAACACCCAGTGTTTACCTGGCTATTTCTGTAACAAATTGCATTACAGTGTATGTATTTCACAACAACACTGCTAACATTTTAACTCCTTCATGATTTTATGAACTGTGAGCTCCTTCAAGATGCAAACCAAATTACATTTTCTACTATTTCCATACAGACTTGCTTCATGCCTGGCACACAGAAAGTATTCCATTAACACCTTCTTAATTAAATGAGGTTTTGCCACCCCTTGTTTTGTAACTCACTCAAGTACACAATTTGCAAGTTTAAATGCTACAGATGAGAGTGCATGTAACCTTTGTGGAACAATATAAAAGTGAGTTTTCTTCATGAATCAATTATTCATGGTCTGAGTTCCCAGTGACTCAGAGAGTGCCGTCTTTCAATGCTTTAATACACTAAGGAGAGAAACTCAGTAGATGATTGGTAATTCTAAGAATCTTTAGACCCCAGACCAGGAATTTGAGGCTGTACGGCTTGAGATAACGCACAGATAAAAGATATGTTTTGCTGAAAACAAAATATTTTTATAATAGGGAATTTTGCATTAAAAATATCTAGAGTTCCAACTTCTCTGGATTTCAGGAGGTTGAGCAACCCTTGGCAATAATCCTTTGGAGCTGATGAGGGGCTGCTTTCTTATAATCTCAGTTCTCCTGTGTCATGTTTCCCTTAACTTGTATTGTTTTACTTTGGACCCTTAGATATTTTAATTTGTTACCTCTTTCCTCCCCATCCCCCCATTATAGAGGCTTAAGACTTAAAATTAACCAGGATATGTTGAATATTTTTTGGCAATTTTGAAACTCTGCAGAAAATTTGCTGTGAATTAAATTTCTACTTTTGTGTTCTATCCATTTCTGGAAATTGCTAGAACTCCATCAGGAGTTATATGTGTCTCTCAAGGTCCTACTAGGACATCCATTTCCAAAGTTAACTGGACTGTCACTCAAGAGCATATAGTAAATGGCCCTCATGATAACAGAAGAACCAATGAATAATTCAACATTGTCTGATAAGCCCTGGGGGCCCACCTTCTAACATCCCTAGCTTAGAAGATCCTGGTCCTTGGTCTCAACCGATATCATGAAGGATATTGGTAAGACATGATGAGAGCGCTGGATGACATGACTCTCTGCCACCCTGACCCACACCAAGTCTTTGCCTGCTTCTGTGTCCCATATTGAAGCAATTCTTCAAAAATGGCCAAATTATCTTTATGATAATTTTAATTGTGCGGTTAACATTTTAGCATTGCTTGTGAGTTATTCTAAAGATCCTTGGAATACAGTAATTTATAATTGTGCTGGGTCAAGTATTGGATCAAGCATGGTGGGAGACTGGTAGTTAGAACATTAATGACTTCACTAGTTAGTGAGGCTCACAGACCGCACACACGCACATCTCCATGTGGCGTTGTTGCCACGTTTTTATTTTTAAGTCTGTATTTTATGGTAGTGTATATATGTAACACTGTAATTGTAGTCTCAAAATAGGAAAATGTCATGGATTTACTCTAATGATAACTATGCAATTTAAATAGGCCCTCCGTTTACTCCAAGTGCAGATTTAAAATATTTTTTTCAGATTTGGAAATGATTTTCAGTAATAATTCATAGGACATGTTGGCAGAAACATTTCTCTAGGCTCTGTCTTTAATTTTGGATGTTGCTAGTATAGTTCTTTTGCTCCATCACAGGCCTGCTTCTCTAAGTTCTATGAGGTTAGTAATATCTTTATGCAGAATCACAATAGCCCTATGTCATTCATCCCAGTAATATGCATGAGCTGAAAAGTTGGCTTGTCTTACAAATGCTAAGAAAAATGCTTCATGCCAAACTTCTTAACAGTGGCCCCTTCTTAGAGAATAAATCATTCTATGTTTTCTTTAAGATTCATTGCCAACGTTTAAATATTTATAACTTCAGATGAAGCAGGAATCCTGGTTTTGAAGTCCTGGAGCATGAGCTAAAGTCTTAAGCTCTATAATTAATAATAAGCTACATGTTTGTACAGATACAACAGGTGTGTAGAAGATCTATGTTACCTATTTGACAAGGAGAAGTGAAAATTGAATTTTCAACATGCAGGCTGATTTTTATGTTAGCAGAATAGAAAAGGGGCCTATTTTTTATCAGTTGAACAATTTAATCTCACCGTGTAGTGGTGTCTGTCACAATGATTTGAGGGAAAAAAGTCAAGAGGCAGGCCAAGAAAAGCAGGGCAGACCAAATGCAAGCATCAGAACACTCATGCTGCAATGGCCTGGTAAATGACAAAGTCTGAGAAGTCATGAAGACTATGGAGCAAGACCAAAGGTCCAAAGTCCCTGCAAGTGTTTTCTAATCATGGCATCTATGGGAAAGGGGAGAGCTAGGGCAAGCAACACAATTGAAGAACATGGATGCAGAAAGTTGGGAAAGGGCTTGGAACAATTAGTTTTCCTAACCTCAACTTCCTTTCCTCATTCTCCCTGGTTATTGTCAACTCCAGTAGAAGTTGACAATAGGAGTACAGGTGATGCTAACTAAAAACAACTGGAGGAGAGTGTGGACAGGGTCAGGGAAAAGTCACTGTTCTTTATAACAATGCAAAAAAAAAAAAAAAAAGGAAGTATGAACTTAGTATCATTCTTGAATTCCTCCCTTAAGTCAATTTATTTCCAGTCTAGGAGGCAATGTGTCTCTGTGCTTTATGGCCAGTAGCCAAGAATCTCTCTTCCGTTATAAAGAAACTTTCATAAGGATGCAGAATGGGAATCAGAGAGCAAATGGAGAATGAAAAAGTTGTGGGACTAGCGACCACTCCTGGCCTAGTATTAAACCAATCCCAAAGCCCCACCCCACTCACCAAGTTCAGCCTCCCCTGATCGCCTCCATGTGAGGCTGGCAGCCTTTAGAGAAGGAGTTGCTTCTCTTTGACAACTCTGGTTATAATCCAATCATCTCTTCTACTCTCCTCATTCCCTTGAAATGTTAGCTTTCTCTGCCCTTGTTCTCAAATACAGCTTAAGTTTGGAATCTTCATTCTTAAAGGATCAGCATTGGTTCTTCACGAGAATAGTAGTTAGAATGATTTTGATCTCTTCCATCAACTCTATCCAGACCTGTCAGCTCAGATTGCCCTGAGAGACTAGTAGAAGTTAGATGTGCTGATTTTTAACCCTGATGTCTGGTCAAAAGCCAGAGTGAATTCTAAAGATTTAAAGCAAATATCTCTATTATTTAGAAAGAAATTATGGCCTGTTTAGAAACTCTTGACATAGTCTGGTAGGTATTGTATTAACTACCACTCACTCTTCAGTAAAAAGCTGTCAATTAGTTAACTCCTTCTGGGCCATAATGAGCTAATAATGTAGATTGGTGTTGTCTAACTGACGTATAATGTGAGCCACAAATGTGAACTATACATATAATGTTAGATTTTCTACTAGCCACATTGAAAACAAAGGAAAAAAACAGAAAAACAACCCCCCACCGGTGAAATTAATTTTAATAATATAATTTATTTATCCAAATACATCCAAAGCATGATCATTTCAACATGTAATCAATATAAAACTTATTCATGTAACATCTTACATGTTTTTGTACTAAATATTTGAAATTCATATACTTACAGCATATTTCTATTTGGACCAGCTACATTCCAAGTGTTTAATGATCACTTTCACCAGTGGCTACCAGCCTTAAATAGAGGGCCTGGTGAGGTGGTTTTTCTTTCTCAGATTTACTGAGATTCCTTTGAGCCGCTGTATGAGTCAGGGTTCTCTAAAGGAACAGAACGAATAGAATAGATGAATATATAAAGGGGAACTTATTAGGAGAATTGACTCACATGATCACAATGTGAAGTCCCACAATAGGCATCTGCAAGCTGAGGAGCTGGGAAGCCAGTCTGAGTCCCAGAACCTCAAAAGTAGGGAAGCCAATAGTGCAGCTTTCAGTTTGTGGCCAAAGGCCCCAGAGCCCCTAGCAAGTCACTGGTGTAGGTCCAAGAGTCCAAAAGCTGAAGAACTTGGAGTCTGATGTTCCAGGGCAGGAAGCATCCAGCACGGGAGAAAGATGGAGGCCAGAAGACTTAGCCAGTGTAGTCCTTCCACGTTCCTCTGCCTGCTTTTATCCTAGCTGCCCTGGCAGCTGATTAGATGGTGCCCACCCAGACTGAGGGTGGGTCTGCCTCTCCCAGTCCACTGACTCAAATGTTAATCTCCTTTGACAACACCCTCACAGGCACACTCAGGAACAATACTTTGCATCCTTCAGTCCAATCAAGTTGACACTCAATATTAACCATCAGAGTCACACAGTTCTCTAAAACAAAATTATTTCCTAAGCTCTCTGTAATTTATCTTTATGATTTTAAAATGTATATTTCAGATAAGTTCAGACGCTTTTTCATTGATTGCAATTCAGATTCCTTCAAATGTCTTCCTTTCTCCAAGTAGATGGCTATCTTTGTTTCTCTACTCTATTCCACCTCCCCACTCCCACTCCCTCCCAGAGAAGAATTTTTCATAAATTTAAAGGGCCACACATTTTTCCCAAGGTGCTAAGATTTGCTCCAGACAGATCATTAGGGCTTTCTGCAACTTATCCTACAACCTGAACCCAGCCCACACCATCCTCATTAGAAGGCAGCCTACAGAGCATCAGCAAAAAAAGCTGAATTTTTTAAAGGAGAATGCCCTTCCATAGGACAGAGACAACAGAACAAGAATCTAAGGACTATGGGTCACACTTTCTAAAACTCAGCAGATCTGTCTGGAATCAATGTAGTAGACTTGAAAAATCAATTTTTCTAGTTATGCAAATGAGTTTAACTGGCTTTATTTTAAATAGAGAAGATTGACTGTGTTGGATCAGTCCTCTTTTTATTCCAATCAAATGCAGAGTAATATAAACAAAGTATGAGCAGAAGAAAGTTGGGTAGAAAATTATCTAATATACACTATATAAGAGTTCTCCTATGAGTGTGATTCCTTCTGCAGAGGGTTGCCCTGTTAGTCTTCTTTTCTTCTGGGTCTGGTGTGGTGCCTAGCACCTAGTAGGTCTCAATAAATATTTGTTGGATTAATAAACAAAATACCCAACTTTAAAAATTTCCATTGTGTGTACTATATGAATAATATTGAAAGGTACTCAATTAGTATAGGGTGAAGAATGCATGGTCCAGCTACATTGTTGTTAGCCGAATAGTTGTTAAATTATTGTAATTTAAAAGAAGTTGGAAAACAACTCCCCACCACCAGCAGCCCTGCCCTCACTGCTCAGTCCCTCCCTCATTATCCCACCTCCCAAGATCCACTCACTGAAGAACGAGGGCCTGGCGCCTTCACTGGCCATCAGTTCTAATTGGGCACATTCTGGCTGGCAATGTCTGGATGAAAATATTTTGAATATAATTCTCAAGTGTGTGTTGAACCAAACCCTCTGGAAAAGCATATGACGTAAAGTGCCTTAAGTTATATTTATTGTCCATGAAAAAACATTCCTGATAGAAATTTTTAGAAGTTTTTTATTGCTGATATGTTTTCATAAGACTATGGAATACACTGTGAAAGAAACTAATTGTACATAAGGATCCTTTTGTGAAAATAAATTTCATTCTGATTTAATATAAACCCATTAAAACATCTCATTTACCTCTCTTACAATTGATTTTGTTGTATTGTTAAAAGGTTTTCTGTACAAATTTGGCATTGCAGAAGTATGTTTCGAATAGTATGGGAAAAACAAATTATCAGAGTTTATCAGGGGTGGGGAATATTTACAAATCCTCAACAAAACTTGTAGTGTTTGGTCACACGAAGACAAAAACATGAAAGAATACCTGAGAAAAATACTTGAGACAAAGAGAGAAGAAATAAAGCTGTTAGTCATGGACACTTCTGATGCATTTTGTACAGGTATAACTTTCTATACTACAGTGTATTCTTATTTATCTTGCAGATAAATCCTCCCTTCCATTTTGAGTTTTGAAAGGGGAAAAATAGACAATTTATGAAAGCATGAAATATATTCAAAGAGCTCTCATAACCCGATTATGTGTTCTTAAGCTCTCTCTGAAGTTTTGATATAATCAAGTGAATAAATAATTTTCAAAAATCGTATGTAATACATTTGTAAGAGCATATCTTATTGCAGATAATTTCTTTATAGAATTATGCTTCAATACATGACAGGAAACTGAATTTTATTAGACAACTAAAACCATAAATAAACAAGGTGAGACTGTTTTTACCGAATTGGGAGATAGAGATCTTGTGAAGGTTTTATTAGCAACTATCAGCTAGGCCCAACAAATGATTATGGCGAAGCTTGGAAAGACAGTAGTCCATCTTAACATAGTCAAAAAGATTTCAATACAAATAAGTGTCAGGGTTCAAACAAACATATACATCCAAAATTGCTTTGCCTTGGGATAAATCCTGTCTTTGTACCACTAGTCTCATGAATTTCAATCTTCCATAGTAAGTTTGTAGTAAGGCAAAAGATAAATAAAGACATAGGGCATCCAGTAAAGTCATGGAGCCCTGTGAAGTCTTTACCCTGAGGATTAAAGAAGCAGGTGGTAGGATAATCAGATCTTATTTGTGGGCCTGGTTTTCTCAAATACGGTTTGTGCTTTATCAAATGTTTTCTCCAATTTTCTATACTTTTTCAAATCTCTTTTTTTCTCTCTCTTCAAAATCTTTATCAGACTCTCCCTTAAAAATACTGTTTCCTTTAATAATTCAGAGTATTCAGAGTATTGACGATCTAATAGATTCTTAAATATGCAACATAAAAATAGTTGGATGCGCCAAATAAATTCCTGTATTAAGGTACTATAATTTTATTTTTCACCATATAAAGAGAGCATCATCTGAGAAAGATATTTGGGAAGTAATTACCAAACAAGCTTCCACATAAAAAATGAGGATAGTTGCTGGTCAATCCATTCCCTATTTCAAAACCATTGTGTAATGGATTATAAAACAATTTTATAGCCTATCTTTAAGAATCACAGTGGACTAATTTACACTCCACCAACAGTGTAAAAAGCATTCCTATTTCTTCACAGCCTCGCCGGCATCTGTTGTTTCCTGACTTTTTATTAATAATCACCATTCTAACTGGTGTGTGATGGTATCTCATGGTTTTGATTTGCATTTCTCTAATGACTAGTGATGCTGAACTTTTTTTTCATATGTTTATTGGCCGCATGAATGTCTTCTTCTGAAATGTGTCTGTTTATATCCTTTGCCCACTTTTTGATGGGGTTGTTTGTTTTTTTCTTGTAAATTTTTTTTAAGTTCATTGTAGATTCTGGATATTAGCCCTTTGTCAGGTGGATAGATTGCAAAAATTTTCTCCCATTCTATAGGTTGCCTGTTTACCCTGATGCTAGTTTCTTTTGCTATGCAGAAGCTCCTTAGTTTATTTGGATCCCATTTGTCAATTCTGGCTTTCCTCAAGGATCTAGAACCAGAAATACCATCTGCCAGCAATCCCATTACTGGGTATATATTCAAAGGATTATAAGTCATTCTACTATAAAGACACATGCACATGTATGTTTATTGCAGCACTATTCACAATAGCAAACACTTAGAACTAACCCAAATGCCCATCAATGATCGACTAGATAAAGCAAATGTGGCACTTATACACCATGGAATACTATGCAGCCAGAAAAAAGAATAGGATCATGTCTTTTGCAGGGACACGTGTGAAGCTGGAAGCTCAGCAAACTAACACAGGAACAGAAAACCAAACACCACATGTTCTCACTCATAAGTGGGAGTTGAACAATGAGAACACAGGGAGACAGGGAGTAGAACATCACACACTCGGGCCTGTTGGTGGATGGGGGGCCAGGGGAGAGAGAACATTAGGACAAATACCTAATGCATGTGGGGTTTAAAACCTAGATGACGGGTTGATAGGTGCAGCAAACCACCTTGGTGCATGTATACCTATGTAAGAAACCTGCATATTCTGCACATGTATCCCGGTACTTATAATAAAATAAAAATAAATTAATTAATTAAGAAAAAGAATCACAGTGGAATGAGGGGGCCTTAATTCTTGGAGTTGGGAAAGACATTAGAAATAATCTAGTCTGTGTTCTTCATTTTATAAATGAGGGAACTGAGGCCTGCAAAGGTCCAATCACTTTTACAAGATTATACATCTAGGTAATGGCAAAGCTAAAACTCCTCCCTAGGACTCCTGCTCTCTATTCCAGCACTGTGCACATTATACCATTCAACATCTTCTGTAGTAGTAAAAATATAGGTATCATTGCAGAACATTCCACTTTTGACTGATACACATTCAAATCCCACTATCCAGTATGCATATACAGCCTTAAATGAGAGTCTAGTTTAGAACACAGCAACTGGCAATGTGTTGTTTTCTCAGTTACTTCAATTTCTCTCTATGGAGTCTCCATCTGTCCAGAAAAACATACGTATTTTGATGAAAACCTTAAACTTCTAAGGAAAAATCACTTGAAGGCTAATGTTAGATACATTTTTAAAAAAGCAAATAAACTTTTGTCAATAAGTAAGGAAAAGAATTATAGAGTAAGCTCTCCAAAGAATAGACTATTCGGTTCCAACCTCTCTCTGAGGTGTGTTGAGGTTCCTCTACACTCACGGGGCATTAGACAGTTGATTCTTTTTCTTCTCTAGTGCATCATGTGCATAGAGTAGTATTAAAAATTGGTTTGGACACAGGAGTCCATCTTAAAGCGGATCACGTGTGACCTTGTACATTGTTCCCACACTTAGGTAAACTCCTTCCTCTTCTCTTCCAACCCCTGTGCCAAAGCCCTCTGAAAATCCCATATGTTATTGCTTTGCAAAACTCAAATCCTGTACATTTGTCCTTGAATATGACAGTAATGTATAGTTTATTTTCCAGATGGAGAAAGTCTTTGTCATAAAAATCAATAACTTTAAAATGTATATATTAGTTAACAGTAACTTGGAAGTGATTCAAAGGAAAAATAAAGCTATTTTCACCATTAGTAAGTCCAAGGGACTCATAAAACTTTCAGTGGTGTTTGAATCAAAATATAGGCTGCTCTCTCTTCAATTAATGGAAGTTGCATAGGAATGTAAGATGGCCTTAATTTATGTAAGTTCTTAAATTTTTTTATATTTTTATTATGTATTGCCTTTAGTTTAAATTTCTACATAAAACTAAATGACTGAGGCATATTTTTGCATGTACATATTCAAACAATATTTCTCTCAAAATATTAAGAACAAAGTATATTAATTTCAGATATCCCAAACTTGACAATATGTTAAGGTTATGTATATTATTAGTTTTTCTATATAACTCTCATGCTAAACTAATTGATATTTAATTTAAAATATTATTATATTTTAGGTCACAATTTGGCTCCTTAAAATCTAAAAAGAAAAACATTTTTAAAACCTAATAGAAAGATTTCTGAGAATTTTAATGAAAGTTAAAATGGACTAAAACCATTAAGCTGTACAGGAAAGTAGATTTCGCTGCCTGGATTAAATTAAGAGCTGCCTTAAAAATACATATTTTGATATATAAAATATTTTTTCAGAATGTTAAATACATGTCTATAATAACATTGCTTTAAAAGTGAAACCAATTAATTTTGTTTCAATATTCAAACTGGGAAAAATACTAGAACAAAAAAAAGTAATGAAATAAAATACATAGGTGGTGGCTGATTTATGTCTTTTTTAGTCTTTTAGCTATTTTATATGACTTTCAGTTTAATAATTTAGCATAGTATTACAAGCAAAAATTAAACTTTCTCTCTGTGTATCCAATTTCTTTCTGACCATGCCACTTCCATGTGTTCTCTCAGATATGAGTTAACAAGACAAATGAGCAGAGAAACTATGACTCTCCATGCTGCAGAAGGAAAATGCTCCTAGCGAACATCTGCTTTGGGTAAAGTAATTTAATTGCAAAGATCACGGTGGTATGTTGAGATTTATTTCAAGGGAAGAGCAAGGAAGCAAAAGAGGGCAGTGGGAACCCTTGACACCCTCCTTCCTTATGGAATTTTATCATCAGCGGTGAAGGGGCCAAGAAAAATCTGTCTTCTTTGCTTTCCTTTGTATCAATTTCCTCTTCTGAAATAAGGAAGTCTAAACAAAATAGTCTGGACTTTGAAATATTTTATATATGTATGAAATATTTTATGTATATCTTTTTCTGTACACACATGTGCAAAACATACACACACACACATACACACACACACACACACATAGTCTAGCCCTTGCCATATTTAGATGTGTTCTCTGGACAGTAAAATCCACCTTAGCTTATAGAGGCTGCTAATTTTCCTGAGATTTCCAAGCCTATTTAAATCTATACAACGAGCGAATGTCATTAAATGAATCTGTAGGCTCAGGATAAGTGGTTCACCTATATACCTCCAAGACCAACAATGAAAAGCATTCTAACCAAGGCTTATGTTGAGGCAATGCTCATTTAGGAAGTAACATGGACTAGACTGTGATTTATGGAGAAATGGTGGCATAGATACATGTAGACAGATAGGTAAGTTGATTGACTGCAGCAGAAATCTGCTGTTGTACAATCTGTTCAGATACTTGGCATCATTAGAACATTTATGGAATAATGTCTATTGTGTAAGTCATTACCATAATTTTTTAGAGATAGTGGTTGAGATAGTAAATATTCAGAATTTAGGGCATTCATCGGATCTACTAAGACGGACAGGCAGGGAGCACACAGTGGTGTTATAGATGTCAGTAGGTTCCTAGGGTGCCCAGGTTAGGTCTTCTCTTTCTCTTCAACAATTCCAGTTGCCTTTCAGATACATACACGAACTAAGAACAACCCTTTCCACTTAGAGAAGTGGAAGGAAGCAAGGAGAGTCTTATGATACCATTTTGAATGAAATAAAAAACGTGGACTCCATGACAAGTCAAGCAGATTCAAAACATGCAAATGAATAGATTGAAGTAGATGCTAAGTGACATCTCCCAAAACATACTTCAAGGCTGACCAGTGAGTTGTGAGGCTCATCCGTGGAGGCTCAAAATGGATCTTAACATGCAAGTCCTTTCCTTCATTCCTACATGTGGGTGGTCTGAATGTTCTTGGACCACTTCTATGTTCTTGTATCATTGGAGGTCACTCAATAAAACTGAAGTGCATTGTTGATAGTTGCTAACATTTGGTATGCATAAACTAAAATTAGCATGATACTTAAGTTTGCTAAAGACTTTAATTCCATAATCCTAATAGATTTCCAGTGATTGAACAATATTATACATCTCCTCTTGTACAGGAGCTAATGAATGGTAAAAGTAAAGACCAGAAGCATTTCTCACACTAGCACAGTGCTCTTAATAGTCCATTCAGCTAAATAATAGGTTGGATCACAAAAAAAGAGACTTTTACATACCTTCATAGTCCAGAATAGGAGGTCAAATCTAAGAAGAGGAAACTTGCATAGGAGTAGAAATTGTACACTTTTAGACTTCATTTTGAAATGCCAGATGCAAAGTACAGGATTAGAGAGTCTTTGCTTTATATATATTCGTGATAAACAACATCACATTTCAGTAAGAACGTTGATGAACTTGACTTTGTGCAGGGAAGGATGAATGGTCTGGGAAACATACAGTTGAAAGAACTGAATATGGAGAAAGGATTTAGAGTAAGTAGTTGTCAGATGGAAAACTGATTCATTATTCTGTAGGGTTCTGTGGCTTCATTTGTGAAAATACAGAAAAGAGATGTGTTAGACAATTCCATAAAAGGGGATGCTTTCTTCTGCATCTCAGTTTCCTACTCTGAAAGAGGATAATTTTATTAATCCTTGGGCCAGAAACAATGAGGGAACATCTACTTAGCATCTAAAATCTTTATAACATGTAGGGAATGATGTGCTTTTCCCAGTTCCCCTGTTTGAATGAGGGACTAGTTTTCCTAATTACTGGAAGTGCTTGCCGACTGACAGCTCTCAGGTATCACAAGGCTGTGGAGTGGTACATCCAGAATCAGACACACATAAGGCTGGGACACACAAATAAGCTGCAGGTAGTCCAGATATTAGAAACCCCCTGATACCTATCATTGATGCCCCAGTGCCTCTTTCTCCACTTATTCCTGTTATAATATCAAGGACACTCACTTTATAGCGAAGGAAATGAAGCAGTGGGCAGAGGTCCATGGAATCTAGGGCTAGTGTCCCATATCACAGCCCCAGAAGCTGCAGGGCTGACCAACCTAATCATTTAGGATGCTGCGTACTCTCTAAATTGATAGCTTTATGATGTTGTGCCCCTAGTGGGATAGAATGAATGGGCTTGAGAACCAACATTCTTTCGTCCTCTTGGAGAAAGTTTGCTTCCCTTCCCCAAATCTCTGGGGTTCTGTGCATTTAAATGTCTTGGTTCCCAAAAAGGGAGTGTTTCTAGCACGTGGCCCAGTATGCATCCCACTGAACCTAAAGCTACACTGCTACCTACACACTTCAGAATCCTCAGGCCAAGGTGCCAGCAGGCAAGATGAAGAGTTACCATCATGGCAGACATAACTGACCATGATCATCAGAGGGAGGCACAGGTGATGACATACAACAGGGGCAGGGAGGAATGTGCTTGGCAAGCAGGTGATCCATTTGGGCATCCCTTGCCCAATTTTGATGGCAAATGGATGTGTGCTGCCACCTGAGAAGAACATGATGACAAGAGGTTCACATAACTCAGGGATGAAAGTCTAGGTCATGCCGGCCGGGCTCGGTGGCTCACGCCTGTAATCCCAGCACTTTGGGAGGCCGAGGCGGGAGGATCACGAGGTCAGGAGATCAAGACCATCCCGGCTAACACGGTGAAACCCCGTTTCTACTAAAAATACTAAAAATTAGCTGGGCTTGGTGGGGGGCGCCTATAGTTCCAGCTACTCAGGAGGCTGAGGCAAGAGAATGGCGTGAACCCGGGAGGCAGAACTTGCAGTGAGCTGAGATCGTGCCACTGCACTCCAGCCTGGGCGACAGAGCAAGACTCCATCTAATAAAAAAAAAAAAAAAAAAAAAAAGTCTAGGTCATGCCACCAGGTAAACTGCACAGAACAGCAGAAGTGAGAGTTGAGGGTGAGCAGTGTCTGGAATGGACTGAAGAAGACAATGAGTATTGTTGGTGGCCTTGAGACCAGTAATGTGGGCTATAGTTTGTCCCATCCTTTTCCTTTTATCAGTTTTCCTCAGGAAAAGAGTTCCATCAGAATCATGGAGGAACTGCTCTCAGAACTTCAATCCCTCCTTAGGCTCCAATGCCACCTGCTATTCAAGTCACTAACATCTTTCACCTGAAACAGTGTCTTGTCTCATAGGCCGGCCATTATCCACCACATCACAGCTAGAGGGAACTGTCAGCAACAGAAGTCAGATCATGTTATTTTTCTGCTAAAAACACCCCCAATGGTTTTCCAACGCCCTTAAAATCAACTTGAACTTCATGGCCCCAGGCTGCTCCACAGACCTCGTCTCCTACCGCTCTCCCTCATGCCCACGTGGGCCAGCCATATTGGCTTCACTCTCATGAGTATGCCAAACTCCTTTCATATCAGGAGCTTTCTCTACCCTTCTGTGTCTGGGATGCACTTTCTCCTGATCTTCACACGGCTGGTGGTGTCACTTCCTTTATGTCTCTGCCCAGATGTCACTTCCTCAGAGGGGTCTTTCTAGACACTATATCTAAAATACCCTATGTCATCTACAACCTAACTGATTAGTTGGCTTTATTTTTTTCATTGTACACGTAACAATTTCTAATGAGATTGTTATTTTATTATTAAAATGTGATTTAGGTATTAAATATTATTTAGGTATTACTGTGAGAATCCCTCATTTAGTGTAAGCTACATGTTTATCTTTATATCTCTAGCACCAAGAATAATGCCTGCCATGTGCTAATTCCTCAGTAATTATTTATTGAATTAATGAATGATGCATATATAATGTTTATTAAAGATTAACCAATGAGTGCCTTCAGTGAATTTGTTGCCATCATTTGCAGTGGATTTTGTTGCTTTTCCTTTTAAAGAATAAGCCCAAACTACAGACCACTCTTAAGAATATTATGAATGAAAAATCTGTATATCTATCATATTTTTTAAAACTATGGTTATTACATGACTAGGGTATATAGTATATTACCCTGAAAAAAATTCCACTCTCCAGCTTACTTTGGTAAGAGTATTTAATTTGCCTGAGCCAGATTTTAGTTACAAACTTCCAAATGAGTCATTGTTTCTTTGGGAACATTTATCCTACCTGTTTCCACCACTTCCTCTGGGGAGGTTAATCTAAATTCTGATAATACCAAGAAAGGCAGAACTTAAGTTTTGTTCTTATTATTAACAAGTTTAAATGACTACTTTTGAACTTTTCCTTTTATTTGAAACACATAATTGTGACTTTCTAAATTGAAGTCAGCCATTAATATATAATTCAGAGCCTACTGGATGACTTTTCTTTGTGGATACTGACGTCATTGTTCTCTTTCTCAATGGTACAAACAAAAACACTTCAGAAAGTAAACCCTTGTCTATTGTTACAGTAAGGTGCATAAGTATTCAAGCCTAATTTTTCAAGGTAACCTTTTAGGTAATTACAGACACTGTCCTGCCATTTTATGGAGGGGAACTTATTGATTTATATTTTTTTAAAAAACAAAAGGATTTGATGAAATGTTCAGTTAGCCAACCTGACAACTCTTTTATTTTTGTTTTGTAAGAGTCAAGCTTGACTTCTTACAAAATTACAATTTAGATGTTAAATGACATCTCTTAGGAACATTCAGAAATAGAGATAATTAGAAAAATAAATTTGGAAATTAGCTTGCAGGGCCCTTGGTTAGGGATCTTTGGGCATAGTGAGCCATCTCTTTAAAGAAAAATGAGGTACTATCTTTAAGAGAACTGAAGTTACCTGGACCAAATCACAGCATGGCTTATCTGCTTCCTCCCTCCCTCAAAGGTAAAATCCTCTCTGAGACACAGAAGTATCTGGTTAAATTTTATCTCAAGATAGCCTACTTGGGACAACATGCATTTACCTGCTGTGGTAGACAGAATAATGCTTCCTGGAAGATGTCCATGTCCTTCTTCCTAGAACCTGTGAATATGTTAACTTATATGGCAACAGGCATTCTGCAGATGTGATTAACAACCTTAAGATGGAGAAGCTATCCTGGGTTATCCAAGCAGGCCCAATGTAATCACAAGGGTCCTGGTAGGAGGTCAGAAGAGTCAGTGATGTGACAATAGACACAGGTCAGAGTTATGTGGCCATGAGCCAAGGAGTGTCGGCTGCCTCTAGAAGCTGGAAAAGGCAAGGAACAGACTCTCTCTTGAAGCTTCCAGAAGAAACTGGCTGTGCAAATACTCCATAGGACTCATTTTGGCCTTCTTATCTCCAGAGCTGGTAAGAGAATGAATTTGTTGTTAAAGCCACAAGGATTGTGATGATTCATTACAACAGCAATAGAAAATGAATACACCTACATTACCTTGACCACAATTTTGGGTGAAGACACTAGTTAAATATTTGCCTGAAGCTCACTCTGTACATTTGGGCATAAGAAAAGCTCTTCAGACTGTGGTTTTGAGGCAAAGTGACACAAGGGAGTACAGATCCTCTTCAGCATGTAAGTTTAGTTTAAGCTTAAGCATACTTTACATCTTAAATTTTTTAATGTATCTACTCAAATCTAGTCTAAATCTAGTGTAGTAACTCTGAGCAGAAGGCATAATTCTAATGAAAGCATAGAAAAAATCTCAAGGATTATATGTGTAGTTTGAGTAAGGCATGGCTTCGTTTCAAATGAAATGAAATCAGATCATGAGATTTAAGATTGAGAAACGCTGACTTAGAGGCACTGAGACTTGTCTACGTTTCCTGGGAAATTCTTCTTATACTTTATTTTTCCTCTTCACTATCATTATGACAGTTTCCTATTGTATTACATTTATTTAGTTCCTTAACTACACCATTGATTCCTCTGTGATTAGGATCATGCCTTAATCATTTATGTGATTCACACTTAGCACAGGGATAATGATTTAGTTTATGCTCAATATGTGTTTAATAAATTTGAATTCTCATTCTGGGATTTTAGGATCTTTTGCTGAATATCTATAATTTTAAGATCCTTTGCCAAATATTGTAGAATTTTTACCATGCAGATGCCAATGAAAGCATTTGGTACTGCTGATCAATAAATAATTGTTTGGCTCTATTAAAAACTACACACTTGTATCCTGTGTCCGATTTTTATCTCCCAATTATTTGATAAATCTTCATTGATTGTTTTATTTAAAAATTATTTTTTCTAGAATGTTAATGACAGAGCCTTTAGAAATAAGTTACATAAGATTAATGTTTTATTTTGTTGGTTGACCTCTCAGGGCTTTTTTCCATTTTGGCCTTCAGAAGTCAACAAATTAAATTATGAAACTATTTCTTCCCTTATTCTTTCACATCTTTGCTCCCTATTTTTTTCTTTTGCCTCATCCAAGTGAGGATTCTCCCGCCTGGATTTTAACTGTCTTGATTTGTAGCTGGCTCTTTTCTATAATGTACTTATGTCTTATTTTATCTGTAAACTATTATGTTAATCTGAACCCTAGAATCTTTTAAGCGACGTAATCACTTACAATGTTACCAATATCTCCTTCAGAAAATATTATTTTGATCTGAGAGTTTCAATCTAATTCATCGTGGAATTGTAAATTTCTCTGAACTACTAACTTTAGCTACCACCACTCCTATCCCTCAATGTCCCTGTTCAGAAAGAACAGGGGCCAGAAAGAGTTCTCTTTTTTTTTTGAGACAGAGTCTCGCTCTGTCGCCTAGGCTGCAGTGCAGTGGCACGATCTTGGCTCACTGCAAGCTCTGCCAAGCAAGTTCATGCCATTCTCCTGCATCAGCCTCCCGAGTAGCTGGGACTACAGGCGCCCACCACCACGCCCAGCTATTTTTTTTATTTTTGGTAGAGACGGGGTTTCACCGTGTTAGCCAAAATGGTCTCCATCTCCTGACCTCGTGATCCGCCCACCTTGGCCTCCCAAAGTGCTGGGATTACAGGCGTGAGCCACCGCGCCCAGCCCAGAAAGAGTTCTTAATTTCTTCCCTATATATATCTAAAATAAAAACCAAAAGCTTCACTGGTAAAGGTTACTACCCCATTGGATTTTTTATTCAAGTGGTCATAATTTTAAAAAATTAAATTTTGTGCACTTTGTAGACTAAGTTTTGTCTGAAAGTAGGTAACTTTGAGGTAGAGCAAACCAATGCCTCAAAAAGGGATTTCCTTTATTACCAGCTAAGGAGTATTTTTGAATATCGATCACAGCTAATAATTTCTGAGAATGCATTTACTTTTTAGAATATTAACAATTTTGATCATACAGAATTATTTTTTTTTGCACTGAGAAAGAGAAATCTCTATTCTTCCTATAGTGAAAGTGCATGGCACATAACAGTGCAATAATTTTATCACTTTCACTCATAAAATAATTGCAGAGTGGGAAAAGGCATCCTACCAAAGGAAAAAAAAAGTAAGGAGAAAACCTATGTTAAATAATGAAATATCTAACTGTAGAAATGTTTTTAAAAGTAACATTGTTCCTTTAAATTTAATGCTGACCACAATGCTTTGTAATTTTCCTTACGAAAACTGGATTTTCCCAGCATGACACCCAGTGCTGGCATCAATATCAGACGCTTAAAAATACTCATGCCAAGGAGTTAACAGGAAATATCTTGGCAAATTCAGAGTCCAAAGGAAAGCACAAAATTGTCAGAACGCATATCGTGTTTCTCAGAATTATCTGTATCATGTTGGAAGTTTTTATACGGAAGTGTGTGTTGACACAAATGATTAAGGCCAGGATTCCTACAATTGACAGGAAAATGACCTATAAATAATGACCTCTGATGGACTTGTCATGCAGTCATTAAGTGAAATATTCTAGTACCAGTTTCCTCTCTTTGGTATCCCAGTTTCCGGCTTCTGTGAAGTACTTTTCCTTTGCGAAGATCACTCATTTTACCTGAGACCATCAGATTTTCTCTGGGCTTTATGAAATGATAATTTCATTTACTGTCTTAGCAGATAGCAATATCAATTGAGTTTCACAGCCTTTTTGGGGCACAATTTTGGTTACACGAAAATTTTTTCTGAAGAACCTCTTATTTCTATTGTTATCTAAAATGCAAAGTAAACTGCTTGAAATATTGAAAGTTTAGGATTTTTTCAAGTTTAAGATAAAAGTTAATTTTTAAAGTCATTAAGCAACTAGTTTGCCTATTATTTTATATAATGTATTGTCGATTTTTCATTAAATTTATACATTTCAATATAATTCCTTGGGAAATGGTATTCAGAAACTTGCAAATGAGATATTATATTTCAATTATCTCACCATATATGTATATCATAAATGAAATGTAAATTTCTAGAAAACTAATTTTATTAACCAAACTGAGGACAGTGAATGAAATCACAGTTCACTTTTAATTTTCATAGGGCCCATTCAGGTTTTCTTCTCTTTAGTCATTTCTCCTTCTAACCCCAAAACACCCTATGAACCAGTGGTCTATTTTTTTTCCTTCTTCTTTCCCTTTTTCCCTTCCTTCCTTCATGTCTGTGGGTAAGAGATTGCAGAGGAAAAGTAATAAGTGATAAGCCCTGTCTTCTAAACCCACAAGCAAGATGCATGGATTTAAGCACTTAAAGGAAAAGAAAAATAAAGAATTTGAAACTATGTCACAATATCACCATATTATATTACATCAGTAAATAACATCATTGAAGCAAACATATAATTGAGCCTGAGAAACACTTACAGGAATCAAAAGCTGAGGGCTGCACCACCAAAGAGAGAATCAGTACCCTATAAATTCTACATTTCATGACTTATGTTGCTCATTCTAAATGCTAATCTTGGGATAACATTTTTTTAGGAGCACTTTTTTTAAAATTTAATTTTAATTTTAATTCATTTATTTTTTGAGGCAGAATTTCGCTCTTGTCCCCCAGGCTGGAGTGCAGTGGCACGATCTCAGCTAACTGCAACCTCCGCATCCAGGGTTCAAACAATTCTCCTGCCTCAGCCTCCTGAGTAGCTGGGATTACAGACATGTGCCACCATGCCCAGCTAATTTTTTTATATTTTTACTAGACGGGGTTTCACCATGTTCGTCAGGCTGGTTTCAAAGTCCTGACCTCAGGTGATCCTCTGGTCTAGGCCTCCCAAAATGCTGGGATTACAGCCTGGCCTTAGGAGCACTTTTAAAATGACCACTTTTAAAACTCCCACATAAACAATCTCACATTAGAAGATATGTAAGAAAGAAATAATATATTGATCCTGTAACAAGGTATAGAAATTCAAAATGAAAAGGACCTTAGAATTATTTCATTTAAACTTCTGATTTTAGAGCCAATGAAAGTGAACTTGAGAGAACTTGGAGCCAATGCGACTTGCCTACATCCACAGGGTCAAAAATAAAACTGGTCTCTAATCAACGAGAATCTGATAAAACATGCTGTATGTTCTGAAACCCAATTCTAATCATGAGCCTTGGATTAATTAAAGTCCCTGGAACTTGCAATTTCTGTTCTCTCCCTCTGCCTCCTCATACATTCTCTTTGGATGGCATGTGTACCAATCAACATTGCTGTGTGGTTTACACTAGAGGCTGGAGACTATGAGAAGAGGAATAAGACCCAACACCTACCTTTATAAAAGACTCACAATCGGCCGGGCGCGGTGGCTCACGCCTGTAATCCCAGCACTTTGGGAGGCCGAGGCGGGCGGATCACGAGGTCAGGAGATCAAGAACATCCTGGCTAACACAGTGAAACCCTGTCTCTACTAAAAATACAAAAAAAATTAGCCGGGCCTAGTGGCAGGCGCCTGTAGTCCCAGCTACTCGGGAGGCTGACGCATGAGAATGGCATGAACCAGGGAGGCGGAGCTTGCAGTGAGCTGAGATCACGCCACTGCACTCCAGCCTGCGCGGCAGGGCGAGACTCTGTCTCAAAAAAAAAAAAATAAATAAAAATAAAAATTAATAAAAATAAAAAAAGGACTCACAATCATGAAGGAGAGATAAAACATGCACACATAAAATAAAATAAAAGGAGAAATTCAATACTTGACAGTGAAGTCTGATGCCATCCAGAAGAGTCTTAATTGGAGTCTCTTGAGCTAATATCTTTGCCCCTTGAACCACTTTGATCAAGGCTTCATGAATAACCTTTCTAGAGCACCTCTGTGACTCTACTCTTTTCCTACTTGAAATCAATGGGTGGCCGTATCAGAAAAAAAATCTAGTCAGCACTTAATACAATACGAACTCTCCTTCCACCCTTCCTCCAGATCTTTTCCTAGGGCTAGGTCTCATTAGCCCTAAAATGGAAGTGATCTCCAGCCAAACGGCACAGCCCACTATTGCCTGACACACTATATTTTAAAAATTTGCCTCTTTTCTCCTGTTTGTGACATGCTATGTGGTATGCCTTCTCTTCATTCTTGTCTATCAAAATTCTACCATCATTCATAGCCCAGCTTGAGGGCTGCCTTTGTCATAACGCCTTTCTTGCCCAATCAGGAGTAATCTTCCCATGCCCAGAACAGCTTTGGAAATAAGGCTATATTGGTTTGTAGGCACTTAACACATTTGCCCCCTAACTATACTTCCATTTTTTTTTTCTAGTATAGTGTATGTTCATTGAGAACTAGGAATATCAACCTCAGATAAATAATAAAATTTGGAAAAATGGCAGTACAGCTTTCTAATAGAAAATCTCAGGAACTAATTTTTAAAATGCTAGTTAAGAAGGAATTTAACATTTACTTGGCCTAACTTGTCTCTCAATAAAGAAAGAAACAAAAAGAGCTGAATATTTTATGAGAGAGTAGGTTTCATTTTTAAACAATTATAATTGAAGAAAATCTTTGATGCATTAGAATAAGCCAAGATTTCTTAGGACAATGAAAGCACAAACCATATAAAAATTTTTTTAGTTGGACTTAATTAAAAGTAAAAAGTTTGGCTCTACAAAAGGCACTACTAAGAAAATGAAAAGTCAAGTCATAGAAAAAATAATTCACAATACGTATATTTGATAAAGGCATTGAATTTAGAATATAGAAAGAAATCTCATAATTCAACAATAAAAAGGCAAAAAAAAGAGGAAAATATTTGAACAAATACCTCACAAAAAGACATACAAATAGCTAATAAGATTAGAAACAGATGCTGAACTTCATTAGCCATCAGGGAAATGCAAATTAAAACCACCACAAGATACTACTACATATCTACTAGACTAGCTAAACTTGTAAAAACTTGACAGCATCATCTGTATTGAATACACACAGCAAATAGTACTCTCATACACTATTAGTGGGGTGTAAAATAGTAAGCCACTTTGGAAAACAGGTTAGGCAATTTCTTATAGTTAAATATGTATTTTTAAAAATGGACCCAGTAGCTCACTTCTAGGTATTTGCTCAAGAAAATATGAAAACATATACTCACAACAAGATTTATACATGAATGCTTATAGCAAACTTACTCAACCTGGAAACAGCTGAAATGTTCTTAGGTAAATGATAAATTGTGAAATACCACGTAACGAAGTACTACTCAACAATAAAAAAAATTACTACTATACATGCAACAGGATGAATGAATCTCCAAATTGTACTGAGTGTAAGAAGCCAGACTGAAAGAAATCCACAGTGCATGAGTCCATTCCATAGTGGCAGAAATGGTTCCCACGTTGAGGGTGGAAAGGGGATTATCTGCAAAAAGGCTTCAAGAAGCTTTTGGTGTGATGGGGGTGTGCTGTATCCTGATCATTCAACTCTTATGACTGCACAGTGTAAAAGAGAAAAGATTGTATTTACCTCTACAAAGGGTGAATGTCCCCCTTCCCTGGAAGGCTACTTATTTTTACAGTAATAGGTTAACTATGGAATATATACTATTATTTCAAACTAATTGAAATATATCAATTGAGTGAACTATCACAATCGTTTCAAAGTGAATCATACTGAAAATTCACTCATGGCAGCTTTTCTTTAATTGCAACACAGCAGAAAATGAAAGAGAGACATTCCAAAATTCATTTCCCAAAATTCTTGGGGCTAGATGTGCTCTGGTATTCAGAATTATTTGGATTTTAGAATAATAATGTGGTGCATATATTATACCCCATCTGTAGCAACCCTTAATTAATATATTAATACTTTTGTTGTGAAACACATGAAAATTCATACAAAGTAAGTTAAATTAAGACTATTTATAGCCTCATGTCAGTTCAGAGCATGTTTTTTAGCCAAATAAGTTCTAATACCACAGTTACCCAAATCTTCAGTTTGGATTTGGGAATTGCAAGTAAGGAAATGTGGACCTGTTTTAAATAATCAATTTATCATTGATTATTAAAATGGTTCAATAGAGAACATGCTTGCCGTGTTCCAAGGTTATATACATGCTTGTGATGAACTGGAACTGTTGTCAAGTATAGGAATCTTGGCTCACACTAAATTCATGGCATTATTCTTTGAGCGGGGAAATTTAATCCTAGACGAAGACAGAGTTTTTGGTTTCAGTGGACTTACAATGAGGATAAAGTAACATTTCTTTGACTTGAATGAAACATCCTTTTACTTTTATTTTCATTTTAAAATGTATACCCATAACACAAAACTATATGAAATGATGGATCTCTTTATACAAAATACAGTTTTCCCATTAAAATGAAAAATCAAAAAGTTTAACATGGAACTGAAGACTAAATTTTAGTCTTAAATATTACATTTTTCACTGGAATCATTGCTTAGTTCTCATTCAACCGGGCCTGATAACTTCTATGTCCTGGCCGTGCTTATAGGCACAGGTGTGTGTATGGACATCTGCCTCCATGTCCTAAGGAAACTCTGATAGACATGCTATAAAATGGAGGTAATGTGATACAGTACAAAGAGCATGAAGATGGGGGTTAGTCTCAGATTCTAAGTTCTCTCTTAAAAACCTATGACTGCAAATAATTCAGCTGTTCTGAGCCTAAGTTTTATCAACTATAATTGAGACCTGTAAATAAAACTTTTTAGAATTGTTTTTAAGATTTCATAAGATACTGTCAAGCATTCAATACAGAGTAGGCACTTGATAGGTGGTAATTATAGTGAGTTTATTTTAGTATTAATAAACTTTAACAGAGAAATCTATGGTTAAAAAGAGAAGTATATAATTGTGTTAGAGACTGGCTTAAACTTCATCTTGTGAAAATGTTATTCACTTCTACCTATAAAACTATTACAAATTTCCAGCACAGGAATTTGGCAAGAGATATGTTTCATAGTGTTTGATGAAACCACACATGACCGACTGACTTACAACATCCCTTATAAAACCCATGGTCAGGAATCACAATCCAACTAGTGTAAAGAAAGCTCAGAATTATAGAAGAAAAAAATTACAGGAGAAAAAAATTCATTCAAAAGGAAAGATGTAAACTGTAACCAGTGATGCTCAAAAATTGAAGGTCTGATTCAATTTTGACATAGCGAATGAAATTGGACTCATTTTATGAAAGCTTGGCTATATTATCTGATGAGGCAAATGAGGGAAGAAGGTGTTTTATTGCAAAACATTAACTGTAAACAATCAACTAGAATCCATTAAGCTGTTTATTCTTGAAATCATTCTTTCAGACTGATTACTTAAGTATCAAATGCAATAAAGCAATCAGCTTATTCTTCTTTTATTTATTTGTTTTTTTACTACTTAGTTCTTATGGGAAATTCTATCCAGGTCATCATAACACAATTGAAAACAACTGATAATGAAAAGAATGCTAATTGGTTTCCTCTCTCTCTTATCACTGATCCGTACACAGTAAGTAATGCTTCCACATTCTTCCTCCTGTTTGTATCCAACTTTTCTATATATCTAGACTTTAACATTTTTTGGAAGAAATCATGAACTAACAAAGCAATGCACGGCATTGATAAGCTATGTTAAATAGTAGACAGTGCAATGGAATAGAAATAGTGTGTTTAAAGTCATTAGACCAAATATTTATTGGGCAAGCACTAACACAAGTGCCAAGGTTAAAAAAATGATACCCAGGCTTTGGCTTTGGGAACCCAGAGTCTAGTAGGGGAGATATATAAATACACAAATACAGCACAGAACAATACATGTAATAACAGACTGTAGCCAAAGTAATAAACATTTAGACAAATAATAAACAGGCTGGCCCACAGAGACAGGGTCATTACGCTACTCAAAGCCTTGTGTTCTGCTCTGCAACTTCTGTGACTAAATCAAATCATCTTAAGTTGGGTCAGCCAAAAGCTGTCTGCCATTCCAGTCCTTCAGTACCACCTCCTTCAAAGAGACTACTGGTAGGATTAAATTCCTGAGTTCTCAGGCCTGTAATTCCTGTTTAATCCAGCCAATATCCAAAGTCTCAGTGACATCCTTTTTAAAAAAATAGTATTAATACAATCTATGTGCCACATTTTCTTTATCCAGCCTATCATTGATGGGCATTTGGTTTGGTTCCAAGTCTTTGCTATTGTAAATAGTGCTGCAATAAACGTACATGACCATGGCCATAATCATGACCATAACCATGATTGACTATAACCATAACCATAACCGTGATCATAACCAATACGATAACCATGACCATAACTTTAACCATGACCATAACCATAACCATAACCATAATGCTTCTTATCTTTACTGCCCTCCTCTTCAGCTTGGATTCCACGGTCCCTTTTTTCAATTACTCTTTTCTTCCCTCTGAACTCCAATTTCCTCTGCCTTTTCATTGCCTTTATTTAGCAAAACTAAATCCTAAAGGAATGCATTTTAGAATGACACTTAAGGAAATAATAGTAGGACAAAGTAACACTATAAATTTATCATTATCGTCTAGGTCATTAGCAGTGCCTGCATAGCCCAGTATATTTCTCACTCACTAGCCTCAATTATTCACACTTTTCTTAACTTTTTCTCACTCTCAATTTACACCATGCCAGACCCATCATTTTTCAGACCCAGATGAATTCACTTTCTAAAGAGAAAAATAGAAGGTATCATATGGATATACTCTTAATTCCCTTAATTGGATAGCATTTGCACTCATCCTGTTATTCTCTTGTTTAAAGAGGAGAAACGTTGTCCCCTCTCCCTTTTAAGATCAGTCCTTTCACAACTGCCCTAAATTCAATTCCCTCCCACCCTCCCAGGGAGCATGCAAAGTCCATTGTCTCTTTTCTCTCCTGTGTAATTAATCCCCTTCTTTCTCAAATGGCTCCTTTCTGTGAACATTTAAAAACTTCTTTTCATTTTTAAAACAAAACAATAAAAATACAACTTTCCTTGAACCCAATTTTACCCCTATCATCTTCTGTTTCTTGACTGTGACAGTCAAATTTCTTGAGTATCCAAAGTGCATCTGTCCTCTTTTTAACCCCGCATTCTCTCCTCATCAGACTCGAGTCTGCCTTATGAACTTAAGTACTATGTACTTACATGCTCCACTGACAAATCTCTTACTACCATCAACAATGACCTCCCTGCCACTCAATCCAAAAAGCAGTTTTCTATTCCTTGGCCTGGTTTTCTCTGAGTAGTGCTGATCCCTTTGGGTTAGAAGTTAATATAAAGTAGTAGTTAAAACTGGACTCTGGAGTCAGACGGCCTGGGATGGCTTGCTGGATCTGCCCAGTACTAGCTAGGATCTCAAGCAATTAATTAAAATTTCTTTGTTCCTCTGTTTTCTTCCACGTAAAAGAGAAATACCTGCAATAATAGTACCTTTTCCTAGGACTGGCATAAGAATACAATAAATATTTGTGAAGTTCTTTGAACATAGCCTGATACCTACTACATTCTCAATAATGTCACTTTAATTTTATTGACACACTCCCTCCTTCTTGAATAACTCTATTCTTAGTTTCCCAAACTTCACACTCTGTTCATTTTGGTAGAATGACTATTTATGACTGCACTGGAGAACATACAAAAGGAAAATGATATGCTCAGGGGTTTAATAATGTCAACTGAAATAGAAAGCCTCTCCGTGATCCTAAAAAATCTCTTGCTTTTGTACATACGAATTTATTTTTGTTTGTATGCACCAGGGTAGATATGGCTAAAAATTAAACTCAACATTTAAGTATCTGGGTTAGTATAGAATTACCGTGTAAGAGGTATTCACAGACTTTCCAAGTTTCCTAAGTGGAAAATTAGGGCATTGATTATGAAGAGATAGAAATACTTAGGTACACATGCATAAAAGTGAAAATTGTGAATCTACTTTAAGCATTCTTTCAATGGGCTGCTTATTTTCTTTAAGGCCTATTCCTATCGCCCTTATTGTGTCTAGACCTATAGCTAGAGAAATCTGAGTCCATTTCAAGAGAGACAAGTGAATAATCCAAGCTAGGAAGAAACAGGTTATACTCCAAAGATAGCAATATTATTCTAAATTATATTGGCATAAACCTAGGGGAGCTACATGGGAATCAATTAGTAGGGTGTTAAACCAAGGAGCATAAAACACAACATTGGATCAGACCAAATTAATCAACGCAGGTGCACTTGTTCCAGATTTAATATGGTAGGTTGGACAGATAAGAGTGTTCTCTTTGTGACTTCTTTCTTTCTACATGTCTTAAGGTCCAGCCCTGCTTCCTGTTAGCACCCTAGACAATATTACCAATACTTGGTTTTATATACTATTTATTTTCCAATAACCTTAAATATATATATCTCACTGCCATTTTTTTTCTCTGAGTCCTAGACCTTTCGATTTCAAAGAATCTTCTCAAAATCTCCATTTGGATATTTGAGAGAGAGAAATTTTAAAATCCATATATCCAAAAATAAACTCATCATTCCTCTCCTAAAGATGGACACCCTAGAGTGCTCCTCTCCTACAAATGGCTAGACTATCCACCCATTCACGTAAGTGAGAAAACTGGGATTGACTCTCGTCACTTCCTTCATCTTCACTGCCAATAACCAATCACCAAGTCTTGCTGTTTTACCCACTAACAGCTTTCTAAGTCATTCACTGTTCTTATTTTCACATTTCCTCATTCCTCAAAGATTTCAGCACCTGAAACACTATCACTCTTTTCAACATGTGATATCTGTGTAGATTATCTGTCGATATCTTGGACTCTAAATTCCTTGGCAGTCTGTCTCCCAGTGATCTTTCTTGTACCCTATCCCAGACGCTAACATTCAGGGTCATGCTGTCATCTTTGTCAATGGCAGCCCTGAAGTTCCTCCAAATTTTCAGTTTCAAGCATCACATTCTCCAGCTGACACCTCCTCTTTGCCTGCCAATGCTTACTAGAATAGAACTCTAACAATTATTTCACCAATCTGGTGCCCCAGCACATCAATCCTAATAACTCTTTTCTCTCCTCATGTCCTCTCCTTTCTCCTTACCCAGCTTAAATTCATGGCAGTCCTTCTAATTATTCTTTGAAACTGCTCTGAACCCCTTTGCTTTCTCTCACTTTTGTGGTACTTTTGGCAAAGCAACAACCTTTTTAAATTATTTGCCTAGTCTCTGCTTGCATCAACACAGATTATCTCTCCTTTTCACAGAGATTGGCTAAAACAGTTCACCAAACGTATTTTCCTTTCCTTTTTGGTACAAGGCTAAATGATGTTTCCTGGGTTCTGTTCACCTAAGGTGCAGCCATGACATTGAATTTTAGCCAAGACAATGTGAGTAGAAATGATGCATACTACTTCTAGGACTGGCATAAATAAAATTTATGGAAATCTTGCATTTTCTCCCATCCTCAATTTTCCAACGGGGTATCAATTCCCAGGACAAACTTGAAAAACATGTGTTGAGTTTCTACTGGCCAAGATCACTGAAAGACTCAGTTGTATAATCTAGGAGTTCATCCTCATTATGTCCCATTACCTATTAGGCTTTATGTTACTAGAATAGAAATTTCTGTTGTATTAGGTTACAAGATTTCAGGATTTATCTGTCACAGCAGCTAGCATTACCTTAACAAAACCACTGTAGAGCTATGCAAACTCAGCTGCTAATTGGTCTAACTTTTAAATTCATAATCACTGATCTTAATTGTTTCCCAGCATGAACACTAGAGTCTTCTAATCAGTCTCCTACTCTCCTAGATAACAGTTCATACTTTTTTATTCTTTCCTTGAAACTCACACCTGAATGTCTACAAATCCCATCATTAATACCTTCAAAATATATACAGAATGTAACCACTTCTTTATCCCCATCTATTTTGATTGAAATAGCCTCCTAGCTGGTCGATCCCTCAGTCAATTCCGACACAACAGCCAGGTTGATGCTATCAGAATGCAAGACAAATCTTTTGAGATCTCAAAACCCTCCATGACTTCGTATCAGTTAGAGTCTAGCCAGGAAAATAGGAGCCACACTGGATATCTCAGTCTAAGAGGTGTTTTCCACAGATGTTGGGTGCCTGAAAGAGAAAAAGGGTAACACAGAGATTTAAAAACTCAGGCAACAGCTGATACTGCTGGTTGTTGAAACAAAAGGGAAGGGGTGGGGTTACCAGAATCTAGGAGCTTAGAAGAGGGGCTCTGCAGAGCTGGTTCTATACTTCTAGGAAAATAGCCACTGCCCTAGAGCTGCTGATTCCTCCGAGAGTGTGCCACAGCGCTGTGCTGGAAATGCCACAACTCATGGGAGGCTGGATCTAGCAATGCCGTCAAAGACAGGAAAAACAGGAAGGAAGTTCCTTCTGCTCTTCTCTCTATGCATCCTGCAGATGGAACCTAAAAGGAAGCTTGCTGGCAAGGGTAACTGGAAAATGTAATTTTCAGAGTCCTCCCAGCATCACAGAGTCACCTTCTTTGGTTTCTCAGCACTCCTAATCGCTCCTCTCCATGTATTTTAACTTCCATGCAACAACAGTTAACAACTTCATGCTTCCACCTAGCAGGATGCAACTCTCTTTTACATAAATGAAGTCATTCGTACTTTCTTCCACATATAAGAGACTCAAAGTCCTAACATTTACTATGCCCCATCTGGGAGTGGTGATAAATCCTCTTTTTCAGTTGCAATCACATCAACAATCCTTACATGAAGTAATAAGGGATGAAATAAAGGATGAAAAAAATCCGTGATTCCTATGGCTTCACTTAGACTCACTGGTGAGTCCATGGTCAGCTGCTGGGCTGACTGTGCTGGTCTTTGGACCCTCTCACGTGCCTGGGGCCTTGGCTATAACAGCTTGTCTCTATTCCACATGGTTTTTCCTTCTCCAGATGGTGGGCACAGGCTTTTCTCCATGGAAGTTGCAGGGTTCCAAGAGAGAGAGGAGGAGGATACAAAGTCTCTTGAGAAGCAAGCTTAGAACGCACACAATGTCACTTATATTCTACTGGCTAAAGCAAATCACAAAGGCATCCAAATTCAAGACATTGAAAAATAGATTACACCTCTTGAAGGGAGGTACTGCAAAGATTGCTATTTTGCAATATGCTACATGTATACATAATCAAGAAAGAAGACATACATAGCTTTCCTTTTTCCATTACATTTTACCCTTCAATTGACCACTGTGACATGGATTTTTACTTGATTCCATAGGTACCCACTTTTTGAGCAGTGATCCAAAATGATTTTTGAGTCCCTAGAAGCATTGATTTGGTCTAGTGTACGGTCACCTATCAAATGCAGGCAGGCATGTCTCAGGAAGATCTAGAAAACTTTTACAGTATTCAGTTGTGGCAGTGTTGAAGAGTACTTTCTCAAAAGGACCCAGTCTTCCTTTTGATCAAAGAACTCCAAGTCTGTGAACGCCTTTAGGTTCGGGAAGTAGATGAGAAATTGTGAATACTCAAGTCCGATTTCTGCCCATCAAACATAGAGTTCTCTTATTATGCTGATTAAGTAACACTTTAGAAATCTGCTTATCTATTTTCCTCCTAAGTCATTTCATTTCTAAGGAATTAAGTGAGCATAGACAAAGGTCTCTGCAGGTCAATTCTGATTTCTAATTCTTCCTCGCTATCTTCACAGAAATTACATAACTCTTACTTATTGAAGTGAGTATTACTTCTTGACTTCACTACTCTGCGATCCCATGATATACATTGAAATTAGGGATCCTTTTTCAATAATAGCATCTGCCCTTGCCATCTTTACCCTTCAGAGGATGACTGCCATTGAGCTTTACAAAGATACTGGCACACGCTCTAGAAAAAGGGATGTCTTCTGGGCCCTCTAAACAAATAGAGAGGGGTGGTGGGTGTGCAAGTTTCACGAGTAAAGTCCACTCTAACATTCCTACATCCCTAAGCCATTTTTGACACCAGGCCAGGAAAATTCTCATCCAACCTTCCTGCAAGAAGGCCACCATTGAATCCAGTAAATTAAACAATTGTTAGAACAATTTTAGTCTGCTCAACCTATCATATTAAATCTGAAAGAAGTATACCTGAGAAATTTTATGTGCTACAATGTCACATTCCATTCTTTTTGGTCTAACATGATATTATTATACATATGCTATAATCACATATATCCCCTAGGTTCATGTCAATATGATTTAGAAAAATACAGCAATTCTTTTGGAGTATAACTTATTTCTTCTTACACTGGATTTTTCACTTGGCCCTGTTACTTAGATTGCTTTAGCGGTATAGGCCTAGACACAGTAGAGGTGGTAAGTCTTGAGGAGAATAAGCATCTCGTTGAAAGGAATGCTCAGAGTGGATTCAAGGTTTTCAACTTTATGTTCCATCAGATATCCCTATTTCTTTCCAATCAGTCTTAATTTTCACTTAGGACACTTGCAAAGTCTGTGAATGCCCCTTTCATTGTAATTCCATAACTGACCTAAATAGTTAAATGTTGAATTTGGTTTTCACACATATTTGCCCTGCTATATACAAACTAAAATAAATACATTTGTACAAAATAAAAGATTCTTCTAGGATCACAAGAGAAGCTTTGAGATTATTAAATTCTTGAGTCATTTTCCTTTTGTATAGTCTCCAGCACTGTCAGAAATAGGCATTCTACCCAAAAGTCATCACAGTCATTATTACCACCATATCTATCACCTGCAGCAGTCATTTTATCCCCCAAGATACTCATTTACATAAGCATTTTATCCCAAGCAATCCCAGGTAATAATTTAATTAAATATTGCATGCCATGTCAGCATCCTCATTTTCTACTGATCAAGAACTTAACATTAAGTTCAAGGTCAAGGACGTATCTTAAACATTTCCATAATCCCATCTTTGAGGGTTTTCTGGCATCATTCCCAGTACCTGACACTGTAACCATCAGGAAAATAGAAACCACCTTAAGGATTTGGAACAAAGGGCATTTAAGCAGAGAATTAGTAACATAGGTGTTTGAGAGCTAAAGAACAAAAATGGAACATTTCAGTAACCTGGATATTAAAAACTAAAGAGGCTGGCATCTCTACATCTTTAGGACCAAGGACAGAACCCAGAGGGCTAACAAAGAAGCACCATGGAGTTGGTACACAGACCTCTGAGAACGGATCCTAAATGGCTATCGCTGCTACCTGGCATCTCACCAGAGAACTGGTTCTGGAAGCTCTCAAGGAAGGTTGAAGCTTTTAACTGCTACTGACCAATACAGGAAAAACAGAAATGTGTAAGTCCCTTCTCTCTTTTCCTTGCCTTCTATCGGCAAAACTTAACGGGAAATCATTTGACTAATGGGAAAATGTAGTTTACAGAGTCATCATAAAGAAGAGTACTGAAGGGTGCTTTGGAACCAAGAGCTAATAGGTCAGTAGCTGGCACAGACTCGCCATCTCACCCAGAATAAAAGCTAAAATCCTGTAGTGATCTATAGTTACTACATAACCCAGTCCCTTGTCACTCTCAATTTCATCTCACTCCTCCTGCTCCTGCCATAGAGACGCCTTGATCCTTCTTGAACACACTAGGCATGTTCTCATCTCACACCCTTCGCACTCAGTGTTCATTCTGCCTGAAACGCTCTTCCCTGAGATCTTCATGGCTCACTCCCTCATTTCCTTCCATTCAATCATTACTCTCTCAGCGAGGCCCTCCTTAGATTTTCCTCCTACAGTTTCACCTCACAGTGGCATCTTATTTCCCTTTTCCCTGCTTTCTTTTTTCCATATGTACTTATCATCCTATAATATACTATATATATGCATATATTTTTATTTATTTTATTTTATATATATATATATATATATATATTTTTTTTTCTTTTTTAAAGACAGAGTCTTGCTCTGTTGCCCAGGCAGGAGTGCGATGGTGTGATCTCAGCTCACTGCAACCTCCACCTCCTGGTTTCAAGCGATTCTCCTGTCTCAGCCTCGTGAGCAGCTGGGACTACAGGTGCGCGCCACCATGGCTGGCTAATTTTTGTATTTTTAGTAGAGATGGAGTTTCACCATATTCATCAGGCTCATCTTGAACTCATGACCTCAGGTGATCCGCCCGCCTCGGCCTCCCAAAGTGCTGGGATTACAGGTGTGAGCCACCGTGCTTGCCCTAATTTTTGTATTTTTAGGTAGAGATGGGGTTTCGCCATGTTGGCCAGGCTGGTCTCGAACTCCTGGCCTCAGGTAATCTGCCCACCTCAGCCTACCAAAGTTCTGGGATTACAGGCATGAGCCACCGCACTGGGCCAATATACTATATATTTTATGTATTGATCTTATTGTATGTCTTCTCCAGTAGAATGTGAGTTCCACAAGATAGAGACTTTTATTTGTTTTGCTCATGGCGGAATTCCAGTGACAGAACAGTGCCTGGCAAATATTTGAAATTAAACAAATATTTTTTGAATTAGTGAATATACTAATACAACCCTCATCCTAGACAACACTCACCTGGACACATCCAGGAGTCTACTAACTGCTCTCCCTTAATTCATTCTTGTCTCTGCCTATCCATTTGCAATGCTGCTGGTATAGTAATTTAAATAAAATAATTATACATTAGACTACATTCTGTCCCTGCCTCTTCACCTCAGTCATGGCTGTATAGCTAATATTGACTTATTTAAGTAAACTCTATTCATTCAGGGTTTCCTTAATCATTTAATAGTGAGGATTTCTACCTATGACAGTTATTCAACAGTTTTTCACTTGACTTGTGTTTTTAGTGATCTTTTAAAGAAATCTTTGCAAAGTCTCTCATTACCTAATTTGGCTTTGATACTATAAAAATCAAGTGGATCATTCAAAATCTGATCTTTTGTATGTAGACACAAGATGAAAATATGCCTATCTTAACACAAAAGTTATGCTTTCAAAATGTTGCCTGTGAATCGATATATATGTTAAAGTCTAGGTTTTTATTTCAAAGCTTATAATAAATTGAATATTCATTCTTTTGGAAAATTCTTTGGGAATAAGACATAATAAAATCTCACTTAAGCATTCATGAAAACAAAAGTTGCCTAAATCGTAAAACAGAGATGTATATTTTATATTTTGCATAGTAGATTAAAAGTCTAAAGGGGATCATTGTTTAACAAAATTTCCATCAACCCTTGTCTTACCTCCAAAATAGAATAATATGTCCCCTTTTTTGTCTGTCCAAAACCTATTTCTTTGCTCCCTGTAAAAGCTGTATACTTGTAGAAATGAACAGATTGATGTAGTCTGATGGAACAATAAGATGCAGCAGGAATCCGGGCAACAAATGAGCCTGCCTGCCTGGTTGTTTTTCTTTACTCTGAACTACTGTATTGCTTGAGCTTTGCTTATGCCAAGCTAGTGGTTGGATGTGTGTGCCTTCTCTTAGTGAATTGTAACAGCCTGGAGGTCAAGGTTTTACTTACTTTGTGCCCCACAGAAGGCTTTGCATGGGGTAGGTACTGAAATTGTTTGTTATAATTAGTTTAAAAATTGGACACAGAAAAAATATATGAAGCAACTCTATCAACACATTAATGGAAATTTTAAAGCTAAATGCAAGTCTTCAGATTCAATGCAAAGAATGAACACCCAGAACACCCAGATTTATCAATTATGTCAAATTTGGTGTTCTATACAATGAATTGGGCTGATAGCCATAGACATTTGAGTGTGTGTATGTGTGTAATGGTTCAAGCTAAGTTGAAGGGAAGGGTTTTGATAATTCTCAAAACAAGGCTGGATTTTTTTTTTTTACAACATAGAAATTACTGTCTTGCTTCAAATAATACATTTGAATATAAATGCATGCATGTTCATTTCCTACCTTCAGCTTCTCCCTTGCAGGTCTGGGGTCCTAAAACATTGCACGACTGTGTTTTCCTCCAGCTCAGGCTTCTCTACCTTTCTTCCTTTGGAGCATCTGTTATGCAACGTATTGAAAAGCAAATTGCCTGTTTTGGAAAGGGTGATTTCCTTTTGAGGCCATCTTAATCTCCAAGGAAAATGTAGAGACACACAAAAATATGCACAAACAGCTGGAGTACAGGTTGACGTTAGTGAAACCAAACCTTTTTTTAAAATATATTCAGAAATGTGAGTGAAGTTACTTTTTGTAAAACTTCCCTGCTGTCCTCACAGCACAGCATGCAGCTCTATGAGGCTGAATATGCTTTATTTTCACACAAACTTTTCTTAACATGGGTCAGTATTGACAGTGTAATCTTTACAAAATATGCCTCTGATGAAGAAAATAAATCCTCCACTTCTAATAGCAGGGTTGTAAAAAAAAATACAGCTCAAAACAGTTCAAACAAGTTTCAAACAAGGAAACTTGTTTGAAATACCATGCTGCCGAAACATGTAAGAATATACTTACTTTTTAATCTCAGAATGACTTTCACTGGTTTATCTTTAATGTAATTATTTTTAGCCCTTATGATTTAAGTTTGGCTTCATGTGATCCATCTGGTTGGATCAGAGCCAATACTTATATGTTCCTCTCAGGTTTACTGAGTGCTTACATAAATATTATCTGGCAAAGTAGGTATTTCTCTTATCCCCATTTCACAAACATTTGGTGATTGCTTTTGCAGATGTTACCCAAAGATGTTACGGTAAACTCTAAAAATTCAAAAAACTTAGTCTATCTAATTGTTCTTTTTCATGAAGTGTCAGACATTTGTTTATGGTAAATTTATTCCATTGTATTTTTGTAAACCAATTAAAGTGGAGTGACAAAATGATAATAAATCTAGTTTATGTCTAAACATGTGACAATACTCTTTCATCACTGAAGAGATGTTGTTAAGAAATATATTTGGCTACCAGTAGTTATAGCCTAAACAAGAGACATGTAGCTTTGTCTCATGTTAAAGAAATCTGAAAGCAGGCAGCTCAGGTTGAGGAAACCACGCTATATATATTATATATATTGTGTATATACTATTTCTTAGGGAACTACACGTTCCTTTCTGCTCTGCCATTCCCAGCACACACATGGTTTCCATTTTCAGGGCCCAGGGTAGTTTTCAGAGCTCCAGCCATCTTCTGCATCATTTTCTGTTAGGATGCAGAAGAAAAGGAAAGAAAAGCAAAAAGGTTTTTTCAGAAGTCCCACCCAATAATTGTTCTATCTACATTTCACTGGACATCCTAGTTCCAGGGGACATGGCAACAGTAGATTCCGGGATGGCTCATCATTGCAGGGCTGAGACTGGGGATTTGTTATTGAAAAAGAAAGGATGAATGGATTGGACAACAAAACTTGCTGTTTTTGTCACTCTTCCAGAAAGGGTTTCTCTACTTTTAAGAATAGAATCTATTGAACCCTCCAAACTATTACCCCACATATTTTTTTAAAAAGTCCCACTAATGGTTTAAAGAGTATCCTTGGTTGAATAAAAATGTAATGGAAAAAACAAAATTAAGATAAAGCGAAGGTGACAGTTGAAAATCGAAAAGTATCCACCCCAGATCAGAGACTATATAATAGCAGTGAAAAATGAACTAGAATTTAGTAAAAATCTATGTTATTCCTCTACAGGAATCACTTCCTGTAGGTATCTTGAGACTGTTAAGGAAGCATGCTTAAATTATGACTATTGCTCTATGGGGTTCTGAGAGCTAGAAGGAATGAAAACATCCAGAGTCTTACACATTCCCATCATGAACATGACTTAAAGTCTAAAATCATTATACTATTGACATCGAACATTAGAAAAACAGTGAATTATTGAAAATCAAATTAACTCCTAATCTCAAAATTTACATTATAAACATAAAAATGTGCTAGAGCACGTTAGCAATTCAGTGCTAGTAAATTAAACAAAAGCAAGATAGGATTTAAAATACAGTTTTATTAAGAACCGACTGATTGTGAAAAATCATATAAACATTCCCTTATACTACTTGGAGAAAATGAGTGGCAAAAACATATAGAAACGCTAAATAATGCATTTTAGGCATATGTGTGTGGTATATAAATATATAGAAAAAGTAATAAAGCAGCCACATTCCCTAACCTGGTAATTCTACTCCTGGGAAACTCTTTTTGAAAAAGATGGATCCTAAATCCTGAAAAAAAGGTTTGATGCACAATCTTTACAGCAGCAGGATTTGGAAGTAAAAAATTTAAAATAGCTAGCTGTTCAACAACAGGATAATAACTTAGGTAACTGGTGATACGTTCACTTACTGAAAACAGTATTGCTAATCAAGTAACTGAACATGTAAGAAAAGGTCACAAGAGAACTCTAAGGTATCACAGAGGTACAGACTGCAGGGAGCTCCTGGAGCTGGGAGAGAAAAAGGAAGAGATTGAAGTTGAAACTTAGCACCTTCATGGAGGATCCCTGTGGACCCGTAGCCCAGACCTCTGAAAAGTCAGCCCCCTGGCTGAGGCTGATGTTTCTGAGGTGTTGTGTGCTGAAGCTGGTTCTCTTAAGCGTGGGAACAACTGCAAACTGCATCCACCCACTGCTCTGGCAGGGCGCTGCCATTTGTAGGGTGAAAGAAGCATCTCTGGATGCTACGTAAGAAGTAGATAGAAAGCACAAAGGAAGGAGTTCCGTCACTCCCTTTTCCTGTAGAGCTCAACACTCCCTGAAGCATCTCCTCTAGGCAGAGCCTAACAGGGAACCAGCTATCACAGCAGAAACTCCTGGCCCCTCCCTGCACTCTTAACAGCAGGTCTTTTCAGGCTGTGCTTGGCCCATCTGGATGCCTACCTTCTCCTTCGTCAGCTCCTAGGGCTTCTGGAAAATCAAGAGTGGGTTAGGGGTGACGGGGAGCTCCCTGCTTCCGCAGGGCTGAGTAGGAGCCTATCCTTTGCTCAGTGGGCAAGGGCCACCTTGGCTAAGGTGCCCCACAGAACAGATACCCAAGACTGGTAGGGATGGGGGAGAATGTTCCCAGCCCTCCACAGGGCCTATGGGGCTTTTCCCACATGTGCCACTGCCTGCTGCAGGCAGGATGAGACACTGCCCACCATGGGGGCCTCCTGCTCATTGTTACCATCAACAGTGGGCTTTCTCACTTTTAACTGTGCTGGATCCAGTGGTCTGCAGAGTCCCAGAGCCACCACAGCAAAACTGAGTATAGAAGGCTGGTTTGGAGGTGAGAGGCAATAACTTAACTGGCACAGCCTTACTTATTGCCTGTCTCTAGCTAGAAAATAGACTCTTCAGGGACACAGTAGCTCCAGTTCTTAGAGCAGTGCCCGACCCATGGCAGGTGCTCCATAGGTATTGCTGAATTAATGAAAAGAAACTCTCTGTTATTGAAGGAAGGGGTAAATTGTGAAAAAAAATTATGGCATCTTTATTTCTGCCTTTGGAGTTTTCCTAATTCAGAAATTCCTCTAACAAAGGAAAGGTGCAAACCAAGAGAACGCCTCCCCTCTTTCCTGTTCTACTTTTTCTTAACTATGTGTGACTTCAACAAGTTACTTAACTGTAGGAACCCCGGTTTTATAATCCTGAAGACAGAAATAGCATTTACTTTTTTTTTCTCTTTTGAGATGGAGTCTCACTATGTCACCCAGGCTGGAGTGCAGTGGCGTGATCTCGGCTCACTGAAACCTCCACCGCCCAGGTTCAAGCAATCCTCCTGTCTCAGCCTCCTGAGTAGCTGCAACTACAGGCACCTGCCACCATGCCTGGCTAATTTTTGTATTTTTAGTAGAGACAGGGTTTCTCCATGTTGGCCAGGCTGGTCTCAAACTCCTGACCTCAGGTGATCCACCCACCTCGGCCTCCTAAAGTGCTGGGATTTCAGGCGTGAGCCACTGCCTTCAGCTGGAAATAGCATTTACTTTAGAGTGTGATTGTAAAGATTAGTGTGATAATATGTACAGAACATCTTATATTCATGGAGGGCACACATTTGTTCAATGAATTGTACTGATGAGATCACAAATCACATTTCCTCACCCTTCAACCACTGCGCATCCAATATCATTTCCAAGTAGGTATGATTTCTGAATCATAATAGAAACTAACACTTCTTGGGTATTTCTGTTTTGTGCCTAGCACCACTATAAGTGTTTTACCTATATTAACTCAATTAATTCTCCCAAGAATTTATGAAGTAAATGCTTTTATTTTTCCAATTTTACCGAAGAGGAAATTAAGGCAGAGAAAGTTAAAAGAAAAAAAAAAACCTTATATTACGTAGCTAGAAAGTGTCAGAGCTAGGGTTTGAACCCAAGCAATCTGGCTCCAGAGTCTTAGCCACTGGTACAGTGATTCTTTAATAGGACTACTAATAACTATATTCTTATTGCTAACTATTCTATAAGACTTCTGGGTATTTACAGGACTGTCTTGTGTAATTATTAATAGGGCACTTTACCCAATTCAGCCAAAATTCCTAAGGAGAATCATTGACTTAGAAAAACCACATCTGATTGAATTGAGCACGCCAAGAATGAGGAGAGATGGTGTCTCCTTTCACAAGGGTATCTGGACAGAGCTTAAAGTGTCAATCTAATTATAAACTGTTATTCTCCTATTATGGAAAAACCCTGTAATTGGATACTAGAAAATTCTCTGTAAAACCTTGTCCCTCAGGCAAGGCTTAATACTGGTCTCAGAAGCCCAGTTAAGTATGTTTTAAAAAATTGGTTATCCTTAAAAATACTGAAGGGAAATACTTCCCATTAATGCAGTTGTCATTGGATGGTAACATAATAGGTAATATATATTTTTTTCTTTTTTAAAAGTCTTTTATTCAAAATTTTTCTTAAGAGGAAGAATTGTTATAAAAACAATGTATTTCTTAAGTATAAGAAAACATTTCTACAAAAAGTAGAAATTTTAGATAAGTAAAAATAAAATGAATTATACATAATTAATTACACCATTGCATGTTAAAAATCTGCTATATTTTCCAAATTGTTCTAATGTAAGGATATTCATAAATTGTGTGAGTCTGTATAAAAGATGGAATCATATTCTTCATGTTGCTTTCTATTCTGTTGTGCTTTTCACTTACAAGAATACTGTGAATATACTTCACTATGAATAAATGCACATGTATGTCACATTTTGCAATATATTTACTGTTATTAACATAATATATTTTTTAACCATTCCCTTCTTATTGGATATTTAGGTGGGTTCCACTTTATAGCTATCATAGCTCTAAATTTATACATTTTTTTCTCACTTCTCTTATTAGTCTCTCAGGACAAATTCCAAGAGTGGAATTTCTAGGTCACATTTAAAACTCTGAGTTTTTAAATGTGTATTGACTAATTGCCCTCCAGTAAAGTTGCTGCAAATTATTCTTCTACCAGCAGTGTCTTAGAGTTACTGTTTCCTTAGAGACATGCAATGTTCTTTATTGTCTTTGTCAGTAAGTCAAGCTAAACAAATATTTAAGCTTTATTGTTTATTTCTTTGATAACTGCTTCATGTGCTCTTGTCATTTGTGCATCTTCTGTGAATTGCCTGTTTTTGTCTTTTGCCCATTTTATTTATTGAATTGCTTTTTTAAAAACTGATTTGTTCATGCCTGTAATCCCAACACTTTGGGACTCCAAGGCAGATGGATCACGAGGTCAAGAGATCGAGACCATCCTGGTCAGTGTGGTGAAATCCCGTCTCTACTAAAAATACAAAACTTAGCTAGGTGTGGTGATGCCCACCTGTAGTCCCAGCTGCTCAGGAGGCTGAGGCAGGAGAATCGCTTGAACCAGGGAGGCAGATGTTGCAGTGAGCCGAGATCACGCCACTGCACTCCAGCCTGGTGACAGAGTGAGACTCAGTCTCAAAAAAAACAAAAAACAGCAAAAAAAAAACCCTGATTTGTAAGAGTTCTTTATCTTCAAATATTTTTAATATGTTTCAAAAGCTTTTACACCAGCTGATGAATTAATTATATTGAAATTCCTATTCATGTTTATTCCACACATTACATTTTAAAGGAGAAATCAAAGGCATATCCAGTCCTGGAGTGGACTCAATGTCTAAGCAGAGACAAGGGTAACTTGGCACCAACGTTACAGGAAAAGACAGTGCTGGGCTCATGAGAGACTCTCAGGAAGAAATGCCAAGAATTCAATCTGGGCGAGAACTATTCTCTTGGGCACAGTGAAAAGTTTTCTCCTAACCATAGTTTCTTCATGAAACAAAACTAAAGATTAATATCAAACTTCACAGTGTATCCTTCCCAGTTCCTCTCTGCCTGGTTAGGCTTATTCATCCCTTAGATCTCAGCTCAAGCACCATTTCCTCAAGGAAGTTTTCCCTGACCTTGCCTACTAGGTCAAACCTCCTTTTTATGTTCCTGAGACAGTGTAGTTTTTTGCAGTACTTCTCACCGTTGTGATTTTACATCTATTTACCTGATTGTTTGATTCATACCGCTCTCATTTATTTGAATGGATTCTCCCTGAGGGCAGAAACTGTCTGTTTTTGCAACTCTTCATCTCTCAGCCTGCCACAAAGGAAATGAATGACAAAGATTCGTTAGATAAATTGTATGTGAAAATGCACTTTAATTATAATTAATATCCAAAAAGAGTGAGTTCAGCCATTCTACATGAATACTTTTGACATTATCATGAAGTGCTAATTTGAAGAGCCACTTCCGATACTATCACACAGAAAAATCTAAACTCAGGAGATCATAATTTAACAGCAAAATCAACACTCTATTGCCCCAAGTGAACAGAACACATTTTTCCACCTAAAATTCTCGGCAAACAAGTTCGGTTTAAATAGACCTTTCCATGAAATCCCTCATTATATAACTTTTTAAAATGCCATTGGTTTGATCCATAGGGACATAAAAATTAAAAGAAAAAATCCTGTGTACCTGTGCAGTCCAATACAATAGCCACTAGCACCTGTGACTACTGGGCAGTTGAAAGGTTGTTAGTCCAAATGGAGATATGCTGTACTTATAAGATATACACCAGATTTCAAAGACTTATTATGAAAAAAATGAATAATGTCTCATTATTTTAAAATATATATGTTTAAATAACACTGTTTTGGATTTATTTTTTATTTTTTGTTTTTGAGATGGAGTCTCGCTCTATCACCCAGGCTGGAAGGCTGGAGTGCACTGGTGAGATCTCGGCTCACTGCAAGCTCTGCCTCCTGGGTTCACGCCATTCTCCTGCCTCAGCCTCCCAAGTAGCTGGGACTACAGGCGCCCGCCACCACACCAGGCTAATTTTTTTGTATTTTTAGTAGAGATGGGGTTTCACCGTGTTAGCCAGGATGGTCTCAATCTCCTGACCTCATGATCCACCTGCCTCGGCCTCCCAAAGTGCTGGGATTACAGGTGTGAGCCATGACGCCCGGCCCTATTTTGGATTTATTGAGTTAAATAAAGTATATCATTAAGATTAATTCTGCCTGTTTCTTTTGACCTTTTTATTGTTTCTAGGAGAAAATTTACAGTTAATATTTGACTCACATTATATTTCCATTGGGTAATGCAGCTCTTTGGTCTAACTCAGATGGAAAAACCCCTACCTTGTTACAATTTGTTTTACACCACACTCACCTATTGAAAACTGGGAAAGCTGCCAAAGAGATATTTGAGTAACAGCAATCTGTTACAAGAATCTGAGTAAGAAAACTTACTCAATGGGAGTCCTCAAGTCTCCACAGCATTCATTTTCTCTTATTTCTACCCATAATTTAACACATTCATTTATTAACTTTCTAAAGTCAAAGAAAGAAACGAGAAATGTTGAGAAAGGTGACCAATAGCTTGCACACTTCTATCTGAGGATTCAGACTCTTAATCCTTCACATTTTATTAGATGGCAACCTTGATAACAAGATAATACAAATACTATGGAAAGATAGAACAACAAATCTAAGCTGTTGGGGCCTGCATAGTGTGCATAGTTCAGGAACAAGCGGGCTTTTGAATGTAGTTCAGAATAGTCATTGATGTTAGAAAGAGTTAAGTGATTGATCATAGGACATACTTCATTTAACAAAACAGGATAGTGACATTATATCAGAGGAAGAGTTCTATCCAAAGTGGTGAAAATAAAATATTGAAATTCAGTAATTTTGTTTACTAAGAGTAGCTTATTCTCCCAAGGTAAAGGGGAAAATAGGGATAGATGGAGAGAGGTAATAGCAGATAAGAAGAGGGTTTTGCTCTGGTTAGTCAAGGCTTTATTATTAAAGGAGCTCCCCTGAAAAATTAGGCCTCTTTTATTTACAACATATGCATTTTTAGGTCAAGCATATGTTAGATTAACACAGTGCTGTAAAATAATGCCTTCATATTGATAGCAGCTATTGCAACACACTTATTAGTAGGAAAATGTTCTGCCCTGCCCCCTGAGTCAAATACCATCTTCCGTGGGCTTTTGTGACAAGATCTTAATGGAGCCTTTGGATTATTATACACTTTGGCCTAAGCAAGTGAATGACCGCTAGGTCTGTTCACTGACTTCAAATCACATGTTATCAGTGAAACCTTCACTGCTGGGTTTCCTTTCATTGTATCTCCAGGCTGACCGTTTCCTGTCAATGTCCTTAGAACGGAGAATATACTGAAAACTAGGGTCAGCCACTCAGCCGCTAGCGCTGCACTCTGGCTTTGGAAGATAAAGTCATTTTTATTTTGTTTTGTTTCAAAATATTATTTTTTTCTTTTTTTTTTAAACCCAACATTAGATTTTTCTGTGATTTGTTTCTTGTTAAAAATCAGCAAGGTACATTTTAAACAATATATAGCATTGTCTAAAGATTTATCAATAAAAAAATTAATTTCTTATTGTGCACGTTATGCCTTATTCAAGAATTTGCATGCTCTGTCCAGCATACAGTCTTTGAGGCTGCACAGAGTAGAGGCAACTAAAATTCGAATATGAGCCTTGTAATATGATAACTCATGAAAAGCTACTAATTTATGTGTGATGATTAGTTAATGGAAACTGACTAATTTTTTTTAAGTCCAAAGTGTATTTATTATAACTATAATGCAATATCTTTCAGACTTTGTGTTCATAAGCTTGTTTTTTTCTTTCTTATTTGTCTTTTATTTTTGAAAACATAACTGAGTTATTATTTTGAGCACGTTGGGGGAAAATAAGCATATCAATAAATAAAAGAAGGTAAACAAATCCCAAGACATAAATATCAAGAAAGGAAGACATTAACTGTCCCAGGTCGGGAGAGAACAGTTAGCACAGCTGCTTGGAAGTGTGACGATCATCCTCACCCTTCAGGCTCATCACATTATTAGAATTATTTAACGGTCAAGGTGTGAAGGAGTAGGATAACCAGCTCTCAGTAATTAGCACTATACAACCTGTTTTGATTGGAATGACAGAAGGAAGTAGAAGCTTCTTCGACATGGGGGGAAATGGGATGAAGTAGGCAGCAGCAGAAATAAGTAACTGCTTATTTCTGAAAAGCTTTGTTATTGTGGTGTTGTCATTGCTACCACTTAAGTGAGCTCCAGACCATGTTTCCTGCTCCACGAGGAGAGAGCTGTTCTCATGAGCAAGGAAATCAACTGATAGCAGCAAAAAATTAAAAAAACAAAATCTAGAAAAAGGATCCAGTCATTTTATGCAGTCACATAGTAAAGAATATCCTTAATCAACAGCTCCAAATTAATTGGCAATAGGCAAAATCACAGTACTGGATTTGAACACGGGTAGGTTAACATAATTTTGACAGGTGCAAGAAAGGGCTCTCCACAGAGAGACAGTGCCTGGGCTGGGCTCTCTGAACAAGCCTAACCCAGGGAAACTGTACTATAATATAAAAAGAAAAGAGAACAACTCACACGCAGTGGCGGTCTGAAGAAAACATTTCCTACTTTCCGTTTGAGTTCAGAATAAGCCCCGATCAGGACTAAGATAGGAGAGAAAATTGATCAGTTGCGTTGTTGTCCTCAAATTAGTTTTCATATGATTATTTTGTCTTTTTTGTTTATTTAATGTTTGGTTGGCTGATGTTTTAAATGGAGCAAGTTATTCTATTTCCTTACTGATTGAATGTCAGTTGAACTACTTTTGGCTTCTAGATGGAAATTTCTGATTCTCTTGCAATTATCCACACTAGTGTGATTTTTCTTTCTCTTTGGAAGTTCCAGGGTCCCTGACTCTCTGTTATATGCACTCCAGGGACAGATGGCAGAGGAAGACACCACCTGTCTGACAAAAGACATTACCTGGCTGGTGCTCTGAGTGTCATGCTGAGTAGAGTAGCCATCACTGAGAAACGCTCAGTTGTTATTTAATTGTACATTCAGGCACCTAATTTTATTTAGTTTTGCCTTTAATCACTTATATTTTTTAATTTGCCTTACATTTTAAAATTTGATGTATATGTCTCTGCAAACTGTCAACTCCTGGAAGACAGAGACAGTGTCATGCTTCTTTCAGAACCTATAAATAACAAAAAACACAAGAGAATTAAATAAATATTTGATAAATTACATTCAACACTGGACTGTAATCTTCATGAAGGCAAGTGTTGTGACCATTTTGTTCACGGTGATATTTCTAATGCTTACAATTATTCTTGGTCCATTGCTAAGTGCTTCACGAATATTTGTTTAATAGATGAATAAATAACGTTTTCAAATTGTAAGTTTTATTTTCAACTGAGGTTGAGGTTGCGGTGAGGAGAAAGAAGAGTGGAAGAGGGACATTTCCTGTTCCTGGATCACATGAGGGCCATCTTTTCACAGTTGGTTTTCTCTACCTTATTGGTCTATGATCAAAAATAAGGGCAGATCCAGGAAGCTTGCATGAGATCTAGCTGTTTCTAAATCCTCAGAGCTGGGATGTATGCCACCACTCACTGCCCCATTCCCAATTACCAATTATTTCATCAAAGGATGGACTTGGGCTAAACATCTCCCTTTGTTTTGGTTAGGAGGATCCGCTTATATTTTCTGGTTGAGTAATATTGTCCTTTATGAAATATAAAATGTGCAATTTTGATCATTTTACACTTTCAGCATGAAGAAAAAAATATCCTGTCTCTGTAACATTCTTTGCAAGGATATTTACTGCTCATGAGTACATAAGGACTTAGATTCATACACAAGGCACACAGGTTTCACCCACAATTTGTTAGTTCTACTATTTCCACATATATTTTATCTGATCTTATTTTCACACATATTAGATTAGAGATCAAAATCAAGTGTCATGCCTTAGACATTTTTATATCTCCTGCCTGGAACAACATGTGTTCATTAGTATTTGTTAAATGTGTGAATGAATGAATGGTCATTTTATTTTCTCTTACTATTACCATAATTTCCTTACCCCTTCAGAGGAGTTGCTATTTTTCTGAAAATATGCATTTCTCCTCTGATTCATATTCATGTCTTGTATTTTAAGACTTCATGCTGAGAAATTCTAATTGCCTATATCATAATGTTGATTTGGCTACTCAGAATTTTCTTAACCTTGGTTTGTTACAGCAAGTTCCCAGCATTCCCCTCAAGTTCCCAGATTCATGATTGCCTCATTAAAATCAGAACAAAATATAGAGAGGACATTTTACATAGACCCCTTGTTTGGATTTATTTATTTTTTCAATTTTTCCTCTCTTTACCAACTAGTACTTGGAAACAAGTACTGTAGCTAGAAAGTTGAAAAAAAAAAAGCAAGCTGTTGAATGGTTATTTCAAATTACAATTTGACTTTTCCTGGAGATAAAAGTGAAAAAGAAAAAAACCTTAGTCTGACTGTGATCACCTAATATACTTAGAAATATATTTAGGAATTCATTTAGAAAATACAAATAAAAATAATGAATATTGACGCATTAAAAAAATAAATGGCCTTAACCTCTGAGTTTACAACTTAGGTCTCTTATCACAATTATTTTTTGTTACCAGAAAGATAACATTTTAAATAACTGTGCCCTTTAAAACATTTATATTGTTTTTCTTCACAGTAGTTAAGATAAGGTAGTGCAGGAGTTCTCCCTAATTTTTAGAAGTAATTAGAACCAATTAATTGATTTGGGAAGTTCTCAACAAGGTACTATTATTCTGATTCTAGTACTTTTCCCTCTAAGACTCCTAGACCCTCCTATGAAATTCTTGGAACTTTTTTTTCAGAAACCTTATACTTTCCATCCTAATCTACAAATCTAACTTTTGGAGGTAGTTTTTGAATACACTCCTTTCTGTTTTCCAGTTATAACAATAGGAGATGAAATAATTCAGCTTGGAATAAAAACACTGAGAACTTTCACAGAATTGCCACATAGGTGAAACTTGACCTTGGTGCCATTCCTAGACTTGTCCCTTCCATCTGGCCCCCATCCTCTAGATCTATTTCAAGCCAAAAGGCCTCATTCTCTGAGCTGGTTCTTAAGTGGCATGGAAAAGATGCTGGCTGGTAACTTAAATTGTATCATCCTTAGTATCATTTTGTATCAGAAAATTTATAGACCATATCCTTGAAAATTCAGAATAAATGACTGTTCATCATGGAATTTAGCGGGGCAATATTGCAAGCATCCTGCAATGACCACCTGCCCCAGATCCTCAGAACAAATACTTTAGGAAGTATTGGGCAGGTGACACAGTTGTCTTAAGCTTTCAGTTATAAGAAATACAAGTTCTGGGAATCTAATTTACAGCATGGTGACTACACTTACTATCCTGAGTATTTGAAATTTCTAAGAGAGTAGATCTTAAGCATTCTCACACACGCAACAGGTAACTGTGAGGTGATGAATGTGATAAAACTTATTGTGGTAATCATTTCTCTCTCTATATATATGTACATGGAGATCAAATCATTACATCGTACACATTTATTTATTTATTAATTTTTGAGACGGAGTGTCACTCTGTCTCCCAAGCTGGAGTGCAGTGGCATGATCTTGGCTCACTGCAACCTCTGTCTCCTGGATTCAAGTGATTCTCTTGCTTCAGCCTCCAGAGTAGCTGGGATTACAGGCGTGAACCACCACACTTGGCTAATTTTTGTATTTTTTGTGGAGATGAGATTTCACCATGTTGGCCAGGCTGGTCTAGAACTCCTGACCTCAAGTGATTCAACTGCCTTGGCCTCCCAAAGTCCTGGGATTACAGGCGTGAGCCACCACACCTGGCCCTGTACACTTGAAATACACATTTTTATTTGTCAACTATACTTCAATAAAACTGGAAAAAAATTTTTTTCACAGGAGTCACAACGTACAGGGACAACAACAACAAAACACCAAAAATCCTGCAAATTGCTTGCAAATACTTCTCAGGATCTTCACTGGGTGGTTTTGTGTATATATAGGAAAAGGGTGGATGGGTGATAAGGAAAGCAAGAATGAGGAAAGGACTTGGTGGTATTTGTATCCATCTACAGAAAGAAGTCAGCTATCAGACTCCGGAAACCCAAACAATTTTCTGATGAAGGAGAGGCGTGGTATGACAATTGGCCCTGACCTCTGCACAAGCGATCACCAAGATTCACTGATTCTGCAGCTGTAGAATCAACTCCCAGACTAAGTTATCTAAGAATGAAACCTCAAATCTTCCACACTAAAATCACCTTTAAAAACATAAGCTCTTTAAAAAAAATAATAAGAGGTAACTTTTCTAAAATATTTTGTATAAATATTTTATAATTTGTGTGTGTGTATGCACATTTGTAGATTTTTAATTTGTAGGTACTCTTTATTTGCATTTTTTCACAAAAAAGCCTTCCTCTAATATTTATAAATAAATAAATATAGTAAAGAAAAACGGTTATCAGTATGAACAATAAATACAATTTTTATGCAACTTAACTTTAAAGTATCTAATCTTTGGAATTCTGGGTTGTAATGTGGAGAAATAATGACATCTGATTTGCCTTCCCTGTCATTCCATAAAATATTCTTGAAACCCAAAAAAGAGAAATAGTGACTCAACATTATTTTTATTCCCTCAGTTTAAAATTCTTCTTTAGGCTCCATTTAATCAGCTCTTACCACTTTCGTCTTTTAACTTTTTTCTTTCTTTCTTTTTTGAAATAGGGTCTTGCCCTGTTTCCCAAGGTGGAGTGCAGTGGTGTGATCACAGCTCACTAGGCTCAAACCCGTAGCCTTGAGCAATCCCCTCATCTCAGCCTCCTGAGTAGCTAGGACTACAGGTGTGCCCCATCACACCTGGCTAATTTTTAAATTTTTTTAATGGAGAAATGGGATCTCTCTATGTTGCCCAGGCTGGTCTCAAACTCCTAGTCTCAAGCAATCTTCCAGCCTAGGCCTCCCAAAGTACTGGGATTACACGCATGAGCTACCTACCATGCCCAGCCTTCTTCTTTTCCATTATTTTCACAATATTTTGTAAGTCCAAAAAATACATGTGAAATAGATTTGATTTACAAGGCATATTGACAAAACGAACCAGCACATATCCAATACTCTACACTCTGTTCCTATCCGTTTTCCCTGCCCCACCTTCTAGGTATAGCCATTATTCTGAATGTTTGACATCGTCCCTACCAATTTTAGTTGTATTACATGTGTGTACAGCCCTGAATACCATATTGTGTATTCTTCCATTATTTAAAAATGTTGTTACACAGCCTTCTGGAATTTACTTTTTCACTCAACATCATATCTTTGAGAGTCATCGTTGTTGTATGTAACTGACTTACAATGATTTGTTGTATGCATATACCGTAATTTATTTATCCATTCTGCTACTGGTAGATATTTGAGATCACTCAGGTTTTTGATACTTGAACTGATTATGTGAATAATCTTTTATTTCTGATGCACATATACAAAACTGTCTCTAAAGTAAGTCCCTGGAGGAATTGTGGAGTTATAGTTTATCAACACTTTTTTTTTTTTTTTTTTTTTTTTGAGACGGCGTCTGGCTCTGTCACCCAGGCTGGAGTGGAGTGGCGCGGTTTCGGCTCACTGCAGCCTCTGCCGCCAGGGTTCAAGCGATTCTCCTGCCTCAGCCTCCTGAGTAGCTGGGACTACAGGCCTGTGCCACCACGCCCAGCTTGTTGACCAGGCTGGTCTTGAACTGCTGACCTCAAGTAATCCACCCGCCTCGGCCTCCCAAAGTACTGGATTACTGGCGTGAGCCACCGTGCCCGGCCTGAACACTTTCAATTTTAGTGGGAAGTCTTCTCTTTTTTTTCCTAAATCTGTTGCTTTTATATCTTCACCAATACTTGGTATTATTAAACTTCTTGATTTTTGTCTGTCTAGGGAAATGAAATAAAATATCATTCTGCTATTAATTTGCATTTTCCTGATTATTAATGATGTTAGATACCTTTTCACTATTCTTGTTTCCTCTTTGGGGAAATGCCTGTAGTTATTTTCTTCCTATTTTTTTTTCTATGGCATTATCTGCATTTTACTGATTTATAGAAAATCAGTACATTTATAAATTACTCGTATATTCTGTATACTGTTTATTGGTAGTGTGTTGTAAATAAATTCTTACGGATTGTGGCTTGTTTTTTCACTTCACTTATGCTGTCTTTCAGTGAATACAAAGTATTAAAATAGTGTGGATTATCAGTCTTTACTTTTGTAGTAAGGTTTTTTGTGTTCTTGAGAAATTCTTCACTACTCTGAGAAGACTGGATTTTCCCACGACCATGTTTTCCTTCTTTTTTTTTCTCTAAAAGTTTTAAGTTTGATTTTCACAAATTCTTAATCTATCAGGAAATGATTTTCACATGTGTGGTGAGATAGGGATCCAATTTTATTTTTTCCACATGGACACTCAACTGTCCCTGTTTACTGAATAGCCTCCCTTTCCAGTTATTAAATAGTATCCTTATCCCATATAATACATGTCCAAATAATCATGGATCTGATTCTGGGTCATCTATTGTTTCACTGACCAATTTATCTATCACTGTGCCACCCCACAGCTTCCAACTTACTAGAGCTTTAAGTAAAACAGAATAGTTACAAGGCAGGTCCTCCCACCTTATTCTTCTTTCAGGAATGTTTTTTTGTTTCCTTGGCTATTTGCTTTTCACTTAAATTATATAATCACTTGCTATAGTCTACAAAAAGCTCTAGGGACTTTGATGAGAATTACATTAAATGGATAGATAAATTTAAGTGAGAATTAAAACTGTGATACCATGTTCCCATACAATAAAATTTATCTCCCGCACTTGTGTAGATCAACTTTAAAACCTCTCAAGAAAGTTTTATAATTTTCTCCATGAAAGATTTCCACAAGGTTTGCTAGAATAAGTCTTAGGGAACAATATATTTTGTTTTTATTATAAATAGTAACATTTTAAAAATCTGTTTTAAAAAAATTAGATATCTGAGATTAATATAGAGAAAATAAAGAGTATTTTATTGCTAATCATATCACTAGCCACAACACTCAATTCTTATAATAGTCTGTATATTCGTATGGGAGTTTGTGTGTGTGTGTGTGTAAACAAATTACATCATTTGAGACTAATGACAGTTTTGTTTTTTTCTTCTCAGTTTATGTGACTTTTATGTCTTCTTCTTGCTTTACTATGCTGGCTAGGACTTCCAGTACCATGTTTAATGGAGTAGTCATATGATGTGTCAATGTGCTCATGATTTAAAAATGAATTTTTCTAATATTTTATTATTAACAATGATGTTTTCTTTAGAATTTTGGTGAAAACCTTATCAGGTTAAAAGAGTTTCCTTTTATTACTTGTTTGCTAAAAAATTTTATCATTGACAGTGCTGAATTTTATCAAATTCTTGTTTTGCATGTACTTAATCTTTAATGTGGTGAATGACATTTACAGTTGTTTAAATGTTAAACTACTCTTGCATTCCTGGGATAAACCCTTGGTCATTCATTAATTTTGCTTTTAATTCCCTGGTGTTTTCATTTGGGGCCTATTGCGTTTATTCAGGACTGAGACAGGACTATAATTTTCCTTTTTTTGTATAATCCTTGTCTGCTTCTAGTATTGAGGATTTCTTAACTTCAAAGAAAGAGTTGGGGAGTATTTTCTCCTTTTTAACTATCTTTAAAAGGTATACAAGACCAAAACAATTGGTACTTTGAAAATTTTGTCCAATTTGTCTATGAAACTAGTTTGGCCTAATGTTTATTATATGCACATTTTAACTACTAATTCCCTTATTAGTTTATATTTAGTGTATGTCTTCTCTTTTGGATCAGTTTTGTAAGTGCTGATTTTTCTAAGAATTTGCTGATTTTATATATATTGTGAATAACATAAAGATCTTGTTATTTTTAAAATTTCTTTTTATTATAGTTATATTTTTGTGTTGTCTTTAATGTCTATGATTTGATAGCTGGTTGTGCCTTCTCTTCTTTACTCTCTTCAGAGGTTTGTCTTTTGGCTTGGTTGATCCTCTGTAGGTAACTTATTTCTGTCATTAAAAAAAAATTACCTCCTAACTTCTACATTCTTTGGTTTTATTCTGTTGTTCTTCTGTTATTATGTTAGATAATTAACTCATTAATTTTATTTTCTTCTGAATATGACTTTTTCAGCTATATACAGATATACTCCAAAGTACTGCTTTCACAGCAATTCACAGGATTTAATTTGTAGTATTTGTATAATTATTCAGTTCTAAGCATTTTTAAATTCTCATTATTGTCTTTTTAACCCATAAATTATTTAAAACTGTGTTTTAAGATTACAAAATATATTGTTGTTGTTTTTGTTATTGCATTTTAATTGCACAGTACTTGGAGAACATGGTCTCAGAAAATGATTTTTATACTACCTGAGACCTGATGTTGGCCTAACATTTGGTTAATTCTTATAAACGCTTCATGTATCCATTAGACATTGTATATTCTCTAATGGTTGCACATGGAAACCAAACTTACTAATCCTCTTGTTCAAATCTTCTTTATCTTTTTTAATTTTTGTTGTTTGACATGCCAGTAATTGAGTAAAATATGTTTAAATTTCTCCCATGGATGATGGATTGTCAGTTCTTCCCTTTTGTATTCAATATACTTTTGGTTGTTATATTTTAAGACTAATTTTTTCCACAGAGATCCGAGTTTAGATTTGTTAGTTTTTTTAATGAATTCAAGCTATTATCATTATTTAATGATGTTTTTTTCTAATCTTTAACAATTATTTTGTCTTAAAATAAATTTTGCCTGGTATTAACCTAGCTACCCCAACTTTCTTTTGATAGTATTACCTTGGTGTATTTTGTCATAGCCAGTCTTCAAGATGGCCCGCAGTGATCCCCAACTTCTGGTGATCATATCCTTACATAGTCCTCTTCCACAATGAATAGGGCTGACTGCCTAATCAATAGAACTTTGCATAAATGGCAGTACGGGGGTTTGGGCTCAGGTAATAAGACAACTTGGCTTTTTGGCTTTGAGGAAAGCCAGATGCCATGTTCTGAGGATACCAAGCCTGTAGACAGATTCTTCAGTCAAGCCTTGAGATCATGGGCATCTCTTGCGAGACCCTGAGTCAGAATCATTCAATTAAGCCTCTTCCTAATTCCCGATTCACAGATAATGAAATTTTCAGTTCACATTATGTCAATTCATAAACATAATGCATGTTTGTTTTAAGACAAAGTTTTGAAATAATCTGTTACACAGCAATAAATAGAGATAGATATTATTTTAAGGTAAGCATGTAATCCAATAATCTATTAATTGGGGACTTTATTGGTTTATTGAAATTATTGTTATATTTTGATTTATCTCTACCATCTTATTTTAAAAATTGGTCTATTTTTGATGCTCCTTTTCTCTTTTTTGCCATTTTATTTAATTGGTTTGTGTGTTTATTTCATTTTTTCCTTCTATGAGGTTAACATTTATACTATATTACTTTTCATTCAGTGGTTATTATATCATAATCTGGACTTTATAATGTCTAAAGATATCTGTATCCTAAATATTAGAATACAGAACTCTCTTTCTGACTTACATCCTATTTTGCGCAGTATTTTAGAGTTGCCTTTTAAAATAAAACTATAGACAATTTTTTATGCAGACATATTTGTTTAGATTAAAATGTACATTTACCATTTTGTTTTTCACTATATTTTGTATCTCAGTTTATACTTCTGTGATTATTTTCCACCTTGTTGAAATACATCTTTTAGAAGTTCTTGAAGTAAAGAATTGTTGGTGGTAAACTCCATTTTTGTTTATCTGAAAATGACTCCATTTCACTCTGACTTTTGAAAAATAATTTTTCCAGGTTAAAAAAAGTTCAATTTTAGTTATATCAGCCCAGCACTTGCTGTTGATAATTCTTCAATTGGTCTTATTTTTAGCCTTTATCAGGTGATAGTTTTTTGTGGGGTTTTTTTTTTTTTTTTGGTGCTTTTAATATTCTCTTTGATTTTGGTGTTCTCCAATTTTACCAAAACACATCCAAGTGTGGACTTTATTTAAAAAAAATTATACTGCATAAGATTCATTATGCTTCCTGGATCTGTGAATTCAAGTTTTTTTTTTTTAAACTTTTCAGTCACTATCTTTTCACATATTTTCTTCCTTCCATTATCTCTATTTTCTCCTTTTGGCTTTCAACTACACATATCCTAGAACTACTCATTATCTTCTACATGTTTTAACTTCTGTTCTATATTTTCTATTTATTTATTTTTGTCCCTCTGCATTATATTCTGGACAATTTCATCAGATGCATATTCAGTTCACTAATTATTTCTTCAACTATATCTAAAAATCTACTTCATTTATGGACACTTTTTATTTCAAAAGTTGTATATCTTATTTCAAGAAATTCCATCCAATTTTAAAGTCTTTCTGATCATTACCAACGGTTGTGTATTACTTATTCATATTTGTGGTTCCGTATTTTATTTTCTTAAGCATTTAGGATACAGCTTGTAGTGGGCAGAATAATGCTCTCCACAAAGGCATCTCTGTCCTAATTCCCAGAACTTGTGCATATGTTGGCATACATGGCAAAGGGGAATTAGGCTTGCAGATGGAATTACGATTTTAATCAGCAGATAGGAAGATTATCCTGGATTTTCCATGTGGGCCCCAATATGATCACAAGAATCATTAAAAGTGGGAAAGGGAGACAGAAGAAGTGGGTTAGAGAAAGAGATATGACCAAAAAACAAAAAGGCATGTCAGGGAGATACAGCATTGCTAGATTTGAAGACCAATAAAGGGCGTCAGATCCAAGGAACATGTGTCCTCAAGAAGCTGGAAAAGGCAAGGTAACAGACCCATTCCTTAAGTTCTAGAAAGGAACATGGCCCTGATTTTAAGATATGTGACCCCAATAACTCTAAGATAATAAATTTGTGTTGTTTCAAACCACTGTTTGTGGTAGTTAGTCACAGCAGCAATAAAAATGAATACATAGATATTATATATTTTGTATCTGACTATGTTAATATCTGCAGTCTTTAAGGGTCTTCTGGTTGTTGCTCTTATGACTTACTTATGCTTGGTAATACTATTTTAAAAATTTTTTAATTGACACATAGTAATTATAGATGTGGTGTATACAGGGCATAATGATATTGGAATACATATATAGTGATCAGATCAGGGTAATTAGCATATCTCTCATCTCAAACATCATTTCCTCATGTTCAGAATATTCAACAACCTCCTTCATGCTTTTTAAAACTGTATATTACTGCTTACTATGGTCATCCTATAGTACTATAGAACACCAGAATGCATTCCTTCTATCTAGCTATAATTTTGTATACTTTAACAAATCTCGCCCTATCCCCCTACCTCATTCCCTTCCCAGCCTCTGGTATCCTCTATTTTACTTTGCAGTTCTATGATACCATCTTTTTTTTTTTCTTCCACAGTTGAGTGATAACATTTTGAAATAAACTTATATTTTTCTTGATCTTAACTTGTAGGACTTTTGTAAGGCCTTATTGAGGATGTTTTCCTCTTAAGCCATAGGAGCAATAAAACCCTGAAAATTGATCTAATTCTCTGAATAATTTACTTTTATATGCAGATACAGCTATCTTTTTTAATTTAAAGGAAAAATAATACACAGTTACATAATTTGGGGAAAAATGCTTTTTATTCTTCAATTCCTGCTCCTGATTTCCACATTGTAATGTTCAGAGGTAAAAACAACAATAAAAACCTTTATATTTTTAAATTGAAATGTGCATGCAAATGAGATTCTGGATTGCATTCTTTGTGTTTCATATGCCAAAAGGAAAGCTTGAATGAGTTAGAAAGTCAGAAAATTTTGACTGTTTGTATAACCGATTGAGGGAGCTCATATTTGCTTATAAACCTTTCTAGTCAGGGATTAATTCTATAGGATTTGGTTATCAAATTATAGACATCTGTTTATTTAACTTTAGCCAGTTCTTTTTATTTGTACCTCCATGAGATTTACAGAATGGAAAGCAAAAACATGAAACTCAATATTATTCAGTAAGTTTTGCCATCATAAACTTGGGTGAAAGACTTGGAAGGTAAGACTTGAAAACCAGTGATGGAAATCTGATTTTATATTACTTGTGTCTTTCACCAATCCAAGTCCAACATACATCTTTTTCTTCACAAATAATGTAGAATTCTTTGTATGTCTTTCTTTCTTTCTTTCTTTCTTTCTTTCTTTCTTTCTTTCTTTCTTTCTTTCTTTCTTTCTTTCTTTTTTTTTTTTTTTTTTGACAGAGTCTCACTCTGTTGCCCAGGCTGGAGTGCTCTCTGCAACCTTCGCCTCCCAGGTTCAAGCGATTCTCCTGCCTCAGCCTCCCAAGTAGCTGGGACTACAGACGTGTGCCACCACGCCCGGCTAATTTTTGTATTTTTAGTAGAGACGGGGTTTTGCCATATTGGCCAAGCTGGTCTCAAACTCCTGATCTCAAGTGATCTGCCCGCCTCAGCCACCCAGAGTGCTGGGATTGCAGGCGTGAGCCACAGCGGAATTATTGGTATATCATATCAACTGATTGTATGGCTGTTATGTGTAGCTCTATTTAATTGCTCTGTGGGAAATACATTAAAGTTCTCTGCACCATCCTTGTTACTTAAGCTATGATCTGTGGTGAATGCATCGTGGGCACCTCTGGGATATCATTTGCAAGAGTTTGAGCTAGAATTTATTTTATTTGTTTTCAAGTACATGAATTTACACTTTTGGAATTAAATCATCCTGTCCATCTTCCTTCATTTTAAGATTACATATACAATTTGTCTCCTATTTTATTCATCACAGTACATGCGAACATGACAGACCTTTCAGTAACTAAGTCGGAGACAAAATATACATATAGATTTGTGTTGTGTGTACATGTCAGTGTCAGTGTATCAGATGGAATTATGTTTTAGATATCCAGTGTTGCTTTTGATTCATTGACTGATAGTTTTGAGCATATTCTCGCATCTCTGCCTTGCATCAGCTAGAATTCTTGCATCAGCCAGAATGCTTTCTCCTCAAGTATCCTGAAGTCCACTTAAATTGGCTAAACAATAAGGAAATGCACTAACTTTTATATAACAGGACTTCAAAAGGCCAGGCACCTTTCCAGGTTGATTCAGTGCTCCCCAAGGTCATTAAAGACCCAAGTTCTTTCCACTGCTTGTGTCTGACACCCTAACTTTTAGCTTCTCCTAAAGTGCCGGGAAGCTGTCTGTATCTGTTCCAGGTATCACTTATGCACATGAAAATGTCAGGAGGAAGGAAAGGAATGACTTTTAACATGACTCTCTTCTAACAGAGAAAGAATGTTTCTCAGGAGTCAGATATTCTTCTTGTCTCATTGGCAGAATGGAGCAAACTGCCCACTCCTGAATCAGTCATTGGCAATGAGGTCGGGGTCATTCTTAGAACAGTCATTCCTGCTCTTAGAGCAGGGAGTGTGGTCAGTCTCCACGGAAGCACGCAGATGACTGTGGGAAGATTCTATTAGGAAAAGAAAGGGAGGAATTGATAATGGGTAGGCAAACAAGTGTCAACTACATCATTAAAATATTTGATTTATTTCTTTAGACAGCAGATTGTTATAGGGAACACATATAATCTCAAAATTAAAACTTCTCATGTATATTCTTAATACATATTTTGAGATGGACAGTACCTGAACTGCTAACTTTCTTGCTATATGATTGGAAAGGAGTTTTAGGACTTAAAGAAGGCATCATTGGTCACTCAAAGAATTTTGCAATAAATCAAATCATGGGAGTGAAACACCAAAAATATATTAGCACTTCTGAGCATTGCTTTCACTTTCCAGGCAAGTGTTCAACCGAAACTAAAAACCTTATTTTGTAAATAGAGTATTAATGCTTCAGGAGGAGAGATAAGGCAGCCATTATTAAAGGTGTGGTCACAGTTGTTTCAGGTTATTAACATTCCTCAAAGCTTGCATTAGAAAATAGTTTAGAAAATGTGTCCTAATCTTCTGGATGACAATATATTAACAACAACAACAACAACAGCAAAGCAGAAAAGTCAAGGGAAAGTAAATATATATATCCAGATAATGTAATAATGTATGTGTATATATACAAACACATTACCTATATACCTCCAGACAATGGAATAAAGTACAGCCTTTAAAATCACATTTTAAAGAATACCAAATGACATAGAGGAAAATGTACAATGTAGTATTAATTAAAAAGCAGGATCAAAAGAAAACTCATATTATGATCTCGTCAGTAAACTAATTAGAAAGATGCAAAAAATTTTAATTTTTTTCTCTATGCATGCTATGGCTTCTAAAATTTTAACAGCTGTGATAGATTGTATTGTTACCATGTGTTCTCTGCCCTCCATGTCACATAATTGTACTTTTGCACTCTATCTCTCAGGTAGGTGACTTGTTTTGCTCAATTGTGAGTGAAGTGATTTCTGCCATGTCTGAGTAAAAGCTCAAGAACCACCCTGAGGCTCTGTTCTTGCTTCTCTTCTAACTGCTATGAGCTCAGTGTGTCCAGAAACGGGTCATTCATGACTGTGGACCCCTGAATTAACAACACACATGGAGATCACATGCAATGTAGACAAGAAATAAACCATGGTTGTTAGAAGCCATTGGCTTTTATTGTTGTTAGAAGCCATTGGCTATTTCTTACCTCAGCATAACCTAGCAAAAGTTGCATAATAAGGAAATTTATAAACTTTTGTGTTCAATTCAGAAAAATAATAAATAATATAAATATCATACCATGCAAATCAATTTTATTTAAAAATCACATCATAAACACTTTCAGGAGGAGGAACATGAATATGCGGTGCCCTCTGGAGCTCAGGTAGAGTAAAAGGAAGAGGACTTGTTCTAAGCCCGTTTGCACACTTTTACTGTGCAGTGCTGGAGTTTTCTTTTTGGGATTAACGTCCTTGATTCATCTGGTTTCGCTCTTCCTTGTGAATGCTTCCACTGTCCATAATCAATTATAGATAATCCAGCAAAATACTTAGATAACTTCTATATTTACTTCCTCACTTGGCATCCCTCCTTCTCCTCTTCTACCCACTTTAGTGTCTAACCATCAAACGTTTTTGATAATGTCCTGTCAGGTCAAATGGTCATACTTAGTCCTCATCTCTTTGGCTTCTTTTAGCCCTTGAGTCAGGTGTGCACCCCTGTTTTTATTGAAACTTCTCCTCGCTGGGTCCATGTGGCACCATGATATTTTGTCTCTTCCTATGTTGCTGGGACCACTCCTCTTTGTCTGTTCACCTGGCATTTCCTTATTTTCGCTTCCCTTACACTCATGTGTGCTTTTAGCTTTTTTCTTTCTCCTTTTATTTTTCTGACAATAGCTTCTTTGCCACACTTATCCATTCATTTCAGAGATGTATAGAGGAATGAGCCATGTATTTGTGAGTTGCTTTCATCTATTTTACTGGGAAACAGTGGCATAGCTCTTGGTACATAAATCCCTCAGAAGGCTGTATTGCATCTCTAAGATTAGTATAACATTACACCACTGGAATTAAATCAGTCTTCATTCACTAGTGAACAATGTTCTCATGGGTGAAATTACTCTAAAAATGATCCCATGAGAGTTTTAATATCTAATCTTATTTTCTGGGTTCTTTTCACCTATGATATACAATTGCTATTTCTTATAAACAAACTACTCAATAAGAAACATTACTGATCTTGGCAAGATATAATAAGTTATGTAACTGCTTGGGATTCCAAATAGGAATTCATGGACTGTTATATCCACATAGAAAGAGAGCCAAAATTGAAGTTAATGATTTTATAGGGGCCACAACAACAACACATATGCTGAGAGATATTTCTTTTGAGTGAAGCAATGGAAGCTCCTATAAAACTGCCTTTTCCCAGTCACTCTATTGGAAACTAATTAATAATTTTTTCCATTTTAAGCATTTTTGAAGAAATAACATCTTTACTTATAGTCAGAAAAATTCATATTCTCATTGAAATTATTTAGTGTGATTATCCATCTTCACATACAACTCTGTCCTTGAGAGATGAAATGTATCATGCTTTTAACGACCTCTAGAGAAAAAGATTTCAGAGCTTACTTTTGGTGACTTATTCCAATGACTAAATCCCTTCAGGAAATTATTTTTCATCTAACCTCAGTACTTCATAATATGCTTAAATGTTTCCTTTTACTATGTCCTTGCTGAAAATGTCTATAAAATAACTGTAAACTGGAAACCCATTTTAAAAAATTACTCCTTGCCCACTTTCTTTAATTCAACTCCAGTCTTGGAAAAAAAAAAGTCTTAAATCATTTCTGAGATACTCTGAATGCTTTCCAAATAAGGTGCCCATTTTATCTTTAATTTTAAAAATTTTGCATATACAAATTTATTTTTCTTTTTACAGTTTTATAGTTCAGAGTATTTGATATTGTTTTAAATAGAATATATGCTATTATAAGATATAAGCATTTAACTAGACTTTAAAAATGCTTTTTTAACAACTGAACCTCCCGTCAAGTTTACACCAATAACTGTCAAAACAAAAAGATGGTCTAAGACTCTTTTTGTGCTGTTAATTCTTTTTAACTTCCTGACTTTTGTGGCTGTTGTTACTCTTAGGCAGGATTATCACGGTGTAACATAAATAAGAGATTAACTTTACAGTCACTCTCCATTCACCATAAAACTCCTTGACCTACTCAAGTCCAGTAGGGTCAGCGTTTTCTTTGGCCAGCTTGAGTGGTTGGCTTTGGGACTGTGGGGCTCACGCCATGGAATACTGTCAGCACAAGGGATATCCTTTGGAAAATAACAAAAACTCACTCTCTCACTTTTTTTTTTTCCTTTGCCTACAAACCCAGGGAAACTCTCATTCCTCAATTCATTAATGACAAAGAGTCTAAAGAAGTTTGTAAGGACAAAGAAAAGCTCTGCTAATTAACCATTGTAATGTAATCATAATCAAGATTTACTAAGTACTTTTTGTGCCAGGTAGCACATAGATTGCACAAAAGACAGTTTCTGCTGACAAGTTTTCTGCCAGCCCTGGGTCTCAAGCCTCAACAGTTTGACGATTTGTGCCAAAGGCTTCTGATTAATTAGGAAAATTCAACAAGCGTTTATGAAAATGCCACCCTCCCCACCCAAGTCATTTAGATATAAGGTAGTGTTTTCCTGTTATATTTCCAGTAAACAAAAGGATATTGGTTGATTGTTGGAGGGGAGTTGATTGTAACCTTTTGGCTCTAAATAAATAATAAGCCTGTGTCTTAATTTCATTTAATGGCTTGGAATTCCTAAGCTATGGAGTTCGTGAGAGAAGCAGAGGAAGTACACACATTAAAAAAAAAAAAAAAAAAAAAAAAAAAAAAAAAAAAAAAACAGGGAAAGAGACCTGTTGAACCCCAAGTGGCTTCCTTTTCCCAGCATTAATTTGCAGGTGGACTAAATCCACAGCCACTCCTCATGACAAACAGATGAACTGAATAATTTCCAGTTGTCTCTCATGCTGTCTTTGAGCCTGGGAGCAGGTTGTACATACCCTCAACTGAATCAATGAGGGGAGCAGTGTTGAGGGGCTTTGGACTAAACGAGATTAGAATTACTGAGAAGTTGATAGAGACGGATGTTTTCAGTTACAATTTTAACTAGACATAATGGCTTCCCCACAGGAAAGTTCATGAATCCATAAACCTAGTCCAGTGCTCCCTTACAGGAAAGGAGCTGTTTATTAGTGTGGTCCATGCCACCTGCTCAGCTATCAAATGCACATTTGTTCTCTTGGGAACAGTAGGGTGGAGTAGTTACTAGAAACAGGGCTGGGAGCCAGCAGTATTCCACTTCCAAATTCTGGCTGACTCCTCTAGTGACCTCTGTCTAGTCCCTTCAATAAAGCTAACCACTGCTTATTTCAAACTGAAGCCAGATGGGTAGTGTCTTGGGAAATATCCACACTTCACTGGGATTTCTTTGCCACAGGATTCATTCAAAATTATCCTTGTAATCAACAAATATTTATTGAATATCTTCTATTAACATGCATTAATAAATGAGTCAAAGGGGCATGCTATACCTGGATTTACATGATGTGATTCTAAAAACCAATTTCTTTTTAGAAAGATTGTTGTGTACACTGTTTTGTAAAGCATGGGATTTTTGAGGAAGAATTTATGTAAATTCATCGATCTATCTAAGATTTCTATAAGATTTCTATAAATTGAATTAGCCCTGTAGCAGTTATTAGGTGTGGTCCATAGCATACAAAATTAATTTTAAAGATAAACATCAGTGACAAAACAGAGCACAATTTTTTTCCCCTACAAAGAATCAGGATGCTAACATACAAATTCTTTTTTATTGTTGCTATTAGAACAGAGGGAAAAAAAGGTCCCCGACCTTGGAACCCTATGTTTGTGCAATTAGAATCATGCGGGTGAACAATAACAAAATATTCTCCCCACCCTCTGAAGGGGGTGACAGCTCCTGGGCACAGTGATACTCCATAAACAGCCCAAGTGGCAGAACATCCCTAGCAGCAGAATCCACTGGCTGCTTCCCAATCTGAATGTTTTTGTACTATCCTTGACTTCTACAGTTGGCAGAGAGAGGGAAAAAAATGTTTCAGAAAGTAGAGATGTTGAAGGGATGGATGTCCAGAAATGGAAGATGGGGAAAGAGAAATGTTTCTCTCACACTTTGTGATGCATCGGAAACAATAACGTGGTCACTTTAGAGATCCCAAATGTTTTAGAAGTGCAGAAGGTAACAAAAACCTCCTGATATTTCAAAATGCAAATCACCCAGCTTCATCTCTTTTTAAGAACCTTCGCATTACTGTAGGGTACAAATAGAGAAACAAGTACAACTACAGTCCCAGCGAAACATACTCAGACTCTCATAAAAACTCCACTGGTGAAAACAGTTACTCGAAGAAGCCAAGTTAATCCTGTGCCTGAGTCCTCCGAGTCCTGCTAAGACAGCTCTGGCCAGTGACATTCACCCATAGTGCATTCCTCTCGGCCCACCTGCTGCCGTAGGATCCTAGTTTTTCAAGCCCTCAATGAAGTAAAGAGCTAGAGTTGAAGATGGAAGGCAACATACAGCTAGAAGCACAAAACATGAGCATATACTGTTGGCCAGAGTCTTTCAGCAGCTGGTTTTTCTATGACTCAGTTCCCCATTCTAAGAACGAGTCTACCAGAAATATTTTCTTATCACAAATATCTTATTGACAGCCTCAGGCAAAGCAAATGAGAAATAAGCCAGAAAGAAATAGGTCTGAATTGATCCCAAAGAGAAACTAGCCTTTTCCAGTCATGTATCAGGGATTTGCATGGTAGATGTAGGTCATCTGAGAGGGCTCTAAGCTCTGCCCTATGAACACAATGCTTTCTTTTCCTGGTTTTGCATATGTAACATCATTGTCCTCAGAAGTCATCAAGTCCCCATTAGCTTGATGGGATGTAGTAATCAGCTGGGGTTGCCATAACAAAATAAAAGCCACCCAAAATGGGTGGCTTTAATGACAGAAATTTACTTTCTCAAAGTTTAGGAAGCTAAAAGTCCAGGATGAAGGTGTCAGTACAACGGGGTTCTTGTAAGCTCTCTCTTCTTGACTTGCAGATGGCTGCCTTCTTGTCTCTGTGGTCTCTGAAAGAGAGATATCTGGTGTCTCTTCTTTTTCTTAGAAGGACATCGATCCTATTGGTCGGAGTCCCATTCTTATGACTTAATTTACTCTTAATGATCTCTTTAAAGGTCTTATCTCTAACCTGGCTGTGGTGGTGCACACCTATAATCCCAGAGACTGAGGCAGAAAAATTGCTTAAGCCTAGGAATTTGAGACTGGCCTGGGCAATAAGCAAGACCCCATCTCAAAAACAGAATGAAAGTTTTAAAAGGCCCTATTTCCAAATAGTTTCATTGAAGGTTAGAGCTTCAAAACATGGGTTTTGGGGGGACAGAATTCAACCCAAAGCAAATGATAAATATTGATTAGTAATTATTAATCAGTCATATGCACAGAGCACTCATATTGTCCAATTAAATTACTAATACTAGCTAATATTGTGTAGATTAACTGAATTAATAAAATAAGCCAATTGAAACTTAGCAGAAAACATCTCATTTTATGCCATAGGCAAATAAAACAGGAGACACTTTACAGAATTTTTTTAGAGCCAAATAAATTAGTCTGAAATCCCAGTTCTGCCACTCATTAGCTATAAGGACTTGGGCAAGCAGCTTAACCATTTTGAACCCCAGATCTTCTTTATGGGTTAGTTAAGGATTGAAATAAAGTACTTTATATTAAGTGTTCAGTGCCTGACATACATTATACACTCAGTAAATGGAAATTAATATTATGAATTATCATTTCTATTATGCCAATGTAAATATCAAAATTGAACTAACTTCATTAGCAAGTGGACATCTGTCAGACTTCTATGGTACATTAAGTGTTTTGTATGCTTCTTACTTTCAAGTAGAAATTTTCCTGGTCTGCACTGGGGTTATAATTCAATGTCAATGTTTTTCTCTCTGGTGATAACCAAAGCTCTCAAAGAGCTTAGTAACTTGCCTCAGGCACAGAGACAGGCAAAGGGCACGTTTCCCACATAGTCCCAGGTGTCTTCTTGAGAAAAAAGTACCAGTCAGTGGTTACCACAGAGCAAGTGATTTTGATGGGTCTTTGATTATGATACCTTATATCATCTTGGTTATACACCAGGGGCACGAGTATCATTCTTAGGTCAAAAATACTACCTCAAACCACAGAGCAGCATTTGCTTATAAATAAGAGTGAAGATGGAAGTTTTGTTTTCAGATATAAACCTTTCATTTCTTGGCCACACTGTCTTCAGTGTATTTTGGGCCTTATGAGCAAAGCAGTAGAAGATTTTGTTGTGATTATTTTTTAAATTACTACTCCTTACAGAGCTTTTGACATTTATAAGCAATTCAGTTCTTTCCTAAACCTGATTTTATAGATTTTTCTAGGTTTGGCACGGCCCTTGCTTCTTGGCACAGCAGTATGTTACTATTTTTAAAGATGAGCATGACAGTGTAGATAATGAAATGGAAACGTAGAGCCAAAACAAAGTTTGGATTCAACTGGAAGAACCAAGAGGTTGACATTCAAATGTCAATGGATTCCCCTAACTCATCTTTCATGTGCTTGTTTATTTATTTATTTGCATTTTAAGATTTACTTTAAAGTCTGGGTTGCTATCACATTAAGCAATATCAATTTAATTTCTATCACAGTGAATATTAACAAGTGCTTTTATTATAATTTCAGTTGCCTCCTAATGATTTTATCCTTGAAAGTAGCTTTTATTTTATGCTGTTCAAGTACTTATCTCCAGTCATCCTTCCTCTTCATAAAACACTTAAGAACAGGAGAGATTGTAAAACCTTTTATTAGATAAAAGGATGGTAGCTGTTATTACATAAAATTCAAGAAAATATTTTAATTTCTCATTTGCTGTTACAGTCTTGATATCCATATTTGATTTTTCTGAAGTTAAACTTCATCTCAGCTTAATCCCTCCAAGTGGCATGATTATTTTAATACCTTACTTGATAATACTCCCATAGCCATATTTTTCCTCTCCTAAACCTGAAAAGGTTAACAGTTGTATCTGAAGGTTTACCTGTTTCACACTCAGGCAATTTAGTTTCTAAAAAGAGAGAATTAAGTATCAGATCCTTTCAAAATGTATGCAGTACAATTTTGGCTGGTCATTTTTGAGAGACCAAGAAAAATGCTGTCAGCCATAATGCTAAATTTGGAAGTGCAATGTCGTGCCAGCAAGTATTTTAGCAAGGCTGATGCTATACTTGGGAATTTGTCAAGTACATCAGTAATATTTCATAGCACATTTGGCTGTGTGCAAAGTTGATACAGAATTTACTCTTCATTCTCACTATGAGAAATACCACACATTTATAAATGTATTAGGGTGACTTCCTTCATTCTGTTCTTCTGTTTATTTTTAGGGTGCTTATTAAGGAAGTACCTAAGCTTCTTTTAAAATGTCATATCTTCACTAATGTCATGTGATTTTATTCACCCACAGAAACTTAAGTTGTATTCAGATAACTAATGGAAAAATAAATAATTTAATCTGGACACTTGGACAGCTAATCTTGTTGGGTAACCCAGCTATAGTCTGGTGCAATGAAGATATTCTCCAGTTGGCTAGCTGTGAAACCCACTCAACTCCCTCTCTCCTGTCACCAGCTATTACTCTTCCAGAGCCTTCGGTGAGGACAATGGCAAATGCGCAAGGCTAATTGATTATGTCTGTGGTGAAAATATACCCACTGGGGAAGACTTTCTACTGCTTGTAAAGACTCAAAATTCTGGAGCTCAGAAGGACCTTGGAAAAACAATTCTGACTTCTTGGAGAATTTCTTGCAGCAAAAGGCACTGAGTCTCAGAAGAGTCAAGACTTGACTTGTCAGACACAACCCTCATCTAGGAACCCCAACAAGTCAAGTCTCAGATTGACTGAGGCATGACCTAGTTGTCATGTGTTGCCATTGCATCCTGGTACCTCTTGCCCCAAACAGGTTATTTTTATTCCTACATTGATAAAGTGCTATGATAATTTGTGGGTATTTGTTGATGCTTAGCCTTTTGTGTTTTGACACTAACGATTGAAAAGAGAAGAGTGGTAGTCCAAGCTACCTTCCACAGATGAAGAGACTTCAGTTTTGGAGAAGAGATTACCTTGTAAGGGGAGGCCATTTTGTCCCCCTTAATAACCAGAAGTCTTAGATCAGAGGCCTCAGACACCATCCTCATCTAGGAACCCCCAAAATGACGTCAGGACACTCCCTAACATGCTCAATTTGGATACCAGGAAAGCAGGATGGGGGGTCCTGACTGCCCAGTCCAAGAGTGGCAAGGAGGAGGTGACAGCATTCAGCTGTTGGCCAGGCAGCTAGGCCCTTCCAAGTCACTTTCACTACTAATATTGGTGATTAACATTTTTTGGTGCACTTTACACATTTTAAGCCCTAACACAACCCCATGATCACTGTCATTCTTATTTCACAGAGAACTGAATAACGTGTCCAAAGTCATACAGCATGTAGAGACAGACATCAGAAATTGAAATGCGGAAAGCCCAATTTCTGAGCCCAAGCTTTTAACTGTTTCTCCACCCCTTGCCTCCTCCCTACAGAATTTAGTGGCATCAAAGGTCATGTTCTAAGTAACAGCGATGAATATCTTTTATGTTTTGGCATCTCTCATAATAGGGAAAGAAGTCTTTCATATGTTTATTTCAAAATTATGAGAACACTTTTAACTAAACAAACTACTTCTTTTATAACTTTATAAAATTTAGGCAAATCCTCAGTTTACAGTACATTATAATCATTGGTCCATGTAGGAATCCATCTTTTACTTAACAAGTTTAAGATTCTATAATGACTATATGGGGGCCTATCAGTCAATTTAAGAACTAGGATGTTACCACTAATTTATAACTACATGGGCTCAGCTAATTTTTACATGTTTTTGTAGAGATGAGGTCTCACTGTGTTGCCCAGGCTGGTCTTGAAATCCTGGGCTCAAGCAATCCTCCTGCCTTGGCCTCCCAAAGTGTGGGATTACAGGCCTGAGCCACCGGGCCCCTCCGAGAGTAATAATCGCTACCTCGAATGTTATTTATTTTGTTTTTAGAAAGTGTTTTTATCATATATATGATAAAATATCTTAAATCTTACATCTTTTTGAGGTTTAAATAATATATTGTGTGTAATCTTACAGTAATGGATGTATGGATATAGCTGTAGTTCATTCATTTTTACTTCTGAAAAAATTTAATTCTAAACATACTAAAATTTATTTATCCGCTCTAATGATGGATATCTGGGTTATTTCCAGGTTTTAATGTTTTACTAATATGGTGATATAAATATCCTTGCAGTCTTCTGGTGCACATATGTCTCCCTAGGTATAAACCTAGTAGGACAGGCACTGCTAGGTTGAGAATATGCAAATATTAAAATTTACAGGATAATGCCACACGTGTTTTCAAAGTGGTTGTACCAATTTATACTCACACTAATAATATATAATTAATACTAACAATTAAATGGTAGATCATTAAGCTTAAATTTAAATTTCTTTAATTTCTAATATTGGTTCTATGCATTTACTTTTAGAATAAATATTCCGATCTTTCCCATTCTTCTACTTTTTTTTTCTTTTTGCCTTTTTTCTTATTCATTTGTAGGAATTCAGTATATAGTCTATAGCAGTTATCCTTTGATGGTTATTTGTATCGCAAAATTATTATAGCTATTGTTTTATTGCCTTTTTGAACATTTCCTTTGTTGAACAGATATTCTTAGTTTTCATGTAGTTTAATTTGTCCATCATTAAAGACGTACTTGAAGTATATTGCAGGTTCAATTTCACACCACCACAATAAAGCAAATGTCACAATAAAGTGAGTTACATAAATGTTTTCATTTCCTAGTACATTTAAACATTATGTTTACACTATTTTGTAGTCTATTAAGTGTGGATAGCATTATGTCTAAAAAAATGTGCTTTTGTTAATTACCAAATATTTTATTGCTAAAACATGCTAATGATCATCTGAGATTTCGGAGAGTCATAATCTTTTTGCTAATGGAGTGTCTTGTCTTGATGTTGATAGCTGTTGACTGATAAGGGTGGTGGTTGCTGAAGGTTGGGGTGACTGTGGCAGTTGCTTAAATTAAGACAACAGTGAAGTTTGCTGCATCAAGTGACTCTTCCTTTCATGAAAAATTTCTCTGTAGCATGTGATGATGTTTAAAAACATTTTACTCACAGCAGATCTTCTTTCAAAATTGGAGTCAATTCTTTCAAGCCCTGTGGCTGCCTTATCAATTAAGTGTAGGTAAAAATCTTGAGGTGTCATTTCAACAGTGTTCACAGCATCTTCACCAGGAGCAGATTTCATTTCAAGAGATCACTTTCTTTGCTCATTTATAGGAAGCAACTCCTCGTCCACTTAAGTTTTATCATGAGATTGCAGCAATTCAGTCACATCTTCAGTCTTCAATTTCACTTCACACTTGCAGCATGTCTTTAATTATGATCTTTAATTCTAGTTCTCTTGCTATTTCTACCATATCTGCAGTTACTTCCTCCATGAAAAATCTTGAACCCCTCAAAGTAATCCATTTGAGTTGGAATCAACGTCTTTCAAACTCCTGTTAATGCTGATATTTTGATCTGCTCCCATGAGTCACAATGTTCTTAGTGGCATCTGGAATGGTAAATTCTTTTCAAAAGGTTTACGATGTACTTTGCTCAGGTCCAAATGCATCAGAAGAATCACTATCTATGGCAGTCATAGCCACACAAAATGTATTTCTTAACTAATAAGACTTGAAAGTTGAAATGATTCCTTGATCCACGGGCTGCAGAATAAATATTGTGTTAGCAAGCATGGAAACAAAATAAATCACCTTGTATATTTCTTTCAGAGTTCTCGAGTGCCCAGATACATTGTCAATGAGCAGTAATATTTTGAGAAAAAATATGTTTTTCTTAGCAGTAGATGCCAACAGTGGGCTTAAAATAGCTCATAAACCATGGTGTAAACAGATACGCTGTTATTGAGATTTGTTTGTTCCATTTATAGAACACAGGCAGAGTAGATTTAGCATAATTCCTAAGGGTCTTAGAATTTTTAGAATGGTAAATGAACATGGGCTTCAACTTAAAATCATCAGCTACATTAGTTCCTAACAAGAGAGTCAGTCTGTCTTTTGAAGCTTTGAAGTCAGGTATTGTCTTCTCTCCTATAGCTATGAAAGTCCTGGACGGCGTCTTCTTCCAATAGAAGGCTGCTTCATTGACGCTGAAAATCTGTTGTTTAATGTAGCCACCACTGTCAATTGTCTTAGCTAGCTTTTTTGGATAACTTACTGCAGCTTCTACATCAGCACTTACTGTTTTCACTTTGTACTTTTATGTTATAGAGATGCTTTTTTCCCTTAATCCTCATGAACCAACTACCTCGGCTAGCTTCAGATTATTCTCCCACAGCTTCGTCACCTATCTCAGCTTTCATAGACTTGAACAAAATTGGGGCTTTGCTCTGTATTTGGAATTAAATTTTTTTTTATTTTTATTGTATTGGGTTTTGACTTAAGGAAATGTTGTGGCCGGTTTGATCTTCTATCCAGGCCACTAAAACTTTCTCCAACTCAGCAATAGGGCTACTTTGCTTTCTTATCATTTATATGTTCACTGGAGTTGCACTTTTAATTTCCTTCAGGAATTTTTCCTTTGCATTCACAAGCTAACTATTTGGCACAAGAGTTAGCTTTTGGCCTGTTTCAGTTTTGGCATGCCTTCCTTACTAAGTTTTATCATTTCTAGCTTTTGATTTCAAATAAGAGATGTGCAACTCTTCTTTTCATTTGAACATTTAGAAACCATTGTAGGATTCTTAGTTGGCCTAATTTTAATATTGTTGTGTCTCAAGGAATAGGGAGGCCTGAGGAGAGGGAGAGAGATGGAGGAATGGCCAGTCGATGGAGCAGTTAGGACACAAACAACATTTATTGGTTAAGTTCACTGTCTATATGGGCGTGGTTCATGATGTCCCAAAGCCATTACAACAGTTAACATCAAAGATTACTGATCACAGATCATCATAGCAGATATAATAATAATGAAAAAGATTCAAATATTGTGAGAATTACCAAAATGTGACACAGAGACATGGAGTGAGCACATGCTGTTAGAAAAATGGTGCAGTTAGACTTGTTTGACTCAGGGTTGCCATAAACCTTCAATTTGTAAAAGCCATAATATCTGCGAAACACAATAAAGTGAAATTCAATAAAACGGGGTATGCCTTTATTTTTATTCAGAAATTTTACATGAATTTTTATAGCTTATTTAAGGTTGGATTTAAGACCTGATGTGTATTCTTTAAAAAATTTTTAAGGTTTTGATTTTGATATGTATTTAACTCTTTTATCCATCTGGAGTTAATTTTATGTAAGCTGTGTGGTAAGGATATAATCTCATTTGCTCCCCCTTACCACTAACTACTTTTCCTAGCTTGTATTTACTATATTGATTTACCATGATACCTCTGACAATATTAATATTCCTTTTGTATGTGGGTCTGTTTGGGGGTCTCTAGTCTCTTGCACTGATAAGTTTATCTGTCTCTACATCTATTGTACAATAACTTAATTACTATCATTTTACTATAAGGCTTACTGTATTGTAGGAAGTCCCTATTTCATTTATTTAAATAAACATAGATTGGCAATATTTAGCTATTTGCTTTTCCATATAATTTTAGAAACATAGCAAATTTTATGAAAATTACTACTGCAATTTTAATTGCAGTTACAGCAAATTTATGAGTCAACTAGGGAGAATTGACATCTGTTACATATCACTTTCCTGTGCATGAATATGCATTATCTCTGCACTTATATAGGTCTTAGGTAACTTCTCTTAGTAAAATTTATCATTTTCTTCAAGATTGTGAAGAAATATCTTTTTTTCAGATATATTCTTTGATACTTTGTTATTTTTGTTAACAATGTATGTGGCATTATTTTAAATTGTATTATGTGTGTTTTTCTTGTTGTATAAAAATATACTTGACCTTTATATGTTGATTTTATTTCCAGAAATCTTGCTGACATATATTATTATGTATAAGGATTTCTGAAGTTTCTGAATTTTCTGTTTAAATAGTATATTATCTGCAAGAAATTACATTTATATTTAAATTTATTTATATTTTCTTTTGCTAAATAGGCTTTATAACAAAATATGTATTAGAAGTGATGATAACTGGCCTACTTGTATTCTAACATTTCCCCTAAAAACATGCCCATTGTGATAGTTGTTTTTTTTCCCCCAAAAGCATGATTCCAGAGAGCAGTATGCATAGAGAATTTTAGTGCACAATCAGCAAAACCACATGTGATAGTCCTATATATTCCTCATGAGGTCAAAGAATTACCCTTCTATTTTTATTTATTTAAATATATATGTATATATATGTGGGTGTTAAATTATTTGCATTCATTTAATAAAAAATTCTTTTATTATTTAATCTGTTAATCTGGTGAAGAACATTTACTGATTTTCTAAAATTAAACTACCCTTGCATTCTGGGGATAAACTAAGTTAGTCCTGGTTTATTAACCTTCTTCCCCTGACTCTCCATCTCTCCCCACACACATACTGCTGATTTCAGATTGCTATTATTTTGTTAGGCGTTTTATTTTCTTTTTAACCAATTCGTATAAGTAAAATGGGCTTGCAAATTTCCTTTTCAGTTCTCAACTCATAGAATAATTGAGAAATAGTCCTGGTTTGTTCTCTAGAAAAGCTTATAGAAGATTGGAATAACATGTTTTTTGAAAAGTTAGTAAAATGATTTTACAAAATGGTCTTATCTTGGCGTTTTCTTTATGGGAAGATTTTAATTACTGCCTCAAATGCATTAATAATTATAGCATTATTTAGGTTTTCTATGTATTCTTGGGTTCGTTTTTGATGTTATATTTTTCTATTAATTTAACCACTTCATGTAAACTTTCAAGTATATTTGCCCAGAATTGGTGATTATAATATTGTCTTTTTATTCTCTTATATCAGCATGTTCCTTTTTTAATCATGCTATTATTAATTTATGCTTTCTCTATCTTTCTTGACTGGTCTGATACAGATTTTTTTTTTAAATATACATGCTTTTTGTCAGTCTTTTCTAATGTATTATTGTTGTCTATTTCATTCATTTCTGATTATATACTTTTCCTTTTATCAAATTCCTTCATATTTATTATTTTTCTCCCCTTCTTGAACTGGACAGATTACTATTAGTCTTTCTTTTTTTTAATTACCACCAGCACTTAAGACTATAATTTTCCTTTGTATCTCAATTTGCATTACATCTCTCGTTTTTATATATAATCTTTTCTTATTCATTCAGTTATAAGCATGTGTAAACATTCATTATGACATTTTCTGTAACACATGGGTTATTTAGAAATGTGCTTTCTAATTTTCAAACATTGAGGAATTTAAAGTTTTTATCTTTTTTATGACTTCCTAACACAATTGCTTTGTGGTCAGAGTATGGAATGTTTTGAAATCTATTTTTCTGATATTTATTGAGACTATACTTGTGTTCACCTACTTGGTCAATTTCAGTCAATTTCCATGAGTGCTTAAAAAGAATATGTATTTTTACTTAAATGTATGCAGAATTTTAAATATACCTATTAGATAAGTTATTTTATTTGTGTTACTTCTTAAATTTTCCCTATCTTTGTTGATTTGCTTGTATGCTTAACTCATCAATAATTGAGAGTTGTATTGATTTTCTCAATATGCTGGTAGTTCTATTGATTTTTCCCAGTAGTCTTACCAGCTTTTCTTTCACATATCTTAAGTCTCTTGTATTAAGTGCAAAAGTGTTTAGAACTGTATTTTTCTGGTGAATGGCATTTCTGGTATAATTAGTAAACATACCCAAAGTTTTTTTGCCCTAAGATCTATTGTGCTCAGAACTAAAATGGATATGCCCAGATTTTTTTTCTTAATATTTGTCTAATATATATCTTTTCAGTTTTTTCATTAAACCATTTTTATACTTATGTCTATTTCTTATAAACAACATATAGTTAGGTTTCTAAAAATGAAATCTGAAAAATACTGTATTTTATCTGGTGAGCTTACATGTATGCTAATTATTGATATATATGTACTTGTTTCTACCTTCTTTTTTCAGATTTATTTTTATTCAGATTATTACAGTTTTCTTCCCACCTATTCTTCTATTGTAAGGAATGACTGACTTTTTTGGTTCCCTTTTCTCCCATTTTTTAGTTGCACTAGCTAAAAATTTATAACTTTATTTTTATTCCTTTTTTGTGGTTAATCTTATTTTATAAAGAATCTTTAACTTGACAAAGTTCAAAGTAAAATTTTTAAAAATAGACTTCCCTACATAAACAATAAGATTTTAGAAAATTTTAGCTTCAATATTAAGTGCTTAATTATTTAGCCTCACAAATTAAACACTATTTTTTGATACAGAAAATGTTATTTATATTTTGCTACTTTAAATGGCTTATTTACAAGTTTCTTTACAGCAGCTCTTTTGGGAATTTTCTCCCAGTTTTTATTTAACTGTAGTTGTCTTTATTTTGCCTCTGAGGGCTCTGTTGAGAAAAGATTATAAAAGGACAAACATGGTAGTTAGCAAATGAATAGTCAAGGTGCTTATGTAATAATCCAGGCACAGGAAGATGGTGGATTGCATAGATTGGTAGAACTGGAGCTGTTGAGGAGTACTAGTTGTATTTTCAAGATTTAGCCAACAATATTTCCTGATTGAATGTCAAGAATGAGAGAAAGAGGAGTCAAGTTTGAGAAGGAGTCCAGGGCTTGAGAAACTGGAAAGATGGATCTGCTATTAACTAAGATGAGGAACCATAAGTGAGGCACATTTGGGAACGAATAGGATTTTAGTATGGGATATGCTCATGTCATATTTATCAGACATCAAGTGGACATTTTAAATGTGTGAGTCCAGAGTTCAGGAAAGAACTCTATTTGTCAGCCATTTACACATAGAGGATATGTAAAGCTATGAAACTGTATGAGATCTCCACGTGGAGTGAGTACACAGAGGGGAAAGGGTCAAGAGCTGACCCTCGGAAGACTCCAATGCTAAGACATGGAGGAGTAAGCAAAAAGAAAAGGTGCATCCAGTGAGGTATGAGGGAAAACAGCAGTGTGGTATTCTTGAGTTCAAGTGAACAGGGGTTCAAAGGATAAAGAGTTAATTATCTGTGTATATCATGCGTGTGGAGGACAGAAAAGTAACCACTGATTTAACAACATGAAGATAACTATTGGCGACCTTGACCCAAGCAGCTTTGGTTGAAAGATGGCAATGAGAGACTGATGGAATTATGTGGTGAAGAGTAACTGGAAACAAGAGCTTTCAAGGAAATTGTATTTAAATTGGAGACAAAATTGGAGATAACTCTTTTATGAAATTTTCCTGTTGAAGTGGAGAAAAATGGATCAGCACCTCGCAGATAAGGAGGGTAGAGACTTAAATTCTATTGTGAGCTAACCAGTAATCACTAGCCATAAGTGATTATTGAGCACTTGAAACGTGAATAGTTGAAACTAAGATGTGCTGTAAATAGAAAATATACATCAGACTTTAAAGATTTTTACCAAAAACCATAAACTATCTCAGTGCTTTTTAAATGTTGATTGCATGTTAATATGACAATATTTCAGATCTATTAGATTAAAATATATTATTAAAATGAATTTCACCTGCTTGTAAGTGTTTTTTAAATGTGTGTATCGGAAAGTTTAAAATGACATGTGGCTCACCTTATATTTCTACCAAACAGTGCTTGTTTGGACAATCATATCGTGTCCGGAATTGGTGAGTTCTTGGTCTCACTGACTTCAAGAATGAAGCTGCGAACCCTCACGGTGAGTGTTACAGTTCTTAAAGGTGGCATGTCCAGAGTTTGTTCCTTCTAATGTTCGGATGTGTTCGCAGTTTCTTCCTTCTCGTGCGTTCATGGTTTCCGGCCTCAGGAGTGAAACTGCAGACCTTAGCAGGGAGTGTTACAGCTCATAAACGCAGTGCAGATCCAAACAGTGAGCAGCAGCAAGATTTATTGCAAGACCAAAATAACAAAGCTTCCACCATGCAGAAACGGACCTGAGCAGGTTGCCATTGCTGGCTCAGCAGCCTGCTTTTATTCCCTTATCTGGCCCCACCCACATCCTGCTGATTGGTCCATTTTAGAGAGCTGATTGGTCTGTTTTACAGAGAGCTGATTGGTCCATTTTGACAGGGTGCTGATTGGTGTGTTTACAATCCCCCAGCTAGACACAAAAGTTCTCCAAGTCCCCACTAGATTAGCTAGATACAGAGCACTGATTGGTGCGTTTACAAACCTTGAGCTAGACACAGAGTGCTGATTGGTGTATTTACAAACCTTGAGCTAGACACAGACTGCTGATTGGTGTATTTACAATCCCTTAGCTAGACATAAAGGTTCTCCAAGTCCTCACTGGATTAGCTAGACACAGAGCACTGATTGGTGCATTCACAAACCTTGAGCTAGACACAGAGTGCTGATTGGTGTATCTACAATCCTTTAGCTAGACATAAAGGTTCTGTAAGTCCCCACTAGACTCAGGAGCCCAGCTGACTTCACCTGGTGGATCCTGCACCAGGGCAGCAGGCAGAGCTGCCCACCAGTCTGGCCCTGTGGCCCGCACTTGTTAGCCCTTGGGCGGTGGATGGGACCAGGAGCTACGGAGCAGGGTGTGGGGCTCGTCGAGGAATCTTGGGCGGTGCAGGAGACCAGGGCGCCGGGGTGGGAGGCTCAGGCATGGCCGGCTGCAGGTCCCGAGCCCTGCAGCCTGGGGAGGCAGCTGAGGCCGAGCGAGAATTTGAGTGCAGAACCGGCGGACTGGCACTGCTGGGGGACCTGGCGCACCCTCCGCAGCTGCTGGCCCGGGTGCTAAGCCCCTCACTGCCATGGGCTGGCGCGGCTCAGAGTGCGGGCCTGCTGAGCCCACGCCCACCCGGAACTCACACTGTCCGGTGAGCCCTGTGCGCAGCCGCGGTTCCCACCTGTGCCTCTCCCTCCACACCTCCTCACAGCAGAGGGAGCTGGCTCCGACCTCGGCCAGACTAGAGAGGGGCTCCCAAAGTGCAGCGGCGTGCTGAAGGGCTTCCTCATGCATGGCCAGAGTGCGCGCTGAGGCCTAGGAGGCTCCCAGAGCGAGCAAGGGCTGCCAGCATGCTGGCACCTCTCAATATCATCTAAGCAACCTCTCTAAGCCCAAGGGTGTGAGGTGGGAGAGACAAAGTAAGAAACTCATACATGCTAAGAATTTAGACATTTAATGACAGTTAAGCAATCCTATCTAAAAATCTTTTCTGGGACCCCATAATTTATAAATGAAAACCTTCAGAATAGTGAGGATATTTGAAGTAAAGCTAATGACACAGAAATATAAAAAATGAAAAGGGCTACCTTTCAGACACTGGGAATGCTTGTTTTGAAACTATGAACAGAATTTCCCAGAGACTGTAATGAGTTAATTTTCTCAATTAGTAGAAATTAGCAGAATTTGGCAGTGTTAGCTACTATACAATTTTATAAATATTGGGTCTCTTTGAATATATTATTGCATAAATATGCAATAGCTAATAAGCTTCTGTTTTTTTCTGTCATTGATATTTTGAAATTAAGTTTATATTATGGTACTTCAAGCATGAAAGTGTTGCAAGTTTTACTAAAAACTGCTTAATCTAGTTATCTGGCTATCTGTATTCTTACTGAATGCTTGCTAAAGTTATGGCTTCATCTCATCCACAGTAAATCTATAATTACAGCATTAAGGATGGAGGAAACCAGCTGTGTTTTGGTTTCATTGAACATCTTGAACTATTATTCAAGCATTTTGGGTAAAATAAAATCTAAAATGCATTTTGACAAGGATGTTTCACGTTTATTTTTAGACCCAAGTACATTTCAGAAGAAATTTAATTCATACGTTTCTGATTTATTTACAATTAACTGATCAAAGTTTTTGCTGAGAAGTGTATGATATTAAAGAAGCTAAATCACCATTAATAAGGGATCTTTACCCACTTCTTTTTCCTTCATTCTCCTATAGAAAGTCATTTTTGCAAAGCAAACATAATTTTAAGTCATTTGACATAATACTCAAAATCTACAATGTTGTATTTAACTTGAAGAGATTCCTCAGTATTGTAAGATCATTTGGAGAGCTGTTATCATTATTAATTTTTAAAAATTTAAGAAGCCTAGTAATAAAAACGTCTGATTTTGTGTAACACTCCTTTTCATTGACAACATTAAACAGCAATTAACTATTTGCTGATTACATTATCTACTGCTTTTAACTTACCTAAGATAGGCAACAGCAATCACAAAGCCTAGTATAGCTTACCTGCTTAACAATTAATTTTCAAAATGGTTAATGAACAAATGATGAATGAATGACTGAAGATATTAAACAACTGGAAAATATCGTAGATTTTCGCTACTATATTTTAAATTTCATTTAATAGGACACTATGTAAACAAAACAATATACTAATCCCTTGATAATTTCTTATTTAAAATTGCATGTCTAACACAAAATATATTTATATAAAATGAAAAAAATGTATATAGGCTTAGTTAACTTGAATGAGATACTAATTAATGTTTTACATTCATAGAAATATTATACATCTATATGCACTTATATAAGCATAATCTATACACTCATTATATATTATATGTAATATGTATATTACATATATGCTACACTATACATAATATGCATATGTTATATGCATATTATATGCAATATATACACATTAGCATTTTATATATTATATACATTGCAGGATATGTTATATAACTATATGTGGACATGTATTCTTACACTATTTCATTTAATCTTAAAGATTCAGAAGGAAGTTTGTAAATAAATATATCAACAAAATCTGATCTATTTTCAAGTAGTTTCAAGATGAGATATTACTGTAATGTACTCCTTTTGTTACTCTCTTTAACTATATTCAAAAATATACATTCTTTTGACCTGATCTAGATTTTACAACAGAATTATACAGTAGCAGAATTTACTCAACACAAGAGTTAGGGTAATGGGGCTTCATGTGAGACTCCAGAAATCTTGCCAGGCCAAATTCTAGAAACCACTCATCTAGAATATTTTCCCTAGAACTCAGCTTTATTGGATATTCTTCCTTCCATCTCTCTTTAGTCTTTCTTCAATCGCAAGAAGTTACAATTATATAACTGTTGTAACAGGTTATTCTGTCCTTCAATTTCTTTGTACTTGGAATTAATAATGTGATGGAAAGAAATTGTAAGGTTGTACATAAACAGTTTTCAGAACAGGTGCATTTCATTTTGCTTGTTTGTGTCAACGAGTAGGAAATAAGCAGTTTTGGGTATTCTTTACATATTTTTACTCAAGACTTGCTATCATGGTTGTTGATGAACTTCCAGAAGAGTGCACAGTTAGCAGAAATTTGTGCTGTCTGATCTGTTCTATAAGTTGTAAGACATGGAGGTTAGATATTCACAGAAAAATTTTCCTCCTTTTCCTTTATAGTTTGTGAATTATGCACTTAAGGGTGTATTGAAAAGCTCAGTTTATCTTAATCAAGTTTTCACTACAATTCATCAAAAGCTCAGCTCTTTTCTTAATTTATTACAACACATTGTTCTTTGTTGAAAATGTGCCCAGAGACATGTGCATTGTATGCCTTTTCTTAAATTAGAGAATAGTGAACTCTGTGAAGTGAACAGATGCCATAATTCTGTATTTATCACCAGACTGTGAAATCATCTCTTTTTGAGAATGGCTAGAACATCAGTTCTGATTTTAAATGATATTTTACTGACAGGTTTGCACATGCCATCTGAATTTTATCTACACATGTGAAGCATGGCCTATGGCTCTGCTGTCAAAAATAAATGATTCAGGAACATGATGGCTCTGCTGTCAAAAATAAATGATTCAGGAACATGATCAGTTTCTGATACTGCCAGCAACCAAATTGGTTTTCTGTATGCATAGGAGAATAAGTAATGCTGTTCCAATTGACGTCTCTCCTTAAGACAGAGATCCTGTTAACTTACTGCAGGCTAAATGTTCAAGACAAATATTCTCCGTTTCTTCCATTGGATCCCAATTTAGATTAACTTCCATAGTAGGTGAAATGTGTCTTGGTTTTGTACTGTAAACTGTTCACAATTCCTCTGTCAACCTTTGCAATTACATAAGCAATGCCTTGTTTTATTTAAGGTTTCCTCAATAGCCCTAAGAGGGAGCCACACCTTTCTCTCAGCCACCTGAGCCTATCCATGTAATAATCTCACCCACACAGGAAATTAATCCAGCTCACACTGGCCACACACACTAATTGTGCAGTTTTTCTTTTTTTAATAAACATTTCCCTGTGCTGTTTTGGTTTGCAGCTGGGAACTGCCCAACCACACACAGAGCTAAGCTGAAACTAACCTTTCCACTCAACTCAGCAAAAAGGACAACTTTGCCTAGGCAGATGGTGATGTGCACTGCTGTGTGCAATGCATTTCCATGTCACTGGGCATTCTGAACTTTTCAGAAGCAATTTCAAATATATTTTAAAAGAAAATGTGATGTGAAGGGCTGTGAGCTAAGTTTGTGCTTTAGGCAGACACACCTCTTATTTTTCCCTGATTTAAGAACTAAGTTAGGTAAATGAAATCAAGTTAACAATACTATGCATTTCGTGTGTGGAGAGTGGGAGGATACATTTTTGCCTAAGTAAAGCAAGAGTTTTAGTGAGTTTCAACCTATGTCAATGACAATAATTTGTGAAATAAGAAAATGTGGCAAAACTGCCTCCTAAAAAAATTAGTTCACCACCATATTATGTACATATCAGTCAGAAAATAAGTTTTTAAAAAATCACTAGACAAAGTCAAGATTTACTGTTTCTAGTTCTGTCTCTGCCATTTTTCAGGCACTTAATTTTTCTGGACTCTAGTTCTGTTGCTTAACAGAGTGCTCAATTTGTATTAGCACTTCTGAAAGAAAACTTATATCTTAGCTCTTCAAGATCTGCAGCAGAGAGTTCCTTGATCAACTAAGTTCAGGAAACATCAATGCTATATTCTCTTGATGTCACATTTATTAATTCATGTAGAAATTTACATTTGAAAGACTTTGAGAAGTACAGCAGTAAAGAAACCTAGTAACTTTGTTTAACTCAATGTTTCTGAAAATTATTTTTTTTACACCATGAGACAATGACGCTAGGAGATATACTTTGCGGATCATCGTTTAAATAACCCCTAAAGTCCTGTTCTAAATTTTATGGATATTTATACTTCACTGATAAGTGTGTTAGTAACATTTATTGAAAATCTAAAGTTTTAAATCATTATAACATTCTTTTTTTATATATTATTTTAATTTCACTATTTCATATATTTAATATCTCATATCTCAGAAATGAATGAAAATGGCACTGAGATAATTAACAAGCTCTGGTCTTTAAATTCCATGATCATGTTCTTTATTGTCATAAAACTTATTTTCAGTTTTATTTCAATTGTTTTTTAATTAATTTATAATTTTAAACTCTATACCTTACAACCACTACATATATAGTTAATTTTATTATTTTATCCTTAAGTTTCAAAAGAACTTGAAGTCCAGTCAAAGTTAGAACTCAATGTTCTAACCTGTCAAAGTTAGAACTCAAAGTTCAAATTCATTATTCCCTGGCTCAGCTTACTGGGCTCTATACTATCCGAATCTAAACACTACTTTTAAAAGAAAGTAAAACATTACTTTTAAAAGAAATTACTTTTAAAAGAAAGTAATAGATGACTTCTATTTAGCATTCCAGACAATTCACTATAATGCTTGTGTTTTTGAGCAAAGTTTACAGTAGAGATAATAAAGTTTTGGGGGAGGGTACAATAAACTGATGAAATACTATGGGAAGTAATTGCTGTGGCTTAAGAATGGTACTCTCTATACTTACATGATAAGAAAAAGGAAAATATTTGGACACTCAGATTATACAAGATGCCTTATAACCTTGTTACTTGAAATGATTCTGGCAATAGTTTGGCAGCTGCCACACTGTGGGTGCCATATGTCTGATGGTCTAACAGAGCTGAGATGCTGCCTGCTGAATCCATTTCATTACTGTAATCCTTACTCTGCTAGAAAGCCTCCCCCATATTTTTTACCTCTCATGCTATTTCAGCCTCTTTGTCCTACTCTGCACCTCATCCCCAGAATTAACACGTAATTATTCCAGAATGAATAACAAAGAGACAGGGAATACCTATAGTGCTCTTCATGAATGTTTCAGAAAATACCTATCATCCATTTAAGAGGCAAAAATTGCCTCATCTATTAGTATTTTTAAAAGTAACACTAATTCTAAGCTGCCCTCAACATCTCAATAATATGAAGAGCTAACATTTGTTGAGTACTTACTATGTCCTGGGTAAAATGCTAATCATGATCATGATTAAATCTGGGTCAAGGATTCTCAAGTCCATTATACCATTCTCTATGTTTTTCTATACATTCAAACATGTATATAATATAAATTTAAAATGACATGAGGTCAAATGTTCTCAGGAGAGCATACAGAGACCTTTACAGAATAACAAATTCAGGGACTCAAGCATTTACACAAAGAATTTGGAAAAAGAACAGAAACAGAAGGAATAATTTTTAAAATGAAATCATAAGTCAAAATGAAAACAATTTTGAAAATTAAAAAATTATATGTAAAACTATTTGAAAAAAGCAATATATTTACATTGCTAGTCAAATAATAAGTAAAACATAACTTTAAAACACTATGATTAGAAGGAACATATAATTAGAAGGTTTTGGAAAGTTTTGAAAATTATGCAAACTAGACAAATTACATTTGAGAATTTTGTATAAAATATAAATTTCCAAGCTTAACAAAAACAAGTTGGAAACTTGAAAAAATCAAAGTTCATGAAAACTATTTAAAAGTGGCAAAAAGACCCTCCAAACAGAAAGGGCCAGTTTATCTTATGTTTTGAAAGTATCATAAAATTGCATTAAATAAAAATGTGTGGAACAGGAAACAGAAATAGATCAATTAGAACTGAATAAGAAATCCAGTAGACATTCATGTTTAAGTAAATATTTAGTTTTTTTTAAAAAAATAATGGCATTAATTTGGGTTTAGAAAAGATTAGTTGTTTGAGGAATTCTTTAGGTATTCAATTAGGTTGATAACTCAGTGTTTCCTGAAGTATGCTATTGAACACCAATTCTACATCATATTAAGAGGTGTTAGGTGAGGTAAAAGATTTCAAGGTTCAAAGAAGACTGCACGACAGGCTAGATAATGCCAGTTTTATTAACTTTAGACATATGAAAAAATAGAGCTATAGGGTATAGGACCTGCTACCCCAAAATATGGCATTTTAGAAAACTGCAGAAGCAGGAAATTTTCTCTGACCTCTCCTCTCCCATCTCCACAGGTCATCAAATCCTAGGAGGGATTTTCTGATTCTATCCTGAAACAGGTCATGAGACCCTCATTCTAGAGTTGCCCAATATGTGCCTAGAGGAAATGAGCTCAAGATACAAAGACACCAAGAATCTGAACAAATAAGTCTTTGTAGTTTTCTCCCAGTTTATTACTAATATGTCATACCTTTTTATCCGCCAATCATATTTCTCTACAACTGTCCACTCATTATCAAAGCTAGCATAAAAAATACCCAGGTTTATCCATTTCTTTGTGCCTTCATTTCCTTATGAAGGCTCCTGTGTCACACAAAATTTATGTTAAATACATTTTGTATGTTTTTCTTGTGTTAATCTATCTTTTGTTATAGAGGCCTCAGCCACGAACCTAAGATAAGATGGAAAGATATTTCTTTTCCCTTACAAGAGAATACATATACAAAACCATTCATTGTAGAAAGTAAAACAGCCAAAAAATATGTTTAAAAAAGTTAATCCTCTCTGGTCAAAAAATGCAAATAAAACAAGATACTTTCTTTCAACTCTGCAATTGGCAAATATTAAAAAGTTGTAAAATACAATATTGCTGACTATTTAGATAAATGTCATATACTGCTGATAGGTGCAATTTTTTTCTGGCATGTAAATTGAAGATAGGTACCAAAAGTCTTAAAAAACATTATATTGTTTAATTCAGAAATTCCACTTCTAGGAATTTATACTTAAGGGCATAATATATTTAAAAATGCTTCTACAGCTTTATCCACTGAAATATTAGAAACAGCCTCAATGTTTTACAATATGGGATTGTGGCAGCCTTTTATGCTGATATAGTTTATTTTCTTGAAAATCATTTTTTGAGGCTATGTTGTTACATGTAAAATCTGAGAAAATATGTCTCCTGATAAACCTTTAGAGGAAGTTTATTTTCAAATACCTTATCTATTCTAGGAAAAAGGGGGTGGGACTCACCAGAAATAAATGTTTATATGTGCAAGGATGCAACTGTATGTAGCCATTTTAAAATGTCATCATGGAGGAATAGTTTCTCAGGTGTGATCCTTAGAGCCTGAGTGATTCTATGAAGACACACAGAGGTCACCTAGGAGGAGGGCAACAGAGCTGTGGACCTTCCATCTGCCTCTTTGTTTCAAAGAGGCATTCTCATGTTTCTGATTTTTACGTTTAATATTTATTTTTTGACATAGGTTTAGATGGTTAAAACACCATTGAGAAAAAAAACAATGAAAAATGTTCATTAAATGTCAGAAAAAATTTTGAAAGATTTTAAAAATACAGATGATTGAGTGTCCTATCTAGGTGCACCTGCCTGCTCGTATCTGCTTTTCATGGTCCTTGAGCTATTTGACAACTCTGGAAGTTGTAGAAAACTGATAATACAAATTATTTGGGTCCCTAGAAATGCAAATTAAGTGGGTCTTCACAGAATGCAATTGATTAGGACATTTTGCATCCACTTGAAAGTGCATTTTAACACTCCTTACTTGTGTATGCATGTATGTGTGGTTCTTTGAATTTTCCTTTGAACTGGCTATATCACCTCATTAGTTCCTCATTAATGATTGAGTAAAATAAATACATTGATGTACTTATTTTATGTACACATAAGGGTCATAATTTTGTCTTTAAAAAACATTTTCTAACATATGTTTGTATAATTTTCTAGTAAATTTTATTTTGAATACAGGTTTGCTTGGCTAAAACACATTTGAAAAAATAATGGAAACTATTTCATGACTTGCAACTTGCTTACAAAACAAGTTAAATGAAAAAGTAGGTCATAAAAGAGAATGTGCAGCATTAACTCATTTTTGCCTTACATTTTTTACAAATTTATCTCTCATCTCTGTCTCCTGAATGCTGCTTTGGGCTTTTCCAACAGTTCTGTGTTTTTGTAGCAAATCTCCTTAATTGACTTCATACTGAGTGTGCATAGAAGCTTTCCCCTTAAATTTTTGAAAACTCAACTCACACTAAGCTTAGAATTTAATAAAATGTTATTGAAGACCTTGAGGAAAACAGAGTGGAATTAAAATGCAAAGAAAAGGAGACAATTCTAAATGCTAAGTATTCTATATCATTCTTGTCCATCAAGATTGATGCTCCAGAGATGTCCATCATTCATCATTGGCCTTTTGTATTCCTAGCTGTGTCATGATGCAAAGTTGAAGAAGCTACCCTACTTCCAGTAATCTAAAATGAGAAAATGCTGCTGTGTTAGGCTGTTCTTGCACTGCTGTAAAGAAGTACCTGAGATTGGGTGATATGGTTTTACTGTGTCCCCACCCAAATTTCAACTTGAATTGTATCGCCCAGAATTCCCACTTGTTGTGGGAGGGATCCAGGGGGAGGTAATTGATTCATGGGGGCTGGTCTTTCCCGTGCTATTCTTGTGGTAGTGAATAAGTCTCACGAGATCTGATGGATTTATCAGGGGTTTCCACTTTTGCTTCTTCCTCATTTTCTCCTGCTGCCACCATGTAAGCAGTGCCTTTCACCTCCTGCCAGGATTCTAAGGCCTCCCCAGCCATGTGGAACTGTAAGTCCAATTAAACCTCTTTTTCTTCCTAGTCTCCAGTATGTCTTTGTCAGCAGCATGAAAACGGGTTAATACACTGGGTAATTTATAGAGAAAGGAGGTTTAATTGGCTCACAGTTCTGCAGGCTGTATAAGTAGGAAGCACAGTGCTGGCACATTCTGGGCTTCTGGGGAGGCCTTAGGGAACTTACAATCATGGCAGAAGGCAAAATGGGAGCAGGCATGTCACATGGCAGGAGCGAGAGCAAGTGAGAAAGTGACACACACTTTTAAACAACCAGATCTCATGAGAACTCACTCACTATCATAATGACAGCGCCAAGCCATGAGAGATCTGCTGCCATGATCCAATCACCTCCCACCAGGCCCCACCTACGATATTTGTGATTACATTTTAATGTGAGATTTGGTAGGGACACAGATCAAAGCCATATCAGTTGCCTTCATAATAATCTCAACAAAAATCCAATTTTGTCCCTAAAGAACAAGTCACTTAACATTTCACTTAGAAGCATCTACATTTAGATTCCTTTATCGTTGCAATATTAGAAAGAGGCCAACCATACATCTTCCTGTCTAATCTGCTTGAGAACCAGGGGAGATAGAGCCTAAAACACCAAGCCCATCTTTCACCCTAAGAAGAAACAGTGTATGGACTCCCCAAATGGAATCCTTTATAATGTCTAATCTCCACATACCACATTTAGCAACAAGGTAGAAATTTTTGACAATATAAAAAATAGCAGCTTCTCAATGTTACATATATTTTCCCTGTTTTCTTCAAGACAATAATAATAGTAATAATAATGAATAATAAGAAAGGAACAGTAAGTACTATAATGATAATAATGATTGTAATGGCAACAAATAATTTAATAAAATAAAAGTGAAAAAGTTATCTAAATTAAAGGATTTGAGTGATGCTGTAAAGGTTTCCATTTTAACAAAACATGATATTTAGTGAAAATTAATTAGTTTTTATTATTTTTTACAGTAATTTTATTACCCATTAAAGTACAAAGCTTGGCCACCAAGCCATCTGATGGGCATCTCAACTGAATAAATTCACAAATAAAAATAAAATCCACATTCATTTATTACTATTTGGTTTTCTAGACAAATTATTTTCCAAACAGTTTTTGTCTTAGGCCTTGAAGAGAAAACACGGTGAGACTACCAGGGTGATGGTTGTCTCTCAGCTCATCAGATTAGATATGGCATAGATAATCTGTGTCCATTTAAATTTTGCTAACGTATTAGAGATTTCATTAAAATGCTTTGATGTGTTGAGATCTTAACATATTTTGAAGTCATAAAATCACACACACACATACATACACACACACTCTTTTTTAAGTGCTTTCCAGTGTCTATCTAATTTATTATTATTATTATCATTATTTATTGTGGCACAGTGGTCCCAAGGTTGTGTTTAATCCTTTCAGATCTACTTAAGTTCTCTAAGTGGCAGTAGACAATCATTGGTTTTCCTGATCACATCCATAACTCATCTTTCTCAATTCAAATAGACAATAATTTAATTATTTTATTCATTGTGTGAGTTTCCTTTATAATTTGCTTCATGTACAGGTTGGAAATATTTAGCATATCCTACTGAGAAGATACAGCCTTTGGGAAACCATTGGCAGAAATGAATAGTTGTCTTTGTTACTTAGAAGTATTGTCCTCTGGAAAAACTGAAGGGTCTAGAGCAGTGCTGAGAAATATCTTTTAGTTCTAAGTATCACTTTAAATTAATAGACAGTGAATAAAATTAAATCAGTAGCAGGCTTACAAAGTAAAGAATTTAGCCAGATTTTTTTTTAATCTTAAGAGAAAAAGTAATTTGAGTTTTTAAAGAGTTGTATGAGCAGTTTAAGTTTTGGTCCTTGTCTGGGGAAGGCAAACATAGTGTCAGATTTTGTTATTCTTATTTTTAAAATTGAACGATAGCAAATGAGAATTTGCTGCAATAAGATGATTGAGTACATATTAAGTATGTATTAAGACCTCCTTATATATTTGATTTCTATTGTCTTCTTGCCTGGTGAGAGAGAGAGTATGTCTCTGTGTGTGTAATACACACATACACACACACACACACACACAGAAGATTACTGTGATATATGAAATCCAATTCCTCATCAGAAAAGTAATAAATCTGAAGAGAATTTAATTGATTCACCCTCAAACCATCCTCGGAATTTACTATGAGACAATCAGTTCTAAGCGTAGTGCTTTTCATCATACTTGTATTTATTCATGCAACCTGTTTTTTATTTAATCTCCACTTCAGGAGCAGAAAATCTTCTCTAACCTTAGACTACTATTCTTTCACTCCAGAAAGATGTCTAAATATTTAGAGTTTAGAAAGTGTTTAACTAAAATGTTGGGTAGTGATTGCAGTTTTCTCAAAACCTTTCAAAATTTAGAAACTTCTTTGTTGTACAAACAATAAGAATTGTTTGAAGTTTGGTAGAGATAAGAAAAAAGATTACACATTAGGAACACAAAATAATTGAAAGATTTAAGGCATTAAAAATTCTTTGTAATCAAAAACTGCATTTCTTATCTTGATGAACTCCTTGTTCTCCTGTTTTATCACATATTGCATTAGATTGCCTTCTTTTAATTTTAATACACACAAATGTAAAATAGGGAGTGTAGATTATGCTGATAATTCAATTGTAAAGTACTTTCTCTGCTTTCATTTTGTACCTTTTTCTTTGTAATTATTTACTTGATGAAGCATTTGTAAAGCGTTTTTTTTGAAAAATATCACCAAACTGGGGTAAGAGTTTTTGGAAAGTAGTAGGCTTAAGTACTAGTTTTTTTGGGCTGCTATAGAGTGAATCCCTTGGTAGGAAATGTATTTGATTTATTTTTTCTGCAATGACTTCTTGCATCTGAAAGACAGCCTGTATATAAACAATACATTCTTTATAGCTGATCCTACCACAAATTAAAAATGTATGTATTATTCTATCACAGACTTATGAGAGTATGTGGTAACAAATAAATGTGCATTGTATTTATTATACATGCACATAAGGCTAGCATTGAGGGATTCAGTCTTACTCTCTAACAGTCTGGATTTAATTTTTTTTTTTTTGAGATGGAGTCTTGCTCTGTTGCCCAGGCTGGAGGGCAGTGGCATGATCTCTGTTCACTGCAATCTCTGCCTCCTGAGTTCAAGCAATTCTCTTGCCTCAGCCTCCCGAGTAGCTGAGATTACAGGTGCCCACCATCACACCTGGCTAATTTTTGTATTTTTAGTAGAGTCGGGGTTTCACCATGTTGGCCAGGCTGGTCTCGAACTCCTGACCTCAGGTGTTTACCCGCCTTGGCCTCCCAAAGTGCTGGGATTACAGGTGTGAGCCACCATGCCCAGCCCTGCATTTAAAATTGATGTACGTGTGTTATGTGTATTATAGTCACTGTATGTGTGTATCATAGTGGTTATTTGCTCACTGTTGATAGCAGAATATTGTCCTGAAGAGCAATCTTATTTTTAGCTTATTTAAATCACAGACCTTTTCTATTTTGGTAAACTCTTATTTCTCCTGACATATTAAACTTGACATTTCACAGATTAAAATATTACTTGAAGAAATAACTTAGCATTCTTACAGGAAACAACTTTTATAATTCAAAGATGCTTGGAGTTTTTCACATTCTGAGAACAGAATTATCTGTATGTAGAATGGTCAAATATTTAATATTATTTTAGATGAGTATTTCTAAAAGTTACAATCATTTGAAATGTATCCAATATGAAAGTTGTCTGGAAGATTTTATTATTTCTTATACATTGTCAAATCATATGTTTAAGAATAATTACAATGGTAATAAATAATAATGACTCTTTATAGCCTTAAGTCAACTTTCTACAATAGTAAAAGAGTGGGAAAAGATTCAGAAGCTAACATTTTATAGGTGAGGGAACTGAAGTTCAGAGAGTGGACAGTTTGCCCATGGCCGCCAAAGATATGTGAAGGAGTTAGGATTTGAACCTAGATTCGTTAGATTTTTTTAGATTGACACTAAAATCTATGCCCTTGTAAAACTTGCAGTAATGACTGAGAGAAGTCAACACTGCAAGTTACTGTGTTTTAATATTCAGATGCAATGGGGTTGACCGAGTTAAGAACTGCATTTAAGAGGCATATTATCACTTTACAACCTTGATGCACTTCATTTAATTCAAGCATTTAGTGTTCTCTATGTGCTCAGTATCAAGAACACCTTGTTGAGCAACTCTACGGACCCCATTCCCATTGTATCCTATGTCATTTGGATCCCCAGAAGCACATTTCTTGGCAGTGCCATAGACCTTATGAGAGACAAACAAGAATTACAGCAGTGCTTGTTTTAAAATGCTTGTAACCTTCGTTGGTACACAGTTCTCCCACAAGCGAACAAACAAACAAAAAACCGTGGAGAACAATATGAAAAAAAGTGAAAGAATTTAATAATGAGTTAAACATGTGGTAAAGTCATGACTTTTTAGTAAATTATGGAGCATTCTATTTTTCTTTCTATTTCTGCTTTCCTCCGCTATTTTTTTTTTTTTTTGTAAAGACTCCTGTGTCACCATGCTGGCCTTCCCAACAGTTTAGCATTGCAGTCATGTGTCAGCCCTTCGAGTCATTGTATGGAACTCCATTAAAATTCTCTCTCTTTATCTGGCCTTGTGAGGGGAGATGATGTTAGGGAGAGGAAGTGATATCTGACCCAAAAGACAGGAAGACTTCACCCTTTTCAGGAGTATCTGAATGTCAAAAGACATGATCTAGGGATCGAAGAACCAACTTGATTTTTGAAGAACTGGTGGGTCATGTATCTGTGTTGGAAGTGCCTTTCTTGGGTCACACTTATCAACATAAGTGATAACTCACCAAAAGATGTGCTGGCCACTTTGCCAAGAATTAGTTATATATGTAGCTCATGACTTTGATCTCTTAGTTCTCAAGAGACCAGAGTTAGTGGCAGTGAGCATCTAGCCATGATAAGCTTCATCTGTTGCAACTCAGTGAGCCACAAATATTCAGTATGAGCCATGACTGGTAAAATTGCTGGAAAGCACAGGCTTACTCTACTCATGTGTAAGGACCAATTTTAAATATGTGCTAATGGTCAGGAGAAAGAAGAGTATGAATTTTAGCTCTGGATAGCCTTCATGAGAAGAAACTTCAGCTTGATCTTGAAAGCTAAGTTGGATCTTAGAGGCAAGGAATTAAAATGCTGTTTGGGACTTGGGAAGAAACAGGTTGGCAAATTTTTCTTAAAGGAAAAAATAGTAAATATTTTAGGCTTACAGGCGAAACCATCTCTGTTACAACTACTCAGTTGTACTGTTGTATTTCAAAGTGGCCCAGATAATATGTAAACGAATGGATGTGGCTTTGTTCCAATAAAACTTCATTTACAAAAACCAGTGGCCAGTTGATTAGGCTGCAGTTTGTTTAATCTGCTGTGGTTTTTAACACCATAAATGATCAGTGTTTGCCCTTATTTTTAATATGCGGGTAGAATAGAACTTGAAAATAGTAAAAAACTTAAGAAATGGAGTCTATGTCATTCCTGCATATTAATTTCTCTGTGACTCCCAGCTGTTCTTAGAACCTAGAACCTGGCTGAATGCCAGCTTGTCATTATTAAATTACTGAGTACTTGCCGTGAGCTGGCACTTAATATGTATGATTTCATTATGTCCTCACCTCATAGTGAGAAGCTGAGTCATAGTGAACTTGGGTTGGTAACATGCTCAAGACTGTGTAGCCAATGAGAAACAGAGGATCTAACCCAAATCATTTGGTCTTGGAAGCCTAACCTTAAATGTCTTTCCCCCAGGTCTCCGTTAAACTCAGCTTAAAGATAGTCTTTTAAGTATTAAAGATGCCATCAGAAATATTTCTAGAATAATATGAGGCAAAATGATATATCCTCAATCTTTAATTCTAAATATTAAATAATGCACTCTCCAACCATATCCATGACTTTGCTTTCTGGGTTACTGAATCAGAAAGAGTCACCAGAGGTTGCTCCATTCTCAGTGAGTACAGAATCTTAGTTAATCCTCTTTTATTCTCTTCAGTAAGGCTTGCTATGACAACAGAAGTTAATAGTGAAACTAAGACTGCCAAAATTATGATGTAGTTCAGAAGGCATCTTTCATTTTATTTTTCCGTTAATACCTATTAAACATTATTAAAATGGGCCTACCTACACACACATAAACAGCATTGTAAAATCATGAAAACCTAGTGGTTTTCCATATTGGAGACCTGTCACCTAGGACTTAAGTTAATAATACAAAAGAATATTTTCCACCTTTCTTTCTTTTTTGGGGGGTGGGGGAATAATGTTAAATATCAAATTCTGTTTTAGTTCTTCACAACTTATTTTCCTTTTCATTAGCCTTCAAGTAGAAAGTGCCTGGGCAAGATAGAGGAGCAAGAAAATCCCAAAACTTGTTGGTTTTCATGCTTCAAGTCTAGTGATAGAAAAAATGATAACTCTAGTTGTCTCCTAGGATTGAGCAAGGGAAGGAGAATAGAAGATTCAGCAAGAGAAAGTTGTTGTTACTCTCGAAGTATCGAGAAAACAGAGAGACAGAGTCAAGCAGGTTAGACGTCACTATTCACAGTTTGACTCTGGGTTAATCTAAACTTGTTCTTTTTTTTTTCCAATATGACAAGATCCTGTTTCTTAAAAGTATTTACTCATAAGATCTACTTTCCCTTATATTGACTATTTTGATTGATTATTCTAGGAGCTGTGTCCAGTTTTCCTGTATGCCTTTAAGTTTTCTGAAGACAAAACACACCCAAAGGAAATTGATATTGGCTACTGGAAATACAGGATAATATTTTCAAGGTGTGTGAACTAAGCCCCTCATCTTAACATTGTGTTCTGAGAATCCCAAGGGATATTTTGTTTTGGTTTTGCCCAGATGTTCTATTTCCTTATTCCTCTGATGTGATCTTTGTTAGTTTGCATGGTGTTTTCTTCTTTATTTTTAAAAACTAATTTGGGGTTCTTTTTGTAATCTGGATATCCATGCATCTTCCATTATAGGTGTTAAAACTGTCTTCTCCCCATTTGTAGGTTGCCTTTCTTTAAATTTTGGGGTTTTTTAAATATACTTAAATATACTTTTTAAATATACTGAAGTATACTTTAAGTTCTGGGGTACATGTGTAGAACATGCAGTTTTGTTACCTAGGTATATATGTGCCATAGTGGTTTCCTGCAACCATCACCCCATCATCTACATTAAGTATTTCTCCTAATGCTACCCCTCCCCTAGCCCCCTACCCCTATAAAGACACATACACATGTTTATTATGGCACTGTTCACAATAGCAAATACTTGGAAATTTGGGAGTTTTTTTTGAGAAATAAGTTTTTGGATAAACAATGGGAAAAGGATTTCCTATTTAATAAGTGGTGCTGGGAGAACTGGCTAGCCATATGCAGAAAAATGAAACTGGACCCCTTCCTTACACCTTATACAAATATTAACTCAAGAAGGATTAAAGACTTAAATATAAAACCCAAGACTATAAAAACCCTAGAAGAAAATCTAAGCAATACCTTTCAGGGCATAGGCAAGGGCAAAGATTTCATTACAAAAACGTCAAAAGCAATTGCAACAAAAGCAAAAATTGACAAATGGGATCTAAGTAAACTATAAAGAGTTTCTGCACAGCAAAAGAAAGAAACTATTCTCAGAGAAAACAGACAACCTACAAAAGGGAAGAAAAATTTTGCAATCTATTTGACAAAGGTCTAATATCCAGAGTCAACAAGTAACTTAAACAAATTTACAATAAAACAACAAACAACTCCATTAAGAAGTGGGCAAAATGGGAGGGGAGTGAGGGATAAAAGACTACAAATATGGTGCAGTGTATAGTGCTCAGGTGATGGGTGCACCAAAATTTCACAAATCATCACTAAAGAACTCACTCATGTAACCAAATATCACTTGTACTCCAGTAACATATGGAAAAACAAAATACAAAAGGGCATGAACAGACATTTCTCAAAAGCAGACATTTATGTGGCCAATAAATGTGTGGAAAAAAAGCTCAATATCACTGATCATTAGAGAAATGCAAATCAAAACCACAATGAGATACTGTTGCATGCCTCTCAGAATGGCGATTATTAAAAAGTTGCAACAACAGACGCTGGAGAGGTTGCAAAGAAAAAGAAACACTTTTACACTCTTGGTGGGAGTGTAAATAAGTTCAACCATTGTGGAAGACTGTGGGAATTCCTCAAAGATCTGCAGGAAGAAATACCATTTGACCTAGCAATCCCATTACTGGGTATATACCCAGAGGAATATAAGTTATTCTATTATAAAGATACATGCATGTGTATGCTCTTTGCAGCATTATTCACAATAGCAAAGACATGGAATCAACCTAAATGTGCATTAATGATAGACTGAGTAAAAAAAGTGTGGTACATATACAACATGGAATACTATGCAGCCATAAAAAGGAATGAGATCATGGCTTATTCTTTTTCTTTATTGTAAAGGCCTATTTGTTTTTATTTCAAGTTTGTTCCAGACTAAAAAAAAAAGTACGGGGAAGTATGTGAAAAATTGCTGCTTTTTCGATGTTTTAAAATTATTTTGTCTAATTTTAGGATAATTAAGTACTTGAGTGTTTGTTAGTATATTCCTAGAAAACCATGTGGGTCTATGGTTTTTTTAAAAATGGAATTATGTTAATAGTTATAGGCCAACATGGGTTTTCTATTCTTGAGTTAATCAAGTTACACTTAATTTTTTTTCCAATTTAATATTTCAAATTTATTGGTATAAAAGTATTGATGACATATGTTTTATCTTCTCTGAATCTGTTAGCATCTACAATTAGATATGTTTATTTCTTTTTTGTCATAGATCCAACTTTGGGGTTTTAAAATTTTCTCTATTATATGTTACTGTTCTATATTACTGCTTTATTATTTTCTCATTTTTACCTCCCTAGTTTTATTCTACTGTCCTTTTTCTAACTCACAGAGTAATTATTTTAATAATTTTTCCACTTTTCTTCTTTTCTAAGGATAATGTTTAAAGCTATAAATTTTCCTTTAAGAATTGCATCAGCAATTATCTCTCAACTTTTGGTATGTGTACTTTGAAACTTTTGTTGGGTTTTGAAGTATTCTGTATATATTCTACTTTCAATGCGTTCTTATTTGTCTATGAGTTGTTTAGGATTTTTTTCCCTTCTTCTTTTTTTAGTGATTATTTTATTCAACTTAAGTAACATCTTTAATCAATTATGGAAATTTAACCATTTAATTTGATCATGGACTCTACTTTATTCTTTCTCTGTGTTAAAACTGATTTTGTATATGTTATTGATTTTTAACCTAATTGGATTGTGGTAGATCATATAATATGAAACATTCTAATCCTTTGGTATTTGTTAGGATCTGTTGATGGCTTAGTTCATGGTCGCTATTTCTGGACCTAAAATGAATATGTTTTTCTAAGTACAAGGTTTACATACACACACAGACACATGTATACACACACACACATATATACACACACACACACCCTTTAGATAAACCATGTTTATTACACTATTGCAGTCTGAGATATCTTCACAGATTATTTTTTCTTGCTTGGTCTACCATTTTTTGAGAGATCCTTCAGGTATCACCACACTGTCTTCCACAATGGTTGAACTTATTTACACTCCCACCAACAATGTGAAAGTGTGCCTTTTTCTTCACAACCTTTCCAGCATCTGTTGTTTCAATTTTTTAATAATCGTCATTCTGATAGGCATAAGATGGTATTTCACTGTGGTTTTGACTACAAATATGGTGCAGTGTGTACTGCTCAGGTGATGGGTGCACCACAATCTCACAAATCACCACTAAAGAACTTACTCATGTAACCAAATACCACCTGTACCCCATACCTTACAGATAAACAAAATAAAAAATAAAATAGGGCCGGGCATGGTGGCTTATGCCTGTAATCCCAGCACTTTGGGGAAGCCAAAGCAGGTGGATCATCTGAGGTCAGGAGTTCAAGACCAGCCTGATAAACAAGGTGAAATCCAGTCTCTACTAAAAATACAAAAATTAGCCAGGGGTGTGTTCCAAGATGGCCGAATAGGAACAGCTCCAGTCTACAGCTCCCAGGGTGAGTGACACAGAAGATGGGTGATTTGTGCATTTCCAACTGAGGTACCAGGTTCATCTCACTGGGGCTTGTCGGACAGTGGGTGCAAGACTGGGTGCAGCCCACCGAGCATAAGCCGAAGCAGAGCGAGGCATCGCCTCACCTCGGAAGCACAAGGGGTCAGGGAATTCCCTTTTCTAGCCAAGGGAAGTGGTGACAGACAGCACTTGGAAAATCAGGTCACTCCCACCCTAATACTGTGCTTTTCCAATGGTCTTAGCAAATGGCACTCCAGGAGATTATATCCTGCGCATGACTCGGAGGGTCCCACACCCACAGAGCCTCGCTCATTGCTAGCACAGCAGTCTGAGATCTAACTGCAAGGCGGCAGCGAGGCTGGGGGAGGGGTTCCCGCCATTGCTGAGGCTTGAGTAGGTAAACAAAGCAGCAGGGAAACTTGAACTGGGTGGAGCCCACCTCAGCTCAAGGAGGCCTGCCTGCTTCTGTACACTCCACCTCTGAGAGCAGGGCATAGCTGACCAAAAGGCAGGAGAAACCTCTGCAGACTTAAATGTCCCTGTCTGACAGCTTTGAAGAGAGTAGTGGTTGTCCTAGTACGGAGTCTGAGATTTGAGAACAGAGAGACTGCCTCCTCAAGTGGGTCCCTGACCTCCGAGTAGCCTAACTGGGAGGCACCCCCCAGTAGGGGCAGACTGACACATCACATGGCTGGGTACCCCTCTGAGATGAAGCTTCTAGAGGAATGATCAGACAGCAACATTTGCTGTTCAGCAATATTTGCTGTTCTGCAGGCTCTGCTGCTGATACCCAGGCAAACAGGGTCTGGAGTAGACCTCCAGCAAACTCCAACAGACCTGCAGCTGAGGGTCCTGACTGATAGAAGGAAAACTAACAAACAGAAAGGACATCCACTTCATAACCCTATCTGTACGTCACCATCATCAAAGACCAAAGGTAGATAAAACCACAAAGATGGGGAAAAAACAGAGCCAAAAAGCTGAAAATTCTAAAAATCAGAGTGCCTCTCCCCCTTCAAATGAATGCAGCTTCTCACCAGCAACGGAATAAAGCTGGACAGAGAATGACTTTGATGAGTTGAGAGAAGAAGGCTTCAGATGATCAAACTTCTCCGAGCTAAAAGAGGAAGTTCGAACCCATTGCAAAGAAGTTAAAAATCTTGAAAAAAGATCAGACAAATGGCTAAATAACCAGTGTAGAGAAGTCCTTAAATGACCTGATGGAGCTGAAAACCATGGCATGAGAACTACGTGACAAATGCACAAGCTTCAGTAGCAGATTTGATCACCTGCAAGAAAGGGTATCAGTGATTGAAGATCAAATGAATGAAATGAAGCAAAAAGAGAATTTTAGAGAAAAAAGAGTAAAAAGAAATGAACAAAGCCTCCAAGAAATATGGGACTATGTGAAAAGACCAAATCTGCATCTGATTGGCATACCTGAAAGTGACGGGGAGAATGGAATCAAGTTGGAAAACACTCTGCAGGATATTATCCAGGAGAACTTCCCCAATCTAGCAAGACAGGCCAACATTCAAATTCAGGAAATACAGAGAACACCACAAAGATACTCCTCGAGAAGAGCAACTCCAAGACACATAATTGTCAGATTCACCAAAGTTGAAATGAAGGAAAAAATGTTAAGGGCAGCCAGAGAGAAAGGTCGGGTTACCCACAAAGGGAAGCCCATCAGACTAACAGCGGATCTCTCGGCAGAAACTCTACAAGCCAGAAGAGAGTGAGGGCCAATATTCAACATTCTTAAAGAAAAGAATTTTCAACCCAGAATTTCATATCCGGCCAAACTAAGCTTCATAAGTGAAGGAGAAATAAAATACTTTACAGACAAGCAAATGCTGAGAGATTTTTGTCACCACCAGGCCTGCCCTAAAAGAGCTCCTGAAGGAAGCACTAAACATTGAAAGGAACAACCGGTACCAGCCACTGCAAAAACATGACAAATTGTAAAGACCATTGAGTTTAGGAAGAAACTGCATCAACTAATGAGCAAAATAACCAGCTAACATCATAATGACAGGATAAAATTCACACATAACAATATTAACCTTAAATGTAAATGGGCTAAATGCTCCAATTAAAAGACACAGACTGGCAAATTGGATAAAGAGTCAAGACCCATCAGTGTGCTGTATTCAGGAAACCCATCTCACATGCAGAGACACACATAGGCTCAAAATGAAGGGATGGAGGAAGATCTACCAAGCAAATGGAAAACAAAAAAAGGCAGGGGTTGCAATCCTGGTCTCTGGTAAAACAGACTTTAAACAAACAAACATCAAAAGAGACAAAGAAGGCCATTACATAATGGTAAAGGGATCAATTCAACAAGAAGAGCTAACTATCCTAAATATATATGCACCCAATACAGGAGCACCCAGATTCATAAAGCAAGTCCTTAGAGACCTACAAAGAGACTTAGACTCCCACACAATAAAAATGGGAGACTTTAACACCCCACTGTCAACATTAGACGATCAAAGAGACAGAAAGTTAACAAGGATATCCAGGAATTGAACTCAGCTCTGCACCAAGCAGACCTAATAGACATCTACAGAACTCTCCACCCCAAATCAACAGAACGTACATTCTTCTCAGCACCACATCGCACTTACTCCAAAATTGACCGCATAGTTGGAAGTAAAGCACTCCTCAGCAAATGTAAAAGAACAGAAATTATAACAAACTGTCTCTCAGACCACAGTGCAATCAAACTAGAACTCAGGATTAAGAAACTCACTCAAAACTGCTCAACTACATGGAAACTGAACAACCTGCTCCTGAATGACTACTGGGTACATAACAAAATGAAGGCAAAAATAAAGATGTTGTTTGAAACCAACGAGAACAAAGACACAACATACCAGAATCTCTGGGACACATTTAAAGCAGTGTGTAGAGGGAAATTTATAGCACTAAATGCCCACAAGAGTAAAGCAGGAAAGATCTAAAATTGACACCCTAACATCACAATTAAAAGAACTAGAGAAGGAAGAGCAAACACATTCAAAACTAGCAGAAGGCAAGAAATAACTAAGATCAGAGCAGACCTGAAGGAGATAGGGACACAAAAAAACCCTTCAAAAAATCAATGAATCCAGGAACTGGTTTTTTGAAAAGATCCACAAAATTGATAGACCGCTAGCAAGACTAATAAAGCAGAAAAGAGAGAAGAATCAAATAGACGCAATAAAAAATGATAAAGAGGAGGATATCACCACTGATCCCACAGAAATACAAACTACCGTCAGAGAATACTATAAACACCTCTATGCAAATAAACTATAAAATCTAGAAGAAATGGATAAATTCCTGGACACATACACCCTTCCAAGACTAAACCAGGAAGAAGTTGAGTCCCTGAATAGACCAATAACAGGCTCCGAAATTGAGGCAATAATTAATAGCTTACCAACCAAAAAAAGTCCAGGACCAGATGGATTCACAGCCAAATTCTACCAGAGGTACAAGGAGGAGCTGGTACCATTCCTTCGGAAACTATTTCAACCAATAGAAAAAGAGGGAATCCTCCCTAACTCATTTTATGAGGCCAGCATCATCCTGATACCAAAGCCTGGCAGAGACACAACAAAAAAAGAGAATTTTAGACCAATATCATTGATGAACATTGATGCAAAAATCCTCAATAAAATACTGGCAAACTGAATCCAGCAGCACATCAAAAAGCTTATCCACCATGATCAAGTGGGCTTCATCCCTGGGATGCAAGGCTGGTTCAATATATGCAAATCAATAAGTGTAATCAAGCATATAAACAGAATCAAGGAAAAAAACCACATGATTATCTCAATAGATGCAGAAAAGGCCTTCAACAAAATTCAAAAGCCCTTCATGCTAAAAACTCTCAATAAACTAGGTACTGATGGGACGCATCTCAAAATAATAAGAGCTATTTATGACAAACTCACAGCCAATATCATAACGGGCAAAAAGTGAAGCATTGCCTTTGAAAACTGGCACAAGACAGGGATGCCCTGTCTCACCACTCCTATTCAACATAGTGTTGGAAGTTCTGATCAGGGCAATCAGGCAGGAGAAAGAAAGAAGGGATACTCAATTAGGAAAACAGGAAGTCAAATTGTCCCTGTTTGCAGATGACATGATTGTATCTTTAGACAATCCCATCGTCTCAGCCCTGAATCCCCTTAAGCTGATAAGCAACTTCAGCAATGTCTCAGGATACAAAGTCAATGTGCAAAAATCATAAGCATTCTTATACACCAATAACAGACAAACAGAAAGCCAAATCATGAGTGAACTCCCATTCACAATTGCTTCAAAGAGAATAAAATACCTAGGAATCCAACTTACAAGGGATGTGAAGGACGTTTTCAAGGAGAACTACAAACCACTGCTCAATGAAATAAAAGAGGACACAAATAAATGGAAGAACATTCCATGTTCATGGATAGGAAGAATCAATACTGTGAAAATGGCCATTCTGCCCAAGGTAATTTATAGATTCAATGCCATCTCCATCAAGCTACCAATGACTTTCTTCACAGAATTGGAAAAAACTACTTTAAAGTTCATGTGGAACCAAAAAAGAGCCCGCCTTGCCAAGACAATCCTAAGCCAAAAGAACAAAGATGGAGGCATCATGCTACCTGACTTCAAACTGTACTACAAGGCTACAGTAACCAAAACAGCATGGTGCTGGTACCAAAACAGAGATGTAGACCAATGAAACAGAACAGAGCCCTCAGAAATAATACCACACGTCTACAACCATCTTATCTTTGACAAAGCTGACAAAAACAAGAAATGGGGAATGGATTCCCTATTTAATAAATGATGCTGGGAAAACTGGCTAGCCATATATAGAAAGCTGAAACTGGATCCCTTCCTTACATCTTATACAAAAGTTAATTCGAGATGCATTAAAGACTTAAATGTTAGACCTAAAACCATAAAAACCCTAGAAGAAACCTAGGCAATACCATTCAGGACATAGGCATGTGTAAGGACTTCATGTCTAAAACACCAAAAGCAATGGCAACAAAAGCCAAAGTTGACAAATGGGATCTAATTAAGTTAAAGAGCTTCTGCACAGCAAAATAAACTACCATCAGAGTGAACACGCAACCTACAGAATGGGAGAAAATTTTTGCAATCTACCCATCTGACAAAGGGCTAATATCCAGAATCTACAAAGAACTTAAACAAATTTACAAGAAAAAATCAAACAACCCCATCAAAAAGTGGGCAAAGTATATGAACAGACACTTCTCAAAAGAAGACATTTATGCAGCCAATAGACACATGAAAAAATGCTCATCATCACTGGCCATCAGAGAAATGCAAATCAAAACCACAGTGAGATACCATCTCATACCAGTTAGAATGGCGATCATTACTGTCAGGAAACAACAGGTGCTGGAGAGGATGTGGAGAAATAGGAACGCCCTTACACTGTTGGTGGGACTGTAAACTAGTTCAACCATTGTGGAAGACAGTGTGGTGATTCCTCAAGGATCTAGAACTAGAAATACCATTTGACCCAGCCATCCATTACTGGGTATATACCCAAAGGATTATAAATCATTCTGCTATAAAGACACTTGCACACGTATGTTTATTGCAGGACTATTCACAATAGCAAAGACTTGGAACCAACCCAAATGTCCAGCAATGATATACTGGATTAAGAAAATGTGGCACATATACACCATGGAATACTATGCAGCCATAAAAAACGGTGAGTTCATGTCTTTTGTAGGGACATGGATGAAGCTGGAAACCATCATTCTCAGCAAACTATCGCAAGGACAAAAAACCAAACACCGCATATTCTCACTCATAGGTGGGAATTGAACAATGAGAACACTTGGACCCAGGAAGGGGAACATCACACACCGAGGCCTGTTGTGGGGTGGGGGGAGGGGGGAGGGATAGCATTAGGAGATATACCTAATGTAAATGACCAGTTAATGGGTGCAGCACACCAACATGGCACATGTATACATATGTAACAAACCTGCACGTTGTGCACATGTACCTTGTAACTTAAAGTATAATAAAAAAAAATGATTGGATACAAAAAACAATTAGCCAGGGATGGCAGCGTGTGCCTGTAATCTCAGCTACTAGGGAGGCTGAGACAGGAGAATTGCTTGAACCTAGGAGGCAGAGGTTACAGAGTGCCAAGATCACACCACTGCCCTCCAGCCTGGGTGATGGAGTGAGACGCCGCCTAAAGAAAAAAAAATTAATAAAATAAAATAAAAAGGAACTGGAAAAAGACATGAGCATACACTTCTCAAAAGAAGATCATTGATCATTAGAGAAATGCTTCTACCAAGACTAGACAAACAAGTTTTCTTGCTATATATCTCTCTTCTCAGTTTTATTTTGGGTTTCCCTTATTCGAAAAGCACACAGCTCTTCGTGTTCTCCAGTTTAGTTCAGTGTTTCTGTTAGCCTTTTTGCATTGGGAAGCCTATAGAAGTTGTTTTCCCAGGCTTTTAACACAAAACCAATGCCAAAAGTCTCCAAGAATTGGTGAATGATCTCAAGTTAGAAGCCACCTTCAGAGCTCACTTACCTCTCTGGATTCCTGCTTTTACCTTATTTTTGTCCTCTCACATGTCCTTCCTTTTTGTCAATTTAGCAGTAAATTAAGAACATTTTAAAAATATTCTATCACTATCATCACTTAAGCAAGCAAGCAAGAAAGTAGAAAAAAAAAAAAGGAAAATACTACAGGTAAATTTCCATTCCAAAGAATGACTGAACTAGGCAGAAGAGAGAAACAATGAAGTACAAAAGGAAAATTTGCTGTGGAATATCAAGTGATATGGTTTGGCTCTGTGTCCCCACCCAAATCTCATCTTGTAGTTCCCATAATTCCCACATATTGTGGGAGGAGTCCAGTGAGAGGTAATTGAATCATGGAGGCGGGTCTTTCCTATGCTGTTCTCATGATAGCAAATAAGTCTCACAAGAGCTGTTGGTATTATAAGAGAGAGTTTCCCTGCACAAGCTCTCTCTGTTTGCCTGCCACCATTGATTTAAGATGTGACTTGCTCCTCCTTGCCTTCTGAGGCCTCCTCAGCCACATGGAGCTGTGCGTCCAGTTAAACCTCTTTCTTTTGTAAATTGCCTAGTCTTGGGTATGTCTTTATCAGCAACGTGAAAATGGACTAATACATCAAGTATCAGTGTTCTGTAATCTGTCCCATTTCATAGTGGAGAAATATTCCTAATGAGAATGCCATTGATCTGTTTATCCTACAATCTTTATTCCACCCACAGAACTCACATAGATTTCCCCTCAGTGTCCTTGTGTCTTGCACTTGAGCATATCTCTGGGAGCTGTGGCAAAGCCTGTGGTGTACCCACAGCCACTCTCTGTTGTCAACCCTGTAATGTTGGACTTAGAAAAACAGAGAAAGGGTGGAGGGGGTGGAGGTGGAGGTACTGAGAGAAGAAAATGAGTCATATGTAGGTTTTCAACCTTTGTACCATATTTATTATTTAACCTCAATGTTGTTCCCTCCCTCCCCGCCTTCTCTCCCAAAACCCCATGTTCTCTGAGACCTCTAGCTCCAGGGATTATTCTCTTGACTACACCCCAATTTAAGTCTATTTTAGCATCTCTAACCTGACCAGAGGAACACATGCTGCTTTAAAATATTAACACAGTCCTTGTTTCTGTTTTCTTTGATGTCTCATAATTTTTGAGGTTGTAGTTATCTACACTGAAATTGGAAAGAAATGTAGAGGGATTTAGTCCAGTGGACATTGCCTCCCCACCTCCTTCCTATTTTCCATTTTATTTTTATGGGATGTGTAATGTTTAATAAATAAACAATCTGCATTGTTTTGTTTTTGTGTTGTTAATCATTTCTTTAAAATTCTAACTAGCAATTTTACATGGTTTGGGTGGCAAGGTTTTCAGGGACTTTAATTCTCCTTATTACTTGAATCAGAAGTCCCTGCTAAATTTTTCTCAAAGAGTATTGCTTGTCCCCACAGAGAGTATTGACTGTCCCAAATGTGGTTTTGGAGCCCTTGACTTATATTTATAAGGAACTTACCAACTGGCAAATATAGAAAACACTGACATGGATAATTTAACTAGGTAATTCTGGTAGCTTTTCCACTTACTTAGAAAGCCATCAGAACTCAGAAGGGCCCTCAGTGGATCCAGTCCTGTGGAAGTGTTACTGTATTTCTGAGGTTCCTGTTAGTAACAGGAACGCCCTGAAGCCATTTGGGAGCTCCAAGGATGCAGACCTGTCTAACAGCAAGCACTGAGGACTAAGAAGCTGAGATTTGACCCCTACTGGGCCTTTTTGGCACTCTGTGTTCATGATCTTATGCAGGAAAGATCAGTTTACCTTGATTTCTTCCTTTGAAACAGAGAGTTGTTACAAGAAACAAATAAAATAATATTGAAAAACACTTTGGAAAAGGAAAATGTTCCACAGACATGTAAAATAACACAAGAGCTGTTATAAATACAAATGAAGTCCCTTGAGACCATTTAAACCAGTGCAGGGGCCTATGGAGTCCAACCAGCGCTGAGGTGACTTTGGAAACTCAGCCAGGTCAACAGGTCCTCAGCAGCAGCAGCCTGGGGTGGCTCAAATCTTGCTTGCATTTCTGTTGCCCTTCCCTGTGAGCTGCGGGTTGTTAGGCTGATTAAGTTTAAGAGTTAATTTCTAAACACCTTAAGAACAATGTTAACAGTTTATTAAACTACTGTTTATTAACCACTAGTGTAACACTGTTTAATAAACTACTGTTTATTCTCCTGCAAATGGAAGTTTCATTCTAATGTCCTCTGTTCTCCAGTCCTTTGCAATGATCATCTGAAATGATTCTCTAACAAGCACTAAGCAACAAGAGCATTTCCAGGGCACTTCTCAGATTGTTCTCTAATGTTATAATTGCTACTCAAAATTCTAGATTTTGGTTAAAAAGGAGTTTCAGCAAAAACTGTGGTTTGCACTGCAAATACATTCAACCTGCCAATAGCCTTGTTTTTCATCTAGTTACTGTGTACACAGATACAGAAAGAGGCAGAAAGAACATGGTGCTGAGGAAGGGGATGCCTTCCCAATAGAGAGGAAATTGCCAATAATTCACAAAAGTGGAGGCTTAGAAAGTTGAAAAGGTCACTCTCCAGGCTGTGACAATAGGAGGCATTTGTTTTATACAGGAGTTATGTTCAGTGTTATCTGTTATATGCTATCCGTATAAATCATTTTGACCCATGTTACTTCTTGAACAAAATTATCTGCTTTACAGTTGCTTCCTATCCTGATGTCATCAATATTTATAGCTTTTTCTTAAGTTAAAATTGCAGTGTAATTTTAATACACTATTTGTGAAGCTACAATTTTTACTCTCAACATTTTCATGTAATGTGTGAATTTTAAGACAAATTTGGAAGTTTTATGAACCAGATTTTAGGAGTAGGAGAATTAACCTCTTCTGTGGATAAAATAGAAATAGAAGCTTTCCAAAGTGACTGCAGTTATTGTTAAGGTATTAAAATATTAATTCAATTAGGAGTCAATTTTAAACTCAGAAGCAGCACAGTGCAGATTTAACACTTAAAAGGCCTTAAAAACTATTCTACCTAGTAAGTCATTTACTGTGAACAACAGTGTTCCTACCAGATGATGGTATACATAAAGAGGTATTTATTAACTTAGAAAACTTTCTCCTTTTTTTCAAAGAACTGTATTAAAAAGGTATCTAATATGTAAATTTGATTATAATTACCAGAAGGAAAATTGAAAAAGAAGAAAAGAAAACTGTAGTTATCCTACAGTAGTCATTTTCTCTGGATGTGTATAAATTGTTTTTAATACCTCTTGTAGAAAACGTATGCCACAAAAAACTCGTGACAAGTGCTGGTCAGAATAGTGTACAACAAAGACACATTTTCCTTTCTAGAAGTAGCAAGGCATTGCCTAAATTGTTCCTTTTAGAAATAGTTTTATTGCATATTATCTTCAAATGTTGTGAGAGTAAACACCTCAAAAGTAATGTTTTGTTACCCATGTCATTTGTCTATTTCTTTCTCTTCTCTATCTTTTCATTGAATGTCAATTAGGCTATTCCCTAGACTGTAAGTGTGAAAATCTTCCTCGAGGATAGGATTCTGGCCAAGTGCCACCTTCTTAAGCATGCTCTGACATGTTCTAAAATGCCTTCTGATCTACCAAGTCTTTGAGTTCATTTCGTGAGAAGTATTGCTCTCTTTTATGTTTGTTTCTTAATTTATCTTTCATAGGCCCTTCAGGACATATTGTTCATTAGACCATGACTGAAAATAATGTGATTTCTGGTATAATTATATATTTTTTCACATGCTATGTTTAATGTCCTTTAAAGAGCATAAAGAAGTGCTCCAAGTCTTTCTTTGTTTTTTTTTCTTTCTCATCTCTTTATATCTTATGTCTTCTTCCAAGCATAATATAAACAGGCTGAAAATTGAGTCAAGTATTAATAACATCCAATAATAATAAGGTAATGCTATCATTGTTAGGGTTTTTTGTTTTGATTGTGTTCTCAAATCCTCCATCTTTTATAACTAGTTTCTATTGCCAAATGTAACTTATGTGTTTGTGTATATGTGTGTAGATATATTTAATGGAGACATAAACAGAAATGTTAGTACCATTCAAATGCCCATTGATGTAATCCACATAAGATAACCTAATAAATCTGAGAAAAAAAAATAGGAAGAAAAAAATCCATTACAGTGTCTCATCAGGATCATCATTTATCTGTTGAACATAAGGAATTATTTAAGTCATAGCATCTATCTTGTCCTTCTTCATGTCCTTCTCCAAAATATTTATTCAGTTTACTTTGCGCTTAGTAAAACTTAAAAACACAATTTGAATTGTATCCGCTTGGCAATAAATACCAAAAGGAAGAAATTTGGATTACTAATTGCAAACTACCAGCCAAACCTAAATTTAATAGACAGGGTTGTTTCTGTGAGTTTTGTTTGCTCCAAGTTGGTTTGTGGGGACAAGCCAAATAGAAATGAAATATCCATTGTTGATAAAAATAAAACATTTATCTAAAAATGGAGGCAAATAGAAAACTCAAAGAAAGGTTATATTTCAAGTGACTAAACTATCAGACCAAGTCACACTGTCCCATGCTGTGATCAGCAAGAAGATAAGGTCTTCACCATCTGTTCTCTGGGGGTCTTGAGTTTAAATCTCAATGGGAGACTACTGCAGGATGCCAGGGGAAAGGAAAAGGTAATTTGGAAATTTTGCATTTTTTATGCCAAAGCAATAAGGATTCTTACATATATTTATTTATAAGAACAGATAGCATTCCATCCCAACACTAATATTAAACAGGCTACGATTTAATAAAATATGGAGATCCATTTCAGCTTACACTGTATGTTTCAATTTTCACTTACAATGTCTGGGATATACCATGTACACACAAAATAGGTATCAACAATTATACTTAACACTGTTTAGTTTGTCTAACCATAATGCTGTTGGATTAACAGTGTTCTAATTGGAATTGGCTGATCAACTTTAAAAGTATTTTAAACTTCATCAAATGTGATCCTATATTTTTTCCTCATGTCTGATGATGGGAGGAGAGTTCACAATCAGGTTGAAGTCACTTTAGTACTAAAGCAAAGCAAACACACTTTTAGATGTGATGTGAAATAACCTCAGAGATGCTGGCATCTGGTGCTATCTAGACTATAATACAGCAGAGTGATGTGGTTGCAGTGGTTTTTACAGGTACTCGAGAGGAGAGAGTGCATACATCAGGTTCTTTGCATCATGTCTATTTTAGTTTTCTATTATTTCTCCTGGTTTCCTGGGGAGACAGCATTTATGTCTCAAAAAAAATCTTCAATACTGAAAGCATTTATGGAAAGCATAAATAACATTTTCTTTCTCAAAACAATAAATGCCCTCAAAATGCAAAAGCCTACTCCTCTTTTCCTCTTCTTTCACAACTCACATCCCTCTCCTACCTCCATGCTACAAGTAGTCATTTCATAACAAATAAAATGATTGTGTCTAGACAACTATGTTGGATGTTTAAAGAAAGTGTTTATTGTCTGTACCACCCAGCACATCATGCAGTCCCTTATACAAAGACCCTAAAGGAAAGGTCTAATCTTTCCTTTGTCCTGAACACTGCAACCAAAACAACCTTAGTTTGGTAGTTCCTTGGTCAAAGCCTTATTTCTGCACTGCCTACTATATTTAGTACATTCCTCCATATCTGCGGGGGATTGGTTTCAGGCCCCCTCCTTGGATACCTAGGCTTTCATATAATATGTATTTGCATAGAACCTACACACATTCTCTCGTATACTTTAAATCATCTCTAGATTACTTATAATACCTAATACAATGTAAATGCTACACAAGTAGTTGTTATACTCTATTGGGTTTTTTTTTCATTATTTTTTAGGGTCATATGGTTATTTTTATCTATTTTTTTCCCAAATATTTTCAACCGGTGGTTGTTTGAATCTGTGAATATGGAACCCAATGGATATGGAGGCTGACTGCACAGACATTCAAGGCCTTCACAGTCTGGCTTCACTCGATCTCTCCCAGGCTATTCTAACTTTTCACAGACAATTCTCCTGCCAGTCACGCATCATTACTGTAACAAGTTATGGCTTATCCTTCCTTTGTGATTTTGCTCAAATTTGTTCTTCCTGGAATGTCCTTAGGACCTTTCTAACAGTTCTGGTGATTGGCGTTCTAAAAATTTTTCAAGGCCTAGGCCAAATACCACTTCATCCATGAAGACTTACCAAATCCCAAATGAGAAAAGATTTCTCCTTTTTAAATATTTTTAACTATCTTTTCTTTCCTCGTAACTTTCATTTTAGGTCCAGTGGGTACATGAACAGGTTTGTCATGTGGGTAAATTAGGTGTCCTGCAGGCTTGGTGTACAGATTATTTTGTCACCCAGGTAATGAGCGTAAGTAGTTTTTCAACCCTCACCTTCCTCCCATCCTCCACCCTCAAGTAGGCCCCGGTGTCTATTTTTCTTTCTTTGAGTCCATGTGCACTCAATGTTTAGCTCCCACTTGTGAATGAGAACATCCAGTATTTGATTTTCTGTTCCTGAGTTAATACACTTAGGATAAGCAAATTTCCATGTTGCTGCAAAGGACGTGATTTTGATCTTTTTTTATGGCTGTGTAGTATTCCACTGTGTTGTAACTATCTTTTAGCATTTATCTTGTGCAATAGTATTACAGTAAACCATACATAACTAATTTCATTAAAACAAGTTGGCCAGGTGCTGTGGCTCACGCCTGTAATCCCAGCACTTTGGGAGGCCAAGGCAGTCGGATCATGAGGTCAGGAGTTCAAGACATGCCTGGCCAAGATGGTGAAACCCCGTTTCTACTAAAAATACAAAAATTAGCTGGGCATGGTGGCAGATGCCTGTAATCCCAGCTACTTGGGAGGCTGAGGCAGGGAATTACTTGAACCAGGGAGGCGGAGGTTGCAGTGAGCCAAGATCGTGCCATTGCACTCCAGTCTGGGTGATAGAGTGAGACTCCATCTCAAAAAGAAAAAAAAAAAAGTTATTCCATTCATCTTAACCAATTGTTTTCTATTACCTTGCATACTCCTTTATGAGAAAGAACTCAATGATTATTAAACTGAATTTTCTAAAGATGAAATAGATGTTGCTTGTGAGGTTCTAGTGCTAAAAGTATAGAGGGCAATCCTGGTTTCTTGTCTTGGTTGTCATTCATTCATTCTTCCAGCAAATATTTATCAAGTGCTTGCATGCCACTTTGTGAAGCAATAGGGATACAAGAATCAATAAAATAGATGTGGTCACTCCTTTTATGGAGCAACCCTCTCTGGATTTACAGATTTTATAGGATTTCAGTTTCTTTATCTATAAAATAAAAAGTTTATACAATTTCAAAGGCTACTTCCAATTTGAAAATTATGAAGACTCACAAGCAGGACACACTTTGTAAGATTAAATATCTATATTAGAGACATGAACTAAGTTATGCATTATACAGAGTTTTATATTATATGTATGTTTTTTCACACATACCATGTCATAAAACATGGTAATTATAAAACTTGGAGTTTGGGGGGTGGAAAACTCACTTGCTATTTAGGTGTGGTAGTCAAAGACATTATCAGACATTTCCTACATCTTTTTGAGGTTTTGGATAAAAATGCTACCCTTCCTTTTAGGAATCAAGAATTTAGATGATGTTCAAAGATGGGGAAATTTGCATATTATCCTTTTTTGTTGTTGTTGGGTGTCTGTATTCTTTCTAGTCATCAGGTCAACTTCACTATCATGTTAAAGTCCTTTTCTGGTATGTATTTTACAAATAGCACTGGGAACGTTTCTGGTAGAAAATAGGGTAATGTTCTTGATATAGTGGGATCTGATTTAGCTCTTAAATCACTTATTTCAAGTAGAAGTTACATGTCACCAAGTCTTCAACTGAGGAGACTTTGTAAATTTTCTTCACGCTTTCTTTTTTTTAATTTTTTACTATACTTTAAGTTCTAGGGTACGTATGCACAACCTGCAGGTTTGTTACATATGTATACATGTGCCATGTTGGTGTGCTGCACCCACTAACTCATCATTTCTTTTACAGGTGACAGTGTCTACCACCTTGGATGTGGTTAGAAATACCCTGCAGCAATGAGATTTTCTTTAGCCACTTAATCTTGCTGTGTAATATAATGACAGTTAATCCTTTTAAATCTTTTAAAACACTTTACAATGGGAAGACACAATGCATTTCTAGCTATGTGTTAATGCTGATTTCCCCATTGTTCAAAAACCTTTAGATGACTTCAATACATTAAAAATGAATAAAATTATTATTTTGAGAGCCCGTATTCTTAGAACTAGGCAAGATGAAGAATGAAGATCCAGAAATGTGATATCATGATTATTTTATATTGGAGGAATGTCTTTGGGGAGAGCTAACTTTGCTTTTGATTGGGTAATCTGGACATAGCTTATTCTCGGTGGAAGTGATGTAAAGTAGCTAAAGAAAAAAAGTGAAAAGGGTAAAATGGAAGAATTACTTAAAATCAAAATAAGATCAAGATAATAATTACATTGTTATCAGTTAAATATAGTACTTACACTATTAGGAGAAATGACCAGACTGAATGAAGGGTGAATATAGGTTTATTCAGATGTGAATGTGCTGTCCAGGCCCACTATCCCATCGCAATTCAGTAAAATCATACTCTCAAAGGAGAGTGATTTGTTATATTTGTGAACAGGTGGCAGCTTCATCTATTCAGAGACCAATTATGTAAAGCAGCATGAGAATAACCAGGGTGCCAATGTTGGCAGAGAGAGAGGGAGGGAGAGAGAAGAGAACAAATCTGTCACATGTTACAAAAGCAATAGTGATTTAACTCTTGAACAAGGAAGATTCTTGAAAATAGAACCAGTGAAATAATTCCCTGCACAAGTGTCTATCATGTGAAATCCCTCTGAGTACCCGGTAGTGATACTATTAGTGCAGGTAGTAGGAATGAAGCTTACCTCCATTATATTTCAATGATATTTTGCTTTAAAGTATGTTACTGGAACTCATTTTGAAGAATGCTGACCCTTAATATATTAGACTAGGTGTTAAAATTAGGAAAATACTAACAGATCAGAGCCCTGACTGCGTTGTACCTTCCTTATTTAGGGTTAAAACATAGTTCATCAGTAGCCCACCAAAGCTACTATTTATATGCGAATGTATCTGCTTAATAAATATTCACCATTTATGTATGTATTTATTTATTTATTTATTTATTTATTTGAGACAGGGTCTGTGTCAACCAGGCTGGAGTGCAGTGGCTCAATCCTAGCTTGCTGCAGCTTCAAACTCCTGGGCCGAAGTGATCCTCCTGTCTCAGCCTCCTGAGTAGCTGGGACTACAGGTGCACATGCCACCACACTCAGCTAAATTTTATATTTTTTTTGTGGAGACAGAAGTCTCACTATTGTTCAGACTTGTCTCAAACTCCCGGTATCAGGAGATTCTCCTGCCTTGGCCTCTGGAAGTGTTGGGATCACAGACGTGAGCCGTCACACTCAGCCAAATTTGCTTATTGAATTAATTACTTATCTCCTGGAAAAGTTGGGAGAAGAGCCGCTAGAGAAATAAGGAACAAGTTTAGTTTAATGTGTAGATGGTACAATTATCAGAAAAGATGCTGGGAGATTGAGGAATTCCTAGGAAATAGGTGCAGGGTGAACAAATGAGACTTTGAGTGAAGCTGCCTTCAGTTAGAGGAAGAAGTCAACTGTTTCCCAGAGTCAACAATGACTGGATCTGCACACAACTAAAAAAAATCTTTCTATATTTTTTCTTGGTAAAGGCTGTTTATATTAAACTTTGTACGTTTTGGTGGGGAATTAATTTATTTCATTGTCTAATAATTTTCCCACAAGCCCAAAGCTGAGATGATGAAAAGCTACTATTATTTGTTAAGCCTGGAAATGACTTAAAGAATGGTAAACAAGTTAGAATTGTAAAGGTATTTAGATAATTGAGCTTTGACCTAACTTTTTTTTTTTCTAGTTGCAAAGCTTTCCTTCAGGAAGCAAAAATATGAGCAATGATCAAAACACTGTTTGTTGTGAATGTTGGGTAAATAATGAAGTTTCTCCATTTTGAAGAAAGTATTTATTTCAATATTTGTCTGGGATTCAAATTCTCTACTAAATATATTGGTTTCATACAGTCAGCATCACTGGATTTTGGCCAACATGACATGACCACATAGGATATTTAAAATGTATCAGGAATCCTTCTGTTTGAGTTCATCTTGACTTTGCTGTGATGTTGTGTGTAATCATGAGCTTCTAGGTTTGGGAAAAAAATTGAGTTTCTCATGGAAAATTTTTTGTGACGTGAGCGCTATAATTGCAAACTTCTCTGATGACAAATAGTTTCTTCTGGCATTTGGGAATGAGGTACAGCTGAGTCTGGGAATAAACATCCAGGTGCACCTATCTAAACACGTCATTAGCCTGCCTGAGAAGTCTTCAGGGTGATCTGCATTAACTGAGTGTCTTTCTGTTGTAGCTAGTGTTGACTAGCTCCTTAAGGTCTTACGTGTCTTTAAGCTTAGGTTGATGGCCCCTGGTTAAATCTCCTTTACTATATAGATGTTTACACATCGTTTAGATTATGGCCTACATTCAAGTTTAATTTGCCTGTCTCTGAATGAATCAAAATTTCTAACTATATTTGGCTTACATTTAGATGTATTTTTTGTAACTTCTGTTGTCTCAGCTTCATGTTTGCTTTTCCACGATGCTTACCAGAAGTCTCCCCATGTGGTTGTTTCTACATAATTCGGGATAAATCCCTAAGATCTATTAGAGATATAGCAGAGGAAATGTACAGAATTGAGAATGTGAGAATAGAATGTTTTTCAGTTTTTAGAAGTTAGATTAGTCAGATAGGAATGATTAAAACAGCCTTTTTAATCTGCCTACAAAATTAGTTGGAGTGGAAAGCAAGCTAAAAACCTTTGGGGTTTGTAATATCTGTTAATTTAGTATTATTTATAAATTTAATTAAAGTGCTGCTTACCTTTTTAGGCAGATTTAAATACAATTAGGCTGTTCTCATCCCTCTGACAGCACCTAATTATCCCCTCATTTTTCATTACCTATTATTAAGCCTGCACTCCAGTTGTTTTTACCCATCGTTGATGGTTTAGACAATATGCCTTCTTTTTTTCAAGTCTTTTTTATCTTTCCATTATGTTCCATTTCAAATAATTCATCTTTAGTTACATATGCCAATCTCCAGTCTACCAGTTTGTTAATATGCAGACCACGAATTCATTTGAATTCTGTGCATACTAGAAAACTATTCTAATGCAAAAAACAAACAAACAAAAAAACCAGCAGCAAATACCTGTTATAAATATGTTTTGTTTGTCTATTTACTTATTTTGAGACAGTGTTTCGCTCTTGTTGCCCAGGCTGGAGTGCAATGACACGGTCTCGGCTCATTGCAACCTCCGCCTCCTGGGTTCAAGTGATTCTCCTGCTTGAGTAGCTGGGACTACAGGCGTCCACCACCACGCCCAGCTAATTTTTTTGTATTTTTAGTAGAGACAGGGGACAGGGTTTCACCGTGTTAGAAAGGATGGTCTCGATCCCCTGACCTCGTGATCTGCCCGCCTCGGCCTCCCAAAGTGCTGGGATTACAGGCTTGAGCCACTGCGCCCGTCCCAAACTGTCTTAATGTCTCATGAAATACAATCAAGACCTCTGTACAGCTCAGGTTAGGTTGTCTAGCTGGAGTCTGTGACAGGCATGAACATTTAGATTTAACATACTCTCTTTTGTAAATACAAAGAATGACAATGAGTATGTTGGTAAGAGAAAACTTTGCTAGGGATTTAAACATATTCAGGATTGCATGGATAATATTATATATGCTAACCCTTTTATCTTGTCAAGTAAGTTTTGTGCATATACAAATAACATTTTCCCATCATTCTATACATGAAAAGTATCTCTTTTCTTATACTATGGATACCCTTCCCTATAAAAATTAATTGCATGGAGAATCCAAAACAGTCTTTTTCAACTTATTAGACAACAATGGAATATAAAAAGACATATATTACGGCATTTTTATCAGGAATAAAGGACAATTTCCACAAAGTAAAACAACAATTTTTCTCAAGCTGAGGAATCTCATTTATCAAAGAACCAAGGATCTAGTGAGCCATGAACTAAACATATCAATGTCTGAAAATTCAGTAACTAGATCTATTTTAAAAATTACATAGTTAAAAAAATTACATTCTAGATGATATCCAGGATTTTTAAGCATACTATGATTTCTTACAGATCTGAACTATAGCTCACTTTCAAATTCAGTCTCATCTTCAAGTTGCCCTCCAAACACAAAATTTAACTGAACTCCATTACCCATTCATTTCTCATAATTATTTATAGCTGCAGATATGGGAGAGCACACATTTCCAATGTCTGCATTTCCACAATTTATACTTAGCCTCCTCTCCAACTTTTCATTTTTCTTTATTTTCCTTTTTTTTTTAAACAGAGTCTCACTCTGTCACCAGGCTGGAGTGAGTGCAGTGGCATGATCTCAGCTCACTGTAACCTCTGCCTCCCGGGTTCAAGGGATTCTCCTGCCTCAGCCTCCTGAGTAGCTGGGACTACACTACTAATATAATTTTTGTATATTTAGTAGAGATGGGGTTTCACCATGTTGGCCAGGATGGTCTCAATCTCTTGACCTCATGATCCGCCTGCTTCTGCCTCACAAAGTGCTGGGATTACAGGAGGGAGCCACCACGCCCAGCCCATTTTTCTTTTTTAACAGCAACAACTATAATAACAATACCCCTCCATTATGGGAAAACATATACATATTGTGATATGGTATATATGTCTGTGGGGTACACACACACAGTGTCCTAAGATGTTTCTATTCATGAGCTTTTTTTGTGTATATATATTTCTTGCCCTTTTTTCACCAGACATCTAAAACTCTCAGAAAGTGAAAGACTGATTTAACAAATTATTTTATTTACTGCACACTAGAGCTCCATCTCATAATTAAACACACTTTCAGTTCATTGAAATGAGACAATGCCTTTACTCAGTCTGGAGAGGATATACTATCATGGAAAGCAGCCAGTTGATTCTGCCAGAGAATTCTAACTCCACAGTCATTGGAAATTTCTCACATAGAGATACCAGTATCCCTGGTAAGGACAATGATGACCTGGCTTAAAAAAAAATGCTAGCTGTGATTGGTCAGATTTGGAATATATCAAGCTGTTTACAAATTGTTCTACTAATATATCTTCCATGAGTATAATTGGGAAGGAAGTTACGCAGGCTAATAGAAGTTTCCAGGATTTCCCTGTTCTCCTTTGTTTGGCCTTTGCCTCCATATTTATTATTTTTTTAGTTGCTCTGACTCCTGCCTAAGACTTTTTTTAAATGTAATTGAAAATTCTCAATGTGAAAATCTTGGATTGTTAGATTTGCTTCTAATTCCCTTTTTTAATTTACTTCTCTGTGTCAAGATAAAATGAAATTATACATAATTGTATTTATGAAGTCTTTTATATTTTATTTTCTCACCCTAGGATTTACCTCCATTCTTCTTTCTGTAGTTTAAGATGATTACACCCTTTTATTTTCCACAATCTCTCCCTTTTCTAGGCCAAAAGAACGATGCTTTTTCTTAAGTTGTTCATGAAATAATCACCCGTTCTTTACTATCATTATATTAATAACAATAATTTCTATTTTTGCATCACTTAATATATATGAAGCTAAATGTTTTGTGTTACTTCCTTCAACCTCCAAAGTAACCCTTTCATGTGGACGCCGTTTTAAGATGGCAACACTGAGGCACAGAGCATAAGCCATCCACCCCACATTTTTGGTTGCTCTCCAATTCACCTATTCGTTGGTTCGATTTTTGCCAAAGCTCTCTTTTAAACAATGATTCTCTACCTCTGCAGCTGTCTGGGGCTCCTTTCCTTTGCTGGCTGTCCTCTATCTTTTTCCTGCACTGACTTTTCCTGACATGATTCTGTAGTTATGCTTAGTTCCTTCCAAATCCCCTTTCCACTTAACTGATGAGGTGCGTGTGTGTGTGTTTTGTTTTGTTTTGTTTTTCATCTCATACATCCTCAGCATTATCTGGGTATCCACACTAAATCTGGAAGTACACAAGGCCCCATTTACAGGTGTGTTATTAGATCACAAGATAACTGGAAGCTGGGAAATTAGTCATAATGAGTGTTTCTGTCAGTAGAGGGCAGGAAAGCATGTTCCCTCCGTCATGATCAAGTTGATTACGACCGCCTGGAATTCTTGCTGGGACACAAGGCAAAAACAACAAATCATTATTTGATTCATCCTTTTGGCCAATTAGAGTTGTGTTCCACTGAAAATGTTTGTTATATATGAGTCTTCCCTCTTGTTTGGTAAATGGTGGGAATAGGGTGAAGAGAGGGGAAGTAAGTTCATTTTGTTGTCTTTCCCTTCCTCCAAACCTGGTGTGAAATTCCACTTGGCATAGTCTCTAAAGTTTGGCCCGAGTAGCACACACAATGATACATAGTGTATACAGGAAGCAAAATTCAACAGAGCACCTTTGGCTACCACCCATGCTTATACAAAAGAGGAAATGGGCCATTATCCCACTCTCTACTTGCTGAACTTTGGCTACCATTGCTGTGAGGACAATATTTATCCTCATCTCACTTCATTCAAACTACTGTATTGTTTTCAAGACACAGTGAGAGGCAACAGGAACAAGACCCAAGCAAAACAAAAACCTTACCTACCACAGCCAGACAGCAAGTAAGACTAAGAGAAAATAACTTTACTAAATCAGGTATACTTAAACCTTGCTGGCATTTGGAGACAAGGTAGTTTATAACACAGGAGTGGATAAACCACCAAGATTTACTTCCTCAAGGCATTTAAAGTTTCTCACATCCTAGGATTTATAAAGGGAAAGGACATTAGGAGTTGTCTAATTATTAGACAGTTTATCGATTTTACAGATGTTCAGAATACAGAAGTACAGAAATTCAGATTCAAAAGGATAAAATCCATTACTCAGTGCTAGGAGCTAACAAGAGACAGAAGCAAGACCTGGACCAGGGTCTCTGGATGCTGAGACTAACATCGTTCACACATCTTCCATGCTTCCATATTGCTCTCCAGAGTAAGTGACAGGCAGTCTGAGTAGCTACAGGATGTAGTCACCTTTTGCTTATCCACATTTAACATATCCCATTAGTAAATTTTCTACCACAAAATTCTAATCCTGTGCTAATCTCCATGATGGGGCGCACATCATACCACCTCCAACCCCAACTAACATTATTTCATTGTAACAAAATATTATAATTAATATACTCTTTCAGCAGAAATACAGAAGGATTATTTCTGTCTGGAGGAAATTGAGGGAGCTCTCATGGAGTCTTTAGCTCAGGATTCAAGAAGAGAGGAAGTTTAACAGAATAAGAAAGAAGGGAAACATGAACTGAGTCAATATTTTGTGTGCTTAAAGTCTAGGACGATGGCCAGCCCATTGTAGGTGTTAATTAGAAAAAGGCAAGGTTGTAAAAAACTACCTTACTGGAGGAAGGGAAGAAAGGGGGAGAAATACAGACAGAGATAGGATTACTAAAGGGGGTGGAGGGAGAGAGAACATATGAGAGAGAGAGAAAGAAAAGAGAGAGGGGTGAAGAAAGAGGAGGAGGAGGAGGAGATGCAAGGGAGAAGAGAGGGAGGGGGAGGTCACTGAAGAGAGAAGACAAGAGAAACAACAAAAAATCCAGAATGTTGTGGCAGAGGGAAAAAGCAGCTATTTCAATCATTGGTGACAGAATCACTCTTAGTGAGAAAACCGTATGGTTTATTAGTATATTTGTGTATTATCAAACATTTTGTTGGGTTACTTCAGTGTGAAATTATTGACTCTGTGAGACTAGTTTCTAGAAGGAGCTGGCATAACAGTATATTCAAAAGTAGGTATAGTTACACTGCCTTAAAAAGAGAGAAAAAAATCACAAGAGGTATTAGACAAGAAAAAATATCTTAGAGGAATCCAAAGTTTAATTTATATGATAAAGTCAATGGAGAACTGAGCAATGACAAAAAAATAGTATTGCAGTGACATTTCAGTTCTGTTTATATGTCTAACAATATTATAAAATGCAGCAATAACAATGACATCAAATTAGTATTATTTAAATTCCCATATAACCAAAGACACTCAATCATATTTAGCTCACATCTAGGATTAGAAGGCAGAAAAACGTCATTCACATACTGAATGCTTGTACTATTGAATCACAACTATAGTGTCTCATGTGCCTATGAGCAGCAAACAGTTGTTTCCGTGGGATTGTACAATACGGCATGATATGCAGGACTTTTAAAATCCATCATAATAAATTCTAACAGAAGCTCTTTGAATTTAAAACACTGTGTGCAAATAACCTTCTCTGTAACTCTTAGTTTATTTAACCACAAAATGAAGATTATAATGCTTACACGTTGCTTTTCTGAGAACTAAATCAAGTAAATTATGGGAAGCATCTTGTGCAATTCCTGGTATACACAGGGTATGTTCAAGTGTTTCCTCTTGCCTGTCTAATCTAAAAACTGATATTCATTTTTTTCCTATATGGAGAAAAACATAATACAAAAGACTCATGAAATTGTTACCTAGTAAATGTAGGCTGGAGAAGTATTCTTCAATCTTTAAGAAAATACAATCGTATCTAGTATTAAAAAAATCAATGCCAAACATCCAGCTAACTTGGTGCTGCATAAATCCTCAGGTTATTTTTCTGAATGATCCCATAGTCATTGGGCACTAATGCAATTTTCTTTGTGACTAAGAAATTTTGCCCTTGAATTAATGCACCTAATCAGTGTAAGCAACTGCCAGGAGGGACAAACATAAGCAAATGTAAAGCCGGCAAAGTACCTGGTAACCCGATGTCGTAGCTTACCTCTCTTTCCAAATGAAATAGATTCTAAATACACGGGCTTATATTGGCCTATTGCTCATTCTTTGTAAAATCGTGAGCAAGAAAGCACTAAAAATAGATTCAGATCCTATGTAGGAGGTTTCTCTGTTAAATGGATATTTCACAAAATGTTGGCTCCTCCCCATCTCTACTCCCCACCAAAAAAATAAAAAAATAAAAAGAATAAGAAAGCCTCCTCTGCTAATATTTACCTGAGTTTTTTTTTCTGACTATTAATTCAGCTTAGGTGAATGGAATGGATCATCAGCAGGTTAATGTCACACAAGGGCACTCTAGATCTCTGAATACACTTCCATCACTGTCAAGGAATAATAAATGCCCTCATGGAAAGTGACATTTTTGCTGTCTTGACTGTTTTTATTCTAAACTCAATTGTCTGAAGGACAGAAAAAGATTGTCTGATTTCTCACTATGGGAGAACATGTAATGTTAAATATTTTATTGACAATTTTGTAGATTACATTTCTGGTTAGTTACCATTCTAAGAGAAACTAAACTCATAATACCATGTGTGTCCATTGGATCAAGACCCCTGTAAAATTCATACCTCTTTTTATTTGTGTAAAGGTTTATAATGAAAAATCAATAATGGTAACAATAACCATATTGAAAATGCTATACAACTAACCTAATAGGTTTTCTCCTCTGTATTTTTTCAAGTGTGAGTGATAGTGAAATAGTGTGTATGTGTTCAAATGCCTTGGTTTAGGCTTACTAAGCCTCCTCTAAACAAATAAGGTTGGAAAATGAGAGCCACGATAAATGTGAAAGAAAAAATGAAAGTTATTATTGATGGGATAGAGGAATTCAAAATATACCTTTTGGATCACGGTTTGACTTCCTGTTATCATTCTCAGAACTACTTAGATAAAGAAACACAGTCTTCCACATCTCACATAGCATATGCCTCACTGCAAACCAGGACTAAACACCTTCTCTGTTAGAACCATTCAACTCGGAACCAATTAGTTCACTTTTTCTCCCAGAAGCAATACACCTCTATTATGGGAAAGCTCCACTCTTGTTAGCATGATGTCTGCGCCACTTACAGCGTTCATGCTGGTCTCCAGCACCTTCTGCACCTCCGAGTTCCCTTTCCTAGTGCCGCACTATCCAGGATTACCCAATAAGTAAACTGTGCTATGCCAGGAGCAAGAGCAAAGCACGGGTACCATTTTTAAAATTTGATATTTGCTATTTCAAAAAAAATTAAAAAGTTTTATTTTTGGAAACATAAAATATTTGATGAATATGTTGAAAATTAGTTTGGGGTGAGTATTCACATTTAGTATTTTCAGGCCTTCATCTAGCCCAGTTCCTGCTCCTGAATGCTAGAGAAGCACTTGACTCCCTCACTTCAATCTTAAGTCCTATTCAGAACGCTCTGTTCTTTTGTTGACACCCCATTGTATCCTCTTCCTAGCATGCAAGCCCTTCTGCCTCCCATTATTGCCTTTTAAAAAATTTACACTGGATTCCAGCTAATTAAAATAGAAAGATTTATTTGTATTATATTTTAATTAATTTTATATACGCATTGCTTGAAAAATACTTTCCTTCCTACATAGACATTTTTGAAACATTTCTCAATCAAATTTTAAAAATTTCCTAATAATGTAACTTCTGTGCATCCTTTTTCTTTAATGTGAAAAACATCAAGCCTGTTTTCTGACTTGTGTCTGGCCCAATGAATAAAACCATGTTTGACTCTGCACTCTAATTAATGGAGTTCATTTTCCGGCCAGGTCTCTATTGGCAGCCCAGGATGGATCAGAGCCAAATTTCTGAGGTTGATTGTTCGTTGAGTATCCTACACACACACACACACACACACACACGCTCACATACACACACTCATATACACACACACGGCATCAGAAAATTAGTTTTAAGGTGGTCGTATTGTAACAGCTTCGTTGCAAACGATAATTTCTTCCTTCCTGCTCTTCAAAAGCTCTACTTTAAGTTATATTTAGGAATAAAAACCTGCTCCTGAGCTCTCATGCACAGAGGAGATACTGAAAACTTGCAGTGTATCTCCTCTCACTTACCCAGATATTTGTTCTGAGTAATTTTGGACTAAACTGAAACCTTTAGATGGCAAGGAACAGGGTGGTGGTGAGGAGTGCAGGCTTAACAATGGACAACATTTGCTCATGATTCAACTGTTTTTAGCTATATGATGAGGGCTATTACTCAACCTCTATAAATATTAGCTCTCCTATCTAAAAAATGGGAAAACTTTGGTGCCTACCGCATAATGCTGTTACATAGATTAAATGAGATATAGCAGTATCTAAGTACTTAATAAATAGTAGTTGATATTTTATTATTACTATTATAATTCCTGGTTTTTAGTGTTATCTTTATGATGAAGACAAGGACTATGATTAAGTGTGTACTGTTTTAACCTGGCTAAAAGCGATCATCAGTCCCATCTAACTTAGAGATATTTTAGCTGCCAGGATCTCTGAAATATTTATAGCAGCTAGGGGAATTCTACCCAGGCCTTCCAGGAGACAGGAGCACAGCTCCATGCATCTCTGACAGACACCATAGCCTAGAATGCTTTTTGTTGTTGTTAATTTGAGAAAAGTCTATGTCCTATTTAAGAACCAAAATATTTAATTTTTTTCTCTCAGCAAAAACATTTTAGAAATTTTACAAGGCAAAACATTTTTTTCTCTCAGCACAAATGTTTTAGGAATATTGCAGCTAAGTCAGGACTTTAGTAAATGCATTATTTTGAATCAGAATCAAAGATAATACATATTATTGGGGGAAAACACCTTAGGTAACCATATGGAACAGTGTTTCTGCAGCAACATGGACAAATGTATAAGCAAACTTGTATCCCTGAAAGCTTCCAAAGACACGGAATTCAGGTGATACATCTTCGGATACAATGTTACGGAAGAATGGCTTGCCAGAGTTCAGTGTAGTCTTGTACACAAAAGTTTGGTGGCTGAGGCAGGAGAACTGCTTGAACCCTGGAGGCGGAGGTTGCAGTGAGCCAGGATTGTGCCGTTGGACTCCAGACTGGGCGATAGCGCGAGACTCCGTCTCAAAAAAAAAAAAAAAAAAAAAGTTTGGAATTAACACAATATACCAGGCAAAAGTTTCAAAATATATAGAAAGACTTCTAAGATGCACCATTGTAATTATTGGTCCTTCCCAGAGGGTACTCAAAACATAATCATGTGAAATTGAATGCTCTTGAAATTTCTTTATCTTCAAAGTAAAGATTTGAAATGAGTCTTTTCTTATTTATTCTCACTGTTTTCCAAAATCCTTCTGTCTCTGGAGTATTAAATTTAAGGTTTTAAAATATCAAAAATATAGCATTTAATTATAAAATGATAAAAATAACTCGTTCTATTTCAAGCACAAACAACAGGACAAAAAAGAGAATGATCTGACTAAAATTAATCTTAAATTTCAGTGTGTAAACTCAAGAAACATGGCAGGAATTTACTTATTTTGAAGTCCTAAGCAACAAAATTTTTTAGTACTTAACTTCTTCCTCCCCTGCTTTCTTAACCACTAGCCAGAGTTCTGAAACTTAAGTACAATCAAGAGGTATATTTTAAATTTTATTCAAATTTGGAGACATTAGGAACTCCAAATTCTATCTTCCGTAATAAGTTTAATTCACTATCTCTTTCGGAAATTCCAGATATTGTAGCTAGAAACTAAACAACACATTGAGATGTAAACTATTAACTCAGGAATGGTCATTTATAAAAAGTAATAAATAAAACAAAAATGAAGTACTAGGTTTTATGTATTTTAAAAGTTGGTCCATACTTTCAACCTAAAAGGAAAGGCTTGTACTTTAAAGAATCTGGTACTGATCAATAAACATTCATACTTTGCATGAATTACTGCCATCATTAATATTTTCATTCTAATAAAAGAGATATTTAAACAGGTTTTATTTTTCTTAAGCAATAAGACATAGAGGTACTTGTCAAATCATACTGTGAAATAACTCATATCACTAATCTAGGTCAGACTGAAAATCTTTAATAAAACAGTAACAACTCAAGATCATGGATTTGAAGAAGCAACATTTAACATTTGATAAAACTTGACATTTTGGCATAGATAATAAGATTAAAAATACTTTTAAATTAGTCACTTTTCTTTCCAATAGCATCAGGAAATTGTCCTCCGTGGTGTCATCTCCACCTGCATCTGGACTTTAGGCCTCCAATCACATTTGGGAAAAAATCCATTTCCTTGATGCAATACTTTTCAGGCCTTGACAATATTAAAGTCCAATATTTTGGAAGAAAAAATGTCTTGTGAGTGGAGGTGAGGAAGAGTGGACATAACTGACATTTAAGATTTTCAAGTGTCAACCGGGCACGATGGCTCACGCCCGTAATTCCAGCACTTTGAGAGGCCAAGGCGGACAGATCACCTGAGGTCGGGAATTCGAGACCAGCCTGATCAACATGGTGAAACCCTGTCTCTACTAAAAACACAAAATTAGCCAGGCGTGGTGGTGCATGCCTGTAATCCCAGCTACTCGGGAGGCTGAGGCAGGAGAATGTCTTGGACCCAGGAGGCAGAGGTTCCTGTGAGCTGAGATCACGCCATTGCACTCCAGCCTGGGTAACATGGCGAGACTCCATCTCCAAAAAAAAAAGATTTTCAGGTGTCAATCTCCATGGCTCTTATCATTTGCCTTCTCTCATGCCTGACCTAGGTCTTCTATCAGTGCCTGTGTTCACAGCATGAACTCAGTATTTTCAAAACTCAGTATTTTCATCTGGGGCCAATACGCACTCAGATTTTATCTTCTGGCTTCAATCATTTGTGGGTTTTGACTACTTGAGGAAAGAATAAGAAAGTGAATTCAATACACTTTGCAAAACATTTTTATAAAGGATGTACATCCATTTTGATCCTGTTTTGTTATCAGATCTTCTTGAGCCAAAATGTAATAATTGATCTTAGAACAATAATACCCTCTTGAAAACTCTAGAAGACTGTAGGCAAGCTAGTGAAAACTGCCTGAAGAATATCTGGTTGGCTCCTCCACGGTGAACCACACATGACTGTGGACAAGTCTTCTCTTTGTAACTTATGCACATACACACTCACACGAACAATCACAAGAGTGCACACACTTGCAAAACCACAGGGATGCCTAGCCATGGGAATCTGTTTATATGTCCTGTAGATCACACACGCACACACACATGTACGCACAATCTGCTTCCCTATATGGACATTTGAAAAGTTAGGCTTGCTATTATTCCTTAAAAGACCATAAATTAAATAGATTACATAACAAAATAAAACAGGAAAGAAGTGTACTTGACATTCTTCTTTCAGCAATTCAACCAAATTCAGTGTGAGGCGCTGGAGTCTTGGCTGTGTATGATGTGGATTAATCATCATCATTGAGAATTTATCAAGTACCTACTGAGGACATGGCATTATTGCAAATAACTTTTCTTCAGGCTGTGGTTCCTTAAGAGAACCTTTAAAAGTATCATAAACAAACAAAAATAAACAAAATAATATTCACTCAAAAAATCCTACTTAGTCTAAAAAAGTTGATCTCATGGCAGTAGCAAATAGAATGGTGGTTACCAGAGGCTGGGAAGGGGGCAATGAAGAGAGGCTGGTTAATGGTACAAAAAATACAATTAGATAGAATAAATAATTTCTGGTGTTTCATAGCACAGTAAGGTACCTATAGATATCAATAATGCATTCTATATTTCCAAATAGCTGGAAGAGAAGAGGTGGAATGTTGTCAACACAAGGAGATGATGATAAATGTTTGAATTCTAATTACCCTGATTTCATCATTATACATTGTATACATTGTATGCATTTTTCAAACCACATCTACCCCATAAATACATACGTTCATCATTATGCATCAATAGGAAATGTTTTGCCGGAAGAATTTCAATTTAGAATTGTAATACCTTGCCTTTTAAAGAAAATCTCAAATTTTTTAAATCAATTTATAAATCTTCTGTTCTCATGGGTACAAATAAAGTAACAGTTTTGAAAATATGTTTCTATTGTGCCACAACTCTATGAATAAATAAATAAATGTATGTAGAGAAAAATATTTACAGTAAATTTGTCATTATCTTTATCTGGGTCAGAAGCTTCTGGCTTCAAATTTGCCAACTTTGGAGCAATTATTAGTCTCAGTTTTTCCAACAGATAATTAGCTGATGTTGAAGGCTAGAAAATAGTGTGTTCTCAGCATAGTCTAAAACATTTTACAGATTGTGAAGATGGATTACAATTTGCTATTAGATATTTACATTAATTAGATCTAGAATTATTTTCTTAGTGAAAACTTAGCCATGCAGAGTATGTTAATTGAAAGAGTCCCTGTCTTTCCAGAATGGACTAGCCGGAACTTAAAAGCAGAGAGAAAAACAACTACCTTGTTGAATATTCTAATTTAGTAGGTTTTTGTTTGCTTGCTTGCTTGTATGCTTTTTTAGAGACAAGGTCTTGTTCTGTCACCTCGGCTGGAGTGCAGTGGTACCATCCTGACTCTCTGCAGCCTTGGAGTCCTGGGCTCAAGCGATTCTCCTGCCCCAGCTACCTGAATAGCTAGGACTACAAGCACATACCACCACAGTTGGCTAATTTTTTATTTTTATTTTTTGTAGAGATACTTTTCACTATCTTGTCCAGGCTGGTCTCGAACTCCCGGGCTCAAGTGATCCTCGTGTGTCTGCCTCTCAAAGTGCTGGGATTACAGACATGTTTTATTTTACAAAGAATAGAACAGATTTTCCCATGTTCATTAAGTTAAATTAAAACAAGGTCACTTCTCTTATGTTAGGCTAACTTACAACACATTCTCAAACATAATTTTTGTCAATATATAAATGTACAAATAAATACTATATTGATATATATTTAATATAGTGTGCACATACAATTAATATAATACATGTTGATATACATATTAATATAGTCAAGGTTTATATGATAGGAAAATTCCTACTTTGAAATATCAGAAGAAGCTCTCTAACCCTTCCTTACTAGACTTCAAGAAAAAGATTATTCTTTTTGTTTGCAGCAGAGTTGTTTGATGCTTATGGACATATGGAATATTACAACTATGATTGCCTAATTTTCTAGAAAACTTAAGCCCAAAGTGTCCACCTTATCAACTCCCAAGTTCATAGTATCTACCTCTCCTTAGCTAAGCAGTGAGTTGGAAAGCAGTGGAAGGGAAAAATGATGCTAGGATTTCTCCCTGTGGCCTGGATCAAAGCCTAGGGCCCACTACTGAGAAGGTTCAGAGCCCAGACCAAAAAGGTGTAGATCCAGGGAGCAGGTACACCCACATGAATTTAGGAACTTAAGGCGAAGGCCAGTTGTCTTAGTCCATTCTCACACTGCTATGAAGAGCTACCTGAGATTGAATAATTTATAAAGAAAAGAGATTTAATTGGCTCACAGTCCCGCAGGCTGTACAGGAAGCATGGGTAGGGAGGCCTCAGGAAACCTTCAATCATGGCGGCAGGCGAAGGGGAAGCAGGCACGTCTTACATGACTGGAACAGGAGGAAGAGAGTGAAGGGGGAGGTGCCACACACTTTTAAACAACCAGATCTCATGAGAACTCACTCACTATCTTGAGAACAGCAAGGGGGAAATCCTCCCCCATGATGTAATCATCTCCTACCAGGCCTTACCTCCAACATTGGGGATTACAATTCAAAATGAGATTTCTATGGGGGCACAGAGCCAAACCATATCACCATGTTGGTTGCACCCAAGTGTGTCAGGACTACCTGGCTCCCGAGGAGACCACAAGGAGCCTTAAAGGGAAGACCAAGTGTGCACAGATTTAAAAAATAAGTTAAAATAATAATTAAAATCTTAAAGAAGGCATCAAGATAATTTAACTATATAGCTTCTATTCAGTAATCTCTTAGATATCGCTGTACTCATCTTTCCTTGTTTTTTTGTGCTTTACCTAATCTGGATACTTCGCCAGATTAGAATTGTTCTCTTTATTATTAGTATTCCTTTTCATTATTCTGCTTAGAGTTTTAATAACTTAATGAGGGTTGAAGAATACTGAAAGTCATGCAGGCTCAACATTGGGCAACAATCTGACAAAATAATACACTTAAAAGAGGCCAGGTCATTTGCTTGATGCCATAATTTCTGGGCCAAGCAATGAAGGCAGTGTCACAGGCCATTCAAGTATATAGCTTTGTTTCTCCTCTCTGCACTTAGGGAAGCTGAATCCCAGTATTATCTCTTTGAAATGCGAGGTCCTACAAGTGTATATCCTCATATTAGCCTTAAGTTTAATTAATCAAATGGTCTCTCCAGTGTATGACTTGATTATATTGTAATTCCTTGACACAGTTGATATTTTATTTATAATTCAGTATTAACTGTAAGGAATTTAATTTTTTCAGGTTTCTAATTGAATTCTGAAAAATCACGCAGTCCTCTAACTGAGTCTCTTATGTTACATTGATATAGCACGAGTCAAATGAAATATTTTATCATGAATTTTTTTAAGCAATATGAAAAATTACATATAGATTCCTTTTTTTATTTAAGGATATATTATACCAAAACTATTACTGTACATTAACATTTTAATTGTATTAATTTTTTCTGTCACTTGTATCTTCCTTTGTATCTTCCAGTTCAGAAGGGAAACCCTTTTTTCCTCTTAAATCATTTCTTGCTCTGTGAGCTACTATGGTGGTTAGGTTGGCAAGAGCCATTCCAGGCATGTGAATGTGGTTAAAAGCTATTTTTTTTCTCTCTCTTTCCCATATACACATTGCCACATATAGCCATACACTACACACACACACACACACACACACACACACACAGAAAGCCACTATTAATCTGTAATGATCCGGAGGAATTCTAGGTATAAGAATGTTTGGAATGCCCCTAAGATAATGAATTTTTCATTCATGATCTTTCGTGCCAGGACTGCTGTGACTGCTAAGACACGCCACACAGTTTCATGGGAAGAAACAGTGCCCCTTTGCCAGAGCCCAGTTAGCAAATTAGTATTATAATTATTATCAGCCATCTTACAACATCCGGCAGCAATCGAGATATCATTTTTTTCTCCTAAAATGCAAGTTAAACGGTGTAATTACATATGGTTCTATGAATTATCTTTTACTGTCAACCTCGATCATCTCCAAACCTCAAGTTAAATAATTCAAGATTATAAGCTCAAGTAACATAATATATAAAAATTAATGTATTGCTAATTTTAAAGTAGTCCTGACAGAGAGGCTGATGTAAATGAGCTATTTTTACCATGCTTTTTGCCAACTGTACTGTCTGAAGATGCTGGCCAATGTTTGAAAGCTCTTTTAACTCAGAACTCCCTCAGATGTTCTTTTATGATAAGGAATAAAGGAGAAAGCAGAAAAGCTTTGTATCTGTGGTAATGAAAGAAGGTCAGAAGCTATAGCATGTAGATTTTTGGAAAAGAGTCAGAACTTTTTAGAGAGAAAAGATAAAGATTATTAGCAACACTGACCTTGCAATCCACTGTAATCATTCCTAGGCTAAACTGAAGCTTTTGTGGAACAAATAACATGTTGACCCCCAAAATAACCTCATTATGACTATGAACAATAGTAAAGTACATAGGCAGAAGCCACAAGAGGCTTTGTTTTAAATTATAGCAGCAACATCAGACTCACATAAACTCTAAGCAGAACCTCCTCCATGTTTTACCTTTTTTGAACATAGGAGGATTGCATATACTGTACTTTTCTTGTTTGCATTATCACTATACTGATCATATATTATCATCTTTTGATAGTGACAGGGATGCTATTATTATTATGCAGGAAGAGGAAGAAACCGAGACTGTCCACGGGAAGTGAGACTACATAGTCATCCTAGAAATATATTCATGATGAAGAAAAGATGTTATTAAGCATATGTGCCCTCTGGGATTTGAATAGTGGGTTCTAGTTTGTGACACAATCTAACAATAAATAAGTTCAACTGGCAAATTTGATTAACATAGAGATTTGTTGCCAGGAAAAAAAAAGTGATCTATTTTCACCCAAGTTTCAGCCACAATGTTTTAAAAGTTATGTTCAACGGACAGTGATAATATGATCTAACAAGTATCAGAAATGGAGTCTCCTGTATGAATTGCAAGTGTAATAAAACAAGTTGGTGTAAATATAGGTCTATCAGTAGAAATCTCCTCGGGTGCAGTTTTTGTTTTTAAAGACCTGCAGAACATTGTGGGAATTCCAATAAAATATATGTATGGATCCCCACACAGAAATTCCAGTATGTTTCTGTTTTGTAGAAGGATATTTAACAATCAGTCTAGAGAATTCAGTAGTCATAATTAATACTATTGACAAATCATTTAGGAAAAAGGAAATTTCTGTCAAAAATAGTATCAAAATACACATGAACACCAAAGATTAGGCCCAATTTAGTTATTCCTTCAATTGCTACCTTAATTTTTAAGGCTGCTTTTATGTGAAACTGTGGTATTTCACTAAAATATTCCAAAGTTCGTTTATTCTATCTAAAGGGCAACTAGTAAATACATACATCTACTTTGAGTTTTAATTGAATAAATTATTTAAAACACCTAAACCCGTCATATCTAGTGGTACAATCTGACTCTGTTTAGACATTCCAAGTCTAAAACTGATCGATAGGTTTCTGGGATCAATGAAAAGAATACTGAAATAACAACCAGGAGGCCTAGCTGGATGGAACTAGTCTTGTGAAACTGTGGGTGAATGGTTAAGTCTCTTTGAGAGTTAGTTTTCTAACCTATAAGGAGGAAAGTACTGGATTAGATTGTCCCTTAGGTCCTTTCCAGCTCTGACATTGTATACTTTCTGTCCCAGTGATTCAAACAACCAAAACTGTTTTACTGTTATCTGACCATTAGACTCTAGAAGATGATCCTCTTATCTTGTAAGCATTTATGAGTCAGAAAATGGCTCTCATGAAAATGCATCAAAAGTTAATTGTATTTAAATGAATACTAGAAAAAAAAGTTTTTTGTTTTGGATTTCCAACCTAGAATGATAATACCTTTCTAAAAGTTTCCCTCCAAATACCTTCATGTTGGCAATCAGCTGCTCTGAGTGGCATTATCTAAATACTGTGTTTCCGTATGTCACATTTTTTAATTTCACTTTTATATGAGAAAATAATCAAATTTGGTTCATAAGGATTCAATTTCTGGAGAAATTTGGCGGAAATTTCTATTTTTTTTTTCTTTGCAGAAGCATCTCTGCCAGCTACAAGTGAGAGTCCATATGTTGTGTGGTATATAAAGAGAAACTGCTCCTGATTTCTTTCACACCTGAACTACTCTATTGCAGATGTTCCAAAGAATGTCTACCTCAGAAGGAGCTGCAAAATAGATTATAAAATTATCCTGGCATAATTTACTGAAGGAAAAATGGATAGTATTTACTAACATTTTCTCACACCATTACATAGAAGAAGGCAGCTAGTAACTTTGCTAGATACTAGAGTACCATTTAAAGAAACTGGGTGAACAGAAAGGCTTATTGTCCCTTACTAAAAATGATTTCCACACTGAATAGTTACACCTGGCTATGTGCTTTCTGAGACCTTGATTTTTCTCTGTTACATTTTTAATTACAGTAGTCGTTTACAATTTATAATATGCAATCATTTACAATTATAAATACCTGTAATCTTAGTTTTGCAAGTTGGGTTTCTTGTAAGCATTGTGCCTCCATAGTAATTCCAACATGCTTGTATTATCCACCATCCTGTAGAGAATGAGAGCCATAGCTGGGCGCAGCAGCTCATGCCTGTAATCCTAGCACTTTGGGAGGCGGAGGCAGGCAGATCACAGAGTCAGGAGTTCGAGACCAGCCTGGCCAACATAGTGAAACCTCGTCTCTACTAAAAATACAAAAAAAAAAAAAAATTAGCCAGGCATGGCAGCATGTGCCTGTAATCCCAGCTACTTGGAAGACTGAGGCAGGAGAGTCGCTTGAATCTGGGAAGCAGAGGTTTCAGTGAGCGAGCTGAGATCGCGCCATTGCACTCCAGCCTGGGTGACAGAGCCAGACTCCATCTCAAAAAAAAAAAAAAAAAAATGAGAATGAGAGCCATGTACACAATGAATACAGGTCTCATGACAGAGGCTGTCCATAGCAGGACTGCTTGCAGGTGCAAGTTCGTATGCACAAAGCATTCAGATTCTACTACTTTAGGATTTCATTCATCTCTAAGTCTCTGAATCAGAAAATTGCCCCAAGAATAGATACCCTCCTAGTGTGAACATAAATTTGTATATGTCTTTCCTTCTTAAATAGGCACTCCCTAGATTGAATCCTAATAACTTTATCCAATAAAAAGTCTGTGTATAATTAGTTCAAACTGTGAAAACAGTGATGTGGTGGTGTCTGCAATCTAAATCACTCCATAGAATGCTATGTTAACTGTTCTCCCGACAATAAATAATGAATGTCGTTTCTAAATATGCCAAATAGAATTAGGTTCTATGTATGCTGTATTGTATATTTTCAAAGCATCTTATTTTAATATCCAGAGAATGCCACGTAAAACCTTGAAAGTACTTATCCATGCCTAAAGAAAGACAATAAATATCCATTTTTTTCCAAGCTGATTAATCATTCAGTCACATTTGTGATTAAGAAATACAGAATAATCCAGGAGATGTCTTAGAGACTTAGAGAGGCCCTTCTGGTGTTTAACTAGAATTTAACATGAAAGTTACATCCTATGACATGATGAAAACACAGTTCTGTGCATAAGACTATTACAAAGCAATGCTGACACCTACAGAGAATGTATGCAAATATCCAAGTTTAATTGGTATATGCTTTACTGACTGGCATTAATACTTTGAATTACAACTACCTCAATATATAAAAACAAGACAAATTAAGTTTGATGTGGTACATTTAAAATGACATTTAATTTGTAATGAAAATGCTCATTTTGTTATCCTTTCAATAAACTTCACATTGTAACATTATTGTTTGACTGTCAATATTTTAATAGTCAAGGGTGGGGCCTACCTGAACAACTCCATTGCTGTGGACCCATCTGCTGATGCAAACTGATGGTATATGTAAAAGAGATAATGAGAAACAAATATGTTTTTTCCTTTCTCTCCTACATTTGTGTAGTATTTCTAGCGAAGGAGAGTTATTGTCTTCTCACTGGGAGAACTAAGATAGAATTTTCCAGAATAAGTAACTGGAGGCCAAGGAGAAGCACAAACTACCCTTCTCCAACGTTTCCTCTACTGCCTCTTAATTCAGTATTGTAATAGAACTAGTCTTGAGAAACTTAAGGCAGAACATGAATTTGGTCCGAAGAATACTTTTTTGTGTGTAAGCAAAACTCACTACCCTTTTAATAAGCATTAACTAAAGGAAGGCAAAAATCATATCTTTATTATTTATTGAGTGCCTCGTAATCACATGAAGAAATTAGGCTGTGACAATGATGAAAAATCAGAGTCCACAGATTGTAATTTAAAGCTAAATATGCTACCAGCAATTCTGTTAGAAAATATCCCACTTATTTGCAATAAAAATGCCTAAGAATAACTTTAATCAAGAAAGTTCAGTGACTCTGTGAAAAAAAGTATGAAATTTTGCTGAGAGACAATAAAGCTCACTTAAATGAATACAAGAAACATGTTCCTGAATAAAAATATTAGAATAGGGATGTTGATTATCTCCTAATTAACTGTAGTTTTATATAATTTAAAAAAAAAAACTCCATGGATGCTTCAATAGCTTAAACTTGTTAGAAGTTCAGGGAAAAACAGCTAAATGCATTTTTAACAAGAAGATTAAAGAGAGAATAGTGCTAGCAAATAACTGTATACTGAATAAAATGTATGTTCTATAATATATATGATATACCAGTGGTCCCCAACCTTTTAGGCACCAGAGACAGGTTAATTTTTCCACAGACGGGGTGGAGATGCTGGTTTCTGGATGAAACTGCTCCACCTAAGATCATCAGGCATTAGTTAGAGTCTCATAAGGAGTGTGCAACCTAGATTCCTCACATGTGCAGTTTGCAAAATAGGGTTCGTATCCCTGTGAGAATCGAATACCCCTGCTGATTTGACAGGAGGAGCTCAAGCAGTAATGCTCACTTTTCTCCCCTCACCTCCTGCTGTGCAGCCAGGTTCCTAACAGGTCACAGACAGGTACTGGTCCACAGCTAGGGGTTTGGGGACCCTATATATATTTTATATATATATATATTTATATATATGTATATATAGTCCCCTATATATAAAAAAATAAATATAAATATAAAAAATGTGTGTGTGTGTGTGTTTTCAGATGGAGTCTCGCTCTCTCGCCCAGGCTGGAGTGCAATGGTGCGATCTCAGCTCACTGCCACCTCCACCTCCCGGGTTCAAGCAATTCTCCTGCCTCAGCCTCCCCAGTAGCTGGGAATACAGGTGCCCGCCACCACACCTGGCTAATTTTTGTATTTTTAGTAGAGACGGGGTTTCACCATGTTGGCCACGCTGGTCTGGAACTCCTGACCTCAGGTGATCTGCCTGCCTCGACCTCCCAAAGTGCTGGGATTACAGGTGTGAGCCACCACACCTGGCCCTATATACCATATTAAACATATATAATATGAAGCCAAAATGATTAGAACAATGTAGATCCAGAATTATATGGGCAGGTACTTCCAAAGAACAGGATCTATAGTTGAAAAGTAGACTTTAGTGTCACAAACTATAGTGAAAGGAAGAATATTTAATAAGAATGTGTTAGGAAAATTGATTTCCCAGTTTATTAAATTAGGAAAAACACAGAGAATGCAGAAAGCAAAGTGCACATAATATTTGAACTTTAGCAATGAACATTTTACTTTCATGAAGTAAAATGAAATCACAAAGTAAAGAGCAATTAAATTGAGATCACAAATGAAAATTTCTGTATGTCGCAAATATGTCACACAAATTAAAAAGAAAATAACAAACATGGGGAAAATACTTGCAGTGATTATGTAAGAAGTACAAATCCTTAAGGGAAATCCAAAAAATTCAATTGAAAACTAGTCAAAGATTATTAAAAAAAAGGTATTTCCAGGAGAACTAATACAAATGTTCAACCAATACAAGAAAACATTGAGCATGGTGGCAGGTGCCGGTAATTCCAGCTACTTGGGAGGCTGAGGCAGGAGAATCTGTTGAAACCAGAAGGCGGCGGTTGCGGTGAGCCGAGATTGCGTCACTGCACTCCAGGGTGAAAGAGTGAAACTCCATTTCAAAAAAATAAAATAAAATAAAATTTAAAAATAAAAGAAAACATCGTTCAACATTACTGTTTTTCCCAATATACAATTCTATTCCAGAAAACCTGTATCATTAGGTTCGGCAAACATTCACTATATTGTCACAAGCCCATCGTTATTTGCTCTCATGGGCTGTAACTCCTCCTTTTCTGTAATCTCAAATCCTCCTATTTTAAATCACATAAAATATCTTGTCCTATGTGGTGCCTTTTTCCAATCCTCACAGACAAATTTTTTTTTTACAAAACTTTCTTGTTTCCTATTATTACCTTTTTAATTAGATTTACCTCATACCAGCCTATATTTTGCTCCTATGCTAAATGTTTTACTTTGTTTCCTAATTGTAAGTCATTTTTAGCAAAATTGGCGACGTTTACATATCCCTGTCTTTAAAAGATGTGTCATGCCCAAAACAAAACAAAACAAAATGAAACAACAACAAAGCAAGACCAAAAGCAAGGGTGCTGACAGTTTGATTAATGTAAATAAAGACATTCACACATACAAATTCAGTTTTTTATGCTTCTGTAGGAAAAAACCTGTTCCATTCACATGCCCATGAGGCTTCTGCAAAAGCTGGTTGTATTTTGACTACAAAGAAAATGTGACTATATTCCAAACACACAAAAAATGTGCAAGGCTACCTTATTTGATTACACCACAAAAATATAATAAAATAAGAATTAATAATAAATTGGTAAAGAAAACTTAAAATTTTAAATGCAGTACTTGGAAGTTAAAAAAATAAGCTCTCTGGAAGATTAAAAAATAAATATTCTAAATAATTTTGGGTAAATAAAATAAAATTACAATAAAACTACATAGTATCAAAGATCATTGCAATGAGAAAACTAAGTTTTAAACCTCATGAAGTATTGCCTGAACTTTTTCCTAAAAAATACTTCATGTGGGCCGGGCGCGGTGGCTCATGCCTGTAATCCCAGCACTTTGGGAGGCCGAGGCGGGTGGATCAAGAGGTCAGGAGTTCAAGACCAGCCTGACCAACATAGTGAAACCCCGTCTCTACTAAAAAAATAAAAAAAATTTAGCCAGGATGGTGGCAGGCAACTATAGTCCCAGCTCGGGACCTATAGTCCCATTCTCCTGCCTCAGGAGGCTGAGGCAGGAGAATGGCGTGAACCCAGGAGGCAGAGGTTGCAGTGAGCCAAGTCCGCCACTGCACTCCAGCCTGGGCGACAGAGCGAGACTGTCTCAAAAAAACCCAAAAAACTTCATGTGGAAGATATAGTGGCTTAGCACACTGAGTATCTCTCAGCTTCCAGTTAGGGGGATTTTTCTGAATGACAGAAACTAGAAGGCTAAAATCTACTTTTCCATGACTTTGTTGCACCTAAATTTTTGGGTGTGAAATTGATTTGGCTAAGAGATATGTTCTTATGAGTTCCAGAACAACACTGCCCAATTGAAATATAGTGTGAGCCACCTATACAATTTTAAATCTTCTAGTGGTCACATTACAAAAGGCAAAAAGAAAACAGCCAAAATTAAAAATTAATTTTAAGAATGCATTTTATTTTACCCAATATATTTAATATTGAATACATTTCAAAATATTTTCATTTCATTATGTCATCAAGATTTAAAAATTGGAATATTTTACCTTCTTTCTTTCTTTTTCCCCATTATGTCTTTGAAATCTTGTGGTATTTTAAACTTAGAGCATGTCTCCATTTGGATTAGTCCTATTTCCAGTACTCAGTAGCCACATGTGATTAGTGGCTGCTGTGTTGGGCAGCAGAGGTCTAGAAGATGAAAGTCAAGGAGGCGTTTTCCTGGTGCTGAGGCAGTTTCTCAGGGTAGAAACTATTTCTGCAGCAGTTCTCTAGAGTTCCTTCAGAGGAAGATGTGATGGTAATAACATCTTCCTGATTTTCTGCATCAAAGCTAAAGGGGTGTGTTCTTGAAGTCAACCTTTCCAGTGATAGCTTAATTCTTCCTTCTCTGAGTCTATCCAATGGGTGCCTCCCTCGGCAGGCCAGGTTTGTGATCTTATTCTGGGGTCGTTCTTGAATTAGAATCAAGCCTGTTTCTCCAGGCCTTCCAAGATCTTTCTAAGCATACAATTCCATCAGATTTCCTTCTGCTTAAAATAGAACAGTTTTTGCTTCCTGCAACTGAACTCCAAATGTATACTACATCATCATAAATCTGCTCATTCCTGAAGAAATGGAAATAAATGAACTGGAGACTTAAGATGTTAACAATTTTCAATAAAATGAACATGAAATTAAAAAGAATTAACAAAGAAATAGATAAATTAACTAGAAAAAGAACATGTTTTGACTAGTTTAATAAAGTAAAATACGAAATTTATAAAACTGGGAACAAAAAAGGCATGAGATGTACCAAAACAGAGAAATGATAAAACACTGTACACATAAGTATTTACAAATTTGAAAACATTGACAAAACAAATGAAATGGGGTCCATACTTTTCTAAGAAAAATAAAATTTTCAAATTTGATTCAAGACATGGGGAAAACCTAAATATCCATGAAAGAACCAAGCATCTCAGATGACAAAGCATCATCTTTCTAAAAAAGAACTTCCACTGGTGGAAAAATCACTCTTCTTAATCCCTGTACAAAATGAAACAATCTGAAAAAATTAAAAAAATAGTCATCTGAGATAAGTCTTCAAATTGTTTAGATTCCATATTGCTAGCCCTAACTCTTAGTACACTTAGCACTCAGAAATATTTATCAAAGGTAGCAAATAAAACCATAATTTTAAGTGATAAAAAATATGATCCAAACAATCAAAAAAAGGCTGAATATTTTATTTTTCTTGTAGCAGTTTAACACTTATGAGCAAACACTCTTTGACAGGTTAATAGAAGCAAAATATTTTCTCCAACATTGCCAAATTGAGTGCACCTTTCAGTTTAGCTAATCAACAAAGTAGATGATAAAATTACTCTAGAAGGGAGATTGGATATCTAGCATTTGATTTATGTAGCATAATGTTTACAAACTATTCTTTAATTATGAAGGAAGTAATAGAGAGAGCCTATTCTACCTAGTGTTGTGTTCATGAAAGAACGAATTAAAACAGACATAGAAAACATCAAACTTAAAACATACTTTTCCTTTTACTCTTCATTTTATGGTGGTGAAGCCATTTTGGATTTCCATGGCAGTCAAATAATCAGCTAGTAGGTGACTATTTCTATGTTATAAAAGTGTACTTTTCTTTAGGTCAGAAACCATGTCCTTTTTATTTTATTCCTTGGAGTACACAGCAAAGTGCTGGTTGACTTGAGTTGGAAATAAAGTAAAACTGAATTTACTTCACAGTATTGGTTTACTTTATGGGTCAGTTTCTTCATAGAGCAGTAAAATAACTACAGGAACAAATTATGCCATATAATCTTTGAATAGCATTAAACTTGTTATCAATTTCTCTCTGCATCATAGAGAGCTTGCAAGTGACCAGTTCTGTTTCAGGCATAAGATGACTTAATAAACATGAGAAATAGAGAATATAATGCCATTGCTCAGTTGTCCCTCATCAATCATATAAAAGAAAGTATCTTTATCCATCTCCTTTTGCATGTGGAGACATAGCTAAGTAATGCTGCTCCCTATGGCAGGCTGCATTGAGTCTCAAATAGTTTCGAATATTCACATATATTATAAAGAACTTGTGATGAATGAAGACTCAGTCATCTAGCTCAGATCCTGACTCATAAACTTAAAGGAAAAAGTGGAGCCTAAAACCAAAGAACATGAAAATAGCTAAGATTTTTATTGGCTACCTGCCACTCTTGCAGATCTACAAGGTATTAACAGGATTTCAATCATTTTAGAAATGAGAGAGTTGAACAAGATCATTTTAATTGCTATGATTCTGATGATCCATGATAAAAAAATTATTAAAAGAGTCAAATAACTAATGTTTTTAAATTTAATACAACTTTTGATTCTATGTCCCCTCATCATATATATTGTAGTTTAGTTGAATTATATTGGGTGATTAATTGAAATTATTTTCAAAATTACTAATTACAAAATTGGAAACTAGCTCAGTACTGCCAAATATTATAAAGAAAACAAATGCAAACCTCTAGTGTTTCTTACAATATTCTTATTTAGTTTAAAAATGAATTTTAAAAAAGTTTAGAATGCTAGAGCCAAAAGAATATCTCTAGAACTATTTAAACTAAATTCCTTACCAAAAAAAAAAAACAAAAAAACTAAAAAAGAAAGGAAAGAAGGAAGGGAGGGAAAGATGAAGAAAGGGAGAAAGGGAGAAAAAAGAAGAAAGAAGAAAGACAATCAAAGCACGCAAGTCACAATATGGCCCAATTTAATCGATAAATTTTGTATTCTATTGATTGACTAAATGATAAAATATTTTGTCATTATATTGGTAGAGTTTATCTAATAGAATCTTTAGGACATAATGAGATCCCCATGCTCAAATCCCCTATACTGAAATCTAAGCAAAATTACATTTCCAGTAATAACTACATACCTACATACATACACGTATCTATTTTTACTTAGTTATATAATTATATCAGAACATTATAAATATATTGTGTCATATGTGTGAGTATAAAATATTACTGCTGTGTATAAATATCTATAGGAATGTTTCCCAAAAAGTAATCACTGGAACAGAAATTTTAAGAGATTGTCAAAAAGTTTGAGATAGTTAAATACATTTGATATATATAATACATATTAAATATAAAATATATATCCTATGTATATTAAATATATATAGCTTACAAATTTCCAGGACAAGGTTTATTTGACTAAGAAATCTTACCTTTTTTCTGGAAAAAATCTTTGAACTCATGTTTTTGGAACACTGTTAAATGTGATAGCACTAAAGAATAGGTATGAAGTGTTCCAGTTTTTCTAAGTGAAGATAACATTTATAATTTCCATAGCAACTGTAGTTCGGAAACATTGAAAAACTATTTTTAAGTGTTTAAGTGTAAAATCCATTTTCAATGAGTATTATTTATACCAAATGTCCTAGTGCACACAATGCATTAATATGTTCACTGTTATTAACAACAAAAAAGTGAAAATGCAGAAAGTTGAAAGTCTAGGTAAATTTGGGGAAAAATATATGATTAGTATCCAAGGTATATTTTCCACATTTATCTTACAGATTAAGTGAGGCTAAAATAAGGCTGAAAAGGATGAACAGAATTTACAGAGCATCAAAGAAGGCAGAAAGGTACTTGCTGCCACTTGTTTCATTCTCCCTCATTCTCCTTAGTCTCTATTTAGGTCCAAGTCATGTAGCATCTGCTATATAAATCCTTCCCTCATTTCCTAAAGTGAAAATGATCATTTTTCTTTCTTTCTTTGTTTTTTTCCTTTTTTTTTTTTTTTTTTTTTTTTTTGAGTTAGAGCTTCGCTCTTGTTGCCCAGGCTGGAGTGAAATGGTGCAATCTCGGCTCACCGCAACCTCCTCTTCCCGGGTTCAAGCGATTCTCCTGCCTCAACCTCCCGAGTAGCTGGGATTACAGGCATGTGCCACCATGCCCAGCTAATTTTGTACTTTTAGGAGAGACGGGGTTTCTCCATGTTGGTCAGGCTGGTTTCAAACTCCCAACCTCAGGTGATCCACCCGTCTCAACCTCCCAAAGTGCTGGGATTATGCCCGGCCGACAATGATCATTTTTCGTAGAACATATAGAATTCTTCGTTTGTTCCTCGTGTCAGGTATTTATCACATTCTGTGAAGTTATAACTGTTGTCCACCCATTAGATTGTATGTTCAGTTTGGGTGCTGGTCATGTGTTATTTATCTTTCTGTGCCTATATTTTATTGTTAATAAATACACGTTGCCTTTAAGCAACTAAGCATCTTTATAAAAGTTATAGCTATTGCAAGGAAACTTTTCAGAATGAGCAGTATATCAGGTACTCTGCTATACATGCTTTGGGAGTTAAAGTCAGGACAGTCTCATTTAACCTTATGTACTTATTTTGTATTGAAATCCGCTTGTTTTGTATCTTATTTTCAGTGAATAATACTATGCTTTTAGGATTAACCAAAAATATTGTATAATAGAACCATTCTAAAATTTGAGCATATAATTTGTAAAAATGTTTACTGAAAAACATATGTGAGATAACAGTCTACTTTTGCTTATTTGTAATATATAGTTGAGACACATTTTTTTTACCCTTAAGACTTACTTCATATTTTCATTGGACTTTTCACGCTTTTTTATTTTTACTAACTTTAGAGTAGTAATTGAAAGTACTGAAATAATGATTGAAGGTACTGAAATAGTAATTGAAGGACTGAAATAAAATTTCTAGAGATTTTGAGGAAAAAATTTAAAGGTATTTAAGAAAATAGTTTCATCCTCTCAAGCCCAAAAAAACGCTGTGATCTGAAAAAAGCAAAAGTATTCTATGAGTCTAGCTGAGGGGCTTTTCTTTATCTGCTGCTCCTATAGAAACTCAGACTGGGCAAGGAAATTTATGTTGGCTGACAACTTCTGGTTCTCACTAGAGGTCGCAGGATGTCAAAAAACTGACCAGCCAACAGGGACACAGCTGCCAACCTTAGTCTACATAAAGCATCCTTTTTGTACATCTGGGTAATGCCTCGACAGTGTGCCAATTAGAATACCATACTCTAAAACACATTAGGGCCAATTAGTGTCCTGACTCCTGAACAGTTTCTTTGAAATTCAGAGTTTCAGTGCCATGCAGCCTTTGAAGGCCTAGTAGAAAAACAGGATCTGAAGGATTGTTATAACATTCTCCAGAGCAAATGCTTCAATCTAGTTAAGGTTATCTGATGACTTAATTATTATCATGTTCTCTCCCTTTTTAGGGAGTGTTAGAGACATTTAATTAGCATCACTCTCAATGTTATAAGTTCAACACTTACAAAATCAGTATTTCTTTAAGAGTTCTAATCATTTTGCTTGAAGAAGAGATAATATTGTCCTGTCCTTAACACACTTAGGTTCCACACGCAAATATTAGTATTCCTTTGGTAATCTTAATTTTCAAGATTCATTTTATACAGTACTTTCAATATTCAAACTTTAATGTGGAGCTCATACTTTTAGTTTTTTGCTCATCATATTAATTAGAACATTAATAAAATATTGCTTAAAACACATACAAAAATCCCTCACAATTGTGATATAGAAGTATAAATTATAAATATGGAAGTAGAAATGATAAATTATAAAAGTACAAAGTACTTTTCAACAGAGAAATCACTTCAAAAACTTACACTGAGTGACATAGTTAAATAATTAATCTTATGAAAAAGTGTATTATAAAAATTGAAGAAAAAACAGATTTTTACCTTTGATAGAAATTCAAAAACCATAGGGAATCTTATAGTTCTAAAATATAACCATTACTTTAGCCTATAGTGCTTGATATTTGAAAGAAGAAGCAACTAATTTTGCAATAAAATACATTCTATTTCACTAAATTAAAATTTATCATCCCATTATTCACTTTGATGTTTATTATTTTGGGAAATTATTTATTAGCAATGAGTCAGATACCAAGCAATTTTAATTTAATTTAATTTTAATTTAATTTAATTTAACTGGGGTGTTGGAAGAATCGAAGTTAGAAACTGATTTACTGTGTCATGCTTTTTACATAGTTAAGATCATTAACAAATATGTTTGCCAATTTTATGAAGTGCTTCTTATTTCATGATAATTCTATTTATTTTTGCTGGGCATGTCCTGTGAAAGGAAGCATTTATTTACTATATTAGAATAAAAATGGCTAATAAAAAGTCCCATTACATATTGAATTAATTGCTCTAATAATTGCTTTCCTGTTTTACTAGAATTAAGAGCGAACAGCTTCAGGTTCTCTGCATGTGGTCTCATGGTTTTAAAAGAGTAAGCCATAAACTTTGCACTGATTTTATAGCCAAACACATGACAACTTCCATTTCTCATAGCAATTATTACTATAGAGCAAGAAAACAAAGGAGAACCAACTAATTTTTACAGGTTTTCTAGAAATGTTTCAATCTAATTCCTTGAAATTATTAAAGTGTTTTATTTTTAAATGAGAGCTGTAGTAAAACATTATTCTAGCAAAGGATTTAATTACTTTTAATGTTGATGTTGGAACCCAAATGAATGAGCAGACTTTTAAAAATTCTTCTAAAGAGCAGTGCGCAAGAGAAAAAAAGATAGCAACGCTCTGCTTTTATGTTACAAGCAGAATACTTAATAGTGAGGTGTGAGATATGAGGCTCAGACTCACAGATGAACTGTGACCTCAACTCACAAGTGGTGGTGTTTTCAGAGGAGTGGTAATAATTTACAAAGCACCGGTATAACCTTCTGTTGAATACATGCGAACTAAAGTAGAAAGCTGAGGAAATTATCCAGATATGTCAGCACTTTCTTGCTAGGAAAAATTAAAACACCACACCCGTTTTCATCTGAAATAGCTAGATAATTGAGGATCAAAACGTTGTCTGAGTAATTAGCTCTTGATAACCCAATCTCCTGTGTACCCTGGCAAAAGCACTGTGGATGTGCTAGTGATCTACTGACATGCGAGACAGTGGGAGTCCACTGTTAAGATGGTTGACATCCCTGCTGGCCCAACCCTGCCTCTGTTTTCAAGATCTCTTTCTTTCTCTCTCTCCCTCTTCTTTTTTTTTTTTTTTTTTTTTTTTGGTTGTCAGACCCAGAGTAAATATGAATGAATTCTTTCCCCAAGAGGTGAGGAAGAAGAAAACTATGAAGGAAATTGTTCCTTCTGAGCTGTAGCCACTTCAGTGTCTCAGGCTTTTAGAGTTGGTGTCGTGAGACTAGAGAAAACCATCTTCACCTATTTTAGGGGCCATTAGTTAATGTTGTTAAAGTGCTTTGGAGATGAAAAGCAATAAATATATAAATAAACACACTTCAGATGTTTCATATTGATTGGAGGCTGGTTTTATAGTGTAAAACTATTGCTTTAGTGGTTGGAAAAGCCACCCAAAGTGAGTTATAAGCTGGAAGATGAGGGCCAAGGTCATTAATTATTGCCACCCGAAAGCCCAGGGCAGCTTACAAAATAAATTTGGCTGGGTCCTGGAACTAAGCGCAGAGCATAATGGGGAGTTCAGAAATACAGAAAAACTAGTGTTCAAGTGCAGCTGCATATTATGAATAGAGTTAAATTAGTTATAAAATAACTTGGTGATTTTACAATGCATCATAAAAAAATGAAATCACACAAGTTTTAAATTTATGCCAACCAATTACCCAACAACGTATGTATTCAAGAGGTCAGTAAACAATATCAGCCTTTTCAGTTTAACTTATTTCAGCACACTGTGTTTTTATTTACTATTAAGATGTTTGTTCTCATAGATCCAGAACAAAATTTATTTTATCAACTTATTTTCACAAGGTTTATTTTGTGAAGGTAAATTAATAAAGTTAGCAATAGGGTATTACTATTATTTGGACATTTAGTTATTTATGGGTGGGAATGGAAAGGACAGATGAAATCCTCAAGTGAATGAGTCCTGTTAGAAATTTAAACCTTCTACTTTCTTTACTGCTTTCTTCATAATCTTTTATTACCTGCCAAGGAAAAATCTTGCTTTTCTCAACCGTTTCATAAATACTTATTAAAAGTTTCATAAATACTTATTACAAATTTCCTTTCAGATTGGATTGCTGGTGCTCTGGAATTCCGTATCAGTGGGCAGAAGAAGAGGTGAGGACTTCATAGCTACGGGTTCCTGTCACGTGCCAGGCTGCATGCGAAGTGATTTACATACTTGATGTGTTTGCATTGCAAAATAACCATATGAGGTAAGCATTTTATTTTATTTTATTTTAAAGGTGAGAAAAATTGAGCTAAGAAAGGATAAGTGTCCAAAGACATCTAACAAGGAGAGCGACAAGGACTTAAACACGTTTTCCCATCCCAAACCCTGCTTTTATACTGAATGTATAGATTTTTAAAATTAATTTTCACTGATATTTTAGTGTTCAGTGTTTCCAGTGATGGAATCTTTTAGAATACTACTTCGATTATAAAATCGAGTTAATTTTATTTTTGTCCATAAAAAATTATTTTGCATCTTGTATGTACAAAGTATTTTGTGGGATTCATTTATGGAAAAGATGTGGCTCCTATCCTCTATGAGATGGACAACTTGAATGCAAGGCAGAGTAGAGGGACTTCTTTGTAGACTATCATCTGGGGAGTCAGGAAGGATACAATGCAGCCAGGATGGAAGGAAGAATGGGCTTTAGCTGGGGATGGAGGTCATTGGCCATTGTTAGGCATATAGCTCTCCACTGCCCAGCACCTGTTTAGCAGGATTAGTAGAAATGCAGGCTCCCAAAAAGTGGCCAGCCAAAGGAGACAGTGGAGGATCAGGGGTTATAAGGCAACCATAATATGTCCATGAATCACTCACTCATTTCAACTCCCTTTCCCCATCTTTAAAATAGCTTAAGACTCTAAAAACTTTGGCAAGTGATTGACCTGGATAATGTGCCTTAAGGAGTTGAGTGTATTCCTTTCTTCCAAGAAGCTGATAATACTCCATCATTATAGTTTTAAAACTAAATTATTCTCATTGTGTTGGAAGTATATAATACGATCCATCAAAGGTTTCAGAGTCTATTTTTTAATCACCTATGAAGTAAGTAAAATAAAATACAAATTAAATTTTATAGGGAAATTGCTTAGGAAGTCTTGGGAGACATACTTTATGCTCATAATGTAAAAATATGAAAACAGTACTATATTAGCTAAATAAAGGGGACAGAAAATGGCCAGATGAGAGGCGTTCTAATGTCAGTCACTATATTATTGGGGAATTTATAAAGAACACCAGTAATGTTTATTTTTTAGTTTGAGGGGTTTTGTATTATTAATGGAATTTTTCAAAGAAAATTATCCTAGTTTTATTTAATCTGTAGCCAGATTTGTGTGTGTGTGTGTGTGTGTGTGTGTGTGTGTGTGCATGCTGAATTTCTTGCCTGCCAGTGGAAAAACTATGTATAGATTTTGCCGATCACTAGAAAAATACCAATTAATAATAATAACCAACTTTTTTAATGTTGCTAGCTTACATCTGCTAGGGAGTACATTGCATGCATAATTTTATCTAGTTCTCAGTTTAACCCTATTAGGTATTTCATTTCTGTTTCAAAAACCAGGAGAGTGTAGCTAGGGAAGTAACTTGCTCAAGGCAAGATAGCTACTAAATGGGAAAGTGAGTATTAAGTCTGTGTTTTCTGTGGCTGAATTCTGTGCTCTTAACCGATTTGTTCATTGCTTCTCTCCAGCATCACTTTGAGTAAGTTATTCTGCTTTAGGTCAAGTGAAGAAAGAGAAGCTTCTTTTCAAATAATGTAGTTAGAGGGACTGGAAATAATTTGACTTTTTAGAACTCACTTAAAATGATAATAATAACAGTTACCAAAAGTTCTTATGTACTAGGAACTAGTATACACATAGTTTCTATATATGAGGAACTATAAAAAATATCACATATATTAATTAACTTATTCTTTGTAACAACTCTATGAAATATCACTATCCCTAAAATTATCTGCGTTTTATGAATGAGAAAACTGAGGACACTTGAGGTTACAAAAGCAGGTACAAAGTTACCAAGCTAGGAAGTAGAGAGCTGGAAATTGCACTGAGGGACTGTTTCCAAGCTCTATACTCTTGTGCCTCCTTAACTAGGTGTTCAGGGTACAACAGTGAGGATTCAGTAAAGGAGCAGAGGTTACATAATTGGAAACCTACTAGTGGACTCAAGCCTTTGAGTCCCATTAGGTTGGAAATAAGAAGACCTCCTTCTTATTCCATTCCACTGCCCCCATTTCACTTTGGCCAAGCTGTTGCCCAAAGGAAGAATGCAATCATTTCTGGATGTCATTAAGCAATTATATATGTTTTTTTAATACACAAGTCAGTGGATATTCTGAAGAGTGATACAGCAAGTGATGCCTAAAACAGCAAACAAATCCAAAGTGCCAACAATGAATACATGCAGCTTCCCCGTCCAGACTCAGACCTTTTGTATTGAAGGACTGGAAGTGAAAATGACTGATAAGCAGGTACGAGAAGGAAGCAACTGTGGGACAGGTGTGATGGAGGAGGCAAATGGCAGGAACCCACAGGCAGTGTGGTGTAGCAGAGGACGGGAGCTGAACTAGATCAGTGTTTATCAAACATTAGTCAACCTTCACCTGCTACCTTCATCACTGGCTTAATTTCACAAAGCAAGTGCCTTGGTTTTTAGCTTAAGCATGATTGTAAGAACTATATATGCAATGGCAAATTTAATAACTATTTTTTTCTGATACATATACACATCTATATGTAGTTTATTACTACATTACCTAAAATCACTTCATGTACTCTCAGCAATTTAAGTACCACACTTTGGGACACTGAACTCTACTATTAGGAGATGCCATGTAGAACTGAAAGAAAGCTCATGAAATAAAGCTGTATCTATCCAGTAGAGGGTCACATCAGAATGGGGTGAAAATAAGAGTTAAATGGTCTGGAGTAGCTAAAAGCCATAAAAACAAAGGACATCTCTGTTCCCCACAGTGAGGGCCAGTGAGGGCATGGTAGAGAGAAAGACTAGTACAGTAAACTATTAAAGAATAACCAGAGATTCTGTTTAGGGGCCCCTATTCAGATTATAATCCGGAATCCATTGCAGAAGGAAAGCTCCTTTTATCCCCTGGGTATTTTTTTTCACAAGGGACAAAAGGGAAATATATTCATTCATGTATTACTTGGTCTTATAACACAAAAAGATCACATCTAGCTTTGCACAAATCTAGATTAGAAAGAGTACATGTCTAATTGATATTTTCTACAAGGGAAATTTATTTTAATTGGTATTTCCAACGTGATATACTAATTGGCATAGAGCTTGCCTTTTGCAGCACTCTTGGTTGGCTTCATTCCCTATTATTGCTGAGAGTGATGGGGTCCTGTTGTAGGTGGCAATGGTGATCAAGAGAGCTTGTCAGCTAGAAGCCAGGGCAACATCAGCACATGTCTTACTAAGGGAATCAATTTCTCCTTTTTGTCTTTCTGAGGAGATTGAATTCACGTACTGCGTGTCTGCAGCTATACTATGACACAGCAATCAACTCCTTGCTCACATACATATTCTTGCAAATTTATGTTTCTTTCATGGACAAGGAAAAATCTATTTTTAGTTTGTAATCATAACAACTATAGAGACAAAATTAGTTTAAAAAAATGAAGTTTCTTATTACAACCTAGAGTTAGATTTAATATTTAAAAATAAATCAGGGATTAAGCCTGGGTATTGTGATGTAGGTATTCTCTGCAAGTATATTAGCTGTAAAGAAACATTCCTGTATTTTGACTTGAAGTTCTACTATGAAAATCATTCTAACTCTCTGGACTACAAATTCATAAAATTATAAAACCAAATAATGAAACACATGTTAAAAGTAATAGGTGTCATTATACATAATGAAGCTATTATCCCTATACAGTACTTTTTTTCCCAGAACAAATGAATAAAACATATTTATTCCTGCAAAGTAAGTGATGTTTAGGCAAACCACAGGTAAAACTTCTTGCAAATTTACACATGATAAAATAGTCTAAGGAGATGTTTGCAGGCATTTAGATTAACAAGGGACATTTTTAAGGTTTGGGATAGGGAATGGGAACACTGTCAGCAGCTCAAGAGCAGGAATCCTCTAGATGACATATGCATTCTCTAGGCTTTCAGATGGGCTAAGCAGGACATATTCTTGTTGAGCTCTGCACTAGGGCAACACTATTATTAATTATGCAAACTTTTTTTTTTTTGGATGGGTAAGAGAATTTGAGAATGACTCAGCAAGAGATTTCAAAATCAAACGCCTCTACCTGCTTATTGAACATGTTCTTTTTAAAAATCTACTTCTGCTCTGTATCCTGGGCATTAAAAGCTTAAGATCTATGGAAGGGAAGCTCCATCATTGCAGTGGCCTCTGAGAAAGACCCAGTTTTGCAAAGAACACTTGGTCAGTTCAGTTCCACCTAGCCTTCCTATACTTTTAGTTTAAGTTGAAAATACTTGGTACTTTTTCAAGATTGGCTTCTTACTTTTCTCTAACAAACATGAATAAAACCTAGTAAAATCTCCAAACCAAAGATGACTTTATCTGTCAAAGTTGTGTGTGTGTGTGTGTGTGTGTGTGTGTGTGTGTGTGTGTGTTTACCTTCATACATTCCTCTAGATGATAACTTGGATAGGGGGAACACTAGTCAAATAATATGTAAGGCTTTTTTTTTTTTTACAAGTCCTTGCTAAAGTGACAGTTTTAAAGATTTAGTTGGAAAAGGAAAGCTCCCAATCACCAGTCCCTTGGAAGCTTGTTGGGGGAGAAGTCATCTCACCTATTTTGGAAACTACTTGCAGATGTGGGGAAACCTCGGAATTGCTCACAACAGGGGTTTTACAGAGATTTCCTCTGATTTTTTTCCTCCCCAATTTCCCACAACCTGTGTTTGTCTTGAGTCTGCTCGGCTGACATGTGGTTTACCTCGCTGACCCTCCTGCCAGGTTTTACACCCTCTCCTCTGAAGAAGTAAAACATTACTGAAGCCGAAGGATACTGAGCAACTCTGCTCATGGGCGCCAGAACTGTCACAGAAAATTTGCTTCCCGAGTATTCCATCCAGCTTCCCTTCCTGCGCCCACGTGAGCCATAGCGCCAGCCCATCGGCAAGGTCTCAGCGTTTCCTGCTGCTGCAATCTGTAACTCGATTTTGGATTTTTTTTTTAATTGCAGTTCTGAGGATCTTAGTTCTTAGCAAAACTTTGTTGGTTAGGAGACCAACAGTAGTCTGTTTATTTTCTTACCAAAATCGTGAAGACTCGCACACTTTTCCTCCATTCCTGCGCTGCTCTAAGGTTAAACAGCAGCAAAGGAAAGAAATACACACTCGCTGTTTATTTGGGGGGAGGGGAAATATGGATTTGCAGCTAAGTTATCACGATCCTTCGCTCCACCCCCGGTCTGGCACTCTCAACTGACACGTACATCATCTATTAATTGCTGTTTGCGTACACAGATACATAATATATTCATTTTTATCTTTGGTAAAATATAAATGGAATTGTCAGCGCGCTCCTGTCTGTTTGTTTGTCTAAGGCTATCAAAAGAAGTCAAGAGAGGAGGCTGTGGTCCGGATCCTGACCCTGATTGTATGAATAAGTAAGCAGGATGCAAGTGATTGGGTTAGATGGTGCGAATATTTTTTTTTTTCAAGTTAGGAAGAGGGTAAAAAGACAGGCTGGCGGGGGGAAGGCAAACAGTGCATCCCCAAATCCTCACACTTTTGCTCTCTTGCAGTCAGTTGCTTTGCTGGCTTCTGCAGGCTTTTAAGGTCTCGCGGCGTAGAAATGCCTGGCCCCCACCCCCTTCCTCGGTCTCCCCTTTCAATTCAGATGTGCTGATGTGCAGACCGGATTCATCTTCTCGGAGCTGCGGCGGCGGCTTTGGGCTCAGGCGGCGGCGGCTCGCGCTCGGCCGCGGAGTCCTGGCAGCAGCGGGGACGCGGCGCGGGAGTCCGAGCTCTGGTGGCAGCTGAGCCCGCGGGGCGCCGCTCGCCGAGCCGCGGCCGCGGGAAGTTCGGCAGCCAGAAGGACGACCTGGCAGGCTGCGAGCGCCAGCGCCGCCAGAGCCGAGTTTGCCTGCGCCCTCCCCGCCTCCGAGTGCAGAGTTCCTTACCTGCCCTCCGCCCACCCGTGGGCCCCTAGCCAACTTCTCCCTGCGACTGGGGGTAACAGGCAGTGCTTGCCCTCTCTACTGTCCCGGCGGCATCCACATGTTTCCGGACACCTGAGCACCCCGGTCCCGCCGAGGAGCCTCCGGGTGGGGAGAAGAGCACCGGTGCCCCTAGCCCCGCACATCAGCGCGGACCGCGGCTGCCTAACCTCTGGGTCCCGTCCCCTCCTTTTCCTCCGGGGGAGGAGGATGGGGTTGGGAACGCTTTCCCCGAGGATGCTCGTGTGGCTGGTGGCCTCGGGGATTGTTTTCTACGGGGAGCTATGGGTCTGCGCTGGCCTCGATTATGATTACACTTTTGATGGGAACGAAGAGGATAAAACAGAGACTATAGATTACAAGGACCCGTGTAAAGCCGGTAAGTGGCTCTCCAGGTTGGGACGGTGGCGCGCCGGGGGCCGCTGCGCTGGGTTTCCCATGGGTGGCGGTGGGAGCTCACCTGTTTCCTTCCCTCCCGCGTCAGCCCCTCCGCCGCCCCTCCTTCTCTCCCCCTCCTTTTCCTTCCCTTCCCCACCCGCAAGTGGCAGCCGCTGCGGCCCCAGTTGACTAGAGTTCTGTGCCAGTGGGATCCACTGCCAAGCTCCCATCTCCCAGTTTGGGAATAAGGTCCTAGAGTTTCTGATCCCTCTCCCCTCCCCCAGCAAAACGAAACAAGTCGTAAATATAGCTTGCTGCTGTAGGTTTTAAATTCCAACACTCAGCGGGCTTTATGCATATGGAAGGGACACCGTCTTCTTTCCCCTCTCCCCCAGGGCGCGGTTTCCCAGCGCTTGTTCGAGAGCGAGTTGGCAGGGTTCCCCAAAAGATACAGGAGGATGGCATTGCTACCTGGAGACACCTTGGCTCCCTCTTTTACCAGGAATTTCAAGTGTGGGTTCCAGGCTAGAAAGGGATTGTGACAATCTCGGAAGAACTCACTTCTAGATGGGATTCTGATGCATTTGCCCATTTAAAATAAACTGAAAAGAAAAATGTTTTTAAGTTGCTACCCCATTCAAATTTGTGTCTTCCTTCCAGCTAACACCCCAGGGAAATGCAGTCGGACCGGCACTGCCTGAAGCTCAGCTTCTTGCCTCGCAGGGTCCCTGAATGTCCCAGGTCCTTCCCCTCCCTTCTACGCCTCTGGCGCCGCTGCCAGCCTCTCGCGCGCGCGGGGCGGCGCTTCCCTCTCGCCGCCTAAGGTCGGAGGCGCACGTGCCCGGGGCCGCTACCACGTGAGCGCAGCGCCTGAGGGCGCCCAGCACTGGCCGCGGCTCGTGTCCGGGCTTCGGGAGCTCCTGGTTCCTTGCTCTATTGGGCTGTGGCTGAGGTGATCCGCGCTCAGTGTGGACGCACAAGTAACTTCGTAAAGGTTGCATGGTGGTTGGGGCTAACCTAGCAGAGCGGTTTGTAAGCGGAAGGCACGTTAGGTTCCATCCCAAGAGGTGTGGGCTTTAGCGAAGCGCAGAGGAAGGGAGTGGACAAAGTCAAATATATCTAGGGTTCTGCAGATTCCGTGCGGGGTTGCTCTGTGACTAGCTTTTCTTCCCTTCCATAACTAGATAAGCATTATTCACCCTCTCTTGGGCCTGGAGGAAGGAGAGGTGTACACAATGAAGAAAAATGCTGGAAATTCCCTAGTTAATTTTTACCTTTGATGACCCATTGTTCTGACAAAAAGGGTATGTGTGTTGTGTTCACATTATCACATCTTTCTCGGTGCATCCTTAAATGCAGGTACTTATTTAAAAGCCAGAGTAGCTTAGCAGGAGCCTGTTAGGCTGGAACTCAGAATTCTGATTTAATTCAGTTTTGCTGATGAATTCCCTGCTGTCACTTTTAATAACTGTATCTATTTTCCCACTGAAAGTTTCTTGGGCCACCCCGGATGGTTTGGACAAGGAGATGCTGATTGCTGTGGTGGGTGACTAGTGGCTGGGCATTCAGAATCTGTTCTCTGCAACTCCTTAAATGTACTTTTTGCTAAGAAATTTCTTTTGAATAATGTTGTAACTTGCTGAAAATTGTGCGTTTTCTTGTTTGTGGTAAGGTAGAGATGAAGTACATTATTTCAAAAGATTGTCTAGGAAAACATCTACTTTGATACCCTGTTCTGTGAAAGATTCAAGCAGATAAGTATTTGCACCATGTGTATTGAAACACACCTCAGACATTAGTGTTTAGTTTCCTCAGCAAATAAACATCTAGGCAAGGAAAAAAAAAAACTTTAATAGCATTTACTTTTTGTTTCCCCTTTGATGCTGGTTTATTTTTGAATATAGCTGTTGAAAATAAAGCAACAATAAAACCAACGTTGAATGGATTATTACCCTAATCTTATTTCTTCTCTGTTTTTGAGAAGAGGCATACCAGTGCACACCTGTGTGTGTGTTCACACGCATGCATGTGTGTGTGTAATGAGAGGGAAATAAGAATGGCCTAAGTGGAGGGCTAAGAAGTATGCACAGAATGTGAATCCCTTTTAAAATTATCTACCCTGCTTTTGAATTTAGGCTTCAATTTACCATCTTGGCTCAATACAGGCAAAATTTTAGTGCCTCCTTTTTACCACTGGGAAAGTCAAATCAAAGTTCCAATAACAGAAAAAAAATGAAATACTACATTGAAATCCCAAGCAAGAGTCAAAAAAAAAAATCACTGAAATAAGGAAGATGGGGACGGGTCTGTGAAAGAAAGCCATGCAAAAGCAAAAGAGAAGGTACTTTCCAGACACTTGGGGCATCTTTGATCTGCCCTTTCCAAATAACAGATTGGAGGGCATGGCCCATGAAATAAAAGGCCCTTTCTGAGCTCCTCTAATAGGGTCTTCATATTCCTCAAAGTACACAGAGGCTTGATATCACAATGACAATCATGGCTTCGTGGTTTTAAAGCACTTTTGAGTGTTGGTGTTCACAACAGCTCAATATGGTAGAGTTTGTTACTCTTCCCATTTTACAGATAGGAAAGCAGAGGCCCAGTGAGGTTACATGTCTTCATTAAGATTATTCAGAACTCAATTCCAAGTTTCCTGGCTGCAAGTCTGGCTGTATTTGACAATTACACTGCATTCTTAGTTGGCCTTTTGGAGGCTTTCATTGAGATGATAACAATAGAAATTAGTCCAGGTTTACCAGGAGTCCAGACTACTAGAGATGCGATTGCTTGCATATCTGATATAGGTGAAGCGAAGATCATAGCTTCATATTTTTGAAACTCAAATCCTTGAGGACAGAGACCATAACTGGTTTGTAATGTTTATCACAGGAATGGATTACTACTGTTAGGAATTTAATATGTTCTCAATACCTTCTCGATATCTATAGACTGTTGATACTGCCATTTACAAACTTTTTTCTAAACAAGATCAAACGTGTGTTACCCAATGAGATTTGTTTCTGAATTACAACTTTAAAAGTTACACTATCCTCAACACATTTGTGAAATAGAATACAATTTGTTTACCTATCAGAATTCTGATTTCAAGTTCATGAAACTATAGGGTAGGAAGGAATCCTTGTGTTAATTTGATAGGATTTTTATTCAGAAAGACATTATAGGTATAAGTGATAGTAGGTGAGTCAGTGCAGCACAGCTGCGGATATATTTACATAGCCAAATCCATTAGGACAAAATATAGGTACTTTATTTCTCTATATAAGTAGATATACACAAAGATACAGATAATTCAAATGAATATCTGTCTGTCTTTCATCAGTGCAGTACACAATCATCTGAATATACAATCAGGTTTCTCTTACTCTCTAGGTCAGGAGGCTCCCAAGGGACACTGGGAAGCTGATGCTGCAAGAGCTCATTCCAGAGCAGAGACTGAGGTGTCCTGTTTCATTGTTGTACTATAGAAATAAATGTGAATCTGAGTATTAATATCTGTGAGGAGCCTGGGCAAATTTAGTTTGTAAGTTAGTCTTCTGCCAAATATGTGTACAGATTACATGGAAAAGCAGATACCTGATGAACTGCGTATTAACACATACCCTTCCTTCTCTTCTCTCCTTCTCTTCTTCCCTCCCTTCCATTCCTTGCTTTTTTACTTCCTTCCCTTCTTTCCCTTCTTCTTTCTTTTTTTTTTTTCTTTTTTTGTATTTACGGGAATATTAAGAAAGCTCAGGCAATTGTAAATAGAATATCTAATAGGAGAAATTGAAGAAATTAGTATTTTTAATTTTGGGTAGAGGGGTATAGAATTGGTGGAGTAAGATGTTTTTGCAGAACAATATCCTTATTCTCTGTAGACATTTGTGAACACCTGACAAAAGACTTTCTACCTAGAAGCTCCTGAGTGAAAGTCCAAAAACCTAGAAATAGGCTTTTGGCATTTTAGAAAACTATTTCTGCTTTTCTTTATAGTCAGTGCCCCAGTGTCCTAGTATGCTAGGCCTTGTGATAATTTTCCTCAGTTTATAATTTCTAGGTAACATTGCCTCATTCTTTTGGCCCTCAGTGTTGTACTTTCTAGCTGAACTGGCCATTTTCGAATTTGATGTTCTTTTCCATATCTTTATTCCATCATAATTTTAGATATGCAAACATTTATTTCTTAGTCGGTGCCTCTCTAGACTGCTGCACTCTCATTTAAAAATGCATTTCATAGAGCTGCTTCTCCTAATCTGTTTCTTCTGTTTTAGTTTTCGTTTCCTCAGATCTTGATTTTTTTTTTTCTCTTCTTGCCTTGGGTGCCAACTCAGAAGTCGCCAAAATACAGTGTTTGCAGAAGGGATGGATAAGACATTATATTCCATACACTTGAATTCTGCTCCTGGTTTGTCAGTAGTAAGTCGTTAGTCCTTGTCTTGAGGGCCCACATCCATATTTGGTCCACAATGGCAGTTACTGTTGTTAGGTGTGAAAAAGATAGATTTTTTTTTTCCTAAATATATTCCCTCAGACTGAGCAAGGTCAAAAGCTCTTCTTTTCTTTTCCTTTTTGTTTGTTTACATAGTCTCCTGAGAGCCTCCCACGTTTTGCTTCTGGGTAGTGTCATTCACAAATTCAAAACCTAAGTGGAACCTCTTCTCTTAGCTAGTTGCTGTAATAATGCATAGAATTCTTGATTCAAGTAGGTGCCCAGTCAACCCTACTTGACTCAGTGTAGGCCTCCTTAGACCAAGGTGAAACAGTTCGTATGTGTAGAGCCTAGAAAAGGCTTTTTGAAAAAGTTAACATAATTCCACAGCTTTCCCTCTTACCCTGATGATGGCTTCCTTTTTTTTTTTTTTTTTTTTTTTTTTTTTCTGAGACAGGACCTCACTCTGTCACCAGGCTGGAGTGCAGTGGCACAATCTTGGCTCACAGCCTCGACCTCCTAGGCTCAAGCAATCCTCCTACCTCAGCCTCTGTAGCAGCTAGGACTACAGGTGCATGCCACCATGCCCAGCTAATTTTATTATTTTAATTTAATTTAATTTTTTTGTAGAGACAGGGTTTCACCATGTTGCCTAGGCTGGTCTTGAACTCCTGAACCAAGTGATTCTCCTGCCTCAAGCTCCCAAAGTGCTGGCATTACAGGCGTGAGCACCCGGCTGACAGTTTCCTTTTCTATGAAAGCCTAATATAAGCCATGTATGGTTCCTCCATCAGAAACCATATTGTCTTCCTCTATTGTGTATGCAGGAATCCTATTTTTGAACATCTTAGCAAATTTCTCTCATGTGAAATTGAGACTTACTTGCCAATAGTTAAAACAATATTCTTTGCAAACCTTCTTATGGCTATTAGTCACCTTAATCATCCTTCAGACCTTTCAATTATTGAGGCCTTGATATGATCGCTTACAGAAAAGAGGTTAGCCTTTAAATTCTTCTGGAACTCAGGTAGGTAGTATTAAGTGCTGATAATTTACCATCATTCATTTTAGAATATTACTTATTCTAATAGTTCCTTAGACCCATCTGCTTAAAATATTTAAAACTAGGACCCTCCTTAAGCTTTTCTAAGAATGCTTAGAGAAGACAGAGGCAAATAATCCATTTAAAATGAGGCATTGCACATCCTGCTGAGACCATCTGGTGTCTAGGGAAGTGGTGGGGGTGGGTGAGCCATGTTGCTCCCCTGAACTGTCAGAACTCCGCCCTGCAGCATCTTGAGCTCAGACTTAGGCCAGGACTCGGGGGCCTGGCAAGGTTCCTGAGGATGTAGGATTTCCTCATCCTCAGGATGAGGGGAGTTTGGAAACCTCTTAACAGTTCTTTCATATTCCAGGATCTGGAATTAATTGTGGACTTATCCTTCCTAAATTGAGGAGTGCAGAGTCCTCTCCCCAACCCTGGATATGGCAGAATGATTTAGCAATATGGCTTTCGTGGTTTTTGTCTTTAATTATCTATTGAATACTAACACTTGGGAAGGAAAACTTAAAAAATATATAACCTCAAAGCTATGGAATGAATGACATAGATCGTGTTCTTTTCCAGAAAGCAGGAGGAGAGAATCCCTTGCTTATTTATTTCATTCTTGTCATTGTGAGCCCTAAAAATGGAATACTGACTATTGGACTTTGAGATATTGTGGACTGGCTAATGGACTGCTAGTTTTGTCAGCTCCTTATAGAATGTGTGCTAATCCTGTCAAGCTGTTCTGAAGAGCTCAACTACATATTTTGTATTAAGAAGTCTAGTAAATTAGGTGTTAATTGAAATCCAGAAAGTGAAGCAAGGTGGTGTTTATCTTACTCAGCTCTTCTCTTGCCACTTACATTTAGAGTTTAAGCTAAAACAAATGCTATCCATTGTATTTTTTAAAAGAACTTCTTTGAATGATAGTAATTTTAAAAAGTTGAAATCATATATTAAATGGGTCAGAAGTGCTCTAAATATATTATTTTTTCCCAATCAAAATCTAGTTTTATGTATTGGTATGCTACTTGAAGCATTCAACTCAGTGTTTAAAAAAGACTTCAACAGTTTTTAACACACCATACCATTTTACAAGTCAGGGGAGTTGTTACGGAGGTGGAGATAAAAGCCATATATTTACTCTCAGCATTTTAAATATTCTGTGTTGTTGAGTTTTCCATTGACGACATTTAATTTGTGTGATGAGGGAGGCAGAGATGGAGGGGTAAAAGGGTGAAATAGTTCCCTCATTCCTTACATTTCTCATCTATGTTAAACTGTCAGCACATGGATTGTGTACCACAGAGCCACCTCTGGTAGCTCCTGGCCGGGTTGCTGCTGTAAGTGTCTTCTGAGCTCTCTTCTTTGCCTCTGAGTGTATTTGAAGAGTTTATTGGGATAATCTCAGTTTCTTGTTAAGTGTTGGAAACCACCTTGGCATTAGCTCAGTTGATTGACCATCCAGAAAAGATGGAACTTTGTTCCTCTGCCCTATTCTTTTCAGAGCACAAATACCTAATAGTTGAGGCTTATGGTATTTTGTGTTTCGTATTCAGATTAAAGATAATTAAGTATATGCCTCATTGCATAGAAGTTAAGATCTTTCAAATATCCCCGGGAGAAACACCATGAATAATTAGGAAACACCAAATGGAGAATATTAAAGAAGGGAATGAGTCCTCACCTATCTCAAGTACCTCGCATATCTAGGAAGTCTCTTCATGGCTCACATCATAACATAGTTTACATTTTTGCATTAAAAAATCTAGAGCCTCCTGTCTTCACCATATCCCCATCAATTAACATTATCCCTCCTTCTGGATACGTGAGGAAAACAGGCAAGTGGTGAGGGCTTGAACCTGAGTTTCTATATTTCTGATGACTTTCCTTTTTCAAATTTCTCACACTTGGCTCTGCAGTGAGACTGTCAATTTACATGGTGGTGGACATCCATCCGTTGTGATTTCTTTGTTGAGAATGCCTCTTGCTTTTAGTGTTCTTGCGTTTTTATAAGCCACGTACTGTATTGTCAGAGTAAGACCAGTGTTTTATAATCACATGGAGTTTAGTGCAGGGCCTCCTCCTTCTTGAGAGCATTCTCGTAGTGTGAGAAGTTACGAGTGAAATACCTACTTATGGATGAAACAAACAAAAATGCAAATGACTAATTTTAATAGGATTAGAGACATGTTTGAGGGTGAATAGTGTAGGGGAGACAATGCTGTATGTAGCCTCAAGTATATGCATTGTGACAGCAGGCTTTCCATGTCCATTAAGACAGGGGCTGGGTTGGATGTGGGTAGAATTTAGTCATGAGTGCCCTGCTGCTGGCACAGGCTCTGACATTTTGTATGGTAACATGTTGTTTCACACTTTAAATTTACTCGGAGTATTCATTGAATTCATGATTATGAGCCCATACAGAGTGCAAGAACATCCTTTCAAATGCAGGTGAAAAAAATTCAGGAAAGTGGTTTACAGTGTACACTATGTATGTAAATTATGTGTGAATGCCTTTGAGAAAACAAATATGCTGTGTGAAGTTACTTAAATAACTTCACCTTTTTCAATCCTAACTTGTCTAAAAGCCTAAGGTCAAATGCTTGAAAACTCCTAGAGATAATAGGATCAAATAAACTGCTTGGAACTCTGGCCTGGTTTCCTAAGAGGAGGAAGTCTGGCAAATTCAAAATATATACCATATGTAATATTTACTATACGGGTATTATAATTTTTTTGAAGAAAACATATTATTATTTAGCAAATTATCATATTTTCTAGGATGAAGAATTCCTGCTTGTACTTGTTTCCTAACAAGTGGTAGAACAAAATCTGGTAAAACAGGCTTCTCATTTTTTTCTTGCCTCTTTCTTTTCTACCTAAGACCTAGTGGAAAATTTTCTTTTATATATGTATATTCTTTAGTCCCAAGAGAAGAAATAGTATATAACTAAACCTGAATGCAGTGTAGCTGGCAGGCAGTCACCAGGGTCAGAATAATTGGGTTTTGGTATCTGGAACGGGTAAAGGAAATAATGACCTAAATCAGGGCCCCTGTGTTGCTTTATGTTTCTTTCAATTTTTTTTGAGACGGGTTTTGCTCTTGTTGCCCAGGCTGGAGTGCAGTGGTGTGATCTCAGCTCACTGCAACCTCCGCCTCCCAGGTTCAAGGGATTCTCCTGCCTTAGCCTCCCGAGTAGCTGGGATTACAGGCATGCGCCACCACGCCCGGCTAGTTTTATATTTTTAGTAGAGACGGGGTTTCTCCATATTGGTCAGGCTGGTCTCGAACTCCCAACCTCAGGTGATCTGCCTGCCTCAGCTTCTACTTGGGAAGAGATTTGTGAGCAGTTTGCTGGGTGAACTCCTGACCAAGAGTTAACACACAGAAAGAAGATACGTGTTCGAGGATGAAAATAGTTACAGTAAGAACAGATGAACTAGTGACCAAGAGTTAACGCACAGAAAGAAGATATTGATTGTAGGATATACTTCCAGTTTGTTCCAGGATGAAAATAGTTGTAGTAAGAACAGATCTCTGGCATATACAATGGAACTCAGAAGTAGCATGGGGCTTCATACGCAAAACTGTATGCTTCAAAAACAAGTGTCCTATATTAAATCTTGTTCTTGTATTGAATGGCACGTGTAGCTGAGTGTTTTAAGTTAACTTTGTTAATATCTCCCAGTGATAGAATCAGATTTTGAATTCAAAACTCTGGACTCCATGAGCTGCCATGGTCTGCCTTTCATTTCCTTTCTTTTTTTATGTGGGTACTTTTTTGCAAATTGGAGTTGGTTTAAAAATTATTTTTTCAGGTTTCAAGGAGGCAGAATAATGATCTATTAAAAATGTGGGCTTTGGAGTGAGAGGGCCATGAGTTCTAATACTAAACCCCCCACATAATAACCATGTGTGGCTTTCAGCAAGTTATTTAACCTCATTACATTTCTGTTTTTTGAGCTATAAAATAAAGGTGATATTATAATCCTCATGATGTTGTTATAAGAATTAATTGTAAAGTACACATCGCTTTTTCTGGAACATAACAAACACTGTATTATTTTATCCACAGTAGTATAAATATATAAGATGTGGAGGATTTTTAATCACAACTACTTATTTGTGGAGAGATGATCTTTATGAAATCATTTGTGGGATAAATGTCTTTGTTTCTTCCCATGCGTAAAAACATTTCATATCTCAAGTCCTCTGAACTTTTCAATTGAGAAGATAAATCCCCCCAATAGACCTTGTTTTAAAAGATACCAGAGGCAACCGATAGAAACATTTTCCGTATGTTGTTCTCTTGGCTATTTGCTCATATGCCTAATACACTCAAAATATATTGACAATTTTCAATTCACGTTGACTAAAGTGTGAATAGAGTCTTGGCTATATATATAGTCTTTCGGTAATTTCTGGTTCAGATTTTGTTTGCCATCTGGATCAATTTAAAGAGCTTAGATATTCACAATCTATGTTTACACAGAGCTAAGTTTGAGCACATGGCTCTAAACTACAAATATTCATTAATTCATTAAACAATTTTTGAACATTCTTATGAAGGAAACATAGATTTACCCGAGGGATTTACAGAAGTATGCCTCACCTAGTATAGTCTTCACATTGCCATTTGCAGGTAGATGATTGCTCATGTGTAAATAGTTGTTTATGTATTAATCACATAATTGCATGCTAAGTTATTTTAATTTAGCATTTGAAAATAGATACTATTATAAATTATGGTAATCTGAATATGTGTTCTTATACATTTTTGCTGGATTTTTCTTTACTCAAGATAAATGAAGATTAATATAATATTAATATAATGCTTTGTGGGGAGCACTGCAACTTTTAAGTAAGTACTTTGTAGGCTTTGTTATTTGGCAGTGGACTAGTACAAGTGTAACCAATAATTGCTTATGCAGATATTTGGAAGTAGTCTGTGTAAGCAGCTTGGTTTTAAAATCACACAACTTGATTTTAAAATTTCAACTTGTGGCTGGGCGCAGTGGCTCATGCCTGTAATCCCAACACTTTGGGAGGCTGAGACAGGTGGATCACCTGAGGCCAAGAGTTTGAGACCACCCTGGCCAACATGGGGAAACCCCATCTCTACTAAAAGTACAAAAATTAGCCAGGCATGGTGGTGAGTATCTGTAATCCCAGCTACTCTGGAGGCTGATGCAGGAGAATTGCTTGAACCTGGGAGGTGGAGGTTGCAGTGAACTGAGATTGCACCACTGCACTCCAGTCTGGGTGACAGAGTGAGACTCTGTCTCAAATAATAATGATAATAAAAATAAAATAAAATAAATAAAATTTCAACTTGTTTCTTGTTTTCTCCCACATTATTTGGTAGAGCACAATTCTGTTCTTCACACTGTATCCTTATTCTTAAATACATTTGAAGTTACCGGGTTCACTTTTTCTACATTTATAGGTCAGTAGAAGCAAAAATAAACAGTAAAATGAATGAGGTGAATCTTTATTCTTTTTACTTCTCCTGTTCTACTGTGATTTTGAAAAGTAAATATAAGTTTTGCTTTTTAAAGAATAACCGTATCTGGGTAGTGGTATGAAAACTGGAAAACAAACTAGACTGGTAGTCAAGAAATGGAAACTCCAGTACTGGCTCTATGGCTGTATTTGTGTTGCCCTCAGGACATCCTTTGGTTTTCCTGGGCCTCAGCCTCTGAGGCTTGGAAATCTCTAAGGCTGTTCGAGGCCTAAAGCAATCTGAATCCTGGTGTCTCTGACATCAGAAGCAAGAGCTCCTCTCAAGTGGTACCAAGAAGTTGCAGTGCCAGGGGGCATATGCTGTACACCGAGAGGAAGGGGAAGGTGTTCACACCTCTCCTGGGGTCACTCTTGCTAAACCCTCAGGTTTCTGACAGTTTTGTTCATATCATGGCAGCCACCATAGGCCCTGAAGTAGGCCATGCAATTTCATGACTTGTCTGCCAGAATTAGCCCCGAAAGCAATCAATGCCTAAATTTCCCTCCCTCTTCCTATCTCATTACTTCTGAAAACAAACAAACAAACAAAAAAAAAACTACCAAAGAGTAGCAAGGTATGTGAGAATAGCAGATATCTTACGTGTGTATCAGAGCATGTTAGTGTCACATTACCATCAGAATTGAAGGTTGTTCAGTCGGATGTTTTTTCACAGGAAAAAAATGGATTGGTATATTGGGATGAGGGAAAGCCTATTCTGTCAAGTTTGAGGTCAGTGTTCATAATGGAGAGAAGAAGAACTATAGGCAACAAAACTACAGGAAAATTGTTCTGGCTGAAAGCATTTTACCAAGTACATGACATGTTAACAGATATATCCTTATATTAATTAATTACTTGAATATATCCTTGAAAATATACTTCTGCTTGCCACAATTGGATGTTGTTATTTATCTTCATAAAATTCAGCTCCACAAACCTTTAATTTTTCTTAAAGTGTCTAGTAAGGAACTATTCTTGTTAACTCATTTTATGTATTTTTTTGATGAGTTTAAATTTTCAAATCATCGCCAAAGCAAGTTTCACTTTTGTGGCTTTTATAATAGTAAGAAGGAAGTCCAGTAGAAATCAATAAATGAATCTAGGTAGTGTAATTGAATTAAAAGAGCACTGGATATTCTGTAGGAGACTTAGGTGCAAGTGTTGGCTGTTTTGTTTAATTATATTATCTTGGTCTACCTACAAGTGCTTCAGAGCTTAAGTTCACACATTTGTAATGTGGGGATAGTGATCCCTAGTCTATGAAACATGTAATGATTACATGTGTAAGGTCTTAGTAAACTATGATGCACTGTACAGATTTAAATTAATACAAGCACTATTTTGTATATGATATGTTTCAGGAATATGCCTGGGGGGTACACAAATAAGATGTGTTCTCTTCCTAAAAGGATTTCAAAATCTGCTAGAAAAAAAGTAACAAATACTTTAACTATCAATATAAAAATGCAGTAAACAAAGTACAGTCTCCCTTGGTATTCATGGGGGATTAGTTCCAGCACCCCTCCAGGTAGCAAAATCTGAGAATGCACTAGTCCTATATATAAAATGGCATAGTATTTGAATATAAACCATTCAATCCTCTCATATGTTTGAAATCATCCCTAGATTCCATATAACACTTAATACAATATAAATGCTATGAGAATAGTAATACTGTATTTTTAAAATTCATATTTTTTAACCATTGCATTTATTTATTTATTTTGGAATATTTTCCATCTGTAGTTGGTTGAATCTGTGGATATGGAGGGCTGACTGTTCTATGGTAGCACAGAGGAGGGAATGCATTAATTATGCATCTCAGGGAAGGTGACATTTAAGCTGGATCTTGAAGTCCTGTGATTTTCTTCCTGGAGAAAAGATGGGGCAAAACTTTAGAGTCAAATAACTAAGATAAAAGTTGAAGCTGTGAAAGTTCTTGAATTTTATGAAAATACAGGAAGTGGCAAATGGTCTAACATGGACAGAGCAAAGGATGTGTAAGAGTTAATGCTTTGGCAATAAATGATTCTGAAAAATAGTGTAAAGGGATCTTTAGAGCCCAGGGTGTGACCTTGATCCTGTTGGCAATGAGAAGTGAGCTTACTGAAAATCTAAAGCAGATCATTGGCTTGATTATAGTCATATGTTATAAAGATATGTTAGGAGGTAAAGAGTGAGCTGGTGTAGTTGGTGGAAGAAGTAATGAGAAAGTGGGAGGAGGGAGGCTTGTTAGGTTATAGTAGAAGTAGAGGCAAGCACTGGATGAGTGCTTGCATTTGCACCGTGTCAGTAGCCACAGAAAAGAGGGATTGGAGGTAAGAGACCAGTGACCAGCTGGATGGCTTTGGGGTGAAGGTCAAGAAAGTAAAAGAAAAGAAAAGAAAAGGAGGAGTCAAAGATGACTTCATGGCTTCATACTTTAGTGACTGGATAGACAGTGATACAGATGAGCAAAGTATTAAACAATAAAAAGCTAAGTTTGTGTTTTGTAAAGCAATTGAATTTGGTTTTGAGAACCCTTTGACTTGCATACAATCCTTTATTTGGTATCACAGGTCCCCTCATGTTGTTGTTTTTCAGGCGTATATTGGTTAAATTTGGACTTTGTATGCCATATTAACTTTGAAATCAACTTGTCAAGCCTCAACATTTACATTTTGATTGCCATGGCATTGAATCTATGGATTATTTTAAAGAGAATTGTTTTTATAATATTGAACATTCTAATCCATTAACATGGTATATATCTGTATTTGTTTAGGCCTCCTTAAATACTGTTTAATATTTAATATTTTTATCTGTAATTTGTGCCTGCTTTTGATATAGATTTATTCATATATTTTTATTTTTTGATGATATAATGTAGCTTTAAAAAATTATTGTTAAGACCAGTTGTTGCTATTATGCAGAAATGTGTTTGATTTTTTATATTTTTACTTTATTCCAACATTCTTGACAGTCTTGTACGTTTTAATAATTTATATGTATATTCTTCATATAGGCAATCAGATTATCTGCAAATAAACGTGGTTTTATTTCTTCCTTTATAGTCCCTCTGTTTTTAATTTAATTTAATTATTTTTTTGCTGTGCTGACAGCCTCCCAGTGTTGCACAGAAGTGCTGACTGAGGGCTAGCTTGCTCTGTTCTTAATTTTAAAGGGAATGCTTTCAATTATTTACCAATTATTCTATTTGGTATTTTTTTAAACATAGGCACTTTTTATCAAATTAGGAATTCTGTGTTTACTAAAAATGATATAATTATCCTTATTTCACCATTTAAAGTGGTAAATTAGAATAATTAATTTACTAATATTAACCTACCTTGCATTCCTGGGATGAAGACAATTTAGGCATAGTCTATTCCTTTTTTTACATCTCTGGATGCAGTTTATTGTTACTTTGTTTCTGTGTTTATCAGTTTAATTGACTTAAATCTCTCCTCATTCTACTCTTCCTGTTGGGTTTTATTTGTTCCTTTAATACACTGGAAAATATTTTTTTTTTTTGCCTCCGTAACAGCACAAGATCACTTTAAACTAAATTCTCTGCTTGAGTGTATTAGGCTTCTGTCATAATGTCAATTCAGAATGCAGACCTATTACCTATTTTGGGTATGGTTCTTGCTTATGTGGTCTCAGAAGATATTTGTTTTTCTCCCCTCTACTTAGTTTCAAGCTTCCAGAAAATTCTCGTGTGCAAGTACCTGGGGTGGTATGAGTTTAATTTTCATTCTTCCTTATACTTAGAAGCCCCAGATGTGGGAATCCCTGATTTTGGAGGGATTATTGTATTACACTTTCCAGCCTGGGTGGGCCTTGCCCTATGTCTTCTATCCTTAAAGCCCTATGAGACATCAAAATTCAATGGTCATGCCAACAAATTTTGGCAAATGCCCTCAGTTGAAAGCTGGTTTTAGTCCTCTGCTTATCTCTCTGGATTCTCTCATTCACTCAGTGATGAATATATTTCACTCTTCTGTCATCTATTGATACATTCAGGGCTTTAAAAAATACTTTATCTAGCATATTGAGTTATGCAGGAAGCTCAGCGCCAGTACCTAGTCTGTCATTGTGACAGAAACAGCAGTCATTAACATGGACTTTTAAATGTTAAACATCATCAGGGAACTTTGTTACAGAACTTAGATGTTATGATGATTAAATGGCTTTATTTGAAACTCATTTATCGTTATATATCAAATATAACCCTAAGGTCCTCTCTGAAAATATATCAGATATCTAATTTGCTTAACATGGGGATTTTATAATAATCAAACTACTATTTGTTTAAGCTGACTTTTGAGGATATTCATTCAGTCCTGTGCATGTGTGATAAATCCAGAAGTTTTTTGAATTATTTGTAAACATTTCATTGTAAGGGTAAAAATTTTTGTACCTTTCACTTGAAAAGATTCAATTCAGATTTCTTGGGAGAAGAACATCCAAATGTAACTCAAACTACCTATTGTGATTTGCAGAGGAAAGACAGTGTTTGCGTAAAGTGGTATCACAAGTTACCTGTACTGACTTGCTGCCTTCAGGCAGATTTGATTATTCTTTAACTTTGTGGAACAGCTAAGTAGGATTATGCTTTTCTTTGTCAGTGAGGTGGATTGGAAATATGTTTCTGCATCTTTTGATGCTTAGGTGATACTTATTGCATTCTGTTTTATTGATATTAATAGAGAAGCAGCTCACCATCATCAGTCATTTCAGTTTTTTGAAAACAATTAATAAGGTTTCCATTTTTTCTTTATTTAAAATAAGTTGAATTGATTTACATTGTTGTGTGGTTATTAAAACTTTTAATAATACAACTTTGACCTCAATTAATGTTTACAGTCTATTAGTCTGTTCTCATGCTGCTAGTAAAGACCTACCCGAGACTGAATAACTTATAAAGGAAAGAGGTTTAATTGACTCACAGTTCATTCAGTATGGCTGGGGAGGCCTCAGGACACTAACAGTCATGGCGGAAGGGGAAGCAAACACATCCTTCTTCACATGGCAGCAGCAAGGAGAAGTCCAGAGCAAAAGGGAGAAGGCCCCTTATAAAACCATTAGGTCTCATGAGAACTCACTATCATGAGAACAGCACGGAGGTAACTGCCCCCATGATTCAATTAACTCTCACCATGTCCCTCTCATGACATGTGGGGATTATGAGAACTACAATTCAAGATGAGATTTGGGTGTGGACACAGCCAAACCATATCATTCTGCCACTGGCCCCTCCAAAATCTCATCTTCACATTTCAAAACACAATCATGCTTTCCTAATAGTCCCCCAAAGTCTTAACTCATTCCATCATTAACTCAAAAGTCCACATTCCAAAGTCTTATCTGAGATAAGTCCCTTCTGCCTATCAGCCTGTGAAATCAAAAGCAAGTTAGTTACTTCCTAAATATGGTGAGGGCTCAGGCATTGAGTGAATACACCACTTCCAAATGGGAGAAATTAGCCAAAACATAGGGGCTATACGCCCCATGCAACTCTGGAATCAAGGGGGGCAGTCAAATCTTATAGCTCTGAAATGATCTCCTTTGACTACCTGTCTCACATCCAAATCACACTGACACAAGAGGTGGGCTCCCATGGCCTTGGGCAGCTCTGCCTCTATGGCTTTGCTGGGTACAGCTTCTCTCCTGGCTGCCTTAATGGGCTGGCATTGAGTGTCTGCACCTTTTCTAGGCACAAGGTGAAAGCTGTCAGTGGATTTACCATTCTGGGGTCTGGGGACTCTCTTCTCACAGTTCCACTAGTCAGTGCCCCAGTGGGGACTCTGTGTGGGTGTTCTGACCCTACATTTTCCTTCCATACTGCCCTAGCAGAGGTTCTCCATGAGGGCTCTGCCCCTGCAGCACACCTCTGCCTGGACATCCAGGCACTTCCATACATCTCTGAAATCTAGGCAGAGGTTCCCAGACCTCAGTTCTTGACTTCTGTGCACCCCCAGGCACACCACCACATATAAGCCACCAAAGCTTGGAGGTTGCACCCTCTGAAGCAATGGCCTGAGCTGCATATTTTTCCCTTTTAGCCACGGTTCAGATGCAAGTCACTAAGTGTTGAGACGCACAGAGCAGGAAGACCCAGGGCCTGGCCTGTGAAACCATTTTTTCCTCCCAAGCCTTCTGGCTTGTGATGGGAGGGGCTGCCATGAAGACCTCTGACATGCCCTGGAGACATTTTCCCCATTGTCTTGGAGATTGACATTTGGCTCCTTGTTACTTATGCAAATTTCTTCAGCTGGATGAATTTCTCCTCAGAAAGTGGGTTTTCTTTTTCTATATCATCATCAGGCTATAAATTCTCCAAACTTTTATGCTCTGCTTTTATTTTAAACATAAGTTCCAATTCCAAGCCATATCTTTGTGAATGAATAAAACTGAGTGCTTTTAAGAGCACTCAAGTCACTTCTTGAATGCTTTGCTGCTTAGAAATTTCTTCCATCAGATACCCTAAATCATTTCTCTGAGGTTCAAAGTTCCACAGATCTCTAGGCTGGGGGCAAAATGCCACCAGCCTCCTTGTTATAGCATAGCAACAATCACCTTCACTCCAGCCCAATAAGTTTCTCATCTCCATCTGAGATCAACTCAGCCTGGACTTCATTGTCCATATGGCTATCAGTATTTTGGTCAAAACCATTCAACGAGTCTCTAGGAAGTTCCAAACTTTCCCACATCTTCCTGTCTTCTGAGCCCTCCAAGTCTCTAAGAGTTTCTAAATTTTCCCACATTTTCCTATCTTCTTCTGAGCCTTCCAACTTCTGCCAGTTACCCAGTTCCAAAGTTGTTTCCACATTTCCAGGTATCTTTACAGCAGTAACTCACTCTACAAGTACCAATTTACTGTATTAGTCCTCATGCTGCTAAGAAAGACAAACCTGAGACTGGGTAATTTGTAAAGGAAAGAGGTTTAATTGACTCACTGTTCAGCATGGCTGAGGAAGCCTCAGGAAGCCTACAATCACGGTGGAATGGGAAGCAAACACATCCTTCTTCAAATGGCGGCAGCACGGAGAAGTGCAGAGTGAAGCAGGGGGAAAACCCCTTGTAAAACTATCACAGCTCATGGGAACTCATTATCATGAAAACAGCATGGATGTTACTGCTCCCATGATTCAATTACTTCCCACCGGTCCCTGCAATGACACATGGGGATTATGAGAACAACAACAGTTCAAGATGAGATTTGGGTGGGGACACAACCAAACCATGTCAACACTCATTCAAAATTTCCTCTAATAACTTTCAGTTACAGGGCCTCAAAGGAAATCTTATGCTTCAATTTATGGCAATGTACCTTTTAAAGGACTGTTAGAGATTATAACCCCAAATTCCTCATGTAAGAGGCACCATAATGCTTTTCTGAAGTCATAAGCCAATTCCAATTATCATGCTTGACTTGTATGTATGAATAGAGATGCCCTACAAGGTGCCATTCACTAATTAATTGTGGCTTCCTGAAAATATGCCATTAATGTTTTTTTTGAGTTAAGCATTGATCCCTTTATGCCTCTTTTCTTTTAAAATTCAAGTACTCTTTTCTGAATAACTATTAATTCATTAATCTGAAAATCAGGAAAGTGAAAGATCAGGCCCATTTCATAAATGTGCTAAGAACATATTCACTAGGAAGGCAGGAAAGCAACCCTGAGAATTATTCTAAACTACTTCACATGTTTGTTTTGGGACAGCTTATAGTCTGAGCACCTCAGTGACTCTCTTACCCTTTAAACTCTTGCATTCCTTATATTGAAGCCTTTGTATTATGTTCATTCTTTGTTAGCCTTTATCTGGTTACAGAGTTTTTTTTCTGTAAAGAAATTATTCTGACCTTATATTGGATTTCATTTTCAAGATGGTAGCTATTTCCCTCAATGCCATTTTTTGATGTAAATCCAAACTGTGCTTGCACTGAGTCATTAATGACTGCATGTAAGTCAGCACTGACCATTTGAGTGAGACTATCACTCTATAGGCACATTACCTCCCAAAGAATGATGATAATTTTTAAACTCTATCTTTAGTAAGGATTTGTAATTGAGTGTTTGCTACTTAAAGATATTTGGTCCAAATTGAGTTATTATATTTCTTGATATAGGACTACATAAAATCTTAACAAATCCAAGCAATGTGAACTTCTGCTTCTGTACAGGATGGAGTAACAGGGACTACATTTATCATTGTGACTGAAACAACTAAGAAACTGGACAAAATATATGGAGCAATAGTTCTCAAGACACTGGGCATCAGGCAGCAAAGAAAAGTTATTGCTGGGAGATGGAAAAGAAATAAAGTGAGTCCTGTGAGTGCCTCAGTTTACTGTCTATACAACAGCGTTGAGGAATCCAGGCAGAGACCAGAGTCTCCTTCTGTTGAAGAGGTGGAGCTGGGAATTCAAAGAATCCAATGCAGCTAGAATTTCCAGGGTGAAGTGTCAGAGTGGAGAAAGCTGCATAGAGAAAGAACTCTGGAGACATGCAGAGAATCCCTACCTTGTATTCAGAATATCCAACCCAAAGATTTACCTCACTACTGATTAGTACTTCCATGGGAGGACACTCCCTATGGCTGAGGAAATAACTACCAAAAGAAAAAAGAAAAAAAATTCCTTGGGGCTCACCCAGAGCAGGTAACGGTACCTATTCTCATGCAGTACACTTGTACAACTTCATAATTTATTGAGCGTCACATAGAATATTGAGAAGAGTTTGCCACAGTTAATGAGGAGATCTTAACCCTAATTTAAACACTCTGGTCCCACCTAAAAAAGCTAGAAAAAAATACAGAAGGGATCCAAGCAACTTTACTGCTTCCTAGGATAAAACTCAAAAAGACTTATTGAAATATAAACATTTCCAGCCACCAACAAATTGAAATTCAATCATTGTTGTCTTGCACCCAATTAGTATTACAGCGTTATTTTAAGAGTCAAAAAATCCTGGAAACAATGGAAATGTTTATCATTAGACAAATGGTAGCTAGAATATCTTATATTATAACACTGAAGTAATCAGAGTTGCTGGAGAGGGGATAGATTGGAGCAGGGGAGGACAATGTATAGAATAATGTCTGAAGCGATAATGGCCAAAAATTCCTAAATTTAGTGAAAACAGTAGATCTGTGTGATCTAATGATCTCAACAAATCCCCAAGTACAAGGAACATGAAGAAAACTGCACCATGTCACATTACAATCAAGTTGATTAAATTCAGTGATAAAGAGAAAATATTAGAAGAAGCCAGAGGGAAGAACACACTACAGGGGAACATACAGAGGAGTTACTCATGGAGAATAAGAATGACAGCAGATTTCTTATTGTAAGCAATGCAAACTGGTACTTAACGGAGTAACATCTTTAAATAATGAAAGAAATGCACTGTCAACTTAGAGTTCTCTACCCAGCAAAAATATCTTTCATGAATGAAAGTGAAATAAATACTTTTCTAGATATACAAAATCTGAAAGACTTCATTGCCATCCAACTTAACCTATGAGAAATGTTAAAAGAATTCCCTTAAGTTGTGGCAAATAACAGATTAATGTAGACGTTAAATAGATTAGAACCATGTTTATTGTGGAACAGAAGTTGTGAGAGCAGACATTCGTATTTTTTCCTTATCTTTAGGGAAAAAGCATTCAGTCTTTCATCACTAAGTGTGGTATTAGCTGGAGATTTTTCATGGGTGACTATTATCAGGTTGAGGAGGTTCCTTTCTGTTACTACCTTTCTGGAGTTTTTAATTAGGAATGCTAGATTTTGTCAAATGATGAGTGTGTGTGTGTGTGTGTGTGTGTGTGTGTGTGTGTTATGTGTGTGACATTAACAGTTTAAATGTAAAATGTGGTTTATACATGCACATGCATTTTATAAAAATTGACTATATAATTTTAAAATTATATAATAAACAGATTGTGTGACCATCATTCAGTATAACTTACCACATTTACATGTTTTATATGTAATCTATTAATGAGATAAATTACACTGATTGATCTTCACATGTTAATTTGTTAAGGCCTGCTTGCATTCCTGGGAAGAACCACACCTGATCTTGTCAATGCAATAAGTCAAGTTCTAGTTAATGCAGTAAGCCAAGAATAAGAAATCAAAGGAATACAGATTGGAAAGGATAGAGCAAAACTCTGTTTGCAGTCAGTGTGACTGTCTATGTGGAAATCCAATGGAATTCCTAATAGAGCAGTTCTTATAAACTGCTATGTGAGTTTAGTAAGATTTCAGGATATATGATCACATACAAAAATTGGTTTCACTTCTATATAATGAGTGATCAATCAGAAATGGAAACTGCCAAAATTGCCATTGACAATTGCATTAAAATATGTGATTTTAAGGATAAATCTTTCAAAGTATGTGCAAGATCAGTACACTGGAAACTACAAAATATTGCTGAGAGATTTTAAAGAAAACCTAAGTAAATGGGAAGATACACTTTGTTCATCAATTGGAAGACTCAATATTGTTAAGATGTTAGAGACAATGTTCTCTAACTTGATCTACAGATTCAACACAATCCCCCAAAAAGCTCAGTAAGACTTTTTGTAAAAAAAAAAAAAAAAAAAAAAAAAAAAAGACACTGTAATTCTAAAATTCATATAGAAATGCAAGGAACCTAGGATAGGCAAAATAATCTCATAAAAGAAGAAAAAGGTGGGAGGACTTATAGCTCTTGCCTTCAAGACTTATTTTACAGCTACAGTACTCAAGACAGGGCATGTTTTGGCATCAAGAGCAACAGATACGTAAATAGAATGAAATAGAGAATGCAGAAATAGGTGTATACTTCCATTTCTGTTGCTTTCTGATAAAGTTGCAAAGACAATTTGGCAGAGAAAGTATAGTCTTTTTTTATTATTATTATATTTTAAGTTCAGGGATACATGTGCAGAACCTGCAGGTTTGTTACATAGGTATACATGTGCCATGGTGGTTTGCTGCACCCATCAACCCATCATCTACATTAGGTATTTCTCCGAATGCTATCCCTCCTCTAACCCCCTACCCCCAAGAGGCCCCGGTGTGTGATGTTCCCCTCCCTGTGTCCATGTGTTCTCATTGTTCAATTCCAGCTTATGAGTGAGAACATGTAGTGGTTAGTTTTCTGTTCCTGTGTTAGTTTCCTGAGAATGATGGTTTCCAGCTTCATCCATGTCCCTGCAAAGCACATGAACTTATCATTTTTTATGGCTGCATATTATTCCATGGTGTATATGTGCCACATTTTGTTTATCCAGTTGATCATTGATGGGCATTTGGGTTGGTTCCAAGGCTTTGCTACTGTGAATAGTGCTGCAATAAACATACGTGTGCATGTGTCTTTATAGTAGAATGATTTATAATCCTTTGGGTATATACCCAGTAACGAGATTGCTGGGTCAAATGGTATTTCTTTTTTTTTTTTTTTTTTTTTCAGACCGAGTCTCACTCTGTCACCCAGACTGGAGTGCAGTGGCATGATCTTGTCTCACTGCAAGCTCTGTCTCCTGGGTTCACACCATTCTCCTGCCTCAGCCTCCCAAGTAGTTGGGATTACAGGCACCCACCACCATGTGCGGCTAATTTTTTTGTATTTTTAGTAGAGACAGGGTTTCACTGTGTTAGCCAGGATAGTCTTGATCTCCTGACCTCATGATCTGCCCGCCTTGGCATCCCCAAGTGCTGGCATTACAGGCGTGAGGCACCGCACCTGGCTGTCAAATGGTATTTCTGGTTCTAGATCCTTGATGAATCGCCACACTGTCTTTCACAATGGTTGAACTAATTTACACTCCCACCAAAAGTGTAAAAGCATCCCTATTTTTCCACATCCTCTCCAGCATCTGTTGCTTCCTGACTTTTTAATGATCACTATTCTAATTGATGTGAGATGGTATCTCATTGTGGTTTTGATTTGCATCTCTCTAATGACCAGTGATGATGAGCTTTTTTTCATATGTTTCTTGGCCACATAAATGTCTTCTTTTGAGAAATTTTCATATCCTTCACCCACTTCTTGATTTTTTTTTCTTGTAAATTTGTTTAAGTTGCTTGTAGATTCTGAATATTAGCCCTTGTCAGATGGACAGATTGCAAAAATTTTCTCCCATTCTGTAGGTTGCCTGTTCCCTCTGATGTTACTGTGCAGAAGCTCTTTAGTTTAATTAGATCCCATTTGTCAGTTTTGGCTTTTGTTGCCATTGCTTTTGGTGTTTTAGTCGTGAAGTCTTTCCCCATGCCTATGTCCTGAATGGTGTTGCTTAGGTTTTCTTCTAAGGTTTTTATGGATTAGGTTTTACATTTAAGTCTTTAATCCATGTTGAGTTAAGTTTTGTATAAGGTGTAAGGAAGTGGTCCAGTTTCAGTTTTCTGCATATAGCTAGCCAGTTTTCCCAACACCATTTATTAAATAAGGAATCTTTTCCCCAATGCTTGTTTTTGTCAAGTTTGTCAGAGATCAGATGGTTGTAGATGTGTGGCATTATTTCTGGGGCCTCTGTTCTGTTCCATTGGTCTATATATCTGTTTTTGTACCAGTACCATGCTGTTTAGGTTACTGTAGCCTTATAGTATAGTTTGAAGTCAGGTAGTCCAGCTTTTTTTTTTTTTTTTTTTTTTTTGCTTAGGATTGTCTTGGCTATATGGGCCCTTTTTTGGTTTCATATGAAATTTAAAGTAGTTGTTTCTAATTCTGTGAAGAAAGTCAATGGTAGCTGGATGGGGATAGCATTGAGTCTATAAATTACTTTGGGCAGTATGGCCATTTTCATGATGTTGATTTTTCCTACCCATGAGCATGGAATGTTTTTCCATTTGATTGTGTCCTCTTTTATTTCCTTGAGAAGTGGTTTGTAGTTCTCCTTGAAGAGGTGCTTCACATCCGTTGTAAGTTGTATTCCTAGATATTTTATTCTGTTTGTAGCAATTGTGAATGGGAGTTCACTCATGATTTGGCTCTCTGTTTGTCTGTTATTGGTGTATAGGAATGCTTGTGATTTTTGCACATTGATTTTGTATCCTGAGACTTTGCTGAAGTTGCTTATCAGCTTAATGAGATTTTAAGCTGAGACTATGGGGTTTTCTAAATATACAGTCATGTCATCTGCAAACAGAGACAATTTGACTTCGTCTCTTCCTATCTGAATATGCTTTATTTCTTTCTCTTGCCTGATTGCCCTGGCCAGAATTTCCAATACTATGTTGAATAGGAGTGGTGAGAGAGGGCATCCTTGTCTTGTGCTGGTTTTCAAAGGGAATGCTTCTAGCTTTTGCCCATTCAGTATGATATTGGCTGTGGGTTTTTCATAAATAGCTCTTATTATTTTGAGATACATTCCATCAATACCTAGTTTATTGAGAGTTTTTAGCATGAAGTCGTGTTGAATTTTATTGAAGGCCTTCTCTGCATCTATTGAGATAATCATGTGGTTTTTGTCATTGGTTGTGTTTATGTGATGGATTATGTTTATTGATTTGCATATGTTGAACCAGCCTTGCATCCCAGGGATGAAGCCCACTTGATCATGGTGGATGAGCTTTTTGATGTGCTGATGAATTTGGTTTGCCAGTATTTTATTAAGGATTTTGCATTGATGTTCATCAGGGATATTGGCCTGAATTTTTCCATTTTTTTGTGTCTCTGCCAGGTTTTGGTATCAGGATGATACTGGCCTCATAAAATGAGTTAGGGAGGAATCCCTCCTTTTCTATTGTTTGGGATAGTTTCAGAAGGAATGGTACCAGCTCCTCTTTGTACCTCTGGAAGAATTTGGCTGTGAATCTGTCTGGTCCTGGGCTTTTTTTGGTTGGCAGCCTATTAATTACTGCCTCAATTTCAGAACTTGTTATTGGTCTATTTGGAGATTCAACTTCTTCTTGGTTTAGTCTTGGGAGGGTGTATGTGTCCAGGAATGTATTCATTTCTTCTAGATTTTATAGTTTATTTGCATAGAAGTGTCTATAGTATTCTCTGATGGTAGTTTGTATTTCTGTGGGATCAGTGGTAATATCCCTTTTGTCATTTTTTTTATTGTGTCTATTTGATTCTTCTGTCTTTTGTCTGGCTAGTGGTCTATCTATTTTGTTAATCTTTTCAAACAACCAGCTCCTGGATTCATTGATTTTTTGAAGGGTTTTTGTGTCTCTATTTCCTTCAGTTCTGCTGTGATCTTAGTTACTTTTTTTTGTCTTCTGCTAGCTTTTGAATTTGTTTGCTCTTACTTCTTTAGTTCTTTTAATTGTGATGTTAGGGTGTTGATTTTAGATCTTTCCTGCTTTCTCCTATGGGCATTTAGTGCTATAAATTTCCTTCTAAACACTGCCTTAGCTGTGTCTTAGAGATTCTGGTATGTTGTTTCTTTGTTCTCATTGGTTTCAAAGAACTTATTTATTTCTGCCTTAATTTCGTTATTTACCTAGTAGTCATTCAGGAGGAGGTTGTTCTGTTTCCATGTATTTGTGCGGTTTTGAGTGAGTTTCTTAATCCTGAGTTCTAATTTGACTGCACTGTGGTCTGAGAGACCATTTGTTATGATTTCCGTTCTTTTGCATTTGCTGAGGAGTGCTTTACTTCCAATTCTGTGGTCAATTTTAGAATAAGTGTGATGTGGTGCTGAGAAGAATGCATATTCTGTTGATCTGGGGTGGAGAGTTCTGTAGATGTCTATCAGGTCCACTTGGTCCAGAGCTGAGTTAAAGTCCTGAATATCCTTGATAATTTTCTGTCTCGTTGATCTGTCTAATATTGACAGTGGGTGTTAAAGTCTCCCACTGTCATTGTGTAGGAGTCTAAGTCTCTTTGTAGGTCTCTAAGAACTTTATGAATCTGGGTGCTACTGTATTGGGTGTATATATATTTAGGATAGTTAGCTCTTTTTGTTGGATTGATCCCTTTACCATTATGTAATGCCTTTCTTTGTCTCTTTTGATCTTTGTTGGCTTAAAGTCTGTTTTATCAGGGACTAGGATTGTAACCCCTGCTTTCCCTGATTTTTTTTTTTTTTTTGGTTTCTATTTGCTTGGTAAATATTCCTCCATCCCTTTCTTTTGAGCCTATGTGTGTCTTTGCTTGTGAGATGGGTCTCCTGAATACAGCATGCCGATGGGTCTTGACTCTTTATCCGATTTGCCAGTCTGTGTCTTTTAATTGGGGCATTTAGCCTGTTTACATTTAAAGTTAATATTGTTATGTGTGAATTTGATCCTGTCATCATGATGATAGCCGGTTATTTTGCCCATTAGTTGATACAGTTTCTTCATAGCGTCAATGGTCTTTACAATTTGGTATGTTTTTGCAGTGGCTGGTACCAGTTTTTCCTTTCCATATTTAGTGCTTCTTTCAGGAGCTCTTGTAAGGCAGGCCTGGTGGTGACAAAATCTCTCAGCATTTGCTCGTCTGTAAAGGATTTTATTTCTCCTTTGCTTATGAAGCTTAGTTTGGCTGGATATGAAATTCTGGGTTGAAAATTCTTTTCTTTAAGAATGTTGAATATTGGCCCCTACTCTCTTCTGGCTTGCAGGGTTTCTGCAGAGAGATCCTCTGTTATTCTGATGGACTTCCCTTTGCGGATAACCCGATCTTTCTCTCTTGCTGCCCTTAACATTTTTTTCCGTCATTTCAACCTTGGTAAATCTGACAATTATGTGTATTGGGTTTGCTATTTTCAAGGAGTATCTTTGTGGTGTTCTCTGTATTTCCTGAATTTGAATGTTGGCCTGTCTTGCCAGGTTGGGGAAGTTCTCCTGGATCATATCTTGAAGAGTGTTTTCCAACTTGGTTCCATTCTCCCCATCACTTTCAGGTACAGCAATCAAACATAGATTTGGTCTTTTCACATGGTCCCATATTTCTTGGAGGCTTTGTTCATTCCTTTTCATTCTTTTCTCTCTAATCTTGTCTTCATGCTTTATTTCATTAAGTTGATCTTCAACCTCTGATATTTTTTCTTCTGCTTGGTTGATTCAGGTATTGATACTTATGTTTGCTGCACGAAGTTCTCGTGCTGTGTTTTTTAGCTCCATCAGGTCATTTATGTTATTCTCTAAACTGGTTAGTCTAGTTAACAATTCCTCTAAACTTTTTTCAAGGTTCTTAGTTTCCTTGCATTGGATTAGAACATGCTCCTTTAGCTCAGAGGAGTTTGTTATTACCCACCTTCTGAAGCCTACTTCTGTCAATTCATCAAACTCATTCTCTGCCAAGTTTTGTTCCCTTGCTGGTGAGGAGTTGTGATCCTTTGGAGGAGGAGAAGAGACGTTCTTGTTTTGGGAATTTTCAACCTTTTTGCACTGGTTTTTCCTCATCTTCATGGATTTATCTACCTTTGGTCTTTGATGTTGGTGACCTTCGGATGGGGTTTTTGTGTGGATGTCATTTTGGTTGATGCTCATGCTAATCCTTTCTGTTTGTTAGTTTTCCTTCTAACAGTCAGGCCCCTCTGCTGGAGGTCTGCTAGATTTTGCTGGAGGTCCACTCCAGACCCTGTTTGCCTGAGTATCACTAGCGGAGGCTGCAGAATAGCAAAGATTGCTGCCTGTTCCTTCCTCTGGAAGCTTTGTCCCAGAGGGGCACCAGCCAGATACCAGCTTGAGCTCTCCTGTATGAGGTGTCTGTTGAACCCTGCTGGGAGGTGACTCCAGTAAGCAGGCACAGTGGTCAGGGACCCACTTGAGGAGGCAGTCTGTTCCTTAGCAGAGCTGGAGTGCTGTTCTGGGAGATCCATGGCTCTCTTCAGAGCTGGCAGGCAGGAACATTTAAGTCTGCTAAAGCTGCAACCACAGCCACCCCTTACCCCAGGTGCTCTGTCCCAGGGAGATGGGAGTTTTATCTATAAGCCCCTGAGTGGGGCTGCTGGCTTTCTTTCAGAGATGCCCTGCCCAGAGAGGAGGAATCTAGAGAGGCAGTCTGGTTACAGTGGCTTTGCCGAGCTGTGGTGGGTTCTGCCGAGTTCGAACTTCTGGGCATGTTTGTTTACACTGTGAGGGGAAAACCGACTACTTAAGCTCAGTAATGGTGGATGCCCCTCCCCCCACGAAGCTTGAGCATCCCAGGTTGACTTTAGACTGCTGTGCTGGCAGCAAGAATTTCAAGCCAGTGGATTTTAGCTTGCTGTGCTCCATGTGGGTGTGATCTGCTGAGCTAGACCACTTGGGTCCCTGGCTTCAGCCCCCTTTCCAGGGGAGTGAACAGTTCTGTCTCACTGGCGTTCCAGGTGCCACCAGGTTATGAAAAAAAAACAAAAAAACAAAAAAACAAAAACAAAACAAAAAACCTCCTGCAGCTAGCTTGGTGTCTGCTCAAATGGCTGCCCAGTTTTGTGCTTGAAACCCAGGGCCCTTGTGGTGTAGGCACCTGAGGGAATCTTCTGATCTGCAGGTAGGCAAAGACTGTGGGAAAAGCACAGTATTTGAGCCAGAATGCACCGTTCCTCACCTCATGGTCCTTCATGACTTCCCTTGGCTAGGGGAGGGAGTTCCCTGACTCCTTCTGCTTCCTGGGTGAGGCGACGCCCCACCCTGCTTTGGCTTGCCTTCCGTGGGCTGCATCCAGTCCCAGTGAGATGAGCTGTGTACCTCAGCTGGAAATGCAGAAATCACCCACCATCTGCATTGATCTTGCTGGGAGCTGTAGACTGGAGCTATTCCTATTAGGCCATCTTCCTAGCCACACACCAAGTATAGTCTTTTCAACAAATGAGGCTGGAACAATTGGATATCTATGTGTAAAACCTACCCCCAAAATGTTGATACATATACAGCACCATATAAATCATTAATTCAAAATGAATCAGACTTAGATGTAAAACCTAAAGTTCTAAAACTTGTTTAAGAAAATATTGGAGAAAATGTTTGTGACTTTCAGTTGGGCAACGATTTAAGATACCAACAACACTGTGCATAATTGATAAATTATACTTCATCAAAATTAAGTTCTGCTCATCAAAATTAATAAGTTCTGCTCATCAAAAGATACTTTTAAGAAAGTGACAATAGGCCGGGTGCGGTGGCTCACACCTGTAATCCCAGCACTGTGGGAGGCTGAGGCACGCAGATCACCTGAGGTCAGGAGTTTGGGGCCAGCCTGGCCAACATGGGGAAACCCCATCTCTAGTAAAATACAAAAATTAGCTGGGTGTGGTGGTGCATGCCCGTGGTCTCAGCTACTCAGGAGGCTGAGGCAGGAGAATGGCTTGAACCCAGGAGGTGGAGGTTGCAGTGAGCCGAGATCGTGCCATTGCACTCCTGCCTGGACAACAGAGCAAGACTCTGTCTCAAAAACAAAACAAAGAAAGTGACAATACTGTATTGTATACTAAAAATTTTTCTAAAAGGGTAGATCTTTTTCTTGTTTTTTTTTTTTTTTTTTGAGACGGAGTCTCACTCTGTCGCCCAGGCTGGGGTGCAGTGGCACAATCTTGGCTCACTGCAACCTGCGCCTCCTGGGTTCAAGCGATTCTTCTGCCTTAGCCACTTGAGTAGCTGGGACTACAGGTGTGTACCACCATGCCCCACTAATTTTTGTATTTTTAGTAGAGACGGGGTTTCACCATATTGATCAGGCTGGTCTCAAACTTCTGACCTTGTGATCTGCCTGCCTCGGCCTCCCAAAGTGCTGGGATTACCGTCGTAAGCCACTGCGCCCAGCAGAGGTTAGATCTTAAGTTCTTATCACACACACACACACACACACACACACACACAAATAATAATAATAAATAATAAGGCAGAAAGACACTTGGTGATCACAAGAGGTTTATGGCACATATTGTGGTATAATCTATGGCATAGGTTTCATGGGTGGATGCTTACTTCCAAATTCATCAAGGGGTATACATAAAATATATAGGGTTTTTTTGGTATAAAAGTAAATAAAATACATTTACCACCATTATATTTCAGGAAAAAATCTCATTTAGTCTTTTTATATTATACGTTTAACAAACGCTAGTTTCTTGTTGCTGATATGTTAGAATTTTGCATATATCTTTTGTTATTTTGTAATTTTTTTTTATATGGCATCTTTTTCAAAAAAGTCTGTATTAATGTTACAGTCGAGTTTTCCTTCATTCTCTATGCTCTGGAGTCTAGAACAGTTAAAATCCATGAAATGTTTCCTAGAAAATGGAAGAACTTGCCTATGAATACAATCTTATATTGATTACTCGGCCAACTACTTGCTCTGAAGTCTAATAAGATTATTACCTCATGATTCCTGGAAAAATGCCATGTTTTCTCATTCATCCATTCCTACCTGTGTTCAGGTCTCTTGGTTTCTAATTTTGTTTCTGTCCCTGTTTGTTTGACTAGTTCAGTCTTGGCATTACACTAGCTCTCTTGGCATTTGTTCTTAGTTCTGTGAAGGTGAATTTGATAAACTTTATCGATATGAAGGGCAGGATATTTTGCCCAAAGTGTGTACCCCTTATAAGCAGGCAGGGAAGAAGGAGGAATTAGAGGAGACAAAATGAAGATGTCAATCATTTGAACCCTTAGATAATTCTATGATAAATTATAAATTGTAGAATATTTTCTGATATGTAGATTTATCTATCAGCTAATTAATTCCTTCTTAATTCATAAAAGCACCATGTTTTGTTTTCCTGTGTAATAACAAATATTTTCTAATTTCACAAATTATTTCAATAAATGAAAATGTGAGCCACGGATTTAAGAAAATCTTTTCAATTCACATCTTTGATGAAGACTTGCATATGCAACCTATAAAGAAGTCTCAAAATCTAATAAGAAAACTAGCAACTTAATAAAAAATAAGCAATGTATTTAAATGGTTTACCAAATATACTTCATCAAAAAGAGAAATTGGACGGAAAATAAGCACATGGAAATAAGCTTAACATCAGCCATGAGGAAAATGCAAATTAAAGCCACAGTGAGATACTTCTTTAACCTATTAGAACGTCTCAGATAGACAGACCATTAGGCAAATGAAGGGCAATTTACAAAATACTGGACCAGTACCCCTCCAAATGCCTGATAATAAATACCAAGTGTTAGTGAAGTAACTGCAGTGCTCATACAATACTGTGGGAGTGTAAAGCAATACAATTTTGGAAGACTATTTGGCAATTCCTAAAGAATTTAAACTTATACCTGCTATGCGATCCAGCTATCCCATTCGTATACATTTACCAAAGAGAAATGAAAGCATATGTCCCTACAAACCTTTATTCACAATAATTTTATACCTAATAGTCCCAAATTGGAAACAACCAAAATGTCCATCCTTAGGTGAATGAGTAAACAAAATGTACATGTTAGAACGTGGATTACTTTATGTTGATTTTATTCAATAAAGCTGTTAAGATTGAAATTCAACTTATGTTGGATTTTAATTGAACAAAAATTTAAATATTTCCCTCATCAGATTAAACTCATATTAAACTTTCCTTTAGCCCTGTATTATAATGTCTTGATTCACAAAGGATTTCGTGTACTAAATTCTTCCTGGTTATTGTGATTTTCTGTTGACTCCTGTTTAGATCTTATCTCCTGGGCCTTATTCACCTCGTCATCTTCTCCTCCTGTTGTCTTCCTGTTTACTGGCATGCCCTGCTTGCACCTCCTCCCTGGAATTACACACACTCCTACTTTTATAGAGGTGAAATTTGGTTGAAATTAGCATCACATACAACTTTGAAGTGAGCATAGAACAATTAAGAGTGATAATGTTGGAACTGGTTAGGATTAGGGGTTGAAGTGAAGAGAAGGTGTCTGAATGTGTTAAAACAAACATTAGGATTCCTAATCTATTTTTGAAAAGCGTCATCGGTTGCTTTTCTGACTCATTTCCCAGTCCCTCACCGTGAGACACCCCACAAATGTCTGCTGAGGCAGATACCATCATTACGTTCTAGGAATGATTCTGCTTGCCTTTTGAGAGTCATAATGGCATAGTTCATTTCTAGGATAGGAGCAGTTTTGTATACATTATAATTCAGGAGTCAGCAAACTAAGGCCCGATGCCTGTTTTGGCAAATAAAAGTTTCATTAAAAAAAGTTTTATTGGAACATAGCTGTGCTCATTCTATTTTGTATTGTCTATGGCTACTTTTATGCTACAACAGCGTATTTGAGTACGTGCAGCCACTATAGATAGTGTGAGCCTCTAGAAAGCCTGAAATATTTATTTTTCGGCCCTTTAAGAAAATGCATGTTAACCTCTTAGTTAATTAAAATTAATAATAACAAACACATAGTATGCACTACGTGCCAGCTTCTTGTCATATGTTAAGTAAAAATATTAGTTCTAATACTCTTAATAACCTTATAAGGTAGATATTGTTCCAATACCAATTTAACATGTGAGGAAACTGAGACATAAAGAGGTTAATCTTCCCTGTCACAAAGTGAAGAAATACAAGGGCTAGGATTTGAACAAAAGTGGCTTGACTCCAAGCCTGGGCTTTTAATAGCTTCTTGTACTGCTGCTCCATTTGGAGAAATAGAGGAAATACAAACTATTTTAATAAACAGTGAAATTATAATATACAACCAACCAGTTTAGTGAAAATCTTGGAAATATTTAAATTATAAGAAAGGAGATAAGATATATTTAATTAATTTGAGATTAATTATTGCAGTTTTTCAGGCTCATCCATGAAAGAATTGTGAGTAGACAATTCTTTTAATATTTGGTTTTATTCACTCTTAGTAAATTGTCTCTTTGAATTAGGCCTGTATCTTAGTGTAGTGATTTTATAGGATAGTAGACTACAGATCCTTTTGTCAGCTTATTTCTCCAGTTTTTTTTTTTTTTTTTTTGGTTCAGTGTCATATCCAAGGAACTGTTCCACCAAGGAATCAGAATCATTTCCAAATTTTTAGTTTCATAACTCTGATTTTTCTTTAAACCTGTTTTATATTTTCTGCATCATTGTAATAGAGAAATCAGTCAACATTTATTTCAGTAATTGTTTGCAACTAAAACATGTGAAACAAAACAGGCTCAAGAGATTCTGACAGCTTGCTTATTTTTCTTGAAACTTCAGTTTGTGTTTTTGACATACATATATCAATGGTCTCAAAAAAGTTTAAAAATTAAGAACATACAGTTTTGTGTTTGTCCTCATGAAGATTACACTTGTGACCCCAGTTTAGCATGAACAAATATTTAAGAGTATGTCATAGTAATGTTTTTGTTAAAAGACTGTCTTTGGACTCAAGCCATATTTTTTTTTGTTTTTTAGGGCCATAGTAGACATTTCTTTTAACATGGGAAGCATGATTTTGCTCATCATGATACATTGAATCCAAATAGCCTGTTCATTGAATCCAAATAGCCACAATGGCTACAAAAATGTGTGTATTTTATTTTACTAGGTATGTGTGGAATATGTGAGGAATTAAAAGGGTAGCTTGTAAAAGGCATCTTGTCCTGCAAAGAGAGTATGTCTGGTCAGGAGTAACACAGTAAGTATACAGATTAGTTTAATAAAACGTAGAGTAAGATTAATTTAATGCAAGCCTTTTTTTTTTTTTTTGAGACGGAGTTTTGATCTTGTTGCCCAGGCTAGAGTGCAATGGCATGATCTTGGCTCACCGCAACCTCTGCCTCCCAGGTTCAAACGATTCTCCTGTCTCAGCCTCCCGAGTAGCTGGGATTACAGGCACGCAACACCACGCCCGTCTAATTTTGTGTTTTTAGTAGAGACAGGTTTTCACCATGTTGGCCAGGCCAGTCTCGAACTCCTGACCTCAAGTGATCCACCCGCCTTGGCCTCCCAAAGTGCTGGGATTGCAGGCGTGAGCCACCACTTCTGGCCTTGTAAGACACTTTTATAAACTTCTGATAAGCAGCATTCTAATATTGAAATACCTGTTCATTATATCAATTGATAAAAAGTATTACAAATGTTTCCAACAAACACTGCTATAGGCCTGTAAAGGAAGAGATACTCTTTACCAGTTCACCACGGAAGTGCTTCACAATAGGTGTGAGCTGGGTTTTGAGTAGACAGGAAGGATGAGATTACAATGAATACTAAATATTTCTCTGGCACTTGATGTTTTTCAAAGCAATTTCAAATATGTAATTTGATTTTACAGCAACTTGATAGAATAAGTAGTAATTGTTATTCTCATTTTAAAAATAATTTGACATTTAGAAGAGTTAAATGACTTTCTTACACAGCTGGTAAGTGGTGGAGGTGCTACTTATACTCCGGTCTTCCAACTCCAGATCATCTAAGTTTTGCATTGTAGCACCCCTTAAATAGAAGGATGGGTCAGGCACAGTGGCTCATGCCTGTCATCCCAGCACTTTGGGAGGCCAAGGCAGGAGGATCACTTGAGCCCAGGAGTTCAAGACCAGCCTGGGCAACATGGCAGAAACCCCATCTGTACTAAAAATTATCCAGGTGCGGTGACATTTGCCTGTAGTCCCAGCTACTCAGGAGACTGAGGTGAGAGGATCACCTGAGCCTGGAAGTGAAAGGCTGTAGTGAGCCATGGTTGTACTGTACTCCAGCAGCCTGGGTGACAGAGTGAGACCCTGTCTCAAAAAAAAAAAAAAAAAAAGGGAAGCGTGGAAAACACTAAACTAATAGCAGTCTGCATGGAATTCAGGTAAAGGAGGTTGGAGATACAGAGTCAGAGAGGGACTCAACTTTTAGCTTTTTAAATGGCTGAGAAAATACCTGTGATGGGAAGGGGTAGGTCAAGCACAGAGGCAGGAGAGACTGTGAGTAAACCCTTGCAGTAATCCAGGCCAGGCATGGTTGTGGCACAGGCCAAAGTGTTAGTTATGGAGGGAAGTATATGGATTCTGGATGTATTTTGAAGGTAGAGCCAACTGGATATGTTGATGAACTGATTGTAGGGCTTGAAGAGGAGGAAACAAGAATGGCTCATGCCTGTAATCCCAGCACTTTAGGAGGCCGAGGCAGGCTGATCACTTGAGGTCAGGAGTTTGAGACCAACCTGGCCAACATGGTGAAACCCCATCTCTACTAAGAATACAAAAATTAGCCGGGTGTGCCTATAATCCCATCTACTCGGGAGGCTGAGGCAGGACAACCACTTGAACCCAGAAGGCAGAGGTTTCAGTGAGCAGAGATCGTGCCACTGCACTCCAGTCTGGGTGACAGAGTAAGACTCCGTCTCAAAAAAAAAGAAAAAAGAAAAGAACGGCTCCAAAGTTTAAAACTTGAGCAACTGGAAGTATAAAATTATGGTTGAATGAGATGGGAAACAACTAAGAAATGAGGAGGCCAGGGTTGACTTAGACCTGTAGAGTTGAGATGCCAATTAAACATTCAAACGGTAAGTTCAAGTAGGCAAGTGGACACAGATTTAAAGTTCAGAGGAGAGTCATGAATTTAGAAGCCGTCAGAATGCAGGTGATGTTTGTAGTGGTAAGATTAGGTGGCATCACTAGGGGAATGATTGTAGATAAAGAAAAGAGTTCCAAGGACTTAGGTCTGGGACATTTCAGCGTTTTGAGTTCTTGGAGATGAGGAGGAACCAGTAAGGAGCCCGATACTTATGCAGTTGCTTTAGAATGAGCTGAAGTGAGGCCACTGAATGTGGGAAAAGCTATAAGGGTTTGTTGAAACATAACTTCAAAGCAACCTAGTGAGTTTTGTCTGTAGACCATGCTGTGGGCCTCATGGTATGATAGGCATTGAATTGTTCAAGAAAAGTCCATAATAAAACACTATAGTGATCAAACATTTTTATTTATGGGATTAAGCCGTTACTTAGTTCTCATAACAGCAGAGTGAGAAGTAAGTAACAGGGATCATTACCCTCATTTTTAACATAAAGAAACTGAGACTAGAGGTGAGAGGGTTACATGTAGTTTTGCAAGTAATAGTAGCACAGTTTTTTTCCCCAAATACCTACTGACAAAGATCTTTATAAATTTCTAGAATGATATATTTTATAAGCAGGAAACAGAGGCCAGAAGAAACTAGAGAAAAGGAGCTGCCATTAAGGAAAATAAGAGAACACTTGGAACCCAAACAGAAGCATGATCTACAAGGACAGGAGGAATCACGCTGTGGTGAAAAGCACTAGCTGAGAATCAGGAAACTTGGATACCAGTCCTGGCTGTTTCACTTTCGGAAAGCCTGGAAGCCAGTTTCTTAAGGCTTAGTGTGTTTCTGAGAACATGACTTTCTTACAGGATGGATTTGTAAGCTCATTAAAAAGGCCTGGGAGGATGCCTAGATACAGGAGTAACTTCTTGGGAGCAGATGAGCTTAGAGGGGGCAACAAATGGAGGGTTTTTTACTTTCCTCTTCATTATTATTTGAATTATTAATAATGTGTATGTGCTACATTTTTTTAGTTTCATCAAAAATTGAAAATGGGAAAAACTGTAAGACAGAATTCAATTAAGCAATTTCTAGACACCAGTAGAAAAATGTGGCTCATATCCATTGATTCCTAAATCTTAATTTCTTCTGCTATAAAATTAGGGAATTTTCAAGAGTCCCTAAAACCAATTCCATCTCTGGCATCTTGTCATCCTATGTAGAGCCACACATTTCAAGATGTGGGGCCCTTTTGTAACTAGTGTATAGAAGACAATCTTTGCACTGATGTTTTCATGAAAATCAGTTAACTGAAATGCTCTGATAACACTATAAGGCTAAAACTGGAATTTGCACCAGTACTAAGTAATTTAATAAAACAATGCATTATGTCAAATAACTACGCCCATCACTTGAATTAGTTAATGTTGTTATAGCCCATTATCCAATTTTACACATGAGAACACTGGGGCTTATCAAGATTAAGTAACATGCCCATGATTATATAGCTGCCAAGTGATGAAACCCAAGCCTGAGTACTATGCCTAAAATCTTTGTTTGTTGATAGACACATAATATTGGTACATATTTGTGGGGTACATGTGATATTTTGTTACATGAATAGAATGTGTAATGATCAAGTTGGGGCATTTAGGATATCCATCACTTTGAGCATTTATCATTTCTATGTGTGGAGAGCATTTCAAGTCCTCATTTCTAGCTATTTTGAGATATATAATGTGTTATTATTATCTATAGTCACCCTACTCTACTATCAAACACTAGAACTTATTCCTTCTATCTAACTGTGTTTTGTTGCCCATTAACCAATCTCTATTCATCCCTCTCACACCCACGTTCTTCCCAGTCTCTGATAATTATTATTCTACTCTCTACCTCCATAAGATCAACTTTTTTTTAGCTCCCGCATGTGAGTGAGTACATGCAATATTTGTCTTTCTGGGCTGGACTTATTACACTTAACATAATGATCTCCAGTTCCATCCATGTTGCTGCAAATGATGTGATTTCATTCTTTTTTATGGCTGAATAGTATTTCATCGTGTATATATACCACATTTTCCTTATCCATTCATGCATTAAGGAACACTTAGGTTGATTCATATCTTTGATGATGAGAATAGTCTAAGCCTAAAATCGTAATCACTAAATACATCTGCTGTCTCAGTCTTTTTGGTGGTAAACGACTTCCTTGATATAGGAAAGCAGTGATTTATTTTGGTTTACAAAGAGAGAAACCAGAATCTGCTTGATTTTTGTCAAGTGCCCTCATTTCTGAACCCCCTTTTTTTAATTTTCAAGTTAACTTTTTTAGTTAACTAAGTAAACTGCTCAATGTTCTTCCTGTGTCTCGTATTGATATAACCCTACCTTCATGTATTTCATTCATAAAATGCATTGCCCCAGCTTGAATGTTTCTGAAACCCAAATGTCTTGTAATTAATGGGTCTGTTTAATGTGACAGTATTTCTTCGTGCTACAGGAAAAATTAAGTCAATGGTGTTTTTTTGTTTTGTTTTGTTTCGTTTTTTGAGACAGAGTCTCGCTCTGTCGCCTAGGCTGGAGTGCAGTGGCATGATCTTGGCTCACTGCAAGCTCTGCCTCCCGGGTTCACGCCATTCTCCTGCCTCAGCCTCCCGAGTAGCTGGGACTACAGGCACCCGCCACCATGCCCGGCTAATTTTTTGTATTTTTAGTAGAGACGAGGTTTCACCATGTTAGCCAGGATGGTCTCGATCTCCTGACCTCATGATCTGTCTGCCTCGGCCTCCCAAAGTAATGGTGTTCTTAAACATGGTGTTGTCCCTGGAGCCAGAAAATAAGACAATAGTCTTTCTGTTGGAAGCACTGTTGCCTTGTTCAACAATCTAGGGACCCATACACCTAGTTTCCTGACTGCGTTCCTGGTCTTAACACACTGTGTTATTCAGATGTCCAGCTTGAGTGTCTGACTTCCACTTCTGTCTTCATTGTCAGCCACGGAGCCCTCTCAGATCTGATCCACTCCTTTGTTGCTTCCTACTTTTCATTCTAAAACTTGATTTGGTTTGCTTACGGTTCTGGTTTCCTACTCAGTGTCCGTGACCCATGTGAACAGCTCTCAAACCTGCCAGAGTATTAGAAGCACCTGGAGAAATTTCTTAAAATTAAAGACTCTAAAGTACACATCAGAAGTGCAAAACCAGTTGCTTGGATTGGAATCTGGAAATCTACATTGAAAAGAGCGCTTTCAGGCACAGCCTGATTAGAATCCCTGCCCATGTGATAGCTTTACTGGAAGCAGGTTGCCAAGTCGATTTCCTCCTCGTTCCATAGTTGTTCAATAGAATGTGAGAAGTTAGGGACTCCGGTATCGTTCTGTCAGGGTATCTTGATTAGGAACTTTTTTATTGAGAGATAATTATAACAAGACTGCATTCTATTCCCTTAAAAAAAGTATCTGTTTATACTTACTGTTGTGTAAACACATCATAGAAAATTACATTTGAAATTACATTTCCCATAGAGGTGCTTATCTTACCATAGAAAGAAAAAAAAAAAGCTTTTGGATTGAGCTGTTTTCTTTTTCTCATTTTTCTTCTTTAATCAAATATAAAATACCTTAATTATGCATTGGAGTTCACCAGCAAATATTTGAAAAAATCATCACCATGCCACATGAACTATGAAGCAATTACGTGTTTATTCCAAGCAGTTTTTGAAATAAGAGATTTCGGCCAATTTCCCAATGGATACTTTTCTTATTTAAATAACAAGTCCAGATCATTGACTTAAAAAAACACCAACAAAACTCCCTTAGTACATGATAGTTTGTTATAATTAAAGTCTTCTGTGAAAATGAAATTATTTATGCTTATTAACTCAATGAATCTTTAATACATGTCTCTGAAATTCTAAGAATCTCAATAGGTTCTGGAAACATAGTTTATATCCTTATGTTGCTGAATGTTGTCTGATTTTATTGTGAGAGAAGGCCTTCTCAGAGCTGAGTGTTTTTGTTTGGTATCTCATACTGTTTCTCAGAGACAGCATATATATGTTAGTTTTTGAAATACGGTTTAATTAGAAAGAACTCTTAAACCAAATCAATGATATGTAGCTTACTCACTTGAGAAATTCAGGGCAAAGCTGATCCTTTTTAGGTATGAAGGTCTAGTTGAAAATATGTAAGTGCTGTGTTGCAAAACAGAATCCTATATCACTGAGCCTTTCCATTCTGCATATTGCCCTTAATTTGCTGTTATACAATTTAACAGCTGTCTCTTAATAGCCATTTAAACTGAGATACTATGTAAGACAGTTATATTTTAGTTTATAATTATTTATAGCATCCACTGGGGAAGTTTAGGTACTACAAGAAGGCAGTGTAGGCTGGGCACCGTGGTTCACACCTGTAATCCCAGCACTTTGGGAGGCTAACACAGGTGGACTGCTTGAGATCAGGGGCTCGCAACCAGCCTTGGCAACATGGTGCAACCCTATCTCTACAAAAAATACAAAAAATGACCAGAGTGTGGGTGGTGTGTACCTGTAGTCCTAGCTACCCAGGAGGCTGAGTTGAGAGAATCTCTTGAGCTGGAGAGGTCTAGGTTGTAGTGAGCCATGATGGCACCTGCACTCCAGCCTGGATGCCTGGGTGACAGAGTGAGACCTTGTCTCCAAAAAAAAAAAGAGAAAGCAATGTAGTAAGTCTCTAGAATCCTCTCATTCTTTGCCTTCTTTGGTTGCTTCTAGCACCATCAAGAAATGATGTTTAAACTCTTTTCAGGAACGCTTACCTATTTTTCACAATCATTACCTTCATTAGATAGCATTTCCTGTTTGGCTTTTTCTCTATTAGCGTGTGAAAAATATTCTTATGGTTTATTTATCCATCGCTACCCCAGAAAACAATAGTCCCTACTAAAAATGTTATATTTATATAGATATAAAGAAGTCTTGAACTTACTCATGCTATTTTTTTCCCCAGAATTTGTTTTCTAAATAAACATTAATAACTTCTTGATTCTATGAACTGCAATTTGTCTGTCAGGAAAGTTATGTAGAGGCATGATGTTTAAGCTAGTTCAGTGTTACCTGAAAGACTGAATGATTCTTCAGATGGACAGAGATTGCACCCAGACAGCAAGCATGGATATTGACAATGTCCTTGTGAAGAACTGTGACATTTAACTTGTTAGGCTGCCACAATTTCATAGATGCTCACAGTAGCTCTTTCTTCACAGATAAAGACTTTTATTATGTCTAGCATAGCAAACGGTATGGAATTCATTTCTGTGATGAGTTCCTCTTGCACCCTAAGTCCCTTGGGGGTGACATGGAGTGCGAAGGTGGATACTGTGAATGCAGAGGACCCTTGTCACAACTGAGGACCCTGAACTTAGGGAACTCTTTTATAATAGGCTGGAAGCAAACCTGTCCAAGATTTTCCCCAGAGAGAGATGTTATACTGATCAGCAAACAAATCTGCCCTCTGCTGTATCTGGCTAGTTTGTCTTTATACGAAAATGTTTAAAAATATAATCTAGAACAAAGGACATCAGATCGGTACTTCTACTGACAAGATGTGCAGAAACCCAAGAGATCCATGGAGAATTGTCTGCCAACAGTCCTGAGCAATGAATATGCTCATGGTTCAAACTCTTCCCACCAGAATTGTCTCCCCACTCTACTAATTCTAATTTATTTGAGTTACCCGTGGAGTGGGTCTTTTTATATTACCTTTATCATAGGCATTATTGATGATCAATAGACTGGCTAAGACATAAATAACAAGAAGTACAGAGGAGAGCTCATCATTGATTTGGCCCCATTTCATACATATGTACTATAAGTAATATTGACCTTTTTGAAGTTCTAGAAAATTCATTAAATACTAATAGCTCAAACTGGAATTCTTTTTAAGGAAGATAGTCTGGGAAAAAAAAGAAAGTTTTGTGTTGGAGAAACAAGAATCGGCTATTTAAAAAGATCTATATAAATACTGAGAACAGGATTAAGTCTTCCTGCAGTCTGAGTCAAATCTGTGGTTAGGGCTGAATGTTTATGACGATTGAGTGATCTGATGAATTACAGGTTTATAGCTTTCTTTTCTAGGTACTTAATTGTCTGCAGGAAGCTGGCTTTTTTGAAGTGAATTTTGTGTTCACTGTTCATATGATTGAAGTTATTAATGCCAAGGATTATTTAGTCACCCCTCCCTCAGTGTTACCAACCAGAAAACTGAGGCCCAAGTCGGCTGGGAGAGTTGCCTAAAGTTACATGTGAGGGAGGAGCAGGGCTAGCCTCTCACATTTCCCTGGAGGGGCTTTGTTTATTCAAAGGGTACAGCTTATGTTAAGGTCAGAGAGACAGAGGGAGCGTGCATGCTCCCAAGACTGATTGATCTCAGCAGGAATTGTAATTCCTCTATGTATAGAAAACTCCACTCTTCACTGTAAATACCAACCCATAGTAGTATTGTATTTGGTAACTGGCCATAATGTATGAAAGCTCATTCCAGTTTGTGACTAGAGCTTGGCCCTAGTATAGAAAAATATTAATTACCATTCAAAATCACTTAAAAAAAGATGACTATCCAAAATGCAAACCCGGGGTTGCCTTAGGCATAATAAACAAATAATTAAACCAATTATAACTTACCAGTGAAACTTGCAAGCTTTGAGAAGTTGGCCTTGTTTCATGTTTGGTGAAAGGCAGAGTGGTTTAATTACTTTCGTCTGTGGACAGAGGCATTTCCATAGAGAGCTGGAAGGGATCTTTGAGAGCAAATGATCAGATGATTTTCACCCGTTTGAAGAACTGCGAGCTCTTGGAACCCCAGAGATAGGGTAGAGGGACCCACTGAGGGTGAAGATCTTCACTCTTACTTATTTCTTATAAAGCCATTTTGCTTATACCTGTTTTGTATCTTGATCTCTGTTACTTAGAAAACATATTTTAAAACACACTAATACAGTATTTTATATTTTGACAGGCGTTGGGTGCATGCATTTATTAAAACTAATTGAGTGCACACTTAAGATTTGTAAATTTTATGTAAAAAGACGAAAAAGTTACTGAACTCAATTATGGCATGCTGAAATATTTAGGGGGAGGTGTACATCAGCGTCTGTGAATTACTTTGAAGTGAACCAGAAGTAAGGTGCATTGATGGGTGGATATAAGGTGGATACCCAATAAAGCAAGTATAGTAACATAGTAATGGTAGAAGGTAGATAAAGGATATATGTAGGGGTGCTTATTGTATGATTCTTTCAACTTTGCTGCATGATTGAAAACTTTCTTAAAATATTATATGGGAAAAAACTCACCAATATAGTTTAGCCCTCTCATTTTTGTAAATAAGGAAAGTGATGCTCAGGGAGAATATGATCAAATCATTGGCAGAATAAGATCTAGTACCAAAAAATCTTCAGAGAACTGGTTCTGCTGCCTGTCTATACATTCCGATTTTAGCATTTGCCCAAGAATTTTTGCATGAATGCCAGAAAAATCATGTATTTTTGATGAAATAATAGTATTATTAATGATGAAAAAAGGCATTTTGCAGGATTATTGGAACTCTTACTTTCATGATGCTATCTTCTCATGCCCATTTGTTAATTTTTATTCTGGTAACATTGAGGCAATTTTTGTGCTGCTTGTAGTTTAATACATTAGAGTTTATTGTGAATTTCTATATTATGTAGTATTTACGGCTTAAATTTTCCTTGTTTTCAATTCACAAGTACCTAAATGCATGATATTTTATGATGAATATCTTCCTTTGAAAGTTCAGAAATGAAGGTAACATCTTAGAAAAGGTCCGTGAACGTTCTATAGATTATTTTGATGTCTTTTCTGAAATTGAAAAAAAAATCGCCTTGCTTCTAGTGTTTGACTAGCATGTCATGGTAAAGGACAACCTAAAAGTGATTTCTCCATTACTCTTGTACTGTTCTAGAACACTTACAGGGTAAGAATCTCTGGAGTCAAGTCTGCCTTAGGTTTGAATTCTGGTTATGGTATTTCCAGATGTGAGAACATGGGGAAGTTACTAAACTTCTTTGAGCCTTTTTTTCCTTGGGTATAAAATGGGAATAATACTAGTATCCTATGGCTCTTAGTATTTAATAGGTATCAGGTGTAACTTTTATTAGTAGTAAACTTAGACTTTGCTAGTGAATGATATATCTTTGTTGTATTATATTTGTACTTATAACATCTATTTATATATTATCTTATTTTTATTTATTGTTGATATTCATCTCTACATGGGATTGTGCTTCTGCATATTTACAGGATTTACATCTTGCCTGTGCAGTGTTTGCTCTTACAGTTGTTTACCCCAAAGCATGAGTCATCTACAAAGCACATTTTAGTTAAGATTGGGCATATTTATTTCTCAATTCTGTTTTCCTTTAAATGACTCTTTTGGCCTTCTTAAATTTTGGCATTGATTACTGCTTTTCAGTTTCCTCCCTAGAATCCAAAATGTAAGAATTATAGAATTGTAGCCTTGCATAACTCAAAATGTGAGAAATGTATAAGGCCGAATTAGTAACTAATTAAATTTTTTATCATTAGCGTAACTTTAAAAAATTGCAGTGCAAAGATGCTACTATTTCTTATTAAGTTGATAAAAAATATTGGTGTTATTTGAAGATGTAATTTTAGACAAATGGAAATTTTAGTTGGAAGATTATTAGATACGTATCTTACCCCCCACAGCATACATATACACATGCATAAGAAGATAGTATAGTAAGTAATGTACATGTAAGATAATAGTATACCATTTGAAGGAAAAATTGTCAAGGTTATATTTATTACAGTTCAATCGTTGTGTAATTTTTTTTGGTCCATCATTTGAAATCCTTTTTTTAAAATAATGTGATACTTCTTAGATTTAAGGGTGACAGAATGAGCTTAAGGTACAGCATCATAGAATTTGGAGGCACACAGTCATAGAACACTTACAGGCTAAGAATCTCTGGAGTCAAGGAAGATGCTTTGAGCTCATTTGGAATTTCAGATTTGTGGTTTTTAACACTTGCTGCACGTTAAAATTATTTGGGGGAGTCTTAAAAATACTAATATTTAGGTTGTATCCCAGATGCATGAAATTAGAATCTCTGTGAGGGGTCCTGAATATTCCTAGTTTTTAAAAGCTCACCTGGTGATCCTACAATGATATCAATTATAAAAAACATTTTCTGGGTTTTTTTTTTCTTTTCCACTGTTTCAAGAGGAAACAGATCACTGCTGTAAATCTTGGTAAAGTCATAGAGCTATTTATCTTTAGAATTGAAATAGCATCTTGGTCTCCTCTTACACGGTGGTTTCTCCCCTCTCCCACGATGCTATCATTTTCATTTCCTCTAGTTTGTGTTTTTTATTTTGAGTTTGTGAGGGTCCCCAAAACCACTGGGGTAGGAGCTACACCTGTAGCTAGGCCTGGTTTTGGTGGATGACCCCAGATGAATCACCCATTTGGATTTCCTGAAACACTGGAGAGTAAATGAAGACCCTGGCGTAGCTCCAGTGTACCTCAACTGGACTAGTCAAACTGCTCTGTAAATAGAGTTCTTCTGTGGTCAGGAGAAAACCCTGTGGCATTTCTAGTTGGTTACTCTAAATCTTATGGACTATGTATTAATTATATTGTACTTTATTCAGTAATAATGGAATATATGTGTAATAGAATAGTTTTAGTTTCAGGCATATATTAGGTTTTTTGAAAAGATGGAAGAATAGGCCAGGCACAGTGGCTCACACCTGTAGTCCCAGCAGTTTGGAAGACCAAGGGAGGAGGATCACTGGAGCCCAGGAGTTTGAGGCTAGCCTGGGCAACATAGGGAGACCCCACCTCTACAAAAATAATAAAAAATTAGCCAGCTGTGTTGGTGTGCACCTGTAGTCCCAACTACTTGGGAGGCTGAAGCAGGAGGATCACTTCAGCCTGGGAGGTCAAAGCTGCAGTAAGTGGTGATCACACCACTGCACTCCAGCCTGGGTGACAGAATGAGACCCTGCTTCAAAAAAAAAAAAAAAAAAGAATAAACAAAAATCAATATTACTTTGTCATTGGAACTTAATAACTTAATTAAAATAATTTTACCTATTTTATGATATTATTACAATTTTGTTGTTATTTATAGACAATATAATTCATATAGTATATATATAATTAACTGACTTTCTGTGTATTCCATAATTATTTGGAATATGGAGTTGTAATATTATCACGCCATCAAGGCTAACCTCCAAATGAATGGCAATATGGAGAAATGTGTTTGTAACTCACTTATGATACATTCTTTGGATAAATACAGCTTATTCTAGGCTTTCATCCCCATTTCTTGCTGTGGCGGGATAATGTTGTAGTCTGAAATGGCATGTGGCCAGACGTGGATGCAGTATTAGTGCCTCTTGCAGGCCTTGTTTAAAACACTCACTCTGGGATACTACTGTGCTTCTTTACTTCCAGACTGACCACTGCTCTAAGCAGTGTTGGGGCAATGCCTGGGCTGCCCGAGCCCTTGAAGTTCAAGAAGAAGCACCTGGACTTCTCATGAGGGGAGGTCAGAGTCAATGTAAGTGACTTCCTAATTTGGGGGGCTAAATCCCTTCAGTGATTGAGGTCTGTATGAAGTCAGCCATATAAATAGCTATTTCCAATGTGTTTTATGTCAGCATCATACCCCAAAATACTGCCATTGACCTAAAATAAAACTTTAGAAGTGTTTCTCAAGTAATAAATGCCATGCGTCTCCTGTGAAAATCATCATTTCCCTGAGTTATCCATTGATATTTTCAATTCCATGAAAATACTACTTTGAGGACATTGGAGTTGCTTTGCACGTTGGCATCAATTAAGAGAAAACTTAGAAAGTCTAATTTAAAAATTACTTGGACTTTATAGCTAAGTAGAGAGCTTTATTTGTCAGGCAGAAATGCATATGTGGGCAAAGGTGAAACATTTATAACTTTGAGAATAGTTTTAATTTTGCTAGAGTTAGAGAATTGTTGTTGAGCATTGTTGGTTAATACAGCTTTATATCATTTCAATGATGTTGCTTCAGGAACTCCCAATCATGTAATAATTCTCAAAAGTAACAGTTCAGTAAATTGTATCAGAAAATACTTGCCATGTACACAAATGGACAATAGAAATGGTAGAAATAATGTTTATTTGTGAGAAATTGTAGGGGAATAGAATTAGGTTTCTCCTATAAGGCAACCTAATTTGATGCTTGTATTAAGATGGAATTTTCATTAAAAACCGAGATAGGTGAGAAAGTGATGAAAGAATAGAAAATATTACAATCCCATTTTCATTCTTATCAAATCCTGAGGATCTAAATATCTTTTCAAATATTCTTTTTGTTTATAAGTTATATGGTAATGGTGTTTGGAGATCATGTGAGGATCATTTATCTAGTACAGTTCAACTTTAGAACATTTTGCATAAAATTATAATAATTTGAATAGGAGGGAAAGCAAAGGTCTACAATAAGTAAAGGTTCAAATTAGCTTATTTTTTTCCTTTGTCATGGCTTAGATCCAACTTAGATAAATTTGAGCAATGAATATTATACAAACAAATGTTTTACAAATAGTACTTTCCTTAATTGAGTCTATCCTGTAACACATTAAAATCACATGCATTGGGAAGAGCGTGGAACATGCAGTTCAAAAGCTTCAGGTATACTCTAAGTTCAGACACCCCTTTTTACTACAGTGTCATTTATGTTCTCTCAGCATCAGACCTGATAACCTGTCCTGCCTACCCTCCTGGGTTGTTATGGGGCCCAAATGAGATGACATATGGCATATGCGAAAGTGCCTTGCTAAGTATAACAAGCTAAATAAAATTTGTTATTCTTTTGGATGCAGCATTTAGAACAAAACTTTTATAAAAATCAGGATATTTTATCCAACAACCTTAGAGATGGTTGTCTTTTTTATACGTGTATTTTGGTTAAAGCAAGAAACAAAGTAATTAATATAGAGTAGGCTAAAATGCATGGCATAACAACATCAAAATGCAAAATAGCTTCAGTTACCATGGCATATTCTGGAATCAAACTGTTTTTATTAGTTCCCCGTCTCCCTTTCTTTAACTTCTCCTCCTTCCTTCTCTTTCTTTCTTAACACTGTTTCTTCCAAATTGAAACGTCTTTTCTGTTTATCTCCTGACCATAAGCTTTATACCCCGGGGACCCTTCTTTCAAAGTGTTATATCACTTAGTTATTCTGGCAGATTTTGTATAAGGCATTTTTGACACCCTTCCCTTGATGTCTTATAGTTAGACAAGGTGACGTTCTAAGCCACTGGACCAGAAACAGGAAAAGCAGTGTTTGGTCCCCAAGGAGTGATAAAACTACAGGTAGTGTTGGCAGGTGTGTATAGTCACACTTCAGCTGAGACTGTTCTGTGGTTTGAAACTCTTTAGCTGTATCTGTCATACCACTTACAGTTTTTTTTAAAAAAAAGTTTAAACATTGCATCACTGCATGTTTAGAATAAAGTAACTCAGAGCAGAAACGTAGAAAAGTAATGCATACAAAGGAAAGTAAACAGAGCATGAGAAGAAATACAGAGAAACCTGAATTATATAATGAAAATGGCAAAGATAAATTTTAGGTTGGGAGATGAGGAGAAGACTTGGATGAGAGAGAAAGAAAAGAAAACTGATTTTACCAGGATTGCTCTAGCTTTTCAGGGCTTATTTCAGAAAAGCTGACTAGGGCTCTGGAACCCAGGGAATCAGTGCTCCCCAGTTGACCTATGCCAAGAACACTGGGAAGGGAGAAAAAGCCAGAAGTGAATGGGTAACAGAAGGTAAGGACTCATTTATTCTGGCCTTCATAGTTTAAACAACATAAACTTAAGAGGAGTATTTGTTTTGAAACTATTGAAACTTATTAGCATCAAATACTTGCTATGATTCTTTGTTATTGGTTGGTTGTTTTTGAAACCTCTGGTTGAAAGAGTGGTTTAGAAAGCTCAATATTTCCGTAGCTATGGTTTGCCATCCTGTTATTACCCTAAGGCAGAAAATTGGGGTTGCTTCTTCTCTATTATTCTTCTTCCTTCGTTTCTTTAATATAATCATCCCTTTTCTTCCCTGCCTTTCTTCCCATGTCTCTTTGTTCTTCCTTTGCTTACTTGTTTTCTGTTCCCCTACTCCAAAATTTTAGAATGATTTATTCAGACTTACAAGTCATTACATGACACTGTAAAATCTCAGAAATATTTTTCTTCAGGCATATCAATAATAAGTAATATCAACTCAAAGAAGATTAATGTGCCACTTTGAATTCTCAAATTTTCTCTACTGTGAAAAGAGACTAGTATTTGAGAAAAACATACAAGTTAAAACCAGAATATTCAGAAATTTGGGCTATTTTTGAGCATTAGCTTATGCTTCTCAGAATTTATATGTATGTAAACACTGGAAATTTTGGACTATGATATTTAGATAGAGCCTAATCTTACTGAGGGTTACTATCTGGTAGCCAGCACAGGATTTGTGAAAATCAGTCTCTGATTCCTTGAGATTTCTTTGTTTACCTGGTTTCTGCATTTGAGTGGTTATTGAGCTGCTGTAGTGTACTTCTGTCTCTCAAGTAGGGATATCATTAGCTGGCTTGTACTTGTCTTGGAAACATTACAAAAAAAGTGCCCCTTCTGAGCCAAAGAATTATAAACCACTTTTCAGTTTGGCTTGGCATTGAAATTGGGCTGAGTTTAGGCCCCTCATGCCACCCAGGAACTTCTGCACATAAATAAACAGTACAATCATATGCAGTAATCCCTAGGGAAAATGTGATTTTTTTTCTCTAAAAATGATGGTGCTTTATAAATCATCAAGTCTTCAAACCACAGCAAAATTTTTTTCAGTCTTAGTCAATAATCAGACATTGCTGACTTTTGTAAGTAAGAGATTATCAACATTTTATCTGTCAAATATTTAAATATTTGACAAATCAAATATTCAAAGCTTTAAATAAAGTAATATTGTAGTAATATGATATAAATAGGAAAGTGCATCGGAAATATAGGTATACCTTTTTTTTTTTTTTTTTTTTTTTTTGAGACAGAGTCTTGCTCTGTCGCCCAGGCTGAAGTGCAGTGGTACGATCTCGGCTCACTGCAAGCTCCGCCTCCCGGGTTCACGCCATTCTCCTGCCTCAGCCTCCTGTCCTGAGTAGCTGGGACTACAGGCACCCACCACCACGCTCCACTAATTTTTTTTGTATTTTTAGTAGAGACGGGGTTTCACCGTATTAGTGAGGATGGTCTCGATTTCCTGACCTTGTGATCCGCCAGCCTTGGCTTCCCAAAGTGCTAGGATTACAGGCGTGAGCCACTGCACCTGGCTGGTATACCTGGTTTTATTGCACTTTGCTTTATGATGCTTCACAGATACTGCATTTTTTTAACACAATTTAATGTTTGTGGCAACCCTGTGCCAATGCCATTTTTCTAACAATATGAGCTCGCTTCATGTCTCTGTGTCACATTTTGGTAATTCTCACAATATTTCAGACTTTTTCATCATTATTATATCTGTTATGGTGATCTGGGATTGATGATCTTTGATGCTATTCTTGGAATTGTTTTGGAGCACCATGAACCATGCCCATATAAGACAGAGAACTTTATCAATGTTGTGTGTGTCTTCTGACTGTTCCACTTACCAACCATTTTCCAGTATCTCTCCATTTCCTTGGTTCTTTCTATTCCATGAGACACAACAGTATTGAAATTAGGCCAGTTAATAACCCTACAGTGGCCTCTATATTTTCAAGTGAAAACAAGAGTCTCACATCTCTCACTTTAAATCAAAAGCTAGAAATGATAAAGCTGACTGAGGATAGTATGTCCAAAGCCGAGATAGGCCAAGAGCGAGGCTTCTTGGGCCACAGAGTTACCCAAGTTTTGAATGCAAAGGAAAAGTGCTTGAAGGACATTAAAAGTGCTACTCTGGTGAACACATGAATGATAAGAAAGCAAAACAGCTTATTTCTGATATGGAGAAAATTTAAGTGGTCTGGATAGATCAGTCAACCACAACATTCGCTTAAGCCAAAGCCTAATCCAGAACAAGGCTCTAACTCTATTCAAGGCTATGAAGGCTGAGTGAGGTGAGGAAGCTGCAGAGGAAATGTTGGAGGCTAGCAGAGGTTAGCTCAGAAGGATTAAGGAAAGAAGCCTTCTCCATAACCTAAAAGTGCAAGGTGAAGCAGAAAGTGCTTTTGTAGACGCTGCAGCAAGTTATTCAGAAAATCTAGCTAAGATCATTGATGGAGGTGGCCACACTAAGCAACATATTTTCAATGTAGATGGAGCACCCTTCTATTGGAAGAAGATGCCATCTAGGACTTTCATAGTTAGAGAGGAGAAGTCAATGCATGACTTCGAAGCTTCAAAGGACAGGCTGACTCTTTTGTTAGGAACTAAGGCAGCTAATGACTTTAAGTTAAAGCCAACGCTTATTTACCATTCTGAAAATTCTAAGGCCCTTAGGAATTATACTAAATCTACTCTGCCTGTGTTCTGTATATGGAACAACAAACCCTGTAATACAGAACACCTGTTTACAGCATGGTTTATTGAATATTTAAGTCCACTGTGGAGACTTACTGCTCCAAAAAAAAGATTCTTTTCAAAATATGACTGCTCATTGGCAATGTAGCTTGTCACTCAAGAGTTCCAAAAGAAATGTCCATGGAGATTAATGTTGTTTTCACACTGCTAACACAACATCCATTCTATATCTCACAGAGGAGCAATTTTGGCTTTCAAGTGTTATTGGTTAAGAAATACATTTTGTATGGCTATGGTTGCCATAAATAGTGATTCCTCTGATGGATTTGGGTCTGAGCAAAGTAAATCGTAAACCTTCTGAAAAGAATTCACCATTCCAGATGCCATTATGAACAATGAGATTCATGGGATGAGATCAAAATATCAACATTAACAGGATTTGGAAGAAGTTGATTCCAACTCATATGAATTACTGTGAGGGGTTCAGGATTTTTAGTGGAGGAAGTAATTGCAGATGTGATGGAAATAGTTAGAGAACTAGAATTAGAAGTAAAACCTGAAGATGTGACTGATTTGCTGCAATCCCATGATAAAACTTGAGTGGATAAAGAATTGTTTCTTATGGATGAGCAAAGAAAGGGGTTTCTTGAGATAGAATATACCCCAGGTGAAGATGCTTTGAGCATTGTTGACATGACAACAAAAAATTTAGAATATTACATAAACTTACTTGGTAAAGCAGTGGCAGAGTTTGAGAAGACTGACTTCAAGTTTCAAAGAAGTTCTATTGTAGGTAAAATGCTACCAAACAGAATAGCATGATACAGAGAAATTCCTTGTGAAAGAGTCAATTGATGTGACAAATTCCATGTCTTATTTTAGGAAATTGTCACAACTACCCCAACCTTCAGCAACCACCACCTTGATTAGTCAGCAGCTATGAACACTGATGCAGGACCCTCCATCAGCAAAAAGATTACTATTTACTGAAGGCTCAAATGACTGTTAGCCATTTTTAGCAATAAAGTAATTTTAGGTTAAGGCATATACTTTTTTTTAGAGATAATTCTATTGCACACTTAATAGACTACAGCGTAGTATAAATATAACTTTTGTATGCACTGGGAAACAAAAAGGTTTGTGTGACTCACTTTATTGTGACATTCACTTTATTGTGGTAGTCTGGAATCAAACCTGCAATATCTCCAAGGTATGCCTGTATAAGAATTGTTTCTATGGTATTTAATGAGATTTGGGGCTAGGAAAGCAATTTGATTTAAATGAAAGATTGAAATTTCAGGAAGTATATATTGAAATAGAAGTACTATACCAGATAATGTTTCTGTCCATCTATCTATTTTTTGACACATTCATACAGCTTTAAGACAATACAGAGAAGGTAGAAACTAGGATGGGGAAGATTTCTGGTTAAAAACTTCACACTTGAAGTCATGATACTTAAATGCATTTTAAACACGCGAGTGACTTAAAATTTGCACGAGAACTGGAATTTGGATATAGTATGATTTTCAGTTTGTTCTTATCTCTGGTAGAAGTTCTTATCTTGTGGGGACAGGAATTCCACAGAGGAAGGTGATGCGGATAGGAAATGGGATACTACTCTGTCTCAGGAAGCAGAAGGCAGAGGGGGGAGTCCTCTGTCTTAAGTACATTTTGGGTCTAATTTGCACAATCTGGTGATAGAATCACTCGAGTTCCATGTATCCCTGCTGCTGTCTTGGACATCAAAGCTGGCATTAGTGCCAGGTATCGTGTTTATTGATATTTAAGCCAGAGTGGACAGTTGCTACCCAGTGGTGCCGTACCAAAGTCAGGAGCTAGAAGCCAGACTCCAAGAATTCCCAGCCAGCTAGCTTTACTGGCAACTCTGTCGTTTCATTAACTTTGCAGTAATGGAAGTTCCTGGTTTGTGCAGTTCAACAACGGTGGTTTTGGACTGTATCTACTTGTAATGATGAAGTTTTATTGCACTAGATGGATAAAATATACTAGGTTAATGTTACTCCTTTTTTCAAAAAACAGTCTCAGTTTCTTTTTCAAAAATAAAAAGTACTAGCTCTGGCCATTGACTATTTATGTTTGTTCCTACAGTCCTGAAATGTGAATTTGATGTTATGCTGCATATTTAGAAACTAGAGTAGAACTCTGCAAACTATGAAGCAACTTTAAGGGTTAAAGAGAGGAAATCCCAAATTCCTAAAATGCACAAGTATGTATAAAAATCTCAATTAGAAAGCTTTATATACCATAAAACAATAGATAGTTTTTGGAAGATATATACTAAAAGCAAATGAAGGACATTCAATCACTCTCTTAGTAATTTTATTTCCGTAGGCGATGTTGTGTAGTAATACTGAATTGCTGGTTCTTATGCTTAATACTGAGCAAGGAACTTTAAGTTTAAAGTCAAGCTAAAGTAAAAATTATTAAGATTATCTTAAGAACTTGTTAAATGTGTTTAAATTTTTTATGAACTGGAAGTTTTAGTTAGTTTTTTTCCCTTTAGCTGTTGCATTAGCAGCCATAGACCAAGTGACAACATCGTTGTTTTTAATAAAACGGATTAATAAAAATGTAAGAGGATTAAGCATTTCAGGTTCTGGCTTCTATGCTTAATATGAGAGTATTGGTTTGAAGCCAGTGTGCCATACATGCTAATTGATTGCTACTTTGCTTGAAGTAATGTAGAAGATTATCTCCTGTAAGATTGTTCATCTAGGGCGGTTATTCCCAACCAGGAGCAATTTTGCCTCCAGGGGACATAAAGCAATGTCTGGAGACATTTTTGATTGTCACATTTGGGGGTGGAGTGTGTTGATACTGGCATCTAGGGAGTAGAGGCTGGAGATGTGGCTAAATAACCCACAATGCAAAGGAAAGCCCTCCACGACAAAGAAATATCTTGTCCAAAATTACAGTAGGGCTGAGGTTGAGACCTCTTTGTTCTAGGAATATTTCCAGTTTGGTTTCTTCTTTATCTCCTTTTCCTTTCCTTCCTTTCCTTTCTTTCTTTTTCCCTTCCTCTTAGTTAAATAGGTATGTGTCACTTGGTATGGAGATGAGTAAGCGTCTCTCTGTTTTACGCTAAATGTAAGCTTTTCAGAGTGATTTCTCAGGGTGTGGTTTTGTACAGAGTGGAAAGGGAGTCGAAAGCCATGCATTGTAACTGTATAACCTTGGGCATGTCACTTATGCTTTCAATTCTTTGTTTCTAAAAATCAGAATTAAATGAGATCTAAGATTTCTTTTAGAGCAACAAATTCAAACTAACTTGGTGAAATCATTGACTCAACCGGACTTGAGCACCCATTTTGTCAAACAATGTGCTCTAAGATTCATATGATACAGAAGACATAGTTCCTGATGTCTAAACGCCTGAATCTAGTTGGGGAGACGGCAGGCATGTAAACAGAAATAACCATACACTGTTATAATAGTTCTAATGAAAGTTCTACAGTAGAACAGGGTAGGAAAGCCACTCTCTATAGGAGAGTTGGGTAAGTCCTCTGAGAGAGGATGGAATTTGAATTGGCTATTGAAGGAGAGTAGGGATTTGCCAGGAGAAAAGGAGGAAGAGCATTTCAGGCAAAAGGAACAGCAAAAGCTAAAGCTTAGAATTACAAAAAGCCCTGGGATGTTCTGGAATGTTGAAAGCTTCTGTCTGTCTCGAACATGCAGATCACTGAATAAAAATATTCTTTTTGTATTGCTTTAACATATCAAAAATTTCCAAAACAATCTAAAACCAGGAAAAATAAATATTCCCATCTAGCCATTGCTGTTGGACTTTAGCTGTTCACTCCTCTAGAGTGTGTGCATCACAAGCACACACAGCCTCATTTACAGTCCCAAGATTCCTTCGGACTTCATTCTCCTACTTTGCTTGTCTTAACTTGCGCCTCATTGTTTATACTGGGACTTGTGATGCAGACAAGTTCAAGTACAACAAATCCAATTTTTTAAAAAGTGTCTGATTTTTTTTCCTCATCAAATTCTCTTGAAGTACTTTTGAATTTTAATAGCCCCCTTGGGGCAGTGGATTTGGGTAATTAAAAATGCTGATTTAATTCACAAACTCAGGAGAAGCAAGTGTCGGACCATCCCATTGAGCCCTTCTACACCACGTGGAGAAGTTGACGGCAGAAATAGTGCCAAGACTTCTGGCCTGGCACAATCTGATGACAGGCAGCACTAATTTTTGGCTTCGGGCAATCAAATGCTGCTCAGCATTGTTTAACAAGGGGTTCTTAGTGTGAACTAAGCCACCAACACGATTTTCTTTGGTAGCCGTGAAAGTCAGCTTAGAGAATGTCACAAAAGGAAACTGTGTATTCTGAGGGAAACTCATCTTTCTATTGTTTAAAGAAGTAGAGGGAGGCCAAGGTGGGCGGATCACGAGGTCAAGAGATCAAGACCATCCTGGCCACCATGATGAAACCTCGTCTTTACTGAAAATACAAAGAAAGTAGCCGGGTGTGGTGGCACATGCCTGTAATCCCAGCTACTCAAGAGGCTGAGGCAGGAGAACCGCTTGACCCCAGGAGGCAGAGGTTGCAGTGAGCCAAGATCGTGCCACTGCACTCCAGCCTGGTGACAAAGCAAGACTCCATCTCAAAAAAAAAAAAAAAGTAGATAAATTTTACTTGAGTTTTTCCTCAGCAAATCTGACTTTTCTCAGGAGAAGGGAGTTTAAGTGGAATAGCTCTGTTGGTTTCCTTTAGAAATATCCAGATATAAAAAGAAGTTTTGTAGTAGATATCACTGTGACTTAAAGAAAGTTCAGGAAATCTGACTTCTATTTCTAGCCTAGCAGATAACTTTTTGTGACACATTATTCCTTGATGTCTGAGATTCTTTCTAGAAATCAATCTAATAATACCTGCTGTTCGTTGCTCAGGACTTCTGAAGTAATGTCTGCAGACTATGTGAGAAGAAAAAGGTTCTATCACACAAAGTATTTTTCCACTCTTGATATCAGCTCATTCCTTGTTTATATGATTAAGTTTGAAGTAGTCTGACATTTGGCAAACTCTTTTTTTTTCCCACCAGAAACTAAAATTCATGATTAACTCACTGCTCGCTATGAATTTGTCACAACTTCACTTAACCTAATAAATATCCCAGAAAGAGCAGACTTGGCTGGAGTTGAATCAGTACAGCTTTACTGATTTGGCCACTAAGTTAAGCCCATACTTTTTAATCTGGATTGAGCTAAGGGGGAATGTTCAGAAATCAAGGTCTGGGTGCATTCTCCCAGAAATCACTGGAGCTCAGCTGGCTTTATTAGCCTGGTGAGAGGAGGGGGAGGTATAAATAAATGCATAGCAGACACCACTTTTTCCTCTGGTATGTGTATAGACCTTTGGCGGTAGTAGTAGAGGGGTTATAATAAACAATTAATGGATGATCAATCTTAAGTATGATATAGGAGAATTTAAAGTATTCTGAGTTCTTAAAGACTATTCACTATATAATATGTGATAACTTATATTCTTTTATTCTGTTAGATTTTGCTTTCTAAATGAATAATCATATACTGCATGTTTTAGAGCAGGGATAGCTAAAATTTTACTGAAACACAGTAAAATTTACTGTGCTTTTGTGCCACAAAGGCAGAGTGAAGTACCTCCAACAGAGGATTTATGGTCCACAAAGACTACAATAAAATATGTACTATCTGGCTCTTTACAGAGAAAGTTTACTGACTCCTGCATTAACTAAACACCTTTTAAAACAAAAATGAATTTCTGCAATTGAGATCAGTTCTCTCAGGGTCATTATTCACCTAGACAAATGAAATTCTTCTTTTGAAAAAGTGATAACAAATACGTTTTTCTCATCATATTTGCTTTATAATACTTGAGAAATTCTTTTAAAATGCAATTGTTTAAATAATGTCAAAAGAAACACTTCTTGTAATTTATAAGCACTCCAGAAAAAAACATATGCATATATGTAGTATAGTGACTGTAAAGTGATCTTGAATAGTATGTTATTGGTTGTGTTAGGGAAATGAATAAATAACAATAACAATAGCAAATGCTTCTAAAGTGCTCCTTGGGTGTCAAGCACTGTTCTAAGTAATTTTACATTTCTTTTTTCAGCAACCATTTAAAGTAGGATAATTGTTACCTCTCTTTCATAGATTATGTGTTTTGTTGTTGTAAATAAAGTTGAAGAATAGGTAAGAAAAACAACTTATAAAATATCATTTGTAATTTATTTCATAGGTTTATGGACACAACAATAATTATATTTATTGAGATCATAAAGCCAAGGCATTCGACTATATTCCATAATTAAAGCATTAAAAATGATAGAGAATAGTTTTAATAGCATAGGAGAGTTATCTTGAATAGGAATTTGATAGTTTTCAGTTCTGAGCTTAATTTAATTTTCTCAAGCTTCTTCTATGCCTAATTTAACTTTATACAGTTAGGTTTCTTTTGGGTTTACTTTTCTCATCCTTTAAAGTTAAAAACATTCAGCTGTGATTAGAAATTGCAGTGATTGGCCAGGCGTGGTCATTCACACCTGTAATCCCAGCACTTTGGGAGGCCAAGGCGGGCGGATCACGAGGTCAGGAGATTGAGACCTCCTGGCCAACACGGTGAAACCCCGTCTCTACTAAAAATACAAAAAAAATTAGCCGGGTGTGGTGGTGGGCACCTGTAGTCCCAGCTACTTGGGAGGCTGAGGCAGGAGAGTGGCGTGAACCAGGGAGGTGGAGCTTGCAGTGAGCTGAGATTGCACCACTGCACTCCAGCCTGGGCGACAGAGTAAGACTCTGTCTCAAAAGAAAAAAAAAAGAAATTGCAATGATTAACTTCAGATACTGCACGGGGTAGTTCTCCATTGAGCAGCTCATTTCACGATACCACACTTGCACTAAGAGAAAGTGCCCTGAGGCAAAGACAAATTCTTAGCAGGTGGCTTGATAATTGATAAGCAGATGTATGGCATTTAGTAGTAAAGTAGAAGCTATGCTAAGTTGATTAGCAAGGAGGTCAGGCGAGTGACTCAGAATTTGGTTGTGAGTAGAAGCCCTAGTGGGGACTTTCCTTTGCTGGAAAGCCAGGTGATGGTTGGACAAGTAGGTGATAAGCAGATGTTTGCAGTTCCGTATGTCACACCACTTCTTCGCCTACTCTGGAATTTGTCTTGAGAAAGCACAAAGGATACAATAAAAAGAGGTGAGAAGCAAAGGTAAGAAACACCACCAGAGACATTCAAAATCAGAAGGTCTCCTAGTTAGGCAGTCCACACTTACGAGATTCACCCTATTCTGCTTTTATGAACCCAAGCACTGCTGTTTCAGCTATTTGACATGTATTATATGCTTTTAACTCTGAAAACGCTGTGTGACTTGTTCCACATAGCACCATCTCTTCCAGGTTGTTTCTTTATACTGAGCGTTTCTCAGTTGATTAAAAAATGTTGTGTGAACAGGAAGTATTTCTAATAGAAAGTATTCCTCATTCCTGATTAATACCATTTTTGCAAAGTTCTACCACTGTAACTGTTTACATCAAGGCAAAAGGCAGGCTAGTGAATAAGGATGACTTATAAATCCTTCAGACTGGGAATGCCTATCAGCATCTGCAGTAACTGTGCGTAACTGAGGATGGAGCTCAGTCATGGGGCTAGAAATGAAGACAGAATGGGAAGTTAGTACTGCTTTTAACTGGACGTTCTGATATTTAAGCTTCAGATTTTCTTCTTTTTTTTTTTAGAGTTTGTTTGTAATCTGTTGTTATTGAAGAGATTTGGAATTTCTTGTCAGAAAAGTGTTTAAAACATCACTTAAAGTCAGTTGCATTCCTTGTTTGCTTGACTCTGCAAAAAAGGCCTTCTATTTTATATGCATTGATTTGACCATTTAAACTTCCTCCGAGACAATAAACTTGCTGAACTGTGGAATAAATTGTGATATTGAATTGTTCAATGTATGGAAAAGAGCTGTTAAAGCTGCAGTGTAAATTCCAGTTGGATATAATACCACTCTCATCAACTATACATAAGACACTTATGTTACCGGGGTACATTTACAGCTTCCGATTAGAAAGTTAAAACATCTTTAAGTATATGAACTTTCTCAAAATATTCTTGCATGAGACATCACAATTTTATACTGTACTATATGTGCAAAACCAATACTCTAGCCTATCACATGTATTTTTCAAGCCTACTTTGTTTGCTGCTGGTGGTGTTGATTGCAGTAATGGGTACTTAAAGCATCAAGTTATCTCTGCCTCATTCTGCATAATTGTTCAGTGGATTCACTTCCCTGTCAGATCAATCTCCCCCCATACACTCCCTGAGATGTTATCTGGGTACATAGAGCCCAGTGTTGTCCTGTGACATCATGGTCTTGTGGGGAGAGGACGCCTCAGATCTGAGTGTTGTTCCCCAGGTTCTCTCTGGCCTCCCCTGGGAGGCAATGATTCCGGTGTTGTGCCCGTACAGTTCACTATGGAAATCAGGGATGATGGGTGTGTGTCTCAGCTGAGGCAGACTGCACAGACCGTCATCATCATGGCGCATCTCGAGGTCTGCAGTCCATTCCATCCTGGCAGCCTGTCCATCAGCTATTAATTTCAGAACCACTTTGACTCTGTTGCAGTGACCATCCTTGGAAATTTTATCCAGCCATATCAGGTACCTTCTGCCTCTTGCACAGGACTTAGAGAAGTATCCCAAATGTCATCTTTGCCCATGGGAATTGAGGAGGGCCTGGGAGTGCTAGCGTGGATGGCTTCTTACCTAGAATAGCAGCCCTGTCTTTTTATTCTGACAGGACCACACCACCTCAGAGCAGGTCCGCTCCACAGACACTTCCCTCCCAGATTTTCAAGCACTCTCCACTTCTGCTTTTCTTCCAGTATGTCCGAGCAGCTCCCCTCCACTGCAACCTTCACCATTTCAACACTTGATGTGGGAGCTGGGACACATTTGAATGAGTCCTCTGCTGCTCCTCTTATCCCTCAAATTGTTATGAACTCCTTTTAGTTCTCCTTTCTGTTTTACTGGAAATTCCTCTGTGTCTCATCCACCTTCCACTGGTGACGTTCATCCTCTCTTTCTTTTTTTTGAGATGGAGTTTTGCTCTTATTGCCCAGGCTGGAGTGCAATGTCACGATCTTGGCTCACTGCAACCTCTGCCTCCCAGGTTCAAGTGATTCTCCTGCCTCAGCCTCCCGAGTAGCTGGGATTACAGGTGCCTGCCACCACGCCCAGCTAATTTTTTGCTTTTTTTTTTTTTTTTTTTTTAGTAGGGACGGGGTTTCACCATGTTGGCCAGGTTGGTCTTGAACTCCTGACCTCAGGTGATCCACCCGCCTCAGCCTCCCAAAGTGCTGGGATTACGGGCATGAGCCACCATGCTTGGCCTCATTCTCCATTTCTAAGTGCACAATGCCTGCTGGGAAACACTTTTTATGACATAAAAAATAAAAAAATACAATGATGTTTTTAAATATTAATCTCTTGCCTTTCATATGTGACTTAAACTGACTACATTTATCCTGACAACTAGAAGTTGGAAGATGAGGCCTCTGTGTCAAGTGGTGATAAAATACCTTGTAAAGATGGCAGAAAGTGGTGTTTACAAATCAGACACAAGACCTGACATCCCCCTTTAGGGAAGTGTCCCAGTGTGCTGATGGCACTGAGGAAGAGATTCACTTAAAGAGAAAAGGGCAGAGGTAAAGGAACAGATTTTCTTCTTATTCTGTACCACGTTCTTTCTTTAACACCTGGGTTGATTTGATTCCAACAGACTCCCTGGATCACCTGTAACCCATCTCCTGGTGGCCTTTGTGGCTCCTTAGTGGCTCCAGGAAACTGATACATTTTAACATGTTTGTCACAATGGCCGTAGGATTCCATAATAAAAAGATAACTGTACTATTTCTTACTGATTAAAAACACCTGTAAGCCAATCATAGAAATTGGAGTAAAAATATTAAGATTAATTAACCTGAACCAAAGATCTGTGTTTTCTTTGTTATAGAATACTGCTGGGGAGAGTCAGTATTTTGGGGTTTGTTATTTTGTTACAGCGAATACTGAGATTATAAAGGGAATTTCTGTAATCAGAGTAGCAGATAATATTTCCCAAGTGCCTTAACTGTTTCTAGGCACTTTATATAAAATGTTTTTAAAATAATAATAATATGCAGTAGTTACTCTCATTTTGCACATAAGGAGATGGAAAATCAGAAAGGCTAAGTCACAAAACTAAAAGGCAGTGGAGTTGGGATTAAAATTTAGACTTGTTTAAGATCAGCATCCATGTCTTTTCAAGTTAATAAGCCTCAGTAAATAAATCATGCTAGAAATACCTCTGTGACAGAAAACCTTGTGGGAAATAAATAATGCTTAATGCTTAGTTACCTTAGGAACACACTTGGGAAGTTATGCTGAAAGAGTCAGTATTACCTGTCTGGCATCTGTCTCTTTTGCTCTAGCAGTATTTAAATTTAATGTAGTACTAATTTAATGCACATGATCTATGCTTAACCTTTTTAGACCTTAGTATTATAAAACTCAGATGGAGGAAAACAAATAAAAATAAAAAACATACAGCTTAGCGAATTACAAGCTGAATACCCATGTAACTACCACCCAAGTCAAGAAATAGAACATTTCCACTGGCTGCAAAAGCTATCCATGTGCCCTTCATGATCACAGGCCTTTTCCATTCTTCAAATGTAACTGCAATCTTGATTTTTATAATAACCACTTTTCTTTATGGATGTATCAGCTAAAAGTGCATTCCTACACACTATAGTTTAGTCTGGCCCATTTTAGAAATCTGATGTCTTTTAAGTCTTTTAATCTACAGGTTCTTCTTCAATCTCTTTCTTTTCCTTATAATCTATCTGAGGGAGAATTTGTACTTGTACCCTTTAACTAGTATAATTTACCTTAATCTAGGTGTTACTGACTTGGAAACTTATAATGCATTCAACCTGTTCCTCTTTTATATTTCCAGCAATTGGCAGTTGGATACAGAGATGTAATCAGAGTTGAGTTAATCTCTTGAGTGGTGGTGTGTTCTTTTATCAGGACACACATAATGTCTGGTTTTAACTTTTTTTTTTTCATGTCAGCAGCTGTTGATTCTTAATGGTTAGAAAGATCGTTGATTCCTTGAGAGTTGAAAAATGATGATACTCTATCATTCTTTTTAATTTATATAATTTTAAATATTTGATGTGTTCTAGCCCACTATAATTAAAATAATTAGAAATTCATTTTGCTTCATATATATATATATATTTTTTTTTCTTTTTTCTTTTTTTTTTTTTTGAGATGGAGTCACACTCTGTTGTCCAGGATGGAGTGCAGTGATGTGATCTCAGCTCACTACAACCTCCACCTCCTGGGTTCAAGTGATTCTCCTGCCTCAGCCTCCCAAGTAGCTGGAATTACAGGCATGCGCCACCATGTCTGGCTAATTTTTAATAGAGACGGAGTTTCGCCATGTTGGCCAGGCTGGTCTTGAACTCCTGACCTCAGGTGATCCGCCTGCCTCGCCCTCCTAAAGTGCTAGGATTACAGCTGCACCTGGACTATTTATATTTTTTAATTGTATTTGTTTGTATAATTTGATTGTATTTGTTTGTATAGTTATAATGCCCAGAGCAACTACAGTATACATATGTAACTGTATACACAGTCTACTGGTATCGGCGTTTTACAACACTGAATGAAATGTAGAGATCTGCCGGTCATGGTGGTGTAATCCCAGCACTTTGAAAGGCTGAGGTGGGTGGATCACCTGAGGTCAGTAGTTCAAGACCAGCCTGGCCAACATGGTGAAACCTTGTCTCTACTAAAAATAATTTTAAAAAATTGGCTGGGCATGGTGGCAGGCGCCTGTAATCCCAGCTACTCGGGAGGCTGAAGCAGGAGAATAGCTTGAACACGGGAGGCAGAGATTGCCGTGAGCCGAGATGGCCCCACTGCACCCCAGCCTGAGTGACAGAGTGAGACTCCATCTCAAACAAAAAGCAAAAAACGAAAGACACCCAGAAATGTAGAAACCTTACTTCCACTTAGGTCTCTTTATTGTCCCTACTTTTAAATATCATTATCTTGAGTATCAGAGATGGTGTTATAATTTTTGTTGCAATTATCCAATATGATTTATAAAACTCAGGAAAAGAATAGACTATTATGTAACCCCAAATTTCTGCTACTTCTGTTCCTCTTTCTTCCTTATTCATGCTCCAAGATCCCTTCATTTATCATTTATTACTGTTTCTTAGTCTATTCTGGAAGAACTAGGACACATCTATTTATTTTTAACAATAAAAAAACCTGATGTGTTTGTTCAAATATGTCCAATTCCAATTTTGGATGACTGGGTTTTTAGTTATTCTCTTTATTTCACTTTGGCTCTCAAGGACACAGGGGACATTAGAATTAGAATATTCCATAATTATTCTATCCCACATTTCACATACACATTCTCAGAATAACTATGCTAGTACTATTACTACCAATTCTGATTACTGAAAACAACAAAACAAAATGACTTTGTATATGCTACATCTATTACCTACTACTTTTTAATTGTCAGAGCTTATAGCTGTCACATACAATATTTTCTTCTCTCTAACCCTCATTTATTTTTATTCTGCAAGTGATTTTTTTATTTAATGCTCTGCACAGTTTCTTCTGTTGATCTTCCTGTTGTCATTTTGATGTTTTTTATGCAATTTATTTTAATTTTTTGAAATTTGGTCTCCAGTAGATTTCTTAAGAAGGACTAATAGCAACCACATTTTGGATCTACTTAATGTTATGAGCAGTTTTTGTCCTTTATATTGAAGGGTGTTTTACTTGGTATAAAATCTTTGACTCACATTTTTATTTTTCTGGGCATCTTAATTATACTTTCTGGTTTATTCCCTTCCCCACCCCCCCCCCAAAAAAAAGCATTGCTCTCAAAGAAAATTATTTCTTTTTTCTTTTATATGTCATATGCTCCTTTTATCTAGATACCCATAGGATTATTTTTTCTTTCTTTAAAGAATTTTCATTTAAATTTAAAGAAAATTTAAATTTTATTTTAAAAAATTTCAGCATTTCCTAGATTATGTATTAACGTTGGCATTACGGGTTGATACTTTCTGGTACACCATGTGCTCTTTGGATACACAGTTTGATATGTACTTTAGAAAAAAGCTTTTTGAATTATAGTTTTAGTGTTTGTTTGGTTCCCTTCAGGGCCTAGATAATAGAGTGGATGTGTTTTTCTTTAATTATTTTGAAAGTACCATCCCATTGTTTTTTAGTGTCTTATGTAAAACTTCAGAAGCCATTCTGAGTCATGTTTTATTGTAGGTTTCTCTTTTATTTCTGATTATTTTTGGTGAGCCTTCATGATCTTGATTTTATTCCCAGTGTTCTGCAGTTTCTCAAACAGGTGCCTTAGTGCAGGTCTTCATTCTTTCAATGGATAGGCACTAGGTGAACCATTTTTATCTAGACAGTCTGGTGCTTCCGCCTGAGGAATTTTCTTCCATTATTTCTTTGAAATTTTCTCTTCCTTTCCTTAATTTTCTAATTTTACAACTCATTAGTTGAATACTTGGTCTTCTGGATGAATTTTCTAATTATTTTTATCTTTATTTGTCTACTTTCCATCTTGACACCTTTTTTAAAAGTGTAATCACCCTTTTTAAGTATACAGTTTTATATGTTGACAAATTACAGTCATTTAACTGCCACACAGTCATTGCAAAAATTCCCTGTGCTTATTTGCAGCCAGTCCCTTTCCCTACCTTTGGCTCCTGCCAACCACTTTCTGGAACTTTCTGTTCCTAGAATTTCTCCTTAAAATCTTTTTTTTTTTTTTGTACTCCTTTCTGTAGGTTTCCTCAACCTGTATATAATATTTTTAAACTACCCTTCTAATAAGTATTTTACTTTAAGTTACATTTAAACCTTTTTAAACATCTATTCTTGCTTCATGGTTGCAATGTCATTGTATCTCTTTGTGAATATTAATTATGATTTCCTGGAAGATTGTTTTCGTGTTTCCTCAGAATTCTTTTTCTCTCTTTGTTTTGCTTTTTTTTTTAAAGTTGAATATGTTTCTCAGCTATCTGATGGTTCTTAATGATGTAATGATATTAAGTTTGAAGTGCAGAAAATCTGATCAGAAGCTCTATGTGCATGGATGGATCTTGCAAACTTTGAGGCTTCATCGTAGAGTGATTGAATAACTAGCTGGTCATTGATTGGTGACCCTCAAGTTATCTGTAAATGTTTTTCTTGGTGTGGTTTTCTACTTTCAGAGAAATAGCCACCAATGTCCTTCTTGATTATATAAGCTGCCAATCTTCTTGATATGGGGCAGGAAAAGGGGGCTTTGAATCTTACTAATGACTATGCAGAATACCACTTAACCCTCTTGTTGTGACTCTTATGCCTCATGCAGGTTTATTATATACTTAGTGTTCCTATATCTTGCATCTGACTAGTGCATTTCCTCTGATATCTGTAAAACTTCTTTATTCTATGTAGCTTAATAGATCTGAATAGGGTAAAATCTGGGCATACAGACATTTTTTTCAACAGATTTTCAAATGACCCACTGTTTTTCACAGCGAGCTTCATCTCAGCCTTCCATTACCCTTGGATCCTCAAGCTATTGAAGCTTTCTAGAGTTCTACAGGGCAAATTGGTTTGTTTCTTCTTCATTATTACTGTAAGATTCATTCTTCACCTCTGCTGGGCCACTAATTCTCTATCTACTTTTTCTTTGAGTCACAGGTATTTTTTAGTTTCATTTAAGATAGTGTCTAGATTTTGGTTTCTTGTTTTATTTATTGCTTAAGGGAAGTTTTTGAGAGTAGAAAGGTATGGAAATGTCTTCACATCAATCTTGAAATGGGAAGTCTACAGCAGCTATTTGCTTAAATATTCCTATGGACTTCTTGTACATAAACTGCAGCCTTTTGTAGCATTCGACACACGTATTTTTCGTGCTGGAATTTTCTTTCCTTTGATTTTCATTACTCTCTTTTAAATCTTGCATTCTCTTTTGTCTATTTTTATGGTGCCACTTTTTATCTATTCTACCTCTTATACATGGATACAATTCAGATTTTTATTATTGTCCTTCTTCTGTCTTTTCATCAGTGATCACTTTTACTATCACATCTAGCATTGACCTAACTAAAATTCCACATATCTATCTTCTTTCTGGACATTTTCATTTATGTTTTTTTTCTGTTTTCATGACAGCACAATTTTTCTATGTAATTAGGCTTGACGTTTTGGAATTACCTTTAACTATAATTTATGTATTTAATTGGCAATTAAATCTGTTTGGTTCTTTCTTCAAAGTTGTATGTGATTACATTCAATGTTTCCATTCCATCACTGCTGCTTGAATCCAATTTGAACTATTTTTTTCTCTTTCTAATATGAGTTATACAGTGCACATTCGTATACTAAAGAAATCTACTGAGTGTAAATTTCATAAAACTGATGTAAGGAAGTTGGAATTTCTAAGAACTTAAAAATACATACGTGTATTTATATTAAATTCAACACACACACACACTGACACATATATATATTCATTAGGCATAAAATTCATTAAAGAGGTTGGTAATTTTATGGTGGCTGAATTCGTTATATGAAAAGGATAAATTTATTTCTTAATTGTTCAAAAAAATGTTTCTCATTAATATGCACATATGCAAAGTAGAAATGGTTCCAAGCAAAATACCATGAGATTTTTTCCTCCTAGATATTCCTTCCTATGTTATTGTTAGGAAAGATATGATGAGGATATGTGACTTTTTCCTTATACCGTCAATTTTATTAGAGAGCAGAATGCACATGGCCAACCTTTGTTATTTAATTTCTGGACTGAATATGATATTGGGCAGAGCCAGACTTGCTTTCATTTGATAAGCCTTCACCATTTTGGGGGCTATTTCTTCCTAGGCTGTTCTACATTCTGCCATTTAGCTGAAAATGCCATACATTTGCTCAACTCTGTCTCTTAGATTGCTTATTTTATTATTTGTACAGAATAACTCAGAATTTAACATAATTCTGTTATATCAGAGATTTTATGATCATTTTATATCATTTAGATCTGAGACAGGTAGGTTTTCTCCCTCTTCAGGTCTTCGTAATTGTGTCAAGCTCATATAAAACTTAAAATGGATGCCTTCTTGGTATGTAAGTTTGAAAGACATGATTTGTTTGTTTATGACTCGCGCTATTGCCTTTACTTCTGAACACAAAGAACTTACTTAATGGGTCCTTGCTGTGTGATGATGCAGAGATGATTTCTACTCCTTATTTATCAGTTTATAAAAGAGAGACTTTGAGAAGGGGTAATTTTTCTGATGTCCTACAGAATAAATTGAACTTGTCGTAATGATGAGGCAAGAATCCCATTTTAGGAAAGAGTCTAGAGTTAAGTGGAAGAGAAGAAATCATTTGAAAGCATAGATAGCATGTACCATGAATGGATGAACCAAAAGTGCAAGCCATTAGAGCATAGTGTAGAATTTATGCAGAAGGTTAGAGAGAGAGGACAAGCTTGCTGAATGGATGACAAAACTAATATAGTTTGTAATTCATTGTTGCTGAGATTTAGTAATTGATCTAATTTGGCATTACTCCTTAACAAATTGTTTAGATATTTAATGCCCAGTGTCAACATAAAAATGTACCTGATTTGAAGTATATTCATTTGAAAAGAAACTTAAAATTAATCTAAATGTAGGAAATAATTGTCTAAACAAAGCACTCCCACATACAAGGACAAAATCCTATAACCAATAGCTGTTTATTAGTGTTTATTTTTCTAGATTTTAAAACATAATTACTGCATTTCATAGGCCACTAGGGTTCAGGTAGTGTGATAATCAATGACTTTAGGGTTCCTTCAGTCTGATTTTAGGTCTTGGCTAGTACACTTACTAGCTGTATGGTCTGGACCCAGTTACTTTTCTTCTATTAGTAATAGCAAATGATTCAATGTGTAAGGTGTCCTAGTCAATCTTGTGTTTTAAGTTTTGGATATTAACACCTTTATTCCTCAGAGAAACTCTAGATATTATTGACCCATTTTACAGATGGAAATGGGCACTCAGAGAAAGATTAAGTTGCTTTCCCAAAAGAACTCAAATCATGGTTTCTTCATCAGGAACATTTTGCTGATATATTTTTATTTTTTGGCCATTTCTCTCCACAAACATTATGCTCCCAACAACATTGGCATTTGCAGTTGCTGGAATAAGTGAGCCATTTTATATCTGTATGGCTTTGTCATGCACTTGCCTCCAAGGTGCTTCCCACCACCCTCCTTTTTTTTTTTTTCTAGCTAACCCTCCATCCTCCGCCAAGACTCAGTTTGAACAACAGCATCACTTACAGCAGGAAGCCTTCCTTCTCTGTCCACCTTAGGCTGAACTAAAAACAATACTGTGGGCTCCCATGTCATTCTTCATGTTTTATCTTTTCATTTTGCATTGCAGTTACTGTTTTGTCTATCTCCATGATTGGGTTGAGGCAAAAGTAACCTCCTATCTGTATTTGTATCACCAGAACGTAATCTAACCGAATACCTTCCAGTATAAAGTAGTAGGGAAGTAATTGAGAGCAGAATGTGTGTGTGTTTGTATGTGTGTGTATATATTTTACATAATTATATATATACTATATATATTAATTATAAGCTGTGGAATTTGAACAAATTATTTATTTTTAGCTTCTGCTTCTTCCATTGTAAAAATGGGTTCAATACTATTCCACCCTCATGGGATAACTGTAAGAATAAAGATAATATATGTTAAGCGCATACATGCCCTTAGAATGCTTACTTAATAAGTGACAGCTGTTTTTATGATCATTATTAGTGTCTTAGATTATATGGAGACTTTTCATGTAATCACATATGGACATTTTCTCAGGAAACCAAAATGTGTAGTTTATCACTGGTCCTGGATCATGGGCACCATTTATTTTCATGTCAGATATTTTCACTGAGAATATTTCAGTTAATTGTTGAAAAGAGCAGAAAATAATTCTTCACTTACCAAAGGTGAATAGGACATTCAAGTTCCCTTTATTCGCCTTTAAATTTGCAACATTTGTCTAGGTACGTTAAATCAAAATTAATTGTATTGCAAGATTAACTCCATTATTCATTTCCTTTACTCAGCATATGAGTAAAGATTGCTAGCTCATTCAAATAGAATCATTGCTTAAATGGATTTTTCTTCCTTGCAGTCTAATTATTTAGTGGTTTTAAAACCTGTATTCAAAACAGAAAATTTTAAGCTTTCATGCAAAAAAGCAAAATGTTTAATTTCTTAAGAGTCATCTCCACGATAAGATAGAAAAACTCTCTTCATTATTTGTATGTACTGTAATGTTAATTTTATTTATGCTCTTATAAACCTTCTGAGAGAGCCTTGTGAGTTCCAAATTTTAAAAGATCAGAAGTTTTTTCCTCCTTAGTAATATTTTATATTTTTTATTTCTTTCTTATACTCTTCAATATGATTTTTCTTAAGCATAGATTAAATGCACGTAAAAGAGAATGCTTCCTTGAAATAAAACTGCTTATCTCCTTAAAAATTGGACCTTTAAAATACTCATGCCAGGGAATATTAAGTAAATCATGAGTCTGAGTTCTAGCTGTGGTTATTTGGAAATTGTTTCCTATCGTCTTCCTAAGCCACATTTGGAAAATGTGAAGCAAAATACTTATTACTGACCTCATCACTTAAAGCCATGAAAAAAAATGCATCTACTATATAAATAAAGCTGCTAAATTAGATTGGAGTTATTTTTTATTTCTGACTTCTTGCTCTATATTTTATTGGGAATTGATCATTTATAGTTAGGATATTTTATTGCAGCTACATGTGCACAGTGTATATTGGCTTCTGCTCATCATGGTATTATTAGGTTTTCCTATTCCGCTTTCCTTTTAGGAATTGACCTCTTTGTGGTTGTACATACACATTTTTAGTAGTTTCAGATAAAGTCTTGTTTTATGCTTTATGGGCTCAGCTATTTGAGAATAAGCTGTCTTCTGATATATCTTTATAATAAAATAATGAAATGCCCCTTTGGAAGTACATGTAGCATTTGAAGATGCTTTTATTATTGGTACTTCCAACAGCTGGTTTTAAGCTATGTCCGATGAAAAGATTTTTTAAAATGTACTGTATTAAAGTTATTTTTGTACATCAAATTTTGACATTCTATTGCTCTTTTAAGCAACAGAGTCTAAATTATTTGTCTTCTCTGACCTACATGGTAGACTTTGAAGACCTGGAATTTATCTGTATTTTTAACAGCAGTCTATGCGTCTAACAAAGTGATTAGCACATGATTTATACTCAAACAATGTAAGAAAAAGAAAGAATGAGTGGTTAAGGGTATATTCCTTCACACACAAATAACATCTTATGCAAAGTTCCTGAGGCAGGAAGAAGCGTGATGTGTTCCTGGACCTGAAGGAAGACCAGTGTTTCTGGAGCATAATGGGTGGCAGGACTATGGCATGAGGTGAGATTATCAACTTTATCAGGGACTTAAGGCCATATTTTTTAAAAATTGGATTTCTTTCACAGTATAAAGAGAAATAATTATGGGGTTTTAAGCAGGAGATGACAAAGTGAATTTTAGAGTGTTTAAATTTGCTGTTCTCGGAGACTGGTTCAGATGTGGGCAAGAATGAAACCAGGAGAAACCCAGTAGGAGGCTTGTACAGTATCCAGGGAAGAAGATGGTGACTCTTGTGGTGGTGGTTAGTGGAAAAAAATAAGATTGAAACTGGGAGAAGATAAAATCTGTGAGATTTCTGCAGATGTGTAATTCTGGCATTAAGGCTACACATTAGGGGTAGTAGATCAAAAGATTTTAGATATGCTATGTGGAAGATGTCTGAGACATCCAAGTAGAGATATCAATTAGGCAGTGGATATGGGAGTCGGTAACTCAGAAAAGAGGTTTTAATTCAACAAATGAACTTGGTAATCTTTGATATATCACTATTATTCAAATACACAGGCATGGGTATAATAATCTGGGAGGCAGTATTGAGAAGGAAGCAAGTCCAGGGATAAAGCTTGAGAAATTCAGACATTTAGGAAATAGAATTTTGCAGAGTTAGCAAATAGACCGATGAGGAATAGCTGATGATATAGGAGAAAAAGTAGGATTGTGAGGACCGAGAATGAGTGGTCAGCCTTGCCTGATGCCACTGAAACATTACTAATCTTGGCAAGAGAAGTTTTAGTGATGTGAATGGGACAAAAATTGAGTAGGATTTATTAAGTAGGAGAGGAGGATCTAACGGCAGCATATCTAGACAATTTTCAAACATTTATCTGAATGATTAGCAGATAATGGTATAGAAGTATTAGGGACACTTGGGATCAGGGGATGACTTTGAAAAGAATGATACATATTGGAGCAATTTATATGTTGACAGAAGTTGTCTAGTAGAGAGAGAATGGTTGGTGATTCATCAGAGGGCAGAGATAATGGTAGGGCTTTCAGTGTGATGTATATGACAACATCATAGTGAGAGAGGGTAAGGGAGCTATGTACTTGTCATTTTTTAAAATTTGAAATGATAAAGTTATTCTAAATAGGTGATATAAAGTATGAATTGTATATTGTAAACACTAGAACAACAACTAAAAAGATTATATAAAGAACTGTATAAATGATTATAATAAAAAAGCCAAGAGAAAAATTAAAACGGAAATGTAAAATATATTCAGATATCTCAAAAAATGGCAGGGAATGAAAAACAAGAACATAAATGTGTTAGGCAGATTCGAAAGATGTCTTGCCACCTCCACCCCAAGATACCTGTCCACAGGCTGTTCAGTCAAGCTAATCCAGGTACAGTACTGCTCTGAAGGGACTCTGCAGAGGGAATTAAGTTTGCTAAACAGCACACGTTAAAACTGAGGGATTATCCTAGATTTTTCAGGTGAGCCCACTGTAATCACATAAAGCTCTTAAAAGCATAAGAAAACAGAAGAGTCAGTTGGAAAGATGTAGCAGAAGAGAGAAATTAGAGAGAAATGAAGCCTGAGAAGATCTCAACTTGCTGTTGTTGGAGTGGCTAGGTGAGGAGGAATGCACGTGGCCTTAAGGAGCTGAGAGTGGTTCCGAGATGACAGCCAAAGAACTGGGACTTCACTCTCTAACTGCAGGGAACTGAATTCTGCCAACACTGAATGAGCTTGGGAGCTGAGCCTTTTCCAGAGCCTCCAGAATGGAATGCAGCTCTGCTGACACCTCAAGATCAGCCTTGTAAGACTCTAAGCAATGAAAACAGCTGAGCCAAGACCGACAGGAGTTGTGAGATAAATAATGTGTTAAGCCACTAAATTTGTCATTCCTTTTTTTTTTGAGACAGGATCCCACACTGTCATCCAGGCTTGAGTGCAGTGGCATGATCATAGCTCACTGCAGCCTTGACCTCCCAGGCTCAAGTCCTCCCACCTCAACCTCCCAAGTAGCTGGGACTAGAGGCACATGGCAGCATACCCAGCTAATTTTTTTTTTTTTTTTTTTTTGTAGAGACGAGGTTTTCCCATATTGCCCAAGCTGGTCTGGAACTCCTGAGCTCAAGCAATCAGCCCATCTCATTCAACCAAAGTGCTCGAATTATAGGCGTGAGCCATGGTGCCCGTAAAAATTTGTCATTCTTTATTAAGGCAGTAATAAAAACAAATGCATATTTTCGTTTCTGAAGTAGGGTGCTTCAGCAACAAATACATAAAAATGCATGAGTGGCTTTGGAATCAGACTATGGGAAAAGACTGGAAGAATTTTGAGGAACATTATAGAAAAAGCCTAGATTACCTTGAACAGGACAATAGTAGAAATTTAGAATCCTTCTGATGAGGACTTAAAAGGGAATGAGGAACATGTGATTGGAAACTGGAGAAAGAGGAACAATTGCTATATGATGAAGAGAGACTGGCAAAATTATGTCTTGTAGTTATGTTGCAAGCAGAACTTTTAAGTGATGAACTTGGATATTAAGATTTCCAAGCAAAATACTGAGAGTATTACCTAGTGTATTTGTCAGCAAGATGTCACAGACTGGGTGGAATAAAAACAAATTTATTCTTCACAGTTCTGGAGGCTGGGAAGTCCAAGATCAAGTAGGCAAAGTAGGTTCATTCTGAGGCTGCTGTCTTGGCATGTGGGTGGCCATCATCTTACTGTGTACACATATGACCTTTTCTTTGTGTGAGCTGGTGGGGACAGGGTGCTCCCGGATGTTTCTTCTTTTGAGGATGCTAATCCTATCAAATCAAGACCCCATCCTTAAGACTTCACTGAACCTTAATTACTTTCCTACTCCAGATACAGCCACATTGGATGTTAGGGCTTCAACGTATTACTTTCCTTGGCTGGGGTCATGGAGGAAGAGGCACAAATATTCAGTCCGTAACACCTGGCTTCTTCTTGCAGCTTATAGAAATATGTGAGAGGAAAGAGATAAACTGAGGGGAAAAACTGTCAAACAAAAAGGAGCAAAGACTTAATGATTTTAGAAATTTTCACTTTACCCAGCAAAAGACTAAAATTAAGAGATTCACTGTCAGCAAAGAATGCACTGGAGAAAAGGCTAACGATATGATTGTATGATTCTTCTCTGAAATCTCAAGAGAGATTAAAAGATCAGAGTATTTAGTTACATAAAAAACTCTTTAAAGAGATTAAGGGTGTGACTTACAGAACCCCCTCATTCAAACCAGGGTGCTTCTAGAAATCTGAAGGGTGTTGTCACTGATCCATGTTTGCAGAAGCCAAACAAGATCATCTAGGAAAAATCTGTAGGAAGGCATCTGGTCTAATGTAGTGAACCCCTGTTAAATTAATGCCAAACTCACAAGATTGTTGAGAATTGTATACCAGTAGAACACTGCCAGCATGGACAGAAAGGGACAGAGGCTATAAAACGAAATAAGGCTGTTTGAACCCTCAAATTCTACTGGTAAATAAAACTACTGATGAAACTCTTAGCTGCCAACACGTGCTACCTTGCAGGAAAAAAGTTGACTCAGAGGGCAGAGTAGCTTGCCCAAATCGTGGCATTTTGAGCCTAAAGGATAGAGCTGTGATCCACAGAGGAGTTTTCCCAGGCCTAGAAACCTAATGTATTTTGCTGACCTGTACGTGGATACTGCTTTGTACCCGTCAGCTTGTTCTACCATCCGTGTTCCCCCTGTTGGAACTGGTGTATTTATAACTGACATCCAATGCCTGTCTCACAATTGTATGTTACGAGCAGATAACTTGTGTCTTTAATTTCACAGGTCCACAGATGGACAGAAATTGTTCCCAGGAGTTATACCCAATGGATTATTCAACTAAACTAGATTTAGTTGAGAGATTTTGGATTTTTGAGCAAATGAGATTTAAATGAGATTCTTACGCTTTGAGTTGTTGCTATAATGGAATGAGACTTGTCTTAGTCCACTTTCTGTTTCTTATAACAGAACACCTGAAACTAAGGAATTTATAAAGAAAAAGAATTTGTTTCTTACAGTTATGGAGGCTGAGAAACCCAAGGTTGACGAGCTACAAGTGATGAAGGCTTTCCTGCTGATGGAGACTCTGCAGAGTCACAGGCAGTGCAGGGCCTCACATGGTGAGGGGGCTGATTATGCTAGCCCAGGCTTCTCTTCCTGTCCCAGTTTTGTGATAATCCATTAATGCATTAATCCATGAATGGATTAATCTATTCATAAGAGCTCTTCCTCTTAAAGTCCCCACCTCTCAATACTGCCACATTGGTGATTAAATTTCAATAAGGGTTTTGGAGGGGAAAAACATTCAAAGCATAGCAGTGCTCTTGGAAACACTGAAAGAAGTATGAAGGTATTTTGCATTTGGGAGGGGCTTGAATCTTTGAGGGTTAGAGGGAAGACTGTGGTAGACATAATTCTAAAGATATTTCCTCAGGCTTCCTCTCTTCTGGTTATTCAATCAAGTGATGATACAGGTATAGCTGTGAAGGGACTTTTCAGATATAATTAAGATGTAATCACCTGATATTAAAATAGGAAGATTATCCTGGATTATCTGAATGGACCTACTGTAATTAAATGATCTGTTAAAAATAGAAAAGCAAGGCAAAGAATTAGAAAAATTCATCAAAAGGGGAAGTAAGAGAGACTGGGAACATGAGAAAGACCCAACCCACTGTTACCGGAGGGCAAGGTGAGGAGAAATGCAGGTAATATAAAGATTTGAGGAATGTTCCCAACTAACAGCCAGTGAAGAAACCAGGCACCTCCACTCTGTTGATGCAAGGAACTGAATTTTTTGAATTTACTTGAGTGAGATTAGAAGCCGATTTTTTCCAGAACCTTCACAAAAAAATGTAGCCCTACTAATACCTTGATTTCAGCCTTATGAAGCTCTAAACAGAGACACTAACTGAGCCACACTGTCTCCAGACTTCTGACCAACAGAAACTATGAAATAATAAATGAGTATTGTTTTAAGCCACTCTGCTAATTTGCTACAGCAGTGATAGAAAACTCATACAACTGTATTAGTCCGTTTTCATGCTGCTGATAAAGACATACCCGAGACTGAGCAATTTACAAAAGAAAGAGATTGTTCCACGTGGCTGGGGAAGCCTCACAATCACAGCAGAAGGTGAAAGGTACATCTCACATGGTGGCAGACGAGAACAGAGAGAGTCAAGCAAAAGGGGTTTCTTCCTGTGAAACCAATATAGTCTCATGGTACTTATTCACTACCACAAGAACAGCATGGGGGAAACCACTGCCATGATTCCATTATCTCCCACCGGGTCCCTCCCACAATATGTGGGAATTATGGCAGATACAATTCAAGGTGAGATTTGGGTGGGGACACAGCCAAATTATATCAACAACAAAACGTAAACGACAAGTAGAAAAATAATAATAAAATGGCAGGCATAAATCCAAACATATTAATAACCACATTAAATGTAAATGATCTAGCCACACCATTAAAAGGCAGAGATGATCAGATTGGATATAAAAGAAAGGCCCAATTGTATGCTTTCTACTGGAAACTTAACTATCATTATACTATTAAGTTAAAAATAGAAGGATGGAAAAAATATACCACACAAACTCAAATTAAAACAAAAGCTAGAGTGTCAATATTAATATCAAATAAAGAAGACTTCAGAACCAGGATAATTACCAGGGAGAAGAAGGAATATTATGTAAAAAGTGTCAACTTAGCAACTCAGAACTATTTATATAGGTTTTTTTGTTTGTTGTTTTATTTATTTTTACCACAAATTATCACAAGATATGAAGCAAGAACTGAAAAGAGAGAGAAATACACCATTGCATTTGGAGACTTTAGCATTCCCTTTGTCACTTATTGGTAGAACAAATAGGCGATAAATGAGCAAATATATTTGGAAAACTTGAGCATCATCATCATTCAACATGACCCAGTTGATATTTATAGAACATTTTACCCAACAACAGCAGAATAGAGATTCCTTCAAGTATGCATGGAACATTCACCAAGATAGACAACATTGTTTGTAAAAAATATCTAAGTTAAAAAATCGAAATTATTCAACTTTTACAATAATAGAGGTAAAGTAGAAGTTGACAACAGAAGGATATGTTAAAAATCTCACATATTTGGAAATATTAAATAACGTATATAACATATCAATAAATACTCAAAAGGTCAAAGAAGAAATATCAAAGGAAGGGAGGAAATATTTTGAACTGAAAGAAAATATATATGCAACATCAATATATTTGTGATGTTGCTAAAACAGTTCTTAGGGGAGAATTTATAGCATTAAATGCTTATATTTAAAAAGTTCTCAGATCAATAATTTTAGCTTCTACCTACAGAATCTGGAAAAAGAACAGAAAACCTAAAGCAAGCACAAGGAAGGAAATCATAAAGATCAAAGCAAAAGTCATTTAAGCTCGAAAGAGACAGACATTAGAGAAAAATCAATGAAACCAAAAGCTGATTCTTTGGGAACAAAATCAATAACATTGATAAAGTTCTAACCAGATTGACCAAGTGAAAAATAATGCACAAATTACAAATACCAGGAATGAAAAGAGGGGATGTAATTACTGATATTAGCATCACAAAAAATGGAAAACTATGAAAGTTCTATGCACATACATTTGAAAGACTAGATGAAATAGACAAATTATTTGAAAGATGTAAACTACAAAACCTTACCCATAAAGAAATGATAACCTGAATAGCCTACACCTATTAAATAAATTGAATTACTGTTTAAAATCTTACAAACAGAGAAAATGTCAGATGCAGGAGGGTTGGGATTAGAGTAAGGAATTCGAATGAGAAAAATAGTGGCCAGATGATGTCTGGGCAGTCTGTGGTGTAGTGCTGAAACATAGGGGAATCTTCGACTCAGACTGCTGGCAGGAATGGAATGGAACCCCTAACAAAAAGTCTGTCTTGGTCATAATTGGCCCATGCACAGCTAATGCCAGTTATTATCTTCATTTAGACAGTTAATGCCATGGGCAGTGAATGTGGTCAGTGGCTACATTCAAGAAGGTCTAGGTGATCTTTCAAGAAGAGAAAGAGTCTCAAGAGGACACCATGTCATGTTAAAAAGAAAGAGCTATATTAGATGTGTTACCCTAATGACATAGTACTTATGTGGAGGAGAAGAATTTGACTAAGTTGTGTATGACTTCAGGTCTTGGTGCTACTGGTAGTGGAGACAGTTCCTGTGGGCCTGAGTGCTTTCATAAGCTCCCTACTCAGCCATTGTGTTCTACACTGGAGTGAAGTTTTCCAGGCAATGAATATAAACATCTTGCTATATTCCAGAACTCTATTATAATAATTGATCCATTATTACCAAGTTAATCTAATTGTAGTTGTTGATAATTTTTTTTCTTTTTATAGCAATGTTGTTGATCTTAAAAGAGAGCACAGTGCTAGAGCACTACTAATCTACTTTGTACCATTCTTTATGTGGCATTGTACTTATTTTTACCCTTTTATTATAAATCTGAAAAACTGCTCTGTTATGTTTTATGTTGAGGTAGCTCTTAAGAGATAGAAATAAAAAGTTGACTTTTCAAAATTACAAATAGTACTTGTGGTACAAATATTTCCCATGTGATTAAAAAGGGAGAATTTCCTGCTCACCAAATTATTCTTACAAACTCCACAATGTTGGCCAAGTCAAGGAAAATGTGAAATGATGCTCTTCTAAATCTGAAAAATACTAAAGGATCATACTAAATTTCTGCAGTACTTTATAGTTCCTTGTCCATATTGTTGATCTATTAAAACTACAAAATATTATGGATTCAGTATAACTTTTAAACATTTTTGTACAGCTTCCAGAAAGCATTTGGAACATTAGATTATATTGTATTCTGGTTTTGAAGAAAACTTGCTTGGGAGTTAATTCTAAATTATGCATTAACTTGAATATTTTAAACAATGGTTTGAATAGTTATGGGATGAAGTAGACAGGGAAGGAAATAGTGGGTTTTAAATATTGATTTTCAGTTTATGAATTGGGACCCCTCACTTAATAATTTCCCTTGCATCTCACAGATTTATTTTTAAGACTGATGAGAATGGATGAATTCAAAGTTTTGAAAATATAAATAAAGACATGAAGTTATAGCCCCAGAATAGTGTACTCCTTCTAAGGACACCAACAGTTATTGTTTTCATGATTCTAATGTATTAGTAGTCAGTGGAAGGCATGATAAAATTGGCACTGCCAAAATATTCATTCATTATATTTCATATTATTGGTGGCTGGGGGGGTAATCAATGTTTTCAAAAGTCAAAAAAATAAAAAAATTTAAAGAAAAAATGTCATTTTTCCTTCAAATTATAATGGACATAGCATCCCCCCACTAAAGAGCAAGAATGGGTTTTAAAAGAAACAGAAAACTTGAGGTGTTATATAGATTTCATTGCTGACATTTTTTGCTTCAATTTCCAACGTCACTTGTGTACGTTTACTTACTTCTAACCCTGGTGGATTCAAACTTTTTTTGGCAGATGTTTTCAAACACAAAACAAGTCTAAAAATATCAAATCAAAATGAAGGTCAGAATAAGATGTTAAAAGCAGTTGTTGTTTTGTTGAAGCCATAATACAAAAAGTATTAGGTTTGATATCATGATTATCAGAGTGCCATGGTGAAAGGATGAGTGACTTCTACATGTTGAAACTAAACTATAGCTTTAGGTCATGTGTGGGAGACGGGTCCAAGTGAGTGTATATAGTATTTGTCCTTTGGTATTTATTGTTGTTGTTCGGGTTGTTGCCCAACCTGCAGTTTTCAGGAACCGTGAGGTACAGCCAGATGGACAGCCTGTGCTTTCACATGCTGCAGCTCCCCCATGCTTCCCTCTCCATCTGGAGTCTGATGGACTTTGCCAACACTGCAGCACCAGGAGCTAATTTCTACCTGCCTCTCCTCAGCTATGTTCTCTTGACGGAGCATCTATTTATATATCACCTCATGCTGCAGCATCCAGCTGGTTTTGTTGTTGTTGCTTTCCATTTGCAGAGATGTTAACTGCAGTGGTATTTCTTTTTCATTTAGAAAAAAAAAAAAAAAAGAAAGAAGGAAACACCTTCGAGATAGGTCATCTATTTGCTCTGTCATATATATATATATATATATAAATATTATGTACAAATGAATAGAGTGAATTTCACTCAGTCTAGTCAAGGACGAAATGCCATTTACACACCTCTTTATTTAACACTGGAGTGTACTTTTCTTTAAATCTCCTTTTGCAGCTTTTTAAGGGAGAAGGGGTTTCTGAAATGGAATTATGTGAATGTTAGCATTTTATAATTGAAATTATAATTACATTGGAAACGTAAGGTTCTAAGCCCAAGAAGGGATCCTGTGGCAAAATCTCTTGTAATAAAGAGTGATAATATTTTCTTATATTTTTACTTTTCAAAAGTGATCTTTGTTTTCAAACATTGGTGCTCACCTAATTTATTTATTTCTTTTCAATTTTACTCTGATGGCTGAATTCCTAATTTGGATATTATCTTACTGTTTTTACTTTTAAACTCAAGATTTACTTTTATTATGTCTTTTTTGAGATCTTTATTTAACTCCTCAAATAATGGCTGGCTTCATTCAAATATTCACTAACTGGCTGGATATCAGAATATTGCCAACGGCTATACAACATTACCCAATAATAAGAAGAGAAACAAAAGGATATGGGGAGAGGAGGAGGATTTTAAGAATGTTTTGGGGTGAGATTGACTATTTGTCTGAAATACCCAGAACACATACACGCTTGAGAGGAGTGGAAGGGATAAATACACTTAGAAGGAATAAGTAGGTTCTCCAAAATGAAGATTTTTTATGATTCCAGAAAATATTGATGGGCTTATAAAAAGATAAATGGAAAAAATTATGACCACAAACTTAATAATAGTACTGGGAGAAAAACACAGTAAAGCACAGCATTAGGAGTGTGAGAGCGAAAGAAAGAAAAGAACTGGATTCTGGTTTCTTCTTCATGGCTCTGTGTCCTCTGCTTTTGGATGCCTATGTAACTTTGCCAGACCTCTCTTGCCCTGTGACCTGCAGGTATTGGGAGAGCCACAGCTAAGATGTCAGGACACCCTGGAAACCAGAAAATGCACACATTGCATATGAAACCCAAGTCAGGAACCTTGCTGGAAATAAATATCCCATAGAGAGCCTTGGCACTCTGAAAGCACCCAGAAACAAAGGTAATTGACTGCACTCAATATAAACTATGGTCAAACCCCAAGAGAAATAAGGAATATAGAAACAAAAAACCCCATCCAATTGACAGCAACTTCACAAAGATAAAGGAACATCAGCCCTCTCAGATGAGAGATAATGAACGCAAGAATTCTGGCAATGGCAATTCAAAATGTAAGAGTGTCTCCTTACCTCCAAGCTGTCACACTAGGTCCCCAGCAATGGTTCCTAACCAGACTGAAATGGCTGAAATGATAGACAGAATTAAGATTCAGGAGAAAGTTGAAACACAATCCATGTAAGCCACTAAAATGATACAGGAGTTGAAAGACAGCGTAGCCATCTTAAGAAAAAACCAGTTGAACTCTGGTATTGAAAATTTCATTGCAAGGATTTCATAATAGAGGTGGAATCAGTAACAACAGAATAGAGCAAGCTGAGAAAAGAATCTTGGAGCTTGCAGACCAGTCCTTCAAATCAACCCAATCAGACCAAAAAATTAAAATAAAAATAAAAAGAAAGAAAAAAGAAATTATAAAATGAACAAAATCTCCAAGAAATATAAGATATAAAGAGCCCAAATGTGTGACTTATTGGCATTCCTGAGAGATAAGAGAGAGTAAGCAATTTGGAAAATGGTATTTGACAATATGGTCCATGAAAATTTCCCTAGTCTCACTAGAGAGGGCAACATGAAAATTCAGTAAATTCAGAAAACTCCTGGGAGATATTGCATAAAATGATTCATTTAAAGACACATAGTCATCAGATTCTCCAAGGTCAATGAGAAAGAAAAAATTATTAAAGGAAGCTAGAGAAAAGGGGCAGGCCATTTACAAAGGGAAACCCATAAGGCTAACAGCAGACTTAGCAGAAAGGCTACAAGCTAGAAGAGACTGGGGACCTATATTCAGCATCTTTATTGAAAGAAATTTCAACCAAGAGTTTCATATGCTGCCAAACTAAGTTTCATAAGTGAAGGAAAAATAAAATCTTTTCCAGAAAAGCAATGCTATGGGAAGTTGATACCATTAGACCAGCCTTACAAGAGGTCTTTAAAGGAGTTCTAAACATGGAAATGAAAGAACACTACCTGATTATCAGGGTAACCTGCCCCCAATATTTCAATGTAGGTTCTTTCTATTTTCCATAAGTGTTGGCCAGCTGAGAAATAAAGAGAAAGGGTACCAAGAGAGGAATTTTACAGCTGGGCCACTGGGGGTGACATCACATATCAGTAGGACCGTGATGCCCACCTGAGCCTCAAACCAGCAAGCTTTTTATTAAGGGTTTCTAAAGGGGAGGGGGTGTAAAACAGGGAGTAGATACAAAGATCACATGCTTCAAAGGGCAAAAAGCAGAACAAAGATCACATGCTTCTGAGGGAACAGGACAAATGGCAAAAGCAGAACTACTGACAAGGATCCAACAAAGATCACAAGGCAAAGGGCAAAAGCAGAACTACTGATAAGGGTCTCTGTTCAGTGGTGCACGTATTGTCTTGATAAACATCTTAAACAATAGAAAACAGGGTTCGAGAGCAGAGAACCGATCTGACCACAAATTTACCAGGGTGGAGTTTTTCCCCACTCTAATAAGCCTGAGGGTACTGGAGGAGACCAGGGTGTATCTCAGTCCTTATCTCAACCACGTAAGACAGACATTCCCAGAGCGGCCGTTTATAGACCTCCCCCCAGGAATGCATTCCTTTCCCAAGGTATTAATGTTAATATTCCTTGCTAGGAAAAGAATTTAGCAATATCTCTCCTACTTGCACGTCCATTTATAGGCTCTCTGCAAGAAGAAAAGTGACTTTTTTTGCCTGACCTCACAGGCAGTCAGACCTTATGGTTGTCTTCCCTTGTTCCCTAAAAATCACTGTTATTCTCTTCTTTTTCAAGGTGCACTGATTTCATATTGTTCAAACACACGTTTTACAATCAATTTGTACAGTTAACACAATTATCACAGTGGTCCTGAGGTGATGTACATCCTCAGCTTACAAAGATATCAGGGTTAAGAGATTAAAGTAAAGATAGGCATAAGAAATTATAAAAGTATAATTTGGGAACTGATAAATGTCCATGAAATCTTCACAATTTATGTTCCTCTGCTGTGGCTCCAGCCGGTCCCTCTGTTTGGGGTCCCTGACTTCCCGCAATACCTGATACCACAAAAACACACTAAAGTACATAGCCCACAGACCCTATAAAGCAGCTTCACAATTGCATCTACAAAACAACCAGCTAACCACAGACAGGATCAAAACCTCAAATATCAGTATTAACCTTAAATGTAAACAATCTAAACACCCCACTTAAAAGGCACGGAGTGGCAAGTTAGACAAAAAAATAAGACCCAACCAATTGCTGTCTTCAAGAGACCCATCTCAGATGTGATGATACCCACAGGCTCAAAGTAAAGAGAAGGAGAAAGATCTATCAAGCAAATGGAAATTAAAAAGAGCAGGGGTTGTTGTTCTTACATTAGACAAAATGACTTTAAACCAACAATAGTCAGTAAGGACAAAGAAGGGCATTACATAGTGGTAAAGGATTCAATTCACAAGAAGACTTTACTATCCTAAATATATAGGCGTCCAATGTTACAGCACCCAGACTTATAAAACAAGCACTTCTAGACCTATGAAAAAATGTAGCCACACAATAATAGTGGGGGAACTTCAGCACTCCACTAACAGCTTTAGACAGATCATTGAGGCAGAATATCAACAAAGAAATTCTGGATTTTTTTTTTTACCTTTTTAAATGTAATTTATTTATTTACTTTTATTTTTCCATAAGTTATTGGGGTACAGGTGATATTTGGTTACATGAGTAAGTTGTTTAGTAGAGATTGATGAGATTTTGGTGCACCCATCACCCGAGCTGTATACACTGCACCATATTTGTAGACTTTTATCGCTCGTCCCCATCCTACTCTTCCACCCAAGTACCCTAAGTCCATTGGATCATTCTTTTTTTTTTTTTTTAAATTATTATTATACTTTAAGTTTTAGGGTACATGTGCACAATGTGCCAGTTAGTTACATACGTATACATGTGCCATGCTGGTGTGCCGCACCCATTAATTCGTCATTTAGCATTAGGTATATCTCCTAATGCTATCCCTCCCCCCTCCCCCCACCCCACAACAGTCCCCAGAGTGATGTTCCCCTTCCTGTGTCCATGTGTTCTCATTGTTCAATTCCCATCTATGAGTGAGAACATGCGGTGTTTGGTTTTTTGTCCTTGTGATAGTTTACTGAGAACGATGATTTCCAATTTCATCCATGTCCCTACAAAGGACATGAGCTCATCATTTTTTATGGCTGCATAGTATTCCATGGTGTATATGTGCCACATTTTCTTAATCCAGTCTATCATTGTTGGACATTTGGGTTGGTTCCAAGTCTTTGCTATTGTGAATAGTGCCACAATAAACATACGTGTGCATGTGTCTTTATAGCAGCATGATTTATAGTCCTTTGGGTATATACCCAGTAATGGGATGGCTGGGTCAAATGGTATTCCTAGTTCTAGATCCCTGAGGAATCGCCACACTGACTTCCACAATGGTTGAACTAGTTTACAGTCCCACCAACAGTGTAAAAGTGTTCCTATTTCTCCACATCCTCTCCAGCACCTGTTGTTTCCTGACTTTTTAATGATTGCCATTCTAACTGGTGTGAGATGGTATCTCATTGTGGTTTTGATTTGCATTTCTCTGATGGCCAGTGATGATGAGCATTTTTTCATGTGTCTTTTGGCTGCATAAATGTCTTCTTTTGAGAAGTGTCTGTTCATATCCTTTGCCCACTTTTTGATGGGGTTGTTTGTTTTTTTCTTTTAAATTTGTTTGAGTTCATTGTAGATTCTGGATATTAGCCCTTTGTCAGATGAGTAGGTTGCAAAAATTTTCTCCCATTTTGTAGGTTGCCTGTTCACTCTGATGGTAGTTTCTTTTGCTGTGCAGAAGCTCTTTAGTTTAATTAGATCCCATTTGTCAATTTTGTCTTTTGTTGCCATTGCTTTTGGTGTTTTAGACACGAAGTCCTTGCCCATGCCTATGTCCTGAATGGTAATGCCTAGGTTTTCTTCTAGGGTTTTTATGGTTTTAGGTCTAACGTTTAAGTCTTTAATCCATCTTGAATTAATTTTTGTATAAGGTGTAAGGAAGGGATCCAGTTTCAGCTTTCTACATATGGCTAGCCAGTTTTCCCAGCACCATTTATTAAATAGGGAATCCTTTCCCCGTTGCTTGTTTTTCTCAGATTTGTCAAAGATCAGATAGTTGTAGATATGCGGCGTTATTTCTGAGGGCTCTGTTCTGTTCCATTGATCTATATCTCTGTTTTGGTACCAGTACCATGCTGTTTTGGTTACTGTAGCCTTGTAGTATAGTTTGAAGTCAGGTAGCATGATGCCTCCGGCTTTGTTCTTTTGGCTTAGGATTGACTTGGCGATGCGGGCTTTTTTTTGGTTCCATATGAACTTTAAAGTAGTTTTTTCCAATTCTGTGAAGAAAGTCATCGGTAGCTTGATGGGGATGGCATTGAATCTATAAATTACCTTGGGCAGTATGGCCATTTTCACGATGTTGATTCTTCCTACCCATGAGCATGGAATGTTCTTCCATTTATTTGTATCCTCTTTTATTTCATTGAGCAGTGGTTTGTAGTTCTCCTTGAAGAGGTCCTTCATGTCCTTTGTAAGTTGGATTCCTAAGTATTTTATTCTCTTTTAACTCAACACTTGGCCAGTTGCATCTAATAGACATCTATAGAATATTCCTCCCAACAACTAAAGAATATACATTCTTCTCATCTCCACATGGAACATACTTGAAGATCAACCACATGCTTGGCCATAAAACAAGTCTCAATAAATTTGAAAAAGTTGAAATAATATCTAGCATACTCTTGGACCACAGTGCAATAAAAATAGAAACAAATAACAGGAGTATCTTTCAAAACCACACTATTGCATGGAAATTAAACAACTTGCTCCTGAATGACTTGGATGAAACACACAATTAAGGCAGAAATAAAAAAGTTATTTGAAATTAGTGAAAACGGAGACACAACATACCTAAATCTTTGGGATGCAGCAAAAGCTGTGTTAATAGGAAAGCTTATAGTACTAAACACCTACCTCAAGAAATTAGAAATATCTCAAATTAATGATCAAATATCACACCAAAGGAACTAAAGAAACAAGAACAAACTAACCCGAAAGGTAACAGAAGAAAATAAATGACTATATTCGAGCAGAGCTGAATGAAATAAAGACCCAAAAATCCATACAGAAGTTCAGCAAAATCAAGTTGGTTGTTTGAAAGAATAAACAAGATTGGTAGATCACTAGTTAGATTAACAAATAGAAAGAAGATCCAAAATAGCCCAATTAGAAATGACAAAATGATATTACAGCAGATCCCACGGATAAACAAAAAATTCCTCAGAGACTATTATGAAACTCCTATGTTCACAAACTAGAAAATGTAGTGGAAACACACAACCTCCCAAGATTAAACCAGAAAGAAATTGAAACCCTGAACAGACCAATAATGAATTGTGAAACTGAATCAATAGCAAAAAAACTGTAAACAAGCAAACAAAAACCCTAGAATAGATGTATTTACAGCCAAATTCTACCAGATGTACAAATAACTGGTACCAGTTCTACTGAAACTATTCCAAAAGTGAAGGAGGAGGGACTCCTCCCTAACTCATTCTAGGAAGCCAGCATTATCCTGATACCAAAATCTGGCAGAGACACAACGAAAAAAGAAGACTTCAAGCCAATATTCCTGATGAACATAGATGCAAAAATTCTCAACAAAATACTAGCAAAACAAATCCAGCAACATATCAAAAAGTTAATTCACCACAATCAAATAGGTTTTATTCCTGGGATGCAAGGTTGTTTCGACATTTTCAAATCAATAAATGTAATTCACCACATAAACACAATTTAAGAATATATATGATCATCTCAATAGATGCAGAAAAAGCTTTTGATATAATCCCGCCTCCCTTCAGGATAAAAACCCTCAACAAACTAGGCATCGAAGAAACATGTCTCAGAATAATAAGAGTCAACTCTGACAAACCCAGAGCCAACATCATACTGAACAGGCCATACTGAACAGGAATACTGGAAGCCATTCCCTTGAGAACTGGAACAAGACAAGCATGCCTACTCTCACCATTCCTACTTGAACATGGTACTGGAGGTTCTACCCGGAATAATCAGGCAAGAGAAAGAAATAACAGGCATCTAAGTAGGAAATGAAGTGAAGTTATGTCTCTTCACTGGCAATATGATTCAATACCTAGAAGACCCTAAAGATCCCACCAAATGGCTCCTAGAACTGATAAACAACTTCAGTAAAGTTCCAGGATACAAAATCACCATAAAAAAATCAGTAGCATTTTTACACGCTAACAATGTTCAAGCTGAGAACTAAGTCAAGAACACGGTCCCATTTACATTAGCCACAGAAAGAATAAAATATCTAGAAATACACCTTACAAAGGAGGTGAAAGATCTATACAAGGAGAACTACAAAACACAGTTGAAAGAAATCAGACATGTCACAAACGAATGGAAAAACCTTCTGTGCTCATGATTGGAAGAATCAATATTCTTAAAATGGCCATACTGCCCAAAGTAATTTACAGATTCAGCATGATTCCTGTCAAACTGCCAATGTCATTTTTCACTGAATTAGAAAAAACTATTCTAAAATTCATATGGAACCCCAAAAGAGCCTAAATAGTTAAAGTAATCCTATCCAAAAAGAACAGAGCCAGAGGCATCACATTACCTGACTTTGAACTATACTGCAAGGCTACAGTAACCAAAATAGCATGGTACTGGTACAAAAACAGACACAAAGACCAGTGGAATAGAGCAGAGAACCCAGAAACAAAGCTGCATACCTACAACCATCTGATCTTCAACAAACTTGGCAAAAATAAGCAGAGGGGAAAGGACACCTTATTAAATAAGTGGTGTGTGGATAACTGGCTAGCCATATGCAGAAGAATGAAACTTGATCTCTACCTGTCACCATATACAGAAATTAACTCAAGATGGATTAAAGAATTAAGTGTAAACACAATTTAAAAATATATATGATCATCTCAGTAGATGCAGAAAAAGCTTTTGATATAATCCTGCCTCCCTTCAGGATAAAAACCCTCAAAAACTAGACATCGAAGAAACATGACCTCAAAATACAAAAATCCTGGAAGAAAAACTAAGAAATGTTCTTCTTGACATTGGCAAAAAATTTATGGCTATGTTCTAAAAAAAATTGCAATAGAAACAAAAATTAACAAGTGGGATCTAATCAAATTGAAGAGCTTCTGAACAAAAAGAGAAACTGTCAACAGAGTAAACAAGAAGCTTATGGAGTGGGAGAAAATATTTTCAAACTGTTTATCTAAAAAGGACCTAATATTCAGAATGCACAAGGAACTTAAATCCATAAACAAAAAATAAATAACTCCATTAATATGTGGGCAAAGGACATTAACAGACACTTCTCAAAAGAAGCCATACAAGTGGTGAACAAAAGTATGAAAAAATTCTCAACATCACTAATCATTAGAAATGGGAAATCAAAACTACAGTGAGACACCATCTTACACCACTCATAATGGCTTTTGTTAAAAAGTCAAATAATAACAGGTGTTGGCTGTGCTGGCAGAGAGAATGAAACCCTTACACACTGTTGGTGGGAATGTATTAGTTCAGCCACTGTGGAGAGCAGTTTGGAGATTTCTCGAAGAACTGAGAGTCAAATTACCATGTAACCCAGCACTCTTATTACTGGGTATATACCCAAAGGAAAATAAATTGATCTACCAGATATAAGCATCTGCATGATAATTGCAGCACTATTTACAGTAGCAAGGTAAGCCAGGTGCTCATCAATGGTGGACTGGATAAAGAAAACGTGGTACATATACACCATGGAATACAACCCAGTCATAAAGAAAAGAAAGAAATCATGTTCTTTGCAGCAACATGGATGCAGCTGGAGGCAATTATCCTAAGGGAACAAACACAGGAACAGAAAACCAAATACCAAATGCTCTCATTTGAGGTCAGGAGTTTGAGACCAGCCTGGCCAACATGCTGAAACCATGTCTCCCTAAAAGTACAAAAATTAGCTAGGCATGGTGGCACGTGCCTGTAATCCCAGCTACTAGGGAGACTGAGGCACAAGAAACACTTGAACCGAGGAGGCGGAGGTTATAGTGAGCTGAGGTCGTGCCATTGCACTCCAGTCTGGGTGACAGAGCGAGGCTCTGTCTCAAAAAAAAAAAAAAAAAAAAAAAAAAGTGGTAGCTAAACATTAGGTACTCATGAATGTAAAGATGGGAACAATAGATCAATAGATAAATACTGGGGAATACAAGAGGGAGAGGGAAGGAGACAGGCAAGACAGGCAAGGAATAGAAAACTATCTATTGGGTACTATGCCAAATGCCCGGGAGTTCTGTCATACTTTAAACCTCAGAATCATTCAATATACTTTTATAACAAACCTGCACATGTACCCCCATCCCCCAGCCAGAATCTAAAATAAAAGTTGAACAAAAAAAGAAAAGAACTGTTGAGTTGGAGAATCTAGGTTTTTAAGATTCCATATTCTTGAACAAAGGCTGAAATGAGCAAATATTTGGATTATAGTTTCTTTTCATGATGGCATTTTCAGTACTTTATGCTTTTCATATATCATTTTTTTCTCTCTTTATCAGGTAAGTGGGGGAGATTATATTCTCCTTACAGCTCAGATATGTTGAACTTAAATGTTGTAATTTTAAGATTTTTTAATTGAGAATTGAAGAATAATAAATTAACAAGAAAAGGTAATCCAGGGGAAGGAAAGAAATACACAGAATTTTTGGAAGACTGAAAGGACCATAATTGTCTATAATTTATCATAAATTATAAGGAGTACAAGTGATGCTCAACAGATAACACACTCTGTCTTCGCCTGGTAGGATAGAAGAGAACATGTTTCCACAGTGACAGTGCTCAGGTTTACAGATTGGGAGCAGCTGTGCTTGGCTCAGTATGGACCTGATGAAGTGAAAATGTGTGGTTGGGGAGAAGTGGAAGAATGGAAGACATGGAGATATCAGTTCAGCTGCACGTTATTAAAAATTTCAGCAATTACTGAAATAACATGTGTTAAACCATATCTTTATGAGAGGTGTGTTTCAGTATCTCCTACTGCAAATCTCCCATCTGCCATGCTGTATACTAGAATCTCAAAATTTTAGGCTACATTTGGCAGAGTCTCATTAAAATTTTACTACCTAATGGGGAGATACATCTTAGCATATACATTAAAATGAATTAAGTGCTTCAAAAGAAAGATACTAGGAAAGTCATCATGGTTAAATACTTGGGCTCTGGAATCAGACTGTCTGGGTTTGAATCTGTTCTGTGATTTACTGGCTGAATTTCTGAGTTTCAATATCTTCATCAGTTTTTCAAAATCAGGGGAAAATAACTGAATGATTTAATAGGCTGTTGTGTAAAATTATTTTCACCATACTAACTTTGGTGCTAGTTACACATAGTAAGTTAGTTATGAGGATAATTATGCATAAAATGTTATGAGAGCAACATTGTAATGTACAAGCTATAAAGTATCAACACTTAATGCCTCTAGGTATGTTTGTCTGTGACTGCATGTGTTTGGGCATGATGGACCTAAGAGCTTTGACTTTAAATTCATCATGCAGATCTGGGTTCCTCCAGCCTTGATGTTTGAGATGTAACTCTGGATAGTTATTAAATCTCTCTTATATTTAGTCTCACATGTTGCAATTCCTACCTCCGAGGGTTGTTGTATGAGTATTCAAGATACTTTCCAAAAGTACAGTCAAGGCTAGGTGTGACAACTCATACCTATAATCCCAGCATGTTTAGTGGCTGAGGTGCGAGGCTAGCTTGAGGACAGGAGCCGGGAGGACAGGAGCCTGGGAAGCAATAAGAGACCTTGTCTCTACAGAAACAAAAATCACCAACAACAATTAGCTGGGCATGGTGGTGCATGACAGTAGTCCTAGCTATTCAGGCGGCTGTGGTGGGAGGATTGCTTAAGCCCAGGTGTTAGAGGTTAGAGTGAGCCATGATCACACCACTGCACTCCAGACTGAGTGACAGAGTAAGACCGTGTCTCAAAAATAAATAAATAAGTAAATAAATAAATAAATGCAATAAAAATAAATAGATCCATCTATCTTAATTACCCATGTATAATTTTAAGCATTTATATATTTTTATTTTTAATATATGAAATTATGTTGATTGATGTTATCTGGTTATGTTCAAATCATTTAGATTTCAAAAACTGCATTTTTAGTCTGTCCTTGACTTTGTTTCTATGTTAAATTAGAATAATTAAATTCTAAATATAGGTATATCATGTTGGGATAGTATTTAGACTCTGAAAAGACATAATATGTTTCTTTGTAGATAAGTTTAGATAATTTTTGATGAGGTTATATTTACTTTAAAAACCCTACATACAAAAATCTCTTTGCAAAAGATTTTATGTCAACACCCCTTTACTCTAAAGTCAGATTTAGAGCTATTTCAACCCTATGGAGCACAGCTTTGAATTTTGCAATAAATGTAGGACTCCAATATCCAACACAAATCTGTGTCACAAAACCCTGTGTTAAATTGGGCACTTTATTTCTTGGATTTTCTATCAGAGTCTTATTGACTCTTTCTTAGCACAGTATTTTTAATAAGCTTACTTATCAGCTGCATTAACCCACAGCATATTGAGTCTGAGAACTAGAAAAGGACTGAGAAAAGGTTTTGGAGGTAAATAGCAATGGCTGGAGAGAAGTACCCTACATGATCAGAGGAGGAGATGGGCACCTTCATGTCAGCATAGATACGTATTCCTGCAGTTTCCAATAACGTTCACATTGCCTACAGTGAGTCACTGAGAAAGAATGTTAACCACTATTTACAAAGACAGGCACATGTATCTTCTATTCATACTTTACTATATTGCCATCTAAGAATTTGATGTGGAATGCTCACTTACCTGAAATTCTAGAGCACATCATAGTATTAAGAGTGGTAGCATGAAGGACATTGAGTTGAACTTAGAAAATACAAGGACTAGACCGGGTGCAGTGGCTCACACTTGTAATCCCAGCACTTTGGGAGGCTGAGGTGGGTGGATCACGAGGTCAGGAGTTCAAGACCAGCGTGGCCAAGATGGCAAAACCCTGTCTCTACTAAAAATACAAAAATTAGCTGGGTGTGGTGGTGGGCGCCTGTAATCCCAGCTACTTGGGAGGCTGAGGCAGAGAACTGCTTGAACCTGGGAGGTGGAGGTTGCAGTGAGCTCAGATTGTGCCACTGCACTCCAGCCTGGACAACAGAGCAAGACTCCATCTCAAAAAAAAAAAAAAAAAAAGAAGGATTAGAGGACAGGGAGCACTAGCAAACCACCTCAATAAAGACAAAAGGGTAGAACAAAGCCATGATCACTAGACGATTGGAAAGCTGACAAGACTGGAGCAAAGGATCAAACCAGACTTTGAGGTGTGGGGACCTCCTAACTTTGTGGCTTATGGAAGTCACCCAGCATTCCAGTTAAAATGCAGATTTATGGGTTCTGTCATCACACATATGTTCCAGTGGCAACAGGTTAGGCTCAGGAATCAACATTTTTTTGTAACTTTCCAATTAATTCTAATGTTCACACTCTGAGAAATCTTACCAGGGAAGATGTATCGGGGGAACCAGCCCCCGATATTTCAATGTAGGTTATTTTCTATTTTCCCTAAGTGTCGGCTGGTCTGAGAAATAAAGGGAAAGACTACAAAAGAGAGAAATTTTAAAGCTGGGTTTCTGGGGGAGACATCACATGTCGGCAGGTTCCGTGACGTCCCTTGAGCTGCAAAACCAGCAAGTTTTTATTATGGATTTCAAAAGGGGAGGGGTGTACAAATAGGGTATGGGTCACAGAGATCACATGCCTCCAGGGCAATAAAATATCACAAGGCAAATGGGGGCAGAGAGAGATCACAGGACCAGGGTGAAATTAGAATTGCTGATGAAGTTTTATGTCCCACTGGGCACGCATTATCATTGTTAAGATCTTATCAGGAGACAGGGCTTGAGAGAAGACAACTGGTCTGACTAAAATTTACTAGGCAGGAATTTCCTAGTCCTAACAGGCCTGGGGGCGCTACAGAAGACCAGGGCTTATTTCATCCCTTATCTGCAACCGTGTAAGACAGACATTCCCAGAGCAGCCAGTTTAGATACTTCCCCCTAGGAATGCATTCTTTTTCTCAGGGCTGTTCCTTGCTGAGAAAAAGAATTCAGCGATATTTCTCCTATTCGCTTTTGTAAGAAGAGAAATATGACTCTGTTCTGTCTGGCCCCTCGGGCAGTCAGGCCCAATGGTTATCTCCCTCGTTCCCTGAAAATCGCAGCCATCTTGTTCCTTTGGATGCCCAGATTTCATATTGTTCAAACACACATGCTCTACAAACAATTTGTGCAGATAACACAATCATCACAGGATCCTGAGGTGACATACATCCTCAGCTTATGAAGAGGATTAAGAGATTAAAGACAGGCCTAGGAAATTATAAGAGCATTGATTGGGGAAGTGACAAATGTCCATGAAATCTTCACAATTTATGTTCAGAGATTGCAATAAAGACAGGCATAAGAAATTATAAAAATATTAATTTGAGGAACTCACAATTTATGTTCTTCTGCCATGGCTTTGGCCGGTCACTCCGTTTGGGGTTCCTGACTGCCCACAACAAAGATGGAAATATTTGTTAGCCATTTTGCAAAAGAGTGATGTTAAAAGCATTCCAGGAAGATTAATCTGGTTGAGTGGCATGCCAGAGGCCAATATGAAAGCTACTAATTAGTTCAGCTCAGAGGTGGTGAGAGCATGATGGGACATGCTGACAGGAACATTAGAAGGGCAGAAAAGTTATAGGGGTGTGTAAAGGGCAGAGTCAGTGGAATTTGATGATTCACACTGAATATTGGATAGAGAAAAGGAGTAGAGCAATGCAAAGCTGATGTACTAAGATATAATTGGAAAGGAAAACAATTTTAAGGCAATAGATAGACTTTATATTGAGTGTATCCTTTATCTGGTCATGATTAGCCTATTTAAGGTTTATTTGGATGTTTACATAACAACAATACAATGCCTAGGTTTGAATTCCACTTTCTAACTTAGACAAGTGTCTTCACGGCACTGAACTTCAGTTATCTTTACAAGGGGCGAACCACCCTCACAGAGTTGTTAAGAAAAATAAGTGCACATACAGTGCGGCTTTTCATCCCTTCTCTAAGTTGTAAACATCAGAGAAAACTTTCTATGAGCGTTTTACCTGTCTTTGGTCTCCAAATTTTGTTCCCTGAACAAGAGTTTTGTGTTTACATGTCTTTTTCTTTTACAACATAGCATTTCTAAGCAAGAAGTAAATATCTAAATTTCAGAGGTTGTTTTGACTATTTTTGAAGAACTATTACATTAGTAGCCATCATATGATATACCTAAAGGACTGCCATTCTTGTAATAGTAAACAAACTGCTTGTTGTCCAAAGGATTTCAGAATACACTTTTTCTATTCCTATTGCCAATTCTGAATTCTTATCCCTGATTCCTAATTTATCAATTCTCTACATAGGAATACAGACTAAGCAATGATTGGTGAAAACACTTTTTTCCCCACTATTCTATAGAGTAAGGTTATCTGTTTAAGGTTCAATCCTTACTCTTTTTGAGCTAAGGACTATTTTTGCCAAAATAGTTAGGTACATGAATATTTAAGTGAATGTGGAAGTATTGACTTTTTCCCAGAGAACAATCTAAGTCAATTTTACCACATTCAATGGCCTAAAAGGGGGAGATGATGAGTTTTGTCATGTCAATTTCTTTTAAAGAAAACTATTTCAGTCATAATGTTTTCTACCAAAATGTCGTTTTTTTCTATCTGTGAGATAGAATTGTTGTAGTAGTTCATCTTTTAAAAGTCAGAGTTTCTCCCATTCTGTGATTGTAGCAATAGTTATGATGACCTACATAGAGAACTGTGTTACTTTGAGTCAAAGAAATACTGATTGTGGTTTAGAAAGCTACTTTTATTGCTGCCTGAGTGGTGAAAAGAAAGAATGTAAATGTGTATGTGTTAAGCCTTGTAGAACCTGGAAGTGTTTTGAGCTGGGAAAAATTGAATTTCACATTGAGATGCTTTGCGTTTAGCAAAACCCAAAACGTATTTTGAAAACTTCTTTCTCCCTTAAGTTTATCCCTCTGAGTATTTTAAGTAATATTATTTTTGTTTGAGTTATTTCCAACATGTTATGAGAGATTTTTGATAACCGTGGGACGTTTTTCTTTGAACCTGGAAATTTTATCTTGCCAATATTAAATTGTATTCTATTCCAGAAAGCCTGAGATCAGTTTACAATTTTTAATTTGTTTCCTGATGGTTGACCAGATATCTTCAGTCATTCATTTTATGTTTGTATTTAATTTTATTGAAATGCTTAAGTAGTCTATCTTATCATTATAAATGTAGTTTTACCTTTATATATTTCAGTAGACATTCATTTAGAAAGAGTTTACAACTCTAAGCCATTAAGCATCAGGATTGCTGTATCTTTTATTTGATGGAGGTGGAGTGCATAACATTATAAGTATTTATACGTACACACATTTTTGAAAAATGCTGCATATATGTTGTTTATATTCGAATGGGTTCCAGTGTCTAGCTTTAAACCAAGTTCTGAGAAAAACGTATGAAAAATGTCTTCTCTTTCTTCAAACCAATAAAAGTTATGATAGCAGAGAATGTCATAAATTGGTTGTGGGGTTTTTTGGTTATTATTTTAGGGATAACCTAACACACATTATTCAGGGCCTGCTTTTCTCTCCCTTGAGGGATCTGTAGCATTCTTGATGTCATGAAAATAGAGCACAAGATTGGAGTTATTAATCACTGTACTTCAATGGACTTTTTCTTATTAAAATGTTAACTTATTAATTTTTATTAACTTATTAAAGTTTAACTCGTCCTTTGAAGAATCTTGTATGTATTCTCACTTGGACACATTCTTATCATATCAAGTATATTAGAAGTTGTTACTCCCAGGTAGGGTCTTAATCTATGTAACGTTGTATGTGTAATTTTACAGAAATTTGTAGTTCCTACACGGATTTTCATCCTGTGTAACTCTAAGGAAATTCATTAGCCTGAAATATGCAAGCTACAAAGGATGCTAAATAAGTCTCATTACTTTATAAGATGTAAACATTGAGCTTTAATGAGTGTTCTAAGGCTGTAGAAGACCTCTTTTTTGAATTAAGTTTGTTAAGAATGTTTTAGTCTTTGCTTTTGTCTGTTAATGTTTATAATTAATCAGACGATATTTATGTTTATTATTTACTTTTGTGATTAGAGATGCTCTATTCTATTTAAACATATTTTAAAATATTGTAAACATTGCTGTTTTCTTGTGGAACCTTTTTTTCTTTGATTTCTAACAAAATCAGGAAGGAATATAAACATAAACATTCACAGTGGTTTTGGAAATGAAACAGTGGGAATCTACCACAACAGAGTGTTTAACTGAAATATGACTACATAAAGCAGGTGAATTGTTTGAGACATTTAAACTCTATTTGAGAATGTTAATTCCCATACTCAATATTTATTTTCTCCTGGCAAGTGAAAGTGGAGGAGGAGGTTGGGTTAAAACCTTCTTTCTTCACAGGAGGCATAAGAATGCTAGCATTTAAAATAGACATTATTCTTTTGACCATGTAGGACTGGACTCTAAGAGTCTTTCCCTTTACTTTTTTAACCTATTCAAATTTCCCGCATACTCTAAAATAAATAAATAAATTATTATTTAGTAATAAATGACACACGATAATGATTCTAAAGTCCTTCCACAAAGGTGCCAACAGTCATATCTTTGGATAACCATATACAGGCATTTTAAGGACTGTTGGAAACAGGATCATTGACACTGATACGTGCAAAATCAAAGAGCTTTCATGGGCTTTTCTGCAACTAATAAATTGAGTCTTGTCCCAGGTTTGACGCATAGTCTGTCCACTATGTCTGTGATCTACCTAATGGTTATTTTCCAGGTCATAAAATATATATGATTCACACAGGTGGCTGGCACAACTTCCAGATTGCTTTCTTAGCTCAAGCAATCTGTCCTAGAGGGAAAGCCTCTTGGACTGCAATCCACATTCCCCACCCCAGGCAAGATATTAACTTAAAAACAATTATCCTGATGATTCTACTTATATGTAAATAATTAAATAAATTATTTAAGTGATTATAATTATTCTTCACTGGTAATCTATCATGCACAACAGGAATTGGAATTCATGGGGGTTCCCCCGCTAAGATTATTCAGTGTGTGTTGTCAGTATTAGATTTCCCTTGGCCAGTCCAGGCAGCTTAGCTAGTGATATCACCCCCATGCATGTCCCTAAGGACTCTAAGCCACTGCTTGCCATGCCCCTTGTAGATTCAGCCATAGGTGCTGCATCTACAATAAAAATTGATCAAGAATATCATGAGGGTGCCCAAGGGCTTCATTTGATGCCAGACGTATTACTCCATTCCCATTGTTGTGTGACAGCACCCCAAATCCTCTGATGATCATGTTAAAGGATTCTGCCAAGACGGTGACTCCTTATCTTGCCTGCTGATTTTTTTGCAAAAAGATCCCAAAGTGCCCAGCATTAGCTTAAAATTCAGTGGCATTCTTGCCATGGCTTCTGGTAGAAAACTGCTTTTCTGTGAATCAGGATCTCTGAATGCTGAGAGTCCAGAAACGTGGGGGATGAGAAGCCCAAATTTCTCAGTGCGTCACTGGGAGAGCTTGCTTTTCCCTTTGGCTTTTTATTCTAATGCAAGTGTACACTCAGCCTTTTAAAATTTTTTAAAAATTTTAGATGTTTTCTTCTTATCCACTTTTAGGATGTTGCCTCTTCCTCTCAAGCTCTGCCAGAGGTGAAATAGTTGCTGTGTCCTGTCTCTTTTTGGAGGGGCTTGCCACTCGATGGAATTCAGCAGGACTTTGTAATGTTAGCTCTCTGGGTTCCAGAAAAATTACAGTTTTGTCAGTGATCTGTTTTTTGTTGTTTATTTACAGGGTTAGAGTGACAGCAACATTCTCTTCCAGCTTTGTGTAGCCTACGTATAAGTAGAACCATCAGGATAATTGTTTTTAAGTTGATATCTTGCCTGGGGTGGGGAATGTGGATTGCAGTCCAAGAGGCTTTCCCTCTAGGACAGATTGCTTGAGCAATCTGGAAGTTGTGCCAGCCACCTGTGTGAATCATACTTATATATTTTATGACCTGGAAAATAACTATTAGGTAGATCACAGACATAGTGGACAGACTATGAGTCAAACCTGGGACAAGACTCAATCTATTATTTCCAGAAAAGCCCATGAAAGCTCTTTGATTTTGCACGTTTCAGTGTCAATGACCCTGTTTCCAACAGTCCTTAAAATGCCTGTATATGGTTATCCAAAGATATGACTGTTGGCACCTTTGTGGAAGGACTTTAATATCATTATCATATATTCTTTTCATGATGCTACATGGTTGTTCCTCCTGGAAATCTGTTTTTTCACTTCAGCATATGGGTTCCAGGTTTGAAAACTGGCTCATATCCTGAATCTCAGTAAGATATTTTTGGATGGTAGGTGGTGGGGTGGGGAGTAAACACATTCTATCTTCTGATCATCCAGCATCCATTCTTTTGATTGTACACCCTGAATAATACTCTTGGTTGACTGTCTGTCTATTTTACTCCTTGGACACCATGTTCTATTAACTATCTCATAACTCTCTAAGGGTCAGTGTTCCTGCATGTGACTACAACCTTGACAAACATTATAATTACCTCTACCTGGCTTATAATAATTGGATATTACCCTATCTATCTTTTCAGGATTCCATCATGTCCATTGTGGTCAGTGAGCCCATTCCATAATACCACCTTCTACCATCAGTCTTGGCCTTCAGAGGAACATCAAGTCTGAACTTCTTAGTGATGTTTTTCCTTTCACCAATGTGTTCCTTGTAGCCTTGGTAAATGGTCTATCTTTAGTGCCTTTGTATGAAGTATAGTCATCTGATGGGCATTCTGGCTGAGAATAGTATATTTGTTCAAGCATGCTTACTTGAGCCTTTTAATCTCCCTGGCATTTCTCTATTACTTAATGCAGGTCCGTGCTTTATTATTTCTTCCAGGAGCTGTCTGTATTAGTCAGGGTTCTCCAGAGGGACAGAACTAATAGGATATATGTATATATGAAAGGGAGTTTATTAGAGAGAATTGGCTCACACTATCAAAAGCTGAAGTCCCACGATAGGCCATCTGCAAGCTAGGGATGAAAGAAGCAAGTAGTGGCTCAGTCTGAGTCCCAAAGCCTCAAAGAAGGGAAGCTGATAGTGCAGCCTTTACCATCTTAAAGCATGTTTACGTTGTCTTTCAGTCTTCTTTTAAGGGCATCAAATCCTGTATCCCAGGATTTCCTATCCTGGGATAGCACCATCCCAGGATGGTGCTATCAAATAAATAAACTATCTTATACAACTTCATGTTCTACCTTTGGAATCGAGTCCTTGAGTATTCTCTGGGCTACAAGTAGGCAAGGTTTTGTAGATCCTTTTGGTTACAGTCCCTTGCTTCCTGTTTCAGGTGCAATTCATTCTGCTTGGGTTATGTTGTGATTTAACCCTTTTATTGGTTTAGTGGCTGGAAAGGGGAGGTAAGGGCAGATCTTGAGGGGTGCATTTTGTCTTTCAGGGGAGAAAATATTGCAGCACTATCCTTAACAAGGGAGTAAGCATTAGTTCTTTTTTTTTTTTCTTTTTTGAGATGGAGTCTTGCTGTGTTGCCCAACACTGGAGTGCAGTGGTACAATCTCGGCTCACTGCAATCTGCACCTCCCAGGTACAAGTAATTCTCTTGTCTCAGCCTTCCAAGCAACTGGAAATACAGGTGTGAGCCACCATGCCCAGCTAATTTTTGTATTTTTAATAGAGATGGGGTTTCACCATATTGGTCAGGCTGGTTTCAAACTCCTGATCTCAGGTGATCCACCTGCCTCGGCCTCCCAAAGTGCTGGGATTACAGGCATGAGCCACTGTGCCCAACCAGCGTTAGTTCTTAATAGGATCAGAGAAGTCTGGAGTTTCAAGATTATATTTTTTCATCCCATGTGTCTGGGTTTCAAAGTAGAACTGTACCCTGGCATAGCTGACCTGCTGAGATCAAGAGGCCAACTGCACTCTGTAACTCTTAGGATTAAGTCCTGGACCTCATCTTTTTTTTTTTTTTTTTTTTTTTTTGAGACGGAGTCTCGCTCTGTCGCCCAGGCTGGAGTGCAGTGGCGGGATCTCGGCTCACTGCAAGCTCCGCCTCCCGGGTTCACGCCATTCTCCTGCCTCAGCCTCCCAAGTAGCTGGGACTACAGGCGCCCGCCACTACGCCCGGCTAATTTTTTGTATTTTTCATAGAGACGGGGTTTCACCGTTTTAGCCGGGATGGCCTCGATCTCCTGACCTCGTGATCCGCCCGCCTCGGCCTCCCAAAGTGCTGGGATTACAGGCGTGAGCCACCGCGCCTGGCCTCATCTTTAGTTTTCTCTGCTATCAAGCTGTAGGAGATGACAGTATTTTTGTATATTACCGAGAAGGTTATCTGGCTTTCACTCATAGCTTTTAATGATTCATTAATTGTGACCAATCTTTTGTTAACATTTAACAAGCATTAATGGAGTTTAGCATTAGCTACCCAATTTACTATCCTTAGAGTTACTATTTTCCCTGTATTGCACAAACTCTGGATATATAACACCAGCATTTATTTTTACAATTTACCATCAGTACAAGAGAAAGATTTAATAATTATACTTATATTATATCCCAGAGGCTATTTTTTGCTGAAGCTCCAACAACCCAGGATGGGATTCTCATTGCCAGCTCCAAATCTCCATTGCCAAAATACCGTGGCAGTACCTGCTTATGTGGACCAGTACTGGCACCAACTGTCACAGGTTGCGTTGCTTAGGAGGCAGACCCTGTGATAGAGATTATTATGTCGGGAGTTCTCAGGGACAGTTCTCAGGATCACCACTTGTGAAAAGGAAGGGGAGGAAGCAGGTGTGAGAAGAGGAATTTATTGGGATTCAGTGTAGTTTCAGTGTGGGTCTTAGACAAATCTGAAACCCTGATGCTAGGATGATCCATCAGAGATGTCTCATGTTGGTTGGAAGGAGCTACGCCCTTATATACCCTTCTAGACCAGTCATTAGATGCTGGCTACCCACAGGAAGTGGGTTTGGCGATGGATGAGGCAGCTTTTCAGCCAAGAGAGCTGACAGCTGAAGTCTTTCAGTGAACAGCCTTCCCAGAATCTGGGAATAAATTATTCAGTCTTGAGGTTGGAACTGGGCAGACCATCAAAGCATCCTCTAAAAAACACCATGGAAAAAACTCTAGTAGTAGTACCCCTTCCCCCTCCCCCACGCCACCCAACCCCTCTCCATATTTATAGGGGCAGTAGAGGCAGGGAACATCTAAGATACTGTATAGGAAAAGAAATCTGCCCTTAAATGTAATGCTATGCCTAGATACATTTACAAACAATTTCTGCCAGCTGTTTAAGGAAAAAATAATTCTAACTTATACAAATTGTCTGAATGACTAAAAAAGAAATAATGTCTTCCAGCTCATTTTATAAGGTGAATATAACTTTGATACTATAACTGGACAATGAAAATAAAAGAAAAAATATTATGGGTTAGATCTCTTATAAAGCTAAATGCTAAAATCCAAAATGGGAACTAAGGGGTTTCTTTGACTTGATAAAGTAACTGCTAGAATCTTTTAGCTAAAACCATAGTCAATGGGAAACTATTAGAAGCCTCTTTAGAAGTTGTAAGATGACCAGGCATGGTGGATCATGCCTGTAATCTCAGCACTTTGGGAGGCTGAGGCGGGTGGATCACATGAGGTCAGGAGTTCGAGACCAGCCTGGCCAGTATGCTGAAACCCCGTCTCTACTAAAAATACAAAACTTAGCTGGGCGTGGTGGTGTGCACCTGTAATCCCGGCTACTCAGGAGGCTGAGACAGGAGAATTGCTGGAATCCGGGAGGTAGAGGTTGCAGTAAGCTCAGAACATACTACTGCACAGCCTGGGTAACAGAGTGAGATTCCATCTCAAAAAAAAAAAAAAAAAAAAAAAAGATTATAAGGCGAGGATTCCTGCCATCACTACTTATATTCAGTATTATGGTTTGGATTCTAGCATTTAGCTAAAACACACATACACACACAGAGCAACTGAAAAGAATGAATATGACACTACTTTCAGATGGTAAAAGTGACTTCACAGGAAATGCAAGAGATCTATTGGAGCCAATGGAAATGTTCAGGATATCTGATGAATACAGGATCAAAGTATAACAATTCTTTTATTATATACAAGGAACACTTAGAAAATATAGTTTAAAATGTTAATATTTGTTAAAGAAATACAGTCTGAAAGTTTACCTAGAAATAAACTTAACAAGGCATACGTTAGGAAGAAACTTACATTCCCTTTATGGGAAGATGTAAATAAAACCAAAATAAGTTGAACTATGATCTTTAAAATGACAATTATTCTTATATTAATTTACATAGACAATGCAATTCTAATCAAGGTCTCATTGGGTTTTTCTTGTAGCTTGACTGTCTGCTTCTAAAATTTATATAGAAAATCATATTGCTAAGAAAAACAGAAAATTTGATAACATAGGTATGGGACTAATTCTATTAGATATAAAGATTCATATAAAGTGATTGTTACCAACATAGTAGGATATTAAAGCTATACACCAATGAAACAGAATAAAAGGCTTAGATATATGACAGAGACAGTATTTAAAATATTTGGAAAAGGGATAGAGGTTCTTTACATGGAACTGGGACAGTTTGTTATCCATGTAGATCAAGCATGTCCAACCCATGGCCTCTGGGCTGTGTGCAGCCCAGGATGGCTTTGGATGCAGCCCAACACAAAATCGTATACTTTTTAAAAACATTATGCGGTTTTTTTGTATTTTTCTTCTCTTTAGCTCATCATCTATAGTTAGTGTTAGCGTATTTTATGTGTGACCCAAGACAGTTCTTCCAGTGTGGCCCAGGGAAGCCAAAAGATTGGATACCCCTGAATGAAGAGATATTTAATCTTTAACTATAACAAAAGAAAAAAATAGGTTAATGTGGACTAAAGACATAAATGTTAGAAGTTAGATTTTAGAAGTTTTAGGAAATATAGGCGATATGGTTGGCTCTGTGTCCCCACCCAAATCTCATCTTGAATTGTAATCTCCACAATCTCCACATGTCGAGGGCAGAACCTGGTGGGAGGTGATTGGATCATGGGGGGCAGTTTCCCCCATGCTGAAAGTTTACTGAGTGAGTTCTTGTGAGAGTGAGTTAGTTCTTATGAGATCTGATGGTTTTATAAATGTTTGACTGTTCCTCCTGCACACACTCTCTCGCCTGCCTCCATGTAAGATGTGCTTGCTTTCCCTTCTACCATGATTGTAAGTTTCCTGAGGCCTCTCCAATCGTGTGGATCAGTGAGTCAATCAAACCTCTTTCCTTTATAAATTACCCAGTCATGAATATTTCTTTATAGCAGTGTGAAAATGGACTAATAGAATAGTCAACTATTTTTATGGTCTCAGGAAAAGATATGTTGCTTAAATTGGACTCAGAAGCCCAAAATCTAAAGGAGAAATGGTTATAAAATTTATTGCACTAAATTAAATACATTTATTTAAGTTGAATGCACTAAATAAACTACATCCAGTGTAACTCAAAACCTGTACTTGGAAAAGCTTCTTCAATGAGAGAAAATTAATATCTAGCAATACTTATAATCAATAAGCATAAGACAAATCTTACAAAGAAAATACATCCCAAAGGAAAGGAATAGGTCGTTCACAAAAGAGGAAGGATTCCCAAAACGTAAATACAAATGTCCTTCTCACTAGTTATGAGGTAATGTGTTGTTTAAAATACATTTCTGTATATATATGTTTGCAAAATAGATGAGTTGATTTCCTAGCATCCTCTAATTGTATTTTTAGTGTTACTATGAACTAATGGGTTTAAACATATTTGATAATGTGTTTCAATCCAATCAATTATTCTCTTTATTGATATTCATGTTATCCTAATTTAGGCCAGCAGGAGCTTACACAATTTTTCCTAACTCTTTTAACAGAACACTTTCATATTTAGAAGCCTTATTGCTTTCTGGTATTACAATAGCCAAGGCTTATTTTACTCAGATTCTGCCTCAACCCTGAAATCATTTTTTTCCAAAAAGCTCTGATTTTTTTATTGGGGAGTTTTTTGGGTGCCAGTGGTTTTTATTACCACTGTGTTGGTTGTTCATTGTTTCCAGGTTTTTTTTATTAGTGAGAAAGAGGAAATATATATACATACAATTCTTAGTTATAAAATTAATTATAATTTTATATAGATAATTCCAGTTCATTTTTGGGGTCCAAAGCTTTTAATTAACCTCCCCAATTTCAGAATCAGCCTTCTTCAAACATAGTAAAAATGTGGGTTCTTAAAGATAACAGTTTTTGCTTTTTACACTTTATCTTATAATACATACACAATCTCAAAATAATATCACCATCACTGCCTACCACCAATAATATGATTATTGAAAAGTTTACTTTTTAAAATTCTTTTGCTTTTAGGATACATTTCAATGAGGATATATATATTTAAGTTGCTGTTTTTTGTTTTTGTTTGTTTGTTTCCAAAGAACTTCGGATGGTTTCTGTCTTTGTGGCTATGCCACCAAATATGTGCATACGTTCATTTGTTTCTTTGCATTAAGTTGTAAATTGGATTCTGCAAAACTCTCTCCCAATTTTAGCTGTTCTCAGGTTGGTCTGCTGTGCTTTCCAATGAGTATCTTGTCAGTGATTTTGACATATTCCTGTCCCCCTGCCCATCAGAAACCTAGTTGTCATCCTTTATTTCCTTACTCATGTGCTGTTTACTGTGTGGTTCTTGTAGCTGTTTTCACAGCAGAAGAGTTGTAAAATAGTTTGTTCCCATCCACTTGTATTTGAAAGTTTGAGGTGATACTTTGTAACCTAGATCTATGCTATATATTGTCCAAGGGTCTTTGGGGTTTTCTTTAACTGGTTGTTCTGTGTTTTTTTATAGCAGGATCAGAGAATATTCCATTATTACGTGGCTATTGCTGCTGCCATTATTACTCTGTATTCAAATTCTAGGCAATTTCTAAAAAAGGTGTATACATGCATATCCTATGACCCACTGATTGACTACCTAGGTATATATCCTAGACAAGTCTTGTGCAATACATGGTGTTTACTAGAGCATTGTTTGTATTAGGGAAAAGTTTGATGCTATGTAAATTTATATTAATAGAAAAAGATACAAATAAATGTTATATTCGTATAAAAGACTAACTTAGAAGTTAAGAAAAGCTGTAGTCAAATGTGTGTAACAAACATTATATATTAAATATTATGCAAAATCATACAGATGAAAAAGAAAACAGTTTAATGATATTTATATAATAAAAATTATTAAGCAAAAAGAAGTACTATACTTTTCCACAGATACATATGAGTTTGGAAGAATAGAAACATGTACAGGAGTGACAAATACTATATTTGTGATACTGGTTACTCTGAGAGAACATGGGGTCATGGTAATTAGAAGGGAAACATAGATAAGGTAAGAACTATTCTAATAATAAAGATCTGAAATAAAAAATTTGCCAGGCATGGTGCTGTGCGCCTGTACTCCTAGTTACTCAGGAGGCTGAGGCAGGAGAATTTCTTGAGCCCAAGGAATTTGAGGCTTTCAGTGAGCTATGATTGCATTGTTGCACTCAAGCCTGGGTGGCAAGGCAAAACCCCATCTCTACATAAATGAACAAATAAATAAACAAAGATTTGAGGCAAATTTTGCAAGCTGTTCAGATTTTTGCAAAACTCCGTGGTGAATATGCTTTTCTATACAGTTGAAATACATCATGATTTCTAAATAGAGAGGGAGAACCAGTCTTGTTGACTGACTGTATTAACATGGATAATGAACGTGACAATCAGAAAGGTTTTGGTTAGATGTGAAAACCAGGGTAAAACGACAGTTTCAGAGGCAAATGTTGCAAGTGCCTATCCAAACCGTATCCATGTTATCATTAAACATTGGAAGCATATAAGTAATCTTCCTTGTTCTGGCTCCATGTTTAACAAGCACTCTTCCGAGCATGGTTTTTCTTCACATGTTTTTATTTATATTGAGAATATGTTGGGCAGACACTCTGAGTGTCCAGTCCCCTTATGTTCTTACTGTGAGCTGGCACTTTATTTTCATGATAGCAATCTCATATGCGCTGTCTCAGGGATGTCTGTATTTCCAAGTGTAATGGATTCAGGAACATGGGCAAGACCAAGTTTCTGACTCTGCAAGGCTCAACCCAGACCTTAAATTCATCAAAAGTTTGCATCTCCCCAGGAACATCCTTCTATTCTCTATAGCATATTCTTCTTGAATTTAAATTAGTGATCTCTTGTGAAGTAGAAAATTAATGGCTGTTGCAGGCATAGCCTAAGAAAATAAAGTAATTCAAACGTGCAGCCAATTGTAGTGATAAGCTCTCATTCAGAAATAACTCAGAGTTGTATGTAGTTAGCACCAAATGTACAGAACTGGTAAAACTAGACACCTTGTGAGCAGTTGCTATGGTAATATGATTAATTTTGGCAGAGAAGTCTATTTTTAATATTCAAAGTAGCCTTCAAATACCTGAGCCTACTGGAATTTTTTAAATGGTAAATAGAAGGCAAAATAGTCCATTTAAAATGGACTTTAAGTTGTTAAGAGAGCCTACTTGATGTTGTTAGTTATTAATCTCTAAGGGACATTGCCTTATTTTTGAATTCCTATTGCCTAGCACAATATCAGACACAAAATATAAGTTCAATACATTATAATGATAATTAAATTGTCTCAATGTCTGAGTAAAATAAAATGTTTTAAACAGTTTTTTAAAAATTCTGTTCTTTTTGGAGGGCTTCATTTTAGACATTGGTTTGTTCTGTAAGCCTCCATGGCTTCATTAAAGTGACTTAGTATAAATGAGCTCTTTATGAAATTTTAGGCCCAATTGGTGAACTACTGTATTTCTAAAATTTTGCACATGAGAGAGTAACCAATATAATTATCTGAAACTCAGTTAATAACAGCAGCAGATGATAATTGCCTTCTTCCTCTATAGAGTTTTTTTCCCCCATGGTTCTTCTTGTTTTACTGAAAAGGAGGTTATCTTTCAGTTAACCAGATAGTTCAATAGATTTTGACACTCACTCCCCAAGAGACAGTGATTACTGAAATGTTTTGGATGTTATATTGTTACAAGCAAAATAAAATGCACAGAAACCTGTGGATTTTTTGTTTGTTTTCCAAAGATTACAAAAGGATTCCTTCAACAATCTTTTGCTGTGAATAATTTAAGTGGAAAATTAAAGTTCTATCTTGAGTCCAAGATTTACAGAGTTGATAAGCTTTGAGTCAAAGTATGAATTTTAAATTAGTTAATCAGTAATGCTGCAGGGAGATTGGAGGTTTGGATGGGCCAAATTTCCAATTTATATCTACTAGCTAAAACTTATGTCAGTTCTAAATATGTAAATTTTAAAAGGACATACCAAGGACCGTGATTTGCAGTTATTTATAAAGATTTTATTTACTTAGTATTCATGTGTATATGGATTCCAACATCTTTTTCCTTTATTATCTCAAACAAGCTTTGAAACAACACTGGCGGATTACTTAACATTGAAATTACACCTAGAACATGGGCATAGCCCTGGGTGGTTTTGTTGCTACCAGGATGCAAATTATGATGAACTCCATTTTCCTTTAGTAAATGTTTTCTTTGCAGATTGCTTTCATTTTTCAATAAAGTGTATCATCTCTGTGTGCCATTGCAGGCACCATCCCTGTTTCTGCAAACCCGAAAAGAAAAGAATCATCTATTTCTTCATTCCCTATATGAGATTTTGCAGTGGTTAAGATGGATCATCAGCATGATTTCAAAGGGAAACTCTTAGACAAACGATGTTTCTGACGCGGAATAATTTTGCTTTAAGAAATGACCTGTCTGTTATCAGTGCTAACAGACTCTGCTATATTAAGCAAAGTGTAGACGCCAAATAATGTGATTGATAGACAATAAGAGAATGGGAAGTTTTTTCAAATGTAAATTATGTCAGCAAGTTAATAGTATTAATTAATATCACTTAATTATCTGTGGCTCAAATAGAATAATGTCAGGGAGGGTGCCTTATTAATATTAAACATCATGCATTTAATAGCAATATGTGTTACTGACACTATGAAACTTCTAAAGCTGTAAAACATTACAAATAATATTGAGAGGAATATTTCATAGATCTTCAATTTTGTGCTTGTTTTAGAGTGAGTAAAATTATCTTTAAATATTCTTCCCATTGTTTAAGGTCTCTAAGACTATGAAAAGAAGAAATAGAAATCAATATATTAAGTCAAGTTTCAGAGAGTCAGTGAGTTTTTAAATTTTGGGAAGTTTATTTCGCTGAGGCCATGTTGTTTTATGGCTGTGCAGTGTGAGGTATTAACCAAAGAGAAAGGACTCCGGACTTTGATTTGTGCCAAAAGGGAAGTCTTTTACAAAGAATAATAATAACCAGAAAGGTTGTAGTACAGTTTTTCTCAACCTATCATAAAAATAGACTAAATAAAAATGCAGAAAAGTGGGAAAAAAGATTCTTGTGTTTGTGTGAAGAAATGACCTTCCAGTGGGTAAGCCATAGAGCAATGTATGTAAAAAAAAAAAAAAAGCAAATTTGCATGAACTGTCTTACTTCCAGAAAGAGATCAAGATTTACTCCAAGACCTAGTGTCAATATTTAGAAAATAAGGAAACTTAATTCAAAAAGACGTATCAGGGTTGACTCCCACCCTGGCCACAAACGTAAACAATTACAGGCATAAGGGAAGAAAAAACAAATGTTTGCCCTGTCCTTACAAAATATATGACGTGGGAAATATAAATAAACTAAATCTTGCTAGTGGTTGATTGTATACTTAATATTTGAGCAGTGTAAGAATGGAAGTTTTTTTAAAACTTCTGAACTACAATAATTTATTTTCTTAAAGCTCAGGAGAGAAAATATTAGGCCATACACACAAAAAAGTTTCAATATTTACTTTTACGTTTCTGGATCAAAGCACTTTTCTGTCAATGTTTTCTCTTTTGAGACAAAGAGTTCAGAATGAATATTTGTGGTATGGATGATATTTTAAAAATGTCCTGAGAAATCCTATCCGCAGACATTGTGGGCTATAAGTGCAGATTGATATGATATTTCAATGGATCTTTTGTTAGGGGAACAATTTTGTTTTCTGACCTAAATAGAAAGATATGTTTATTTGGAAATTTAGCATTTAATCATTTCCATAATGTAAAATTACGTTAAAACAGAAAAGGATTGAAAAAGGCAACATGCTGCTTGTGTCTAAGTTCAGAATGGATTGATCAATTTTGATTCATCTTGAAACTAACAAACATCATGAAAAATGTCTTTATTATCAAATATTTTCATATTCTGGCGGAAGAGTCCTTGTACTAACAGAATGTGTCTGTATCTGTATATGTATATAGATTTGTTTGTCTTACACTTCAGATTCACATCTGATTGTGTATTGAGATTATATTCTATTTCCTGATTTAAAAAGTAATTGAAGAAGACTGTGTTTAACTTGAGGAGAAGTTCTATGCCCTTTGAAGGAACTTCTAAATTTGAAGTATGTTTGGACAGTTTCTTTCTTTATTTTTTTCTTCCTAGAGTCAATTATCCAAAGTCTAGCTTTCTTATATAGTACTCCTACCATCTTTCAAAAAATCTACACTGGGTGAAGACATACTGTTTTCAAATGGCCAGGTAAAAATCAGGTTACCTAGATGCTCCTTCCAATCCAGTGTGCGAGGAAAGGATGAGTGAACAATTTTATTTAACTCATTAATAGTACTTTACTGCAAGCACACTTTTTAATTGTAGATTAGATGATTTTGTTGATTTTATATGGTAGTGTATGGTAAAAGTGGAAAAGTAGATTTTGAAAAAAATGATAATGTTTTAAATAAAACATTGCATGGGATGCCTTTGTATGAACAAACACTAAAATAATGGACTGCAGATACTTCCTTTTCTATTATTAGGAATTTAACAAAGACACATACTACCTTAAAACATGTCTTTTTCTGAAGAATGTTTCTGATTCTATATAAAATATGTTTGTATTTATTTTTCTATTGTATCAAGAGCTTTTAACATTTTTGATAATTGTTTCTCAAATTTGGAATTTGTGATAACTTTGTGTGTCATGTTGGGGGAGATTTATTCTATGCACATGAAATGCTACCAGAAAATTATTTTCTCTTTTAACTGGTGTAACATTAGCTAAAATATATGTCTTAGAACTTTTGCCAAGTCTTACTTTTCCTTGGGAATTTGCTCAGTGGTTGTCAATCATGTAAAAATAGTTGACTTTTGAGACTTCACTGTTGCCTTTGTCTGAGAAAATTTTCATTATGCCTTCATTGTGAGCAAGACCGGTCAGAGCAGCCTTTTCAGACCTTCACATGACATCATCTTTCCTCCCTAAATCCAATATCAATAAAAGCAGAAAGCTTAAACTGTATATGGAAAAAGTGTAATGAACAAATGCTCTTGGCTATTGTTGAATCTTTGAGCTATCTCTTCCAATCCCATAAATCTCAAGATAATGAATCTTCTAGCTCAATCATGTATTTCCTGGGCATATAAGTGTGGTGTTTGGAGAAAAGGGGACACAATTCCTATAATTACACTTAATAATATATGTCACTAAAATCAAAAAGGCACCTGTCTTTTAATTGCTTTAAAAATGTTTATAACAGTAACCACTAGAGATTGAGGGGCTTGTAAATATTTATTCTTGGAATAGTTAAATATTTAGTATTTTGGTTCTTAAAGCAAATTTGTCAAATAGGTAGCACAAGCAGCCTCATAAACTCTTATATGGACTCTTTTGTTATACACAACTTATACTCCAATTCACGGTATGTTCTCATTCACATTTTTGTGCCTCAAAATGTGTATATTGAAGACCTATTTATTTCTGGTACTATGGCATTAAGGATATTAAGGTGAGCAATACATACTTCCTGTTGTTAGTATTTTCAAAATTAGTCGAGGAAGCCGGCTGAAAACAATTATGAAATCTTGTGTGTTGCCTTATTATTGGCAGAAGCACAGTCAGGACATGGAAGTAGAGACACTTAATTAGGGCAAATGGGAAGAGCAGGTTTCTAGGAAGGTTTTTCTGGGAAGGCCTAAAGAGACTCAATTTTCTTGTCAGTGTGCTCTCGACTGGTAACCAGCTATCAGATATCTTAGTGTTAATTCAAATAAATGTATTCATTTTCTTGAGGATATTTGGTTTCCAAGTATTTTCTCCTGAGTGGACAGAAAGACTTCACCCTTGGCAAAAGTAGTGGTTCTTTACTTTGTGTAACCCCTTTTGACAATCTACTGTGGACTTGTCCCAGAAAAATACATGGTGTTTGTGTTTATAAATTCGTACATATTTTTGCATATAGTTTTTCAGAAATCACAAACTTAAAGCCTCCTTAAAGCTGACGGCCTCAGCTTCAGACTGAAGTGTTAGAGCTCACTGAGGAATTGGGGACATGGGTGGAAGTGGCATTTTTTAAAGTTAAGGCCTAGGGAATCACAATCTTGAATTGCTTATTCTCATCATACATTATTTTATAAAATGCACTTATTCTGCATACTATAATAAAAGCAGTCTTTCTGTTTTAGTCTCTGATTAAAAAAATGTTTGTTGTGCATTAACGGCAAATAACCTTTAGGAGAAAAACAAAACCTGTGGTTTTCCCTGTAGCTTAAAAATTGTTCTCTCTGACATTTAATTTTGGCTTACTGGTTAGCTCCAACCCCCTATTTGACCATAAGAATCCAAGCAGAATTCCAAACAGATAGTAAATATTCTAATTGCACTTGAGTATTTTCCTAGTATCGTCCCAATAACCATTTTCCCATTTTTTTTTTAGTTCTGATCTCACTAACCTCAAATCATGTATTAAATGGGCCAAATGAACGATAATTCATACTTTAAGACTGTTTATCTCCAACTTTGTTTTTTGAGGTAAAATAAATAGAAAATACCACATAAAAACGAAAACAAAATTCCAAAGTGGATTCGAGAATTTCATATGTATTTTTGCACCTAAGTGTCAGATATATATTAGATTATAATGCATCCTAATACATATGAGTATAAATTGTCATGGTCCAACTTACTGTGCCAACGCATAAGTAAAATATTTTAGTACACAGAAATAGGACACAGATTTAAATAGAAGGCGAATTACGGAAATCTTCAAATGTGTGCAGTATGAAGAAAGAAATGCATTTTAAACTGTATGACAGGTTGAAAGTTCTAACGTGCCTTTTTTTTTCTGTTGAGAATATCAAGATTTAAAGATGTATATGGGCTACAGTGTGTCAAGTCTGGCCGTAAATGAATTGGCTTAGTCACTCACTATTGCTTTCTCTCAAAGAAATATTTGGTTTTCTCCTAAAGCAATTTATGGTGTATTCATCACTACCAAACTATTCTGAAGTTATTAGTTTAGAAAATATGGCAATAAATAAATGGGCTTATGTCCTCCAGAACTGTTTTTTCTCCTTTAAGTATCATCTAGCCTGGTGCCCTTTCTTCTCCCCAGAAGTAATGTTTTTGCTTCTGTGAAGTGACTTATCCTTGGACTGTTGATCTGTGTTTGATATAATCCATCAAGACATGGATCCTACTGCATATAAAAAGCCATTACAAGAAAATAAAATCTGAAACATATTTGAATTTTATTTTATGTGTACTGCTTTTATCTGAAATGCAGTATTGACAAAGTACATTTTGCTTAGTTGAGTGCCTCCGTTTTCAAGTCAACCATCTGACTCAAAGAAGAGTGGGAATTTATTCTTGCAGAAAAAATTAATACTAATAAAGATGATGACAATGATAATCATTTGTAGTGATTGGGAGCTTGTTAAAAATGTAGAATCTGAGGCTCCTCTCCAGACTTACCAAATCAGAGTCTGCACTTTGGCCAGATTCTCTATGATTCTTATGCAAATTAAAGTTAGTGAAGCACTGCTTCAGTGTCTAGTGGCCACCACACTACCAGCACTAAGAAAGGAAGAGACAGGCTGAGAGTCCCTGCCAGTGGATGATCAGAGCTATTTGCATTGTAAATGCACCTGATGGAAGTTTCATATAACTAGTCAACTTGGATTTACCTTACAGTCTTAAAAAGTGTAAAATGTATTTTTATGAAAACCAACAAGCCTTATATTATAATTGGCAAAATATTTAACTTGGGTAAGTTTCTTGCGGGGGTCTGGCTTTAGGGATGCTGGAGCATTAGTGTTTTCTGCTGCGTCTGTACGAAGCTGATTAGAATCTCGATTCAATTTCAGGCATCAAAACCACCCTCTTAGCTAGTGTTATAAACTATTCTGTACACTCTTTGTGGCTTTGCTGCTATGAGAGTAAACGAAAGTAAGCATTTCTTTGCTTCTTTAGACTGCCTTTCCATTGGAAATAGGGCCAGTGAGGGGTTTAAGAGAGAAATCTAATTATAGTAAAGATTTTTCTATATGTTGAAGTGATAACCTACATTTTACTAATTTCTATTTTCTTCCTTTCTAGATTCCCACATAAATCTAACCCCTTCCTTCTTATCTCATGTCAGTTTTGCACTGGGTAAATAATTTTATATGATAAACCTTTGATCAAAGCCTAAAACATTGCACAGCTTTTAGGACTGAAGTTTAAACTTCATAAATAACTAATTCTCTATAGTGGAAAAGTTCATAAATATTAAGATTTAAATCCAATGAAAGACAGTAATTTGAAAAGCATGGATTTTGTCACTTTCTACGATTTTAATGTATTTTCTTTCTTTTCCTTTTGGTTTCACAGAAGAAAATCTGAAGAAAGGTTTAAAAATAAAGAAAATTGGTAAACCTGTAAAAAACAAATATCCCTGTATTTCTAGGTATTTTTCAGTGTTCTACTGTCTCATGATTAATTTCTTATTTCTCGAGTTTTTTGTGCTTCCTAAAGTTACTGTGCTTTGACTCTGGCAGTACTAAGGGATTGGTTGGTGTAGCTTGTATTCAAATAAGCAGGGAGACTATTTTATTGTTACACTAATATATATGACGAACTTTAAAAGAGAAATTCACATACTAGTTATCAATGAACTCTCCCATGGTTTCACAATGGTTTATAGAGCTTTGCTTTATTAAGTAGCATAATACACTAGGTAAAAAAGATAGAGTCAGACTGAGAGCAGTTGCTCACTCCTGCAATCCCAGCATTTTGGGAGGCTGAGGCAGGAGTATTGCTGGAGGCCAGGAGTTCATTATCAGCCTGGGCAACATGGCACAACCCTTTCTGTACAAAAAATACAAAAATTAACAGGCATTACAAAAATTAGCCCAGCGCAGTGGAGTGTGTCTGTAGTCGCAGCTACTTGGGAAGCTGAGGTAGGAGGACTACTAGAGTCTGGGAGGTTCAGGTTAAGTCTACAGTGAGCCGTGATCGCACCACTGCACTCCAGCCTGGGTAACAGAGAGACCCTAACTCAAAAATAATAAAAATAATAATAATAGAGTCAGAGTGTTTTCAGGTTTTAGGGTAATGACTTGGTGGCTCTTGAAAATATGGACCGTGTTATATTTGTCATTAAAGATAAAAAATCTGGCATCTAGTTGTTGCCTAAATAAATATTGACTTAAGTATTACTTTTGGTAGTTATATATCCATTTTACAGAGACTCAGAGGCAATGCCATCTTAAGATAAAGTGTATTATAAATTGTATGAAATGTGGTGAATGAATTGCTACAATAGCACTAGGTATTCTTTTGTCTTGATTGCACCTTGCATTATAAAATTATCTTAGTTTATAAAATATCACATGGTTTAGTTGTTACTGCTTTTCCTTTTTCCTCTCAGTGAAGACCTGCTGCTGGTCATAAGAATCCACAGAAGATGCAGACATTCTTATCCGATTTTCAGATATTTGCGAATTAGCTCATGATTGCCTATTTCTCTTTATTTAGAATCTCCATAATCAGTAACCTTCTTATTCAAGGAAACTACTTTCCCCCTCTCCACAAGCAACAATGTAAAAAAATGGAGTTATGCCCTTTTACAGGTAGCTAATATTTGTCCTGTAACAGGTCCAGTGCATTCAGTTATGATTACTTTCTGAAAGATCTGTCTCTATCCAGACCACGTTTCCATATTTTTAACAATGCTTTTCTAATTAGCTTTGTGTGTATTGATTTCACGGAAATATTTTACATTTTAATTCAACTTTTCTTTTTTTAGCTGTATTTTGGGGCGATATTGCCTTAGATGATGAAGACTTAAATATCTTTCAAATAGATAGGACAATTGACCTTACGCAGAACCCCTTTGGAAACCTTGGACATACCACAGGTATGGTTGATTGTTTCAGAAAATTTGTCTTTATTTTGGAGAAAATATACTCTTGAAGTGCTATAAATATTTTTGGATCATTTTTCATCTCCTGTTGATCAACTCTGACTTCCTATACACAAATATACATATTTAGAAATGCAGGTTTTATTCATAGTTTTCATTTTATTAATTTTTTTTTTTTTTTACCAAACAGGTTGTAGTATTTGCTACATACTAGGTCTGGTTTAAGTGCTTTGCAGGTATTAATTCTCTGAATCTTCATGACAACCCCCTCAGGGTAGTTACTAATATTACTATGATTTTAGAAATCAGCAGATTGAGATTTAGAAGGCTATACAGCTTTCTTATCGTCACATCATCAGGAAGTGGCCATGTCAGAACCAGAATTCAATTCTGAAAAAAGCTTGATTTTGTCCTCTTGAGTATTATATTAAGTTGCCTCTCATTTGGATATTGAGTTGCAAAATGTAAATTATTCTTAGAGAAATTATATAGGAAATGTATTTGAAATTATATAGGAATAATATTTGGAAAATTTATATATCTATATAATTTTTGTAAAAACCCCAGAAGGCAATTTTAATTTTAGTTGATTTAAACATGTTTGAATTATGCCTGTAAGAAACTTGATATATGTAAAAGATTATTTCAGTTCTCATTTAACAATTTTTTAAATTAAAATTTCAAAATTCTTTGTAGTATCTTGGTAAAATTTTTATCTGTGTATTATTCTGGAGAAAATTGCAAGGTTAGAAAGTTAAAATCTCTTTCTCTAATTATATTAATAGCTAAAATATTTATTTCATGTCATGCTTTTGATTTCATTGCATTCTCCCTTTTTAGTATTTTTATTTTCTCCTATTCTGTGGAAGTACAATATGTGGTCCTTTCTGATATCAAATGCACATATATATTATGGACTTAAGACTTTTTACTGTGACTTTTTACTTTGCCCAATTTACTTTTTTTGCCACTTTTTACTATGACCAGTTTTAAATATATCGAAATATTTCTACCTATTAGATTGTAGAATAGTGGTATTCTTACTTGTTAGATTCAGCAGTTTTTAACAGTTTATGATTTTCACTGAATGTGTGTGTGTGTTGTGTGTGTGTGCATACATGCATACGTGTGTTTAAAACAAATTTGAAGTCAACTGCAGAAAACGCACTTTAATATTATTAGGTAGTCTAGCATGTACTTTGTAAGAATAAGGATATTATTCTATATAATCAAAATACCACTATCAGATATAAAAATTTATTTAAAGTAGGGAGTATGTAAGAGAAAGCCTAAGGAATTCATCTAAAATAATAACACCATGTAAAAATAGGGTGCTTTGGTGTTTGTTATGCATAGTGACAATCTTTTCTAAAACATATATCAGTATGGGTGCTAATATTGCTGTGCAGTGTCACCACAGATAGCGTATCCCTCTAGATTATGTTTCTTGGCCAAATCTCCAGTTGCTATATCACCTGTAACACTGTCATGGAGACAACGCATTCTGGACAGTAGAGCAATGATACAACAATAAAATGCTAGAGTTATTATAAGTTGCATTTCCAACTTTTATTAAAATTTTCATTAGCTCTAAGCTTTAGATCACTTCTTTGACCTCCCTTCTCCCATTATTTTGAAGGCATTGATTTTCTGTGATTTTAAATTTTTAAAATGTTGTTATTTAATTTAATTTTATTTATTGTTAAACTCTGAGACCATAATAATTGGAAGAAAAATAGTGTTATTTTAGACATAGAATAAAACAGATCATACTGATAATAATAAAAACACTTATTCTAAATTTTTCTGTGGAAGGTACATGTTTGAAAGTTCAATAGTAACTTGCACTACTCAGTTGAATTGCAAACAATGTAATATAAATATAGTTGTTACATAATGGTCATTTCAAACATCATTGATGCCATACTTTTAAAATGTTTCTCCTAATTGCTTAGGAATGAATGTATTTAAGTATTACCTCATCTTTCTAAAATGTGCAATGAAAAAATTTCAAAAATGTTTCTCAAGATGCACAGCAAAAATGTGGCCATGTAATGGAAGTAATTAAGTAGATTATTAGTCAGTGAACAAGCACTCTAACTTATTTGCCTTATAAGGACTTATTTGATTTTTCCCTTAAGAGGCTTATATAGCAATAGATTTTATCATTTTTTTTTAGCTTCAGTCTAGGTAATTAGGTGCATCACAATTTTAAATAAAAAAATAGATATTGGAAGGAAATAGTTCAAGTGATTTGTGAATAGTTCAAGTTGTCGTCGTGGAATTATAGCTTTCTTTGTCTTAGCCCAAAGATACTCTATGAACCATAGATACTCCATGTTACTACAAATTCATAGGCACTTGTTAAGATGTCATTAGTGGCTGTATTGGTTGTTTGCTGAATGATAACTTTTTCCTATTTGTCTAATAAAAATTCAAGGAGAATAGAGAAAATAGGTGACAAAACCGAGAGTAGCATTTTATAAAAGCCCTGGAATGAAAATCTGGAGACTTGAATTATTGCCAAATGCTATGCTTTCTGACTTATGACAGGAATCTACCTTTTCTAGGTTTTGTTGGTAAAATTGCAAGAACACATATTGCCTTATTCCTACCGTTTCCTATTCCTTTTGCACTACAGACTTTTTTTACACTCTGTTTTTTATAAATTTTTCAAATTACACAGCGTAACAGAATATATTTTGCAGCTGAACATTCGTTTGGATTCCTGTGGCTTTTTCCAAATTACGTTTTTGATTTCTATAAATTCAACTAAATTTTCAAAATGCAGTTGAATATATTGTTAAAATGTGATATGCTTTAAAAAGTTTTTGAAATTCATGGAAGCTTTGGAAGAAAACATGCATTACACATTTGCTCTTCTAATGTTTTTATTTCCATTTGCTGATTTGGCCTCCGAAAATATTCAGTTTGCACTGGGGAAATAGCTGGCATGCAATCAACAGGGCAGAACAACTTGCTGTCATTCTATGTAGCACTATGTGATGTCAAGGTCACAGTAAAGAAAAATGTTTCAAATTATCAATAGATGACTCAATTGTCATGATGTCCAAATAAAGTTATTTACATTGCTCTCTGAGTCTCCCCATCCCCTTATTTTAGTTACCAACATTGGTTGCTGTAGAGTTTTTACCCCCTTCAAAGATTCATGGATATTCATAATTTCAACACTTTAAGACCACATAAAAAATGACCAAAGAGAAATCATTGTTGCCTATGACTGTTTTTTATTTGCAAGAACTTTAACATATTTTGAGTTTAACTTGTTTCCTTTTATTCTTTAAGGTGGACTTGGAGACCATGCTATGTCAAAGAAGCGAGGGGCCCTCTACCAACTTATAGACAGGATAAGAAGAATTGGCTTTGGTATATCAATGTTTAAAGTTGCAGACGCTTGACTTGATGTACAGTAAATATTATACTCATAGCAGTTCAGTTTATTAAAATCAGTGTGCCATTATGATGTGAAGTATGTAAATGATATATTCTAAAACTTTTTATTTTGCTAGCTCATATCTGATCAAAGCCTTTTAGAACTCATTTGGAATAATTTGAAATGTTCCTTTAATTTATTTTAAGCTTCTCTTTATTTAAACATGTATCAGGTGTTTATTTTATTATTGATACTTATTTCCAGGCAATTCAGCATCACACCAAGGTATTTTTATAAAGCCTGGATCAATTTTAATCAAGTGAAAAAATATCATGGTTATTTGTTTTGAAATAAATCTACTTAAAGTAAAATGAAAAACTTATTACCGGATTTAAAAAGTTAAAATGTTTTGACCATTCAAAAAATAGAAAATAGTTATAAATATATATAAACATTCAGAACTAATTATGCCTCTGGCTCATAATTAGTTAATATTTACAGTATTGAATGTATTAAAAATTATTTGTAGATTTTAGAGGTTTGTTTAAAATCCTGTATGCATAGCTCATATTCTAACGTTCCTTAAATTGATGGATTACTAATTAAATGCTTGAAGTACATATTTCCAAGGAATAATTTTCCCAAGCAAAAGTGCTTTGCTCCAGGCTATTGAAAAGACAGACATGTTAGAGACAGAGTCCCTATTTGTTGTGTCAAAGTATACACCAGTGGCAGGATATTCATATTGACAGTGATAGATAAGAAAGAATAATCATGTAAATTTAGGAGAAACAAAAACAGCAACAAAAATATTATGAAAGGCCATTAAGAAAAGGAAAAGACTATAGACTTGAAAGCTGCTCCAGAATAGAATGCATTTTGTTCGTGTTGTGTACTGACCTCTAAATCATGCTGCATTCCTTAATATGAATACTGAGGAAACTGGAATGGAGATAGCTTGTTGTACGGGAGGCTGAGACCATATTTGTCTTAATGTTACTTCATTTACTACCTGTATAATATAGTATTCTTAATTTTAGACTGTACTGTGGAATATCAGTTCAGATTTGAAGGATTAGGAAACTAGCAGGAGTAACAAGAATCTTAAATATCATGGGACTTTATTAAACAATATTTGTTTTAACTGTTGGTGAATTGATAGTGACTAGCAAGACATGAAACAGAAAACAAATTTTCTGTGGCCTATAAGCCTGACTGACTTCTATCCACTTTAGGCTGTTGTATGGATATCCAACAAAATTCACTCACAGAACATTAAGATATAGTATTTTGACATGAAATACTTCAATATTTTAATGCTTTTGTTCAAGTATGTAATATAACTGAAGTTTTTCTTTAATGCATTTTGACTTCTGGCATTTATACAAAAAATATGTAAATAAGACATTTTAACTTTTGTCCTTTAAGAGGTAAATGATTCCCTGACCAAGAACTTCTGTTTCACAGAATGTTTTAAATGTCACTGCAGGCTTGGAGCAAAACAACACAGTTAAGGGAAAAGTACCTCTACAATTCTCAGGGCAAAATGAGAAAAATCGAGTTCCCAGAGCCGCTACATCAAGAACGGAAAGAATATGGCCTGGAGGCGTTATTCCTTATGTTATAGGAGGAAACTTCACTGGTAAGATACTCCCAGCATGTCTGTTTTCATAAAGAAATAAAAACTATCATACAGATTAAGTGTCTATTTTTATAGAATATTAACATAAGATACATAGTATTAAGTCAAGGTTGGAAAACTACTTCATTAACTTAGGTTATTAGTGTAGAGTGTCTTTGAAATTGAAAGCATATCTTTGGTATTGTGTTCTAAGAGTTTAAAGCACTGTTCTGGTTTTTAAACAGAGTTTCAGATGTGCCTATTAAATTTGGAAGCTGATCTCTTTCAACTGACAGGAAGAATGTATGCCTCATTTATAGAGCCTTGTAGACACATATTTGTAGAGATAGTGAGCTTTAGCCCTCTGATTATAAAGTGAGTGTCCGTTCTTAACAATGACTCATTTGTGGTGCCATAAACTAGTATTCTTTGGTTGATGATAGTGGTGGCATTCTGCACTGCTCAGCCAGACTTAGGGTAGAGGATGCAGCAAGAAGCATTCTTCCTGGGGATGCCACCTTTTCATTAACATCACACATTTTTTCTAGGCAGCCAGAGAGCCATGTTCAAGCAGGCCATGAGGCACTGGGAAAAGCACACATGTGTGACTTTCATAGAAAGAAGTGATGAAGAGAGTTACATTGTATTCACCTATAGGCCTTGTGGGTAAGTAGAACTAGGTAGGGACTGACTTAAGGAAAAAAAAAATTAAAAGGAAAACAATTAAATGTCCATAGGTAAGATTTATTTCTTAAGATTTGCTTTGTATTTTGGCCATGAGAAAGTCTGGATTTTCCATAAAAATATTATATACTAGGTATGTGTATTCTTTGATCACAGTCCTCTGTGCATCTACTGCAAGTGTATTCTTTTCTACCACCTCAGTTACTTTCTAACAATGACATTACCAACATCCCACTCACCTGAGCTAGAAACTTCAGTATAGTCAACTAGGGATTCTGTTGTGTTGTCTCTAAAATAGTGCAGTAAGTTTTTATTGATAGTCACTGTATCTTTTGATTTCAACTTCTATTCCATGTCAATGCCCTAGTTCATTCACGTATTTATCATCTCACACCTGGTCTGTTTATACATCATTAACCTAGATATTTTTGGATAGTTCCATAAATTTTTAGTTATGACTTATTCAGCAGTGTTTCCTTCTAAATTAACTTTGGCTTGATATGTTTTGGTTACATTTGAAATACTTCCTCCATCTTATCTATTTAATATTTAAGAGATACAAATCTAGGCTATCCTTGTATCTTTCTGCTTATCTAATAGGAAAGGATATAAACTCATCTTGCATATTTCTAAATCCATAATCTATTCAGATCAGTACATCTTTCCTCCTTCCCACATATCAATTTTGTAAAACACATCCAAAGTTCTGATCACTTATTATTTTATTGCCTAATATCTGTTTTCAATAAATTTATATTTATATAAATTATCTTTTTTTAATAATCTCCCATTTCACGTGTTTTATCCTGCCAAACTGTTTTTCCTCATTCACTATCACATCTTCATGTTTTTGCTCATGATAGTTTTGATGCTTGGAATGCCTTTACCTTCCTTTTCTTATCAGTGGAAATCTTTCACATCTTTCATTCTTACCCATTCCTGAGCTGCCCACATTGGGATTTTGCTCCTACCCATAGCTGTAATCATAATATTACCACAGTTTATCCAAATGTCTGTCTTTCTCAATGATGAGGATGGTTAAGTTACCTCTGTGTCCCTCATGATACCCAGCCCACTACTTTACACGTAGGCGATCAAGAAAGTACTGACAATTTAAACATCAACTAAGGAGCCGGGCACGGTGGCTCACGCCTGTAATCCCAGCACTTTAAGAGGCCGAGGCAGATGGATAACTTGAGGTCAGGAGTTCGAGACCAGTCTGGCCAATATGGTGAAACCCTGTCTCTACTAAAAATACAAAAATTAGCCAGGTGTGTTGGCGCGCACCTGTAATCAGGAGGCTAAGGCAGGAGAATAGCTGGAACCTGGGAGGCAGAGGTTGCAGTGAGCCGAGATTACGCCACTGCACTCCAGCCTGTGCAACAGAGGAAGACTCCATCTCAAAATAAATAAATAAACAAACAAACAAACAAACATTATGTAAGTACATTGTGCATATTCCTCACACACAATAAAAGAATGTTAAGAATTTTTCTTTTACGTTAGAAGATTGTGAGACTTTCAGGGGATATTTAAGGACATGTATTTCAATTATTTTAGAAATGTGAAAACTAAATGTAGTTGCACTCTTGAAGTTAGCCCCTTGAGTATTAATATATACATATATAGTATTAATTAATATATACATCTATATATATAATTCATATAATGTGATATGTATATATTAATATTTATTTGTACATGCATATACATATGTGTGTTAATATATACCTATATTTGTGATTTTTATAGTAGTAATGCAGTAATGCTGAATTTTGGTAATTTATCTTGCTACTCATTTTACAGTTCAAACTTTTCTCTGTGTTGTGTTTTTGGTGCTAGGAAGGATGATACTTGTATAGGAATTGATCACTGACTGGCAAAGCATTATAATCATTCTAACTTCATTTGGAATTACCATTGTTGACACAATTTCATAAAACATCATATTTCATGATGATTTTTCTATGATAATGCTTCACTTAAATCTCATAAAAATTCATTTAAATTATTAAAGAGCTTGGTAGTTGGTGTGCACAAAGTACTTCAGCTCAACTAGAATAAGATACTTGTCAAGTCAAGCACATTAGCACTCCTATGGGGCTTCAATATTGGGTCTTTCATCTCATAAAAAAAGACAACAGTGTGGCAATAAATGTGTAGCATTTAACAATATCTAGTGTAATTGTTCATTGAGAACCTGCAAGGTAGTGTCATTGATATTGATGGAACATAAATCAATTCTATTTCTAACTTTAATCTAATAAGAAACACATCTTACCATCACTTTCATTTAGCTCTCCCACAAAGTTAGGCAACTGGTAACTCTTGCGATTTTTTAAAATAAGAGCTAAAATAATCTTGCCCATATTTATAGGAAGGACTATTATGCATGAAACTACCTGTGTCTTTTAGAACATTAACTATTGTTTCCCACCTTATTCTACTATAGTCAGCTCTTATTCATTTAACATTTATTGGTAACTTTTCTGTATCAGGCCTTTAGTAGATGGGAAAATAATAAAATATAATAAGCAAAAGGTGGAGGTCAGGACTTTTTGCCACTTAGCTTCAGTGCATTTCCTCCTTAAATTGTATTATAAGTACAGTTTATGTATGACTGCAAGCATATTTGTATATATAGGCACATGCATGTTTCTAAATATATGATCTCTTTGATTCATCTTCAGTGGGACATATGCTTTAACCCTCACCCTTATATTGGTAAAAGGTTTGAACTGAGCTATAAGTATTTTATTTACATTTGCATTTAGTACAACAGTATGAGAGAACTCTGGTTGTAGCTGATTAGCAGGCTGCTCATCAGACTTTCTCAGCTACTTATCCTTATAGAGACAGGTAAGAGAGGAGGTTCTCTAACTGCCTTCTTATTTCTTCTTTTCCTTATTTTTTTCTTCAACGAAGTATTTTTCAGTGAACAGTTATTGTCATCAGTGGCATTTATTTATTTTGCAAGATGATTGATTATTATTAGCAAAATGTGAGATTATTTTATGATAGAGATTGATTTCATTCTTTGTGAGAGATTTATATAACTATGTTTATTACCTCAGTCTATTATGTAGCCTTTTATAGCTAAATAGATTCTATTTACATGACTTCTCTCCTTTTATTAGATAATTTTTGTGGAACAATCTTACTTTTTTTAATCTACTTATCTTTAATGATTGCCAAAAAAGTAAATAAACAAAAAAATTACAGTTAACCTGTTTCACTAATCTTTAAATTTTATGATTAAATGGTATTTAACTTTGGTCTATTTGATTATTCAGGTTATAAAAGTAGATACTTTTGAGCCGGACGCGGTGGCTCATGCCTGTAATCCCAGCACTTTGGGAGGCCGAGGCGGGCGGATCACGAGGTCAGGAGCTCAAGACCATCCTGGCTAACATGGTGAAACCCCGTCTCTACTAAAAATACAAAAAAAAAATTAGCCGGGCGTGGTGGCGGGTGCTTGTAGTCCCAGCTACTCGGGAGGCTGAGGCAGGAGAATGGCGTGAACCTGGGAGGCGGAGCTTGCAGTGAGCCGAGATTGCACCACTGCACTCCAGCCTGGGGGACAGAGCAAGACTCTGTCTTCAAAAAAAAAAAAAGTAGACACTTTTTCATCCTATACTTGTTGAATTCTCATTTTGTCCCACTTAACATACTAAGTTTTGGGAATGTAGAGTTGAACATAAGGTGTTTTCTCTCCTCAAGAAGGTTATATAGTTAGGCAGTACGGGTGTGCTAGCCAGGATTCTTCTTTGCGAACAACAGAGACTGGCTAACTTAAGCAGAAAAAACGATTTATTAGAAGGTCCTCGTCTCCATTTGAGACCACCTCAGCCTGGACTTTGTTGTCCATATCACTATCAGCATTTTGATCAAAACCATTCAACAAGTCTCTAGGAAGTTCTAAACTTTTCCACATCTTTCTGTCTTCTGATCCCTCCAAACTGTACCAACCACTGCCCGTTACCCAGTTCCAAAGTTGCTTCCACATTTTCAGGTATTTTTATAGCAGTGCTCCACTCCCAGTACTAATTTTTTGTATTAGTCTGTTTTCACACTGCTATAAAGAACTACCTGAGACTGGGTAATTTATAAAGAAAAAAGGTTTAATTTATTCACAGTTCTGCATGGCTGAGTAGGCCAAAGGAAACTTACAATCATGGTAGAAGGCAAACGAGAAAGCAAGTACCTTCTCCACAAGGCAGCAGGAGAGAGAGAGAGTGCAGGGGAAACTGTCACTTTTAGACCATCAGATTTCGTGAGAACTCCCTTATTATCACGAGAACAGCACAGGGGAGACCACCCCCCTGATCCAATCACTTCCCACCAGCTCGGTCCCTCGACATGTGGGGATTACAATTTGAGATGAGATTTGGGTTGGGACACAGAGTCAAACCATATCAGCCACAAAGTCCAGCTAATTTTTGTATTTTTTTTTTTTTTGTAAAAATGAGGTTTCACCATGTTGCCCAGGCTGGTCTCAAACTCTTGGGCTCAAGTGATCCACCTGCCTCAGCCTCCCAAATTTCTAGGATTACAAGCATGAGCCACCATGCTCAGCCCTGGAAAACTTATTAAATCAAAACAAAAAAGAAACTGAGTTATTTTAATGAAAAGGTAAATGGCGATTAACCTAAATAATTGAAACTATTTCAAATACAGCACATAAAAAGGCAGAACCAGTTCCACCTTCATGGATAATCTAATAGATTAGCTTCCAAAGGGGTTTTGTTCCAAAAGGGTTTGGTCTACCAAATAATGTTCCAAATGGGTTTTGTTCTACCAAACCAAGGCAAAAGTAGGAAGTAGCAGATTTTGATTTACCTGATTACCATCTATGACTTATGGAGAGGTGAGGCTTTTCTGTTGATAGGGAAAGTTTTTGCTCGATGCTACAGGTAGACCTTAAAATGTCCAAACTTTAAAAGTGGCACACAAATGAGAAACAAAAATCCAACAGCCGTATACAAGAAAACAGCATCAAACCTGGATGACATTAGAAACTAAGATAATATTTAGACATTTTAAAATCACATTAAAAATACATATTACCCTTGTCTTTCCATGACTAATATTTGTCTAAGCATATATGTAGTTATTTTCTTAATCTGAGAGTCTAGAATTCATCTGTCTCCAAGACCTTTAATTAGTTGGGGATCAAAACACCACATTTTTGTTTTTTCACAGGACCATTGTAAAATAATACCTCTGAATAAGGCAGTGTGAAATCTATTTTTCCTTTCCAGTGTAAAACCTCATCTTATAGGAAATTGCTATGAGAGCAATTATGCTAAAAAGGATGTTTTAGATGAAATAAATTGACCACATTGCTTTACTGTCTCCCACATTTTGACTTGCAAATAACTATATTCCCTGAATAAAGCCAGTAAGAATGACTCAATAGGGGTAATTTAGTTGCTGTATAATCATCAGATGCTTCAGTTTCCTTACTATTGACTTAAGGTAGCAAATATTTTAGTTTAAATATCTCCAAAATTTGAAATTTTTTTTTGTTTTTTTCTTCATCTAATATATTTTTAGGCATGTAATAATATTCAAATACATAATAGGTACCTATATATGAATTAAAGCATATTATTTGAACAAAAAACTACCTGGGGCAAAAACAAATTTCATTGATTCCTCTTTTCACCCACCAATCACCTCTTTCTTCTTTCTATTACTGATTTATTAAACTCAGTTAACTGCTATAATAAATTTGTAAATGATGAGTACAAATTAATTCATCTAACTGGCGTAGTATGGATGAAAATTATTAGGCGACTAAAGCCTACAGAAACAATTTGAAAATGAAAAAAAAGGGTAGGGGGAGAGGGAGATAAGGATTTATATTTGTGGAAAATCAAAAGGGCTGTCAAATGTCCTTATCCCAGAAATTGAAATAGTGAAATTCCTTTTAATCATTCGGTCAATTAGTTTTTGGCATTTTTCTCTTCCAATTTAATATATCAGAAGAGGCGGTTGGCAATGTCTGGTGCATCATGATCCCAACTATTCAAAGCCGACCATTTAGTGCCCTCTGTTGCTGTGCTATTGATGTTATTTTAATTTAAACTCTAATTATTAAAGTTTTAGATATATTTATAATTGTAGCTACTATAATATTATGCCATTTAAAATTTATTTTAAAGTGGGCATCCTGTGTGCTCAGTCTTTCCCACCCTGTGTCCCAAGAATATTTGGGACTGTCATACACTCACACACTTAGACTTGCAGACACACACAATGACTAGATGGAACTTCTATATTTTGGATAGAAAAACATCATTTTTTCTATCCATTGAGGCTGGCCACAATGGCCCACACTTGTAATCCAAGCACTTTGAGAGACCAAGACAGGTGGATCACCTGAGGTCAGGAGTTCAAGACCAGCCTGGGCAACACAGTGAAACCCCATCTCTACTAAAAATACAAAAATTAGCCAGGCATGGTGGCAGGTGAATGTAATCCCCGCTACTCTGGAGGCTGTCAGGAGAATCACTTGAACCTGGGAGGCAAAGTTTGCAGTGGGCCGATTGTGCCACTGCACACCAGCCTGGGTGACAAAGCAAAACTCCATCTCAAAAAAAAAAAAAAAGAAAAATGTCATTGAATATGTATAAATATCAATCAATTGATGAAAATTTGCAGAAAGACATTCCTGCATGTTTCACATTCTATTTGACAGTCCAGGAGATTCTTTCAGATGATGAAATAAAAAATCAATCTCAATTATTAGACTGCTCATTTGACACAAATCATAAATATCATTCATTATACTACTCCCAGTTGTTGATTTTTCTTTACTACTTGTCTTAGTCTAATCAGGCTGTTATAACAAAATGTCATAGACTGGGTGGCTTTTAAACAACAAACATTTATTTCTCACAGTTCTGGAGACGCGGCACTGCAGAATTGGTGTCTGGTAAGGGCCTGCTCTGGTGCATAGACGGATGTGAGATGTGTTTTTGCTGTGTTCTCACATGTCAGATGGGATCAGGGGAGCTCTCTGGGGCCTTTTTATAAAGGCAGTGATCTCTTCATAAAGGCAGAGTCCTCCTGATCCTCAAATCACCTTCCAAGGGCTCTGCCTTCAAATACTATCACCATGAAGATCAGGTTTCAACATGTGAATTTTGGGGGGATATAATATTCAGTTCCTAGCACCAGTTAACTGTTAACTTTACTGTTAACCTTACTTAATTCATCTTTTGAAAATAATGTTCTTTCCTTTCTTTTTTTCTTTTTTAAGAGACAGGGTCTTACTCTGTTGCTCAGGCTGGAGCGCAGTGGTACGATCCTAGCTCACTGCAGACTCAAACTCCTGGGCTCAAGTCATCCCTCCACCTCAGCCTCTGAAGTAGCTAGGATTACAGGTTTGCGCCACTATGCCCAGCTAATTTTTGAATTTTTTGTAGAGATGGGGTCTTACCATGTTTCCTAGGCTGGTCTCAAACTCCCGACCTCAAACAGTCCTCCCAGGTTGGCCTTCCGAAGTGCTAGGATTACAGGCATGAGCCACTGCAACCAGCCAAAAGTAATTTTCTTTAATTAACTTCTTCTTTGAAACGTTTCTTTTATTAACAAAATTCTTCCATGAGTAGAAAAAGTAATTTCTTCTTTTTGATAAACCAACATCTTTGATAAATAAGTTTAACTCTCTTTTTCTCAAAGAGGAAAAATAAACTTTCTTTACTTTCATATTTAGTACTGAAATAATATTGAATTATTGTCAGATAACCACACTGACAAAGTAGTAACCTAAGTAATTAATATGAATTCTGAGGATAAAATTATATTAGAAATAAATGTGTATTGATGGCTTCAGCTTAACTATATGTCTTAGAAATACAACATCGTCATCATGATATAAGTGTCATCACCATGATAATTAGTTTATTTTCTGATGTATTTCCGAATGCTTCTAAAAATGATGTAAGCATATTTTCTAATATATAGATAATTACAAAAGCACTTGAACTGATTATTTGGAAGCTTTTGTTGAACTTAAATTTGAAAGGATACCAGAAACTAGTCATATGTAGTAATAAGAGGTTGTTCTGTTCCTGAATGTGTCGGACTTTATAGCTCATCACTATTCTTTACAAAAAATTCACCATATTGTCAGTTGTCCAGCACCACCTTTCCACCACCATCTCCACTTTCTCTTTTATTCCAGATGCTGCTCCTATGTAGGTCGGCGAGGAAATGGACCTCAGGCAATCTCTATCGGCAAGAACTGTGATAAATTTGGGATTGTTGTTCATGAATTGGGTCATGTGATAGGCTTTTGGCATGAACACACAAGACCAGATCGAGATAACCACGTAACTATCATAAGAGAAAACATCCAGCCAGGTGAGAGGCATAGAATGTGTTGGGTTTAAGGCTGACTGGGTATCTTTGAATTGTATTTATGCAGTTTATTATTTCACTTTCCCAAAAATGTAAACTGATATTTTTGATATGATAGAGTAACATTTTGCTTGATTAAAAATCACCCATGATGATTTTATATTTTATTTTATTTTTCCTGGAGACTGTGTGATTTCATGCATTTTTTAGACTTGCTTTCTTTTTTAAGATTTAGCTGTTTTATTTCTAAACTTTGGTGCTTTCCAAGAATGAGTGTGAGCTATTGAGCCATAAATTAATATTATTAAATATTTCTTTTTTACTGAAGCATTTTTTGTACTTAGTTCTATAATTTATGTTATAAGGATTTTAAAAAGGCCTGGGGTTTGCCATAACACGTGCTGCTACCATAGGAATCTGTGTTATACCAGGTACAATTTCTGGAGAAAATCCAGTGAAATGAGTCATTTCCAAGCTAATATAAATAGTTTTTTCTGAGATTTTCCTCTTAAACTTGACTACCCTAAAGACAAATTCTTAGGAAAATTTTCAGTAATTGAAATATAATTTCTACTTAAAACCTATTTTTCTCTGATAGTTGATATTTGATAATGGCCTCAATGTAAGACTTTTTAACTTTTACGTGCATAAAGATCAGTATATTTCAGTTGCCGAAAAATATTCTGTTGTTTGGAATTTTCTTGTAAGGTATTTTAAGCATAAGCAAAGTAAAAATGTGTTTTTATTTTCTTATTCATGATCAGTTTTGTTACAAACATTGAATTCCTTCTGTAATTAACAATACTGATCTCTTTATTTGCTCATTATATATTTGATGCCGATTATTTATTGAGCCAATGTTAGGCGTTGAAGATACTGTCATGGAAAATACAAAGTTTAGTGTGGGATATGTGCATATATATAAATGATTGCAAGTGAGTGAGAAAAGTGACAGTAATTAGTAATATATGTTGAAAATACCATAGAGTCCAAGCAAGGCATGACGAAAAGTCCCTTAGTGAGTCAAGGGAGTTGTAAAGGAATGGAAATTTAGAAGTAAAGCAGAAGTATTTCAGGCGGACAGAAGAGTGATTAAATTTCAAGCGAAAAGGACTTCATGAGCAAAGCTACAATTACAGAAAATTGAATTATTTTTATGTGACCATTATGGTTGATGGTAAGTTACAAGTGGGAGATTAGTTGGTATCTTATCCTTTACTTAGGAAAGATTCTCTATGATGTAAACCTGGGGAGGAAATTCAGGTTTTATTCTCTAGCTAGTGGGGAATAATTAAAGGATTATAAGCAGGAAAAGTTCAGATTAAAATAAAGAGAACTCATTTTCCCAGTCAGACTTATAGCGATCGTTAACTGGGTGGTGGCGGGGGGGTGCCTGAAGTCCAGGAAACCTAATAGAAATCTAAATAAGTAGGTATGAGAGGTGACTAAGTTCTTAGGGTAGTACACATCAAGAGGAAGAAGAGGAAATAGTCTTTCAAAAATATTTTAAGAGGAATATCATCATGTGAGGGGAAATCTTCAAAAGTTTTCTTTTTAGACAACAAGATGAATGTTGGTACCATCACATGAAACATTTGAGATATTGAAATATTGATAAAACAGCATGTTTTTGAGAAAGAGAAGGACAAATAATGATTCAATTTAGCATATCCTTGAATTTAAAAAGCCTTTGTATGATCCTTATTTTGTAGAGAAAGGAAAGGTGAGTCTGGACTTCAGGATGTATCTAAAGATAAAAAATTGACATAGATTTCACTAATTAGGGAAAAACTGGATGGAGAATAGAAAAAGGTTGAGACTATAAAATGGGTAAAAACAATATTTAAGCAATACTTGGTAGAGTATGTCCTAAAAGACTAAGAAGGTATTGCCTGAAAGGTAAGAGAAAAATCAGTGGATTGTGGTGTCCTAGAAGCCAAGGAAATAAATAATTTGAAGAATGGTGAAGTGATCTGTAGGGTTAGATATCAAAATAAGTTAAAAAAAAGTATTCTCCTCTATATAGAAGACTCTAATGAATGAGCCGACTATCAAGATTCGTCCTATATACCACTAGGAGGGAAATAAAGAGGAAATAAATCTGAAAATTATTTCAACTACCACATAAATGAGAACTTTGCTGTTACCAAGAATTATTCGTGTTTTTTATTTGCCAAACATTTAATTACGTGGAAAAAATTTATAAAAGATGTAACTTTCAAAAATGGTTTTTACTCTTAAAAATAGGATCCTGTTTCAATATAAATATGTACCTGAAACAAGGAGAAGTGTATATAATGTGTAGTATAAATAAATGCGCAATCCTAAAACAGTGCTAAGGAAATTATGGTTTGTAATATTTTCTTTTGACTAAACATTATGGCCAACAGAAAAAAATCTATTGGGTGAGATTTCCTGAATGATGGGAACCACTGTAACAGAGCAATTCTGGTATAAAAGTGCTCATGTTGAAGATTAATCTTCAAAAAATTTATGATTTGCTGTCACTCAGAAACTTAAGATCAAGTCTTAGTCAAGGGTGATGTCTAATAAGCACAAACTTTGGCCTCACATTTATATGCAAAATCAGTGATTATGATAGGAACCAAATTGGTATAAGGATTGGGTTACTCTAATTCATGTTAGAATATGATTTCAAGAAGGAGGCTTGCCATTTTTAAAATTGTCAAATGTGGTTTCCCTTAGTGCTATGTATTCTGCTTCTCTTTCCTTTCATGTAATAAGTCTACTTTTCTGTTATTTGGGCTGTGTATGGCTATGTTGTTTTTAACTAACAAAAATTGTTGTGTCATATGCACGTTAAGTTCTCAAGTTAGATGCATTAAAATGTATTGCTGAAGTTGCGTAATGTTCTACTTTCAGAAATTTTTATGGAATATTTTGCTTTAGTTAGAGAATCTGGTCCCATATTAAGTTCTAAATTGAAATCTTACAGGTTAATAAGTATAAAATTAGATCCATAGCTTTTTGAAAATCTGATCATAGATTTGTTATATTAGACTTCAGATTCCTTATGAGACAGGTGTTTTAACAGTTGCCTCTATCATGGGTTGAAGAGTATGTTGAATATTTCCCAAGAATGGTTGTAACATAAATAGACCTATCAGAGATTTGTGGAGCACGTATTTCATTATAAGGTCTGGTTAGTTAATTTTAAATTATGTATTGTGTAAATTCATTCAAAGACAGACTAAAACACCTTGTTCTGGGACTTGGGTTCTGTAACTTCAGGTTGATTCTTCATTCTTAATTCTCAAGTGAATACCCCACATTTCCTTTATCACGTATTGGAGAGACATAACTCAATTTCTTTATTGCCTTTAGAAAACTCTGTATTAATGGGATCTTTTTATATTTGATTGAAATATGACAGTTGGAATTAAAAACCTAAGTAGATGAATGGCATAATAGTTCCATTTTTAGCTCCAAAAGTGAATTTGGAATTCCTTTAGCTCATCTTTCTTTGTATTTTGATGTTTCAAAGCTTTTTGTTACATAAGTGATATGATTTGTACAATCTTTGGGTACTTAAATTGTGAAAACTGAGTCACCAAAGCTTAAACTCTGTTTTAAGAAATGTGTCTTTCCGGAATCATTGAATTTAAGTCTGTGTTCTTTTCAAATTTCGAGAAATAATACTACAATACAGATACAAACAGGCAATTGAAAAATCTGTTAAAAATGAAGATGTCCAGAAGTTAAACTAACAGATGTGGAAATTTGGAAAAGCATTTACGTTCTGAAGCATGTTCTTCTTAATCTCAAAGGAGAACTGCCTTTTCATCAAGAATAAACTTGTTTCATTTTTAAATGAAAGTAGAGAATTTGCTGTTACTGTTTGATCTTCAGTGATGAAATCGTGGAGCAAAAGCCTGCAGAGCTCTGTTTAACTAATATTGCTTTTATATCTTCTCCTATTGTTTCATAGAAAGGATCTAAACCAAATAGGAAGATGATTTTTGTATGACCTGGAAAACCTAGTCATAAAAATGGGAAACTCATAGATAAAAACATAACTTTGTGTAATTATTTGTACATTACCAAAAGTGCAGTAAGATTTTAAAGAAATAAATATTATGAGGTGGTAAAAGAGCATACATATAAAAGAAAGTATGCTTTTTCATAGTCCACCTTTTTTCAGAAATTAACACTTTGTTCCAATTCAATATTGCTTTTCAATATGATGGTAGAGTGAAGACAGATGCTTTCTGCATGTGCCTGTGTGTTTTGTATGTAAATTCGATCAGCAAGATCAGTCATTTCACAAAGAACAGATGCAGGTGTAGGAAAGGCCTTCTGGTCTATTTTCTGTCAGTTAAAAGGCTTCTGAGATTTTGTTTATCCCTGGTTCTTAGGTCAAGAGTACAATTTTCTGAAGATGGAGCCTGGAGAAGTAAACTCACTTGGAGAAAGATATGATTTCGACAGTATCATGCACTATGCCAGGAACACCTTCTCAAGGTTGGAGTCTCAGGTTATACCTTTTGACTTTTAATTCCTTTCCTCCATGTGGCTCCTCACAAAGCTATGCCTGACATTAGAACTAGAATTACTTTCAAATATTGCTACCTCACTGCAGAAAGTAGAAAAATAATTCATGAACATTTATAGACAAGAGCAAGTATTTAAAAGGCATTTTAAAAATATATTTTTAAATTCTCTACCAAATATATGAATTTAATATATAAAATTTATACCAATAAGATGGCATAAATTATGTAAACAATTTTATATTCCTAAATCATTAAAAAGTTGAATTAAAAGCATTACCAAACCAATCAGCATGTTAAATTGGCAAAGAATTGTTTAATGAAAATTGGATATTTATAAGCTAAATAGGTTATTTAGCAGTTCTGTTAAAATGTCACAATCTAGGCGACTTGTGCTTTATACTGTGTATTTTCTACTGCTCAAGTACAACTTACACTCAAAAATTGATATTACTAAATGAATTGTCAAATAACAAATTAGAAAGATATTTTACCTCATATAATTTAGAATTATAGTTCATCACTCATTAACCCTAAAATTATGTCATTAATGACTTAAAGCTACTTTTAAAGAATGCAATAAATTTGGGTTTTGATCTACTTCATTCTAAAGATGATGTCATCAAGCAAATAGTTCCCAGGTAAGGAATTTGGAACTGTTAAACCATTGAATTCACCCCTTTTTCCATTTATGCCCATTTTATGCTCGTATGTCATTTCAACTCTTTTTTTTTTTTGCCCACTTATGTCCATTTCACAGTTCATTGACATCTATTTCTGAAGGCAAGGTCAGGAAAAGGGAAAAATATTCAAATGTATTAAGCTGCTTTTATAAAACTTTCTTGGTAAAAAGTAGAGAAGGGTGTGTAAATGAAACCTTAATACTTGGACACATTTATTAATTACCCATTTTTTCCAAACCAAAGTTTATTATTTAAAAAATTTGTGTTAACTGTATTTTTAAAATTATGCTTTTCTAAAGTACATTATTTATAGACATACGCATTCATTTGTTAAAATATAATTAACTGTCCAAATGTTTATTTTTTCTAGAATATGAATTTAAGTTTTGATAGAAATAACATGCTCAGTAATTTGACCTGAAATTAATCATAAAGAGTTACAGAATTTTATTTTCTGGTAAATGCTTGGAATGGAGTTTTCCATAAAACATTTAACAAATGGATATTTAGGTTCCAGTTCAGTCAAAGTGCCTCTCTTCTGCTACTGAGTTATATTGTTTAGAACTAACCTGAGTTTTGGTTCCTTGGAACAGAGAAGGTACTGGAGAGTAGAGAAAAACAATTTATTCTTTTTGTCCTTCACAGATGATAAATCTTTAGCAAAGTTCTAACTGTATGTTTCCCCTTATTCTATACTTTTTTCCATGTTGCATTGTGTATTTTCCCATAAATTAATCTGCTCTTGTTGCCCGTAGTCCACCTCACCCACACCTGCTTATGAGTTGAATGCCAATCAGCCTTTGTTTATTACTTATCTTATTGTTTCAAAACCATCCTATGCATTTTTCATAAATAAACTCAACACTTTTACAATACAGGAGATCATATCCACCTGTTAGAAGGATAGCCTGATTGTTTCATTCACGTTATTTTATTTTTTAAGTCTTTAAAGAAGCTGTTTATTAACTTATATTTAAATGATTTTCAGGAAAAGAAAAATTTGACATAGGTCTCATTCTGCTACTCCCTCAAAGTTTTTGAAATTTCTTTTTTTTTCAATTATGGAAAAACACAAAACATCAAATTTACTGTCCTAACCATTTTAGGCATACAAGTCAGTAGTGTTATTTAAGTATATTGACATTACTGTAAAACAGATGTCCATAACTTATTCATCTTGCAAAACGTAAACTCTATACCTATTAAACAACTTCTCTTTTCTACCTCTTCTCAGCCTCTTGCAATCACCATTCTATTTCCTGTTTATATATTTGACTACTTTTGATATTGTATATAACTGGAGACATATAGTATTTGTCCTTTTGTGATTGGCTTATTTCACTCAGCATTATTTCCTCAAGGTTGATCTATGTTGTAGCATGTGAAAGTATTTTCTCACTTTTAAGGCCAAATAATATTCCATTGTAAGTATATATCACATTTTGTTTATCTTGTCATCCATCAGTGAGCATTTGTGTAGCTTCTGCCTCTTGTGAATAATGCTAATATGAACATGGGTGTGCAAATATCTCTCCAGCACATTATTTTTTGTTATTTGAATAGTAGCCATTCTGAGTGTGATGTCATATCTCGTTGTGGTTTTGACTTAACATTTCTCTGATGATTAGTGAACATCCTTTTATATGCTCGGTGGCATTTGTATATCATCTTTGGAGAAATCTTTATTTAAGTCCTATGCCCATGTCTAAATCAGGTTATTTGATTATTTTGTTGTTGAGTAGTAGAAGTTCTTTGTATATTCTGATTAAACCACTTAATTTATATATGTATATATATAAATATAAATATTGGAAATTTTTTTTCCATTTCTTAGGTTGCCTTTTCATTCAGTTGGCTGTGTCCTTTGATGTACACAATGCTGTATGTTTGATGTCATCCTGTTTGTCTATTTTGGTTTTATTGACTGTGCTTTCTGTGACATATCCAAGAAATCCTGGTCACATGCAACACCATGAAGCTTTCCCCTTGTGTTTTATTCTAGAAGTTGTATAGTTTGGGTCTTATGTTTATTTATTTAATGCATTGAGTTAATTTTTTAAAGTGTTTTTTTTAAAAAAGAGACCAATTTTATTATTCTATATGTAGATATCCAGTTTTCTCAGTGTCATTTGTTGAAAAAACTGTCATTTCCTAATTGAGGAATCTTGACACCCTTGTCAAAGATAATATGATCTCGTATATGATGGTTTATTTCTGTGCTCTCTCTTTTATTTCACCCGTCTATAGATCTGTCTTTATACCAATACTGCACTGTTTTGATTACTGTAGCTTTGTAATATGTTTTGAAATCAGTTCTGCAAAGTTGGAGTGTGAATTTTTCAAATATTTTTTCTTTTTCAAAACTGTTTTAGCTATTTGGTGTATCTTGAGATCATATAGGATTTTTAGGATAAATTTTTCTATTTCAGCAAAAAAAATGTTGGGATTCTGATAGAAATTGCATTGAATCTGTAGATCACTTTGGATGTATTAACATCTTAACAGTGTTAAGTGTTTCAATTCAGGAACAAGGGATCTTTGTCTCTTCTTTAATTTCTTTCAGCAGTGTCTTTAGTTTTCAGTGTAAAATCTTTCACTTCTTTGGTTAAGTTTTTTTCTAAGGTTTTTTTTATGCTGTTGTGAATGGAATCAGTTATCTTTTGGATTGTTTGTTGTAAATGCATAAAAATGCAGCTATTTTTGCATTTTGATTTTATATCCCATGACTTTGCTTAATTCGTTGACTGGTTCTAACGGATTTTGTGTGTGTGTGGAACAGTTAGAATTTTCTGTGTATAAGATCAAGTCATTTCCAAACAGTGAGAATTTTACTTCTTTCTGTCCAATTTGGATGGCTTTTATTTTGCTTTATTTTTTCTCGTTGTCCTGGCTGGGGCTTTCAGTACTGTGTTGAATATAAGTGACAAGGGTGGGCATCCTTGCCTTGTTCCTTATCTTAAAAGAAAATATTTCAGGTTTTCACCATTGATTATGACATTAGGTGTGGGATTTTTATATATAGTTTTTATTATGTTGAGGTAGCTTCCTCCTATTCCTAGATTTTTGTGTGTTTATTATGAAAGGGTGTTGAATCTGTCAAATACTTCTTCTATATCAGCTAACATGATCATATGGTTTTTGTTCTTTATTCTGTTAATGTAGGTATTTGAAGTTTCTTAGTTTTAAAAATTCTGAACTCACAGAGTCTATAAAAGTTCCAATTGTTTTTATGATGTTGCCCATCAATATATTTAGGAAATCACTTATGGGAAGAACAGGAATGTATCTATAGGGTCTTTATATGAGTGACTATTTTGTAATATACATGCTTCTGAACTGTGGACTGCCCATTTTTCATTTAAAAAGTCGTAAAATTTTACAAATTTTTGTTAAAAGTATAGCTGATTTGCTCTTTCAATGTAGTTAGAACAAATCAAGAATAGTAAGTGAACCATGATATGATCTGTCTCTGCCTATTGATAGTGGCTCACTGAGGAGGTTCAGTAAGATTTTGCATTGCTTACTTGTCAGGATATGGAGAAGAATAATTGTTAACTTCCTGACCACAAAAAAGAAGAAAAGCATGAGTGACTAACTCCCTTGAAATGGAAGGGAGATTACCTTAGTAGACAGAATGAAACAAAATTCATAATTCTGTTGTCTGAAATTGAATATATTCTCTCCAAGATGTCATTGACCTTTTCAAATTGAACCTTTTTTTGGAAGTTAGGAAAAAATCGAACCCCAGAGGCCACAAATTTGTTTTTAGAAATAGAAAAAGAAAATGGTAAATGCTTTGTTAGTACTGAAGTACTACAGAAATTTAATACTCCATTAATTTGGGTTTATGTAATTAATGTATCTGTTGACTCATGCCTCAAGTTACAAGGCCTTTCTCAATGCTACCTTGTAACTCATTTCTTTTTCAATTACACTGGCCTGCCTGGAGTGGTTTCTTATGAACTATGCACAGATCTCACTTTTGATGGTCAATTCCCGTAAATCACTAGCTCTACTTCTCTCCTGTCTTTTCAGACAATGTACATATGGAGTTCTGTAGATGTTTAGATCTTGTAGTAAAGAGTTCCAGTCTCCCTATTTGAGTTAGTGTTATCTATAGATCAGTGCCCTTTCCCTTACCTTGGAGCTAGGGCAGTTAGTAATAAAATTGCTCATAGATCATATTACTCCTCTGCTTACCATTTTCCTATAGATTAACAGTTGTCCTCAGAGTAAAAGTTAAATTATCTGGCTGGTGCTCAGACATTTTAGGGGTCCTCTCATTTCTGAGCTGTTGTGTTTCTTGTTCTTTCTGTCTGGAAACACTGTACTGCCCGTTACCCATATTTCTCTGATCTTCACTTTCTTCATGTGTGACTAAAATGTCAATTTTCAAGTGAGTTTCACTTTGATCACTCTATTTAAAAGCAGCCCATCACTGCACAATCAATATCCATCTTCTCACCTTTATTTTTCTCGATAGTACCTATTACTACCTGGATTATTAATCATTTGTTTAATGTCTCTTTCCTCATATTTGAATATTAGAATCATAAAGGAAGGAATTTCTGTTTGTTTTATTTACTGCTACAAATCCAGACCTAGAACTATTTCCTAATGGAGGCTAAGTAGAGCTGAAAATGCTGTTCTTTTAATGCAAGCGTTAGTTTAAATGCATTAAATTCATTTATAAGTTTTGGAAGGAAGTGCTGCATCATTTTCTCAATTTAAAAGATATTATAAAATTTTATTTCTTAATTTAAAATATTTTTATAGAAAGGTTTTTTGTTGTTGTTTGTTTTTGGTAAATCCACAAACACACAACTCATACTTCTCAAACCCTTGGAATAGCCTCCCAGTTCATTTAACTTTTAAGCTCCCACTTCTTTAGGGCTATAAATATTTGACATACATTTAAAAAATTAGAAAGTATTTTTAGGGCACTATATTCAGAACTTTAGATCATGCATATTAGGAAAAATTAGTGAATCTTTTACCACAATCTTGAGTCCCAAACAACTCACTATCTGTAGTTTAACATTATTATGCCATTGATTAGGTTTTCTTATTTACTAGTTTTACCATAGAAAAATTGAAAAAATTGCTTTAAACTGCCCTAAGTTTTGGCATTCTTTGTTTTTTTTTATCTTTTTTTTAACATATGCTGTAATACTTGGACTTCTAAGAATACTTAGGTTAAATTAGTAGTTTAATTCAGAAAAATTAACCTATGTATATTTTGTTTTACTCTTAACAATTTTAGTAACTTCAACATTATTTACTGTAGTTTGCTATTGGGGAAATAGACCTCTATGAGGAATCATTGTTTCACAACCTGATAATCTAAGGAATTCTTAGATCTGCTTGGGAAACCAAAACAAATGTCATGGTGTACTTTGTGGGGGATTATAAGGTATTCCATATTTTTAAGAACATACATGTTTCAAGGAAACAAATGAATGTCATCATTGAGTTTATACTAGGCATACACATTTAACATGCTTTTTTTTCTACTTTGATGAAAGTGTTTTGAAAGCCTGATACACTGCTTAAAGCACACAAGGTGTAGTTCCCCTTTGATTGACTTGAGTTTGAAATAAATACCTTATAAATGTAAGGAATTCATGAGTTTTCATTTGGTGACTTAGGTGTGGTTTGCTTCTGCTTTTTTTCAGGGGGATGTTTCTGGATACCATTCTCCCCTCCCGTGATGATAATGGCATACGTCCTGCAATTGGTCAGCGAACCCGTCTAAGCAAAGGAGATATCGCACAGGCAAGAAAGCTGTATAGATGTCCAGGTATTGCACTACACAAACACAAGAGCATGACTGTACTTGATTGTGCTCTTCCAGATGAATAAGCCATGATTTACTCAACTGTTTGTTTGTCTCCCTCCCTGTTGGCAAGTGACGTGTACAGTTCAAAGTCAGTAATCATAAAATGAGGCAGGAGGGAACTCTGGAACACCTAATTGCTGTAAATAAAAACAAGTTGTTGAAATCAAAGTTCAAACACAGGGATAGTATATTTTATTTCTTTTAATTTAATGAGTGAAAGAGCAAAATAGAATGGTTGCTTGATAGTCATTAATTAAATAGTTGCATGATTTCATAGTCAAATGCTAAGTTTCCTTTCTGACATAAAAAGAATATCCTTTATTTGAACTTCAGAATTGGATCCTGGATGATATTTTTTTGCAAGTACCATGGTTAATGGCATATAAATTACAATTTTATCAGTAGGAATTTATAACTTTGTTGTAAAAAAAAATGTTCTAACCGGTTGCAAGTGAACTACTCTATGTTTTGCCCCTAAATAAAGTTTCAAAAGCAGATTCATGAAACGTCTTAATGTTCTAAGGGAGCACTATGCCTTAATCATCCAAGAAAGAAAAAGATTCTGTTTTCCACATTAGAAATCTAGATTCTATGTACCTCCAGTATACTCACAATATTTGAAATATCCTACAGCAAAGAAACATGTTTAACTTTGCATAACACAGTCTTTTCCAAATTATTTGTCCAAGGAAACCTCCTTTTACCCAATACTTACTTGTAGAATTCACTTTTGGAAGTATTGTTCTAGATACTTAAGGTTGCAGATACAATAAAACAATAACTATAAAAGTTTTAATTGGCTGCAAATCTGATAATGTTTGCAGAAAATCAGAGAAATGATGGATATCTTAATCATTGGAGTTTTACATAGATAATTGGTTATGTTTATTTATATATTGTTATTGGGAAATTCTTATATTAATTAAATTTTTATGATTTCTGGTGTCAGTCCAGGGAACTTTTAGGCCATAGAAGAGGGCTAGCTAATTCATTCATAAAAAATTAATATGTACTCGTTGACATATGGTATAGAACCCTTCTGTTGGACAGATAAAACTCAAGTGCAAGCAAGAAAAAGTGAGTTGTTTGAATAATCCCAGGAAATACCTGGAAACTTCCCAGGAAGTTCATAATTCTGTATGTGATGGTACGTAATTCATTGATTCAACCCAGTGGATTCTGTTGACATTCCTGCTGAGAGAAGGGATTTCCTATTCCTTAATACTAGATTTGCTAAGGAAAATTGTAAGAAATTATGTTTTTTTTTTTCAATTTTACTGTAATTGTTAGTTTTCTTGTAACTTAGGACTATTAAGTTTTAAAAGGGCCAGTTGATATTTTTGGAATTTAAAGCTGTATGTAAAACTTTTTGCATCATAATGATTCAATAATGAAAGTGAGTTTTCAAAAATTTTTTGTGTATAAATATATGTCTGCCTAATTTTTCCATGTACCAAAAGACATTTCTACTTAATATTCATTAATTTATTACTTCATGCTGTTTACTGAAGTTGCATTCATATTTACGTAAATCCCTTTAAAATGTTTTATGTATGTATGTAAGATACACATGTATATGTGGTATATTTTTTAAAATCAAATTTCCATAGGAAAAAATGAATTTATAAGAGAATGATACTGCTATGAAAAAAGATATGGGTGATCCTTAACTAATGTCTAGTAACATTGGGCATATACTTTTCAACTTTTAAAAAGTGAAAATTATTTGATTAACAGCAACTAAATAAGTGAACACTTTGTGTATAAAACTCTCTTGATTATATCTCTAAATGTACGTCTACATACATTACATTTGAGAAGCACACTGGAGGTTTGTATGCACACTGAACTGTAGGAAAGTCAGGAAGAATAAAAAACTAACCTTATGATATTGTAATTTATTTTTTAGCCTACAATTCTTGGATATTTCAGTTATAAACAGGAAGATAATTAGAAGTATAGTTTCTACTTTAGATTTCAATTGTGTAAAATACATTAATGGGCCATTTTCTTACCTGAAATATAGAAATAATAATGTGTACATTATTTTATTTAATACAATAAAACCACATTGAAGAAAGCACTATGATCTGGGAAAAAGATATTTTGTATTTCTGAAACAGTATGAAAAGCAAATTACTGTATTACAGCTAATAAAGTACCGGGAGTAAGGGACAGCTAAAAGAGATATATAAATATACATACAGATATATAGAGAGATATATAAATATACATATATATAGATATCTATTTCTCTCTGTATATATATCTTTTAGTGTTAAATTTTAGTTCCCCAAATCTTTGGGAATGACTTTTTCTTCTATCTTGGCCTTTTTTTAAACTTTTATCTTTGACTCAGTGGCTATATGTGCAGGCTTGTTACGTGGGAATGTTGTGTGATGCTGAGGTTTGGGCTGCGAATGAATGATCCTGTCACCCAGGTTCTAAGCATAGAACCCAACAGGTAGTTTTCAACCCTTGCCGCCTCCCACTCCCTCCCCTCTAGTAGTCCATACTGTCTATTGTTCCTGTCTTTATGTCCAAGTATACTCTATGTTCAGCTCCCACTTATAAGTGAGAATATGTGGTATTTGGTCTTCTGTTCCTAAGTTAATTCACTTCGGATTATGGCCTCCAGCTCCATTCACATGGCTACAAAGAACATGATTTCATTCCTTTTATAGCTGCGTAGTATTTCATGGTATGTATGTATCACACTTTCTTTATTCAATCCACCAGTGATGGACATCCAGGTTGATTCCATGGCCTTGCTATTGTGTACAGTGCTGCGGTGAACATACCAGTGCATGTGTCTTTTCGGTGGTACGATTTATTTTCCTTCGGATATATGCTTAGTAATGAGATGGCAGGGTTGAATTGTTGTTGTGTTTTAAGTTCTTTGAGAAATCTCCAAACTGCTTTCCTCAATGGCTGGACTACTTTTTATTCCTAACAACAGTGTGTAAGCATTCTCTTTCTCTACAGCCTTGCAGGTGTCTATTGTTTTTCATTTTTTTAATAATAGCTATTTTGATTGGTATGAGCTGGAATTTTAAATGTTCAACAAATAGCCCCCTCCCTTCCTCTTGTTCTTTCTCTTTTTTTATGTTTCTTTCTCTGCCCCTCTCAGCCACTCTGTGCATGTGGATATATCTGTCTCCCTTTTTACTTCTTTCTCTTTCTGAAATAGTTAGCTTTGAGCCCTACATATAGTTGTATGTTTAAGGTTCTTCTTTTCCTTAAATGAAGTGCACTCATGACTTATCAGGATAAGGACAATGATATTGGCATAAAATACTTACCACAAGCCAAATGACATTAAGCTACACTGATGCAGTAGGTTTACCAATAACTGCAAGTATATAAATGGAGTAGAGTTAAAGATTCATAACTGTACATGTGAGTCTTAATAGGGTGACTCATCTGTGAACAACCCAGAAGAGAGTAAGAGTTTATAAATTGAGTTCGGATTGTGTTTGGTTTTCATACAGAGAGGAGGGGGTTATAAAGCTGAGTATTCCTTTGGAGTTTGTTTTTTTCTTACTCTTTTGTCAGAAATTCCTGGTGGAAAGGCAGACAAAAACAAGCAATGGGGAAAGGACTTCCTATTCAACAAATGGTACTCGGATACTTGGCTAACCATGTGCAGAAGAATGAAACTGGACTCTATCTTTCACCGTATATAACCATATACATAAATTAACTCAAGATGAATTAAAGATTTAAATGTGAGACCTCAAACTATAAGAAGCCTTAAATAAAACATAGGGATCACCATTCTGGACATTGGCCTTGGGAAATAATTTATGACTAAGTCCTCAAAAACGATTCAACAAAAATAAAAATTGACAAGTGGGACTTAATTAAACTAAAGGGCTTCTACACTGCAAAAGAAACTATCAACAAAGCAAACAGACAACCTACACAATGAGAGAGAATATCCACAAACTACACATCTGACAAAGGTCTAAAATCCAGAATCTATAAAGAACTTAAACCAATCAACAAACAAAACAAATAACCCCATTTAAAAAATGGGCAAAGGATATGAACAGATACTTCTCAAAAGAAGAGATACAATCAGCCAACAAACATATGAAAAAATGCTCATCATTGCTAAACATCAGAGAAATGCAAATCCAAACTACAATGAGATGTCATCTCACACCAGTCAGAATAGCTGTTATTAAAAAGATGAAAAATGACAGATGCTGCAGAGGCTGTAGAGTAAAGGGAACACTTACACACTGTTGATGGGAATTTAAATTACTTCAGCCATATTGGAAAGCAATTTGAAGATTTCTCAAAGAACTTAAAACAGAACTACTACTCAACCCAGCAATCCCATTACTGTGTATATATCCAAACCAAAATAAATTGTTCTGCCAGAAGGGCACATGCATTCTCATGTTCATCACTGCACTATTTCCAATAGCAAAGGCATGGAATCAATCTAGGTGTCCATCAATGGTGGGTTGGATTTTTAAAATGTGGTACCTATAGACCTGGAATACTAGGCAGTCATAAAAAATAATGAAATCATGTCCTTTTCAGCCGCATGGATGGAGCTGGAGGCCATAATCCTAAATCAACTAACACAGGCATAGAAAACCAAATACTGCATGTTCTCACTTATAAGTGGGAGCTAAATATTGAGCACACATGAACGTAAACATGGAAACAATAGACACTGTGGACTACTAGAGGGGAGAGGGTGGGAGGCGACAAGGATTGAAAAATTACCAGTTAGGTTCTATGCTCACTACCTGGGTGCAATATGCCTATGTAACTATCTTATACATGTACTCTTTGTATCTAAAAATAAAAGTTGAAATTAAAAAATAAAAGAAATGCTGGCAAATGAAGCCAATAAAATATATTTGGCTACTTTTAATGCCAGCTTTTTTTTCTCATCAGTTTTTGCTCACAGCTTTATTAGGGCATTTTATGGCACTGTTTTGTAGAGGTTAATCTTGAAAAAAATACTGACCTGATAAAGAATATAGTTAGATATACAAGACTATGGGTTTTATGGTCTGTGATAAGTGGGGCCTTGGGTCCAAGAGGGCAAGTTTCTAACAGGCAGACTGTAAATACTGCTGAACTTTACTAAATGATATATAAATTTTTTAATGTATCAGAAGAGTGATGGCATTAAAATGTATACATTTTAATTTTCCTTAAAATCATACTATCAGTTTATGAAATTTATAGCTGATAAATACCTTGTAATACATTCTTATATTTATTCATATATGCCAAAAATATAAATTAGGTTGGTATATGAAACCACAATTAGTTATTACACAGTCAGTGCATACTCATCATGAAAAAGCTCAATACAGAAATAAGGTTAGGAAGGGGATAGTATGAGGATATGTTTCCTTCAGTTTGCAGTTGTTTTCATTGCCATTTCTTGCTCTTGGCTTTAGAGACAGGAGAGTAGTCTTTTTATGCATTGTTGTGTTAAGAAAGAATATGATCCCTTAGAGCTCTGGCAGTCTACTGCTATAAGACACCCTCATTCATTGCCACATCACGTAGCCACAAGCAGGTGGGAAAGGAATGTAGAGCTGCTCGACATTGGGGTTGAATAGGTTTCTGGACACTGCTTCCAAAAGGCAAATCCTTTGTCTTTATGATGGTTTCCAAGCCTTTCACGCATAAGGCATTTTAAAGGACAACTAGTAGCTAATGCTACTTGCCTGTCTTACAATCTTTTCTATTCCATGTACTGTGACAACAGTATTCCATATACTGTGACAACAGATGTCCACATAGGGAGGAGAATGGTTATTATTACAACACTTCATCTTCCCATTAACCCAATAATTAGCAGTTTATTTGTGAAGGAGATCATTTCTAAGGTATACGAGTTGTAACGTATTTTCTCTCGTCTTAAATGATTGATTTGTTCTCAGATTTTCTCTCTTTTGGGGTCCCCTTTTTCTATGATTCTCATTTTCTAAATGCGTTGACCTCCACTTTACCCTACTCATAGGATTACTTTCCCTTCTTATTACTAAGATGCTTAATTTAACTATTCTTTTGTTTTAATCTGCATTTTATCTTAATTTAGTTTTTCTATAATCCCATGACCTTTTGCTTATAACTGTTTAGTATTTAGACCAACTATTGTCCCTAATATTCTCTCAGTAAGTCTTCCTTAATTATGTCAAGTAACATAGTGAAATTTTTAAAAGTATAACATAAATTGATAATCTAAAAATAAAGGGATTTTGAGGATTAGAATCTCTATTGTTATGTAAAAGTGTTGCCTGTTCCCACAGGAACATATGTACAACCTATGTTCCCAAATATGCAAGTGTTTCTACTTTTAATAAACAAAGAATACTTATATAGAGTGTACATATCTATGGATGCACATTTATGTGGAGGCTGTAGGAATGGCAGGCCAGTTTCAACACACATGGAGTCTGAATGCATTGTTTTAAACAGTTGCTTCACTTAATTTAGCGTTAAAATGAATTAAAGCTTCTTTTCAATTACTTAATTCATAGTTACTTATATTTTGAGAGAATTCGCCTATATTCTGAATGGAATATATTTTATATAACTGCTTTTGTATATGTGATTCTTGGCTAAACTATATTGCCAAGATGCAAAAAAAAAATGCATTTAGCTATTTCTTTTAATTTATTCATGGATATGTTTATTCATCTACCCAGCAGATATTCCCTCATTTAGTGAATGGTTGCCAGGGCCATCCAGCAGCCCAAGCCAGAACTGTGGGGAACATTGTTGCCTCCTTCCTCCCTCTGCTTCCCTCCTGATACTCAATGAGTTCCTGGGTTATTACTATTATTTTTGCCTTTTTTTTTTTTTTTTTTTGAGACAGAGTCTCACTCTGTCACCAGGCTGGAGTGCAGTGGTGTGATCTTGGCTCACTGCAACCTCCGCCTCCTGGGTTCAAGCAATTCTCCTGCCTCAGCCTCCCAAGTAGCTGGGACTACAGGTGTGTGCCACCATGCCCGGCTAAATTTTGTATTTTTAGTAGACATGAGGTTTCACCATGTTGGCCAGAATGGTCTTGATCTCTTGACCTCATGATCCACCCGCCTCGGCCTCGCAAACTGCTGGGATTACAGGCGTAAGCCACCGCGCCTGGCCTATTTTTGCCCTCTTAGTATCTCACATTCCTGTAGTGAATCCCTTGTCTAGGTGTCATCCTCTCTTTTCTGGACAGCTTGCAGGACTCCTGTTGGCCTCTTGCCTTTATTTTTATATCCTATCTGTTCTCCAGCTATGCTGCTTGTTGTCCGGGCTGCATACTGAATGAGAAAAGCTTCCTGGAGTTGATATTGGTGCTTCGTTTTAAAGGATGGTTTGGGCTTGGCTATGCAGTTATAACGGAAATGTATTTTAAAATGTTCTAGTAATTTATCTCTTTTAATATTTCCTTATTTAAACATAATTTTAAACCAAAATTGTATTTATGATATTTTAAAATGGAAAGGAACTATGGATTTATGAATAGTTTAAATTTACCAACTACTAAGTTGATTCAACATCTTTTTATTTCTTTCTTTGCCCTAAAGATTCCTTTTCCTTTTTTTTTTTTCGAGATGGAGTACTGCTCTGTCACCCAGGCTGGAGTGCAGTGATGCAATATGGGCTTACTGCAATCTCTGCCTCCCGGGTTCAAGCGATTCCTGCCTCAGCCTCCCAAGAAGCTGGGATTAAAAGTGCCTGCCGCCACCACATCTGGCTAGTTTTTGTATTTTTAGTAGAGACGGGGTTTCACCTGTTGGCCAGGCTGGTCTGGAACTCCTGACCTCAGGTGTTTTTATTTTATTCAGCCCGCCTTGGCCTCCCAAAGTGCTGAGATTACAGGCATGAGCCCACTGTGCCCGGCCAAGTTTATCTGTTGCTTTGGAGACTTACCTAATACAAATTATTGTGTGTCTACTTATGTTATCATTACTCTTAGTAAAATTATAAATGTGTTCCTACAGAATATGGAGAATGGGAAGTTTTCAACCTTTGAGATATGATGGGAGCTATAGACATTAGACAGCAAAAATATTTGCAGATGGATGTGGAGTCAGCTATAAAAGTAACTATGTAATTAAAAGAATGAGAGTTTATTATAATAATTCCTCAACAATGCACAATCTAAGTGGTGTTTACACAATTCAAACACAATTTTGTATGCTAGAAGGAACATACATATGGATTATCTAATTTAAAATAAGATGGATCACATGATATAAGGTTTTGTAAATTTAACTTCTCAGTTGTTTTGTTTTAAATTTCTTGTGATTAGAACATTGGTATGCTTCTTTATATTAATAATTCTTTATGCTTTTACTTTCCCTAATATTATTGCAGAAGTAGTTGTATTGCTCACACATTATTACTCTCACAAGAAACACCATTGTGAAGTTTATATTATCATGATAGCCATTTTACAGAAAACTGGGATAAAGCTTTTGAGCTTTGCATGCGATGATGTAATTAATAAGTGACAATGACAGCATTTAAACATGTCATCTTGGCCAGGAGCAGTGGCTCACGCCTGTAACCCCAGCACTTTGGGAGGCCGAGGCAGGTGGATCACCTGAGGTCAGGAGTTCAAGACCAGCCTGTCCAACATGGTGAAACCCCCATCTCTACTAAAAATACAAAAATTAGCTGGGAGTGTTGGTGCATGCCTGTAATCCCAGCTATTCGTGAGACTGAGGCAAGAGAATCACTTGAACCTGGGAGGTGGAGGTTGCAGTGAGTTGAGATTGAGCCACTGCACTCCAGCCTGGGTGACAGATTGAGACTCTTTCCCCAAAGAAAAATAAAAAGTTTATGTCATCTCATCCACTCACCTTGCTGTCAATGAACAGTCTAAGTAAGCATTTGGACTTAGTAGTGCCCACTTTTTTGTTTTGCTAATTTTCCTTTAGTTTTTTAAATAATAAAGTTTGACTTTTATATCTGAGAATAAATCAACAAACTCTGAAACATCTTATGTAGTAGGGGTCAGCTAGCCTGGGACAATCACATTTATTGAAGAAAATTCACAAGTAATTACCACAACTTGAATATACATGTTTCCACTTCCTGCATTATAATCAGACACTATATTATCTGGACTTATTAATTTTTAGTGTATGTTGTATTTTGTTTAGCATGTATTTATCTTCTTAATCAGAACAGTGTTGTATGCATACATTTATGGATTAAGTATATTTAATTTATTTAATTGTACTTGAGGAAATTCAGTACTGGCATTCTCTGTGGCTTAGTGGGGTTTTAAATTATTACAGAATTTATTTTTAAACTGCTGTTAATTATAGGTTTGGTTTTTTTTTTATAGAAACACACTCAACTCCCAAATCATTGTTTAGCATTTAACTGATCCTACTTAGAAGCACATTGTTTGCATTAATAAAATCTGAGTACATTTTCATTTTTCTAAGACTTCTTTTAACCTTACATTTGTCAAGTGCCCTGGATGATTTATAGAACAGTGCCGATTTATGTATTCTTGACCTTGAGCTTTGTTGTCCCAAAGTTGCTTTTGTCTGCCTGTTCATCAGACTAAACATTGTTTACTCCTACTTCAAATATATTGTGTTGTACAAACATAATACCTATTTTTCTGAATAAACATTTATATCATATCTATTTTTAGAGCTCTATGCTTTGTTTTCATATTCACTATCTTTCTTTCTTTAACACAAGCTAGAAGATCCATTTATAATTTATTGAGGAGTTGATGAGATGAGAGTTCACCTGCTGGTAGCTAAGGCCTTGTAATATGATAATAGCTCTGTTTTGATTGCAGTGTCCTTCAGAGGGAAGGAACTGTTCTTTCAAATTGTTGAGTGAAGGTTAGAAAGAGGACTGGCTGCAGTGGAGGAATTATTCTTAAGTTAAAGATACTTCAAACAGCCTAGGTTCATGGCACATTGCATCTCTTGCAAGAGCAACAGGGAAGCCCGTTGTAGAATGGTGCTGAGAACTAGCCCTGGGTGAACACAGATCCTGATGCTATGCAGCTAATAATTTGCTATTTCAAATGACTGAAAATTGGTTCCAGGGAATTAGACAAGCTTAGCAAGAGGAAAATACACAAATTGCTTTTTTAGCAATTTCTGCTTAACCTCAACCGAGAAAAGTAAATAAATATTTACATCTTTTTGGAAAATTTGAATCTTCCATGATGTTTATATACATATATATTTTTTCTTATTTTGAAAAAAAAGTTTATTGTTTCACATTTTGATATTACCTTTGTTGACTACTCATTAGCTATTATGTAACATTTTTTAAACTTGATATGATATTCACTTAAGCTTAGCCTCAATTTAAATCAAAAATATTAGTGAAATGTTTCACGTGGTCCCAGAGCCATATCGTCCAGGTATCACTGGCCTGAATCTGAACATGGGTGTGCTTTAGAGGGGCTACTGGCTCCTTGGAAATGAATGAAAAAGGTTTCCATGAGGAAGAATTTTATGAATGCCACATTATTTCTCTTATAATCTTATTCGGTGATTCACCATAATGATGCCATTAAATATACTGGAATTCCAGTAAGGGACATAAAAATAAATTTACTTAGAAAGGAAACGTCTTCTATAAAAGACAAACATTTAGTCTTGTCTACTACCAAAAAAACCCTTCATGGCTTTGTTTATGATATTCACGTATTTTATATAAATTAACCAATGATCTTATATATTTTTTTCCTTTCAGCATGTGGAGAAACTCTACAAGAATCCAATGGCAACCTTTCCTCTCCAGGATTTCCCAATGGCTACCCTTCTTACACACACTGCATCTGGAGAGTTTCTGTGACCCCAGGGGAGAAGGTAGTTTATACCGTCAAGCCCACTATTTTATTCTTATATAAGTACAAAAGTTCATCATCCTTCAAATATAAATTTGCTTTATCCTTTATTCTTGTTTGAGTTTTCAAATGGACTAAAAAGTTCAGAAAATTCATAATGGGAATTGCTTAAACTCCAGGAATTTTTTTGAAAGATATAATTTTAAACTTTTTGATGCAATAGGAGGGTTGAAATAATACAAATTATATTCTCAGACACAAATGAAATTGTGGTAAAAATCAGTATCAGAAAGACGCTTAGAAAAATCCCCATATATTTTAAGATTTAAAAATATATATCTAGATGTCCAGTTCAACCAGGAAAAAATTATAATGAAAATTGTAAACTATTTTCAACTATAATATCAGAAAAATATTGAAGACCAACCCTGTAAAATGCAAATAGAGTAGTACTTAGTTGAAAGAAAATTCACAGACTTAAATACTACAGTAGGAAATATGAAATTCAGACCTCAAACTAATGAGCCTAGACGACCATATGAAGAGGTTAGAAAAAGAGCAATAAAATAAAAGATATTTTAAAAGTAAATAGTAAAAGATAAAATTAATAACATGAAAATAACATATGATTGGAAGTATGAACAAAGTTGATAGTTTGAATTGATTAAAAACAACAACAACAACAACAAGGAAATGGGTCAGGCGAGGTGGCTCACGCCTGTAATCCCAGCACTTTGGGAGGCCAAGGTGGGCGGATCACTCGAGGTCAGGAGTTTGAGACCAGACTGGCCAACATTGATGAAACCCTGTCTCTACTAAAAATACAAAAATTAGCCTGGCACTGTGGCACACAGCTGTAATCCCAGCTATTCCGGGGGCTGAGGCAGGAGAATCACTTGAACCCGGACAGGGAGAGTGCAGTGAGCTGAAATCCCATACCACCACTGCACTCCAGCCTGGGTGACAGAGCAAGGCTCTGTCAAAAACAAAAACAAGGCCAGGTGCGGTGGCTCACGCCTGTAATCCCAACACTTTGGGAGGCTGAGGAGGGTGGATCACCTGAGATTAGGAGTTTGAGACCAGCCTGGCCAACATGGTGAAGCCCCATCTCTACAAAAAATACAAAAATTAGCTGGGCATGTTGGCATGTGCCTGTAATCCCAGCTTCTCGAGAGGATGAGGCAGGATAATTGCTTGAACCTAGTAGGCGGAGGTTGCGGCGAGCCGAGATGGCGCCGTTGCACTGCAGCCTGGACGATAAGAGCGAAACTCTGTCTCAAAAAAAAAAATAGACAAAAACAAACCCCAAGGAAATAGATGAAAACATGTCTGATCAAGAAAGATGAAGAATAATAGAGAAAGCACAATTATCTAACATTTGGGAAAAAAATTTAAAAGATTGTTAGAACCATAGAGTCTTTAGACAACAAAATGAGAGTAAAAGAATCTTTTGAACATTATATCAATAACTTAAAAACAATGAGTAAAATGGGCAAATTTCTATAAAATGTTACAACTCAGTTCTTATTCAAGAAGAAATTAAAAAGTATTCACAATAGCAAAAACATGGAATCAAGCTAGATGCCCGTCGATGGTGGATGGGATAAAGAAAATGTGGTACACATACACCATGGAATATTATGCAGCCGTAAAAAAGAATGAACTCATGTCCTTGTAGCAACATAGATGGAGCTAAAAGGCCATAATCCTAAGTGAATCAATGCAGGGACAGAAATTTAAATACCACAAGTTCTCATTTATAAGTGGGAGCTAAACATTGAGCACCCATAGACACAAACATGGGAGTAATAGACACTGAAGACTACTAGATGGGGGAGCCTGAAAAGGGGGAATGGGTTGAAAAACGACCTATGGGTAGTTTGTACTTTGTCTTTGATTCTTATTTACCTGGAAGAACTTAAGTACTCTCATTAGCCGTGGTGGGAATGCAATTGCAATTTTTTTAAAAGTTTGATGTTCTTGATGATAACTGAATGGTATTAGGAGATAATCATGGGTATGGAGTTGTCCAGGATTTTGTAATATTCGCAGTGGAAACTCTAAATGAAATACTCATGTAACATAAATAATTTTTAGGTGCAAAAAGTTACAACTGACTTGGAATACATGAATGCATGCATAGTTCTTGATATAATTTAAAAATTATAAGTGTTGTAATATGATCATAGGTGTTGATCGATTTTTATTTAAGTTCTTTTAACAAGAGCCAGAAAATATATTCTGAAGGTCATTCTTACTACAACACTGAAAAGTGAACTTTAAAAGATACAAATTTTGAGAACAAGTTTAAAGTATACATGATTTTAAAAAGAAAACCTCATAGAATATGAAAAGTTTGGGAACAAGGTTAATCAAATTAAATTGTTTCATAACAGCAAGTTAATATCTGGGAAAAACATTTCTCCTGTCCAATTCCAAAACTCTCGCCATTAGCATTGAGCTAATTTATTTTTCTTGTATGTATGATTATCTATAAAACTATATTTCCAAAAATGTTGTAAATAGGAAGAAAAAATCTATCATCTATTATTTTTCTTAATATTATTTATGACGATTAGCAAATAAATTGGAGTGTTATAAGAAGCCAGTGAACAATTTTAACTCATTATAATCCTCGTGTCTTTATTATTTTCTTATTTTCTTTCTCCTAATATTTGGTTTCATTCTGCTGGGTTTTTTTTCTTACTTCTTGAGCTGGGAATTTAACTCATTAATTTCAAGCATCTTTTCTTTTCCAAAGCAGACACTGAAGGCTGTAATTTTCCCCTCAGAAATACTTTACCTGAATTCCACCAGCTCAAAATAGAGGATTTGTTATGTTTCAATTCTACTTTTTTCTATTGTTATTATTTCTTCTTAACCCACATATTTTTTCAGTAATGTGTTTTTCTTCTTTGCAAACATTGTTTCTTCAATCATCCTTTTCCTATTTATCTCTCCTTGAGTCACCTTTAGGTAAAGCACTATCTTTGTGTGTCAGTCTTTGCAATAGCTTCAGGCTGATATGACCTTGGAAGTGACTAGTATTCATAAGACTAATCTTTGCTTTAAAAATATGTTTTGTGCAATGGTTGGGTGCATCATCTTAATTGTGATGCTCATAGATTCTCTATATTATTGTTTTATCTGTTTATCAGATATTTACAAATATTTGTCACTATGGTAGATTTGTTAATTGCTCTTCATAGCCTTGTTAATTTTTGTTTTATATATGTTTATGCTATATCATTTTATACACATGTTTACAACATTTTATCCCCCTGATGTATTAAACTATTATCACTGTATAATGAATTTCTTTATTTCTAGAGATGGTTTGGGTTAAAACTCTATTTCGTCTATTATTAATAAAGCTACACTTATATTTTGATTAATATATTTGCCAGGTATATCTTTGTCCTGTTCTAGACATCTAGACATTCAATAATTTCCAACCTTTTGTTTCAGGTATCCAATTCAGTTTATTTTTATTTAATCAGTGGATGGCAGGTTTTGTCTTTAATTATAGTGCTTATTTTAATTCTATTTATTGTGACTATTGGTGTGTTTTAGACAGTATACAGTCCAGTTTATTTTTCGTTTAACCCATGATGGCAGGTTTTGTCTTTAATTAGAGTGCTCATTGCAGTTCTATTTATTGTGACTATTGGTGTGTTTTTATTTCTTATTTGCATTTTAATACATCCCTTTTTTTGTTCTCCCCCTTTGCCTTCTTATGCATTGAATTATGTTTTTTTATCATTTCGTATTTTTCTCTCTACTGGTTTGAAAGTTTTAAATGTATACTCTATCATTTGGTACTCTCTACCAGCTTTCTTTCTTAATCAAATTATATTTAATTTGTATCTTTAGCCTCTTCCCATTCAAAAAAGGATCTTATCCCAATTCAAAAAAGGATCTTAAAACATATAAGATTATTCGCTTTTTATAAGATATTGCTTTGCATATTTGTTGATACCTTTTTTTAATCAAGCAAATGAGACACTATTGTCTTTTGCACTTAACATTAGTTTTACATGTGCAAATGCTACCATGGATTTTTGTTATTTATTGTGGTAAAATAAACTATAATATTATTGTGGTAAAAACTACATAGCATAAAATTTACCATCTTAACCATTTTTAGGTGTACAGTTCAGTATGTTAAGTATATTCACTTTGTTGTGAAACAGATCTCCAGAACTTTTTCATCTCGCAAAACTGCAACCCTATACTCATTAAACCCAACAAATCCCTTTTCCTTCCATCCCTTTGTGCCTGGCAATCATCATTCTACTTTCTGTTTCCATGAATTTGAGAAACTTCATATGATTGGAAGCATAGAGTATTTGTCCCTTTGTGACTGGACTATCTCACTTAGCATAATGCCCTCAAGATTCATCCATGTGACATGATTTATTTTTTATGCCTGAATAATATTCCATTGTATGAATACACATTTTCTTTATCCTTTCATTCATTGGTAGACATTTAGGTTGCTTCTACCTCTTGGCTATTGTGAATAGTGCTGATATGAACCTGGGATTGCAAATATCTCTCAGAGACCTTGTTTTCAAGTATTTTGATTATCTATCCAGAAGTGAGGTTGCTGGATCATATGGTAGTTCTATGTTTAATTTTTTAAATAACCTTTATACTGTTTTCCATAGTATTTGCATTATTTCACAGTCCTCACTAAGACTGCAAAAGGGTTCCAATTTCTGTCCATCCTCACCAACACTTGTTATTTTCTGTTGTTTTGATAGTAGCCATCCTACTGGGTGTCAGGTGATATCTCATTGTGATTTTGATTTGAATTTTTCTGATGACTAGTGAACATCTTCTAGTGATAACTTGGGCATCTTTTTGTATGCTTAATAGCCATTTGTATATCGTCCTTGTAGAAATATTTATTCAAGTCTTTTGCCTATGTTTAAATCAGATTATTTGATTTTGTCTTTCAACTGTAGAAGTTTTTATATATTCTGGTTATTAAGCACTGATTAGAGATATGATTTGCATATATTTTCTCCTCCTTCACAGGTTGTATTTTCACTCTGTTGATTGTGTCTTCTGATGAACACAAATTATAAAGTTTGATGTCATACCACTTGTCTACTTTTAGTTTTATTGCCTGTGCTTTTGGTGTCATAGCCAAGAAATCATGGCCATATGTAATGACATGAAGTTTTTACCCTGTGTTTTCTTCTATGAGTTCTATAGTTTTACAGTCTTATATGTAGGTTTTTAATCAATATTGTGTTAATAGAAACCATTCTTGTACATGTGGATATCCAGTTTCTTCAACACCATTTGTTAAAGATTTACTAAATGTTTTTATTCAGCATTCCTGCTCATGTTTCTGACTTCTATTATGGCTTATTTTGGTCCTGCCTATAGCTTACATTATAGATTATTTTTTAAATTAGCGTTTTTGTTTTTTTCTGTTTGAAAATGTGGATTTTTTACATGAATTTATAAAACTATAGTTTCACTGGATATAGTTGGCTGCACATTTAACTTTGTTTTAAATAAAAGCTTGCAAAAATACCTTCATTTCAAACATTTTTAATGTACGATTTTGCACATTAAAGTTATCAAAAGTGATTTAACAAGCACTAAAAATTTAATAAGTTAATACCCATGTAAAATGAATGAACAAAGAATTACTCATAAAATGAAGCTGCTTAAGATGATTTCTGAAGGCAGTTTTCCCAAATTCTTGGATACCTCTCATGTAACAAAATGTATCTTAAACGTATTATAAATCAATGTGAAGTCCATTTATTTATTTTTTAAACAAGTAAAATTCTGAAAGGCACACCTCATACAATCCAAAAAAATAGAACTATGTACGGCTTATTATATGAATATAAACACATGACTGTTATATAAATAAGTTAAATCAAGATGTATCATTTATAAATTTTATAAATTATGGCGATTGCAAGGTCTTTTTTTTTTTTTTTTTTTTTTTGACATGGAGCCTTGCTGTGTTGCCCAGACTGGAGTGTAATGGCATGATCTCGGCTCACTGCAACTTTCACTTCTCAGTTCAAGCAATTCTTGTGCCTCAGCCTCTTGAGTAGCTGGAATTACAGGCATGCACCACCTCACGTGGCTAATTTTTGTATTTTTAGTAGGGACAGGGTTTCACCATGTTGCCCAGGCTGGTCTTGAACTTTTGAGCTCAAGTGATCTACCTGCCTCAGCCTCCCAAAGTTCTGGGCTTACAGGCATGAGCCACTATGCCCGGCTTTAAGTTTTTTTGATTCCAATAATATGAGTTTATTTCAATGTTATAAAATATGTTAATTTGAAAAGTAATAGGTCAAAATTTAGCAAAAACCTGTCTCAAAATTTCCACAAATACTGAATGAATTAGAATTCAACGTATAATGATAAACAATTGAATAAATAGGAGTAGAAGGAATTTTTTAAAAATACAATAAATAGAAAAAACCTAGTATTTCTTGAGTGCCTACACTACACTAGGTGCTGTGCCAAGCTTCTCTAATCTTCTCAGCACCCTACTGACATTAGTACTAGAATTATCTTCATATTACAAAGAAATTGAAGTTGAGAAAGGATTGAGTAACTTATCTAACGTCACACATGTGGCATCTGACATTTGCCAGAGCTAATTATTAAATTTTTCTTTAGTTATAGAGAATGTGTTTTTTCTTTTCTCTAAAATCAAAATAATCAACCAAAATTTAAGCAAGACTAGAGATATTCAAATAAAAACAAATATATTAAAATATAACATATTTTAGAAAACTAGAAACTTTACTGTGGGACTAAAATAAGCAGAATAACATGTCATGAACCGAAATGTAAAAGTGTAGTATTACAAATTATCAGTTCTTGTCAAATTAACGTATAGTAATTCCAAATTAAATTCCAATAGATTTTTGTTTTGTACCAGACCAAATTTTTCTAGAGTTTATCTTAAAAATAAAATAGTTGGCAAATTCACAAACAATGGTAATATGGGGGAGTGGGTTGCACTATAAGATAGAAAAACATTATGAAGCCTCAGTAATTCAAATTCTGTGGCAATGTCAAAAAGTCTTCTGTATCAATGGACAAACTAAAAAGACCAGAATTATGCCTGAGGGCATAGAAGACTTCTGTCATATACTTGTAAGGATCATTTTTCAAATAAATTGGGAAAATGGATTTTCTCAGTAAATAATACTTAAATCATTTTAAAGGATATGTGAAAAAATTAAACAAGTTCTACTTCATATTGCATAGTTTTCTAAAGAAAACAATGCTTTATTTGCTTTCTGAAAAAGATTATGTTGAATACATGAGTTGAAAATAAGAAAATTTAAAATAACTTGTTCAGATTATCCACGTAAAGTTGTTTTTATAAAAATACAAAAAGCACAAATAAAAATGAAAACGGAGACTATTATAACACATAAGGATGAGGGACCATTGGGTCATTCATATGTAAAGAGCTGTTATAAACTGATAACTAAAGATTCACCCCACAGCAGAAAATGCCTGAGAAAGTAGAAAATTTAGTGAAGTATCAATGCAAGTAGATATTCAATGAATATATGAAATTCTTTAATCTTATTCTTTATCAGAGAAATGCTATTTGAACTAACAATAATTTGTCATATTTCACCTGTAATATTGGTAAAGATAGAATTGAATGTTAATATCAAGTGATCATAAAGATACGCAACTCCTGAAAGTAGAAATTAAAATAACCTTTTAGAAGCACATTGGGTAATTTGTATTACACTTTACAAAATGTACCTGCGCTTTTGCCCAGATATTTATCCTAGAACAATTATCTGAGTGTGTGCAAAGGCAACTGTTTATTATAATAGTGAAAGTTGGAAACAAAATAAATTTTGAAAACTTAAAGAAAACTCTGATTTGAGAAAATGTTTACAATATATTATGAAATATTTAAGGCAAATCAAAAGTTAGTGGTATGAGAAGTTCTGTAATTTAAATTATGTACATTAGAGACAAATTTATGGAAGAATATATAAGAAAATGATGCTTATTTCTACCTGCTGAGTTTGCAAATAGTTTTTATGTCTTCTTTGTTCCTTTAAAAAATTACCAGCAATAAGCATATGTTATTTTGGGCAAGAGAAAAATATTGTCTTTAAAAAATACAGTCATTGTAGGACAATGATGTGAATGTACTTAATGCACAGAACTGTATACATAAGTATGGTTAAAATGGTAACTTTTACATTGTGCACACATATTATACCACAATTTAAAAATAAGGGTTTCAGTTCACATGCATATCTTTCTTAGATTGAGACTCTCAAAGTACAGAGGGATTTCTGTTCAATCTAAGGTTATCCTTGATGTTGCATGGTTCATGCTGGCAACAATCCAAAATGTGCAGCGAAGAGGGTAGCTGTGTTGAGCTGATAGAAGCGCATGGTATTGATTCTTGCATCCCTTAGAATTGACTAACCTTTGAACAAGGGCAGATTGCTTATGTCTTGAATGGACTTAATATTTTCTATTTTCCTATATAACCCATTTAGAAGCTATTGACTATTTTTTGCAGATATTTCTTTTTAATCACTCATCTATGATTTACACATATGGAGTGAATTCGCAGTAGTGTATTTATATTGCCAAAGACATTGCTTAAATTTAGCAATTACTATTAAATTATTCTATTAAAATAGATGTATCTTTTGATGTGTGAAATAAATTATTGCTATTATAAACTTATAACCTAGTAATATAATGGTTAAACTTTGAAAAATAACTGAAAAAAGAAAATACAATTTATCATGGACTTTAGGAAAGCTCAGATCTTGTTGGAAGATCCATGCATGACTGAAGAGATGGTAGCATTCAATAAAGATTTTGAGCGATATGAAGAATTTCAAGGAACAAGGAAGGGGAAAGTAGAGTCCACATAGAATTATGTTCACTTTAAGTAAAGGAATGGGAATAGAGCTGAGATTGGAATACTTTGTCAGAGCACAATAGCAAGCAGTTAGGGATGAGTGGGATGAAGTTTATGTGCTTGAGATAATGAAAGATGAGGCAGCAAAATTGGGTTATGACTAGAGTCATTGATTCCAAAACCTTGATGGGAAGCAAACTCTATTGAGATTACTATGGCCATAAAGTGTAGGATGAAATGGAGAAGAGTAAAATTAAAAGCCAAAGCACATCTTGTGAAACTATTACATTATATTCAGAAAAGAAGTATAGCCAGCATTGACATGAAAAAGGAAAAAGAAGTGGAGGAGTATTTTTAGGGATATTATAGAATATCACCTATAGGATTTGACAATTAACTAGATGTAGGGGTGTAGTGGGAATTTAGGAAAGAGAAGTCTGAGTCCATTAATGCCTCTATAACAAAGCTCCTCAGACTGAGTAATTTGTGGACAATAGAAATTTATTTCTCACTCTCAGAGGTAGAAGCTGGGAAGCCCAAGGTCAAGGTGCCTGTAGATTCAGGTATCTGGTTAGTTCTCATTCTCTGCTTCTTCTTGCATTCTCACTTGGCTGAAGGGTTGGAAGGGACAAAGGGATAAAATGATGAACCTGTTTCCTCAAGCCCTTTTATCAGGGCACTAATCTCATTTCTAAGGGCAGAGCCCTCCCGGCTTAATCAGCTTCCAGTGGTCACTTCTTAATACTATCACTTTGAAATTTAATTTCCAACATATGAATTTTGGAGGGACATACACACTCAAACCATAGCGAGAGGTGTAAAAAATGTTCTGATGACTAGTGAGTGATGATTCATCAAAATTTCAAAGTCAGATGTTATCACATAGGTTTAAGCAGAAAAGTTATTTTAATAGAATAATTCAGCTCTTGGTTTCCACCTGTCATCAAACTGATGTTTGTATGTTTCAGAGCATAGATGGAATAAGGAAATGGAGTAATACCTTATTTTATATATTTTTTCAGGGTTTATATTGTGAGGAATGTCTGAATATATACCATGAAAATAATAATACATAAGAATCTTAATAGTGCTTTGGGATTACCTGAGTATTTTTCTCCACATCATTCAATTAAACTCTTGCGAGTTAATTCTGGTGAGATAAGCCTGATATGGTGACCTCCCGTTTACAGCAGTTAAGATTCATTCAACCTCAGAATGTTTAAGTAAACCAGCGAACTGAGAAGTTAGAACTTGAACCCAGGTCTTCTGACTCCCAATCAAGAATAGCTTCCAGATGTAGAAAAAGTTGTATTTTTTTTTTCCTATAACATGATATAATTTCAGAGCTGAACAAAAGCTTAATGATCAGTTATTCCAGAGACTGGCAAACATTTCTGGAAAGAACATAGAGTAAATATATTGGTTTTTGCAGGCTGTACAGTATTTGTCACAAATACTGATTTCTAACATTGTAGCATTGAAACAGACATAAACAACATGTGGTAAAGGAATGGTCCCGATAGAACTTTTACAGAAACAGGCTTCAGGCAGAATTTGATCCATGGGTTATAGTTTACTGATACCTGATTTACTCTCTCTCAGCCTTATTTCTGAGGCAAAAAAAATATCGCCACTCTGGAAAGTTTACTAGACTTGTGCAGGCTTCTTCTGGCTATAGCATAGCAATCTAGTTTATCTTGCTGCTTTTTCAGTCTAATTGGCAAGGTTTGTACATTCTGTATCTTCAGCCTTATAAGGTATGGTGCAAGTATTACGCTAATTGGCTTTTTTTGTGGTGCTCATGGAATTTGTTTAGGTAGCCAATAATATCTTAATTGTGCTGAAAAAAGTTCATTGATTATATCTTTCTCTGGAGACTCACAGACACCCAGTCCCTTGAACTGCTGATCTGCCTTTCTTCAGGATTCTTCACTCTCCAGCATTGGAAAACAGTCTTTAATAAGCACAATTGGCAGCAGTGACATCTATTCAACGTTGCAACTTAGACTCCTAACAGATCACAGGAAATCTTAAAATTGTTCCCTCAATCTCATACTCCAAGGGAGCTATAATTAATTTTGAGTTGTTACTTATACTTACGTCAAAAATAAAATATTTATATAGTTGTGTTTTGTATTTTTCATTTGATCATTCTTTGGGGAAAGATGCAATATGTTCACGTAAAATAACATAATGTAAAACAAGCAGATATTTTCCAAGTGTGTTTGATTTGTTATTCAAGTACGAATCCTGCTAGCAACCTTAGTCAAAGGCCAGAATTTTATGTCTATAATCAGAGCCCTATGATTTGATTTTAGAAAACCTATCTTTATTACATTTTCTGCTTTTAAAGGACTCTGTGTTTTATGTTAATGTCAGGCCAGTTATGTTCCTCCATGGTGCTTGGTGTTTAAACTAGAAGATTAAAAACAAGTTAGAAAAATTTTCTGCTTAGAGTTATCCCTATCCAACTGTGTGTGTGTGTGTGTGTGTGTGTGTGTGTGTGTGTGTGTTTCAAGAGAGCAAATATTAACTATTTCTTTGCAATCCAAATGCACTTTTTAATTTTGGATGAAATTGATAATACACATACTTCTAATTTAGCTTTATTTTTTTTCCTCATGAAGAAGGCAGTAGAAGCTATTTGCATATCATTATAAAACTACCCTTTCAATCTAAGAGGGAAGCCAGAACGTGAGCCCTGGGGGAGTCTCTGTTTGTGTCTATATTCAAGTTTTGCTGTCTCTGTTTTAATAAATGAGTTCTTATGTAATCATATAGAGTTGAAACCTTGGTGGTTGCTATAGGGAAAACATAAATGCAAAATGAAACATAGTATCAGGCAGTGATAGTATTCTCCATGTGGAGCAGACTTAAAGTAAACACAAAGTTAAAGGGAAAAACCAGGTATTATTTCCTAGTTATATCCTGAATATAGTCTAATGTTGCGTTGGTATTTAGAGATGTAGGAGAAAATATTGTGGGAAATTCATAAAAATAAATTAGATACTAAAGCATTTTGATAATCAAGTGTTGAGGATTATTGGTAAAAATGATCAATGCTTTGCCTTTGGATATTTTGAAAATTTTTGTAAACACTTAAAAAGTGGAACCTTACAATGAGGTGAAGAAAAAGAAAAACAGAAAAAAGATAAACTGCAAAGAGGGAAGATAAAAATAAATGAACAATTCTATTAAAACCAATTTATGGCCAGGCACGGTGGCTCATGCCTGCAATCCCAGAGTTTGGGAGGCTGAGGCTGGTGGATCACCTGAGGTCAGGAGTTCAAAACCAGCCTGGCCAACATGGTGAAACTCTGTCTCTACTAAAAATACAAAAATTAGCTGGACGTGGTGGCGGGCACCTGTAATCCCAGCTACTCAGGAGGCTGAGGGATGAGAATCGCTTCAACCCGGAAGGCAGAGGTTGCAGTGAGCTGATACTGCTCCACTGCACTCCAGCCTGGGTGACAAGAGTGAAACTCTGTCTCCAATTAAAAAAAAAAAAACTTATTCCACAACTTAATGTACTACATTTTTAAAAAATTCCACCCCTATTTTCTTATCCTTGGCAGATTTCTTTCTTTGTTACTAGGAAAGTACATGTTAGTCTATATGGATATTTGAAACCAACTTTGGTGTACAGTTTCATCACTGATCACTGTGGTACCTAGATATGAGATGCCCTGAGAAATATTTATAGTTATCCTGTGTCATTTGGGAAAGAAGTAAGTTCATTCAGCATTGATTTGTAATAATTAGTGCTTACCTTGATGTTAAATATTGTGTTCAAGAAAGGGGAGAAGCATATACTTTCCAGCACAGAATTGGTAATACTTCTCTAGAATATGGATTCAGTATTGATTATGTTTTTATTTTCCTTCTTTCTTTCCTTCCTCTCTCCTTCTCTGCCTTTCTTTCTTCTTTTTTTCTTCCTTCCTTTGTTATTCCTTGAGACTTCTTTCACATTCAGCCTTTTGTATTTTCACAAAAGGGATTTTTGAATATTGCTACAAACTATAGTTTTGTAGTAGGAGCATTTGGAATACTCAACATTTGTTGCTTTTGGCCAAAGTCCATCACAATTTCTAGAGTAGAGAACTGGCTTACTATGAGCCTTAAGCATCTCAGATGTTTTAAGCAGAATAGAGTTAGAATGAGTTTTTGAATGTGAAAAAAAAAAAACCAGATGAATTCCTTTGCATCAGATAAGCATACTTCTCGCGTAAGTTTGGCTTTACTTTTGGTGTAATCAAGTAAGAAGAAAAAAGTTGTTTGGAAAGTAAAGTCCATTTATAAAGCAGTAAGAAAGTTGTCTTTCCTAGAATTGTCTCTTGAGTTATCTTTACGCAACAGCATCATTTTGAAACAAAGCACAGAATAAGGGTCATGTACAAGATGCTGTAACTTGAAAGGTCTTTGTATATACATCTTTGGATCTAGAGAAACATAGTGACATCTGCCTTTGATTATCATTAGATGGACAAATTCTAATTCTAGGACTGTATTTAAAACATTTCAACATGCACAATGATATTATATGTTCTGGGAAAGTGGCACATGGTGGTTATTTTTAACATAATTATAGATGTCTGACTGGTCATTTTTGAAATAAATTATTTTTTAAAAGACTTTCATGAAAAAAATAGAATTCTTCATGGCTCAAGCCATGTTTATCTTGGGAAAATTCAAAATAAACTATTTGAATAAAAATTTCTGTTTGCTTTACAATTGTCCAGATTAACTTTACAGAAACTTTTTGTTAATTGCTAACATATCTAGTTTGTTCAACTACTCATATTGTACTTCTCCTGACATTGTAAAACAGTTAAAGAAAATGGGAAAACATGGTTTCAAGGTTTGGTTCAGAAAAAAACTATTAGGATAATTATAGTATAGAAAAACAATTAGCTGCACATGCATTTTTACTGTAGACCAGGGTTCCTTACCTTTAGGAATCAAATCACTATATGTAGATACAATCATTTTTACTCTGTGGGTTGCTTACCTCCATTTTGCAGATTGTTTTAAATTTTACAACGATGGATCTATACAAGAGTAGTTTGTGCTGGTATGACTATATTGAAGTAAGAGACGGGTACTGGAGAAAATCACCTCTCCTTGGTAAGATATCCTTTCCCTTTTATGTGGCTATGTATCTATTCTGTCCCGTCCAAAAAAACCAACCGATTCTCTCAAGAGTCATCGTAGAGTTAAAAATGTGTGTGACTAACATTATTTTTATGTTAGTTATACTTTTTTCAACCATACCAAAAATACTCAAAGACAAATGGATAAATACATTGACTGATTAATTAATTTGAGCTAGCTTAACTTATGAGGTACATACTAGGATTTGAATATAATGATTGAGAATAGCTTTCTCATATATTGTGCCTATCATGAGTACTCCTCACAGTGTTTCTGTATTTTTGCTTTAAAAATCAGTTTTTGATTAAAAAAAACTAATTGTGGGTGTTCATGTTGTGTGTTTGTGTGTTTTGTTTTTGTTTTGTTGCTAAGCCAGTATAATGTAAACTGTTAGGTACATGTTTGGTAGCTGGCTTCCTATGCCAAGCATATTAACTCTTATTATATTATAGATGTCACAATTTTGCTTCTCAGAGAGTTTTCTGTGGCTGAGAAGAGACATTTGTAGTTTGTGTCATAAACTGTAGCTCAGATCTGGTGCTCATGAAAGTCTGCTGTCAACGTTTAACCACAGACCACACTATTAACTTGCATAGGCAGTTTACTGTTGCCCTCTGTTTTACTTAAAGGTGAGAGCTGTTTGGAGCATGCAGGCATCTACTCTATATTGATCTTTTTCTGAGATTGTAACTTTTTCTTTACTTTTAGAAGTAGTTTTGCTCAGTTGCATTGATGAACTGTACAGCTCTTTTAACATCTAACACCTACTGAATGGGCACAATTGTATTAAAAGTGACAGCAGCCATAGTAAATCCAAGAGATCTGTAGAAATATTTAAAAATAAAGAATTGAACTAATGTGGTAAGTCAGGTTGAGGAAAACATTGTCTTCCATATTTAGTTTCTTAGCCTAGATGAAGCAATTTTTTACATATGTATGCACAAGCCAAAGAAAATATTTCATTAAACTCATATTAGAGAAACAAATCTAGAGCTAAAATTCTGAACGACACTTCTTTTTAGAGCACCATCAGCATTACATGGCTCAATGTATAATGGACCACCAGAGTGAGGCAGTGTAATCATGGTTTTTGTGTGAAAAGCTTTCCTTACTATTTCTTCTAAGACCTTGCTCCAAAAAGTGCAGCACTTAGATTGGTAGCATCAAAATCATCTGGAAAGCTGTTAGAATTGTAGAAACTTGGCTCTCACTCTATATCCTCTGAATTAGGGTTTGCATTTTAATAGATTTCCTAGAAATTCAGATGCACACTACAGTTTAAAACACACTGCTCTGTGTTATCTGCCTCTAATTTGCTTTGCAATTTAGGACAATATGTCTTCACCTGTTAGCTGTTAGTATGAACTTGCTTTATGCAAGTCAGCTACATTTTTCATACACTAAAACTATGTATGCCATTTCCAGAGACACAAAAATGGATAACATGTTTGTAGAATTATTGCATGTGCTTTGTTATATTTAAGCATTTTGTGATCATGTGAAAGCTTTGAGCATAGAGGCAGACATAAGCATAAATATTTGTGGAAAGATAAGGAAGGAAGGAATGACAGGTATTATATTTATTTGCTGTAATTCATATTTCTGGATACAGAATTAGAAGAAATTAGAAATTATGCTCAAGTCTTCTGATAGTATTTGTTATTCTGCCTAAACAGATATAATCTACAGATTATAGCTTTATAGATGAGATGGAATGTGTGCAGTGATAAAAGATACCAAGAGTAGCCTTGGGGTTTTCCTCAGGAGTGCTGTTGAACCTAGGTGAATAAAGAACTCCACTTTGAGCTGAGAGCACATTCTTTCTTTCTTTCTTTCTTTTTTTTTTTTTTTGAAATGGAGTCTTGCTCTGTCGCCAGGCTGGAGTGCAGTGGTGCCATCTCGGCTCACTGCAACCTCTGCCTCTCGGACTCAAGCGATTCTCCTGCCTCAGCCTTCCGAGTAGCTGGGACTATAGGCACGTGCCACTACGCCCAGCTAATTTTTGTATTTTTAGTAGAGACAGGGTTTCACCATATTGTCCAAGATGGTCTCGATTTCTTGACCTTATGATCCACCCACCTCGGCCTCCCAAAGTCCTGGGATTACAGGCGTGAGCCACTGTGCCTGGCCGAGAGCACATTCTTAACCAAGTCATTTCCCTGCTATTGGCCAGGTTGACAATTTGAAACCACTTTCTTAGGGTGACTTGCACCTTTTTTCTGTTCCCCATTAAATAATATTCCCCACCTTGATGCATCATTTGACCTTTTTCAAATATTGTTTTTGAGTAACCATCTTACTTCTACATATGGTAACAATACTGACATCAGTCAGCTACTCTGAGGCTGATGGTCAAATACTTTATAAATATATATGAAGACATTGTTTTGTTTATCTACCATTAGTAAGTAAATTTAAGGCACAGTTGTGGCTGCAATCACTTGGAATAGAAATGTGAACCAAATCGGTGTTTACATATTATTTGTGACTAGTACAAAAAGAACGTAGAATATAGAGTCCTATTTAGGAGTTTCTCTTTATTCTTTTATTTCTTTTAGGTAGATTCTGTGGGGACAAATTGCCTGAAGTTCTTACTTCTACAGACAGCAGAATGTGGATTGAGTTTCGTAGCAGCAGTAATTGGGTAGGAAAAGGCTTTGCAGCTGTCTATGAAGGTAAGTCACATTGAATTTTAGAGAGTAGTTCATCTTATATCTCAACAGAAATGTTCGTTTCTTAATTTCATTACAATGACATTGTGACCATATTGTAAAATTATGAATTTTTCTGAATCTGTATTATAATATTCATACAGATAATTTTAACAGTAAATTTAAATTGCAAGAACAACCTGTTGTCTAGTATCAGTGATGTAATAATATCTAAATGTGTTCAGGATGTGTGGAGAAAAAAGCAAATGGCTCAAGAATTCTTAAAGTTTAATTGTTTCATGATAGTTTTAAAACATTATGAAGAAATTATCATTTTCCTTTGTACTGATTTTGTGTCTGTTTGGTCCCTGTATTCCCGAAATACTTTTTATTAGAGGAAATTGCACAGAAAGTAATTGTGCCGATTTCTGAGGCATGCTTTATCTAAATAAGAGAGTCAGCATTTGAGGAAGGACTTATTAAATGCTTTGTTTTATGCTTCTCTAAAACAATAAACTGGCATTGTGCTTTCTTGGCTTTAAAACCAGCTCCTTTCTTGCCAGGTTGTGGGTGGAGGAGACACTTCCTAGTACAGCAGTTTAAGTAATTTTGAAGACAGAAGATTTCTGCTTCCCTTAAACTTTTAAGTAAACGGAAGCATTTTGTTTTAAGGATTAACTGCCTAGTAGTGAAGAGGATTATTTGGAGGGAGTCACGGACGCTGCGCACATGACACTAACTCGCTGCCAGAGACCCAGTGAGTTCTGTTCAGGATGAGGCTCCTCTTCTGATGAGCTATTTTACCTGTGGTCGAAAGACCAAAGGAAGCAGCTCAGAGAATCACAGAACAAACTCACAGAGAATAAATTCACAAAGCCACTAAAGGTTTTTAAAGGTTAAAAAATACCTTTTCGTTAAGATAGGATTAAAAATTATTTATTCCTTGACCATTATCTAATATTTGTAGTTACTTTACTAGGTTTTTTTTACCACATAAATATTTGCTACATTACAACCAGTCAACTTTGATTTTTATAGCCTGGTCTTTATGTACTGAGCTACAGGAGCTGAACTTCAATGTTACCCTAGAAGAAAATGAAAATGAAATAGCATGTCCAGGCTTAGTTATTTGTTTATTTTTTGGCTTTCTTCAGCGATCTGTGGAGGTGAGATACGTAAAAATGAAGGACAGATTCAGTCTCCCAATTATCCTGATGACTATCGCCCGATGAAAGAATGTGTGTGGAAAATAACAGTGTCTGAGAGCTACCACGTCGGGCTGACCTTTCAGTCCTTTGAGGTAAAGTCTTTTAGGCTATCTTCCTGGCAAATATTCTCCATAAACGACAATGGCATTTAAGAGAATCCTCATTAAATCAGCAAAGAAACAGAGAGTCAGCCTTTTAATCAGCAAAGAAGCAAAGGATCGCTCATAAAATGCAACATCAAGAGCAAAAGGGTTTTTTTTCTTCTTTCCTCGTTTGGAGACGTTTTCAAGAAGATTAAAGTGAGTTTACATTATCTGTGCTATTTGAATTAGAATGTTTGAAGTACTGACAATAGTTTCTTTTGACAAATGCACAGGCTTATTTCACAAGAGTGTCCATTAAGTAATAGAACTTTTATTTCTCTTCTAAACTAAGAGATTAAAAGGTAGAAAGTCTTTTTTGTAAGAGGAACAAAACATTTTTCACCTTTTTTTTTTTTACCATAACACAGATAATTGTTTATATCAAAAATAGGGATTTTAAGTGTTCTTACGAGCTTTCAACCTCGTTAAAAATATTCATCAGGGAGATCAGCAGCATCGTTGTGTTATTAGATGACGGGTCAGAAGAAACCAAAGGCCAATCAGAATTTTTGGATCAAAGTCTGGGTCCAGAACTAACACGCTGGCCCGTGAGTCATTTTTGTGGGTTGAAAGGGACTGAGTTAAACATTTAAAGCCAAGAAATAGAGGAATTTCTCAGGAACTCCAGAGTATGTTTAAATCAGAGTTGGTCTAGTAATTGAGAGCCCAAGCTGAAGTGGAGAAGAACAATGAGATGCAGGTGGTAGGTCCCAACCAGGGTTAGAAATTTAGATACATGATTGGAGATGGAGTCTTTACTGATTGGAAGACTAATTCACTAAGTGATCAGAAGGTAGTCATGAGCCCTACTACCCAGTGGGTAGTAATGAGCACTATGAACACTACTTACTGAGGGCAGTGACCGTGGTCATGGTTGTGTGTCTGTACCTGCAGCAGGAGCACCAGGAGAATCCAGGGATTGCCAGTAAAGCCAGAGAATCTCTCATCCTCATCTGGAAGCCTGTAAATTCTATTTCTTCAGTACTTGTCTCTGTCCCCTTGCATGTACCATTTAACTTCCCAGATGTATTTCCTTTTGTTACCAAAAAAATATATACTTTCTACTTTAATCATTATGTTGTATTTTATGCTCCAGACCATTTTTTTTTTGTACTTTTGGAAACTGGTTTTGCCATTATTTGATTGACAGTTGAACTTTGTTAATTTAATGGACTAATAGGTTTGCAAATACTGTTCAAATAGACCGGTTTATTGTTGATAGTTAATTAAAATTGAGTAGAAAAATTTCACCCATGATTTAGACAAAAAAAAGGCTCATAAAAATTATCCACCCAATGTCTGTGTTTGCTGTTTTGTGATATTTCAAGAATTAAGAGATTAACTGTCTTTTAATATGTAATTCAGTTTTTTTGTGGAATTCTATTATAGACATGATGTCAGAAAATGCATTCATTCCATCAGCCTGAAAACTGATGCATGAAGTTGCTACCTTAGTTGATTTGTAGTTTATTTTTTTATTTATCAATGCAATAGCAGTGACAGTCTTCAAAAATAAGATAACATAAGGACAAATGGAAAAGATATGCACCTCAGGCACTTAGAACCATGCCTGACACACAGTAGTTGCTTAATAAATACTTGTTTACTGAATGAATGAATCAGTGATGACTACAGTTTATGACCTGGGAAAAGTCATGTCATAGAATGGCTGAGAGTACATTTTATTTATTGTCTCTAGTTTCCTGTCCTATCTTCATATTACTTTATTTCTATATGTTTCTGCCTCCCTCATTTATATGTTAGACATATTTTGATATCTGGTAGATCTCTTGTCTTTACATGACCAAAACCGAACCCTTGCTTATTTTATTTTACTTACTAAACCCACTCTTCTTCTATTTATGTCAGTACTATTTCAGTACTTTTTGTCACCGCTTACCCAAGGAACATCCTTAATTCTACCTTTTCTCTTAAGCCCTGCAGCCAATCTATCAGCATATATCAGTTGCTTTGTCTTCAAACTATACCTCATACACGATGACTTTACACCACCACTGTTCTCATCATCACCCCTTTGCTTGGAACTCACAGGAAGAACCTCAGGTCTCTACTCTTGCTCTGCATATCCCGTTCTTCACCTCAAAACCAGAGTGATGCTTTTACAATGTACGTTAGATTATGACACTGCGCTACTGACAGGGGATTTCCATCACACCTAAAATAACATCTAGACTCGATTATCATGGGCCACGGTACTTTTGATTGGTCTTTGGCTCCTCCTCACTCCCTCTGTGTCAGCTCGTCTCGCCCTCTTTCTCTTTCTCAGAAACACCAACCTCACTCCCACATCACAGCATTTACCACTGATGTTCCGCTGCCTCAGATCTTTGCTTTTACTCTCCTATTACTTTATTTGGATCTCTGCTTAATTACTGCCTTCTTAAAAAGTTCTTGGCTGATAACACTACTTAAAATACTTTCTTACCTACAATTACCTCTAAATCATCACTCTGTTTTATTTTTAGTAAATTGCACTTCCAACTACCAGAATTTATGCTGCATATCTCTTTATGTACATGTTTATTATCTGTCTCTCTCACTAGAATATGTCCACCAACGGATTGGGATCTTACCTGTGTCTCTGATCATTTTGTTAGGATTTTACCTGTGTCTCTGATCATTTTATCTCCAGCAACATTGTTTGTGAGATTAATGTTGGGTAATAGATGAGAAAAATGGATGGATGGATTATATGTAAGTCAATGTATGAATGTGTGATGGTTGGCAGATGAAAATGAATATATCCTTTATTAAAGGCATGTAAGTTTCCATGCAGAGGGAAACAAGCCTGGATACATAAGAAAGATTTAGATTATGGAGTACCTGGTATGGTGAAGTTAGACTGACTTTAGACTAGAGACGCTGAGTTTCAAGAAATTCACAAGTCACAGGATTTAAAGGTGCCTAATAGACATCTAAATCTTCTAGGCAAGGAAACTGAGTTTATGCCGCTAACCTAGTATCACACTGGTGAGTACTAAAAGAGCATTAAAACCCAGGTACATTTGATCCTGATTTTGTTTGCAAATCTGCTTATTTACTAAAATTTTGGAAGCCTAAAATTAATATTTGCAGTGCCTTCTAGGTCATTCACAGACATGTACACAGCAGCAAATTTTGAGTCACCTAATGTGCCCATTGCCAGCTGTGATGTGCCTTACTGAGAAAACACGTGTGTCAGATTATCTTCGTTCAGACATGTATGGTGTATATATAGGGCTGTTGGGTAAGAGTTCAGTATTAATAAATGGGCAACCTGTATTAATGCGTCTTTAAACAGAAACGCACAAAACAAAATGTTGTGACTAGAATCTCACAGGAACTGTAACCCTAGGAGCAATGAATCAGTACTTGCCAGTTCAGTATTCCGAGCAACTTAATAGAATGTAACTAGCATGAATATCAAGAATCAGCTTTATATATTTTCTTATTTGTTCTAATAGTCATTAGGTGGTTGTTTAATTTAGTCAATTATCTGTTTATATCAATTTTTTTGTTTACATATGTTTTCAATATGGGTATTATACATTTTATACATATTTATGTTGAAAATGTATAATCAAAATGTTTTCATAAATTTTCAATATTATATGATTTTACCTGATAAAGTACAGTTTTTATTCACTGATTCTAGTCTTTGCCTTGTTTCAAAAACTGTTTATATTTTTGTTTATTATTCTTTTTTTTTTGAGATGGAGTCTTGCTCTGTTTCGCCCAGACTGCAAGGCAGTGGCGCGATCTCGGTTCACTGCAACCTCCACCTCCCAGGTTCAAGCGATTCTCCTGCCTCAGCCTCCCGAGTAGCTGGGACTACAGGCGTGTGCCACTGTGCCTGGCTAATTTTTTGTATTTTTAGTAGAGACAGGGTTTCACCATGTTAGCCAGGATGGTCTCGATCTCCTGAATTCGTGATCTGCCCTCCTTGGCCTCCCAAAGTGCTGGGATTACAGGTATGAGCCACCGCACCTGGCCTCATTTATTATTCTTTATAGTAACTAATATAATATATAATTAATAATATATTATATTATATTATTATTCTTCAGATATAAGGACCATGAAGATAAACTTGTCCATCATGCTGTTGAAATCTACTTTAAAGAACTTCTTAGCTGTCCATCATTCATGCTTCTATGTGAATTTATGTCATGGCTTTACCTTTGCCAGTGCCATTTGCATTTTCATGAAAGTGCTCAAATAAAGTTTATGTGTCTTTGTGAATGAGTTTCAGGAATCTTTGAGCAGGAAGGAACACTATTTGGCAGGTAATAGAATCTTGATGCCTCTGTAATTATACCATTTGGGAAGTGATGTGGTCTGGATGTTTGTGTCTACCCAAAATTTATATGGTGAAACACTGATTCTAAAGGTGATGGTATTAGCAGTGGGGTCTTTGGGACATGATTAGTCATGAGAGTGGAGCCCTCATGAATGAATCAGTGCTCCTATAAAAGAGGCCTAGGGGCTAGGTGCTGTGGCTCATGCCTGTAATCTCAGCACTTTGGGAGGCCTAGGCAGGCGGATCACCTGAGGTCAGGAGTTCAAGACCAGCCTGACCAACATGGTGAAACCCCGTCTCTACTAGAAATACAAAATTAGCTGGGCGTGGTGGTGGGCGCCCGTAATCCCAGCTACTCAAGAGGCTGAGGCAGGAGAATCGCTTGAACCTGGGAGGCAGAGTTTGCAGTGAGCCAGGATCGTGCCACTGCACTCTAGCCTGGGCAACAAGAGCGAAATTCCGTCTCGGAAAAAAAAAAAAAAAAAAAGGCCTAGGGAGCTTCTACCATGTGAGGGCAAAATGAAAAGGCAACGCTTATGAAGAGGGCCCTCACCAGACACTGAATCTGCTAGTGCCTTAACCTTGAACTTCCAGCCTTGAAAACTATGGAAATAAATTTCGTGGTTTGTAAACCACCCTATCTATGATATTTTCTCATAGCATCTGGAATGGACTAATACAGGAAGTTTTCTCTCCTCTGGTAGTTATTGGATACATTATTTTTTAAGACCAGTATACTGAAGTGAGTTTGTATATGAATATAGATTCCCTCTGAAAGTAATTTGGAAAGCTTGTTCTCTATTTAGCAGCAGAGTCATTTGTAAAGAAGCTTCTAGTACTATTATTTTATTTGAGAATTTTCAGTAAGAAGAAATACAAAAGAGAAAAAGTTTGGAAGGCTGGAAATGTTTACAGTAACAACTTCAAAGGAATGTCACCAAAGCAGAAAAGAAGTGAAATAAACCTGGAGCTTACTTGTGTTTAAATTGAAATTACCACGTACATTAGTTCAAACGGTATTAAGTTTGAGGTACTTGTCAACATTACTACACATTCTGATTTGGTGATACTTTCCTTATGAAAACCAGAGCTGATTAATACCGTTAACCACCACAGCTGCGAGCTGAAACATTCTAAACTATGTGCATAAGTTTTTATCTTGGTACTTGGTAGATTGCTTGTCTAAAAGTAATCCTCTAAATCCTTTAAATATTTTTTATTAATTTAATGATAAGTAGACTAGTCTTTGTGAGTGAACTAAAAAGCCGAGATAAGGAGGTTTTAATTAGTTAAGGATTTTCTGCTTGCCATGTACTGTTTCTGGGAACTTAGCTGAGAATATATTTTAGTAATGACTATAAAACAGAGGAGTTATGCAGCTCTTCATGAATTACGGTCTAGGCTATCCTTGTGTCTGAAAGATTAGCACTTGTTAGTTTCAATCAACTTGCCCAAGGTTGCACAACTGGTAGCACTATGATCGAAACCAAGCCCTGGCTCTGTGCATTTATGTCACCAGGTCTAGTAGTAAAGAGAAGCGTCAGTATTCTATTGATATAATATTACGGCATTCAAATCTTTCCTTTTGTAACTATCTTCACTTACACATTTTTGTTGTTTAATCATTATGTGTCAGTCCATCAGAGGCATGTCTGTTTTATTCACCACTGTTCACATACTGTCAAGTGAATATTATTTGGCCATAGCAGGTTTACAATAAAATTATTAAATTTATGAGTAATCAAAAAATACTTGAATCATGAAGAAAAAAATGAAGTGGCAGCAGTTAAATCATTCACATGAAAATAAACCTAAGCAAGACCTATGATGTTGCTTTTAACATGTTTGAACTTTTTTTTGAGCTGTAATTATTCATGTGTTGTGTCAACTTAATTTTAAATATTACTACTAATAAATATTATTAAATAAATAAGATAATATAATTTAAAATAATTATGTTTTAAACTTTTCACCTTTTTATTCAATGTTCCTTTTGTTTATACTATTATTTCCTAGACTTTACTAGATTTTTCTCATTATAAAAATTATTTTTAATTTTTAATGATAAATGCTCATTTGCATTGTTTTTATTAATCAGAGTTTTATTTAACATTTTCCCCCAAAGCATAAACAGCTTTAACATTGCTCCAAGCGTATATCATTTAAAATAATACTATCTATACAAGTTGCATCATTTAGATTGCATTAATTATATCTGATTACATTAGCTATGTTTTAAAGCTACATTGTAACAGTCATGAGAGCTATATTTGATTAAAGCAAAATATACATAACATAAAATTTTCCATCTTAACCAGTTGTTAAGTGTACAGTTCAGTAGTGTTAAGTAGATTCAAAATGTTCAAGCAATTTCCAGAACTCTTCATCTTGCAAAGCCGAAACACTATCCCATCACACAAAAACACCCTATTTTTTTCCTCCTTCCCCTAATTCCTTATGGCAACCTCCATTCTTTCTGTCTCTATGAATTAGAGAATTTTAAGTACCCCTTTTTAAGGTGGAATAATATTCCATTGTATGTGTATACCACATTTTATTTATCCATTCATCTATCAATGAACCTGTGGATTGCTTCCACTTTTTGGCTATTGTGAAAATGCTGCTATGAACGTAAGTATGCAAATATCTCTACAAGACTGTGCTTTCAATTCTTTGGGGTATTTACCCAGAAGTGGTATTGCTAGATCATATGGTAATTCTATTTTTTATTTTTTAGGGAGCATGGGATACCTTTTACTAAAAATTATTATCTAGAAATTTCTAAGTTTTCAGAGATTTTTATAAATAACTAGATACTGCAATAGATATTTGTGCAATGGTATATTGATTTGGAAATTTGGTTATCAAATGAAGGCAAGCATGTGAGTGTGTCCCAAGCCTGGCCATGACCCCTACCTCCAGGGCTGGCTTTCCTTCAGTGCCAGAGCTCACCCACATGCACTGACCACTAAACTCTGTACAGGTTGGCAGGTTTAGAATGAGAGGTTGACCACTTTTGGTTAAATTTATTTTAGTTGTTGCTAAATAGAAATCACTTACTTTTTCTATGGTTCGTCTTCATTCTGCATTAAAGATATGAACCCTCAGTAGTGAAATGTACTATGAATCCCTTCTGACTAGTCTTTGTACATGTTCTTCCTTCTTTGTGTATTTGGCTCTACTTCTGATATCATTTACTTACTAGTTTTCTGAAAATTGTTCAGAGCTTACTATCACTTTCCCTATATTCTCTATGAAGATATTAGGTCTGTTTACATTATGATAAACTTGTCATATTAATACATGGTTTATGCTCTGCTTACCTTAAAGTGTGTAAGAAATCGGCATCATCTTTATTTATTATATGTTTATTGTGTGTTTAATTATACAAGACATTGAGTTCAGCTCCCAGTTATCTGAACTGTATCCATGCTTTAACTCAAAAAGAAACTGCTCTTTCTCTTTTCTTTTTTCTCTTTTTTCTTTTTTCTCCTCCCTCCCTCCCTCCCTTCTTTCTTCCCTCCCTCCTTTCCTTCCTTCCTTCCTTCCTTCCTTCTTTCCTTCCTCTTTCTTTCCTTTCTTTTCTTTGTTTCTTTTTCATTCTTTCTATAAATCATCGCCTTTGGTGTTCTTTTACTGATGAAGCTTAAACTTACTGGCATGACATCGATGGACTTGATTCACATTTTAGTTTCAATCATATTTATTTCTATCCATTCCATATATTAATTGATGAAGTAATTTGATGTAGCTCAAGAAAATGTTACACAAATGACACAAATAAAGTAACTCAAATATTCATTTGTGCTCATTGTTATCACTCGTGTTGATGTAGCTGATGAAGTATAATTATGATTAGTACAAATGGAGTAAATTCATTGTGCAAGCCTTGCATTTAGGATTAAACTGGAAAAATAAGTAACTGAAGACCATTCAGGTAATTGACGAGATATCTAGAATTGTTGTTGTAAAGATATAATGTATTTCCAAATATCATAAATTCATGTAGATGAGGCACATATTATTTTCTAGGCAACTCAAAATCTGTGGCATTCACTGTGTGAGAATGCTGTTGCCCCAAATACCAGGTACATATTTAATATGTAAATAATATGTAATGCATAAATATGTACTAGTGAATTTAACCCTATAATTAGCTATTTTTACCTGTGAAATATTTACTCTTTGTGTATCATATAAAATATTTAAAATTACAATTTTTACTAAGTAACCAGTGAATACACTGTAAATTAAAATGTAAAGTGAATGATTGTATATCTATTAAAGGAATAGAGTGAGTTTTATAGACCAGGCAATATATAAATTATCCTATTTCTTTTTAATCATTGAAGAAATCTGAAATTTTGAGTTTCATTTTCAATAGGAACTATGTTGTCTTCCTTGTTTGTACCATAATTTTTAATAATAATCTTCTTAAAATAGTAATTAAAACCCTTTTTAATTAACATTTTTAATTTTTACACTAGCCTGATTTCTAATATGAAGCAATGTAATATTATCTTTTTTAAATTTATTTTATTTTGTGATGGAGTCTCAGTCTGTTGCCCAGGCTGGAGTGCAGTGGCACGATCTTGGCTCACTGCAACCTCCACCTCCTGGGTTCAAGCAATTCTCTGCCTCAGACTCCCAAGTAGCTGGGATTACAGGTGCCTGCCACCATGCCCAGCTAATTGTTTTGTATTTTTAGTAGAGACAGGGTTTCACCACCTTGGCCAGGCTGGTCTTGAACTCCTGACCATGTGATCCACCTGCTAAGACCTCCCAAAGTCCTGGGATTACAGGTGTGAGCCACCGTGCCTGGTCATAATATTATTTTTATTAATGGACCTTCTACTACAAGATGTTGCTTCCTTCATTGTGTATTCTCAATTCTTGTGGTTTTCTATCTCATTCTTTCTCCCCCTCTTCCAATAGGATTGGTGAATCAGGAGCAGTTCATTCTGTGCTGCTTTAGCAGGGGAGGATAGTTTGGTTTGCCAAGACTTTGGTTATTTTGTCTACAGTTTTGTCATTTATTCTGTTATCAAACTCTATAACTTGAAATCTGAGATATTATTTTCTGTATTGTCCCCTTGACCAAGAACAGCCTTTGGCCATCTGGAAATGTTCTCATATTTATAGAGAACCCTGATTTTGAAGGGATTAAATTAAAGACTGAGATAAGAGGTTATGTGTATATATATATATATATTTGGCCAAATTGGGCTTGTCACCCCTGGTGACCAATTGAGTTAGTTTTTAAAATGTGCTTTTAAAATTAGATATTCTTTATATAAATATTTTCCATTTATTCCCATAATTGTACACTCACAAAAATAATTTATTTTTAGGAAAAATATGGATTTATGAAAAGTATCCAATGAGCACCTACCTTAAAATCACAGCCTTCTCTCCCCCACCCAATTTCTCATACATCTCTCATCCAGTTACTAACTAGACCTGTTCTTAATTAATTTCTGAGATCAGATTATATCAGGAAACTTCAGGGTGGTAAGGCCATAGCCATCTTCTCACACTTCTTATCTTGCTACGCTTTCTATTTTTCCATTGAATTTATGACTTTCTAATATTTTATGATTTAATTATTTATTTTGTTTATTGTTGCTTTTCTGGCTACTCATCAGTAGAATGCAAGCACCAGGAGGGCAAGGTTATTTGATATTTTTCTGAATGATGCATACCAAGCAGAGAGAGTGCCTAGTGGAGAGTAGGCACTGAGTATTTTGTGACTAGGAAGCAGCAAATGTAGTACCTAGTTCTAACTAAATCTGTGCTTCAAAGTGTATTTTTTTTGTTTGTCTTTATACTACCTCATTTGAAGACTATTATTGTTAGTGTTTTGATAAGGCAGAAAACATATTTTTCTACCAACTATACTGGCAGTTTCATGCGTTCAAGTTGCAGTTCCATGGACATTCCCCGATATTCCTTGACATTCTACGTATTCCTTAACACTAGTAACAGAGTTCCATAAATTAACGAATTGTATGTTGAGTGATATTGACAACATTTGATACTTTTCTTGGTGTTTTAATTGTAGATATCTCTGCTTTCTACTTTTAAATACCTAATAAGCAGTTGACTCTTTGAAGACTTTAGTTCTAGTGGTCAACTTCTGTGAAAGGTGAAAAACAAGAATTTTACATAAAAATTGTCTTACAATTTTTAAAACAATTTATAAATTTTGTTTTTTTTTGTTGGTTTGTTTTCAGAAGTTCAGGGCTGAAACATGGGTCCATGAACATATAGTTCCCCATAAAGTGTCATAGGCCAATAGTCTCACCTGATATTTGCATTCATTTGTTAAGGAAAGAGATTGAGTTTCCCCTGATTATCTGGGCTGAGAGGAGTGTGTTGAGATAAAAAGCCTCATCCAAACAAGGCCATATTTCCTTGGGAAAGGGAAAACCACTGTTGATTCTACTATATAGTAGTCTTTCTCTACACAGCCAGGTTAATTATGGAGAAAGAATTCAATAGACTGAGGAAGAACAGTAATCCCATATTATCAGATTTTCGTTTCAAAAAGAGATTTATAACCAAAAATAGTGCTACATTTGTTCAGAGTATTTGAATCCAAATCTTCTATGAATACAATAATGATTTTATTGAAAGACTATGGAGCAATTTTTTTTTATTATACTTTAAGTTTTAGGGTACATGTGCACATTGCGCAGGTTAGTTACATATGTATACATGTGCCATGCTGGTGCGCTGCACCCACTAACTCGTCATCTAGCATTAGGTATATCTCCCAATGCTATCCCTCCTCCCTCCCCCCACCCCACCACAGTCCTCACAGTGTGATGTTCCCCTTCCTGAGTCCATGTGATCTCATTGTTCAATTCCCACCTATGAGTGAGAATATGCAGCAATTTTTATAACTATGATTCAGAAGAAGTTATATATTACTTGCAGCAGTGTATCAGGCCCAGATTTTTAGTGATAATTTTTAATTTTGGATTTTTTTCAGCCTCTATTGAATGAAGAATTTCTACTTGTAGTTTAATTTTCTTTTAAAAGACAACTAATTTCTGCTGATCCTGACTCATGTGGATGTACTGTTTCATAGTTATTTTTTATCCTTCCCTGTCTACCAGAATAACATCCTTTGTTCATGGATATTACAGTGTACGTTCATGAGAAACATTCAAGTACACTCATTTGATACAAATAACTTTTATATTAACAAATCAGAAGTATGGCACTGAGAAGACATCTATCCTCCTATATAAAATGTTTTATCTATAAACATATATTTTCACATATTTTTTTCTGTTGCAGATTGAAAGACATGACAATTGTGCTTATGACTACCTGGAAGTTAGAGATGGAACCAGTGAAAATAGCCCTTTGATAGGGCGTTTCTGTGGTTATGACAAACCTGAAGACATAAGATCTACCTCCAATACTTTGTGGATGAAGTTTGTTTCTGACGGAACTGTGAACAAAGCAGGGTTTGCTGCTAACTTTTTTAAAGGTAATTTGAAATAATTTTCAAACGTGAGATTTTCTTTATCAAGGATACTTGTAGTGTTTAGCTTTGATTTAGGGGAGAACTAGAGAAAGTTGTATTGAAAGTTGAATATGAATAAGGATATTTTGGAGAGTTTCGATAGAAAAGGTTATTAATAAAATACTAGAGTTTAGAACTTCATAGCACAGGATAGGAATTCCATTAGGATATTCTACCATCTGTTTTTTATGAAATGGTCAAAACAGCAAGTTCCAGAAAAGGATATACAGACAGAAAGAAAATATTTGCAATGAAAATAACCAACCAAGAATTCATGAACAGAAGAAGGTTACTGACATGAAGTTTATCTATTTGTTTCCAGGTGCCAGCATTACTCCCTTTCAGACTAGTATTCCCCCACATTGAAAATAATTTATGACCTCCTTAGCAGAATATTCTGGTATCTCAAATGTCTTTTTGACAGATAATTATCTCTGATCAGCTTTGATTTTGAAATGCATAACTACATTTCAGTTTATTCTTATGTCCCATATTTTGTATGTATTGTGAGGTGAAAGGAAAGCAAATATTTTGGTGAAAATATTAACATCACATATGCATTTAGGAAATTCATTGACACTTATGTTGTGTGTCATTATAGAATAAAATTTTTCTATGGGAAGAGAAAACAAAATTTTCCTCCATATTGATTTTATAGGATAAATGATATAGGATAGGATAAAGGATTCGATTGTGTATTGCAAAACTTAGAGTGATAGATATGTAAATATTGTCATAATTTAAAGAAGATCAGTGTAATGGATTTTCCCTGGAAGCTATTTTATTCATCATATGAAATGAAAGATAGAAAAGCTTGGCACTTTTACTACAGGTATTAAAAGAATTCATTAAAATCTCCATTTACATGTTTGAAATTTTCTGTATGTGATATATTTCATAGAAGAAACATGCTATCAAGCTTCTTTCATGTGATATTCATATATTTACTTATCAAAATCAAGTGTCTTGCTGATGCATAATTTCTTCAGAGGATGTTTACTATTTGTCTAACTCACATGAGGTTATTCCTGAAGAGTGAGATTATGGAGTATCCTGTCATATACATTTTAAAAAATATTATATATTGTATATATATACTTTATGTATATTTTGGGTTTCAATATACAATTATACAGTATGTATATTTATTAAAATGGGGTTATCATATTTTCTGGAGCAAAATGTCTATATAAGAAACACAATGTTTTAAATTTAAAGAGATCCAGTCAATTTCTGAGTTTTATACCTTTTAATTTATGTTCACCACAATCTATTTCTTAATAATGATATTTCTTTAAAAGAATTTTTGCTGATATATCTATTAAGCTATAATGTAAAATTAGCATTGCTGAAGCTATGCTTTTTAGTAAGTTTTTAAATTTCATTCTGAAAAAAGGCTAGGCTTCATTATCCTCATTTGACTTCAAATTCAGAAAAACACACACTGTGTCTGAGATAAGGTGATCTTCAGTTGGCCCAGCAATAGGTTTCCAGGCCTTCTGTGGGTTTTTTGACAATGCTCAGTTAGCAGCAACATGAATTTGTATACGTTATCCATCAGGGGCTTATACGTTGTTCCTGCTCCTTTGCTGATAGAAGCAATGGAAGAAATGAATTGTTTCCATTTTATTTGGAACCATTAAGCATGGTAGTTTTTTAGAAAGATTTACGCCCTCATATATATATATAAGAATAGCATGGAAAAGAACCCCCAACCATGATTCAGTTACCTCTCACCAGGTCCCTCTCATGACACGTGAGAATTTTGGGAGATATCATTCAAGGTGAGATTTGGGTGGGGACACAGCCAAACCATTTCACATACATACACACATATATATGTATAGTTGTTCTATAACTATGACCATTTTCATAGAGGAAGATGAGTGTGCCAAACCTGACCGTGGAGGCTGTGAGCAGCGATGTCTGAACACTCTGGGCAGTTACCAGTGTGCCTGTGAGCCTGGCTATGAGCTGGGCCCAGACAGAAGGAGCTGTGAAGGTATGACTGCACTCCTTCCTGGACCCCCACCCCCCACAATTATTTATTTCTTATATTCTCATTCTCTGTCTGTCTTCCTCTTTCTTTCCCTTTTTCCTATAGTGACCTCTTTCCTCAATTAGTAAGACTCAATTCACAGTCACAGCTGATGTGAAACCTTACCTGAATTCTTGTTATAGAATGGGTCCTTTCCTCCTTTGATTACCAGGCCACCTTGTTTATATATGTATAACACACCATATTAGTCCATTCTCACGCTGCTAATACAGACACATTAGCATATTTATTATGCTAATGAAAACATACCCAAGACTGGGTAATTTGTAATAGAAAGAGATTTAATGGACTCACAGTTCCACATGGCTGGTGAGGCCTCACGATAATGGGAGAAGACAAAAGAAGAGCAAAGGCACGTCGTATATGGCAGCGAGCCAGAAAGCATGTGCAGGGGACTCCTTTTTGTAAAATCATCAGATTTCGTAAGACTTTCTCACTATCGTGAGAACAGCATGGAAAAGACTCCCCCCAACCATGATTCAGTTACCTCCCACCAGGTCCCTCCCATGACATGTGGGAATTATGGGAGCTGTCATTCAAGATGAGATTTGGGTGGGGACACAGCCAAACCATTTCACACATATATAAATAAATGTATCTATACTTGTTTCTATCTAGATTCATCTATATATAAATCTACATCTAGACCTAGATTTATATCCATCCCTCCTTTCATCCATCCATCCATTCACCAGGCCACTGTGTTTGTACATATTAATGTATCTGTAGATATCTCTGTCTAGATCTAGATTTTTATCTATCCATCCTACCATCATTCATTCATCCATCTCTCATACCAGGCCACCATGTATATGTATGTTACTATATCTAGATCTATTTCTGTCTCTATCTAGATCAGATTTTCATCCACCCATCTATATATCTATTCATCCCTCCATTTCTCCATCCATCCATCTGTCTATCCATCATTTGTTTTTATCTTTTTCTTAATATAGTCTTTAGGTATATCTCCCTTATTAAAATGAGAAGTCCTGAGTTAGAATCATCTTTGTATCTCTAATATCTAGCACAGTCAGACATAAAGCAGGAGATAAATATGTGTTTTATCAATAAAAGATTGATTTTTTTAAAAAGACTTTTTGTCGTGGTTATCTGCATTTCGTCTTTATGTTTTAAGATGAGGTTTCTTGTAAAGCATTTTCTTACCATTATCTATGATCTCTTCCTTCAGATTTTAAAGCTAACTCTTTTTTATTTTCCCTGCCTCCACCCTATTACAGGCCCCATACCGCTATTACAGGCAGGATGAATTGGAAGATCTTTCTTACTCCAGTCTGTTCCTCCTTTATTCCTCTTTTAAAATTTCTGCAAAATTCATCTTCATAGAATGTGTAGCAGTTTAACATTATTTATATTTATGTATTTATTGGTTTACTGTGATGTCTCCCATCAAAATGTTAGTCCTCTGAAAATGAGCACCTGTTCTCTACTGTACCTGTAATAGAGGATATAATAAGTGGCAAAGGGGAAAGAATTATTTGCTTAATGCACGCCCCCCTGCTGACCTATTTAGCAAAAATCAGAGACTCCCTGTTTCTTCTTAAAAGTCTGAACTTTCCTGTTTGGCTTCCAGAAGTCTCTATCCCACCTATTAACCTACTAATCTTCCCCCTTTACTAGAATAAAAAAGACCTAGTAATGAAGCAGTATATTTTTAAAAGAGGACATTGTATATGAGACAATCAAAAAATAACAAGACTACTGTTTCTGTGGAGCAACTAGAAATACTTATCTTATCATAATTTACCAAGAAAGTGGTAAAAGTAACTACAGGTAGTGTTTGTATATACTTATAAATATAGCATATATGTATATGTGTATACACACACACACACACATACACGTGCACAAAGACAAAAAAGGGACCAGTTATTTTAGGTAACTCTTGACTCCTTAGGAATTAATTATGAACTGTGTACAATGTATGTTCTTTTTACTCAGCTTGCTTTTGGATACCATGATTTTGCTAATTTCACTGTCAATAAGGAAGAGATGAAATTTAAATAGAACCTTTTAAAAATAGATCATCACAGATCTATTTAAAAAGAAAATCAGTATTTAAATTGGACTTTTTGGAATAACAAATATGCTCTATTTACCATAATTTATCTTGTCTGGTAGCTCAGGTAATATTGAGTTACTTGTCTTGGAAAAAAAGTTTGAGGAAATGAACAATTGATTTGGTTTTATTACATCATCCTAAACTGTGCTTTACATGTATATTTTCCTTAAATCTCCTAACACCCTTCTCAATTCCGACAAAAAAAAAATTTTTTTCCTTAATTCTGTAGTGGCCAAGGCACTACAAGATATTATTAGACCAACTCTAAAGATAAGAAAACTGAGACCTAGATTTTTAATTTTTTTTAAATTGCTCCCCCTACTTTAAAGTTACTAAAATTTAGTACAGCCATAATATTCTCGGCTACTAAGCTACAAAATAACACCTTAAAAATGAGACTTAATGACCACAATACTTGTATCAAGACTAAGGAGCAGAGACTGCCATTTCTGGATTTTAAAATCCAGAAGATAGTTGAAATTTAGTGCTGAGATGTTTGGGTATTAATTAATGGACAGGTGCTAAGAAGTGGGTGACTTCATGGGGAGAATATACCTTTTTCTTTTCTTTTCTTCTAGCTGCTTGTGGTGGACTTCTTACCAAACTTAACGGCACCATAACCACCCCTGGCTGGCCCAAGGAGTACCCTCCTAATAAGAACTGTGTGTGGCAAGTGGTTGCACCAACCCAGTACAGAATTTCTGTGAAGTTTGAGTTTTTTGAATTGGAAGGCAATGAAGTAAGTGAACAATAACTGTAATTTTTTAAATCATGTTTTGGAACTCCCTGAAGGCAAACTGTGAAATTAAAAAAAAAAAAGATGTAGTAAAATAGTATAGACATTGTATTCTTTCTTTGTCTTACTGCTCATTTCTGCAACTGCTTATGAATCTCGTTGGCATTGGATGATACTTTAGACTCTTTCTGGAAGATTGAAAATTACCTAGAGGGAGTTTTTATTTAGTGTATTTAATATTTACCATTTTCTTGATTTGTTAAATAACTATGGAGTATTTAGGGTCAACTTCATGTCACATAGACACTTCTAGAAAAAAATAAACCAAAACCCTGTGGCTGAGTCATAACAAAAATATCATTTGGAAGAACCTGGCATATTTTACTTATGGAAATGGGTATATTTACATTATATATGTAGCTTTTCATTATGAATGTGCTCGTGGTTCATAAAGAAGGAAAGATTAATTTTTTAACCTCAGTAAAAGATGTATTTAAAGCTATCCTTTTTTAATGCAGAATATAGCTTACTCTACTAAAGGTACAGTTTCTGTCAGGTGACTACATTTAAACAAGTGAAATCATTTATTTGAAAATTCCTTTGTGCTAGTGCACACACACACATCAAATTCAAGTGGAATGTCAAGCCTGAAATGGGAACTTTTAGAAAAACATCCTTTGTGTGATTGGTCAACACTGGTTTAATTCCAGAGGAAAGGTTATAAACGTTTGTTTTGTTTCGTCTTCTGTACGTTCTCTTCTTTTTCTAACTTCCTTTGCATCCTTTTCTCCCAACAACGTTTTTAACGTTTATTAAATGAACATGATTTTTATCCATCCATAAAATAAAATTAACCCACAAAAAATATTTTGTCTTTGATGTACATCAGTTGGACACTTTTGTCTCTGATGTATATCAGAGAACGGAAATGTAATGTATCTGTGCCACTGAAGCAGTAATTGTTGGTAATATTTGTGGGTTTTATACCATAGTTTTGCTTTTGTGTGTCTATTTTTCTTCTTCCTTTTTTACTGCCTACTTTTCCTCCTTTCCTTTTTTTTTTTTCTTTTTTTTTTTTGAGACAGAGTCTCGCTCTGTTGCCCAGGCTGGAGTGCAGTGGTGCTATCTTGACTCACTGCAACCTCCGCCTCCTGGGTTCAAACAATTCTTCCTGCCTCAGCCTCCCGAATAGCTGGGATTACAGGCATGCGCCACCACACCCAGCTAATTTTTGCATTTAGTAGAGACGGGGTTTCACCATGTTGGCCAGGCTAATCTCGAATTCTTGACTTCAAGTGATCCGCCTGCCTCAGCCTCCAGAAGTGCTGGGATTACAGGCATGAGCTACCGTGCCTGGCCTCTTTCCTTTTAATTACTTTTTTTCCTCTTAATTCTGCTTGTAGTAACCAAGGAGGTTTTAGCTTTTTACTAGTGGCTTTTAGGTAAAAAAGAGGTAGCTGACTTCTGTGTTCTCTTAAAGAAAATTAAAGTTTGAAATATGATGAACTTTTGCTGTGCAGAAGCTCTTTAGTTTAATTAGATCCCATTTGTCAATTTTGGCTTTTGTTGTCATTGCTTTTGGTGTTTTATTCATGAAGTCCTTGTTCATGCCTATGTTCTGAATGGTATTGCCTAGGTTTTCTTCTAGGGTTTTTGTGGTTTTAGTTCTAATATTTAAGTCTTTACTCCATCTTGAATTAATTTTTGTATAAGGTGTAAGGAAAGGACCCAGTTTCAGCTTTCTACATATGGCTAGCCAGTTTTCCCAGCACCATTTATTAAATAGGGAATCCTTTCCCCATTTCTTGTTTTTGTCAGGTTTGTCAAAGATCAGATGGTTGTAGATGTGTGGTATTATTTCTGAGGGCTCTGTTCTGTTCCATTGATCTATATCTCTGTGTTGGTACCAGTACCATGCTGTTTTAGTTACTGTAGCCTTGTAGTATAGTTTGAAGTCAGGTAGCATGATGCCTCCAGCTTTGTTCTTTTGGCTTAGGATTGTCGTGGAGATGTGGGTTCTTTTTTGGTTCCATATGAACTTTAAAGTAGTTTTTTCCAATTCTGTGAAGAAAGTCATTGGTAGCTTGATGGGGATGGCATTGAATCTATAAATTACCTTGGGCAGTATAGCCATTTTCACAATATTGATTCTTCCTATCCATGAGCATGGAATGTTCTTCCATTTGTTTGTGTCTTCTTTTATTTCGTTGATCAGTGGTTTACAGTTCTCCTTGAAGAGGTCCTTCACATCCCTCGTAAGTTGTATTCCAAGGTATTTAATTCTCTTTGAAGCAATTGTGAATGGAAGTTCACTCATGATTTGGCTCTCTGTTTGTCTGTTATTGGTGTATAGAAATGCTTGTGATTTTTGCACATTGATTTTGTATTCTGAGACTTTGCTGAAGTTGGTTTTCAGCTTATGGAGATTTTGGGCAGAGATGATGGAGTTTTCTAAATATACAATCATGTCATCTGCAAACAGGGACAATTTGACTTCCTCTTTTCCTAATTGAATACCCTTTATTTCTTTCTCCTGCCTGATTGCCCTGGCCAGAACTTCCAACACTATGTTGAATAGGAGTGGTGAGAGAGGGCATCCCTGTCTTGTGCCAGTTTTCAAAGGGAATGCCTCCAGATTTTGCCCATTCAGTATGATATTGGCTGTGGGTTTGTCATAAATAGCTGTTATTATTTTGAGATACATCCCATCAATACCTAGTTTATTGAGAGTTTTTAGCATGAAGGGCTGTTGCATTTTGTCAAAGGCCTTTTCTGCATCTATTGAGATAATCATGTGGTTTTTGTCTTTGGTTCTGTTTATATGATGGATTACATTTATTGATTTGCTAACATCAGAGTGAACAGGTAACCTACAGAATGGGAGAAAATTTTTACAATCTACCCATCTGACAAAGTTCTAATATCCAGAATCTACAAAGAACTTAAACAAATTTACAAGAAAAAATCAAACAACCCCATCAAAAAGTGGGCGAAGGATATAAACAGACACTTCTCAAAGGAAGACATTTATGCAGCCAACAGACACATGAAAAAATGCTCATCATCACTGGCCATCAGAGAAATGCAAATCAAAACCACAATGAGATACCATCTCACACCAGTTAGAATGGTGATCATTAAAAAGTCAGGAAACCACAGGTGCTGGAGAGGATGTGGAGAAATAGGAACACTTTTACACTGTTGGTGGGACTGTAAACTAGTTCAACCATTGTGGAAGACAGTGTGACGATTCCTCAAGGATCTAGAACTAGAAATACCATTTGACCCAGCCACCCCATTACGGGGTATATACCCAAAGGATTATAAATCATGCTGCTTTAAAGACACATGCACACGTATGTTTATTGTGGCACTATTGACAATAGCAAAGACTTGGAACCAACCCAAATGTCCATCAATGATAGACTGGATTAAGAAACTGTGGCACATATACACCATGGAATACTATGCAGCCATAAAAAATGATGAGTTCATGTCCTTTGTAGAGACATGGATGAAGCTGGAAACCATCATTCTGAGCAAACTATCGCAAGGACAGAAAACCAAACACTGCATGCTCTCATTCATAGGTGGGAATTGAACAATGAGAACACTTGGATACAGGGTGGGGAACATCACGCCACACACCGGGGCCTGTCATAAGGTGGGGGGAGGGGGAAGGGATAGCATTAGGAGATATACCTAATGTAAATGATGAGTTAATGGGTGCAGCATACCAACATGGCACGTGTATACGTATGTAACAAACTTCACGTTGTGCACATGTACCCTAGAACTTAAAGTATAATAATTAAAAAAAAAAAGAAATGTGATGAACTTACATATTTCAAGGAATTGCAGAATCTTGGAACTCAATGGGCCATTTGAGCTTCTTTTTAACATTATGTGTAAGTTTTATAATGAGAAAGACTGCAATTTATCATTTTAACATACTTTACATGAAATATAATTTTCTTTTAATAAGTAAAGAAAATTATTTTTATACTATTTTTAGAGAGGTTTTTCTTTTTGAGCTACACCTTTTGAAAATGGGAATTTCCCTACCAATTCTGGGATTGATGTGAACTTAGTGTTGAATGACATCTACTCCCATAGTTTTCCCTTAAGCTATTACTGTGTTGGGTGTGACATTTTGATTTATTAATTGATAGATATTTGTAATAAGTCTAGAGGTCTGCATTCAGGAGAAAGCAGGGGAGATGGTTTTATATAATTGAGGTATTGTGTTCTGAAAGCATTATTCTCATAGTCAGGGTCACCATTCATAGAATGGCTGTTTACAAACTGTGTTAACATATTCTTGTGTTCTTTAATTTATAATCATGTTACTGTGTAGAAAGCTGTTACAGAATTCTCTGTATTTTCATAGTTTGATATCTTAGCTATTTAAAATAAAAGGCCTGAGCAAAAACTTGACTTACAGAATAATGGGTTAGGCTTAAAACATCATTATTTTATTCATTATATTGCTATTCCAAAGGAAAGTCAATGACAACATCTTTAGCCTCGGAAACAGTCTTTTATACTATATTGGAACTCTCCAAACAAAAATTGCAATTGTAACAAAGTAAGTAGAAAAGTTATTTCATTTTCCCTAGCAGCATTTTGCTTATTCATCACCTATTTAGTAGCAGAAGAACCAGTAATTTGAGTTGACATATTTCAAAGCACAGATCTTGCCCCAGGGTTCAATCATATGCATTGTTAAACCTTGCTAATTACATATTTATGTAATAAGGTCATTCATGCAAGATTTGTTCTTGAACATGTGCCCTGTTGGAACTTTGGAAAAGTATATTATGGAAACATCTGTTAGTGGCCATAAAATTGCTTAAGAATACCTGGCATTCATTTAGCTTCTTCCATTTTAGTGTTGTTAGTATATTATATATAAATCAGAATGAGGCTACCTTATTTTAATATAAATTCTTACCTCCTTTGCACTGAATAGAATTCCTATGTGTTTGCAGTCCTGCAGCAACCCTACAGAGTAACTTCACAGCACTCAGCAACAAAAAGAAATTAAGAAATATCAGTCCTTTTAGTAAGTTTAAAAAGCAAATAATCTTTTTTATTATACATCAAGTATCCATCTTTCTCTTTTAAAGTTACTAATGGTGCTGTTCTCATTAGAATGTGGTGTTTCTGGGAGACAGTACTGGACTAAGCCGAACTCCTTGTTGTTAATCACCAGTGCCATGTATGACAAGTATCATTTTGGACAAGCTATATAAAAATCTCTGAACTTCAGTTTTCTCATCTCTACAATGGAAAGAGCTATTTCTATTGCTAGTAGTTGTGTGCTGGGATTACAGGCATGAGTCACTGTGTCTGACCTGATTTTTTTCCTTACCTGTTAGTTCTAGTTTGACTACCGTAAGAGTAAAATGGGAAAAATAAGATATGTTTTTTTAAGATAAATGTCAATCATCTTGTACTCACAAATCTGGCAACTGATAACCACATTTTTTTCTAGGTTTGCAAATATGATTATGTGGAGATCTGGAGTGGTCTTTCCTCTGAGTCTAAACTGCATGGCAAATTCTGTGGCGCTGAAGTGCCTGAAGTGATCACATCCCAGTTCAACAATATGAGAATTGAATTCAAATCTGACAATACTGTATCCAAGAAGGGCTTCAAAGCACATTTTTTCTCAGGTATAAGCATTCACATGTTGTATGTGTATATTACAGATTTTCAATGTGGGTTGGATTAAATTGTATGTGATCTATTTTTCATAGTTTTCTGTAAATGCAACTTGAAGATAAGTAGGCCTTACAAACAACACAAAAATAATTATAGCAATATTTTTATACAGTGACTTTACTCTTTACAGGTGGATGGGAATAATGATACAAGACCTCCAAAAAGGGGCAGATTTTTCAAAATAATTTTGCTTTGTGTTCGGAAAATGTAGTCTCATTTTAGCAACAGTTTTTTATCTTTTTATTTAGCAATGTATTTTTTCTTATTTTAATATATTTTCATTATTATTAAGTTAATATTAAAATTGTGCTTAGCCTCATCATTATAGAAATGGTTGCAGTAAGAAACCTAGGAACATGGAAATTATAATTTTACTAAATATAATATATTGTCAGCTGTATTTAATGGTTTGCACTTTTGTGTTTCAAATTTAACATTTAGTTTAAGCAGCTCAAAGTAAAATTTCCTTCTTAAAGAGCTGAAATTTTATAAAACTCCCCAGATTTTATGGAAATATATAAAAAACCAAGACATTTTTTTCTCAATCTCAGAATCATGCTTTATAAAAACATTATTTTGAAACTTCCAAAGTAGATAAAATTGCAATAAACCTTAGTATAGCAATCTATTCTGTCTTTGCAACTAGCAAGCAATTTAGAGCAACTGAATTCCAATTATGTTTTAATGTTAGGTAATTTGGATTGAGTTAATTCAAAGGCCGTTTATTCTGGTCCTCATGTGTTTAAAATTAATGAGATTTACAATGTCTAGGGTTTGTTTGGGGTTTTCAGTATAATTGAAGTTAATGGTTCACAAGCTCCATTGAGTTCCAAGTCATACAGAAAAGAGCCTCCAGAATACAATGGACCTCGGCTCCCGTGTTCTCATTCCCTTCTTTTTTCCCAGGTTAAATGACCTTTTACAAATGCTTCTCAGGTATTCATTTAAGATTTATGTTATTCAAAGTATAGTTTTAATATTTTAATGAAAATAAGACTTTTTAAGACTTCACTATTTTATAAATATTATGTGTGTTATAAAGTTTAAATGATCCCATGGTTAGGTAGAGACAAGGTTACTTATCTTAAAGCTATCTAAATATTTATTTTAAAAATTGAGATTATGAAGTAAATGATTTTTGTCATAATAATTAAAGTTACTAGTGAGTACTGTGTTCACTATTTGGGTGATGGGTTCAATAGAAGCCCCAAACCCCAACATTACGCAATATACCCATGTAACAAACCTGCACACATCCCACATGAATCTAAAATGATTTTTAAAAAGAAAGTGTTCAGGATCCTTTTTATGTTACTTTAGTCATATATTTAATTTTAAATTTTTTTAAGAAAAGAAACATGCTACAAATACTGACTACAAAGTATGATTAAATTTAGTTACCCAGAAAATTTAAAATTCCCTTTCTGATATTTTTGGTCAGAAAAAATTTTCCAAATTATAAAAACAGATTATTCGTGTCCTTAGAAACAGTACTGTTGAAATATAAGATATGCTTCCTTAATTGTTTGAAATACAGCTCTGAAGCCTTGTGCAGAAGATGCTGTTCTCCACCACATGAGCATATATGGTCTTTATTCTTCATCTCTGTGGAACTGTGCTTTGTAAAAGTAACTGAGCACCTTGGTAGTACTTGAGCCAATAACAGGTAATTTGCTGTAAATCATGTTCACTGATGCATACTTAGAACATGGATGATTTCAGAAAATCATCCATGTTTTAAGTATTTATCAGTGCACTTAAAATATATATATATGAATCAATTAACATGACAATAGTTTTCAAAGAGTCTAGCCTAGATTGTTTGATGGAGTATAAGCAGTTAACTAAACTGAACAATGAAGTTCATGAAGAAATTAAACCCCAAAGTTTCATTTCATATTGTTATATTCATATATTTCTATGACAGATGAGGCAGCTGAGGAGTTAAGTAAGCTGCTCAGTGTCACAGAGCATTTAAACCTAGTATCTCTTGGTCCAAAGACCATTCTCTTAACCGTAAGAACTGATCATGACCTTGGCAAATGGCATTAGTTCTTTTCCTTATGACCTGGAAAACAACAGCAGATATAATTTTCCCTTCTTTATTAGATTATTGTTTTGTAAAGTCCAAGACAATTATTATTAAGTATAAATTTTCAGGGTTCACTTTGTGAATCATTGAAAAGTCTTGGCTGTTTTTCAGATTGATATTTAAAATACTGTGGTTCTGGATGAGTGATTAGATCTATTTCACATTTAATTTCCTGGGAGTTTCTGTTAGTGGGAAAGATGTTTGCCCAGGAAAAGGGAAGGTTAAAAACATGTTTGTAATAAATTGCTGTTGTATTATCAAGAGATGGCAGAAAATAAGAATTTAGGTGAATAAATATCCTCATTATGATGATCTTATGAAGTCATAATTTACAAAAGATTATCTAATTTAATTGATGTCTGTTCACATTGCAAATATTAGATTTCTAATAATGCTTTCAGTGTGATAATATATAATCATATGTCAAAAGCCAAGTAATTCACTGTAACTACATTATTATAAAGTAGGTATGTCAACTATAAAGATATTATACTTCACAAACAAAATTGAAGTTTTCTTAAATGCTAAAACTCACTATGGGGGCTTTGATAAACTTCGTTACTGGATTTATTGTCACAAATTCTATAGAAAGAAATTTGGCATAGAAATCAAGAGTCATTAAAATGACTATTCTATTTGCCCCAGAAATCCCATTCATGGGACTTTTTCATCAAGAAATATCTCAAAATCCAGAAGAAGAATTTCAAAATAATATGATAGTGACAGAAATTTGGAGCTACCTAATAATTACGACAACAGGAAAATCGTAAATAAGTTATGGCAAATGCACTTTGTGGACTCTTCTGTGCTACAAAGATGGTTCAGCGATTCCACAGTGTAAAATGTTGTACGTGGTAAAATGTCAGTGGAAATCTAGGCATGAAACAGTGCATGCAGTGTCTACACAGCTAAGCATACAGGTTGGAACAAACCTGAAAGTTGCCATATAAAAATACCAAGAATGCTTGGTTAGGGTGGAAAGACGATGCATTATGGTTTTCTCCATTTTCTTCTCAGTTTTCTTTTAATTTAAATATAAAAATAAATATAAAAGAAAAAACTCCTATCATGTTTCCACCTATTACTGTTAGCCAAGTATTTCTAGTTTGCAAACACTGCCTTATAGACACCTATTTCTTCATTAGTTAATAAGTATTAATACAAGTGTATTTAATTGAGTTAAATTCCCAAAAATTTTATTACAGGCAATCTAATAAAGATGTTAATATATTGTATACATTAATCAAGAGATATTTTATAGACACATAGTCTAAAGTGGTTATGTTTATAGCCAGTGTTCTAAAAATTTCCGAAGTGGTTGTGGCTTTATGAAACCTTAACACAATATAACATGTTCAGCTATTTGTTCCACACTCTTTTTCCAAGAACTTCTAAGAATTTTCAAGGAACTCAATAATAGTAAAAAATAATATTTGGTAATAAGTGATTCTATAGTATTTGGAAAAGAAAGCTATTAAAAATAAAACTCTAGCTTTCTTTCAGTTAAGTGATACATCAGGAAAAAGACAAATATATTTAAGTTTTAACATACAATGAAATAATATATTTATAGTATTATTTTCAACATATCATTGTCTAATAAAATAATTGCATAAGAGATTTTAGCTATCCTTGCACATAGCCTCAGATTTTTAAAACAAACACTTTTTAGATTTAAGAAATAACATTGAAGGGATGTCTCTAAGAACTTTTTAGAGGAATAATTCACATCAGTTCCATGCTCATAAAATTAAGAAACTCTCATCTATCAATTCTGACTAAATATCATAAATGAATCATAAAAATGCTGTAGCTTAAAAATTAAGAAGTCATTGGATTTTATAACAAAATAATTTATAAGCTGCTCTATAAAAATCAGTGTAATATGCTACACTTATTCCAGGGTATATTTAAAGAGCAATACAATGAAGTAATATTAAAGCAAATAAAGAAATTAGGAAGCCAACATAAGACCATTTGGACATTATGTAGAATTATGTGTGTATTCACTTATTTTCAGGTAATTGAGAATATAGTGCCATAGACATTTTCTAGAAGATATATAGTCCAACAATAGATTGGTGTTATTTTCTTCGACTAAATGAGATTTGTTGCTAGATTAACAATAATGATTTCATTTATGTGATAGTAAAAGCAAACTTAATTTTATATGATATATTTGAGCACAAGTCTGCAAGTCTGCATAGGTATACATGATGCAATTTACTTAATTTTAAGTGAGGAAGCAAAGCTAAGAGTATTCCACTCAGAAGAGTTTCTTTTCTTTAAATGAGTTGAGCATAACAGAAATATTAGTTGGACTTTATACCTGAAAAAAATAGCACATTTGGGAACTTGACATATTTTAAATTTTTAATTATAGCATTTATTATTTGGGAATAATATAACAATGACTTCAGGCAATGAGAGTTGAGCATAGGCATTCTGCCTTTTATAGGCAACCCTGTATTAATGAAAAGATTCAGTTATGACTCTGCAATTCTGAGAACAGAAAATGTGAAGAATAATAGCAGTCTCCCTTGGGGAAAAATCTATTAGGAATGTGATCTAACTATTGCTGATAAGCCTAGGGACTTGCTCAAGGACAGAAACGGACTAAAACTCGTTTTCCGACTCCCAGTTCATTTCTGTCTGTAACAAATGGAGGAGTCACTTAAAATAATGTGTGCATTGCAATCTGTCTAGCTCTAAATTCAAGTGATTTCAATTGACATGCTCCTCATCTATCTTTCTTTCACTGTGTCTCGATATTTGTAAGTGTCCTTCTTGTCCACTGTTTCTCTCATGGAATGGTTGTTGATATTTGCAAATGAAATTCGACATGATATTACTCTAACAAAACTTTAAAGTGCTTAATTCCACACAGTAAGACAACTACAACTTTCTTGTATGATTTTGAATCCTGCTTCCAAGTTTTCATCATTATTGAAATTTAAATATTTGCATGTTTATAGAAAGAGAAAATTGTCTCTGTTGTAGCTCTCGTAGTGTTTATTGGTGCTTTTTGTAGGCGATTATTTACTGGATAGTTTTATGTTGGGCCTGTGTGTGCTGTGCATGTGTCCATTTATTTCAGATCCTGAACATTTAATTTGAGAATACCTGCTCTTGTATGTTTCTGTTCTGTTGCATGGACCATTGACTTCTTTTTCCTACAGATAAGGAAGCTTTCTGCAAAGAGAAAATTTTTATTTTTGAATCTTGCAAGAACTTGATACAGGTTGCAACTTCAGTGCCATCCAGTATGTATCATTCATAGACTGATGACCTCTGATAGTCTCAGAGGTTCGCTGCAGGCCTCTGATGGAAGAATACCCTCTTCCTTTTTCCTAATGATGGGCCTTTTCTTTATCTTCCATGAAGGAATGGAAAGCAGACATGTCCATTCCAAAGAAGGGGGCTAATTTCCTTCTGCAGAAAATAAATGCTTTTATTTCTCCTCGATAAAACATTTATTTCTAGCACTAAGTAAAACACTTTTTTTCTTCATTTTGTGTCTAGTGTATGAAAATGCCAGAAAATTTCAAATAAATTATTGATAGAAATTTCAATTATTAAATGTGTTATGCAGACATTATGACAAATGTTTAAATGTCTCTCCTTCTCCCTTTTCTCTTTCCTTGGATTTGTATTCTTGAAAACAGAGTTTTTGTCCTAAGAGCAGAAATAGAAAGTGAAAACAGAAGTTAATTATGTTTGCTAATAGCTTTTTCCCAAGTTTGATGACCTTTTGTAAATAGGAAATCTATAATATATTTGCAGAATTTATCTTTTATGAAGTTGCCATTTCTCATCAACATAAGAAATCCAAAATTGTATTCACTTTAATTAGAATAGTCTATTAACTCCCGTTCAAACAAGTGGTTTTAAAACAACCACACCATATTTACTACTCCGCAGACAAATTAAAATATTTTTCAAAATATAGTGCAAAATACCAAAATTTTTTTAGTCTGCATGATGTAAAACATCTGGATTATTTTGAGTATTCCAATGATTTCCTGAAATTTTCTCTTTTCATATGACTATTTGACACATGGAGGCACAGTTTTACATGCTGCATTTCAGGATATAATAACTTTCTTCTGCTGCCTTTAGATGCTATTTTGATTAGTTCAGTTTTGAATCTTAGCTTAAATTTAGACTAACTCATAAGTATATTCTAGCCGCCTAACAGATAACTTTTCATTTTCATGCACCCTTGATTAAATTATGCTATATCAGATGTGCGAATGAAGGCAGGAAACTCTGATAAGTTGGGAAAGTAAAAAATGACAGATACTTAGAGAATAATGACTATATAAATAATAATAATAACTCTTCTTCTTCCCTTTCTTATACTTGTTCTCTTTCTTTTCCTTCCTCTTCTTTCTTTTCTTTTTCCTTTTGCTCCTCTTCCTCCTCTGCTTTCTCTTCTTCCAAAAATTATTCTGAAATCATTATTATTATTATTTTTAGCACAACAAGAGTATTAATGATTGGCTACAAAATCATTGAAATACAATTGGTTTCATTTTTAATTTTATCTCTCTTTAGTTACTATTACTATAGGTCAGTTTTTTTTTTAACAAATCTTGAAATTAATTATACTCAAAAATATGAGCAAAGGACTTAACCTTTCCACTAGAATGAAGTTTGGATATTAGGGATATTTTATGTTTTGGAATTATTTTTATTATAAAATGACTGGATTTAAACACAGCAATAATGCATGTGTTATTGAATAACACTTGTGTTCACATTTGTATTTTAACATTGTTGTATGTTTCATGCATGGCAATCCAAATAGGTACCAATAAAAGGGTGATTCAGGCCATCTCTGCCTCCACACTGTTCGTCTCTGAGCAGTTCATCTGTTTATTAGTCAATTGCAAATGTGAACTAATTTTCTCTAAGCTGCTTTGCATACAGTTGTTAGGTTTCCAAGCTACTCTCAAAAGCCTGGTTGACCCAGGGTACAACTGAGCTTCACTCTATCGGGTCTTATATTAAGTATACCAAACCATCATTTTATAAACATTTTCAAAGGAAATATGTGTCTATTTCAGAATAATTCTGCCACCAGCATTTTCTTAATTGGTTCTTCCATTTAGCAGAGATAAATTCTACATTCACTCATAAGGAAGCATCTTTCTGAAGCTTCGTAAGGTAAAGAGCCTCTAGAAAGTCAGAGTGAAAAACAAATTCACGCAATTTACTGCTTAACTGTCTGCATTAGAAAATGCAGGCAGCTGATACCATGGTGGTAGGAAGTATCGTTTACTGTCCACCCATTCTGTAGAAGTCATTTATAATTCATAAACTATAATTCTCACTGTTGATACAGCTAATGGAATAGGAGTTCAAAATTATGGTAAATTTCTCTAAAATTAATTTTACAAATCTAATTTTCTATTAACTCCTGATTTTTTCTACATTTCGGTGTTTGATGCTCTTTCACAGAATAATTTTCTTTATTCTGCTTTCATTTTGTTTTGCTTTTTGCTTATTCTCGATAATAAGTGTTGAAAGAATAATGGAAGTGTCAAGGATAGGTGGAGAACACATAAATCACAAATACACTAATTATGATATATTCTTTAAAAACTGAGATTGCCTGTATGTATTTAAAATATTCAGATATTGCCAATGCATTCATATCACCTGTAAGCACATGTGTCATGTAATCCATCTTCAAATGTAACAAAATAGATGTACCTTTAAAAAGTACTATCAGATTCTTTGATGAAAATATCTTCCCTAACCTTTTTCCATGGAATGAATATTGAATTGATAAAAAAGCAAAAATAGAATAATTTCTAGGCCACCAAGAGCTTGCTAGTGCTCACTAGCAAAATCAGCTGAGAGTAACAATTTGAATTCAGCCTAACTCCTCATATGACTGTAACACGTCCTTTTCATTCTCTATGTGTGGGAGTGATGAAAGTCTGAGTGACGTGCCATCATGAATGTGTGTCAGGAGCAATCTGCCAGTTTTGACGTTAATGGACAGGCCAGCTATGGAACGACAGATGAGTGACATAGAGTGATGGTTGATGCCTCACCGAATTGACTGCCTGTTAATCTAGTTTGGCTTTTTTCCCTGTAGTGAATTTGTTGGCTATTTCTTGGGGCTCGTATTTCCTAGTCTAATCTTTACCTTACTTCTAGCACACTAAAAGCCCTTTTAGGGGATGACTTATTAATAAACTTGTCTACCAGAGTAGATTTGTTTAAAATATATAAATTTCATTTCTTCTTTAGAGTAGTTTAATTATGCCTTTTTTCTGCTTGGAGTGCTATGAAATGTCCAAATTCATTAATGCTAAGCATAACTGCAGAGTTAATGGGGAAAAAAATCAACTACAGTAATTATACTGAGTGATTTTTTTAAGTGATTACATACAAATCTTGGAACCTTGTTTAGCCTCTGTCTGTATACCATGGTTAATATATTGAAGGATATCCCTCTACTTAAATGCTATTTCTTGCCGCTATTCAAACTATGCACAATTTTAAATTTATTTTTTTAAATTGGCAATAAATGTTTAGGGTTAATTTGAAAAAAGATCTATTGATTCCCTCTTTCTCCTACCTAAAACTTCTACTCCAGCATAGGAATAAAAGAGGATTACAAGTTATTATCGTAGCGCTAATAGTCTTGGAAACTTGATTCATGGTACAACGCTTCAAGCTAAACAAGGAAAGGGTAAAACTAAGAGATCATACATTTTTGTTTGTTTTATGTTGGGAACAGGAGAAACCATGACTTAGTTTACCCTTTGGCAGTGTTAACCACAACTAAATGACTCCCTTTGATATCCTCTGTTTTTAAAGTTACTTACTAGACTATGGGATTGATCTCTTTGCTAGACAAAGATGAATGCTCTAAGGATAATGGTGGATGTCAGCACGAATGTGTCAACACGATGGGGAGCTACATGTGTCAATGCCGTAATGGATTTGTGCTACATGACAATAAACATGATTGCAAGGAAGGTATGGAACGGAATACACTTTTTTTGACAACATGTAGAATTTCATGTGGTTTGGGTAAAGCACTGCTTCCAAGTAGAGTTAATCATTTCAATGAGTGATATCATGGTGGGCTATCCAAATGTCAAAAAACAAAATTCTGTGTAATGTCCAAAGATCCAAGGCAGATGACTGGATCTGTACTTCGCACATAGATGGCATTAGAGTAGCTTTGTATAGCAGACATAGTAGCTGCTAGGATACCATCTGGTAGCCAGAAAAGCACCAAGTTCTCCCCAGGTCTTTGTGGAACAGACCTTATAACACTATGCATATTTAAACTTAACTTCTGCTAAATGTTTTGCATTTGATGTAATATTCCTCCCAAAAATATCTTGTATATCTTGTGCATGTGCTACATAAGTGATGTCCCTTTAAATACCAGGAGCATCAAACTCAAATGCCTACCAAAGGGAAGACATTTGAAAATGGTAGACACTGTGTCATTTAAAGTTTTAAGTCATGGTTTTGGTCCAGAAAAGCTTAATAGTAGCACAATCATACCCTACCAGATTTCGTCCCCAAGGCCTTACAAAATTCCAAAACTTTTTTAAAGCAGTAATCCTAATCCCCTTAGCCACTATGAACTGGATGAGAACAATAAATAGTTATTCAGCTCTTATTTCTTCCTTTGACAGTCTGTTCCCGAATTTTCTACTTAAATTGGATTTATGCATGTTTTGAGAGGAGAACTACTAAGGCAAATTTTATAACTTTAGTCACCAAATGTACATTGGAAGGTACCTGACTCTAACCACAGTTAGATAAGAATGTTTTGTGTAAACATTGGAATAATAGAGAATATCCTGAGTTGACCCTTGTTCCATTTAGCTCCTTTGAAATATGGTTACATGTCAGGGATTTTCTTTTTTTCATTGAGCTAATTACATTGTGCAGAATCATATACAAACAGGAATTTTTCTTTCTCTGCTTTCATGGATAAGCATAATATCCATAACTTGGTAAGATATGATATACTATTAAATCAATAGATTAGGAAATAGGCCCAGGTTTTTGTGGGTTTTGGGGTTTTCATTTTTGTTCTTGTTTTGAAACAGGGTCTGCCTCTGTCACCGAGGCTGGAATGCAGTGGGGTGATCTCAGCTGATTGCAGCCTTGACCTCCCAGGCTTAAGCAATTCTCCCACTTCAGCCTCCAAAGTAGCTGGGACTACAGGTGCACACCACCATGCCTGGCTAATTTCTGTATTTTTTGTAGAGACGGGTTTTTGCCATGTTGCCCAGGCTGCTCTTGAACTCCTGAGCTCAAGCAATCCACCTGCCACGGCCTCCCAAAGTGCTGGGATCGCAGGCATGAGCCACTGCACTTGGCCCAGGTTTTTATTTTTTGTTTTGCAGACATTGAAGGTCATTCAGAGAAAAAAACAAGACAGCTTTTATAGATTATACATGTAGCCTGTGGATCACAGGTAGCAAATTTGTCTGTTCATTACATAAATGATATAGGAAACTTCATAATAGATAAAACAACATCCAGACGCACTTTCATAAACTTGTCCTATTGCCAGGAAAGGGGTTGGATCATCTTTTACCTTCACTACGGTACATGCTCCTTGTGCAGTTTAGCAATGAGCCTCTCAACCTAGTCTCAGTGTCATCGCCACATCCTGCAGAGTTCACATTTCACATTGTGAGGCAGAGACAGGGACAATGGAATTTAGAAAACCCTTGTCATGACTGGATCCAAACTTTTAAGGCTATGTCTTGCTACCATAATCATAGATTATTAGACAGGAACTGAATTTTACCTTCCACTTTATTGTAATCTTCTGTTGCAAATACAAATCTCCCTGTGGAAACCTAGCACAATTAAGGTGAAGGTCTAGTATTAATGATTGCAGCAGTGGGGGCAGCAGCAACTACAGCAGGTGCACTAACTAATGTTGGGCATGTTACCCTTGCTGTGTGGCCCCGAAGGGTATAACAAGTGTGTTGTCCATTGAATAAAGTATTTCACCAAATATATTGCTCTGGAAATTTTAGAAAGTTATTTGTATTTTAGAATGGGATACACAGTACCTAACAAATAATCCCAGTCTAAACAAGGTTGTATGTTATAGAGCTTCCTAAATTATATAGAAAGAGCACAGCTTGAGGATATTAAATGTTTTTGAAATTTAACATTAACCATGTGGAATGATCTTGTCTAAAATGAGGTTATTTTAATTGTAAAAAAAAAAAAAACCCTTAAGTAATTATACTGATTGAATGAGGTATCCTTTGAAGTTGGTTCAGAAGCATCTCCAGGGCTAGTAGCTGTTCATTTATCATTCCCCTTAGTGCTTCCATTTGCTTTGATAAAATTAGGGCTAATTTATTTTAGAAGCTAAAATTATGATGTAGGTATTCAAGTGTATATTTAACTAAGAGAGAGAGAAAATGTAAATACATGATTCATAAGGTGCCTTAATGATATTAATTAGCTGTAAATGATGTTTCCTTTATAGGAAAAAAATTGAAAATGGCATAGTCCAATGATGTTTGTTTGTGACATTGGATTAAATACACCCAGTGTGGATATTCTCGACTGTCAATATATGTTGCACTGTTAAAGTCTGAGCTACAGACCCATCAGTTTAAAATAAAAGTTCATTTTCTTTTAGGCATTTATCTGATTTATGGTAAATACTTAATTTCATGTGAGGCAGACAACAAACATTGCCTGATTATACTCAGCAACGTATTTTCCAGAGCAGATGAATATAATAACCGACACGGGAGTGAAAATTAGCTGGTATTCAGGAAAATCTTTCAACAGGGCAGTGGGTAAATAGGCTGCTTGCTTTCTGCCTCAAACCTGGGCTGGATTGCCACACTGTCTGATATTATGGTTATTGGTGCAGCTGAGTGTGAACAGAAGATCCACAGTCCAAGTGGCCTCATCACCAGTCCCAACTGGCCAGACAAGTACCCAAGCAGGAAAGAATGCACTTGGGAAATCAGCGCCACTCCTGGCCACCGAATCAAATTAGTAAGTGAGCACATCCTTTTTCTTTCCATTAAGCTGACTGCCCTTGTCTTTCACTACAAGCACTTGGAAATAAAATGGAGGTTTATCTAATTGAATCGAATCGTAGGCAGCTGGAAAAGATTTTTTGTCTCATGCTTTCCTACTTGCACTAAAATCCTTGACTTCCTAGATCAAGGTGACTGCCACGTTGTTCTCCTCTAGGGTTTCTTATCCTGGATGTTTTAAAAGGCATTACCAAAGTTGCTGCAAAACAGTAGTCTTTACTTCCTAATGTATTACTGGTAATTATATTTCCAAATTTGGAAAATAAACGATGGAACAAAAAAATCGGAATTTGCCAGAAAGCGATAGAATAATATTTCACTTAAACCCGGCATAACATATTCTACTGGTTATGCCAATTGCATATACATACGTATTTTTCATAATAGAATCAATTTTGTCTTGTGGTTTACAGAATATTATTTTTGCATGATGTATTGCCCTCTGTACAAAGATCCTGATTTCCTTAGATTTTGCCCACATTTTATTCGGCATGAGTAATTCAAATATGAGTATAATGTCTCATCTCTCCTGCATTCTTTGCATTCTGCATTCTGGCCTGGTCATAAATAATAACCTGATAATAAATGTTAAATTTCATTATAGGCCACAGAGTGTTTAAACAGTATAATCTAAAGAAATAAAATTATAGAATGTAGAAATGTTAACAATTTCCTGCAATATGTTGTTTTTAGAAGCAGAAGGCAGTGCCAACTAACAAGGCTCAGGAAAGAGCCTAGCAGGCACTATAATATCAAAAATTGTCTGAGGAGTGAGACTACCAGTCCAAGGTAGCTCACTAGATCAGTCCAATCATAAGCTTAATTTTTAAATTTCTTGTTTTGACTCTTCCCTTCAGTGAATATTATTGGCCAATAAAAAGGCCTTATTTATGTACAACATTATAATAAAATCAGAGACAGTCACCAAGAAATTCATATTCTTAGTATGGAGGTCCTTCCAATCTCTATACTTGTAAGTGACTTCCCAGACAGAGTTATCAATTCATTTCAGCCACACTGTTGAAGGATACTAAATGCTGAAATGACAGCACTAGAGGAACTCAACTGCTCTCCAGTCCTGTCCAAGGTCCTGATTGAGAGGATGATTCCCTGAACCTTATGGTAGCTTCCTGAGCCTTATGGGCTGAAATATAGAGGCTGCATTCTTTTAAGGCGTTCATTTTCTTAAGAGAGTTGGAAAAATTGATTTTCGTGGAGACATTTCTTTGTCTCAATCCAAATTTTTTTTGGGTATCATATTCTTTCTGAAGAATTTATTTTTATATTTTGTATAAAGTATGTGCATTAGCACTTTTGAAAGCTGTTTTCATTGCATATAGAATTCTAGGATGACAGTTTTCTTTCTCCATCTTGAATGATTCCATTTTTTTTCTGGTTTACATAGTTTTCCATACTTCTTTTGTAAATCTTATCTTTATTTCTGTGTTAAGTCGTAATTCTTTTTCCTATGGCTGCCTTCAAAATTTTCTTTTTATCAGCAATTTGAATATAGTGTATGCAGGTGTATGTGTTTGTGTGTGTGTATATTTCTGTTTAGTAATTTTTTGGTATTTTTCCTTCTCAGAATTCTCTGAATTTCTTACATCTGTATTGTGGGGTCTGTCATTAATTTTTGAAAATTCTCAATTGTTATTTCTTCATATAATTCATCTGTGCCATTGTCTGTCTTCTGGGATTCAAATTACTTATGGGCTAGATTGTTTGCTGTTATTCCTCAACTCTTGGATATTCAGTTCATTTTTTGCCCTTCTTTCTGAGTTTAAGTTTCAGTAATTTCTATTGACCTGTCTTCAAATTCAGTAATTATTTCTTTGGCTGTCTCGAATCTACTGATGAATTTGTCAAAAGCATTCTTTATCTCTATTACCATGTTCTTTATTGCTAGCACTTACATTTCACTTATTATAGTTTCCATTTGTGGTAGTCTGTTTGGGCCGCCATAACAGATTATCACAGACTTATGGCTTAAATGACAGAAATTTATTTTCTCATAGTTCTGGAGGCTAGAGGTCCAAGATTAAGTTGGACTTAACAAGGGTTAGTGTCTGGTGAGGCCTCTCTTTCTGGCTTGTATATGGCCTCCACCTCACTGTATCCTCACATGGTATTTTCTTTGTGTATTCATAGAGAGAGACAGAGCTCCAGTGTCTCTTACTCTTCTTATAAGAATACCAGCCCTATAGGATTAGGGCTGCATCCCTATGGTTTATTTAACCTTAATTACCTCCCTAAACATATCACATTGGGGGTTCGGACTTCAACATTAATTTTAGAAAAACAAAATTCAATCCATAACACCATTTATCTGCTGAAATCTCCCATCTGTTCTTGCATATTCTCTACATCTTCACTAGAACCTTTAACTTATCAATGTTAAATTCGTAGTTCCTTTAAATTCCATTTGATATAAACATAGGGGCCATGTGCTCGAGTCTGTTCTGTTGATTGTTTTGTCTCTTAGCAGTGTTGTTTTTATTTTTCTTGCCTTTTTGTGTCTCTTTTTTTATTAAAATAAGACATTATGTATGCAATAATAGAGACTTTATGTCTGGAAACGGATGCATCTCTTGTGTTAGGTTATTAGTGTATTTATGTGTATGAAGGAGGGTGTTAGGTGGATCTAATCAGGAATTAAGCCAAGATTGGGTTTTCTTGCCCTATTATTATCTTCATTGCACCACTGGCTTCAAATTCCTTTTTCTTAGGGTGGAGGCTGGGATTTAAGAGGTGTTTTCTCAATGCTTCTATTTTACCCTTACCTTCTCTGTTCATCCCCAGTGCAAATATTGTTCCTCTCCACCCTTTTTTGTCTTTATCAGTGGTAGGTGGCAGTTGCTTGTTACTTGGTGCTTGTTAGTCTGGTGGTGAAGGCGAGGGGTTCTTTATTATTTCAGTACAGACTCCACCTTAGGCAGGCCCTGCATGTTCAGGTCTTGGTGTTGAGCTTTCTCAGTGATCCTATTTCTTCTCTTCATGGCAGTGAAACTCTGTCTATATATCTTATGAGTCTTCCATGGGAGAGAGTTTCTTTTCAGTCTCCTAGTGGTAGAAGATCTCTAATATTACTGGCATTTGATCCTGAATCCAGGACTTCCCCTAGGGGTAGTAGGTTTTGTTTTTGGTTTTATTTTGTTTTGTCTGTTTTGTTTTAACATTTCCTCTGCCTCCAGTGGGTCTGTACCTTTGTCGTAGGGGTGGCAGGGTTTTCTGCTTCTCCTTCAGAGGCTTACAGCTGTGTTTTCTGAAGAAGGATTACAATGAGGCTTCAGACTTTTCTCATGGCAGTGACCACTTCCCTTTCTCAAGCCTGAAACACCAAGGAAGGCACTCATGCACCTCCTGCTTTTTCCACAAATGTTCTTGTGAGCAGGAGATGGAGGTCCATGGAAAAGGATCTGTAAGTGTGTGCAAGCTCCCCTCGTATCTGCAGTTTCCGTTAGTTCTATCCTCTTCTCCTCATCCACACATGACCTTCACCAACCCATCACCAATTTTATCAGAATGCTTTTCACCTGGCTGTATGATACCAACATCTCTTCCTCTTGTAGTCTGCCACTATCACATCTTTCCTTGGAAGGACCTGACATTCAGTAGACTTCAGACTACTGTGATTTCCATACATTGATGTGTTCAATCAAAGTTGTTATTTTTTTTTTTTTACACTCTACATCATGGCTTTTTCTTGTTGTCAGGGTAGAAGCAAAACTAGTTCCAGCTTTCTATATCCAAGGGGAAGTAGAACTCCTGATATACCCCGGTTTTAAAAATAGCAATACTCAATCCATTCTCAATTATATATCTTTCAGCTTGAAACATCCCATCTAACTCTAGGGCAATCTGTTCCTTCACACATTGCAGGATTTATTTTTCTTGCCAATATTCGACTTGAGAATTAGGACATAAAGCATGTCTGTTCAACAATGGTCATACCTGCTGGTATCCTAAGAAGGTAATATTCAGAAGCAAAATGAGAGCTTTCACACAGTATTAAACTTTATTTTAGGAATTGGAGTTTGTGTTTTTTGTGGAAGTAAGTACAGTGTAAGCCAGGTTTTTTCAAATGCTAGCATGTGTCAGAATTACCTGGAAGGCTTGTGAAAAGACGCATTGCTGCCACACCAGAACTTCTGATTCAGAGCATAATATTGACTCCTACCATCCTATCCCATGGATCATATTCATATAAAACCTGACTCTCAATATCATCCTAAGAGCCAGGGTTAGTAGAAAGTGTGTCACAAAGGATTAGCCACCAACTCCAAGTAACATTTTTGTTCTATATTTTTTAACTCTTGCCATTTTGACATTATAATTGCTTGTGTTTCCCCGATTGACTTTCTGCATGTAATGTAACTGTTATCTAGTGTTATCTACTTTAAAACTGAAATCACTATTATTGCGTATATCAGCCAATAGTCATTTAGTGAACAATACTTTATAATAACAGTTCAAACCATTCAATCATCTACTCGTGTACTTTGACATTTATAATACAGGAAATTTCATCAAGATGTTACAATGCGCAAAATAAAAGCATTTTGCCTGATTTCTTTAGGATCTTTAACTTTTTTGTTTTTGTTTTGTTTCGTTTGTTTTTTTGGAGGTGGAGTCTCGCTCTGTCACCCAGGCTGGAGAGCAATGGCGCAATCTCAGCTCACTGCAACCTCTAACTCCCAGATTCAAGCAATTCTCCTGCCTCAGCCTCCCGAGTAGCTGGAATTACAGGCGCCTGCCACCACCCCTGGCTAATTTTTGTATTTTTGTAGAGTCAGCGTTTTGCTATGTTGGCCAGGCTGGTCTCGAACTCCTGACCTCAGGTGATCTGCCTGCCTCAACCTCCCAAAATGCTGGGATTACAGGAGTGAGCCACCGTGCCCTGCTAGGTGGAAGAATTTCAACCAAAACTGTAATTTAGAAAACAGTTTCAATGAAACTTGAGAAATTATGAAATATTTTAATCTTCTTAGGTCAAGAACTCCTGATAGATACTTGGTTACCAACTGGCTTCATTATGGGCAAGGGCAGCGATGAAAGGCAAATAAAACACTTGGGTCCCTATGTATACAGTGGAACTTTCTTCACAGTTCATGGATTGATACCCCTTTTTCTTTAGGCAGGGTGGGAAAATAAGAAAGAAAGAATTTTTTTTCTTTTTTAAATTTATGTTCTCATTGACAGATAAAATTGCATGTATTTACCATGTACAATGTGATATATTGAAGTATATGTACATTGTTTAATGACTAAATTTAGCTAATTAATATATGTATTATTCATGTTTTGATCATATTTGTGGGGAAAAAACACTTAACATCCACTATCTTAGCATTTTTAAGAGTATATTATTAACTATAAGTCACCATGTTGTATGATAGTTCTATTGAATTTATTCCTTCCATCTAACTGAAATTTTGTATTTTTTGACTGACATCTACTCAACCCTTTCCCATCTCAACCACCCTAGCCTTTGGTCAACACCATTCAACTCTCTGCTTCTTTAAGTTTGATCATTTTAGATTCCACATGTAAGTGTGACCATGTAGTATTTATCTTTCTGTGCCTGGCTTGCTTTATTTAACATAATGTCCTGCGGTTTCACCCATGTTGTTACAAATGACAAGATTTCCTTCATTTTGTGGCTGAATATTCCTCCACTGTGTATATATACCACATTTTGTAATCCGTTCATCCACTGATGGACACTTAGGTTCATTCCGTATCTTGGCTATTGTGAATAGTGCTGCAGTGAACATGGGAGCAACAGACATTCCTTCAACATCCTGATTTCATTTCTTTTTGATATATACCCAGTAGTGAAATTGCTGGACCATAGAGTAATTCTATTTTTAACTTTTCGAGGAGACTCCATACTTTTTTCTGATGGCTGTACTAATTTACATTCCCAACAACAGTATGCAAGGATTCCCTTTTCTCCACATCCTCACCAACACTCGTTATCTTTTGTGTTTATGATAATAGTCATTCTAGCAGGCGTGGGGTGATATCTCATTTTGGTTTTGATTTGCATTTTCTGGATGGTTAGTGATGTTGAGCATTTTTTCAAATACCTGTTGGTTATTTGTGTCTTTTCTTTTGAGAAATGTCTATTCAAGTCCTTTGCCCATAAATAAGTTTATTCGTTTCCTTGTTATTGAGTTGTTTGAGTTCCTTTTATATTTTGGATATTAGCCTGGTATCAGATGTATGGTTCATAAATATTTTCTCCTATTCTGTAGGTTGTCTTTCCACTCTGTTGATTGCTCCCTTTCCTGTACAGAAGCTTTTTAGTTTGATGTAATCTCATTTGTCTATTTTTGCTTTCATCGTCTGTGTTTTTGGAGTGAAATCCAAAAAGTCATTGCCCAGACCAATGTCATGGAACTTTTCCCTATGTTTTCCTCTAGTAGTTTCATAGTTTTGAATCTTATATTTACGTCTTTAATTCATTTAGAATTGGTTTTTCAATATGGCGTGACATATGGGTCTAATGTTATTCTTCTGCATGTGGATATCCAGTTTTCCCAATGCCATTAGAGGAGACTGTCCTTTCCCTATTGTGTGTTCTTGGCATCTTTGTCAAAAATCAGTTGGCTGTAAATGTGTGGATTTATTTCTGGACTCACTATTCTGTTTTATCAGTTTATGTGCCTGTTTTTATGCCAGTATTACGCTGTTTCGGTTACAATAGCTTTGTAGTGTATTTTGATATCAGGTATTAGGATGATTCTAACTTTGGTTTTTTTGTTCTTAGGTTTTTGTTTTGTTCAAGATTGCTTTGGCTATGCAGTCTTTTTATGGTTCCATACACATTTTAGTGTTTTTTTTTCTATTCCTGTGAAAAAATGTTATTTGTGTTTTCTTTCATCAATGTTTTATAGTTTTCAGTGTAGAGATTTCCACTTACTGGGTTAAATTTATTTCAAAGTATTTTAATTTTTGGAGCTGTTGTAAATGGTATTGTTTTATTGATTTCTTTTTCAGATAGTTTATTGCTAGTAAATAAGAATGCTACTGATTTTTGCCTATTGATTTTATATCTTGCAACTTTACTGAATTTATTTATTACTTTCTAATAGGTTTCTGGTGGAGTCTTCAGAGTTTTCTCCGCATGAGATTGTGTCTTCTGCAAACAGGGATAATTTAACTTTTTTTTTTTTTCAATTTGGATGCCTTTTCTTTCTATGGCCTAATTGTTCTGTCTAGGACCTCCGGTACTATACTGAATAGAAGTGGTGAGAGTGGGCATCCTTGTCTTATTTCAGATCTTAGAGGAAAAGCTTTCAGCTTTTCTCGGTTGACTATAATGTTAGCTGTGAGTTTGTCATACATAGTCTTTATTGTGTTGTTGCACATTCTTTATATGCCTAATTTGTTGAGAGGTTTTTTTTTTATCATGAAAGGATGTTGAATTTGCCAAATGCTTTTTTCTATTAATATGATCAGATCATTTTTGTCCTTCATTCTGTTAATGTCGTGCATCACATTTATAGATCTGTGTATGTTGAACCATCCTTGCATCCTTGGGATGAATCCCACTTTATCATAGTGAATGATCTTTTCAATGTGCTGTTGAATTCTGTTTGCTAGTATTTTGTTGAAGGCTTTTCATCTATGTTCATTAGTGATACTGGTCTTCAGGTTTTTTGTTGCTGTTGTTGGGTAATTGTCTGGTTTTGGTATAAGGATAGCACAAGATTTCTACATGTTCCCTATTCAGTTTAGAAGCAAGGAAAAGAAAATTGTCACTGAAGACAATTTTATGAGACAATTTTTTAAATCGTAGTTTATGAATTTTGAAAGCCTACTGTACTTTCTAATCCAAATTGTTCTCTAATTTGATATATGGTTTCACCGAGTGACATGTAGGTAGTGGCTGATAGGTATAAACAAGCTTTCTTTCACTGTGTCTGAGATAACAATTATTTTGGTTAATTTGGGTTATAAGACTATAAGCTCAAAAAGATATTTAGATGATCTAGCAGTTATAGATAATAGGAATTACAATAAAATTCCTATGTGCCCTTTGTGAGATAGGAGCATTTGTGTGCATGGTGTTCATTCACCGTATGTATATTCACTTTACAGTATGATTATTTAAATATAATATATATTACTGTACATTAATATGAGAACTGAACTATCAGAGTCAGTTTATTATAGATTTTTATCGAGACTTAGGCATTATAATGCAGTTATTACCTTTTATGGACTGTTCTAGTTATCTACTGCTGCATAGCAAATTATCCCAAAACCTCATGGCTTAAAATGAGCACTGTTATATCTCATAGTATGAGGGAGTGGCATCAGTATTTAAGTAGTACTTTGCTGGTAACTTTTCTGTTGCATGTGACATTGATTGATTCACCTGGGAGCATATGTAAAGGGTCAAGGTGGTTGCAATTGTATGTCTGTCATCTTGATGTGGAGGGCTAAAAGGCTGACTCAGCTGGGACAACCATAGCACCTACACATGACCGTTGCAACATGGCGGTCTCAAAGGAACCAGACTCTTTTCTGTCAATCCTGGATCCCCAAAGTGTCCCAAGAGGCCATGGAAGCCTCAGAAGCCCTTGAATGTAACTTTCGGAACATTCTGTTGGTAAAGCAAATCGCTAAGTCTGGCCAGGATTCAAAGGGAGGAGAATTAGACTAGAAACACACAACCTTGCCTTCCCAATTTAGACTACTGACCTCCACAGCTGTAGAAGAATAAATTTGTGTTGTTTTAAGGCATTAAATGTTTGGCAGTCTGCTACAGCCAAGACACACAAAAAACACATTTGCTTTGTTTTTATTATGCGTGTGTGTGTTTATTTAAGCATGAGGTACTGACTGCATGATTATAGCTTTAAAATACAAAGAAATTGCAGTCAAAAGATGCTTGGGGAAAAAAAAGTCTTCTTGCTAGAAAAGGGACAAAGTTCTAAATGTGTAAGTACAAGTATCTGTTATCCCTGTTTTTATCCTGTCTTGGTTCTGAAAGACTCTGATCATTAAATTTGAGGGTACCTTTTTACCTTTTGAATTAATGTTCATTCAAAACAAAATACAAACAAACAAAGTTCTAGGCATCCAAGCATACTTCAATAAGCTAATGTGCTTCTATCATTTTTAGTTGATTTATCATATCCTTGAGTTTTGGAGTTCTGCTATATAACATACAGTTACAAGTTATAGCTTTATATATGGGATATTTAAAAAACAAAAACATCTACAACTGTTAAATAATTATCCATCATAAATCCATAAAAATATATTTGATCACAGTTATAGAGGACTCATGGAGAAAAAAGGTTCTTTTGAATCAGGAGACTGAGGTTTGTACTCCATGACGCCATTTTTTTCCAGTGGCCTCTAATCCTTCAAATATTTTGTGGGAAACCAAATGCCAGCTTTTACCAAAAACAGGATAAGGTGAAAGATGGCTGGGACTGGGGACCTCTAAAGCTTATCTTACAGTTGCTCAAATTGCATCAGTCTCTTTACTTCTTTTAGTTTAAATGTTCACCCTTGCTAAATTTTATTTCTGCATTAAGTGCTATCATTTTACTATCTTGTCCTTTGTGAATATATGCAGTTACTCTGTAAGGCCTCATTCTTTAGCTATTGCCTGTATGTTCAATAAAAGAACCTCTACAGATGTTCATATGAGAGAACAGCGTCTGGAAGCCTGGCCAGGGGCCAGCCAGGTAGATTAGGCTTGCTTGGGTGTTCCAGAAATAAAGTTATTATTTCCACAGCCTATAACGAGAGTTCAATTTTATTTCTTTTGAATTGGACTCCTTAATCTCTTAGCTTGCTTGTCTTGTGGGAAATGCATTAGGATTTCTGACTAGGGCCCATGGTTATTCACTTTATTTTTGGCCTTTCTAAAACCCAGATTAGTAACCCTGAAATTATAGAAATATAATCATGGAATGAGTATGCTTTAAAGTTTTTTAATACCCAAATACTTATAAAGTCTTAAACACTTAAGAAAAATATTTAAGTCTACCAAAGGAAGATAGTGCTTGAGTGGAAATCCAAGTTCCTTACAGCTTTATACATTCAGCCTTGCTGGCTATCCTGTCTCCATTGTGAACTTCCAAGACTTTTCGGGAAACTAAGTGTCTTCTGGGGACATTTCTGCGGCATTGGTTCCTGGTGGTTGGAAATGTGCACATTCTTTATTATTTAGATATTGAGATTCATGGTTCAGCTTGTGTTGTAGAATAAAGTGATAAATGGCATATCACACCTTGTCATCATGAACTCTGAAAAATATTTTAGAAGTTTTTCCTTTCCGAAGAGTTCCTATAATACATTTCTATGGCCTGGAAATATTTTCTGTTGATGTAAAGTCACTGTGTATGGAAGGTTCTCTGTGTGGGTATCTTTACTATACAAGGGACAGACTTCCGAGATCTCAGCCTGTGAATTAGTCACACCTTTGCTTGTGTGTGGTGGAGCTTTTAGTTCAGGCTGATTTCTGGAAAAGGACCACCCAGCCTTGGCATTTGACCTAACAAGTTGCTACCTATTCCAAAAAGAAAATTCATTAATACCTTAATGAATGAGAGTTGTCTGCATTACTAGAGTATATGTCAGCTATGGAACCTTTGACTAATATGACTCTTACAGACTCAGTCTGATTCCACCAGTAATTTGATAAAGAGCTGTAGCCAGTTGGCACCAGACCAGCTGTCAGTATGGCCCCCAGCACACCAGCTCAATGCTACTTTGTGTGGTGTTGCTCCGTTCTGTTAAGCAGATGTTATGATTTAGGCCAGACGTCCTGCGTTTCATTAGGAAGAAAAATAGTCACCTATTTATCTCATTCATTCAGTCTTCAATGGACCAATCAACGGACTGAACATGTGTGGTCTGTAAACTCTGATTCCAGCTTTAGCCATTACTTATAGCAAATACTTTAGAATGCCACTACCTCCAACTTTCTTAAAATACTCTCTTCTATGCAGCAGGTTTCCCTGGTTCTTTGCTCTTTATATTTACAGATTAGTGACTTTAAATCACAATCAAAAGAGATACTTGCTCAACATGCAGTGGTTTTCAGATATTCTTTTCCTGAACCAATGTTTTTCCTCTTGAAATAACATTATATTTATAATTCAGAAGCTTAGTTTCATATTTAGTAAAGAACTCTAGGTGCGGTTAAGCCAATTTTCTCATAGTGGTTTCCTATCAATTACAAACTGATGTTAGGAGTGTATATATGTACACAATGGTAATAGAAGCAGACTGCTATTTCATGAGAGGCAGAAAATGAGATTTAGTAGGCCCTGTCTGTAGAATTTTCATACTTGAGGTTGGCCATAAACGTCAGCTAGGTTTTTGGGTAAATACATTGACAGGTTTATGCAAACATCCATATACTTATTCAGAATCTTCTGCATCCTACGCAATGTGTGTACTCCACTGGGTTACAGAGATTAACAAGTGACACATTCCTTCAGTTATCACCTGCTTTGCATGTTGTGCTTCAGGATAAATAGACTCTACTGATGTCTCCTTGTTCACTGTATTTCCCTACGCTGTCTTCTCTTTCCAGTGAGATTCTTTGTGGTATGTTCAGTCTTTTTGTACTAGCCAGTATCTTTGATCAAATGAAGTAAGCCTTCCTTTTCATCCATAATGATTATAACAAACAATTACTCTAATGCTTATTGGTTATAATTTTTTTTATTTCTACTTTTTAAGTAGAGTGCAGTGGAAAGAGACAAAAGAGAGATCAGCTTTTTTTCCCCCTTTTCTTTCTTCCGTTAAGTAACTCCATTCCTTTCTTCTACTCCCTAGTTAATATGAATTGTTTATTTCATTTCTTTCCTCACTCCTCCGAAGTCAGAAGTGATAGTGGGTGATGTAGTGTGGTATGGAATAGACAGTGGATTCACACTGAGACAGAGCAATTTTTAGTCTCTTTTGTTTTGTATGTCTTCAATTAGACTGAACATTATGATCACTTCAGTAAAACTGTATCAAAGAAAATAAGTATATTAAAATTTATGTGCCAATATTTTGTTGGAGGGATTATAGCAAATTAACAAAGTTTGAAATATATTTCATACTTTTTCATGTTTATTTGCTTTATAATATTTTAGTTTTCTTCTATAGACTTAAGTAGGAATGGCGGCTTTATTTCTTCAATGTATGATGGTTTTTCTGGGGAAAGGAAAGAGCCTTTGGCAATGGCAAATAACCTGTAATTTATGTAATTATTAATAGCTTGGACAATATTATTTTCAGTCCATCTCAATTAAACTTTGCTTTGTGATCTGTAGTGTGTTATACATTTAATTATTTTTTATTTTAAATGTGCTAAGTCACACAGATGAAAATTACAACACAGGTAAATTAGAATAGTTTTTAAATGTCATAAATAAGAGCAAAGCATTCAAACTCTCCAAGATGTCCAATATTAAAATAAGTGTACCATCTACATGAAAAGTAAATTAAAAATATTCTAGCATTAAGTATTATCAGTGTTTGCTAATGATATGGTTTGTAAGAGCTAAATAAACAAATATATAGTGAAAATTATTCTCCTTTCATTTATGCTATGAAGATTTGTTGCATTTAAGTTTTGTAAAAATATAATAATACTTTATTGAGTTTAGTTTAAGTGCCTAAGGGTAGGATAATGTTCAACGGGTTCTATGATTATCAAACCCAGAAGGACCCAATCTTTTAATATGATTGTTTGAAATTTTCTGATGAATCCTTTGGATTAAATTCAGAATAAAATACCATTTTTTATATTCTGTTTAAATTCTGAGATTGAATTGCAATAGTAGAATTGGTTTTAATAGCCAAATAGTGGAATTTCATATGAAGTTATTACATTGTTTTCCTCATTGTGTCTTTTTAGAGATTACATATTTTATTGATTTCACCTTTCTTAATTATGCTGTAAATGTGTTAAATTATTAGTATGCCCTGAACATATTTTATTGATATGTATTTCTGTCCCAAAAATTATCTCATTTTGAGTGATTTGTTTTTTTTTAAAAAAATTATTTCTTCTTTTTAAAAAAGGCCTTTAGTGAATTTGAGATTGAGCAGCATCAAGAATGTGCTTATGACCACTTAGAAGTATTTGATGGAGAAACAGAAAAGTCACCGATTCTTGGACGACTGTGTGGCAACAAGATACCAGATCCCCTTGTGGCTACTGGAAATAAAATGTTTGTTCGGTTTGTTTCTGATGCATCTGTTCAAAGAAAAGGCTTTCAAGCTACACATTCTACAGGTCAGCAAATTCAAGTCATGCTTCTCTTTTTTGACTGAGATCCAGGTTTTTCTTCTGGTGAATTTGGTTCAATAATAGGATTGTAAATAAATCTCCAAGCATAGCAGATAAAATTTCACTGAAGCACTTTGTGAAATATTTGCAGAACCATACAGCATCCTACCTAAAGATCTTTGCAGTTGTTGAGTTTTAGGAAAACCCTAGTTTCTGTCTGATTTGTGATCAGTGCAGTTTGTTTAAGTAGAACAGTGCAGTTTGTTTAAGTAGAACTGTACCTAAATATTTATACAATGTATTTCATATTAACATTAGCAGTTTGATTTACATGTTATATTTAACAGATAGAAATCTATGGCTTGTTATTAAAAATGTGTGTTTTATCTAATAACCTATCTGATTAGCTAGATTTTACATTAATATATTTTTATAAATAAGTTTAAGACTGATCTATTTGACAGAGCCTCTATTTTTCCTTTGTTTATTTGGTATGCAACATGATCTTTTGCCTAATCCTACTCTCTAATTTACTCTTACAGATTTCGACTAACTGCTCTGGAAATCTTAAAGAAATAGAATTTAATTTAGAAAAATATGAAAAATTTTAGACAAAAATATAGAGTAACATTACTTATAGTTTGGAGACAGTTTAGTTATATGTTCCATAAAATATCTAGAGAATGTGCCCTTTTCATTCAGTTAAGACAGTATATCAGTTAAATGTATATTAGCTAGTCATTTAGCTTATACTGACACCTAGTGGCATTGCTGATGCATAAACGATTGATACACGGGAGAAATTTGCCTTGGTGGAAAACACAGTATAAAAACAATACAAATTCATCCATGAAATAATTTTAGTGAAATTTTGTCATGAATTTCTGCAGATTGTTTTTATTCTTTCACTTGATTTTGTAATTCATAATTTTAACTATTCCATTATCCAACATTATTTTTCATTCTAGTATATTTTATTATGAGCATTAGATTTATATTGAAGTCTGTGATAAAGATATTGTCAGGATACTAATCTGATTAATAATAGTAATCATTGGTCTTCTATCAATAATGCAAATTAATTGCTTCTTATGATTAATATAAATATAAATATTATGGCATGAGGAAAATCTTACATGGACCAGAGAAATGTCAGGCTAATGAGAGATTTTCCACACATTTGACATTTACTCTTTGAATATTTTTCTTATAACTTGTCACCTAATGAAGGGGTGGAAAAATAAAATCCTATTACTTAATCAATATTTCACTGATAGCGCAGAGTTCATCAGATTTTAGAAAATATCGTCATCATAGGTTCCAAGAAGGTAGTGTGAAAATATACTGTCAAAACTGTTTAAATAGCTGATGATATAGTATTTTAAGATTATGTATTTTTTCTTAGTTTTATAAAAACTTACTTTTATACTGTCTCTTTTTACCCCTTGTAAGTGGGATAACTGAGGTTCCATTATGTCCCAGTGTGTTGGTACATCTGGGTTCCTGCTACAAGTGAACCCTTAACTAGCAGGAAACTTTTGAAAAGATCATTTCTTCAGATCTCAGTTTTCTCATCTGTAAAATAATACTCCCAAGGTTACTTACAGCAGTAAAACTCCATAACTCCCTAATTTGCATGACTTCTGCCCGTGCACGCCATTTGCGGTGTTTGCATTATGATTAACATTCCATTGAGATGATCTAATTTTATCTTAATAGAGGTCATGTGAAGGGGTGGCCTGCCTCTCCACACCTGTGGGTATTTCTCATCAGGTGGGACGAGAGACTGAGAAAAGAAATAAGACACGGAGACAAAGTATAGAGAAATAATAGTGGGCCCAGGAGACCGGCACTTAGCACACCAAGGACCTGCACTGGCACTGGTCTCTGAGTTCTCTCAGTTTTTATTGATTATTATTTTCACTATCTCAGCAAGAGGAATGCGCTAGGAGAGCAGGGTGATAATAGGGAGAAGGTCAGCAAGAAAACTTGTGAGCAAAGGAATCTGTGTCACAATTAAGTTCAAGGGGAGGTACTATGCCTGGATGTGCACATAGGCCAGATTTATGTTTCTCTCCGCCCAAACATCTCAGTGGAGTAAAGAATAACAAAGCAGCATTGCTGCCAACATGTCTCGCCTCCTGCCATAGGGCGGTTTTTCTCTTATTTCAGAATTGAACAAATGTACAATCGGGTTTTATATCAAGACATTCAGTTCCCAGGGGCAGGCAGGAGACAGTGGCTTTCCTCTATCTGAACTGCAAGAGGCTTTCCTCTTTTACTAATCCACCTCAGCACAGACCCTTTACAGGTGTCGGGCTGGGGGACGGTCAGGCCTTTCTCATCCCACGATGCCATATTTCAGACTATCACATGGGGAGAAACCTTGGACAATACCCGGCTTTCCAAGGCAGAGGTCCCTGCGGCTTTCCGCAGTGCATTGTGCCCCTGGTTTATCGAGACTAGAGAATGGCGATGACTTTTACCAAGCATACTGCTTGTAAACATTTTGTTAACAAGGCACGTCCTGCACAGCCCTAGATCCCTTAAACCTTGATTCCATACAACATATGTTTTTGTGAGCTCAAAGATGGGGCAAAGTGGCTGGGGCAAAGTGGCTGGGGCAAAGTTACAAATTAACAGCATCTCAGCAAAGCAATTGTTCAAGGTACAGGTCAAAATGGAATTTCTTATGTCTTCCCTTTCTACATAGACACAGTAATAGTCTGATCTCTCTTTCTTTTCCCTACAGTCATGTATTGTGATCCAATGGTAGAGAATGCACTGGGCATTTTAGGCATACACACATAGTTTACATAGATATTTGAATCCTCAAAAGAACTGTATGACATAGATATTATCCTCATTTTGCAGACAAAGACAGTGAAAATCTGGGTGATTAATTTGCAGTTTCTAAAATAGTGTCAAAGCCTGGATTTTATTCTAATTCTGATTGTCTCCAAAGATAGTGTACTTGCTACTATAGTAATACTTTCTCATGTAAAACTTTTGGATTAGGAAGAAAATGAATATAAAACTGTCATTCTTATTAGGTGAAGATTGAATTCTTCTTTATAGAAATATTAAGTAAATCTTTTCAAAATATATAAGTGACTAGGCTCATTTTATTTCCCTGTTTCATTCACAGCCATTCAGATACCCACGTGAGGAACCCCAATCACAATTTGTTAGGCAAAACGGGCCATGGATATTCTTTAAGCCTGCCCTGTCATTTCAGAAATGAGAAATTTGAGGCTAAAACATTTAATGGTAACTGAAATAGCACAAGAAGTTAATAACAGTTGAAATTAGAGTCCTGGCTTCGCAATTCCTGTTCCTTTATTATTCTGAGAATTTTTTATGTTACTTGTTTGTTTTTTCAGCTAGGTTGGAATTTTTCTGGTAGACTTCTTTTTTCTGTTACTTTCTAGTAGTCATACATGCTGAAATACTCTTACTTATGTCTGCTTTTATTTCTCCTCAAAATCTCTTTAACAGGTTCATTTATTCTACTCTTTCATCAAATATTTATTTTGCATCTGCTTTGGACAATGTAAATGTGTGGGAATTTTTAAGACAATAGAAGGGAATCCTGCCTATTGACAGCTTACAGTCTGATAAGTTAAACTTATGATTTTCAATTTATCTTTCAATTTCTGCTGACAAGACAGCCAAGTCCAGTACCGTATCTGTCAGCATTTGCTACGTGTATAAAGCATTTATTCATTATTTACTGTCTTCTAGAATATGGACGGCTATTTTTGATGGATCCTTAAGTATACAGTTTAATTTGCTTAGGTAAATTTATATTTCTGTATACAATTTTAATTTTATGCACAAGAAAAATTTCAAACACTATGAATTTTTGAACTAGGTGATTAGAAATGTTGTAATGTGTAATGATGGCTGCTTTTCTTTACAAGTCAAAAAAAAGTCCACGGAAAATGGACTTAATTGGAAAGAGTTCTTTTTTCCTCTGATAGTTTGCTCAAATTCTAATTCCAAATTTATTTTAATAGGTAACAAACAGTATTACTCCAGTCTTAAATAAGTTAATTAAAGGAAACAAATCTTTAGTAAAGAAAAAAATCCTGTGTCTTTTCTAAGAGGATATGGCTACAAAACAGAAAAACAGGAGAAACATGGAGAGAAAATAATTTTTAAAATCAAAGCATTTTCTCTTGGGACTTCTTTTCTGTAACATAAAACATCATGCTCTTTGTCAATGACATTCAAAAATAATATATTATTAAACTCTTTGGAAAGGAAATTATTTGATCTAAATCAATTAAATTGGAATGTTCACTAAAAGCATTTATAGGTCAAATTACAAGGTATCTCCTGGAGTTTAATACTTTACCAGGAAATAAACAAACCTGTCTTTCCAAATTAAAATGAAGTTCACCCTAGGCTTCTCTTCCCTTCTTGTTACCTTTCTTATTCAGCTTCATTTTCCATTTCTCAGAATTCTGTAAGAACCGCTTTGGCAGCTGTTCTTTAGTTGCTGTAAAAATGCTATTGCCAACATACTAAATAACTGGTTTTATATTTTTCTGACTTGGTAAATGAATAGGTAGATTTGATGAAATCTGTGATGAAAATGTGTTCACCGTATTTAAAAAGCATCTTTTAAAATGACCTATTACAATAAATGACCTATTGACCATTGCTTGAGTGGCCGGGAGGATTCTGGAAAACACTCAGAAGCAATTGCCCTCAGGCTGCCTATTTTATTCTGGAATTTCTCTCAGGGCATATTATAGGTTGGTGCAACAGTAATTACAGTTTAATAAAATCACACCTCTTTTGCATATAGCATTCAAATGTTCATTTCATTCTTTACAAATTCATCCTGTGGACTGAATTCTGTCATGGGTGTGTGTGTGTGTGTGTGTGTGTGTGTGTGTGTCACGGTTAGAAATTAATTCCAGATTTATTAGTTTGAGCGGTGATCCATAGGAATGAGGGTGTGCACTGCAACAGATAAACGAAAGCAGAAGCAAAACCGGGGGCGGGGGGAACTTCTTGTTGTCCCTAAATGCAATTTAAGGCATTTTTTTTAAATGTAGGCCATTTTTCTAGAAGTGTTTAATAAAGTTCCATAAAGACAACTTCCAGTGATTTTCAGATTCATAAAGCCTCTATGAACTCATTTTTCCTCTTCTGTTTAATTTCTTCAGTTCTTCCTTGATTTTTATTCCCAGCTGTGGCTGGCGAAGGGTTGCTTCTTCTGGATCCTGGTCTTTGTGGTGCTAACTTGTATCTGTGAGGCAGACACACAAAAGGCTGCCTGTACCAGATCTCCAGGTCCTCCCCTGCAGCTCTTCCTGGGCTGTGGAATAAAGTAATGCAAGTGCTGAAGCTATTTTAAAAAGCTGAAAGCAAAATATATCAGTCAATTCTCAAACTTGGAGAAGAGGTAGAATTTTTAAAAATCTGTAAATGAGATTACAGTGATTTACATATTTACATGTTGAATTCAGAAATATTTTTCACAAAATATTTTACTGGCCTTCAAAAATAGAATTTTTCCTTTCTAATAGAAGATTAATAGTGCTTTAAATTGTTGTTCAATTTTCCTGGTTTTTCATTTCATACCTGAGTGGATCGTAGAGTACAGATGATGGCATTTACATGTGCTCATAGGAAAATAATAACAATAATAATGGTAGCTTAAATTTATATGGGTTTTACTATGCCAGGCACCTTTCAAGCATTTTTCATATATGAACCTAAGCACTCTTCATCTGGACCCTATGATGTGAGTACTATGGATGATTCCCTTTTTAGAAAAGAAATTGTGGAAAAAAGTCCCCCAGCTGGTAAAGAACAGAGCCAGATTTGCACCTGGGCAATTTGACTGGGAGTTCCATCCCAAGAAGGGGCAAATAATTCTTGGAGTTACTGAGATAAGAAAACCACCGTAGTGGGAAAGGGAAGGTGCTTGGCTTCCAGTTTGTGGGACTTGGGAGATAAAATCCCAAGGCTAATTGGTATTCCAGCTTTCAGGAATATTTCCTCACATAAATACATTTGTAATAGTGGCACCTCTATCAGTAGGTTGTGTGAGATACTCATCTACCATTTGGAAGATGGAGGGACATTTACATTCACTGTGTAACACAGCCCAATGGGGAAGTCATTCTTGTGATTGGAACCCTAGCTGCAAGTTCCTTCATATGTTAGTCACACAAAGGTCTCTGAATTTGCTGTTGTTTATGACAATGCCCATAGATTTGCTTGGGCACACATGAATTCAGACATATGTGAAAGGGGTTCCATACCCGTAATTCAGAAATATTTTGTTATTTAAAAGTCAACAAACCACAATATGGGTAAACTATATTCAAATCTGAAAAGTCCAATTTAGAATTTCAGCTGCCTAACCATCTTCACTAAGGACTATCTGGTCACAGACTACCATCACAGTATTACAATCGTACTTGGCTATCCAGTGGTTTTGCTTCTCCAGATCTTACCACATTGGATTTCCCCTGGGATATTCCTCATTTTAGCAGTGAAACTCCTGCTTCCCGGAAACTCTTTCAATCCTTGACAAACAGGGACAGAAAGAAACTCTACTTTCTCCTGACACTTTTCATATCCCATTCTTTTATCTCCCTCCTAACCACCATGCTTGCTTGGATAGGTTGGTGGGGCATTGTAGGCTTTCTGCCTTTATTTAATCTCCAGTAATTAAAAAGTTATAGGGCTCTGGCCAGGTGTGGTGGCTCATGCATGTAATCCCAGCACTTTGGGAGGCTAAGGCAGGTGGATCACTTGAGGTCAGGAGTTCAAGACCAGCCTGGCCAACATGATGAAACCCTGTCTCTACTAAAAATACAAAACATTAGCCACATGTGGTAGTGAGCGCCTGTAGTGCCAGTTACTTGGGAGGGTGAGGCAGGAGAATTGCTTGAATCTGGGAGGCAGAGGTTGCAGAGACCTGAGATCACGCCACTGCACACCAGCCTGGGTGATAGAGCGAGAGTTCTTCTCAAAAAAAAAAAAAAAAAAAAAGCTTTGGGGCTCTGACTACAAAGTGTTCCTGAGAAGTGTGTTTGAAACCTTTTATTCTCTAAATTATACTAACTAAAAGGTTTTATGGACACTTATTTATTTCTTTGGTGTATTTACCTTGAGCAACAAAGTTCACTCAAAAATAACTGGTATAGCCTATGCTTATTAATTTATCTTTTTTAAAGGAGCTTTGAGGAACATTTACTATTTTTTCATGTAATAAACACAGGCTATTGTTGGATAGGTTGTAGAACTGCGAAGATAATTATAATTAATGATATATGTAGGTTTTTCCCCATCAAGTGAGATAAATATTTCTATCGAAGTAAAATACTACTATTGTATATATTCTATATAGAAAGTTCTATATAACACAAACACACGCAGAGGAGTTTTATATCTATTGTTGAATTTTAAGTTACTTCTTACTTCTTTGCATTTGGGGTTCTTAAATTGTTACGATTAAACTTGAGTTAATACTCTGGCATCTTCTTTATGAAAATAGTTATTTGAGACTAGAGACAGTATTAGGTAGAACAATTTTAAAAATTATTGAGTTACTAAGTGGTAGATTCTAAGTGATTTTCATGTTTTAAATTCTCAGACCTCACTAAAATTGGTACCATTATTTTCATCTGTATTTTACCCTTGAGAAAAATATGGCTCAAAGACATCACTTACCCAGAGTCACAGAGCCAGCAGGCACTGGGACTGAGATTCCAACCCAGGTCGTCCATGTCTGGGGCCTGGGTGGACACCCATGACACTATCTGACTCTCCAGTTGTGGAAAACATATCTGACGCTGGAAGTAGAAACAGAAGTTAGACAATGGCTAGGCTACACTGAAACTACACTGAAATTTAAATTGGACCCGTTAAAGCTCATTGACCTTACTCATCTTATTTTTCTTTCCTGGGCAGAGTGTGGCGGACGATTGAAAGCAGAATCAAAACCAAGAGATCTGTACTCACATGCTCAGTTTGGTGATAACAACTACCCAGGACAGGTTGACTGTGAATGGCTATTAGTATCAGAACGGGGCTCTCGACTTGAATTATCCTTCCAGACATTTGAAGTGGAGGAAGAAGCAGACTGTGGCTATGACTATGTGGAGCTCTTTGATGGTCTTGATTCAACAGCTGTGGGGCTTGGTCGATTCTGTGGATCCGGGGTAAATATACCACCAACAGAATACCCTAGACATGATTAAAGATGCCTATTGATTCATGATTGATATGTGTACCATTCACAAGTTGGCAATGCTTTTTGCAAAAAAAAAAAAAAAAGGCTACATTGTATTATAAATGGCTTGACAAAATATAACACGTCTCTACCCTTATCACTTCTCCACTTCTAATGAATTTGCCTGAATAATATCAGGTGAAACCGATGAAATCAGTAGGTATAATTTCTTGTCACTTTTCCATTGTTCTAACTTCTTATTATGCAATAAATATTTAAATACTTAATCTAACAGCAGCATATTTACACACACACCATAGACAATTCTGTCACGTTTCTGAATTAAAGCATAAAGGAAAAAAATAATATGCACACCATTCTAATTCACATTCTCTTTTTAACAAATATATTTGGAGGCGGTGGCAGGGTCAGCCACTGGTGTGTGTACACAGGCAGTGCTACAGAGACACTGTTCCATTGCAGAGTGTCACTTGTGCAGGTGCAGAGTGCAGGTACAGGTCAGAAGACGTCACCATGAGAAATAAGGAAAAGAAAAACATAAGGTTTTCTCAGTGCTTTTCCTCCAGGATTCACTGCATTAATATTTATATATTTATAGTCTTCTGAATACATATTTTGTCCTGAAGATAGTAGTCCCAGTTTTTCAAACGTCTACCAGTAGCTATTGCTTCAGTAATACTGTTGAACTCCTGCCCAAATGACAACTGAAATATAATGAAAAAGCTTCTTGATGCTTAGAGTATTAAAACAAGAAATAATGGACAATTTGGATTTTGGAAGTGGCTCTGCTCCAGAGCAGCTTCTGAAACACATTTAGTATCTCTTTACACTCTCTGAACCTCACTTTACTGATTTGTAAATCAAGAGAACTTGGCTTAAAAGTTTAGGGAAAAACACTCAAGTTCTAGAGAGAAAAGTGCCCAGAACTTAGAAAATGTAACGTATGTTCAGAGCTCAGCTACATCACCGACTAGTCGCGTGAGCTCTAGCATGTCATTTTCTTCTCCGAATCCCATTTTCTCCTCTATAAAGTGAAGAAGTTGATTACACCTACTCTCCAAGGTTGTTGGGAGGATTAAATTATATTCCAAAGACAAGTATTCCCAAACATGCGTTACACTGAAGAAAAAGTGATTCGTTTTATTGCTTGTTTACTTGCTTGTTGTTTTTGTTTTCCTTCAGCCACCAGAAGAGATTTATTCAATTGGAGATTCAGTTTTAATTCATTTCCACACTGATGACACAATCAACAAGAAGGGATTTCATATAAGATACAAAAGCATAAGATATCCAGATACCACACATACCAAAAAATAACACCAAAACCTCTGTCAGAACACAAAGGAATGTGCATAATGGAGAGAAGACATATTTTTTTTAAAACTGAAGATATTGGCACAAATGTTTTATACAAAGAGTTTGAACAAAAAATCCCTGTAAGACCAGAATTATCTTTGTACTAAAAGAGAAGTTTCCAGCAAAACCCTCATCAGCATTACAAGGATATTTGAACTCCATGCTTGATGGTATTAATAAAGCTGGTGAAAGGGCATCATATACTTCAAGGAAGACTCTACAAGCTTTTGTTCACAGCTTGAAATAGATGCCTCACAATTCAGACAGTTTAATTCAGGAACTGTGACCCTGCAGTGTTCTTTTTGACAATTTGTCAAGATTTAGGGACATAAAATGATCTTGCAGGTCGTAAACTGGAAAACAGTATTTTGGTTGTCTTAGGATAATTGCTGACTTTGTATCTTGGATACAGTGTAAACCAGATCCATATAAGGTGAATGTGAAATGGGAGTCTTCTGAGGGTGATTTGTACTTTCCATGTGTATGTGTGTGTCTGGTGTTTGGAAACTGGGATATTTCAGCTTCATTATTTCCACTTGCAGGCCAGCTTAACCTCTGAAACACAAATGATCTTGAGACCACTTTAGTGTACTTACATTTAGATGAGTTTGAAATCTCAATGGTGTCTAATTATTGCAGTTAAATTCTAGACATCAGTTCTTTAAGTCTCAGAAAACGCCCAGTGAATTGGTAAACTTAGTTCTTTTTTTTGGAAGTGCTGCCTTTTCACACCAAATCCAAGAAGCCTGTGATGTCTTATGAACCTTATGAGAAAACTCCGAAGAGGTGTGAGCAGGATTCTTCTGAATGACTGTCTGGATGGTTCATTACTCAAGTTACTGCTGCTGCTATTGTCTTTCCTTTGTTGTCGATCTGTTATTGTTGTATTATTATTGTTGATGTTGTCATGGTTAATCTATTTTTTAAAATTGAAATGAAGCAGAAGTAGGCCTTGTGAGAACTGAAAGGTCTCTTTCATTTTTCTCTTCCTGGGATTCATTTTTTCAAAACACAATGCTGGAAAAAAAAGATTTGTTTCTGAAAGACTTCTTATGGTGCTATTCCATAAACTTTTTTTCAAACAAGTTTTTGACCTTTGAGCCAACCCACCCGTAGACTACGAATGTCTCCCTATGGCTGGTAGCATTTGAAGACTAAAGACTTGTCAAATATATCAAGAGTATATCATTGCAAGGGCAGCACTTGTCCTGTGGAACAACTACTTATAATGCCTTAGAATTCCTGCACATGATCAAACAGATCCTCCTAAAACACACCTTTTGAAATGTTGAACATAATAGTGTATGTTAATTAACAGCTCTATGAAGAAAATCCATTTCCATGACTGAAGCATTGGATATAAATATGGTGTCCTGCTTTTTTTGTAGAAAATGTAATTTGAGGATGAATTTTCTGCTTTAAAGGCATGTGTGTTTTTAAAATTAATGAATGTAGATGTGTGATTGTCTGAGTGAGTGAAACTACAAGAGGTAAAAAATAATGGGTGGTTGAAAAGTTAAAATGTATGTGCCAAGTTCTACTAGAATTCCATTTGAAATAGCACCTTCCTTAGGTTTCATGGACAAATAATGGGAACTTCTAATTTTGATCAATCCCATTAAAAAAAGGCTCTTTCCTTTAGAGAAACTCTATTTTGATGTCAATATAGATTACTGTATGAAGTAGCTTTGTGTCTGTTACCTGTCCATGAGCATACAACATTGAATACAATTGGGTGTATTCTTTCAGTTTTACACAATTAAAGTATACACACAGATGTAGCTTATCTGTTTTTTTCTTAAATTGTTGCCCTGAAAAAATTTCTTGCATATGAATTGTAAAATGTAAATACATTTTTATAACCAATGTTTTGATCTTATTGAATGTTACTTTGAAAATGTATAACTATTGCCTGCAATGTAGATGAGCCTTTTAGTAGAGCTGATTTATTCCAGTAACTTCTTCCATATTTTCTCACTAATCTCCCGTTAGCCAAAATATGCCAGAAATGGGAAAGAGAGGAGAAAAAGTCATTAACATTAACACCTATACTGTTCTATACTACTCCTACCCGTGTGCTAGGAATGTGCACTAGCTCTTTTTAAATTCCATGCTACACTTTGAGGACTGTCATCATGTTCTCGTTTTGTAGTTCAGAAAGTGAGGCTCAAAGAATTTATGTAACCTTCCCAGAGTCACAGTGTAAAGTTAGATGTTGAAACCCAGTTTATCTTATACAAATGAGCCTCTGCTTGTTCTACAAAGGTAGTAGAATCAATCTCGACCTATATAAATAGTAGATTTTTTATGGTGAAACTTTCCCACATAAAGTAAATTTTAGGGGTGAATTAGAGTAAAACTTACAGGATAAGCATTTTGCTCTTTTTAAGAACAGCATGAAATTTAGAATACCAATGATAGCTATCTTTAAGAATCAGAATTAGTACTAGAAATTTAAAAAACCCTATAGTTTGGAGTTAGTATGAGCCTTTTGTGAAAATAAATATATTAAATTATTTTGCCTGATGTGGTAGGGGAAATGTATTGCTCTATATTAAGAAATATTCTGGATATTCTGATTGACATCTTATTAGGCCATAGTGAGCTATGCTCTGCACAACTGAGAAATTAGGTATTTAGAAGGCATATAGAGATGTTGTCATAACTAGGTCTTCAACGTGAAAATTAATTTTTATTGTATCATGTCAAGTATCAGTTTACCACATATTATTTTTATATTAATTCAACATTTGCCTTAAGTGTGTTGTTAAATGAAAGTACAGACAGCTTCATTGTTGTATTGTTAATAATTGTTACTTACTGCTCCAGGCATTTTATTAAATTAATTTTTTAAATTATTTTCCACCCTACATCAGTATATTGGTTGTGCTTTATATTTGCCAAAGTCCTAACTGACTATACATAGAAAAAAAAAAAAACACTGTTCTCACTTGATTTTATTAAATTATTTTTAAAAGTCAATTTTGAAAATAACTGTATTTTATTAAGGAGATCGTGACTTAACTTAAATGGACAAAATAACTTTTTAAAAGAAATGGATGAGAAGTAATTGTGTTTCCAAAACCCTCAAATATCCCATTCCTATACTGGCTGGATTTTTGCTACCTGTCGCTCATTTTAATATGTCACAGTATGAGATTCAAATTCTGTTTAACTTTGTTTTAAAATAGCTTGGTCTCTTTTATTTGGTTTGTAATACTGCTGTATTTTTGGTGGTAAGCTTCAAATATCAAATTTTGTTCTGCCATGTAGAAAAATCTCTAAAAGCATCAAATGACTAATTTTATTTTTGCAAGGTTAAAATTTATTTTTAAAAGAAACATTAAATTATATCTTTATGTAGATTTAGAAGGACTGCAACCCTATGTGACATTATAACTTACTTAAAACAGTTATCAAATATTTGGAAACTATTGTTTACTAATAAGAATAAGACTTGCCTTATGGAAAATTTTTGATACCACTTGTTAAATCAGGCATGGGAGGAGGAGAGCAGAAAATATAATTGCCTTCTAAAGATATATAATTCGAATTGCAGTAATGCTTTCTATTTTACAACAACAAATGTGTAATAAGAACTTGTCAAAAAGAGAAAAAAGGTGGCCTGTGAATGAATTGAAAGTTCTTATGCTTCAATGCATGGTAATTGGTTTCCAATGAATATTTAGCTTTTGGTTTTTTATGTTATTGTTATAAAACTGAGAAATTTTGTCATTAGATTAGGAAACAAGAAGTGGAAAGGCTGACTCTGATATTTTGTGAAATAGTGTTATTTGTCCCCAAACTTTCTTCTGACATCTACATTTTCACTGTCTGGTTTCCAACCTGCCTAACTTTCCCTCACTCCAATATATTGAACCTGAATCCAAGCTGGTCACGTGACTCCAGTTCCAGCCATGACACCCTAATGCAGGTACCCATGCAGGATGAAAACAAAGGAATTATAGGGCTCTGAGCACGTTTCACTATATATAACCTCCCTCTCATCCAATATTCTAAGCAGCAAATGAATACAATGAATATCAACTTCTAACTTCAAAAAACTTGTAGGTGGAAATGTATCTGCATAAAAAGCAGTTGAAAAGAGATCTATTAAACTCTACACAGATTGAGGCACTTAGAAGGTCCTAGCGATCAGGGCTTATCTTTATTTATTGCCAGGTTGGAGGTATATGAGTAAATATTGACACTGTTTCTGTTGTTATATTTCTATATGAATACAAGCTAACGGCTTCACCAGTCCCTCTGACCTTACTTTGTCTGTCTGTATTGTCCTTATATCTGGAAAGTTACTTATATAACATTTTATTTTTGCTCAACTATCAAATTTTCAGAGCATACTTGCATCTGAAAACAAATAGCAACGAAGGTTACTAAACTGATTTACACTATTTTAAACATGTGCTCAATGTTTCAGTGTATTTTGCAAATTACATATTTAAAAATAGATTCAATGGTGCTTCTTCTATTGAATAATATTATAGGATGATTATATTAGCCACAATATTTAATTCTACAACAAATCTAAGAAAGAAAAAGTTGCATTATCATTCAAAAGCTGTTAGGTTTTTTTTTTTTTTTTTGAAGAGCAACTGTAAACATTTAGCTAAATATAATAAATTTCCATCAAAATATAAAAATGCATCTATATTCCCTTGTAATATTTTTATGTTAGAATTAGTGCCTCACAAAAGTGATAGCTGACATTGAAAACACAGTAGTAATGTCACCGCGGTAATAGAGTATAAGAGGAATTACTTTAAGGAATGACATTAAGAATGTTTAAACAGAAAGATTGCCCAGAAAGGACAAAGTGAAAGGATTATAGATAATAAGGCTTCAATATGTCAACCTCCCCTAAAAATTATTTAGTGGCTATTCCTGAAGGGACTATAATTGAGACAAAATGTAAATAGCAGGAAAATTTTCCTTGGGAATCATAAATTTTTCAACGTTTCTTTATGAAACATTTCTTTATGAAAAATTTTTTCATAAAGTTTTCAATTTTTATACTTTTACTATATGTGTATTAGATGTGTTTGAATTCCCTGGGATTAAAAGGTCGCTCATAATAAGTTTTGCCATTTTCAAACCAAAACGCATAGTACAATGTATTTTACTCACTCATTTATTCTGTTTATTCACTGAACAATATGCTTCATACTGTGGTAAGTACTATGAATTCGAGATAAAAAAAGAAAAAGTAGCAACCTTTGCTCTCATGCAGTTTACATACTAAAGAGATAAGCATTAATTTAAATAACCCCCCAAAGTTGAAATTTCAGTAATGAAACATGCATGTGTATTCTACTGCCATTTGGGAGCATTCTGCAAAATTGTGTGGTTTGTATTTTGAGACTAGCAGCAACATAAACATCCTTGGTTCTGCATTTGAGCATTTAAAAAAATTCAGTTGTCCTATAAAAGTAAGTTTTTCTTTGCATGTATTACTTGTATTTTTAATTTATAAATTACTGAACCTCAGGATGGACAATTGGGGCTTTTTGTAAACAATATGTTTTACAAAAAGAGTTACCGAATACTAGTACCAGCAGCACTTGATAAATTGTAGTTCTAAATCTGAAACAGATTTAACCCATTATCTCCAATCAATGCTGCCCTAACTGGTGGAAAAAGGAGTCTTTTTACCAATAGTGTGATTGCAGGACAGTAAAATGCCTCACTGTCTCACTATTTGCTTCTCTTCCAAGTCAACGAGTGATTTTTTAAAGGTGAGTAAAGTCCCTAGAATGCCTAGCTCTCTCAAGAGCATGCGTACAGGTGCATGCACACACACACACACACACACACACACACACACGTGTGTATATATACAAAAGATCTTTGGACGCACATACCTGCAACCTAGGCAACCTATTATGCACACAGATAACGCCTCATAGAATATGATGCCACAATTTAGAAAAATCTATAGAAAGATCAGGTAAGAGTAATCCCAAATCATAAGTAACAGAATTAGACTCTAAGAATTTTAAATGCTGGAATGATCAAATGTAGAGTATAAAGAAAAGCACATTAAAATAATTAAGGAAAGGAAATCGAAATATGTGGAAAAGCTATAGACACTTTCAAAATATTGAGTAGATTTTTAAAGAATAAGTTAAACTTGCAGAAATGAAAAAATACAGTAATTGAAATGAAAAATGTAGTCGATATGGTTGATGGTACGATTTATGAGGTGGAAGTATATAAGAATCACAGAACACAACAGAGAGACAAACAGATGAAAAAATATATTTTAAGAGACATGAGAAGTAGATGTGAATGTTCAATATGTATTTTTAGGAGTTACAGAGGAAGACAATATAGACAGTGAAGGAGAATAAAATATTCAATATAAATATGTGAAATGCCCCAAAACTTTTGGGAAACATGTATCTTCACATTCAGGAAACACAAAAAATTCCCAAGGAAAATACATAAAAATAAGGCTGCACTTAGAAAACGCATAAAAATAAAGCTGCACTTAAAGCTAAATACATAAAAATAAAGATTAGACACATAGTACTGAAATTGATTAATACAAAGTTAAAAAAATATTAAAAGTAGTCAAAGAAAAAGGCAGATCATCAATAAGAAGGTACTTTTAGAAATATAGCAGACTTTCCAATACCGAATATAGTGAAATCAAGTCTTCCTGATATCAAGAGTAAACAATTGTCAACCTAAATTTTTATATCCTGTTAAATACCACTTACAAATAGGAACTAAATGATATGCAAGAAGGATTAGTTATTCAAGAATTGGTGGTTAGGTGTCAATTTAAAATATTTACTACTATAAAATAATATTATCTTGTTACAATTAATGTGATTAATTATAATATTAATGAATAATTCTAAAGGAAAGTGGAAGTAAATATAAAACAGTAATATAATATCATGTACAACTAGAGAGGATTAATTGAAGTTGAAAAGTTCTAAGGTCCTTGTAGTGTTTAAGAAGAGGATTACTTTAATATTTTGTTAAATGTTCAGGGTAAAATGGTAGGCTAACCAAAACAACAAAAGTAGGATATATAATTTCTAAACCAGTAGAGAGGGAAAGATAGCATAAAAATAATAAATCTTAAGGATTTTATAAAAGGAAGATTAAGAGGCATAGAAAAAGTGAGAAACATAGCACAAAATAAAATGGTAAAAAGACAATAATAAGTAATATTTAAAATGTAAAACACATCTTCCAGGCATTTTTCTAAGTGTCTGAGATAGTAGTTCATTTAATTCTCACAGATATGTGAGTTAGAATTTATTGTCCCCATTTTATGAGTGAGGAAATAAATAAAAAATACACTAGTAATTGCAATAAATGTAAGTACACTAAAATTTCCAATTTAAGAAGAGGCATATTCAGATTGGATTAAAGTGTCATCCATGAGCTTTTAGAAAAGATGCTTGTAAAAAAGTATGAGAAAAGCTGAAAGTGAAAAAATATATTGGGCATATTTTAAGCTAATGATAGCTGATGTTTTTAGGCATAAGAGACTATTTGGAATAAGATTAGCAACTCCAATGATAAAAGAAACTGCATCTAGAACATTTAAAAATTTCTGATTAATGTAAATCTAGAGCCTCAAAATATATACAATTATCAAAATCATAAAAATGTAATTCATTATGATCATATGAAGATACTAAGATCTTAGTAAGAGAGATAGTATGATATAAGGTATTTGCAAGATATATATCTGACAAAGGATTAGGAACCAGATTATTTTTAAAACCCTCAAATTCAATGAGATACAAACAACCCCATCGATGAGGAATTGGCAATCTACATCTTGTGAGTCAAATTCAGCTCACTGCCTATTTGTGTCCACTCCATGACCTAAGAATGATACATAAAATGACTGTTAGCCTTTTGGCAAGAAAAGTTAAGACTTGAAGACATTGTCTGTTGGCCTAGAAATCCTAAAATGCCACTTGGTCCTTTAAAGAAGAAAATAGGCAACCTATGTAATCGATAAATGTGCAAAGGATACACACAAGCAATTCACAGAAGAGGAGAGCAGAATGGTTAAAAAAAAAAAACAGATGAAAACATGTTTGACATTGCTGTTATTTTGGAAAATTCAAATTTAAAGAATAGTATACTATCTTGTATCCATTGCATTAGTAACTAAAGCCTTAAACACTATCAAGTGTTTGCAAGGATGTATAGCATAGAAACTTCTACGCACTGCTGACAGAAATGCAGTAACCAGTAATGCAAACATTTTGGATAACCATTTGACTCTAATACTTGCAGATGCTCTTTTTCACTGACCATAAATTTAATTCCTTGCTATAGAAAAACTCTCATTTTGAACTGGTTTTAGGAAGTCACCTGAACTCCAGTAGCTGGGCTACAGGGAAGCTGTGCGGTCTTCCAGAGCCTACTGAGAGAAGCAGAGAAGGACACCAAAACTAGGAAGAGAAGCCCCTTCCTCCAGCAACATCCTGCGTGGTTCTGTATTGATGCAGCTTCACATCAGGAGAGCAAAGGATAATTTTTCAAAGGGACCAGCTCCATTTTCTACAGCAGGCAATGAAAAACATATTTAGAATTGAGAAGCAATAAATAGACAATTGGTACATATAATATGACATAATATTAGAATATAAAGGTACATTATGTATTTATGACCTTTACACAATTTTAATCAATCCACAATCATAAGAATTAATTATCTGGCTATATTAAAAACAAAAATTTATATGTACCATAAATTATAAAAAAATTGCCAGCTAGGAATGCCAATCTCCTCCTTCTCTTTCTCTGTTTTCCCCTTTAGCATTTTACAACATGATCTATGATTTTTTAAAAAACATGTTTTCAAGAGATTTTAAGATAAAATGTTATAATTCATGTGTATGTAGATTTTTAATTCAGATTCAGCATTTATAGAGTGCACAATAACCTTGTGAGATAAGTATTATTATTCCAATATTACAGATGGGAATCTTGAATATAAAATACATACAAGAGCACATGATGTCTGTGATGAAGAGAATCCCTTTAAAGAGGGGTAGGTATATAAATTATATTTAAATTTAAAAAGTAATCATAAATTCAGATTTTCACTTTGCTCTTTATAGTGTGATTTTAAATGCTAGTATGTTCAAAATTATTTCCCTTAAAAGCAAAAAAAGTCATTAGCTTTCCCATTAAGTACATGATTTTCATGATTTTATGCAGTTTGATTAAATTTTGTTGATTTCTATTTAGAGTTATAATAGAGTAGCTTGCCTAAAACTAATATATTCCATCAAGAATAAACAGAAAAGTGGGTTAAAACTTTTAAAAAGAAAACAATTCTATGTTTAAGGCATCCTCAAGCTTCCAACAGAGCTAGGACTTGAGGGATCAAATACTCAGATAGAATGGAACCTGTTAACAATGAAGCAACATTTTATGTTGTACTTTTACTATCCAGAGGTAAGCTCATTCTTGATGCAGAGTCAAGGGCTGTAAATCTGTGCAGAGGTTGACTGTTAATCTTTGCCAAAATGTACTTGACAGAAAATGCTGAATCCATAATTCAATTAAATATCTAATTACGGAACACTGTAGGAAAATTGGAACTATTTTTGAACAATTATTTTTTGAAAAATCACAGGAAATCTATCTCCTAAAGTCACTATCGTATATTAGAAGAAAAAGGACAACAAATGATGTAGTTACTAAGAAACAAAATGATTTTAAAAACCTAATAATTTTCAGTGGAAGATAATCGTCAATAAATACAGTTAACAACTCAAATGAGAATCCAGAAGTAAAAATGTATTTGAGTTATCCTTAATTTTAGCCTTCTACAGAGGATTGTCCTAACTTCAAGGAACATTATTAAAATGACAATTTCATAAATCATTTTTATTCATGTTTTCTGTTTTATTAATTTTAATGAGATCAAGATTGTACTTCAATGTGAGAAAAATATTCCAAATGCCAGATATTATAAAAGATTTCTGTTAGCGTGTTATCTATGAATTATAAAGATAATATGCATTTTATGCTGCAGTTTCCTTTAAGTAATTCTGTAGAGAAAGGCAAGGTAAATCAATTTCATACTATATCGTGCGTCAAATATATAGCTTTTGTTATAAGATAATACGCTTTAGAAAGCACTACAGAAAAGGTTTTGAAAATTATCTTGAGTGCACTTCTCAGTATGCTCCCAAATTACTTGTCACGCTGATTTCGTTTATTCTTATGTTGATACTTTTTCTGTGCAATGTTTTGAGATCCTCAAAAGCAAGTAGATGCTATTTATTTTTTTCTGTACTTACACAGAACTGCACACTAAAAGACCTCCTATATAGATTGCTTAAATTGAATTGAATTGAAATGAGATTGAATTAAATTAAGTTGAACTAACCTAATGTGCTAAAAATTACATAACTCAAAAAATGAGTACTTGTCACGTTAAGATCTGGAATATTTTCTGAGTAACACTGATATGAAGTTAATAAACCATATGAGTAATACAGAAAGAGATTGTCATTTATAATAATGAAGATGAAATATGTTATCCTTCTTTCTTCATAAGTATGTTTAGTTTGGTTACATTACAAAACTGCGAAATTACTTTTCTAGAATAAAAAAGAGACTTCTCTCTTTCTCTCTCCAATTTGTCTCATCTGTATTTTAAAACAAATTTGGGTTAAGATGCTAGGGTCATTTTACAGCAACTCAAATAAATTAGATTTTCAGCAATAAGGAAAACTTATATTTCAATTTTTAAGCAAGTATTTTTCTTAACTACCTTAAGCTACCTGTATGAAAAGATAAGTCATTTTTTAATCCCTTAAAAAGACTAGCTTATCAACCTATAATTTAATCTGTAAATGTAAGAGTTGTTTGTTTAATACAGAAGAATGATGCTAAACTTGTACATATTTTACTTCCAGTTGATAATTTGTTTTTTCAAAATGACATCTTTTGTTCCTTTAAAATTTCTGAAAAGAATAAGGATCTCAGCCTTAACAGGTAACCTTGCAAATTCAAAGAGATAGGAAGTTTGAGATGAAGAGAAATTTCATTTTTATTCTACCTTAATCTTCAGCAAACCTGAACCTACTTTATCACAGATTGAGAGCTATTAAATACCTCTATTCATCTGAAATGAATAATATTGGATGAAGTCTTGCTTTTGTGGAGTCAAATGAAAAGACTAAGAATTAAAATTCTGTCTAGAGGTGGAGAACTGTGCCAGAAAAAGAGATTCTTAGTGATAAAAAGGAAGCAATTAATACACCTTTTTAGTGCTACCAAGTGTTATTAATGTAATCAAATTAACCGCATGTTAGAGTATTACATAAAGGTGACCATGCATAAGTCTATTATAAAAATGTAAATAGATATTGCATATATTTTTTGAGAAATGTCTATGCAGGCCCTTTTCTCATTTCCTAATCAAACTATATTTTCTTCTATAGAGATAATTTAGTTTCTTACGTATTTTGGATATTAACTCTTTAACAGATATATGGCTTACAAACATTTTCTACCAATCCACAGGTTGTTTCTTCAATCTTTCAATTGTTTCCTTTGTTGTGCAGAAGCTTTTTATTTTGATGTAATCCCACTTGCCTATTTTAGTTTCTGTTGCCTGTGCTTTTGTTATCAAATCTAAAAAAAACATTACCTAGACCAGTGTTGTGTAATGTTGTGCAGTTTCTCACCTGTGTTTCTGTTTTAGCAGTTTTATAGCTTCAGGTCAAAATAAGGGTCCAATTTCATTTTTTCTGCATGTAGATAACTACTTTTCCCAATACTTTGTATTGAGACACTGTCCTTTTCCCTTTGTGTATTCTTGGCAGCTTTGTTGAAAATCAATTGACTATATACATGTGTCGGTTTATTTTTCAGCTCTCTATTTTTGGGTTCATTGATCCATTTTTATGTTAGTATGATGCTGTTTTAATTACTATTGCTTTGCAATATAGTTTGAAATCAGGTAGTGTGATGCCTTCGGTTTTGCTTTTTTTCTCTTGTTTATGATTGCCTTGGCTATTTGAGATTTTTTTATGGTTGCATATGAATTTATAAAAAATGCTATTGGAATTTTGATAGGGATTGTATTGAATCTATAGATTGCTTGGAGTCATGTAGACATTTTAACAATATTAATTATTCCAGTCCGTGAATGTGGGATTTTTTCATTTATTTGTGTGTTCTTCAATTTTTTTCATCAACATTTTATGGTTTTCAGTGTAAGGTCTTTTACCTATTTGGTTAAATGTATTCCTAAGTATATTAATTTATGTAGCTATTGTAAGTGGAGTAGTTCTCTTGATTTCTTTTTCAGAAAGTTTGTTGTTACTGTGTAGAAATGCTACTATTTTTTGCATTGATTTTTTATCCTGTAACTTTACCATATTTGTTTATTAGTTCTAACAGCTTTTTGCTGACATCTTTAGAGTTTTCTCTATATAAGATTATATCATTAGTATCATTAGCAAACAAACAATTTCACATCTTCCTTTTCTATATGGATGCTTTTTATTTCTTTTTATTGAATATTTGCTCTGGCACAAATTTCAAATACTATGTTGAATAGAAGTGGTGAGGGTGGGCCTCCTTGTCTTGCTCCAGATCTTATTGGGAAGAGTTTTAATTTTTCATTATTGAGTAGAATGTTAGTTGTGGCTTTATCACAAGTGACCTTATTGCATCAAGGTACATTTTTTTTCCTAATTTCTTGAGATATCACTAATAATTAGGGAAATGCAAATTATAATTATGATGAGATATCACCTTATATCTGTTAGTATGGTGATTATCAAAAAGACAAGAGATAAGAAGTGTTGGTAAGGATGTGGAGGAAAAAATACCTTTACACACTGTTGGTGGGAATGTAACTTAGTATAGTCAGTATGGAAAACTATACAGAGGTACCTCAACAACTAAAAATATGACTCAGTCATCCCACTTTTGGGTATTTACCCAAAATATTTGAAATCAGTATGTCAAAGAGATATCTGCACTCTCATATTTATTGCAGGACTATTCAGAATAGACAAGTTATGAAATCTACCTAAGTGTTCATCAACAGATGAATGGATAAAGAAAATGTGGTATATACACACAATGGAATACAGTCAGCCTTAGAAATTTTGTCATTTGTGACAACATCAATAAAATCAGAGAATATTATACCAGGTGACATAAACCAGGCAAAGAAAGACAAAATTACATATATCTTCACTTATATGTGGAATCTTAAAAAATCAAACTAAAAGAAAAATAATAGAATGATGGTTATCAGAGGCTGGAATGGGATGGGATGGGCAGAATGTAAAGATTATGATCAAAGAGTACAAAATCTTGGTTATTCAGAAGAAATAGTTTTTTTTTTTTTGAGATATATGGCACATCATGGTGTATATAGTAGGTAGTAATGTAAGGTACATTTCAAAATCATTAAGGGAGTAAATTTCAAATATTCCCACCATGCAAAAATAAAAAAAATTGAGGTAATGGATATGTTAATTAGCTTGATTTAATTGTGTGTGCATCATATTCATAAATCATAACATCAGTTTAGGCCCAATAAATATATACAGCTGTAATTTGTCAGTTTACAATTAAAAAATACAAACTTTAAAAAGCCACCTGATCAGGCCATGCCAAGGTAAAGTAAATGCCTTATCACACCATGCCTAAATAAGGCCAATGCCTAGCTGTAGCCAGTCAGGTGATTTCTCTACTTTGCTTTTGTTTCTGGATTATCAAAGCTTGCTGCTCACACTACTGAACAGAGCTCCTGAAGCTCTTCTGGCTCTTGGTGCTGCCCAATTCATGAATTGTCCCTTGCTTGAATAAACTGTATTAAAATTAAAAATAAATAGATATTGGAAAAAACCCAATAGATATAGCAACTGCTTTTTATAAGTATGAAAAGCATGAGTTTGAGTTCAGCATAATAATTAGAAGCTATGTTGGATATTTTAAGCAAAAATAGAATTAATTCATGTATTTGTGAATTAATAGACAATAGGGGTACTATTGTCTCTCTGAGATCACAAAAGTAACCTGCTAGAGAATTGCTACCTGTGCCACAGTCTGAAAGGCAGAAACTCAGAAGACTGCCTGTTGAGTTTTTAGGTTTAAGAACACATGGCTGTTGCAGATAGAAAGAGATTTTCATGGCTATTAGTGCCTCCTGACCCCCTCAAAACTGGAGAGTAGATCCAGGAACACTGCTGGAGAAAATCATCACAGACCCGTGACGAAGCTGCTGAGCTGAAAACAGCAGCAGAGAGATGGCTTCTACCTCATTTTGCCTTCCAAAATTCACACATTTGCTTCTAACTATCAGAATTTAATTATGTTCAATCAAAACCTCAGCTTACAAGGAATCCTAGGAAATGTTGTTTTAAATTTTGTAGCCCAGAAAGTATGCTGTTATGAAAAGAGATGAGAATAGATTCTAAACAGATATCCGTCCAAAATATCTAATACATTTGCTGTTGGCATCTATATTAGTTATCTGTTACTGTGTAATAAATTACCCTGAAATGAAGCAACAGCAAGTATTTTTTTTTTTACATCACAGATGCTGTGGGTTAGAAATAAGGTGATGCAACCTGGGTGCCTCTGCCTTAAGGTCTCTTGCAAGTCCCCAATCAAGGTGTCTATTGGGCCAGTGATCTCATCTGACAGCTTGATTGAGGAAAAGTTGTTTCTAGCCTCATTCATGTGGTTGTCAGCAGGATTCAGTTATTCACTGGCTGTTGTACAGGGGCCTTCCTCAGTTCCTAGATATGAGTATCTTTCCATAGGGCAGCTCACAACATGTAGCTTCAATAGAAATGACTGAATGAGAGACAGAAAGAGAACAATCAAGATACACATTACAGCCTTTTTATAATCAATTTCAGAAGTGGCATTCTATCACTTTTGCCATATTCTATTTGCTAGAAGTTATTCACTAGGTCCAGCCCACACTAAAAAGGAAGGGATTATACAGGCAGGCAAGCATCAGTCGTGGTTGCCTACCACAGAATCTCTGTGACTTTCACTACTGTAATATCATCTTAAATTTTCTAAAGAACTTTCAAAACAAAAAAAGCTGTTGAATTTAAAATTGTTAGATTTACTTTCAGTAATTGGCATTTTTTTCTTTTTATTTTAATTGGGGTATTGATGCATTTCAAATGCAAGTTACCAAATAAAGATATCCTTTGTGGCACAATCCCAGGAAAAGGTGAAAACAAAATAAAAGTATGAAGGCATTGCTTATGGCAGGTCTACTAATTATAGATGTTTACCGTATATTGGACCTGGAAAATGTCATAGTGGTAGGATTTAAATTTCCCTTCCTGTTTGCTTCTCAGGGTGCATAAGAGAAAGAAGTTTTAGTAGTGAACACATGCTGTTGCCATCTAGCATAAGTCTAAAGCCAAGATCCTCATGTTTTCTAGATTTTTTTCCACCACCTTTTCTTAAATATTCCTTAACATGTTTCTGAGCCAAATAGAAACAAGAGAAATGCTGCATTTGTTATCATACAATTTGTAGCTAAGTGCTGACTCTTGCTATGAGACCATTGAATTCCAGCTGTCTTTAATATCAAAAAAGACAAAAAAACCCCAAGGAATCAAAAATAATTTCCTCTGGAAAATAAACGTTGTAATTAATACAGTAAGAAAGCAAATCCCTCGAAAAATATCAGGGCAATGCCAAACAGCTGAGGGCGGTAGTGGGTGGAGGAAGCAAGAAAGGGAATCCCTTTTCACGCACTTGTTTGGTTTTTGTATTTTGGGTTTTTTGTTGTTGTTTTGTGTTTTTTGTAGCTGTTGTTCGTTTGTTTGTTTTGCTAGCTGGTTTGTATAATTTCTAGCATTTCTGCAAACTTCTAATGAGATTTTAAAGAAAATTTTTTGAAATGAAATACATAAGAAAATATATGTTTAAAGCAACTATCAAATTTCACTTTTCAAATAATTTAAAAATATTTAGAATATTTTAGAAAATCATCCTTGAAAAATACTATTTTTTTCCATTAACTACATTTCTTTATGGCACAATATTATGAAATATCCTTTAATTAAAATGTGGCTAAAATACTTTAATTTTATATAATCTACAACATTTACATTTGTTTTTAATCTTAGGTGCTAGGTAAAATCCAGCTTATTAGTATAATTTTTAAAGCTATTATTTCATTTCATAGTCTCTTTTCTTGAGTTATGCCAATTTAATTAATAGAAAAGACTTAGAAATACTCATTTTAAAATGATGTCACTGAAGGAACAATGAGTTTTGCAACAGTTTTCATCCTGGTGCCAAAGGGGAACTTGGAAAGAAAAATAGGGATAGGCAGGTGCAATGTAGAATGCTTGCTATGCTCACTTCCGTTTCCTTGCCCCGACCAAGGTTAATTTGTTCTTTCTTTGTCTATAATAAAATTAACTCCTTTCCATGCTCCATTTTGTATCTCTTCTCTCATATTCTATTTTCATTTTATCACCAATTGCTATTTTATTTTTCCTTATTTTGTGTATCTTTGTAAGCAGACTATTTTTTGTTGTTGAATTAAGAGTAAATAAGAAAATATTAGAAGACAGAAAAAGAGTTAACCTCAGGGTTTTTTTCCTTAGTATCAGTAATTTCAAATTTTCAGGATTGAGATATAATGCTAGGCTATTACAGCTGGAAATTATAATGTGCATCATGTTAAGTTAAACAAATATTGCATTAAAATCAGTACATATAGCCTGGGCGCGGTGGCTCATGCCTGTAATCCCAGCACTTTGGGAGGCTGAGGCAGGCGGATGACCTGAGATTAGGAGTATGAGATCAGCCCGGCCAACATGGTGAAACCATGTCTCCACTAAAAACACAAAAATTAGCCGGGCGTGGCAGCAGATGACTGTAATCTCAGCCACTCGGGAGACTGAGGCAAGAGAATCACTTGAACTCTGGGGGCGGAGGTTGCAGTGAGCCGAGATCGTGTCACTGCACTCCAGCCTGGGTGACAGAGTGAAACTCCATCTCAAAAAAAAAAATCAGCATATATAAATTATAATAAAATTTTATATATCTATATTTATTTCTATATGTATATCTATAAAATACCTGTTGGTGCATATGGTTATATGTGCATACATTCATATAAAATATCTGGAGTTTAGGAGAAGATGAATGAATGGGAGAGTTGAGACAGCAGAATCATTGTATATTGGTTTTGTGGGGCAGAGATGGAAAAAAATGGTTGAGAGCAAGATAATTTCTCTGAAATATAAAGTTTTGGAATATTCATGAGTAAAAGAGATTTATTTTAAATGTTTGAGTATTTTTAATTCTAATTTCTCCATCTGCTACCTTTTAAGAGTTTCTCTTGTTTAGGCTTTTAAATTTGAATTTGTGATTTTTGGAGGCAATATTTTGCTAAAATAAAACTTAAGGTGAGAGTAGAAAAGTTTATATATACTCGTATGCACTATTTTGAAACAAGTGGTAATTGAAGAAGAATCTAATTTATAATCTATTTGGAATATATAAAATGCTCATTTTAGTACAAAAGTACCAAAACGAAGGTAAATTCTATAATGAAATATATTTTCTTAGAATAATGTAGAGTTTGAGACAAGGGTTTGCATACAAGTGTGGTATTAGGAACGTGTTCCCAGGAGAAGCCTGGGAAGAGAGTAGGGGAAACTGAACAGGGAAGGAGAAGAGAACAAGTAACAGATACGACTTCATGGAGGCTGTGGAATATAAATTATATTTCAGAGTGGTTCTCACCCTGAGTCAAAGGAGCTGTGTGTCCACACTGGCCCATTGATTAGCCATTAGGTAAGAGCCATCCTAGCATGGTGGTAATGGGGAGATCAACTCCAAGCATTTCTGGTTCTTGATTTTCTGACTTTACTTGTTTGCAAGTGAATCTATAGCCAAGGGCCAGTTCTTGGAAGATAGTAGCTGGTATGGGCCATGGAAGCAAAAGCCCACAGAGAAGCCAGAGAAAAGGCTGCAGAATGGGTAAAAGTGATCCAAAGAGATTTGGGCAGAGAATCAGCAGTGTCCATAAGATTTTTATGTAACTGATTAAATCCCAAATGAATCTCTTAAATAGGTATTGATGTAATAGATGGTAACTAACAAAAATGAGTATTTCTGACTGGCCCCAGTGGCTCATGCCTGTAATCCAAGCACTTTGGGAGGCTGAGGCAGGTGGATCACCTGAGGTCAGGAGTTCAAGACAAGCCTGGACAACATGGTGAAACCCTGTCTCTACGAAAAATACAAAAATTAGCTGGGCATGGTGGCATGTGCCTTTAATCTCAGCCACTAGGGAGGCTGAGGCAGGAGAATCACTTGAACCCAGAAGGCAGAGGTTGCAGTGAACACAGATTGCACCACTGAACTCCAGTCTGGGTGACAGAGGGAGACTCCGTCTCAAAAAAAAAAAAAAGGTATTTCTTAAGCTTCTACTTTGCATTGTATTGTACTAGGAGATGTAATGTATAGACAGAAAAAAATTACATTCTAAGAGAAAAGATATTGACCTTTAAGAAATATTAAAGTGTTGTTAATACAAATAATTTAATAAAGTAATAGAACATGACTGATTGACATAGTTTTTGGAATAAAATTGTGCCATTTATTTTGTTTTATTGTGTTTTACTTTACTTTGTTTTATTGTCAGATTCACTAAATGTTAACGTTTTACCACATTTGATTTTCTTTGTGTATGTGTTTGCGTGTGTAATTTCAGAGTAAGTTACAGGCATCATGACATTTCATTCCTAAGTATTTCAGAATTTATACCCTTAAAACAAAGACATTCTCCTATAATGACTATAGGACAAAGGCATTCTCCGATAATGATTATAACACAATTCTATTATTCAGAAAATGTAATATTTATACAATGCTGTTATTTTACATAGTCAGTGTTCAAATTCTCCCAATTATGTCTATTATAATAGCTGGTTATCACTAGAGAAATATCTACACCTACATCGATATCTATCTATACACTTATGTATCCAACCATGTATTAATCTACATATAATTTAAGAATAATAAGTTATCCCTGTAAAGCAGTTGGTCTATTATGTCTTGTTTTCTTCCTCAATAGATTCTCATATTAATGATCACTCATGCATTTAGTCATCCAAATGAATTTAAAATATTTTTAAATTACTCATGATAATTTACCCTTTACTTATTATTTCAGTTTTAGAAAATTTGGTGCTATCTCTAACTATTAATGAATTGGAGCCAACTTTGTTTCTTGACTATTTTCTTTCTAAAATTAATTTTTAAGTAAATAATAATTTTAACAATATAATTTTTAAGTGTACATTAGTTTACTCAAAAGTGTGCCAAATCTCTCAATCATATAATTTATACTATTTATTAAGCTCATCCCATATGCCAGGTACTAATTTAAGATCTTTAGTTGTATTAACTCTTTTAATTCTCAGAAGAGTCCACGAGATAAATACTATTATATTATCAATTTTTACAAATAGAAAAATTGTGGCATATTTAAAATAAAAAGTTCTGACCCCCTCATTCATTCTGAGTCTTCCACAATCTTTCACAGAATATAATTTAGCAATTTTGTCTAGGACAATCACTTAACTTGGTGCTATTTTCTTTTTTCCTTGGGACTTACTTGCATTGATGGTCTATATCTGCACTGATCTTCTGGTTATTAACCAATTAAAGTTTATTTAAGATACATGTTCAAAGTAAGCTTGAGAAGAGTGTTAAGGAAATCAGAATTTATTTTAAAATGTATTTGGGAATAATAAACTAAATGAAACCCAGCTGTGAATAATCAGATAATTCTTTATTCATTATAGATTCAGCAAATTGAGGTCACTTAGTATAATGGAATATGTCAAGAGTATTATCCTTAATACTATTACTGTTAATTATCAAATGTGTTTGATTTCTCAATATTATACTTAATTATTAAACAACATTTATATTAAAACTATTTTATAACATGCTTTGAAATGTCTTGTCTTGCTTCTTTCAGTTTGGGATTATCTGTGTCTACAGTCTTCACTTCCTATTAACAAGGATTTCTAAGAGTTGACTTAAAAAGATATGAAGTACATGTATTCGTTTCTAAAAGGTATGGATTAGAGTATTAGTGTGATAATGTCATAATGCCTTTGAGAGTGCCTCAGGTCTCAGTCCTAGGTGTATTTTTATTTGAAACTGTTTCCCTCTCCTGCTATCCTGATCTGAAACTGTTAATGTCCACATGTATAAAGCCAATTTAGACTGCTTTACAAAGTTTGAGATCTGAATATCAAACTACCGTCTATTTCAAAAACCTTTCAAACTCAAGACATATAAACTGAAGTTAGGATCTTACCCCCTAAATGTAATTTTCTTTCAATGTACTCTGTCTCCATGAGTGATATCATCTCTCCTCCAGTTGTTAAGCCCTAACCTAGGTGTTATATTAGATATCCTTCTTCCTTTTTACATTCCATATCCAATTCCATACCAAGTCCTGTCAATATCATCTCCTAAATCTCTAAAATCTGTCCAGTTCTCCCCATCTTTATTGCTACTTACCTAGTACAAATAACAGTCATTTTTTTTGCCCTTTTGCAATAGTTCACTATGTACCAGTCACCCCAAATCTTTATGTATATTAACTTATTTAACCCTTATCCTGGGAGGCCAGTACCGTGATTATTCTGATTTCACCCCAGGAAGTAACCTGCTAAATATCCTGTAAGTAGAAGAGCTGCAATCTAAACCTATTGGACTCCTGAGTATTACACACCATATTGTAAAATCTGATCTTGAAAAACAAATATTTTTCTGGCTTTGAATTCTATGAAAAACAGATTGTGAATATTTAAATCACATTTCTCTTAAGTCTTCAATTTAACCTTACAAAACAGAAAGTAACTATTTTTCATCTTGGAATTCCTTAAATTACAACTCTGAGCAAGATAGAAAATATAACGTCAAAATTTTAGTTCACTAAAATTCTTCCTACAGGGAATCATAAGGAATCTGAACTAGATCTTATTTTTTTTCCACGTATAATCTGACATTTGACTTAATACAGGGAAAGAGTTTGGAGAAAGTTGAGGAATAAAGAGCTAGCCTGTCGTTAGACTGTGCCTATCATATATCAGCTCTCTCCAGTAAGCCTCAGGCAAGTGCTGCATCACAGCCTATTTATAGCTGCATCCTCTGACAAGTGCCTGAAGTACAGCTCTTCTACCGGTATTGATTATAGAAGTATCCATGTGATTTAAATTCCAGATGAACAGGAGGTATACATGACATCTTGTTTTGACAACTGAGGAAACTGACCTGCATTACCTTCCAAAGTCCATCTCAAATTAACACAGATGGACTCCATGACCGTCTACAGAGCTATTTAATTAGCTCCTGCATTTTAAAATGACTTTATTTTCCTAGGTGACGTTCTACATTAGGACGCAATGGAAGGGTTTAAAATCAAAATCTCTGTGGTTGAGTTGAGACTATATCCAGAGTTACAAAGCCTTGAAACCCACAAGTTTACAGGAGGAAACATTTTGTTCTCTCTCCAAAAAAAGGGACGTTTTGAAAAAAATTGACAATGTATATTGTCTTTCCTGGTGTCATGTTTTCAGCCATTATTGGATGAAGTTAAGTCAGCTGACCCTGATGCCTGCCATCTTTGAGAGCTCCCAGTTGAAAGGCCATCTTTTAACAACTATTTCAAATATTGGCTCTTCCTTTCCCCTCAATTCCAAGGTCTGCTGAAGCAAGCAGCAGCTCTCAGTAACTTTCTTTACTGTCAGTTGTGACAGCTCTTAGTAGCTGCCTTTCATTGAGTTAGTCTTTCTGATCTCTCTTATTTTCAGGCAGGTTCTAGGTTACTAATGTAGCCTCTAGTTTATTGTCTCTATACAACTTACAGAACATGGTAAAAACTTGGCAAGCTCTCCAGTGACATTCATGCAAGCCCTGTGTAAAACTAAAAGAACATTCTGAATCTGTGTCTCTTTGGAATTTTGTTATTCTTTTTGACCCCCTCAGGCATAACACAGACCCCAGATACACTGACTTTCAGCAGAGAATGAAGTTTCATGCTCAAAGAAGCTACTATATACATTTATGAATCACAATTTTTATTGCTTAGGGTCCCAACTTAAGATAAAGGTGTTAATCCATAATCTATGGTATTTATGGGAGAAACAGTTACAGGAAACTTGAATATTTCCTCACCTCATTACCTCTTCTGCACCAAGCAGTTGTGATGACTTGACATAAGAATGTTTAATAATGTTTCCAACTTTGGAAAGAGGCAAGCTTGAGGTTAACACTTATTTGATTGCTCTTCTGTTTGTTGATGGAAACATTAGTTTTGTAGAGATAGGTGAAGGGGGTATATGTAAAACCAGGGCTGCCTTTTTATGTAAAAGTAAAGGTGCCATTTTATAAAGAAATGTTAGCTTCAGAGAGGCAAAAGAGAGGAGCTCCAGAAATTACAAGGTTATTTCCATCCCAAACATAGAATATACCATTCACTACGGAAAATGAACCTTAGGAGACAGCTGTTTTGTTGCAGAACACAGGACAGAGCCCCATCCCACCAATAATCAAAGGGACCCAGTTCAGCTCTCCCTTTTTCCCCAAAAGAATATAACCTAAGCTAAGCCCTCAAACTGTTATAGCCAGAGAATACAAACAGCTTTCAGATAATTTGGAAATGGAGTCTCATAAAAGGGAAAATTCTGCCACACTCTATAAAAACAATTAGAGATTCTGAACAGAGCTTCAAAGTTAAGCATGAGCAACATAGCAAGAAATGATCTGGCAAAATGCCATACAGTCAAAAGAGCAACCTGCAGAACAAATGAAATCTCAAAAAGGAGAACAGGCCCAGTTGAACATTAAATTGCTAAAGTAGAGGAAAAGATTGAGATGATCATGATACAGAGGGAAAATATAAAAAAGATTAAAGTAAAAAGGGATCATAATAGGGAAAGACAGGTGCAGTAATATGACATAAAAGAATGAGTGTCTCGGAAATACATAACCTACATAAAAGGGAGATGTATTAAATGATACATCACCGAAAAATGTCCCTGAAATGAAGAAATCACTGAATCTGTAAACTGAAAGGGCACACACTAAATCTTACCTCAGTAAAGCTATGGAATTTTACAAGAATGAAAATATAATCATTCATGCATTCATTCTCATTAAAGCAAGAAGCATGAAAAAGGAAAAATCTATTTGGTCTCAGACATCTTCACAATAACCATCAATGCCAAAAGAGAATGGAAATGTGTCTGTAAGTATCATCTAGATAATATCCAAGACAGCAGGAACCACTTATTCACTGTTATACACACAGCACCTGTAGCAATCCATAGCATATAGTATAGGCACATTCTGAAACATGAAACAACTCAGAAAATGCACCTGCTAGTAAACATTCTTGGAAAAAGTCCAGTCAAGCAATAGTTGAATCAAAACAAGAAGCTTGAATGCACCTGCTAGTAAACATTCTTGGAAAAAGTCCAGTCAAGCAATAGTTGAATCAAAACAAGAAGCTTGAGAATGAAGAAGGTGTGATACTGCAACACTTTTACAAAATAATACATTCATTGTCCCAAGAGAACAGCTGGAAGAGCCTAAGAGAGGAAGAAAATTAAAACTCACCAGAGCTAGAAAATGGAATGATTTGGAATACAGGACCAAGAGTGAAGGTTTCATAGAATGAGAAATAAGAACAGTGTTGAAGAAACTAGAAAACAGAGAAAGGGAACTTTAATACAATATTATGGGAGACCTGAAAGTAAATATCAGCATTAGTTAATATTTGTTGTTTTGGAATGTATTCTTTAAATGCAGCATCTTCCTGAAACTTAGTTGTATTGTGCCCCAACTGTATGTTTGAGTGTGTATGCGTGGGTGAGTGTGTAGTTAGAATGTGAGACTCATGACTGCAGGCGTTTTTATCTTTTCACTACTATATTTCTAGCACCTACAATAATAGACTATCACCTACCTTGTGGCAAAGTAGTTGTTTATAATATTGGTTTAACAGATAGTTATTGAATAAATGATATTTTATTTTAGTTACTGCATTATTATGCAGTAAAAATTTTCTTATTATGAGATAATTATTTCAAAACTAGTGATAAGATTTATTACCAAATATTTCAAGAAGCCAGCTTTTATTTTGGTTGTTACTATCAACTAGGATCTTCATATTTAAGTAATTACTCCTTATCTACAATTTTATTTCCCTACAGTTTCTATCTGTTACCTCTTAGAATTATAAGATAAATATTTTGTATGCCAAACTACTTATATCAGAAATAATTTTTCAGAAGTGTATTTATTTTTGAACTTATATCAGTTTAGATGTGTAGGAGAGACATCACAGATAATGCAGTCCAACCATTTCATTTAAGAGAAGTGATGAGGTAATCTATGTTACTAAGTGAGCCGCCCAAGGTCCCACAACTCTCCATCGAAAGTTCTTTTCCTTCTATTTTAACTCCTTGCTTTATTGTTCTTCTTAAATGTTAAGGTACTATAGCATACAATATTTCAATCATTGCAAAATATTTCAAATAAAAGTATTTTATTTGAGTGTTTACTTCCAACATGAAAGTCTAAAGGGACTTTAATTCTCTAAACATCAGCTTCTCACTTTCCTCTCTGATGCTTGGGTATGTGTAGTTATATACCTACTCATCTGAACTCTTATGAACAATCTGCCAAATTTCAGAACCTATCCTCAAGACTTTGTTTACACAATCAATTTCCTGGACTCTGCCTTAATTCAATGTCCTTTTTTTAAAAAAATCACCCACTTAAATCCATAGTGGATATGAAAGGAAAAAGAAGACATGTGCCTCGTGTACAAAATTGTGCCTATTATTAATATTGTGGTAAGAACAGTTTTCTGACAGTGGGCAATTTTCCAAAATGTAAGCTTCTTGGCCCATTCTGCATGCAAAGAGAAACAGCAGAGCAAAATGCTGATAAAGAAAAATATGGTTTTGTAAGTATAAGACAAATGTATTATTTTAATCTTGGGGGAGTCTAAGGAAATTTTATTCTAACTTTTCTGTTATTGAATCTGAAGTTAAGATCTCATATATGAACAAGAAGAGTCGAATCCAGTATAGTGACCACTATTATTACATTAATAATAGTGTTACTTTAAATTAGTTATAAATTAAATTTGAATAGATTTCAACATCTTTTTTTTACATAAGAGAGTGAGTTCTTTAAACTTTAAGAAGTAAGGGAACTCAACATCATGTTTATCTATTTTTGTTCTAGATTAAGGGACAATGACTTAATTCTTGTGGATTTTCATGCAGGATGAAAGCGATGCAGACTCTGGGTAAATGTGTGTGGTCTGTTCTTTTTTTCAGATCCCCCTTTAATATCAATGACAGTTTGAAACTTAGGACTCACCTTTTCTACTCATACTGAACGTGCCACTCAGTTACTCTTTCTAGTTTTTCTGTCTGTAAACAATTGCGAATATATAATTCCACTGAGCGGGGTGATTAGGAATCATGCTTCATCGGTAAAATAAAATGTTTCTTGACCAAAGCAAAACCATAATGACTACAGTAAGTATTAATTTCATGAGTGAAACACTTCATTATCATTAAATTCTATCTCATTTGGTAAGATGTTGAAAGTAAATACAGAACTGTTTTAATTGGACAAAAATATACTAAGTAGCTAAAACAATAGAAAGTGTATTACAATATTAATACAGTGTTAATCCTAGCTCCTGAATTACTTTATAAATATAACCTTAATTATCTTTTGTAACTCTCTTTTTTTTTATTGTACCTCAAGTTCTAGGGTAGATGTGCACAATGTGCAGGTTAGTTACATATGTATACATGTGCCATGTTGGTGTGCTGCACCCATCAACTCGTCATTTACATTAGGTATATCTCCTAATGCTATCCCTCCCCCCTCCCCATACCCCACAACAGGCCCCGGTGTGTGATGTTCCCCACCCTGTGTCCAAGTGTTCTCATTGTTCCATTCCCACCTATGAGTGAGAACATGCGGTGTTTGGTTTTCTGTCCTTGTGATAGTTTGCTCAGAATGATGGTTTCCAGCTTCATTCATGTCCCTACAAAAGAAATGAACTCATCCTTTTTTATGGCTGCATAGTAACTCTTTTTTTTTCTTTTTGAGACGAAGTCTTGCTCTGTCTCTCACGCTGGAGTGCAGTGGCACAATCTCAGCTCACTGCCACCTCTGCCTCCTGGGTTCAAGCAATTCTCCTGCCTCAGCCTCCCAAGTAGCTGGAATTATAGGCATGCACCACCACGTCTGGCTAATTTTTGTATTTTTAGTAGAGATGGGGTTTCACCATATTGGCCAGGCTGGTCTTGAACTCCTGACCTCAGGTGATCTGCTGGCCTCGGCCTCCCAAAACGCTAGGATTGCAGGCGTGAGCCACTGCACCAGGCCCATTTTTTAACTCCTAATGAAAATAACACTGTAAATCTTGCCTAGAGCTTGATGACTGGGCACAAGTGTTGTAGAGTCAGACAATCTGCAGTGAAATCCAGTTCTACTACTTAAATTTGAGTTTTGTTATTTAGAAATAGGACTGACGATTCTAGCTTTTTATGTGCTATTTATTGTAACTGATTATATGCAACAAAAGAGGAAGAAACAACAGGTAGTGTGGGATTGCTGTTCCTGCCTGGTATATGGGTAATAAATGAGATAAGATTAGAGAGAAAAGAACAATCTTTTCTGCCTTGGGTGTTCATGGGGTTTTGAGCAAGTTTTAAATTATAAAAAGGAATTGAATAGGTTCCTAAGTAGAAGAGAGACATTCCAAAAGAACAGAACATTATGATCCAAAGTGCTGAGGTTAGATACTAGGCTATTATTCAAGAGAAGACAGTAAAGAAAGACATTAAGGAAAAGAGGGAAATTGCATGGGTTGGAAAGCTTTGGTGAGGCAGCGGCTGGCAGGCAGGGCCAAACTTGGTATTTCTTTCTAACTCTGCTTGAGAATATTAAATTGTCCCAGAGCTACACATTATTTTTTAAAAGTACATGTTAAAGTTTATTTTCTTCAGAGTTCAAAGTTTTAAACAATTATTAGAGTATATCATATATATATGAATATATACATATATTTATAGCTACTCTATTAATGGATAAGACAACTGAATACTTTCAATTAAAATACTTGAAATGTTGCTATTCCCCACTGTTAGCTGGCTTATAAATCTAGGTGAAAAGTTATTACAAATACAATTCAGGCTTATATTTGCATGTGTTTTTAAAATGAGTTTGGTATATATTTCTTCTCTAGAGGTTAGAAACCTGGTTTTAATTCAGAACAGGGCCTACTCTCCAACATAAGATTATGCACACTGGCAGATTTCAGTAGTAAGCAATTTATAGGTGTTTCAAGTTTTCAAGCACTAAATAAATTAATTTAATCTTTTTTTCTAGATGTGAAGATATGTTTGGTGGTCAAATAACCAGGAAAACTATCATTTATCAACAGAAGGGCTTCATACAAACTAATGACTGTGAAAGATGACACAGGGTTTTGCAACATGCCCACTTCATTTCATTTTTGGCACAGCAAGTTGATTTAGGAATCACTAGTTTTTCTCTGTTACTAATAGTTTGTAGAACTCAAGGAAGAAACATGATCAGTAGCCACACCTCTGGAATTGTTGCCAAATAAAATAAGCTCTACAGGAAAGATTTCAGGAAATAATATGAGTCACACATGTTGGTTCTATAGCATTTGTTTTGTTCTTCCTATTCTCTACTCCTGAAGAGGGGAAAACTCACAGAGTCTGCTTTGGACACGATTCTATTTGTCACAGTCTGATTTAAGTACTCTGTGCTCCTGGAACATATTCGTTTCTTGCTTCAGAGAAGATAAGCTTCAAACTCCTCAAAATATGCTTGGCTACCTACAGTTATTTTTAAAAAGTGCTTTGGAGGAGTTATTCAACATTTTCTTTTTTTAATTTAATTTAATTTTCAGAACAATGGTACATGTGCATGATGTGCAGGTTTGTTACATAGGTAAACTTGTGCCATGGTGGTTTGCTGCAGCTATCAACCAATCACCTAAGTATTAAGTGCAGCATGCATTAGCTATTTTTCCTGATTCTCTCCCTCTCCCCACCACCCCAGTATGGACCCCAATGTGTGTTGTTCCCCTCTCTGTGTCCATGTGTTCTCATTGTTCAGCTCCCACTTATAAGTGAGAACCCACTTATAAGTGCTGAGGATAATGGCTTCTAGCTCCATCTATGTCCCTGCAAAGGACATGATCTCATTCCTTTTTATGGCTGCATAGTATTCTATTGTGTATATGTACCATATTTTCTTTATCCAGTCTATCATTGAGGGACATTTGGGTTGATTCCGTGTCTTTGCTATTGTGAATAGTGCTGCAACAAACATACGTGTGCATGTATCTTTATAACAGAATTTCCATTCCCCTGGGTATATACCCAGTAATGGGATTGCTAGGTCAAACAGTATTTCTGGTTCTAGGCCTTTGAGGAATTGCCACACTGTCTTTGACAATGTTTGAACTAATTTACATTCCCATCAACAGTGTAAAAGCATTCCTATCTCTCTGCAGCCTCACCAGCATCTGTTGTTTCTTGATTTCTGCCATTCTGACTGGCATGAGATGGTATCTCATTGTGGTTGTGATTTACATTTTTTCTGATGATCAGTGATGTTGAGCTTTTTTCATGTCCGTTGGCCACATGAATGTCTTCTTTTGTAAAGTGTCTGTTTGTGTCCTTCGTCCAGTTTTAATGGCGTTGTTTTTTCTTATAAATTTAAATTCCTTGTAGATTCTGCATATTAGACCTTTGTCAAATGGACAGATTGCAAAAATGTTCTCCCATTCTGTAGGTTGTTTGATCATGCTGATGATAATTTCTTTTGCTGTGCAGAAGCTCTAGTTTAATTAGTTCCCATTTGTCAATTTTTGCTTTTGTTGTAATTGCTTTTGGCATTTTTGTCATGAAATCTTTGGCCATGCCTGTGTCTTCAATGGTATTGCCTGGATTTTCTTCTTGGGTTTTACATTTAAGTCTTTAGTCCATCTTGAGTTAATTATCCTTTCCTCATTGCTTGTTTTTGTCAGGTTTGTCAAAGATCAGATGGTTGTATAGTTGTGCGGTCTTATTTCTGAGTTCTCTGTTTCATTCTTCTATGTGTCTGTTTTTGTATCAGGACCATGCTGTTTTGGTTACTGTAGCCTTGTAGTACAGTTTGAAGTTGGGTAATGTGATGTCTCCATCTTTGTTCTTTTTGCTTAGGATTGTCTTGGCTATGTGGGCTGTTTTTGGTTCCATATAAATTTTAAAATAGTTTTTTCTAATTCTGTGAAGAATGTCAATGGTAGTTTAATGGGAATAGCGCTGAATCTATAAATTGCTTTGGGCAATATGGCCATTTTCATGATCTTCGTTCTTCATATCTATGAGCATGGAATATTTTTCCATTTGTTTGTGTCCTCTCTGATTTCCTTGAGCAGTGATTTGTAGTTCTCCTTGAAGCATTCCTTCTCTTCCCTTCTTAGCAGTATTTCCAAGTGTTTTATTCTCTTTGTAGCAATTGTGAATGGGAGTTCATTAATGATTTTGCTCTCTGCTGTCTGTTGTTGGTGTATAGGAATGCTTATGACTTTTGCACATTGGCTTTGTATCCTGAGACTTTGCTGAAGTTGCTTATCAGCTTAAAAAGCTTTTGGGCTGAGACAATAGGGTTTTCTGGATATAGTATCTAGATAAATGCCTCTTATTATTTTAAGGTATATTTCTTTAATACCTAGTTTATTGATAGCTTTTAATATGAAGGAATGTTGAATTTTCTGCATCTATTGAGATGATCATGTGATTTTTGTCTTTAGTTCTATTTATGTGATTAATTATGTTTATTGATTTGCATATGTTTAACTAGCCTTGCATCCCAGGGATGAAGCCATCTTGATCATGGCAGGTAAGCTTTTTTATGTCCTTCTGGATTTGGTTTGCCAGTATTGTATTGAGAATTTTTGCAGAGACACTGGCCTGAAGTTTTCCTTTTTTGTTATCTCTCTGCCAGATTTCAGTATCAGGTTAATGCTCACCTCATACAATATGTTAGGGAGGAGTCCCTCCTTTTCAATTGTTTAGAATAGTTTCAGAAGAAATTGTAACAGCTTTTCTTTGTACCTGTGGTAGAAATCAGCTGTAAATCTGTCTAGTCCTGGGCTTTTATTTTTTTCGGTTGGTAGGCTATTTATTGCTGCCTAAATTTCAGAACTCGTTATTGGTCTGTTCAGGGACTGATTCAATTTCTTCCTGGTTCAGTCTTGTGAGAGTGTAAGTATCCAGGAATTTACCCATTTCTTCTAGGTTTTCTAGTTTATTTGCATAGAGGTGTTTATAGCATTCTCTGACGGTTGTTTGTATTTCTGTGGGGTCAGTGGTGATATCCCCTTTATCATTTTTTATTGTGTCTATTTGATTCTTCTCTATTTTCTTCTTTATTAGTCTAGCTAGTGGTCTATCTCTTTTATTAATTTTTTCAAAAAAACAGCTCCTGGATTCATTTATTTTTTGAAGGTTTTTCGTGTCTCTATCTCCTTCAGTTCTTCTCTGATCTTGGTTGTTTCTTGCCTTCTGCTAGCTTTAGGGTGTGTTTGCTCTTGGTTCTCTTGTTCTTTTAGTTGTGATGTTAGGATGTCAGTTTAAGATCTTTCTAGCTTTTTGATGTGGGCCCTTAGTGCTATAAGTTTCCCTCTTAATACTGCTTTATCTGCATTCCAGAGATTCTGGTGTGTTGTCTTGTTCTCATTAGTTTCAAAGAAATTCTTGATTTATGCCTTAATTTCATTATTTACCCAGGAGTCATTTAGAAGCAGGTTGTTCAATTTCTATGCAGTTTTGTGGTTTTGAGTGAATTTCTTAATCTTGAGTTATAATTTGATTGTGCTGTGGTCTGAGAGACTGTTATGATTTCAGCTCCTCTGCATTTGCTGAGGAATATGTCACTTCCAATTATGTGATCAATTTTAAAGTAAGTATCATGTGGTGCTGAGAAGAATGTGGTGCTATTGTTTTTGGATGGTGAGTTCTGTAGGTATCTATCAGGTCCAACTGATACAGAGCTGAGTTTACTTCCTTAATATCTTTGTTAATTTTTTGTGTCGATGATCTGTCTAATATTGACAGTGGGGTTTTAAAGTCTCCTACTATTATTCTAAGAGCTTGTTTTATGAAACTGGGTGCTCCTCTATTGGGTGCATATATATTTAGGATAGTTAGCTCTTCTTGCTGAATTGAACCCTTTACCATTATGTAATGTCCTTCTTTGCCTTTTTTTTTTTTTACCTTTGTTGGCTTCAAGTTTGTTTTGTCAGAAACTAGGATTGCAACCCTGATTTTTTCTGCTTTTCATTTGCTTGGTAAATCTTCTGTCATCCCTTATTTTGAGCCTATGTGTGTCTTTGCACATGAGTCTCTTGAATAAAGCACACCGATGGGTCTTGTCTGTTTATCCAGCTTGTCATTCTGTGTTTGTGCATTGTGGCATTTAGCCCATTTACACTGAAGGTTAGTATTGCTATGCATGACTTTAATCCTGTATCATGATGCTGGCTGGTTATTTTTCAGACTTGTTAATGCAGTTGCTTCATAGTGTCATTGATCTGTGTACTTCAGTGCAGTTTTGTAGTGACTGGTAACAGTTTTTTTCTTTCTGTATGTAGTGCTTCCTTCAGGAGCTTTTGCAAGACAGGACTGGTGGTGATGAATTCCCTCAGCATTTTCTTGTCTGAAAAGGATTTAACTTCTCCTTCACTTATGAAGATTAGTTTGGCCAGATATGAAATTCTTGGTTGGAAATTCTTTTCTTTAAGAATGTTGAATATTGGCCTCCTATCTCTTCTGGCTTGTAGGGTTTCCTCTGAGAAGTCCACTGTTAGTCTAATGTGCTTCCCTTTTAGGTGACCTGGCCTTTCTCTCTGGCTGCCCTTAACACTTTTTCCTTCATTTCTACCTTGGAGAATCTGATGATTATGTGTCTTGGGGTTCATCTTTTCATGGGGTATCTTCCTGGGGTTCTTTTGATTTCCTTGAATGTTAGCCTGTCTTGCTAGGTTGGGGAAGTTCTTTTGGATGATATGGTGAAGTATGTTTTCCAACTCGTTTCCATTCTCCATGTCTCTTCCAGGTACCCCAATCAGTCATAGGTTTGGTCTTTTTACATAATCCCATAGTTTTTGGAAGTTTTATTCATTCCTTTTTCATTCTTTTTTCTCTAACCTTGTCTGCCTGTCTTATTTCAGCAAGATAGTCTTCAACCTCTTCCTCCTCTTGGTCTATTCAGCTGTTGATACTTGTGGTGCATTGTGAAGTTTTCATGTTGTGTTTTTCACCTCCATCAGATCATTTATGTTCCTCTCTAAACTGGTTATTCTGGTTAACAGCTCCTGTAATGTTTTATCATGGTTCTTAGCCTTTTTGCATTGGGTTAGAACATACTCCTTTAGCTGAGCAATGTTCATTATTTTCTGAAGCCTACTTCTATCAATTTATCCATCTCAGCCTCTTCCCAGTTCTGTGCCCTGGCTGGAGAGGTGTTGCAATCATTTGGAGACGAGGCACTCTGGCTTTTTGAGTTTTCAGCATTTTTGCATTGGTTCTTTCTCACCTTCGTGGGGTTTTCAACCTTCGATCTTTGAGGCTGGTGATCTTTGGATGGGGTTTTTGTGGGGTCTTTTTTGTTGACGTTGCTGTTGTTGTTGTTTATTTCTGTTTGTTTTTCTTTTACCAGTCAGGCCCTTCTTCTGTAAGGCTGCTGCAGTTTACTGGGAGACCACTCCAGACCCAATTCACCTGGACCTGAAGATATCACCAGGGGAGGCTGCAGAACAACAAAGATGGCTGCCTGCTCCTTCTGCTCTGGGAGCTCCATCCCAGAGGGCCATCGAGCTGATGCTGACCATGGCGCTACTGTATGTGGGGTCTGGCAACCCGTTAGGAGGTTTCACTCAGTCAGGCAGCGTCAGATTGGGCCCACTTAAAGAAACAGCCTGGCTGCCCCTTGGTGGAGTGGGAGTGCTGTGCTGGGGGGACTCACACTTGTCCGGACTTCCTGGCCTCTTTAGAGACAGCTGGCAGGAAAGACTAGGTCCTCTGAACGTGAGACCATGGCTGCTCCTCTCCCCAGGGGCTCCTTCCCAGGGATATAACAGTTCTGTTCATAAACCCTTGGCTGGATTTGCTGCAATTCCTGCAGCAAGGCACCACCCAATGAGGAGGGATGGATCCAGGTAGCGCCTAAAGAAGCAGCGTGGCCATTATCTGCTACAGCCGCTTTGCAGTGCTGTGGGGAATTCCTGTTGGTCCAAACCGCCCAGTCCCCCTGACAACAGCAGGGGAAAATGGCTGACTGGAGCTGCAGTGATGGTGGCTGCCCTTCCCCAGGAACTCAGTTGTCTTAGGCAGTGTCCAGTCTGTTGCTGCCAGCGGCAACTCAAGGGGGATGCACAGCTCCGTGCTTGGGTTCCAAGGCCCTGGTGGCATGGGCTCACGAGGGGTTCTTCTGATCCACAGGATGCACAGATCTGTGGAGAAAACATGGTTTCCTGGGTGAGGTGGCACAGCCACTCCCCACCTCTCTTGGCTGGGTGTGGGAGTTCCCCTTACTCCGTGCAGTTCCTGGGTTATTGCTCCACCCTGCTTTTCTTTGCTTTGTACTGGACGTGCCAAATGCCTAGTAAGTTCCATTGAGAGAACGTGGATACCTCAGCTGAAGTTGTAGGATGCACTAGCTGTTTTCATTCTTCTCCGCGGGAGCCACAGACCAAAACTCCTTCTTTTCTTTCTTTTTCTTTTCTTTTTTTTTTTTTTTTTTTTTTTGACGGAGTCTCACTCTGTAGCTGGAGTGCAGTGGCACGATCCTGGTGCACTACAACCTCCGCCTCCCAGATTCAAGCGGTTCTCCTGCCTCAGCCTCCCGAGTAGCTGGGACTACAGGTACGTACCACCAAGCCCAGCTAATTTTTTCTATTTTTGTAGAGACGGGGTTTCACCATGTTAGCCAGGATGGTCTCGATCTCCTGATCTTGTGATCTGCCCGCCTCGGCCTCCCAAAGTGCTGGAATTATAGGCATGAGCCACTGCACCCGGCCCAGAGCTGCTTCTGATTGGCCATCTTGGCTCCTCCTCGTAGTCGACATTTTCAAGATCCGTGGTGGACTCATGGATCAGTCCATCTCTCGAGGTGCCAATTCCAGCAATTACGTAACCAGGCCACTTGGAAGTAATATAATGTGGGACACCTTATGACACATATTTTTTTCTGGTGCTTCTTGATTCAATATGCAGACTAAGTTACTTGTAGGTGTGCATTTTTCTAAAACAAGGACATAAGTACTGGATAATGATGCTATATTGTTCATTGAATATTTTAAACAAGTTTGGTAGAGGATAATACAGGTAATGAAAGCCAGAAACACCTGGCAGTTGGGGAGGAAAGCATCGTGCCAAGTATTCTTGCCATTTTGGCTAACAGTCTTGTTACCCCATGAGCAAGAGTAAGAGGCAGAAGGAAGACAAGCAATTGCAAGCTCTGAGTTGAGTACATGGGATGAATGGGGAAGACGGTGGCAATTCAGAAAACCAACGAACAGCCAATTCTGCTGCCTGGGCCTTACAATGATTTTTGTTTCCTTCTGTAGCTGAGGCAAAACAAAACAAACTCAAAACCAAAAATCCAAAACAGAAACGAAACAAAACTTAATGGACCATGGACAAGCAAATAATCAAAACTACATATTTGGGTTTTTGGTGAGAACTGACAATTACAAGCACAAGGGGTAAATACAAAGTACCACCTCGTCGACATACCTCACCGAAATCTTATTTTTGAAAGTTGTATTTGATAGCAGAATCTTCCCCAAGAAATAGAGATTTGTCAATATGATAAACTGGTCTTCTTCACGAAGACGTCAGGTAGCTTACGCTCTGGGAAAAAGGCAGTTAAAGTTATATTAGTTTGAGAAAAAACACTCTGTGCTATTCTGAAAAATAGGTTGAGATTCGAAAACAATAACTTAAAGATAGGCTGATGTATTTTTGAGAATATATTAAAGGTCACAAAAGTTAATTTCTAAGAATTAGTAATCTGTTAAACTTGATTTGAACAGACAGATTTGAAGTGCCTTGGTTTTATTCATTAAGAAGAAAAAGGTATATATTTAAGCACTATTGGTTGATGTAACATTGCAGGTTTGAATTCAAATGAATTGAAAAAATAACCTAAAAAGTTATCCAAGCGTGTTTTCAGTAGTACAGCAATGGAACATTTGTTTATTCTGAAGAGCACAGGGAATGGAGCCTAGAGGCTTTGTGATATTAAGAAGCAGGTAGAATGAATGACCTTTTCCTGAGGCAACTCAATATTTGGTGTTGTTTTCTTTTGGACATTTTATAAAATATATTAACAAATAGTGAAAAAATGTGCAAACCATGTAGGAATGAGGGATTGAGGAGGCCATTGCATGAAGTGTTTAGAGTGTGATCATCTATGATACACCCATCTGTTCCTATTAGAAGAAACAAGATGTTCTCAAGTGCTTCAAAGTTAAGTGAGTTAGGAAACTGTTACAATTATGTGTTAAAATTATTGGTTACCAGGGGCAATATTCAGATTATTTTCCCTATATTCTGCTTGGGGTTGCTACCACCTCCCAATTCATTCTCATGCTATCAGAGCTCCTGAGGGCTTGAGGCCACCAGATCATCACTGGGGAAAGTGTTGAGATACAAACTGGATTTACAGCTACCTACTGGTTTTCTTGATATATTAACAGTCATTTAGTCATTAGTCTTTTAACCCATGAAAACCTGAAGTTATAACATCTGTTATACTCAAAGCTAGTTTTATCTAACACCTGACATTGATTGAAAAGGACGGCAAGCAATTATATTTGCTGGAGATTTGGGATCTCTTTATCTCGCTCCCTAGCTCTATCTATATATCATGCCAGTATCCACTAAAATTGCCAATGAAAAAACAAAAACAGATTAGTTGTTTATATTATCATTGAATTTCAGAGCTACTTTGAATCAGCATGAGTGGTTTGTTGAACTCCTTTGTTTCATTTTCTCTGAATAGCTGAGGAACATAGAACTAATTTGTACTATCATTGAAATGTACTTTAATTTGAAGGCAGACAATTGTCAAGTTACAGGAATTATGTCTTCAGGTTTTAAAAGATGCCTTGTGTCCCGTAAAAGCTGTCAATGTTTTTCACTCAAAGATGCGTGATTATCATCTTCTTCCTGAACCCCATGTTTCCTCTGTGCTCCAACACACTTAATCCCATTCACCTTCATCCAGTCACCCAAGCTACAAACCTAGGCATTCTCTTTGCTTCGTATCCCATTCTTACGTTTAATGTTTAATCAAATTACTGTGTACTGCTTATTTAATTCCATAAACAGTTTTTGAATCTGTCCCTAATTTTTTATTCCTGCTAAAAGAGCTCTGGTGTAGACTCTCACCATCCTTTGTCTGCATTATTGCAAACAGTCTCCCTGCATTGAGATTCTAGACTTCACTCACCTCAGAGCTGCTGAAGGGATTAATCTATAGTCTGGCGAGTCCTTGAAAAGCTAAAAGCAGAGCTACCATTCAACCCAGCAACCCTATTACTGGGTATATACCCAGAGGAATATAAATCATTCTACCATAAAGACACGTGCATGCGAATGTTCATTGCAGCACTATTCAGGATAGCAAAGACATGGAATCAGCCTAAATGCCCATCAGTGACAGATTGGACAAAGAAAATGTGGTACATATACACCACGGAATACTATGCAGCCATAAAAAGAACAAGATCATGTTTTTTGCAGGAATATGGATGGAGCTGGAGGCTATTATCCTTAGCAAACTAACGCAGGAACAGTAAACCAAATGTCACATGTTCTCACTTGTAAGCGAAAGGTGAATGATAAGAGCTTATGAACACAAAGGAGGAAACAACAGACACAGACACTGAGGTCTACTTGAGTAGGGAAGCTGGGAGGAGGGAGAGGAGCAGAAAAGATAATTATTGGGTACTGGACTTAATACCTGGGTGATGAAATAATATGTACAACAAACCCCCGTGACACGTTTTTACCTATGTAACAAATCTTCACATATACCCCCAAACTTAAATTAATTTTTTTAAAGGGGTGAATCTAAAACAAAAATCTGACCATGAAACTCCATCTTAAACTCCTTTAGTAATTGATCTCCATTTTCTGCAGCGTAAATATCAAGCTACTAGGCATGATCCTTCATGAGGACCTTTACCTATAGCTTTAGTTTTTCTAAGATTATTAGAAGTCTTTTCCATGAAAGTTTCTCTTTTTATATATATGTTGTAGTATGTTAATAAGATCATTTCTTATTGCTCCAGATTAGACTACAGGGGCAAACTGCCCCACCTCTAAAAAGTGGCTACTCAAGTAAAAAGTAATGCATTACAAAATAGAACATATATTTTAAGGCAAACATCTAGTAACACTTGGCTTTTGCATGAAATTTTGCTTCTCTCATTATCCTTTCTTTTCATTTGTTTAAAGTCTCACTATTTACCATCACAGATATATCTATGTTTATGTTTGCCTCTTCCCAAATCACTGTTGAGTTATGCATGTATATGAAGACTTAAGTAAATACATAGGAAATATATTGCTCAGTCATATGGATATTGTCTTACTGAAAAACTGTAAAAATCTGTAGCTCTGGCTACAAGAAAAATTATGATCAAAAAACTGTTCCTACTTATCTTCTATCCAGTCATGTTGGAAATTCATTTAGATCCATCTTTAAAACCATAACTAGGATATCCTCTTTCTGTAATATACACATATCATTCTTGAGCTTGAAGAAATATTAAACATATGCTTACAGAGAAGAATTGTTTGAATATGAGCACTTTTAGATATGGAGAGTCTGACTTTTACACTGCTTTACTAATATCTCTGCAGTTATTCATTCATTCAACCTTCACAGTTTGAACATCTACTCTATGCTTCATGTTGAGATAAAATATAAAGGACTTACAATGTCTTCGTTCAAGGAGCAGTGAGAGAGAAAGTTGTAGATTTTTTATAAGGATTCTCAAATCAGTGATACAAGTATAAAATTTCTCTCTTTTTTTTCTAATTAGTGAGTCCCATTATGCTATGCAAAATCTCTTTCAATTCATAAAGACAACTTGAGAAAAAATTTTAAAATTTTCTGATAACTTTGTTATAAAACACCCAATTTAAAAATTTAATCTCAGATGATTTTGAATTTCTGTTTCTCACATCCCTCAACCAAAGGATCGATTTGTCACCTGTGGTTTGAAAGAGAGGCCTCCCTGTGTGCCTTTGTGTCATCTCTTCTACACTTCCCACATCTGAGTCCAGGCTTTTGAGAATGAAAGTGTACAGGTGAGTGGGGAGGCTATGCCAGTCATTGACAGGTGTCCATGTCCCCACTCTGCTTCCAGTTGCTCCAGTTAGTTCCTAGTAGCCCTGTAGAAATGGTGATCTCCTGGTAGGTGACATGTATGGTTTTCTCGGGGCCTTGCTCTTGCTCTGCTTCCCTCCAGCCCACTTATTCACTGAAGACCTCTTCAGAGAGGAGCAGGTAGGTCCTCCTTCAGGAATTCCGTGCCCTCCATTTGGGGCACTCCTTAATGTGGAAAGCTGAAAAGCTTCCAACAGGGTGATCTTCTGTGCTTCATCACATGGACTCAGGAAAGTCACAGAGATGCCCTCTGCGCAAGACAAATTCCCAAAGGGAAACTCACACCTTAATTTGTTTCAAATATCATCAAATAATAGTTCCTCTGTTCAAAAGAGATTAGTCAATGACAAATTATGTAAGAGTAAATGGTTTACTGCATTGTAATGATCCACAGAGCTTATCATAATTTCTATATTCTAAGTCTTCAAGAGAGTTATATTAAGTAATGATTTTACATTTACTTATGACTGTTCTTCAGAACATACTTTAAGAAAAGTTCATCAATGCAAATTCTGAATTTCCTATTAGGATAAATAAAAATTAGAAGATTAAATAGCATAGGATATAAGACACCTTAGCAGAGGATACTCTCTTTATACCCAATTTTGTCATTTAAAAAAGCTTAAAATAAACATTTTCTCATCAATTTTCCTGATTTAGACCCATACAACTGGCTTCAAATTTCAAAGGCAAATCATAGGGAATTAATACCTACATTTTTCTGAATCAATATTATGTCCAGGCTTACCCAGTATATAATTCCATCAATTTGCTGAATTCTTTAAAAAGACTGCCTTTGAATAATGTAAAATTTTGTATGGAGTTGAATTAAATAATTATAGCACTTAATAGGATTGCTTTGGGCTTGAAATTTTATATTTTTATGGTTTCGAGTAAAATATTAAGCCATAAACTAGAAGTTTTTCTAAGAAAATATTTGCATTTAGTGTCAAAGGCAATTGGATTATATTAACAAAAGGCTTATGTTACTATGGGTTTTGATCCTAAAATTAATGTTCTCTTCTTAGGGTTAAAAATGCATATTGTAAAAGAAATGACTTTTGAACAATATAGCTTTCTTTGCAAGCCTATTATAACAATCAACCATCTCTTTAGTCTATCTGTATATACAAATAAATTATCCAAGTCATAATATGAGAATTATTGACCCAACAAAGAAAAACTTTATGATAATAACGAGAAAATTATCGTAGTGATAAGGGCAAACATATTGGAATCTGATCTTGCATGAATGCTAACTTTGTGATTGGACACTGTATGATTATAAATATAATAATTTCACTGAGTTTTGCAGGGTTGATTAAACTTTACTGGATGTTGTGAAATTGAAATATCAATTTCTAGTCTTATGGAGGCACAAAGAATGGTACAGAAATGTTAACTGTGGAAGTCTTCATCAAGAAAATGCCAGTTGAGTTAGACTGTGAAGGATGAATAGACTTAGGCGATTGCCTGTAGAGAGAAGAGAATTCAGATAAGATAAAACATGAGGAAAGAAGAATATGCATCGATTAATGTGGGTTCAGGAAAATGCTCAGTATACCACTGAGAAATGTTCTGTGTGTGTGTGTGTGTGTGGAAAAGGCAGCCTAGCTACGAATAGTGCAGATTATACAGGTCCTGGAATGCTGGAATGCTATGCTAAGGTATGCAGACATCATTTTGTAGATCATGGGGACATTTTAAAGGTTGCAGTAAGGTATGCCATGAATGGTATATATCTTAGCTGGTAGCACTGTAGCCCGTGTTAAGAATATATTAGAAATTATGCTAAGACGAATAACCCAGACACAGAGAGACACATACCGTGTGATATCACTTATTTGTGGAATCTAGAAAAGTTGAACTGATGGAAACAGAGTAGAATGGTGGTTGCCAGGGGCTGAGAAGTGGAGAAAATTGGGAGATGTTGATGAAAGGGTACAAAATTTCAGTTGTAAGATGAACACAATAACTTATAACACTTATAATTTATGAGTTATAACTTCTGGGCTCTGATGTACAGTGCGGGTGGTACTGGCTGTGTTAATTAATTTTATTATAATAATCATTTCACAATCTATATCAGGCCATCATATTGTATTCCTTAAATATATATGATCTCTATTTGTGAATGAAATATTTTAAAATTAAGAAAGGGAATGTATTAAACCTGAAACTACTAAGAGTGCTATTACAGTACACTCAGTAAGACATGAAGGTTGCCTGTAATTGGTGCTGATTTTGAACATGGAAATTAAGTATTTTAAGTGAAAGTCATTCGGTGGCAGGAAAAACGATTAGTGGAACTAAAAGAGAATTCTTGTAAAAAAGTAGCTTGATCTTTCAGAACTTAGAGGCTTGCAAGGTATAGAAAAACCGTCACTCCGCTTGAATGTCTCTGCATGGTTACCTCTGTCTTTTTTATGTTCTCATCTTCTCTCTGAGTCTCTCTTTGGATTAGCTTTCTCTGCTTGCCAAATTCCCAGGCAAGAAAATTTTATTAGTATAAGCTTTATTAGTGTTTAACCCTGTCCCCGTTTTATTGGAATAGTGAGGTGGTTGCTTTTTTCGCCCCCACAGGGCTGTTCTTAATGGAGAATAAGCTGGGCAATTTCTCTAAGGTAAGATATATTGTTTCAGTAAGTAAGTTTCAGACTGAGAAAATGAATGGCTTCTTCAGGTTAGAGGAAATAGGTTAGAAAGTAATAGAATTAGAACAACTTAATGGTAAACTAAATGTTAGATGAAGGACAAGAAGTTGTTAAAATTCTCAGTCTTGGGAAGATAGGAGGAGTTCCTTCTGAGACAATGAACTCCTTGAGGGAAGAGACAATCATGTTTCCAAACTAAGCAATGATTGACACATAGAAGCATTAAATAAATATTTATCCACAGGGAGAATATATCAACTAACTTACCTACTATGGAAGGTCAAGTGTGTTTCTGTAAATAGAGTAGGAACTTTGGGCCCATACCTGGCCATGGAGACAGTGGATGCCCTAGAAGAGAGGGAACAGAACAACTCCCATTCTTCCCAAGTCCCTATGAGTAAGAAGGCCATTGTCACAGGTGCAGGTGCAGATCTTGGTGGCAGTAGCCAATATTCAAATGAGAACTTTGAAGGCTGAAGAGGAACTGGGTCCCATGTGAACAGCAATTGAAAGGGGGAGTCAGTGAGTCCTGAGAAACGGGCAAAAGCTGCTCAGAAGGTCATGGAGCAATAAAGGTTGTCTTAGCTCAAGCTGCTCTAACAAATTACGTTAGACTGGGAGACTTATAAAATGCACACAATTATTTCTCATAGTTCCGGAGGCTGGAAGTCTGAGCCCAGGGTACCAGCATGGTTGGGTTCTGATGAAAGCCGTCTTCAGAGTTGCAGATAGGCGACTTCTGATTGTATTCTCACAGGATGGAAAGAGAGCAAGTTAGTTCCATGGCCTTTTTTTTATAAGAGTACTAATCGTATTCACAAGGGCTAAACTCTCAAGTCCTAATTACCTCCGGCAGTCCCCACCTCCCAATACCATCACACTGTGAATGGGGGTTCAATACACTAATTTTAGAGAGACACAGAAAGATTCAGTTCATTGTCAAGGCAGAAGTTCCTGTCCAAGGTGAGATCTGGAGGTATCTCCAGCCTAATGCACACACCTTGTGTGGAGGCAGAACAGGATCCAAGAGACAGAAGTTGTGCCTGGGAAGGGCGATGCCAAAGGGCTCTTCACCTGGAGATTCCTACAGATCCTGACACAAACCTGTCATCTCAGCTCCTTGTAGGGGAGAAAGACTAATTGAACTACCCAGTAGCTTGCTTCTCTAGTGTTTCCCTCAGAATATCTGTGGTGCTCACCTCAACCACACGTTTTTATCCGGCAAAGGAAGTGATTAGAGCTTGTCTTGAGGCTGAAATGATCTCAGTCTGTTCTCCACTATTTAAATGAGTAAGAAGCTCAACCTGATGACGTGGAGCTGCGGTTTGAATGCCAGTGTCTTGTGGGCTGCTTGTGGTATAGGCAGGATATCAAGCAATTAAATGAAAATATTTTCAAGAGGAAATTTTGCATACATGTAAAGTCATCCTTCGGTATCCCCGGTGGATTGGTTTCAGGACCCCTGTGGCTACCAAAATCCGAGAATGCTCAAGTCCCTTTATATAAAATGGTGTAGCATTTGCATATAACTTATAAACGTCCTCCATTACACTTTAAATCATCTCTAAATTACTTGTAATACACAATACAATGTAAATGTTATATAAATCGTTGTTATACTGTATTTAAAAAATTTTTATTATTATTGTTGTATTGTTATTTATTTATTTTTCCAAATTTTGTTTTGCTTGTTTTGTTTTGTTTTAACTTAAGCATACCCTGGGATTCCCAAATATTTTTGATCCAAGTTTGATTGAATCTGCTGATGCAGGGACCATGAAGACCAAAGATTGACTATGTATTTATACAGACAGACAGTCCCCAACTCACAAGGATTTGAGTTACAATTTTTCAACCTTACAATGTTATGAAAGTTATATGTATTTAGTCAAAACCCTACCCCAAGTATCCATGCAACCATTCTGATTTTCACTGTCAGTACAGTATTCAATAAATTGCATGAAATATTCAACACTTTATTGTAAAACAGGCTTTTTGTTGGATGATTTTGCACAGCTGTAGGCTATTGTAAGTGTTCTGAAAATATTTAAGGCAGGCTGGGCTAAGTTATGATGTTGGTAGGTTAAGTGTACTAAGTACATTTTCAACTATTGTATTTTTAGTTTATGATGGGTTTATTATCTGGACATAACCCCACTGCAAGTTGAGGAGCATCTGTGTATTTCCCAATCACATCCCAGGCAGGAAAGAAAGCACAGAGTATAAGCCAAAGTATAAAAACATTTTCAAAATGAAGGAAATAGTTGCTAGCATTTATGTTAAATAAAAGATCTTTATAAAAACTAAGTTTTAGTGGAAATGTAGAGAATTTTTCTCCCTCGGTACAAAAGCTATCAACCTCTCAACTATTACTTTTTTTTACCTACTCTTAATGCTTCTAACTGCAGAATTTTGGAATTTGTGAAAATGCTAACTTGAGTGAATCATATAGCTCAGTTTGTAATTTTGATAAAGAACGTAGATTTTCTGCAATTTATAGTTTTTTTCCCTCTGTTTGAATTGCTAAATTTGTTCTTTTTAAGAGCGTAAAATGTATTATAGACTTGCTATATCCTGACTCATTCAAAGTTTATTTTATTCTCTACAACAGCACAGGAAAATTTCTCTTCCCTACCCTGGTGCCAACTCCCCCACATGCCGAGAATACCTAAGGAGAGTGATCTTTCCTTCCTCTTGGCTTTTTTTCCCCAGTCTATCTGTGATGGTGGAAATGAAACAATCTACTGAGATAGATTTGCTTTGACAAGGAGACTGTATGCTGTGGTAGAAGGAACCAGGATTGGATTAGGAATCCAACTATTTGAATTCGAGCTCTGTTATAGAGATCTAAAAGGGCGATAATTGTCATAAAACTATCTCGTGCATAGAACATCACTCTTTTGGGTCTCAGTAATTCCATCTGTAAAAGAATAAGATAGGGTTAATAACCTCTATAGTATTTTCTGACTGTATTCCAACAGAATTCTAGGAATACTTCTCTTATTCTAAGTATTTTATGTCTTTTTTATTTTTTTATTATTTTTTTTTTGAGACAGGATCTCACTCTGTTGTCCAGGCTGGAGTGCAGTGGCGCTATCACTGCAGCCTTGACCTCCTGAGCTAAAGTAATCCTCCCACCTCAGCAACCTGAGTGGCTGGAACCACAGGCATGCACCAGCATGCCTGACTAATTTTTTAAGTTTTTGTATTTTGAAAATTTTTTGTAGAGAAAGCGCCTCATTTTGTTGCCCAAGCCAGTCTCGAACTCCAGGGCTCAAGTGATCACCTGCCTCAGACTCTCAAAATGCTGGGATTACAGGTGTGAGCAACTGGGCCTGACCACATCTTCGTTTACACATAGTTTATGTAGTAGTTCATCTCCATAGCATGATTTTAATAATCCTGGTAGGATTTTCCACTTCTCACATACCCCTAAATCACTTGTTAAAATTCCATTATTAGCACATTTATTTTGGATTAAGAAGTTATTCATTTGAAATACCAATGACCATTGATACTCTTGATGGAGCAATTGTAGGGCACTGATTAAAGAAGAGACACTCCCAGGAGGGGACCCTAGGGAAAATTCTGAAAGCTCAGAGGGAGGGGTACAGTTTTTCTCATGGTCTGCTTTTCTTTTTCAATGGCACGGCCTTGCTTATGTGCTCTGCTTGTCTGATGGCAATCTTCCCATTGCCCCCATCTGCCTTCAGAGTGGTTGAAGGAAATAAGACGGGAGCTTGAATGTCCTGTCTAATCACAATTCTCGTAAGAGCATTCCCTCAATTCAACTATACAAATGGTCATCACAAAACTCTTAATATTAGATACCGCTCTAACTCTGGGGGATGGACCGGCACATTGTAACTTAGCATCATCTTGGAGAAGTGCTCATTTTAACAGAATCAATTCAGAAATATTTATGTGCATTTGGTTAATTTTAACTGACAACTCTATTAATTTCTTTAAAAGTGTGAAAGTCTTTAGTCAGCACAGGCATATTGCAGTGTAGTTTATCTTATACCTAAGCACTCCCATTGGATTTCATCTGCTCCTTTTCACTTAGGAATGTCACCCTGATGACTCCCGAAGTAAATAGAGTCTCTGATCCTAGTGGAGTATAACATAAGCAGGTAATGCCATTTGGTGCTTATAGCTCACTACAGTGGTGTGATGATGTGGTAGGGTGGAAAATGACAGGGGCTGCATCTCAAAGACCTTCTTCACCTCCTTCTGAACCATGCGTCTATTCTCAGAAACTCCCAGGCCACCAAGTTTCTACTTACAAGGCGCTGGTATGTGCAAGGATAAAAAAATCATCCTTCAAAACTAACTATGAGCTTGGAATGTTCCTGGAGAAGAGAACTTAAATTTGTGGAACATATCTTATTTTAAATTACATTTTGATATGGTTGTCATTTCAGTGATGTTTTGATTCAATCGTTTATATTTAGGTTCTCACCCTTATGTCAGGACACTTTTGGCATCAGGCAATATGATGGACAGTGCATTAAATAAGGCAGAGATTATAAATTCCATATCTTGGATTCTTGCCTTGAAAAACATAGTTTAAAAATAGAAAACTCTTATGGAATGAGATTATTACCTTAATCCTAAATCCTGCTGAATTTCTGTTTTATTTACAACTGTGTAACCTCAATTCTTTTGACATTCAGCTTAACAATGTTGCTTTCAGTTATGGCTCTATAGTACAACTTCCAGCCTGGAACACAGCTTATGGCTAATGTGATTTAGAGTCTGTGGAAATGTGTTTTACGGCAGACGTGATGATAACACAGACATGGTTACAGTGGCGTGCAAAGTGCATTCACCATCCTATTATATTTGTCATCATTTGTGGTCTCTGATAGGATGTCTGTTTCAGATTGCATGAAGGGAGTGGACATACCTGCATGATGCTTTGTTACACATTTCCTGGGGAAAGAATTGCTGTATTGGCATCTGCCGTGGGAGCTGTGATAAGAAATTTTCCTTTCAGAACCTTCTCTAACAACCATGCTTGCTTTCAAAAGACCAGAAATGCTCGTTTGGAAGGGCAACCATTATTTCTTGCTTTACAGAAAGATTTTTCTGAAGGTTATAAAAAGGAAAAGCAAATAGAGAAAATGGGTAGTTTTGGACATCTTGTGCTTGGAGGTCAGCCAAACCCATCAAATATCAGCCTATGGACATGCTTTGTACTCAACTCTCAGCAGGGAACATAAAACCAGGGCAACAAACAGGTAGGCCTTCCCTTGCAATCTGTGCAATCGGCTTGGTACTACCATTTATACATTTATTTCCTGGACTCTGAGTCTGATTTATTCATTTAAATTCTCATTGTTTACCTGCTCCTTTTGTTAATTATTCAAATTGGGGGCACATGTGTTTGTATTATTTGTGTATGTTTTTAAGGGATTAAAGTGATTCTGTTGACAGTCCATTCCAGTTTGTTCAGAACTATAACATACACTGTGTTATTCTTGTTCACCAGGCTTTTAGGCCTGGTTTATTTGATTGGGTCTCTTCTTTGCTCTTTATAGCTTAAAATGACAGTCCTCAATCATGGACAGCCTCTCAAAAATTCTGAGCTTTAGTGAAAATAAAATGACAGATGTGAAGATTAGAAAAATAATCCAGAAACTAGGCTGAGGTAATGCAGCATCACTATCTTCACTTTGACACCTGAAATATGGCACTTTTGAGTCTGTGTCTTTTTAGCCTCATAACCTCAAAGAAGTTTGGCTAATGTAAATAAAAGACCCCAACCTGTATTGTGTGGCATCTATTGATTTTCTCAAGGATGTCCATTTATTTAAAATGTTATGATTATAATTAACAGCAGAAAGCCTGAGAGACATTTGTAATATATAGAAAGAAAAGTTATTATGCATAGTACTTTATGATCTTCTATAAATCAATGACAAAAATTAAAAAATGCTTAATTTAAAAAGCAACAACACAGTAGAAAGATCACCAGAGAGAAATAAAAACTAAAACCATGATGAGATAACATTTTTCACACATTATATTAGTGAGAGTAAGATAGTAACTTCCAGTATTCACCCATAACCATTGCTGCCCTCCTTCACGGCACATAAGAAAATTATGTTTCCCTACTCCTTTGCAATTAGATGGGGCAGGTGATGAGTGCCAAGATCACTGCTGTGCCTGGACATTTAAACATCATCTCTCTTCCAGACTTCTGCAGCAAATTTCAGAAATATTGCTTCCAGATGGCTTAGTGACAAGTTTAGGAGGAGAGAAAACTTTGATGATAAATACATAAAATTTAGATTTTGTTAAACCATTGGGATTTGGGGATTACATATTTATGTAAAGTTCTATGCCAAGGTACCACTATCTTGACTGATGCAAAAAGTAAAATCGATTGGTAATATCTGGTGTGGGTGGCTATGTGAAGAAATGGGCACCAATTGTGGGAGTGTACATTGCTTGATATGATTTAGCTGTCTCCCCACCCAAATATCATCTTGAATTGTAGTTCCCATAATTCACACACGTCATTGGAGGGACGTGATGGGAGGTAAGGGAATCATGGGGGTGGTTACCCCCATGCTTCTGTTCTCATGATAGTGAGTTCTCAAGAGACCTGATGGTTTTATAGGGGCTTTTTCTGCTTTTGTTTGGCACTTCTACTTCCTGCCATCATGTGAAGAAGAATGTGTTTGCTTTCCCTTCTGCTATGATTGTAAGTTTCCTGAGGCCTCCCCAGCCATGCAGAACTATTGGTCAATTAAACCTCTTTATTTTATAAATTACCCAGTTTCAGGCAGTCCTTTATAGCAGCATGAGAATGGACTGATACAGTAGACTGGTACCAAGTAGTAGGGCACTGCTGTAAAGATACCCAAAAATGTGGAAGTGACTTTGGAACTGGTAACAGGCAGAGATTGGAACAGTTTGGAGGGCTTAGAAGAAGACAGGATGATGTGGGAGTTTGGAACTTCCTAGAGACTTGCTGAATGGCTTTGACCAAAATGCTGATAGTGATATGGACAATGAAGTCCAGGCTGTCATGGTCTCAGATAGAGATGAGGAACTAATTGGGAACTGGAATAAACGTAACTCTTGCTATGTTTTACCAAAGAGACTGGTAGCATTTTGCCCTTGCCCTAGAGATCTGTGGAACGTTGAGCTGGAGAGAGATGATTTAGGGTATCTGGAGGAAGAAATTTCTAAGCAGCAAGTATTCAAGAGGTGATTAGGTTTTGTTAAAAAGATACGGTTTTATGTATTCACAAAATATGGTTTGGAATTGGAACTTACATTTAAAAGGGAAGCAGAGAATAAAAGTTTGGAAAATTTGCAGCCTGACAAGGTGATAGAAAAGAAAATCCCATTTTCTTGGGAGAAATTTAAGCCTGCTACAGAAATTTGCATAAGTAATAAGGAGCCGAATGTTAATCACCAAGACAATGAGGGAAATGTCTCCAGGGCATGTCAGAGACCTTCACAGCAGCCCCTCCCATCACAGGCCCAGAGGCCTAAGAGGGAAAAAATGGTTTAGTGGACTGGCCACAGGGCCCCTCTGTTGGGTGCAGCCTAGGGAGTTGGTGTCCTGTGTCCCAGCCACTCTAGTCATGGCTAAAATGGGCCCAAGTACAGCTTGGGCCATGACTTCAGAGGGTGCAAGCCCCAAGTATTGGGAGTTTCTATGTGGTGTTGAGCCTGCAGGTGCATGGAAGTCAAGAATTGAGGTTTGGGAACCTCTGTCTAGATTTCAGAGGATGGCCTCCCCAGCCATGTGGAACTGTGAGTCAATTAAACCTCTTTCCTTTATAAATTACCCAGTCTCGGGCAGCCTTTTATAGCAGCATGAGAATGAACTAATATATTGGTACATTCTTTTGGGAACAATTTAACAACTTGTATAACAATACAAAATAACCAACAATTAGTCTGCCAAATAACCAACAATTTTACTTCTGTTATTTTATCTCACTATGATACTCTTCCAAAGGTGAAAGACAATATTTCTTGCAGAAATATTATAAATAAATGATTGAAAATAAGTTAACCATCTATGAATAGACAAAGTGAATTTTTCCAAAAAAATGAAAGGTATGCAATAATAAAGAATGCTTATATTTACTACCAGGGTGAAACAACCTTGAAATTTTTGCATGAACAAACAAGGCTTAAAATGATAAAAAGCTTTTTGGAGTCTTCTGTGATATAGCTAGCTATATGTAGAAGATAATACAATTTTAAAAACTGAACAGAAAAATCTGTGATAAATGAATAGATGTGAGAAATAGAAAAAAAACTTGAGTAATACTCACTAAAGCTGTTGAACAGTTGTAGTTTACTATAAATAGGAGCAGGAGAGAAAGAAGAACAGTGGGGTTTATATCATACATTTCTGAGTCATTCAGAATTGTTAAGATAATCATGTAGTATTTTATAAGTTCAAAATCTACACATGGTAAAACATTTATATATTTTTATGATTTTTGAGGTGATTCATACATTAGCTTTTAATAGTCATAGTAGGAATCTGACTATACCTTTTGGTTTTATTGCCCACAGATGCAAAGTGTTGCTATTTGTGAATATTTTAATTTACTGGATATAAGCAAATCTAAACCTTTGATTTGTAAAACCAAAATGAATGAAAGCAGCTATTATATGGGACAAATTTATAGCTTGAAAGGTTATGGGCATATGTGTTTATCTCTTGCCCTCTTCCAAATTTCAGTCAAATGACACAAAGAACAAAAATACATTATAAAGCAATTTGGTTTTTGTGTTAAAACTAGGATTGGCTGTCCACCATGAGATGGACATAGCACGGACACTATTAGGGGATGAATACCCCAACAAGGGAGTTAGGGGAAAGAATCTTCAGAGCAACACCATTAATGCTCCCTGGGGCTGAAGAAGAAGAAGAAGAAGAAGAAGAAGAAGAAGAAGAAGGCAAAGAAGATGCAGAAGAAGAAGGCAAAGAAGATGACGAAGAAGAAAAAGAAGAAGAAGAAGAAAGAGGAAGAGGAGAGTGGGATAGTTTATAAAGTGCAAGACTTGATCTGATCTGTGTCTTCAAAATATAAAAATTCTGTGGTAGGCCTCACTTTCACTAGATGTAAGGAAGAGGGTGTCTTAGTTCATTTTGTGCTGTTGTAACAGAATACCACAAGATATTCTGATGAAGTTAGAAATTTATCTCACAGTTCTGCAGGTTGGGAAGTCCAAGATCAAGGCATCAGCAGGTTCAGTTGTCTGGTAAGACAGGTATGCCGTGTGCTTACACAGCAGAAGGCAAAAAGTCAAGAGACCCTAATGTGAAGCCTTTGATATAAGAGCCTCAATCCCACTCAGGAGGGAGGAGCCCTCATGAACTAATCATGTCTTAAAGCTCCCACCTCTCAATGCTACCACATTGGCCATTAAGTTTCAACACCTGAAGTTTGAAGGGGACACATTCAGACCATAGCATGAGATGTGCCAAATGAAGCTTGAACACTACTTGAACTGGCCCCAAGCAAGGAGAGTTCTGATTGTTAGAGAAAAGTTGTCACTGCCAGCATGTAGGATTCTAGCCTAGGAGACACATGATAACATGCCTTGTGAAACACCTGACTCCTGGAAAGCAGATCTTGTTTTTAACAAATATCATTGGCTGGGCATGGTGGCTCACGCCTGTAATCCCAGCACTTTGGGAGGCCAAGGCGGGCGGGCGGATCACAAGGTCAGGAGATCGAGACCATCCTGGCTAACACGGTGAAACCCTGTCTCTACTAAAAATACAAAAAATTAGCCGGGCATAGTGGTGGGCATCTGTAGTCCCAGCTACTTGGGAGGCTGAGGCAGGAGAATGGCATAAACCTGGGAGGGGGAGCTTGCAGTGAGCCAAGATCCAGCCACTGCACTCCAGCCTGGGTGACAGAGTGAGACTCCATCTCAAAAACAAACAAACAAACAAAAAAACAAAACAAATACCATTGTAGTGACTTTATGTCCAATACATTGTACTAAATGATTGGTATATGCATGAATTGTTAAAGAAACTAAAATTATTTGGTATGTAAAAGAAACGAGTAAGAGGTAATCATATAATGATCTTTGGGAACATCTTTTCTTAATTTTTTCTATTTTATACAAGATGGTGTTTACTGGTGGAAGGATTAGTCAGTTATCTAATGACTAATCTACTTCTAAAAGGTCTTTTTAAATACTTTCGAGATTTTTAAAAATTGATTATTGGAGTCTGTAGAAATAGCTTCCTTTAAGCTCTCTCAAGTTACTGCTAGGTTATTAGAAATTGATTATTCTATTATTTATTTAATAAGAACAAAAGAAATATACAGCGAATATTCCTATCTTATTGGAGTGTTGGCCAAATTGTATTTCAATAATGGGTTTTCTAAGAAAAAGTCCTCCAGACAATTGCTTAACCACTAGTTAATTTGTTTCCTTTCTGTAGATCAAATCAGAGCATTTATTTTACTTACATGCATTGTGAATCTGTAGGGAACGTACGGGACATGCAATTTTCCCATATTGTTTAATCATGGAGAACTTCTTAGAATCTCTTACCATCTCATAGTATTTTAGTGTTTCACAAAATAGTTTTAAAAATTGCATTAAAATACTTTGCTAAAAGTACCAGATGGTATAAAAAATGGAACCTTTAAAAATACTGAGTTTGTTTTTATACAATATGCTATTTAACTTAAAGAAATGTCCCTCTTGTATAAAATGTATTAGTGTTAAAGAAATTACATTAAAAAAATTTTTAGCGAACTTGTTTAGGAAAAATAATTGATTGAAGATTAACTGATTGGAGTATAGGTTCTCCCTGATAAATACAGTTATTAATTTTTACATTGGTTCTTCCATTTTAAATACTCAAGATTGGGAAAAGCAAGCATAATATACATTAAAGAAGATATGCTGGAGGGGAACCTCATTTCTTCCAATGTCAAGAGATATATCCGGTGGTATAAGATACAAGACATAGATACACAGACACATCTAAAATGACCTACCCTCTGTTCACTAGATGGATTAAACTATTTTATAGAAACGATTTAATAGAATTTTATAGATGGATGTAAAGCTTAAAGGTTCCTGGAACAATGGTGCTAATCTAATTAGCTGAACCTGCATGGGGATGTTTGTAGGGGAGAAGAGAGGATGGAGCAAAGGATATTCATGGCATAAAATAAAGAATGCTGCAGTTGCCAGGCAGATGTCATATCAGTTCAAATAGGTCAGTGTAGACAATGCATCTGTCTTTACAGTTGGATGCAGTAGTTGCCTCTAATTTTTAAGTTCTAAATGAAAATGGAAAACACCGTGGCCTTGTACCAGCTCTTACAAGAGAATTTGAGCAGGTACAATTCTGATCTCAACGGTTGGACAGCCTTTTAGGTAATTTAAAAAGAAATTAGTATGTCAGTGAATTTTTCCTGGAAAATAGAAAACAAAGTTAGCAATGACAAGCTGACCTTGATGCTTTACTCAAGAGCAATCTGCCTAAAGCTATTTGCAACATGAATATGTGCTCCTCCTCTGTTGGTTTGGCTCATGAGTCTCTGGGGGAATGAGTTATTAAAGTTGGATTTAATACACAGCCACACTGTGTCAGTGTGTGGGCTGCAAACAAAGCTGCTGACATAACCTTACTCCACCCTACCAGGGTTTTTCAGTGTGAGGCCAGCTCCCATGAGAAGAAATCTGCCAAGTTCAAAGAAGATGAGGGGAAAAGGAAGAATGTCTTTTGTGTTCATAACTGTTCAAATCAAATATAATTTTTAAATGTTACATGCCAATTTACTAGCAAACACTTTCTTAAATGGAAATGGCACGGCCTTAGGAACATGGGTTTTTATCCGTGTATTTGAAATGAATCTTTAGTAATGGATCTCAGAAAGAAACACAGAGTATTTTAAATGAATTTTTCAACAGGGAGGTACCTTTCAACTAAGATGGAAATATCTTAAAATAAGCACTCTCCATCTCTTTTGCTTTTCTTCTAGGCCTTTCTCACATACAGACACTGCATATTTCCCACAGACTTTAACTTAAATTCTTGGAAGGTTAAGTTTATGAAATGACATAATTTTCTATGGTTGTATAAAGAGTAATGGCATTTTGTATTTCCTCCACACATTTCGAAACCTGATTATATGTATGACAACAGTTCAATGAAATCTTTTGGAACATTTATATATAAATTGGTTCATGAGTGATGTGTAAATTAAACACTAACGATGGGGAAACGTTCCCTCATTTTCATACATATGACATTTTGGCATATATGGCATTTTAGCAAAAATGCTCATCTCTAGCTTCAGCCTTTTGAAAATAAATGTCTTGCTAAGCAGTGAACCAAATGTGAGCATGTATTATTTATAAGATTTTTGAAATACTTTCTGATTCTTCCACCTTTCTTCATAATATGCCTGTTTACATTAAAATCCAAAAAAAGGAGACTGGGAAGGCTTGAGAAAAGGGGAAAATGGCAGAGTGGAGTGTTTGGGAAGTGAAGTGCTTTAACAAAGAGGGATTGGTTTACTCTGCCCAGGGCTACAAAGAGGTAGAATCAAAATATGGGGACTAAAAGTTGACCATTGGAACTGGTAAAATAGAAATCAGTGGAACTTATAAAAGCATATTCAGTGAATCAGACTGGAGGGGCCAGAGGCCTTAATGTAGTGGCTAAGAGGAGAGAGAAGGGTCCTGTGCATAAGCAAAGGAGTTGGCTCTAGATTAGAGTAGGGTGGATGTATAATCTATTTTTTTTAACATGTGGGAAGTGAGAATACGTGCATATAAATGCATTTGTGCTGACTGGTTCATAGATGTGGTGGTGAGAAGATGAGAAAATCTCTTTGGAGTGATTTTATTTTCCCAGTGAAATAAGAAGCAAAATCATGGAATTGAAAAGAGGAAGAAGAGTGGATGTTGAAAATTTAAATGGAGAGGGTAACAATGAAATGATCATCCTGAAGAATGAAAGGGTGAATTGACTAGGAAAATGTAGTAGGGATCCTGGCTAGTGCTAAAGTTAGAGATTCAGGTGGTGAGGAATCAGAAAGGTTGGGCTAATTGATTAGAGATGCTCATAGTATCAGGGAAATGCTCTAACTACTAGAGTAAGTTAGCTAGGAAGATTGGGGAGGTCGTGACCAGAGAGTGGGAGCCATGCAGTAATTAAAAATGACAAAACTACAGAATGGCTGTTGAGTGAGTTCGATAGTTACCTTTTGAACAGATATAAAAGCCACCCAGAATGATGACATGACTATTTGTGGAAATCCTATAATCTAGTACTGCAGTAAATGAGGGAGGATAACAAGGAGGTCAGTAGTTGACCTCTTTAACACAGAGGAAATGTCAGTGATATTATCTGGTAATTTGAACTTCAAGGGGTTATGCTTTTTCAAGGAAAAGAAATGTTCTGGAATATGCAGTAAAGTTTAATGAGGTTACCTACTGCCTTTGGGAGATATTAAATCACAGAGATTTTTTTCAAGGATGAGCTTGGAATCAAATTAACTTATGTCACTCAGTAAACGTGGTGATCTTGGGTAAGTTACTTAAATTCTCAGGATATCACTTTCCTCATTGGTAAATTGAGAAGGACATTTTCTATCTCATAGGGTAATTTTAGGGATTAAGTGAGTTAAGCCTAATACAAAGTGATTGTTCAATAAGTTGGCTATTACCCGCTTTCAGTCTCTAGTTAAAAGGATTATCAGAGGAAAATGATGTGTCCAATCTTGACAGTACTGCAGGGTAAGTTATGCCTTCAGAGAGTAGTTTGATTGCTGATAGAGCAGTACAATAAAGTGAATATTCAGAGTACCTTGAGGATGTTGAACATTTTGCTGACAGCCAACTCAGAGTCAACAGGGTTCAGTGGAAATGTCAGATATGTGAGGAAATTGGGTCACCATTACATAGACAGAAGAATCCTAGTGGTTATGGAAGAAATGGAAGTCTTCCATCAGTGTCTGTGGCAAACAGCTTTATAACTTGTGGTGAGGTTATTCTAATATTATTTTCAGAAGTATTTTCTAATTATCATCTCCTTCTCAATTTGACCTCTCAAGCAGTTGGTAGATGTGGGATAATCATGATCTAGCATCTCGAACATTTAAAGTATTAGCTGGCCTGACACTTCTAATTGAATGAGATAATAGGAAAAACAGGAATATCTTAGCTCTACCAAAATACTGTGCATTTATTTTGATACATCTGGAAAAATTTAAATAAGAAAAGCAAAACATTATTAACTTAGAACTATAAACAAACCTGGGTCTAATTTACCCAAACAAATCCAACTATGTAAACCATAAAACAAAAAGATAATTGAATAACCCTGAATTATGTAGAGATCTGGAGAATTTCACTTAAACATGTTTCCAAATTTGGATTTTACTTAACACTTGGAAGTCTTCAGCTTTTTGTCAATTTGTCTTATAATTTGTACACTGCTTATCTCTCCTGGAAATCAGATGCATTCATGCTTCTCCCAGTAAGAGAAGTTATAATAAAAAGTAAAACACATAGAATTTTGCAAGGAATCAATGAAGCAGTTGGGATGCATAGTAAATCTTAGGGGAATGCACAAAGGTACTACTTACTGAAAAAAGAGGAAATGATCACAGACAAGTAGAAGAGGTAAAAGATTTGCAAATGGATGCTTGTAATAAATGCAGGTGCCGGCCAGGTGCAGTGGCTCACCCCTGTAATCCCAGCACTTTGGGAGGCCGAGGTAGGCAGATCATGAGGTCAGGAGTTCGAGACCGGCCTGGCCAATATGGTGAAACCCCGTCTCTACTAAAAATACAAAAATTAACCGGGTGTGGTGGTGCACACCTGCAGTGCCAGCTACTCGGGAGGCTGAGATGGAAGAATCGCTTGAACCTGGGAGGTGGAGGTTGCAGTGAGCTGAGATCACACCACTGCACCCCAGCATGGGCAACAGAGCGAGACTCCATCTCAAAAAAAAATAAAGGCAGGTGCCAATAGCGCTCAAAACTTTCCAATCCCCTAAATCTCTGAGGCTTTAGAGTTTTACTTTGGAGATCTTGTTAGTACAAGCGTAAGAAAATTTAGTAGTTGTCTAAATTGTAAACTTTTTTCTAGATCTTATGCTCTTAAGGATCCACACACTATGCATTTAGTAGGAAGTGAGTGAAAACAAGAAGAGCCAAAAAAAGTACATGATGTGAAAATCAAAAAGTAATAAAGAAAACATATGAGAGCCATCACAGATGTCTGCACAAATTAGAAACCCCACTGAGTTTTTAGAGCTTTTCTAGGTCAGCATAAATGAAATATCACATTAGGGATAGTTTTCCCCTTGAGGAAATTTCGTCCTAAATTTATCAGCTGGCCTAATAAGCTATACTTCACCATAAGCAACTATTAAATATTTATGGATGTATCTTTTTCAGGGAATAGTACTGTTTGTGCAAAAACAGCATTAACGATTATCAGGTTGCCATCCATATCTTACTAATAAAATCAAAATTTTAAAATCTTATTCTTAAATTGTTCTTCTTCTCTTCCTTTATCTTTTCATTTTAATGCCAACCTGCATTGTCCTTCTTTATTTCTTTATCTTTCTTTGCTTTTTATATTTTATGCTTTACAATGACAGTTTTACTATGACAGATAAATATGAAAATGAAAAATGTCAGTCATGTTTAAGCCACATAATGCTTTCTTTTAAAGACTAAGCTTGCTGAAACTTGGAAGATGATCCAATAAAAGAGTAAAAAAAAATGTCTGAAAGGGGCTTGACTTTTTCTGATATCAACAATTGCATTCAAAATCATAGGAAGGGAGTACAGGGAAGCAAGGAGAATTTACATATTTAATGATGACCACTCCAATGTTAATACAAGTCACATAATGTAGTAAATTCACAACCAGAAATTTAAAAAGTAAAAATGTTTAGCGGAGATAAAATCTGAGCTCTCCCACAGTTATGCAGAATTCAATATCTTAGTAAACTGCCTAAGTGCAAAGTCTGTCAAACATTCTTTAACCTCTGCATAAACACTCAGATGAAGTAAAATTAAACAGACCAAAAAGGATTTGGTGCATAAAAACGAATTAACACTGTTAAAAGCAAATCTGAGAGAAATGGCTAAGAGTGCAGTGACACTGGCAGCATAATTTTTGATCTTTCTGAATCCTTATGTTAAAACACACAGAGAGACTAGAGGTGAAAACACAAATGCATATGGAGAATATTTACCATAAAGCTAGAAACAAGACATTCCAAAACTACTAATGGGAGGGGAAATGTACCATCAACCACACGACCTATGTTTTTATCATCTGCTCTGGAGAAAGCAAAGAGAATCTGACAGGCCTGAGAAAAGGAGAATCCCCGAATTTCTAATGGATTTTCACTGAAATAAAAGTGGTGCAAATTTTAGAAGAGCTGATGAAACCAGGTGGGAATTTGCCAACTGTGCTAGTGGGTAAATGCAGGTTTTTTGGTAAGAGCTAAAGTCACTGGAGCAGTCTAGCTGCCATGAACTTGGGAAAGTGAACCACTAGACATTTATTTCAGAGTGAGGCCTCCTCACTGAGCAGAGTGTAACAGCAGCAGGATAAACGAAGAAGAAGGTCCAGATAAAAGTAAGAATAGATTACAAAGTGAGGGAATCTCAGAAGGCAAGACTTTATGTTTTTTAACACTACTTACATATAACAGAGGAGGAAGCTTTGTGAAGTTAGAAAAGCTGCCTTAAACTTCACTCTAAAATTCAGAAAGAGAAATTTGCATAAAAATCAACAACAGGAAATATTTTAAAAAGAACAAAATCCAATTAATGTTAATATATTAAAAATATTAAAGAGAAGAATCACCTTCTTACACAAAGTACAACCTTCAAAAAGACAATCTCTCAAAACAATTCAGAAAAGCTGAGATATTTAAAATGATATAAATTATGAAAGAACATCACAAATCAGAATTGCAAAATCTCTGAAATGAAATGGTAAAATCTACGAAAGAATTAGAAACAAGAGAAAAAATATTTTAAAAATTAAGACTTCAATAAAAGAGATAAAAGAGCAAAAAAAGTCTTTAAGTAGATAAAAAGGAGAACTTCAAAGAAAATGCTAAAAAGGATTTCAGAAGAAGTGGCAAATATTGAAAATAGCTGAAGAAGGTTCAAGATACAGAGAAAGTCAATATTTAAGGAAGAAAACCAAAGTAAGAGAACAATAAGAACAACAAAATACGATAAATGTTCATTATATAATAAACAAAATTCGTCCTAAAATAAAGGAAAAGATTTAACAAAACATATTAGAAGAGCAAATGGGAAGACTAATACCAGCACTTAATCTAGTAAAATTACTGGACTTTAAAGAAAAAGCCAAAAGATTCTTAAGGTATCTGAGTAAAAAGAATATGTAATTTATAAGGAAAATGCAATTTAGCATCAGACTGTTCAACAGTAATATTTTATGATAGAAAAAAATGGAGTAATATATTTAAGAGTCTCAAGGAAAAAAATTGGAAGCAAACAATTTTATATCCAGCAAAACTGACTCTCATCTAAAAAAGAAAGTGTTATTGACATGCAGTAACTCTTAACATGCAGTAACTCAATATATTTTAATGGGATTTTTTAAAGGAATCTACTAAAAAATGAGCTTCACACAACCATAATGACAATAGAGTCATCAAAAAACGACTGGTGGTTAGCATTGCTTGACTATGTAGTTACTTACAAAATTAAGAATGAATGAGGGAGAAAGGGACAGATTATGGGACATAATAACAATATATGTAACAATGGGGATACAGAATAAATGCTAAAAAGGATGGCATGGGCAAAAATAATCATTTTTATTAATCTAAATGAATCTTGTTAGCATGAGAATTGTTATTCTGGCTGTTCTACATTTATTGCATTTTAAAGCAAATTGGTCTACATGGAATGCTCTAGTTCTGTCATTTTCTTTGCCCTTAAAAACAACGACCCCTGGTGTGAAAAAAGAAGTTATCAATGCCATACAGAAAATGTTAAGTAGTAGAAAATGTTAATAGTATATCTACTGTTACTTCTGCATGTTATAGCGCTGACTTAAATTGGAAATTAGACTATGATTTCTTAAGTTATTTTCTAACTCTGTCCATTCCAATGACCTAGAAATGATGTGTAAATGGGATCCTTGGTATGCAAAATGTGAAATTTAAATTCTATTTATTGTTAAAAGACACCAAGAATTCTTGGAGAAATAGCTGATTTGAGTTGGAGACCTAGGCGGGAAATGGACAAGATGAAACTGGAACAACTTAGTATAGCAAACAATAAGGTAGCTATCAAAGATTATTAAGATCATCCCCAAAAAAAGAGACAACTTAGGAATCTTTATAAAGATGCATCTATTTCATCTTCCTAATTTTTTCCCTAATTATTCCTAATGACAAAAACCGCAATTACTTTTGCACCAACCTAATACTTTAATCGTATATTTTTTTCTGCTGTATGAACAAGGAGTTCCATGTTTTCATTTTTGTGCTAGCCTTGGAAACCACAACAACATATTGTTCCATTCCCCCCAAAAGTTTCATCACGTCCCTTTGCAGTTGATCTCCTCCTCTGTTCAACATCTGGCAAACATTGATTTGTTTTGCACCCATATGGTTTTGCCTTTTGCAGAAGGAATGAAATCACACAGTAGCTTTTTGAGCATAGCTTCTTTCACTCAGCATAATGCCTTTGAGATTGATAGACTACATATTGTTGCATTTATTAATAGTTCATTGCTTTCTATTGCTAAGCAGTCTTCCATCTTTTATCCATTCATCTGTTGGTGAATGATGATTTCTAGTTCTTGGTGATTATGAAAAACGTTGCTATACATGTGATTTCTTTTTCATTTTTTGATAAAAGATCAAACAAAACGGCCTGAGGATCTTAATCACTTACAGTGCTATATTATATACATTATATCCTGAAAAACATAAATGTCTATGTACAAAGGAAATATTATGTCGAAATATTGCCCCAAATATTACTGTCTTAAAAGTATATAGATTCTATTTTTCTATTTAATTTTGGGGATAAAAGATGGTAGGGTAAAATGAAGAAAAAAACTAAAGAACAAAATAAGAGTGAGATGAAGTACCTAATAAATATATACATCTATATTAATTTTACCCAAATAAGTATAAAATATGACATTTGTATGAATATGCTAATTTATTCAAGGGGCTGAAATATTATCACTTTCTAATTTTGTCTACTCTGTTCATTCTTCTACTGCGTATTTCTGTTTTGATTGAACTAATTATAGAATTATATATTACTGTTCTCAAAAAAATTGTTAGTGCCATGAGTACCAAGTCAGCAGCACCATAATTAAGAACTACTATTTGTTGGGTATGTAGTATGTGCTGCACAGCATACTTCGTGTTTTTCATTTATAGCATAGATCTGTAACAATACCTCATGGTAGGTTTTATTATCCCCATTTTATAAATGAAAAACTGAAGTATAATTAACTAAATCAATATAATTACTGCTGAGATCCAGTATTAAAATCCAGCCCCGTCTTTTTCCATGGCTAGCAAGTAGAAGTGTTGGATGTGAAACAAGAGTTATACAATATACTTAGATATGTAAGTAATTTAGCTTTTCCTTACAGTAATTTTTCGATATAAAAGCCAAAGAAATTTCCTTACTTTTTTTTTTCCAAGTTTATACTTCAACTCTCTTTGAAATCTAGAATAAAAAACAGACACACTGCCCTTTTTCTGTTTCACTGATATGATTTACAATTTATAGTAAGTGACTGGACACTAGGCTTACACAAAATTGTTTCCAAGTAAGGAACAATGTGACAAAGGTGTTACAAGCTCTGGCTCTCCTGGATTATGCTCAAATCCCACCTCTGGGCTTGTTAGTTGCACAACCTTGAACATTTTGTTTGAATCTTCAGTACTTCAGTGTGCCCTCAGGAAAATAAAAATAATGTTAATAAAACTAGCTCCTAGGCTTGTTGCGAGAATTAAATTAAATTATGTGAACAAAGCTTGTGGAAAAATGATATCCCATAGCAAAAATTCAATAAATGCTTAGTTATTATTCACACATGAGAATATACTAAGTATACTATCACTGTTTTAGATTTTTCTTCCATCAGATTTACTACATGAAAGTAAAATACGTAAAATCAATGCTAACTAATGTGCACAAATAATTATCTGAATGTACTATAAACAAAGACTTTGAAAACTGCAAGTCCTATCTACTTAACGAACACCTGGGTTGAGTGAACTAAATGGCCTCTATCAGAGACATCGATGACTTGCACTGAACTTTGATCTTGTCACTAAATGTCATTCATCACTGGCAATATTTCACACACCATTTGGATTTGCTTGACAAGCTATCTATCCTCATGGAAATCTACATCTTGCTCCTTTAGCTGCTCTCAGAGTAAGAGTGCTGTTACTTAACATATTATCATTCTTTCAAAACCTTGTATTCCTGGAGGTTATAAAAATAGGTAGGTGTCTGATTTAAAATTGAAAACGAAATGTGGAGCTGTTCTTACTTCCAGGCATAAAAATTACGATAGGCAATTTCCATTATTATTTGAACATAAAATTTCATTTCTTAAGGCTTTAAGCTTTTTTAAAAAAGTTTATTGCTGAATTTATTACTTTAGAGATAGAATTGCCCATTTTCTTTGTATTTGTCATCAAATACTATTAAGTAGTTAATTTTGTCAGAAAAGGTACCAGACATTGTTCAGCATAAATAAGGAGACTCAGCCTGAGCTCTTCATTAATTTCTTATTTAATTCTGTCAGCTCTCAGGTACTCAGATAGCACAAATTTCAAAACAGAAACTTTGGCATATAGGATTTAGCCATTATACTTCATTTTGTGTTTTGTGGTTAGTTTCATTTTAATGAGGTAGGCAAAGACGTTTCAGTGGATTTTTACAGAGAAAACTTGCACTTTGTACTTAAGAACACACAATTCAATCTATGTCTTTTTCTTGCCTTAAGCTCCATTTTAAAAACATCTCTGAGTTTGCTTGTGAATTGCACATAAATGTAAATTCAGTGCAGGTTTTTAAAGTTATGTTTCTCTTGAGTCCTAAAAACATATTTCACCTTAATTTTAACATTTTGGGTATTTTTAATCTCAAGATTTTATGCCCTTTGCAATTTGCATACTTTTAAGAATTTACTTCCCTACATCCCCACTTTAAACTTACTTAACACACATTTGCAAAGGGGTGGTTGCAAATGCCAAATGCACTCTATACTTGGAGTGTGTTTGTGTGTGTATGTGTGTGTATGTGTGTGTGAGAGAGAGAGAGAAAGAGAGAGAGAGAGAGAGAGATTTCCCTATCTTTGAAATTTTCTCAACATCTTCTTGCTCCTAAAATGTGGGCTAGGGGCTGGGTGCAGTGGCTCATGGCTGTAATCCCAACACTTTGCGAGGCTGAGGTGGGAGGATTGCTTGAGGCCAGGAGTTTAAGACCAGCCTGGGCAACACAGAACCTGTAAAAGTCAAAAAAAAATAAAAGAGAGAGAGAGAGAAAAGAAAAAGATAATGTGCTGTATAGGATGACCTGCCCAAGCTGTCTCTTGCCTAGTAGGCTGCTTATATCTTTAGCTGATTGTTCCAGGTGCTTATATACTGTCCCTCACTACATTACATTATTCTATGAAAGAATAAGTTAGATAGACCTCCGTCTTTGATTAAGACAATAAATACCTTCTTCCAAGGCTTCATTGGTAGAGCAGCAGCATCTTGTTCTTCTATTGTCAGGGTCATAATTATGATTTTTACTCACTTCCCTTGAAAGTTTCCTATTTTTGTGTCCCTTTCCCTTAAAAACACATCATCATTGTGTTTGTTTATATTTTAATAACAAGGGAAGGTCTCTGAAATAATGACTATTAGCATCTGTTCACAACAATATTTGTGCCAGATATTTGTTTTTAAAAAATGGAGCAAATGTATTAGGTAATATTTGTAGAGACACACTATACATCAAGGACTATCGTTAGGTGGTTCTTTTGATTCAGAGCCCTCTGTGCCTCGCCAAACAGGAGGAATTCTTTAATAGAACTTTTGTGAGCAATTGGTGATCACCTTCCAAATGTAATCTGATTCAGAATATAATAGTTATTCTGTTTAATTATCAGATTGTAACCATGGAAGACACATCTAAACTCAAAAAAGAGAAACGTCTGTGAGATCTGAGAATTACCTGTGTTCATTATGAAGAAGTAAATAAAATACAATGATTAAGAAAACATATACAACTTTCCCTACTACAGAGCAACTTCATGTATGTATTTGATTTCAGTACATAGTTCTCATTTGTCATTTTGTTTCTAGCTGCCTCAGTTAGGGTGGAAACTTGACTGTATAACTTTCCAAGGTAGTAGAGCTAAACATGGGGATTTAGGACTGTTTTGGGGGCAGGAAAGGAGAGTTCTGGTTCTCGAGTTTCCCTCTGGCACACTTAATGATATCCAGTGCAGGTATATACCTCAATAAAACCAGAGCCAGAGAAAATAAATGTAGACACGTTGTTCTTGAATCATACTAATTTTCTGTAGATGTCTCTAGGAAAATTTAAAATGGGTGAAATGGAAATCCCTGTATATCCAGACTATGCTTCCTCATGGCCTCATTTAAACGATAACCTGGCCAGTAGCTTCTTTCTGATGCCTTTCCTGAATAGTGACAGCAGACGAAGTTATTCAAATGCCTATTGAAGAGTTCTGGAGTATGCAGGAAAGCGCTGCTGTGGAATAATGCCTAGAAGGCAGGGTAAATTTCCACTTAAGGTCTTTTCCATAGCAAGTATTATTTTTAAGGCAGTGGAATTATTTGATCCTTTGAGGGAATAGAGTTTGCAGCTAGCTGAAGTGAGTAGATGAGTCCTCAGAGTTGGCATTTGTGGGCTGTTGTACTATTTTTTTTATTTTACTTTAGGTTTGGGATACATGTGCAGAACACGCAGGCTTGTTACATAGGTATACATGTGCCATGGTGGTTTGCTGCGCCTATCAACCTGTCATCTAGGTTTTTAGCCCTATAGGTATTAGGTATTTGTCCTAATGCTCTCTCTCCCCTTGCCCCCAACACCCGACAGGCCCAAGTGTGTGATGTTCCCCTCCCTGCGTCCATGTGTTCTGTATGTTTACTGCAGCGCTATTCACAATAGCAAAGACATGGAACCAACCCAAATGCCCATCGACGATAGACTGGATAAGAAAATGTGGCACATGTACACCATGGAATACTATGCAGACATAAAAAAGAATGAGTTCATGTCCTTTGCAGGTACCTGCATGAATCTGGAAGCCATCATTCTCAGCAAACTAACACAGGAACAGAAAACCAAACGCCACATGTTCTCACTCATAAGTGGGAGTCGAACAATGAGAACACATGTTGTACTATTTTAACTTCAGTAGCTTCAGCAGTTGGCATCTCACGGATGCCTACCACTCCAGGGATTTAAAATGAATGCTTATGTCACAATCTCTACCATGTTCTTAGCTTCTCTTTCTATTGTCCCAGTACTAGTTGTCTTCACTTGGTGGGTGCAAAAGTCTGAGCCCACATAAACTGACTATGGACATCTAGTTGCTTTTTTGTCAGCAGTAAACAGTTGTTTCAAACTCTTGTGTTTTTCAAGAATATAAACACTTTGTTAGATGATTCAGAGGTTGTGTCATGAATTGGCGCTGATTATTTTACTTGTCTACAAGGGGGTCTCTGCCTATTCCCTCAATGTGATACATGCTCTTCGTTAGAATGCATGTTTTTAAAGTAAAACACCCTCCCTGTCTTATAACTCATGAACGCTAGATGTCAGTATTGCTCTTTTTCTTCCAAACCAATGCCCTTAGTGAATGATGTCATAGCCTGCTCGGTCTTTCAGCAACGTTGTACACACAGAAAATTGTTCAGCTCAGAGTCTTTTACTGAAATAGTCGGAACCATATACTCTCTGGCTTTCTATGATATGGTTCACGTTGTTTTAAGGAAACATTATCATTTCTCTTCTGCAAAGAGCAGTATTTTTATGAAAAAATTAAAGGTAGAATCAAAATAATAGAAAAAAAATTATATTTGTCAAGGCCTTTTTAATAATAATGGTTTTATAAAATGCAGCTGCCACTAATCACTTTTGGATATAGCTAAATTGCAAACATCTCTGAGATCTTGATGGATGAATAGCAGAAGATATAATACAAGTAATAGCATTCAAGAAGGCAAACTATCAAATATTTTCAAAACTATATATAATTTGTTTATATTGTCTCATTTGAATTATGCATCTTTAAAAAGGTTGTTAGAAAGCAATATTTAAGCATTTTGTTTTTGCCAGGAAAAAAAATCAACAACAGAATATCTTGAGACAAAATCCTCCAAACACCTTTGTATCTAAAGCCACACGGTCATTGTCAGTTGGCAAACTCAGATATTTATATTAGCATATAAAATCTTCTTTAGGGGCTACATGTTACTCAGGGTTTTTACCGTCCACTTGCTTCTTTCAGAAAGTTTCATTTGGCACCCATTCATTCAGTCAGTCTTTATTTCATTCAGCAAATAGTTATTGAATACCTACTCTATGCTCTATGCTATATGGTGTTCTACACCTTGGGGCTACTGAACAAAAACTATATTATCATCTTCATGGAAATTACATTTAAAGGTAGCAGGCAGAGACTGACAAAAAATGATACAAGTAAATATATTATATAATTTCACAAATGTTAAGTTCCATTAAGAAGAACAATGCAGAGCCGGGCTTGGTGGCTCACGCCTGTAATCCCAACACTTTGGGAGGCCGAGGCGAGTGGATCACGAGGTCAGGAGATCGAGATCATCCTGGCTAACATGGCGAAACCCCGTCTTTACTAAAAATACAAAAAATTAGCCAGGCGTGGTGGCACGCGCCTGTAGTCCCAGCTACTCGGGAGGCTGAGACAGGAGAATGGTGTGAACCCAGAGCTTGCAATGAGCCGAGATCGTGCCACTGCACTCCAGCCTGGGTGACAGAGTGAGACTCTGTCTAAAAAACAAAGAAAAGAAAAGTAAAACAATGCAGAATTATGGGACATCAAATAGTATAATTGGGACATCACATAGTATAATTAGTTTCACAAGAGTAGTCCTGGAAGACATACATGTGAGGGTGACATTTATTTCTTCTTATTATTTTTTGAGAGGGAGTTTCACTCTTGTTGCCAGGCTGGAGTGCAATGGCGCGATCTCGGCTCACTGCGGGTTCTGCCTCCTGGGTTCAAGCAATTCTCCTGCCTCAGCCTCCGGAGTAGCTGGGATTACAGGAACCGACCATCACGCCCAGCCAATTTTTGTATTTTTAGTAGAGACGGAGTTTCACCATGTTGTCCAGGCTGGTTCCGATCTCCTGGTCTCAAGCGATCCACCCGCCTCGGCCTCCCAAAGTGCTAGGATTACAAGCATTAGCCACCACACCCGGCCTGAGACACCAATTGAGCCTAGATCTGAACTAAGTGAGGCAGCGAATAAGGAATTACAAGGCAAGGATCAGCAAGTATAAGAACACTGAAGTAGAAGTAAACTTGCTGTATTTGAGGAGGCCCTGGTAACATAAATGTTGTAGACTGAAATGAGATTGCAAAAGGTCAGTTTGAGAACATAGCAGGATTGAGGCCATGGAATCTACGATGATGATGATGATGGAGATGATAATGACAGTAAACATTTATTAAGAGTAATATATGCCAAGTGGTTTTATAAACACTTTACATATATTATTAAATAATTTAATTTTTACAGCAACCCAAAGAGAAGGACAGTATTTTTCCTTCTTTGGAGAGAAGAAAACTGGGTAATAGAGAGTTTACGTTCACAGGAACTAGTAGAAGCTGGTGCAACTGGCATATATATTAAATCATTTTGGCTCTAGAGCCTGTTCTCTCAACTATTAAGTGATTGTAAGCAATGAACATTTTTTTCTAGTTCTTTACTTATGTGTCATATATCTACTGCTTTGCTGCAGCATGAAAGAGGTGATACCATAAGGTATAAAAAAAACAGACACTAAAACAGCGGGTAATACTGAGATTCATATTTTAGCTCTCCTTCTAACTTGCTTTTTGGATTTAGAATATCTCTTTGCCTCTTCGGATGTCGGTTTCCTCAACTGTAAGATAACTGTAAGGATGCAGACTAGAGTTCACAAGTTGGCAATCCTGAGGACAGTGATATTTCTCCATATGTGTTTCCACTAGACCTTTCATTAGACAATGGTGTTGTCATTGCTGTTATTGGAATGAAATTGTTTAAAACACTTGAAATTGAAATAACTTGTATACGACTGTAGATTTATGGTTTGAATTTTAACATCTGAATATGTAACACTATTAAACTTGTATTCAGTGAGCCAGGTGGTCACCTAGACAATGAGTGGACCTCCAGAAGGAGCACGAACTCTACTTCCACAGTTACACAGCAACAGCCATTTATGTCACCTGTCAGGCCGTGGGATGTATTTTTAATGGAATACCCAGGTCCAACTATTCTCTGAGATCTTTTCTAGCGCTAGATTTTATGTCTCCACTTAATTTTCTTCAGTGATATGAGATTATGGTGTAAAAGGGGCTGATTGAGGCCGGAGAGAGATGGTACAGAAAATACCAATTGTCATTCCAAAGTTTTGCAACCTTGTTCTTTTGAAAGAGACATCCCTGTTCAACAGGCAAAGGGAAAAGAATGAGTTTGAGGTAAACCAGAAGTTTTGAGGTAGAAAAAGATGACTGTTCTTTATGCCTCCTTCTACTGGTTCTTTGAAGGTTGCTGACTTCATTTTGTTTAAAACGTGAATTTACAACCTATCAGCATGTAGGTGCAAATATAAATATAAAAATACAGTCCAAAGACAAATAAAATTATTTTAATTAGTTGCTACTGTAAATTACCAATTTCTCATATTTTTCCCACATATCTTTTTATTGAATGAATCTGCATCTATAAATTAATTCCAAGACTCTTCTGTAGACTCATAATAATCCAAATAAAATTCATTCAGAATGTATAGGATGAAAATGTATTGCTGTTTCTATCCTCATACCCTGTTTCACTTTCATGTTCCTCCTCCTTGGGGCGCTGTAGTTCACTCTGGTGAGTGTTCAGCCTCGTGTACACTATTGGAAGCTGGAGAGACTTAGTTGCAAAATGAAAGAGACAGGGAAGTGTGGGATTATTTTTTTCAACTTTTTTTTTTTTTTTTTTGAGATGGATTTTCACTCTTATTGCCCAGGCTGGAGTGCAATGGCGTGATCTCAGGTCACTGCATCCTCTGCCTCCAGGGTTCAAGCGATTCTCCTACCTCAGCCTCCGAGTAGCTGGGAATACAGGCATGAACCACCATGCTCGGCTAATGTTTTCTATTTTTAGTAGAGACGGGGTTTCACCATGGTGGTGAGGCTGGTCTCAAACTCCTGACCTCAGGTGATCCGCCTGCCTTGGCCTCCCAATGTGCTGGGATTACAGGCATAAGCCACCGCACCTGGTCCACTATTTTGTTTTTTCACCTTAATTTCCTTTTAGTGCTGTATTTTTTTATTCCCTCATTTCCCAGGTAACAGGCAAGGTGAAAGATAAGAGAAAAAAAAATCTATCTGCCCATATAATTTACAAAGGATAAGAAGTAAAGCATGTTATGAAAAACAAATCTAGTATCAAGACATAATAAAAATAGCACATAAATGTGTAAGCATCCCCCACCCCCAGATATAAACTATACTGTTCTAGTTGATTTTCCTCAAATTCCCTTATTGAATTCATTATCTTCAGGATTGCCACAAAACTCAATTACTGGAAGGGACAATGTGATACATAAAAAAAAATGTTTCTGTGAATATTCTGGTAATATCTTCTTTTTAATCACAACTAATCTTTGTTCCGTGTTAAGTTTATAATAATCTATGTGTTTCCTTACAACAGATCTTTGTTCTGTGTTAAGTTTATAACAATCTATGTGTTTTCCTCCAAGGATCTATCCAGGATAAAATTCCTGGTAAAAGCTGTGAATTTTACAACTAGGTCAAACAGAAAAGTATGTTGACAAGTTTCTTAGAGAAAGAGAAATTGAAAAAATTTTGTGTTTTTCCAGAGATCTCAGCAGACATCTGTCTAAAACCAGAGCAATGTAGATGAAAGTAGCATATATATGATTCAGATTCCTATTCAGGAAATCTAGAAGAATACATGGTGACTTTGGTTTTTTTGGAGGAAATATATGAATAACAATTTTGTGATTGTCCTCAGGTGTCATATTTTCACACATCAGTACTGAAAGTATCCTGTTAGTCTGGGAATTAACTCAAACTCTGAAACTATATTAAGTTCAAACCTTGGTTCTAGCCCTTGCTAGCTGTGTCATCTCGGGCAGATTACTAAACCACTCTGGACCTCAGTTACCTCATGTAAAACTGAAAATTGTATGAGCTAATTTTTGTAAATCACATCAAACAAGGATTGTCAAGTAGTAGTTACCATATTTTATTAAATCAACAAAACTTTATGCTTTAGTGTATATATTTCAGATATATTGCTTAGAAAGACTTTGAATGTTTCTTTTTATTATTTAAATTTTCTCTATAAATAAGTTCTTCAAAGGATTGTCAAATTTAAGAATGCTTCCTCCATTTGAACTAGATTGTAATTTGTTTAATTTATTATTTTTCTTACAATGGCATGAGCATTCAAGGACAGGAGGCAAACCCCAGTCAGCGGATTTTACAAATCCTCTATACTCTTTCAATTCTGCAGAGATAGGAGAAAAAAACATTAATTGTAGAGAGCTATGTATTACATTATTTAAAATGAAAGAAATATGTAGAAAATTGAACCAAGTGTATGTCTCAGTCATTGTAAATACCAGGACTAAATATTCCTAATAGGATCATAAATTACTGAAAAACACTAGGCTTTAGGGAAAGGTTGTACATACTATATTGAAAGATTAATTCAATCTTACGTTTGGAGAAGAGTGACCTCTTCAAAGGTAACACATGTAGATCACTAAGATGAGAACTTTGGAAGCCCCACATCACTGCTCTTTCCCATGTGACATATTATTATTTGTCAAATAAGTTTTGAAATTCATACGTGATATAATTTTAAAAGCAATACAGATAATACTGACATTTCTGTTTGACTTTGGAATACATCTTTTATATTCGCTCATAATCTGTTAAGTAATAAACTTATGTGTTAAGTAATAATATTTTAAATAAAATGAAGCAGTCACAGGGTTCAGAGATACCTGGAGGAGATGTGAATACTACCCGGCTCCTTTATTTGCTCACTAGTCTAGGTGGGTTCATCCAATTCTCGCTTTGTGTTGAAAGAGCTAGTCTTGTCCAATAGTGAATTATCTGCCAATTATTTTATTTTTTAACCTTGTATCGTCTCTTTTGATTGTATAATTTTTATTGACCTATCTTTAAATTCACTAGCCCTTCTTCCTCTTGTATCTAATTTGCTCTTAATCCTGTTGAATATAACTTTTATTTGAAATATTAGTATTTCTAGCTCTTGAATTTCCATTTTTAGATACAGTTATTGTTTTTTCTGCTAATATTTACTATATGTTTATTCATTATGAACATATTTTATTTTATGTCCTTAAAGCATGGATATAATAGCTGACTTAAAGTCCTTGTCTACTAATTTTAGCAACTGAGTTTTCTTAGATTTGATCTCTATTAATTTATTTGTCCCTTGAGAATGGGTGTCATTTTCTGATTTCATATTGTAAACAGTAATTGTGAACTATATTCTGAACATTTCAATGTTATCTGTTCTGACTGTGGATTCTGTTATGTTCTTCTTAAGAGTGTTTTTTTTTTTTTTTTTTTTTTTACAGCAATTGGTTAACTTGGCTGAACTAAAAATCCATGCTTTGTCTTCCCTGCAGTCAGAACTGCTGAAATATCTGTTCATCTATTTTGGGCTTCACTGGGCTGCTTGAAGCCTACTTTGTACATTTATAATTCAGGGGTCACTCAGAAATGTGGCTAGATTGTATTTGCACAGTTGGCCTTCCTCTCTGGATCTCTGTCATTTCTCACATTTCTTCTCTACTTCCAGCTATTATGGTAGCACTGACTTCTGTCCTCGGACTCTTCAAGCCAGTAAGGCTAGAGCCTGATCAGAATCAAAGAGCCTTAAAAGGAAGAAAGTGCTGGACCTTTCTTCTAGTGTTGACTCCCTTCCAGTTTCTGCATTTTTGTTCCTCGACAATTGCTTCAGAAAATTGTTTGGTGTTTTGTTCAGAGTTCATAATTATTATATGTAAGAAAGTTCATTTTTTGTGATGCAATAATCACTACTGCTGGAGTTGGAACTTTTATATTTGATGGCTTTTAGTGGAAAACCTGAGGACCTAAATTTATAATGCTTTTCTACATAGAATTTGCATGTGCTTTTGCTTGTAAGGGGAAGCTACCAACCTGGCGTGATTTCGGTCTTTTTTGGGCTAAGAATATGTTCCTTCATATTGCTTCTTGCCCAAAGACTGGCCTTCCTTCCTCAGGGAAAATTTATTTCCCCTTTAGGTTTACAGCTCAAGTTCAGGTCAAGTTCCAATTCATGTTTCCTTTCACTTTCACTCCCTAAAAGCCTGAGCCCAAGAATGCAATAACAACACACCTAAGAGGGTATCTGTTTTGTTGTAGAGTGAGAGCTCTTTAGACTATTAAGCTGCCATACTGCTAGGTATGAAATTTTTAATTCTACAAATTTTTATACTTCATTTACAAATAATAGTTCACATTGAATCATCTGGTTTCTTGCACAGCTTAAATTCTCTCGTGCCAGTTTTGTTCATACTTTTGAATTCTTATAAATATTCTACTTTTGTCTTAAAAAATCATGTCAGTCAATACACACTCATGTACATTTTATAGATACCCATGATTTAATTAACTACTGGGAAAGGCTATGACCCATCTCTTTGGGTCACACTCTTGTGCCTGTGTCAAGCCAGTTGTGCAGTAAGGAGCAGGTGTGAGACCCACCTTAGAGTCTATTGGGATAGTGTTAATCTTTTCCCCCTATATTCAAAGCTTGTTTTTAACTCTTAGGTCTTAATGTGCCCTATACAACTTAGGTTAAAAAATCTTTTATGTAATATATAATAATTTCCCCTTCAATTTAAAAGCAGAAATTTTTAAAACTTGCCAATGAATGAGGTTGATAAAAGGCAACAAGAATAAAAGCCATAAAATTCAGGCAGCTACTGAATCTTCAATAGTGTTAATCACAGTTTCAGCTGCTTATTAATTGAGAATCAGATGTCAAGAATGCACAAAAGTTGCTCAAAGGCAAGACAATATTATGACAATTATTAGCAATCATATCATCCTTTAGGTAACACTACTGAAGAGTTGTAGAAGGGGCAAGACTCAGGAAGTAAATTCTATTAAAATGGTTACATAGACAAACTGATTGACCCATTAATTTATTTCCAATATTTAAAAATCCAGTGAAGAAAGTTTTAAAAACATTCTGCAGAAGTATTTTACACTTTTCTGATTCTACTTCTCTTATTCTCTTTTCCTTTTCTGAGGCATACAATCTTTGGCATGCATGTTCCAAGGATTTTATCTACATATTTTGCTAACAAAGTACTCATTCTAAGGAAAAACAGAATGTTTGATTGTATTTAGTTTTATACTTTTAGCTAATGGAAGGCAAACAGACATGAAAATTAGTTTATGATAATTAGGTCAAGACTGGTTAGAATTATTTTGTAAAATTAAGGTGAGCCTAATGATTGATATGTAGCCAGGTACCAAAAATCGTCAAGAGCTTGATGATTTACTACAGCAAATTAAAACAAATCAGGTTGAATAAACACATATAATTTTCAACTTCTTTCAGCATAAATTGAACTGCGTAATATGATATTGATAAAACTTTATGTAAACAAAATTAAATCTGACAATGAAAATGCATTTTAGCATCATTTGAAGTAAGCTAACAGAGGAGCACAAACTATTGGCAAAAAGATTATTAAGAGTTGTGCTATTGACATTACAATTAAAATCGTAGACTAGTGGGCTGTTACAAAAAACACAGTTAGTAGCATTGTCTAAAAATGAAGCCCAGAAAAAAATTCTAGCATTATATCCAAAGTGCTTGATGAATTACTTTGGAGGCTGAGATTATGTAAAATCTCTATACAGTTCAACTGGATGACAGTATAGACTTTGTGAATCTCTCCATGTTTGTTTTTGTATGGTGTGTTCAGGCAGGTGAATACGAGGAAGATGTATTACGTTTTAAAATGCTTGTCACATAAATGTAACTGGATAATGGAGCAGTCTGAACTTTTATCTTTTCCAATCACATCCTTCTACCACGCTCTGTCAAATCTCTCATTTAAAGCCCCTTAACAGCATTCCAGGCAGACCTCATAGCCTTCCTTTCATTTCCAGTTATCTTAAGTTCAATCCAGTTGAAAACTCCAATTTTGTCTCTTCTTCTATCCTCAAGCAATGGCTTAACTCTTTACTAAAAGGACCTGCATGAAGAAGCGTCTGCTTTACAAAACACCATCTCCCTTTTTTTGATTGAATTCTAGCCACTGTGGAGACAGGCAGGCATTAGGGTGGATGGGCAAAAGCCTTCTTGCATAATGGTGCATGTGATTACACTCCATGTTTCTGCTGCTTCACTGGCTGACACTGTCTGAGTATGAATGTCTTCTGTGAGGCAGGCATCTGGGTGATGGCCCTTTTATGCAGAGCCTTTGGGTCTGCCCCAGTGCCCAAGTTCCTGACTTGGGAAAGCCAATTCTGATGAAGTTTTTTCTACCCATTTACTTCAGCTCTTTATCAATGGTACAAACTTTCACCTTTTGAAGTTTGATTACCTTACGTGGGGAGTCAAGTTCTTGTGTGGGGCAAGAGCAAAAGGGAGCAAACCTGGCTACTTTCTAAGCTGAAGCATTCCTTCTGTGAAACAAACAAACCCTTGCAAACACAAATGGGGAACATGCAGCCTTGTCTATAGCTGTCCTGCTGTCTCCTCTCATTTCTCCTGTTCGTTATTTACACAGATTCCGAGAAGACTAACAAATGCATTGTACAAGCAGGCATTCAGCCTTTCCTGAGAGATGTTCATTTCCTGTTGAGTCACTCCTAACTTTTATGAGATTTGTTCTTAAGTTCCCTTCACTTGACTTTACAGGACTTGGGTGCAAGCTTCTTCTCCATGGATATTAATTTTAATAGAAACTTTAAGGTTTTTGTTTTCCTTTCCCCTTCCTTTTTTTTCTTTTTTTAAAAAATACTATCAATCGTAGGATGCAGCATTATCTTATGTTGTCACTAATTAAGTAAACATCAATACTGCCAACTGAACCGTGCCACAATGGGACAAGAATGTGTGCCATACATTGGTTAATGTATTTCTAGAACTGTCTCATAGCAGGATTATAGTCATCAACTTCCATGTTGTTCATTTATTATTGTACTTTGTGTCATCAGGAGTTGTAGGGATGAGGTATTTTTTAATAGAATCCATAAACAACCCAATAGCCAGTGTCCTATACTCTTAGGTAGGCTTTGTGATTATACATATCTGGGGAACTATGGATTCTCCCTTGCAACTGTCTCTATGATTGACTTCTGTACGTACCTGCCCTGTACAAACAGTGTTAACAGTGTTCCCCTATTGTCTCCAGGGTCTTCTTCCACATCACTAGTACACATTTTGCAGTTGTGCTGCTGGCTCTTTTGTACTCCTTGTATCATATGAACTGTGGTGGTAACTATATCTGAACTTCTGCCAGGCCTAAGTAACTCTACAATGGTATTGAACATAAGAGCACTTGATTTCAGACATTTTAAAACATGAAAGAATTGTGTATCAGACAGACTTGGGATGTGCTGCTGGGATCTGCTGGGATGATTATTACTGAGCTACACTGGCCATCTGTCTTTAAGTCCTGCAGGCATTGTCTGGTCATAATTGCTGGAGACTTTCTTTAGAAATGTTCTTCCTTCTGATTTGAGCCCCATGTGCCCATTTGGGGGTGACAAGAAAAATTTCACTTTGTAGTATATTACACATACAAAAGGCACTGAATTTTAAAGATTTTAGAGGAATTTTTAAGATACTATCAAATAATGGCAATTCATTAACAACCTGTATGCTAACAATGATAATAAAATGGCAGTAGAAAAGAAAACCTGCGTAGGAAGAGTAGTCTTAAATATTTATTGAAATCATCGTGTAGTTATGATTTGTGGCAAAGGCAAAACACAAACCCCTAAAGAAAGGACAGCAACTTTCAAAAGCCTTGTATGCTTATATAGTAGCTTGCCTTAGAGAATGGAGACATTTGTGGTTTAAAAAGATTCAATTAACTTAAAACATGGCACATGATTTTATTATGGTGTGGCAAGATGGTATTTTTGGGGTATTCATTTACATTTGTTGCTTACTTTCTGTTGCCCGTTGCTTCTTCTTCCAGGCAAGCATTGGAATCTTTCTGTAATCTCACATCAGTGCAAGAATGTGATTATCTGAAAACAGGGTGAAAAAAAGATTTCTGCTTTTGGTTCATAAAAATCAAAGTCATACAGAGGCCAGTTGGTGGGGGTCTTAAAATTAACTAAATGTTTGAGGGCAGAGCACATGAAACTGGTAGGTTATTTCTTCTTCATCTGCTGCCAGCTCCCATTGACCATTCGCCTCCCAGAACAGACTAGAAGAAAATTTCTCAGCCTGGAGAAAATGAAAAGAGCTACTAAGGAAGGGGAAGCAATGCTTTCACTCACTGCACTATACCACTCTGTAACGTAATTCATTATATTATCAAAAGAAAGAAACAAATCACTTGAGTGTACAACATACTAAGAAATATTTCCTAAAATTCAATGTAATGGAGAGATCAGGTGCAGGTGTGAGAGGCAGCTACACAATTTGCATGACCCAGTACAAAAATGAAAACATGGGACTCCTTGTTCATACAGCAGAAAAAAATTTGATTAAAGTACCGAACTATAAAGATTTTTCTTCTGCAAACTCTCCTTCAGTTTCTTGTGTTTTTGTATGTTATTTCACGTTTTAAGTAGGGAAAATTAAAATGTAAAGTTATTTCGATGACTTTTACTGATCATCTTTATATTGTGAAGTTCCAGTTATAAATGCAAATATAAGAACATTTAACTCATGTAAAGAATCACCAAAATTACATAATTCATATTTCATAGCTCATACATGCATAAATATTTTATTCCTGCCAGAAGAATAGAAGCATGACACAAGATTCAGTAGTTTCTTTTAAAAATTTATTTTATTTCATTTATTTCTATTCCTTTTAGACAGGGTCCTTGCTCTGTGGCCCTGGCTGGAGTGGAGTGATACAGTCATGGCTCATTGCAGCCTGGAGCTCCTGGGCTCAAGCAATACTCCCACCTCAGCATCTCAAGTTGCTAGGACTGCAGGTGTGGCACATCATACCCAGATAATTTTATTTTCATTTTTATTTTTTTTGTAGAGACAGGTTTCGCTATGTTTCCTAGGCTGCTCTCCAACTTCTGGGATCAAGTGTTCCACCTGCCTTGGCCTCCCACAGAGCTGGGATTACAGGCATAAGCCCACTACTCCCAGCCTCTCAGTTTTTACTTCTTCATACACACATGTTCTATGAACACTCTCCAACTCCAGCTTGCTTATGAGCAAGGAGAGACTGAAAGGAAAAGGTGCTATGAGTTTCTCCATCTTTCCCTTTTTCCCATATCATCATTTTTAGTGTTAATGATTGGCTAATAGATATAATATGAGTAAGAATGGACATGATAAAGTTTCTTGCTTAAACATAGTTCTCAGAATGTCATTGCCTTCCTATTGTTTTGGAAGCAAATTATGGTTTAAAGAAAAATACGTCCTCTTGGAGCTGTCAGCCACCTCTCCACCTCCCTTACTCAATAGTAGATGTAAATGCTTTTCCTTTATGGGCTTCAAGTGTCACCAAACAGCCACATATCCTGGTCCACTGAAATTCTGTGCTCAGGAGGTATCACAAACATTATATGTGAATGGGGAGAAAGGAATGGTGGACATGTGTCTTGCACATATCCGTTTAGCTCACATGCATGCTCTGTGGACCCACCAGTACTAGAAAACACAAACTTAAAGACAAAAGTGTTTAGAATTTTAAGATGGCAACAGCAGAGCACTAAACCAAGCATGAGGTCCTTCTGTACTTAGGGCCCTGTGCAACTGTATAGACGGCATCCCCACATACCCAGTGCTAATAATCAACAAGCCTTGTCTAAGTTCCCAGACAACAGTAGTATTAATCGGCAGACATATGAGTGAAAACATCACCCCAGGATACTAACCAGGAGCTATTGACTACCTCCTAGTCTTTAAGTATTTTTGGCTGAAGTCCCAGACACCGACAGATTACCCATTTGAAAATGTTCCCATTTTAAAAGGGCACGTTAGATTGAGTAGCCTTCAATTAATACAAATGAAGAGAAATCAGCAGGGTAAAGATGTTTGGATGCATCTAACACAATTTCAGGCTTTAGTGGACAGTATGTTTGGGTGCATGCACTTCTCATCACCTAGAAATACGACCCTGACTGATGCAGAAATGGTGTTAAGTGTGGCAGACTTTTATACTTGTGTTTCGCCTTCTTTTGGATTGAGGAAGTTAATTTGGAAAAGCAGTATGGTAAATATACATTTTAAGGAAGTGGTAAAATGTGGACCCTAAACCCAGACTTTCCAGGGTTTGAATAGTGGCTTTATTCCTTACCATTGAGGTGACCTTGGGTTCGTTACTTTATTTTTCAGTGCCTGAATTGTTTTCTTCGGAAGAATGGAGACCATAGTAGTACCCATCTCATAGATCTGTAAGTAATAAATAAGTTACGCATGCAAAAAACACTTAAAAGAGTATCTGCCACGTGACAAGCACTCATATGCATTAGCTACTATCATTATTAGTTTAGTTACAAGTTTAGTTAATTAATAATTTAGTTATTTTATAGAGGAATAAAAGTACAATTTGATATGGAGTTGTGTCTGAGAAGATTGTTATTGATTTAGCAAAGATATAACATATGCTTTATATATTTCAAAAAATAAATAGTCCAATATATAAGAATTTCTACAGACAATTTATAACTGATTCTCAAATTATAGTATGTTATGATCAACAAATACAATAAAATCTATAATTATAAAAACATGACATTAAATAAACTTTATTATTTGAAGTCTACATGCACTTATAAAATGTTCTCTGGACCTTCAGATCAAAACTAAATCAATATCCATTATTTGGACAAATAACCCATGTAAGAATAGCAAGCAGAGAAAATTACTGAAAAAATACCCAGTGACATCTATTACCCAGTCTCTACTAATCCACAGGGATGAATTTAAACCTGTTGCTTTAAATTTTAGCTACTTACCACTGAATGACCTTGAGAGCTATGTTAGAGTGGTCATTTTCTCCTGACTGTCTCTGCTGATTGCCTGACTTAACAGTTTCTATTGCTGCTGACATGTCTGTAAATGACCACAAACAATGCAAGGATTTTGGTCTTTTTAATAACTTCAATTGCTATGCATTTATTATTATAAGTCATTCTCAAATTAACTGGTGAGAATAGCCATCAAAACTGGTTGTAGTTTGTTCACAGGGTGGCCTTCTTAGGCTAACTGTGGTAGCTAAGCTGTGGTCACTAACTGTGGTAGCTAAGCTGATGGAGAGAGGTACTAGGGGCCCGTGCAGTGGCTCACGCTTATAATCCCAGCACTTTGGGAGGCAGAGGCAGGCAGATCACTTGAGGTCAGGAGTTCCAAACCAGCTTGGCCAAGATGGTGAAATCCCATTTTTACCAAAAAAAAAAAAAAAAAAAAAAAAGAAAAAGAAAAAGAAAGAAAAAAAAAGGAAAAGAAGACAATTAGCCAGGCATGGTGGTGCGTGCCTGTACTGGCATGTACTTAGTAGGTTGAGACAGAGAATCGCTTGAACCTGTGAGGCGGTGGTTGCAGTGAGCCGCGATCATGCCACTGCATTCTAGTCTGGGTAACAGAGAGAGATTCCATCTCCCCCGCTGCCCCGCAAAAAAAAAAAAAAAAAATTAAAAATAAAAACACCAGGGAGTTAACTAGCTTTGTGCTCTGCCTAGGAGTGTGGGTGAAGAATGTGGCAGGTATGTTTTGGTAGAAGGAAGGAGGTTCAGGTTAGGATACTATTGAGACTGGTTAAACATGTTCAATGAGAAAATGTTATTAAAATGAATAAAAACAGCATATTGTGGCTGTGGAAATCATTACTATGGGATGTGGGAAGTTATTATATTTGTGTGTGGCTGTGGCTGTTGTTTTTTTTTTTTGATCAGGTGCAAAATGAAACTCTCAGAATTTTTGGAATATAGAGACAGGGATGGAAAAAAACATCCCTGTGTTTAAAGGAAATAAAAGACACCCCACAAAATATTACGATATGATTTTAGCTTAGATTTCTCTTCACAGCATTTGGTTGTTTCTTTGTTTTCCAATTACTTCCTTTTCTGTGTTGCTTTCCTGATCTGGATCTATGTAGCAAGCTATGTTGCCTCTGTCATTGAAATGGACAAGATAGGAAATTGTATTCCTAGTGAGAAACTAGCAGCTATCTCCCCCTCCACACACACATGAACCTCCAAAAGGTATTATTCTACACTGGCAATTATTTTGAACAATAACTAGCTTCAGTGAATTAAATTCATTTTTCCCCTATTCCTACTGCCACTTAGCTGCAGGTTACAGCATCTGAAAAATACTTTATTTCAGGCAGTTGGACTGTCTATTTCTTATCTCATGGAGTGCACAAACAAGAGCCAAAGATCGTAAGATTTCTTTTCCTTTTCTTTTTGGTCTACTAGGTTGTTACCTTGTAATTCATCCTTTGTAGTTACCTTAAAAGCATAATAATGATAATTTGCAAAACTTCGGTAAAGATAAACCAAGGAAAGTTTATCCCCACATGTTCAAGCTTACTATTTCCCCTCGGGTTACATAGTTTGCAACAACACAGCAGGTTGTAATATCCATGAAATAAGAATCTTATGAGCGGAGGAAACCCATTTCTAAGGACAGTTGGAAACTGCTTGCCTGAGATGCTGCTGCTTAGAATCAAAGATACCATGTGGTGACATATTTCTAAAGAATGAGATCCTTCTGTTTGTGGAACTTTACACTGTTTGACAATTTATTTTTATTTCAAAAAAAAAATTCAAAATAGAAGGCAGTTTGATCTCATAATTTAGGGTAGTACTCTGAAAGGCACCCTCCTTGTCTCCCAGGGAATTTTGAAGCCAGTAGGGTTGGTAAAAATGATATGGGTCTGGGAAAGTGCTGCATTATCAAACTTCTAACTAAGGAACCAGATGGTGTTTACATGAGTCAACTCCCACCCAATTGGCTTTCTCAGCTGTATTTAAAGTAGAAAGATGAAGACAGCAGAAATTACCAGAATATAGTTTGAAGAAGAGATTTAACTATGTCACAGCTTATGATGAAGCAATTTCAAGATAATGTTTCTGAGGATGTATCTTATACTGTCTTTCCTCTAGGAAATGCTTGGAATAGACAAAATTATATATATATACATATGTGTGTATATATATGTATGTATTTCCAATCAGTCCTACATGTATCTACTCAATATATCATATACACATAATGATTGTGTTAAAAATAAGATCTAATTATAAAGAAATGCATCTATTAACATATATCCATGGCATTGATGTTGAAGAAACGTGATGTTGAAATATCCCATGTTTAAAAGTGAATGTGCTTTCAGAATCAGCTAAAACCAATGGGAATGTGTGTTGAGAGGTGGCAGTGTGATTCTGGAATTTTCTGAAACCTTAGAGAATGCAGGTATATGATAAAAAGCTTTTCAGAGGAAGTAGAGCTTTAGTATTAAGTAAAGAAAAGATGAAGTATAATAAGAATTTTAGAATGGTGATATATACATACGAGAAGGTTTAAAAAATGTGCTTGGGAAAGGTTATTAGCACAATCATATTAGACAGAATGTCTGCGTCAGACTCTTCTTAATGCCTAGAGGCTCTGATTTATTAAAACTTCCTGGAAATTAGATCTTGCCTTAGGCCATTGGAGTAGCTAACTTCTTTGTCAATCAGATAAAGCAAACCATATGAGGCAGAAGAATAACTGCCACTTAAAAAGAGCAAGAAAATAAACCATATAAATTTTAGTTAGGTTTTTATTGGTAAAGCATAAGAACATACCAAGCCTGAGATTGTGAGCTTTTTAGAGTGACAATTGCCAATTTATGATAGAGCAGCTTCCCTTTTTTATTTTGTCATTTTGTCGTAATTCATGGATAAGGCAATAGACTATGAAAATAGGGGATATGTGAGATTTGGAAATGCAAACCTTGCACAAGAAATTAAATTAGCTCTTGGTGTATAGAAGTTTTCTGGTGGTAGTATATTTTTAAGAACCATAAAATTGTCAACTTTTCTTATGTATTAAAATTAGCTATTTTAGTTTCCATTTCTAAGTTCCTGTTGAATCATATTTGTTTCAAACTTTCTTCCTTAAATTACTATATATGCCCTATACTTTGTTAAATGTTGTAGCTTTGCATTTTGTAAAATGCATACTATTCTTAAAATTGACATACGTGTGTATTTTAAAAATGAGTAAAATACTTTTTGATCTAAAATAAATGCATTGTATATTAAAGATGAAATATTTAAAATTAAAATTAATCATTGATTTTACATATATATACTCACGTGTATGTTCACAATTTGGAGTATTAGCAGCTAGATATATCTATATATATATATATATATATATATGAGATAAATAGCACACAGGGAGAAATATATCTTATTTTAGCAACATTCCATTAGAAGTATTGCTCATTTGATTTTTGCTTTTTTGCAAACTAAAATCTTGACTTTAATACAAATAACTGATTCTTTCCAATAAAAAATACCTGGGAGTTCTTTACTTGGGCTTTTATGGATAAAACAAATGGATTTGCAGAGAATGACTAATCCTAAATGTGCGTTGAGAAGCATGTGCATTTTGCTTTATGGTTAGTTTAATATAATTCGCATACAGCAAACTACAGGTGCTTTGTACCAGCATACTGACATTTATGTCCAATGTGCCCCTTTTGCACCGATCTCATCCTTCAGATGGGTCGCTAAACAATTATTTTCTAAAAAAATAAAAAAGATGGATATGGTTAAAATTAGTTTATTTTTTGGTCTGTAGTATATATTTATTTAAAAATATAGATCTTAATTTTAAGTATAATCAGTGGATCCTATTCAGTACGTCCCAGGATTTTCTCACTTGTTGGCAAAAAACAATTTATCACTCTACAGAAAAGTTCCCAAATTTATCATTTTAATGTTAAGAAGGCTTTGTTTCCCTCCAGTGAATCTGAACATCATCAGCTGCCTCTTTGCCTATGTATCTAGGAATGAATGTGCAGTGTCGTAGCTCTGCTATCTCTTTCTATCTCAGAGGCCTCTGTTCTTTTCCTTGTTTTTGTCTATTGCCTTGGAGCCATAGAAAGTATTAAATGAAGAGATAAGTTAGACATTAATATGTACAATAGTAGATTCCCATTCAGCAGAGAAAACAAGACACACTTTTAACTACTAATAACACAATATGGAAATTAATACATGCCTTAGAATACTACATTATAAGGAGCTGTAGAAATTGACAGATAGAGAATTTGCTTAAATTTAGAGAAAGGGGGTTTTCCCAGAGAGCTAGAATTTAAATAGAGCTTTGAAAGATTTGAACATATGCCCTCATGAGGGGAATGTATGAGCTAAGGTACACAAACACAAAATGTTTACAGAAACCTAAGCTGAAGTGTAGAGTAGGTTACATAATAGAAAAAAGTTAGTGAGAAAATTCTAAAAGCTATGGTGAGACTGGAAGATAGAAGATCTTGATACAATGGACTGAATGTTCATGTTACCCCAAAATTCATATGTTGAAATCCTAATGTCCAATGTGATGGTATCACCAGGTGGGGACCTAGGGAGGTGATTAAGTAATGGTGGTGGAGCTCTCATGAATAGAATTCTTGCCTGATATGGTTTGGCTGTGTCCCCACCCAAATCTCATCTTGAATTGTAGCTCCCATAATCCCTACATGTCTTGGGAGAGACCTGGTTGGAGGTAATTGAATCATGGGGGTGGTTACCCCCACGCTGCTGTTCTCGTGATAGTGAGTTCTCAAGAGATCTGATGGTTTTAGAAGTGGCTTTTCCCCCTTCGCTCGACACTTCTCTCTCCTGCTGCCTTGTGTAGAAGGACATGTTTCTTCTTCTGCCATGATTATAAGTTTGCTGAGGCCTCCAAGCCATGTGGAAGTGTGAATCAATTAAACCTCCTTTCCTTATAAATTACCCAATCTTGGATATTTCTTCACAGCAGCATGAGAAGAGAACAATACAAGGCCCTTATTTACAAAAACGTCCCGAAGAACTCCCTCACCTCTTCTACTATGTCAGGTTACAGTGAGAAGAAGGCAGTCTATAAACAAGGTAGTGGGCCTTCACCAAACACTGAATATATTAGCACCTTGATTATGGACTTCCCAGTCTCCAGAACTGTGAGAAATAAATTTTTATTATTCATAAGCCACCCAGTCTATGGCATTTTGTTATAGCAGCCTAAACAGACTAAGACCGTAGATAGGAATCTGATAATTGTATCTAACACAATAAAGAGAAACAAAAGGTTTTTGAAAGAGGAAATGACATTTTGCGCACCCTAAAGAGATTAATATGGTAAACCTGTATAGTCTGAGTTGAAGTTAAACATGACAAATGGAAACTAAATTAGAAGAATATTTCAGGAAGACAGATTATACATAATTGGTGGCTAATCAAGATCATTGTGTAAGAGGATTTAAGTTGACATTAATAATATTCCATATGTTAAATAATTTTAAAATAAAGTAGAGTAATATATGTGAGCTATTAAAAGCATGTTGTTAATAATTTCAAATGTTTTGCCAGTTCAGAAGATATTTAGGATATTATATTTGTTAAAGACGTGTTCATCACTTTAAAAAATATATTAACAGGTAATTTGGTGAATCAATTATATCCTAGACACTGTGCAAGGCTTTGAGTATATATAGAATCATAAGACCCATTTTCTGTTCTTAAGGAACATATAGGATAACGGGGAGAGAGAGGCATACTGATGGTTATAGGACAGTATGGCAAGGGCTCCAATACATTTATATGGAAGATGATCATCAAATAGGAACTTTTCTCAAATTAGGGGTGGTTGGTGGTGCTTAGATAGTAAATCTAACATTATTTGTAAAAAGCGGAAAGCTCTTCATTGCATGAAAAATGCAGTGTGGTCAGTCTTGGCAGAAATAAAATTCTATGCAAAGGCACAATGACAAGGAAGTCCGATGTGTCCTATACAACTGAAGTATGATGTATGATTTAGGGAAAGGGGATATTAGACTTCACAGGTAATGCGATGTTGAAGTGTGCTAAGATCTTCAGATTATGTCTTAAGATCTATCAGAAGCTCTTATGTATGAGAGTGACATCATCAGCTATGTAATTTAGAAATTCACTAAAAGAGATAATTTGGAGTATAATTGGAGCATGGAAGATTGGAGGGAGTAAGATCGCTTCTGAGGTTGTTGAAGTAATCAGAGCAAAATTTGATGTGATTCTGAAATAAAGCAAAAGCTGACAAGGTTTAGTAATAAGAGACATGTCTGAGAAGAATTAGTGGAATTTAAGAATTGATTGAAAGTGGTACACTGAAGAATAGAGAGAAATCAGTGACAATTCCTATGTTTCTCATTTGGGAAATTTCTTATTTGAATGTTTTATGCACTGAGAGAGAATATAGAAAGATAAAGTTCGAGAAGATATATGGATAAAATCAGTTTGTACATGGTTTGAGTGACGATGGAGCAATCATGTGGGAATCTCCAACAGACAGTTGGATGTAAAGATCTGGCACTCCAAAGAATTGTCTAAAGCTTTGCTAATCAAAGCATGGTATTTGGAAAAATAGCATTGGCACCACCTGAAATGTTATTAGAAATGCAGAATCTCAGGACCTAACTCAGATCCACAGAATCAGAATCTTCAGTTAAATCAGATCCTTATGATTTAAATACATGTTAAATTTTGAGAAACACTGACCTAGAATACGTGCACACATCAGCAAACATGTACCCAGTCGTAAATATACGTTGTTAACATTTAGGTCGTAGTTGGAGCTATGCAAATGTATAAATTGAGCAAAGTGATAAAAATATAAAACTTTAGAGAACTCCAATATTTAAAGGAGGATGATAAAGGATGAACCCCCAAAATACAACTGAGGTGTATTTCAAAATGAAGACAAACCAGGAAAGGAGTGTATAAATGAAATTGTAGAATAAAAGAATTTCAAGTTTAAGGAATGATATAAAAATAAAAGCAGCATTAAGCATGGAGGTAAATATCCCCATTTATCCAAATTTGCATTAATTCTTTAGAAGTTAAATATTCAGTCTTAAAAGTAACATTACATTCATTTTCTGTGTAAAAGACCAAGAAGTATACATTTTCCTGTTATTTTTCATTTTTATTTTGTTCTGAAATTTTCCAATTTTTTTCTCTTACTCTTATTTACCATATTCTAGATTCTTGCCCCCAAATGTTTATCTTCCAACCTTTTCTTTTTTTTTTTTTTTTTTTTTTTTTTTTTTTTTTTTTTTGAGACGGAGTCTCGCTCTGTCGCCCAGGTCGGACTGCGGACTGCAGTGGCGCAATCTCGGCTCACTGCAAGCTCCGCTTCCCGGGTTCACGCCATTCTCCTGCCTCAGCCTCCCGAGTAGCTGGGACTACAGGCGCCCGCCACCGCGCCCGGCTAATTTTTTGTATTTTTAGTAGAGACGGGGTTTCACCTTGTTAGCCAGGATGGTCTCGATCTCCTGACCTCATGATCCACCCGCCTCGGCCTCCCAAAGTGCTGGGATTACAGGCGTGAGCCACCGCGCCCGGCCTCTTCCAACCTTTTCTACATCCTATTCTTTTTCACTTGTTGTACACTTAAAAATATAAAGATTATATTGTATTGATCTAAAGAAATCAATCTTTTTTTTGTCTTTATTCTGGTATACATATCCAACATTCATAAAGGAAAATTCTCCATAGAAATGCCTCTTTCATTTTTTGTAGACCAAGTGAAAATAATACAGTCTTTTCTACTGGTTAGCAGTGTGTTTATGGGTGTGGTTAGGCGTATGTGTAGTACAGGAGTCAACAGTATGGCTATGCCTCATTGCTCTGAGCTACACAGTAGAAACATAAACTAGAGCTACATTTTGCCTCTTCCCCTATGCTACCCTCTTTCTGCTTTTATTTTTCTTTAACCTGGGATCTTGTCTCTGTCTTGGTGAAAATTCCTATAGTAAAAACATCTCTGCTGTAATTTACATTACTGGTTCCCTAAGGTATAATAGAACAAATTGGAAAGTCCAGTTATAAAATCAAGTCCATATGATAATTTGCTATATGTGAAATACTTGTCTTCACACTATCATCAAATGTGGATTATAATAATCGCAAGAAAAATATTAACTTAGATATCTATCTCATATCTAATACAAATGAGTTTTGATCATATTAATAAATATATATTTATATTATTATTCTAAATTATGGTTTCACATATAGTCAGTCCTTCCTGACTGGGTTATATTAATAAATATAAAAGTATAAACAATATTTTCATAATTTTATAAAACCTCAGTATGGGAAAGGGTTTCTAAGTTTAAAGCTACACCCAGTAACCACAAAAGCATAGTGAATTTTACTTCATAAAAATACAATTTTCCATTTGGCAGAAAATACCATAAACATAGTCAGAACACAAGAAACACATTGGAACAATACACTTTCAGCTCATCACAGGCAGCAAGTTAATCCATCAATCTATTAATTTAGAATTTGTAAAAATTAATAAGAAATATATCAAGTACAAAAATGAAGAAAGTACATAATGAGAAATGTCATATGATAACTCAATATATAATGAGATGTTAAAGCTCTCATATAGGAAGAAAAATACAAAGAAAAATTAAAATGCATCTCACACCAATTTCAAGTGCATAAGAAGCCTACATGAAAGGGAAAGTGATCACCTGTAATCCTATTTACTCGAGAGATTGGGGCAGGAAAATACCTTGAACCTAGGAGGCAGAGGTTTCAGTGAGCTGAGATCATGCCATTGTACTCTACCCTGGGTGACAGAGCAAGACTCCACCTCAAAAGAAAAAAAAAAGCAAAACTATAGAGTCTTTAGAAGATTGTATAGGAAAAATCTTTGTAACCTTGGGGAGAGAAGTGTTTTTAAAAACAATACATAAGACTTACTAAACCTAAGGGAAAAGAATTATAAGAGTGGTTACATTACATTAAAAGTATATATTCATCTAGTATCTTAAAGAGAGTAACATCAGAAGCCACAACTAGATGCTTGTATCAAAGAAGCTGAAGTGATACTACTTCTAAGGATGCTAAGGTCTAGTATTATACTGTGAATATATGTAGACTCATATTAATTTATAATGAGAATTATAACAACCAGGTTGTTAAAAATATAATTTTATCAAATGTTGGTGAGAACTTAGAGCAATGCAAACCATCTTAAGCTATTGATGGGATGAAAATTGCTACCATTCTTTGTCAAACCATTACATAGTAAAATTGAAGATCTCCATCCAGTGACCCAACGGAGAAACTTTTACACGTGTGGACCAGGAGATATGTATATGAGTGTTTATTGAAGTATTATTTGTAGTATTTCCTAATCAGAAACAGCCCAAATGTCAATCATAGTAGAAGGAATAAATAATTTGTGACATCTTCATTCAATGGAATACAAGAAAAGGTGGAAGTGAACGAATTACAGCTACACACTTAACAACACGTACGAATCTCGCAGTGTTGAGTGCAAGAACCCAGACAGGAAGGACTGACTATATGTGATACCATATAATTTGTACGCAATCTCAAACCTGGGCAAAAGTAAATTATATTTCTTATGAGTGCATATGTTGCAGCTCCAGTAGTTTGGCAAGTGGGAGGGAGTGGTGCCCAGCAGCCTTTTCACTCCTTCACTCCGGCAGCTTGGCAAATGAGTGGAAGTGGTGCCCTGTGGCTCTTTCGCTCCCATAGTTCAGTGAGCAAAAGGGAGTGGCACCCAGTGGCTTCTTCTTTCCCATTGTTCAGTGAGCAGGAGGGAGGGTTACAGTTATTTTATTCCCACTGCACACAGCTCAGTGAGCAAGAGGGTTACAGCTCCTTTATTCCTGTTGCCTGCAGCTTGCCAAGTTCCAGGTTCTTGTCTTACAACAAAGAAGAATAAGGTATGCAGATAACAGAGAGTGTATAAGGCAGAGAAGAATTTTATTGGATGACAGAAGGAAAACTCTCAGCTGCAGGAGAGGAACCTGAAAGAAGTAGCCATCTGTGAGGCTAAGTCCAGGGTTTTTATGGGCTTAGAATGGGGGAGCGCATGCTGATTGGTGCATAGGTGGTCTTGGAAAAAGCACCATTCAATTAGTTAAACGGCATCATTCAAAAAAAAAAAAAAACAGTTGAGAGAGAGTGGGTAAGGCAGGGATGGAAGTTCTCACTCTGTCATGGACTCTGTCTGAAACTGGCATTTCAATTTTCAGGCTTCAGGCTGTCTTTGTCCTGAAGGTCAAGTTTCACTAGGGAGCCGTCCCTGTCTACCTAAGAATTGTTGCTATCACATATATATATATATGGTGAAACTATAAAGTTTGACGAAAATGCTGATAATGATATGGGCAATGAGATCCAGGCTGAGGTGGTCTCAGATGGAGATGAGGAAATTATAATGCAAAACACAGAACGGATGACAATAAAAGTCAGGATAAGCTCTCTTCTGGAGCAATAATCCCCTTGAGGGTGGGGCCTGTCTTTTCATCTTTATCTTCATCTAACACAAGCCAGGCATACAATTGTCATTGAAGAAATTTTCGCTGGGTGTTATGTTATTTAAATATAAATCACTGAAGTTTATTATTGAATAACCTGTAGTCTAACATTGTCTCTCAACCAGGCCACAGGTTCCAGGCAGGACAATGACAAAACAACTCCTTTTCATCACAACACCCTCATGCAGTGTTTGCTCTATGGACCTACTATCATTTCTCATGCTCCTTAGGCAACAATGTATTTTAGGAAATAGGCATAAGACCCACTGATCTTTCCCCAAGATCTCACATCATGAAGGGGAGACAGGCAAAAAAAGAGATGATGGCAAAAGATTGTAGGGCATTAAAGCATTGTTAGTGATTGTTTATATTATAGTTCCATGCCATTTTTATTTATTAATTTGGTTGATGATGTGATTCACTGTGTCCCCATGCAAATCTCATGTTGAATTCCCATGTGTTGTAGGAGGGACACTGTGGGAGGTAATTGAATTATGTGGGCAGATCTTTCCTGTGCTGTTCTTGTGATAGTGAATAAGTCTCACAGGATCTGATGGTTCTACAAGGGGGAGTTTCCCTGCATAGTCTCTCTCTTTCCCTGCTGCCATTCATATAAGACGTGACGTGCTCCTCCTTGCCTTTCACCATTATTGTGAAGTCTCCCCAGCCATGTGGAACTGTGAGTCCATTAAACCTCTTTTGTAAATTGCCCAGTCTCGTGTATCCCTTTATCAGCAGCAGGAAAAGGAACTAATACAGTAAATTGGTACCAGTAGAGTGGAGTGCTGCTTAAAAAATACCCAAAAATGTGGAGGCAACTTTGGAACTGGGTAACAGGCAGGGGTTGGAAAAGTTTGGAGGGCTCAGAAGAAGACAGGAAAATGTGGGCAAGTTTGGAACTTCCTAGATACTTGTTGAATGGCTTTAGCCAAAATGCTGATAATGATATGGACAATGAAATCCAGGCTGAGGTGGTCTCAGATGGAGATGAGGAACTTGTTGGGAACCGGAGGAAAGGTGACTTTTGTTATGTTTTATCAAAGAGACTGGTGGCTTTTTGCCCCTGCCCTCGAGATTTGTGGAACATTGAACTTGAGATAGATGATTTAGGGTATCTGGCAGAAGACATTTCTAAGCAGCAAAAAATTCAAGAGATGACTCGGATGCTGTTAAAGGCATTCAGTTTTATAAAGGAAGCAGAGCATAAAAGTTTGGAAAATTTGCAGCCTGACAATGCAATAAAAAAGAAAATCCCATTTTCTGAGGAGAAATTTAAGCCAGCTGCAGAAATTTGCATAAGCAATGAAGAACCTAATGTTAATTGCCAAGACAATGGAGAAAATGTCTCTAGAGCATTTCAGAGGCCTTTAAGGCAGTCCCTCCCATTACAGGGGAACTGATGAGAAAAAGATGGTTTTGTGGTCTGGGTCCAGGGTCCCCATGCTGTGTGCAGCCTAGGGACTTGGTGCCCTGTGTCCCAGCTGCTCTAGCCATGGCTAAAAGGGGCCAAGGTACAGCTCAGGCCATGGCTTCAGATGGTGCAAGCCCCAAGCCTTGCCAACTTCCACAAGGTGTTGAGCCTGTGAGTGCACAGAATTCAAGAACGGAGGTTTGGAAACCTCTGCCTACATTTCAGAAGATGTTTGGAAATAACTGGGGGTCCAGGCAGAAGTTTCCTGCAGGGGTGTGGTCCTCATGGAGAACCTCTGCTAGGGCAGTGCAGAAGAGAAATGTGGGATCAGAGCCCCCACACAGAGTCCCTACTGGAACACTGCCTAGTGGAGGTGTGAGAAGAGGGCCACCATCCTCCAGATCCCAGGATAATAGATCGACCAACAGTAGCACCATGACCCTGGAAAAGCCACAGATACCCAATGCCAGCCCATGGGAGCAGCCAGGAGAGAAGCTGTAACCTGCAAAGCCACAGAGGCAGAGCTTCTCGAGACCACGGGAACCCACCTCTTGCATCAGCATGACCTGGATGTGAGACCTAGAGTCACAGGAGACCATTTTGGAACTTTAAGATTTCACTGCCCTGCTGGATTTCAGACTTGCAAGGGGCCTGTAACCCCTTTGTTATGGCCAATTTCTCCCATTTGGAATGGCTATATTTACCCAATGCCTGTACTCCCATTGTATCTAGGACATAACTAACTTGTTTTTGATTTTACAGGCTCATAGGTGAAAAGCACTTGCCTTGTCTCAGATGAGACTTTGGACTGTGGACTTTTGAGTTAATGCTGAAATTAGACTTTGGGAGGCTGTTGGGAAGGCATGATTGGTTTTGAAATGTGAGGATATGAGATTTGGGAGGGGTCAGGCGGTCGAATGATAGGGTTTGACTGTGTCCCCACCCAAATCTCATCTTGAGTTCAGAGATACCCAGTGGGAGGTAATTTAATCATGTGGGCAGGTCTTTCCCATGCTGTTCTCATGACAGTGAATAAGTCTCACAGGATCTGATGGTTCTATAAGGGCAAGTTTCCCTGCACAGTCTGTCTCTTTGCCTGCTGCCATCCATGTAAGACAAGACTTGCTCATCCTTGCCTTCCACCATGATTGTGAGGCTTTTCCAGCCACGTGGAAATGTAAGTCCATTAAACCTCTTTCTTTTGTAAATTGCCCAGTTTCAGGTACGTCTTCATTAGCAGTGTGAAAATGAACTAACATAGTAGACAAAAAAATTTAATTATATTAAAGTTATAGGAAAGTAGGTATTCATTTATTATTGGAATGTAAATTGATAAAATTTGAGGGAAGTTGTGAATGTCTCAATTTATAAAAAAATAAGATAATTGACAACATAAAAACTATTAAAGACATTTTTGGGTCAAATATACTTTTACCTGATAATCTTCCTTTCAACAATTTATTCTTTATATTCATTTTATATTTGTAAAATACTTTCATTTACATATGGAAATGTAGGATGCAGAATGTTAATTAAGAGGAATAGTTAAAATCAATTATTGTACATCAATACATAAAATAATAATGCTATTACAATAAGGGTCTTTGTGTTTGGATATAAGAGTCATTCAAAGATATTGTTAAAATGAACATGTAAAGAAGCATAAATATATTACATTATTTTGTTATTGTATATTTTAAAATACAATACAATTAATTTACAGCATATATGTGCATAGAATGTTGTTCATTGACTATAAACACACAGGAAGTCATAGTGGTCATTGTGGCTTCTATTGCAAAATAGAATTGAATGGCTGAGGGACGTTGATAGTAGAGTGGCAAAGTTAATAAAGTTTCCAAATACTACAAGATATTAAAAAATGAATATGGAATTCTATATTATTGTCTATTTTATTAAGACTATCAGTTTTTAATTTGTATTCATTTTTTAAATGAGACTTTTGAAGGAAAAGAAAAAAGTACAGTCTATTATAGCTGTTAAGAATGCTGAATTATTAAAAGAGCGTATCAAACCACTTTGGCTTGAAATAATAAAACAGACACAAACAACATATTTAGCATTTTCTAACACTATCATTATTTTTTCAATTTTTTTATATTGTCTTGAAAAAACATTGGATGATATTTCAAAATAGAAGTTGATTACTATTTCTATCTATTGTGTCCGTCTCTCCATAAAGAAATCAGTTTACTGTTCAGATAATTCAGTAACAACTAAACTAACCATCAACTAACTAAACAACATAAGTTCTGAATGTGTTTGTGCAGTTTATGTTAACTAAATTCGTTGAAAACCTATAAAACTTTATATCTGCTTTTTTTATTTAAACAGAGCTGGTTCTCAAAGTTTTAATATGTAAGATACAATGAATTTCTAGCTTTAAGAGTATTTTATAGATGCAAATGCTTCCTTAAAAAGCACTGAACCTGATCATAATGAAATCATATAGCAAATCCTAATGTAAAAACTTAATGTTGCAAACTGTTTTCATTCCTCAAAGCTATTAAAATGGTACCTTTACAACTACCATTGTCACTTTTACACGTTAATAAAGTGGCATAGATAATGAAATGCAATAAAATCATTACTTGCTTCCATTAACACTGGTTAGTGGGAGAAATGTGACTGGGTGGGATAGGAATTAAATATCTCATGAACTGGATAAATAATTTTTTTTGTCTAAACACAATTTCAAAGTTAAACTCAAGACTCCTTCTCTTCTGATAGCACGTGATATAAGATCAGTACCTCATTTTGGCAGAGCAGTTGATTGGAGATGAAAGACATCCTATATCTTTTACAAACTCCATAGCCAGATGGGTGAGAGGTGGTAAAGCTTCCTCTCACTTTCCTGCCCAGGAATTTATGCACAACTGGGCTGCCGTAGATGATTAAAAAAAATCAGAACAGCTTCGTTGGGATATAATTCACATACTATAACAGTCACCTTTTTAAACTGTAGAATTTTGTAGGTTTTTTTGTTGTATATTCTTGGAGTTGCACAACTCTCACTGCTAATTAATTTGAAAATATTTTTATTACTCAAAAAAGAAACTACATACTGTTAATAGTCACTCTCCATCTATCTTGAAAACCACAAATTTACTTCTTGTCTCTCTTTGTCTATTCTGTGTAGTTCATTTAAATGGAATGATACAATGTCATTTTTGTGTCTGGATACATTTATTTAACATAATGATTTCAAGGTTTATTCAGATATCAGTACTTTATTCTTTTGTTTATTGTCAAAAATGATTCCATTGTATGGATACATGCATTTTGTTTATCCATTCATGAGTTGATGGGCATTAGGTTGATTTCCTCCCTTTGGCTATTCTGAATAATGCTGCTATTCATGTAGTTGTTGTTTTGTTCTGTTTGAAGCTTATATTTGCATTTATTGGTTATACATAAGAGTGAACTTTTGGGTCCAGGAGGAAAAGCCAAACTGCTTTTAAAATGGTGGCATCATATTGCATTCTCCCCAGCAGTGCTGGAGGTTTCAATTTCTGTATATCTTTGTCAATTCTTGTTATTGTCTGATTTTTAAAAATTTTAGCCTCACCAGTAAATGTGAAGAGGTATTTCACTGTGGTTTTGATTTGCATGTCTTTAGTGACTAATGGTGCTGAACATTTTGCCTGTGGTTATTGGCCATTTGTGTAACCTCTTTGGAGAAAGGTCTATTCAAATCTTTTGCCAATATTTAAAAAAAAATTCTGTCAGTCATTTTACTTTTTTTTAAACTGAGGCAAGAACATTTAATATGCAATCTGCCCTGTTAACATTTTTTTGTTCCAATACAGGGTTTCATTCTGCTACCCAGGTTGGAGTACAGTGGTGCTATCAGGGCTCACTGCAGCTCCGACCTCCCAGGGTTCAGGTGATCCTCCTTCCTCAGCCTTCTAAGAAGCTGGGACTGCAGGCAGACACCACTATACCTAGGTAATTTTTGTAGAGATAGGGGTTTGCCATATTGCCCAGGCGGGTCTTGAACTCCTGGGCTCAAGCAATCCTCCTGTTTCGGCCTTCCAAAGTGCTGGGATTACAGGTATGAGCCACCATGCCTGGATGTTATTAAGAAAATTTGGAGTGTACAATACAATTTCATTTATTACAGGTGCCATGTTGTAGTGCAGACCTCTAGAACTTACTCTTCATCTGCAACTGAATTTTTATACCTGTCTTTTACAGTTTTTTTTAAATTGGGTAATTTGTCTTTTAATAGCTGAGTTGTAAGACTACTTTACATATTCTGATATAAGGCCCTTATCAGATATATAATTTGCCAATATTTTCTTCCATTCTGCATTTTCTTTTCATTTTCTTGATAGTGTCCTTTGAATTCCAAAATATTTTATTTTTGGTGAAATAAAATTTATAAATTTTGTGTGTGTGTGTGTTTGGTGTCTTTTGTAAGAAACCAAGGTCATAAACATTTATTACTATGCTATTTTTCTAAGAGTTCTACAGTTTTAGCTCTTACATTTAAGTCTATATTCCATTTTATGCTAATTTTTTACATGGCGTGAAACACAGATCTAACTTTATTTCTTTGCATGTGGATATTAAGTTGTTCCTGCACCATTTGTTGAAAAGACTAATATTTCATCATTGAATGCTCTGGCAACTTTGTCAAATATCAGTTGATTATAGGGATTTACATCTGGATTTTTAATGCAATCTCATTGATCTGTGTGTCTATCCTTATTATGACACCATCTTGTATACTGAGGTACGTTTTCAAATAGGAAACTCTGAATATTCCAACTTTTTCAAGATGGTTGTGGCTAGTCTGAGTCCTTTGCATTGTCAAATGCACTTTAGGAAGGGTTTGTCAGTTTGTGCAAAGAAGGAAGCTGGGGTTTTTGTTAATCATTGTGTTAAATCCATAGATAAACCTGGTGAATTTTAACAATATTGTCTTTTTAATAACATATGGGCTGTCTTACCATTTACTTAGTCCTTCTTTAATTTCTGTCAACAATATATTATAGTTTTCAGTGTACAGACTTGCACTCCTTTTGTTAATTTTATTCCTTAATGTTTTATTTTTTGAGACTATTTTAAATGGTTTTCCAAATTTTACTTTGGTATTATTCATTGCTAGTGTATAGAAATGCAGTCAATTGTTATGTAATCATGTTGTATCCTATAACCTCACTGAACTTGTTTTTCAATTCTTAGTAATTAGCTGATTGCTTAGGTTTCTCCATGGGCAAGAATGTTATCTGTGAATACAGGTTTACTTCTATCTTTATTTTCCTTCTTTACCTTGCCTAATTCCCTTGGCTAGAACTGCCAGTACAAGGTTGAATAACTTTGCATATAGTCTGCTGTATAGTCATACTTATAATACGAGACAGTTATTATATTGTTTAATATAACTATTAGATAAAAATTCCTGAAATCACTTTTCAAATATGACTTTGGGCAAAAATATTTTGCTACCTTGATTCTTAACAGAAAACAGTGTGATACAATATGGAAGTTAGTATGTTCATGCATAGATAACTTATTTTGGATTTCCATGGAAACATTCTTTTTATTATGCCTATAAAATATACGGAAGTCTTTTGGAACATCAATTAACTCACAAGGAAAGTATTTGAAAAAAGAAGCTCGAAGTTCATAGTGAATCAGAAACAGACAACCTGTCTGTCTGTAGAAATATGCTTTTAAAAAGCATGACTAAAGGAAATAGGCACCGCATAAGGAAGAAAAAAGTTATGTATCTCAACCAGGGCCTCATGACTCATTACCTGAACAATAACTGTGAGAGCTGATAGCTGTGCATATTCTCTTTCTAAATTGTTATGTATTTATAAATTGAATATATATATAAATTAATTTCTTATTGCCTCTCTCCTTTTTCTGATTATGTAAGTATTGCTATGGGTTGCTAACTTCACAATGTAGTCTTTACGCAATGAAATATTCAGGTAGGACCTCCATCCAATTTGAGGAGAAGGTATCATCTAGTCATGGATACTACCCTGTTGCCCATAGACGCACACCATTGTTATTGGGACTTTGTGTTTCCTACTGGTTTTGGAAGTGAGAAAATACTCATGTGTATGAAACACAATTGCTTATTATTTAGCGACAACATAAGATTATTATCATTGCTATATTCAAATGTGTGTAGCGAAGTAGCCAAAAGAGTGGACTGTGCCAATTCTTAATTGCTTCTTAGCTCTAAATCTATCTTCCTATCCTGTGGACTATGATGTAGGAGCCATTCTATTTGGTTGGTCTTCCACTCGGTGTCGTCCCAGCCAATGGCTCTTCATCCTGGTAGTGAAATTGGATTCAATTTTCAGCGCTTTTTTTTTTTTCCACTCTCAGAAGCAGTCTGTTTGTGCTTCGTTAGTATCAAGAGGCAGTGTCGTCTCCTTAGAGGTATAAGTTCCAACCCCAAGGGCCCCTCCTCTAAATTTCAAGATTCTAAAAGTCCTCAGCCTGTGACTTTTGTTTCTCCAGTGAGACACCAGGTGGAAGGCATTCCCTGGAGAAACTCTAACCAGCCTGCCCACTGGGGTGGAGCCTTGGGAAGTTCACTGACATTTGCAGCTGGGAGGAGCCTGGCCCCTCCTCTTCCCGTGTGGAACCCAGGGTTCAAATGGCTGAGCGGGAAGCGCTCTAGTAGGGACTCTGGCAACTCTGTTTTCTCCTTCTCTTCCTTTTCACCCAATAATACCCTGTCTTACTCATTATTTCAAATTGTCTAAGAGCCTGAATTTTCGTGGCTCTAGGGCAAAGAACCCCGTCTTTAACTGAACTAAGGAAAAGTCCTACAACATTTTTGGCACGCAACGTGGGAGCTCGAGAAGCGGTGAGTGACATGGGGACTCAAAACCTGTCAATGGTTTCTAAGCCTTTTCATCTTTGGACTTCTGAGCTTAAAGAAAACTGCACCCCAACCCCCTGTTGCTCCTGGGGGTCGGGGGACTTTTCATGGACTTTCCTTTCCCTTTTCAGGAGGGACTGGCCAGCAGCGGCTTCCCTCCATTCCCTACTCCATGCGTGGCTGGGAGGTATGGCTCAAGGGTCCCACACGGTGGCCACACACAGTAGCAGCCTTCCCTTTCCCCAGCCAAGGGGTTTTACTCCATAGGACGGTAATTAAGCTTAAACTTTTCTCCCTGGTGGAGGAACCAGTTGCATAAGAATAAGAGGTTCTTCTCCAGGCATTTTAAAACTGTTTTTTCCCTTCTCATCTTCACCCTGTTGGCAGTTAACTTTTAAAGTTTTTTTTTTTTTTCAGAAAATGTTTTACTAAGCCAGACCCCCTGTCGGCCCTCCCGCGCACTCCTTTCCCCCAGCAAACTGTCACCGTGAGTATTCTCTGCAAAGTTTCAGTTGTGAAATCAAGCCTCCATCTTGTTTTATATCCTGAGGGCATGGCTTGTAACTCCAGTGGCAAGGCTTTGTTTAGCAGTCCTGCCTTAGGGAATGTTTCTTTCTGGTTCGATATTTGCATGTTTTCCTACCTCTAAAAGTCCCCACCCAGCGACTAGGTTTTTTTTTGTCTGCCTTTGTGTGGCCTGTGCGTAATGTCTGTCAAAAAAGCTCCAATTAATCTGGCCTAAAGAAAGACAAATGCTTGGATCTAATATTTTTTAAAGGGAAGATAAAATCTATGGTACTTCACAAGGTCAGGAGATCAAGACCATCCTGGCCAACCTGGTGGAACCCCATCTCTACTAAAAATACAAAAATTAGCTGGGCGTGGTGGCACGTGCCTGTAATCCCAGCTACTCCAGAGGCTGAGGCAGGAGAATTGCTTGAGCCAAGGAGTCGGAGGTTGTAGTGAGCTGAGATCGCTCCACTGCACTCCAGCCTGGCGACAGAGAGAGACTTTGCCTCAAAAATAAAAAATAAATAAATAATAAAAATAAATAAAAACAGCCCTAATGACTGTTGGTAAAATGCATGTCAGATACAAGGTTTGCTAAGTGTTTTAAGGTTAAAAACTGCTTTTTTGGTTTTGAGATCTGTTTGACTTGCCGGCTTCACAATTGGTAAGGCTTGGGGACATATGGAACTAACCACATCTTTAAGAAGGCAAACCTTGGCTTTAAGAAGGCAAACCTGGCTGCAGTTAGCACACAATTAAAGCAACTTACCAGGTTTTACCCTGAAGTTAAAAATTGATAGGAGTTAATTGAAACTACTGGAAGTAGATTTACATGCAAGATGTGAAACAGCAGTAAAATGTGTTTTTTAGGAAAAGGTTATAAGAAGGCATAGAAATGTAAACTGCCTGGGGTTAAAGGATTGTTTTAAATTAGATAGAAAAAAGCTGAAAATTCAAAGAAGTGGTGGAAAAATTGTGGAAATGAATCTTGCAGAAGAGGTTCTCTATGTGAACATACTGACTAATTCAAAAGGGTATTATATGGTTTTTCTGTAAATTGTGCATTGAAATAAAGCATAACAAGGTTTTACTAAGGCACTAATCTGCTCTTTGGCAAAATTTGTAAAGGATTATAAAAGGTTTCTGGTTCTTTAAAATTTCTGAGTCATCATTTTGGCAAAATAAATAAATTATGGTAATCTGAAATTCTATTTCATAATATCAAGTGCTTTAAACATATTTAAAAGGCTTCCCCAAATCAAACTTCAGTTTCAAAATTGTTTTTCCTGACATCTGGCTTTTCCGATAGTTCAAAGGGCCCCTGGAATGTCTAGAAAAAAGAGGTAAATAGGATTATTTGCCATGTTCAGGTACATGGGATTGCCAAAATAATGTTAATCTTCTTTAGGTTAAATCTTGGGAAATAATGCTAATATATGTTCCAAAATTGTGTGAGATTTCTAAAATTTTAATATCTAAGTATATGCTATCAATCATAATTACAACTTTTATGTTAAGTTATTGTAAACCATGGATATAACCAAACTTCTTTATCAATTGTGTTCTTAATTGTAACTACCCTGGACATTTTGCTATTCACAGACAATTGTTGTCTTGTTTTAATCCTTTTTGAAGATGGTTTATAATGAGCTATAGAGCTCTGACAGGTGCTTTCAAATGCAATTTCTGATTGTATTTGAGACAATCAGGTTTCTGATAACTTTGGAGATTGTGACATTGGAATAAAGGAAAAGGTATAGAACTCATAAAGAGTGAAATGTTCACGAATATCAAGCAAAACCAGAGTTAACTAAATGGACTGAACTCAGAAAGGTGAAGCAAATCTTTTTGACTTTTGGTTGGACTATTGCTGATCCTTGTTTTGTTTCTCAGAGTCCAGGAAACTTACTTTGAGCTATTTACAGCCTTTAATAATTGAGTAAGGTATACTCCTATGATCAAAATTTGGAGCATGTTTGTTTCTCTCTGCCTGGTTCCTCTAGAATTTGAAAACTATCTGTGAGTATTGTTATGGCAATATAATTGTCTGCATCAGTGCAATAAGCATCCATTTTTATTTTGCAATAGGACACAATTGGAAAAACTGGCCATTTTACCAAGGTTTTGACTGGAAGTGTATGCTTCCATATAAAGAGTCAGACTTGACTTGTAGAGCTGATAAATGCCCCATGGGAGACTGGCCTCATGCTGTCATCTACACAGTCCCTGTACAGGGTCCCTGACCTGTGGTCAGTAAAGAATGTCACTTTCTAACAGGTCCAGGAGCTCCAAGTTTATCTTGGGACCATAAGAGGGGAGGATCACCCAACTCACAGGTATTTGAAGATACATACCCATGGGTGAGCTTGGCTTTAGAAGGTCTTATCTGAGATTCCTTGTGGAACAAACTTTCATCAAAGCCAATCCAAAAGACCTATGTAGAAATAATTATTCTTGCTGCACTTTATGCAAATAATCAGGCCAAGTATAAAACTAAAGTCTATTTTTTCAAACAACTCAGTCCTATGATGAGTTTTTAACAAAAATGAAGACTGGAGAGAGAGAAATCATGTTTCAAAACTTACACATTTGTCATTAAATTCTAAACTCATTAGTTGCTATTAAGTTTTCGCCTACCTTTTAGACTAACCTTGTGTGTTCCTGTGAAACAACCAGCAGTATCTGGCTGCAGCTCAGAAAGAACAAAAGGGATGGGTAATGCAAAAATCTGGGTCAATATTCTAGTTCTGAGCAATTATCCTGCAAATCCTGCCAGGTGATGGAATACATAGGGAATAAATAGGGTGCCTATCACCCAGAGGTTTCCTTTTGGAAAAATAGGACCAAGGAAGCTAACCAAAGTCAACACCATGCACCCAAATCCTAGCAAGCATGAGTATAGCCACCAGTTACCTGGGTGTGTCACAAGACATCCATTTCTCTCCCTTGTTGGAGGAGGATTCAGTTCCACTGTTCCCCCTTAGCATTCAGCTTATGATTAAGGAGTCCATGCAACTCCTTGAGACACATTTTTTCCTAGACTCAATTCCAACCTTTGGGTTAAAGCCCTAGGAAGGAAAACTGGATCTGAGGTATCCAGAGACAGACAACAAGAGAGGTTAAAAGGCACAGTGCAGGTGAGCAGGACTGATTCTTGCCAATTAAACCAAGCCAAGCTTCCTTTTAATGGATAAAGGCCACATTAATATCCATGGCATATATGAGGTCTGGGGAACTCCAAGGCTACTGACAGTAGGGGAAATAGAAGCATAGGTGAGAGCAGATAGTTTCTGTTCTCTAGGCCCCTCCCTGCTTCATGGGTGCAAGCCACATTTATACTTATGGCAGCATCTGCCAAGGTCACCGGGACTTAGGGATCCAAGGACCGAAGAAGGGAAAGAGGACACTCTTCCTTCTCTCCCCCACTTACCCTGGTTATCTACTAGGAAGAGAAGGGAACCAGGGACACCTGCTCCCCTCTTTCTAGATGGGTAGCCATTCATCTTCAGTCCTTACCCCTTTCAAATGCATCCTTAACCCCTGGGACTCCTTTAAAAGGTGCCTTCTTTTTCCCTCTCTCCTCCTTGGTTCTCTCTTTACTGATTAATTATGTCTCCCTACTATGAGATACTCGCCTCAGATGCATCCTCCAAACTGGAAAGAGTTAGTTTCCCAAACCTTAAACTAGTTGGTTTAGGATTGGACTCTGGGAAGAAAACCCAGAAGCCTGATATGCCAGCAAAAGGGTAAAGTTTTTTTTAACCAGTTGGGCTTTTGGACTTCCTCTCCCTTTGCAAACTGGTAAAAGCCCTCCGGATTTTTGAGCTGTCCTTACCCCTCCCCTTGTTTCCTTTTCATACATATTTTCTAATAACCATGTTTGTCTGTTCTTGCTTTCGGGCCATCAAACTCCAAACAGTCATGCAACCAGAGCCTCTGATGATGGCCTCTTTTGCTGGGAACCCTTAAATAGGCCTCTGAGGGAGATCTGACTGCTGTTTTCCCCAAACAGCATCCCTGTCAGCAGGAAGGAGTTAAGATTGGTCTTTGTCCTTTCCCTTAATCTTACAGCAGTTAGATGTATTTCCTCAGAGGGGTAATGAGACAGCCAGATGGGAGGGGGTCCCTGGAGAAACTCCAACCAGCCCGCCCACTGGGGTGGAGCCTCGGTAAGTTCATGAAGTAGTGAAGAGTCTGGCTTCTCCTCTTCCTGTGTGGAACCTGGGATTTGAGCAGCCTGGTGGAAGCGCTCTGGCAGGGACTCTGGTCTTGCGAGAGTCCCTGTTTCCCTCTTTTCTTTCCTTTCATCCAGTAAAATCCTGTCTTACTAATCAAATTGTCTGCAAGCCTGAATTTTCATGGCTGTGGGACAAAGAACCCCACCTTTAGCTGAACTAAGGAAAAGTCCCGCGACACCAGCACCAGGGGTAATAGCTCTTCCTGCACTTACTACTTGAAGTATTTATCCATGTTGCAGTTTGCATTTTTAGTCTTCAGATACCTGTCTCTTTAGCCAGTTCACAATATCAAATTGTCCTCCTTATTTTCTAAAATTGTGGTTTATGCTTTTTTGTTTTCTGATAAAATCATAATTTTTTCAAACATTGCCAAATTTTTTAATATTTAAGAATAAGCTATATTGAAGGGTGGAGGAATCCTTTGTTTTTAGGTGTAAAAATTTTTTGACATATGAAATCATACTGTTATAAAGTATTACATATATAAAAAACTTGTGCTGTTAATATTGTACTTAGTATATATTCTATTTAATAGCCTTTAATATATTTCATTTTAAAATGTACTACACATACATGTCAAAATTGAATTTGGCTTTATAAAATGAGAGATTTGCTTGCAGTCCTTCCTTGGCTTTCTAAGAAAACAATTTTAAGAGAATAAATACATCCTTAGAAATGAAATAAAGAGAGTTATGCACAAACTTCACTTTGTCCTTAAAAATGCCAGTATCTTTCTAGTTTTTTTTTTTTAGGTAAGACATTTTTTTCTATTCTATTTAATTTACTTTTAAAATTTGTTTTTATCATTAATACTCTAAACATTTTAAAGGAAGTTTATTCCTCTTTGTCCCAGTGGGAAGATTTTTGTATGAAATTTCACAAAATTAGATGAAGAACTCTGTAATTCCCTAAGCAGAATTCCTATAGGTTCTTATTACACAAATTAGCTTTTCAAGTGAGGTGAGGTAGCAGCTGCAGCACTAGGTAGGGGCTTCATGCCGCTTGGCAGGTAGGGGAGGGCTGGAGAAGAGGAGGAAGAAATAGTCTCTTGTCTTATTCTTTTAGTTCCTAGGGTTTGTGCTAGTGAAATTCACAGGAATCATCAATATATTTCTGTCTGCGTATTTCTTAGCAGGTCATATAACTCCTTTTGATACGGGATCCTCTTGGGTAATAGTTTAATTGTTCTATGTATAGACTTATAAAGCTTAATAAACAGGACATGAAGGAAGGTTTAAATGTTATTGTGAGTTCCCAATGTCAGTGAACAGATTATGATTTTTAATAGATTTAAAATAGATTTTGATTTGTTTGGGGACTATCTTAGGATGCACAGAAATGCTGTTCTTCGTATTAAGATTGTGGATGCTTCCTCATTTGTAAAATCTTAGCAATTGTAGCTTATAGAGCATTTGTCTTTCCTAAAGAGATTTCTACAAGGAGAGGAACTGCTAGATTGTTAATGATAAGGTTTGCTGCTTTTCCTTAGGTACATGTGTTTCTGGTATAAATACTTACCTGAGTTGCTGGTGTTCCTTGCTGAGTGAACATAGTTGCTCATTGACTATTAATAAATGTTACTCTAAACATTCTAAATATTAGAACAACAGTTTTTAATGAAAATAATATATAAAAGAAAAATCCACCAATAAAATGAATAAAGTTTTTTGGGGTTTTTTTTTTAGGTTACTCTCTCCATTGGGTCTTAAATTTAAGATGGGACAAGGCATCTCATGCTAGATATTTTGAAAAAATGGTGTTTTTACTAAGAATTAATTTGTAGTTACATTAATTCATTCAACAAATATTAACTGGGTTCCACTTTTTTCCAGGCTTTATTAATGTTGTACCATATTTTTTTAAATGATTATTTTTAGGCCTTAAAATCCCGTGTATCTGTATGATTTTTTTTGTGGAGTTTTCATTTTGTTTTGTTTTAGTGATAGAATTGAGCTTTTCTTTTATCTGCTTTTCCAATATTTTCTTACCATTTAACTTTGAGGAAAAAAATTTCATAATTGGATGTCATTTTCATATATCAAGTAAGGAGCTATTGAAAGTAGCATATACCCACATAACAGGAGTTTACATTATAAAAGATTTAATTATCTAATGTAACAAAAATTCCACTTCCAGGGTTGTTTCAGTGTCTCAGTGGTGTCTGTTGCAGCATCCGCATTTAGATGGATTCTTTGGTGAGACGGAGTCTTGCCCTGTCGCCCAGGCTGGAGTGCAGTGGTGTGATCTCGGCTCACTGCAACCTCTGCCTCCCTGGTTCAAGCGATTATCCTGCCTCAACCTCCCTAGTAGCTGGAACTATAGGCTCACGCCACCACGCCTGGCTAATTTTTTGTATTTTTAGTAGAGACGGGGTTTCACAGTGTTAGTAGGCAGGATGGTCTGTATCTCCTGACGTCGTGATCCGCCCGCCTTAGCCTCCCGAAGTGCTGGGATTACAGGCGTGAGCCACCGTGCCAGGCCTAGATGGATTCTATTGACTTTTTGTCTCATGGTCACAGCTTGACTGCCAGAGTAATCTGCATCATATCTTCTCACAACCATGTAAAATACAAGAACATGAAAAAAGATTTCTCTGTCTCTGCCTATTCCTTCCTCCCTTGTTCCCTGTTCCTTTACAAAGAGAAACATCTTTTCCTTAGTACTCCAGCAGACTTTCTGACTTGTATCAAGGCCGAAAACTGAGTCATGTCTAGCTTTAGCCCTAGAGGAGATTGGGGAATAAAATACCCCTCTCACATTTAGCCTCTTTAGCGGGAGACAGGCAAGAAAAAAAGTCAAATGGAAAAATTTGCTGGGTAAGCTACCAGTGGGGTCTGCCATAGTTGGTTCTTGGAATAACAAATAATGGACTAAAGTTCCATACAAACACATTCAGCCAATAAGATAGTAAGGCTGAAATTAATGCCATACAGAGGAAGGGTTGTTAAAAGAATTTGCTCCAGGTGTCAAATATTCTACGTGTGTCACTGAAATGCAGTGCAGTGTTCTTATGAAAACACGTAAAATATGTCAAAATGATTGGTACAGTCCCTGCCACACATTAGTTGCTCAATAAACATCAGTCTCTAACCTTTAATATATCATTTTTTGCAACATGTCTTCTAAATTTTGCCCCCAAAGGTGGCTTTATCAGATCTAGTTTGGTTACTTAAGAAACAAAACAAAAGCAACAAACAAAAAGAACACCTAAAATTCCTATATTCATAGACAATTTTACTTTTATACTCAATATGAAAACCGTTTAGCTATTATTTTAATTAATGTGGATAAGATCTTTCTCCTTCTCTCTTTCTGTTTCATATTTTGCATTCTATAATTTTCCCCCATGCCTGAGAAACAATGTATATCTGCATATACTTATATTTATTTAGATGTAAGCATAAGGTTGAAATTTATAATTTAAAATCCAGCAATAAAATAGTCATACAGTTTTCTACTTGTTTTAAATACTTCAAAACATTTAGTTTTTTCCAAATATTACACATAAATTTAGTCATAATCCTGTTTTATTTTAATATAAATTTTGTTTCTAGACATGATTTTGACTGCTTTCTGCATTTATATGAACATGTAATATTTATTCTATTCCTAAATAATTATACATGTATTTTGAAACCAGGAAGAATATTTTAGGCCATCTACATATCAATTTATGAGTTATGAAACAGAGCACTCCCTCAGAGAGGTGAAGCATTTTGCTCATCAGCTAGTTGGAGGCGCTGTTGGCCTAAATCATAAATTATCACTATGCAAAAGAAAAACTTTCGGTTTTGTTTGCCTCTACTAAGAAAATCTTTCCAGAATTTCTTATTACACATACAAAAGTTCTTCATCAGTGCTCTATATTTCAAAGTACATTTATATATATATAATTATTATATATCTATATATTAAATAATCATACCAGATGTTAGCCAATAAAGATAACAAAATCATTCTGGAAAATTCAAACAGCAAAACAATAAGCAAAACAGAAACAAAATATAATATATTGGATACAATAATGTTTGTTACTGTAAATTTAGTGTGGTGTTAAAGTTCTTGTTCTCCTAGCAAAAGTGCTTGGGTTCAAAATCCTGCCAACAGTTATGACATGATCAATACCTGTAACCTCTCTGGGACTCAGTTTTTATTATGTGTAAAATGGAGGTATCAATAACATATACCTCATACAGTTATTATGGGATTAACTTAGTTTATACATGCAAAGCATTTAGAATATGACTTAGGAAGTAAGGAAGTAGAAAGCATTAGCTATTATTCTACTAACACTACTACCGTTATTATTGACACTGGTGATAATACCTGTCATTTTTGTGTTTATAACTGGCTGTCTACATTGTGCACACTTTACACACATATCTCATTTAATACTCCCCAAAATTTTTAAATTGGGAACTCTAGTTTAGGAATAAATAAACTCAGTTGCAAAGTTATTCAAATACATATCCAAAGTCCAAGAACTATATTCCTGATTACCAGCCATACTCTTCATTAGTGTCCTGTATTTGAAGGGCAACTCAAGGTAAATGGGAAAAGTAGGTGTTAATAGGCAGAGAGGCTGGACAAAAAAATATTCAGAAAAATAGTGAGAAAAAAGAGGAGGAAAATGAACAGAAGAATAAGTAATAATGAGATTGTGAGTTAAGATAGGGCATGATATTGTGTTAGAGAATGCCAGTTGGGGGCCATTAAAAAACTAAACCTGCCCGATGGAGTCCTCATGTGCCATATTTTAAGGGCATGAAGAGTGGTAACATGTATTAATCTATTGAAATTCTTAAAATATGACAAAAAAGTATTGATAGCTATAGTCCCATTTCATCTGAGAAAGTCAGTTGAATGGAGAAGATTATTCCTTAACTTCCCTGTAATGCTAAAGAAAGGACAGTAGAAGATATTTAATTTTAGTTATATTTAAAGAGATATCCCCCTATAACCGTATAGGTTTTTAAAAGACAGCTTAACTCCTTTTATTTATTTATATTCAATTTTTGATTGTTAAAGTCTGATTTAAATGTTATTGAGATAATGTAAATATTAAATAGATCATATTACTTTGAAATCATTTTAATTGTTGAAATTAAGATGTTTATAATTTTTGCTGACTTTGAAGTATATCTTGCTTACCAGCCCAATGGATGTTTTGATCATAAATCCAACAAAGGCTGGAATTGATGTCTATACTATCTCCTTAACAATGTTTATATCAGTTTAATAATTTATAGTCTTTCAGACCAATTTATAAGTATTAATATTAAAATCAGTAAGAATATTATTCTTTGGAAAGCTGCCCAGTGAGATCAATGGTAACTATATTCAAAACACTTTTAGTTTTAATAAAACTAAAATGAAAGTTTTAGTTTTATTTAAAATTTAATAAAACTTAAATTTCATTTAAAAATGAAATAAGAAATTCCATACCCAGTTTTTTTGTTTAATTCTTCTACCCATGAATGAATTTCTCAAAGGTCATATTTTCTCTCTTATCTCTTATTTGAAGACTTAATTCTTAAGATAGATCAGCTTCTTAAATGATCATCTGTATTCAACGTAAAAATCAAAACCCACTGAGTTCTGACACTTTGTGGTTAAGTCCCTGAACTCTAGAAATGCAGTTCCTAATATAGAAAATAAATGATAGCCTTTTATATCAGTATTTTTGCCAGACCATTGAATCTTATTGTAAAACAGACAAACTATAAAATTCAGTGGCTTGCATAATTATACCTCAAGACACAATGAACAAAATTGAACATCTTTAAATGCTCTTGTTCAAATAAATAGTTCAGTATTGTGGAAGATGTAGGTAGTAATTGTGCTGAATGCAGATGAATTTTAAATTTAGTCATCCTAAAAGAATATATTTAAATACGCAATGTTCCATAGTACCAAAAGATAATAGCCAAAAATCTTAAGAAAAATTTGAAGAAAATACTGTTGATTATATTTCAGGTACAAATGTTCTTTATTCAACCTATATTTCTTGGCCACCTGATGTACTTAAATAAAGGTATATGGAAATTATATGGCCCTTTCCAGAGGTAACTGTTTTATATTAGATACTGTAAAATAATGACCTTTTACAGCGTAAATTGAAAAAGTGCAAACTTCTCTTTCAAGAAATTTGCTCTTGAGCCAAAATAAATTCTTTGGTAAATTTTAAGAAAATTTTGCTACGTGTAATCTGCTTAATTCAGTGAATCATCATCAGCAGGTATGTCATTCCGTTTTTTGGAAAGGAGTAAAATGGGGATTCAGACCTTGTTATTAGCATGTCACATGGCCATGGCCATGGCCATGGATAAGCCACTTGGGAAGGGTGACCTGCATGCTTTTCTAGATCCTTTTCTGCTCTAACATCCTGAGTCTATAGTTTGTATCCCCTATGTAAAATATTATACATAACATTTCAATGTATTTGATGATATTATAATCTACTTAAGGGAATTAACTACCAGATAGTTTATCAAGTGATAGAATTCTTTTTACAAAGTTAAGAATGTTTGTTCGAAATCGATCACTGATTTTTGCTTAAAGTAAAACTATGTAGTTTTTATTTTTTTCTTGAGATGGAGTCTCGCTCTGTCACCTGGACTGGAGTACAGTGGCACGATCTTGGCTCACTGCAACCTCTGCCTCCCAGGTTCAAGCAATTCTCCTGCCTCAGCCTCCCAAGTAGCTGGGATTGCAGGCACCCGCCACTACACCCAGCTAATTTTTTTGTATTTTTGGTAGAGATGGGGTCTCACCATGTTGTCCAGGCTGGTCTTGAACTCCTGACCTCGTGATCCACCTGCCTCGGCCTCCCAAATTTCTGGGATTGCAGACATTAGCCACCGTGCCTGACTGAGTGTTTTTTGGCTGAAAATTATGTCAAAGAATCTTTGTTTGGGTGTTCAGACACTGTTTTTGCAGTTAAAAATTTAATTAAAATTTATCTCTGGAACAATAATTGAATAAGAAGATAATTTATTAGCTTTTCACAGCTCATCTTTATCTCTAAAAATTTTCAAGCCATGTTGAATATAACACCCAACCTTTGAAATATGGGAAGAATTCTGATATCCATTCCTCATCTGAGAATAGATGAAAATACAGATGCTGCTTGTCTTAGGATGGGGTTACATCCTGATAAACCCTTGAAGTACATGTTTTTCCAAATGTGTATCTCTTCCTTACCATCATAAATGTAAAAATTGTAAGTGAACCCTTGTAAGTCAGGGACTATCTATATTGCTTTCTCTTGGAAGTTTAGAAGCATGTTTTAAGCATTACACAATAGATTATAAACTGTATTAGTCCATTCTCATGCTGCTGTGAAGAAATATCCAAGACTGGGTATATTAGTCTATTTTTATGCTGCTGATAAAGAGATCCCAAGACTGGGAAGAGGAAGAGGTTTAACTGGACTTACACTTACGCATGGCTGGGAAAGTGTCAGAATCATAGCAGGAAGTGAACGGCACTTATTACAAGGTGGCAGCAAGATAAAGTGAGGAAGAATTAAAAATGGATAAACCCATCTGATTTCATGAGACTTATTTACTATCACAAGAATACCATAGGGAAGACTTGCCCCCATGATTCAATCACCTCCCCAGAAGTCTCTCCCACCACACATGGGAATTCTGGGAGATACAGTTCAAGTTGAGATCTGAATGGAGACACAGTCAAAGAATATCATTCTGCCCGTGCCTCCCCCAAATCTCATATCCTCACATTTCAAAACAAATCATACCTTCCTGACAGTCCCCCAAAGTCTTAACTCATTTCAGCATCAACCCCAAAGTCCACAGTCCATTGTCTCGACTTTGAAAAGTTAAGTCCCTACCACCTAGGAGCCTGTAACTCAAAAGCCAAGCTAGTTACTTCCTAGATACAATGGGGTTGCAAGCATTGGGAAAGTACGGCTGTTCCAAATGGGAGAAATTGGCCAGAATAAGGTGGTTACAGGGACCATGCAAGTCCAAAATCCAATGGGACAGTCAAATTTTAGAACCTTTAAAATAATCTCTTTTGACTCCAGGTCTCACATCCAGATAATGCTGATACAAGAGATGGGTTCCTATGGTCTTGGGCAGCTCTGCCTCTGGCTTTGCAGGGTGCAGCCTCCCTCCTGACTGCTTTCATGGGCTGGCATTGAGTATCTGTGGCTTTTCCAGGTGCACGGTACAAACTGACAGTGGAGCTACCATTCTGGGGTTTGGAGGATGGTGGCCCTTTTCTCACAACTCCATTAGGCAGTGCCCCAGTAGAGACTCTGTGTGGGGGGGCTCTGACCCCACATTTCCCTTCTGCACTGCCCTAGCAGAGGTTCTTCATGAGGGCCCCACCCCTGCAGCAAACTTTTGCCTGGGCATCCAGGCATTGCCATACATTTTCTGAAATCTAGGCGAAGGTTTCCAAACCTCAATTTTTGACTTCTGTGCACCTGCAGGCCCAATATCATGTGGAAGCTGTCAAGGCTTGTGGCTTCCACCCTCTGAAGTCACAGCTCAAGCTGTGCCTTGGCTCCTTTCAGCCATGGCTGAAGTGGCTGGGATATGGGGCACCAAATCCCTAGGCAGCACATAGCATGGGGACCCTGGGCCCAACCCACAAAACCACTTTTTCCTCCTGGACCTCTGGGCCAGTGATGGGAGGGGCTGCCGTGAGGGTCTCTGACGTGGTCTGAAGACATTTCCCCCACAGTCTTGGGGATTAATATTAGGCTCCTTGCTACTCATGCACATTGCTGCAGCCACCTTGAATTTCTCCTCAGAAAATGGGATTTTCTTTTCTACTGCATCATTAGGATGCAAATTTTCTGAACTTTTATGCTGTTTCCTTATTAAAATGGAATGCTTTTAACACTACCCAGGTCACCTCTTGAATGCTTTCCTGCTTAAAAATTTCTTCTGCCAGATACCCTAAATCATCTCTCTCAAGTTCAAAGTTCCACAGATCTCTAGAATAGGGGCCAAACGCTGCCAATCTCTTTGCTGAAACATAGGAAGAGTCACCTTTGCTCCAGTTCCCAACAAGTTTCTCATCTCCATCTGAGACCACCTCAGTCTGGACCTTATTGTTCATATCAGTGTCAGCATTTTTGTCAAAGCCATTCAATAAGCCTCTAGGAAGTTCCAAACTTTCCCACATTTTCCTGTCTTCTTCTGAGCCCTCCAAACTGTTGCAGCCTCTGCCTATTGCTCAGTTCCAATGTCACTTCCACGTTTTCAGTTATCTTTTCAGCAACACCCCACTCCTGGTACCAATTTATTCTATTAGTCCATTTTCGCACTGTTTATAAAGACATACCTGAGACTGGGAAGAAAAAGAGGTTTAATTGGACTTACACTTCTTCATGGCTGCGGAGGTCTCAGAATCATTGCGAGAGGTGAGAGGCACTTCTTACATTGTGGCAGCAAGAGAAAATGAGGAAGAAGCAAAAGCAGAAACCCCTGATAAACCCATCAGATCTCATGAGACTTATTCACTATCATGAGAATAGCACTGGGAAGACTGGCCCCCATGATTTAATTACCTCCCCTTGGGTTCCTCCCACAACACGTGGGAATTCTGGGAGATAAAACTCAAGTTGAGATTTGAATGGGGACACAGCCAAACCATATCACTGGGTAATTTATGAAGAAAAGTATGGGAGAAATTGTCCCCATGATTCAATTACCTCCACCTGGTTCCTCCTATGACACATGGGGATTCTGGGAACTGCAATTCAAAATGAGATTTGGGTAGAGACACAGTCAAGCCATATAATTACACCACTGGCCCCTCCCACATCTCATGTCCTCATGTTTGAAAACATAATCATGCCTTTCCAACAGTCCCCCAACGTCTTAGCTCATTCCAACATTAACCCAAAAGTTCAAGTCCAAAGTCTCATCTGAGAAAAGGCAAGCCCTTCTGCCCATGAACCTGTAAAACCAAAAGCAAGTTAATTACTTCCTAGATACAAAGGGGGTACAGGCGTTGGGTATATTTACCATTCCAAATGGGAAAAATTGACCAAATCAAGGGGGCTTCAGGCCCAATGCAAGTCCAAAATCCAATAGGGTAGTCATTAAACCTTAAATTTCCAAAATAATCTCCTTGACTCCATGTCTCACATTCAGGTCTTACTGATGAAAGAGGTGGGCTCCCACAGACTTGGGCAGCTCCACCCCTGTGGTTTTGTAGGATACAGCCCCACTCCTGACAGCTTTCATGAGCTGGCATAGAGCAACTCCAGTTTTTCCAGGTGCACAGTGTAAGGTGTTGGTGGATTTACCATTTTGGAGTCTGAAGGACAGTGGCCCTCTTCTTACAACTCCACTAGGAAGTGTCGCAGTGAGGACTCTGTGTGGGGGCTCTGACCCCACATTTCCCTTCTGCACTTCTCTAGCAGAGATTCACCGTGAGGACTCCAAACATGCAGGAAACTTCTGCCTGGACATCCAGGCATTTCCGTAGATCTTCTGAAATCTAGGGGAGGTTTCCAAACCTCAATTCTTGACTTCTGTGCACCAGCAGGCCTAACACCACATGTAAGGTACCAAGGCTTGGGGCTTGCACCTTCTGAAGCAAAGGCCTGCACTGTACATTGGCTCCTTTTATCCATGGCTGGGACCTAGTGTAACAAGTCCTGAGACTGCACAAAGCAGTAAGCCCCTGGGCCCAGCCCACCTAACAATTTTTTCCTCCTAGGCCTCTGGGCCTGTGATGCGAGGGGCTGCTGTGAAGACCTTTGACATGTCCTGGAGACATTTTCCCCATTGTCTTGGAGATTAACATTTTGCTATTCATTACTTATGCAAATTTCTGCAGCTGGCTTGAATTTCTCCTCAGAAAATGGGTTTTTCTTTTCTACTGTGTCATCAGGCTGTAACTTTTCTAGACTTTTATGCTCTGCTTTCCTTTTAAATATAAGTTTCAATTCCAAACCATATCTTTGTGAATATATAAAACTGAATGCTTTTAAGAGCACCCACGTCACATTTTGAATGCTTTACTGCTTAGAAATTTCTTCTGCCAGATACCCTAAATTATTTATCTTAAGTTCAAAGTTCCACACATCTCTAGGGCAGGGTCAAAATGCCACCAATCTCTTTGCTAAAACATAGCAAGAGTCACCTTTGCTCCAGTTCCCAACAAGTTCCTCATCTCTATCTGAGACCACCTCAGCCTGGACTTCATTGTCCCTATCACTATCAGCATTTTAGTCAAAGCCATCCAACAAGTCTCTAGGAAGTTCCAAACTTTCTCACATCTTTCTGTATTCTTTTGAGCCCTCCAAAGTGTTCCAACCTCTGCCTGTTACCCGGTTCCAAAGTCATGTTCACATTTTCGGGTATCATTACTGCAGGGCTCCACTACCTGGTACCAATGTACTGTATTTGTCTGTTCTCATGCTGCTATGAAGAAATACCTGAGACTGGGTAATTTATAAAGAAAAGAGGTTTAACTGACTCACAGTCCACATGTCTGGGGAGGCCTCAGGAAACTTACAATGATGGCAGAGGGAACCTCTTCACAGGCGGCAGTAGAGAGAATGAGTGCAAGGGAAAACGGCAGATGCTTATGAAAACCATCTGATCTCATGAGGCTCACTCACTATCATGAGAACAACATGGGAGAAACCAAACCCATGATCCGATTACCTCCACCTGGTCCCTCCCTTGACACATGAGGATTATGGAAACTACAATCCAAGATGAGATTTGGGTGGGGACACAGCCCAACCGTATCACCAACATTACTATGAATTAGGCATTGTACCAGGTGTTTGTTATAGTTGCTCACATATTAATTCATTTAATACTAACAATACTTACCTAAGAAATGCACTATTTTTATTTCAATTTTAAAGATGAGGAAACTGAAGACACAACAATATTTAAATTATACAAGGGTTAGGAACTAGAAAGTGGCAGAACTAAAATTATAATCCAGACAATTCGCTCTAGAACCTACCCTTCTAAGCACTAACTTGCCTCTCAGTTTGTAAGTTCTAAACATACATGACTCCAAATAGTTTTTCACAAATGATCACGTGGTACATGTGTTCCACAAAACCCACTACGCTACGGAAAAAAGTCCCAATTTTAAATAATTGTATATTTAACTTTACTTGGACATCTTTTTAACACTATATGTTGGAGTAAAACTACTGTTACAAATTGATCTTCTGTTAAAATATAGAGGGCTTCATGCTTTAATTAATAGTTCCTTTTTTATTTTTAAATATTTGGTCTGCAGTTAAGTTTTAATTGTCAATTTATATTTGGCTCTATTCATTTTGTTAGTGAATACCAAAGTAGGTTAATAAGCATTCCACACCTTGTGAAAAACTTTCAAACTGGTCCTCAAATTTATTATAACTATTTTCCTGACAGTGCATCCGTCAGTTGATTTTAAAAAGAACTCTTTAAAATGAAATCAAGCTGCTTATGCACAATTCAGAGTCTTATCTTTTTATATTTGCCCTGAGGAAACTGCGATAGCTTAGATTTATGCATGTCTTATTTGGTTATATTTGTGAAGTATTTGATAGTGTTTCTGAAGATCTACAATTGCTTTTGTAGTGCAGTCAGGTGGTTTATTTTCTTCACTTTAGAAATGGCTGTGATTTATGCAACTGATAAAAAACTGCTTTCAAGTTAACATATACAGAAAAGAGTATATAAAGCTAATAGCCAGAACAATCTGCCGAAAGCCATTGCTTTTTCAGGATAGTTGGAAACTGTCAAGTTGAGGAAGCAATGAATATATAAGTTTTGCACAATCCAACTTTAGATGTCTCCTGAGACCAGGGCTAACATTGCTAACAGTTGACTTTGGTAGATAATAAAGTTTACAGATAAGGCTCATTAGAATTAGTATGCACTTAGAAATACATTTAAATTATGTATGCCTACCTTCAGTCTATATGAACATTAGTTGCATACTAATGAGTTGCAAGAAAAAATTAAAAGAAGTCATATCAATCGTATCTTCTGTGCCAAAGTTTTAGGTACTTAATATGATCTTTCTTTGGAATGTTTGCAACAAAGTTCCTCTATTAAAAATATTTTATTTTCTTCATTTTTCTGTGTGTCTTCTCTTTGCGATAAGGTATGTGCATTTGAACAATGGTTGTTACCTAATTAGGAAGTTAATATTTCATCCTATTTGCCATTTAATCTAATTAAAAATAGCTAGTTGTAGATCTTTGAATCTTTATGTTTTCTTAAAACATGATATGTATCCTAATGTTATGCTTTTTCACTCACTTATTTTTTCCTTATATCTATGTACTCATAACACTTTCCTCAACTATTTTAAGCATTTTATTTTATATTATTTTTGAAATTTCTTTCTAATATCTTAATTTACTGAATGTTCTCTATTTCTCCGATGCAGTAAGCAGGTCTCATTGCTTGGCAAAGAATCTCCAAAAAAATCTCTTCACAGATTCTATTCCTTCATCACAGTCTAACCTCTATATGTTCTTGATGTAGTTGGATAGACATTTGCATAGTAAATTCTACACTTAAGGATCTTTCTGTGTTAATTTTACATCTACTATAATTGTACTTAAAACGTCTATTTTAATAGCCCATTATATGTGTTTATAATGTTTTACATGTATGGGATCTCATATTTAATATCCACCTTTCTCTTTCACTGGGGCATGAAATAGAAAGATGAGTTATTGAAGTATCTCTCAAGAATGAATTTCCGTTTCTTTCTCCCCATTACCCATTTCCATCCTTGCTCCTGGACAAGAAAGAAGCCTGTTTTGAGTCACATGCTTTATAGAGGTTACCTATACACATTGCTTAATCTATGCAATAATTCTTGAAGTATGAACTATTTCCCAGTTATACAAAGCAACATGTCCTTGTTTTCTTTGTGTTTCAATAGGAGTCTAACAATATTTTTGAATTGACTCAGTTTACCCAAAAATTGCTCCTACCACTTAAGAATGTTAAATTTGAAACAACTCGTATGTCCTGCAAATAAATAGATAATGTGTGTGTTTGTGTGTGTACATATATGTGTATATTTCCTCCATCTCATTAACATTTTATAAATATATTACTATATTTATATTTAATATATTCTGTATATATGTACATCATTACCCTTATCTATTTAAAATTGAAAAATGAGAGGGACATTAATGCTAGAGTTGTGAATAGTATATTTGTATGAAAATATAAAATACTATAAACATAAATATAAAATATTAAGTGTAATTTTTGCTATTTTATGTTAATTACAATTTCAAATATTTTGAAGAAATCTAAATAATAAATAAGCTTTATTAAAACATTCATTTAGTTAGTATTTTGCCTTTATATTTTCACAGATAATTTGGACTTTTAGAGGAAAACTTTCTTTTTAAACATCTGAAGATCATTTACATTTTTTATTTTTATGTTAAACATTTATTATTACTATATTTCAGGTTGTATCTAGTATTGATGGAGTGCAGTTGCGCGATTTCAGCTCACTGCAACCTCTGCCTCCTGGGTTCAAGCGATTCTCTGGCCTTATCCTCCCAAGTTGCTGGGTTTACAGGTGCCCACCACCACGCCTGGCTAATTTTTGTATTTTTAGTAGAGATGAGGTTTCACCATCATGGCCAGGCAGATCTCGAACTCCTGACCTTAGGTGATGCTCCCACCTACGCCTCCCAAAGTGCTGGGATTACAGGTGTGAGCCACCACTCCTGGCTACTAGGTATTCTTAATAGGAGGCTTTCTGCACTACCATGATCTACCATTTGCTTGCATCAGAAATCACAATATAATACCTGCCAGTGGCACCAAGTACCATTTAATGAGAGCTCTAAGTAAACCATCTTAAAATTTGAAGGATGTATTTCAGAATAACTCTAAGAGTATGTTATTTGTCTAAGTTCTTTTTACCTGCTGAGTCTCTTATGGGAAGTTAGTTTAATACCTATAATACCCATGGGATAAAATAATATTTTCTATTAATTTTGATTTTAGGGTGACTCTTAGTTTGGTAATTACAAGATGGAGTAAGAAAAATCTATATTTCTCATCCTATTGTATATTTTACTTGAAGTTATTCTGAAATAATTTAATTATTATTATCCAGAACTGAGTTCTGGGTTTTTTTTATATATATGTGCCAATTTTTCATATAGTTTTCCATATTTTTTATAATTTTGGTCTGCATTTTGTTAATCATTTTCAGAATTGAATAAATTCTTAGCTCATTAGCTTCAAAAATCCCCGCTTCCCCTCTGTGTGTGAAATAAGGACAATAAAATGTAAAACCCTCCAGTCTTTTTCCTCAAAAAAATTCTAAAAATAAACTTCAGTTTTATTAAAATAATCATTTATTCATTTAGTATTTTTTCTTTATATTTACAGATTATTACATATTGAAGAGGAGAAATGTAGATAATTTTCCATCATTTTGTTCTTTGTTTTTCTCTTGTTGTCCTGTCTGTTTACTTAATAATAGATAGTGTCTTGATGTAGAATCATAATTGCCAAGTTTCTTCAAGGTAAAATATTTTAACCTTATAAAATGCATTATACTTTGCTATTTTTGGTAAATATATGCAGACTAAAATAATGCCAAAGAGAAACAAACTGTATTTTTTAATAGAAAATGACATTTTGACCAAGGGACTGATAGGGTTTGGTAGGGTAGAATAAAAATAAATTTTTTTTAAAATCTTGGGTATACTCTAAGAACATATATATTTGCTATATATAAATACACACATATATATGTTCTTAGAATAGAAGGCATGGTTTTGAATATGACATTTATTGATCAGTAACTTGCAAAATATTTGGCAAATGTTTACCACTAATTTGGGGACTTTGGCCTATTTTTCCCCCTGCTTTGCCTCTCTGGAAATAATGAACATATTGATGGAGTAGCACTTACCCACCTGAGGTTATGTATTAAGATGTTCCTGTAACATGAATACATAAATACTGAGATTTAGCACATTATGAAACAATTTCATTTGTGAACAAATGAAATTCACTGACTCCTAGACAACTATTCTTTATCAATACTAACAGTTGAACTGAAAACTATAACTCTAAAGGTAATGGTTTTCTGCAGCTTCATGCCTTCTTAAGTTGAAAGGATTCTCCAAGAGAAGCATTCTTATATGAAAGATTTTAACTGACTTTAAAGTTTTACGTACGATTTTTGAAGTACAGACAGGAGAGAGGCAAATATTCCCTTTATAAAGTGCTGCAGATATCTGATTTCATGAGGGTTCAAGATGTAAAATTCAGACAAGAAAAGTTTTCAAGGATCTGTTTCTCATCCTTCCCAGAATTGCCCTGGGGATGTGACATTGCTCCAGGTAAATTCTTTAAATAAATAGAATAGAAAAATATTTAAGGATACATGTTGTGTCCTTCCTTCTGTAGGCTTAGCTAGAAGTGATGCCTTAGTAATTTTCAACTAGTTCAGGCTTTAGATTGGAAGGATTAAAATGGCATTAAATGACCTGTTTTTTTCTTTAAGTTGACCAGATATAAGATACCTATGTAAAAATAGTGGGTTTTTAAATCTTCCCAACAAACCACTAAAAATGCAATGGAAAAATATCAAACTCAAACAAAGGAGGAAACTTATGAGATAATTAGGAATAAACATTAGATGTGCTCAAGGTCTTTATTAGAAAAGTATAAAACTTTAATAAAATATTTTTAAAATCTGAGTAAATGAAGAACACAAAACTGGAAGACTCAACAATAAATCTAACATTGATTCATGTTTTCCTCACTTAATAAACTTATTTAATTAAAAATCAGTCATAAAATAGGAAAATTCTTAAATGGAAATTTTTTTTCCTCCCTAGTCAGGGAGAGTTCTTTGTTTTGTTCCAGAGACAGCCTTAACCTCTATTTTTCCTCTCTTCCTTCAATATTTTAATCACTGACACTTTCTAGTATGTTCTAAAATCTAATAAAGTAAGTACTTTATCACCGATTTTTTAAAAGAAATATTTGTTTTTGTCAAAATTTAGGCTTCATTGTTTTGACAATAAAATGTATATTAATTTTAGAGTTTACTATGAATTTATAAATTAACTGATGGAGGATTGGCATTTTTATGGTGTTATAATTTTGAAAACATGGAGTCTCAGTTTTTGACAAAAAATAATATGTTCTTTGTGAATTTCAAAAATATTTTTAATGTAGTGGGTTTGTACACTTTATATAATCTGCTGTATTCCATATATTTGATTTTTGTACTATTAAATTTGATCAATCTTTCCTCAATTTTTATGAGTATTATAGTTAATTGTAAAAAATAACTTTTTAGTGTTTTTCTAGAATTATTTGCTCTATACAATTTGTTAGAATTTCTTTATAAAATCATATAGGCATTGAACTTTGTGGGAAATTATAACTTTATAGCTTTTTCCATTTCTCCAAATTGAACTTTTTTCTCTTCTCTCATCTAGTTTTCTTAAATTATATTTCTATAAAATTTTATAATTATCCATCTTTTCAAGTGCATGTGCATGAAAGCATATAAAACAGTTTTTAATGATTATTTTAATGTTGATATTACTAGGCTTAATTTCATCTATTTCTGTTGATTATGGTGGTAGTTCCCTGACTCTGCACTTGTCATATCTCATCAAATTGTACTTTTAAAATTAGTGACTTTCCTGTATTTAAGTTAGACCCATCTATAGCTGATAAATTGCCATTATTGGTATTTCATAATTTGTCCGTTTGATATAGTAACTTTGACTTCCCTCTTTTACAAATGTGGCCACAAGCATTCTAACTTTCTTCTTTTTCTTCCAATTTTTAAAATCTATTTCAGTATTAATATTGCATACAAAATTTTTATTTCATTTTATTTATGTAATCCTCACTTTTATGTGTTAAATAAAACACATTAGTCTTAGCGTGAGTTGGACTGTTAAATATATTCAATGCTCATTCCTGATTCCTTTTGTGGTAAGTTATTCAGTCACTACTTGGTTGTCCAAAATGAAATCTCCAGTAGTTTTTCCGATAAGTACCCATAGGAAAAGCAATTCATGAGATTTTCCAGCTTCAAAACTATTTGTAACTGGTCTTTATACTTGAGAGTTTGGCTAGGCACAAAATCCTTGACTTATGTACTTTTTCTCCTTGTGTGTTTGTTAAGTGCCCTTCATTGCCTAATGGTGATAAATGTGGCTCTGAGAAAATTGAAGTTGGGTTGGCTTTCCCTCCTAATAATTCACTGCTCAATTTTCTTCACTGTCTGTAAGATTATCTATCTTTTGGGACCAGCAATCTTAGTGTTGAATGTTCTGGGTAACTTCTTCCCGGATTTTCTTCAAAGTGAAGTTACATGTCTACTTCATTTTAGAAGGCTCTTTTAAATTATAATTTTAAATAGTTGCTCTACTCCATTCTTGTTTATTTTCCATGGGAAATTAACTAGGTGCATGTTGGATCTATTCTATCTAACTTCAGTATTCTTATTTTGTCTTTAACTTATGTTAACTCTTTTCTCATAACTGTTTCAATTGTTATATTGTTTTATATATATCTTCTGATGATTTCCCCTAATTCTATTCTTTCATTTAATATTTCTAATACCACCTTGTATTTGAGATGGTTTTATATGATCTTTCTTTTCCTTTCTCTGTCTTTGTTCAAATCTGATTTCATACCCTTTGCTCTCATCATCTTTTTTGAATAGTCATCTGTTCTAATGTTCAGTGTTCTTTATGGAAGTTCCTTCAATAAGTTTTGGGTTAAAAAATAAATCGGAAAATCTTTATTAATTATTTCAATTGCTTCATAGCAAATCACCTCAGATATACCTTTTCCAATTGTTAGGATCCTATCTATTTCATAAAGTAGATAGTATCTTAAATATAAAGTTTTTACATAACTTGGTAAGACTGTTAAATCATGGATTCTGTAATTTAGCAGCACTTAGTTAGATTCAATCATAATACTTGTATGTTGGTGATATCAGCTCTAAGGGGATATTAATAAGAGATTACTATAACATGATGAGAAACTTCCATTATCTAATTTCAAACTAGAATATAGAGATTTTGCTGTTTTTAAAATTTTGCTTTGATTTATACAATGCTATAAAGGTAATCAACATGACACATACTTCAAGATTTCTGATCATTTAAAAAATCTCTATTTTGAAGTGAATACACGGCTGACTCAAAGCAAACAGAAATAAACCTCTGTTCATAGTTTGTGTTTATAGGTTAATATCACATTCCACCCTGATACTCTATTGTGACATAGCTAATTAAATTATTAATTTCTCTAAAGATTTATTGCCTGAAGTCTGTTCTGGCACAAATATGTGTTATAGCTAAAGTTCCTCTTTTTTTTTTCAAGAAAGAGAAATTGACTCAGAATAATGTACAAAAGAAAAAATATGTATATGTAGATATATACATACATATTATATACACATAGATGTGTATGCTTGTGTATATGTAAGGAAAGATTATAAAAATTACCTAATGAGAATATAAAAACAAATAATCCCTACAGATTTATGCTCAAGGAAAGACTCTTTAGGACACCAATGTTAAGATAAATTAGGCCCAACCTTTTTATCTTGTTGTTTCATTTTTCAAGATACAAATTTCTGGAAGTAAGTTCCAAATTGAATTATTTCTGAATGGATGTTCACTCTTTGGCTAGGGAAGAGAATGCCATCCTTTATGGTAGAACACTCATCACCTGATTAGATGAAAAGTGTTTCTCCCAATCATAATTATAATGCTATTATAAGAAGAGAGAATAAATTCCAGGCAGACAAAATCAGCAAACATCTATTGTCTCAGTGTCCTCTTTGACTGTCATTGAAAATAAAATAATAAAATTTTATTTTTTTTTTGTTTCTAACAATCATTCTTAATAAAAAATTATTTGATCTTCACAATATAGCCATGAGTACAGTAATTCTCATTGGCTTCACATTAGAATCAACTTAGAAGCTTAAAAAAGTTTCGATTTGAATGATCTAAAATTGGGGGTAAGGTTTTCTTTTAAATTAAAAAGTAACTATTTTTTTTTAACTGCTATCCCTGGTAATTATAATATGCATTAGGGATGAGACCAACCAGCTTTGCGGTTAACAAGGTTCTGGATGGAGTCAGACTGCATGAATTCAGATCCCAGCTAAATGTCTCATTTGCCTGGTGACATTGAGCAAGTTATTTAAACTCACTTGTTAATTGGACTTCTTGCAAAGATTACATGAAATAATGTATTTAAATGCACTTAGTAGAATGCCTGGCACATTATAAGCACTCAATTACTGTTAGTTATTATGATTGGTGCTCAGTTTGGCTTCCCTCTTTCGAGATGTTTATCCTCCTCATACATCTTGTACTGCTCAATATTCTTTTATAATTTCAACTTCAGTAGGTAGAAGGACTTTTCTGCAAGTGTGCTCCTGGAGCTGGTGGGCATTGGGCTTTGTCACATGTATCAGTTCACAACAGGTGGTCTTCTCAATGAGAGTGGAGACCCCTAATAAGATGTTGAGAGGATTGAAACTTTCATCCAAATTGCTCTACCAGTACCATCATGATGGTAACTTAAAGTTTTGGATACATTTGTAAAATGGTTTCTGGATTTAAACAGGTCTGTATCTTTTTTATATTGATTTAGTCATTTCAGTATGAAATTTAGGAAGGGGTTAAACATGCATATTTTGTGAAATATTGATTCTCTTCTGTATTTGTCCATTTTGTGCTGCTATAACAGAAAGCCACGGATGATTGGGTAACATATAATGAATGAAAATGTATTGATTGACACTTCTGGAGGCTGGGAAGTCTAATATCAAGGTACCAGCATCTGGTGAGGACCTTCTTATAATGTCATTACATGGCATAAGGTGAGAGGATGAGAGAATGGGAGGGGCTAAACTCACCTTTTTATTATGCCATTACACCCATAAGGGCAGAGTCTTCAGTCTGATCACCTCTTAAAGGTCCCACCTCTTAATACTGTGAAAATGGCAATTAAATTTCAACACGAGTTTTAAAGGAGACAAACATTCAAACCATATCCCTGGCCCTTCAAAACTCATCTTCTCACATATAAAATACGTTGATTCCATCCTAAAAGCCCCACAAGTTTTAACTTGTTCCAGCATCAACTCAGAAGTCCAAGTCCAAAGTCTCATCTAAATCAGACAAAGATGAGACTTAAGGAGCAATTCATCCTGAGACAAATTCCCCTCTAGCTGTGAGACTGTGAACTCAAGCATGGTAGTTATCTACTTCCAAAATGCAATGATAGCACAGACACAGAATAAATATTCCCAATTTAAAAGGGAGAATTACACAAAAAAAGGACAAATAGGTTCTAAGTAAGTCCAAAACCCAATAGTGTAAACAACATTAAATCTTTAGCCTGTAGAAAATCTCTGATTTCCTGTCCTGCCTTGTGGGCTCTTTAGGGTGGGGTTTGGGCTCCCAAGGCCTTAGGGAGTATTGCCTCTATGGCTTTGCTAGGCTCAGCTCATGCAGTAGCTCTAATAGGTTGCCCATACCTCTTCCAGGCTGGTGGTGTAGTTTAGTGTTTATATAATACTGGGTCTCAGGTGTGGTGCAACCCCTAACCCCCACCCCTGTGGACTTTCTGTGGCTACTCCACCCTTGTTTCTGGTCTCCATAGCATCCTTTGAAATTTAGGTGGAATCATCTACTACTCCCCAACTCATGAACTCTGTGTGCCCACAGAATTAAAACTATGTGGACACTGGTGAGGTTCATCACCTGTACCTGCGAGAGCAACAGGTGGAGCCAACCTAGGATGGCTGGAGCCATGGCTGGGATGGCTGAGGAATGCTGTACTAGAATGTGGGGAGCAGTTACTTGAGGTAGTACAGGGCAGTGAATGCTAAGCTTCCATGGGCATGTTAAGCCTCTCCTTTGAAATTTTTCTGCTTTCAATGTCCTAGCATTCCAGGCTTATGATGGGAGGGCCAGCTTTGAAGATTTCTGAAATATCTCTGGGATCATTCTTCCATTGTATTGATGAGTAGCACCTGGCTTTCTTCTATTCAAACTAATCTTATCAAAAGGCTGCTTGGTCATACCCTTGGTTTTCTCTCCTAAACAAGCCTTTTCATTCTTTACCTGACCAGGCTGGAAATTTTCTGTATCTTTATATTCTGTTTTACTTTTAATTATAAATTCCATCTTTAAATCATTTCTCTCTTCTCACATTTTACTATATGCAATTAAAAGGAGTCACACAGCACCCTGAAAGCTTTGCTGCTTACAGATTTCTTCCATCAGATACCCTAGTTCATTGCTCTTCAATTCTGTCTTCCATAAAGCCTTTGGGCAGGAACACAAGCCAGCCAATTTCTTTGACATTTTGTAACAGGGTGACCCTTTATCCAGTTTCCAATAAGATATTCCTCATTTCTAAGACTTCATCAGAATGTTCTTCAATGTTCATATTTCTATCAACATTTTGATATTAACCAGTAATGTAATCTCTAAGAAGTTTGAGACCTTTCTTACACCTTTCCTCTTTTGAGCCCTGAACAGAATTACCCTACATGCTTCATTCATGGAAATACAGGTTTGTTTGTTTTTTCCAGTGTCTACTCACTACCCAGTTTCATAGCCATTCCTGCATTTTCAGGTATTTGTTAAATCAACACTCCATTTCTCTGGTATCAATTTCTGTCTTAATATATTTTGTGCTGTTGCAGAATACCACAGATGGAGTAGTTTATAATAAACAGAAATTTATTGGCTCACAGTTCTGGAGGCTGATGCCATCCAAAAGACCATCAGGATGGCTAAATAGTAGAAAGGAAAGCTTTATTGGTGATATTAGTTTGCAAATGGGGAAGAAACAGTCTTCAGCATGTGCCAAAGGTGCTCTCTCTTTGATGAGGTGAAGAGCAGCTTGGTTTTGTGCCTCACATAAAACATACATCCCATGTTCACTTTGGGGTGGAGGGCAATAAAATGAGGTAAAATTTGGCTCTTTATGTCAAAAAGTGAACTACAGAACATAAAGATGGTTAGTGTACACCCTCTATAAGCTGGCTGAAACTGGCTTAGGTCTGCAGTAGCTTATCAGAAAAGAACGTTTTTAAGGCCAGTCCTCTGTCTGATCAGAGTTGTCTGCTCTGGGTTGTAAATCAGAGTTAGAAAGGGCTTGATAATTTCTATTTTTAGGGAGTTTAGCCATTGGAGTTTAGGGAGCTACCATGCTGGATGCCTTGAATCTTCAACTAATAGATGACTTTGTTTCCATAACCTTAGTGTCCATCTGACCTGATAAAGGGGCATGTATTTTGGTCTTGCAGATTGCACTGGTAGGTCCAATATCTTGGTGCTGGCATCTGGTCAGGGCCTTCTTGCAGTGTCATTGCATGCCTGGCAAAGACAAAATGGTGACAGAGCAGGAGGGGGTGAACTCACCCTTTTATAATGGCTGTAATACCACACTGGGATGGCACAGGCCTTCATGGACTAATCATGTCTTAAAGGTGCCACTTCTTAATACTGCTACAATGTCAATTACATTTCAACATGAGCTGAAATTTGGAGGGGACATTCAAATCATAGCACCTTCTTAATTCACATTTTATCTAGTACAAAGAAGTTAATGAAAATATCAAAACTACAATTGCTTTTTTCAAGAATTGTATATTTATGAACTTCAACAATAGTGATGGTGACAATGGCCCATATGGAGCGGCCACTGTGAGGATACTGGCTGCAGTGGGGGAGGCACAAGTGGGGCTGTGTACTCTGTGGAACCAGTGGGAGCTGGGAACAGGCGAGAGCCCTGCCTCCTGAGTTGGCGGGGCAGGAGTCTGTGCTCCCTGGCACAGCCACAGCCACCCCAGCATCCCTGAGCTCTTGGGGACCCAGGAAACCCCCTGCCCCTGCAACCTTGAAAGTGCTTGCTCTTGCTCCCTGACTCTTCCTGCTCCTGGCACCCACTTCAGGGCAGAGCAAAGTTGTGACTGTCACAACCTGGCCGGGTGTGTGTGCACTCAGGGAAGTGCTGACACACCAGCCCACTGCTGCCTTGGCTGCCTCTGGACTTTGAGCACCAACGAGCATGGGAGATGGGCTGGGGATGCTGAGGGTGGCTTGGTATGGGCCTGCAGGTGCTTCCTGGTGCAGACAGCCTGGACGCCATGGATTGCATGCTAAAGGCAGACAAGTTCCCAGGCAGGAAGTGGCGGGTCCCTGGTAAAACCCCACCTTCAATCCAGGGATGGCCTGAAGGCTGGGGGCCAGGCTGTCAGTTCCAGGCAAAGTCTGCAGCACAGAGTGAGAATTTCATTGATGACCATTTGGCCAATTGAATGGTACTTTTTCTAGGCCTGCCCATGGCCACTCATGGACCAGTCAGTATGCACTTCCTCAATTGTGAGCATATAAAAACCCCAGATTTAGCCAGACTCACACACTTGTTGGGATGATCTGCCTGAGAAAAGGAGCTACCCACTATGAGTCTCCTCTCCACTGAGAGTTGGATACTCATTGGGACATCCTGCCTGTGGAAAGGAGCTACCAACTTTGGGTCTTCTGAGAGCTGTTCTGTCGCTCAATGATGCTCCTCTCCACCTTGCTCCAGTTGTCCATGTATCTCATTCTTCTCAGACATGGGACAAGAACTTGGGACCTGCTGAATGGAGGGACTGAAAGAACTGTAACACAAATGGCTGAAACATACACCTCCCCTGCTTGCCATGTTGCTGGTGACGAGAAGGAAAGAAGAGCTGTGGCCCTTCAGGGAGCCCAGACCTAGGGGCTCCCCGAGCCAGGGCTATGACATCCTCTTTGGGGCTCTGCAGTTCTTGGTGTCTCCAAGCTGCCAGGTGCCTCTATGTTCCCCTTGTCTAGATGTGAGTGCCCACAGTGGAAGCCGCTTGCAGCACATCTATTCCAGCTGTATCCTTGCACAGAGCCAGCATGGGTGCTGGTGCCTGGGACCACCCAACCTGCCGCAGCAGCCGGCATGCCTGGCTGTGTGCAGTGGCCGGACCCTGCGCTTGCTTGCTCATACATCCCTTGCCTCTCGGTGCCTGACATGCCTTTGGCAGGCATGGGATCCGGGCCAGTGGTGCAAGCCAAGCTCAGCCAGCTTGGGTCGAGTGGGCAGAACGAGGCTAGCGGTGGTGAGCAAAACTTAAGCACAGGTAGTGTCAGCCACAGAGGTTTCCTGCTGGTGAAGTGACACCCTAAGAATCCTCTGTCAATACTAAACTCTTTTTTAATCCAAGAATGTTTTTAGTGATATAAACTCAGTTAGTGACTAGGAAATATATGCAAGTATCACATGGCTTGAATGATAATAAGCTTAATTATGTGATGATTTTATCTCTGAAGTCATACAATATGTAATTATTTCAATAATAAGATTTTTTACTTGAGTAAAAGGGAGAAAATGATTACTGAACACTTTTAAATAATTTGATGGTATCCTGTATGGTGTCAATGATATTCTTTATTCTAACTTTTTGATACCGAACTTATGGTTGTACATAGAGAGCAAAGAACCAAATAATGGGTAATAGAATCCTTTGTTGTGTTTGTTTTCTGAAGAAGACAGATATAGTAACTTGGCATGAAATATACGTATAATAATAAAATTCGACATAATAACAGCTTCATAGATTATTTTCACCAAGAATAAAGTCATAACAATTCTAAACTAGATTATCATTTTATACTCAGTATGATATTAAAATAAGTATTTTGCAACCAAGTAGTGACCTAGAGATTATGCAATGTCAAGATTAGAACATGCTTTCCAGCTGGGCACAGTGGCTCATGCCTGTAATCCCTGTACTTTGGGAGGCCAAAGTGGGCAGATCACTTGAGTCCAGGAGTTTGAGACCAGCCTGGCCAACTTAGTGAAACAGCATCTCTACTAAAACTACAAAAATTAGCCAGGCGTGGTAGGGGGTGCCTATAATCCTAGCTGCTTAGGAGGCTGGGACATGAGAATTGCTTGAACTCAGGAGGCAGAGGTTGCAGTAAGCCGAGATTGTGCCACCGCACTCCAGCCTAGCCTAGGTGACAGAGCGAGACTCTGTCTCAAAAACAAATATATATTTTCTGTATTTGATCATGTTAATGTACTATTAATATTATTTATAAATAAAAAGGTATAGAACAGAGCTCTTAAGTATTTATCCCCATGACATTATCTTAGAACATTAATGATATTCTTCTTCCTTTTCCCCGTATACCTCAGTCTCTTATGATTACTTCTTCTCAGGTTGGGATCAATGCCAAAAAGAAAGGTCCTTTAACTCACTTGCTGATAGCCTCTAGGTTCCTTTAGTCTTACAGGTACTCTTGGACTGTGTTCATGGAATCCTGCCTTCACTGTTCCCTACCCCTTCCTCAGCCTCATCAATAAAAAATACTGAGTATACACAATTCAGCTCTCAAATAAATATGTACATTTAAAAATAAATATAAAATAACTGGTCAAAGAGGTAGAACCACAGCTGCCCTGTCTCAGGGAGCATGTATATAAAAATGACAGTTTTTATATGATGCATCTGATACTCTGGGGGGAATAGGAGACAATAAGGGGGTTGGACATGCCAATTTGAGAAGCCATGGCTTTAACTGCTCTTGTAGTGTTCTTAGAATAATAAAAGTTCTAAATTGCACCCAACACATACATATATTATCAGATTATCAGTTTTATTTATTTATTTATTTATTTATTTATTTATTTATTTATTTTGAGATGGACTTTCACTCTGTCACTCAGGCTGGAGTGCAGTGGCATGATCTTGGCTGGCTGCAGCCTCTGCCTCCTCAGATTCAAGCGATTCTTCTGCCTCAGCCTCCTGAGTAGCTTGGATTACAGGAACCTGCCACTATGCCCAGCTAAGTTTTTGTATTTTTAGTAGAGATGGGGTTTCACTGTGTTGGCCAGGCTGGTCTCGAACTCCTGATCTTGTGATTCAGCCTCCCAAAGTGCTGGGATTATAGGTGTGAGCCACCGCACCAGGCCTATATGTTTTCTAACTTCCTGTTTCTTTGGAAAGTTGAATTGCCTCAGCAAGTAAATTTGATTTAAAAAATTCTTGCATTTGTCTTTCTTTGCTATATAGTTTATGAGAAGGAAGTCTTCAACGAAAACTTGTGTATTTTAAGCAATGAGATCTTTTATTTAAACTTGCATATTTAGAATGTCTTGCTTTTTGTATATTATCCAGTTAATGGAAAGCATCTTCCTACTAGCTCCAGTGTTTATGACTACATATTATCTTGAAGAAAAAAATGAAGTAATCTATCCCTTTTAAAGAAAAACATAATTTGAAATGTTTGACATTTTTATTTTGTTTTGATTATCTTCCTGAATTTCATGAAGCAAAAACATGGAATATAAAATATTACTTTTCAATAAAAAAACTTCCATAGAGAGTTACACTGAGAATCAAGAACTTTTTTTTTTTAAATTTCAAAAAGATTATCTACTTTTTTACTTTAGTTTCCCTAAGGCTTTTTTCTTCTGAATGAGAGTGCTTAAATATATTATTAACTTTACATAGAACTTTACTATTTAAAGACAGTGTTTTGCAGCCTCAGGAGACAACATAAAACTAGTGTGAGGAGGTTGTGAAGACTCAGACTGAAGAAATGGTTACACAAGGTCTTGAGTTGTCCTTACCATTCCTATTGTTTTCATTCATCTAACTTCTGGACCCTGAAGCTACTGCTTTTTTTCTCCAAGTAATACTATCTTTATGAGAAGTATAGGATGATGTAAGCAAAGCATTCAGAGGCAGAATTGCATTAGAAAATTGTTTTAAAAATATGAATCATTGTTAGGAAGCTCTCTAACATACGGTCACTTCAGGCATTCTAGCAAAGGAGGTCTTATTTGCTTGAATTGTACAGAAATTGTTTCTCATCTAATAATTTTATCTTTAGACAAAGTGTCTCCCTTCTCCTTTTAAAAATGAAATCTACTTATTTTTCTACTTATGGAAGCTATCTACAAATATACCAACTTTATATATGTTTTAAAATATTAATTATGTTAAAATAAAATTAGATGAGTATCAATTCCACAAGGGCAGCGATGTTTTATTTTTCTATCTCCGGAAACTTATGGACACAAGGTTACTTAATAAAACTAGACCCAGATTATTGCGATAAAACATTCTGCACATTTCTCAGTATGGTGTTTCTTTGTTCTTGTTTTAGTTTTATAAAGTTTGAGGAATTAAAAAATTTTAAAACAGTTTGATAACCATGGAAACTTTTCTAAGTTAATAGTCTGTCCACAAATTATCATTTTCCTCTATAGTATCCTAAACTGAGAGCTCTAGGAAAGTGTGGGATTGATTACATCTATTAATAAATATCTTTGCAAATCTGAGTTGTACTGCATGGTATGAGTTGTATTGCATGGCATGTATGGCATGAGATAAATTTATTTCTAGTCCATCTTAACACAATGAATGATCCATAAAATTATTTCAGCACCAGTTATGGGAGAAGAAGTGACAAATTTTTTTTTCTGTAAAATATTTCACGAACGCATGAACATACTCTGATACTTTTTTCCCGAGGCACACACAACAAATTGAATCTATTATAGAATATCATTGGTTTTCAGTTTTATTTTCTAGAAAATATGACCACATTTTAACCAAGGGGGATGTTACCAGAGTTGTTTCATTACTTTTATAGTACCTGCAGTTTTTAAGTCTCAACATTTATATTGCGAAGGGACTCTTCCCTCTCTAGTACTTTAAAATGTTATCATATCCATTGGGTAAATCAACATTGCTTCATACCAGGCTAAGAAGTTTTATTGTTGGATATCTGGTTTTTGTGAATTCAAAACATTTTAATGGTTTTCTTTTTCTTATGATTTGGTTATTTTATGAACTTTTCTTTCAATTTTGAAAGTTATCGATAAAGAAAATTTCTTTATGGAGATACTTTTCTCATGTAGGGGATATTTCAAACTCAACAATCCTCTGGATTTCTGCATCATTTATATGTAGTGCACGGATACAATTCCATCTAGTTACAGTTGAAATGGCTTGCAGTTTTATGATTTTTTATAGGTTACATAAACTTATGCACAAGCACTGATATCTTGGCTTGATGTGTAAAGTCATTTTCAAACCTTTCAGTGACTTTCAAAATATGACTTATTGACCTCTGTGCAGATGCTTCAGCCGCCACTGCCCACAAAGTGGAGGGCTTTCCTTGTCAACTTTCACCCTCTCCATCAGAGCAGTTCTGCTTTTATTGGTTGAATATATGTCCTTATGGCTGAAATAAGTTTGAAAACTAATACATCCCCTTTACTTCATGAAGCAATTCATTTATTAGGTAATGCCTTTAAAGGTAAAGGCAAAACCACAATTACTTTTGCACCAAAATAATACAATGACTGTTTATTTGAGATTTGCATGAGGTGTGATTCAGGCAGTGAATTAAAGTTATTTGTAGAGGGTAAGAACAATCTAAACGTTGAAAGGTATCTTACTTTCTTGAGGGTTCCCAAAACTGCCCTTAGGCTCAATTCTTTGCAAAAAAGACTCAGAGGACTCAGAAAAGTTATTAGGCTTATACAGCACCTCCTCACCACTGACACATACAAATTTCTTTCCCACATTAGATGTGCAACCTTACACTGTCTAGAAGAATGAAAGATTGAAATTCTATATGCTTTTTTCCCCTTTTCTTAGAGAAATGCCTTTTGTTCTCTACTTGGTTGGGAGAGGATATAAGATGGTATTAAATTTAGTCTCATGCTTGTGAGTCATTTTTTTTTTCTTGTGTTAAGTGCTGTGCTTAGACAGGAAAATGATTGCACTTCTAGCTCTACTTCTAGCAAAGTTGTTCTCATTTAGACCATTAAATACTCCCAATGGAACAAGTCAAGCTTATATCTCTAAAGAAAGAGGAAAAGAATATTTTAAAGGAGTATGTTTTTTCCTGCCTGTCTTGGCTTCATAAACATCTCTTGGCATTTAAGTGCAGCCAGAACACATTATCTATCAATATTTATATTTTCCCCAGGAACACCTGTATTCATTCATGAAGAAACTCTTATGACAAAAGGCAGGACTTTGATAAACAACATGAACAATATGTACCAAGAAATAGATGTATAAAACAGTATGGATTCAAGGCACCACAAACAGTCCTCTCTTTTTTTCCCTAGAGAATAAAGAGTACTGCTGGGTAGGTGGCATGTGGACGGCTTTTCCAGAATGGCTTTAAATGAAGTTTGCGTAACATATGAGGAATTCAAGACTTTGAGACCAGTTATTTTCTGCTTGCCACCCTGCAAAAACAATACTAGAAGCAAGGGAAGGTTAAAGTTTAGAGAGAAAATCAACATAAGAAACCAGTTTTCAGTTTAGGTGTGCAGGAGTTAAAGGTCAGGTGCTGGAGTCAGAGAACTTTCTCTGCCAGGTTGATAAGGGATTAGAGAGAAGAGAGAGACAGGGGTGAAATCTTGGGCTCTAGAACAATTTTTGATTCAAGACACCGGTAAAGCTCAGTGAGTAAAAGGTGTGGTGGCTCGTGCCTGTAATCCTAGCACCTGAGGTCAGTAGTTCACGACCAGCCTGGCCAACATGATGAAACCCCGTCTCCACGAAAAAAAACACAAAACTTAGCCAGGCATGTTGGTGGGTGCCTGTAAACCCAAGTACCCAGGAGGCTGAGGCAGGAGAATCGCTGGACCTGGGAGGCAGAGGCTGCAGTGAGCAGAGATCACACCACTGCACTCCAGCCTGGGCGACAGAGCAAGATTCTGTCTCAAAAAAAAAAAAAAGAAAAAGAGTTTCTGCTTCATTTTTGCGGTTTGATCCTCCAGAAGTAAGTTCCTTTAGTTTCCTATCTACATGGTTCCCAATTTACAATGGTTTGACTTATGATGTTTTGACTTTAATATGGGTTTACTGGGAGGTAATGCCATCATAAATCAAGAAGCATCTCTGATTGCTATGTTATGCTATGTTTCTGGAAACTGTGAAAAATCCCAAATAGAGGACGATTCAGTATTACTTGTCCCCAAAGCAATCCTAACATTACTAAAATTTTCTTGGTCTGCTTCATAAATTGACATAAAATGACTTTGGAGAATCTTTTCCTAAACATTTGCCATCCACAAGTATTGACTAATGCCTACAAGTTCCTTAAAGGGGTCAAATTATTACATTCCGCAATTACTATTGTAAATTAATTTGTAAATAGTCTGGAGAATAAATTGAACAAAGTTTTATTCATTTCAGTTCTATGATTAAGCTGAATTAAAATCACAAGATAATACAGATTACAGAAATTGAACAAGTAGTTCTAGGCCAAAGATGCAATATATGAGGACACGGAGAGGGGATGGAGAAAGAACATGCAGTTCGCCAATTTGAAATGATTTTTCTAATGTGTTTGGGAGTTTAGAAATAGGTAAATTTTTTAATGTAGTTACACAGATTATGTCATTTCTAGAATTTCATTTAGCATGATAATCAGGAGATGAACAACTTTCTGTGAATCATCTGAGGAATATACCCGAGAAAGTTAAAAAAAAATTGTAGAAATGTTCCTTGACTTTATGATGGCATTAAGCCCTTATAGATCCATGTATGCTGAAAATATTTTAAGCCAAAAATGGATTTAATACACCTACCTTAATAAACATCATAACATAGCCTACCTTAAATGTGTTCAGAACATTTATATTAGCCTACACTTGGGCATAATCATCATATGCAAATCCTACTTTATAATTAAGTGTTGAGTATCTCATGTAATTTATTGAATACTGTACTGAAAATGAAAAACAGAATGGTTTCTACTGAACATGTATTGTCTTTTTAAAATTTATTATTACTATACTTTAAGTTTTAGGGTACATGTGCACAATGTGCAGGTTAGTTACATATGTATACATGTGACATGCTGGTGCACTGCACCCACTAACTCGTCATCTAGCATTAGGTATATCTCCCAATGCTATCCCTCCCCCCTCCCCCCACCCCACAACAGTCCCCAGAGTGTGATGTTCCCCTTCCTGTGTCCATGTGTTCTCATTGTTCAATTCCCACCTATGAGTGAGAATATGCGGTGTTTGGTTTTTTGTTCTTGAGATAGTTAACTGAGAATGATGATTTCCAATTTCATCCATGTTCCTACAAAGGACATGAACTCGTCATTTTTTATGGCTGCATAGTATTCCATGGTGTATATGTGCCACATTTTCTTAATCCAGTCTATCATTGGTGGATATTTGGGTTGGTCCCAAGTCTTTGCTATTGTGAATAGTGCCACAATAAACATACGTGTGCATGTGTCTTTATAGCAGCATGATTTATAGTCCTTTGGGTATATACCCAGTAATGGGATGGCTGGGTCAAATGGTATTTCTAGTTCTAGATCCCTGAGGAATCGCCACACTGACTTCCACAATGGTTGAACTAGTTTACAGTCCCACCAACAGTGTAAAAGTGTTCCTATTTCTCCACATCCTCTCCAGCACCTGTTGTTTCCTGACTTTTTAATGATTGCCATTCTAACTGGTGTGAGATGGTATCTCATTGTGGTTTTGATTTGCATTTCTCTGATGGCCAGTGATGATGAGCATTTTTTCATGTGTCTTTTGGCTGCATAAATGTCTTCTTTTGAGAAGTGTCTGTTCATGTCCTTCGCCCACTTTTTGATGGAGTTGTTTGTTTTTTTCTTGTAAATTTGTTTGAGTTCATTGTAGATTCTGGATATTAGGCCTTTGTCAGATGAGTACGTTGTGAAAATTTTCTCCCATTTTGTAGGTTGCCTGTTCACTCTGATGGTAGTTTCTTTTGCTGTGCAGAAGCTCTTTAGTTTAATTAGATCCCATTTGTCAATTTTGTCTTTTGTTGCCATTGCTTTTGGTGTTTTGGACATGAAGTCCTTGCCCACGCCTATGTCCTGAATGGTAATGCCTAGGTTTTCTTCTAGGGTTTTTATGGTTTTAGGTCTAACATGTAAGTCTTTAATCCATCTTGAATTGATTTTTGTATAAGGTGTAAGGAAGGGATCCAGTTTCAGCTTTCTACATATGGCTAGCCAGTTTTCCCAGCACCATTTATTAAATAGGGAATCCTTTCCCCATTGCTTGTTTTTCTCAGGTTTGTCAAAGATCAGATAGTTGTAGATATGCGGCATTATTTCTGAGGGCTCTGTTCTGTTCCATTGATCGATATCTCTGTTTTGGTACCAGTACCATGCTGTTTTGGTTACTGTAGCCTTGTAGTATAGTTTGAAGTCAGATAGTGTGATGCCTCCAGCTTTGTTCTTTTGGCTTAGGATTGACTTGGCGATGCGGGCTCTTTTTTGGTTCCATATGAACTTTAAAGTAGTTTTTTTCCAATTCTGTGAAGAAAGTCATTGTTAGCTTGATGGGGATGGCATTGAATCTGTAAATTACCTTGGGCAGTATGGCCATTTTCACGATATTGATTCTTCCTACCCATGAGCATGGAGTATTCTTCCATTAGTTTGTATCCTCTTTTATTTCCTTGAACAGTGGTTTGTAGTTCTCCTTGAAGACTTCCTTCACATCCCTTGTAAGTTGGATTCCTAGGTATTTTATTCTCTCTGAAGCAATTGTGAATGGGAGTTCACTCATGATTTGGCTCTGTTTGTCTGTTGTTGGTGTATAAGAATGCTTGTGATTTTTGTACATTGATTTTGTATCCTGAGACTTTGCTGAAGTTGCTTATCCCAAATCAACAGAATATACATTTTTTTCAGCACCACACCAAACATATTCCAAAATTGACCACATACTTGGAAGTAAAGCTCTCCTCAGCAAATGTAAAAGAATAGAAATTACAACAACCTGGCTCTCAGACCACAGTGCAGTCAAACTAGAACTCAGGATTAAGAATCTCACTCAAAACCGCTCAACTACATGGAAACTGAACAACCTGCTCCTGAATGACTACTGGGTACATAACAAAATGAAGACAGAAATAAAGATGTTCTTTGAAACCAACGAGAACAAAGACACAACATACCAGAATCTCTGGGACACATTCAAAGCAGTGTGTAGAGGGAAATTTATAGCACTAAATGCCAACAAGAGAAAGCAGGAAAGATCCAAAATTGACACCCTAACATCACAATTAAAAGAACTAGAAAAGCAAGAGCAAACACATTCAAAAGCTAGCAGAAGGCAAGAAATAACTAAAATCAGAGCAGAACTGAAGGAAATAGAGACACAAAAAACCCTTCAAAAAATTAAAGAATCCAGGAGCTGGTTTTTTGAAAGGATCAACAAAATTGATAGACCACTAGCAAGACTAATAAAGAAAAAAAGAGAGAAGAATCAAATAGATGCAATAAAAAATGATAAAGGGGATATCACCACTGATCCTACAGAAATACATACTACCATCAGAGAATACTACAAACACCTCTACACAAATAAACTAGAAAATCTAGAAGAAATGGATAAATTCCTTGACACATACACTCTCCCAAGACTAAACCAGGAAGAAGTTGAATCTCTGAATAGACCAATAACAGGCTCTGAAATTGAGGCAATAATCAATAGCTTACCAACCAAAAAGAGTCCAGGACCAGATGGATTCACAGCTGAATTCTACCAGAGGTACAAGGAGGAACTGGTACCATTCCTTCTGAAACTATTCCAATCAATAGAAAAAGAGGGAATCCTCCCTAACTCATTTTATGAGGTCAGCATCATCGTGATACCAAAGTCGGGTAGAGACACAACCAAAAAAGAGAATTTTAGACCAATATCCTTGATGAAGATTGATGCAAAAATCCTCAATAAAATACTGGCAAACCAAATCCAGCAGCACATCAAAAAGGTTATCCACCATGCTCAAGTGGGCTTCATCCCTGGGATGCAAGGCTGGTTCAATATACGCAAATCAATAAATGTAATCCAGCATATAAACAGAACCAAAGACAAAAACCACATGATTATCTCAATAGATGCAGAAGAGTCCTTTGACAAAATTCAATAACACTTCATGCTAAAAACTCTCAATAAATTAGGTAATGATGGGACGTATCTCAAAATAATAAGTGCTATCTATGACAAACCCACAGCCAATATCCTACTGAACGGGCAAAAACTGGAAGCATTCCCTTTGAAAACTGGCACAAGACAGGGATGCCCTCTCTCACCACTCCTATTCAACATAGTGTTGGAAGTTCTGGCCAGGGCAATTAGGCAGGAGAAGGAAATAAAGGGTATTCAATTAGGAAAAGAGGAAGTCAAATTGTCCCTGTTTGCAGACGACATGTTTGTATATCTAGAAAACCCCATTGTCTCAGCCCAAAATCTCCTTAACATGTATTGTTTTTGCACCATCATAAAGTCAAAAAATTGTTAAGTAAAATAATAAGTTGGTGACCATCTGTAGTTGATGAAGTCAAATTTTCGATGTTTACTTATTGGAAAAATATATCTATCTACTACATTGTTGAAAGAAAATAACTTTATGATGAATATTCCTTAGTATGGTATTGGTTTTATATTATTGTTTAATGGAGGATGTTAGATCTTTAAGTGATTTCTGATAGAGTTTTAATTAATCTATTTGTTATTTGTATATTAGTCATCAATAATGGATTAAGCCTGATTCATTAAACACCGTTAGTTCACTTTCCACTCAAAACAGTGGCCACTACGGCTGTAGATGCATTCAGTTGTCTAGTGTTCTAAACTCCATTGCCAATTTCTACATCATTATATCATTTCTTAAAGCCAATTAAAATGCATATGTTAAGAATTTTCTCTAAAGGGAGATATCTGTTAGTGCGAAGAACAATTACAGTTGTTGCCTGTGGACATCAGTTCCAAGAATTATTGCAATATGCATTGTTTTGATCTGTTTCAGTGTCATGTTGTGCATACACTGGTCAGCTTCCAGCAATATTCTGTGGGATTTAAATTAATAACCAGATTATGAGCTGATATTGAAAAAAAGTTGGGACTCAAATTTAACAAAACGGAAAATTCATCACCGGAAGTCAAGATAGACAGTGAAAAAAGCACTGTATTTTAAATGAGACCGCCATACTTTATATAATCTTAAAAAGCAGATTTGAAACTCAAAAGTAAAATAACACAAAATAATAATTGATTATTAAAAAGCTAATTACCCAATGGTAAAACGTTTCAAAATTCAGAAAAGTAAAATGTTTATCTCCCCTGATAGAGGAACTAAGGAAATATTTTTTCACTCGTTAATAAAAAACGATGAAAAGAAAATTGCAGACTATGCAAATACTTCCAAATTGTCTCAGTAACTTTCAAAGCATGTCATATATTATGAACTAATCAAAATTATTAGCTTCCTAAAAGCCATACATTTTCTTGATTGTATAGCAATACGGTAGAATACTTGAGGCTAAGATACTTGAAACATTTTAAAATATATATATCTGTGCAAGCTTGGTTTAAAATTTTCTGCTATCCATATAAAGCAATAAAATCATGTATTTTGCAGCAATATGAATGGAGCTGGAGGTAATTATTCTAAATGAGTTCATGCAAGATTAGAAAACCAAATGCCACATGCCCTTACGTATAAGCGAGAGCTAAACATTCAGCAGCTATGGACATAATATGGGAACAACACTACTACTGTGGACTACTAGAGGGGGAGGGTGGGGGGGGGGACATGGAGTGAAATCTACCCACTGGGTACGTGTTCACTATCTGGGTACAATATACCCATGTATCAAACCTGCCCATGTGCTCCTTATATATACAATAAAAGTTGAAAATAAAGAGAAAAAACTTAATATATCATTGACTTTAGCTTCTTTGTTTCATAGAATGTAAATGGACATGCAGGGAGTTAAATAATTGGATTATAATTTAGATATCTTCCACTCAATATAGAAGTCTTTCTCCCCAGGAACTTTAATTAGCTTTGTTCAAAAATGTGTATTTATTTATTTATTTATCAGTGTTTGCATTTTGTTAAATCCAGTCAGTAAATGTAATTGAAATTGAACTTATTTCAAAACCTTATGAAATAAATAATAATTTAGAACTTTCATTAACTTAGTCTGGCCATTCCAATGGCCATCCAGATATTAATTTATTTTTACTCTCTTTTTAAAAGTAGTATATATTTTAGCTTTTTTATCACAAATTTAGTTATTGATCATAAACATAAAGGTTATGCATTCCTGAGCTCTGATGAACTCTTTCCAATGTGGAGAAAAATTATAATTATATATGCATATTAAATTAAAAATGTATATCAGTAAACAATTTCTGCTATTTATTATTAAATAATAATAGAAAAATACATGTTTAAGAAAATATATAAGCAAATAATTCACTTGTTCACTTTTTAAGAAAGGGGTCACTGGGGAGTTTCTATATGAAGGGCATTTTGATAGAGGAAATTGCAGAAAGTATACTATAAAATGTTTTTATCAAAAACTAAAGCAGTCAAAAAAAACACCTAGAATAAATGTAAATGTTTTTGTTTTTTATTTTTTGACTAATACTTTGGAAATTCTAATAGCAACACTTGAGTAAAGTGTTAATTTATAGGTAAAGGAAATATTTATTATTAGCATTAATAGTAGGTGTAGATGGATTATCTGCCCCACTGCAGGAAATGTGTCCTAATGCAGATCTCATAGGTGCTATATTTGAACAGTTTCCACAGTAGACTAGCAGCCCTTTAGCTGCAGTTTTTGTGTTAGCCTTACTTCAAGATGGGTTACACATCAAGTAGTACCCTTTTCTTCAGCCTATCATTTTAATATTTATGAGTTAATTTGAACTCTATATCTAATGCTAGACTGTAGAAAACAGGTAAATTTTATCTTAGGCATAACTAATCATTTACTAATACAATTCACTTGATTCCTTCTCTCCTGACTCTAACACGTTAAAGGCTAAATGTTGAATAGGTGACGTGTCAGTGCATTTGAGCTGCAACAGTGGAAATTTATTTCTCACAGTTCTGGAGGCTGGGAAGTCCAAGATCAAGGCACACATTGTTTTTTTTCTGTTTGATTTATCTCATTTAAGATTTCCAATTGATAGAGTTTTGTTATCCATTGTATTTGTTAAGAAATTAGTGTCAAAAAGGAAATTACATGACTCTCCCTTCTTCAAAAAAGGAAGACTAGAGCGAGACTCCGTCACAAAAAATAAAAAGACTAGAAAGAGAGGAAAGAAGGAAGAGAGGAAGAAAAAGTGAGGAAGAAAAAGTAAGAAAAAAGAGAGGAAGAAAAGAGTAAACAGGATCATGGCCACTACTTTCGGCCATTAGGGCTGTTAACAGCAACTGTACAGTGTGTCATTTGGAAGATCATTTGCTAGGTGGCATTTGCTATGTGGTATATTCCAAAAAGAACCCCTCCTTTACACACTCATCAAAAATAGTCTCTCCTCTTGGCCTCAACCTACGCAGATGCATTTTGTGCTCTGCACAGAGGTGCTTAATATAAAGGCATTTTCTGTGAAGTGGGGCCAAAAGTCAGCTCAGGCTCTCCTATCCCAGTACGTTGTGTGAGGCTGCTTCAGGCTGGAATCAGGGGCCACTGGAGAAGGCATTTGGTCATTCCTGTGAAAGCCCAGGGTCTGCTCCTTCTTTCTGCTCACTTGCTCTGTGTCTGCGCCCTTCCCTACTGGGGCCTGCACTACTCACATCAAAGAAAATTGATTTGAGCTGACAAAACAAAACAAAAAAACAAACAAACAAAAAACCCAGGGATACCCCTTCTGGAATGTATTGCAAAATTACACTCATTTATCTTTTCGTTAAAGGGATCTATATTAACATCAGATCCTAACATTGTTTACATTTGGACAGTAGGTCTTGCTTTTGAGCAGAGATATATTTGCTTCCACCACCATACCCTTTCGAATTTCATTCCAAATGCATTTTGTTATTCCCGTATAATCATAATCATAAAGCACCATCCAAAAGAAAAGACAAATAACAGAGAGAAGAGATTCCTGTGTGTTATGTCTAGGCTGACAACGGAAACCTCTGTGACCCTGGTACGTCATTTGCTTTGCTATACACTCAGTTCTCCGTTTGTAAATTGAGTTTTGCTTTTTTTTTGTTTAACTTTAAGGACCTCTTGAGTGCTAATATTTGTGTCGCACAATATGCCAGTTCCAAGGAGGGAGAAGGAAAAAAGAAACAGCCTATGGAAGCAGCATGAGCTTTCAGATCTAATAAATTCAAATAAAGTTCATGGTTTATAAGGCAGGGGTTAGTATATAATTTATCTTCTAAAAGAATATGAAATTAAAGTATAATAATAATAAAAAAGGTAAACTTCAAAAAAAGATTTCACATCAAAAAAAGAATATGAAAATAAAATATTGAGAGAAAAAGAAGAGATAAAATAACATAATTAATTGAAATATTTAAATTGGTTTCATGTTATAGTAAGACCTTTAAAATTGATATGTTCAAAATTATTTTCAAAAATATAAAATTCTTTAGAAAATTTTAATAAAATTTTGTAGAGTACAGCCAATTAGAAAAACTATTTACATTAATGATTCAGCTATGTAATGTATGTATGTATGTATGTAATGTAATGTATGTATTTACATACATTCAGCTATGTAAAATAGCTGAAGCAGAAAAATTATTTTTATCAGATGATAGGGTAGTTCAATTTTTAATTTTTTGAGAAAGCTCGATATTATTTCCTATAGTGGCTGTACCATTTATATTCCCACCAATAATGTATTAAGGTTTCCTTATCTTCACATCCTCTCAAATATTTGTTAAATTTTGTTTTTATTTTTGATAGTAGCCATACTAACAGTTGTGAGGTGATGTCTCATTATGTTTTACATGCATTTCTCTGATAATTAGTGATTCTGAGCTCCCTGTCGTATACCTGATGGTCATTTGAATGTCTTCTTTGGAGTAATGTCTACTCAAGTCCTTTGCCTTTTTTTAATTTTATGGGTATTTTTGTTTACTATGTATAATTTAAATTAATTTAATTAAATTATTTTATTTAGGAACTACTTATATATTTTGGACATTAATCCCTTGTCATTTAGGTAGTTTGAAAATATATTTGCATATTCCTTAGGTTATGTTTTCACTCTGATGAGTCTTGTCTTTGCTATGCAGCAGCTTTTTAATTTACTACAGTCCCATGTGTCTATTTTTGGTTTTGTTGCCTGTGCTTTTGGTGTCAAATCCAAGAAATCATTGCCAAGACCAGTGTCAGCAAATGTTTCCCTATGATTTGAGGAGTTTTACAGTTTTAAGTCTTATGTTCAAGTCTTACACCATTTGAGTTGATTTTTCTGTATAGTATAAGATGGGGATCTAATTTTATTCTTTTGTATGTGAATATCTAGTTTTCCCAACACCACTTGTTGAAGAGATTGTCCTTTCTCCATTGTGTATCATTGACATTCTAGTTGAAGATCAGTTGATTGTATATGTGTGGGTTTATTTCTGGGCTCTCTATTCTGTTCCATTTATATATGGGTCTGTCTATATACCAGTACCATACTATTTTAATAACCGTAGCTTTGCAATATATTTTGAAAGCATGAAGCATGATGCATCCAGCTTTGTTCTTTCTCAAGATTGCTTTGCCTATTTGGGGTCTTTTGTGGTTTCATATACATTTTAAGACTGTATTTGCTGTTTTTATAGAAAATGCCATTGGAATTTTAATTGAGATCATATTGAATCTGTAGATTGCTTTGGGTAGTATTGACATTTTAACTATATTAATCATTCTAAACTAAGTATGGGATGTCTTTTCATTTATTTGTATCACCTCAAACTCTTTCAAGAAACTGAAGAGGAAGGAACACTTCCAAACTGAATATTACCTTAATGCCAAAGTCAGACAAAGATGCTGCAAGAAAAGAAAATCACAGGCCAATATTCTTGATGAACATACATGCCAAAATTCTCAAAAAAATACTAGCAAATAAATGAATCAATACATTAAAAGGGTCATACACCATGTATTAGGGCTCTCTAGAGGGACAGGACTAATAGGATAGATGTATAATTAAGGCATATGGGCTCACATCAGTGAAGGTGAGGTGAAGTCCACAATAGGACATCTGCAAGCTGAGGAGCAAGGAAGCCAGTCCAAGTCCCAAAACTTCAGAAGTAGGGAAGCCAACAGCGCAGCCTTCTTTCTATGGCTGAGGGCCTGAGAGCCCCTGGCAAACCACTAGTGTAGTTCCAAGAATCCAAAAGCTGAAGAACTTGGAGTCCGATGTTCCAGAGCAGAAAGCATCCAGCACAGGAGAAAGATCTAGGCTGGAAGACTCAGGCAGTCTAGTCCTTTCAAGTTCTTCTGCCTGATTTTATTCCAGCCACACTGGCACCTGATTAGATGGTGCCCACCCAGTTTGAGGGTAAGTCTGCCTCTCCCGGTCCACTGATTAACAAAGGATGTTAATCATCTTTGTCAACACCATCACAGACACACCCAGGAACAATAATCTGCATCCTTCAATCCAATCAGATTGACAATATTAATCATTACACACCAGGATCAAGTGGGATTTATCCCTAGAAAGCCAGGATGGTTCAACACCTGATGCAAATCAATAAATATGACACCCCATTTTAACAGAATAAAAGATAAAAAACATGATCATTTCACTAAGTGCAGAAAAAGCTTTTGACAAAATTTGATAATTCATGATAAAAAACACTCAAAAATTTAGGGATAGAAAGAATAAAGTACATGCTTATTGCTATAGAACTATAATTGGTGTAGAAAGAATGTGCTTTCATTCTTTCTATAATTTCATAATAAAGGCTATATGTAATAAGCCCAGAGCTGATATCATACTTATCAGTGAAAAACCAAAAGTATTTATGTCGTGAGCAAGACAATGATGCCCACTCTCACCATTTCTATTAAATATAGGACTGGAAGTTTTTGTGAGGCAATTAGACAAGAAAAGGAAATAAAAGACATTAGAATCAGAAATGAAGTAAAATTGTCTCTGTTTGCAGATGGCATGATTTTATATATATATAAAACTCTGAAGAGTCCACAAAAAACTTGTAAGAACTAAAAAAACAAATTCAGCAAAGTTGCAGCATATATAGTCAATATACACAAATCAGGTTTGTTTCTATACACTAATAATAGCGTTACTCCAAAAATACTTTATTCATTCATTTATTAAAACTTACGACATTGCAATAGAATTATTTATCTTATTTTCAGCACTGTAAGGTAAGAATGCTAGGAGTGGCCAGAAGCACAGCATATAAAAAGGGCAGAAAAAGTGTTTACTGATTAGACAGAGGAAGGGTAATTATTCAGTTGGTTTGCACTGATACAGTTGTAAGAGTTATTAACATATTGATGTCTAGGTGTACTGGTTGTTAACAGACCACGTAATTCCCTATGTGCCTTCCTGCTGCTTTGGTCACCCAAACCCATCCCTCTGCATACTTGGTACCTCCCATAATCTAGCAACTAAGGGATTACTTGGGGAGGGAGGAAAGGGAAGAACAACAGGCTGATAAATATTTCAACTGTATCATGTGGGCAGACAGGATTATGGACATATGGATGGGTAGACGTAGATATGGATGTATGGATGGATGGAATTCTGAAAACCCTACTTTGTGCGACTCTATATCTAATTGTAAATTCAGGATTTCATTTCTTGCTGCCACAACAAAATCACAATTATCTGCATCAGGTACAACACGGAAACATTAAACTATGGGATTCAGAATTATTATTTCAAGAAGCTCCAAGAAAAATAAAGAGGTTGATGGGGAAGACATTTCAGAGGAAAAAAAAAACAACTCTTGACTTTGTTTTCCTGTTGGAGAACATGTATTCTTTAATGATACTATTTTTTGTTCTACATAAAACAATTCATTTTAAAAGAAATATTTCACACCAAAATAGTACATTATTTTTCCCTGCATTTGTTGTTATTTGATTTCAAGAGTGCCATATTATTCAGCATTAATGTGATCCTTTCTGTAAACAAACAACAGCAAAGTAAAGAAAATAAAATTACTTCCTTTTCTGATGATTAGGGCATATATGTGAATAATACTCCATTTTGCAAATCATAATGCTTTGTCATTTTACTAGAAATCTAACAAATGCTTTTTTCACAAACTTATGTTTCAGAAATCCATTTATAGTATAATTGAATTCTCTCTCCAGGAAGTATGGTCTATAACTTTGATGAGGAGACTTATTTTGAAAATGTTTGTATAATACTATTTAAATATAAAGTTGATTATTTAACTTCAATATTTAACATGTTTATTCAGCTGTTAATCTAATTGCTTTATAAAGAGTGGGTTAATCTGCTCATTGTCTGAGTGGTACATACCAGTCTGTGTAAACAGTGAGTTGTGCATAGATCTGTGCTAAAGGAAAAACAGCATATTCACTATTGGGGGAATATATGTGTATATGTGCGATGTCTCTGAGTATCTACTTGGGAAAGAGAAAGAAGGATTAACTTTGAGCCTAAATATTTTAAATTCTTATAACTGTTTAAAAATGCAATGAACCCAACAAAATCAAGCAATACGCAATTCTGTTTCCCTTCAGAAGTATTTCTGGTAGTCTGGCTGGCGGCATAAAAAATATACATTTATTTTATAACCAAGGCAAGCAACAAACAAGAAAACAAATCTAAACAAACTTAAGGAGATACATTCACAACAATATAATCTATTAATTTACTGCGTCTATAATAAAGATGTTTAATGCACATAAAAAGCATTTCAGAATATTTCTACCACAAAATAACCAATAATAGCATGGTTAAACTATACATCTTTTTTCACACTCTTAGGAATAAGTTCTTAAATGTCTTTTTAAATTGTGCATTTAAAAAAATTGCTAGACTCATGAAGCACAAATGAGCAATCTAAACTATCAATTAATCTGTACTCAATGGTTTTGTCACTGTGGATTTTACAGAAGAATGATTTTTATGTGGCAACAACAGAACAGGTTTCAAAGAGCAACAGTGAAAGATAATTCTAATAAACTCTCATGTTTCTTATAATTTACTGGAATGTTCAAATTCCTAAATTATGTAGAATTACCTTTGTCTGAGAAAGTAACAAGATCTTAACCATCTGCTTCAAAGCACTTCGTGATTTGTTAATCGAAAGTCTGTAAGTAACTTTTAGCAAACAAAATTTTTTTTTTGGTTTGTTTGTTTTAAACTAACTTCTGTGTATTACAGCTAGCTGAGTTAATTTTGAGGAAGTACATTGAGCTGTTTTTATGCAATTTTCCTCTTTTTATTTAAATAAAAATAGTATTTCCTTTGTATTCTCCACTATGCTGAATGGACAATAAGTATCTTGATAATTTATATGAATTTAGTTTTTCAAAATGTTCTTGTTATAAAATCACTTCATTTATTCAACAAACACTATTTACAATGTGTCAGACCCTAGGCAGAAACTTTCCCTTTTCTCATTAAAATTTAAATATGAGGGTTGAGGCACAAATAATTGAACAAATAACACAATAGTTTAAAACATATATTAAGTAGAGTTTAAAAGGATAAACCTCGGTGCTAAAAAATCCATACATGAGATCTATAATCTCCTTAAGGTAGGAGGAGGTAATGGAAGGCTGTAATGGCATTTTTTTTCTAGATAAAGTCACATCTGTGTTGAAGACTATTTAATAACAGGAGCCACTCTGGAAGAGACAGAGTTTTATCAAAGAGTATAGGCTAGAAGTATCAAGAGAGAGGAAAAATGATGAAGAGATGGATGTAGAATGGTACACAGGATACCAATTTTGAAAAGATTTCTAAACACATTAAGAAATTTAATTTTTTTCAATAATAATAATGGAAAAGCAAAGATTGATTTTATTTAGGATAGTAAAATTGTTAGATGTATATTTTAGAAACATTCTGAATAAATTTCAGTGACACTGGCAGTGGAATTTTTGTAGATCATTTTATTTGACCCCGGAGGAGAATTAAACATAATGAACAGTGACATCAGACTCAGCCAGTTTAAGGAGAAGCAGTGAATGTGTGGCTTCCAAGCAGAAGCTGTATGTGCCACTATGGGGTTATATTATCTTTCTTTTACCTCAATTTCAGACAGAAGACACTTTTTGAGCTTGGATACCAAATGAAGAAGTCATAAAACAAAGACAAAGCTGACCTGTGAGGGAGAACAATGTAAGAAAGACATAAATCTTACTTGTAAGACACAAAGATTTGGGGCAGTTGCAACACCTAAGTTAGTAAGAGCCCGCTAAAATAGAGGTGGGCAAGATGCTTGGAGATCTGTTAAAAGACTATGATAGTAACCAAGGCATAGAATGTTGATGACCTGGACTTCGGGAGTAGAGATGGGAGTGAAGAGAAATAAACAGGTTTGGCAGATAGGAAGTGAAAACAGGATTTGTAATTGTTGGAATGTGGAAGAGTGAAGGAAGGCTGACAGATATATGGATTAAAAAAAATAGGTGGACAATAGAGGATCCACACTTTTGGAATAAAGCAGAAGGACTAGGATAACGGTGAGAAAGATGCCCTAAGTCATGCTGTTGAACCTACTTGCCTATCTCTGGGATTTGTTCTTGCCATTTCCTCAGCCTGGAACAAGCTTCCTCCAGATAGTCACAGATGCTTTGTCATGTATTGCAGATTTCCAAATCTTTGGAGATGCTTTTTCTGACAGCCCAGTGTAAAACGGTGGGCCACAGCCTCATTTTCTCAATAGCACTTATATTATATCATATCATATCATATTTATTTTATTATTCGGCAGTGGTGTCTGTCAGAATATAATGTGAGCCACATATGTAATTTTAAATTTTCTAATGGACCCATGAAAAGCTAAAAGAAGTTGACAATACTAATCTTATTAATATATTTCATCTGATCTAATCGGTCTAAAATATTTCAATATATAAATGTAAAATTATTAATAAAATATTTTACTTTTTGCTTTTTGTGTGAAATCTCAATTTGGATTAGCTATATTTCCATTTCTTAATTGTCATCTTTGGTTAGTGGCCACCACATTGGATAGGGCAGAATAAAGTACTAAATTGTCCTTTAATTATTGACTGCTTCCCCTAGGAGTGTGTTGGTTCTTCCTCAATGATACGAGAACTAACATACGTAACCTAAAGAAATAACTTTAGTAAGCACAAAACATTTTTTGAATTATTAAATGAATGAATATAAAACTCGGGAAAAAAGCCTGGGCCAGATTTAAGGGAATCATCAGCAGAGTGATACTTTAATCCATAGATGAGAATGAGTTCATCTACAGTAAATGTGTGTAATGAGCAGAAAAAATATTAAAAATTACCCTACAATAATTTTGAATAAATATTTCACACATTTTATATTGGCATCTAAAAATTTGTTATCACAGATTCAGTTGCAAATAATGAAATTACCAGCTGTTATAAATATTAACCTAAAAATTTAAATAAACTAAAATAAATATTAAGTATCAGCTATATTCGCCAACATTCATGTGTAAAACACATGAGCAATTTTTTCAAGTCAGATGCTATACATCATTCTTCAATCTATTGAAAGTTTCTTAAATTTATATTTTCATTCCATAATAAATTTTATCTAACATCTTGAAAATGGATTATGTGTTAAAAATTTTAAGACAATTTAATTTGAGTAGAGGGCACAAATACCCAAGGAGAAGTATATTTTCCTAACACAGATCTTTAAAGATTTCATTGCTCAAAAGGAGAGATTTTAAAAGTACTATTGTCCCAAATCTGGTTGAGGATGAAATCTTACTGAATTATATAATGCACAACCTCATTTTTGAGGAAAGAATATTGCTGATAAAATGTTCAAGCAAGACATAATTTGAGAAACATGTTACCCACCCAACAAATTGATTATTGCAGCCTAAAGGTCAAGAGTCTGGTATCTTTTAACCAAATATTTTCTTTTGTCTACAAAACTGTTAATCTTTTCCTATTAAATTTTTTTAAAAATAGTAAAAATTTGAATTAGTCTACTAGTGGAATTACACCTTACATTTGAGATAGACACACAATTTCAGATGTTTTTTCACGTTAGTTTAAGAGCAGATATTATTTATACATTCTTACACTTCCTGGTTATATAGCCAACAAACTCAGTGTAACATGATATAAATGAACCACTAAGATCAGAGAATTTAATTACATGCCCTTAAGGATCATTTGTTCTATCACTTCTGCCATACCAGAAATATTTTTAACTGCTCACACCTACCTGGAGAGCAGGAACCAACCTTGATTCACTTTATTTCCAGTTGATTTCATCTGCAGTACCTTTAGCCATGTGGTATTTCTCTTTCTGAGAATCTCTTGAGTTCCCCCAGTTTCCTGGTCTGCCAGGGAGAGATATTCTTAAATGCCTGTAAAACAGGGGTGTTGTAGGACATAGAACAGATACTGTGCTAATTTCTTTATAGCCTTTTGTATGCTTTGTTTCTACAACATATTGGTTCCTCATAATGAACTTATGATATCAAATTAAATAAAATGTATCTTTAAATAAAAAACGTGATCATGCTTTTTCCCCCAAACACGTTGTATGAAGGAGACACAATTGTAATGAGCTTATCCAAACAGGTACATTGTCTTAAAATACTGCATGTTCTCACTCATAAGTGGGAGCTGAACAAAGAGAACACAAGGACACAGGGAGTGGAACATCACTCACTGAGGCCTGTTGGCGGGGGACTGCGGGGGGCGGGCATGTGGGGCTTAAAACCTAGATGATGGGTTGATAGGTGCAGCAAAGCACCATGACACATGTATACCCATGTAACAAACCTGCATGTTTTGTACATGTATCCCAGAACTTAAAAGTAAAAAAAAAAAATAGTAAAGAGAAAATGAAGTCTCAGTAAAGGAATTTTACATAGTATGTGACCATTTTCAATAATTTTGCAGCTTAGGACAACTCATATATGTCACATTTTTTTGCAGAATGTATGTAGACTCTGCCACATTATTCATGTTTTGATTGTTCATGTATTTAAGAGAGTTAGAATTAGTAAAATTTAACTTCATGTCCATTAAAAATGGTAGCTATGATTTTTTTCAAAGGATTACACATTTTAAATCTCTCCTTTGAAATTCAGTGGAATTAATTGCCCTTTAAAAGTACATGGAAATTCATTATTCATTATAAGGAACTCTAGTATTCCGCATGAAAACGTTCTATATAATATCTGTTTTCTCAGTCAGACAGTACAGGAAATTTCATGCATTTGTGGGTTCTGATGGCATGGATTCATTGGGCAAAGTATTCTGAAGAGTTCATTCTCTCACTCCCTCATTGCATCAGATGGTTACTCAGTGTTATTAATATTATCATTAATTTTGAGATAAGAGCTTAACAATAAAAAAATTCAGGAAAGATTTGATTTTAACTTGGCAATTATCATGGAAATTTAGGCTATTTCTTAATAGATACTTAAAGAAGGAGTTCATTCCTTCTCAAGTTAGAGTTATAAGTAGAGGCAGAAGGAAGAAAAAGGCTCTTTGTCTAAAAATAGATCCTTAAAAATAATTTCGTGATTAATAATCATAATTACTTTTCACCTAATTACCTTCTTATTCTGCTGATCTTGAATTAAAGTCTATTTCTATAATGCATTTATTTTTGGACTAAAATATTCCAAGAAATCTTACATTTTAAAAGCTTTGGTGAAATCTCACAGTAATAATGTCAACTTAAAATAGAATCCTTAGAACTGAATTACCTGGTAGTGTCAACAGAAAAAAGTTATCCTTCCATATACATGGGGGATTGGTTCCAGGACCCGGCGTACCCTGAAATCCACCTGTACTCAAGTTCTGCAGTCTCCTTTGCAGAACCGGCAAACAGGAAAAGTTGGCCCTCCAAATATGGATTTTGAATCCCATGAATACTGTATTTTTGATTTACATTTGTTTGAAAAAAATCCTGCATATAAAGGTGGGGGGCACACAGTTCCATCCTGTATCAGTTGTACCTGATATATTTGTTTTCACTGAGATTCTGAAAGTGACCTTTTGGTGCTTCACATAGAAAAATGTGGTTTTTAGAAGGGGGTCTGCAAGCAAATTGTAAAGCAAAGCAAGCCACGTGTTGACAAAACTAAATGGCTTTGGTTAAATTATTTAAAAATACCAAAACAGAGGAGAGTGGAATTTCCCATCAGGATGCAATACATAAGCAAGTGAACCCACCCATAATTACTTAATAAGGATTTGGTCAATGATTGACATGAAGTAAAGACTGCATTGTGGACATTGAAGGCACTGATGTACGAACATTTATCTGGTAAACTTTGTGTCATAACACCTTCAATTGTCAAGGATATTTTAAATGTGGAAAAAAAGTCATCTTAGGAGAAATATTTTTGACAGTGTCAGCATTTATAATAAATATGAATGTGATTCTATACATTCCTAAAATGTATACAATATGTCTTCATTATAGGAAAGTAGGTCAGTTTCAGGACAGATTGAATCCTTTCTTTTTATTTTGACAGCACCCCCGTGAAATATCCCCATATGGTAAACCTGATAAACAGAGTACCTTATTTTCAAGCTAATTAAGAAAACATGAGACATAGCAATAATGCCTAATTACTGCAGCATCCCTATATCCCCCCCATCTCAGTGGAAAGTCTTAATTAAAGATATAAGGAAGCAAGCCCTTGATGCCACCTGGTGGTCATCTAAGCAGCACCAAAGCTGGTTCTGGTGTGTAAAACCTTGTCCTTTTCATTGACTCCAAATTTCAGGCTTGCTCCTGGGGAAAAGATATATCAAAAAGAGTATTCAGATAAGAACACAAGAGCCCAAGAAGGAAATATGGCCACAACTTTGGCTTTTATTAACAAAAATAAAATTACTCTAAGCATCATAACAGGATGATAAAATAATGCTAGGAGAATTTTAAGTTAATTTTTATTATATATTTTTGAGGTATACAACATGAGATTTTGATATAAATAGTAAAATGATTACACAGTCAAACAAATTTACATACCTATCACCTTCCATAGTTACCTTTTGTGTCTGTGTTACAAGCACTTAAAATCTACTCTCTTAGCAAATTTTCAGTACACGACGATACAATCTTATTATCTTCAGTCCTCATGCTACACATTAGACTTCTAGGCTTATCCTGCCTAACAGCAAATATATAACCTTTGACCTACTTCCCTCTACACCATCATTCTACTTCCTGTTTCTATGTATTTGACTTTTTAAAAGGATTCTGCGTACAAGTGAGATCACACACTACTTTTTCTTTCTGTGTTTGTATCATTTCATTTAGAATAATGTCCTCTAGTTTTATTCATGTTGGCACAAATGGCAGTATCTCTTTTCCAAGGCTGAATAGTATTCCATTGCGGGTATACATGTACAGATATATACACACACCCATACACATACACAATGTAGAATATATACACACACAATATTTTTATATATATATATATATACACACATATATATATATACACATATATATATATACACATATATATATACACATATATATATATACACATATATATATACACACACACACACACACACACACACACACATATATATATATATATATATATATGCATGCCACTATTTCTCTATCCATTTATCTTGAGAAGTCATGTGTTTGCAATTATTGGAACTGGTGAAGTGAAAAAAATCTGTCATGCTGTAGAAAGCAATTTTGTTACTATCTTTTACCAAGAATTGAGTGTATACTCAAACAAGCACTATTTTTATTGTTAGTATTTATCTCTATTTTATTATATATAAATAATTTTATTATAACTAATATGCATATATTTTAAACACAAATATAAATATACAAAATAGTAATGTCAATGCTGTTTAATTTTAAAAAATTTAATAATCTTAAAATGAATATCTAAACAGTTAAATCTCTTAAATGATATTTTAAGAAACTTTTTACCATATTTATGTTTTTTCAACTTATTTTTTCACCATTTATTTTAATTTCTAATTTAATATTATGCTATAGTCTTAAAGATAATTTGGGATCTTGGAATTACAATTTGAATTAAGATTAAAGAACAACAGAATCAGTTTATTTTAAAATCTTATCAGTGAATATGGTACCTGACCATCTTTCTCAGGTGATTTAGTAGAGAACTTTAGGCCACAGTTTGTAGCATTATATAACAAATATATGAACAAATTTTGCTTTTAAATGTGGGTCAAAGTTAATATATTTTACATTACATTGTTATACATTATATTTTGTTATAATATGAATTTTATATTTGTGCAATCTCATAATTCTTGGTGTAAGTGATCACTTATCTGACTTAAGACAATTTTAAGGAATTTAAGAAATTCTTAATGAATTTCAATTCATTAAGATCCTTGTCAATAATGAACAGAAGTCCTGAATGAACAAAAATGTTATGTTTACATTATATGCCACACCATAAGAAGATCAGAAAGAAGATATACGTAGATGTCTTTCAAAACCAACTTAATAGAACAATTTAAATTAGTAAAGGACACATAATGATTAGGAGTATTGGTTTATATGAAATTTATACAGATTTATACAATTCTGTAGATTTGCTTTTGGAAATGTTTGTTTTAAAACACTTCCTATCTTGGTTTAAAAGTCTTAAGATGATTATAAAGGCTTATCCTATCTATTTGACTGTGGTCTTTCTCCCTCATTTTATCTTGGAAACTGATACAGGACCTGACTCCATTATTTCCTTTTAAGGTCTTAACGAAATGCCCTGAGCCCTTGTTTGGAGAATCAGGTACAATTTTTAAGACCTGTTATCTAATATGTAATAATGAGTACTATTTCATAGAGCAATCAAAATACTAACTCAATTTTCAGAAAATGTACAGTTTGTCTTTAGAAGCAATAACTTTCAAAACCACTTATACAGTATTCTTTTTTTTCAGTTATGCAGTTTTCTTATTAAAAGTGTTTAACTAGACCCAAACCCTGTGGGAAAAGTAAGACTAATCCAGAGAATGAGACATTCTACAATATGACTGGCCAAACTCTTTAACAAAAGAGTTCATGTCATGAAAGTCAACAGTAAAAAGAACAACTGAAAGAGCAAGGGCTTATCTAGTTGAAAGAGACTAACAAGCATAACTCTTAGGTGGACACAAAAAGCTAAAAATTACATTAATGAAATAATAATCCATCTAATTCCTGTTCATTTGCAAATTTCCCTGAATGTTCTCCAGAAATACAGACAGAGTTTCTTCAAAACACGACCCTAGGATCATTCATACTAAACACTGGCCAGAAGTTAGTTTCACTACATCCAGTTCCTATCCTGGAGGCTCTTGATTTTACTTAGGAAATAACAACAACAAAACTTAAAACAACAACAACAACAAAAACAAAAAACCTCTCTAGCCTTGCACCCTGCAGGAGGGCAGGCTTAGAACCCAAGTCATGAACACAGCCAGCCTCCAGGCCCAAAGCAGCACTCTAGACTCATTGGAGGCCAGATGTCTCACAACTAATAAAACAATTCTATAATATTATTGTAGCAATTAATAATATTATTATCACTGGATCTGGAATACCAAAGATGGCTCAGTGAATCTCCAGGCTTTCAAACAAGTTCTACTCTTTTCTGATAACTGAGCAGCAACCGCAGCTTCTCCTGGAAATCAGACTTGATTACCTCTGCCTATACTGTGGCTTCTTTATTTGCCTGGTGGACTCTTGACTAGAGGAGACGAAAGTGACTGGTAATCACATCTTCACGTCCAGTGGAAATTTTATTGTGATCTCTGGTAGAATGATGTTTCCCTGAGAGCCAGCAGAGTTTAAATATGCAGACTCAGGCAGGGTACATTTTACAAGTAGGGGAAAGGGAGTGTTGGTAAAAGTGGTCAGTCATCGCAGCATCATATGCAAGTCATTAGATTACCATAAGCCCTTGGATAGTCGCTGGGGTAACCATCCAATATCTGGACTAGGTGTTGATTCTAATAAAGGCAAATTGCTGATCACCCGGGATAGAAGCAGTCTGCTGAATTGAATTGGAACCTAGTGGGTGCCTGGTTTTCTTAAGAAGACTTGCCCTATCAAAGCTTCAGGGTCAGTCTCTGCTGCTTTGATGTTGACTAATTAGCATTGGTTCAGGTATAACAAACACAACTGTCCAGATAAATTACAGGTTGCAGCAATATTTCATTAATTTTCATTACATTATGGTATCCTGTTATATGGATATACTGTATTTATCCAATCTGTCCTTGCCAAATTTGGTGGCTTCCGTTTAAGGATTACTGACAAGTTATTATGCTTTCAACCCTTTTTTACATATCTTTTGTTGTACATAAGCAAATACTTCTTTTTGTAGATACCTAGCAGTGGATATGTTTCAACTTTAGTAGATACTGCTAAATGATTATTCAAAGCATCTATCTATTCAAAACTCCTGCAAGCATACTTAAACTCTGCTGGTTCTCAGGGAAACATTCTACCGGAGATTACAATTTTATTGTAATTACCAGTCACTTTCGTCTCCTCTAGTCAAGGGACCACCAGGCAAAAAAAGAAGCCACAGTATAGGCAGAGGTAGGTAATCAAGTCTGATTTCCAGGAGAAGCTGTGGTTGCTGCTCAGTTATCAGAAAAGAGTAGAGCTTGTTTGAAAGCCTGGAGATTCATTGAGCCATCTTTGGTATTCCAGATCCAGTGATAATAATATTACAAGTTGCAGCAATACTTCATCAATTTTCATTACTTTATGGTATCCTGTTATATGGATATGCTATATTTACCCAATCTGTCCTTGCCAAATTTGGTGGCTTCCGTTAAGGATTACTGACAAGTTATTATGCTTTCAACTTTTTTTACATATCTTTTGTTGTTGTGCATAGGTAAATACTTCTTTTTGTAGATACCTAGCAGTGGATATGTTTCAACTTTAGTAGATACTGCCAAATGATTATTCAAAGCATCTATCTATTCAAAACTCCTACAAGCATTAGATGAAATTTCCAAAGTATGTAATTTTCACAAAGGCTGAGTTAAATAAAATGATCAAATACACAGGAGTATGGACTACTGATTTTATTTATAGAAATTTCAAAACCAGGCAAAACATATTTATTGCGTAAGTAGTCACAATAGTATTTACCTGACTGGTTGCTTCTGGGTGTTTGGCAATGCTCTGGGTGGCATGTACACAGATACGATCACTGTGAAAATTCATTTCATTGTACCACTATGATGCATGCATTTTTCTGCATATATATGAAACTTTAATAAGACATCAATTACAAAGCATAATTCTCTGAAATAGGACATCAATGAAAAGCATGATTCTCTGAAAAAGACCCTCATACTCTTCTTAGAAACACATTCCAACTAACCACCACATGCCTTAAAATTAACACTTGAGGGGTAGGCAAGTTGTAGTATAAGAAATCTTGTGCTTGGTGTTGAAACCTGTTAAACATTCAGTCACTTGTAAAGAATTTTAAAGATTGTTGAGCAAGGAAAATGGCAGTTTAGGGTTCAGAACCTGTAACCTCTCAAACTCCAAAGGCTCTTGTCTGTGCTAGGGCAGTGCTGTGTGCACCTCCCAAGGAGTTCTTGTTCATGAGCACCTCCTTTCCCACAGCTCCCTCTCAGTGGAATAAGAGCACTACATTGAGGGAAGGTTATCCTCTTTTCCGAGAGAAGTGTGATGCCAAGGTCAAGCTCTATACAAGCAACATGTGCAAATAACCTGGCCCCAGATACCAAGTTGCAGACACTGACATCATTCTTGGAGGCAGTACTAGACACTGCAGACAGCTTTTCTTCCAAAGGCAGCTCTCCTGGGCCACCAACGATTCAGTCTAGGTGTCTGATGGCAAATTGCCCATCCCGAGGCAGCACTTTTCACGATGGTTGTGGTGTGTGTTCTGGAGTCCCAGAGGGCTGGCTTTTGAGTTTCCTGAAGTGCAATGACAGGAGCAAATAGGACCAGAGACCAAATTCTTTCCAACGTAAACATATGCCGTATTAAGGGGGAGGAATAGACTTCCGTGGGATTCATTGGTTTTTTTGACAACAGAAAGGTTTAGAAGCATCTTAGCTATACATATAATTCCCAGGTTGATGCTGGTAAAACTACATGATCTCTAAACATCTCTAATAATCTTTCATTACTTCAAAGTACATTTCTTGAACATTTACCCTATGGACAAGACAATGTGATTCTTGTCCTAAAAAAACTATCTTTACTCACACTTCACTAAAAAAAAATAATGATAACAGAGGCTATTGGAGAAAAATTCATCAACTTCCAGCCACAAGACCTACACATTTTCCACCCACCTATATCTACCCTCTCTCTTATAACCTTAGAAGAGGCAGATTGCTTGTGTTTGGGGCCAATTCTGTCTTACATGTTTTCTTGATATTTACTTTTCCCTTCTTGTTTTCTCTTACCTGCTGTTGCCCCTTTCTGTGAGAATTTAAATGTGGTCAGCTATATACTCTTTACAAATATGTTTTTGATTTCCTAATTGATTAATGTTTTATTACTTACACTTGAAGGCTGCAAAGTGAACCCACTTGTTCACTTTTTAAAAAAGTCATCATGTTTATATGCATATTATATAGATATATGTGTAATTTTAACATCACATATTTATGATAAAAATGAATTAATGGGGAATTTCACAGCAGTTGTTAGTGATATACCAGTGTCCAAGTTTGATAGTAGCCTCTACAGCCACTGAGCTTACAAAGTTCAGCAAGGGACAGTGCCGTTAAACCAATAAACACACAATAATTGTGATTTGTGGTAAACTCCGGAATGGAAGGATGTAACCAAATATGTGAGTTTGGGAAGCTGTCACAGGGATGTGATACTGAGACTTGAAGCCTGATTGCAAATTGGGCAGGAAAGAGCTGAGAGACTGAACAGGGCCAGGAAATATAATTCCTGGCAGGGAGTTGAGCCAGTGAACAGATCCTGAGACAATGAGGAACCTGATGTTGTCTTGGATTCGGGACTGGAGCTCAGTGAGCAGAGAGGAGAGCTGCCAACAGGGGAAGAGAACCACACCAGGTGGGGACTTGGGAAGGGACATTTCGCTCCTCGTTTTACTTGACTTCTTCATCACATTATTTTATCATCAACCTTTCATTCCATGACTGCACTTTACTGATTTTCCTTCTAGCTTTACTTTCTCAGTTCCTCCTCATCTGCCCATTTTCCAAATGCTGGTGTCCTTTATGAGCAAATTGAAAATGCTGTGCAGATACCATCTAGGTGTACAGAAAGATTTTACAAGGACAGTGGGACAACTATAATTTTAATGACTCCATTTGCAGATTTTAGATTTCCATGGCACTAGTATCTAAAATTTATATTCCTGAGAACTACTCTCTGAGCTAGTGTAACCTTTTGTAGTTTCTTTCATTTTTTACAAGGAATGGCATCCCTATTGTACAGTGCTAATCTTACTATATACCACATTACCTGGGTAGAAATATTTCTGAGTCCCCTATGGAGCAACAGTGTGAAGTATTGCTATAGGAGTTCAGAAATGAGTAACTTTAATAACTGGATATTAAACACTAAGAAACTTAGTGGCTTCCAATTTTCTTTCAGGAGATGAAAAGGGACTGTAAAAAAGTTGGCAGCTGACAGATCACAAAAATGTCACTTGGTATCGAATCCCTATTTATTTTCATATTAAAGGGATCAAATAATTGTGTGACATTAGCATAAAGTAAGTTTCCATTCTGTTCTGCTTATCTTTATGGACAGTGCACCCCAGCAATTACATCTTATAAAATAAAAAATATACAATTCATGCGGCACCCTGTCTTATTCTAGTTGTAAGTACCATTTAATCAATACTGCATGTCTGTTGGTGAGCTGCTCTGCAGTGTGCCCAGGTTGAATCAGTTTCTTTGTGGGATATCTCACTTTCAATGTCTCTGAGCTTCTTTTCTCGGGTTAACAAATTTTGCAGGAGCAATAGTTTCTAGTTCCTGAATATAAGTTGAAAAACTGGCTGCCAAAATTTGTTTTGGGAGCCAAAATAGGTACTAATAATCAAGGACACGTGGCAGGGAAGGGGAGGGAGAGTTACTCTATTCATCTCTTGGGCTTGCTGGGGGATCTGTCAAGCGTGTGTTCCTTCTGTCCTGTTAGGCTGTGGTGTGGCAGATTCAGTTATATCCTTCAGAAGTTTTGAATTTCTGTCTAAAGAGAAAGAGCAAAACCTCGCATTGCTTCATAATATGGCAAATGCTTTGAGGGTGATTCTAGCCTTCTGTTTATGTTAGACTCCATCCCTGTAATGGTCTTCTCCTAGGTTCCATAAAATGTGAAGGTTGTTCATCTTCCTCTTCAGCTTTGGCTTAGCACCCCAACTTCATATGCCATCTTAGAATTCAGTAATTAGCCCATGGGGAAAATCAGCTGTATGTTTGTGACCCTTCAACTTTCTGATTCATAATGCCAGTCCTGCTAAATATAACTGCAAAAATATATGCTGGTTTTCTTTTCTCCTAGCAAAATCTCTCTGCTGGGCTAATCCTGATCCTAAGAAATTCCCCTAAGGAATAAAACACTGAACAATTGTCTGTTCACCTCAGAATGATGATATTATTTCTGGAATCCAAGTTTTGTTGTTTAAAGGAACCAGAAAATACTGATATTTTATATATATAAAAAAATTATATATAGATATTATATATATAAATTATATATATTTTATATATATTATGTTATATATGTATTATATATATATATATATATATAAAGGGGTATAGGATTTATTGGAAATAATTATTTTATGGCAAAAGTCTACAATTTTTTTAAATTGTTGTCATTAAGTATTACAATTGGTGATCACCTGAAAAGTAAAGTCTTATTTTAGTTATTAGGATGAACAAAGTTTAGTGTGCAGAAAGGAAAAGCCGTGATGGGTTAGCAAAAAAGTATATTGGTGTTCAGACAACAATTTTGAAATCTGAGTTTTATATCAGGAAAAAAACATGTTGCCAAGAAGAAGGAATTTAGCTTTTATGATTTATGTAAAATATCTTTTCACTGAAAAGTGCTTAAAGTTTCACTTATTGTGTTCATTTGTGTTTACATTTCAGAAGCAGAGTTATTCTCTTTTTTCTTTTACCTTAGCTATAAAAGAAGATTAAATGTTCTCAGTAACAAAACCACTTTCAAAGAAAGTAAGTCTGTGAATCAAATCATAAATGTGCAGCCAAGAATTTCAGAAGTATTCCAAATCAACAACTTATAAAATGGTATAGTTGGTTCATATATGGTAAGAGAGGGAGGAAACATGATATTCCATTTTTGGAATAAAAAATTATTAATAAATATTGAGGACTGGATCCTGAGAACACAATGATATCTGTAGAGATACCCAAAGTCAAAACTGCTCTTTAGTTTCTGGGTCAAAGAACAATAAAGGTCAATATCTTTACTTCATTAGGTTTATGTTGTATTTTCTTTTCATTTTGGAATGATTAAGTGGAACAAAAAGCACACAGATTTATTGAAAATACAGTAAAAGTCAATAAACAATTTGTATCTAATAATAAGCTACTATATTAATCCCTTGATTTTTACCAAAGGAATCTAATTATTGAATTTACTAGTCGTTATCTTGCAGTTTTGAGACATTAGTTTTGTGTGACTTGTTAAAATGACTGGTTGAATTATACTAATTTGAATATTAGTGAGCTTTTCTGATGATGCTAATATTTATCCCAAGAAAAGTTTCCTATCATTTTGGAATGACAATCAACAGACAGAGATTAGTTGTTAACAAAAACAGAATCATGGAAAGAAAAACTACTTGCACTTAACATAGAGAGTAAACTCTCACGCCAGTTTTGCCAAATGTGAATTTCAAATACCATGCTTTATACATACATATGAAAATAAAATAGGTTATTATATTTTATTTTTCTCCTCTTTTTACATTACCCTTTATAGTCTCTATTTGTGTTTCACTCAAGGTGGAAAAGAAACAGTAGTTGACATCATTTTCTTTTCCTAGGAACTACACTTACTTGCAAATACATGAACTATCATCACCTCAGATTTTATATGTGCTACGTGTCTGTTGGTGGGCTGCACTGCAATGTACCCAGGTTCAAATATTTTTTTTTGTGTGTGTGGCAAATCTCATTTTCAATGTCTCTGAGTTTCCTCTCTTGCATTAGCAAATTTTACTAGTGAGAAATTCTCTAATTCCTGGACATAAGTTGTAAAAATGGCTGCCAAAATTTTTTTGAGCCAAGTGAAGGTTTGAGGGTAGAAATCACACTGTACCATGTGCAGAATTTCACTTAATTCCCTGCTTCAGCCCAAGTGCCACCACTTGCAATGACACTCACTGTTGCAGAGTTTAGAGGGACTGTGGTTCAAACTCTCTCAAAGATAAAACTTTGACTCTTCTCCCAAGATTGTCGGATTGGGAGTTATGCAGCTGCATGGGAAAGAAAAGAGGATTTTGGAGGGAGGCAGGTCAGCCTCAGCTTTCTCTGTTTTGGAGAAGCACTTGATACTTCTGGATTCTGAGGCCTTAGGTGATCTCAGCACCAACCAGCTTGCTTCTGGTCTTCATGCAATGCCAGCACATGTTTTAGTGCTCTTTGCATGCTGTGTTACTTATGCCTGCTTTCAGCTTCCAATATATTGGTGCTGCTGTCCCCTTTCCTTACTTTGGTTGATGATATGCACATCATGTAGGGTTGGGCTTTGGAAGAGATTGGTTGTAAACACATGTATGAACCACTGACATTATTTAAAGGAAGTCCCTTATTACATTATCTTTAATGATTATATTATCTTCTAAACATAATTTTTATGATACTTTTATATCCCTTGTAGTTTTTTCTCAACTATGCAATATTTTTAGATATCCAGCTCCTGAGGTTGAGAAGAGTTCACTGTGTAGGGCTGTTAATTTGGGGGACAACTATGGCAGTGGTAAAGACTACACTTTTCTAGACTAATGGCAAAAGAGGATGATACTCTAAAGACTAAAACTTTTCTAGACCAATGGCAAAAGAGGATAATAATCTGAATTGAAAAAGAGTCCACCTTTGGAGCATGAGTTTGTTCCCTCCAAAATGTATTTTAGAGGCAAATGGAAAATCATGTTTGACTATTGAAAGTAAATCAATAGAAATGGGTCATTACCAATACACAGAGAAAATATATTATAAAATAATGTTAATTTAATATAAAATTTGGTGAATGTGGTAGATGGCCTTCAGCTGTAAGAAGCTAAGATACCAGATTATCTAGAGGCACTTTCTGGAAATTACAAAATACAGAGAGAGGAAATATTAATGGAGATACCATGCTGATGTTACCTGGTGAATTTTGGAGTGAACATTGTGAACTTGAGGTGATCAATAATCTGATTTGAACTAGACCATTCCAATGAGATCAAAGGGAAGGAAGCAGAATTACAAGGCCCATTGGTTATGAACAGGCATGGAGAGTAGAATTTGGAGGAATGATGGGGCTCATAGAGACAATCTGCCACCTCTGATTGAGCTGATTTAGGGGCCCAGTTATCTATCTGGGACTTACTTCTATGCCTTCCTGCTACATTTTCTTAGCTTCTTCCAGACTCTACTTGTGCACTCTGAATGATATCTTGGTAGGGAAGCTTCTAGTCTCACCTCAATAGAAGTGACATTTTGCACTGTGTTTAGATTCTAGGTCTTCTATTTCATTTGCTCATTGGATGGGAGAAAGGTTAGACAATAAGAGAGTCTCAGGCAATCCAAATATAAACTTCTTGATGAGGACTTACTAGACTGCTTCTTGGTGCCTAAACAAGGATGGTTTCTAACCTGTTGTAAAAAAACATGGACAACTCATGTGCATGCAAATTACCACATTAGCGACCCAGACCCGTGAAACATCTATTTTATGTCCATGATCTTCATACCTGTTTGGAAATGAAACAATTCAGTGAGACCAGGTATTTATGGTTCAGGGGTCAATGGAAAACAAGTTTAGTGGGAGCAACTTCAGTCCACTAAAGCCAAGGAATTTCAACAGCTATTTGCATAAGCCTATCCTGAGACTCTCTGGAAAGAACTGTAGAATTTGAGCCTCAAGATAGGTTCTCTGTTCAAATATAACACAAGTCAGATGTTTTTCCTACATATTTAGCCTTCTGATATGAGAATATTGTTTAATTCAAGTTCCAATTTCAACTCAAAGATATGATGAAATGGTTTTTGAAACCACTCACCTTGACTTCTCCTTGATTGTTGATTTATTATTTTCTTATTCTGCATTCATTCTTCCTTCAGCTAGAACTGTGCTAAATGATACTTTTTATATTGTTTGATTAGTAGTACATAACACCCTCCAAGGAAGAACATCATAGTCAACATATAAACAGAAAAAAATAGGGCTGCAAAATAGACATATAACTAACAAAACATACACAGAAATTGGAATCATATGATTCAGTCTCAGATTTCTGATTTACCACTTACTAGTTATGTAACGTTGTAAAGACAGTAATACCTATTAATAATATCTTTCCATAAATGTAAAATGTCAACATTTATAACCATCCCTATGAGTTATTGCAAATATCAAATTAGATAATGCCACTTTAAATCACCTATTCATCAGTAAACTCAAGACAATCAATGAATAAATGCTGACTCCTTTCATTCTTTTGGATCTGTAATCTTTTTCTTATTGTCACATAATAATTGTACATATTTATAGGGTACAAAGTGATGTTGTGATAAAAGTATACAATGTGTAACGTTGAATTCAGGGTAAGTAGAATATCCAGTACTGCAAATCATTATTTCTTTGTGTTGGGAAGATAGGAAATTCTCTCTTCTAGCAATTTTGAGATATGCAATAATTTATTGTTGACAGTCACCCTACTGTGCAATAGGACACTAGAACTTATTCTTTCTTAGTTCTAATTGTAACTTTGCACCTATTAACAAGTTTTCCCCATCTTACCCTCCTCCCTACCATCTCCAGTTTCTGGTAACTACTATTCTACTTTCTACTTCCACATGAGATGCATTTTTTTTCTTTTTTCTTTTCTTTAGCTCTCACAAATGAGTGAGAATGTGCAGTATTTGTATTCTGTGCCTGGCTTATTTTACTCAGTATAATACCCTCCGGGTTCATCCATATTGCTGCACATGACATGCTTTCATTCTTTTTATGGATGAATAGTTTTCCATGGTATAAATATATACCACATTTTCTTTATTCATTCATTATGGAACCATTTTTATAATTTCTAATTTCTATATATGCATCATTCTTGTTCTTTCATGTCTGTTATTTACATTAATTATCTCTACTCCTTTGTATATAGGTATTTCTAAAGTTGAGAGTGTGGGAGCAAGATGAAGAAATAGTGTTATCTATTTCTGGGTATGAAACAAGCACTATTAATAAGAACTAATTTATTTAAACTGTTTCACATAACATCTTTGGCTGACTTATTCTTTGTAACATGATTTTATAAAATTTACTGGCAATATAAAGGACAAAATCATTTGATTTAATATAAAGTAAAAAACTTGATCCTCCCACCTCAGCCCCCCAAGTAGCAAGGACTACAGTTAAGACTTTATTGCAAGATGGCTGAATAGGAACAGCTGCAGTCTACAGCTCCCAGCATGAGCGACGCAGAAGATGGGTGATTTCTGCATTTCCATCTGAGCTTTGAAGAGAGCAGTGGTTCTCCCAGCATGCAGCTGGATATCTGAGAACGGGCAGACTGCCTCCTCAAGTGGGTCCCTGAACCCTGACCCCCGAGCAGCCTAACTGGGAGGCACCTCCCAGTAGGGGCAGACTGACACCTCACACGGCCCGGTACTCCTCTGAGACAAAAGTTCCAGAGGAACAATCAGACAGCAGCATTCACGGTTCATGAAAATCCACTGCTCTGCAGCCACCGCTGCTGATACCCAGGCAAACAGGGTCTGGAGTGGACCTCTAGCAAACTCCAACAGACCTGCAGCTGAGGGTTATGTCTGTTAGAAGGAAAACTAAGAAACAGAAAGGACATCCACACCAAAAACCCATCTGTACATCACCATCATCAAAGACCAAAAGTAGATAAAACCACAAAGATGGGGAAAAAACAGAGCAGAAAAACTGGAAACTCTAAAAAGCAGAGCGCCTCTCCTCCTCCAAAGGAACGCAGTTCCTCACCAGCAACGGAACAAAGCTGGATGGAGAATGACTTTGACGAATTGAGAGAAGAAGGCTTCAGACGATCAAACTATTCTGAGCTACAGGAGGAAATTCAAACCAAAGGCAAAGAAGTTAAAAACTTTGAAAAAAATTTAGACGAATGTATAACTAGAATAACCAATATAGAGAAGTGCTTAAAGGAGCTGATGGAGCTGAAAGCCAAGGCTCGAGAACTACGTGAAGAATGCAGAAGCCTCAGGAGCCGATGCGATCAACTGGAAGAAAGGGTATCAGTGATGGAAGATGAAATGAATGAAATGAAGTGAGAATGGAAGTTTAGAGAAAAAAGAATAAAAAGAAACAAAGCCTCCAAGAAATATGGGACTATGTGAAAAGACCAAATCTACGTCTGATTGGTGTACCTGAAAGTCACGGAGAGAATGGAACCAAGTTGGAAAACACCCTGCAGGATATTATCCAGGAGAACTTCCCCAATCTAGCAAGGCAGGCCAACATTCAGATTCAGGAAATACAGAGAACGCCACAAAGATACTCCTCGAGAAGAGCAACTCCAAGACACATAATTGTCAGATTCACCAAAGTTGAAATGAAGGAAAAAATGTTAAGGGCAGCCAGAGAGAAAGGTCAGGTTACCCACAAAGGGAAGCCCATCAGACTAACAGCGGATCTCTCGGCAGAAACTCTACAAGCCAGAAGAGAGTGGGGGCCAATATTCAACATTCTTAAAGAAAAGAATTTTCAACTCAGAATTTCATATCCAGCCAAACTAAGCCTCATAAGTGAAGGAGAAATAAAATACTTTACAGACAAGCAAATGCTGAGAGATTTTGTCACCACCAGGCCTGCCCTAAAAGAGCTCCTGAAGGAAGCACTAAACATGGAAAGGAACAACTGGTACCAGCTGCTGCAAAATCATGCCAAATTGTAAAGACCATCGAGACTAGGAAGAAACTGCATCAACTAACGAGCAAAATAACCAGCTAACATCATAATGACAGGATCAAATTCACACATAACAATATTAACTTTAAATGTAAATGGACTAAATGCTCCAATTAAAAGACACAGACTGGCAAATTGGATAAAGAGTCAAGACCCATCAGTGTGCTGTATTCAGGAAACCCATCTCACGTGCAGAGACACACATAGGCTCAAAATCAAAGGATAGAGGAAGATCTACCAAGCAAATGGAAAACAAAAAAAGGCAGGGGTTGCAATCCTAGTCTCTGATAACACAGACTTTAAACCAACAAAGATCAAAAGAGACAAAGAAGGCCATTACATAATGGTAAAGGGATCAATTCAACAAGAAGAGCTAACTATCCTAAATATATATGCACCCGATACAGGAGCACCCAGATTCATAAAGCAAGTCCTGAGTGATCTACAAAGAGACTTACACTCCCACACAATAATAATGGGAGCCTTTAACACCCCACTGTCAACATTAGACAGATCAATGAGACAGAAAGTTAACAAGGATACCCAGGAATTGAACTCAGCTCTGCACCAAGCAGACCTAATAGACATCTACAGAACTCTGCACCCCAAATGAACAGAATATACATTTTTTTCAGCACCACACCACACCTATTCCAAAATTGACCACATACTTGGAAGTAAAGCTCTCCTCAGCAAATGTAAAAGAACAGAAATTACAAAAAACTGTCTCTCAGACCACACTGCAATCAAACTAGAACTCGGGATTAAGAAACTCACTCAAACTGCTCAACTACGTGGAAACTGAACAACCTGCTCCTGAATGACTATTGGGTACATAACGAAATGAAGGCAGAAATAAAGATGTTCTTTGAAACCAACAAGAACAAAGACACAACATACCGGAATCTCTGGGATACATTCAAAGCAGTGTGTAGAGGGAAATTTATAGCACTAAATGCCCACAAGAGAAAGCAGAAAAGATCCAAATTGACACCCTAACATCACAATTAAAAAAACTAGAAAAGCAAGAGCAAACACATTCAAAAGCTAGCAGAAGGCAAGAAATAACCAAAATCAGAGCAGAACTGAAGGAAATAGAGACACAAAAAACCCTTCAAAAAATTAATGAATCCAGGAGCCAGTTTTTTGAAAGGATCAACAAAATTGATAGACAGCTAGCAAGACTAATAAAGAACAAAAGAGAGAACAATCAAATAGACACGAAAAAAAATGATAAAGGGGATATCACCACCGATCCCACAGAAGTACAAACTACCATCAGAGAATACTACAAACACCTCTACACAAATCAACTAGAAAATCTAGAAGAAATGGATAAATTCCTCGACACATACACTCTCCCAAGACTAAACCAGGAAGAAGCTGAATCTCTGAATAGACCAATAACAGGCTCTGAAATTGAGGCAATAATCAATAGCTTACCAACCAAAAAGAGTCCAGGACCAGATGGATTTTCAGCCGAATTCTACCAGAGGTACAAGGAGGAACTGGTACCATTCCTTCTGAAACTATTCCAATCAATAGAAAAATAGGGAATCCTCCCTAACTCATTTTATGAGGCCAGCATCATCCTGATACCAAAGCCGGGCAGAGACACAACCAAAAAAGAGAATTTCAGACCAATATTCTTGATGAACATTGATGCAAAAATCCTCAATAAAATACTGGCAAACTGAATCCAGCAGCACATCAAAAAGCTTATCCACCATGATCAAGTGGGCTTCATCCCTGGGATGCAAGGCTGGTTCAATATACACAAATCAATAAATGTAATCCAGCATATAAACAGAACCAAAGACAAAAACCACATGATTATCTCAATAGATGCAGAAAAGGCCTTTGACAAAATTCAACAACGCTTCATGCTAAAAACTCTTCAATAAATTAGGTATTGATGGGACATATCTCAAAATAATAAGAGCTATCTATGACAAACCCACAGCCAATATCATACTGAATGGGCAAAAACTGGAAGCTTTCCCTTTGAAAACTGGCAGAAGACAGGGATGCCCTCTCTCACCACTCCTATTCAACATAGTGTTGGAAGTTCTGGCCAGGGCATTTAGGCAGGAGATGGAAGTAAAGGGTATTCAATTAGGAAAAGAGAAAGTCAAATTGTCCCTGTTTGCAGATGACATGATTGTATATTTAGAAAACCCCATTGTCTCAGCCCAAAATCTCCTTAAGCTGATAAGCTACTTCAGCAAAGTCTCAGGATACAAAATCAATGTACAAAAATCACAAGCATTCTTATGCACCAATAACAAACAGAGAGCCAAATCATGAGTGAACTCCCATTCACAATTGCTTCAAAGAGAATAAAATACCTAGAAATCCAACTTAGAAGGGATGTGAAGGACGTCTTCAAGGAGAACTACAAACCACTGCTCAATGAAATAGAAGAGGATACAAACAAATGGAAGGACATTCCATGCTCATGGGTAGGAAGCATCAATATCGTGAAAATGGCCATACTGCCCGAGGTAATTTATAGATTCAATGCCATCCCCATCAAGCTACCAATGACTTTCTTCACAGAATTGGAAACAACTATTTTAAAGTTCATATGGAACCAAAAAAGAGCCTGCATCGCCAAGTCAATCTTAAGCCAAAAGAACAAAGCTGGAGGCATCACGCTACCTGACTTCAAACTATGCTGCAAGGCTACAGTAACCTAAACAGCATGCTATTGGTACCAAAACAGAGATATAGATCAATGGAACAGAACAGAGCCCTCAGAAATAACACCGCATATCTACAACTATCTGATCTTTGACAAACCTGAGAAAAACAAGCAATGGGGAAAGGATTCCCTATTTAATAAATGATGCTGGGAAAACTGGCTAGCCATATGTAGAGAGCTGAAACTGGATCCCTTCCTTACACCTTATACAAAAATTAATTCAAGATGGATTGAAGACTTAAATGTTAGACCTAAAACCATATAAAAACCCTAGAAGAAAACCTAGGCATTACCATTCAGGACATAGGCATGGGCAAGGACTTCATGTCTAAAACACCAAAAGCAATGGCAACAAAAGCCAAAATTGACAAATGGGATCTAATTAAACTAAAGACTTCTGCACAGCAAAACAAACTACCATCAGAGTGAACAGGCAACCTACAAAATGGGAGAAAATTTTCACAACCTACTCATCTGACAAACGGCTAATATTCAGAATCTACAATGAACTCAAAGAAATTTACAAGAAAAAATCAAAGAACCCCATCAAAAAGTGGGCGAAGTACATAAACAGACACTTCTCAAAAGAAGACATTTATGCAGCCAAAAAACACATGAAAAAATGCTCATCATCACTGGCCATCAGAGAAATGCAAATCAAAACCACAATGAGATACCATCTCACACCAGTTAGAATGGCAATCATTAAAAAGTCAGGAAACAACAGGTGCTGGAGAGGATGTGGAGTAATAGGAACACTTTTACACTGTTGGTGGGACTGTAAAGTAGTTCAACCATTGTGGAAGTCAGTGTGGCGATTCCTCAGGGATCTAGAACTAGAAATATCATTTGACCCAGCCATCCCATTACTAGGTATATACCCAAAGGACTATAAATCATGCTGCTATGAAGACACATGCACACGTATGTTTATTGCAGGACTATTCACAATATCAAAGACTTGGAACCAACCCAAATGTCCAACAATGATAGACTGGATTAAGAAAATGTGGCACATATACACCATGGAATACTATGCAGCCATAAAAAATGATGAGTTCATGTCCTTTGTAGGGACATGGATGAAATTGGAAATCATCATTCTCAGTAAACTATGGCAAGGAGAAAAAATCAAACACCGCATATTCTCACTCATAGGTGGGAATTGAACAATGAGATCACATGGACACAGGAAGGGGAATATCACACTCTGGGGACTGTGGTGGGGTCGGGGGAGGGGGGAGGGATAGCATTGGGAGATATACCTAATGCTAGATGACACATTAGTGGGTGCAGCGCACCAGCATGGCACCTAATGCTAAGTGACGCATTAATGGGTGCAGCATACCAGCATGGCACATGTATATATATGTAACTAACCTGCTCGTTGTGCACATGTACCCTAAAACTTAAAGTATAATAATAATAATAATAAAAAATAAAGTAAAAAAGTTTTTAGGAAATACTCCTTTATTGCAGCGCGATGCTCCTCTCTGGATATTTGTATGCCAATTTATTTAAGAATTATTGTTAAAATTTTTCATTCTGAAAGAAAAATAATAGCAAAAGAACTTGTCCCTGAGGACATCTAAATTGTAAATGAGCAAATCTTTAAACAAAAAAAGCCAGCACCATTAAAACAAGGCATAATACTTTCCCTATAGCACATATTAGTTTTTCCAAAAATAACATTATCACTCATTTCCTTTAGCTTCAGTTGTTGATTAACATAAATATATATTTTTAAGTTCTCATTTGGTAATTACTAGATCTTTTCTAAGTGACTAATTTCTTAGCCATAAATCATATATTTTCACGTGATGGACTGGATTATTTCTAAAAATTGCTGTCAGGCAGAGAAAGCAGAGTCTTAAACCTTAATTCTAGCTGCTGGTCATTTTTTTTTTTTAAATAGATGAGTATGTTGATGTAGAAAATGTCTTTTTATATCAACTTAATGCACTAAAAGTCCAGTTTTTTATAATGTCAATTTCCTTTACTGTTTCAAAAAATTAAGATCTTCATATGCACCAATCATTATAAGAAGTCATGACAAAATTATGTTTTACAAAAGTCAAATATTTCTCCTTTTTCTTTTCTTTTTTTTTGGAGATGGAGTTTTGTCCTGTTGCCCAGGCTGGAGTGCAATGGCACGATCTTTGCTCACTGCAACCTCTGCCTCCTTGGGTTCATGCCATTCTCCTGCCTCAGCCTCCAGAGTAGCTGGGGTTACAGGCACTTGCCACCATGCCCAGCTAATTTTTTGTATTTTTAGTAGAGATGGGGTTTCACCATGTTGGCCAGACTGGTCTCAAACTCCTGACCTCAGGTGATCCACCCGCCTCCACCTCCCAAAGTGCTAGGATTACAGGCGTGATGCCACCATGCCAGGCCAAAATATTTCTTCCAATCAAGAAAGCTTATCATTATCCATTCAGAAGAATTTAAAAATTATCATAAATCCCAATCTGGAAGCATGTTATGGCAGGAATTTTTCAGCAAAGCAAATGAAATTCTCTATTACACTGACTAAGAAAACGGAAACGGTTTTTGCTAAATGGAACATGCCATCATCTTGTGACACTAGAGTCCTCACAAATAGAAGTGTATGTGATAAAACAGTGTGTTTTACTCACCAAAACTTTGCTGATTTGCTCATATGTAAAAATTGTTTCTCTTTTTAGGATCAATATATTTACTGTAAAACCTACTAGTCTCTTTATTATAAAAATTTTCAGGCCAGCCATGGTGGATCACACCTGTAATCCCAAAATTTTTTGAGGGCAAGACAGGTTGATACCAGCCTGGCCAACATGGTGAAACCCCATCTCCACTAAAAATAAAAAAATTACCCAGGTGTGGTGGTGGGCGCCTGTGATTCCAGCTGCTTGGGAGGCTGAAGCATGAGAATCACTTGAACCCTGAAGGCGGAGGTTGCAGTGAACCGAGATCACGCCACTGCACTCTAGTCTCGGCGACAGTGTGAGACTTCTTCTCAAACAAAAATTAAAAGTATTCAAACATCATTAATATAATATTGACACAACTTTCACAATGTCTGCATGTCACCTCTATGATTATTTACTTAGTATTTTTTTGTATTTAAAGTTCTTTCTTTAAAACGAAATCAATTTATTTGCATAGAAAACTTTATAGCATGTCCATAAAAATGACTTGGAATATACAAGAAAACTACTAAAATAATGAAACCCATAGTGTGCATTCCCTATGCCTGTTTAAGAGCCCTGTGCTCATTTAAGGTGTCCCACTGTGGGTTCTGCAGTATAGTTTTCTAAGTCTTCCTGCTGAGAAAAATTTAAGTTACATCAGGTGCTAAGATTTGGTTATCATGATCTTGTTGGTTGGTTAAACTGGGTTTATTTTGAACATGGGAGAAGAAAATTGTTTTAATGATTGAAAATGTTTTCATATGAATACAAAAGCAAAGCAGACAAAACCAGCCTAGGAAGAAACTAAGCTATTTGGAGAAGGAAGATTACTTTATGAGCACTGATAAAATGCAATAAATTGATCCAGAATCTAGCAAAGTGTGGGTACTGGTGAAAAAGTTCAGAGGGATTCGTTGTTAAGGCGCTTGTAGCTTATTCTGAATAATAATTCATTTGTTATAATATATTTTAACACATTGAGTATCAAATATGTATCATGCACTATGTTATGCAGTCTTTGAAAAAATGGTCATGAAGAAAGACCCCATGTCTACTGGAGGAGGCAGATGGAGAACTGCTGCTTTGTGGGGAATTAAAAAAAGTGTAGAACATAGAATCTAGGAGTCAGGGAAGACTCCCAGGTGATGTAAACTGGGTCTTCAAGGATGCATAGGAGTCAGTCAAGACAAGGAGGAGGAAGAAAGGATCCCAAAAAGCAGTGGTTTGTGTGGGAAAGAGAGTTTCTGGGGTGCCAGTTGAGTTGGTCTCCCCTGTGTGAGACACCCATGGGGAGCCATGGGCGGCCTCTGAGGAGAAAAGTCTCCTTTTTGCTTTCATGTCTTTATGCCCCGAGAGCATAACCGCTCAGCGGCATTCCGCAGGTAGCTCAGGGAGATAACACTCCCTTGAAGCAGTGGAGTATAATCAAACATCTTGGCTCCTCCTGAAACCTGCTCCCACCCGTTTTAAGTAGTTTAGACACATGGCTTTGCTCAAGGAAATTCACAGAAACCGCCACTGCTATACATCTTATCCAATGACTCACGAGTTCTCCTCCACTGATTAATCATTTTCCTCATCCTTTCCTCCCCGTCCCATGTGCCCTAAGAACAAAGAGCTTGTAAACCAATAAATTGGGCGGAGCCTGAGAGCTCTGGGCCCTGAGCAAGCCTCCGACACTCCGGTCCCCTGGACCCGCGTTTTAAACGTTTATTCTGTCTCCTTCTAACTCCTTTGTCTCCGCCGGACTCGGGGTACCCGCTGGGTGGTGTGGGGCTGGTTTCCCCAACAGGTTTGTGCAAAGCAGGAGGTACACTGAAAGACATACAAAGAGCATCACATAGCCTGAAGCATAATGTGCATGTGGTGGCGTGGCTTGGCACAGATTCTAAGATGTGAAAGAAAGACCTCAGAGACGTAGTAGCAGCGTCTTTTTAAAAATATGGAATTAAACTTAACCACCAGGGTAATCATTACAGATGGTAATTCCTTCTTAGAAAGTCTACTCAAATTTTTGTATTTAATATTATTTTCAAAAAAGTGATGCAATTAATTGCAGTATTTTGCAAATAAAAACTGATCATCTTGCTTTATACACAGGATAAATGGACTTTGAAGGAGACATTGTTAGGAAAACGGATATGATGCAATAGATGCATGGTCAGTGTAACTAGGGGCTAAGGGTGCAGATATGAAAATAGAAAAGAAAGAAAATATCAGAAAGATCACAGAAAGTATGTGATCAGAGTCAGGCTTTATTCTGGAGTAAAAGAGAGATTTGGTTCTCTAGTACATTAAATTAACTGATATTTTAAAGTCAACAAAGAGAGGAGATGCTGTTGGAATTGAGGGAATGAGGGCAAAATAGCAGTTTTTGAGTGAATTTAGGAGACAAGAATAAAGAAGTGAAGAGAAAAATGATTGGATGTCACAGAGTTTTACAATAAAAGTTATACAGATGATTATTAACCTTCTTATCTCTTTAGCAGTGAGTAAGTGGGTTGAAAAAAATTGATCTCGAAAGTAAGGTTCTTGTTACTAAAAATCCAAGGTTAAAATTGTGCTACAATTTGAATATGGAAATGCTCATCTGAGAAAGTTTGGGTAATCAAACATATGTGTACTTTACTTTGTTTCTGGACCATCTGTTATTTTTATTAGTAAAGAAGCATTTAGCTGATTCTTTCTAAGATAATTATGTCTAATTAAATATATCAGATATCTACAACTTATTAACTTTAAAATATTTCCAATGTATTGCCACTTGTATACTGAAATGATAGAGGTCTAATAACAAAATTACAGGAAGAATAAGTAAATAATTGACAAGGTTGAGAAATTAAAATGTAATACAAATATTCACATTTCCTTTTCCTACTCTGGAAAACTTTCAGATCAGTTACTCTAAAATACTCAGTGATAACACTCAAAATAGTTCTTGAACAAAAACAGTAATTGTCTATTAATTAAGTGAAGATAAATGAGTGAATGGCTCAGGTTGTCTGTGATGACTGATATTTTCAGTCAATAAAAACTCATGTTAATTCCATTTAGATCTGAAACAAATCAACTTTCAAGATTTTAATATAATCTGTTTGTATAGACATTATCTTACTTTAAAGCTTTTTATTTCTTATGTTCTGTGTTGAATACATTGTAAACACAACCATAGTGAGAATGTCTTCTTTTTTTTCTTTTAGAAAAGTTATAGAAATATAAGAAAAATAACTTTTGTACATTTAGAGAGTAATAAGGATGATAGAGAGGAAAATAAACTATATATTAATAATATTCTTCACAATGGCTTTCAGAAAACCAATGCCCACATTTTTTTTCTGCAAAAAGAGGAGTGTCTCTTGAATCAAAGTAGTTTATATGAAGTAAGAATTATTGATAAAAACTAAATGTTCATTTATGAAAATGAATGCACTGTTTTCTTAATTGGTTACCATAAGGAGATCCTGAAAATATCAAATGATGAGTTGAGATTATTGAAATAATAAAATAGGTGACAGTATGACTTACATGGACACACTTTAACTTATATAACAGAAATGAGAATCTTATAAATCACAGTGGGTGATACAATTTGTGAATAATTGCTATCTCAGAGGGTCATGAATAAAGCCGGATGATTTCAACTCATGTTAGAATTTATAAAAGCCTTATTTGGAGCAGGCATTTCTCACAGCAAGTAGAGATAGAAAATGCATCAATTTCTATAGTCTTAAACTGCACTGTAAACAATATCAAGATTACACAAAGTATTAACTTACAAATCCAAAGAATAAAATAAAAATGTCTCTTGTAGCTCAAGACAATATCTGAGAAATGTAAGTTAAATAAAACTTTGGCAAAATCAAAAGTGATTTGTGTAGGTATACAAAGCATGTTGGTCGAGGAACTAGAATTTGAATGCCAAGTATTCTGATTTTTTATGCTTTACTTAGCCACATTAACTATTAGTTGGATAGATAGTAACTATACAAGGCATGCATTTGTATATATCTCTATTTAGATACATACACACATGCACATGTAACATAAAACATAACATGACATATAATATGTTGTTATATAATCATTACGTATGTGTGCAACAAAATGAAGAATATAATAGGCTATAATTTTGTAAGTTTGTGACAATATTTGAGTAACAATGGAATTTAAAAACAAAATTCTCACTATATATTTGCTGCAATTTCCTTAAGAATTTCAAAACAGTTCAAGTTTCAGTTAACATACCCACAAAGTCAAAAAGGTACAAACAAGATTACAATACTATTTTTTCTGTCATTTCCCGGAACGTTCATTAATGAAGAATACATTATCTTTTTTTTTGCCAAGTGTTTTACAGGGTGCTGATTGTGGTAACAAGAACCCAAAGAGGTCTTGATGTTTGCAAATTAAGTTAGGTAAACCTTTTCTGATAAAAGTTAATACATTCAGTGAAAATGGCAAGTGGTTTTCAATTCCTAGATTTTGAGTATTGCCTTCAATATCTATTGTATAAAATGCATAACTAAATTTAAATGCTTCCCATGTTACATTATTTATTCCTAAAGAATATTGTCTGCACATTTTGGAATGAGGGTAGGTTTATTTGAATGTTGTTTAAATTAATCACTGTCTTCATGCTTCTTCTTCCTTTTTCATTGGGTATTGTGTGTTTTGAAAGTTAAGCTTTTAAAGAAAGGCCTTTGGAAGTGTGCTATCACATTTTTGCCAAACCAAAAATGAATGACAAAGAATGTGTATGTATTCCAGGAATGTGTGTGTATTCATAGACCCACACGCTTATGTGACTGGTAGTATATAGATAAAATGATAATACTGAATACTTTTGGTGTGAGAAATCTTAGTTAATGATTGTTTTCTTCTCCTGGTCTGTGTTTTCTATAGGGAGCATGAATTATATTTTGTTAGAGAGGGAATACATATCATTTTTTAGACACAAAAAGCTATGGTAGATCAAACAACAGCAAAAAAAAAAAAATAAAAAAAAAAGGCTGTTTTTAAAAAAGAAAATTCCCTGAAAGTAGGACTATTCTAGTTACCATAAATAATGTAAAAAGTCTGGTAGGCAAAGAAAGTTTTTGTATATCTACATAGGATAATGAAATACAAAAATGCTTAGGAAGATTAATGAGATGATTCAGCTACTGAAACCCATATAAATGCAATATGCTGCGGTTGGCTTTAATATCTGATGTATACAAATTGCTGATGAGTAAAAAGAATAACTGCATCAACTTTTAGCAACTCTGAAATTTATAGTTAGTATGCATATCTTTGATAAGTACTTTAAATGCCATGAAATGTCCAGTCATGAAGTAATATTCTGTTTATACAGTCTCACACTCACTAGTTAGAATTAACAATACCTTTCTGGTTTGAAATCCACTTAAATTTTATTTCTTAGCTATAGAAGATATTTTGCTTAAATCTTGCACTTTGGTACTTCAAAACTTCATGTTAAGTGAAGTGTCAAAGAGTTAAACAATTGAAATATCATAACGCTTCATATTCACTTGGGACATTCATTTGTTAAGAATAGGAATTGTCGCAGAGTCGGTGCCATTTTCTGGCTCGTGTCCTGGGTACGCATAAAAGATTTTTACCAGCCTCCCGTTGGTTAAGATGGGATCGTGTGACCAGGTCCTTGTCGGTTAAGAGTCGGTGTGAGATTTTAGCATACCCTTTCCTCTCTTGTGGCTTGAAGTGAAGTGTTCGGAGGTGCGACAGTTTCTGTAGAGATGCAATCTGGACCCCAGAGTGAGTGGAAAGCTGTAAAGGAGGGTCTCCTCACCCACAGTGGAATCTTAAGTGGGCCAGCCATAAATCTGAGTTTAATAAGATTCCAGGGTTGATTCTCTGGCATAGCTCACCTCACCTTAATGAATACAAGTACATTAATTAATAGTTAAGTAAACAATGCGCTTCTGTTATTCCCCTAATACTAACGTGTTCGGCGTTAGGTAGCATCATACTTTTTTTCATAATAAAGTTTATTTTTCAACACTCAGCAAACTTATTTGATCCTTTCTTTGTCCAAAGCACACAGAAGTACACCCCCTTATTATACTCTGTCTTTCCCCAAGGAATTGTATTAGGTAGGAAAAATATAGCCCATTCAATAAAAGAAATTGCTGTTTCTGCATTCTAAGCCATAGTGTATCGTTTATTTTAGCCATGATTCTACTGTTTGGGAAATATATTGATTAATCTTTTTTAGGTTATTCGGGAAGGGGGAAAAGTAGGCATAGTATAGTAGTCTAGAGAAGTTTAGATAAAATAACTTACTGTGTATAATAAGTAACAGGAATTTGGGGTTTGAGAATTTGGGACTGGTAGTCTGAGCAAAATCAGATGAGACATCTGATAACTAGCAAGAACGAGATCTCCAGAGACGGCAGATTTTCAGAGTGAAAAGAAAGGTAGAAGTAGCATCCAGTTTTATAACATTTTCCTGTTTTAAATTATTCTCAATTAGATGAAACCTTCAGTTAAAGTCTACCACACATGATAATCTCATTACTGAAAGTGTGAAGAGTAAAGGAAGTGGTTTGGTATCCAGTGGTGAGACAGTGGTATAGAAAGAGGGCAAGGGCTCCAGGAAAGAAAAAATGGTTTGTTACCAGGCAATCATCAAGAAATTGACTGCAGTGTGGGCTGGCTCAGAGGTAAACCAGAGAAAAGCTGTCTCTTGACAGACAAGTAGAAGGTAGTTATTGAGGGAATAAGAATGCAGAAGGATGCAGGCTGCAATTCCCACAGCTCCTAGAGTATTTCTTTTGTGTATTAAAGGAAGAAATGATCTCAAAGCTGGAAGAGTTGGAGATATATAGGTAAAAGTTCTTTATCTCTTTTATTTTTAACCATGTATTTTGTTGCTTAGTAACATTTGCCACTTTTTAAAACCTCATTTCAAAGTGACCAATTTAAGAGTGCATTTAAAGGAATTATATTTTAAATTTAATACCACTGTAAACCAAAAAGAACTTAATAGAATTTATATATTTTATATATATACACAAACATATGCATAATGTATAATATATATAATAGGTAGACTATATAATTAAATATGTTTTTATGTCCACAGAGCAGGGAATTCTGTATGTAAATTTTTCCCACTTTTCAGTAAGAATTATTATATATAAATCTTTTTCTTCTACAATATACAATTGACATCTATTTCACTCTGTCTAGACAGCATCAGAATAAAGTAAGAGCTCAGTTTCTGGAGTCACGATGTCTATATTCAAATCATAGCTACATGACTCAGAAAAAGTTACTTAACTTCCCACTGCTTTAAATTCTTCATCTGCGAAATGAAGATAATGATAGTATATTCGTCTTATGGATTTTGTGAGGATTAAATTGAATAATAATTATACATATACATTTCCTGGTATAGTCTCAGTTTTATACCAGTTTTCCCTGTGTAAAGTTTAAGAGCAACAGCTTTCATTTTCTGAAATTTAGTATATACACAGCTACATATAAAGGTTTCAGAAATATGACTAGTCTAAAATAAATGCGTATCTATATTAGCTAATTTATTACTACTACTATGTATAGATTGATTTTAAGATTACTAATACTATTAATATCTCTTTTATAAGAATTGCATTAAGTTGAAAATTTAAGGATGCTTTTTTCTACCTTTCCTAACTTGGACATCATAAGCCATCATATGAAAGGAGGTTCATCTACATGTTATTTCTATTTTGAATGATTCTTATCATGTGTCCTAATTAATATTTATAAATGTATTTCCTGCTTAAGTAATCAAAATATATGAAGATGGTTGCATCAGATAAGATTGCATGCTGCAAATGTAGAAAAACACAAGGCAATTTGGCTTATAATGAGATAAAGACAAATATATCTAATAACTGGAAAGCTTAGAACAAGATCTAAATCTGGATAAAGCTTGTTCCAACCAGTAAATCAAGATTCTTCACCAAGAACCTTCGTTCTGTACACATCTCAGCCTTCATCAATATTGACTTCATCCTCAAGCTTGACTTAGTGGTTTGCAGCAGGTCCAACCTCCCATACAAGGCCATTGCTGAAGAAACACATTGCAACACTTGAACACTCTAGTATTCTCTCTTCTTTATATTAGTATTTGCATACTTTGTAACTAAATTTGCAGTACTGATGATACTAAAGTGAATAATGTTATGTCTTATAGGCTCATGACCATGGCTGGTAGCATTACAAATGGCCTCAGTTCACTTTTTTCACACTGATACTTAGCTTTGTTTTTTTCCTCTTATATTCCACTTTGACTTACCCTCCCTTCTGAATGCAGCAGGGTGTCTTTTTTAATCTGTTGCTGTGCCTTACATTTTGATTTTAGAATCAGGTACAGTTGCTCCAATACATGCTGCATTGTGTCCTTGACATTTATATTTTGCTCCTGGAATTTCTTCAGTTATTTTGTAGAATCTTATTTAGTATTTGTGGGAAATGTTTTCTTCTATAGGCTGAATCTCACCCACAGAATTTTCCTTAAGAATATGTGCAAAGGCAGAGTATTGGCAACTGTTTCAAATGTTTCATTCATATCTACGCCTCACTGCTCAAATCTCTCCAAAAATTTAGTGTATGATTCAATGTTCAAAGGTGCTGGATTCTCATTAATTATATTATTCTATCAAGTAGTTAACCATCATTTTATAGTATTTCATCTAATTCCAAAGAAACAAAACTTACATAGTTAAATATGTGGCTACCAAAATTGTATTATGAACCAGTAACGTATTCTAGAATATATTATGTGATACAATATATGATATAAACTCTCATTAAATATAGCATTGTGAGCAGCATATTTTGCAAGATGTTAAAAGAGCAGTATTAACTTCCATATCACAAGTCACCCCTTATGTTTTCTTTTTTTGGTTGGTAGTGTTATAAATTTGTCTATCAATATCTGAGTGGTGCAGCAGTATAGCAAGATTCTAGTAACACAAAATGCATGTCCTACTTATATGTGTTTACTAATCAAAACAATCCTTTGATTAAAGATCTTTAAAGCATCAGTTACTTGATTTTCAGCATTCATCAGAAACATTCTACATAATTTCTTCCAAGGCCAATAACAGTCTGCACCACATAATCATATTTCCATCAGCAACAGGCCACATACACCATGGTGTTCCCATGAGATTATGATGGAGCTGAAAAATTCTTATTACCTAGTGATGTAGCTGTTTTAGTGTCATCACACAATGCATTACCTTTTCTTTGTTTAGATACACAAATACCATTGTGTTACAATTGCTTAGAGTGTTCAGTATTGTAACACACTGTACAGATTTGCAGCCTAGGAACAATAAATGATACCACCTAGGCTAGTTGTAGAGTAGGCAATGCCATGTGTACGTACACTCTGTGATGTTTGCACAAGGACAAAATCACCTAATGATACATTTCTCAAAATGTATCACTGTCATTAAGCAATGTATGACTGTACTACATAAAATCTCATGTACCTTTATATTGACAGGGTAAACATTTTATTTACTCTCTCAATACCCATTTCAGAACTTAAGTTAAAAAATCTCAATATGGTTTATTTAATATAAAACCAAGTTAATTCTTGAATTTTAAAATGTTATAAAAACACTAACAGATATGTATGTGAATATTTATGCTGCTCAATATATGGAAACAAGTATTTGGAAGTTAAGCAATCTTGTTGAAATAAGGACCCATGATTATTTTCCTTTTATGACTCATTATAACCAGAGTGTTGTAAGTTGTAGTAAACTAGTTTACATTTTAGTTTATATTTGTTCTAATATGTCATTCTCATTTTGGTGTTAGTTTTCATTTCAACTGTTATTCTAGTTATGAAATCATTTTAGTTTTATTTCTAGCTAGATGAAGTAATTGTGCATTCCTATATGAATTCTTATTGTTGAATCTAAACACAAAAGATGATTATAATACGAACAACCAACAAATTGCAACAAGTAATAACTTGAGGACAAATTGTAAGAAGTAATAACTTGAGGACAAATTGTAACAAGTAATAACTTGCAGCAATGGGAAATGAAAATATTGGATTTATATTAGGTTTCATTTGTTGTCATTATTGCAAATTAAAATTGATATTTTGGTTTAATTTGTTTTAGAACAGCTGCCATTAATTATATTAATGAGCAATTCTCTTACAAAACTCAGAAAAAGTTATTTGATGACTTAGCTCTAACCACCATACTCATCATTATAGGCAACTGAACTCTCCAGGGAATAAACACTGATGGAGTGATTCATTTCATCTCAGCCTTTAGACCTACTGTGTAAGAATGTTTCCTCAGGAGAACTCACTGTATGCTTAATTGTTCTTAATCCCATAGCAAAGGGGAAAACAAAATGAATTGAAACATGAAATAACTAAATGTGTATTCTACCATTTTAAAACTCTAGTCTTCGTTTTGTTTCTTCCCAACTCGCCCTTTGCAATTGTGCAACAAATAAAAGTGATAATAATGGAGCTTGAAAGTACATCTGAGAAGGCTAGATCCTCACAGAATCTTTAAATCCAATAATGGGTGTAAAAAGTCATTATTGCTGACTCCAAATGATAAGAGAAGTCTCTGCAAAAGAGAAGCCATAGAAAAAGACTGTTGACTCCAGGTGAGCAATGTGAGTGAATTTAAATGTTGTCAATTTAGGAAGACCATAGGAATCTCCATTGGCGGATCAAGATGCTCCCCTATTTTACAGTGGCAGAAGGCTTTAGTTTTGCATTGAGATCTCTAGAAATAGAAACCTCAAACCCAATCCCCATCAGATAGTAGTAACTGAATAAACTTTTGGGTCCACAAAATCAGAAATAGCAGTACATTTCTATGTAGCTAATCTGTCACAGAACAAGAGATGCCAAACATGAGACTTGAACAGGCATTTGATGATGTTTGAGGAAAAACATGCATGAACATGTAAAAAGTAGAGATTCAGTAAGGGGATGAGTAAAAACAAATTAAAAATTAGTAAAGAAAGATCCTGTGGAATCAGCAACAATGAAACTCAAAGAAGAAAATTTTAACAAGAAACAAAACAGATTTCCAAGTATTTTTGATTACAGCCCAAAAGGTTACATAAGACAACAATAACAAAACAAAAGCAAACAGTCTTTTGAAAGAAATGTGTCATATCTTGGATAAAAAAACGGAATGTAATCTAAATTAAAAGTGAAAAAACAACTACTGATTTCAAGGACAAACCCCAGAAAACGGTAACTTAAGTATAAGAAGTCCTAAAAAGATACAAATTAAAGAATGGAGAAGTAATAATTCAATAGATAGTTTTAAAATTTCTTTGAACTGCAACATGTAAATCTTTGTGTAAAAGGTCTCCCAAGTCTTGAGGAATACAAAGAAAATATATAAATCAACATATGTGACTAACCATAAAAGATAAGCAGAAAGTTTTACAAGTTTCCATGCAAAAAGAGCAGACTTCTGAAAAAGGAAAAATAATTATGTTAATAATGCTTCATTTGCAATACTGAGAGCTACATGACAAAGTGCCACCTAAACATTATTGCACAAAGAACTACAATACAAAGGTTATGAAAAACAATATGCACTACCAATGGTAATAAGTATAATAGTCACAAGCCTTATTTTTAGGAAGCTCATAGTCTTTAAATCAGTATTCTGCTTTTAGCCAATAATACAATGGAGGTACAAAGACTTTTTGCTCTATTATTCACAAAAGCAAAAAGTTAAAATCTAAATGTTTGCTTAACATTAATCCTTCTAGACTTTCTATTCATGCTTCTCTCTATGAAGTGAATACTCCTGTACTTTCAAACAGCATAATGGACCTGCTTAAATTTACATTTTAAATATTTTATGTTTTCTTGAAGATTTTAACTGTTTTCACCAAAATGCCCAATTTCATTCACCATTTCTGGTGTTCTTCCATTACTTCTCTTGCCACATTTTATTGCAAATTTTTATTTTCAGTTACGTTCTCCCATTGGAAGAATGTGGAGAAAAAGTGACTTTATTTCTAATTTACTAGATTCCTACCACTTATTACTACGTTGGGCTTATTTTAAGATGCTTGGCCGGGCGCGGTGGCTCACGCCTGTAATCCCAGCACTTTGGGAGGCCGAGACGGGCAGATCACGAAGTCAGCAGATCGAGACCATCCTGGCTAACACGGTGAAACTCCGTCTCTACTAAAAATACAAAAAATTAGCTGGGGTGGTGGTGGGTGCCTGCAGTCCCAGATACTGGGGAGGCTGAGGCAGGAGAATGGTGTGAACCTGGGAGGCTGAGCTTGCAGTGAGCCCGGATTGCGCCATTGCACTCCAGCCTTGGGGGCAGTGCAAGACTCTGTCTCAAAACAAACAAACAAACAAACAAACAAACAAAAACAGATGCTTAACAAATACTTGTTGAATTAATACATTGCAATTTATTTAACTGAGTACCCTTTAGGGAAAAAGTTTTAATTCAAATGCTGTTACAGATATTGATGGATTCTACTCGTTTGTTTAGCTATGTTTTTTCAAGTTTCTGCTTTGCTACATGGGTTGAATTCATATGCATAAAGTATATATAATAAATTAAAATCTATTATTTTAGTAATAGTATGCTAAATATTGGATACATAACTTGATAAAATATTAATGTTATCCATTTTATAGAATTATAGCTCTTCCATTTATCATTTAGGGTTTTGCCTGATGTCTACACAAATGCCTAAGACTAAAAATAGTCAACTTTTTGTTGACTTTTCAGATCATTAGACAATATATTATTTGAAACCACAATGAAATTTTATATTGCAATCCAAATGTATATTTTTATTTAATTTATTTTTGAGTTCTCCTGATTAATCTCTTTGCAAATTGTACTAAAATGACTTTTTTTTTTTTTTGAGACTGAGTCTCGCTCTGTCACCAGGCTGGAGTACAGTGGCATGATCTTGTCTCATTGCAACCTCTGCATCCCGGGTTCAAGCGACTTTCCTGCCTCAGTCTCCCAAGTAGCTGGGGCTGCAGGCACTCACCACCACCCGCAGCTAATTTTTTTGGGATTTTTTTTTTAGTAGAGACGGGGTTTCACCACATTGGCCAGGATGGTCTCTATCTCCTGATCTTGTGATCTGCCTGCCTCGGCCTCCCAAAGGGCTAGGATTGCAGGTGTCAGCCACCGTGCCCAGCCAAGATGACTTTTTAGATTATTCTCTCTCTCTCTCTCTCTCCAAGGGTTTTGCTTCTGTTAATTCCTTATAGTGGAAAATGAAAAAAGTTATTAAATGCAGCTATTTTCCAGAGCAATAATAATATCTATGACCAATATCGAAAGGTAATTCAACTATTACATAAAAATATTTATAAAAAAGATGCTCAAAGTTTTGATTCACATCTTCTGCTTTGGGACCATGGAGTTCCAGGACCCCAAAATGCTGTTGATTACAGAATGGAGAGAGTCAAAGATGCCTTCTATTTCCAACAGAAACAGAGGCCAAGGAAAATATTATCTATACTTTTATATTGCAAACCTATGTCATTTCACATGCTCATTTTTATATGTGATGATTGGACACTCTAAATGCTTTGAAAAATGTACTGACTTTGTGGTTCAAAGAACACACGTTGAAACTAAAGTAAGTCTTAATTACCTTATTTTCCAAAGTATGTTACATTATTGCTCTATTGCAATAAAACCAGGATTGTTGATGGTTGAGAAAAGGGCAATAAAAATAAAACCTAAAGGTCATGCTAAGGCCAGAAATAATGAATTGAAATGGAAGTATATGATCCTGGCATTCATATAAAATAAAATCAACCGTGGAAATTCACAATAAGCCCAAGGCTATGCACAAAGTATAATAGAGAAAAGCTGGCCTTAAATGAATCCCAGAGGAGATTGTGCAGAATCACTCTCTGGATGAAAGATGAATTCCAAAATAGTTTTATTTGTTGAAATTATTTGAAATGATTGAAACGGCAAGCACGCTTTGGCATATATTTAGTCACTTCAGGGTACCGACACATTATTAGTATTCAGCACTAATACCAGTGGGCACATTTGTACAGTTATTTTCCTTTTTTTGTCATGTGAATGCAGTATTGTTTCCACATGCATACATCCCTCTATAGGCTTAATGAATGTATTTGTCTGTTGGCAGGTGCATGCAAATATTGTTAGATTGAATATGTGATTGTTTATTTTTCAGAAATGTAAATTGAATGTTTTAAAAGCATTTTAGGTTCACCTTCTGAGTATGCTAGGAAGTGAACGTTGTGTGATTCATTCCTTTTGCAAGGATAATGCAAAGTAAAAGCCATTTCTCACCAGCATATAGCTTAATATCTGAAACTCTAGATTCAGCATTTGGGATTATGCTTCTTTTTATATACAGCTAGGAGGAACAATGCATATTTAGTAAAGGCAAGTCACATAAATATTATAGTTTTGAGCATCAAGGAATACATTTTCAGAGTCATCAAATGTTTATTGAACACTTACGTGGCCAGTACTATTACATGTTCATAATAATCAATGTAAATTTATCAGTGAACAAACTATAAAATTCTTTACTCTTACAGAGATTACATTCTAATGGAGATTGAAGAGAGAATGTAAATCAAAGAAGGAATTGATACAAAATATTGGATAATAAGTGGTATGAAGAAAAATAAAGCATGTAAAGGAAAAGGGTATTGCCCAAAGTGAGATGTATACATTCAATAAGTGTGACCATATTTATGAATGACATAATATCATGTCTGGCATTTTCTTGAAAATAATCTATGGTCCAGTGCAGATAAATAGAAAGGACCATGGATGAAGTTTGACCATGAGTTGATTTTTTTTTTTATCTAGATGATATATGCATGGGGGTCCATAATACTGCTCTCTCTGCTTTTGAAAATGTTTGTGAGTGTTCATATTTAGTTAATAAAAACAGCGTTCACAAAGAATTTCCCCAGGAAGATAACATTAAAGAGCCAGATTGGAAGAAGTGAAAGATTCAGGTGCAGTAATAGCAATTACAAGCTGTTGAAATCATTGCATGCCTGGAAGGTTCTAGAAACAGTAAGAAGGTAAGTGTTGCTAGAGTGGAATGAGAGAAATTGAGAATATTAGGAGATGTGTAGGAGCCAGATTGTGTAGGTCATTGTAAGAATTTCTCCATGAGTAAGATGGGAAGTCATTGGAGAGGTTCAGGAGAGAAAAGTAATCCAATTTGAATTTTAGAAGCATCACTATGGCTGTGCTGCTTAGACAACAGTAGAGATAAGCATGGAATTCCTGAGACTAGTCAGTTGGCTATTTCAAAATGTAGAAGATGGTGGCTTGGGGCAAAGTGATATCAATGGAGTTAGTGAGATGTGGTCAGCCCCTGAATTTGTTAGCAGGTGGCATCAATAGGATTTGCTGAAGGAAAAAATGTGGGTTGTAATTTATGAGAGAAAGAAAAGACTCATGGATGATTCCAAAGTTTGGGCCCATGCAAACTGAAAGAAGAATTTTTCCATTAAGTGAGACAAGGAGAACTTCAGGAAGATTAATTAGGGGATGATTTTATGTTGGTTTTAAGAAAGACCATGGTGAGAAGACAATGTTTTAAGATAGAAGGGATGATATTTAAGTCTCTCTTGATGTCTGTAGACAAGAATTGAAGCTATAGAGTAGTGATAGGCTTATAGTAAGCATGTAGGGCTTTCTCTTGAAAAAATATTTTGGAAACAGCAGAGTGTTTATATTTCCCAATAGTGTTTTTTTATAAAGGCTTCAAAGAGTTCTAGTTCTCGATTGTTTCCATTTAGTCACCAGAAACTTATAAACTTGGTTAGTGCTTTACAGTGCCCGGCAGTGAATTTGAGCAGCAAACTGTAATCATAATCCATGACACTACATGCATTTCTTAATCTGCAAAAGCTATATTGCAAATAATGATATAAAATCTATAGAAATGATTATCACTTGGGCATTAATGTCACATCTGTCTGATTATTACCAAGACTTAAAAAAATTACTTATCTCCTTAGCATGGAAATAATTGATCTTAAAACCAATATTTCCATTTACGAAGTGCAAAGTGCTTACATATATATCATATGTTTTGATGCTGATCGCATAGGACCTTTGCAAAAACATTGTTGTCCCTACTTTAAAAACGTGAAACTTGATATTAAGAGGTTCACTCACAATGAGGACTAACCTGCACACAACTAAAACTATGATCTAGATCACCTTACTCTTACCTTACATCACTTGTTAATATTACTTTATACTTGATTGTGTATATATGTATATAACCATATTTCAGTATATACACATGTATGTATTTACACAAATGCATTTATGTATTAATATATGTATTAGCCCATTCTCACAATGCCATAAAAGATACCTGAGACTGGGTAATTTATAAAGAAAAGAGGTTTAATTGATTCATGGTTCTAAAGGTTGTAAAGGGAACATAGCAGCTTCTGCTTTTGGGGAGGCCTCAGGAAGCTTCCACTCATGGCAGAAGACAAAGGGGAAGCAGGTGTCTTACAGGGCAGGGGCAGGAACTAGAGAGAGCTATGAGGGAGATGGTATACTTAAACAACCAGATCTCATGAGAATTACTATAATGAGGACAGTACCAAAGGGATGGTGCTATGCCATTCATAATAAATCTGACCTCATGATTCAATTACCTCCCACCAGGCCTTGCCTCCAACACTGGGCATTACAATTCAATAAGAGATTTGGCAGGAACACAGATCCAAATCATACCAGTATATATATGTATACACACACACACACACACACACACACACACACACACTTCATTTAGCCAATGCTGTGTGTAAAGCTACCCCCAAACCTAGTGGTATTATATAAAAATTATTGTATTATGCTAAGAGATTCTGGCCTCATTAATGTATGCTTTTATTCCATGACGAATGGGATCTTGGATTGAAAGCTTCAAATGCCTAGGGTGACTTGAACACCTGAGGGCTGGAGTTATCTGGATACTTTTTACTCACATGTCTGGTGCCTGGGATGGTAAGACTTGAACTCGTTGATCAGATTGTCTTCTCATTGCCTCTCCATATAGACCGGGCTTCCTCAAACATGACAATCTCTGGGTTACTGGACTTTTTGCATAGAGGTTCGGGGTCCATGAATGAATATTTCAGTGAACGAGGTCTTTACAGCATAGCCATAAAAGTCACCTAATGGTGTTTATGCCATGCTTTGCTTGTCAAAACAGTCACAAGATTCAAGGACAAGCAAAACAGACTTCATTTCTCAAAGGGAAGGGTATCAATGCGTGGCTGTGTTTTAAAGCCACCGCAGAGACCAGCATATTTAGAGTTTAGTTCTTACCAAAGTTTGTTAATACTTTCTAAAAATAAATATATTCAGTAAGTCTGAATCAATATAAATGTGCTATAGCAATAGTATTTCTGTTGAATTTGGGTTTTTAGTTCCTGAGTCTAATATTGAGGCAGAGGTCCCAACATTCTCTCACAGTGCTGGGCAACTAAAGTCATATTCCCTGCTCACTGCAGGTCGTTTGACCTAGAAATACAAACAAAAAAACGAAGAAAACCAAGAGATAAATTGTATGGAGACCCATTAAAGTAGTACATTGAAATAAGGGCTGTAATAGAATGTTACCAATAAAAACAGCAACAAAATATGTCCTTGGTTTTAAAATTGATTTATGTAATCCTTTTGCATTTCTATCCAAGTTGAAGATCCAAAGCTGACGCAAATGCAAATACAGCCTCAAGCTATTGAGCAAAAGAATAGCACGTATTTACAGAGCAGTGCGTCTTAACTAAGAGTGCTATTGCCTCTTTTCTCTCCAATGGGCATTTGGAAATCTGTGTGATTGGGTTTTCACAATCACTGGCAGTGTTACTGGCATATAATCAGGATGGAGTGCCCATAAATTTTAAACATCTTGAAATAAAGCCAGTCCCATACAACAAAGTATCGTCCCAACCAAAATTGCAATAGAGCTCTAGTTGATAAATATTAATACAGTGGACAATCTAGAATATACTAACTTGCTTTCTTTAAGAGATAAGAGATATATACACACATACACACACACACACATAAATTTATTTATCATACCAGAAAGTGGCAGCCATTCTTACTGTCAATCCCCATGAAGGGATACCATAATAGAAAATATTTTCTAGTCATTTCTTCTAAGAAGTTTCAGAAATATACATATAGCTCCTTTAAAAAAATTATTGTTATTTCCAGATAATATAACAGAATTTATGTTGCTAATAAAGTCCAAGTTTTGTCGTTGATTGCTAAAGGGGAAGTGAAGTAGAAGAAAAAATAGTCAATTGCAGTAATGTGGTAATAACTACTAAGGGTTTAATTTCAAAAATTGATGAAAGTACTTAGGAAGAATGTATGACCTGGTCTTGGTTTGAGGGAAATCGGGACTGTCTTTCTAGAGATTGAAGAAAAAGCCTTGAGTTACAGGAAGAAGAATGTATCAAGAAAATAATTTGGTGTATGTCAGCTCTGGCCATCTGAACAGGGTTCAGCATTGTTGGAGCTTAATGCATATAGTAAATGACCTAATTAGGTCTGGAGCAAGAAGGACCTTCAGGATCTGACAGTGAAGTGTTAAGCAGGGGAATGACATTGATCTTTTGGCTTTAAGAAATCACTCTGCCTACATATAGGGAAAGAAATACAGGAAAACAAACTAGAGGCTGGGACCCAGTTAAACCAGGCAAGAGACAATTTTGGCACAAACTAAGCATGGCATTAGGGATGACAATCAATTGAAGTAATCAAGAGATAACAGGATGTATAGGGGTTAAGAACTAGGGAATCAGAGGCCTCTAATATGCAGTGGCAAGGAAGGAAATTGAGATGGGGAATATAAGAGGAAGATCAGATATTTTGTATTTTGTGGGAAAGGGGAAGAGTAATAAACAGTTAGCCTGCTGAGCATATTGTAGCCTAGTGTGCATGTTATCAGAGATGCACAGTAGGCAGTTAGATACACAGGTGTAAAGCACAGAGAGAGAGCTGGCCTGCAGATCGAGACTTGGCAGTTTGTTGCCATATTGTATTCAGCCACCATAATATGAAATATTCAGAATACCTTACAGATACCATGGTAGGGTCATTTAGGGGACTTTCTGCTTATTTTCTTTACAGAGGAATGTGACCACTGGGGAAATTACATATCTAGCATTCAATTGTAACCTAAATCAGAGCCAATTGGAAATTTCATCAGATTTAAATGTTTCGGAAAATAGATACCAGCAATAAAGATTACATCATCAGATAGAATATCTATCGATTATCTATCGGCTATCTATATTTTTCCTATATTCTTATTAGTAAAGCTTTGAATTCTTTACACAAAGTCCAGTGTTTCAGCCTAGATTAAAATCCAATTCAAAAGCTGGGCATAATCATCAGCAGTTTTCTTTTTCTATTTATGACCTTGGCTCAAAGAATAAGATTTTCGTATTTTTTGTGAAGGTTGAAAAGTTAACTAGAAAGCGTTATCATGGAGAAAACAGATTGTGGCAGATGTAAATAATCAATAATTGAGGAGGAAAGTGAAAGTATACCAAAAGAATTTGTAGCAGGATGTGCCTCTGTCATGGGGAAATGAGTAATTAAAGTAGTAAGATAATTTGCCCTCTCCATACTTTCTCTATAGTCCTATAGATTATTATAATGCTATTTTACCGAGGTTGTGAGGCAAATTTTCATGAATTTTATAATTGAATATTTAAAAATTTAATAAATTTTGGCTTTCAGAAATACCATTATCAAAGTTAAGGATGATCATAAGCATGATTGCACATCTATCTATCTGCAGAAAGGTTAATGTGGGATTAATAAATAGAATAAAAAATGACTGCTAGTCTATATCATGAAACTTGTGTTTAACTCACAGGTGTAAAAGATGGAGCTAACCTGTAGACTATCATTTAATAATGATTTCAGAATGTGGGAATTGTTAGATTAATGACAATTTTATGAATTCATTTATTCATTATATATTTACTTAACAAATTAGTATGAAGCATCTATTATTATGTGTCAGTCGCTCCTGTATGAGCTGAAGGTACAATAGTGAACAAGAGAGACAATGTGTTACCCCTAAATAACTTATATTCTAGTGATATGGGGGAGATAAAAACCTAGTTATATGTAAGTATTCTGATAAACATAAAGTTTTCAGTGAAGAATAGGTGATTAATATCCTGGATCCAAAATTGATTTGCAGATTTCCATTTTTGTCAATACACTAGAATAGATTATCTCAAAAGTTTTCACTAATAGTATTATAGACCACCAGAATGAAATATCAAAAGCGCTTCCATTATCAAAATGCTTAGTTGAGTTTACAGGAAAGTAGTGAAATCCTCAGGTGCTAAAAAGTGAATAGGGACTTGGAACCCAAAGCATTAACATCAGGTAGAGACAGAAGGTGAAACCTTGCTCCTTTTGAAGTGGTATAATGGAATTAAGATTCATGAATAAAGATGAGATCTCAAAAGGCTCTCTTCTGAGGAAAAGGCTGTAATGTAAAAAAATTCTGCTCATGCATACAGAGAGACATGAGACAAACTTGTCTGTCTTGGCCTGAATTCCAAGTCAGAATAATCATCATTATCCATATCTATGGGCCTGTATGTGCTGATGTTTTGGATTGAGTTTTTACTATTCATGACATTAGGAATCTTCAGTGAAAGATATTAATGAAAAAATTTGTCTGTTTATGGCAAATCCCACTGGATTTCTTATCAATAGCAAACCATGTCTATCTCTGGATAGACACAACTTGATCCAGGTCATATGCTATTTATACAGATAAAGCTCAGTTGAATATGAGTTCATAAGTCAAAATCACAAAATATAACAAACAGGAAAATCCATCACGAATGAGTCAGTAGCAAAAAATCACAATATACAAATCCACCCCTCCTCCCAAACCTCACATACCAGATAAATTAGACTCTAAATTAAATGTTTGGTATTGCTAAGGGTATAAAGAACTCGAGTGCATAGAAATATTAGAGGCTCTGAAAAGTAAAAAGCAGCTTTGAAAGAGAACTATCTCAAATTTTTATAAATAAAAATCATTAGTCATTTAAAATAGACAAAACCCTCAATGCATAGATTAACAAGTAAATTATACACAACTGAAAAAAAATCATAGGTCTAAACAATGTCTCTAATATAACATAGAGAAATAAAAAGAAGACAAAAAAGAAATAGAATTTAATTCATGGATAGAACATGGATCAAGGATTGCACTAATCATTAAGGTATTTCAGAAAAAGCAGATAGAGAATAGGGAAGCAATACAATTGAAACAAACTATCACTGAATTTTTATGAATTCATAAAATAAATAGATCCTTGATATAAAGAGTTATAAAGAGTCTTGAGCAAGAGAAAAAATGAATGCATACCTTGGCGTGTTGTACTGAAATAACAAAACTCAACAGCAAGGACAATATTTTGAAAGTAGTAAGAGGGAAAAGGACAGAGTACTTAGAAGTTAATGATCATGAGAATTAGGCCTGGTTTCTCACCTGAAAAAGACTAAACTATAAGATAGTAAAGTATCTTCTGAGTGGTGAGTTAAAATAACTGTCAATATAGAATTGTATGTCTAAATGTGCCATCATGCAAGAAGAGTGAAATAAAATTGTTTACAGACACACACAGTAAGGGGAAAAATCCCATGCTGAAAGAAAGTAGACCACTAACTTCACAAAGTACGAAAATGAACCCAGAGGGTAACGGTAAAATCCCAAAAGGAATAGTCAGTTCAGAGACTGATGTGCATATGGGTAAATCTAAGCAAAGATCGATAGTATAACAGATAATAAGAGTGATGATAGTTACAATGATAATGAAATACTAATAAATCATCCTGGAATTATAATAACAAAGAGTACTACAATTTTGGATAACAAAGACGAGAAGCTAGTTATGAGTTCCAAAGAACTTCACAAAGTTATTTGTACTGTTCAAAAATGGATGAGAGATATTATTAAACTGTAGTTTGGTTTAATCTATAACATAAAGATCAATTTAAAAAACTTGAGGTTGCAGAAAGACCAAAAGAAAAAACTGTATATTGTGGCAGCTATACAAATATCAGATTAAGCAGACTAAAAGGGAAAAAGAAAAATCACCACATATTATCAATGATGTATTTGCTAAAGTGACAAAATAAAGCAATGTAATAGAATAATTAGAATTTTTGTGCATCTGATAACATAGCTTCAAAATACATAAGGCAAGTACTGCAAAATTGCAAGGGCAAACTTTGTGTCTTACCACTATGATGGGAGAAGAGTTAAATAAACAACATAACAACAAACTAACTTATATACTCTGGTGAACACCTCGATCTCATGATAAAAGGAATATACATTATTTTCAAGAACTGATTACACTTTTACAAAGTTGACCATATACTAGTTAATAAAGCAAATCTGAGAACATATTAAAACAATTATCATATAAACTACATTCTTTGATCAGAATGAAATTAAATTAGAACTCAGTATAAATAAAGAACACCAAATAATGTGCAAGTCTGGAAACATCCTTCAAAGTAACCTATAGGTCCTCCAAAAAAAAAAAAATCACACTGAGGAAATATATATTTAAAATTCTATACTTTTAAATAAAAATTATGTTAAGATAAATATAGTTGGTATTGTGTTTGTAAAAAATAATGAAAACTTGATTGCGGAATCCATAACATTATGGGAAATAGCATTGAAGAACATATATTGGAAAAGACGGAAGGTTGCATCTTAGCTAATCATGCAAATCATAAAGTTTGTAAAACAGCATACCTAAAATGTAATAGAAAGTGTAAAAAATAAGAGTAGAAATTAAAAGTAGAAAATAGGCATCAAATGTAGGGTAACAGTAGTTAAAAATTGGTTTTATATAAAAAGATAAATAAAATATTTTAAATTTCATAAACAAAAAGATTGTGAGAAAATTGTTATGTATGTTTATATATACATATATATGCATGTTGTATATTATATACATATATACACATGCCTACATATGCATATATATATACATGTATGTAAATATGAAAATTGTGTGTGTGTATATATACATATATAGAGAGAGAGATTTATTTTGAGGAATTAGGTAATACATTTGTGGCAAATTTAAAATCTGTGGAGCAGGCTGGCAGGCTAGAAACTCAGGCATGAGTTGATTCTTCAGCCTTGATGTGAAGTTTCTTCTACTCTACAAAATCTTGGGTTTTTTGAGCTTAACACCTTCAACTGACTAGATGAGGCCTACCCATGTTATTGAAGGTAAGAAAATATTTTCACAGCAACCCCTAGATTAGTGTTTGACTAAACTGGGTACTATAGTCTAGCCAAGTTGGCACATAAAACTATTTAAATAACTAATTGTATAAATTCACAATAAATGTAAATGAAAATGAGTGGTCACAAAGGGAGATATATGAATAAGCACGTGAAAATGTGATCATCGTGATTAAGGGAAATGCAAACAAAAACCATAATGATGTTCCATTAAAATGTTTAAAATAAAGACTGCAAACAAATGTTGGAATAAAGAAAAATGATCTGTCATATATTTTGTGGTAATATAAAATGGCTCAATCACTAGGGCTTGGCAAATTTATTTATAAGGTGAAAATGTACACTTATTATTGGATTCAGCAAATCAACTCCTAGGTGCATACCCTAGAGAAACGAAAATATATGTAGAGGACTGAAATAGAAGTCCTAACCCTTTCCAACAAACTAACAGTCTCTCCTTTGGCTAAAAGGCCCCCAAATTTTAAGTTCCCTGCCATGGCAGGACAGAGACTGGCCACATCACATTGACTGCCATCCTCTTTCCTTTTACTAATTGTGATTAGATTTTCTCAAAAGATTGGCTTGAAAGAACAGAAGGCCCAAGACGTGGACCACTTGATGTCTTCCTCCTCTTTTTATGGTTCTGACATGACAGCTATTCTGGACCACATTTTTTTTTTTAAGAGACAGGTTGCTGTTCTGTTACCCAGGCTGCAGTACAGTGGTATGATCATGGCAGCCTCGAACTCCTAGGATCAAGTGATCTTCCTGCCTTAGTTTCCCGAGTAACTGAGAATACAGATGTGTGCCATCACACTTGGCTTATTTTTGTATTTTTTGTTAAGATGAGGTCTCACTATGTTACCCAGGTTGGTTTCAATGCCATTCCATTATTTTTGAAGGATTTTTTTTTTAAATTTTGCTTGCATTTGATGCTCCATAATCTTTGTAACTTTACAGATTTTGCTGTATTTCTTGATATTTTGTCTGTTCACAACAAAATCTATTGCTTTTTATTTTGGTCCCCATTCCTGATAATTGTAGCCTTTACTATATCTTCTTTATGTGCATGTCATTGACAGACCCATCAGTTTGAATGACACATAGGATTTCAGATGCCATGACTAATAAAATTAGAATAATCAGTTTAAGTCTTAGTCTGAGAGCATGATTGGCTAACTACTTCAAATCTAATGCAAAATAAAGAATGTGAGACCCCTTATTTCAAAATCAGATATAAAAGATTTTATAGTGTACTAAAATATAAAATGACTTTTTTCTATTTTCCATGGCTGCTCTTTCTCTACTTGTCATGGCATTTGTAGCATTTTCTATCCAATGACATAAGTTAAAAACATACAGTTTTAAATTGTTAACGTTAATTTTATCACCCATCTTTCTATTTTGCAATGTCAGTGTCTAATGCAAATATGAGGTCATTTACCTAATTTGTGGAATTACTAAATTATTATACTTCATATTTTGTGGCTCATGTATCCTGTATTCCATTCTTATTAGAAGAGTAAAAATCTCACACAAATTTAACTCAATCGATTTTATTCTACTTCCTGATATGTGTACATTTTACCAAAATTTTCTGCCTTTACCTTGCTGGTGAGTAATGAAGGACCAAAAGGTAAAGGTACTATGGGGTGTTCCATGTACGTCATGAATTTGTTTTAAGAGATTAGCTAATTCAGGGAAGTATCACAAGTAAAAAAGCATATGATAGGGTTCCTTGGTCATTGATATTTCTCAGAATGCCACCATCTTTCTGAGTTCAAGTTCTAGTTCCAGTGGAAAATTTGGCCCCTTGGAACTATCAGCAACCAGCACTTCAGTCATAGACCTGGCTATGTTTACCTTGTGCTTGCTTTGAGTCTTGTTGAAGTCAGTTGGGAACACATCATAGGTCCATCAGGATTCTATGCTCGGGAGACATGGCAAGCCCTATGTGAGAAGGGTGGCAAGGAATGGCATACATGGGCATTATACAAAGCTCCTCTCCTCACATGGGTACATGCTCAATTGTCCCACCAAACTTCACACACACAAGGCACAAATTCAAACATAAAGTAATGATCTCGAGAAAGCTACAGAAGCACATTGAGCTAAGTACTGGCTATTTTGAGCCTGTCATATGCTTATGAAGCCAGTCCTGTTTGCAAAGCATACAGTTTCTTATGCTACTGTATTGTTTGAATCGGGTTACCTTAGTACAGAAAGGACACTTCTGCTCCTAGGATTTTTCACTTATAGTTTTTATGTTTTCCGCACAGACTGTAAAAATCACTAAACTGTGAACTGTGGAGTGACAATAAAAGAGTGTTCATTCTATAAATAAATATCAAGATGTTATCTTACAATATTAAAATGTTATCCAAGGTAACAATTTTGGATTTTCAACCTATTTTATATTTTACCTTGTATCTTTAAATAATCTATTATTCTGTATAACTCAAGGATGCTTATGTTTAAAAAGTTACTTCAGTTAATAATGATTTTTAAAATAAAACATGCTTAATTTTGACATTAATCAGAAATTTAAATATTAGTGATTTTTTAGTATTCTGTCTTTTTTAATCTGAACATAAAAAAAGTTATTTTTACTTTCTTCAAAGATTATTTGATTTGTTGGCAAATCTTTGATAATAATCTCCTACATGCTACAGCTTTCCAATCATTTGCAATTCTTTTATTCTAACCTGTAATGATTTCTTGCTTGGCATTTTCTTTTGCTTTGATTAATTTTGTAGAAAAATTCCTGTCATATTGTTGAGAACAAATTCCCTAGTGATTCTATGAAATAAGATAGTATTTTATATAATAATTTGGAATCGAATTTTTCTCTGTCATCTGACGTTACATTTCCTACTTCTATTTTATATGAAATTAATACTCTGTTTTCTCACTTAATTTAAATCCTGCCTGTAAACTGTCATGAATGATATGAATTAAATAAAATAAAGGAAATATCAATTGTATTATTCATTCATTCACTTAACAAATATTTATTATGAGCTTATTGGATGAAGGAGAGGAGTTATTATTTATTCCAAGGAATGCTTAACTAAATCATTATTCTATAGCAAAAGTCAAATGTTAAAAAGAAAAGAAAAAAATAGAGAAAAGAAAAAAGGAATAAAATTAAGATATAAGGTTACAATAGAGTGAATTAATCAAATTCCTTACTGATTTATCTTTTTTAACATACCATTTCAAAACAAGGATTTGTTATGAAAAAATTGTCTTTATCCGTCATTACTTTTTCTCATGTTATTGTTTTTTATGCACTAAAAAGATATGAGTTCTTGAAATATTGGTACAGCTTTCTGAATATATAAAAGTATATTAATAAAAATAGAGAGCTGAGTTTAGCTTTCTTTTTGTGACTTTTATATTTAATAACTCCAATGTATTTGATGAAACACAAATAAATCAGCTCAGAAGAATTTAACTGTAATATGTATGCTAATATTGTTTGCATTCATTCTGTAAGGGAATCAGAAACCGAAGTGACCAAAAGTTGAATTTTATATTTCCTGAGGGAACCCTTGGAATAAACAAGGCATACAATGACTATTTGTAAAACATGTCAAAAACCCAGTGACCTGAGTGCCCTGCCTTTCACATGGATGAATGAAAAAAAAAACAAGACACAAACTTTTTTTGTTAATAATATGACATACAGTCATATCACTTATTTTTCTATGATCAAAAATGTATATGTATAATTATTATATTTTGAAAATTAAATATTATAAAGTTCTTAATCATTTCCAATGTACCTATGGCCTCAGAATCCAATAACATTAGAATGTTCTAAATAAATACTTATTTATTTTTGGTTTTTCCACTGTCATTCAAAAAGAGAATTAGCTGCTCTCTATATGATGAAATAAGGAGAGGGAATAAAATGTTTGGTCGCTGCCATCACAAATGTTGGGAAAAGTGGAACCCCTATTACACTACTGGTGGCATAATAAATTTGTAAGTCATTTCAATGGAGAAATTTATTCCATCCTATTTAAATATGTGTGCAATTTGACCCATATATTTCATTTCTAATCATCATTATTGAAAAATATAGTCTTACATACTCTTTCCTTTATATAGAATGCTTATAATAGTATTGCTTATATTGTGAAAAAAGTTAACTAGCAGATTGAATAAATAAATCCATGTGACAGGGAATTGGCAGCCACAAACATATTGGTGGTAGATTAATACATAATATATAATAACATTTAATTATTTTGTATATGGCTTACTAAAATATATAAGTATAATTAATGACATAATGATAATAAAGTAATTAGAATTAATACTAACAAAGGAAATATGCATGGTATGTTGACAAACTGTTAAATGTGAAGATAATTACAAAATGTTATTTCATCATGCTTCGGTACAAGTAGAGATGTGTCTATATATTATGCATACCATAATAAAGTGAGGTGAGTGTAGAAAAAGACATGCAATATCAGTCACAAAGTTGATGGCAGTATTTATGTTTTGTTGGGGTCACAGAGCTTTATATTTTCTTCTTTTTTATTTTCCAAATGCTCTATTATAAATTTATTAAAATTCAAGTATTAACTATTCTTTGTATGCAGGAGGAAAACTACTATGCCATAAACAAATTTTGGGATACAAATTGCCAAAATGAATTTTAGCTTCACTATAAACCCTCAAATGAAACATGAATTTGCATTAAATTTTCCAAATAGCTGTTAAAGCTTGATTATTTAATATACAAAAACCTTTTTCTGTTAAGAATGCACATAGTACTCTATGTAGGTGAGATATGGCTAAAAGTTAAAACGTGTTGATTACAAAGCAAAAATTAAATAAAGGAACTCCCTGCAGGACAAATCTGAACAGTATTTGAAACAGAAAATTTAACTTGACTTCATATTTAGATCTCTGGGCTAAACCCTATATTTCTTGGTAACCTGCATAACCTCCACTATTTTGCATTTCAGAGTGAGAAATCCAGCAGCTGTAATCCTATTTTGGCTTTTAACACTTAGAATACTATGTTAAATTCATTTTATATATTTACCCCTTAGTTACTCATATATAATGTAATGCTATTACCACTATTTAAAATGTTTAAAAGGAATGAGTAGGGGGGAGATGGTGGATAGGAGACAGCAAACATGTAGCTCCCACATGGATGAACAGAATAGCATGTGGAGACTCACACCCTGATATTTCGCTCCAAGAACCACCACAGGAATGTACCAGGAAAACCAAAATAATTCACAGATCCTTTGAAATAAGCAGCACACCGCTGCAAATTCTGTGACGGGTAAAAAATTGCGAGTTTCCAAAGTGTGAGAAGCGGAAAACCTACCACGGCACACACATCTGCACTGTGGAATCTGAAAATCCAGATCACAAAAGAAAGATTTAACCTTGCCTAGAGATGAAGTGGGTTTAGAGAGTCCCAAGAAATATAAAAGTAAAAGTAGCAGTGGGAAGTGCCTTGAATACATTCCCAGTCTCCAGCTTGAGCTGTGGGAAGCAACCTCTAACTATATCTCACAGGGGCCCTTGAGAAAGGTCGCCAGTGGAATTGCAGAGGGGTTGTTGGGCAAAGGAAGCTCTCAAAACTGGTAGTGCTTTTGACTAGGCATCGATTTTCTTGAGCAGTGTCTTGGGGGACAAGTGGGAGCTGCTATGGATATGAGCAAGCTAGTACAGGAGCTCAGAAGTTGCCACTGACAGAGAGGGCAGACAGAAAGAGTTGAGGTCTAAAAGCCAAAAGCCATGCTTGCTTTCTCAGCAGGGATAGTTCATGGCCTGGATCAAGGGATCAACCCATGGGACATGAGACTGTGAATAGCATCCCTTGAGTTTCAGACCTCTCCACTGAGTTAGTCTACCCAAATTAGAACGAACCAGAAAAGTGATTCTGGTAATATGACAAAACAAGTTTCTATAACATCCCCAATAGATCACACCAGCTCCCCAGCAATGGATCCAAATCAAGCAGAAATCGCTGAAGTGCCAGATAAATAATTCATAAGGTTGATTATTAAGCTACTCAAGGAGACAGCTGAGAAAGTCAAAAAACAACTTAAAGAAATGTAAAAATCAATACAGGATATAGAAAAAAGTTATCCAGAGAAATAGACATCATAAAGAAAAAAAATCACAAATTCTTGAAATGAAAGACAAACTTATAGAACTACAAAGTTTAGTAAACAATTTCTTTTTTCTCTTTTTTCTTTTTCTTTTTTGAGACAGAGTCTTCCTCTGTTGCCCAGGCTGGAGTCCAGTGGCACAATCTTGGCTCACTGCAACCTCTGCCTCCCAGGTTCAAGATGTTCTCATGCCTCAGCCTCCCAAGTAGCTGAGACCACCAGCCCGGCTAAGTTTTGTCTTTTTAGTAGAGAAGGGGTTTGTTGCCCAGGCTGGTGTTTGAACTCTTGGTCTCAAGTCCTCTGCCCGCCTTGGGCTCCCAAAGTGCTGGGATTGCAGGCATTAACCATTGTGTCCAGCCAACAGTGTCAACAACAGACTGAAACAAGTCAAAGAAAGAACTCCAGAGTTTGAAGACAAGACTTTGGAATTAACCTAATCAGACAAAGACAAACAAAAATAATTTCAAAAAATGAACAAAGCCTCTAGGAAATTAAGGATTATGTTAAAAATTAGGGATTATGTTAAACAGCCAAAACTAAGAATAACTGGTGTTCTTGGAAAACTTATTTGAGGGAATAATTGAGGAAAACGTCCCTGGCCTTGCTAGAGATCTAGACGTCCAAATATGAGAAGCTCAAAGAATTGCTGGAAAATTCATTGCAAAAAGATCATCACCTAGGCACATATTCATCAGGTTATTTAAAGTTGAGACAAAGGAAAGGATCTTAGGAGCTGTGAGACAAAGCATCAGGTAACCTATAAAGGAAAACCTATCAGATTAACAGCACACTTTTCGCAGAAACCTTAGAAGCCAGAAGGGATTGGGGTCTCATCTTCAGAATCCTGAAACAAAATTGTCAGCCAAGGATTTTGTATTCAGTGAAACCAAGCTTTTATAAACAGAAGAAAGATAAAGTCTTTTTCAGACAAACAAATGTTACTGCTATAACACCACAAGAAATGCTGAAAGGAGTTCCAAATATAGACACAAAACCTTGAAATATGCCAAAATAGAATATCCTTAAAGCATATATCTCACAGAGCGTATAAAACAATAACACAATGAAAAAGAAAAGTATTAAGGCAACAACTAACATGATGAATAGAACAATACCTCATATCTCAATACTAACTTTGAATGTAAATGGCATAAATGCTCTGCTTGAAAAGATGCAGAATGGCAGAATGGATAAAAATCCATCAACCAAGTATCTTCTGTCTTTAAGAGACTCAGCTAACACTTAAGGACTCACATAAACCTAAGGAAAAGGGATGGAAAAAGATATTCTGCTCAAATGGAAAGCAAAAGCAAGCAGCAATAGCTATTCTTGTAGCAGGCAAAACAGACTTTAAAGCAACAACAGTAAAAAAAGACAAAGATGGGCCGGGCATGGTGGCTCATGTCTGTAATCCCAGCACTTTGGACGGCCAAGTTGGGGGGATCGCCTGAGGTCAGGAGTTCGAGACCAGCCTGGCCAACAGGGTGAAACCCCGTCTCTACTAAAAATACAAATATTAGCTGGGTGTGGTGGCAGGCCCCTGTAATCCCAGCTACTCAGAAGGCTGAGGCAGGAAAATCAATTGAACTTGGAAGACAGAGTTTGCAGTGAGCCAAGATCACACCCTTGCACTCCAGCAACAAGGCCAAGACTTAGTCTCAAAAAAAAAAAAAAAAAAAAAAAACCTAAGAAATGAGATAGATGGCAACATGATAATAGTGGGGACCTTCAATGCTCCACTGACAGCACTAGATAGGTCATCAAGACAGAAAGTCAAAAAGAAACAATGGACTTAAACTATACCCTACAACAAATAAACTTAACAGATATTTACAGAACATTCTACCAAACAACTGCAGAATATACATTCTTTTCTTCAGTACATGGAACATTTTCCACGATAGATCATATGATAGGTCACAAAATAAGTCTCAAATTTAAGAAAATCAAAATTATGTCAAATATCCTCTCAGACAACAGTAAAATAAAACTGGAAATTAAATTTAATAGGAACCCCCCAAACCTCACAAATACCTGGAAATTAAATGATCTGCACTTGAATGATCTTTGGGTCAACAATGAAATCAAGATGGAAATTTAAAAACTTTGAGCTGAATGATAATAGAGACACAACTTATCAAAACCTATGGGATACAGCAAAAGTGGTGCTGAGAGGAGAGTTCATAGCATTAAATGCCTACATCAATAAGACTGAAAGAGCACAAATAGATGATCTAAGGTCACACCTCAAGGAACTAGAGAAGTAAGAACAAGCCAAACCCAAACCCAGCAGAAGAAAAGAAATTAAAAAAAAATCAGAGCAGAACTAAATGAAATCAAAACAATAAAAAGTACAAAATATAGATGAAACAAAAAGCTAGTTTTTTGAAAAGATAAAATTGATAGACTGTTAGTGAGATTAACCAAGAAAAGAAGAGAGAAGATTCAGTTAAGCTCAATTAGAAATGAAACAGGAGATTTTACAACTGATACCCCAGGAATACAAAAGATTATCCAAGGCTACTATGAACACCTTTATGCACGCAAACTAGAAAATCTGGATAAGATGAAGAAATTCCTGGAAATATACAACCTTCCCAGATTAAATAAGGAAGAAATAGAAACCTTGTACAGACCAGTAACAAGTGGTGAGATTGAAACAGTAATTAAAAATTTGCCAACAAATAAAGTGCAGGACCAGATGGATTCACAGCTCAATTTTGTAAGACTTTCAAAGAAGAATTGCTACTAATCTTAGTGAAACGATTCCAAAAGATAGAGAAAGAAGGAATCCTCTCTAAATCATTCTATAAAGTCAATAAAACCCTAATTCTAAAACCAGGAGAGGGCATAACAATAATGAAAACAACAGACCAATGTCCTTGATGAACATAGATGAAAAAATCCTCAACACAATATTAGCCAACCAAATCCAACAGCACATCAAGAAGATAATACACCATGATTAAATGAGTTTCATACCAAGGATACAGGGTTGCTTTAAGACACACAAGTCAGTAAATGTGATACATCACATAAACAGAGTTTTAGAAAAATCATATGATCATCTCAGCAGACACAGAAAAAGCATTTGACAAAATCCAGCATCACTTTATAATTAAAACCCTCAGCAAAATTGGCATAGAAGGATCATACCTCAAGGTAATAAAAGCCATATATGAAAAACTCACAGCCAATACTACATTGAACAGGGAAAAATGGAAAGCATTCCCCCGAGAACTGGAAGAAGAGGAGGTTCCCACTTTCACCACTTCTGTTCAACGTAGTATTGGAAGTCCTAGCCAGAGCAATCAGACAAGAGAAATAAATAAAGGACATCCAAATCAGTAAAGAAGAAGTCAAAGTGTTGCTGTTTGCCAAGACAGCAACAAGATATGATTGTATACCTATAACACCCTAAGGAATCATTCACGAGGCTCCTAGATTTGATAAATGAGTTCAGTAAAGTTTCAGGATAAAAAAAAAATCAATGTACACAAATCAGTAGCCCCGCTATACTTAGGAATCTACTAACAAAGGAGGTAAAATATCTCTACAAAAGAAAAAAAAACCTATACTGCTGAAAGAAATCATCAATGATTCAAACGAAGGCAAATGGATGGGTAGAATCAATATAGTGAAAATGACCATACTGCCAAACGCAGTCTACAGATTCAATGCAATTCCTATCAACATACCAAAATCATTTTTCACAGAACTAGAAAAAAAATCCTAAAACTCATATGGAACCAAAAAAGATCTCACATAGCCAAAGCAAGACTAAACGAAAAGAACAATCTTGAGGCATCACATTACCTGACTTCAAACTATACTGCAATGCTATATTTACCAACACAGCATGGTACTGATACAAACATAGGCCAGTGGAACAGAATAGAAAATCCAGAAATAAAGCCAAGTGCTTAGAGTCAACTGATTTTTGACAAAGCAACAGAAAATGGGAAAAGAACACCCTATTCATCAAATGGTGCTGGAATAACTGGCAAATTACATGTAGAAGAATGAAACTGGACCCCCTTCTTTCACCTTATACAAAAATCAACTCAAGATGGATCAAAGACTTAAATCTAAGACCTGAAATCATAAAAATTCTAGAAGATAACATTGGAAAAACCCTTCTAGACACTGGCTTAACCAAAGGCTTCATGAGCAAGAACCCAAAAGCAAATGCAACAAAAACAAAGATAAATAGATGTGACTTAATTAAAGAAAAAAGCCTCTGCACAGCAAAATAATCAGCAGAGTAAAACAGACTACACACAGAATGGGTGAAAATACTTGCAAACTATACCTCTGACAAAGTACTAATATTCAGAATTTACAATGAACTCAAACAAATCAGCAAGAAAAAAATAACATCAAAAAGTGGGCAAAGGACATGAATAGACAATTCTCAAAAGAAGGTATACAAATGGCCAATAAACATGAAAAAAGGCTCACTCAACATCATTAATTATCAGGGAAATGCAAATAAAAATTACAATGTGATACCAACTTAATCCTGCAAGAATGGCCATAATAAAAAAAATTTAAAAATAATAGATCCTGGCATGGATGTGGTGAAAAGGGAACACTTTTAAGCTGCTTATGGGAATGTAAACTAGTACAACCACTATGAAAAACAGTATGGCGATTCCTTAAAGAACAAAAAGTGGAACTACCATTCAACCCAGCAATCCCATGTCTGTGTATTTACCCAAAGGAAAAGAAGTCATTATATGAAAAAGATGCTTGCACACACGCATTTATAGCAGCACAATTTGTAATTGCAAAAATATAGAACCAGCCTAAATGCCCATTGACCCACAAGTGGATAAAGCAAATGGGGTATATATACACCATGGAATACTACTCAGCCATAAAAAGTAATGAAATAATGGCATTTGCAGCAACCTAGATGGAATTGGAGGTGGTTATTTTAAGTGAAGTAACTCAGAAATGGAAAACCAAATATTGTATGTTCTCTTTTGTAAGTGGGAGCTAAGCTACCAGGACAAAAAGGAGTAAGAATGATATAATGGATTTTGGAGATGTAAGGGTAAGGGTGGGAGGAGAACGAGGGATAAAAGACTACACATTGGGTGCAGTGTACACTGCTCGTGATGGGTGCACCAAAATCTCAGTAATTACCACCAAAGAATTTCTCTATGTAACCAAAAACCACCTGTTCCTCAAGATTATTGAAATAAATAAAAAGAGGTTATTCTCCCAAGTTCATATAGTTGGGAGATATTGGAACCATTAAACTAATAAGGGTGAAGAGAAAAATAGAACTATGATACGGGATTTAGTGGTTTTAGACACCTACATTGATGGCAGCTGCCTCGAGGAATGAGATACACAACAGTCCAATGTGTTTCTTACCTCAATTTTGGAGATGCACAACAAAAAAGTACTTGTAGAATCAAAGCAGATAGATATTTCCCCCACTTAAATGTGAATAAAATATAATTGAGTAGAAGAAAATTAAAAGAGAATAAAAATTATGTTGTACCTATGACAAAATACTGCTATAAAGAAAATGATAAAAACAAAATATAAGGGATCAAAACAAGTAACTAGAATATAAAAATCAGTTATGAAATTGATCAAGGTAGCCATTTCTTGCTATTCCTGTCATTAACTGTCCACTGTTTTTTTCTTTATGGTTTTACTTGTGTTTATGGAGTGAAATGAGGTAAGGAGAAAGCCCAACTCCAGATCCCTTTTAGCAATATTATTAGATAACTTTATTCAGTTGGGAATGATGTTTAATAGATGGATACCCCACAAGCCCTAACTTGACTACTATGCAATCTGTGCATGTAACAAAATCGTAGTTGTATCCTGCAAATTTATATGAAAATAAATAAATAAATGGCATATTTTTTAAAAAGTACTGAATCAGATAACATTAGAATTAAAAGAGAGAGAGTTTGGCTTCTTGGGCATATCCTGTGAAAGAACTAGGAGAAATAATTTGTTCAATAAGGAAAGCAGAGCTCTGTAAGTTTCCTCTTTTATTCAGGGTATTGGTATTTAGGAAGAAATGAAGGGTGTATAAGAGTATTTTTGAATACTGAAAAAAATCAAATATAAGAGTCACTGACGAACAACCATTAACTTTTGACTCTCTGCTAACATGAATGTTGCTATATGTATGTGAAGACAATTATTTAAATTAATGAATATGAGCAAAGTCTAGGAAATTCTCTCCATTGAAATGTGATTGACTCGGATTTGCATGACTGCTAAAAATATTACGGAAGTTGGAGCAAGACTTACAATCATCAGACATAGTTAATATATGTTATAATACTTATCATGGCATTGAGTTACTCACAGTCAGCCAAGGGGAAAACTGTAGGTAGTTGAAATGCTTCCAGAAGACAGCTGCTTGGACATGTCAGAAACTAATTAAAAAGTACCGGGATGAGCATGACGCTGACAGGCCGAGCTGAACATGTGAGAGCCCTGCCGAGCTTGTGATGGCAGGATCACTAGCAGCTTATTCTTTAGTAAGAAAAGCTCTCCATGATTACAAGGGCAATGACAGCCCATAAGGGAGCACCAACCATAAAGCAACTAAAGCCTTCAATGGGAGTCCCCCTGAGGAACACTAAGCAATAAGGCTTTTGGGTAAACACAGCATAGATCATCATCATGACAGATAAACTCTCTGGAACTGTCTAGTGACAGATTGCTTGTTAATGAATAGTTTGTTAATAAGCAGGGCAACTGAGAGTTGAATGTTGATGTTGAGTCAAAGGTCATATCTGTCAATCTGTTTATGCCGAAATGTTTGTCCTTCATGGAGTTGCTACACGTTTTCTTTAAATAAAACATGAAGAAAATGTACATTCTATATTTGAAGCAGATATTAATAGAGGAATTTTCCTTTCACTAAAGCCTAGAGTAGGCAAGTGCCATATAAACTATAAAATACCCTAGTGTATCATCCAGCCAATGTATACCTTAGATGCAAAGAAAAAATATTCTTTAAAATAATTTATCTTCTTTAGCCTATCGACATTATAATTACCATGGATAATTTCACTAAGTGGTCTGAGACTTGAAAGTATTCCCAACCAGGAGGTGACTAATGGAAGTAGAATTTTTGATGAGCTTTAATTGGTTGTTGAGCTTGAGGAGTTATTTGAACTGAAGTAAAATAAGTAATCTCAAATATTTTAAGTCCAAAATGGCCATCGATATCTACAAGGTCATTGAGTGAATTTATTCACTTAAAAGCTTGGAGAATGCATTTGGATAGAAATGCACAGAGACTTCTTTTGGCCATTACAAGGTTTAATGTGCCCAGCTACGATAAACACAGTAACACTTGCTGGCCTGTGTCAGAAAATCCAGCTTTGTTAGTCATGATTCAGCCAGGTTGAAGATATACATTGAAAACAGTTGGGCAAAAAAAGTTAAGGAAAAAAGACATCACATGTAGATAGATCTAGAAAGGAGCTGATAAGTTGAGGACATCGGTGTAAAGTTTACCTTTGAGACTACAATGTGGTGGTGCAGAGAGCTTGCTTCACTAGAACTTCTTCCTTTTGATGTATTTGCATGTAACAAATTAATTTACAGCAATGTCATATGCATATATCTCCTCTAAATCACAAATTTTTCACTACACAAATATAACCTTTTTATGTATTATCAACAGATCATAAAATTTACTTTAAATTAATGTTAAACAATTAGGTAATGTGTACTGTATTTTTCAAGTGCAAAATAGGACTGAATCTGAAATTCCAAAATTTGGTCAGATTCATTCACAAAAGTAGTAAATTTGTATCCATCTTGGCTGAAATGACTTGACTGAAATGCTAGAGGTAATCCTATTTTCTTTTTCTTTATTATACCTCAGAAATCATTTGTTATGCCCATCTTTTGCCAGTGTTAATTGTTGCAGGAGGCAGATACAATACTTCTTTTACTAAGTATTTTTCACAATACTTAGTAAAAATTGTTGGGTATATTATTATTCTATGATGTAAATGTACTGCCAGTCAGAATGGTTTGGTCACCATATTTGGAAAATTGCAAGTGGTTTTGAAAATAATTTTAAAGTACGTATTTCAAAGTACTGTTGACTTCGTACTCACAAGCAATGGAATGGGAAATTAAAAACATCACAGCCACAAGCAGAGGTAAGATTTTGATAACCTTGGAAGAGGATGCATAATGGATACTTTTGTGCTTAGATATACCAGAAACATATATTGATAATCTGTAAGTAGTGTCTATTGGAATAAGACCTGCAAGAGTCTCCAAGATGAGAAATTAAAATGGAATTAAGAAAGACCTTCACCCCATCTACTCCTTTTAGAAGAGATGGTAAAAATTATAAACCACCTTAGTCATTAATGTTAGTAGTCAGTCAGTCAGATGATGAGCTATTGTTTGTGTGCTTTGTTAAAAGTGATTTATTTCTATGTCTTTATTAATATTTGTGATTGAAAAAATGTTCAAAACATAGAATAAATTAAATCCAGTATTTGATAGCACAACAGGGTGAGAACAGTCAACAATAATTTAGTTATTTTAAAATAACTAAAAGAATGGAATTAGAATGTTCCTAACACAAAGAAATGTTAAATGCTTGATGTGATGTACCCCATTTACCCTGATGTGATTATTACATATTGTGTGCCTGTATCAAAACATCACAGGTACCCCATAAATACATACAGCTGCTATGTACCCATAAAAATTTAAAAAATAAAAAAACCCTAGAAAAGCAATGCGTTAGAATCTTAACTTGGGCTTTCCCCTTTTTTTCCAATCACAAATACTAATAAAGACATAGAAATAAATCTCTTTTAACAAAGCACACACACAAATCATGGAATACTGAGAAGGAAATGTGTCCCAGTAGAGTGAAATTTCTGGCTGATGTAACTGAAAGCTAAGATTTTAATCTATCTGTGACAGGCTCTGAAATCCCTGACCTTTATTTTTACTCCATCATTGCATGTCTAAATAATTATAACCATCACTCTCAATTATTACATGCCTACTGTGGCCAAACACCTTGTGTTTATGGCTGCTAATTCACACAGTGGTTCTGTGAGGTGGACAGTATTATTCTATTTACATAGGAGAAAATGGATATTCGTGGGATTTAACTTGACCCACGTCTCATAGCTAGAGGGGGCAGAGCTAAAATCCAGCTCAGTTGTCTCATTGCCTTGCCTTTCAGGAACTTGCCTCTCAGGAACTTGTATCTTGCCTCTCAGGAACTCGAACTCAGGGAAATTAATGTTTGAAGAGTTTTCTGTAATTTTTCAAATAAATGAAAATGATAGTATTTTAGGAAGCAGACTAATTTTATAATTTTCCTTTATGCCGACATGCAATAAAACAAATTGAAACTTTGTCAGAGAAATAATTTGACAATTCTGTTTAGCTTTTGAAGGCAAATTTCTATTAATCTTTTCAGAACGAATTAAAAACAAAGAATAACTCATTAAGTGGAAGCTCATTAGCACTTGGCTTAGAGAGTTGAGTCGTCCCATAAAGACCAGAGTTTGCAACAGTTTAGCAATTATTTGTGCAATGCCACATCCTGCCAGGGATGAACTGCTTCAAGGGTCACCGGAAGGAGACACTCATTGTTAGAGAAGGCTTTTGAGTGAAAAAAGTTTCATCTTTAAAATGATGACTCAATCAATAATCAATAGAGACTGGGAGTTGGAGCATAATCACAACAGGAGCCACTTAACCTGAGTGATTACAGTGATTGTCAATTTTATCTCTGAGATAATGATATGGGGGAAGAAAAGAACCTAGATCTGAATCAGCAGTTTCACTTAGGGAAATGCTAACAATTGGGAAAAAAGACTTCTAGGCATAAATTATAGTTTTAAAAACTCCTTCAAAATGAGACCTGGTCCTCTTAATGTATTTCAGTTATTTAAACTTTATTAGTGTGTAATGCTGCCACTGAATGTCAAAGATATATGAGGTTGCTCAGGAATGCCTGGTATGGTCTTTGATTGTGGGCTACAGGAATTTATTCAAAGGGGACTTTTGGAACAAGACTTAAAAACATCTAAGGGCAGGCATAAATAAGGCACAGGGAAGGACCTTCCCAAAACCCTTTCTTCTTTTCTGAATAGAGAGCAAGAAGTGGAAACAATTTTATTCATCATCATTCTAGTTAGTTATTTGGCAAGTTTATAACAGCAAATTAGTAAGCCAGGATATAGATATTCCTATAGTTCTCACTATAAGGGCAGCAAGATGTTTGTTCAAATAAACTATCCCTGAAACTTCATTTTTCTATGCCTCCTTTTTTGTTGCCTTTAAATTTTTACCTTTAAGACAAGATTAGAACAAATAAAACCATTTGAACAAATGAAAAGCTGTTTTACTGTTTTTGATTAAGAAAGCTCAACATAGTAATGTTAATTCTACTAAAGAAAATCTATAGATTTGCTGCAATACCGATAAAAATAACAGCATTTTTTTCCCTGAAATAAGACAGGTTGATCTTCTTGAATTTAATATGTATATTTTATTTATTGCAGAATAGGATGTTATTGTTTATTTATTTATTTTTTAAGGCTAGTCAAGTGAAATAGTAGGAGTGGAAGAGGAACAAATAAATCTGTTAACTTGTGATCAATTTGTTGTAAATATCACTGCACTTGGACCAGCCTGCATGTGTTTTTATTATGCAAATATAAATATCTTAGCTATTATATTCTTAATCTTACTTTTTAAACTAAGCACTATATTTTTAAGTTCAAGGCATATAATTCTTTCTATACATCTAATGTGTTGCTTATAACTGTTGCATAATACTCCATAGCGTACATGCACCAAATTTAATCTATCTACTCTGCCAAACAGGGGCAGCTACATTGACTAGAATGCCTTCCTGCCAGATGTAATGCTGTGACAATATCCTGGTACATTATGCAGTTAAGCATTTCTATGTAATATATATCTAAATGTATATTTTCTGGTCTACAAATGTGCCAGAATATTCTTCACAATGGCTCTATCAATTTACATTTCTATTACTTAAATATTTCTAGAATCTATACTCTTGTTTTATTCCATTGCTGTTAACTTTGTTTAGGTCCTGAATTACATAGATAATACACTCCAAGTTAGTTTTCTATATGCTGTCTTATCTCTTCAGATTCATTTCCATACCAGTGCCAGAGTGATCATTGCAAAGCATGTATTCTAGTATCTTGTCTTGCTTTCTCTCTTTCTGTGGATCTTTTACAAAATCTTTGTATTATAAGTAACTCCTTTAAAACTTTCTAACTCCTCACCCCCCAACCCACCAGCCTCTGCCAAACACAAACAGACAAACCTAAATGGCTATTAACCAAGCCATTGTAATTGTCTTGTATTCATGATTAAGTAAATATTTATTACTTTATTTAATAATTTATTTCTAATATTATTAATATGTTCTAGACAATATGCTAGTCAGAGAGTATGTAATCAAGAGTTAGCTAAAGAGGGTCTGTTTTCTCATAGAACTTACATTTTACTTTGGGAAACTGGTAATAAGCAAGTAATCAACAACGTAAAACAAAATATTACAGTGCTCAAGTCCAAACGTGTATATAATCGCATTCTTTTCTTAATATTCTTTATATACGGTACCTCCTTGATAATTCCATTCATTTTTCATGTGGTGTTTCTCCTACTCTATTGGCAGAGCTTTAATTTGTTTTTCTCATTGCAAAATGTTTAAGGGACTATAAAAGGAATGATAGTTCAATGTCCAGCATATATATCATAGAAAAGTTACCCAATACATTTTTGCTGAAGTAATTAGTATATAAAATAATCTGTTAGGATATAATTGCATATTTTATTAATTACCTGTTATATGCTTAACACTCTGCTAGACATTACGGTAAATGCATCAAAAAATGATAAGTTATCCTTTTTAGGAAGGTTATAATCTACTTCTAGAAACAACTAAAGGTCATAATACTATCTTCTAAATGCCAAAATACTGTAGAAAAAAGAAAAGATAGTTATGTATAACAGTATGCAAAAGTGTTAGTGATAAGTTGGAGATTAGTGAGCTTTAAAATCTGAGTAGAATTTAGGCAAGCAGGATATAAAATGAGTTCATTCTAAGCATTCTAAGGGTGAAAATGTATAGAGGTTCCCTAAGCATGGCATTTGAGAAACACATGGAGCTCTGTGTAATAAACTTGGACTGAGTCCAGAGTATGTTCTAGGGCTTGGGTTAGTTAGTCTCTGTTAGTACAATGATAAACCCAAAGGCTAGTTGTGAGACCATTTTGACTTGTGTGGTTAATTCAAGATGGAGAGTGAGAAGATAAGAAGTAGGTCTGATAAAGTGTCATGGTGTGCATATGTGTGTGAGTGTGTGTGCTTGAGAGTGAGGGGTGTGTGTGTGTGTGTGTGTGTTTGTGTGTGTGTTCTTGAAAGCCAAGCAACACACCTGAGTGTTTTCTTTGTAGACAATATGTTTGAAGCTAAGACATGATAAAATCCATGAAAGAAAAAATAAGCTGTATCATAGGTGTGCACAAAGAATATTAGATATGAACAATTAAAATGAAAGCTACCAGTTAGGAAACCATTTTCAGTGGTAGAAGCTTTTTATATTATGGGAACAGTGGAAATATGAAGGAAAGAACAGATGCTAGAGTTATTTTTAAGAAATATGTCATGCCTGATAGGGTATTAAGACTAAAGTACAGACATGAGCTAAAATCGCCCAAAGATTTGCATTTTTAGGGCCTAGAAATTGGTTACCAAAAACATATAACATTTTTTCTTGGAGAAAATGGTGTGTTTATTTTTATACACACTGAATTGAAATGGAAATGTTCTGTAGTTAGCTGAACATATGTGAAAAGTGAAAAAAAAGAGTTACAATAAAAGAAAATGCCAATATAAATAAAATAAAAAGGATAAAAGGAAACGAGTATATTTTATGCATCACTAGGCTGAATATATTTGTTAATGCACCACGGCCTTTTGAATGTGTATATACATATTTTCTACTTCCTATGTTTCACACTTAATGTACTAAATTTATATATTTTACAGCCAAAACTTGTTCTAATAAAACTATTTTTAACATTTAATACTAATCACAAATTTAATTTCTTAAATTTTCTTAAAACTTAATTTTGCAATGACACTTATTTTGTCTGATTTTTAAATTTCCCTAATATTTTGAACAATAATAAACCCACATTATGTGAAAATACTTAAACAAAAATGTGTTCTAAACTATAATACCATTGGTTTAATCCATGTTATCTTTTTCTTTGTTCAATTTTATACTCCCTTGGAACTTAGAACCTTCTTACTATGATACTTTCCAGGTAAGCTTAAAGAACCCCTCCCCCGCGAGAAAAAAGACCCTCTCAGTTCAGATCGTATTATTTACGTGAATTATCCTAAATATTTTAAATCTGATTCATGTTTCCTAGATCAGCTTTCTTTCTAGAGCACTGGTCCCCAACCCTCAGGCCATGGACCAGTAGTGGTCCGTGTCCTGTTAGAAACTGGGCTGCACAGCAGGCGCTGAGTGGTGGGAGAGTGAGCGTTACTGCCTGAGCTTCACCTCCTGTCAGATCAGCGGTGGCATTCAATTCACATAGGAGCAGGAAGCCTATTGTGAACTGCGCATGTGAGGGATCTAAGTCCTGTGCTCCTTATAAGATTGTAATGCCTGATGATCTGAGGTGGAACGGTGTCATCCCAAAACCATCCTCCCCTCCATCTGTGGAAAAAATTATCTTCCACAAAACAGGCCCCTGGTGCCAAAAAGGTTGGGGATCACCAGAGTACACATTACTTGTTTGATAAGTAAGACTCTTAAACCTAATCCTTTCATTTAAACCTTAGGTTATCACGTGATCTTGCCCCTCCCTCTCTCCTTCTGTCACTAAATGTTTTATTTTTAATGGGCATAACTCATTTCCTTGTCAACCTAATGTACCTTCCTGATTTATTATTATTTCAAAAAATTACCAATGCCTTGTTAATACCAAGCATGTCCTGGGAGATAAGGACCTTTGTGCCTTTAGTCCCACTCATTAGGACACTGAGCTAATGTGTTATCTTGAAATACACTATTGAGCACTCTATTTCATTAACGTGTAAAAACTGTTCCTGACTCAAGTCATGGAAAGAGCTACCTTGCAAGGATTCCAGTTGGTTTTGGCTGAATAATAATATAAAACATGATCTGCATAGTGGATACGCATGTGCACTGGTGGATGCACACTAGTAGTAGTGCTGGTACTTTTGGGACACTTCTACCATCATAAAGTGGTAGGATGTATACTGCCAAGATTATGAGTTCATCTTGAGTTTTCTAATTCTACATCTAATGTTAACCCCATCCTTATCGTCAGGGTTTCATCCACATGAAGGCTTTCCTCCTATACTCACAATCTCCATCATATGTACCATCTGAATAAAAGTTGAGAACAGTATTCAAGAATTTGATAAAACAGAACGACAAAACTTGGTTTCTCTCTTTAGTAATTGATCAATGTTAAACGGAAAGAGACAGGAAGATTGGATAGTAAAGAAATGAAAATGGCAGTCACATCATGTATTTCAAAGGCAAATTGGCGAGAAAGAGAAATACTAAGGATACCCATGCACATGGAAAGGCAGAAGAGAATTGCCCAATAGGGAGATCATGCTGGAAAACTCTGGAAAGGGGATGGTCAAAACCTAAGATATGGGGATTAAGTGAGATCTAGAGAAAAAAATAAGAAACTGGCTTTGTAGAATAGCGTAAACAAATGTTTCAGTATAGAGTCCTAAGTATTATAAAGTTAGATGTGAGGCTAAGATAGAGATAAAGTACTATTCTTTTTGTGAAGAATCTGCTAAGATTTTAAAAAGAAGTTTGGAGAAAGGTGTGGAAAATATTCTTTTGCTTATGAAATTTTTAAATGAAAATAAAAGTTTGCTAGGAAGAATAGCTTAAGATAGAATAAACGCACTTTTCAAAGGTTGAGTTTTGGATTTGCCTCTTTAATCAACAGTAATTGTTTGATCAAAAACAGTCACAGAAAAAAGTACAAGAGTACAGCATTGAAGCCCAGATGTTTATACTTGCCAGATATCCTTCCAACTGTCTATGTGAAGCTGAAATTCAGTAAACAGAGCTTTGATTATCTTTATGTGTTAATAATAACCTGACTATTGCAACTGATTTTTAATCAGAATCTCCTAAAGACGTTAAAAAGAATACACCAGGTATAACACATCAGGAATCATTCAGTTCCCTGAAGGCCTGTTTAGGAAATGTTTGTGATTGTGCCAATTACATTGGAATTGCATTGGGTTTTAGTGTTAATTTTAATGGACCAAAGTCTAATCCCCAAAGAAACTTTGAGTTATTTTTCAACTCTCTTATTCTAAGAAAGGTTTAAGACATCAAGATGGTGAATTTGCTTTCTGAACTTGTTCCATTAAGTTGTTTAATTATTGGAGAAATCTGACTCAACTAATGATTTATAGCTGCTACTGATACAACAAAAACATGAGATAAAATAATTGTTTCTCCATGTTATTTTATCAGTAGAACTGTTTTGTATCCCTTAATTTCATTTATCTATAATGTTACCTGGCAAATAATAGGCACTCATCAGTATTCGTTGAATGAATAAATGTCTCTCATATCAAATAATTCTGTCTGCTAGTCTTCTATTACACACAATAGTTTTATGGTTTCCAGTTTACTTCTTCATTTTTTACTGTGTAGTTTATAAATAATACAGAAGCAATTACAGTGTACAGGTGTTTCTGGCAATGACATTTTGCATTAATTTGTACATTCCATGATAGCTAAATTAATAATAGCATTTTCCTGGGTAAGGAAAGAGTGACCCCTTACTAGAACATTTCTCTAACTTCGTCATATGTTATGAGAAACTAAGACAAATGAAAATAATTAATTTTCCTGTCTTTCTCTTTCACAAACATAGTTCTGCTTTAACTAAATTAGTAATTTTTAGGTAACTTTCAAGTTACATAATTTAAGCTGCAGTAATCTTGCCATAGCTACATTACAAAATGACTTGTGCTAAGAAAAAGGTCTAGTAATACATGTTAGCTTGAGGAGTAATACATAACTTATTTATCCATCTTCAACATAACTTATTGTATGTGGGATTAAACTTTAATATTTGTAGGAGAAAAACAATAAAGCATCTTCAGAAGCTTTAATAAACTCAGCTTTCTATCTTCAAATGAAATTACTACTCTTCTTATGAAAGTATTACCAAGCTAAGTGGTTTCTTAAGTCGAAGAAATATTATGGTTAAATATTTACTTATTCACCTAAGGTTTATAAATTATCAAATAGATAATTCTAATGACTTCTTTGTTCTTTTAAAATTGTTCCTTTATGTGTTCAAAAATGTTAAATTTTGTTAAGATTTTCAAAAATGAACTTCTAATCTCTCTTCCTAACTGGCTGTATTCTTAGTTCTTCTATCTCACTTAATTCCAACACTATCCTTCCCCGTCTCAGGCTAAAAACACTAGAGGCATTCTTGAATCCTTTCATAATTCTCACACTAACCACTAACCATCCAAAATATCAGCCAATTCTGTTGGCTGTATTGTGAAAATAGCCTAACATCACACAATGTGTCACCACATACTCAAGTCTCTTCCTCAGCTGAGTCACATTAACTCTCCTGTATGAGCAGTACTTTCCTAACTAGCCTCTCTTCTATTCTTACTGTCTTCTCTCTATGGTCTGTTCTCAACATAGCAGTCATGGTAGTCTTTCCAAAATGAAAGTTATTCACTCTTCTAATAAAAAACAAAACAAAACAAAACTCTCCAATGGCTCTTTGTTTAACTCAAAATCAAATCCAAAATTATTTACTTGATCTATAAAGCCTAGCCTATAAACCTACACTCATCTACAAGCCCTGACCTCCCTGTGACCTTCCAGACTGAATCTCTTATTTATTCGTCATCTCTTTCTTACTCACCCACTTCCAGCCATACCAGCCTTATATTTTCACACATGCTGGATACATTCCCTCCTCAAAACCTTTGCACCGGCTGTTCCTCTACCCAGATATATGTACTCTATCTCTTTCAAGCCTTTGTTCAAATGTCTTCTCATTTGAATCGCAGCCTTTCTACATACTCATTATGCTGCATCTTCATTGCTCGCTTTATTTTTCTACAGAACTTCTAATCTCCTGACATATAGTAGCATACAATATAGCTTATATGTTTATTATATTCTGTATGTTTCCATCCAGAATATAAGTATTACAGCAGCAAGAATTCTTATGTTTGCTTAATAATATAGCATTAGCACTTAAAAGAGTGTCTGACAACGAGTAGGCACACAATAAATATTTGCTGAAATAATGAATGAATAAATGAATTAATGTATGAATGAGTCTCAAACACTGTAACAGGTTCTTTATATATACCTCATTTAATACTTACAACAGCTTTCTGAGCTAGTTACTGTTATTTTCTGAGTTAAAACAATTCAAAATAACTATGCTAGTTACAGATGTGTCTCAAGTTCTCAAAATCATACAGCTGGTAATCAACACAGGCACACAGTCATAGTCATAACACAATCTTACTCCTCTCTTTCAGAGTCCATGTTATATCACTGCCCATATGCTGGACACTGGAGGTCACAAAATCTCCTAAAACTTTTGGCAACAAGAAACCTAGAGTTTGTTTGGTAAGACAACCCCTCTACGTTGACAGTGAAGCTGGACAGCTGCGCAGCTCAGGGAGTGAGCTGTGGAGTCAGATCCCAGGGCTCACCTCTTTCTTCTCCTGCCTATTTGCTATTTGCCCTTGGAAAAGTCACTGACTTTCACTTTGCCCATGGTTTCTTGCCTGCAAAGTGATAGTAATAATAGTAGCAATCACATCGAAGATACTTGTCAGAGTTAAATAAGTAGCTAGGGTATAAGAAAAGTACTTAACACCTTAGCACAGGGCTTGGTATGTGTGTCATGAGCTTTTCAATTTTTTTCAAATTAAGATAAAATTCACATACCATAAAATGTATCACTTGAAAGTGTACAATTCAGTGGTTTTAATATAATCACAAAGTTGTGCAATCATTATTACTTTCAAATTTCAGAATATTTTCATCATTCCATCCCGACAAACCCTGTGTCTCTTAGTAGTCATCCTCTAATCACTTCTACCTCTGGCCTCTGGCAACCACTGATCTACATTCTTTATCTATAGATTTGTGTTTCTAGACATTTCTTACAAATGGAATTATATCTTACATGGTCTTTTATATCTAATTTATTGCACTTAGCAAGTTTTAAAAGTTCATCCATGTTATGGTATGTATCAGTGCTTCCTTCATTCCTTTTCATGGCTGAGTAACATTCCAATGTATAAATATATCATATTTTACCTATCCATTCAGTAACGAACAGGCATTTAAGATATTTAAGATATTTTCAGCTTTCATATATCAGGAATAATCTATGATGAATTGTGTACATTTTTTGGGGGGGGGTAAATGTATATTTCAACTTTCTTGGATAAACACCCAGGAGTATAGTTTTTGAGGTCCTGTAGTAAATCTGTGTTTAGACATTTGAGAAACTGTCAAACTGGAAGTGGCTGTAGCATTTTACATTTCCATCAGCAAAATATGCGGGTTCTAATTTCTCCAAATCACTGTCATTACTTGTTATTGTCTGTGTCTTTGATAATGGCATCCTAATGGGTATAATGTGATATCTCATTGTGGTTTTAATTCACATGTCCCTAAAAACTAATGATGATGTGATAGACAGAATAATGGGCCCTCAACGATGCCCAAGTCCTAATCCCTGGAATCTATGAATGTGTTATTTTACATGGCAAGGGAGAATTAAGGTTGTAGAAAGATATTATGTTGCTAATCAGTTGACCTTACAATAAGGAGGTTATGCTAGATTACCTGGATGGACCTAATGTAATCACGTGGATCCTATAAATGTGAAAGAGGGAGTCAGATGAAGGTCAAAAGAGAGGGAGAGAGAAAGAGAGAGAAATTTGAAGATATTAGCTTGGTGCAAAAGTAATTGCTATTTTTGCCATTACTTTTCATGGTGTGTATAAACTATGACAGATTTATGTAATTTTTGTCATTACTTTTAATGGCAAAAACAGCAATGACTTTTGCACCAACATTAATACTATGAGACTTCCTTTGAAGATAGAAGAAAAGGACATAAGCCAAGGAATGCAGGCAGCCTCTAGAAGCTGGAAATCAATAAAATAGATGTTTTCCCTGGAGCATTACTCCAGAAGAAGCATAGCCTTATGATAACCATTTTGGACTTCTTAGCTTTAGACCTATAAGGTAATTAATTTGTATAGTTGTCAGCCACTAAATTAGTGACAGCTTGTCACAGCAGCAATAGGAAACTATACAGATGTTGCACATCTTTTCATATGCTTACTTTGCAGAAATGTTTATTCGAACCTTTTGTCCATTTTATAATTGAATTTTTAAATTAAGGAGTTGTAATAGTTCTTTATTTAATCTAGAGCTTTATCATACATTTGATTTGAAAATATTTTCTCTGATTCTAGGTTTGTTTTTCCACTTTCTTGATGGTATAATTTGCAACACAAAAGGTTTTTTTAAATTTTGATGAAGCCTAATGTATGTATTTTTTCTTTTGTTGCTGTGCTTTTGTGGATTAACTAAGAAACCATTGGACAATCCAAAGATGTACTCCTGCGTTTTTTTCTAAGAGGTCCATACTTTAGGTCTTGCATTTGGGTCTTTGGTCCTTTTTGAGTTAATTTTGAATAGTGTGAGGTAAAGGTATGTATTAGGATTCTCTAGAGGGGCAGAACTAATAGAATAGATACATATATATATAAAGAGGAGTTTATTAAGTATTAACTCACATGATCACAAAGTTCCACAATAGGCCATCTATAGGCTGAGGTGCAAGGAGAGCCAGTCCAAGTTCCCAAACTGAAGAATTTGGAGTCTGATGTTCAGGGGCTGGAAGCATCCAGCACGGGAGAAAGATGTGGGCTGAGAGGCTAGGCCAGTCTCTCTTTTCACATTTTTCTGCCTGCTTATATTCTAGCCACACTGGCAGCCGATTAGATAGTGCCCACCCCGATTAAGGGGTGGGTCACCTTTCCCAGCCCACTAATTTAAATGTTAATCTCCTTTGGCAACACCCTCACAGACACACCCAGGATCAATACTTTGTATCCTTCAATCTAATCAAGTTGACACTCAGTATTAACCATCATGAGGTACAACTTTATTCTTTTTCATGTGAATACCCAGTTGTCCCATCATATGCTCTTACATTTGAGCAGTTACTATTTTTGACATAGCTTAATATATAGTATGATAACAAAAAGTATGGTGAGGGAATTATTAAGTTAACAATGAAGTCAGTAGAGAAGATGTTCTACAAAAGATGGTATATGAGTTGAGTTTTAGAAAAGACTAGGAATTAGGTAAAAAATGGCAGAAATTTTATTTAATGAAGGAAGCTTCATGAATAAGAAAAACAAAGGAAGTGAATTTACACATGTTTAAGGAAGTGAATGTATGCATGTTTCAGGAACTGAAATTGATAGGAATACCTGGCAGTTTGAGGACCTTGGAGTGCAGTGACCACAAATAAACAAGAAGAGATGGATAGTACCCCTAAGAAAAGCTCTCTGTACTCCTAACTCTGGGTTTACCCTTTATAGGGGCACTCACGTAGAGAGAATTTAAAAAAAAGGCTGTGTTTTTTAAAATATCTAATTAGTGGAAACTTACTATGCCTTCTTTTCAACAGTTGACTCCCTTATCAATACATAGAGGGTGAGACAATTGTTTAATAGACAATTGATTTAATATAATATTATGATGGGAATGTTTCCACATTGTGTCCCAAAAATATAATTACTCTTCCCAGTGTTTTCAGAGTTTCTTTACTGTCCATAATTTCATATTCATTTTTCTTTTTTTAAATACGATTTATCTATTCTCATGTGCTCCTGTAACTACCTTCACATATGTCAAGCTGTACTGTCATTTGATAATAGTCGCTTTGGAGTTTCATGGTGTGTACAAACTGTGACAGCTTTACCTAATAAATAAAACTGAAATGTCTTCAGAGATTTCACAACTGTCAAATATCATGGCTCTGTTGGGAGATGTTTAGTTTTGCTGGCATTTAATCTCTTATTTTCAAATGTCATTCTTTGGACATTGCTGTTGTTTAAATGTACAAAATTTGAAAAACCACTTTAAGACATCACATAATAGAGTATGCATAATTTAAACTAAGTTTTAAAACAAAGTTTCAAATATTTTCTATTTTTTCATAACAAGTGTGATTATCAATTTTTTATTAGCCATTCTACATATATGTATCCTGCCTTCGTCTAAAGTGCTTCAAGTGTGTGAGGGGAGGGAAGGATGGCTTCCTCACAAATATATTTCTAGGAGGTACTTGGTAGCTTCTGGGGAAGCATGAATCTGAAACAGTATGATTAATTCAGGAACAAAATATGACTTGCCAAAAGAGAAAGGAAAATAGGATAGCATGTGTATTGAAAATAACCAATGTTTTCTGTTGTTGTTGTAATTTTAATTCATTTTTTTCTGGTTTGATCTCAAGCATTTAGTTTTTAGCTTTATGAAGAGACAAAACATTCAACAACAAATATACAGTTTTGGCCTGTAAAAAAATGAAAGCCATCATTCACAACCTTACAATAAGTAAAAGGTGACACACTGGAAATTAACTATTTTTCTTGGACCCATCTGAGAACTGAGATCCCAAGGCAAACCACCATTCTGAAATCTAGACTGATGGGCAAATCCAGAGAGCCATAGCTGAGACCTTATCTGGAACAGTCACTGGAGTCATACTGAACATTCGCTAAAACAAAAACCTATTTTCTCTCCAGTAAAAAGACTTACCAGAGTCTTATCCCACCTAGAGGTAGGGCACTGTTCCAACTCCAGCCTTCTCTAGCATTCCTGTCTAGCCAAAGGTAGGGAGGAGGGAGGAAGCTATATCGCTGGAGAAAACACTTGTGAAAGTCACATTACAGACATGGGCAAACAAAAATATTGACACTTTATCCTGCAGTGATAGAACACTTATGTCACCCACACCTTAGCGCCAAACCAACAGAGGGCGCTGGTATAACAGATTACAGTGGAAAGGGCTATAAAAACAAACCACAAATCAAAACCAGTTTAACAGAAATTAAGAATGTCTCTGATTGGCTCATCGGTAGACTGAACATGTCTGAGGACAGTATCAGTAAACCTGAGGATATGCCCATAGAAACTTCTCTAACTAAAATACAAAGACAATTTTAAAAATAATGACAATAGTATAATAAAAAGAAGAGAACATCCCAGAATTGTAGTCAGTTTCCAAAGATATTAAATATGACACATATATTAGGAATACCAGAAGCCGAAGAAATAGACAAGGAGCAGAAGAAATATTTGAATTAATAATGACCATAGTTATTTCGAAAGTAATGATAGAAGCCAAGTCACAGATTCAGGAAGCTCAATAAACACCAAGAGGAATAAACACCAAAGCATCTACATATAAACATATTGTATTCAAACTGAAGAAAAACAAAGACAAAGATTAAAAGTAGTCTGTTGAAATCATACTATTGAACGTAGTTAGAGAAAAACAAAACAAGACAAACACCTTGGTAATAGAGGAACAAGGGTAAGAATTGCATTAGCCTTCTCATAGAAACAATGCAAACAATAGAGTTGAGTAAAATATTGAGAGTTGAAAGAGAAAAACTACCAACCTAGAAGTCTATATCCATGAAAATTTTTCATCGAAAGTGAGACAGAAATAAAGACATTGCCAGAGAAACAAAACCGAGGGGATTCATTATCAGCAGACTTGCCCTGGAAGAAAGGTTAAAAGAAGTACTCCAGGGAAAAGAAAAGTGATAAAGATCAGAAGCTTAGCTCTACAAAAAGAAAAGATTAATGTCAGAGAAGTAATGAATACAGGTAAATTTTTTTCCTTATGTTTAATACATAAAAGTTCTAATACAGAACTTTTCAAAGTAATATTAGTAACAAGGTAGTGAATGATTATAGGCTACGGAGAGACAAAATGAAAAGCCGAAAGTATTTTTCCCTAGGAAAAACTTGGGAATACTCTCTAATAAGAAAACTACACTAACAGTGAAGGAGAATAGGTTATTTGAAAGTGGAATTAGGTTAGTTAAAAACATACATTGTGAACTCTCTGGCGACCATTAAGATAATTTTTAAAACGAAATATGATTGATATTTTAAAGAAGAGAGAAAATTGAGTTATGAAAAATCACATAAAATCTTATTTAAAAACCAGAGAAGGCAGAAAAACAGGGAGAGGTTAAAAAAGAAAATAAATAAATAACAAGTACAGTAAATAGAAAATTGTTACAAACATAGTAGATATTAATAATTACTTTTAATGTGAATGGCCTGTATACACCAATTAAAATGCAGAATATCCTTAGTAGAAGCAAACAGGACTGAAATTTTTTAGTGTACTTGTGCTTAGCTTCCTGAGCATCTCTTGAGCCTTACAGGAATCTCTTGGTTTTTAACCATTTGCTAATTCTTGTTCTCTAGTCTTCTGTTGATTTTATGAGTCTCTCAATATTATGATTCTAACATATTCCTCTTCTGCTTGTGTTACCAAAGGCCTCATTCTGTGTCTTCCATGAAAATTCTTATCAGAAATAGAACTTGTAACTATTTTTGTATCTGATAAAAATAAGTTGACACATTAGAAAGAAAACTTATTTGGCAACATTTCACCATAAATAAAATTCTGACTTTAGCAAAACATGTTAAGACATGCTATATTTTGAAAGTGTCTCTGAAACATCATGTCATATTTTGAAATCAAATTTACTTTAGCACAAACGATTGTTAATCCAAGTTTATCTTTCAGTAACATTCGGCAATTTGTTTACCTTACAATTATGGTACACTTCACTGCCTTGATGATCGATGTATTGCTAATGAGAATGAAAGAAGAAAAGGAAAATGAGCCACTTTAAGAGGTGAGGTAACAATCTGCAAAAATCACAGTAGCAAATTCACAAAGGCATTTATTGTTGAGATCCAGTCATTAACTACTTGTGAAATGAGATCTGCAAAACAACTCAAAAACGCTTTCAAAGGAAGCAACAAAACCATGCAACAAATAAATTAAAATACAAATCTAAGCAACAGAAATAACCAAAAATACTTCACAAAAGGTCTTCTGGGAAGAGATTTTTAGTAAATTGGTGTTCGATGAAACTTGTTTGTTTTAATCATAGATATGAAACTGTCTATGTTTTACACAAAGCTTAAATATTGATAAATTTAGTGTTTTATGGTTAAACATAATGAAACCTTAGAATAATTGCAATTTTATGTATTTTCAGTTTGTTGAAACCACTGGCCAATTGAAGCAAGTTAACACATCCATTTTCTCTTTAAGATCTTGTTGATCTGTGTTCACAGCTTGGTACAAAGCAAGCATTTTGAATCCATGTGAGTGATTATCATGGCAAAAGTAAGGATATAATTTTATAGCTGCTTTTATTACTGACTTAAAATCAAGGCAAGGGTTCAATTTAAAGACTATGAGGCCACAGTTTCGTTCTCCTATTAAAATTCTAAACTTAAAAGTTTACAGATTTTTGTTTGTTTGTTTGTTTGAACAGAGTTTCGCTCTTGTCACCCAGGCTGGAGTGCAAGGGCACGACCTAGGCTCACTACAGCCTCTGCCTCCCATGTTCAAGCGATTCTCCAGCCTCAGCCTCCCGAGTAGCTGGGATGACAGGCGCCTGTCCCCGTGCCTAGCTAATTTTTTTGTGTTTTTAGTAGAGACAGGGTTTCACCATGTTGGCCAGGATGGTCTCGATCTCCTGACCTCGTGATCCGCCTGCCTCGGCCACCCAAAGTGCTGGGATTACAGGTGTGAGACACCACACCCGGCCTAATATTTATTATTTAAAAATTACTTTTAAAGGATGCTTATCAGATTGCAGGAGGCAATTTTTAAAATCTCATCTTCCCATAGACCTTAAGCTCTTGAAAGCTGTTCTTTTGTGGTAATTTACTCTATATTGGTGGGCTTTGTGATAAGCTTTGAATGACCTTAATGTATTAATGCAATCTATGCATAATTTAATTGAAATAATAAATCTGAGCTGTTCCGTAAAACTATTTTTCATGAGATAATTTTAAGAGATATTTTTTCTGTGTATGGAAATTGAAATGGGGGTCTTTTTTTTTTCCCCAAGGAATAAAAACGTGAGTGCTTATCATTCAATAACTGTAACATTTGTTTATAGCTACATCTAATACAGAATACATAAATCTTGAGGCTGCTAAGCTTTTTTGCACAAAAAGAATACTTATAGCATAATAATAGCATATTGCCTTCCTACTTCATTTCTAAGACTTCTGAACATATTAGAGAGTTGGCCAAGTTTAAAGCTTATGACTCTCCTTTCCAGGTTAAAACAGCCTAGACATTTAACAAGTTACTGTGTTCTACAATTTAAATTCCTTTCTACTGTGACTTTTTACTTACAACGATATGTAATATGTATATATATATATGTATGTATGTATGTATATACATATATGTATGTATGTATGTATATACATATATGTATATATGTATATATATGTGTATATATACACATTTTGCATATGCTGAATTTGCATTCTTATTTTTACATATGTTATATGCAATATATAATTATATATAATGCAAAAATTAGAGATTATAAATTCAGTATATATTTCTGCTTTCCCAGATTTTCAATTTTATTATGATATTAAATGTATTTCCATTTCATTTACTATTAGTGTAATGCTTTCTTTTAACATTTACTGTGGCTTTCAGTTTTTATTTTTCAGTATTTAGCTTTGCAATATTCTGACATGAAGCCACCTTATTATAGATAACTCAGTTCATACTATAAAAGCAGTTTGTTTTACCTGAATAAATTTGATACCAACTGACAAGTGTCATAACGTTTTTTCTCCAATTAACTTTTTGGTGAGAGTCACCTCAGTATTCCCTCTGATATTTTTCTTTGATATCTGATCCCTTTGGAGGCTCTAAAAATTAATGCTTCATTAACCTGGTATAAATTAGGGAGCAAACCTGGCCATCTATATAGATTTTCTACTTCTTGAATTTAAGAGTATGCTATTTTTTCTGAATTATGAAATATTTCCAATTTAAAAGCATAAAAAAAGTTTATTGTCTTCTGAGTTTAATATGAGCTTCAGATTTTAACTTTGAAAGCAAACAGATTTAGTGAGTTCCTGTGAAGAATGAAGAAAGGAAGAGTTACTTAGAACATGCCTGTCAGACTTTTGTGGTGTTATGTATTTAACATAAAATTGAATGACCTGGAAAAATATTTAATGATACTATTGTATCTCTGTCATAAAAAGATACTTCCAAAACATCAAAGTGACCTCTCAGAAAAGCATTTATTAACAGTGTAAAAAAGATTATTTCCCTGTTATTCATTAGTTCCCCTGCAATTCCTTTTTAGAAAGGTATTGAAACAGACATTTTTCTTTGAGGACCTTATTTATTGCAAACTTTCTAGTGAACTGAAGAAAGAAAAAGAAAGGGAGAGCTGAGAAAGAGAGGAAGGGATGGAAGGAGGGAGGGAGGGAGGCAAGGAGCAGGGGAAGGGAGGGAAGAAGGAAGTAAAGAAAGAAGGAGGGAAAGAGGGACAATGAGAATGGGAGATTATACTGGCAAATCTTTAAAAACTTCTGGGTAATTTACTCAATCTGCAACTTCCAATATCAGATTTTGTCAGAAAGATATGAGATGAGAGTAAGCTGTAATTTTTAAATTTAATTCTAGATGCCTTTTAGCAACATACCAGTAAAGAAAACTGAAGAGACCCCCACTCTTCTGAGGCTTACAAGATAGAGGAAGCAGGGCGATCAAAACTAAGCAATAGACAGAAGATCAATATATCTTATATGGAACATAAGATGTGTTAATATATACATATTAACTTATTGAATATATATTATATATATGAATATATAATATTATATAACTACATACATTAACATAAGTTGACTATGTTGCATGTTAGAAGCTGGAGAGTGCTATGGAATAAAAACAGCAGGATTAGGGAGAAGAGAGGGCAGAGGAGGGCATAATTTTACTCAGTTTGGTCTGGATCAGGCCATTTCTACCATACCAGTCATTTCTTTAGTGCTTCTTTCAATTAATTCCCATCCCCTACAGGAAGTTTGTTTTCCATCACCATAGATCACTTTATTCTAGTCTAATACATCAGATAAAAGAAATCACACAGAATTATACTGTTTTGTTTCTGATTTTTTCCTGTTGACATACTATTTTGGAGTTTTTTCTATATTTTTACATCAGTAGATAATTTTTTATTGTTGTATAGTATTCCACTGCATGGATGTGCTGCAATTCATATAAACATTCACCTGTAATCAACTGGATTGTTCATAGTTTTCAGCTATTATGAATATAATTGCTGTAAACATTCTTGTACAAATTATATTATATATATATTTTCATTCTTAGAAGGGAATTGCTAGATCAGAGCATAGGTGAAGAAAACTAGTGTATAAGACACTGTTGAATAGTCTTGCAAAGTGACTGTATTGTTTTCTATTATAAGAATATATCAGAATTCAATTGCTCTTAATTTTTGGCAATATTTCATGTAGTAAGTCTTTTTCATTTTAACCATTTTAGTAGTTATGAAATTGGATGAATTGTATCTCACTGTGGTTATAACTTTCTTTTCCCTGTGGAATCATGTTTGGCAAATTACCTTTCATGTGAATGTTGGCTGTGTGAAAAAAATATCTGTATAGGTGGTATGCCCATTTATTATTGATTGCTTTTCTTCTCATAATTTGTGGAAACACACACATCCACCAACACACACACAATATATATATCCATACACACACACACACACACACACGTATACACACACACACACATTTATTCTGGATACAAGTCTTTTGCCAGATAAATGTATATCTATTAATTCCCCACAGGCTGAGGCTATCTTTTTCTTTTCTTGTCTTCACAGTTTCTTTATTTTTTTAATTTATTTTTTATCTTACTTTAAGTTCTGGGATACATGTGCAGAATGTGCAGGTTTGTTACACAGGTATACATGTGCCATGGTGGTTTGCTGTGCCTATCAACCCATCATCTAAGTTTTAAGTCCTGCATGCATTAGGTATTTGGATTAGGTATACCTAATTAAAAAGTCAGGGAACAACAGATGCTGGAAAGGATGTGAAGAAATAGGAACACTTTTACACTTTTGATGGGAGTGTAAATTAGTTATTTCTTGTCTTCTGCTAGCTTTTGAATTTGTTTGCTGTTGCTTCTGTGGTTCTTTTAATTGTGATGTTAGGGTGTCAATTTTAGATCTTTCCTGCTTTCTGACGTGGACATTTAGTGCTATAAATTTCCCTCTTGACATTGCTTTAGCTGTGTCCCAGAGAGTCTGGTATGTTGTCTCTTTGTTCTCATTGGTTTCAAAGAACTTCTTCATTTCTGCCTTAATTTCTTTATGTGCCCAGTAGTCTTTCAGGAGCAGGTTGTTCAGTTTCCATGTAGTTGTGCAGTTTTGAGTGAGTTTTTAAATCCTGAGTTCTAATTTGATTGAACTGTGGCCTGAGAGAGAGTTTTTTAGGTTTTCTGTTCTTTCGCATTTGCTTAGGAGCGTTTTACTTCCAATTATGTGGTCAATTTTAGAATAAGTGTTATGCGGCACTGAGAAGAATGTATGTTCTATTGGTTTGAGGTGGAGTGTTCTGTAGATATCTATTAGGTCTGCTTGGTCCAGAGCTGAGTTCATGTCCTGAATATCCTTGTTAATTTTCTGTCTTGTTGATCTGTCTAATATTGACAGTGTGGTGTTAAAGTCTCCACTATTATTGTGTGGGAGTCTAAGTCTCTTTGTAGTTCCCTAAGAACTTGTTTTATGAATCTGAGTGCTCCTGTATGGGTGCATATATATTTAGAATAGTTAGCTCTTCTTATTGCATTGATCCCTTATTATTATGTAATGCCCTTCTTTGTCTTTTTTGATCTTTGTTGGTTTAAAATCTGTTTTATCAGAGACAAGGATTGCAACCCTGCTTATTTATTTTTTTGCTTTGCATTTGCATGGTAAATATTCCTCCATCCCTTTATTTTGAACCTATGTGTGTCTTTGCATGTGAGATGGGTCTCCTGAATACGGCACACCGATGGGTCTTGACTCTTTATCCAGTTTGCCAGTCCGTGTCTTAAATGGGGCATTAGCCCATTTACATTTAAGATTAATATTGTTATGTCGTGATGAAAGCTGGTTATTTTGCACATTAGTTGATGCAGTTTCTCATAGTGTTGTTGGTCTTAATATTTTGGTGTGTTTTTGTAGTGGCTAGTACCAGTTTTTTCTTTCCGTATTTGGTGCTTCCTTCAGTAGCCCTTTTAAAGCAGGCCTGGTGGTGACAAAATTCCTCAGCATTTGCTTGTTTGTAAAGGATTTTATTTCTCCTTCGCTTATGAAGCTTAGTTTGGCTGGATATCAAATTCTGGGTTGAAAATTTTTTTCTTTAAGAATGTTGAATATTGGTCCCCACTCTTCTAGCTTGTAGGGTTTCTGCAGAGAGATCCACTGTTAACCTGATTGCCTTCTCTTTGTAGGTAGCCTGACCTTCCTCTCTAGCTGCCCTTAACATTTTTTCCTTCATTTCAACCTTGGTGAATCTGATGATTTTGTGTCTTGGGGTTGCTCTTCTTGAGGAATATCTTAGTGGTGTTCTCTGTATTTCCTGAATTTGAATGTTGGCCTGTCTTGCTAGGTTAGGGAAGTTCTCCTGGATAATATCCTGAAGTGTGTTTTCCATCTTGGTTCCATTATCCCCGTCACTTTCAGGGACCCCAATCAATCATAGGTTTGGTCTTTTCACATAGTCCCATATTTCTTGGAGGCTTTGTTCATTCCTTTTCATTCTTTTTTTCTCTAATCTTGTCTTCATGCCTTATTTCAGTAAGTTGATTTTCAATCTCTGATATCCTTTCTTTCGCTTGATCAGTTGGGCTATTGATACTTGTGTATGCTTCACAAAGTTCTTGTGTTGTGCTTTTCATCTCTATCATGTCCTTTATGTTATTCTCTAAACTGGTTATTCTAGTTAGCAGTTCCTGTAACGTTTCATCAAGGTTCTGAGCTTCCTTGCATTGGGTTAGAACATGCTCGTTTAGCTCAGAGGAGTTTGTTATTACCTACCTTCTGAAGCTTACTTCTGTCAATTCATCAAATTCATTCTCCATCTAGTTTTGTGCCCTTGCTAGAGAGGAGTTGCATTTGGAGGAGAAGAGGCATTCTGGCTTTTGGAATTTTCAGCATTTTTGGGCTGGTTTTTCCTCATCTTTGTGGATTTATCTACCTTTGATCTTTGAGGCTGATGACCTTTGGATGGGTTTTTGTGGGAGGGGTCCTTTTTGTTGAGGTTGATGTTCTTGCTTTCTGTTTGTTAGTTTTTCTTCTAACAGTCAGGCCCCTCTTCTGCAGGTCTGCTTCCGTTTGCTGGAGGTCCACTCACTCCGGACCCTGTCTGCCTGGGTAACACCAATGGAGGCTGCAGAACAGCAAAGATTGCTGCCTGCTCCTTCCTCTGGAAGCTTCGGCCCAGTGGGGCACTGGCCTGATGCCATCCAGAGCTCTCCTGTATGAGGTGTCTGTCAACCTCTGTTGGGAGGTCTCTCCCAGTCAGGAGGCATGGGGGTCAGGGACCTACTTGAGGAGGCAGGCTGTCTTTTAGCAGAGCTTGAGTGCTGTGTTGGGAGAATCCTCCTTGTCAGGATCTGCTGCACTCTTCAGAGCCAGCAGGCAGGAATGTTTAAGTCTGCTGAAGCTGCACCTACAGCTGCCCCTTCCCCCAGGTGCTCTGTCCCAGGGAGATAGGAGTTTTATCTATAAGCTCCTGACTGAGGCTGCTGCCTTTCTTTCAGAGATGCCCTGCCCAGAGCAGAGGAATCTAGAGAGACAGTATGGCTACAGAGGCTTTGTGGCTCTGTGGTGGGCTCTGCCCAGTCTGAACTTCCTGGCGGCTTTGTTTACACTGTGAAGGGAAAACTGCCTACTCAAGCCTCAGTAAGGGTGGACATCCCTCCCCCCACCAAGCTGGATCATCCCAGGTCGACTTCAGACTGCTGTGCTGGCAGTGAGAATTTCAAGCCAGTGATTCTTAGCTTGCTGGGCCCCATGGGAGTGAGACTCGCTGAGCAAGACCACTTGGCTCCCTGGCTTCAGCCCCCTTTCCAGGGGAGTGAACGGTTCTGTCTCACTGGGATTCTAGGTGCCACTGGGGAGAAATTAAAAAAAAAAAAACAAAAACAAAAAAACAACCTCCTGCAAGCTTGGTGTGTGTCCAAACCCAGTCTTGTGCTTGAAACCCAGGGCCCTGGTGGTGTAGGCACACAAGGGCATCTCCTGTTTGGAGGGTTGCAAACACTGTGGGAAAGGAATAGTCTCTGGGCTGGATAGCAGAATCCCTCACAGCTTCCCTTTGCTGGGGGAGGGAGGCTCCTGGCTGCTTGCACTTCCCAGGTGAGGTGATGTCCCACCCTGCTTTGGCTAATCCTCCGTGGGCTGCACCCATTGCCTATCCAGTCCCGATGAGATGAACAGCGTACCTCAGTTGGAAATGCAGAAATCACCCGCCTTCTGTGTTGGCCTCACTGGGAGCTGCAGATGGGAGCTGTTCCTATTCAGCCATCTTGCTAATACCCTTCACAGTAACTTTAAAGAGAAAATATTTTTAATTTTGTTGAAGTCCAATGTATCGAAGTTTCTTTTGTGTTCTTTGCATTATTGTGACCTATCTGAGAAATCTTTGTCCAGCCCAACGTTGTGAGGATTTTCTTCTATGTTTTCACTTGAAAGTTTTGTAGTTTTACCTTGTATATTGAGGTACGTAATACATTTTGAGTTCATTTTTATTTTGTGTGAGTCAGCAGTTGTGGTTAATTTTTGTGTGTTTCTATAGAGCTATCCAGTTGCCCCAGTAGCATTTTTATTTTGAATGTTTTTTATTTTGAATGTCAAAATAAAAAACAAAACATATTCCAACTGAATCATTCTGTTATCTTTATAAAATAATCAACTGATCAAATATAGACTAGTCTGTATCAGAAATTTCAAATTTTTCTTTTATTTTCATGTGATTTGCTAGACTAAAGTCATACTATATTGTCTTGATTTTTGAAGTTAGAGTAAGTCCACCAACTTTGTTCATTTTTTTAGGATTATTTTGGCTATTATGGCCTTTTAAAATTTCCAGGTACACTTTGAAATTAGTCTCATCATTTATAAAAATATTGGTGCTAAAATTTTGGTAAGATTTTATTAACCCATAGATACATTTTGGGAAATTTTACATCTTAAAATATTTAGTCTGCCAATCTATAATCAAACTAGGAATGAAATAAAACATCCTCTGACTAATAAAGGGTATGTACCAAAAACCTAGAGCAAACAACTTATAAACATATCTATGTCTTGAAATAGATTTTGGCTTCCCAACCTGACAAAAATAATAGACTTGTCCTCCTAATAAAAACAGTGATAGATTGGACAAAACATATGAGATAACTGTTTAGGTTTTGAAATCTGGACAGTGAAGTATTGGGTTTTTGAGAGAAGGAAAAATAAGCGATGACTTCTATGATTACTCTGGTTTCCTGATTGGGGTACCTTTCTTGTCATGACCCAGGGAGGTGTAGCCCAAGCAGAGTGGATGTCTAATGGAGGGGAGGCACAGATACACTTTCTAATCTGTGAAGGCAACGGAAATTTACAGGAAATTTGTCAAGGAGGAGGATGTCAGGGGAAGTTGGAGTGGAGGGGCAAAAGTCCTCATGAGACTCACCTTGGGTCTGTTGAAAATGTCTGAGCTAAGATGGCAGAAGACATTAAATGTTGAGAATGTTAACATTCTGGCCCAATCAGAAACAAGACAGCTCACTGAGAGGCTCAAGTATCGAGTGGTGAGCTATGAAAATCCATGCCTAAAAATAAAGTTCAAGTTCTAAGATAAAGGTTATGCTTGTCTAGTAAACACGATAAACCCAAGGTTAAAGAGGAAGTTCTTTAAAAGCATCCAGGGCAAAAGAAAAACTTCATATGGAAAACAGTATAAGTGATGATCAAATTTTCATCAGAAACATTGGAAGTCAAAAAACAATCGATATTTTTTAGCTGCTGAAAGAAAGCAATATTGAGTCCCAAATCTATATTCAGCAAAATCATCCTTCAAGAATGAAAGTAAAACCAGGGCATTTTCAGATAAGTGAAAACTAAATGAATCATCACCAGCACATCTGCAATCCCAGAAAATAATACAGGTAGTTCTTCAGGATGAAGGGAAATATTACCAGATGGTAATCTGAATATAGAGGAAAGCATTAAGTATATCAGAAATGATAAATACATCTACTAGAACTAGTAAGTATGTATGACAGTATTATAGCATAAAAGGTCAGTATCCAAAAAATTATTTCTATATAGTAATAAAAACATGCAAGATGTTATACTGGAAACTTCAAAGCATTAGTGAGAAAAATCAAAGAAGTGTTAAACAGTTGGATACATATGCCATGTTCATAGTTTGGAAGACTTAATACATTGTTAAGATATCATTTCTTCTCAGATTGATCAATAGATTTAGGGCAAATCCCACTGAATCACAGTGAACATTTTGTAGGGAGTAGAAGTAGACAAGATTGCTCTAAAATTTATATTTAATAGCAAATCAACTAGAATAGCCAAAACTATTTTGATAAGAAGAAAAAGTTGGAAGACTCATCCTGTCTGATACTAAAACTTACTACAGTAATCAAGGCAGTGTAGCACTGACAAAGAAATACACAAATATCAATAAAATAAAAACAGTCTAGAAATAACTTACAAAGAGGACTAAGAAACATAGGGTGAAAAAAAATCTTTATTTCAGCTATGTTCTTTTGCCAAATTCATAGAGCTGTATACTTAAAAAGAATAAATGTTACCTTATATAAATTTTACCTCAATCAATATAATCTTAAAAAATATAGTTGTTATATTTGATAATTGTTTAATCCTACTGACATTCATCTCATAGTCTCTAAACAACCCAAAACTGGCATAAAATCTGATTCCAAATCCTGACTAATGATAAAAATACAAAACCATATACCATACATCAGATCACTTTTGAATACTAATATTGATATTTAATCAGTTTTGACATGTTATCAATGAATACTGATATATGAATATTCAAATTCAAAATATCAACTATTGCTAAAATCCAAAATACCAGTTTTTGCTAATTAGGATAAAATATTTACTTAGAAAAATAAACAGTTGGTTATAAGAATAATATAACCTCAGTAAGAAGAATTCAGCTATTATAATAATAATATTTAGGCAGTAGACTTTTCAGTACATGAAAAGATGAAAAATATTGCACATTTTTATGGAAAGTATTATGAGGTGGGTCAGTAGACAGCTTTACATATGTATAGCACACAGGCTGTTTGAATAAGTAAAGTTATTTTCCCAAAACAGTTAACCCTTAAGAAAAATCACTGTGGGTAAATTAGATTTTTCTCATTAGTAAAATCTTATTTCATATTTCCATATTTGGCATTTAACATAACTTAGATTTAGTTTGAAGTAAGATTCTCTTGGAAGTGAAGTTCTCCTAAAAGTTTTGATCTCTACTTTTCTTAGTTTTTCTCACCTAGACTTAGATTATTTATTATTTAATTTTATGAAACAAAAACTTATGGAAGTTTAGGCAAGATTTTTCTTTGGATCTGAAGGACAGTTTTTCTTATTCTAAACTATTATCTTTTGGTCAATGAAGCATGAGTCGTTTTCTGTGTACATTTTCTGTGTTATTTGTCTCATTTATATAATTTAGAATGTGACTACTCAGTAAATATGATATTATTATTAGGGCAACCATATTTATATTCAACATATAAACTTTGTGCTAATATTTTATCTCCCATTAGAACTGAAAGAAGATATTAGAAGATACATTTTCATAACAGCAAAATAATTTCTTCATTTGGAAAATACTCTACTTGTTAAATTGATAAGATTTTTCTTTAAAAAATCATTTTATTCCTTTCAGGTATTGTGGGGGAGGCATAAAAGGTAACAAAGATGTTTTTCATGGCAAATAATGTTTATTTCTAATTAACATATTATTTACTGTACATATTGCTTTCTACCAGTGTGTTGATATAAATTATATATGCTGCAAAATAAATAACTCCATTGTGAATGTTTCTGTATTCTTATTTGATGTATTTTCTTTCATTAATATTTGATTAAGAGTTTGGAGAGCCAATATTAGAGAGGAAACAAAGGTTGTGTGTGTGTACGTGTGGTCCTGCATTCTTTCCTTCTGTATAACTATGTGGGATGAGTTGTGTTCTAAGCATATTTTTCATTCCTCTCTCATCATAAACAGAGTAGGTAGAGCAAAATCTAAATGTTTCTCAGTGACACTGTGCAATTTTAAGTAACACTGATGTGTAGAATTATTTACCTACATGGTAAATGGCCTCAAGTGTGCAAACCTAGTCACTTAATATACTGAGCGCTAAGGACATAAGGGAAAAAGAAGACCTGGCCTCTGTTCTTAAGTAGCTTAGAGTCTGGCCTTTTTAATTAACTTAACAGATAATTTATTGGCAATACTCTTAATTTAACAGCTTTGGTCACCTACCCGTTCTACTTGCTAGGATTGACCAGAGGTCTGAGAAAGGATAAAGAATATTGACCTGTTATTTTTGTTTGAGCAAATGTATGTATGTATGTATGTATGTATGTATGTATGTATGTATGTACGTACGTATGTATGTACGTATATAAATATATGAATGAAAAGGAAATGAATGTATGTATAAAGATAAGTTTATAAGACATTCATACAAAGAGATGGAATTAATGTCTGATTAACTCAATTTTTTTTATGTCAGGCAAAATGCTACATATTCAGTTTCGAGAGCACAGAATGACTTGACAGAATGATAGAAGGTTAGTTGAACTATGGAAGTTTAATTAGGGGAATTGATGAGCAGAATTTTTAAAGTTTTGTTTGCCATAATAAAAGGGGTGATGCACTGCCTAGATTTTAAATGTACTGACTCTGGAGTTGGACTGACCTGTCCTCAAATTTTAGAACTTCTGCTTACACGTTACATTCTTTAGGGCAGGATGTATCCCAAAGCCTACGTTTTCTCATTTGTACCATAAGGAAACAAATGGTAACTCCTTGGCATTTAAAATGTCGTTCCTTTTTATTTCACAATACTGTTTAGTTTTTCTTCTCTATATATTGAATCAATCTGGCTATATGTTAATCTATTAATCTATTTAACAGTATTTTTTTAAAAATGAACCTATGAACCTTTGCTTTCTTAATCTTTTTTTATCATATGTTTCCTTTTTTATTTATTACATAAGTATCTTTTTTTTTTTTGAGACAGAATCTCGCACTGTCGTCTGGGTTGGAGTACAGTGGCACAATCTCAGCTCACTGCAACCTCCACTTCCCGGGATCAAGTGATTCTTCTGCCTCAGCCTCCCACAGGTGCCCGCCACCACACCCGGCTAATTTTTTGTATTTTTAGTAGAGATGGGGTTTCACTATGTTAGCCAGGCTGGTCTCAAACTCCTGACCTCGTGATCCACCTGCCTCAGCCTCCCAAAGTGCTGGGATTACAGGCATGAGCCACCGCACCCGGCCTCCATGAGTATCTTTACTACTTCTTACCATGTAATTTTCCTGAATTTATTCTGCTTATATTTTACTCATTTCTTAGGTTAAATATTAAATTTGATTTTCCACATTTTTCTTTTGTAAATATTAGCATTAATGGTTGTATATTTTTGTCTAAATATTTTAGCTGGTTTCTTAAGTGTCACAGGTAGTATGTTAATTATTCATTCATAAGTATTTTAAATTTCCATTTCAATTTCCTCTTTCCTTCATCCATTATTTTGACCTCATTTAAAACTCACAAACTTATAGATTCTTGTGAGTTATCTTTTAGTTTTTATTTGTAACTTACTTGGAAAGCTGGTTACAATACGTGGTTTATTTAATCCCAATTATTTGTTGCATCTTAATTATGGTCTAGAGAAATGTTTCTTCAAAGTTAATTTTGTTAAGGTAAAGATTCTGATTTACAGGTCTAGAGTTGAGCCTGAGAATACACACATAGACACAGATATGTTAGTGCACAAGCAGCAAATATCACTGAATTATTATAAAATTATATATCTGATAAAAAGTATAGTATTTTCAACGCTAAGAGGTATAGGACTTAAAATGTACAGACCAAATTGGCTTAAAGAACCAGGATAACTTACACATGCTAATGAATGCAGTTCATGCCCTTCTTATCAGGAACCAGTAGACAAATGTCTTTTTTTTCTCAATGGATGTTGTTGTGAAGATGGGAATATTGCTTATGTTAATGCAATCTAATAATGTTTTCTTGCTTTCTCTTAACTGTAATTACTCTGTGTTTTAGAGAGCATTTTGCTAGTCCCAAATTTGATTCCTGAATAAGAAATATGTTAAAAACAAACAGACTTTGTTAGGAAGTCTAATTCAAGATGGTTCTGTTCATTGTCTTGTATTTACAAACAAAAACAAGTGTCCCAAAATATGGACTCAGGTTCTTTTGGAAACTGCGTTCTCTCCTCCACAGTGGATTTTTCTTATTTTTTCTTTTTCTTTTTTCTTTTTTTTTTTTTTGAGACAGAGTCTTGCTCTGTCTCCCAGGCTGGTGTGCAGTAGTGTGATCTTGGCTCACACAAGCTCTGCCTCCCAGGTTCATGCCATTCTCCTGCCTCAGCCTCCTGAGGGACTACAGGTGCCCGCCACCATGCCTGGCTAATTTTTTGTATTTTTTTAGTAGAGAGGAGGTTTCACTGTGTTGGCCAGGATGGTCTCGATCTCCTGACCTCATGATCCACCCTCCTCGGCCTCCCAAAGTGCTGGGATTACAGGCATGAGCCACCGCACCCCGCCCACAGTGGACTTAAGATCTGAAAATGGGCAGGGCCAATTCTATCTCTTAATACCAGGGTTTGTGGTCTGCCTCTGGTTTCCTTCTTACACCACACTTAAAGGAGAAGTATGAACTTTGTGTTGGCATCTCCCTCTACAGAGATCCATCTAACAGTAGAAACTCAGGGAAATGGAAAGAAACGTCTGAGGCCTGCAGCTCCCATAACAGAAGACAAAAGGGCTAATTAACTGATACCAGATCATGCCAAATTATAAATAATTTTGTTGGGATTCTTGTGATATTGGGAAAGTTTTTCTTTCCTCCTAATTTCTCCACTTACTCTCTGTTAGCTTCTTCAAATCTTATAAAGGTCTTATCTATGATCTTTACATTTTATTTTCTGTGTTTTAATTTGTACATACAAAATGACTCTCCTATAGCTATAAGCATCTTAAAGGCTCTTCTTTCTAATAAAGTCCTCTGTACATTCTATATTTCTCTTGAAATAATGTGATCCTATCTTAATATTTCCTTTTATCACTAAGTTTTTTGAAAGAGGAGTCAACATATAATTCAGTATTACATCATTTTAAGAAATCTGGTTTTCATTCTCCAATGCAGATTCATAACCCAAAAGCCTTCTGGTTACCGAGTCCTACAGAAAACTTAATTTATTCGACTGTTTTTAGTAGTGTAAAAAGACACCAGTATTTTTCAAGCTTTCTCATTTCGTATTCTGATTATAGTGCTTTCACTTCGTACTCTTTTCTAACAGACTTTCCTATCCTCTTTGTGAGATATTCTTTAATGGTAGTGGGCTTTTTTAAATGTATTTTTTATCCTTGGACTACTACAGTCTGCATACTAACCTGGACAATATTTTCTAGGTATCTTGACTCAGATCTCATCTAAAACTCATGATGCATATACAAATTCTCATCTCCAACTCAAATCTCTTTAGTGAGCTTCAGATTCCTATTTATAATCCTGTCCTAAACAACTTCCATCAATGTCCCATATCCACCTCAAATTCAATAGGTTCATATCCAAATGCATTATTTATTTAATCTCCCCTTCTCTGCAGTATGATGTACTGGTCTTTCTCCTACAGTATCTATCTAAAAAAAATGATTCCCCTTTCATGTGGTCACTCTAGCCACCTAGAATTTTTCCTGAATTTCTTCATCTCTTTGACCTCCCTGCATTAAAATGAGTACCAGATCTTTTCACTTATATTTTACTTAATGTCACGTAAATACCATTCCTATTCTCCATATGTCACTGCCTCACTTTAAGTTTTCATTATATTTTACCGAAACATTTTCATATTGTCTATCTCTAATCCTTCCACCCTGTTCTTATTTGAAATATTTAGTAAGTTAATTTTTCTAAAATAAACAACTGATCATGTTAATCTCATTTTAAAAATTATTTAGTACATTAAGAAAAAAAATTGTGAAGGATGACAACACAAAGCTCTTCAGGATCAGTCCCTTTCTATTCTCTTTGTCATGTTTGGGAAACAGCGTGCTTATCCTCTCCACAATTTTCTGTTTTTTAATTCAGTGATTTACTTAATATATAAGCGTGATGACTCTGAGGTAACTGTTAGGGTTCAGCCTACTTGATGGAGAACTCTGTCCCTCTGTCCCTTGTATAATCTAATCATACTGTATTGAAAGTACATCTTCCACTTGGTTGCTCAGGCAGTGAGCGGTTATGAAACATATTTGTCATAGTCTTACTTTTCATTTCATACCTTCTAGTAGCTCTTTCGACCAATTGTCTAAACTATAATGGCTTAATTTTAGAAAGCTTTTATACTAATTTAATGTAATTGAAATGGAAGTGTTTTACATTTTCCAAATGCAAATAAATGGTAAAACTGCTTTATACAAAATGATTTTAACTTTCCTTTAAGAAAGAAGCTTGCAAATATTCTTTCATGTTCATAGCTCTCCTACAATTATGTATTCTTTAATTTGTATTTGTTAGCTGAATAAAGGTTGTTGTGCTTATAATTATTTTGAAATATGGCAATAATTCATTGGAATATCGATAATGCATTTTGATTTTAAATAAGCACAGATTTCTTATACTATATATTTGATATTTTAATATTGTCTTTCTCCACCTGAGGACTAGGATTTCCTGCAAGTTTAGGTGTACCAAGTTACTGGATAAACGTGGTACATTTTCTGAAAGCATCCATTTTACACAAAAAAAATTGGGAAAAGTTTATGTTAAATGTTTCTCAATTTTACTTTACTAGAATAAAACATTCTAATGCATTTTAAAAACCCACAGTGAGACTTTAAAAGAATTTTTTTTTTTTTTTTTGAGATGGAGTCTTACTCTGTCACTCAGACTGGAATGCAGTGGCATGATCGTGGCTCACTGCAACCTCTGCCTCCTGGGTTCCTGCCTTCAGCGATTCTTCTGCCTCAGCCTCCTGAGCAGCTGGGAAGACAGGAGTGCGCCACCACGCCCGGCTAATTTTTGTATTTTTAATAGACACAGGGTTTCTATTAAATGTTGACAAGGCTAGTCTGGAACCCCTGACCTCGTGATCCACCCACCTTGTCCTCCCAAAGTGGTGAGATTATAAGCGTAAGCCACCGTGTCTGGCCATTTAAAAGAAATTTCTTATTTACATTGGACATTTCAAACCACACACCAAGACATGAGGCAAATATCGACTTACCTCTGATATTGAGCTTATTTCAATTGAAAATATTTCAGACAGTTTGCCATAGAGAAATTATTTTAGTCTTTGCTCAGGCATGTTGGTAAGTTTAATTTTATGTTTTTTATGGAGGAATATGCAGTGATAAGAAATAAGGAATTGTTTTTCTAATATTTGATTCAAATTGCAGATTTGGCTTTGAATTTAGAGAAAACAATCGCACATATTAATTGTAACTTTCTATAAAAGAAAAGACTACATGTCAATCTATTATAAGAAGACAAAATAAATTGAATTTCTGGCATCTGAGTCTCCATTTATGGAACTACCTTTGCAAAAATTGTAACAGTGAGAAAAATTATGACAGTGAAATAAGATATGACCTAACTGACTCCATCTTGCCTTTAACCTTCAAATTGTCCTTGTGTATTCCTGTGCATAGGCCGACCTAACTATAGGAGGAATTTAGTTTATAGTGTAACTGAAAAAAAGTTAACAACCCTTTCCTGAAACAACCCCCTCGTTTCCTAGGGACCTGACTGCCTTTGTAAAACTAACAACTAAGCCAAAAGCTTAAAAATTGTGGTTCAGGAGTCATGCAGCCAGAGGCTACAAGATTCCTAACCTCTCCAATTGCTCCTATGGATAACATCACTATTGTAAAACCTAAGATTGGTGTTCTAGGTATTTTTCAGGCCCTGCTTTCTGATGGACCATTGCCAAACTATCTTTAAAACCCTAGACTCAGGCCGGGCACGGTGGCTCATGCCTGTAATCCCAGTTCTTTGAGAGACTGAGGCAGGCAGGTCACCTGTGGTCAGGCTCAAGACCAGCCTGACCAACATGGACAAACCCCTTCTCTACCCAAAATACAACAATTAACTGGGTGTGGTGGTGCATGCCAGTAATCCCAACTACTCGGGAGGCTGAGGCAGGAGAATCTCTTGAACCCGGGAGGCGGAGGTTGCAGTGACCTGAGATTGCACCGTTGCACTCCAGCCTGGACAACAAGAGCGAAACTCCATCTCAAAAAAAAAAAAAAAAAAAAAAAAAAGGAAAAAGCAAACAAACGAAAAACCCTAGACTCCAAAATTTCTGAGAGACGGATTTCAGTAATAAAACTCTGGTCTCCTGTTTAGCTGGCTCCACATGTATTGAGTTCTCTATTGCAATTCCGCTCCCTTGATAATTCAGCTCTGTGTGGGCAGCAGGCAAGAAGAATCCACTGGGTGATTACATTTATGCCTTTTATATTAGACAAGTTATAATGTTGTCATATATCTAATCTAACATTCTACTTAATACATAGATTCTCTTTACATCCTCCTTAAAACTTAATCTTCTATATTTTACAAGTGACATTTTGGTGATGAAAATCACTAATTTTAATTATGTTTGTCCATATTGAATTGATAGAAAATTATTTTTTCAAATTAATTACAAACGCACACTTTGGTCATATTCATTCTTCAGTTCTAGTTTAGTCTACGTTTCCACAGAAATTTACAAGCATCCCTATTCTATTTCATGTATTCTAGAGCTTTTTACAAAGTTGCCATTTCTTTCTTGATCTTTTCTTATCTAAATAACTCCAGTCACATCAGCTATTTTACATGTGAACCACTCTGAATCTTTTCAATGATCCAACATATTTTCCTTTTTATGTGCTTTAGATTGGCAAAAACACTCTTAAATTATAACACCTAAAATGAACATGACTCTCAGAATATGGTTTAACTACTAAAGATTAGAGTTTATATAAGATTTTTCTCCTTCTATCTCATATGTTGAAAAATATGATTACAACCTTTGTCTCAGTTCAGAATAGTTATCCTTTAATATTCGTCTACATCCATTTTTATTTACTTTAAAGGCTTTTTCACTCATCTATGATTTGTAAAATGGTCCATTTGTAAGTTGACTTAATATAATTTAGATTGCCATAGTAGACAACTACTTGACTCAGTTCCAGATTAAAGTACTGGAAAAAAATGGAAGCTTTACTAATTTTAGATTGCTCTACCCTAAACCTAGCAGTTAAAAATAATTGCCACATTTGCTATTTTTTTGTTATTGTTACTCAGTCTGGATGTGTCTGAACTTCTGGCCTGTTAAAATAAAAAGGAGAAAAACTACATTACTTCTAATTATTACAGAGATTTAAAGTAATTAAAATGGCCTGATTTAGGTAAAATTAGGTTTCTAGTTTTTTTTAAGTTTGGTTCTACATACTTTTAAAATGCCTCAAAAAAGTTTTCATTTCAAATGAGTTAGTTTTGACCAAAATCTGTGGTCACTAATTTCTAGTCAAAACTAAATTTTCATCACTAAAAATGTTCAAGCAGAAGTAGAACATCTGTGAGCCATATTGTAGACGAGATTTCAGCATTAATCTGGGGGAAAGCAGGACCTATCGGGGGTTTGAAAAGTTAGGTTCGTAACTATTATATACTAAGTTAGGTCCATATCCTAGTACAAAATAACCAGTCAAATAACAGTTACCTTTAATGAATAAATTGGTGAGTGAAGGCCCTCATTTTGAAGTCATCAAAAAGAAATTAAACCAAGTTATTTGGGTATAACCTGTGCCAGCTATTTTCTTCAGCTCTGGAACTTCCCTTAGGTATAAAATTTATTGGAAGCTTAGATATAGGAACATTTACATTTTCCTTTAAAACACAAACAGCTTGAATAGAATAGGATGGAAATTCCATATGTAATCCTTAATAATAACATATAAATCATAAATATTTACCTGGGTGTTGAATGTATATTTCTATTTCTTTTAAAGTCTTTATTTCACAACACAAAATGTCTGTAATATTCCCCATACTTGAATGTCATCCATATGTGTTGTATGGCTTTTTCAAGTGTTGAAATTTTCTTTATATCTGTGTTTTTTTTAAAAGCATTTTGATCATACCATTCATGAACTAGCTACTGCCTATTCTTGCATTTTTAAAACTTCATATGTGTGCAGAGGGTGGAAATAAATGCCTAAAGCTGAAATGAAAGAACATAAAATTCTAGATATAAATTTTTGAAATGAAAAATAGTCAGGTCCTTTAATCAAACATTTATTAAGTTCCAACGTGGGTCTTCCACTCAGTGGGACACTAGATCCCAGTGCTTAGCATCAGTTTCCATGCAGGAAATGGGTGTGACTTGGGTGTCATTTGCCCATTCACCTTGGTTTTGAAATATGTGTGTGTGTGTATATATATACATATATATATGTGTGTATATATATATACATATATATATGTGTGTATATATATATACATATATATATGTGTGTATATATATATACATATATATATGTGTGCATATATATGTATATATATGTATATATATGTATATATATATATATATATGCTTTTGACTCAGCTTTTTATTCCAGTCAAACTGATGATGATTACTTTATCCTTATCTATTTTGGGAGCTGAAGGAAAAGTTAAACTTTTGGCTTACTTAAGTCATTTTTTAAAGGGAAAGAGGTCTGTTAGAAATTTATGGCTGCATTTTAACATGTTTGATTATAATAATGACAAATAATTACAACAATATGTATTATGTCATTTAATCTTCCTAGCAAATCTATAAATTTGGTTTTGGTATTATCCCAGTTTTGTAGACAAGGAAGAGGGACATAGAGAATTTAATAACACACTCAACATTTCACAGCTAAGTGTAGAGAAGGCTTTGAGTGAGTCTGTCTCACTCAAGATCTGAGCACCTAATCACTATAGCATACTTATAATAAATATGCTGTTACCTATCATTAATGCATTAATGGCAATTTTCTTATTGTATTTGTTATAAATGTTTTCTAATTTATCATCTTTTTTGGAACAGATATTCAAGTATATTTTGAAACCAGTAAATGAAAAAATTTGAAAGCTGCAGAGAAATGGCAACAATGTTAAGTTCAGACTGTACAATTATTATATGTATATTATTTTGCTTTCATCAAATCACCTCATGTCTTTGTTTTCTTCTTTTATTTTTTCAGATGGAGTTTTTCTCTTGCTGCCTAGGAGTTCAATGGCACGATCTCAGCTCACCACAACCTCCTTCTACCGGGTTCAAGTGATTCTCCTGCCTCAGCCTCCCGAGTAGCTGGGATTACAGGCATACACCACCATGCCCAGCTAATTTGGTATTTTCAGTAGAGAAGGGGTTTCTCCATGTTGGTCAGGCTGGTCTCAAACTCCCAATCTCAGGTGATCCACCTGCCTCGACCTCCCAAAGTTATGGGATTACAGGTGTGAGCCACTGCGCCCAGCCTTGATTTTTTTTTTTAATTGTAGATAAACAGTAAGTTCAATTTAACAGTGCCTTGGCTGGATCTTTGAGATTTTAGGTGGAGCTTCTTAATTTTTAATTTTGTTCCACGATCATGTCTTTCTCTGAAATTCCTCCATATTATATTAAAAAATTAACTCAATGCAGATAACATGGGAAAATCCTTCAGGTGCTGGAAATAGATTCAATTGAAGATTTAAATTTTAGTTTTGTTTTTCACATCTTGAGCTAATTTATAGAATGTGATGTCTCCCCTGGACACCTAGCTTTGAAATTTCTCCCTTTTGTACTCTTTCCCTTTATTTCTAAGACCATCCAACACTTAGGGAACGTAGAAAAGAACCTACATTGAATTATCAGGGGTGGTTCCTCCGATATCGCGGATCATGAAGTCAGGAGATCGAGACCATCCTGGCTAACACAGTGAAACCCCATCTCTAATAAAAATACAAAAAAAATTAGCCAGGTGTGGTGCCGGGCACCTGTGGTCCCAGCTACTCAGGGAGGCTGAGGCAGGAGAAAGGCATGAACCCAGGAGGCAGAGCTTGCAGTGAGCCGAGATCACACCACTGCACTCCAGCCTGGGTGACAGAGCGAGACTCCATCTCAAAAATAAATAAATAAATAAATAAATAAATAAATAAATAAATAAATAAATAAAAAATTAAAGTGAAAAAGAGGAAATTAAAAAATACATTTAAAAATATATTGGATCTATTGTAGAGTTACAAAAATGACTGAAAAAGTGGGTAGGAAACATTGGGTATAAAACATAATTACATCCGGATGAGAAAGACGAAGAGTATATCAAATGTCAGAAAGGTCATCCAGAAATGGCGACTGGAGGAAGGGCAAAATGCAAGGGTTTCCCATTGCAGGCAGATCGTGAAGAGAAAATAAGATCACACAGAAAGTGGCTGGGCACTGTGACTCACGCATGTAATCCGAGCACTGCGCAAGGCCAAGGCAGGGGGGATCCCCCGAGGTCAGGAGTTTGAGACCAGCCTGACCAACATGGTGAAACCTCGTCTCTACTAAAAATACAAAAAAATTAGCCAGGCGTGGTGGTGGGTGCCTGTATTCCCAGCTACTTGGGAGGCTGAAGCACTAGAATTCCTTTAACTCGGGAGGCGGAGGTTGCAGTGAGCAGAGATTGCGTCATTGCACTCAAGCCTGGGTGACAAGAGCAAAACTCCGTCTCAAAAAACAAAACAAAGCAAAACAAAAACAAAAGGAAAACACAGAAAGTGAGCTACTTTATAACTTTTTTCTATTTATTGTCATTTACTATATTTGATTGATAATTAGTAATTATCCTTATATAAAAACTTGATAGAAAACTTATTGTAATAATTTGGTTAAAATATTATGTATGTTTTATTATAAATCAAAATCTGCACCAGCTATGATTTTAATACAAATTATTTTCTCGGCCATGTTATAAATGTGAAAAATTTATGCTGAATCAAAATATTCATATATAAAGAAAATAGAATGGTGAAAGAATAGCAAACATTCAATATCCATCTGGCATTATAGTTACTAATTTTATCCTCTCATCAAATTTTTCAATAAAGGATATGAAGAGGATGACAGAAACACTTAAAATAATTTGCTTCAAGAAAACATAAAATGTTTGAGGTAAAGGAAAAGTAGAATAAAAATAACGTATTAAGTTCGGTCTGTATATACTCTTCAAAAGTATTGAAAATTAAGATAACCAGATATTTTCCTTTTTTATGTGTTTACTCATGGTAATTTCCTCCATCCTTCTATTGATTATATGTTACAATACCTTTATCCTATTAAGATTATTACATAAACATTTTAATGAAAAATATTTTTTGAACAAAATTTGTTTAGCATCATTGAGGAAGAAATCTAATCATTACAAATAGCTAATCTTTTAAAAATTGTACGTTAGAGAACAATTTTTTAAAGTAAAAAATTATTGAGGCAGCATTTATTTAGAATATATAGCTGGGGAAGCCAAATTACAATGTATTGAATCATTATGTATTCTAATTACATTATGGGCATTGCAGAAAATGCAGTGTATCTGAATATTTTTATGCACCAAGCATACAAAGACAATCCTCAGAAGAAAGTAGAATAACAGAACTATTAGTATTTGAAATTATAGCATCCTTGAAATTTTGGAAACACAGATTCAAAATCAACAAAAAATAATTAACTATGAATCATCTCGTAATATACTATACTATATTTGTATACATTATTCAAAAAATTGTTCATTTTCAGGCAGATTGTATTAACAACATAAATGCATAATACATAAAATGAGAAATAAAACTGTGAAGAATACATACATAAAATTATTCAGACTTATTAGTAACAAATAAAATGCTCAATACATGATAGGGGCATGTCAAAAGTATGTGGAGCTAGTTTGGAGAAGCTTCCAATGGCCAAACCTGAAAAATAACTGAGCAACAATAATAGTAATAGATTGTAACCATGGGAAAAATAAATATCCATAAGTCTGTGTTGATATATATAAATAATTGAATGAATAAATAAATGGCAGTGAAAGAATTGTTCTTCCTTACAGTAGAATTCCAATCAATAAATGAAGAAATTATGAAAATATAAAATAAACACTTAGTGAACATTACCCTATTATTTGCTGTAGGCAAGAATTATCAGTAGATGCTACACTTAATGAATAAAAGTATGATTAAAAATAGGTTAATTGCATAGTGTCAAATGATCTCCCAAGAAAATATGCATAAATTACAAAGGCAAAAATCATAGTGGAGAAACTTGTCAGATTCCACCTTAACCAAATGATCAATGTTATATTTACTGCAGAAATATTAATATGACACCTTGCTTGATATTATGCACTGAGAAGGACATGATGTTATACGTGTGGTATCTGCACAATCAGAATTTATTCACAATAAAAACCAAACCCAAATTTAGAGATATCTACAGAATAACTGGACAGTATCATTTAAACATGTCAAAATCATGAAAGACAAATCTCTTCTGGATTGGAGGTGATTAAGGAGACATGAAGTGAAATGCATTGTGGGACTGCGCCTGAAAAAGGACATTAGTAGTATAACTGGTAGGTTGAATAAAGTTTGCAGATTAGTTAATACTACTGTCCCAACATTAATTTTGTGTTTTCACAATTGCATTATGATTTTATAAAGTATTAATATTTGGGGAAGCTAAGTGAGTTTAAGTTTGCAATGAGCTATGTTTATGATCATGCTACTCTACTCCAGCCTGGGTGACGGAGCCCCTGTTTCAAAAAAAAAAAAAAAAAAAGAAAATTTATAATTTAACTAGAAATATATTCAATAATTTATATAGAGAATTTAATTAGAAATATAATTTATAGTTTTATATATAATTTAACTATATTGCTTTGTATAATTTAACTATGTGATATATATATGTAGGAACATATATATATGTGGTTATACATAGGATATTTATATGGTTATATATAGGCATCATGTATATATTCTATATATAACCAAACACACACACACACACACACACACACACACACACACACATATAAAATGTTTGGAAAGTTAAATTACAATACAATGCCAAATGCAATATATGAATAAGTACTTTTTGGTTTAGAGGGGAAGAAGAGGTTGTTACACTCTAATATTTCAGGAAAGCATCAAGTTCAAATTGATTTTCCTGAGTAGGATTGAAATTATCCTAAACGTGAATGCAAGATAAAATGGTTTTGAAGATCACATTAGAGACTCAGATATATTTAGAAAACTTTCAGTAGTCCATTCAGGTAGAAATGTTTTTTTTTTGAGATGGAGTTTCATTCTTGTCATCCAGACTGGAGTGCAATGGTGTGATCTCGGCTCCCTGCAACCCCTACCTCCTGGGTTCAAGCAATTCTCCTGCCTCAGCCTCCTGAGTAGCTGGGATTACAGGCGCCCACCACTATGCCCAGCAAATTTTTTTTTTTTTTGTATTTTTAGTAGAGATGGGGTTTCACCATGTCAGCCAGGCTGGTCTCGAACTCCTGACCTCAGGTGATTGGCTGGCCTCGGCCTCCCAAAGTGCTGGGATTAGAAGCGTGAGCCACTGCACCTGGCCGAATATTTTTTGAAATAATAATTACAATACATTCATATATAATTTATCACGACATTACCATTATCCATTTATTTATCCTTAGAAAATCATTTTATATCATATATAACCAAACATATATATATATGAGACTCAGATATATTTAGAAAACGTTGAGTAGTCCATTCAAGTAGAAATGAGTATTTTTTGAAATATTATAACACATTCATATATAATTTATCATGAAATTGCTATTATCCATTTTTCCTTAGAAAATCATTTTATCTTCACAATAACTTTATTAGATATTTTCTATCATTTTATTCTCTTTTATGAATTAGAAACAGGCCTTTAAAGATGATGTGAATTGTCAGAGATAAAGTGGAGGAGCCAGTTGGTCTGACTCTGGAGCCATATTTCCCTAAAAAGAAGAGATGCTCTACTAGAGATTAAAGTTGTTGTTTTTTTTCCTGATCTAGGGAGATGTGTACCAGAGAGGACAAGTCTCCCCGGAGACATGGAAGGAATTTATGATGTGAATGCTTCATAAGTAATCATGCTCTTTTGTCAGAGCTGGATGGTAATCACTGCTCTAGTGTTTGTGGGTTATTTTTAAAAAGCTACCAGAACTCTTTATATATAAAAAAATGCCCCTTGCTTCTGTGGCCTTAGCTCACTTGGAAGCAATCAAACTGAACAATAGTCTAGGCAGACAAAGTAATCAGTTCTTCTGTGTTTAAGGACCTGAAATGAGGGTGCCTGAATGTGGAGAGGGAATGGAGAATTGAAAAGTAGTTGAATCTATGGTAAAATTATGGGCCAAACCTGGGCACTTCTAGATCCCACTGCAAGGAAACAACAATAGAAACTGAGAGTCATAGGAGTGTATATCCAAGGGAAAAGTTTATAAGTTCAGTTTTAGAAATATTGAAAGTGAGATTCACTTAAGCCATCCTAATTTAGATGTTTGGTTAAAACTATTTTAACTCCAGAAAGTGATTTGGGATTTGGATATAGGTTTGGCTGGTCATCAGTACGTTAACAAGTAGTATATTAGCAAGCATAATACAGATTTTAGCAGACACAGTCCAGTTGATACAATGTGATCTGTAAACTCAATGAAGTCCTAGCAATCTGTACAATCTTATCCTTCATGAAAGTCCATGTAGCAATAACACATGGCCAGATAATTGAAAGGACTAAGAAGACTAAAAAGAGAACTCACAAGACTCCATAGAAAATTCTATAATAAAGCTTTAAGAAAGGTAAAGATACAGTACAGCAGGAAAAAGAATTGTAGTCAACCATAGCAACGTCTGCAAACCTTCAGGTGCAGATCCCAGGGCTCTTTCTCATCACATAGAATAACTTTGTCTTTAGATTGTTACACCAAGATATGTGTGAGATATCTTGGTCTCAGGGCAACCAAAACTTGACTTTCACAGATAAGCCCTGAACTTTTTTTTTTTTTTTTTGAGACAGAGTCTCACTGTTGCCTAGGCTGGAGTGCAGTGGCATGATGTCTGCTTACTGCAAACTTGCCTCCCAGGTTCAAGCAATTCTCCTGTCTCAGCCTCCCAAGTAGCTGGGACTACAAGCATGAGCCACCATGCCAAGTTTTTTTTTTTTGTATTTTGGTAGAGACACGGTTTCACCATGTTGACCAGGCTGGTCTTGAACTCCTGACCTCAAATGATCCGCCCACCTCGGCCTCTTAAAGTACTGGGATTACAGGTGTGAGCCACTGTGCCCGGCCAAACTCTGACCTTTAAAACTGTATTTTATTGATACTTGCTGAGATTTCCTTTCTCTGGAACACTTTTTCTCTACTCTCTGATCCCTCTCTCTCCACATTATCTTAGCTCTCCTTCCCTGAGCAGTCTCAATGTACTGTCTGCAAATATTTGCTAGATATTTCTGAAATCTTCGTGTATACCACCTCAGAACTTTTTGGTCTTCCTGAGGTCGTTAGCTACTCCCTGTGAAGTCTGCCCTTTTGTAGTGCCTTTGATGACACACTCAAATTGGAGTCTGCAAAGAATTTTCCTCTTACTAACTCAGTTTCACTGCTCTATTGCAGACCCATTTGCCATATGCAGGGTGTAGCCGTAACGTTTCTGCCAGGCATGTTTGTTATTTCTGAAATTCTGTGATTGTAGGATCCATCATTACCACTCCTGTTCCTTTGATTTAAAAACCCTCTGCTCCTGCCATCTTTGGGAGTGACTTGCTACTTTCAAGCCATGTTTTCAGGTGGAATTTCTATGACAACATTTGAAGATGTCATCCAAGTTTGCTGTTAGTTTTAATTTAGTTATCCTAGTTGTTTTATCTGGTGTTTAGTAGAAGAAGGGGGAAGAAAGATTGAAAATGAAACTTCTGCATTCTCCTACCATAACCTGAACCACCAATTCAAGTCAAATTTGGTAACACACGTTGCCCCAGGGAGTTACACATTGCATCAAGGTGTTCAAAATTATTTGATAAAATTGTGTATCAGTAAAAGTGATTTTTAGTCTATGCTTAAAATAAAGGACTTTATTTTATTAATATAAATTGGGCTGTAAACTATGCTTTTAATGAATATAAATATTTTGAAACAAAGTAAAAGTACTGCTGTGTAAGTACATGTAGGATGGAGTGAGTTCACTTATATGTGTATTCATCTATGTATACATGTTTATTGGTATATGCACATATAAATGTTAGTAGTTAGTAAAGCAAGCTTAGGTAGCATTTACCAAATTAGTAGTCCACAAATAAACATTTTCTTACCACTTTGTCAAATATACCTTATTAAATAGAGCTATCAGGTACGAGAAAAACAATTTGCCTTTATGGAGTGATGAAGACACACTCTAGTTTTGCTAATGGATCGACAACATTTTACCTAGACATTAAAAGCATATATGTACTTAGAAGAATCTGTGTCTCTTATCATATTTCATTTTTAAAGGAACATCACAGTTGAGGTTTCCAAGTTATTTAAAAATAATTGCAACAAGAGACAAATAGCAGTTCACCAAGAAAATCTACAGTGAAGAACAATATCTTTTTCTCTTCTATCAGGAAGCATTTTTGAAAACAAATCATCCAACCCAGTGTATCTTCAAAGAAGAAACCATTTCAGTAGGATAAATCCAAAAGTATGTAGTGTAACTATCATTACAGAAATGACTCTGCATAGAAACGAACCTATCAGCCAGGAGCGGTGGCTCACACCTGTAATCCCAGCACTTTGGGAGGGCGAAGCAGGTGGATCACTTGAGGTCAGGAGTTCGAGACCAACCTGGCCAACGTGGCGAAATCCCGTCTCTACTAAAAATACAAAAATTAGCTGGGCACAGTGGCAGGCACCTGTAATCCCAGCTACTCGGGAGGCTGAGGCAGAAGAATCGCTTGACTCCGGGAGGTGGAGGTTGCAGTGAGCCAAGATCGTGCCAGTACACTCTAGTCTGGGTGACAGAGTGAGACTCCATCTCAAAAAAAAAAAAAAAAAAAAAGGAAATGAACCTATCTCACCCCATCATTTAACTGGGCAATTAGCTTTGTCAAAAACATACTTTTGTATTTTTTAAGACGGGGTCTTTGCTGTGTTGTCCAGGCTGGAGTGCGGTGGCTATTCACAGGCATGATCAGTGCACACTATAGCTTTGAACTCCTGTCCTCAAGTGATCCTCCCACCTCAGCCTCCTGAGTAGCTGGTACTATTGGTGAATGTCACTGCACCCGGCCTTGCATTTGGTATTTGAGGAATGTTACCATGTGTTAAAATGCATATTCTGAGTCCTATATAGTACAGATGTACCTCACAGATACTGTGGCTTCAATTCCGGACCACTGTAATAAAGCACATACTGCAATAAAGCAAGTCACAGATTTTTTTGGTTTCCTGGTACCTATAAAATTTATATTTACACTATGTTGTAATCTTTTAAGTCTGCAATAGCATTATGTCTAAAAAAATGTACAAACCTTAATTTAAAAATACTTTATTGCTAAAAAATGCTAACAGTCATCTGATACTTCAGTGAGTCATAATCTTTTTACTTGTAAGGGGTCTTGCCTTGGCATTCGTGGCTGCTGATCAATCAGGGTGGTGGTTACTGAAGGTAAGGGTGGCTGTGGAAATTTCCAAGCATAAGACAGCAAGGTGGTTGTGAAAGTTTTCAAAAATAAGACAACAATTAAATTTGCTGCATTGATTGATTCTCCTTTTCACAAAATATTTCTCTGTAGTATGCAATGCTGTTTGATAGCATTTACACATAGTAGAACTTCTTTCAGAATTGGAGTCCATCCTCTCAAGCTCTGATGCTGCTTTACCAACCAATATGGAATATTCTAAATCCTTTGTTGGCATTTCAACAATGTTCACAGCATCTTCACCAAGAGTAGGTTTCATCTCAGGAAACCACTTTCTTTGCTCATTCATAAGAAACAACTTCTTATCCACTCAAGCTTTATCATGAGATTGCAGCAATCCAGTTACATTTTCAGGTTCTACTTCTAATTCTAGTTCTTTTGCTATTTCTACCACATGTGCAGTTACTTCCTCCTCTGAAGTCTGGAACCCCTCAAAGTCATCCATGAGGGTTGGAATCAACTTCTTCCACACTCCTGTTAATGTTGATGTTTTTACCTCCTCCCTTGAATCTCAAATGTTGTTAATGGAATCTGGAATGGTGAATCCTTTCCTCGACCCATGAGCTGCAGAATGCTTTTGTATTAGTGGGCATAGAAACACTGATCACTTTGTACCTCTTTATCAGAGCTCTTGGGTGACCAGATGCATTTTCAATGAGCAGTAATATTTTTAAATGAATCTTTCTTTTTTTCTGAGCCATAGGTCGTAACAGTGGGTTTAAAATATTCAGTAACCCATGCTGTAGACAGACGTGCTGTCATTAGGCTTTGTTGTTTCATTTATAAAGCACAGGCAGAATAGATTTAGCATGGGGGCCCAGGATTTTCAGAATGGTCAATGAGCACTGGCTTCAACTTCAAATTGCCTGCTTCATTTAGCCCCTAACAAGAAAATTAGTCTTTTTTTTAAAAAAAGCCTTGAAGCTAGGCATTGACTTCTCCTCTCTAGCTATGAAGGTTCTACATTGCATCATCTTCCAGTGAAAGGCTGTTTTGTCTACAATGAAAATCTGTTTTGTAGTGTATCCACTTATATCAATGACCTCAGCTAGATCTTCTAGATATCTTCTAGATAACTTGCTGCAATTTCTACTTAGCACTTGCTACTTCATCTTGCATTTTTATGCTATAGATCCAGCTTCTTTGCTTAAACCTCATAAGCCAATCTCTGCTACCTTCCAGCTCTTCTTTTACAACTTCCTAACCTCTCTCAGCCTTCATAGAATTGAAGAAGGTTGAGATCTTGTTGGGATCAGATTTGGGCTAAGGAAATGTTGTGGCTTGTTTGCTTTTTTTATCCAGACCTCTCAAACTTTCTCCATATCAGCCATAAGGCTGTTTAACTTATCATTTATCTGTAGCATTCACTGGAGTAGCACTTTTAATTTCTTTCAAGAACTCTTCCTTTGCATTTACAGCTTGGCTGACTGGCACAAGAGGCCTAGCTTCTGACCTGTCTTGGATTTCAACATGCCTTCCTCACTAAGCTTAATCATTTCTAGCTTTTGATTTAAAATGAGAGACGTATGAGTCTTCATTTCACTTGAACACTTAGAGGCCATTGTAAGATTACTCCTTGGCCTAATTTTAATATTGTCGTGTCTCAGAAAACAGTGAGGTCTGAGGCGAGGGAAAAAGATGGGGAAATGGCTAGTCAGTGCAGCAGTCAGAATACACACAACATTTATTGCTTAAGTTTGCTATCTTACATGGGTGGAGTCCATGTCACCCCAAAGCAATTACATTAGTGACATAAAAGATCACTGATCACAGATCACCATAACATATATAATAATGATGAAAAAGTTTAAAATATGATGAGAATTACCAAAGTGTGACACAAAGGCACAATATGAGCACAGGCTGTTGGAAAAAATTGCACCATCAAGCATGGTTGATGCAGAGTTGCTACAATCCTTTCATTTGTAAAAAATGAAGTGTCTGCAAAGTGCAGTAAAACAAAGTGCAATCAAATGAAGCAAGCCTTTGTTTCGAAACACCTTACCTCTAGACTGAAAATGAATTTAGATTAACATCTTTGTTTGTTTCTAAATATCCCAAGATGTCATGCATATACAATTCCCTAAAACGAAAACCCTATACCACATTATCAGAAGTTACATACACAGTGGCCCAGATTGAATGACATAGTATTTACATTTGTTGTTTTATTTAAATCACATCCTCACAATGGAGTCACATTGAGATATATTAGGTTAGAAGAAGAAATGTATTTGAAACTGTACTAGAACACGTTAGTCAGGAAAAACATTTTCTTCTGCCTGTTTATTTCACGGAATGGATATTGTGGTAAAGTGTGAGGAACCCAATCAAAAACTGGGTAACTGCTATGTCTAGAAAATCAGGGCTGTGGCATTGTTGACATATGTCAGTGTTTATGCCTGTGGATGCAACAGCCTAAGAATAAAAAGCATCACTATCACTTTGCCCAGAGCATATTCTGAAACACTTCCTTCCAGTAATAAGGAAAGTTTTGAATAATGTGGAGATATTGAGAAAAATAATTCAATTCAAAGAAAACTCAAGAAAATCAACATAAATATTTGGGCTAGGTATTTTCCAGGTGTTCTTTTACCATATTTACTATCTAGAACTGCTCTTACACATATGTTTATAAATAATACTAGTCTCTATGGTGTCTGAGTTACTCCTTTCCCATGCTTTGTTTCCTAAGAGTTAGAACACAGGATTCATTTGCTCCACTCAAATAAATATACTTCTGTGAATACCAGGTTCCCCATCACCTACTTCAGCAGGATTACATGAGGAGCAAATGTCTAGTGCCTGGCACATAGTAGGCCTTCAAATAACTGAAGTTACTTTAAGCAGTTTCTTCATAAGAATGGCTAAACAGTCATAGTATTTGTTGGGTAGCCTGTTGTGAAAGGCCAGTTTATTATGATTTTTTGTTTTAGTTTTATTTCATTACATTGCTGACTGATATTTTCATAAAATATCATTAAGCAATAAAAGTAATAATTATCACTATTACTATTTAAGAGCCATTATTTCCTAGGTCTTAGGTAGTGACCTTTCATTCACTCACATGTTAAGACTCTGCCAAAGACTCAAATGGACCCCTCTGCAGATTAGTAGGGCACACTAACAGGCAGATCTTTGCCTCCTTTCTAGTTCTCTACCTAGCATATTGTAGCCACCTGTCCAAACTGCAGTCCCTTCTCTTTTCTCTCTCTCTCTCTTTTTTTTTTTAACTTAACAAGTTATTTTCTCTTTATTGTTTTGTTTCCTTCCTCCAATTCTATTTCTTCTTCTTTTTTGTTAACTTTTATTTTAGGCTCAGGGGTACATGTGCAGGTTTGTTATACAGATAAATTCTGTGTCACGGGGGTTTAGTGTACAGATTTTTTCATCACCCAGGTAATAAGTATAGTACCTTCTAGGTAGTGTTTCCATCACCCCGTTCTGGCCCAAGACTCCTGGGCTGACCCATCCCTGCTGCCACCAACTTCCAAGTGGGGCAGCTGCTTAGCACTAGTGAAGGATGGGAGGACCACAGCTTTCAGTTCCTTTTGCCCCTGCTGTTCAGTGGGTCCCAGGTTCTTGTTGCATGTCCAAGAGTGAGGTTACACTGACAATTGCAGGGTGAGGAGGGTGGAGAAGAATTTTGTTGAGCGACAGAACAGCTCTCAGTTCAGAGGGGATGCGAGGGTGGTTCACCCAAAGTCAGTGGTTTTTCGCCCACTGTGGCTGTGTGCAGGACTTTTATGAGCTCAGAATGGGGGAGTGCCTGATGGTTGGTTTGTGGGTACGCAAAAAAGCTAAAACAAAGGCACCACTCAAAGGTAGGCATGACAGTGTAAAAAAAACAATTAGGGAAGGGTAGGTATATGTAAAAGAGGTGGAGGATGAGGCTCAATCAGAGGGAAGTGCGCCACCGGGAAGAGAGGTTCTCAATCTGGTGCATGGATTTGACTTGTAGCTTGGCTTTCAGGCTTTAAACTGTCTTGGCTTGAAGATGTGGCTTCACTGAGGACCTGCCCCTATTTGCATAGGCATTTGACTACCTCTTGCTGCTATCACAATGTCTAGAAAATATTGTTTCAAACATATTGTCTGGTATTCTAGTTCTTTAATTTAGTTCCTGATATACCATATTAGGGAACAGAAGCAGTTGCCCTCTCTCTCCTTGCACAGTTTAGTTTGTCTTCTTTTGTTTTTATCCTCTTGGCACTTTAAAGCTGTCATTTTACTCTCTCCTGGCCTCCATTCTTTCTGATGAGAAGCCAACATTCATTGTTACTCTCCCGGCTCTGTAGGCAGTAGGTAATGTGCTATTGCATTGAAACTTTGGTCATTTGGTTATCCGTATTATTTTTTCTTGTGTTTATGTTCGGGTAATTTCTATTCACCAGTCTTCAATGGCATGGATGGTTTATAATTTTGTGTCTAATCTGTTGTTAATTGCAATAGATTTTTAAAATTTAGGCATTCAATTTTTTTAGTTTTGTATTTTGATTTAGTTCTTTTTTAATATTTTACATCTGTCGTAAAAGTCCATATGTTCACCTATTACATCTATAATTTTCTGTGAAATCTTTGATATATTTGTTTTCCTTCTTTTATTTTATTTATGTTAATATTTTGAGACAAGGTCTTACTCTGCTGCCCAGGCTGGAGTGCAGTGGGACAAACATGGCTCACTGCAGCCTGAACATCCTGGACACAAGCGATCCTCCTGCCTCAGCCTCCAAAGGAGCTGGGACCATGGGCACATGCCACCACACATGGCTAATTTATTAAATTTTTTGTAGTGATGGGGTCTCCCTATATTGCCCAGGCTAGTCTTGAACTCCTGGGCTCAAGCAGTCCTTCCACCTTGGCCTCCCAAAATGTTAGATTACAGGCATGAATCACCATGTATTTTCCTGATTTTAAATCTTTGGCTTCTAATAAATATTTCATTCATGGATCTATGTCTATTGGCTGATTTTTCGCTAGGCTCCAAGTCAAATTATGTTTGATTTTCCATGTCTAGTAATGTTTAAGTTACATCTTGCATATTGAGATGTAGTATTATAGAGGCTAAGGCTTCTGTTATGTTTATGTGAGAGTGTTGAACCCCCACCCTCTTTTTTTTTTTTAATCGTGTAGCAGAGTTGATCTTGTGCAGTATTGTTTTTAAGCTTTGTTATTTTATTTTTGTTCTTAGGCCAGGAGCATAGCCCTAAGTCCAGGCATGTGTTCCTTTCTAAAGTGTGCTTAATGAGATTTCAGCAGATACTCAATGGTTTTTAACTAATCCTCTCCAACTCCATCTGTATCCTTTTGTTCAACAGCATCAGAAATTTCTACTGAAAATTTTTAGCCTTCCAGTTCTTGTACTTCTCCAAGCTATTTGTATGCTAGTACCACATATTTATGGTTTAGGAATCAGTCAGGAATTAGAAGGGGTGAGATACCACACCACAGACTCTCTCCTTTCCCCAGTTATCAGCCACTCTAGCACACCCAAATACCAAATTCTGGCTTTTCCCCAAAAATTTCAACAGATCGTTTTTTCTTTTTTTTTCTTTTTGTGGGGGTGGGGGAGGGGACAAATATTCAGATCACAGCAAAAGTACAGGCTTCAAGAAGCCAAAACCCATGCTTGTATTTTAATTTAAACTTTATTTTTACTGAAGCTTAGGAATGCTCTCTTCCCCCTTTCTGTTGTTTGATGTGCTCTATTATATATCCTATAACTCAACAAGAACTAAAATTCAAATTTGGCCACTAAATAGAGTATCCATCCCTTTCTTCCCTCTTTTTGGCTCTTGAATCAACTCCTATAAATTGGTACCAAAGAATGGAGGTGCAGATAATCCTCCTAAGTCATCATTTGTGAATCTACTCCCTGGAAATAAAACCAAACCCTAACTATTCAAAACTGAACTGCAAAATACCTTGCATCCCAGATAGAATTACAAACAGTTTACTAACAATAGTGACAGGCAAGATGAACAAACAGAAGTCTTATGAAATTTTGAATAAAATTTACCTATGTTGTATTTGTTTGAATAATATTTTTGATGACAGACAGTTTTAGTGTTCTTTTCTCACCTTAAAAGTCTATTGTATAAATAAATTCTTTTTTGTCAAAATTAATCTATATTATATTAAAATTATCAGTGCCTTTTAATAAATTCACTTTATTCTCTGGGTTGCTTCTATTCTAACCAGATAGATAGATAGATAGATAGATAGATAGATAGATAGATAGATAGATAGAGAATTTTCAATATCCTTATGAGTTATTCTCAGATATCTTGTATAATTCCCAGAAAGCTCCCTTTCCCCACTTTTTTTGGTATAAGAAAAAAATATAACAAGTCATATCTAGAAAATTCTAAGAAAAATTTTGCATGATTTAAAATATGACAGGACCACTCTCCCAATTTTGTGTTTTGTGGTAACTATGTAATTGTTACAAAGAAGAACAGCAATGTCATTTTCTTCAGGGCAACTTACTGGATATGAAGATTCCCAATTATAGGATATGGTCATGACAAAATTCACAAAAGCTTACCAGATACTGGGCTTCTTATTTGAATCTTAGTTGAGATAAGAAAATAATCTTTTAGAAAACATTATTATGTTCATTTTCTGCCAAATTTCTCAATTGTGTCTGTTAGTCCCTGGGATATACTAAGCATATTATTTCCCGAAGCCTTTACTTGCTATGGAAGAAATGTGGGGCTGCTTTTCAAAAACAGATAACCTCAAATAAAGACTTTAAAATAACAAATAGAAAAAAAAAACCAAACTTAAGTTCTTCTCTTTAGACCTGAAGCTTTGGTAAAGCTCCGACATGGAGGACAGAATCAGCCTTTCCTTACTTAATTTAGGTAACTTCAGTCCAGAAAACCATCTTACACTTCTGACATTCTTTTTGAAGTATGAAAGGTATGAATTGAGCCTTTATAGACTGGTTTAGAGATCATTTACATTTAGTATATTTTTGAATGCCAGACATTTTCAAATTACATGTTTTCCAAATTTTCTCTTATTTTTAATATACCTTCGACATACAAAAAATATTTACTCCCAGAATACATACACATATTTGCTTTCATTTAACGAAGAATCTAAAAAAAATTGTGTTTATGTAGTTTTATTAATGAAAAACTCTTGTTACAATTCAATACTTTACACTATTAAATTACCGATTATAAGGTTGATATTTTGTCCTGTGAATACTAACTGCTTTCAAGTAAACCTCTCAAAGCCACAGAGTTGAAAAGACAAAATTATCTTTGGGCAGGCACAAAAACAGAATTTCTTACAATTAAGTGTAATTCTACATTGGTTCTGATTTTTAGATGGAAAACTAGCAGAGAAAGAGAAAAAGAACACTCAAGCTATTAGCGTACAATTTTTAAAAAATGTTTCTTTGTACTGGGTTTGCACATTTCTTTTTTAAATCTTTTCCTACTTATTAAATCTTCTCTGATGCTATTATAAATGTGTTTTTCTCAACTCTTATGTTCTTTAGTTTACTTTTTTTTGTATATAAGACAATTTATTTTGTACACTAAACTTTACCTTACTACTTCACTGAATTGTTTGTTTATGACTTTGTGTTATCATTGATTTTCTAAGATTTTCTAGATATCATATCACCTGCAACTACAGATTGTTTTACTTCCTCATTTTGCAATGTCTTTGACTGATTTCAGTTTCTAATTGTACTGGTTAATACCTCTAGTAAAATGGTGAATAATAATGGAGGTAGTGGGTATCTTTGTTTTGTTCCTGATCTCAGTGGAAATGCTTCCTGTGTTTTCCATAACGTTTAACCTCCGTTCAATTACTTCATTTGATTTATTGTGCATTTATTTTTGTTTTATTAATTTGATATTTTTTCTTTATTCTCCTTGCTCTAAAATTGTGTTTAGGGTAGTGATAAGTTCTTGTTTTTTATAATTTGACTACACAAAAAGAATAAAGAGTCCTTTTTTTGCATAATCTTAGGCCCTGAAAAATCAGTGCAGTGGGTGGAGGGCTTATCATTTTTCCTAACATTATGGTCTGAAAATGGTGTCTTTCCGCTATACTCGTGGCATAATCGTTTGTCTATCATAAAAGAAAATAGCAGTTTTCAGGAATGTGAGGCTTAATATAATTTATTTGAAATCATATTTTAGGATTAAAGTTAATATTGTTCAAAATAGCTCATCATATCTTATTCTTGTTTGTTTTATTATTATTGTTATCTTTTGATTTGGTTATGACAGAAGATGGACATTTATGATAACCAAGAGGAACATTTGTTATTTAAATAGAGCCATTTTCAAGTAAATACAATGTGAAAATTAGAGTGGCTTGGGTCAGACACATTTAAATTTAATCTCTGCCAATCTCAGCAAAATTTAGTCATTAATCATTTAATTTGTTTCTATGTGAATTACAGATAGTTTAAGCTTTTACATGTGTTCCATTTCAGCCATATTTTGCTGCAAATATTACATTCTATAGTTAATTATTTAAAAGATGATTTTTGTTGTCTTGGTTTTATCTTGTTGCTTAGATATTCCTTTAATTTCCTGGATTCTTGTAAAAACACACTTACTCTTTGGGATCCCTTGGTGATCTTTCTAGTATTTTCTATAGCATATGTTATATACCCCTGGTATATGTAGTTCATTTGGTCAGCAACAGTCTCTTAGAGTAAGATAAAAAAAGACACAAAACTTTTATTAGAATGAGTAGTATTTTGTTAATTATAGAAGCAAGCTCTTTTAATAAGCATTTCACTTATTTGTCTTATGCAAAAAAAGGACTCTTTATTCTTTGTGTGTAGTCAAATTATAAATAAAACCAAAGTTGCAAGGAATGAAATACATAAAAATAACCAAGAAATTATTTTAGTAAACTTAGTGAATTTATAAATATTATTTAATTTTATAATTATTTTGATAGTTGACTTTTCTCATCTAAAAATGCAAATATTTGTTTTGGTTTTAAGAGAAAATGTACTCCATAACTACAATTATAATTAAAATCAACTGTTTTTTAATTAGGGACAGACTCTGTTGGTTACAAATGTAAATTCCACAAAAATGTGGAAAACATAGTCTTTGATTTTATTGTATAGACAGAAACTTTTTTTAACTTAGCAACTAAAAATAACTTACATTAAAAAATGAATATTTAGCATTTGTGTAATTTCTATTATGTCGTTTTCTAAGATTCAGAAAACAGTTCTTTTAAGTATCTATTTTAGATTGCATTAATGCAAAATATGGTCAAGATTTGTTCTTCCTTCTTAGAAATGCTGTGGAGTTTTTCCTTTTCTAGAATGTCTTCTAGTGATAGATTTGATTCTGTGAGCATGGCTTGGAGACAATCTGTGGCCTCTGTTGCTGCTATAAATATAGTGGTTTCTCAGTGAAAGAGGCACACAGCTTCTTTTTTATGCTTAAAGACTGATAGCACTCAATCTGTTATTTTGAGAAAGATCCCTTTACTATGATTCAAACCCGAATATCCAACTTTCTAGAAGACATTTACACCAATGTGTCCCTAAAGCATCTCACATTTAGTATGTCCAAAGTTGAATCTTCTCTTTTTTTATCATAATTCATTGTAAGCCATGAGTCTACCACTTCTCCTCCTTCATTCTCAAGTATAGTTTATTTTATTATAATTCACACCTAAAGTCTAAGGATTAATTTGGATGTTAGTTAATCTAAAGCTTTGGGTCATTCTAACTTCAATTTCTCTCTGATGGATCCCTTTCTTAACATTTCTTTCTTTCTAACTCCAATTTTCTCCATCCCACTTTGTTTTTCTACCTTTTACTGCTTCTGCGTTATTATAAAACAACAACAAAAGAGGCAAAGCCACTTATTTGACCCCATCAATACACAGCATCAATCTCCTGTTTAAAGTACCATGCCTTCCCAGTGTCTGCAGAATGTGGCTCATAGTTGTAGTGTTGATGGAAGGCCCCTCATGCTTGTTTATTATCAGCCTGGCTAATATCCTGCTGCCACTTTGCACATCCTGGCAGAGTTAGGTTTCTTTCAAGTGTCAGGAAATGGAAACACAATTGGATAACATTACATAATAGAAGTTGGGTTTTAGTGAAGGTGAGAGAGACAAAAAGCAATCTGAGCATGGAATAACCGGGACTCACAGAGTGTGCGATACATTTCAGAATGTAGAGCATCTCTAGCTCTGCTTCTCTTTATGGGTCAGCTATGTTAACAGCAGGTCCTGATTCTCCCCGTCTGCGGTGCCCCACCATTATGCTGATACAGCTACTCTGGGTTTTCACATATACCGTTTCCATCATTTGAAATAATGTTTGTTTTAAATGTCTTCTCTAGAATTTGTCATTTCTACATTTAATAACTACTGCTTTCTGACTTCTTTCCATGAGTGTTGTTAAAGAAACAGTCTAGACAAAAGTATTTTCAAACAAAAGGAAAAAGTATTCTTGCGAAAAGTTGCCGGGCAGGTTTCAGAAAGATTAGCTCAAGAAAGATAATGAGTCATTAAAAGAGAGTGTAAGTCACAAATTACCACAGCATGGCCATTTAGCCAAATATAGAATAAGCTTTAAAACTATTTTTTCTTTTGCTGTAGTAATATTGTTTGTAAATTTATTATTTGGATGTAATAACAAATGAGCATAAAAAACATGCTGTCAGAAATAGTATCAACCATAGAATAACCAACTTTTATTGAGCACTTACTACATGCCAAACACTGACTATATCATCATATGTATTCTCATTTGAATGACATAAAAACTATGTGATATGGTACTATTATTTTCCATGTTTTACAATTACAGAATGGATTATGTTCTGAAATAATAAGGCATGAGTTAATGACCTAAAGCCTTATAAAACTTCCCTTGTGCCCAGATAAGAAAAAAACAGCCATTTTAATATAGTCTTGCCTTTAGACCATGGTGGGCTATCATCAGAACTATGTTCAGTATGCCCCTAATCCTCCAGCCTCAAGGAACCCAACCTCAGCTTTATTCACAATAGCAAAGACAGAATCAACCTAAATGCCCATCAATGAGAGATTTGATAAAGAAAATGCCATACATATACACCATGGGACACAATGCAGCCGTAAAAGAGAACAAGATCTATGTCTTTTGCAGGAACATGGATGGAGCTGTAGGCCATTATCTTCAGCAAATTAATGCAGGAATATAAAACCAAATACCGCGTGTTCTCGCTGATAAGTCGGAGCTAAAAGATGAGAACTTATGAACATAAAGAAGGGAAAAACAGACACTGGGGCCTCCTTGAGGTTAGAGAGTGAAAGGAGGGAGAGGAGCACAAAAATTAATTATTGAGTTCTAGACTTAGTACCTGAGTGACAAAATAATCTGTACAACCAACCCACTTGACATAAGTTTACCTGTATAACAAACCTGCACTGGGACCCCTGAACCTAAAATTAAAAAAATAGTAACCTAAACGCTCAACATCACATATCATCAGGGAAATAGAAATTAAAGCCACAATGAGCTATTAACCCATAACTATTAGAATTAGTGTTGGGGCTGGGCATGGTGACTCATTCCTGTAATCCCAGCACTTTGAGAGGCCGATGCCAGTGGATCACCTGATATCAGGAGTTCGAGACCTGCCTGGCCAACATGGTGAAACCCCATCTCTATTAAAAATACAAAAAAATTAGCCAAGCGTGGTGGCAGGCACCTGTAATCCCAGCTACTTGGGAGGCTGAGACAGGAGAATCGCTTGAACCCGGGAGGTGGAGGTTGCAGTGAGCCGAGATCGTGTCATTGCACTCCAGCCTGGGCAACAAGAGTGAAACTTAAAATAAAATAGAATTAGTGTTGGCTAGGATTCGGAGAAAAGGGAACTCCTGCACACTGTTAGTGGAAATCTAAATTAATACAACTATTTTGGAAAAAAATACAAAAATTCCTCAAACAATTAAAAACAGAACTAACATATGATCCAGCAATCCAAATACTGGGCATATATCTAAAGAAAATGAAGTTAGTATGTGGAAGAGATACCGGCACATTCATGTTCTTTGCCTCATTATTTACGATAGCCAAAACATGGACTCAACTTAAATGTCTATTAGGGGATGAATGAATAAAGATAATATCATATGTGTGTGTGTGTGTGTGTGTGTGTGTGTATAATGGAAGACTATTCAGCATTAAAAAAAAACTAGTTAAATATTGAGCATGTTTTCCTGTACCTGTTGGCCATTTGTAGGTCTTCTTTTGAGAAGTTATCTTTTTAGCTCCTTTGCCAGGTTTTTAACTGGGTTATTTGTTTTCTTGCTATTGAGGTGTTTGAATTCTTTATATATTTTGGATATATTAAGTTGTATGGTCTGCAAATATTTTCTCTTATTCACAGGCTGGCTCTTCACTCTGTTGATTTTTTTCTTTGCTGTGCAGAAGATTTTTAGTTTGAGGTAATCTCATTTGTCTATTTTGCTTTTGTTGCCTGTGCTTTTGGTGTCATTTTGAAAAAAACATTGCCCAGACCAATGTAATGAAAATTTTCCCCTGTGCTCTCTTCTGGTAGTCTTATGGTTTCCGGACTTATGTTAATGTCATCAATCCATTTTGACTAAATTTTTGTGCATGGTGTAAAATAGGGGTCCAATTTCAGTCTGCAAATGGATATCCAGTTTTCCTAGCACCATTTATTGAAGAGACTATTCCTTTTCCCATTCCCTGTTCTTGGCACCTTTGTTGAAAGTCAATTGACTATAAATGAGGGAATTTATTTCTCAGCTTTCTGCTCTTTTCTCTTGGTCTATGTGTCTGTTTTTATGCCAATACCATGCTGTTTGATCACTGTAGCTTTGTAATATATTTTAAAATCTGATTTTATGTGTCTCCTACTTTGTTCTTTTTGCTCAAGATTGTGTTGGCTATTGGGAGTCTTTTATAATTCCATATAATTTTAGGATAGTTTTTTTCTGTTTCTGTGAAAATTGTAACTGGAATTTTGGGTAATATGGACATTTTAACAGTATTAATTTTCATTTTGTCATGGTGGCTTACTTCATGCCTATAATTCCAACAGTTTTGGAGGCTGAGGTGGAAGGATTGCTTGAGACCAGGAGTTCAAGGCTGGAATAAACCTGGGTGACAGAGCAAGACCTCATCTCTAAACAAATAAACAAATAAATTCTCCTAATCCATAAACGTAAGATGTCTTTCCATTTATTTGTATCTTCTTAATTTTTTTCATATATCTCTTATAGTTTTCTATGTACAGATTTTTTATCTCCTTAGTTAAATTTACTGTGAAGTATTTTAATTTTTATCTATTATAAATGAGATTTTTTACCTAATTTTTTTCAGATAATTTTTGGGGTATAGAATGCCAACTGATTTTTGTATGTTGATTTTCTATCCTGCATCTTTACTAAATTTGCTTGTTAGTTCTCACAGTTTTTTGGTGGCATCTTTAGGGTTTTTTATATATAAGGTCATATACCTTCAAACAAATAACTTCCTTTCTGATTCAGGTGACTTTTATTTCTCTCTGTCTTGCATAATTTCTCATGCTAGGAATTTTAGCACTAAGTTAAATAGAAGCAGTGAGAGTGGGCATCCATGTCTTGTTCTTGATTTTATAGGAAAAGCTTTCAACTTTTCACTGTTGAGTATAATGTTAGCTTTGGGCTTGTCATATATTGTTTTTATTGTGTTGAGGTGCATTTGTTCTATACCTAATTTGCTGTGTGTTTTTATTATAAAAGAATGTTGAATTTTGTCAAAGCTTTTTCTGCATTTATTCAGATAATCTTATGATTTTTGTCTTTCATTCTGTTAATGTTTTATATCATATTTATTGATTTGTATATGTTGAACCATCCTTGCAACAGGGATAAATCCCATGTGATCATGCCGAATGATCCTTTAAATTCTCCATTGAATTCAGTTCGCTAATGTTTTGTTGAGCATTATTGTATGTATATTTAATAGAGATATTGACAATCATTTTCTTTTTTGGAGTGTCTTTGCCTTTGCTATCAGAGCAATGCTTGTAAAATGAGTTTGAAGTATTTCCTACTTTTCAATCTTTTTGGAGATTTCAAAAAGTCTTGGTATTATTTCTTTAAATATTTGGTAGAATTCATCCATGAAGTTATCGGTTCCTCAGGTTTTCTTTGATGGGAGATGTTCTATTTAAATTCAATCTTCTTCTCTGTTTTTAGTCTGTCCAGGCTTTTGATTTATGATTCAGTCTTGGAGGGTTGCATGTTTCCCAGAATGTATCCACTTCTAGGTTAGCCCATTTGAAAGCATATAATTGTTCACAATAGTTTCTTATGACCATTTGTATGTATCTCTTGTAATGTCCTCTCCTTCATTTCTGATGTTATTTATTTGAGTCTTCTCTCTTAGTCTGGCTAAAAGTTTGTCAATATTGTTTTTATTAAAACAAAAAAAACTCTTAGCTATGTTGATTTTTAAAATTTATTTATAGCATCTATTTCATTATTATATCATTTCTTCTATAACTTTAGACTTAGTTTGTTCTTCTTTTTCTAATTCCTAGAGGTGAAATACTAGCTTCTTCATTTGAAATTTTTCTTATTTATTTAGGCATTTATTGCTATAAACTCCACTCAAACTGCTTTTGCTGCAGTATAACTTTTGGTGTGTTGTGTTTTCATTTCCATTTTTCTCAATACATTTAATTTTTTTTTTAAATTTCTTTTATGACATATTGGTTAACCAGGAGCATATTATTTAATTTATTATTTTATTTATTTACTTATTTATTTATTTATCTATTTTTTATTATACTTTAAGTTCTAGGGTACATGTGCGCAATGTGCAGGTTTGTTACTTATGTATACATGTGCCGTGTTGGTTTGCTGCACCCATTAACTCATAATTCACATTAGGTATTTCTCCTAATGCTATCCCTCCCCCCTTCCCCCACCCCACGACAGTCCCCAGTGTGTGATTTTCCCCGCTCTGTGTCCAAGTTGTTCAGTTCCTACCTATGAGTGAGAACACGCAGTGTTTGGTTTTCTGTCCTTGTGACAGTTTGCTCAGAATGATGGTTTCCAGTTTCATCCATGTCGCTACAAAGGACATGAACTCATCCTTTTTTATGGCTGCATAGTATTCCATAGTGTATATGTGCCACATTTTCTTAATCCAGTCTATCATTGATGGACATTTGGGTTGGTTCCAAGTCTTTGCTATTGTGAATAGTGCCGCAGTAAACATACGTGTGCATGTGTCTTTATAGTGGCATGATTTATAAATACTTTGGGTATATACCCAGTAATTGGATCGCTGGGTCAAATGGTATTTCCAGGTCTAGATCCTTGAGGAATCACCACACTGTCTTCTACAATGGTTGAACTAGTTTACAGTCCCACCAACAGTGTAAAAGCATTCCTATTTCTCCACATCCTCTCCAGCACCTGTTGTTTCCTGACTTCGTAATGATCACCATTCTAACTGGCATGAGATGGTATCTCATTGTGGTTTTGATTTGCATTTCTCTGATGACCAGTGATGATGGGCACTTTTTCATGTGTCTATTGGCTGCATAAAAGTGTTCTTTTGAAAAGCATCTCTTCATATCCTTTGCCCACTTTTTGATGGGGTTGTTTTATTTTTTCTTGTAAATTTGTTGAAGTTCTTTGTAGATTCTGAATATTAGCCCTTTGTCACATGGGTAGCTTGTGAAAATTTCCTCCCATTCTGTAAGTTGCTGGTTCACTCTGATGGTAATTTCTTTTGCTGTGCGGAAGCTCTTTAGTTTATTTAGATACCATTTGTCTATTTTGGCTTTTGTTGCCATTGTTTTTGGTGTTTTAGTCATGAAGTCCTTGCCCATGCCTATGTCCTGAATGGTATTGACTAGGTTTTCTTCTAGGGTTTTTATGGTTTAAGTCTAACATTTAAGTCTTTGATCCATCTTGAATTAATTTTTGTATAAGGTGTAAGGAATGGATCATTTCAGCTTTCTACATATGGTTAGTCAGTTTTCCCAGCACCATTTATTAAACAGGGAATCCTTTCACCATTTCTTGTTTTTGTCAGGTTTGTCAAAGATCAGATGGTTGTAGATGTGTGGTATTATTTCTGAGGCCTCTGTTCTGTTCCATTGGTCTATATGTCTGTTTTGGTATCAGTACCATGCTGTTTTGGTTACTGTAGCCTTGTAGTATAGTTTGAAGTCAGGTAGCGTGATGCCTCCAGCTTTGTTCATTTTGTTTAGGATTGCCTTGGCAATGCAGGTTCTTTATTGGTTCCACATGAACTTTAGTTTTTTCCAATTCTGTGAAGAAAGTCATTGGTAGCTTGAAGGGGATGGCATTGAATCTATAAATTACCTTGGGCAGTATGGCCATTTTCATGATATTGATTCTTTCTATCCATCAGCATGGAATGTTCTTCCAATTGTTTGTATCCTCTTTTATTTCATTGAGCAGTGGTTTGTAGTTCTCCTTGAAGAAGTCCTTCACATCCCCTGTAAGTTGGATTACTAGGTATTTTATTTTCTTTGTGGCAATTGTGAATGGGTGTTCATTCATGATTTGGCTCTCTGTTTGTCTGTTATTGGTATATAAGAATCCTTGTTATTTTTGCACATTGATTTTGTATCCTGAGACTTTGTTGAAGTTGCTTATCAGCTTAAGGAGATTTTGGGCTGAGGTGATGGGATTTTCTAAATATACTATCATGTCATCTGCAAACAGGGACAATTTGACTTCCTCTTTTCCTAATTGAATACCCTTTATTTCTTCCTCTTGCCTGATTGCCCTGGCCAGAACTTCCAACAGTATGTTAAATAGGAGTGGTGAGAGAGGGCATCCCTGTCTTGTGCCAGTTTTCAAAGGGAATGCCTCCAGTTTTTGCCCATTCAGTATGATATTGGCTGTGGGTTTGTCATAAATAGCTTTTATTATTTTGAGATACGTTCCATCAATACCTAGTTTATTGAGAGTTTTTGCATGAAGGGCTGTTGAATTTTGTCAAAGGCCTTTTCTGCATCTATTGAGATAATAATGAGGTTTTTGTCTTTGGTTCTGTTTATGTGATGGATTACATTTATTGATTTGCATATGTTGAACCAGCCTTGGATCCCAGGGATGAAGCCAACTTGATCTTGGTGGATAAGCTTTTTGATGTGCTGCTGGATTCTGTTTGCCAGTATTTTATTGAGGATTTTTGCATCGAAGTTCATCAGGGATGTTGGTCTAAAATTCTCTTATTTTGTGTGTATCTCTGCCAGGTTTGGTATCAGGATGATGCTGGTCTCATAAAATGAGTTAGGGAGGATTGCCTCTTTTTCTATTAATTGGTATAGTTTCAGAAGGAATGGTACCAGCTCCTCTTTGTACCTCTGGTAGAATTTGGCTGTGAATCTGTCTGGTCCTGGACTTTTTTTGGTTGGTAGGCTATTAATTATTGCCACAATTTCAGAGCCTGTTATTGGTCTATTCAGGGATTCAACTTCTTCCTGGTTTAGTCTTGGAAGGGTGTATGTGTCCAGGAATTCATCCATTTCTTCTTGATTTTCTTGTTTATTTGTGTAGACGTGTTTATAGTATTCTCTGATGGTAGTTTGTATTTCTGTGGGATCATTAGTGATATCCCCTTTATCATTTTTTATTGCGTCTATTTGATTCTTCTCTTTTCTTCTTTATTCGTCTTGCTAGTGGTGTATCAATTTTGTTGATATTTTCAAAAAACCAGCTCCTGGATTCATTGATTTTTTGAAGGTTTTTTGTGTCTCTATCTCCTTCAGTTCTGCTCTGATCTTAGTTATTTCTTGCCTTCTGCTAGCTTTTCAATTTGTTTGCTCTTGCTTCTCTAGTTCTTTTAATTGCGATGTTAGGGTGTCGATTTTAGATCTTTCCTGCTTTCTCTTGTGGGCATTTAGTGCTATAAATTTCCATCTACACATTGCTTTAAATGTGCCCCAGAGATTCTGGTATGTTGTGTCTTTGTTCTCATTGGTTTCAAAGAACATCTTTATTTCTGCCTTCATTTCGTTATTTACCCGGTAGTCATTCAGGAGCAGGTTGTTCAGTTTCCATGTAGTTGTGCGGTTTTGAGTGCGTTTCTTAATCCTGAGTTCTAACTTGATTTCACTGTGGTCTGAGAGACAGGTTGTTGTAATTTCTGTTCTTTTACATTTGCTGAGGAGTGCTTTATTTCCAACTATATGGTCAACTTTGGAATAAGTGCAATGTGGTGCTGAGAAGAATGTATGTTCTGTTGATTTGGGGTGGAGAGTTTTGTAAATATCTGTTAGATATGCTTGGTGCAGAGCTGAGTTCAAGTCCTGGATATCCTTTTTAACCTTCTGTTTGTTGATCTGTCTGATATTGACAGTGGGGTGTTAAAGTCTGCCATTATTATTGTGTGGGAATCTAAGTGTCTTTTTAGGTCTCTCAGGACTTGCTTTATGATCTGGGTGCTCCTGTATTGGGTGCATGTGTATTTAGGATAGTTGGCACTTCTTGTTGAATTGATCCCTTTACCGTTATGTAATGGCCTTCTTTGTCTGTTTTGATCTTTGTTGGTTTAAAGTCTGTTTTAGCAGAGACTAGGATTGCAACCCCTGCTTTTTTTTTTTTCCTTTCCATTTGCTTGGTAGATCTTCCTCCATCCCTTTATTTTCAGCCAATGTGTGTCTCTGCATGTGAGGCTCTACCTACCTTTGGTCTTTGATAATGGTGACCTACAGATGGGGTTTTGGTGTGGATGTCCTTTTTGTTGATATTGATGCTATTCCTTTGTGTTTGTTAGTTTTCCTTCTAATAGTCAGGTCCCTCAGCTGCAGGTCTGTTGGAGGGAGGTCTACTCCAGACCCTGTTTGCCTGGGTATCACCAGTGGAGGCTGCAGCACAGCAAATATTGCAGAACAGCAAATATTGCTGCCTGAGCCTTCCTCTGGAAGCTTTGTCTTAGAGGGGCACCCAGCTGTATGAGGTGTCAGTCAGCCCCTACTGGGAGGTGTCTCCAAGTTAGGCCACATGGGGGTCAGGGACCCACTTGAGGAGGTGGTCTGTCCATTCTCAGAGCTCAAACACCATGCTGGGAGAACCACTACTCTCTTCAGAGCTGTCAGGGACGTTTAAGTCTGCAGAAGTTTCTGCTGCCTTTTATTCAGCTATGCCCTGCCCCCCAAGATGGAGTCTACAGAGGCAGGCAGGCCTCGTTGAGCTTCAGTGGGCTCTACCCAGTTCAAACTTCCCAGCTGCTTTGTTTACCTTCTCAAGCCTCAGCAATGGTGGATGCCCCTCCTCCAGCCCAACTTGCCACATCGCAGTTTGGTCTCAGACTAGTAGTAAGCAAGTCTCCGTGGGCATGGGACCCACTGAGCCAGGTGCAGGATATAATCTCCTGGTGTGCCATTTGCTAAGAACATTGGAAAAGTGCAGTGTTTAGGTGGCAGTGTCCCGATTTTCCCAGTACAGTCTGTCACGGCTTCCCTTGGCTAGGAAAGGGAAATCCCCTGACCCCTTACACTTCCCGGGTGGGCTGTACCCACTGTTCAACAATTCCCAATGAGATGAACCAGGTAGCTCAGTTGGAAATGCAGAAATCATCCATCTTCTGCATCAATCACGCTGGGAGCTGCAGACTGGAGCTCTTCCTATTTGGCCATCTTGGAACAGACCTCCCATATTATTTAATTTTATACATTTGTGCATTTTCTAATATTTTTGTGTCATTTGTTTCTAGTTTCAGATCATTGTGATTGAAAAGACACTTGATTTGTTTCAATTTTCTTAAATTTGTTAACGTTTGTTTTGTAGCCTAACATAAGATCTATCCTGGAGAATGTTCTGTGTGTTCTTGAGGAAGACGTATATTGTACTACTGTTGGATGTGTTTCTGTTAGGCTTATTTGGTCTAACGTGTAGTTCAAGTCTGTTGTAATCTATTAGGATATTTTTCTCTATTTTGTTCTTCAGGTTTCTTTCTTTAGAGTGACTGTATGCCAAAATAGCCATTCTTTAGAAGAACTCACCAGAGAGAAAATTGGTTTCAGGTGTGTCAGGTGAAACACAAATAGGAGGTAAACCCAAAATGCATGAAACAAAAGGAATTTATTATGCACAAGTACAAGAGAGGTTGGGGTGCTGAAGGGAGGACAGTGGGTAGTCTGAAGGTGGCAGGAAGTTCAACGTGCAAGAGAGGCCCCATGGAACTATACCCTTATTAAGGTTCATGTGCATTACCCCTTAGGTTTTTCCATGGGGGTTGTGGATTGGCTAGTTTAAAGAAAACACACACAGGCCAGGCGTGGTGGCTCATGCCTGTAATTGCAGCACTTTGGGAGGCCGAGGTGGGCAGATCACAAGGTCAGGAGATTGAGACCATCCTGTGAATGGTGAAACCCCATCTCTACTAAAAATACAAAAAACTAGCCGGGCGTGGTGGCGGGCACCTGTAGTCCCAGCTACTTGGGAGGCTGAGGCGGGAGAATGGCGTGAACCTGGGAGGCGGAGCTTGCAGTGAGCTAAGACTGTGCCACTGCACTCCAGCCTGGGCGACAGAGCGAGACTCCATCTCAAAAAAAAAAAAAAAAAAAAAAAAGGAAACACACACAAAGAGAGAAAATTATTTATATAAACTGGTGTTGACTGTTAGGTTTTATTGTTGTCCATAGCTGTAGGTTGTGTTGGGTTTGGGGTCAGTCAGATGAGGAACAAGTGGGTTGTATCACAAACAACACACAAGGAGGGATGGTAATATAACCAGGACAAAGGGACACAGTACACTAGGTTTCCATCAAGTATGTCAGGCCTCAAAATGGTTATTGACACAACTATATTAAAGTATTTTATGAGAAAGTGCAATGTTTCCTTATTGATTTTCTGTCTGGATGATATATCCATTGCTGTAAGGAAGGTATTAAAGTCTCCTACTATTATTATTTATCAGTCAATTTTTCCCTTCAGATCCATTAATATTTGCTTTATATATATATTTGGCACTTTAATGTTGGGTACATTTATATTTATGATTGTTATGTCCTCTTGATATATTTATTTATTTTAATCATATAATGTTCTTCTGTGTCTGTTTTTGTAGTTATTGTCTTAAAGTCTGTTTTATCTGATAAATATATAGCTACCTATACTCTTTTTTGCATTCCATTCACACAAATCCTTTTCCATTCCTTCACTTTAAGTCTCTGTGTGTTCTTAAAGGTGAAGTGAATCTTTTCTTGTGAGCAGCATATAGCTGGGCCTTGGTTTTGTTTGTTTTGTTTTTATTTTTTCAGTCATTCTGTGTCTTTTAATTGGATAATTTAATTCATTTGCACTCAAGGTAATTAGCAACAGATAAGGACTTACTACTGACATTTTGTTAATTGTTTTCTCACTGTTTTGTAGGTCCTTTGTTCCTTTCTATCTCTCTTGCTGTCTTTGTGATTTGATGGTTTTCTCCAGTGGTATGCTTTGATTCCTTTCTCTTTATCTTTTGTGTATCTATTATAGGTTTTTGTTTTGTGGATATTACGAGGCTTACATAAAACATTTTATGGTTATACTAGGCTAAAGTTGATAAAGACTTCACTTCAATTGTGTACAAAATCCCTATACTTTTCATGTCTTCAATTTTATGTTGCTGATGTCACAATTCACATTTTTATATGATATATCCCTTAACAAATTATTATTGCTATTTTTATTTTTAATAGTTTTATCTTGTAATCTTCATACTAAATACATAAGTGATTTACACAGTATCATTATAGTATTATAGTATTCTGAATTTGACTATGTTTTCATTTTTTCCAGTGAGTTTTATTCATCCATATGTTTTCATGTTACTACTTAGCATCATTTTCTTTCAGCTAACTCCTTTTAGCATTTCTTGTAAGGTAGGGCTTTTGTGATAAACTCCCTCAGCTTTTGTTAGTCTGATAAAGTCTTCATCTCTTATTCAGCTTTGAAGATCTTTGCTGATTAAAGGATTCTGGGTTGACAGGTTTTTTTCTTTTTTTTTTTTTCTTTCAGCACTTTAAATATGTCATTGTATTATCTCCTGGTTTGTGTGGTTTCTGATGAGAAATCTACTGATAGCCATATTAGAGTTCCCTTGTGTGTAATATGCTTCTTTTCTTTTTCAGCTACCAGGATCCCCATTCATGAGTTTTACAGTTTGATTTTAAAATGTCTTGGCGCAGTCTTGTTTGGATTGAGTCTTGAGTCTTACAGAAGCTTTTAAGCTTCCTATACCTGGATATTTAATTCTTTCCCCAAATTTGGAAAGTTTTCTAAAACTTGTCAAAAGTCAGTTTTATTCCCCTTTCTCTTTCTTTGCTTCTTCTTAGATATCCATTATGTGTAAATTGGGTTGTTTGATTGTGTCCCATTATTTTCTTAGGCTTTCTTCACTTATCTCTTTTCTTTTCTTTTCTCTCTTCTCTTCTCTTTTCTTTTTTCTTTTCTTTTCTTTGTTACTCTGGGTAATTACAAATAACCTGTTTATGACCTCACTGATTGTTTCATCTGTTTGATCAAGTCCTCTTTAGAAGCTCTCTCCAGAAACTTTAGGTTTGGTTATTGTGTCTTTAGCTCCAGAGTTTCCATTTGTTTTGTTTTGTTTTGTTTTTTAAGAAATCTTGTCTATCTCTTTGCTGAACTGATTTGTTTGGCTATTGTTTTTCTGATTTCATTTAGTTTTCTAGCTATATTCTCTTGCAGCTCACGGATCCTCTTTAAGATGACTACATCAATTTTTTCAAGCAGATCATCAAGATTTATTTATTTTGGATTGATGACTCATACTTTATTTTGTTCTTTTAATTGTGCCATGATTTCCTGATTGTTCATGTTCTTTGTGGCTATGGTGTTGTTGTCTATGGATTTGAATAAATAGGGACTATTCCAGTCTTTGCATAGTGGCTTTGGCTGGGAAAGCCACTTACCAGTCAGCTCATTCCAAGATTCTGGGCAGCCTATCTGTCATGGCCTATGGGAAATTTGCTGCTGGAATTCTTATGCAGGCTAGCCTGGAGCCTGGGTTAACAGCTGGGCAGACTTGGCTCCTGGATCTGCTGTGTTGGCCCTGGGCCCTGCGTTTATTGCAGGTGGACATAAAACTTGAGCCTGCCATGATGGACATAGATTATTGGTTCACAGGGGCTGGTCTCATCCCAGGAGCCACTGGGGTGGACCTTTTGACTGGGTCTGCAGAAGCAGGCTTGGATCCTGTATTCATGGGGGCCGTCCTAATCCCAGATTGACAAGGTTTTTCATGGCACTAGTTTATTTCATAAGCCTGAATGTGCAAGTGCCAGCCATTTGCTGGGATGGGCCCGGTGACTAAGTACACAGAGACAGTCCTGGAGCCTGGTGCCCCGGGAGCTGGAATGGCTCTGAGTCGGAGCTATAGGCTGAATATTTGGGGAGAGGCTTGGGCCCTGGGACTTTGAGGACCAACTTGGAACCTAAGTCTACAGAGGCAGTCCTGGAGTCTGGGTCTACGTCTTCTGGCCTTATGCTGGGGTCTACTACAATGAGGGTGAGCTCTTGGTCATCGGACCCTGGGTCTGTTGGAGCATGGGGCTGCAGAGGCTGGTCTGGTGTTGGACAGGCCAGAATTCTGGGTCTGTGGGCACCAGCCTGGGGTCTGGGGTTCAGTCCAGTGTTAGGATTCTTCTGAAGCTTGAAGCCACTGAGGTTGGCCTGGTGCTGGAGTGGATCTGGAGGCTGGCTGTAAGTGTTGCTTTGAAGTTTGAGGCTGTGGAACCTGTCCTGATACTCTGGCAGATTGGGTCCTGCGTGAGGAAGGACCATTCTGGAGCTGGGGTTCATGAGTACAAGCCTGACACTGGGGAGGGGCTGGAGGCTGAGTCCATAGAGGCTGAAATTGTATTGGGATGGTGTGGAGGCTGAGACTAGTTGGGGCCAGCCTGGTGGTGCGGCATACCTGGTCCCTGTGGAGATCTAAAACCTGGGTTTGCAGCATCTAGCTTGGCACTGGGGTTGGCCTAGGGGCTTGATACTTGTGTGCCAGCCTGATGACTAGCACACAGGGGAAAGCCTTTGCCTGGTGAATATTGATAGTATTAATATTGTGTTCCTTTATTATACTTTTTATTTTTCCTTTATTTATTTAATTGCATTACACTTTCTTGTTTTACATTCCTCGTAACTTTATGCTGATATCTACTATCTTTCCAAAATATTAGATAATTGCTTGTCTTGTTATATGTTTCTTCTGACTCTTTCTCATAGTGACTTGTTTTCTCTTATGCTTTTTCCATTTTTTTCTTTAAGTTCAGAATTATTGAGAGTATTTGTTAAGCACACACTTTGATGACTGGATTTAAGTGCATTTCTTCAGGTAGTGTTTCCTTCGCTTCTGCTGGCAGGTGGAAGCATTACTAACTCAGGGATGTCTCAAACAAATATTTATTATTATTTTTATTATTTCAAAGACCACATAGAGGCATGTGGTTTTCCAATAGATATGAGTAGTGTGAATTATAGCCCAACATAAATGCAAATACAGGTTCACAATAAGAAAGTGTCAAGGGATAGTCTTATCTTCTTTTTGTTTTCTATTTTGCAGATTCAAGGAAGAAAATGACAATTATTGTCAATTATTTCTGTCTTAAGAACAGGAATTACTTTCCTCTTAGTTTAACCATTAAGATGTAACTTGTCACAAATTGGAGCTTAATGCAGACATCTCTAGTATGATTTTTCCACCCTACTCTTCTTTCTGGCATATGGTATGTTATCATTCTGGCTGTGGCGTATCAGGTGACAATGATACCACAGGGTAAATGCTGTCTGCAAGAGTGGCTTACCCCTACAAATGAGCATTTTCTTGACATTTTTGGCCTCAATATTCCGTACAATTTTTTTTTGTTCGGTTATTCTGGGCATACCAAAAATGTTTGCTCAAGTATTTAGTGTGATGTCTTGCCAGAAATTAAATTGAGTAACATTTATATTCTAATACTTCTGATTCTGTGATGCCATCTCTTTGTGGTAGTAGAGTATTTGTTAAATTTCCTGATGCTATATATGAGAAGTTTTACCCAAAATATTTTGTAATAGTAGGAACTAGAATGATATTATGCAGTATTTATTATGAAACTCTTAAGAATACTGTCATGGTCCTTAAACAGTATATTGTTAGTAAAATTAAATAACGAATTCAATGATATTTTAAATTTTATTTTTATTTGAATTGTTTTCTTTTAACATTTTACTTCCTCTCTGAAGCATATCACACACACACACACACACACATACACACACACAATAATATAGAAAAAAAGTTCATCCACCTGAAAATTCAAAACTTCCCATTAAGTAAGTCTTTGGTGGCAGATTAAGTATAAACTAAAATTTCAGCATTTATAAAATATGTTAATAGAAATTATAAATACATAATGTATACACACACATATATATATAAAATCTTATGGGATGCATTTAAAACAGCGATCTGAGAAAATTTATATGCTTAAACAATTTTATCAATAAAATGAAAAAATATAAATGAACTAAAAATGAACATTAAAAACTTTTAAAGTAATGAATAAAGAGTAATCCAACTGGCAAATTAATATAATGTTTTCTTGACAGAATTAACAGAATTACGAATCATAAATTTAGATCAAGAAAACATAGAATGAAGGAATAGGGAACTCTGCAAAACTATCAAATATCAGATTTTTTAAACATTCTATAGATTACTCCAGATCATGGAAAATAAAAGTAGCTTAATTATGAAATAAGTATATCGTTAATACCTAAACCTAAAGGAAGGCAGTACCAAGAATGCAACTCTAATACAGAGATTATCACCAGGAATGTCAACTCTGTAAGGACATTCGGTAGCTAAATTTTCTCTGAGAAAATCTCTCAGGTCTTTGCTGATGATGAGAGGCTATGATTTTGTTACTTTGGAAGAGGATAATGTTTTAATTTTGAAGTTAAAATAAGCCTTTCAGATCTAAGCTTAACATACACCTTTCCTAAATACAAGTCAAAGCTTCTCAGGATAACTATAAGAAACTGTAATCACTTTTGAAGTACTGATCTTCATGTAAACACAAGAAATAGCTAATTGTTTTACCCATATTTCACACTTTTAAAAGGGTAATGCAATTATGTACAGTTGGCGCCACATATTCATGGATTCCACATCGTGAATTCAGTCAATTGCAGATGAAAAATATTCAGAAAAAAAATTGGATGATTGTGTCTGCATTGAACAAATATGGGGATTTTTTTTCTTGTCATCATTTCCTAAGCAATATAGTATAACAACTATTTGTATAACATTTACATTGTTATAAGTATTATGAGTAATTTAGAGATATTTAAAGTATATGTGAGGATACAAGATTATATGTAAATCCTATGCCACCTTACATAAGAGACTTGAGCATTCCTGGATTTCAGTATCTGCAGGGGGTCCTAGAAACAATCCTCTAGGGATATGGAGGGCCAACTGTATTTTAAAGAGTGCATTTATATGTATTTACATAGGAGATATTTTTAAAAAGTCTTAAATAACATAACCTGACCTCTAGAATTCATTTAATTACATTGAGAAACTTTCTGAAGTAATTTCTCAGAGAAAATACAATGCCTAATTTATATTTGGTAAGGTTAAATTTTCTTCTTGAAAATGAGAATTGCCAAGCTTTTCAAAGGACATAGAAAGATGATTACACATGTAAGAAAACAGATTATGGCATCATTTGACTTTAACATGGTGTTTAATGATGAAAAAGGCATGCATGTTCATTAGTATCTCACACATATTCACAAATGTTGTATGTTAGTATTATATTAATATATAATATTTTCTATGATGGTGAAATTTACCAATATGACAAAAACATACATCTCACTACTTTCCTCCAATAACAATTAATGTTATATAAATTTTTTGTTTTTAATCCAAAATCTTCCTTGATGATAATAAAAGGATTATAATTTAAAACATCATAATCCAAATCAATTGTGTTTCTCAGTTGATCTGTGCTTATACAGTACTTCAGCATCAATTCAAAGTTATCATTTCCCCATTGTTATGTATGTTAGTAATGTTACACTCACATGGCCTCTTTGACCTGTTTTCTGCTTTATTTTTTACATTAGATTGCTTAATTCAAAAGTTAAGTTATAATAATTTTCAAACCTTTTACAAGCCACATTAATTCTGAAACATCTTTTTTATTTGCATGAACTGAAACTTCATGTAAGTTGTTTAAACCTATGAAATAAGGTCAAGAATGAATGTCAGTAGCTCCTGGGAAACAAGGGAGGGTTCAGCAGAATTTTAGAACAAGAATGATGTTGGGAAGGATCCTAAGGGCCTCAACCTAATTTTATCTGGCCAGAGACAATTAGTCTGCAAGATGATATTGCTATGACCAGCAAAAAAGTAGACAGAGATCATCTGTGCTTACTCCATTCATATGGAAACTCTAACTCAAGAATACCTGTTTTGAAGAGGCAGGAGAAGTTCATGTCATTTTTTTTTTTTGTACTTAAAGATTTTTAAATTGGTGACTTTTAGAAATTTTTATTTTATATATTCTCATTTGACACAGTTAGGTAAACAAAGCATTCTGATTCTAAAAGCAACACATTTCACTACAGAAAATTCTGAATATGGATTAACAAACAACTATAGTCTGAGTTATCATCGGACTTGTGAGCAGGGAGAGGGAGAGGAAGAGGGAGTGAGTGAGTGTGAAGGAGAGGTCCAGGAAGTAGGAGACAAGTGTCTTAAGAGGTGACATCAGAATTTCTCTCATGGTAAGACATCTCTTTGTTATCGACATGATTGCAACAAATCATGACAGGAATGAGTAAAAACCATCAAAGAACTATGGCAAATGCTAATATAAATTCAGTACTTAATATGTAACTAGCTCTTCTTAGCACAACAGAATAAAATCTTAAAAGAAGCAGAGATGAAAAGAATTTATTGAGGTAGAATAGTCCCATTAACATGGTTAAAGGCAATATCCCCTGGAGGAGATAAGGACCAATGTATTTTAAGAATTTGGATATACAACATTTAACATTTAGTTTTTGGATGTGATGCATAGCCATGGAACCACTTTTATTTTTTCTCCCCAATTAGATAAAGCTGCCTCACCTCTAGTAGGTGAAGAAACAGAGAGTTTGGGCTGGGTGCAGTGGCTCACGCCTGTAATCCCAGCACTTTGGGAGGCCGAGGCGAGTGGATCATTTGAAGTCAGGAGTTCGAGACTAGCCTGGCCAACATGGTGAAACCCCATCTCTACTAAAAATACAAAAATTAACTGAGCGTGGTGGCGGGCACCTGTAACCCCAGCTACTCAGGTGGCTGAGGCAGGAGAATCACTTGAACCTGGGAGGCAGAGTTTGTAGTGAGCCGAGATCATGCCATTTTACTCCACCCTGGGGAACAAGAGGGAAACTCCACCTAAAACAACAACAAAAAAAAGATAAAAGAAAATAAGGAGTTTGGCCAATACCAAAAGAGTGCAATATGTATATTCAAATGAAACAAAATTAAGTATGTCTTCCCCAGAATATCTGTAGTAATTGGGTAGAATGCTGGAGTTTTCACTAAACATGTAAACTTTTAATCAAATTACCTAAGTACACATGGTTCAGGAAGGACATAATAGGAGGCAGTCCAGAGACTGATAGACCTCTCCCATAGGGGCAAAACAAAACAAAAACCACCAAACACACATTTACTCTAAAAGGAAACATAATCTACAGAAATATAACTCTATGACAATAGAAACAACATTTTATATGTTAATGAGAGCTGTCTAGATCCTCAAAATAGAGCCTTTGATTTGTCTTAATAAACTCAAAATTATCCCCTCTCCCAACCAAATTGAGGGGTTTCTCTTCAAACATGAACAGATAATGCTGAATTAAAGAACTCAAACACATGAAAATACTTGTTGTATAACTCTATTTATGAGAAATGCCTAGAAGAGATACAAAATACACTAGTGGCTACCTGGGGCTGTGAGTGGGAATGGGGGTTGTAAATGGGCCCAAAGGATTTTATTTGGTGATGAAAAATGCTCAAAAACTGGATTATGGGAGTGAATGCACCATAATGAATGTGAATGTGGGTCAGATACTCCTTTTCTATCTTGTAGCTAAGCCCTCTGGAATATATGGCTTCCAGGGATGATATGATAGACACTTAGCATTTTCTTTGAAAATGTGCACAGGAGTATGTGTTATAAAATCATAACATTATAAACTGTATAAATGGCCTACATTAAGAAATGAGGGTAATTATATCAATTTGAACACTGTGCAAAAATTTAGAATTAAATATTATAAAGTAGATTATTATGGAAAGAAGAAAATAAATAGACTGATTCAACTTAAGAAGTTGAATACAAAGAATAGCAAAATTAGCCAGGTGTGGTGGCTCACGCCTGTAATCCCAGCACTTTGGGAGGTCGAGGTGGGTGGATCACCTGAGGTCAGGAGTTCAAGAGCAGCCTGGCCAACATGGCAAAACGTGGTCTCTACTAAAAATACAAAAAATAGCCAGGTATAGTGGTGGGTGCCTGTCATCCCAGCTACTCAGGGGGCTGAGGCAGGAGAATCGCTTGAACCCAGAAGGTGGAGGTTGCAGTGAGCAGAGATCATGCTATTGCACACCAGTCTGGGCAACAAGAGGGAAACTCCCTCTCAAAAAAAAAAAAAAAGCAAAATTGATTAATAAAATTTAGTTTGAATGAAACTAGTCACTAGGAAATCAAAAGCAAAAATAGATTAAAATCTGCAATTTTGACACATCTAATTAACATAATGAGAGTAAATACAATTATAAATAATATAGTTTGATTGAAAATTGATTATATAAAGGACACTTCTGCAGAGTCATGTTGCAAAGCAGCTATTACAACAAAGTTAAAGATCATTCATAGTTAGTAGCCTACCGCTCATAACTTCCTAAATATGGATTTATATTCATATTTATTTTTAAGATGATAAGTATGTTCTAAAACTGACTGTGGTGATAGTTACACAAACCTGTAAATATACTAAAATCAGTGAATTGTACATATAAATGGGTGAATTGCATGGTATGTAAATTATCATCTTAATAAAACTTTTCATTGTTATTTTTAAGGCAGAGTCTCACTCTGTCGCCCAGGCTGGAGTGCAGTGGTGCCATCTCAGCTCACTGCAACCTCTGCCTCCCAGGTTCAAGTGATTCTCTTGCCTCAGCTTCCTGAGTAGCTGAGACTACAGGCACACACCACCACGCCCAGGTATTTTTTGTATTTTTAGTAGAGACGGGGTTTCTCCATGTTGGCCAGGCTGGTCTCAAGCTCCTGAACTCAGGTGATCCACCTGCCTCGGCCTCCTAAAGTGCTGGGATTACAGGTGCGAGCCACCACACCTGGCCTATAAAACTTTTTATTTAAAAAAATATTTTTGTGAACTTCAAGTTCTGCCTTTTTTAAAGCCAGAAAAATAAAGCGTGATTATAGATTCATCACAGTCTAAAATAATATGTGTCAGGTATTTTGGACAGCCAGGAGTTAGAGAACACAGAAAAGCTACAAAATCATACCAGGCTTGTCAACTTGTTCCTGAGAATCAAAGATCAAGACCTACCATATCAAGGCAGGAAGTCATTATTCCAGCACAAATAAAGCCAATTATTGGTTAAAATTAGAAGTGGAACACATCAATAAATAAATACATAAATAAATAAAAACATCCTGATAAAGACTAGAGGGATGTGAGGGGTAGAAAAAAGAGTTATGAGACAATCTTAAATCAGAGAATTTTAAAACACTGAAGCCTGAGAGAATGGTAGTCTTTTATTTTGATGTTTTCACTAAAAATGTTAGTAAATCATATTTTCCAGGAGTCAAATGAGTCAGTTATTTTAAGTGTTAATTACTGGTTTTATAAATACAAACTATATGACTTTGATGAGTAATCAAGCACAGTGATATTGAGCACTTCCCTTAGGTAATGTGGTTTCATTTTCAATGGAGGTAGAAATCTCATTAAAAATAAGTTTAAAAGAAAATAATTTTTTCTGATGGAGTCAATCCTAGCGATAATTACAGAGAGAGAGATGTGTGCCCACACGTATATACTCAACAAAACTAAATATGAAATAGTGAGACACTAACTCAGGTTAAATTGCTTTCTATTTACTACTCTTCTATTTCAGCCAGTCATATTTTGTAGAGCGATGAGTCATGTAAATACTGAAAAGCACTAATGTGCAAGGCATATACAAAATTGTGGAAGCAAGAAATGGCCTTTTTAATTTTATTATATGGGCATTGCACATTTTAGCATCCTGTTGATTTTTAAATCTTGTATAGGCAATGAATGTAGCACTAAATAAAAGAGAGCCATTTATTAAAGTTCAGGGAACTTACCGGTGTGCTGCTGTTCGCTGTTGTCCTCTGTTGCCATGGTAACAATATCTTCTATGCAAAATGGGGTTGGGTGGTTGTAACTACCCACTGTTTCTATGTCTTTGGAAGGGCATGATGTTGTTAAATTGGAAGCATCATAGCTGGGCTTAAATTTAAGAAGTTCAGAAGAGAATCATAATGCTCATTTACAGAAGAGATTTTTTTTTAACTGTAGACATAACGGGAAGAAAATAGGACTTAAACATATGATAAATTATTAGTAAGGAAAGGTAGGGAAGGAAAAGTTTACAGATTTTGTGTTATCCACTTCTTTACCATTTGATACAATCCCTCATCACTTGAACTAATAATAATAAATTATTTGGCCATTTAAAGAAAATTCACAAGGAAGTGCTATGTATTTTGACTTCATAGAATATATTCTATAGCTTTATGTTACGGCTGATCATCTGTTTAATAAAATTTCAGTGCAGCAAAAAACTCTTGGGGGAAAGTTCTATTCGTCTCAAACACTTTGTTGAAATTATATAATTCTGAACTGTACAGTTCCTTTGGAATACTATATTATTTTCTCAATTTTCAATAGTAATCCAATTTCTGTAACTTTCAGCTCGGTGGATTTTGAATAACTAACAGAAAGTATGTAGCTTAGCTCACAGTGAAATACCTTTTTTATTGCTTCTAAGATATTTGTTTCTTGCTATATTGAAGGCACTTGCTAGTCTCAAATAGATTTTCATTTGTCTTCTGCTCAAATAAGTGAGTCATAAAATTGGGTCAGAAAGGGGAATGCCACTGAGTAGGCTTTATTCTATATATTATCGATCTGACTCTGTAGTAACTGCAACCCTGATGAAATCTAGTTCTTCATCTACTGCACATCTTCACCTGCCCAGCTGAATGTAGCTTGAGACAAATACAAGATGATACTGATTAGCCACCTTCTAAATTTATGACTATGAATATTGACTGAGCATTAATATTGTCTGACAGTGTTGCTACTTCCTTATTTTTTTTTCTTTTTCTTTTTTGAGATGGAGTCCTTCTCTGTCACCCAGGCTGGAGTACAGTGGCACAATCTCGGCTCACTGCAGCCTCCACCTCCCAGGTTCCAGCAATTCTCCTGCCTAAGCCTCCCAAGTAGCTTAGACTACAGGCACGTGCCACCACACCTGGCTAGTTTTTGTATTTTTAGTAGAGAAAGGGTTTTGCCATGTTGTCCAGGCTGGTTTTGAACTCCTGGTCTCAAGTGATCTGCCCCCCTCAGCTTCCCAAAGTGCTGGGATTATAGGCGTGAGCCACCGTGCGGCCTATACTTCCTTATTTAGACAATTATTTCACACTATCCCTTCTGTTTTCTCTGACCTCCTCTTTTTCTACTCCCACCTGTCCACCCTTTTCTAGCTACAGTGTCCTCCTTACAGTTCTTTCTTATGCAATTTTGTTTTAATGACTTCTGTGTTCCATTCTCCCTCTCCCTGGAATACCATTCCTCCATATATTCGCACGGTTAACCACCGTAGTGTCTTCGAATCTTTACTTAAATGTTGCCCTCCCAGTGAACTGTTCTCTGGAACTTCTATTTAAATTGTCATATGGCCAAAATTTCTGCACACACTTACCTGGCACTTCTAATCCCCGTTACTTTTCTCTAGTTTTTGCATTGCTCACATCATCTTCTATCATACTACTTAATTTAATATTAATTATATTCCTAGTTTTTGGGCAGTCCCCTCAGTAGCATTTACACTCCAAAGGATAGGAGTTTTTGTGTGTCTTATTGATCGGTTTGATATTTAAATGTTTCCCAAGCACGAAGAAGTTATTTAATAGACATTTATTAGATAAATAATTGAATAAATAAGTTTGTTATCTGCCTGCTTTCCAGGTTTTATTCCTCTCAAGTATATAGTGCCCGGTTTTTTAGAATGATACCAAATACTTTCTCTCTTTGGAGTTCTGAATGAAGCTTTAACACAGGCCACACCAAATTAGACCACCACTTTGATTTTGGTTTATAAAATGCTGTTGTGTACATTTTTGCTTTATTTGTATTGTTAAAAACCAGTGTTGTTATTCTGTAATAGTTTAAATTAACTCATAATCACATATATCAACTAGGCTCCAAATGTTTTGATACATTTAATCGATCTTTAGAATGTTTCTGGCAAATTAGTGTTGTTAGGCATGGCTAAAATTTTTGCTCAAGAGAGCAATATGGCTATTACCAAATACAGTTTTGAGCAGATACTATCATTGTGCTGTGTACATATACCTACTTACATTTAGTTCTTCAGTGACAAAACCTGTAGTGAACAAAACACAAAAGGTTTTATAATTCCTACAGTTTTTGTTGTTATTTAATATCTGGCTCAATTTCTTTTTGAAAAAATGGCAGAATTAACTTAAAATACATGTGCAATGTATTTAATTTCTTTCTTTTTTTTTTTTTTTTTTTTTTTGAGACGGAGTCTCGCTCTGTCACCCAGGCTGGAGTGCAGCAGCGCGATCTCGGCTCACTGCAACCTCTGCCTCCCGGATTCAAGCAATTCTCCTGCCTCAGCCTCCCGAGTAGCTGGGATTACAGGCACGTGCTACCATGCCCAGCTAATTTTTTTTGTATTTTTAGTAGAGACAGGGTTTCATCATATTGGCCAGGCTGGTCTTGAACTCCTGACCTTGGGATCCACCCACCTCGACCTCCCAAAGTGCTGGGATTACAGGCGTGACCCTCCGCGCCCGGCCAGCTTTTTAATTTCTACTTAAATTCAATGTACTGCATGAAATTCTGTTTTCCATCTACTTTATTCTAAGACTCCATTTATGCGTGTGTATGCAGATAAGAAAAATGTATGTTTGTATTTGTTGGTTTATTTATTTAAAACATTATGTTAGGCATTCAATAAATGAATCCTGGTGATATAAATATAAATAAACCATAATGTTGCACCAATGCTTCTGTTTGGAAAAAATTAACCGTGACAGTCCAGTTGGAAATAGAGACACACCAACATATAATTACAATAAAATATAGTGAATATGGCAAATAATAAAGATATATTTTTACATAAGAATTTTAAAATATAATAGAAGAACAAAGAGACAAGGAAAATTAGAAGCAAAGATGGCTGTCAGGATTTTGTTTGAATATAATCTATAGTTATTTCATTAATCAAGATGTAAGAATGCTACAACAGTAGTTGACTTTTTAAAATGAGACACATTGAGATGATGCATTGATTTTGATGAGCTAGTGTGATTTTTCTAATAGATATTTCTAATAAGAAGCTTTAAATGTTTATCCAGAATTAGTGAAAGGGGTTGTGAAAAGAGGTAAGGATTTAGGATTAATAAAAATATAGCTCATTTGAAGAGAGTGGACATAATTGAGTTAAAGTAAATGTGATGGTGATTGTCAACTAGAAGGACCATCCCACCTTTAGATATATATATCTAAACCTGGTGAGTGCATGGTGTAAGATTATTATGTGATTTATAAGAGAATATTTAGTATTGTTAAAGTAGTTTATGAACTATATATTTGGAAAACAGGCCGGGCGCGGTAGCTCACGCCTGCAATCCCAGCACTTTGGGAGGCCGAGGCGGGCGGATCACGAGGTCAGGAGATCTAGACCATCCTAGCTAACATAGTGAAACCCCGTCTCTACTAAAAAATACAAAAAATTAGCCGGGCGTGGTGGCGGGCGCCTGTAGTCCCGGCTACTCGGGAGGCTGAGGCAGGAGAATGGCATGAACCCGGGAGGCAGAGCTTGCAGTGAGCCGAGATTGCACCACTGCACTCCAGCCTGGGTGACAGAGAGAGACTGTCTCAAAAAAAAAAAAAAAAAAAAAAAAAAAATATATATATATATATACACACACACACACACACACACACACATATATATATACACACACACATATATACACACACACATATATATATAAAATAGTATAAACTACAGAACATAAATATGCACAAAGTTGTCTTGACTGATTGAGAAGGCAATCTAGTTATTTGCAACCAGACTCTTCATAAATGCTCTCTATGGGTGGACATATTTTTTAAAAACTCCTGTGGGTAAATTGTTTCTATTTATATAAAAATATAAAACAACAGAATGAAAAATAAAATCCTAGAAATTAAATCCAGGATTTCGCTGAAATCGTTCAATCAGAAGTACTCATGGTAGATTTGGGTACTTTTCCTAGAGTTGAAGAGAAGCAGCATTGTGTAAGTACACTAGGCAGTGTTGTATTAACAGAATTTATTGGAGCAATGAAGGATCTACTGAAGCAGATTGTTTTGGTAGGAAGTTTCTGTTCCTATATCATAGCTAAAGTAGCATTTTCCTAGAAACAGAGTTAATAGACACAACTTCCCAATTCCCAAATTCCATGTAGGGCACTATGTTCCCATAACCAGCTGTTGTAGAGATCCCTTCCTCATTCCCAGGTTTTGATGAAAGCAGCTAATTTTGGAGCTACCAGTTTACAAATGAGCATCATGATTTATTAACAGATATAGCAGTGTCCTTAGGGTTCAAAGTGCATATTTGGCAGGGAGTCATTGTTGGTTTCAGTTCAGGCCTTGCTCTGGCAGCCCTTCTAATTATTTGTAAGTATCTGACACCTTATATTAAAACCACTTTTATTTAAAATAGCTAAAGTGTGGTTTTTAATGTCTGCAACTCATATTGTGTTTAGTACCGAAAGTAGGTCTATGTAATAGATATTTTTGGATGGGAATGTAATCTGTTTTATTGAAGTCAGTGAGAATCTGATTGATGTTATAGGACAGGAAGCTGGTGTTCCATGCTACATAGAGCTGAACCCTGATTATTTGTGTTTAGCTGGAATAAATTGTCCTTTGAAAACAACTTGAATAGGTGGAGTGATAAATGACATAGTAAAATATGATAGGTATGATAGATACAAGTTAGGCTGTCCTGTGCAAAACAGAAGTAAAATATCAGGTTATATCTTCAGGGATAGTGACTGATCCAGAGATTTGTTATGATTTCTTGAAGATAATCTCTTAAACTTTTAAGCTCCAGGGCTCATAAAGCCAAAATTAAGACCTAGAGTTTGATCCAGCAAATTTCTGAAGTAAATGTAGAATGACTTCAAAGCATTTTACGAAATAGTTAAGACATTCACTTGTGAATTGTAAAGCTGACATTTTACAAATTTTTTAAGTTGTAAAATTTTACAAAATTTTCAATAATTCTGAGTACACTTGCAAACCAAGTATCTCTTTTCTATGCCAATAGAAATAGTTCCTTATTTTCTGTTTAAAGAGGCTTGCCTGAAACAATACCAAATCCCTAGGGATATCACAGAGATTACTGCATAAATAAAATCTTAAATAAAATAAAAGTTGAGGAAACATATTACAAGATCCTTTTGCTCAGTTGTTTTGTCTGTGAAAGAAGATATTTATTCCTTGAAAAATTAATGTAAGTTAATTAAAAATTAGATAATGTCTCCAGTTGAATATGGTATTTATACTGGACAAAATGGTACACAGGTATTAACTGGAGAATAATTTTTACTTCAAACAAATAAATAGAAGAATTCTGCTTTCACTTGACGGGGACAGCAGAACACATTTCTGCTTTTCTCAAGCATATATCAACTCTCCTGGGAGAAACTGATCATTTCATCATGCCATAGAACATCATGTTGGTTCAATGCATTGGTGATATCATGTTTACTGAACTTAGTGAATAGAAAACAGCAGGTATCTGTATGTATCTAGATGGGGTACGTATATGGCAAAAAGCGGCCTCTTGCTTGAGTAGAGTTTCTTAGGATTCAGTTGTTCTGATACCTGAAATAGTGATTCAAATGTGAAAGATAAATTGGGTGGTCCCCTGTACACTCTACCATTATGAAAGATATACTGTGCTCATATATGAAAGCATCAAATACCACATTTGGGCACACTTCTTTGGCTCAGCTGCTGTGATTATGGTGTGCCTTTATGGGGTTTTTTATGCGTATTTGCTTGTGGTCCATTATATTTCATGAAACTGTAAATTTATAATTTTCATCAAATTTGGAAACTTTTCAGCTATTAGTTTTTCAAATATTTTGCTTCCCCTTCCTCACCCAACCCCATTTTTCCTCTCCATTTGGGACTCCAGTTACATCTAAAGTAAACTGCTTGATTTTTTTCTCACATGATGCTTTTTTCATTTTTTCTTCAGACATTTTTCTCTCTGTGTTTTAATTTGGACTGGTTTATTGTATGTCTTCAAATGTATTATTTATTAACCTTTTCTTCAATGATGTTAAATCTGCAGCTAACTCCACCCAGTGTATTTTTATCAGATACTATGTTTTTCATCTCTAGAAGTGTAATTTGGATCTTTCTATAACTTCCCTTACTTGCTTAATTATGTTCATGTTTTTCCCTATATTTTGAATATGTGGTATGTATTTGTAATTGCTCTTTCAATGTCTTTATCTGACAATTCTGTCATTTATTCTTATGTATCTACTAATTAATATTCTCTTGATTATGGATTATATTTAGTTTATTTGCATGCCTGATCACTTTTGTTAGATGTCACATTTTGTGATTTGTATTTTTTGATGATATATTTGTATTTCTTCAAAGAGTGTTGGGCTTTTACTGCAATGTAGTTGAGTTACTTGGACTCAGTTTGGAACGTTAAGGCTTACTTTTCAACTTTGTTAGGGTAAATCCAGAGCAGTTTTTAGCTTGGGGCTAATTTCTCCTCACTGTGAAGGCAATACCCTTTGAGGACTCTACTTCTACTTGATACTCCATGTAGTAGGAGGTCTTTCCATCTTACTGATGAGAACATAAAAAGTCAATAAGTCCAATAAGTCTGTGTGAGCTCTTGGGAATTTTCCACCTACTTTCTGGCAGTAACTTTTTTGTTTTATGTCTTCCATATAGTTTCCTCACAACATGGACAGATCAGCAGCCAGCTAATCACTTGTATAGACTCCCTACATATACATGAGGGTTTTTCTCTCTCTCTTTCTGTGTGTACATGTGTGGCAACCAGGGGCTGCAGCAGAGGGAATGGGGGGATACTGGCCAAAGGGTAGAAAGTTGCAGTTACAAGTAAGTTTATTGCCATGCTGTTTACAACAGGAAAGACATGGAATCAACCTTGGTATCCATTAATGGTGGATTGAATAAAGAAAATGTGGCACATGTACACCACAGAATACCATGCAGCAATAAAAAAGAACGAAATCATATCATTTGCAGCAACATGGATGGAGCTGGAGGCCATAATCCGAAGTGAACTAATGCAAGAACAGAAAACCAAATAAATACTGTATTGACTTATGTTCAACATGCAGGTCTATCTTATAAGTAGAGGCAAAACATTGAGCACACATGGACATAAACATGGGAACAGTAGATACTGCAGACTGTTAGAGGGGGAAGGGAGAGAAGAGGGTATAGGTTGAAAAACTACCTATTGGCTACTCTGCTCACTACCTGGGTGCAATATACTCATGTAATAAACCTGAATATGTATCTAAATAAAAGTTGAATTGAAAAAAATGATGAGTAAGTTCAGGAGTAAGTAGAGCATGATGACTACAGTTAATAATACTGTATTGTATACTTGGAAGTTGCTGAGAGAGTAGGTTTTAAGTACTGTCGCCACACACACAAGGTAACAATGTGAGATGATATGTTAACAAGCTTGATTGTAATTATTTCATAATGTGTGTGTATAGCAAAAGATTATGTCGTGCACTGTAAAATACACAATTTTATTTGTGAATTATATCTCAATAAAGCTGAAAATAAAAAAAGAAAGACAACTACATCCATTCAATACCTGAATTAAAAGGTAAAGCAGATTTAAGAACTATATGTACTCTATTTTTAGCATACTTGGATTACACTTTAGGATAGCATAATGATCAAAATGTAACAATTTTTTTCTCAGTTCTTGTTTTCAAATCTTGATCCAGTCTTCATCATGAGTATGTAAAAAGAATAAAGTCTACTTTTTCCTTTTCTCTCATCTCCAAAATGCTAGTAAAAATAGTTCTGTGAAAATTAAATGACAATGTACATTAATCACCTTACATAGATCTTGGCAAAGCAATTTCCAAATAAACGCGAGCTACTACTAAATGGGCAGCCCTTAACATATTTGGCGCTAAATTCTTACTATAGATGTCAAATTGGCATTTGTGTGCAGTTTCTCTTTGGCTTATGGGTTCCTTAGACTCAACAGCATAAAGCAACAACACTGGTAATTCAACAGATATTTCAGCCATGGAATGGCTGTGCTTCCAAAGTTAACTGAAGTAGTTAAATCTCAGCCAGAATGAAAAAGAGAATTTTATTACTGTCCTAATTGCTGGCCTTATATGAAAGTCAGTGATAGGACTTACAGATTGTAGATAGAAACATACTTCTATATGTGACTTTTCCCCATTCTCTGAACTGAATATTAGCATTTCTGCCTTTGATTTCCCACCGCTTGCTATTTGCAACACATTTTGTTTTCCCAAGTAAATAAGACTCTCTGGTGGCACCTTGAAGAGAATTCAAGGAAGAAATAGAGTTAAACAAGTTAGCAATTATGATTAAATTAAATCTATATTACACATTGATTAATTTGTGTTCAGTTCACAGTTTTTCTTTAAACATTATTTGCCTTTTTGTTGTCATTTGTGAGAAAATGCTTAAGGTTTAAGCACATGAATGACAAATTTTCTTAACATTTCAGTAAGTGCTCAATCATTTTAAGATGTAAGTTCTGCCAACTATTGTCAGCAGCAAATTGTACACCTTTTAATATCACAGCATGGTTCATATTTTCTATGATCAATTAAACTCTAAGAGTATATAAACTTAATTATACCAAAACTAACTTTTACATATGGAGCTCTTTGACAAGAAACCTGTGAAGGGTTTGAGGTTTACCAGACAACCTGGCATACCAGTTGAATGTCAGTATTCCATGGTTTATAACTTTAATTTTATTCAGAGTTTACAAAATAATATTTACTTGAAAATATCAAATTTGGATATTTTTTGGTAACTGTTGAAAATTTGTTCATCATGTGACGCAAATTATTTTTTCCTTTGTATTTATCCACATAGTAACTTTCTTTTGAATCTAGTGATACATAATAAAATAAAAATGGAATGGGTCCCTGTAGTAAATAATAAAACTTATGTTCTTGATGGTTTCAATTTTGTCTTCATCACTGGAAAACACATTTTTATTAACTAATACGTATGTGGTATTAAATGTATTTATTTCTTCCCATTAAAATATTAATTCTAATGTTTTCAAATGATTTCACATTACATACAACCCCAAATCAATTTGAAATTAAATTTGTTTTGCTTTTAATTTCCGAATTCAAGGGTAAATCAGTTTAAGAACTATTTGTAATCTATTTAAAAATAGAATTTTATAAATTACATATAGTAGACATGTTTTACTATATATAGACTATCATATTAAAGAAGACTGTATTATTTCACACTACTTCTGAAACTGAATTAACAAATTTTTTTTTCTTCAGAAAAAACCTAGATGTGAAGATAGAAAGCAAAAGGTTAAAATAATACCCTCGTGGTTTTCTTTTTTTTTTTTTTTGAAATGTAAGTCTTTCCAAAACCTATTTTATTTTATTTATTATTTTTTAATTTTATTATTATTATACTTTAAGTTTTAGGGTACATGTGCACAATGTGCAGGTTTGTTACATGTGTATACATGTGCCATTTTGCTGTGCTGCACCCATTAACTGGTCATTTAGCATTAGGTATATCTCCTAATGCTATCCCTCCCTGCTCCCCACACCCCACAACAGTCTCCAGTGTGTGATGTTCCCCCTTCCTGTGTCCGTGTGTTCTCATTGTTCAATTCCCACCTATGACTGAGAACATGCGGTGTTTGGTTTTTTGTCCTTGCGATAGTTTGCTGAGAATATTGGTTTCCAGCTTCATCTATGTCCCTACAAAGGACATGAACTCATCATTTTTTATGGCTGCATAGTATTCCATGGTGTATATGTGCCACATTTTCTTAATCCAGTCTATCATTGTTGGACATTTGGGTTGGTTCCAAGTCTTTGCTATTGTGAACAGCACCGCAATAAACATACGTGTGCATGTGTCTTTATAGCAGCATGATTTATAATCCTTTGGGTATATACCCAGTAATGGGATGGCTGGGTCAAATGGTATTTCTAGTTCTAGATCCCTGAGGAATCGCCACACTGACTTCCACAATGGTTGAACTAGTTTACAGTCCCACCAGCAGTGTAAAAGTGTTCCTATTTCTCCACATCCTCTCCAGCACCTGTTGTTTCCTGACTTTTTAATGATTGCCATTCTAACTGGTGTGAGATGGTATCTCATTGTGGTTTTGATTTGCATTTCTCTGATGGCCAGTGATGATGAGCATTTTTTCATGTGTCTTTTGGCTGCATAAATGTCTTCTTTTGAGAAGTGTCTGTTCATATCCTTCGCCCACTTTTTGATAGGTTTTTTTTTTCTTGTAAATTTCTTTGAGTTCATTGTAGATTCTGGATATTAGCCCTTTGTCAGATGAGTAGGTTGCAAAAATTTTCTCCCATTCTGTAGGTTGCCTGTTCACTCTGATGGTAGTTTCTTTTGCTGTGCAGAAGCTCTTTAGTTTAATTAGATCCCATTTGTCAATTTTGGTTTTTGTTGCCATTGCTTTTGGTGTTTTAGACATGAAGTCCTTGCCCATGCCTATGTCCTGAATGGTATTGCCTAGGTTTTCTTCTAGGGTTTTTATGGTTTTAGGTCTAACATTTAAGTCTTTAATCCATCTTGAATTAATTTTTGTATAAGGTGTAAGGAAGGGATCCAGTTTCAGCCATCAGTTGTTTTCTACATATACAGATAGACAGAAAAATAGAAAGGTAAATGATAGACAGATAGGTAGGTAGGTTGATCAATAGATGTATTTGCTGTTGTTTGGTTTTGTTTAGTACCCGTAGTAAGAATTATGTTTTGTACCAGGACATGGACACACACACCCCCCCCACACACACACACAGACACACATTGGTACACACACATAACAAAATTTTAAAAAATAATCTTTATCCATTTTATAAGGAGTGTGATAGGAAGAATAGTGGACATCAAAGGTTTCCATGTCCTAGTCACCAATACCTGTAAATAGGTTACATGGCAAAGGAGAATTAAGTTTGCACATGGAAATTAATTTGCTAATCAGCTGACTTGAAAATAGTGAGATTATCATGGATTATTCAAGTGGATCCAATGAAATCAGAAATCCTTAAATGTGGAAGAGTCACAGTCAGAGAGGGAGATGTGATAAAAGACTTAGTTAGAAGTGATTCCCACCACAGCTCTGAAATTGAGACTTCAAGACCTTCAGTCAAAGATGGCAGAGTGTGAGATTTTACCCAGTTGTTTTCCTGGGGGGACAGAGATAATTAAAAGTAGTGAATCTACATCAGAATTAGTTGTAAGCTATTCACAGTCCAGGTTTCCAGCCTCAACTCCAGAGACTGAAATTTAGTACATCACAGTGAGCCTAAACATTGTTTTGAGTTTTTGATTTCGTTGTTGCTCTTGTTTTTCAACTCTTCATGTGATTTTGATGTAACCAAGTTTGGGAAATACAGAATTAAAACACTCGTGATTCCCAAAGGACGATGGCAGTGAGGGGTGCAGTGACGTGAAAAATGGGCATACCAAAATCACCTGGGAAATTTTTTCCTAATTTCATCTGATTCTTCATCTACACCTAGTAACTCTGTGTAATATAGTGATATCACTTCAGAAATTTGGGAATAATTTAAAGATTTGTGTAATTGGATAAAGATCCCCAGGTAAGTTTCACTATCCCTCACTGCTTTTACAACAATTGAACTACAGATTTGGTAGAACTAAGGAGAAAACCCTTTAAAAAATGTTTAATGAAGGTTTTTTGTTTTTTTTTTTTTAAAATGCACTAGACATTAGTGAAACCAAAATGGGGAGATAGCATAAGGGACTGACAAAGACTCTAAGAAGGGAGCCAAATGAGGGAAGCTGGGAGGACAGCCACGTTCAATATGCCTGTATGTATCATGTCATAGTTATGACAGGAATTGTGAGGCACTTTAGGAAGCTTTGGTGATTCCTTTTGAAATGTAGCAAGGTCTGCAACACCCTCCCTACCCCAATCATTCAAAAGTTGCAAAGGGCTAGGTTAAAACAAGGAATGGCAGGCAATGGAAGACTGATCTTAGGTTTTTATAAGAGAAAGCATTGACATTAGGATAATTATTTTATGGCTCATCTTGATGAAACATCAGCAGTACATTTAAGTCTGTTTTATGCATTAGACTTCTTGTTGTAAAAGGGATTATGATGACTTAAGTAAAGATTGCATATCGTACCTCATTCAGAGGTGCTTTAGAAAGAAGACTAAGGTTAGCTGATTTGTTCATAAATGTTTACTTGAGCTGGGATCGCAATATAAAGCCCTTTATGAGAATAACTTCTTACGTACGTAAAAATGCATTGTAAGGTGTCACTGTTATTTCGAATTCCCAGTTACGTAACTAGGAGAAAGGTATATTTCAAAATACAAGGGACTACACTGCCAAACATTTTTTGAACCAATTTTGAAAAGATTATTTCCTCCAACTAGTATATTTTAACCTGAATTTCTGTCATTGTCAGGCTGTCATGCTTCCTCAGGCCACTCCATTAGGTCACAGAGACCGTATCTTACATATGATGTGGTAAATTATGTAGGGGTAACATATGACTCCCCAAAACCAGTTGCTTGCAACAACAAAGGCTTGTATTTTGCTCATAACACAGAACACAGTCCACTGTGACTCAGGTGTGGCCCTGCTGCATGTCATCTTCATTTTGGGACCAAGCTTTTCTCATCAACCTCTTCCTAGAATATCACCAGTCATCATATCATTGTGGAATAAGAAAAGGATGGAAAAATGCATCTATACATATGTATATATATGTGTGTGTGTGTATATATATATATGGAGAGATAGATACACACACATATACAAATATACACACATAGATACACAAACTTGTATGGGTGTGTGTGCATGTGTAGCGTATGTAATAAAAAGTCATTTTAAGAATGTAACAAAATTATAGTTTCATGTTGTATAAAGAAGCAAATAGAGACTAAATGTGTCTTAAATCAGTGATGTGCTGGAGCCAGGTTGCAATGGCTTATGAGAGCTGATTATTGACACCTTTTCCCAACTCCATATTTATCCAGAGACAGCACATTGGTAGCTTGAAAGCAGCCAGGTGGGAGCACTTACAATGCAACACTGCAAATCAGGGCTGGCTGGGATCTCTTTTCCCTGCGGCATACCACTGCTTAAATGTAGCAAACATACAGCTAAATGATAGTCCTCAGAGTAGAGTACAGGGGTTAGAAGTTTTCTTAACACTATGAAGGAGTTAGGATCTGAAGATCGTCAGGGCTGAGCCACAGGCAGAAATCATCAGGCTGTCACTTTAGCTTGTGTATGCTGCAAAGGAGACGGGAGCAGAAAACTGTTGTCTTTCAGGACAAAAGTCTAGCTGCACCACCTGGTTAGCTGCAAACACAAATCAAATAACTAAATTTACTTTTCTAGCTCCTTGCACACGATGTTTACACAAGGAACCTCAATGGACTCATATATTTTAAAATGTTTATTCTTGATATATGGGGTTCTTTCTACGCACCACCTGCTTACATTCTGCAATGAAGTTAATGATCCTTTTAAATCCAGGATAGAACAGAGACCTGATACAAATTTACTCATGGTACATTTGTTTTTGTAATGTTTTCTTTTTAAAAAATGTCATGACTATTTGCCTGAGAATGTATTTCTTACATTAAGCTTATTCATAGACTTTACCAGAATTGTATAATAAATGCTTTAAAATTCATTTCAAGTGGATTTATACTCATATCTGTGTATATGTAGGTCTTGTCCTCATACGTAGCATCAGCAACAGCAGAAAGAAAATATATTAAAAAGCTATATTTTAAATTATTAAAATTTTATATAATTTAAGTTATCCAAATTATAATAACTTTTTCTAAATATTTTCACACCAAAACTCTTCCTTAGAGGTAACTATATTAAAAGCTTTTATGCATCTAAGACTTTTGTTTCTTAAAGCAATATCATATTGATGCTAATACACAAGTAGGTAGCATTTAGATGGACAAGAACATATATTTTTTTTTAGAAAAGGCGATCATTCAATGCATATTTTCTGAAGTGTTTTAAAATTAACAATAGCTATCACATACTCTTTTTAATATATAAATATTCATTTTTATAGATATTAATTTATTGATGATTATTACTTATTGGGCTGTTTCAAAACATTGGAATCTTAAACAGAGTTGCAGAAATATTCTTTATGCACATAGGTTTGTATGTATATATATCTTTGCATACTCATGCTAATGTATCTGTAGGAAAAATTCTTGATAGTCCTATTAGTGAAAAATTAAAATAAGTATGGATTGAATTAATTTGTATAGTTAATTAATCCTGTTCTATGTATCAGTTGTTCACACATATTAAAAAGGATTCATGCAAACTGCAGGTACAAATTCACTGCTTAGCATGTCCTTCTCACACTTCAAAGGCATAAATCTCATATACAAATGTGTATTATTTGATAAAATGGTCATAAAATTTCCATGATAAAAATAGTATATATTTTTAGAGATGACAGAGAAGCACTACTGTATTCCCTGCTGAAACAAATGTAGAAAATATAGGTTCATTCGGGGGTCACCATTGACAAGTGCTTTACTTCACTTGATCTTAGGCAAAAGGCTGAGAAGTGATAATTGCCTTGCTTAAGTCCTAAATATTTATCAATTTTTTTGGAGGAAACCTGACCTAAATTGGAGCAGGAAGAAAATAATACACTTTGCAAAGTATTGCACTTATAGTCTTTTCCACATCTTTAAATAATATATTAAAAAAGTTAACGTAGTTTAGGCCAGGTAGCTCATTTAGAGTATAAACCATCTTAAATATTGAGGGATGTTTCAGTTTCAATGTTTATGTGTGGGGCAGAGGGCAGCTATGAACATTTCACATACACTAGTAAAAGCAGAGATTTTTTAAATGACAAATTAATTATTTTAGGAACTAAGCTCATGGGAGTATGATAATTTTTTCAAAGTGGATGTTAAGTCTGGATAAAATATTTTTCTGTTTTGTTGCCTTGTGTTTATCTTAAATTGAATGTAACTTCTAAAGATAAATTAAAGGACTTGCTACTTTAACTAATGATATTTAAATTAAAACAACTTCATCAAAGCATTCAAATTGGAAAGGGAGAAATACAATTATGTCTGCTCACAGATAACATGATCTTATATGTAAAAAATTTTAAAGATTCCACACAGAAACTAAATTATTTAATTTAGTAAATTAAATTACTATTTAGTAAATGAATTTAGCTAAGTCATAGGATACAAAATCAGTGCATAGAAATCAGTTGTGTTTCTATAAACTAACATGAACATTTCAAAAGTAAAATTAAGAAAACAATTTCATTTACAGTAACATCAAAAATAATAAAAATTCTGGCCGGGAGCAGTGGCTCACGCCTGTAACCCCAGCACCTTGGAAGCCAAGGCGGGCAGATCACCAGGAGATCGAGACCATCCTGGCTAACACGGTGAAACCCCATCTCTACTGAAAACACAAAAAATTAGCCGGGCGTGGTGGCGGGCACCTGTAGTCCCAGTTACTCAGGAGGCTGAGGCAGGAGAATGGCATGAACCCAGGAGGTGGAGCTTGCAGTGAGCCGAGATCACACCACTGCACTCCAGCCTGGGCGACAGAGTGAGACACCGTCTCAAAAATGAATAGATAGATGATAGTTAATAAAAATTCTTAGGAATAAGTCTAACCAAGAAAAGGAAAGACTTATATGCTGAAAATTCCAAAATTTTGGCCAAAGTAATTAAAGAAGACACCAATAAATGAAAAGATATTCCACATTTATGATTTAGAAAATTTAATATTGTTAAGGTGTCAGTACTAATCAAAGTGATCTACATATTCAGTATAATCTCTACCAAACAATGTTTGTGTGTGTGTGTGTTTTGTTTTTTGTTTTTTGCAGAAACAGAAAAATGCGTCCTAAAATTCACCTGAAATCTCAAGGGACACCAAATACCTAAAACAATCTTGAAAAAGAAGGTGTCACACACACAATTATGAAAAATAAGAATAAATTTGGAGGTTTCACATTTCCTGATTTCAAAACTTATTGTAAATCTACAGCAATCAAAACAGAGTAGTGGGGCAGGCATAAAGGCTTCCATATAGACCAATGAAATAGAATAGATATTCCAGAAATATACCCTCACATACATGGTCAAGTGATTTTAAACTTGGGTGCCAAGACCATTCAATGGAGGAAAAGACAGTCTTTGTAACAAGCGGTGCAGGAAAACTGAATAGCTATATGTAAACGAATAAAGTTGGACCCTTACTTACCCCACACTCAAAATTAAATCAAAATTGATTAAAGGGTAAATGTAAGGGCTTAGACTATAAACTCTTAGAAGAAAACATAGGATAAAAGTTTAGGACACTGAATTTGACAATAATGTCTTAAACTTGACACCAAAAGCACAGGCAACAAAGCAAGAAAATTAACAAATTGAACCACAGAAAAATTAAAATTTCCATACATCCCAGGGCACCATCAACAGAGTGAAAAGGCAACTCAAAGAATGGGAGAAAATATTTGCAAAGGACACATCTGACAATGGGTTAATATTGAGAGTATAAAACTAACTACAATTTAAAAAACAACAAAAATGGACAATACAATTTTTAAAAAATGGGTAAAGAACTTGAATAGATATTTGTCTAAAGAAGATAAACAAATCACCAATAAACACATGAAAAGATGCTCAATATCACTAATCATTAGCAAAATGCTAATTGAAACCACAATGAGATATGACCTCACACCCATTAGAATAGCTACTCTAAACAAAGGAACTAACAAAAAACACCAAAAAGAAATCAAGTAAGCAAACAAACAAAAAAACCCAGAAAATAATTGTTGGTGGGAAGTGGAGAAATTGTACCCTTTGTGCAGTGCAGGTGGGAATGTAAAACCATGTAGTCACTATAGGAAAAGTAAAAGGAAGTTCCTTAAATAATTAAAAATAGAATTACCATAAGATCAGGCAATTTTACTTCTGGGTATATATCCAAAAGGGATGAAAATAAGGACTGAAAGAGATTTGTAAACCCTTGTTCATAATAACATTATCCAAGTGTCAATCAATAGGTATAGGTAAACAAAATTTGGTATATATGTACAATGGGATATTATTCAGTCTTAAAAGAAATTTTGACACATACTACAACATACATGAATTTTAAGGACAGTGTGCTAAGTGAAATAAGCCAGTCATAAAGACATAAATGCTGTATGATTCCACTTATAAGCAGCACCTAGAGTAGTTAAATTAATAGGGGCAAAAAGTAGAATATTGGTGGCCAGGGACTAGAGAGACAAAGGTTGGGAAGTTGTTGTTTAATAGGTAAAAGTTGTATTTTTCCAAGATGAAGAGTTCTGTGGATGAATGCTAGTGATGATAGCAAAACAATGTGAATGCCACCAAACTATACTTAATGCCACCAAACTATACATTTGAAGATAGTTAAGGTGGTACATTTTATGTTCTATGTATTTTATCACAATTAAAAATTTTTAAATAGCAGTATGATCATAAAATTTTAATTGATATTGAATTCCTAATATTCTAAGGAAATTACATATTTAGTATATGTGAGGAAAAATAAAACTGTCCCCCCTCATTAAAAAAAGTACTAAATTATTATATTTTGTAATATTAGTATTAATAAGAAAACAAAATGAAGAGATGGGTTTTAATTTAAAATTTAATAACTTGTACATTAGAAGAAGAATCTAAGAGTTTTGGAGTGAGTTTATATTAGGCTTCTTATAGTTTTACAAACTTATATACCATTAACTTTCCCTGGAATACATTTTTCAAAAATCTATGTTAAATACTCACTGCTATTTTGAAACTTGTTGTGTGTGTCGTAGTACCTGAAATGTGAAAGATGGTAAATATTCCCTCCCCTTAAAAAACAACAAGGTTGTAGCACAAAATAAAGTTAAGTTTACATTTTTAAAAGGAATAAATGTATTAATTGCTCTTAGCTACATTCAGATGTAAAAATTTGGTACGAACAAAAATATGTATGTTCTCTAAAGTTCAATTTCCCTGTCTATATTAATTATTATTATCTTTGGTGTCCAACAATGTGCTTATAGTTTTAAGCATATCTGAATTCTGTATTTTAAAAAGCACTAACAAGATTCTGTTCTCAATCAATGTCTTCATAGATAAGTTAATTCACAACTTTTTGAGCACTTATGTAGTCTAAAAATAATCATCTTTCTTAATTGAAATACTCACCTGATTTTATTATTCATTTGTAATGTAAGAACTTAAACTGCTATGCATAATTATTAGAGTGGATATTTCTGGTCTATCTGTATTGTTTATAGTTAGCAGAACTGAATTTTGTGGATTTATGAGGCACCCTTGTCTGTAGAAAGGATATAGCCACACAAAGTGTCTAATTGATACTAATTATGCTTTGTATAAAATGGGGACGCTCCAGAATAAGTGGCTCCCTGTATGCAATTTTCCGCATTCATCAATCATAGCAAATCTCTGTGAAAGCTAAAGCCACGATATATCCTATTACAGGGAAAAAAGGAATTAATGGGTACTATAGAACTTCTCCAAGAAAAGAATGCTTAGCCTGTGATTACCTGTATTGTTTGAATCATTAGAAATGTCTGGTTATGGTAAGATTTGTTATTTGTGTGTGTTTCATTCAATAATTCAACACTTTTTGTTCACATAAGGTATAACTCTAATAAAAGACATAATAGAATTTAAGACAAAATTTTCTACTGACACAGAGAAGAGCATTGCATTAGATAATCCAAAGACCATAGATTACAGGAAAAACATGCAAGAAGTTGTATTTGTCAAGCGAAATAAGGTAGAAATCTCCTTTGTAAAGCAGGAACTACAGAAAATTGGGGAATAAATAAGTAGAAATAGAAATTATGAAAACTAAGTGATAAAAAAACTATTCTCAGCCAAAGACTAAGTCAAATGGACAAAATTTTAAAATAAGATAGCAAATATAAGAACATCGCTTGTTAGCATAATTATTAATATAGAACTACAGGGTATAGTTTGCTATTTAGAGCTTGATAAAGGAAAATGCACCATATTCTTAAGTAATCATATTGCATTTATAAAAATTCATTATGTGTTAGATAAAAACACTATAAGCTACATAGTAAGACAAATACTATTTTAATTAGAATATAATAAAAACTAAAAATAACAAAATAAAAACTAAAATATTCCTCCTACAGAAAATCAATGCTATTACGCTAAATAATGCTTGTGCCCAGAGAAGAAGCAAAATTGCAGACTGTTTAATGACAAATGATAATAAACATGCCAATATCATAATCTATGAAATGTAATTACATCAATGATCATTGAAAAATACAAAGCTTAAGTAGTTATATTAATTAAAATGACAAAAGGAAGATAAATTGGTAACTCCTGAAACTAGAAAAAGAAAAAAAAAAAACCCTGGCAACACTACTTCCCCCACCCCCAAAAAGGACTAAAACTACTGTAATGGAACATATAAGAACATATTTTAATATGGTTAAACAATTAAATGAATAAATATAGGACTAATAGAACTAATATTAAAATTTTACAAAAGGTCAGATCTTAAAAAAGAAAATAGACAAACTATTAGTTAGCCCAGTAAAACATAAAAAGACATAGCCCAAATATGGAAGTTAAGAAATCACAAAAGAATAAAATAACACAAGTATACAAAATAATCACAAAGAGAAGAAATAATTCTGGAAAGAGAAATTTGTGCAACTAATTTCAAATAAACTTTATAACATGTATTAAACAAATAACAAAAAACTAGAAAGAAATTGCAAACAGACAAATCGCCATAGAACTAAAATAAAATCATAAAATTTCTCACTACCTTTTTCCTATCCCTCACACCAATAAAGGTGTCATATATGGATGCTTTCACAGAAGAATTTTACCAAAATTTAAAACTCCAGAAATCTTAACACTTCTTAAATGATTCCAGATTATAGATTAAGTAAGAAAATTTCCAAATCGTTTTTATTAAGGAACCATAACATTGATTTCTAAATCAGATAAAGAAATCATAAGAAAAAAGTCTCACTTATGATTATTGATTGAGTGATTCTAAGTAAAACTGTTAGCAAAAAATCCAACAGCACATACAAAAATAATACAGCATGCTATGGTATTTTTGGTATTGGTAGTTTCAATATGTTATGTGGTATTTTTAATATGCTATTTTACTATTTAACATATTTTAAAGTTTTAATTATTTTAAATAAATAGTAATCAAGCCAATATTAATAAAATGATTAATACAATTGATATTTCTTAGGAGAAAAAAATCAAAAGATTATCTCTTTACAATGCTAAAAAGCCATCTGACAAAACCAATATACTTTACTGATAAAAATTACTTGAAATAGAAATTGAAGAGTATACTATTAGCATGGTAAAACCCTTGGGACAGGAAAAAGAGAATGATTATTATTTTTCACCTGCTAGTTAATGTTTTATTAGCCAGTCTAGTGATGCAATCAGTCAAAGGAAAAGAGATGTACAACAATTTGAAAGAAAATGTAAGATTATTATGGATAATAATATACTATATTGGAAAAACAAAATCAGTGCAAAACTGAATAACAAAACAAAACTCAGGAAGTTAATAAGATATAAAATTAACATCGAATAAATAAATTTTAATAGTCTTCATACATTCAAACAGTAACAATTCATAAGATATAATTGAAACTAAAATTTCTTCTATTAGTAACACTAAAATAAAATACTTAAGAATAAATACATGCAAGAGATGTGGGAAATCTATATGACAAATACTTAAATATTCCCAAACAAACCAAAGTTATAATAGAACAAATAGAACACCACCTCTTTGAAAGGAAAAGTCAACATCATAAATGTGCCTTTATTTTCTTGTTAATATATTAACTAAATGGAATAGTAGCACCATTTTGTAGGGGTGCTAAACAATTGTTTCTAAAGTTATATTAAGGGTAAATGGTAAAGAATGCATCTCTTACAAAGGAGAGCAATGGAGAGCACCTAGTCCAATCAGATATTCAAATATACTCTTCAGCATTTACAATTAAAATACTGCAATATTGGTAAACAACTAGCTTGACAGGGCAATAAAACAATAAAAAGTCCAGAAGTAGCAGAATAAATTCACAGAAAGCAGAGGAAAAGAAACACTGGAGGGCCATGCCCTAGGAATAGGGTCAAGATTGATATAGAGTTAAGTCTTAACCCAACTCAGCTCAATCCCTGATTGTACTGAGCTGCTGAAGGGCATCAGGATCTGTGATTGCTCCGCATGCCAAATAAAGGCAAGAAGGAACCAACTCTGGAGGAAGAAATACCACTGGAGGACTCTAAATTGAGAGAGAGAGAGAGTGTGTTTACAAAGCATCTGACATTCAATCAAAATGTCTAGACCTGTGAAGCAGCAACATGATATGACTAAAATAAAAGAAAGAAAACATAAAAAGGGAACAAACTCCCCAGTAATACACATATTGGTCTTAGAAGGCAAGAATTAAAAAAAAACAATTAACATGTCTAAGCAAGTAGAAGATAAGACATACAAAATGAAAAATGGAATCTTTGTAAATAATTAAAAGTCATTCAGAATCTAAAATATATACTATCTGAAATCAAAAATACAATGGCTAGGCTTAAGAGTAGATCAGACAGAAGAGAATATAGGATTAGTTAATTAAACTTTAAAACAGGTAAATAGAAAACATGCAAACTGAAGCAGAGATTACCACAATTACTTAGGGTTGGATGATTAAAAGAACTCAAAATTTTCTACGTAGCGTACTCACGTAAAGGTAATGCTGATAGTACAGCAGGATAAATAAATGACAGGCAGCCATTGATCATTTCACAAATTTACAAGTGAAGCCCTTAAAGGCCCCTTTCTAAATGGCATAGGATTTACTCCATTGGATTATGAATTATCAAGATTCGTGGATGGTAACTTTGTGTCAGGGAAGTGCAGTCACAAGTTTACTGAGAGATCGTTTTTGTTCTGTTAGTCCTACTACTAAAATCAGGCTATGTAACTGTTTACGCCACATGCAAACCAATGATCCATGTATTCCTAAATGATGTTGATATGCTATTATTAGATGCCTCCAGGGAAATGTAAAACTTTACAAATACATTATAAATCACTAGCTAGCATATCTCATTTTTATATTAACCAAGGGTCAGTACCAGCCTTCCAGGTGTTCCCAGAAAATACCACAGTTTCCGCATTACATCTGCAAGATTGTTCTGTACTTATTAAGGTATTTAAAACAAACAGGAAAAAATAAGCTATAAAAATTATGCAAGCCATGCTCAGATGTCCATATCTATCTCTCTATTTTCTCTTTTTATATTTATCTATGTCTATATATCTATATCTTTATCTCCAACATGACAGGAGAGACTGGGTTAGGAATACTCAGAGACACTGGCCAAAGATTTTCCTTAACTAATGGAAGACATTAACCTATAGATCTACAGATTCAAGAAGCTCAGATAACTCCAACAGAAAAAAATAAATAAATAATAAACAAACAAAACAAACAAACATCCCAGCATACATCAGTCATACTGAGGAAAATGAGAAATGAGAATTTTTCTTTTTTCTTTTTTCTTTTTTTTTTTAAACAGAGTCTTGCTCTGTCGCCCAGGCTGGAGTGCAGTGATGCAATCTCGGCTCACAGCAATTTCCGCCTCCCGGGTTCAAGCAATTCTCATGCCTCAGCCTCCTGAGTAGCTGGGATTACAGGGATGTGCCACTACAACCGAATAATTTTTATATTTTTAGTAGAGATGGGGTTTCACCATGTTGGCCAGGCTGGACTCGAACTCCCAACCTCGGGTGATCCACCCACCTCGGCCTCCCAAAGTGTTGGGATTACAGGCATGAGCCACTGCATGCACCCAGTCAGGTTCTTAAAGCAGTTCTAATGCCAAAGAGAACATATATATTGACTTTAAAGTGCACTTCCTAAGAAGAAAATGGAATAAAATATTATAAGTACTAAAAGCAAATAACTATTAACCTAGTAAAAATATTCTTTAGAAATGAAGAAGGCAGAAACATGTTTTCAGACAAATAAACCTGTCCATTTACTATCAGAAGACCTCCTATAAAAGAAGTGTTAAGTGCTAAATGGAGTTATACATGAAGAAAAAAAATGATCATGAAGCAAATATATAAATGTAAGTAGGAATAAAGATCGCTAGAAAGAGTAAAAATGGGAATATTTACAAATTATTATTTACTGACAATGCAATGATAGTAATGTCTTATGGAGTTAAAATAAGAGAGAATTAAAATTCATGAAAACAATAATGCAAAAATGACATGGAACAAATAAAGTTAAGGTTTTAAATACAATAATCTTCATTAGATTCTAATAAGGGAAGAAAGCATGTTTAATTCCAAAGGTAACCCATAGAGTACATAACTAACATAAGGGCAAATAAAGTTAGAAAAATATTTAATTCAAAGCAAATCACATCTTAGCACATTATGACAAATCATCATTTTAATAAGTCTAAAATATGTTTTAAATAGAATAATTTCAAAAATGTAAAACAAAACCATTGAATGAGTCAGTGCTTATGGTTCACTATGATAATAAAGATATATTCACAGATTTATTTTAGTCTCATTTTGTTGTAAAAGGATTTAACATATTCACTAAAATTTAGAAACTGGTGTATAATTTTGTAATTCTCTTGAACTTCAAAGGTTCTTGGCACCAGCTGTCACTATTTGATCAATATACTAATTGCCTAATAGAACACAGACTGTTTAGGAATGTAGGAATACTGCAACAAGCACAGAGGCCCTGGGTTTGACTAATCTCTCACATTTTAATTCTTGCCAAGGAAATATTAATAATCTTTGCTCATATGATTTTGATATGCATTGCAATCAGTACTTTTCAGTGAAATAACTACTTCTGTTTCTGCCCTGTATAGAATATTTGATTCATCAACATAATATCTATTCTAAAAATCTACCAGAATTACAATTCGTGGCCAAAATTTATGTTGGTATCCTTCATGTTTTCTCTCTGGTGTCTTTTAAAATACCTAATTTTTAAAAAGCTATTAATTTTACTATTGTCTATATATAAAGAGTATTATGACTCTATTATAATTTACATGTGGAATTATTTCTAAAAATTCTCTAAATATTCATGTAGATAATTTAATTTGAGCTATTATGTAAAATCACTTTATTTAGATTAGCTATTACCTTTGCTGATGAACTCTGAAAATCTTAAAGCTAAATTTGTAACTCATGCAATTAACTACTTGAGAGTATTAAATATATTGTATACATTGTTGTACTTCCTGCCTTCCCACTTCTTCATAGCTTGCATCAATTTCTGTATCTGGTACATACTCAATAAATATTTGTTCACTGGATGAATACAATAGTTTAAATCAAAATGTAAATTGTCACAACGTCTTTGTAGAACAAATCTACATCTCCAAATGTAACACAGTCAGTCTTTTCCCTGGAGATGTCTCTTCCACGTATTATCTGATGTGGTAAACCATTCATAGCAGCTATTGCTAGAGGTAGCAGTTCCATTTTAAATTATATACTAATTGCATTAAAATGATTTAAGAAAAAAATGTTAAGTGCCTTTGCAAATGTTATTTTTATTTATATATTTAAGAGGCATCGAGGGAAGCTTAATTTTCTCTATCTAGAAAGTTTTTCATTTTCTTATCTATCCATAGTATCCAATAAATCATAATTTTCCTTTCTTAAATCACACCGAGGGATATTATTGTTATCTTTTTCCCTTAACTCCTTTACCTTCTAAGCCTGTTGGTCACTTATAAAACATTGACTAGGATTGTCAATTGTAATGTCAATATGTGTCATCCCAACGTATTGTAAACCCTTTGAGTGGAGGTAAAAATCAATTTTGAACATAATAGGTGTTCAATTAAAATAACATTTTCGGTTGGATTACAAAACTTTGATTAATCTAAGAACTAATACGTGACACAAACTGTCAACTATCAGGAGTAACTTGAAGATAGAGTAAAAAGTTATATTTAACCTCCAAATAATGTAATTCAAAAGGAGGCTTAGTTTTTAGGAACAAAAATAAAATATATTGGAAAATGAATCTACTTACTAATCCTTCATATACAGTAAACTGCTAAAATATTGTGAAACCTCTAACCTATTCCATTTAGTTGTTGACATTTTCTGGGGAGAGATATCAGATCTGATCATCAAGCACATAGTTGCTAAGCAACTGATCCATAAGATGGAAGTAAAGTGCTGTGTTCATAGGCATTGTAGAATGTGACTGCCCTTAAATTATTCCAGTAATAAAATTATACAGAAATACAAAAATACAGGATAAAGTACTGAGCCCTCAAATGCTAAACTAAAATTACTAACCTTTGAAAAGCTAATTACTGTAGCACAGAAATCAGTACATAATCACTTTGCCCATTTCAGAGGAGATATTTTCACTTCACAAGTACTTCACCTGTAATGGGAGTATTCAAAAAGCAATCTAAGAAGGATATGCTGTTTAAAAGGAAATAAAAATTTTCATTTCCTTCTCTGTCTCTATATTTTCAATTCATGTACTGAAGTTGATGGTTAAAATTGAATTAAATGTCAAGTTATTATCACTGTCATTTCTAATTTGGGTGACTTAAAACTTTCATATATGATAGAACAAATTTTTTAAAGAAGTGAGAACTAAAAAGTATATTAGTCACATCAGATGGGTTATCACACCCACAGAGTACCTTTTACTAACTAGTTGCAATTAATTTTAGTAATAATCATACAGTTTAGTAGAGGAGCAAGAGCTATGTTCGCATGAACAGAACAAAAAAATAACAAGTAGGAGAATTTCTTAATTGTCTAATAGAGACTATATGTAAAAATGGATTCTGCAGTATAAAACATAGCAGCGTTAATATTCAGTAGTAATTGCCATGTATGTAAGAAAAATCACTAGCACACACAGTCCCTTGATTTAGGGCAAAAAATAGATGTTTTAAATTCATGCCCAGAGAGTAAACTCTCAAAATCTTGAGACATATTCTCCTTCCTTCCTTGTTATAAATTTTAAAGAGACACAGATGGTAACCCACTACAAATTTATGACAGCCTAAAATAATCTAGCCAAGCGTTAGCAAATGGTTATAAATGTCATGATTTGTTTCTGCTTTCAGATTTACCCCAGAGCATTCTACACACATATGTTCAATATATAACACATAGCAAACTTCAAAGGAAAATGAACATGAATTGTACTCTTCCATTTTCTTCCCTTCATAAAGAGGGCAATTTAAAAATGTTTATTTTTACTATGATTCATTGATGGCTTCAAAAGTAACCATTTTGCTATGGATAGAGTCACATATTTCTTCATAAAACATGGTAATGAAAGGTGAGAGTAAGTAAAAATATTTTTTATACTAAATTTATAAACTATCTTCATGGAAAGTTTTCTGAAACATTAAGAAAAAAGCTAAATTAACTATACAATTTATTTTAGAAACTCACTACTTGAACACTTAACATAGTCAAAGGTCGTCTGGGAGCGGTGGCTCATGCATGTAATCCCAGCACTTTGGGAGACCGAGGCAGGCAGATCACGAGGTCAGGAGTTCGAGACCAGCCTGACCAACATGGTGAAACCCCGTCTCTACTAAAAATACAAAACTTAGCCGGGTATGGTGGTGCATGCCTGTAATCTCAGTTACTCAGGAGGTTGAAGTAGGAGAATCGCTTAAACCCGGGAGGCATAGGTTGCAGTGAGCCGAGATTGTGCCACTGAACTCCAACCTAGGTGACAGAGCGAGTCCATATAAAATAAATAAATAAATAAATAAATAAAGCCAAAAGTTACAAGTTCTCTTGTTGTGTTCTGGATCTTAGTGGAAAGGCTTTCAATTTGGCTCCATTCAGAATGATACTAGCTGTATGTCCGTGTACATGGCTTTCATTATGTTGAGGTATGTTCCTTCCATACACAGTTTTTTGAGAGTTTTTACCTTTAAGATATACTGAAACATATCAAATGCTTTTTCTGCATCATTTGATATAATCATATGGTTTTCATCCTTCATTCTGTTGATATGATGTATCACATTGATTTATTTGTGAATGTTGAACCATCATTGCATCCCTGGGAGAAATCTTACATAGTCATGATGAATAATCTTTTAAATATGTTGTTAAATTTGGTTTGCACGTATTTTGTTGAGGATTTTTGCATCAATATTTATCAAGGATATTAGCCTGTAGCTTACTTTTTCTGATGCATCTTTGTCTGGTTTTGGTATCAGGGTAATACTGGCTTTGTTGAATGAGTTTGGAAGTATTCCTTCTATATTAGTTCATTTTCATGCTGCTGATAAAGACATACCAAAGACTGGGAAGAGGAAGACGTTTAATTTGACTTACAGTTCCACATGGCTGGCGAGGCCTCAGAATCATGGTGGGAGGTGAAAGGCACTTTGTACATGGTGGTGGCAAGACAAAATGAGGAAGATGCAAAAGCAGAAACACCTGATAAAACCATCAGATCTCGTGAGACTTATTCACTATCATGAGAACAGTATGGGGGATACTGAATGTGCCCCCATGATTCAAATTACCTCCCACTGGGTTCCTCCCACAACACATAGGAATTATGGGAGTACAATTCAAGATGAGATTTGGGTGGAAACACACAGCCAAATCATGTCATTCCACCCCTGGCCTCTCCAGATCTCATGTCCTCATATTTCAAAATCAAACATGCCTTACCAACAGTCCCCCCAAGTGTTAAACTCATTTCAGCATTAACCCAAAAGTCCAGTCCAAAGTCTCATCTGAAACAAGGCAAGCTCCTTCCACCTATGACCCTGTAAAATCAAAAGCAAGGTAGTTACTTTCTAGATACAATGTGAGTACAGGTATTTGGTAAATACAGCCATTCCAAATGGGAGAAATTGGCCAAAACAAAGTGATTACAGGGCCCATATAAGTCTGAAATGCAGTGGGCATTCAAATCTTAAAGCTCCAAAATGATCTTTTTTGATTCTAGGTCTCATATCCAGGTCACACTGATGCAAGAGGTGGGTTCCCATGCACTTGGGCAGCTCTGACCCTGTGGCTTTGCAGGGTACAGCCTCCCTCCCAGCTGCTTTCACAGGCTGGTGTTGAGTGTCTGCAGCTTTTCCAAGCAAACAGTGCAAGCTGTCAGTGGATCTACCATTCTGGGGCCTGGAGGATAGTGGCCCTCTTATAGCTCCACTAGGTGGGGGCCTGGTAGAGACTGATACCACATTTCCCTTCTGCACTACCCTAGCAGAGGTTCTACATGAGGGCCTCGCTCCTGCAGCAAACTTCTGCCTGATCATCCAGGCATTTCCATACATCTTCTGAAATCTAGCTGGAGGTTCCCAAACTTCAATTCTTGGCTTCTGTTCACTCACAGGCTCAACATCACGTGGAAGCTGCCAACGCCTGGGGCCTGCACCCTCTGAAGCCATGGCCTGAGCTCTACACTGGTCCCTTTCAGCCATGGCTGGAGTGACTGGGAAGCAGGGCCCCAACTCCCTAGGCAGCACACAGCAGGGGGACCCTGGGCCCAGCACACAAAACCATTTTTTTCTCATCAGCCTCTGGGCCTGTGACGTCAGGGGCTGCCATAAAGACCTCTGAACTGCCCTGGAGACATTTTCCCCAGTGTCTTGGTGATTAACATTATGCTCCTCATTGCTTATGCAAATTTCTGTAGCCAGCTTGAATTTCACCTCAGAAAATGGGATTTTCTTTTCTATCACATTGTCAGGCTGCAAATTTCTGGACTTTCATGCTCTTCTTCCCTTATAAAGCTGAATACCTTTAACTGCACCCAAGCCACCTCTTGAATGCTTTGCTGCTTAGAAATTTCTTCCACCAGATACCCTAAATCAACTCTCTCAAGTTCAAAGTTCCACAAATCTCTCAGGCAGGGACAAAATGCCACCAGTCTCTTTGCTAAAATATAGTAAGAGTCACTGTTGCTCCAGTTCCCAACAAATTCCTTATCTCCATCTGAGACCACCTCAGCCCAGGTTTCGTTGTCTATATTGTAATCAGCATTTTGGTCAAAGCAATTCAACAAGTCTCTAGGAAGTTCCACACTTTCCCACATTTTCCTTTCTTCTTTTGAGCCCTCCAAACTATTCCAACCTCTGCCTGTTACCCAGTTCCAATGCTGCTTCCACATTTTTGGGTATCTTTTCAGCAGCACCCACTCTACTGGTACCAATTTACTGTATTAGCTAATTTTCCCACTGCTGATAAAGACATACCTGAGACTGGGAAGAAAAAGAGCTGTAATTGGACTGACAGTTCCACATGGCTGGGGAGGCCTCAGAATCATGGTGGGAGGTGAAAGGCACTTCTTGCATGGTGGCGGCAAGAGAAAATGAAGAAGATGCAAAAGCAGAAACCCCTAATAAAACCATCAGATCTTATGAGACATATTCACTAGCATGAGAACATTATGAGGAAAACTGCCCCCCATGATTCAGATGAACTCCCACTGGGTCCCTCCCACAACACATGGGAATTATGGGAGTACAATTCAAGATGAGATTTGGGAGGGGCCATAGAGCCAAACCATATCATCTTCTTTCTATTTTTTCAGAAGAATAATTTGAGTAGAATAGGCATTAGTTCTTTTTTAAATATTTGATAAAATTCAGCAATGAAGTCATCAGGTCCCAGGTTTTTCTTTACAGGGAGATTTTTATCACAACTCTGATCTCATTATTTGTTATTGGCCAGTTCTGGTGTGAGAGTTCTTCATATTTCAAACTTGCTAAGTTGTATGTGTCTAAGAATGTGTCCATGTATTCTAGGCTTTCCAGTTTATTGATACATAGTTGCTCATAGTAGCCTCTAGGGATCCTTTGAATTTCTGTTGTATTGGTTGTAATAACTCCTTTTTCATCCCTGATGTAAGTTTTGGGGTCTTCTCTCTTTTTTTCTTCATTAGTCTGGCCAAAGATTTGTTGATTTTTTAAATTGTTTATTTTAAGACAACTTTATGTTTCAGTGAACTTTATATTGTTTTCTTCATCTCCATTTCATTTATTTCTGCTCTGATCTTTATTATGTCTTTCTTCTACTAATTTGAGGTTTGGCTTGCTGTTGCTTTTTCAGTTCTTTAAAAGGTATTATTAGGTTGTTTACCTGACATTTTTCTACTTTTTCAATGCAGGAGTTTATAGCTGTAAACTCTCCTCTTAGTACTGCTTTCACTGTATCCTATAGGTTTTTGTATGTTGTGTTTCTATTATCATTTGATTCAAGTAATTTTTAAATTTTTTTCTTAATTTCTTCTTTGATCCAGTGTTTCTTCAGGAGCATATTATTTAACTTCCATGTATTTGTATAATTCCCAAAATTCCTATTTTTACTCATTTTTAATTGTATTCCCTTATGATCGAGAATATGACTGATATTATTTCAAACTTTTTGAGTATTTCAGGACTTGTTTTGTTGCCTAACATGTCATTTATCCTTGAGAATAATTTATGTACTGAGGAGAAGAGTGTATTCTGTAGCTGTTGGATGAAACTTTTTATAAAATCTATTATATCTATTTGGACTATAGTGCATATTACGTCTGATTTTTGTTGTTGTTGTTGATTTTCTGTCTGGATGATCTGCCAATGCTGAAAATGGGATTTTGAAGTCTTCAGATATTACTGTATTGGAATCTGTCTCCCAAACTCTAACTAATAATATTTGCCTTATATATCTGGGAGCTCCAGTGTTGGGTGCATATGTATTTATAATTGTTATAAATTTTTGTTGAATCGACCCCTTTATGATGACCTATATGATGACCTTCTTTGTCTCTTTTTATAGTTTTTGCTTTGAAATCTATTTTGTCTGATATGAGTATAGCTACCCCTGCTCTTTGGTTTCCACTTTTTTGAAATACCTTTTTCCATCCCTTTTTGTTAAGTCCATGTGTATCTTTATAGATGAAGTTGATATAGGAGTTAAGAAGCCACTTAAGCATATAGTAAGGGTATGGGGGTCCTCAGTAAAGCTTTTCTTTTTAATGAAAATCAGCCCCAAATAATTTTCTAACAAAGAGCATCCTGTAAAGTCAAGCTGCAGACATAGACAAGCAAGCTGGGAGCTTGAACAGGTGAATGTAAACAGGAACTAGGTACTAGACATGTTCAAGATGGTGGCTTCATCTTCCTTTCTCTGCAGGCCACGTGTAAAGTAAGGAGCAGAAAAGATGGTGCCAGTCAAGGGGAGAATTCATTTGCATAATAAGATCAGGGTGGGGTGACCAGCCTTCCTTGCACACTACATAAACGTCACACCTGATTGAATCAATCTGTGAGCCCTGAGTAAATCAGACACCACATCTTCAAGCTGGACTATAAAATCCAGAGCACCCACCACCAGCCTGTCTTTCCCCTCAGAAGTATTTTCTCTTACAATAGAGAGAAAGCTGTTTTTCTTTTTCTTTATTCTGTCTATTAAACCTCTGCTCCTAAACTCTCATGTGTGTCCATATCCTAAATTTATCTGGTGCGAGATGACGAATCCCAGGTATATACCCCAGAGAATGTGGCCACTTCATATAGGGGACATTGTCCAGGATGCCAAGGTAGACATCAAAACAGTGAGTAGAGGAGCAGACTCCAACTCTGTTCTTTAGTGTTAGGGCTCTCAGCCTCCATTTTAGGACCAAATCAAATCAATAATGGGCATCCATCAGCCAGTTAAAAACACAGTTAATGTGGCTGCCATTCTCAAACACTCTTGGGTGTTGATGATTAAATGTCTTGACATAGTCTTCTTTGAGTTAAATATGCTTGGTGTTCTGTAACCTTATTGTACTTGAATATTGATATATTTCACTAGATTTTGGAGTTTCTCTGTTATTATCCCTTCAAATAAATTTTCTACCCCTATTTGTCTCTCTACCTCCTCTTTAAAGGCAGTAACTCTTAGATTTGCTCGTTTGAGGCTATTTTCTGGATCTTGTAGGCAAGATTCATTCTTTTTTTGCTTTTTTGTGTTTTTTGACTGTTTATTTTCAAATAGCCTGTCTTCAAGCTCACTAGCTATTTCTTCTGCTTGATAAATTATTCTGCTTAGAGACTGAATTCTTCAGTGTGTCAGTTACACTTTTCAACTCCAGAATTTATGCTTGATTCTTTTTAACTATTTCAGTGCTTTATTAAATTCACCTGATAGGATTCTGAATTTTTTCTCTATGTTATCTTGAATTTCATTAAGTTTTCTTAAAAGTTACTTTGAATTCTGTCTGAAAGAACACATATCTCTGTCTCTCCAAGACTGGTTCTTGGTGCTTCGTTAGTTTGTTTGGAAATAACATTCCCAGTAGGAAGGGAAACAGTTTCTCTTGACAACCCTAATTGGAACCCCAATGACGCTACAGATAAATGGAAAAGGAAACATTTTTTAATGTGCATATTGGAGGCCTATGAAGAAGGCCCTGTTTTCTTTTCCTTTTTTTTTTTTTTTTTGAGACACAGTCTCACTCTGTTGCCCAGACTGGAGTGCAGTGGCACAATCCCGGCTCATGGCAACCTGTCTCCCAGGTTCAAGCAATTCTTGTGCCTCTGGAGACAGAGGCACAAGAATTAGGCACATACCCCCATGTCTGACTAATTTTTTTATTTTTAGTAGAGGTGGGGTTCTGCCATGTTGGCCAGGCTGGTCTCAGACTCCTGATCTCAAGTGATCCACCCACCTTAGTCTCCCAGTGTGCTGGGATTACAGGCATGAGCCACTGTACCCAGCCTCTGAATGGTCTTGTTGCTTGTGGGTGTTTGTTAGTGTCCAGGCTTTGAATACTTAAGTATTTTTTGTAGTCTTCACAGTCTGGGCCTATTTATACCAGTGTTTCTTGGGAAAACTTTCCAAGTATTAGGAGGCAGAGACTTGGGTGTTGTTTGGGTGTTTTTCCAAGTATTAGAAGGCAGGGACTTGGCCTAAGTTTTTAGTGTCTGTCCTGTATCTGCATTAGGAGGCACCCCAAGCCCAAGTAATTCTGCGCTTCCTGGAGATTCATAGAGGTACTGCCATGGTGGCCTTGAATAATGTCCAGAAGTATTCTGTATGACCAGATAGAGACTCTTGTTCATTTCCCTTACTTTCTCCCAAACAAATGAATTCTCTCTCTGTGCTGAGCTGCCTAGAACTGAGGAAGGGGTGACACAAGCACCTCTGTGGCCACCAGTAATAGGACTGCACTGAGTCAGACCTGAGACCAGCAGAGCCCTGGGTCTTGCCATGGCCTATGATAACCACTGCCTGGCTATGGCCTATGCTTGTTCAAGCCCCTAAGGCTCTACAATCAGCAGGTATTAAAGCCAGCCAGACATTTCTCCTTCCCTTCAGAGCAGTGAGTTCCCACTGGCTCCAGGCAGGTTCAGAGATGCTGTCCAAGAACCAGGACCTGGAGTCAGAAACCTTAGGAATATACCTGATCCTCTATTCTACAGTGGTTGAACTGGCACTCAAGCCACAAGACAAAGTCCTCCCACTCTTCCCTCCCCTTTCCACAAGCAGAGGAGTCTCTTCCATGGCTACCACTGTCCCAGGCCTTCAGCAAGCACTGCCAAGTTACCTTCAATATTCACTCAAGGCTGAAAGGCTCTCCTGTCAGCTTGTGGTAAATGCTGCCAGTTATGGGAATCACCATTCAGGGCAGTGGGCTCTGCTCTGGTTCAGGGTAGGTCCAAAAATGCTATCTAAAAGCCCAGACCTAAAACTGGGGACTCCAAGAGCCCATTTGGTGCTATACCCCACTTTGGCCAAGCTGGTACCTAAGCTGCAAGAAGGAGTCTCTCCCTATAGCCACTGCAGCTGAGAATGTGCTGGACCACACCTGAAGCCAGTATATCTCTAAGTTTTACCCAAGGCAGACAGTAAGTACTACCTAGTTATTCTGGTTGAATACCCAGGTATTCAGGGTCCAAGGACCCCTTTGTCAGCAAGTGATGAATCCTGCCTGGACTGGGTTCTTCCCTTCAAAGCAACTGGTTCCTTTTTGGCTAACAGTGTGTGTAGAGATGTCTTCTGGGAGCTAGAGTCTAGAATGGGGGTCTCAGGACTATGCCTGGTGCCCTATCATACTGTGGCTGAGCTGGTATCCAAGATGCATGACAAAGTCATGTTTACTCATCGCTCTTCTTTTCTAAAGCAGAAAGAAGAAGTCTCTTTTGGAGCTGCAAGCCAGACTGCCTGGGGTTTGGGGAGAGGTGATGCAAGCACTCCCTTAGCTGCCTGGCTGGTTTCTCACTAAGTCATGTGCCCCCTAAGCCCACTGGCTCCAAGCCCAGCAGAGCACCAGGTCTTGCCCAGGAATTGCAGCCTTTAAGGCCTGGACTGCCTTTTAAGTCTATTTTGGACCCAAGAGCCCTTTAACCTGCAGTGGCAGCAAGGATTGCCAAAACTCTGGTTCCGACCACTGGGATGGGTGATTCCCCTCCAGCTAAGGCTGTTCTAAATGCTCCCTCTATGGGTACCCACTGATTTCTGCCTGGTGTTGCTTTTCATTGTGACAGGGCAGCACTGAGTTTCAATGCAAAGCCCCACAGTCACTGTGCTCTCCCTCCCTTAAGTACACAGACTCTCTGTGCCACATGGTCACTGCCAGGGTAGTGGGGAGGAGGTGGTGTCAGCAATTCAGGACTGTCTTTCTACTCTTTTCAGTGCTTCTTTCTGTGATATAAAGTTAAAACCAGGTATTTTGATCACTCACCCTTTTTTGGTTCCTATGAAGGTGTTTATTAGTGTATATAGTTGCTCAATTTGGTGTTCCTGTTGGGAGAATGATCAGTGGAGGCTTCTATTTGGACAACTTGCTCTGCCTCTCTTCCCCTGTATAGTCACTCTTATTTAAAAGTTTCCCATTTATTTATTTAATTAATTGATATGCAATTTGTAAATAAAGTTAACTAAACTGGATGAAAAGCAACTGAATGTTACAATCAAAATTTGTACTTTAAAGTTTATAAAATCATGTGTGCAGTTTGCACTGCTCCACAAATACACACGCATAATTATGTAATCCATCTAAATTATACTTAATTTTACCTTGGATACTAAAAATTTCTCCAGTATTAATGCTAAAAATTTTTCCAATATGGCTAACTTATTTCACATGGGTAGTTCTCTCTCTGTGAACCCATGAGGCTAAAGGACAGGAAATTCTTGCCAAAATGGTTAGTCAGTAACTAACTATAGAAATAAAAACAGTTGGTCAGACTTTTCTAAACCATGATATTAATGAGTCATTTTGTCTGACTTTATCTGAGAGCTGTTAACTGTTAATGGCCCATATGTAACTGAATAAAGTTGGAGTCTATAAGTTGCTTAAAGATAGAACAAAAATTATTTTTAGAAATCTGTTACTGATGCAGTCAAAATTATTTTTATAATCTTGCATTACTTACGAGATAGAGTTCCATTTCAGATAATGAAAACTACAAATTGAACATTGTCAATAATCTGTTGTTAATAATGGACACATTAGTCAGGCATATGTGTATTAGTATCATGTTAGTATCAGCTGAATACGTTCAGTTCCTATCTTATACTTTGCAGAGTAACAGATAAAGGGCAATTGAGAAAAAATAAAGAGGTTATATTCAGTAGAATTTTTTTGTAATCTAAATTAAACTTGAGATTGAGGCTACAGCATGAACAGGAGTTGACAAACTTTTTCTGTAAAGGGTCAATAGCAAATATTTTAGGTTTTGTATACCTAAAATATTCTATCTAAACTACTCGTGTGCTTTTGGTAAAAGAGCCGTAGAAAATGCAAAAAGGAATGAGCATAGAAGAATTACAATTAAACTTTACTTACACAACAGGTGGTCATTTAGATTTGAACTGATTCCTTAGTTTGCTGATTCCTTTTCTGGAGAAACAGGTTGAATTTAGAAGATGTGTTTAGGGCCAAGGGACTAGAGATTTGCGATAACACAGATCTGGTAAAAACACAGTAGGCCATTGTGAAAGAGCAAGAATGGGTTTTAATCCAGCATAGTGCCCGTCATTCCAAAGGATTCAAAGACTGGAGAAAGAAAATATTGATTCTTCAAAACTGTTCTGTACACTGACCGTGTTCTTTGGAAATTGCCAAATAGGAGAGAAAAGACATCTATATGCAACTATTTATAATAAAAGGCATCTGTAATCCCTACGCTAAAGTACAGAAGAATCTTTATAGATGTGGATTTCCTGAGAGATTCTGGATGCTCTGTTTAAAATCCCACACGCAAGAGAGCATTGCATGAAACAAGAAACATTGGACTTGCTCACCAGAGCAGCCATTTTAGAGCTTTCCCTTGGCTTTTGCATTCCTTGAATTCTGGCCTTAGACTGTCCACTACGCTCACACTTGATTCTCTCATAGTTTTCTTCATTTGTTCATAGACCTGATTTCTGTTCTTTATACATGTGCACTAACTTGATTCATCCTTGCAAAACCATATGCTTCTCAGAATCCCCAAACTCAGGGTTGTAATTTATACCTGATAGAAGGAAGTGACCATCCTGAAATTAACCACACAGAACCAGAAATTGAAGAATCAAAAGAATGCAGTTTCCTAAAAGTACTGTGCCAAATGATTCACCAAGAGGAACTACTCAAGAGAAACTGAGAATTACTAGCAGAGTTTATATATGTATATAACAATATATAAATTTATTTTCTAAATATATTGTTATGTATCTATAAACAAATAACAATATATTTAAAAATATATTGTTAGCTGTGTAGATTGCTCATCTAATATTCAGAATTAGTTTCAGTACCTATTTTGGTTGTCTTGTAAAATATCAAGAAAAAGATATGGCCGGAGAAAAAGAAATGTTGAACCAAGGAGATACCATGTAAAAAAAAAAAAAAATAGCTGTTATTTCCAAAAAGGATATTGCCTCTTTCTGAATGTTTCCTTAGGCATAAATTTGTAAGTTTCTACACCATATACATACTTGCATGGCAAATAAGCAACAGGAGTACAAAAAGAACATATGTGTTTCTCAGTCTGTTTGTGCTGCTATAACAGAATATTACATACTGGATAATTTATAAAGAAACAGAAAATTATTTCTCATAGTTATGGAGGCTGGAGAAGTTCAAGATCAAGTTGCTAGCAGGTTTAGTAAGCACCAAATGTTCAAGGCACCATCTTAGAATCAGTGGCTACTTCTAAGATGGTGCCTTGGACATTGCTTCCTCTGAAAGAGAGAAACACTATTTCTCACATGGCAGAACAGCAAAAAAGAGCAAATCCACTCCCACACGCCCTTTGAATAACAGCATTAATCCATTTGTGAGGGTGGAACCCTCATTACCTAAATATCTGTCATCAGGTCCCACCACCCAACACTGTTGCATTGGGGGTTAAATATCCAACAGAATAATTTGAGGAGATTCATTTGTACCACAGCAGTATATTTCTTTTAGCTGCCTAGCCAGCATCGTGCATTGTTTGTTGATATGTAAATCAGATAACTCTTGGAGCACATAATATGCATCAATCACATACTTGGTGCTGGGAATACCATATATTGTGGGTGAGGCAAACAATTATTAATAAATAAGCCAGTATAATATAGCAAAGATAACATAAACTCTTCCAACCCACATAATTCATTTATTCCATTTCCTTAAATGAATACAAATCATTATAAATCCCTTCAAGTGATGTCTTCAACAAAAATTGGGTGTCATAATACCAGGTTGAGTGCTTCATGTTGAGTATCCTAAGTGTCCAGCAGTAAACTTGAGTTTACAGTTTGGTGGGCGCTATAGACAGAGAAACAGGAAAGTGTAAGCCAGTATGATATTTACTGGGGGATGTGGGAACATAAATTAAGTATGTAACCCAATTTTAGAGCCCAGGAAAGCTGCAAGAGAAGGAAATAACATCTAAGCTGAGATTTGAATCCCAATATATTTGTTCAGGAGAACTGGGAAAAGGAATGGTGAGAAAGAGTAAGTACTAATCAAGGAACTGAATAAACCTTAATATGTATTCCAATCAGAATAAAGGTAGGTCTGTTCTCTCTGGTTCCTAATTCAGGCTGTGCTAATGTGCTTGATGAACCAACATTAAATCACTGGGTCTCAGGGAGACTGTGAAGAGCTGCATTGCTTAGAACAGATTTACCTGGATTTCTTGAGGTTGGAGAGTTATTTTTACCATCACAGGCATACTGTTACTCAATTCTCTTCTAGAACAAACAATAACAATAACAAAAACGAAAATTCTAAAGAGTGGATTAAAAAATTATTTAAGTAAAAGCAACTCATTCACTTTTTAGAGAGTTGCTTATCATTATGTGGTGCATTTTTATTTTCTATAAGAAATATAAGAGCAACATTATTCTATCTTCACCATCCAACCCTCATCCCCACAATTCCCCCCAAAATTGGGAACATCCAGAATAATCTACTTTTAAACTGAAATATCTGTGCATGCAATAGAGGTTTTAAGGGCAGGTTCTCAAAAGAACATACGTTCCACAGTTCATTCTGAGGCAGTTTTTGGTATTTACAAGTAGGTGCTGTTCAGTTACTTATGTAAAGAACTATTCTCAGACAGAATCTAAAACACCCTGGGGTTAATAGATTGCAGATACTGTATGGAAATCAACAATTTTGATGGTCCCCAAATGTTTCCAGAATGCATTGCCGTATTTCTGCAATTCTCTAGACTAAAACTAAATTTTAATTCTCCTTACTCTAAATTGTATTATTTGTTCTTATTTAACAGTGAATAGTTAATACTTGTTTGCTGTGAAAACACTCATGGATGTTTCTGAAGCTTTTCCCCAAAGGAGAGTTGGCTTAAAATTCTTGCATCAGAATATTTTGTGCTTTATAATGGTTCCGAAACATTGCTTTTATACTGACCTATGGTATTAATTTTAACTGACTTCAACTCTTTAGGGCATTTCTAAACAATGTTGCCGTTTAAAAGGAACAGTTGTGTTCTTGAAATTATTTTTTCCACAGGGCCACTGCATATGCATTGGGATATAATAAAGCCATAAACTCATTTATTATTGCAAATTTTACATTGAGTATGTCAGCTATGGTTCTAAACAATTGATTTGTTAAATGGAACAAATCCATTTACACTTTAATAGCTGCTAATTTGTTACATTTTAGACATTTGGAAAATTAATGGAAGCTTTATAATCCACTGACAAATTATCACCAGAGTAGTCATATGCCATAAGTAATGTTTCTTTAATATGTGACATAAAATGGACTCAGAAGAAAGAAATGCATGTAGGTGTGATATATGACTTCTTTTAGAACCAATTCAAGGCATTGTTTATTGAATACAAGTTTTATTGTTGATTTTAGTTATTTATTATAAATATATATGAAATCATACTTTCATAAAATGCCATTTGTGAAAACAGTAGCTGAAAAGCTAGGAGTGTAGGTTCTGTAAATAAATAATTATCATCATTTAGGCTGAAAAATTTGATTATTTTTAAGGGTACTTTGAAAATGGCATGTTTTCTTATTATATAATTGTTAAATTCTTTTAGAGAAGGAAGTATTTTTCTCAAATTTTCTATTTCTTAGCATATAAAAAGAACTATTTTTGTTACACAGGCTGTATGTGTTATGCTTAATCTGATATATCTATTTTGGGGGTTCCATCTAGCTTTCCCCATCAAATTTCAATTTTCTTTAAAATGGTTTACAATTATTAAGTTATCTTACAAAAAAGATAACCCAAGGAAATATGTCAAGTATTAAGGTTTACCTCAATCAAAGAAACACATTTTTTCCCTTTATTTCTCCAAACCTAGCAGTAACTAGGATACTCTAATTCTAACTGAACATTATATACTTTACATAACTTAAATATGAAGAGCCTCCTGTGGGTAGCCTCTGATTTTGCATGGTAGCAAATGTAAAACTCAGGCTGCACCCTAAAGCGGGATTCAATCTTTTCCTTATTACCAGAAGCAAATCAATACCAAAAGAGCCTGAAAGAAAAATGTACTGAATATTCTTCAGGATAAACTGGAGGATGATTTACCCACAAAACATACTACATTTAGAATTTAAAATATGCATCTGTAGCTGTGTCTTTCCAAGCCTCTCTCAACTGAAGGATTGCTTTTCTCTCCTATTCAGACTTTCTTTTGAGAAGACATTGCCCCTAAAGAAAAATCTTTCTGCAGCTCATATTGATTCATTTCTCTCAGAACAAGGATACCCATTCAACAGAACAAAGCTCTGAGTGTAACTAGCCCTATGTTCTCCAGAATTTAGTTTAGAAATTACATAATTTTACTTGAAAGCATGCCTCCTAGGGAATCTCACCTCCCATCCTATGAGCCTTTTGAAAATATTTACCCCAAAAAGTGGAGAAAAAGTTTTTAAGAATAATTTATTTAGTAAATAAGTAATAAAAATATTGAGTGAAGAATGGAGAGAAAAAAACTGTTGTAATTAGTAATTTTTCCATATTTTGATAAAAGATATATGTAGTGGTGTTTTTGTATGCATTCAGTTTGCAAATGCCTTACTGTATCTGCTACTATTTCCTTCAGTATCTGTGTGGGACTTGACATATTGTATCTAAAGAATTCTTCCATTGAACTATCAGCTTATCATTTCTTTGTATTTCAAGAGGTTTTTTTTCAGGGCAGTGTTGAAGAGTGCAAATTTTCAGATAGTCAAAAATTTAAAATTGTCAAGTATCTGTTATGCTGCCCTGCTGAAAATGGAAAGAAGAAGATAGTCTGAGTTTATTTTGCTCAATCTATGGAGAAGGCCATATCCTGTCTTCCTTGTCAAATATTCCAGATAATGTAGACCAAAAAAGGAGATAGGGTTGTATCATCATGATACCAAATAATAAAAAAAAAAAGACTTTTGACCAAGTAGGCTCAATTAGCCAAGAAATTTTTCAACATTTTACTAGCTGCTTTTCCTAGATATTTTAAGATTTAGTTAAATCCCATATTTCACAAGCAGAGTTTCTAGTCAGATGTATGGTAGTTTTTTTTCAACTTTTAGGTTTGGGGGTACATGTGCAAGTTTGTTACAAGGGTAAATTTCGTGTCACTAAGGTTTGATATATGAATGATCCCATCACCTGGGTAGCAAGCACAGTACCTAATAGATTACTTTACCCTTCCCCTCTCTCCCTCTTCCCCCACTCCACCTTCCAGTAATATGGTAGTTTTCTTTCCCTTCTCTATGGCATATAGCATTTGTATGCCCTCATTAAGCAGTTATTATTCTACCGTATTGATTTCCTTTTTTTGCAATTTCTGCACAAAATGCCATTGCATGAATGAACTTCTTGCAGTCTGGGGCCATAATTTTATACTTCTTATTCCAACCATAGTGTACTATTTAAATGTAAAGAGTGCTGATTGACAAAATCATCTCATAAATCACTTCCATTATAATTCAGTATCACCTGATATCTTTGCATTAAGATAGAAAGTTACTGTCAACAACAACAAGAAAAGAGCTTTCCTGGGTGTCACCCTGGATCAATTCATTATGCAGAACATAGAATGTTTTAGCTAGGCCGTATACAGAGGCAAATAATTAGCGTTCTATCTATAAACTGTATCTAAAAGGTACACAATGCCCACGGCTCTGGAATAGAACTGACCCAACACACACATTATAAACTTCCCAAATCCCAAGGGAATTACAGGTATGGGGAATTTTACAGCACAGTTGAATTATAGTGTCAGGCCTTTAAAGAGGAAGAGATAAGTACAAGAAAAGATGGCAAGAGAAGCTATCCCTGTCTATTGAAGCCAGATTACTGCTACTTTTTTATGATACATAGTTTATAACTGGAGTAATTTGACTTTGTAACTATATCTAACATATAGCTTTTTACACCATAAAAATTTTTTTAAAGTATAACAGTTTTCCACTAAATTGTACATAGTACTCACACCGAGACAGTTCTCTCAGTGCATGAATGATTCTCCCTGAAACATCTTACTCTACCCCGAAGAACTGCTCAAATTGATAAATAATTTTAGAAAAAGCAAAGCAACATACATTAACAATGTACAAATGAACAGGAAATTTTATACAAGCAGTGGAGATTTGCAAAATGATAGCGTATATCTAGCTTTTAAGGTAAGTAACTACTCTTCTGGAATTGGAAAGCATAAAGAAGGTGGGCTATATCACAAACAACCAAAGTGGGAGGACAAGTATATGGCTGCATTCTCTTTGTTCAAGCCCAGATGTGACACCAGCTAGCTCTGGTCTCAAGGTTCCAGCTTTGTCGTTAGTATTTGTAAGACCCTGGAAAATTTGTGAAAGGTAAATAATAAATCTCATTAGATTATTGCAAAAATTGCATTTTAAAATGTATATTAAACTCTTTGTACAGAACTAAATGTGCAGTAAATGCTAATTAGTATTAGTTATGGTTGCATGAAATACAATAACTTTATTTCCTATACTGTATTTTACATGTTCTTCTCAGTAGTTTGACCTTTTGTGAGAATTCTAAATCTAGTTGTCTTTGTCTGCAAACAAACAAAAAAATAAAACCGTTAAATACCTGATATCTTACCCATATTATCAGAACAATAACACTAAGAGCAATAAGAGGCCCTTAATTGGGCATTATGACAGAACCTGATTAATATTCAAATTCTTCAACCCATCCAATAATATAAGTTCCATAATTACCAACTGTATGTTTTCCCTGTCTCTACTGTAAAGTTTTCTTCTGTTCTATAGTAAATACTATTAAAGAAAGTATAATTTATTCTAAAAATAAAGTTTAGACACAAATTGAATTCATCACACAGAAAGCCAAGACTGTCAAATGGAACACTACATAACACACAGCAATAATTTTAGTCTAGATGTATACTTTTGCAAAATAATTAGCTTATGTAGATGCCTGAACATTTCTATTCCTCCTTTCTCTCATAAGTTGCTAAAATTTTATGGGGTTTTCTATAATAGCCTAATCAATAATAAATAATATAACTAGTGAAGTCCAATATACTTTCATATACATTTATGGAGGCAAGATAATTTGTTTACACAAAATAAAATATAGCACATATATCGATATAACAATATGCCAGTTTTGAATCAGTGCTTCACAAATGCCATAGGAAAAAAATAATCACAACACTTTCAACTTATCTGGTGCTCAAACTCTTCCCAGTTCATGACTAAAGTTATTATCTTTACATTATAATTTTTATTGTTATGGTTCCTCTCTAATTTGGTCTTAAAGTCTTTCTCTTGAGAATGGCCATTAAGCCAACATAGCCATACTCTAGGAGAGCTCTGAAGAGGGGAAATTTAGGTTTGGGTGTGTGTTTCAGGTGAAACACAACGAGGAGATGAAACTAAAATGCATGAAACAGAAGACATTTATTAAGCACAAGTCCCAGAGAGGTTAGGGATGCTGAAGGACGCAGCATCCCTAGCAGCTGAAAGGGAAAGAGAGAGAGAGTGAGAGCGTGAGAAAAGAGAGAGAAAGAAGAACCATGTGGGATAACACCTTTAGGTTCCATGGTTACCCCTTAGGCTTTCCCAAGGGAGATTGTGGATGGGCTATTTTAAAGAAAACACATGAGAAGATGGAACTTATTTGCAAGATTCTATCATAGTTAGCAGCTCTGAGATGTGTTAGGTTTGGGGTTAGTAGGATAAACAGGTGGGCTATATCACAACCAACCAAACTGGGAGGGCAAGTTTTAACTCAGCCAAAGGTGATGGGGTGCTACTGCGTTTCAGACCACTTATATCAGGACTAAAAAGAGATCCCAAGGCAGTAGCAACTGTATTCAACAAATTTTGAACACCTTAATCCTCACATAAGCTCTGTAATTTGGCTGTTGTTACGGTATTGCTATGAGGCTACTGAGACTCAAAGAGTTAAGTAGTTTCCCAAAATCATACAGCAAGTAAAAGGCAAAGTTCAAATTTAAATAAGTGTTTGTCCGAATCCAAATCCCATGCACCTTTTACGATGTAGGAATTTACTCTTTTTCGAGAGAAATTAACACTTCATGCTTTTTCCTTGATTATTTATAAAGGAAAACTCTATACTTCTGTGCTTCCTAATTCCACAGAAGTATGGATAAGAATATGGATAGTGGTGATGCATTTATCTTTAATTAAAACTGACTTTTGACTATCTGGATCTGTCTGATCACTTCACCTTTGTTTCACATTAAGTGAAAGCCTTAGAGTGTTGATTACAGGGGCTTTACCATGCCAAAAAGACAGAAATGCTTCGTATGTTAAAAAATAGAAATTAAATATTGAAGGAGAATTAAGGAAATTAACAAGTGGTGGGTATCAAACAAAAGAAGTCAGGCATTCCTTAGACAAAATAGAGATACCTGCTCTGTTTTGTTTTGATTTAATACAGTTTTCATAGAGGCTTTAAATGGTTAAAACAAAAGGGACAGGAAGCCTGTATCAAAATTGCCAAAAATCTTTACTCCCCACTTCAAAGCCAAAGTCACCTTTAGGCAAAACCCTAGGCTCCTCACCCATCTCTTAAACATGGAATAATAAGGCAATAGTTTCACTTCACCACTGTGTAGCCTTAACTCTATGAACTATGGACTATGAGCTAAACTTACCTGCATTTTGCTGATTATGTTTTGTTTCTGTTACTTCTTGTTACTTCACATCTTTTCACTTGCACTTCTTACTGTTGTCAATCTTGTTAAAACAAATGAGGAGAGTGATAATATAAAAAGTGCAAAATTCTAGTCTCATAAGGGAATTCAATAACTACCAGTTTTCCCCTACTCATTTTGAAATTTCTGTTTCCAAATGCCATGACTAGTATATAGAAAAATGATTGATTGTTTGTATGATGACATCATGTCCTATAACCTTGATAAACTCATTTATTAGAGGTTTTTAATTATTGTTTTCTGTTTGTTTTGTGGTTTTTTTGGTCAATTTCTTGGGATTTTCTACACAAACAATTATGTTGTCCACAGATAGGGGTAATTTTATTTCTTCCTTTCAAATCTTTTCAAAGATAAATTCCTTTTATTTATTTTTTAATTTAATGTCTTTTACTTTATTTAAATGTATTTCATTTCTTTTTAAATTGTATTATATTTTAACTTATTACACAGACTAGGACTCAGTAAGATGTCCAGTTGCAATGATGATAGTGGACATAATTGTTTTGTTCCTAATCCTATGTAGAATTATTCAGTCTTTCTTAAGTATGATGTTAATTGTAGCATTTTGTAGATGCCCTTTATCAAGTTGAGTAATTTCTTTCTCTATCTAGTATGCTAGGGATTTTTATCACAAGTGAGTGTTGGATTTTGTCAAATGCTTTTCTGTCTAAATTGAACAATAATGTGGTTTACTTCTTTAGATCAGGGTTAGTAAACTTCTAGTAAAGAACCAAGTATTTTAGATTTTGTGGGCCATATGGTTTCTGTTGCATCTGACTTTTTTCTTTTAAACAATGCTTAAAAGGTAAACATTATTTTCAGAATGTGATCCACATCAAAATAGTCCATTGGCTTCATTTTACCCTCTGACCAGACTTGGCCAACTTCTGCTTTAGAGTAATTGATAGATGGATTACATCAATTTTTGAATATTGAGTCAGCTTTGCCATCCTGTGACTAACCTCATTTGGTTGTAGTGGAGTTTTACTTTATATATACCCAGATTTTATTTGCTAATATTTTGTTGAAATTTACTTTTTCACCTCTTTTCATGAAAGATATCAGTTTGTAGTCTTTTTGTTTTACTCTGTTAATTTCAGGGTAATTCTGACTTCATAAAATGAGTTTGAATATATTATCTCCTTTATTTTCTGAAGGAGATTCTGGATAATGGGTGTGATGGCTTCTTTAAATGTTTCATAGATTTTCTCAGATATTTCTTTTACAGAATGTTTTGACCTATGATGTAAATTTCTTTAATAGATATAAAGCAGTTTAGCTATTTGTTTTACCTTGTGTAAGTTTTGGTAGTTTGCAGTTTTCAAGAAAACGGTACATTTCATCTAGGTTTTCATACTTGTGTGTTTATAATTTTTCATTACGTTACTTTACTATCCTTTTCATATCTGCAGGGGATAAAATGATATCCTCATTTGTCCCCAATGTTGGTAATTTATATTTTATTTTCATCTTTGTAAATATTGCTTGAGGTATATCAATTTTATTGTCCTTGAAAAGGAGATTACTTTTGGTTTCCTTGATGGTTCTCTATTGTTTTCCTATTTTTAATTTCACTGATTTTTTATTTTACCTTATTTTTTTTTCTTATCCTTGCTTTGAGTTTATATTGTACTTTCTACTTTGACTAAGATAAATTTTGCATCATTCATGTGTAGCTTTTTTTTCCTACTTTTTATTTCTTTTAAGTACTGCTTTAGCTGTATTCCACAAATTTTGTTATACTTCCCTTTTTGTTTAATTCCTAATATTTCCTAATTTATCTCGAGACTTCTTGTTTGACAATGAATTATTCAAATGCATGTAGTTTAATTTTCATATTTTGGAGATTTTCTTATCTTTCTTTCATTGGTTACTAGTTTTATTCCATTATGGTCAGAGAATACATTTTTGTAAGATTTAATTATTTTACATTTGTTAAGATTTGTTTTATGAAGGATAAGTTGTTGTAACTGTTTTCTCCTACAACCGTAAAAGAGGCACACTATCCTAGTGGGCCTCTTTGGGCTGTGGAGGTAACATATTCTTCATTTGGATGTCACTCTCACCTATTTACTACATGACCCAAAAGCCACTTGCTTTGAGTTGGAGCACAGAACAAACAAAGGCTCTGAAACAAGTTCAGGCTGCTGTGTATGCTGGTCTGCAACTTGGGGAATATGATCCAGCAGATCCAATATTTTTTGACATGTCAACAGCAGATAGGGATGTTGTTTAAAGCCTTTGGCAGTCTCCTATAAATGAATACAGTGTAGGCCTTTAGGATTTTGAAGCAAAGCCCTTCCATTCTCTGCAGATAACTTCTCTTATTTTGAGAAACAGGTATGGCTTCCTACTGAGGCTTAGAGACCATGGGCCACTAAATTACCCTGTGACCTGAGCAGCCCAGCATGCACAGGGTATTATCTGACCCGCAAAGCCATAAAGTTGTACATGCACAGCAAGACTCCATCATCAAATGAACATGGTAAATATGTAATTTGTCCTGAGCAAGTCCTGAATAAGTTACATGAAGCAGTCCAAATATCCATGGTCCCCACTCTTGCTATACTGCCCTCCCTCCTCCATCCTGCCCCTCATGGGAGTTTTCTATGGTCATTTGCCAGATCAAAAGAAGACAAACTTGGATTACAGATGGTTCTGTGCTATATGCGGGCATGACCTGCCAGGCTGCATGACAACTACTGCCCCTTTCTGGGATATTTCTATAGGACAGTGGTGAAGGAAATTCTTCCAAGTAGGCAGAATTTAGAACAGTTTTTATTTGCTTGGGAGAATAAATGGTCAGATGTGTGATTATATACTGATTCGTGGACTGTGGCCAATGATTTAACTATACGGTCAAATACTTGGAAAGAACATAATTGGAAAATGTGTGACAAGGAAATCTTGGGAAGAGATGTATAGATAAACCTCTATGAATGGACCAAAAAAAACCTATGAGGATATTTGTGTCCCATGTGAATGTTCACCTCTAACCAGAGGAGGATTTTACTAATCAAATGTATACGTTGACCCATTCTATGGATACCCATTGGTCTCTTTCCCCAGCCGCTACTGTTAACACTCAGTTGGATTGTGAACAAAGTGATCATAGTCACTAGGAGGAAGTTATATGTTGAATAAGCAAGTAGATTTCCACTCGCCAAGACTAACCTAGCTATGGCCACCTCTGAATGCCCAATCTGCCTGCATCAGAAACAAATTCTGAGTTTCCAATCTGGCACCATTTCCTGAAGATATCAGACAGCTACCTGGTTGAAGGCTGATTACAATTGACCACCTCTATCTATCTTATAAGAATAGGATGTTGCTCTTAGTGGAAAAGACACTAACTCCAGATATGGATTCACCTTCCCTGTATGCCATGCTTCTGCCAAAACTACCATCTGTGGACTGACAGAATGCCTTTTCTAATGTCGTGACATTCCACACATAGCATCTGGTCAAGTAGTTCACTTCATAGCAAAAGAAGTGCAGTAATGAGTCCATGCTCATGGAATTTACTGTCTTATCATGTTCCCCACATCCTAAAGAGGAAATAAGTCATTATTTACTGTGCCAGCTAGGGAGTAATACCTTATAGGACTGGTACAAAATTTCCCAGAAGACTATATGCTCTGAATCAGCATGCAATGCACAGTGCTATTTCTCCCATAGCCAGGATTCATGAGTCTAGAAACTAAGAATTGGAAATGGGAGTAGAACCACTCATTGTTATGCCCAGTGACTTACTAGCAACATTTTTGCTTTCTGTTCCCAAAACTTTATGTTCTGCTGACCTAGAAGTCACAGTTCTAAAGGGAGAAATCCATCCGCCAGGAGACACAACAGCAATTTCATTAAATTTGAAATTAAAACTCTTGCTTAGCCACTTTGAGCTCTTTATGTCTCTTATTCAACAGGCAAGCAAAGAGTTACTATGTTTACTGGGGTGATTGTTCCTGATTACTGAGTGGAAATTGGGCTACTACTTCACAATGGAGGTAAAGAAGAGTGTGTTTGGAATATCGGATCTCCCTTAGGGAGTTTCTTTGCGCTACCGTGTCCTGTTATTAGGGTCATTGGAAAATGACAACAACCCAATCCAGCAGGACCATGCATGGCCCAGATCCTTTAGGAATAAACTTTTGCATCACCCCACTTGGTAAAAACCATGATCAGCTCAGATATCTGATGAAGGTAAAGAGAATACAGAATGGATAGTGAAAGAAGATAATTATAAATACCAATTACAGGATGTAACCAGTTGCAGAAATGAGTATTCCTCCTTATTTTGTTATGAATATATTTGTGTGTTTGCATATATATCAAATATCTTTGTATCTCCTATCTCTTATTCCCTTATTATGTAACATAGAATGCATATAGACTTTATATAATAGTATACATATAAATATATATAATATTAAGTATTACTTATTTTATATTGTAGTATCTAAGTTACAGCAGATCAAGTAGAATAGTAAACATCACTCAAGGTCCTTGTTTTTTGAGAAAGGTGTTAGTGCATTTTCAGTTCTATACAAGATGTTTGCATCATGTTAGGTGGTATCATAACCTTGTTATTGTTTTTCATTTGGAGAGGGCAATGAATATGGATGTCAAGTTGGAGGATGGGCTTCTGATGCTTAATGCTAATTATGACAGTAAAAGCACTGTTTCTGTGATACACACAGGAAATTTATATATGTTCTCGGTCAGCTCAGAATGTCTTTTTGAGTAATGAAAGGTCTATTGTATGTATCCATGGGTAGTGCCACAATATGTAAACACTTTTGTTTAAGAGTTCTGGAATGTGAGGAGTATGTCCTCTCTGGAAAAATGATGGGTGTTTCCTCCAAATAACAAATATTGGTTTAATTTTACCAAGCTATTTTGTTTCATTAAACTGTGCACATGGGGAGAAAAAACAGTTTTATGTTTAAATCAGGCTTCCAGACAACTTAAGATAATGAGTAAAAAAGACACCCAGAGACATTTCGACGCTTAAATGAATCCTATATTGAATTTCTAGTCTCAGAATATCAGTGCTTATTCAACTAGCAACAATTACTTTGGTGGATGTTTAAAGAGTTTTGGCAAAATCATGTTATAATCAGAGTGGAGTAATGTATTTTTAATGCTTTCTTATGAAAGTGAAAAAAAAATGTAGTAGCAGTAAAATGAGACGGATAGATAATGAGAAATAAGCAGAAAGGCAATTGACAAAGAATAAAAGAAAGAAGCAGGTGATGTAACCAGGCTTCTCTTTGGCTGAAATATAGAGACTTAATGATTATTCCTTATTCATTAATCTTTGTAGCCTCTCTTTTCCATGGTTCAGAGCTCTTTCCATGAGCCTATAACTCCCTACCTGCCCTTTTTTAAGCTCAATACCAGAGATTCCCAATCTTTTCTCTCTACCCGCAGAATCCCAGTTCACCTTCCTTCACTCCAGGACTTGGTATATCAGTTATACATCAGGTGTTAATGATGGATTATTCAATTTACTCTCCCCTGTAGGACTATTTACATTTCAAATGTGAACATGTCCCACATAAATTTTCTTTTTCTTCAGCTTTACTAAGGTATAACTGGCCAATAAACATTGCACATATTTGTAGCATATAATGTGATGTTTTGATACATTGTGATGTGACTAAATCACGAAAATTTACATATCATCACTTCACATATTTATCTATTTTGTGGGTTTATTGAGAACATTTAAGATTACTCTCTTAATTTTCATATATACGATGCATGCTTATAAACTGTAGTCATCATGCTATACATTACATCTCCAAAATTTATCCAGCCTGTCTAACTGAAATTTGACAATCATTTCTGTATCCTCCAAATGCCCCAGGCTCTGCCAATCATGGCTCTGACAATCATTTTATTTTTTGCTTCTATGAATTCAAATTTTAGGTTCCACATATAATTGAGATCATGTAATATTTATCTTTCTGTATCTGGCTTGTTTCACTTAGCATAATGTCATCCAGGTTTATCTATGTAGCTGCAAATGATAGAATTTACTTATTTCTTTAGGACTGAATAGTATTCCATTGTTTTATATATATATATATATATACACATATATATATATACACATATATATACATATATATATATATACACACATATATATATATATATATATATATAAAATCTCACACTCTATCCATTCATCTCTTGATGAGTGCTTGTTGATTCCATAGCTTGGCTATTGTGAATAATGTGGCTATTTTGAATAATGCTCCAATGAACATGAGAGTGCAGATATATCTTTGCCATACTGACTTCTTTCTTTTTTCTTATAACTTGAACTTTTATTTTAGATTCAAGTGTACATGTGTGGGCTTGTTACCTGGGTATCTTGTGTGATGCTGAGGTTTGGAGTATGATTGATCCTGTCACCAAGGTACATGGCATAATACTCAATAGTTAATTTTTCAACCCTTCCTCCCTTCTTCTTTCCTCTCCTCTAGTAGTTCCCAGTGTCTATTGTTGCTACCTTTATGTCCATTTGTACCCAATGTTTAGCTCTCACTTATAAGTGAGAACATGTGGTATTTGATTTTCTGTTCCTGTGTTAAATCACTTAGGATGATGTCCTTCAGCTGCATTCATGTTGCTGCAAAGGACATGATTTCATTCCTATTTATGGCTGTACAGTATTTCATGGTGTCTATGTACCACATTTTCTTTATCCAATCCACCATTGATGGGTTCCTTAGTTGAGTTCATGTTTATGCTATTGTGAATACTGCTGCGATGAACACACAAGTAGAAGGGTCTTTTTGGTAAAATGACTGTTTTTTTGTTTTTTTGTTTTTTTGTTTTTTTTTTTTTTTGCTATATACCCAGTAATGGGATTGCTGGCTCAAATGGTAGTGCTGTTTTAAGTTCTTTGAAAAATCTCCAAACTGCTTTTTGCAGTGGCTTAACTAGTTTACATTCCCTCAGGTAAAAGAGAACATAGTGTACGAGTGTTCTCTTATCCCCGACCTTGGCAACTGTTATTTTTTGATCTTTTAATAATAGTCATTCTGACTGGTGCAAGATGGTATCCCATTGTGATTTTGATTTGCATCTCTCTGATGATTAGTGATGTTGAGAATTTTTTAATGTTTGTTGGCTGCTTGTATGTCTTCTTTTGCAGAATGTCTGTTCATGTTGTTTGTCCATTTTTAATGGAGTTATTTGCTTTTTACTTGTTGAAATGTTTAAATTCCTTTTAGATTCTGGATATTAGACTTTTTGGATATTAGACTTTTGTTGGTTGCACAGTTGGCAAATATTTTCTCCCATTCTGTAGGTTGTCTTTTTACTCTGTGGATAGTTTATTTGCTGTGCAGAGCTCTTTAGTTTAGTTAGGTACCACTTCTTAATTTTTGTTTTTGTTGCAATTGTTTTTGAGGGCTTATTTATAAATTCTTTCCCAAGGCTGATGTCCAGAATGTTGTTTCCTAGGTTTTCTTCAAGGACTCTTACAGTTCGAGGTCTTACATTTAAGGCTTTAATTCATCTTGAGTTAATTTTTGTATATAAGGGAAGTTAGCGGTCCAGTTTCATGCTTCTGAATGTGGATAGCCAGCTATTCCAAAAACATTTATTGAATAGGGAGTCCTTTCCCCATTGCTTCCTTTTGTTGAATTTGTCAAAGATCAGATGGATGTAGGTGTGCAGCTTTATTTCATGGGTTCTCTGTTCTGTTCCACTGGTCTATATGTCTGTTTTGTACCAGTATCATGCTGTTGGTTACTGTAGCCTTATAGTATGGTTTGAAGTCAAGTAATGCAATGCATCTAGCTTTGTTCTTTTTGTTTAGGGATCACTTTGGCTATTCAGGTTCTTTGTGGTTTCAATATGAATATTAGAGTATATTTTTCTAACTGTGAAAAATGCCGTTGGTAGCTTCATAGGAATAACATTGAATATGTAGATTGTTTGGGGCAGTACGGCCATTTTAATGATATTCATTCTTTCAATCCATGAGCATAGAATATTTTCCCGTTTGTTTATGTCATCTCTGATTTCTTTCAATATCTGATTTCTCAAGATAATTAAAAATATCTTGAGTCAAACAGAAATGGAAACACGACATACTAAAACCTGTGAGATGCACCAAAAGCCAAAAGCAGTTCTAAGAGGAAATTTTATAGTGATAAATTCCTACATTTAAAAAAAGAAATATCTCAAATAAAAAAACCTGACATTATTTTTTAACAGTTTTGTAGCTCTTCTTGTAGAGATCTTTCACCTCTGTGGTTAGATGTAATCCTTGATATTTTATTTTGTTTTCAAAGATACTATAAATGGGGTTACTTCTTGATTTGGGTCTCAGCTTGAATATTATTGTTGTATAGAAATGCTAATAATTTTTCTATATTGATTTTGTATTCTGAAACTTTACTGAAATCATTCATCAGTTATAGGACCATTTTGGCAGAGTCTTTAGGATTTTCTATGTATAGAATCATATTGTCAGCGAAGATAGATAGTTTTTCTTCTTTTCCTATTTGGATGCCCTTTATTTCTTTATCTTGCCTGATTGCATTGGCAAGGACTTTCCAATAATATTTTGAATAGGAGTGATGAGAGTGGACACCCTTGTCTTATTCCAGGTTTCAAGATAAATGCTTTCTGGTTTTTCCCATTCAGTATGATGTGGGCTGTGGCTTTGTCATAGATGGCTGTTATTATTTTGAGGTATGTTCCTTTGATGCCTAGTTTCTTGAGCAATATTATTATGAAGGGGTGTTGGACTTTATCAAAAGCTTTTGCTTTCACATACTGATTTTATTCTCTTTGAATATATACCCAGAAGTGGGATTGCTGAATCATATACTAGTTCTATTTTTAATTTTTGAGGAACCTCCATACTCTTTTCCATAATGGCTATACTAACTTACATTCCTACCAACAGTGTACAAGTGTTCACTTATCACCACATTCTCACCAACACTTGTTATCTTTTTCTTTTTGATAAAAAACCATTATTACTGAGGTGAGATAACATCATATTGTGGCTTTAGTTTGCATTTTGCTGATGATTAGTGATGTTGAACTCCTTTTTATATACCTGTTAGCCTTTTGTACGTACTCTTGAGAAATACCTATTCAGGTTCTTTGCCCATATGTTAGTTGGATTATTTTCTTGGTATTAAGTTGTTTGAGTTCCTTATATATTTTAGATATTAACCTTTTATTAGATGTATGGCTTACAAATATTTTCTTCCAATCTGAGCTACATTCTCCAGAAACGTAGTTCTTCACTCTGTTGATTGATTCCTTGGCTGTGCAGAAGTTTTTTAGTTTGCTATGATCCCATTTGCTATTTTTGTTGACTATCCTTTTGGAGCCATATCAAAAATATCATTGACTAGACAAATGTCAAGAAGTTTTTAACTCTATATTTTCTTCTAGTGCCTTTAAAGATTCTTACTTATTTAAGTTTTTAATATATTTTGAGTTCATTTGTCTCTATGGTGTTAGTAAGGGTCTAATTTCATTCTTCTGCATGTGAATATCCAGTTTTCCCAACACTACTTATTGAAGAGACTGTGCCTAAAAGAGATAATTAAAAATATCTTGAGACAAACAGAAATGGAAATACAACATACTAAAACCTATGAGATGCACCAAAAGCCAAAAGCAGTTCTAAGATGAAATTTTATAGTGATATATTCCTACATTAAAAAAGTAATATCACAAATAAACACCCTGACATTATTTTTCAAATAACTAAAAAAAGAAATGCAAAGCTCAAAATTAGCAGAAGAAAGGAAATAAAAATTAGAGTAGAAATAAATAAAATAGAGACTAAATAAGCAACAGAAAAGATGAACAAAACTAAGAAGTTTCTTTGAAATTATAAGCAGCACTGATAAATATTTGCTTACAGTAGGAAAAAAAGAAGGCATAAATAATAAAAGCAAAACTAAAATAAGAAGCAACTGATACCAGAGTAGTAAAAGGATCATAACAGACTGCTATGAGCAATTATATTCTAACAAATTGAATAACCTAGAATAAATGGGTCAATTCCTAGTAAGATACAACCTACCAAGGCTGAATCACAAAGAAATTAAAAAAATCTGAACAACCGAACAAGTAGATTAATTAAGAAAAAATATTCCCATCAAAAGAAAAGTACAAGTTCTGATGGCTTTATGCCTGAATTTTACCATCACTGAAAGAACTAATATTTATTCTCCCCCAACTCATCCAAAAAATTGAACAGTAGGAACACTTCCAAATTCATTTTTTGAGACCAGAATTACCTTGATACCAAAGCTAGTCAAACGCACGATCAGAAAAGAAAATTTGAAGCCAATATCCTTGTTGAACATAGCCACAAAAGCCTCAACAAAATACTAGCAAACCCAAATTCAACACACATTACAAAAATCATTCACCATGGTGAAGTAAGATTTATTCCTGGGATGCAAGGATGATTCAATTTAGGTAAATCAGTAAATGCGATATATCACATTAACAAAGTAAAGGACAAAAAACATATGATCATACCAATAGATGCAGTAAAAGCATTTGACAAAATTCAACATTCTTTCTTGATAAGACTCTCTGCAAATTAGGTATACATGGAATTTGCCTCAACAATAATAACCATATATTGCAAGCCCATAGCTAATATCTATGACATTCAGTAGTAAAAATTTACAAACTTCTAAGATCAGGAACAAAAAGACAAAAATCACTTGGATTCAACATACTACTGAAAGTCTTAGTACAATTAAGCAAAAGAAAGAAATAAAAGGCTTCTAAATAACAAAATAAGTTAAAGCAAGCTAACATGACATGATCTTATAAATAGAAAATTCTAAATGCTCCACCAAAAGACTATTGTAATAAACAGATTTACTAAAGTCACAGAAGAAAAAATCAATATACAAAAATCAGTAGCATTATTGTACACTAACAAAGAACTATACAAAAAAAATCAAGAAAACAATCCTACTTATAATAGCATTAAAAAGCAAAATACTTAGGAATAAATTTAATGAATGAGGTGAAAGATCTGTATACTAAAAATTATAAAACATCGATGAAGCTGGGCACAGTGGCTCACGCCTGTAATCCCAGCACTTTGGGAGACCAAGGCGGGCGGATCACTTGAGGTCAGGAGTTCCAGACTAGCCTGCCCAACATGGTGAAACCCCATCTCTACTAAAAGAAATACAAAAATTATTTGGGTGTGGTGGTGCATGCCTGTAGTCCCAGCTACTCAGGAGGCTGAAGCAGGAGTATTGTTTGAGCCTGGGATGTTGAGGTTGCAGTGAGCCAAGATTGTGCCACTCCACTCTGGCCTGGGTGACAGAGCGAGACTCCATCTCAAAAACAAACAAACAAACAAACAAACATTGATGAAAGAAATTGGAAAAGAGCCAAGTAAATGGAAAGACTTTCCGTGTTCTTGGATTGGAAGAATTAATATTGTGAAAATGTCTCAAGGTAATCAGTAGATTCAGTGTAATCTCAATCAAATTCTGCTGAAAATTTTCACAGAAATAGAATAAGCAATCTAAAAATTCAACAGAAAAGACCCCAAATAACCAAAGCAATTTTGAGCAAAAAATAAAAAAAAAATAAATAATAAAAAATAAAAAAAGCTGGTGACATCATACTACTTGATTTCAAAATATATTACAGACCTATAGTAATAAAAACTGCATGTTACCACCATAAAAATAGACATATGGACCAATGAAACAGAACCGAGAGCCCAGAAATTGATCCACTCATTTATGGTCAGTTTTCTACAATGGTGCCAAAAACACAAATTTTTATCTATGAGATCTACCTATTTAAATAACTGAGAATACTGCCCATATGCCATTTAACAGTCATTCACATATTGATGAAAATCTCACACAAAGCATTCACCTAGATTGCTTTTTTTCCTCACATAATTTAGTTATCAGCTCAAATAAACCTTACAAAAAGAGATCCCTCCTTCTGTTTCCTAAAGAGGCTTCAAGTCTCTATCATAATATCCCTACGTGCTGTATCATGGCACTTTTGGCAGTCTGAAATTTTCTTGTTAATTTACTTTTTATTACTAGTTTTATGCCACAGTAATGAAAACTCCACAATACCCTAGATTGTTCTTTGGTGTGTGGTGTGTGTGTTTTATGAATATGTGGTCACTTAGGAAATTGGTTAGCATATAGCATTTGTTCTATAAACATATTGAATATAAATAAAATTCAACAGCTAAGAGATTTGACAAAGAACTTTGAGCATACTAATATCTGTCTCAATAATTTCATTTATATTTATTTGTGTAAATAACCTAAAAATTTAGAAAAATGTTTTGCAATTATTTGTCCATTTTAATATTCTTTATGACTTGAAAATATGAAATCTAAATGCTTCAAAATAGCAAAATTGTAACAAATTATTAGGGTGCATGAATTCAATAGAATGTTATTTACTTATTACATATTTTATTAACATGAAATTAGAAGATATGCAGAATATGTCTATTTTCATTCTATTACACTTATTTATACTTCAGTCAATATTTTCTTTTAATATCAAAAGCTTGCTTCTCATAAAGACCCAAAGATCTTTGTCATGTAATAAAACAGAAATAATTTTCCACAGGTAAGTCTAAGAAATCATTCCATGGTCCTCACCATATGCTCTGCTTGATTAACTGGATTGAATTTGACAGGCCACCTGCTACACAGTCTCCATGAGAACAGACTATAACACTGATTGGACATATAATAAATTGAATTTTGTATATTCATGACTGAAATATAAAGAAAACATAGTTTGTGCCCATATACTGTGAGGTAGTCAGTCCTACACTTCACAGTCCACTTTTGGTTTCATAGGGTTACATGGCCATTTCTTGACAATGAGTTGTAAATGGGTATGATGGAGATCTGAGAAGAGTATTTAGTTGAGAGTTCCCAGCATTTATTTCTCTTCTCTCTGACAGAGCAGCAGGCAATATTTAACATAGTGATTATTACACTAGACTGGTGCTTCAAATTACCACGATATGCTCAATTATGCTTGAGCAACTTGCACTGGACAAATTATGTGAGAAAAAAGAATATTTACTATTTAAAGGCACTTAGATTCAAGGATTTCTTGTTGTGGCATAATCTGGTTTATCCTTATTAATATATTATGCCTCAAAAACTTGTAGCATCCTTTACTACATCCATTAGTACAAATTTCTGGAATGGCAATACAATTGTGTGATATATAGTATTTATATTAAACTTCTAAGGAACCTGGATTAATGCAGTATTGCTAGCGTAATTATTATACACCATTGTGACAACTTTGCTTCTCACATGTGATCCATGCTTTGTATCTATTTAATGTGTCCACAGCCTCAAGCTGTAAAATCTTTGACATCCTGCAGCAACCTCCTCCTGAGAAAAATCAAAGAGCTTAGAATGATTAGATAATTAATATGTAGAGCATGTTAGAAGCCATCAAGGATTCTAAAAAATCATTAGTATCTATTTATACCTGTGCTTTAGTGATATACAAAAATTAGCTCATCCATCAGGAGAACCCCTACTTTTACAGCTATTCTGACCTGAAAAGATATAGGGCAGGTCCTCTGAAACCTTTAAATGTGATTCAGCTTTAAATGAGGACTTTTAAAATAAGTCAACATGTAATTTGTCAACATTGTCTGCTCAGAGTTTAAGAGAAGTACATGTCTTTTAACAAATTATATGCTCTTTATTTTTTGGCCTGTAAAAAAGGTTGAAGTCAGTGACAGCTAGAGCATAGAGGTAGGACATTTCCTATAAATCTGCTGGGTAGGCACATTGTGTTGTAAAGGCTGATGGCAATCATTATTTGAGGATGATACTTCAAGAGCCTAAATTAATCTTTCATCTCTTCCCATGAAAAATGGGAATCTGGTAAGATGCATCCTGGTTGAGAAAGAATTGTTCAGATTTTCCTTTAGATTCTATAAATGACATCCATTCAAGAGGAAGCATGACTAAAGTCTCCAATACATGATTTCCCCCTTATGTTTCCAGTTATGAATTATTTTAAGTAGAAATGAATTGTGCAAACAACTGTGATTGGGAAAGTCAAGATAAAAGAAACATAGAAAAATAGTACATCCTATAAGCATACTCAGAAGGAAAATATAATGGGAAAAAACATACCTTGGTCATATCACAATTGTTTTTTAAAATGAAGAAAACTATTAGCTGCAAAATAAATGTAAATGCAAGATATATATGCACACATTAAATGTATATGTACTAAAAACTCCCGTTAAAATGCAAAGCTTGATAACATTGCTAAGCAACAAAAACACTTAAAATGAAAAAAAAAGATTGAAAAAGAATTTAGCACAGAGATTATACACAGACGTCAGCTAAAGTCAATAAACATAATACCAGCAGATATTAGGTAATAATAAAAGGTATGATAAAACAATAAATAACCATTATAAATCTACATGTATAAAACATAGCAGCCAAGTGCATAAAGTGAAAAACTACTTGATCATAAAGAAACTTGATAAAACAATTCACATATAGTGGGAGACTTAATATGCCTCTTTAAGAATTGAACATATAAAAATAAACAAAAGATAAAAAAGCATAAGAAAAATTAAATGCTATTATTAATCAATCTGAATTAGTAATTTGTTTATAGAACCAGCCTCATATATCTAAGTAGAACATATATATATGTGTATATATATATGTGTGTGTGTGTGTATATATATATATATACACGTGTATATATATGTGTATATATACACATACACACACACACACACACGGGGCATTAGCCAAAAATATGTACCAGGCCATAATTTTTAAAATTAACTAATTCAAAAGTAGACAGCAAGATAAATTATCAGACCAACATATGATAAAATGAAAATATGTAATAACAAATTCACAGAAAAAATAATCGCTTGACAAGAAATTCACACTAGAGAAATCTTTGATCAAAGACTTAAAAAGACACTAAGTGCTTTGTCTAGATACTAGAAAGAAAACAATAAGATAGAATGTACTAATACCAAAGTGTCACCATAAAACTTCTCCACAGACTACTTACAATTGAAAATATTTTTAAGAAGAAATATAAAAAATAAATAAAATGCTTAGATTAAGAAATAGGAAGGAATAACAATATAAAACACGAAACAAAGAAGTTATTAATAAAGATAAAAGTGATATTATTTAATAGAAAACAAATAGTAAGAAGCATTAATACATCTAAAATGTTTTCTTATAAACACCGATAAATGTCTTGAAAGCCTGAGTAATTTTTTAAAAGAGTGAAGAAAAAGCAGACAATAGAGGAAAGAGATTAGAGTTCGAACTACAGATTCGAGAAGGTTTAAAATAACTGTAAAATAATATACCATGAAAAGGTGAACGTTGATAACACATATTTAAACACCCAGAGGAAATGCATGACTCCTTACTAAAACGGCAATGCTCAAATTGACTATTTACCTACTAAGAAAGACGAGATTAATGCTTGATCCACAATGATGCTCTTCACTTTCTCTACCTTCCTGCCTATTTTCCTTACCGCATGCCACACAAACAAGCAGACATTCAAAATAATTGTATAATAATTCCTTCATATTTCCCCTTCGTTTCACTGTTCTTCCACTTTAGATAAGTCCCCTGGCCTGTCTTTATCAGTCTTCTTCTCATTGTGCCACGCTCCTAGGTTTTACTAATATAGTCGTTACTCTCAAATTTTGGAGTATTGCTGTAATTACTATTTTTTTTTTTTTTTTATTATACTCTAAGTTTTAGGGTACATGTGCACATTGTGCAGGTTAGTTACATATGTATACATGTGCCATGCTGGTGCGCTGCACCCACTAATGTGTCATCTAGCATTAGGTATATCTCCCAATGCTATCCCTCCCCCCTCCCCCGACCCCACCACAGTCCCCAGAGTGTGATATTCCCCTTCCTGTGTCCATGTGATCTCATTGTTCAATTCCCACCTATGAGTGAGAATATGTGGTGTTTGGTTTTTTGTTCTTGCGATAGTTTACTGAGAATGATGGTTTCCAATTTCATCCATGTCCCTACAAAGGATATGAACTCATCATTTTTTATGGCTGCATAGTATTCCATGGTGTATATGTGCCACATTTTCTTAATCCAGTCTATCATTGTTGGACATTTGGGTTGGTTCCAAGTCTTTGCTATTGTGAATAGTGCCGCAATAAACATACGTGTGCATGTGTCTTTATAGCAGCATGATTTATACTCATTTGGGTATATACCCAGTAATGGGATGGCTGGGTCAAATGGTATTTCTAGTTCTAGATCCCTGAGGAATCGCCACACTGACTTCCACAATGGTTGAACTAGTTTACAGTCCCACCAACAGTGTAAAAGTGTTCCTATTTCTCCGCATCCTCTCCAGCACCTGTTGTTTCCTGACTTTTTAATGATTGCCATTCTAACTGGTGTGAGATGATATCTCATAGTGGTTTTGATTTGCATTTCTCTGATGGCCAGTGATGATGAGCATTTCTTCATGTGTTTTTTGGCTGCATAAATGTCTTCTTTTGAGAAGTGTCTGTTCATGTCCTTCGCCCGCTTTTTGATGGGGTTGTTTGTTTTTTTCTTGTAAATTTGTTTGAGTTCATTGTAGATTCTGGATATTAGCCCTTTGTCAGATGAGTAGGTTGCGAAAATTTTCTCCCATGTTGTAGGTTGCCTGTTCACTCTGATGGTAGTTTCTTTTGCTGTGCAGAAGCTCTTTAGTTTAATTAGATCCCATTTGTCAATTTTGGCTTTTGTTGCCATTGCTTTTGGTGTTTTGGACATGAAGTCCTTGCCCACGCCTATGTCCTGAATGGTAATGCCTAGGTTTTCTTCTAGGGTTTTTATGGTTTTAGGTTTAACGTTTAAATCTTTAATCCATCTTGAATTGATTTTTGTATAAGGTGTAAGGAAGGGATCCAGTTTCAGCTTTCTACATATGGCTAGCCAGTTTTCCCAGCACCATTTATTAAATAGGGAATCCTTTCCCCACTGCTTGTTTTTCTCAGATTTGTCAAAGATCAGATAGTTGTAGATATGCGGCGTTATTTCTGAGGGCTCTGTTCTGTTCCATTGATCTATATCTCTGTTTTGGTACCAGTACCATGCTGTTTTGGTTACTGTAGCCTTGTAGTATAGTTTGAAGTCAGGTAGTGTGATGCCTCCAGCTTTGTTCTTTTGGCTTAGGATTGACTTGGCAATGTGACCCGATTTTCCAGGTGCGTCCGTCACCCCTTTCTTTGACTCGGAAAGGGAACTCCCTGACCCCTTGCGCTTCCCAGGTGAGGCAATGCCTCGCCCTGCTTCGGCTCGCGCACGGTGCGCACACACACTGGCCTGCGCCCACTATCTGGCACTCCCTAGTGAGATGAACCCGGTACCTCAGATGGAAATGCAGAAATCACCCGTCTTCTGCGTCGCTCACCCTGGGAGCTGTAGACCGGAGCTGTTCCTATTCGGCCATCTTGGCTCCTCTGTAATTACTATTAAATTACTATTAAAGGCCAGGCGCGGTGGCTCACGCCTGTAATCCCAGCGGTTTGGGAGGCCGAGGTGGGCGGATCACGAGGTCAGGAGATTGAGAGACCATCCTGGCTAACACGGTGAAACCCCGTCTCTACTAAACATACAAAAAAATCAGCCACACCTGGTGGCGGGTTCCTGTAGTCCCAACCACTCGGGAGGCTGAGGCAGGAGAATGGCGTGAACCCCGCAGGCAGAGCTTGCAGTGAGCCGAGATCGCGCCACTGCACTCCAGCCTGGGTGATAGAAAGAGACTGCGTTAAAAAAAAAATTACTATTAAATTGTTTAATATATTTATTTTTTTACTTTTATTACAACTACGTGTTCCCTGCTTCTCTTCTTTATCATCCCCCATTGTGAAAACTGTTCTGGATCATGAAGTGTTTCAGTGTTCCTCCACACCCACTCCCAGTTATTTTTCTTATTTGATATATGCTGGGATGATATACTCCACATATTTGCTTGTGTATCTGTATATTTTTAACCACAACATCTAAATACTGTATAGCAAGAATATAATTTTCTTGGATTTTATATTTTTGTCTCAATAGTTTGTGTTATTCTTCTGACTTTTAGCTTTTATTGGCATAGATACAAAGATCATTGTCAATCTAGTTTCAAGGATAACTTGATTTTCTTGTTTTAAAATTTATATTATCATTATCCATGTAGTTTAATAATCTTATCTAAATATGCATTTTGTATCATAACAATCCATTCTATAATTTATCTTTATTAATTACAACACTATATGTTTTTTATGGAAATTCTTTGAACTCATTTTAAAACTTCTAATATTCATGTGTTAAATATTCTGAATTTAGCAACTATGTCTTTCTAGGCTTATAATTTCTAAATCCATGTATTTTTATTCTAGTTTTTGTGATAATTCTGTTATTATATCTTCCAGAACTAATCTATGTCTCCTCATTTAAGGAATACATCTACTGAAGGTACTAATTTATATATCTTATTTTAGCATTTATGTGATTTTCTTAAATATCCAAACTTCTATTGTTATCTTTTTCTAAGTTATTTATTGATGAATGTCTGACTCAGATATCTTTGATTCACTTCTAGCAGTCTACTCCTGCCACCAAAGTATAAAAGCTGGACAAACAACATAACGGAAATCATTTGAAGGCATTTGAAAGTGACCACCATTCATAGTTCTTTAAGGGTTATAAACCCTGAGAGATAAAAGGAATCAATAGAACCCATACTTATGGCAACATTTCTCCTTTAGAGTATTTTCAGCTTACTGTGTGGAATAGATTCAGAGAAGAAAGCCAAAGTCTCCCTGGGCTGAGGAAACATTGGATTTTCAGTACAGTCACAGCAGCTGTGATTTCAGGGGACAAAAATCTCAAGGAATGTATATAACTGAACCCCAAAATCTGTATTCCATTTTTTTTTAGACTTTTTCAACTCTGAAGCTGTACAGGGAAAGCTCTAAGAAGCCCAACCAAAAGCAGCAGTTTAGACTGTGTGAAAGCACTGAACACGTTTCAATAGTTAACTGAATGAGTAGGCTTGGCAAATATTCTATGCTCTCAGCTATATCCTAGAAGTATGGGACTATATCCTAGAAGTATATAGGGTATATAGAAGTATCCTAGAAGTATATATGGGACTATATCCTTAGAAGTATGATCCATACCCTTGAAGTAAGAGAAAAACTGAAAAAAACAACAAGAACCAATTTTGAACTGAAAATATTTCAGAAAAAAATTGCATCTGCACTTAACATGTACAGATTATTTTTCTGGTCATTATTCCATAAACAATACAGTGTAACAACTATTACATAGCATGCACATTTTATTAGGTATAATAGGTAATCTATATACATATATGCCCTGGAATCTACTTTTTCTAATACTAATATAGCCACTCAAGCTACCTTAAGATTAGTTTTAGAATAGTACATTCTAATAGTACATTCTTTTTCATCCTTTTTTTTTTTTAACATATAGTTGTCCCTCCAGTATCCGTGGATTATTGGTTTTAGGTCATATATATTATATATATATACATATATATATAAATAATATGTATTTTATAGATATATAATATATATGTGTATTGTCAGGGATAATATGAGTCATTTCATAATGATAAATCAATCAATCTTTAGTTGCCTGATAGAAGAGCTCCAAAATAAATGAAGCAAAAACTAATAGAACTGCAAGAAAATATAGACAAATCAACAAGTATATTCAAAGAGCTTAGCACCACTCTTAATAGCTGATAGAACAAGTAGACACAAATTAGTAATTATGCAGAAGACATGAACAATATAGTCCACCAACTCGATCTAAATAACATTAATCGAACACTCCACTGAGGAGAGTAGAAATTCTTTTAAGGTACACACACAAAGAAATCAGCAAGATGAAACATCTTCTGGGACAAACAAAAATAAAACTCATCCATTTTTTGAGAGTCCAAAGCAGGAGGTTTTCTTGAGGCCAGAGGTTTGAGAACAGCTTGAGCAACATTGCAAGACCTTGTCTCTACAAAAAAATTAAAAGAAAAAAATTTTCCAGGTGTGGTGGTGTGTGCCTATAGTCCTAGCTACATGGGAAGCTCAATCAGGGGTGGTTTGAGCCCAGGAGTTAAAGATTGCAGTGAGCTGTTTTCATGCCACAGCATTCAAGCCTGAATGACAGAGCAAGAATCTGTCTTTAAAAACAAAACAAAACAAAATACAAAAAAAATTCAATGAATTCAAATGCATATCAGTCCTCCAATGCTTTGTTACTCTTCTTATCACAATGGAACTAAATTGGAAATAAAAAATGGAATGTTCTCTTGAAAAAAAACCTTAAAATATTTGTAAACTATAGAACAGAATTCCAAATAAGCCATTGGTTAAAAATTAAATCAACAGATTAAAAAAAAATGAAAAAAAAGAAGAAAAAATATCTTATTATTTTCTGATATCGAAGAGTTCTTTCAGCATTATAGAATTGAAAGTAATAAATTTAGGCCGAGTATGTCAATTTGATCACTTTTTACAACACTGTATTTTGTACATATCATTTTGTAACCAAGTTACTCAATAAAGAAATGAGCAAGGTAGTTGTGTTAATCACAGTGTGTGAACTCCAAAAGTGTCCAATAAAAATGTCTTAATTTTTATTTGCAAATGCTTTTTCTCCTGTAAGTAGTGGAGACTATTTTACCTCCTCTTAAGTCTAAGCTGATTTAGTGACTTGTTTGCCCAATAGAAGGGGAAAGAATCAGCACAATGCCATTTCCAGATCAAGCTTTAAGAAATCTATCAGTTACCCTATTACACTCTCAGAGCCCTGAGCCACCATGCTCTGATGAAGTCCAACCTAAAGCCGTGTAAAGATGCAGTGTAGAAGGGAATCAAGGCAGCTTGGTCAAAAACCCCAGCCAAACACTAGCTCAGTACAGATGCAAGTGACCCAGGTGAAATGAGACCAGCTGAACAACTGTCCAGTCAACCCACTGTATTATAAGAAATAAGTTGTTAATTCTTTAAATTTTGGACTGTTTTGATATACAACAACAGTAAATGATACACTATAATTTCAATTATAGTTCAGGGAAACAAACTATGGAAAATACATGATTGAGTGAGAAATTGTTTTATGGACATCTTATTTTAATGTTACAACAAAATTCTAGAAAATAATAACATGCTCAATATATACAACAATACAGACATTAGTATGACATGTATTGTTTATTGTATGTAATGTAGATTGATGATTATGTTTTATCATTCTAATCAAGTCACTTATCTGTAAAATTGAAAACTCCATTATTTTCATAATGTTATATTGATAATTTTTTTTTTTTTTTTTGGAAAACTCATAAAGTCTTCTTTGTTGATTGATATTGTTTGGCTGTGTCCCCACCCAAATCTCATCCTGAACTCCCATGTGCTGTGGGAGGGACCTGGTGGGAGGTAATTGAATCATGGAGATGGGTCTTTCTTATGCTGTTCTTGTGATGGTGAATAAGTCTCATGAAATCTGATGGTTTTAAAAATGAGAGTTTCCTGCACAAGCCCACTCTCTTTACCTGCTGCTATCCATGTAAGAAGTGAAATGCTTCTCCTTGCCTACTGCCATGATTATGAGGCCTCCCCAGCCACATGGATCTGTAAGTCCATTAGACCTCTTTCTTTTGTAAATTGCCCAGTCTTGGGTATGTCTTTATCAGCAGCATGAAAACAGACTAATACAGTAAATGAGTACCAGTAGAGTAGGGAGCTGCTGAAGAGATATCTGAAAATGTGGAAGCAACTTTGAAACTGGGTAACAGGCAGGGGTTGGAACAGTTTGGAGGGCTCAGAAAAAGAAAGGAAAATGTGGGAAAGTTTGGAACTTCCTAGAGACTTGTTTAATGGCTTTGCTCAAAATGCTGATAGTGATATGGACAACGAAATCCAGGTTGAGGTGGTCTCAGATGGAGATGAGGTACTTGTTGGGAACTGGAGCAAAGATGACTCTTGTTATGTTTTAGCAAAGAGACTGGCGCAGTATTTTGCCCCTGCCCTAGAGATTTGTGGAACTTTGAACTTGAGAGAGAAGATTTAGGGTATGTGCTGGAAGAAATTTCTAAGCAGCAAAGCATTCAAGAGGTGACTTGGGTACTGTTAAAAGCATTCAGTTTTATACGGGAAGTGGAGTACAAACATTTGGAAAATTTGCAGCCTGACAATGCGATAAAAAAGTAAATCCCATTTTCTGAGGAGAAATTCAAGCTGGCTGCAGAAATTTGCATAAGCAATGATAAGCCAAATGTTAATCCCCAAAAGAAGTGGGGGAAATGTCTCCAGGGCATGTCACAGGCCTTCACAGCGGCCCCTCCCATCACAGGCCCAGAGTTCTAGGAGAAAAAAGTGGTTTTGTGGGCTGGGTCCAGGGTCCATGTGCTATGTGTAGCCTAGAGACTTGGTGCCTTGCATCCCGGCCACTCCAGCCATGGCTGAAATGGGCCAACATAGCACTTAAGCCATGGCTTCAGAGGGTGCAAGCCCCAAGCCTTGGCAGCTTCTACGTGGGTGCACAGAAGTCAAAAATTGAGGTTTGGGAACTTCTGCCTAGATTATAGAAGATATATGGAAATGCCTGGATGCCCAGGCAGAAGTTTGCTGTAGGGGCAGGGTCCTCATGGAGAATCTCTGCTAGGGAAGTGCAGAGGGGAAATGTGGGGTTGGAGCCCCCAAACAGAATCACTATTGGGGCACTGACTAGTGGAACTGTGAGAAGAGGACCACCATCCTCCAGACCCCAGAATGATAGATCCACCAACAGCTTGCACCGTGCACCTGAAAAAGCCACAGACACTCAAAGCCCACTCATGAAAGCAGCCAGGAGGGAGGCTGGACCCTGCAAAGCCAAAGAGTCAGAGCGGCCCAAGACCATGGGAATCCACCTCTTGCATCAGCGTGACCTGGATGTGAGACATGGAGTCAAAAAATATCATTTTGGAACTTTAAGATTTGACTGTCCTGCTAGATTTCAGACTTGCATGGGTCTTGTAGCCCCTTTGTTTTGGCCAGTTTCTCCCATTTGGAATTACTGTGTTTACCCAGTTCCTGTACCCTCATAGTATCTAGGAAGTAACTAGTTTGCTTTTGATTTTACAGGTTCATAGGCATAATGGACTTTCCTTGTCTCAGATGAGACTTTGGACTGTGGACTTTTGAGTTAATGCTGAAATGAGTTAAGACTTTAGGGGACTGTTGGAAAGGCATGATTGGTTTTGAAATGTAAGGACATGAGATTTGGGAGGGTCCAGGGGAGGAATGATATGGTTTGGCTGTGTCCCCACCTAAATCTCACCCTGAATTCTCTCATGTTGTGGGAGGGACCTGGTGGGAGGTAATTGAATCATGGGAGGGATTCTTTCCCATGCTGTTCTCATGATAGTGAATAAGTCTCCTGGGATCTGAAGGTTTTAAAAACAAGAGTTTCCTGTACAAGCTCTCTCTCTTTGCCTGCTGCCATCCATGTAAGACATGACTTGCTCCTCCTTGCTTTCCACCATGATTGTGAGGCCTCCCCAGCCATGTGGAGCTGTAAGTCCATTAAACCTTTTTCTTTTGTAAATTGCCCAGTCTCGGGTATGTCTTTATCAGCAGTGTGAAAACAGACTAATACATTTGTTAAATTTCATTTCCCATAAGCATAGATAATTTTAGAAACTTACTTGAGTATGGCATTTGTGTTAGTAGTCAACAAAGATTAAACCTAGACAATCATTAGACGCATGGATACCTAGGAGAGAAACTCTGCTGAACAAAGAAGATAAACAATAGACACACAAACATGGTCAATCATAATCTGATTCCAGCATACTTTTTCATGTTTTTACAAACTTATTGTTTGGTTTAAATTTATGCACACAGAGAAATTATTGCAAATATTTGAATAAATCATGCTGCCTCAACCTGTATTTCTTAATATATGTACTGCTGCTTTCCTTTACAAGGCTTACTTTTACAGGCATAGCTGAAATACCCCTAGTTCAAAAAAGCCTTCAACTCTCCTTTCTCAAAAACAGAATTGGTAATTTTCCCCATTTTGTCACAGCTGTAAATTTTACATGTTTTAATCCCTTACATGTTATGAAAATATTTTGCATTTCACAATCTGTTATTGGAGTAAGTTTTTTGAGGGTAGGATCCATGATATGTTTATTAATGCCTATTACTAGGGCCAGAGTATATTAGGTAACCAGTAGAAATATGATGAATGAATTAAATGATAGCAGAAAACCCATACAGCTAAATAATTAACTACTGAAATGAAATACATTCAAGTAATACATATAATTTTGGTAGAAGTTGGTAAAAATATTCAAATGTGAAGAGTAGTTGGTTTTTACCATGTTTTTAGCAAAATAAGAAAAGGGTTCCCAATATAGCACTAAGCGTTAATGTGTACACAAAATCAGATGATACTCAAATATAGCTTTGTAACATATATGTCTAATACAAACAATAGAATAAGCTGTAGGGAAACCAATTTTGGGACATCCTAATATGTTCAGGTAAGCTTACATTACAAGTGCCATGTAAAGTTATCAATGCACTGCTTATTTTTAAAAAATCATTTGAAGTCGATAAAATAATCTCCAGGTAGTCCTAAATGTTACTGTAATGTAGAGAAAACTTTCTGAAATGAATATATTGAGAAAAAACTTAATGAAACTGTAGTTTTTATATCATATAAAAGTTATATATACTTAAGCTTGATTTCCATTCTGAGAATGAGCAGAGATAAACTTTTCCTAAAATCAGTGTGGATGAGAAGTTCCTTTGTGTTGTTTTTCAAAAATCAGTTAATGCTGAAATAAACCCCCTGGGAATTTCTTTAATAGCAAATAACCTAAGTGAAAAAAGAATGCAAATAACCATTTGTTTTGGGCAACCATTCGTTGTACCCACACTGTGGCATAAACTTCAAGTAGAGAAGACCTCTTTTGTCTAAAGAATGCATTAATCCTCTTTTCTTTGCAGTTTCCATTGAACATCCTTGATTGATTTTATTCCTTGCTGAAATAAAACTTATCAGACCCAATCATTTCAGCACCTGATTTCTTTGCTGTACTTAAGAAGGAAAGGGCATTTGGGGGCATTGCTCTATTTATATCAAAATGGCAGAAGAATCATATTATATAAAACAGTGAGTTTTCCGATAATAAATATTCTGACCTTCAAAAATTGACCTCCTGTTTAAAGTCAAAGCAGCTATTACTGCCATGCATTGTGATTTATTTCCCTCACAACTGTGACTGTATTAATTCAGATAATTTGCTTCCTTTATAGTTTTAAGATAAAGGATGAGAAAAGTGGGTTATGAAGTCTGTGGTTTTGAATAATGACTGTCAAAAGGGATATATAGGTAAAGATACTGCCTAGGTATGAACAGCCATATTTTCAGCATTCTGAATACAGAAATTAGAGTTACCATAAATATTCTTACTTCAAGTACTTTTTGCAGATCTTTTACATACCAAAGTTTTGCTGCATTTGACTTATATCAGGCCCAAATTTCAGGCTATCTAGAGAAGCTATTATAAATATTACATCAGAAAATTAGAATTTCACTAGTAATGGGTAAGACATGTATTAGAATCAAAACTGAATTTGTAGAAACATGGCAAAAATTATGCTAGTTAACATTAATGTCAAAATTTTAATACAGATGTATAATTGCAGATGTAAATCACTGCCATACTAAAAAACCCTCATTCCAAAATATCAAAAGCTAAAATCTTAGAAAATAAATGTTAAATTTTAGATTTGTTATTTATGAAAAGATACAAGCAAGAAGTAATATTATGATTCATAATTAATCCATTATTCAGTTTCATTAGATATAACTTTATCACTCATTTCCAGTGGTTACAACTTGGATGTACTGAAGTCCTTCTCACCTTAAAGTTTATTTCCAAAACAGCTTCAGTTTATCTTGACTTAATTAAAGTATGTCAAAATTAGGGTATTGGAATTCAGAAGCCATAATCAGAAACACCAAAAGTATGTATCTTATAATTTTAATACCTGCCAAGTGTGCTTTCACAGAACCTATACATTTAGGGCCCCCATCACGACTCCAGAGGGCTTGGTATTTTTCTTTCTCCTGTGCTCTACAAGTTCTTCAAACTTACCTGTTTTATACCATCAATTATTTCCCTCTTATACCATGGCTTTAAGATTAAGAGCAAAGTTTGCTCCAGAACTGATTCCCATTGCTTTCTGAGAAACAGAGCTGTTAAAAGCAAAATATGTGATGGTGTGTGTAAAATATACCATCTCCATCCCCGTCCTCATTTTTCTATTTTTTCTCAGAATATGAAATTTGTCATACAAAAATAAACAAAATAAAAGAAATTGTTAGGTTCATTTCCCCACAATGTTTAGGTTAGCAAGAGTAACTTAGAGAAAACTGCAATGGAACAATATTTCAGACAATATAAATGCATGCTTTTCTCTCCCAGCTGTTTTGTGTTTGCTTTATTATTATTATTTTTTGAGATTTCTGATCCTCCCTTCATCCTGCCTCTCCCTGCCATTTGTGGCCTTAGCTAATATATGCAGCAGATTATGACTATCACTTTGGTAAAACACACACAGGCTTTTGAGATTTAGGAGGCTAACTCTTGAGGGAACTCAGAGTATGGAAAGGCTTGATGAGTCAGAGTAAAGTTTCTCTCAGCCATGACTAGGTAGGTTCCCAGGACTAGAGGGATGACAGGGGAGATACCACTGAGGTTTGGCTTAGATGGCTACATTTGGCAGAACTAGGTCAGAACAATAGAAGTCATCTACTCCCCACTAGACTGGGAATTCACCCCTGGAACCTGCACCAGAGCCTTGTCAGTGCCCAACCTGTTTGGTCTCCTTTCCCCTGTGCATCCGCTAAGTCCAGAAGCCATGTTAGCTGTCCTTGGTGTGACCCAGTGACATCCTCCCTTTTAGAGCAGCCAGCACATCACTGCCTATTAGCCATCCAACAGGAGTGGCACCCACCTAAGTTCTAGGAACCTGCTTGGTCTCAAAGTGTCCTACATTGTGAATAGCAATATGTCCTATTCATGAATAACTTGGTTTTAAACATCTAGGACACTTGAAAACCCAGAGAAAGTCATAATTCCTAGAAACGTGAGAATGCATGAAAAGAGACAAGATACCTGTCCTTACGTATTTGTGTCAGACTGGGACCGGGTCAGCATCTATGTATTTTTGGTGTTTCTGATTATGGCTTCTAAATTCCAATACCCTAATTTTGACATACTTTAATTAAGTCAAGATAAACTTAATTAAACAGGTACTGTATCAGTACTGTAGACATATAGCCTTATAATCTTTACTTTCATTTATTTATGTTTTTATCCTCAGAGAGCATCAGTTTTAAATTGAATAGATGCAACTAATTCTGGTTCACCTGCATTACGTTCCTCTCTATGGCAAGAAATGGCAAACAAAAATCATGATGGAATTGCTTAATGTGCTGGTTTATTACCCATCCTGAGTAACATTTACATAGCTGTCCACATGTTAAAGGGATAGTCTCTGGTTGCCAGCGTTAGCCATCCTCCCACGGGGAGCTTAAATATCATCTTCCAAGGGAAGCTTAAATACCACATTCCTCTGAAACTGTCCACTGTATTCAGAAACCTGCTCTCTCGCCTTCATTTTCTGAAATTCCACTGCACTTGGGCATCCTTGAGTTTACTATCAGGTGTATACATATGTGTCTCCCTAACTCCACTCTCAGCTCTTAATATCAGGTACGGTGGTGTTTGTGTTCATCTTGTATTTATTTTTGTGTTTCCTACACAACCTACACTAAAGTCTTAAATTAAAAAGGAGTCATTGAAAGGACATAGCAGTAGATAAGGTATTTTAGTAAATTCAAACTGATTATTTATTACTGCATTCAACTTGTTTTTAGATTGAAATTAATATTTTATATAATACCATTATGCTCCCTACATGCAGTTCATATTGTTGAAATTGTCGAAGTCCTAAGAAAAGTGTGCATATGATTATGAGTTATATCTTTTATATGGTACCTGTCTGGGCATAGAGTGTTTAGCAGAAATTTTCTATTCAATGTCATCATAAACAAAGAAGCAAAGCCGTTCTGCAGTATTCCAAATGTGATTTCATTGCCAGGCTTTTATGTCATGAAATTCATAATCCAAAATGATCTTCGATGAGAGTAAAACTAGAGGTTCTTACACTATATCTGTAATGCAGAGAAAATGCTCATTGTTACAATCTGTATTAACTGAATATAAAAAGCAACTTCACCAAGGAATAGAAATCTAGCTCAGAGCTTACACATACAGACACATATATATATGTATTCTCCAAGAGACTCTAACGTATTCCTTGTCATACCTCATGCTCCTTTCTTCATATCTGAACTGTATGGCTTTACTTACACCAGCAACACATAGTGGAAGTACAGAGCGTTTCATTCCTGGCAAATATGATCAAGTTAGGAAGCAAGTCTGGATCATTTAGACTAAAATACAAGGTATTTTTCTTCCTTTTGACATCAAAATATCTTGTTTTCCCTCTTCAGCTTTCCATTTAATAATAATAGCACATTTGGATGGTGTTTTAGGATTTTTAAAAGCAAACATAAGTGGTGTTAGAGCAATTGGCATGAAGTCTATTCAACAGGAATGAAGAATAGAGTGTCTAGTGATTGCAAAAGAACAGAGCCAGTAAATAGCAAAAGAAAGCCCATGGGGCAGACATCCTGATTTCTAGTTCATTTTTTTTTTCCTTTGAATATAATGCCTCTCACATGGTTATGAAGAAAGCAAGATAAATAACATTTATGTCTACAAAGAATTATGTTCTGGGTGTAAAATTATTTGAAATATTCTAAATAATCTATATGAAGTCTCGATTTTAGTGGAGTAACTTCATGTATGTTCAATGAAATTGCCTGATATCGGCAAGTTATAGGGTAGTCCAGACCTCCACTACTCAGCAGCTTCCTTTGAAAGATAATTGTTAATGACTTTCTGTTCTAAGTAATAATTTTCCAGAACTTTATTTGCTGGTTGTTCTCCAACTAGATTATGAGTCATTAAATTTATGAATCATATCTTTAACTTCTTCGGTGTTTGCCTAAGATTCCCAGTGCCATGTTCTGCCCATGAGGCACATACTTATCTGACTGTTAAATTTCTGACTATAAAGTTTTTACAAATAAGTGAAAATTTCTAATTTTTAAATTTCTATTTATTTTGTTTGAATTAAATCATAATACAATTTGTGGCTTTATCTATAGAATAGGTTTAACTGTCAAGTGCTTGTTAGCAGGAGAAGTGAATAGTGTTCTACATTTGACTTACTCTCTTTGTAAGTCATTTCTAGGTATATATTTTTATTACATCGCTTCATATGACAATAGACCTCAAGGCCTTAACTACAATAATTTGAAGTTTAGAGATGCCTATAGGGTCTTATTCAGCCTCATTGATTTGAACATTTTAACACAGGACAAATCAAGTGAAATGCCAACGGCTTCTTTTTAAACTCTAGAAATTAACAAAAGGGCCACCTGGCAGCTCATAAGGGAAAGAGAAACCTTATCCACTTAGGTTTGTTGAGAAGAAAAGGATAAAGAATGATTTTCTGGTCATTTTTTCTAGCAGAAGGCTGCAGCACCAATAGGCTTTCTAAGTCACCACTATGTAGCAGCAGCCTCAAGTGCACCCAGGCCTCAGTACCATCTCTCACTTCACCGCATCTCAGAGATGACCTCAGGTTATACTTTGCCTCATACTTAAACAAACAAAGAAATGGTACAAGAACTAAGTAAAAGCTACAGTATGCAGTAGGGTTTTATTTTTTCTACTATAAAGGTAGATTCTGTAATAGACTCAAGGTAAGGTTAAGATACATGCTTGCTCAGCTATGTAATTGTTTATACCAATTCCCCAAATTACTACAATTTCAGAAATTTAGCATTCTTCTCTGGAAACAGACTCTTTTAATTGTAACAATGCAAACAACACATCACCATCAGGAATGTGTGCTTTATTTATTATAAAAACAAAACAAAAATCCTCTCCTTCTTCATTATAACCTACATTTCAAGATTCATCATTCAAATGGTTCACCAAATTCAACGCTTATCAGAATCCCTTGGGGAAATATTTAAAAATACAATTGGCAGAACCTATTACAGACCTACTATATCAGACAGTCTAGGCCTAAAATCTGGAATTCAACATACTTGGGACCTCTTCAAATCATTTTATGTAGTCCATGTCCTGCATTTGGAAAACACTTGCATTTCATTAAAACTAATTTCTATTATTCAGGCTTTCAACCTTTAGAAACAATTCTGTGTAAGTGAATTGGCAAGATATGTTAAATAAATTATAATTTGAAACACCTGATAAACTCCATTATTTGTTTCAAAAAGAAACTCATAGACAATGGATAACACTTGTCCTGAATCAGGATAGAAAAGGCATGATCTTTTCTTGTGACTCCTTATTTGTTTTTCTTTTTTTTAATCATTATTATTTTTTAATACAGACAGGATTTCACCATTTTTCCCAGGCTGGTCTGAAACTCCTGAGCTAAAGCATTCTGCCCACTTCGGCCTCCCAAAGTGCTGGGATTACAGGCCTGAGCAACCACACCCAGTTGTTTTTCTATTCACAAGGTTCCCCATCACCAGTAGCTGCAGCACAGTGTACTGGAAAAAGCATAGGTCTTGAAGGCTCACGGTTGTGAAGCTGGACATGTTAATATACTCCAGTTTATCCTGATGGTAAAAATCTGGATTATCAATAGTTAATCCACAGATTTGCTGCTAATTTAAAATTATATAATGTTGTTAGTTATAAACCAGATAATGCTTTGAGAATACACTGTTTTAGGGAAATGTTGTTTTCTTTCAGGACAAGAGGCATTGTCCCGAATTTTGTGTACTTGAATTTTAATCCTTGTCTAACCACTGCTATTTATACAGTATGATATCCCAGTAAAAGAACTATAATCCCAGGGTCACAAAATTTAGTAATGTGAAGAACGTTTAAAATTTACGGAGTCGGAGAGGAGCCAAGATGGCCGAATAGGAGCAGCTCCAGTCTACAGCTCCCAGCGTGAGCGATGCAGAAGACGGGTGATTTCTGCATTTCCATCTGAGGTACCGGGTTCATCTCACTAGGGAGTGCCAGACAGTGGGCGCAGGTCAGTGGGTGCGTGCACCATGCGCGAGCCGAAGCAGGGCGAGGCATTGCCTCACTTGGGAAGCGCAAGGGGTCAGGGAGTTCCCTTTCCAAGTCAAAGAAAGGGGTGACAGACTCCCCTGGAAAATCGGGTCACTCCCACCCGAATATTGCACTTTTCGGACCGGCTTAAAAAACAGCGCACCACGAGATTATATCCCACACCTGGCTCAGAGGGTCCTACGCCCACGGAGTCTCGCTGATTGCTAGCACAGCAGTCTGAGATCAAACTGCAAGGCAGCAGCGAGGCTGGGGGAGGGGTGCCCGCAATTGCCTAGGCTTGCTTAGGTAAACAAAGCAGCCGGGAAGCTCGAACTGGGTGGAGCCCACCACAGCTCAAGGAGGCCTGCCTGCCTGCCTCTATAGGCTCCACCTCTGGGGGCAGGGCACAGACAAACGAAAAGGCAGCAGTAACCTCTGCAGACTTAAATGTCCCTGTCTGACAGCTTTGAAGAGAGCAGTGGTTCTCCCAGCACGCAGCTGGAGATCTGAGAACGGGCAGACTGCCTCCTCAAGTGGGTCCCTGACCCCTGACCCCTGAGCAGCCTAACTGGGAGGCACCCTCCAGCAGGAGCACACTGACACCTCACACTGCAGGGTACTCCAACAGACCTGCAGCTGAGGGTCCTGTCCGTTAGAAGGAAAACTAACAAACAGAAAGGACATCCACACCAAAAACCCATCTGTACATCACCATCATCAAAGACCAAAAGTAGATAAAACCACAAAGATGGGGAAAAAACAGAACAGAAAAACGGGAAACTCTAAAAAGCAGAGCGCCTCTCCTCCTGCAAAGGAACGCAGTTCCTCACCAGCAATGGAACAAAGCTGGACGGAGAATGACTTTGAGGAGCTGAGAGAAGAAGGCTTCAGATGATCACATTACTCCGAGCTACGGGAGGACATTCAAACCAAAGGCAAAGAAGTTGAAAACTTTGAAAAAAATTTAGAAGAATGTATAACTAGAATAAGCAATACAGAGAAGTGCTTAAAGGAGCTGATGGAGCTGAAAACCAAGGCTCGAGAACTACGTGAAGAATGCAGAAGCCTCAGGAGCTGATGCGATCAACTGGAAGAAAGGGTATCAGCAATGGAAGATGAAATGAATGAAATGAAGCGAGAAGGGAAGTTTAGAGAAAAAAGAATAAAAAGAAATGAGCAAAGCCTCCAAGGAATATGGGACTATGTGAAAAGACCAAATCTACGTCTGATTGGTGTACCTGAAAGTGATGGGGAGAATGGAACCAAGTTGGAAAACACTCTGCAGGATATTATCCAGGAGAACTTCCCCAATCTAGCAAGGCAGGCCAACGTTCAGATTCAGGAAATACAGAGAACGCCACAAAGATACTCCTCAAAAAGAGCAACTCCAAGACACATAATTGTCAGATTCACCAAAGTTGAAATGAAGGAAAAAATGTTAAGGGCAGCCAGAGAGAAAGGTCGGGTTACCCTCAAAGGGAAGCCCATCAGACTAACAGCGGATCTCTCGGCAGAAACCCTACAAGCCAGAAGAGAGTGGGGGCCAATATTCAACATACTTAAAGAAAAGAATTTTCAACCCAGAATTTCATATCCAGCCAAACTAAGCTTCATAAGTGAAGGAGAAATAAAATACTTTACAGACAAGCAAATGCTGAGAGATTTTGTCACCACCAGGCCTGCCCTAAAAGAGCTCCTGAAGGAAGTGCTAAACATGGAAAGGAACAACCAGTACCAGCCGCTGCAAAATCATGCCAAAATGTAAAGACCATCGACACTAGGAAGAAACTGCATCAACTAACGAGCAAAATCACCAGCTAACATCATAATGACAGGATCAAATTCACACATAACAATATTAACTTTAAATGTAAATGGACTAAATGCTCCAATTAAAAGACACAGACTGGCAAATTGGATAAAGAGTCAAGACCCATCAGTGTGCTGTATTCAGGAAACCCATCTCACATGCAGAGACAAAAATAGGCTCAAAATAAAAGGATGGAGGAAGATCTACCAAGCAAATGGAAAACAAAAAAAGGCAGGGGTTGCAATCCTACTCTCTGATAAAACAGACTTTAAACCAACAAAGATCAAAAGAGACAAAGAAGGCCATTACATAATGGTAAAGGGATCAATTCAACAAGAAGAGCTAACTATCCTAAATATATATGCACCCAATACAGGAGCACCCAGATTCATAAACCAAGTCCTGAGTGATCTACAAAGAGACTTAGACTCCCACACAATAATAATGGGAGACTTTAACACCCCACTGTCAACATTAGACAGATCAACGAGACAGAAAGTCAACAAGGATACCCAGGAATTGAACTCAGCTCTGCACCAAGTGGACCTAATAGACATCTACAGAACTCTCGACCCCAAATCAACAGAATATACATTTTTTTCAGCACCACACCACACCTATTCCAAAATTGACCACATACTTGGAAGTAAAGCTCTCCTCAGCAAATGTAAAAGAACAGAGATTATAACAAACTATCTCTCAGACCACAGTGCAATCAAACTAGAACTCAGAATTAAGAATCTCACTCAAAACCGCTCAACTAAATGGAAACTGAACAACCTGCTCCTGAATGACTACTGGGTACATAACGAAATGAAGGCAGAAATAAAGATGTTCTTTGAAACCAACGAGAACAAAGACACAACATACCAGAATCTCTGGGACGCATTCAAAGCAGTGTGTAGAGGGAAATTTATAGCACTAAATGCCCACAAGAGAAAGCAGGAAAGATCCAAAATTGACACCCTAACATCACAATTAAAAGAACTAAAAAAGCAAGAGCAAACACATTCAAAAGCTAGCAGAAGGCAAGAAATAACTAAAATCAGAGCAGAACTGAAGGAAATAGAGACACAAAAAACCCTTCAAAAAATTAATGAATCCAGGAGCTCGTTTTTTGAAAAGATCAACAAAATTGATAGACTGCTAGCAAGACTAATAAAGAAGAAAAGAGAGAAGAATCAAATAGACACAACAAAACATGATAAAGGGGATATCACCACCAATCCCACAGAAATACAAACTACCATCAGAGAATACTATAAACACCTCTACACAAATAAACTAGAAAATCTAGAAGAAATGGATAAATTCCTCGACACATACACCCTCCCAAGACTAAACCAGGAAGAAGTTGAATCTCTGAATAGACCAATAACAGGAGCTGAAATTGTGGCAATAATCAATAGTTTACCAACCAAAAAGAGTCCAGGACCAGATGGATTCACAGCCGAATTCTACCAGAGGTACAAGGACGAACTGGTACCATTCCTTCTGAAACTGTTCCAATCAATAGAAAAAGAGGGAATCCTCCCTAACTCATTTTATGAGGCCAGCATCATTCTGATACCAAAGCCGGACAGAGACACAACCAAAAAATAGAATTTTAGACCAATATCCTTGATGAACATTGATGCAAAAATCCTCAATAAAATACTGGCAAAACGAATCCAGCAGCACATCAAAAAGCTTATCCACCATGATCAAGTGGGCTTCATCCCTGGATGCAAGGCTGGTTCAATATACACAAATCAATAAATGTAATCCAGCATATAAACAGAGCCAAAGACAAAAACCACATGATTATCTCAATAGATGCAGAAAAGGCCTTTGACAAAATTCAACAACCCTTCATGCTAAAAACTCTCAATAAATTAGGTATTGATGGGACGTATTTCAAAATAATAAGAGCTATCTATGACAAACCCACAGCCAATATCATACTAAATGGGCAAAAACTGGAAGCATTCCCTTTGAAAACTGGCACAAGACAGGGATGCCCTCTCTCACCACTCCTATTCAACATAGTGTTGAAAGTTCTGGCCAGGGCAATTAGGCAGGAGAAGGAAATAAAGCGTATTCAATTAGGAAAAGAGGAAGTCAAATTGTCCCTGTTTGCAGATGACATGATTGTATAGCTAGAAAACCCCATTGTCTCAGCCCAAAATCTCCTTAAGCTGATAAGCTACTTCAGCAAAGTCTCAGGATACAAAATCAATGTACAAAAATCACAAGCATTCTTATACACCAACAACAGACAGAGAGCCAAATCATGAGTGAACTCCCCTTCACAATTGCTTCAAACAGAATAAAATACCTAGGAATCCAACTTACAAGGGATGTGAAGGACCTCTTCAAGGAGAACTACAAACCACTGCTCACTGAAATAAAAGAGGATACAAACAAATGGGAGAACATTCCATGCTCACGGGTAGGAAGAATCAATATCGTGAAAATGGCCATACTGCCCAAGGTAATTTACAGATTCAATGCCATCCCCATCAAGCTACCAATGACTTTCTTCACAGAATTGAAAAAAACTACTTTAAAGTTCATATGGAACCAAAAAAGAGCCCACATCGCCAAGGCAATCCTAAGCCAAAAGAACGAAGCTGGAGGCATCACACTACCTGACTTCAAACTATACTACAAGGCTACAGTAACCAAAACAGCATGGTACTGGTACCAAAACAGAGATATCGATCAATGGAACAGAACACAGCCCTCAGAAATAACGCTGCATGTCTACAACTATCTGATCTTTGACAAACCTGAGTAAAACAAGCAATGGGGAAAGGATTCCCTATTTAATAAATGGTGCTGGGAAAACTGGCTAGCCATATGTAGAAAGCTGAAACTGGATCCCTTCCTTACACCTTATACAAAAATCAATTCAAGATGGATTAAGGACTTAAATGTTAGACCTAAAACCATAAAAACCCTAGAAGAAAACCTAGGCATTACCATTCAGGACATAGGCATGGGCAAGGACTTCATGTCCAAAACACCAAAAGCAATGGCAACAAAAGACAAAATTGACAAATGGGATCTAATTAAACTAAAGAGCTTCTGCACAGCAAAAGAAACTACCATCAGAGTGAACAGGCAACCTACAAAATGGGAGAAAATTTTCACAACCTACTCATCTGACAAAGGGCTAATATCCAGAATCTACAATGAACTCAAACAAATTTAAAAGAAAAAAACAAACAACCCCATCAAAAAGTGGGCGAAGGACATGAACAGACACTTCTCAAAAGAAGACATTTATGCAGCCAAAAAACACATGAAAAAATGCTCATCATCACTGGCCATCAGAGAAATGCAAATGAAAACCACAATGAGATACCATCTCACACCAGTTAGAATGGCAATCATTAAAAAGTCAGGAAACAACAGGTGCTGGAGAGGATGTGGAGAAATAGGAACACTTTTACACTGTTGGTGGGACTGTAAACTAGTTCAACCATTGTGGAAGTCAGTGTGGCGATTCCTCAGGGATCTAGAACTAGAAATACCATTTGACCCAGCCATCCCATTACTGGGTATATACCCAAAGGACTATAAATCATGCTGCTATAAAGACACATGCACATGTATGTTTATTGCGGCATTATTCACAATAGCAAAGACTTGGAACCAACCCAAATGTCCAACAATGATAGACTAGATTAAGAAAATGTGGCACATATACACTATGGAATACTATGCAGCCATAAAAAATAATGAGTTCATGTCCTTTGTAGGGACATGGATGAAATTGGAAATCATCATTCTCGGTAAACTGTCGCAAGAACAAGAAACCAAACACCGCATATTCTCACTCATAGGTGGGAATTGAACAATGAGATCACATGGACACAGGAAGGGGAATATCACACTCTGGGGACTGTTGTGGGGTGGGGGGAGGGGGGAGGGATAGCATCGGGAGATATACCTAATGCTAGATGACGAGTTAGTGGGTGCAGCGCACCAGCATGGCACATGTATACATATGTAACTAACCTGCACATTGTGCACCTGTACCCTAAAACTTAAAAGTGTAATAAAAAAATTAAAAAAAAAATTTACGGAGTCGAATTTCTGCTAATGATTGTGTAAGATGCTATTGCATAGACTCCCAACTCTGTGAGCAGAAAATAACTATAAAAAGTGGACATAGTAAACAAGCCACTACATGAAGGCCCTAAAGACAGAACAAATGCAGTTAAATACTTACAGGGAGTCTGCATCACCATCAGTGGAGGAGGGGTCCAGAGAAAGAAATAACAAGCATGGAAACTGTAAATATTAGGTAAATATGAAAAAGTATTTTGTCTTCTTCTTAATTACTATGTAATTCAAGAATTTGTTTAACGCTAAGTTTGTAGCATTATTTTGTAGGGTTACAGAACATATAAATAAAATACTAAAACTAGCACATAAAAGATAGGGTAGGGGTGATCATCTCGTGGCTGAAGAGTTTCTATATTTAATTTGTAGTAGTATCATAATAACAGCAACAATTGGGAAAACTAAGGATTTATATTGTAATCCCCTGAACAAACACAAACAATGAGTCATAAAAGTATGAGTTTTTAGTATAGCAAAATACTCAAAAAAGAAGAAACATTAAAGAAAAAAAGTAGGACAAATGAAACCTAATAACAAAATGGTAATTCAACTCAACTATATTAATAATTATACTAAATGTGCAATTAAATAGAAAGGGTTTGTCAGATTGGATTAAATAAGCAAGACCTACTTATTTGCTGTCTACAAGATATGCACTACAAGCATAAATGTTTGAAAGAAAATTCATGGAAAAACATACTACACATACAGCAGAAAAAAGGATGAGATGACTAAATCAATATCAGATAAATATATTTTAATAAACATAATTTATCATTCAAGATAAAAATAGTGTTTAATATTTTTAAAAGGATCAACTTATCAGAAAGAAAAAATAATTACAAAAATGTTTTGCCTAATAGCAGGGCTTCAAAATACATTAAAAAAATACACAATTACCAAAGCATATTTAGTGATTTTAACACCATTTCTTAGCAATTGTCAAAATAAATTGACAAAAAATGTTACCAAATATACAGAAAATCTGAGCAATACTATGAACTGTGTTGACCTAGTTGATATTTATAGAACACTTTTTTTTCAAGTATTCATATGAATACTTGAAATTATCCACTAGAGTATACCATTTACTGGGCCAAAAAAAGTCCTTAAATTTAAAAATTGTAATCAAACAGAGTTTATTTATCAGAAAATGTTGAATTACATTAAAAATTAACAAGTATAAGACAACTAGGTAAACCCGAATATTTAAATTTAAGATAAAATACAACTTTAAACAATGTAATTTTACATAGCACTGTTCAAAAGTGAAATCACTGGGAAAATAGAAAATATTACCAACTAAATAATAATAAAACATAACAATATATGAGAAAAGTAAGTAAAGCAGTGCTTAATAAAAATTCATAGCTTTTAACACATATTAGAAATATAGAAAGTTCTAAAATCAATGTTTCCAACTTAAGAAACTCGTAATCAAAAAATAAACGCTAAGTAGATAGAGAGAAATGCCTAAGAGCAAAAGTTGATTAGACATAAAATAAGCAGAGGAGAAATCAATAAAACCAAGTGCTAATTCTTTGAAAAAAAATCTACAAAATTGGTAAAATGATACACAAGCAGATAAAGAAATAGAGAAATTGCAAATGACCAATATCAAGATAGAATGAGAAGACATCACTAAAGGCCCTACAGACATTAATAGGATAATAACAGAATAGAATTAATAACTTTATGCAATAAATTTGACAACTTAGATAAAGTGGACAAATTTACTGAAATATAAAAATGCTACAACTGTCTAAGAAAATGTAGAAAACGTGAAAAGACCTATATTAAATAAAGAAATTGAATTTATAATTGAAAACCTTACCTTCAAAGAAAAGCTAAAGCTCAAATGTTCTCATTGGTGAATTATTTCAAATATTCTAGAAAGACATTATAATGATCTCTTATAAATTCTGTCAGAAAATAAAATGGGGAGGGATAATATTTCAACTGAATTTAGGATTCCAGTGTTAACACTGACCTCAACATTTTTTCCAAACATTGTGGACATCACAAGAAGGGAGATCCACAGAGTAAAATTTCTTATGAAAATAGATGCAAGATCTTTAACAAAATTTTAGCAAATTGAATTCAGTCATTTACCAAGAGGATCATGCATCATGAATAAGTGGAAGTTATCATGGAAATGTAGTACAATTTTAATGTCTGAAAATCCATTAATATAACTTAATCATGTTAATACTAAAAGGAAGAGAAATTATGTACAGAGTACATAATTAGGATATCAAAAAAGATCTTGAAAAAAATTTAACATTGATTCATGTTAAAATTTTGCAGGGCCCAGCATGGTGATTCTCACCTGCAATTCAAGTGTTTTGGGAGGCCAAGCCAGGAGGATTACTTGAAGCCAGGAGTTTGAGACCAGCCTGGGCAATATAGCAGGACCCTGTCTCTATAAAAAAATGACATAAAATGTTAGCCAGGTATGGTAGTGCATGCCTGTAGTCCTAGCTACTTGGGAGGCTAAGGTGGGAGGATCGCTTGAGCTCAGGAGTTTGAAGTTAGAGTGAGCTATGATCCTGCCACAGCACTCAAGCCTGGATGACAGAGCAAGAGCCTGTCTCTAATAATAATTATAATAAGTAATAGTAGTAGTAATTTTTTAAAGCTTCAGCAAACTATAAATAGAAATGAATTCCCCCAGTGTAATAGAAGGCAACTAAAAAAAACCCACAGATAATATAAAATCTATGATAAAATTCTCAAGCCTTTCCACTTAAGATCAGGACAAAGTCAGGACATCTGTCATGAATTCTATCTACTACTATCTACTGGAGAGTATAGTCAGTGCATTAAGGCTGGAAAAAGAAATAATGGTAACGTATATTGGAGTACAGCATGTAAAATTGTATTTATTCACATGCATCATAATTATGTAAAGGAAAATCCTAAATTCAATGTAACATCTATTAGAATCCTAGAAAATATGTTTGGAAGAAAGAAAAGCAAGTCCAAAGATTATTTGAAAATGAAAATCATCTAGAATAGTGTATTGAATTTTGAAAAAGAACAACAGTAGATAACTCATATTGCTTCAAATATTTACTATTGTAGCTACAGTAATCAAGATAGGCTAACATTTAATAGATATATGATTAATGGGACCAAATATAGATTCCAGACACCTATTTGTTCCATTGATTTTTTTTTTGCAAAGATGCCAAGGTAATTCAATAAGGAATAATAATATTTTCAATAAGTGGTATTTAAAAGACTGAATATTTGTATGAAAATAAAATGGAATGAACCTGTGCCTCACATAAAATGTATCAAAATCTACCTTTCTATCTCTTTATCACTCTCTGAGCTAAAGTTCTACAATTTGTATAAGAAAACAAAGAAGGAAACCTTTGTGACATTGAGTTAGGAAAAGATTTCTTAAACAAGACAAAAAACTGAATCATACAAAAAAATCAGTGAGGCAGACTTCAAAAAGTTAGTCTTTTGTAATTCTTTTCTTTATAAGAAAATGAGAAGGTAAGCCACAGATTGGAGGACAAATTACAAAATCTATATCTGACAAAAGTCTTCGAAAAAGTTTTCTCTTCAAAAGAAACCCAAACTTGGAAAAACACAAATGTTTTTCGTCTGATAAATGGATAAACAATTGTAGTACAAAATATTGTTACAGTGAAACAACGTAGATGAATCTCAAAATATTAGTCTAATATGAGAGACTATAGTGTAATATTTATAGCTTTATTGACATGAAATTCTAGAAAATGAGACCCACAGTTAAAAAAAAATAATGGTTTACAGAGAGTCAGAGAAAGACATGAATTGTAAATATTTCAATCTATATCTTTATCTTGGTGATGGCAAAGAGTTTATGAAAACATATACCAAAAATGGAAGAATTCTACTGTATTATAAAATATTGTTATACAAATGAAGAGAAAAATCAGTAAGTCAGACGTGCTAAATTTTAGGTGATGAGAATGCTGTTGCGGTATAACTATGATAGAACTGAATATCTTAGTTTGACTTGTGTGTTGAAGGCTGGTAGAGGTAACTTAATCTTAACTTCTGATTTTCAACACTACCAGAAAAGCTGAATTAACAGAGAAAAATAAAGAATAATTTTGAGAGAGTCTTGAACCTCAGTTTCAAGACTCAATTATCTAGTCTGTCTGACCTACCGCTCCTTCCTCACTGATTGTAGGAGGATCTTCCATCACTCAATATCAGTTTCCTTTCATAAAATTGTATCAGGTTTCAGTATTCCTCAAGAAAAATCTATTTGCCACATATGTGGATCATGTTACCTAGAGTTGTCCATCAAAAAAACAGCTCAAACGAAAGCAAATACACCGCCTAGCATTTTTCCTTTTCTATTTGGAGCTTTTATTTTAAATTCATCATTCATTTCCTTAACCATAGCCTTCCATACTGTTATATTAACCAGATTGTATAATTTCTCAAGTATGAAGCTCTATTTAGGAGTTGTAGTAATATGGAACATTTCCCTTGCTACTAAAAATTGGTAGAAAATGTAATGCATTAAGTCAAGCAGAGAAAGACAGATTGCAAACTGCCAGTGATTTACATGATAGAATTAAAGAATATACATAGATATATAAAAACACATTCTGCCCAACTTAGAAATTAGAAGCACCACAACTACCAGCAAAACTATAAATTTATAATAAGTTATTTATTATCTGTTGAGCAAATTAATAAAATAGATAACATAAATAGACATTATTTTAATAGTAGTATCTAAAGTTTTGCTTCTACTCCTTAAAATTCTCAAAAGCTACCTTCTGGCTTTCTGTTACTTTAGTTTTACCTTATCCCTTCTCCAAAATGCAGAAAAATAGCATATACCAAAAGCAGATGAATTCTTGTGTGTTGGAGGCTGACAGAGGTAACATACTCTCTAAAGTGGTATAGAGCTAGAGAGAAGGTAAAATGAATGTTCACAGTGACAACACTTGTTAATCATAAGAAGGTGGCAAGTTCAATCTGTGACCTGAGATACTGTGAATAATCAAGGCCTTAATAGAAAGTAACTAGTAAGTAAAAATACTATAGCTAAAACCTATGTCCAAAGTGAGAAGACAAAATAAAAACTAGAAGATAATGTAATGACCAAGAAGCACATGAGAAGTCATCCTGAGAGGTCTGATTCTGTTGTTCTTACATGAGTCTGTTTAGAACAAGATGGCCTGTTTAAGAACCAGTGTTTGCCATACAACTCTCAAAGATACATGTTAATTGTCTGATGGGATTTGACGTTTGCCAATCTGTAAAACATTCAACACTTTTAAACTAATTTTCCTTATTCAGTCTCATTTAATGTAGGCTATACTACACTTGAAAGGGTATAGGTAAAAATATCAGGACGATTGCAGAGTGAGAGAAAAAGCATTGTATATGACAATCATCTGTGAATTCAAATGCGGGGAAATAGTTCACCATTTGCTCCAGAGACCTCATCGCTTTAACTGTCTGTTCTGGTATTACACTTAGGATTCCCTATTCAGGGAAATTCTCACAAAATATCAGCAAGAAAATGTATAGCTGACACGGGGGAAATTTCTAAATGTGGACAAAAATATCAATTGATTGTCTGAAAGCAAATCTTAGCTTGTTAGGCTTCAATATGTGTTGTATAAAATATTTCTACTGATTATTACTTCAACATATTACCTAAGTAGATATTTGAATGAGATTTATTTATCAGATTGATTTTTTTCAATGTGAGAATACCTCCTAGGAAGTATGAAGCTTGGAAATAAATTATGAAAGTTAAAATTTTTTGTGGCTTTACAAAACTTTTATTTTTTTCAAAAATGTGAGATGATTTAGTTATATATTCATACCGAAACTGATAATTGGACTTTCTGACCAGCAAACTTTAATAAATATTTGAAGAGTTTTGTTTACAACCTTCCTGACATTGGACTAAGTATAAAAGGTACTTTTAATTTATCTTAGAAACTCAAGAGATATTTTTCAATAATATTATGCTACAATGTAATATCTAATTGAGAAGCATACATTATAATGCTAAAAATTCCCCTTAAGTAGCCTGTAATCTGATGCCTAATGTTCATATCAACACTTTGTGAGTGAAATGTTTGAGTTTGCTATTGTTGTAAAACTCCCTTAATCCTTAATAAAGCGTATGAAAAAAGATGAAATATTTTTCAAGTATATAATTAATTGCAAATGCGTAGACTTGATGCCGATAACTCCCTAAAAGAATAGAATTATTTGTGAATGAGCAAATGTGATGAACTATGATGAACAAAGAATAATTGCTTACACTTATACTGCACTTTAAGTGGCCTACAAAATACTGTCAAATAAATTATCTAATTTAGTCCTTACAATTAACAATAATACAAGTATTGTTTTCTCTTCATGTAAAATCATGAAGAAATGTGACTCAGAAAAATAAGTAACTCATTTTATAAGCAAGCAATTGGTGTAGGTACAACTGGATTAAAATTCAGAAATCCCATTACAAATCATGTCATTTTCCAGGATATTGTACCACCTCTGTCAATAAAACAGATAATTTTCTTCCTCACATTTTCAGATAAGTCAAGGTATAAAGCACAGAAGTATAGATCACAGAGTTTGTGTTTTCCTATTGTGTTTATTTTTCATTTCAACCTCATTTCAGTCAATGTAACTGCTCTTATGAAATATACAATAAAATGATTGTTTATTTTATTGAGTTATGAAAATTTCAACTAACTAAATGCAAAAATGAAAAATGTTATTTATAGTTATATCCATAACTATAAATATGTTAAAAAAATAAAATATTAAATTTCAGCCAAAGGGAAAATCTTGAATATTTTAAAGAAGAAATCTAACAAAATGATGTACTATGCTGAAAAAATACTTAATAGAAAAAATACAAATATTAAATATGTGAATATCCTTATTTAATATTGTCTTTCCAAGTTCCATTTTTTAATAAGAAACTATAAGTAATTTGTTGACCTTACTGCATATCTCCTTCCTCTTTGACGTGGGGATAATTTCTCTTCTACTCATCTATATGGTCAAGTAGTGATGTAAATAGGAGGTCTTTAAAGTATAAACACACAGCAAAATAAAAAATTACTTGTCTTTCAAAGAAATTTAAAAATTATATTGGAATAATTTTTTTTCCTTACATTTCTTATTTTGCTTTCATCAGAACAAGTGTTAGTAAAAATTTAGTGTGAGACTATAGTGAATATACCTTTTCTAATCTCTGAGACTACCAGAGTTCTGTATAGATGGAGTTCTTTATCATGGAAGCACTTCTTGAATGGTTAAGGGACCTCAAAAATACACTCTTCCATAAAGCAATGAGAACACTGGAAAAAGTTTTCAGAATAAACTGTTTCAGAACTCTGGAAATTAACAAAAGGCTTGCTACAATATGAAAAACAATTATTCAAGAAAATGGCTGAATTTCTGTAATAATACATAGTAACATGCTATTTATCTTGCCATATTCTGATTCCTCTGTCTATAGCTCCATGGCAGCCTTGTAAACTGTAGCCCCACAGGATTTGTGAAAAACAGAAAATTAGCAATTACTGAAGGAGACAGAAAGGTGTAAAGTACCTCCTGCCTCCGACTCCTGCAAAAAGAAACCCATCCTCAGAGAACTGACTTGTCTGGCAGCTGTCTGAAAAAGCCCAATTCACATGGCTTATCTTTATTAGATCTGGCTCAGAGTTTGCTCATTGTGAAGTGCCTTTCTCCTGGGTGTTTGTCAAAAAATGATCAGTGAAAATTGTTTAACATTGTAGGTGCCTCAGTTAGAGATACCTGTTGAGGCTAATGAAGTGCTGACTAAAAAACTTAACAGTGAAAACTAAAGAGTGATGTGTTCATAAGGGACTTTGAAAGGTTCTAACATAATCCTGAGAATCTAAAAGGCCATACACATGTGTAAGGCTATGCGCACTTCAAGAATAATCTAAGAAGGCCCTAATCTCTCAACTCTGTCTTACCTTGCCTCTCTGCATAAGCAAAAAGTGAAGGCTGAAACAGAATAGTATATCTTAGAAGCATTGTAGGTGTGCCCTAACATATCACCAAAGCTTGTGAGCAAAGACTAAAAATAATTTATTCATGGCATTAAATATAATCTTTGCCAAATCACTAGATGGATAGCCACCAAACTAAAAAACAGAGGCTTAAGTGGCTACATACAAATAGAATATAAACTTCACAGAGTTAGAATAGTAAAGTTTCTACGATAAACAAGCCACAATGGTAAAAACAATAACAAAAACAACAAACAGAAACAACAATAATCCCTAAGGAGAAACAGGAGTTGGATTGTCAGAGTTATCACATTATGTTTTTCTCAACGTGCAGTTTCCAATGAAAAGTTGTAAGGTATGCAAAAAAACAGCAGTGTATGACCCATAGGAAGGAAAAGGAGAGTCAACAGAAATAGTCTTAAGGAAACCCAGACACAAGATTTACTAGACAAAGGCCTTAAATCAGCCTTTATAAACATGTTTAAACAAATAAAGGAAACCATGTCTAAACAATTAAAGAAGTGTAAAAAATAAAATCTCATCAAATAGAATATATTAATAAAGAAATAGAAAATATTTTTAAAAAGAACCAAATGGAAATTCTGGAGATGAAAAATACAGTAACTGAAATTTAAAAATATAGAGAAACTCAGCAACATTTTGAACTGGCACAATTAAGAAACAATGAACTTGAATATAGGTCAAATGATATCTAGTTGGAGGAACAAAAAGGAAACCATAATAACAAGAAATTAACAGATGTTTAGCAACTTGTGGAGCATCATCAAGTACCGGTATATGCACAATGGGAGTTCCAGAAAGAAAGGAGAGCAATGAGGGAGCAGAAAGAATATTGGAAAAAAAAAAAAAAAAAAAGGCTAACAACTTGCCAAATTTGATGACAAACTTGAATGTACATTTCCAAGAAGGTCAATGAAATCTAAGTAGGATAAACTAAAAAGTTATACTTGCAAGCACAACATAATCACATAATTTAAAGCAAAAGACAAAGATTATTAAAAGGAGCAAGTGAACAGCAATTTATTATATACAGGAAACTTCAGTAAGACTAACCCCTAAATTCTCATGAGAACCTATGGAGGCCAGAAGGCAATAGAATACAAAATTCAAAGTGCAGGAAAAAAAGATTGCCAAGCAAAAATTCTACATCTAGCAACACTTTAAAAAAAATAGAAAAGGTCTCTCTGTAGTTATTTAATGCATGTGTCAGATATACTATAAAAAGAGGATACGGTGCAATAAAATGAGAGCAATTATATACAAATCTATATCAAAAAAGATGAAACAAGACATTCCTTGATAAACAAAAACTGAGAGAATTTGTTACTAGAAGAACTGCCATACACAAAATACATCTTCCTGAAGGAAGAACTTCAGGGTTAAATGGAAGGATACTAATTAGTATGAAAATAAATGAAGAACATCAGTAAAGTTAACTAGTAGGTAATATGGAAGACAGCATGAAGATATTTCTATTCGTAACTTCTTTCTTTTTCTATCTGACATAAAATACAATGACTAAAAGGGATAACAATTTATTTGTTTATCTATTTATTTATTGAGATGGAGTCTCACTCTGTCACCCAGGCTGGAGTGCAGTGGCGCAATCTCAGCTCACTGCCACCCCTGCCTCCTGGGTTCAAGCAATTCTCATGCCTTAGCCTTCCGAACAGCTAGGATTACAGGCGCCCGCCCCCACATCCAGCTAATTTTTGTACTTTCAGTAGAGTTGTGGTTTCTCCATGTTGGCTAGGCTTGTCTTGAACTCCTGACCTCAAGTGATCTGCCAGCCTTAGCCTCTTAAAGTGCTGGAATTACAGGTGTGAGCCACAGTGCCCAGCCAAAATAACTATTTAAAAAAAGCAAAAAGTACAGAGCTATATTACAGCAAGTTTTGTGTACGCTATTGAAATTAGACCAATATTATTCCCACTTAGATAGTTTTAAATTAAGGTGTTTATTTAATCTCCAGGGACCACTAAGAAAATAACTCAAAAATATATAGTAAAATAAACAATAATGAATTAAAATGGCACATAAATGGAGTAATGACATAATCCTCTTCCACCTTAGAAAGCCAGAAAAAGACAACCAAATTAAACTCAAAGCAAAGAAAGAAGGATATAATAAATATTAAAGTCAAAATAAAGGAGGTGAAGAATATAAAAATAACAGAATCAATAACATCTAAAGTTGTTTTTTTGATGATTTCAACAAACTTGACAAAACTTTAGCTGGCTAGCTGAAGAAAAGAACTCTACTTACTAAAATCAGAAAAAAAGAGAAGGGATGTCACTACTGATCTTTCATAAATAAAATGTTTTGAAAGAATATTATAATTAACTGCTAAATTTGATAACCTAAATTAAATGGAGACATTCCTAGAAAGAGGAGAACTGTGGAAAGTGACTCAAGAAAAACTGAATGTTTGAATAGACCAATAATAAAGAGCAATGTGATTGAATTCATAACTTAAAAACCTCTCGAAAAGAAACCTCCAGTTCTAGATTATTTCACAGGTGAATTCTGCCAAATGTTTATAGAAAGAATCAACAAAAATTCTTATAAAAAATAGAAGAGGAAGTAAGTCTTCTCAACTGTTCTAGGTCAGTATAGACAGATTAAAAAATTCTCAGCAGAATAATAGCAAACAAAATCCATCAGTACATGAAGGCAACTATAAACCTTAATTAAGTTAGACGTACTCGTAAAGTGCAAAGTTAGTTTAGCAAAATCCACACAATTAGTGTAATATGATGTACTATATTAACAGGATAAAGAACAAGAACTATATGAACTTCTGAATCTATTCAGAGAAAGCGTTTGACAAAATCCAACATCCTTGCGTGATAAGTGCTTAGCAAACTAGGAATTGAATGGACCCTCCTCAATACGATAAAGGACATCTATTAAAAAAAGCAAAAAACAACAAAAAGCAAAACAAAACAAAAAACCACAAGTTACATCATACTAATAGGGATATACTGAATGTTTTTCCTCCAAAATTTGGAACAAGGCAAGAATATCTGTTGTTGCTTCTTTTCAGCATTCTTTGAGGTTCTAGACAGTTTTATTAGGCAAGAAAAATAGAAAGGTCTAAAATTTAAAATATCCCTATTTGCAGATGGCATGATCTTGCACATGGAAAATCTTAAGGAATCCACTGAACAACTATTAGAACTGACAAATGAGTTCAGCAAGGTTGCAGGATGCAAGCTCAATATACAAAAGCCAATTGTATTTCTATAAATTTGCAATGGGCAATATGAATAGGAAATTAAGAAAACAATTTTTAATAGCATCAAAAAAGTAAAATACTTGGGAATAAATTTAACAAAAGATGTATAAGTCTGTACATTGAAAGCTATAAACTTTCATCAAAAGAAATTAAAGAAGACTTAGAAAGACATCCTGTGTTCATGAATTGAAAGACATAATATTGTTAAGATGTAAAATACTCCCCAAATTGATACATAGGATTAACATATCAAATGTCTGATAAGAATATTATATCCAGAATACAAAATAAATGAATGCAATCCAACAATTAAAACATAATTTTAAAATGTGAAATAATGTGAATTGACATTTATTTAAATCAGATACAAATGACCAATAGGCAAACGCAAAATGTTTAACATCAGTAGTCTGTGTGATCTGAGACACCAAAACAAATACCCCTTTATCAACTAATATGGACTCTAAGGTTAAGGAAACAAAAGTTACCAGGGTTCAGAGATGAGCTGGCATGGCAACTTCCTAAGTCTCTATGACTACAAGTAAAACCACACTCTTGCTAACCAATAGGATCTATCAGGCAAATTGTCAGACCCTTCCTAACTCTGATTTACAACCCAGACCACTACAGCGCTGAACAGAGGACTGGTCTCAGGCTGTTTTCTGATAAGCTGCTGCAGACCTTAAGCCAGTTTCAGCCAACTTGTAGAAACTTCACACAAACTGCCTTTGTGTTCTATAGTTCATCTTTTGATGTAAAGAGCCAAATTCCACCTCATTTTAATGCTAAAGCCTGCCCCAAGGAGAACATGGGATATATGTTAGGTACATGTTTCCCCATTGCACAAACACTCCACTTCTCTTTTAAATACGTACAGCTTTTCACCCAAACCCGCTAAATAGTATCACTTTTTTGCGTAATTCAGATCTTGTGAGGCATAAAAACCCACCTGGCTTTTTTCTCTTTGAAGATAACATCTTTGGTACATGCTAGAGACTGTCTCTTCTCTGTTTACAAACTGATATTGCCAGTAAAACTCTTCTTTCTACTATTTTGCCATACTGGTGGTCTTTTGGATGACAAGTCATTAGGAGAATTCAGATGAAAGCCACAATAACATATCACTTACACACACTGGGATGACTAAAAATAAAAAAAAACAGACATAACCTGTATTGATGAGTTTGTGGAGAAATCAGAATACACATATATTACTTGTGAAAGTATGAAATGGTGCAGCCACTTTGAAAAACAGCTTGTCAGTTCCTCAAAATGTTGAATATAGATTTACCACCATATGACCCAGCAATTACTCATCTAACCATATAAACAACAAAACTGAAAACATACCTCCATATTAGATCATATATAGCAAGTTTTATATCTGTGAGTTGGCCTGTAGGTTTATGTAGCAGCATCATTTTAATAGCTAAAAATTGAAAACAACCCAAAAATGTGTCAAATGGTGAAAGTATAAACAAAAGGTGATATATCCATAGCATAGAATATTGTTCAGTTAGTAAAAGAAGTGTAGTGACATAGAGCAGAGCACAAACGAACCTTGAAATCATGATGCTAAGTGAAAGAAAGCATTCATAAAAAGCCACATATTGTACAATTTCATTTATATAAAGTACTCAGAATAATTAAATCTAAAAGATAGAAAGTAGTTTAGTGGTTGCCAGAGGCTGGGAGAAGGGGAGAATGAAGAGTGATTACTAATCTTACAAGGTTTTTTTTGAAATGGTAAAATGTTTTAAAATTAGATAGTTGTGATAGCTGTGCAATGTTGTGAATATACTGAAAAGCACCAAATTGTACATCTTAAAAAGGTAAATTTTATGGTATGTGAATTACATGTCAATAAAGGTGTTATATAAAGTCTATAATAAATATTTGGCTTTTAGTATGTTTAAATTATCAAGTTGATGAATTATATACATATATTCTCAGGATGTTGAATGCACTGTCTAGTATATTTTTATTTTTAATATATTTTTGAATACCGAATTATAAATATATTTAGAATCCTATGAATATGTAAAACAAGTCTCTAAGGTAAGATAAATTCAGGGTAATACTGAGAAATAAAAATATATATCATAATTTAGAAAAAAGAAAATATGCTGGAATACAAGCATTTAGCCAGTTTAGAAACATTTTGTTCTGACGCTTGATTACATAATCATATCTATGTAGCTCTTTTTTCTAAAGGAAATTGTCCAATTGTGTGCATAACTCTTATCTGTAATACAAATATTTCCTTGTTTAACAAGAAATAACCTTGGTGAATATCTGTTACCACTGAGGTTGGTCAACTGTCACTCTCCTCCTTATGCCCACTTGCAACATCTGTCACATAGACATAATGCACACAAATGCTTGGTATTTTTCAATTTTAAAAATTATTTGATGCTTTTTCCTTGCAAATATATATAATTAAAAATTTACCTCAATTATAATATACCCTATATTGCTTTCCTGAGCCTATGTAGTTTATTTAGCTCCCCCTAATTTGTTAGTTCATTTATTTAAGAATTTGGCATCTATTAATTGTTAATTCTATGTCAGGCAAAAGCAATATCAACGTGGATAAGACATATTTCTTGTCTTTAAGGAGCTCAGATTGCAGCAGGTAGACAGGTAGCCAATGTGCGGAATGTGAAGTGAGATCTACCCCAATATATTGTACATTAGAAAACAGGAAAACTCATGTGATTTTACCTGTCTATAAAAATCTCCTGAGGATGTATTAGAAAACTCATGGCTGAAATTTATTGTATGTTCAAAATTATGATCAAAGTGAATGGGTAATAGATTTTTTTTTATGGACAAACTTTGTAATTTAATTAGCTTAACCTTGAGTCAGCTTTTGGCCGGGCACGGTGGCTCACGCCTGTAATCCCAGCACTTTGGGAGGCCTAGGCCAGTGGATCACCTGGGGTTAGGAGTTCAAGACCAGCCTGGCCAACATGATTAAACACCGCCTCTACTGAAAATACGAAAAATTAGCTGAGCATTGTGGCGGATGCCTGTAATTCCAGCTATTTGGGAGGCTGAGGCAGGAGAATTGCTTGAACCTGGGAGGTGGAGGTTGCAGTGAGCCGAGATTGTGCCATTGCACTCCAGCCTGGGCCACAAGAGTGAAACTCTGTCTCAAAAAACAAAACAAAACAAAACAAAAATACTTGAGTCAGCTTTCGTAACCTGAACTGGTAAAATGATAGATAAAGGGGCATTTCTTCTAAAGACTGCTGCTTGTTTCGATGTCTCCACTTTAAGAACGTCCAAATGGAATTTGTGCTAAAGGGTTGTCTTGACACTTCAATATGGCAAACACTCCCTATCACATAGATGAAACTAACAAACAGGTGGAACAATATGGCATCTGGTAAAAGGAGACCATGTAGATTCCCTATGCCAGAGTATGGGGCTACCAGTTGGTCTGAGTTTTTTATTTAACTTAGAATTTTATTTATCTTCATATAAAATAGTTAACCAATAAAAATGAAATGCAGGGACATATATACTTATGATGATATTGAAATTAAGAGTTCTCAAGTAGGTCATGATCAATTCTGACTCTAGGTAAGCTTTAACTTGGCCTTCAAGGACGAGTAGAAATATGCTAAGGAAAAATTTTAGGAAAACTGCCAGGTTTCTGTATGACTTAAAGTGAGTATGAATCAGGAATTTTGAGGTATTCTAAGGTATATTGATTATGTTACAGACTATGCAAAATTACTAACTTCTAAGCGGAGAAGTCATTTAATAGTTCCACAACGTATGAGTGTTTACCTCTGAAGTATGTGGAAAGCTGGCTAGCAAGGATACAAGATGATGGGCAAGGAGAGCAGTTAGTGCTTGCCATACTCACTGCAAGAGACACTGAAGGCTTGGACTAAGGCATTGTGGAGTGGGTGTTAGCAACATCCCTACAATTATAAGTGAGTTGGCCTAAGATTTGTGAAGTTATTTTGGCCATGATTTACTAAAAGTCAAGTTAGTGAATTAAGTCTTTTGTCTTTTCTTCAAAATATACTTGCTCTACTGACAAATAACATTATTTTTAATTTTTTTTAAACAAAGTAGATAGAATATGCTCAACCTAATGTGAAATTAAAGGATAATAGCCTATACTCTCCTAAAATACTGTAAATTGTATGAATCCAACAGCTAGGGAATTAACAGAAAGAAATAATTGTGTTGAATATTAAATTGCCTTTATATTTTACATACTATATTAAATTATATTATATTTTATATGTAAACACACAAAAATGTGCCTCAATGAAATAATTATAATGAATGTACCAAATAGGTAATCCAAGTTTGTCCTTGTTGATTGTCACACTAGGTAGTCGACTTTTAGAATATTGACAATAATGCGCAGGTTGCATACCCTAAAAGAAAGTGGAGTGTAATTTCTCAGCACTCTAATAATCTTATAAAAGTTTGAGGAGTATTTCTGTTATTCATAAATGTCCTTCCAAGTGATCTATATGCCATCTCTCAGTTAAATTTATATTTGCATTTCATGGAAACTATCAATGATTTCAGTATGTTTAGAGATTCTCACAGATAATGAGTTAATGTGTGACAATATCTTTAACCAATTTCAGTTTGAACTCTTTAAATATTAAAGATCATTAAAATATAAATAAAGATGCAAAAATCCTGGAAAAACAGGTCCTTTTTAATGATTTGTTTTATGAGATATGGAAACAATCCGATCAGAATACAGGTAAAAATCTCCAATATCACCAAAGTAATTATCAATTTGCCACTTATATATGTTAAAGTATTTATTGTTAACATGATGTTTTTCAAATTATTTACCTGTGACAATCTGAACTTAAAATACTATATTATCTGTGATATTATTGACTTGTGCAAATGTCTTTGATATGAGTTTCAAATTTCTTACTCACTGGTGGCATAGTCTCATTAAAAATTAATCTAGGAACATATTTAAAATTCAAAAATATTTGCGTTAAATCTGGAATCTTATATAATTCTCCTCAAAACAGGTAGAAGGGCAATATTGTATTGAACATGATGAAACCAGCTTTTGCACTCTGCTGCCTGCTCAGCACCAAATACCTTTTATAAACTACAGGATATTGTAGCCTCATGTCAATGTTTGATTTCTTCAAATATTTTCCATCTTTATCACAAACTAAAGCTATGACGTACAGAGATGAAAAAGCTCTTCCTTTACATAAGAGGAAAGGTGTATGGTGCCATGAAGAAACGGCTATATTCTCTGTAGAACCAATAATAATTAAGAGGGAGAATACCTTGTCCCTTGGTAACCTATGTCATTATGGTGTGCAAGTAGTGGTAGAAATGAGTAATAAATGCCACTTATTTGCACATCACATTAATTTAAGACTTTTATATATCTTTGGCACTGTTTTATACACAGATTTCTTACAAATATTTAGTTGACAAGTGCAAACTTCGGTACTAGAGGACTGTTCATTAGATACAGCAAGGAGTTTTGATAAGGCAGGCTGATTGCTGAGTACAGGTTCTGAACTAAAAATTTAATGGGTGAGGTTTCCAGAACTCAGGTTCTGTTTCTCACACTAAAGTTGTAATTTCTTCCTTTTTTATTCTTCCTCCTCTTTTCTTTTTTCTTCCCCCTTTTCCTTTTCCTTTGTTTTTTTAAATTTTTTCAAACAAAATCAACTGTCCCCCAATTTCCTGGTATAGGGTTATTTTTTGACTGAATCCTATTACTGTTCTCTTTCAGGCAAAATTTTCATTTAAAAGTCAAGCTAAATAAAACATTAAGCAATATTTTCTGACTCCACAAATATTCAAGCATTGCTGAAAATGTTGGGATGAGATGGCAATTTGTTTATATTGTCAATTTAGGAGAAATGTTTCTGTGTATTTGGAATCAGAGGGTAGTCTACCACATATTTAGAGGCTCTTGATGAAAGCTATGTGTGTTTATTTTTACAAATACAACTTATAACCAACTGACTCACTTCAAGAAAAAAATTAGTGTTTTTATTTTAGTTATGCTAAATTTAGAAATTAAATTAAGGAGACAAAATCTATATGATGTTCAGTTGTATTATCTAAGAACAAAATTTATGTTTACGTTTCCTTAAATTTGTACATATCTTTTCATTTTATTTTTATTGCTATTTTATGTTTCTTCTCTATGCCTTGTAAATAACTTTTCATGTATATAAAGACCCTGGGTTTTCATTACAGTTTTGAATCCTGGTTAGTTGTACAATTATTTTTTATTAGAGAGTTCCATTGATTATCTTGGATTTTTCATATTATCTATCCTGTTATCTACAAATACAGATAGTTTTATTTGCTCTTTTCTAATCCTCATGTCTAAGCAAATACTTCTATTCAATTTTAAACATTGCTTTAAATGGAATGAGTCCCATATATTGTGTTATGTGGTTTTTCATTATTGTTATTTTTAAAGTAGATTTTGTAATTTGAGTTTGAATTACGTCTTTCATCAGAAGCTGTTTAACTGATCATATCACAAGATGACTATTAACAATTCCTTCCATTTCACATATTTTTTGGCAATGCCACGTCACCTTTCCCACATAGTTTTATTCCCTTTAATCTGGGCTGTATCTATGATTACATTGGTGGTAGAATGCTGCAGAAGTAATAGTATGTGAATTCTGGATATAGACCAAAAGAGGACTTCTGGGAACCATGAGCTGTCATGTTAAGAATTATGGTTATAGCACCGAAGAAGAAACTAATGAGGGAGAGAAACCCAGAGAGTTTCTGGGTTCACCCAATATTACAGTGTTCCTTGTTGAGGAAACAGAAAGGCAACTGGGGTCATTTTGGCTCCTCCAGGCCTAGTCAGGTCTCCATATGACTGAAGCTGCATGACCAGCCCCAGACAAGACCAGCAGAAGAACCACAAAGCTGATCCTGGCCTAGATTGCAGATTCATGTGCAAATAATGTTTTATATATAAACCAGTAAATGTTGGAGTTGTTTCTTGTGCAGCAATAGATAGCTACTATAGAAGTATATATATTTTTTTGATTTCCAGGAGAATTGTTTAATTTTTTAATTTTTTAAAAATTAATTTATTATATTAAAGTCAGAGATCAGAGTGTATTTTAACTTTATGGAACTTATTTGATGCTTTTAAAATTAATCTCAAAAATTCCAACACTAAACTTATGATTTTGTTAAAAATGACTTGGAAATCCTGAAGACTTTCTTAAATCTGTAACGGTTTTATTGGGATATTAGTAACAGTTTCAAATTATAGATAATTTTTTCCTATGTACAGGATGGACTTATTCAATATGTAGATTTCAATTTTGGCTTTGCCCTTTTTTGTGGTCCTGGAAATTTTTTTCTTGGACTATTGCTTTAGTTTTTCTGTTCCTGTTGTTTTGTTTTTCTTATTTAGTGATCCCAAATATACATGTGAATTTCTCATCCTTTATATAATTTCTATTTTTTAAGAATGTTAAATTATGTTTGTATTCTCTATTCAGACTTTTATTCAATGTTTCTTAGTCGGTTTATATTCATATCTATTACCTCTTGACTACATCTTATCTGATTTTCTCTCAGATTTAAAAAACATTTTTTTAATCAATTTCTGTTCTGTATTTGGTAAATATCATTGCATATAGCAGATCATCAAATCATGTTGATGAGAACGAGAAATTGACTCTGGCTGGGGCCACTATCTGTGTGGAGTTTGCATGATTTTCCCATGTCTGTGTAGGTTTTCTCTGGTTACTCTTGTTTCCTCCTATATCTCAAAGATGTGCACATTAGCTGAATGAGCTTGTCTCCACGACCCCAGTAAGACTGAGTGTGGGACCGTGGGACCAGTGAGTGTGGGCACATGTGAGTGCACCCTGCAATGGGATGCACTCATCCAGGCCTGTTGGTTCAGGACTGGTTGGTTCTCACTTTGGCTCCTAAATTGTAGGGGTAGGGCTCAAGCCACCCATGACTCTGAATAGAAATAAACAGTTTGGAAAATGAATGAATTAATGACTGAATAGAAATTATTGTAAAAAAATCATAAAGTGAGTTATAATCATACAAATGCACAATAATAAATAATGCAGTACAAAGTCTCAGTGAACCCACCATATTTGTGATTGTTTTTGAAATGCATGGTGAGAGGAGGTGCTCCCGACAATGTTCGCTTTGCAAAGATTTATTTCTCGATTTAATCTACCACTGTTATGACTGTCGTCACTCCTGAATTCACCATAAATTGGGTAAATAATTATCTTTTTAATTTTTCTTAAATGTATGTACAGCTAGCTCACATTTATTTCAATGTTTATTATTCAAAGTGTTTTGCGTTTTTGTTTAGAAGTTTAGTGATGTTTCTGTGACCAGAAATATACTGCAGGAATTTAACTCTTGTTTATCTTAGTCAGTTTATGGTAAAACTGGTTTTACTTTACACTATTTTTCTCAAATTTGCATTTTCCAAGAACGTATCAACGACTTAAGTGAGGACTTACTGTATTTTCCTGTGTTATTTTCACTTTTCCGTTGTGAGAAGCTACACTTAATTGTTTAATCATGAGTTCAACTTTTTTTATAACAAATAATTTTTATCTGAGAACATTTTTCAGTTTGGAGTATTGCCTATAATACTCCAAATTTACTCAATACTCAAAATACGTTTGTGTAAATACATTTGTCTAACAGCATTTATGGCCATATGATAGATTCTCAACAGTCTTATGCAGGTGAGAGTTAGAATTTGGAGAATTTATGACATTCTTAGTTCAAGAGCATTTCCTTATATCTGTATATTGTGAATTCTTTAAAAAACAGAATTGTTTTCAGGTGCTAGGAGAATATTAATTGATCTTTTTTTTGGCTCTTGTTTGCTTTTTTTCAGGACACTTAATTTCCACTTCTACTTTTCTAATTCCCTTTACCACTGTGATGTTTAGTTTTATATGTCAACATGGCTAAGCTCTAGTACCCATTATTCAATCAAACACTAATATAGGTTGTTGCAATGAAGGCATTTTGTAAACATGGTTAATATCTAGTCAGTAGATTTAAGTGAAGGAGATGACCTTAATAATCTAAGTGGGCCTCATCTAACCACTTGCAAGGTCTTAGGAGCAAAGCTGAGGTTTCCATGAAGAATGTCTACTTCAAGACTACAACATTAACTACTGCCCAAGGGTTTCCAGCCTGTGGATCTACCCTACAGATTTTTAGACTTTTCAGGCCCCACAATCAAGTAACCCAGTTCCTTGAAATACATCTCTTCAATCACCAAATGTCCAAGATTGCCTACCTTCTTTGTTACCACCTTCCCTGCTAGAACCAATGTCTTCTCAAGACTAAATCTCGGGTCTGTCAAGTAGAATTTTCAAAATATTAAAACCATAATTAGAATATAAATACACAATGATCCCAAATCAATGTTTATTTACCACATTAATAGAAATAAACCAATAGTATTATAGGATAACAAGGAAGATATAAATACTTATGTGTGTATATATGTGTGTGTGTGTTCAATGAAACACACATACCAATAAATGCTGAAATAAATTGAATAGTTTAATAAAAACATGCTAAACATCCTACATGACAATAACTTCATATATTTTAATTATAAAATTAATTGTATCTTTTTTTCCTTATTATCAAATTTTGAATAATTTCTTATGCATTCCCTGTAGGAGTGCTTGGATCTATCAGGTGTCAGAAATGTTCTTGGTATTTCTCACTTGGTGTAGAACTTTCTTGGATGTTGATGTTATACTGTGCTAATTGATTTTAAGCTTTCCATTTCCCTCTCTGAACAGTCATGTGATATCAGCTTGATGTTTATTTCTCTATTTACAAACAAATTTGTGTTCATGGTACTCTGTTTTCCAATTATGCTAAAGGAGTAAGTTATATGTGTTTTTATTGGCTCTTCTGTGTTGATTTCAGGCTTTTTTTTTTCTTTTTAAGGCACAAGAAAGGATTCCAATTTTCTAAGGCAACCAGGAATTTAGTCTAAGGCAACCGAGGAATTTATATTATGTTATATATCTTTCTGTATATATTTATTCTATTCTAAGGCAACCCAGGAATTCATATTATATTATATATCTTTCTGTATATATTTACTAATGTTAAATAAATCTACTTGATATGAAATACATGATTTTTGTCTTCTCTACCCTGAACCTTATCTTTTTTTTTTTTTTTTTTTTTTGAGACGGAGTCTCGCTCTGTCGCCCAGGCTGGAGTGCAGTGGCGGGATCTCGGCTCACTGCAAGCTCCGCCTCCCGGTGAACCTTATCTTTCTATGTTTCTATGTACCTGTATTTCCCTCATATAATCTTAGTACATTATCTTTTTCTTTCTACTCAGATAGGATTAATTTTCAAGAAAGATGTAAGGCACTTAAGAGTCTTTACTATCACTGTGCTTTTTCTTCTATGGCTAGGCTATTATCATTTAATTTTTTACATTTTAATTATAGAACTAAAATCAATGACCGGTGTTAAAATTATTTCAAGGGTCAGCAAGTAAATGAAGAAAGTGTAATTTGAGGCATGTTGGGTTTCCTGAAACTCCTGCAGGGTATTAAGCAGCAGCCTACTCATAAGTCTAAACTAGAAGCAAAGACAATCCATTTAGGATGCCTAGAAAAGAGATTATTGTGTCTTCATCTACTTCTCTCTATTCTCCACTCTCCCAAAAAACTTACTCACTTGGGGTCGTAAAATAACTTGGAATGAGTTTTCCTGTGTTACGACTGCTAAAGAATATTTCGTGAATTTTCTGAGATAGGGGAGAAAATTTCCAGATGAAAAAGAATCTTGGAATTCTAATCAGAAATAGATTTCATAATTTTCTCTGTTTGCCTTTTAATTAGTTCTTTCTCTGATGCCGCTTTGATATTTGGTGTCTACCTATAATTTCAAATATAGGTATTTTACCTTCCCCAAGAGTCTGGCTTACAGTCTGACTGAGGTCTTTTCCTGTTTTCATTAAATTCTGTCATCTATGGTAGGTAAGGAGATGATTACATGAAGATCCTGAGCAGACACCACCCTTGCCCTCAGTCCTGTGTAAATTTGTGAGGCAGCACTTCTACTGCCTCATGGTTTGTGGCATTCCAGGCACCTGAAGTGAATCATTCAGATGGAGGTAGTGGTGTAAGGTGAGGATTGACAATAGGAACAGAACACGTTAAACAAGAACCCTTGCATGAAAGCTATGAGAAAGGACAGAGGAGGAATTAAATGGGGCATCCTGTGCATTTTCACTGTTAGGAATCCATTTATCTATTAGCACTGATTTTAGGTATGTTCTAACTGCACTTATAATAATTTACAAAAAGAAATTACTGATAAAATACTACTTATAGATGGTAAAATAAACCAATAAAGATGAAAACCCAGCATTTATTTAAATTATTTAATTATACGGATTTAAATTAAGCATTAAACATGTAATTGTAATACTTAGGTTCATATTTGTGGAATCAATATTTAAGAAAATTCACTCTGCCTAGTTAACGTTCTACACAGCAATCATTAAGAATCCCTTACCTATGTATCAGCTTGGCTCTTTTGTAAATTTTGTTTAATTATAATAATAAATACAATAGTTAATCTTTAACCTTTGCAATTTACAGCTTTTGTCTTACCCCTGCTTAAAAAATAAAGTGTTCATTATGGTATGTCTTACATGCTTTCATAATGTTTCTACAAATAAATATTTCAAACTTATACCTAATCATGGCATCACTACCTCAGTTGTTCAGATACTAAATTTTTCCTACCTAGAATTGTTGAAAATATATGTTTAAAAAAGCAATTGAGATTGTGTATTACACAGACTGCCATCTTGAAGCAAGTCATTCATTGTCTATGTCTAATCACCTGCCTTCAGTCACCTCTCTCCTTTTTTTTCTTAATTTTATTCTTTAGACTTTATTTTTTTGTTTTTTGGTTTTGTTTTGCTTTTAAAGGAGTTTGGGAGGATTTTGTTTTATATACACAGGGAATCCTGTATCCTGTTGACAATAAAGAGAGCCCCATGGTTCAGTTAGTTTTATGGTTGTGTAAGTCAAAAACTCTTTAAAAACTTTCCTAACATGTTGAATGGTCATGAACAGGTCAAACAAATAATTAAAAAAATATATAACCATTACAATTTGATTTCTAGAAGTCCACTTCGATAGATACTTGCATTGTTTAATAAGAACAAACAATTATTGATTTTTTAGTATTAGTGAGTTACATTTGACAAATGTATATTTTAAATCTCAAAATAGTTATTAAGTCCATTTCATAGATGGGATATTTGAGCTTTACAAGTGTTAAGCAACTTTCTCCAAGAAAAATAACTATCATATAGTGAAGAGGGCTCATGCCTAGCCAGTCCAACTCTGAAATCCATCCTCTTAACTACGACTCCAGCAGGCTCAAACCATAACCTGAAGGCCTCTGCAGACCCCTTTAGGAGTCTCCGGAGGCCCCTTTAAAGGATTTTTTGGATAAAACTGTTTTCCTAATAATACTAAGATGCTATTTGTCTTTTTCAAGTGTGTACAGTGATGTTTTCTGGACACTACCTCACAGGTGATATCACAACAGGCTGAATGCAGAATCAGATACAGTAATCTAGATCTCTTCTATTGAGCCAGATACTAAACATATTTGATAAGTTAAACACAATGTCACTTCTCTCTCATCTTTGTATTTTGCAAAACATAACTATATTATTTAAATATTGTTCATGTTACATAATTGATTCATTATTTTTATTACTGAATACATATATATTTTAAGCATCTCTGTTTTAGTTTCTAATGCAGTTATTAACATAGTGCACATATATGAACAAAAAGTCCTTTGCACTCCCAAAATATTTTAATAGTTCAGTCACAACCTGAGACCAAATGATTTGAAAACCATTGGGCTAATCTGCACTATTTATCAATTCTGATTACACATTTCAACATATAATAGAATGATATCCTCTAAGAGTATTTTAATAGCAGTACTACTAAGATTCATGGTTCTCCTATTTTTAATTCACTATATTTAATTTTAAAGATTCTATTCTCCACTTCCACCAGGTGGTCATTCTGATCTATGCAGATTTTGCATTTTTTAATTAAGTTGCAGGACTTTAGTAAAACCAATTGTCACTCTAAATGTGTTAGTTCTTTTTCCTCATTTCATCTAAATACTCATATCAAGTACCATTGGCAACATAACATTCTCAATTTTCTCCACAACTAATAGGCAGTTTTGCAGTATGAAGCTACAATAGAAGACCCATCAATCAAATGAATGGAACCCTGACTCAACAGAGAAGTAAATTCTTGGTAACCACGGGGATGTAAACCAAAAATAAAATTCTAAGCACCTCCCCCCAACCATCTGAATGGACTTATTGCTCACCCAGGACTCTTAAAATTTAACCTGAGAGACTGTTTCAGGCCATGATGGGAAGTGGGGGTCAGATATGCCTCATTATACTTCTCTGGCATTAACATCGACACAGACTTCAAGTCTGATAAGAAACATTTTACAACCTATTCTCTCTGAAGCCTGCTACCTTAGGGCTTCCTGTGCAAATAAGAACTTTGGTCTCTACAATCCTGTATCTTAACCCAGAGATTCCATTCTGTTGATCCCAGGTCTTTAAATAAACTCAACCAATTGTCAACCAGAAAGTTTTAAAATCTACCCATAAGCTGGAAGCCCCCACTTTCTGGACCAAACCAATGTATTTCTTAAGTGTATTTGATTGATGCCTCGTGCCTCCCTAACATGTATAAAACCAAGCTGCACCCAGACTACCTTGGCCACATGTTCTCAGGACCTCCTAATGGCTGCGTCAGAGGTCATGGTCACTCATATTTGGCTCAGAATAAGTCTCTTCGAATATTTTACAGAGTTTGACTCTTTTCATTGACAGAGAAAAGGCAATAAAATAAAGATTCTGTTATAAGGCAATAAAATAAAGATTCTGTTATCCTTTTTATCTTGGCATTTATTCTCATTAACACACTCCTAACTAATGGTCCCTGTCATAGGAGAACAAGGTCAGATTGAAAACAGTATGCAAGAGGTGAACAAAGAGTTTTTAGATTAGTCTATGAGGAGACTATAAAACCAGTAGAAAGAGACAGAAGACAAGATGAAACTTTTTAAGACTATCCATATAAAGTCATGATAGATCCTTGGGAAAAACCATGAGCTCATGTTCACTGACTTTGTAAGAGGCTCTAATGGCCATTGTTTAAACTCATTTAAGCCATGCCAGATGACAGCTTTATCCAAAAATGATGGATTTATGAAGTTCATTTGTGTGTGAGACTAAATATCTGTTTTTCTCAAAGCATAATTTCTAAGTGTTAAATGAATTCTCCATAGAACTCACAAGAGATGTTTGACCTCAACTGGATGCCATTACAGGTTTAGTAAAATCATTAATGAGTAAAAGATTAAGCGATCACAGTATTAGCTAAATACTTAGCTAACTCAGCAATGACATTTACCAAGCTCATTTTCTTATTTTAAGAAGATTACAAAAAAATGTAAACATTAAACTATTCTTCACTAAGACAGCTAATGGTTCATTGGAGCTGCAATGGTTTCCAATAAAGATAAGAGGAAAATAAGCCTTTTTTTCAGTCATTTTACTGTGATAAACTATATCTAAGAAACTAATATTGATAATAAAAGGAATAATACATTATTTTGTGTACTGGAGAGGTAGAAAGGAACCTCATATACAAAGGGGAAATATTAATAGGTAAGATCTTTTTTATGAGAAGTGAGTTTTTGCAACTTTATTTTACCTTTTTCCAGAAAAAAGATAGAAATCGTAATTAATATCTAAAGTTTTGTATTTATTCTTCTGAACTTGAATTTTATTTAATGTACAGAATAAGTAATTTCTACAAAGACCAAAATGTTGGTGTGTTGTTGAAGGCATGTCCTGCATTTAATTTTGCTCTGTAGTCCACCTTGGCCAAATGGAGCTAAAGTACTGACAGCTCTTAGTCACGTTTATTCTTAGTGAACTATTCTATTCTCAGTGAACTAGCCCCAGTCTCTAGGATTGTCCCTCTCATGCCCCTTTACTCTGCTCTTTCTTTCTTCAACTAAATTCTTCTGCCTAAAGCATGTTGGAGCTGGGATTTCAGAAACAATGAATGTTTAAGTATTAGCATGCAGGGTATTTATAATATGAATTATAATATATCTATTCACACTATGTGTTCTTTCAGAAATAATTAATAGTACCTAAAAGATAAATTTATCTTGAATTTAATCAGCTTCTTTATCAATTCATAGTAGATGACAACACATAAATGTGTAAGAGATGAACAAGGTATTGCAGAAGGTGGAAGAATAGCGTTTGATACAAGAAAGAGAATATCTTTGCATATATTATTTTAATAGGTAGTATGATATAGATTATTTCATACACTGATCAACACCTTCCCTGATGCATCTATATTAATCTACATGCATGGTTTACTTATGGATATGTAAAGGCAGTAATGAAACGGGTTTGGTCCAGGAAGAGCTAAGGAAGCAGTGCACTTTGGGAGTTGTAGTACTTCATTCAGTGTTTCTGGCTGTAGAAAAATGTCGTTGATATCTGGGAATAAACCTCTTTCTCATAAGAAAATAATCAAGGACTGTTACTTTCAATCAATCATCCAGTTAAAATCTGAAATGATAATAATAAACAAAAAACCTCTAAAATTGGTCTGACACAATTTTGAATTTAAGGGATAAAAGATTTCTGGAACATAGGGGAAGAAAATAGAAGGTTTCCTACAAAACAAGGAAAGTCATTCTTTACACAGGAACACTGAATACTAAAATTCTAGAACAATGACAGATATTTTTAGGGAAAAATGTTGTGATTCAATATAACATACTCTTTATGATATTGTATTTCATATGTTTATGAAACAGAAGGACTTGCTTTCGTATATAATAACTCAGATATACACACATCTCTATAATATGTAAAATGGAATTTAGTCAATGGAATTTGAGAGAGAAATCAAGTAAATAATTCATGATTAGGGATGTTATTATAAAAGTAGAAGCAGTGAATATTGAAATTGAATAACAAAAACTTCACTCTAAATAAATGTTATGAATATGGATACAAATATGATTACAAATAAAAATATAAGTATGCATAAAGAGTTATAAAATACTTCTCAGTAATCACTGAAGTATCCAAATCATTCCATTATGAATATTGTCATTGCTCCTAAGTATGCTATCGTGTATGGGTTATTTTCTTCCATGAGGCATTTGTATTTGATGTCTGCAGGCTCTACATACCGGGGAACACTTTGCAATAAATATCTATCCATTTGATGTTTTGGATACTACCCAGGTAGGTCCCAAATATATATAAGGCCACAACGTTACAGAAAGTTTTTATCCTTTTTCAGGTGAGATATAATTTTTCCCACCACCTAGTGCCTTGCTGGCTCTTCTGCTAACTTTCCCATGTGATCTCTCCAAGCAAACACTGAACTTTTCCCTCTATTCCCACATACTTCACAGACATTAAAACACAAGCTCGAAGTCAGCAAAGATTGGCATGGGCCTTCAGGGACTCACAGGCTTTTGAGTTTTTTACCTCTATGGATTTCTGCCTTCATTCATATATTTGGCATATAGTAGTTTTCTTTACATTCTTTTTAGCTCAGAAATACATTGAAAAATATACTTTTTATGAAGTTTCCCTTATGCAGAATAAATAAGTTCTGGAGATTTAATGTAAAGCATGGTGACTATAGTTTAGAACATTGTATTGTATACTTGTAATTTGCTGAAAAAGATCTTACATATTCTCACCCTACACACAAAATATGGTAACTCTGTAAAGTGATGTCTATAATAATTAACTTGATTGTGGTACATTTGACAATATAGACATATGTCAAAACATCATGTCATGTACCTTAAATATATACAATTTATATTTGCCAATTGTACCTCAATAAAGCTGGAAAGAAATTTGTAAGTTTACTTTTATTATTATATATAGAATTAAATTTGCTTTACAACAAATTCATTTTACTTCACTGGTATTGTTTTCCCTAGAAATTTTAACCTTTTTCTTCTTAGGAATGTATAATAAAATGTTAGAATTGGCATATTTTCAACATTGCATCTTACATTATTTTCTCATTTGTATCATATGAATCATCTCTAAACAAAAGTGGCTGGGCTATAGATGGCACATAAGGAAAACTGAGGACCTCTCTGGCCTGTGATGCAGATAGGATAAGCCAATTTTATTCTTTCCCCTGGAAACATGAAATAAGAAACACAAAAATAATTAGGCAATAATTGTTAGAAGCTGCAGTTAAGAGATCATTGCTAGTGTTCAGACTACAGAGTCATCCTTGGGAGAATGACCTAAAAATGAGATAAAGAAGCTAAACAGTGGTAAGCAAGAAAATCTGGGTGTGCAAAGTGTAAGTGAGAGCCAGGATCCAAGATATTTTTAGCTCCCAGATATGTCTTACATACGGAACCAGTTCCCAAACTCCATCTCAAAAAAGCACTATTCCATTAAAATCAAAAATTAACACTTACTGCGAGTGAATCCTGTGTCAGGTAGTATTCCAAATGGTCCACAAGGATTAACTCATTTTATCTTCCCAACTACTTTAAGAGGTTGGGACCACAGTCTACTCTACATATGGGAACACCACTCTACATATCAAGGCACAGAAAAGTTAAACTGTTTCTTAAGGCCGTAGAGTGAGCAAATGATGCCTCCCAAAGACTAACCTTTGCAGTCTCCTTTGAGAGCCTGAACTCTGAACCTTTCCTATAATGTATTGACATCCATTTACAATTCCTGTATTTGCATTTCAGGATCCCTTACCATGTCCTGTATATCTTTATAGTAAATACTCCTTTGCTTGCGCTAGTTTAAGTGTGCTTTTTTTCTCACAAACAAGTCTGCCTTAACATATTTCTGTGTGTTTCTATAACAACCTGAATTTTCTCCAGGCAAATGTTTATTACATAAGTACTCTACTGTTACATTGCTCTTCTGTAGCCAACAGATCTCTGTGGCAACAAAGCCCTGCTTGAGTCAGGGTTTATCTTCATATCCAAATGTCTAACAAAATATGCAAATATGCGGCACACAGTATGCCTTTGTAAACATTGTTGAAAGAAATACAAGTGAATGAATGCTGCGGACACATTAAAGAACACATACAAGAGAAAGAGAAGAAAGCAAATATTTCAGTTTACTAAAGACATTTGAAGTTCTTTCCCACAAGTTTTATTAATAACTTAATTCAGCAATTGTTTAGAGTACCTACCACAAACCAAGCATTTTTTGCAATTTTAATAGCAAAAGTAAATTTTGATTTAATTTAATATATCTCTAGTTGCAGAAGACATAACTCTTAACAAGACAAGTATCGTTCTTTCCTCTACTGAACTTAGACTCCAGCAGTAGAGAGACAATGAAAGAAATAGTTATAATAAATCATGCCAAGTGTCTGATAAGCAAAGTTTAGGATCTTGAGGAAGGCATAAAAATAATCACAATGGGCAAGGGGAAGATTATACAAGGAAGAGAATTTTCATCTAAAGCCTAAAATGTAAGTAGGGTTTAGCGGATAGGGAAGTGGGTAGAAGACTGTTAAAGGTAAGAAGCACTCTGGGCAAAAGCTCCAAGACTGTCATGCTCATGAAACCAAACACAAATTTAATCAATGTATATTTTATGGATAGTCAGCATATATACAACATCTACACAATATCCATTCCACACACTGTAACTGTAGCTTCTATGATCACAGAACCCAGTAGGAAACAGAATCCTAAGAGAAATTATTATCATCATAGCAGCTTCCATACCACGGGAGTTAGCAATATCCCAAATGAAACCCCATTCCTAGGAATACTTTCACAAAGATTCTGTGAGCTTTAAAATTATATCTAAAATCACTTCTCATCTCCCATCCCTCTCCATCACTTACTGCAATCACTTCCATCTATTTGACATAGAAGAGGAGGCTGAAGTGATTGCTTTTAGGGAGGTTTACAATCTTTTTTTTTTTTTTTTTTTGTCTTGTGTGGTCTCCAATTCCCTCTTTTTGAGAAAGAAAAAAATAGCCTTGAGAGTTTTCATTTGTTATGACATTAAGAGCTAGGCCATAGCTTTCTTCTTTTAAACACACACAATTTCAGGAAAAATGACATCTGAGGAGGCACTCTGTGATCGTGATGCAAGCTGAAACCTTTCTAACTTTCACTGAGTACAGATAAAAACAAGGAACTGCGCAAACCACAAACATGACCAATTTCCCTCCCTCCCATCTCGCCTCAGTGAATGCTGCTTCTTTACCAATCACGGCTCCAACTGTTACTCCTCCTTTCTCAGTAAAAACAACAAGAACAACAACAACAAAACCCAAAAATCTAAGAGATCAAATTATGGAATTATTCCCTCTTCCTGAGAACACCCAGTTCAGAGAAAACCTCTGCTTCCTGCAGCCCTCAAAAAATCATTCACAACAAGCCATAATCCTTTAACAATTCCCACTTAATGCTTTTTGCAGAGGCCTTCATTGCTGCACTGTAGATATGTTCCTGGTGGTCTATAGCCAGACATTTTATTTGTTTACTCCATGCATTTTATGAACTTCAGCTGTCTTTCAGAAACACTGAAACTTTGACACCATGTATCTTTAAGCAAAACATCAAAAATCCTGCAATTAATATTTTTCTACAACTTTATTTGCAGAGCCTGACAAATAATTCTGCAGACACACTTCTTTAAAGAAATTTTTGAATTTTTTTTTTTTACTCAATAACAAGGGAAGGAAAAAAGAGGAGCCATTTAAACAATTGTAAGTAAAAGACAAAGGAGGAAGTCTGCTTTAGATATTGGACATCTTTATAATGAATAATGTAATTAAACAGGTTGAAATGCAGTAGATGTGGGGAAGTGGCAGTGGTGGTGAAGCCTGAAGTAAGCAGGGATTATCTCATGAGAAGCCTTGGAAACCATGCTACAGTTTTTACACATTATTCCACACAGAATGCCAAATAGCTGAAAATTGTTAAGCTAGGGAAAGACACAATGAGGTGTGAATTTTTAAAGCGTCTCTTTGGGGCTAGCATCCATAATGGAACAATATTGGAGAGATGAAGGTCATTAGGAGGCAGCTGAGTTGAGGAATGCTTGTGTTTATGCAGGGACAGAGGAGATAGAAGGGAGTATACACACCTAATATTAAGGGGTAGAAATGCTAGGGCTGTAAGAATGTTTTTGAATGGGAGAGGTGGAGGAATAAAGAATCACATAAAAGTTATATATTAGGGAATAGAGAAGACGATACTCTGGAAAGCTATGAAGGGAAGTACATTTGGAGACAGAAGTTCAGTTTTAGATGCGGAAGTAGAAGTGCCAGAGGCATTTGAGAGGAGGGTCTAAGAGTCAGTTGAATATATGGGTCAAGAGCTCAGTAGAGATGTCTCTGCTGAGGGTAGAGATTTGGGAATGAGCAGCACTTAGATAATAACTCAAGTCGAAAGAGTAACTGTGGTTGCCCAAGGAGAGTGTACATAGGCACCTTGAACTCTAATGCTGCAGGACCCAGGAAAAAAACATAGACATATAAATTCAGTCTCCATATGAATGCATAGAGAGTGGAAGAAAAAACAAAGAGTGCATGCCCTTCCAAGAGATTGTTAAGAAAAAAAAATGAATTGCATGTAATCTGGAAAAGACCAAAAAAAAAAAAAAAAAAAGGAACCAAGGGGGAAAGGACAGGATAGTTTTTAGGGCACCACTCTGAAGAATGTTCACACTTTCATAATAGGTTGATAAAATGGAACATAAAACGTGGGTAGGAAATAGAGGGAGAAGAGAAAGCCATGAGAGCGTGGTGCCACAGAAACGATGAAGGATAGTATTTTAAGGAAGAAGAAATGCCAGTAGTGCCCAATGCTGGGACCCTCTTAAATAAGTTATGGCTTTAAAAGGTCACGTTAGCCTTAGTGATGACAACGTGGTTTGGGCTGATTGGCATGAAGAGCTTCTGAGAAGCAGTGTCTTTAGAATTTGTTGTTAGGTTGAGGATTTAAAGGGATAAACGGACGAAAGACAAAGTCAGCAACTGTAGTCAATCTATTCAGTGTTCGTTTGAATAACAGTATATAACATATAATAATATACAGAGATATTGAAAAATAAACTATGCTCACAAACTGTTTGATACCCTTACTTTGCAGAAATAGAACCCAATCCTCTCATTTGCGCTTACGCGCCTTCTACTGCAGTCCAATAGATGGCGCTTAAGAGCGATAGCCGGCTCACCCTCAGGCAGGCTGATGACCAGCGGAAGCATACTAGGTGATGCAAGCAGTGGCAGGATGAGATTCTGTTGAGGTGTGCGCTGAGGCCTCGGGGGAAGGGGAGCTAAAGGGGTAGCACCCGTTCCTCATCCTGAGCCGGCAGGAACACGGTCTGCTTCCCTATCATGCCCCTGTTGCAGGGCTCATGACCTTCAGTTCATAAAGACTTTGTCCTTTGTTTCCCAGCCACAGTGCGGATAGGCCCAAACTCTGTCACTGGTCTGTCCTGCATTGCTACTGCTCTGTGTAGGAAGTGGGAGTTGAGCCCAAACCTTTATATAAAGGCTCGCTTTCAGCGGGGGTGGGGCAGCTACGAAAAGTGAAGGAGAACTCTCTAGGTGCACATGCGCCAGACCCCAGGGTAAAGAACCACTGCTGCAACCTCAACAGAGGATGGGGTGGGGCAGGAGAGCACCCCCTCTCCACGTCTGTTCCCAGGCATCAGTGCTGCCCCCTTCAGTGATTGGCTCTGCACCCACGTTTTCTTTGTCCCAAGAGGGATTCTCTCAGGGTTTGTTCCCCTCTCCCTGAGGGGTGGTCCACACCCAGGTTTGTATTACTCAGTGACCCGCTAGTCCCCTGTGCATGCCAGAGTCAGACTCAGTTGTGAGGTGTGTTTGGGAGGGATCTGGTGGTGCGGTGACTCAACGGCAGAAGATCCCTGCGCAGAGCAGTGGCCCACTGTGAATGCACCACCAGTATGGCGCCTGCCATCTGGGTTCAGGCCTGGGAGGAGTGTAGCCTGCCTGCATGAGCTGGCCACACGGTTCTGCATCTCCGGCAAGTTCCCAAATCGTTACAGATAGCATTGCCTTGGGTTATGAGGGCAGAGGGGCTTCCCCACAGTGTTAGCAGTCAGCAGATTGCCGCAGGGGTGAGGGGAGCAGCAGAGAGGCACTCCTACTAACCCTTTCCATGGGGCTCTGAGTTCCCTGGGAGTCAATCCCTGCAGACTCCTGCAGCTTTCCTTTTCTGCATCGCATCTTTTCCCATAGGCACTCCAACAGGCCCTGGCTTTCTTCCCTCAGTTTTCCATTTGGAACTTGTCCATTCACTAGTAACATTTATCTTCTTTATGGAGATAATTGGCAATCAATGGGTCTAGTCAGACATCTTGAAAAACAACCTTCTATGTTGTTGGAATTTTATGGTCTCACAATGTGAATGGGTACAGTAGTCGTGTTAAGTATTCTGGAGTCGTGATATCTATTGTGAATGCCGTGTCTTTTGTCAGATCTGAAAAATGTTCTCAGTATTTCTTTGAAAGTTGCCTGTACCTTTTGTTTTTATTCTTTCTATAACTTACATTGCATATACACTAGACATTATTATTCTATTCTCCATCTCTCAATCCCTTTTCCATTTATTCCATTTTGATCACACTCTGTGTTTCATTCTCAGCAAATAATCAGTTCTAGGGGACATTTATTCTTTTCTTTGCCATATCTTAACTGTTATTTAAACCATCCACTTATGTTATCATTTCAATGGCTGTTGTTAGTATCAAGATTTTATTTTTCAAATCTGTTCTTTTAAAAATACTGTCATCCTCTCCTTATATCTTCCATTTTTACAATTTTGTTTTTATCATCATAAATATTATTTTCTAATCTTCAATTTTTCTGTTACCTGAAATTTAGATTAGTTCATTATATGTGATGCATTTTGTTTATGGGAGATTATTTTTAGTTTGTTATTTTGATTTCAAATCATCCTGTTTTTGAATCTTATGTGACCTGGATTGAGGGTGTACCTGTCCACATCAGTTTGACATTTGCTTTTGCCAAGTGTCCAAGGCTCTCTCCGCCTTAGGACTAATGTGTTATTTATTCAGTGTAGAGTCCTGAGCTACTCAATAACATGCATTTACATCACAGACTGATTGAGGGCATAACTGTGATTCTGAAATGTTAAGGATCCCAAGTTAAGAAAGACATATTTCCATTACATCTACCTCTTCGAAGACACTAATTTATTTATTTATTTTTCTGGAACACATGTTACTGAGGATGTATCCAGTTTTATATAGAAGACTGAATTACAATTCCACACAGACATCACTTTGTAGTTGATTTCTTCAGATTTATCTTATTTTCTTCTAAACTCGTCCTTACATTTAAAGACATAACAGTTTTTCGAGTATTTTAAAGTATTTTTTAGTGAGAGGGTTTTTGGATTACGTAGTCCATGGAATGTAGTTCATGGAACAAACAGAAATTTCATGACTTAATTGTTGAAGTAATCCTCTTTCATTGAATACTCGCAATTTGGAAAAATCTATGTTGCATAATCAATTTAGTGTTCTATACTTTGCTTATTGAGCTTCCTTCAGTGATTTATGTTTCTTTACTTATTCATGGTTTTATGTTCCTCTCAAACCTCTACAGATAAAGGTATCAGACTCTCTAGAATAGAGGCAGACAAGAACAAGTAGAACATACTAAATTTTCTGATGTTGAAAACTGCTGTAGAAGAATTGACGATCCATTACCTTTGTACTGAAGAATAGAGTGGATTTCTTTCTGTCTCTAGGACTTACTGTGTGAGTTATTGTCCTTTCTTCTCCCCAGGTACTAAAATGAAACTAACTCCACCACTGAAATTTTCCTTCAGGCCCACCAGGGTTGTAGGTTTGGGCCAACTTCTGATAATCACAAGCAAAATGTAGAAAATGAGGTTCTTCTCAACATGATTTACACACCAAGTTATGGAATTTATTTTTAGGAAAGGAGGTGTAAACCAAGTCAGGGCTGTTCAAGATGCCAATACTACAGAACTTGAAAATTTTTTCACAGTAAGAAAATAATGGAATTCTTTTATATTTTGGCTTCAACATATAGAGATTCTCAGAATCAACGGCCACTACAGAATAAGATGCCATCTACAAATAGGAATGAACAAATGGCAAACTAAGACATTAGATTATTTGGCTGGTCACGGTGGCTTGTGCCTGTAATACCATCACTTTGGGAGGTTGAGGTGGGTGGATTACCTGAGATCAGGGGTTCGAGACCAGCCTGGCCAACATGGTGAAACCCCGTCTCTACTAAAAATACAAAAGTTAGCTGGGCATGGTGGCAGATGCCTGTAATCCCAGCTACTCGGGAGTCTGAGGCAGGAGAATCGCGTGAACCAGGGAGGCGGAGGTTACAGTGAGCTGAGATCGCACCATTGCACTCCAGCCTGGGTGACAAGAGCAAAACTCCATCTCAAAATAATAATAATAATAACAATAATAATAAATAAAATTGAAATATAATCATGTAAATGTTAACAAATATAAAAACAATTACTTCTTTCAACAAATAAAAAGACTAACACAATTTTGAAGCTACTGAGGATTTCCATTGATTTCTGTTAATGAGTATTCCTTCTTTCTTGCGTTCCACTGCATTTAATCAGTTAGAAAAGGCAAGTCTGCTTATTTTCAAAATCCTCATTTCCCAATGGTAAATTGAAAACCTAGAAAACAATTATGGAAGAAGTGGCAGAGTGAAATGCAATAGTCACTCATGCTATTTAAAGTTTTCCTGAAGATCCATTTTCAATTGCTTCTTTCTCATTTAAATGCTTTGTACATATGTACTCAAAAACCTGTGGTCTAGAATTTGAAAACTTGTTTTGACCAATGTATAAAGTGTCTCCTTAAAATATCACACTAAAGAACAGAGTTCTAGAGAGTACATAAAAATACTCTTTCTTTTCGGTCTTCTAATTTTTGCAATCTAATGTTTGGATCAAAATCAAAGATAATTTATGTAGTACAGTAAATCAAATTTGATTGATCATTATTATTTTATGTATCTGAGGGGAAATTTCAGCAACTGGTTCATAAATAGAGTGGCTAAATAGAGTTTTATGTCTACATATTTGGAAAAAAAGAAAAAAATGAAGTCACCTCAATTTAATCATATTATGCCTTTATTTTGAGAAAGATTTGCTTTGCTTGTTTTAAATTAGGACACAGAAGAGAAAGAGTGTAATAATGCCTTTCAGATAAGTAAAAAGAATGGTGCGTTCTTGTGTTGCCATCTCTGTTTAGCATCAATGAAGCTACAGGCTCAGCAGCATAAAAGCAATTGTCTCTTTAACAGCGAAATCTTATTTGTGCACAGCATTAGCAATAGCCCCAAGGCAACAATGAAGATGTTTTCAAAGTATTGCTTGGGAATTTGTCAGTGATTCTCATTGACATTAATGGGAGTTTTATAGGCAGTTTTACTCCCTTCACTTTGAAATGTGTAAGAGAGAGTTTCTGCAAGTGTTTTGTGCAGTCTTCTTACAAATTTCAGGAAGAAATGCTTTCAACTACGAATGTGTCTAAAACATGTTGAAATAACTGTTGATCTGGGGGACAAAATCAACTATAAATCTTGGTATCCACTTTAACCAAAGTGGTTATTTCAGTTTTTAATAGCGGACATTTTATCCTTCCTCTCCCTTTCAAATTTTAGCTTTTTATAATGGATAATACATTTGTAGTTGGTATGAATTGATAACACTTGTAAGAGAACCGATCTACTTGCACCATGTAACTGGACATAACACATGAAAATGCAATACCAAAATGTTTATTTTTACAGTGGTGAGCAATGATATTAGTTATCCATTTACTTATTTATAATGCTTAGCACTTCACCAGACACAGTGAATATAAAGGTGGTAAAAAATCATGGAGCTATTACTAAAATTAAAAGAAATCAAATACTCATAACAGAAGGGCTTGTAAAATCATAATACGAAAAGCACCATGAAGAGACACATACATAATAAGAGGAATAATAGGGAGGTCCAGGAAGGATCTGGAAAGAATAATCCTTCAGCTGAGTTTTAAATGATGAGTTGGTGTTATGGTAATAGAGGGATGAGGAAAACCATTTCCCAAAGAGGGGATATCAAGTGAAAAACAGTTCTGTGATAGAAAGGATTATAGCAACTACCTGAAATTTTTAATAGGACACTGTGGCTTGAGTGGGCAAGGGTAGGAAGCCATGACCCATAAAGAGGCAGGGATGGTAGCAGAGATCAGACTGTAGAGATTTTAGTAGATGATGTTAGAGAACTTGGTTATTAGGTGGGAGAGTGTGTGTGAGAATGAAGGGGGAAGAGCCCCTTATAAAACCATCAGATCTTTTAAGAACTCACTTACTATCATGAGAACAGCATGGGGGAAACGGAAACGGCTCCCATGATCCAAGCACCTCCCACCTGATCCTCACCTGACATGTGGGGCTTATGGAGATTACAAATCGAAATGAGATTTAGGTGGAGACACAGAGCCAAACCGCATGAATTGTCAATGCTAATAAATCATTAAGTAATAAAAGGGTTAAATTATATATAAATATATAGGTGGCTAGACAAATACAGATATAAGTGTATATTAAATTTAGCAAAAGAGAAAGAGCAATGGTGATATTGGAAAAGGTATTTGCATTTGTAAGATCAGAAAAAATCATCTCAATCATTGGCTATGAATTGAGAAAGATTAGCAAACCAAAAGTTGGAAGGATCAAAGTCTAGAGGATTGTGTGTACTGTATTTGATTCAGAAGACAGTTCTTTGAGTATGTGTAAATACTGATTATTATAATTCAGTACAGAAAAGCAATCGGAGATCCAAGGGAGTTCAGAGATAGTGAATAGAGTAAGTCACAAGGAAGGGCAGAAGGATTTGCTTTTTTAAAAAAGATGGAAACTGACTTCCACTACACTTAATGACAGGGAAGAGGGAAACTAAGAGCCAGGTAAATTGACAGATTTGTCAAAGAAAAAGTTTTGTCCCAAGCATAACAAATGAGTATATTTTGTATCCTGAACCTTTGCAGCCTACAACAATCTTTAATAATGGCATGTTTAAAATTAGAACTATATTATTGCTTGGTCCTCTACCTCTGTTTTCTGTCTGATTCCATTTTATGTTTTCCTGTTAGTTGACTGTATTGTGCACTAATGCTAAGGTGTGAAACTTTTAAATTCTAACTTCATATACAGATATATCTTTAACGTTTGCTTTTTCTATATGCTGTTATTATTCTGATAGAAGATATTGATGTCATCTTGAAGCATGTTACCAGTCTTTTCAATAACTTTTATGGATATATAAAATATATTCTCTCTTTCTCATACACACATACATGCATTCTTTTAAACTAGATAACTAAAACAAAACTTTCTTCCTGAAAAACAAAACTAGCCACTTATAAAAGTGAAATGTTGCCTACCCTCTCTGAAATGGTACCCTATTTTCATATTCTCTGAAATGACAAAATTTTTGTCATGATTTTGATTTCTTTGCTGCAAGTTAATAAAATTTGATAAATGTTTCTGACAAATTTGTCTATGAAATGTTGTTTTAACCAATTTTGTGATTGAAAAGTAAGTAAGATGCTATCTAACATTATCGATGAAGCCTGGGTGGGAGGTCATTTACTGTGGAATATAGAGTTGATGTTTTAAAAAAGTAAAGGATATTTTAAATAACCCCTGGGAAAGTGAACTGGCCAAGGAAAATGGGAGAGATTGTGGGTTAGCATTAAGATACACTTGATATTGGAGATTATAAATCTTATTTTATTTTACTGCCCAAGCTTTCAAATATTGCAATTATGCAACCCTTAATCTGTGGGAAACTTTAAAAGTCCATATACCTTGTGAGGTATTCTTATATCTAAATTGAAATGTTCCTACTGGGATAGCAATATGTTTTTGTCTGTTTCTTCTTTGATAAAGGGTAATATATTTCTACTTGCCTCCTACTGATGGATTTTTATTTGTACCCCAAAACTAAGATTGTTAGCATTTGGATTTCTCCCCTTTAGATAAAATAGTTTGTTTTAACCCATTTTCTTCTTTGTCCTTTACTTTAATGTCAGTATCAAATTATTGCTTGGTACTTTCAATGGCAAAATTAAATTACCAAACTTTCCACAAGATTTCATCTCTTTTTAAGAAATAGGTGTGCCATGTTTTCCCTCTTTCCACTATCTGTGAACAGAAGCTTTGTAAGCAATTGGGTAAAGGCACCAGGAGAAGTGAAGCATCAGATAAAATCATAGTGTACTTTTTGGAGATATGGCAGGCATATGGAAGACTGTTATACAATAAGTAAAATATTTCATGATGAGGAAAACTTTAAAAAGAGAATATGCAAGAATTATAAGGAGAAATAAATCTTAAAGATAAGCTAGAAAAGAAAGGAATGTTAAAGACTACTGTTACCTTTTCAACTAAAGTATGTATTTTTTCTTATGTCAGTATATACAAATATCAGAAAACAACACCAATTCAGCCATGATCTAACTTCTCACTTAATTGTTATTATACTAGAAGATTTTATTTTATTGTCATTATGTTCTCAAGGTTGGGGCAACAGAAGTTCCCCAAGTGAGTTTCCCAATAGGACAGCAGATGATGTAACTCAACTAGCATTTAAATGACCATAGTGGTCTACCACTTACCAAATCTGTGACTTCTAGGGGGCTGCTCAACTTCTTACCCTCAGTATCTTCCTCTGAAAATAAGAATAATTTATTCTTCAAAAGAATTTGTGAAAAGTAAATGACTAGTATATGAAAATTATGGAGTCAATTTTCTGACACATAAAATGAATTAAATAAATAATAGTTTCTTTTCCTCTTCAGGGTTTCAGCTAAACTTAGTGAACTAACTTTGGGCTTTTGATAGATATTCGTAATCATGCCAATCCAATAGTTTAACAATCTTCTAAATTCCTCTAGGAATCCTGGAATCCCAAAAAGATTTAAACTTTACTGCCTCAAAACTTTAAAGACATAGCCTTTAAAAAATGTAAACCTATTTCTCATGGAACAAATATCATGATCAAAAAAATTTAGATTTGGAAAGTACTTTGAATCCTGGGTAGCTCAACCTTCCATACAATGTAATGTTTTCTAAAGACTGCCAGCCAGGGTCTATTTGGATATTTCATTGATAAGGAATTCATTCTGGGAGGTTTTTTCAAGATATTTGACACCTTTAATTATTATTACTATTATTATTTCAATGTAAGCACACAGTTTGCTTAGCCACACTAATACCAAAAACCTCTCTTCCCCTAGAGTGGACAGAAGCTTAAATTTTACCACAGGTCTTTTACATAGCCTTTGCTGAACTGTTTGGAATCTGTGTCATGCACTGGTGCTTCAGATAACTGGACAAAACTTATACGTACAATTTGACAGTACCCTTGTCTGGCTTTTTCCAGTCTGGAATTCCACTTCTCTCATTTTCTACTAACTGCAGTTTCCCTAGTCCCCATTGTGGTAGGCAGAATAATGACTTTCCCCACCTAAGACCTCTATATCCTGATCCCCAGAACCTGTATATGTTACCTTACATGGCAAAAGGGACTTCAAAGATGTGACAAAGGTTATGGATCTTGAGATGGAGAGATTATTCTGGATTTTCTGAGTAGGCTTAGTCTAATCACATGAATCCTTAAAACCAGAAAACCATTTTGGCTTTGGTCAGAGAGAGATGTAATAAAGGGTCAGAGAATTAATCCATTGCTAGTTGTGTAGGTACAGGACACATCCATAAGCGAAGGAATAGGAATGGCTTCTAGAACTGGTAAAGGCAAGGAAGTGGATCCTCCCCCAGATCTTTAATAAAGAAACATAGCCCTGCCCTCACCTTGATGTTAGCCCAGTGAAATCGTGTCAAGTTTCCAACCTAAAGAACTGTAATAAGATTCATTTTCATTGTTTTAATCCACTAAGCTTTTGGTAATTTGTTGTGGTAACAACAGAAGGCTAACATACCCAGCTTCTAGTTTTTCAAGCCAGTAGGACTGTGAGTTTTCCATCTGAGTAGCTCTGCTTGGGAAGTCTAGAGTCTGCCCCAGGCTAGTTAGTATGCTGTCTTCTTTCAATAGTCAATCCTGTATAAGTTCTATCTTCTTTGGTTCATTCTATTTTTGCTCACTCTTCAGTGTCTTCAGATAGTTGATTTTATAATTTATGTAGAATTTAAAGTTGTTTTATGCCAGAGGGTTGATCAAATAGAACCTTATACCTTACGAGCAGCAGAGTCTCCCTTAACTTTAAATTTAAAATGTTTTTCTTTAATATTAAACACAAATTCTTATCACAATTATTGGTTCTAATTTTGTTCTTTGATACTTCAAATAACTATACCTAATCACATTGAACACGGTGTAATTAATATTTGAAGAAAATCAAGATTTCCTCGCTAAGAATCTTCTTTTCCAGGATAAATTTTAGGTTTTTGTTATATGGTATGACTTCCAAATATTCCAACTTAGAAAACATTCTTGTATATATGTAGGTGGGAGAACATTCTGTGTGTGAGTCTAAAGAAAGTCTACCCAGAATACTACACAATATCTCACATGAAGTCAGATCAGTTCAGAATACAGTGTGCAATAGCTTTATCACACTGAATATGGTGATGACAGATCAGTTTCAATCAGGTCTTATGAAGTGTGCTTTTGATTCAAACTAAGTGTAATGCATTATATTTTCCAATTTTAGTTACTCCTTAGTAAATTTCTTCATATCTTTGAATTTTTAATATAACAAGAAGAAAATCATAATTACAATAGCCACTATTAATTGAAGACCCATAAATTGCTAGGCTCTGGGTAAGGTCACATTCCTCTGTTTCCTTATTTACTTGGTATAACAATTATGAAAAATGTTGGGCATTATTTCTATATTTAAAATTACATTGTCTAATTTTAAGTAAAAATAGCTACATAAAGAACACATTCAGTTTTCTGAATAACCAATTAAACTTAATTTCCATCAAAATTGAATTTACTTTTAAGATACAAGTAGATAAATCACAAAAATGAAAGATATTTTTTAAACAGTGAGAGTTTATTATTGTTTCAATGAGTTTATTCAGCTCTGTGAACCAAAATCTGCAAGAAATTTTGCAATGGGTTTATTTTTATTTCAAGCATAGTAATAGGCATTAAACTGTATTTGTCTGAAAGCCAAGTGTTTATATGGGTTTTTTTTCCTATAGACGATGCATGTGTTTTCTCTAACAAGGAGAAACCCAGGTGTCATTGGCTCTCTTTTCATTGCTTTCCAAAACTTGATCAGTCTCTATCCAACAAAACAAGATTGAGCCCTTGAATAAGCCATCTCACTCAGTCACTCAGAGTAGCTCTTCAGAGAGAAGAGGGAAAATCCATTTGCTTTTTTAAAGAAAAACAGTTATCTAAGCCCTGATCTGGCTTCTATAGGAGCCTGGAGGAGGAGTTTCAAGCTGCAGCCAGGCAGATACTTGATAGACTTCGCATTATTGGATTGACGATTTTTTCTCCCCTGTTACACCCGTATTTGTAAACTGTACAGCACAGTGACTGACAATGTGAAAGATGAACAATAAGCAGAGATTAGAGAAAGAGATGAAAAGACACTGTGTTGGAAGAGGAAAGCGATCAGCTTTTCATTATTCTATCAGAGCTTCTGCTTTGTGAGCGATAGATCACTGTCAATCACCAAGAAAGTAGGATGAGAGGAACACAAAAAATCTCATTTAAATAAAGTGTTCAGAGTGTTAACAGGGATTCACAATCAGCAAGAGGTGAAGACTTTTCCTGTCACAGCTACTAAAATACTTGTCTTTCTGGTTGATGTAAGATTATGCTAGATGATATGTATGTACACCAGTAAACTCTTCTTTGCTTATGAAGTTTATTGTTATTCCAACAAGAGTAAATATATGCGTTACTTACTGATGAGACAAATTGTCCCAGATTATTTCAAGGAAACTTAGGTCTTTTTAACAAAGTTCCCTTTCCTCTAACTATCAAAACCTAAGGAATTAAAACTCAATAATAAAGGACCCATATAGACATTTTTCAAAAGAAGACATACAAATGACTGGCAGATATATGGAAAAATGCTCAACATCACTAATCATCAGAGAAATGCAAATCAAAACCACTAGAAAATATCAGCTCATTCCTATTAGGCTATTACAAAAAAGACAAAAGATAACAAGTGTTGGTGAGGATGTGGAAAAAAAGACAACCTTTGTACACAGCTGATGCAAATGTAAATTAGTACAGCTCCTATGGAAAATAGCGTGGAGATTTGTCAGAAAATTAAAAATAGAGCTGCCACAAAATCTAGTAATCCCACTACTGGTTATATATACAAAGGAAGTGAAATTGCTATGTCAAAGAGTTATCTGTACTGCCATGTTCATTGCAGTATTACTCATAATAACCAAAACATGGAGTTTACTTGAGTGTTCATCAAAAAATGAATGAATAAAGAAAATGTGGTTTTATATATCATGTTATATATAAAATATATATATAATTAAATACTATTCAGCCTTGAAACAGAAGAAAATCCTATCATTTGTGACAACATGGCTGAACTTGAGTGGCATATGTTAAGAGAAATAAGACAGGAACAAAAAGACAAATGCCACGTGATCTCATTTATATGTGAAAATTTAAAGTCAAACTCACAGAAGCAGAGAATAGAATAGTGGTTGCCAGAAGCTGAGGGTGGGGGAATTGGGAATATGTTGGTGAAGGTATACAAAATTTTAGTTAGATAGGAGAAATAAGTTCAAGAAATCTATTAAATATCACAGTGATTATAGTTTATAACAACATATTGTATATCAGAAAATTGAAAAAACAACCATCCTTTTAGATGTCAGAGGAGAAGATACCACTGCTATGTCTTGTGATGTCCATGTTCTCAATGTTGGACAGCATTTGTCACAATAAAGAAGCTTTGGTGTCACTTATTGAAAATAAAAGAAAAAAACCCTCTGTTTAGTTTCTAGGAGAATATTTAAATAATAACAAAAAGTTTTGAAATTTTCTATTGTAACATAAAAATGAAAGATTGACCAGAGTTCAGGCTTGGTCAAAGTCATTCTTCTTAAATAGAAAGAATGCACTAATTCCAAAAAATTTGTGAAATTTTATTTTGGATTTAAATTTCTAAATTTTTCATATTATTTTTATTCCAAGAACACAAGTGAGATCACTTGAAGTTCATAGTAATCATGTTAGAAATCAAGATGAAAAGTTGGATTATAGGCAGTTTTTCAAAAAATCTGATATTTGCTTTCTGCTCTGTAAATCTCTAAAACATTGTTCCATATGACAGCTGCCAAAAAGGGGTTTAGAGATGGGAGGTTCTTAGAGCCAGAACACATAGACATAGTCATCTATCTTTTATTAAAGACTTTGGCCAATCTTGAAGCTATATTACTGAATATAGATTAAACTTTCTGCTGGCTTCTTAACTCCATGAAAGCATGAAGTGCATTTATATTGCTTATTCCATAGATTTTTATGGCAAATGTAAATGACAGGAGCGGACTCTTGAGATAATTGACACAATGCTGAGGAAAAATTTAATCATATACTTCCATTAAGGTAATAAGATTATAAATGCAGTTAGCATAGTTCGTGGTACATAGTAAGTATCCAATTAATGTGACTTTGTTATTTTTTTTTCCTGCTTTGAACATGAATAATCTAAGAACTCACTCACTTATGAGAGCTGACAACTGCTAATCTCTCTCTGTTTCTCAAGATAAGTTGGGTCTTCTTCCTGCTATGAGAAATAATGTCCTACCTTTTTCAATGTCGTTTTTGATGGTGTGTGGAAGATGTGTAGAATGAATTTTACTGTGAATATACAGTTGACCCTTGAACAATGAGGGGCTTGGGGCACCAGCACCATGTGCAGTCAAAAATCTGAGTAAAACTTTTGCCTCCCCATAAACTTAACTACTAATTGCCTAGCGTTGATCAGAAGCCTCACTGATGACACAAACAGTTGATTAGTACAAACATTTTCTCTTTCTTCTGATTTTTTTAAGCTAGAGGAAAGAGAATGTTATTTAGAAAATCAGAAGAAAGAGAAAATATATATACCATTAAGTGGAAATGGATCATCATAGAGGTCATCATCTTTGCTGTCTTCATGTTGACCAGGCTGAGGAGGAAGAAGAGGGGTCTTGCTATCTCAGGGGTGGCAGAGGAGGAAGAAAATCCATGTATAAGTGGATCCACACAGTTCAAACCTATGTTGCTCAAGGGTCAACTATATTCTTAAATAGGTGTTTTAATGAAAAAAATATGTCTCTCATATACATCCCAGAAAAGCTCATTTGAATACAAACAGATGTTTTAAGTCAAAAATGCTTCATTTCTTTTCTCTGTTCTTATTATATTAAGAAGAAGACTACTTCTGATGCTTAGCTCCAACCCTCTCAAAAATATCGGCAATCCCCTAAATTACATAGAAAATTAACATAGATCATACTCCAAAGTCTTCTGTGTCTTTCTGTTATTTCGTAATGAGCTCTACTTTTGAATAAGAAGCACACTGAAAAGAAGATAAACCAGGCTACTGAAGAGTCCCTCACATCTGTTCACATGTGCTCCAGCTAGTTTCCCATCATCCTTCTCCTCACACATGCTCATAGTCACAACCGATAGTAAATTCAAGACAATAAAGATGACGACCTCTATGATGATCCATTTCTACTTAATGGTAAATATATTTTCTCTTTCTTGTGATTTTCTAAAAACTTACTGAGAGTTATTAGTAAAATGTAAGACAGTTGTTTTTGCCTTTCAAGAAATAAGTCATGGACATGTTGTAAGTACCAAAAATTATGATGAGCCTCATAATATATTCTGGCCTAGTATATGAAGATTGTGATTGAGTTCATATGACATTTCTGGAATCATATTTTTGTTTCTGTGTTCTACTTCAGTATAGCTACATAGCTATTGATTAAGTGTGAACAACATAAATAATGTTAATTTTAATAGAGAAGTCAGTGCTAAATACTCTACACCACGTCTAGATGTCTATCATTTCTTATAAAACCAGTCATCCGTGTCAAATAATTCTCTAAGTTTGTTGAGGCTCATCTTGTTAAAGGTTCACTCTGGGAGAAGATGGAATTTTAAAAGGAAGAAATACAGGCGGCCGGGCGCGGTGGTTCATGCCTGTAATCCCAGTACTTTGGGAGGCCAAGGTGGGCGGATCATGAGGTCAGGAGATCGAGAGCATCCTGGCCAACACGGTGAAACCCCGTCTGTACTAAAAATACAAAAAATTAGCCAGGCGTAGTGGCAGGCGCCTGTAGTTCCAGCTACTGGGGAGGCTGAGGCAGGAGAATGGCGTGAACCCGGGAGGCGGAGCCTGCAGTGAGCCGAGATCACGCCACTGCACTCCAGCCTGGCGACAGAGCAAGACTCTGTCACAAAAAAAAAAGAAAAAAAAAAGAAAGAAAGAAAGAAAGAAAGACGGGCAACTAGAGGGAGGAAGGGAAGAAAGGTCACATTTATATCACTCCTTTATATATTAGACTAAAAAGAAAAAAAAAAGTCTGACTTCAGTATAGCTACATTACTAGGTTATAGCTAGTATAGCTAGGTTAGCATAGCTAGGACATTTACTCTGAATTACAGAAATATCATCTTTAAATAAGACTCAGAAGAGATGCACAGTAAATAATAACAACTAATTCTTAATGAACAATTACTATGTGGAAGATTCTCTGCTAAGCAATTTGGCCTCTGCTACGAGACCTGAGAGAAATGGTAGCTTCCCTCAACTTATACTCCGTTGTCAACTAGTACGTGAGTCATTGTAGTCATTAATTCATCAAAAAGAAATTTGTTTTTTTCTATTTTAGTTACCGTGCTTTCTTCCCACCTATGACAGTGCCTGGCTCAAGAAGACACTCAACAAATACTAGAAATATCATCTAAAGCAGTCCAAAGCCCTTAAAGTTAGAAATTACAAGAGAGCAAAGATGTGAATATCATTTTGAGAATTATATGTCTGATAATAGCATTTCTTCTTGTAATACAAGATATCATTTATAAAATGTGTACTATGACTAATATATGAATGTATGAAATAGATCTTTTTTATTCCCATTTCTTAAATTGAAATATAATCTCAGGAAGCTCAAGTTGCTCAAGGTCACACAGGTAATAAGTCTCAGAATAAAAATTTGAGCTGAGGAAATTTGGCTCCAAAATCCACCTTCTTAACCATTAAGTCATGCTGCTTTGCTACATAGATTGACTATGAGCTTATAAACTAAATGTAAATAAGGAGATTTATAAATGTTTTATTGTTAATTATTGTTGAAAATTTGTATTTAGTGAAACGTACATCCAAAAATGTCTTAGTTCTTATTTGATTCTTAAGAAAATACTTAGGAAATAAGAAAACGTGTCTCAAACAATAAGGTATCTTCTCGTTTTCAAAAGTCTTTGAATTTCAAGAACATGTTTGGATGTGGTTTTAATTTTCATAAAGCTATTTCAAACTCAAGTTTATGTGTATGAAACAATCCCACAAAATCAAATTAAGATATGAAAAATAAATAGATATTTATTAGCTATTTAAAACATTTTGTCAATGTAGCTGATCATTTCTCAAACTGGACTTCAGTACCTATGAGGAATGATGGTGGCTGAGTCCTGGAATATGGAAGAATGAAGTTTGTTAGGTTCATCTACTTCCTCTGTTTTGCTATCAGACTGTTCTACTTTTAATAATGTTTAGAGTGAAGAAACTTAAACTCAGTAAAATATTAATTAGAGAGGAGGGAGCTGCAATCAATTTTTACAACTTCAACAATTATTCACATGTGCAACAGAGTAAATCAGGTTGATCTACTGGCATTTCAAAACTTTGTCCTACTTTGTCCTTACGTTCCTAATCACATAACAATTGCCAAAAATTTGACTTTAACTCTTCCTCACTGGGGGTTTCAAAAAGTCTAATGTAGGCCGGGCATGGTTTACAACATAGGGTGCAAAGTCTTGGGAGGAAGTGACGTGGAGTGGAGACAGAGGCCAACATAAAAGAGTTAATAATATAGGTGATATAAGTTAGGTTTATCTAATATATATATTAGATATATATATATCTAATAATATAGGTGATATAAGTTAGGCAGAGGAAGGGTGTCACTTCTTTAGAATTTCTTGTTTGTTTATATTTTTTAAGTAAATAACATTATTTAGCCCTATTAAATAAAAATATTTCCATTTAAAAATAGTTTGTATGCAAGTAGTAAATTTATAATTTTCTAGGAATAAAGTTTGAAAATACTGCACATATAATTTGCCTACCTGTACTATTAATAGATTGTAATAAAAAGGAAAATTTGAAAACAAAAACAATAAAAGAACAGCAGCTCATTTACATAGAATCTCTGAGCTGTTCAAGTCAATTTTCTTTTGCCTTTTGGCAAATGTTTTTCATCGGCTTCAGATGTAGAATGCATTTGTATTGGCTACAATAGCTCTCTAATAGCTGAAGATGCAGCATGAGTCCAAAGTCTAATAGCAACCTTAAAATAAATCACTTTTACACCATGTAATAAGGCAAAGCCATTTTACTAATGGATCACAAAGAGGGTATGAACATGACACAAATGTTAGTCTAAATTGAATATGGTGAACACTATTACTTCTGTAGACTTCACTGCTAATGCCTGTATAAGCTCTTCAACAGACTGGATTATCAGACTTTTTTTTAAATGTTCAAAATGGATGTTCTTACGTGGCTTAATGTAAATTGTAGAACTGATAATGTTTGTGTCCCAAAAGTTCATACTAAAAGATCTCTTATATTTTTCTTATCTTCTGTATTTTCAAAGGATATTTCTGAATAGATCCTTTTATTTAGAAGTCGTTATTGATTACAAAATAAAAACCCAGAAGACACACACGTATACCCTAAAACCAATTCCAAAAGCCCAGACAATGCCTGGTGGAGTATAAATGACATTCTTTGAAATTGCTTATGTACACAGACATACAAGTGCACTTAGTAGATGTAATTACAGCTTTTACAACAGTCTAATTAAACAGCACATCCATCATATATATTGTCTGTATTGCTAAGAATTGGATAAATCACTTTGAAGCAAAGCAAGCAGTGAGTTGCTTCTTCCTCCCCACCTGCTGTTACTAACTGTAAACAAGCAGCAGCCACGGGGAGAAAACAATCTTTCATATCAGAAAGTGATAAATGATATGATTTCCTGTTCTCAGTGCTTCTTGGCTGAGACCAAAAAAAATCTATATGTGCACTGTAATTATTGCACATTATTTACTTGGAAATGAAATTTATCCTGTGATGTGAATCAACACCATTATTTTTCTATTTAGACAAAAGAGAAAGATAATTTTTCCCAAGATGATAAAGTAGTGACTATGCAGAAGGGGTGTGCCTGACAAACAAACTAAATTAATTTCAAATGATAACTTCCATCAAATGCATGATTGGCTCTTTCTTTGTGGCACAATTTTTCTATAATTTAAATGAAAGGAAAAGAGAGTTTAGTATTCACATTTTAAAATCAATACAGTCTTGATTTTCATGTTGGGCTTACTTAAATGTTGGAAATTTGAAAAGAATTGACTCATTAGGAAGAAGAACTAGTATATTGATAAGTGACTTCAGATCATTGTTGAGAAAACTTAAAATCAGCCTTATGAGCTCACCGTAAGGTTACCAAGTTACACAGTCCTAAGGTGTCCAGTTGTCTAGATGTTAAGGGGAGAAAGTCAAAGGATTGGTGAAGAGTAAAGAACGGCATAAACATTACTTTTCTTAGAGAAATTTGAAAAGCCATCACCATTTTAGGGACTTACTGAAAAGTAGAAAGTAATGAGATAGGGGTTTTCTTACTTATTGAAGGTAAAACCTGATTCCTTCTTTTCTTTTATGAGAAAAACTGAAAACAAAGAAAAAAACTTGGTCTTTCAAATCGGTAACATAGTGAAAAGCATCAGTGGGAAGGACAAGCATTGAAAGGCCATCATTTCTTACTCCACGGAAAAGCGTTCCTTGGCAACCGCATGGGAAGGAAAAGTATGCCTTTCTGCTCACTGACTTCTGACTATTCACTGAATTTATCCACTTCATTAAAATCCCAGAATTATTACTAGTCAAACACGGCTTTATAAATTACTTAAGATGACCCAAAGAAATGATTTCACAATGCTTTCCTCTGGGTGAACACCAGAAAAGAAATCAGCTTACAGTCAGAAGAGGCAACACCTGTGTGGCAACTGTTTCCACAGTTTCATCAAACTTCCTGAGCACCAGTTGGTGGTCCCTTCAATGCCTGCTCATGGAAGGAAAGCCCAGGCATGACTAAACAGCAGTGGAAAAGCCACATGGACAGAGCTAGGACTCCACCCACTCTTTTGGATTATTTCTTTGTTTTCTGTTCCTGGGAACTGAAGAGATGGAAAGGTGTAGGGAAGGAGAGAATGGTTAAGAATCATTGAGTTCTACAAATTCATTCACTTCAATTCTTAAAATTATTTCTGGCTCAGCCAAGAAAAAGCAATTTTTAGTCTTTGCTTTTTCTACCCTGTATTATTCAGTTGGAGCAAAGTGCCAGATACATAGTCAAACAAGAAGGAAGCAATTCAGTAGAAATTTGACAATACAGGGCCGGGGCGGTGGCTCACACCTCTAATCCCAGCACTTTGGGAGGCCGAGGCGGGTGGATTGCCTGAGGTCAGGGGTTCAAGACCAGCCTGGCCAACATAGTTAAACCCCATCTCTACTTGTCAGGCCTCTGAGCCCAAGCTAAGCCATCATATCCCTTGTGACCTGCACGTACACATCCAGATGGCCAGTTCCTGCCTTAACTGATGACATTCCACCACAAAAGAAATGAAAATAGCCTGTTCCTGCCTTAACTGATGGCGTTATCTTGTGAAATTCCTTCTCCTGGCTCATCCTGGCTCAAAAGCTCCCCTACTGAGCACCTTGTGACCTCCACTCCTGCCTGCCAGAGAACAACCCCCCTTTTTCCTTTACCTACCCAAATCCTATAAAACGGCCCCACCCCATCTCCCTTCACTAACTCTTTTCAGACTCAGCCCACCTGCACCCAGGTGAAATAAACAGTTTTATTGCTCACACAAAGCCTGTTTGCTGGTCTCTTCACAAGGATGGAAGTGAAATTTGGTGCAGTGACTCGGATCGGGGGACCTCCCTTGGGAGATCAATCCCCTGTCCTCCTGCTCTTTGCTCCATGAGAAAGATCCACCTACGACCTCTGGTCCTCAGACCAACCAGCCCAAGGAACATCTCACCAATTTTAAATCAGGTAAGCGGCCTCTTTTTACTCTCTTCTCCAACCTCTCTCACTATCCCTCAACCTCTTTCTCCTTTCAATCTTGGCGCCACACTTCAATCTCTCCCTTCTCTTAATTTCAATTCCTTTCATTTTCTGGTAGAGACAAAGGAGACACATTTTATCCGTGGACCCAAAACTCCAGCGCCGGTCACGGACTGGGAAGGCAGCCTTCCCTTGGTGTTTAATCATTGCAGGGACGACTCTCTGATTATTTACCCAGGTTTCAGAGGTGTCAGACCACGCAGGGACACCTGCCTTGGTCCTTCACCCTTAGCAGCAAGTCCTGCTTTTCTGGGGTAGGGGCAGGAACCCCGGCCACTTATCTCTGCACCCCAATCTCTTATTTCCACACCCCGACCTCTTATCTCTGAGCCCTGATCCCTATTTCCATGCCCCGACCCCTTATCTGCTTTTCTGGAGGGCAAGAACCCCCCACGCCTTCTCCGTGTCTCTAGTCTCTTTTCTCTGGGCTTGCCTCCTTCACTATGGGCAAGATTCCACCTTCCATTCCTCCTTCTTCTCCCTTAGCCTATGTTCTTAAGAACTTAAAACCTCTTCAACTCTCACCTGACCTAAAATCTAAGTGTCTTTTTTCTTCTGCAATGCCACTTGACCCCAATACAAACCTGACAGTTGTTCCAAATAGCCAGAAAACGGCACTTTCAATTGTTCTATCCTACAAGATCTAAATAATTCTTGTTGTCAAATAGGCAAACGGTCTGAGGTGCCTGACGTCCAGGCATTCTTTTACACATCGGTCCCTCCCTAGTCTCTGTTCCCAATGTAACTCATCCCAAATCTTCCTTCTTTCCCTCCCACCAGTCCCCTCAGTCCCAACCCCAAGCTTCACTGAGTCTTTCTAATCTTCCTTTTCTACAGACCCATCTGACCTCTCCTCTCCTCGCCAGGCCGAGCTAGGTCCTAATTCTTCCTTGGCCTCCTCTCCTCCACCCTATAATCCTTCTATCACCTCCCTTCCTCACACCCCGTCCGGCTTTCAGTTTTGTTCTGTGACTAGCCCTCCCCCACCTGCCCAGCAATTTACTCTTAAAAAGGTGGCTGGAGCTAAAGGCATAGTCAAGGTTAATGCTCCTTTTTCTTTATCCCAAATCAGATAGCATTTAGGCTCTTATTCATCAAATATAAAAATCCAGCCCAGTTCATGACTCATTTGGCAGCAACCCTGAGACACTTGACAGCCCTAGACCCTAAAAGGTCAAAAGGCCGTCTTATTCTCAATATACATTTTATTACCCAATCTGCTCCCAACATTAAATAAAACTCCAAAATTTAAATTCCAGCCCTCAAACCGCACAACAGGATTTAATTAACCTCACCTTCAAGGTGTACAATAATAGAGTAGAGGCAGCCAAGTAGCAACATATTTCTGAGTTGCAATTCCTTGCCTCCACTGTGAGACAAACCCCAGCCACATCTCCAGTACACAAGAACTTCCAAATGCCTAAACCGCAGTGGCCACACATTCCTCCAGAACCACCTCCCCCAGGAGCTTGCTACAAGTGCCAGAAATCTGGCCACCAGGCCAAGGAATGCCCGCAGCCCGGGATTCCTCCTAAGCCATGTCCCATCTGTGTGGGACCCCACTGGAAATCGGACTGTTCAACTCACCTGGCAGCCACTCCCAGAGCCCCTGGAACTCTGGCCCAAGGCTCTCTGACTGACTCCTTCCCAGATCTTCTCGGCTTAGCGGCTGAAGACTGACGCTGCCCGATCGCCTCGGAAGCCCTGTAGACCATCACAGATGCCAAGGTTTAGGTAACTCTCACAGTGGAGGGTAAGTCCGTCCCCTTCTTAATCAATACGGAGGCTACCCACTCCACATTACCTTCTTTTCAAAGGCCTGTTTCCCTTGCCTCCATAACTGTTGTGGGTATTGACAGCCAGGCTTCTAAACCTCTTAAAACTCCCCAACTCTGGTGCCAACTTAGACAACACTCTTTTAAGCACTCCTTTTTAGTTATCCCCACCTGCCCAGTTCCCTTATTAGGCTGAGACACTTTAACTAAATTATCTGCTTCCCTGACTATTCCTGGATTACAGCTACATCTCATTGCCGCCCTTCTTCCCAATCCAAAGCCTCCTTTGCGTCCTCCTCTTGTATCCCCCTACCTTAACCCACAAGTATAAGATACCTCTACTCCCTCCTTGGCGACCGATCATGCACCCCTTACCATCTCATTAAAGCCTAATCACCCTTACCCCGCTCAATGCCAATATCCCATCCCACAGCATGCTTTGAAAGGATTAAAGCCTGTTATCACTCGACTGCTACAGCATGGCCTTTTAAAGCCTATAAACTCTCCTTACAATTCCACCATTTTACCTGTCCTAAAACCAGACAAGCCTTACAAGTTAGTTCAGGATCTATGCCTTATCAACCAAATTGTTTTGTCTATCCATCCCATGGTGCCAAACACCATATACTCTCCTATCCTCAATACCTGCCTCCACAATCCATTATTCTGTTCTGGATCTTAAACATGCTTTCTTTACTATTCCTTTGCACCCTTCATCCCAGCCTCTCTTTGCTTTCACCTGGACTGACCCTGACACCCATCAAGCTCAGCAAATTACCTGGGCTGTACTGGCGCAAAGCTTCACAGACAGCCCCCATTACTTCAGTCAAGCCCAAATTTCTTCCTCATCTGTTACCTATCTCAGCATAATTCTCATAAAAACACATGTGCTCTCCCTGCTGATCGTGTCTGGCTAATCTCCCAAACCTCAATCCCTTCTACAAAACAACAACTCCTTTCCTTCCTGGGCATGGTTGGATACTTTCGCCTTTGGATACCTGGTTTTGCCATCCTAACAAAACCATTATATAAATTCACAAAAGGAAACCTAGCTGACCCCATAGATCCTAAATCCTTTCCCCACTCCTCTTTCCGTTCCTTGAAGACAGCTTTAGAGACTGCCCCCACTCTAGCTCTCCCTGACTCATCCCAACCCTTTTCATTACACACAGCCGAAGTGCAGGGCTGTGGAGTCGGAATTCTTACACAGGGACCAGGATCGCGTCCTGTAGGCTTTTTGTCCAAACAACTTGACCTTACTGTTTTAGGCTGGCCATCATGTCTCCTGCAGCGGCTGCTGCCACCCTAATATTTTTAGAGGCCCTTAAAATCATAAACTATGCTCAACTCACCCTCTACAGCTCTCAGTTTCCAAAATCTATTTTCTTCCTCACACCTGATGCATATACTTTCTGCTTCCCGGCTCCTTCAGCTGTACTCACTCTTTGTTGAGTCTCCCACAGTTACCATTGTTCCTGGCCTGGACTTCAATCCAGCCTCCCACATTATTCCTGATACCACACCTGACCCTCATGACTGCATCTCTCTGATCCACCTAACGTTCACCCCATTTCCCCATATTTCCTTCTTCCCTGTTTCTCACCCTGATCACACTTGGTTTATTGATGGAAGTCCCACCAGGCCTAATCGCCACACACCAGCAAAGGCAGGCTATGCTACAGTACAAGCCACTAGCCCGCCTCTCAGAACCTCTCATTTCCTTTCCATCGTGGAAATCTATCCTCAAGGAAATAACTTCTCAGTGTTCCATCTGCTACTCTACTACTTCTCAGAGATTATTCAGGCCCCCTCCCTTCCCTACACATCAAGCTCAAGGATTTGCCCCCGCCTAGGACTGGCAAATTAGCTTTACTCAACATGCCCCAAGTCAGGAAACTAAAATACCTCTTGGTCTAGATAGACACTTTCACTGGATAGGTAGAGGCCTTTCCCACAGGGTCTAAGAAGGCCACCACGGTCATTTCTTCCCTTCTGTCAGACACAATTACTCGGTTTGGCCTTCCCACCTCTACGCAGTTTGATAACAGACCAGCCTTTATTAGTCAAATCAGCCAAGCAGTTTTTCAGGCTCTTGGTATTCCGTGAAATCTTTATATCCCTTACAGTCCTCAGTCTTCAGGAAAAGTAGAACAGACTAAAGGTCTTTTAAAAACACACCTCACCAAGCTCAGCCACCAACTTAAAAAGGAATAGACAATACTTTTACCTCTTTCTTTTCTCAGAATTCAGGCCTGTCCTCGGAATGCTACAGGGTACAGCCCATTTGAGCTCCTGTATAGACGCTCCTTTTTATTAAGCCCCAGTCTCATTCCAGACACCAGACCAACTTAGACTGTGCCCCAAAAAACTTGTCATCCCTACTATCTTGTCTAGTCATACTCCTAGTCACCGTTCTCAACTACTCATACATGCCCTGCTCTTGTTTACACTGCCGGTTTACACTGTTTCTCCAAGCCATCACAGCTGATATCTCCTGGTGCTATCCCCAAACTCCCACTCTTAACTCTTGAAGTAAACAAATAATCTTTGCTGGCAGGACTATGCTGAATCTCCTTAGGCACTCTCTAATTAGATGTCCTGGGTCCTCCCAATTCTTAGACCTTTAATACCTGTTTTTCTCCTCCTCTTATTCCGTTTAGTTTCTCAATTCATACAAAATCGTATCCAGGCCATCACCAATAATTCTAAATGACAAATGTTTCTTCTAACAGTCCCACGATATCACCCCTTACCACAAAATCTTCCTTCAGCTTAATCTCTCCCACTCTAGGTTCCCACGCCGCCCCTAATCCCACTCGAAGCAGCCCTGAGAAACATCGCCCATTATCTCTCCATACCATCCCCCCAATTTTTGCCGTCCCAACACTTTACCACTATTTCATTTTATTTTTCTTATTAATATAAGAAGACAGGAATGTCAGGCCTCTGAGCCCAAGCTAAGCCATCATATCCCCTGTGACCTGCACGTACACATCCAGATGGCCAGTTCCTGCCTTAACTGATGACATTCCACCACAAAAGAAATGAAAATAGCCTGTTCCTACCTTAACTGATGGCATTATCTTGTGAAATTCCTTCTCCTGGCTCATCCTGGCTCAAAAGCTCCCCTGCTGAGCACCTTGTGACCCCCACTCCTGCCTGCCAGAGAACAACCCCCCTTTTTCCTTTACCTACCCAAATCCTGTAAAACGGCCCCACCCCATCTCCCTTCGCTGACTCTCTTTTCGGACTCAGCCCACCTGCACCCAGGTGAAATAAACAGCTTTATTACTCACACAAAGCCTGTTTGGTGGTCTCTTCACACGGACGCAAGTGAAATCTACTAAAAAAAAAAAATTAGCTGGGCACGGTGGCAGCTGTCTGTAATCCCAGCTAATCAGGAGGCTGAGGCAGGAGAATTGCTTGAATCTGGGAGGCAGAAGTTGCAATGAGCTGAGATCGCGCCATTGCATTTCAGCCTGGGCAACAAAAGCAAAACTCCATCTCAAAAAAAAAAAAAGCAAGAAAGAAATTTGACAATTCCTGCCACATATATACATGCTCTTCAGATAGGGACATATACTCTGATGCTTCACATTTTGAAACACTTATTTTCATAAAAGCTTTTATGATTAAAGATGTGTTTCAGAGAGGTACATGCTTAATTCAAATCAGTAGGAAAATTGATTTGTTAAAAACAATTCCTGCTCTTAGATTCTTTAGTCAAGTTCTGTGACACTATGGCAGATTGCCAAGTATTTTTTAAAATTTCATTCAGCCCTATTATTATAAATATCTGCACACCTAAAAATCTGGCTATTATCCATATTTGTGTTTACCATGTAAATGTAAGACTTCAAGCACATAATTTAGAGGTTATTCTGAAAATGTAGTATATTTGAGTTATTCACAATGAAATAAGAGGCATTCCTGGTAAGAGTAACCTGAAGAGGTTGCCAATTTGGATAATCCCTCTCAGAAGAAATAAAATATAAAAATCAGGAAAAATTTGTCAGAAATATTTCAGGTACACTGGAAATTAACCAAAATTAGAAAACAAATTGAGGCATGTTTATCCTGGAAAAACTGAGAAAAACTGGAGTCAGTGGTCTTCTTGCTGGAGATTACCCCATTACCCCCCAATCTCCACCCTCCCACCCCACTTACAGGTGTACACTTTTAGTTTCATCAAATTGGATCTGGCTGAAAAAAATAAATAAATAAAAATAAATAAATAAATAAATAAAACAGCAGCTTTGGCGCCCAACATAGAAAATTCAGTCCAGGACCAGAGATGTAAACACCTATGGCTTTGCTAACTACAAGTGGCAGATTTGGTTACAAACAGTCAGGAAAAATCGAGTTTGTGGTCCTGGTTCAGGGCAAGAAACGGCCCAACCAGAAATTTAATGGGGAGATTCTGAAAACTGAGGGAACCATAGATAGAAGGAGTGAGGTAAGTTCTCCACAGTCCCCAGGCTGACAGAAACTCTGCTTGCATGAGAGAGATCAAAGAGGGTCCTGCAAATCATGAGCTCCAAAGGAGATTTCGGAACAGGCTACAGCATCACATGCATTCCAGCCCGCATCCTGTCCAATTAGCAGATGAAAGCCTTGTGGGCTTGTGGTGCTGGAGCATAACCTCCATCCACAGCCGTAACTGATGACTAAACTATGCAAAGGGTTGACCATGGGTGATGCAGACTGAAAACTACAATAAGAATAAAAAACTAGCAGAGACATCAGCAGCTGTACACTGAGGGAGAAAAATAAAACAGGATCCAGAGGTGTTAAAGTATTATCTAAATGTCTACCTTTCATAATAAAACAGTACCAGATTTGCAAAGAAGCAGGAAATTCTTACTAGTATTAAGGATGAAATACAGTCAATTTAAACTGGCTTTAAATGAACCTTGATTGGATTTAGCAGACAAAGGTTTTAAAGCAGTTACTGCAAACATAGTCAAAGAAAATGATAAAGATCAGAGCAGAAGTCAATGAAATAAAACAACAATAAAATTAATAAAACCAAAAGTTGGTTTTTTGAAAAGATTATCAAAATTGATAAATTGTTAACTACACAGACTTAGGAAAAAAGAGAAAACAATAATTACAAAAATCAAAAATGAAGGAGAGCATTTCATTTAATTCTCATAGTAACTCTTTGAAGTAAATACATTATTGTTCCTATTTTACATATTAAGAAACTGAGTTTTATAGCTGTTCAATAAATTACCAAACTAATACATTTGAAAGAAATACAGGACAACTATTATATGTCAGTTACTATTCCAAGCACTAGAAATAGAATGGTGAATGACAAAGGCAAAACTTTCTGTTCTCATAGAACTTATATTCTAGCCAGGGTAACAAGAAAAAAAATTGATAGCATACCTTCTCTCTCTCTCTCTCACACACACACACACACACACGCACACACATACACTAGATCAGAAAGTAATAAGTGGCATAAAAATAAATAAAGTAGAAAGAATAGATACTAGAGGTCTGAATTGGGAATGCAATGTAATTTCAGATAAAGTCGTCAGCAGAAACGCCGCTGAGACAATAACATTTAAGCAAAGATTGGAAGGAAGTGAGCATGTGATTCATGATTATAGTAGGAGAAATAAGTTTCCAGCAGGAAAAAAACAAACTGAATTTGTTTCTGGCAATTTTTAGGAGAGCAAAAAAGAACAGTGAAATGGAGTATATCCAGGGAAAATAAGAGAAATAGGTTATATTAAAAGGTTATGGGAGAAAACTGATGATGTAGAGCCTTGTAATCTAGTGGAAGGTTTTAAGGAGATCTATAATACAATCCGACTTATGTTTTAATCGAATGATACTGAATTCTCTGTTGAATAGGTTGAAGAATACAGCAACACAGGAGATTATGTGTCAAGAAAGTAAGTTAAGAGATCATCTAGAGGGCGATAGCAACAATCCAGGTGAGAGATAACGGTGGCTTGGAGCAGGATGGTAGGTTGGAAGTGATGAGAAGTGACAAGATACTGTATGATAATTTTATGGTAGAGACAAAGAATTTTTTCATGGATTGGATGTGGGGTGTGAGACAAAAGAAGCAGGCAAGAATCACACTAAGGATGTTGGTCTGAGGAATTAGTATAATAGGCTTGTCAATCATTGAGATGAGCAATCAAGATGAACTTGGAGAGGAAAACCAGGAGTAAGGTTTTGGAGATATGAAATTTGGATGCCTAATAGATATATAAATGGAAATAAGCAGGTATTTGGACATATAAACCTAGAGTTTAGGCGACAGTTCTAAATATATACATTTAGTAGTTGTCAGCATGATGATGGTATTTGAAGCCATTTGACTTTAAGCCATTTGTCTTTATAAATCTGATTATAAAGACAGTGATAAACGAGAGAACTCTATTTCATCCAAAAGAGAGAAACAGATAAGGAATGATCAACAAAACAGACTCAGAAGCAATGGCTACAGAGATATGAGGAAAACCAAGATTTGGTGTCCTGAAAGACAAGTGCGTTAGATATCTATTGGCCTACAACAAACTGCTGTAAAACATATTGGCTTAATAGCAAACCATTGTTTGCTTATTGTTCATGGTTGTCTGGGTTGATGTGTTAGGCTGGGTTCTGCAGGAGTGGCTTGTTTCTACTCCATGTAATCACCTGGGCTCCTTTATATCTCTGGATCTCATCTGGTAACAGTGGCATAGCTGAGGCCTCTGCTCACAAGGTCTCCCATCCTTCTGGAGGCTAACTTTGGATTGTTTCCATGGAGGAAGGTTTCCAATACAGAGAGTGCAAACTCTGCAATGTTTCCTGAGGTTTATGCTCAGAACTCCTCAAGAACATTTCTATCATATGCTATTGGTCAAAGTTGGCAACAAGCACAGTTCAGAAAAAAGCACATTGGAAATTAAAACTGCTTTGCAAAGAGTTACAAGAAATGTGTGAGAATTCTTTGCAATCTGCCCTATTTAGTGAAGAAAGTGCTTCAGCAAAAGGAAATGGCAAACTGTCTAATGTTATATCAGGTAAGATGAAGGTCACAAGTACACTTTTCATTAATACAATTAAAAGCTCAGCAAAATTCTCTATAAAGAGAATTAGATCATGGGGAATACAAAGGAACCATGTTTAATTATTGTTTGTGTGGTAGTTATGCGTATCACATGAGAACTTTCACAGTTTGAAGAAATTCTACGCATGGTCATAGGCTTTTAATGATATTATATTTTAAAAACTACAGTGACCTTACTCACATTTTTATAGGATTTTCGTTTTCAGCCCCCACAGGTTCCTTTGTTAATTCAACCAGGTACCAATTTGCTATATTTTTTAAGTGAAAGAATGTTATTGAGAACTATATTTTTAAATAAGTCAAGAGTAACACCATGACAACTAATGTTTTATTCTCTAAAATGAAAAGCTTAATGGCAATTTAAAAAAATAAGTGCTAGATACAATATAAATGTATTTTTAAAAGGCTTAAAATTTTAAAGTTGAGAAAAATATAAAAGATTTGAATATATAAAATTACATTTGATTTTACTATTTAAAAATATACTTACATATGACTTGAAGAGTAGCAAGTTCACATAAAAGAACACTAAGTGATTATTTTTTCCATTAAGGAAAAAGATAGATAAATTATTTTTAACACTGTTTTTTCAATCAAGTGAAATTTAGTGTATAATAATGAGAGACTCTTAGATGGCTATTGCTACAAAAAGAAGAAAAAAATTACTTTTGGAAAAATATCTTCTTTCTTACATTTGTAATAACTAGAGACAAATAATATCTTGTTATAAGATTATCAAAGGAAGACTACTGTATTTAAGCTATGAAAAATAATCACTATATTAGCACTATAATTTTTAAAACTACGTACTTAATATTTCAAATTAGATAACCAATACTGATTAAAGTAAAAAATATAAATTAAACAATGCAGATAATGAAAAAAAATTTTAAAAAATTCCACTCGTGCCAGATAACCAGTGATAACATTTTAAGTAAATCATTTGAAACATATTTCCATTATAATATTAAAGTATATGTGCTATATATAAAGTTAAGAAATTAATTTGTTCCCTTTGTAATAACTTGGATTTTTCATCAAAACATATACCTCAATTATTCAGTCATTATATTATTGTAATATACTTTTCACTTAATTGGTGCATAATAAATTATTTAAAAATCTGTTATTGTTGATTTTGATTTTTGAATTTGATTTTTTGTTTTATTTTTGTAAATAATAGAAAAATATACACCTCACATATCATACCTTTACATGCTATTAAGGCATCTTACAAGAATAAACTTTTATATCTGTGATATGATATGCTCATGTATTCATATGTACTGCCAACTTGCTATTATTTTTACCTCCAAAACAATATAAAATTTTTTTCACTAAATGCAAGAGAACATTTGATTTTATAATTAATAAAAACTTAACCTATGCTAAGTTCATTTAAGTCTTTTGTGAGTTTAAACACATTTATTGTTTTACCTTTGTTGGTTATATGGATTTCTAAATCATGATTTGGCAGTTCATGTCCTTAGCCCATTTTTCTGTCACGGTATTAAGTTTTTCTTCTGATTTATTTTAAAAACATAAATGAAGGATACTATTCTGACATAGTCACTTGTAAATAATTTATTCTAGACTCCTCTCTGGTTTTAAGTTTGGTTACATTTTTCTAAATGAAAGTTGTTAACAATCCTGTTATTTTCCGTCTTCTGTGTCGTCTCCCTAGCTCATCTAGGCACTAGTCATCCTATCTCCTTTGGGTACACTTTGCAAGATTTGTGCATTCTACTCCCACTCATATATCATGCTTTCCTGTTAAGCTTGTGTGGTCAAACCTCATCATTTACGTCTCAACTCAGAAATTATCTCACATCAATGTTCACTGATCATTATTTCTAAAGTGGAGAATTCTACAACATGATCACCTGTCTTTGACTCTTCCCTTTTGTTTCTTTATAGAGCTCATTTTAATTTATAATAATTTCATTCTTTTTAAAAAAACTTAGCTATATTTGTTGAATGTTATCTCTACAAGGGCAGAGATTATATTTGTGCCATTCATTGTCAGGTGCCAAGAGTTTTACAGTTTTAGCTATATCGTATATATTTAACAAATTTATTGTGTATGAAAATATTCCTCACTAAAAAGCTATTTATATATCCACTTCCATTAAAATCTAGTCAAATTATACATTTCTTTTCATATTTAATTCATTAAGCTAACATCTTTTGTTTTGCTGAAGTAGTAAGTAGGGATATGATTTTTGCAGTCAAAATTTAAGATAGATATCACATAATATGTTTATGTATTTATTTTCTCATTGGTTTAAAATGTCAACTGGTTGAATACTAATTTTTCCCAAAAACTGGTGCCATTTCTGGAATTTTAAATTGTGTTCCAGTGTTCTACTCCATGGGCAGTGGCTCTTATCAAGATAAAGACTGTGGAGAATTGTAACTAGGAGGTGTTGAAAAGACTTATATTTATGGAACACTCAAATAGTATGAGACTATAGTCACATAAATATCTTAAGCAAATTATCACCAAATGGCATCCAGAAAGTAGAACATTATTATCAATCAACTGGGTAAGCCTACTGCATATTAGTTAACGTCTATTCCTAGCTGCCTGATATGGTTTGACTGTATCTTTGCCCAAATCTCTTCTTAAATTGTAGCTCCCACAATTCCCATGTGTTGTGGGAGGAACCTAGTGAGAGGTAATTGAATCATGGGGGCAGACCTTTCCTGTGCTGTTCTCATGATAGTGAATAAGTCTCACGGGATCTGATGGTTTTATAAGGGGGAGTTTCCTTGCACAAGTTCTCTCTCTTGTCTTTCACCTTCTTCCATGATTGTGAGGCCTCCCAAGCCATGTGGAACTGTGAGTCCATTAAACCTCTTTTTCTTTATAAATTACCCAGTCTCGGGTATGTCTTTATCAGCAGCATGAAAACATACTAATACACCACCCTGTGCTTGCTTAATAAGCTCTTGACAATGACCATGGTTTTGGGAATGGAGGCTCTGCATGGAATTTCCACTCATCATCATCACTAGCCAAAAAAAAATTCAAGACATAAAAAGACTCCTGAGAAAGTTAATTTTCCTAGGATACGCAGGGCAGCAGCAGGAAGACAAAGACACATTGTGGAGCAATCATCTTATAATTGGCCAGCTAATATATTTCTGAACAACTTCATCAGAGTAACTGTCTTAGAGTTGTTGGCTACTGTTACTGCCCCATGTTCAAGCCACAAATATCATGCTAAATTAATTGAATTATTTTTAGGAACACCTCCTTAGATTGAAGCAGTATCTATCACAACAAAGGTGTGCATCAAATCTTAGCTATTAGCATTTTAAAACTATTATTAGTCTTACAAATAAAGAAATTTGCTATGTTGTAAAATCTTAGCAATAAAAATATTTTTATAGGAAAATATAATTCCTTTCAACATTAAACAAATCAACTATTTTTGCAGTATATATAGAATCTAATAAGCCCTTGACCCTAAATATTCCACTAGACAATAGTTGCCAATGTTATCTTATGAGAGCTGTGAGAAAACCATTTCTCGTTGTTCATCAGAAAGGTAAGTGTTTGTTCAACATGATTTTTGCATAAGTAAATGCCCATTGCAGAGTAGAAACTGTGGATTCAGTTAATACTTTACAGATTATTTTCCTCCCTTTAGTTATTCTATTACTTCATTAGCAGATAACAGCAGGAATTTGGAGTATTTTATCTTGTTTTTTTTTAGCATAAATGAGCTGCCATTAAGCCATAATTATAAACACAACTCTGCTTTACATTATCTATTGATGTTTTTGTGCAACGCATTCTGCAATACCTGAGGTCATTATTTTTGGTATGCCTGGGCCTGGACTTAAGCACAAATTACAGGAGTGCAGAAGAAATATTATGACCTTGAAATCATAGAAATAAAATCTATACAAACTGAAAGAGAGAAGAAAAATAATTAAAATGTATGAATTGATCATGAATTACCTATGGAATCACACACCATGTTCTAATAGTGTGTGATTGGAATCTCAGAAGGAGACGATAGAGTGAATGATGGAGAACACATGCTATAAGAACTGATAAATGAAAAATTTTCATATTTGATTTTAAAAATCAACCAAAATTAAGGTGAAACCCAAGCAGAATAAATACATAGTAAAGCACAAGTAGGCATAGAATAACCGTAATACTAAAAACAAAATGAAGAAGAAAATCTTAAATGTAGTCAGTGAAAAAAAATAAGCTATTATATACAGAAACAATGATACAATGGCTCATTTCTCATCAAAAACAATGACACACAAAGATCATGAAGTTACATATTTGACGTGTTGAAAGTGAAAAAATGTAAAACCAAAATTTTATATCTAATGAAAATATTCTTCAAAAATAATTCTTCATTTTCAGATAAATGAGAGCTCAAAGAATTGTTTGAAGTCACACCTGAATTACAAGAAATGTCAGATATTATTCTGGCTGAATAATGTCACTTAGAAACTCAGATCTACAGGAACGAATGAACAGCACCAGAAATGATATATATGTAGATAAATAAAATGATAATTTTTAATATCTTAGTTTCCTTAAAAACACATTTTTGGTAAAAAGAATTTTAACTATATATTGTGGATTTCATAATGTGAATAGATATGTATTTTAATATAGCACAAAAGAAGGGGTTATAGGGAACTTCACTGTCCCAAGATAATTACATTCAAAGTGAAATGGTACAGAATTAATTCTAAATATACTGTGATTAATTAATAATGCATATAAAATTCTAGAACAACCCTTAAAAGTTAAAAGAATTGTCATTAAATATCCAAATAAGAAATTCAAATTTTCAAAAGAAAATTTAAAGAAAAGACAGAATCAAATAAATCCTGAGTAAAGTAACTGCATACTAGAAAAAGGCCAGCTATATTAAAGAAATAAACTCAGCACCTAATAATGTAAAATTCATAATGTCTGATTTCCAATCTATAATTATCATACATGCCAAGAAGCAGGAAAAGATTGTTACCAAGAAGTGCAGGAGTACTTGGTTCTTATCTTATTCATGAGAAAGAATTCGGCCAAGAGACAATTAGTAAAGTAAGCAAAGGTTTATTGAAGAAAAATAAAAGGCAAAGAACGTATTGAAAGAATACACCTCAAGAAAGGAACAGACTGATCCAGATACAAAACAACTCCAGGCTGGTCTGCCTGGGAAAACAGCAGTACTAGCAGCAAGGGTTAAGTAGTAGGAGAGACGGTATATTCTGAAAGAGGAGGCAGAGCAGGCTGCTCAAAAGGGAATAAGCTTGGGAGGCCGAGGCAAGAGGATCACATGAAGTTAGGAGTTCAAGACCAGCCTGGTCAACATGGTGAAATCCTGTCTCTAAAAAAAATACAAAACAATAGCCAGGCATGGTGGTGGGCGCCTGTAGTCCCAGCTACAGGGGAGGCTGAGGCAGAAGAATCGTTTGAACCTGGGAGGCAGAGGTTGCAGTGAGCCAAGATAGAGCCACTGCACTTCAGCCTGGGAAACAGAGCGAGATACCCTCTCAAAAAAAAAAAAAAAAAAAAAAAAAGAGAGAGAGAGAGAGAATGAGCCAGCAGCCCCGAGAGTTCTGCATTGTGGTTTTTATTATGTCAGACTGTTCCTGCCTCTGTCTCAAGTCTCTGCCTTTGTCTTTGTCTAGTTTCCCAATTCTGCCTTAAGTCCCTGCCTTTTCCCCACCTAGTTCCTGCCCCAGATTTGTGGGATTCTCCCTTACTCTCTGTCAGTTGATGTGCTAGTGCGGGCTGAGTGTTGGATACAAATTCTACTTAATTGCAGCACTGCTCATTACTGCAACCCCAGGAAGGTCGTATAGCGGTTAAATCTATGCTTACTGTGCTGCATGTCTCTTAGGAATTTCTCCTTTGTCCTCCTTCCTTCCTTATCAGCATGCAGCTAGCTACATTCCGACAGGTTAGCTGCAGAGTATGCGATTACTGGATATCTTAAAGGGGGGTTCCTTTCTGCCTAAGTATTTCCTCTCGTCTCTGCTCATATTTGGAATGACTGTTTCAAGCGGTCTCTGGAGCATGAGATTTTCCTGACCTCTTTTTCTCAGGGGTTCCCCCTCTTGCTCACGTCTTGATATCTGCCTATTCTAACAAAAGATGACCCATAACCAGGAGAAACATAGGCGCTTCTCCAAAGTTACACCTTTTGAAATAAGAATGTGTAATGATGTTCCACATTACTATTCATTAGGAAAATGCAAATAAAATTACAATGAGATATCACTGTACATTTCACTGGATTGGCTATTTTTTTTTAAGAATATACCAGGGGCTGGGCGCAGTGGCTCACACCTGTAATCCCAGCACTTTGGGAGGCCGAGGCGGGCGGATCACGAGGTCAGGAGATCGAGACCATCCTGGCTAACACGGTGAAACACCGTCTCTACTAAAAATACAAAAATTATCCCGGCGTGGTGGCGGGCGCCTGTAGTCCCAGCTACGCCAGACGCTGAGACAGGAGAATGTCGTGAACCCGGGAGGCGGAGCTTGCAGAGAGCCGAGATCGCGCGCCACTGCACTCCAGCCTGGGCGACAGAGTGAGACTCCGTCTCAAAAAAAAAAAAAAAAGAAAAAAAAAAAGAATATACCAGTCATTGACATGGTTGTGAAATAACTGGAGCTCTCTTACAGTGCTGCTGCGAGGTAAAATGATACCAACTTAGAAAACAGTTTGCAGTTTCTTAAAAAGTTTGAACTACACCTATCAACCCTATGATCTGGACATTCCACTTTCAGGTGTTTTACACCAGAGAAATAAAAGCATATATCATCCCAGACACTCGAATTCAAATGTTTATAGTAGCTATACTTACAATAGCAGAAACCCAGAAACAACCCAAAAGTCTATCTAGAGGGGAATGAATAAACAAAGGGTGGCATAGCTACACAATATAATACTACTTAGCAGGAAAAAGTAATGAATTAGTGATACATGCCACAACATGGGTGAAACTCAAAAAAATTGATCTGGAGTGAAAAATGATGAACAAAACAGTATACATAATGTGTGATTACATTTACGTGTTATTTAAAAAAATGAAAACTGATCAGTGTTTGCCTAGAGATTGGGGAGGGGATAGAGGCATAAGCATGTTCCTTTTGTTGAATTTGTTAATGTTACAGTTGCATACATGTGTTAAAACTAATCAAATTGTAGACTCTATAAAAAGCAGCTCTGTTGATGAATTATATTCCAATAAAGATGCACACATAAAATAGCATGTTAAATTAATGAATGGGAATAGGAAAGAAAGCTGCTTATGTATGTTTTGAACAAACACTTCTAAAATTTTAGGAGAAAAAGAGAATATGACTGCCAAAGAAAAAGAGAAGATTCCTAAAAGCCCAATTTTTTAAAAATCTCTGAGGCACACTCTTAAAATGCATAAAGCTTTTTGTATAACTGAGAAGTGCTATGACATACCAATTTAAATCAATCTACAAGGAAAATAAGGAATTTGACAATCATACTCTTGTCTTAGTCTTTACCATGAGACCAGGTTCTTCTGACAGCGCCCAAGACTTGATCTTTGCTCTGAGACGCTTTCTTTTTTTTTTTTTTTTTTTTTTATATTTGTCTTTTATTGTAAAAACTCAAATGGGCATACAACAGTGGAAACCATTTAACATAAAAATTAAAAATCAAATACTGTCTCCTCTATTATACAGTCACACACTTCATTAGACATACCTTTAAGAAAAGACAATGTGATAAAAAAATTGAATTATGTTTAAACACATGTCAAACTGTTTACTAGTGTAGCCAAGAATTATCATACATTGGAGAGAAAGTTTTAGGATTTTAAGTTTTGTTTGGACAGCCCCTAATTTTATAGTAACCATTAGACAATTTTACATGATCAGGAATACACCATGCAGCAAAATTAATAGAAAATACAAACTTTAAAGCAACTTACAATGTGATACAGTACGTTTTGGCTAGTAAACACGCTAAGGGATTAGGCTCTTTCTTTGAGAATACGTTGCTGTTATGAAAACACATTCCCAAAGTCATCAATATTTTCTTAAAATTCTACTTTAAACCTGACTAGTTAATTTTTTTAGTTTATCTCTCTCCTCTCATAATTTATTGTAAGCAAATAGAAAAAGCCAGTCAGCACCTTTAACACTGAGCCCTTAGCCTCTTTAGCTATATCATGCAACTCATTAGGTGCATTTTGCATAATCCATATCACTACAAGCAGCAACACTGCCACTACGTGAAATATATCCCTTTTCCTCTAGCTACAAGTAAGCTTTTCCTGTAAGTCTTCACCCCTGTATTCCTTGAGGCCTATCAGGCTTCTGTTTACTACCTGGTCCCCAAACCAATGCCACATATTTTAGGTATGACCATGAAAAGAATCTTCTTCCAGGAACCACATTCTCTCCTGACTAACCATGTCTGAGTAACAAACTGTCCCAAAATTTAGTTCCTTATCTTCAGAAAGGGGATGGTATGTTCTTTTCATCAAGATACCCTGGGTCTCAGCTGAAATGACTGAAAGTCTAGGAGTGATCAATCTGCTGGAGGCAGGAGTAATTTGCAGAATTCTTTCCTCTCCTTATGCCTTGTTCCTAGTCTGACATGACTCACAGTCTGGGTTCAGTGGATCTCCACATGGCTTTCCCCTGAAGATCAGGATATTTACAGCATGGTGCCTGGGTGCTGAGAATGAACATTCTGAGAGGCGGTGTCTGAAGAGCAACACTGCAAGACACCAGAGAAAAACTGCACTTTTTATTTTTTTGTACTGAACTGGCAAGTCACATAGCTTCTCGTTGCTGAATAAGAGAAACAGTACAAGGTACTGACAGCCGCTGCTAGTCTCAGGCATTGGAAGAGGCTTAGAAAATTTCAAGTAGATGTCCTGGCCATTGGGACCCCACATGAGGCTGAGTTAGAGATGAAAACATCCTGCTTGCATGGCCAATCCTAGCCACTGAAGGGAGCTTACTTTAAAGATACTCCAAAATCAGGATTCCTTCGGGTTTGGGGCCCAGGGGGAAGGCCTCCCTTAGCTCAGGTCTAAGAGCAGCATTGCTGGTAGCTCATTGTTACAGCAGTGATAAAGATTTAGAAGTCAGTTCTACACAAGCAAGATAAATGCCAAATAAGACCTAGGTCATAGGTTAAAATTCTGTTGGTCAGATTTCAGATATTACAAATGTAGGTAAGGGGACTAGAGAAAACTGTTAGTAAAGCCAACAGCGGTAATGTGGTGATCGGTTGGCAAAGTCCAAAGAATCCAAACCTCAAGAACAAGACACTAGTAGCAAGAAGGAAATTAAATACTATGTATGTTTCAATACTTCTGAAGCAAACATTCACCATTCACCAGAGCATTGCAGTGCGGCTGGGGTAGGGTATAATAATTTGAAGACAAGATAAATTTCTGGCACTTACACAATTAAAATATGCCAATCATTTCCCTTACAGCCTTGTCTGCAGAGCACTTAGGCATCATAGGAGACTAAGTGGAAAAAGAGGATAGAGAAGATAGAGATCAAAAACCTCCATCAAGTCTTCAGGTAATTTTATCTATCTAACACCTTGTATTCCCTGTAAATTTGTAAGTAAACACATATGTCTGTGGCAGTAAAAAATTTGAAAATCAATGACATGAATGTTTAAGCAAAATGCATCAAATGTGGGGTAATTATCTGAAATAAATGACACTCTAGTCAAGTCTATGTTTGCTGCATAATATTAAGAAAATTTAATTTTAATGTTGATGAGTCTGTGTCTTATATGAGTTTTCAAAACATAAATTCCCAAAGAAAAAAGTATCAAAAACAATAATCTCTGGTAATATATAAAATTAAGTATTCAATAATAAAATACAATAATTTTCTTTCTCTGTTTCTTTAGTGGTTTAATTTTTAATATTTGAAATTTGAATCTTTATTACCTTATATTAGATTTTTCTTTTTATTTCAAACTTAAATGAAATCAAAGAACTTCCAAATGCTATGCATTTGTTTTTAATGAACATAAAATATCCCTCACAGTGACAATGCCAATCTTCATGAAATAATAAAATGTTAAAATATTTACAACCTGGAAAAATTGCCTATTGTTTTTTATGTGTGCCTTTTATTTTTCACCAGTGTCTTCAAATTATGGTTATCTTTAATCCATTAAGAACACATGTGAGAATCTAGTAACTGGAGAGCTCAAAGACAATTTAAGGAGATTAAAAAGAAATAGAAGTTATGGCTCTAAAACTTTAGCAGCTTACAATCATGGTGTTGACAAAGCAGAAAATATGACTTTTTTACTTTACGAAAATTAGTGGATCTCCATTCCTCAAGTACTAGAAATAAGTTATGCCAAGGATAGGACCATTTTGTATTCATTTATAAATATTTAGTAAAGACATTCACAGAATTTGGAGACACAGTGATGAACAAGACATAATCATTAAACCAATGACATTTATTTTTTAAAGGGAGAGAATGACACATAAGTTAACCACCGTGGTATATTATGACACTAGTAATATTCACAGTTCATATAAGATAGTATGGAACTACAGAGAAGGGAATATAGTTGGTCAATAATAACCTGTGGCATTTTCAAAGGCAAGGTAATTATCTCATTCAATATTTTATTTCAGCAGCCTAGTGCAATACTTTTGAAAGGAAGTGTTCAAAATGTATTTGCTGAAAACTATTCTTGAGTCAAATAAGTCCTCTTAGAAAAGTTAACACTTGCGTTAACTCTTGAAGGATATTGGTAGAGTTCAGGCAATCAAGAGAGAACAATATAATGTGTGCAAATATGAGGAGATATGAATAAAAGAATTATAAATGGTTTTGCATATCAGAGCAAAGAAATGTTTGAGTATGAAGAATGGAACAAGTGAGATTCACAAGATACAGATTATGAAGATTCTTTGTGGCATTTCAAAGGCTTTGAATTTTACACACGTGTCAAAAAAAAAAAACTATGAAAGATTTGAAGCAGGAGATTGATATTTAGAGGAAAGCCACGCTGAAGGCAGGAGACTTCATGGGGGTCATCTCAGTAGCCCCAGTAAAAGCCAATAGTGGTTTGAAGTAAAGTAGTAAGTCTTTATTTAATCAACTGTCTCTCCACAGGATGTAATGACTAGTTGAAAGAAGGAAGAGTAAGAATAATTTCTAAATTTCTGTTTTGATAAACTGATTTGATGGTATTATTTAACTCCACACATATTTTATCACGCACTATTTAAGACAAAAAGTCTCCAAGATTTAAAAGCAGATTGTCATGGCTAACCCTGCCCCAACCTTGTTGTACTCTGCCAACTGCCCTGATAGCTTAACACAAAAGACATAAACTTTTGGGAGCTTTTGTAGCGCTGCCCATTGCTTATGAAACCAGATTACTTCCCCCTGGGCAATTTGGGGCAAGCTCAAATCCCACTGCTATTACTACAGCTGGTGCTCTCTTGCAAGCACTGCCTCCTGGCTGGAGACTGTCAGTGTATTATCATGTCTCCAGGTAGAATAACACTGCACCCAGGAAGGAGAAAATAAATACATAACCTCAGCTATAGCCACTGCATACAACACCCTCACTAACCAGAAGTCCTGAGTACTTCTGACATGAAGTACATGACAAGTTCACTACAGTCATAACCAGCATTTGTGAAAACCAGGACACTAAGCCTATCTACAACCAAGGAATCTCACAGAGTGTATGTCACTCCCTTGACACCTCCATCAGTGCTTATACTGGTACCCACTCCTGGAAAGCTTGAAGACAGGTCACATCACCAGACACCTTGAAGATACTCCCCAGCATTAGCTAGGAGTGCCTGGGGTGTGGCAGCCCCATCTGGCTAGACCCAGAAAAGCAATATCAATCACTGTAGTCTGGCAAGACAATTTGAAGAAATAATCTATCGAAATGAGAAGGAACCAGAAAAGTAATTCTGATAATATGACAAAACAGTGTTCTATAACACCCCTAAAATATTACACTAGTTCTCCAGCAATGACTCCAAACCAATAAGAAATTGTTGAAATAGCCAATAAAGAATTCAGGAGGTTGATTATTAAGCTACTTAAGGAGATACCAGAGAAAAGTGAAAATCAACATAAAGAAATTAAGGAAACAATTCAGGATATTAATAAAAAATTTTGCAGAGAGATAGCATAAAGAAAAAACAGAAAATGAAAACGAAATGAAAAACACAGGGAAATACAAAATGCAGTGGAAAGTTTAAATGATAGATTAGAACAAGCAGAAGAAAGAATTTCAGGCTGGGCGCGGTGGCTCACGCCTGTAATCCTGGCACTTTGGGAGGCCGAGGCGGGCAGATCACGAGGTCAGGAGATTGAGACCATCCTGGCTAACACGGTGAAACCCCATCTCTACTAAAAATACAAAAAAAAAGTTAGCTGGGCGTGGTGGCGGGCGCCTGCAGTCCCAGCTACTCGGGAGGCTAAGCCAGCTACTCGGGAGGCTGAGGCAGGAGAATGGCGTGAACCCGGGAGGCGGAGCTTGCAGTGAGCCAAGTTCCGGCCACTGCACTCCAGCCTGAGCGACAGGGTGAGTCAAAAAAAAAAAAAAAAAAAAAAGATTTTCAGAGCTCAAAGACAAGGCTTTCAAATTAATCCAATTAGACAAAGATAAAGAAAAATAATCAAAAGAAGTGGACAAAGTCTCTAAGAAATATGAGATTATGTGAAAAGGCCAAACCTAAGAATGATTGGCATTCCTGAGGGAGAAGACAAGGCTACAAGTTTGGAAAACTTATTTGAACAAACAATTGAGGAAATCTTCCCTGATCTAATATCAAAACCAGGAAAGGACATAATAAAAAGAAAACTGCAGACCACTATCCCTGATGAGCATAGATGCAAAAGTCCTCAACAAAATACTAGCTAACTAAATAAAACTGCACATCAAGAAGATAGTATATCACCATCAAGTGGGTTTTATACCAGGGATGCAGGGATGGGTTAACATATGCAAGTCAATAAATGTGATACATCACTTAAAAACAAATTAAAACAAAAAACATACGATCATCTCAATAGACACAGAAAAAGCAGTTGATAAATTCCAGCATTTCTTTACAACAAAACCCTTCAACAAAATAGGCGTAGAAGGGGCTTACCTCAAAGTAATAAAAGCCATATGTAACAAGCCCACAGGTAATATTATACTGAGTGGGGAAAAGTTGAAAGCATTCTCCCTGAGAACTGGAACAAGACAAGGATACTCACTTTCAGCACTTTTCTTTAATATCCACTTTAACCACTTCTATTTAATATAGTACTGAAAGTTCTAGCCAGAGCAATCAGATAAGAGAAAGAAATGAAGGGTATCCAAATTGAAAAAGAGGAAGTCAAACTTTCACTGTTCACCAATGATAAGATTATATACCTAGAAAACTCTAAAGACTTACCTAAAAAGCTCCTAGATCTGATAAACAATTCAGTAAGGTCTCAGGATACAAAATCGATGTACACAAATCAGTAGCACTGCTATACATCAAAAATAAGCTGAGAATCAATTCAAGAACTCCATCCCTTTACGATGGCTGCAAAAGTATATGTAACCAAGGAGGTGAAACATCTCTGCAAGGAAAATGACAAAATACTGCTGAAAGAAATCATAGATGACACAAACGGAAACATATCCCATGCTCAAGGATGGGAAGAATCAATATTGTGAAAATGACCATACTTTCCCAAACAATTTATAGATTTAATGCAATTCCCAGAATAAAGAACTCAAAGCCAAATAAGCCAACTGATTTTTGACAAAGCATACAGAAACATACATTGGGGAATGGACACCCTATTCAATAAATAATGCTGGGAATACTGGCAAGCCACATGTAGAAGAATGAAACTGGATCCCCATCTCCAACCCTATATAAAAATAAAGTCAAGATGGATCAAAGACTTAAATCTAAGGCCTGAAATTATAATAAGTCTAGAAGATAACATCGGAAAAACTCTTCTGAACATTGGCTTAGGCAAAGAATTCATTACTAAATCACCAAAAGCAAATGCAACAAAAACAAAAATAAATAAATGGGACCTAATTGAATGAAAAAGCTTCTATACAGCAAAACAAATAATCATGAGTAAACAGACAACCCAAAGAATAGGAGAAAAAGAACTAGTATATAGAATCTAAAAGGAACTCAAACAAATCAGCAGGAAAAAAACAAATAACCCCATCATACAGTGGGCAAAGGACATGAATAGACATTTATCAAAAGAAGATATACAAATGGCTAACAAACATGAAAAAATGCTGAATATCGCTAAACATCAGGGAAATGCAAGTCAAAAACACAATAAGATACTACCTTACTCCTGCAATAATGGCCGTAATTAGGAGTCAAAAAACAATAGATATTGCCATGGATGTGATAAACAGGGAACACTTTTATACTGCTGGTAAATTAGCAAAACCACTATTGAAAACATGATGGATATTCCTTAAAGACCTAAAAGTAGATCTACCATTAGATCCAGCAATTCCACCATTGGATATCTACCCAAGGAAAAGAAGTCATTATATAAAAAAGACATATGCAGATGCATGTGTATAGCAGTACAATTCACAAGTGCAAAACTATGGAATCATGCTAAGTGTCCATCAACCAACGAGTGGCTAAAGAAAGTGTGGAATATACACACCATGGAATATTACTCAGCCTTTGAAAGAGGGAAATAATGTGTTTTGAAGAAATTTGGATGGAGCCAGAAGCCATTATTCTAAGTTAAGTAATTCAGGAATGGAAAGTCGAATAATACATGGTCTCATTTCCAAGTGGGAACTAAGCTATAAGGACACCAAAACATACAGTGGGATGTAATGGACTTTGGGGATTCGGGAGGGGAAACTGGGGGTGGGGGTGAGGAATAAAGACTACATATTGGGTACAGTGTATACTGCTAGGGTGATGACTGCACTAAAATCTCAGAATTCAGCACTAAAGAATTCATCCATGTAACCAAAAATCATCTGTACACCAAATACTACTGAAATTTAAAATATAAAGGAAGATGGTCAGAACCGAAAGACATCCTGTTGCAATGGAGCAAAAGCATGTGAAAAATAAGACCACCATTTATGCAATGAATTTATTTATTTCAAATAATAATTACTCAGGCATAAGGCCAAATAAACACAGAAAGGATGAACAGCGATAACTAGATGAACTGAAAATATTGGATTAAATATTGATTAATATTTATATGTTGCTATATACTTGCAAACAAATGTAACAATGATGGTGCTGTTGAAATATGCTAGGAGAAAAAACCTAATATTATTAAAATATTTACACACTTCAAGTAAACAAGGTATATAACTATTATTTTATTGCAAGCACACTGTATGTGCTATGGCTGACAAAAGCAGCTCTTTTCCTTATGTAATTTGCTTTTTTTTGTTTTGGTGTTATTTTTACCCAACTAACGAGTTCCACAAAAATGTTTCCAAGAGGTTTGCAGCTAGCTGACTCAGTTTCAGACAACCTCCCAGGGTCTCCTTATTTTTCCAAGTCAAGTGAAAATAAATTATTTGACTGCTAAAAACCTGAATATTTATTTCAACAACCTCACCAAATTTAGAATATCTATCCTTTTATAATGCAATATAGTAGTATCTAAAATAGAGCTATATTAGTATATATTGTTAGGAGTGTTTCCTCCAGAGAATTCCAGAATTCCAGAAGAATCACTTATGTATTCACTGTTATAGGTTCATTGGATAAAAATAATGGCTGTATTTCAATTATTATCATTTTAAATCACAAAGTGTCAAGCCATATTAAGCAATTTATAATTTCTTTTGAATTGCCAAAAGAGTTTCTGATTATTTTGATGCAGAATTTTTCTCTGCCCTTTGCCAGGCTTGTGGCAGGAGACACACCATCTACTCGGCCTGCTGGGTCACTTCCGGCTTGCGCTCAGGTGCAGATCCTGCAGCCACCACGACTGTGCACTCAGTCTTTGGTGGGAGGGGGTGTGTCAGCAAGCAAATGCGGGGTCCAGCTGGTCATTCCAAATGCCGGCACAGGGGTGTACTTTGTGTAGGGCTTGTGGCTGGGCCAGGTGTGGTGCCCCAAGGGGAATGCAGGGGCACCCAGGCAGGGGTGCCCATGACCCTGAATCCCCAGAGAGGGTGTTATACCATGCCAATTAGCTCTTTTAGTCCCACTATCTGCAGCCCTATGGACAGTGGCATGTTAACAGCTCAGTCAGCCTCTTGCCCTGCTCTGGCCTGTGCTCCAGGGCTGGCTAAACCCTGCTACTGCTTCCTGTTACATGGGGTGCCTGCTTTACACCAGTGGAGGGCAGAGGGCCATGGTGTTACAGCCTTCTGAATACCTGCCATTTGGTGGATCCCAATTTCTTGTCCTGCATCCAAGAAGAATGAGGTCACACTGACAATTGAAGAGTGATGACAACAGAGAATTTTATTGAGCAACCAAAAAGCCCTCCAAGGAGAGGGGATAGGAAGGTGGTCTCTCACCTGAAGACAGGTCATCTCTCTCATTGTGGCTGAGTCTGGATTTTTACAGGCACAGGATGGGGAGGGGCGGGCCATAGGTAGTATTGGAAAAGGCAACAGTCAAATAGTTATAAAGCATTATTTAGAAAGAACCAATCAGGAAGGGGCAGACTAACAGAAACAGTTCTCAATCCAAGGTGCAGGTTTCATCTGGAACCAGTAGTCCGGTCTTTCAGCCTTCAGGATGTTTTTGGCTTGAAGGTGGGGTTTTACCAAGGACCTGCCCCTTTCTGCCTAGACATTTGTCTGCCTCCTGCACTATCAATTTGACCACGTATGTCAAGAAACAAGCAAAGATTTTATGTACTTAAAACTAATAACAAAAGCAAATGAAAATTTGTGCTCATTAAGCATCTGCAGATTCTAGAAATGTTTCTCAATGCCTGGTATGGTTCACTACAAAATAGTATTAAGTAGCAAAACAATGTGTTTGAGTCAATAATAATTAGACCTCACTTCTAATGATTGGCTTTCAGAAGTAAATAAGTTCATAATAATTAAGTCTTTATTTCTAATGTAATATTCTTGGCAGGGGGATAGAGCAGAGAATGCCTTTTCTGATGAATAAGTAAGCATTAGTAGGACTGGACTAAAGAGGGAGCATATGATTTATCTGAATGCTTGGTTGGACCTAACTCCCACTCACTTGCTTTCCTCTTATTGAACAAGCAACCAAAAGACCACAGGACAAATGGAAGCATTAACATTACCACCATCCATCACCAGTCCTTTAAATTTCCAGAAGGATGTGAAGCTGTAAGGTTAGCCAGCGCTGGGACCAAGGGTAGGAGATGAAGAATGAAAGGTGTCAGTGCCTCATCATGCTACGTCCCTGCACTCAGATTAGTAAGTCTAATTCCTTTTTATGAAAATATTAAGAGTTTCCACTTCAGTTGGGCCATGTACATACATTAAGCAGTATTGAAATAACCTGCCTGTAAACCCCCCACTTCCCATCCCTGGATTGATGTTCTCTGTTTAATTCAGGGACCAAATGGAGTATGACCATTTGTCATACACAGCAATCATCATGAAAATGCCTTAAGGGGAGTGATATTATCAAAAGTAAAGACTCTCTCCCACTCTATTACAAACTATGAAAGTTATGAGCCCTAAATCACAGACTAATAGAGGTTTGAAAGTGAAGCATTTGTGAAGTTAAAAACAACATACCAAAATCTAGGTGTATGTTGTCAAAATATTAAGATGGGCAAGTGGCACATGTTATAATACAGTATTAAATAGCAAAATTATGACTATTCTGAAAAGAATACATAAGTAACTGTATCTATTGCAATTAACTGCCCCAAGGATGGTTGTAAATGAATGAGTTTAATTATTTTTGGTTAATCTTTATCTGTTTTTCTGGAACAACTTCCCATTGAAGATAATATTTTCTGATATAATCAATAAAATGTTATTATTAAATTTGGTTATTTACAGCGGAAAAAATACGTATGCGAAAGTATAAAATGGGAAAACTGCCTTTTTGAGAGCAACATGGCTATAGAAAGATTTCTCTACTTAAGATAATAACAGAGCAAATGTGGATCATCACTTTCTAGGGTGTTTTTACATTCATGAGACACATACAAATCTCATTCTGCAGTAGCCACTGTACCTCTGGGCATTTCCAATGTTTTATTTATTTGAGCTGCTTTCTTTTTAATGAATTACCAGATTGCCATTAGTCTGTGTAAAATTCCTATCAAGTTGGGTTTGCAAGCACTATAGTAATGTGTAGTGGCTCCTGGCAATATGGTTATGAACAGAATATATAAATCCTTACACGTATAAGAGGCACACCACACACAGCAATACAATAACACAGAATCATATTTAATCATCTTCCTGAATAAATAGTTTAAACATAACAGTACCCCAAAGACAAGAACTTGGTATTGGGCAAACACTTTAAGATCAGTACAGTCTACAGTAAAGTTAATCAAAATATTGACAATATTTATAATTTAGTGTGTCACTTTCTTACAAACACTTGGCTTTAAGACTCTGTTAGAGACTTACAACAAAATCCCTGTCTAATGGAATTGGATGCTAAATATAATTCTAAAGACTACTCATATTAAATGAGCTATTGGTGCTCTTTCCCAACCCTTCCAAGCCTTCCTCTGTTGTTCAGTGTACTAGCCAGAGTCCTTAAAATGACTTAGGAGGCTGCAAGTTATTATCCCTCTCAACCCACTTGTCTCTAGCCATGCAGGCTTCCTTGATGTGCTATGTAAGCACACAGCAGCCTGCTTCTACCCAAGGGTCTTTGTACTTGTTCTTCTCTCTTCTAGGAGCACCTTTCCCAGGATTATATTCTCTCTTTCTCTTAACCCACACAGCTTCACCATTCTCAGACCATTATTCAAATGTTATCCTCTCAAAGATGTTTCTCTGCCACTTTTTAAAAAGCTGTATCATCACCTTAACCCTCCCTATACCCTCTTCCAGCTTATTTTATTTATAGCACCTGTTGTATGATATAGAGTTTATTTATATGCTTATTAATTCTCTGTTATTCTTTTTCTCCTGACTAGAATTTGATCTCTGTGAGTGTAGAGATTTTGATTGCTTATTCATTTCTCACATGTCTAGATCCTACAGGAGTGCTGGGTATGTAATCAGTGCTTAATAAACATTTGTTGGGTGATTGAATATTAACAACTTGAATTAAGCTTACTTTTTTCTTCCATGCTCTTGAAAAATACACTGTATTTAAAATATATAATATCAAAAAGGTTCTACTTATTAACAACTCAAGAAAATATCAAATGGCAGTGGAATATAATGTGAGATTTAATAAATGTAAATAGTGAGAAGATATTGAAAAAATATTGATAGTCAGAAAGGGCCCTACTCAAAGAGCTAATCAGAAACAGAGCACAGATAGAATGAGAAAGAAATCACTATGTACTTTTGTGTTGAGAAGAGCAAAGAGCAGAATATGCAAATGCTGTAGGATAGAAAGGGGGAATAGCATAGATATGAATTTAGAAGATAATAAATTTGAATAACAACACAGAAAAGTTAGAGGAAGACCTAATTTCTGTACTCATCAAATAAAAAGTTATGTCTAAGGGCCATAGTGAAGCAGATACGGTCAATGTGGACAAGTATTTATTTTAATTTCCTAAGAAGGAAAGATGTGACAAAACAAAGACCACAGCAGAGGAGATTTCAGGAGACAGAATCCTGATAGGATGAGAGATGTTAACAAATGGCTTAAGGAAAGCAGTGGTAAGTATATCTTGAGAATTCTCAATGTTTATTTTCAAGACTAAATGTATGCCTACAACTAATACAATAAAGGAAGTTCTTTTTGTTTTGGGGTGTGTATGTTTGAACATGTGTAAGAAGAAGATGCTTAAAATTATGTTTCTTTATATTTCTGGTTATGATAAGAAGCTAGTATTGTACGATGATCAGGAACGTGGACCTCGGATTCAGGAAGACTTGGTTAAAATAAACAAATTTTATTTGCTATGTGATCTTGCATAGTTAACAAAATAGTTCTGAGTTTTCCTTTCTCCTGTGAAAAACAGGAAAACAGAACATACCTTACGGGGTTGTTGTAAGATTAAATGACATAATATAAAAAAAAGCCTTTGGCACAGGCCAGAAACATACTTATTAATTTTTCCTAGAATAAGCATCATAAACTCTGTTGAAGAATAGAGACCAATAGAATGACAAATTATATTGTGAAAATAAAAATCAAATTAGATGTGTATATGTGAGTGTCTCAAACTTTCCTTTGTCTATTTTAATTGCCTGGTGGTAAAAGCAGCTGATTCTAGTTCTGTTCGGAACCGCTGTTCCTGGTCTTTAGCTGGTTTCCTATTATTCTGCCCAGCCATTATTTATTAAGTATATTATGTTAGGTACTACTGAAGCAGCAATCGAGTTACTATTTGAGAGGAAAAAAAGCAAACTTAGAAATAGTTAAGAATTGTCCTATTAAATACAGTTACTACCATTGCAATTATTTTAATTTTGACAAGATTTTTTGAAGGCTAGAGACTAAAAATTTCCATGTCATTCCTGAGTGGTAGAACCACATTCACATCTCATCATATTGAATCCTCTTTTTCTCTCTGTCTTCCTTACTCCATCCATCTCGGTTCCACTGTTTTCAGCAGAGGCAGATCTCTATGCACTACATTACTCCGGCTCCCTTACCCCATGGCTTCCGCTTGAGTTGAACAGATCAGCGGTCGGAAGGAGAGGGACATTAGAATATTCTTCCACCTGTCTGGACACAATTTGAGGCTGGCTACTCTTTTTAGGGTCACTATACCCACAACTAGAGCTGTGGGAGTGGCTATGACTCTTTTTCCTTAAACCTACCCACATCTATCCTTGCAAATGGCCTCACATTAAACTCCATTACCTCTTTGACTTTGCATTCTATTTTTGGAGGGTGTAAGGAGGTGGGGCTCAGAGTGCTTCTAAGTGTTTCTTTTAAGAGGCATTTCTATTGGGATAGAATTCTAGAGGTGAATTTTTAGTTATTCGAGGTACCTGGAGAAATGCTGTAGGAGGAGTAGAAAACACAGCGTTAGTTTCTTTTGTTGTTGTTTGGGATTAAAATACTATTTTACTAGTTTACTATTGACTGTTGAGGGATGTTAAGGGAGTGGGAAGGGCTGAGGGTTAATTTCATATTGAGATTAATATATTATCTTTTATCATTTAATAATACCTACCCTCAAATTCACATCTTCTAATTTGAGCTCTTAACCAGATTATCATCTTAAATTATTCATGCTTATCCTAAAAATGAATAATATTTTGCCTGAGGCCGTACAATTATCTGTGGTATCTTCTTGTATTCCACTTTTTTCACATTTTCAAAACACTGAAATTCATGGTAGAAAGTTCTATTGGTAAAATGCCAAAACCGGCCCAGCGCAGTGTCTCATGTCTGTAATCTCAGCAGTTTGGGAGGCCAAGGTGGGCTGATCACTTGAGATCAGGAGTTCGAGACCAGCCTGACCAACATGGTGAAACCCCATCTCTACTGAAAATACAAAAATTAGCCGGGTGGGTGGTGCATGCCTGTAATCCCAGCTACTCAGGAGGCCGAGGCGGGAGAATTGTTTGAACCCAGGAGGTGGAGGTTGCAGTAAGCCAAAATTGTGCCACTGCCCTCCAGCCTAGGCTACAGAGTGAGACTCCGTATCGAAAAAAAAAAAAAAAAAAAAAGGCGGAACCCAATTCTTGTGACTTAGTCTTGACATTAAAGAGAAAATAGGGTTATTAGTGGTAGATGAAACCATTTAAACGGCTGACCATAATAACTAGATAAATAAGAAATCAATATGCTTTTTAAAACAAAAATCTGAATACTTCTAGTCTTTTCTTCAACATAGTATTTTTTTTTCTTTTGCTTTTATATTTCTTTTCCTTTTTTAATGCTAGAAAATGGACATGGAGCTGATGATTTGGATGGCTGTTTTGTATTGTTTTTCTCATAGTTGTAAGCAACAATTTAATATTTGTTTAGGCAAAATGTGGCATATTCAGCCAAAATTATTTAAACTTGTATATATTTTAAAATAGTCCATCATTGCTGATTGATACTCTTGAACACCATTGACTAATCAGGAAAATTTAGTTTTAGCTCTGGACTCCCAGTGAATGTTTTGATGTAGGCAGTACACAAACTCAGAATTGTTCAAATTATGGATATCATATTATTGTGCATTCATAATATGGGGCATAATTTTTGATATCTTCCATTTACACTTAACATCAAGATGTTTGCCTAAATAGAAAAGTGACATTTTTTAACAAAGTAATGTTTATTTCACATTCAAAGTGCACTAAATAATTTATTTGAGCACACACATTTGGATTATCTACAGCTCGATTATATTGTTTTCTTATACTAAAATATTTATTCTAATTTTCTTATTTGATTCTTTTGTGACTCACAGTTTTATTTGTATTATGTTACTATTTTGGCTCTAAAACGCCTATTTCTTTCTTTGTGGAGCAACACAGCACAAATGTTGTAGTTTCAAAACCGTTCTACATGGTTTTCTTCTTCTGTTCATGCAAGACCAAACATTTCTGAGAGTTCTCAAACAGGTTGGATTTTACTTAAAAGCAATATTTTCTGTGATAAAACTAAGCAAATATTAAAGACGTAAATAAAAATTCACTAAGGGAAAATTAAACTCAGGTTATGAAAAAAAAACAGAAATCACTGCCAATTCACAAATACACAATATAGAAAGCAATGCAATTACTTATTTGCCTGACTCTTCTTTAAGATCTTCTTGTCTCAAAAAAAAACCCAGAAATATATGTAGATTTCAAAGATAAATGACAATGAGGAAAAAGGATGATAAGATTTCGTTTCATTGTAATTAAAAGAAGTGAAAGAAGATGTAAATGGTTAAAATGCGTGTATTTTAGGAAGAATTCATTTTCCATTATTTTGATATTGGTTAATGATTTTAAAATTTTCTTGAGAAGTGATCCTAACATATAGGTAAAAACAAGAATTTTTAAAAAGGCCCTGCAAATTTGAAAAAGGAAAATAACATTCAGATGTATTGTTATTACTTTTTCTCTCTTCCTAAAGTCTTGTGTGAACACTTTTTAATGTAATATAACTTTAATCAAGGTCTAATTCCTAATGTGGTTACCTATGTTAATTTAATGGGATATTTCTTCTCTTACATGTAATTTTGAAGATAACTTTATGCTTACCCCGTTGCTTTGAACTATTGTTTCCTTAAGTGAAGAATACTGAAATTAGTCCATATAAATTATAGCTATTGCTGGAGAAAGAAATATGTTCTGTGTGGTCCTCTCTCCAAAAACTGTACTTATCCTGTTATACACCCTTTCAGTATGATAAACCGTAGCCATGACTATTCTTTTTAAGAATACAATTATATTCTAAATCCATGATATCTTTCTTCAGCTCAAATAAACACAATAATTGTAGACAGAAAAAAAATCTTCCTTAGAGCAAAAGCAAAAAATAATATATTCACTTGCTATTGACCCCGAAATATTTAAATAAAAATTCAAATAAAAATGTTAATGAATATACAAATACACATGCATATTTATTCACTTGCATTTCTGAATTATAATACAATAATTTAAAATATTCAGTCTCTAAAAGTTATCAATGGCAAAATCTCGGTCATTAAGCAAGTGCCTGTAACTGAAAGGAAACTAAAAATTTCATAAAGTGATTGAGTTATTGGATCGGGACAGTACCATAAATACCTACAAATTTGCTGTGATATTTTTATATTTCTCAAATACTTGTTTTTTTTTCTAATATATTTTGTCGTAGTTTGTGAGGCTTCTACCCCCATCCTTTGGGAAAAGAAAAGATTAATATGTAAGCCAGAAAAATAAAACAAATTTATGACATTTTAAAAATCTTGTTATTTTGTGGCATATAAGGTCAATCTGCCCACCAGGAGGTCTTCTTTGCCAACTAAATATTCTGATTTGCAAGGCTGTCCCAGGCCGCGGGTAGCCCCATCTACTCTGAAGAATATGGGGCAGGAGTCACAAATCACTGCCTACTAGAGGAGCCGCACAAAGGTTTATTTCAGCAGAATCCTTTGCAGCATTTAATGCAGACCTCTAGGAGTTATGTTCTCCCCTTATAAAAGCCCAGGTTCCAGAAGGTAAGATCCATATGGGTGACTGTGGAGTTCACAATGGCTCAGAAGCCACGTACCATGCATCAGCCAATGTTCTCTTGTAACAAGAGACCATAAAACCCCTAGAAGAAAACCTAGGCATTACCATTCAGGACATAGGCATGGGCAAGGACTTCATGTCCAAAACACCAAAAGCAATGGCAACAAAAGACAAAATTGACAAATGGGATCTAATTAAACTAAAGAGCTTCTGCACAGCAAAACAAACTACCATCAGAGTGAACAGGCAACCTACAAAATGGGAGAAAATTTTCACAACTTACTCATCTGACAAAGGGCTAATATCCAGAATCTACAATGAACTCAAAGAAATTTACAAGAAAAAAACAACCCCATCAAAAAGTGGGCGAAGGACATGAACAGACACTTCTCAAAAGAAGACATTTATGCAGCCAAAAAACACATGAAAAAGTGCTCACCATCCCTGGCCATCAGAGAAATGCAAATCAAAACCACAATGAGATACCATCTCACACCAGTTAGAACGGCAATCATTAAAAAGTCAGGAAACAACAGGTGCTGGAGAGGATGTGGAGAAATAGGAACACTTTTACACTGTTGGTGGGACTGTAAACTAGTTCAACCATTGTGGAAGTCAGTGTGGCGATTCCTCAGGGATCTAGAACTAGAAATACCATTTGACCCAGCCATCCCATTACTGGGTATATACCCAAAGGACTATAAATCATGCTGCTATAAAGACACATGCACACATATGTTTATTGTGGCATTATTCGCAATAGCAAAGACTTGGAACCAACCCAAATGTCCAACAATGATAGACTGGATTAAGAAAATGTGGCACATATACACCATGGAATACTATGCAGCCATAAAAAATGATGAGTTCATGTCCTTTGTAGGGACATGGATGAAATTGGAAATCATCATTCTCAGTAAACTATCGCAAGAACAAAAAACCAAACACCGCATATTCTCACTCATAGGTGGGAATTGAACAATGAGATCACATGGACACAGGAAGGGGAATATCACACTCTGGGGACTGTGGTGGGGTTGGGGGAGGGGGGAGGGATGGCATTGAGAGATATACCTAATGCTGGATGATGAGTTGGTGGGTGCAGCACACCAGCATGGCACATGTATACATATGTAACTAACCTGCACAATGTGCACATGTACCCTAAAACTTAAAGTATAATTAAAAAAAACAAAAAAAAAACAAAAAAAAAAACAAGAGACAAGCCTGTCTTTCAGTGTCCCACAAGAAACAAAGCAGTTACAAGAGTGACTGTCCTCAGAGAAACCCAAAACCACTGCTTCCAATCAAGTACTAATAATTCATTATTTATTTATCCTCATACAGATGTGCTACACCAATCAGGGATTGCTTGATTTACAAATAACTTCCTTAGAAGCAGTAGATATTCTTACCCTTATTAGGTTTTCAGGAGAACAGAGCTAGAAATATTCAAGACTGGAAGATACACAGCAAAGCAAAGGGTATGTTTTCCCTTTCAAACAAATGTCTTCGCAGAGTTTGCTCTTAATGGACTTTTTTGGTTGTTACTGCTAAAGAGACTCAAGACAAAAATTCACTTGAAGTTCGAACATTTTATATAGAATATGTCACAATTTCACTCTTAGCTTATCTAAAAACAATGGGCTGCACTCACCAAATGAATTAATTTAAAAATGTGTTATATTTTAGAAGTTTTGTGGGTACATAGTAGGTGTGTATATTTATAGGGTATATGAGATATTTTGATACCGGCATGCAATATGAAATAAGCATATCCCGGGAAACGTGGTATTCATTGCCTGAAGCATTTATCCTTTGAGTCACAAACTCAAATCCAATTACATTGTTTAAGTTATTTAAAAACATACAGTTAAGTTATTATTGACTATAGTCATCCTATTATGCTATCAAATAATAAGTCTTATTCATTCTTGCTACTTTTTATCAATTAACCATCCCCACCTCCCTCCCAACTGCCCACTACCCTTCCCAGTCTCTGGTAATCATCCTTCTTCTTTCTGTGACAATGAGTTTAATTGTTTTGATTTTTAGATCCCACAAATAAGTGGGAACACGCAATGTTTGTCTTTCTGTTCCTGGCTTATTTCACTTAACATAATGATTCTCCTGTTCCATCCATGTTGTTGCAAATGACTGGATCTCATTATTTTTTATGGCTGAATAGTATTCCATCATGTATAAATACCACATTTGCTTTATCCATTCATCTGTTGATGGATGCTTGGGTTGCTTCCGAACCTTAGCTACAGTAAACATTGCTGCAACAAACATAGGAGTGTAGGTATCTCTTTGACACATTGAATTCCTTTCTTTTTGGTATAAATGCAGCAGTGGGATTGCTGCATTATAGAGTAGCTCAATTTTTAGTTTTGGAGGGATCTCCAAACTGTTTTCAATAGCAGTTGTACTAACTTACATTTCCACCAACAGTGTACAAGTGTTCCCTTTTCTCCATATTCTTGCCAGCATTTGTTATTGCCTATCTTTTGGATTTTAAATGTGGTGAGGTGATACGTTCTTATAGTTTTGATTTGCCTTTCTCTGATGATAAATGATGTTGAGCATCTTTTCATATGCCTGTTTGCCATTTGTATGTCTTCTTTTGAGGAATGGCTATTTAAATATTTTCCCCATTTTTTAATCAGATTGTTATATTTTTTCCTATAAAGTTGTTTGAGCTCCTTATATATTCTGGTGTAAATCCCTTGTCAGATGGGTAGTTTACAAATATTTTCTCCCATTCTACGGGTCGTCTCTTTACTTTGTTGATTGTATCTATTGCTCTGCAGAAGCTTTTTAACTTGATGTAATCCATTTGTCTGTATTTGCTTCACTTGCCTGTGCTTGTGGGGTATTACTCAAGAAATCTTTGTCCAGACCAGCATTCTGGAGATTTTCTCCAATGTTTTCTTGTAGTAGTTTTATAGATTGACATACTAGATTTAAGTCTTTAATCCATTTTGATTTGCTTTTTGGTGAGAGACAGGGGTCTACTTTCATTAATTGGCATGTAGACATCCACCTCTCCCAGCACCATTTATTGAAGAGATTGTCTTTTCCCTCACTGCATGTTGTTGGCATCTTTTGTCATAAATGAGTTTACTGTATGTCTGTGGATTTGTTTCTAGATTCTCTATTCTGTGCTATTGGTCTATGTGTCTATTTTTGTGCCAATACCATACTGTTTGGGTTACTATAGCTCTGTAGTGTAATTTGAAGTCAGGTAATGTGATTCCTCCAGTTTTGTTCTTTTTGCTTAGGGTAGCTTTGCCTCTTCTGGGTCTTTTGAAGTTCTATGTAAATTTTAGGATTGTTTTTTCTATTTCTGTGAAGAATGTCTTTTGCATTTTGATAGGGATTGCATTGAATCTGCAGATTGCTTTGGGGATTATGAACATTTTAACAATATTGATTCTTCCAATTTTGAACATAGAATATTTTTCCATTTTTTTGGTGTCCTCTTAAATTTCCTTCATCAGTGTTTTATAGTTTTCATTATAGAGATCTTTCCCTTCTTTGGGTAACTCCTAGGTATTTCATTTTATGTGTGGCTATTTTAAATGTAATTACTTCTTAATTTCTTTTTCACTTTGTTCATTGTTGGAATATAAAAATGCTACTGATTTTTGTATGTAGATTCAGTATCCTGCAACTTTACTGAATTTGTTTATCAATTCTAATAGTTTTCTTGTGGAGTTTCCCCCATACTGTTCTCATGGTAGTGAATAAGACTCATGAGATCTGACAGTTTTATAAATGGGGGTTTCTCTGCACAACTGTCCTGCCTGCCACCATGTAAGAGGTGACTTTGATCCTCATGCATCTTCTGCCATGATTGTGAGACCTCCTCAACCATGTGGAACCGTGAGTCCATTAACCTCTTTCCTTTATTAATTATCCACTCTTAGGCATGTTTTTACTAGCAGTGTGAGAACAGACTAATACAGTAAATCGGTACTGGTAGAGTGAGGTGCTGCTGTAAAGGTGCCAGAAAATGTGGATGTGACTTTGGAAGTGGCTAACAGACAGAGGTTGGAACCGTTTGGAGGGCTCAGAAGAGGACAGGAAAATGTGGAAAAGTTTGGAACTTCCTAGAGACTTGTTGAATGGCTTTAACCAAAATGCTGTAGTGATATGGACAATGAAGTCCAGGTTTAGGTGTTTTCAGATGGAGATAAGGAACTTGTTGGAAACTGAAAAAAATTGACACTTTCTATGTTTTAACAAAGGAAAGGGACTGGCTGGATTTTGCCCCTGCCCTAGAGATTTGTGGAACTTTGAACTTGAGAGGGATGATTTAGGGCATCTGGGAGAAGAAATCTGTAAGCACCAAAGTGTTCAAGAGGTGATTTGGGTGCTGTTAATAGCATTCAGTTTTATCTATTCACAAAGTTATTGTTTGGAATTGGAATTTATATTTAAAAGGGAAGCAGACCATAAAAGTTCAGAAAATTTGAAGCCTGATGATATGATAGAAATGAAACACCCATTTTCTGAGGAGAAATTTAAGCCAGCTGCAGAAATTTGCATTAGTAATGAGAAGCCAAATGTTAATCACCAAGACAATAGAGAAAATGTCTCCAGGGCATGTCAGAGGTCTTCACAGCAGCCTCTCCCATCACAGGCCTAGAGACCTAGGAGGAACAAGTGATTCTGTGGGTCGGAACCATGGTTGCTGCTTTGTGCTGTCTTAGGACTTAGTGTACTGCATCCCAGTCATGTCTAAAAGGGGCCAATATATAGCTCAGGCTGTTGCTTCAGAGGGTGCAAGCTCCAAGCTTTAGTGGCTTACATGTGGTGTTGGGCCTGTCAGTGAACAGGGGTCAAGAATTGAGGTTTGGGAACCTCTACCTAGATTTCAGAGGATGTTTGGAAATGCCTGGATATCCAGGCAGAGGTGTGCTGCAGGGGCAGAGCCCTCATGGAGAACCTCTGCTAGGGTAGTGTGGAAGGAAAACATGGGATGGGAGCACCCACACAGTGTCCCTACTGGGGCACTTCCTAGCGGAGCTGTGAGAAAGAGGGCCACTGTCCTCCAGACCCCAGAATGGTAGATCCATTGACAGTTTGCACTGTGCACCTGAAAAAACCACAGACACTCAATGCCAGCCATGAAAGCATCTGGGAGGGGGGCTCTACCCCACAAAGCCATAGGATTGGAGATGTTCAAGGCCATGGGGACCCACCTCCTTCATCAGCATGACCTGGATGTGAGACATGGAGTTCAAGGAGATCATTTTGAAACATTAATATTTGGCTGCCTGGTTGGATTTTAAACTTGCATGGGGCCTGTAGTCCCTTTGTTTTGGCCAATTTCTCCTATTTGGAATGGGTGTATTTACCCAATGCCTGTACTCCCATTGTCTCAAGAAAGTAACTAACTTGCTTTTGATTTTACACACTCATAGGCAGAAGGGACTTGCCTTGTCTCAGATGAGAATTTGGACTGTAGACTTTCGAGTTAATGCTGAAATGAGTTAAAACTTTGGGGGAGTGTTGGAAAGGCATGATTGGTTTTGAAATGTAAGGACATGAGATTTGGGAGGGGTCAGGGGTGGAATGATATGATTTGGCTGTGTCCCTACCCAAATATCACCTTGAGTTGTAATAATCCCCATGTGTCAAGGGCGGGGCCAGGTGGAGATAATTGAATCATGGGGTGGTTTTCCCCATACTGTCCTCATGGTAGTGAATAAGTTTCCTGAGATCTGATGGTTTTATAAATGGAAGTTCCCCTGCACATGCTGTCTTGACTGCCACCATGTAAGAGGTGACTTTGCTTCTCACTCACTTCCCACCATGATGTGAGGCCTCCTCAGCCATATGGAACTGTGAATCCATTAAATCTTTTTCCTTTATAAATTAACCAGTCTCAAGTATATCTTTATTAGCAGCATGAGAACAGACTAATACAGAGAGTTTAGTCCATTTTCATTCAATGTTATTATTGATAAGTAAGAACTTACTCTTGTCATTTTGCTATTTGTTTTCTGGTTGTTTTGTGATTTTTATTCATTATTTCTTTCATTTATGTCTTCCTCTAGTGAAGGTAATTTTCTCTGTTGATGTGCTTTAGTTTCTTGCTTCTTATTTTTTGTGTATCCATTGTAAATTATGTGGTTTGAGGTTATCACGAGGCTTGCAAATATTATCTTATAACCCATTATTTTACCTGATCATAATTTAGCATTATTTGCACAAACAAACAAGAAAAGAGAAAACTAATGAAAACTTGCCTAACTTCATCCTCTCACTTTTTAACTTTTTGTTTTTTTTCTATGTATATCTTATTGTACTATGTCTTGAAAAGTTGTTGCAGTTATTGTTTTCCATGGGCTTATTTTTTAGTCTTTGTACTTAGGATAAGAGTAGTCTATACACCACAGTTACAGTGTGATCATATTCTGTGTTTTTCTGTATACTTACTATTACCAGTAAGTTTTGTACCTTCAGGTGATTATTGCTCATTAACGTTCTTTTCTTTCTGTTTGAAGTACTCCCTTTAGCATTTCTTGTAGGATGGGTATGGTCTTGGTGAAATCCCTCAGGTTTTGCTTGTCTAGAAAAGTCTTTAATTATTCTTTATGTTTAAAGAATATTTTCGCCAGATATACTATTCTAGGGAAAAATGTTTTTTTCTTCAGAACTTTAAATATGTTATGCCACTCTTTTCTGACCTGTAAGGTTTCCACTGAAAAGTCTGATGCCAAATGTATTTAAGCTTCAATGTATGTTATTCGTTTATCTCTTATTGCTTTTAGAATTATTTCTTTATCTTGACATTTTGGAGTTAATTATTTTATTAGTCTGGGTTCTCCAGAGGGACAGAACTAATAGGATATACGTATATGTGAAAGGGAGTTTTTTAGGAAGTATTGGCTCACACAATGATAAGGCAAAGTCCAATGATATGCCGTTAGCAAGCTGGGGAAGAGAGAAGCCAGTAGTGGCTCAGTCCAAGTCCAAAAGCCTCAAAAGCAGGGAAGCCAACAGTGCAACCTTTAGTCTGTGACTGAAGAACTGGGAGACCCTACACCACTGGCGTAAGTCCAAGAGTCCAAGTGCAGAAGCACCTGGAGTCTGATGTCCAAGGACAGGAGGAATAGAAGAAAGCATCCAGCATAGGAGAAAGATGAGAGCCAGAAGACTCAGAAAGCCAGTATATCCCACCTTCTTCTGCCTGCTGTTTATTAGCCATGCTGGCAGCTTATTGCATGGTGTCCACCCATAATGAAGATGGTCTTGCTCTCCCAGTCCACTGACTCAAATGTCAATCTCCTCTGGCAACACCCTCACAGACAAACCCAGAAATAATACTTTACCAGCTATCCAGGCATCCTTAAATCCCATGATATTGGCACCTAATATTAACCATCACAATTATTAAGTGCTTTGAGGTAGTCTTGTTTGGTTTAAATCTTCTTGGTGTTCTGTAGGATTCTTGTACTTAGATATTTACATCTTCTTATAGGTTTGGGAAGTTCTCTGATATCATCCCTTTGAATAAACTTTATACTCCTATCTCTTTCTCCACCTCCTCTTTGAGGCACAGACACTGCTTTACTTGCATAAAAGAGAAGTTTCCAGACACAGTTATGTGCATCTGTGTCTTGGTTCTTGGAGTTAAAGTGGGCCATGCTGTCAGCCACTCTGTGAAGCTCGGAGGAGGCCTGAGGTCTGTCAGGGCATCCCTTGGGTCCAGGATGGTCCTAGCCTGGCCAGGTCCCTTAGTGGAACTGATCTGTGACTTGTTGATTTCCCCTGAGAAAATAAGGCTTTGATGCAGTTCCAGCAAGAGTGGTCTACTGGCCTCCCTCTGAGGCCAGTAGATTTGCCCCTTTGAGGCTATTTTTAAGATCCTGTAGGCATGCTTCATTATTTTTTTTTCTTTTGTCTCCTCAGACTGTGTATTTTCAAATAGCTTGCATTCAAGCTCACTAATTCTCTCTTCCACTTGACCAATTCTGCTATTAAAGGACTCTAATGCATTCCTTAGTATGTTAACTGTACTTTTCAATTCATGAATTTCTACTTGATTTTTAAACATTATTTCAATCTCTTTGTCAAATTTATCTGATAGAATTCTGAATTCCTTTCTGTGCTATCTTGAATTTCTTTGAGTTTCCTTAACACGGCTATTTCGAATTCTTTGTCTGAAAGGTCACATATCTCTAGGATTGGACCCTGGTGCCTTATTTAGATCATTAACAAAGGTCATGTTTTTCTGGATAGTGTTGATGCTAGTAGATGTTCTTTGGTGCCTGGGCATTTAAGGTATTAGATATTTATTATAGTCTTTACTGTCTGTGCTTATTTGTAGCCATACTTGGAAAGGATTTCTAGTTATTTGAAAGGGCTTGGGTGTTGTGATTTGAGCTGTTTCTGCTTTATGAAGCACCCCAAGCCCAGTAATGTGTGGTTCTTGCAGACTCATAGAGATACCTACTGAAAGGGCAATATTTAAATAAATGGAAAGTGATTTGCTTTGGGGTGGGTACAAGGATGATTTCTAGTTTTGTCCTGTACTCCATGAGGATATGCTGTGAATTTACATTATCAGGGTCGGGGGAGGCCAACTGGGGAAATATGTGGCCCCCTATCTTGAATCTATCTGTTTAGGAACAAAAGAAAAGGCAGTTTTTTGTGTGGCTCAGTTTCCAAGCTTAACTTTCCCCTTTGGCATAGTAATGTTGGGTTCCCAAGATCTTATTTTTCTTTCACATAATCAAGTTGTTAAGAAAAAAAAGATAAAATTACAGATACCTAGGAAAGAAGGAGTAGTAAAAGGAGGGTGAGGTTTTATTTTAAAATAAATAAAATAAAATATGTTTACAATGTAAAGTATATTTATGCCAAACTATTATCACTAATAGAAGGCACAATTACCGAATTTCACAAATAATGTATTGATATCATGAAATGTAGCTATGTAGAAATTGAATAATATCAGTAATAAGCTTAATATCAGTAGACATCAAAACATTAAATTGAATGATAAAAGGACTTATTTTCTAAAAACCATTTAATTATAACCTACTTAGAATAGTCTCTTGTAAGGCTTCTGTAACTTCATTAAACTTTATTTTTACCAACTTCATTTATAGCCTCACCTACAAGAGGTGATATACCTGGATCAGTCCTAATGAGGACTCTGATAGATTTTTCTAACAGAAGCTATTCTGGTAGATTTTTTTAATGTAAAAATTGTTTCTGAATGTTTTAAATTTGTTGTAAATGACATTAATATAAATTAAAATTTCATATAAAAATGTACAAAAAATAAATATGCATTTTCTTGTGTTTGCAAAAACTTAATTCCATAAGGCATTATTGATGTTTGGTTATGTGACATTCAGTAGTTAAACCCTAGGAATGAAAGCTTATATGTCAAAATTCAGGGTGTTGATAGGTTTTCAAGAATCCCATTGGTGGAGAAATTATATAATTTTTCAGTGACTTCATGTTTATTAATCTAAAAACTCAGACCTTAGTATGCTATACAAACCTGATTTTGATGAAAGCAAGACAATGGAAGATAAATTTTGAAATGAAAGGAAAGATAGCATTGCTATATTATCTTTATTCTATATTATTTATTTCTATAATAAGTTTTATTTGGAGGAAATACAGTGAAAATCAGTTTGCTAGAGTGGCAAATCTGTACGAGTCTGCAGCAACCCCAATTCTTGCCTCCTCAAAAGAAAGAATTCAACTCATGAGGCATACGGAAGGAAAGACTGAGGCAAGTTTTAGGGCAGGAGCGAAAGTTTATTAGAAATCTCTAGATCAGGAAAGAAAGAAAGAACCCTTGGAGGAAGGCCAAGCAAGAGACTTGAGGGATCTAGTGTGTGGGACTTGATCTTTGACTTAGGGTTTTATATGCTGTCATGCTTCTGGGGTCTTGTGTCCCTTCTCCCGTGATTCTTCCCTTGAGATGGACTGTCCACATGTGCAGCGGCCTGCTAGCACTTGAGAGTATGAGGAGTGTGTTTACTGAAGTTGCACACATGCTCACTTGAGGCATTCTTCCCTTACCAGCCAAATGTCCCCAGGAGGTCATATACCAGATAAGCCAACTGCATTATTATTTTCCTGAATAAATAGAACATTAACTTAATTCTTCCATTCTTCATATAGTTCTGTGAAATTTAGCTGAAAATTGAATATTAAACATAAATATCCAGTGTTTCTGTTTTGTAAAAATCATGTAGAAAATTAGGTAATATATTTAAAGTGCCTACTAATGCTTGGTACACATAACCAAGATCAGCGATTGTTATCAGGTTTATAAATACAAATTAAGATTGTCATTTTTTAATCCATTGGGCTCATGTATTATAAGATTAAGTTTAATAATTCATAAGATAGTCTCCACACTTAGATATATGTGGTTCTACCTGATTACATCATGATTTGATGGAAACAAAAGATATTTTCTAGTTTATGGGAAATTGTTGACCTAGCACTATGTGTGACAGAAATCTCTGTACTCCAAAATCTATTTGTAAGACCTCCATAGAAGCTTCAGTAGATCAAAACTTATACATTTTTTTCACACATCTCATTCTATTGACTCAGACAAATCAAATTGACCTACAACAGCCTCTATTGAAAACATGTCAAGGGAATGTCTTTCAACCAACACAGTGTTCAAAATATTGCTATATTCCATCTATTCAATTATTATTGTCTCTTTTGAAATTTTAATTATTTTCAATATATCCAGAAATAAATCTGAGTTTTTTTAAGGTCCAGCTTATTTACTGAATTTTACTTCATCCAGCACAAAATGATATTATTGGTCTAACCAGTTACTTTAGTGTTTGAAAATCTAATTTTTACTTTTAGGATATAAATATCCCCAGTTTCAAGTATTATATAATACAAACATCCAATTTTCTATTATTCTCAGATTTTCCATCAATTTTATAGTGAAGACATTGACATGAGCATTTTTTAAATGCCATGAAGTTTTTAGAATAACATCATTATAAAGCATTTATATGTGACGTTGCAATGTGGATATCTAAGCAAGAAACATTTTTAAAAGGTTCAGTATACAATTTCAATTCTTATGTGCATGACATTATCACAAATTCTAAGATTCAAAGACATAATAATAATTATGCATTAAGAATGCTAATAAATGGAAAAAACTTGGGATCAATTTTTTTTCTTTTGTACTGTAGAATATTTTTACGATGCATAGAGTCAACTAGTGAAATGTGCTGTATCTGAAGATAGACCTCCTGAGTAATCCTGAATCTCTCCTCTGGTTAACTTTGTGATCTTGGGAAAATTCTTTAATCTCTCTGAGATTCACTTTTCTTAGCCATAAAGTGGGGAAAACAATTATTATACTAACTTTACAGAGTTGTCTTTAAGATTACAGAAATAAATACATGCACAATGCCTAGAAGAGTACCTGGCCCATAATGGGATTTCCACAGCTATTACCTATAGAGTAATATCTTTAAAATAGCAGCAAAGTTGCAGTTCCATTTAAATCCTTTTTATATTTACAGTTTTATGTTTTAAAACACGACCAGAAAAATCATGTTGCAGTGCACATAGGTTCATAAGCTTTATAACCAGCTAGACATAATTTAATTTACCTTTAAATTCCTCGCTTACTAGCTGTGTGACTGGTTCTAGTTACTGTGCCTCAACTCACATTAAAATGAATGGAAATTTCCCTTTAAAACCCTAGTCAGTATTAAATAACCTAATTTAGATCGTTACCTAGCACCTAATATATAGGTAGCAGTTAATGATAGTCTGTTATTGTTATCTAAGTATTCAATTAAATAATAAACAAAAAATTATAGATTCTATTTATTTTTAAATGCCAAGATTTATTTTATCTTTCTTTTAAGCAAGTTGCATATTAACATTTTAACACAAAGTTATGAATGTGTTTTGTGACCACTATTAATAATATATAAGATAGTAAATTGCCAATTTAAGATCTTGAGGCCATAAGCTCCTTGTGGCCAGTAACAACCTTTTTGTTTTTCTGCATTGCTAGTTTCCTAGAGCAATCTCAATAAATCTTTAGTGACAAAAATGTAAAAGATAATGAAAGTAAATGACTTGCATAGACAGATTTTGTAGTCTTAGTCTTATGTGTAGCAACCAACTAGAGAGGAATGAAACATTTAGTTGGCAATAAACTGTCCACATACATGTGTAGCAAAGAAAATTAGACATTTTGTATTTACTTTCTTTCATCTTAAATAGCTTAAATAGCTGGTCATTATTAAACCAATTGTACAACTGTCAGAATTGAACAATAACAGACTTTTAAACTATTGCCAAAATTTTGGTTCATAAAAATTACTAAAAGGTTCGGTGTGATGGCTCACAGCTGTAATTCCAATACTTTGGGAAGCAGAGGCAGGAGGATTGCTTGAGTTCAGGAGCTCAAGACCAGACTGGGCCAAAGAGAGAAACCCTGTCTCTAAAAAGTTAGGTAGGCATGGGTGGCACATCCCTGGAGCCCTAGCAACTCAGGAGGCTGAGGTGGGAGGATTTCTTGAGCCTTGGAAGTTGAGGCTGCAGTGAGCTGTGATTGCACCACTGCACTCCAGCCTGGGAAACCCAGTGACACCCTGGTCTCAGAAAGAAAAAAATACCAAATGAGATAGAGAAGGAAGATATATTATGAGCTAAATCACTTTTTGAGATCCAGAACATCTATTAATATCAGAAAAAAGAAAGAGACAGAAGAGGATACTTATGACCAAAATAAGGACCAGGGTGGGGCAGGGTACCTGGTAAGTTTGGAGAGAAACCCAAATCCAGATTGAGCTCTTCAGGCTAGAAAAAGGGTAAAATTCTAAGGCTTATCTGCAATCTAGTTTAGGGATCCATTTTGAAGAAAGCTACAGAATCTTTAAAGTTCAGTATTTTAAGTGCTTCCTCTATTGTGGGCAGTATTTTGAGATTTTTCTTCTCTCCTACAGGTTATAATGGCAGTAATCAGGCATTTTAGTCCAGGGGGGTCCTTAATTCTATTAACATTCTTTTCAATGATATTGTGCTCAGCTTTCAGGTAGAATGAAAAAAATCAGGGTTGCTTTCATGAGTTCACTTTGTAAATCTGTGACAATGTGAGCAATTTTTGCTTTGCTATTAGGCTAGACTGTTTTGGGGAAAAATTCACGTGCTCCCGCATAGAACACTTAATAGTACCTTGCATTTGTGTAACTGCATGGTCTTTCAATCATGGAGAAAAATTTAATATTCACTAAACTAATCTCAGTGTGATTTACAGAGTCTAAAATGAGCTATTTAAAGTAAAACTTTGTAAAGAAAAAGTATTTAATCCAGTTGCAAAGTAAATTAATATGGTGAGGATTTTTATGTATTTTTATATAAAGAAGTAGGTTTGGCTGTTATCTGAAAAAAATTGTTCAAACAAATGGAACACTTTTATATTTGTTTCAATAATGATATGATCTTTGTATTTCATGCTCTCAAAAATATTTTCCTAAATAATTCCAAAAAGGCAGTAATTAAGATGACGTGTAAAAAACAAATGACTAAAGCTCTATGACTATTTGGCTACCATGTTGAGTAAAAGGTTTGATATTATTACAGGTTTCATAGTATTTTTTCCACTGCCTTTGGAGCTGGATGAATTTTTTGTGGTTACACAAGTGCTAAATAATTTATTTTATTTTTTATCATTTTATTTAAAATTCTCTTAGATTATCAAAAAGTTGTGAGATAGTACAAAAAGTTTCCATACACTCTTCAGCTAGCTTCCCTAAAGATTAGCATTTCATATAGTTGTTTTATATAGTATAGTTGTCTCAACTAGAAAATTAATATTGGTGTACTGTTAACTAAACTAGAGCCTTTATTTGGATTTTATCAGGGTTCCCACTGATTTTTTTAATCTGAGATCAGTTTCAGTTGTTATCATATCTACTTACTCATTGCCAAATCTGGAAGTTTGTCAGTTTTTCCTTGCTTTTCAGGACCTTAACAATTTTGAAGAGTACTGCTTGAATATTTCACAGAATGTCCCTAAATTTGGGCTTGTTTGATGTTTTCTCACAATTAGGCTTCACTATAGATTCAGGAGAAGAATAACATGCAGGTGAAGTGCCCTTGTATTCTCATTATATCAAGGATGCATGAGAATATTACGCATCCCTGGTGATGTCAACTTTGATCACTTGGTGTCTTAGTCCATTTGTGCTGCTATCACAAAATACTTGAGAGTATTGTCTGAGAATGAATAACTTATAAAAAACGGGACTTTATTTTTTCACTAGAAGGTTCAGTGTCTGGGGAAGGCATATTCCTTATATATGGTGCCCTCTAAATTTCTTTAAAAGGTGGAAGGATGAAAGGGCAAAAAAGAGGATAAATAAAGTCTGCATGCTCACATGAAAGAAGAGCAAGAGGGGCCTAAACAGAACTCCCCCCAGCCTTTGAATAAGGCACTAATCCCTTCAAGAGTGCAGGGCTCTCATAACTTAATCACTTTCCCAAAGGCCCCACTTCTTCATACCATCACAATGGGAATTAAGTTTCAACATGAATTTTGAAGGGGACACACATTCAAATCACAGCACTTGGCCACCATAGTTTCAAGTTTCTCTGCTTTAAAGTTACTGTGTTATATTTTTCATACTCTAATTATTAGAAGTCACTAAATCCAGCTCACATTCAAGAAGAAATAAATTAATCTCTAATCCTGGAGTAGTAAGTTTCTGTGTCACGTTTAGAACTCATCTATAAAGAAGATTTGTCTCTTCCCCCATTTATTTAGACCTTATAAAAAAACTTAGGTTAGAATCCTGTATCATTATTATTTATTTTGTTGCTTAAATTGTTTCAGCTTTGGCTATTGGGACTGTTTCAGATTGACTTATGTGCCCTTTTGACATGCTCTATCCTCTTATTTTTTCTTAGTTTCTTTCAGCACTTCCTTACTTTTTGCACACACACACACACACACACACACACACCCTGCAGGATCATCTTGTCATTTTCTGGCCCCAACCTAGGAATCAGTCATTTCTCCAAGAAACCCAGTTGTCTTTTAGTAGAGAATAATATTTACAAATCAAGATGCAAGCTACTGAAGTGTCAGTGGCACTATGCCCTCTCAGCCAACAGAGCAAGGAAATACATGTATATATACAAAACTTAGTGTACACATAGCTCTGTATTTTTTTTCTATTTATCTCTCAGCTATTTATCTGAGTTTTGCTTCCCTCCCCACATCATCTTCTCCCACCTTTGACCTATATTGTAATTACAATTAGGATCCACCTGGAGAATCCAGCCTAGTCTTCCTATCTCAAGATCCTTAACTTCATGACATCTGCAAATTCCTTTTTGCCACATAAGGTAACATTCACAGCTCTGCAGATTAGAACATAGACACTTTGGAGGGAAGGGAGAGAGAACGTTTATTTTGCCTACCACATACTTTTCAATTTCCCAATTAAATATCCAGGAATATTTGCATTCATAAAAATATGTGAGTAAAGAATTAATTAGGAGGAGGAGCCAAGATGGCCGAATAGGAACAGCTCCGGTCTACAGCTCCCAGCGTGAGCGACGCAGAAGACGGTGATTTCTGCATTTCCATCTGAGGTACCGGGTTCATCTCACTAGGGAGTGCCAGACAGTGGGCGCAGGCCAGTGTGTGTGCGCACCGTGCGCGAGCCGAAGCAGGGCGAGGCATTGCCTCACCTGGGAAGCGCAAGGGGTCAGGGAGTTCCCTTTCCGAGTCAAAGAAAGGGGTGACGGACGCACCTGGAAAATCGGGTCACTCCCAACCGAATACTGCGCTTTTCAGACCGGCTTAAGAAACGGCGCACCACGAGACTATATCCCACACCTGGCTCAGAGGGTCCTACACCCACGGAATCTCGCTGATTGCTAGCACAGCAGTCTGAGATCAAACTGCAAGGCGGCAGCGAGGCTGGGGGAGGGGCGCCCGCCATTGCCCAGGCTTGCTTAGGTAAACAAAGCAGCCGGGAAGCTCCAACTGGGTGGAGCCCACCACAGCTCAAGGAGGCCTGCCTGCCTCTGTAGGCTCCACCTCTGGGGGCAGGGCACAGACAAACAAAAAGACAGCAGTAACCTCTGCAGACTGAAGTGTCCCTGTCTGACAGCTTTGAAGAGAGCAGTGGTTCTCCCAGCACGCAGCTGGAGATCTGAGAACGGGCAGACTGCCTCCTCAAGTGGGTCCCTGACCCCTGACCCCCGAGCAGCCTAACTGGGAGGCACCCCCCAGCAGGGGCACACTGACACCTCACACGGCAGGGTATTCCAACAGACCTGCAGCTGAGGGTCCTGTCTGTTAGAAGGAAAACTAACAACCAGAAAGGACATCTACACCGAAAACCCATCTGTACATCACCATCATCAAAGACCAAAAGTAGATAAAACCACAAAGATGGGGAAAAAACAGAACAGAAAAACTGGAAACTCTAAAACGCAGAGCGCCTCTCCTCCTCCAAAGGAACGCAGTTCCTCACCAGCAACAGAACAAAGCTGGATGGAGAATGATTTTGACGAGTTGAGAGAAGAAGGCTTCAGACGATCAAATTACTCTGAGCTACGGGAGGACATTCAAACCAAAGGCAAAGAAGTTGAAAACTTTGAAAAAAATTTAGAAGAATGTATAACTAGAATAACCAATACAGAGAAGTGCTTAAAGGAGCTGATGGAGCTGAAAACCAAGGCTCGAGAACTACGTGAAGAATGCAGAAGCCTCAGGAGCCGATGCGATCAACTGGAAGAAAGGGTATCAGCAATGGAAGATGAAATGAATGAAATGAAGCAAGAAGGGAAGTTTAGAGAAAAAAGAATAAAAAGAAATGAGCAAAGCCTCCAAGAAATATGGGACTATGTGAAAAGACCAAATCTACGTCTGATTGGTGTACCTGAAAGTGATGTGGAGAATGGAACCAAGTTGGAAAACACTCTGCAGGATATTATCCAGGAGAACTTCCCCAATCTAGCAAGGCAGGCCAACGTTCAGATTCAGGAAATACAGAGAACGCCACAAAGATACTCCTCGAGAAGAGCAACTCCAAGACACATAATTGTCAGATTCACCAAAGTTGAAATGAAGGAAAAAATGTTAAGGGCAGCCAGAGAGAAAGGTCGGGTTACCCTCAAAGGAAAGCCCATCAGACTAACAGCGGATCTCTCGGCAGAAACCCTACAAGCCAGAAGAGAGTGGGGGCCAATATTCAACATTCTTAAAGAAAAGAATTTTCAACCCAGAATTTCATATCCAGCCAAACTAAGCTTCATAAGTGAAGGAGAAATAAAATACTTTATAGACAAGCAAATGCTGAGAGATTTTGTCACCACCAGGCCTGCCCTAAAAGAGCTCCTGAAGGAAGCGCTAAACATGGAAAGGAACAACCGGTACCAGCCGCTGCAAAATCATGCCAAAATGTAAAGACCATCGAGACTAGGAAGAAACTGCATCAACTAATGAGCAAAATCACCAGCTAACATCATAATGACAGGATCAAATTCACACATAACAATATTAACTTTAAATATAAATGGACTAAATTCTGCAATTAAAAGACACAGACTGGCAAGTTGGATAAAGAGTCAAGACCCATCAGTGTGCTGTATTCAGGAAACCCATCTCACGTGCAGAGACACACATAGGCTCAAAATAAAAGGATGGAGGAAGATCTACCAAGCCAATGGAAAACAAAAAAAGGCAGGGGTTGCAATCCTAGTCTCTGATAAAACAGACTTTAAACCAACAAAGATCAAAAGAGACAAAGAAGGCCATTACATAATGGTAAAGGGATCAATTCAACAAGAGGAGCTAACTATCCTAAATATTTATGCACCCAATACAGGAGCACCCAGATTCATAAAGCAAGTCCTCAGTGACCTACAAAGAGACTTAGACTCCCACACATTAATAATGGGAGACTTTAACACCCCACTGTCAACATTAGACAGATCAACAAGACAGAAAGTCAAAAAGGATACCCAGGAATTGAACTCAGCTCTGCACCAAGCAGACCTAATAGACATCTACAGAACTCTCCACCCCAAATCAACAGAATATACATTTTTTTCAGCACCACACCACACCTATTCCAAAATTGACCACATAGTTGGAAGTAAAGCTCTCCTCAGCAAATGTAAAAGAACAGAAATTATAACAAACTATCTCTCAGACCACAGTGCAATCAAACTAGAACTCAGGATTAAGAATCTCACTCAAAGCCGCTCAACTACATGGAAACTGAACAACCTGCTCCTGAATGACTACTGGGTACATAACGAAATGAAGGCAGAAATAAAGATGTTCTTTGAAACCAACGAGAACAAAGACACCACATACCAGAATCTCTGGGACGCATTCAAAGCAGTGTGTAGAGGGAAATTTATAGCACTAAATGCCTACAAGAGAAAGCAGGAAGGATCCAAAATTGACACCGTAACATCACAATTAAAAGAACTAGAAAAGCAAGAGCAAACACATTCAAAAGCTAGCAGAAGGCAAGAAATAACTAAAATCAGAGCAGAACTGAAGGAAATAGAGACACAAAAAACCCTTCAAAAAATCAATGAATCCAGGAGCTGGTTTTTTGAAAGGATCAACAAAATTGATAGACCGCTAGCAAGACTAATAAAGAAAAAAAGAGAGAAGAATCAAATAGACACAATAAAAAATGATAAAGGGGATATCACCACCAATCCCACAGAAATACAAACTACCATCAGAGAATACTACAAACACCTCTACGCAAATAAACTAGAAAATCTAGAAGAAATGGATACATTTCTCGACACATACACTCTCCCAAGACTAAACCAGGAAGAAGTTGAATCTCTGAATAGACCAATAACAGGAGCTGAAATTGTGGCAATAATCAATAGTTTACCAACCAAAAAGAGTCCAGGAGCAGATGGATTCACAGCCGAATTCTACCAGAGGTACAAGGAGGAACTGGTACCATTCCTTCTGAAACTGTTCCAATCAATAGAAAAAGAGGGAATCCTCCCTAACTCATTTTATGAGGCCAGCATCATTCTGATACCAAAGCCGGGCAGAGACACAACCAAAAAAGAGAATTTTAGACCAATATCCTTGATGAACATTGATGCAAAAATCCTCAATAAAATACTGGCAAACCGAATCCAGCAGCACATCAAAAAGCTTATCCACCATGATCAAGTGGGCTTCATCCCTGGGATGCAAGGCTGGTTCAATATACACAAATCAATAAATGTAATCCAGCATATAAACAGAGCCAAAGACAAAAACCACATGATTATCTCAATAGATGCAGAAAAAGCCTTTGACAAAATTCAACAACTCTTCATGCTAAAAACTCTCAATAAATTAGGTATTGATGGGACGTATTTCAAAATAATAAGAGCTATCTATGACAAACCCACAGCCAATATCATACTGAATGGGCAAAAACTGGAAGCATTCCCTTTGAAAACTGGCACAAGACAGGGATGCCCTCTCTCACCACTCCTATTCAACATAGTGTTGGAAGTTCTGGCCAGGGCAATCAGGCAGGAGAAGGAAATAAAGGGTATTCAATTAGGAAAAGAGGAAGTCAAATTGTCCCTGTTTGCAGACGACTTGATTGTTTATCTAGAAAACCCCATCGTCTCAGCCCAAAATCTCCTTAAGCTGATAAGCAACTTCAGCAAAGTCTCAGGATACAAAATCAATGTACAAAAATCACAAGCATTCTTATACACCAACAACAGACAAACAGAGAGCCAAATCATGGGTGAACTCCCATTCACAATTGCTTCAAAGAGAATAAAATACCTAGGAATCCAACTTACAAGGGATGTGAAGGACCTCTTCAAGGAGAACTACAAACCACTGCTCAATGAAATAAAAGAGGACACAAACAAATGGAAGAACATTCCATGCTCATGGGTAGGAAGAATCAATATCGTGAAAATGGCCATACTGCCCAAGGTAATTTGCAGATTCAATGCCATCCCCATCAAGCTACCAATGACTTTCTTCACAGAATTGGAAAAAACTACTTTAAAGTTCATATGGAACTAAAAAAGAGCCCACATCGCCAAGTCAATCCTAAGCCAAAAGAACAAAGCTGGAGGCATCACACTACCTGACTTCAAACTATACTACAAGGCTACAGTAACCAAAACAGCATGGTACTGGTACCAAAACAGAGATATAGATCAATGGAACAGAACAGAGCCCTCAGAAATAATGCCGCATATCTACAACTATCTGATCTTTGACAAACCTGAGAAAAACAAGCAATGGGGAAAGGATTCCCTATTTAATAAATGGTGCTGGGAAAACTGGCTAGCCATATGTAGAAAGCTGAAACTGGATCCCTTCCTTACACCTTATACAAAAATCAATTCAAGATGGATTAAAGATTTAAACGTTAGACCTAAAACCATAAAAACCCTAGAAGAAAACCTAGGCATTACCATTCAGGACATAGGCGTGGGCAAGGACTTCATGTCCAAAACACCAAAAGCAATGGCAACAAAAGCCAAAATTGACAAATGGGATCTAATTAAACTAAAGAGCTTCTGCACAGCAAAAGAAACTACCATCAGAGTGAACAGGCAACCTACAACATGGGAGAAAATTTTTGCAACCTACTCATCTGACAAAGGGCTAATATCCAGAATCTACAATGAACTCAAACAAATTTACAAGAAAAAAACAAACAACCCCATCAAAAAGTGGGCGAAGGACATGAACAGACACTTCTCAAAAGAAGACATTTATGCAGCCAAAAAACACATGAAGAAATGCTCATCATCACTGGCCATCAGAGAAATGCAAATCAAAACCACTATGAGATATCATCTCACACCAGTTAGAATGGCAATCATTAAAAAGTCAGGAAACAACAGGTGCTGGAGAGGATGTGGAGAAATAGGAACACTTTTACACTGTTGGTGGGACTGTAAAGTAGTTCAACCATTGTGGAAGTCAGTGTGGCGATTCCTCAGGGATCTAGAACTAGAAATACCATTTGACCCAGCCATCCCATTACTGGGTATATACCCAAAGGACTATAAATCATGCTGCTATAAAGACACATGCACACGTATGTTTATTGCGGCACTATTCACAATAGCAAAGACTTGGAACCAACCCAAATATCCAACAATGATAGACTGGATTAAGAAAATGTGGCACATATACACCATGGAATACTATGCAGCCATAAAAAATGATGAGTTCATATCCTTTGTAGGGACATGGATGAAATTGGAAACCATCATTCTCAGTAAACTATCGCAAGAACAAAAAACCAAACACCGCATATTCTCACTCATAGGTGGGAATTGAACAATGAGATCACATGGACACAGGAAGGGGAATATCACACTCTGGGGACTGTGGTGGGGTTGGGGGAGGGGGGAGGGATAGCATTGGGAGATATACCTAATGCTAGATGACACATTAGTGGGTGCAGCGCACCAGCATGGCACATGTATACATATGTAACTAACCTGCACAATGTGCACATGTACCCTAAAACTTAGAGTATAATTAAAAAAAAAAAAAAAAGAATTAATTAAAGTGTTACATATTAGGCAATAATTGAAATCAACTGAAACATTGATTAATGAAAGACTGTATATTATATTAAATGTATAATTGGAATAGTACATTTTAAAACTATGGTAGATTCCTATTTACTCTGTACTGAGTATGTTATTAAATAAAACAAAATTAAATTAATAAAGGCTCTTTATTCTAAAATAATTTTTCTGGAATAAATATATATATGTGTGTATGTATATATGTGTATTATGCATCAATAGAAAAATATGAAGAAATATACATGCTAACCACTAAGAGCTATTACGACTACAGGACTCAATTTGAAGTGCAGACAGTGGGAGGTATTTTGAGCATAGGAATTTTTGTATTTGATTCTATACTCCTGATTTGCTTGACTTTAAATAAGTATACATGTCTACTGTATAATTAGATAATATTATCAGTTTTCTATTGAAATTACTCACATAGAATAACAACCAGTGCCTATAAAAATTGTCTTATCTAATATGGAGGGGAATGGCCCTTACATTTCTTTCAATTATCATTATAATAGAACAAAACCAAACAAGCAAATTATTTCAATCTTTTTTTTTCCTTAATGGCTTAAAAGCTCTGCTCAATTTCCTGAAATGCTCCATAGTCATTAGTACCTGATATTCTGTGACATTGTTAAAAAAATTGAGCATTTGTATGTATACACATTTCCTTTTTATTTTTTTGTAAAGAATAGAAAATGAAAGCACAGGGAATCCTGTGCTGTGCAGGCAGTGCACCACCTCAGAGCTATCAATGGTGTTGAAGTCGTTGGTACATAACAAGAAACGGCAACTCAGTAACAGCCTCAGGCGCAATCTCTACCTTTGTCATATGTTTTCGTTTTCCATAACAAAGTATTTATCAAAGCATTGGACAGGCATCACTAATCAAATTACAATGATATGTTTTGGGTTTTGATGGGCAATCTTTCAGAATGCCCTCAAGTCCATTCACCAATTTTTCTGGACATCCCTTCCTCTGGGCTGAAGTGCTCTGCTGCGAAGCACACAGCCTTGGAAAATAGGATGCATTTCAGATCCCCTCACCTCTTCCGTGAGACATTTGGGCCCAATTTGGTGGGAACATCCAGCACAACCACATATGGTAACTGAACAACACCCTACAGACATGTGTCATGAAAGGAACTGAGACAGAGGAGATTAATGAGCTAATGACTGAGCACCATTGCCAGCTGCTAATGATTTGAGATGAGGGGATTGATGGATACAAAGTTATAATTTATAGCTACAACTGTGAGACCTAATATTGTTTAAAAATCTGGCTTGTATAATTGATTATTTAGATCCTCATTATTAAATTATTATACAGAGAGGGCCAAATATGTGTGTGTGTTGTGTGTGTGTGCATGTTTTGACATGAGAAATAGGTTCATGTTTTACATGAAAACATGAGATGTTGGCTAGGATTATTTCCAATCCCTTTTTCCTTACATAACAATGCACTGGAATGCATAGTGACTTTTACTTGCCACTTCACCTCTAAAATACATTTGACTACATGGTCATTTATCTAAATCAGAAAAAATGTAAACTTCGCTGAACATAATTTGAGAATAGTTTCAACCCAGAGTCATCTTTCCAAGAAAATAAGACCAGAAATAAATGGCTACAATTTCATACCATTCACTGCATCTGCACCATTGGGTAATATGAGTTTACAGCAGTTTCCATCAAGAACTGGTGTCTATTTCCTTACTTGTTGGATCTGACTGGCCTGGGCCTGGTGACTTGCTTTGGTTAACAGAATGTGGCAGAAGCAGTGGCGTGCCAATTCTCAGCCTATCCTTCAGGGGGCCAGGCAAATTCATGCTCCCTGTCTGGAACCCATGTCATGCCATGCCAACAACCCATGCTAAGTTGCTGGGGGATGAGAGACCATTTTGGGGACAGCTTAGGTGCTTCAGGCAGCTTCCAGCCAACCACCATAACAGAGTCACCTAACTGACCCGTAAGTCATCATAGACACATGAGGAACCAGAAGAATCATTTAGCTGAGATTAGACGAATGAGGAGCTAAATAAGTGGTTATTGTTTAAATAACTAAATCTTGAGGTATTTTGCTATACAGTGATACCTTAACAATGGTGGACCACATAACGCCAAAATAATGTGGAAATATGAGGATAAGGGAATGTTAGAATTACCTTTTGTACCATTTAATCATCAGCTATTTCTGTATTTTTAAGTTACGCTTCTGATTTTTTTAAACAAATTTATACCTAAAGTCTGCCATATTGTCTATTTCAAAAGAAGTATGATAGACCATCAATGTTTCTTGGAAAATAGGAAAATTTATATGTTTGATATGGTTTTTATAAAACCAAAAGTTATATTTGAATTTTAACTGTATTCAGCATATATACTTAACATTGTATCAAAAGTGTATAATTTAGTGGTAGCATACACATAATGATAGCATACACACAATGATTGACTAATAGATAGATAGATGATAGATGATAGATAGATAGATAGATAGATAGATAGATAGATAGATAGATAGATAGATAGATAGATGTGGTAGGTAGACTTCTAAGATGCCAATAATTCCTACTTCCCAGTATTCATGCCTGTGTATAATCCTCTCCTCCGGAGGGTGGGCTAAATTTAGTGATTTGTTTCTAACCAATAGAATTTGGAAAAACAGTGGGATGTCACTTCTGTGATCAGTTTACAAAAGTTTATCCCTTCTGTGATTAGGTTATGAAAATGAATTGTTGGTAGCAGAATCTTTTTACTGCTTTCTCGACTTACATGTGTTGATGAAGCAGGCTGCCATGTTGGAGAGGCTCTTTCCTATAATGTGCTGTAGCCAAACAGCCCCTAGGCACATACTCTGAACTGTTCTACCAGTCAGAACTGCTGTGCTCCTTCTCTCACCAGAAGATGCCCAACCTGAGTACCTTGTTTGACTATTGCTAATACAACCAGTACTGGCATCCATAGACAACTCAGTTGGTTTCTAATATATCTGAGATCTCATTTTCTCAATTCCTTCATTGGATCACCTGGTATATCACTTTATACAACTCTTTATATTATAATTTCTTTCTCCTTTATCTATTCATTGAGACTGTCGGTTCAAACGTGCAGAAGCATATTTATGTGTTTTCTAGATAAACCAGAGCAGAAGAGTGTTAGGAAGTCACACAGCAAGGCAGATTGGTCCCAATAAAAATCAACTAGCCCACAGTATAACGAGGTTAACTCACTCTCCTATCCTCTGCAATGACTACTTTTACATTTCTCCAATAATACTCAAAACTTTAATATTTCATCCACCATTTTTAGTAAATGCATTTATATCATACTTCCCAGAGAAGCTGAGACACTACATTCCTTTCAGAAAAATTGATTAGCATTGACTACCAATATAAAAACCTACCTACAACTGTCATCATTCTCACATCCTTTGATTTTATATTTGAAGAGTTGTTAATTTGCTTCTGAGAATAATCCCTGTGGCTGTCTCCCCGGAAAAAGACTGATTTTTAATCTCTTCTGTTGAGTCAGCACCTGTAAACTAAATCTTTTTTCTGAATACTTAAACATGTTCAGAGCTCAAACTTGAGTCCATATTTATTTCAGGTTTTATATATATATATATATATATATATATATATACACAAAATAGTTATATAGTATATATTTACATACTGTATAATCTGTTTGGATGGCACTTTAATGATTCAAAAAATTGTTAGCTTTGACTAACATGGGTCAGCAGAAATAGAAAGGAATGAAGATAATTTAAAAATAAACACAGAGAGAAGGGAGAGACTGTGTCAAAGATGAATGTTGGGTTTCTGGCATACAAAGCGGAATCAATGCTCTTATCATTAAGCAAGATCAGAAGGGCTGAAAGTGAAATAATTATAAAGCAGAGACTATGAATTTAGTTTTTTGCATGTGTATTTTGAAGTACTTTTGTAGCCTCCAAGTGTGTCTGTATATTGTATATGTATACAGTATACACTTGTATATATGTATATATATGTGTATTTTGAAGTACTTTTGTAGCCTCCAAGTGTGTCTGTATATTGTATATGTATACAGTATACACTTGTATATATGTATATATATGTGTATTTTGAAGTACTTTTGTAGCCTCCAAGTGTGTCTGTATATTGTATATGTATACAGTATACACTTGTATATATGTATATATATGTGTATTTTGAAGTACTTTTGTAGCCTCCAAGTGTGTCTGTATATTGTATATGTATACAGCATACACTTGTATATATGTATATATATGTGTATTTTGAAGTACTTTTGTAGCCTCCAAGTGTGTCTGTATATTGTATATGTATACAGCATACACTTGTATATATGTATATATATGTGTATTTTGAAGTACTTTTGTAGCCTCCAAGTGTGTCTGTATATTGTATATGTATACAGTATACACTTGTATATATGTATATATATGTGTATTTTGAAGTACTTTTGTAGCCTCCAAGTGTGTCTGTATATTGTATATGTATACAGTATACACTTGTATATATGTATATATATGTGTATTTTGAAGTACTTTTGTAGCCTCCAAGTGTGTCTGTATATTGTATATGTATACAGTATACACTTGTATATATGTATACAGATACCCTTGGAGGCTACCAAAGTACTTCAAAATACACACGCAAAAAACTAAATTCATAGTCTCTGCTTTATAATTATTTCACTTTCAGCACTTCTGATCTTGCTTAATGATAAGAGCATTGATTCCGCTTTGTATGCCGGAAACCCAACATTCATCTTTGACACAGTCTCTCCCTTCTCTCTGTGTTTATTTTTAAATTATCTTCATTCCTTTCTATTTCTGCTGACCCATGTTAGTCAAAGCTAACAATTTGTTTTGAATCATTAAAGTGCCATCCAAACAGATTCTCCATGTGTACTCTGGGCCTTCATCAATCTTTATAATGTAACCAATATTATCTTTTCAATAGAAACTGGTAAAGATTTAATTAACCCCAACCATTCTTTTCATCACTCTATTCTTTATTACCCCCCTTTTACTTCAGGAAAAGTTTGCACTTTTAAATCTAAATTAAATATAAATAACATAATAATTATTATATTATATATTGTTTATATATAATATAACTTATATTTATTAAATATAAACAGCTTATTTGTATTTAATTGTTTATATTTTTAATTAAATATTATTTGATGAATAATAAATATAAATAACTTATAATAATATATTATATATTATGTATATAACTTATGTTAATTAAATATAAACATTATTTGTATTTGTTTATATTTTTAAATTAAATATATTATTTAATAATAAATTAAGTATAAACAATTAATATATGGTAATAGGTACATATGTTATCTATTTGTTTATTTATTTTTAATAGGAGAAAAAGGCATACAAAATTTATTTAATGTACATAAGCAAGGGTAATCACAGGAAAATGATTACCTGATAACCCAATGAGGTCCAGATGCTTACATACCCTTCTTTATAGAGCAAGGGGTAAATAACAAAGTTCCTTTGAGCTCTGAGGGAGATGGTGAGAAAGCAAGTGGCAGAGCGTCACTGTGAACAAAGGTAGTCTTTTTATCCAGATAAAGCTTCCCAGGTAATCTCTTTGAGCTGCCCTCAGAAGCATAGAAGAGAGGTCTGTCTAGGTGTGGTGATGATTCTCAGTCTCTTTTCTTCTCTGGTGGTTAATCTTTTCTGGTTATTTGATGTGATTCTTAGGAAGGGTTTTGTTTTTTTTTTTTTTAAACAATTGCATTTCTTTTGGAAAGCAGCTTTCTTAGTCAGAAAAGGAAATTCTAGAGAGAGCCCTTTTTTTCTTCATGAAGAAAAAAGATCAGAGAGACAGGGAGGAGGGGAAAGGTCAGAGAAAGACCTTGGTTCTGAGGCTTGTTTCTAAAGATCCTTCAATTTTCTTTAATTCCAAGCACTCACATGCCAAGGTGTCATATTTTGGGGTATTGCTTTCTGTACCCAACAGGCCTCACAACTACATTTTCAAGATCTATTCTTTTGTTTTAAACTTAGGTTTTCTGTCCTTTAAAGGTACTCTGTGGTCTATATAAATGTAAGTAACTTAATACCTATTGTGGGTAATGTCAACTATTTTGTAATAAGATAGAAAAAGATTATAAAGCATCACCTAAGTTCTTAAAAGGAAGTCTGAATGGAAAGGACTACTTCTTCATCTATAAAGAGGGTAAGTTTTGAAGAGTCTCTCTGTCACTCAGAAATAAGATCCAAAGGGAGAAAGAAGTTCAGTAAGGTTTCCAGTAACTTCCAGCTATTAACACAAAATGGAGGGAGTCAGGAAGTTAGATAAGGCAACTGCTTTTAAGGTTTTATTTTGTTAGATTGCGACATTAGTAGTTTTCCCAAGCTCATTATTTATGGTATCTTTTTTTTCCATAGGTTTTTGGGGGAACAGGTGGTGTTTGGTTACATGAATGAGTTCTTTTTTTCTTTCTTTGTTTTTTTTTTTTTTTTTTTTAAGATGGAGTTTTGTTCTTGTTACCCAGACTGGAGTGCAATGACATGGTCTTGGCTCACTGCAACCTCCACCTCCCGGAGTCAAGCAATTCTCTTGCCTCAGCCTCCTGAGTAGCTGGGATTACAGGCACCCACCACCACACCTGGCTAACGTTTTTGTATTTTTAGTAGAGATGGGGTTTCACCATGTTGGCCAGGCTGGCCTCGAACTCCTGACCTCAGGTCATCCTCCACCTCGACCTCCCAAAGTGCTGAGATTACAGGCATGAGCCACCGCGCCCGGCTGAATAAGTTATAGTGGTGATTTCTGAGATTTTGGTGTTCTCATCACCCGGGCAGTAGATACTGTATGAAATTTGTAGTCTTTTATCCCTTACCTTTTCAGAAAAAAAAGTGTTCCCATTAGCATATATTTGTATTTATACTTAATTCTTATCTCCATGAGCTAGAAATTTGTATGACCCTATAAAAATAATTTCTTAATAATTATCAAAGTGAATGAATGAGTCAATGATGTGATCACATTCCTAAATAGTTTCTTCATACTTCTGGTAAACACCAGACTTCTGTCTATGACCTTTGAGGACCTACAGTGTCCCTGCCCACCTCTGCAGCCTCAGTGAGCGTGATGATCTGTTCAGCTTCAGCTACATTCAACTTAATTTGGTTCTTGGAATTTCCATACTTTTTCACATATTTACTACTTTTACTGTGTTGCATGCTCCTCCTAATATCTGTGAGCTTAGAGCAGGAGTAGGCTCATGGAGAAAACTACCTTGTATTTAAAATGTTAATTATATAATTATAAAAGCTAATAAATCTAATAAACTATAAAATAAAATGTCTTAATAAAAATGAAACTTAGAAATGTATATAAAGTTCAGATTTTTATCTGACTGAAATTATGACAAAATTGTCCAAGACAACTAAATTTATTATTGTACAAGTTTCAGGGTTTTGTTGAAGGGAGATTGATATTTATGCACCTAATAATTAAAAGTAGTGATTTTGTTAAAATGAAGGTAATGAAGGTTAACAAAATATATATGACGTTTTAACAAAATTTCCATCCCTGTTCTTTCAACAAAACACCTAGGCTTATTCAAGGATAATTAAATTTCTTCAAAACTATTATTAAATGTAAAAGGCAAATTATAAATAATGAAAAATAAAAAATACAAATCAAAGTTACTTAAGTTAAACTGAATCTAAACACTGAAAATGTAGCAAAACATTATATATCTTTATAAAAATGAATGCTATATTTAACTTCAATTTTGTTGCCAAAATAAATAACCGATGCAACACTTCACTAATATTTCATCTAACATTATAAATTTAAGAATGATATGAATTTTTAATACTGTAAAGTGCTCTTCAACCACTATTTGCCATCACTGTGAATGCAGTGTTAATTCATGAGTACTTTAGTTCCACACAATGGAATGTGAAAAGAAACAAGAAAATAGGCTGTCAGCACTACTAGGAAAGAAGAATTCTTTATGTAAGAATTGATTAAGTTCTTACTATCTGAGAAGAAGAATTTGACAGTTAATAAATGTGTCTTTTTACTTACCTAACAGCTCCCACTGATCAAATCTTCACTGAGCTATAAACCTATGTCTAATTTTGACATTGGCAATGGGAAAATCTATAAACCCTCACAGCATTCAGACATAGTCACCTTGTGTTTCAAGCATATGGGGAACGAATTGTGGAGTTTTCCTGGGCCACCAATGACAGTGGTGAGGATGATTACTTGAGGTTATGGGCTGTACTGTATCTGTGCAAATCTCTATCCTGAGTGCTACTTCTGAGCCTGCACACTCTTTATTAAATTTATTTTGCTTGCATTTGTAATATTCAGAGTGTCTATTGCACAGTACCAAGGATCATAAAGTCTTTATATGTCATACATTTTCCCTCTCCATAGAAATATCCTGCATTGTAAATGCCTACATATCTTTCAGAGCTCATTCAAATATTAATTTCCCAGAAAGCTTTTCTGAAGCCATGGACTAGGTCAGTGTGTTCAGTGTACCAGTCAGTATATTTTAAACTGCCTGCTATAATAAGAACACTCCAATATCTCCATGACTTTACACAAAGAAAATTCATTTCTCAATCACCCAAACTGTGATGCAAGATAGACATCCTTCATCCACCTTGAACCAACCTCATGTGGATTACATGGCTCCATGGCTACTGAAGAGGAGGAAGGGAGAGATGGAGGCAACATGCTGACGACTGTTTGTTCTGACCCCGAACTGACTATCATTTACCTTCAATCCATTGATCAAAACTAGCACCATTCCTAACTCTAAGGTATGCTGCAAAATACGAAAGGACTCATAGATAACCACTAAGAAATAATTCAGGCAATCTTTCTGTTTACCAAGTATCCCTTTGTTTTGTTCTTTCCATCAAAAGAACAGTTCCTGACTTCTCTGAGAGAATCCACACAAAGTCCCCTCTTATTAATGTATCCACGTAAACATCTAAGATTGCTAAATGATGCAGTAACCTCTTCGTCACCTGTGGAATTTTCTTTCTTCAGTCAAAAGAGATACATAAATGAAAATTACTTCCACCTTCACACACCACATGCTCAAAATAAAGTGGTGAAATATGAAGTGGAAAACTGCAATAATCACTTTATTAAGAAAGAGAAAAGATGAGAAGATGTAGCGATCACTGATCCTTAGCAATTCTAAAGTCCCATTGGTCAGGCATTAGTAAAGCCTGCTATCTTTAGGGTGTAGGGGAATTCTTTAAGGAGGATTTGAATCCTTTCTCCAGAGAAGCCCCTTTGTCTTTATCTACTTTTTTGTGTGTGTATAAAGAGGGTTTGAAAGACTACATCCTTGAGTGCTGTTCAGCTTTCACAGCCTTTTCCTTGTGAAAAGTATAAATGCCTAAATAATGTTTTAAGGCTGATAAAGTTAAAAATTTTGTAAAATTTGGATTTGTGATTTCTTTGGCAATCGAATTATTCAAGACTATTGTAAGCTTTTGTCTATGGTTTCCAGTCTCTTCCATCTTCCATTAAATGCAGTCAAGTTCCTTCCTGGTGACAGGCTCAAGTGTGATTCCTTTGCTTCCTTGCCCCGTGGGCATCTGCCTTACTCTAATGCTGGCTTCCTTGAAGCCATTAGATTTGCTTGGGGAAGGTCAACCACTTCATCAGACTTTTGCTCTGAGTCACTTGATCCAACTGAGAGTTCGGTATCTGCCACACCTTAAATCTCATTTTTCTTTGAATGCAATTGAGCCATTTTTATTGACCATTTTTAATTTTTCTGTTAACCTTTGCATTTAACATTTTAAAAAGTCAACACCAAAACAAAACACAATCTTAATTTCTTCCTGAATTATCTTCTTTCTTGTAATCACATACCAAACATAGACAAGAGGTGTTAAATTGCATTACTAATCTTATATTTTTCAAGTTATTCCTCATATCAACTTTTATACATATTTTGGCTGATAATTTTCTTAAAGTATTTACTGTTTCATTTTCTATTCTCCAACTTGTTTTTTTTTTTTTTAACTACCTACTTCCCCTAAAACTCTGCCACACATTTGAATTTCTTAAAGCAGCAACCCATTTCAAGGTAGCAAAATTTCTACCTTAGTAAGGCTAGGCAACGTCCAACTTGGTTTGCATGGCCATTTTCTGTCATGGATCTGTGCCATCTGAAACATACAGCCTCCAAAGTCACTATGAAAGAGACATGTAAAGCAGACAAACCATCTCAGCTCATAGGAGACACATATTGTTATCTGCATATTATTCGTTGACTGAACTCATTGCATGTTTCCAAAATGTTTGTAATGGGTACTGGGAAATAAAAAGGAGCTTATTGGACACCAGTGCACATCAACTGTCTATGCCAGTGTCTATCTTAAGATTTCAAAACCCAGTATTATTTTGGTAGGATTTGCTTTTATTTTTATTCACTCAGATCTGACCTCATAGTTAGCATACCTGTCCCTTTTCCCCAAGCTTCCAGCAAATCATATCCAGAAGCCAGATGTCAATTTCCTGCTCCATCCAAAATACAGCCCTGAAGCCAAGCTCACAAAACAAACAAGCAAACAAAAAAACTTACCTAGAGAGAGCAAGCTCCCAAATAGCCTTCTTTACCTGTTAGTTCAGGGGTGGGATGGGGGCAGACGTAGATCCAAAATGCTTTCTTAATATATGTTTTCTTTGACTTTTTCTCAATTTGGGAAATATTTTAATCTATTTGTATAAATATTGGGCACACATACATTCACATATATAAATTTTCATAAATATGCAAATTTTTAATTTTCTGCTGTTTTTTATGCCTTACTTCTCTTTTCTCTTTATTCTTCATCTCCATACGCAACAGTTTCTGTTACCATAACCAGAAACCCATACAAAAACCCTATATATTTTTATCAATCCTCCTATAACTATATAGATACATATTTGTGTATATGCATGTATTAAACACATATAAAAGCTTATTTTGGCAATTATTTTAGAGACTTATATGTATCTTACTACTTCATATATATAAATATATATATTTTTTGGTTTTTTTTGAGACAGAATCTTGCTCTATTGCTCAGGCTGGAGTGCAATGGCACAATCTTGGCTCACTGCAAAACCTCCGCCTCCTGGGTTCAAGCAATTCTCCTGCCTCAGCCTCCTGAGTAGCTGGGATTACAGGCACCCACAACCACGCCCAGCTAATTTTGTATTTTTAGTAGAGACGTGGTTTTACCATGTTGGCCAGGCTGGTCTCGAACTCCTGACCTCAGGTGATCCACCTGCCTCGGCCTCCCAAGGTACTGGGATTACAGGCGTGAGCCACAATGGCCAACCATTGTTTTACAAAATTATATGGGATATGTATATTTAGATTTTTAGTATATATACTTTATATACATATATGTATATAAATGAATATGTATGTACATATATACAGGATTTTATAAATAAAACTTTGAGAAATTTTGTACTAGCATATTATTTTTATTGACTACATGGTATTCTTGGTGTGGATTTGACTTCATTTATTTAAGCATTTCTCATTTGCACATTTCCTTGGTTTGCTAGTCTTTGCCACTATAAGAATTTGTGCAATAAGTACGTTTTTGTGGCCATATACTTTTATTTCTGTGATAAAAATTCCCAGGAGTAAGACTGTGAAGTCAAAATGTATATGTATTTTTAATTTTAATAGATATTACTACATTGCTTTCCAAATAGGCTGTGACAATATATGCATCCACCAATGATTTGTGAGATTATTCTTTTTCTCATATCCAGCACAATAGAGCTAGATTTAATTACAGTGCCATTAGAGAAGATGCTGATCTAGTAGGACAAATGTATCTCATGGTTTTGGTTTTTCATGTTTTTTTTATGCTAATTTCCAGCCAGATTTACTGAATTAAAAAGAAAAAAATTATTGTGCCCTTCTAAAAGTATATAACTTCTATAATAATTTGGGAGAAATGAATACTGTTTTTCAAAATTATGAAATATTTTCATCCCAAGTATGTGGCTTACTTTTCCATTTGCTGAGATTTTCTTTATGTCTTCTGATATGATTTTATTGTGTTATTTATGTGGGTCCTTTGCCTTTCTAGTGGGCATTGTTTCTAGGCATTTTATTGTTATTGTATCTATTGTGGAACAAACTGATTCCCAATTCAACTTCTGGCATGTCCTGCTATCCCAGAGATAAACTACAGATTTGTTTATAGCTTTTGTCAATTTTCAGTTTAGCAAAGCACTATCAGAAAATACTATTGGATAAACAGAATTACTGAATTTTTTAAAAAAATCTTTGCTTGATTCTTTTTTTTTCTGAGATGAGGTCTCCCAGTGTTGCCTGGGCTGGAGTGCAGTGGCACGATCTTGGATCACTGCAGCCTCTGCCCCCTGGGCTCAAGTGATCCTCCCACCTCAGCCTCCAGAGTAGCTGGGACTACAGGCATGTGCCACCATACCCAGCTAATCTTTGTATTTTTTGTAGGGATGAGGTTTCACCATGTTGCCCATGCTGATCTCGAACTCCTGAGCTGAAGCCATCCTCGGGCTTCTGCCTCCCAAAGTTCTGGGATTACAAGTGTGAACCACTCCTCCCTGCTGGATGTTGGTTGATACTTATCAGCACCTCAAAAAGGGAAAGACGAGAAGAATGAAGTTTTAGAGCTTGGACTGAATAACTGAATTTAAGACAAGCATTGCAAAGTTGGGAACTACTTGAGATTGGGCAGTGTGTATGACAGAATAACTGTAGACTCATGGGCATGGTGAGATGACGTCTTCCATCAAAATTTGGTCAACAGGCTTCTAGTCTTGATAATTCAGACGTCTTGTGTTTTTGTTGATTCACATTGTATTTTCAGAGCATAAATATTTCATAGAACCACACTCTAATATATCTTTTATTTCCCTTAGTCTTAATAATACAGTCACAAAAAAAGTATTCAGGTAACTGTACTTTTTTTTTTTTTTTTTTTTTTTTTTAACCACTGGGGGAAAACTACATTGGTTAAAGTTCTCAGACCTTTCCCTCTTTAGTCACTAGTCTGCCCACCATGGAGATTACATCACAGTCTGTGAACATAAGCCATTTAAATCTTCACTGTTTTTCTGCTGTATTGTGGATATACGAAAAGGCTCTGCTGGTAGTCTTTCCAACGTTTATCGGTACCAGATTTCTTTTGTTGTTTTTATTTGAAGGTCATTTGTTGGATCACTTGATGGAACAATGTCTATGCAGCAGTTTTCCACACTATGGAGATGACACATTCAAACATCATAGCACAAAAAATTACCAAGAGAAGGATCTAATTCAGGGTTTGTAGTCATGTTTTAAACAGGAGATAATAGTACAGAAACTCTATTTCTGTGCAAGTTTGGCCACAAAGATTAACTCCAAGGAATGGTTGCTGAGTATTGTTATTGTTAAGACAGATACCTCCATATCTAGGCATGATTTAATAGTTTTTTTAATATATATTTCTGACCATCTGATCCAGTATTTTATGGTCATCTAAAACATCATTTGGTGCTTGAGTCCATTAATGGAGGAAATTATCTTCCTTATTACATGAAACTAGTGTCAGAAGAAATTAGCTGCCATCCAAATGAATGCAAGTATAAACACAGTAATTATACAGGAGGTTTATTTTAATCTAAAGACAGGTATTGAATACACAAAAAGGGGTGACCAAAGGTTCCAAAAGCAAAACGAAGAATAAAATATTTATGGATATCATAAATAAGAGGTTAAGGAATCTGTTAATAATCTAGGCAATGAATACATGAAGAGGAAAGAATATAACTATGAGAGAAGAAATGTAAGCAGATTAAAACATGGCAAGCTGTGCCTCTAATCATTTGGAGTTTGTTTTCTGGATTGTGTGTAGAAACTGTCTCCTTTCTGTACTTATCGTCTTCATCAAAGTTCTTGATAAAAGGTTATATCCTCTCAAAAATTGACTAGAAGCTTCTAAAGGGCCCTGGCCTAAGGTTTTAAGCTAAGATAGATTTTCATGATTTGAAGAAGGCTTAGATCTCTTAAATTGTGAGATAGAAAGCTAAGTCTCAAAGTTGTAGAGTTTTATTGTTGCTGTAGCTGTTGACAACCTCTAGTAATCATTTTCCTTGAGGCTCAACTACACATATTCTTTGATGTCTCACCCAGAAGATAAAATTTCCTGTACCAGAATCAGAATTATAAGAGTGGAATCACTTTTTGAGATGTAGCACAAAATTAATATATAATGATGCGTTTAATTATACTCCAGGGGTAAATAATGCTATATAAAGTGAGAGTACTGAAAATCTTCAGGGTTTCTTGGCTTATATCTTATATTATGATTATCCCTGACTAACAACGAAATTAGAACATAGTAATTTAGGAATACATCTTTTGGTAGAAAGCTTCTTTAAACAGTCTTTGACTATAAAAACAAATGTGTCCTTGAGAACTACACAGTTATTTAAATATATTGGTATTTGTAATTTATACATAGTTATGAAAATTGAAATTTATTTTTTTGGTCAGGATTTTTAGCCTAAATTCAATCAACTAAAGAGCTTTAGTAGGAGTATTAAGTTAATCAAAATTTAAATAACGCCAAAGAATCCTAATTATTTCTATTAAATTCACTTTATATGGAGAAAGAGCAAAACTTTATGTTACCTGGTGATTGTTCCAAGAAACCCCTCTCTGCACAAGTTAAAGTTTATAAGGCTTTTTCATAGTTTAGTTTGCTTTGAAATTTAGAATCTGAATTGGGGAAAGACAAAAAAATACTGAGAGGGGTCATCAGAAGAGACAAATAGTAAGGAAATAATGGTATATAAATAAAGAAGTGGTTATAAAAATGTTTCGAAAATACACAGCAAAAAATATCACTGAATATTAAGAACTTAATTCTTTTTCAAAAATAAAGACATTTTGTCAAAATGATTCAGGATTATTTCAAAAATTTCAACTAATTAGGTAAATATTTTGATAATGCAAATTGTATCTAGATACAGAAAAATGTGGTCACTTTATAGAAAGAGAACACTAATTCTAATTTTGTTTTTTACGTATCTCCCATACAACAATGTTTGGTAAATTATTCATAAGTCTTCTTCTTCATGAATAAAACCCTTAACATTGACACTACTTTGTAAAACTTAAACAAAATACACTTTCTTTTTTCAAATTCACAGTTCATAGACATCATCAAACCAGAGATACAAGCTTATCTTTCAGGTCTTTTACATTTTTCCTGTGGTCTCAAATTTGTCTTCTATTTTATTTTAAAATTATTTATAAATATTTAAAATTAATTAATGTTAATGGACACATGAATAAAAAACGTTTTAAGTTTGGCATTGAATTATGCAAATGATAAAATTAAGTCTAGATTGTCATTTTGGAATTGTTTTAATAGATGTATCATTATGTAAAATAAAATTCTATGCATGTAAAAATTCCCTTAAGAAAACCCTTCTTTGTTATCTCTGATTTGTATTTTATTTCTCAGATCATTTAAAATAATTATCTACTTTGGAATATTTGCTAGAATTTTGTTTGTATACAAGATAAAACTAAAGACAGAAACAAAGAACTATCTATTTTACTAACTGTTTCTCCACAGAATATGTTTAACTGACAAATTTTCAGGTGATTACATGTGTATATACATGAACACATATTCTGTTAATGGAGTTATTTTTCTATAAAAAATTTAAAATGTTAGTTTAAACTTTGGTTAGTTAATAAAACATCTATTTTTTAATATAGAAATTTTACAGGTTTCTAAAGACTATTAATTTAAATTTAATATGTGTCTAGGCTCTTTACATTGATCAAAATCGTAAAATTGTAATTTAAGCCAAGAAAACATTTTTTAATGATTTGCAGGATTACGAGATGTCATAGTAATAAACCCTTTGAACTTGAATAATAAACTCTTTAAAAGAGATAAAATATTAAACTATAATTTCATTAAGCATAACTTTATATTTTAAGATTTAAGCAATTTGTGGAAATAATTTACCATAGAATTATGGGCCCTTAGAAATATGCTAGAGATGCAAACAGTGTGAATTGAGAATTAAATGCAGGTCTTCTGCCAAGTAAAATGTATCCTAACATTTTTTCCCCTCTGTTATAAATCAAAGACAAGATACAATTATTTTTAATACAAAAAATAATTTGTTCAATAACATTTCCACATATTATGAATATAATGTAAACTCTTTTGAATATAAATCTCATTTGCACATATAAAAGAATACTTGCAAAGCTCTAAGAGTATAACTTTTCTTCTTGTAAAAGTACAAAGATTTTTACTCAAACTCAAAATTGTTTCACTACTACACAAAGTAATAAAAATATTTAGTATTTTTTATATATTTTGCATATTATTGAAAATGTACTTAATTGGTTCTTTCTAAAGTATAAACAAAAACTTCAGAACAATATTTTATGGTCGATAAATAGCAAAAATTTCCTATTACTATATGATTAAAAAGCTAGTAAATATTAATCTACGAAGTATGAAACCAATGAAGAGAGTTGTTCTTTTATATGGATCTAAGTAGACTGTCTTCTAGAACTGAAGAATAACTTTACTAAATGCATTTCCCTTTCGTTTGCTGATGAATGTCTCAACTGGACTTGTGTTACTCATTTTCTGTCTAAATACTCTTTAAAATGTTAATAAAAAGAAAAAGGAAAATGCAGAAATTTTACAAGTAAAATTCTAATTACAGAAATTTTTACAAGTAAAATTACATGTTGGTAACTTTATTTTTTCCTCTTTCTCTCTATTTTTCTTTCTCTCTCCCTCCCCCCTCCTCTTTCTTTTCCTCTCTTTAGTATACTTAGCTTAATACTGGGAAAACTTGAATATTTATAGCTCCAGAGAAGAGGCCAGTGGATGGCGGAAAATAAATTTTAGAATGTTATGTAGTTATATTTCAGTTAAATTTAGAGTATTTCTTGCCTTTTTTTAAATTTTGAGTTTTCTTTAGTTAACAGAGGTGGAATATTGATTTTAATACCATTATAATCTTCTGTGTTACCAAAAGCTTTATGGAAATATTTACTGGAAACGTCTCACTACCCAAAAGCTTTAAAGTAACTGGAAATTTTAATAAAAATTGGACACTATTTTCAGTGATAATGTAAAAATCCTACACTCATTACTATTATAAATCTTGTGGCAAAACACTAGATTTGTAGAGATCTCATAGATAGCTTTTAAATTTTATAATGTGCACATAGAGATGGGTGGATAAATGTTCTTTTAGTAGCTATGGAAGCAAAGTCATATTAGATCACTTTATTGTCATTAACATTTTGGAACATGCTAATTTTATGTTAGACAACTGGCTAGCAGATGGATAGCAGAAAGACAGAACTTCCAAATTACACATAAATATGCTTGTAAAATGAATTAGGATAGAATAAAATAGCAGAAATAAGTAATGAAGACCCACCCAAAGGATAAATCAATATAGGTACCATACAATATTCCTTTCATTGTTCAGTTTTTATATCCAGAAAATATTCCCATCATTTAAAGTCAACTAATTTTAAATAGTATCTTACTATAACATAGAACGCATGTTGCAGTACAATCACAGACAAATGGCTTACCAGTTAAAATCCTGTGATTAAAATCCAACAGAATTCTCTTGAACTTTTGCCTTCACATCAAGCAGAGCTTTTACATTTATTTTTCATTTACCCAAACTTCTGGGTCACAATATGATAATTTAAAAAATTAAAGTGGTGACACTATAAGATGACAAACTAGGAGTTCTTTGGTTTTACTCCTCTCCGCAGAAATTCAACTAGTAGCTATCCACAGACAAGAATACTACTGTGAGTATACCAGAACTTGGAAGTGAAGCTGAGATATCCTCTCGGACCACAAAACCAAGAAAAGCCTTGATCAAATGGTAAGAGGGATGGCTGTCTTTGACTGTGTCACCGCTTCTCCAGGACAGCATAGCACCACACAGAGAGAATTTCCCCAGACTTTGAGTTTTTATAGTGGGAAAAGTGAGTTGGAAGTGAACATTCAGCTTCTGTGATCCTTCACAGGAGGCTCACACCTGATTCATTTCATAGGAAACCTTGGTTATATCAATAAGCTAAACCATCTGGGGTCAGTTAGAAACCAAGAACAGGGATGGGGCTCACAGCAACAAGCATGTAGATCTTGGTGGTTGCTCTGCATGTTAGCCAATGAAGAAAACTACCCACCAGCAGTTTTCTGCATTACACTGCAGAAAACATGGTCAGTGGGTCTTCCAGGCTTAAATCTCTGGATGGATTCCCAATACAGCCCAGGAGCTCTCATTGAGTCTTCCCCAGGTTAATTTTAGCCAGCCACTGTGCCAACCATTAAAGCCAAAAGGCTTCAGTCAGGATGGTGCCAGCTGCAGCAATCCTGGACTTAGTGTGCCCTCTAGTGCTACAACAGCTGCAGTGGTCATGGGTTTAGGGATCACAACCTGCTCAGAATGTCTGGACAGGTTTACTGTTGAGGACATTCTCAGTCAAAGCCAGACTGCAAAATCTTCAATAAATATATAATCTTTAAATGAATAGATATTGATGCACAACTAAAAGGATCAAGAACAACCAGGGAAATATTATTATATCACCAAACAGACAAAATAAGCTGCCGGTGACTGACCATAAAGTAAAAGGGATGAATTAACTGCATTCTAAAGAAATTAAAATAGCTCTTTAAAGAAAACTCAGCAAACTTAAATAAAACATAGAGTAATGCATCAGAAATTTAGAGAAATTTAAGAGATTGAAATAATAATAAAAAAACAAGCAGAAATTCTAGAGCTGAAAACACAATGAGCAAAATGAAAAATAAAATAGAGAGCGTCAACAGCAGACAGAAAGAATCTGTGACCTCAAGACAGGTTATTGGAAAACATATTGCTAGAGGAGAAAGGAGAAAAAAATAATGAAAAGTAGTGAAGAAAGCTTACTGGACTTACAGGACACAATTACAAAGGCAAATGTTTGAGTTATTGGTGTCAAGAGGGAGTAAAGAAAGATAAAGGGAGTAGTGTATTTATAGAAATAATGGTAAAAAAAAAAAAAACTTTCCAACCCTGTAGAAGGATATAAATATCCAAGAACAGGAAGGTCAAGAGTCTCCACTCAGATTCAATTCAATTAAGACTACCCCATGACATAACGTAGTCAAACTTTCAAAATCAAAGACAAAGAAAGCATTCTGATAGTAGCAAGAGAAAGAAACAAATAATATGTAAGGGAGTTCCAACACACCTAACAGCAAATTTCTCAGCAGAAATCTTACAGGCCAGAAGACAGTAGGATGATATATTCAAGGTGCTGAATGAACAAAACAAAACAAAACAAAACTGACAATTAAGAAAATAGCACCCAGCAAAGCTCCCTTCAGAAATGAAGAAGAGATAAGACTTTCTCAGATAAATAAAAGCTGAGGGAGTTCATTATCACAAGACCTACCTTACAAGAAATGCTAAGAGAGTTCTTCAAGCTAAAACATACAAAAAATGTTAATGGGTAACACAAAAACATTGAAAGTACAAAATCCACTAGAAAAAGTAAGCGCACAGTCAGAGTCAGAATCCTTTAATTCTCTGTTGGTGGTATATGAATTGTTTGTATCTTTAGTATGAGGATTAAAATAAAAATGTTAAAAGTAATAATAATTACAATAATTTTAAGGAATATGCAATGTGAGGAGGTGTAAATTGTGACAACAAAAATTCAAAATGGAGGGAAGTGAGTAAAGTGTAGAAGGTTTTATTTGCAATCAATATTAAATTGTTATTAACTTATATAGTTATAGAGTTAAAACTGTACAATGTTTTGTCTAAGTTTCATGGTAACTACAAAGCAAAATCTTACACACACAAAATAAAAACAAGAAATCAAAACATACTGCTAAAGAAAAATTAAGCAAAAAAAAGATAGAGGTAAGGAAAGTATCTGCAAAACTACAGCATAAATAACAAAATGGCAGTAATAAATTTTTACCTATGAATAATTACTTTAAACATAAATGGATTAAATTTGCTTATTAAAAGCCATAGTATCGTGCAATGGGTTAAAAAAAAACAACAACACAAGACCCACTTATATGCTGCCAACAACACCACCAAAAAACAAAACAAAACAAAAAACAAAAAAGCATACTTCACCTTCAAGGAAACATATAGAATGAAATGATGGGATAGAAAAAGATATTCCACAAAACTGGATATTTAAAAAGAGCAGAATAGCTATATTCAGATAAAATAAACTATAAATTTAAAACTGTTAAAAGAAGACAGATGAGGTATCATATACTGATAAAGGGGTCAGTTTAGCAAGGGGATATCACAAATGTAAATAAAAATGCACCCAATATTAGATCACCTAAATATATAAAGCAAACATTAATAGATCTGAAGGTGAAATTAGACTGCAATACAATAATAGCAGGAGATTTTTAAACCCACTTTCAGCAATCGACAGACATAGCCTTCTTCAGTGGTGAAGCCCTCACAGAAGCCCTGCTAGCCTTCACAGAAGCCCTCCTATTGTAGAGGGGAAATATAGCATTGGATACCCAACAGAGAGTTCCCACTGGGGCACTGCCTAGTGGAACTGTGGGAAGGGGCCCACCATCCTCCAGATTTGAGAATGATAGAACCACCAGCAGCTTGCACCCTGCACCTGGAAAAGCAACAGGTCAAATTGAGCCTATGAGAACAGCCCCAGGAGCTGGAACCTGCAAAGCTGCAAAGGTGGAGCTGTCCAAGGCACTAGAAGCCCACCCCTTGCACCAATGTGCCCTGGAGGTGGGACATGGTGTCAAAGGGATTATTTTGGAGATTTAAGATTTAATGACTGCCTTGCTGTGTTCTGAACTTGCACGGGGCCTGTAGTCCTTTTAATTTGGTTGATTTCTTTTGGAATGGAAATGATTATCCAATGCCTACACTTCCATTGTACCTTGGAAGTAAACAACATTTTTTAAAAAATTTTATAGGTTCATAAGTAGAAGGGATTTGCCTTCTTTCAGATTAGATTTTGGACTAATAACTAGTTAATGCTGGAATGAGTTAAGACTTTGGGGGACTGTTGGGAAGGCATGATTTTATTATGCAATGTGAGAAGGACATGAGATTTGGGAGAGGACAGGGGCAGAAATGATATAGTTTGGATTTTTGCCCCTGCTCAAATCTCATGTTAAGCTATAATTCCCAATGCTGCAGATGGGGCCTTGTGGGAAGTGTTTGGATCATGCGAGCAGATCCCTCATGGCTTGGTGCTGTCTTTGTGATAGTGTGTTCTCATGAGAGATGGTCATTTAAAAGTGTGTGGTATCTCCTCCCTGCAGTATTTCTGTCTTGTTCCTGCTCTGGCCATGAGCTGTGCCTACTCCCCTTTGCCTTTGACCACGAGGAAAACCTTCCTGAGACCTCCCTAGAAGTAAATGTCAGTGCTATGCTTCCTGTACAGCCTGTGGAAGCATGGGCCAATTAAACCTCTCTTCTTATAAATTACCCAGGCTCAGGTATTTCTTGACAGCAGTGCAATAATGGCCTAACACACATAATTTAAAATTAATAAATTTGAAAAATAAAGATTGCATTTTTTTATTTGAACATTTCAGAGTAAGATAGAATGCAAATTTTAAATATTTAAGGATAAATAGTGGCATAGTGGTGAATAGGTGTTATGAGATTTGCTCTTTGTTTTATTCATTAATTTAGAAAGCACACGTTTTAAATTTGTTAGGAATTTTACATTTTTCGGTTCTTCTAAAAGTGCAAAAATCAATTGGCTTTGGGAAGCAGAAATCTCCTATGTGAGATTAAGTGTAATATTTAAATGTGCCTTTTAGTTATACACATATAAAATAGCTACCTACTCATTTTTTCTTGGGTGATATCTAAATTCACTGAAAGAAAGCATGCCTGCTTCAGATGGCATTATTGGGTATTCTGTTTAGGAGTGGATGCTGAGCTTTGTTAGTGTAATATAAATTGAACATAGGCTTTGGAGTTTATATTGTCTTTAGTGGAAAGCTGCTCTTCTATATGAGTGAGTTAATTGTTGTTTGGCAGAGAAGTTGGGGCTTCTGGTTGCACCATTGTCTATCGAGCACCTTGCTTGGCCAGAACTCCTAAGAGACTTTCAGGAGGATCATCCAAGTCAATATCCTTCTCAGCACAATGGAGAAAATACTGAAAAGGAACTATGGCTTATTTTGGCACCATGCAACCAGACTGATGTGTTAGTGTACACCTGATATTTGAAATTCATTAGCCAGAGTTAATGTCATTTGTTGTCTGTGTTCTTTGTTTTATTTTATTTTCTTTATTTCTCTGCTAAAGAAAAACAGAGTTGGGTAATAGTTTGTGTGGTAAAGCAGATCTTAATCAGGAACTCTTGCAATAGAGGAGAAGAGACTCCATTATAAACCAAACTCAATTTGAAATACAACAATAAAATTGTGTGTTCATAGCCAAGGAATAGTTTGGGTTGGGGGTGGAGCTCAGTAAATGAAAATTCACTAAGAAAAAAATTCAGGGATAAAGGGAGATTCTGGTTAAGTTGACCTAAGAGGATTCTTGCTGAAGGCAGACCAGGGTGAGCAGACATCATCTGCAGGATGGTGGGTGGGGATAAAAGTTTGAAACCAGCCTGACTAACATGGTGAAACCCAGTCTCTACTAAAAATACAAAATTAGCAGGTCATGGTGGCACACTCCTGTAATCTCAGCTACTTGGGAGGCCAAAGCAAGAGAATCACTTGAACCTGGAAGGCAGAGGCTGCAGTGAGCCTAGATCGCGCCATTAGACTTCAACCTGAGCCATAAGAGTAAGGAGGGGTTTGTTCTAAACAGGCTTACCAGAATTCTTGCTGCAACTGGTGGTGCAACGCGGCAGGAACAGGCACTGAAGATCTACACCTAGAGGGCTTAAAGGAGCCTGAATAGAGTTTGGCCAAGGAGAAAATCTTTTTGTTACCTTTCATGGCCATAAATCAGGCTAGAACCCTACACATGAATGCTTTAATCCTCCCATGAAAAACTGTAAAATAATGCTCTGAGAAATCTCTTTCTATGGCCAAATACTTCCCTATCTCAGGTCCATAAAAACCATTATGACAGTTTGACTTCTGAAAAAGCATCCCCACTTGTTCCAGGATTTGGCCCAGCCACGGAAAATTCTCCATTCAAGCAATGAAAAGCACTTTTTCTTTTGAAATGTTCCCTTGCACCCAATCAGAAACTACCAAATGTGCCTGAAGATGGATTACAAATCTCCCACTTCCGAAACTCCCACCTTAAACAAACACTTGCCAATCAGACACTCTTTCAGTGTTTCCTCTTTTGACTCTATAAAGTGAACTCTTCTTTGTCATAACTCTTAATCCCCACTGAAACAAAAGTAATGCTATTTATAATCACCAAAATCTATACAAAATCTCAGCAATACTATTTATATAGCCAAAATCTAGAACAATCACATGCCTATCAACTAGAGAATGGATAAATAATAAAAAAAATCAGTATTCATGCAAAGAACAAATACTTAAACAAAATAAAATGCATAATATAGAACATTATGAAGCCACGAGAGTGTGGTGGATATTATGGATGGATCTCATAAATATAATGCTGAGGAAAGACAAACATAAAACAATGCATATTGTATGATTTCATTTACATTAAATTCACACACAGGAATATCTATTCAAGTGTATTTGAAGTCAGGATTATAGTTACCTAACTGAAGGATAGTGATAGAAAGACAGCAAGGAGTAAGTTTCTGGTTATATGTTTCTTGGTCTGGGTGCTAGAGGGACAGTGTTCATTTTATGAAAATTCAATGAGATAGAAATGGACAATTTATGCATATTTCTGTTTATATGTGCATATTATAATTCTAAAAAGAAATTTTAAAATGTTATCTTCTCTTATTGCCATAGGCTAGAGTTTTATATACCTCCTGAGACATAATAATGTGAAATAAAATAATTTAGGAAATACTTTAAGCAGCATTAATTTTCTCTACTCACAGAAAAAGTAACTTAGATTTATGAAAAAAACATTATCAGTGTTAATGCCTGAGTGTATTAATGGCTAAGAGAAGAGTATTTTTAAAACATTCTCATCTCAGTTCACTCTTTACACCCTATTGTACAAGTATCTATACCTTTAAGAATGAATCAGGTAAAAATAGAAGTGTTTTTCACTCTAATAACATTTTAAAATACACATTTTTTTTCTCTAGGCATGCTCACAATAACATTCTTCAATTTCTATGTTGAATAAAAGCACCATATTAAAATTTCAGGGTGGTTCAAGATCTGGGGCCAAAATTGATTACATAAACAAAATTCAATAAATCGGAAACTCACAGTTCTTATCAGTAGACTGTTGTTTTACAGGTCTATATCACTTCAGAATAGTATTGTTCATAAGACCTTGCTAGGGAATAGGTTTGAATTGTATTCCTACATGGCCCTGAATATCTCATCTCCAAGACAACCAGTCACTAACATATACTTGTCTACCATGGAGTTCATAACATCTTGCCTACATAGTTAGCTTTTCAAGGTTCCCTGAATTATGTGTACAGATTTACACTTAGCTTTTACTTGCTATATACAGTTTTTGCATGAGGATAAAGTCAAATCTAACTCTAAATATAACTATATTTTAAAGCCTTAAAAGTTATAAAATTACCATTGAAAAAGTCCAGGTCAACTATATAGAGAGAATATAATAAGCAAAAATGATCAGTAAGTCAAGTCAAAATCTAATGTTGAAACTGACCCAATAGTCCCATAGACAGCTTTTTTGGATAAACATATAAATTGACCCTTCTGGTCTTAAAAGTTTAAACTAATATTCGTTTTTTTCTGAGTTCTTTCCTCAGGAAAGGATGCTCGGCCTCTCAGAAAGCATGAAAGAACCAAAACTTCCTAGATCCTCTCACCCAGACAATGAGTTGCCAGGCTGCTCATTCATCATGATTGCCTCCTTACCTTTGCTGAGTTTCTGTCTTCCCATGCATGCTTACATTTCTTCACTGCTGTATAAACCTCTACGTTTAGTCAGTCCGGGAGACGGACTTGAGACTAATCTTCCATCCCCTTGGTTGCAGCACTCCATTAAAGCCTTATTCCCTGGCATTACTCATCACCTCAATGATTGGCTTTCTGTGTGGCAAGCAGCAGGACCTAGAACGAACCTCTGTGTTTGGGTAGCAACATGCTGATTTCTCTTAGTACCAAGAAATGTTACTTTTGCTTATACTCATTCATGGACTCCTCATTCATTTGCTTATGTGATTGAGCTTTTTCTTTTGGAATGTCAGTGTTTCATAGTGCTACTTTCATGCTCCATTATGAATTAGAACAGCTGAGTTTACTGTCACAACTACTTAATCTTTTGAAAAGCAAGGGCAATTTTCTAGACCTCCACATTGTTAGAAAATATTGATAGTGGCAGGAGGCAGACAAATCCTAGACAGAAAGGGGCGGGTCCTCAATGAAACCCCAGCTTCAAACCAAAGACAGTTTAAAGCCTGAAAGCCAAGCTCCAAGTCTTGGATAAATCCACAGACTGAATTGAGAACCTCTCTTCCCATTTCGTGCACTTTCCTCTGATTGATTCCCACCCCTCACCTATTTTACATATACCTACACTTCCCTAATTCGTTTTTTGCACTGTCATGCCCACTTCTGAGTGGTGCCTTTTTTTAGCCTTTTTTGTATACTCACAAACAAATCATCATGGACTCCCCCATTCTGAGTCCATAAAAGTCCCGGACTCAGCCACACTTTGGGTCTTTTGATTTTTGGATTGGAGAAAATAGTCACCTTCGGGTGGGGACCCACCAGCTTCAAGTCCCCTCTTTATTGAGAGATGTTCTGCTGCTTAATAAAACTCTTCTCCACCCGTCTTACCCTTCCTTTGTCAGTTCAACCTTATTCTTCTTGGATGCAGGACAAGAACTCAGGACCCGCTGAATGTTGGTATGAAAAAGGCTGTAACACTGTAACCGTCCACCCCTCTACTGATGCAAGGCAGCCACCCCACATGACAGGAAGCAGCAGCGGGACTGGGCCAGCCCCAGAGCCGTGGGCCAGAGCAGGGCTGTGGGACTGAACAAGTTGTAGCATGGACAGGCTGAAGCACGCATGGCCCAGCCACAGGCTGAGTGTGGATCCTGCAGCAAGCAGGGATTCAGGCTGAGGTGCAAGCTAAGTGCAGCCTGAATGGCCAAGTGGGTGGGGTGTCTCTTGTGGAGAGCCCAGAGCTAAGCGAGGCCCAGGCCGGGGCCTTGCCAGCCACAGAGGTCTCCAGCTGGCAAAGCAGCACCGAAAAAATTTCTGTGTCAATATGTTGACAGTGGAATATTATTTGATTATATTAAAATCTGGGGACTCAAGAAGAGAGAAAACCTGTGCATAAAACTGCCTGAAGAACTGCTCAGCCATCCATGGATCTCGACAACTATATGAACATCTGGAAAACCAAACATAAACACTTAGAAGGCTTCATAATTTTAAGGCAAGAGTTAAGAATGTCCTTCACACTTAAAAAGAAAGGTTTATCATTAAAGTCAGGCTAAAGGAACTAAAAATGACAGTCATCAGGAGACCATGGGCCTCAGGTGGGGAAACATCCCTCAGATCTTGTTGCCAAATAGAAGTAGAATTGAATTGGTGTTTTTATTGTAATCAAAGGAGAAAGGCAATAGCCAAATATAGATGAGCTTTTTAAACTCAAGGATAATATTGATCTAACCGGGAAGGCTAAAGAAAGGTTTTGAGGAGAAACTTGGAACTTCTCCTGGAATCTAATATTCTCCTTTCCATTCTTTCTCTCACAGAGCAAACTTCTGCTCCCAGAATTAGGCATACAGGAAGGCAGATACAGAGAAAGACAGAACAAAAATCCATGAGTAGAAACTTCTGTGGGAACTGGTACTAGGGTAGGAAAACCTAAACTGTAAGTAGTGAGTTCTAGAGACTCAATGTGGACAAGTTTGAGAGTTGATAAATCCAGGGATCATACAGAAAACTATACACTTTTGTGAATTTGACCTTCTGGAGTCCTACAAATTCTCACAGTGAAGATAGGAGAAAAAACAACTCTTTCTTCCAGCAGAGGGAGAGGTAAAGTAGACACATTGAAATATGCCCAAAACATTTTGTTTTTAACAATGACTTCCCTCATGAGAAACTACTCACCATAGAGTAAACTGAGTTATGCCAGGGCCTACCTGACCTAGAGTAAGAATACTCAATTCTACCCTACTCTAGCCTTCCACATGGGGGAAGAGAAATATCCAACTCCAGCTACCTCTAGCCATTCTGTCCTTCCTGAAAGCAATGGGGAAACTGACAAGGACTTTTGAAGGTCATAGCCTAGGTATGTTTGCTCATTAAAAGTCTAAGAACTACAGAATGCAAAGAAGGCATTCTGTAGTCTCCTGATTAGTTCTTAGACTTTTAGTTCTTCTCTATCCCCCCAACTCATTACCTCCACATCCCTAAATGCCTATTTACCACAGCTCGTATTACTGAATATAGCATGCCTGTTTTCAACTAAGATTATGTCACATTAAAAAGCAAAAAAAAAAAAAAAAAAAAAAAAAAAAAAAAAAAAAAAAAAAAAAAAAAAAACAAAAACAAATACAAAAAAACAAAAAGCAACAACAACAAAAACCAAGCAAAACACAGTTTTAAGACAGACCAAGCATAAGAACCAGACTCAGATATGGCTAGGATTTTGAAATTAGCAGGCTTGGAATTAAAACAAAAACAATAATTAACATGCCAAGGCATATCAAAGCTTATCCATCAATATCCAGTCAATAACGTAGACAACATACATGAACAGATAAGTAATATAGGCGGAGATGAACATTCTAAGAAAGAATTTAATTAAATACTAAAAACAAAAACACTAACATAAATGAAGAATGCCTTTGGTGGACCCATTAGGAGACTGGGCATGGCTGAGGAAAGAATCAATCAAATTAAGGGCATGTCAAAGGAAGCTCCCAAAACTAAAAAGCAGAGAAAAAAGCCTAAAGAAGAAGAAGAAAAAATAGAGAAATCTGATTATCTAAATATTGTGGGACAAATGAAAAAGTATAATGTGTGTAACAGTAATAACAGAGAGAGAAGAAAGAAAAGAACAGAAGAAATGCTTGAAGAAATAATGACTGATAATTTTTCTCCAATTAATGTCAGAGACCAAACTACACATCTAAGAAGCCCAGAAAATATCAAGTAGGATAAATGTCAAAAAAATCTACATTTATATCGTAGTCATGTTCACTGGCATAGCATATCATTCTGTATCATATTCATAGCAGAAAATCTTGAAAGAAGGCAGAGGAAAAATGTACATTGTCTAATGAGGAGCAAGAATAAGAATTACATTCATCTTCAAAAACAATGCAAGCAAGAGAAAGGAGTAAAATGTTTATAGCGTTGAAAGAAAAAGCGAAAACATAGAATTCTGTAACTAGAAAAATTACCCCTGGGAAATAAAAAAAAGTCTTTCTATGACAGGCAAATATTGATGGACTTTGTTACCAGTGGATCTGTCTTACAAGAACTTTTACAAAAGTTAACAGAGAAAAAAAAATAAAAGATGATAAATTTGTACGTACATTTTTAAAAACTACAGAAAAAATAAAAGAAAGTAAAATAAAATCTTTTATTTTTCTGATACCTAAATGATCTAATATATAATTTGTTCAAAATATAGCACAAGGTATTCCATGATTATAGCATAGGGATAATTGAAGTACATGGCAGCAATGATAAAAAATAACAAGAGGGAAGAATTAGGAATACTTTGTTAGAAGGCATTGGCACTATCACTGAAGGAGTAAAGTGTTATTTGAAAGTGGACTTGGATTAGTTTTAAATGCATATTATAAACTCTAGGTCAACCAGTAAAGAAGGGAAAAGAAGTATAACTGACATACTAAGAAAAGAGAAAACAGAACCATAAGAAATGCTCAAATGAAAACAAATACAACTGAAAAACAGTGGACAAAAATAGAAACACAAAATAAGGGCAAAGGATAGAAAACAAAACAAATATGATAGAGAGTACTGCAATTATATCAATATTCAGTATTAACATAAATGGACTAAATACACCAATTGAAAGATAGACTGTCAGAGTGGATCCAAAAGAAAGACCCAACTATATGTCACTTATAAGAACTGTACTCAAATTATGAAGACAGAGATAGGTTATAAGCAAAGAGATGGAGAAAAACTATGGTAAAAGTAATCAAAAGAAAATTAACATAGCTATATTAATTTCAGAGAAAATAACCTTCACATTAAGGAAAATTCTCAGGAATAAAGAGGGACATTACATACTGATTAAGAAGTCAATTTTCCAAGAAGACATAACAATCCATTATGTGTGTGCATAATATAGTGTCAAAATTCATGAGACAAAAATTGATAGAACTGTAAGGAGAAAGAGAATACACTGTATAGATGAAGATTTCCACACCTCTGTTATCCTCTATCAGTAATGGACGCATCCAGGGAGCAGAATATTAGAAAGAACATAATAGAACTGAACAGCACAAGCAAGCATTGGATCTAACTGACATTGATAGACTACTTTACGCAACAGCAGCAGCAAACACATTCTTCTCAGGCTCACATGGAATTTCTACCAATATAGACCATATTCTGTACCATAAAACATGCCTTAAAAAACATAAAAGAATTAAGATCATACAGAGTATGCTTTAAGATGACAACATACTTAAAATAGAAATCAATACCACAAAGATAGCAAGTAAAGACAGTATGAAACACAGTATGAAAAGATAACATGTAAATAGACCTCAATACCAGAAAGATAGCATGGGTTTTTGCTCACATACAAATTTGTCCACACTGAGTCTCTAGAACTAATTATTTACAGTTTAGGTGTTCCTACCCTAGTACTAGTTCCCACAGAAGTTTCTGCTCATGGATTTTTGCTCAGATAAATTGTCTTTCTCTGTCTCTGCTTTCTGTATGCCTAATTTTGGGAGCAGAAGTTTGTTCTGTGAAAGAAAGAAAGGAAAGGAGAACATTAGACTCTTGGAGAAGTTTCAAGTTTCTCCTCAAAACCTTTCTTTAGCCTTCCCAGTTGGATCAATTTTATCCTCAAGTCTAAAAGTTCATCTATATTTGGGTATGGTCTTTCTCCTTTGGTTGTAATAAAAAGATGAATTTAATATCTACTCCTATATGGGAACCAGATCTGAGAGATGTTTCCCCACTTGAAGCCCATGGTCTCGTGATGACTGTCATTTTTAGTTCCTTTAGCCTTACTTTAAGGATAAACCTTTCTTTTTTAGGAGTGCAAGACATGCTTAACCCTGGCCTCAAATTTTAGTGGACAATTGCAAAGTTTTATAAGTGTTTAAGTTTAGTTTTCTAGATGTTTATATAGTTCATGAGTTCCAAAGTTCTGATTATTGTAAGACAAGAACTGCTACTTTTATTTCTATATGCCGATCATTGTGCTTATATGGATTTCTCTCAAGGATGTTTGTAGAGTAGTATTTTGGACTGCTGTTTTGCACAATATTTGCATCTTCTAAGAGTTAAGAAATCAAAGGGTAAATAATACAAGTCAAATAACATCTCAAGAGAATTTTAAAAATATTTTATAATAAATTAACAATTAAAAACATGAAAATTTGTGGGATACAGCAAAACTATTATTGAGAAGGAAATTTAGAGCATGAAACTCATATTAGAATAGAAAAAAATCTAAAATTCATCATCTAAATATATATCTTAAGAAACTGGAAAAAGAACAAACCAAATCCAAGTTAAGAAAAGAAATAAATATTTTAGCAGAAATCAATACAAATGAAAGCAAGAAATTACAGAGAAAGATCAATGAAAGCAAAAGTTGGTTACTAGAAAAAAATAATAAAATCAATGTCTCTAGCCTAGCTAACAAAGCAAAAAAGAGAAGACAAAAATATTAATATCAAAAATGAAAAAAATGACATTTCTGCAGATTCCATGGACATTAAAGAGTAGGAAAGGGATAATATGAAAAGCTCGATGTCTACAAATTTGATAATCTAGAAGAAATGGATCAATTCTTTGTAAGACACAATCTGTCAAAACACACACAAGAAAAAATGGTCAATCTGAATAGATCTTTATTTATTAAATAAATATAATCAGTAATTATTATTCCAAACAGAAAACACCAGGCTCTAAACCAGAAACAGAAAACACCAGTCTCAGACAGCTTCACAGGTGAATTTAATTATTTTCTTTTTTTTCCTTCTAGTTATTTTTATAAAGCACCTAACCTAAGATCAGTGATGAATTTATACAAGCATTTAAGAAACATGATACAGAGCCCCTGCAATCTCTTTCAAAGGAAAGAAACTGGGAGAACACTTGCTTGCTCATTCTATAAAGCCAGCATAACCCTAATACTAAAACCTAACAAAACCATTATATGAAAGAAAACTACAAACCAGTTTCTCTCATAAAAAGTTATAAAAATTCTCACCAAAATGTTAGCAAATTGAATCGAACAATGTATAAAATAATTACACACCATGGCAAAGTAGGATTTATACAAGCTATGCAAGGCTGTTTCCAAATTCAAAAATCTATTAACATAATCCATTACATCAACAGGCTAAAGAAGAAAAATCATATGATCATATTAATAGATAAGGAAAAACATTAGACAAAATCCTACACCTATTCATGCTAAAAAAAAAACTTTCAGTAAATCAGGAATAAAGAGAATGTTCCACAACTTGATAAAGAAAATCTATGTAAAAACCTACTGCTAACATTATACTTAATGCAGAGAAACTAGAAGCTTTCCTACTATGATCCAGAACAAAGTAAGGCTATCTCCTCTCACGATGCCTTTTCACTATTATAATGGAAGTCCTAGCTAATGCAATAAGACAAGGAAATTAAATAAGAGATATACAGATTGGGAAGGAAGAAATTAAAATATATTTATTTGCAGAAACATGATTATCTATGTAGAAAATACCAAGAAATTGACAGAAAACACCTAGAACTAGTGAGTGAGTATAGCAAGGTTGTAGCATACAGGTTAATGTATAAAAGTCAGTAGCTTTCCTAGATCAGAAAAAAAAGGCATTTGAAATTAGACACAGAACACAATTTATGTTAATACAAAAATGAAATACTGAGGTATTAATCTAACAGAATACGTTTAAGATCTATATGAGAAAAGCTACAAAACTCTGATTAAGAAAATTAAAGAATTAAATAAATGAAGAGATGTTTCATGTTTATAGATAGAAAGAGTCAATATTGCTGAGATGTCAGTTCTTCTGAACGTGATCTGTGGATTTAATGCAACACCAGCTAGTTATTTTGTGGATATCAACAAAATGATTCTAAAGTTTATACAGATATGGAAAGGGAGAAGAGGAGCCAACACTATATTAAAGAAGAACAAAATCAGAGGACTGACACACCTGGCTTCAAATAGTATGATAAACTGTAGCAATCAAGACAATATTATATTGGCTTAAACCCAAACAAATGTATCAATGGAACAGAAAAGTGAGCCTAGAACTTGACCTATACAAATATATATTCAGCTGATCTGGACTGACTATGCCTATGCCTTGATCAAGAGCAAAGACAATTAAACTTTGCTCCTGAACTGAGCGAACTTTGCTCCTTTGCAACTGAACATCTATATAAAAAACAAAAACAAAAAACAATGTAGACCTTACAGCTCCCCAAAAAATCAACTCAAAATGGATAACAGGCCAAAATGTAAAACACAAGTCTACACAATTCCTAGAAGATAGTATAGTAAAAAACCTATGTGACATTGAATTTGGCAATACCTTTTTTAGATACAACACCAATGACTCAATCTTAAGAAAAAAAATGGATAAACTGGATTACATTATAATGAAAAAATTTTGTTCTGTAAAACACTATCAAGAGAGTAAGGAGATAAACCATGGACTGGGAGAACAGAAAACAAAACTGTTATCCAAAATATACAAAGAACTAAAACTCAAGAATAAGAAAATTCATAAAAGATCTGAACAGGCATCTCACCAGTGTAGATATACAGATGATAAATAAGCAATTGAAAAGATGTTCAAAGTTATGTGGTATCAGAGATTTGCAAACTCAAACAACAATGAGATGTCACCATATACCTATTAGAACAAGAAAATCCCAAATACTGACAACACCAAGTGCTGGCAAGGATGTGTAGGAACAGGAACTCTCATTCATGGCAGTTGGGATGCAAAATGGTACAGCCACTTTGGATGACATTTTGGCCTTTTCACACAAAACTAAATGTATTTTACCATAAGATCCAGAAATCACATTCCTTGGCATTTCCCAAAAGGTGTTACAAACTATGTCCACAAAGAAACCTGACATGGATGTTTACAGCAGGCTTATTCATAACTGCCCAAATGTAGAAGCAAGCATAATATCGTTCAGTAGGTAAATGGACAAATAAATAGTGCTACATTCAGATAGATGGATATTATTCACTGAAAGAAAAACATGAGCAATCAAGTCATGAAAAGATTTGGAGAAACCTTAAATGCATTTTACTGAATGAAAGAAGCCAATCTAAAAACGCTATGTGCTATATAATTACAAGTATATGACATTCTTATTTTTTCTAAAGGCTAAACCATATAAACAGTCAAAAGTCAGTGATTGCCAGGAGTTTGAAGAAAGAAAAGGAGGAAGTTAGAACCAGGTGATTTTTAGGGCAGTGAAGCTACTTTGTATGATACTATAATGGCAGATACATGCCATTGTACCTATGTCAAAACTATACAATATACAACACAAAGAGTGAAGTCCAAGGTAAACTATGTACATTGGTTGATAATAATATGTAAATGTTTCGCTCATTGATTATAGCAAATTTACCACACTGGTGGGTGATGTCGGTGGAGGAAGTTGTGTGTTTGTGTGTAAGAATCTATGGGAAAATTATGTGAGGACTCTTTGTACTCTCTGTTCAATTTTACTATGAATAAAAAACTGTTATAAAAGTAGTGTACTGATTAAAAAATCATAAAAACTCTGGTTGACCACATGTGTGGTTTTAAATTCATCTTTTTAAATAAAATAATAGAACACACACAATAACTGAAAGATATGACCAAAGATTTTCACATTCCCCCCCACTCAGTGCACTTCCATGAAAAAGTTTATTTTTTTGTTGTGGTTTATTTGCTATTTCTGTAAAACCAAGACCACTGGCTTTTTCACATTTTATGGGAATGAGCCTTAGCAGATGGTCAAACACATTTTACCTGGTTTCTTGTTCTGAATTTGCCTTTCATTGTCATGAGAGTGATATTTACTCATTCATTCAACAATATTGAGACCCTGTTATGTGTTGGGAGTAATGATCTGATTGGGTGCCATGGTAATGTGGGAAACATGGAAAATTGGCATTTGGACTTGCAGTAGTCCTATGCTTTAGGTGCCATCAACCTTACGCAGGTTATTTCCCATATTGTCAAGCTCATCTCACCAGTAGACTACCATGAAGTAGTTGGTAATAAAGTTTGCCTTTTCTCTGTCTTGATTTCTGTTTTCCTTGGGAATCTTGAATGGAGAGTACTGCTAGCCTGGATTTGTCATGCAATAAAGTCACACACATTCATCCCCAGAAATTTCCATGTAAATATAGATCTGATCAATCCACAGACTTAGAACAAGTCACCATCCAAGGAATACTTTGTTAGCTTTCTGTTTTATTTTTAATGGTGTCAATAGCAGAAGAGTCCCCTGGATCCTGTCTCAGGCATCATTCAGATAATAAGTTATCGCCAATAGAAAAACATATCTGTTCTGAAATAGTGTTTCAGAACACTGCTAACCACTGCTAAAAAATAAAACTAACAAGCAAAAATTGACAGTTACAGCCCAGAAGACTTAGAGGGTTTCAGTGGTTTTGCCATTCCTTCTTAAATATTTAAAATGCTGTTTTGATAATAAATTCTTCAAATCAAAGTGAGCAGTGAGTTTTAACTTTGTTTTATCTGGAGTCTTGCATTATTAAAAACATGTACTCTTGATGAGGAGCGGGTAAGGCTGGAATATGAAGGACTTTGCTAGTTTTGTGATATGATCATTTTAATAGACTGAATATCCAGCTCAGCTCCAGGACATCACAGTATGAAATAACTGTTATTTCTGTATAAAACTTAGTCTAAAAAAGAAAAAAAATAATTGCTAAATGATTAGATGTCTATAAATGCATGAAAGATAAAAGAAAACCGCAATTAGCTATGGTAACACAGTTAAGAAATAATGTTTCTCTGTCAATTACTATTATCTAGAGCTCCATCAGAGCTGGGAAAATAGATTTTCTTTCTAGATTTATCTGCATTTAACTGGTTTATTTGAAGTTATATTAGGTCTGATAAGAAAGGTAGCCTGAAACACTAAAAAGTTCATTATCAATAGTTTATTAAATGCTCAAGAGTTTGTGCTTTGTATTGAGGGATTTATTTTTGCATAAAAATATGTGGGTATTGATAGTAATTTTCAAGATAAAACATGTTTAACTAGGATTCTGGATGTTATTACTACTAGCTTATTCAGAGACCTGATACTCATAGCAAAATAATAACATTAAACTTGAGTTATATGAAATTGTGAAGCTCCATGTGAACAAAGGAAGAGACTCCTCTGTTACCACTTGTTTTTCTAGGGAGAGAGCCTTCTCTGACTTAGATACCTAACATCTGAATATTCTCTTATGCAATCACAAACAATGGAAGATCTGCTTCTTTTCATTTATATCTTCAATTTATTAAAATTATCTAATATTCGCTGGATACATCATTTAGTGGTCAACACTCTGGACTCTAAAGTTGTCTAATCTAGAAAAGTAATAATTTAAAATATTAGCATGCCTGGATTTGGTCATCAATTTTTCAATTAAAAATCCCCTGGCAACTGGTTAATTTGCCTTTTTCAATGGCTGTGCAAAATGTTTTAATATATTATGTGCCCTGTCATAGATCGCAGTAATAAACAATTGTCAAAGCAAAACAAATATTAGTTGATATCTATATGTGTATCTAGGTGTATCTAACTATCCCTATCTATGTAAATCCTACCTAAATGACATTTTAAAGTGAATCAAATATTCTCTCTGGGCATGAACACTGCTGAAGCAAGCTAATTCTAAGCTTATCATCATTATAATGCCATTAAACATTTAGTGCTCTCTCACAGACATTGGCAAAATAACTCAGCAATTTCTTCATCAGAATCTCTTCTGCTCCTTTATTCATAATTTCACTTTTAATATCTTTTGGTTTTATCTAAAATGAATACTTTGCTAGAAATTCTTATTTGGTGAGAATCAAGAACCTTACAAAATGTCTTGCTATTTTCTGCCCCTCTGTTAGTTTTTATGACTGAAAGATACTAAGAGACAGAAAAGCAAGTGAAGATCCCTGACTTGTGTCCTACCAGCAGGAAGAATTGGATTAATTAAAATAGGAAGAAATAATCTTTACTTGATTTAACTAATATGTAAGTTGTCAACCTCCTGCCAAAATCTAAGCATTAATTCTTACGGAAGTTACAGAAGACCTAGAGTTTACAAAAAATAAAGACTTTAGTCATTACTTAAAATCTTGTATACACCCTGAAGTCTTACTTAATATCTTTGAGAGAAAATTTGTAATGCTATTTTCCAAAAGAGGATCAACAGATCGCCATAATATTAATCTAAGACATTATCAATTTTAAATAATTATAAACAATTATTTGTTTCCCTTTAATAGTCTCTTAAAATATCTGAAATACAAAAGCTCTTTGGAGGAATTTTTTTAAAAAATGTACGGCTAATGTCCTTGAAAATCTTCTGCAAAGCTGACAGATATCACTTCTCAAAATAGAGAGATGTAGGTATAGTTATATGTAGCTATATAAAGACATATAGCAATAATTCCATGATAATATAAAAGCAGATGCATTATACTATAATAAACACTAATCATATAAATTATTAACAAAGTAAAACAGAGACCGAATTCAATGAGAATCACTTCTTGACTTAGATCCTCAAAATCCATACTGATGAGAATTATTTTTTGAAGTACCATGAAAAAATTCAAATTTAAAAAAATATGAAACTAGAAACAAGAAGATACCGCCATAGGCAAATTCTACTGAATATGTACACTTTAGCATTATAAACAGTGATTTACAGACTTAACTCCTTTTGTCTTTTTAATTCTTAATGCACTAGGGCAAGAGTCACCAAACATAGGCCTTCAAACTTTTCACCTAGTTTTGTGTATAAAGTTATATTGATACGTGGCCAACTCATTGATTTGAGTATTGTCTACAGTTGCTTTTTCCCTAAAACTGTGGAGTAGCTGCAACAGAGCTGGTAGTTCACAAGTCTAAAATCTTTACCATCTGGCCTTAATATTTTTTTGCCTACTTCTGCCCTATACAGTTACCACCTCCTTGACTTGGAAGAATCAAAGCATTACTGGGGATTGTATGAGTGAGTGTGTGTGTGTGTGTGTGTGTGTGTGTGTGTAATAGAAAAAGAATGAGACGTGGAGATAGAAGGGAAAGAAGTAGAGACTTCATCTATTAGAATTATATTTTTATATTAATGAGGGGCCTTTTGATGTGTAAATGCATGTATTTGAAAGAATAGCAAGGGTAGTTTAAATTATGAGAAAAAAATTATAACCACTAGGAGCAGTGGGTCTTCCAATTTTCCTGAAAGGGAAATCTTAATAGGATTTTAAAAAAATACTCTTGATTTGCTGTCATATAAAATGTCAATTCCTTCAATACATATTATGATTTTCATTTTAGACGCAAAGTCTATATCAGGAACTTGATTGTGTAAAAAATAAATGAAAGAGGTAGAGCATTGTGGGAAAATGGCAGAGTGAGAAGTACCAGTTATCTGTCTCCACACCTGGATAAAAATTGCAGTGGCAGAATCTGTCTAAGGTAACTAAAGTCATGTGCTACATAATGACGCTTCAGTCAATGACACACTGCATATATGGCAGTGGTACCATAAGGTTATAATATTGTATTTTCACTGCATCTTTTCTTTGTTTAAATATGTTTAGATGTACAAATACTTACCGTTGTGCTACAACTACCTCCAGTATTCAGTCAAGTAACATCTGTACAGGTTTGTACCTTAGTAGCAATGGCTATACCATACAGCTTAGATGTATAGTAGACTATACAATTTAGCTTTGTGTAAGTACACTCCATGATGTTCTTACAATAACAAAATTGCCTAAGAATGCATTTCCTAAAACGTATCCCCTTTGTTAAGTGATACGTAACCATATTTGGAACTGTAGAGACTATTGAAGGCTTGTGACTTCCAGGGGAAGGCTTGGATGGTAAATTGCAGTAATTTTCAGCCAATTTCAATTCTTAACACAAAAACTACTGGTTCCCCATCCTTCAGTACCATGGCAGGCAGCCACGCACATGTTCTTGGAGCAGCTTGCCCTCAACTTGCACAAGCAGGGTGGGTGAAAGCAATCCTACTTGCCCTACCAATCTTGGGGTTCTGTGCTCTGATTGCTGTTTCTAATGATAGAGGTAGAGACGAAGAAATGAGTGGTCATTGTTGTTGCACCTCCATCCATTGTTCCAAGCCTCCTCATTCTAGCATAAGTCACTTCTAGGTAAGTTAAAAGACTGGTGCTCTCTTTTCCCCTCTTCATTTTTCTCTTTATCCTCTTTTTTGGAGGGTTCCAGACATTAAACATCAGGATATTCAAATGCAACTTCATATACACACAAAAAATAGAAAGTGACTGCATGTACTGCAGGTTTAGGAAAGACATGAGATCTTACATTAGGCTGGTCCTTGTGGAGATAGCCTAAAATCAATCAATCAATCAATCAATCAATAAAAAACAGCAAACCCTAGGAAGACCAAAAATATGATTTCTATAATTATTACTTAATTAGATTAAATGTCCAGTTTTCAACAAAAATCACAAGTCATAATACAAAATAGGAAACTGTGGCCCACTTAAAGGAAAAATAAATAAATCAACAAAAATTATCCCCCAAAAAAGACCTGCTAGAAGATATACCAGGCAAGCACTTTAAAACAACTGTCTTGAAGCTCAAACAGATTTAAAAAGAGATGTACAGAAAGTCAAGAAAACAATGTGTGAACAAAGATGGAAACATTAATAGATAGAACCCCAAAAAGAAAGAAAATAAATTCTGGAGCTAAAAAGTATAATAACTGAAATGAAAAATTTACTGGAGGGGTTTGAAGACAGATTTGAGCAGTCAGAAGAAAGAATCAATAAACAGGATAGCAGAAATTACCGAGTCTGAGGAGCAGGAAAGAAAGAAAAAAAATGAAAAAAAGTGAACAGAATCTAAAGGACCCATGGGACATCATAACCCTGACAAACTTCTCAAATTTGATAAATGATATGAATAGAAACATCTAAGAAGATAAATGAACTCAGAGTAAGATTAACTCAAAGATACTCACACTGAGATATATTTAACTAAATTTTGAAAAGACAAAGAGAATTTTGAAAGTAGTAACAAAAAAAGAGGCTCACCATATAAAAGAGATCCTTAAAAAGAATGTCACCACATATCGCATCAGAAACTTTAGGGGCCAAAAGGAAGTGCACCAATATATTTAAAGTGCTAAAAGAGAAAAGAAAAACACTGTCAAACAAGAACGTTTTATCTGGCAAATCAGTTATTCAAAGGTAAGGGAGACTAGTCCTTCAAAGTAAAGAGACTACTGTCACATATGCAGTCTGTCACTGACTGAGATGCCATTATGCAGCACATGACTTTATTTTCCTAAAGTTTATTTTATTTTCTAAACAAAGGAAAGCTGAAGGAGTTTATTACCATGAGCCTGTCCTGTGGGGGAAAAGAAGAAGCAAAACAAAACCAAAAAAACTCAATAGAGTCCTAATGAGTTAAATGAAGAGATGAGATACCGCACAATAAATTGAACCCATATGAAAAAGTAAAGACTTCATTAAAAGTAAGTACATGGAGAATTATAAAACTAGTCGTATTTCAACAATGGTTTGTAATTACTGTTTTGATTTTCTACATAAGAGACTAACACATTTAAAAGTACAGTTTATGTTTTGGGCGCACAATGTAATTTGAAGATATCAACAACTAAAAGGAGTATGGGCAGAGTTTTATAGGAACAGGTTTTTATGTATTATTAAAGTTAAATTTGTATAAATTCAAATTAAGTTTTTATAACTTTAAGAGGTTAATTATAATCCCCATGGGAACCACAAAGAAAATAACCATAGCAAATACCCAAAAGGAAATGAGAAAGAAATTTAACCATTGTACTATTAAAACAAATCACCTAAACACAATAGAATACAGTAATGTAGGATGTAAAGGACAAAAAAGCTATATGGCATATATTTTAAAAATATTAAAATGACAAAAAGCCCTCCTTTTTCAGTAATTACTTCAAATGTAAATGAATTAAACTCTGTAATTAAAAGACAGAGATTGTCGGAATGTTTCTTTTAATACCTATTTAACTATACACTGTCTATGACAGACTTACTTTCAATCTAAAGACACACATTAATTGAAAGTGAAAGAATGGAAAATGATATTTTATGCAAATTGTAATCAAAAGAGAGTAGGGCTAGCTATAATAGTATCAGAGAAATTAAGCTTTAAATTAAAAAGTTTGCATGAGAAAAAGAAGGATATTATATATTAATAAAAGGTTCACCCCAGCAAGAACATATAACAATTATATTTTCTCACCCAGAGACATACCATCATAATAAGTGAAGCAAAAACTAACAGAATTGAAGGGCTAGATGGTCCTACAATAATAGCTGGAGACTTTAATACCCTATTCTCAATAATGGATGGAACAACAAAACAAAAGATAACTAATGAACTAGAGGACTTAAACAACCAAAAAGCCAACTAGATTTAAGACATGTAAGGAACAATTTACCTAACAACAATAGCATGCACATATTTTTCAAGTGCATATGTGGCATTTTCTGTGACACATCATATGCAGGCCACAAAATAAGTCTTAACAGATTTAAAAAGATAAAAGCCTCTTCCTTATGCACAAGGTGTTGAAGTTTTAAATCAATAACAGAAGAAAAACTGAAAAATTTACAAATTTGTGAGAATTAAACAACACACATTTAAGCCACCAATTTATCACACAGTAAATTAGACAATACTTAGATATGAATGAAAACAAAAACACAACATACTAAAACTTAGGGGTGCAGCAAAAGCAATACTATAAGGGAATTTATAACTATAAGCACATTAAAAAATAAGAAATATTTCAAATCAACAATCTAGCTTTACAACTTAAGGACCTAGGAAAAGAAGAACAAACTAAAACCAGAGCTGACAGAAGCAAAGAAGTAGTAAAAAAAAAAAAAGAGAGCAGAGATAAATGAAATAGAGACTGGAAAAAAAATAAAAAGAAAAAATCAATGAAATAAAACATTATTTATTTAAAACGATCAAACAATTTATAAACCTTTAGCTAGATGGACTAAAAAAAAGAGAAAAAATTCAAATTACTAAACTCAGAAAGGAAAGTAGGGGCATTACTACCAATTCTACAGACATTAAAAGGGTTATAAGACAGTGCTATGAAAAACTGTATGTCAACTAATTGGATAACCTAGATTTATATGGAAAAATCCCTAGAAACACAAAAACTGTGAAGACTAAATCACAAATAAATAGAAAATCAGAATGAAACAATTAATATTAAATACAAGTAATAGACCTACAACTAGTAAACTAGATTAAATCAGTAAATAAAAATTCCCTGACACATAAAAGCCATGTACCTGGTGGCTTCTCTGGTGAATTCTACCAAACATTTAAAGAACTAACACTAATCCTTCTCTAACTTTTCCGAAAAATTGAAAAGGATGGAATACTTCCTAACTCCTTCTAGGAGGCTATTCATTACCTGGTTATTAAAGCCAGACAAAGACACTACAAGAAAAGAAAACTGCAGGCCAATATTCATTATGAATATTGATGCACAAATCCTCAACAAAATATTAGCAAACTGAATTCAACAGTATATTAAAGTGATTATACACTATGAACAAGTGAGATTTTTTCTGTAATGTAGGGTAATCCAATATTCAAAAATAAATCAATGTAATATACTATATTAATATAATGAAGGATGATGATCTCAATTGATGTAGAAAAGTCATATGACAAAATTCATCACCTTTTCTATAAAAACAAAGGGTTTTTTTTTTAAATGGTGAAAGCACTCAATAAACTAGAAATAGCAAAAATTTTCCCAACATAAAAAGACCACATAAAAACAAAAACAACAACAAAAACACCAACAGTGAACATCATACTCAGTGGTTAAAGACTAAAAACTTTACCTCTAGGATCAGGAACAAGAAAAGGATGCCGACTTTCTCTACTTCTGTTCAGCATAATACTGGAAGTTCTAGCCAGGGCAATTAGTCAAAAAAAAAAGGCGGGGGAGGGGGGCGGGGGGGGGGCGTGCATTTGAATTGGACAGGAATAAATAACCTCTATGTGAAAGAATAAATTTAGACCCTTACCTAATACCATACACAAAAATTAGTTTAAAATGTATCAAAGACCTATTATAGACCTGAAACTAAAAAACTCTTAGAAGAAAACATAGGGCAAACATTTTATGACACTGGATTTGACAATAATTTCAGAATATAATACCGAAGGCACAGGTGACAAAAAAAAAAAGAGCTAGACAAATAGGACTTCATGAACATTTTAAATTTTGTGCATCAAAATACACTATCCACAGAGTATAAAGGCAATGCACAAATTGGGAGAAAATGTTTCCAAATCATATAATCTAGGAGATTAATATCCAGAATACGTAAAGAACTCCTAACTGAACAACAAACCCAAGCCAATTCAATAATGAGAAATGGATGCGAGCAGCTGTTTCTCTAAAGAAGACACACAAATGTGTACAAATGGCCAATAAACACAAAAAAAGATGTTCAACATTAGTAAAATGCAAATCAAAACTACATTGAGATACCACCTCACACACATAGGATAGATACTATCAAAAACATAAAATAACAAGTGTTGGTGACGATACGGAGCAATTGTAACCTTTGCACATTGTTGGTAGAAATGAAACATGATAAAGCCACTGTAGAAAAGAGTATGGTGGTTGGCCAAAAAATTAAAAACAGAATTATCATATGATCCAATAATTCTACTTCTGGATATATGCCCCAAAGAATTGAAGCCAGCATCCCCATGAGATATTTTTATCCTCATATCCATAGCAGCATATTTACAATAATTAAAACATGAAAGCAGCCCAAATGTTAATCACTGAATAAATAAGAAAATGTGATAGATACATACAATGGAAAATTAATCAGCCTTAATAAGAAGGAAATTCTAACATACACTACAACATGGAAGATACTTGAGAGAATTATGCTAAGTGAAATAAGCCAGGCACACACACACACACACACACACAAACACACACACACAAATGAATACTGTTTTCTTCTACTTCTATGAGGTACACACAGTATTCAAAATCATAGAGACAGAAAGTAGAATGATAGATTCCAAGAGTTGGGAGGAGTGGCAAATGAGGAGTTATTGTTTAATGAATATAGACTTTTTATTTTACAAGTTGAAGAGATCTGGAGATAGATGGTAGTAATGGCTGCTCATTATAAATGTATTTATTATCACTGAGTTATATAATTTAAATGGTTAAGATAGTACAATTTATGTTATATGTATTATACCACAATATTTAAAATGGTGAAAAAATGAAAGAACATCACTTTCCTTGAAGCATGTACAGTAATGGGGCTGAGGGGAATACAAGGTAAATATACCTTTACTCTTCAATAACTTGTTGTGCTCAGCATGTACATCAACATGTCGTCTGACACCCTGGCCACTCAGTAACTAGACTATATATCCTGTGTAACAGTAATAATAATGTTGTAACAGAATAATAATGTTGTCCTACTCCTTTCTTAACTAGTCATTCCCATGATCATATTCTAGCATCCTTCATTGCCAGAAAATCCACCACTTCCAAAATCTTAATCTCCAGTATCACAGCCTGACCTACACTTTTCATTTTTCTATTTATTTCCTCCACATTATCATTCTGGTCGTTTTTAATCCTATCAGATTTCCAATCCTTCTATTGTGTTGCTTGACTGCGTGTCCTCACGTCCTGTATTTCCTCCTTTCTCAAAGAACGATTTCCAGGTCCCATACTGTCTGATTAAATTAGTAATGCATGTTCCAAAGCCTTAGGCAAACAAAGCATTTTTATCAGGCACAATATTCTAAGAGCTTGGAAGATATCCCCGAGGAGCTGACCAAGGCCAATTCTGAAGTCAAGTCAAGACTTTATTTGTAATGTGCAGGGTTTGAGCAACACTAACCTGCGAGTTATTTCCTTCCTGCGTGTATTTTTATGGAAAACTGCTCAAAAGTTATCTATCCTTTGCATACAATTCTTTTTACTAGTTATTCCAATGTGGTTTAGAGTAGTAGAGAATATTCAAAGGTTAAAATAAATAATAAAACCTTTTATTAAAAAGAACAGCATAAGAAATGCACATGGCAGTATGTGAAACTCAGATTGAATTAGTGTAGCAATAGAAAACAAGTAAAATTTGAAGCTAAGATGTAAAATTGAGCAATAATTTAACCTCAAGTCAAATTTGATATGCCCCCTCCAATATCTAAATATAGAGATGAAGGAAAATCAGGTTAAAAAAAAAAAACAACTAAAACTAAAAACATTGCAGAGAGATCCTGTGACCCTGTGGTAGCTATGTTTGCCCATAGGCTCTGGTTCCCTTGAGACAGTCTAAGTCTACAGTTGTTTTTTACACACAGTTATTAATATTGCCCCTTTTCACTCTGGTTTAGTTGATAAATTATATGACCACTGTAAGCTGCAATATTTGTGGAGAAATCAGTTCCTGTGAGGCAGAGAAAGCGCTTCATGAGAAAACAGGGGATGGTATCCAGGCTCACTACTTATCCTTAAGCACTCAGGGAGAGCTTCCCCAGTTGTGAAAAAAGCCTGGAAAAAAAGTTGAAGTTGTTGTTGACAGTTTCTTAAGGTATGGCTTACAGCAAAAAATGATTTAGACAGGTGAAAAGATGCATATAGAATCTAGGGAGGGAGCAGAAACAAAACAAACCGTCTAATGAGATCATGTGCAGCTCTAAGATATTCCCCAACCGATTCATGTCGGAATGTGGGAATAAAGGCAAGGGCAGCCAACATCAAAACCACAAAATTTCAAAAAATGAAAATGAATCTTTTTCCGTAAAATGAGATTGTAAATCAAAATTTTATAATAAATGGAGCAAAATAATAAAAGTAATCTAATGTTAAGAAATATAAAACTATGACAAACTAAAACTCATTAAAAAACTGTTAAGATGGAATCACCCCTCTGTGGCCTAAAGCATGTAGTTGGTGCTACATGATGTTCCTAGAGGGCCATCAGTAACATCAAGCAGTAAACCCATGGTTAAACAGATCTGGAAAATTATATAAACTGGATTTACAACACCATCCTTTTACTTTCCACTTTATAATAGCCTAATATTTATGGTGTATTTCATAATAAAAATAGATTTATGTATTATATGGCATGAAACACATTGCCCCAGCAGTTTTCAGCTTAAAACAACAAACATTTATTATTATAGAGTGCTAGGAATCAAGGCATAGCATGATTTTATGGCTCTGAATCATGGCTGCAGTCTAGCTGTTGACGGACAGACACATACATTTGGTTTTGTGCTTTTATTTTAATCCATAGGTTCCCATGTTGTCTGAGAATCTGGGATGATACCAAGACTGACAAATTATTTTTGCCAGCAATTGTTTGAGCCACAATAGTATCAAAAATTTTAATCTTTCATTTAAATCACATTATTTTTCTACCCCCAAACTTCATTAAATACCATAGAATACCATACAATTTTTATTCAGGGATACTTCTGAGATTTTTTTTTTCTTATACATACATACCTATAATAAAGTTTAATTTGTTGGCAAAGTAAAAGTTTATTAACAATACCTAATAATAACAACATAGAACAATTATAACAATATACTGCTTATGATTTCATGGACAGAAGATTTGTTATTATTATAGATCTAAAAATAAAATTTCCTTCTTTCCTTATCAAGTCAAGAACTTTTGACTTCTCACTTAAAGGAAGCATTTTATGGCTTTGTTTCGGCACATTCAAATTGCCAGCATGAAGTAAAGGAAGGATTACTTGAATATAAGCACTGCAATAATGTGACAGTTGATCTGATAACCGAGACAGCTACGAAGGGACTAACAGGCAAGTAGTGCAGGCAGCATGGATACACTGGCAAAGGGATGATTCATGTCCTGGGTGGTATGGTGCAGGGTAGTGCAAGAGTTCATCTTACTACTCAGAATGGCATACAGTGTAAAACTTAGCAATTCTTTATTTCTGGGGTTTCCACTTAATATTTTCATACTGTGGTTTACTGTGGGTAAATGAAGCTGTGGAAAGTGAAATTGCAAGTAAGTGCGGGGACTACAGTTCATTCTTGAGCATAACTATTACAGGTGCTTTAAGTTCAATATTATGTTAGTCTGTTTTGCATTGCTATAAAGGAATACCCGAGGCTGGGTAATATATAAAGAAAACAGATGTATTTGGCTCATGGTTCTTCAGGTTATACAAGCATGGCACCGGCATCTTCTTCTGGTGGGGCTTCAGGAAGCTTTTCGTAACGTCGGAAGGCCAAGAGGGATGAGGTGTGTGACATGGCAAGAAAGGGAGTCGGAGTAGAGATGTCTCAGACTCTTCAACAACCAGACCTTCTGTGTTTTCATTACTGCGAGGAGGGCACCAAGCATTCATGAGGGATCCCCTCCCATGACCCCGCCCCCAACACTGGGGATCACATTTCAGTATAAGATTTTGCGGGGGACAAATACCCAAACTATCTCAAGCATCATCATCACTAAGGGTCAGTTTCGATTGACTGACATTGCAAAAATGTAAATGTGTATCATTTACTTTTTCCCGTTTCTTTTTATGTCTAAATTTGCATTCTATTCTGCACATTATACACGATGTGCTATTGTAGAGGCTTTTGATTCTGCTATGTTCCTCTGAAGAAATTTTGTTTGTTGTTTTATTTGGTGCCACTGTTTTTGTTTGTTTCTTTTAGCAGACAGTTAACTTGGGTTATTTCAAACTCCAAAGTATTTTTTTCTGTGATGTGAATGTCAGATGAAATCTCCATCCAATGTTATTGGTCCTATATAAGATACCTTGGCCAAATCCTAAAGGTTTTCCAAAAGTTGATTTTTTAAGTAATTATTTTACAGGTCATAGCTGTTATCTGTGGAAGAGTTTGTCCCAGGAAGAACAAATATATCATTGCAAGAAATAAAGTAACTTAAAAAAATTTAATCCTTGATACATTTTACTTTCAAATAGGTTTGGAAATAGTACAGATAAATAATAGCAATAATTGCTTATTTTCTTGACATATCACTTTGTAACATTGTGTAAAACATTAAAATTAAACATTTATTAGAATTTAAGCTCCATAAACGATAATACTGTTGTCAGTACTCTATTTCCAGTGCTTGGAATACAAAATAAATGTGCTTTTGAATGAATGATTGATTGAATAAACTCCTATTTTTATGTGGTGTTGTATTTGATCTATAACCTACAAAGTGTTGAAAATGTGAGTTTATATTTGGCTAACAGATATCAGTTTTAATATTTTGAGACTTTTATTACAAATTTAAATGATACTGTCTGTTTTAGAAAATGATAGTAATAACTAGAATTTACCCATTATTAGATAATTTTCAGTTTATTTTTAGAAGTATTCCTATTTAATTCTTTTCTTTCATGTTAAGATTTTAAATTTTTTAATCTTAATTATCTAGTAGTTGGGATCAATGTCACTCTACACTATTGTACGTCTGAAGGAAATATGGAAAAATTACCATGGTAACATTGCTAATTGTCTCATAATATAGGGAAAAAAATACAAAATGCCAAAACATCACAGATTTTGTGGGCATCCACCTTTCCCTGACATATGATAGAACAAGGTTCCTTGGAGATTTGACCTCTTATTAATATGCAACTATATAGCTTGCACAAGATATGCTATCAAAATAAATGAGCTTCAACTACATTTGTAGAAAACACTTTATTTAGAAAGACATTTTATGTAAAAAAAGATTTTTAAATGCCCATAACAGAATCACGGAATATAATTTATTTATTATATATAGAGAATAAAATTCAACATCTGAGGGTTTTTTATTCATATGGTGTGAAACTCTAAGACTAATATTGTGTTAAGCTTATTAGGTTGAAATCTCAGTTTTAAGAAAGGGAAAGAAACTAGAGCACAAATAAAGATTTTGTATTGCTGGAATTTGAGCTCTATCTTTAATCCACTGTAAAGTGTGTTTTTTGTAACTCCCTGAAACTGTCTTGAGAAAAAGAAAATTGGCAGTAGCCAGGACTCACAGTTCTTTCAATGATAACATCTCTTCAGCTAGATGACAAAAAAAAGAAAAATAATGAATGACAAGAGAAAAATAAATGTTTAATGGAGTAACTAAGTATTTTTAAATAGTCTCTCATATGTTTGTTCCTACAGCACTTTTCTGTCACTACTTCATGATCCTAAATGATTATGAAGACATTTATTTGTGTGGTAGGCAGAATAATGTCTCCCCAGTGAGGTCCACATTCGAATCCCTCTAACCTATGAATATTTTACCACATATGCCAAGAGGAATTAATGTTGCAGATATAATTAAGATTACTAATATGGTTAATAAAGCATGATTATCCTAAATTATGCAGGTGGACCTAATGTTATGACAGAGATCCTTAAGAGGGAGGGGAGGGCAGGTTTATATGATGTGAGAAAGAAAGGCTCACCATTACTGTCTCTGAAGCTGGCAGAAGGGGGTCATGAGGAAGTCAATGTGGTTAGTGGCAAGAAATAGTAAATAGCCAGGAAACAAATTATCTTCAGAGCCTCCAGAAAGGAAATGCAATATTGCATTTCCACTTAACAAAAACTTCTGAAAATGACCTGATACCTTTGATGTTATCTACAATGTAGTAGAAACATCTACATATTACATAATACATAGGTAGCTAAATACAAAACCTTCAGTACATCACTGAATAAAAGCCACGTCATACAGTGAAAGGGGAATTTTAGGTTTCAGACCAGTGGGAAAGCACTGGGAGAATAATCAGTGATTTTTCTCATGCCCTCTGTCTCCCAATAGAAAATTACCACTCATTCTTCAAGTTTTACTATTAAAAATCTGCTTGTAGTTGTCTGTTTTGGTGCCCTAACAATTGCAAAATATCGATACTATCCTGTTGACTTTATTGTAAGTAATTCATATCTTTTGTGTAATTTAAGAAAGTATAAATTTTGATTTAAGGAATAATTAAACATTATAACTAGATCATATCCTCCTTGTGGATAAGGTTGCTAATGAGCTGTTTACTCTGGAAATGTCCTTGATATGCATCGCTAAATCTTACAGCACTTTCATCTTCAAAATATACTGTTTTCTACCCCTTTTTAGGCTAAATTGCGTGGATTAACGCCAAGTGAAATCACTGAACTTAACATTAAAATTTTTTGAAGTATTACATTTCCTCTCATATTTATCATTTAAAAGTATGAAGAATATTCTCACTTAACTATTATCCCAGTGGGAAAAAGTGCTTCCAAGAAACAAGTGTGCCACCAAACATAATAAAATCAAGAGAATTACTTCAAATGCATAAACTTTAAAAAATACTTGTAAAATGCATTAACAAAGATGTTATTTGATATCTGAGAAAACTTTTTATCTTTAAATAGTATATTTGTAAGATATTATTACAAACAAATTCTGTATTATAAGACTGCATATATTTGTGCAATATAAGCCAGTGGTCTCAGCCATATTTAGAAGAACGTGCATTGTTTGCATTTGGCAATGTCTGAAACGAGACTTAACCACAATAAGTCCAAGTGACTATCCTTGAGCTCATAGTACATTACTTTATTTACTGCAGGTTTATAAATACATTGATATAGGTTAGATTAGGTCCTTCTTTTTTTATCTTTTTGTCAAATCTTGACTATTCTTAGCCTTTTACATTTTCATATAAGTTTTGGAAGTTGATGTTACTTTCAAAAATATCTGGGACTTTAATTGAGATTGCAGTGAATCTAAGATCCCTACTTGGTTTGTCTTGTTTGTTTTGAATTGTTATTTTCAGAGTCTTCTGATCGTTACTCTGTGTATTTTGTTCAGAGTTATTAGTTGCAACTAGCAGGAGGAATAGATTAGAATGCATGTATTCCATCTTGTCTGGATCCAGAGGTACTGTTAGTTAATATTTTAAACTATCATTATGGAGAAAGACTTCCACAGAAAGACATAGCCTATGCATGAATAACTAGCCATACAATTTCATTAAATTTCATTTAAAGGAATGAATTAAAATTCATTTCTTTAAAAATATATGGCAAAGTTTACACAAGCAAATGAAAGAATAAATGATAAAGTGGAACCAGTTAACTAACATATTTAGCGAACAGTGACAATCTATAATATGTAAGGGAACTTTTAAATCAATCAATCAATATAAACATGATTTGAAAACAGAATAAAATTTATTCATAAAAATAAATAAGATTAATAATATTACCAAAATATAAGTCATACACAACTCAAAACAAAATAAAGCATTAATGAGACACCATTTGTCACCTATAAGATTGGCTGATAATGAAATATTTTATAACATTCAATACTAGAAAATAAGTTGGGAAATGATTACACTCATAGAGTATTAGTAAACATAAAAATGTAGAGAGGGCATTTATAGGGGGGCAATTTGAACTATTTTGAATTTTAGGTATTTTTTAAGCCAGTGATTCTACTTACAGGAATTTATCTTACAGATACTTACTTACATGTGGAAATGAAACAGGTAATGTTATGCACAGTATTATTATTTGTAATAAAACACAACTAATAATATTCACATCCATAAATATATATTTTGTTATTTATGACATATCTCCTCTTTATAGAAAATCTGTGAAGGTAGAAAAAGTATTCTGTCATGTTTGCAACTATATCAGTAGTGCTGAGAATAAAGTAGCAAATACATATCGAATAAATGAAGAAGCAACCGATAAGGAAGGTACAAACCACCATATAACCATAAAAACTATCATGCAATCATTTAAAAGAAGGCAGATATAAATCCACAACATAATATAGCATGAAATTTTCAAGTTGAAGAAGAAAACTATATATCCCATTCTAAATCAGAAAACATATTGACAAACATGAAGATATTTATATATTATAAAATGTTGTATATTAATACAGACCAAATTTTTGATAATGAAAACCCCTAGAGATGGTTGAGGTGGTGTCATGAGGTTTTCTCTTTAACATGTATTTTTATGTAGTTTGAAGATTGTACATTCAGTATTATTGATATTAGTTGTAATAATGAATCTTTGAGTGATTCGAGCTAAATTCTTTCTGCTATGCTCATCACTTTGCTTAGACAAACTAAAGAGTGACTCTTGTTTGCCACCATATACACAGATACAATTAAATCTCAGGCTGGGGGTGGTAGCTCATGCCTATAATCCCAGTGCTTTGAGAGGCAAAGGTGGGTGGATTGCTTGAGCTCAGGAGTTAGAAAGCAGCCTGGGCAACATGGTGAAACCCTATCTCTACAAAAAATACAAATTTAGCAGGGTGTGGTGGCATGTGCCTATAGTCCCAGCTACTCAGGAGGCTGAGGTACAAGGATTGCTTGAGCCTAGGAGGTCAGGGCTGCAGTGAGCCATGATCCCTCCACTGCACTCCAGCCTGGGTGGCACAATGAGATCCTGTCTTGAAAAAAATAAAAAAAAAAGACAGGAAAAAAGAGAAGAAAATCTCTCAACTTTATGTTTTCTGGACTATTACAATCTTATTTTTAAAAGGTCAATCACTTCAACCAGAATGTTTTAAAAGCAGAGTTTCATCATCCCTAAGGAGAAGCAGTTTCAGAATAAATACATCTATGAGTCTACATAAAATGACTCTAGAAATATATTTCTCCTTATTTTGTATTGTTAGTTCATCATAAGCCAAACAAATTAAATGAAATCATTTCAAACTTGTGGCAACATCAAGGAAAGTTAAATAAACCGGTTGGTATTACATGAAAACATAAAATAAGCCTTTTTAAACTTCCAAATCCAGGGCTCCAGAGTATATCTTTAAGTATCCCTGACTGAGGATATATCAAGTACACAATTGAACACACTGAGATTGAACACACAATTGCTCTCTTATTATGCAGTAATAGCTACATCAAAACCAGCAGGATGTTATATCATAGTACCAAGTGGAGGAGAAACCCAGCCAGGTATTCAAGCACAATAAAAAAGAAAGGATTTGTTGCCACGGCAAGGCTTGATTCCTAAAAGTAATGACTTACAAACTGAGCTGCATATAATGTCTCATCTACTTTTTTTTTTTAAGAATAAAAACCTATAAGGTCAACATGTCCCACTTAACAACAAAGAAAAGAGATAAGGTAAAACTTGGTTAGAAAGAACATGTGACTTTTAAAATAAAATGATGACCTTTAGAATGCACGAATATAAAGCTATAAAGGGATTAATATAATCACTAGAAAATTCTCATGCTAATTATCTCCACATCTTTTTATTAATATTAAGCAAAGAAGTGTCATCAGGATATGTAGGACACTTTTGTTTCATTAACATAGCTCTTTCATCTCAAATTAAGCTCTACTGTAACTAAAATAGTTGTAATACCCACAGTGAACATTGATTTCAACATAAATTGTGTAATGCAATGCCTATCATGATCAATAAATACCTGTTAAATGAATAAAACGATTACATATGTATTAAGCTGTGTTTTCATGTTGAATACAAGTTAATGATCTTTTTTCTATTGTTCTAAAGCCCCTCTTAAGTGAAGAAAGTACATTGTAATGGCTGCTGTGGTTTGCCTCCCAGATATGCCTAAGCACTTACATTCCAGCTGCTAGAAATGCAGAGTGCTAAGAGCTCACAACTGAGTCCCACCTTGAAATCACCAGTGATTGAAAGACATTGCCTGGCCCCAAATTAGATAACTCCTCAGAGGCTGCCTGTGTCCAATACTTGTCACTCTGGATGTCCAAAACCCAACTCCCTTGCCTCAGTTTAAAACAACTGAGAAGAGACATTCCAGCTCCTGAGGCCTCAGTTTGTAACACATCACAAGTCAGCTTTGTCTCCTTCCATCATCCCCTCACGGGTGTTCTTCCCAAAAGCACACACAAATTAAAATCCTGCACACACGTTTTACACCCAGAGCTTATTTTCTGCAGAATCTAAACTCAAAGAGTTGGTCAAAGGTGGTCTGAGGAAGCATACTCTAAATGAGATCTGGAGGTGGACAACCCTCCTGCCTGCGAACACAGAGGAATCATCACCCTCACTCCACTGAGAGTGGAGTATGATAACACCTGGCATGTGGTAGCAGTACAGATGTTAAATTTGTAGAAATGTTGAACTGGGAGGAAACAGTGGCTGAACAAATGCCCTGGCAGATATAACTCAGGCATATGGAAGATGTTGAGAAAGTCATAATTATAAGGACAATGGAATCAGATAGGGTGTTGAGGAGTGCGATTGGTGCCCTAGAGAAAAACAGTGAAGGTCTCCTTGGCAACATATAAAAAGAATTAATTTACTGCAGCTGCAGAGAAAAAAAAATCTGAAGATCCACTTTATATAGGAAGAGAAAAATCACAACCCTGGTGATTTTTTTCCCAAGGTTAAGGCCCTGATGAAAAGGAGTAGGACCTGGAAACTTCTGATGGACACATCAGAGTTAATGCAGTGACAATCTCGAATTGTCACAATGTCGAATACCTTGGAATTCTTGAGTTTGAAGAAGTGGCCCTTTCGTCTCTGTTGAAAGCTAGCAAGGATTCTGCCTTGCAAGGTAACTCATGGCCTCTGCCTCCAGGATTCATTCTGCTTCTTCTGAGTGCCAGAGCAATGACTATTTTAAATTCATAACAGAGACGTGCTGGGACTGCTCAGAAAGGAAAGGGCCTATACCACATAGTAACTCCAGTATCTAGCCAACATATACTACAGAACATAAGCCAAGAGAAGATGTGAAGGACTGGATCCTGAAATTCCTCAGTTAAAGTTGGGACACATAAAGCTGCGTAAGGGAGAGTTCATCTCTGTAGGAGCTATATATACAGAAACTAATCATAGGAGCATACTCCCATAAAGATGTAAACAAGCTGCATTTAGAGGCTTAGAATGTACCCTGGAAGTTGGTGCAAAAAAGATTCTAGGATGGCTCTTGGAAGATAACAGAGGGCCATGGCCAGCACTAAGTGAAGTAAAGATGCCAGAGCTGCCATAGTGAAAAGGACCAAAGGGTTTATAATAGTGGGCATGTAAGAGCAGATATACTATGGCATAGATAGATAGATAGATAGATGATAGATAGATAGACAGACAGACAGATATAGATATATCTATATATCAGGCATACGGAAGGTGTTGAGATAATAGAATCCCCAGTAGAAGTGTCACTTAAACTTCTTAATTAAAAGTGGGTAGAATTAAATAAATGAGCAGTAAGTTTGCAAAGACAACTAGAGGGCCAGACCACAGAGAACCATGAAGATATTTAGCAGAGCATGGCCTTGTTGGCAGTAAGGTAAATAGGCATTGAGCAAGAGTACTGATCTATCTGGACAATGAAAATGAAAGCAAGGAGAATGATCAGGAGGCTAAAGAAGTTTGAGTATTATTGCCTAGTTCCCAGATCTTACTACTTCTCAGACCTAGAACCTACTGACTGAAGGCAAGGGCAGGCCCCTAGGAAGAAGGAGCCTGCAACACCGTTGCAAATTTGTGCAGCAATGATTCCTCCAGTCTTTCTCAAAGGATCCAATAGTCATTTATGAATATCAGTACAATGGTAATAGGGTGACATTCAGGCATTGTGAGAACTTCTAGAAACAGTCATGAGTTAACACTGATTTCCAGAGATCCAGTATATCATTGTGGCCTCTGTGCTAGGGAAGGACAAAACAGACACAAGTAATAGGCAGAATTCCAGGCCCAGGTCCAGGCTGCAGTGGGTCTCCATGGACCTTTCTCTAGTCACCTACTGTGTAATTGCAATGGGCATTTACCATATATTGGACGTTGGTTCCTTGGCTTGTGAGGGGATAAGCTATCAGTGAAAAAGAGTAAGTAGGAGCTTTTGAAACTCCACACAATCAACCAAGAAAGCAAACCAAAATACTATTATATCTAAGTGGGAACGGTAGGGAACAGCACCACTCTTAAATACCTGAAGAACAGAAGTGTTATCTCCATCATATTCCCATTTATTTTAGTAACATGGTTTTCCAAAAGTGCAACAGACACTGGAGGATGAAAGTGAATTACATCAAATTCAATGAAGCTTAAGCTTCATTTGCAGCTGCTGTACCAGATATGTTGTCCTATCTGGAGATGATTATTATGGCCTAGGGTACATGATATGTGATCTTTGGTTTTGCCAGAGTATTCTATTCAATCCTAAAATATAAATCTCCTGATATTACTCTAGTCCTTGAGAAGACCAATCAGTTCCTTGGTGACCCATTAATTCTACTGAATAGCAACTCACTTAGATAAGAACAGACACATATTCTGGATATAAATTTGCCTTTCTTTCCTGCCTGTAGCGCCTCAATTGCAACTTCTAGCTGAGAGTTGACAGAGTTGTTTTCTACTGATACAAATCACGTGCAGTATTGTGTCAAAACAAAGCCTCCACTTTATAGCAAGTCTGCTGAGGAAGTGGGCAATTAATTGACCATGCCATCTTCTGGTCCTATAGCATAATACGCATTGGAGATTGAGTTTCCAACACATGATTAATTTAAATGAAGTCCCAGTTTTCTGAGAGTTTTATCATGAATGTGTGTTGAATTTAGTATAATGTGTTTTCTGCATCTATTAATGTAATACAATTTTCTTGATTTAGCTTTTTGATGTTATGGATTACCTTAGTTGATTTTCAACTGTTGAGTGAGTCTTGTATAGTTGTAATAAATCCAACTTCATTGTGGTGTGAATTTTTTAGACACTGCTGGATTTGATGTGCTTATATTCTGCTGAGGATTTTTACACCTATGTTTATGAGAGATATTGCTATGTAGCTTTCCTTTCTTGTAATATTTTTGTCTGCTTTTAGTACTAGGGTAACAGTGGCCTCATAAAATTAGTTAGAAAGTATTACCACAACTTCTATTGTCTGGAAGAAATGGTAGGACCTTGGTATAATTTCTTTTAAAAAATGCTGGGGCTGGGCACAGTGGCTCACGCCTGTAATCCCTGGACTTTGGGAGGCTGAGGCGGGCAGATCACAAGGTCAGGAGATTGAGACCATCCTGGTTAACGCGGTGAAACCCCGTCTCTACTAAAAATACAAAAATTAGCCGGGTGTGGTGGTGGGCTCCTGTAGTCCCCGCTACTCGGGAGGCTGAGGCAGGAGAATGGCGTGAACCCGGGAGGTGGAGCTTGCAGTGAGCCAAGATCCAAGATCGCACCACTGCACTCCAGCCTGGGCAACAGAGCGAGACTCTATCTCAAAAAAAAAAAAAAAAAAGAAAGAAACAAAAATTGGTTAAATTTACTAAAGCAGCAGTCAGCAGTCCCCAATCTTTTTGGCACCAGAAATCAGTTTCATGGAAAACAATTTTTCCACAAATGGGGAGGGAGAGAGGATGGTTTCAGGATGAAACTGTTCTGCCTCAGAACATCAGGCATTAGATTCTCACAAGAAGCATGCAACCTAGATCCCTTGCAATGTGCGGTTCACAGTAGAGTTCATAATCCTATGAGAATCTAATGCTGCTGCTGATCTGACAGAAGGCAGATTTCAGGTAGTAATGCTTGTTTGCCTGCCACTCACCACCTGCTGTGTGGCTTGGTTCCTAACAGGCCACGGACCAGTACTGGTCCATGGCCTGGGGCTGGGGACCCCTGCACCAGAGAAGACATCTTTAAAAGTTACTAATTATTGACTCGATTTCTTAAATGTAGAGGCCTGTTTCTCCTTGTGTGTTTTAGCAGATTGTGTCTTTCAAGGAATTGATCCATTTCTTCTAGGTTATCAAATTTATGAGCATAGAGTTTTACATAATATTCTTTATTATCCTTTTAATTTTCATGGGATTAGTAGTGATGGCTCTCTTTAATTCCAAAATTAGTAATATGTTTCTTTTTTCCTTACTTAGCTAGGATAGTCCATTATCAATTTTATATATAAAAAACCAGGGTCTGATTTTGATTTTCCCTGTTGATTTTCTGTTTTTAATTTTTTTAATTTATGATTGAATTTTAAGTTTTTTCTAGTTTCCTAAAGAAGCTTAGATGAATAATTTCAGATTTTTCTTCTTTTCTAATATATGTATCACTTCTGTAAATTTTTCTCTAAGCATTGCTTTTGCTGGCTTCCACACATTTTTATATATTTTTATTTCAAAAATTTTTAATTTATTTTGAGACTTCTTTGACCCGTGTGTTATTTAGAAGTGTGCTGTTAAATCTCAAGTATTTTTTAATTTTTCCAGCTAACTTTTAGTTATTGATTTTTAATTCAATTATATGATTGTCTGAGGACATACTTCATATGATTTATATTCTTGTAAATGTGTTAAGTTTTCTTTTATGGTCCAAAAAGTGGTCTGTCTTGGTGGATGTTCCATGTGAGCTTTAGAAGAATGTGTGTTCTGCCACTGTTGAATAACACGTTCCATAAATGAAAGTTAGATCTAGTTGATTGAAGATGCTCTTCCATTCAACTATGACCTTACTGATTTCTGTCAATTGCTGATTAAGAGGGGTTGAAATCTCTAACAATTAATTTATTCATTTCTCCCTGAAGTTCTTGTACATTTTGTCTCATGTATTTTGATGCTATGTGGTTAGCTTCATACACCTTAAGAATTGTTCTTACTTCTTGGATTCTTCATGCCTTTATCATCACGTAATGGTCCCGTTTATCCCTGATACTTTTTGTCGCTCTGAAGTGCACTTCATCTGAAATTAATATAGTTACTATAGTTTTCTTTTCTTTTGATTCATGTTAGCATGGTGTGTCTTTTTCCATCCCTTTGCTTTTAATCTGTCCATGTCTTTATATTTAAGGTGATTTTCTTGTAAACAATATATAGTTAGCCCTTGTTTTTTTTTTTTTTCTGTTCTGACAATTTCTGTGTACTGGTGTACTAAAATCACTAACATTTCCATAAATAGTTGATATAATTGGATTACTATCTACCATATTTATTGCTATTTTCTACTTACTGCCCTTATTCTTGTTTTTATTTTTGTTTTCCAGGTCTTCTGTTTCCTCTAATTTAAATTAAGCATTTTGTATGATTCCAATTTTTCTCCTTTCTTAATATATCAGTTATAATCGTTCTTTTGCATCTTAATGGTTGCTGTAGTCTTTGCAATATACGTTTCTGACTAATTCAAGTCTGCTTTCAAATAACACTATATACTTCATAGATAGTGCAAATACCTTATCCGAGAGTGTTCCTAATACTTTTTTCCTGTTCCCTAACACATCCGCCATTCATTACACTTACCTGTCAGTTATAATCACTGAATACATTGTTGATATCATTATTTTGGACACATTGCTATGAATTAGATCAATTTCAATTTTTGAAATGCCATTTATTTTGCCATCATGTATTTTATTTTGCCATGCTTTTCCTTTCCTTTTTTTATGTAGGTTTGAGGTTCTGAGCTATATCATTTTCCCTCTCTCTGAAGTACTACTTTTGATAATTCTTGAAGGGCAGGTCTATTGGCAATACATTTTTTTTTTGCCTGAGAAAGTCTTTATTTCTCCTTCACTTTTGAAGGAAAATTCCAATGGGTTTAGAATTCTAGGTTAGTATTTTATTTTTCTTTCAACATTTCACACTACTTTCTTCTTGCTTGCATGTTTTCTAAACAGAAGTTTCATTTAATTCTCATTCCTGTTCCTCTATAAGTAGAGTTATCTGTCCTTGCCCGTAACCCTCAACTGAGCTACTTTTAGTATTTTTCTTTCATTTTGATTTTCTGCAGTATGATACAATGTGCCTAGGTGTCGACTTTTTGGCATTTGTCCTGCTTTGTGTTTTTTGAGATTCTTGGATCTGTGGTTTGGTGTCTGTCATTAATTTTGAAAATTTTTCAGCCATTATTACTTCAAATATGTATTTTGCTCCTTTTTATTTTCTGTTTCTAGTATTTCCATTCATTAAACATATGATACACCTTGTGTGATTGTTCTATAGTTTTTGAATATTTTGTTTGATTTTTTTCTTTTTTTTTCCTTTTCAGTTTAGGAAGTTTCATTTTCAAGTATGTGAATTATTTCCTTGTCCATATCTAATCTACTTATAAACATATAATACATTCTGCGTTTGTGTTACAGTTTTTTTTGTTTGACTCAACAATGTCCTTATAACATTTTCTTAAAATGCTCATCTCTCAGCTGACATGTGATCTTGCATGTTGTGCACCTTATCCATTAGAGCTCTTGACATATTAATTAGAATTATTTTAAATTTCTAGTCTGATAATTTCAAAACTCCAGCCATATCAGTGTCTGGTTCAGATATTTACTTTTTATCTTCAGACGGCATTTTTTGTCTTGAAGCATGACTTTTAATTTTTTTCTGATTTTGTGGCTGGGGAGCATGAAAAGAAACTGCAATAAATAGGCCTTAGTGTGAGGTTTTATGTTTACTAGTCAGAAGTGTCTATTCTTCATAGTAGTTGTGTGTGTCAAAGGTTATCATGTCCTCTAGTGTCCTTGTTTTTGTTTTCCTTGATGTCTTTGGGTCTGTTTAGAGACTCATTCGAAATAGGACCTGAGTCTTGGTTTTCTTTCCATTGTAATCACTTACACAGGAGCATGAGTTATGTGGTGTAAAATGTGAGTTAAGAGAAGCAGTGTATAGTCCTATAATTCAATTTCAGTCTTTTAGGGAGACTGTGCACCAGATATGTGACCTTCACAAGTGCTTCTGAGGTGTTTTTGGTTTTGTTTTTGTTTTTTTAAATCCCTAGAGATGCTAGAGGGTGTTTGATTTGGGTTTCCACCTTCTCCCAGTTAGGTTCTGGAAAACCCAAATTGTGTAGGCTCTGGTAAAGTAGTTTCATTTGAAGGCAGGCTTCTGTTAAGGAGAAGAGAATGTTCTGGACTTATTTTGAAATTCCAGATACTGGAAGCTGGAGGGGACTTTTCACTGACCTTCACAGGAGAAACTGGTGGGACTCCTGGAGGTAAAAATCATGACATTTTGAGTCCCCCCAAGACTGGGCCCCTCAATTTTTAACTGTCAGCTCATGCACACTGACAGTCCAGCAATTCCTCAGTTGCAGTTCAAGTGTTCCTTCCAGCACTGGATCCAGTGGCAAGTTTCTGCTCCTGGGTTTTGGTTTCAATTAAGTTGTGATTTTTCTCTGTTTACGTGTCTCTCCAATTTTTTATGGCAGCAGTTTGTTCGTGACCTCAATTTTCTGACAGATCTAAAAAGAGTTGTTGATTTTCAGTTTGCTCAACTTTTTTTTTTTTTTTGCTGTTGTAAAAGCAGAAATGATGGCTTCTCAGCTCTGTATGTATCATATAAGATGCCAGAGTTCTCCAGATTTCTTTTAAAAAAAAATCTATTACAAATGATTTCATTCCAGCTCTAGCCTTAGGTGTCGTCTTAGTTCTGGCTCATATAAAAAATTACCATAACCTGGGAGATTTAAGCAACAGGAATTAATTTCTTACAGTTCTGGAGGCTGAAAGTCTGAGATCAAGGTTCCAAGCATCATCAGGAAATAGTGGGGGGCGCTTTCCTGAGTTGCAGCCTGCTATTTTCTTGTGTCTTCAGTGGCAGAGAGTGAGAACACTCTCTGGGGTCCCTTTTATGGCAGCACTATTCCCATTCATTAGGGCTTCACCCTCATGATCTGGGAAACTGTGCCCAAATCTAATTACCTTCCAAAGACTCCACCTCTAATACCATCACCTTGAGGACTAGGATTTCAAAATTTACATTTTGAGAGGACACAACATTCAGTCCAGTACTTTCTGCCCCTGATCTTTCAAAATTCATGTCCTTCTCACATGCAAAATATGTTCATTTCATCCCAACAGCTCTGAAAGTTTTAACTCATTCCAGCATGAACTCTAAAGTCTAAAGTCCAAAATCTTACCTAAACATCATCTAAATCAATGGTGATTTAATAAATGGGTGAGACTCAAGGTATAATTTATCCTGAGACAAAATTTTTCTCCAAATGAATTACATGCTTCCAAAATACAGTGGTGGCACAAGCATTGATAATCATCCTTATTCCAAAAGGCAGAATAGGAACAATGAAAGGATAAGAGGTTCTAGGTAAGTACTAAGCCTAGCAAAGCAAATTCCATGAGATCTTAAGGTTTGACAGTAATCTGCTTTGGCTCCATACCCTGCCTTCCAGCCCCACTGGAATGGCAGTTCCACCTTCAGATAAACTGGGGCAGAGGTCCTGCCTTCCAGAGCCACTGAAGTGGCAACGTCACTCCCACAGCTCAGTGGGGCACTGCCCATGCTATCTCTTTCTGTAGTCATTTCATCCATGCCACAGCTCTTTGGGGTGGCCCCACCCAAGCCATGATTCTCTGTCATGGAAAAGGTAGCACCCCCAGGGCTCTGCATGGTGGCTCCCAGCCCCAGGGCTCTTCTGGATGTCATTTTTGTCCTTTGAAATCAAGGTGGAGGCGTCCTGCTCCCTATGCCTATGCATTTGGGGCTGTCTTCCCTTGTTTTTGAATGATAACATGTGTTTGCAGCTGAACAGCTCTATGGTCTGGTCCTAGGGTCTAAGAAGTCTGGCAGTCTTCCTCCATTTTGTCCTGTTTTCTCTAGTTCCTGCTGGCAATGTTTCTGCTATTGTAATCCAGTCTCCATTCCTGGCTTTTGCTGAGATGGTTGACCAAGTCTGTGGTTCACACCGTTAGTGTTCTCTTCTGAACACTGTTTCTGCATTTTTGTAATATGTACAGGCAAATAATTATCTAAATCTTCAAGTTCTGGTTCCTTTTTTGATGATCAATAACATCTTCAATTCATCTTTCTTCTTCTTAGATTTTACGATAAGCAATCAGGAGAAATCAAACCACTCCTTTAACACACTGCTTAGAAATGTCCTTGGCTAAATATACAATTTCATCACTCACAAGTTTGCCTTCCACAAAACACTAGCACATAAACATGATTCAGCTGTGTTCTTTGTCAGTTTATAGCAAGGATAGTCTTTCCTCCAGTTTCCAATAACGTGTTCTACATTTTCATCTGAGACATCATCAGAGTGGTCTCTACCATTCTTATTTCTACCTATATTCTCTTCATGATTATTCAGATATGCCCTGAGAAGTTAGAGGCATTCTCTACAGCCCTCCTTTTTTCTTTCCGAGTTCTCAACAGAACTGTGTTTAAAATTTGTTTATGACAATCTAGGCTTTTCCTAGCATGCACCTCCAAACTCTTCCAGCTTTTACCCCTTACCCAATTCTAAAATTACTTCTAAGTTTTTAGGTATTTGTTACAGTAGCATCCCTACTTTTAGGTACCAATTTTTGTGTTAGTGAGTTCCAGTTGTTATGACAAACTACCATAGACTATGGGACTAAACAATAGAAATTTATTTCTCATCATTCTGGAGGCTACAAGTCTGAGATCGGGGTGCCCGGATGGTTTGGTTCTGGTTAGAACTCTATTCTGGGTTTCAGACAGTCTTTTCCTGTATCCTGACATAAGATAACAAGGATGAGAAAACCTTCCAGATTTTTTTTTTTTTAAATAAGGGCACTACTCTCATTCATGAGGGCTCCACCCAGTTTCCTTCAGTTTCTTAATTACCTCTTAAAGCCATCACATTGGGATTTAGGATTTCCACGTATAAATTTAGGGGGACACAAACATGCAGTCCATTTCAAGTGTTTACCATATAGAGGAGTAATATTATGTATCTATTATATATGTATGTACCCATACAAAATATATATAGTAACATTTTTGCACATTTTAAAATCTTATGTAAGCAATTATATTGTGTGTAATTGACTTATTTCATTTTACATTATATTTTATAGATTTGCTGATATTAATATATGTGGCTCTAATTTTCATTTTGTTTTCTTTTTTCAAGAATTAGGAGAAGTCTGAGATTTTATAATATTTGCAAGCTTGCAAGTCAGCCTGCTACAGTTTTATAGTTGTTGAAGACATAACACTCTTGGGTCAGAGACAAAGGATACTAATTTTCTCAATAGTAGCAGGGGTCAGAGTGTCTAACACATTTTCTTTTGCCTGAAGCCCCAGTACTCATGGAAAAATTCAAAGAGGTCCAGGTGACTCCTGGGCATGCAGAGAATTGTGTTACAGGAGAGAAACACTGAACTATAGGGAACCTGAGTGTTTTCAACTGGACAGTAATCATGTGTAACATTTTTCTATCTTCTAAGACTGTTCGCTGCACAAAAATCCTTAAAAAAAATAATATGAATCAGTGGCAGTCAGTGTCTTTTTCTCAGAAACATGAAGAAATATGAGAAACCCATAGAGAATTACCTCTTTATGGATATTGGTTGCATGATAAAATCTGATTCAATAAAGCTGTTGCTAATTTTATTAACAATTTATTACTTATATTTATGTAAAATGCTACAGTAAACAGACTTGTGCAAATCTTGAACATATACATGTATATATATGAAATATATAAACCTTATATACTAATATAGGGAATATAATATATACAAGATAATATATATCTTATAATATATAAGATGTATATATTTCATATAATATATGAATTTACATAAATATATATAAATTGAACATATATGTATGTTCAAGAGAAGCATGTGTGCGTGTATACATATATATATATATATATGTATACACGCACACACATATAGAATCGAAATGATTCTGCCTTTTTAATATGATCTTGGGTGTTCTGTTTGTTTTTTGTTGCTATTGTATTTTTTTATTCTGTTTTTCTTTTTATATATTGAATTTATGTTCACCACCTTGTTGATGTCTTACATAATATCTATTTTTTGTCAATAGATATTTTCAATTATTATCACAACCCCTTAAGCCCTAGAAAAGAGTCACTCAGCAGATATTGTACCTAACAGTAATCATGAAAACTGCCTCATGAGGAAAGAATTTTATTGTCAAATAAGATGAGAACAGGCTATATTATTTACTTTATAAAGTTTACAGTGCACATAAGCATATAAAGCTTTAAGAAACTTTGATTAAAAACATGGTTTAATTTTATTTTCTATTGTTTTTCTTTTATTTTCTATTGTTTCTCAAATTTTATTTTCTATTATTCTTTGAAATCTTTTCTCTAAAACAACTACATCTTCCCATGTAACTAATTTTTACACTGTGTATTTTGGAAAATAGTTTATTAAATAATTTCATTTTGAGATTTTTGTGATTAAAGTCCATCTTTGGGGTGTGCATGTGTGTGTGTATGCGTGTACATATAGATACACGTATATACATATATATGTTACATGCACACATCATATACACACACACACACACACACTCATACACATTGGTGATACATTACCTCCAGAGAAAAGTTACACTTTTAAAGGCTTTCATTTTAGCTTCAATAGGAAAGAAAGGCTAAATCCTTTTACTAAGTAGCCATTTATAGAACGTTAGTTTCAATCAAGGAGAATGAAAAGAAATAGAGCAAAGCCTTATAACAAGAAAGCACTCATTTCCTTTACCTCAGATTCCCAAACACATTGGCAAAGATGAAAACAACTTTCCTGCTGATGCTATTATCTATGATAGCCATCCTTTCCTCCTCACAATGAGGGCCTGGAAGAACAATCTGTCCTCCGGGCGGCAGAGGCAATACAAAATGGGCAGGTGAAGAATTTCAGCATACGAACAATAAAAAATATAGATGGCTGGACAATCACCAACAACAAACAAGCCAAAAAAAAAAAAACAAATTTCATTGCTTGTGTTTGTTTCAACTTCGCCAGTTCTTTCTCTATTTTCTTAGAGTTCCTATAGAGATGAGGAATTCACACAAAATGATCCTTTTCTAAGCTACACAGAAACAAAACAGATTTGAAAACAAAGAAAAAGAAGAGAGAATTTAATTTAAACTTGTGATGATGGGAAGTCAAACAAAGTTTCTTTTCTTTTGCTTGTATGATTACTTGGAATGAGGGTAATTTTGTTAAACATACTTTTCTTCCAATAGCTCTTAGGAAAAAGCCTTGCACTTAATGTTCTATTCCAAGGTTTGAATGATGAAATGTTGTAAAAAAAAAAAAATTCTGGGGAGAGCTTTTTTATTTTGCAAGTGCTATTTTATAGAAAACACACCGTTTTTATATTTTTTAAATAAGTAATCTTTTAAATTATAAAAGTTATATAAATTTGAAAGAAATTTATAACTTACTGCAAGGTACACAGAAATCTTTAAGATTTCCTCTGATTCTACCACCCAGAGTAAAAGACACTACTGATATCTATAATGTGTGTGTGTGTGTATAGATACATAACTCTATAGTATTCTACTACATGAAATTTCTACTTCGAGGTATTCATATTGCCACAATTTTATTAAAGCTATTTTTATTGAGGTAAAATATACTTATATAATTTACCATCTTTACCATTTTTAAGTGTACATTTCAGCAACAACAAATACATTTATGTATTTTTTCCTACATCCTCCTCCTTTTCTGGCCTCTGGTAAAAGACTACTGAAAATTATGCTGCAAATATAAGTTTAAATATAAATAAAAATAGTATACACTCATTACTTCCTCCTGAAATATACCAGCAACTGGAATCGTTTAGATATACAGATGTAAGTAAACTTACGACATTTGATGTGGCAAAAAAAAATGGAGGACATAATTTTTCAATTTATTTTACATTGAAGTGAAGAAAATAATAGGTGAAATTATAAAGCATAATAAATACAGACATCTTGGATACTGAGAAATAGTCAAACTAGTATCACTTTAATTTTTTCATGTACTTGTATTTATTAATTGGAAGAAACAATTTTAAGTTATGTTCTCTAATGTGGGATCTTACTATGATCTTCATAAATTGTAAGTGGGATCTTACTATGATCTTCATAAATTGTAAGAAAGAGAAACAAGAACATGCATAATGAAAAGATCTTTCCTTTTATTTCTACTTAACATAAAAAGGAGGTAAGGCACACATTTTCATATTGCCTAGTTTAAAGGCTTTAATCTAAACTTCAAAATGAACATTTGAATAACCTAGAATGCTCATATAATTGATTTATCTCCTTTATCGTTTTGCTGGGTATTCATTACTTTAAATACATTCTTATAGTTACGTAGGAATTCTAGTTCTGCTTCTGAAGCTTGAACACTCAACCTTTTGGGCACTACTAGTGGTCCTTCCAGTTACATCCTGAGCAATTTACCTCTTGCTCCAAGCATGCCCTCCAAAAGTCTAAATTTTATACAACAGGGGATGAATCACAGATAGAATGCATCCCAGTGTGGAAGAACATCTTCCGTAGAAGTAAACCTGTCACTAGTATGTCTGTATAGTTTACAAACTGCAGTGGAAAATGCCCACAATTTCATCAGACAGACCTGGCTTTGAGCATTGTCACTATCTTTCATCATTATCCTGTTATCTTTGACCCACTAATTATCACCAGTGAGCTTCAATTTTTCCATCTAAAGAAATGGAGATAATTTGCCCTTGAAGGCATGTATATCTAATGTGCCTAACACGAGTCATTGCTCACTGAATATGGCTTCCCTAAAATTGTCTTATGTATGATTTGCTCAATTTTATTCTTAAAACAATCTTGTGAGATAGTCCCTACTCTTACTATCATTAAAATTTTGTTGTGTAGCCAATTAAGAAATCAATTAATATGAATTAAAAAATGGAGAGGCCATGATACAAGGTCTGGTGGTCCATTCAGATGTGAGATTGAACCTAAGAAATTGGAAATTATCATCCCTAACAGACTGTAAATATTATAAACCCTGTCCATGTATAATAATATGACCAGAAAAACAAAACAAAACAGAAAAACCATAAGATAAAGGGAAGAGATGTGGGACAATAGATGATAATTCTAATTACCATATGTCTCATAGTAAAATGAGTTAATTCAGATTGTCAAATTTGAAGCATAGAGATTTAAAAAATTTGCCATTCTTAAAAAATAATTATTATGTAGATGAGTAAATTGAGGCTCAGAAATAAAATGACTTACCCAAAGAATCAAAACTCTTAGATTGAAAGTCACACTCAAAACTTAGCTATATAACCTCAGGTAGTATGTTTTTTACTATGGAATATTGCAAAAAATGCCATTGGAAAGCATAATTCATTTTGGCATTTGTGATAAACTGATGAATATTATGTCCAATTATTATGTTGAGGACATGCTGGGGGTGAAGTTTCCCCATGGTTAATTACAGATGCTGTTGTGCCAGGCTGCAGGCCTAAAACATGGAGAGTCTCCTGGAGCAGAGGTTTTTACAAAAACCACCACGTAGAACCACTTTAAATGATTACATTTTTTTCCTTTGCTGCTGTCCCATTTTCCAATTAGTTTCGCTGGATACGTGCCCCTTTCCCCTCTAGACCAATCTGTCCCTGGCCACTGGGCCAGGAATAGATAACATGAGAAGCTAATTCTATTTTAGCTAACAAATCCTTATTTCCAAGTCCTTACTCTCAATTAGTTTTGAGTTTGTGGAACTGGGTAAATATAAGCTTGACAAATGTTCACGAATAACTGTAAATCACTGTTGCATTTAACTAGTGATAAATCTGAATTTTTAAATGACCGGATGGTTAAGAGGAACATGAGGTTAGTGAAGAAGTTTCAGTTGGCACAAGGCATTGGCAACATGCTCAATATAAAGGCAAACAAGGGTCATATTTAAATAAGTTTAATACTTTTATTTTACTTTGTTTCAACTAAGCTGTAGAACTGAAGGAAAAAGTTCACAGATATTTAAGATTGAGTATAAAGGCACTCAGGTGAGAGATTATCAAATCGAGAGATGTCTGCTCAAATGTAGGTACTTACTAAAATAATTCCTGGGGTTATTGTGGAAAATGACAAAGTGATTATCTTTAAAAAATCAACTATTTTAGAGAGACATTTTCCATTATTACTGTAGCGGGATTGAGCTTAACCTTGTGGAAAAACAGTAAGTGAGGGGTCAGAAATGTCTACAATTTGGGGATTGACATGAACTGTGTCAACGTGTTCAATTTTGGAACAGACATCTCATCTAAAATTTCTGAGACTGGATTTTTTGCCATTTGAAAATGGAAATTATATATACGGCTTCACATATGGATTATTATTTATGAGTTTTAGACCCCACTAGTATGTACAAGTCATTGATCCTCACATATTTTCATTACTTCCTTATTGTCTCACTCCTCTCTATAAATAGCTGAAATTCCAAAACCTCACTTTTGCCTTAGGTTCCCTGTCTAATACACGGGTGCTGGACAAATCTGCATTTGAAATGTAATCTCATCTCCTATAACTACACCTGTGCATTCAAATATGATAGGAGAAAAACACACATCCATCATTTTAGTCCATTTGTTTTGCTATAAAGGAATACCTGAGGCTGGGCAATTTATAAAGAAAATAGGTTTATTTGGCTCACGATTGTGCAGGCTGTACAGGAAGCATGGCATCAACATCTTCTGGTGATTGCATTAGGAAGCTTTCATTCATAGCGGAAGGTGAAAGGGAGCAGGCATCACATGGCAATGGAGGAAGGAAGACAGACGAAGAGTTTCCAGACTCTTTTCAACAACCTGTTCTCACAGTAACTAAGTATAAGAACTCAATCACTCCAGTAGGAATGGTACAGAGCCATACAGGAGATATCCACCCCATGATTCAAAAGCCTCCCACCAGGTCCCAACTTCAGCACTCGGGATCAAAGTTCACATGAAACATAGTGGGGCCAAAAAACAATATCTGAGCCACAGCAGGCATGCTGACTATTGTGCTTTAAATGTAGGACATCTGACTTCAAATTGGCCATTATTGCTTTCCAGTAATTTTAGTACAAGCCTCTATCTAGTCCACTCACTCTCCTCCTCTCATGGATGATGATTTTACATGTTCCTCTTCTCAAAACCCTAAGATTTGAAGTCCTATCTTCACTCTTACGAGATGACCTGAAATCCAGTTGACTCATAAAATACAATAGAAGAGATTCCCACAACCTTCCACCATTGCATCCACAGTTCTACGAGCACCTGTGCCCACATGACCTGCCTCCAATTCCATTGCTATTTACTAAAACTTCGCATCCTTCTCTGGACATTATCCTTTTTCTCCTCCCTTTCCTAAAATAGTTGCTATTACTCACTGATTCCAGTTACTCCCTCCCCCAAATTTACTCTTGAACCTTTTCCTGGATATTGTTGCTGAATTGGCTCTTGCAAAATCATCAATAATTTTCACGTTGGTAAATGAAATGATTCATTCTCAACTTACTTGAACCTTCATTAACATTCTTATGTTTGACTATGTCCTCCTTCTTGAAATATTTTTCTCTCACTGATTTCAGGAAATTTACTCTGTTTATTGCTCCTGTTATACGACCCCTCATTCTCAGCTCTTTTTGCTTGTTCTTTTTCTTCCTCAATACACTAGCACTGATGTGTCCCAAGGCTCAGTTCTCAGATCTCTTTCTCTACCCAATTTCCCTTCTGTAGTAATCTCCTCTTACCCAAAGCTTTTTTTTTAATGTATGTCAAATCCTTTTCTCAATTTAATTTAATTTTAAGTTCTGTATTACATGTGCAGGACGTGCAGGTATGTTACATAGGTAAACATGTGCCATTGTGGTTTGCTGCACCTATCAACCCATCACCTAAGTATTAAGTCCCACATCCATTAGCTATTTGTCCTGATGCCTTCCCTCCCCCTCTCCTCTGACAGGCCCCAGTGTGTTGTTCCCCTCCCTGTGTCCATATGTTCTCATTGTTCAGCTCCCACTTAAAAGTGAGAACATGCGGTGTTTGATTTTCTGTTCCTGTGTTAGTTTGCTGAGGATAATGGCTTCCAGCTCCATTCATGTCCCTGCAAAGGACATGACCTCATTCCTTTTAAAGGCTGTATAGTATTTCATGGTGTATATGTACCACATTTTCTTTATCCACTCCATCATTGGTGGGCATTTGGGTTGATTCCATGGCTTGGCTATTGTGAATAGTGCTGCAATGAACATACATGTGCATGTATATTTATAATAGAATGATTTATATTTCTTTGGGTATATACCCAGTAATGGAATTGCTAGGTCAAATGGTAGTTCTGGTTACAGGTCTTTGAGGAATTGCCACACTGTCTTCCACAATGGTTGAACTAATTTACATTCCCACTGACAGTGTCAAAGTGTTCTTATTTCTCCACAGCCTCGCCAGCATCTGTTGTTTCTTGACTTTTTAATACTCGCCATTCTGACTGGTGTGAGATGGCATCTCATTGTGGTTTTGATTTGCATTTCTATAAAGATCAGTAATGCTGAGCTTTTTTTCATATGTTTATTGGCCGCATAAATGTCTTCTTTTGAGAAGTGTCTGTTCATGTCCTTTGCCCACTTTCTAAAGTTTGTGTGTGCATGTAAATTTGTTTAAGTTCCTTGTAGATTCTGGATATTAGACCTTTGTCAGGTAGATAGACTGCAGAAAATTTCCTCCATTCTATAGGTTGTCTGTTCACTCTGATGATAGTTTCTTTTGCTGTGCAGAAGTTCTTTAGTCTAATTAGATATACCATTTGTCAATTTTTGCTTTTGTTACAATTGCTTTTGATGTTTTTGTCATGAAATCTTTGCCCATGCCTATGTCCTGAATGGGATTGCCTAGACTTTCTTCAAGGGTTTTTATAGTTTTGGGTTTTACATTTAAGTCATTAATCCATGTTGAGTTAATTTTTGTATAAGGTGTAAGGAAGGGGTCCAGTTTTAATTTTCTGCATATGGCTAGCCAGTTTTCCCAGCTTCATTTATTAAGTATGGAATCTTTTCCCTATTGCTTGTTTTTGTTGGGATTGTCAAAGATCAGATGGTTGTAGATGTGCAGTCTTATTTCTGAGATCTCTATTCTGTTCCATTGGTCTTTGTGTCTCTTTTGTACCAGTACCATGCTGTTTTGGTTACTGTAGCCTTGTAGTATACTTTGAAGTTGGGTAGCATAATGTCTACAGCTCATTCTTTTTGCTTAGGATTATCTTGGCTATATGCACTCTTTTATGGTTCCATATGAACTTTAAAGTATTCTTTTCTAATTTTGTGAAGAATGTCAATGGTAGTTTAATGGGAATAGAATTGAATCTATCAATTACTTTGGGCAGTATGGCCATTTCCATGACATTGATTCTTTCCATGGGCATAGAATGTTTTTCCATTTGTTCATGCCCTCTCTGATTTCCTTGAGCAGTGGTTTGTAATTCTCCTTGAAGAGGTTCTTCACTTCTGTTGTTAGCTGTATTCCTAGGTATTTTATTATCTTTGTGGCAATTGTGAATAGAAGCTCATTCATGATTTGGCTCTCTGCTTGTCTATTGTTGGTGTATATGAATGCCTGTGATTTTTCCACGTAGATTTTGTATCCTGAGACTGCTGAAGTTGCTTATCAGCTTAAGAAGCTTTTGGGCTGAGACAATGAGATTTTCTAGATATACAATAATGTCATCTGTAAATAGAGTTTGGCTTCCTTTCTTTCTATTTGAATACGCTTTATTTCTTTCTCTTGCCAATTGCCCTGGCTAGAACTTCCAATACTATGTTGAATAAGAGTGATGAGAAGGGGCATCCTTGTTTTGTGCCAGATTTTATGCAGAATGCCTCTTGCTTTTGCTTATTCAGTTTGATATTTGGTGTGGGTTTGTCGTAAATGGCTCTTATTATTTTGAGTTATGTTCCGTCAATATCTAGTTTACTGATAGCTTTTAACATGAAAGGATGTTGAATCTTATTGCAGGTCTTTTCTGTGTCTATTGAGATAATCGTGGTTTTTGTCTTTAGTTCGGTTTATGTGATGAATTACATTTATTGAGCTGCATATGTTAAACCAGCCTTGCATCCTGGGGATGAAGCTGACTTGATTGTGGTGGATAAGGTTTTTGATGTGCTGCTGGATTTGGTTTGCCAGTATTTTATTGAGGAATTTTGTACTGATTTTCATCAGGGATATTGGCCTGAAGTTTTCTTTTTTTTGTTGTTGTATCTCTGCAAGGTTTTGGTATCAGGATGATGCTGGCCTCATAAAGTGAATTAGGGAGAAGTCCCTCCTTTTCAATTGTTTGGAATAGTTTCAGAAGAAATGATACCAACTCCTCTTTGTAACTTTCATAGAATTCAGTTGTAAGACTGTCTGGTCCTGGTCCTGGTCCTGGGCCTTTTTTTGTTTTGTTTTGTTTTTTTTTGGTTGGTAGGGTATTTACTGCCTCAGTTTCAGAACTTGTTATTGGTTTATTCAGGGATTCAACTTTTTTTTTGATTCAACCTTAGAAGGCTGTATGTGTCCAGGAATTTATCCATTTTTTCTACATCTTCTAGTTTATTTGCATAGAGGTTTTTATAGTATTTTCTGAGGTTCGTTTGTATTTCTGTGCCTACCCAAAGCTTAAAATGTTACTTCTATGTTCATGGTTGCCAAATTATACTTCTAACCTAATCATCTCCACAGAACTCCAGGCAAGCATATATGTCCGTGGTTTTAAAATATCCACTTCCAACTGTATTTGATCTCTCGAACTTGAAACATTCAGAAATAAATTCCTTATCTTTCTCTCAAGACATACACCTCCTGCAGTCTTCCCTATTGCAGTTCATGGCCAAATCCAATCTTCAAGTTGATCTGACTAAAAGCCCAAGAATCACTCTTGATTAATCTCTTTCTCTCATGCCCCATAACAAATCCAGGAGTCAATTCTTTTAAAATACATCACGGCTGGGCGTGGTGGCTCACGCCTGTAATCTTACTTTCACAGGCTAAGATGGGCGGATCATGAGGTCAGGAGTTCAAGACCAGCCTGGCTAATGTGGTGAAACCTCATCTCTACTAAAAATACAAAAATTAGCTGGGTGTGTTGGCACGTGCCTGTAATCCCAGCTACTTGGGAACTGAGGCAGAAGAATCACTTGAACCCAGGAAGCAGAGGTTGCAGTAAGCTGAGGTCATACCACTGCACTCCAGCCTGGGTGACAGAGAGGGACTCCATCTCAAAAATAAATAAATAAATAGATAGATAAATAAACAAAACATGTTACTACCTCCACCTCCACTGCTTTTATTCACATCATCATCCTTTTTCTTTTCGATGATTACGCAAAATTCTAACTCATTTGGACTAGTTAACAACTCAAGTCACCCCAGTGGTTTCCCACTCAGACCTAAAGAAAGACAGATCTCCTATCGTGGATTGACATGATTTGGCACTACACAAGTCTCTCCATGATGTACTGTACACTGTATCCACGTTTACTCTCACTTCAGGTTCTTTGAACTTACACTGCCCATTGCCTGGATGCTATTCACATAGGGATCTGGACTCCCTCTTTTCCATCAAGACCTTGATTATAAATCGCTTCTCTATGGAGGTCTTTTCGGACCACAATGCTTAAAATTGCAACCATTTCCACACTCCTCATCTCCCTCCCTTTAATGTTTAAAACATTAAAACTAATTTTTTCATTTTCGTTATACTTATCATTACATGACATAAAAATATATTTTTTGTATTCCACAGTATTGTATTATATTTGTATTGACAGTATTTCCTGTTATTATAATGTAAGCAGACATTGCATCAATGCAGATTTATCTTTCTGTTTGATTCGTTAACACTGTCATCGGTGTCTAGAATAAGACTTGACACATAATGCTCAAAACAATTCTTAAAATAATGATAATATATATAAAAGCACTTTGGAAATTATAAAGTTTCATTAAAATGTTGACATTATTATAACATCAACTAATTTTGTCAGATATTCTTCCTTTTAAATTTGATACCTGGTCTTATAAATATCCATAATTATCATGAAATTTATTTCCTATGTTTCAGGCACTGAGCTAAAAATGACATTAAAATTTTAACTCAGGTGACAGTGAGAACAAGGTCACATAGTGAAAAACACATGAAGAAATACAATGTTAATGGTTCATTTATGTAATAAAAATCATTTAAAAAATAATAATGATATACCTGTGGAAGTAAAACATATAAACTAATTTTAGTTACGGTGACTGCCATCTCTAATTATAGTGGTTTTCATATAGGGAAATTTTTAATATTTTTGACTTACAGCTTACATGCAAGAATTCTCAGTAATTATATATAATAACAGAGCATTTGCTTATATTTAAATGGCAAGACAATTAAAAAGTTATTACTCCTCAATGTTTCAATATTAGCACAATCTCAATAATGTGATTCCATTTGTCATTATTAAAAATTCTAGTCAGAGTCATAGCACTTAATTTATAATCTAATTTTATAAAAATAGTTGACTTTTTATTTCTTAAATATGTGAGAGGGTTAGTGAATTTATCTTATTTTGAGAACAACCTAATCTAGAGATACCATGCATTTTGAATATAGATAATAAATAATATCTCCAAAAATGTTTTGTAAATTTATACACTGTATATCAATTTACAGTGCTACAGTAAATAAATTTTTGTTTAATAAAATCGGTTCAAATTTTTATGTTTCATTTCAAATAAGGTAAGGTGGAGGTAAGAATTATTTTCATAGGAAAAACCCTTTTGGAGAAATTCTATTAAAAAAGAGGAAATAAATTTACATGTCATGAAAATGAATAAGTGTTTTTTCTGTTGCAATATGCCTTTTATAAAGCTTCCTCCTTTTTTGGAAAAAATTATGTCTATTGCTCAGTTCAAAATATTTGACTACATATCCATGTTAAGACCAATATAAGGTCAGTAATCATTTAAAACGTAATGTAAAAGTTTTTGTTTCTTTGTTTTTTGAGACAGGGTCTTTCACTGTCACCCAGGCTGCCCAGGAGTGCAGTAGTATGATCATAACTCACTGCAGCCTTGACCTCCCAGGCTCAAATGAACCTCCTGCCTCACCTTTCCAAGTAGCTAGGGCTACAGGTGCATGCCACCACACCTAGGTATACATTTTTTAAAAAAATTTTTTGTAGAGACAGGGTATCACTATGTTGCCCAGGCTGATTTCCATCTCCTGGTCTCAAGCAATTCTCCCTCCTCAGCCTCCCAAAGTGCTGGGATTACAGGCAGGAGCCCCTATGTCTGTCCTAACATTTTTATCGATTTTATTCCAGTACAGTTATTTAGAGCTGTCTGTGCTAAGAAGGACCCCACACTTAGGGTGTAATGCTTTTTGGTTTCTGTCTTGACATTTTAAATAATTTTATCTTGAAATAACAACTTGTCAAATTTCGCCTTTCTGTCATGACCATCATGAGGGGACTTGTCAATTTGTGAAAGAAGTTCACTTTACTTAGGGTGATTTACTGTTGAGTCATTGATTTACAGCTCTCCCTGGCTTCATCTTGGTCTCAAAATGCTTGTCACTCTCCACAACAGTTTACTTTTCAATAATCATGAGCACCCCATGGTCACCTGTTTCATTTGCCGTTTGTGTTTCTATGATAGTCTATGCCAAAGTCTCAATTCCTCCTAGAACTGTTTCCTATATAAATCACACTACGAGCCGAAGTCTCACTCTTTATCAATGTCTATTATGGGGTAATTTTCTTATGTCGAAATCAATGAATGGATGTATTTAAGAGAAATCCTAAAAATACTAGGAGTCAAAACAATAAACATTTAATAGTTAACATGTGGGCAGCATGCTAAGGTTTGAAAAGAAAATTTGAACTCTATGAGAGTCCCCTTTCAGAGACTCTATCTCTTTTTAAATCCTATTCAACTCACATCTCTCTCTCTTGTACTCACTTTATCTGAGCAACCCATTCATTTTTTTTCTATTCCTTCTGTTCCTTTCCCTGACCTTCCAAATGTCACCCTTTCTTTAGGATTTTCAAAGGAAAATAACAATCACATTTTAAAATTTCTAGACCAGAAGCAGACCTAGAGGAGCTGAATTAAAGCCATAGCCTAGAACCAAAGTATCTCCATAATTGAGGATTTTTCTAACCTTTGGGAATATGGGCTGAAATTTGTTACAGAATTAATAATTTTGTTAGATTCTAATTATCCTGGCCTAAAGGTCTATATCAATTAGTCCCATTAACTGTTTCTCTATTTTTTAAGCATTTAAAAAATAAAATTTTTAAGGATTTAAGAAATTCTTTAAAAATATGTTAAGATTAAGATTTAAATAACCCATTTGTATTAAATTTTAAAATAATTCCCTTTACAGGCTAATAAAAATAAAATACACTACATAAAGCAATTTGAGAACATTTTAAGATTAGACTAGACAAAAACTCAAAGTTGTAAACTAAAACTAGATGCCAGAAAACTTTCAAACATTAAAAGTTTCAGTATTACGGGTTAGGCCCAGCAACTGGAGTAAAGATATTATGTCTTCTCTCTTTGTAAACCTGAATTAGGGGAGTTTTTTAAAAAATAAAATAAAATCTTGAAATTTCCAGTGTGTGGATGGACATTTTCAGAAATTTAGAAAGTAAACAAATTGATAATTGGCAAAACTTTTGGTTCTTTAAACAAAATAACTCTCCACTCCAGAAAAAAAAAAAGATTATGTGTAAAATGGGAAACTTGACATACAGAAACCAGTACATACCACGAACAAAAAAGCCATTAAAGAAACCAATTTTCCCTGATGGCTAAGAAACACAAAGAGAGCTGTCCAAAATCTGTCCAATGATATTGCTTCTAGGGAAACATAAGCACCCAAAAATTCCAGGACCTTTATCTAAATTTCCAAGGAGAATTTGTTGATAACTACATATGGACAATACACCTTTCTTGTTGCTATGTATGCTACTATAATCAACCATTCATCCCAGCTCTATATGTCAGATCCCTTAGAGTAAAATACAGACCTGAAAGCCAAGATAGAGGGCACATTGACTTGTAGCAAGTGAAAGAAAAAGAACTTTTGACTAAAGAAAAAAATCACTGGTGTCAGATTATGAAAGAAGATAATAAAAGGTATACTTGTAGTCTAGTAAATTATAGCTAGCTAGAGGAAAATGAACTTCATTTACCTCAATTTGCTAGAGCCATTTAAGTATTGAGTATTTTTCACCATCCTATGTCCTTTCCAAAGTTCCAAATTCTGATCTTTTGGCTTCATTATAAGAATACGTCCTTATTCGTGGTAACGCATTACTACAAATATAATAGGTAATATCTCTTTTCATAAAAAATATGCTTCAATCCCAAGCTATGATCAGATTAAAATGGATCTAGGCATAATTATACCTACAGTATCCATGGCTTGATTAATTATCAGAAAATTAGTTATAGTCCCAGAATCCTGTGGACAAAACACTACAACACTACAGATCTAGACAGATTAATTAAAGTAGAGCATATAAAAATTCAGATTATCAAAAATCTTTTGAGTAAACATGAAGAGATTAGGGCATCTACAAGAGGTGTTATCTCAACAACTTGATACACGTCAAAAACCCATCTGAACTAAATGCTTGAGGGGATGGTTTTTACATGCTGTGATTTTACATGCTGTGATTACCATGTATTGCATACCTATATCAAAACATCTCATATATTCAATAAGTATATACAACTACTATGTGCCCACAAAAATTAAAATAAAAAGTAGAAAATAAAGTAAAATAAAAACCCACCTGTACACCAAAACTTATTTCATCTATCTAACCTGTATTTTTGCACTAATTAGCCAACCTCTTTTCATCCTCCCTCCCTATTACTCCAAAAATATGTGTAATTATTATGTATCAACAAAAATGACCCAACCCTAAAAAAATAAGAAACTAACTTTGATCCAGTAGCCAAGGTTTAACTTGCTTGCCTCCAAAACATTCAGGCCGTAATTAAATTGATTAAAGCATCTTTAGATTTTGTAACAGGATCACTTGTAAACCTGAGGTTACTACAGTTAGTAAAATTTTATGTTCCTAAAAAAACACTCAATATATTTCTACTAACTAACAAATGATCGATAACTGTGACTTTCTTTTTCTCATCTTACTATCCCCTGATGTAGCATTCCTAATACGCCAAATCTGTAACACCAATGAAGGAAAATTACACGAATATACCTGTAATTAAGGAATTGTCCATGCTCACAACAGATTTTTTTGTACATCCCAAAACCCAAATGTGACTTAATGTTTTTGAATAGGTCACTTTTATATTAAATATGTAAAGGGAAATATCAGGGTTCATTAAAATATGTAGTATAGTCATTCCTGTAGAAGCCACTTCCTTACCAGAAGCTCAATTGACAGAACTGTTATGTTTTCTAGGACATATCAAATTGCCTAAATAAAATAGATCTATATGCTAGTGACAGATATAATTTTGGGATAATTCACTTATCTGAAATGATATAGAAACAAACATATTTCCGCAGACTCCTCAGGTACCATTTAAAAATAAAAAATAAACACATGAATTACTTGATACCTTGATGCTTCCATAAATAATTGTCATAAAGGTAGATTCTCACAGTAAACAAGATATTATAGGATCTAGGGTCTTATACTGTGAAGAGTGTAGACATACTGTAGAAATACTACATAAACGTATACAAATACTTTAGAAAATCCTTTAGCAGTTTTTATCTTTGACTAGCTGTTCCAAATAAAGTCCATATAGAAGACTTTCTTACAGATCAAAAACAAGTAGCAAATCTATAGACACACAAAGTCTAGACTGATAAACTCGGAAAAAAATGCCATGGGGGAATGATAGAGTTGTGAGAACTCAACATAGAAGGATATGACCTGGTAAAACCAGAATTACCACTTACAGCATCAGATAAAACCCCAAACTGTCTTTGGGTAAAATTTGTCTGCAAAGCAGCCTCCAGGGAAAAATTGGTGTGGAACTGATGCCAATAGGGTAGTGTAGATCATCATGCAGTTTGTGAGCAATAGAAATCACCTGAGGGGTGTGTGTGTGTATGTGTGTGTGTACACATATACATGTGTATAAATATGCAGTTCTTCTCACCTGAGAAGTATATACAATTTTATATATATACACATAAAAATACATATATACATATATATGGATAAAAAGAGAGAAAGAGAGAGAGGCGGAGGAAGGAAGAGAGACACTTATGAGCAGTAGAAGATAATATAGATGGCCTAAAAACAGTGAGACTTTTAAAATCAATAGAGCCTGGAGGTGCTGGGTCTATCCTGCAGGCCCTGGCTGAGTGACGGATGAAAGGAGTACTCAGACACAGGTATGCCATGTAAGAGCCCCTAGGGGACTGCTGGGCACTTAGTGGATGGAGAGTGAGCAGTCTGAAATAGCTGGAGCTGCTTGCTTTATTTCAGTACAGATATAATGCTGAAAGCCTGGAGCCAACACAATCTGTGGGTAATTAACATTATTGTTCCCCTCTTCAGGGAGCAGTCTTGGGTACGGATGATCAAAGTCGGTTTCCGGACAACATAAGTTAATAAGCCTATTTAAGATAAATTCCTGTACACTCCCTTGTACCTATTCCTCGCCCTCTGCCTCAGGGTAAGAGAATAGCTGCCTTCAGCTTATTATCCCCCAAAGCTATGCAGAGCCTTCTGACCTTTCAGAAGGCCTGCTCCTTTTCCTATAGTTTCTCCCACCACCCTGACTAATCTCCTACGTGGATGGAGGTCTAGGAAACAGATGTCTGGATAGATCTATAGAATTGGGTGCCTAATGGGAAGCTCTTTATATTTGAAGAATTGTTAATGCCGATCAGCAACTATCCATTGTAGAAGAGCACTAAACAACCAGGTGGATAGGATGACTTGGCCAACAGGTATCAGTTTCTATCCTCAGGCTCCACAGTATTAATACAATAGGCTCATGAATGGAACAGCCATGTGGCAGAGATGGAGGCTATCCATGGGGCCAACACCTTGGATTTCTGTCACAAATTCTAATCTAGTCACTGCCTCTGCTGAATTTTGATCTGTCATGAGAAGATCCTGAGGTTGAATCTCTGATATGGTACCATGTCTCAAAGAGACCAATAAGCCTTCTGAAGGCAACTGAATTACATGGAATCTTTTCCAGCCAAGAAATAGCAATGATTATTCTGATCAGGACTGGTATTTACTCTTGATATAAATATGCATATCTAACCTGCGATGCCTCAGCCAACATCACTATTAAAGGGCTCACAGAATTTGTACTACTGACATGGGAGCCCACATAACATCATAGCAATGATTTGTTGGTGGCCACAAAACCATAGGATTGAATGGTTCTATTGCGACATGCCCCACCCAGAAATGGCTGACTTAATAGAGTAGTAGAAAAGATTCTTGAAAACATAGCAGAGAAACCAGCTTGGAGATGATACCTTAGAGAATCATCCTGAAAGGTGCCACCCTTCAGGATGGGTAATAGACCTTAAACAAATTGCTATTATATCTTTATTTGCCCTCCATTGACAGACTACATGAGTCTGGCAAACAAGGGGTAGAAATAAAAGTGACCTTCACTTTTAAAAACCCATTGATGGTATTTGTATTTATCCCACAGCTTCTTAAACTCTGTATAACTAGATGGCCTGGTTTCCAGAGAGGAGGCAAGTGTATCAAGGGATATGGTCAGAGTCTCAATAATTTTGAATCAGGAATCTGAGCTCTTCATTCCAGTAGGCCAGCAGGCTCAAAAATGAGTTACAATACCAGCAGGAGTAATTGAAGCTGAATGTCCTAAGGATGTAGGACTACTCCTTCTTAACAGGGTCAGGAAGGAATGTTTGGCATTCATATAATCTGCTGAATATCTTTTGCTATTCCTATGTACAGTGTTAAGTGGAAATATTCAAGTTCAGCAGCCATAGCCAGATAAAAGCAGAAAAAACAGGCTCAGACCTCTCAACGACGTGGGTCTGAGTCACCCCACCAGGGAAGCCACTTCAACAGCGGAAGTGCTATCCAAGGGTGAGAGGAAAATAAAATAAGTGGTAAAGGAGGGATCTAGTGAATATATCCTATGGTTTTAGGATTAATGATAACATTTGGGGCTGTAGTTTATCCCACTAAACCAACTTCTTCCAAAATGAAATTCAGACTAACTGGAGTCTTGTATAGATGTTGCCCAGATGCAGTAAACGTAATGTGAGTGCAAGGAATAGACTGATGTAGATGCTGTTGATATTCTTTCTGGTTCCCATTTTCCAGTTAGCATGCCCATTCCTTAGTGCATGCAAGTGTCATGGCTAATGGTTTACACCTGTGACCTTCTTGAAAGGAATTCCTTGGCTGATGGGGATCAATAGCACCAGGAAGACCTGGGAGGTTACACCTTTCACCAGCAGAGTAGCTATCGTCTGACTAATAAAGGCATACAAAATTCAAAGCCCTCAATGAAATGGAGGCCAAGTCTCTGTTGTAATATAGGTTTTAGAATCCAATCTCTACCATTTGGATCAGGCCAGTACTAGAACTAAGTTCACATTCTTGTTTAGCTTCTTGCCCTCCTCCACTTACTTTGTTCACTCTCTTAACAGATTTTTTTTTCTTTCCCTGAATAGTACTTCTCCAATAAATCATGTTCCCTTGAAACCCTGTCTCAGGCTTTGCCTCTAGAGCACCCAGTGTAAAACAGTGATAATCTGGATATAAATACTTATATAGTGCCTCTATTTTACTATGTGGCTGAGTCAAAGGAAAATAAAAGGTGATAGCAAATAAACCTGACTTTGCCTGAATTAAGCTATTTTTATGGCCAAAGTCTAGTGCACAAGGGTTATATGAAGATTTTCTTTACTGCCTGCAGATGATCGATTCCAGGTAATGATGGTTAATGTCTAGAAGATAGCTTTGAGTAATAAGAACTTATAATATTGCCAAAAATTTAAAAGAGTATATGAAAACTAAGAAGCAATGAGTACAGATGAATAAATAAGTTCCAGATAATATTTCTTAAAACTGAAAGTATGACTTAGTAGATGATTTTTTTTTTTTCAGTTTTGTGGAAACAAATGGCCTTCTCCTCATGTATTTTTGAACTGTCATGTGGTTGATTTTTTGACCTGAAATAACATGAGACAGAAATCATTTATGGTTGATCCTTGTGGTACTGAGATTTTAATATTCTCATATTTACTTAAGTTCTTTCTCTGATAAGAGGAGCCTAAGATATACCATTTAACAAAAGTAGACTCAGATTGAGAATGTGAAACACCAACAGGGATTTCAGTCAGCTGTCTTGTTCTGCACTTTTAGAGCTATTAGAATGGTTGTCAGTGTGACAAACCTTGGCTTTCTGCTTCACTTGTTTGTGTGAAGCTGTATTGGTGTGTAACCTAAAGTCGAATTTGGAGAAAATCTATTAATTTTCTAAATAAATATTTTAGGTATGAACTTACCATTCTTTGAAGCATGTTTCAAACTATATGGTTCTTTGGTGCCCACAGAATTACTAATTGTCTTTGTGAGAGATTTTAAAACAGCACTGACAAAAGATGTGTGAAATAGACTCAAATATTAGTTAAGCAACATGTAAACTTTTTAAGGTTAAGACCCAACACACTAACCCAAGTTATTATGGAAATAAATTGTCCAATCAAATAAAATCACATATAAAAATTCAAACATGTATTTCACATTAAAGGGTTTTAATCTAATTAAATAGCATATTAATTGAAAGTATAATAATTCAGTTAATCTACTTATGCACATTTTGAAATAAAACTTTAATTAATGTAATTATTACTGCTCTACCCAAGATATGGCTCTTTATTTTACCAAAATTTTCCAATTTCTATGCTCATATTTATATGTATATCTCAGATATTATTGCTGCAATATTTCTTCATTCCATAGTATATTATTCACTTATCCAATCATTCATTAACTCAAAAAATATATATTGAAGAATATTGAATAATATGGTCAAGTACAGTTCAATAGTCTGTAAATACATTGTAGGATGCTACAGCTAGAAATATCTATCCTTGTGAGATTTATTACTTACTGAAAAGAGACAGTAAAAAAGATTAATAATAGAAATAGTAATCTTGTTAATGGGCTCATGAGAAAACTAGAGAGCAAGGAAGGCCAAAGGTGATGTCATGATAAGGGAAGAAATGCCATTTTCAATAGTGTAGACAGACAGCCAACTTTTGGGTTGATATTTGAATGAAGACCTAAAAAAGATGAGAGGGTGAGCTATAGGATATTCATTTGAAACTTTTATTTATTTTATTTTATTTAATTTTTTGAGAGAGGGTCTTGCTCTGTCACCCAGGCTGGAGTGCAATGATACAATCATGGCTCACTGCAACCTCAACCTCAACTTCCCAGGCTCAAGCGAGCCTAGGACTACAGTTGTGAGCTCCCATGCTTGGCTAATTTTTGTAGTTTTTGTAGAGACTGGGTTTCACCATGTTGCCCAGGCTGATCTCAAGGTCCTGGGCTTAAGCGATCTGCCTGCCTTAGCCTCCTAAAGTACTAGGATTAGAGGCGTGAACCACCACCCCCAGCCAATATTGGCTTTCAACAAGGTACCTAGACAATTACTGCATGACTTCAAGGAAAAAATACATTTATTTAGCTAGGATTAACTAGATCACTTTAGCTGCTAAATTGAACATAAATGAAAAGGGATAATAGTAGAAGTTAGGGAGAATAGATATGAAGCCCTTCCAATCATCTACAATACATGGAATGATAGATTAGAGAAGAGTAGTAGCAGTAGGGGTTAAAAAATAAATTGGATTCTGGACAGATTTTGAAGATAAAACCCACAGAATATGGCAAGAAAGAGAGGAGATCAGAACACTCCACATTTCGGTCTGAGCTACAGGCTGAATGTTGTTGCCATTTACTGAGTTTGACAAACTGTTAGAGTAACAGGGTTGGCAATTAAATATCAGAAGCTCATTTTAGGAAATGTTAGGTTTTAGAAGTAGTAGATTTAAACAATTCTAGTTAGTCAACTCATGCAAAGGTACCAAGCAGGCAGTTGATATTTTGTCCTGATGATCAGGGGAGAAGAGCTGGCTAGTGGTATTTATTTGGTGGCCTTAAGCACATAGATTACACTTACTACCTTGAGGCTGGATGAAATAACCAAGGGGGAGAGTATAGTGAGGGAAAAGAGATGAGATTTAAGAACTGAGCTGTGGGGAACTCCGACATTTAGACAATACAGCGAAAGATCTGGAAAGTAAGACTGTGCTAAAGCAGCAACAGAAGTAAAAAAGAAACCTGAGAACGTTTTCTCAGAAAATAAGGGAAGAAAGAATTTGAAAAAGGAGAGAGATCATTGTGTCTACCACCTACTATTCCATCATAAACAACAGTAGATGTCCTCTGCATACCAAATTTTAATATAGAACTTTTATCTTTCAGTTCTAAGTAATTTCTAAGTCTCATTTTTTTCTTTGACTCATGAGTTATTTAAAAGCATGCTTGTAAGTTTCCAAATATACATGAATTTTCTTTATTATTTTTATCTTAATTGTTTAATAATAAAAAACTTAAGCCTATTTTCAGGGCTGGCGTTCAGCCAGTATCACATGACAGGATGTATAGTCATCCCTCAGTATCTGAGGAATTGGTTCCAGGACCCCCTCTGATACCAAAATCTGTGGATGCTCAAATCCCTCACATAATGGCATCATATTTGCATATAACTTACACACATCCTCCCATATACTTTAAATCATCTCTAGATTACTTATATCTAATACAATGTAAATGCTTTGAAAATAATTGTTATACTATATATTTTAATTGCTTTTTAAAAAATATTTTCTATCTATGGTTTGTTAAATCTGTGGTGGGAAAGCCACAGTTATGCAAGAGCTGACTGTATTACTTTATAATTATTAATCAAGCATTCATCTAAGTGGTCAGTCATCTTTTGAAATTTATCAGCCCCATGGTGTAACAGTTGATAAATATTTTGAATATTACCTCTATCTGTATGAAACTGTTCTTTGAACTTTGTTGGGATTTGCTTAATGGTCTAGTGCAGGATTAATTTTTGTAAATGTTCTAGATTTCCTTGAGAAGAACATGTAGTCTCTAATAAGCTCCATTCATATTTTATAATTGCATTAGATTAAGCCTGTGTATTGTGTCCAAATATTCTATAACCATTGGTTTTTTGTCTCTTTTATTTTTTTAATTATTTTATATTTATTTGTTTTGGGGATATAGACAGGGTCTCATTATATGGAAAAAGTTATGGTAAAACATCCAACAATAGAAGGAAATTTATCAATTGCTCTCTCTAGTTTAATTAGTTTTTATTCCATGTACTATCAGAAATTCATGTGTCTTAAATTGTTAAATCTTTTGTCTCACTAATGCTCTTAAAATTAGTTAGTGGTATTCTCTATATCTAATAATGATGCATTTTTTCTTATAGTCTACCTTTTGTTTATATTTACGTGGATACACCCACTTGATTGCTTGTGCCAACAAATACCTTATATAATCAGATAAAAATTCCCTCAGTAAAAAGAAAATGTTAGCCTTGTTTCCAAAATTATTTAGGCAAAACAATGTTAACCAAAGACAAGAAAAAATTGAATATAAATGAAAACAATCAAAAAAGAAAGTCAGTGAAAACTAACCTACAATGACTCTTGGTATTGAAATTAGTATACTGACTATTGTTAAAACACACCTCAGCAGACAAACACAATGAACTCTCTGGCTAAAAAGAGACATACTGAAACTACAAAACAGAACCAAATGGCCACGACAGGGTGAGAAGCTGGTCATATATCCCTGGGCTCACAAAGAAAATACATGTCACTACCTGTCACAAGGTTTTTATTCCTGTAATTAAGCAGAACCGATTTCTCAAAAACATGTCAAAACAGCTACGGCTGAAAATTCCCCAACTGACCTCAGACAGAACACCTGGTGGTGGCTGACTGACCACCTGGAACCTGCTAATTAAAAAACTTGTAGCTTCCTGCTTAAAGACCACCCAATGCAGGCTTTTCTCCTTACCATTCTGATACCTTCTCCTGCTTTGCAGTCCTGCCACAACTTTCAATAGACTAAGGATGAGCCTTACAAACTTTCTTTCATGATAAACTGCCACAAATCTCCAGCCAGTTTCCACTGGCTTATAGAGGATATGCAAAAACCTCCTTTGTGCCCAGTAGTTCACCATATGACATATTGAGCCAAAATCTCCCTTATTTTGATATTGAAATCCCACTGCAAAGTGAATGTAGAATGTATGCTACATACGTTAAGCTGTTACACAAGTGCTTAACTTCCCTCAAAAATATACATAGATTTTTCACAAACTCCTCCACAAATCTCTTGGTTTTTTTTGTTAACACTGTAAAGCAAGTATGCTTAAAATGTTTAGTAAATTAACTGTTAAAAATGAATAATTTTGGCTGAGAACTGGAAACTATAAAAAGGAAATTACACTTTTTTTCTTTTTAAAGAGCTGAATTGAAACTCTGGCCAAAAAAAAAAAAAAAAAGAAAAATTAACCAAAATTAAGAACTCCATGAATGATGTTATAAGATACATTGTATCCTCCAAAAAAAGAAACGTTGAAGTCTTATTCCTCAGTATTCAGAATGAGATATTTAGTGAAAACAGTATCGTTTCAAAGGCAGTCAAGTTAAAATGTGCTCATTAGAATAGGCCCTGATACATATTGCTGGATTCCTTAAAAAAGAAAGATTTGGACACAAAGAGAACCATAAGTGGAAAACAATGTAAAGCACAGGGAGAAGACAGTCATCTAAAAGCCAAGAAATACCTGAGGCTACCTGTGTGTCTAAATACCCAGTTTGCAGTCCTAGAAAAATAATACAATATTTGTATTTGGTCGGTGCACCAACCTTATATAACTGCGTATTACACAGAACTGAAGAGATAATTACCAACATGGGAGAGAACTTACAGTAATCCATCTGTAATAAAGGAGAGAGTTTCAAAATAATGAAACAAGAGAAGATAAAAGATATAGAGAATATAGTGAGAAGTACTAAAAATAATGTTCGATTATAGCCCTACTAGCAGAAAATATAGAAAATAGGAGAAGTAATATTTGAAGAAATAATGACTAAGGTTTTCAAAAACTGATGAAGGCCAATAATCCAAAAATTCAAGATGTTTAATGAAACACAAGCAAGATGAATGAAAGTAAAGCTTTAAAAAACTGTAGTAAAACAGCAAAACCCCTAAAGCAAAAAATAAAAATAAAAAAATAAAAGCCACATTTGTAACAATAAAGCAATTTAAAAGTCTCATAAAAATACTTCTCAATATGTTTTGTAAGAGACAAGCACGGGTAATAAGAAAGATATTCAATGTCCTAACTGAATGTATCTTCTGTCTTAAAAATCAACACTTCCTCCAGAATCTTTATAAAATAATAGTAAATAAAAATCATCTTCTAAAAAATAAAAACAGGAAATTATGAAGATATCCTTAATTAGAGGGTGAGATTCTCAGAAGCATTGTTGGAGATGCATAAAGGAATAAAAATAGAAAACTATTAGATAATGGTAATAAATGTAAGTAGGTATTTGAATAAATTTAATAAACAGTATCTACATAATCTTTCTATATATACGCATATATAATCAGAAAACACAAGAACAATAACGTAAGTCATGAAGTTAAAGTATTCTAATTTACTTGCTGTCTTCTTTTCCAAAAGGAGTATAAAATTCCTATCATCATGATACCTTTATTAGTAGAGAATAAAACTTGTCAGGGTAGTGTAAGAGACTTGGTATATATATGAATATGTATGTCTATATATGAATATATACGAATATATATATGAATATGTATGTCTATGAATATATATGAATATATGTATATATGAATATATGTGTATATATATGAATATATATGACTACATATGAATATATATATATGAATATATATGACTATATATGAATATATATATAAGAATATATATATGACTCTATATATACGAACATATATGACTCTATATATACGAATATACATATGACTATACATACGAATATACATATGACTATACATACGAATATATATATGACTATGCATATGAATATATATATATGACTATACATACGAATATATATGAATATACATACGAATATATATATGAATATACACAGGAATATATATATGAATATACACACGAATATATATATGAATATATACACGAATATATATATGAATATATACACGAATATATATGAATATATACACGAGAATATACATGATTATATATACGAGAATATATATGAATATGTATACGAGAATATACACATGAATATGTATACGAGAATATACACATGAATATGTATACGAGAATATACACATGAATATGTATATGGATAGACACATATGGATATGTATATGGATAGACACATATGGATATGTATATGGATAGACACATATGGATATATATGGATATACATATGGATATATATATGGATATACATACATGGATATATATATATGGATATACATACATGGATATATATATGGATTTACATACATGATATACATATGGATTTACATACATGGATATACATATGGATTTACATACATGGATATACATATGGTTATACATATGGATATACATACATGGATATATATATGGATATACATACATGGATATATATATGGATATACATACATGGATATATATGGATATATATATGGATATATATATGGATTATATATATGGATATATATATGGATTATATATATGGATATATATATGGATTATATATATGGATATATATATGGATTATATATATGGATATATATATGGATTATATATATAGATATATATATCTGGATATATATATCCAGATATATATATATGGATATATATATGGATATATATATGGGATATATATATGGATATATATGGATATATATGGATATGTATGGATATATATGGATATATATGATATATATGGATATATATGGATATGTATGAATCTATATCTACATATGTATATATACGAATATATATGGATATATATGAATATATATGGATATATATGGATATATATGGATATATATGGACATATATGGATATATATGAATATATATGGACATATATGGATATATATGAATATATATGAATATATATGGATATATATATGAATATATATGAATATATATGGATATATATATGAATATATATGAATATATATGGATATATATATGAATATATATGAATGTATATGGATATATATATGGATATATATATGAATATATATGGATATATATATGAATATATATGGATATATATGAATATATATGGATATATATGGATATATATATGGATATATATGGATATATATGAATATATATGGATATATATGAATATATATATGATATATATGGATATATATGAATATATATGGATATATATGGATATATATGGATTTATATATGAATCTATATATGAATCTATATGAATCTATATATGAATCTATATATGAATATATATGAATCTATATGTGAATATATATGAATCTATATATGAAGCTATATATGAATATATATATTCTGAATATATATATGAATCTATATTCTGAATATATATATGAATCTATATATTCTGAATATATATGTGAATCTATATATTCTGAATATATATGTGAATCTATATATTCTGAATATATATGTGAATCTATATATTCTGAATATATATGTGAATCTATATATTCTGAATATATATGTGAATGTATATATTCTGAATATATATGTGAATCTATATATTCTGAATATATATGTGAATCTATATATTCTGAATATATATGAATCTATATATGAATCTATATATGAATCTATACATGAATCTATATGAATCTATACATGAATCTATACATGAATCTATACACACGAATGTACGTATATGAATCTATACACACGAATGTACGTATATGAATCTATACACACGAATGTACGTATATGAATCTATACACACGAATGTGTATATGAATCTATACACACGAATGTGTATATGAATCTATACACACGAATGTGTATATGAATATATATGAAATATTAGAATTAGTATATATTACATATTATTGATATGTACATTAGTATATATTCTATATAAGAATACATACTTAAAAGTACTATAAGAATTTAGAAATATTGACCACATATTAAAATATTAAAGGTGAATAATTACCAAAATACAATAAGTAAATAAAGAGAAAATTTTAAAATACCTTGCTAAAGTGAAGAAGAGTAAGATATGAGCAGGGAAAACAGATAGAGAACTGAATAGCTGGACCAAACAGAAAGACTACGGTAAGACGGTAAATTCAAATATAAATATGTCATTAAATACATTAAATGAAAAGGGAATAAATACATTAAATGTAAATAGAATAAACATCAATTAAAGAACATCAATTATTGCTCATGGTAAAACAATCAATAAGATACTCTGAATAAGAAATATTGGCCGGGCGCGGTGGCTCATGCCTGTAATCCTATCACTTTTGGAGGCCGAGGAGGGCGGATTGCCTGAGCTCAGGAGTTCGAACCCAGCCTGGGCAACACGGTGAAACCCCGTCTCTACTAAAAATACAAAAAAATTAGCCGGGCATGGCAGCGTGCGCATGTAGTCCCAGCTACTAGGGAGGCTGAGGGAGGAGAATGGCTTGAACGCGGGAGGCGGAGGTTGCAGTGACCCGAGATCGCCACTGCACTCCACACTCCAGCCTGGGCGACAGAGGTCTCCAAAAATATATATATATTTATTTAGAAATACTAAAAAAGTTCAATTATAGTCCTACTAAGAGAAAATACACAGGATATTCAGAAATAATATTTGAGGAAATAATGACTTTCCATTTCTTTGAAATCAATAAAAAGATATACAATAAAAATTATCAAAGAATGATAGTAATATTGTTAATGTCAGGCGAATTAGATGTTGAGACAAAAGAGCATTCATAAGAAAAAATAATTACTTCCTAATAAAATGTTCAATTAACTAATAATATGAAAGAAGTATTTATTTATTTATTTACTTATTTATTTTTATTTTTATTTTTAATTTTGAAACAGAGTCTTGCTCTGTCACCCAGGCTGGAGTGCAGTGGCACGATCTTGGCTCACTGCAACCTCCACCTCCGGGGTTCAAACTAAGAATTCTTATTTATATGCATGCAATTCCATGGTCTCAAAGAGTTAAGACAAAAGTTGTAAAATTGAAAGATGAAATTGGTGTAAATCATATCGGAGATTTTAACATAAATCTCTCAGTAACGAATGAAACAATCAAATAAAACTTCAATAAGAATATAAATGTTATAAAAATAATAAAGCTCACCTAATGGTCTCCTAACTATGACACTACACCCAAGACCTTCAAATAATGTATTATTTTCAAGAACACATGGATAATTTACAAATATTGGCCACACATTGAGTTATAAATAGAGTAATAATACATCCAGTTTGCCTGAGATACTTTTGGTTCTCTCTTGTTGTTTCAACATTAATTATTACTTCCCCCTTTTACCTTTTAAAGTGTGGTTGTTTGGATATAATTTATATGGGTACTTTAGTCAAAAAACAAGTATCAACAAATTTTGAAGAGTTGAAATCCTATAAGGTATGAATGCTGACCCCACTGCAAATAAGCTAAAAATCAATACAATTTTATAGAAAGAAATGCCTATAAATTTAGAAATTATAATATAGGTGTCAAACTAACCATTGATAAAATAATGAACCATAATACAAATTAAAAAGTATTTTAAAAATAAGGATAATGAAAAGAGATATCAGTTCTTTCTTTGTGCAACTAAATCAATTCTTAGAGAAAAATTAATATAGTAAATGTACATATGAAAAGAAAACGAAGCCTTAAAATTGGTAAGCTAAACATACGTGAATTTTATAAGATGTATCTAGGTAAACTCAGAGTAGGAGAGAAGAAAAAATGGAAATAGAGCATACATTCATAAAAGAGAAACAAGTATAAAATAGAGTGGATAAAAGAAACCTATCTGAGCATACACTTTATGATTGAAAACTATTCAATGGTTTATAGTTTGTATAGGGCTGAAATAATATCCTGGCAAAATGTGGCCCAGATTTATCCCTTCAGTTTCAACTCTTAACACACTCCACCTCACAGAAGTCAACCAGACTGAGCCTTCAATTTCCCCATACACTCTCTTATCTCAGACACGTTCTTAATACTACTCCCTCTGTTTGGGATAATTTCCCACTTCTAAATAATCCTTCTGTTGAATAATTCCTACTTGTCCTCTGGAGTAAGTTGAGAGTCCACCGTCTCCAAGAAGCATTCTATAATTCATGAGCCTGAAATAGGCATCTCTCCCATATATCTGCACAGCATCATGAACTTTACAGTAATTATAATAACACTGTATGGTAGTTTCCTGTGCACTTCTATGTGTCTTCCACCAAACTATTTATTCCATAAAAAGCAGGAAGTATGTCTATGTTGAACAAATGAATAAAAGAATAAGGCTATAAGAGCTACATGAAATAGACAATGCAAGTATAGAAAAAAGTGTAGAGATTAAAGTGGTTCAAGGAATTCTATACATGGTGACATTAAGTGGGAAGGATTAGAAAATACCCACTGAATTATACTATTTGAATGCTGTTGTTAATTATATTGACTGCTGAGTTTCAGAAAGTTAAATGTGAATATTAAAGTTCACTAGAAGTAAAGGAAAAATATCAATTATATACTTGTATTTTGAGAAATTCTGATGAGAAGCAGAAAGTGACTGGATATTAGTGGAGAAAATACTGAGCAAATACATCTAAGCATGACTATTAGTATTTCAATAAAAGAGACTGGGTATAAACTTTCTTATGTTTAAACCAGAAAATAAATTTGAGCTATTCATACATGAATGTTTTATTGATAAAAGAGAGTGGAAATTATCATTGCAGTGATTTTCAAATTGAGTTGTCCAGATTCACTGTAGTTTCTAGAAATTTATGGTGAGAGAAGATTTAGGTATAAATTAAACCCTAAAACTAACTCCTGGTTCTTTTACTAGCACAAACCTGAAAAAAATGCAGTTTTATCTATCTTATTTATCTATAGTTTTCACCACATATAGATAGGTAAAGATAAGAATGTTGACATTAAAGAACATAATTTCTGCTGTTATAAAACATTCAGAGATGTGATAAAATGGGCACAAAATTCTCCAGATCAGTATAACAAATATATATTCTAGTTACTTCAAGTAGTATATTCAGCTAATCTGTGAGGAACAAAATTCTTTTGGATCATAAATGTTCACCCTCAACTCTGTATTATTGTTAACCACATGAAAAATAAAATATAACTAAAACAATGAGATTGTTATATTGCAACCTGTCAAACGTTTTAAGAGTCAAATAACACACATGTGTGATGATATAGCTCAATATATTAAAAATGAAAATATTTCAAAATTAAATGTATTAGAGATCCTTCCTTCTTAATAATTAAAGAGATATATCATCAGTTTCATGTTATATGGCATTCTATGGTACTTTTGTATCTGAAATAATTTAAAGAATTTCTTATTTTTTGACATCACAATTGTTTTTGTACATGTGTACAAGTTACTTACCGTACTTCTCATAGAAATGTAGAGTTGCTATGTCCTCTTCTTCAATCTTGAAATACCCTTGTTATTTTCTGTGTTGAAAGATTAAGGTGGAAATGATGCTGAGTGATTATCAAGGCTAGGTTGAGGAAGGTGATACAATTTCCACCTGGTTTCCTTTCTCTCTCTCTCTCTCTCTCTCTTTTCCTCTCTCCCTCTCTCTTTCTCCCTCTGTAAGAGTCAGTCATCTAGGAAGCTACCTTGCTGGAGATATCACAGAAAGAGCCCACACAGAGATAAAGGGGTTGGCTGAGGAAACTCAGCTATTCCATTCCTCAACTCTTTGAGAAACTCAACCTCAGGTGCCAGACATGTGAGTAAACCTAAAGATGGTTCCAGCACTTGTCTTTATCTGAAAGTCATGACGTGAGATACTGAGTAAGAAATGCATAATGATTTGAATTTCTTTGATTGCTGTTGTTATCTAACTCTTCCCACACTGTTTTTGAGACACATGCACACACACAGTTTATGCATTTTGAAATATTCATGGAAAATGTAGTCAAAAATTTATACATGTATTTCTCTTCCCATTAACTTTATGGAAGGGAAAGTCAAAAGTGAAAAACATTGTAAAAATAGAAATTAACACATTAGTTAAGACTAGGTAGGACTTAAGATTAGATTGAGATTAAGATTGAATTATTTCAAAATAGATTAACTGCCAAATTCCCAGGCTCATGTTATTTGAGGAGAGGTTATATCTTGAAAATCATCCTTGTAAAATGCTTTGAAACAGACCTCTCTTGCCCTTCAATATGTATGTTTTCTTTTTTAAAATGGTAACTTTTAGAAAAGAATCTGTTCTAATGAAGCCATTACTGTTGTATTTATACTCTACCCCTATCAAAGGTTGACCGTTATTGCAGGAATGTCCACTTCCATACACAGTCACAATGGAAGCCTGAGGGAAAAGTGTAGTCCTGGTTTACTAGACACTTAGGGAATATTTTATTGTTATAGAACATGGAAGAGACATGCAGGACACTAAAACTTTTATACATCCTTACCAGGAGGGTGCTTTTGTAAGCAGGACTCAGCAAACCATAAAGAACAAAACCAACAAAAATGAAGGCAGAACAGATTACATAAAGTTAAATTTAAATCTTCAAAAATAGGCCATAAATATATTCAAAGTAAAATTTAAAAACGGAGAAAACATTTACCATGTGGGGAAAAAAAAAAACAAGAGCCAATATCCCCGAAGTCCAAAGAGCTCCTATAAAATAAAAATTTTAAAGATATTCAACTCAACTGATAAATGCATATGAAAATTCCAGGATTATTATCTTTCAGAATGATCAATAAAATGTAAAAACACTAATGATATTTCATTTTACTTATTAGAAGATAATTTTAAAGGATTGAGAGATTTAGAGATTTAGACAATTGTATTCTTGGTAAGAATTTAACTTGTTACAATCATTTTAGAGAACAATTTGAAAATAGTTATTAAAGTTTAAGTAAGACAAATACATAAACATATGCATGCAAGCATGTTCAATAAAGCATTATTTGGAATAGAAAAATATTGGACAACAATATTTCAAAATTGGGAAATGGTTGATTATTATATGAAGCATGTGCTTCACACAAAAGATACTAAAAGGGCAAGCTTCCAATAATCAACATTATATTCAACAGCATTAGTTGATCTAAGAGAAAAGAGAAAAAGGAGGCATTATAATTAGAATTTTGCATTTGTTTCTTTTTGGATCCTTAATTAAACTCCATAAGGTTGGTGCAAATATTACCAGTAAGGAGCATAATTTTCAATACATAAATTAATAAGCAATGTCATATATCTAGTATGTAAGAAAAGTAGATTTAAAATCAGAAAATCTGACAACTTAGTGATTGATTAGTATATGAGTACTATTAGGAGAAAATTATGAAGTAATTTTTGCCAAGTTGAGTGGTAGGAAAAAGTGTGTGTGGATGTTTGACTACATGATTTGTGGTAGGGATAAGTGGAAGTCAGTATATTCAATAGAGAGAGAGAGCATGTGCTTCATAAATAGTTAGAACATGGGTGATGCTTTTTACTTAATAGTAGTTTCAGGATTAATAGAACATAAAAATTTTTTTAAAATTTTGTCACATCACTTGTTTTCAGAATGGTTCTATTTGCTGTCTCTGTGTTTTTTAGAATTGTGGAGCCAGAAAGAATAGCACATTATGAGTCTGATAATATGTTTAATATGAACTTAGATATGGTAACATAATGCAGAAATATTCCATAAATATTTTCAGATTTCTGAAAGCTACCATGAAAATATTTTCAATTATTAGTGTAATTCTCAGCCTAAAAACATTTTTGGCATTTAGATTTATCATACTGACCAAAAATATCACCATGTATGTACGACAACAGTTTTATATCAGTCGCTACAATAAAAAGTCTACATAATGTTTTGTTTTGTGTAAAAAGTGAAATAATGTTACTATTACATGGTTTTCATTGATTTTATTCTGCTTACGATCTCTTCTAAAATTAAATAAGATACTTCTCATCAGCATCTGTGACATATATATTCAATGTCTAGCATGGAGGTGGTTCGAAGCTCAGGATTTATTTTCTAAACATTAAATTTGATCTACACTTTCACAGAGGATAAGCTGTATAAATTAATTATTATTCTCTAGTGCAAGATGGAATTTGCCAAATACAGAAGGAGGCTGAGATAATTCAGAGTATTATACATATTTAGGGACAAGTAACAAAAAATATAAAAGGTTGGAATATAGACCCTAATGTAAAAAGTTCAATGACATTAAGCCTAGTAAAAGAAAATAAAAATTTATAAATATATAAAAATATTTAAAAAAATGTTAAAGCATTTGAGAAAAAAATGTACTCTCTGAAGCTGAATTAATAAATAATAGGATTACTAAGCATTTTTCTGGGATGGCTTACATGTGACCAGGACTATGCTAGCTGTCATAAAATTCGCACATGTTTCATGGAAAGAAAACTTAAAGCTTATTAAATATATTCTACCTACGTTATAAATGAAGATATGCCAAATCAAGTTACTTTCCATGATCATACATTAAATTATGGTAACAAAAGTAGAGCCCAGTTCTCTTGGATCTCAGTTTTGTCCTATAGTCATATGCTGTGATTTACTTTGTGTTTCTTCCTACTTCAAGTTAAGTGCCATTTTTTACTAAAATTGATGAAAAAATGCCTACACTCAATTCAAGCGAATACAGAAATATCTGAACAGAAAAATCAAGAACTGAGGCTGACGGAAATGGTGCATGGTAGTGTTATCAGATCCTAAAGGTGTTTAGGATTTGGCATTTGGCTTTCAGAAAGTTAAAAATATTTTAGCTGTACCTTTGTGAAAAAATAGAAAGATGAATTGAAAAATGCTGAGACACAGATAATATGCCTCTCACATTATCTCACAGAGTACAAAAGCTCAGTGACAAGATTCATTCTGTCTCCTATAAAAATTACTGGCTTTGGCCAGAATAATAGAAGATAATTGACACTAGAGTCTTAATGCTAAATTGAAAGAACTACCCAGTTGTTTTAATTTTGTGATAATAAACTCTAAAGAATGCCTTCTTCCTCTAGTACACATATGGTAGATTGTATCTCAAATGCTTTTCTGTCTAAATATCCAGAATAAATACTAAATAATGTCACCATTATTATGCAAAATCAGCATGATGTGAAGATTCAGGTACATGAAATACAGCAACATGGTACTTAGAAAAGCTTTTTACTGAGCCAACTTTCATTCCCACAACATGAAAACAAAATCAATTCTGCTTAAGATAACATAAGTGATGCTACAATTGAGGCAATCTTTACAATACAGCTTGTGTAGTGACAAGAGGAAATGCCAGCCATTTTTATTTTGTTGGAAAATGGCTCAAAGGCAAAGAGATTCTAGCCCCTGGAGACTCGCAATAACCTATAATGAGGGCAACAGCCATCATACAAGAAATGTAACAGATGGCAGCATGGTCACCTCACTCAGACACAGGTTACAAAAAAGATGAATATAGGATTTTAATATTTAGAATATATGAAGGAGACGGCTCTTAGACCAGGCAGTAAAACTAAAAGACATATAGCACCAAGAATATCAAAACTATTATAAATCTTTTTCTTTTAATATATATTACTCTACATGTGATTTGAGTTTCTTATCAATTTGATCCAAAACCATCACTAGAGTTTAAAGTCCTTGAAGAAAGAAAACATATTTTGACCAATGTTATAAAAATAAAAGTTACACAGTAAGTATTCAAAATATATATTTATATTTGAATTGAATTAAAATGTAACAGAAAATATCAGAGTAGACAGAAATAAATTTCTCAATGTGTCAAACTGCAAAAAAGCTTGGAAAGACCTCTATCACCAAAAAGTATAAAACTGGATGAAAAAGAAAAACATCTCTTTAGTTTCATTGTTAAGTAAATGCAGCCACTAAGACATGGAATGTGGGAAGAAAGCAAGATCCAAGAAATGATGGAAATTCATTTATGTGAGATTCACATTAACTGTCACTTTTCCCCTGGGACATTTCCCATTACCTGTCTGAGGCCATTGAAGTTCAGCTGAAATTGTGGTCCAGAGTTGTTGGCAGCCTTGCTGGCATGGAAGGCAAAAATTAAAATGTAGAAGTACTAAGAAGACAGGACTTGGACAAAATGCTAGACAAATTGGATTACTGGAGGAGTGAATTGGACATTCTGCCCAGGTTTGTCCTCAATGTTATTTGGTGACTCTTGAAATGCTCAGGTCGAAAAGGGAAGAAGCACAGTAGAAACACGCTGCTAAAAGGTTAAACAAGAGGCTTAAGTTTTTGTCCATCTCACAGTCCCAAGAACACACACACACACACAGAGAAAGAGAGAGAGACACACACACAAATGTACCTTAGAATGTTACAAGAAAGAGAAAACACTTCACTTTACAATTAAACCAGATCAAAACCAAAGAAAAAAACCTTAAACTACTTGCAAACCAGAATAAACCCACTGAAAATTAAGCTTCAGATCACCTTCATTACTCTTTCAATAAGTTGATCTTATTAAAATATGATCTTCAGATCCTGAAAATTTTCACACACAATGTATAGCATTCAACCAGAAATTACCATGTATAAAATAATAACACTGTTTTGGTTATCAACTATTACATAGCAGGTAATCTAAAAATTTGGTGGTTTTTCTGTCTAAAATAACAACAAATATTTTATTATCCAGAATGTTTCTGTGCATCAGCAACTGGTGTAGGGATTGGCTGGCATTTCTGGCAAAAGGCCTTTCACATAGTTGTGGTCAGACTGTTGAGGAAGCCTCGAGTGTGAGCTGCAGCAGCTGGGGAATAGCTGAGTATCTCCCTCTCCATGTAAACTCAGAGAAGAACTTGGCCTAGAGTGACGCAAGAGAAGTGCTTAGGACACAAAATTTAAGGCGGCGTTCCTGCTCAGGGTCATGAAAGTGCAGGTGTGGCACTTCAGGGCCCTGAGAGGGAGTGTCTTCTGAAGACACCTACAGTATAAAACTGAAAAGCACATTCCTTTTTTTTTTTTAATATAAAAAGCCTTCACTTGCAAGACTCTAACAGTGAATATTTTCTTAATTGTTTTTATTTTGCTCTAGGCATCTCTTTTGGCTCTTGTCCTTTCTCCAAATGCTGACTTAGAGCTCACAATGTATTATATTTCTATGGGGCTTCATTTGGCATTCTTGGGAGCATGGTGGTCTTAGGATATGTGGTATAACCTATGGTGATTGAAGGCTTCAATATAAGTTATTATTCTGAGGAATCCAGGTGGAAACTCTATCACCATTTCTAACCTAGCTTCGACTTCTATGTAGTGTCATTTCCACTGTATTTTATTGAATACAAGTGAGTCCGACCAGTTCCACTGGGAGCTATATCACCACTTGATGAGAATAGTATCAAAAAATCTGGAGATTGTCTTAAAATGTATCGTCTAGATCATTAACAAAATCCATACTAAAAATGAAACAGAACTAAAAGTAGTCCAGAGTTTAAAATAATTGGACATAAACTTTGAAAGGATCAAAATAATTATTTTTAAGGAAGTCAATAACAAGATGGAGAGTTTTACTAGTAAATTGTAATCTACAAAGAAAATCAAGATTCTAGAACAGAAAATGCAGTAACTCAAACTAAGAACTCATTTTTGAGTTTAGCTGCCGATCATTAACATTGGAATAGAAGATTATTGATCCAAACTAAAAGAGAGAAAAAGTACTTGGAGTAAGGAATAAAATAAACATAAGAGACAGTAACGATAGATCTAACATCCATGTAATTAGAGTAACAGAAGGAAAGGAGAAAGGAAATGGGTCAAAAAGAGCTACTGACTAAAAATTTTTCAAAACCTATGAAAGACAACAAACCCGAGATCCAAAATTATCAATGAGCTCAAAGGAAGACATAAATCAAGAACACCACACCAACAAATATTCTATTAAAATTGCTGAAAATGAAAGACAAAAAGAAAAATCTGTAAAGCAGTTGAAGGAAAAATGTCATGTTACCTTCAGGGTAGCAACAATAGGACTGACAAATGACTTCCCATCAATAATTATGGGAGTCAGAGATGAAATATGACATTATCAGAACACTATATGAAACTAGATTTTTACATTCAGCAGAAACAATCTTCAGAAATGGAGGCAAAAGTTTTCAGATGATTATAAATTAATAAATTTTTGGATGGGCAGATTCAGACCAAGAAAATACCACAAAAAATTTCTCAGGCACAATAGAAATGTTCCCAGACTGTAATGTTGTTATGAAGACATGAAAAGTTTTGGAAATTGTAAATATAAGAGAAAACTCAAATTACTATCGTTTACAAGAATAACAATGTCTGTGAAGTTATAAATAAGTTCTGTAAACAGAAAACTAGAAGTAGACTAACATTTCCTCACCCTGGTGTAACGTGTCTACAAAAACCTGCAGTTAACCTCATAACTAATAGTGAAATATTGAAAGTTTTTCTTCTATATGGAAAAATAAGTCAGACGATCCACTTTCACTATTTCTATTAAATGTGTACTAGAGTGCCTAACCTGGACAGTAGACATTTGTCTATATGTATGTTTGTGTGTGTGTGTGTGTGTGTGTGTTTATAAATATGTTAAAGTGTAATGTAAGTTCATGTGTATGTGTGTCTATACAGTACTACATACAATTTGAATATGGCAACATTGTTTTAATAGAAAGTAATAAATATTCTATAAATTAATATAATTATTAAGTAAATTAACCAAATCTGCTGGATTTAGTGTCAATATAAATCTCAAATGTGTATATAATTACAACAAAAAATAGCACATTAAATGTATACACAAAACGACTACTTGTGATTCAATCTAAGAAGAAGTTTAGTAAACATTCCACTCAATATGTCAATTTTTGGGTGAGCGTAGGGACAGAGTCTGTCTCTGTTGCCTTGGCTGGAGTACCATGGTGCAATCACAGCTCACTGCAGCCTTGACCTTCAGGGTTCAAGCAATCTTCCTGCCTTAGCCTCCTGAGTAGCTGGGACTAAAGGCATGCAGCATCATGCTCAGCTAATTTTTGTGTTTTTTGTAGAGACAGGGATTTGCTATGTTGCCCAGGCTGGTCTCAAACTCCCAGGCTCAAGCGATTCTCCAGCCTTGGCCTCTCAAAATGGTGGGATTACAGGCATGAACCACAATGTGTTGTCAAAATATGTCAAAATGTTAAAATTATTTAAAAAATTAAAGATGGCTTTAATGATTATAAAATTAGCCATTTATGATTGTGGGGCTTAATATATTAAAACTTTAATTTTTCCCAAATTATAGTTTCAAGAAAATTGCAGAAAAAAGAAATCCTGCATGTTTTTGGTGGCTATTTACAAATTGATCTAAAATATAAATGGAAGTCCAAAGCGTTTGGAACATCCAACACAGTCTTCGAGAAGTAGACCACAATGAAGATTTACCATTTGGATATCATAACTTACTACAAAGCTATAGTAATTTAAACTATATAGTAATATTTCAATAATAGATACATAAATGAAATATAAATGAGTCTCAAAACAAATATTTATGTATTTTTTCACCTGCTTAACAACAAAGTAATATTGTGGTAAGAGTTATTATGGGATTATTATATTGATACATGGTGCTGGGTGAACTGATACCCATATGCATATAATAACCTTGCCTTTAATCTGATACATAATATCAATTTCAAATAGATTTTAAATTTAAATGTAAACGTCCAAGCAATCATGTTTCTAAAATATTGCATTGAAGAATATCCTCCTGACCTTAGGGTTGGTACAAATTTCCTAATTACAATTCAAAGAGCAGTAACCACAAGAGGTTGATAAATTAGATTTAACAAGAAAAAGCATAGAATTACATTGGACGACTATTCATCTATAAAAGTAAATGCACTACTGATCAAATAGTAACAAGGAGATGAAGCTGAAAACCATTCAACTGAGAGACAGACCCAACGCACAAAAGAATACACACAGTATGATTCCATATGAAACTCTAAAAATGACGAAGTAATCTTTAGTGACCAAAAACACTCCAGTAGTTTTTTTGGGGTCAGATATGTGTACAGTTGACTGGGAAGTGCCATAAAGAAAGTTGAGGTTAATAGAAATATTATGTGTATTATTTTTTCTAGTGGTTACACAGGTATATGAATTTTTCAGATCTCATCAAAATATATACTTAATGCAGTTCATTTTGTTAAATGTAAAGTATATCTCAGTAAAGTTTATTTTTAAATGTATATAAACATATATATCTAAATTATATATGTATAAATATATAAAGAAGTAAAATAATTTTTTAAAATAAGGCTTAAATGGTAATGCTTCAAATTCAGCTTATTTAAAATCTTTCTGCTTTGCTACAAAGGCAGTCTACTTAACACACTGTAAGTTTGTATCTTTTAATCTTAACCCAGTTGTCCTAAATGCGAAAAGAAAAAGGAAGAAAAGGAATAAGGCTAAGATTTCTATCAGTTTAAGCCAATAATGGCAAAATATCAACTGAGAAAAAACAATGCAGTTGTAATAAATATACTACAGATAAAAACCTGAAGGGAAGGAATGATGTGTAGTGCAGATAGCAGCCATCTGGATTGTTTGTTTTTTGAGCCTTTCAACAACAAAGAAATGTTCATTTCCCAAGGAGACCTACAAATCAAGATGGATTGACAGCTTTCTTTTTTAAAGTGGCAAATGTTCAAAGGCGCTCCTGTGAGGGCACAGTAAACAAGCAACATCATCAGACCATGATTCAATTTAACTTGGTGCTGCTATGCAGAAAAAAATGAGCAAAGCCACATAATTCCAACTGGCTTACTGAAATTTTTGTTAGTAGGACCCCTTCTTCTATCAAACAATTTGGTATTAACTCACACAATGGTATCTGGCTAGTGTCAATCGAGAGTAAGAAAATTTTAATAAAATATTATTCTCCCAAATATCAAACCCCTATTCCAAATAATACTTAATGCCAAATATTTTCTTGATATTGGATTTTGTTTCAAATCTTTCAGATTAAATTCTTGCCTTCACTTGACATAAGAGATACAGCTTGTTTTCTGTAACGAAACCCCAATTGATAAAGTAGATGAGAAATTCACAGTGTGCATACTAAAATGCCATTTTGAATTTTGCAGTGTGTGTATCATGTATCAAATGTATGTGAAGTCTCAGGGGGAATGAAAGAGAATTCGAGGCAGGAAAAGCAATGAGAATGGCCACAATTTGAAACAGAAGCTGGCAAATAAGCAAAAGTGTATTGGGGAAGGTTTTTTCTGTCCTTGTATCATTTATTCTTTCACTTTTATTCAAGTCAACAATGCCATTGCAAGACTGAAAAGGGGAGATATTAATGTATATTAAAATAGAGAATTTTGATTCACCCTTTGATATAGCTTGAACATACATCCCCATCGAATCTCTTGTTGAATTATAATCCCCAGTGTTGGAGGTGGGGCCTTGTAGGAGATGTTTGGGTGATGGGGTCAGATCCTCCATGGCCTGGTGCTGTCCTCACAATGGTGAGTGAGTTCTCAACAGATCTGGTTGTTTGTGTGTGACCCCTCCCTACTCACTGTCTCTCTTCTGCTTCCACTCCCCAATGTGACACACCTGCTCCCCCTTCATTTTTCACCATGATTGTTAGCTCTCTGAGGCCTCCCAAAAACAGATGCTGGCATTCTGCTTCCTGTACAGGCTGCAGAACTGTGAGTTAAAACTTCTTTTCTTATAAATTACCCAGTCTCAGTTATTTCTTTATAACAATGCAAGAATAGCCTCATGCATCCAGAGAAATAAAAAATGTGTCTCATTCAGTTAATGGAATTTAAAGGAAACAGAGATCCTTTGTTGAATAGAAGACGTACCATTTCTGATTTTTCCTTATCAACCCAAAAGACTTCTACTTCTACTATAGCTCTAATAATAAATTAGGAGTAAGAATATTAAGCATTTTCTGGGAAATCTTCTTGCAGATCAGCCCTAAATCAGTTTTCTGTCTATCTTCTCCTGATGCAAAATCATAGCTTCTAAACATCATGCCACAGTCTTCAAGGATTATGAGGCTAGTCACTGACATTTTTATTGAAGACACTTGAGGATAAGCAGACATGACAAACAAAAGTCTTCTAAAGAATGGCCCAGAGAATCACATTATCCAGTCTGGTATGTGCAAGAAGGCTATATCTGCAGCTGAACTGTGGGCTCAAGAGAAAGCTGACCAGAGCCTGCAGTATTGCTTCCACGCCTCTTCCTCTGCCTGGGGAAAATGTGTCAGTCCTGGAGAGTGGAACAGACATTGGCTTGACTTGCCCACTCTCATTATAGGATTCATTGCTGACAGTTATTTCCATTGGCAGCAATTGTGTAACCACATTCTTTTTGGGCCTGACACTTACAAAATTTGAGAGCCCTTTGAGGAAATAATATTAATAATATAAAATTAGATACAATGGCCTCTTGGAGGTAAAGCCAAAGCTTAAACTACCTTAGCATCTCAATAAATCTATTTTTGAGAACCAGGTCCTGGATTCTGTAACTATGTGGAATTTTCAGGTTTGGCTGCATCAGGAGCAAAATAGCAAACACTGAAATGGGTCCCTGTCACCCCACAGCCATGTCCATTACAAGATGGCGAGTCAGTGTTATGACAGATTAGCGATGAGTGTCATTGCCTGAAGGAGACACTTCAAGGAATTCAAGGCAGCCTGGAAGTTTTCCCAGAAGGTTTTAGGACACAAACTGTAACATGCAGCTTTGCTAACACACATTGTATGCTTCATGTATTCCCTTCCTAATAGCAAGTGTTTTCCATGAAAAGTATTCATTCCATATGACCTATATCCACTGAGACCACCCCAGTGAACACTGAGAACTCATCCAGGCACTCAAACACTCTCCTACTCCCGTGCTCCTGTGGCAGTTGAGTGCATGCATCCACACCTTCACTAAAGAGTAAACAGCTAGCAGAATGTCTATATGGCAAGGAATATTGATCCAGAAATTCGATATGACATTGCAAAAGTAAAGGAAATAGATGGGGTCCTATTTAGTTTGCCCTTTTTAAACAGCCTGGAGTTAAAAATGTGCCTCTGCTGGCATCAACTTGACCCTGAGAACAGAGGCAAATGGCCCAGCAGCTCCCAATCTAGACCTGCTGGAGTGGCATTATTGATTAAAAGTAATGGAGATGGAATAGTATCAGTAGGTGTTTACGTTCTATGTTTTCAATTGCATTCTAGAGAGGTGCAGATGTTCAATTCCAGGTATGGGTTTTGAGCTGCAGGACTTTTTAGCTCTAGGACTAGAAAAGTACTGATCCAACCTCTTATGGGATCAAAGTCCAGGATATAATAACAATATGACATCGCAGAACCTGCCAGCTCAGTGTTTATAGTTCAAGGGAGCTGCTAGTCCTGCATCTGAAATCATCAGAAGATCTGGGCTCCAGCATTCCAGTTGCAGGTGCATTATATTGCAAACTACTCTCAGGGTTTGCTGCATGAGCCTTCTTCATGGTTGTGAAAGGACAAACCTCTCCCCTAGCGCAATCAGGGAGTGAACTCCAAGCTTTATGTTTGGTTACTACTGATTGCTTTAACCACTCCGCTGTAGTTGATTTATGGGGGCATTTCAGTGGGTGACCAATCTGCAAGGAATCAATCTTGGATGTGTTATCACTTACCCTTCACGCTCACAGCTGGTATGGCAACATCACACATTCTTCAAGTAATATAAATTGATTTTTAAAGTCAGGATCTTTTCCTAGTATCATAGTACAGTGATAATTTTGATTATATATTAAAATATTATATATCATACCTAAATATAAAATAAAGTTGAATCAATTTTATGTAATGAATTTAATTTTTATATTTGGTAGGCACTAAAGTTAAATGCTGCAAAGTCTCATACACAAAATATATTTAACAGCAGATTACATTTTTCTCTCATCCAAACAAGAAGAAAATCATGGCACTAACAATAGGAGGTGATATCGGCTGAGTCTGGGCTTCCAGGATCTGAGGACAGCTGTCGTGTATGAGGAGTAGAAGATCTAGACTCTGATTTCCAGGGAAGGGAATTGAGGAAGCAATAAGAAATCTGAAATTTGAAGTCAGTGGGCACATAGAGAGGCTAAGTCCTAAGTGAAGTGAAGTGTTTCCAACAAGCAATGGCCAACAGGCAAAAAAATAAAACAGAGTTTGCCAAATTAAATCTAGAATGAGTGCCAGAGCTTAGAAGGGGTGCCAGTCTTTTATGAGATGTCTGTAGAAGAACCTATAGGCTGAGAAAGTGCCATAAAGAGCATCCCTAGATTAGAATGGAATCATCTAAGGCAGTGATTTTAACATATTGCAATCACAGATCCCTTCAGTAAGCCAAAGAAAGCTATGAGCCATTCTCCACCTGTTCCACACTGAAAATGCACATAGACTTCATCAGTGAATTATTGTAAAATTAATTACTGCCTTTCCTTTTTGCTTCACTCCATTTATCAGAAAAGAAGCAGCATAAACAAAATTGTAAATATTTTCTTGCACTTGAGGGAATTTTGTTTTGGTTTTTTGAGTTCAGGGTTTCCAACTGTTCTAGTCTTTAAAGTGGAATGGAGTTAAATTGTCTCAGAAGAGAATAGGGGAGATTCTGTACTTTGAATTAAGAGGAGACTCTGACAAATACATGGAAAGCGTTAGGGTTTCAGAGACTCAGAAGACAGTTGATTGTTTTCCCAGTACTGATGAATAAAACCTGAGATGGCAGGTCTCCTGAGGAGAGCAGCTGCAGGTATACTTGGCACCAGAAATCAAAGCTTACTGAGAGTACGTGATTCTAAAATGTGGCATAAAGGAGGAGCTGTCCACATAGGCTTGGAAATGAGTATTTCATCAGTGACCATAAGAAAACTGATCAGATGTCTTTAACAATTTTTCATAATTTCCATCATGTACAAGTTTTGCACAATAAGAAAGGAGAAGGGGTTATAATGGATATGGGGGATTGAGGTGCAGCAAAAATCCCAGCTTTCTTTGAGTGTCCATTCATTCCTGTACCATATACTGGGAAGGCTAAACATTACGTTGTCTAGACCTCAATGATTTCAGAATGTGGTTCAGATTTGTACTAAATCAGATGCATTGTAAGATGAGGAGAAACTGAGGCAGAAGTAGTACTCCCAAAACTTCTGTTACTTGTCACATAAGCCTACTCTTACAGACATTTACTCATTCAACTACTGTGTTAGCAGAGACTATTTACAATGCATCTATTTTTCTGATGTGTAAGATAATGGTTTTATGGCTTGACGTAGTGAGAAGCTTCCTGAATGTGGAGGATTCCTGACGAGCAACAGGGTATGGCTCTAAAGCCAACAGATGGAACAGCACTTTCTCAATTTGAAGGCAGTAACTACTTTGGTAGACCACCCAGGGAATCAAATTGAAAATTTCTCCCAGAATCTGTATCTGTAACCCTATCAGTCATTCCATAAAACATTAATATCTTGGAACAAATCCCTTTCTAAGGATTCTATTTTCTGCAGTGTAACTGGAACCGCTGTGAAGAGCAATCACCAGATGACTGAAATTTGATGTTTCATCAACTGGGCTGTTAGGACTAAATCCATATTTGATGGAATTTATTAAGCGTGTCATGTCTTGAAACCAAGTGTACTGTACTAATAGTTCATGTTTATCATGTAAACGTCAAACAAAACTTTGCATACTATGTCAAAAAATTTACGGAGTTCTCTCAAGTCTTGTCCAAAGAATCACATGCTAAAAGGAGGAATCCAGTGCAACAAACCGTGAAGAAATCAGTATAAGAAGTTTTATATTAGATGTTGTCCATGGATAGCTATCATAGGGAAAAGAGTTCATACATAACCACATGATAAAACAAACAAAAGCATAACCAAATACGAGAAAGATAAACCTTTTTTTCTTGCAGTCACAGCCTCAGAGGAGAGAGGAAGAACACATTAGGATAGGTTGGCATATGTATCTAGATATTAGAGCTGAAAAATTAAAAATAAATAAACCCACTTACACCGAACAGCTTAGTTTTCTGATTTGATGTGGAAGTTTGCCTCTCTCCAATTTTAGACTTAATGTGGTTACTTGAGAGATTTCCCAGCTCTACAACCACAATTCACCAGAGTGTCCCAGCTGTCGCAAATCTTGACTGAAAATAATGTATAAGAATGTAAAGAAGTATGGTCAAAGGAAAGGAAAGAAATAAGAAGAAAAAAAATCATACTTCTCTGATTCCTCATGCGTGAAATATATAGTAGCCTGTTATTTCTCAGGTAATTTCCTAAATCTTAAAAAATAAAAATAAGAAAATAAAAAAGTAAGAAAACAAATCACAAACAAATGAAAACAAAACCCAGCATCAGAAAGGGAAAAGTCAAGGATTGAGAGAAAAAGAGAACGGAGAAGTGTACAGTATAATTTCTTCAATCCCAGGGATCTTGAACATTCATAGAATATGGCTCAAGATTTGCATTTCTTGCCCACTTTTGACTTGATTCAGAAGTATTGTCTAATCCACAATCTCATTCCTTTTTTTCCCAAACAATATTTGGGAAAAGTCTCATTTATCAAAATGCTTTTTGGTCTTGTCCATAGCTCTTTAAGCTAAACACAATCCCATAAGGCCTTAGTCCAAGAAAGCGTAAACCAAAATATGCTGCTCTTTGAGCCTTTCCCAGGGATCTCATCCCATCCTCCTACTGCCTTTTACCTAGTGCCCAACTGATCGTGCATTTGCAAAACTCGGGTTTCTCTGGACTTAGCTTCAAATACTTCAAATACTCAGCCCTGACCTCAGTTCTACCCCCGACTCTCTGGTCTCTGCAGACATTTTGTGTTTCAACTGTTTGAACCTTAGGTTGCTCTTCTAGATTTACGCTGTCTGACTCATGAAGGCTTTTTAAAATGATCCATAGACATAGAAATCTCCTTGGTTCTTTAATTCCAGATAACTTTGTTGAAGTGTTAAAATAGTTATGTCTTTTATGGACATAGTCTTCAAACAAATCAATGTGTTTCTATTTTATATACCTCAGAGACATAATAGTTTGAAAAGCATAGGTCACTGATGGGTTGGCATGTTTTTTCATTTTTTACAAAACATGCTGGTGACTTTCAATGTCAATTTTCCTTATATCTCATGGCAAATTTACCATCTTCTTTGGTAGCAAGATATAAACATATAAACATAACAGAAGGTCAATGATCAGCAGAGGATTTGGAAGAAGGATCACTCACTTTGGAAGCTTATAAAGTAATGTCAATAAGAAATATAGCACCATTATTTTAAATTAAATTTGCACTATTTTTCAAAGTTATTGCCCTCGAAACTGTAGTCTTGTTTGCTTTGTACTGCCCTAGACTGAATGATCATATTCTTGTACAAATGACAGAAATACTTTTAAAAATTTAAGTGCACTTAAATGTTTTCATGGTGATCTAAAACTCAGATACTTCCATGTTTTAGTTCCATCCAATAAAGTTGTAATAACCCAAAATTTACATGGGCATATTTTATTATTTCTCTCTCTTTAGGATCCTGGAAAAGCATATTCCTTTTCAGAATAAAAATACATTCTTCATTTTTGCAAGAATATTAGTTATTATTTGCAAAATTAAAATATCCATAAAAGTAAGCATCCTGATCTTTAATGTCTGATTTGTTCCATTTGTGTTCAGGGTTTCTCGGTAGAAACAAGATGCCATTTCAAACTAGATCCTCCTAATGGTGTTAAATTCATTCTTTTATGAATGAAAAGCCACATTAAAAAATTCTTGAAAGAATTATTGACCCAAATAGCCTATAAACTGCTCATAAGAAAATATTTTTTCTTAAAACATAGTTTTATTTATTCTCCCTGAAAAAACCTGTTAACTGATCTTTTGCCTTTTCTGTTCAGAGATTCATCTGACATATAATGTTTATTACTATCAACAAAAACAGTTATTAAGTTTTGAGATATTATTCCAAGGTAATAAACTATAGCTTGCCTCATTTTCTTAAAACTAGTGACATAATATAGTGGGAATTTAATGGGTTTGGAATTTGGCAGACAGGCAAGTATGAATTTAATCCTATTTCACTATGCATTCTGTGACCTAGAAAGATAACTGTAGGAACCTGTTTCCTCATCTGTAAAATGTCTACAATAATAACCAATAAGTAGATTGTGATGGGGTAAAATAAAGCAGCATAGGAGAAGGCAACCAATAATTTTTGCACATAGTGAAGGTGCAATAATTTGTAATTTATATTATTTTCTCTTCATTAGTGATGCATTTTGTATACTTTTCCCTCAACAATGTTCTCTTTCTCGACCTCTCTCTTTCTGTTTCTGTCCCTCTCCCTTATCCCTCACTGTCTAATCCTCTCCTACCCACAGATATAAGTACACACACACTCACACACAGCATTAAAAATGAAAAACTCTTAAAGACACAGAAGGCATACACAATCATGTTAATGGACTTAGTCCAATCCAATTCTATTGTTTCAGTATCCATATAAATGTATATACAGATAGCTAGACAAATTTACTTGATTGTGAAAGACATGACATCATAAGTGTAACGCTTATAATTTAATCCAGTCACCCTACTGTCTGGCCAAAATTATACTGAACTTTTTCCAAGACAGACACAGGTTTAAGCCAGCCATCATTTTGCTTGAAAAAGATGCCCGTGCTACCCTATGTGTTTGTGTGGTTGCAATCATACAGAGATGTTATCTATTTATATAATTGAGGATACAAATGGATAGAAATTTGCTTAAAATATGAATTCATTTATAGTCAGCATAACACACACACACACACACACACACACACACACACACACACACACACGGTTTCTTTATCAACCTTAAAAAAACCTAATTGTATCACTTCAAGATTGCCCAGACTGAAGCAGATCTCTCTCTTCTCTCTTACTGAATGCCAAATCATTCATTTATCATTTAGGTTCCTCCCCATCAGCCTTGAAGAATAACATACATAAATCTAAAGTGAAGAAAAAAATAAATAAGTGATAACAAAAAACTATGGCTAATTTCATGCTTCATATATTTAAATAAAAATGGTGTGCCTTATGTATAAACAACAACTGCTTGGAAGCAGGCAGTTGGCTCAGCAGGTAATAGTCCCTTTCAATAAGAATGTTATTTTCTCTGGGAATTTGTATGACTCTGTGAGATGCTGGTAGCCATGATTGACATACTATAAATTATGTGGAATTGGGCAAGTGCCATGATACAAAATAACCCACAGTTTCAAGTGCTGAATATAAGTGACTCAAGCTGTATCTATCTTAAAAATGTTGACCCTATATATAACATAAATTTTGGGGTATCATGTTTATGGGGAGCGGGGTAATATACTGAGGAATAATATTGGGAGAACAAAAACTCACCGGTGGTCTCTTTCTCTAACTAGCCACATCATTTAGTAGTAAGTATACCTCCTGTTCTGGAGTACTGTATGTGTATATATGAAGTTCAAACTTCAGGTCACTTTCATAATCACGAAGAAGGGCAGAGTACTCTTAGCCAAAAGTCTGCCCCAGTTGAAGTATTGAATTAAAACTGAAGACTCTGGGTAGAATTAGCTACAGTATTAAGTAATAGCTATCTGATCTGGTAGGAAACTAAGAGTATAGAAGTGGGATAGGACATATTCTTAGGGCAGTATTGTTGTCAAGCACTGAACACCAGCATTGACAGAGGTTCTGATAATTGTAATTTTTTTCTGGATAGAATATTCACCTAAATGGATTGAAAATTATTTTTAACAAAACCTCACAGGTATTTTTTTCTATATATTCAAAAAAGAATTGTCTTTGCTACATCCCCAGGAGTCCTTGAACTAGTTGCTGCTGGAACTGTTATTTCTTCTTCTTTCATCAGTGACAAACAGCCTTAGTATCAAATGGTAGGCCTCACACTTTTCTTTCTCTGTCTTTGTATTTCTCAGGTATAAGGCAAGAAGGACAAGCACCAATTCTGCCTTCGTTCTAGTTCTTTCATAATTATGTTTTTGATAAACCTTATCTGCTGCATAAAAAGATATAAGGGAAACTTGATTAGTACACTTAAATTCTATGCTTATGTGGAGATCTTGATACAGACATCTAATGCACTGTTCTTCTCTGTAATCTATTCATCTCTGGCCTTAAATAAAAGTCTCTCAGCCTAATAAATCTGTCGACAGTCTATCCAACATTGTCAAGATTAATGCTGGGGCTATCAATTGACATATCAAAGCAACTCTTCCTCTGAGGAGGGTTACACAATGATTTGCTTGAATCTCATCAAAGTCACACTACATATTATATTTTATAAAGCATATATATATGCTCAAATAAGTCCTCAAATGTATATTCATTATATTCTTTCCAGATTGAATTTTCTTTTGAATGAAAAAGAAATTTAATCAAATAAAATATCAAATATATTTATTTTATAAATAGCAAGCTTAACTACACTTTGCCATCAATCATTTTGCCATCAATATTTGCAATCTTTTCTCCATAATATTTTCATAATATTTTTAAAAATGATGGAATGCATTTCTTTTTTCTTGTTATTTTAATGGATCTTAATTCTAATCCATCTATTACAATATTCCTGCCTTTGCTTTTTACTAGACTTCTCTATAGGACCAGAAAAATACATATTATGGTGCATAATATTGTATTATGAATAAATATTTCAATTTGATATCTTTTTTAGCTTGCACCCCCTATATATGATCTACTCCTTGAATTTATTTCTTAAATACAACTGAAGGGTATCAATTTATCACCATGTTTAACTTATGGACAATGTTTATTGGTTTCCCCACAGGTACTCAACAGTTTTCCAATCCATTCTCCAAACCACAATGATGGTAGTCTCTTTAAAAAGGTAAATGTTCTATTGTGAGAATCCCTTCCCCTTAAGACATTTAATATCTTTCCACTGCTAATAAATTAATACACATATCTTTAATGTAGTCTACAAAGTGCATTCTCTCTATATGTGTAAATATAGATGTACATATACACACATATTTATATTTTTCCATAAGGCCATGTACACCTCTAACACAGTTTACAAGGACGTGAGAGTGAGTTTCTACTTACCTTTCCAGCCGTAAATTGCACTATTGTCTCTTTCATGCTCTACAGACGAGTCTGTAAATAAAATTTTCTCATATGTTGGTGTTGGAACATATCATGTTTTTTCCTACTTCAGTCTTTCCACATGCTGGTTTTTCACCTGTGCTTCACTTAGATCTTACTTGTCTTTTAAATCTCAGATAAAATGCCTCTTAGGAAAGACATTTTCTAGACTCTAGAGTGGAAGCACTTTCTCAGACTTTAAATCTTTGCAACATTCTTATCTCTCTTTTGTAAGTCTTATTTCATTTTATAGTTATTCCTTATATAAGGAATCATCTGCTTAATATCTATTTGAGCCACGAGATCGTCAGCTCTGTGAATGCAATGACAAAACAGATTTTGGTCACCTTTTTATTTCCATTACTTAGAGAAGTGCTTGGCCCATGGTAAGTACTCAATAAATATTTTGAAAAATATTTAATATGAATGAAAAAGGGAAGAAGAAAGGAAAGAAACAAATTTCAAAATAGTGAAATTAGCATGTGGGGAAACAGATGTGGATGGGGACACTGACGCCAGCACCCACGTCTGGTGGTTTGGTGATTACCTGTACATAAACACCAGCTGGCAGCTCATGATCTGTGCAATTCAATCAGAGTATTTCAGGTTCATCCCAAAGTTGAAAGCCGTTATGGACATAGAAGTCTGCAGGAAATCATGAAAATGTGTGAAGATTCAGTTAGATTTTGGATCTCTTGATTATTCTTATAGCACTGTATGCAACATTCTATGCTTAATAACCAGCTTTTTCCTCCCCTACATTACTAAACATATGCCTTCCCAAAAATAAGTTCCTCCTGACAAATATAGCCTACCGTTTGTTAATATTCAAAAGCAGTCCTTCTTGCTTTGTCTGTATAGTTTGGGAATTGTCCTAACTTCTGTCTTAAGGCAACACAAAGAAATTAATTAACTTGCTTAGTCTTCTACAGAGTGCTTAGTGGAAATACCTCATGACAAGACTTTCATTAATTTGTCATTTTTCACTGCAAAACAGGTGAAAAGCCCTAAGAATCAGCAGTATCTTTGTCTAGAAGCCATTAATGAATTGAGAATTATCTTATGGATGTTAAAGACATTCACTCATCCTCTGAATGAGAATGATCTGGTTTAAAATGCATTACAAATGTAGTGATGGTGTTGATCACAAAATTCCTAAAACTTTTATTACTACGGCAAGTGTATATTTAGTCTGAAGGAAATAAGCCTCATATAGGCAGTTTCTCATTATTTTACTTTAGAAAGCTGAGTCTGAAATGACTTTCATGCTGGCAATTGTAATATTGGAATTCTTGATCATATGTTTATATTTTTATCAGATACTTATAATATGCCTGTTCTGTAGTCGACTAGATGATTTTAGATTTCATATCAAGGTATTTAGAGAAATATTCCTAAACGGAAACAGATCAACCTTAAACTTGGTACCAAATTGTCAGCTAATGGACTGAATATGTCACTTTTGGCATTCTACCATTTTATATGGCTGAAAACTGACTATAATAATCTTACTGGAATTATTTCTAGTGAAAGCTGGGATATGGAGGCAGTCCTTAGAATTTACATAAAGCCTAAAGATAATATGCAGAAGGGCTTGTTTAAATAAACTGCCCAAATCCAGGGCTTTACTTGGCAGTTTAATACTTCAGCAAACGTTTACTGAGGGTCCAGCTTGTGCTACCCAATATGTTAGTCAATGGGAATATAAAATTGGAAAAGACACATTTTGGTTGTCCAAGCCCTTACTGTCTTGTGGAGAAGGCAGATAAATAAACATATCCTATTGAACAGCATGGTAAGTTACATGATATGGGTAAGCTAGGAGTGCCCTGGAAGATAGGAAAAGCCTTCATTCCCCTCCATACTTGAGCTGAATCGGGAAGGATAAAGGAATACAAATTAGCAACTGAAAAGTGGAAGGAGAGGAGTGCATTTCAAAAGTGGGAAAGAGTTTCAGCATGAAGATACGAAGTGAATAGGCTGAGAATATCTTAATCCTCCTGAAGAGAGATGTTGCAAGATGTGAGGATGAAGAGTTTTTCAAGGACCGTTCATGATCCCTTCCAAGCCAATACCCAGTTTGTCACTGTGGACACATCTCACTCTTCAACCCCAAGAGACAGGTCTTTCTAGGAGAGTCATTTTCTTCTTGAGCCTGCTTCCCGATTTGCTAATCTAGCTGTACTCTGAGTTCCCTTTCAAAAATGTACAAAGATTATTTTAGTACTTTGGTTCCCAAGAACCACAATCTATGCATTTCTATTTATATCCACGCTTTTTAATCCAATGAAAGTATGGTAAAAGGGAGTAAAGAAAAGGCTGAAAATTAGCCTTGAGTTACTCTTCTGAATTTGGGCAGTTTATCCTTCAATTACTAAAACTCACTGAACCTGTTTCATTTTCAAGTATTTTCAAGTCATTCTTAGCATTTGTTCAAAGTAGTACTCAGTAAAAGTTGATGTTTTCACTGTGGCATGTTGGTAACATGATTTACAACCAACTCTCAAAGGGAAAAAAATCAAAAATAAGCCTTGATTTGTAATGTTTTCCATAATTATGGCATAATATTCCAACTATGACCAGCTGAACCCTGACCTCTATATTGATATCACTGAGTTCAAAGTTGATAAAAGATTTGGTGAATAAAAAAATGAATTTGCAAATAATTTTGAGTTAATGAATAAATTCACAGGCTTACCAAGAATAAAATTAACTCATAAACAAATAAAAAATGTAATTTGATTTTTCTTCTGCTAAAAATTTCATGCACCACATAAATTGTTGGATGGCAAGTTACCATTTTGCAATAAAAAAAGGTGTAAATCTTAGAAGACAAGCACAATTTGATGTTCTGTGACTATGTAGATATAGGTATCAATATACTTATTGTTGTCATCCTAATAACCATAGAAACTTCAATTCATTTGTTATATTTATACATCAATTTTATCAATGCAAAACTGGAAAATATTATCTAACACTCAGATAATGTGGAGTATTCAGCAATCTTTAAATATGGAGCACTCTAGAATCATTAAAAAGATTGGAGTTCTGGCTACCATTATATGAATAATATTATTGAACATTGGCATGTTGGCTATGATTTATCTGCTATCCAAAATATGGGGCTTAACTTTTTACAAACTTTTTTTTTGTGATATTTTATTGATACTTTAAATCCATTTGTTTTCTGTCAGATAACAACTTCACCAATAAAACATGCCAATTGTTATACATACTTTTGAATTCACAAATAAAATAATTATAATTAATTATAAACTAAACAAGATGTTTTGTTAATATTACATAATTTGTTGAAAGGCTAATCTATGGCATAGAGGAAATGGTTTACAATTTTAGAAGAGTTTACAATTTTAGAAGGAGGATCTAAATATACAATACTAACAACTAAGACTTTGATCAATAACATTTCTAAACAGCCAGTTTTGCCCAGTGGAAATATGATGTAACCCATAGATGTATTTTAAATATTTTAGCAGCCAATTTTTTTAAAATTAAAAAAGACTAGGGGAAATTAATTTTCATAATATGTTATACAATAAAGTATACCCCAAATATTATCATTTTAACATGCAATTAATGTAAACATTTAAAAATATTTACATTTTTTCTACTCAAAATTTAAAACCTGATGGGTATTTTACACTTACAGCATATTCCAATTTGATGCAAATTTGCTTTAAAAAATAATCTTTATTTAGATGTCCTGAAATTTATAGTTGAAAAGACTCACATACCCAAGCTTTTCCAATCATACTTAAAACTTTTCCCATAATAAATTTAAACACGAAATTTTCTTTTTTTATTTGCATATACACTAACAAACCTGGTTCATATTTTTTAGAAAACCTGATTTGTCTTTGAAGTTGTCTCATATTTAAAAATTCCAATAATTCTGGATCTTTGATCTAATATAGCTGGAGCACTCTACACATAAAATTATTTTTTTCTAGTTGAAGTTATTCTTTAACATATATAAAAAATTGAAAATATCTTTGCAAGGATATTAATTATTTAGTCTGCAAAATAACAACATTTCTTTGTATATTTAGAAGCCCTTTCACACAAAGCATACCAGTATGTTAATTGGATTGTCTCTTGTATGACACATGTAAGGTTAACTATTTTCAAGTTTTCAGAATTTGAATCCATTAATCTTTGATGTTATTAGGATGGTTTTATATTCTATGGAAATTTGATGGCTTTATTGAAGATGTTTCAATTTCATAAAATATCTTTTTTAGTTTTTTATCATAATTTTCTCAAAAAAATTATAACTAAAATAATTTTTTTCTTTTACCATATCTTCACCTAAAAATGCGGTGGATTTTTGTGCAACAACTCAGCCATGTTTTAGCTGGCCAAAGTTACAAGCTGATAACCTATAGTTTTAAATCATCAATATTTTTTGTTGCTCACTTTATTCTGATTTTAGACAACTAGTTTGTTAATAGTTTTTGAACGTTGGGAGAAAATCCTTCACCAAATTTTTATCTATTGCCAAAAATGTCTTTTAATATTTTCCCTTTTGTCAAATTTAACCTATTTGTTTCACACAACACACAGATCTTCTATTTTGCTCTACTGCACCAGGTTATAATTGTCTTTAATCCTGAAATGTGCAAAGTTTTCTTTCTCTCTCTCAACTTTTCTGGTAACAGTTCTAGCTTTTACATCTTCATTTGATCTTTGCATCAGAATCACTAGTTTGTTTAAAACAAAATAGCTTCCTGCACCAATTAATTATACAAGCTGAATCTATGTGTTTCCTAAGTATAGTACTAGAAATGATATATGTCCTAAACATGCTACAATGCACCAAAAATGTTTATGCAATGCAAGTTTAAAATGAGATACAGTCCAGGAAAACAATAAAATTATGTTTAACAGAGAAATTTTTTTTACAATATACTAGTTATGGTTTTCAGGAAAGATAAGATCAATGGATATATATATATATATATATATATATATATATATAAAATGTGTATAGAAGGTGTATATATATCCTATTTATAGGAGCTATATATATCTCTCTCTCTTATGTATAGTAGCTATATATATTTCATATATATAGGAGCCATATATTTATAATATATAATATATATGAGAGGAGATTTATTAGGGAGATTGGCTCATGAATTTATAGAGGCTTGGAAGTCCCATGACAGTCTGCAAACTGGAGACCCTAGATACTGGTAGTTGGCTCAGTTCAAGTCCAGAGAACCAGGGAAGCTGATGTAACTGTCTCAGTCTGAGGCCAAAGACCTGACAACCCAGGTGCCTGCTGGTGTGTGTCCTGGAATGCATAGGCTGAGCAGTTTAAGCAAATAGATCAACACATTCACCTTTGTGTTTTTCACCTCTGTTTCTTTTTTTTCTCTGCAGATCACCAGCAAATTCGACGGAACCTGTACACCTTTAGGATTTATCTTCCCAACTAGTCCTCTCCAGACTCACTTGCTCATCCCCTCTGCAAACACTATCACAGAGACACACCCAAAAATAGTGCTTTCTCAGTTTTCCAGGTATTTCTTAATTCAGCCAAGTTGACACATAAAATTAATAATCACACATTGCCTTAGTATGAAAACTTAATCAAAATAAAAAATTCAGTTGTTCCTCAGATGCACCAGTCTCATTTCAAGTCCTCAACAGCAACATCAGCTAGTGATCACTGTATTGGACAGTACAGATCCTAGAACAAACCACCCTATAGGACAGCACAGGTTTTAGAACAAACCACAAAATAGACATAGTAACATGGTATTCTAAGTTTATAAAATTTTAAACCAAGAATCTTCTTGGGTTGTTTGAACGCTATTTCACTTAAGGCATGGTAAAAACAATAGAGCTTGCAATGTATGTGCCCTAGATTCAAAGACAGACATCCTCCTCCAATGGGACGAGGATGCTCACAGTCCTTTTGCTAAAGGTATTAAAAGAATAATCATTCTAAAAAGTGTGACAGTCAAATGCGGGCAGTATCCTTTTCGAGTACCTCCTATGACAGTTCTAACTTAGGTCTACAAATATTTTCCAGGATTTATAATAAAATGATCCATTAAAATCAATACAGCACTGATTAAAATATCCTATTTATCATTTCAATTAGGTACATACATATCTATACATATGTCCCTTTTTAGGATATCTAAATACTCAATAATTAGTATACAGATTCAGTTTTTATATTTTTATTTATTATTAAAAACATTTTGTTGACAAGTGCTCACTTGAAGTAACAGCAAGTACTTCAAATAAGTATTTCGTAATTTAGGTCTTGCATATCCTGTCAAATATACCTGCAAGAAATGGTGCCCTCTTAATTCAGATCTTTGCACGCTTATAACAACAACCTTCCATTTACTAACTCTAAGTATTAGGTGTATTTGCTTCAGTCATAGTCATAACACTTTCCAAAATAGAAAAGAGGGGCTATGCTTCTTTAAAAGATAAAGAAATGAAGGACAAATGGTGAGACCAATGTGTGAACGTATGTTCTTATTTCTATGTTAGTGCTTAATCTCTGGACCACACTGTCCTTTGGGGGAAACAGCCACTGTGACTGCACACAACAAAACCTAGATCATAAAGCTTTGCAGAAAGAATCCCCACCTTTTACCCTTCATGCCTTTATAAATCCTTCAAGCCATGTTATTATAGTAAATATTTAAAAAAATTCTAATGTGTCACTGATTTGCAACTACTCTTCCCAAGTGACCTAAGGCTGTTCTGCCAATGTAGTTTACTGTGCCATAAATTGGATCATCACAATTTTACTCACATCAGATCCCAGTGGGACCAAAAACTGCAAGAAGATTGTCAAATATTTCAATTTGTCATTCTGTCACCCAAGATCCCTTTTCCCTCAGGCCCCAAATAGCTGTGTGCAATGGGATAAAATGGGTCTCAAAGAAGATAAAGTGGTAAACAGGAATCTTGATACACATCAAAACACTCTGCCACATGTAACAAAATGTTATTACCCTGAAGCAGACAAACTTATAAAAAGAGAAATATGTAATACCAAAGAGTGAAAAATAGCCTTTTATATTATGACAACATCTCTTATCTGGAAATATCCCAAGGTGCTTTTTCAAATGCGCTGTTTGAATTACTTTGCTATATTAAAATACAGGGACATATTGATTGATTTCTCAGTAGCAGAAGAATATATTTGTTTTAGAACATGTAAATTTTTTTTAAAAAATTCTTCTCCTTTAAGGTCTTCTCACCCTTTCTGTCAAGCTCTATATCCTGTCTTCCCATTCCTCCTGTATAATTGCTTCCTCTTGAAATGACTGCTTGTACGAAGTTTATGTGAGTTATTGATTACATATTGCTATCAATGTACCATCTGTTTTAAGGTCTTTTTTAATAAAGAGCAGAAACAATCTTATGTCTCAGAATGGATGGATTATTTTAAAGACATAGGAAGTGATGTAGAAGACAGGCATGTTGCTTGAAGGAGTGAAGAAGCCATGCTCGAGATGGAGTTCATGCAAGCAGGAGGTGGAGGAAAGACTCATCAAGGGGCAAGTGTGCAAGTGTCCTACAAAAGACATGAATCACCCATTTTCCCTCAGCCATTATCAGTCACTCCAGCAGATGTATATTTGTCTCTACCCTTCATTGAGTTTGTCTCCTGGTAAATTTGATTACCATCACCACCTCACATCATCTGCTTCAACTGTAGCTGAAAGTTTCTTTCCACTTCCGAAATTCATGAGAAAGAAGATATGCTTGTCCCAGCTCACCCTTTTTTTTTTTTTTTTTTTAACACAAGGCGGCCTTTTAAAATCTTGTTCATGTCTTTAGTTTCTCCGTCCTAACCATTTCCATCTATTCTCCACATACCCATAGAATGCAACTTCTATATCACAAATTTGGTCTTGTGACTTCTCTAATGAAAAATTTTCAGTGCTTTCCTCAGTGTGTTTGTGATGAATGCACTGGATGTGGCACACTGGTGCCTAGTGATGTGGTACACTAGTGCCCAGTGATGTGGTCTGATTACTACTCCAGCCCCATGCTGACCACTCACGCCTCACATCTTACTCATCAGTTGCATGCTCTACTTCATAGTCTCTGCTTTCCCTTGATTCTGGGCCTTTATGCCTGCTGCTTCCTCTAACTAAAATGCCTGACCTGCTCTTTGTACCTGAATAAGTCATACTAACTCTTGAATGTTCTTTTGATGATTTTCTTCATTGTAGTTATCATATTCTATGTTAAATGCTCATTACACTAGCCCATTTTTTCTCCTAGCCCTGCAAAATGCACTCCTTGAGTGCAGGGTTTCTATCCATCTACAACAATGCCTACCATGTGCTTGGCAAATGATAGACACCAAAAAGTGGTTGTTGAAGAAATGAAAACAAATGCATGTGCTTAAGTCTGTCTACCTAGTCTCTATTAAATCTAAACAAACTCATTGCAGAGAAACAAAATGCTGATTTATTGCTTAAGTGAAAAAATATTTACGCTTTTATCTGCATCCTAGAGTTGCTAGAAGAGTTGACTTAAATTTTTACAACAAACCTTTATTCTCATTTCTTCTATCAACATTTATTTCCTTCCTTTAATGATTGATGCATTGTACTACTTGCTATTAAAAAAAAAAGAGTTGAAAATTGCAGTTTCTTTCTTCAGACTCCAAAGGCCAGTGGGAGAGACATAATGAAAAACAACAATAAAGTGATCAACTACAATGTAGAAATATATAATGTACCAGTTATGACAGTTTAGTTAATGCTGTAGCAACAGAGCACTGAAAAAATCTCTCAGTGGCTTCTGCGCTACCTGTCTATTGCAGGTCAGTTATTATCCTGGTCTGTATCATCTTCACTTGGGTACACAAACTGATGGAATAGCCACTATCTGCATTGTCCTCCATCTCATGGTATAAGAAAAGGATCATGGAGTATTATGTTTATTCTGACTCTATAAGTTCTCGCCAAGTCTGCCTTCATGTAATTAGGCAAAGCAAGTCACAGTTTCAATTTAGTCAAGCAGGCTGGGCATGCACCATCTTCCCACAAGGATAAGCACCCCAAGGAGAAGCATCGAATATGGGTGACCTGAATCCTATCTTGACGTGTACTGAGTCTTGAAAAATGAGTTGGAATTATATAGATGGAGAAGAAAGAGCGCTATTCCTGACAAAATGCCAAAACACAAAGGCAAATGACAGCAGGACATATTATTCTGGCTAACCGAAGTATACAATGTATGGACACACATACGCCTGGGTAGATTGGAGGGGCCATGCTAAGGGTTTGGAAGTGACTGAAAATCATTAAATGAGAGGGTAATCCGGTGCACATTTTAGTAAAAATAGCTGCAGCCATTTGAAGAAGATGTTAATGGAAGTGGGAGTTAGGAGAATCTGGAAAGAATAGTGATCTGTTATAAGACAATTACAGCAACCCTGGTAAAAAAGTGTTAAGGGATGGAGATACTGTGTGAACAGAAGAGAAGAGGGCAACAAGAAAGGTCCTGTTTTCTTATGCAGCTTCAATTTTACTTGGTGCCTTATGAGTAGGTTCAAGTAATTTACCTTTGATATAATGACAAGTTTCCTATTTCAGAACATAGGAGAAGTTATTCAATTGAGATAAACTAAAGCTTTGGAAAAAAGGTCACTGTAACTTTTGTTTTTATAGCAAATTACTCTGGCTCACATGTCTGTCATATATTATCATTCTTAATTGCCCTACGCAATCATTGGATCATTTTAATCTATAATGAAACATAAGAGGCTGTAGTCTTGAAAAATAATGAGTAGAGAGATGGCCAAAATTATCTTGAAATTCTTTTCCCTAGATCTTGGATAGTAAGGTTACAGAAATAACATCTCCATTCATATGTTTAAGAGTTTTATCTAAAACAAAACGAGAAGCTACCCTAGGAAACTCTAACAAAACTTTATTGGCACCTAAATCACAAAGAGTTTGGAATTGTTTTAAGGGTTGCCATTTCTATTCTCAATCTTGTTTTGATATTCCAGGTTTCATACCTTTAGCATATCTAGGTGCTTTGATTTTTCAAAGGAAATTTAAAAATTAGAGTGGCTGTGAATAGCATTCACAGCTTCCGGGGATAATAGTTAAGAGAGTTTTAAGTACATAAATAGCTACTTTAATTGCTATATTTTAATTCAGAATCCAGAAATCTTGAATATGGCCAATGTATTAGATGTCTTTGTAAATTTTGGTAAATTAACTAATAATATACAACAGGTTTTCTTCTTCAAACCCTATAAACTAAAAACTGCCCATGCAAAATCTCTTTTAAGACATTTTCTATATCCTCTTGTATATTAGTGTGCTTTATAAAATCTCTGGATAAATTAGCATCAGGGACCAGTGTCATAAAATAATCTCTTTTTGAAGGAATAGTATCATCATCTATTCAAAAAGGTGTACAATTTTAGCTAGTTTGAAAATCTTTTGATAAATATTTTTATAGCATAACTGATATAACTAAAGTAGAGAAGTAAAAACACATATTATTTTTGTAATGTTATTAAAGCAAGTATTTGAAATATACTTTCAATTTTTAAAATGTTCTGGTTAGCCTGCTCCTTGCAAAAAGCTAAGAGTAGCTTGGTTTGGCTAATATTGCTTATCACCAAAGTGTAAAGATAGGGAGAGTAGTATGAAATGAACAAGCGAACCTGAAGGTCAAAGGAAGCAAAAAGATGAATAAAGCCAATCAGAACGAGAGTCTGATTGAGGCATTGAACTAGGAGGAATGATGAGTCAGCATGGTAAAAAATAAAGAGGCAGAGGGGCAGTCATGAGAAATCACAGGGGAAAACCTATCTTCCATGTGACGAGCATCTTTTATGCGGTGAAAATTTGACACTTTAAAATGTGAAAAGGAGATATGGTTTTTTTAAAAAAGCACTTGCTGTTCTTCTGTAGAAGCATTCAAAAAGTAATAGTTTCATTTACACAATAACTATTAAAAGAGCTAGCCAACTACAGTAAAGTGGAAAATCTAGAGTTGTTCATATTCAGTTTCTCGACCAATCTAAAATTACAAAATTAGGAACATTGCAGGACATTTCAAAACCATTATATAAAATTTAGAATCTATTGAAGAGTACAAAATAGTACAAGAAATAAAAGAAAACTCATTTAAAATTTCACCACTACAAATGCACATGTAATTGTTCAATATGGTAAGTGAAATATAATGGTTCTCTCTTACAGATACAAATAAATAATATATATATATATACACACACACAGTATACATATGTATATCCATATATAAACATACTATTTTATCTATGATAAACATTCTTGTGTATATATACATGTATTTATGTGTATATATGTGTGTGTGTGTATATAATTGTATAACTATGTGTATTAGTCCATTTCTGTATTGCTATAAAGAAATACTTGAGTCTAGGCGTGGTGGCTCATGCCTGTAATCCCAGCACTTTGGGAGGCCGAGGCGGGCATATCACGAGGTCAGGAGATCAAGACCATCCTGGCTAACACAGTGAAACCCCGTCTCAACTAATAATACAAAAGAATTAGCCAGGCGTGGTAGTAGGTGCCTGTAGTCCCAGCTCCTCAGGATGCTGAGGCAGGAGAATGGCTTGAACCCGGGAGGTGGAGCTTGCAGTGAGCTGAGATCGCGCACCACTGCACTCCAGCCTGGGTGACACAGAAAGACTCCATCTCAAAAAAAAAAAAAAAAAAAAAGAAAGAAAGAAATACCTGAGACTATATAAGGTGTAAGGAAGGGGTCCAGTTTCAATTTTCTGCATATAGCTAGCCAATTTTCCAAGCTCCATTGATTAAATAGGGAATCCTCTCCCCATTGCTTTTTTTGGTCAAGTTTGTAGAAGATCGGATGGTTGTAGACATGTGCCTTATTTCTGAGGTCTATATTCTGTTCCATTGGTCTATGTGTCTGTTTTGGTACCAGTACCATGCTGTTTTGGTTTCTGTAGTCTTGTAATATAGTTTGAAGTTGGGTAACATGATGCCTCCAACTTTGTTCTTTTTGCTGGGATTGTCTTGGCTATATGGGCTCTTTTTTGGTTCCATATGTGTTTTAAGGTAATTTTTTCTAATTTTGTGAAGAATGTCAATGGTAGTTTGATGGGAATAACATTGAATCTATAAATTACTTTGGGCAGTATGGCCATTTTTACGATATTGATTCTCCCTATCCACAAGCATGGAATATTTTTCCATTTGTTTGTGTCCTCTCTAATTTCCTTGAGCAATGGTTTGTAGTTCTTGAAGAGGTCCTTCACATCCCTTGTTAGCTGCATCCCTAGGTATTTTATTCCCTTTGCAGCAATTGTGAATGGAAGTTTGATTTGGCTCTCTGCTTGTCTATTGTTTTACAGGATGCCAAAATTAACTCAAGATGTGTTAAAGACTTAAATGTAAAACTCCAAACTATGAAAACCCTAGAAGAAAATCTAGGCAATACTATTCAGGACACAAGCATGGGAAAAGAATTCATGATAAAAACATCAGAAGCAATTGCAACAAAAGCAACAATTGACAAATGAGATCTAATTAAAGAACTTCTCTACAGCAAAAGAAATTATCATCAGAGTGAACAGATAACCTGCAGAATGGAGAAAATTTTTGCAATCTATCCATCTGACAAAGGTCTAATATCCAGAATCTCCAAGGAACTTAAACAAATTTACAGAAAAAAACAAACAACCCTACCAAAAATTGGGCAAAGGACATGAACAGACACTTCTCAAAAGAAGACATTTGTGCAGCCAACAAACATATGAAGAAAGCTTAACACAACTGACCATTAGAGAAATTAAAATCAAAATCATGATGAGATACCATCTCACAACAGTCAGAATGGTGATTATTAAAAATTCAAGAAACAACAGATGCTGGTGAGGCTGTGGAGAAATAGGAGTGCTTTTACACTGTTGGTGGGAATGTAAGTTAGTTCAACCATTGTGGAAGACAGTGTGGTAATTCCTCAAAGACCTAGAACCAGACATACCATTTGATCCAGTGATCCCATTACTGGGCATATACTCAAAGAAATATAAATTATTCTATTATAAAGACACACGCATACGTATGTTCATTGCAGCACTACTCACAATAGTAAAGATGTGGAATCAATCCAAATGCCCATCAGTGATAGACTGGATAAAGAAAATGTGGTACATATACACAATGAAATACTATGCAGCCATAAAAAGGTACAAGATTATGTCTTTGCAGGGACTTGGATGAAGCTGGAAGCCATTATCCTCAGCAAACTAACACGGGAACAGAAAACCCAACACTGCATGTTCTCATTTATAAGCGGGTGCTGAACTATGAGAATACGTGGACACAGGGAGGGGAACAACACATATTGGGGCCTGTTTGGTGGGTGGAGGGAGGGAGCACATCAGAATAAATAGCTAATGCATGTGGGGCTTAATACCTAAGTGATGGATTGATAGGTGCAGCAAACCACCATGGCACACGTTTAACTATGTAACAAAACTGCACATCCTGCACATGTATCCTGGAACTTAAAACAAAATAATATATATATACATGTATATATATATATATATGTATATATATATATATATGTGTGTGTATATATATATATATATATATATATATATATATGCACCTGACACTGGGCAATTTATAAGAAAAAAGGTTTAATTGGCTTACAGTTCTGCAGGCTGTACAGGAAGCTTAGTGGCTTCTGCTTTTCTAGACGCCTCAGGAAACTTACAATCATGGTGGCAGGCAAAGGGGGAGCAGGTACATCACATGGCAAAAGCAGGAGCAAGAGAGGGGTGAGAGGTGCCACACGTATTTAAATGGCTAGATCTCACATGAATGCACTCGCTCTCATGAGGACAGCATTAGCACCACGGGATTGGTGCTAAGCCATTCATGAGAAATCCAACCCCCTGATCCAGACAAGCACTTCCCACCAGGTACTGCTTTAAACACTGGGAATTACATTTCAACATGAAGTTTGGGCTAGGACACACATCCAAACTAAATCAATATCCATGTGTATATATTTGTATAGATCTTGTTTTATGTGTGAATAATTATATATATAGTCTATAAGTAGAAAATTTAAATGTATTCGTTTTATGTGTATATATAAATCATTTAAAAAATAATAATTATATATATAGTCTCTAAGTAGAAAATTTAAATGTATTCGTTTTATGTGTATATATAAATCATTTAAAAAATCTATATGAATATGTTATATGGTCTTTATATGTATAAAAATAGTACTCTTTACATATACAGATATATATTCATTTTATTTACTATATTGTGAACAATTATACAAGTCATCAAGTATTTTCCTCAAGTCTCCAGTTTATTGGTTGCATGATATTCCTTCTTTCGTTTGTTTGCTTGATGTGCACCAACACTAATTTACCATTTTCCTGGCATTAGGACATTCCACTTGTTTTTGGTTGTCTGTATTACAAATAGTACAATGTTGCTTATATTGTAAATAAATCTTCACAAACATTTACATGATTTTATTGATATGTATTTAAGACTTTAGATGAAGTTTACCATATTATCCTCAATTTTTTATCCCATCTTTACAGTATAGGAACATTACTATACCTGAGTCTATTGTTATCAGAGGGATGTGTATATGTATTTTGTTTTAGAAATGTAATCATTAGAATCTATTATTTATGTAATTAAGGGATATTTCTTAATTAGAATATTAGCCCTATGTGTATTTCATTGCTGCAACTCTTGGTCAAATGCGTTGGGTTTAAAAAAGGTTTACAGTATTTTGTTTCATATAAAATTAAAACAGTTGTATTATTTTAATATTTTAATATAATAATATCTACCTATCTTTATTTTAGAGTCTCTGATTTTTGAAATGTTATTAGAAGGTCTTATTTTATGTGAAGATCCTATGAGTAGTCACTTATATTTTTCCTTTAGAACTTTTATGAGTTCGTTTTAAAAATTAAGCATTAATTTTTATATTTAATAATCAAACATTTATTAATTTATTTTTTGTACTTGTGACTTAAGGTGTGAATTATATATTTTTTCCAGGAGACTTACTAATTATACTACTTGACTTATGAATTGTTGCTGTATTAATTTTATAAATCATATATATGTATGATATGTAAATAGATATAGATACATCTCTCTATATATTTAGGGACTGACTCTTGCACTCTGACAGGCTGGAGTGCAGTGGTGCAATTATAGCTCACTGCAACTTCAAAATCTCAAAATCTTGTGCTCAATCAACCCTCCTGCCTCAGCTTCCCAAAGTGCTGGGATTACATGTGTGAGCCGCTGTGTCTAACAAATACATTTTATTTTTATTTTTATGTCTTCTGGATCTTTCTAAAAATTTTGTATTGAAAGAATTACAGTATTTTCATGAGGGTAGCTTTATAGGGACATTTACTATATAATAGAGCATGTCCAAATATTTACTATTTTTTAAAAATAACATTGATTATACTCATCACTCCCAAGACACTTACTTGCAAGTGATAGGAATTCATCTTTCATTCACTTATATTAAAGAAATTAAGTTTTAATAATTTCTTTAATTATTAATAGAGCTTAAAAAGTTCTAATAGAACCTTTATTTGCTTGATTAGCTGAAATACGAATTAAAAGATGGCCCACTGTGAACGAGCTGGAAATGCCTGATCTCCCTTGGTTTAATGTAGAGGAGGGGATGCAAAGGCTTAGGGAAATTGGGATGGTAGAGTGGATTAGTCACTTTAGACCTACTTATCCCAGCTGGGAGAGTCCAGAAGATATACCCTTGACCAGTACTTTGTGAAATAGATTTGTGAGGGCAGCACCTGCATCCTTGAAGAGTTCTGTGATTGCTCTTCTCTGTATGCCAGATCTTACAGTAGGAACTGCAGTCACCCAACTACAAAATTTAAATGCAATGGGATCCCGAGGTGGCAGGGGCCAAGTGGTGGCACTCAACAATCAAAAGTAAGGTGGGTGTAGCTACCCTAATGAACAGCAGAGGCAAAGAGGCAATCAGAATAGTGTGACTCATGTAGAGCTCTGGCACTGGCTAATGAATCACAGAATTTCTAGAAGTGAAGATGTTAGGAAGCCTACATCATTCTTAATTTATGTAAGCAGAAGGCCTCCAGCTCTAGTGGACAAAAGACTAATTTAAATTATAAAAACTGAGAATCCCTGGGCGCAGAGGCTCACATCTGTAATCCCAGCAGTTTTGGAGGCCGAGGCCAGCAGATCACCTGAGGTCAGCAGTTCGAGACCAGCCTGCCCAACATGGTGAAATCCTGTCTCTACTAAAAATACAAAAAATTAGCCAGGTGTGGTGGTGGGCACCTGTAATCCCAGCTACTCGGGAGGTTGAGGCAGGAGAATCGCTTGAATCCGGGAGGCGGAGGTTGCGGTGAGCTGAGATCGCACCACTGCACTCCAGCCTGGGCAACAAGAATAAAACTCCATCTCAAAACAACAACAACAACAACAACAACAACAACACAGAGAATCATGACCCTTCAATCAGTTTTCAGATTTTAACCAGTTTACAGACACAGAACCCTTTGAATGAAGAGGAGACCAGTTCCCCTTGAGGAAGCCTCCACTATACTACCAACAATATATGCTGTTAATCTTTCTCCTATCTTTACCCAAGGAGACCTCTGGCCTTTTACCAGGGTAACTGTGCATTGAGGAAAGGGAAATGATCAGACATTTTGAGGACTCTTTAATAAATTTGCCTCTATCTATACATCAATCCTATTAGTTGTGTCCCTCTAGAGAACCCTAACACAACATTCTTACCATGCCTGATTTTTTGAGAGTTTTAATCATGAGTGGTGTTGAATTTTGTCAAATGGTTTTTCTGCATCTATTGGGACCATGTTTTGTTTTGTTTTTCTTTTTTTTTTTTTTCCCTTCTTTCTGTTAATATAGCGAAGCATATGTACTGATTTGCATGTGTTGAATCAACCTTGCATTCCTGGGATATATCCCAAAACATCATGATGATTAAACTTTTTAATATACTGTTGAATATGATTTTCTAGTATTATGTTGATATTTGCATCTATATTCATCAGTGATATTGGTCAGTAGTTTTCTTATAGTGTTCTTGTCTGATTTTGGTGTCAAGGTGATACTGGCCTCATAAGTTTGGAAGTATTTCCACTTCTTCAATTTTTGAAGGAACTTGAAATGGATTGATATTAGTTCTTTTATAAGTTTTTTGTAGAATTCATCTGTGAAACCCTAAGCTTTTCTTTGATGTAAGATTTTAAATTACTAATTCAACTTGCTTACTCATTATTGGTCTGTTCAGATTTCCAATTTATTCTTTGTTCACTCTAGGTAAGTTATATGTTTTTAGAAATTTATCTATTTCTTTTAAGTTGTCCATTTTTTCCACAGTGTCTGTTATAATCGTTAGTATTTGTGTATTATCAGTTGTAACATCTCATTTTTCATATTTTATTTTATTTGAATTTTTTTTTCTCTTTTTTTCTTAGTCTCGCTAAGGGTTTGACAATTGTGCTTAGCTTTTCAAAAAAACAATTCTAATTTCTGTTGATCTTTTCTATTGTTTTTCTAGTCTTTATTTCCACATTTTCTGCTCTGTTATTTGTTATTTTCCTCATTCTATTAATTTTGGGCTCATTTTTAAAGTTCCTTGAGGTGTAGTCTAAAGTTGTCCACTTATTTGAGGTTGTTCTTCTTTTTTGGTGTATTTATTGCTATGAACTATCCACTTAGAACTGTTTTTGATGAATTCTGTTTTGGCAGTTTGTATTTTCATTTGTCTTCAGACATTTTCTCCTTTAATTTCTTCTTTGACCCAATAGTTGTTAAATATTAAGCATATCACTTAATTTTTACTTATTTGTTAGTTTCCCATAATTTATTCACTTATTAGTTTCTAGTTTCATATAGTCTTAGAAAAGATACGTGAAATATATGATTTCAATCTTCTTAAAATTGTTAAGACTTGTTTTGTGGTCTAAATATTCTTGAGAATGTTTTATATGTACTTGAGGAAAGTGTGTTTATATGTACTTGAGGAAAATCTGTTTTCTGTTGTTAGTACAATGTTTGGTACGCCTGTGTAGGTCCATTTGATCTAAAGTGTGTTTCAAGTTCAATATTTCCTTATTGGTTTTCTGTCTGGATGACCTGTTCTGTATTGAAAATGAGGTATTGAAATCCCCAATTATAATTGTGTTCCAGTCAGTCTATGTCTCCCTTCAGATCTTTTAATGTTTGCTTTATATATTTATAAATATATAAAGATGCTATGATGTTGGGGTGTGTGTGTGTGTATATATATGTGTGTGTGTATATATGTGTGTGTATATATACACACATATATATATTTACAATTATTATGTCCTCTTGATGGATTGACTTCTTTGTCACCATATAATGACCTTTATTTTGCATTTTTGCCCTAAAGTTTATTTTATTTGAAAGAAGCAGAGCTACATTTGCTCTCTTTTTGTATCCATTTGCATAAAATATATTTTTTCCAACCCTTCACTTTCAGTCTATCACTATCCTCTAAGGTTAAGTGAGTCTTTTGTAGGCAGAATATACTTGGGTCTGTGTGTGTTTGTGTCATGGGAGTCTGTGTGAAGAGACCAGCAACAGGCTTTGTGTGAGCAAGAAGGCTGTTTATTTCACTTGGGTGAAAGTGGGCTGAGTCTGAAAAGAGAGTGAGCAAAGTGAGATGGGGTGGGGCAGTTTTATAGGATTTGAGTAGGTAGTGGAAAAGTACAGTTAAAGGTGGTTATCTCTTGCAGGCAGGGGTCACAAGGTGCAGGGTGGGAAGATCATGAGACTCATTGTCCAGGTGGGGAATGTCACAAGGTCGATTGATTAGTTAGAGTGGGGCAGGAACAAATCAGAATGGTGGAATGTCATCTTTTGTGGTTCTTCAGTTGCTCCAGGCCATCTGGATGTATACATGCAGGTCACAGGGGTTATGATGGCTTAGCTTGGGCTCAGAGGCCTGACATTTCTGTCTTCTTATATTAATAAGAAAAACAAAACAAAATAGTGGTGAAGTGTTGGGGCGCCGAAAATTTTTGGGAGTGGTATAGAGAGATAATGGGTGATGTTTCTCAGGGCTGCTTTGAGCAGGATTAGGGGCGGCGTGGGAACATAGAGTGGGAGAGATTAAACTGAAGGAAAATTTTGTGGTAAGGGGTGATATTGTGGGGTTGTTAGAAGGAGCAGTTTTGCCTGACAAAGGTCTCTTCTTCCTCCGTGGCTCCTCCACCTACATGTGTCTGCGTATGAATTGGACAGGCACATGAACACTAGTTTTCCTTACTCCCAAAAATCTGTTTGCAAATAGGACCAAACAGCTTTCTGTTCCCCTCATGACACCAATACTTCATCACTATTTTGTCTTATTTTTCTTATTAATATAAGATGACAGGAATAGGCCTCAACTTACTCGCTGCTGAAAAAGGAGGACTGTATATATTTTTAAATGAAGAGTGTTGTTTTTACCTAAGTCAATCTTGCCTGGTATATGACAACATAAAAAACTCAACGATAGAGCCCAAAAACTTGCCAACCAGGCAAATAATTATGCTAAACCTCCCTGGGCACTTTCTAATTGGATTTCCCGGCTCCTCCCAATTCTTAGTCCTCTACTACCTGTTTTTCTCCTTCTCTTATTTGGACCTTGTGCCTTCCATTTAGTTTCTCAATTCATACAAAACCGCATCCAGGCCATCACCAATCATTCTATATGACAAATACTCCTTCTAACAGCCCCACCATATCACCCCTTACCACAAAACCTTCCTTCTGTTTAATCTCTCCCACTGTAGGTTCCCACGCCGCCCCTAATCCCGCTCGAAGCAGCCCTGAGAAACATTGCCCATTATCTCTCTATACCACCTCCAAAAATTTTCAACGCCCCAACACTCCACCACTATTTTTTGTTTTTCTTATTAATATAAAAAGACAGGAATGTCAGGTCTCTGAGCCCAAGCTAAGCCATCATAACCCCTGTGACCTGCATGTATACATCCAGATGGCCTGGAGCAACTGAAGAACCACAAAAGATGGCATTCCACCATTGTGATTTGTTCCTGCCCCACTCTAACTAATCATTTGACCTTGTGACATTCCCCACCTGGACAATGAGTCTCATGATCTTCCCACCCTGCACCTTGTGACCCCTGCCCCTGCCCAAAAGAGATAACCACCTTTAACTGTACTTTTCCACTACCTACCCAAATCCTATAAAACTGCCCCACCCCTATCTCCCTTTGCTGACTCCTTTTTGGGACTCAGTACGCCTGCACCCAGGTGATTAAAAAGCTTTATTGCGCACACAAAGCCTGTTTGGTGGTCTCTTCATAAGGATGCATGTGACAGTTTGTATGAGTTTGTATATATGTTCATTTTGGCCATTCTATGTTTTTTGACAGAAGAATTTATTCCATTTACATTTAAAGTAATTACTGATAGGTAAGGAACTTACTGATGCTATTTTTAATTGTTTTCTGACAGTTTTATAAATTTTTGGTTCCTTTCCTCCTCTCTTGTTTTCTTTCTTTGTGATTTGACGGCTCCTAGTGGTATGCTTTAAATATTTTCTTTTTATCTTTTGTGTATCTATTATAGGCTTTCATTGTGTGGTTGCCTTAAGACTTATATAAAATATTTTATATTACAGTAGACTATTTTAAGTTGATAATTTTAATTGCATATACAAACTGTACACTTTTACTCCTCCTCCTCCCACATTTTGTGGTTTTGATGTCACATTTTACATCTTTTTGTAATTTACATCTCTTAACAAGTTATTGTAGCTTTAATTGTTTTTAATAGTTTTTCCTTTAACTCTTATTCTAGAAATATAACTGATTTACCTACTTCTTTTATAGTATTAGAATGTTCTGGATTTGACAATGTACTTGCTTTACCAGTGAGTCTTATACTTTTATATGTTTTCATGTTACAACTAATGTCCTCTTCCTTCAACCTGAAAAGCAACCTTTAACATTTTGTGTAGGGCTGGCCTAGTGGTGGTAAACTGTCTCAGCTTTTGTTTGTCTAAGAAAGTCTTTATTACCCATTTATTATTGAAACACAAGAATGCTTGGTATGATACTTCTGATTTTTTTTTTTTTAATTTCAGGATGTTGAATTTACTATTCTACTACCTTTTGGCCTTCAAGGTTTCTGCTGAAAAATCCTTTGATAGTCTTATGGACATTCCGTTATATGTGATAATTCATTTTCTCCTGGCTGCTTTCAACTTAGTCTAATTTTTAGTAATTTGATTATAGTATATCTTTGTGTGGATCTTTTTGGTTCATTTTATTGGTGTATTTGGGGTTCTTGTAGCTGGCTTTCTGTTTCCTTACCCAGGCTTGGAAACTTTCTGCCATTATTTCTCTGTATAATGTGTTTGTTTTTTTTGTCCTCTTATCTCTCTTTTCCCTCTGGCATGCCAATAATGCGTAAGTTGTTTTATTGGATGGTGTCTCAAAAGTCTCTTAAGCTGCCTTCATTCCTTTTTTTTTTCTTGCTCGTCACACTGGATGATTTCCAGTTACCTGTTTCAAGTTCACTGACACTTTATTCCCTCAGTCTAGTTGGCTGTTGCTCTATTGGACTTTAAGATCAGTTATATTCCTCAGTATGATTTCTCTTTGCTACTTTTTTATACTTTCTATCTTTGCTGAAGTTCTCTATTTGTTTCTGCATTGCTCTCTTGACCTTGATAGACATTTTAATGATCATTATTTTGAATTTTCTCTCAGGTGAATCACATATGTCCACTTCACTTGGGTCAGTTTCTAAAGATTTATCTTGTCCTTTGCTCAGAACATATTCCCCTATTGTTTAATTTTCCTTGATTTTCTGTGTTCGTTTCTACATATTGAATGTAGCAACTACCTCTCCTAGACTTTTCAGTTTGGGCTCACGTAGGAGAAGAATATCACCAATCCATCTGGTCAAAGATTTTAAGTTGCCCCTCTAATCTTTTTGCTTGCTCAGACTCCTGTCTCTGTTTTAGGTGGCCCCCTCCAACTTAGGATATACCATGTTCTATCAGTATCTCAGATCAGAAAAGTAGGATCTAGCTTCTTTAGATGTAGGTGATAAGGTTGGAGTCTTGGCTGTGTTCTAGTTCCTTCTATCTTCACAGTGGAGCTGAGTACGGATGTCTATCTTCAGTTCCCTGTGCACTAAGCCAGAGAGAGGGTCTGTGGCAAATGTCTGTACTCACTTTCATGCTGCACCTTTTGATCCTGGGGAGATACTGTCCAGAATACAGTCTGTTGTATATCAAACTCTTTGGTCTAGAGCCACTCAAAAATGCAAAACCCCATTGACTCCCAGAGCTTATTCATTAAGAGGACAGTCCCTTGAGTGGAAACTATAGAAGCTGTGGCACTCAGTGTACTGCCAAACACCTTCCAGGAAAAATGGTAGGTGTGAATTTATCACTGTGGTGGGCTGAAAGGACATGCCAAGCTTGGTTCCTGCTGTTATAGGGTTATTGTTTGCCAAATTACCTCTCTGATACAAGTTAGTTAGCATCCAGGCCATCAAATAGCCACTGGAATTTTGTGCTATAAGTCCCTTTCAGACTTTTCTGCACTGTTCCAAGGGGATGTAGCAACTAATAACGCTTATCTGACTGTTTAAAACCATGTCTTTGTTCTGTAATTTGGGGAAACTCACATATGCCTATTATCTTCTGTTCCCAGAGTTAGGAGGTTTAGCATGAAGTCCTTCAGAAGGTAGTTGTAAAAGTTGTGATACTCAATTCATGTCATAAATGTTTTCCAGGGAAAAACAAGAAGATGGATTTTTAAAGCCCAATTTTTGAACTGCTCCTAGGGCACAAAGGCTCTTAGAGTGCTTACATGCCTGTGTAAAACTCACTTTTTTCTGTGGCCTATATAGACATGCATACACTTTGTCCCCTCTGCTCCCAGAGCTAAGAGGCGTAGGATACAGTCCCTCAAATGGAAGCTTTAAAAGTTGGGGTGCTAGATGTATGAACTAACTCCTTCCAGGAGGGAGATTAATAAATCTTAGAATTCTTACTGGGGCAAGCAATGGGAGCAAGTTGGAGAAGTGTCAGTCTGCCTCTCAGGCTGCCAACTGGGCTAATATTTATCTACTCCTTTAAATCCCTGATACAAGACAGTTAGCAGCCAGGCCACCAAGTAGACACTACAAGAGCATATCATAAGCCTGATGTGGGGAGAGACAGAAGTCTGCATATTTTAAGCCACTTTTTGGTACTGGTCCCAGGAAGTAAAGCCCCTGGAAGCCCTCGAGCTCCTATATTAAATTATCACCTTCTTTCCCGCAGTCTAGAAAGACCCTTGCTCCTATCGTTGTTAATTAAGAGCCATATCATGGGGAACCTTAGAGTTAGGGCACTGCATATGAAGTCCAAACTCTCCTCTCCACAGGGAGAAGCCTGATAGTGGAGATTCCTTTCTTGATTGTATAGTGCCTGAGTATGTCTAAGCTTTTCCTACCCCTTTGATGTGAATGTTTTCTCAGTTGCTTGGTGCATAGGCATTTCTCAACTGGTCTGACTTTCTCTCAGAGGAAAAGGATCTATGAATAGATGTTTCTTTGGTGCATCCATACGTGGAGGAATTCAGGAACTTCCTATTTCTACCATGTTGCTGATGTCACTCTAGGCAAGCACTATCTGAGGTTTTCTTGAGATTAAATTGCCATTACGAAGTTTTGCAAGGTCGCAGAAATGATACTGTGCCTTTTTTTTTTGTAGTGCATATCAGGAGATATAGATTACAGATATGTCTTATTTCTAAGAATATTAGCTGTGATTTCATTGTTAACATGGTGTCTGCTCTGTTTATCCAATATAAAGTTACTTTATTTTTCCTATGCAATTAAAATAAGTACCTTGTGAGAGATATTCTGTGTACATATCCTTGCTTTTGTTCACTTAAAAATTGTATCCTAAAAATTACTTCATTTAACTTCAAAGAGGTCTTCCTCATTTATTTTTTCAAACCCTTGAAGTACTTCATTATGTGGATATGTTGTAGGTTAATTCCATCAATCTCCTATATATGAACATTTATATTATTTCCAATATTTTGCAATTACAGAGAATGAGTGCATATGAACTTTTGGATTTTTAAATGGTATCTTCAGGGAAGATTCTTAGAAGTGGGATTGTTGGTTAAACAGTAAGTAGATGTGTAGGTATTTGTTAGGATTGCAAAATTTACTGCCAAAAGTTGTACCACTTTGCAGTCCCACCAGCAATGTGTTGAAGTGCATGTTTTTTCACAGCCTCAATAATAGAATGTGTTTCTTTTTATAGAATTTTATATCAGGGTAGGCAATTCAAAGCCATTTTGAATCCATAAAGGCAAGAGTCAAAAAGAGGGTTCAAGAGGGCCCAGGGTCCAGGGATGTGCTGTCACATATGAAGGTTTGTATAGAAAGGCAGGAAAACACAGTTAATAAGTTAATAGGAATTAGCTGCAATCATGTCTTAAACATATTTTGAATGCTAAAATTTTATGGGAATAGACAGCCCTGTTTTTTTCTATACAGTTCATCTCTTTAAAACAAATGGAATCTGTAATCCACCATTAACCCCAGGCAAGAAAAATTTCCTGTGTTATGGAGCCATTTCTTCTTTTTGGAGAATCTCTTACTTCCCATCCACATAGATGAATTGGTCACTCTTTGGTTCTGTAATGATGATTTCACAAATTTGATGGTACCCAAACAGGGCCAATCAGGGTTAATTCTACAGTTTCTTAGATTTTTCTAGAAAAATAATGCTCTCTCTTACTACACTGGCTTAAGCTAACAGTAGGTTAACAAGAAAATACCAAGAACTGCTACAAGGCAACTTTTGTTAGCTGAAAGTAAACACAAAGCAAAGCAGAACAGGTAAAGGGGAAAGACAGTGTGTTTTAAAAGAGGGTAAATATTTAGATTAAGCTGAGACTATAGGCTGGCACACCCTGGACCTCCACTGATAAAATGCAATGTTCTCTATTTTTATTCATAGTAGTTTGAATTTGGTTTCTTTTATTTGTAGTCCAAATAATCAAATTAATAGGTTATTCTCTCAGAAATTATCTCAGCATTAGGATGACTCTTTAGTCATGTTAGAATTATAATATTTCCTTGAAATAAATAGTTCTTCTTAGGTTCAATTTCTGTTCATTAGGTTTCAAAGTATAAGACAATGTCCCTAAAACAGATGAACAGATTCTTATCTTTGAGCTGTGTAATGAATGGAAAGTATCATAGCTGTCAAGGGATGCTGAAGCATCCACGTGGGACTGGCAATTGATTTTTCCAGTGAAACAGCACTGAGACATATTTGAGTTTATCAAAGCATTTCAGAGTAGACCTCTTTAGGGTTTAGTGTGATCCACAGAGTAAATACTATCAACTATCACATTTGTCAAATCTCTACTGATGGAATTGATCATTAATACTCTTTAGTTTTTTCAAAACACACTTGCATTTTAACGAATTCTGTTTTCTGTAATACTTTTCTAACTCTCCAAACCTGAACCATTCTTACACAGCTCTCCATTAAAGTATTTCCAGAACTCAGCAACTATCAGACTTAACTTTTCGTAACTGGTTCAATTGCCAGCCCCTCTTCCCCATCTCAAGCTCTAGCTCACTGTCATCCTACTCTGCATTATGGTGTCCCTTTAGCATTACAAGCTGTTTGCTTTCTGCCTAATAATTTCATTTCTTAACAAGTGCTCAGCATCAGCTATATCTAGTGGTGGTGTTTATTGCTGTGATTTAAAAAAGAGTAAGCCATTCTCCTCATGTCTGTGAGATTGATATGCAAATTATAGCTACATTCCAACATTCCATGAGAGTGGGGTGAGTTCCATGAGTAAGGGGTGAAAGGTGTTATAACTCATGGTGAAAATACAGTGAAGGAGCAGACTAACTGTCTAAAAAGGGGTAGTAGTTCATGGGAAAGGCTTCATGGCTAACATGAGACTTGAGCGGAGTTTAATTTTTTATTTGCTTGAAAATTTTTTGCTTTCTTGCCATATCTAGTGTCAGGCCTCTGAGCCCAAGCCAGGCCATTGCATCCCCTGTGACTTGCATGTATAAGCCCAGATGGCCTGAAGTAACTGAAGAATCACAAAAGAAGTGAATATGCCCTGCCCCACCTTAACTGATGACATTCCACCACAAAAGAAGTGTAAATGGCTGGTCCTTGCCTTAAGTGATGACATTACCTTGTGAAAGTCCTTTTCCTGGCTCATCCTGGCTCAAAAAGCACCCCCACTGAGCACCTTGCGACCCCTACTCCTGCCTGCCAGAGAACAAACCCCCTTTGACTGCAATTTTCCTTTACCTGCCCAAATCCTATAAAATGGTCCCACCCTTATCTCCCTTTGCTGACTCTCTTTTTGGACTCAGCCTGCCTGCACTCAGGTGAAATAAACAGCCATGTTGCTCACACAAAGCCTGTTTGGTGGTCTCTTCACACGGACGCGCATGAAATTTGGTGCCGTGACTCGGATCGGGGGACATCCCTTGGGAGATCAATCCCCCGTCCTCCTGTTCTTTGCTCCGTGAGAAAGATCCACCTACGACCTCAGGTCCTCAGACCGACCAGCCCAAGAAACATCTCACCAATTTCAAATCCGGTAAGCGGCCTCTTTTTACTCTCTTCTGCAACCTCCCTCACTATCCCTCAACCTCTTTCTCCTTTCAATCTTGGCACCACACTTCAATCTCTCCCTTCTCTTAATTTCAATTCCTTTCATTTTCTGAGACAAAGGAGACACATTTTATCCGTGGACCCAAAACTCTGGCGCCGGTCATGGACGGGAAGGCAGACTTCCCTTGGTGTTTAATCATTGCAGGGACACCTCTCTGATTATTCACCCACATTTCAAAGGTGTCAGACCACGCAGGGACGCCTGCCTTGGTCCTTCACCCTTAGCGGCAAGTCCTGCTTTTCTGGGTTAGGGGCAAGTACCTCAACCCCTTCTCTCCTTGTCTCTACCCCTTCTCCCCTTTTCTGGGAGAGGGGCAAGTACCCATCAACCCCTTCTCCTTCACCCTTAGCGGCAAGTCCCACTTTTCTATGGGGCAAGAACCCCCAATCCCTTATTTCTGCACCCCAACCTCTTATCTCTGTGCCCCAATCCCTTATTTCTGTGCCCCAACCTTGTATCTCTGCACCCCAATCCCTTATTTCCACACCCCAACACCTTATATCCCTGTGCCCCATCCCTTATTTCTGTGCCCCAACCTCTTATCTCTATGCCCATTCCCTTATTTCCGTGCCCTGACCCCTTTTTTCCATGCCCCGACCCCTTATTTCTGTGCCCCATCCCTTATTTCCATGCCCCGACCTCTTATCTCTGCGCCTCAACCCCTTTTCCCACTTTTCTGGAAGGTAAGAACCCCCAAACCCCTTCCCTCCATTTCTCTACTCTCTCTTTTCTCTAGGCTTGCTTCCTTCACAATGGGCAACCTTCCACCCTCCATTCCTCCTTCTACTCCCTTGGCCTGTGTTCTCAAAAACTTAAAACTTCTTCAACTCACACCTGACCTAAAACCTAAATGCCTTATTTTCTTCTGCAATGCCGCTTGACCCCAATACAAACTTGACAGTAGTTCCAAATAGCCAGAAAATGGCACTTTGAATTTTTCCATCCTGCAAGATCTCAATAATTCTTGTCGTAAAATAGGCAAACGGTCTGAGCTGCCTGACATCCAGGCATTCTTTTACACATCAGTCGCTTCCTAGTCTCTGTGCCCAGTGCAATTCGTCCCAAATCTTCCTTCTTTCTCTCCCGCCTGTCCCCTCAGTACCAACCCCAAACGTCGCTGAGTCTTTCTAATCTTCCTTTTCTACAGACCCATCTGACCTCTTCCTTCCTCCCCAGGCTGCTCCTTGCCAGGCTGAGCTAGGTCCCAATTCTTCCTCAGCCTCCGCTCCTCCACCCTGTAATCTTTTTATCACCTCCGCTCCTCACACCTGGTCCGGCTTACAGTTTCGTTCCGTGACTAGCACTCCCCCTCCTGCCCAGCAATTTACTCTTAAAAAGGTGGCTGGAGCTAAAGGCATAGTCAAGGTTAATGCTCCTTTTTCTTTATCCCAAATCAGATAGCGTTTAGACTCTTTTTCATCAAATATAATAATCCAGCCCAGTTCATGGCTCGTTTGGCAGCAACCCTGAGACACTTTACAGCCCTAGACCCTAAAATGTCAAAAGGCTGTCTTATTCTCAAAATACATTTTATTACCCAATCTGCTCCTGACATTAAATAAAACTCCAAAAATTAAATTCCGGCCCTCAAACACCACAACAGGATTTAATTAACCTCGCCTTCAAGGTGTACAATAATAGAAAAAAGTTGCAATTCCTTGCCTCCACTGTGAGACAAACCCCAGCCACATCTCCAGCACACAAGAACTTCCAAACACCTGAACCACAGTGGCCAGGTGTTCCTCCAGAACCTCCTCCCACAGGATCTTGCTACACATGCTGGAAATCTGGCCACTGGGCCAAGGAATGCCCACAGCCTGGGATTCCTCCTAAGCCGCGTCCCATCTGTGTGGGACCCCAGTGAAAATCGGACTGTTCAACTCACCTGGCAGCCACTCCCACAGCCCCTGGAACTCTGGCCCAAGGCTCTCTGACTGACTCCTTCGCAGATCTTCTCGGCTTAGCGGCTGAAGACTGACACTGCCCGATCGCCTCGGAAGCCCCCTAGACCATTACGGACGCCGAGCTTCGGGTAACTCTCACAGTGGAAGATAAGCCCATCCCCTTCTTAATCAATATGGAGGCTACCCACTCCACATTACCTTCTTTTCAAGGGCCCGTTTCCCTTGCCTCCATAACTGTTGTGGGTATTGACGGCCAGGCTTCTAAACCTCTTAAAACTCCCCAACTCTGGTGCCAATTTAGACAATACTCTTTTAAGCACTCCTTTTTAGTTATCCCCACCTGCCCAGTTCCGTTATTAGGCTGAGACACTTTAACTAAATTATCTGCTTCCCTGACTATTCCTGGACTACAGCTACATCTCATTGCCGCCCTTCTTCCCAATCCAAAGCCACCTTTGCGTCCTCCTGTTGTATGCCCCCCCCACCTTAACCCACAAGTATAAGATACCTCTACTCCCTCCTTGGTGACCAATCATGCACCCCTTACCATCTCATTAAAACCTAATCACCCTTACCCCACTCAACGCCAATATCCCATCCCGCAGCACGCTTTAAAAAGATTAAAGCCTGTTATCACTCGCCTGCTACAGCATGGCCTTTTAAAGCCTATAAACTCTCCTTACAATTCCCCCATTTTACCTGTCCTAGAACCAGACAAGCCTTACAGGTTAGTTCAGGATCTGCACCTTATCAACCAAATTGTTTTGCCTATCCACCCCGTGGTGCCAAACCCATGTACTCTCCTATCCTCAATACCTGCCTCTACAACCCATTATTCTGTTCTAGATCTCAAACATGCTTTCTTTACTATTCCTTTGCACCCTTAATCCCAGCCTCTCTTCGCTTTCACTTGGACTGACCCTGACACCCATCAAGCTCAGCAAATTACCTAGGCTATACTGCCGCAAAGCTTCACAGACAGCCCCCATTACTTCAATCAAGCCCAAATTTCTTCCTCATCTGTTACCTATCTCAGCATAATTGTCATAGAAACACATGTGCTCTCCCTGCCAATCGTGTACGACTGATCTCTCAAACCCCCACACCTTCTACAAAACAACAACTCCTTTCCTTCCTAGGCATGGTTAGCATGGTCAGAATTCTTACACAAGAGCCAGGACCACACCCTGTAGCCTTTCTGTCCAAACAACTTGACCTTACTGTTTTAGCCCAGCCCTCATGTCTGCGTGCAGAGGCTGCCGCTGCTTTAATAGTTTTAGAGGCCCTCAAAATCACAAACTATGCTCAACTCACCCTCTACAGCTCTCAGTTTCCAAAATCTATTTTCTTCCTCATACCTGATGCATATACTTTCTGCTTCCCGGCTCCTTCAGCTGTACTCACTCTTTGTTGAGTCTCCCACAATTATCATTGTTCCTGGCCCGGACTTCAATCCGGCCTCCCACATTATTCCTGATACCACACCTGACCCCCATGACTGTATCTCTCTGAACCACCTGACATTCACCCCATTTCCCCATATTTCCTTCTTTCCTGTTCCTCACCCTGATCACGCTTGATTTATTGATGGCAGTTCCACCAGGCCTAATCGCCACACACCAGCAAAGGCAGGCTATGCTATAGTACAAGCCACTAGCCCGCCTCTCAGAACCTCTCATTTCCTTTCCATCGTGGAAATCTATCCTCAAGGAAATAACTTCTCAGAGTTCCATCTGCTATTCTACTACTCCTCAGGGATTATTCAGGGCCCCTCCCTTCCCTACACATCAAGCTCGAGGATTTGCCCCACCCAGGACTGGAAAATTAGCTTTACTCAACATGCCCTGAGTCAGAAAACTAAAATACCTCTTAGTCTAGGTAGATACTTTCACTGGATAGGTAGAGGCCTTTCCCACAGGGTCTGAGAAGGCCACTGCAGTCATTTCTTCCCTTCTGTCAGACATAATTCCTCAGTTTAGCCTTCCCACCTCTATACGGTCTGATAACGGACGAGCCTTTATTAGTCAAATCAGCCAAGCAGTTTTTCAGGCTCTTAGTATTCAGTGAAACCTTTATATACCTTATGGTCCTCCGTCTTCAAGAAAAGTAGAATGGACTAAAGGTCTTTTAAAAACACACCTCACCAAGCTCAGCCGCCAACTTAAAAAGGACTGGACAATACTTTTACCACTTTCCCTTCTCAGAATTCAGGCTTGTCCTCGGAATGCTACAGGGTACAGCCCATTTAAGCTCCTGTATAGACGCTCCTTTTTATTGGGCCCCAGTCTCATTCCAGACACCAGACCAACCTAGACTGGCCCCCAAAAAACTTGTCATCCCTACTATCTTCTGTCTAATCATATTCCTATTCACCATTCTCAACTACTCATACATGCCCTGCTTTTATTTACACTGCCAGTTTACACTGTTTTTCCAAGCCATCACAGCTGATATCTCCTGGTGCTATCCCCAAACTGCCACTGTTAACTCTTGAAGTAAATAAATAATCTTTGCTGGCAGGACTATGCTGAATCTCCTTAGGCACTCTCTAATCAGATGTCCTGAGTCGTCCCAATTCTTAGACATTTTATACCTGTTTTTCTCCTTCTGTTATTCCATTTAGTTTCTCAATTCATCCAAAACCGTATCCAGGCCATCACCAATCATTCTATACGACAAATGTTTCTTCTAACGTCCCCACTATATCACCCCTTACCACAAGACCTCCCTTCAGCTTAATCTCTCCCACTCTAGGTTCCCACGCCGCCCCTAATCCCGCTTGAAGCAGCCCTGAGAAACATCGCCCATTCTCTCTCCATACCACCCCCCAAAAATTTTCGCCGCCCCAACACTTCAGCACTATTTTGTTTTATTTTTCTTATTAATATAAGAAGGCAGGAATGTCAGGCATCTGAGCCCAAGCCAGGCCATCGCATCCCCTGTGACTTGCACATATAAGCCCAGATGGCCTGAAGTAACTGAAGAATCACAAAAGAAGTGAATGTGCCCTGCCCCACCTTAACTGATGACATTCCACCACAAAAGAAGTGTAAATGGCCGGTCCTTGCCTTAAGTGATGACATTACCTTGTGAAAGTCCTTTTCCTGGCTCATCCTGGCTCAAAAAGCACCCCCACTGAGCACCTTGCGACCCCTACTCCTGCCCGCCATAGAACAAACCCCCTTTGACTGTAATTTTCCTTTACCTGCCCAAATCCTATAAAATGGCCCCACCCTTATCTCCCTTTGCTGACTCTCTTTTCGGACTCAGCCTGCCTGCACCCAGATGAAATAAACAGCCATGTTGCTCACACAAAGCCCGTTTGGTGGTCTCTTCACATGGACGCGCATGAAATCTAGGGCTTCCATTTTTTTTGGTAAGAAAATGGATTAAATATTATTTTTTCATAAATTTGCCAAATGCTTTTCTCTATGAAATTACGTATCAAGATCACTTTTGCTTTGTAGTTAAGTATATTGAGGACTTCAGTTAAACACTTGCTTTTATAAAATTATTATTATTATTATTATTAGGAATAGGGTCTTACTCTGTATATCAGGCTGGAATGCAGTGGCATGATCATAGCTCACTGCAGCCTCCAAATCCTGAGTTCAAGCAATCCTCCCACCACAGCCTCCCGAGTAGTTGGGACTATAGGAACATGATATCATGCCCAGCTAATTAAAAAGAATTTTTTTTTTTTTTGTAGAAACAAGGTCTCAGTACGTTGCTCAAGTTGTGTTTTTATAAAACAATTAAAGAAGTCAGACAATTCACATTGTTATACTAGAACTATTGTTATGTAGGTTTGGTGGATTATTTACTAATAGTTTTACTATTGGTATTACTATTACTATTGGTAATTATAGGCTTTATATAAGAATATAAAATAATCAGCCGGGTACAGTGGCTCATGCCTGTAATCCCAGCACTTTGGGAGGCCGAGGCGGGTGGATCACGAGGTCAAAAGATCGAGACCATCCTGGCTAACAAGGTGAAATGCCGTCTCTACTAAAAAATACAAAAAAATTAGCCAGGCATGGTGGTGGGCACCTATAGTCCCAGCTACTCGGGAGGCTGAGGTAGGAGAATGGCATGAACCCAGGAGGCAGAGCTTGCAGTGAGCCAAGATTGCCCAACTGCACTCCAGCCTGGGTGACAGAGCGGGACTCTGTCTCAAAAAAATAAAAAATAAAAAATAAATAAATAAGAAGAATATAAAATAATCACTCGGTATTTTACTTTAACACCCAATCACTTATTTCCTCATTAATTTTATGAAGGAGTTAACTTAGAACTCAATTATATTACAGCATATGCTTTTATGATTAAGCAGGTGGTAATGCTTGGACTTCATGCTCAGTCTGTCAAAAAGAAACTTTCTCCTACAATGAGAAATTAATGTACTTTTAAGGCAACAGCAATTTGTTTATGGCCTTTTCATGCAAGGAAGACATCATTATAGGCTCCATCAATACCAGCACAACTTTGATAGAACCTTCAGCATAATTAGTTTTGAACATATTGAAATTGATAAACAACTTTCCAAGTGTAATTATATTCTATATATTTGCTCATTACATGTGTTGTGGAGGGAAGAATAAAAACTTCAATACGTTTCAAAGTAAGTTCTCTGATTATATAAAAATAAATGTTTGGGTATTTTCTTTCTCTTTATTGTATACGGGCATAGGAAACCATGTGTGTGTGTGTGTGTGTGCACGCGCGCACATGTGCTTTGGAAACTGACTCATAATTTCTAACACTTTGCAAGAAGACAGAAGTAGAAAAGAGAGGTAACAAATATAAATGAGAGGTAACAACCTTCAGCCATTTCTGAGATAGCTAGAACTTGAAGGAAAATAATGAATCAACATGTTTAACAGAAGTTTGAGGGAGTATGGCATAGCATAATCCATTATTTTGCAGCCAGTTGTAAATATCCAAGTGGAAACATTAACAACGTATACCACCATGAAACAAGATGATATTTAGTCATCCTTTTTATTTTTTTGATGAAAAGAAACACAGATGAATTGTTGGAGTGATAGAAACTTTTAAATCAAGGCCTCACCTGGTCGGCAAATCTGATGAACTATTCACTAGCCAACATGCTGCTATATGGAATTGGCAAGATAAAGGAGGGGATCAATTAAAAATAAGTTTTCACAACTTTATTTGAACTGCGTATGTCAAGTGCCATATAACTACTATCAGGATAAAACGGTGTGCTTCACATGAACCATGCTAAAGAAAGACAATTTTCTTCTTCCATTAGAGGGTGGCTAGGGCAATACTTTTGACTAAAGGTGAAAAAGAAAAAAAAAAAGGCCTACGAACATAGTTATTCAATCAAAGAACTTTGAGTTTATTTAATTTGGTAGCCATTGAATACTGCACAGGAGTTTCTGCTAAGTCTAGAGAGCATGACATTTTGGACCCAGGCCACAATTATACTAGCCATTTGTTGTTCACCTCTGGCTCTAGGGACTCAGCTATTTTCTTTTTCTCTTAAAGGGATATCACTATTCATTGAATTCCTTGCAATGCCTCTCCCCATGAAGACCTTTTGGTTAATAGCCTGCATTTTTCACAAACAGTTCCATTTATAATGGCCATTTGCTACGATATGTATGCTATTGGGGTATAGAAATTACAAAGGTCATGAAAATCCAATAGAGGTTCCCCAGATTAATTATATGTATTAATATTATCCTCTTCTCATTTGGGCACTGACAAGTGTAAAATTGACTGATGTGTTTTCTCTTCTTTAATGTGTCATTTTTATTTTCAGAAGTCAGTATTGGAGACACAAAAGACTGCATGGAGCATTACACATCCAGGTGTAGCCGCATCCATAATAATGCATGCATGAGCAATGCCCTAGGAATGCCCTTTGAAAATGATTAATAGAGATGCTATAGTTTAACTAGGTACTACAGAAAGAGCATGCAATATCTATTACATAAATTTAATTTTCATTTTGGGCTTTATTATTTGTCACTTTTTTCCTTGAGCATGAAGGATTGAAATAGACTGTGATATTTATAAATGTTTAACAGATCTTCCTTATAGCATATCCTAGACCGTGTTTTAAATGAACAGCTCTTGGAATGAAGCCCCATCAAAATCCAGGGCTAAAATCAATCTGCCTGAGGTACTACATGAACAGAGTACAGTTGTTTTGGTGAGGCATGACAATATCTTTCCTGGCATTAGAGAGGCTCGGGTTGCAGCCACCCTGGGAAGAATACAACTGAGCTGCTATATCAACTGTGTTTTCACCTTGCAAGATTCTGGATCAGATTCTGGCACAACTGTTCCTAAAATCACACTAGAGGATATGATATCCAGCTGAAACTAGTCATAAAGTCACTTCCTATTAGAGATCATTATAAAGACAACTAGAAACTATTGGCAGTAGTTTGGTACACACTGAACATTCTTCAGAGATATTTGTCAAAGTTTTCTGTATATCCTATGATTTGCAGTTCTTTTTCTTTTTAAAAAAAATATTTTATTTTAATTTCCAGGATACATATGCAGGACGTGCAGGTTTGCTACTCAGGGAAATGTGTGCCATGGTGGTTTCCTGCATCTATCAACCCATCACCTAGGTATGAAGCCCCACATGCATTAGCTATTTATCCTGATGCTCTCCCTCTCACTGCCCTTCCCTGACATGCCACAGTATGTGTTGTTCGCCTCTTTGTGTCTATGTGTTCTCACTGTTCGGCTCCCACTTAAAAGTGAGAACATGTGACGTTTGATTTTTTTGTTCCTGTGTTCATTTGCTGAGGATAATTGCTTTGCACCTTAACCTTGTCCCTGAAAAGGACATGATCTCATTCCTTTTTATGGCCGCATAGTATGCCATGGTGTATATTTACCACATTTTCGTTATCTAGTCTATCACTGATGCGTGTTTTGATTGATTCCATGTCTTTATTATTGGGAATAGTGCTGCAATGAACATATATGTGCATATGTCTTTATAATAGAATAATTTATATTTCTTTGGATATATGCTCAGTAATAGGATTGCTGGGTCAAATGGTATGTCTGGTTCTAGGTCTTTGAGGAATTGCCACACTGTCTTCCACAATGGTAGAACTAACTTACATTCCCACCAATAGTGTAAAAGTGTTCCTATTTCTCTGCAACCTCACCAACATCTGTTGTTTCTTAACTTCTTAATAATCATCATTCTGACTGGCATGAGATGGAATCTCATTGAGGTCTTGATTTGCATTTCTCTAGTGATCAGTGATGTTGAACTGTTTTTTCATGTTTGTTGGTTCAGAATTTCCTTAAATTGATAAGCAACATCAGCAAAGTCTTAGGATACAAAATCAATGTGCAGAAATCAAAAACATTCCTATACTCCAACAATAGACAAGCAGAGAGCCAAATCATGAATGAACTCCTATTCACAATTGCTACAAAGAGAATAAAGTACCCATAAATACAGCTAAAAAGGGAAATGAAGTTCTCCTTTTAGAGAACTACAAACCACTGCTCAAAGAAATCAGAGAGAACACAAACAAATGAAAAAACAGTCCATGCTCATAGATAGGAAGAATCAATATTGTGAAAATGGCCATACCATCCAAAGTAATTTATAGATTCAATGCTATTGCCATTAAATTACCATTGACATTCTTTACAGAATTAGAAAAACCACTTTAAAATTCACATGGAACCCAAAAGGAGCCCATACAGCCACGACAATCCTAAGCAAAAAGAACAAAGCTGGAGGCATGATGATGCCCGACTTCAAACTATACTGCAATTTCCCCCCTATCCAAAAAAAAAAAAAAGGTATTAGGCCTGACACGGTGGCTCACGCCTGTAATCTCAGCACTTTGGGAGGCCAAGGCGGGCAGATCACGAGGTCAGGAGATCGAGATCATCCTGGCGAAACTGGTGTAATCCTGTCTCTACTAAAAATAAGAAAATTAGCTGGGCGTGGTGACGCGTGCCTGTAATCCCAGCTACTCCGGAGGCTGGGGCAGGAGACTCGCTTGAACCTGGGGAGGTGGAGTTGCAGTGAGCTGAGATTGAGCCACTGCACTCTAGCCTGGCGACAGAGTGAGACTCGGTCTCAAAAAAGAAAAAAAAGGCGGGGCGGCGGGGGATTAAAACACAAATAAGAGTTTGCCACTAGCAAAAAAGGAAGAGATAGGTCTTGTAAAGCCATGTTGAAATTGGATGCTGGGTGAACGGCTAGGTTTCCTTACCAGCCAAGTGTCTTAGTCAGTTTGTGCTGCTATAAAGGGTGAGGGTGAGTAATTTATAAAGGAAAGAGGTTTATCTGGCTCACATTCTGCAGGCTGTACAAGAAACATGGTGCCAGCATCTCCTGGTGAGAAAGTCAGATTGCTTCTACTCATGGTGGAGAGGGAAGGAAAGAAGTGCGGGCAGAAATCACACGGCAGGGAAGAAACAAGAGAGAGGGAAGGAGGTGCCAGACTTTTTTCAACAACCACTTCTTGTCGCTCCTACAAGAATCTCACCAAGTCATTGATGAGGGATCCACCCCATGACCCAAACACCCCCAAGCATCCCCCACCACCAACACTGGAGATCAAATTTCAACATGAGACTTGACAGAGCCAAACAGACCATGTTTAAAGCATAGCACCAAGAAAGCAGTTTATTCTCACTTGCCTAGAGTAGGAGTGATTCAAGTTAAAAATGCATTTGTGGCCCTGGAACACTTCAAGTGTATTAAATGCCAAGTGTATGTGGTAATTAACGTAAAATATAATGTAATGTAACTTACTTATACTTATTAATTGACTTCTGTTTCTCCTCACTATAAATTGTCAGCATGCAGTTTTACTTCAAATAATAATCCTTCTAAGTATACCCAATAAAAAATAATACCCAGATGACTCACATGAAAACAAAAATTTATTCAAATTACCTCAAATTTTAGAAAATAAACTAAGATTGACATAGTCACCCATTGCTCTTGTAATTATGAGGTTGACACCAAATACACATTAATCAATCAAATAAAGAGTCTCAATAGTCCGAGATTCACGTGACCAACTGAACCAACCTTGTACAAAATCATTCATTTTTTTTCTTTTGCCAAACGTAACATATACACAATCTATTTTGCTATCGTTTAATTTTATAAGAAGAAAGTAAGGTCCAAATTAGAGGCTTCTTTTGGTTAATTTTTCCACAAACATGTCTTACAGTAAAGGGCATTTTCCCTTTATCTTTTAGCTATATTTCTCCAGATGATCAAATTAGTTGTGAAAAAGTATTGGTTGTTTGGAGTGAAAATGATGAGCACCGGAAACACATTATCCTAAAAGAGAGAAATGTTTAATATTTACATTTCATAGCAAGAAATATTGTACCTGGCTAAAATAAACTGAGAAGTAGTTTACCAATAATGGTCTATTGTCATACTAATATTTACTTATATGATAAAATAAGAGTTCTTAAATTTTTTACAAATGTGACATGATTTGTCACATATTTATTTATACTCCTTAGAACTATTTGAGAATGTGAAATTGTTTTGTCCATACTTCTAATAGTTCCACATCTATTTTTTCATCCCCCCAAAATAATAAATTGTTTTTAAATTACAAGAATGCTTTTTAAAAAAAATTATGTTTTTTCTTTTAAATCTAGTAAGTTCTAAATTACACTTTAATGCAACCTCTGGTAAGCTCTAAAACAGATTTATAGTCTGTAATTATTGTCTTTATTTCCACTCCAGTACTTCTACATCTTACCCCCATGGGGCTAAAAAGAATATTGAAACTTAGCACTATTTAACATACCAATTAAAAAGACACATTAAAAATTATAATTATGGCCAGGCACGGTGGCTCACGCCTGTAATCCCAGCACTTTGGGAGGCCGAGGCAGTGGATCATTTGAGGTTAGGAGTTCAAGACCAGCCTGGCCAACACGGTGAAACCCCGTCTCTACTAAACATACAAAAAATTAGCCAGGAGTGGTGACAGGCGCCTGTAATCCCAGCTACTGGGGAGGCTGAAGCAGGAGAATCACTTGAACCCGGGAGGTGGAGGTTGCAGTGAGCCGATATGGCACCACTGCACTCCAGCCTGGGCAACAAGACTGAAACTCCGCCTCAAAAAAAAAAAAAAAAAAAAAAAAAAAGAATTACAGTGAAATTACATTAAGAATTTTCTGTAAATAACCACTCTTTTGGATAAGACATTGTGGATAATCGATGTTTTGAAAAGGTTAGCCTTTAAATAGGAATTACATTTTAAGAGAGAACATTTATGAGAGCTCAAGAGCAAGTTGATATTGGACTGCATTGAGCTGATGATGTTTCTTAAGTTTGTGCTTTAGTTTCTACATTGATATCGCTGGTGACCTTTAGAGATCACCTTATTTCTCTGGACTAGCTATTTCCTAACAGAGAAAACGGGAATAACAATTTCTATATTCCCATCTTAAAAATATGATAGATCTAAAATAGTGGCTGGTTTCTTGATTTTACTTTTCTTCATTTCCCTCTTCTTAATAATAACTATTATTCAGTGCTGACTACGTGGCTAGGCATTGTTTTAAGTGCTTTCATAAGTATTAAAATTTGTAATCCTCTGCCACATGTGCTAAGGTGAGAATTAATCTCATACCTATTTCACTGATGAGAAAACTAAGCCATGGAGATGTCAAGTAACTTGCCTAAAGTCATGCAGTCCATGAATGCCAGAGCCAGGATTCAGACCTGGTAGACCGTACTGTCCGTGGCTTTTACCACTATACTTACTGTCTTTTTATTTTTTTATTGCAGCTAAATTTTTTGAGCTAGGTCTATTACTAGAATTTCCACTGAAGCACTATTATAGCCTTATGAATTAAATCCTAACACGACTATTACTTTACAAATGAAGAAAACCAGTTACAGCAAAGTTCATTATTTGCCCAATGTCGCAAAGCACTATCAGATTGAGCTCAGAGATTTGACTCCAGCAGTTGCATTTCCTGTACTGCTATACAAATACATTTCATTACACAGCAGAATTAACTTGTTTATGCTCTACTTCACTTTACAACAATTTGAGATGGCTTCAAAACATGTTACATGTTGTTTAAGAAGAAGACATTAGTTTTGGACAGTTGTTGCAAATTTAAATGTGGAAGTAGCATGACATGGTTAAATAACCAGTGGAACTGAGAGACACGGGTAAAGATACAGCACTGTCACTGTTCCATCCCAACTGCCTATAAACTGATGGCTGTGACACCTGCCCTGTCAAGAACCATACATGTGACTTCAACTCACAGTCAGTTGGCCAGAACTAGTTACATGGCCTCAATTTGACTGTGAGGAAAAAAGGAAGATATCACATGTGTCCAGAAAGAAGAGAAGAACCAGGAATGATGAGTATTAGTGATTTCTAGGATACTTTATCTCTAATATAAGAAAAAATAACAACCAAATCTTAGCCGATTGCATGAATTTAATGTATATGACATTTCATGTGTGGTACATATATTAAGTTGACATAAACCCTAGTTCATGTTTCTCTTGAAATGTACCTATTCTAAAATGAATAATTACTTAGGGAAGCCAACTAGTTAAGATACTTAGGTTTGAAGTTTATTTTTTCACTTCTTCATATGACTTTTTCTATGCCTCATAAGCTTCTATAAGTAACAAAAATAATTACATTTATTTGGTATTTACTATGTTCCGGACACCATGTATTAACTCATTTCATCCTCACACTGACTGTATGATGTGAGCACGATTTATTATGTCTATTTAGTATATGAGAGTACTATCGACTGGATCATTTGTTTGAATTAATGTGAATAAAGCTGTAAAAAGAGAAGATAATTCTGACAGCTCATCTTGAAAACTTCAGTAATACCGCTGTTGTTAACCTATTTTAAAAATCTAAAAAAAAGTTAGCATTTAGTGGATATTTACTACAGGATAAACACAGTGCTCCTGCTTTAAATTTGTGTTGCATGTAACCTGCACATAAATTCTCCAGGATAAATACGTTAAGCTACATTTGACAGATGAAAAATATAAGGCATATGGACTCCAAACCTAGGAATATATGTATTTGTATACTTAAGAATGAATGGGATATTTGATCATTAAAATATATTAAAATTGTATTCCCCAAGGATATCTTCGAAAGAGTTGAATATGGATGTGATGGTGTTTATTGGTTGTTGCAATTTTTAAAAATTTTTCCACCTACAATGGCTTACTTTGCCATTTTAAATCATGTTGAACCATAAATTCATTTATCTTAATTTTACTTGCTGAGCTTTTAACCGAGACACAGAAATTAGGTAAAGATATTAAGTAGAACAATGACAGCAGATATTCATACACAATTGAGGAGAGAAAATAATTACTATTCAAAAGGGCTATTCTGATTTGTCTTGCCCCAGGAGGGATGACATATATATTGTATACAACGAAAGCTTAAGATGTTCTCTTTGAAGTGTTCATTGACTTAGTCATTAATAAAAGTTTCATGAAGCCAAGTTATAATTCATGAAGTACTTTTAAAACACAGAATTAAACAGTTGATACCATTTTCTATAAAAATGTGTACTAGAAAGAATGAAAATGTCACCTTTCATTATGTTAACCTTAATATCAGCTATTAGGTTTAAAATAATGTCAAATAGAATAAGCTACAAGGAGCTCATATGATCATTTATTTATACCTTCATGCCACTTTAAATATTCTAGATTTTTAAATTTTCTTACTTCACCTGAGCAATGTATGATATGGTCTAGTACTTTTTATTCATCATGAACAAAAGAGAAATAAATGTGAATCAATGTACTGAATATTTCAAATTTAAAGAAAACACTGGACTAATCGTGTGTGCACACATGTGTTTGTGTGTGCATATGTGCACACTTGTGTCAGGCAGAACAAGCACATTACTTATGATGGCTGTATTCGGTGTGGCTCATTCTCCACCTTCCCCCCAGCTATTAGGAATCTCTAAAAATAGACTGTGTATGGAGCCCTTAATAATCTATTGCATATAGCCAACACCAATGCTTCATTAATTTTATATAAAACAAATCATCAAAGTGTTTGTTACAAAATGTGTATTTATTCATGCAATTCTGTAAATATGCTCTAAATAAACTGTCACTAGCCTATAAGGATCAATGCTTATGACTTACTTTTCACATCATTAGTTTCATGTAAAATAAAAATACTGTAAAAATGTATACAGAGAATAAAGTACTCTTAGCAGCTGTTTTATTAATTAGAAAATTTTTGCTAATAATTTTGATATTTTGGTTTGATAGATTTTTTCTATTAAATGATTGGCAGAAATACAGAGTTTGAATTATTGATCATTTTGATCAATATTAAAATGTTTCATGTTTATTTTAAACTTAGGTTTTTTTCCCCAATAGTATTAGGCAGAATTACCATCCCCTATATGTACAAAAATAAAGCATCATTAATTTCCATACTAGATTTTGGCATAAAAGGAACACTTGCTATTTTATTTGTATATTTCTTCTACTCATTTTCTCTAATGTTTCAATTTTCAATTTGCTGTGATTCCGAATGTCTTGTAGTTTTTGAGTTGCATGTGTGCTTTCTAAATAACACAGATGAGAAAAATAAGACACTATTATAGACTGTATTGTATGACTTTATACCTATGAATCAGATTTCAATTTAAGAAAGAACAAACTGTTGAGATACTTGGATTCTTTTTAATTAAAATATTAAGATTTTGGGTTTCTATCAAGGACTCTCGTTGGGGGTTCAACATACCTCGTTTTTTATTCAAATTAAATCTAGTAAATATCTTTCTTTGATTTATTCCAATGGAGATTATAACTATATTGCATTATGGGCTAGGAATAATGTATTGCTTGTCTTTACACTTCATAATTATTTTGTTCATTAATGAATAGTGTCTAGAATACTGTTTGATTTACAGTAGCTGTCCAATATTTATATTTTGGGGGATAAATGTATAGGTATAATTGTATTGTGTCAAAATATTTAAAATGAATTAAACGATCATGAAAAGACCTAATATACATTACAAGTAGAATTTTTATACACACACACACACACACACAAATATATATATTGTATACAAATAATTTACATAAAGTTTTATAGTGTAATCTATTTTTATTTTCTATTTGCTATTGATTTAATTGCTTTCTTGGGAGTCTCAGAGACACTTCTTTAAAAAAAGCCTAACTTCAACATTACTATATTTGTTACTTTAAATTCATTTGCTAAACCTCTGTATAGAATTTGTTTTTGTCTCTTCCCAACCAGTTATATTTATATACATTTGTTAAATAGACAAGGCTGACTACTCTTCAAAATGCTGTTGCTATAGAAATTTAGCCAAATATGTTAAGTATGACACCATAAAAATGGGTTTTAAAATACAGCCTTGACAAAAATATGATCCATTTTACAATATTATGACAAATGAAACAAAATAAACCACCACCAACAAAATTTTTTTTAACGTACATTGACAAATAATATTCAAGATTCCAAGAGCGCTAATTTTGAAATTCTAAATTTCAGGGACCTCCCCTAGCTAGTTTGTGATGCATTCATTTTAAAAATCAAGGACTCGATTGAGAAGGCTTCATGCTACTATGTGTACTCTGGAAAGACCATTGAGGAACAGTTCAATTTGGTTACAAGATTCTTTATTTTGTAAACTATACATAAACAGTAAAAAAGAAAATGCATTATACTTTATTACGTAAAGTCAACATTAAATTTTGTATTGAGTGTGTATAAATTAAATGGAAATAATTAATCAATTTTGCTTTCAATGAATTGTATACTGGGAAACCAGTTTACCCACTGTTGAAATTAAAGATACCAATACGTAACATTCAACAGGTTTTTCCATTTTTATTATGGGCACAAAACCATTGGTATGATATAGTTAAAAGTGATGGTGTGCCAAAATGTCTACACAATTAATTAACATGCTAACTTAAATACAGCGGTTAAAGTAATTTTTGCTACAGTTAAATCTTAAATGCTACTCTACACAATAATCATAAACAAGTCCACATGGCAATTATGTAACAATAGAAAAAAAGAAACAAACGTATCCCATTTTCTTCATTCCAGCAGCAATACCTTTACTGATATTAATCTGTTAATTAGGTGTGCTTATATATTGCGTAATATACTATATTGGTATGCATGCTAAAATCTTTCTATCTCTATTTTTGCAAGGCACCATACAATAAGTTCTCTAAGTTTCCACACTACTAACAAAAATAACATAATTCTAAGATTAAATGCAAACTTTTACCTAAAATGGGAAATAAAATGAAAATTAAGAATTTAAAATTTGACCTTGGGGCAAATGACAAACTTTGTAAAAATATGGTTTAAATGAATCTTTCCCTTTGTCTTCCTAATTTAAATTCTGCTCCCTAAGTTGCTGGTCAGAAAGATAAAGAAATCTAGAAAGGCAAACAAATCATGTTATTAAAGAATCTTTTAAAAAATCTGCATGAGACTGCCATCCAAATTAAAATACACATTGGGGAGAACAACTAAATTTTTAACTTTCAGAATCCATGGTTTTCCATACTTGCCATTTTGTAAAATGTCCTATTAGATCCAGAATAATTTCATAGGTAAAAACACCACTATTAATGTAAACACAATTGAGGACTCTACAATTGTCACTTTGTTTTTCTTGCCATGTGGTATCTCTCTGTTATCCTGACTCAACTAGGTCTAGCAAGATGCTACTTTGGAAATGCAATTAAAGCATGCATATTTTTCCTAAATCCTTAAGACCCAGGTCATTAAAAATTTATTTATTTTAAATTTCACTTAGAATTATCTTTCAGAAAATTAACATGTACGATCCCAAGCACTAGCTGTCATTTTGCTTATGGAAGATTTACAAAGTTTGTTCTCGTGAAAAACTTATTATAGTAGCACTTCAAAACTTTATTTTGTCTGACTAGACTGCATATGTATTTTCTTTTTGTGTAAGGAATATAAAAACTCAAAGCAAATGATTCTTATTTAAACATAAAGTTCTATAACTTTAGCTGCAATTTTTCAAATAATTATACAAAATATATGTGAGGTTTAGAATCATTTTGTTATTGGGGAAGAAGATAATTTTAAATAGGCTATCATTTTTGTAAATATTAGAAATGTAGAATTTATTGATTTCAACTGTCATCAATCAAATGTATACATCATGGTCATCACCACCATCATCATCATCCCCTTCATCTTCATCATCATCTTCAATTTCATCTTCATCATTCATAATATCGTCTTCATCATCCTCATCATCAGTCCATTCATGAAAATCGCCACTAGCAAAATCTCCGGAGATCTCAAAATCTATAGCTTAAAACAAGTGAAAGTAAACATAACCTTTATTTGACTGAATACTGTCAATTTCTGCAAGATAAAATCCTTATAAAAATTAAGAATATTTTTTAGAAAGTAATTTGTTTTCTATCTTATTTATCAAAGATAATGAAAGATCCATTTTCTGGAAAATTATCACATGTTAAAAATCTATCATTTGTTAAAATGTATGTGCTAAAAGCAGAATCATTATTGAGGTATGTTATGCAAGATTTCCAGTCCAGTAATATTGATCTCATCCCAGTTGTTATAGAAATTCATGTCAGACTGTGCATTTTGCAAAGAATTCAAAATTTCTTCTACAAGTGTGGCAGAAAAATTGCCCTACCAAAGATATTCATTTCCTAATCTCCAGAATCTATAATGTTACCTTAACATGAAAAAGTGACTTTGCAAATATGGTTAAGTAAAGGAATTTGAATTGGAGAGATTATCCTGAATTACCCAGGTGGATCCAAATTGTCACTTAGGTTCTTAAAATAAAAAAAAAAATGTTTTCCAGATAGAGTGGGAAGGAGCTATGACTACAGAAGAATGATCAGAGATGCAGTGTTGTCGGCTTAAGTTTAGAGGAAAGAGTCCATGAACCAAGGGATGAGAGCTACCTCTAAGAGGTGAAAAGGGCAAGGAAACAGATTTTCCTCTAAAGCTTCCAGAGAGGAGCACCATCCTGCTGACATCTGGATGTTGAGCTTAGTGAGACCTGTGTTGATCTTCTGAGGCACAGAAATGTAGGATAAATGTGTGTTGTTTAAGCCACTGAGTGGGAATTTGTTACTAAAGCAACAGAAAACTAATATTTTACAAAATATTTTAAAAATAACTATTAACACTTATGGAGGCAATAATGCACATACATCTTAGCACTCACTGTGTATTGACTTTTCAACTCCTCAAATGCTAGCGTGGATTTATTTTATACTCTTTCTAATATTTTATTCTTATAATTATTTGGTATCTAATTATAACAAATCCTATTGATGTAATTCAAGGTTTATAAATTGGTTGATCTCACAAGACAACACACTAAAATTCCCATCTTAACTGAAGAAAATATTTAGTTCTCCAACTTCATCTACTGTGTTAGTTATAAAATGTAAAGAAAACTCAGATGTCCACGTTCCAAAAGCAATGTTCTTGTTCACTTAAGGAACTCATCTCCATATAACTTTTATTTACAACATAAAAAAGTTATGTATCCATCATTGTCATCAATGACAACAGAATTAATTTATAATGCAACTACTTTACAGCACACATTACAAAGATGTGTTCCCTATATGTAAAATTTATGTAAGGCAGCTATTGAATCCTCTTTCTTCCTACTTAAATCTAACTGCATTGGCCAGGTCAGCAAACCGAAACTAAGCTGTTAAAAATGTTATGAACAAATGGATTCAGAGCAGGAATTTAAAGTTTAAATGAGATTACTTTTATTGTTTATCTTTTTTTAATAGTCTTAGTTTATTAGTCTAAAATTTGCTTGAAGAATACATCTAAATATTTTCTAAAATGCAAGATTAAAAAGTATTTTATTCTCATTTTTGATCATTTATATTAATTGAAACACAAAGAATTAATTCCTGGTGTGTGTGTGTGTGTGCGCGTGTGTGTGTCTACAATGAGGTGGCTTTTGTCATGAAAACTGTCTATAATACCAAGAAAATTGACACTTGCATTCTAGAAAAATGTTTTATGAAGTACAAATGGTACCACAATGGAAACTTTAAAATGCATGTATGTTATGCTCAACTAAGCGTTACATTCTATTTTAAATATATACATAAAAAATGCATGTTCCTAAAAAAGAATTAGAATATTAGCTATAATTCCCTTTAAACAGTCAAACTACATTTTCCTCACTCAAGCACAAGGAAACATGCTCATATAGCTGTAATTTATGGACTTTTACTTTAAAAAGGTTTGTATTTCTTTGGCTGGTGAACCCACATATTCCCTAAGTTACCATCTCCAGAGGTATACAGACAAAAGGGTGTCATCTGAAGACACGATAAATAGAGTTTATTGACTTGCAGTAGGATGAATGAGAAAGGTCTGCTTTAGCTGAGAGGAAAAGAAGTACCTCAACAACTTTCTGAATTTGAAGTAGGAAAGGAACTCAGCTTTTAATTAATCTCTCTAGAAAATCTAAATTATGCAATGACCACTTATTATCTATCCAAGTTTTTAACATGCTAGGAGTAAGTTTTTTTTGTCACTCCCTCCACCCTAGATATTCTACAGTCTTTGCATAGAGTAAGTCCTCATTAAATGCTTGAACAAATGAATGAGGCTCTAAAGCACTTAATTCTGTGCTTAGAAAATTATGAAATAAGTAACCCTTCTCCTTACCACAATCTGCAACACCATTTATTCTGGATCCCATGACTTCATTTCCATATCTGTCAACACACCAGCACTGTCCAACACTGCCATGACATTGTGTTGGCTTGTAGTAACCATCTTCATCACACAGGGGGATATACTGTCCTGTTGAAACAACACACAGGCATACAAACACACACATGTAGTTTATGAATAAGCTGTGCTCCTTTCTGAGAAGCACCCATTATGCATTAATGCATTAAAGACTTACACATATGGAGTGTCCACTGTATTCCAGGATAGATACCAGTGATGCCTTAGAAGAAATCAGGGAAGTCTTTTGTGTCATGGAGCTGGCCATTGCCACAATGAACTGCTTATAGTTCATGGATTCATTTCCTTTGTAAAGCAAAGTACTATCTTACTAGTTCTCACTGTGCAAAGGGTAGTGTTTCAGAGGCACAATACAGAATTAAAATCTGATTAGTGCCATGCTTATATTAAATCACCCAGACCACTTAGCATGGCAGAAGACCTGCCACCATCTGCCTTCATCGCTGCCAACTTTCTACTTTCATTTCCCCAAATGTTCATTCCTATATTCCAAGTTCTTTCCAAATCAAGCTATGTGTTTTTCCCAAATTCAATGCTGTTTTGTCTCTTTACACATTATGTCGACTAGAGTCTCTCTCCTCTCTCTTCCACTTTAAGATTTGACATAAATGTGACCCACAATTTAAAGTCTTCCTCAAAATGAAAGATTCCTGATTACTTCTTCCATTCTCTGTGTGTGTGTGTTTGTGTGTGTGTGTGTGTTGACTGTCCTTGCATACTTTCACCACTACATTGTGATATCATCTATGGTTAGAAATATTTAGGTTCTCTTCATTTTTATTGTTGTGTGAACAACATCTCAAGCCCATGGTCGAGAGGGAACACAGTCTATTGGGAATAGTAGAACAGATAGATAAATATTTTTTATTTATTTATTTATTTATTTATTTAATTTTACTCTATGGTTTTTTTTTCTTTTTTTATTATTATTATACTTGAAGTTTTAGGGTACACGTGCACAATGTGCAGGTTAGTTACATATGTATACATGTGCCATGCTGCTGTGCTGCACCCATTAACTCGTCACTTAGCATTAGGTATATCTCCTAATGCTATCCCTCCCCCCTCCCCCCACCCCACAACAGTCCCCAGAGTGTGATGTTCCCCTTCCTGTGTCCATGTGTTCTCATTGTTCAATTCCCACCTATGAGTGAGAACATGCGGTGTTTGGTTTTTTGTCCTTGCGATAGTTTACTGAGAATGATGATTTCCAATTTCATCCATGTCGCTATAAAGGACATGAACTCATCATTTTTTATGGCTGCATAGTATTCCATGGTGTATATGTGCCACATTTTCTTAATCCAGTCTATCATTGTTGGACATTTGGGTTGGTTCCAAGTCTTTGCTATTGTAAATAGTGCCACAATAAATATACGTGTGCATGTGTCTTCATAGCAGCATGATTTATAGTCCTTTGGGTATATACCCAGTAATGGGATGGCTGGGTCAAATGGTATTTCTAGTTCTAGATCCCTGAGGAATTGCCACACTGACTTCCACAATGGTTGAACTAGTTTACAGTCCCAGCAACAGTGTAAATGTGTTCCTATTTCTCCACATCCTCTCCAGCACCTGTTGTTTCCTGACTTTTTAATGATTCCCATTCTAACCGGTGTGAGATGGTATCTCATTGTGGTTTTGGTTTGCATTTCTCTGATGGCCAGTGATGGTGAGCATTTATTTATTTATTTATTTATTTTTTGAGACAGAGTCTCACTCCATCACTCAGGCTGGAGTGCAGTGGGGCGATCTCGGCTCACTACAACCTCTGCCTCCCAGGTTCAAGTGATTCTCCTACCTCAGCCTCCTGAGTGGCTGAGATTACAGGCATGCACCACCACACCAAGGTAATTTTTGTGTTTTTAGTACAGATGGGGTTTCACCATGTTGTCAAGACTGATCTCAAACTCCTGACTTCAAGTCATCCATCCACCTCAACCTCCCAGAATGCTGGGATTACAGGCATGAGCCGTCATCCCCGACTAGAGACTTCTTTTTATATCTATAAAATCTAACATACTCTATGGCACAATGCTCATGATAAACCCTTAATTAGTAATTTAAAAGTGAAGTCGTGTTTTTTAATAAGTACTCCAACACCAGAATATAAGTTCCAGGAGATAAGAATATTTTCTTTTATTTTCTGACTTTTTTTTTTTCTGTGACCAGAAGCATAATAGTTATTTGGTGAAATTTAAAAAATAAATAAATAAATGGATAAAAGACAAAACTTAGTCTTGTAACCATATAACATCATAACTTCACTATCTCAAAAAGTTTGAAAATTGTTATACGTAGATTAACTTAGTTTAAAAAACTATAATTTATTCAAAATAGCTGAACTGCTAATCTTTCAATTAGATAGACAGAATATCATTAACTTCAGAACGCTTTCTATGGATTAAAGGCCAGAAAAAATAAGGAAAAAATTCACTGTTGTCACATCTACAGCTTTTACAACTACCATTTGAATTTGACATAAACATGTTATGATGTATAGTTAGTGTGACCATAATTGATACTTTATGCCAGTAAAGTTGGTTGATGTCTGAAGTTTTAGCATAATTCTTAAGAATATTCTCTTTTCCTTTCAAAGACTGAATCTCCAAATCAGGACATGGGGCATCATACTCCTATATAACAAGTGATCAATTTCAGACGCGTACTAATACCCCACCCAAATTAGAAGAAATGCTTAAAGACTTTAGTGTTCTCTATAATAATTTTCATTTATATTATGAAAGAATAATGAAGGTAACTCTTCCCAAATGGGAACTAAGTATTTTTTTATACCTTCAAATAATAAAAACCTGTATTCTAATAGATTTTTGCTACTAATAGAATTTAAGTAGAAAATATTTTTAAGTTGAATTTCAATGGCTTTCTTTATGGTACATGGCTAAACTTTGATTTGCCAAGACAAATCTATATAAGAACTTATTATTATTATTATTATTATTATTATTATTATTATCATTATTATTTCTGAGATGGAGTCTCGCTCTGTTACCCAGGCTGGTGTACGGTGGTGCCATCTCGGCTCACTGCAACATCTTCCTCCCCGGTTCAAGCAATTCTCCTGCTTCAGGCGCCAGAGTAGCTGTGATTACAGGCACACACCACCACGCCAGGCTAATTTTTGTATTTTCAGTAGAGGTGGGGTTTTGCCATATTGGCCAGGGTGGTCTCGAACTCCTGACCTCAGGTGATCTGCCTACCTTGGCCTCCTAAAGTGTTGGGATTACAGGCGTGAGCCACTGTACCCAGCCAGAATGTATTATTTTCATTTGTGAGCTGTGGTATCTCCTGCATCTTGTAACAGGGTCAAAAGAAACATGACACATTGTAGCATTTATCATCAGTAATTTTCACACCTAAAAATGTTTTATTACAAAACATTAAACTTTTAATTTTGTACAATGGGCACTGAAACAAAGATTTGCAAGTAATGTGAAAAATCCTCTTATTTAAATGTAATATATTGTAATTACAAAGATAGTAAGTCAAAATATAAAACAGATTAATCAGATCCAGAGACATTAGAGTTATGTGCCATTAAATACACGAGTGTGTTAATATCCGTGAAAAGAAATATTGCATGTGTGCTGTCATGCTTTGAATTCTAAAATAGAAAAAGAACAGTGGCAAAACTGGTGACAACCAAATAAAGTCTGAAGCTTACTTAATAGGATTATAGCAATGCTAATTTCTTAGATATTTACAAATGTTTCATCGTTATTTGGCACATGCAAGACGTTATATTTAGTGGAAGCTGGGTGAAGAATGTTTGGAAACTATGTACCTTTGTCACTGTTTTTATAAATTTAAAACTATTCCAAAAATAGTTTATTTAAAAATTGTAAGTTTATAAGAATAAACCACTCATATGTAACAGTTTAATAATCTGTTTATATCCAAACATTCAAATATTTCAAGGCTTTGAATAAAATCTGAAATATCTATCTACTTATACATTTACTTATTAAAAGAAGGGTAGTAAAAAACACTAATGAAAAATACCAACAAGTCTATTCAAATTTCCCTGAGGTACTCAGAGCACTTTTCACCCAATTTATAAAACTACATGCTTTAAATAGCACATATACATATATATATATTTGCCATCAATTCTTAAATCTTCACCATATAATTTGAACTGAATTTTCTGCTGATGTTTTAACTTTAGCATTGCTTAAATCTTTCTTTTTACTTAATAACTTTCAAAATGAACATTATATTAGGGTAATAAAACAGACATAATATCTTTCAATAGGTAAGGTAATAAAAGTAAGTTTAATGGCTTTCAAAAAGTTCATAAATTTTGTTGCTGAAATTTAGTGCAGTCTATCTTTGTTGGATTAATATTGATTTTATGTTGCTGTTTCCCTGGGGTTATTTATGTAAGCAATAAAGCCTTCAGAAGAATGATCTATTACTCACCTAGGAGCTTCTTTACCCCTTGCCGCTTCTGAATATTGCTGAGCTCAGTCTGGCAAGGTGGGTCTGCAATGACATTAAAAATGTTACTTCAAGGATTCTAGTTAAACAAAGAAAGTGTAATTTCTATGTTATCAAACTTCACTTAGTCTTTTTGTGCCTTTGGAAGACATGTATTACATATTAATTGGTTTACTTATAAAGATACATTCATATAGGTACATACATGTGTCTATCTATCATCTATCTATCTATCTATCTATCTATCTATCTATCTATCTATCTAATATCTATCTATAGAGACAGAGAGAGCACTCATACTACTTTCCTAATTGTCAATATATCACCTTGGTTTTCCTCAGAATTCCTGGATTGGATTTTTTAAAAGTATAAAAGATACTTATATGATGAAAAATACTTCTTATCATTTACTTTTAAAAGGTCAATCAAGTCAGAAATGTAAATTCAACTAATTGACTGCTGCTGAAGCAATTAACTGATTATGTTTTCCCCTCATTTAAAAGTTTCTGTGATATAGACAAGTAACTTTGTGTTACAAAAGTAATCTAGGAAAAAGTTAATGCTTCTTTCCAGTTATGTTAAAGACCTTATTATAAATTTTAATATTGTATAATGTTAAGAGATATTAGTCTTTTTAGTTTCAGCCATATATGCAATTTAGGAACAGGATATAATATAAAATTATTTCTGATAAGCTGTTATTTTAAAAATAAGCTGAAAACATTTAAACCGATCTGGAAATAGTCTTTGCCTATTTTCAAACTCAACCACTTGAAGGAGGACGTTCGTAGAGAAATGTAAAATTCTAAATAGTCACAATATAGTTTGCCTTATATTATTACTCTTATATTTACTGTTGCCCTTCATATCTGTGAGTTCTGCATTTATAGATTCAACCAACCGCTAATTGAAAATTTTCAAAAAATAAAAATCTAGAGATGATTTAAAGTATATAAGAGGATGTGCGTACGTTATATGTCAATATTTTGCCATTTTATAGAAGGCATTTGAGTGACTTGATTTTGGTGTTCACAAGTGGTCCTGAGATCGATCCCCCTCGGATACTAAGAGATAACTGTATATAATTATATACACATATAATATGTAATATATACAGTCTTATCTGAAAGCAGTTTAGTGCATTTTATATTCATATTCTAAAAGCTTGCTGTTAATGCTTGCTATATAAAAGTGGCATTAGAAAATAGTAAAACTGCAAAATAATATACTATATCTTATTGTCCCATGGTACAACTTTTTAGGAAAAAGGCAAAGTATATTAATTTAAATGTTTTTAAAATTTTATAATACATTGAATTCAAAATATTCAATTATGAAATTTTACGTAACAAAGTGGAATAAAGAATGAGATAGGTGCTTAACATATACATTGTAGTTTAATATGTGAACTTAATCTTGCAGAATCTAAAAAAAAATTCATCTTATAGAATCTAAAATGTAAAGAAAGAGAATCATTCCAAGATGGCCAAACAGGAACAGCTCCAGTCTATAGCTCCTAGTGTGAGCGACGCAGAAGACGGGTGATTTCTGCATTTCCAACTGAGGTACTGGGTTCATCTCATTGGGACTGGTCAGAAAATGGGTGCAGCCCACAGAGTATGAGCCGAAGCAGGGCGGGACATCGCCTCACCTGGGAAGTGCAATGGGTTGGGGAATTCCCTTTCCCAGCCAAGGGAAGCCGTGATAGACGGTACCTGGAAAATTGGGACACTCCTGCCCTGATATTGCACTTTTACAACGGTCTTAGCAGATGGCACACCAGGAGACTATATCCTGCGCCTGGTTTGGTGGGTCCCACGCCCATGGAGCTTTGCTCACTGCTAGCACAGCAGTCGGAGATCCAACTGTGAGGCATCAGCGAGACTGGGGGAGGGGGGTCCACCTTTGCTAAGGCTTGACTAGGTAAACAAAGCAGCCAGGAAGCTCGATCTGGGTGGAGCCCACAGCAGCTCAAGGAGGCCTCCCTGCCTCTGTAGACTCCACCTCTGAGGGCAGGGCATAGCTGAACAAAAGGCAACAGAAACTTCTGCAGACTTAAACGTCCCTGTCTGACAGCTTTGAAGAGAGCAGTGGTTCTCCCACCCCGGAGTTTGAGATCTGAGAACAAACAGACTGCCTCCTCAAGTGGGTCCCTGACCCCCGAGTAGCCTAACTGGGAGATACCTCCCAATAGGGGCTGACTGACACCTCATACAGCCGAGTGCCCCTCTGAGATGAAGCTTCCAGAGGAAGGATCAGGCAGCAACATTTGCTGTTCTGCAATATTTACTGTTCTGCAGTCTCCACTGGTGATACCCAGGCAAACAGGGTCTGGAGTGGACCTCCAGAAAACTCCAACAAACCTGCCTCTGAGGGTCCTGACTGTTGGAAGGAAAAGCAACAATCAGAAAGGAATAGCAGTAACATCGACAAAAAGGACATCCACACCAAGACCGCATCTGTAGGTCACCATCATCAAAGACCAAAGGTAGATAAAACCAGAAAGATGGGAAGAAACCAGAGCAGAAAAGCTGAAAATTCTAAAAACCAGAGCGCCTATTCTCCTCCAAAGGAACGCAGCTCCTCACCAGCAACAGAACAAAGCTGGATGGAGAATGACTTTGACGAGTTGACAGAAGTAGGCTTCAGAAGATCAATAATAAGAAACTTTTCCAAGATAAGGGAGGATGTTCGAACCCATTGCAAGGCAGCTAAAAACTTTGAAAAAAGATTAGACAAATGGCTAACAGGAATAAACAGCATAGGGAAGACCTTAAGTGACCTGATGGAGCTGAAAACCATGGCATGAGAACTACGTGATGCGTGCATAAGCTTTAGTAGCCGATTCGATCAAGTGGAAGAAAGGGTATCAGTGATTGAAGATCAAATGAATGAAATGAAGCGAGAAGACAAGTTTAGAGAAAAAAAAAGTAAAAATAAACGAACAAAGCCTCCAAGAAATATGGGACTATGTGAAGAGACCAAATCTACATTTGATTGGTGTACGTGAAAGTGATGGGGAGAATGGAACCAAGTTGGAAAACACTCTGCACGATATTAACCAGGAGAACTTCCCCAACCTAGCAAGGTAGGCCAACATTCAAATTCAGGATATACAGAGAACACCACAAAGACATTCCTCAAGAAGAGCAACCCCAAGACACATAATTTTCATATGCACCAAGGTGGAAATGAAGGAAAAAATGTTAAGGGCAGCCAGAGAGAAAGGTCGGGTTACCCACAAAGGGAAGCCCATCAGACTAACAGCGGATCTCTCAGCAGAAACTCTATGAGCCAGAAGAGAGTGGGGGCCAATATTCAACATTCTTAAAGAAAAGTATTTTCAACCCAGTATTTCATATCCAGCCAAACTAAATTTCATAAGTGAAGGAGAAATAAAATCCTTTACAGACAAGCAAATGCTGAGGGATTTTCTCACCACCAGGCCTGCCTTATAAGAGCTCCTGAAGAAAGCACTAAACATGGAAAGGAACAACCAGTAACAGCCACTGCAAAAACATGCCAAATTGTAAAGACCATTGACACTAGGAAGAAACTGCATAAACTAATAGGCAAAATAAGCAGCTAACATCATAACGATAGGATCAAATTCACACATAACAATATTAACCTTAAATGTAAATGGGCTAAATGCCCCAGTTAAAAGACACAGACTGGCAAGTTGGATAAAGAGTCAAGACCCATCAGTGTGCTGTATTCAGGAGACCCATCTCATGTGCAGAGACACACATAGGCTCAAAATAAAGGGATGGAGGAAGATCTACTAAACAAATGTAAAACAAAAAAAGCAGGGTTGCAATCCTAGTCTCTGATAAAACAGACTTTAAACCAACAAAGATCAAAAGACAAAAAGAAGGCCATTACATAATGGTAAAGGCATGAATTCAACAAGAAGAGCTAACTATCCTAAATATATATGAACTCAATACAGGAGCACCCAGATTCATAAAGCAAGTCCTTAGAGACCTACAAAGAGACTTAGACTCCCACACAATAATAATGGGAGACTTTAACACCCTACTGTCAACATTAGACAGATCAATGACACAGAAAGTTAACAAAGATATCCAGGCCTTGAACTCAGCTCTGCACCAAGCAGACTTAATAGACATCTACAGAACTCTTCACCCCAAATCAACAGAATATACATTCTTCTCAGAAGCACATCACACTTATTCCAAAATTCACCACTTAGTTGGAAGTAAAGCACTCCTCAGCCAGCAAATGTAAAAGAACAGAGATCATAACAAACTGTCTCTCAGACCACAGTGCAATCAAATTAGAACTCAGGATTAAGAAACTCACTCAAAACCACTCAACTACATGGAAACTGAACAACCTGCTCCTTACTGGGTACATAACGAAATGAAGGCAGAAATAAAGATGTTCTTTGAAACCAATGAGAACAAAGACAGAACATACCAGAATCTCTGGGACACATTTAAAGCAGTGTGGAGAGGGAAATTTATAGCACTAAATGCCCACAAGAGAAAGCAGGAAAGATCTAAAATTGACACCCTAACATCACAATTAAAAGAACTAGAGAGGCAAGAGCAAACACATTCAAAAGCTAGCAGAAGGCAAGAAATAACTAAGATCAGAGAAGAACTGAAGGAGATAAAGACACAAAATCCCTTCAAAAAATCAATGAATCCAGGAGCTGGTTTTTTGAAAGGATCAACAAAATTGATAGACTGATAGCAAGATTAATAAAGAAGAAAAGAGAGAAGAATCAAATAGATGCAATAAAAAATGATAAAGGAGATATCACCACCGATCCCACAGAAATACAAACTACCATCAGAGAATACTGTAAACACCTTTACACAAATAAACTAGAAAATCTAGAAGAAATGCATAAATTCCTGGACACATACACCCTCCCAAGACTAAACCAGGAAGAAGTTGAATCCCTGAATAGACCAATAACAGACTCTGAAATTGAGGCAATAATTAAGAGCCTACCAACCAAAAAAAGTCCAGGACCAGATGGATTCACAGCCAAATTCTACCAGATGTACAAGGAGGAGCTGGTACCATTCCTTCTGAAACTATTCCAATCAATAGAAAAAAAGTGAATCCTCCCTAACTCATTTTATGAGGTCAACATCATCCTGATACCAAAGCCTGGCAGAGACACAGCAAACAAAGAGAATTTCAGGCCAACATCGCTGATGAACATTGATGCAAAAATCCTCAGTAAAATACTGGCAAACCGAATCCAGCAGCACATCAAAGAGCTTATCCACCATGATCAAGTTGGCTTCATCCCTGGGATGCAAGTCTGGTTCAACCTATGCAAATCAATAAACGTAATCCATCACAAAAAGAGAACCAATGACAAAAACCATATGATTATCTCAATAGTTGCAGAAAAGGCCTTTGACAAAATTCAACAGCCCTTCATGCTAAAAACTCTCAATAAACTAGCTATTGATGGGACATATCTCAAAATAATAAGAGCTATTTATGACAAACCCACAGCCAATATCATACTGAATGGCCAAAAACTGGAAGCATTCCCTTTGAAAACTGGCACAAGACAGGGATGCCTTCTCTCACTACTCCTATTCAATATATTGTTGGAAGTGCTGGCCAGGGCAATCAGGCAGGAGAAGGAAATAAAGGATATTCAATTAGGAAAAGAGGAAGTCAAATTGTCCCTGTTTGCAGATGACATGATTGTATATTTAGAAAACCCCACTGTCTCAGCCCAAAATCCCCTTAAGCTGATAAGCAACTTCAGCAAAGTCTCAGGATACAAAATCAATGTGCAAAAATCACAAGCATTCTTATACACCAATAACAGAAAAACAGAGAGCCAAATCATGAGTGAACTCCCATTCATAATTGCTTCAAAGAGAATAAAATACCTAGGAATCCAACTTATAGGAAATGTGAAGGACCTCTTCAAGGAGAACTACAAACCACTGCTCAATGAAATAAAAAAAGATACAAACAACTGGAAGTACATTCCATGCTCATGGATAGGAAGAATCAATACCATGAAAATGGCCTTACTGCCCAAGGTAATTTATAGATTCAATGCCATCCCCTTCAAGCTACCAATGACTTTCTTCATAGAATTGGAAAAAACTACTTTAAAGTTCATATGGAATCAAAAAAGAGCCTGCATTGCCAAGACAATCCTAAGCCAAAAGAACAAAGCTGGAGGCATCATGCTACCTGACTTCAAACTATACTACAAGGCTATGGTAACCAAAACAGCATGGTACTGGTACCAAAACAGAGATATAGACCAGTGGAACAGAACAGAGCCCTCAGAAATAATACCACACATCTACAACCATCTGATCTTTGACAAACCTGACAAAAACAAGAAATGGGGAAAGGATTCCCTTTTTAATAAATGGTGCTGGGAAAACTGGCTAGCCATATGTACAAAGCTGAAACTGGATGCCTTCCTTACATCATATACAAAAGTTAACTCAAGATGGATTAAAGACTTAAATGTTAGACCTAAAGCCATAAAAACCCTAGAAGAAAACCTAGGCAATACCATTCAGGACATAGGCATGGGCAAAGACTTCATGTCTAAAACACCAAAAGCAATGGCAACAAAAGCCAAAATAGACAAATGGGATCTAATTAAACTTAAGATCTTCTTCACAGCAAAAGAAACTTCCTTCAGAGTGAACAGGCAACCTACAGAATGGGAGAAAATTTTTGCAATCTATTCATCTGACAAAGGGCTAACATCCAGAATCCACAAAGAACTTGAACAAATTTATAAGAAAAAAATCAAACAACCCCATCAAAAAGTGGGTAAAGGATATGAACAGACATTTTTCAAACGAAGTCATTTATGCCACCAACAGACACAGAAAAAATGCTCATCATCACTGGCCATCAGGGAAATGCATATCAAAACCACAATGAGATACCATCTCACACCAGTTAGAATGGTGATCATTAAAAAGTCAGGAAACAACAGGTGCTGGAGAGGATGTGGAGAAATGGGAATACTTTTACACTGTTGGTGGGACTGTAGACTAGTTCAACCATTGTGGAAGGCAGTGTGGTGATTCCTCAAAGACATAGAACTAGAAATACCATTTGACCCAGCCATCCCATTACTGGGTATATACCCAAAGGATTATAAATCATGCTACTATAAAGACACATGTGCACGTATGTTTATTGCAGCACTGCTCACAATAGCAAAGACTTGGAACCAACCCAAATGTCCATCAATGATAGAATGGTTTAAGAAAATGTGGCACATATACATCTTGGAATACTATGCAGCCATAAAAAAAGATGAGTTCATGTCCTTTGTAGGGACATGGATGAAGCTGGAAACTATCATTCTGAGCAAACTATCACAAGGACAGAAAACCAAACACCACATGTTCTCACTCATAGGTGGGAATTGAACAATGAGAACACTTGGACACAGGGTTGGGAACTTCACACACAAGGGCCTATGGTGCGGTGGGGGGAGCGGGGAGGGATAGCATTAGGAGAAATACCTATTGTAAATGACGAGTTTATGGGTGCAGCACACCAACATGGCACATGTATACATATGTAACAAACCTGCACGTTGTGCACATGTACCCTAGAACTTAAAGTATGATAAAAAATAAAAAAAAATAAAAATAAAATAATAAAATGTAAAGAAAACCTGTTTTAAAATCTTGTATAATTAGTATATTGTTCTATTTCATTTTGAAATTGATCCAATTGATCCCTTTGTTATTCCTGATAATCTTCTGAGTCTCTTATATTAAAGAATTAGGAATCATATTGTATAGTTTTTTATACAGACATTTAAAATTTTATAGCTCTCCAAATATGACATTTAAGAACTAAGAGGAAAGAGTCCAGCTGAAGTTTCAATATTATATTGAAAACAGTTCTTCTAGTTGCAATTGGCTAGTTATTGTAAAGCAGAAATAGGATTTCTAATGTCTACTTGAACACCCTCGTGCATTTGAGTCTATACCTGAAAATGCACGTACATTTGATCGGAATTTTGATTAGTAACCTCAGAGAATATGTCTGCCTACCAGCGTTACAAGCTCTGTGTAAAAGAACATTTTAGAATTTCAAGAAAATCATGACTGATTGGATTGTTCAAGTATATATAATATTTGATTTTAAACTATTTTCTTATTATTTATTAGCCAGCTCTGTAAGTCTAGCCTTTAGGTATTCTTAGAGCACTTAACTGAGACTTCATCTATCATTTAAACTCACTTGCAAATAACTGATCTAGATAAAAGAATAGTAACCTAACTAATTGCATTAAAGTTTGGACAGAATCAGACTATTAGGTCTACACAGGGTAAGGACTAATAGGTCAGCTTAGGGTAGAGACATGGATTCATCTCATAAGATGAATTCCCCCAATGTGTTTGCTACCAACGAGTGTTTTAAGTTTATGCTAAATTCTTATCTTATGTGCTTAAAAACTGTATGAGAATCACAAATTAATAAAATATAAAATTTAATCAGAATTTTTTATTAACTGTTCTAAACCAGTAGGGAAGAATGAAAAAAAAATAGAAGTTAAATTTCCAGATGTTGTTTGTTTTGAATATAAAATTGTTGATTGTTCTGCATTCTGAATTTAAAAACCCAAACCCCTACATTGGAGTCATTATATTAGGAATTGGTAATTTTCAATACAACAGTAACAATGCACTTTTATTTACCCATGAAATTTTGAACTAAAGAAAATGTAATTGGGATAAATAAATTTAAAATACGTATATGTTTCCAACAGTTACTACAATACAAAGTATGTTTTCTATACTTGAAAGAAGTCATTTCTAAGAAATACTTGTTTTTAGCTGTCAAATATATATGGATAATATAGAGTCAAAACTGAAAAGAAAGTGGGCATTATGGAGGTTTGTGAATGAATCTCTAAGTTGGCAGCATATGGCTGCACAGGCTGTGTACTGCACAACTCCAACAGGGTACCATCTACCTGAATTGCACTATCAATGGTGCCCTGAAGTTTTACAACAAGGCAGCCCTCTAGCAGTTTTTTAAGTAAGCCACTGCCCTTAATCACTTTTCTTCTCCATACGTTATTGGTCACGTAGCCTCTCATAGAATGGTTATACTTTTAAAACTTTATTAGATTCATTTCATTCATAGAAATTACAAATATTCACAATTCCAAATCCTCCATATTTATTTGATTTAATAGGAAAATCATATCTTTTAAAAAGAATGAATTAATCCCCCATGCACTACACTTTGACATCTCTTCCTGTTTATTAAATGTATACATAACCTCCAATAATGTCATTAATTTTCATTTCATTCCTGAGAAAAAACCCTGCATAAACTAGTTATTGGAAAAGGACTTGTTGATGTTATTCGTACTGAATAAGACTATCCAATAAGTTGCACTGATGATTCTATGGCATTTTATATATAATTACTTTGTTATTTCTGAAAGTAGAATTACAAATATTTGAAGACAGAAATCAAGGAGTTTCATTTCAAATACCAGTTTATTCATGTACTCATTTCATAATGTGAAGTTATTGAATATGAATAAACTTCAGTCCTTAGCCATAAAATGGGAATATTTATACTTTCACAGGGCTATTTCAGTAATAATTTTATGTACACAAAAGACTAGGTGGAGCTGAATAAATGTTAGTTTTCTTTATCATTCCTTTATCTTACACAACAGCGTTTTCAATAGAATAGCAACTAATAAATGATTAACTTTTTAGAGTAAGTAAAAGTAGACATACTTTTATGAAAGCACATTCTTAACACGTAAGGTAGCTAAAATCCCAAATTGATATTCCTCCTACTCACTTTTTCAGGATTACTTAGAATAAAGAATTCTACAAATTACAACCATGTTCATTTTGTATTGCTTAATTGTCATGATTTTAGAAAATTAGCCATAGAAACAAATTTGTTTCTCAATTAAAATTATAACATTTTTTTCCCTTGGAAAACTACAAATATTTCACTTGCTTGAAATTGTACATTCCTTTTGTTGTTGTTGTTGTTGAGGTAGGGTCTCACTCTGGTACTCTGTTGCCCAGGCTGGAGTGTAGAGGTGCCATCTCAGCTCACTGCAACCTCCAACCTCCTTCTCCTGCCTCAGATCCCCAAGTAGCTAGGACTACAGGCATGTACCACCAATCCTGGCTAATTTTTGTGTTTTTTGTAGAGACAGGATCTCACCACATTGCCCACACTGCTCGGACTCCTGAGCTTAAGCAATCCACCCTCCTTGGCCTCCCAAAGTGCCAGGATTACAGGCATGAGCAACTGTGCCCAGCTGAAATTTACAAACTCATTTATTAAACTTTCAAAATTAACTTTAATTTTATAATGTGAAAGTTACTTTTTAGAAAAACATCATTATTTTCCAGTTGTTTTTCCACACTATGCAACTGTAGTCTTCATGGCAGTTTTAAGTAAGCCTAGATTAAATAACCTCTCATTCCATCCTATTTTTGAGAGCGAGAGCTCTATATATAGCAGCTATATATAGAGTAGCTATATGTGTGTATATATATATATATATATATACACACACACACACACACACACACACACACACACACACACATATATTTATAGCTACAGTAAACAAGAATTTCAGGAAAATATTCTTTTATAAGCTGGAATATTTGAAAAAATCAGCATATAAATTAATGGTGATTTTTTAATAAAATTACTTATTGAACTAAAAGAATACATAAAAACAAAGTTGTATCGTATCACTAGCATGCCTTCTCAGTTACCCTGAGAACTTTTGTAACTTCTAGCAATTAAAGTAATGAAATGTTGGCTAAGAGTTTAGCCAAACCCTTCTAAGCATTAGAGAAATTGTATAAGCTCTTTTACTAGCTTAGGTACCATTTATTAAACTATTTCTGCTATGCATTAAATGACCTCAGAGAGTAAATCTTCATATGGCTATATAAAAATTAACACTTTGGGAGAATGCTACAATTTAAATGAAACATAGATAACATAAAATTTTTCTATGGGGACCTTTAATCAATCCTGCAAATATTGCTACAAAACCTAAGAATATTCTAAGATAAAGAATTTATCGATTTCTGTAGACAAAGCATTCTGAGTTATTCAGAATATTTTAAATGTTTGTGTATAGACACCAAAAAATATGCTACCATAACACCAAAAAATAAAAATAAAAAATTAAAATAACGTTTGTCATCATAAGAAAAGAGTACATGACTACGTGTATTTTTCTGGCAGTTTAGCTGGATTTACTACTTTTTATTATTTAAATTATTTAAATGCACACTTGTCATTAATACTAGGATGTAAGTTTTTAGGAGTATTTAACTTGAAAGCACATATGTAATGTAGCCAACAATGTGTGTTTGTGTGTGTAATAAATATTTTAATACAGTAAATGTATTTTTTAAACTTTGTTTAGAGTGGTTTATTAATAGTTAAGTTACTGTACTCAACTAAAGCTTCTGTTGACTCACCACTAATCAATTTATGCATATTCATTTCATCCCTAATTACTGAACTATTACTAAATGTGGAAAAGTTATTGAGATAATAAACTACCCCATATAATGTGCTGGTTTTCCTTATCGAAGACTGGTAATCATTGATATTGTAAAGTATCTTGTTCTTTCTCTTAGTTCTCAAGAATTTAAAAAAGCATTGACAACAGCAGGCTTTACCACATTAATTCCCAGGGTATTTTCCTAAATTAACATCAACATTACACTTACCATTGTTTCTTTAGTTTCTCAAAACTTTATCATAATGTGAGTTTCTTGTTTTTTCCCCTATTCATATTTAATATAAATTATCATTCAATTGATTCCATAAGCCTGATTCCAATTTTACATTATGTTTACATTTCCTAATACAGAAAGATGCATGAAGAACTGGTGCCATTCCAACTTTTCACTTACCTCACCTCCTCCTTAGTATTAAGACACTTTTTCTGCTAGTGAATTTTATAAAAGGTAAGCTATTTTGAAAAGTTTGAAAGACTAAATCATTTTAAAATCACATGAGTAAAAATAACTTTATGGTGAATGCTCTGGTTCATTCAACTCATTTAATAAGATCACAAAATAGAACATTAAAACTCCACCGTATAGTGATAAAAAATCCATTTATTTTACATTGTGGGCAAAGCAGATAGCAAATTAATTTTAATGATTACTTTCAGTATCTAAGTTCTTAATATTTCTGTGTGCTTCTTGGTGGCTCATAATGGAAACTATAATGTAGTGGCATTAATACAAAATATTAATTACTATTTTTCATCTTATTTAGCATGTGTTGTATCTCTGGCAGAGTTATTTGTTCAACATGCTTCTTATTTGCTCTTTTATTCAACACTTGAATTACAAAAACATACACAAAATGAATGAGCATAGTGTACTGTTTTATTTTCTTAAAAAATAAGTAAAATTTGACATGCAGGTCAACTATTTGCGTCTGTAAGGGTCTCATCTTTTACCTTGCTGTCTCTGGAAGCAGTAGCACCACTCATTATTAGATATTAAACTGTCCTTGTATGTGTCACAAGAATTGAAGAATGCCTTGGTACACTGTTCATTCTTATCAAGGTAAATGCTTCTGAGCTCTGACTGGTCCAATAGCAGGTCATAGTTTGTATCAAGTCTGTTAAACATCCAGCCAAGTGAGTCCTTGCAAATTGGCAAGATGCTGGTATCGAATCCTAAAGGCAAAAAAAAGAAAATGATTAGTTAAATATGAAAGACACCATTAGCAGAAAGCAAAATAAGTCAACATAGCAGGTAGCTAGTGTAGGACATCTAATGAATAGTTAGAGAAGTAGAGCATTAAATTCATCATGAGTAGTTTGTTTCAAATTGAAGTGGATATAGTAGTATCTACATTTCAGGATAGTTGTGAGAATTAATTAACCAGAAAGCATTTGGTACTAATTAGTCATTCATTCAATGGCAGTTACTATTATAATTATATATTATTTATATTACTTTACTGATCAAGCTTCTTTGAATAAATAGTATATCATGATAAATGTCTCATTAGATATATGTAAATACTATTTTAAAACATCCTATGAACAAAAAATAAAATTTATATTTATTCACAGCACTGAAAATATGATCTTAAAAGCAGACTTTACACAAAATAAGTAATAACTTTAATAATTCCCTATATCTTGGTAGGATTATGGTGACTGTGCTATTTCACATAAACCTGTTGACCAGAGAAAGAATAATCATCATGTAATTTACACAGCCACTTGGTCTCCTGCTTACCTCAAGGAAATTTTACAAATGCAAATGTGTTATTATGAGAGGCCAGATGGTGCACTGGATAGAGCAGGTATAGAGAGATGACGGAACTGGGTTTGTATTCAAGCTACACACTACTCCACATGGGTTACCCCTGGTAAGCTGCAGACCTCACGAACCTCAGTTTCCTAAATAGCATCAGATGCAATGTCAGTGTTTTGAACTATTTTAAAAATTTGCTTTCAACAATTCTTATTTTGAGGGATTCAGTGAGCTCTCATATGTATGTTGCTTATCTAGTTGTTGTTTAATTTTCTCTTTTCTACTCATTACAAGTGAAAGTAAACTAATAACTCAGTTATTTGCATGGAAAAGAGGATGTATTGGAGACATGGGGACTTATGAAAACAGTATCAAAAAGATGTAATCTTCAACAACAGGGTTTGAAGAGTAGTTTAAACATTTCTAAGTGCAATTCTCTCAGATTTTGTAGCTAATTTTATGTTCTAGTAATACAAAATCTATTTTGATAGTTTTTTTTCTTGTTATACTTTGAATTATAAAAATAATAGAAATAAAAATGTAGACACTTAGGATTAAAAATTAAATAAGAGATTTGGGACAGGAACAGCTCCGGTCTACAGCTCCCAGCGTGAGCGACGCAGAAGACGGTGATTTCTGCATTTCCATCTGAGGTACCGGGTTCATCTCACTAGGGAGTGCCAGACAGTGGGCGCAGGCCAGTGTGTGTGCGCACCGTGCGCGAGCCGAAGCAGGGCGAGGCATTGCCTCACCTGGGAAGCGCAAGGGGTCAGGGAGTTCCCTTTCCGAGTCAAAGAAAGGGGTGACGGTCGCACCTGGAAAATCAGGTCACTCCCACCCGAATATTGCGCTTTTCAGACCGGCTTAAGAAACGGCGCACCACGAGACTATATCCCACACCTGGCTCGGAGGGTCCTACGCCCACGGAATCTCGCTGATTGCTAGCACAGCAGTCTGAGATCAAACTGCAAGGCGGCAACGAGGCTGGGGGAGGGGCGCCCGCCATTGCCCAGGCTTGCTTAGGTAAACAAAGCAGCCGGGAAGCTCGAACTGGGTGGAGCCCACCACAGCTCAAGGAGGCCTGCCTGCCTCTGTAGGCTCCACCTCTGGGGGCAGGGCACAGACAAACAAAAAGACAGCAGTAACCTCTGCAGACTTAAGTGTCCCTGTCTGACAGCTTTGAAGAGAGCAGTAGTTCTCCCAGCACGCAGATGGAGATCTGAGAACGGGCAGACAGACTGCCTCCTCAAGTGGGTCCCTGACTCCTGACCCCCGAGCAGCCTAACTGGGAGGCACCCCCCAGCAGGGGCACACTGACACCTCACACGGCAGGGTATTCCAACAGACCTGCAGCTGAGGGTCCTGTCTGTTAGAAGGAAAACTAACAACCAGAAAGGACATCTACACCGAAAACCCATCTGTACATCACCATCATCAAAGACCAAAAGTAGATAAAACCACAAAGATGGGGAAAAAACAGAACAGAAAAACTGGAAACTCTAAAACGCAGAGCGCCTCTCCTCCTCCAAAGGAATGCAGTTCCTCACCAGCAACAGAACAAAGCTGGATGGAGAATGATTTTGACGAGCTGAGAGAAGAAGGCTTCAGACGATCAAATTACTCTGAGCTACGGGAGGACATTCAAACCAAAGGCAAAGAAGTTGAAAACTTTGAAAAAAATTTAGAAGAATGTATAACTAGAATAACCAATACAGAGAAGTGCTTAAAGGAGCTGATGGAGCTGAAAACCAAGGCTCGAGAACTACGTGAAGAATGCAGAAGCCTCAGGAGCCGATGCGATCAACTGGAAGAAAGGGTATCAGCAATGGAAGATGAAATGAATGAAATGAAGCGAGAAGGGAAGTTTAGAGAAAAAAGAATAAAAAGAAATGAGCAAAGCCTCCAAGAAATATGGGACTATGTGAAAAGACCAAATCTACGTCTGATTGGTGTACCTGAAAGTGATGTGGAGAATGGAACCAAGTTGGAAAACACTCTGCAGGATATTATCCAGGAGAACTTCCCCAATCTAGCAAGGCAGGCCAACGTTCAGATTCAGGAAATACAGAGAACGCCACAAAGATACTCCTCGAGAAGAGCAACTCCAAGACACATAATTGTCAGATTCACCAAAGTTGAAATGAAGGAAAAAATGTTAAGGGCAGCCAGAGAGAAAGGTCGGGTTACCCTCAAAGGAAAGCCCATCAGACTAACAGCGGATCTCTCGGCAGAAACCCTACAAGCCAGAAGAGAGTGGGGGCCAATATTCAACATTCTTAAAGAAAAGAATTTTCAACCCAGAATTTCATATCCAGCCAAACTAAGCTTCATAAGTGAAGGAGAAATAAAATACTTTATAGACAAGCAAATGCTGAGAGATTTTGTCACCACCAGGCCTGCCCTAAAAGAGCTCCTGAAGGAAGCGCTAAACATGGAAAGGAACAACCGGTACCAGCCGCTGCAAAATCATGCCAAAATGTAAAGACCATCGAGACTAGGAAGAAACTGCATCAACTAATGAGCAAAATCACCAGCTAACATCATAATGACAGGATCAAATTCACACATAACAATATTAACTTTAAATATAAATGGACTAAATTCTGCAATTAAAAGACACAGACTGGCAAGTTGGATAAAGAGTCAAGACCCATCAGTGTGCTGTATTCAGGAAACCCATCTCACGTGCAGAGACACACATAGGCTCAAAATAAAAGGATGGAGGAAGATCTACCAAGCCAATGGAAAACAAAAAAAGGCAGGGGTTGCAATCCTAGTCTCTGATAAAACAGACTTTAAACCAACAAAGATCAAAAGAGACAAAGAAGGCCATTACATAATGGTAAAGGGATCAATTCAACAAGAGGAGCTAACTATCCTAAATATTTATGCACCCAATACAGGAGCACCCAGATTCATAAAGCAAGTCCTCAGTGACCTACAAAGAGACTTAGACTCCCACACATTAATAATGGGAGACTTTAACACCCCACTGTCAACATTAGACAGATCAACGAGACAGAAAGTCAACAAGGATACCCAGGAATTGAACTCAGCTCTGCACCAAGCAGACCTAATAGACATCTACAGAACTCTCCACCCCAAATCAACAGAATATACATTTTTTTCAGCACCACACCACACCTATTCCAAAATTGACCACATAGTTGGAAGTAAAGCTCTCCTCAGCAAATGTAAAAGAACAGAAATTATAACAAACTATCTCTCAGACCACAGTGCAATCAAACTAGAACTCAGGATTAAGAATCTCACTCAAAGCCGCTCAACTACATGGAAACTGAACAACCTGCTCCTGAATGACTACTGGGTACATAACGAAATGAACGCAGAAATAAAGATGTTCTTTGAAACCAACAAGAACAAAGACACCACATACCAGAATCTCTGGGACGCATTCAAAGCAGTGTGTAGAGGGAAATTTATAGCACTAAATGCCTACAAGAGAAAGCAGGAAAGATCCAAAATTGACACCCTAACATCACAATTAAAAGAACTAGAAAAGCAAGAGCAAACACATTCAAAAGCTAGCAGAAGGCAAGAAATAACTAAAATCAGAGCAGAACTGAAGGAAATAGAGACACAAAAAACCCTTCAAAAAATCAATGAATCCAGGAGCTGGTTTTTTGAAAGGATCAACAAAATTGATAGACCGCTAGCAAGACTAATAAAGAAAAAAAGAGAGAAGAATCAAATAGACACAATAAAAAATGATAAAGGGGATATCACCACCGATCCCACAGAAATACAAACTACCATCAGAGAATACTACAAACACCTCTACGCAAATAAACTAGAAAATCTAGAAGAAATGGATACATTCCTCGACACATACACTCTCCCAAGACTAAACCAGGAAGAAGTTGAATCTCTGAATAGACCAATAACAGGCTCTGAAATTGTGGCAATAATCAATAGTTTACCAACCAAAAAGAGTCCAGGACCAGATGGATTCACAGCCGAATTCTACCAGAGGTACATGGAGGAACTGGTACCATTCCTTCTGAAACTATTCCAATCAATAGAAAAAGAGGGAATCCTCCCTAACTCATTTTATGAGGCCAGCATCATTCTGATACCAAAGCCGGGCAGAGACACAACCAAAAAAGAGAATTTTAGACCAATATCCTTGATGAACATTGATGCAAAAATCCTCAATAAAATACTGGCAAACCGAATCCAGCAGCACATCAAAAAGCTTATCCACCATGATCAAGTGGGCTTCATCCCTGGGATGCAAGGCTGGTTCAATATACGCAAATCAATAAATGTAATCCAGCATATAAACAGAGCCAAAGACAAAAACCACATGATTATCTCAATAGATGCAGAAAAAGCCTTTGACAAAATTCAACAACCCTTCATGCTAAAAACTCTCAATAAATTAGGTATTGATGGGACGTATTTCAAAATAATAAGAGCTATCTATGACAAACCCACAGCCAATATCATACTGAATGGGCAAAAACTGGAAGCATTCCCTTTGAAAACCGGCACAAGACAGGGATGCCCTCTCTCACCGCTCCTATTCAACATAGTGTTGGAAGTTCTGGCCAGGGCAATCAGGCAGGAGAAGGAAATAAAGGGTATTCAATTAGGAAAAGAGGAAGTCAAATTGTCCCTGTTTGCAGACGACATGATTGTATATCTAGAAAACCCCATCGTCTCAGCCCAAAATCTCCTTAAGCTGATAAGCAACTTCAGCAAAGTCTCAGGATACAAAATCAATGTACAAAAATCACAAGCATTCTTATACACCAACAACAGACAAACAGAGAGCCAAATCATGGGTGAACTCCCATTCACAATTGCTTCAAAGAGAATAAAATACCTAGGAATCCAACTTACAAGGGATGTGAAGGACCTCTTCAAGGAGAACTACAAACCACTGCTCAAGGAAATAAAAGAGGAGACAAACAAATGGAAGAACATTCCATGCTCATGGGTAGGAAGAATCAATATCGTGAAAATGGCCATACTGCCCAAGGTAATTTACAGATTCAATGCCATCCCCATCAAGCTACCAATGACTTTCTTCACAGAATTGGAAAAAACTACTTTAAAGTTCATATGGAACCAAAAAAGAGCCCGCATTGCCAAGTCAATCCTAAGCCAAAAGAACAAAGCTGGAGGCATCACACTACCTGACTTCAAACTATACTACAAGGCTACAGTAACCAAAACAGCATGGTACTGGTACCAAAACAGAGATATAGATCAATGGAACAGAACAGAGCCCTCAGAAATAATGCCGCATATCTACAACTATCTGATCTTTGACAAACCTGAGAAAAACAAGCAATGGGGAAAGGATTCCCTATTTAATAAATGGTGCTGGGAAAACTGGCTAGCCATATGTAGAAAGCTGAAACTGGATCCCTTCCTTACACCTTATACAAAAATCAATTCAAGATGGATTAAAGATTTAAACGTTAAACCTAAAACCATAAAAACCCTAGAAGAAAACCTAGGCATTACCATTCAGGACATAGGCATGGGCAAGGACTTCATGTCCAAAACACCAAAAGCAATGCAACAAAAGACAAAATTGACAAATGGGATCTAATTAAACTAAAGAGCTTCTGCACAGCAAAAGAAACTACCATCAGAGTGAACAGGCAACCTACATCATGGGAGAAAATTTTCGCAACCTACTCATCTGACAAAGGGCTAATATCCAGAATCTACAATGAACTCAAACAAATTTACAAGAAAAAAACAAACAACCCCATCAAAAAGTGGGCGAAGGACATGAACAGACACTTCTCAAAAGAAGACATTTATGCAGCCAAAAAACACATGAAGAAATGCTCATCATCACTGGCCATCAGAGAAATGCAAATCAAAACCACTATGAGATATCATCTCACACCAGTTAGAATGGCAATCATTAAAAAGTCAGGAAACAACAGGTGCTGGAGAGGATGCGGAGAAATAGGAACACTTTTACACTGTTGGTGGGACTGTAAACTAGTTCAACCATTGTGGAAGTCAGTGTGGCGATTCCTCAGGGATCTAGAACTAGAAATACCATTTGACCCAGACATCCCATTACTGGGTATATACCCAAATGAGTATAAATCATGCTGCTATAAAGACACATGCACACGTATGTTTATTGCGGCACTATTCACAATAGCAAAGACTTGGACCCAACCCAAATGTCCAACAATGATAGACTGGATTAAGAAAATGTGGCACATATACACCATGGAATACTATGCAGCCATAAAAAATGATGAGTTCATATCCTTTGTAGGGACATGGATGAAATTGGAAACCATCATTCTCAGTAAACTATCGCAAGAACAAAAAACCAAACACCGCATATTCTCACTCATAGGTGGGAATTGAACAATGAGATCACATGGACACAGGAAGGGGAATATCACACTCTGGGGACTGTGGTGGGGTCGGGGGAGGGGGGAGGGATAGCATTGGGAGATATACCTAATGCTAGATGACACATTAGTGGGTGCAGCGCACCAGCATGGCACATGTATACATATGTAACTAACCTGCACAATGTGCACATGTACCCTAAAACTTAGAGTATAATAAAAAAAAAAAAAAAAAAAAAAAAAAAGAGATTTGGGGGCTTGAAAAATTTACAATTTCACAAACTTTTGGGAATTTGTTAATTTTCAGAAGATATTTAATGCTCATATCTGTGAATCACCATATTAGAAAATGGTAATACAAAGGTAAAAGAGGTATTTCTGGCATTTTCATAAAAGTATTAAAGAATTTCAGTGTTTTTGTTGTTGTTTAAATTCTCTTGTAAAATTGTTTATAGAATCAAAACAGAGTTATCTCACTCAAACAAACAGTAAACATGAATTCCTTATTTCCTATTTTCTGTGCAAGTGCTCACCTTGGTTCTGGAAATGTAAGGTTAAAAATGTAGATTAGGTCCCTATTACCTTGAAGCAAATTTTTAAAATAGTATATTTTGAGATACTGATTTAAACTATTCTAATTACCAGAAGTTGCCAAATGCCCAGGGATTACATGAATAAAGCAATGTTGGTGTGAGATTTCTGGTGTGCCCTTGATCCAAAGTATAAAAGGGTCTGCATAGAGAAACGGCCATATCATTCCAAAATGAATATCTGTTATCTACCTTATGGCTGGCAGGAAAAGAACACTGGGGAAAGAGAGTTGGGTACAGCCCAACAGATGAAAGACAAAAACTTCTCTGGGATTCAACCAATTCTGAAAGCTCAGACTCAGTTTGGAGGATGCAGAAGTAGATGAGATATGTACTACAGGGTTCTGTAAGTTGAAGGAACTGCCCAGAGAAACTGAGCAGAATACCAGGAGCTAGGAATTCACCAATTAGGGTTTTCTGTCTGGAGACTATATGCAACATTCTAACTAGAATGTCTAGAGATGAAACATACAATAAATGAAATGAAATATATGCTGGATGGTATTAAAAGCACATTGGACACTTCAGAAGAAAAAAAATCCTTGAAACTGAAGACATATGAAAGACCTTATCCAAAATAAAGCACATAGGAGAAAGAATATGAAAAAGAAAAACCAACCATGAGCCTTATTGAACTGTGGGACTATGTCACTTGCCTTAACATATCAGCAATTGAGGTCTCAGAAGAATACTCGAAGTGTGGGGTTCAGAAAATTATATGAAGAAATAATTACTTACATCTTTTTGAATTTGATAACAATTACAAATGCAGATACACAAAGTACAATTAACATCAAGTAGCAGAAAGAAAGAAAACCAAACTAAAGCATACCATAAACAAATTGGTGAAAGCCAGCATCAAAAAGAAAAAAAAAAACTTTAAAAGTAGCCAGACAAATACTGAAACAGGAGAAATTCTGCACAGAGGAACAGAGATGAGAATGGCAGCAAGCTTCTCCTCAGAGGCTATGAAGCCCAGAAGACAATGGAAAATTTCTAAAGTACTCAAACAAAGAAAAAGCCATACCTAGCAAGATTATCTTTCAAAAATTAAGCTAAAAGAAAGACCTTCTAAAAACAATGTAAAGCTGAAAGATTTCAAGAGTTACAACTCTTGAAATATAATAATGTAATAATGACAGAGAATGTAATAATACCATGACAGAGAATGTAATAATACCAGATGGAAATCTGGATCTACATATAGAAATGAAGAGGGCCAGAAATGCTACATATGTAGGTAAACATAGAAAACTTTTTTCCTTTCATTTTAAGCACTTTAAAAGCTAATGAATTGTTTAGAGCAAAAACCATAACAAAGTACTGTGGAGTGTACAACATAGGTAGAATTAAATGTATGAAACTAATAGCACAAAATGTGTGTGCTGGGGTAGGGAGGGTAGTGTACTCTGGTAAGTTTCTTACAGCATATGTAAAGTGTTAACAATATTATTTGAAGGTACATTGTGATAAGTTAATGATATATACTATAAACCCTAGAGCAAACACCAAAAAGTAAAATATAGTTAATTAACTATGTTAGTTTGGTATTGCTGCTGTAATAGATGACCACGAAATTTAATATCTTAAGTAACATCAATTCATTATTTCATAATTCTGTAAGCTGAAAGTCCAACAGAGATCTCAAAACACTAAAATCAAGGTATCTGCAGTTCCTTTCTTGGGGCCATAGCAAAGAATCTGTTTCTTTTTTCAGCGGGGTTGCTGGCAAGATTTAGTTATTTGAAGTTATAGTATTGGGGCCTTTGATGGTTTGGGGCCCTTGATGGCTACCAGTGGAGGACAATTTCCACCTAGCCACCATCCATACTTCTAGGCTTGTGGTCACTTTCCTCATCTTCAAAGCCATTTCTTCCACTTCCTTTTCCATCTCATTTCTTTTTCAATACAGGGGAGAAAAGATATCCACTTTTTTTTTATACTTTAAGTTCTAGGGTACATGTGCACAACGTGCAGGTTTGTTACATATGTATACATGTACCATGTTGGTGTGCGGCACCCATTAACTCGTCATTTACATTGGGTATATCTCCTAATGCTTTCCCTCCCCCCTCTCCCCACCCCACAACAGGCCCTGGTGTGTGATGCTCCCCTTCCTGTGTCCAAGTGTTCTCATCGTTCAATTCCCACCTATGAGTGAGAACATGCGGTGTTTGGTTTTTTGTTCTTGCGATAGTTTGCTGAGAATGATGGTTTCCACCTTCATCCATGTCCCTATAAAGGACATGAACTCATCCTTTTTTATGGCTGCCTAGTATTCCACGGTGTATATGTGCCACATTTTCTTAATCCAGTCTATATTGATGGACATTTGGGTTGGTTCCAAGTCTTTGCTATTGTGAATAGTGCTGCAATAAACATACATGTGCATGTGCCTTTATAGCAGCATGATTTATAATCCTTTGGGTATATACCCCTTAATGGGATGGCTGGGTCAAATGGTATTTCTAGTTCTATGTCTTTGAGGAATCACCACACTGTCTTCCACAATGGTTGAACTAGTTTACAGTCCCAGCAACAGTGTAAATGTGTTCCTATTTCTCCACATCCTCTCCAGCACCTGTTGTTTCCTGACTTTTTAATGATCACCATTCTAACTGGTGTGAGATGGTATCTCATTGTGGTTTTGATTTGCATTTCTCTGATGACCAGTGATGATGAGCATTTTTTCATGTGTCTGTTGGCTGCATAAATGTCTTCTTTTGAGAAGTGTCTGTTCATATCCTTTACCCACTTTTCGATGGGTTCTTTGTTTTTTTCTTGTAAATTTGTTTGAGTTCTTTGTAGATTCTGGATATTAGCCCTTTGTCAGATGAGTAGATTGCAGAAATTTTCTCCCATTCTGTAGGTTGCCTGTTCACTCTGAAGGTAGTTTCTTTTGCTGTGAAGCTCTTTAGTTTAATTAGATCCCATTTGTCTATTCTGGCTTTTGTTGCCATTGCTTTTGGTGTTTTAGACATGAAGTCCTTGCCCATGCCTATGTCCTGAATGGTATTGCCTAGGTTTTCTTCTAGGGTTTTTATCGTTTTAGGTCTAACATTTAAGTCTTTAATCCATCTTGAATTAATTTTTGTATAAGACATAAGGAAGGGATCCAGTTTCAGCTTTGTACATATGGCTAGCCAGTTTTCCCAGCACCATTTATTAAAAAGGGAATCCTTTCCCCATTTCTTGTTTTTGTCAGGTTTGTCAAAGATCAGATGGTTGTAGATGTGTGGTATTATTTCTGAGGGCTCTGTTCTGTTCCATTGGTCTATATCTCTGTTTTGGTACCAGTACCATGCTGTTTTGGTTACTGTAGCCTTGTAGTATAGTATGAAGTCAGGTAGCGTGATGCCTCCAGCTTTGTTCTTTTGGCTTAGGATTGTTTTGGCAATGTGGGCTCTTTTTTGGTTCCGTATGAACTTTAAAGTAGTTTTTTCCAATTCTGTGAAGAAAGTCATTGGTAGCTTGATGGGGATGGTATTGAATCTATAAATTACCTTGGGCAGTATGCCCATTTTTATGATATTGATTCTTCCTATCCATGAGCATGGAATGTTCTTCCATTTGTTTGTATCCTCTTTTATTTTGTTGAGCAGTGGTTTGCTGTTCTCCTTGAAGAGGTCCTTCACATCCCTTTTAAGTTGGATTCCTAGGTATTTTATTCTCTTTGAAGCAATTATGAATGGGAGTTCACTCATGATTTGGCTCTCTGTTTGCCTGTTATTGGTGTATAAGAATACTTGTGGTTTTTGCACATTGATTTTGTATCCTGAGACTTTGCTGAAGTTGCTTATCAGCTTAAGGGGATTTTGGGCTGAGATGATAGGGTTTTCTAAATATACAATCATGTCATCTGCAAACAGGGACAATTTGACTTCCTATTTTCCTAATTGAATACCCTTTATTTCTTCCTCCTGCCTGATTGCCCTGGCCTGAAATTCCAACACTATGTTGAATAGGAGTGGTGAGAGAGAGCATCCCTGTCTTGTGCCAGTTTTCAAAGGGAATGCTTCCAGTTTATGTCCATTCAGTATGATATTGGCTGTTGGTTTGTCATAAATAGATCTTAATATTTTGAGATACATCCCATCAATACCTAATTTATTGAGAGTTTTTAGCATGAAGGGCTGTCGAATTTTGTCAAAGGCCTTTGCTGCCTCTATTGAGATAATCATGTGGTTTTTGTCTTTGGTTCTGTTTATATGCTGGATTACATTTAATGATTTGCGTACGTTGAACCAGTCTTGCATCCCAGGGATGAAGCCAACTTGATCGTGGTGGATAAGCTTTTTGATGTGCTGCTGGATTCGGTTTGCCAGTATCTTATTGAGGATTTTTGCATCAATGTTCATCAGCGATATTGGTCTAAAATTCTCTTTTTTTGCTGTGTCTCTGCCAGGCTTTGGTATCACAATGATGCTGAACTCATAAAATGAGTTAGGGAGGATATCCTCTTTTTCTATTGATTGGAATAGTTTCAGAAGGAATGGTACCATCTCCTCCTTGTACCTCTGGTAGAATTTGGCTGTGAATCCATCTGGTCCTGGACTTTTTTTGGTTGGTACGCTCTTAATTATTGCCTCAATTTCGGAACCTGTTATTGGTCTATTCAGGGATTCAACTTCTTCCTTGTTTAGTCTTGGGAGAGTGTATTTGTCGAGGAATTTATCCATTTCTTCTAGATTTTCTAGTTTATTTGTGTAGAGGTGTTTATAGTATTCTTTGATGGTAGTTTGTATTTCTGTGGGATCGGTGGTGATATCCCCTTTATCATTGTTTATTGCATCTATTTGATTCTTCTCTCTTTTCTTCTTTATTACTCTGGCTAGCAGTCTATCAATTTTGTTGATCTTTTCAAAAAACCAGCTTCTGGATTCATTGATTTTTTGAAGGGTTTTTTGTGTCTCTATTTCCTTCAGTTCTGCTCTGATCTTAGTTATTTCTTGCCTTCTGCTAGCTTTTGAATGTGTTTGCTCTTGCCTCTCTAGTTCTTTTAATTGTGATGTTAGGGTGTCAATTTTAGCTCTTTCCTGCTTTCTCTTGTGGGCATTTAGTGCTATAAATTTCCCTCTCCACACTGCTTTAAATGTGTCCCAGAGATTCTGGTATGTTTTGTCTTTGTTCTCACTGGTTTCAAAGAACATCTTTATTTCTGCCTTCATTTCATTATGTACCCAGTAGTCATTCAGGAGCAGGTTGTTCAGTTTCCATGTAGTTGAGTGGTTTTGAGTGAGTTTCTTAATCCTGAGTTCTAATTTGATTGCACTGTGGTCTGAGAGACACTTTGTTATAATTTCTGTTCTTTTACATTTGCTGAGGAGTGCTTTCCTTCCAACTAAGTGGTGAATTTTGGAATAAGTGCCATGTGGTGCTGAGAAGAATGTATATTCTGTTGATTTGGGGTGAAGAGTTCCGTAGATGTCTATTAGGTCGGCTTGGTGCAGAGTTGAGTTCAATTCCTGGATATCCTTGTTAACTTTCTATGTCGTTGATCTGTCTAATGTTGACAGTAGGGTGTTAAAGTCTTCCATTATTATTGTGTGGGAGTCTAAGTCTCTTTGTAGATCTCTAAGTATTTGCTTTACGAATCTGGATGCTCCCATATTGGGTGCATACATATTTAAGATAGTTAGCTCTTTTTGTTGAATTGATGCCTTTACCATTATGTAATGGCCTTCTTTTTGTCTTTTGATCTTTGTTGGTTTAAAGTCTGTTTTATCAGAGACTAGGATTGCAAACCCTGCTTTTTTTGTTTTACATTTGTCTGGTAGATCTTCCTCCATCCCTTTATTTTGAGCCTATGTGTGTCTCTGCATGTGAGATGGGTCTCCTGAATACAGCACACTGATGGGTCTTGACTCTTTATCCAATTTGCCAGTCTGTGTCTTTTAATTCGAGCATTTAGCCCATTTACTTTTAAGATTAATATTGTTATGTGTGAAATTGATCCTGTCATTATGATGTTAGCTGTTTATTTTGCTCGTTAGTTGATGCAGTTTCTTCCTAGCCTCGATGGTCTTTACAATTTGTCATGTTTTTGCAGTGGCTGGTACCGATTGTTCCTTCCATGTTTAGTGCTTCCTTCAGGAGCTCTTGTAGGGCAGGCCTGGTGGTGAGAAAATCCCTCAGCATTTGCTTGTCTGTAAAGGATTTTATTTCTCCTTCACTTATGAAGCTAGTTTGGCTGGATATGAAATTCTGGGTTGAAAATTCTTTCCTTTAAGAATGTTGAATATTGGCCCCCACTCTCTTCTGCCTTTTAGAGCTTCTGTCAAGAGATCTGCTGTTAGTCTGATGGGTTTCCCTTTGTGGGAAACCTGACCTTTCTCTCTGGCTGCCCTTAACATTTTTTCCTTCATTTAAACTTTGATGAATCTGATAATTACGTATCTTGGAGTTGCTCTTCTTGAGGAGTATCTTTGTGGCGTTCTCTGTATTTCATGAATTTGAATGTTGGCCTGCCTTGCTAGGTTGGGGAAATTCTCCTGCATAATATCCTGCAGAGTGTTTTCCAACTTGGTTCCATTCTCCCCATCACTTTCAGGTACACCAGTCAGATGTAAATTTGGTGTTTTCACATAGTCCCATATTTGTTGGAAGCTTTGTTCATTTCTTTTTACCCTTTTTTCTCCAAGCTTCTCTTCTCACTTCATTTCATTCATTTGATCTTCCATCACTGATACTCTTTCTTCCAGTTGATCAAATCAGCTACTGAAGCTTGTGCATTCATCATGTAGTTCTCTTGCCATGGTTTTCAGCTCTATCAGGTGATTTAAGGACTTCTCTACAGTGGTTATTCTAGTTAGCCATTTGTCTAATGTTTTTTCAAGGTTTTTAGCTTCTTTTTGTTGGGTTCAAACTTCCTCCTTTAGCTCGGAGAAGTTTGAGTGTCTGAAGCCTTCTTCTCTCAACTCGTCAAAGTTATTCGCTGTCCAGCTGTCTTCTGTTGCTGGGGAGGAGCTGCGTTCCTTTGGAGGGGGAGAGGTGCTCTGATTTTTAGTATTTTCAGCTTTTCTGCTCTGTTTTTTCCCCATCTTTGTGGTTTTATCTACCTTTGGTCTTTGATGATGGTGACGTACAGATGGGGTTTTGGTGTGGATGTCCTTTCTGTTTGTTAGTTTTCTTTCTAACAGTCAGAACCCTCAGCTGCAGGTATGTTGGAGTTTGCTGGAGGTCCACTCCAGACCCTGTTTGCCTGGGTATCAGCAGCAGAGGCTGCAGAACAGTGAATATTGCTGAACAGCAAATGTTCCTGCCTGATCGTTCCTCTGGAAGCTTCGTCTCAGAGGGGTACCTGGCCATGTGAGGTGTCAGTCTGCCCCTACTTGGGGGGTGCCTCCCAGTTAGGCTACTCGGGGGTCAGGGACCCACTTGAGGAGGCAGTCTGTCCGTTCTCAGATCTCAAACTCTGTGCTGGGAGAAGCACTACTCTCTTCAAAGCTGTCAGACAGGGACATTTAAGTCTGCAGGGGTTTCTGCTGCCTTTTGTTCAGCTATGCCCTGCCCCCAGAGGTGGAGTCTACAGAGGCAGGCAGGCCTCCTTGAGCAGCAGTGGGCTCTACCCAGATGGAGCTTCCTGGCAGCTTTGTTTACCTACTCAAGCCTCAGCAATGGCAGGCGCCCCTCCCCCAGCCTTGCTGCTGTCTTGCAGTTCGATGTCAGACAGCTGTGCTAGTAACGAGTGAGGCTTCATGTGCATGGTACCCTCCGAGCCATGCACGGGATATAATCTCCTGGTGTGCCGTTCGCTAAGACCGTTGAAAAAGCACAGTATTAGGGTGAGAGTGACTCGATTTTCCAGGTGCCATCTATCACCCTTCCCTCTTCTAGGAAAGGGAATTCCCTGACCCCTTGAGCTTCCCTGGTGAGGTGATGCCTCACCCTGCTTCAGCTCACACTGGTGGGCTGCACCCACTGTCCTGCCCCCACTGTCCGATAAGCCCCAGTGAGATGAACCGGGTACCTCAGTTGGAAATGCAGAAATCACCCATCTTCTGTGTCGCTCACACTGGGAGCTACAGACTGGAGCTGTTCCTATTCGACCATCTTGGAACCAAGCCCAAGATGTCCTCTTTTAAGAATGTATGTGATTAGATAGGGCCTATCCAGATAATCCAGGATAATCTCCTTATTTAAAGGTCAGGTGATTCATAACTTTAATTCCATCTGCAATCTTAGTTCCATTTGCCATGTAATATATCAGGTCCTGAGATTAGAATGTGAACATCTTTGAGAAGTCATTATTTGCCTCCCATCTAAACCAGTTGTGGAGCTGAAATGTGAATCGTGAAAAAATATAAAACTGATATGTCTAATTGAAAATAAGGCAAGATAAGAGAAAAAGAAAATAACAGCAATAAAATAAAATAATACCAAGATGGAAGTTTTAAACACAACCGTATTGACAATCATTAAATTAATATGGTCTAACCCTTAGATAAAAAGGTAGAGATTGTCAGACCAGACAAAAATGTCAAACTCAATGCTATGCTGTCTCTAAGAGACCCGTTTTAGATATAAAGATACAGACTGGTTAAGAGTAAAATAATGGAACATTTAATCATAAAAGCTGGAGTGGCTATGTTTACGTAAGACAAATTAGACACCAGAAATTGAGTTAAAAATCTAATTTTCATTGTGGTGACATGAATGAGATTTCAGGTTAGAACTTCAGTTTCCTTTTTATGTCTATCGATCTTGTTTATAAATATTTATCATATAATACTATATATACAATGCTATATATATTATACATAGTGATTGTATGATAGATTATATAAATATAATATTATATTATATTTGTATTGTATTATATAGTGATGAAATGATAGCACTATTCAAGAGCTCTCAAAGTCACCCAATAGTAGCTATTGTTTAAAAAGTTCAGAATAAGAAAATTTTTCACCAAATTTATTTCATTTTATATTTGTAGCCTCAAAAGAATCATATTTGAAGGGTATATATATAATTTACAATACTGTAATCATTTAATATCTAACATTCTTCTCAGCATTTGTTGCTTCATCATCCTGATGACTCTTGTAACACACTTTTGTTTATTGAGATATTTAAAATATAACAAAAATATAAGCTTTCTCTATCTTTGAATTTCAAGGTAAATAGATTATCTTGAAGAATCCCCACATTGTCTAGATGTGCACATTAAGGCCTAGGTATATTAAAAACAAACAAAGCAAGGTAGTGGTAGAACACAGTTCAATGACCTGAATCTAAGTTAGGTAGTTTGACATCCTCAGTCCAAACCATTATTATTACATTTCATCAAATTGTTTTTTTAGCAAGCATGCACACCTGTATGAATTTCATTTATTTTTAGTATAAAAGATAAACTCTTAGTTCTAATGTGCCTAAATGTCATTAAATACCTGTTGCACATCATATGTTTAGAAACATTCTTTTATATTGATATATGAATTGTGGAATAAGCTTTCCTCAAATAGAGTGAGAAAAATTATTGGAAGTTTAAATATACTTTTGTTTCACACTATATTGACAAAAACAGTACTTAATAATGTATTTAAACTGTCAAGGTTGTTTACATGGTACATCATAAAATTATTTATATTAGCTGTTTTAAATTCTTCCTCCCATAGCCACTGTTATTTCCAGTAATATTTTCAGGACTTATATTTCACCTAATTATAGACCATGTTTTTATAGTTCTTAGCATGCTTGGTAAAATTGCAATGAAGAATATTCAGTCAAAACTGCCTCTAAATAAATTCCATAAAACCGAAGATTTTGAAGAAAATCACGGAAAATCAGTATATTTATGGATTATTATAAATAATCTCATTTTATTTTATAGTCAGTCTTAAAACCACATGAAGATAATGCTATATAAGGAAAGTTAAACATAAACAGTAATGATTTATTATTGATCCTTACTTTTTTCACATTTAAGATTTTAGAACTAGTGAACCAAATACTACAAATAATGCAGTAGTATGTCAAATGAACAAAAAGTACATAAAATATATGTTTAAAGTATGCAATGCTATCTGCTGTATTTCCAAAAATGCCACATTCCATATTCATTTTTTCTATTATGTTATTCTGAATGTATCTATATTGTGTCTGAATTGCAATGTGACCTCCTAAGTATATCAATGAAAACTTTTCTTTCCCTAAAAGACTCTGTGTCCAATTTCCAGGAGCATACAATTCACATAATTATAATAATGGTGAAGAAATTGCATATGAAATATTATCTAATAGCCATCTAATACAATCAAATCTGCTATTCTATCAAATTAGAAGAAAGAGAGGAAAAAAGTAAGGGAAAATTTAAATTTATAAAATTGAAATATGATATTATTGGGAAATTGATACAACAGAATATTCACAAGCAGTTTTTAGGAGTCTGAATATTACTTGAAATGAACTTTTAAATAATTCAGAAACAGTAAACTGCAGAGCTGTGCAAAAACTACTTTTAGATTGAATTCAGATTCCTAGATATGACTCTAAGTGTAGTCATCTTGAGGTTTCTTTCCTTTTTGTTTGTTTGCTTTTGAGACAGGGTCTTACTCTGTCACCCAGGCTGGATGCAGTGGTGTAATCATGGCTCATTGCAGCCTCAACCTCCTGAGCTCAAGTGATCTTCCCACCTCAGCTTCCTAAGGATAAGACAATAGGCACAAGCCACCATGCCTGGCTAATTTTTTATTTTTGTGTTTTGTAGAGACAGAGTCACTGTGTTGCCCATGCTGGTCTCGAACTACTGGCCTCAAGCAATTTGCCTGCTTTGTCCTGCCAAAGTGCTGGGACTACAGTCATGAGCCAGCATGCCTAGCTTCATCTTAAGGTTTCTGGCATTCCTTGACTTCATTAAAGTTACTTCTCAGATCATTGTTTCTATAAGGGTCTCCTCTATTCATTATGATTATTTTCACAAACTTTTGTAATAATTTTTCTAAATGGAACTGACCAGGTCTAAATCTTATAAGAAATATCATACCGGAAAATAAAGGAAAATCTTTTTAAGCAAAACCTTTGTAAGTTATCTATGTTGCAAAAGTCAAGTAATTATCATAAAGATGTTCAATATTTAAGCTAAAATTTTAATTGTTATGAGACTGTAATGAAGGTGTGAAAAAACTGATGCTTTATTTTGCAGTGTAATAAAAGTAACTGTTTCTTTTAACTTAGATGTTTGACAATCAATAATAGGATTCTAGAGTTTAAAGCTAGATCGCATTGTGTTGAAAAATTTATACCAGAGATTGTATAAGAAGATAATACTTAACTCTTAAGACATTTTACAACATTCTATTATCTTATGTATTCATTTTTTCAGTCTTCTTCTTATGTTCTTTTACTACTTAGCTCTTAAATATTGGTATTCTCAGTGTTCACTTCTCAGCTGATTTTTTTCTAGTCTACATCAGCTCTTTATGGGTGCTGATTCAATTATACTGTTTTAGCTAACATTCCATTAGCTCACAATCTTTATCTCTAATCCACCTACCTCATTTGAACTTCACATTACATGTATATAAGCATAGGCACACATACACATTTTATATTAACTAGTATATTGATCACACCATGCACATATATGCATATATTGAACAAATGGGGCTTATAGGATATAATCTAAAACCACTCTTTTTTTCTCTTATACTCTGTAAATGTGTGATTTTTGGTAAAGGTTTTCTCCTATCTCTGGAAGAAAACTCAGGAGGTCCCATAATTTGTTCATCTCAGCTTTCAGTAACAAAAAGTTGTATTGTCCTTGTAAGGTACAAATATAAGATAATTGGCATTGCAAAATGTCTAATGTTATATAATAATCACAATTCCAAATCTGATTCTTTCTTTCTGTAGCTGGATATTTTGCTGGTGCAAAGTCAGGTAAGGAGAAAATGATGTTTCCTTAATCCTTCTCTATTTTTACTTCTAACTCTCCTCCTCCATCTTTTTTATGACCACCTCCAGTTTTTACGTGGATGAATGAACGATACGTAAGAGTGGACAGGGAGTTTCTTACCAAATTGATAACTGTCTTAGGAAGACTTTGTGCTGTATGGGCCTATCAGGTTTTAAAGGCTTCATCTATTTTCATACCCCTAGATACCTTTTTGGGTCTTTCAGGGGTCTGTGGAGTAAACATACAAGCATATGTCTTGTCATATGTGATATTTTTCTCTGGCTACCACCTCTTTGTCCCTGGATATCTGTGATCCATGTTTCCACTGGAGTTTACTCTGTATTCCCAACAGCCATCTCGGGCAGAATGTACATTTGTTCTCACCTGTGGCATTCAAATCTGATCCACAGTAAATATTCTTGTATTTCTTGCCCAGACCTTTAATTTCAAAGCAGCAGCAACTTTCCTTTGACAACAAATAAGTAAGCAGATCACAGCTGCCTCTGACGACTTTTAGATTTTTCTGGTGAAATTCAGGCCACAGTCTGCTTGTCTGGGAACACATATAAAGCTGTCTGAGTGGTTCTGTTGAAATCCCTCTCACAATTTGAAGTGTAAGCACCCTCATCCCTCCTTATAGGAATGGTGGAATCATAGCATAGCTCTTTCCAAAGAAACCTTCTTCACAAATTCTGTTGCCACCTTTGCTGTCTTTACTCTTTTAGATTTTCCTTTTGGATATGTTAACAGTTTAAGTGCAACTTGCTTACATTTGCAAATACCTTCATATCATAGCAGTACCTAGACTACTGTGTGGCTGAATAACAAGGAGTCAGAAACCTTGGGAGGGACATCTTTAGAATTCTTCCTACCACAATGTCTCTAAAGAGAGATTATTTGAGCAGAAATATAAAGGAAGTGAAATTATGACTATCTGGGGGAGTGAGGGAAGGGCATTCCAGGTAGAAGGAAGAGGAAGAGTAACGGATCTATGGTCAGAGCATGATTAATGTCACTGCAGAAAAAAAATGAACCAACGTGACTGGAGTAGAGTGGATGAGGAGAAAGTGGCAGGTGACGGGGTCAGAGCATGAGTGGTCTGCTCACTCACATATGTCACAGTAAAAACTTGCCTTTTACCTAGAGATCACCCATTTTCATCTCTGCTTCTTTTTTCTCAAGGATGGCTTCCAGGTGTTTGATCTGATCCGCTGAAATAATGGACTTGACATTTACTGAGTTGAGAAAGACAGCAGAAGAGTGGGTTTGTGTGGGGTATCTGGCTTTGGGTATGTTAAGTTTGAAATGCCTGTTGAACTTTCAAGAGAAGATTGGAACACAAAGTTAAATGTAAGATTCTGGGCATCAAAGCTAGAAGTATAAATTTGAAGATCATCTGTATATGGCTGATTTTCTAAATGGGATACTGAACAAAATCTTAAAGGTAATGATTACAGCTAGAAGAAAAAGTATCAAGTCTTTGGGACTACCAACATTTAGATATCAAACAGGTGAGAAGAAATCAGGAAGGTAGACTTAGAGGGTGGCCCATGAAGTGAAAAAGGTCTATTCACTGTTGGAATCCTGAATGGCTGTGGCAATGCTTGGCAAATAGTATGAATTTAAGAATATTTTGTAAAGACTGATTAAATGAATTAAGTGCTAAGTATATGCCAAACACTGTAAAGAGTGGGGCACACGCATGAAGAATACTAAATATGGAACAGATATAAATGTGCATTCAAACAACAACAAACCCAAAGTGACAAGTGGTACAGCAGGTGCTCTAGAACAGAGAAAAAAGAAAATAGTGCAAAGTGCCCCAAATGCTCAATAAAGGATACAACACATGAGGTAAAATTTGAAAATCTAAGAAGAGTTAAACCAGTAATAGTACTTTGTGATGGAGAGAAATTTGACAGAGGGACAGAAGGAGAGGAGGAAGCAGATAAAAAACATTTTTCTGGGCTGGGCACGGTGGCTCATGACTGTAATCCCAGCACTTTGGGAGGCTAAGGCAGGTGGACCAGGAGGTCAGGAGATCGAGACTATCCTGGCCAACATGATGAAACTCCCTCTCTGCTAAAAATACAAAAATTAGCTAAGTGTGGTGGTGGGTGCCTGTAGTCCCAGCTACTCAGGAGGCTGAGGCAGGAGAATCGCTTCAACCCGGGAAGTGGATGTTGCAGTGAGCCGAGATTGCACCACTGCACTCCAGTCTGGTGACAGAGTGAGACTCCATCTCAAAACAAAAGAAAACAAAAAAACAACAAACAAACAAACAAAAAACAACAAAAACATTTTCTGCTGGGTTTCAAAGGACATTTTAAAATATGAATTGGAAGAAAATATTCAATTAACTCCTCATCTTCTTAGATAACATTGACAACTTTGGATGCTAAAAACTAAGTGAGATTACAGGTAGAGAATACAACCCAAACAGTACAAATTTATCATTATTAGCTGGCAGGTACAGCTTAACAAAGGGATCTAGGAAGGAAAATACTTAACAACACTCACTCAAGGACTAAGTTAAGGAAAAAGACCAATATCCTACGTGTCCTGATGAAAATAATGTTAGAGAAGAGAGCATTCTTTAATTGTAAAAAGAAAGAAATATAACCACCTAAACATCTGCTGGATGCAGATGCCATGACTTATGGAATACATTAACATAAAGAAATCTTCACTTAAGGGCATAGAAAATTATCAAGGAAATAAACAATAAGTAAATAATTGCATTAAAAGTAATGATTTAAAATAATTCCTTTAGGCAGAAATGCAAAGACTGAAGGACATTGAGAAAACATTTTTAACTGTGAAAAATGTGAATATTACAAACATGTTTGTAATTATTAAATGCCAGGATTCTAAAACTCAGATACATTTTGTAAATTTTGAATAGTTAGCACACAGGCCAATAATAAATGTAAGCAAACAAAACACAGGAAGAATTAAATGAACAAAAATCTTTCTCTAGAGAGTTGATAGAGGTTTTTAATATAATTCAAATTGTTTTAAATGCATATATTGATCTATCTCAATCTAAGTTATTTTTTATTTACATGAAAAGAAACAAAAACATTGAGAAACAGTATAATAAAAGCAAAATAATTGTTATTAATATTTTGTAAACATTCCCAAGTTAGGTAAAATGCAATAGGAAAACATTCTTTGTGCGAGCATGTAATGTGCCAGCATGTACATGTATACCAGAGGCAGTTATTGCAACCTAGCTGAGTCACGTACTTGATATTGGTTTGCTATTACTTAGATTCTGAGAGATTGACTGGGAGATTACATGATTAGTGAAAGAGTATAGGTTTCAAGCCCAGTGTGGTGGCTCAGGCCATTAATCCCAGCGCTTTGTGAGGCAAGGTGGCAGGATCACCCCATGTCTCTATGAAAAACAAGAAACTAAGCCAGTTGTGGTGGTATGCACCTACAGTCACAGCTACTACTGAGAAGGTTGAGGCAGGAGGATCACTTGAGCCCAGGAGTTTGGGCCTGCAATGAGCTATGATTGCACCACTGCACCCTAGCCCAGGTCACAAAGTGAGGCCTTGTCTCAAAAAAGGTATATAAATACCTAAAAGTTACATTTCTTAGACCAAAAAACCTGGGGTTAAATCCTAGCTCTACCATTTACTGTGTGACTTTGGGTTTTCCCTCTCAACCATTTCAACTAGAAAGTGAAGTAAATAATGACTATTTTGCATTGTAAGGATTACATGAAATAAGGCAAATACTTATGCTTAATTGCTGAACCCTATGGTATCAGTACTATTAATAGATTACAAATTCCAGGTCCAGACCACAGTGTGCTTATTAATACTGAAAATGCTTTTGCTTGTCCTGCTTCCTCAACCTCCCACACTCACCAATCTTTGTAATCCCTTGGAAAGCACCAGAGGCCTACAAGACATGTCATATTTTGTAAGAATTGTCAAGCAATGTCTCTTCTCTTCAAAGATATTTCAAAAAATTCTGAAAAGCAGAAGCTATCAAACATAAATATTTACAATAAAAAATTCAACATTTCCTGATTATTTATGTTATTGTAGTAAATGAGGTTATTTACTTCTACAATGTAGACACATAAGCAGTACATTTCCCAATCTTATGAACTAGTAGGCCTGTATTATCAATTTTACTTGCTTAGTCCTCAAGTAAATCAATAGCATAGCTGCGAGGAACATAAATCGAAGTAAAATCATTCAAATGAAAGCAAAATCTGGGTAAATGTGCATTTCAAAACCTATTCTGAATGACTGAATTGTCCTCACTAATGACAGTTTAATATTTTTAAAGTACTGTAATACTGTCAGATTTGGCGAGGGGAAGGGGTAAACAGCAGGTATTGAGAAGAAAAGCACCATTCTGGTCCACACAGGATTCAATACACACTACTAGGCCTTGATTATTCAAGGACAGGTAAGACAAAATTCCTCTCTTCAAACTGTCATTTTAAAAATTATTTTAGGTTCCACTTTCAGTAATTGTTGAATATGGTCTTATAGAACCAGCACTGCTGCAGATAAATAATTGAATTCTAGACTTTTTTTTTTTCTAAAGCAGGAAGGGTATGAAGAGTTAATAGAGTAGGCAGATTCTTGTAGTCTGCGTGTTGAGGAAGGAGGTTATGTGTAGTGAATTTCCAATTTTTGCTGTTTTTTAAGTTGGGGGTAGGCAGAGTTTTCATGGTGCAAGGTAGCAATAACACTGGTAGAAAAAAATGCAGACTTTTTAGCCTGGAGAATCAGAAAGTTGTGTATAGCCACTGAGGAAAGCCGAAGAAATCCGAGAAGAAAATGAGATAAATTATCACCAAAAACCACCTACCCAAAACTCGGATGATCTATCAGCCACATATGTATTCCACAGGCTTCAATCACCTCTGCTAAGACTAGAACACTGAATTGAGATTGAAGCTGGCACCCAAGAAAGTGAGTTTCCATTTTGAGACCAACAAAGTTAATCATCTGTTAAATCAATCAAGCAACACTCTCTGGGGAAAAATAATGCAATGCAGCATCACACAATTCCATATTCATAAGGTCTGGAACACCATCCTGAATTTTGAGACATGTTAAAAATCAGAAATATGGAACTCATTCTCAAAAAAAAAGTAAAGATAATCAATTAAGAATAAATTTGAGGTGATCCAGTTGTTGGGATTAGCGGATATCATTTTAAAGCAACTAAGATTGTTAAATTCAATAAGGTAAAAGAAAACATGCTTGTAATAATTGCAACAATAGAAACTAACAGTAGAGAAATATAAATTATAAGAATGAACTAAATGGAATGTAAGAATGACAGTAACAAAAAAAACCTTTTAAATTAAAACTAAATTCACAAAGGAAAAGGTAAGTAAACATGAATATAGATCAATCAAAATTATCTAATTTGAAAAAAAAGAAAAAGATTGAGAAAAAACTAAATAGAACCTCAGGGAACTGTTAGGTAATATCAAGTGCTATGACATATACATTTGAAGTTCCAGAAGAGAGAAGAGAGATAATTGTGTAAGAAAATATTTGAAGAAATAATGGCAGAAAATTTGCTTAAATGCTTACATTTACAAATTAAAGATATGCAGGACTTTCCAAGCAGAATGACACAAAGGTCATTCCTAATCATAGTCAAACTTTCAAGACCTAAAGATTAAGGCCAATTTTGAAAGCAGCAGGAAGAATATGACACATAGAGGTAAACAATAATTCAATTTGTCTGGCATCTCGTCAGAAATTTTAGAGACCAAAAATGAGTTGAATAACATCATTAAGTGAAGAAAAAAATAATTGAAAACTTTCAACCCAATAATCTCCATTCATGAAAATATTACTTAGGATTAAAGGCAAGGACTCACTGGTTTCACCTAGAATGTGAGAAGTTAAAAAGAGTATTGTTCACAAATAAACAATAAGAAAAGTCTGAGTAATTAGCAAACCACAATTTTCTTGAATCCATAAGTGAGTTTATGTCCTAGAGCAATACAGTAACCCAGAATCTAAAAAAAGACATGTGCCTCCAAGAAAGGATGGAATGTGAACACTGGCTTACTTGAGACAGATACCAAATACCATGTAAGCTAATAAGAAAAATTCAATTTATATTTTCAGTGAATTGCTAAAGGCTGAGTGTAGGCTAAAATGACAGTAAATAAACTCTGGAAACCATAAAAAAAAGAAGAATTCATAAACATTGACAGACATGACTCCAGGATCTCAGTGTGTGCTCTCAAAGAAGACTTAGGGCAAGATAAGGGACCCAAGAAACCACCTGAGAAGCAGAAGCTGCTGTGGGAAAGGTATGAACTCCCATCCACATCCATCTTCCCTACATACCTTATGGAAGAAAACCTTAAATTCCTAGGGGTAAGCCCAATATCCTGTCACTCTCTAGATATAGGTGAGGATCCCTTGCACCAAAGGAAAAGAGTTAAAAACACAGCTGTACCTGGGAAAGGATCAGGAGAATATCCTGAGTATAGACCATTAAAGAACCTCTTCCACTAAGGGGGCAATAGGATTTCTGAGAAAGTCCTACCTTTGAGATTCAGATACATAGTACCTTCCTAAAGCTGTAGCTTAACAAAAATATGAAGGAATGCTCTCACTACCAGAGCAGCAAATGTTGCTTAAGAAGTGCCAACCTTCTATCAATGGTGGAGGGGTACAATCAAGAAGGGGGACCCTCTCTGAGGCTCAGTTGCAAAGGAAAAATCAAGAAACAAGTGGAGAAAAAGGCTGTGGCAAGCCAGTCTCACGCTAAGCACAAGGCAACCCTATAGTTACTTTAAGCCTGAGATGCACTGAGGATAACAAGAAAAAAACCAAAGCCAAAATTTTTAATTATCAGAATAGACTGGCTCAACTGCCGTACTAAAAGCCATGCAAAAGAAGAGGCATCACTAATTCCAGGCACAAATGTTATTTACATCCATCTCTACTGTTCTACACAATATATCCAGTTTTAACCAAAAAGATAGAGACATGTATAAAAGGAAGAAGAAAATAAACCAACAATAAACACGGCCAAGAGACAAAGCACTTGATAGAACCAGATTAGAAATAACAGATTTAGACATAATCAGAGAAATACTTTAAAATTACAATGATTAATAAGTTAAAGGCTGTAGTATAAATGGCGAACACTTGCATTAAAACTAGAGATGGAAACTATAGGAAAGAAACAAATACAATTGTTTGGGAGGAGGAGGCAGAGGATGATAAGGAGAAAGAGAAGAAAATAAAACAGAGGAGGAGGAGGAGGAAGAGAGAAGACAAAGGAGGAAGAAGAAGAAGGTGAAAAGGAGTAGGAGGAAAACAGAACTTAATAGAGCTGTGGTTATTATCAAACAATCTAAGAGAGAAGTAATTAAAATGTCAGAAGAAGAAGAAAGAGAAAAATGGGGTCGAAGAATATTTCAATGATTAATTTAGAATTCTCCAAAATTAATGAAAGACATCAAACCACAGAGATAAGAATCTTAGAGAACACTAAACAGAATAAACACCAACCAATCAAACAAACAGATATACAAACAAAATCTAGATGCACCATCGTCAAACTGTTTAAAGAGTGATGAGGAGAAACATCTCTAAAATAGTTACATATTTCATCAGAGTAGTAAAGAAAATAGCAGATTTGTCAGCTGAAACCCACAAGCCAGAAACAGCGGCATGACAGGGGTAACATGCTGAAACAAAACAAAACAAAACACAAAGCTCTCAACCCAGTATACTTTACCCAGTGAAAATATATTTTAAAAAAGAAAAATGAATATTTTTTAAGTTTTCTGGATATATAATATCTTTACACATTTATGGGATATGTGATATTTGGATACAAATATACAACAAATAATGACCAAATCAGGGTAATTGGAGTATCTGTCATCTCAAACATTTATCACTTGTTTGTTTTGGGAACATTCCAAGTCCTCTTCTCTAGTTATTTTGAAACATATGAAACACACAATAAATTAGAGTTTACTATAGTTCCTCCACTGTACTATCAAACATGAGATCTTATTACTTTTTACTTGTTTTTGTACCCATTAACCAACATACATCACATAATGATAAAGAGTTCAACAAGAAGATACAGTAACCCTAAATGTATAATGTATCTTAAAAGAGTCTTCAGAATACCTGAGAAAAAATCTAATAGAACTGAACAGAGAAATAGACAATTACATCTGAAAACATCAACGCTGTTCTAAAAGTACTCACTAAAGTAAGTAGATAGAAAAAGAGTAAGGGTATAGATCTGAAAATCATTGTCAACAAACTTGGCATAATTTATATTGACAGAATAGTCCAACAAATAATAACAGAATACATGTTCCTTTTATGTGCAGATGGGACATATTCTGGGCCATAAAACAGACCTCAACAAATTTAAAGAACTAAAGTCATTCAAAGTCTGATACTAAAACTAACCAGAATTACAGTAGAAATCAATAACAGAAAGAAATATGAAAAAATAGGTAGCATTTAAAAAGAAAATGCAAGCATAAGAATAAACATAAATTAACTGTAAATATATTATTTTTAATTCAATAAGGGTACATAATTTATTGCCAGAATCTGAGCTCACATTAATAAATTGTAAATAGGTTTAAAGATTTAAGTGCAAAAAATATATACATTAGGAGAATATACAAATCAGTATTTTTGTGAGAAAGACTTTCTTAAAGAACATGAACTAAGAGATATTCTAAAGTCAAAATAGAAAGGATGTAGTGAGAAAATATTTGCAACACAATGAAGTGTTAAAAGGTTAAAATAAACAGTAATAATAAGCAAGCTGGCACATACTGTGCATAGTATGAGCTTATATTTGCTAAAAATAGGTCTGTTTCTGTAAGTACATATCTTTGTATGAAAATGAAGTAGATTTGGTGGGGCATGGTGGCTCACTCCTGTAGTCCCAGAACTTTGGGAGGCCGAGGTGAGTGCATCACTTGAGGTAAGGATTTCAAGACCAGTCTGGCCAACATGGCAAAACCCTGTCTCTACTGAAAATACAAAATTTAGCCAGGCATGGTGGCACATGCCTGTAATCCCAGCTACTTGGGAGGGTGAGGCAGGAGAATTGCTTGAACCTGGGAGGTGGTGGTTGCAGTGAGCTGAGATCATGCCACTGCACTCCAGCATGGGCAACAGAACGAGAGTCTGTCTAAAAAAAAAGAAAGCAGTATTGGAAAACCATATAACTCAGGCTGCTAACATTTTCTACCTCATGAAAAAAGGGAATGAATGGAGTTGGTGAAAAGATATTCTCTTAATATACCTCCACGTGTTATTTTTAAAAAATAAGCATGCATTACTTGCACAATCAAAATACAAAATATAAAAATAAAGAAAATGGAAAATATACAATGTTATATGGATTCTTCCTTGCTGTGATATGTTGAAAATCACTTAACACTCATTAATGTCTCAAAGGAATCATCATAAAATTAATGGCTTTTGTATTGGCTAGCATATGGTTCAAGGACTGCAGTCCTTGATGTTTTCTCATTAAACAACCCCAAATAATTTTTTTAAGTTATTTTACTTGTTTTTATGTATACTTTTTCTATTGGTTTTAACTATCACTTCTTGATGCTTTTAAGACACCTATTTTGCAAACATTCAAGGATTTTATGTATTACTCAACTGGCATTGGAGTAAAGTTTAACAGGAATAATGTTTATAATTGACTATAATTGACTAAATATATGTGGTAACATAAAATTTTCTGTTTTGTTTTATTTTTCTGCAGATTTCTTAACCTCTTCATTGTTTTTTTTTGGGGGGAGGTGTTGTTTCATTTTGAATAGGTTCCGATAGTTCAGATGACTGGCTAAAATTGCTTAACACCCTACATGGCTTTATTTTGAAATTAAATATTTACATTATTGAAAACAGAATGTAATAAAGTTGACAACATTTCATTCACCCAGTGAGAAATGTTAAAAAATAGCCAATGCTGATAGCAATTGCCATTGTTTGGAATAATACAGTTCCTAAAGAAAGAATAAAGGATAACCAAAAGTTTGGTTCCTAGCAGATCCAATGCAGTAATTTCTCAGGACACGATAATGTAACAAAATAATTTTACTGCAGTACATCAATCACTTAGTACTTTTATTTTATAGCAATACTTTTAAACTACATGTGATTACGTTAATTTAGCTATATATGAATCGTATAATTTCAGCAAAATTAAAATATACAAATCTTAAGACAATACCTTAGTAATACTTAAGCATATAATTAAATTTTATTATAAGGAGTTAAGAGTCCACAGAATAAAAGAGAATAAAATGCCAGATGTCTCAATAATTAGAACCAAAATAAGCAATGATATGGATCTCTCATTTTATTACTTGAAATAAGAAAATTTATCTAATCTTCTCAAATATTTTGTTTCCAAAAGATGAAGTCTCCTGCTATACCTAGAAGACTCCTAATTGCATTAAAATGTGGCATTGTTTTAAACCATCTGATTCCACATTCAGTCTTTCTCTTAATGTGAAGACAGCATGACATAAAGTGAGCAGTATCTTGGTAAGAAATTAGAATGTATTCATTTACCCTGAAGGTTTACATAATTCTATCATTTTCTCCGACTGAGGAGAACATTTGGCTTGTAGGAAAGCAGATATAAGACATTATCTTAATCTTAGTCAGACTCTGCTAATCTGGGGATTTTGCATATGATGCTAATGTCCTGATGCTCTCCAAATTGTTAAAGGGAAAATTAGTACAATGTCACTTTCAAGAATTATGTATTCTTGATTGCAGCCATATTTTTAAAAGCCTGGGTATAGTATTTCTGCTATGCAATTTTTGGAGATTTAAATAATAAAATAAAATCAAGGTATCTTGATAATAGTAAGCACAACATATTCTTATTGAATAAAACATCACCAAGCATTTTCATGCTAATGATAATAGGATGAGAGGCTAAATAGTTGCATTTCCTTCAACTTCTTATCGTAAAACATATTTTAAGATTTTTACCATCTTAGTTACTTTTCTATGATCATTCCTTTGTTTTTCAGTGATAGCTCTAAAGTAAATCCAAACAAAATATATTCAAGAAGCCTGATTTTATAAAATAAAAATTAGGTGTCGATTGTTAAAAAATAATGACAGACTGTATAAACTCCATTTTTTAAAGCTATGACATTTTTGACCATTTTGTCAACTCAAATCATTTAGCTATGAAATATTTACACTGTCCAAGATTCAAGTAAAATACAATTCTTGAGTAATGACTGTGGAATTCTTTATGCAAATGCTATAATACAATTTGGTTGATTAAAATCTCAGATTACTATCATAATGTGTTTAAGAGTTAAGTATAATTACTAAAATAGCTACTAAAAAGACTATATATTTCATTATATTTTAAATGTTAACTAATGCAAAATATATAGCAATGTTGATTTGATGGTATGTGAAGCTAGAAAATCCCCCTTTCTTTGTAGAACTATATTCCACTTTCAAGGTTCATTGACTTTTTTGAAAAAGCAAAATATCTTTCCATTTAAATTTCATTAAGCTTTTACCCTTTTAATCCAATTCTGCTATCATCAGAATCTTGCCCTTTTGGAAACTATGTTATGTAGCAAATATAAGCAAGCAGCTACAGGCTAATTTATCACTCTTCTGAAGTTAGGACATTGTCCAGGTAACAATTTGTGATTAGACTTTTTGGTTTGTTCGTTCAACAAATTGTTATTGAGTCCCTACCATATGCCAAGGCCTTTTCTAGTGCCTGCAGGTTCTACAGTGGAAAACTATTGACCTTAGAGTGCTTATATTTTATTTGGAACAGAGAGAAAATAAGCTGGTAAACATTCATATATCAGGTAGCAATATTTACTAGAAAGAATAATGAAGCAACATAAAGAGGAGGTGAATGCTCTGGGGTGCTGTTGCTATTTTAGATGGGGTGGAAGGGAAGGCACCTAGTGAGGAATGTTTGGGCAACGAGCTGGATGAAGTGAGGGAGTGAGCCATACAGATACCTGGGGGAAGAGTGTTCTAGGACAAGTAAAAGACAAATATGAAGGATGTGCCTTTACTATGAAGAATTATATTAATCAAAAATTCTACAACACTTTCTGGAAGTCACAGAGAAGTCAGCAGGCAATGGTTAGTCCCTAAGAGTAATCTGTACTCACAGTTTTTAGCAGTCTGGCTTATGATTAGGAAACAAATGAAGTTAGAGAGTATGCTACCCTTCTGCACTCAGCGTAAGGATCACTAGCTGCCATGCAGTTAGGATATAAATACTAAGAATGAGATTATGATCCTGGATCATGAGATTAGGAAAAAGAGAAAAAAATATCATGGCTTAATTTGTATTCTTACCTATTATAACACAACTGGGAAATTAAACACAAATAAAAGGTATGTGATACTCAGGGACAGAAAATAGGTTAAAGTCTAAAGACTAACTTAAATATAACAAGTAGTCAATTCTTAGATGACTTATGTCAGGTTGACCTCTAAAAACTATTGTTTTGTAGTTCCAAAATTGGTAATTTCATAAGGTTCAACTTAATATTTGTAATCATGCTCAACAATGTTTGGCAAAGCATTGGCCCTTGTCGTGGCCACTATTTCCAGCCAACTTTACTGGATTGTACCTATGGCCTTTATTGCCCTATATTTGGGGTTGGAAAAATCACGTATCTAAGACTTTGCAGGGAAACGGAGTGCTGAATTTTTAAGATTATTTAAGGAGATAAAGTATTGACAAAGAAGACACATGTTAGCATCCTTTCTGCTTTCTCCTCCTATGTGCCAAGCAGCTCAGCACCAGCTCAGATGCACCTCTTGAAGTCATTCATTAACTTTCCACTTGTATGCTAGTCTTTAAAGTTAGACCAAACAGATGTAAATATTGAGAATTAGTTTTTAAGAAACTATATATTCTATTCACACGTATTCTAATATTATAGAAAACAAGCTCTATGGTATTTCTAGATAGTAAAAATGACCATTTTAATGAACATTACGTTAATAATTTAAATGTAATTGGAGATAAAGATTCATCAAAAGACAAAGATCTAAGTCAAAGGTAATATTGTACACATTAAACAATAGATATTAGCATTTAAACATTCTTTGTACAACCAGAAAAACGTGTGATTTGGCTCTCTCTTGCATGTTTGCACATAATATCACTATTTTGACACTAAATATAAATAAGCACAAAATACTTTGTAACTAATAACTAATAAAAATAGAGATTGCTGTTAGAAGAAACAGGTGATTTGGTTAATTTTCTGATTTTAATTACTATTCAAGAATATATAGTTCTATTCACTAAGCATCAATAACAAATAATTTTAAAATTAAGTAAAATCATAAAATAAACAACATTTAATAAAAAACACAAACAAGCGTTTTTATACATTATTATGCAGGCCTACTGTGACGTTTTCTATATGAAAATGGAATGATTAGGCATAGGGTTACTAAGAATAACTCTGTTTTAAAAATTCAATTCACATAATTTTAAAAAGACTGGCGAAAATGACTGGTTTTATATTATTTAATAAAACATAGTGATGATTCTAGTGTTATCAGCATTAAATATAACATAGCTTACATTATTATTCTATTTGGATATATTTTTCCTAAATATATATAGGTATACTGATGCAATTGTTAGCATTATATCTACTAAGTGTTTGAGATTATAAAAAACATAAATTTGGCCAGGAGCAGTGGCTCATACCTGTAATCCCAGCACTTGGGGAGGCTGAGGTGGGCGGATCACCTGAGGTCAGGAGTTTGAGACTGGCCTGGCCAACATGGTGAAACCCCGTCTTCACTAAAAATACAAAAGGTTAGCTGGTGTGGTGGCACACACCAGTAATCCCAGCTATTTGTGAAGCTGAGGCAGGATAATTGCTTGAACCCAGGAGGCGGAGGTTGCAGTGAGCTGAGATGGCACCACTGCAGTCCAGCTTGGGCAACAGAGTGAGACTCCATTTAAAAAACAAACAAACAAACAAACAAAAAAACCCAGAAATCATAAATTTATTTTTAACCAAATTAAATCATGTAGATGACAAGCTTTATTTCAACAGTAATTATGTTTTTCAATAAAGCCAACTTAAAAAAATCTCCAAGAACTTTTGGCAATTTAAAATGTTAGAGGTATGTTAGATTAAGTTAGTTAATAGGTATTCCTCAATCACTATCTAATCTAACATCTACAACATTTTTAAAAAGATAAAACACAAAAGCATGCTTTGTAATTTATATACTTTTTATCTCTTATTTTTATAGTTTAGAGAAGCTGTATATACTTTGCTCTGTTAATAAACATGTTCATTCTTGCCACATTAAAATGATATACTATAAAGAAGTATATGAATATTAAAAATGTATAAAATTTATATTCATAATATCTGCTTATTTACTACAAAATGCTGACAAACCTTACAATTATCCACCTCATAATTATAGCTATAAAGTGAAAATTATTATAACAAAAAATTATAAATGATTTTCTTAGGAAAAATCATGACATAAGGCAACTTTGTAAACAAGATATACAAGACGTTTTTTTAAAAAACTATAGTGCTATCTTAATAGAAAATGACTAATCATCCTAAAAATGTGTAAAAAATGAATAAAATGTAAAAATTATAAAAGATTCATGAAAAACATTTTTTCATCATCAATGCTGGCTAATTTTTAAAAGATTTCTTATAAGATTTTTAACAATAGTATCAAATATAATACTGATGCAAACCCAAAATTTGATTTTTCTCTCTTTATTAAAATGACACAATGTTATTGGATTTTTTGTCTGCTATAAATAAGAGATTGTAAAATACATTTTTATTTGGCTTCAGTATAAAATGCCTGAAGACATTCTATATCTTATCAGAATATTTTTCTCTGCCTTATGTTGACTTAACCACATCCTTAATTATTAAAAATACAAAAACTTGCCGGGTGCGGTGGCTCACCCCTGTAATCCCACCACTTTGGGAAGCCAAGGCGGGCAGATCACCTGAGGTCAGGAGTTCAAAACCAGCCTGACCAACATGGAGAAACCCCGTCTCTACTAAAAATACAAAATAACCCGGGCGTGGTGATGCATGCCTGTAATCCCAGCTACTCGAGAGGTTAAGGTAGGAGAATCACCTGAACACTGGAGGGAGAGGTTGCAATGAGCCGAGATCACGCCATTGCACTCTAGCCTGGGCAACAAGAGCGAAACGCTGTCTCAAAAAAAGAAAAAAACCAAAACCAAAACCAAAAACAAAAACACCCCAACATTTGCTCACTGTCATATTAAAAAATCAAAACCAAACTATGGATTTTCACAAGAAAGACACTTAAATGAATATAATAAAGAAAAGCTGATCAAAGTTTTTAACAAAGATATTAAACAAATGTGATAAAATGGAATGTAGGGGTGATAACATTAATATCAGATAAGTTGAAAACTGTGCTTTTTAGTTCCCCCTATTTTTTAATGTTCAAATTCACTACTAATAAATAAAATACAAATTTAATTAACAATGAAATATAATGGCATATTCATCAGAATGGAAAAGTTAAAATGAATGGTAATATTTTTTGCTATTAGGGATGCAGGGAAAAGTTAACTCTCATGTCTTGCTGGTAAAAATGCAAAATGCCGTAAGCTTTTTACAAAGCAGTCTGGCAATATCTATTATCTTATGTAATTTAAAATGCATGCACATTTTGACTCATTGCTTCCACTGCTTGTAATCTTTCTCACAGAAATAAAAGCATAAAAATTGACTACAGTAATAACTGTCATGATGAAAATAATGAATATTATCAATAATCATTCCTAGGGCACTAATTGAGTGACTAAACTATGGTATGGGTACACAATGTAGTATATTGATTGCTTCTTTGCTTCATTCATTCATTAACTCCTTTCAGTTTTATTTAGTGAATAGTATATGTCAATCTCTATCCTAGGTTCTGGAAATACAGTGGTGAATAAAGACCTCTTACTACATTGAGTTTAAGTACTCTGGTTGGGAGAGAGACAGAGACATTTAAATAAACAAGTAGATTATCACTATATTAGATCTGATAAATGCTCTGAAGGGAAAATAAAAATAGGAGATGGGAGTCTGATATAGGAGGTCTGGTTCACAAATTAAATAAGATAGACCCAAAGAAGAATTCACCCATAGGGTGCACAGATCTGAGGAGCTGAGGGAGCCGAGGGACCCAGCCATTTCTTGTCTGTGGATTTGTCATGCCTATTCTAATGGATAACTTCCCTTTGGAAATTTTTTTCTAGCTGGTCTCTGACTCCTTCAAGCAGTATACATAATCCTGTGGCCCACTTTTTCCGATCCTGTCCAAAGATATTCAACTCTAAAGAAGTTTCTTATAATTAATCTACTACCTTTAGAGAGTCTCATGGAATTTATTGACACATGGAATTTATTGACAGAAAAAGCTAGAAAGGAAAATATTTGTGAATGTGTACAATTACCCAGGCACCTTGCTGAGTGTTGCAAATGTTCTTCATTATCTATCTCCATATCTGGAAGTGCGCATCAGTCTGAACTCAAGCTTAGGTTAAAGGAGAAATTTTAGCGCAAGCAATAAAAATGTTCATCTATGAATATTGGGAGTGGATATGAATTTTAAAAACAGGTGTGAACATGAATCTTTAAAAAATCAATATGTAAGGGTATGGAAGAAACCTTCTCCCCACTCCAGACATCTTTTCTTCATAAATACAGAGGCAAATATACTGAATCATTATTTCTATTAGGCAAGTTAAAGCTCAAAGGCATCAAAATATTTACATTTGCCAAAAAATTAACCAATAAATCCAGAGATAAGCCTGAGGAACTCTTCTATAGGAAATGAAAAATACTACAATTTCTTCATGAAATTCATAAAAAGAAATATATGGATTAGTCATTACGCATTCAAAGACAATTACTAATCTAAAAGTAATGGCTTAATTGCACTTCTGCATTAAATCATTTCACTATGTAAATTAGATTCATAACTAAAATAGATTGAAATTGTAGAAAATTCCTTAATGTGAAAAAAATAAATAAGGCATTTTAGGAATCTACAGAGGATTATCTTACTACACCATTTTGTTAGAAACTGCACTTTGAGGGTAGCAGGTGAGAGTGGATGGATCACATCAGGATAGGCGATGAATGTCACACATCTGGTTCTTCTTTGTCAGCCAAGAGATGTGGCTTGTAATTGCTACTCCTTCCCCTTTTCTTGTGTTTTGGAGCACATGCTTCAATCTTTGAAAGATTCAGCCCGTGTTTCGATATCCTTTTACATGCATTACATGATAAACACATTTTTATACAAATGAAAATAATATAAAATGAAAAGTTTATAAAATTATTCATAACAAGTACCCTATTTCAATTTGTATTTCTTATTTCCAAGGAATTAAAAAAACTTTTAGAGAATTATACTGATAATTAAAAAAAATTGTAAGAGGTATATGGCTCTTTTTTTTCCTTCTGTGTTTTACTTATTTAATTTGCAGATATCCTCTCTTGTCTACTGATCCATTTCACACAGGGTCAAAATAGAGACACCAGCAAAGTAATCTTGGAAAGGCTACCATACGGGGGAGTTCTGTTGTATTCTTTAAAAATCTAAGTACTCCAATTTTTTACCTTTACTTTCTATGTTGTTCTACTCTTTACCACCTTAATAAAACACTGAAGAATATTCCCATTGTTTCTAGTCTACTGAAAGCTAAACACCCTCTGAGGAGACATTCCCTTTTCCTCCAATAAGAGTTGTCCTAAATGCCTTATTTCCTTGCAAAATAATACAGGTGTGCTTGGAAGTAATAACGTTCTGATTTTTATTCAGTATATATGCAGTGAATAAATACTGAAATATGTGTTTTGTTCTAAGTGGTTCATTGGAAATAAAACTTCATAACAGATACAGTAGCAATGATCAAATTTAGAAATCTTACTGCTTCTCTCAGGCCTCAGCAATGTTTTTGTCTTCTTGTTTTGACTTCCACTTTCATGAAGGGCCTTGAACCAGTCCCGCAATCTGTTTGCCACTTCCCTGAACTCCAGGTCACTGCATGCTAAAAACAGAGAAACAACACAAGTCTTGAATAATATCTTAGTATAATGTTAGTGCTATTTCTCTCATTAGTCCAATAAACTGAAAGGTAAGAACGACTAAAAGAAAAAGGTGTGACTGCATTTCAGCTTTTTCAAAGTTAAATATATGCCTTAAAATAAGATGTAATATGACAAAAACATTTTACTTAATAAAGAAGTATTATTAGTGGAATTCTACTTGTGCTCTTCATTAGAATATGACACTTGGAGGATTTGTATTGATAACATCACAAAAATTGAGTCATAATATTTATGTCATAAATACTTTTTTATGCTGGGGTGATAGGTTATCAGAGAAAATAAAGGGTTGAAAATCCAAAATGATCATTATACATTTATTGTTGGCCATACCTCTTGTAAGATGTCACAATTTATAATTATTTATTCATATACTCAGTATATGTAGGAATGCACTATTATAAATATATACTGTTCCTATTTGATTTAATGCTATATATTTGTTAAGCACAGAAAAGAAACAGCTATATAACTTGTGATTAGGAAAAAACTATAAAATATTTAAGAAAGTACTATAATGTTTCTATTGGAAAAAAGATTGTACTGGCAAACTTTAACATTTGGAACTAAAGTAACTTCCTCTTTGTTTTTTAAAGATATCATTATTTATCAACAATTATATTCTTTAAAAATAGTTTATGCAATAAGCAATTAGCAGAATATGTGTGTGTGACTGGCTTAAAATATAGCATTCAAATTTAGTAATTTACTGCAAAAATATTTTGAAAATATATTTTGAAAGCCACTAATTTACATTGTTTAGAGGACGTTGTTACTGCAGACCAATCCCTTGTGCATGCTGTAAATGTGCAATTTCCTCAACTAACAAGTAATTCATGCTAATACTCATTTGTCCATTTGATTAAAAATTATGCAATTATAGTATGTTTTATTACATTTAATATATACCATATACATTATATTATATGTATCATAAATAACATAATGTAATGTAATTGGATGTAATACCATCCCAGACCATTTCCTAGCTCTAAAGTAGGGGTATCCAATATTTTGGCTTCCCTGGGCCACACTGGAAGAAGAATTGTCTTAGGCAACAAATAAAATACACTAACAGTAATGATAGCTGATGAGCTGAAAAAAACAAAATGCAAAAACATCTCATAATGTTTTAAGAAAGTTTACAAATTTGTGTTGGGTCGCATTCAAAGCTGTCCTGGGCCACATGTGGCCTGTGGGCCATGAGTTGGACAAGCTTGCTCTAAAGGAAATAAACTCCTAAATTAAAAGGAATCCCCCAGTACCTGGTATGGTGGGATGACCAAATTAGCCAATCATTGTGACATTTTAGAACACTGGAGACAAAATGAAGATCTCATAAACTTCCATGGGGGAAGGTAACTAAAATTGTTACATACAAAGAATAAGGAATCAGAAATGCCTTCCAATATTTAAATAACACTGAAAGGCAGCATAGCAACATAAAAATTATTTCATATTTCTAAGAGAAATCAGGTGGGAAAGTAAGGTAAAGAAATTTTTACATATACAGGATCTGAAAAACTAACCATCCATACAATCTTTCCCCAGGATGCTAGTACAATATGTGATACACCAGAGATTAAATCAACAAGAGGATGTCTGGGTCACAAGAACTAATGGAAGAGAGAGGTGAAGGGCATTTATAGGAAGCTGGTGAAGGATAATTACAGAGTGTGTGCTCTGTGCCCAGTGCAGAGCAAGATGGCAGTAAGATTGAGATTTCTTGGCCAGGGACAGAGCAATGTACAGAATTCATTGCCATCCTTTCATCCAGGGAAAACAATAAGCTACAGTGAAAATCAAAGAAACCATCACTTTTACTGATAAGGTCCACCATGGCTGAGGCTGAGGTGATAAGGCAAAAAAAAAAAAAAAAAAAAAAAATAGCACACTCTTGATATGAATGCTTACACTGTAGCCTGCTGTCTCTGTTTAAGCCATCTTGACATGGGTCTTCTGCTCCCCTTAAAGGGATAGGCACAAGAAAACAAAAACCTACTTGAAAAGGAGGAATTCTACATATGCATACATACTTGTGTAAGCGTCACATATCTCTAGAAGGATTTATATAAAGAAGTAACTACCAAGGGAACTGGATTAATGGAAGAAAGTGGTGTGAGAGAGTTTTATTTTTACCATTCATCTCTTTCTCCTTTTGAATTATGTACTATATAGCTGTATTAATGTTCAAAAGTCAACAAAAAATTTTTAAAATTAAAAAAACAATTACAAATGCATCTAACCCTTGACCCAGCAATTGTTTCTTTTTCTTTTTTTTTTCTTTCTTTCTTTCTTTTTTTTTTTTTTTTGAGACAGAGTTTCGCTCTTGTTGCCCATGCTGGGATGCAGAGGCACAGTCTCGGCTCACTGCAACCTCTGCCTTTCGGGTTCAAGAGATTCTCCTGCCTCAGTCTCCTGAGTAGCTGGGATTACAAGCCCCCGCCACCAGGCCCAGCTAATTTTTGTATTTTTAGTAGAGACGGGGTTTCACCATGTTAGCCAGGCTTGTCTCGAACTCCTGACCTCAGGTGATCCACCCACCTCGGCCTCCCAAAGTGCTGGAATTAAAGGCGTGAGTCACCGCGCCGGCCCGTTTCTTAAAAATGTATCGTGCAGGTATACTACATGTATACAAACACATTCATTTAAATTGCGCTATGTTGTGTATTCAGCACTTGTTTAATAGCAAGTTTGTTAACAGCATAGCACTCCATCATGTACACTATGGAGGTGAGATCTAAGAGAAGACAATGAACATTTATTGATCATATTCATCAACTCAAACACTGGAGTATCAGCTTCTTTTATAACACCATCAGCTAGTGAATTCATGTTACCTTGTCCAAATCATAGGTATTTGGTAGCACATCTGGTACTCCTAATTTAAAACAATTTCTATTATTTCAAATTAACATCTTTTCCTACCAAAAAACCGTATATCAGTAATATATCTACACAGAAATACTGTATAGTCGCATCCCAGATTCTTAGCATTTATTATTCAGAAAGGTTCATGTGTAATGAGAATTGATGGAGAGATTTCAGGAACATTTCAGTAACTTCCATAAGCCCAGGACATCTTAGCTTTGGAGTATTATTAAAAATAATACTTTACGTATAAAACTTTTGAAAACATTTTAAATAATTTTTCAATTTAATTTTCATTTGACAATAATTAACCGATTTACTTTAAAATTGGCAATAATTTATCTGAAACCATTGGCCAAAACAGGGATTCTTGCCAAATTAGAAAGTTTAAACCATACACTTTCTGAAATTAATTAAATTTGATAAATATAAAATTTAAATATTAATAAAGTTGATATATTTTATAACTAATAAATGAAGTATTTATTAATAGTAATTATCATTTTCATGTTGTATTTGAGAGTCAATAAATATTTTTTTCAGGTGTCAAACTTTTACATAATTTCTTACATTTTAATAGGCACAAAACTCTCTGCCTATTACAAAAATCTCTTAAAATGTCCCCTCATTCCCACACACTGTACTAACTGAATGTTTATGCTCCCCCAGATTCATATGTTATAACATCTAATCCACAGTCTTATGGTATTAGAAGATAGGGACTCTGGGAGGTGATTAGGCCATGAGGGCAAAGGCTTCACGATTGGCATTAGTGCTCTTTTAAAATGGAATCCACTCAGATCCTTCTCCCCTTCCACCATGTCAGAACATAGCAAGAGGAAGGCCATCTATGAACCGGGACCTGGGCTTTGATCAGATACCGAATTTGCTGGTGCTGCCCTGATCTTGCACTTCCAGTCTCCAGAATTGTGAGAAATAATTTCTGTTGTTTATAAGCCTGTGGCATTCTGTTATTCTTAGTAGACTAAATTGACTAAGACACACTATAACATACTTAAATGTAGTTATCAAGAACATGAATTTATTAAAGAATGAATATACTCATATCTGGCAATATGAGTTGTTAATTATGATTATGTTATACAATAAGGAAGCTCAGATGAAAATACAGAGGTCCAAGCAGAGGGGATGCTCTGGGAAGTTTCAAATCAGAGGCAGAGTCCGCATTTTATTGTGCATTATCTTTCAGAAAATTTTTAAGTTTTGTTCCAATAGTATATTTAACAAGCTGTCTCGTATCTCTACTAGGCTTGATTCATAAAGTTTTTTAAAGCACTTCTAAGGTCACCATTCATTTTTGCTTAATGTTAAAAAATAATACTTTATGTCACAGATGATGAAATGAAGTGGTATAGGTATTGGTGATTTAAACAAATTCAGTAAATTTAGTTCACAAAATACCAGGCATAATTTATTATTTTTTCCCTTATCAATTTTTGGTAAAGAGATTTTTCTAAGTCTGATCTATGAGGTGAAGAAATGCAACACATCATTCCTTACTCTTCATAAATAAAAAATATTTGCTACCACCACCTTCCAACAATGTAATGTTTAGGAATTTTGATGGTCTTCCTGATGGGATTGATTTGTATATAAGTGTAGTACAGTTAAAATCTGGCAGAATACAATTACTCTAAGGCAAAAAGGCTTAAGTTGGCTCCAATGTGATTATTTTCTTTCAAGATATGTCCATTACACAAAGAAAAGTCCAAAGTACATGTCTCTCAGTGTCAACTCCAATCCTCCCATTACCTAGGGCCACGATGTCCTAGAGACATGAAAATGACAATATAAGACAAAGTGCTCTGATGGCACAATGTTTATTTCAGATTGAAGAGGAGTAAGGAGGATTTATTACTTGTTGGACTCTTAATTATTCAAGTACAGATAATCATATATTCTTGAATTAACTCTATTTTTATACCTCACTGGGACAGGTACAAAAGGGAATTAATAAATATTTATAATTTAAGTGGCATGGATTTCCACCTTTCTTTTTTTTTTTTTTTTTTTTTGAGAAGGAGTCTCACTCTGTCCTCCAGGCTGGAGTGCAATGTTTCTAAGTGGCTTTTTTTTTTTTTTTAAACAAAGCTTTGATATTTGCTTTATTTGATCTTTTTTATTCAATACATGTTCAGATAAACCTGGCTACAAATATGTAAACAACAAGAAGAAATTACATAATCTCAAAGAACTCTTTTGGCTTTTTATTTATTTTTTGGTGACTTTTAGTTTATGATATCCTTCCAAGAATCTCTATTTCCTTTTCCTAGGCTGTAATCTTCCATAATGATGGTTTCCTTCTTTCATTTGAAAGGCCAATTATGAATCATCTAGTTGTTAGAAATTTTAAACTCTACTTTACTTTACATGAGTGATGGAAACATTTTAACATTTTTTATAACAGTATTAAAAACTTATTTTTTTTCTGAGTACACAGTAAGAGATGCCAATTTTGTAAATGCAGATTCTAATGTATATTAACAATAATAAAAATAAACCAGTATATTTAACACTATAATCAATAAGTAGCTACTATAAAATATTTATTGTGTATATCTGCTATGCATATTTTACATAGCTTGAATAATGTTAGATAAACAATATTTACTTTTACACCTTTTCGTTATGTTATAAAATGATAATTTTTTAGGTCATTAAAATATCTGAAAACAAAATACAGTCAAATGCTGCATAACAATGTTTCGGGCAACAAAGAACATCATATACAATGTTGCTCCCATAAGATTACAATGGAGCTGAAACATTCCTATTGTCTAATAATGTCAACACATCACTCATGTTTGTAGTGATGTTGTTGTAAACAAATATACTGTGCTGCAGTGGTAAGAAAGTCTGATATATATAATTATGTACAGTATATAATACCTGATCATTATAATAAACAACTATGCTAGTGATTTATGTATTTATTATACTCTACTTTTTATCAGTACTTTAGAGTGTAATCCTACTTACTAAGCAAAAAGTTTCCATTAAGACAGTATGCTGTGTTAAGCCCACAGAAGCCTCACACATCTCGTGTTTACTGCAGCCCTTGATTGTGTAACCTCAGTTGATTTACTCTCTTGTTTTGTTCATCACGGCCCCTAACAATGCAAAAGCCACTGCTAATTCTGCCAGTAAGAGGCCCGTTAGAGTGATTGTCATGGAGACTAAATGAAAAGTGATTAAGAACTATGAAGGTGGAAAACCAGTGATGGTTATTGCTCCCCAGGCAGGCATATTCCATTCCACCATAGCTATGATCAACAACAAGAACAAAGTGACAGAAGCTGTTAGAGAATCTGCTTCTTGGAGGCAACAAGACTAAGAAAAATTCAAGAATGGCCTATATCAGATACGGAGAAACTTCTTATGATCTGGATTAAAGAGCAGACACAGAAACACATCCCTCTTGGCACCATGATAATTATAACCAAAGCAAAATTTGTTTGCAATATTCTAAGAAAAGACAGTACCCAACTACAATGTGGAATTTACTGCTAGCTCTGGGTGGTTTAAACAATTCATGAATAGTTATTCATTATATAATGTAAAAGTGAGTGGTGAGTATGCAAGTACTGATGTGACAGCAGCAGCTGAGGAATTTTGGGAACTTCCAAAAATCAGATTGTGTAATTCCACAATCAGATAAGCTGATTGTGCAGAAAAAAAATACTTGCATGAGCAAATCTTCAATATGGATGAAAACTCCCTATTCTGGAAACAAATGCCTGAAAGAACTTTCATCCCTAAGAACGCCAATTTAATGCCAAGATTTTTTAAGGATGGGATAACAGTCTTGTTTGGGGGCAATGTTGCAGGCTACAAATTGAAACCCTTTGTGATCTGGCACAGTGAGAATTCCAGGGCTTTCAAGCCTATTATCAATAAACACACACTGCCTGTGTACTGCAGGAGCAATAGTTTATGGATGACCCAGCTCCTCTTCCAAGATGCCCGTCTGATTTGCTACGTGAGCAAAATGGAGAAGTACTGTTTGAAGAATAGCATACCTGTCAAGATTTGGCTTATTGTTGATAATGCTCCTGCACAGCCTCCTTTTATTGGTGACTTTCATCCCAATATCAAAGTGAGGATTTTTTCTTCCAAACATCACCTTTTTCATCCAACCAATGGATCAAGGAGTAACAGCAGCTTTGAAGGCCGAATACCTGAGGACATTTGCCCAGGCTATTGCTACAACCGAGGAAGACATTCGGAAGATACTGAGGCTACTCTGGAAGGATTATGCCATCTGTGACTGTATCCTGGACTTTGCTTGGGCATAGGGTGATGTTGCGAAGGAGTGTATAAATGGCATCAGGAAGAAGATACTTAAAAGGTTCATCCATGATTTCAAACAATTTTCCAAGAATAGAAGGTTGCAAAGACCAACAAGCCTGTAGTTGAGATGGCAAACAACTTTAATCTGCGTGTAGATGAGGATGACACTGAGGAGCTCCTAGAAGTCATTCCTGAGAAATTGACTAATGGGACTTGTTGGAACTGAAGCAGGAACACATAGCTAAAGAGGCAAAATAAAAGCGAACTGAGAAGAAAAAAGAAGAGGAACCCCCCGACAAGAAAGTTCACAGTGAAAGATTTAGCAGAAAGCTTTGCAGACCTCAACAAGTTCCTTAAAAAGTATGAAAATGGCCGGGCACGGTGGCTCACGCCTGTAATCCCAGCACTTTGGGAGGTCGAGGTGAGTGGATCACAAGGTCAGGAGATTGAGACCATCCTGGCTAACACGGTGAAACCCTGTCTCTACTAAACATACAAAAAAATTAGCCGGGCGTGGTGGCGGGTGCCTGTAGTCCCAGCTGCTCAGGAGGCTGAGGCAGGAGAATGGCGTGAACCCGGGAGGCGGAGCTTGCAGTGAGCCGAGATTGTGCCACTGCACTCCAGCCTGGGCGACAGAGAGAGACTCCATCTCAGAAAAAAAAAAAAAAAAAAAAAAATGAAAACATGGACCTCATGATTGTAAGGTCTTTATTAATAAAGAGGAATATTCATGGTGCATTATCTGATTACAAGCGAATTTATGATTTAAAAAAAGAAATAAACCAAGCAAACCAATATAGACATATTTCTGAAAAGAGTGACACCTCCTCAAGAAAAGCCTTGGTCAGATCCTTCAGGAGGTACTCCAGAAGAATACCAGAAGGTATTTCAGAAGGAGGCATTGTTATCGTAGGAGAAGACAGCTCTATGCCTGTCAATGCCCCTGAAGAGCTTCCAGTGGGACAAGATGTGGAGGTGGAAGACAGTGATATTGATGATCCTGACCCTATGTAGGCCTAGGCGAATGTGTGTGTTTGTGTCAGGTTTATCAAAAAAATGTTTAAAAAGTAAAAAATAAAAAATAGAAAAATATTTATAGTACAAAGATATAACAAAAGTGAAATTTGTGTACAGTGTACAATGTGCTTGCATGTTAAAGGAAATATACAGTATCAAAAAGTTAAAAAAATTAAAAGTTTATAAAGTAAAAAAGTTACAGTAGCCAAGGTTAATTTTGATTAGTGAAAGAAAATATTTTTAAATATTTAGTATAGCCCAAATATACAGTGTCTCTAGAGTCTACAGTAGTGTCTTAGGCCTTCACATTCACTCACCACTCACTCAGTGACACCCAGAGCAACTTCCCATCATGCATGCTTCATTCATGGTAAACGTCCTATATACATGTATCATTTTTAATCTTTTATACCATATTTTGACTGTACCTTTTCTATGTTAAGATATGTTCAGCTTTACGAATACTTACCATTGTGTTACAATTGCCTACAATATTTAGTACATTACCATGATGTACAGATTTGTGGCCTGGGAGCAACAGGCTATACCATATAACCTAGGTGTATAGTAAGCTACATCATGTAGATTGATTTAACTATGCTCTATGATGCTCCCACAATAACAAATGATAAAATATATTATTGATCATACTCATCAACTCAAACATGGGGGTATCAGCTTCTTTTATAACACCATCAGCTAGTGAATCATGTTACTTTGTCCAAATCATAGGTATTCGGTAGCACATCTGGTACTCCTAATTCAAAACAATTTCTATTGTTTTAAGTTACCATCTTTCCCTACCAAAAAAAGGGGAATATATTCCTGTCATCAAACAACACATGACCGTATATGGTAGATACAAAAATTCCATTATATGAATATATCATAACATGTTAAAAATTTCCACAATAAATATTGTGTCAAGAATATAGTTCCTAGTTTATGGGCTTATTAAAAAGACCTAGGATTAACTTTTATTCAACAAATTATTACTGTATCTTATTACTGTGTTTCCTTTGAAAAACCTTAAAAATTCAGTTACTGGATCAAATAATATAAATATTTAAAGACTCTCAATACATATAGACAACTCGTTTCTGTAATATACAAAATTTAAATTCCAGAAAATATTTCAAATATATTTAAAATGTGCATTGTTTTATTTATAATTTATTTATGAATAATTGAATTGTTGAGAAATGAAGTAGTATAGGTATGTAGCAATTGAAACAACTCAATGAAGGTTAGAAAAAGTTCTCCAATATAAAGTAGCATAAATGGCAGGAATTACATATTAATCTAGGACAATCTCACTAAAAATAAATGTAGAATGTGTAATCTACAGAATAGCAGACACTGCACAATGAAAGAAAGCCAGAAACAGAGAGATTCCTGAATTCCTCCCAGGAATATGTTCATGAAGCTTTAAAGTAAATGTCAGCTTCTACATTCTGTTCAATTGTGAGATATGTTTTCGACACAGAGCCAAGTCAGAAAGTTTTTCCCAAAAAATTAAAAAATATATCCATCACTGTCTTGAGGTAGACAATACATGTACAAAACACCGAGAACACATAAATTAGAGAAAAAATAAATTAGAGAATAAGCAAACATTTTCTGCCTAATAAGTAAATGATGCTGAATGCTTGCAGGTATATTTGAGTTTCTGTCTGTAAAGATCAATGAATAAAGACTTTGTGAGAAAATAAACAAGCAGAGGCTCAAGACATTAGGAAAAGATTGAAGGGACAAGAATAGCATGAATGAAGGGAAAAGGATCAGCATGTCTTTGGCCTGATGAACAGCAATTCTTTTGATCAGCTGTAATAACAGCCGTTTTGGCTGAGTGGCTTATAAAAAGAAATATATTTCTCAGAGTTTGCATACTGTGCCAAGGTGCTGGCAGATTTAGCAGGTTCAGTGTCTGGTGAAGGCCCCCTTCCTAGACGGCATTTTTTTATTGTTATGTTTTCACATGGCAGAAAGGCTAACAAGCTCCCTTGGGCCTCCTTTATAAGGGTACTAATCAAATTCACATGGGCTCAGCCTTTATGACCTAATCACCTCCCACAGGTCCCACCTCCTGGTACCATCGGCTTGGGGATTAGGATTTGAACGTAAGAATTTGAAGGGGTCACAAATGTTCAGCCCTAGCACTATTCTGGAAGGTTAGCCTGGTAAATGAAGAGGAACTGAAAATCTAAAGCAGGATATATATGTAAAATAAATATGTTCACACATATACACACACATACATATGTGTGTGTGTGTACAACTTACAACTAATTGCCTGATTTTAGAGTAAAATGCACATAAGCCTCATTCCAGGGCAGATTTGAGCAATTCTAAACGCTCTTTCTTAAAAAGTTCCGTTTAAAAATTCCTCCAGGAATTGTCATAGAGGGACAGATTTGGAGTAGAGTCTGCGGTAGTGGTGTTTCTGTTGCACAAAAGTGTAAAATCAGATAACTTGGTCTCCAATTGCTCTCTGACAAATAAAGCACACACACATGAGCACACATGCACATATATCTTCAAAAATTATTCCTTACCAAGGATTATTTCAGTCTGAGTGTGCTCTATATTAAAGCCACACTAAAATTTTTAAGTGATAAATTCTGAAAGTAAAAGCATGAGTCCTCAGCATTGCTATAAATCACGCAGTTTTATTAAAACATGAGGTACAATTTCTATAGCCATTAAAGAATATTGATGTTCACAAGTATTTCTGAAACTTTGATTCATAAATAATTTGCCTTTTGAGGACCAGCCTAAGGATGGAGTTGTTCTGTACTGAAGGCATTTTGTTCAGACATTAGAGAGTACAAGTTGAATAGATGAGTCTCCGAGCAGGCATTTGGGCAGTAGTAATACATGATTCATTATGTTCTGACAGCTGGTGGCATTTGGGGTTATAAAAAGGTCTCTCAAAAAGCAGGAGCAACTAGGGACAAGACCAAGTGAAAAAGTGGTATTCCGGGCAAACGTCTTAAAGATGACAAACTTTGTTGGAATATGTAATGTCCTGCAAAACATAGATAAATCAATGTATGTCCTGAGGATAGTGAGAGAACGAATATTAGCTTGTGCCAACACACTTTTTAATCTAAAACATTTGAATCAATATATTTGTGGCTTCAAATATCTGCTGATCTTTTCTACTAATGGAACATGACACTAAAACTTAAATTTATCTATGACATTTAATAATGCAACCAAAATGCTATTAAAATTTTATGCCTAGGGTTATTACTAATTTGTATTTCTGGAAAGAGCAGTGAGATGTTCTTATCTAATTAATCTGAATGTATACATGATTGTTCCTACTGTTTTATTAAATGCAAATTAACTGTAGAGTTGGTCAGAGAAAGAGGCCTTCTCTAACTTTAATAGCTACCCTATATTCTCAAAGAAACCACAGAACCATGCAGTAATAAATAAAACTGAAAGAAAGAAGGGTTCACTAGCAGCTTCTATGGGATGAAGGGGGTTCGAAGACTTTTTTTATTGGCAAAGGGGTGAATGCAGCATTGCACTGTGACCTTTTGCTTGGTTTGGCCCAATCCATGCTTAGGAGTAGTAGTAAGGTTTCTTAGTAAGTATAAGCTTTGTAAGACGTCAGAATTCTGGGGCTGCCATAACAAAGTACCACAGGCTGGGTGAAAGATAAATAACACAAATGTATCTTCTTACAGTCCTGGAGGGTACAGTCCAAGACCAAGGTGTCAGCAGGTTTTCTTTGTCCTGTGGTGTCTGGCTTGCAGAAGACAATCTTCTCCTCTTTGCAGGTCATGAATCAGATTGGATTAGGACCCACCCATGTGACCTCATATTACCTTATTTACCTCCTAAAGGTCCTATCACCAAATACAGTCACATTCTGAGGTAGAAGAGGTTAGGGATTCAACATATGATGCAATTCAGGCCATAACAGTAGACAAGCCCTGAGCTGGAGGCACATTATCACAATGTCACAGGATGTAATTGTTACCATCTAAAACTTGCATTGTGAACATTAAGAAGCTCTTCTTCTCAAATACATGTTTTTAGATATATTTTAAATCTTCATATACATTTAGAAATCTTTGTATGTGCTTCTTGTGGAATCTTAAATATTACATTTCCTTGACAATAATCACTCATACTTGCCTATTGCATAAAGTGATGGGAAAACCAAATGTACATGTTTCCTTTGTCCCCAAGTGCAATTGATGATGCTATGTCTAGAAACAATGCCTTTGTCTCTAGCCACCCTGAGAAAAATACACTGATTAGGCAGCCAACTCTACTACAGCATTTCCCAAGACATCCTTAAGAATTACTATTCTGTGGAGTGCTGTATGTTGTTTCATGAGGAAATGTTCCAAAGTCAAGTAAGTTTAAAAAATGCCAGAGCTGAAAATATGTTAATTTATTTAGATATTTAAGATGCTTTCAACCAATATGCATCTCCAAGATTGAGATAATATCTAGTATCACCAACACTTTCTTTTTTCATTACAACAGAACAATATTTTCTTCTGGGCAATAATATTCTATGGATATGTGTGTGTAATATATGCCCTTTATATAAATGATACTTCACAAAAGGGAAATTGAACTACACCTATTATATATTTTCATGAATACCTAATTTTCACAATAGAAGTACACTGATAATAAACAGATCTCTAAAATTATTGGATGGATGGCTGAATAAAACAATGGAAAATACAATGTTACTCTTTTTAAAAGAAACTTTCCTTGAGATTCTTCTTTTGTAGGTCTGGCAAATTGTAAATATCCAGAAAATATGTTTTATAATACATATAAAACAAACATTGCATTCTAGTGGGTTTTCTTTCCTACTTGATGGTAATTTAATGGTCACATATACCTACAATGTGTAAAAATAATAGTCTGATACGATTTGATAGATTAGGTAAAGTCATGCAGATCCATTCAGATTATTATTTTATCTGATAGACTGGCAGATTAATCTTTAATGGCAAAAGACAGACAGTAGAGGTTGCAGAAGGTTAGACAGTAATCAAAAAATGCATATTTAATCAGATGAATTCCATTCAGGAACCTGCCAAGAACTGCTTTTACTTCTGCATAATATTGATAGAAGGCATGCCTGCTATTACAATCAATTCTAGTAGCCATTAAGAAAATTACTGTGGGGTAAAAAATGAAGTCATAAGCTCAAAGGTTGGTACACTTGGCAATCATCTGACATAATAAAAACTGACTGGCTTTGCAAGAGCAAAATATGTAAGTCTGAAACAAGCAGACAAATTTTCAAGTTCATAAAATACCATAAGTACACGTGTCAGAAAATTGTTTACAATAAATACTATTTAAATAGTTTAGCCAGTTTTCTTCCACATAGTAAAAGGTCTAATCTAAAACTGCATTCAAGTGTAGTTGCTGTTTGCGGGAAAGCACAAGAAAACATTAATGAGTTTATACTCCATACACTGGATTCAAAGGTAATTAAGAGTTGTAGAAAAGTAATGTTATTTAAAAGCAATGTTGAAAAAAATGCTTAAATTATGTGATATTGTTAAAACAAGAATATTTTTCTTAATTGCCACCTCATTGCTATTTAAATTTCATGTATATAAACAATATACAAACATTTAGATGTATGTCACTTTTTAATTTGAATCCACAGATTAGAAAATGTTATTTATTAGTGTCTCAAATACTTCACATGGCTCAAGTCTTTGGCAAGGCCTCAATAATAAATTATGGAAGCTTTTTGATTACAATCAATACATAATGCTACATTTTTTATATCTTCTATTTTACAGTTTACCATAAGTGAATAATTTTGTTTTAACAAGGTCATCTCCCTGGAGATTGTTTATTTCTTTCTCAGGCAATTAACCTACAATTGATGCTTCTATTTTGCATGTTAATGAACTAAGTTATTTCTCCAACATTTTCAGTGTTATGGCAACATATAATATAGGTATTTGAGAAAGCTATTTTCAAGGCTTCTCATGAAAATATTATTTTTTATAAAATGAAATGTATTTTTAAGAAATCTTAAACACTATTTGTCCTACATATATATCAAATATGTGAATGTATTATGTAAAGCAGGTGACAACATTTTAGTAAAATTTGGAAAAACACAATTGTTTCTTTGGATTATTAGTGTTTCATACTATTAATGCATTGTCTTAAAGTATACATCCCTATAATTATGGTTCAAATATTTACAACACTAACTCAAGGAAGTTTTAGTAGTATAGTAGTCCCCCAAGTTTATTCATGCGAGATGTATTTCAAGACCCTTAGTAGATACTTGAAACCTAGGATAGTACTAAGCCTATATATACTGTGTTTTTGTATACATACCTACCTATAATAAACTTTAATTTATAAATTAGGCACAGTAAGAGATTAACAACAATAACTAATATAAAAATAAAATTATTATAATATACTCTAATAAAAGTTGTTTGAATTTGATCTTTATCTCTCGAAATATTGTATCGTATTATAACTACTCATCTATTTTAGGACTGTAACTGAAACTGCAGATAAAGGGGGAATACTTTATAGTTATATCAGATAAAAGATAAATGAGAATTCAGCCAAGCACTGTATGCTAGACCAAGAATGTATACTTTGTTGCTGAGTTTTGCAAGTAATAAGCAATCTGTAGTGAGGTGATGCAGCTGGCTTGGAGAACAGAAGCTGGACATAAAATGTTCAAAGGGTTGTATGGCTAGCTTTGGGACTGAGTGACTATGCATAAAGCCTAAAAAAAAAAAAAAAGAACAGGGTCAGTGGATTCTCAAGGTACGATGGATCATGTTATCTCATCTTCGTCACTTAAGGAGTTTCTTACATGTTTAAGTGCAGAGTGACTGATTAGCAAAGTCATGCGTGGAGCACTGAGAGCTTCACCATGCTGTTGCTATGCATGTTGTGTTGTTGTTTGTCCTGTGTTCTTTAATAAAGCAAAGCAAATGTTTATTAGTTAAAACCTGACCTGTCTCATTATTTTATTCAATGATGTGAAGTCAAGACCACTGCTGCCAGTTGAGCAGAGTGAAGGAGGCACTCAACAATACCTTTTTGATTAAACTCGTTTCTGCCAGTTGCTTTTGCCAATGCTGAAGTTTGAATAGGACACATACTATAAAAAAGAAACCAAAATTTAACGATCATCTGTTTCAACTCTTCTATTTATCAGGTAAGAAGAAAAAATTCTTACTATTTGTATTCCTTCCTAGATTATATATACTTTCCAATTCTTGATCTCAGATGGCATTTGAGTTACATAATATTTTCTCTGCTCCTAAATTTTCTTTCCATAGAAGTTCACAGTTTTCTTGAGATTTTTCTTCTCTATACTAGTTTTGATAGCATGTCAATGACATAATAACTACTTCTAATTAGGGACCATTTTATCTTTCTATGTTCTCTATTAAAAGGCTGCAAAACTTTAAATCACATTTCCAGAATCCCTGCAGCATATTTCCAGAGTAGATTTTACCTTAACAGGGACTCAAGCTATATTTGAAACACAGAAAAAGCACAGTCATAGCATTTTTATTCCTCTAGTAGGAGCAAGTAGAACTATGAGCATTGTTAGATGTGAAATTTTGCAGCTGCCCCTTTGTTTTTGTTTCTTTGTTTGTGTGATTGTTTGTTTGCTTGTTTTTTTCAAAAAGGTCACTGACCTCTAGTTGATTTAGTAGCTGATTTTGGTATCTACCATCTCTCTCCTTGCTATAGACTAAATTATTTCTCTCCCAAACACATATGTTGAAGCCCTAACTGCCAATGTGACTGTATCTGCAAATAGGGTCTCTGGGAGGTAATTAAAGTTAAATGAGGACATATAGGTGGGGCCCTAATGTGATAGGACTGTGGGTTCACACAAAGAAGAAATTCTCTCTCTCTCTCTCTCTCTCTCTGCCATGTGAGGGCACAGCAAGAAGGCTGCCATCTGCAAACCAGGAAAGGAGCCCTCACCCAAACTCCCTCATGCTGCCTTGCACTCTGATCTCAGACTTCAGCCTCTAGAACAATGAGAAAAGACACTTCTGTTGTTTGTCATCCAGCCTATGGTATTTTATTATGGCAGCCTGAGCTAACTAATATACTTCCTGAAAGCTAGTAAAAATCTGATTCTACTACTTGCCACCCTTGACTTTTGTTTCTCCAACATTTTCAGTGTTATGGCAACATATAATATTACCTTGAAATACCTAGAGTGATTCCTGCATTTCTAAGTCTTGTCTATAAAGTCCTCATCTACAAACAGAGGCAAAATTGGATGGGTTCTCATGGATTAGGAATATTTCTGTTTGATGGTGTGAAAACCTCATTATTTCTCAAATGAAGTCATTTTCCTCCCACTTGAAATCAGAATCAGTACTACGAAGACTGATTTCAATGATCTTTTAAACAAAGATCTTTTATTAGGAAATAGATATAAATTTGCTTCTTACACATCTTTGGAGTATAAAAACCAGAGTTACAAAAAAACATGATAATTAAAGTACAGTTAGATCAAATATTACATGGTTTGTAGACTCTGTCATACTTCTCTCATTAATAATGAGTTTAAACAGTAAAAAATAAATAAGTGGATATTAGAAAACTAATGTGCTCAATATATATATATTTGTTATTTATTCCATCCTCCTGCTTGCCTTCCATCCTTCATTCTTTCCTATTTTCCTTCCTTTTTTGATCCCCCTACTATTCTTATAAAGTGTCAGTGTGGACAGTTGGTCAGGAAATTCAGAAATCTCTTGTTAAACAGATTATATACTGTAGGGCCACTTCCTTTTATGGCTTAAGCCATACTATTCCAATGAATATTCCTTTTCAATTATTATTCCAAATATTTAGGTCATTCTCCTCTGTTCAGTGATTAACATCATCCTATGGCTAATGAATAAATGAAGATAATTTTAAGTATTAACAAACAATTCTGATACATATTTATGTTCATTCCATGAACTCTGACCCTAAATGAAGAGATGTTGAAATAGAATAATACTTTGAGTCAGACAGTCAATGTTTGAACTCTGGGTTCAATTTAGACAAATTATTCTTTCAGGTTTTGTTTTTGCTTCATCAATACGATAAAGCTAATGACATTTACTTTGCTATGTTGATATAATAATCAACTGACATAATATGAGATAAAGAGATAAGCAGCCCCTGATAGCTGGAGATGATTGGGCACCAATTGTGAAGCTTTGGTGTTCCTAAGTTGTTCTGGCTTCCCAGCTAAGCCATAGTGCTTCTCAGAACATCAACATCAGACAAGCCCACTCCGTGACCATGATGGAGCAAGACAAAAATTAAGTCTACTCTGTAATCATGTATGAGCACAGACAAAAACAAAAATTTCTTCGTACCATGAAATTAATCAAATATGTCTCTCCAACACCTTTCCTGACTAATATGAATAACAACCACAAATTTATCGATTACAGTTTTAGGTTTACTTCATTCCTACCCGCTTCTCCATAAAAATTATTAAGCAACCCAAACATCCAGTTATCTTCTCCTCTGCCAATATCCAATCCAGAGTCAAGCCCCACTTTGTTGAACCCTTCCCCAAATCATTTAGCACAAATCCAAATGTGTCTTGTCCTTTATTGCAGTAAGCCAATCAACCTCCCTTTGTTCAACATCATGTGTGTCCCTGATAGTCTTCAACTAGAGGAAACTGACATGTGCATAAGCCAATAAAATATAATAACATGCATAAAGCAAATAAAATATAATAACATATCACTAACATTAGTTTTATTTAATTTCCCTTTACATACCACCTAACTCGGTTAGATAAAATGTTGAATGCTAGACATTACAGAGTGTGTCCTTGTACTTTCTCAAAAACAATATTTTCAATATTTCTTTAACAGAAATATTTGCTATATGTTTTTATAGATATTTATTTTCAGATTAAGGAATTTCAATTTAATTACTAATTCCTTGAGCTTTTCATCATCAATGGGTATTGAAATTTATTAAATAATTTCAAGCATGTGATTCACAATGCATTTTTTCAGTGTTATAAACAAAACTGATTTTTTAATATTAAAACTTCCTTCAAATCCTGGAATTCATCCAGCTTTGTGGTGATGTATCATACTTTCTTAAAAATATATTCCTAGATTATCATTTTTTATTGTTAGTTTAGGGTTTTTATAACTATGGTTATGGATGAGAAGGACCTATTAATTTCCTTTATATTTTGTTACCAAATAACATTGAGCATATAAAATAAACTGGAGTGTGCCACTTTATCTTCTGTTATTGAAAGATCTGTAAACAAAATTAGTGTTTGAAAAAAATCTGGGCCTAGGTTTTTATTTGTAGAAAGCTGTAAATTTGTAACTCTACTTCTACAAATAGGATTGAATTATTTAAATTTTACATTTCTTCTTTGTTAATTTAAGTAAGATTTTTCTTCAGTATTTATCTAGTTCAACTTCATATTCAAATGTATTGACCAAAAGTTTAAAATTTTATTATATTTTTGTTTCTAATGACCCTTGTATTATCCTCTTCTCTATAAACGATTATTCATTTGTGCATTTCTTCTATTTCGCATTCCCATTATCAATTGTTTTACCTAACTTTTGTCTTTTGTAATCCTCTGAATTGTATTTTTATTTTACATTTTTATTCATTTGTCCTTTTGTCTTTATTCTTTTCTTTGTTTCTTGGGTTTAATTTGTTATTTTCTTTTAACTTCTTAAGATAGATTATTTGCTCACTGATACTCTACTCTTCTTTTTTTTTTACATCTAAAGTTTGCAGTCTAAAGATTTCTTTCTAAGCACTGTCTTAGCTTTATCCCATAAGTTATGATAACCTAGTATTTTTATTATCCTATAGTTTCATGTTTTTTTTCACTCCATTGTGATTTCTTCTTTGATCTGTACATTATTTGGTAGTATATTTCTTAATGTGTAATGATGTGGGGGATTTTAGTATCATCTTTGATATTGATTTCTAGTTTGATTGCATCATGATTAGAGACCATGGAATGATTCACATATGAGAGTGGCAAAGTTACTTGTACAGAATGCTCCTCAGAGATCAGTTAAGATAAGAGATTGGTGATTGCTAAATTTAGTAATATGGAGTGTAGTCCTAACCTTGAAGCAGTGATCCCAGGAAAATAATGGAAGAGAATTGCTATTATTTGCAATACAGTATACTTATTCATAGTGATAAAATTACCTCATTTAATTTTCAAAGCTATACTTTGTTATATCTCAATCAAATTTTAGTTTTGAAAGAAGCTTTTAGTATTTTTTTATTACTACTTGGAAACAGTATTTTAGGAAAATGTTTTCATTTTATTATTTAGATTGAGACTGCCTAGATTGGCTAATAAGGATGTTTCTTAATTTTTTCAAATTGTACAAAGATAGTAAGCCATAGTCAACTCTCAGAATTAAAGATCTGTGTTTTGCTCATTTTGTTGCATACTTTAACAAATATTTAATCGGAACATTAAAGAATCTAGAAATGTTCACTTTCAAATACTGATTAGTGTTTCCAGTCAGTATTTTCCTGTATTAATCATTTTTCTATGCAATATCTTTGATTTAACAAATTCATTGATAATTTAACTCCTGTTCTTAATGAGCTTAGGACCTCACCCAAATCATAGTAATGCACAAAATTAATCAAGTATTTATTCCATAATGATGATTTTCTATGACCCAATATATGAGATTACCATTTAATATTTGACTTACTTTCAGCTAGGTCTTCAATATTCTAACAAATGCTGTTTAATTTAAATTTAAACTATAATCGGGCTTATATGAAAAGTAAAGTTAACATAAGAATTAAAGTTAACATAAAGTAAGAAAACGCAGGCAAAATTAACACAAAGTAACTGTTCATTCACATAAAAATAAAGTGGTACATGTGATTCCTCTTAAGGGAAGTATGCAGGTGATAGAGATTCACTTAAGATAAATTTTCATACTCAGATAACAAATTCATCATAAATATTTCACTCTAAATGCAGAAAAAGATTCCAAATGAATGATATTGGATAACTTTTTAGAAATAGTGCTTCTATTTCCATTGCATTTATATTTGTATTAGTTCAACTAAAATATTTAAAATATGTCAACAGTATGATATTGGAATGAACTTTTCTACTTTGGGATATACTTCCATCAGATCATAATTCTTCACTGGGACGAATTAAATTTATTATTTAAAAGTCTTAAAGGCTATATATTTTCAAAGTTCACACATACACACATATACTCACACATGTATACATACAGAGTAACAATACATTATGATTTCTTTCAAGTTCATTGGTCACATGCTATCATCAAAGGTATGGCTTTTGGGGGGTTGGTGGGAGTTTACTCTAAAATCAATAAATATTTGCACTTTTATTTCCTCTCTCTTTAATGTAGCATAATGAATTTTCCATTCCAATGATTCCATTTCATTGCATAATTAACACAAATACTATAGTTATCATATCAGGGAAACACAGCTGCTTATTCTCACTGTTTCAGATTAATGTTCCATACACACATTCTGTCCATGATTAATGTAACATAAACCTTAAAATGATTTAAATTAAAATATATTTTCATAAAGTAAATCCGATCTCATTGTCTCTCCACAATTGAGAAGACCACTAATGGCCTGTAGGACAAAGGCTAAATAACTGCACAATCGAATAAGCAATAAATATCCAGGGAAGGTTTAGAAAGGGTCTGCAGCGTATTCTCACATAACACATCACAGTCACACCCCGAGATTCAAATCTGAAGTTAGAAATGAAAACTCAAGGATTAGGCAGGCTCTGAGGAATGTACCTGAAGTGACATCCATGCATCACTTACCTCAACTTGAAGAACAGCAACTCTAAAATTATTACATAGCAACTAGAAGTTTATTATCAAATATTTATTTGCTCAAATAATAATTCATTTCAGTGAGGAATTATTATCAGAAAAAGAAATATCCAAAAATATAATTGGGAAAAATCAGAGTAATAATTACATATTTTTATAACATAACATATGCTGCATATACAATATAATATTGTAAAATATAATTAGATATCAATTAAATTTGAGGTAAAAAAGAAAATATATATTTTATATTGCATATAGAGGAGTCTTCAGTAAGTTTATGGAAATTGCATATTATGAAAAAAACTGCATGGATTTCAAAATTCTTTTGTACCAAAATAAACTCATATTCTCAGACAGAGAAGGTATGAAAAAAAGTAAAACATAAAATACAAATAAATAAACTGATACTAATTTGTTATAACATGTCTGAATAGAATCTAATTTGAGGCACTAAGGAGGATAAGGCATTGGTTTGCAAAGAGTCCCTATCAGAGCAACTTGAATTCTGCTAAAATTGAAGCACAAAAAAACATCAAATTGATGGTAAAACTTGAGTAAAAGAATAGTGAAATTACTGATGCCTTACAAAAAGTTTACAGGAACAATATCCCCCACCTTAAAATCAGCAACTTACAAATTGATAACTTTCTGCTTTAGCAGAAAAGAACCCTGAAAATCTTCACTAGAGAGTCCTTCTTCACTATGAAAATGCTCCTGCTCATTCTTCTCATCAAACAACGGCAATTTTGTGAAAGTTTCAGTGAGAAATCGTTAGGCATCCAGCTTAGAGTCGAATTTGGCTCTTTCTGACTTCTTTTTGTTTCCTAATCTTAAAAAATCCTTAAAAGACACCTGTGATGATTAATGTTAGGTGTCAATTGGATTGGATTGAAGGATGCCTAGATGGCTGATAGGTAAAGTATTGTTTTTAGGTGTGTCCATGAGGGTGTTGCCAGAGGAGTTTGACATTTGAATCAGTAGACTGGGAGAGGAAGACCCACCCTCATTAGGTGGGTGGGAATCATCCTATAGGCTGCCAGCTCTGCTAGAACAAAGCAGGTAGGAAAAGGTGGGATAAGCTGGCTTGCTGATTCTTCTGGCTCTCAGCTTTCTCCCTTGCTGGATGTTTCCTTCTATTCCTCCTGACCTTGGACATCAGACTCCAGGTTCTTTGACCTTTGGAATCTTGGACTTACACCAGTGGTTTGTTGGGGGCTCTCAGGCCTTTGGCCACAGACTGAAGGCTGCACTGTTGGCTTCCCTATTTTTGAGGATTTGGGTGGACTGAGCCACTACTGGCTTCTTTCTTCCCCAGCTTGCAGGTGGCCTATGCTGGGACTTCGCCTTGTGATTGTGTGAGCCAATTCTCCCCAATAAACTCCCTTTCATATATATGTATATCCTATTAGTTCTGTCCCTCTAGAGAACACTGACTAATACAGCACCCACTTTTCTCTAGTTAAAAATGTAAAAAGACTGCATGGTAAATTCCCAGAGCCCCCTCAGTTATTTAGGGATGGACTCAATGATGGCTGATATCATTGCTACAAATGTGTCTTGAACCTGATGGAGCTTATGTTGGAAAACAAAATCCATATTTTTTACTTTTATCTTTTGATTCCATTTTTCCATGAACTTTTTGAAGTTCCCTTGTGTATGCATATTCATTTCTTAAAATGACTGTTAGAATGAGTATGGAAAGGCTTAATTTTAAAACTTCATGATAATTTTTTTCTTTTTCAAAACTAAGATCTAACTGATGTACAGGGAAACCCTTTCTGTATTTGGGAATTTTCCCCACATTATCAGACTGATGATACTGTGCCCATCAACTAATTAGTAAAAAAAAGACCTATGACCACAAAACTGTATAATTACAAAAAGTGAATAAAAAAATTATAATGGTATTAAATGTAGCTTAAATACTGACCATACTGACCTTATTAGTAGTGGAAAACTATACATTTATTTGATGTGATTATAAAATTCTGAATAAATTATGTCTTTCATAAAACACCTACATACATTGAATATGATCTATTAAAAAGATGTGCATATTTTTAGGATTTAACACATGTAGGGCAAGCAAGGTGGCTCACACCTGTAATACCAGAACTTCAGGAGGCCAAGGTGGGAAGATCACTTGAGGCCAGGAGTGAGCAACATAGCAAGACTCTCTCTCTACCAAAAATAACAAAAATTATCTGGGCTTGGTGGTGGGCACCTATAAGCCCAGCAACCTGGGAGGCTGAGGCAGATTACTTGAGCCCAGGAATTCCGGGTTACATGAGCTATGATGGTGCCACTGCACTCCAACCTCGGCTACAGAGCAAGACCTTCTCTCTTAAATAATAAATAAATAATAAAAAAGTGTTACCTCTACTAATAGGTTTTTATTAATCAACCCTAAGAGGCATTATCACTGTTTTAAAGATGAGGAAACTGAGACTTAGATTATGTACATAGTTAACTCAAATCTATACAGCTAGCTAAATTGCATAAAAATGTAACAAATCCTGTTATTAAAGGCTTTGCAACTCACATTGTTCTTGCTACTATGCTACTGCATTCTTATAGTTACAGAGGTTAAAAATATAACAACGTAATCTGGTAGGAACTATTTAATAATTCCTCTATTAAGATAAAGTAATTATCTAGAAAATGAATGTAAATAATTTCTGGTTTAATTGCAGTTCGTTTTGTCCTTTTCTGTCTTCTTTGGAAATGAAAGTAATTCATTTCAAATTCATTTAATGTCATTTTTATATAAAGAGCCCCTGTTTTGCTAAAAATTAAGTTATGCTTCAAAATTTTTTAGCTTTAAAAATGAATAGGCTTTGTTCACAGATTCTATTTCAACTGTGTATATGTATGTAATTTTTAGTATGTGCTGTCCTTCTAGGCTGTCTCAACCTTCTTTATATATCCTAGGTAATTGGTGCTAAATACTGCATTATTCATTCTGCTAATTCATGCCAAAATTGATTCTTATGTATGTGTACATTTTGGCCCTGAGGATTTTTAATTAATTTCATTGCCATCAAGTAGCATTTTTATAAAGCATTTTGTGTGTTTTGTAAGGATGCAATTTTGCAGTCTGCCAAATTTGTTTTGTTTTTTTTCCTTCAAGGACAAGCTTCCTCTGGAGACACATAATATCACTGTGTTGATTGGAGAGGATATTATATACAAGTCAAACACTTTATGTTAAGATGAATGCATAACTAATTTTAAATCACAGAAATTCTATGCAGTCTGACAAAATATTGAAAAGGCACATAATCTTTATTCTCTTCCAGAGCCCAAACCTAGAGAAACCACAGAAGTAAGAAACAAATATGGATAAAAACATTAAGGAAAACACTATTAAAAATCTCCTAGAAGACAGAAGGCCTCTGTGGTATGGTGTTAAGCAGAAAAACTTAGCCCAGAGGTCGAGGGCCCAGTGCAATGGGAGGGGTTTGATGCCCTTTTATCTTAACTTTGTACTGGGTGCACCATTTTATATTCTTTCCACTTTGTGTTAGAAGAATAGTGTCAAGAACATGATGAGTCTGAATGCTTACCCTACTTACACAGTAGCCTGACATCGTTTTATGAATATTGGCAGAAGGCCCAGACTCAAGGCAAGAAACCAAGGTCAGTTTATTACCCACAGCGACAGGAGCAGTCAGAGGATAATCATTTTCTTGCTGTTTCCCGAAGGTCTGATTCACAGGGCAATGTGATAAGGGCCAGATGACACAACAAGGACAGGTGATACCTGCCTGTATAGTGTGTTGCACTACAGGAAAGGAAACTTGAGCTTAGGAAACTGTATCTTTTGTAATGGGCTGTAGACAAACCTTCCCTTTTCACTGGGTGAGAAACATTACCTCTTATGTTCCAGGACATAAGCAAACCTTTTTACTCTCAAGGGAGACACTTTCATCTTCTTCTAAGGCTGTTCACCATGTAGACATCCTTGAAAAGGCATTTCAGAATGAGGGTAGACAGTGCCTTTGCTCATAATATGGGCTTAAATGTGAGGGACCCGTAGAGTATTGTATCCCAACTGATAGTAGCAGAAGTTCAGGGTCACAGAGTAATATCAAGTGAAACAAGAATCAAAATTGGGTGAAAAGTAGATTTTGTTTCATGCAAACACAATATCCACTGCTGCGTGTCCCCTGGTCAACACTTCCTCATCCTGAGTCCAGAGACATTAAATAAAGAGAAAGAGGAGCTCTAAGAAAGAATCCAATTTAAGGAATGTAAAAAGAAAAACAGGCAATTAAAATCTAAAGAAAACAAAGGTAACAACATTTATATCAAACAAAATATAATACAAGAAGAAAAATAGCTTCAAGGGCAGAGAGAGATATAATACAGATTTCAGGAGGAGGAGTGGATTAAGAAACTGTGACAGTGACTGACAGATACACACATAGTTATACAGCCCTAAAACACAAAATAAGGGCATTGAGTTAATGCATGTAATGTGTCTGGTCTTGTTCTTAACTCTTTAAAATTACCAACTTTTAAAAATAATATCAGTAACCGTATGACTTAGGTTACTATTATAATGTTCATTTTTTTAAATTAAAAAAGATTCAAAGAGTTAAATAATATGTCCAAGATTACACACTTATCACTTTTGTCAGATAACTGTTTTGAAAACAAAATAGCTAATGCTCTCACAGATGAGTGAAAATATGTCATATTTATCTTTCTGTTCCTCATCTAAGTCACTTAACATAATATTCCCCCGGCTCATTCCTGTTGCTGTGAATGACAGGATTTCATCCTTTTTTGTGGCTAAATGGTATTCCATTGTGTGTGTGTGTGTGTATTATTATGTGCCAACTAACTAAAATCAAAGAGGATCCTTTTAAATCTCTCAATATAGTGCCTATAATTATAAAGGTGTTCAATAAATGTTAGCTTTTTTATGTGATTCAAAACTCTTGTTTAGTATAATACACCAATACCTTAACTAGCATTATAGTAAAAACATTTTGATGAGTACTTATACAGTAATCTTTTAAAAAGTAGTTTCAATTTTTCTTCCCTTGGCATGATTAAGTGTAACTTACTTTCGATTTATGTAATTTTATTTGGATCACAAATTACTAGCTATACTTGCTTTCTATACAATATAAACTTAAAACATCATATCTAGTAATTTTCTCTTTTTCTCTCTCTCATTACCAATTAAAATAGGCACATACTTCACTTATCACAACTAATGGTAAAAGCTGTTGTTGAAAATTGCACCTAAGACTTGTACTTCTTTCAAAACTTCTTCTGTTAAAGTATAACTTTATATCCATACTAAACTTTATTTTAAAACATTCCAGCTTAGTTTAAGTCTTATTGCAACTACAGATAAGACTCTTAAAATGCTTTTCAATCAACAGGACTTAAAACAGAACCTTGCGAATTTTCTATTTTTATAACTGAAAGTGACTAATAAGTGAAAAATTAATAGGAACACAAGATATTTTTAAAGTCTCTAGACTTTTTAATAATTTGAGACATAAAAGTCTATTCCCACACATTGTATACTTGTGAAATTACCACTGATTTTTAGCAAATCATATAAATACTCTCCTGGTAATATTTGGACAAACAATAAAGCAAATCCAAATCCTTGCTTACCCTTGTCATTATTTTTAAATTGCACATATTAAGGAAAGAAGATCACATGATGATCTCAATAGATTCAGAAAAATCATGCAACATATCTAATACCCATTCATTCATTCTCAAGAAAAATGCTCAAAAAACTAGGAATGAGAGGGAGCTTCCTCAATCTGACAAAGGGCATCTACAAAAAATTACCTGCAACTAACATCATAATTGAAGGCATAAGGCTGAATCTTTCCCTCTAACATAAAGAACAATCCAAGATATCTGTTCTTACTACTTACAGTCAACATAGTGATGGGGCTTTCAGTCAGAGAAAGGAGGCAAAGGAAATAAACGTAAGGTATCAGGATTTAAAAAGGAGAAAGTAAAACAGTCCTCATTTACAGACAACATGATCTGTATAGAAAGTCCTAAGGAATACACATAAACATACATACAATTAATAGAACTAATAAAGGAGTTCAGTAAGGTCACAGGATACAGAACCAATATACACAAATATAATTATATATTCCTAACAATGGACAATCCAAAAAGTAATCAAGAACACAATTCCATTCACAAAAGTATCAAAATGAATGAAATAAAAATAAATTTAACATGTACACACTGAAACTACAAAAGTTGCTGTAAGAAATTAAAGATTAAATAAATTGAGAGATACCACATTCATGAATTGGAAGACTCTTTTTTTTTTTGGAGACAAGGTCTTACTGTGTCACTCAGGCTGAAGTGGCACCCTTGAACTCCTGGGTTCAAGCAATCCTCCTGCATGAGCTTTCCAAGTAGATGGGACTACAGGCATGCACCACCATGCCCAGATTAATATTTATAATTTTTCGTAGAGACAGAGTCTAGCTATATTGCCTAGGGTCATCTTGAACTCCTGGCCTCAAGTGACCTTCCTGCCTCACCCACCCCCAAATGCTGAGATTACAGGCATTAGCCACTGTGCCCAGCCTGGACAATGAATTTTTAAGATGATGATTCTCTTCAAATTCATGTACAGATGGAAGGCAATGCCTATCAAATTCTCAGGAGAGTCTTTTTCGGAAACAAGCAAGTTGACTAATTAAAACAGTGAACAGCATACTGACTATAGTTAATAACTATATATTTTGACAGTTATTTATAAAAACACATTTTATATGTTCTCATCACAAAAAAGTGATGACACAATGTATATGTTAGTATGTTTGATTTAGTCATTCCATGTACATATATCAAAACATTGTACTTCATAAATAGATAAAACTATTATTCATCAACTAAAAATAAAGTAAAAATAAACAAAGCAATGTAGTACTGGTATAGTACAACAGTAGAGGTTTATACAGATATACATTTAGATTAATGGAAGAAAATTGACAGTCTTGATATAAATCCTTACATTTAGGGTCATACAGCTGTTAAGATTTATGGTCAATTGATTTTTTTTTTACAAAGATGCCAACTCTCATACCAAACATTAACTTAAAGCGAGTGTATCCCCAACTTTAAGAGTTAAAACCTAGCACTTTGGGAGGCCGAGGTTGAGTGAATCACTTGAGCCCAAGAATTTAAGACCAGCCTGGGCAACATGGCAAAACCCCATCTCTACAAAAATGTAAAAATTAGCCAGGTGTGTTGGTGTGTACCTGTGGTTCCAGGTACTTGGGAGGCTGAGATGGGAGGATCGCTGGAGCCTGTGAGGTGGAGGCTGCAAGGAGTAGAGATCATGCCACTCTGTCTGAGTGACAGAGTAAGACCCGTCTCAAAATTTTTAAAAAAATAATTAAAACTATAAAGTGCTTCAGAAAAAAAGAAGTAAATCATTGTGACCTTTGGTTAGATGATGACGTCTTAGCTACAAAACCAAAAACACTATCGATAAATGAAAAATTGACATACCTCATAAAAACTAAAAATGTCTGCACATCAAAGTCATTATCAAGAATGTGAAAAGGTAGGTCACAGCTTGAGAGAAAGAGAAGATGTTTTCAAATGATATATCTGATAATGAACTGCCAGAAAACATAAAGAAATATTATAATTCAATAAGGAGACTTAAAATAATCCAGTTGAAATAGAAAAATCAAATTAAAAATATAAAACATTTGAATAAATATTTTATTAAAGAAGATATGCAAATTTCTGATAAGCACATGGAAAGATGCTCAACATCATTAGTCACTAGGAAAATGCAAATAAGAAATAAAGTGAAATACCACTTCACAGCTACAATTTGTTACGGAGCATACAAAGTGTTGTCACAACTGGAACTCTCATACACTGCTGGTGAAAATGTAAAATGGTGAAGACATTTTGAAAAACGGTTTGGTTTGGTAGTACCTCAAAAATTTAACTGTAAACTTGCTGTATGACTCAACAATCCCACTGTTAGAGAAATGAAAACATATGGTAACACAAGGACTTGCATGGAAATGTTCATAGCAGTATTATTGACAACAACCAAAAAGTGGAACCTATCCAATTTTCATTTCCTGGTAAATGGATAAACAAAATGTAGTATATCCATGCAATGAAATACTATGCAGCAATAAAAAGGAACAAAGTACTGAAACCTGCTACAACATAGATGAACCTCAAAAAAAGTGACACTAAGAAGAATCCAGACACCAGAGATCAGAAAGGAAAATTTATAGAGCCAGAAAGTAGATTAGTGGTTGCCAGGAGATGGAGATGGGAATTAACAATGTCTACAAATAAGCATGAGGTTTCTTTGGGGATAATGTAAATTTTCTAAAATTAGATGGTAGTAAAGTTTGCACACATTTGTAAATTTACTAAAATTAACTGTATATGTGAAACGAGTGAACTTTATGGTATATCAATTATCTAAATATAACTGTTAAAATTGCATGTGTTATTGTTTATAGGATAGATCAATTAACTATCAAATATGTGAAAAAAATATACAAATGATCGAGTAGGTATTTAAGTAGAATAGCATTTTTAAAATGCTTTCTGAAATAGAATATTCTGGAAATATTTCTGTCTTTTTTTAAACGTAATTTGATCCTAACAATAAAAATAATATTGAGGTTTGATTTTGAATTATATAATCACACTAATCATATCAGTGCTTATCTCACAATGAAGCTGCCATATTTCCCTAGTGAGAGTCTACATAGCACAGTCATGAATGGTATTTGCTCTGAAGCTTAATGCTCTGCCTTCTTATCCTTGTTTTCCCGCTGACCAACGAAATGAACTCAAACAAATTGCTTAATCTCACTGTCTCTTAATTTTCTCTCTGAAAATGTGGATCAGTATTTGTCACACAGAGTCATTATGGGAATTATAGGAGCTATCCCATGAAAACCTCTTTGAACACTCTTTGGCCATCAGAAGCCCTCGATAAATTCTGGCTATTATTTTTAAATGTCTCTGAGATTTTTCAGCCCTAAGGATGCATAGATTCACCCATAGAAGCAGTTTCATAATTTCTTTGAGAAATTTTTTGGCACTCATAGGATGTCTGATCTCTCATGCGGAGAACTGGCAGCTAAGCTGATTGTTTCTTGGATCGAATAACAGTCATTTTCAAAGGCACTATTGCACTCCGTACACTCCAAGCTGTCTTTTTCAAACAGGATTGAAATCCTGATAACAATTGGTTCCTAAAATCTTTTATTCTTGTAATTTATCATCTTTTTTTCCCCTTAAGTACATATGTCTTCTGTTCAGTCCATCTAGAAAAATGTGAGTAAGTTCTGGGCCTTTAACTCTAGAAAGTTAATATGAAAGTACAGATGTTAAGGATTTGAATTTATCTTGTTTATTAAGCAGCTTTCATTTGGTTTAATATCTTCTTTTAAAAAGTGAGAGAAGCTCACATTTTTTCTTTTGCTGTTTATGGTACAAAAACAGAAAACATTAAACTAGCAAAAAATAAGTTTATCTTGGCTAACAAGTAACCAAAAATACATACTTAGGAAGCCATATGCATATGTGACTGGAGTTGATATTCAGGAATTCAACTCATTCCTTCCCAAGAGTTCACATTATGATGAACACTCACATTCTTCTTTGGACTTTCCGAAAAGGTTTCTTATTTTGTAACACATTTAAAACCTTCATTGTGAAAATATAAACATTTCATTTTTTCAAAAACAATCTTGGGTTTTCACCAACGGAATGTGAGTCAAAGTGATAAACACTTTCAAGCTGAGACAACTGAAAACAGCTTTCCCTTTTCTCTACTATTTTCCTTTATCTTCTGACCAAATCCAGAGGACTTGATACAGGACTCTGAAGCAGAGACACTAGATAAAAAAAATTCCTGGGTGCCTGAGTCACAACATGAAAAGTTGACTGATGTATATTTTATTGGACTGCTATGTGAGAAAGAGGTAAACTTTCATTGTGTGAAGTTGCTGAGATTTAGGTATTGTCTTATTGCAATACTTAGCTTATGCTGACTGACATAAGTCATTTTATAATTTCTGTGAAAATTCTGACTCACTCTTTACCAAAACAACAACAACAATAAACACGATTTAAGGGTCAGGGAACACTGGCAGCAGCACTGTGATCCTGCAGCAAGTCACTAGAGAGAAGAATGAATTCTCACCAATATTAAAATATGAATATCCATTATTTCCTTTGTGAATATGCATTGCATCTACATCCCTGGTTTCATTTGGCCCCAACTCAATGGTGTTATGAGATAGGTGTTATATAAATGAGCCAAAGATAACTTCTATTTTTTTGCCTCTAAGTTATTGATTTCTTGATGGCAGGCTGAGACTCATTACCTCCAAAGCCCACTGGCACCACACTCAAATTTATAAACATCCCATTATTTTAGAAAATAGCCTAAGCAAGCAAGTTTTTGCCTTTAGTACCTTCCTGGTTTGCATAATCTATCAAACCTCACCCAACAGCTGTTATCGGTTAATGAGACAGGGCTTTGCAGTATTAAGTCCCTAAGCTGCTGCTTCCAGGGAGTTCTCTGACCCAGTGTCCCTTGCCCTGCTCCTGAGTGACATCACCAAGACGGGTCAGTCCCATTCCAGTGCGCCTCTACATTGATTTCCCTTCTAGATAGTGACCCCTGGGAGCCATAGCCTCTCAACTGTCTCATGCTGTGATGGATTTCTCATCTTATGCAACCTGTTCAATTGCTACCCAATAAAGCTTGTTTGTTACTAACTCTAGTGACCACATCTTTTTCCTTGATCAGCCTCAAATCCCTCGAAGTATTCTACAATACATCCAATAGATTATCCCACTTATAACTAAAAAAGTAGAGCCTTTGGAACATTGAGTTACTGAAGCCAACATTGATTGCTGCCATCCCAAAGTTGTTTCCCTTTTATTCCACTCTTACAGAGCCTAGATCTTATTCCAGAGTATTTCTTCTCTCTCTAGTATGATAATATCTGACTGATCTAAGTTAATTTGCTACTGACACATTTCTGAATGAGCATGTGATCCAGTTCTGGCCAAAGACGCAGAACACTAAGTCTGCTGGGAGCGTCTGTGAAAGGTTTCTTTGGTTAACACACAAAAAATGAAATAAAGACATGAGGAAGAATCAGCCCTATACTTTTATTGATCATTGCTGTTTCTTCCCATGATTCCTGAACTAGCAGGGGCCAGTATTTTGTTACATGTTAGCTTGAGAAGAAGACTAAAGATACAAGAATAGAAAAATAGAAAGAATCTTCACTTTTGATGACAGTGTTAACTAAATTTATCAATCCCAGGTCACCTATCACTATACATACTATGAGAGATCATCAATCCCATTATTTTTACGTAATTGACTGGAGTTCTCATATCCTTGCAGGGAAAATTACACTAATTGATACACTTTACTACAGTTGTATTGCCAGTGGGGAAAAAAGCAATTTAAACCTACTCTATGAAGATGAATACATGAAATTAGCAATATTAGTCTCCCGTAAGAATGGAATCACATTTAATTAGATGGAACTGTGGAATAATAATTTGGCCTTGAAATATTTCATTTATTCAGACATTATGTTATTCATGATAGTTTTATACTCATAAGAAATCTAAAGATTTCAAATATATATGACCCATGGAAATAAAAAGTCACTATTATGTGACAAATAAGGTACCTAAGAAAATAATCCACTTGATGAAGGTCTACGTCTCAAGTAACATTAGATTTGATCTTGCCCTAATTTTACCGTAGGTTCCAGTGTTTTTCTTTTATATTTTCTGACCTGAGAAGTAAAACTATTAAGATTCTCTTATTGTTACGTTAATTTACTACAATAATATCCTGTTATTGTATAGTTAAGTTATTTTACTGCAAATCTTATCTATACTCATCTGAAATATAACAGATGTCAAAAAACACCTTTCACAACTTAAAGGGAACAATTTTACACCGCTGGTAGGAATGTAAACTAGTACAACCACTGTGGAAAACAGTACAGAGATTCCTTAAAGAACTAAAAGTAAAACTACCAGTCAATCTAGCAATCCCACTACTGGGTATCTACCCATAGGAAAAGAAATCATTACATGAAAAAGACACCTGCACATTCATGTTTATAGCGGCACAATTCACAATTGCAAAAACATGGAACCAGTGTAAATGCCCTTCAACCAAAGTGGTATATTCAGGATGGAATATACCATAAAAAAAGTGGTATATTCAGGATGGAATATGATTCAGCCATAAAACAACAGCCTTGGCAACAACTGGATGGAGCTGGAAGCCATTATTCTAAGTGAAGTAATTCAGGAAAGGAAAATCAAATATTGTATGTTCTCACTTATAAGTGGGAGCTAAGCTATAAGGATGCAAAGGCATAAGAACAATAGAACGGACTTTGAGGACTCAGGGGGAAGGTTGGAAGGGAGGAGTGAGGAATAAAAGACTGCATATTGGGTACAGTGTACACTGCTTGGGTGACAGGTGCACCAAAATCTCAGAAATCACCACTAAATAACTTATCCATGTAACCAAAACCACCTGTTCCCCAAAAACTATTAAATTTTTTAAGAAAGACAGTAATATAGTAGAGTTGTAAGATCCAAGAGCCAAGATGTGGGTAAGGATTAGATAAGCAAAGACTGTTCATATTTCAAATAAACAAAAGCAGAACAGAGATTGTAAACATTTTTTAAAAATAACTTGCAAAAAAAGATATATTTTTCTATAGCCTACAAAGCAGACATCAATACCGAGCTGTATTTTGTACTGTGTGTTATCGTATGTCATCAATTCTAAGATGCACTTTGTTTTTCTCACTTAAGTGTTTTACAATTTGGCAATTGAAGGTGCTTTAAAAGTAAAATAAGCAACTTCTTAGCGGCATATAAAATAATGGTGCATCATCTGTTCATCTCTGAGTCAATAGAATATGATAATTTAATAGACTGTCAAATCAAAATTTATTTATTCATTCACTCATTCATTCAAATAACAAGAAAGAGCAATCATTTCAAAAAGAGAATGGCCAAACTAGTTGTTCTGACTCCACATCATGTGGTGTGGCTAACATTTTTGTGGAGAACTCTCCAAATGGATATTAAGGATAATTTCCAAGCCATGAACTTAATAGGCCAAAGAGCACGTATAATTTTACAGTCAATAAATAAAATTTTTTTTTCAATTTACATTCTAACCTTGGATTATGTGGGAATGCCCACATCCCATATTTCTGGGAGCACAGTACCTTAATATGAGTATGATTTTTGTCTTTGTGGCATTCCTTTCTTGTTCTTTTCTTTAAATCTATGTCACTCACCCCTTTGTAGTCATCTTGTGTTTTAGGTGAAGTTAGGTCTGATCCACCTCTAGCCCTCGAAGAGGGCAAATGGCCTGGACAGAGAATCAGATTGTCCAGTCTTACTTGCCTTCAGAGATCAGATAAGGAATGAGACTAAGACAAAACTGAAATAATTAGAGACCTTCTTAAAAATTTTGCTGGGCCCATTAAAAAAATAAAAACATGACTTTATTTCATTTTGCTTTGTTTGTTTATTAGTAATCTAAAGTTTAAAGGAAGTACAGACTCTGTCAGTGGTCCCTATATTCAATCAAACTTTATCTTTCCAATAGTGTTTTTCATTTTGCTTTTACTTTGCCAATATTTTCTGGAGCGTATAGCCTGAAAATTAGAATTAACTTACCTTTTGATAAAGAACCAATAGTGTCAAACTATATGAACTAATTCTAAGTGAAGTTTTCCTTGAATACTCAATCTTTGACAAGGGATTTAATTACTATATATCTCCTTCCTAAGAACCACCTCCTGCCTTTTGGAAAGGAGATAAGAAGAGGTAATTAAGAGATTTGCTGTTTACCTGAGATATGGATGTGTACAGCAGCTGGGAACACTGCCTGGCATGAGATAAGCAGCCAACGAATGGCAGTCATTACAATTGTTCATTGAGTTGAATAAAATGTAATAACATTTATTCAACACTTACTGTGCTATGGATTTGAATTCTCTAGTAGCAAGTTTTATTTTGTTTACAGCAACACAGAGCTGCCCTCAGTTACCACTAGGCTTTCCCATGGGAAAAATAAATGGCTCAGGTCAGTATTCAGAGAAAAGTACAGCAAAAACAACTATAACAGCATCATTTTAAGTGAGAAAAATATATTAGGACTGTACATTCTGGCCGGCTTGACTTGGCTGTTACTTGCTCTGATTAGCAGTAAATCTGCAGAGTTTGCTGAAACCAAGTGTGTTCCCCATACATTACAGCATTTTGCACCTGACACCCACTTCAAATCTGGGAGTGAGAATAATGGTCCTTATACATACCTTACTCATCAAGGGAAAAAAAAAAAAACTGTATGACTGAATGTAAATCATTCTAAGACCACATTATGAGGACATATGCTAAATATGCCTCATATATTACAGAGCATCTCTCTTTTTAATGAAAAACTTTTAGCAGCCCATAAATATGATTTAAATTTCTCCAAATCATTGAATCTGAATTGTTATTTAAAAGAAAATACATCAGAAAAATACTTAAGCAGCACAGCATTCAATGGTTTAATCATTTCCCCTTATTTCTTTTTTTATAATTACAAGCTTAATTAGTTTTAGTATAATATCTTCAGCTTTTCAAAATTTGTTGGTTGATATGTCCAATAGATTTCTTGTTACATATATTTTAAATACCATAGAACTAGACTGAATATTAATTCCTTATAAATGGAAAAATATAGAAAACAACTAGTCACAGTTTATACATTTAGTGCCATGATACATTATTTCTTCTACAATTTCATACTTAAATAATAAATTTTTATAACCTAAATTTTTCAAAATTTCCTTTGTATTCAATTAGAAAATTAGATTATTTTCCAAATGTAATTTAGCTTGCATTTACACATTTTTGTTTGACTATTTTCAGGGAAGAAAAATATTTATTATCAGCAATACATAGGAATTAGATAATATTGTGTAACTTATCATATTATGTGGGGAACAATTTTTCCCACTTTTTACTTTATACCCAGAGTTGTCTCACAGTTTCATATTACTTATCTCCCAAGGCACACACACTATTATTATATTATCATAGAGTTTAACCATATTTCTAAGATAAAAAGCTTCCTCCTTGACATTGTGGTGGTAGGAAAATGATTGTTTTGCATTGTGAAAATGCAGAATAAGCAGTTACCTGGGTCAATTCTTTGTTCATTTTAACACATTAAGAACAAAAATGTCTACAGAATATAGGATATCACATACACAGTGACTGTGGATATACAAATGTTACATTTCAATGAAGTAAGTATTTCTTTTGACCATGGATCTTTATTTCACTCAAGCTTTTCCAAAAAGGCTTGAATCCCCCAAGAGAAATGTATCTTGCTTTTAATAGAGAGGAATGTGCTGAGATGTAATATTTCTACTGAAAAGAACGATGATGCATCTACTGTTTCCCTATTAAAAATAATTTTATCTGAAATATTGAAAATCTTCTGTGTTTGCTTATGAGGATTTTAATTAGCCAATTTAAATGATATACATAACTGATAGTGGGTCTACCTGGTTTTTGCAAGTGGTTTCCACAAATCTTTACAGAAATGATGTAACCTCACCACATACACAGATTCAAGCACAAACACAGACATAGATTAGATTAGATACTGTTGATATAGATTATAAAGTATACATAACATATCAGATTAACATGGCTCGACACATCCAAAATGGTAGTAATTTTGTTTAACTGGAGATTACACTATGTAAAAGTTAGCAGATAAAGACTACCTTTGTAAAGAATGACAGCATTCATAACTAGCCAGGTGGCAGAAAATATTTCTACTCACTAACATGGTATTTTCTTTTGTAAATAGGGCTGAATATTTTATACATTTAGGGCAAAAAGACTATTAGAACTATTTTTCTGTTTTTTCCAACTTTCCAACTTGGAATTTTTTATTTGATTTACCACTTTTTTAATCAAGTAGAGCATGATTGCATTTTACTATTTAGTTATTTGCTAAAAATACTAAAACAATTCTAAAAGCACAAGCATTTTGGAAAGATCTTTTAACTTACTAATCGTCTCAATACAGAAATACTTTCTATGCAAATTTTTATTGAGGAAGTTTCCTGCTTGGTAGGACAGTCCATATTATTGATGCAAATTTAAATTGCTTAAACAAACAGGACTTATTGACTGTATCATCTACGTCTCAGATAGATAATATTGTCTTAGATAATATTGTGTAGCTTATCATAACACGTGGGCAAGATTTTTTCCCACTTACTGTTTTACACCAGGAGTTGTCTAATAGTATCTTATTACTTATCTCCCAAGGCACACAGATTATTATTATCATAAGATAAAAACAGATAAGATTCTAAGGAAAAAGCTTCCTCCTTGACACTGTGGTGGAATTGACTGTATCATCTATGTCTCTTGAAAATTTGTATTTGTGAGAATTTTAAGAATCTCATTTCTCTTTTATCTGGCAAGTATTTGAATTTTTAAATGCTCACCTTTCTGAACCAGCAATGTTTCACTGTCTTCAGACTAAATACCTTAATTTCTTATACCACTCTTCATTTTACGTAAGATATCTCTCAATCACCACCCTTTCTACTCTATGGTTTGCGTATCCTAATCTAGACACTCCCATTAAACAAGGTTGCCTTAATAACCTAATAGTAACTGTTGTCTCTTAATTTGCATATTGGAAACTATTATAAGTAAATTTGTTTTTTACATGAATTGCTTTCAAATCAGATCATTTATTTTGTCATTTCAGAAATGATTTTTAGGACTCTGAATATAAGTCTAAATAAATGTTTCTCTTCATTTAAAACTTGTTACTTTAAACATATTTCATAACTTATTTTAACAATTCTGAATCTCACTGTATCATTCATTAAAGGAACCATTCTTCTTCAGCTTGTATCATATTAAGATTCGACAAGTGCAGGGCGCAGTGTTTACTCCTGAAATCCTAGCACTTTGGGAGGCTGAGGCAAGAGGATCTCTTGAGGCCAGGAGTTCAACACCAGCCTGGCCAAAATGGCAAAAACCTTGTCTACCGAAAATACAAAAATTAGTGGCATATGCCTGTAATCCTAGATACTTGAAAGACTGAGGCATGAGAATTGCTTGAACCCTGGAGGTAGAGGTTGCAGTGAGCCAAGATCGTGTCACTGCACTCCAGCCTGGGCACAGAGTAAGACTTTGTCTCCCTCCCCGCCCCGCTCGAAAAAAAGATCCGACAATCATATCTTCTCGGTATTTTCCTATGTTTTTGGGAAAGTGTGATCAACAAGGTAGGACCAAGGACAGACTAACATCTAAAAAAAGCTAGAGAACTTCCTCAAGGAAGAAACTATTTAATTCTTTTGTAATTTCTTCATTGGTTTGTAAAAATGTCATTAAAAATTATCTCTAATCTTGAAATGAGGTGATGTGAGCCCTCCAGCACTTTTTTTTTCAAAATTATTTTGCCTGTTCTGTTTTGCTTTTTCATATATATTTTAGAATCAATTTTTCAACTTCTACCAAAAACATACAAACTAGCAAAATATCAAAAACAAATCTGTAGGAATTTTAATTTGTTATCGTGTAGAATCTACTGAAAAATTGGGGGAGAAATGGCATGTTAGCCATGTTGAGTCTTCAGATTTATTAACATGGTATATATATCTGAATTTGTTAAGTCATTTTTGATTTTGCTTATTAATGTTTGTAGCTTTCATTTAACATAGTAAGTTGTGTCAACACAAAGAGTTAACCTCATAAGGGGAGCTGGCATGTATTTCTTTATCTTTTATTGTCTAGCAAATTTGGGGTAGAAACTGGTATCATTTTTTGTTTTTTCTTAAATGTCTGTTAGAACCTGCCAGTGAAGATATCTGGGTCTGGAGTTTTCTTTGTGGGACAGTTTTTAATTACAAATTAAATTTTATTAAACTATATAGGATAAAAAAGATATACGGCTATTCAAGATATGAATTTCTTCTTGAGTAAGCATTAGTTATCTATGCTTTTTAAATTATTTGTCTATTTCATTTAACATATCAAATTCATTGAAATTAGTTGTTCACAACATACTCTCATTATCCTATTAAATAACATCTATGGTTATAATGGTAATATGTGTCTTCTCTTTTATTTTCTTGACCAATCTGAGTAGTCTTGTCTATTATATGGACCTATTTTTTTTTTTTTCGAAAACATCTTTCGGTATCATCAATGTTCTCCATTTTTGTTTTTTTTTTTTTAAATTTCATTTATTTCTGCTCTTCTCTTTAATATTCCCTACCCTCTGCTTGCTTTATATTTAATTTCCTCTTCTTTCTCTCAGTTCTTAAGGGAAAAGCTTTGACTGCTCGCGTGTCTTCTTTTGAGACTCATCTGTTCATGCTTTTTGTCTTCTTTTTAATGGGGTTACTTGTTTTTTGCTTGTCAAGTTCCTTATAAATTCTGAGTACTAGACCTTTGTCAGATATATAGTTTGCAAATGTTTTCTCCCATTCTGTAGGCTGTCTGATTAATCTGTTGATAGTGTCTTTTGCTGTGCAGAAGCTCTTTAGTTTAATTAGGTACCCTTTTTCAATTTTTGTTTTTGTTGTAATTGCTTTGGAGAACTTAGTCATCAATTACGTCCCAAGGCCAATGTCCAGAATGATGTTTCCCATGCTTTCTTTTAGGATTCTTAGTTTGAGGCCTTACATTTAAATCTTTAATTGATCTTGAGTTAATTTTTGTATATGGTGAAAGGTAGGAGTCCAGTTTCTTTCTTCTGAATATGGCTAGCCAGCAATGAAATGCCCAAGATCAGAGAAATGCAAAGCAAAACAATAATGAGGCACCATCCCACACCAATCAGAATGGCTATTATTAAAAAATCAAAAAAAAAACAACAGATGATGGTGAGGCTGAGGAGAAAAGAGAACATGTATACTTTGTTGGTGGGAATATAAATTAGTTCAGCTACTGTGGAAATCAGTTTGGAAATTTTCCAAAGAACTTAAAAGAGAACTAACATTCAACCCAGTAACCCCATTAGTGGTATATATTCAAAAGAAAATAAATTGTTCTACCAAAAAGACACACGTATATTCAATGCAGTACTATTCACAATAGCCAAGACATGGAATGAACCTAGAGATCCATCAATAGTGGATTAAAGAAAATGTGGTACTTACACATCATGGAATACTATGCAGTCATGAAAAAGAACAAAGTAATTTCCTTGCAGCAGCGTAGATGCAGCTAGGGGCTATTATCCTAAGCAAATTAATGCAGGAACAGAAAACCAAATAGTGCATATTCTCACTTATAAGTGGGAGGTAAATACTGGGTAAGCATGGACATAAAGATGGCAACAATAAATTCTGGGTCCTACTAGAGTGGGGTGGGAAGAAGGTGGACGAGGATTGAAAAACTAACTATTAGGTACTATACTCACTACCTGGGTGTCAGGATTGATTGTACCAAATACCTCAGCATCATGCAATATACTCATGTAATAAACCTGCACATGTACCCCTGAATCTAAAATTAAAGTTGATATCATTTTTAAAAAAGCAAACAAATATTATATACGTGTGTGTGTGTCTTTTTAATTTCACTTGTGACTACCACTTTAATCCATGGCTTATTTAGAAGTTTAATTTCCAAATATTTAATAATTTTTAGTTCAATTATATTTTTGTCAGATAATATACATCACATGATTTCAATTCTGTTGATGTTTGTTTAATGATCCAGATATGGGTTACTAGGTGACTATCATGTGTGCACTTAAAAAGAGTGTGTATTTTGCTCTTTGGGGTGATATGTTCAATAAATGTCAGTTATGTCAAGCTGGTTGATAGTATTATTCAGGTCTTCTATAAACTTATTGATTTTCTCAATTTTTGTAGTATTGGTTACTAAGAGGCAAATGTTGCAGTTTCCAGCTCTAATAGTGGGTATGTGTATTTCCTTTTGGTTCCTATCGGTTTTTGGTTCGTGTGCATTAAAATTATGTTGTTAGGTGCAAACACATTTGGCATTACATTTACACTTATAGTAATATTAATATGGTTGGATTTAAAGCTACCATGTGCTAGTTACATACTGCTCATTACATTCTATTTGCCCCACATATTCCCCATTCTTTTTTGCCTCTTTTTCTGCCTTTTGAATTAACTGAATTTTTATGATATCCTTTTTTCTCCACTAATGGCTTATTAGTTAAATCTCTTAGTCTTGCCTGGTGCACCTAGAACCTGTGGTGTGTCCTTTTTAGCATTCTTGCTTCTCCTCCCAGTGGTAGCCAAACTCTGTCTTCTATCTGTGGTTGCGTTTGGGCACATGTCATGTCACCTGCCCCCTCTTGGAGGAAAAGTGGTTCTTCTGCTCAAGAGCGGTTTGTTCCTCTGCTCAAGAGTGGTCTTGTCTTTCCTCATGTAGAGAGATTTTGCTTCTACTTCAGCTTTTGAAGGAAACTGGCTAAGACGGTTTCCAATATCTTACTCAGAGCAAAAACGTTTTCCTTCTACTCCTCCCCAAGAATCAAGAGTTTTTTTCCTGCTTTGGGGAGGAGGGGTGAGAGAAATGTGTTCCCCCAGAGACTTAACACTATTGCACACTTCTCTGGTCTTTTGCCCTGTCTCAGATATTTCTCTTGAGCACCAATGAAAGTCCACGGAAAATAACCTAGAATTGATTGCAAACTCTCTTTGTTTCTGTGGCTCCCAAGCATCTCAAACCAACTCATCTTGCTGTAATTGGGCTTTGCTAACTCACCTAAATCCCCAGCTTCTGATCGCTCATAGGTAGCCACCTTTTTCTCACACGCTTTGCCAAATCTGAAACAGCCCTGTGGCCTATCTTCATTGGAGAGTTCTTGCTTCTCTTTGAAATTCAGTTTATTTGATGGCTTTGCCACCACTGCTCTCTGATGAGCTCAAGAAGATTAAAAATTTTTAGAGTACCAGGCTTTTTCTCTATGGTCAGGTGAGAAAATTCAATTGGGAACCATTGTTCTTCTAGCGCTTTCTACTGCCAAGGAGAAGCCCAAGTCTGCTTTCTCATGTGAGTCTAATAGGACATTTTCTTTGGTATCTTTTATTCAAGTGTGTTTCACAAAATATCTGAACTGCTAAATAGTTTTGGAAATTAGATGAGAAAAAACAAACAAATTGAACAAAAATATTAGTCTAGAAAATGAATCCCGTTTCCCAAAATATATATGACCACAGAATTCTATATTTTGCTTGAGAAGTTTTTTTGAGTTAGGGATTCTAAGTAATGTTTTTCTCTCTCTCTTTCTCCCCCATCTTTTTTATCTCTCTTTTAATTAGAAAAATTTGACTATGTTTTGATCAATCTGTACTTCCACTGTACTCTGATTTCTCAATAATAGTTATATAAACAAATCTTTATTTTTTGTTTTACTATCCCAACACTTTCCTAGGTAAATTTGGATGGTTTTTACTCTTCCTGAACTAGATCTATGAAGATTTACCATTAATATGTAAAAATCTGAATTTGCAAAGTATAAACCGATTACCAATAAAAATATTTTTCTGTTATTCTACTGTGATATTTATATAAGTACTGTTAATAGTAACGATGTCTTACATTTATCTATAAAATTGTTACTCATCACAGAATAGTAAAGGTTTCTGAACTAATTGGCTATACTGACTTATACCTTAGAGTGTAAAGAACTATTATCATTGCTGAGATTATTTCTTCCTACAATTTAAACATCTATTAAATATTATAATGTTCAAAAAACTTTTGTCTATTTACAGAATTCATAAAGCCAAGAATGATTCTAGTGTCAACAATGACATCAGCATTTTGTTAGAAATATTCAAAAACAATATTTAAGTAGAAGACACCAAAGGAAACAAAACAAATCCTTTATTTTTTTAAACATCTGAAGTTATTTTTTGTGTTGTATCTTAAACTATTCAAAAAAAGGCTGAAAGGGAATAGCTAATGTGAAACTAGGCCTTCATTTTTCATACATCTGTATGAAACCTTCACTATTCCTCTTCTGTCAAACTATTTCTTAACTAATTTGTTAGTTATCTTGTATGTTGTTCTGTATTTTAGCTTCAGTGGGCTATACGTTTGTGGGTTCTAAACGTTGTTTATCCTTTGTAGACACTTTTTCTTCATCACCAGAGGAATTTCATGAGACAATATAAATATTCGTTCAAAAAATTCTGTTTTGGCCGGGCATGGTGGCTCACGCCAGCACTTTGGGAAGCCGAGGTGGGCGGATCACCTGAGATCGGGAGTTCGAGACCAGCCTGACCAACATGGAGAAACCCTGTCTCCACTAAAAATAAAAAAATTAGCATTAGCCAGATGTGGTGGTGCATGCCTGTAATTCCAGCTACTCAGGAGGCTGAGGCAGGAGAATCGCTTGAACCTGGGAAGTGGAGGTTGCAGTGAGCCAAGATCATGCCATTGCACCCCAGCCTGGGCAACAAGAGCAAAACTCTTGTCTCACACACACACACACAAAAAATTCTGTTTTACTATTGAAACCTTTGAGATGCCTTTAAAAAAGTGTATTGTTATGTTAACAATATGAATCTTAGCGGAGTACAATTTTATTATAACTTTTATCCTGGTCTTTCTGCTCTCAAGTTGTCTGTGTCTAATAAATAGATGAAGTGAGGACCCACTATATCCTGGGTACTTTAGCTAATTATAGTACCCCTTCTCAGTCTTTTGAGTTATTTTCTGAAAGCTTAAAGAACAAAACAGTGCAAGAATAATATAACAAAGATTCATGTATTAAATTCTCAACACGATTTTATCATTTTTTTCAGCTTTCTAAGAATTATTTTTAAAATAGCATATTACTAATATTTTGGTTGCCCATTCTTTTCATTTTCTTTAATGGCATAAATAAACAACTACAATGAACTTATATTAAAACTGCCACAAGGCATCGTTGTTTGTAGGGGTTGAGAGGAAATTTTGTTGTTGCTTTATTTTAGTTGAATCTACTGACATATTTTTTCTTATGTGACTTGAGATTTTTTGCCCTGTGAATTTACCTCAGTGAAGATTGTTTTTTGTGGCAGTTCCATTTCCTAGGTGGTAAAAATGGCCCCTATGGAGTGGTTTTTGTTTTTGCCTCATCTAGTGCCCTATGGATTTCTGTTGAACCTGGCACTCCATTCCTGAAAAGACTCTTTCCATCAAACCTTTAGTAACTCTCCTTTGAGTACTTTCTGACCAGGTTCGACCTTAGCCTGAGAAAGAATTCTGCTAAATCAATTTAGTGAAAATTCCCCGATCTTGGTATCTGACTACCATCTGTATCTTATTACCTCGGCCTACTTTCAGAGATAATTCTGATGAGTCAAACAAAAATTTCCCTTACTCCTGATGTTTTATCTTAGTAATTTTCCATTCATTAACTGGACCTTGCTACTTGGCTATCAATTCCCACTTGTCCATACTGTATTTGGAATTGAGTTCAATCTCGCTCCCATTGCAAGACCTCATTGCCATGGTTCCTATACCTGTTGCAATGGCACCTCTTGAATAAAGACTGCCTCACCATCTTTAATAAGTGCCCAGAGAGGACTTTCTCCTTCCTTATTACATCTATAAAAAGTTGGCAGGAGTTTTGTTCATTCTTCTTTAAAGATTGGGAAGTCTTTAAGATTCTTGGCTGATTTTAGGTGTGTAAGTTTTGGTTTTTTTCTTTCTGAGTAGTGTGAAGTTAGACACACCAGCTTTAGCCATTAAACCTTAATAGTTCAATGCCCCTGTGAATAATTTCAGAATAAGCCCACCAATACCTTCTGGACTTGAGCTCTATTTTATTTTAAGGTAGAGATGGTGTTTCACCATGTTCCCCAGGCTACTCTCAAACTCCTGGACTCCAGTGATCCTCTTGCCTCAGTCTCCCAAAATACTGGGATTAAAGGCATGAGCCACCACACCTGGCCTGTATAGCTTTTTACTGCTTGCTCTAGCCATTACATTATATATACAAAGCATCAATAGATTGCACTGATATTATCATTTCACTAGTTGTAAAGAACTATAGAAATTGTACTTCCCATTACATCACTTTACCTTCCCTTATGTGAGATATAACGTCGTAAATATTTCTTTATCCTGTGGACATTTAGAATCACGTTAGACAGTTATAATGTTTGCTTCTATCCTCAAACATAATTTAGAACACTCAATAGGAAAAGGAAAGTCAATTTTATTGACTTTTACTTTTTTGTACCATGTCCTTTCTTCCTTTCTGATGTTTCAATATTGTTTCCTTTAGCATTTTCTTTCTTTTTTCCAGACTTTCCTATAGTTATTCTTTTATGGAAGCTGTGGTTGCTACAAATTTTCTTAGGTTTCCTTCATCTGAAAATGTTTTGATGTTCCCTTAATTCTTGAAAGATATTTTCACTTGACAAAGGATTCTGGGTTGACAGTTCTTTTCTTTCATCTCATGATATATATCGTGTTGCTTTCTTCTTGCCCTCATCGTTTCTAATGTTATGTCCATTGCCAAACAAATTGTTTTTCCTTTATAGATAAATGTTGTTTTCCTCTCATTGTTTCCCAGATTCTTTCTTCATCTTTAGTTTTGCAGAAGTTTGACTTTGATTTGTCTTGGTGTGGATTTCTTTAGCTTTATCTTGTTTGGGGTTTGCTCAGCTTCTTGAATTAGTTTATGTCATTTGTCAAATGTGCCATTTTCCACTGTTATTTTCTCAAAAACTTTTTCAGCTCCACTTGGTTTTCCTTTTCTGTCAAAGACTCAAATGACATAAATGTTAGGTCTTTTGTGGTAGTCTCACAGATGCCTAAGGATCTGGGTGTTTTTGTTGTTTTTTGTTTTGGTTTATTTACTCTGTGTTGCTTAGATTGTATAATTTTATTACTCTATCTTTAAGTTCACTGATTATTTTTTCCTTTGTCTCCTACACTATGCTACTGAGTCAATCCATTGAGTTTTTTATTTTGGTTTTTATATTTTTTAATTCCAGAATTTCCGTTGGTTATTTTTTTACATTTTCCATTTCTTTGCTGAGACTTTCTATTGCTTTGCTGGGACTTTAGAAAAACTATTTGTTTCAAGTATGTTCATACTTGGTTACTGAAATATCTTTATCATTGCTACATTAAAATCCTTGTCATAGACCGGGTGTGGTGGCTCACGCCTATAACCCCAGAACTTTTGGGAGGCCGTGAGCGGATCACAAAGTCAGGAGATCGAGACTATCCTGGCTAATACAGTGAAACCCCACCTCTAATAATAATAATAATAATAAATTCAAAAAATTAGCTGGGCGTGGTGGCAGACACCTGTAATCCAGCTACCTGGGAGGCTGAGGCAGGAGAATCGCTTGAATCCGGGAGGCGGAGGTTGCAGTGAGCCGAGATTGTGCCACTGCACTCTAGCCTAGGCAACAAAGCAAGACTCCATCTTAAAAAAAAAAATCTTTGTCATATAGTTCTAACATATCTATCTTATGAGGATTAGTGTCTGTGGTTACATTTTTCATTCAGTCTGTTGTCTTCCTGGTTGTTGGAATGATGAGCAGCTTCCTACTGAAACCTAGACATTTGGGGTACTAATTTGTAAGACTCTGGATCTGATTCATAGTTCTATTTTAGTTGGCTTTTTCTGACACTGCTCTGGCAGAAGTCAGAGGGCCACCATCTCATTACTGCCAGGTGGTGTCAGAAGCCTGCTTCACTGTTTCATCACTGTTGACCCTGAGGAGTTGTGCCTCCTGGTTATGGATGAGTGAGAGGGGAGTTCTTATTCCTTAGTAGGCCACCACTCATATGGAATGTCTCATTGTTGTTGCTAAAATTACCTCCACTGACAACAGGAAGAAGGGGTCTCATTACCACTGGGTGGTAGTGAAAGTCTTGACTTTCCACTAGACTTCCTCTTATACCACTCTGTTTGGTAGTTAGATAGACATTAGCACAGGGTAAGAGAAGAGGGCAAAAAAGGCTGTCACTAAGGCAGACCATGGCCAGCCCACTTAAGGAGAGTCCCAGAACTGCCCTAACTCCACACTAATGGATGAAGTTCCTGGTAAAGTCTGTGGCCAGCACATCACGGAGAACGAAAAACTAGGGAAAATCTCTTAAAATGGCACAGGTCAAGTAACATAGAACTGTGTCCTCAAGTTCACCCTAAGCTCATTTACCATCATTATAATCAATTTACATGTGGTTTTACCTCCTGCCTGTGGGCTTTTCTTAACAAATTATGGGTATGAATGTGCACAGTTTAATTTTAGCTATATAACCATAAACTGCCAATCAAATGCCATCATCCTGTCACTCAGACACAGCCCAAACCACAACTCTTCCCCAGAAAACCCCCATAAAAGTCCCCTGGGTTTTGTAAAGAGGGGCTAATTTCACTTCGGGGAAATCTGTCCACTCTCCCTCTGAGGGTGTATTACTGTGCTTCAATAAACTTTGCTTTGAGCTTGCGTTTTAGTGTTTGCAATTCTTTGCTAACTATCACAAGAACTGAGATTGGTGGCCCAGAGCTTCAGCTCCATTGACCTCCTCAGTTAAAGGGTCTATCCCAATGCAGAATTCCCAGTAATATCTTCAGTAGGAAAAAGTAGTGGTACCTCATTATCTCCAGCGGAAGTGAAATCTAAGTTCTCCGTATGATTTGTATTGACACTTGAGTGTAGGGAGACTCATTTCCACCTAGTGGAGAGGAAAATTCCAGCTCCCTACACAGCATTTTTTCATAGTACTTTGGGACATAGTTGAGGTGCTTCACAATCACTTGAAAATGCTGAAAGTACAGGTTCCCCATTCAGCCTTCTCTGATTTGGGTGAATATCGTCTACATTATTTTTAAAATCTTATTTAGATGCAAGAGAGCAATTATTGTCTAAAGGTTTCTCTCTTCCTAGCTTTACCTGTCCTTGCCCTTTGGCTACAAAGAGAAAAGGGTTTAGTTGGACTTTTCTGTTTGTTTATCTGTGCTCATCATATCTGATGTTTCTGGGCTTTCTAGTTTTTGGGTTTTCTAGTTTGTCAGCTCCAAGTCTTGTTTATACAATGCAAATAAAATAAAATAAAATAAACCAGGGAACTCACCTATTCCTTGGTTCCTGAGGTCCCTAGCTAGTTGTCCACCTTCTCCCTACATTTCAGACTCATGATTTTCAGACACATAATTTTCAAATTTCTAGTTGCACTTAAGAGAAGGAATAGGAAAAGCTATGTCTAATTCATCTTCCCAGAAGCAAAAGTTTTTTTTTTTTTTTTTTTTTTTTTTAGATGCAGTCTCGCTCTGTCGCCCAGGCTGGAGTGCAGTGGCGCAATCTCGGGTCACTGCAAGGTCCGCCTCCCGGGTTCATGCCATTCTCCTACCTCAGCCTCCCGAGTAGCTGGTACTATAGGTGCCCGCCACCACGCCCGGCTAATTTTTTGTATTTTTCGTAGCGACGGGGTTTCACCGTGTTAGCCAGGATAGTCTCGATCTCCTGACCTCATGATCCGCCAGCCTCAGCCTCCCAAAGAGCTAGGATTACAGGCGTAAGCCCCCACGCCCGGCCCGCAGAAGTTTTTTTTTACTAATTTTAGAGTGATTCTTTGAGAGGAAAGAAGCAAGCCTAAGTGTTGTGGGTCTGAAGTTTACCTCTTCAATTATTGGAGACCGACATAAACACGCTAGAAACGTGGGTGCAAAAACGCTTTAAGGAGCTGTGGCAATTTAACTGAAGGTCAGTTATCAATTCCTAATTTCTTCAATCATTTCCATTTCTGTCTGTGGAGTTCCAGATGTTAGCCATACCAGTAGGATGTCACAGAATAAGAATAATAAGTGTAGATGCAAGCAAAAGAAAAACAATTTCACATAGACTTATAGAATTACAAATTGTCATTTTACAATAATTTTTAAAAAAATTTCTTAAAGTAAGAAAAAAAGATTATTTTACATTATGCACTGGCTTCTATTGTTAAAAAATAAGGAATCATTCTCTGCTTCTTCCAAATTTAAACCTATTTAGTTTTCTTGTACTTTCTAGCTCTTATTTTTGTGTCTGTCACTTTTCACTAGTTCTTATAAATATGGCCTTCCTTAATTTGCTTTCATTTCTTACTATGGAAAATTATAAAAATGTCCATAAATGCCCTTTTGCATACATGTTATTGCAAAGTAATATTACAAATCTTCCCCTGTGCCTGTGGAAGGCAGAATTCTAAGAACTTCTCCAACACTCCTACCTCCTGCTCTGTACAGCCTATATGATGCCTTCTTGAGTACGAGCAACATCAGTGACTATGATGAAATATTTCTCCCATTGTGTCTAAAATCGTTGGGTTCTTGGTTGCACTGACTTCAAGAATGAAGCCGTGGACCCTTGCGATGAGTGTTACAGTTTTTAAAGATGGTGTGTCTGTAGTTTGTTCCTTCTGATGTTCGGACATGTTTGGAGTTTCTTCCTTCTGGTGGGTCTGTGGTCTCGCTGGCTTCAGGAGTGAAGCTGCAGACCTTCTCAGTCAGTGTTAAGGCTCTTAAGGCGTTGCGTCGGGAATTGTTCATTCCTCCGGGTGGGTTTGTGGTCTCCCTGGCCTTAGGAGTGAAGCTGCAGACCTTTGCAGTGAGTGTTATAGCTCATAGAGGCAGTGCGGACCCAAAGAGTGAGCAGCAGCAAGATTTATTGCAAAGAACAAAAGAACAAAGCTTCCACGGTGAGGAAGAGGACTTCAGCACGTTGCTTTTGCTGGCTCTGGCAGCCTGCTTTTATTCCTTATCTGGCCCCACCCATATCCTGCTGATTGGTCCATTTTACAGAGAGCTGATTGGTCCATTTTACAGAGAGCTGATTGGTCCCTTTTGACAGGGTGCTGATTGGTGCATTTACAATCCCTAAGCTAGACACAGAGTGCTGATTGGTGCATTTACTATCCTCTAGCTAGACATAAAAGTTCTCCAAGTCTTCACCAGATTAACTAGACACAGAGCACTGATTGGTGCATTTACAAACCTTGAGCTAGACACAAGGTGCTGATTGGTGTGTTTACAAACCTTGAGCTAGACACAGAGTGCTGATTGGTGTATTTACAATCCTTAACTAGACATAAAGGTTTTCCAAGTCCCCACCAGAGTAGCTAGTTACAGAGTGCTGATTGGCACATCCACCAACCCTGAGCTAAACACAGAGTGCTGATTGGTGCATATACAATCCTGTGGCTAGACATAAAAGTTCTTCAAGTCCCCACCTGACTCAGGAGCCCAGCTGGCTTCGCCTGGTGGATCCTGTGCCAGAGCCGTGGGCGGAGCTGCCTGCCAGTCCCGCACTGCCGGCCTGCACTCCTCAGCCTTTGGGCAGTAGATGGAACCGGGTGCTGTGTAGCAGGGGATGGTGCCCATCGAGGGGGTTTGGGCTGCGGGGGACCCCACAGTCAGGCATGGCAGGCTGCAGATCCTGAGCCCTGCCCCGCGGGGAGGCAGCTGAGGCCCGGCGAGAATTCGAGCGTGTCCCCAGTGGGCCGGCGCTGCTGGGGGGCCTGGCGCACCCTCCGCAGCTGCTGGCCTGGGTGCTAAGCCCCTCACTGCCTAGGACCTGCCAGCCGCTCTGAGTGCGGGGCCCGCCAAGCCCGTGCCCACCCAGAACAAGCACTGGCCCGCGAGTTCCTCTCCCTCCACACCCCCCCGCAAACAGAGGGAGCCAGCTCCAGCCTTGGCCAGCCCAGAGGGTGGCTCCCACAGGGCAGAGGTGGGCTGAAGGGCTTCTCAAGCTTGGCCAGAGCGGACGCCGAGGCAGAGGAGGCGCTGAGAGCGAGCGACGGCCACCAGCACATTGTCCCCTCTCACCATGATTAGATTATGTTATCTGGCAAAGGTGAAGGGATCTTGCAGATGCAATTAAGTCTCTAATCAGCTGACTGTGAGTTAATCAAAAAGGACATCAGTACGTTTGGACCTCACCTAATAGTGAGTCATTTAAAAATGGTGTAGAATTAAGGGACAAGATACAGCAGCAAAAATTATCTTACTCGTCTTGAAAAAATAAGCCACCATGAATCTTGTAGTTTCAAGGAAATAAATTCTGCCAACCATCTGGGAGCTTGAAAGACAGCCCTGAGACTCCCACACGACCCTAGCCCTGGCCCATGCTTGATTGCAGCCTTGTGAGTACTCAAGCAAAGGATCCAGTTGGCTCTGAATCTACAGAAACTGTGATGTACTAAATGCAAGTTGTTTGAAGCCACTAAGTCGTAATTTGTTATGCAATAAGAAAATAATACATGTCTCTCTCTCTAGTTTGGCAATGTAACTTCCTTTGTCAATGGGATGTTGCCAAAGGTGACATGAACAGAGGCTTGAAAGCATCCTAAATAATGGGGCTTGAAACTCTGAGATCATCATGTAGAAAAGGCTGAGCTAGTTTCCTAGGTGATGAGAAACATGGCCTAGCTATCCTCATCATCCCAGATTACGTTGCGCTAATGACCAGGTATGTGAATGTGTCCATTTTAGACAATTCAGCCCCAGCCCAGCAACCAGCTAAGCATAAACGCAATGTGGGCCAACAGAGTGCGGCTGAGCCAGCCCAGACTGAAAGTGGTTCTAAGCCACTACAATTTGGGAAGTTACTTAGAAAAGCCCACTGATGTCTTGTGTTTCTTTGGGTCAAAAACAAATAAACAAAAGGTACCAGAATGGCTACCTGAGTTCAAATTCTACCACTGTCATTTACTAGTTACTCGACTTATATTAACCACTTTTCCCCCACCTTTAAATAGGGTATGATATGCCTACCTTAGAGTATTTTTGTAGTGACTACAGGAAATTGATGTAATACATGTCTTAGCACATACTTTATGTCATAGTCTATTCTATGAATCAACCTGGCTAGGCCATGGTATCCAGATGTTTGATAAAACATAATTCTAGATGGTTCTGTGAAGGCATTTTTTTAGATGCAATTAACAATTAAATCAGTAAACTCTGAGTAAAGAAATTACCCTTCATAGTGGGGTTGAGCCTCGTCCAATCAGCTGAAGACCATACAAGCAAAAGGTTGACTTCTTGCCAGCAGACCACCTTGGACTCAAACTGCAACACTTTTCTGGATGTCTTGCCTGCCAGTGTCTGTCTGTCTGTCTATCTGTCTCTTTCTTGATATATGTATAGATAAAGATAGATAGATGTAGATATAGATATACATATCTATACAGATATACATCTCTATACATATCTATATCTACATCTATATCTATATCTATCTATGTATCTATCTATCTACCTGCCTACCTACCTAGATCCTATTTGTTGTCTCTCTGGAGAACCCTGGCTAATACAGTGTATATACAATGAGTAACTATCATCATTTTTCCTGACTATAGTTGCTCAAAATATGCTGAAATAGCTCTCTGCTTAGTGATATCTGGTTCTAATCTTACCTGTCCGTGGTTTTTTCTTTGTTGATATTTGGATTGCTGAGGCAGAATACAAATGCATGTGCTGTTATCAAAGGTAAAAGATTTGTTAATAGGTGTAACCTAGTATGACAATTCACAAACATGATTGAATTTGCTATAATCTAAAATAATTATGTTAAACAATATAAAATTTTCTACTGTAACCCACATTATTCAGTAATATTGTACATTAAATAATTTATGAATCTTTGTGATATCACAGATAAGGATAAATTAGCTACAAGAAATCATATTTTATAATTCTAAAATGTTGAAATCATATAATAATTAGCAATTTATGACTGAACCATTTGCAAAAAGAACAATTGGTAAACCAAAATAAATTTTTCATTTTAATACATGTTTATTAATGTAAAAAAGTGACACTGGGCATATGAAATTTTAGCAGAAAAACCGTATGCCCTATACAACTACACTTCCTTGTACAAAAAAACTACAAATCTAATTGTGGCTTTAAATTATGTTAAATATTTCACTTTGTGCTATAACTTATAATCTTATATTTTTTCTCATATTTCAGAAAAAAAATACTTCCTGAGTACTGTTTAAGTGATTGAAGGAATTTTGAAGTAGTTTCTATTTTGTAAACAATGTCTCTAGGAGAACAAACAAACCAACTTTACCAGAGGGTAGAAAACAGGGTTGGGAGCTCAGTTTGCAAATGGCCAGAACATCTCTTTTGTAATTACCAAGCAATAGTTCAACAACTTCAAACACGTAATCTAAAAAGCCCTCTTCTGAATTTTTCCCACCAAGTTATTAACTAGGTGATTTTTAAAGCAATGGGACAAAAAATTACTTTAAGATGCAATAAAATTAGCTGTATAATGGTATGCAGTCACATGTCACTTAATTATGGGAATAGGTTATGAGAAATGCATCCTGAGGTGACTTGGTCCTTTCGTGAACATCACAGAATGCACTTACCTAAGCCTAGAGAGTATACCCTGTATGGTAAAAGCTATTGCTGCTAGGCTACGAACTTGCACAGCAAGTTTGTACTCCTGTACTGAATAGTGTAGGCAATTAAAACACAATGGTAACTATTTGTGCATCTAAACAAGTCTAAACATAAAAAAGGTAATGCTTTGAGCTAAGACTAAATGAGGGCTATAACCTCACTAGGAAATAAGAATATTTCAGCTCCATTATAATCTATGAGACCATCTTTATATATGCCATCCATCCTTGACTGAAACGTTGTTATGTGGTACCTGACTTCTTTTTGGTCTGCCAGGGATTATGGCTAAGAAGGAAAATTAGAGAAATGCTATTAATATACTAAAGGTGTAAGAATATAGCAAAAAAATGTTTAGTATGTTTCTATCATTTGCCTTTTAAGTGACAGATTCATATTTGTTCATTATGTAAAAAATACATGATATAAATGTAAGTAATATTATCATATATAATTTTAGATATTGTAGATTAATAGATTATCCTTTTTATTAATTTGGACTAATACTGTAGTCCAAACATCCTAACAGTGAATAGGAATAAATATGGTTGAAAAAATATTTGTGATTCATCCTAAGTGACAAAAAAGATGTCTAATGTTTAATATTTGAGGCACAAACCAAAACATCATTGGTCATACATTTTTGTCAGACAGTTGGTAAAATACTTTAAAGCCTGTTTTTATTTTTGGACATTAGCTCACTTTAATTCACATACCTGAAATTGGTATACTGTAATACCCTAAGTAAATAATAAGAGCTTAATACTGTAGTGTTATGTTTTATTTATATTTTAATGATTTGGGTGTAATTTCTTAGGTCTCTGGTAATTTGCAAGGCAATTTAAAAATTTTCAATAGCCTAACAGAATATTGTAGTCTTTAATGACATATTTAAGAAATGAACCAGAAGATTTAAAAAGAAAATTGATTCCTGATTTTCCAAGAAATGTACACAAAACAGTATCAACCCAGGTAAATGTTCCAAAAATGTGGTTAAATTATAAAGTACATTAAACCAAATCTATCTCACAGGAAGAAAGCCTGTGCTTAATTTTGTCAAAAAGTTGCCTTTTGACAAAAGTAAAATGCTACCCTGTGAGTAAGCAAAATAATCCCACTAGCCATCAAGAGATCTATTAAAAAGAAAAGTGAAAGAAGAAAACAAAAATCAAGCATTCATTTACATCAAAATGGAAGACTGATATGTCATCCTGTACTGCAAAAGTCTGGTCATATGATGGAGGAAATAAGACAGATGTAAGTTTCTTTTTCAAGCTAAGTGCTTTTCATTTACCAGTTGGCAGGCCATTTGGGAGGAGCTAAGCAACTTTGGAGATTCCTTTTATTTTATTATTCAGTCAGATATGTAGTATAGGGAGACTTGTTAAACATTTACTGAATTTCTGCCTTCAGGCCAATTATTTATATAAATTAAAGGTTTCTGAGGAATGCAACATATCAAGATGTTATATTTTCTAATATCATAAGGCACCTGAATACACTAAACTTGCAATTCTGAGGGAAAAAGCATTGATGCTCTGTTCAGGAATATGCAGATATTTATACCTGGACACAGTGTTGTGATGGTATGAGCAGCACTGGAGATTATGCTCATAACACATTAGTAAGCTACCTTCATGCTGTCCTAGAATTTGGAGAAAGTAGAGCATTTTTGGGTAAAATTAAGCCACAATTCAAAAGGAAAATCCTAGTTTATATATATATATATATATATATATATATATATAAGAATCATGTTTACTTTTTTTTACAGCTTGCAATGACAATTTTCAGGATTATTTTAATAATCCAACACCAGCCATCTCTGTATAGGTCAGCTTTAAAAAGACTGATTAGGCAGAAATTGCTCTATATACAATGAAATAAAACAGAAAAACAAAAGGAACATCACTAAAGTTTTGATAATTCAGATGTCAAGCACGTAATAATTCAAAGACTTCTAGTTATGCAGCCAAACTGGCAGAAGATTTGTATCATCTGCATTCTGTGAACATTTCATGAACCTACTAAAATCAAAGCTAGAAACCATCTGGCTTGTAACCCAAAATCAAATCACAATCAAGTTTCCTACAAATTACACACAATAGTTCTTAAAATTCAGAATGTTGGATGGTGGTGTTCTCATGGAAACTTCTAAAAAATTATAACAAGCCAAACTTCAGTTTTGAAGCAGTACATTATAGCTACCATAATAATTTCAGTATTTACTTGCATTAAAGTTTATAAATGCTCATATTGCAAGTTACTTACAAACTGATGGAGTACAGTAGAGCTTTGATCAATTAACTCTTCAAATGACTACAGCATAGATGTACTTTTGTTGACTAGAAAAGGGAGTCAGAAACTTTGAATTTGAGGAAAAGGGGAAAAAATACTAAAACATTTGCCTGCCGTTTACCTCTGTCAGGGTTTCCAGCATCCTTGGGGCCAATCAGTTGGCTCTAAGGCAGACAGAATTCTTTTTGCTAGAGTGATGTTTTGAAATGCTCTGAGATATAAAACACAATGTAGAGAAATGGTCAATAAGTGTCTTTTGCTGGATGTACTAGGAAAGCATTCCCTTTTGAAATCCTTGGTGAGCTGCCAGGTGCTTTGAGTGTTCCAGGTTGGATACCTCATGAAGTAAGTACTTGCCTTCAAAAACAGATGAACAAAAGTGACCCAACATTTGAACTCTTGTGTATGTACTAACAGAATATATTATATCTACATTTGCTACTCTTTGGTTCAGAGCTTAAATGTGAGGCGCTTGTGCAGGTGATCACTGATAAGATTCTGGGAGCCAACAAGCCGGCCAGTGTTTGAGGAGGGCATGTGCATAGTTCCTGGTGTAATTTCTCCCTGTATGCTACTGTTTTCCTCCTTTTTGTTACTCCCTTAGTTCCAAGTGCAATGTTGTACCCTTTCTGTACTATCACATGGATAATTTTGTTTACTACTTTATTCTAACAGGTGATGTAAACTATGTCGTTGATTGCTGTTCAATATTTACCAACACCATGGGCATCATTAGACTTCATTTTATTCAGAAACTCAAGAAATCGTGTAAGTAAAGAAGCCAACATTTTACCAACTTGTTGTTTTTTAATTTCACATGAATATATTCAGAGAATTTAGAAATACATGAATATCTAAAACACAGGCCTTGTCATTGAGACTATGGGTTGTTGAAATGAGGCATATAGTCTTTCAAGTAGGTTAGAAAAATAGTATATACAATCAATTTAAAGGGCTGATAACTAGCTGGTATCTTGATCAGTGAATTTTTTGTATTCATTCCTGTTTCTATACACATAATTTATGTGTGTGCATTTATATTTCTGTCAGTCTGTATATTACATATAAAGGAGATGGTAATTCATTTAGTAAAAATAAAAAGAAATTCAAATCTGTTCATTCTGTACTATAGTGGATTGTCTTATTTGGTTGATGCAAAAGTAATTGTGTGGTTTTTTTTTGTCATTAAAAGTAATGTAAGTAACTTGGAGTCTGCACCCCACAGGAGAGACCACTAATAATAGGCACAATTAGAGAAAAATCATTTAATACTTGTTTGGCCAGGGAAGGTTTCATAAGAGAACAAGAAATTTAAAGGCATCTATATTCATTTACTATTATAAAACATCTATTTTAATTGTGTTGAAATACACATAACATAAAATTTACCAGCATCATCATTTTTTATGCACACATTTCTGTAGAATTAAGTACATTCACATTGTTGTATAATTACAACAATGTAATTTTCGTCATGCAAAACTGCAACTCTGTACTCATTAAATAGCAACTCTCCATTCACCCTTACTTCCCCAGTTCCTGTCAACTACCATTCTACTTTCTGTCTCAATGAATTTGTGTTAGCTACCTCATGTAAGTGGAATCATAGTACCTATCTTTCTGGGACTGGCATTAGCATAATGCCCTGAGGTTCATCCATATTGTAGCATGTGCCAGAATTCTCTAACTTTTTAAAGGACTAATAATATTTCATTTATGTATATATCACATTTTGTTTATTCACTTATCTCTCAATGGACACCTGGATTGCTTCCCACCTTTTAAATAATGGAAAGAATGCTACTATGAACACAGATCTACACATTTTTCTTTGAGACTCTGCTTTCATTTTTGCAGGGGTATATCCCAGAAGTGGAATTGCTGGATCATATGGTAATTCTATTGTTAATTATTTTAGGAACTGCCATATTGTTTTCCATAGCAATTGCATCATTTTACATTCCCATCAACTGTACACAAGGGTACCAATTTCTCTGCATCTTTATCAACACTTATTATTTTCTGTTTTTTGACAGTAGGCAGTAGACATATGAATGTGTCTAAGGTGGTGTATCTCAATGTGGGTCATTTGCTATGTTTTAATAAAAAAATTTGAATGGAATAAAAGATGTCTAGAGTTAAAGTGCTATGCAATAAATTTGTGATATAATAGGGTTCTGGATTTGGAAGGACTCTGAATGTGATGCTAAGAAATTTGAATTTCGGGAGGAGCCAAGGTGGCCGAATAGGAACAGCTCCCATCTACAGCTCCCAGCGTGAGCAACGCAGAAGACAGGTGATTTCTGCATTTCCATCTGAGGTACCGGGTTCATCTCACTAGGGAGTGCCAGACAGCGGGGGCAGGTCACTGGGTGCGTGCACCGTGCGCGAGCCAAAGCAGGGCGAGGCATTGCCTCACTCGGGAAGCGCAAGGGGTCAGGGAGTTCCCTTTCGTAGTCAAAGAAAGGGGTGACAGACGGCACCTGGAAAATCGGGTCACTCCCGCCCGAATACTGCGCTTTTCCGACGGGCTTAAAAAACGGTGCAACAGGAGATTATATCCCGCACCTGGCTCGGAGGGTCCTACACCCACAGAGTCTCACTGATTGCTAGCACAGCAGTCTGAGATCAAACTGCAAGGTGGCAGCGAGGCTGGGGGAGGGGTGCCCACCATTGCCCAGGCTTGCTTAGGTAAACAAAGCAGCCAGGAAGCTCGAACTGGGTGGAGCCCACAACAGCTTAAGGAGGCCTGCCTGCCTCTGTAGGCTCCACCTCTGGGGGCAGGGCACAGACAAACGAAAAGACAGCAGTAACCTCTGCAGACTTAAATGTCCCTGTCTGACAGCTTTGAAGAGAGCAGTGGTTCTCCCAGCACGCAGCTGGAGATCTGAGAACTGGCAGACTGCCTCCTCAAGTGGGTCCCTAACCCCTGACCCCCGAGCAGCCTAACTGGGAGGCACTCCCTAGCAGGGGCAGACTGACACCTCACACGGCCGGGTACTCCAACAGACCTGCAGCTGAGGGTCCTGTCTGTTAGAAGGAAAACTAACAAACAGAAAGGATATCCACACCAAAAACCCATCTGTACATCACCATCATCAAAGACCAAAAGTAGATAAAACCACAAAGATGGGGAAAAGATAGAGCAGAAAAACTGGAAACTCTAAAAAGCAGAGCGCCTCTCCTCCTGCAAAGGAACGCAGTTCCTCACCAGCAACGGAACAAAGCTGGACGGAGAATGACTTTGACGAGCTGAGAGAAGAAGGCTTCAGATGATCAAATTACTCCGAGCTACAGGAGGAAATTCAAACCAAAGGCAAAGAAGTTGAAAACTTTGAAAAAAATTTAGAAGAATGTATAACTAGAATAACCAATACAGAGAAGTGCTTAAAGGAGCTGATGGAGTCAGGAAACAACAGGTGCTGGAGAGGATGTGGAGAAATAGGAACACTTTTACACTGTTGGTGGGACTGTAAACTAGTTCAACCATTGTGGAAGTCAGTGTGGCGATTCCTCAGGGATCTAGAACTAGAAATACCATTTGACCCAGCCATCCCATTACTGGGTATGTACCCAAAAGACTATAAATCATGCTGCTATAAAGACACATGCACACGTATGTTTATTGCGGCATTATTCACAATAGCAAAGACTTGGAACCAACCCAAATGTCCAACAATGATAGATTGGATTAAGAAAATGTGGCACATATACACCATGGAATACTATGCAGCCATAAAAAATGATGAGTTCATGTCCTTTGTAGGGACATGGATGAAATTGGAAATCATCATTCTCAGTAAACTATCGCAAGAACAAAAAACCAAACACCGCATATTCTCACTCATAGGTGGGAATTGAACAATGAGAACACATGGACACAGGAAGGGGAACATCACACTCTGGGAACTGTTGTGGGTTGTGGGGAGGGGGGAGCGATAGCATTGGGAGATATGCCTAATGCTAGATGACGAGTTAGTGGGTGCAGCACACCAGCATGGCACATGTATACATATGTAACTAACCTGCACATTGTGCACATGTACCCTAAAACTTAAAGTATAAAAATAATAATAATAATAATTAAAAAAAAGAAATTTGAATTTCTTCTCCTGGCAAAGGGGATTCCAGAGAAACCTTGAAAACTGAGGTGCTGCCATGATAGGATAGGAGGTCAGACAGGACCCATTAAACCCCCTCCATCCCTAACCACCATTAGGCTTTCTTCACTAAGAGTTAAACAGAAACGAACCCTTTGGAAAGACCTGTACCACTCCTGACACTGCCCTGCTCTACTGTGGTTTCCATAAAACAACCAACTAGCATTCTTTTCTGATAAGAGACCACCAACCATAGAGGGATTCTGTCCAGTCACAAATCCCCATCTTGTTCTTTCCTTCCTCAAAGTGTTTGTTTCTAGCTTCTGACCAGAGGCTATGCTTCCCAGGCTGTCAGTATGGCACCCTGCATGCAACAAACCTTAATGAGAAATAAACCTCCCCTTTCCAAATCTAGGAACTTCATTCTTTAGATGACAGAAGTTAGCAGAGGTTTTAAAGGAAAGAGGTATATACAGGATATGGAAACATTGTGTGGGATTGAATAAAGTAGAAGAAAGTCTCAAAACATATTATTAAAATGGTAACTGTTACATTTTATTGCTGGTATTAAAATATTAACATAACCATGAGAAAAGAAGTATATGAACTGCCTGTAAAAGTCTGAATTAGTGAGACCACCTTTGGACTAGATGTAAGCAGCTTTCAGTTTTAACCTCAGTTTCTAGGCTGGTTATTTTCTTCTTACTTTTATGATGTGATTTTTTTTCTTTTATAAAATAAAGACCTAATATCAACTCCAAAATTACAAATTCTCAAAGGAAAAAATCTAAAATTTGATGTCACATTTAAAATTGTATCCATTTAGATATTGAAATAGGTTGCTAGTATTTCTGAAAATTAAGACATATTTTTAAATTTATTCAACACAAAAAACAGTAATAGAAGAAGAACTAAAACTGGTAATAGGTGAAATTCAAAGTCAAATGTAAGATAGGTGAATAGTTATTTTATTGTAAGAATAAGTATGAAGACTTTTTTCTAAATGGTTTACATCAATTTTATAACATAAAAATGGAAATATTAAGCAGCGTAAAATTTTTCCTACATGCTGATCTCCTCTTATTTTTATAAATTATTTTCATAGAGGACCATATTTTCTTTTGAAACTGAAACAACTATTCAAGGTCACAATAACACCTTTTAATTTGGTGTTCACAAAGGCATTAAAACTCTCTCTCAATTTTTCACTCAGAAGTTTTCAAAGCATTTTACAGGATGGGTAATGAACTAAATAACAGTTGTATGGTGGGCTGGGCACAGTGACTCACTCCTGTAATCCCAGCACTCAGAGAGGCAGAGGTAGGTGGATCACTTGAGGCCAGGAGTTCCAGACCAGCCTGGCCAACATGGCAAAAAGCCATCTCTACTAAAAATACTAAACTAGCTGGGCATGGTGGCACGTGCCTGTAATCTCAGCTACTTGAGAGGCTGAGGCATGAGAATAGCTTGAACCCAGAAGGCGGAGGTTGCAGTGAGCTGAGATCACATCACTGCACTCCACCCTGGGCGACAGAGGAAGACTCTCTCTCAAAAAAAAAAAGAAAAAAAGATGGTCTCCAAAGTCGGCCATAGACAGAATCAATAACAAAATTAGCCAAAAACAAAGCACCATTTTCTACAAAATGTAAATCAGCCTTTTAAAACAATGTTAGTTTGAGCAATATGAAATTTCTGATATTCTATGATTTTTACCTACAAAAAGGCAACTTCACATAGCTCAACTCAATATATTTTGCATTTCTTAGTAGCATTCTAACCATTATAGATATATTGAACTTATACGTAAATAAACTCTCCCTCCCAAAGCAAAGAAGAGTACTGTCCTACATCAGCAAACCTTAGAATGTTAGAATTTCATTGCATTGGTGTTCATGTTTTGTGCAGATTCTTGATGTGAGAGGAGGATTCTGATATTCATTTTGTTTTCCAACAGTACTTTAACATGGTAATCTGTACACAATAAACTCTGAATAAATATGTGATTTGATTTTAAATACAAACATATTCTATTTTCAATTGTCCAAATCCTGATTTAACTAACAGATTATGTTTGGTACTGTTTGTTCAGCTTTGTTCACTGAACAGAATAATTAAGAAATACACAAATAGCTACAATAAATTGGATTCTTTGTTAAAAAACTTTGTAAAAATGTACAGCCTCATCATCAGCTATAATTCATCTCAAGATTTCTGTCAATCATATTATAGACTGTCCATAATATTTAAAATAATGTATGCTATTTTTATATAACTTAAGAATTTAATTACTGAAAAATATGTTATCAAAATTATACTGTTGACTCAATTAAGTAGGAAGGGGATTTTTGGAGGTGGAGAGAGGCTGGAGAGTTTCAGATACAGCAAAACTGTTTTCCAGTTGGAATTCTAATAGCCAAGAGGTAATTAATAAGTTAATGAGCTGTTGACAAAACTCACACACACACAAAAATACATACAATCCCTGAGCAGCTTCTAAGGGGTGAGTGCATTTTTTCTGTTGATCAAGTGCTAGGAAAGTTCTTTCTACTGTTATCACCAGGAGTATTACGTTGGGACTCAGAAACCAATACTCCAAACCGTAATGCATTGACATGCTGAACTGAAGAATCCTCAAAGTCTCTAACTGTATCCCGCCCCACTGCCTGTCTCAAAGAAGTTGATGTTCCTTTATCTGCCTAAGATCCACAACCATCCCTGCGAACAATTGTTTTCCTTTTCCTTTAAAACCAGAATGTAACCACACCAGAACAGACTTATACACTGTCAAAGAGAACAGTGAAATTTGCTGTCAGTGAATTTTCAGCAAATCTTCAGAGGGCCAAGAGAAAAGTTTCCCCCTGACCCCCCAACAATCAGCTCAGCACTTCTCACACAAATTTTTATGATCTTGACATTTCATTGAGAAATGCAACATAAATTTTTAAAACATACAGACAAAAAATAAAAAAAAATGCAGCTTAAGTTCACAGCAACCTGTGATATACAAACCAAAGAGAGCAGAGAGAAATAGCCACCTACAGAGACAAAGCGACTCTATTTTTTTCCCTAAAAGCAGCTGATCTTTATTGGTAACACAGGGTTAGCACCAGCTCCTGATTGCTCTGAAATTTTAACCAACATTTTTCCATGTAGTACAAACTGTTTCTTATTAAATTGGGTCAGCTACTCTTTATACACAGGAAAAAATATTTTCGCTGTAAAATAAATGCCTTTATTCAATATTTTGTATGCACAGGAAAAAAGAAAAAAAACAAAAAATGTGGTTCTTACTGTCTTTTCACTACTACCACTCTTATTTAACCTTACTTAATTCCTTTAACTTGTAGTTTATGCATCATGTGCCAGGAAAATCTTACATCAGAATCACTCAGAGGGTAATTAAAACACAAATTTCTGGACCCCTGTTTCTTGAGTTTCTGATTCATTAGGTGTGGGGAGGGGCCTGGAAATTTGTATTTCTAATTCTACCAAGTTTCTAACACTTTCTCAGGTGATGCTGATCCTGATTATCTGGGGAACACATTTTGACACTCTTATGGGGTAGGAGTTACAAGGGCAAGGAAGACAAATCATCTTTTCTCATCAAGTTTACATTCTAGTGGAAGACTATTGAAAAGGTTAAATGGATTAATGTAGGGGAGATTATGTTAAGTGACAGGTACAGAAAGACAAATATGGCAGGTACAGCAAGATAAGTATGGCAGACAGAAAGAAAGACAAATATGGCATGATCTCATTTATATGTGGAGTCTAAAAAAGCTGAACTCACAGAAGTAAAGAATGAAATGGTGGTTACCAGAGACTGAGGGGAGGAGGAGGAGGAGGAGGAGGAGGAAGTGGAGTGGGTAGAAATAGGGGAGAAGTTGGCCAATGGGCACAAAGTTTCCATTAGATAGGAGAAATAGTGCTGATGTTCTATTGCACAGCATGGTGACTGTAGTTAATAATAATGTTTTGTATATTTCAAAATAGCTGAGGGAATTTTGAATGGTCTTACCACAAAGAAATGATAAAATATTGAGGCTATGCTAATTAGCCCAATTTGATCATTCTGTAATGAATACATTGTACATCATATTTTACCCCATAAATATATGTAATTGTTATTTGTCATTTAAAAATCATAAAAATATATACAGTCGGCCAGGCACGGTGGCTCACAGCTGTAATCCCAGTACTTTGGGAGACCGAGGTGGGTGGATCACGAGGTCAGGAGATCAAGACAATCCTGGCCAACATGGTGAAACCCTGTCTTTACTAAAACTACAAAAATTAGCAGGGTGTGGTGACATGTGCCTGTAGACCCAGCTACTCAGGGGGCTGAGGCAGGAGAATTGCTTGAACCCGGGAGGCGGAGGTTGCATTGAGCCGAGATCTTGCCACTGCACTCCAGCCTAGGTGACAGAGCAAGGCACTTCTCAAAAAAATTATCTATCTATCTATCTATCTATCTATCTAGATATCTAGATATCTAGATATCTCTCTATATATAGATAGATATGCAATCGACTGGAAAAAAAGAGTGTCTTGCCCATTAGTAGGTCAATAAAAATTGACTGAATTGAAATCATATGTACACTAAAGCAGTATTTTTCTTTGGCAGTTTGATTTTCTAATTCTACAAAGCCATGCCTGGATTCCTACATCTGCTGCACTAACCAAATACAAGGCATCATATCATCTGAAGTCACATCTAGGCAGGATTCAAGGGTAAAATGAGTTACTCAGAGACACTGACTTCTTGTTCTGACTCTACAATGGGTAAATGATATCATATTTACATATGGAAGATAGTTTGTCTTTTAAAGTTTTAAGAATTTTAAGTGGTAGTTTCTCTCTGTTTATCCAGCTCACTCATGCAGATAGCATGGTCTTCACTCAACGGTCAACAAGAGCTGCACTGAGCTCCTCAGGGAATGTGGCCACCATATCACCGCCCAAGGCTCAGACCCCACCTCTGGCAGGAAGCTGAGCTGCATTCACACTGGTGGGTGTAGAGGCCTGTACCAAATGGGGGACACAGTTGGGCACAAGGGGGATTCTGCTGGACAGAGACCTTCAGAAATCTGCATGAGCCAGCTGGAAAGTCTTGTTGCTCCAGCTTCGGTATTTCATTTATCTAAAGTGAACTAGGCTTTCTTTTCATCCATTATGGAGGTCCCAGTGTGTCTTGGACCCAAACTTGTTCAACAAATAACTGAAGATAGGAATTTCAGAGTCATCTTCTTTCCTGCAACTGAGGTAAAACTTGGAAGAAAATTTAAAAGTTGAATTTAAATTTTCTATTATAAGTGGTTTGAATATACTAAGAAAAAAACTTTTCTGAAGATATTTCACAGATAAAATTTATGTCTTTCCAGCTCCAAATATAAAGTCATTCAAGTAACTCATTCATATGCTGAGAAAGTAGTATAGGAATTGTCTGCCAGACAGGCTAACCACAGTCCTTCAGGGATTTGTTTGTACATGGTTAGGCTTTTAGCCCTTTTGCCTTGCCAAAAAGCAGTGATCTATATTATCCTATTTTCTTATAATTGTATTCTCCTTTTCTATGTATCTTGGGGATAACATTACAATGGAATAAATTCTCCTCAACCTATAGTCCAAAAGTAAAACTAACCCTGGCCAATTCTTTTAGCCAACATTTTGAATTCTAACATTAACAAAGCTGGCTTTGTAATATAATTATGTAGAACATGGACAATATATGGTTATGTGTATTCCTGTAGTACCTAGCACAGCACTTGGGTATGAGCGATACTTGATAGATTTATTTTAATAGAATGTGATTTCTTCCATTATACTCACTGACCATTTCAGACCCAATTTAATACCACATAGATAAGAGTTAGTATCTGGCAGCATCAGGTATAAATAATTCTACTGAGAATTTGGAAGGCTCCCTATTTTCCCAAACTCCTTGTGAAATCTTATTGCTGTGAATTTCATAGGGTTCTTTGCTCTGTCTACATTCTCCATGCTTCTATCTCAATATGCAATCTTTGGTCTATGTCAAATGGTGACTCTTCTATTAAGCCCATTCTGATTTCTTCTAAACTTCAACACAATTTTGTCTCCATATTTTTATGGTACTTATTTGCCTTTACCTCATAGTATAGCATGTAAGTACAGAGTAAATAGGCTAAGACTTCTTGGGCTACAATAAATCTAGAGTTTTCCTAAACTGCATCTGCCACAGTGTCTTAACTTTCAGTAACAGATTTTTGATAAATATCAAGTAGAGGTAACTTTAAACTCCCTGCAAATATGTTGTATTTAATATCAAGCATAAAAATGTGATCATACATGTGGAATGGAGATCATTTACTAAAATTGAAAATAAAATAATTCAGAAAAATTATAAGAAGACAGAGGAGGACTATCAGCTGAGGTACTACACGAGCAAAAATGTAACAATATTTTTAAAATGAAACAAATACAAGCACATTATTTTCTTCCTGCTCACTGTTGGGCTCTTTTCATTGTGAGCAGAAATAAATTTATACACACAGACACACTCACACAATTTGCTATATGTATATACACAGTCACAAGTCACATAACATTTCAGTCAACAGCTGGCTGCATATTCAATGGTGGTCCCCTAAAATTATAGTGGAGCTGAAAAATTTGTATCCCCTGGTAATGTAATAGAGGTTGTCACATTATAGCACAATGCTTTACCTTTTTTATCTCTAGATATGTTTAAAAGCATAAATACTTACCATTGTGTTACAATTGTCTACAGTATTCAGTGCAGTTACCATGCTGTACAAGTTTGTAGCCTAGGAGCAATAGGCTATACCATATAGCCTAGATGTGCAGCAGGCTATGCCATCTAGGTTTATGTAAGTGCACTCCATGTTGTTTGCACAATGAAGAAATCACGTCCTGACCCATTTCTCAAAATATAGTTCTGTTATTAAGTATTATAAAAATATACATAAACATAGACATGTAGAAGGCCTAGACTGATATACAAATATAAAAAATAAACACTGATATTATTTCTAATAGAGGTTTATGTCTTAACCACATCTATTCTGTGGGAGCAATTCTATTAAGTCAACTTGAGTTTAAAATTGCACAAATGTATTTACTCTTCTTTAATCATCAATTACAAAGAAAACAAACTGGTCTTGGATATTTCAGCTAATATTTGACACACAATAGATACAACATATGATAAACAGTGACTATTTTTAGTGCCAGAGCATTTTTATATTTGTAATCACACACATATGCCAGTATATGAGCTTTCTTAGAAAATTCACGTGTCTTATAATCGACTGGAATAAAATTATTATTATGAATCAGATAATTCACTCAACGGGCCTTGGGAAAATAGACAAACTATAATTTTTCTTTGTAAAGAAAGATCAGAAGGGGAATGTTTTAAGGATAATTAGCATCCAGGGGGTTCCTTGTACTAAATAGGACACATCTTCAGAAATAGGGCACCACATTTGAAAATAACACTTTCCAAAGACATTCTAGGAAAATCCTACACAGTCAACAACAGCAGAAGTATCCTATATTTTATAAGTAATCTGTGAAGAGAGTTTACAAATGTATCGGTGACAAGAGCAAATATTTACCAGTATCTATCAAGAAGACCATAACCTATTTAGGTTAACCACAGTGACTAGAATTTATCTTGCCACTGGAATGTAAGAGAACGTAAGATAATCTAATACAACTGCAAGTCACTCAACTATGCAGGAATGAGTGACAGACTTTCTGTGTTCTTATGAATCAGGCGTAGCTGGTATCATATCACCTAGAGTGTTGTAAGTCAAATAAAAGAAATCTATTGACAGTGAATTTTTAGGGCTCTCTAGGGAAGATTATGCATGGAATGATCACATTAGCATTGATGCCTATTTAGCCAGGATGGTGTTGTTTGCATTAGAATCTTTTGTTTGATAAGTATCATATTGCTGATCACCTCTTACCTGGGGTAGAGACATTTTAAGTATAATTATTCAGGAAAATTTTTTATTACTGAAAAATTTAGCAGCAATAGAATTTTTTACACCACTGTGAGAAAACATGAGGGACACAGCTTTAAAACAAATTTTAAAAAGGAAGCGAGAAAGAGGAGAGAGAGCTAGAGAGACTTTAAATAGTTAATGAGACTATTATAAATGTTTAAGTGCTGCAAATAGAAATACTGAGATGCATACTTAAATTGTGTAAAATCAATGATAAAGGAGTGCAAGCAAAATCAATGATCAAGGAGTGCAAATGATGTTTGATATATCATACACACATTCAATAAAGAATCAGGAAGATAGAAGAGGCCCAGCATACATACACTTCTCAACACCACTTATTACTAAGGGTTAATAAGTAGATGATGGGAAGAGACTGGAGGTGTTTCAGAACCTCCCACTACATTCCTCACTCAGAACACAGGAAAACACACGTGTACATGCACACACAAATTCATATATATATATATGTATATATATATATGCATAAAATATAACTCCATGTTTAATTGCTTTGTAAACCTCATAGAATACTTGTTATAATGTGGGTTTGGTGATTCTCAGTCTTTACTGGGAACACTATAACGTCTGGAATAAAATTATTATTTTGGGTACCACTGCACATAAATATTTTAATGGGAAGAGCCTTAACTGTCAATTATTGGTTTTTGTTTCCTAGGCAAGTAGCTGCAGTAATTAGTTCTCCCGACTCAGAATGATAAACAATTAGGATCATCCAAAAGCCATGACTCTGATTCAATCTCCACTAGGAGAATGTCTACATATAGGCCTTTCCATATGATAAGTGCAGTAAGCAACACATTTAATTAGTTTGATTTCAAGCCACAGAATATGATCATGTAAAGGTAAATGATAAAATTAAAAACCTGGATAAGAGCCTGTCCTGAAGGCAACTGTGCAAAAGAATAAGAGTCTTTCTCTCACGTAGTTTAGGTTAAGTAGCAACCAGTCAATCTCTCTCTCTCTCTTTTTTTCTCTCTCTCCTGCCTTTCTGTATTTCTCAAAGTCTCTTACTAGCAATACTAAAAACATGTGTGCTTAGATATACTTGGATAAAAGCAAATCCCAATTTATTGAATTCCACTTCAAAATTCTAGGTCAGCACTTCTTAAAAATGGCAAAATAACCCATTTCAGTAGATGTTTAAATATAATGCCAAGAGTGCCTTGAGCAATACGTTTGTTGAAGATTAAAGTGAAATAAATTTCCTTTGTAGTGTGCAGGATCCCGATTGCCCTTCCTGTGCTATTTATGTGTGGCTCTCTCCAGCCAGGTGCTCCAATAGGCAGCACTTCCCTGAAGAACTGACCTCTGAACTCATGCTGGTCATCCACAACATACTGGGGTTCCTAAGAGCCTGATTAGACATTTCCTTTTCTGATTGGACATTTTAACTGCAATCTGTGTTGCAATGAAAACTTCAGGAAAGTCCCTACAAAGTAGAGTTTTTTGGCAGCAGCTGCAAATTTTTTCAACATTTGTCTGGTGTGGGATTCCTCTTCACACTCTTCCTTTTGCTTTTCTATATTATAATAATTTGCTTTTACATCTGTGGATCCATTAGCTCCACTTTAGCAATCCCCAGATAGTATTTTATTCCCTTTTGCCCTTCTAGAAATTTACAGTGTATCCTAGCAAATCTGAATGATGGCATTTTGTTCAATAGATATTTTGCTTAATCAAATTAAGTTTTTCCTTGGCACTTTTAGTTGGCTGTATTTTTTAGCACAGCAATTTAAATGATGCTTAAGTGTGTATAAATTCAGGAGTTCATGCAGCAAGTAGGTTCAGATTGGATCAAAAGACAGAAATAGAAGCCTAGAAAATAAGTGCAGTAATTAAATTTAGAAAAAGCAGGTGGGAAGTAGGCTTCCTACTCGATGAACTTGATATGGCTTTTGTGCCTTGGGATGTTTGAAGGTAACCAAGTTAGGAGTCTTGGAAAGAAAAAAAAATAAAAAATAGGAAGCCAGTAAAACTATGAAAAAGACTTGAATGTAGCAAATTGAATAAAAAGTAACAAAGAGGGAATGCACCTGTCAAATTCATGGGCTCATACACAAGTGACATGACATTGAGAGAGTATAAGAAAAATAACCAATTTTGGTTAAGAGTTAGTATTGCTACTAACTTTTTTATCTTACATTACAAAATAATCTAAACTTTAAACATTTTAAGTGTTCTCTTTTACAAATATTTGTCATGTTTGTTAAATACATAAATATTGGGAAAATGACTTAATCTTCCTGAGTAGCCATTAAAAAGTCAATAAAATGCTTTGTTAATACTACACAAATCATTTTATTTGATGATGCTGATTTTTCCCCTTTTCTAGCAGATAAGTCAAGTAAAAATGAAGATTGAACTAAATCCTTATCATTATTTTTCTTTCAAGAGCTTTCAACAAGCATTTACTATTTATCACATAACTTTTATGTTTACTCATTGGTTTTATTTGTATTATCATTTACAATTTGTGGTCACAAATATTATAATTTTTATATACTTAAAATTATTCCTTCAAATTCAGGAAATACAGAGAATACCACTAAGATAATCCTCAAGAAGAACAACCTGTAGACACATAATCGTCAGATTCTCCAAGTTTGAAATGAAGGAAAAAATGTTAAGGGCAGCCAGAGAGAAAGGTCAGATTACCTACAAAGTGAAGCCCATCAGACTAACAGTGGATCTCTCTGCCGAAACCCTACAAGCCAAAAGAGAGTGGGGGTCAATATTCAACATTCTTAAAGAAAACAATTTTCAACCCAGAATTTCATATCCAGCCAAACTAAGCTTCATAAGCAAAGGAGAAATAAAATCCTTTACAGACAAGCAAATGCTGAGGGATTTTGTACCACCAGGCCTGCCTTACAAGAGCTCCTGAATATGGAAAGGAGCTCTTTCCATATTCACATCCACTAAACATGGAAAGGAAAAACCACTACCAGCCACTGCAAAAACACACCAAAATACAAAGACCAATGACATTATAAAGAAATTGCATCAACGAATGTGCAAAATAACCAGATGGCATCATGATGATAGGATCAAATTCATACATAACAATATTAACCTTAAATGTAAATGGGCCAAATGCCCCAATTAAAAGATAGAGACTGGCAAATTGGATAAAGAGTCAAGACCCATCAGTGGGCTGTATTCAGGAGACTCATCTCACATTCAAAGACACACATAGACTTAAAAATAAAGTGATGGAGGAATATTTACCAAGCAAATGGAAAGCAAAAAAAAAGCAGGGGTTGCAATCCTAGTCTCTGATAAAACAGACTTTAAACCAACAAAGATCAAAAAAGACAAAGGCAGAACATAATGGTAAAGGGATCAATGCAACAAGAAGAGCTAACTATCCTAAATATATATGCATCCAATACAGGAGCACTCAGATTCATAAAGCAAGTTCTTAGAGACCTGCAAAGAGACTTAGACTCCTACACAATAATAGTGAGAGACTTTAAGACCTGACTGTCAATATTAGACAAATCAATGAGGCAGAAAATTAAGTAGGATATTCAGGATTTGAACTCAGCTCTGGACCAAGCAGAACTAATAGATATCTACAGAACTCTCCACCCCAAATCAACAGAATATACATTCTTCTCAGCACCACACAGCACATATTCTAAAATTGACCACACAATTGGAAGTAAAACACTTCTCAGCAAATGCAAAAGAATGGAAATTGTAACCGTCTCTCAGACCACAGTGCAATCAAATTAGAACTCAAGATTAAGAAATTCACTCAAAACCACACAACTACATGGAAATTGAACAACCTGCTCTTGAATGACTGCTGGGTAAATAACAAAATTAAGGCAGAAATAATGAAGTTATTTGAAACCAATGAGAACAAAGAGACAACGTACCAGAATCTCTAGGACACAGCTAAAGCAGTGTTAAGAGGGAAATTTATAGCATTAAATGCCCATATCAGAAGGCTGGAAAGATCTGAAATTGACACACTGGACATCACGGTTAAAAGAACTAGAGAAGCAAAAGCAAACAATTTCAAAAGCTAGCAGAAGACAAGAAATAGCTAAGATCAGGGAAGAACTGAAGGAGATAGAGACACGAAAAACCTTTCAAAACATCCATGAATCTAGAAGCCTGTTTTTGTAAAAGATTAACAAAATACATAGACCATTAGCAAGAATAATAAAGAAGAAAAGAGAGAAGAATCAAATAGACACAATAAAAATGATAAAGGGGAGATCACCACTGATCCCACAGAAATACAAACTACCATCAGAGAATGCTATAAACACCTCTACACAAATAAACGAGAAAATCTAGAAGAAATGAATAAATTCCTGCACACATACAACCTCCCAAGACTAAACCAGGAAGAAGTCAAATCCCTGAATAGACCAATAACAAGTTCTGAAATTGAGGCAGTAATTAATAGCCTACCAACAAAAAAAAAGCTCAGGACCAGATGGATTCACAGCCAAATTCTACCAGAGGTACAAAGAGGATCTGGTACCATTCCTTCTGAAATTCTTCCAAATGAAAGAAAAAGAGGGAGCCCTCCCTAACTTATTTTATGAGGCCAGCATCACCCTGATACCAAAACCTGGCAGACACATAACAAAAAAAGAAAATTCCAGGCCAATATCCCTGATGAATATTGACGCAAAAATCCCTAATAAAACACTGGCAAGCCAAACCCAGCAGCACATCAAAAAGCTTATCCACCACAACCAAGTCGGCTTCATCCCTAGGATGCAAGGCTGGTTCAACATACAAATCAATAAAAGTAATCTATCACATAAACAGAACCAATGACAAAAACCACATGATTATCTCAATAGATGCAGAAAAGGCCTTCGATAAAATTCAACATTCTTTCATGCTAAAAACTCTCAATAAACCAGGTATTGATGGAACATATTTCAAAATAATAAGAGCTATTTATGACAAACCTATAGCCAATATCAAATTGAATGGGCAATAGCTGGAAGAATTCCCTTTGAAACCGGCACAAGACAAAGATGCCCTCTCTCACCACTCCTATTCAACATAGTATTGGAAACTCTGGCCAGGGCAATGAGGCAAGAGAAAGAAATAAAGTTTTTCAAATATAAAGAGAGGAAGTCAAAGTGTCTCTGTTTGCAGATGACATGATTGTATATTTAGAAAACCCTACCATCTCAGGCCAAAAACTCCTTAAACTGATAAGCAACTTCAGCAAAGTCTCAGGATAGAAAACCAATGTGCAAAAATCACAAGCATTCCTATACACCAATAACAGACAAACAGAGAGCCAAATCATGAGTGAACTCCCATTCACAATTGCTACAAAGGGAATAAAATACCTAGGAATACAACTTACAAGGGACATAAAGGACCTCTTCAAGGAGAACTACAAACCACAGCTCAAGGAAATAAGAGAGGACACAAACAAATGGAAAAACATTCCATGCTCATGGATAGGAAGAATCAATATCATGAAAATGGCCATATTGCCCAAAGTGATTTACAGATTCAATGCTATCCCCATCATGCTACCATTGGCTTTCTTCACAGAATTAGAAAAAACTACTTTAAATTTCATATGGAACTAAAGAAGACCCCTTGTAGCCAAGACAGTCCTAAACAAAAGAACAAAGCTGGAGGCATCATTGCTACCTGACTTCACAGAATACTGCAAGGCTATGGTAACCAAAACAGCATGGTACTGGTACCAAGACAGATATATAGACCAATGCAACAGAACAGGGGCCTCAGAAATAACACCACACATCTACAACCATCTGATCTTCAATAAACCCTACAAAAACAAGCAATGGGGAAAGGATTCCCTATTTAATAAATGGTGCTGGGAAAACTGGCTAGCCATATGCAGAAAACAGAAACTGGACCTCTTCCTCACACCTTATACAAAAATTATCTCAAGATGGATTAAAGACTTAAGTGTAAAACCTAAAACCATAAAAACCCTAGAAGAAAACCTAGGCAATACCATTCAGGACATAGAAATGGGCAAAGACTTCATGACTAAAACCCCAAAAGCAATTGCAGCAAAAGCCAAAATTGACAAATGGGATCTAATTAAACTAAAGAGCTTCTGCACAGCAAAAGAAACTATCATCAGAGTGAACAGGCAAACTTCAGAATGGGAGAAAATGTTTTCAATCTATCTATCTGACAAATGTCTAATATCCAGAGTCTACAAGGAACTTAAACAAATTTACAAGAAAAAAGAAAATGACTCAATCAAAAAGTGGGCAAAGGATATGAACAGACACTTCTCAAAAGAGAAGTAAGATGGAGTATAGTATTAACTTATGATCAAACTAGGAGTCTGGTTGACAACTTTTATGAAAATTGAGTATTTCAAAAGGATATACTCCGGAAAGTATTATATTTCCAATCAGAAATGAGCTAATGAAATACCTGCAAATATAAATAGGTTTCTCTATTGAAAATCATTTTTAATCTTCATGAATGCATTATTACCTCATCAACTCCATATTGCATGTCCGTGTTATTTCTAGGTTGAAATACTTCAAGATAAATATAGTTAAAAACATGATCCTTAAAACAAATTATTTATCGTACACAAAACTGAGCTTCTGAATAAATATAATCATGAATACTTCAGTTCTAACTAAATTAGACCATGACTCTGGAGCTACTAAGAGCAAACAAATTGAACCTTCCTCTCTGCAAGCTTAACCTAAGTTAGAAGCCCCATATAAGAAGAGTAAAGAAGACATCTGATGAAGGCATCATTTTAATGCACAGTTTGCAGAATTGAGAGTGAAGTGATTTAGTGAGATTCTGTGGAATAACACAGTCTACAGTCTTATTTCAAATTACTGTTTCCTCTGACATTCTGGATGAATATCACAATAATAATAACTATAAAGATAATAATGATAATAATTTCTCGGATAAAGTGATGGAAGTTATTTTTATATTTTCCATCCATAAAGTTTTAATATGCATGAGAAAGAGATAGAGAAGAGTGTTCCATACTCGTGAGAAAAAGAAAATGTTATTTAAAATTATAGGATATAATGGACAGGTTTCAGTACAAATGAAGTCTGAGTTTAAGCTACTATGATTATCATAAAACAGTCACTATTATTATTTAATAAGTAATCACATGTTGAGATGAATGGTTTATAAGCATAATACACTAGAAATGAATTCCCTAATTTTGGAAAAGTTATTTGGCTAAATTTTAAATGATTATTGACTAATGAATTATATTAAATAAGTAAAAATAATTAATTACAGGTAAATTATTTAATGGTTTTAAAGATTAGGCAAATGTGTAGTATATGCTCATATAAAGGTAATATAAAATAATTATATTTAGGCATAGTTACAAAACATTAATAGTAGGCATATAAATTAGGCCATAAAAGTATTATGATGTTTTTAATCTTAAGTACCAGATACTAATTTGTGAAAGGAAAAACTGAAATTGAGAAACACATTATGTTGAAGTAAAAATATTCTTGACTGCCAACATATATATGTTCCAGAAAAAAAGTTTGTTTTAAATTTAATTTAAATTTAATTACTTTTATATGTATATAGTATATGTATATGGTACATCTACCATTTGATTTGTTGGATTAAGAAATAAATGGCATTATTTTAAAAATAAGTTTTGAGAATTTAAACTTCTTTATTTCCATTTCAGTTGTAATTTTAAGGAAATAAATTAGCTAACTGCAAACCACTATATAATTTTGAGTTTTTGTTGTTTCTTGCTACTCTAGTTACACATTCTGGAAGCAAAATTTAAAAATTACCCAGGTGCCATGGCTCACACATGTAATCGCAACAATTTGGGAGGCTGAGATGGTGAGATGGGAGGATCACATGAGACCGGGAGTTTGAAACCAGCCTGTGCAACATAGCAAGACCTTATCTCTACAAAAAAAAAGAAAAGAAAAGAAAAAAAAAAACCTAGGCATGGGGGCACAGGCCTGCAACTGTAGCTAATCAGGAGGCTGGGGTGGGAGGATTGCGTAGGCCCAGGAATAGAGGCTATGGTGAGGTATGGTTTATGATTGTGCCAGTGAACTCCACCCTGGGCAACACAGTATGACCCTGTCTCTAAAAAATTAAATCTTACAATGAGTATAAATCTTACACTGAGTGTCACCTGAACTAATTTGGAAGTATGAAGTTGAATTTTCTTAAAACCTATGTCCAGGTAATCTCAGGAGGATGACCATAGTATTCAAGTATAGATCATAAAATAAATCCAGGAAAACTCACATTTCTCTGAGAAACAGTAATCTAGCTTATGCATACTTTTATCTATTTAAACATAAGAAGAAAAGGACAACATTGTTGAAAAAGTCAAACTATATCAATATAATTTTCTTCACTTAATCCCGCGAAAATAAAACAATGGCTACATGCTATGTGTACATTTCTCAAACTACTTGGAATCAGGGCCTATTTAAATTAAACGGAATGGTCTCTGGCCAAAATTTACAAAATTTCTCTATTATCTTTTTTTTCTATGCTATGATGTACTAGCATGATTTTATGTTTAGACATTAGTGGCTTCAACGAAATTTATAGTTTTGATAATCAAGCCTAATTTTTGGAAATAAAGTTTTAAAGAACTGTATGCTAAGAAAATCAATTAAAACCAAATGTTTAGTTAGATGGGAGAACTGTTGGTGTTTTCATTAATTATTCAGAAAATTACAAAGCTGCTCCCAGGCTAATGGAGCAGAGCTCTCCATTTGACTCAACTGAGCAACCACAGACAAATGCCTGGGAGGACTCTCTGGTGCCTGATCTTGCAGGATCAGCAGGAATAGCTAAAAGGACAGTGCTGCTAATTTCACAAAATGTAAATTGCTGATATGTTGGTCTTTTCAGTTCAAGCAATCAGAGTTAAACACATGCCAAATTATATAGTCAAAAGTCTTAAAGCAGTAGGCATAAGGCCATCTAAGTAAACCAGGGAAATTAAGATCCTTGGCTCTCCCTTTTCTCTCTCAGAGCTCCAAACTAAACCCTCAAGGAGCACAGCTTTTTGGCATATTTGTGCTCTTGGTTTCCAGAAAATCTGGGTGAGAAGATAACAATACTATAACATCTACAATATTTATATGAAAGAAATGGCACCATGTCTAGTAAAAACAGTTTACACTGAGTCACAGTGCCATCTTTGTATTCAAAAGGCAACTGATAGCATTATACACCAGTACATTATGTAATTATAACCAATAGAATTCTGTGTGTGTGTGTGTGTGTGTGTGTGTGTGTGTGTGTGTGTTTGAGATTTACAGTTTTACCTCCAACATGTAAGGAGCTTCAAAGTCATTCCCATACTTATACTAAGAAAACCTGAAGAAACTGGAAAACACTGACTCTTTTGGCACCCTTCAGATAACTGATATTATAGGGCAAATCATCACACGAAATCTGGAGAGTCGGGCAATTTCATAGAGATACAGCACCTCGGATTTTTTACTTAAAGCATAAGTTGATGAATGCCATAAACAAGTAGAAACACTTAAACAGTAATTTTTATTAATTGCTGGAGGCTGAGTGTGATCCAGCTTGAAACTGAGAAGCTCCTGGGGCTACAATCAAAGGCTCACATTTTACAGTTTGTCCTCTAGGAACCCTACGATGTCCTCATGGGGAGGATCTGAGAAAGTTCTCCACATGACCCTGGAAGAAGGAAAGGAAGTGTGGCTATCATGAAATCTTCTTAGACTATTCTCACTAATGAATCCCTGGTCTTTAGGAGAAGGACTTCACCAGAGGGCAATGCTGGTCCAGTATCCCATTTCAGGGATGGGAATTCTGCTCTACTCCCATAAAAGAGGGACAGCTGAGATCAGCTTAGTTGGAACCAAAGCTATCAAAGTAATAAGTTGATAGTGGCACTATTATAGTTGAAGACTTCAACATTTATCAGTAACTGATAAAGCACAAAAAAATTAGTAAGTGTATCGGGGACCTAAAAAGTGCCACCAATCTTGTCAGTCTAATGGATATTTACAGAATACTCCATCCCAAACCCAAATTCTTCTAAAATGTGCATGGAACGTTCACCAAGACAGAATACATTCTGGGCCATAAAACACACAATAAAAATGTAATATAATAAAAACGATATTAAGTATATTCTTAGAACACAAAAGAATAAAACTAGAAATCAATAAGAGAGATAGTTGAAAAAGCCCTAAATATTTTATAATTAAACAAAATAATTCTAAGTAACCCACAAGTCAAGATGAAGTCTGAAGAAAAACTAAAAATTACTTAGAGCTAAATGAAAATACAACTCATAAAAATTTTTGAAACATAAAGAAGTGTTTAGAGGGAAATTTATTGCATTGAATAGATATGTTAGAAAAGAAGATAACCTAAGTTTCCTGATATAGTTTGACTGTGTCCCCACTCAAATCTCATCTTGAATTATAATCCCCATAATTCCCACATGTCGAGGGAGGGATGTGGTGGGAGGTGATTGGATCATGGGGATGGTACCCCCATGCTCTTCTCATGATAGTGAGTAAGTTCTCACAAGATCTGATGGTTTTATAAGCATCTGGCATTACCCCTGCTCACACTTGTCTCTCCTGCCACCATGTAAAGAAGGTCCTTGCTTCCCCTTTGCCTTCCATCATGATTGTAAGTTTCCTGAGGCCTCCCCAGCCATGTGGAATCGTGAGTCAATTGAACCTCTTTCTTGTATAAATTACCCAGTCTGAGGCATTTCTTTATAGCAGTGTGAGAATGGACTAATACAATTCCACCTCAAGAGACTAGAGAAAGAAGAAAAAATTAAATATAAACAAGTAAAAGGAAGAAAATGATAATAAAAAAACAGAAGTCAATGTAACTAAAACAATAAATCAATAAATAAAATCAATGAAACCAAAAGGTGATTCTTTGAAAAGATCAATAAAATTGAGAAGCATAGAGATGAATTAACCAAGAAATAAAAAGAGGGCAAAATTAGCAATATTGGGACAGACCAAAGGGTCGTCACTACTGCTTTCATAGACATTAAAAGGATAACAAGATAGTATTATGAACAGCTATATGCTCATAAATTTGATAATTTTAGTAAAACAAACCATGTCCTTGGCAGACTCAAACCACCAAAACTCTTTTAAGGAGCAATACATAATCTGAATAACCGTATATCTATTGTAAAAATTGAACACTTGGTTAAAACGTTGCAAACAAAGAAAAGATCTGCCAAGGTACTTCAGTGGTGAATTCTATGGAACATTTAGAAAAAAACAATTACAAATTCTGCACAAAATCTTCCAGAAATTTGAAGAGAAAGAAACACTACAAATAATATAAGACAGTCTTTGCCCTAATACTAATGCCAGATAAAGACATTACAAGAAAATTACAAACTAAAATATCTTATGATATTTTAGCAAAAAAATATTTAAAAATATTAATAAATTATTTTATATATAAAACAATATAAAAAGAGTAAGCAGTATTCCAAGAAGTAAGCCTGGTTCAGCATTAATAAATCAATGCAATGTAACATATTAGAATACCAAATAAGAAAAAAAAATTGAGCATACCAATTGAGGCAGAAAAGTAATTTAACAAAGTTTAATACCCACTCTTGACAAAACAAGGTATAAAGAAAAACTTTCTCTATCTAATAAAGGGCACACACACACACAAACACACAAACATACACACACACACACACACACATATATATATATAATCTTAAGTATTTTAATTATGACAAACTGAAAAATTTTCCCCTAAGGTTCAGAACAAGAAAAATATCCTCTCATCACTCATATTAAACAGTACAGTAAAAGTCCTAGTAGTGTAATAAGACAAGAATGAGTAATAGAATATGTAACAGAAGGTAGAAAGTATACATATAGGATATAGAGAAATAAAATTATCTTTATTCACTAACAACATTACTGGCTACATAGAAAATGCTAAAGAATCTACAAAAGTCTCCTGAAATTAATAAGCTAATTTAGCATCGTTGCAGGATATAAAGTGAGCCTCCTAAACACTAGCAATGACAAACTGAAACTCAAGACGGAAAAACAAAAACAAACTATACATATGGGTATACACATAAACTTATGTCCATACAAAAACCTGTACATGGATGTTTATAAGAGTTTTACTCACGGTTGCCAAAACTTGGAAGAAACCAAGATATCCTTCAGTATGTAAATGGATAAATACAGTGGGGCATTCAGACAAAGCAGTATTCTCCAACACCAAATAGAAATGAGCTATCAAGCCATGAAAGGACATCAAAGAAACTTAAATAAACATCACTAAGTGAAAGGAGCCAATATGAAAGGCTGCATAGTGTATGATTCTAACTATATGAATGTCTTAGTTATTTTTTTGTTGCTGTAACAGAATACCTGAGATTGGACAGTTTATTTAAACAAAGAGCTTTATTTGGCTCATGATTCTGGTGGTTGGCAAGTTCAAAATTGGGCATCTGTATCTGGTGAGGGTCTTATGCTGCTTCAATTCCTGGTGGAATGCAGAAGGGAAGGTGGCATGTGTAAAGCGATCACCTGGTGAAAAAGGAAGCAAGAAAGAGGAACAGGGGAAGGCAGAGTCTTTTTAACAACCTTCTTTCTCAAGAACTCATCCATCATGGAGAGAGGGAGAGCTCATTCACGCCTTTCGGAGGGCATTAGTCTCCATGAGGGATCTGCTGCTATGACCCATATACTTTCCACTAGCCCTCACCTCCCAACACCACCAGACTGGGAATCAAATTTCAACATGAGTTTTGGTGGGGACAAACCAAACCAAAGCAATGACATTCTGGAAAAGAAGAGTGATGAAGAAGTTAAAAAAAAAAAAAAACATCAGTGGTTTCCAGGGCTTGGAGAAGAGAGGGATGAAAAGGTAGAGCACAAAGTATTTTTATGGCAATGAACTACTTTGTATAATACCACAATGACTGATACTTGTCATTATAAATTTCTCCAAGCCCATAATATGTACAATAACAAGAGTGAACCTGAATGTAAACTATGAACTTTGGGTGATAATGATATATCAATAGCTTCATCAATTGCAGCAAATGATGCAATTGCAGTATGATGGAGGATGTTGATAATGGAAGAGGCTATACATGTGTGGATGTATGGGTTATATGTTAAATCGCTGTACCTTCTGCTCTATATTGTTGTGAACATAAACTGCGGCACAAATAAAGCCTATTTTAATGAAAATGAAAGTTTTCATTTCAAATACTTATAGGAGATATATATTGGACTTTGAGAATCATAGTGTAGATAAATTCTGATGTCCTTTCTTTAAGATTCCCTGTTACTACTAAATTAGTTTGATTCCTGACCAATAAATTCATAAACTCAACTCATTTAATTTGAACAATTATTTTCTCTACACTAGGCACTGTAGATGCTAAGAACATAGGTTGGTAGTTGGGGAAGGGTATAGAACTCAATAGAAACAAAAGGGACAGATTCTAAAGGAAAAAGAGGAAGGCAAATTGGCATCAAAGATCTCAAAAGCATGTGGGTATTCACTCAGAAGAAGGAATGGATTTGATAATAATATTGTTAAGAACAATTTCCCAAGTGTCTCTCGTGTGTACATGCACCTTGTAGTAGCTTTTGTCCCAGACTGTCATTTTGAAGATGCATGTATAGCAAATGATCTTGGGAGATTGAAGTAGTGTCGCCATGCAGGGGAGAGAACAAAATCTGTTGCTTTCCAGAATGGTAAAGATAATGTCTTTCTCTGGGGTAGAGGTTGTACAAGTTTGCTACTATCCTCTTTATAAGGATGGGGGTTACCTAAGCTTGGCGTTCCTCAGCTAATACTCAACCCCACCATGTATACAGCATTCTCCTGAGCTGAATCCCACCTGTGAGCTTGTGACCAAGGAGAATGAACGCAAGCAAGAAGTTCTTGTGAACAACAATCAGAGTCCTATATCTCTGATTTCAAAGTCTCCTGTATGCTGCCAGCATCTGTGAGATTGTGGCAGGCAGGCTTGTTAGCTTCCAAGTAGGGAAAAAGCATCAGACCCTTGAAAAATATAGGTCTTTGATAAGTAGAATTGATTATTTATATAACGTGCTAAGGACATCGTATCTGTGTATTCAATTTGATCTTCACAAATACTCAGTGGATTTTACTTTACCTACATTGTAGAAGAGGAAACTGAATTAGCATGTAATTGCTAATCTCCTCAATGTCAAACTTCAGGTCAGTGGCAGTATCACCATGTAAGCACACACATGTGTGGCCCCTACAACTGTGAGTTTAAATACAGGAATCAAGTGACTCCCTGGACACTTGGGTTTTAAATAGAAGACTTTATGATAATCAAAAGTTTTGGAAAAGTAGATTGTAGAATTGTATTTGGTACATGACGTATATGCAAAATGACAGAAATTAGGGCAGATGCAAATTTAATATCTTATTGGAAAAAGTAATCCCTAAAGTAGTAGAATTTTAATAGTAACTCTTTTGCCTGACCTAGTTAAGTAATTATGTCAATACCTTCTATTTATATAAATAGACTAGAATATCAGAAAGTTGTTCTAGTCTGCCCATATTGTAAGACATTTTTGTCTTAAACAAATAACTGTGCACCTTAGTTTGTGCTATGCTTACATATGGCTAAAATCTTTAAGAAAATTATCTCATAGAGGAGTGAGTGATCTACAAGTTTTTTAAAGGACATATAGATATATTTGTCATATTTACAATATGTAAATCACTAATGCCATATAAATATTTATGATAGGTTGGTTATTACTTTTGATAATCAGTATCACTTTTCTGCAACACTTTTGCATATTTAAAAAATAAGAAGCTGAAACTATGTATTATTAAAATATTTACTTCTAGAAAAAGTTAATAGTTCAAAAATCCCAAGTTAGTTTATATAGCCTCAGATTTTCTAGTAGGTGTGATATTTTTGTCTATATTATTAATTTTAATGGTGAAATACTTAATCATGATATTCCTTTCAGTTATTCATACATCATTTTCTATAATGTAAATAATATTATTGCTGTCTACAATATTAGAAGCTAGAAGACAAATGATCAAAGCGTTCACATACTGAGGAAATATGCTATTTTATCCGGTATTAAATTCTATTTACCATACTATTTAACAATTCTATGTTCAAAATAAAGAGTTGTCTGATATTGAAGCTCCTAAAAAGTTTACCATACCCACACCCTCTTTAAGAAAATATTAAGGCATATAGCTGTAGTGAAGAAAACCAAAGGAGACAATATAAGAAAATGGAAAATATTAAATTAGAGTAATTATGGACATAAACTAGGAGCGGAAATTACAAGTGTTACAGATGAGAATTTGTGCAGGTTTAGGACCAGACAGGACTGGACTGGATCAGAATGTAGAAAGGTCTAGAATAGACAAAGTGCCAAGTGAAGAGCAAGCGGTTTCTAGGCAGCAGAAAGCTGTGATGTTACCACATTTTCAGAAATTTGGTCAGTAATTGAAACAACTCTGAAAGAATGTAGACAGTTTACTACTCATGGCACAGCAGGTAGCAAAAGCTTCTTCTTGTTCACATGAATTCCCATTGCCCCCTCAAGTCACACAGAAGCAACAGGAGCCCAGTGGAAGGCGGAGCACACAGATCTGTGGCACAGCTGAGGAGCACGGGGCTCAGGAAAAGCACAACCTATATGGGATTGGGAGCAAACTTAACTCGCTGTTGCCTTGGAAGAAGGCATTATCTTTACTACCGCGAGAATTAAACAAATCTCCTCAGAGAAGTGAGGGGCTTTGTTATAGCCTAATTCAATAACTCCACCCACTCACTTGAAGGGAAACATTATTCCAAGAATGTTTGCTTGGGAAGGTAGTTCAAGACTTGTGGGAACACTGTGAAGAACTGCTTTCCTACATACCGCTGCGAATGTGACTGGTGTTTTCTTACAATTTGAGACTAAAGAATTTTGAAAATATGGCAATGGAATTTTTTCTTTCCTCTTGATGAAAAAGAAAGCTATTTAGAAGCTCCGTGGAAGAGAGTTAAGAAACTGAAGAAACAAAAACTTATGGCCTGGGGAAAACAATCAGCATAAAATAAATACACATAAAAGTAAAAGCAGAAAAATATCAAATATCATGTTAACTAAAATTTGGCATGATTTTAAGCAAACGATAATGTTGAATAGATGATCCATCAGGTCTTGGCATTCTAGTTTTATTGGCACAAGGATGTACAGCATTTTATAGTGGTGATGAACATGTATATAGAGCATAATATACTATATTATAGCAAAAATTATTTACAAACGATATTAATAGTATCTTTTGATTTTTAACATTTAGTATCAAACTCCAGACTAATCATGGAAGACTTGTTTTAGTTAAATATTTAAGTGTAAAAAACATAAAATATATGTAGGTGAAGGAAGTCGAGATGAATGAGCAGAACTTGTTGCAAAATTAAGGGTGCTGGTGACACTTTTCTGAACTTGATGAAACAAGAAAAAAGTTTACATTTATTGAAAGGTTAAAAATTATCAGTGAGATAACTTTAATAATAATTTATTTTCACTATGGGAAGTTTGGGGTAGAGAAATAAGATAAATATTTATTTTTCAAAATAGTAAATATTGTCTCTAATTGATACATTATCAGTGAAGGGATACACACATCAAAGTTACAATAGAAACAACCAAAAGAATGAAATACCATAGTGGTTAAAGTGGCTACCTCTAATCAATAAAACAGGATTTAAAGGGTTTGTGCAAGAACAGTTGATCTCATTATATTTTGATTTGTACTAGTTAGTATTTTACCATGTACACAAATTATTTTGTGTCAAAATATTCTCCTATAGAAACCAAAATTCTGAACCTTTCAGAGCCATTTTAGACTTACTGATTGTGATTCAAAAAGTAGATTTCTCTGCAGCTATTTTCTCTGGTATCATTGAACATTCCTTGATTATTCTTGCTTTGGGTAAATTCTGTTATTAGAGTTGAGATATTTCTTTTATGGTGTTAAAACTGCCAAATTTTAAGTAAAGAGTTCCATTACAGAAAATAAAAGCAATTAGAGCTCTCACGTTCAGAAAACATAAGCTAAATACAAATAAATATAAACGTATTATTAGGCAAATGTAACAGTATTTAAATCAAGTGCTATTAAATACTAGATCTTTGGTAGGGATAGAAGAAAAAAGAATGAAAATCTCAAAAGAACAGTAAGCAGGAGGTAAAATGTTTCCACAATCCATTTCAGAGTACACTATAATGTAAAAGTTCTCATTAACAGGTCATTTTTGTTCAGAGATAAACCATACTTTCATTCTTAGAGATGATTTGGGAAAAATATATTAAAATTCTTGAACTGATTTTTTTGTTTGTAGTAACAACTTCATTACAAGTGATTTTACATTTAACTGATGTTACTAATTATGTAAAAATAGTAGAAACAGTAATAATTTTGCCAATAAGTAGAAATTTGGTATAAATATACTTTACAAGAAATGCACAGAAAAGATTAATTAGTAATACATTAAGTAAATCATCTATTGCTACCATAGCTATCATCCTGCATCACCTTGGAAATATGAAAAATGCTACCAGGAAAGATATAAACAAAATGGCCGGGCGCGGTGGCTCATGCCTGTAATCTCAGCACTTTGGGAGGCCGAGGCAGGTGGATCACCTGAGGTCAGGAGTCGAGACCAGCCTGGCCAACATGGTGAAACCCCATCTCTACTAAAAAAAATACAAAAATTATCTGGGCGAATTGGCACATGCCTGTAATCCCAGCTATTCAGGAGGCTGAGGCAGGAGAATTGCTTGAACCCGGGTGGCGAAGGTTGCAGTGGGCCGAGATCACGCCACTGCAATCCACCCTGGGCTACAGAGCAAGACTCCATCTCAAAAAATAATTGAAACAAAGTTATAAACAACACTTCTAAGGAGAGAAAAATAAATGATGCATGTTTACTTGTTGGCATCTCAGAATGTTTATTATGTAATATTTCATGAAAATTTGGCTCCCAAATATATACACTATAAGAAGTTGGCCAAAATCATAGGCAACATAGGCCAATAAATTTTTAAAATTTTTAAAATGTATATTTTATATGTATATTTTATATGTATATTTTAAATGTATAAAATGTATATTTTAAATGTATAAAAAATCTTTAAAATGTATATTTAACTCATAGCTTGTAGTAAGTTCATTTTAAAAATACAATGTCAATTCTTTATATATCTCTGCTTGGTAAAAATAATACAAATACTCTAAGTTATTTCACACATATCACCAAAATTATATACTGTTATTGAAGGAGCACATGACCTGTGACCATAACAGAAAGAGAGACTCCAAAGGGCTGGTAAGACACTGTAATTAGGAGGCAGCAATCATCGCTTCAAAACCTTGCTTTGGTGCTTATTAGTTGTGTGACTTTAGACTGGTTACTTAACTTATCCGTGGCTCAGGTTAATCATTTGTAAAGTGAAGCAAGGATACAAATAGCATCCACATCCTAGGGCTTTGTGAGGACTAGATGAAATAAGACATTTAAATAATACATGCAGCTAAAGGAGTGTCCAGCATATACTAATAAGGGCAAAATGATATTAATCTAGCCCTTTTACTTTAAAATGGCTATGGATTTATGTTTAACAAATTTAAGAATCTTAACCAAAATTTAGAAAAGTGACAAACCTGGGGTAAAATCAGCCTGTTAATTAAAAAAAATATATATGCAGAGTGTAGATGGAGAAGGCAGAAAGACTATCTGGCAACTATTTTAAATTAAGGAAATGTCTCTTCACTTTGGAACTTCAGTTTCCTCATGTTCCCAGCTGGTTTACCAATAAGAGTTATAGCCAGGCATGATCATGATGGCTCATGCCTGTAATCCCAGCGCTTTGGGAGCCTGAGGTAAGAGGATCACTTGAGGCCAGGATTTAGAAACCAGCCTGAGCAACATACTGAGATCCTGTCTCTACAAAAATAAAAATAAAAATAAATTAGCCAGGCATGGTGGCGTGCACTTATAGTTCTAGCTACTCAGGAGGCTGAGGTGGGAGGATCACTTGAGACCAGGACTTTGAGACCAACCTGGGAAACATAGCAAGACTTTGTCTCTAAAAAAAAGTGTAAGATTTAAAAAATATGTACATATTTTGAGAACTAAATGAAATGACAAAGGCAAATTACCTTGCATATAGTAGATGCCAGATAAATGTTATTTTCACCACTTTCCCTCATATTTTACATTTGTACTGTGTTCTTTGAACTCCACTGAAACAAATTATATGTTGGGAATGGGGGATGGAAGACCAGTGGGAGAAGAAACATTTATTGAATACTGATATGGTTTGGATCTGTGTCCCAGCTCATATCTCTTGTTGGATTTTAATCTCCAATGTTGGAGGTGAGATCTGGCGGGAGGTGATTGGATCATGGGGGCAGTTTTCCCCTGGGTACTGTCCCGAGTTCTCATAAGATCTGGTTGTTTAAAAGTGTGTACCATCTCCCTCTTCTCTCTCTGCCTCCTGTTCTGGCCATGTAAGACATGCCTGCTTCCCCTTTGCCTTCTACCATGATTGTAAATTTCCTGAGGCCTCCTGAGCTGCAGAAGCCCTGATGCTTCCTGTACAGCCTGCAGAACCGTGAGCCAATTAAACCTCTTTTCTTTATAAATTACCAATCTCAGGTATTTATTTATGGAAGTGCAAGAACAGACTAATACAGATACCTACTATATATGCCAAGTAATTTGTTCACTTTATTTTATTGAACTCCTGGTAGACTGAGGTTGCTTTTTCTATAGTTACTACTGATATTCTAATAGCTGAAGTCTGTGGTCATTTCTCAGGTGTCATATTACTGAACATTCCTTCTGTAGTCAAGAGTCAAGCTCTTTATCTCTTTCAAGTCAGAATTATTCCTCAGCTTCTGGTACACTGTTCTCTCCTGTTTCTCCTTAAGTCCTCCACAGATTCTTCTTCCTTTTCTGACCCATGCATGTATAGTCTTTTCCAGAACTGAGCCACTGCTTTTCTCACTTTCTGTCCCTCAGTGGATTTTGTTCACTCTCATGATTTGATGTATTACCTGTAAATTCTCCAGCGTTTACTTTAGAAGAACCCAGACTACTTCTCTTAGATGTGTAAAGGCAAATGTGTCTATACTTGGTTTGGCCATTGACACCTTAAAAACACTGTGTCCAATATTGAACTTAACAACTTTCCCATGTCGTTTGATTCTCTAACAATTTTTCCATCTCGGTTTTATCACCATAATCTTCTCAGGAGTTATCATTAATTCTCCTCTCCTTTCCTAAAGTCAATCGACAAGGCATAACCATTTAGCTTCCTAAACATTTCTTGAATCTATCATCTGCTTCCTATCTCTAATATTTTAATCACAATCATTTCAAGCCTCAATTCTTACCAACTTCCTAACTGCTCATGCTCCTCCATTCTTGAACCATCCGGTTTAACCTTTATATATCCCTCATTAAGTATTTAAAAATCCATATATAACATTCCTCATAAATGTTGAATTCACTGAAAATCTTTGTGGACTGGTATGTTCAATAATTTGCTAAATATATTACATCTTTGTTATATTATTCCCTATCTATTCATAGACCTTTGTAATATGATTTCTAAATAATCTAATACTGAAAAGAAGTAAAAACTCAGAAAACCATACAAACTTTCAACATATACTTTTAAATTAGTTGTTATATAGAATAAAATGTAATACAATTTTACTTTTGTAATGTTTTTGAAATTAAAAAATTCACAGGCATAGTTTACATTAACATGTAAATAGAAACATCAGTCACATAATTGCATTTTTTTTCCTTTTCTTATTTAGTCACTTGCAAAATGTCTAAAGTTTGTTATTTGCAAATAACAGAAAATGATATATCCATAACAGAAATGATTTATTCCTACGATAAATTAATGTAGTAAATTGATTAATAGTAATTAACCAAGTGATTTCAAAGTATAATTACAAAATAAAAAAGCATAGAATTGTACATACAGTGTCTTTACTTCAACTAACTTACTTGTATCAAATATATTTTACAGAAAAAGAATTCATTTTTATTTATTACTTTTAATTCAATATGGCTTCATGATTTATTTTCGCTCCACAAAACATAGATAATATTTGTACTATATCTAAAATTGACAGTCTTTGAGAATTTTTTCCTATTTCTGAAATATCAAATCAACAATTTCTTTATGAGGCTCTGTAAATACTGCCTTAACTTTGCTTTCCTTTCTTATCTTGAGGCTTAAAATTATCATGAGATCCTGAAATCCTCCTAGACTTTTTTAAGCTGCTAAGTTACATAAAGAAACTATAAGCTCAAATATCATTTTAAGAGACTGTTCAGAATGTGTGATGCTAAACTTCAAATATTTCATTAATCTTCCATGCACAAAAGGATTTCACAGAAGATCTAAATACAAATCAATTGACCTTATTTATATATTTGGAAAGCTAATACGTCCTATACTAGAAGTGGAATAGCAAACATCTCCTTATTATCGTACATTATATTTAATATTGGTACAAGTAAATGCTGTTGAATATGTGGTAGATCATATTTTTTAAGATACGTACTGGGTGGAAAGGGGGATGACAGCCATGTGCATTATAGAAATAATATTTGATTTTGCACTATTATTTGTGTGCATATAATTATTATTTGTCTCCTTCCTTGTAATAAGCTTGAATGGCATGTGGTTTCTACATTAGAATTAACATGTGTAAAGCACACTTAAGCTAAGGTCAGCATGATATAAGTTAAAGTGTAGAGATAGTCTGAAAAACAGTATCACTCCCTCCAGGGTAATTTTATGTGCTTTTTCAAGAAATGTATTCATCTTAACATACAGATCTCAGGAAAAGAGTTCACAAATATCAACCTCTTAATATATCTCAACATATCCATTTTAAACCAAGAAATGCTCAGTTTCTGATTTCATCTTCTGGCCAAACCACACTGTACCATGGTGCTGTCTGGGCTTGCATCAATTGTGATTTGTCGGGACCCAGTTCAAACCTGTTAAATATTTTGACTATGACCACTGCTTTTAGGTGAGTGCTTATACTGCATTTTGTAAATAGTTGTCTTAAAAGAACATGCCATATTATGTATTGGAAAGGAGTTAAAGAAGGAATAAGTTTAAACGTCCTTTAGTGCTACAAGAATTAATACAGAGCTATTTTTCACTTTTATATCTGATAACATACAACTACATAAGCTCAAAATTCAAAATTTCTAAGTAAAATTAGTAGGGAAGTTAAAATTTAGTCCAACATCAGTTTCACAGATAATGTAAAATATTTGTGTAAAATATGAAATTCATTATTTAACACAAAAATAGTCTTCAGAGAAGACATTGAAAACTCCTCTTTCAGGTTATGTTCTGTTTTCAGACACATTAATTTAATCCAAGAATGTATTTCAAATAATCCAAATGAGTAAAACTTAATTTTTATTATAAATAATTATGCAACACTTGCCAATAAACTGACTTAATTTTATTTTTCCATGGCTCCAATTAAACAAAATTACAGAAGAACTTACCATTTATGAATACACTATATTAGTTACGGAGAAGCATGCATGTTGCAAGAGTATATTAATACACTGATGTTAATCTGTTTCTCATTGAAAATCCATTCCATAATTCAGAGGATATAAAAAAATTCCATCATACAAAATTAAACGTTAAAACTAAATTATTTGTCACTTGGAAAATGGCATACATTAATTCTTAATCAATAATACTTTTTCCTTAAATCAGTTAACTTATAATCATAGCACAATAATGAAATAAACTTTGTTTCTTGATAGGGTTCCATAGCACTCAGAGTACTGAAATGAATAATGGAAAAAATGACTGTGTCAGATTATAGAATAACTCAGTCCCATACCTTGTCATACTGTAAATAAAAATTATCAGGCTTTGCAGTTTAATATGGAAAGGAAGCTAATGATTACAAACCTATACTCATTGTCCCCACATCCATTTACAAATAATACAATCAGTCTCAGATGAGATATCTTTTGTTAAATAAACAGCTATCTTTTTGTTTATGTTGTGGTTGTTGAATGATCTCTGACCTCATACCAAAATTTCATGGGTACCAATGATCTCTGAAGTGAGAAGGACTCATTACAAATCTGTCTCAAACTTGTGTCTGGTGTGGGTCCCAATAAAGAATAAAAGCAAGCACAAGATTTTTGTACTTTATTGCTGGACCCATTGTACTTAGAAATGCGTAGCTCACATCAAGGGCCAAGGTTTGAAACAAATGTCTTTTAGTAACTCGTGACAACAGCATATGAATCATTAAAACTGCTTTCTTTTAACAGTGCCTAATTTGCATTTTAATACACACATTCTGATAGAAATTGTCAAAAATCAAGTACTAAAGAATTTAAGAAAATTTAAATAATGTCACAAAATTATAACCGCTAAAACATAAAGGAATGGGAGTACAGGCATTAACAAATGTGTCCACATGGTAGTTCACTATTATCTTTCCTGATGACCTAGATCACCTAGAAAAGCTGTTTTTAATTACAAAATATTATAATGTACATTTAGACTAGTAATTGTATCAAGAAGCAGTATATAACTACATACATGGCTACATATCCCTCTCTCTGTGTCTGGAAATATATGTTGCAATGGCTAGTAGCTATGAAAGAATGTGAAAGACTTGTCAAAGAAAATGACCTATACAGGAGATCGAGATCAACCTGGCTAACACAGTGAAACCCCGTCTCTACTAAAAATACAAAAAATTAACCGGGCGTGGTGGCTGGCACCTGTTGTCCCAGCTACTCGGGAGGCTGAGGCAGGAGGATGGCGTGAACCCGGGAGGTGGAGCTTGCAGTGAGCCAAGATAGCGCCACTGCAGTTGGCCTGGATGAAAGAGCGAGACTCCATCTCAACAACAACAACAAAAAAAAAAATGAAAAAAAAAATGACCGATAATAACTTTCAGGCTAAAGGATTGTACTGATGAGTTGTTTCAAGCTCTCAATGTACAAATATTTTGCAAAATATGCAAATACATACTATTAAGTATAGAAAAAATTAAATCTCTTCAATTTTTACCACCCAATATGATGTTAAAAGCACCAGAAATAAAATTACAAATGGCATTTAATATGTGAAAAAGTTATGTAATTTACTAGGATTCAGCAGCATTTTACAGGTATAATCTTTTGAAATGAAATAGAAATGCAAAGTTGGTTAAATTTGAGGAAATACATCCATAAATCCTAATGATTTATATATTTTATATTTTACAGTTGAAGAAATGAGACTCATAAACTTAAGTATATAGCTAAGAACCACACAGCAGTGAAGGACTGGAATTCTAAAATTTATACCCTTAATGAATAAGTTAGGCTCTCCACAGGATAACAATGCACAAACCAGAAAGAAATTCCATAAACTGGTTAAACACACACACACACACACACACACACACACTTAGTATTAAAGTCTAGTATGTAGGATAACAGAGTTATATGAATAAGGCAAAACGAGAAATATGATGTTACATGATTCTCAGCTCCCAATAAAAGAAACCTCTAGTATTTTTAAAAATGCAGATGAGGATTAGTAGGAATTACAAACCACAGGTCCAGAAAAATAAGCTAGTCCTTTTGGTTAGCATTCTATAAATCACCCAGATTACTAAATTCAGAATAATCTTAGAGGGATTCTTTTTCCTTGTCCATCATATGCAATTGGATTTAAAGCCTTGTGAATTTCATCTCAGCAATATTACCCCAATTCAATTTTTCCTGTTATTTCTTCATCTAGTATCCTTGCTGGGACTTGGTTGCCTTATTTCTAAAATAACCACCCACCCCAACTTCAAACAAACAAACAAAAAAATTGTCTCAGTAACATAATAAATTTCTCTAAGATTTACTAGAAACTGTTAACTCTTTTCAAGTAAAACTTAGAAAAACAGTTTTGGAAATGTTAACTCTTTGCTCAAGAACATAAACATTTTCATATGTTTGACTCAGATAAATTAATTCCAAAGCTTCATGTCTGGCAATGACCGATTTGCACTGTATCCTCCTTGAAAGTACTCTGTATCCTAGAAGCAAGGGATGGCTTTCTTGAAGGTGCCCAAGGCCTTTAGGATTCCACGTTCCTTTTCTACTTCCTCCTTTTTTACCCAGCTTCACCTGTTACTTTTTAAAATAGGTTATTTTCCTTCTCTATTCAGGCTTCACTGAAACTCAACAATTCAAACTACAAGGTGCATAAAGAGTATGTGTTTAAATGCATGTTGGGGTTAAAATATTCAAAATGATATAATTTGAAATGAATTAAATTTTAAGAGGTTAGATATATAAAACCATAAAACTCATAATCATAAGAAAAGTAGTTTGAACTTTGGAATACCCAGATTTGAAACAAACAGAAAATGTTAATTAAAATGATCTTTTGACTCTAACCAGTGAAATGAGTAAACCAATGGAGCACTTTAGATGTGTCATATGTCTAAAGTTTACTGTGCTTATGTACCATTGTTGTGTAGACAATTTAAGATTTGTCTAGGGTAGAAAAATCCTACTTAAAAATAAATGCTTTCTACAATATTTTTCAATGTTCTTTTTCAATGAACTTTTGTTTTGCAAGTCCTTTCTAATTCTTAGGATTGCATTTTATACACATACATAAAATCTGTAGAAAATGGTCTATTCATAGACCATGCTCACAACTATGAATCTCACATTTTCCTGGCCATAAAAATATTAGAGGCCTCTAAAAATCAGCTGAAATGTCAATATCCTTTGAATGAATTTGATCTACTTTACAAATAATACTTTTTTATTTGCAATTGAACAGTACGTTAACAAAAAAAGATGGAAGAAAAGGAGGGAATCCATTAAAGGGACTGCAAAACACTGGCCTGTGTAATACTAAATTTATGAGTTAGAAAATGAGAAAACTGTATAGCTAAGTTACTAACTGAAGGGTGTATGCTTATCTACTTATGTAAAGTCAGAATCTAGGGTTTAAAACATGGAATTTATCTGTTTTTATTTATTTAAAATACTTGAATGTATGTATTTGGACCAATTTATGCACATTTCTTAATAAGTACATTAGAGAAATAGAGAAAAACTTTATTTATTCATACTTTATGAAGAAAATCTATATTTATTAGTTTTAATGCATTTCAAGTAGATTTAAAGATTCTGATCTTAACATAGGAAAACATACTATGGTGCTAATTTGACCTTAAATATAGGAAGTCAGAAAGATTTAAGAAATATCTCATTGTTGGTAGTTTATTCCTCACTTTTTCTAGAACAGAGAAGATATTAAATAGAATTTCCTGCACTGCACAGTCTACCTAAGGCATGCTTCTAATGTAAATGACAGTTGAAAGATTAGAAATGATACTAAACTCAGTTTTATATTTCCCCTGTCTCTCAGCCTTTGGCACTGTGTAGAAATGACACTCAAAATTGACTGTACTGCTTTTCCACAGCAGGTAGCAAAATCCTGTACTTGCGTTGCCCTGACAATTTGTCAGAGGAGGATTAGTTTAAATTCTTCTTGCCTCTCTTTCTACGCACAATTGAACACAAATGATCTTTATCCCTTGATGATATGACTTTTAAAAGTTTCTTTCTTGATATATTAATATACACACTATACAGAAAATTTGACAATATGAAAAATAATTATTGTTTATTCACAAGAGATCCTCTTCTCAGATGTGCTACCTTCCATCTTTAATGCACATAGAGTTCCTTTTGCAGCTTGTGATTGGTTATCATAAATTAATACTACATCAGCAATACCTTTTCATTCAAAACAAAGTTTAAAAGCGGGAAATCTCATTGAAGTAAAGTCTTTTTCAAAGTCTGTGATACATTAGAGATATACACTTACTATGACCACATCTCAAATGTTGTTCTTAATAGCCTTCAGTGAAAAAACTGGCTCATGGATAGTGAACCTGGTAGGATTTGTTTCCCACCTGAAGTGATTTCCAAAGATAAATGTGGTCAGTTTTGTCTTCAATTTAATTGTGAAAATGTACTCCATCAGAAGTGGGAATGAGGAAGGCACAAACATCAAAGAATTTCAGTTAAAAGGAAACCACAAGTAGCTTTTTGATTATCTGGGGGCTAATTAGTATATTCAAGGTGGTACTGAAAGTCCTTATTTGGGCTGTGTTGAAGAGAGTGGATTGGAGGAGATGAGGGCTGAGGACTACAGAAGGAACCACACTGGGTAGTTAAACTTAGACTGGGGCATGTCAGCAAGGATGAGGCTTAAAGAACAGGGCTCCTGGGCAACATATATGTTGCAGTTTATACTGCTCGGGTGATGGGTGGGCCAGGATCTTACAAATCACCACTAAAGAACTTACTCATGCAGCCAAATACCACCTGTGCCCCAATAACTTATGGAAAAAAAAAAAAAAAGAAGAGAGCTCCTGAAAGGCAGCGTGGCATCTCTCTTCTACCAACTGGTGTCATTCTTCACAGGATCTAATGATTGAGCACTAATTTACCATTAATTTTCAAATCGGCTAATTTATTTTTGAATAATAAAAATAGTCTCTCTTAAAGGTAATGCTATAACATTTAGTTTTATTTTGTTTTTTCATCTTAAATATTTCTTAAAGAGTTAATACCAATATAAGTGGCATAACTGAAGTTTGGAAGTTATATCTGTAATAAAATATTTATGTGGTACTTTAATATGGAATAACAAGTATATCATGCTCAATGAAATACATAAGTTTATATTAAAGAAATTTCATACTCAATACGTTTTTCCTATTTGCATATCCATTCTTCACATTTTTTAGGAAAAAGGGCAAAAATTACTTATCCACACTAATAAGGGCATCCAATAATAATTATTAGATTAGAAGAGTTCAATAGTAATAAATTATATAACTGTTGATGACAGTGCTCTAATGCTGTAAAATATTTTTTGACTTAAGCATCTATTCTCCACACTTCCTTCTTTATCTAGAGGTGCTGAGGGCTGGAGCTAGCAGCCATGGAGACTTTTTAAAAAGGCATAAACAATATTTCAAATATAATAATGATACCATGTAAACTATAATAAATAATCTTAAGTCAAGTTATATATTATAGTACATATCTAGTTGAATGCATTTTATTTTTATTAGATAGTAAACCAATAAAAACAATGAATTAAAGACTTCATCTGGTCAAAAAAAAGTTTAACTTATAAAATTATTACACAGGAAATTATGAAACACCAGCTGTATACATGGGGTAGACATCTTTATTTAAAATGGTTAGTATTAATTGACTGAGCAGTTGCAGATCTGATCAAACCACTTAATTACTTACTACTTTATCAATAATCAGTTTTCTGCTCTAAAAGAAAAAAATGATATAAAACACATGTTTTAGACACAACTGTTTATAGAATGCATTGGTTTAGATTTCTTATATATGATGAGCACATAGGAAAGAAGTATCTAGTTATTACTATCAAAATAAATAGAAATCTAAAGAAAATCATTTCTTGCTATAATAGTTGAGGCTAACAGGAAAATATCTTCAATAAAAATATAAATGATATTGGGTATTTGTATAAAAACAAACTTCATTGTGTATTTAATGACAACATCTATTGCAAAACATTTTAGTAGAGAGTGATGAATGTAAAATTATAAATATATTTTTGTCACTTACCTCTCTTAACATTTCTGCTTGTACTGGTGGGCTTATCTGAAGGACATGGGCAATGTCCTTCACATTTGACTGAGATCTGTTTTCCTAAGACACATGCCTGATATTCTAGTTTGCACTGTATAAAAAGAGAAAAAAAAAGTAATTCAAATGCTTTAGTTATATCAGTAAAACTCAAGAAATTTTTAGAAAGAAAGGTAATTTTTGATGCATATAATTTGGAGATTTTTCCACCAGGTAATACGTCTCCAATACTAAAGTGCAATATTACACACTTATGTAGAGTATTACTACTTCGTAAAAGAGGCAGAAATGCAGTTGCTTTGGGTATCATTTTGGTGAACAGTCACTGAGAAATATAATAGGTTTAAAAGTCATTCTTAGTTTGTCAGATCTATTATATGACATGAGTAGAACATTTTAGAATCAAATGGAGAGACGCATGACATAGAGTTTGACAGTACATCTCTTGAGCTTCTCAAATATAATCTCGGTTTTTGGTTACTTAAGTAAGCATGTCTTCTCTTACTTATTGGACTCTAAGTTTTGGCTACAGAGACTCTATGCATCAGTCTTTAGCCAGTGACTTGCACAGCATCAAATGGCCCATCTTGTATCCCCCAGGCAAAGAATTGTAAAATATATATATGTAAATTGATGTGTTCATTAAATAGTTCTATAGTTACTTGTGATTTTCCACAAACATAGCACCATAGCTCAAACACACATTCATACACATAGAGAACAAACATATATATTTACATACAAAATAAACCAAATATTTATGTAGCCTTTATATAATATACTCTGTATGTATATATATTTCACATATATTTTTGGTGTGATGATGTGCTTAGTGTCTCTCTAATCCTCGTGTGCAAATGGTTTTTAGACTGAACTTCCCATAGGTCTTACATTGGAATAAATGTGCATTTGTAATAAGATATTGTCACATATCTTACGTTTCTACAAGCCCCAGAGTTTATTTCACTTGTTTTACAAAAAACAGTATAGCATGCCTCTCTTCGGTGCTTGTATGACCACAGGATTGAAAGCACTTAAGATGGTGATGACAGTGCATTTCTGATTCCACCACACAGGTAATGGAAAAAGATAAATAAGTGGTCTAGAAGAGAGGAATGCCTGAATCTAAATCTTCTGAGTACCATCTCCTAAAAGTAACATTTAGGGCTAGTTGCTCAAATGCTCTCAGCCTCAATTTTCCCATTAAAAAATCTGGGATAATGATACCTAATTTCCAGAGTTTTAAGAACCAAACAGCCAGTTTTTCCCCACGCAGTAGCTATCATGAACCAGGCTCTCGGTAAATGCTAGTAAAAGCTGAATACTCTTAAACAATCAAAAATACTATGACACATGATATTTTCATTTGTTGGCTAACTTCTTAGTTTAGTTTTACTTATATCTGGCTTGATTTTCTTTGTAAACATTACTCCTGGTAGAATTTTAAGCCTAAGTATTTTTCATTTATTTCTAGAATAATATTTTATAACTGTATATTTGACATGATTAAAAATTATACTCCCAGTTATGTGGTCAATTTTAGAAAAAGTGTGATGTGTTGCTAAGAATTTATATTCTGTTGATTTGGGGTGGAGAGTTCTACAGATGTCTATTAGGTCCGCTTGGTCCAGAGCTGAGTTCAAGTCCTGAATATCCTTGTTAATTTTCTGTCTCGTTGATCTGTCTAAGATTGACAATGAGGTGTTAAAGTCTCCCATTATTATTGTGTGGGAGTCTAAGTCTCTTTGCAGGTCTCTAAGAACTTGTTTTATGAATCGGGGTACTCCTGTATTGGGTACTCATATATTTAGGATAGTAGCTCTTCTTGTTGCATTGATCCCTTTACCACCATGTAATGCCCTTCTTTGTCATTTTTGATCTTTGTTGATTTAAAGTCTGTTTTATCAGAGATTAGGATTGCAACCCCTTCTTTTTTTGCTCTCCATTTGCTTGGTAAATCTTCCTCCATCCATCCCTTTATTTTGAGCCTATGTGTGCTCCATCTTTTAAGAGTCAATAATTATCTTCCTACTCTAAAAGAAATAGATCTTGCTAATTCTGAAGTAATATGACTTCTTTGGTGGCTACTGCCATAATTTACTCAGAGAAAATGATTTTAAAATTAAATAGGGTAGACTTTCTGGCTCCAATCGACAAATGCACCAGTGACTAATTTAATTCAGCTTTAGCTGATATCAAGAAGCACCGAATGCACCCAATAGCTAATCAGATTACTCATGTCTCTACAATATTTTTATTTTTTCTTGTCAAGTGACTCCTTAATGGACAGTTGAAATTCTTAACGAGCCCTGCAACAAATGATTAAAAATTATTAAGGACTTTGAACATGTTTATAGTAGCATATTCATCCTTTCAAGAGAACACTTTCAATGGTATTGTTATTTTTCATTATTCAATGCTTCAAAAATTGAAAAAAAAGATTTTGTCAGTAAAATCACAGTGCATTTTTAAATGTAATTTAAAAGTCCAAAATCTATTCGAAGGTAGACATAAATAGTTAAGCAATTATGAATGTTTTAATGAAAGCCAAATGAATTATAACTTCAAATTTAATATTCTGCACTGTATCTTCTGTTAACTTAATATTTCAGAACCCTGAACTTTCTCATATAATAATTCTGATTCATGACATAATTTAAGGAAAGTTCAGGAGCAACTGTGAGTGGTATAGGAGCAGACAAAGCCAAAAGTCAATATTAATTATAGCTAATATTACATTTTACCATTTGAATATATGTTTATCTCCCTTCATAGATGTGTTATACCACACTCATTTATGCTTTAAATGTAGTTTATTTAGTAGTGATTTTTAAAATATAAACAACATAAAAGCCTGGCTAATACTTGAATGAACAACAAACATACAACAACTATTAGTTTATTAATAACAGGAATCATATTTTCTGCCCAAAAGTTGATGATTCATTTTTTATATCATTAGGCACTAGGAGAATAACTTACAAGAGAATTACATAATCTTTATAAAAATTTGGTTAATTCTTCATCAAAATATGTTTCAGCTTGTAGCTTTCTTTGGCATAATTACAATTTAAAATTTCAAAGCTGTCTTTATGATTTTCATGAAATGATAAAATTATAGCTTTGCAAAAGTTACTTTATATGTGAAATGATTTCAGAATGATTCTACTCAACACCTTTTTTTCTATGCATTTCTATAAAGAATAACAGAATCAGATGTATAGCAAATATGCCCTTTGTATATAATCATATGATTTTAGCTACTTTTTATCAGAAAGCTACTTAGTTTTATTTACTTATGAATTAAAATTGGAAAAAAATTCCATGGAGAATTTTACTCAAAGAATATTAGGACATTAAAAAATGCTACTTTAAAATATTTTTTAGCTATACCCACTGATTGCATTTCTAATTAATAATGTTCAATTTACTTAATTACCACGAAGCTGAAATATTTATAAAGGTATATGTGAACTAAAATATCACATAAAGGGCATGCTCATTAGTCTATAATTACCAAAAAATGCAAATAATGTAGAGAAAGACATGATTAATGCTTTCCTGATTATCTAAGACCCCGAGTATTGAGATCACTTAAGTTACGAGTTCTTGTGAAAAGCAAGCCTGCAGAATGATTTTGACACTAGTCACGGAAAGTTATTTTACAGTCATTTGTTTAATAAGAGGATTGAAGAAAATATGATCATATTATTGGAAAAAAATGCGGCATATGAAAAAGAGCCCAACCTTCAGGGTCAGCAAACACTGCGACAGGCTGTTGTTACCAGCTTTCAAACTGATGAAATCATCATGGCCCTGCTACATGGCTTAAAGCAGAGGTTTTCAGCTGGGGATAATTTCACTCCCCCCTCAAATGTCAAAATTGACATTTGAGACAATTTTGTTTGTCACAACTGGAGGCAGAAGGGAGAGTGATTGTTTGGGCATCTACTAGTTAGAAGCCAGGAATGCTGCTAAACATCTTACAATGCAAAGGACAACCCCCCTGCCAGAACAAAGATTTATCTGGCCCCAAATGTCAACAGTGCCTAGACTGAGAAGCCTTGATTAGGCATTAGTCTACTGTAAGGCAATGAAAGGGTTAATTCAATTCTCAAGATCCCTTCCATATTTCCCTTAGGAATTTTTTCTTGGGCATTCACTAAAGTAATCCATATAAAATAACAATTCTACAAACCAACTGTCAATAACAATTCTACAAACCAACTTAATTATCTAGAGAAACCAGAAAATACAAATCAGCTAAAGCGAGAAAAGATACAGTTGACAATAGCCTACTTTCACTGAGGCACTACTATATGTCAAACACTGTGTTAAGCAGTTTAGATGTATTATTCTTTTGATCATAAAAACAAGACATATTTTTACAATAAATTTTTCAAGTGAAGTTTAGAGAGCTTATGCAACTGATAAAAAAATATAGGGCTGAAATGGGATTCAAGCACTATTTTATAGTTCTAATGTAGAACAAGTATGTAATCAGCAATAGAAATAGCAGCAATGTTATTTTCTTATGGTAGCAATACAAATTTTCATTCAAGTGAAAAACAAATCAGAAAATATGGAATGTCATGAGTCACTTTTTTATTCCCCATTTTAATCTATCTTGGACTGACTAATGTATTATATTTTTAATGCTCTAAATAGCCAATATCAAAGACATGCTTTGAACTCTCATAAACAGCATTCCTCATATTCAGCTGTAGCTAACCCTTTCCCAAGAAAACACCGTTCACTAAAGTTCTTCTGATCCCTATTGAATGGTGTTCTCCATTCAAACATAACCACAGGAGGAAATGAGGACTCCAGCCTTAAATCCATTTGTTCATTCAATCAGGATATATCATTTGCACAAAATGTCTTAATTGCAGCATACATACACACACAGGAAGTTAAACATAGTAACAACATTAAAAACCCTCTGCACCACAGTGGACACTACACCATTTTTCTCTTTGTGGAACACTCTACATTTCATCACGGAATAACACCCTGCTTCATTGGAGGAGCATTTCCTTTTCTCACCAGAAACTTGACTTCGAAAAACTTCTTTTTATATCACAAAATGTTATATTAATAATATATCATACTGGCCCCACCACAGGGAAAAAAAATCTTGTGCCATAGGGCAGGTGAGAGTCATGTTCCTGCTTTCTTAATTCAGTCAGAGGGAAGAGAGGCAAGCCCTTTGCAAGGGTAACACTAGAGATGTGAGCATAGGTGCTCCTAGGCAAACTGAAAATGAGAAATGGACCCACAGAGTCCTGAGAATATTAAAGTTCTTAATTCAAGCAGTCTCTAAGGCTCACAGATATACAAGTTAATTTTTCATTTTACCTTATACTTCAAACTTTAGGCATTCAAAATGGCATCTAGAAACTGGCAATTGTAAAGAACTAGTTGAATTTAAGCTAACTAAGCTGAGATGAGGAAGTAAGGACACGACAACCCAGGTTAGTAAGTGTGCAATCCTTGTCATGTAGTCACGAACAAGTTAAAATACTGCTCCAGTTGGTAACCAGATTAACTGACCAAGGAGAACTTCCGGGAAAAAAAGTAACAAAACCATACCTAACCCTTACCTTACTAAACCCATTCTCTCAGATGTACTATATCCTCTGGACCAGTATATCTCTAATTTTCCAAACAGGAATTATTAATACGAATATTTTATTTTTCTCCCAAAACTAAACACACCTCAAAATACTCTGCAAAAATTTCTCATTTGACACAAAGCTCACAATAGCCTGCAGTGGAATATCAGAAAATGCCAAAAAGAAAACAACTGGACACATGGATGATCCTAAACTTCAAAATGTAATAAATTTTAAAAATGGAAAGATCAAAAGGCTAGTAGGTTTATCTTATAATAATTTCATTTTATTTGTTTAATTAAACTTTGTCATTCAAATCAAAATTCTTGTTTGAATTATTCCAGATTAATGTTGCTTTCAATTAAAATAGCTTCAAGTAAAATAAAACCTATAAAAATAGGTTGTTTAATTATTGGTATGATACATATGATTAATAAAATCATTTTTACTTACTCTTAACTTACATTTTTTATTATTTACCTTAGTATATAATACGAGATTTGCCAAATAACAACTAAGAGGATTTTTCAAAGAGATACAAGTGTTGTTAAAAATAATAAAAAATAAGATGAGAATAGAAGGTCATGAGTATAGCATTTCAGAAGAAATTAACTATACAGATATAAATGAGAGTCAATTTTTTAAAAGAATGGGAGTAAGCAAGAAGGGATGCATTGTAAAAAAAGAATGCAAGTAGCGGAAAGATTCAGGGCAGAAGGTTAAGTTTAGCTAACAAAGAAAAGACTTTGAATACTTCAAAGTAGTAGATGATTTCAATGGTTACCCAAACATAAAAATACTGAAGTGTGATAGCTTGTACATACATTTCAATGTCTATGTGGTTTACATAACTAAATTGTTACATTAACTGCTTTAAAATATATAAAATGTGAAGAAATTCCTTGTTTATTATGCTTAAGAAATACCAAGGGCTTATTTTAAAATATGTACTATTTTTATAACCAAGATACATGTGAAATGATCAATGGTCACCAAACTGTTTTATGCACTGGTAGCAACAGTATATTTTGGGATTTCTAAATGAGAAAGATGGGCAAGAGCTGGTGAATTTAGCTTTGGCACAATTATACAAACACATAAAACATAGTGTTTCCTCTGTGTAAAGTCTCCCCTTGAGTAAATCTGAGGGATTAACCTAAAAAGCCATGATTTCCTGAGCCCTAAAATGCCCTCTGTTGACTCACTTCAAGAAAATGTGTACATCTGACACCAGGGCCCAGATCACACATTTGGGAAGAAGTCCTGGCAATGGTGGCATAGCGAAGAGGAAGGAACTGTTAATCAGAGCAGTTAGAACATTATTAAGAGTAAGTTTCTATAGGAAAGTGAGTATAAAAAGGAAGAAACATGAGGATAAAGTGAAACAGAGAGTGGGTTATCAATCTCAGGGGAGAACCCTACACACTTCTGTCTATTGCTTCTTAATATGGGAGTCACCAAGGGAAATTTTCACAAGGCAGCCCTGGAAGAAACAATGCTTTACTCACATCAAGAAGAGACAGAGCAAGATCGGCTTCAGTGTGTTTGTGCCCTGCCCCCACCCATGGCTAATGGACCCTCCAGCAGCTGACACAAGGCAACTGATGTGCACCTGTTTCCTGCTGCAGTAGAAGGACCCATCCTCTCTTACATGTAATCTGAAATCCAGAAAGCTTTGGGCCTGCCTGGGGGCCACCGAGGTGCATGCTTAAGCAGAACAAAGGAACACTCATTACATTTGAAACAGGAAGAGATACTCCCACACAAGGTGCTAAGCCAAGCACAGGCTGTGTGGCCTCCCTATCTCTCGGTAAGGATGTGTTCCAGGCTCATGGCCCATCTTTATGTGGATGAGTGGGGGTCAGAAGACTGCACATGAGACTGCCTTCCTCAATGCCAATCCAATGTGTCAACATTCTTTGCCGATTGCCTTTTTCCATGTTTGTAAATACTTTCTCCATGAATGAGAAACTTACATTTAGTTATATGTTCAACCAATTTTCTTAAATGTGCAATAGAATCAGTCTTACATTCTTGCTGCCTTCCTCTGTAGTATAAAAATTCTAGGAACTTTTCCAACTACATGGCCCATGTTCTTAAATACAGGTGGGTTTACCATCAGGACTATATTAGAGAGCTCAACCCTTCCCCCCTTCACCAACTGGGGGGCCCCTCTGATTTACTTTGAGCCAGGGAGGGCAGGGGAAAAGATTAACTTTTTTTTCCCCCATAGCTCCATCAATTACTAAGAGTACTAAAATCTCACTATGTGCCGTTGAGATATGACAGTTTGTCCTGGTAAAAATTGCTTTATATATCTCGAGACTATTTTATTATATACTTCCATGATTGGAACTATTGTATCAGATTTTCCAGGAGAATTAACATATTAATCATTATGTAGTAATTCTCTCCGCCATTTTCTATGGCTTTTATGTGAAAATCTAGTTTGTCTAATATTAATAGAATTGCCCTATTATTGTGTAGTGTTGGGGGACAAGTACCCGATGTATTGCTGTGCCTTGTGGGAGCAGAGACACTGGCAGCCTTTTGTTCTGTATTATCTATTCAATTTTGTTTGTTTAGGAAATATAGTTGCAAGACAGAGGTAGTGTCTCCTTCTAGAAGAGAGAGGAGGGTTTTTTTCCTGTCCAGTAAAAAAAGATAATATCTCTGCATGAGCAAAGGTTGGGTGGGATTGTTTGCAGTCTTTTAGAAAATATTGGGATTTCCTTAGCTGCAACACAAAATCAATGTGTGAAGAACATCAAACTATGCCACTGTGCATTACCCCTGCGGGACTTGTGAGCAAAGGAGAACTGACACGAACATCAAAGATTATGCTGCCCGTGCACTAAGTACAATATTCTTTGTCTCTGGCCCAGGGTATCATGTCTTCTGCCAACCTCCAAGAAATTGCAGCATCTTGCAAATGGGATAAAATTTTCAGACCCTTCACAGTTCTAGTGGTTTTTGGCAACGATGATGAGATGCTGGCTGAGAAGTGGCTTTCTGTAAGTGAAAGAACACAAGTCTCACAGACCATATTAGAAGACCTAGTAGTGAATTATATCACCCAAATCATGAACAAGGGTAGTGAAAGGCTCAACCATATTCTCTGTTATTAAAAGTTTCAAGCCTAGTCTGGGTGTCATGGCTTATGCCTGTAATCCCAGCATTTTGGGAACCCAAGGCAGGAGGAGCACTTTGAGGCCAGGAGTTTGAGACCAGTTTGGGAAACATAGTGAGATCCCATCTCTACACAAAAATAAAAATAAAAAAAAAAGTGGCTGGGCTGGTACTGTGCACCTGTAGTCCCAGCTACTCAGGAAGCTGAGGCAGGAGGATCACTGAGCCCCGGAATTCCAGGCTGCAGTGGCCTGTGATTGTATCACTGCATTCTAGCTGTGTGACAGAGAAAGACCCTCTCCCTAAAAAAGAAAAAAAAATATTTTTCATGTCTGGACAGTAGGTTTGGCTCAAACTGTTCCAATGGTGCTTTGGTTGGTTATTGCTCACTAACCTCTGGGCAGGGGGAGGAAGGGTTGTTATCTTGACAATGGGCTCAAGGTTTCTCTCTCTCCAAGTGAGACAGAAGGCCCAGTACACTCATTCACCTATACTGAAGAACTTTGCGATAGGGGGTGATACAAGCTTTTAAGACTGTGTTGGATGCAGGCACCCAACCCAAGTCACTGTTATGTCTGGTTCTGTTGGAGAAGGTGGCACTGGATTCAACTGATAATATCTGGGCAGGGTTTACACTATAAAAGGTAATAAGGAAGGTAAGCCAACGTGACCTTTCCTGTGAGGCTTTTGGGGCCAATTCAATGCATGCTATTCTTACTTCCACATCTGAATTCACATTAGGTAGTGATGTGCTATATACTTGTACTTTTTTATCTGGTAAATGGTAGAAGAGATTCTCCCTTACCATGAGTGAGCCAAGATTCATGTGTAAAGAAGTTTTCTTGTGGGAGATGGAAACCTCTTATCGTTTGCCAAAAATAGGTGTGTGTAACTTCATACAATGGTTAATTTCATGTGTAAATCTGAATGGGCTAAGGGATACCATATAGATGGTCAAACATTATTTCTGGGCATGACTATGAGGATGTTTCCAGAAGGGATGAGCATTTGAATTGGTGGACTGAGTACAGAAGACCCTCTCACCAATGTGGGTGGGCATCATCCTATTGGTTGAGGGTCTGGATAGAATAAAAAAGGCCTAGGCAGTGCAAATTGCCTCTCTCTGCTTGAGACATCTATCTTCTGCCCTCTGACATCAGCACTCATTCCACTCAGGGTTTTGGACTCACATCTGGGACTTAACCATCTGGCCCTTGACTCTCACACCTTGGGCCACGGACTGAATTATATCATCATCTTTCCTGACTTTCCTGCTTGTGGACAACAGATCTTGGTACTTGTTAGCCTCCATTACCACGTGACTCAATTCCTATAATAAATCTCCTCATATCTATCTATCTATCTATCTATCTATCTATCTATCTATCTATCTATCTATCTATCTATGTACCCTATGGGTTGTAATTCTCTGGATAACTTTAACAAACCTTAAATGCCTAAAGCTTTTCCTATGCAGATGATACCCTGTTGTTTGGCAAGTCCAAAGCCTCTATCTCCATGACTCTGACTACAGTATTATTACACCTCTGTCAGAAGAGATGGCTGATAAACTCTAACAAAGTTTGGCATCTGTTCAGTGTATTTCTTTCTTTCTTTTTTTTTTTTTTTTGAGACAGAGTCTTGCTCTGCCACCCAGGCTAGAGTGCAGTGGCATGATCTCAGCTTACTGCAACCTCTGCCTCCCAGGTTAAAGCGATTCTCCTGCCTCAGCCTCCCTCAGCCTCCTGAATAGCTGGGATTACAGGCACACGCCACCATGCCCGTCTAATTTTTGTATTTTTAGTACAGATGGGGTTTCACCATATTGGCCAGGCTAGTCTCGAACTCCTAACCTCATGACCCGCCTGCCTCAGCCTCCCAAGATGCTGGGATTACAGGCATGAGCCACTGTGCCCAGCCCCTGTTTACTATATTTCTTAGAGCTATGCAGGTGGATTTACAATGCTTATCTCTCTAACAGTGAAGAAAAACTGCTATCTCTTTGATTCTTACCACCAAAATGTAGGCCCAAAATCTTATTGCATTCTTTGGGTATTGGAGAGAGTATATTCCCCACTTAGGCATTCTCCTTGGTCCTTTACAACTCAACTAAACCAACAGACTGATTTGGAAGCCACTCAGCAAGTTGTGTCACATCTCCTACCTGTGGGACTCCACAACCCTCATGAGCACCTTGAGCTACAAACCTCTATTGAGACTTTTTCTGGTAATGCTGCCACTGTTCCAGTTTTACCAGCTGTCTCTGACAGCATCACTGTACCGTTTAAAACTAATCTGTGTCATATGTTTAGCTCTTTGGGCTATTTGCACTCTGACAACAGTGCACTTTTTATCACCTAATCTACTCAGTAATGTGTTGGCCGGCAAGGTAGTTAAGCACTTTTCATGCTCCCGACCACCCACAAGAATCTGATATTGTTGGGCATTGGGATTGGCTCTTAAAAAATAAACTCAAAAAGATTTATGTCTCTGCCTCCCTCACCTCCACATGGTTCACATATCTTAGTAAGGCAATTTGGTCCCTGAATTTTGCTGTCCCCAGAAAAGGAGCATACCCTCTCAGCTGGCTCTTAGGTAGCGAATAAGATGCAAGGAGGCTATATATACCTATTTTAAACATTGAGAATTTCTCTTTACTTTCCCTGCCAGCAACTGCAGGCTGCCCTGGTCGCTATGCCCTCCAGTTGGCAGCCTGTCCAAAGGAGGCCTTAGGGATTCAAACTCAATTGTGGATCACGCTGCTCTTTGAATCCACTGATAGTAGTATATGCAGGCCATAGTCGAAAACATAATGGGTCTCTCTTTATAAAACTTCCCTTGTCCCTCCTAATATACTCTTATGGATAAAATGTTCTTGTGTAAAGTTTAGGAGTTGATGGAAAGAAAGAAAAATTTTAGTGATCGTAATGGGACCCACTAATCTTGTGGTAATAGAAGGGGAACAACAACAGGTATTCCTGGAGAGGGAACACCTTCAACTCTGAAATAAATAGAGGGGCAAGATACATTCATGAGCTTTTGTTTTTCCATGCCACCCTGACATCTTTCCTCCCCAAGGAAATGTCCTTGTATGTCTCTCAAAGTGTTGCAAGTGTCTTAAAGTTAACTGCGTGCTGTGTCTGACTTCCCCAGACATTCCTTTTTTCCATTTCACTTAACCTTACCAGAGAAGTCTAGAAACAGGAGATGGCACCAGCTCCTGAACCTCCCATGCAAATCACCTGTCAACACCATCAGACGTCTTTCCCACCTCCCCTCTCATTCTGTGGGGTGAATGAATGCTACCAGTCTGGTTGCTAGAAAAACCAAGACAAATTAGGCACACTTCCCTCAGCTATCACTCCAAAAACAAGGAGTAGAGTCTGTTATTCTAACTGAATTGGGAAACCTGAGATCTGACAGCAGGCTGGAGAGCCATATTTGATGCACTGTCAGTCTATGTCCCCTGAACGATATAGGTCCCACCTGCAAAGTCACATCAATGGGACAACAGACTCATCATTTATAGATACCTTGCAGGAAGTTCTTTTCGTAACAGGAGGTATGCAATTAGAAAAGTTGATAATAAATGTTTCACTAACACATTTTGCGAAGTGAAGTGATCAATGACAGGACATTGTTTCTGAAAGGCATTCAGGTCAGTCACAGTCCACTGACCAGATATTTTGGATGACACAATTGTCCAGGATGCCTCTCTGTAGGTCAAGTAGTGACATCTATGCAATCACTAGTGTATCCTGCTGCACCTGACTTAATTCCACAGGCCAAGTAGAAAGCCCAAGACAAACACATAAGGCAAAAGCCACGTTGGATGTATAAGGTAGATCTGGATGATTTATGCGACGTGTCCAGGAGGTTGGTTCTGAGACTCTGGAGTGGGGGGTCGGAGACACTGCTGAGATAAATTTTGCTTGCAGGTTTTTATCATCCTCCTGCTTAGAGTTCCCTTGATGATATCCTTAATTAAAAGCTACATGAGATAAATTGAACAGATTTGGTTCAAACACCTGTTGATGGAGTGGCCTACGTAGAGGAACATTCTCTAGAAGCCAAGATATGGAAACAAAGGGCAGATACTGTTTGGAGGCAGATCTCCTGGGTTCACTCACATTTTTGCACATCATGCAATCAGAGGCACTGACAGCTTTTGTTCCGTGCACTCTTTTCAAGGATGTTTATGTAGCAAACGGACTTAGAAGGTATTTTCTTCTGAAATACTGGCTTTTGAATTTTAAAAATTTTCTTTCAATATTTTAAGTGTACATTTCCACCGTTTTCTGAATCACATTAATCTTGCTGAGATGCTTTTTGTTGGTATAATGGTACAATATTTTTGGTAGGTAATATGGCTTTTTTGTCTGGATGGACTTTACTTTGGTAATCTCTCATTTTACTGTAACGTGTCTAGACTTGGGTTTCTTCTTATTTATCTTACTTGGTATACACTGTGTTTCCTGTACTTGTGGAATCATGTATTTCATCACTTCTGGAAAGTTCTCAACTAAAATTCTCAACTAAATTCTCTTCTAATATTTTCTCTGTGTTATTACTTCTGATTACTCTCTATATTTCAGATTAAACTTTTGACTTTCTCATTCTACTCTATAGTCTATATATTCTACCTTTTTGGGTTATTTTTCAGAAATACGTATGTGTATACATGTACATAAATATATGATATATATAATATTTGCATATATTTCACACATATGTAACATGATATTTACATATATTATAGCTTATTATTCTATGTTACGTACATAATACATATACATGTACACTCACATATATATAAGTTATAGTTCATTATCTTGATTGAAGTTCATCTAATCTGCTGTTTAATCTATTGACTTAATTTTTAATTAAATAATATTTTAATTAAATGCTATTTGGCTCTTTTAAAAGCTGAGTAATTTTTTCTGAAATTATGTTTGGTAATGCTTGAATATTTCAATATCTTTTTAAATGTTTAAATGTTTCATACATTAATATATATTATACAGTTGATGTCTGTTACTAATAATTTGTCTCTAACAATTTTAGAATTTTAAGTATTTAAAATACAAATCTTGTCTTGTTCTTGCTGTTGGCATTGTTCACTCTTGCTCCTGTTAGCTTGCTTCATTTTGTTTATTAGTTTATTTGTATTGTATTAGTGTGCCCCTTTATTTATATTTATTTAATTTATATTTATTTATAAATTATTTATAATATAAATTATAAATAATTTATAATTTAATTTATTAAAAATTAATAAATATTAAAATTTATTAAATAAATTGTGAATTTGAGTTGGCAGAACAAACTCTGTGGAATCCTTAGACGTTTGAATTAATAATAGATTTCTACAGAGAAAGTATATATTGAGGCTTCCAAGTCTTGGTGTAACTTAATATATGAAATCCCTTAAATGTTCTCAGCTTTGGGCTTGCCTGACCTCTGCTCAGCTGTAGTGTAATTCAGAACACCAGACCCATGCAAGAGCAGCTCAAAAGCATCAACATTATACCATAATAATGGTATTATTACCCCATGCTACTGGAAGGACCTGTAGGTTACTTTTCAGATTTCTAGTGCCTGATGACAAATATTTCCCGCTTTCTTTTCACTGGAGGCACAGCTGTTCAGAGGGGTTGTCTAATTCATCGACGTGACTGTGCTTTCATATCGAGCCTACTCTACCATTCTTTCACAGGCCATTAATCTTAATATTTCCGGATTGTAGTTATTGACAGGTGTTTTGTTTTTTCCTGTCTCAGTTTCTGTGTTAGTGTTGTTACCTTCTAGTTTCATTTGGCTGTTTATTTGGCTTGCTTCAGATACAAAAACATACTTAATCCACTGTCAATTCACATAACAAGACTAATTTTCTTGGTAGAGTGCATTTAGGGTGGGAAGCGGTTAAAGGCCACTAAAACATACAGTGCTCATAGAGTATATCCAGTGTGATTGTGGGAAGAATATAATTTGCTCAGATACCCTAAAAATGATATGACAGTCACATTCTATTATTTTATAATTCAAATGATTATAAACTGATATAGATAGATACAATATATGGCATACTATTTTTTCTTTATCTAGAAAAATAATTGTCATATTAATTTTGAAATCATTTGTGTATTAGTTGTTGATATAAAATTAGCATGTTTAATTACATATTATGCAAAATCATTTTATTATATTATTACTTTTATATAATCTATATTTTTATTCATAGCCATATTATTAGTCCTGCTCCTTACTAGTTCTATCCCCGATGAACTAATTTAAAATCTCTCTGTTTCAAATTCTTATGTTTAAAATGGGAACAATATTAGTGTATGTTAGTGTATGTTATATATCTTATAGCATTGTTAAAATTAAGAAGTTAATGCATATAAAAATTAACGCATTAGCTTAATTGAGTCATTCATTAATACATTAATTTAGAATACTTATTAACACACATTATGCAATCATGATATGTTAATTTCTTAAAAGAATATTTTGTTTGTTGATATGAGTTGGGTGCCTCTGACAAAAAGATTACAGAACTCTTCCAAAGGTACTGTACATACACTTACTTAATTACCTAGAAACTTTTTGAGTAACTCAGCTGAAATAAATTCTAGTAACATAGTAAGGATGGCACATGCTATAGTTATCTTTACATATGAATAACATTATATTAGTTGAAATAAGCCAGACACAGGAAGATAAATACCACATGTTCTCACTCATATGTGGGATTTAAAAAATATTTTGAGCCCCTGGAAGTAGAGAGTAGAATTGGGGGTGTTAGTGTCTGAGAAGGGGAGAAAAATAGGGAGGATAAAAAGAGGTTGGTTTACAGATACACATGGATAACCTATTTACTTTTCTATAACCTTTTTGAAGAGTTGAAATATATATGGTTTCTTTATATCTCTCCCATCACCTCCTGTATTCTTTTTCCTTGGCAAAGTGATGAATAATTAATGTTACAAAGGACATCATTCAGGTAAAATTCACATGTGATAAATGCATCAGTTAAGGTCTTGCTGGGAGTTTTATTGCACAGTACAGTGCTGTGGTTAACTGTGTGTGCGCTTAACTGGGCTCTGATTCCAGCATTGTAATTCACCAGCTTTATGGCTGACATGGGCTTCCTTTTCTTTATCCCTAGTTTGTAGACATTATAAAAAAAGTCTTGTAATTTTTTTTAAAGATTAATTTACTACACATAAAATATTTAGGATATTAACTGATATTATTATACAGTTATTTTAGCAATTACTACAAATATTACTAGAACTTCTATTACCACAACTAGTATATGCCTAGTATTATTATTATCATTACACTTCTCTTAAAGAACATGTATATTTAAACATGTTCTACATAGTTTAGGATTTTTTAGATAAATGCATTCCTTATAAATACAAACTAGATGGACTGTTTATAAACTACAAGATCTCTAAGATATAAAAGTTAACATGAAAATTCCACAACTGAATATATGTGGTGTTAGTCCTTTTTTAGTATATAGTAACAAAAGATGTAGACACTGATATTATATGTTCTATTCTGTGATGGCTACAGAAAACTTAATTAACACGGGCTTAAGCACTATTAAAACTTTTCTTTTTTTACATGCAAAAATCTATAGGTAACTTCATACCTAATGTTGAAAATACTGAACACTTTTCTTATAAATTGGGACTAAGGCAAGGAGATACATTGAACATTGTAGTGGAAGTCCTAACCAAAACCTAAGGCAAGAAATAGAAAGATAAAAAAGGAAGAAATAAACCTGCATGTATTCATGGAGAAGGATATTATATGTAAAAAAATCTGGAGAGATGACAAAACATTACTAGAAATAATAAGTGAATTTAGCAAAGTGGCAATATACAAGTCAGTATAGAAAATTAACAATATAACAATATACTATCAGCAAACCATTAAAAACTGAATTAAAATTAAATTTACAATAGTACTAATAAAAAAGTACTTAACAAATTTAATAAAGGGCATTATGAAATTCTATACTGAAAATTACCAAACATTAATTAATGAAATATAACTAAATGGAGAGATATACCAAGTGTGTGGATTTGAAGATTCAGTACTGCACAATATCTAAAAAATGATTCTAGCTTGTTTTCTATAGAAATTGACAGACTGATTCTGAAATTCTTATGGAAATGCAAAGGGTAAACACCAAAGCAATATTAAAAAGGTATAACAAAGTTAGACTTTGCATCTGAATTCAAAAGTCAGCATTAAGGTACAACAAATTAGACATGTGATACAGGCTTAAGGATAAATAGTTCACTGACCATACTAAAGACAGAAACAGACCCACACTTTTAGGACCATTTCATTTTTGACAAAGACATCAAAGCAATCCAATGAAGTAAGATGCTATAAACGATTCTGCAACTGGTTGGCCACTTTTTTAAAAATTTTGTGTAGAAACGGGTTTTTGCCATGTTGCCAATGCTTGTCTTGAACTCCGAAGCTCAAGGAATTTTCCCATCTCTGCTTCTCAAAATGGTGGGATTATAGGCGTAAGCCACCATGCCTGGCCTGGTTGGCTACATAAAAAAAAAAAAAAAAAAACCTACCTTCTACTATACACAAAAACTAATCAGTATCATAGACCTAACCCTAAAAGTTAAAATTTTAAAGCTTCTAGAAGACACAGAAGATTGTTTTCTGCAACGAGTAATAATCACAGAAAATTGACAATATAGGCTTATTTATCATGCATAATATCTAAAAATATATTTTTATCATTAATCTGATATCACAGGCTCTAATTCAGTGAGAAACAACTCAATAAATTTAAAAGCCACATATTTTTATTTTTTAATTTTTTTTAGTGATTCAAATAAAGGTAGTCACCACATCATGTGTAGCAATATAGAAAAAAATGAAGGGTAATTAATTTAGAAAATGAATTTGCTTCAATTTTACATTAAAAAATTGAAATGCAATTAATAACATGGGCTCTGGACTTAGCTGAGTAACACTGGTCAAATGACTTAAATTCTCTGTGCTTCACAGTTCTCATCTATAAAGGAGGGATAACAACCAGTTAACATATTTAAAATATTTAAAGTATTTGCCAGAAAATATGGTCTACATAAATGTTTGATTTATATATATACACACACATTATACATATGCACACACACAAGTGTATATATGAGGTTATGAAAGTTAATGTAGTGAAAAGGCCATGGGTTCCCATATTGCAAGATCAAAACACAAGTTATTGTAAATGGTAGACAAAAATCAGGCACCTGTGTCTCTAACTCATTGCATTATATCTTCCCTACAGATAGACCACTGGCAACAAGCTGTGGGAAACACTGATCAGAGCATTAGGAAAAGAACTTAGTATCTAGAAATGCATGTAAAAGTAAAGGGACTGGGGTGGAGGTATCCTGGAGCAATGTACCCTGTGTTCTCTTAGAAGCCTCTATTCAAAGGCACCAGTCATTGATCAAGTCAATGAGCAATCAGGGATTTGAAAAAACAAAACAAACACACAAAAAATGAGTTCTTTTCCTACCTGTGAAGCTTCTTTGCAAGTGTCTTTTAGTTGTTTGCTTCACTGTAAGTGGCAAATTTAAGAATTCACATTTTTCCCAGTAACTGAAGACAAGAGAGGATGTATTTTGTGCTTCAGCACATGGTTCCAGGGAGTAAGGATAGCGAGTGTTGGAAACAAAATCAGTGTAAGGAGAGGAAGGCTTTTCTGACAATTAGAACACTCCTCAAATATAGAGGTTTACCTCGCAGAATATGATTTCATACCAGGGACTTTATTGCATAGACATTTGTCCTAGATGTTCTTTTAAGTTCCTTTTAAATTTGAAATTTTATGATAAATTTCATTCATATTATTTCCTTTAATGTTCAGTGCTGTAATAAGAAAGTATCCCCATAAATGATCATGATAATGTTCTGGTGCTGTAATATTGATCGAGTTGGCATACCTCAGCCAAAAATCAAACGCAACCTAAGTGGAAAAGCAAGTCAAATAGAAAGAGTGCACATCCATTTCTGACAGTGGATCTTCCAAAATCAAATGATCTCAGCTCTAAATATTCAGAGGAAAGAAGATAGAACAACTAAATACTAAAAAGTATAACATACCAAACTTCTCATGATTAGGTGTCAGAAATTATCTACCTTTCAAAATGTTCATATAGTTGCTAGAATTAATAACTATTAAGAGAAAGTAAGAACATGCCTCAAATATGGAAAAAATAAATGACAGAAAGGTTAAAACATTATAGTAGCATGTTGAAACTTAAAATAGAAAGTTTTTGAATTGTAATAAAAAAATTAGGCCTTCCCCTTTAATGCTAATGTTATTGTTCACACACACACACACACACACACACACACACACACACACCCCTACCTTTTATTTAAGTATTCAAAGGCAATAATTTGAAGGGATGCACAGTGATTCTCAGCCATGGCTACACATAAAAGTCACATGAGGAGTTTTAAAAATTCAAATTCATGGGGCCCCATTCCAAATCAATTTAAGTAGCATCTCTACAGCTGGATTTGAAAACTGCAGTCTAAAATAGGTAAGCTTTATATTTGCCTTCCTTCAAAACCATGCACACACACACACACACACACACACACACACACACAATTTTATGAACAATACTAATTTCTAAGGAATTCATGATTGTTTAGTTCAATTGCCAAGCACTGCATCACTAAATATGATAGAAAAGAGTTTAAAATCATCCACTGTTGTCCTCAGGGAATTTATATTACACATGTTCTACTCAAGTCTAAAAGGTTAATATTATTTATTGACTTGTGCTCACGGCAAATGTAACGTACACTTTACATAACAAAGTGGGAAATACATCCATGATCTAACATAAATGGTATATTGAAGAACATTCCTAGTTCTTACCGCAGCTTGACAATACAATCAAAATAGACTTTGCCTGAAGTAAAGAAATGAAGGCCTTCATCTTTTGTGTCAATTTCAAGAATGATTACCTCTCAAACAACCTTGAACAGACTAACTATATTTTTATTTTTCTGGCATTGCTGAATTTGAAAGAATTCAGAGAACACTGGTTCTTTTAAAAAGAAAGATTAAATAGGCTTCTAAAGAAAGTAAATAATTTTTCTTAACAGGAAAAAAGGCAATGTTCCAAAAATACTTTTTATGAAAATCACAAATGTCCCAAGATTTTTTCAAGTAAGCCTATTTATCCATAGTTCCTCATCTATTCATTTTTCTTTTTGTGTATGCATTTTTAAAATACTCTACTGAGGATTTCTAAAAACGCTGATTAACTTCAAAGCTTGAACTCAAATAAAATAATTATTCAAAATTGGTCACATTGCATAATGAGGTTTACCTTTTAAAATTATATCTTAGTTATATCATTTGGCTAAAGTCTTTCTTTGTGTACCTTCTGATATTCCTCTTTCCCACCACATCCCCCAGCTCCTGCACCTGACCTCACCTCCAGTTAAGATGTGCAATGAAAATATCATTTATAATCTCCTCTCTATAAAATAAGCTGAAAGTAATGAACAAACATTGTGGGTCTAAAATAGAACTTGTAGGAATATTATTTGTAGTATTAAAAAAAAACCATTTGTATCAATGCATGGGTCAACAATTCAGCAGACGAATAGGAAAGGCTTCCACAGCAAGACTGCACTTCCACACTGAATGTAGGGCCCCACATCCAAGACTCATCATATCTGGCTTCTGATTAATCTTTAACATATCAGGACTACTCAGGGGAGGATTTAAAACTTCAAGCAAGGAGCTTCATGGACCCTACTGAGCTTAGAATTTGGAGCTCATCATTATTGTTCAAATGTGTTTAAATCTGACCTGTCATAATTTGCAAGTTTATTGACAAAATTTAGTGATCCAAGAGCCAGAAGAAAGATCTTGTGATCTCTTATCTATATTCTATTTTCAACTCTCATAAGCAGATGTTGGGAACATAATAAAATGACATTTACAAGAAGGTACTGGCCTTTGTGGTCTTTGTTTTTGATCAGTAGCTAAATAGCCTAGGGCAATACTTTCTTATGAGGGGGGAACAAAAAAACACCAACATATTGAAGTCCTTAATTTGAGATTCAAATCAAATAAACTCTTAAAAAAAGATTAGTAAGGATAGTTTCACCTAAATCTTTACTGGGCTAAGAGTTCTACTTAGTTTTTCATTGTTTTATATAGCTCAGTCTCATTGCTGTCAATGCAAAAGTTTAAGATTAGGATGGATGGTTCAAAGTGGAAAAGTCATTAAGTTAAATTAGAATTAACAGAAATAAAAATGATGATTTAGGGTTATTAAAGACCCATATTCACTTGAAGCATGCTTTTTGTAATGTCTTTCTATGTAAAAAAGCATTTGTTAAAAGTGACATTTATGTAAATAAATATTAAAATAATAATTCAAATATGGATTATCTATAAGATTGGTTTTGTTGATACTACTAATAAAATTAGATGATTTATAAGCCAAGGTATCACAGTGTGCCTCACGCCCAAGGAGAACAATGAGGAAACCCCATGAAATTGAAGATATACCTGAATTAATCTACGTATAATACGTGCTTTTAGTCTTGAATGAGAATATGAGAGCTATTTCTTACATGCTAAGTAACTCTAACATCATCAATCAAGTCTTATCAAGTAGAATTCCACTTATAATTGTAACTTGGTGTCCTATGAAACTAAATTGGGAAAGGAAGGATCACCTGCTAGGAGCAACCTCAAAAGAGTCCCAAAAATGTCAGCAGAAGCCAGTAGACTTCTGTTAGCACTCTCTGGGGATGATGACACCCTAGGCACAAACATATCAGTACTTCTGGCACATATTTCCAATGTTGAGAAAGACATACTTCTACTTAGGTGGATGCCAGTAAAACTTTCCAATCTCTCTACCACTGACTCAATTTATTCAATCATCTACACTCACCAGATAAAATTAGGATTAAAATTTACTTCCTCTGTAGTTCTTCCTATCAGTTTGAATATTACAATCTGCATCCTTCATTATAAGTCAATAAATCAGCAAAATGATTTATACATCATTTCCATGTGGAATTTTATAATATGAGATAGATTCACTCTCCCTTGTACTGGCAACAGGAATTCACTAAACTTGCAAAGCCAAGGCCCTACCTATACCATGTTAAATTCACCAAGATCAAGACCATGTTGAAAGGACCCCTGACACACTCCTCTCCTAGCGATAACTCCGCTTCTATATACATCTATAAAAGTTTAGCAGGTAGACATATGACAGCTTCACTAAGGATACACAGTACTTGGCACCTAGTGTGTACTATGTATTTAGTGACTGAATTAATTAAGAGCATTGTAGTGCACTTTCCCAGATTTGTAATTGTAAAAGGCAAGTGGAAGTTTTGGGGAAATATTTGCTCAGACAGATTATGATTCATAAGCAGGTATCCACAAAACCAAAACATATAAAAGGTAGGAAAATTCTGGAAATAACTGCAGTAAGCACAATCAGATATGAACTGAAGAAAGGTTATTTATAGATTTAATGTATACTCTTTAATAAGAATATTTAAATTGTTGCTTAAAAATGTATTAATATGTTTTTGTTTTTGTTTTTTGTTTTTTGAGACAGAGTTTTGCTCTTATTGCCCAGGCTGGAGTACAATGGCGCAATCTCAGCTCACTGCAACCTCCGTCTCCCTGGTTCAAGTCATTCTTCTGCCTCAGCCTCCCGAGTAGCTGGGATTACAGATGCCCAACACCATGCCTGATGCATTTTTGTATTTTTAGTAGAGACGGGGTTTCACCATGTTGGCCAGGCTGGTCTCAAACTCCTGACTCAGGTAATCTGCCCACCTTGGCCTCACAAGTGCTGGGGTTACAGGCGTGAACCACTGCACCTGGCTTAATAGTTTAATTATAGGGTAAGCTCCTTCTAGGGACACTGCATAATATGCTACACTACCTTTCTAAAATATATATTTTTTAAATCTAAATTTTTAAATGTATGCAGTCCCTAGGGTTTCAGATAAAAGACAGTGAACCTGAACTCCTTACTTTCTGTTACATAAGCTAAGGAAATTTATCAATGTCTTATTTAGGCAAAGTTTGTAAAAATCCCAAAATATTTTAACAATATGGGACACTTAATTGGGAGGAACAACAATGTAGAAGAGAGAGCAAAGGCATTGAATCAGAGATTATATCAAATCCTAGCTTCAATGTCAACTAAATATGTGAAACTTGTCAAATTGCCTCTCTGATCCTGTTTTTTTCATCTGGTAAAGAGATTTTTGGTGGCTTAAATGAGATAATATAGGAGATAAAATATGAGATTAAAAAATAATTCTAATGACAGATTGTAGCACATTTATTGTTGTTAAAATAATATTGATCACTAAAGCTATTGTACAGCATGCTAACATTTCTGACTTCTTTCATAGTAGCAACAAAGGAAAGGTTGGCTTTGATATCTGAGGGTTCATAGCTTTAGTATTTCAAACCTTAAAAATTCTGATATAGAAAAAACAAATGCACATTGAATCATATTCCAAACCAGTGAGATTATTAATTTATTTTATAAGTTAAATGAATAATTTGAATTATCACATTGGATAAGCAATGGTTTTAATCATTTACTAATAAGTATGCATCCCTTATTTCAAACTAAACAACTGTAGGTGTCTTTACCTGAAAAGAGTAGGTATGACCATCTGAACCACAAACAGGGCTGGGATAGACCACTGGGCACTGCTTGCAGGTGGATAATATGGGACCCCTCCACTGCCTATGGTCTACTCCTGCTTCTTTCATCCTGTTAAAAAAATAAAGCAAGCATATTGAGCATATTTATTTTAAAATATACATTTATATTAGCTCATTCCTCTCCTAAACTGCCATTCCAACTCCTGAAGATACATTAGAATCAACAAACTATTCTCATTTTTAATTTATTATTTCATGCCATATTTTTCATTATAATCTTTTGATTTATATCTTAAGGCTTGCCTCTGATAAAAAAGAATATGTTCCTTAAATATATTCTGCTAGTCACATATAAATGATAGCTGTATTTCTTCATGTGAACCCTTTTGATAGACTCAGAAACAGAAGCAACACTTGCTCAGCAATAAAGAACTCACACATCTGGCACCTTCTTAAAAGCCATCCTCATGTTCCATTAGGAACAATATAAAAAAGATGACATCTAATCCACTGGGTGCCTAAAAGTAAGAGTGGCTTACTTTTAGAGAAAACAGAAATAAAGAATTACAATTTTCCAGGATTTATCAGTATTTAGAAAGCCAAATTGCTAGGTTTAGTGATAACAAATCTCCTTTTGTTGTGTAAAAGTGTCTTCAAATAGATCCATGCAGCTTTGATACAGAATAACTGGAAAAAAATCCATTCTCTTCTGCCACCTACACTTACGATTGTTTGTTTCCCCACTTTGGTTAAATTGCTTTATTCCTTTGCCTATTTGTGTGAACAATTTACACAGAGTCAGGAAAATGGCTTGAAAGTTAGAAAAAAAATTAACTGAGAGTTCATATAAACACATTTAATATTTGAAAGTCCTGTAGTAAATCAATATTCATTTATTACAACTGCTTATGGAGAGAGTAATTTGATGCCTATGTCAGGATGAGAATAGATATTTTACCAGAAACATTTTTTTTCTTTTTGCTTTTTGTTTTCTTTTCATGAATATGTCAAACCTACAAAATAGTGGTCCCAAAAGACTATCAAGACACATTTTAAGGGCTTTCATTATAAGGAAAGAAGTTTGAACTATGTGTTTCAAATTTTGCCAGAGTTTGGGTGGGCATTACACATAGATTATTTTCTGTCTCTCTCTCTCTCTCTCTCAAAGATTTTCATGAAGCCTATCATAGTTCCAAATACGTTCTCTTTATTTCAGTTTTGTACATTCTGCCAAAAGACCACATTAAAACCTTGCTTTGCTACAAAGTTCATCTTATAATAGATACAATGGGAGAAAATAAACATGCCAATTTTTCCTGAAAAACAGTTGGCACAATATCCTAGTGAGAGATAAAACAATGATTGAAAAACGTGGGCTATTCTGTAACACTTCAAGATTTATAAATTACGAAAATGTAGCAGATACAAATTAAAAAAAAAAAACCATTCTACTTGCACTGAACTTTCACTGTGTGTAATCAAACAAGACATGAAATTACGCAACAATTATTTGCTCTTCAGATACATTAGGAGAAAGTATAAGCAAGTTTGGGCTTCTAATCAGTGAAAAGTATTTTATTAGAGCAAAAGAGGATTGTAGTAAAAAAAAAATAAGACGTATATGTCCTTTATGCTTAGGTTTATATCCCATCTCCATATCTCTTCTTTACTTCATCTCATTCTCCTTTCCTAACACATATAATTTAAAAAACCCTAATGATATCTGGAAACTAAACATTGTTGTATTAATAAATTTCTCTTATAAATATAACATTTATGACTTAGAAAATCTTTCAATTTTAATTTAAAGAGTAAATATAACTAGAAGTAAATTTTTAAAAAGTTTGAAGATTTGGCTGGGCACGTTGGCTCACGCCTGTAATCCCAGTGCTGTGGGAGGCCGAGACAGGCGGATCACCTGAGGTTGGGAGTTTGAGACCAGCCTGACCAACATGGAGAAATCCCGTCTCTACTAAAAATACAAAATTAGCCAGGCATGGTGGTGCATGCCCATAATCCCCGCTACTCAGGAGGCTAAGGCAGGAGAATAGCTTGAATCCAGGAGGCGGTGGTTGCCATGAGTCAAGATCACACCACTGCACTCCAGTCTGAGCGAAACTCCGTCTCAAAAAATAAAATAAAATACAATTGAAGATTTATTAGAAATTTGTGAAATTGAAATGAGCTCTTAAAAAGTAAAATTGTAATGTACTTGTAAAATAGATTTTGAAGTAAAACAAGATTAGTTGTTCTTATTCCTTCCAGTTTTAACCATACGGAACACTAAATAAACATGTTCATATTCTTTTTTTTATTATTATTATACTTTAAGTTTTATGAGTGTATCAATAAAAATGGTACTTTTTATTTAGTTTTGATGCTGGTCAGGATTTGCTGGAGTGAAATATAATCACCAACAATATACAAATGCATTTCTCAGTCTTATTATAGGAATACAAAGTACTTCTACAAATTTATAGAAGTCCAACTCTATGTGATATCACCTGTCCACCTATATGTAATATCACTATTCATCATGGGAGAGATTTTTGCATTTCCAGACTCCTTTTATAAAAATGTATCCTAGATGATGAGTTGATAGGTGCAGCAAACCACCATGGCAGGTGTATGTGTATACCTCTGTAACAAACCTGTACATTCTGCACATGTATCCCAGGACTTAAAATAATTAAAAAAAAATGTTTCTTATGATTCATAATGTGTTTGGTTTGGCATCAGAGATTGTTCTCAGAATTAGTGTTCTTCTTAGTCATTTAAATTTTTGTTTTGTTCTTAGAAAAATTAGCCAAGTAGATGAAGATGTAACATTAAAAACTTAACACTTAATACCTGTGTATGATATATAATATGTAAACATATATAAATTATATATACACGGAAATCATCTGTTGTTGGTCGGTTTTTAATTCTATTTTGAAGGCCCCATTTAAGAGAGAGCAACGTGTTTCTAAGAGAGAAATGAAGTCACATAGTCATTGTATAGGTGAAGATGAGCAAAGCAACATGATTAGGGAAAGGTGTATTTGGCTCAGGCTATGAGAATGGTTGCCTGGCAACTGTGGCAAGAGGAATGCCCCAGGTAAGAAACTAGATCTGGGGAGAGCACAACTAGGCACATTATTCTGAATATTCTAGGTGCAGAAAAGATTAACCTTCGAGCATACATCTAATTTTTTGATACACCAAAGGTCATTTGCAGTTAGTTATCTGAAATTATTAACAAATAGGGTGATACAACTTGCTTCCACTAATGAAGTAAAAAACCTAAGCTGGCTGAAAAACTCTGAACATTTTCAGAAATTGGTCTTCCAACAGTAGCTCCACTGGAATAAACGTATGACTTTCAGACAATTATTTTTTCAAAAAAATATTCAATTCTAAAAATCTGAGTTAAAAATTTATTTAGTTTATAACTGCATCCTATACAGGGTCACAACCCTTCCCTTAAGGAATAAGAAATTGTATTTTTGAACCCAGGGAAACGAAGCAAATTGAATAACATATAATAAACTCAAGTTTTCTTTTTTTTTTCCTCAGAATCATTCGTTTCAAAGATTCCAGATTCAAGGCCCTAAGATAGTTTCATATAATTATAAATATTATTATGTTTTTAAGAGCTGGAAAATTAAACTAATAACTAAAGAGGAATTCATACTATTGCTAGCGTTCTTTTAGGTGACTCACTTCTAGGCAGTTGAATCATATTATCTTCTTACCACCTGAACTATTATCTTGTATTCATGATTTAACTTTCACTCTAGTCTTCAATATGTCTCTAGCATCAGTCTCATATGAAAGCTCAACAGTCTCATTTTCCTAATAACTATAATGTTAATTGCTGCTACATTCATTTACTCATTTATGTTCTACTTAGTTTTCTGTTTAAGTTAATCATGTTCATTTTAACAAAATAATTTGAACAAAACTTCCATGTTTCAGGATTTACACTGATTTCTGAAAGAGGGTAAATGATGTTACCAAAATGGTTAGCAAAAAAACAAAAACCACAAAAAACCCTCTCATTCTAACTTGACTTGAATTTAACATATGCCCATTTCATTAATCAGCCTTGGCAAGCCAGCCACCTCCCTCGGTCTTAATTTCTTCACTTGTGCAATGACAGGTTTCATTATTATGGATCATTTGATCTTGAGTAATCCATCAGTCTATAAATCTTTAATACAATTACTTATATGAAGATGCTTAGCAAAAGTTAGAAGCATAAATAGTGCATATTGGCCACATGTTATGATTTTAGGATTTGATTTAGTGTTAACAAGTGAAGCAAATATATCATTATGGGGTGAAGGATGAGGTTGGATGTTAAAAGAGAGAGCTAGAAATGCTGAAGTTGCAATGCTGGGCTGTCTCAAGTAGCAAATGAAAGACATGGAGGGAGCCCAGTCATATGATAACCAATGAATGAAAGGAAATAAAATGTGGCGTGGTTGTGTTAAAAGAGGCACAGTTTCCATGAAAGCTATCTACAAATAAAATAATATTTGCATTACAATGTCAAGAAACAAGAAATCATAAAAATAAATGGTATAACACATTGATTCTCTAAATAAATATTTTTCTTAAACCTTGTAGTTCTTGAATCTGATACCATATAGTAGAAAGTCTCAGTTCTTAAGGTCCTAAATATGCAAGCAGAATAAAATGCCAATTTATGCATTATATATTTAACTTAGGAGAGATATGGTTTGGCTCTGTGTCCTCACCCAAATCTCATCTTAAATTGTAATCCCCACGTGTCGAGGGAGGGATGTGGTTGGATTATGACGTAAAAAACCTAAGCTGGCTGAAAAACTCTGAACATTTTCTGAAATTGGTCTTCCGACAGTAGCTCCACTGGAGTAAATGTATGACTTTCAGAGAATTATTTTTTCAAAAAAATATTCATTTCTAAAAATCTGACTTAAAATTTATTTAGTTTATAACTGCATCCTATACAGGGTCACTGTCACTCACTTGTGATAGTGAGTGAGTTCTCATGAAATCTCATGGTTTTATAAGTGTTTGGAAGTTCCTCCTTTATTTTTCTCTTTCCTGCTCCTTCGTGAAGGAAGTGCCTTGCTTCCCCTTCCCCCATGACTGTTAAATTTCCTGAGGCCTCCCTAGCCATGTGAAACTGTGAGTCAATTAAACCTCTTTCCTTTACATATTACCCAGTCTCAGGCATTTCTTTATATCAGTGTGAAAACTAATACATACCAATATTAATTTAATTATTAACAGAAGGATTTGATTATAATCTCATAAAACAACATTCAAGTGAGAAGAGATATTCTGTGGAATATCTCAACTGATGGTGACTTAATATATTTCTTCTGCACTCAATACACCTACTATTTCACGTCCCAAATCATTTGCTTTTTAAAATTCTGCCAGAGTTGTGGTAGGATTATTTCTTCAGATATGACTGCCAAGTCATGATTTCTTCCCTATTGGTCATAACTTTTCAGGAAAGAAGGCTACTTTTATTACATTTTGCCATGGGTCTTAGCAAAGGACAGTTGCTATTAGCTGACTGCAGTAAATTATCTTTCAGTGTGAGAAAATTATATAAAAGCTGGAAAAGCCTACATGGAACTTACTAAATCTACAATGAACACTATTTACTTTAAATGATTTCTATATTGTATGTCAGGAATTTGAGCATTAAAGGAAAATATCATAAGAAATAAATTTTAAGTAAGGTATATACTCTATGAATGCAAAAAAGTATTCTGTCAGCCTCCTATCCAAATACTAACCAGGCCCAGCCCTGCTTAGCTTCCTAGATCAGAAGAGGTCAGATAGGTTCAGGGTGGTATAGAATTAGGCTGTAGACTAAAATACTTTATAAAATAAAATACTATTAACAATGTTGCTATAAAAAATGGATGTTATATAAGAAATCATTTGACATAGCTTATTCTGCAATATGAATAACAACCTGATTTGCTCTATATATTTTCAAAGGACAGAAATTCACAAAAAAACAATTTTTAAACATATTTTAAAATACAGTGGGAGAAGTAATTAATGAAAAATACCTTTAAAAATTATTCCTAAGATAAATTAACTACAATCTGATACAGTTTGCATGTTTTTTCCCTCCAAATGTCATGTTGAATTTTGATTCCCATTGTTGGAGGTGGGGCCTGGGGGAAGGTGTTTGGGTCATAGGGGTGGATCCCTCATGAGTGCTTTGGTGCCATCCTCATGGTAATGAGTGAGTCCTTGCTCTATTAGTTCTGGTGAGATCTGATTATTTAAAGAGCCTGGCCTCTCTGTCTTGATTTCTCTCTGGCCATGTGATCTCTGCACACCCCAGATCCCCTTCAAATTCTGCTATGAGTGGAAGCACTCTGGGGCTCTCACCAGAAGCAGATGCTGGCACCTTGATTCTTGTACAGCTTGGAGAACCATCAGACAAATAAACTTCTTTTCTTTATAATTAAGCCAGTCTCAGGTATTCCTTTATAGCAACATAAACTAAGACACAATCTAAAGAATGATTATAATAATAAATTTTCAATATGAACTGTGCTTATGAGGCCAACAAGTATGATGTAGAAAAGTTACCAAGAAATCAAAGCAATCAGTGATTTAAAGTACATGCTTTACAGAGCGTTTAAATTAAACATCAGGATTTAGAGTTTAAAGAGAAGTGGATAATTTATAATGAGCACCAATTTCTTTGAACAGATCCAGTTATTATCATACTTGAATAATATATGCTGTCAAGTAAATGATTTTTTAAGTGGTGGGCATATTCATAATTACTGAAGGCATCAATAAACTCTTTCAAAATTTCAATAGGCATCACGACAAATGACATGACTGCATATTTCCAATCTCCTTTTCAATCTGACCCTCAACAGTAAAATAGCTTTGAAATGTATAAAATGTAGATGATGTCAAATTCAGATTGTAGTGATCCAGGTCCATACTCTTTCCACCTACTTAATTCCACACTATTTCAATTACTAAAAACCCCTTCATTTAAAAAGGTATATTCAACTGCAAATGATCTTCATTGTATAAGATATAAAGAGTCATTACCAGGAGTTATAATGGACAAGAAATCTTTATAAACCCGTTTCCAGCAAAATGCAAGCCAACAGATTAAGAATTTATAATCTCATGTGTGACAAATTAATTACCTCATTAAAAGCTATGTATAGTTATCATCATTGAAAGAAGTGTTAGAAAGTTATTTTTTCTTTTAAATCAGTATAATATTAAAATGCATTATTTTAAGAACTAAACCAAGTATTTAAATAAATCTAAGGTTAGATTTACATGTATGCTGATAGCCTTATGTGACAGACACATATATTACATTGTTTATCATTTTAACAATCTTATACAGTGTGTATTAGCATTTAAATTGTAAGGCTAGGAAGAAGTAAATTGACGGAGCTTAATTATCAAGTCTCTGGTGCGTACAATTCATAAATATGGACTTCCAGGGTTATCCTTTCCACTGGGCCATTTATGTTTCCTACCATAAGCATACATATAAAATTTTAAACGTAATGGAAAACCACATTCCAATATTCCATAAATTTCTAGACCCGTTGATGTAATAGGTTAAAAATGACAGCATCACTACCTCAAATTTTAGTTAGAATCTTCACCACCACCAAAATACAAGGTGGTGTCTGGAGAGTATACCTCCTGGCTAATGAAATCTGAAATTTATATGGTGTGAAATAAGTAATAAAATATCATAATCTAGATTCTGAATTAGTAAAAGGATTAACTAACTAAGGTATGAATTGGTTCTATTTAATTTGTATTGACAGGTATATTTATTTTCATTCAAGATATTAATGTTCATAAGCAAAACAAGCTTTCAACCATTAACTGTGCTACTATTTTAACCTTAACTAGCTTACAGTGTCAGCACTGAGCAAAGTGTGAACTAAGATTTGAGTTCATAAAAATATGTGATTCTTAAATATCAAGGAGATTCTATATTTGGAAAAATGTATTCACATTTTAAAAATAGCAGTGACAGATATGCAGCTTAAAGCGAGAAAAATATTTTACCAAAAGAAAATGCCTAAGCGCAACATTTCCTAAAAGACATGGAAAAATATTGTTTGACTATTGAAAACACATTTTTATATATATATAAATGTCTTGATTGTGAAAAATTCTTTTAATTTTTAAAAAATTTTCTTAACAGAAGCCAATGATTTTAGCTGCTTTTAAAAATAGATCTGAAAGCTTCAGCAGAGCCATTTAACAATTAAATGCTGCATTTTATTTAAGTAAACCGTCATTAAGGACCATCCAAAGTTCAGGGAGACAAAACACAGCTTTTCCTTCATACCCTGTCTTTGTGGAAGTCATTATCATTGCCTTTCTCCTAGCTTACTGCTTTATTGGGAAAGGAAAGTTGCAGAAAGAAGAAAGAAACTACCATGTTTTGCTTGAGTCTGATTTACAGGATGAAACAAACGATTAAGTGTGAAACCTCCACTCTGCATTAGCTCTGACAGCTATATTTGAAGTACAGCAATTTGCCCAATCACATGTCTGATTTTTCAAGTTAACAAGTAATTAATAAAATTTAAAAGGCAGCCTAATATTTTATCCTATAGCATTTTTCTATCAGATTGTATTGGTTTCCTGTCCTGGAAGAGTATACTTTCAAACATGTGTTGAATTTTTTTTTTTTTTTTTTTGAGACTGAGTCTTACACTATTGCCAGGCTGGAGTGCAGTGGCACAATCTCAGCTCAACTTCTACCTCCCGGGTTCAAGCAATTCTCTTGCCTCAGCCTGCTGTAGCTGGCACTATAGGCGCACGCCACCACGCTCAGCTAATTTTTGTATTTTTTGTAGAGACAGGGGTTTCACCATGTTGGCCAGGATAGTCTCAATCTCTTGACCTTGTGATCCGCCCGCCTTGGCCTCCCAAAGTGCTGTGATTACAGGCATGAGCCACTGCACCCAGCCCGTGTTGACTCTTTATTGGTATAACCAGGAGTAGGGGCAGACTCACTAGCCAAGGAACTGTTCTCCTGGAAATTGTATCTCAATACTTTGTACTATATATTAAAGACTATAAAAAAGCCTTTCAAAAACAGTTTTATTATTGTTACTTATATATTATTACTTATAGTTACAGCTACATAAATGTTCTATGAACTGAATCAGGTACCATTAAAATTCCCATCACTATCTCTCCTAATAAATTATCATCTTCTAACCTACAAATAGTACCTATGCGCCCTTCTAGATACTGTTTAGTTATTTGCTCATAAACGTACAACGGGGGTCCCCAAAAGCCAGGCAGTGGCCCAGTAGCCGTCACCTGTTAGGAACCGGGCTGCACAGTAGGAGGTAAGCAAGCCAGCATCACCACCTGAGCACCGCCTCCTGTCAGATCAGCAGTGGCATTAGTGCAAACCCTATTGTGAACGGCGGACACGAGGGGTCTAGGTGTTGCCCTCCTTATGAGAATCTAGCATCTGATCATCTGAGGTGAAACAGTTTCATACCCAAACCATCTCCCACTCCCCTGTAAACCAGTCCTTGGTGCCAAAAAGATTGGGGACCGCTGCCCTACAAGATATTCAGGAACAATTTCACACCCTAGTGGCATCAGAGGGATAGAATCATTACATTCATGGAATTCAGAATTTATTTGTGGACAAAAAAGTAGGAGTAGCTTTTTGTAGGATTTTTCTATAGTCTAAGAAGTGATAAGGACAATATAGAGCCTATCTCATGAAGTTATATTCATCTTTGAGGTCCTGACTTTGATGCCATTGGTTTGTAAATATTTTCTAACTCCTCTTATGCTTTTATATGTCTTGTCAATTCTAACAATCACCTATATAGTCATCTTTCCTATTTAACCCAATTTATACTCACACTCCCCTAATTCTGAGTCCCTTTCATGCTCTAATGACATCTCTCATGACATTAGGAGACGTATCTGCGCCTAATACCTACTCTTTCCTTCCTTATGCTGTTTCTCTAATTCTGAAGTTTGGGAGATTATGGACCCACTTAGAGCAAAGGCCACTTTCTGTAGCCTACAAATATTTCTAACTTCTGTTGAACTCCACTTACAAGCACGCAGGAAGCAGCAGGGCAGTAAAAGATGTCATTTTAATCACAGTATGATATTGCATATAAGTTGAATTTAATCTCAGCATCCTTTGGAGTCAACATACCAAGCATTCTGACCTCTGTGCAATTTGCCCAATCAATGCCTGTTTTTCCTTTCGTTAGATCACACTTCCAGAAATACAGTTTCTAAGATTGGGGGATGTGTTAGTTTCCCATGTCTGCTGTAATAACTTACCAAAAACTTGCTGATTTAAACAACGAAATTTAATCTCTCACCGTTAGGAATCTAAAAGTCTAAAATCAGTATCTCTTGACTGAAATCAAGGTGTTGGCAGGACTACACTCTCCCAGTGGGGGGTTTCCAGGTCATAATCTGTGCTTGCTTCTTCCAGTTTCTGGTAGCTATTGACATTTCTTGGCTTATGGCTACAACTTTCTACTCCATCTTCCTATCACTTTCTCCTGTTTTTGTCTGTGTCAAAACTCCCTGTCTCTCTCTTATAAGGATACATGTGATTACATTTAGGTCTCACCCTGATAATCTAGGATAAATTCTTCCTCTGAAGATCCTTAATGTAACCATATCTTTTGGCACACATAGTAATATTCACTCTTATGCTTTATAAGATGATATTCGCAGATTATGGGAACTAAAATATGGTCATATCTTTTAGGCCATCATTTAGCTCACAACAGGGAGAATACTCAGAAAAGAGAGATTCTATTTCTCTGATAACAAAAAAGCTTCAGGAATGGAGTCCCTAGTTTGGAGAGATGTCATAATTAATTCCATGCATAAATTCACATAGACAGTATATTTTGCCCTGTCTAATCAATTCTTTCACATCTAATGGAAAAACGTATGGTCCATGATGATATTTTGGGACTCATACATTGCCCATTAGCAGCCACAAGACTGTTCCCATCTATGCTTTGTCTTAATCACAAACCACAGCCAGGTCTAACTGATTCTTCTGTCAGTAAAGACCAACTGTAGGTTCCCAAACAAAAGGTATTTAAATTCATCTAATTTCCCAGTGAATTTCAGCACAGTTTGTACTTTTTACACTTTACTGATTTTTAGACACTACATAACTGTTAAAGTTGTAAAGAGTAGAAAAAAATAGACCCCATTTTTATGCATTAAAAATTAAAAATGGCAGGCATATCAACATCCCTCATTTGACCCTAAATTTTATTAAAGCAGGGGCTAATGATAATGGGGTTTCTTTTTGTTCTTTTGCATTTAGCAGTCGTGGTCACTGGAGGAAAGCTGAAAGAAAGTAGTGGGTACAAGGCTTAGTGTCACAGAATTGGGAAAGATACAGGCTTTGTGACATCCAAGGTTGACATTAGCTTGCCCGTTAAAAGCCAGTCAGTTAGAATAAAATAAAAATAATAAACTTGCCTCTGAATTCAAACAAGTGTCTTTTTTTCCTCAATGTTATTTTATGCCATAATATAAAGGAACATCACAAAATATTTAACATAATTTCTTCCCTTTGGTAGGTTCAGCCTATCAAAGACTCTTTTCTGCCCTGTGTTTTAGAATTTTTAGCATGCTTTCCATTATTTATTTAGGAAGCAAGCATTCAGGAAATTAAAAATTTGGCTCTTCACAACTGTAAGTGAAAGAGTAATTTATAAAGGCTTTTAAAAAATACTTTAAACCTTTCAGAACACTGTTAATTTACTGCATGTTTTGGTTTGTCACATGACTTTTTAGAATAACAAGATCCATTTAATCTACGAACTCATGCTAATTTCCCCTTGAAAAATGCTCACCACAGTCTCTCTTGCCCTTCTGACAGCTTTTTTCTGACCAACTGGAGGCCATAAAATATACTACATGCTAAGAATTGTCTACACTTCCTAACTCCCTCACTAACAATGCCTGAAAGGCATAGAAAGATGACTAATGACTTATCATGTTTGCTGAACACATGGCTGGTAAGTGGAATGGCTAGGCTGAAGAAAAAGGTTAGTAGGTCCCAGGGTGTGGACTCCCATGGTTAAATTAAACCGACCTGGAAAATGCTGCCAAGGAGTTAGCCACCGTCTTCCCACCATATTGAAGGGAAGCTGAAATGGGCAACTTAATCTAGTGCAACTTGTTAGAGACTTTTGATAAAATAATAACACTTTTTTACTCTCATTTGTTTCTCTTGTTAGAAGTTTATTTGTTTTAATATTGATTTGATAAAAGTAACACTAGCATTATTTAGGATTGGGGTTCCCTGGGGTACTTTAATCACTTCCCAGCAATAGATTAAATATAACTTTGTAGTAATCTTGTCCCACAAATGTCAGTGGATATATAGAGAGATAAATATCTATGCTTATATATTACTATGGCATGGCTAGAGAAGGAAATTCTACAAGCATGCTTATAGAACAGGCAATACATAAGCAAGTAGCCATAGCTGTATTCTAATAAAACATTTGTATGAACAATGAAATTGAATTTCATATAATGTAATGTATCACTAAATATTACATTTTTGATTATTTACCCCAACTCTTTGAAAATACAAAAACCATTCTTAATTCTCAGGTCCTACATAAAAAGACTGTCAGCAAGATTTTGTACACAGGTCTAGTTTTTGACCCTGCTCTAAGAAATAGTAGAACTACAAAATAGAAGAAAAAACGTATTCCCCAAATCAACAAAAAAGAGACCTCACTGCCTGAACCTGAGAATACGCTTACTAGTTTAACGTGTGTGTAAAAAGTACATTTATATTGTGTGATACCATTGAAATTTGGGGGTAAATTTGTTATAGCATTATGATAAATAATATAGATATTTGAAGCAATCTAGACATATTAATATCTAAAATACATCTTATTTTAACACAGTCAAAAAATGAAATAATAGAAAATGATTTCTAGCCTTCTTGGTTTCTAGTGAGACATCAATTCAACCACTCCAAGGTAAATTTTTTTTTTTAAATATTTACAAACGATTCTAACTTTCAAAGCATAGAATCTCAATCTTGGACTTGAGAGTGTGAAGAAATTTTAAAAGCAAAAATACAATTCTCAACAAAATATACCTCAGAGTCAATGCTGTGCTTGTGAATTTCCCAATGTGCAAAGTGAAAGAGTTCTAAAATCCAATTTATTTTAAGAAAACTCATGGAGCCACATGAACGCATTAAGCTTATTTACCAGTTTCTGTTTGTTTAACAACTCACTTTAAACAAGTATGCAAATATATCTATGTCCCACTAGAAAATCAAATAAACTTCTTCTCTAAGTTACACACATTAATTTACACTCATATATTTACACAACCACTTGAGTGAATGATTAGTAGACAGATTTTTTCAAAGCTTAGAGAAATTTTTATAGGAAAATTATTATTTGAATAGCATAGTCATCAAGAGAAAATAAGTGATGACATAATAATCCCTTTGGTGAAGCTAAATTTTACAAGCCCTTTGACCGGAGTGAAACACAGGTGTTGAATAAATGGTAAAGCTTTACTAAATATAGAACATGAGAAAAAATTATCATTCAGTTTATGAATTATTCATTGAGTCTCATATTCAATAATTATTTGAACCCTATGGGCTCTTAGGAGTAGGTCAGCATACTCATAGCCACACAGCACAGATAGCCAAATCTGTAGAACTTCAGTTTTCTCAAATATTTGAGGAATATTATACATGTTTTTAAGAGAAAATGGCTGCCTTTGGTATTTTCTTCAGGCTATGCTATTCAGATCCCGCTTGAAATAATTCAATGGGAAGGTTTGATACCTGGGTGTTTTTTGCTGTTGTTGTTTTTGTTTTTGCTTTTTTTGTTTTTTTTGATGAGTATTTGAACTTAGTTTTTGGCTTCTTTGACAGAATTTTAAAATGTTGCCTTTATGTCCAAGCAACCCAACAGCTGGTAGGAGATGCTTTAACTTTTACCTCTTCCCTATGACACCTGACCTCCTTTTCCTCTATGTGAGACCCAGGAGAAACTAGTAATAGGTATGTATGGAATAATTATTTTTAGACAAAAATCATCCCAAGTTCTATTTTAGCAAGTTAGTAACTAATGCCCTGTTACCTCAAACTCTGCAAAAAGGACCCTCTGAAATACACTTAAAGGGACAATGGCCACATTGAACAAAGTAAAGCAAGAGAGGAGTCTGTCTCTCTCGCGTTTCAACATTTCCGTAAGGTGTGAAAGAGAAAAAATTCAGAATGACTTAATTTCAAGATTTATAATGCTTAAATCCCTGAAAAAGGGGTGTAAGGTGACTAATAGCAATGGACCCTAAATTCTCTAAAAAGTCCACATATATATATTTCAAAGCTGCAAATTATGACAGAAAACCTAATATGAAGTTAAGGTAGAAAATATGGATTTACTTGTTGGAAGACATAATACAGAATAATTTCAAATAATTTCTTCAATAATAATACTTTACAACCTGACTAGTAAAATTATCCCATTCATATGGTTTCACTCTGTATCCCCACCCAAATCTCCTCTTGAATTTTGGCTCCCATAATTCCCACGTTTTGTGGGAGGGATGCTGTGAGGGATAATTGAATCATTGGGGCGGTTTCTCCATACAGTTCCTGTGGTAGTTCATGTGGGCTCATGAGACCCGATGGTTTTATAAGGGGTTTCCACTTTTGCTTCTCTCTCATTCTCTCTTGCTGCCACCACGTAAGGAGTGCCTTTCACCTTTCGCCATGATTGTGAGGCTTTCTCAACCACGTGGAACTGTGAGTCCATTAAACCTATTTTTTCCCCACTCTCAGGTATGTCTTTATCAGCAGCATGAAAACAGATGAATACACCCATAAAGTTGTCACACTCTTCACAAAATGTAACTCAAAACGTATCACAGACCTAAATGTACAATGCAAAACTATGAGACACCTAGAATTTAACATAGAAGAAAATCTACATCACCTCGGTTTTGGAAAGTTTTTTTAGATACAACGCAAGAGGTATGATCCATGAAAGAAAGAATTGAAAAGCTGTATTTCATTACAATTAAAAATTTTTGTTTTGTGAAAGACAGCGTCAAGAGAATGATGAGGAGACAAGCCAGAGACTGGGGGAAAATATTTGCCAAAGACATATCTGATAAAAGTCTGTTATTCAAAATATGAAAATAATATAAAAAACTCAACAATAAGAAAAAAAAATGCAACTTAAAAATGAGCCAAAGACCTTGATAGACACCTCACCAAAGATGATATGCATACGGCAAATAAGCACATTGAAAGTTGATCTACAGCATATGTTATTCAGGACTCGCAAATTGAAACCATGGGATAGCACTATAAACTTATTAGAATGGCCAAAACTCAGAACGCTGACAACACCAAAAGCTGGGGATAATGTGGCACTATAGAGACTCTGATTCATTGCTGGTGGGAATGCAAAATGATACAGCAACTTTGGAAAACAGTTTGGCAGCTTCCTCTCAAACTAAACATACTCTTACCAAGGGATCCAGCAATTATACTCATTGGTATGTACACAAAAAGTTGAAAAGGTATGTCCACACAAAAGCTTGCAGACAGATGTTTATAGCAGCTTTATTCATAATTCCAAAAACTTGGAAGCAAGCAACACGTCCTTCAGTAAGTGATTGAATAAACTGTGGTATATCCAGACAATGATACATTAGTCAGCACTAAAAATAAACTTTAATGCAGTAACTGGAAGAAGCCAACCAGGAAAGGCTACCTACTGTAAGATTCTAACTATAAGAAATGCTGGAAAAGGCAAACTATGAGACACAAAAAAGATCAGTGGTTTGCCAGGGGTTATTAGGGAGGAAAGGATGAATAGGCAGATCACAGAAGACTTTTAGTGGAGTGAAACTACTCTGTATGATAGTATAATGGTAGATACATGTCATTTTAAATTTGTCCAAACCCATAGAATGTACAACACCAAGAGTCAACTCTAATGTAAACTATGGACTTTGAGGCCAGGCACGGTGGCTCACGCCTGTAATCCCAGCACTTTGGGAGGCCTAGGCGGGCGGATCGTGAGGTCAGCAGTTCGAGACAGCCTGGCCAACATGGTGAAGCCCCATCTTTACTAAAAATACAAAAATTAGCCAGGTGTGGTGGTGGGTGCCCGAAATCCCAGCTACTCAGGAGACTGAGGCAGGAGAATCGCTTGAACTCAGGAGGCAGAGTTTGTAGTGAGCTGAGACCATGCCATTGCACTCCAGCCTGGGCGATAGAGTGAGACTCTGCCTCAAAACAACAACAACAACAACAACAAAAACTATGGACTTTGAGTGATAATAATGTGTCAGTATAGGTTTATGGACTGTACCAAATGCACCACACTGGAGGAGTATGTTGATAATGGGGAGGGTTCTGCAATGTGTGGGGGCAGTAGGTACATGGGAAATCTTTGTACCCTCTGTTCAGTATTACTGTGAACCAAAACAGCTCTAAAAAAGTAAGTATTTTAAAAAGAAAGGCAGAATGTTAGCTTTAGGTTTAAAACACATAGCAGAGGTGTTCTGGTTTGAATTGATGGTTTAGTGCTCTGAGAATACTAGTTTAGGGGTAATTTCCTATTTCTTCCCACTGCAGAAGTGAGTAATTTGATGATTTTCATGCATATTCTAAATCTTCCCAGAGCTGTCAAAGTGCTTCAGAAACTGAATGTTTTGAATTTTTCCTTCTTGATTGTGCTCACAATGTAGGTGCAAATAGATTGTAGATCAATGTTATTAAACTCCTTTATTTTCAAAGTTGGGATCAGTATTTTCTCCCTAGAAGATTTCAGGGGGATTAACTCCAAAGAGCAAGATTTCAGTAGCTTAAATATCCTTATAGTGATTTTGTGAATCCTGGTAATTGTTTTCATCAGAAATCTCCCATTTTTATGCAGATTCTTCATAAATTCAAGAACCCCTTCTCCACTATCTGTTCAGTTCTTGAGTGCTTTTGGGAGGTGTTGCTTCATTTAAGTATAAAAACAAGATGTATACTACTCACCTTGCTCAACTGGAAGATACGATATCCATTAGCTATATGATTTTTCCTCTTAGCCTTTCCCCACACCCTACTTAGCTTGAATTATTAGTCTAAGATATGTAAATTATTAGTCTAATACATGTGAGAACATAATTAAAAAATTTTAAACATTTGATTATATGTATAATGTTTGCATCAATTAAAAGTTATAATAACTATCATAGCAAAATGTAGTGGTCTTTACTTAGTCTGTTAAGAACTATTCATCTAAATAATGTTTAAAAAATGACATACTTAAAGTTTCAAATGAGGAAAATGAACCATGATGTAGAGTCATTTTGTTTTGGAATACTTTCTAATAAACTTTTAGCTCTCTGACTCCTTAATTCTATATACTATTTTTATTGAATCTTTTTTCTGCTAGATATAATCGACTGACTTTGTTTATAAAAAAATGTTTTGCTAGAAGCATAACTAATCTTTGTAAAAAAAAGGAACTAGTTTTAATAAAATTACAAAGAAAACATATTTTTCCCTCAAAACATTGGAGATGAAAGGGAAGAAAAAGGGGAGTAAAGATTGAGCCATAAACACAAAGTAATACATGTTTACATATATAAAAGCTGTCAACATACCTCTTTTACTATTTGTGCTATATGTGTGTAGGTCATTTTAATCATCATTGATTATGGTAGTTTCCTCTGTCATTATAAGCAACAAGTGTATTTTTGTAGAAAGGAGCTAGTCTTATGAAACTGACATAAATCCTTTCAGTATTCTACCCTTGTTAAAAAAAAAAAGACAATGATAGTCACAGTTCAATGGACAACTCTTTAATAATTCTGCTGGCACCATAAAAATGAGAAAAAAGCAACCTTTCATGAGGACAATACATCAAAGAGAAATGACTAAAAATAAATTACTACATGATGAAAAGGTCAGACACTTAAATTACCACAGAAGGCACTTATGGAAAACATTTGCATTTCCTGTCAAGTGATCATAAGGCAAAGCATAGACAGGAAGTTAGCATGCATTATCCTATAAAACGTATGTCCATGAGATCAATTTATTTTTGTCCCAGAATATTACATTTTTAATAAGATTCCTAATATCACTTTTTAAAATTAAGTTTTAAATGTAAAACACAGTCACTTACTAGATTTGTTACTCAACATATAAATGTGTCAATTTGTCATTTGCCAAAACGGGTAAGTGGGCTATTTTAGGGGTTTCATTAATGTCTCATTCTACGTTTCTTGTAGTTATTTGCCTACACACAGAAACAATTTTCCTTTTTTTTGACAGAGTTTCACTCTGTCGCCAAGCTGGAGTGCAGTGGTGCGATCTCAGCTCACTGCAACCTCCACTTACCAGGTTCAAGCAATTCTCCTGCTTCAGCCTCCCGAGCAGCTGAGATGACAGGCGCCCGCCACCACGCCCAGCTAATTTTTGCACTTTTAGTGGAGATGGGGTTTCACCATGTTGGCCAGGCTGGTCTCAAACTCTTGACTTCAAGTGATCTGCCCACCTCGGCCTCTCAAAGTGCCGGGATTTCAGGCGTGAGCCACCGCTCCCGGCCCAGAGGCAATTTTCTATATGCATACAAACACACTACTCTAGGTGTGTGTGGGGGGTGGGGGGGCAAGAAAACCTTTGAGTTGCTTTTAGCCCTGCAATTAGAATATTGCTTTAAAACAATCCACTGGTGCACATAAAAAAACAAACTATATCACATTAGTTTACCTAATATTTAATATTATATTCTTTACATATTAATTTTGTTTATAATTTTATTCCCCTGGAATATAAGTTCCTTTTGAACAGAGATTTATGCATATCTTAATTTACTCTATGCCTATGACTAGAATACTCTGTAATACATAAGTGCTCAAAAATATTTATTTTAAAAACCGTGAATAATAGACAATAATTGGTATCTATTCTTCATCTACCTCCATTTCATTGTTTAGAGCATTCAATTTATATTTTGTGTTTATTTTCACTCTAAAGTTCATTTCCCAAGTATTGATCACTTGTGTTATGTTTTCTAATTCTGATTTTAGGACAGGGACATAGTTAAATGTTTTACATTTCTTTAGAGAGAAGGAGCGGCCAGTATCAGGATCTCAATAGGCATTAGGCAGAAAATTGTTGGGGAAATGGATGTGCCCTCTCCATTACTATTGGACCTTCCCTATTACTCTTGGTATTTTAGGTCTTTTATTCTCTTCCTTTCGTGACACTTCTCCTGTGTCCTACTTTCTACACATTTAAAGTCCATGAATATAGAAATACAGAGGAAGAAAATAAGAATTGTGATGTTTTCTAAGTATTGACAGAAACACAAATTTCAGTTATTACCATTATTGCTTTCAGAATAATGCATTTGACATGCATATTTTAAGAATACATCCCTGAACCATAGTAATAAGCCTGAAAGTATGTTAACTCATTGCATTATTTAACTTAACAATGTTCAGTAAGACCACAGTTAATGTATAAAAGAGACAGCCAAAAATGTCCCATGAGTTATTAATCAGTATTATTTTATTCTGGAAATAATGGGAAAGTATCATATCTGTTTTATCAAGAAAATTCCTAAAGTGTGTACTCTTGGATATAAATCTTCAGTCATATTACCAAAAGCCTTTTTCCTACACAAGTGGTCAGATATCCTTCACATAATATCATGCTTTTCCCTCAAATACAGACCAAGTATTTATCCTGGTAACATTAAAGCTATAAACAACAATATGATAATTAAGCCAATATAGATAATTTATCTTTGATATGAACCTTGTTATTAAACAAACTTTCTTTAAGAAAATCCAGCCACAAGTGAATTCCTTGGAAGTTGTATTATGTTTTATAATAAAATGTAATGTTGGGAGATTTTTGTTGCTAAAAATGCCAATTTGGTGAATGTCAACTGATTTGTTTCTCACTGAAACAAAATCTAGGAGAAAAAAATTTAAATTAATTGTTTAATTCAACCTCATGAGAATGTAGTCTCTTTGATCTATGGATGGATGCACAGGTAAGTAGATAGATAAATAGAGGTTAAAAAAATTCACTTGCTTAATTTATTCACTCTGCTTCTTTATCTGTGGATATTACAAAGTAAAGTGCTTTTCTGGCAAACTAAATTGATTTTAAGAACTATCTAATTGATAGGGGAAAGATTTATTGTGTGTCTAGTATCCCTCTGATTTTCATGTAACAGGTTGATTGTTGATATAATAATCAATGTAAGTAGCAATTTATACTTGTAATAAGAATCCTAGTAAGTATAAAAGCAGTGACAAATCCATGCATTAATAAATTTGCTCAGAAGGTATTTTGGGGGAATTTTTTTAATGTGATTGCCAAATTTACTCAAACTTCAAACATAAATAAATTTCATTAATACAATATTAAAATGATGATACTACAAATAACATTAAAGGAGCTCTCTGAATCCCTTTTGACTCTCTGTATGCCAAAATTAGAAGAGCTTTTTCAAATGATAATCTAATTTTGCCACTCTCTTGCTAAAAAATGATAAAATGAAATAACCAAATAACCAAAAAACTATAATTAAACTTTTAACGGCTTCCTTTTGATATTTACATAAACAAAGAAGGCCTTCACCTTACTTGGGAGCTATGGCATTGCCTGACTTCCCCACCTCTCCCCTCACTCTGCTTTTCTGGCTCTGGATGCCCAGCCATAATCTCAGCTCAAGTGCTGGTTCCACAGGGAATCCCTCCCTGAATGGTTAAATTCCTTTCAGAAAGTTATGTTTTTCCCTCACCTCTCTCTCACAGGAAATCTCAATTCTCTTTCCAAATAGGAAATTTATCATTATTATTATTATTTAACATGTATTATTAATGTTAGGAGACAATTCATGTGAATCTTCCATGTCTGCTCATCTTATAGCAAGGCACCAACTGCTCTGCTAGAAAATCTTTTCGAGGAAGAGTAAATTTGCAAAGAGACTTAGAACATAGAGATAAGGCTTTCCTCTGAGAGAAAGGGCATAATTTTTCACTGTCCTTTATAATAAATATAATGTTTCCCTCTAGAGTAAAACAGAGGGAGGCTTACTACCATTATAAAATTCTTGGTTATCTAAGTTCAGGATCTTTCTCCTGCAATGAAATCCATGGTGTGTGCAGGTATCTGGCTGGGTCCAGCCATGTTGCCCCATGGGACTAGGAACAAGAGGAGTGAATAAATATGCTGATGTTCCATGTTGCCTTCTGTTTCACAGGTAATCAGGTCCTCTATCTGTGACCCAGGAGTGTTTTACAAGCATCCATAGAATGAAAACAGGCAGATTTGTTAGATTACAGGTAGGGTAAAATCTCAAACTCTTCATAATTCTTAATAATGCATGAAAAGAGGAGGAAAAATATGAGCCATATAACAAAATACAAAGAAAACAATGGAGAAAAATGAGTTCAAAATAGTAGGGAATAGCAAGAAATTATGAAACCACATACATAAGAAAATAAAAGTCACGGCCGGGCGCAGTGGCTCACACCTGTAATCCCAGCACTTTGGGAGGCCGAGACTGGTGGATCACCAGGTCAGGAGATGGAACCATCCTGGCTAACACGGTGAAACCCCCTCTTTACTAAAAATACAAAAAAAAAAAAAAATTCGTCAGGTGTGGTGGGGGGCACCTGTAGTCCAAGCTACTCGGGAGGCTGAGGCAGCAGAATGGCGAGAACCCGGGAGGAGGAGCTTGCAGTGAGCCGAGATCGCGCCACTGCGCTTCAGCCTGGGCGACAGAGCGAGACTCCGTCTCAAAAAAAAAATGAAAGAAAAGAAAAGTCACACTTAATATCACCACCCAAAGATACCCCGTGCCAGTTGTTTGGTACATATATGTATTTAGAAATGATCTATATATGTGTTTACTTATAATAATCTATGTGATCTCTATATATGTTTATTTATAATAATAATTTATGATTATTAAAACAATGTTGTGATAAACACTCCTTTTCCATACGTCTATGAGATCTGGTCTGATTATTTCTAGCACATACATTTCTAGAAGCAAATTTTCAAATCAAAGATGAAATGCTTCCTGCTCCATTTCACTGCCTTCCAGAAAGGCAGTTTAAATGGTAATAAGTACTTTGAAGACAAACAAAGAAGCAAAAGTGGTTGTGTTGCACTTTTATATAGAAAGCTAAAAGCTGAAATGTTAACATTTGAGAAAAGAAAAAAAAAACTGAAGGAGGTGAAGGAAGAATCTATGAAAATTCCAATTAGAGGAAACTGTGAGTAAAGTCACTCTGAGAAGCAAAAAAGTCGGCTTGACCTGTTAGAGGGATAGCAAGTGGGCAGCATAACCTCAGATAAGCAAGGAGTATAAATAGTAGAAGAAAAGGTCAGAAATGTAATGGAAGCTCAGACTTACGGGGCTGTGGAGGGAGTCAATCCACCATGGGGCTTGGCCACCTGTACTTTCCCTTGGGGTATGCCAAGAACAGGCCCTGACTGTTCCTTATCCCAACTGTTTCCTGGGGTTGAATTTCCATCCAACAACCATGAGTTTGAGATAATATCTCCCTCAGCAAAGGGCAGGCTTGCTCCCACTTACAATAAAAGTGGCAAAACTCCAAGCTCGATGTTCTTCTCAATTGCAGTCCAACGGGCGAAATGGTAGCCATTTCAGCATGAGTACTGTGCCCATGGAACTTTGGGACATGGGGAACCAACACAAACATGAAGCTCTGGTTACAGCTTTTGCTTTAATAAAGTTCTAGTTTAACAAAGCCAGGAATCTCATGCTTTCTGCCAGTGTTCATGAAACAATAACAGGCTAACTTTTAGCTTGCAAGTAGGGTAAAATTTCAAAACTTCCACAGCTCTTGACAAAGTCATGTTAACCACTGTAAATGTAAAAACCATTTTGGTTTTTACCCTGAGTGATAAGAAGAATCGTTATAGAGTTTGAGCATAAGGGTTAATATGAGGAGTTTTAAAGGATCACTCTCAGCTGTGTAGACTGAAACAAAAGTACAATAAAACAAGGATGACACAAAAAGCCACATAGTTAGGAAGTAATTCCATTAACACAGGCAAGACATGACGGTGGTCTAAACAAAAGTGATAGCAGTGGAGGTGATGAGAAGTGGCTGCATTCTAATATATTTTGAAGATAGAGATAACAACATTTGCCTAAAGGTTAGATGTGGTATATAATAAAAAATGATCATGATGAATTACTAAAAGGATTGAGCTAGAATTAATTGAATTTGTATGAGAAGGTCAGGTTTGGAAAGTTCAGATTTTTCCTTCCATTTTTGGTTTCATAAGACATTTAATCATGAATTAGTATTGAGGGGTATTGAAATTTAATAAATATCTGCATCTAATGAGAAGATTATAAGTTTTATTTCTTTTATTGTATTAATTACATTGACTAGTTTTTGGATTTCAAACCAAACTGGCTTATTTTCTTAGAATACGCAATACTGAGCTGTGATGCATTATCATTTTACATAGGCTTGACTATGCTAATTTTAAAAAAGAATTTACATATGTATTCATAAGCAATATTAACATATACTTTTTAAAAAGTTCTTGTCTGATTTTAATTTAATTAATCACAATTAATTTTTAAAAGTTAAAATCCTATTAATTAGAAGTATGTATACAATATTTGTTTTTCATCATTAAATATTTAAAATAATTAATGAGGAAAACACTTATGTCTAGAGATTTCTGTTTTGAATGAGATAAGATAAATTTTTCTAGAAGTTTGTACATTTAACCAAAAGTACCAAATCTATTACAGCAAAGTGGTTGGTAATTAGCCCTTAGGATTTTTTTAATGTCTGTAGGATCTCTAGTTATCCAGTGGCACAGCTTTTCCCATATTTGATAGGAGATTTGTCTATTTTTCTTTACAGGGATAAATCTTTTTTATTAGTAATTCCCCCTAAAACCAGCTTTAGGTGAGCTGAATTTCTCTACTACGTATTTGATTTCTATTTGATTAATGATTTATCTTACATTTCTTATTTCCTTATTTCTACTTTTAGTTTTAATGACTGATTCTTATTCTACTGTCTTGAGTTAAATACTTAAAATGATAATTCTCAACTTTCTAAAAATTTTCTAACATACCAAATTTAAGGTTATATGATTCTCACTAACACGAATTTATCTATATTCCAAATGTCTTCATATTTTCATGTTTGATAATCTTATTTTCATTCAGTTTGAAATATTTTCTAACCTTAATTGTAACTTTTTCTTTGATAATGGGTTATTTACAAGAATATTCCTTGATATTCACACATTGAGAACTTATTTATTTATTTTTTAATTGATTGATTTTAGCTGAATTTCACTATGTGTAAGAACATAGTGTGAATAAATAGTTGAGATTTGCTTTACAACCCAAGTATTTGTCCTGGTCACAACAAAAGGTAGATTTTTGGTAGATACCAAAAATAAGCACTTGAGAGGCACAAGTGTTTAATGCAGCAGAAACCATAACTTCAATAAGCATCAAGTCGTGACTAGAAAATAAATGTAATACATTTCTGGAAATTTTAAAAATCAGGAAAGTAATTTTTCCCAGGATTACCATGGAGAATCTTAGAAAATGTAGCATTTGATCAAGGCTATGAATGATGTGTAAGGTGTATATATACATATACATATATATACACACACACGTATATATTATATGTTATATATAATTATAATTTATGATTATTAAAACAATGTTGTGATAAACACTCCTTTTCCATACATCTATGAGTTCTTGTCTGATTATTTCTAGCACATACATTTCTAGAAGCATATATTTATATGTTATATAATATATATTATATATTACTATATATATGGTATTTCCAGTGAAAACCATTTTCAGTAATTGTAGTTGTTCCAGTTGAGCTAAAAGAGAAATTTCTTCAAGCCAAAAAGTTGTAAGAAATACAGCTGGAGAGATAATTGGAGTTTTGATTATTAGGTAAAGATGTTTCAAGCTTATCCCTAAAGTAATGTGAGATTATATATATTTTTTCTTTTTTCTATTTTTTTTTCTTTTTTTTTTTTGAGACGGAGTGTCACTCTGTCGCCCAGGCTAGAGTTAGAGTGCAGTGGGGCGATCTCGGCTCACTGAAAGCTCCGCCTCCCGGGTTCACGCCATTCTCCTGCCTCAGCCTCCCGAGTAGCTGGGACTACAGGCACCCGCCACCACGCCCGGCTAATCTCTTTTTTTTTTTTTTTTAATATTTTTACTAGAGACAGGGTTTCACCGTGTTAGCCAGAAAGCTCTCAATCTCCTGACCACCTCGGCCTATCCACCCTATCTGCCCGCCTCAGCCTCCCAAAGTGCTGGGATTACAGTCATGAGCCACCGTGCCCAGCCATGAGTTTGTATTTTTAAGCAGAACTTTTTTAACAGATGACTAGAAGTGATTTTGAAAAATTAATGCAGTGTCATCTGAAGAATGACAGAGGGAATCCTCTCAAGTAGTTAAAGGATTGCTAAGCTATAAATTAATACAAATACAAAAGTGGAAGGCAGAGAAAAACTATGGAAGGAGCAGGTGTAAAAACCGCTTGGGAAGAGAAATTGATGTAATTTTGCCATTGATTATGTGCAAGAATGAGTTTCCTCTGAAGTTTTGATTTGGGAAATGTAAAATTATATTTCTAGAAAATGAATATGAATACAGGAAGTATACATTCATAATTACTTGAGTTAAAGACATTTTGAATTTCAGATGCTGGTGATCAATCTGGTAAAAAAAATGTTTAGTAGGTAATTGCAAACTTATAACAAACTCAGAAAAGCACATAAGTACAAAGTTTTAGAATTCATGATAAAAATGTGAAGCCATTATTTTAATTTATAGATACAAATGAAATCTCTAAGAAAAAGAATGGGGGAGAAAAGAATAAAAATATTATTTCATGCACACACAGGAGACAGGAAAAAAAGAGAAGGAAATGAAGAGAATAGAAAAAACATAATCAACATTTAGTCAGTAAATAAATACAACATAACATACTACCAGTCACACTCTAGTTAAATAAAAGAATAATCATACTATACATATATAGTAATCATATAGTGTGATACCACAGATGTTAAAGAAGAAAAGAGTTCCAAAAAAGAGGTGCTAATGTGCAAAGACAAATATATCAGTGGTTATGAATAAGAACACCAACCTTTTTTGAGAATCTACTGTTTGTCTGATTAGATATATAAAGACACACATACACACACCACACACACACACACACACACACACAGATTCTCTTTAAATCCTATGAAATGTATGAAACATGTTTATATGTTTGTACGTATTATAATCCATGTTTACAAAGTAAAGATAGAGGCTCTATACAGTTAAATGGCATGCTTGCCCTACTAGAAGCTAGTATTTGGTAGAACATAGATTCTTTCTTTTTCCAAAGTGACCCTCAGAAAGAAAGGATGGATTTTAGTAATGTAATATAATTAAAAACTAGGTGATGGAATTGATGGGAATGAAAATAGATTGCAAAAACTTACTTGGAGAATGCAGTTAAGAGTTAATATCATACCCATAACTTGGATTCATTCTTTTTTTTCATTTATTCTTTCCATACATATTTACTTATTATTTATTCTGCAAAATAAGCTATACAAGATGATGGGGATAAAAGAGTTCAGCATAAATAAAATAATAAGAACAAAGCAATAAAAACAGATATCATAAGAACTTTCTTCTTATGAAGATAACAGTAGGGTGGGAAGAATTGTGAATTTTAAAGAAGACCAAATAGATGTAAAATTGTGACTACCAAAGTACAAGGAAGGAAATCCATAGTTCTATGCAGGAAATGATACCTGAGTTGGGATCTGCAGGAAGAGAAGTTATTTGGCAAATAAAATGTGTCTATGTTTGTTACTGGGCTGGGAGGAAGAGGCTGTAGCACATATAATACATAGTAGGAGCTCATTAACTGCTAACTGGTTTCTAAATTGATCTTATCTAGTCACCTCGGTCTTGCTAAAATAGTTCGAAACCAGAGTCTTGATCATAACACTGTAAATAATAAATCACATTATCTTTTTGTTTAATAGAGGAAAAGCTGTTCCAACAAATATATTTCCAACAAAATTGGTAAACATAATTGAATTTATTTATCTTGTTTAAGGCCATTGGTACTAGAAATATAAAATTAAGAGAAACTAGAAACACATAAGGCAAAAATTCTTTAGTTGAGTTACTTTTTTCCAGGTTTTATTTGGCAATAAACAGATAACTTGATTTAATGATTCAAAAAAATAACATTTTCTGCATTACTAAAGGAAAGATATTTAAAATGGGATTAATAAAATACATGGGGAAAATGGACATGAACATGCAATGACCAAGTGTATAAGTCACGCATGGTGAGCAGTCAGACTGGTCAATGACATCTTTTCTACTATTGCTAAAACAATCTAGGAATGATTTTCAAGAGAGAAGAAATATTTGTTCTGGTGATTCAGTTATCCTTCTGACTATGATGATATAATAATATCTAGAAATTACCTTTTGAGTATGAGCCTAGATTACAACATCCTCTCTTCTCTCAAAACTACAAGGTGATTTGGCCTGAGTTTCAGCCACTACAGCCTCCCTACCGAAGTCCGCGACAGAGAAACTGACCATTCTATACAAACAGATGTGGATGCTGCATCTGAGGCAGGATAGGGAGTCAAGGAAGTGACCATGTTCTTGGGAGGCAGCAACCATGGTGACCGTACAATCAACACAATAGGCCTCAGCATTTGCACTGTAATTCAGTTCATTCAAGCAAAGCTATCTTCGGTAGAGACTTTCTCTTCTAGACAGCATGTGCATTTTGATTTTACCTGTCCTCAAACTGACCCTTTGCTCATTGTAATAATAAAAAACCCCTAGGAAGAGATTTAAGATGCTAATGAGATATGTGAAATATGAACAAGCTTGTACAGCTACTGTGTATGTGCACCCAGAACCTAAGACAGCAAAGATCAGCACTTGGGAGACTTCCTTTACAGGAGTCTTACATTCTTCATAAGGAGGTGGGAAGAGGAGTTATTAGCAAGTAAGCACTAGTTGCTACTACTAGTAAGCAACTAGTGCTTACTGGTAACTCCTCTTCCCACCTCCTTATGAAGAACGTAAGACCCTGTTAAGGAAGTTTCCCGAGTGCTGATCTTTGCTGTCTCATCCTTATGAGCAGCCCATCCTGAATTCCCTCCCTTTCAGGATGAACTGTCTATTCTGCACCTAATTTTCCAAATATTATTTTTCTTTTGCAGTAAATTACTCTATGCTGCACTTCTTTTGCTGTGCATCTCTTGTTTAAATTCTTTTAAAGCAAGAAGTCAAGAACCAAGGTGTCACATTAGCCATCAGCACAGTCACGTTTGGTCACAGTTAAAACAGATTCAGGAGGGCTGTCAGCCAGAAGCTAGGCCAATCAATTTATGCCTCCCAAGAATGTAGAAAAAAGCTGGTCAATTTCTATGGGAATTTAAAACCATAAGAAAGTAAACTTAGAATCTGTGGACAAGAGAAACAGAAAAAAATGGATCCTTTTCCGTCATGATTTTGTCCTTGGGATTAGCAAAAGTGAATTTAAGAAAGACATCTTGGTTATTAACTCCGGGATGAAACACAGAACCATTAGAAGAGAGTTTATCTCATATGTCTTGTAACTGTTTCCTTTTTTATCAATTGCAGTATTATTCCTTCCAGCTACAGTCTGAAAGCTAAAATATCTACCAAGAGGGGATTTTGTGTTTTTTTGTAATACAGTGTTGTCCTTTTAACATTTTAATATCTGTGGGTAGTTGGCCTCTAAGATGGTCCTCAGTGATCCTTGCCTCTGGTTCACACCTTTGTGTGATCCTTCCCCTTGAGTGTGAGCTAAACTCACTGACTTCCTTCTAATATACAGAAGACAATCGTGTTGAAATGTCTGTGATTAGGTTACAAGAAGACTGTGGTTGCCCTCAGTGGGTTCTCACTTTCTCTTGCTCTCTCTTGAATTACTCGCACTGAGGAGCAAGCTGCCACGGTGTGAGTAGTCCTGTAGTGAGTTCCCGGGGCATAGTAAGAACCGAGCCTTTAGGGAACCGTGTGATGAGCCTGGATGTGAATCATTCAGCCCCAGGCAGTCTTGAAATGACTCCAGCCTAGCCAAAGCTTGAAGACAACTTCATGAGAGACCTTAAGCCAAAGGCACCCAGCTAAGCTGCACTCAGACATCTGACTCATAGAAACTGAGATGAGTATTTGCTGTTTTAAGCCACTAAGTTTTCCAGTAATTTGTTATACAGAAATAAAAAAAACTGTTATAATGCCATTTGATATTTTAATACATAACTTTATAAACACTTAAATGTTACTGTATCTCCCTTAGACTTTCTAACAAAATATAACTAGACATTAAAATGTGGTTAATAAATGCACTATTTGAGTATAGGTCACTCGGTGTTTCCATTTCCATTTCTTGATTTTTTAATTTTTTTTATTTTTTAGATGGAGTCTTGCTCTGTCACTAGGCTGGAGTGCAGTAGCACAATATTGGCTCACTGAAACCTCTGCCTCCTGGGTTCAAGTGATTTTCCAGCCTCAGCCTCCCAAGTAGCTGGGACTACAGGAGCGCAACACCATACCCAGCTAATTTTTGTATTTTTAGTAGAGACGGGGTTTCATCGTGATGGCCAGGATGGTCTCGATCTCCTGACCTTGTGATCTACCTGCCTTGGCCTCCACTTAAAAAAAAAAAAAAACAAAAGTTAAAAAAAAAACACAAAAGTTAAAGCAAAGGCGACATGAACTCTGGAAATACTGAGAAATCCTTTCCCTCAAAACAACCTCCAATTTTCATAGAACACTATATATATTTCAATAAATGGATACTATTCTCTTGAGGTGAAATGCAAAGAAGAATGTAAATAAGCCAAAAACTCAAAAGCAATGGGGTAGAAAAGATTAGACTAAGAATACCCTATAGAATTTGGCATAACACTTAGAAAGTATCACAGGTGTTGATATTTGCATGATACATTCAAGAAGAATTTATAACAACTTAGCAGCTGTACTGTAAATAGTGTCTTATAAAAAGTCTATTAAGCAATAATTACTATTCAATATTCATGGCTTAATGAAAGTGACTTGTTGCAATTTTAAGTCATTTTAGAATCATCATTATGTAAAACTTTGACATGTGGAAGCTGTTTATATTAGTTAGTTTGGGAGAAAATGTGTGCATATATTCTGTCTTTTTTTCTTCCATACCAGGAAAGAAGAAAACATTGCATTCCATGTAAATAGTTTTTGTGTCATTTTAACAAAATGTTCAATAATTTCTATTTGGTTTTCTTGACAGCTTGCTCTTCAAGGGCATTACATTAACATGTGCAAGAACACACCAATTAAAAAACATTTTATAGCACACTTCAAATTCTAGTGCTGAGAATTTTTAAAAATGATAAAGTGATAATTGCTTCTGTAAAGTTTCTAAACAAATTCCAAGGTGTTTGGAGTACAGATATCTGTTTAATGTCCACCTATAGGAAAACATTGATTTCCGGCCACTCATAGCTACTGGTCATAGGCATTTCTTTGGGAGTCCCCAGGCAGTGAGAAAACACATTGAGCCATGCATATCTTCTGCAGGCATAAAGTAAGTTAAAAAGAGATATAATACTTAATATAAAAAAGAGACATAATAGTAAAAAGTCAGAATGTTTTGGAACTTAATCACATTATTTAGTGAAAGTTTACATTAAAATTTGACAAAAAGAAGACACATCATGAAAACACAGAAATGTCAGGCTAAAAACCTCAAGTAGTTGTTCAATTTTTTACAGTTCAGTGAAAATATAATGAATTGGAGGGGAAAAATGTTTAAGGAAAACTGAAAAGTACATAATGTATTTCTATTTTGCTTACATGAGATATCATTTTGAAATGTTTCAGGGTATTACTTCAAAGTATATTCTTATTTATTGTGGCTTGCTATGACAAGTACTAAAGTGGTCGTATGCTTTTCATGTAAACTCCACTTCCTTTAGTTAGATGTAACTCTTCCACATGTATACATACTTTAAAACATTATATGATACATGATAAATATATGAAATTTTATGTTAATTAAAAAAATAGGCCACGCACAGTGGCTCCTGCCTGTAATCCCAGCACTTTGGGAGGCCAAGGTGGGCAGATCACTTGAGGTCAGGAGTTCAAGACAAGCGTGGCCAACAATGGCAAAACCCCATCTCTGCTAATAATACAAAAATTAGCCGAGCATAGTGGCCCATGCCTGTAGTCCCAGCTACTCAGGAGGCTGAGGCAGGAGAATCACTTGAACCCGGGAGGCGAAGGTTACAGTGAGACGGGTTTGCGCCACTTCACTCCAGCCTGGGTGACAGAGCAAGACTGTCTCAAAAAAAATTTTTTTTGAAAAAATTAAAAAATGTTAAGAATTACAAAAAACATTCTTCAAAACAGAGAAGTGTCTCTTTTTTTTTAACCTCAAAGGGAGGGGATTGTATAGATATATGAGTATCCGTTGCTGACATGATATTCTATCATTCCCCCAATATGTCTGTATTTCTTACAACGACATATCTCCTCCATAACAACAATGCAACCATATGAATGAGGACATAAGATTGATACATCACTCCCATCTAACCCTCATTTGAGTTCTGCTCATTGTCCCGATAATGTCCTTTTTAGTAAATGAATGTAATTTAGAATCATACTTTTTGTATATAGTTGACACTTTTTTTAATGACCCCTTTAGCCTGAAACAGTTACAGTTCTTCAGTGTTCTTTTTTTCTTGAGGGAGGGGTGGATTTCATAACTTTTATTCCTTTAAACATTATAGATCAATTACATTGTAGAATGTTTCTCAGTTTGGGTTTATCTGATGTTCCTTAAAGATTAGATTGAGGTTCTGCAACTTTGGCAGGAGTATCACAGAAATTACATATTATTTTTGTCACATCTTCTTATGTGGCTCATAATTTATTTTTTCCTTTCAGAGTGACAGTAACTTCTATCACTAGATTATGGTGGTATCTTCCAGTATTCTTCACTCTAAAGTTATTCATTTCCCTCTGTGGTTCAAAAGTATTTGTGGTGGAAGTACTTTAAGACTATGTAAATATCCCATTTCTCATCAAATTTTCATTTTATTCACTCATTTATTTATATTACTGATATGATTTCCAATTGTATTCAGTGGGTTATAATTTGATACCATCATTATTATGGTGCTTGAATTCTTCCACATGTCTTGTTGCAGACCCTTCACGCTGACTTCTGTGTTCTTTTGATATACCACTATCAATCTTTGAGCACTTCTTTGCTTTCTGGAACAATAAGATGTTATTGGCTCATGTTGTTAACTTTGTTTCAGTTTAGATTCAACCATTACTGCAAGAAGCCTTGGCCTTTTTTGGTGGAGGATGATATTTAGAAACCAAGACCTATGAACCAGGTATACTCATTACAATTAGGATGTAATGACTCCCTGGCACCCTCAGTAAATAGATATAGGAAATACATTCATTTATGTACATCCATATATACATATAAATACCTATATTTGCATCTATATTCATTTTTATAACTATAGGTTTTCAAAATTATAAATCATGATGATTCTAATATAACACTTCAAGATTTATTATGACTTCCTCCCTTTCATATTTGTAACTCTGTTCTAAAACAAGAAACCAGGCTCGGATTTTCTTTCATATGTTATCTGTTAGACAGATTCCCTTGACGTAATCAGTTTCCCATATAGATTCTGCCTACAGCTTCACACTGATTTCCTTCTTGTTCCTGCCACCCATCAACATATAGCCATCACCACTTATTTTCTCACCCTCTCCTAATCAATCTGTGTCCTGTGCAGGTACCCTCCTCACTCCAATTGACCACTAATATCTCATGCTTAGATGGCATCCCTAGTTGGGCTCTGATCCTCTGCACAAGACCATCACTCAATGGGCATAGTTGACATCTCATAGTAGGAGTTCCTGGGTAAACACATCCTGCTTCTACTGTTCAGGCTCCAAAACCTCCCACAGGATCACACAGGTGTAGTTTTCCCTCCTTACCCTACATGGGAATTGATACTTCGTTCCGAGCCTTCACACCTTCTCCACCTGAGGTGAAAACCTCCCATACTCTGCTCCACTTAAAGCCTTCAGGGATTAATTGTTCAGAAGTAGTAAAAGAGGAAGAACCTCCTATTCTCTCTTAAACCCATTTCAATGAGGTGTCTGCCCTAACCACTCTGCAAAACTTCTTGCATTTTGTAAAAATATATATTTATTATTTATTGGTTAGGACCATGAATAACTACGATAACCATAGGCCCTGTTTATCTGGGACATTCTTAATTCATTTGGTTATCTCTGTTTTGCTCATAAAAATGTCCCAGTTTGGAGAGTAATAACTTACTCTCCAAACCCCCACATCTTACAATATGTTCTTGATACAGTTGCCAGAGTAATTGTCTCAAAACATAACTCAGGCCATATACTCCTTTGTTTAAGACCCTGCAATGGCTCCCCTTTCCTTTCAGAGTAAAAGCCAACGGCCTTACAAAAGTATACAATGTCTTACATAATCAGACTCTTATTTTTCAGAGCACATCTAATTCATACCCCAGGCTCAGTCTGCTCCCAGGCTCAGCCTGCTCCTGCGCGTTGGCCTTCTTGCTGTTCCATGAGCATGCTAGCATATTCCTGCTAACCTGTGCCGCCAAGTCCTTTGCTCTAGCTTTTCTTTCTGCCCAAAATACTCTTTCCCAGACAGCCAATCGATTAGCTTCTTCAGTACTTCAAATCTTGGCTTAACTATCACCTTCACAATGAAGCTTTCCCTGACCATCATCCTCGTCAGCACTGCATTCTGGCCCTGCCCTGTCTCTTTGGCATGTCGGATCCCTCTTCCCCTACTCTACATTTTGTATAGCACTTGGTCCTTTAAAAAATATCCTAGTTACTTTGTGAATACTTGTTAGTGCTTTTAGTTTTTCTCTTTACACTATAATGTAAGTACAGCATGGGCAGGAATGGTGTCTAGTTCCGTTTTCTCACAGATAGCACCTATAACAGTATCTGGCACATCGTAGATGAACAATACCATAATTGTCGAATGGATAAATGAAGGTGTTCAGTACAAAACAATCAACATCACCAATGAAAAACCCTAAAATATTTTGATTTAAGATGGACAATAATTTTGTCAATTTGTCATCTCTAAGTTAACTATACCAGGTTTACTTAAAATGTATCCTAAAATACCACTGAGCATTTTACCTGATACCCTCCCATAACGACCAAATTTTAGGCACTATTTTTTTTTAAGAAATTAGAAGTACCCATTATTTTACCATATAAAATTAACTTATTTGTGCTTCTGAAATAACAAGTCACAATTTTTTCATCTCCTATTACTTTGCATTATCTCTTACATAGAAATTATATTGCAATTATATAGTCAACCAACAGCCCCATGCTTTGTTCTAACTTTTGAATTTTGGGGCCAATGAATATATATTTATAGTTTAACATACTGAGTGTATCACCTTTTCTAATACTGCACACAGATTTTCTAAACTTTTAGAGCGTTATCATTTTCTAAAAATTCCATAGCACAAATACTGCATGATTTCCTGAATGTTCATTCATTATAACGCTGTGCAGAACTTTGTTTACTAAAGCATTTTTCCCAATAGTAGCAAAGTTTTGCATGTAACTTTTGCCACCTTTGAAAATAATTTTCCTAAGGAAACATTCTCACAAATGAGATTATTGGATCTAAGAATGTAATATGTTGCTATTCCAATTACAGTATCATTGGCAATTTAAAAAAAAGAAAAACGTAACAGTTTTTCCTGATAAAACTCACCAGCACTCATTAAATTTTTGATCCCAGTTTTGTTGCTTAAAGATTGTACTAAAACATTCTCTGTGTTACTTCTTTTATTTCTTTTACAAATTTTATTTTAAATTGACACGTCATAATTGCACGGATTCATGAGGTACAGTGGGATGTTTTGATAAATGTATATATTGTTTAATGATCAAATAAGGGTAATTAGCATGTCCAGCTCCTCACATATTTATTGGTTTTTTGTTTTCGTGGTGAGAACATTCAAATCAATTTCTTCTAGCTTTTTGAAATATACATTATTGTTAACTGTAGTCAGCCTACTGGGTATTACAACACCAGAACTTATTTCTCCCAACTAACTGTAACTTTGTACCTATTCTCTAACCTCTCCCCATTCCTTCCTTCTTACCACTTTCCCCAGCCTTTAGTAACCTATATTCTACTCTCCTATGGGCTCAACTTTTTAAAAGTTCACATATGAGTGAGAACATGTGCTATTTGTCTTTCTGTGCCTGGCTTATTTCACTTAACATAATGTCCTCCAGTTTCATCCCTGTTATTGCAAATGACAGGACGTTTTTAATGGTCGAATAGTATTCCATTGTGCATATATACCACATTTTCTTTACCCATTTATCTGTTGATGAACACCTAGATTGATTCCATATCTTGGCTATTGTGAATAGTAGTGCAATAAACATGGGAGTGCAGACATTACTTTTATTTACTGATTGCATTTCTTTTGAATATATAACCCAGTAGTAAGATTGCTGGATCATATGGTAATTCAAGTTTTATATTTTTTTGAGGAATCTCCACACTATTTTTCCATAATGGGAGTACTAATTTGTATTCCTACCAACAGTGTGTTAGAGATCCCTTTTCTTCACTTCCTCACCAACATTTTTTTTTATCTTCTGACTATTAGACAACAGCCATTATAACTGTAAAAAGATGATATCTCATTGTGGTTTTGATTTGTATTTCCTGATGATTAGTATGTTGGGCATTTTTTTCATATATCTGTTGGCCATTAATATGTCTTCTTTTAAGAAATATCTATTCAACTTGTAGAGTTTCTGCTGAGAGATCCACTGTTAGTCTGATGGGCTTCCCTTTGTGGGTAACCCGACCTTTCTCTCTGGCTGCCCTTAACATTTTTTCCTTCATTTCAACTTTGGTGAATCTGACAATTATGTGTCTTGGAGTTGCTCTTCTCGAGGAGTATCTTTGTGGCGTTCTCTGTATTTCCTGAATCTGAATGTTGGCCTGCCTTGCTAGATTGGGGAAGTTCTCCTGGATAATATCCTGCAGAGTGTTTTCCAACTTGGTTCCATTCTCCCCATCACTTTCACGTACACCAATCAGACGTAGATTTGGTCTTTTCAGATAGTCCCATATTTCTTGGAGGCTTTGTTCGTTTCTTTTTATTCTTTTTTCTCTAAACTTCCCTTCTCACTTCATTTCATTCATTTCATCTTCCATCGCTGATACCCTTTCTTCCAGTTGATCGCATCCGCTCCTGAGGCTTCTGCATTCTACACGTAGTTCTCGAGCCTTGGCTTTCAGCTCCATCAGCTCCTTTAAGCACTTCTCTGTATTGGTTATTCTAGTTATACATTCGTCTAAATTTTTTTCAAAGTTTTTAACTTCTTTGCCTTTGGTTTGAATTTCCTCCTGTAGCTTGTAGTTTGATCGTCTGAAGCCTTCTTCTCTCAACTCGTCAAAGTCATTCTCCATCCAGCTTTGTTCCATTGCTGGTGAGGAACTGCGTTCCTTTGGAGGAGGAGAGGTGCTCTGCTTTTTAGAGTTTCCAGTTTTTCTGCTCTGTTTTTTCCCCATCTTTGTGGTTTTATCTACTTTTGGTCTTTGATGATGGTGATGTACAGATGGGTTTTTAGTGTGGATGTCCTTTCTGTTCGTTAGTTTTCCTTCTAACAGACAGGACCCTTAGCTGCACGTCTGTTGGAGTTTCCTAGAGGTCCACTCCAGACCCTGTTTGCCTGGGTATCCACAGCGGTGTTTGCAGAACAGCGGTTTTTCATGAACTGCAAATGCTGCTGTCTGATCGTTCCTCTGGAAGTTTCGTCTCAGAGGAGTACCCGGCTGTGTGAAGTGTCAGTCTGCCCACTACAAGCCAGAAGAGAGTGGGGGCCAATATTCAGCATTCTTAAAGAAAAGAATTTTCAACCCAGAATTTCATATCCAGCCAAACTAAGCTTCAAAAGTGAAGGAGAAATAAAATACTTTACAGACAAGCAAATGCTGAGCAATTTTGTCACCACCAGGCCTGCCCTAAAAGAGCTCCTGAAGGAAGCACTAAACATGCAAAGGAACAATCGGTACCAGCCACTGCAAAATCATGCCAAAATGTAAAGACCATCGAGACTAGGAAGAAACTGCATCAACTAACGAGCAAAATAACCAGCTAACTTCATAATGACAGGATCAAATTCACACATAACAATATTAATTTTAAATGTAAATGGACTAAATGCTCCAATTAAAAGACACAGACTGGCAAATTGGATAAAGAGTCAAGACCCATCAGTGTGCTGTATTCAGGAAACCCATCTCATGTGCAGAGACACACATAGGCTCAAAATAAAAGAATGCAGGAAGATCTACCAAGCAAATGGAAAACAAAAAAAGGCAGGGGTTGCAATCCTAGTCTCTGATAAAACAGACTTTAAACCAACAAAGATCAAAAGAGACAAAGAAGGCCATTACATAATGGTAAAGGGATCAATTCAACAAGAAGAGCTAACTATCCTAAATACATATGCACCCAATACAGGAGCACCAGATTCATAAAGCAAGTCCTGAGTGACCTACAAAGAGACTTAGACTCCCACACATTAATAATGGGAGACTTTAACACCCCGCTGTCAACATTAGACAGATCAATGAGACAGAAAGTTAACAAGAATACCCAGGAATTGAACTCAGCTCTGCACCAAGAGGACCTAATAGACATCTAAAGAACTCTCCACCCCAAATCAACAGAATATACATTTTTTTCAGCACCACACCACACCTATTCCAAAATTGACCACATACTTGGAAGTAAAGCTCTCCTCAGCAAATGTAAAAGAACAGAGATTATAACAAACTATCTCTCAGACCACAGTGCAATCAAACTAGAACTCAGAATTAAGAATCTCACTCAAAACCGCTCAACTACATGGAAACTGAACAACCTGTTCCTGAATGACTACTGGGTACATAATGAAATGAAGGCAGAAATAAAGATGTTCTTTGAAACCAACGAGAACAAAGACACAACATACCAGAATCTCTGGGACACATTCAAAGCAGTGTGTAGAGGGAAATTTATAGCACTAAATGCCCACAAGAGAAAGCAGGAAGGATCCAAAATTGACACCCTAACATCACAATTAAAAGAACTAGAAAAGCAAGAGCAAACACATTCAAAAGCTAGCAGAAGACAAGAAATAACTAAAATCAGAGCAGAACTGAAGGAAATAGAGACACAAAAAACCCTTCAGAAAATTAATGAATCCAGGAGCTGGTTTTTTGAAAGGATCAACAAAATTGATAGACTGCTAGCAAGACTAATAAAAAAAGAGAGAAGAATCAAATAGATGCAATAAAAAATGATAAAGGGGATATCACCACCAATCCCACAGAAATACAAACTACCATCAGAGATTACTACAAACACCTCTACGCAAAAAAACTAGAAAATCTAGAAGAAATGGATAAATTCCTCGACACATACACTCTCCCAAGACTAAACCAGGAAGAAGTTGAATCTCTGAATAGACCAATAACAGGAGCTGAAATTGAGGCAAGAATCAATAGCTTACCAACAAAAAAGAGTCCAGGATCAGATGGATTCACAGCCGAATTCTACCAGAGGTACAAAGAGGAACTGGTACCATTCCTTCTGAAACTATTCCAATCAATAGAAAAAGAGGGAATCCTCCCTAACTCATTTTATGAGGCCAGCATCATCCTGATACCAAAGCTGGGCAGAGACACAACCAAAAAAGAGAATTTTAGACCAATATCCTTGATGAACATTGATGCAAAAATCCTCAATAAAATACTGGCAAACTGAATCCAGCAGCACATCAAAAAGCTTATCCACCATGATCAAGTGGGCTTCATCCCTGGGATGCAAGGCGGGTTCAATATACACAAATCAATAAATGTAATCCAGCATATAAACAGAACCAAAGACAAAAACCACATGATTATCTCAATAGATGCAGAAAAGGCCTTTGACAAAATTCAACAACACTTGATGCTAAAAACTCTCAAAAAATTAGGTATTGATGGGACATATCTCAAAATAATAAGAGCTATCTATGACAAACCCACAGCCAATATCATACTGAATGGGCAAAAACTGGAAGCATTCCCTTTGAAAACTGGCACAAGACAGGGATGCCTTCTCTCACCACTCCTATTCAACATAGTGTTGGAGATTCTGGCCAGGGCAATTAGGCAGGAGAAGGAAATAAAGGGTATTCAATTAGGAAAAGAGGTAGTCAAATTGTCCCTGTTTGCAGACGACATGATTGTGTATCTAGAAATCCCCATTGTCTCAGCCCAAAATCTCCTTAAGCTGATAAGCAACTTCAGCAAAGTCTCAGGATACAAAATCAATGTACAAAAATCACAAGCATTCTTATACACCAATAACAGACAAACAGAGAGCCAAATCGTGAGTGAACTCCCATTCACAATTGCTTCAAAGTGAATAAAATACCTAGGAATCCACCTTACAAGGGACGTGAAGGACCTCTTCAAGGAGAACTACAAACCACTGCTCAAGGAAATAAAAGAGGATACAAACGAATGGAAGAACATTCCATGCTCATGGGTAGGAAGAATCAATATCGTGAAAATGGCCATACTGCCTAAGGTAATTTATAGATTCAATGCCATCCCCATCAAGCTACAAATGGCTTTCTTCACAGAATTGGAAAAAACTACTTTAAAGTTCATATGGAACCAAAAAAGAGCCCGCATCGTCAAGGCAATCCTAAGTCAAAAGAACAAAGCTGGAGGCATCACACTACCTGACTTCAAACGATACTACAAGGCTACAGTAACCAAAACAGCATGGTACTGGTACCAAAACAGAGATATAGATTAATGGAACAGAACAGAGCCCTCAGAAATGACGCCACATATCTACAACTATCTGATCTTTGACAAACCTGAGAAAAACAAGCAATGGGGAAAGGATTCCCTATTTAATAAATGGTGCTGGGTAAACTGGCTAGCCATATGTAGAAGGCTGAAACTGGATCCCTTCCTTACACCTTATACAAAAATCAATTCAAGATGGATTAAAGACTTAAACGTTAGACCTAAAACCATAAAAACCCTAGAAGAAAACCTAGGCATTACCATTCAGGACATAGGCATGGGCAAGGACTTCATGTCTAAAAAACCAAAAGCAATGGCAACAAAAGCCAAAATTGACAAATGGGATCTAATTAAACTAAAGAGCTTCTGCACAGCAAAAGAAACTACCATCAGAGTGAACAGGCAACCTACAAAATGGGAGAAAATTTTCGCAACCTACTCTTCTGACAAAGGGCTAATATCCAGAATCTACAATGAACTCAAACAAATTTACAAGAAAAAAACAAACAACCCCATCAAAAAGTGGGCGAAGGACATGAACAGATACTTCTCAAAAGAAGACATTTATGCAGCCAGAAAACCCATGAAAAAATGCTCACCATCACTGGCCATCAGAGAAATGCAAATCAAAACCACAATGAGATACCATCTCACACCAGTTAGAATGGCGATCATTAAAAAGTCAGGAAACAACAGGTGCTGGAGAGGATGTGGAGAAATAGGAACACTTTTACACTGTTGGTGGGACTGTAAACTAGTTCAACCATTGTGGAAGTCAGTGTGGTGATTCCTCAGGGATCTAGAACTAGAAATACCATTTGACCCAGCCATCCCATTACTGGGTATATACCCAAAGGACTATAAATCATGCTGCTATGAAGACACATGCACATGTATGTTTATTGTGGCACTATTCACAATATGAAAGACTTGGAACCAACCCAAATGTCCAACAATGATAGACTGGATTAAGGAAATGTGGCACATATACACCATGGAATACTATGCAGCCACAAAAAATGATGAGTTCATGTCCTTTGTAGGGACATGGATGAAATTGGAAATCATCATTCTCAGTAAACTATCGTAAGAACAAAAAACCAAACACCGCATATTCTCACTCACAGGTGGGAATTGAACAATGAGAACACAGGGACACAGGAAGGGGAACATCACACTCTGGGGACTGTTGTGGGGTGCTGGGGAGGGGAGGGATAGCATTGGGAGATATATCTAATGCTAGATGACGAGTTAGTGGGTGCAGTGCACTAGCATGGCACATGTATACATATGTAACTAACCTGCACATTGTGCACATGTACCCTAAAACTTAAAGTATAATAAAAAAAAAGAAATATCTATTCAAGTATATTGCCCATTTTTAAATCAGGTTGTTTTCTATTGAGTTATCTGAGTTCCTTTTATAATAGGTTGGTGCAAAAATAACATTTTTGTATGTTAACCCCTTATCAGTTATATAGTTTGCAAATATATTCTCCCATTTTGTGGGCTGTCTATTCAGTCTGTTAATTGTTTCCTTGCTGTACAGAAGCTTATAGTTTGATATCATCCCATCTGTCTATTCTTGCTTTGTTGCCCATGCTTTTGAGGTCTTATTCAAAACAATTCTTGCCTATAGCAACATTATGGAAGTTTTCCCCTATGATTTTTTTTCTAGTAGTTTCATAGTTTCTGGTCTTACATTTCAGTCTTTATCCCATTTAAGTTTATTTTTGTATATATTGAGAGATGAGCATCTAATTTTATTATTCTGCATGTGGATATCCAGTTTTCCCAACACCATTTAATGAAGCAACTGTCCTTTTCCCATTGTGTGTTCTTGGCACCATTGTCAAAAATCAGTTGGCTGTATATGTGTGAATTTATTTCTGGGCTCTCTATTCTAGTCCATTGGTCTGTGTTTCTACTGAAGCATAATATACCCACCTTAAAAGGTATCCATTTTTAACTCTACAAGTCAATGGTTTTAAATAAACTTCCACCACAATCCAAATTCAATCCAATTTCTCTGTTATCACAAATGATTCTTAGTGCCTATTGGCATGAAACTCCATCCCCCACCCGCAGGTCCAGGCAGCCAATCATCTACTTTCTATCTCTGTAGATATGCCCTTCCTGAATATCCCATGTCAATTACGTCATTCAACATGTGGTCTTTTGGAGCTGTCTTCTTTCACATAGCATAACTTTCTGAGACTCATCATTGTTGACTCTTCTACTAATTCACAGCAAAAACTTACAGTATCTATTATATGTTCACAGAAATCCTTTCTAATGTTAACTCTTGGTTCAAGGTTATTTTTTTGAATCCAGGAAACTATTAAGTGAGATCACTGTTATGTAAATTCATGATTCACACAAATCATTTTTTAATTAAATAGTCTACAAACATACAAAAGCCTTTGTTAATATTTCTGGGTTAAACAGAAAAATGTATGAGTTTCTATGTCTAGGAAAATATATCAATATATTTTTAAAGAATATTGTATTGTCATAATACATATATTTATTTTAATCAAGTATTCTCACTCACTCCCTTGAGCTGACTGCTATATTACTAATTTGCCATTCCTATAGGCACTCAAAGTCCGTAACTACCACAGATTAAACAGGGCTCTATGCATTTCAGCACATGTCAGTAGCTCATCAGCATAGTTTTGAATATTTCCTAAAATATAGAAATACAAATTATAATATAAATATTATATTATATTTAATTATATTATATTATTAAATTAGTTATATTATTAAATTATATTATATTATTAAATTTAATATTATTAAATTATATTATATTATTAAATTTAATATAATTAAATTATATTAAATTTAATATAATCAAATTAGATTAAATTTAATATAATTTAATTATATTAAATTTAATTATAATATAAATTATAATATATAGAGAAATATAAATTATTAATAAAGTTTTCTTTTACAAATATATAATTTATAACTATATTTATTTCTTTCTTGCTCTAATCCAACTTGTATGTCCCTTGATACATTGTTTCTTCAGCCCTTTCAAGCAATGACTTTTATTTTTCCCTCTTAGGTGACTCACATCATGAGCTGAGGAGCAGGATAGATGTCCCTATCTCTCTTCTGTCACTTTTCCTGGAAAGCGTTCATTTTTGAATCTCACATCATCAAATTTCACCATCCTTCCTCTTTACAGTCCTCTATAGACCCCATACTGTCATTATTCTTCAATGGCTTTTGTTCCTGGTACATTGTCACTAACTCCAACAGTTCTTGGTGAGTTCAGTATCCATATAGAAGATACTTTCATTACTTTTGATAACCATGATCTTTTCCTCCACCCAAATTCAGCCACTCACTTCTATGGTTATACATTAGTTCAGGTTACATTAGTCCCTCATTATTTTGAGGGTTATGTGCCAAGCCCCCCAGTAGATGCCTGAAACCATGAATAATATTAAACCACACACATACACACACACACACACACAATTCTTTTCCTATAGATCCATATATGTGATAAAATTTGATGTATGAGTTAGGCACAGTAAGAGATAAACAACAATAATTAAAATGGAGCAATTATAGCAATATGCCAGCAACACTGTGCTTGCACTTTGGGGCCACTATGAAGTAAAATAAGGGTTACTTGAACACACCCACTGTAATACCTCAGCAGTAGATCCAATAACCAAACCAGCTACTAATTGACAAATGGGTAAGTAGCACATACAGTGCAAGAACTCTGGACAAAGGGAGCATTCACAGAGCAAGAAGGTATGAGACTTCATCACACTACCCAGAGCAGCAAGCCAGTTAACACTTATAAATTGTTTATTTCTGAAATTTTCCATTTAATATTTTTGGAATGCAGTTGAAAATGGGTAACTGAAACCACAGAAAGCAGAACCATAGGTAAGGGGAGAGTACCGTATTACCAAAAACTGTAGAATCTCCATATTCTCACATCTAAGCCCACTCCCTCTCATACCCAACGCCCTCAATTCTTCCACTTCACCAGAATCTTCTCAGTCTCCCTCACCATGCTAAGTTGAGAACCCTTCTCAACTTACCCAGTTTAGAATCCATAAGTTATTACTAAACTCACTCTCCTGCAAACATTCTCATCCTCCTTGCCTCTCGCTTACTTCATCATACACAGTGAGCAGCATCCCAACTCTTCCCTTGCACTCTTGCAGTTGTACATGTTTAAAAGAAAACACGGCCAGGCATGGTGGCTTACACCTGTAATCTGAACAACTGGGGAGGCAGAGACAAGCAGATCCCTTGAGTCCAGGATTTCGAGACCAGCCTGGCCAACATGGTGAAACTCTGTCTCTACGAAAAATACAAAAAGTTAGCTAGGCAAGGTGGCAGGTGCCTGTAGTCCCAGCTACTGGGAGGCTGAGGTGGGAGGATCACTTGAGCCTAGGAGGCAGAAGTGGCAGTGAGCCAAGATCAGCACTGCACTCCCGCATGGGTGACAGAGCCACATCCTATGTCAAAAGAGAGAATAATAAATGCAAAAACAAATCCCCCACATGATGTGAATATTTTGTCTCACTTTAAACTAATAACTAGTAAATTCAAGTGGGCCCTGAACTCATGCATTATTTTCCTGCAACACTGACTCTTCACTCTCTCAAAGTACACTTCCCTTTAGTAATAATACATCAGCCTGAACTCCTGACTTCCTCATTCCCTAAATGGGTCTCTCCTTCATTCTTCTCCATCTCACTTATTTGCAACTCCATCATTCTAGTTGCTCAAGCAAAACTCCTGGAGCCATCTTTGACTCCTCTTTATTTTCACAGTCTAAGGCAGAAGTGGTGGCTCTTTCTTCAAAATATCTTGTGTATGCATCACTTACTATAAGCTGTGACTAAGCCCTTGGGAGCCCACTTCTGGCATCAGTGTGCATTGGATGTTGGACATGGAATCAAAGGAGATTATTTTGAAGCTTTAAGGTTTAATGACTAACCTGCGGTGTTTTGGACTTGCATGGGGCCTACAGTCTCTCTTTTTTGGCCAATTTCTCCTTTTTGGAATGGGAGTATTTATCCAATGTCTATGCCCTCATTGTATCTTGGAAGTAACCAATTTGTGTTTTATTTTACAGGCTCATAGGTGGAAGAGATTAGCTTTACTCAGATGAGACTTTGGAATTTGAGTTAATGCTGGAACAGGTGAAGAATTGGGGGGTTACTGGGAAGGCACAATTGTATTTAGAAATGTGAGAAGGACATGAGATTTGGGAGAGGCCAGAGGCAGAATGATATAGTTTGGATGCATGTCCCTGCCAAAATCTCATATTGAGATGTAATCCCCTATGCTAGGGGGAGAGCCTGGTGGGAGTTGATTGGACCATGGGGGTGGATTTCTCATGAATGGTTTAACACCATCCGCCTTGATGCTGTCTTCACAATAGTGAGTGTGCTCTCTTGAGGTATGGCTGTTTAAAAGTGTATGCATCTTCCAGCTTTGCTCTCTTGATCCTGCTTTCTCCGTGTGATGAGCCTGCTCCCCCTCTGCTTTCTGCCATGATTTGAAGCTTCCTGAGGCCTCCCCAGAAGCAGACCCCACTGTGCTTCCCTTACAGTCTGCAGAACTGTGAGCCAATTAACCTTTTTTTCTTATAATTAAGCAGTCTCATGCATTTCTTTGTAGCAACGTGAGAACAAACTAATACACCTCCTTTGCCACTAATCTGGACTAAGCCATTGTCATCTCTCATCTGTTATTGCAACAGCTTCCTCACAGGTCTCCCTGACTCAAATCTTGTCCTTGACCCCTCAGTATTTTCTCAGAAAAAGCAACTAGAGTGATCCTTTTCTCCTATTACCTTAACTACATAGTAAAATATACAGAAGGTGATAAAGTTATATGGAGAATAATCAGGGTACAGGAAAATATATATCACATACAAGGAAGGGTTGAAACTTCAGGTGATTATGAAAGTCCAAATTGAGAATGCAATATTTAAGTTGAAATTTCTTTATTTTGCTATTGTCTGTCTCCTTCTACTAGAACCTAAGGTCTGTGATGGCAAGCATTTTGGTCTGTTTTGTTTACTACTGTATCACCAGAACTGAAAACTTCATTCCTTCAACAAGTGCTCCATAGGCACAGGAAAGGGATGACCAAGACAGAAAGCCTTCTCTCCTTTTTTGAACATAAAATCAGTAAACGTGTTGGGGAAGGGAAGAGAGTGACAGGCTTAAAAAATGTTATGTCTTTGATAACATTTTATATTCAATGAAAACTAGTTACAAAAAGATTAATTTTTATTTATAAAGGGTGACAAGCATCCAATTGATGCTATAAGCATAGCATTAACTACATGTTAATAATTTTAGAATGTGTGAAATGTTGTTGTTATTGCAGATGTGGGTTGCTCATTTGATATTGTGTACCAGGTTCCTCTTAAGTTAGTGAAGCAAAAAAATAGGAAAGGAAATAAGAAGTGATCAAGAAAGATGTAAGTTAGAAAATACAGCCTATGACTTTTTTCAACGAATTAGTGCTTATGAGAAAAATGAGAAAACTAGGTTAACTGGGTAGGTGAGCTAAAAGATTGAATTCTCGGCCAGGCGTGGTGGCTCATGCCTGTAATCCCAGCACTTTGGGAGGCCGAGGTAGGTGGATCACGAGATCAGGAGTTCAAGACCAGCCTGGCCAGCATAGCGAAACCCCATCTCTACTAAAAGTACAAAAATTAGCCGGGCATGGTGGCACACACCTGTATTCTCAGCTACTTGGGAGGCTGAGGCAGGAGAATTGTTGAACCCAGGAGGTGGAGGTTGCAGTGAGCTGAGATCGCACCATTGCACTCCAGCCTGGGCAACAGAGCAAGAGTTCGTCTCAAAAAAAGAAAAAAAAAAAAGACTGAATTCTCAAGGACTAGAAAGGTAAGAGAGAAACACAACTGGAAAAAATGTGAAATACTATCTTTACTTAATAATATAACCACAATTTTTAAACCTTGTAGAGCTAGAGCTGAGATAGTATTTTCTAAAGACCAGTAATACTATTAAAATTACATTGACTATTTTATGTGCACCATATATAATATATGACAAAAGAATAAAGGAAATATTCACAATAAGTAAACATAGAATTTAATTAAGGGAGTAGGCACAAAAAATTAAAATTTTTCCATTTCCTCTTTATGGTTATTTTCAAAATGAAGCACAATAAAAGCATATTAGACTAATAATTGAAACAATTTACTCTAATTAGATTTAATGATTTTTGGAGCTATTTCATAATGTTACCCCTAGAGTATAAACCTAATAACTCCCATATATATTTTTATCTTTCTGATTATGAAAGTAGTATTACTCATTGTAAAAACATTAGACAGTATGGAAATGTTTGATTTGAAAAGTAAAATCCCTTGATAACTCAAAGATACTTTTTAAAACAATTTTATTTATCTTAATTTGGAAATTGTTATACTTTAACATCAAAGCAAGGCTTTGTGCAGGCTGATATGGAGAATGCAAAGATTAAAAAAGGACAAGGAGAGTTATAGACCCTAGCAGATGGTAGGTATCACTCATATTATAGTGAAAGGCCACAATGAGGGATATAAATTTCTATGAAATATAGAAGAAGGAGAAATAACTTTAGGTGGGGAACATCATAAAAAATTCACTGAATATAAAGCACTTGGAATTTACTCTGAAGGATGGATATATGTGTCTGCTGTCTCAGAATACTCATTACCCCAGAATATAAAATAATCAATCTTAGCAGCTTTGGCAGTGAGTCTGATAGTGGAGGACAGCTACTCAAACTATGCCATACAAATAAAGGGATTTCTCAGGCATCTCAGCCTCTTCCCTGAGTGTGACAATTGGGTTTGGAATTGTTAAAACAAGAGAGGTCTCACCCAGTTTAGTGAGATAAGCTAAATCAATGCTTGGGATCAGAATGTGACAAATTGTGTTTGTACCCAGAATAGGATGAACACTGATAAGTGAAGGATGCACGAGAATATTTATGTGCAAAGAATAGCAGGAGAAAGACACTTGGCAGTGGACAGGCACAGGAGGGATCGAGTTTTAAGAAATCCCACCTGGTCAGTCTTTCAGGGAACTGGGAACTGAATAGTTGGAATGAAGTGGGATACGATGTTTTAGGAAGAATCAAGGGCTGAGGAGAATTTATCACATATTAGATAATTAGATCCAACAAAGCTTGTAGATTAGATTAGAGATGACCATTACTGTTTCTAAGGGTAAATAATCTGGCAGTTGTAGATTTAGAGTTTTACATTTATTGAACTACATGTATTCATAATGTTAACAAAATGGATAAATATGGAAAGACAGGCAAATGATATAATCATACAATAAAAGAAGAAAACATTTTAAAAAACTGTCAACCTTGGCGAAGTACAAAATAATCTAATCACATTTATACCCATGAAATTCACAGCATTTTAAAACATCAATTTTAAAAAAAACCTTTAAATACGTGAGTCTTACCCACGAAATTAAAAAAAAAAACTGCAAAATTTTAAAACATGAGTGCATAGAATACATTTGCAGCCATAGAAATGTACAAACATTTTAAGCATATAATCTAACAGAGGATATGCAGAATTGAGCACTCCCAAATTTGAGGATTGAAGTATTAATTGAAGAAAACTTCTGGAGGATAATTTAGTGGGGGGTCATAAAAATAAAATGTGTTTTTTGTTTGACCTGTTCAGCTTGTCTCTTGAATTTGGATATATATAAATTTTATAGTCATGGGCAAAGAAACCAAGATGTCATTTCCTTTTAAGAAGAAAAATTGAAAAAAAAAAAGCTTATCAAGTGTTCAGATATGATTCAAGCTTCTGGCTCAAGTTTATTCCTGAGGCCGGAATCAATTCTGCTCTTTGAGTTCTATGAGATATTCCTTAATGCTTATACAAGAAAGTCTTTCAAAACCTTCCAAAAGATAGTTTCCGGGACATTTTTTCCTTGCAATTCAAGAATCAAACAAACAAAAAAGTCAAAAACGTCAAAAATATTATTTTAATTGTTAAACTAATAAGCCCTGGAGGAAGACCAGTTGTTCAAAATCTTCTGCCTCACTTACCAGCTGCTCTAAACCTGAGCATCTTCATCAGAGAAATGAGAGTCATTATCATTCCTATTCCAGTTTCTGTGAGCATTGCAGGAGTTCAAACATCATAGCAGTGCTTTCCTTCTGGAAGCTCTAGGAAAGAATTAGTCCTTGTCTTTTCTAGCTCCCATAGGCTGCCTCCATTCCTTAGCTTGGATTCCCTGCTGTCCCCCTTCCTTCTTCAAAGAAGGCAGAGTCTTTCTCAAATCACATCACTCTGAAGCTGACTATTCTTCCTCCCTTCCCACATTTAAGGACCCTTATGATTACTATGAGCCTACTCCAATAATCCATGAAATTTAACATATCATAAGGTCAGCTGATTAGCAACCTTAATTGCTCTTTGACATGTAAGATATTCACAAGTTTGGTAATGTTGGATGTCTTTGTGAGGCCATTGTTCTGTCTACCACACTGCTTATAAGATATTTAGATGTCCTCTCAGTAATAGAAACCACAGTGTGTTAAGGTGTCACATGGCCCTTATTATGTCACCCTGGGGGTATTGGGGCCCAGGGAACTTGTAGAAACGACACTTCTCTGAGTACTGCTATTGTTGTGAGTAATAAACCATCATCTGTTTTAAACTAGAACTTTTTTCAGTGTTTGTATCGTGATATTCAGCAGCATTAGAGAACCTTCTATAGTTAACAAGAATGCCATTTGCAATGAAATATTTTAGAGAGGACAGATGTAGGAAAGGAAGAGAAAGAAGAAAGTGCTATAGTGGAAACCTATTTTCTTTGAATTTGTATCTAAATTCTAGAATATTATCTTGAAGTGCATGACACTTCAGCATTAGAAAACTACTTATGTCACCATTTTCACGACTTCCATAGACCCTACAAGGTCTCAGGGACAGAGAAGCCTAGGTAGCTGTTGAAAATGACTTATTCTATTTTTAATCAAAGAACAAATTATTTTCAAAATCTAACTATGGGAAATAGCATGGTGATGCACCAGATGAAACTTCATCAGACTCTAATAATCCCAGAATAATTTTAAAATAAGAGGCATCAGCTCATTTAATCATGAGAATGTCAACATGCAAAGACCACAACATGGTCAGTTCAAAATTTGTTGTATGTTATTTTATTTAGATCCATCATTGAATAAATGCCATTCCTTTTGTCATGCAGTCATTCACACACACTATGTTCTAGGTAGGACAATTTGCCTTCTCTTTGCTGCAGTCCAAGTTTCTCCAAGTATATGTCCTAGGAACCTGCATCATCAAATCTTAATTCCTGATTTTTTTAAGCTTCAGCTCTACTATTTCTGTCACTTGAAATCAGACCTCATAACTTTCTCCCTGATCATAAAAATTTTTGTCCTGAACTTGACTACCATTACTAAAATTAGTTAAGTAAGAGCATCTTTTTGATGTTTTTGACAGGTAGCAAAAAATCCATGTGATTTGAAAAGAGAAATAGAAATGTGAGTGAGCAATGATGTTTATTTTATTTAATGTAATGTGTTATGTGGAAATTGAGATGTTAACCTCAAAAGAATGACACAGATGCTTCTTTCGTACTCTTTATAAGAAGGTAACATTATTTTCTGTCAGTTAGAATTTTGTTCTTGAATCATCATTGTTGATAATGAAATATATTCAATGATTTAGTGTTAGCACCGTAACACTAAGAGGATTTTTGAGGCCTTCAAGCAGCCAAAAAGTCTTTGGTATTAAAATTCATTAACTTAAGCACCAGGGGATGATACTGAATAGGCAAGATTCATGTAAAACTGACACTTTATTTCTTTTTTTATTCAATTTAAAAAAACAAATTAAAATTTGCTATTAAATATTCTGCACACAAAATGTTGTTGACTTCCTTTTATGCAAAGCCTTTGGCTAACATTATTTATTTGTCAGTGGGAGGACATGAATATGAATACAGTGTTGGCATGATTTGCAACTTGTTTTTTATCCCAATGTCAGATTTTATTTTCTCCTGACTTTCAAAAGCATAAATGAGAGACAATTATTATATCAGATATTAGATATCATGAGTCAGTGGGTCAAACACCTTGATTAGTAATATTATTTAAAATATAAATTATAGTCATAATTATAGTCTCAGGATGCAAAGATTAAACTCAGGTACTCTTCCTATCTGTTTTCATAAAATCTGCACTTCCTTTCACATAATAATTAGTCCATTATCTTGTACTTTTTTATACTCTATATAAGATTGTGTACTCTGAGAGCAAACCTACTGCCTTGTGTTGAGGTGAATATATACTAGATGATCAATAAATTTTGAATGAATAAAATTAATTAAAGGATAAACAGTCCTGTATTTTAAAGGTATTATTTTCAAAATAACTTTAATTTCTCCTGAGGTATTACTTGTGAATAAACATTTCATTTCTTCCTATCAGTATTCATTATTGCATATGTTCTGAGGAGAGAGAAAAAAACTAAGTAAAAATAGGAACAAAGCTAAAGAGGAGCAGATTAACCTATGTTGCTATGGGATTTAAAAGTATTTAGACATCAGATATTTTACAGTATTCTCCTAAGTCTCAACCATATTGTTATTGATTTATATGAAATATTTTCTAGGTCCTTAGAAAAATGGTAACTCAAAATGCACACAAAATACTAATAATTTTAAACAATTAGGGAACACAGGATCTCAAGTAATGTTCTCATCACATATTTGTATTCTATTTCATCATATGGTATACAACAGGATGAGTTTGATTCCCCAAATATTTCACATCTAAATATACGTATGTAAATATATAGTTGATATTATATATAATAATATTTCTATGAGGAGATGGAGGGAAGGCACGCAAATCTACTAGGCTTGCCAAAATATTCCAGTTCTAAAAGAGAACAGGACAGGTTAAAGGAAAACAAAATAAACAGCTTGAAAAATCAAAGAACTAAAATTAAAGAAGTCAATAAATTGGACCTCTCTTTCATAAGGAAATACATTTTATTTTTTTTCTAGGATATTTTTAAGCTGTCATCAGTAATAAATATATATTAACTAAAAATAATTTGAATGCTATTATTTTGTGACTCCATGCCCAGGAATGTGAACAACTGTAAAGATGTAAAGACAAAAATACCAATCTCTCTTGTGTTGGGACTTTTCAGTGTTTACAAGGCTAATCTCTAGGCATCTGGCAATGAAGCCATTTTGAGCTCTTACACTTTTTTGAAAAAGCCCCTAATGTGTTTTAGTGGACTAATGACTGTTTATCTGGAAAACTTAGTAAAAATAGAAAGGTAATTATTTATGGAAAGAACATGCTTTTTATTATTAATTATTTGAAATACCCAAAAATTCATGCAGACTACTTAGAGTCAATATTTTACCAATTCATGTAAAATGTTAAAACTGGGTAATAGTGCATTTCCATTTGCCAACACTCAGCCTTTTGCTGTTGTTTTCATGGCTGTATTTATCTTTCTCTCTCTCTTTCTTTCCTTACCCTCTCCTTTTCTCTCTGCCTTTAGAGTTTTTGTAGTGAAAGGTCTGCTGGCAAAGAATTTTCTATTATTGTTTTTTTTTTTTTGTTTCTGAAAATCTCTTTGTTCCTTCTTCAATTTTGAAAGTTAATTTTGCAGACTCTGGTTTGGTATTTTTTTTCTTTTGGCACTTTAAATGTGTCGTTCTATTATCATCAAGCCTTCACTGTTTCTGATGACCACTTAGTCATTATTGATATCATTGTTCTCCTTTGTGGAATGTGTAATTTTTCTCTGGACATTCACTGGACTTCTCAGATCTATAACTTGTCTACTTTATCAAGTCTGAAAAATTATTGCCATTAATCAAACATTTGGTCTCTGGGTTTATTTTTTAAAGCTGCTTTAGATTCATATCAATATTGAGTAGCAGGTACAGAGATTTCTCATATACTTGCTGACTCAGCAAATGGATCTCAACACCCCTATTATCGACATCCCCACTAGAGCGGTACATTTATCATAATCAGTGAAGCCATATTGACACATTATAATCACACAAAATCTATTGTTTACATTAATATTCACTCTTGGTATACATTTCATGGGTTTTGGGTAAATGTATAATGACATGTCTTCACCATTATAGTATCACAAAGAATAGTTTCAATTCTCTAAAAATCCTCTGTGCTCCACCTTTCCATTCCTTCCTTCAGACCCTGGCAACCACTGATCTTGTTACTGACTCCATAGTTTTGCCTTTTCCAGAATGTCATATAGTTGGAATCATATAATATGTATGTAGCTTAGCTTCTTTCACTTAGTAATGTGGGTTTCAGTTTCCTCCATGTCTCTTCATAGCTGGATAGCTCATTTCTTTTTAGAGCTAATGAGTACTTCATTGTCGGATGGATCACCACTTATTCATCCATCCTTTCAGCGTTTTTTTTTTTTTCCCGTCAAGTGTTTTCTTGAAGTGACAGATTTACTTCACTCATTATTGAAAATATATGCTCCAAAAGCCCAATTCTGAATAACCATGGCTTTCTTTCAGTCATTATTTCATATAACATTGTTATTCTGTGACAAAATGTGGCCAGTTCTGTCTTCAGCTCAATCATACAAGTGCTTTCCCTTCAGACAACCATTTTACTCTATTTTGCAGCAGAATGTTTTTATGCGTCCTTCTGATTTCTTTATGCAGATAATTCAAAAGCATACTCATGAGTTGAGGCTAATAAAATTAATACATTTTACTACTTTGTCAAGGACATTCTGAAGTGAAACTGTTATTTTATACCGCAGTTTCTGAGCAGTGAAGAATAAAATGACTACAATCATCGTTTGTTGCCACTGCCTTGAATTGTGCTAAAGTATTAGAAAGTTTATTCACTGTGTTTTGGTAACATCGCTGCAAATTTTAACATAGTGGAAAAAATGCAAACACATTATTATTACAATAATAACATTATTATTTAAAAAATTTGACCTTACTGACCCTCTAGCAGAGTCTTGGGGATCCCAAGGAGTTTATAGATCACACTTTGATGACACTGTTATAGTGATAAATTAGCTCTATTTCCCAAAGACTGATTCATTTAGAGTGTCATGAGCCCCATAGATTCCAAAAAGAGGTTTCCATGTTCTGATTCATTGAAACTCTTATACCTACCAGCATCATGCAACCTCTAGGTATCCCCTGAATTCACAGCTCCCTAGGAGCTAAATTTTGCCCTAAACTTATGCATCTTCTCTATTTGGTCAAAGATGTGAGAACTACCCCATGCTGATTTATGAAGTACTTCCTCCAAGTAGTTAGTTCCCTGATCTTTATCAACCTGATCTGCAAATTTGGTCACCTCAGCAGCCCTGAATTCTAAGCTTGGAAACCAGGGTTCATCTTCTGGGTTCTACCTGTCTGCATAGTTGTCTGGCACCCGCCTAATCTGATTCCCTCTAACTCAAAGATTGAGCTGTACAGCTGGTTATCCAGTGCCTGAATATGTTTGTTTCATACATTGTGCCCATTGTTATAGTGGTTTTTGAAGGGAAGGTGATATGGTTTGGCTCTGTGTCCACCAACCCATATCTCATGTCAAATTATAATTCATAATGTTGGGGGAGGGACCTGGTGATTGGATCATGGGGGCAGATTTCCCCCTTGTTGTTCTCATGATAGTGAGTTATCATAAGATCTGGTTGTTTAAAAGTGTATAGCACTTCCTCCTTTGTTCTCTCTATTCTGCCACCATGTGAAGACATGCTTGCCTCCCCTTCAGCCTTCCACCATGATTGTAAGTTTCCTGAGGCCTCCCCAGTCAGTCCCACTGTATAGTCCATGTAACTGTAAGCCAACTAAACCTCCTTTCTTCATAAATTGCCCACTCTTGGGTAATTCTTTATTGCAGTGTGAGAATTAATACAGAAAATTGGCAAAAGGCATCTGGCAGTGCTATAAAAATAACTGAAAATGTGGAGGCAACTTTGGAACTGGGTAACAGGCAAAGGTTGGCACAATCTGAGGGGCTCAAAAAAAGACAGAAAGGTGAGGGAAAGTTTGGAACTTCCTAGAGACTTACTGAATGGTTATGACCAAAATGCTGATAGTGATGTGGGCAGTGAAGTCCAGACTGAGGTGGTCTCAGATGGAGATGAGGGACTTATTGGGAACTAGCGTAAAGATCACTCTTGCTGTGCTTTAGCAAAGAGACTGATGGCAGTGTGTCCCTCCTCTAGAGATCTGTGGAACTTTGAATTTGAGAAAGATGATTTAGGGTAGCTGGTGGAAGAAGTTTCTAAGCAGCAAAGTGTTCAAGAGGTGGCCTAGCTGCTTCCAAATGCCTATGCTCATTCACATAAACAAAGAAATGACCTGAAACTAGAGCTTATATTTTAAAAGGAAGCAGAGCATAAAAGTTTGGAAAATTTGCAGCCTGAACATGTGGTAGAAAAGAAAAACTCATTTTCTGGGTTGCAAATCAAGGTGGCAGAAATTTGCATAATTAAGAGTTGAATTTTAATAGCTGAGACAATGGAGAAAATGTCTCCAGGGCATTGCAGAGACCTTCGTGGCAGCCTCTCCCATCACAGGCCTGGAGGCCTAGGAGGAAAAAATGCTTTTTGGAGGGCATGCCCAGGACCCTGCTGCTGTGTGTAGCCTCAGAGCATGATGCCCTACATCCCAGCTGCTCCAGCTCCAGCAATGACTAAACAGACCAAGGTGCAGCTCAGGCTGTTGCTTCAGTAGTTGCAAGCCACAAGCCTTGGTGGCTTCCATGTGATGTTGGGCATGCAGGTGCACAGAAGGCAAGAATTGAAGTTTGGGAGCCTCTGCCTAGATTTCAGAGGATTTATTAAAAGGCTTGGATGTCAAGGCAGAAGTCTACTGCACAGGCAGAGGCCTCATGGAGAACCTCTACTAGGGCAGTGCACAGGGGAAATGTGGGGTTGGAACCCACACAAAGAGCTCCCACTGGGACAGTGCCTAGCGGACGTATGAGAACTGTGCCAATTCTCCAGACTTCACAATGGTACATCCACTGACAGCTTGCACCATGCACCTAGAAAAGCTGCAACACTCAACATCAGCCCATTAAAGAAGCCAAGGAGGCTGTACCCTGCAGAGCCACAGGGGTGGAGCTGCCCAAGGTCATGACAGCTCAACCCTTGCACCAGGTTGTGAGACATGGAGTAAAAGAAGATTATTTCAAGGCTTAAAGATTTAATGACTGCCCTGCTGCATTTCAAACTTGCATGGGGTCTGTAGCCCCTTTCTTTTGGCTGATTTCTCCCTTTTGGAATGGGAGTAATTACCAAATGCCTGTACCTCCATTATATCTTGGAAGTAATTAATATGTTTTTAAATTTTTAAGTTCATAGACAGAAGGGACTTGCACTGTCTCAGAAGAGACTTTGGACTTGGACATTTGAGTTAAGGCTGGAATGAGTTACGACTTTGGAGAACTGTTAGGAAGGCATGCTTGTGCTTTGAAATGTGAGAAGGACATGAGTTTTTGGAGGGGCCAGTGATGGAATGATACACTTTGGCTCTGTGCCCCCACCCAAGTCTCATGTTGAATTGTAGTTCCAAATGTTGAGAGAGGGACCTGGTGGGAGGTGACTGGATCATGGAGGTGAATTTCCTCCTCACCGTTCTTGTGGTAGTGAGTTTTCATGAGATCTAGTTGTTTAAATGTGTTTAACACTTTTAACACATTAAATGTGTTTAACACTTTTAACACATTAAATGTGTTTAAATGTGTTTAGCACTTCCCCCTTAATTCTCTCTCTTCTGCTGCCATGGGAAGATGTGTTTGCTTCCTCTTTGCCCTTCTACCATAACTGTAAGTTTCCTGAGGTCTCCCTGCCATGCCTCCTGTACAGCCTGTGGAACCATGAGCCAATTAAACCTCTTTTCTTCATATATTACCCAGTCTCAAGTAGTCATTTATAGCAGGGTGAGAATAGACTAATACAGAAGGCTAATCCAATACCAGTCATTCCATCAAAGCCTCCTTTTTTTTAGGTAATTCAACAATTGGACATACCTATAGCCATTGCCTATTATGTCTTCTAGCAGCTTTATGGGTAGTCTTAGGAAAATATGATCTTGATACTGATCTTGATAAAAATGCATTATGTTTTATTGATTTTTCTATGTCAATATACACAAAAATAATTCTTTCAATAATGACCACATGAATTTAGAAGTATTTCAGTCTATCAAATGCAAATATTTTTCTTCAGCTAATTATATCTCAAGGCTTAGAAACACACTAGTCTTTCTTTTGCCAAAATGCAATTATGAATAACTTTAATTATCAGAGGTAAAGTAGCTGTAGTCTGAGTATGCTGACTCCCCCACTTCATCATCTTACCAGATTCTGGTCTGAGGAGTTCATTGACCTTTTCCATCTACATGTAAACATTTTCTTTTTTGGTCATTTATTAGTTACACAGATCTTCACACCAGGCTGACTTACACTAGCTCCTTACCTATAATGTTCAGATTTGGGACTTTATTATGGAATGGCTACACTTCTTTGGAATTCTTTGTGACTCTAACATCAATGTACCACCACTCTTATGTTTCTTGGCATACAGACAACTATAAATTCCAAAAACAAGATTTCAAAAACAGAGTGGCTGGTAGCGGTGGCTTGTGCCTGTAATCCCAGCACTTTGGGAGGCTGAGGCGGGTGGATCACCTGAATTCAGTAGTTCAAGACCAGCTTGGCCAACATGGTGAAACTCTGTCTTTACTAAGAATACAAAAATTAGCCAGGCGAGGTAGGTGTTGCCTGTAATCCCAGCTACTTGGGAGGCTGAGGCAAGGAGAATTGCTTGAACCCAGGAGGTGGAGGCTGCAGTGAACTGAGATTGTGCCACTGCACTCCAGCCTGGGCGACAGAGCAAGACACCGTCAAAAAAGAAAAAGAAAAAAAAAAAACAGAGTAACACAGGACTTGATCACTTATAGTGTATCATAAAATTACAATTACAAAACCCCAACCCCATGAAATAGAAATATATCAAGGCCATTTGGTATATTGCCAACTCCAACTACAGTCATATGACTTATTAAATTTGATTTTTGTTACTTTTGTTTTATAAGAGACAGAGTCTTGTTATGTTGCCTAGGCTGGCCTCAAACCCCTGTACTCAAGGGATCCTCTCATCTCAGCTCCTGAGTGGCTGGGATTATAGGCGCATACCAGCATACCTGGCTTTGATTTTTTAAATTAGGAAAGACAAGTTGAAACACATCAGAAGTATAGGCATAGACGTTTTCTGGCACCCAACTTCAATGTATAATTTACATACTTCAGAAGAAAGGTCTAGAGGTGTTTGCAAGATGTGACACAGAGAAAGGTAAAAGGTTCATGAATTTTCTGACACATAAATATTTGTACATAGATTATCCCTAGGTTTTCCATCATGTAAATAATTCTGCTATTTTGTGTTTTTATTTTTCCCCCCATGTTCCAATGTGTCACATATATTTTTGTATTGTTTAGCTCCAAAAAGAGAACAGAGGTGCTTTTTTTAAAAGTGCTTGACTCTTTTAGAAGGCAAACATGGGCAAAGGCAGAAAAAAGTCTTTAAGAGGATTCGAAGATTACTTGATATTTTGTACTTACATTCATGTCTGTGGCTTTTAACATGTCTATTTCTCCCAATTACAAGCAAATATGGAGTCATATTTCTCTTTTCACAAGAAGAGAAAGTATTTTTTCAATTAATAATAAAAGATAATTTAAAGTATTTAATAAAAATAATTTTTCATCTTGATCTTCTGTGAATACCTTTTATTTGCCCAATATTCAGTATTAGATGTGAATCTAAAAGAAGCTATAAACCAAAACACTAACTGCTTAAGAATATAACTCCTCTAACTCAACGAATACTCCAATAATGCACTAAAGTAATGCATTCCCTACGTATGTATTTTCCTGAAACATACTAGACATTATTAGCTTCGGCTTACAACTAAACACAAATATTAGGGCAATTTTCACCAATGGCAAATGGAGAATTACTCTCTGTCAGATTACTACTACTACTAAGGAAACATGCCAAAATATTAAAGGCCAGTATCTTTCGAATGAAGGTACATAGCCAAGGCACAAGGTACAGTGTACTTTTGCTTTGCAAAAACACAAGTGATTCCTGCTGGCTCATGAGATGGTATGAGAGAATTATAACTGGATAGATACATAATAATTGTGCTAATCCAAGTTATATAATAATAACATTATGAAGGAAGCAGTGTTGTTCATTATCCCATTGCAAACCACTACTATAAATTCAGCCTCTGTGGTGCATCACTTCCTGTGCAAACAAACACTGATAATACAACAAGCTGGAAATTCTTCAAAACTAGCAGATTGATAGCACAAATTACTCAGCGAAAGAGAAAGCCTTCAGCAGCTTCAGAAGTGCTTGCTACATAAGCATGATTAAGTGTTTCTGTACAAAACCACAAATCACAATAATGAATCAGATGAAAATCTTCAATAAGAAACTTAAATGCACCAGCTGGCCTTCATCACTCAGCAATGTTACAATGTAAAATGATGACATTCTAAATAGCCGGGTTGGCAGCCTCAGCAGACTGTCTCAAGTTAGCTCCCTGTTTTGACAAGCACATCAAAAAGAAAAACTGACAAATCAAAAGAACATCACCCACTTTTTAAAACTCTCAGAGGGGAGAAAAAGAAACAACAAAAACAATGATTTTCACATCGATAGCTCTTAAGATTATTAAAACACATTAAAATGAAAAGTTCTATAATCCTATGTCAAATGCTTCATAACCTATTTAATAAATACTAAAATTTGCCCAGTGGTGAGTCCACATTGTTTTAAGGATGTTTATTTTAAAGCAAGCACATGCTGGTTATTTTTCTTAATTATTGATCAACAACTGACTGGAGTCAGTTATACTACAGTCTTAACAATATATTAAACTATATAAAATAATATAAAATATATAACAATAAGTAAATTACTACTAACAATATATAAAATAACTACAGGTGTGACATGTTGAAAACTGAATCAAATTACACTTGATTTTCATCACACTAAAGTAATTCAGTAGTTTGGATAAACTTGGAATAAAGTATGCCTTTCTCATTTTAAACTACAAACAATGGCTTAGGCATATTCAGATGTACATGTTGATATCGTTCGGCTCTGTTTACCCACCGAAATCTCATCTTAAACTGTAACCCGAATTGTAATCCCCAGATGTTAAGGAAGGGACTTGGTGGGAGGTGATTGGATCATGGGGGCAGTTTCTCCCATGATGTTCTTGTGATAGTGAGTGAGTTCTCATGAAATCTGTTGCTTTAAAAGCATTTGACAGTTTCCCCTGCGCCCCTCCCCACTCTCTCCCACTGCCTTGGGAAGAAGGTGCCTTCTTCCCCTTCACCTTCCACCATGATTGTAAGTTTTCTGAGGCCTCCCCAGCCATGCAAAGCTGTGAGTCAATTAAACCTCTTTTGTTTATAAATTACTCAGTCTCAGGTAGTATCTTTACTGTAGTGTGAAAGTGAATTAATACATGTTGTTATTTCCATGATGCAATATCCATATTAAGAAGTGTCTCCAAAATATACTCAATAATAGCACAGTGCAGAGTAAAGAGTTTGTTAATGGGAGAGGGCTCACCTCTTAGCTAAATAGAAAGTACTGAGTTCATTACAGGTTATTGTCGCTGAAACCAGATGAGGTTTACCAATTAAATTCTTAAACATTATCAACTAATTTAATAAAAAGAAATATAATTAGTATGAAATATAAGAAATATAAGAAGAAAGAAATATAATTAGTATGCAATGGAAATGAAAAATATTTGTCTGCTATGCCTGGATTAAATTTCATGCAAAATAAATTTGCCTTAAATACACTGTCGCTAGACAAAGTGAGTAGTTTGATCACAAGTTGATTTAATGGCCGCTAGAAAAGATAGATCCAAGACTGACAAAAGATAACCTCAATGGAAATGCAAGTTACTTTTAATTTTTTAAGGAAAATAAAACAACTTTTACCAAGAAACATTATGATACAAGACTTTGGAATACATAAATATATATACACATTTTTAAAAAAATCTTTACTTATGGAAATCAGTTGGCTATGGCTAAGATATGTATCTGATAAACAAATATTGCCTATTTATATACCTAAATTTGATAGTTCTTTAAAATATGAAGCTACTGCATGACAAATATTCATGGGTTAAAGAGTAAACTGAAAAATAACATCAATGGCAAAGTCCACCAGTTCATCTTCATGAGGTAAATTTGAAAAGTCATTTTTAAGATTCTCATGGAAGTCTAGCAATCCTTTAATAAAATTTTTAAATAGGTAAGATTACTGTGAATATTGTGAATAGCATATTATTTTTACCTCATCATGCAAAATCCTCTGACAGTAATAATCAAGTATCCACCAATGTCTACCTTTTGGTTATGAAGGATTTTTTTAAGAATATCAAGATCATAGAGTTTGGAATTGGGGACAGACATTGAAAGTTTTCAGATTTTGAAATCTATTAATACTAAAAGAACATAATAATACTTCAATAATTTTCAAATACATGTTGAATTCATTTACAGTCAAATAATCCATGCCTATGTGCATATTATTTTGCTAATCATTATAATGTTTACAAATTAATCCTCATAACAAATGTTTTTAATACCAAATAATAATCTATAATATGTATCTACCATTTCTCTCTTTTTCTTTACAACAGAATTCCTCTTTCTGTCTCTTTCTCTATATGTGTGTATACTCATTGTCTCTAATTTCTCTCCTACCAAGTTTTCTTAAACTCTCACTACACCAAAAATATTTTTGTCAAGTTTACAAATGATTTGCACATTACTAAAAGCCAAATGGTAAATTCTCAGTCCTTGATTTGATCTTTCAGTAGCATCTGATAATATTCAGTACTTGCTAAATATTTTGTCTACAGACATGGTTTTGTTATTATCATTCAGTTAGAAATCTTTGTGTTATGGTTTGAATGTTTGTTCTCTCCAAAACTTACACTGAATGTTAATCTCGAATGTAACATTATTGAAAGGTTGGGCTTTTCAGAAGTGATTAGGTCATGAGGACTCTGCCCTCATAAAGAAATTAATTCTCTCATAGATTAATCAATTAACAATTTATCATGGGTGTGGGTTAGTTATCATGAGAGTGGGTCTGAGAGTCGGTCTGTCATAAACAGCCAGTTTAGGCTGTCACCCTTTCCCTCTTGTCCTGTGATGCTTTTGTCCATGTTAGGGTACAGCATGAGGCCCTCCACAGCAGCTGACCAGATGTAGCTGCCTGATGTTTGACTTCCCGGTCTTTAGAACTGTAAAAAATACATTTCTTTTCATTATAAATTATCCAGTCTCATGTATCCAGATGTATTCAGTTACAGCAACAGAAAGCAGACTAAGACAATATGTATAATTTGGAATATAAGTCATCATGCTATACCTTTATCAAAATGCCAGATTCATGTATCTAACTACATATGTATCTTTTAAAAAATTTTTAATGTTTAATTTTTATGGGTACAGAGGTGGCATATAAATTTATGGGGGTACATGAGGTATTCGATACAGGCATACCATGTGCACTAATCACATCAGGGTTAATAGGTTATCCATCACTTCAAGCATTTATCATTTCTTTGTGTTACATTCCAGCTATAATTTTAGTTATTTTTAAATATACTATAAATTACTGTTGACTGTAGTCACCATGTTGTGCTATCAAATATTTAGATTTTATATATTCTATCTAACTGTATTTTTTGTACCCATTAACCATTCCCACTGCCCTCATCTCCTACTTCCCCACTATCCTTCCCAGCCTCTGGTAATCATCCTTCTACTCTCTATCTCTATGAGTTCAATTGTTTTACTTTTCAGCTCTCACAAATCAGTGAGAACATGTGAAGTTTGTCTTTCTGTGCCTGGCTTATTTCACTTAATGTAATGTCTTCCAGTACCATCCATGTTGTTAGAAATGACAGGATCTCAGTATTTTTTTATGGCTTACTAGTACTCTATTGTGTATATGTACCACATTTTCTTGATCTGTTCATCTGCTCATGGACCCTGAAGTTGCTTCCAAATCTTGGCTATTGTGAGTAGTGCTGCAATAAGCATGGGAGTGCAGATATCTTTTCAATAGACTTCCTTTCTTCTGGGTATATATCTAGCATGGGATGCATAGAAATCTTGATCTTAATATGCCCTGAAGTGAGGGTCTATTCAACCCCTACATACAACACTCTCCACCCACCACACACACACACACACAAAACAGCCAATTAACTAACCAAGAAAAATGTCTGTTCCTACCACTTTCTTCCCATCTTACTTTTCATCCTTTGTGTTGCTCAGATCAAACTTTTGGAGGCATCATTGACTTCTCCTCTCTAACTTGTTATCAAACGCTACTGGCTCTTCAATGTAAGTATTTCATAAGCTCAATTCTTTTTTTACTTCCTGCACTGCTATCATCCCAGCCATCAACATCTCCCACCTGAATAACTGCAATTGATTTGCATGGCCCTATGCTTGCCTATTGCAACCCAATGTCAGTATAGCCCAAGAGTTTAGGTAGAGCTTAAATGTAACTAGGGGCTTGAATTTTGTTGTTCCTGAAACTCTCAGTCTTGACTTCAACCTTAGTCCTTGATATTTGAATTTGAACCTGGATACCCAAGTGACTCAACCTACTTCCTTTCTTTATTTAGGTTCTTCCATACTCAATGCAGCCATCCCGGCTACCCTAATTAGTCCTGCAACATTCTCTCCCTTCATCCTACCAATACTCTCTGTCCTCCTTCTTTATTTTTCTCCTTAAAATTAAGTTTCTGTACCTCTAGCATAAAGAAAAGCACACGACACAAAGAATTGCTCAATAAATATTTACTTAAGTGGTGCCACAACTGATCCTATTATTTCTAGTCTCAAGAATTTAATCTAGCCATTAAATTCTAAATATTTTCACCACTTGTTTTACTCACTTTATACTTGCCATAAAAATCTCACAGATATTATATATATATAATCAAATTGTATTTATTTTATTATACCATTTGATTCTTTTTAATAATTAAATTTATTTAAAATTAAATTTTTATATGCAAAGAAACAAATTGAGAAAGATGGCGTGATAAGCACACATGGTTAATAAAAGGCAGAGCAAAAATTTAAGCCAGTCTTATTTTGAAACTTGTATTTGAAACTTTTATTGTCACAAAAAACAGAGCATCTGGTGATTCTTCTTTATGTCTTTAATGCAATTAAATGTGGATTACTTTTTGCTGTTTTTAGACACTTTACTCAAAATATATCTTCTATTAAGTCTGTCTTTTTTACATTATTAGGTTTATAATTTATTTATAATCATGTTGTATTTAATAGAGATGTACAAGTTAGAGATTGATTAACTTATTTTTAAAGGTCTTGTTTTGTAGAGTCAATTAATTCAGACTTATTTAGACTTAATCTCAGTTATGAAAATGTAGACAAAATGATGAAGACCAAAATGTATAAAGAGTTGTAAATCTTACAAATACTTTAAAATATTCATTATGATAATTATTAAGTAGGCAAGAAAGGCAAGAAAGAACTATTTATGAATGTTCATAATCATAGCATTCTCTGATAATATTGTATCTTTTCCTTGCCAATTTTTAAAATGACTGTCATTTTGAATTGCAGAAATTCCAGAAATGTTTTTCTCTGTGTTACTTTCATAGTAATGTGTAATATGGATTGATAACAAATACTTGTGTTTTCATTTGCAGAATATATATTTTCAAGGATATTTGGAGGATTTGAGTATCAGATAAGTCAGAATGAGCATTCTAGAGTAAGTCATTTAAACCTAATGCTTCTTAAATGATTGTTCCATTGATAGTGAAGCCAGAATCTGATAGTCACTAACTTTTTTTCTGGAAATCTTCCATTAGTTGGGAAGGCTGCCAAAGCTCTTCTCTTTTAAGAAGAAAGATGTAAAACAGATTTGAATCAGTATAGCATTAGATCAATTTTCTCCCTCTTGATAAAACTGCAACTGCATATGCACAAAGATTTTAGATTCCTATTAGTAACACAAGCTTCTGACCCAAGTCTAGCCATGATTCAAAGTTATTGCTACAAATCTGCTTAAAGTCTCCATTGACTCTTTGAAAACAAAGAGTGAGTCTTCTATTACAGAGGAAGCAGATATTGATTAAGGGGTTCTGATTTAGTCTGCCATTAAGTATATCATAACCATGTTTTCACTAATGTTGGGCCAAGCCCATATTAGTATTATTAGGATTGGCAATTTCACAAGTTAAAACAGTTGAGCTCTTATACTCCATAATTCTTACTTCTCTTTCCAATTCATATTTTATTTTATTTTTTCTGTTACATGAAATAATTCCTGGCACCTATTGCACTCAGGAGCCCTGATTAAGACAAACTGGGAAATGGCAAGCAGAGATTGAGTACAAGTAGGGAAAAAGGATAATGAACAGCAATCAAAGCAAGGCCTTATGAGTCAAATAGGGAGAGTAATAAAAGAACTTGAACAAGATGGTATTGGGAACAGTACAAGATCTCTATTGTTTGAACAAAATTTTAAGGTCAGAGATGAATAAAAAACACAGATGAATTTATTTTGTGCTGCTTAGTTTGGTCTGGAGTCCCTTAAAATCTCCAATACATGGAGAAAAGGAAGGAAATTAACATTTATTGTATACCCACCATGTTCTGAGCTTGGAGTGATGTACTTTATATAAATTGCCACTTGCATTAACAGTTTAAAAACAGTAATAAGGCATGCAATGTAACTCTGAAGGAGAAAGAGGAGAAGGAGGAAGAGGAGGGGGAGAAGGAGAAGAAGGAAGACGGTTTTATTTACTAAGTGTGATCTCAAAGTAACTTATTGAGTATAAATATACAACACACACATATACAAAGTGAAGATGATAGAAAATTAAGGGAAAAAGAAAATAATAAAATGCATTTGTTTGTATGTGAATAAAATATTTCTAGAAATGTTCAGAAGACATCAAAAACATTTTTATTTCCAGAAAAGGGATATGAGTGCGGAAGAGGCTGGGAAGGAGACATTTCTCTGTACATACCTTAGTATATTTTGAATCGTGAAGTATGTGAATGTATTCTTCTTCAAATTACAATAAGAACAATCATAATAATTCTGTTTTTCAAACACTTCCTATGTTCTAAGAACTGTGGTTATCTATTTATACTGCTTTTAGAAAATATAAGTTTCCTGGAAAAAAATCCCTTTCACAATTTAAGAGCCGCAGATTCACATGCATCTCTGCAGATGTCTTCTTTATTTCTGGTGAGACTGAAAAAGAGCTCCTCTTCCTACCCAGAGTAAGCCCCTATACACACATCCATATGCAGGGTGCCTCTCTTCTCATTGTCTCAAAGACTTTGCCCCTCTTTCTCCTGCACCATAAATCTCTCTTGCTTTACTGAACTCCCCGTCAATGAAAAACAGTCTCTGGTGGTAAACTCCAACCCTACAATAAACCAACATAAAACACTACAAAAACTCCTTGATTTTTAATGAGACATTTCCATTGTTTTTTCCCCAAAATCTAATTTCTAATTTCCTATTTTCCCTTCACTCCTCCATCTGTTTTGCTCTGAATACCAATTCAGATTGCCAAATTCAATGGTTATTTTTTTCTGTAATTATCTCTTTTTACTTCTGTGCAGAACAAAACAGCCAACAACCACCTTCACCTTAAAATTTTGCTTGGCTCTTGTTACACCAGATACTCCTTATCATCTTCCTACTTCACTGGTTGTTCCTTCCTGTCTCTTTTGTAGACTCTTCCTCAATGCCTAACTCTAAAGAGTTTGAATTTCCCAGGGATCTATTCTCTATTTTTGTCTTCAATCTCTCCTTAAATGTTCTCATCAATTTCCATGAGTTTTAATATTATTGATGTGTTGAAATCTATCTCCAAGCTGAGCTCTTGTGATAACTGTAACCTCCCACCCACTTTACTTCACATCTTTACTGGTTACCACATGAGCTTTTTAAATTTAACATGTTCAAAATGCAGCTCTAGATTCTTGCTCCCCTTCCCTTCAGTTCCTCAAACATGTCACATTCTTTTCTTCCTTAGGTCCTTTGCACAAGCTGTTTCCTCTGCCTCACTCTTCCTTCTGTGTTTTGCCTGATGACTTCTATTTAGTTTTCCATGTTCATGCTTTGATGGCACACCTTCAGAGACCTGACAAGTCTGCCAATTTGGATATCATACCAACTTCATTTTCATGGTGAACTTCACAGCAGTGATTTTATACTGTATTTATATGTCTATTCTTCACTTAAAGAAAAACATATTAGACTTTAGCCTGCAGGACAGCAATATGTACATCTCTTTTATTCATTAATGTATCTGGCATGCCTAGAATATCTGGCATATTGCAGATAATAAATCATTGTTGAATAAATGAATGAAGAGATACAATAATATCTTCTTTAATCTTTCTCCATTACCATTACCAAGAATTTGCTTGATTATGTCAATTGAGAGCTCACAAGTGTCACAGGATCCTTTGGGTGTCACTTTTCCAGCATGAAACCTCTGTGGCTGGTGGTATCAGCCTTTGCCCAAGTTTTGCTTGGGCCCACTGGGCTCATTCCACCCACTCAGCCTGGCAGGCTGTGCTTGGCTCATGCTAGCAGCCAAGATCCCACACCTGCCAAGGGCAAGCCAGGAGCAGAGTGGTGCAGGGTGCTTGCATGAGCAAGCGTGGGGTCCGGCCACTGTGCACAGCTAGGCAGACCAGCAGCTGCAGCAGGGTGGGCAGCTCCAGGCTCTGGCACAGGCACTGGATCCATGCAAGCCAATGGCTGGATCAGATGTACCGCAAGCAGCTTCTGCTGTAGGCACCTGTGTGAGGGGAATGTGGCAATGCCTAGAAGCTTGGAGCCACTAGAAACCACAAAGCTCCAAAGAGGGTATCACAGCCCTGCTTGGGAGGCCCCTAAATCTGGGCTCCCAGAATGACCACAGCTCTTCTCTCCTTCCTGTCACCCATAATATGGTGAGTGGGGGAGGGGGTGTGTTTCAGCCCTGTTTGTGCTAAAGCTCTTTCAGTTCCACCATTCAGCAGGTCCCAAGTTCTTGCCGCGGTCTAGGAAGAATGAGGTACATGGACAACTGGAGGGTGAGCAAGGCAGAGAAGAGCTTTATTGAGCAATAGAACTGCTCTTAGGAGACCTGAAATGGGTAGCTCCTTTCTGCAGGCAGGTCGTTCCAACAAGTGTCCAGCTTTCAGCCCAGAGGAGACCCATAGTGGGTAGCTCCTTTCCACAGGAAGGGCATTCCGTGAGTGTCCAGGTCTCGTTAGAGAGAAGACCCATGGTGGGTAGCTCCTTTCTGCATGCAGATCATCCTGATGAGCGTAGCCCTCAGCAGAGAGGAGAATGGAAGCTCCTATCCACAGGCAGGTCATCCCAACAAGTGTCCAGCTCTCAGCCAAGAGGAGAACTGGAGTGAGTAGCTCCTTTCTGCGGGCAGGAGATCCCAATGAGTGTCCAGCTCTCAGAGGGTAGGCGACCTGGAGTGGGTAGCTCCTTTCTGCAGGCATGTCATCCCGACAAGTTGAAGAGACTCTACGTGGGTAGCTCCTTCTGTAGCTGGTAGTCCTGATGTTTGTGTGAGTCTGGCTGAGTCCAGGGTTTTTATGGGCTCAGAAGGGAGGAAGTGCATGCTGATTGGTCCATGGGAGTCCACGGGCAGGCCTGGAAAAAGCAACATAATTCTCGCTCCTGTCCACCAACTTCATTCAGAACTATTCATTCAGTCTGGCTCCCGGGCTTCAGGTCATTCCTGGCTTGAAAGACGGGTTTCACCAGGCACCTGTCTGACTCCTGCCATCCATCAATCTTGTCATCCATGGCACCCTGGCAGTCTACACCAAGGGGAGCCTGCTGGCCTGCACAAGCTGGACTCAGCACCCCTGGCCTCTGTCCCATGTTGGTCAGCACCCAAACTCTGGTGGGGACTGAGGTGGGGAGGCTGGTGTGTCAGCACCACCCTCAGCTCACACACGCTCTGCAACTTTGCCCCACCACAGAGCAGATGCCAGAGTTCGGAGAGGGCAGGAAGTGGGAGCAGGCACTTCTGAGTCTGTGGGAACAGGGGGGATCCTGGGTCCCCAGAGTGCAGCAATGCCTGGATCTGGAGCTGCAGTTGGCTGGCTGCAGCTGTGCCCAGGAGCACAGCGCTCCCGCCCTGCTGAACCAGCAGGGGGCCAGGCTCTCTCACCTGTTCCTAACTCCCCTCTGGCTCCATGGAGCATGTGACCCCAGCCATGCCTCCCCTGTTGCAGCCAGTGTCTTCACAGTGGCTGCCCCAGATGGGCTGCTGCCGCCATCAGTGTAGTGGAAGATATACCATATCATCAATACAGAGTTTACTGATAATGCAAAACTGTCTTTTGATGACTTTGTATCTCTTTTATCCATCATTTACGTAGAAAAATCAGAACACATATTTTGTAATCTCACATAATAATAAACACATTAAAAATAACTCCTATAGACGTGGTGGTAGGCGCCGTAGTCCCAGCTACTTGGGAGGCTGAAGAGGGAGAATGGCGTGAACTCGGGAGATGGAGCTTGCAGTGAGCCAAGATCGCACCACTGCATTCCAGCCTGGGCAACAGAGCGAGACTCCGTCTCAGAAATAAATAAATCAAATAAATAAAAAATAAATAACTCCTATAGGTGAAAATAACATTTTAGGGTTATCCATATAAATAAAATCAAATAAATTATGAATTTTACTAAATAGAGAAAATGCAGTTTGGATTTTTTTATTATGTTTATGTTTCTATACACATTGAAAAGAACTATACCTTTGAGTCACTAAATGAATAAAGTTAAAATGAGTAGAAACATAACATGTAAAACTCAAGCCATATTTATTTTTAGACCATTTATTAAGAACACAGTGGCCCTATATTTTGAGGCCATACTTGTACTTAAATAATGCATTCCCAGGAACTAGGAGAGTAGCCAATTATAGATAAGCATAAGGGGCAATATTTGTGATTTATCAACCCCTCTTCCCTAAGTTCTTTCCTGAGGTAATTGTTCAATGAGTATAAGTGGAGATCTTGTTAGTAAGGAAGAATTGTACAACTATATTGTACAACTATATACTATACATACAACTATATACTATATAAAATGTATTTGCATTTTAATAATGCAATCATTAACTTTCAGGACTTTTTCCACGTAGTATTGAGTCTATACCCAAAGGAGGAAAACTAGACTATGGTGTAGTTGAAAAGAGACAATTTTAATGACTACTAATTTTAATCTTGCCAGTTTTTGCTTTTTTCTTCTCTGCTTGTTTCTGACACACAGCATAGCACAGGACTTCATAAAACTGAAACCTATTATTTACTTGTTTACAATTATTTTATATTTATATTTAAATGAATATTATCTTCACTCCTCCCAATCTTTTCAGACTTTAATAGTCACAGTTCTATTCTCTTCTTCTATGACCTCAACTTTGTTAGCTTCTATGTATTAGTGATAACATGTCATATTTACCTTCTTGTTCCTTGACTTTTTTCACTTAATGTAATGTCCTCTGGGCTCATCCATGTTTCTCCAAAGGGAGAGGTTAACAGAAACAAAATTACTTCTAGATAGGAGAAATAAATTCTAGTGTTCTATAGCTGCATGGGATGGCTATAGTTAATAGTTTAGCGTATATTTTTCAATAGCTAGAAGAGAGGATTTTGAATGCTCTCAACACAAAGAAATAATAAAATCTGATGTGATTAATATGTTACCATGATATATGTATAATAATGTCTTAATTAAATATAAAATAAAATATTCAAATCATAGAGCCCCTGAAAAATGTATATTGCCCCTATGTGGAATTATGTAGTTATCTCTCGATTGAATTAATGCTGACTGAAAAGCAAGACTATAGTAGCCTTCATTATTAATTTGAATTTTCTACAATGGGTAGTACCATGTCTTACAGATAGTAGGTACTTAATGAATATGTACTGAGTTGAAAATCTTTTTCCTATTTACTTCAATATAATAAAACAAGAGAAGGAAAAGACCATGCATCACGGAAATACTTGTAATACAGTGTGGCTTCTTTTAGAAAAATTGTAGAAAACCTAAAAAATAATAAAATAATATCACCTTCATCAATATGCTAATCATTCTTTAGACCATTATGTTTAAAAAGAATAATACAAATTGTTTGAAGCAACTCTCTCTTTACCTAGAGAAGGGTACTTCTTATAAATTTAACACCACAAATGCACTTAAATTCTTTTAAAATTATGCAATATTTTTTATATTTTCCTCAATAGTTTATTCATCTTTATAATGATAATTTACCAGATTAAAGAGCAAGGTTGTATGGCTTTCCAGAATCTAGTGAGAACCAAGGCGAATTAGGAATTAGGATATAAAACATCGAAAACAATACAACATCAAATATGTAATTTGATAAACCGTATAGCTTGATCTCAACAAAAGTTGACTTTTTCTTCCTCTTGTAGCTGAAAAATTTAATCAGCTTTTGAATTAGTCAAACATTAATACTTACTCTTTTAAGTGCTTTGTAATAAATTTATAAGAAAATACTGGGAGTTGTATTGTTTGTTGATATGCTCCTCCATTTAAAAAATTCGTGGCATAAGGATCAACAGGAGGGGTGCTAACAGGGTTAGATTTCTCTATATATGAGGGAGAGATTGCAGATTATCACAACAGCAGAAACTGAATAAACAGGGACAAGGTAAGAGTTCATTCTCAAGGTGCATACATGTCCTGGACGATGCATAAAATAAAATCCTCTCTTCTAAGACAGTTCAAAATTCTTGGTTTCTTCCTTTTAGCCTCTTAGCAGCAATGTTGTTTGTCTATACAATTAACTACAGACCATGAAATGTATATACAGTATCCATTTTAAAGTTTAACTTAAAAATTAATTTGTCCTCTGTAATCATTTTGTTTCATAACAATAATTCTTTAACTCCTGTCTTTAATGATCATGCTTTTAGTTCCTTACATGGTCTTTATAACCAAAGTGAGTTTGGCTTGGAAGAACACAGGGAAATTGCTGTCAAGGAGCCATTCAGAATATGGCCCCAGAAGTGTCTACATTTAAATGGTGAGATACTTTAGCTTCCAGAAGAGAAGCCCAAGGTGTAATATTCTTTATCATTGATAATTTCATTATTCTTAATGTTTCTCAGATCTTTGAATCACTACAGAAGTTGGGAAAGAAATTGACTTAAACTCTGGCTTATTTTCTTACAGGGTACCTTTGGATTGTTTGAAACCAGAACCTAAGAAATCCTCCACAATGAAAATTCAACATTGGAATAAAAATCAGAATAGAAATGTCTTTTCAAATTGACTGCAAAAATCATCAGCTGGCTATAGTTTAGACGTAATCCGTCCAAGTGAAGAGGCAACAATTCAAATCTTCCAGGCCCATTATTTTGAATATATGGAGGTTACAATGGAAATATTTGCATCAAATAACTTTATTAAAATGGATTAGCAATTTTTAGTTATAGTGCACATCTCCCTTAAAAGAAAAACTGTTCACAGAAAACATGTCACTTTGTACTCATTATCTGTTTTTAGCAAACATTCAGGACTCAATGTTGTCCTCAATGTTAGAATTTCTTAAATTGAAAAGTATCACAATAATAATCCTTGGAACCTGTTCTACAATATTACAAAGTGTCAATATGGGATGTGACTATAAAATGATAATAATGAACCACATTTTCTTGCACTCAGATGAACACTAGTATTATATAATTAGTTGGGAAGGCAAGCAATTTTGCTTTCACATTAAAAGAAATGCAAAGGCCATTTCTTGGAGTGAGGATTATTTATTCTATGAAGCTAAATGGGAAAAGTAGATAAGCAGATACTGCTTATATCTCAATAGAAAATTGCAATCATACAAATATTAGGATATCAACATTTCCAATTTGGTTTAGTACATCCAAACAAACGTAACAGATAAAGTTAAGGTGATATTATTACATTTTCTGTCTCTAGGCTCTAAGAGTTTAACATATCTTTCCCCTTTTTAGTGTGTCAAAATATATAAAATTCTGAATCACAGAAACTGTAAATTAAATAATTTCACTTCAAACTTAACTCTTCTAAATTTTCCAAATCTACAATACTATCATTTCAATAGATCTTCATGTTTAAAAAACAAAGTAAAATGCTGGAAAGCAAAACATCTCAATGTCAAATTTTATCATGTTTCACTTGTTGAAGAATTTCTTCTTTTTATGTATGTAATTATTATGTCAATCATAAGTTAAAATCATAATTAAAAACTCCTTTTTTGTCATGTTTTCCACAGGAGATTTTACTCATAGCAAGGATGCTAGCATGTTGAAGTGTTACCCATCACACCCCACTCTGACACACAGATACTTTATAAAAAGTCTCTTTCCTTAGTTGGAGAAACTGTCCTCCTTAAATTCCATACAATTGTGATGGGACTCCCAATGATATCAAATATTCTGGCTAAAGAGAAACACATATCACACAGATTGCCTTGTCACGGTGTCCCCTTAGCCTGTCTGTGGTGATTGGCTGGGAAATCTGCACCTTCTCAGGATTAGGCCCCTGTGTTTCCAAGCCATCTTACCATTTATAATTTTACAGCACACGAATGAAGAATTCCTGAATCCTGCGATGTGTATCATCACAAAAGCAGGCTCACAATTTGTGATCACTACCACCAAGTGAAGTGGGAAAACTAGGGCAGCAATAAAAGGGACTCTAATTTCCAAGAAGAGAAGTAAAATAATATATCTAGGATGATATATCAGTGACACAGCTTTAATCTAGTGATTTTACATCGCCATTTCAACAAATACCAGACTATTTGTAATGATTTATTACAGATTCACAACTTTCTTCCACAACACACACACATGCACACACACCAAAATGAGATATCCAATTCATTCTCAAGTGTTTGGTTTGACTGTCCATTCTGTACACTTGTACCCTCACCAACCCCATTGCACCACCAGAATCTTCCCCCAGGAGTTACTGCCCTCACCCTCTGACTAGCTGGACCTAGAATTTAACTGTTGCTTCTCACAGCACATGCAGTGATCCTTTGGAAAGGAAACTCATTTCTTATTTGTATCTTGACTGAAGCCCTGCCATGGTTTGCCAGTTACATTTATGATAAAATTCAAAACCTCCTTTACACAGCTTCAAAGCCCTATAAGATATGAGTGCTGCACAGTTTTGGACCTGATATCTTACTTCTCTTATGACCACACTGGCCATTTTACTGTTTTATGGGAACATGCCAAGTCCGTTTCTGCTACAAGATCTTTGCAATCTCTGTTCCCTGTGTCTGGCTCACTCTTGCCTGATATCTGAAAATGACTCATTTCTTTTCACTCAAGTAATTCTTCAAACATTATCTATAATGAGAAAGTTTCCTTAACTGCTCTGCCACCTTGCCTCTTCCCTCAGTCACCTCTATATCTGCCTTGTCATTGATCACTATCTTAAATTATATTGCGTATTGTTTGATTTCTTTACTGTCTGTCTTCCACTCCAAAATGTGAAAGTAACAAAATTAGAGGTTTTCTTTGTCCTTCTAACACCATAACCCAGGTGCCTATATGCATTACTGGCTCACAATAGATGATCAATATGTGTGTTCAATGATAAACAAGTTTTGAGTAAATGAATGCAATAGAAATCTCAAGTTATAACAAAAAACTAGACAATAAATTTGGCAACATAGAAGTTACCAATGCCCTGTGGAAAAGTAGTTTCACTGCTTTAGCTGAATAGACATTGCAAATTAATAAATAAAGTAATCACAAGTTAGAGCAGGTAAAAATTTCTATTTACAGAAGGACTACATAACTTGTTGAAAATTTTTATAATGTGTGGTAGGTGGAAAAGCAAATGGGAGGCAAGAAAATAAAAACAAAATTATTCTAAAAGATTTGCCTGCAAAGAGCAGCATAATTGCTCAATATGAATTAGAAGGAAACCAAAGGTAAAGAGAGGGTATGGAATAATTTTCTCCTCCTATGTTGTAAAAGAAGTGGAATTTTCGTATGCTTGCTTTAAAAAATATAGAAATTTGCATTTGTTCATATATGCTAAGCAATAAGCTAACAGATACAGAAAGATTAAACATATTACACAAAGCAATAATTGTTAGATCAAGGAATACAAACATAAGAAATGATGGTTCTAGAGCTGAGAACACAAGCTGATGGATTAGGGATATGCAGAAGAGGATGATGAAGGTCGTGGTTGATAACAATAATAGTAACAATAATAAAAGCAAGAATAAGAATAGAAGCCACTGTCCTGAGTGTTTCATGAGTATTAATTAAACTGATATCTGCACAAGTCAGTAAGCAAAATGTCAGAAAAGACTCTACTGGATGCTTTCTCTTTTCTCTGTGAACAAAATGCTGAATTTGCCCACTGAGAACAGAAGGGAAGATAGCAATATATACAGCTTAATGCAAATAGAGTTTTACAGTAGCATTTTATAAAAAGAGATATAAACTGATTCAGGACACAGAACAATTAGCAGAAAATGTGAATGGTCTAGTTGAGAATAAAGCATATTCATCTATAGTGATACCAAGACAGCCACATAGGTTTCAATAATAATATGTGGATTTTAGTCTTAAATATAGTAACAAATAAACAGCTGTGTGACTCTGGACAAGTCAGTTCACAGGCAACTAATAATAGAATTCATAGGCAGCAGATAATGGGAGGCTTTGAAATTGAACAGGTCTAAATTCAACTCCTAGCTATGGCAATTATTACTGGTATAGCCTTTTCAATTCACATCAACTGAGTTGCATTGTCTTAATCTGTAAAAGGACGAAAATAATAGTAACTACAAAATAAATTAATACATGTAAAATACCTACAAATTTCTTAGTAAACTCTTATCAATAAGCAGGTATTGTTATTTCTATGATTCTCAACCTAATCCTCTTCCTTATATTTTCATAATCATGATAATCCTTACCTTATATTTAGAATGCAGGATGGAATTAAATATCTCTAAAGAATTTTCCAGATCCAAAATTATTCTAGTTACAAGCAAACCCTAGATACATATCAGTCAACCGAATGCTAAAACGGAAGGAAAGAAACCTACGAAAATGATAAAGAATGTACTCTACCCCTACAGATGTATTAGCTGTTTATATTTTGTCACTAAACCAGTAGACCTGTGGGATTTCAAAGCCTCCCATTATTTGCTAACACAGTTAGTTGCCTGTTAACTGACTTGTCCAGAGTCACACAGTTGTCTATTTATTAATATATTTATGACTAAAATCTAGGTTTCTCTATCGCACACATTATTACCGAGACCTGTGTGGCTGTCTTTATATCACTACAGATGAATATACTTTACTCCTCACTTAAATAATTATGTGTTAAGTATCTGGGACCTAAGGCTTAAATTAATATAATTTATATTCTGTTTTATATAAGCCTTAATAACAGGCAAAATCCCTCTAAGTTTAGTGAAGCCCCATAGTCTAGAGTAATTTTTTATGATCATCTGGAAATTCCAGTATTTTTTGTGTCTTATGTGCTACAGCTTTTTCTGTAAGAGTAAATAAGTGTTTAAGTTTGGAAATGAATTATGTGCAATTGTTAGGGCATATCCACAGCTAGTCCCCAGGAGACAAGTTCTTCAAAACACTTACACAGTCTCCTATGCTTTTAACCAATGAAAAAGTTGATGAGATAATTACTAAGATCCCATCACACGCCTCTATTATTTTTCCACCATCAATGTAATTCTTACGTTTTTTTGGTAGTAAATTTCAAATAGATTTATTAATCAGGATAATGATAGCTACTCACACATCTAAAAAGTTCAGTGTCTTAATACAAAAGTTTATTTTTCTTTCATATAATAGGCCAATGAGGCTATTTCTTGGATGATCATTCCTATGGTGATTCTGGAAATAAATTTCATTATATCTTGTGATTATACCATCCCTTAGATCTCAGAATTATCTGCTTCCATCTTATAAGTAGAAAGGGAAGGGGGAAGCAGTCACACCCATATCTTAACCATCTGAACTCCGAAGTGATAAGCATTACTTTTGTTCTGTTTTGACAAGCAAGAAGTAATCCCATGATCTCAGAAAGATGTCAGGGCTAGTGGGAAGAGCTGCAGGAAACTAGTACCTGCCCTGGCAGGCACTTTCCAGAAACAAGTCTACCCTGTGAAAGAGGAACATCATCCTTTGTTCTATGGCTAGCTGTCTCTCTGCCCAAAACTGAATATCAATGATTACAAATTACATATTCAAAATCACAATGTGAGGACAGAAATAAATAAGAAGTAAATTGAGCTCCATATTTTGACATTAGATAGGCCCAACAGTAAAAATGTTCTTACATGTATACATATGTAACTAACCTGCATGTTGTGCACATGTACCCTAAAACTTAAAGTATAATAAAAAAATTAAAAAAAAATGTTCTTACAAATATTTTTTTAAAAATCTAAAGAAAATAGTAAAATAAAGCAAGAATTTAGGAATAGAAAGATTATTCAGGCTGAAATATAGCAGAAATGACTACTAATTTCCTAATTATTTATCTACATTAGGCAGCAACAAGAAAAAAGATTTTATACAAAGTTTAAAAATTAATATGCTCCAGCCCTTAATGTCCATTACCCAGAAATACAATTGTCTCTTTGCCAACAGTTGACTAGGAGGAGGTTTAGCTCTAATTTACCCAAAATGTTGAATTATTTAATACAAATTCAGTAACAGCAAGTTTGGATTTAATATTTAAAATGTCATGATTAAAATAAAATGAATTTATTAATGAATTCATAGCAAGCATCATCCCAATTGATCACTGGAAATCACATTATTAATAATGATAATATTAAATACTCTAAAATTTTAAGAAATATAATTGATGAACTGGAGAGAGAAATATTTAGAATAAGAAATACTCATTTAATGAAGAGATTATTAAAAACAGAAATATGTAAAGGACTAATTAAGTTCACTATAGCACCTGTCCATCAAGTACTAATTGCTTTAAAGTAATAGGTCTAAATAATAGTGAAAGTAAATAAATTATGCACATTTTGTTACAGCTTGTGGATCCAGTACTTCTTTTCCACTGTGGAGCCTCTTTTTTTAAGTCTCCTTATCTTGTGCTAAAACTATCCTCTTCTTTGAAAAAATTGCTTAAGTTCTAAAAAATGTTATCAGTATAGTCAATTTCCTTTAATTCACCACTATTTTTTACCATGATTCACCATGTTACAACTTAGAGATAATGGCTGATATGAAACCACCAACAGTATCTACATAGCCCCTCCATTATTAAAGGCACACACACATACATTTATTCCTGAAGCTGAAAAAAGATAATGTGACTTTTTGTTTTTATATTTATTTATTTATTTATTTATTTATTTATTTATTTATGTTTTGAGACAGAGTTTCCCTCTGTCACCCAGGCTGGAGTGCAATGGCACGATCTTGGCTCACTTTAACATTTGCCTCCCTGGCTCAGTGATTTCTCGTGCCTCAGCCTCCTGAGCAGCTGGGATTACAGGCATGCGCCACAACACCCTGCTAATTTTTGTATTTTTAGTAGACACAGGGTTTCACCATATTGGCCAGGCTCATCTCACACTCATGGCCTCAAGTCACCTGCCCACCTCAGCCTCCCAAAGTGCTGGGATTACAGGCATGAGCCACCAGTGCCCAGTCCATACCAATTTTAAATAAAAAATAAACTACGACAGTTGAAAACTCAAAATTACTAATATCTAAACAGTATTCTTTACTGGTAAAGGGGTGAAACAGCAGGCATCAGCATATTGTTTACAGTAGAGAAACTGACACACTCTGGAGGTTGTTTGACAATACATGTCAATATTTAAACATATTTTCTTTTTGACATAGCAATCCAACAACTACGAATTTATGGCAAAAATATTCACACACGTGTATATAAAGATACATGCTGAAGCGTGTTGTACAAAGCATGATAATAAGAAAAAGTAGAACTAACCCTAATGTCCATCAATAAAGTATTAAGTTAAGTAAATTATGGGATAGTCTTGTAATGGGTTTCTTTACAGCCATTCAAAGAAATGAGATAAAATCCATTTGCTGAATTGCAAATGTTCAAAACATGTTATGTTAAAACAAGGCACAAAAATATATATTAAAATATTCCCATTTGGAGGTAAGTGTGTTTGTGTAAATGTGTGTGTGGGTGTGTGTGTAGATAATTCCTGGAAGTGTAGGAGTGGAACTGAGTGGTCTGCGGAGGAAAGAATCAAATCTGTACTCCTTTCCATCATATGGAGTTGTTACCTTATCCACATGTTGTTTTCATAAGCGTTAAATTTTAAAAATAAAGAAGTTTTAAAATTGCTATCACTGACATCACCTATGTATAATATTTTCTACCCTTTTCTATGTAGCTAATAAACAATCATAGTTTTTCTCAGTTCTTTCAAAATAATAAAGCAATATAGAAATAGACTGAATTGGAAGAACTAGAATAATCATTATTCTTAATAGGCAGCTAGTTTCCTCTTTCTCATAGACAAAAAAATAGAGTTTTTCTTTTATATGAAAGGCACCTACTACATATTTGTGTAAATACAGCCCTTCCTGCAATTCAGAAACCTAAGTAATGTTGATTAAACTTTACTTTGAACCTGAGCATTTTAATCTTCATCTCTTAAGGATATTTGATTAAGAGATATTAAGGTCCATCCAAAATACTTCTTTAAAAGTAACCTTCATTAATATCCAATTTTTTCTCTCCAAAGGTTTATACCAGATTCTTGTCTATTTGGGGAACAAGAAACCAGGAACTATTTGAATCTTCCTTTGCTGTACTTTTTCCCCCCAATTCATACTCTTTTCCTTCTATAGGGGACATTAATGAAGCCTTAATTGGATGGCAGAGTAACAGCTTATGTGTGAAGGAATTCCTTCTGTTCACTGTTCACATTACACCATTAACTGGCCTTCATCTATTCCCTGTGTCATAGTGCACCCTTTTTGTGGCTAGCTGCTCTATTTGCCCTCTTCTACCGATCATCGATTTAAACCCCTGTTCTCACAGCTGAAATCTTGGTATACAAGATTCAGAAGTATACACGGAGGCACATTCATTACAAATCTGTTATACAGGCTTCAAAGCCAGTATATATTGCAAGCAGAACTGCGAAGGATCTCTACTCAGATCCAGAATTTCCTTCCTTCAAATGCAAGGAGGGTTCCTGCTAAGCAGAAGGAGCCTTTAGGCCCAGTGGAGAAATAAAATCTCTCTGACAGGACATGCAAGGGCTTAGCTATGCTCACTCAAAAAAAATTGACATCCCTTGAGGCGTCTAGTGCCTATGAATCCTTCTCGTGTATTTTGGAACTTCTGGTCTAAAGATCGTCTTCTCTGGTCATGGGGACATAGGCAATGCTAAAGGATGTAAAGCAGAGAATCATTAAGGGCAGCAAATTTTTTGAAATTTTAAGTACCCTAATAATCTTTAACCCACCAAAGCTATGCCCACCCTCATGCTATTTCTCTTTAAGCATCTGTCTCACATTTTCTATAACACAATGGTGGCTCATTGTTTCCACTCTCTTCCTTCTCAACTGCCAAAATCACGCCCTTCCTTTTATTTAACGTATAAGGTAATCTTAAATTTCATATCCTATGATCATGACAGGAGTAAATCAATTTTCTCAACTACTTTGTCTATGGCAACCCAACAATTCACCTGTTAGCTATTAAATATACAGTCACTATAATATTCGTGGGTTAACAAGCACTTCTAACGTGCTATGGGCACAAAGATGCAAGCATATTTAATTCTACCTTGGGTTGGGAGGGGAGACTGAATAGACCTTTCTCAATAATTAATGTTTATTGAGTGCTTTCATTGTGAAAAGTGCTTTAAGCAAATTATGTCTTTAATTCTCACAAAAACAGAGGGAGATACATAGTATAATTATCAACTCTATGTTTTAAACAAGAAAACTAAGTCTGGGATAATTTAATTTGCTCAAAGTCATTCTGGAGAAATGGAGATGGAGCCAGACTTCAAAGCTAGTCCGTCCAGCTTCAAATTACATCCATTAACCATTATGCTGAAAAGCCTTCTCAGAAACGGAGTCTGCCAGAAGAACAAAGGAACAAGTGGGCAGGACATCTCGCGAGAAAATAAAACACAGCCAGAACCAACACCCATGATCATAAAATATACAACGTGTTTAGGAAAAAATAGTAATAGCTAACCCTATCATAATGCCTATCATGGATGAAGTAGTTCTAATTGTTTTTGCACATTAAGTCATTAATCCTTAAAACTACATCGCAGAAAGTACCATTTGTATGATACCTACTTTACAGCAGAAAAATCTGAAGCACTCAGAGCTTGGGTAACCTGTCCAAGATCACATGGCTAAGAACAGTGGGGCTAAACTGTGAAGCCAGGCATTCTGTCTCTGGCCCCTTGTGCTCTGACATACATTCTGGGCTCTCTACAGAATGAATTTCCTGCTGTAAGAAATCTGCAATGTGCCATTGGGAGAAAACTACAGAGGAGGCTCTAAAGCTACCTGGGCCAGATTATAAAGGACCACGAGAAGGATTTTGGACTTTAACCAACAGGTTCCTGATTTTCAACTGGAGAGGAAATATATCCCAATAATGATAAGGTGTGTTGTGTACTTCAAAAATAAAGTCAATCCTGTGACTTATTTTCATATATGAGAAACATGCTTTCTGTTTTTGTAATGCATAACACCTAATATAAACCCTGACCAAATCACATTGACTGACTAAGATGTACAATCTAAGTAGTTGAATTTTCTGATTATAGCAGTTCTCAACTAGGGGATACTATGCTCCCTTCAGGGTGATAATAGAATAACTGGAGAACCTAAAAAGTGTATATTCAGCAAAAAAAGAATGTGGGCTAAAACATGCTGAGAAACAGTACATTAGGCAATAGGTGTAGAGAAATTTTCTTTTTGAAAATATAGGGTGGTGGTAAGATAAGTAACAATTCTACAATGCTTAGAAGAATGTCTCATTTATATAACATACTTTATAAGTAACATAAGACAATAAAGCATAATAAGAGCACAAATTCTAGAACCACAATGGCCAGGTTCAGTGTCCAAGTCTACCAATTGAATAAATTAAGTGAATTCTCTGTCTCAACTTTTATCATAGGTAAAATGGGGATAACAACTGTAAGTCATCTTACTTCCAACTATTGTAAGATTAAATGAATTACACACATATATGCATGTATGTATGTATGTGTGTGTGTGTGCATACAGATATCAAATTCCAGACATAAAGGAAACTATGAAGTTTAGTTATGATCTATCTTTTAAGAAGAGGAATCAAACAATGTTATACTAATTCACTATCCAAAGTACAATGACCATTTGTAAAAGTAATTAATTTTAAAAACTTTTGCAAACCTTCGTCATCCTAACTAAAATAAATTTATGAAAAGTTAAGTATCTATAAACATCTGTTCATATACATAAAATTGATAATTATGGAAAAAATGTATATATAAACAAGATAGGCATGATTTCAAATCTGAAATCTACACTTTGTATCTATCTATCATCTATCTATCTACCTATCTATCTAACTATACCTATCAATTATGCTTCTATAGAACTAATCTCAAGCAGAACACCCAGAAACTCTGAGCCTCAGTTATGGGCATAATAATGCTTAGTATAAAGCATTAGCATCACTGTAAAAGCTAAATCAATTTAAGGCATTTAGGAAAGAGTTTTGCATACATTAAGTGTGAAATAAATACTGGATTTAATTCTCTCTGAAGACATTATTAATACAGTCATATTCCATAGAAGTTAAATGTCTCTCAAGTATAAGAAGCATTATTTTTAAATGATTATGATAAGTTCAATTCAGTTCAGCAAACATTTGTGGAACACTATATAACTTATGCTTTGTGATTAAATCTTTCTGCTTTCAATATTTCAACAAAGGAAACACAAACGCCATAGCTATTCAATCAGTGATCATATAAATACATTTAGATCTTCTTTTAAAAATAGTCATTATAAACCATGAATTCCAAGATTGCATAGTTAAAATAGATAAATTTTAGGACTCACTTTTTTGATAATTATTTTTGATAAGTAGCATTTTACACTACTTTCATCATTTTCTATATAATGCCTTCTTAGGAGGTCAAAAGCACTTCCTTATTCTTTTTTTTCTTTTAATCCTTCAGTGTAAATGAAGTAGAAATTAACATGGCTAGTTTTGTCCTACAACTTATTCAACCTTACTCTGTCTTATTATGCCAAACCTTTTCCTTTTAATATCAGCAGCATCGATTGGTGCCAGCAACACTGATCTAGAAATAGTGTTAATTATCTGCAGCTGCACAGGCAGCAAGGGAGCATAAAACACTGGGCTTCTTGTTCACAATATACAAAAACAATGAAACAATCACCCTCAGCTGTCAGCATCTTCAGATCTTTCCCCAAGGGTAACAATATAACAAGTGGATCACATTCAAAGCTTGGGAAACCCATCATGTATTTCATATTAAAGCATCTAAATAATGGGTTATGTTACCATATTGGAAAAACATGCTGCAGCTAAAGTTCCTTCTCATTATTCATACTACTATTTTCTTTTAACTGGTAATGATAAAGGTAACAGAAAGTTAGCACAATGACAAAGATATCACCTGCTCTGAGACCAGTTCTTCACAGAAAAAGCCATTTGGAGACAATATCCAAATATATGACTTTGAACATCACATATTTGGATGGTTTACACCATCCTTTACACCGGCAGTGGTGGTCAAAACTAGACTAAAACTATGATTCACCTAATCATGTTATTTTTCTGATTTCAGAGGACAATTATTATTATTTAAAACGCTGAGGAAGGAGAAATTTACTAATTATTTCAATTATTTACAAATCCAAGTGAAGGACCTACTAGTTTCTTAAAACCAATCGTTACATCCCTCATTTCATGTTTAAATATCCTTCTTGAACAAGATAATGTGCCTTTCAGGGATATGGATGGAGCTGGTAGCCATCATCCCAGCAAACTAACACAGGAACAGAAAACCAAACACCACATGTTCTCACTTATAAGTGAGAGCTGAACGATGAGAACACATTGACACAGGGAGGGGAACAACACACACTGTGGCCTGTCGGTGGGGGTTAGGGGGAGGGAGAGCATCAAGGTAAACAGATTATGCATGCGGTGCTTAATACTTAGGCGATAGGCTGATAGGTGCAGTAAACCACCATGGGACACATTTACCTATATAACAAACCTGCACATTCTGCACATGTATCCCGGAACTTAAAATAAAATAAAATAAAATATTTAAAAATCCTCCTTTTCCTTTTATTTGATAAATCATGCATTCATTTATTCTGCCATTAAAACATACTTGTTGACTGATGCCTATACCCTTCTTAATTCATTTTCAGCAAATATACGCAAAGCACTAAGAAAATAATGTTTAAACCTAGATTATCTAGATTGACCATTTCAATTGATCAAACTATTTGTCAAAATTTTCTTCCTAAATATTTTACAAATGGCAGCTGTTTTACTAACCTCCTCAAAGAAAACATGTACTGAGCAGTAATTCAAGATCTGGGTACACAGCAGTAAATAAGACACCTTCACTGAGCTCAGTCAGTCGAAGGAGATCAATGTTAGACAAACTATTACAAATGTTGTGAGCACTGTAAGATGCGAAGGTTGAAATTCTAAAGCAATGGAGAAATGAGTGTGATATATTGTATTGGGAAGAGGAGACTGGAAAGTGTGTTTGAAAAACTGTATTCCCCTTGCAGGAAGAAACAGCGGGTTTCCTTTCTCTTTTATGAGATCTAGGGAAGAAAGAATAAGTTGTTCCTTTAAACAGAAAAAAGGTAGCAATTTGTATTCTAAACTATGCAAATGGACAAAAATTGATCAATTAAGCCGTCTTTCCCTGCTTTCTCTACCACATCCCCAAAATACACACAATCCTCAAATCTAAGATCTAGATTATTTATATTAGCCATTTTTATTGATCAAAGTGCTTGGCAAAGCTCTTCTTCCCTAAGCGTTGTATAAATAATCACTATGTACTGACATCCTCAAGGCAAATAAAGCATATCAAATATTAATCTTAAAATCAATTTGTTGGAAACTAGTGATTTATTTATTGAATAGAGCATGGATTGAATGGACATTTATAAATAGTCTCTATCAGAAATAGAACAGGACTAAATACTATTTACATAAAACATTTTGAAATTCACCCACTAAAAGCATATTAGTCTCCCCTCTGAACCCTCTCCACCACTACACCAAAGGCAAAGCTTCAGTAGTGCCCTATTAAGGATCTTTCAATTTTATATATTAAGGGACATTTGGCTATCAGTTTCTGATAGTCTTTATCATGTTAAGGAAGATTTTTGCCTGTAGTTAAGCTGTTTAATAAGTCAGAGAAGTAACGAGACAGCATAGTGGTAAAAAGCTTAGACTCTGGGGTCGATCAGTACAGATTAGAATTGAAGCTCTGAAAATTTCTAGCTTTGTAGTCTTGAGGCAGTTACTTTAACCTCTCTTAGCTTCAGTGTCCAGCAGGTGTCAAAACGAGTGTGTCTCTGCCACAGACATGATATTAACTGCGACGTCTTTGGTTGCTCTTTGACTTGGGTTCACGGGGCCAGGGGTGAAGTGGCAGGTGAATCTTTTCAAAGCTGTTAAATGTCTGCACGTGGAAATCTTTCCCAGGGTCTCTAGAACTTGTGATAAAACAGTTTTTTGCTTTTATGGGAGATAAACTGACTTAGTCTCTGTAACTTAGGTGAGAGATCATATATGAATCCCTTTTGACACCCTTCTCTTTTTTATTTCACCCCCTATATACACACATTCACATACTAATGTTTTTAAATTTGTATGATTAATTAATAGAAATGCCAAGAAATTTAGAATCCTAAGGAAATAAATAGAAAAATGAGTTTCTGGCCCAAAGCTTTGTTATCCCTCTGTAAAATTAGCATCAAAGTCAGGATTGATGGGGGATATGTTACTGATAACTGCTTCACCCATTTGTGCTTTCCCCTAGTAGGCTAACTTTACAGAATTGTGATTTCCAAGAAGTCTTTTGTTCTTTATATCACCAAACTGTTGTTTTCTTTCTCCTACTCCCTCTCTCTGTTCCACGAGTACATTATTGATATACCATGATTCTAACCCAAGTGAACACATTTTCAAACCCGCATACCTTTGTTATATCCAACTCCCTTGGTTCTAGAAATCTGCCACTATAGACTTAACATTGTGGAATAAAGACTTCTAATCCTTTTGGCATGTACAACAGGGTGTTATGTATATGTCCTCTTACATTATGAGAAACATCAATGTAACTTAAATATTTGCTGTTTCCTAGAAATGCTATTTATGTTCTTATTTTCCAATGTTATTATTCTTATTCTCTTACTGTTGGTGTGTTTAATAGAATTTATATGCAAGTACACTAAAGCCAAAAATCCAATTTTTCTCTGAGCACACACAAATAGCAAAATTTTCTTTGTTCATTTGATTTAAAAGCAATACATAAGTCCATTATCAGAGAAAGAGTATTCTCAAAAAATAACTTTAAAAATGATAAAGGAAACGAATACACCACTTGTTTCAGTCGGTTAAACAATGAATTCATGTTTGATTGTGGCGCGTTCAAATTTTTAAGACTCAGCACCAAACTACACAGGCTATTTCTAAATTACTGGTCCTTCCCAAAACAGAGCCCGTCTAACAGAAGCAGTGCTGGTTGTTATAAGATACTTGAAATCCTCCCTTCTTTTTTAGAAATTGTGAATCAGCATCCACCGAATAGATACAATGACTCCACTGGTATGAGTGACCCCTAAAGAAGGCATCCTGAGGGGTTCAAGTCCCAAGTCCCTATTTCGTGACTTTTAATCTCTTTTTATGAACATCAATCATTTTCTCTCCTCTAACTTTCTAACTCTCTCCTGAGGGAAATAAAGATGTTTGAATAGCCACAAACAAAAATATGTAGAGGGAACAAAACTAATTGTTCCTTAAACTTGAAAAAGCACAAACAACTAGATATAACATTTTAAATATCATCTTTATAAGACCTTCTTTATTTAATAATATATGCCTCAAATTCTATAATCTGTAGTAATTGTGACTGATACCAATGTTTAACCCAAGTGAATCATAATTGTATTAACTAAGCTTCTGTAACTGTTTCAATAAAACTCTGCATAAAAGATTAGCAGGCACTGCCAAATATTTATACTCTGCAGTTATTCCTGGTAAGGAGCGCTGTTCAATCAGTGGGATTAAATTTAACAATGTTTACCTGTGTGTAAGCCTCCGGTGACTAATGCAGACTGCAGTCTGAGAATCTTGAGCAATGCATACTTTATGGCGACTACATTTCATCTTTAAGCATGGATCCTTAGCTGGATCTAAAGCTAAAAAAATTGCAAAGAAAATATTAAAATAAGCTTCTGTAAAATGGAGGTATCAAATCCCATCAAACACAATTTGATCAGGTCATTTACATAATGCTTAATTGTAAACTTTCTTCACATTCTTTCTCTATTAAGAGAAACTTCTGCTTCTACCCACATAACTCAGAGTTAACAGCTAGCTGTAGTTGTCTCATCCACTCTATTCAGAAGCTAAGATGCACATATGCCTATGATCAGACAATGTGTTATCAAAATAGAAACTTTAAGACTCAAACTCTCTGTAGTTGCTACTGCCTTCTAAGCAGCAAAGGTGGTGAAATAGAGTATGTTACTGAAGTATTTTATGACAGTGGAAAACTGCAATCTATACCCTTGCTTTCCCGAGATAAATGCTGGTGGGTCAATAAAAGGGACAAAATGAACAAACAAAAATGTCAGTGGACATTAATGGATATCTTTGGCTATCCAAAAATAGTCTAGAGCTGTATTTGGAGACTGGATGAATATATCATAGTAAGAACTGAGATTCTGCATTTTCATTTTTACATCATTTGTGCATAATATTTGGACCACCATTTCTTCAAACAAACCTGTCTTGATGGCTGTCAACAAAAAGGCTATGTGAAATGTCGACGGTTTCATTTTATAACATCTTTATTTATATGTAATTCACATACTACACAATTTGGGCAGTTAAGTTTACAACCAATATTTTTCAGTATGTTTGCAATTATAAAATTATCACCACAATCAATATTAGAAGAATTTCATCACCAAAAATACCCAAACATATCGTCTTGTTATCATTATCATCCCCTATTCCCTCTCCCCTCCAACTAGTATTAGGCAACTACTCATCTAATTTCCATCTCTAGAGATTTTCCTATTCTGGACATTTTATATAAATTGAATGTTAAAATTTGTGGTGCTTTGTGACTAGCTTCTTTCACTTCGAACAATGTTTCTGAAGTTCAATCATGTTGTACCATGAATCACTACCTAATTCCTTTATATTGCTGAATATTATGCCATTTTACATATATACCACATTTTATTTATTCACTAGTAGATATGAATTTTGGTTGTTTCCACTTTTTTGGCTATTGTAAATAATACTGCTATTGGTGATCGTTCATGGTTAATCCCAGTGACACTTTGTTGTAATTTATTGTTGGGGGCAGACCAGAGGAGGAGTTGGTACAAATAAACAAAAGGCACTGAGTGTCCAGATTTGGTACATGCCAAAAGTGAGAGAAAGAAACAATGAAATATGGTAAACAAAAAATTCTAGTGCACAAAGAGAAATAAAACCAGAAAAATGTGCATTTGGAATATGCAGAAGTATTTGGAAGGGTTCCAGGCTGACCAGCGGAAATAAAATGTGGATTTGAGATAATCTTTGAGGGTAACTCAAGCTGATTCTTAAGCATATTTAGTCAATAGCCTAAATAAAGTGAATATATTTTGATAATCAATGCATTTTATTTATTTTATTATATTTTATTTTATTTTTGAGACAGAGTTTCTCTCTGACGCCCTGGCTAGAGTTCAGTGGTGCGATCTCGGCTCACTTCAACCTCCACTTCACAGGCTTAAGTGATTCTCCTGCCTCAGCCTCCCAAGTTGCTGGGACTACAGGCGCCCACCACCATGCCCAGATAATTTTTGTATTTTTAGTAGAGACGGGGTTTCACCATGTTGGCCAGGCAGCTCTTGAACTCCTGACCCGAAATGATCCACCCACCTTAGCCTCCCAAGGTGCTGGGATTACAATGGTGAGCCACTGCCCTCGGCCTGATAATCAATATAAAATACAGATATAAGCTATAATATATATGCACATATATCTTACTGATTTCAAATATATAAAGTATATTTCTGCAAAACTCTTGTTAGAGATTTTACATAACCATGAGATTTAAAATAAAGAATGTTAACACATATCATTGGTGACATTTTAACTAACAGACATTTTATATTATTCCATGCTAAAGTGGTCAAGACATTAAATGCATCTATTTGGAAGATAAATGTTTCAATTTTCTCCATACTAAGATAATTTTTTAAATAAGTAATGATTAGATTAATTATAGCTTTCCTTGTTTGGTCAGTAGCTTTAATAATGAAAATAAACTATATTAATTTTTCATTGTCTATAACATGTTAAATATACTTTGTTCACTATGCAAATGTAAATTGCTACAACATTCTTTTCAGACTATCACAGTTTGAATCATCATTAGGTAAAAAAAAGCTGTCTTCGAAATACTGCACTACAAAAGTGTATGACTTCTTGTTGGACAACATAAAAGAAAAAAACACACTATAACTTAGAAGACATTAAAAGTGTTTTGAGCTATTTCTAATGTTTAGCCTATGTTGATGTCTAATTACTAAAATCACTTTTTAAAATTCATTAAACAATTCTGCCTAACAATTAAATAATGTACTGCCTCTGTACTATATGTACATATATGTCATATACTCCTTTTGAGTATATTTAATCTTGGACTTATGTTCTGAAAAAGGAGTGTTTTCATTTTGAAATAAAACACTATAGTACATATAAAATTTTGATTAATCTAGTTACGATTCCAATGCAGACTGGTATGATTATAGCTGTTTCTTTACCTTATAAAATCTGCATTCGATAATTTCCAAAAGTTCTGTCACACAGTTTTGTCATGTATGCTCAAGAAAATGGAACTCAAAAATTGATATACAGTGAAAATAGAACAAATTTAACACATGAAAAATAATGTAATGAGTTTTACATAGGATTTTATGTAAATGACCAAATAAGAGAGGAGCAGTATTTGTCAGGAGATGGAAAATATAGGAGAAAATAAATATAAAGAATCAGATACATAGCATGTACAATAACAAAAAGACCACTTTCTGTGCATGAGATTTTAACCATCTGTATTTTTTAGTAGAACTCACATTGTTGGCAGCTTAAAAAATACAAAACATTACACACTGTAAATACAGATGCCTAAGATTTTATTCTTGAAACCACAACAATAACACAACAAATTTCTCTTGGCTGAAGTCCACGGATTAGAATCAATCCTCTGCCTTAAAGGGACCTGGCATAAATTCATCATCTCCCTCTGTTGTGTTCTTCTTTCCGTCTTGTTTTCCATTTAGCGTCTCCTCTTCTGTTCCGCATGATTGTATTTAGTTTTCTCTCCAGCAACCAGTCAAACTACCTCTAGAAAGATTTCAGCAATTGCATTTGACTTCACTTGGCTATATTCTTTTCTTCATCCTAATCTCTAATAAACTTTCTGGTCAGTGTAAACTAACCTGGGTACCTGACAAGTAAGTTTTTTTTGGTTGTGTTTCAGAAAACACCATCTGTATTTTAAACAACTGCCATATAATGTATCCTTTGAGCGTCATTACATTCGCAGTGTAGGATCTCCCTCAATCTTTTGCCAGAATACTTGTTTTTTAGTCCAGAATTTTTCCCAGTTACTTCCAGACAAAGCCCTGGGCTTCATTCACATTTGTTTTTGGTCTCACCTACCCTTGCTGCCTCAGGCATTCCCACCATTATGGGCTGGATGAGGCCTGATTCTTCCTAGTTTATGCTAGGACAGATATCGTACAAGAATTGTATCTTGTCTCCAGCAGACTCAACATTTTTGTTGGCAGAGATGTATAAATAGTTATTAATAATTAGAATACATTGTTAAGTGGAACTTACATAACAATATATAATATGCATACACAGAGAGACAGAGAGATCACATGATGGTGAATGGGAGAAAACTAGAATGAGCGACACCTTAGGTAAGTTTTACAAGAATATAGGACCCACCAAGTGCACAAAATGAAGCTCCAGTATAAGTAGATGGAATAAATAGCAAAAATGTAGAAAAAGGATGCCCTACTCATGGAATGGCAGATAGTTCAGGACCAGTGAAATATAAAATGCTCATATCGCCTGTGAGTATCGTGGAAAACACTGAACAGGGAGATGGAAGCTTCTTAGCCTTCCAGAGTTTTATCGTTTTGGTAATGTCATGGCCTGGCATGATTTTAGCTAGAAGAGTGGCATGATTATTTATTGCAGAAAGACCACACACAAGAATTTGGAGATGGTTTGAAGTGTGTGTGATTAAGACAGGGATATTAACCAGCTGTATGAGAGAGAAAGAATAAGAACCTGATCTAAGATAAATGGGTGTGAAGATGGAGAAGAGGGGATGCATTTCAAAAAGGACACTGATTCAATAGGGTCTAATTATTAATATAATAGAAGGGGGAAATTGGTCGAAATAAAAGAAATGGTGTTTGGTGGCACCACTGAACAATAAATAAGATATTTGGTGGTGAGAAAAAAAATACAGCAAGTTTAGTTGTGAGAAGTTAAGGTGATGACCTTATCTTTCATATTAGTGAAATGCCTGTGGTGACATCCAGATACTAATACTCAGCTGTCACCTAGATATTCGGATCTTGTATTCCAAGGAGAGGTTAGGGGAAAGATGTCCCTCCAGCAGTCATCTCAAAGAATGTACGTTAGAAACATAATCAGTCTTGTAATCTAGTTAGATTTTTAGGATGTTCAGCTTGATGACATATTTAAAGTAAAAAGATGGAAAACTTATTTTTATGGCCAACTCTCTTATCTTCTTCCCACAGCACATTTTTGGGCTGGAACAGAGAACGCAGGCACCATCTCCCAGGTTTTACACATACTGAGAACAGAATAATGGACAATGATTTTCTTTTTTTTCTTTATTCTTTTTTTTTGAGATGGAGTCTCACTCTGTTGCCCAGGCTGGAGTGCAGTGGTGCGATCTCAGCTCACTGCAAGCTCTGCCTCCCGGGTTCATGCCATTCTCCTGCCTCAGCCTTCCGAGTAGCTGGGACTACAGGCGCCCACCACCACGCCTGGCTAATTTTTTTTTGTATTTTTTAGTAGAGATGGGATTTCACCATGTTAGCCAGGATGGTCTCGATCCCCTGACCTCGTGATCCGCCCGCCTCGGCCTCCCAAAGGCCTGGGATTACAGGTGTGAGCCACCGCGCACAGACTGGACAATGATTTTCTTGGAGTCATCAACTTCTTGCCCATCGCCTTAATATTTTGAGAACAGGGATGCAGAAACCATTAAAAAAAAAACAGTACTCAAAATCCTTTTATATACTTTGTGCAAACCCTCTACTCTGGATGAGAAATGATTGGAAAGCTCTTAAACCTTAGAATTTCAATGTCCTTTAAAATACTGACTTACAATCACAAAACCCAAAAACCTCTGATAATTGAAAGGTCTTTGTTTTTGTTGTTGTTGTTGTCGGGGACTTGCAAATACTTGTGAAAATCTCATTTGATAAAGAAAAGGATACTGTGAATTAATGTAAATTAATTTATGATTTTAAGTCAATTTAGCATTTAGCTTCAAAAGGACTACTATTTTTAATTGCAGGGTGGTATGCTGCAGAATTATAATTTTTTTTACAGGGTATACATATAGTTGCATGCATTATATGATACACAAATCATATTGATTTTTTACAATATGAAAATTTCAAAATTCTATACACATCCGTTCTAAGCATTTGGATGGGATATTTTATGAGCATTCAATTATTGCAATTTATTCAGTATCTGCTCTGTGCCAGTATAGTTCTTTTTTGTTTATGTGTAAAATATCCTTAAAACCATTTTCTGAAACATGTTAGCATCTCAGTTTTAGATATCAGAAAATTATAGATCAAATACAATGTTTATCCTAGGATGTATAACTAGCAATTAGTAGAACCAGGTTTCAAACCCAAGCCCTTGGAATTACAAAACCTGAATAATTTGCCACTGAAGAATCCCGTTTCCTGAGCTTTCGGTGAGATTCAGAGTAGCTGAAACAATGTCCTGTGATCAGCTGACCTTTATATTCTCTATAACAGAATAAAAAGTTAAAACTTTTGCTGAAATAATATTCATATATAATATCTAGTAAGACAAGCAGAAAAGACTGTAAGATTGACTATTACCAGAGTATTTGTCTAGTTTTGATTCTGAGAGTTCATTCTTATGCTTACATATGTTACTTTCTCTCTAATAAGTCAGTTCCATATGCAATTGCTTGGAACCTAATACTGTATTCCGATAATTCGCCTACCCAGAAAATCATTCAACAATGCCTAAAAGCCATCTATTTAATCTGATCTTTACATTTCATATGAAAGCACTATCATTTTAATGCAAAATACAGACTTTTTGGGGAAACCTTTAACTATTTGATCTGTTCATTAATTTTTCACTATTTTTAAAATATTCATCATATGTTCTATTTTAATTCCGCCTCTTTTCCCAGGCATATTTCTAGCTACGGGTATTGTTTCCTCATACCTGTTGCTACTACAGCACTGCTTCTCTCACATACTCTTTATCCCTCGCAACTCAAAACTCTCAGGTGCCACTTTGCTCTTTCATCACAGCATGGCCACGTCCAAGGATTCTTTGGGTAAATATGCTGTCATTCTTTTCTATAGAGATTCCTTTCCATGGAGATGTACTTAAGGGAAGTTTTTGTTGTTGTTATCACTAGAATTCATAAGCCTGTTCTCCATCACCAGAGCCTTCTTCCAAGGAGTACATATATCCCTGCATTCACCTTGAAGCCTTATTTTTCAGTTCTCAGAAATGTGTGAATTTAATGGAGCTCAAGGAAACATTAATACCCTGGCTTCTGGCTCTATTCTTCTGTGGCTAACACAGTATATATACAGTCATCCTTTTGTATCTGTAGAGTATTGGTTCCAGGACCCCAGAGGGTACCAAAATCCGCAGATACTCAAGACCCTTATATAAAATGGTGTAGTAGTTCCAAATAATCTACACACATCCTCTTGTACAGTTTAAGTAATCCCTAGATTATTCATAATGCCTAATACAATGTAAATGCTATAAAATAGTTGGTATACTATATTTATTTTATCAGTATTTTAATTGTTATATTGCTATTTTAATTTTTTTTTCAAATATTTTTGGTCCGTGGCTGCTTGAATCCACAGATGTGGAGACTGCCTATTCTGAGGGCCAGTTGTAATCTGATTTAAGCAACATGTCAGTCCTTACTGCACTCTCCATAAAACCTTAACCATCTGGCTGCAAAGAAGTCAGTCACATTGTTCATAAAACAAGGTCATTGCCCTGTAGAAATCTAAAATGCCCTTTATTATAGCTGTAGAAAATCCTTTTCTTCTTCTGTGGCAAGAAAAGTATTGACTAGGCTTTATAACTTTAAAATGAAAAAGTTTAAATTTGTGACAAGCCTGCCTGTGTTCAATAGAACCTCTAAGAGCTTACTGATGATGCTTTTGTCAACAGCTTTTCCTCCTCTCGTGAGTGAAGGTGACAGGACAGTGTTTAATTATGAATATTACCATTGGCCACAGTCTAATGATGCTAAGGTATTAGACCTTCTAAATATCACTCTATTTCAAAATTTTATTTTGTTTCAAGAGGATTTATGAAAGAAATAAATTTTTCACATGTTTCTAAGTGTCAAAAGGAAAAAGAATAAAAGGTAATTCAGTGCTAATAAAATGTGCATAAGGTTCATGCAAATTGGTAAGGCTAAGAAGACACTTAATGAAAATAAGTTTTAAAACTATAAATATATTTATTTCTTGAGCTTGAGCAGTAGTAGCAGTCCATTAGTATTATAATAGCAAGTTTTACATCTAAAAATAACTTTTTATATACAGAGTTGAAGGTCTAAAAAAATGTACTAGATCATAAAGAATTTCAGGAAGATTAATATTCTATTGTAATGTTTTATATGTGATTCTTATACCATGTCGATCCTACTGTAATATAAATATATACTTAATTCTTATTTTCAAATATAGAATGATTAAGTCATATTAGGACATTTATAATTCTTAGCAACATTATAAACTATATTACTAGAGGTAATATTAGCATGAAGCTATAAAAATTGTAGCATAAAAGGCTATGGTAGAGGATTTGAATATGTAAGTCTTACATATTTAGGGACCATATAATGATGTTATGCAGGCTTTTTAAGAAATTCTTTCTTCAAAAATGAATTCTCATTTTAGATAGTCACATTTTTCTCTTTAACCAAGTAAACCTGTGCTTATATGCTGACTACTGTTTTCAAATGTCTTTTGTAAAATGTAGTACATGTATACCATGTAAGACTATACAGCCATAAGAAAGAATGAAATCATGTCCTTTGCCGCAACATGGATACAGCTGGAGGCCATTATTCTAAGTGAAGTAACACAGAAACAGAAAATCAAATACCACATATTCTTACTTACAAGTGGGAGCTAAACAAAGAGTACACATGGACCTAAAGATGGAAACAATAGACAGTGGGGACTCCAACAGCAAGAAGGGAGGGAAGCAGGGGAAGGACTGGAAAAACTACCTATTTAGTACTATGGTCACTATTTGAGTGATGGGTTCACTAGATGCTAAACCCCAGCATTACACAGTACATCCATGTAATAACCTGCACATGTACCCCCAGAATCCATAACAATTAAAAAGAATAATACACCCCTAAAAAATTTTAAAAAATAAAAGGTCTTCAATTACTTTTTCTTTTGTATAACTAATATGCTTCATATCATATTTACATGATAATCTATTTATCCTTCAATAATGTCTGTCCCATATCCAGAAAAATTATAATTAAAAAATATTAACAAACATCCAACAACAACAAAATAACTTAAAAAAATACTAAACCATAGGCTAGGATCTGGCAATTTTAGTATGTATCCGAGGGCATTACCTGTTCTCTTGGGTAATGCAAAGAAAATGGGAACTAGATTTGGGAACTCTTTAAAGCTTGGATTCCTGAAGAGCTCCTTCTTTAATTAAATAAGAAAGCCCAGCAACTAACCAAAATAAACATAAAATTGCAAGTGTATCCAGACACTGGTTTAAAAAATAATTACCATGAAAGGATATAAAACTCCAAGTCTTTTTCCACATTGGTGGTGAGGTTTTAATTTATATTACTTTCACGGTGTAAAAAAATTCAAGCTCATAATTTAACAAAATATTGGTGGAAACCAGTTACAAATTCTAAGGCTGTGAGAGAAACAAATGCAATTTCTGCAGCATCAGAATTTTTCACCAGCCAGTGCATACAGAACCCTCACAATACCAAAAAAAACAACAACAAAAATAACAAAATAAACATAATGAAGAGGATCACACACACAAAATTGCAAACCACACCAGGAAACAAATAATCCAATCCACTCAAAAATCCAAATTTAATCCACTCAAAAACTAGCATATCAAGAAATCAAAATATTCTTGTAAAATCAGAAAGGGACAAAATATTAAGCATGTTTATATTAATTCATGTCATAAGAGAAAATATTTGATTAAAGATATAAAATAAATATAGAAATATAAAAACAACATGATAATATGAAAAAAATTAAAACAGACTTTCTAGAAATTAAAAAGAACTAAAATTTAAAAAGTAGTTGCAGATTAACAACCCTAGCCTTCAGAGGAAATAATAGGGAGTTCTGAGTATAATTATTAAAATTTAACTACCAAAGCACATTATGCTGAAACTGCAAAGAAATAAACAATAAGTGGGTGGGGGGAGTAAATTGAAAGCAACCAAAAGGAAAAAGCAGTTTGTTTTCAGGGAACAACCACAGACTAAGAGTGAATTTACGAGTTAATGGCAAATCATGGCAAAACATGTGAAATCATATATTGCAGTGAGGAACAAATAATTATCAAATAAGAATTCCAGGCCAGACGTGGTGGCTCATACCTGTTATCCCAGCACTTTGGGAGGCTGAGGTGGGCAGATCACTTGAGCTCAAGAGTTTGAGGCTACCCTGGGCAATATGGAAAAACCCATCTCTACAAAAAGTACAAAAATTAGCTGGGTGTGGTGGCCATGCCTGTAGTCCCAGCTACTCAGAAAGCTGAGATGTGGAGAATCGCTTGAGCCCAGGAAGTTGAGGCTGCAGTAAGCCAAGGTCACGCCACTGCACTACAGTCTGGATGATACAGTGAGACTCTGTCTCAAAAAAAAAAAAAAAAAAAATCCAGACACATCCATATTATTCTTTAAGATACATTTATGAAAAATATGTTCATAAAGATACATTCATAAAAAATTATTAAATGTATATATAGCACAATTTGTACATGTTGAAAGAACAACAAAAGGATATGCTTCAACAAATAGGGGGAAAGTATACCGACGGACCCAGAAGGAATAGTGAATTGCAAGAAGCGATGATGAGCAATAAACTGATAAAATTTGATGATTTGAAATTAGTTATGTTAGTAAACACATTAATAGAAAAATGATTAATTTCCAGTGGGGGGGAGATAAAATGAGGTGAAACTCATTAAAAATAGTGAGGAAGTCGAATGTCAAAGATTTGTGACTAATGTGATCTAAAATCCCAGCACTCTTCAGAAGGGCAATGGAGCAAATTATTATATAGTTACTTTCATCCAGTTTTGCTGGTGGTGCATGTAAACATTTAAAACAAATTACTCAAAGAAGAGCAAGAGATTTCATAACTTTTAAACTAGCACAAAGTAAAATGATAAAAAGGAACTCAATTATATCAAAACTCACAATTGGTGAAACAGAAAAAAAAAGAGATAATCTTAGATTGGACTTATAAAAACCTCTTAAGGGTTCTTGAGAGCTGCACCTAAAATATAATACAAATTGAGTAAAAAATACAAAAAAAAATGCGGGAAAAGCTTACCTGGCAAGTACTAATCCAAAGGAAGGCAGTTATGGCAATATTCACATCACACAAAAATCCCCAAATCGTGGAAGGAGAGAGCTGGAAATGTCATCAGTTGATTCAGGGGTTGTTGCCTTAAGCATACCTATTCAAACAACCTCTCTAAAATACTTTCCTTTTCTATTCTGTAGTCATCATTGTTTCCATGCCCCAGTATTCCTCAACCTCTACTTTGTATTGTTACTTTCCTCCACCAAAATTCAAATCTTTGTTATTTATTACAATTTCACATTTTTCAATATGCAAATGTTAAAGTAATTTTAACAATTTTAAAATATTAACAATAACCATAACGACAACAAAAAGTTTCCCCAGGATCAATGTTGTTAAAATATAGCTTTAAATGCTATGTCCTTTCCTCAAGAATTTGAGTATGTCTTAGAATAGTAAGCCTTGAGCTTTAAGGAGATGAATACATTAGTTGGCCATATAAACATCAACTCATCAGCAAATGTGGCTTTCTAACAAATAAATACATAAAAGACCTATTGCTTTTATTGAATTCAGTCTCTTTTGGAGACCATTAACCTTGTAAATATTAATTATATTCCATCCTTCATTTAACCATCAAGAAGTTCAGAACCAAATGTGAGGTATGCTTTTTACAACTGTGCAAAATCTTTTAGGGTATACATTTTGTATAATAATCCTCTTATTGTTTTATTTTATATCTTTTTAATATTTTTGTGTGTGATTCAAATAAAAATAATTTTCTACTCTCCATTCATTCTTTTAAAAATACAGTTTATTTCACATTTAATTGAGTGACATTTTTCAAGGTTGGGATGAATAAATTAAAAAACTGAAAAAATGAGGCAACTTCTATTCAAATTGATTTTTCCAGTAATGTTTTGGGACTATGTTTTAATAATTAAAAATGAAAATCTAAAAGAAAGATGCATACAAACACAAATATCAGTGAATAAAGGTACAAGCAGTTATGTAATTCATTTAGAATGAAGTTGTCAAGTGTTAAAAATTATTGGTATTATACAGCCTCTACTAGTATATATGCAAACGTGTAACTTTCCTCATATGAGCTGGAAAAAAAAGTTGTATATGTAAAAATTCAGTTTTCCTTCCTGGGTATTATATTTTATCATCAAAATTTTGTATTGTGGCACATATATCTGCCACTATTATGGCAAACACATAAGCAAATATACCCTTCTCTTGAATTTCAATTGTAACTTAAAGTATTTAAGTTACATTTAGGTGATGTAGTTATATTAGGTGATTAAGTTATATTTAGGTGATGAGATAGCTCTTTAGCACTTGGGGAAAAAAATTAAGAAAACTAAGACTAAGTTGGACAGTTATCATGATTTAAAAGCAGATGAATAGTAAAACTCAGAGTTTAGTGGCAATTTTGGAAAAATCACAACACGAAATAATGCAATCAGTACATAGCCATCTTTCATTTGTTAAAATGTTTCTTTAAGCTTATTTGTGTGCTCTCACAAAAAATGAAGTGACCAGTAACTTTAACATGATTTTAAAATCGTTTTAATGTTTAATAATAAAGCATTAAATATGTTTTTGTTGTTCTGATAGCAGTTTCTTTCATTGTAACTCTATGCTGTAAAGCTATAGGAAGAAGTGGTTTTCTTGGGATTTTTTTAAACTTGCCAGATGTTATAATGAAAGGCTTTGCAACTGAGCAGCATAGAAAGTAGAGGTAATACTTGATAGTTAATTAGACTTTTGACAGTCAATTTTGTGGTACTAAAAGTGATTAAATACAGTGAGTCTTTGGATTGACTTTATTAGTTTCAAACCTTAATATTACTTCAGTTGTATAAAATCCATGTACTCTAACTCTGATCTCCCCATTGCAAATATGAAATGTGAAAGGCTACCTATTAGCAGATTTTGATGCATTGCAGGATTAATTTATTTTGTAATAAATAAATACCAAAATACCATAATATTTATTTCAATGATATCTTAATACATGTTTATTAAAAGCAAAAGCTACTACATTGACAAATCAAAGCTAATGAAAAATCTAAATGCTATTACAAGGCAGAAATTTATTCTACTATTGTTCTACTCTAGACAAAGGATTGAGGAAGATTTTAAAATACCATTCTCTTTGGTTTGCTACCATTTGTTTTCTTTGTCAATATATAATATTGTCTTCTAAATTTCTTAATAAAATAAATGCTAATAGGATTTCTTTTATAAAATAGATGCCTTTCAGAATATTGATCACCATATATGTTAAATACAGTGAATATTAGTATAAATAATATTATTTATAAAACTATTGTATTATAAAATATTATCATAAAATATTTTTACCGGTTTCCATTTTGTAATCTATTACATGATATATAATAAAGATGAAGATACTGAATTCTCACCCTAAGGATTTATATTTGGGATTGTCTTTCCGGTGTTAGAACTGAATATATCTATGATTTAGTTAACACAAAAAAGCTGTCTCAAATAGAATCATAAAAGAAAGCCCCTACTAATATGGCGATTTTGGCTTTGGCTTGATAAAGTAATGTTTATCGGTAGTTCCTTGATGATATCCCCTAACCATCCTAAACCTAATGTTTTAATTTGTAAATTGGAAAAACTGGGCTATTAATTCTAAAATGTAAAATAAAATATCCTATAATTGTGTGATTTAACTAGCCTGGGAGGTAGTGCATAAACACATAAGAAATATATTTAAGAATTCACATTGAGTTGAAAAGATGTGTATGTAACTTTGAATGAATGTGTGTTAGGTGCCTAGAGTATTTACAGGCACATAGAAAGCATTATATTTGGCCATTATCATTTGACTTTTGGTTGATTAGCTATGAAACCCCTATAAAATCTCTTGTAACGTGCCCTGCACTTCTACTGAGCTCCTCCTGGAGGATCTCTGGCCCACTTTGAGTAACAATCTGCCTTTCTCAGCCCTCTAGTAGGACACAGAATTTCCTCCATGCAATAAAATCCTTTTGACTCTAAACTCACCACTTCCCTAAATAAATTCTACTTTTTCTTGAGTGGGTTTTTTTTTTTTTGTCTATTTTAAGGTAAACATAATAATTTTCACATAAACTCTTTTTAAAGAATAATGAAACTAAGCCTTAAAACACACCAGGCAAGATGGCTCATGCTTGCAATCCCAGTATTTTGGGAGGAAGAGGCAGGAGGATTGCTTGAGGCCTGGAGCTCAAGACTAGCCTGGGCAACAAGGTGAGACTCCGTGACATCAAAAAATAAAATAAAATAAAAATTTAGCCGAGCATGGTGACATACACCTGTAGTCTCAGCTACTCACAAAGTTAAGGCAGAAGGATTACTTAAGTTCAGGAGTTCGAGGGTGCAGTGAGCTATGATAATACCACTATGCTCCAGCTTGGGTGACAGAGAGATATCCTGTTTTTAATTTTTTTTAAAGACTGAAACAAAGGTTTTAAGTACAGATATGTTTTCTCTGAAAGCTGTGTCAAACATTGCTATCAAAATAGCTAACACACACATGCATACACACACTCACACACACACACACACCCCTACACAAATGGTCAGGGTGGGGCTGGGCTGGCCGTTAGGATGGAGATGGTGAGAGAAATGTTCTTAAATCGGGTATCCGCATTCACAAAAATGTCTCAAACTACCCTTAAAATTACTGCATTTTATTTTAGTAAATTATACCTCAATGGAAAAGAAAATTACTCTTTTTTCTAAAATATTATTATTTTAAAAATATTTTTGTAATATAAGAATATTAAAAGCCTTTTAAATCAACTATTTCAGGACAACAAAACCATGCAATCAGAAATAAACATCAAAAATTCCACTATTAAAATTTAGATAGTATAATTCAGTTCTACCCCATTCACAGAGGGTGCTCCTCTAGAAGGTAAATACTGCTCCCTATAGATAGATAAAACTAATTTTAAAAAACCAAGTTATGACATGAAAGAAGACACAGAACTACATCTCATTTTCCCAAAACTTCATTCAAATACTGTTGGCAATGTTTATAAAAGACTTGGGTTTCACTACTGGAATCTAAATACTCTAAAAATGAAAAGAGGCTTTATATATGCCCAGACTTTTAAAACTGAGACTATTTTGTAAAACCAATAATAATACTGGCTAAAGTTACAACTTAATAGAATTTAAACCTAAGAATTATCTTTAATTTTGCATAGAAATTTTTAGAACCTAGTTTACAAATTAAAGCTTTGTAAATGTTTTTCAAATAATTTCTTCTTTCAGAAGATTGATGTTGCTTAAATAGAGCTGCAATTGCAAGAATAATAAACTATTTTAGCTAAGCAAGGTTAACAATCAACCTGGCAGGTAAATGAGCCTTATGGATCTTTCTTAGTCTTCAGTTTGTCATTTCCAATTAATATCGCTGCTTACAAAAAACAATCCGTTGGAAAGTAATGATCTGACTGTTGTTAAACGAAACTTTCATTGACTGCCATCTACTTAGGCGTGATTAGATTAAAACCCAGAAATTATCCAAGTAATTGCATCAAATGATAGAGTGGTTTCTGACACTCATAGCCCTTTCGGTAACCTTATTTTGTTAGACATGCTAATCTGTAGTTCATCCTGGTGCAAATGAAAATTCCTAATTGTTATTTACTAAAGAACTGCATCTTTAACATTGATCTATCAGATTAATAGTTTGCCATATCTGGTGAGCTAATATGCCAAAGTGCCTAATTTAAAAATCTAAAGACACTGGGAATTTTTTGTTAAAAAAAGTATTTATCCAAATATTCAAAATGTTCAAAAAGTATTTATAGTCACTTTCTTCGGGTTGTAAATTGACGATCCAATTAGGCCTGACTGAATAGTTATAGCAGAATCCAATTTTTGAAACTGACAGGAAAGCCTGTGGAATTATAATATGTGGCTTGATGATATGAAAAATAATGCAAGCAACACAAATGGCTAAGCAGTTAAGTCTGTAAGTAGTTTTTGATATTAAATATTAGAAATTTATTTTTCTGATTAAGCTATTGGAGAATAAAAAGAACATATTTTTTAAAAAACAGAACAACAATGAATCTGAAACATGAGATTCCAAAGTATTTCAGGGTTGATCAATAGTAAAAAAGGTTAAAGAGGATAAAATGCTGCTATATATTTTTGTTCAACTTTAAAACTTAGATAAAATGTTTGGAAAATTGTAAATTTCCGTTGCACAATTAACTTTTAGAATGTAAAATCTTCACTATATTGCGTATAATTTCCCCATGAAGAAAGCTGGATATGTCACTGAGAGATGCAAAAGGAACCCAGAAAATCTTTTTTTTTTTTTTCTTTTAATTGGTCTTGCTCTGTCACCAGGCTGGAGTGCAGTGGCGCGATCTCAGCTCATTGCAACATTTGCCTCCTGGGTTCAAGCGATTCTCCTGCCTCAGTCTCCTGAGTAGCTGGGATTACAGGCGTCTACCACCACACCAGGCTAATTTTTTGTATTTTTGCTAGAGATAGGGTTTCACCATATTGGCAAGGCTGGTATTGAACTCCTGACCTCAGCTGATCCACCAGCCTTGGCCTCTCAAAATGCTGAGATTACAAGGTGTGAGCCACGGCTGAACTTGCAAGTTAATTACTTTGAGATGCAAAGCTTTGGAAGTGTTTCCCAGATTTCTAACTACACCATTGCTGTCCCTACGTAAGCTATCAACAATGAGTCTGAAAGACCAAGATCATAGGATTATTCTATGGAATGGAATGGATCTCTATTAGGCTAGGGTGTAGTAAAGACAAGATTTGAAACATGCAAAGAATATAAGAGCCTTCCCATATTTTCTATCTTGGAATAAATGAGGGGAAAAATGGAGAAATAACAAGGGCAGATAGCAAAGTAATTGAACCTGGGTTCCCATTTCCCTTTCCTTGGGCTTCAGCTCAACTTTTGGGCAATGCTCGGAAGAGTGAGAGTAAAACTCCAAACAGTGGGGCAGGGGATCATCTGCACCCCTGTGTTACTGTTACCATTTGTACAGTAACACAGAGGCCATCACACAAAACCGTCCTGGGACAGTCTCAGACATGAACATATCTTAATAACCTTGGGAGGAGAGCTGCTCAGTCAAAAGGAAATCTTTGTTTGCACTTTTAAGGCCACCTCAGTTCCTACCCAGCATAGTCACTAACTTGAGAGCCACTAGGGCTTGGCATGAGACCCATTCTCCAGACTGAAGTGATCTTGTCTCCAGAGTGGAGTAGAGCCACTGGATAGATAGAGGCCATGATAGATAATTTGCAGTCTGTACTCAGCAGGGCTAAGTCTCCCCTTCACCAGCCATGCCCACCTTACACCCAGACTGACACTATCTTGGAAAGAGGAAAAGTGAATGAGGAGACAGTTAAGAGACTTAACATCCAATGCAGATACCTGAGTTAAGAACATTTCTCTCACCATCTCCATCCTCACTGCCAGCCCAGCCCCATCCTGACCGTTTGTATATGAATGTATGTGTGTGTGTGTGAGTGTGTGTATGCATGTGTGTGTTAGCTATTTTGATAGCAATGTTTGACACAGCTTTCAACACATCTGTACTTAAAACCTTTGTTTCAGTCTTTAAAAAAATTAAAAACAGGATATTGATTAAAACCCAATATTGGGTGATATTGATTAAAAACACCCAATATTGATTAGATTGAATTATTTTATTCAATTGTTATCTAATTGTTAAATTAGAGTAAGTAACAAGTCGTATTGTACATTTTTTTCTTTCTCACGAAGGGACTTATTAAGAGATTTTTCTCTTTTAGGGACTTGGGAAGAAACCAAATACTATAGACTAAGTAAAAATATTATATTTTTTCACACATTCAAGTTAAGTTTTTTATGCTGATATATAGTTATAACTTGTATAATAAATGATCTTGATTAATAGAGTACAAGTATTAATAAAAAACAATCTAATTCTTAGAAAGTGTTTGCAGTGTTCAATTTGCTCCTGATGAGTTTTGCTTTTTACACCTACTATTTCTCCTTGCACCTAATATTTCCTTTTCTCACATAAAATCTCAGGCAGTATTTTTAGTCACCTTTATATAATGAAGTGTCCAGCCTGGTTTAATCATTACATACTTTAGAATGTCTCCATATTCCATTCACTCTCCACCTGGGGTCCTACTTTAGTTTTGGAATTCTGGAGTGGGATGAGGAAAATTCTTGTCTTCTTCCCATACCCTCCACTCACTAAATATGGTTTGTGATTCTATAGCCATTCGCCCAGAATAAAAGAACAGTGGAAAAGAAAACAGGTCCTGCTGGCATCTGTGCACTCGATGACCAATGCTCAATTGTTGGTTCTTCCTCTTCCGGCATGCTACTTTTGTTTCTTTGGAGATTCTCCTTCAGAGGATATCTGACTGTGTCTTCTGGATAGGTCATTTTTCCCCTCTGGCTAGTCAATTTTTACTACCTAGCAGCCTTTGAGAATCCAATATCTTATTATCTATCCTTCAGTTGGAATGCCACCTGTCCTTCAGGTGGTCTGTTTGGTCCATTTGGAATAGCTTCATGTTGGCTTCTATCAGCAGAGTATGCAGCAAATGGAAGCACTAACTCTATCTTTGAAGGAAGATACTTTCTTTCTCAGTGAAGCCACCTCAATTTTGCCCTGCTACAAACAGAAGTAGCAATTTCCATTGATATTTATCATTAAAATATCCAGGCCAGAATCACCACTAGTTCTCAAGTCCCTCAAGATCAATGGGACACAAGTCTCTCCAAGTGAGCACAATGAAGCCATTTGAAACGATAAAAAATCAGCTGTTTCCCTTTCCCAAGAGGCAGTGGATGCACCCGACACACCACCAACTCATTATAAGTGAATATCAACCCTCCCTCTGATCAGTCTTCAATTTCTCTTGTAAAACTCAGAGCTGAGGTTCACAAAACGAGTTTCACAATCTCTTTGCACTATCCAACTAAGTGGTCTTGCATTTTGAGTTAAGCTTTCAAATCTCTGGGTCTTTGGCACCCATTTTATTGTTTGTGGCCTTTGAGGCTTCTAAATCACAGAAGAATGTAACCTATTCTGTCCTATAATTCAAAATAAAAGGCTAAATTTTTCTGATAAGCTTTAGGGTTGTGGTAAAATGATGCAAATTTATCATTTCTGTATTTTTCCACTTACGTATGATATATAAATATATACAGTTAGATATACGTGATATACATAGAGTTATAACCATATATAATTTATAGAGAATGTTAAATATACAAAATTATATATAGTATACAATATATACATATATTTCATATTTTACATGTTACTTGTTTTGTAAATACTACAAAGTATGCAGTTTTCTATTTTAAATTATTTGCATTTAGTTTTTTATCCCGAATTCTTAAATATAAAAGTAGTAAGCAATAAATCATGTATTCTTCAATTTTGTACCTGTACACATTAAAGGTATTTATTTACCAAAAATTAAAATGTGTGTTAGGGACTACTGAGCATTCTCCAAATATCACTTTTTCTTCTCCTGAACATTTCATTTTCCGACCTTCTTTTCTAAAGAATTATAACCGTGTGACTGAATTCTAATTGATAGAACATAAATAAAAGCAATGTGTACCAATTTTAGACTCATCCCATAATTATCTCTCCTTCACCATCCTCTGTGATATATTTCCACTTCAGCTGAGATGGTGCTCTCCAAGGCACTGGAAGGTCAGGTACTGAAGAGGGAAAAGCTGCATTGGCATGGGTTGCTATGAGTGACTGGAGCACAAGCCCCCCTGAACTTGGAAATACTATTGGATGTTACAGAAGTGAAACTTTAATTGAAATGAGATAACTTTGGGACCTTTTGTTACTGTAGCCTAACCAATCTCATGGAGGCAGATATTGCTATCTTGCAGTGGAGTGCCTACATAAAAGAAATCTAAAATGTGTGCATTGTCTTACTGGTCAGGTAGGAGGTAGTATGAAAATAGATACAGCAGTTTGGAAATATGGAAACCCATGCATTCAGTAATAAAACATTTTGTAAAATAGCCATATAACTTTTAAGGCAGATGAAGTGCCTATTTGGCCTCTAGGGGAAATTTCTAGAATAGCATTTGCAGTTTCCAAAGAGGGTAACATGTCTTCAAAGTTTCTCTATTGCTTATAGATTGAATGCATGCCCTTAAAAATTCATGTTGAAACTTAATCTGCATTTTGGCATATTAAAAGATGGAGTCTTTGGAGCAGTTATTAAGTCATGGGGGTGCTGCCCTCATGAATGAACTAAGGCTCTTATGTAAAGGGCTTTTGGGTGTGAGTTCACTCTCACTCTTCTGCCATGTGAGAACAGTGTTCATACGTCCCTTGTGTTCTTCCACCTTCTGCCATATGGGGGCAGAGCAAGAGGACCCTTACCAGATGCCAGTGCCTTGATCTTGTATTTCCCAGCCTCTAGATCTGTGAGAAATATGTATGTGTTCTTTATAAATTGCCAAGCCTGTGGTATTTTGTTTTAGCAACACAAAGACACATGAAAGAAGCATCATTTTTTCCATGAAATAACCATATCCTTACTTCCCATTACAAAAAAAAGAAGCTCACCTCTAATAACCACTAATACAAGCAAAACAACAATCAAAACAGCATGTTTCAAAATTGTTGGGATAAAGTTGAAGAAGATGGGTGGAGTAAGTTAAGATGCATCAGTTTCTTAGGGCCAGAACTAAAAGGTGGAAAAAGTGAATTCCAAATTCTAATTGGAAATATACTGTTAGATTCATTAAAGTACTGACTTTTCCTGAGAATGAAATTGAAGAAGCACTTGTTAAGTTGGGTTACCTATTGAAACCGATTGATAAAATATTATTATGCTGTGTCACTCATTGAATAAAAATTATAAGAATACTGGACCTTGAAAAAACTTAATCTTAAAATAAAATGCTCAGACTTTTAAAAATCAAATGTTTCTTCCAAAGATATTTACTATTTACTATAGCAAAAACATAGAAAATATTAACACAAAGTGGCTCATTAAATGTCTATTTAAGTCATCTTATATAATTTGTAAATTTTATAAATCTTATACACTTCAGAAATTTGGATGATTTTCTTTATTGTTGTCATTTCTTGCGAGTTAGTCCTGAAGTAAAAAAATTGTAAGGTAAAATAGATCTATTAAAATCTTGTGATAGCCCACCCATCAGTCCTCTCACTGGAGATATATAAACAGTGATGTGTGACTGGCTCTTATTTCTTCCCAGTCAAGTTCTCAAAAGTGGGTGTCAAAAGTTCTTATCTGGGGACTGTGGTAACTTAGGCAAGGAAGGCTAAACAGGGGAATGACAGGGATCAAGAGAGTTCCCACATCCCTACCCCTCTCTCCGGTCGATTTCCCCAGATCAGATTGATAAAACTGGCACCAACTAACTTGAGGAAATTCCTAGAATTACAGCCACTGTCCTAGTAGGTTGCACAGGAGCCAGAACGACCCATATCTATACAAAAAAAAGGTCAAACGGCCACCACCAGGTGGCGCCAAACAGCAATCCAAATCAAGATAATTTCGGATGGCACAAATGAACCCACGGAGTTCTCAAACAACCAGACACACAGACATGTCCAGATTGTTTTTTAATCTCTCAGTAATAGAAAATGTACATTTTAACTAAAGGTTTTTGGACCCCAATTCTCCTTCGGTGGGTATTAAGCTTATATAATAACAATAATAATTGCAGTACCCTAATACTACCTCTATAACTTAGTAATTCTTTTACTTGTGAGAGAATAGAAGATAAACCCTGCAAAAGTTCTGGGATGTGTCACGTTGGTAAAGTTTCTAGGAACTCTGTTAGTTTGGAGCACAGTGTGATACCCGAACGTCATTTGGATGTGCTGTTCCCATCTAGTACTGAATAACTCATAAAACTGTGTGTCTAGGTTGGGCGTGGAGCAAACAAAAGACCTGCACCAGATCCAGATTGAGAAGCAAGCAGCCAGGCTATGCGAGCCTTATGATCCAAGACCCAGTAGGAGAATATAATATAAATCTCTAGGATATTCACATGAGACACATTCCTCTTTTGCCATCAACTGTTCTGCAACTGAAAAATATTATCCAGCTTGTCCCCAAAGCCTGACCGGAGTAAACCAAGAAACCAGGCAGCCCAATTTGCCCATTATAAACTGGGTGATTTCTAATGTGTAGGAACATACCATCATTAAATAAAATGTGTATATATAAGATCAAGGCCAAGAAGTTCTGGAGAAGACAAATACACTGAGTGAGTGACTCAGATGCCCATGGTGCTGAGCCATACTGTTGTACCACTTTTCCCTCAACCCACAGGTAGGGCCTCAGATGGTGAAAAAGATACAATTGAAAGTACAGCCCAAGTTTATGGATAGGTCAGAAATGAATTCCATTGCATTATGAACCTCTTCAGAGGTAACCCTGAAACATAGTGATAAAGGTAAATCCTATTAGAGTTTAGGGCAGCATATCCCATAATGTGCTGTATGTGGGAGGCAACATGACTTAAATTACAAATAGACCCTGAGTCATGGCCAGGGTTGATATGCTGGCCAGCTGGTTATGGACATGGGAAGAACAAGACTAAATGATTGGGACAAGAAGTCAGTGAGAGAGATATGTAGATGATCCTCCAGGAATACACTCAGAGGAAGCAGATTTTTTTGTTCCACATAAATGCCACTCAGAGAGAGCTCTTAAATCTTTTATAACAGTCAGCTCTTTTTCTAGTCCCCAAGGTCTTTCCTCCAGTCTTCCCAGTTTTTGCTCAAGAAATTCATGTACACAATGATTGTGGTGACATGTATAGAGACTATGCACAGGAATTTTTTTTTTGGCTAAATGGTTTTTCACTTAGTCAATGCGAGCTAATGGTCTTCCCCTCACAAGGCTTATCTGGATACAGATGTTTGCCAAAACTGCCAAGAGCAGAGGTCATTGCTGAGGTCCCGATATGGCACAATTCTTCAGGGGGACCATTTTGCATCTTGGAATCCAAAATGCATCTCCCTGGACTAACTTTTATGAACTCAGAAAAAAAGACTTATTGATAGCCATGGGTACTGTGTCTGGTAGCCAGAGGATTCACCTGGGTGCATTCTAGTACTCAAATGTCTAATAGTACTGGTTTATTGGATATTGCAACCACCAAATAAAGATACTATAATTATATCAATCATATGGGAATTAAGACTTGGATCATCACACTAGGTTAAAAAAAAAAGAAAAGAAAAATTCAACAAGCAAAAAGTTGTTGGCAAAGAGTAAGGGGGTGGAGGTATGGGATGGATGCCAGTGTAGGAAGCTACAGTTAATTACTAACTTAGCTTTCATGACACCAGTGGTGACTTTAACAGCCGTAGTTCTTTGATGAGTTATTTTTCCCCCTTTTTCTCTGCTTCTGTACTTAAAGAGCACTGGTGGTTTGTAATGCTCCAGGCATGGTTCTGTAAAGATATGACAAAACTGAAACTCCCTTACAGCGATATGGTGAGACTACTGGGACTTTGTATGTTTCCCACGTGGAGAAATGGGCTAGAGAAAGGACAAGATTACACATGCTGGGGAGAAAAGAAAGTAAACCCTGCTGAATATCCCCCTAATGCAAAGCCAGACTGTTTTCTATCCTGCTCTACGCTGTAAGTCTGACCTCTTTAAAATTTATCATCTTGACCTCCTTGCCCTCTACAAAGTTATTGGTGGGCAGAGGCAGAAAGAAGTCAAAATGTATATTTCTCCCTTTTCTCTCCCTGCTACTCCATGTCTGCATGCCTCACCTATGCAGATGCTATTAACGGTGAATCTCTCTCCCGTGGTTACAATTTGCCTGGAGGAATTGCCTGGGTTCCCTGCATCCTGTCAGTCCTAGGAGTGGTGACAATTTTCTCTGTTGCTAGATCCTGGGTGCTTCACCATCCTTTCTTGGATCCCTTAACCTGTTCACACTTTTGCGCACAACTTCTACTCAACTCTCTTTAATTACTGATTTGTACAGTCTTTTCCCTGACGTTTTCCAGCTGAAAATGACAGATTTGCTAAAAAAATTAAAAATGAGTTTAGAAATATCATATTATTATTAATTCCAATAGTCAGAATTATTTTCAAATTTATTTTTTACTTATAGGTAAGATCAGGAGCTCAAATAGTATAAAAGGGTCACAATTAAATGTATAAATTTCTTACACGTTAACTGGTTTATAAATTTCTTCTAATAAATTCTATTAGATTATGTAAGAGATGCCCTGAGAGTTAATTTTAACCCTACAATTATATTTCTAGAAATCAACCCTGAAATAATCAGTGGGCAAGATGTAAACAAACTATATCAACTAAAATATTCTTCAATTTCAATTTGAACAAATACATTAGGATATGTGTCAGTAACCCCTCAAATAAGACATTATGCAGTCCCAAAGACATGAGAATAATACAATAGACTTTGGGGACTTGGCGGGAAGGGTGGGAGGTGGGCAAGGGATAAAAGACTACACATTGCGTGCAGTGTACACTGCTCGGGTGGTGGGTCACCAAAATCTCACAAATCACCACTAAAGAACTTACTCATGTAACCAAATGCCACCTGTACCCCAATAACCTATGGAAAAATAAAAAAAAATTTTAAAAATTTTTAAAAGAGTCCTTTAAAAAATATTGTATTTACTAATATTTTATTATTTGTGCCTCTTAAGTGCTTGAAACTGTGCTTATCTTTCTATGGTAGAAATGTAAATTATTATTTTCTTAGATTTATAGCATGTATCATAAAAAGCTATCTGGCCAGACTGGATCATTGAGGATAAGATGCAGCAGGAGAGCTATATGGATAGTCCTCTAGAAATAGATGCAGTGTGAGTAGATAATATATCTGAAAATATCTTCGTCCTTCTGGTCAAACTGGTTCTATCATTTTCTGCTCATGTTCTTTGGCCACTCTTTGATCTTTGGCAGCTGTGGACAATTCTTTGGCCACTGAATGCTTTTTTTTTTTTCCTTAGAAAAAACTGCCCATCTGCAGATGGTTTCACCCTGACTTCAAGCTTCAAATTCCCCCATTAACCAGCAGGCCAAGCCTACCAAAACTATCCATCAATGAAAACAGCCACCATGAGGCTCTCTGATGAAACTGGCAGTGTCTTAAACAAGTTGAAAGGGTAAAAATACACTATACCTGTGGCCTTAAATAAAATAACGTGTGTACAATGAGTTTCTGAAGTTTAATTACATTTTAATATGGATTTAACTTAGAAATAATATGTATAACGATATTAACCCAATTAGAGACCTGTTTGATCATCCAGGGGTTTCTCCTCCAGGTCAGGTACTTAGGTCTGTGAGAACCAAAAGCAGGATTACAGACAGCTTTAGCAACTGTCATTATCACCAAGAACTTCAGACCAAGAGTGTGTTATCCCAAACTAGTACAAACAAAATGCACCAGATATCACCCCCAAAGCATGTGTTTTTTAATTATAGTTACCTCTTTAATCATTCTTACATTTTAAAAACACTACGTAACATAAAATATAGTCATGCCTGGCTTAACAATGGGGATTTCCTCTGAGGAATGCATTGTCAGGTGATTTCATCCTTGTGCAAACATCGTAGAGTGTACTTACACAACCTAAATGGTACAGTCTACTACTCACCTAGGCTACATGGTGGAGCCTATTGCTCCTAGGCTACAAACCTGTACAGCATGTTACTGCACTGAACACTGTAGGCCCTTGTAACACAATGGTAAGAATGTGTACATCTAAACATATCTAAACATAGAAAAGGTGATTATGTCACACTGCCACGTTACCATGGCTATGACATCACTAGGTGACAGGACATTTTCAGCTCCATTGTTTTCTTATGGAACCACCATCCTATATGTGGTCTGTTGTTGATTGAAACATAATGTGGTATGTGACTGTAAATCAATTAATGTTGAATACATGCCATGCAGAGCCCTGTGTCGGGTTAACTGGCCACATACTGTAGAAAAGGGAAGAACTGCCCAGGGAATCTCCTCACTTTATGTAATTCAATAAAACTTAGTGCTGGAATTTCTTAGTTGCCATGTATGTTAGATCACTATTTCACAAGAAATTCTTCATATTAGAGGTATGGGCATCTTTACTAAGAACTACAAACAATATCTGAAAGAAAGTATTAAGGATAGTAACATAAGGAAGAAAAACACTCTGCAATTTTCTGCCTATTGGAAGTTCTCTCTGAGACAGAGAAGACGATGACTGGTGTGACACCCTTTGCCAAATAAAATCATCTGGCTTAAGCCTCTGAGCAAGAATAATAATAGCTCTAAACACACTGCAGATATCACTATATAGTAGTAATTGAATTATTAAATTTTAAATCAGCTCTTCCCTATTGTTTGAAGTCAAAATAATAAAGAACTAAAACATAAAAATTTCTACAAATTAATTGATAAAGTGAAAATAGCTTATGACAATACACTATTTTACATCTAGATATTGTATGCATTTTGAATATAATTCATCCTGTATGTTAAATTATTTTAATCTGAAAATATATCGCATTGGTTGAAAAGTAAGTTCTGGCATTTGAAGTTTTTTTTTTTTTTTTTCTCAAGCGTCTGGCTTTTATTTTTGAACTCATGTATCTTCCCCTTCCTAAAACGTGACATTTTGAGGTGACTGAAGAGGATCAGAGAATACCTTATATGATATGGTTTGTGCAGAATTTTCTATCCTTACCTCCTATCATATAATTTTCTCCCTGAACTGTAATCAAATCATTAAATCCCCAAATCTTTTCTTTCATGTTCTCTCTACCTGGAATTTGGCCACCCCCTCACCTTGATTAATTCCTAATTTATCCTTGACATTTTTTGAAATGTCATTCTTCAGGGAAGTTTTTCCCAACTCCTTCAGACAGAAAAGATCAGGTTTTCTTCTAATATGACACTGTAACACCCTGAAAAATTTCTTCACACAGTCTTCACAATTTAGAACAATATCTGCTTGTTCTAAAATGTTTCTGATTAAATTGTGCTAAATTTCTGTTTCATGTTTGCACTTTTCATCCACTTTCTCATTAATTTTGTCAATGTTTACATGTTAAAGACTATGTTGTCTGGTTCATACAACCTCATCGTACCTGATATTTTCTTGGGAAATCATTCCTTTGCTCACTAGGTAATGTCCCTTGTCTTGCATTTTGTTTGGGGATTTTCTTTGTACTATTTAATAGTATATATAATTAAGACTTCTATTATAAAATTTCTATGTTGTTTTAGTTCTTTTGATTTAAAACATAGGGGTGGGGAAATCAACCCCCATGCAGTCAAAAATCCATGTATAACTGTTGAGTCTCCCAAAACTTAACTATTAACAGCTTACTGTTGAAGCCTTACCGTTAACAGTCCATTACACATGTTTTGCATTCTTTTTCTATATTTCTACAGTAAAGTAAGCTAGAGAAAAATGTTATTAAGAAAATCATAAGGAAGAGAAAATATATTTGTTATTCATTAAGTGGAAGTGGATCATCATAAAAATCTTTCTTTATTCTCGTTGTCTTCAAGTTGAGTAAGCCGAGGAGGAGGAGGAAGGGGGTCTTGCTGTCTCAGGGGTGTCAGAGGTGGCAGAAAATTTGTGTTGAGGAAACACACAGTTCAACCCATGTTGTTCAAGAATCAACTGTACCTAAGTTTTGTTTTTTGTTTTCTTCAATGGAACAGTTGGGTTGCATGTATTTATATTCAATTGTGATCACCACATGTTTGAACTTCCTGTCCCCTTATTTTATGTTTTATTTACCATACTTCTGTTTTTCTCTTTGATATCTTCTGTTGGACTGGTAATGCTCCTTGTTCTTCTCATTTTAAAATTCTTTTTAATTGAGTAAAATTTTGTATCACTTAAGAATAAGGGGAGGCTGAGGCAGGAGGATCACTTGAAGCCAGAGGTTCAAGACTAGCCAGAGAAACAGATCAAGACCCTGTCTTTACATTTTTTTTTTTAATTCCAAGCTTGGTGGTACATGCATTGCTACTTGGGAGACTGAGGCAAGAGGATCACCTGAGCCCAGGAGATTGAGGCCGTAGTGAGCTATGATCACAATGCTGCACTCCAGCCTGTGTGACAGAGTGAAACCGGTAAAACAACAACAACAACAACAACAACAACAACAAAAGAATAATCCTGCATGTGTACTATTGAAATGAAATATAATAATAATTTAATAAAAATTTATGCTCTCTGGGCCAAGGGCCAAGTATGGAGCTACAGACTTGAGGGCCCCTTATATTGTTGTTCTGCCATTCTTGGCAGCAAGCTTGCTATTCGTGTCTATCATGATCTCTTGAGTTGCAGTTATGTATAATTTTCCAAAGTTACATATGACTTTCTCAAAAGTATTCCACTTGGACTTAGTCATATGGCCATACTTTGCTTCCAAGGAGATTGAAAAATCTCTTTATTTTGGGTAGCCATGTGCCCAACAAAATTTTGACATTCTAATACTATTCAAAAAGGATAGGAACAACATACAGTTTCTGCCATGAACACTAGATTGAAGATATTGTTTTTAAGTGGTAACATATCACACTTCATAAACTAACTTAACTCTTTGTTTCTACTAACAAATCCTGAAGTTTTCATTGCCTGTTCTCTCAAACAACACTAGGATCTTAGCAATCTTTTTTCTTCAATGCTTATTTTAAGTTCTGGGGTACATGTGCAGGATGTGCAGGTTTGTTATATAGGTAAACGAGTGCCATGGTGGTTTCCTGCACAGATGAACCCATCACCTAGGTATTAAGCCCAGCATCCATTAGCTATTCTTCCTGATGCTTTCCCTGCCCCCACAGACAGGCCCCAGTGTGTGTTGTTAACCGCCATGAGTCCATGTATTCTCATCATGCAGCTCCCACTTATAAGTGAGAACATTTGGTGTTTGGTTTTCTGTTCCTGAGTTAGTTTGCTGAGGATAACGGCTTCCAGCAATCATTAATCACACCAACTACTACTCACATCCAAGTCACTATTGATTTTTAACATTTTGGCTGAAACATTTTGGGCTTATAAAATTAGTCTCTGACCTTTTTAGAGTCATAATAAATTAAATTTACCATCTTCTGTTACCAATTTCTGATAATCTTACTAAATGTACCATTATTTTTTGCATTTTACTCTATTCCCAGGTTTTATTTTATTCTTCTTTTGAAATATACCTTTCAGATGTTTTTTAGAAGGGGACTAAGGGTGAAAATTATCTTTCTGTGTGTCTGTAATTACCATTATTTACATTTGCTTTAAGATTATAATTTAACTAAATACAGAATTGTAGATTGTAATTTACTTCCCTTCAATTTTAAAGACATGGGTCAATTTTCCTCCCATATCTATTGTTAGTAGTAAGATACATGCTGCAGGCATAATTGGCTTTCCTTTTAGATAATCAGTCTTTTCTCTCTGGCATGTTTATGATTTTTCTTTATATTTGCTGTTCTTCAATAAGGATGTAGGTATGAATTTTTTCAATCTTTTGTGACATTTGTTGCACATGTATTTTATATTCCTCTTTCAATATGGAAATTATCAATGATTACATTTTTAAATGTTTTCATGTTATTTCCATTTTCACTTAATATTAACTTCTGGAACTCATGTTAGAATGATGTTGAGTTAATCATCCTTCTATTATTCAAAATGTATTCTTTGTATTGGGCTTTATTTCTTTCTGTTTCTGTTTTACTATGTCTGTTCTTCAGAATCACATAGTATCTTAGTATTTTCTCGCTCTTCTATTGTTTCACCTATTCATAAAGATTTCTATTTTTGTTTTTAGTGTTATTTTAATGGCTCATTCTATCTATCTATCTATCTATCTATCTATCTATCTATCTATCTATCTTTCCATCCATCCATTAATCCTCAACTATCCATCCATCTAGAAAAAGAGAGCCTGAGAGAGAGAAAAGAGGCAGAGAGTAATTATTTTTAGGTTTTCAATAAAATTATTTTAGTATACACTGAATCTCATTTCATTTTTACTTGCTTTTGATTAATCTTTTGTTTTTTATACCTGTTTTTATTGTCTTTTTGAGCAAGATAAACATTATTTTTTATCAAGATCAGATTACCATATTTTGTTCAATTGCTTGTGCTGAATTTATTTCTTAGCAATTGATTTAGTTTCTTGGCTGCGAAGCACAGGTTAATTTTAGCTAGTCTGGATTGACTTCTTGTTTACCTCAAGGTATTGACTGTTGGCCAAAATAATGAAATGTATTAATTAAAGGCAAGAAAATGACATTCTGTAGCAAAGGGCCTATGAGTGTTTTGGAGGGTATGATATATTAGCCTGTTTACATTGTTTGGTTAAGGTAAATTGTTTTATGATTTGTACCTCATTTTGTTGAGGACTGGCTCAATTTCATGGTTCAGGATAGACATGTCATTTAAATAAACCTATGTGAATGTCCCCAATAAGAGACTCTACCATATAGGACATGGTTGCTGAATTCTTGCACTTAACCCCCAATAGGTAAGAATCCTACCTTACTCATGTTTTCAAACAGTAATCCTAGTTTTTAAATAAAGTTTCTAGCAAGGACACTTTTAATACCTGTTTCTCCAACAAGCTGCAGGAACTCTTGGCCATCTCTTTATGATGTCAGACTGAAGTCAAAAAGCCCATAGCCTGAACCAGGCACATTGCTCCATTTCCCGTCTGTGAGATATTTGTCATGTGTTGAGTTTTAAAATTTTTCTCTCATCATATTTCATATATAGCATCATATCTTTGAAGGATAATTGACAAATTACATTTAATGAGTAAACAACCAAAAGTTAAAATTTGGATTTAATCTTCACCTTAATGTTTAGATAAATTCATATATTTTTATATTCAGAATAATAGCTTCCAATTAATAAAAACCTGGTCTGATATTGATAGTTTTATATTTATTGAGTCTTACTGTGCCAAGGTTACTGACTCTATTAGAGGTATGAAATAAGACAAGGTAAATAGAATAACTATATTTGTTATAGCCTAAATATTATCAATTGTTTTATTATATGAGCTACTTTAGAAAAGGGATATTCACATTTACTGAGGGGGAAAAGAACAAATCTACTTGATATTATTGTCTATTACAAACACAAATATTATCCCGTTTTACTAAAATACTTTATTCCCTAACAACAACATAAGGTGTTAAAAAAGCACAGTTACTGTGATCAAATTATTTAAGAACACATTCCAATATTATTATAATGATAAATGGCTCACTTACAAGAAAAAGGCACACTGTTAAGTGAACAGGGCAGAAAAGAGAAAAATATTTGAATTACAGAGCCAAAAGTTGAAAGATGTCTGCTCGCCTACAGTGGATTAAAACATTGAGCAAAGAAAAACTAGAGACAAGACCGGGCATGAAGTAGAGTATTATGATGTAAGAATGGAGAGAGAAAATAATTAAAAATAGGGTTTATGCATCTGCCAGCAATCTTTCCCTCTCTCTGTTGAAACTCCTTTCTTTTCCTTTAGGGATCTGCCCCTCTTCATGCCAATGTGTTTGTATTCCAATGATAGACATGACACAACTTTAGTTATAAAGGAAATATTAAACTAAATGCTGCCATTCAAATTCAGTTCTTTAGGGTTTTGTATCTGGACCACGTACAGGGGTAGCAATGTTATTAATTCCTTTATTTGAAGTATCTAGAGTTCTGTTAGTCATTTCCTGTTTGTTTAACTTAGCCAGGGCTGGTTTATTTTGCTTGCATTAAAAGACCAAAATTCACATAAACTTGCCAGAGCAAGTACACCTACTTCAACAAATAAACAGAAAATCTGAATTTAGAAGAAGAGGCTGAAAAACAAATCCAAATTTACAAGCCCAAGAAATCAAAATAGCAAAAATCATTAAATAAAATCAAGATTTTAGGGCAGGATTTTGTTTTTGAGAGAGGGGTAGTATATGAAGCAAAGACAAAGAAAGTTTTCCACTTCTTACATATGATTTAATTCCTCAGTATAAAGATGCTCAGTTAATATCAATGATCATTAATATAAAGATGTTGTCAGCTAGAGCTCCAGAGGCAAAAATTGAGGTGGTAATTATTTCTAGGCATAGCAAACTGAGTATCACAAAGAAAATAAAATAAACTGAGGAATGAAGCTTGGCACCGCTCTGCTGTTGAAGAGAATGGCACATAGGGCTAGATGTTGACCAGCTTCACAGATTACAATAGTGTCAAATTTTGGTTTCTTCATCTGTAAAATCACATAATGGATTTGTGCAATTCCTAAGATCATAAAAAGTATCTTATGTCACTCTCAGCAGGTACTGTATGCTCAGTTAATGATTGCTAACTGACTCCTGAGACCTTAGTATGCAGAACATACATGTGTGTTTATGACTAAAATACCCGAGCTTTATAAAAAAAAGAAAATACTGCATTCTACTAAGATATAATTATGATTTTATTAATTATCATAGAAAAAAAGGCATAGAAGGGAAGATCTCAACTTAAATGACATTTTGACAAATACATATTCTGTATCCAATTCTAAAAATTATAAGCTGCATTTCTAATTAGGTTCTGAAAAACATACTAAAGAGCTCAATTGTCATTATCTCTTAAGATGCTAATGAGACAATGAGTACTGGTTATTTTATTATTTGGGGCCGATTTGGATTCATCTTCTTAGTTCCCTGTGAAAAACTGCTACATATAAACATGAATTCTTCAATTACGACTAATGGCTTTGTTTCTTAATTGTTCATGCTTAGCAGAGATACTCAGCAGGATTGCCCATTATTGCCACTGTGATTTAATTTAGTTCAGAGCCACTGGCAGGACATATTAGTCATAATATCATGGTATCATGACATCATCATTATCATAAACATTATTACTAAATTAGGAGTGGGAAATCACCAGTGCCGAGCATTATTATATGACTTCTTTAAACTAAAAGGAATTCTTCCCTAGTGCCAAAGTAATTCACCACTGAGCATTTTTAAGAGCTTATATTTTTAAATCAATATATTATAAATATATTTTAAATAAAGAAAGGTAGCATAATTCTGGGGTAAAACAATTTATATTTGGTCCTTTAAATAAAAATTCAATAAGTTACATTTTCATAATATAAGCAATTATTCATTATTATTATTATTATTATTATTATTATTAAGGGTTTGATATGGCCAAAGTAAAGTTCTCAAGGCTTCATTGATCTTGTTTACTTCTCACACCAGTCTTATAAGAATTTTTCCTTATCTGAAGATAGGAAAGTGAAGGTTAAATTGAATAGGCAGAAACAAACAATAATTGAAATCACTCTAGCAAATCAGTAAATACATGGCATGCAGGCCTTCACACCCCTAATCCATGGTGAACCTCAGAATGATTCTCAACACAACACTATAGTATTCCCAAAACACATGAATTAGGATGCTCAGGGAATCTTCCTTGCCTGCCTGGGCCCCAGTGTTACCAAAAATATTTATAGAAATTTAAGATGAATTTAAGGTTGCTGTTACTAGTAAATAGTCTTACTTCTCCATTAGAATTTACTAGATGAAGGCACTTCTCCATTTGAATTTACTAGATTAAGGCAGCCCTCTATAAAATTATAATACATTCTTTATTTTCTTCTAATGATCACATGTCAAATTCATAAGCTGTCTTATGTCATTAAAAGTGTTTTACTAAGCAAATTAGCAAATGTATTATATACTACTGGACTTCAGAGTCCTATCCCACAGAAATTGTATCTAACATAAGAAAATAAATATTAACAGAAATAGCCACTATCTTCTTGCAGAAATATCTTATAATAAAAAGTAACTTTCAGAAAGAATCTGACTATTGGAATTAAAAGATTTCCAGATTATCAAAACCCTCAGAATTCTTATAAATTCTATGAAGCTATTTAAATGCAGCCAATCTAGGAATAAGTGAAAAAATATTTTAATATACATACACAAAATTGTATTTACTATTTTTTCTTGTGCAAAAAAGGCATTCTGAAACAAGATATTAGACTTAGAAATTAGAGATAAAATTTGAGTCCATATACCCAAGCTGTATCAAAATAACAAAAAAAAAAGAAACTGCTGAATAACAAATTATCCTGGGTATGGGAGAGACTCAACTGATACAAGGTCGTCCCGGTATTTTTCAGTATGAGATACTGAATGTCTTTTGCTTAATAGAAAGATAGAGATAAGATTTAAAAGCACAGTTTGATACCAGCTTAACCATCTAATTAAAAACACTACCACAAAATGAAACCTACCTTGGCAGCATGGGAATGATTTCATTTTTATCAGCTCAGCAAGACTTAAGTCATGTTCTGTGATTAAAACCATAGCTCGTACATATGTACTGTCACTAGCAAACTTTTAATCCAGATAAAATATGGCCTCCAAGATCTATATCTGGTGAGAATTCCAATTTAACTTAAGCCAACAATGCTGTAGCTAGAAAAATCGTTGGAGGTTAATACATCTACATATAAAGCAATGTTAAATTCATTTGAAAGGACATAGTTATTTTAAATTAATCAACAATAATGTACTGTTCAGGGTGAAAACAAAAATAGGCAGAGTACATAAATATAAAAGTAATTTATCTCCATACAGAATTTCAAATTTTGAGACTCTTCCTGTGTTAAGCAAACATTTTGCCAACAAATACATGTGTGTTCAAGTATATTCTGAGTTATGTATTAGTTCCCAGGTTAATATCTACTCATTGATAAAACATACATCTTTATAAACCAGTTTAAACCTTTATAGGAACCTATTCAGTGTAGGTTTCAAAAACAACCAAAAAACTAGACGAGTGAGTAGCAAATAAGGGAGTAACTCTGCCAACTTAAATACTTAGGTCAACTCCAAATAGAAGAAAAACACAAACAAGGGTAAAGTTTGGGGATAAAGGTCAAAGGACAAAAAAAGCTATTTCTTCTGTAGACTGAATGACTCAAGAGACCTGATGTAGCAGTACTTTTTTGTTGTTATTGTTGCTGTCGTGAGTTTTGCTGTATGCCTTCCATTATTTCTATATGATTACCAGAACATCTCAGTGTGATCCCATATTTAGAGTGAAGGACAATACAGAAAGTGGAACAGGTTTAAATGTTAGGATAAGCAGATAATGTAATGTAAGATGTGATGAAAAAAAAAAGTATCCTAGGGTAGGAAATTGAAACCTTACGAGCCAGCTCAAGAAAAGTCCCTACAGGACCTACCTTTCCTTAAGCAGAAGGAAGTTAAACAGCTCCAAATTTAACACATCTCCATGGATTAACCATGTTCTACCCTTGTTGCAAAACCACCCCTGATCATGTCTCTCACATGTGATAGCAGGCTGCTGTCTAACCCTGAAACCCAATCTGCAATTTTCACAGTTCTGGTAATTGTTTCCCTGTCTTTTTCCCTACCCGAATCCTGGCTAGGAAACATTTCCTAGAACCCTAGCGTGAACCTATATCTATCCTTATTTAGTCAAACCTTCATTCTCATCCTAAAAGATTAGATGCCCTGTCTTTGAACATTAATACAACAGCCAGTTAAAACCTGCTAACTTATGTGCCTACTATCAGGAGTTCCACAATTACTACTTCTTCCTGATTTCTGCAACTCCATGTCATTCTGCATTAGCAATTCTGTTCCAATGTATTTCTGCCTTAACAACCCCCATTTCCCTTATCTTTTAGAAAAATTAAATTATTCACCATAGCTTAAATATCACTACAGATTACATTTGAGCTTCCGCTGAACGCAGCTCCCAATGAGATAATCCATTTTTTAACTTCATATTTTAAAGTTTTATGAAAGACCATTTAATCTATCTTGCCCAAATATATTTAAATCAGAATCTCCCTACTCATTTAGTTACCCATTGATAGAAGGAAATATTCCTAATGAGACACCCAAATTGGCTCAACTATTTTGAGCTCTGTTTGGTATGCTTTTGCGACGTGCCAAAATGTATTTCCCTGGATATTTAGAACTGATCATTTGACTTCACAGTGCCCTTATCTGCGTTTTTTCTCTGTTCTATATGAAGTAAAAAAACACCCAAAGTTTGAAAGTTTCTTCTCCTTCATGGATGTTCTTTTTTTCCTTGACCTTATTTCTTTATTTATATCCCAACTGCAGCCTTGTGCCCAGTCACAGTTTCAACCAAAAATAACTTTTAGTCCTACTGTAAGCCGGGTGCAGAAGAAATACACAAAAAAACAATTTTTAAATATTCTTGCTGACTTAGTTATTTAGGATCATTTTAGGCTGTTATTTAGTGGCCTCTGAAATAAAAGACTTCTGATAGAGTAGCTCATGCCTTTAAGATATGGTGTATTTTGACATTTAAATTTTTTAACGGAATAGTCTACTTTTAAATTCTATGTTTTTTTACTCCTCTCTGTGAAGTGCAATCCATCAAAACAAAAATGAACAGCTACTGGCTAAGCAAAGTTATAGCATCACATATTGTTTATATTATTCTATATTCTAATAAAAATAAATACGACTCTCTAGGTTTTTATGGTTTATTTTTTTTTAATATTTAGATGGCTTAGCTGTATGGATGCCCTCTAACGCTGTTATATCAACAACAAAAAAAATATTTTGGGAGATCCATATTGTTTGAAAATTTTGTAATTTTACTCTCGAGACCACATAGAGTGCTTCTCCCTGGGTGAGATTTTGGATCTAGATCCTTATCTTATTCTTACTGCCTGAAAGATCTTGACCATTATCAAGTGATAAGGTAAGTTGAAGATTTACACTTTTAAATTGTGCATTTTTTTACAAAAGAGATTGTAGAGTTGAGAATTTGAGACCATTGCTGCTCAGCTCTTCACTCACTGAGGCAATGTTGCCATCCTCAAAAGTAGGGGAGAAATTGAGGATATTTGCTTGTGCTTTATATACACTATGCAGGTAAAAGATTTTACAGGGGCCAGGCGCGGTGGCTCACACCTGGAATACCAGCAAGTTGGGAGGCCGAGACGGGTGAATCACAAGGTCAAGAGATCAAGGCCATACCGGCCAACATGGTGAAACCCTGTCTCTACTAAAAATACAAAAATTAGCCCGGCGTGGTGGGGTGTGCCTGTGGTCCCAGCTACTCAGGAGGCTGAGGCAGGAAAATCGCTTGAACCCTGGGGGCGGAGGTTGCAGTGAGCCGAGATTGCACCACTGCACTCCGGCCTGGGCGACAGAGCCAGACTTCATCTCAAAAAAGAAGAAGAAAAAAAAAAAAAAAACTATTTTACAGGAACACTGTCCACACACTAAGGATTTTTTGAAATATCTAAAAGCATCTTCAACATGACTGCCCAGATCAGCTCACTGTTTTCAGAGTTCAGGCTCCACAGGCACACTGTGAAAGTCTGAGAGCCCAGAAGGCACTTGAACTCTTCTGCATTGCTGGGGCCAAATGGAAGAGAAACAAAGAAGTCACTATAGATGAATGTGTCACCTAGAACACCTAACTTAAGTGGAGGTGGCTTTAACCTTTTAGGAAAATCTGGTTCATACCAAATATATAATTTGACATAACATAGTTTTATCAAGTATTTTCCTGAACTTGTCTGCACATCTAATTAGATAAAGTACATGTCTAGCTTTTGAGAAAGTAAAAAACTTTTTGTTGTTGTTGTTGTTGTTACTTTTGTTTTTGTTTTTAAGCACTGATATAACGACAAACCAGTCACAGAAACAGAAAGCTCTGGGACAAGTACAATTCTATACACTATCAACATGCGCAATTTTCAGGAGAAGGACAATTATCTAGCATGAGCCTAAAAGGACCAGTTTCAACGGCACATGCTATGAGACCCCAGAGACAGTAGGCTACAAAATAGTCACTGCATTCCTATAATACAGCATGATGTACCAACTTCTTATATGTGAGGAATCCCCTCTGCTCCTGTCTCAGCTCACTCAACTTCAAAAATTTTAGGATTCCTTACAACTCAGGTCCAGATACTAGTGTCTATATCATTAGGACACTTTCAGTTGGACATAAGAGAATTAAAAATGGTTTGACCAAAGAAAGAAAAGAAAGGGTAAAGAAATTTATGTTTACGGCTCACTTCAGACATGGCATACTTTCTTCATCTCTTAACATAGCATTCCTACATTTTGTGTTCTTGCCAAGGTGGCTCTGATTATCTACAAATTTATGTTATATTTTCTAGCTAATCTTGAAAAAAGAGAGCTTCTCATTCCCGTGATTCACTCCACACGTCCCAGAATCTAATAGCCTGGTTATGGTAACTATTCACTGAGAACAGGGGCAGGGAGGCTCTAATTGGTCAGATCTGTGTCACATGACCACTCCCAGGGTGCCATCCACCTATAGAGAACCTGTGGTCTAACAGTAAGAGCGTGGTGCATGTTTTGTTTATTTTTTCCAAAAAAAAAAAAAAAAAAAAAAATCAGAATGCTAAAGCCAGAAAAACAGCTGCTACTTGAGCAAAAATATTCATCCAAAATACATACACTCTATATAAAGTTACAGAATTAACTCACAAAGTAAAAGTTACAATTAATATATACTGTTGTTAATATTAAAATCAAAACTAGGCATTCATCTAGGTTTATTCTACATCAGCTCTTGCATTTATGTGATGGAATATGTTTAGCAATTATATAAATTTAAAAATTATTTTAATAAGATTAATTGTATTCATTTCCTGGTACTGCTGTAGCAAAGTACTGCAAACTAGGTAGCTTAAAAAAAACAGACATTTATTATGTCACATTTATAGAAGCTAGAAGTCTGAAATCAAGGAATCAGCAGTGCTGGGTCCTTCTTGAGGGCTCCAAGAGACGCTCTAGTCCATGCTTCTGTCCTAGCTTCCCGGGCTTCTCAGCAATCGTTGGTGTTCCTTGCTTCCCTCAGTTTAACCCCAATCTCTGCTGCTGTCATCGTGTGGCCTTGTCCTTGTGTGTCTATCTGTCTTTTCTCCTTTTCTTAGAAAGACGCCCATCATATTGGATTAAGGTCCACCTAATAACCTCATCTTAACTTGATTATATTTACAATGACTTTATTTTCAGTTAAGGTCACGTTCATAAGCACAGGAGGTTAAGACTTATGTGTATCTTCTGCGGGGACATAACTCCATCCACAACACTGATCTTACCTTACTTCATAGGTGACAATAACACTTAAAATCAATTATTAAGTGTAATAAATGTAAAAATTTTATTTCTAGAATTAACAACTAGCACATTATATATGTGTATGTGTGTGTGTATATATGTGTGTGTCTATACATATGTATTTTTTTTACAGCATTGACATCCATTTTCTTCCTAAGAAATAAAATGAGTCAAGGATAGAAATGAGTAGAGAATATTTTAATTTAAAATGAGTAGAGGATAGAAATGTATGCATTGGCTCCTACCTCCATTTACTAAATAAAAAAAAAAAAATGCTGAAAAGTTGCACTGTATACACTGTCAAAATTAAGTGAAAATTGGGACTATTTAATATTTCGGAATAAAAGGTGTTATCTGTATTTTAAATGTATAGCGAAAACATTTTAAAAATGTATGAATGTTATGTATATATACCACACAAAGTTGTATAAACAATTAAGACACCTTGAGCCTAAATGACAGCTTGAATATTCTCACCTCTCCTCTTCCTCTACCTTTTTATTATCTATCTCTTGGAATTCTTTTGGGCTTAAGCTAAATGTTAATCTGAAAATGTTGCCTTTGGCCTTGAGTTAATTAATTTTTCCAGTTTTGCAGAACGACTAAGTTGTAAAGCCCACACTCAAGTCTAGTATTATCTGATTCCAAAGCCTACAAAATTTTCTTAAGTTATGCAGCCTATGTTTCATTAAACGTCACTTAGAAACTTTAAATATACTGCCTCCTATCTTGCATTAAAATATTTTAATTTCTAAAAGTTCTGGCTTTAACTGGAAACACAAACAACCCCACTGCAGTAAGGCAATAGCTAGCTCATCTTTAATATGATGGTGAAAAGTAGCGTGTGATTATTTCAGAATATAGGATAGTGGGAAGGCACAGCACTCAGTGATAAATGACATGAGTTGTGGTCCTGGATGTACCACTTAATATAAATGACTAGCTTTATAGTTATTTCATGTAACTTTAGGCAAGTCCCTTACCTTTTTGATTAAGTGACTGTGAAGTTGGAAATAGCAAGCCTCATTATCCCAATCATATAAACATGCTGTTAGCCTCAAATTAGAATGTATAAGAAACTGCAAAATATTACAGAAGCATTTCTTAACTAATGCTTAGCTGGCCTTATGTATGGTAACAATGTGCTTCAAAATACCTTTAATGAAATACGTTGCTAACAAAGATTCCCCCAACATATTTTTGTAAATTTCTCCTGAAAGTAAAATTCATTCTTTTGTAAAGTGAAAATAGTGAAAAATCACTATTCTTTTGTAAAGAAATATAAATGTAAACTATGGCAGAATGAAATGTTATAACATGTCAATATTTACATTCAAAGATACAATTATTAATATGCCATTCAATGAATTTGTAGAAGATTAGAAAGATGAAACTTAGGGGATAAAAGAGACCTTGTAAGTTATTTTCTGCAATTATTTTCTCATTTTAAAAATCAGAAATTAAAAACCCAACAGGTTTGATTTAAATGATTTATACAAAGTTACAGTGAGTGGAAAGAATTTAGTTCATTTTCTAGTGGTAACAGCAGCTTTCTCATGAGGTCTCACTCGAAGGTGTAATGAGTGGTCATGGATAGAGCCGGGCTCACTGGCATAAATGGCCACCTTGCTCATGATTCAGAGACAGCATGTGTGAGTGGAGAATCTCAGAATCTGGAGTAAAATAAAATAGATTAAAATTCTGCTTCTTACTCTAAATAGCTGTAGGATCATGGGCAAATTATTTTTCCTCATTGAATATCACTGTCTCTCCTCTTTGTAAAAGGAGCAATAAAATAATAAACATGGCAACAGAATAAAAGCAATAAAAATGGGAGCTTGTGTGAGACTTGAGTGACATATTGGCTAGCTTCTAATGGTGTGTAGTATGTGTTCAACAAATGACAGCTAATATTATTAAATTTTGCACTTATGAAAATTATTCTCTAACAATAAACCATTATTAAACTATTAAATTAACAGAGGCTACATGATATCTTGAAAACCACAAAACTAGTATCTAGAAGATCTAAAATCTGATCTCAACTGCATTTATTAATATTTGTGTAATCTGTGCAAATCAAACCCTAAATTATTCCCAGTTTGTTCTTGTGTTAGAATTAGCAACAATCCTACTCCCCCTACAAATTTTGAAAGATTTTTCTTGTGAGGAACAAATGAAAAAATGTATGTGAAAAATACTCTGAAAATGCTCTAACAAGGGGCAAAATCACTAACAAGACAGAAGTGAAACTCGGCTTTGCTATTCTATTATACTGTAGGATGACTACAGCAAATAACAATGTATTGTATGTTTCAAGATAGATGGAAGTATTTTGAATGCTGCCACCACAAAGAAATGGTAAGTGCTTAAAGTGATGGACATGGTATTTACTCTGATTTGATCATTATACCATGTATACATGCATTAAAACATCCCACTGAACTTCATAAATATATACAATTTTATGTATTAATTACAAATAAAAATTAAATGAAAAAATGGTAAAATGTAAATTATAAATATGATTTAAAATAACTTCCTCAATAATAAGCATTGCATTAAACAATTTCATGTTTAGATTTGAATGAAATAAAAGTATATTCAAAATTCCATTTTCCCTCCTATTAGAATTTTATTTAATCCTTTCATTAGATATATCAAGTGTAGCAATAGCTATCCAAACATAACAGATAACACAATGTACAGTCATCCTTTAGCACTGGCAGAGAATTGATTCCAGGATCTCCAGAAGACACAAAAATTTGCAGATGCCCAAGTCCTTTAGTCAGGCCTCCTTATCTATGAGTTTCGAATCAGGGGATTCAACCCATATGCAGGTATTTTCTATCCATCTGTGGTTGAATCCTTGGATGTGGAACCTATGGTTAAGGAGGGCTGACTGTAACTGCTGCTTATAGAATACTGAATTAGAGGAACAGAAACAACAAATAGGATATGTTATGTAATTGTTATGTAATTGTTTTAACTTAAACTATGTCTGGATCAAATACATATGATGTGGAGTTTGTGAAACTATAAAGTTCAGAGATCCAGGCATGGAGCTAATGATGTAGTAGACAGGCCTGGTGTTCATACTTTTGTCTGTTAAAGTCCTACCTAGTTGAGTTTCATGAGTAGACTGATCAGAAAACTCTGATTTACCAAATATGTCTTAAATTTGTGTGTGGAAGAAAAGAGAAACCTGAAAAGTAATTCATATTTAGGACAGTTTTATACTTACACCACCCCCTATAAAGGAAAAACAATAAATCCCTCTTAAGGTTAAAAAGGCTTTCATTAGAACATCTTCAAAAATGATCAAGTGTTTCTGAACATGTTCACAGAATTTTTAGATAAAATAGAATAATCAACCAAGTTTACTTCCAGATGCTTTATAAGGGCTTTAGGTTGATACCTAAGGGTCAAGTAAGTCATGCCAATAAGTGGGTTAAGGGGTAGTTATTTGTGTGCCCCTGATCATTGCTATTCACTAATGTTTACTTATTACTGGCAGCAGATTATCCTGTTTTTTAAGAGATGGTGGAATTTTGGTGAGGCACACACCACTGGTTCTCTCTTCAATAGCAACCTCATCACTTTTTCTGTCTCTACAGTTTTCTCTTTTGCAGAATGTCATTTAGGTGGCATTATATAGCATGGAGACTTTTCACATTGGCTTCTCTCACTTAGTAGTCTGCATCTTTCATTCCTCTGTGGCTTGATAGCTCATTATTTCATCAGTGTTTTCTGCTTTTCTTATAGAAAGCTTGTTTATATTTGGTTAGATTTATACCTAAGTATTTCATCCTAGAGGGTACTAATGTAAATGATATTGCATTAATGTAAAATCCCATTTGTTCTGAAGTATAGGAAGGCCATTGACTTTTGTATGATAGCTCTGTATTCTGCAACCTTGTTATAATCTTTATTAATTCCAGGAGGTTTTGTTTTAGGATTTTCTACATCAATGACACCAGGGAACAAAATCAGTTTTATTTATTCCTTTTCAATCTGTATATCATTGCTTCCTTTTCTGTTTCATTGCATTAGTTAGGACTTTCGTTATAAAGTTGAAAAGCAGTGGTGAAAAGGAACATTCTTATTCCTGAAGCTTAGAGTTTCTCATAATTAGGTATGATGGTAGCTACAGGTTTTTTATAGATGTTCTTTATCAGGTTGCAGAAGTCAACCTCTATTCCTACTTTATACATAGTTTTTATCATGAATAGGTGTTGAATTTTGTTAAATGCTTTTTCTCCATCTCTTTATGTTACTATGTAATTTTTTTTCTTCTCTATATTCTTAATGTGTTGGGATAACTGGTTTTGAATTATATTGAGCCAGCCTTGCATTCCCGAGATAAACCTCACTTGATTGTAGTGCATTAATCTTATAATACATTTTTGGACTGGATTTGCCAATACTTTATTGAAGACTTTTGCACCCATGTTATGAGAGATCCTAGTCTACAGTGTTTGTTTTCTTTTCTTTGTAATGTGTTTGTCTGATTTTGATATTAGCATGATGGTGGCCTTTTAGGATGAGTTAGGAAGTATTTCCTTTGATTCTTCTATCTTCTAAAAAATTGCGGAGAATTGTTTTATTCTTCTTTAAAGGTTGATTTGAACTCACCAGTATATCCAACTGAGTTTCATATTTTTTGTTTTGACAGGTTATTAATTTTTGACTCAACATCTTTAATAGATATCAGTCTACTAAAATTGACTATTTCTTCTTTTTCAGGTTTTAGCAGATTGTGTCTTTCAAATAATTGGTCCATTTCATCTAAGTTACCAAATTTGTGGGCACAGAGTTGTTCATAATATTTACTTATTATCCTTTTAATGTTCATGAAATCTGTAGCTATTTTGTCTCTTTCACTTCTGATAATAGTAATTTGTGACCCTTCTTTTTTCTTAGCCTGGCTAGAGTTTTGTCAATTTTAATGACCTTTTCAAAGAACCAGTTTCTGGTTTTGTTGTCTATTGATTTCCTTTTTTCAATTTAATTGATTTTTACTCTATTATTTTTTTCTCCTTCTTACTTCAGACTTAAATTTCTTTTCAAGTTTACTAAGAGCCTGTAAGACTGATTTTAGATCTTTCTTATTTTCTCATGTATGCATTCAATGGTATAAACTTCTTTGTAAGCACTGCTTTCACTGCACGCCACAAACAAATTTTGATAATTTGTTTTCACTTTTATTTAATTCAAAATATTTTAAAATTTCTCTTGGTATTTCTTCTTTGACACATGTGATATCTACAAGTATGTTGCTTAATCAACACATACTTTGGAATTTTCTGGTTATCTTTCTGTTATTGATTTCAACTTTAATTCCATTATGGGCAGTCAGCAGTTATTGTATGATTTTTATTACTTTAATTTGTCCAGGTGTGTTTTATGTCACAGCATGTGTCCTATATTGGTGAATGTTCCATGTGAGCTTGAAAAGGATGTTTACTCTGCTGTTGCTGGATGAAGCAGTCTATAGATGTCAATTTTATCTGTTTCATTGATGGTGCTGTGAGTTCAACTATGTTCTTACTGATTTTCTGCCTGTTAGATCTGTGCATTTCTAGTGGAGGGATGTTGTCTCCAGTACAATAGTGAATTCAACTATTTTTCCTTGTAGTTCTCTCAGGTTTTGCCTCACATATTTTGTTCTCTTGTTAGGCATATGCAAGTTAAAGACTATCTTTTTGGAGAATCATTATGTAATGTCCCTCTTTGTCCCTGATAATTGTCTTTGTTCTCATGTCTACTTTTTCTGAAATTAATACCACTACTTCTGCTTATTTTTTATTAGTGTGAGTATGGTATATCTTTCTCTATCCATTCACTTTTAATCTATACGTAGCTTTAAATTTAAAGTCGGTTCCTTTTAAGCATATAGTTGGTTCTTGTATTTGACCCACTATGAGCGTTTCTGTCTTTCAATTGGCACATTTAGACTATTGGTATTTGAAGTAATTATTGATATAGTTGGAATAATATTTACCATATGTCTTACTGTTTTCTATTTGTTAGCTTTGTGCTTTGTTTCTATTTTCTTTCATTTTTTGCCTTTTGTGATTTTAATTGAGCATTTTTTAGGATTCTATTTTTCTCATTTCATAGAATATTTATTATACTTCTGCTTTAAGTAGTTTCTACTACTTAAATTATACCGTTTTAAGTAGTTTCCCTAGAGTTTGTGTCATGTATTTATAAGTAATCCATGTCCACTTTTAAATAATACTCTACCACTTTATGGGTAGTGCAAGTACCTTACAATAATAAAATATTTATAATTCCTTCTTTCCATAACTTTGCTGTCATTCATTTCATCTATACATAAGCATAAATAAGGACAGATATATAAGCATATCTACTTGAATACACTGTTGCTATTATAATTTTGAACAAACTACAATCTATTAAATAAACTAAAAGTAGAAAAAAAATCCATTTTACCCTCCCTTGTTCTTTTCTCAGTAACCTTCCTTTTTATGTAGATCTGAGTTTCTGAATTATATCATTTTCCTTGTCTCCGAAGAACTTCTTTTAATATTTCCTGCAAGTCATGTATGTCTACTGGCAACAAATCCCTCGATTTTCCTTGTCTGGACAACTCTTTATTTCTTTACTTTAGCAGTAAAATTTAACAGGGTACATCAGGGTATATTCTTCTAACTTGTTTTTTTTACCCCCTTTCAGCATGTTGATTTTTTGACTCTTTTTGCTTGCATGGTTTCTGAGGCAAAGCTGATGTGATTCTTGTGTTTGATTCTCTACAGGAAATGTGTTTCCCCTCTTCCTGCCTGGCTTCTTTTGAGTTTTGTTTTGTTTTTGTTTTTGCTTTATTTTCTGCAGCTTAAAAATAATATGCCTAGATGTGGGTGGTTTTCTTTTGCATTTATTCTTCTTGGTGTTCCCTGAGCTTCCTGCATCAGTGCTTGTTGTCTGACACAAATTTTGAAAAATTATGTCATTATTGTTTCAAATATTTATTCTGTTCCTTTATTATCTTTTTTTTCTTTCTGATATTCTTTTTTTTTTTTTTTTTTTTTTTTTAACAAAGTCTCACTCTGTCGCCTAAGCTGGAGTGCAGTGGTACAATCTCGGCTCACTGCAACCTCTGCCACCGGGGTTCAAGTGACTCTCCTGCCTCAGCCTCCCTAGTAGCTGGGACTACAGGTGTGCATCACCACACCCAGTTAATTTTTTATGTTTTTTAGTAGAGATGAAGTTTCACTGTGTTGGCCAGGGTGGTCTCGAACTCCTACCTCATAACCCACCCACCTCGGCCTCCCAAAGTGCTAGGATTACAGGCCTGAGCCACCACACCTGGCACCTTTCTGAGATTCTTATTTATTTTTAAAACTCAATTTATTGTAAGATAATTGTACACAATGAGCATGAAATAAACAATAGTGTTAAGAGGAAGGCTGATTATTAAAACTAGACTTGAAGTAACAAAGAAGTTGTGGGGAGACAGAAGCAAAGACTCAGAAACAGAAACAAAATGGAGAAAGAGAAATGTCTAAATTTGACTCTAGTGAAGAGTATATGATATTTATCTGCAACGGTACAGGACTTTGTAGAGGACATACGGATATAACTACATGCTAGGACTTTGACGAGCTTATGATCTCAATCAAGAAGGCATATTAACTCTCACAAAACAAAGACCAAGTGAATTCTAAGGCAGGCATTTCTGAAGATAAGTATAGTGAATTTAAAAGAGAATGCATTTACAGTCATAAGAGGTATCTTCATAGGGAAAGTAGAGCTTGAGTTTGATAGATGACATCTTGTCATAAATGTAACTGCTTGTAACATCTAACGAGTATTTTAAAAATAGGGTAACTATAAAAATAATTTGAGTAGAGAGAAGTTATACTAAGTAGAAAGTTAAAGATTTAAAAATCAGGAAAGTACTATTTTGCTTTTGACTGAAGATGTATTCTAACAACCTGATGAGGCTAGACATATAAGTTCATATTGATTGATAACTAGTCGTAAACTTTTGTTTCTTTTTGCAAAGGCCAAATTATGACTTTTAAATCATTGTATGAATTTCCCAAAATAAGCCACTAAGAAAAATGCATAATATGAATTTATGGGTTATGTTAGAATTATTGGATTGGTTGGTTTATGAAGCTTGCCAACTCACTTAACATTATTGACCTAAACTTAAGACACTATAAAAATTTAGATTCTAACTTTGGCAGTCAGACAATGATTTTTCTATAGGCATTTTAATATTTGTCTTCACTGGGGATTCCACTATCTTTACTATCTATTTTATAACAATTGAAACTAAATGAGAAGGCTAAATGGTGGTTGAAAATATGTTAAGTAACCCTAGTGCTGTGGCTCACGCCTGTAATCCCAGCACTTGGGGAGACCCAGGCCAGCAGATAACTTGAGGTCAGGAGTTTGAAACCAGCCTGGCCAACATGGCAAAAGCCCATCTCTACACAATACAAAATTTAGCCAGGTGTGGTGATGTCCACCTGTAATCCCAGTTACTTAGGAGGCTGAGCCAGGAGAATTAATTGCTTGAACAAGGGAGGCAGAGATTGCAGTGAGCCAAGATCGTGTCACTGCACTCCTGAGAGATACTTTGTATCGAAAAGAAAAGAAAATATGTTAAGTAGAACTATTCCTGAGTTCCATATATGGTTTCCTCTAGAAAGTTATAGGAAGTGTATAAAAATACTACACATTATCTTAATTAAAGCATGTAAGAGGCAATTACCTAAAATAATTATATATTAATTATATTGTCAAAAAAGATCTAGTATTCAATAGTAGAAGTAAACATGTTCAACTCATCATCTTTCTAGACATCTAAGACTATGTAAACAAGCATTAGTCTAGAGTTTACATACTAGATTGTTAGGTAATTTACAAAAATGCAAAAGAAAAAAAAGTAGTGTGTGATGTATTTCAAAAGTGAAAGTATTATACAGGTGATTTTATACTGTTCTAAAATAAGTGTCGGAAGAAACCAGACATGCCCAATATATATTATTACATAGTATTTTGTTATTCAGATGATAGGAAAACTAGAAGATCCTGACAACTGTATAAAACTGAACATACCTGGAAACTTCAACAGCTTAGGAAATAGCATTTCCTTCCATAACAAATGCCTTAGAAAAACGTATTTTCAGCTAACACATAAATTATGAAAGAATATTTCCATGGTGGAAAATGTGTAATAGAGAGAAACTTGTTTTAGTGAAGATAATTTTATGGTTTTCTAAATCTAAGGCCATATTAATTCATTTCTGATTAAGTGGAAGGATCCAGTTAGATGCAATCTCAATACAACTGGGATTGAAGAATTGAGCAGTCATAGTATATTTATTTATTCTTCATTCATTTTTATTTATCCTTGTAATTTTGGCACAATTAATTACACAATAATCATCATGACATCATGGATAAATAATGATAGATACATATGTGGGGGCAGGTATTTATGTAAAAGTGCTTGTTTACTTTGAAGAATTACTGGTGGTTGAACCATAAAAAGATAATTTATCTAGTTCTCCAATGAGAAGTGTTAACTGAAAAATCACTTAGCTTTTTTTCATATGAAAGTTAAATCTTAAACCTATGGAGATGATCAGATATGCAAAGATAGAAGCACAGCATATTCCAATGTATTTCAAGAAAAGTTAATTTTCTTTTTCTTTTTTTTTTTTTGAGACAGAGTTTTGCTCTTGTCACCCAGGCTGGAGTGCAATGGCATGATTTCAGCTCACTGCAACCTCTGCCTCCTGGGTTCAAGCATCTTTGAAGTTTTTATTGTCTTTGAGTTATTTCCCTACTTACTAACAAAAAAGGTTCAAAACTGAATTATAAAATATTTGTAAGTAAAGTGGGTACAATACTAGCAAATTTCAAATTCTTTAGGATATTTGCTTCTCCACAAAACAAAGTATACTGTCTAAAGATTGGAAGTGAAGTACAGGTTGATTACACGTGGAACTTTTAGAGGGTTTACGTGAAAGCAAACAAACACACTAGACTCGCTGGTGTCTCAATGAGGATTTTGAAATACAAACTCAGATTATATCACCTCTTTTTTATATAGACCATGAGTCAGTTTGAGGAGCAGTGCAAATAGATTTATTTTGACCTGAGAAAGGACTTTTAAATAATATTTGGTATAAAATATTCATTAGAATCAGAAAAATCATGCTCTAAAATCTAGATATTAAGTGATATATTATCAGATGAATGCTAAATCTATCTAAAAATCATTTATAAAGATCAGACATTAGAGGCAGTCAGTTTAAAACACTATATTTCTAGATTCTAAAAATTAGAATACAAGTTACAAACACCTCATATCCTCTCTTGTGGAACAATTCTATATATGATTCAACAACATATGCCAAATGATTGACCCTTTAGCTGCCTGTGTTCACCTGTGCCATTCCCACCATGTCTTCTCATGAAAAGGGTATACTCTGAGTTGAGAAATAAACCAGGTAAGCTGATTATAAATCGGTATTTCATAACAAAAGAGTAAACGTCCTTCAAAACCACAAATACAAAATTCCAAACCTCCGCTACACCACTTACTAGCTTTGTATCTACTTTTTAAGGTAGTGTAAGTGTCTTCTATAAAATACTTGACATATAGGGAGTGTGTGTTCAATGGAGGCAATGATTTTTCTTTGGGGGTTTTCTTGCTTCCCACAATTTATTCTCAAAGCCCTTTGGTACCTGCTTCTGGCACCAGATCTGAAAGGTGAATAGGTTAGTTAAAATTCTCTGACACTTTGGACTGTTTTAATAAGAACTCTTTCTACACAAAATTCTCAGTACTACTAAAGAAAATGACAGAAATGAATTATTTTGATAAGCCATTGCTAGTACCCTATGATTCTCTACTATACCTGCATAAAATAACAAATTTTGGAGTTTGAAACACAATCACATTCACAACCATTGGGATAAATTTTAATTTAAAATAATAATAATGTTGACAAGGATGAGGAAAAATTGGAACCCTGTGGATTGCTGGTGAGAATATAAAAGCATGCAGTTGCTGTCGAGAACAATATGGTTGTTTCCCAAATAAATACGATTACCATATGATCCAGCAATTCCATTTCCAGGTATATAACCAAGAGAACTGAAAGCAGAGACCCAAACATATTTAGACACACACATTCATAGAAGCACTATTCACAATAGCCAAAAGGTGGATGTAACATAAGTGTCTATGGATAGATGAACAGAGAAACAAAATGTGGGATATACATACAATAAAATATTACTCAGCCTTAAAAACTGGGAAATTCTGACACATGCTACAACATGGCTGAGCCTTGAAGACATTACACTAAGTGAAATAAGTGAACCACAAAAGGACAAAGATTGTATGATTCCACTTATAGGAGATGTCTGGAAAAGTCAAATTCAAAGAAACAGAAAGCACAATTGGGGTTGCCAAGTGCTGAGGGGAAGAGAGAAAGGAGAGTTATTGTCTAATGCATGTATAGCTTCAGTTCATACCCAATAAACTGAAGATAGTCATTAATGGGAAGATGAAAAGAGTCCTGGAGATGGATAATAACAATGATTGCAAAACGATATGAATGTACCTAATGCCCCTGAACTATATTCCTAAAAATGGTTAAAATGGTAAATTTTATCTTATATATATTTTACTGTAATTTTTTAAAAAGTAAAATAATAAACAAAAAGCCTAAGCACACACACCAAAGTGCCCAGATTAATTAAATCAAAACATTCAGGGATCAAGAGATCAATTGAATCAAAACATTCAGGGATCAAGCCTAGACAACTATACTTTTTAAATGAGTGTGAAGTAATTCTCCTGCACAGCAAGGACTGAGAATCACTTCTCTAGCCAGCAGAGGCCTCCTGGTAAAAGTATGACTTTCTATGTATGTCCAGAGTTTTTTCAATCTTAATAATTCTTCTTGTTGTGTTAGATTAACAAGGCTTCAGATTATAATATTGTTTCTTTCTTTGTTTTTTCCAAGACAAACTGTATCCAGCTTTATTAAAGATACTTTCCATAAACAATCGTGCTATTTCAGGAAGGACATGGGCAGACAATCATTAGCAGTATACAACAACTTTCAAACTCCCTTCTTCAATGGACTAGCAAAACACAGAAAACCACTGTAAAACCCAATGAAGTCTTCATCTGATGCTCTGAACAGGGAAAGTTTAGAGTGAGGGTTGACATTTCACACTTAGCATGTTGTTTAACAACTTTTCACAAGCCGACCCTGACTTTGACCTGACCCCCAATCATTGGTTATCAGGGTGTCAGGCAATCTGGACTTTGCAGTGATGCCACTGAGGTGGCGCCTGTCAAAAGAGCAGTGGTTCCATTTCTAGATTGTGTGTCTTCAGTTAAATTCTGCCATTGTCATTTCACTTCCTGAAAGTCAGGGTCGGCTTGTGAAGAATATTGTTTCTTAAATCACTGAACACCTTCTAAATTAATTTGATTAACTTCCTGCTCTATATATTTGATTACAATTTAATAACATATAAGGAAACGGAAAATAGATATAATTTGCCTTCTTGCACACCTATGTAGGCTAATGTGATATGAAGTAAATCAAGCATTATATAGTAATCTTGATTTTACCTTATGAATTAAAAACACAGACCTTTACACAGTATTTATTATTTTATGGAACATGTACCTTCATTTGGTATAGAACAAAACAATCAAAGATTTTTGGTGCTATATTTTATGGGCTATGGTGTAAAACAAATAAAACACCATCATTGTATAAAGAAGTAAGAATTGGATAATGAAATAAATTTCTCATTTAGAAGCCCTATGTAGTTCTTAGGTAATAAATCTGACATAGAATAAATGAGCATTTACTGTTGGTTTCTAGCTTGAATATAATTTCTTAGCAGGTTTTCCTCAGGGATACAAAGGACTTCTATGATCTAAGGTAGCCAATATGGATGATACAACCAATGTAGGATATATACATTGATAAGATTATTAGAAGTTGAATGTCTAAACAGGGAACTTGTCCAAAAATATTCAAAACTCCTAAATCAATTCATGTGAATTAATCAAATAAAGGCTCAGAATTTACATTTCTAAATGACTGAAATCACTTTCAGAAAATACTGTAATCATGTAATCATCCTTGCATGTTCCCTCCACTGAATTTCAATACTGGGAACACCAATTTTTCCACTAGAAAAATGCCAAAAGTCCCTAAGCTCTTAAACAAAGCAGCATTATGATACCACCATGCCCCTATTGTGAAGCATGGATCAGACCTTTCTATTGTTTCAGAATACTGTCAATAAATGTCATCTGAAAGCATAAAAAATAAATGATACTCATGTAAATAAGTAAAAATTAAAGGCATCTGGGAGACAGCCAATATTGATATTGTCTAATCTACATAAACTATTCCTTAAGAAGTGTAATAATAGTGCATTTTAAGAAGAGGAAGCTAAGTTAGGAGTGCATTTCCTCAAACACTAGTCTTTTTCAGTTTCGGAAATAATTACACCCATAATACTATGAACAGCTCTGTTCACTGAAGGGAATAAAAGCTCCAGATGAAATCTTAACAGCTTTTCCTTTGTAGCCAAATACTGATTGCAAAAGGACATATCAGGCTGTGAATGTTATTATATGTGAGACGTTTTGCAAATGGATGGAAAAAATGATGGGAGTCAGATAAAGCTCTAAGAAATGATCCTGAAGCAATAAATACAATGGATAAGTATATGGCTAAACACATGACTGCCCTTCCAAAGAGCTGGTTTTTGTTTTTTTTTCTCAAAACTGCCCCTCCCCAGACCCTCTAATTCTTGCCAGAATGCTTCCTCTAGTTATAAGTTTAGCTGCCGTGTATCTGTCTCTCATGGCTAGATTATCTGAGCTGCTTGAGTTTAGAAATGGTTTCCTCACATACCTCCTCTTTGGGAACTTTCATTGAATTATCTGCAATCTTGGCCACACGCTGTGGCTCACACAAGTAATCCCAGCACTTTGGGAGGCCGAGGGGCAGATCACTTGAGTTCAAGAGTTCGAGACCACCCTGGCCAACATGGTGAAACACTGTCTCTACTAAAAATACTAAAATTAGCCAGGTGTGGTGGAGGGTACCTGTAATCCCAGCTACTCAGGAGGCTGAGGCAGGAGAATTGCTTGAACCCAGGAGGTAGAGGTTGCAATGAGCCGAGATCAGGCCACTGCACTCCAGCCTGGGCGACAGAGTGAGACTCCATCTCAAAAATAAATAAATAAATAAACAAATAAATAAAAAAAAGAGAATTAACTGCAATCTAATGAACCAGTAGATGTTAGGCTGCCCTTCCTGAGAGGCTCTGATTTAAGAAGAAAGCACACAATGAAACCACTGAGAAAAGACAGAAGGATGCTGATCTAAGCCACAGCTACACTTCTTGCCCCTAATTCAACATCCCCAAAAACGTGGAGGAGCAGGAGAAACACATCAAAAAATGAAACGGGTTCGTTCTTATATCTCTGGATCTCTGTATATTGATCTTCTTCATTTTTAATTTATTCATAATAATTTACTGCCATGGTAGAGAACAAGTAGGGACGCTCCAAGTTCCTTTGGATAGCAAAGTTAGGAAAACCTAGAAAGCATATTTTCCTTCTAAATCTTTCACCTTAGGACACCTAGAGATTTATGATATTTATCGTGTGCTGGAGAAAATAACACTTAAATAAAAGGTGATCCTTGTAGATAGGGTACCTCAGTTCAAGCAGATTCTCTGAGCAACTGTCAAGATTCACTGCTAGGAACTTTACTGATGTATCCGTTACACACCAATATCAATTTATGACCACAAACAAGGCAGATTTAACACAGTGAATGGAAAGATGTGAATATTTATTTTTGAAAGCTACAGCATATTCATCTAAAGCATTGATTAATTGTTTAAAATCTTTATCATGCTACCACCTAGGTTCACACATGCATTTTCCCTTCAGTTTATTTATCATAGTAAATGTAGCAAACCATATACATTTTATGCCTTATTCAAGATGTATGTCCTCATCAAAACAATTTTTCAGGTAATTTCTGTCATGTCAACTCATGATTAACTGCACTAATGAAGAGAAGTAATATCACAGAAAAATCAGTGTGGAGATGCCCAGACCAATATATTGTTGGTATTGGCATGCTTTAGCTCATTTTGCAGCAGATTACCATCATCAAAATAGTTTTTACTTAAGCTCATTTGAAAACATTTTATTTCCCCAAAACTCTTACTGTTTTAGTGGTAAAACATAAAGAAACTGGAAAAATGATTGATTAAAAGAAACTTAAATGAGATGAAAAATATGTCATAGTTAAACCAAAAGGTAGATCAGGTGTACACGAACAATTAGTTGATTTTATCTAGAAGCAAATTTGCAAGTGTAAATGTGTCTGTCCAAGTGAAAATATGTAATCGATATGTTTATGTATGTATGTATGTATTGGTATGCATATATAGAAAGGAGTTTTGTGCTGAGAATTTACACCATTCATATTATAAAATATTGATTAACATTTTCATTGGTGATACCTTAATTTCTGCATGCTTTATGGTGCATTCTATGGAAATTGAAGTAAAAGATAACTTTAAATGGATATATTAATAGTTAAAACAATATAAATATCAGTATAAAAATATAATGACAATGTAAGTTTTTCTTCACTTTTTTTAGAAAACATGCAAACCTCTTATAAATGAAAAAGGGGAAAATCAACTTATAGTGATCTAATATGGATGTCCATAATTCAGTGAAAAATATGGTAAATTAAAAACTAAAAATGCTCACAAAAAGTCTTTTAAATGATTTTAAGTTCAATACATTAATAAGCTTTTGAAAATAATACTAGAGAGGGGAGCCAAGATGGCCAAATAGGAACAGCTCCGGTCTACAGCTCCCAGCGTGAGCAACGCAGAAGATGGGTGATTTCTGCATTTCCATCTGAGGTACTGGGTTCATCTCACTAGGGAGTGCCAGACAGTGGGCGCAGGACAGTGGGTGCAGCACACCGTGCGCGAGCCAAAGCAGGGTGAGGCATTGCCTCACATGGGAAGCCCAAGGGGTCAGGGAGTTCCCTTTCCTAGTCAAAGAAAGGGGTGACAGACAGCACCTGGAAAATCGGGTCACTCTCACCTGAATACTGCGCTTTTCCAACGGGCTTAAAATACGGTGCACCAGGAGATTATATCCCGCACCTGGCTCAGAGGGTCCTACGCCCACGGAGTCTCACTGATTGCTAGCACAGCAGTCTGAGATCAAACTGCAAGGCTGCAGCGAGGCTGGGGGAGGGAGCCCGCCATTGCCCAGGCTTGCTTAGATAAACAAAGCAGCCAGGAAGCTTGAACTGGGTGGAGCCCACCACAGCTCAAGGAGGCCTGCCTGCCTCTGTAGGCTCCACCTCTGGGGGCAGGGCACAGACAAACAAAAAGACAGCACTAACCTCTGCAGACTTAAATGTCCCTGTCTGACAGCTTTGAAGAGAGCAGTGGTTCTCCCAGCACGAAGCTGGAGATCTGAGAACGGGCAGACTGCCTCCTGAAGTGGGTCCCTGACAGCAGACCCCCAAGCAGCCAAACTGGGAGGCACCCCCCAGTAGGGGCAGACTGACACCTCACATGGACAGATACTCCTCTGAGACAAAACTTCCAGAGGAACGATCAGACAGCAGCATTCGCGGTTCACAAAAATCCGCTGTTCTGCAGCCACCGCTGCTGGTACCCAGGCAAACGGGGTCTGGAGTGGACCTCTAGCAAACTCCAACAGATCTGCAGCTGAGGGTCCTGCCTGTTAGAAGGAAAACTAACAAACAGAAACCCATCTGTACATCACCATCATCAAAGACCAAAAGTAGATAAAACCACAAAGATGGGGAAAAAACAGAGCAGAAAAACTGGAAACACTAAAAAGCAGAGTGCCTCTTCTCCTCCAAAGGAACGCAGCTCCTCACCAGCAATGGAACAAAGCTGGATGGAGAATGACTTTGACGAGCTGAGAGAAGAAGGCTTCAGACGATCAAACTACTCTGAGCTATGGGAGGACATTCAAACCAAAGGCAAAGAAGTTGAAAACTTTGAAAAAAATTTAGATGAATGTATAACTAGAATAACCAATACAGAGAAGTACTTAAAGGAGCTGATGGAGCTGAAAGCCAAGGCTCGAGAACTACGTGAAGAATGCAGAAGCCTCAGGAGCCAATGCGATCAACTGGAAGAAAGGGTATCAGTGATGGAAGATGAAATGAATGAAATGAAGCGAGAAGGGAAGTTTAGAGAAAAAAGAATAAAAAGAAACGAACAAAGCCTCCAAGAAATACGGGACTATGTGAAAAGACCAAATCTACGCCTGATTGCTGTACCTAAAAGTGACGGGGAGAATAGAACCAAGTTGGAAAACACTCTGCAGGATATTATCCAGGAGAACTTCCCCAATCTAGCAAGGCAGGCCAACATTCAGATTCAGGAAATACAGAGAACACCACAAAGATACTCCTCGAGAAGAGCAACTCCAAGTCACATAATTGTCAGGTTCACCAAAGTTGAAATGAAGGAAAAAATGTTAAGGGCATCCAGAGAGAAAGGTCAGGTTACCCACAAAGGGAAGCCCATCAGACTAACAGCGGATCTCTCGGCAGAAACTCTACAAGCCAGAAGAGAGTGGGGGCCAATATTCAACATTCTTAAAGAAAAGAATTTTCAACCCAGGATTTCATATCCAGCCAAACTAAGCTTCATAAGTGAAGGAGAAATAAAATACTTTACAGACAAGCAAATGCTCAGCGATTTTGTCACCACCAGGCCTGCCCTAAAAGAGCTCCTCAAGGAAGCACTAAACATGGAAAGGAACAACTGGTACCAGCCACTGCAAAATCATGCCAAATTGTAAAGACCATCGAGGCTAGGAAGAAACTGCATCAACTAACGAGCAAAATAACCAGCTAACTTCATAATGACAGGATCAAATTCACACATAACAATATTAACTTTAAATGTAAATGGACTAAATGCTCCAATTAAAAGACACAGACTGGCAAATTGGATAAAGAGTCAAGACCCATCAGTGTGCTGTATTCAGGAAACCCATCTCATGTGCAGAGACACACATAGGCTCAAAATAAAAGAATGCAGGAAGATCTACCAAGCAAATGGAAAACAAAAAAAGGCAGGGGTTGCAATCCTAGTCTCTGATAAAACAGACTTTAAACCAACAAAGATCAAAAGAGACAAAGAAGGCCATTACTTAATGGTAAAGGGATCAATTCAACAAGAAGAGCTAACTATCCTAAATATATATGCATCCAATACAGGAGCACCCAGATTCATAAAGCAAGTCCTGAGTGACGTACAAAGAGACTTAGACTCCCACACAATAATAATGGGAGCCTTTAACACCCCACTGTCAACATTAGACAGATCAACAAGACAGAAAGTTAACAAGGATACCCAGGAGTTAAACTCAGCTCTGCACCAAGAGGACCTAATAGACATCTACAGAACTCTCCACCCCAAATCAACAGAATATACATTTTTTTCAGCACCACACCACACCTATTCCAAAATTGACCACATACTTTGAAGTAAAGCTCTCCTCAGCAAATGTAAAAGATCGGAATTTTAACAAACTGTCTCTCAGACAGGGATGCCCTCTCTCACCACTCCTATTCAACATAGTGTTGGAAGTTCTGGCCAGGGCAATTAGGCAGGAGAAGGAAATAAAGGGTATTCAATTAGGAAAAGAGGAAGTCAAATTGTCCCTGTTTGCAGATGACATGATTGTATATCTAGAAAACCCCATTGTCTCAGCTGAAAATCTCCTTAAGCTGATAAGCAACTTCAGCAAAGTCTCAGGATACAAAATCAATGTACAAAAATCACAAGCATTCTTTTACACCAATAACAGGCAAACAGAAAGCCAAATCATTAGTGAACTCCCATTCATAAGTGCTTCAAAGAGAATAAAATACCTAGGAATCCAACTTACAAGGGATGTGAAGGACCTCTTCAAGGAGAACTACAAACCACTGCTCAATGAAATAAAAGAGGATACAAACAAATGGAAGAACATTCCATGCTTGTGGGTAGGAAGAATCAATATCATGAAAATGGCCATACTGCCCAAGGTAATTTATAGATTCAATGCCATCCCCATCAAGCTACCAATGACTTTCTTCACAGAATTGGAAAAAACTACTTTAAAGTTCATATGGAACCAAAAAAGAGCCCGCATCGCCAAGTCAATCCTAAGCCAAATGAACAAAGCTGGAGGCATCACTCTACCTGACTTCAAACTATACTACAAGGCTACAGTAACCAAAACAGCATGGTACTGGTACCAAAACAGAGATATAGATCAATGGAACAGAACACAGCCCTCAGAAATAACGCCATGTATCTACAACTACCTGGTCTTTGACAAACCTGAGAAAAACAAGCAATGGGGAAAGGATTCCCTACTTAATAAATGGTGCTGGGAAAACTGGCCAGCCATATGTAGAAAGCTGAAACTGGATCCCTTCCTTACACCTTATACAAAAATCAATTCAAGATGGATTAAAGACTTAAACGTTAGACCTAAAACCATAAAAACCCTAGAAGAAAACCTAGGCAATACCATTCAGGACATAGGCATGGGCAAGGACTTCATGTCTAAAACACCAAAAGCAGTGGCAACAAAAGCCAAAATTGACAAATGGGATCTAATTAAACTAAAGAGCTTCTGCACAGCAAAAGAAACTACCATCAGAGTGAACAGGCAACCTACAAAATGGGAGAAAATTTTCGCAACCTGCTCTTCTGACAAAGGGCTAATATCCAGAATCTACAAAGACCTCAAACAAATTTACAAGAAAAAAACAAACAACCCCATCAAAAAGTGGGCAAAGGACATGAACAGACACTTCTCAAAAGAAGACATTCATGCAGCCAAAAAACACATGAAAAAATGCTCACCATCACTGGCCATCAGAGAAATGCAAATCAAAACCACAATGAGATACCATCTCACACCAGTTAGAATGGCAATCATTAAAAAGTCAGGAAACAACAGGTGCTGGAGAGGATGTGGAGAAATAGGAACACTTTTACACTGTTGTTGGGACTGTAAACTAGTTCAACCATTGTGGAAGTCAGTGTGGCGATTCCTCAGGGATCTAGAACTAGAAATACCATTTGACCCAGCCATCCCATTACTGGGTATATACCCAAAGGACTATAAATCATGCTGCTATAAAGACACATGCACACCTATGTTTATTGCGGCACTATTCACAATATGAAAGACTTGGAACAAACCCAAATGTCCAACAATGATAGACTGGATTAAGAAAATGTGGCACATATACACCATGGAATACTATGCAGCCATAAAAAATGATGAGTTCATGTCCTTTATAGCGACATGGATGAAATTGGAAATCATCATTCTCAGTAAACTATCGCAAGAACAAAAAACCAAACACCGCATATTCTCACTCATAGGTGGGAATTGAACAATGCGAACACATGGACACAGGAAGGGGAACATCTCACTCTGGGACTGTTGTGGGGTGGGGGGAGTGGGGAGGGATAGCTTTAGGAGATATACCTAATGCTAAATGACGAGTTAATGGGTGCAGCACACCAGCATGGCACATGTATACATATGTAACTAACCTGCACATTGTGTACACGTACCCTAAAACTTAAAGTATAATAATAATAAAATAAAAAAAGAAAGAAAATGAAGGACTTGAACACAATGGAGTACTATTCAGCCATAAAAAGAATGATATCCTGTCATTTGCAACATGGATGGAACTGGAGGTCATTATGTTAAGTAAAATAAACCAGGCACAGAAAAAAAAAAAAGAAAAAACAAACAAAAAAGAAAATAATACTTGAAGGAAGAGTCTGTCACCAAGAAAAGCAAGAAACATACTAGAAATGAACATATCTCATGTCTTTTCTATGTAGATGATGGACACTATTTAGATGGAAATAGGATTATTTTGCTCACTCCTCAGTGTGGTCTACAACTAGGTTGGTCAATTTGACTCAAAGCGAAAAACAAATACACATATCTCAATCTAATTTTTGTTCGATTTTTATTTTTTTGATACAAAACTTTCTTACATGTTTATCAACTATATATGTTCAAGAAATCAAAACTTGAGATCAGATAGTCTAAAAAATACTGTTTTAACATATAGAAATAAAGCTTTGTTCAAGTAAATGTGCATTTTTAAAGCATAAACTTCAAAATATCATCGGGATGCCATTATTTCTTGATAGTGTTATCATATGAGTGGTAATATTGCATAGCAGTTAGGAAACAGGTTTGGGGGTTCAGACTGACTGAATGTAAATCTCCACTCTGCCACACTGTGGGAATATAACCTGAGCAGGAGCTTAACTAACTGCTTTCAATATCTTAACTTCTTCATCTACCTTGCAGGGTTATAACAACTAAATTAAGTAATATATATCAAACACTTGGAGTAGTGACTCAAAATAGGACATTCTTCATAAACATTAGCTATTATCATGTCATAAGCTTATCCCTGTCTGATAAACATAATATTTTTAAGTTAGTAGGTTAAAAACCTCTCTTAATATTAAAGCAAATCAATCTTGTATCATTAATTGTTTGGAAGACTCTCAAATAGCATTCTTTTTTTTATGAGAGATAAATTGCAATTCAACACATTGTCATGCACACATAAAGGAAAATAAAAACATCTTTATTATAACTGGATGCACCAAGTATGACAAATTCCATAGCTAACACCCATTTTACAAGGTTTGTGATTCTATCATAAAAATTCATTTCCCAAGAAAGCCAGTAAATAACATCTCTGTCTGCATGTCATTATTTTTTTATTGCCTGTGTTTTAGAGCATTGGCTTGACTTATTAGTAACAAATTCAAAATTAATTCTTTTAGAATTTTAAAATGCTGATCTCACAAACAAACACTGGATAATAGTGAAATCAAATGAAATATATAAGAAAAAAGTTGTTTTAAGAAGATATTAGATTTGAATGACTGTTTCAGACTCCATGTTAATACCAATGTTGATGATGGTCTATGTCTAGGTCCACACAGGTGGTTTCTCACTCATACAGCTTGGTTGTTGTAGCAGTCACCCCAAATATTAAGTAAAAATCTGGTAACATAGCAAAATACTCTGAGCTCCTTTAAATAACATATTGTGTCTTCATCATCTAATCACTTACTAAACACTCTTACAAAAACTTCTATTTTTAAGTCTGACTACTTCACAAAGTATTATCTTTTGCACGGTTACTATATACTCTATGTAAAGAAGAAATTTTTTTTCTACTTTGCAGAGACTACAGAAAGTTACAAAAAGAAACTTTAAAAGTAAGATACTTTTTAAATGTGAACTTTAGTAAACAAATCTCTTTAGTCATTTATGTAACTATGATTGCTTGGGGCTTGATGTGTCCATTCTCATTGCACATGTAGAAGTATTTTCATTTTCATCCCTATTTCTTGTTTTCCTTTTAAAGGTAAGTTAATCAGAATTGCAAACTGTTTGAAAGGAGGTGGGGAAGCCCTAATTTTGTATAACACGTTTCCTTTTGGGGCTTGTTAAGACCCCAGCTGAGTCTAATTACTAATTTACTAGTCTTAAAGGAAACCTTTTATTAATTGGAAAAGAGGCAAAAAAAGCCATTTGTTTTAAAAGTTTGTACAAATAAATCTATTGCCCAGTGAATGTACTTGAAAACTGGATGAAGTGACTTGTATCTACTGATAAAAATAAACCTGGTAAGGTTCAGAAGCCCAAATCAGTCATCTAAAACATGTATCTAAAAATAAAAGACATCCTGACATAATCATGATAACTAATTAGCTTACTTCTAAAAATATTATGCTGAAATGTAAGTAATTATTGCACAAATTTTTCCATTCATGTAAGCTCTTCTATTTAGTATTTTCAAGCCTAACCAGACAGTAAATATCATTTCTAAAAGTACAATGATTATGAACATGTAAAGGTTTTTATTTTAAAATAGTTAGATTCTTACCCTGATCGAAGGGTTTTCCTGGACTCCAAGTGCGGAAATAATCATCCTAAGGGGGAAAATAATGTGAATTGAGTGTATACAAGTAATTAAAACGCAAGGGTTCATATAAAATCTAAAATTAAATATGAAACACAGAAGCTGTATACAAACCTCTACTTCCTGCAATGGCAAGCAGCAAATTATAAAATAAATAAATAAAAATAAAAAAGAAACAAGAGAAAAAGAATAGTTATCAAAAAGGAACACACTGTTTTCAAGTTACAGAAATGTCTTTCAATAAACCTGTTCATTTTCATTGCAAGTCAATGGTTACTATAACAATTTAACTATTTTTGGTTGCCACTTCTCCTAAATATTACAATGCAATATTTTCAATTACAATTCAGTGCATAATATAACATGCAGATAATTACCTAAAGCTAATAAGCTATAAAGTATCTTACCAGTTTCCAATTATACAACTTCATTGTCCCCTAGTACAACAATAAGTGGAACTATTAATTTAGCAGGGAAAATACCAAGTGATTCTGCAGTGGCCCATGGAGTGTAAATATGCTTTATGCAAATCATTCTCTTGCTAATCGAATATCTAAGAAGTTCATCAAAATGCAATCTAGAGGTTGAAAAGAATGCACACCTAATTAAGTCCTGCCTAAAGTTTAATTCTTTAATATGGAAAAGAATCAATGCAATATATTTACGATATACTTAGTAAATATGACAGTACAGCACAAATGTAGGGCAACGTATACTGAAAAGAATTTTTAAAAGTAAGGCCAAATAGACTATGTCTATTTACCGTTTTTACCACTCTAAAAGCCTTATAAAATTCCTCATTAATATCATATTTTATTATAAATTAAAAAGATATCACTGTTGAAATTAACATACTGTTGTCACTATGGTAACCTGCCAAAAGAGAGTAGCACATCATGGTGAAGCTGTAACATTTCCAAGCTCTAAACTGTTAGACCCACTCAAGTCAGTTAATTGGAAAGCTACAGAAGTTACAGAATTCAAAAGGGGTCAGCAGAGATTCTTTCTCTTTGTATCAATGTAAGGGGTATAAATGCGGTTTTGCTACATGAATATCACATAGTGGTGAAGTCTCAGCTTGTAGTGTAACCATCACCTGAATAGCGTACATTGTTCCCATTAAGTAATTTCTCAGCTTTCACCCCTCACACCGTCCCACCCTTCCAAGTATCTCGTGTATTATTTCATACTCTATGTCAATGTGTACACATTATTTAGCTCCTACTTACAAGTGAGAACATGAGGTATTTGACTTTCTCTTTCTGAGTTGTTTCACTTAAAATAATGGCCTTCAGTTCCACCCACGTTGAGGCAAAAGACATAATTTCATTCCCTTTTATGGCTGAATAGTATTTCATTTCCTTTATCCAATCAACTGTTGATGGGCAGTTAGATTAAATCTAATATATTTACGGTTCTGAATAGTGCTGTGATAAACATATGAGTGCAATTATCAGTTTTATATAATGACTTATCTTCCTTTTTTGAATCTTCTTTCTAGCCTCTTTTTTAGTGTCTCCACTGTATAAGGAAGAAAATGTAGCACTGACTTCAATCATAGAAATAAATGCAATCCTTTAATTTATTTATGAAAATTTTAAATTAAGTTTCAGAAGTTTTTTTAATGTGACTAACAGTTAATCACTACCTTCTGTAATTGCACCCCACCAATTTCAAATTTTTTAAAAAATGAAACAAAAAGAAAAAAATGACATCACTGTAGTTGATATATTTATGTCCAGATAGGGTTATATTAAGAGGAGGGCAAATTATAGCAATCTATACACATAGATTTTCCACTAAATTATCTAGGATTAGATTAAGAAAGGATAATGCTACTGGATAATTAATAAACACTGATTATGTATTGTCTTTAAAATATTTTTAAATACAATTATAGCATGATACAATTCTTGGAAAATTAGACTTTCAAATTAAATTACTCCACTAAATGTCTCAAAACTTGAGCTGAGCAACGTAACATACTCATTTAATATCTTTTATTTTTAAAAATGTATCTTACTATTTGAGGATGATGACTATGATTCATTCCAAGCATGGGGAGGAATTGGGCAGCTACAGTTTTAGGCCTCTCCTGAAGCAGAACAGAAAGCTAGACATGCACACGTGAGTGATGGATTTGGAGACGGGCAAACCAGAATTTTAAGTCTGGCTCTACCACTTATTAGCTGCATCACTTTAGAAAAGATGATGGCCTAGACTATCCTCAGAGTCCTGTGATGAAAGTTGGAAAAATAATATCTACCTATTTGAGGGGGAGATATTGGGATTAGTTATCAAATGTGTAAAATGCCAGCACAGTATCTGGAATAAAGGAGGTGCTAAATCTTAATAGCTACTCATAAGGGTCAAGTTTATGTCTGTCAGTGTCTTTGGGCAACACCACGGACAAGCTGTCATTACTGCTCACCAAATCCTTTGTTTTTCTGATTTCTTACAAACAGCCATAAACTCCTCCTCCTCCTATTTTCAAATCCAATGCCCTCTCCAAAAAAAAAAAAAAAAAAAAAAAGTCAAACGCAGCAAATTTTTAAATACCTACATTTATTGCTATAGTAAATGCAAGAAGAAAAAATGTTTTTGCTGTCATCTCAGACTGTACTGACATGGTACAGCTACCAGTGGCAACACCCAAAAGGATGTGGCCAAGTTTTTATTGTTAATAGTGAGTCCATTCATGTAAACATCACAGAGCCCAAGAAGGTGGAAACCGTGTAGAACTGACATTGTTAGCACTGAAGTCAGATGATGTCAAAGCAGCATGTTTCACATAGCACATAGTGTTTGCAACACTGAACACCTGCAGAGATGAGCAGGAATTAGGGGAATGTATATTTAAAAAGAATATAATTTTAAAATCTAACCTCAACCACATTTAATGATCTTCCTTCAGAATAATATGGTCAAGCTTGGTTCGTTTGGGACCACAGCTATATAAAAATCTATAATCACAATTGTAAAACATGAACTTGGTTTTCCTGGTTATGTCAAGGGCAATCTCGAAGCCTGGCCACTGTGGGGATCAGACATATATATGATGGAAATGCAAAGTAGTCCCACTACTAACCCATTTTTAGACATATTCTTTGTGTTCTCACATCACTAGACTTGTTTTCTTTAAATTAAAACAAACAAACAAAAAAACAAAAAAATAGTTTCACCTCATTAAATCTTAGGAATTTTGCCAGGATGAGAAATAAAAGTATTTTCACATAAGTGTTCATTCAGGCGCAATTTCTTTTGTTTCAAAACATTTGTGTGAATATTGGTTGTTCTCAGGCTTCAATTTATATCCAAAATAAGCCAACCAGGGATTTAGAAAACAACTACAAGAGTTGCCCTCAATTGGAGAAATTCTGGGTTTAAACGACTGAAACCAATCCTGAATGTTTCAAGAGGCAAAGTTGGATTATTGTCACATATGTTCAAAAACTTATGGAGTGAGTTACAGACACCATTAGAATTTAATATTAAACCACTGCCTACTTCTTGTACTTACAGAAATAATAACTATAAGTTTTCCACAAAATAAAGTCTACATAAAAATTGGGTTTATGTGTTTTATTGTTTAAACTGTCTTTTTCCTTGTGGTTTTAATGTTGCATTTTTTCTCTAATTTTAAATAAAATATATGTGCACTTTATTGAGCACACCTATGTATTGTAGAGCATAGTTTCTCAGCCTTGGCATTATTGATATTTTGAGCCAGATAATTCTTCGTTGTGTTAGGGGTAGGGAGACTATTGTGTGCATTGCTCGCTATTTAGTACCATCCTCTGCTTCTACTCATGAGATACCGGTGGGGATACTACTACAAGGTGTGACAAAAGGGAAGTGTAACAAGTTATTGCCAAATATCCTCTGGAAGAAAAATTCACTCATTTGAATACAGCTGATGTAGAGTTGTTGGTAAATAAAGACAAATGAATCAAAATATCTTACAACAAAGTACTGCTACTAGTAACAGATTTTCTCCACAAATATAATATTGAAAGTATATTAAACATTCAATTTTAAATGCAGATTTTTGTGTAATATTTTATTAAGAACACTTTACAACTGTATGGGTTTTTTTCTCCAAAATATTTAATGGCTATATAATACTCTTTGGTATCGACTTACTGTCATTTATATAACTATGCTGTCATATGTCCATGCTCTATGCCTTTATATTACTTATCATATTTAGCTATAATAAATAACATACAAATATATCTGACTAAATTTCTATTTTCTTATAAATACAGAATATAACTATAAGTTCAGAAAGGTGATCAGTGTAAATAAACACCACACCCAGTATGGAGAAGCTAGTTTCCTGTTCCAATAACTGGTTACAACTAGGCTTTGTACAGGTGAGGTGGGTCGGAAGGATAAGCTTACACGGAAAGGTCAACTGTTTGGTTCATTTGTGTCCACACAGCTACATCTGTACTGATAAACTCTCCCATTGTCTGAAGGAATAATTTGGATTGGCACAGAACTAGGTCAGAGATTGCTTAAGCATCCTCACAGAGTTTGATACAGAATCAGTTGGGAATAGGAGATCTTGATGCCCAAAAGCTCCATAAATGCCTACCGATGAACATAAAAAGAGTAATACTCAGGCATTATGTTAGCCATTATTAAGCCATTTAAGTCATCCCAGTGGCTATGAAGAGTGGTTTCGGCAATAAAATCTTACTAAAATCTATGTTTAAAAAAAGTTTACAAAGCACCACACTTTTAAATATTACTAAACAGAGACACTATTGAAGTCTACTGAACACAATTTTGTTGTATATTTTCACAACTATTTTGCAATTTACGTTAACTGCTATAAAAAGATCACATCATTATAAAGTGAGACACAGAGGATAATGCTTTTGAAGACACACTTCAAATATGAAATGAATGTCAAAGTGATGATTATCAATGGTAACTATTTTTGTTACTCTATGCCCATATTCTAAGCAAATATGACAGTCCAGTTCTGGGTGGGGTATAGAATATTCTGGTCAATCTATATGAAAAGAGTTTAGCTGATAATATTCCTATAGCATTTCACTTTCTTACCTGAAGTCTGATGTCAAACTATCCAGGATTTCATATAAGACCTCTGTATAGAGTCATCCAATTGAAATACATAAAAACCAACATTAGATTCAGCTATGGTACTGCCAACTATATTTACTGACACTTTATTATTAAAATGAACATCTTAGCAATATTCTCCCTTAAAGTAATAGCATCAATGCTATACTACACCCAAAAAGGAGACAGGCTTTTACAATAGTACTGTCTTACTTTTTTCTTTTTAATTCACAGGGTCCCAATTGATGTTACATTGTTTACTCTAAGGCATTCAGAATTACATTTTATTATGTTAATACTTATTAGTTGTATTTCATTAATGTATCACTGTTTAAAATGTTTAAAATGTCATTTTTCTTCTTGTCCCCAAAATGAATACCTCACTGTTTAATGAGTGATCTTGTTCACATAACAATTGGCTCCAATTTCAATTAAATTAGGATGAAAAAATAAAAATTTAATAAAATGCTAAAAAGAATAATTATGAAGATCTAAGGATGAATTTGTCCTGGAACAAATTTTCAAATTTTAGCTTAACAGTTTCAATTAATATATTAGAATGAAAAATAAATATCAAAGAAAGCAAACAGTAAGGAATAATAGAACATCAGGGAAAAGACCAAGCTTTTAGAAGAAGAAAAGTCTAAACTTGAACCCTATATCTACCATTTACTCTGATTTCAACTCTGACTTCCAATTTTATTTTCTGAAAATTGAAACTAATAATAATGTTGTTAAGCTTTGTAAATATTAATGTATACAAACTATTAATATAGTTCTAGTTCATAATATGCCTTTAAAAATGGCACTAATTATTTTTATAGCCAGGAAAACATTCTAGTAATTGTCATCAATCATTATGCTACAAATGAATATATTTATTAAATTATATCATGTAAAAATAAAAATTTTGAATAAAATATATGGTATATTTTAGGAAGATTATAATATATGGAATAGGTGGTTAGAAAGCAGATTTTTGATCATTCCATTGTGACCCCTGACCCTTGACTTCTGATGCCAAATGCATATAAATTATGACCTTATTAATCTTCCAGTGTCATATCAGACTTATGATTTTATTTTTTTCAACTGTTCCAGTAAATATTTATTGTGCTCCAGTAGATTCTACAGAAAAAGAAAATTGAGTGGTACACAGCTTGTGACTTCAAGGAGCTCAGAATCTAATGTGAAAGCCAGATGCATTCAGAATGGACTAAGTATGTAAAGAGAAACCTATTCAAAGCATGATGGGAGCAAGAAGAGAAAACAAATAAATCTGAAATGTTGCTAGTGAGAAGTCTTCATGGTGAACCTAACTTATAAACATGTTGATATAGGACATAGGAACCCAAAAATTTAATTTCCCAAGGTATCTGAAGTATCACCTAGTTCTTCCTAGAGATAAAGAATCCAAAGCTTCTGTTGTATAGGCATAGATGATCTCCAAAGATGGCCTTTATCAATGGCTTTCCTCACTGCATATTCATCCTGCTACTTACTCATAACAAAAGATGAATTTTCATCCTCCTCCCTTTGAATAGCATATGGTTTTATGACTTGCGTGACTAATAATATGTGGCAGAATGGCTTTCAGGACATTCTCGTGCTAGTTCATGAGAAACCTTTCAGCCAACCACCATAAGAGAAACCCAAGCCACATAGAGAAGCCATTTGTCTATATCCCCAGCAGGGCTACCAGATGACATCCAAAATCAATTGCCAACCATGTGAGAGAACCATTTTGAACTTTTAACTGACTCAAAACTCAGCATCCATTTTACTGCCATCACTTTAGAGACTCAAAGTGAGAAGCAGCCAGCTAGGAAAGTCAGAACATGATATCATAAGATAAAAATAATAAACTGTGGTTTTAAGCCACTACATTTTGGGCTGGTTCGTAGCGGGCGGGTTTGTTGCAGAACAACGACTAGATGGAAGGTCTCCAGGCCATACAATTAGTCAATGGTTAAGATGAAATAAAATATACAAGATCTTGAGTCAGGTCAAGCATGTCTTTCATAACAGTGCATCTTCGGATACACAGATACAGAACCTCCAAACAATCCCTTGTTCACAGGATTTTGCTGTAATTAATCACGCAAATCCTTCCAATGTCATTCCCCTACTGAGTACCTGATGCTAAATGCTGGCTTTAGCCTTAGAAAATGGTTATGTAACCCTGTAGAAGAATCTTAGAGAAAATCCTGAGGAATCATGTAGCAACTTGGCTCTGCATATGAATGTTAATCTGTATTCCATCCATATTTCTCTGAGTTTTTCCTTCTTACCCACTGGCTTGTTTTCCCTTCTGGATTTTTCATTCATTCCCTACTGCTCATCAGTTATTCTGAATCCAAACTTACTTTCCTGACTAACTCCCCAATCTTGACCCACTGGTTTCTATTAAGTCTCGCTTGAAAGCAACAACCATCACTGTTGAATTATTTTTTCCACAAGCCAGTAAGTGGAAAAATAGGTCCTAGTCTCAAATTCCACCCAAATAGAACATAATTACAAACACAACAAAAATTACAGAAAGTATTTTGGGCCCCTAGTCTTCTCCAGGAAAGAAAAGATTGGGCCAGAAGTCCCACACTGAAAGATCCTACTTTTTCCCAAGGAGTAGGTCAACCAGCCAAATATTTATAGTTGTGGGAAGCATAAATGGCAGGGAGACCCCTGATTTTTAACCTTTCTACAACCATTTTATTTTCATTCAAATCTCCATAATCAAAGCAAAGTTTAATATGCTATTGTTCCACTTATTGACAAATACTTTGTTAATCTTTATATATCTATACAGAAATATAAATAATATAATGATTTTGTAACTCTATGCTAAGGAGTTGGGAGGGAAATTTTCTATGATTTCTGTATTACGTGATTATAATCTCCCAAACCCTCTCAAACCAAACTTTAGAATTTTCCTATTATAATTAACTTTTATTGCTTCCTGTATTTTGATAGCTTGGATAAATCATAAGGTATTGCTAGTTCTAAAGCTAAAAAATAGCAATGGCAATCTGTTTTATTCTGAAATAGGTTATATATTATGGCATATATATGATCTCATTTACACATCTCATCTTATTAGGGGAAGAATGGCTAGCATAACAGTTAAGCCAATAAATTTCACAAAAGAGGAAACTTTCCTGTGTAGAAATACTTAATACATGATTTGATCACAAAATAGATTAGGTAAAGCTTTGTCTGGGTATAAAGGAATTATCTATATGAGACAAACTATCTGCTTCAAGCCCCCAAGTGTCACATTTATTACCCAGGTAGCACTCATTTTCCATGTTGTGTCTTAGAATCCTGAAAGAATTCATTTATAACACTTTGGTGAGCCTTTTATTTTTTACAGAGCATTTTATGCCCCCTGACTTACCACAGATTAAAAACATAAATAAAATAAATAGTGTCAAAAGGACAGTGCCATTGGGACAATTCCTCATTTGTCTCTGAAAGTCTCTGAAAATTGAGGTTAGAATCCCTCTGAATATATAGAGACTGTGTACTGGTTAGTTTTAAATTGATATGCAAAACTTAAAATTCATTTATGTCAGAGAAAGACACAAAGAAATACTTTGCCTCAATAAATAAATTAAGAATCTTTTGTTTGTTTTATTATACTTTAAGTTCTAAGGTACATGTGCACAACGTGCAGGTTTGTTACATAGGTATACATGTGCCATGTTGGTTTGCTGCACCCATCAACTCGTCGTCTACATTAGGTGTTTCTCCTAATGCTATCCCTCCCCTAGCCCCCCACCCCCTGACAGGCACCGGTGTGTGATGTTCCCCACCCTGTGTTCATGTGTTCTCATTGTTCAATTCCCACCTATGAGTGAGAACATGCGGTGCTTGGTTTTCTGTCCTTCTGATAGTTTGCTGAGAATGATGGTTTCCAGTTTCATCCATGTCCCTGCAAAGGACATGAACTCATCTTGTTTTATGGCTGCATAGTATTCCATGGTGTATATGTGCCACATTTTCTTAATCCAGTTGGGTTGGTCCCAAGTCTTTGATATTGTGAATAGTGCCGCAATAAACATAGGTGTGCATGTGTCTTTATAGTAGCATGATTTATAATCCTTTGGATATATACCCAGTAATGGGATCGCTGGGTCAAATGGTATTTCTAGTTCTAGATCCCTGAGGAATAGCCACACTGTCTTCCACAATGGTTGAACTAATTTACACTCCCACCAACAGTGTAAAGGGGTTCCTATTTCTCCACATCCTCTCCAGCATCTGTTGTTTCCTGACTTTTTAATGATCGCCATTCTAACTGGTGTGAGATGGTATCTCATTGTGGTAAGAACTTTTAAATATTAAGAATTTTCATTGTAACTATAAAGACATTAACACATGTAAAAACATTTAATAAAAATAGTGGCTTGAATTTATTACTCACTCACCCTGTACCAGGAACTGTTCTGAACACTTTACTCTCAATATCTGCAAGAGGTAAGTGATTCTATCACTCCCATTGTACAGATGGGAAAGTGAAGCAAAGAGAGATTACATGATCTGCTAAAGTTTACACAACTATTTAGAAGTACTCTTGAAATTAGAACCCCAGAAGTATAGCCCCAAAGCCTTCATTTGAAACCATTCCAGCATACCACAGGTCAGCAGCCATGATGGCCTATGGGCCAGGCCCACAAGTTGTTTTTGTAAATAAAGTTTTATTAGCCACACCCCTTTTTTTTACATGTTATAACTGCTTTAGTGCTTACCACAGCAGAGTTCAGTAGTTATGACTGAGGCCATAAGGCCCGAAAAGCTTAAAATATTCAGTATCTGGTCTTTTACTACACTATCTTATACCATCCTATACTTCACCCACAAAAGAAGGCTTAAAAAAATGAGAAAGCAATATTTAATGGAATACTTCTCTATTTCCATGTAGGAAACAATAAATCTTTTGTTGAGATGGAGAAGACATTTATTGTTCTTAAAGAACATTAATTTTAAGAACGTTAATAGAATTTGCATAATTCTATTCTCAAATCTTAATGTCTCCAAATTTTCTAAGTACTTTTATTTTTTCTTTTCTGACCATCAGTATCTCATCTAGCTTTGGAGACAATCTACAGATGAATTTATCATATTTTTAGAAAAAGTAATCACGATATGTATTCTGAAGCCAAGGAAAATAAGATTATAAAAAGCTTTATGATGTACTATATAGAAAAAATTTTAGACACAGGTTGCAAATATCTATTCCACATTTTCATGATCCTCAATTTAAAATGAAAATCAAAGGCTAAATTAAGGTCAAGTGCCTCTAAGTACTAAAAATGTGCTTCTAATCCTAGAATGCTTCTTAGGTTAGTAAATCAAAACTTTAGATATTGTTTACTGCTTAAGCAAAATAACAATACCAATATTTCCATATTTATTTTGCATTCTTTGTAAAAATTTATGTTTCCATATGTGCAATAAATATTAATACATTTGTATCATATTAATAATGTAAAAATATTTATGGTATTTCCATAATTTTACATTTGATATTTATAACATTATCTTAGTGTTCATAATTCATAATTTTAAATCATCTATAATGCTAAATATTGAATATAGTTTATAAGACTGTTTAATTATATCATCAAATATAAATACATACATTTATATAACATAAAAATGTTAAATGCATGTCCGTCTGATTAAATATTTTCATATAGAGTCAACAAAAATACAGTGCTGTTCAAAATTTCAACTAAATACTGTATAAAATAAATAACGGTCATCATAAATGAAAGTAAAATAATAGTTATCTTTTTAAGAAAGTACTATCCTGAAAAATGGTGCATTCATTGTTTCATTATTGAGTCAAGAATGTATTTCTGTGCTTTTTTTCCCCTCTAGTAGCAAAAATAAGCTCTTTCATATTGTATACTGGTTAGGTATTAGGGAGGATGTATTTATAACTGAACTTTAATTATTTCCCTTTGAGTCCTTTATTGTGATTAATACCTGTGAATACCTTCTTTGAACATATCTGTTTTTAGACACAAACTGAAAGCTGTTTTGTTCCCACTGAGTTTTGATTTTTGTTTTTAAGATGCTATTTTTAATTTATTTCATTGTTGTTATTTGGTTTCTACATGTATAAATTGAGAATCTGATGCATAGTTGCTATTACCTGTAGTAACAGTGTTACATTCATAGTTCATGGCTTCTAAAATCTTTGAACTAAAATATGATTCATTCTTATCTAAAAGATTTGCTTTGTGACTATTATATCCTTTATTATCTCTTTAAAATTATATAAACATAAGACTTTCAAAACACCCTTTGCACTACTCAAAAATTTAGTATAATGTGTATATCTTGGAGTTTGTCCCAATATTTAGTTTTAGATTTCACTTTTTTCAAAACACTAAAATAATACTGCCAAATAATCAACACACTTTCTAAAAAAAAAAAAAATAGCTAGTTTACTTGAAAGCTAAAACAGAATTATAATAATCAGTAAAGGGTTATGTGGAAGATAGTAGCTAACAACAGTTCCCCAGGAATCCACTTGAGTTTGCAGTGGCAGTACGTGACTCACCCCCTTTTTCAGTAAAGATTTATCACTTGTGTATAGCTACAAAATAAATTATGCCAAAATTTAGCAGCTTAGAACAACAGACATTTATCTTACACTTTCTGAGTATCAGAAATCTGGGCATGGTTTAGTTGAACGCTGCTGCCTGCAACTCTTCCACGTGGCTGAAACTAAGGTGTCAACCAAGGCTGCCTACTCTTCTGAAGTCTTGACCAATACTTCACGTATTTGGGGGCAGGATTTGTTCCTTGCTAAGTTTTGAACTGAGGCCTTCAGTTTCTCACTGGCTCAGTTCAAGTTCCTTGCCACATGGGCCTCTCCACAGGGCAACTCACATTATGGCTTCCCCTACTGTGGGAACTCCAAGAGAGCGTGAGAGGATGGGTAATATAGAGTGTGGTCTTTTTAAAGCTGATTTCAAAATGACATCCTATCGCTATAGCATTGTTTTTGGAGAAGTGAGTCACTAGCCCAAATTTGAGCACAAAAGCATGAATACCAGAATGTAGGGATCATGGCAGCCATTTTAGAGGTTCTCTTCCACAGAGGGAGGGCGAGGAGTTGCTGGAAAATCTCTGGAAACTCTTTTTCTCATTTGACAAAACAGTACTTCAGTTTTTCTATTGTCAGGATTTTCAAAGAAAGAGAGGTCAAATCTCACTCATTTCCTTTAAAAAATTTTCATGGATACATAATAGTTATACATAGAGTACGTACAATGTTTTGATACAAATTTACAATGTGTAACGATCAAATCAGGGAAATTGAAATATCCATCACCTCAAGCATGTATCATTTTTGGTTTAGGAACATTCCATTTCCACTCTTAGTTATTTTGAAATAAACAATAAGTTACTGTTAACTAAAGTCGCCCTACTGTGCACTCATTTTGTTTAATTTCAAATTCAGTAAACTTTGTTGTGTATGCCCGTACTATTTGGCAGCACTTCTAAAGCTATTTGTCAGGAGGAACCAGTTTTATTTTTTTTTTCCAATGGATTATGGAACAAACCTTTTACAAAATACAAGAAAATTAACCACTTAAAAATTGAAATGAAAAAAAGACATGCAAAATACAAAGGCAAATTCATTGCTTTTAGAATTAATCAATATATAATTTTTCCGTCAAGTTGCTGTGAAAGCTTTTCCAATGCTGACACTCAATTTCTGCACCCATCCTACTCGGGTTACAGAGCAGCACCAATCTGTGGACCATTCTTTGAGCCACACTGATCTCTATGACATAGAGAAATGCAGTTAGAGATGTGTCTCCCAGACTTGCTGCCTCAAAGTTTGCAATTTCTGATAAAAATCTACGAATTCAACCAATAATAAAATGTCACATCTCCAAAAGGCTGTGAATATTTCAGTTAATTTGATAGCTGGGAAAAGTACACTTAAATCATTTTTGCTTATGGTAAAGGGAGATAAAAACAATAACAATATTTTGCTTTTTTCTTTCTGTGTTTTAGAAATGAAGTCTTACTGTATGCCCAGGCTGGAATTCAGTAGCATGACCACAGCTCCCTGCAACCTTGACTTCCTGGGATCAAGAAATCTTCCCACCTCAGCCTTGAAAGTAGCTAGGACTACAAGTGCACACCACCACACCTGGTCAATATTTTACTTCTATTTTGTATGTGAATTAGGATATATATGTGTTCTTCTCTCTTACATTAATCTACGCCCATCAAGCAGCTATCAACAAATGTAGCCATGGAAGATAAATATGTTTGCACATTTAAAAACTTACATTAAAATGAATCACAGCACTAACGAGAAAAGAGATACCAAGCCATTAAAATACATTGAGGGAAATATATTTTAATGTCATATTACTAAGCAAAAGAAGTTACTCTATGAAGGCTGTATACTGTATTATTCCAACTGTATGGCATTCTGGAAAAGGTAAAACTATGGAGGCATGAAAAGATCAATGGTTGCCAGGGTTTGGGTGGGGAGAAGAATGAGGCAGAGCCCAGAGGATTTGGGGAACAGGGAAACTATTTAGTGCCATACTATAATGGTGGATACATGCCATTATACTTTTGTCCAAACCAGTAGAATGAACAATATCAACAGTGAACCATAATGTAAACTATAGATTTTGGAGGCTAATGATATGTCCAGAAGGTTTAGCAATTGTAACAAAGTGTGATCACTCTGGTAGGGATGTTGATCATGGGAGACTTGAGTACTGGAGGCAGAGAGTATGTGGGAAAACTCTGTACCTTCTGCTTGCTCGATATTGCTAGGAACCTAAAACTGTTCTAAAAAAAAGAAAAGTCTATTATATTAAAAAATAAATCACAGAAAAATTTTATAACATAGCTAATATTATATAGTTTGAATTTACATCTCTAATTATAATGAACTACACACAGTAGAAGATTTTAAATAATGCTTACACTCTATGCAATGGAAACCAATGTAAAAATTATACTCTGTATGTTCACAAATATCCCTTATAATGATAATCTACAAAATAAACAATTTTAAAAAACTGTACAAACTGCCTATTTTCTTAGGTGTCCACTAATTGATTAGGCTTATGACCCACTGTGAAACTATTTTTTGCATTAGCCAATATAATAGACAATAATGTATAACAAGAAAATAAAAAAGATGTGATTTGAGCCATCAAAAGGTAAAAATTAGAAACATTTTAAATTTTATATATTCTTTTAATAACTTAGCTTGCGATTTTTACATCCTTTTAGAAACATACCAATAAATATACGTTTACTATAATTCAGTCAAGTCTGCACATGAGATTAAAATGAATATCTGGCAATCTGAGACTTATGTGTAAAACTATGCATGGAATTGAGTTGATATTTTAGACATTGCATTAAAATATGTCAATTGAGATCAAAATAAGAAGCAAAAAATTGTACAGATGAAAGGCACCAGAAGATTTCTCATTTCATTTTATATTAAGTGACTCTACATAATATATGCATCTAAAATAATGGGATTCCTTCAGTATTTATTTTATGATTTGAAAATGTCAGTTTTAAAAGGATAATAATTTCATTAAATATAGAGAGATAAGTTTTCAAAGGATAATCATTCTACATACACACACACACACACACATCAAAATTCTTTAGAGACAAATAATCCTGCATTGCCTACTATTTTGCACTAATGTTCTCTCACCCATAACAGAAAAAAAAGCTATAGCCCAAATGAAAAGTGTAGAAATGAAACTCAAGGAAATGCACAAGATGTTCTTATCTAATTGCATCTTAGCTCAAACTACCAGAACATTTTTAAGAGAACAAGATTCCCTTTAGAATAATCCTGTGTACAGAAAGACAATCTCTATATTACATGTGTTTTAAGTTAGAAAAAAAGAAAGTTGCTTCAAACATCTAAGACATAAAATTCTGCTTCCCTGTTCCTTCTTTTGAATAAAAGAAAAAGAATGATTTTCTAATGTGGCCCAATACTAATATTTAACAAATAATTCATTTTATCGATGCTCTGTACTCCTCATTTGCACCTTAATATGGCCCAAAGTTATGTAAGTTTTGAATATTATAGAAGAAAATATTACTATTGGTAACCATTGTAATGTATTTTGTATATTTAATTTCATTATTTATTGCACTTATTACCTGCAGGTGAGTCCATTCATAAATATAAGAGAGGAAAGAAAGGTGGAAGGAAAGAAGGAAGAAAAGAAAAAGGAGGCAACATGGAGAGGAAACGTGGCTTTAATTTAACAAATTATTCCTTTAACACCTTTATGCCATACCATGGTAGCCTGTAACCACTGGAAGATGAAAATGCATAAACATAGTCTCTGCTCTCATGTAATTTACATTCTATAGAGAGTCATGGTAGCAACATAATGTAGCTACGTATTAATACAAAATGTTAAACCTTCCTTAGTTTGACATGATCAGGGTCAGAATGCATGCCATGAGAGCTGTGGCTTAGGTAAGATGTTTCATGCAGAAGTACTAACAAAAAGATGGAGATGCAAGGAAGTATAAAGAAATCTAGAAACTACAGGCACTATCAGATCAGAAACTCTGTATTATCAGGTCATAATGTTTATTACCTATGTAATAGGTAAATGTATACCTATGTGTATCCAGGTCATAACTCTGTGTGTGTGTGTGTGTGTGTGTGTGTGTGTGTGTGTGTGTGTGTGTGTGTGTGTGTGTGTTTGCAGAGGGATCTGGAATGTTGGGAAGGAATGGGGACGGTAGGTAGTACAGCAAAAGGTAAGTTGTCTAAGGTGAAATAGATAGGCAAACTCATAATCAGAGTTGGTTTTGCAAGATATATATTTCTTATTTATTTCCAGATTCAAAGCAAGCCTAAGTGTTTTAAGGTTGATGTATGCATTCTGGAAAAATCAACAAATTAACATATTTTCATGAGTCCTTAATACCTAGAGAGAGTTCAGGTATTAAGTTTTCTTTGAATAATAATAATAATAATAACCCATAATCACCCTATGATGCAGGTATCATCCTTTACCTCAATTTACAGATGAGAAGAGGTTAATTTTATTATGCTTCAATTTTCTAATATTTAATTTTATTATTTAATTTCCAAGTGCAAGTAGCAATCTGCTACGGAAAATAATTTAGGAATCCTAACCTAAATTATTATTGCTTATTGATTTACTCAGCAGATACTTACAGTCGTCTTATATTGCAGCTCTAGGCAAAAGCTAAAGTGCTCCCTGTATGCCTGGAGCTTAGAGTCTGACTCTGGGGCTTTGTACTCAATACAGTTCTATATAATTTTTATAAATAGGAGAGCAGTTTTACAATCACTGGAAAGATCTCAGTTTTTCTAAATTTATTCTATTTAGATGTTTACATTTTATTCTTTGCATCTCCAAATGGCATTTGGGCAAATGAAAAAAAAAAAGTCTCTAGCATTTATAAAGGTATATGCACAGAAATCTTAGATTCATATTCAAAGATACTGTCAAATATAAGAAAACAAAACATTGAAACATCTGTGAATATCTGAAGTACATTTTTAAAACACAGAACTAAACCTTATTTCTTTCCTCTTCAAAATGTGCTAGTCTTCAAAACTTTCAAAACTATTAATGACTTTTCAAAGCTTCCCACAAAATTGTTTTGTCAGTATCCATTCATGAGGAACAACCTATATCCCTTGATAGAATCTAATTTATGCTCCTTGCTGTGTTTTCTTTGAACATTTCTGGGTTTAATTATCTGGAATAAACTGTTCCTCTTGACAAGAAATACTGTTTCTTGGTTTAATTCCATGTCTATAGAAATTTAGAATCAGCATCCAATAGAAATGGGGATAAATCTTTATAGACTAAATACACCAAGAAAATAAATGTTCATGGAACATGGTGAAAAGGGCCATTTCCTTAGTTTTCATCAGTGATTAGATGCCAAAAACACATAAGAAAGAAAAAAAAATCAAATGTAATGGTCAACTTCTCTGTGAATGTGTGATTAATAATGCCAGTCAATTGAATCTTGTAAGCAGTTCAGAATGTTGTTAATTACAGTTCAGGGAAAGCAAATTCGATATCAAACACTTTTAAGAAAAAGTAAATGGGATTTTATGGTGTTGGCAACTGTAATGTGTTTTGAGCAGTGCTGAGCTACTTCATACATTAGCATAGTTGTTTATGGACTTGGTGATATGATATTTAAAACATACTCTAATGTGGGTATTAAATTAGATCAGAAACTGTGCCTACCAGTTTCAGGGTGGGAGGCCATATGTGCTATAAAGATAAAAGGATTTAGACAGTTGAAAAAGCAGTGAGTAGAGTTTAAAATCCCTACAAAGAGGAAGTTGAGAGAATCTGCTATCTGGGGGGAGGAGGTAATCTCTCACCAAGCAGAGTTCTTGCAAAATGCATAGATGGCAAATTTGCCTTTAACAGATGTTCTCCACTCCCACCATTTTCCAAACTTGAGTACTTTTCATGGATTTTGGCCTTAGAACTCTATATGTCCCTAATATTCAACTGCTTACTCTCTAAGATAGTTCACCTTGCAGGTGAAGAGACAATTTGCCATCAGTATTGTCTGACTTATGTTCTGTTGCACTAGTGGCTGAGGAAGTGAGAAGGCATAAGAAGGTCAGTTGATACTAAGGAATGCCACTTGCAAACAAGTTTCCAATTGTCCCAACAATTAGTTATTTTGATTGATTAACTTTCCTTTTATATTGCAAACATTACCTGAGAACATACAATCAGTCATTCCTAACAAGAAATCACAGCAATCTTGAGCAGTACTGTGCTCTTATTAACGGGAATGAGCCTTTCTCTCATCTCCACCCAAAGGAAATAGAAAGGACAAAGAATCATTTAAGATCATATTCCATTTTAGGAAAGCAGAGCTCTAGGAGTGACGTCTAAACAGAGTGTTTAAAAATCTAGGGGGCACCTTGAGGAATTAGGTTAAGAGTGAGATTTAGAAGAGTAAGTGGAATGACAAAAGCAACAGAGGCCATGCAATTTTAACTCAGATTTTGATGGTAGTCATACTATCTACCTCTACCTACCCGAGATAGAAAAATAAATGGCATGTTAGATTATCTCTTGCAAGGAGGCTGGGAGGAGGCACACCCACCACAAGTCAAAAGGAGACCTTGAGATTACCATTTTCTATGCCAACTTCTTGTCTTATCTTGATGATTCTGTCCTATATTCTCTTTCTTTCTTTTTTTTTTTTTTTTTTTGAGATGGAGTTTTGCTCTTGTTGCCCAGGCTGGAGTGCAATGGCACGATCTCGTCTCACTGCAACCTCCTCCTCCTGGGTTCAAGTGATTCTCCTACCTCAGCCTCCCGAGTAGCTGGAATTACAGATGTCCTATATTCTTGATGATGATATCCTATATTCTTCAAAGAATGCTTCTTTGAAGCTCACCTGATAAATCCCTGTTTTTGCTCTTATGCTGGCTTTTGAGGCAGCATGGCATAGCAGAAAATCTAGAAATAATACAGACAGGTAAAAGTTCTAGCTCAACAACTAACTGGTGAAGGTCACTGAAAAAATTATATACTTTTAGCTTCAATTTATTCAACTGAAAAACTGTGAATAATATCACCTTTGCTGGGCTTTGAAGATATTACTACATGGAACACATAAATACACCAAGCACAATTGCTGGCATTTAACACACTTTCAGTAAATAAAGTGTTGATGTCTTCTTTTTTTACTATGAAATAATATTAAAAGGAAAAAAAGTCAGTGGCTCTCCTGTTAACATTGTAGAGAGTCAACTCTCCATTCATATACTCACTCACTCACTCATGCATATTATGTTCATGTGTAGTTAATATGAAATAAAGACAATACTGACACACAATTTAGATATTTCTGCCACAACCCCACCAAAAAGGAAAAGCAAAACCAAGGATGGAAAAATACTTTTACAACAGGATTAAGTTGTCATTAAAATCTCTGTCTGGAGAATTCAAATGGGAACTCTGTGAATGACTAACGATTCAGTAGCAACATCAGCAGGTGGAAATACCTTGGGAAAGAGAGAGGCAAGGAGGGAGCCAAAAATAGGAGAAAGTCAAGGGATGGCTAAGCAAAATCTACAGCTAATATGAAATTGTGAAGGAGAAAATATATAGATACAGAATGGATAAGGTAATAGGAGTAGGGAAAGCAGAAGTGAGTCTTATTAAGATACAGGAGGAAACCAAAAGAACTGGCCAACTTCTGTCTCATCTCCTGAATGGCATTTCATTCCAGCCTTCCTAATGTCAAGCTGTAGTACAGTTTTGTTCCTCCCATGAATTCTTCATGCATGTCTCTTATCAACACATGCATCCTCACACTCAATATCCAATACTTAGGGTACCCAAGTGAATCTCTGTTCTGACAAACCCAAATCTCACAAATACATCATCTGAGTGATAATTTTCTTTAAATACTTTGGTATGAAGAGTTTGAAGCACATGTGTGCAACTTATGTTTAAAAGGTGCTTAGCACTTGATTAATTAGCATTTGAAATCCCCTAGTCAGGAATCAATATTCATGTCATAGAAATCTGCACAAGAAAGGTAGTTAATTATGTAGTATAAGTTAGTCATATGGTTGGATAGAAAAAGTGTGAGCCTCAAACCCCTTGTGTGATCTGTTTGGTTTTATGCCAAATCTTTTACAGAAGTTGCCCAATATGACCAGAAGATCAGTTGGTTTTGCCTTTACATGGGAGTTTTGTAAACTACTGCTGGCAGGCCAAAACTGGCCATTGTCTGTTTGTAAATAAAGTTGTGTTGTAATTTGTTTACATATTGTCCGTGACTGCTTTGGGGACTTCAACAACAGAGTTTCATAGTTATGAGGAATATCTGTGGAAAGATACTCAAGGACATACGAGCAGGCAATATGACTGTTTTATGCTTGTTTACTAAAATGAAGTTGGATGAATTTAGACTAAGATTTTCTTATTCTCATGTCTTGGTGAGGTTGTGGGGTCAGGGACCTACAGCCTTCCTTGATCTTTGTTCAGTTCTTAGTTGTAACACAAATCTCAAAAGACTGCCATGTTGGAGGTTTTTCTTCCAGGAAGGAAGGAAGGAAGGGAGGGAGGGAGGGAGGGAGGGAAGGGAAGGAAGGGGCAGAGAGAGGACAGAGGGAGGGAGGGAAGACAGAGGGAGGGAAGGAAGGGAAGAGGGAGGGGTGAGAGAGTAATAAAGAGAGAGAATGGGTATGAGAGAGAGAGAAAGAGAGAGAGAGAGAAAGGCCAACCGTGATACCGGAAACTGATCTGACTTCACAGCTCAGGCCCATTGTGATTTTATAATTCTTGGGTTCACAGATAAGCCATAATGTTCTCCTGTCGGATATTAACAATCTTAAAGAACATTCATTTCAGACAACGTCGTTGTAAAAACTTCAAAATACCAAAGAGCCCCCCTCACACAATGAATGAGTGGTACTTCTTAACTAATTACAGCTTTATGGTTGCCCTAGGCTGTTCTTCCTACAGACAAGATGTATTGAGATAGCTAGTCATAGAATTGCCACAAAATTTCTGTCGACACCCAACCCAAAGCAAACCTCTACTTCCTCAGACTTTCCCTAAGATTCCTCCAACCAAGCCCAAATCCTGTGTCAGGTTGTCATCTGCTCCTACTGAGATGCCCCACAGTTCCCCACCATGTGCATTCTCTCTTGCTGCAGTGAATAACGAATTCAACTTGCTCAACTCTAAGTGTCCCTGTGGCTGGATGAAGCCCACTGACGTGGCCTTTCCTTTCCCAGTGCTTCTATCTACAATATAGCTGAGTGTACAACCTGGTATCTCCATGCAGACTGCTCCGCTGTGTGAAGGACTGTATTGTCATTTTGTTTAGACAACTAAGTATGACCTTTCATTTCAGGTTCATTTTATACTTACTTTCAGGGGCAGGCTTAGTTTAGGACTTTTGCTAGTATAATTGTCTACTTGAAATGCTGTGGTCAAACTAGGTTATATCATTCAGCAGAGTATTGAGTCTGCATGAATGATGTGAAACCCATTGATAAAATTTATATGAATTTCAGAAAGATAGGGATAACAAGAGAGGATTATAGAAACTTATACAAGTTATTAATTTTCTTTGTTCATAGTTCCTGAACATCAGTTATAACACTGAAGTCTTAGAAATTAGTTTCTTTAGCTTCAGGGCTTTTAAACCTAAATTGTTATGTTACATTTTTCTACCAAGATCACAAAATGTTAAATAATGGTACATCGCCTGGGTAGGCTAACTGAAAACTTTTTATTGATATGAAATGTCAGTAACTTGGGTGACTATTTAGCAGAAAGGTCAGGTGTTTTTCAAGGTCATGTAAAATATGGAGAATAATCCTTGGTTTGCAATGTTTGAAACTTAAGAGGATAAGCACAGTATAATAATTAGTCTCAAATTTCATGGTTTATGAGAATATGTGTTGCTAACATACATGTACAAGAGCACCTAATATTAGGTCTCTCAATTTATTATATATTAAAAGTTATTAAAAGATATAGGCCATATCATGAGAAAATGTGAACCAGAAAAAATGATATAGTTGATCATTGCCTGAATATGCTGGAAATCATAATCTCTGTCAACCTCCAAACAGGAAATGTACATAATAACATTGGTTCTACCATAAGAAACTATTGCATATTTTTTCTTTTTTTAAGTTCAGTTTCTCTGCAATATTTTCCTTTTCTGTATATTTCTCTCTTTTATATTTTTTCTTCTCTGAGAATAAGTTCACCATTGATACTCAATGTCACTGCACAGCCCCAAGGCAAATACACTGATGTCAATGGAAATCTAGATAGAACTTGCATAGTCCAGAAACATTGTCTTGACAGCTGCTTTTGCAACAGCCCTTATGTATGTGGAGTGTAGCCGAAAAGGTCATAGTGATGACTAGTACTGCCTTCGGTCTTGAAATTATTCTAAATTTCCTATCATAGGAAGTGGGAAGTCTGGGAGGGATCCACACTAAAGGAGCTTAGGTATCTGAGGTGCCCACCCTCCTAAGAGTTCAATTTACATCTTGGTGTCTTTGGTGAAAGTTAGAATGAAAGTAAATATAAACTACACATTGATTATTAATAACCATCAAGAATAATATTTTTAAGTTTCACATTAAAAGGTTAAATTAGACGACAATGTGATTTATAAATATATTAAAAATGAGAGCAATCATACATAGAAACCCATTATATAATAAAAAGTCTTGTAGGTACAAACAGCCCCTGGAAATTCAGTTTGACAGTGGGAGGCTTATTAATTGAAGAATCTGTTTTTGATCCCTTCCCTCTACTTTTGTCCAGAGGGATCCAGGGTGATGGGTTCACTTGACTGGAAGCTTATATGAGCAAACCATTTGACACAGTTAATAGTGATCTGGATAAAAACTCTAATGTCATCTAATTCAGGCAAGCAAAATGTTGGGATCAAAGGAAGTAATAACCCCAGTTCATTCCTCCCTTGTCTGATAGTTGAATCTAGAAAAAAAAAAAAAACACAAATGTCCTTTGAGGAATGACTATAGGAATTTGAGATGCTTATCTTGGAAGGGAAAAGACTTTATAGAGCAGAGAAAAAATGAAAAGAGAGAAAAAAAAATGCCCAAACAGACTTTTTTCCTTAGCTATTAAATTGCTTATCAAATTGGACTGATCTCTGGCAGGTGCCCAGAAAGGTCATATTGGTTGTTAAAAAATGAAAGTTAAATTTATTCCAGGACCTCTGTCTCCAGTTTCAATGTTCTTTCCATGACCATTTTTAAGAGGTCATGAATTTGGTGACTTTGGAATCAAACAATACTCATTTGAAATATCTGCTTCCTTCCTTTCAATGGGAGGTAATTTTTCTTTTAATGAGGGAGAGCCATGTGGCGAAATTCATCGTTTGAAAAGAGGAATCTAGCGTCATGATGGAAGATGTGTCATAGCCAAAAGAGAAGAGAATCATTCTAAATATACATTCTAGGAATGACTGGATTTTCATGCTGTGCTATACTGAGTTTCTGTAAAACTTTCCTTCATCATTTTTACTTGGGGAAATACAGTCCATTTTTATAAGGCCCTGTACAGATGGCAACTTATTTGGCAAGATGGTAAGTCCATACCACCTCAAAGTAGAAGTAATATATATTTGTATTCAGTTTAAGTTCCCAGAACAGAAATGACATCTCATTATGATATAGGTATTTATGTCAAACACAGCACATGATATATTATGGGTACTTAATAATAAACATCCATTGTTGGGATAAACTACCCAGATTACAATGGTGATGTGGGAAGAACAGAATAAGATATTTGACCTACTAGGCTATGAGAAAGTAAATTATCGGTGGAAACTTTCTTTTTACAGTTCTTCACTAATGTATTCATGGGGTTATGTTCTTTATCTGTTTCAACCATTTTTCAACAAATAAGCTTTTTAAATGTCATAAAAATAAAATTATTTGATAATAAAATAGCGAAATTTTACTTAGCTTATTGATTTTAATGTTTTCTGAAAATCTGTGGGAAATAATATACTTAACTATAATAGTTCATCAGAAGACATTAATTTTAGTCCTTGTTTTGTTATTGCAAAATGAACCACATTTTAATTACATCATAGCTTCATATAATAAAATCCATTTATTAAAGTGAGACTAACATACTGTCCACTCACTAACGATCAATAGCTCAAACACAAGAGAAGTTAAAACAAAAGGATGCTGATAGTGGAAGTTCAGATAGATCTTATTTCTGTCATCCCTTTACCTAAGAAGTAGACTAAAAAGGATCTGGCTTTGGAATCAGATGAGTCTGAACATGGTTCTGGGTTCTGCTAACTGACGGGCTCTGTGGCTTGAGGAAAGTTACCTTGAAATTTCAGATTTGTTCTGTTTACAACTGTTAAATGGGAATAATGATAATGTTTATTTCACAGCATTTTTGCTACAATCAACACTTTTATTCTTCCAAGCCCAGAGGAAGGGTCATTAAACTGTCATTGTATTTTTCCCTGTTTCAGATGAAAATATTCACTTTCTACTTCTGCTATATTATATAAATATCTACTTTACTCAACAGAGCCAAAAGCTCCCTAAAAACAACCAAGGCTCATTCTTTATATAGCCTCTACAGCCTTTAGCACAACGCACAAAACAGTTGACTGAGAAATATTTGATCATTGAATTAATGAGATTACAAATTTAAACTTTTTCAAGTATAGTATTTTTTCACCATCTTCAGAAATGGATAAGTAAAGGTAGTTTAGGGACTTGACAATGAATATTAATGAGTAGACCGCCCAGATAGCAATCATGATGCAGGAATAGCAGACTATAGTACTTGGCCTACCTGGATCTATAAGAATATAAACAAAACATATTTCTTTGAACAAAATGATCTAAATAATTTGTCGGCAAATAATTTTATTTCTTAGATAATGCTTACTCTGTACCAGGCAGTGTTTGTAGTAACTTAAAATTTTTTACTCATTTAATAATCATAACTCTATGAGGTACAGTTGTTACTATAACTTCTTTTCTATAAGTGAGAAAACTGAAACATAGCTGTTCCATAAAGAACATGCCCAAGACCACAGAGCTTATAAATTTCAGAGCCAGAATTTGAAACTAGGCAGAGAATCCTCAGTTTCTGCTTTCCTAACTATCATATTATGATGTAGAATTTCAAAACATGTGTCATCACTACTCTCTTGAAATACAGAACGCAATTATTCTGACATTTGTAACAAATATATTGACGTTACAGTAAGAACCACTGATAGAAAATTTACTTTTTCTTATACTAGTGACAACAGAGCATACTTTTCCACAAATCTTATCCCCAGAACATATCTGTTCCTTTTCCTCCTAGGTGCTTAAACAATTCTTACAACATTTCACCATAAGATAGATGTTAGGAATCGTTCAGAGTCATTTAGAACTGTTTGATGGTGAGTACATGCTATCTGAGATTGCTCCTGCAGTAAATCGCCTAAAGTTATTGAATTTATTTCAAGTTATCACATATAAAGTAAACACCATTATTGACATGGAAGATATTTCATTTCCTCATGTTTCATTTACTTCCCACATACTAGGGAGCTAAAATGGACTATCAGGATAGAATTCTGGTACACATTGTTTCAAAACATCATTTATTTATAATCTAAATAAAAGCCTTCTGCCTTTAGCTATCAGAATTGTGCTTAATAAAATCAATGATGTAGGTATAGATTTTTTTTAGCTGTTGTTTTTATGGAACCAGAAAAAGATGGTAGTAGATAAGCAAACGCTGATAACATATACCACCAATATACTGACACTAAGAGAGTTTATGAGCTGTGTCTATCAGAAATAAGAGAAATTATTCCTGAAAAAAAAAATCTTAGAAGCAAAAGTAAAGATGGCTCTTTTCTTAATTTTTCCGCAGGATGATATATAACAAGTACTATTCTAGATGCATAGGAGAAAAGTTAACATACAATAGATGCCTTCTATAACATGGATTTCTGGTTACATAGAAATTTGTTATAACATAAACTTCTGGGCTCAACCTTCAGAGGTGCAGTAAGCTGGTCTTGGGTTAAACCTCAGAATTTGCATTTCTGATAAGGTTTCAGATGATGCTGATGCCATTGTGGTCAGTACCACACTGAGAATCACTGCATTAGGGTTTTAATCTTTTCTCAGAAACCTGGTGTGCAAGGCCACCAGTCTTGAATTACTTTCTGTTTCCAAACATGGAGAAAGTGTAGGTTGTCTTGCAAATAACACCTATGAAAACTTTTTTTTTTTTTTTTTTTTTTGAGATGGAATCTCACTTGGTCACCAGGCTGGAGTGCTGTGGCATGATCTTGGTTCACTACAACCACCGCCTCCCAGGTTAGAGCAATTCTCCTGCCTCAGCCTCCCGAGTAGCTAAGACTACAGGTGTGTGCCACCATGCCCAGCTAACTTTTGTATTTTTAGTAGAGATGGGATTTCACCTCCTTGGCCAGGATGGTCTCAATCTCTTGACTTCGTGATCGGCCCTCCTGGGCCTCCCAAAGTGCTGGGATTACAGGCGTGAGCCACCATGCCTGGCTGCTCATTTTTAAGGCCAATGCAAGTATTAAAACTTTGTATACTATAAAAAAATCCATTTTATAGTAGCTAGTACCTACATTCGATGATGAATCCTACCTTGTAATTGTACTAAACAAGTTGTAAATACTTGGTTTATTTTTAGTCATTCACATATGTTCCCATACAATAAAGAACTAATCAATCATTCTTCATCATAGATGTGGTTATTGCATATGTCAAAAACCAAGCTTATTTGTTATGTTCAATAATTCATCAATTCATTAGGTCAGCATATACATATTGAAACTGCACTTAGTTATGAGGTGCTGGTATTCTATAAATGAAAAACAATAGACAAATCTGATATGTAACTTAAAATAAAGATTAAAAATAAGTTTATATATATGTGTGTGTACATATATATATAAATACATGTATTTCTACATGCCATTTGAGATAATACAACTGTTAATAAAAAAACAACAACCGACCAAACAAACAAAAACTACAAGAAAATACAGAAGACTAAGAATGTCTAGGATGTAGCAATTTCACATAGTATGTCCAGAGATGGCTTCCCAGAGGAAGTGGCATGAGTTAAGATATTCTATCTTACTCTTTAAATTTAATTTTCTAATTTTTTCCCTGAATTTTAAAAATATCAGTTTTTGCTCTGTTTTCTAATTCTTTTAGCCCGTGCACTGATATGACAATTGTACACTCTTTATTCTGTGATTGGTTACTTTTGAAAATTTATATGGCTTTTATACAAAATCTAAAGTTAAGGCCTTGACAGCTTCAGCCCAAAATACACATATCCAGTATATTGGGGAATTTTTAACCCCACAAATCAGACTTTTAAAAAAATGATATATGTTTTAAATTTATGTCAATTTTATGGGAGGTCTAATTTATGCATGTCATATTTCTCCCTTTAGATGTACACATCAGTGGGTTGTATCAAATATATACAGTCATGTAAATATCACCACAAACAAGATATAGAACAGTTCCATCACCTGAGAAAGTTCTTTCATATCCCTTTATAGTAAATCCTCTATCTTCAGGCCTTTGTGAAAACTGATCTGTTTTCTTCCCCCAGTGATTTGTCTTTTTCAAATGTTATACAAATGGAATAATGGAGTACACAGCTTTTCAATCCTTGCTCTTTCCCGTAGTATGGATTAATCCATATTGTGGTAATGTTCAGTAGTCTGGGTTTTTTTTTATTGCTGAGTAATATTCCATTGTCTGTATGTACAACAATTTGGGTATCCTTTCGGCAGCTGCACATTTGGGTAGTTTTCAGTATGGGGTAATTACGAACCAAAGTGCTATGCATATTTATAACAAGTTTTGTGTGGACATATGTTTTTATTTCTTATGCATAAATACTTATGAGTAGGACTGCTGAGTCATACGGTATGTGTAGGTTTAACTGTAAGAAACTGCCAAATTGCTTCCCAAATTGGTTGTACCATTTTACATTCCCAGGGGTAATGTGTAAAAATTACAATTGCTCTGCACCCTCATCAGCACTTGGCATTGTCTTTTTTTTTCTTTTCACCCCATTTTTTGGGTCATTCTAATAATGTATAGTGGTATTTCATTTTGGTTTTAATTTGCATTTACACAGTGACTAATGATGTTGATCAACTTTTCATGTGCTGATTGGCCATTTTTATGCCCTCTTTGGTGAAGTCTCTAAATATTTTTAGCATGTAATATTTTTAATTTCTGAGGCAACAGTAGTAGATATGGATTTATTTTTTTTTTTTGAGACAGAGTTTTGCTCTTGCTGCCTAGGCTGGATTGCAATGGCGAGATCTCGGCTCACCACAACCTCCGCCTCCCAGGTTCAAGTGATTCTCCTGCCTCAGCCTCCCAAGTAGCTGGGATTACAGGCATGCACCACCATGCCCAGCTAATTTTGTATTTTTAGTAGAGATGGGGTTTCTCCATGTTGGTCAGGCTGGTGTCAAACTCCTGGCCTCAGGTGATCCACCCACCTCGTCCTCCCAAAGTGCTGGGATTACAGGCATGAGCCACCGAGCTCAGCTGACATGAATATTTTGAAAACTATTTTACTAACCTGTTTTTTTTTTCCAAGTATAGTTGAATGGCTTAAAGAACAAAATTAACCAATATTAACTAACATTACATTGTTCCAACAAATAATGCAGATCTAAGAAATTGAGAGAGCTAAGTAGAAATCAGGACATACTGTCTTTAAAAGTTTAACAAGTAATCAAAATGATCCAATTATAATCAAATAAAAATATTTTCATTGCTATGGCTACATCCTATTAGTGCAGACTTGGCCAAATACTTAATGATAGCTAAGTACAACAGAAACATCATAGTTTAAAGCATTTCACACTGAACTACTGCAAGTTGTCCCCTAACAGCTAGCCCTGGATGCCTCTCTGACCACCTTTGGGCTTAGACACCAAATAAAAAATTATATTTCACTTATTTTAAAGGACTTTGAAATATTTAAATACCTACATGGTATAACAAAAATAGCATATTATTAACAATGAACTGATTACAAGTACTAATAACATGCTACATTATTATTTCATAATGAACTGTTCAATATATGTAGGATCAGAGATTTTGAAGATCAGCATGGAATTACGACACTACAAATTATTAATTATGTGACAAAGTTATATTCACTCTCAAAGCTTAATTTCCTCATTTGCAAATGGTGATAATATCAGCAGGTTTTTAAAAATATGTAAAATCACTCTCTAGATTATATATTGATATTTAAATGTTAATACTGTATCTCTTCATATATAATTTAAAATATGAAAATTGCTGCTCCCTCATTAGGATATAATTTATTTAATACCGTGTTGGACACAACTTTTTACATGTCATATGCAGTGTCATCATCAGAAACAAATGTGCATTCTAATGAATCCTGGAGAATAATAGAAAAGGTTTAATTTTTGTAATACTGTGGCCAAATAATGAAATCCTAAGGGATAAAGAAAGTGGAAAATCCCCATGAATCATTTCTCCCTCTACTCACTTTCTAAATCCTTATGTCCTATGAACAATAATTTATAATCTATATTTTTGCCAAATAATATTCAAAATGAAATTATGTAAGTTTTTCTTCCCCTGCAATGACAATGGTAAGGCAGTAAGTGAAAAAATGGATATTATGAATAAAAAATATCTCTGTCTTTCCTGCTGCCTTGTGAAAATAAGTGCCTGCTCCTCCTTCCACCAGGGGTTGGCTGGCAAGATGGCGGAATAGGAACAGCTCTGGTCTGTAGCTCCCAGAGAGATCAATGCAGAAGGTGGGTGATTTCTGCATTTCCAACTGAGGTACCCAGCTCATCTCACTGGGACTGGTTAGACAGTGGGTGCAGCACACAGAGGGCAAGCTGAAGTAGGGTGGGGTGTCGCCTCACCCAGGAAGCACAAGGGGTCGGGGAACTCCCTCTCCTAGCCAAGGGAAGCTGTGAGGGACTGTGCCGTGAGGAACAGTGCATTCTGACCCAGAAAACGTTAATCTCTAGTCCAAGGGATTTCCCCATTAGTATCACAAACATAAACAAATCCTCTTTGATGTGCCTTCTGGGTTGTCTCCTGATTTCCTTCTGTAACGAAGGGTCCCAACCTGCTCCCTGATCACCTCACACGCTCCTGGCAAGCATTCTTATTTTATCTTAGTGCCTTTCTTTCAGTTCTCTCTCCTCTGAATTATTGCATTGATCTGATTTGATAAAATGTATTTGAAACTTGCAGTGATTTGCTTTTGATCTTCCTTTTATTTAGGTAACTCTACATTCTTCGTAGAAATTGAGAACAATGATAACTTGGAGAATATAAATTACCAGAATATCCGAAATATGAATTTTAGACAGATCTTTCCATGTCTTGATCAGTAATTTGTAAACTTTCTATTCTGTTCTACACAGTGGCAAAGTCTATGTCCTTTTAACTTAATTTCTCCACATACTGAGGAAAATGCTGAGAAGCTGTAAAATGTCCAACAGTGAAGAATAATAGAGAAAATTTTCCATTCAAAGGCTTGAATGAAAAATTAAACAAGCTCCCAAAATTATTACACTCACCAACTCTGAAAATTTCCCTGATGCAAAATGTGTTCCACCTTGTCACTTTTTATACTTCCTATAATGTCAAATAAATAATAGCGAGTTTTTCATTTGTCTATGCATTTCATTTTTCCTTTTGCCAAATACTTTGTAAGTTCTATAAAATATTATATAATGAAAATGATAGAGAAATTCTGAATAATTTTGAATGATTAAGTGGTTAATTTTAATTCTTTTCAGTCATTTTAGTATTTTCTTATTATCAACATCACCCACTTTAATTCTTGCAACTTGGAGATGTTGCCTCCATTACAATGCACTACTGCTGTTATTTACTTTTATTTATTGCACATGCCATATTGCACCATAATTACATTGCAAATCTTAGAATCCTTTTGTTTGCTTGGGGAATTACTCAATTCCCCAATAATCAATACATATTGATAACCAATTAACAGAATATATCCCTTAATTTTATGAGTCTTTTTTTATTTTAAGTTCAGGATACATGTGCAGAACATGCAGGTTTGTTACATAGGTATACATGTGCCATGGTGGCTTGCTGTACCCATCAACCCGTCATCTACATTATGTATTTCTCCTAATGCTCTCTCTCCCCTAACCCCCCATCCCCTGACAGGCCCCGGTGCATGATGTTCCCATCCCTGTGTTCATGTGTTCTCATTGTTCAACTCCCACTTATGAGTGAGAACATATGGTGTTTGGTTTTCTGTTCCTGTGTTAGTTTGCTGAGAATGATGGTTTCCAGCTTCATCCATGTTCCTGCAAAGGACATTAACTCATCCTTTTCTAATGGCTGCATAGTATTTCATGGTGTATATGTGCCACATTTTGTTTTTCCAGTCTATTATTGATAGGCATTTGGGTTGGTTCCAAGTCTTTGCTATTGCAAACAGTGCTGCAATAAACATAAGTGTGTGTGTGTCTTTATAGTAGAACGATTTATAATCCTTTGGGTACATACCCAGTAATGGGATTGCTGGGTCAAATGGTATTTCTGGTTCTAGATCCTTGAGGAAACTCAATATGCAATCTTTGGTCTATGTCAAATGATGACTCTTCTATTAAGCCCATTCTGATTTCTTCCAAACTTATGTGCCTTTACCTCATATTATAGCATGCATGTACAGAGTAAATAGACTAAGAATTCTTGGGCTAGAATAAATCCATAGTTTTCTTAAACTGCATCTGCCACAGTGACTTAACTTTCAGTAACAGATTTTTGGTAAATATAAAATAGAGGTAAATTTAAACTCCCTGCAAATATTTTGTATTTAATATCAAGTATAATACATGTGACAATACATGTGAAAGGAGACCATTTATTAAAATTAAAAATACAATAATTCAGAAAAATTATAAGAAGACAGAGGACTATCAGCTGAGGTACTGCATGAGCAAAAATGTAAAAATATTTTTAAAATATAATATACACACATTATTTTCTTCCTGCTCACTGTTGAGCTCTTTTCATTGTATTAATAAATTTACACATACACACTAATAAACATATGTGTAAAATCACTCAACTAAATATTATCAAGTAAAAATCAACAACATATAAAATAAGTATATACCCTGGCAAAATGAAATTTATTCTGGGTATACAAGCTTGTTCAAAATTCATACATCAATCCATGTAATCCACCCATATCAAAAAGTAAAGAGAAAAAAATCTAACAATCATATCAATTAATGCTGAATAAATATTTGACAAAGCCAGCCATTATATTCATAATGTGAATTTGCTCATTATGAGCAAACTAGGAATAGAAGTCAACATTTTAACTTGATAAATAATATCCACAGGAACGCGAGAGTTAGTATTATACTTAATGATGTGAAACTAGACACTTTCCTTTTAAGATCAGAAACAAAGTAAATTATGTCTTCTCTCATTACTGTTATTAGATTCATATGTATTTTCTATATACAAGACATTGTCATAGAATAACAAAAATAATGTATTATTCGGGGTTCTCCAGAATAATGTACATAGAGAAAGACACAGAGAGAAAGAGATTATTCTAAGGAATTGGCTCACGTGATTATGGACCTTAGAAGTTCAGACCCAGAAGACCCGATGGTATTGATGCAGTTTGAGTCTGAGTGGGACAATGGTATAAGTTCCAGTCTGAATCCAAGTTTGAAGGCAGAGAAAGACCACTCTCAGCTCGAAGACAGTCAGTCAGAGGAAGGCATTCTTTCTTACTCAGCCTTTAATTCTATTCAGGTATTCAACAAACTAGATAAGGCCCACCCACATTGAGGAGGGCAATCTGCTTTACTCAGTTTATCATGCAAATGTTAATCTTATTCAGAAACACCCTAACAGACACACCTAGAATAATGATTAACCAAATATCTGGGAACCCTCTGGCCTAGTCAAGCTGACACATAAAATGAACCATCACAGATGGTTTTAATTCTTCCTTGTGAATCTACATAACTTTCACTTCTTTTTTTATTCTATTATTTTGTCTTATTGTACCAGTAGGATATTGAATAACAGTAATGTCATCAAAGATAATTCTAAATTCAATAATCTAAATTTACACCTTAGGAAAACCAGAGAAAATATTGTATTCTATTCTCTGACTAATCCTAAGGCAAGCAGTAGAAACAAATTACAAAAATTAGAGCAGAAATGAAATTCAAAATGGAAACAGTAGATAAAATTAACACCTAAATGTTATTTGAAAAATAAAATTGTAGCCATAGTAACTAAAGAGAGAGAGAAAGAAGAAGTTACCAATATCAAAATATAAGAGGAATCAATTACTACTCACCCATGGACATCAAAAGGATAATAAACAAATAGTATGAAGGACTCTGTACTCACAAAATTTATAACTTAGTCAAAATGATTCAGTTCTGTGAATGACATAAACCTCCCAAACTTGCATGAGGAAATTTAAAAATCTGAATATATATATATATATGTGCACTTATGTGTATAATTATTTTAATAATTAATGACCTTCTAAAAAGAAAGAACAAGCATGACTGTTTTATTAGTAAATGCAATGAAATAAAAATTCCTGGTACTAATAAGCAAGAATGCAAGGAAACACAGCATACAAGGATAATATACAAATGTTACTGGCTTTCTTGTATACTTTCAAGGAACAATAAGAATTTGATTCTAAAGAAAAAAAACCAATTGCAATATTATCAACCAATGGAATACTTAGGCATAAATCTAACAAAATAGCTATTGGCTTTCTATGTGCAAAACTATAAATCTCTGAAGAACACCATAAAAAGACCTGAATAAATGGAGAGATATTTCATGTACATAGATAGGAAGCTTCAATATCATTCAGATGCCAATTATTGTCATTTTTGTCTGCAGGTTCAGTGCAATCAAAATCAAAATCCCGCAAACTATATTTTAATAAACTTTATTTTAAAAGCAGTTGTTATTTTTTTCTACTGCTTACTTTAGGATTAGTCAGAGAATAGAATACAATACTTTCTCGAATTTTTCTAAGGTGTAAACTTAGATTCTTGAATTTAGAATTATCTTTGATGACATAGATATTCAGCATGATCACTTTCCCTATAAGCATTTCTTTTGCTGCATCCTACAAATTTGGGTAAGTTGTAACTTCATTTTTTAATTTAGATCTAATTATTTTTTAAACATCTTGATACTTCTCCTTTGACCCATATGTGATTTAGAAGTGTGTTCTTTAGTCCCTCAATATTTGGGGATTTTTCCAACTAACTGTCTGTTACTGATTTATAATAAATTCTGTTATACTCTGAGAACATATTTTCAATTATTTTTATTTTTTAAATGTATGATAAGTTGTGTTTTTTAGTCCAGAGTATAGTCTGTTGTCATGAGTATTCCATATGAGCTTGAGAAGAATGTGTTTTTTTGCTGTTCCTTGATGTAGTATTCTAAATATGTAAATTACATCAAGTTGATTAATACTATTGTACATTCATTTGTATTTTCATTGATTTTCTGCCTGCTTGATATATCAATTACTGAAAGAGGAAGGTTGAAATCTTCAACTATAGTAATGGATACATCTATTTCTCTTTTCAGTTCCATCAGTTTTTGCCTTACATGTTTTGACACTGTTGTGTGGTACATACATGTTTAGTATTGTTATGTCTTCTTAGAAAATTGATCTCTTTATCATTGTGTAATGCCCCCCTCTATCCCTAATAATTTTATTTATTCTGAAGGTGACTTTATCTAAAATTAATATATAGTTACTCTTATTTTATTTTCATTAGAGTTAGCATGTCATGTGTTTTTTAATTCCTTTACTTTTAACCTATCTATATATTTATATTTGAGTTTCTAGGAACCACCATATAGTTGGGCTTTGGGTTAATATCTAACATTTAAATAACTGCTTTCTATTTGTTCATGTCATTTTTCTTTAAACCTCTTGTTTTCTGCCTTCTCAGTTTTATTTGAGAACTTATATTCTCAAGTTTTGAGTATTTTATATGATTCATTTTATTACCTGTCTTGGTATATCAGTAAATCTTCTCTAGTATCTTCATTTTTTTTTCTCTTTTCTTGACATTAGGCTTCTGTTAATACTGCTCCTCAGAAAAAAATCTGTGTCTTACATTGCTTTTCACTGTAATCTACTATTATTATTCTACTGGAGTCTTATGGGTGTCATGGTAAGATGTGTGGAGTAGAAGCTATCTGCCACCTTACAATTAATTTTTTTTAATTTCAACTTTAATTTTTAATTCAAGGGGTACATGTGCAGATTTGTTATTTCTTACATTGATATATTGCATGATGCTGAGGCTTGGGGTACAATTGTTCCTGTTACCTAGGTAGTGAGCCTATTGACCCAGAAATCTCATTATTGGGTATATACCCAAAAGAAAACAAATCATTTCACCAAAAAGACATGCACACTCATGTCATCACAACACTATTCACAATAGTAAAGCCATGGAATCAATGTTGGTGATCATCAGTGGTGGAATGGAAAAAGAAAATGTGATACATATACACTATGGAATACCATGCAGCCATAGAAAAGAATCAAATCATGTCATTTGCAGCAACATGGATGCAGCTGGGGCCCATTATTCTAAGCAAATTAACACAAAAACAGCAAACTAAATAATGCATAATTAACCTTAATCTTTTAGTGTGCTTGTGTCTCTGGCCTGTGACCTTCATAAATGTGTCCCCTGTGGTATAGCTTCCTTCCTAACACCTTATCTTAGGTGTGACAGAAAACCTAGAGTATCTATTAGCGGCAGGAATGCCTTTATCCCAGACCTGTGACGCAACTCTTATAAGGTCTTTTCTACTGGAAACTAAGTCTTGTTGTGGAGAATATTCTAAGTGTTTTTAGCCATGATTACTCTTCCCCTCCACCTGCTAGAACCAAGAAGGAATCTTTCTCAGAGATTTACTATGAGAACCTGCTGGAAATTCCAGAGATGAAACACAGAATAAAGTGGGTTCTTCCTGCTAAGACTGCAGACTTATAGGGCTTGCCCAATCTCTGCCTAGTCTTCATTCACTCTCCAACAATTTTTCTTGATTAATTTTTAAATGTTCCTAGAACTTTGTGACTCAGTGGCTTCTGCTGCAGGTAAGGAGATATAAACTATCTATCTCTCCATCTAATCTATCTATTATTTATTTAAATTCCTTCTTTTTACTTTTAAAATTTTCAAAAATAATGCCCCACTTAGGAAAGTATTCCATATTTACAGAACTAATCTTGATGTACAGCTCTTATTGTCTCACAGCCTTGTTTAAAATCTTCAAAGATTCTCATCACCTACAGAACAAAGTCCAACGATTTTCCAACCTTGTTTTTTTTTCTGTTTCACATCTCTGATTCTCCCACTCAGCTTATTTTTCTGTTCCCAGCATTTTAATTAACTCGCTTTATCATCTCTTTGTTGGTGGGTTAACTCTCACTCTTTGATACTGTCTTCAACTCCAAAAACTATCTAACCTTTGATAAGCATCTTCATGCCAAATATTCCAAAAAGCCTCTCCAGATTCCCCAGAAGAAACTATGCCTTTTTTTTCAAAATGCCTGTAACATTTTATCTATCACTTTCTGATGTATGGCTCCTTATCTAACAAGCTTATGCTTATTTATCTTATGAATTATTTACTTTATTGGAATTTATGCACCTAGAAGGAAGGGATCAGCATCTAATCCATCTTCATATGCTCCAGGGCACCAAGTACAGTAAGTCTGTCACATAGGATGTGTAGAATCATTATGTAGTAAATGAATAAAAATATAATAGTTGTTTTTGATTCTTTCTCGAGATTTTTCCCATTCATTTGTATTATACTTTTTATAGTTAATATATACAATTATATTTGTGAATCTCGGTTAATGTATTAAAAGCATAAAACTGCAAGATTTTAACATTTTCTTCATTTTTTAGTAGTTTTATGATTTTAAGTTATTTATATATTTTAAAATATTGGAATTAAATATAGCAGATCTAACAGCATATATAATTCCTGATTTCCTACTGAAGTGGCTGTAAAGGCACAAAATATGAATACACAAGGAAAAATATAATGATCATTTTGATATATCAAAATAATCTTTTCTTGTTGAAAATTAGATGCACATGTGACAAATAACTTAGATCAGAGGTACGTGAAATTTAATACCTGCAAAAGTTGGAGATAATGAAAAACAAGCATATTTGACACACAAATTTCTGTAAAGGCTCAGAAATTGGTGGCATATACCCAAAGCTATACTTTATGCGTATCTTTCACGTTTACATAATAAATGCAAAGTTTCTCTTAATCATAATTTCTTCATTTCATTACTTTCTGAAACCACCAGGTACATAAGCAGTAGTTATTTAAAATTTGTTATTTTTTATACTTTTTAAAAAATTTTAAAAGAACACTGGGTTGGCATTTAATGGACTTCAGTTTGAATCATGTCTGTCACTGTCTGTAATTTTTCCTTTTCTCTGCTCAAGTTTCCCTTTTTGAATGATTAACCTATTACTTCACAGAAAAACTGATATTACTATTCAAACGCATCTTGGTAAAGCATTGAAGAGCTTTTCAAAATTGAAGTATAATTTGACACATTAATTTCTTTCTTCATGACAATTATGTACAATTTGGTCTGAGCTATCACAATAACTAACATCACTTAGGCTTCACTTTTTATTTATAATATGTTCAGAAGTTATTTATTCTCACATTTGATGTGAATTAAGCTTGGATCACTAAGACATGTCTATCCTTTTTAAAAGTAATGAATACCAAACTCTCACTATCAATTTACTTCCTATAAAATATTTTATTTCCATCAATAAATAAAGCAACCAAGGTGTAATTTGCCAAGGCCTCTTATCTCAGTAATTTCAAATGCCATGTAACATAGGCAGCTATTGTTAGACGTCCTCTCTTTCTCTGACTGACTGACCTAACCAGCTGACTCTATTCAGTAGCTGCCAGCTTTCTCTTTTCTGTTACTAAAAGTGACTCACTGCTTGCTTAGCTCAGTAATCAAAAACATCCTGAAGGTATCTCTTCCACTTTCCTTTCTGTGTCTGTCTCTGTCTCTCTCTCTCTCTCTTCTCTCTTTCTTTCTCTCTGTCTCTCTCTCTCTCTCACACACACACACCCACATTCTCTCTCTCTCACACACACACACACACAACCCTCATTCTCTCTCAGAAAATTATTTCTTATATTTATTAATCAATGTAGAGTCAATCTCACCCTCCCATCTTATCCCTTCTGCATTAAAAATATGCACAAATAATTAGGATATAAAATATCAACTGAAAAGCAATGGATTTACATAGAATAAAAATATTAAAATATTCTTAAAAGAGTTTTGATGATTCTATTTTATTGTATGCTAATTATTTAAATGTTGGTTAATTTATAAGTAGATAATCTCAGTTAAGCAAAATACCATCAATCAAATCATTATATTCCCAAATCCAATTATTCCCAAACAAGTAATCACTTGCACATTCTAGAATATATTTCTGTGAAATAGAGAGTGTTATACAAATCTTTCTAGTTTCTTATGTTTGCATAATGAGTTTCTAGGATTTAAACCCCAAATGTGTTACCATCACTCTCAAATTTCATTCAGTTATATAACACCCCTATATATATCCTGGAACCCATGCATGGTAATTCATTGAAACTCATGGTCAGTTTTGGTGAAACTTCCTACATCTTTAGTCTCGACATTCTCATTAATATTTTTCACTAATTGAAACTGGCTCTGTACTAAGGATACTGCTTTCCCTAATGTTCTCTTAAGTGGTGGCTGTTTTCTTTATTACATTCTTCCTGCAAAGGCCTAGACATGGAGTAGGTGTCCATCTGACTTCTCAAGAACTGTCACAGGGCCTGCTAGTCATTTCTAAGCTCTTTCTCCCTCCCACTTCCCCAAAATTTTATGGCTTTGGTTCTCCAAACCCTTCTTGTTGTACTCACTAACTTTCTCCCTAATTATAACCTTTTTTAGACTCGTTAGTCTCCCTACTTATTCCCTGAGACTGACTTAATGATAATTTCTCCACAACCACTCTCATCAAAATCCTTGGTAATTTCATTATCCACACTGATGACTTTCAGTCCTGGCCTCTCAGCTGCTTGTCCTCTTCTTCAATGTATGGTTCTCTACATACCTCAGAAACTCACATGATCATATTATGCTTGCTAATTACCAATAAGTGCTATGATCTATGCTTGTTAATTACCAATAAGTGCTATTTATTTAAGAACTCAATGGAAACATCCTCCTCACCAACCACTACTCCTATCTCTCCAGGTTGTTTCCTTCAATATGCTAATTCTCTAAATGCCTAAGACTCACCAGTATCTTCAATTCATAATTCTTACTCTTTTTTTTTTTTTTTTTTTTGAGACAGAGTCTTGCTCTGTCACCAGGCTGCCAGGCTGGAGTGCAGTGATGCGATCTTGGCTCACTGCAACCTCCACCTCCCAGGTTCAAGCAATTCCCCTGCCTCAGCCTCCAAAGTAGCTGGGACTACAGGTATGCACCACCATGCCAGGCTGAGTTTTTTTTTTTTAGTAGAGATGGGGTTTCACCATGTTGACCTCGTGATCTGCCCGCCTTGGGCTCCCAAAGTGCTGGGATTACAGGCATGAGCCACTGCACCTGGCCCTCTTACTTTTTTTTTTCTTTTCATTTTTTGTAGCCTAAAATCTAAATAAGCAAGAGTGTCATAACTTGGATCCTTGTGGGTTGAAATAACCACTTTATTTGTGTACCTAAGCTGAAATGAGAACAAGTGGAGACTGGGAAGAGGAAGCCTTATAAGGAGATCAGATTGAAACCTCAGGTAACAAGATAGATTACAGGTGACATCTCTTTTTTCAGCTGTTATTTGGAATGACCTCATAATAAAGCACAAAGATCAGGCCTCAGTAGACAACAACCTAAAGTTTAAATATTCTAGAGAACATTCCAGATGGGGCAGACCAACATGGCTAAATAGAAGCCTTCACCAGTTTCCTCCCTTCCCCTGCAGGAACAGCAATTTAACATCTACACAAAGAAAGCACCTTCATAAGAACCAAAAATCAGGTGAGCAATCACATTACCTGGTTTTACTTCATATCACCAAGAAGCACTGAAGATGGTAAAAAAGACAGTATTGAACTGCTTATACTACTCCTCCCCCATCCTCAAGCAGTGGCCTCCATGGCGTGGAGAATATGTGTTCTCTGGGGAGACACAGTACAGTGATTGTGGAACCCAGTGCTGCTGAACTCATTGCCCTGAACTCAGTACTGCTCTGTCATGGTGAAAATCAGAACTGGGCTAAACTCAGCCAATGCCCACACACAAAGGGAGCATTTAAACCACTCCTAGCTAGAGGAGAATTATCCATCCCAGCGGTTGAAACGTGGGTTATGTCAAACCTCGCCACCATGGCCAAATAAACTAGAAAGGCATTCTAGGCCATAAGGACTGTAATTGCTAGGCAAGTCCTAGGCTCAGAGACAGGGGATGTGGGACACCAGCCAGGACGGCTAAGGAAGTGTTTGTACTGCCCCTCCCCAACACCAGGCAATATAGCTTGCAGAAAAAAAAAAAAAAAAAAAAAAAAAGTCACTCCTTCTTTCTGCTTGAGGGGAAAAGGGGGAAGAGTAAAGAGGACTTTGTCTTACATCTTGAATATAAGCCCACCCCGTGGTAGGGACATGAGGCCCCCATTCCAGGTACTAGCTCCCAGATAACACATCAGGGAACACCCTGGGCCAGAAGGGAACCCACTCCCTGAAAGGGAAGGACCTAGTCCTGGAAGAATGAATTACCTGCTGACTAAAGAGCCCTTGGTCACTGAAGAACCAACAGCAATACCCAGGTACTACACCATGGACCTTGAGTAAGATTTTTGAGAAATGCTGGCTTCAGAGACCAGTTTGGCCACAGTGGGACAGAGCACCAAGTGGGCCCTTGGGGTCTCAGATGCTAGGCCTTAGCTCTTGGATGGTATTTCTAGGTCTGCCCTGGACCAGAGGGTGGCCCACTACCCTGAGGGGTGAATCCCAGGCCTGACAGCATTTACCATAAGCTCGCTGATGAGCCTTTTAGCCTATGGGAGCATCAGCACTAGCCTGGCAGTACTCCCTGTGTGTCTGCCAAAGTGAGAGGCTCCTCTGTCCATGGAAGGGACAGGGAAGAGTGGGAAGGACTTTGTCTTGCAGTTTCAACACCATCTTACCTTCAATAAAATAGCACACCAGGTAGATTTCTAAGGTTTCTGACTTCAGTTCCTGGCTCCCAGATGGCATCTCTGGATCTGCCTGAGGCCTGGGGAAACTCACTGCTCTGAAGGGAAGGACACAAGCCTAGCTGGCTTCACCACCTGCAGATAGTAGAGCCCTAGGACCTTGAGCAAACATAGGCAGTAGCCAGGTAGCGGTTACCATGGGCCTTTGGTGAGACTCAGTGCTGTGCTAGCTTCAATTCTGACCCAGTGCTGTCCCACTGGTTGTGGCCACAGGGTTGCTTGTGCCTCCTCATGCCCAACTCCAGGCAGGTCATCACAGAGACCCCATTTGATTGGGAGAAAATAAGGGAAGAGAACAAGTATCTTTGCCTGGTAATCCAGAGAAGATTTTGGATCTTACCCAAGACCACCAAGGCAGTACCACAATGAGTATGCAAGAATCACAGCATTACTAGGCTTTTGGTGGACCCTGATGCAGATATGGCTTAGAGCACAACACCCAAGTCCTTTCAAGTACGTAAAAAGTCTTCACAAGAACAGGTACGAACAAGCCCAATTTGTGAAGACTAAAATAAACACCTAATTCTTCAATGCCCAGACACCAACAAACGTCAACAGCCATCAAGACCATCCAGGAAAATATGACCTTACAAAACGAACTAAATAAGGCACCAAAAACCAATCCTGGAGAAATAGAGATATGTGACATTTCTGACAGAGAAATCAAAATAGCTCTTTTGAGGAAATCCAAGCAAATACAAGAGAACACAGAAGAAATTCAGAATTCTATCAGGTACATTTAATGAAGAGATCGAAGTAATTAAAAAGAAACAGCAGAAACTCTGGAGTTGAAAAAATGCAATTGCCATACTGAACAATGTATCAGAGTCTCTCAGTAACAGAACTGAGCAAGGAGAAGAAAGAATTAATGAGCTTGAAGACAGGCTATTTAAAAATAAGATGTCAGAGAAAACAAAAGAATAAAGAATAAGAATGAAGCACACCTACAAGATCTAGAAAATAGACAACAAAGGACAAATCTAAGAGTTATTGCCCTTAAAGGGGAGGTAAAGAAAAAGATAGAGGTAGAAAGTTTATTGAAAGGAATAATAACGGAGAAAATTCCCAAACCTAGGGAAAGATATCAATGTTCAAGTAAAAGAAGGTTATAGAACACCAAGCGGATTGAACCCAAAGATTATCTCAAGGCATTTAATAATGAAACTCCCAAGGGTTAAGGATAAACGATCCCAAAAGCAGCAAGCAAAAAGAAAAAAAAAAAAAGACACACAATTGGGCTCCAAAACATCTGGCAGCAGACTTTTCACTGGAAACCCTACAAACCAGGAGAGAGCAGCATGACATACTTAAAGTGCTGAAGCAAGAAAAGAAAAACAACATCAACAAACTTTTACCCTAGAATAGAATATCCAGTGAAAATATCTTTCAAATATGAAAGAGAAATAAAAGCTTTCTAAGACAAACAAAAGCTGAGGGATTTCATCAACCAGATCTATCCTACAAGAAATGCTAGAGAGTTTTTCAGTCAGAAGGAAAAAAAAATCACAGAATATTATAACACTATAATTATGATGTGTAAACTAATATTATCTTAAGTAGAAAGACTAAATGATGAACCAATCAAAAATAAGAACTACAACAACTTTCCAAGACAGAGAAGGTACAATAAGATATAAATAGAAACAAGAAAATTTTAAACAGTGGAGGAACAAAGTTAAAAGTGTAGGGTTTTATTAGTTTTCTGTTTGGTTGTTTGTTTATGCAATCAGTGTTAAGTTGTTTTCAGTTTAAAATAATCATTTATAATATAGTAATTACAAGCCTCATGATAATCTCAAATTAAAAAATTACAACAAATACACAAAAATTAAAAAAAAAAAAAAAAACGAATCATACCACCAGAAAAAATCACCTTCACTAAAAGAAAGATAGGAAGGAAGAAACCAAGGAAGAGAGACCACAAAGCAACCAGGAAAAAAAAAAATCACAAAATGGCAGGAGCAAGTCCTTATTTATCAATAATAACATTGAAATGTTAAATGGACTAAATTGAAATGTTAAATGGACTAAATTATCCAATTAAAAGATATAGAATGGCTGAATGGATTAAAAAAATTAAAAAAAGACCCAATGATCTGTTGCCTACAAGGAACATGCTTTACCTGTAAAGACACATATAGATTGAAGATAAAGGGGTGAAAAAAGATATTTCATGCCAATGGAAACCAAAAAAAGAGCAGGAGTAGTTATATAAGACAAAATAGATTGTATGACAAAAACTATAAGAAACAAAGAAGTACATCATATCATGATAAAGTGGTCAATTCAGCAAGAGGATATAACAATTGTAAATATGTAAGCAATCATTACTGGAGCACCCAGATACATAAAGCAAATATTATTAGATTAAAGAGAGAGGCCAATACAATAATAGCTGGAGAGTTTAACACCCCACTTTCAGCACTGGACAGATCTCCCAGATAGAAAATCAACAGAGAAACATCAGACTTAATCTGCATTATATAACCAATGACCTTTATAGGTATATACAGAACATTTCATCCAACAGCTTGGAAATACACATTATTCTCTTCAACACATGGATCATTCTCAAGAACAGACCATGTTAGAATAACATGTTAAAATAACATTTTAAAATATTCCAAAAAAATGAAATAATATCAAACATCTTCTCTGACCACAATGCAATAAAACTAGAAATCAATAATAAGAGGAGTCTTGGACACTATGCAAACACATGGAAATTAAACAAATATGCTCCTTAATGACCATTGTGTCAATTAAAAAGTTAAGAAGGAAATTTGAAAACTTTATTGAAACAAATGATAATTAAAACACAATATGCCAAAATCTATGGGATATAGCAAAGGCAGTACTAAGAGGAAAGTTTATAAATATAAGTGCCTACATCAAAAACTAAGAAAAATGTCAAATAAATAATGTAATGATGTATCTTAAAGAATGCATCATTTATTTAGAAAAGCAAGAGCAAACTAAACTCAAAATTGGTAGAAGAAAAAAATAATAAAGATTAAAGCAGAAAAAATGAATTGAAATAAAGAAAAAATGCAAAGGATCAATGAAACAAAAAGTTGTTTTTTTTTTTTGAAAAGATAAAATTGACAAACCTTTAGGCAGACCAATGAATTAAAAAAAAAGGGACAGAAGACCCAAGTAAATAAAATCAGAGATGAACAGGGAGCCATTACAATTGATACCACAGAAATTGAAAGGATCATTAGTGGCTACTATGAGCAAGCAAATTTATGCCAACAAATTGGAAAATCTAGGAGAAATAGATAAATTCCTAGACAATACAACCTACCAAGATTGAACAAGGAAGAAATCCAAATCCTGAACAGACCAATAACAACTAATAAAATCAAAGTCATAATAAAAAGTCCTCAATAAAATAGATGCCCAGGACCCACTGGCTTCACTGCTGAATTCTGCCAAAGATTTAAAGAACTAATGTAAATCCTACTCAAACTATTCCAATAAATAGAGGGAAAAGGAATACTTCCAAATTCATTCTACTAGGCCAGTTTTACCCTGATACCAAAACCAGACAAAGATACATAAGTAAAAGAAAACTACAAGCCAATATTCCTGATGAATATTAACACAGAAATCCTCAACAAAATATTAGCAAGCCGAATTCAACAACACATTGAAAAGATCATTAGTCATGACCAAGTGGGATTTACCCCAGTGATACAAAGGTGGCTCAACATACACAAATCAATCAATGTGTTATATCAAGAGAATGAAGGACAAAAACCATATGATCATTTCAATTGTTGCCAAAAAAAGCATTTCATAAAATCTGACATCCCTTCATGATAAAAACCTGCAAAAAATGGTGATAGAAGAAAAATACCTCAACATAATAGAATCCATGTATGACAGACCCACAGCTAGTATCATATTGAATAAAGAAAAACAGAAAGCCTTTCCTCTAAGATTGGGAACACGGTAAGGATGCCCACTGTCACCAGACAAGAGAGAGATATAAAGGACATCCAGATTGTAAGGGAAAAAGTCAAATTCCTTGTTTGCTGATGATATAACTTTATATTTGGAAAAACTTAAAGACATCACAAAAAAATAATTAGGACAAATTCGGTAAAGTTGCAGGATACAAAATCAACATACAAAAATCAGTGGCATTTCTATATGCCAACAGTGAGCAATGTGAAAAAGAAATTAAAAAGTAACCCCATTTAAAATAGCCACACATAAAATTAAATACCTAGGAATTAATTTAACAAAAGAAGTGAAAGATTCCTTCTCACAAGAGATCAATAACTAGAATGTATAAGGAATTCAAGCAACTCTATAGATAGAAATCTAATAATTTGATCAAAACATGAGAAAAGGTCTGAATAGACATTTGCCAAATGAAGACATACAAATGGCAAACAGGCATATAAAAATATGCTCAATATCATTCATCATCACAGAAATGCAAATCAAAACTATAATGAGATATCATCTCACCCCAGTTAAAATGGCTTTTATCCAAAAGATAGGTAATAACAAATGCTGGTGAGGATGTAGAGAAAAGGAAACCCCCGTACACTGTTGGTGGGAATGTAAATTACTATAACCACTATGGAGAACAGTTGGGAGGTTCCTCAAAAAACTAAAAATTGAGCTACCATTTGATCCAGCAATCCCGCTGCTAGGTACATACCCAAAAGAAAGGAAATCAGTATATAGAAGAGATATCTCCACTCTCATGTTTACTGCGTCACTATTCACAATCGCCAACATTTGGAAGCAATCTAAGTGTACATCAACAGATGAATGGATAAAGAAAATGTGGTAAATATACACAATGGCATACTATTCAGCCATAAAAAGGATGAGATTCTGTCATTTGCAACAACATGGATGGAACTAGAGGTCATTATGTTAAGTGCAATTAGCCAGGCACAGAGAGATGAAACTTCACATATTCTCACTTATTTGTGGGAGATAAAAATTAAAACAATTGAACTATGGAAAGAGAGAGTAGAAGGATGGTTACTAGATGCTGGGAAGCATAGTGGGGTGGGGGAAGCAGTGGAGATGGTTAATGGGTAAAAACAGTAGTTAGAAAGACAGGTAGAAAACAGTATTTGCTAGCACAGAACAGTAACTGTAGTCAAAAATAATTTAACTACACTTTTAAAAATAATGAAGAGTATAATTGGATTGTTTGTTACACAAAGGATACATGTTTGAGGTGATGAATACTCCATTTACTCTGATGTGATTATTTTACTTTGCATTTCTGTATCAAAATATCTCATATACCGCACAAATATATATATTTTATATTTATATTATAAATATTATATATATAAATATATAAATATTATAAATATATATTTATATATATATAAATATATACTTATATAAAAATATATATAAATATATACTTATATAAAAATATATATAAATATTATATATTTATATAAAAATATATATAAATATTATATATTTATATAAAAATATATATAAATATTATATATTTATATAAAAATATATATAAATATTATATATTTATATAAAAATATATATAAATATTATATATTTATATAAAAATATATTATATATAGTATATAATATATATTTAATATTTATTTATTATATATTTATTATTATTATAAAAATTAAGTATTAATTATTATAAATAATAATTATTAATATATTAATATATTAATATATATTAATATTATATAATAAAATAAATATATATTTATATATATATTTATATAAAATATATAAATATATATTTATATATAAATATATATATAAATATATATATGATAAATATATATTTATATTTATATACATATATAGTTATAATATATTTATATAAAATATATTTATATATTTTATATAAAATATAATATTTATATATTTTATATAAATATAACTATATATGTATATAAATATGTTACAAATATATATATTTATTATATATATATATAGTATGTACCCACAAAAATTAAAAATAAAGTTTAACTCTTCTAATACCTCTTGGTCTTACTTGTTTTACAAAGAGAAACTCTTGAAGCATACAAAAGTATATGCTAAGAACCTAAAATTGCTCTAAAAATAAAATAGAATGAAAAACAAGACCTTAAAGAAGAAAAAAGAAAACAGAGAAAAACCAAAATACTATATGAAGGAGCAATGAAAGCTTCCATTCAGAAAAAAGAAAATAAACCAAATAGTATACTCCATCATAAAATCATATCTTTCTACTGCATTTTCTATGTTCCTTACCACCCCACGCCCATGTCCTCCTTTCTCGTCTTACTAGCCTGAACTCCATTTCTTACTTTCTAGCCTTACTAGCCTGAACTTACATTTCTTTTAGACTTGTAAACACACAACTCCCTGATGCCTTCCTCTCTCTAGGGTATTTGCTTGGGTAAAGCATAATTCTTTAAGCCACATCTAACCCTCCTTGGGGTCTGAAATCACAAAGTTGCATGTAGTTGGAGGGAAGCACTCAGGCAAGAAAGCTTTGACATCGTTTGTGATCTCTCATCTCAAGTGGGAGCTTAATGGTACCCAACACCCTTTGTCCTATAATGCATTCACTTTCCCCCATTCCCCCAAGAGTATTCCACATCTTTCTTTCTTGAAGCAGAAATATCTCCTCTCCCATCTTTCCTCAGGTTATGGCCTCTTTTTCTCTATTTCTCAGAGGAAAGAAAGAAAAAGAAATAAATAAACTCTCACCACCATATGTACATTTCTTTTTAGGTGATGGAGGGGTCTGGGTACAAAAATGTCTTTACGTTTTTTAAGAAATACACACTTGCAGAAAGAATTCTCACCTCTTATCTATATGATTCCTGTCTCTGAACTTATTAGTATGAAATCCAGTGTCAGGGGTGATAAATTACAGATTCTTAATCAATGAAAGATCAATGAACCAAAGAACAAAAAGGTGATAGGGAAGAATTCATCAAAGAAAGTATGCATATCACCTTCATTTGCGTTCTATTTAATCATTTATCCATAAGACAATACCCATTGAACCCCTATTATGAGTAAGGAAGTAATAAACATTTTATGGATAAATGAATAAATACACTTAAGGGGGAAAAAATTCCAAAATAGAGCCCCAAATTCCAGGAAACTTTTAATAATATAGTTAAATATCTCTAAAAAAAATTCCTTTCAACATAAGATTAGTAACCACTAGTGAATGTTCCTAAAATGAAGATGAGTGTGTCAGTGCTAACAATGCTACCATATAATTTATTATACTGGTTGAGAGATTTTATTGTTTACTTTCTTTCATTTTTTTGAAAATATAATCATCAAGGATCTGCTACACAGTTATCACAATATTTTGGAATGACATACTAATATATTTTATTTGATAATAAGCTACTGGACACTTACAGGGCCAAAAAAAGAAATATAATTTAATATAAAATAATTGATGTGTTATTTATTTTCCCTTTTTTGAAATAAATGACATATTTTCAAATGTGGATGTATAGACTATATATTTGTATATATAGCCTATATGTATACTTTATATGAAATTATTAAATGAGGAAAAAAATTCACAACTAAAAACTGGTGAAATTTCTTAACTGAAGCAAATACCAAATGTAAACATGCAAGTAAGATCATTAAGATAGATAACAAAGCCCGCGGACTCAAGAACATATTTTGCAATTGCAGCACAATCCTAGAAAGGTTTTCATAATTTGAACAGTCACAGTGATCACTTTTTTTTTCATGAGACCTAATCCCAGCCAAACAGAATGAGGCCCTCACTGACAGGATGATCACAATTAGCCCCATCTGACCTATTCACTCTAAACAAACTATTAAAAGACATTATTCTACATAATACTTGCTTAATTTTTTAAAATAACAATTAAAAATTTTTAGGACTAATTTCTAACCAGATACTAAAAGTAAATATCTCAGCTTATCTCTAGTTAACATTAATTCATCCTAATGTGCGAATATGCAATGTCATTATCATAGTTGAGTTATGGGAAGATTGCTGACAAAGGCCAAAGCAGGTTGTAAATTTTGAAAAGCATCCTGTTGCCAGAGTTGATGACTGAATTCATAACAATAGACTATAAAAGATAGTGCCACTAGCTTAAAAGTAGCACTTTTTTTTTTTTTGAGACAAGGTCTTGCACTGTTGCCCAGGCTGGAATGCAATGACATAATCACGACTCACTGCAGCCTTGATTTCTCAGGCTCAGGTGATTCTCTCACCTCAGCCTCCCAAGTAGCTGGGACTACATGAGTGAGCCACCATGCCTGGCTGATTTTTTTCTATTTTTTGTAGAGATGAGGTGTCACTATGTTTCCCAGGCTGGTCTTGAACTCCTGGGCTCAAGCAATCCTCCTGCCCCAGCCTCCCAAAGTGCTGGGATTACAGGCATGAGCCAACACCCCCAGCCTCGAAGTAACTTTTAAGAAGCTTTAGTTTGGTGAAACATTCAACAGGAAATATACTAGCATCTTAAATCTATATATATGCTTTATCACTCTTAAAAACTATTAGCTCATAATACCTGAGTGCAATATAATTTGCTGAAAATGTCTAAATCATATGAATCCCCTAGAGGAGTGTCTTTCACAGAGGATAGAACAGTAAGTAACCATAAACACTTTAAAAATAGAGCAAAGTGTTCTAAAAATGACTCTTCTAAAATGTTACAAGTATGCAACTCCTGTCAGTTTTTTAAATATAAATTGCTTAAATAGTGTATTAAAGCATATTTATGACTAGATAGGTACTGACTTGTTATGGTTTAAGGGATTTTGTCAGGGTCTGCCTACCTACTTCATTCCCATATGAAAGAAACAATGGGTTCACTCTTTTCCTAAGTAAGATCCAGGACTCTTGCAGGAAAACATAGGGATTGAGGGGGCTGTCATGTCTCCAAAAGATTGTCATGTCTCCAACAGGAGGTGGAAAAGATGGGAAAGGGTAGGAAAACATCAAGACTTCACCATTCCTTTGTATTACTGCTTTAAAATTGTTCCATTATGGACCTGGTTTCAAATAGTTCTATGTCAGGTGAAACGCAGAAATAGGAAAGAAATGAGGTTTGGAAGAAGCCTCACAAAATTGCCTTAGAATGAAAACAGATAGAAATACCATGGGGTGTCATCAAGGAGAGACCCCATCAAAAATTTCCCTAAAATATATGCTCCAAGGACTCTGTTCAAAAGTGCTCTTTTTTAAAAAAAAAAATCATATATATTAGATGTGTTAAGTGTAAACCAAGAACTACATGAAAGTAGGCCTGTGTGCTTGTCTGTATACTTGTATAAGCATATCCAAGGACGCTGGATAACTAGATTTCCTCCCCTATCATCAGGCTATTTCAGTATCAGGTGATTTGCCTGCTTGATCATATTGATTTTGTATCTTAGCAGCAGGTAGAAAGAATCAACGTGAAAAGGTCAACATGTCAAGAGAAGAAGTGCAAATCTTAGGCCAATTGTTGTAGTATGAAAAATACTCAAAGTCAATGCCAGTGACAAACTAAAGCCAGTTGAGCTTTTTTAATCTCACTTTAGTCCAAACCACTGCATTTTAATTACTGACTAATTTCTGAAGTACATTGCTACTTAGATTCGTATTGAACAACTCTATAAATCTTTTTCTACACAGTAACCTAACATTTTGCTTTTTAATCCTGTGCTTTATGATTATACATTTATATGAGTATGCACTTGGCATGGCAGGAGGGTTCTTCTTACAATTTTTTTTTTTTTACCATTAACTATCTTTTAGGTTTTGCTCTCAATTAAACACAAGTTTGCATAAGTAAAAAGGCCACAGTTTTCAGCAAAAAACTATCCCAGCTACTCAGCCTTAAAACACCATCTAATTATCAGAATAGGAATAAGAATGGGTTTCAGTCAGTGTCTGAGCAGATAGATGGCACATTCAAAGGATTAACTGATAAAAACTTTACCTAAGGGTCTATTAAGGGAGAAGTTGGCAGGATTAAAGGAACAACCAAAGGCAGGATACATGCCAAGTTTCAAGCAACAGCAGTAAACCTCATTACCTACCCATAGGCCTACGGTACAAGAAAGAAGCAGGATGTAATGGTACCAACACCAAGAGGAAGCGGCATCTGTGGAAGATCACCCACCGCACAAGGGCTATGGACAAAGGTGAAGAGTATCTTTTTCCATGAAGAGAGGGAATGAATGTCTCAGCCTCTCTCAGCTGCAGTGCTTTGCTCCTTCATTTGCTGCTTCCCACTCTCTAAACCCAATAAGAAGCCATTCAGGAAGGGAGTGTGGCTAAAGGAGGTTATAGGACCATCTGAGGCACAGAGCAGAGAAGAAATATGCAGAGAACAAAGTTGAAACAGCCAGCTGAAAATCACCAGCGCAAAGTGAGAGAAAGAGGGGAAAACTTCCCTTTTTAATTGTATTCAAGAGATTAAAAAGTCACAGGTGAATGTTCATGCTCCAGGAATACCAGACTAGCTTATAGCAGACCAAACTCTCCTCTAAAATAAACGAGAGAGAGGTCAATTCGACAAACAAACAATGAGAAAATACACATCTATTTGAAGGCATCGGAGAGCTAGCAAGTGAGTCAGTACTTGAAGAGCCAAAATCCTGGAGAAGAGGGACTCATGGACGAAAACCTAATAGCTATGCCACTTCTCAGTAACAGGTAAAAATACCTTTTTCTAAGTTGAGAAAAAGATGCTGATAAGCTAAGTAGAAGGGCTGTGAAGAGACAGAGAACCCGAACAGAGTTTCTTCCCATTTCTTAGGACTGGGAGATGAAATTCAGGGATCCTAAGACAGCCAAGATTAAATATACGAGCTCCCTCAAGAAAGGAAAAATAAGAAGGCTTGCACGTGTCTCCTCTAATTCTCACAAATTTATAAGCAGTGCAGGTACAGAAAAAAATTATGAGGAATCCAGTATGGAGGAGTGAGCCTTTAAATGTAATTTTCAGCAGTCACAGAGTGGCAGGGAGATAAAGTGTGACAGACAAGACTTGGCAATGAATAGAGCTTCTAGTAAATTCCTGAGACTTTCACTTGAGATTTCTGAAAATAAATAACTCTGAGTAATGCAGAACAAGAAACAGACCAGGTCTTTTGGGTACTAAAACTCAGCCTTGATATGACTCAAACCCGTGTTGTGGTAAGGTGCTATGTTTCCACGTTAACCATGTGCTAAAGATAGTGTCTCATTCAGAGTTGCTACAGTGTTCATACTAAGACTCCAGCATTCATGGAAAGTTAACAGGCATAGCAAGAGACAGGACTAAGAGAAAAAAAAACAATAGAATCAGATGCACACATGAAAATTATGAGATACTATGTTAAAATAATTTAAAATAATATGCTTAGAAAATAGCAGGAAATATGTTAAATTTCACCAGGGAACTGGAGCCTATAAGAAGATTATATAGCTACGGGAAACATAATATTTGATATTGCGAACAACTAACAGATTAGATTCAACCAGAGAGTGGGAGACTGAAGTTTATGAGCCAAATCTGGCCTATTCCTTGCTTTGAGAGATATTTTTCTTTGAAATACAATTATGCCCATCTGGTTACATATTATCTGTGGCGGCTTTTATGCTAAATGTAGAGTTGTCTAGCTGTGAACCAAGGCTGTATGTCCCGCAAAGTAAAAGATATTTGCTATCTGGCCTTGTACAGAAAAAAAAAAAAAATGACACAAGAATTAGTCAAGGAAGAATATCTGATTGAAATATATTTCAGGACAAAATTTCCAGAATGAAGCACCAAAATAATATTTTAAATGAAAATAAAATTGAAGCATAAGATAAAATATTGGTCCTGGGTAACTTATGTATAATTATAATTAAAGAAAGAAGGAGAAAGTAATACTGCTGTAATACTTGAAATAATTGTTGAGGTATTTTTAAAAGTAGTGAAATGTGCTATAGATTCAAGAAATATGATTTTCATGTTGGGGAATAGAAACAAACATATAAAAACTAACCAGGCACAATAAAGCATAAGGTAAAGGGAAAATGTAAGGTAAAAGGAAAATGCAGTTGTTAGGAAGTAGGGAAATACGAGATGGTTGCCTTCAAAGGGGCAACAATGAAAATTAAGAGCTAACTATTCTCAACTCAAATTATGAAAGCCAGAAGACAGGGGAAAGTTGTTAATAACAGAAGTTAATGATTTTAAACATCTTTAAAGTCCTGAACGAAAATAGCTTCCAGAACAGAAGTCTGTATCCATACACTTCAAATTGCAGAAGAAAAATAAATATCTCTAAACAAACTAAAACAGAGAATTCATCAGCAGTGGGCTCACATCAGAAACAATTACTAAAAGTAATTCTTCAGGTAGGAGGATATGATAACAGAGAAAAGCACTAAAATTCAGTAAGCAATAAAGAGTAATGAAAAGGAAAAATATGTGGTAACCTAAATAAATATTAAGGCTTTAATAACATCTCATGGAGTACAAAATATATGTAAATAAAATGACTTATGCATGCTCTATGTCCCAGAAATTTCACTCCTATAAAAATACCCAAGAGGTATCTGTATGTGTACAGACACATACACACACCCCAAAAGGCATGAGGAAGAAAATTCCTTGCAATATTAATTTTAATGGCAAAAACCTGGAAACATAATAAGTGTAGCTCCAATTATAGTTAAGATATAGAAAATTACAAAAGATGATTGCTTCCTCTTTGAAATGAAAAATGAAAGCAAGTCAAATAAATTACAAAAGTTATATATATACTTTTGTAAATATATATACACAAAAGTATATATATATACACTTTTGTAATATATATATACACAAAAGTATATATATACACACTTTTGTATATATATACTTTTGTGTATATATATATATACACAAATATATATACGTATATGTATATATATATAAAAGTATATATATGAGTATATATACTTTTATACATATATAGTTTTGTATATATATACATATATACTATATACGTATATATATACATATATACTATATACGTATATATATACACATATATACGTATATAGTATATATGTATATATACACACATATAGTATATATACGTATATAGTATATATGTATATATACACACATATAGTATATATACATATGTATATATACACACATATAGTATATATACATATGTATATATACACATAAATACACATATAGATGTATATATATAAAAGTATATATATACTTTTATATATATACTTTTGTATATAGATATACTTTTGTATATATACATATATACTTTTGTGTGTGTGTGTGTATATATATATATATATATACTTTTGTGTATATGTATATATATATATCCCACCATAGAGAAAATTAGAGGCACTGAATTCCAGATATAGACAAATGCTTCTTGGGACAGAAATGACCAATGGTTGCCTTCAACACTGGGGCCATGGTAAATGCAAGAGAAAAACTGGAATGCTCCCAACACAAAGAAATGATGAAGGTTTGAGATGATGGATCTTTCAATTACCCAAATTTGATCATTACACATTGTATGCTTGTATCAAAAAATCACATATACCCCATAAATATGTGAAACTATTACATATCCATAAAAATTTAAAAAAGAGGAAAAGGAACATCAGCACAATATGTAACACAATTTAAACTGCCACTTGTGGGCTGGTATGAGGGAGTAGAATTCTTAAGAGCCCTAGTCACAAAATGTGTTCTGACCTGCCTACCAATTCTTTTCCACAGGACCTTGACTGAGCACCTAGGGGCCATATGAGGAAGCCTGAGTCCCGGGCAAGAGTGAGGAGAGATCTGCCCTAGAGTGCACAGAGCAGCAGAAAGCTGCAACAGGCTGGCTCAGGCAGAGCAATCAAGTGAGGGGAACCCCCCACCCACGTAGTACACAGACCTTCATGAAGAGTTATAGGCTAGAACTTGCCCAAAGCCAGGGTCGATGCCGGATTGTGGACAGAACATGCCCTGGGCTTTCAGGAAGTACAAAACAGCAAGCAACTGAGGTCTGGGGGCAGAGCAGCAGGGTGGGAAGGGCTCTCCCAGAAGGTGAAAATCCAAGGGAGGCTCTGGGGAGCAAAGTGCAATCTCCAGTTATCCTGAGAACTGATGGTTAGGCTGCAAGGAATAAAGAGATTTCTGGAAGTCAATGCACACATTCCAGGGAAAGACCTAGTCTCATTCTGCATCTTTGAAACAGAGGAGAACAAAGTCTGACTAAAATGCAACAAAGCTTAATAAGACCCAACAGACTGTGCCATGAAACCCAGCACAAATACAAATTAGGATGACTCTGACTCCACTTTGGTAGCACAGCAGAAAAACAGTGAGAGGAAATGGCACCTTCCTCAGTTTCTACTAATCTTTTACATAAAATGTTTGGTATGCAGGATTATGTGACCTATAATTAGAAGCATGAGATCCTTTTGGTCAAACCAACATATGAGCTCTGATCTCCTGCTTGAAAAGTTCTTTCAGTATTATAACACCCTCTCCTACTTGCCAGACTGTTTGAATTTTGCTAAGCAATAATGTATTGAATGTGATGTTTCTTTCTATGTGTGTATGATTATAATTAATCCAAAAAGTAAACAACCTAGATCCGGAAGTAATTTTATAGCTTATAGAACATAATGAGAATCACACATCTTATTTAGGTGCTTTCTTACTAGAGGAGCTCCATAATCACTTATAAATCCAGTGTAATTATTTCCTTACTTTTCTTTCGGTTACTGCTCCATAAGATTTCAAAGAATGCCTACCTCTAAAGTTCACTCTTAATTAAATAAATTCATCCTAATAATACCTAGAAATACCCATATTAATCTTTTTAAAAGGCAGTGACGTTATAGAGTCAGAAGGTCCTTGTGAACAGTTCATATCTTTAGAGATGGTCTCATTTATTTTGACTGTGTCTATATTTTATGATTGCTTATGTAGCATTTTCAACTTTAAAATTCATGTCAATGAATCCTTCTCAACACCAGCTGCCATCTCAGTTAAATCTTAAATAGACAAATTGCTCATATTTCATGTACAGTTATTCTTGAAGAAGCTTCATCAAAGTGGCATTATGCCCTGTTTTACAAGTATGTTATATTTTTTCTACAGGAAAAAAAAGAAAACTTGGCATTTGTTGATCAGGAAGCATAAATGCTGGCTTCTTTTGGCTATTTTGTTACTTTCTTCCTAAATACTCAGGGGTCAATAGCAAATCTATGAGAAGGGATTTCATGTAACCCATATCAACTTTCCCATTTTCATCCCCCCTTCTACTATTATCCGCTGCTGGTTTAAGCCCTTCTTACTTGTACTTTGATTATTTCAGACTCTCACTGTTCTCTCAGTGACCAATCTCAGCCCTTCCAATTTATCTACATGCCTAGAAATCTGGGCCGAATCAAGAAGTTCATCATGTTCCCAAGTACATGAAAGGTGAACCAACAGCTGTAATATACAAAAGCTAGCTCACTGCAATTTTAAGTTCTGAACTAGAAGGCGGGGTGGGGGAGGGGGGGGAACACCATTTCCTTTTCACTATGGAGAATAACAAAAATAATCTGTAATGGCAATTCTATAGTTAAATAGAAAGAAAATTCCTATTGATTATGTTGGAATGTAGGCTCTAAGAGAGGTGAAGAGCAGCATTTCAACAATCTCTCACATAGAGGGTGTGATCAGAGAGTAATCATATATACTTTGGTGAAAGGATGGAGTGAGGATATGAAATAATTCCCAATAAATACATATGAGAGCAGATGTTTTAGGATTTGACATCCCCAAGTCTTATAAAGAAATCTTTTGATGATTTTTATTATAATATCCCTTAAAAATAAGTTCTGCCAATAAATAACAGGTTACTAAAGTTTTCAGAATGAATAACAAAGGTTTATATCATCTCTTAACAAAATACTCATCTCCAAAGTAACATCTGTTGAAGTCATTTAAACCATCATGAGAAATACTTGCATTATTATGTAGCAAAAATAAACCACAAGTGAAGGGCTGAGGGATGACATCAGTCATAGACTTGTTTGTTTGATGCATATCAGAAAAACAACACATTTGAAGTATTTAAATAGAGAACGTTATGTCTATAACATAATGGGTACTCTGCTACCCACTATTTCACGTTAACATATATTTAACAATTTTCATTACCTGACTGAGCCCAGAAGACATGTGGATGTGATCTTGTGTGATCATCACTACTGTCCTGTCAAATAATCGTTTTTCTTCTTACTAATGCCCCAAAGGTTTCAACCAAAAAAGAAAAAAGGAAAGAAAGAAAGAAAAGAATAAACCCCTTTCTGATGAAAATAGCTACATTTAAAAATGGGTAAATCGCTTCCACTGAAATATTTTATGTTAAAGCAGTGTATCTCTTAAATTACATACATGGTAGATTTTATGTTTCTATAAATAAGGGTCATAAACAATGTACACATACATATCTTTGTATATTAAATGCAAGTTTCAAAATTACACCTAATTTCAAGAGGCACAATAATTATGTGGTTGACGAGTTAGACTCTGGATCCAGGGTTTCTTAGTTTAGATCCTTGCTCTATCACTTTCTAGCTATGAAGCTTTGGACAAGTTATTTAAAAACATTGTGTTTCAATTTTCTAATATATAAAGTGGAAATGACAGTATTTTATCCTAGAGGGTTGATGTGAGGATTAAATGGACTAATATATATAAATTACCTACCACCATATCTGGTACATAGTAAGGTTGTAGAAATTTTAGATATTATAATTTTAGACATTATAGTTATTATTAATACTTATGTTAAAGACCATTCATGTAAACAAGAACAATATTGATGCTTCTGGCTATCATGTTAAAGTAGTAATGACTTGACAATCTAGCATTGATTATAAAAATGCTTTGGAAAAATAAATAATTCGATTACTCAGTGTTTGTACTTAGTATTATAGTTAGTAATTTCTGTTAGCATACATTGTCAAGAAATAATGAAGAGGATTTTTTTGTTTGTCCTTGAATTTAGGATTTGTGGCTGAATTTGCTAACTGCACATTTTAACAAATATTAACCTTTGATATAATAGGAAATATGACTTTACATGATTATAACTTCATTCATTTTAACAGAAGTGCATTTTTAAAAAGTTTTTAAACATCAAAAATGGTTATCTTTGCATAAATAAAAGATTCATTTTAGAAAGGTTATTTTAAAATCTATAACCTATAGATTAAAGATCTATTCTTCCCAATGTTACCATTTAAATCAATTCCAACATTGGGTAACATCATAGTTTGAATGAAGATTAAGTCACTTACATTTATCATTACCAAATGTCTATTTTTTCAATATAAAAAAATGCCTAACTCCACTGGATTACTAGTACTCCTTATCATTCAGTGGATTTTGATAGTTATTCTGCAGACCCAGAAACCATTCAACAGCACTGAAAAGTTCAACAATCTAACCTGGGTGTTTTTTTAAATCTATTTAAAATCAATCATGAAAAAATGATAGCCATGCCTAAATCTAATATATATTTAAATAATATATAATTTATATAAATTCATAAGCAAATGATCAGAGCAGTTCCAGGATATTGACATTTAGCACACAGGACTTCTCCAGGTTAAAGAAGTTTATTCTTTTCTTGGACATGGCTCATATTTTTCCAGATCAGAGGATGGATAACAATAATAAATTCCTCATAAAAATTTCTCTTAGCCAGTTCTCATCTCTCTTCGTGTCAGCAATTCAATTGTATTTTCCCTTGAGGTTTGTGTTATAGTATTAGATGAGAGATGTCAGAATCCATTAGTACCTCATGTAGAGATTTCTTCTCTGGTTTCAAACAAAAAAAAAAAAAGTGAATGTGGATGAGATTAATTTTCCTACCTCGGAGCTAAATCAAGTGATAGGAAGCAATAGGAAGAGATAAGAGGAAAATATTGAAAGAGATAGTGGAAGGCAAAATTTTATCTGATAGAATCCCTCATATTATGTGACTGCATAACAAAATTTTATACTATTCATTTCTAATCTTGGAAAAATGTTATCAGTAGGATTCATGTTCATCTACTAGCTCCCCATTTCCTCACCCTTAGAGAACAACCACATAGCAGTGATAGCCTGCTGTTCCAAACATTTTTGTCAAAATATAATTGCTTTGAACCTCCTCGCAGCTTGGGGGCACTAAGAAGCCATCCCCTATGAAATAATAATTCAGGTAATTTCAACATATTAATACTATATTTAATAAAACTATTATAAGTGTCATACATAAAAATCATGAATAAAATGTACAATCATTCACATAATGTCAGATAACTGCAAAGAAATACAAAAAGAAACCTGTGAATTTACCCATGGCAAACCATAATTTCAAGTTTTTCATTAATAACCTTCCCTCCCTGCCTCCCTCCCTTCCTTCCTCCATCCCTCCCTCCCTCTTTTCTTTTCCTTTCTTTTCTTTTTTCTTTTCTCTTCTCTTCTCTTTTTTCTTTTTTCTTTTGTTGTCTTTTTCTTTTCTCATTCTCTCTCTCTCTCTCTTTCTCTCTCTTTCTTGAGACAGGGTCTAGAATACAGTGGTGCAAGCACATCTCACTGCAGCCTACAGATTTGGCTTCCCTGGGCTCAAGTAATCCTTCTAGCTCAGCCTGCCAAGTAGCTGGGACAGGCGTGAGCCACCATGCCTGGCTAATTTTTGATCTGTGGAGACGGGGTTTTGCCATGTTGCCCAAGCTGGTCTAGAACTCCTGAGTTCAAGTGATCCACCCACTTCAGCCTCCCATTAATAATTTTCAATTGTACATTTGTTTTGCTATTATATTGCACTATGCAATAAAAATTGTAAAGGGCCATAAGTTACCTTTGTCATCCCTATAGATAGAGAGGAAAAGTCGTTTAGGGTTACAATACCTCAGTGAACATGATACAACTAGAATGTAATGTGAAAACATTGTCACATTGTACTTGTGAAGTCATCACCCATTCTGATGAATATAATACAACACAGACATATGTTTATACATATCCGTTATTCTTCCTTCATTTCTTAGAGCTGCCATTTGAAGAGGAAGTAAATATAGTAAAGAGATATATGAATATTAATGAAATGTATAATTACTGCTAACTCATTTACAACTTCTGGAGAACACTAAATTATAAAATAAATTTTCGATATTTTCACATGAGTGGTGCTAAAGAACAATAATCAACTCAATAAAATTTACCCACCTTTGCAATCTTTACCAAACATCTTTATCTTTTATTCAAAATAATAGTAGTACCAGCCTTAAAATAACGGTAACTAGCACTAAACACTATGTTACCAAATAATTAAATAAAAAAAAATACGGAGAGTTTTCAGAGCTAAAGAGATTATTTAAAAAAATTAAACGTCATGTCCTCAGTAACACTAGTGTTGTGAAAGGGGAAAAAAAGGTAGAACAAGCAGAGGACAGAATAAAGAAAGTTAAAAAGTATCATTTTAGTCTTCAAGAAGCATAACATTGAGTGAGGCAAATAAAATTACAAGAACATAGAAAAGTTGAATAATGTTTAAAGTGATAAAGTATATTTCAATACAATGATACAAAGCAGCCTATTATAAATGATTTTTATATATGAATGATATATAAGTTAATAATAAAAAATAAATGATATCAGCAGTAGCTATATATCATTAGAAGTCCAGCATCATTTTATAAGGAAAAGTATTATAACTTAAGATTCTCTTTCACAGCTCTTCTCCTGAAGATGGTGGTGTGGCTTTCTATTTCATGGGCTGTCCAGACTAGGCACTGCAAATTTATTTTAAAAAGCATAAAATATACTGGTAGTTGTGCTAAGGTTAAAATGTGTAGATCTGCAGCGATTCAGATAATCTACACTCCTGGCTGGATTCAGTCATAGTTTACAATAGCCATTATCTGTCTGTACCAAGATGTTCCATGGTTCTAGGTTTGACTGTATACTGTTCCACCCACCTCTGCCACTCTCTGCCAGATTGACAGTCCAATTAACACATGGCGTGTCTGCAGACTACAGTACTCAGTCAGTCATATTTTCTGCTTTTCCCTGAGCCCAGAAAAGACAGCTCCAACAAGACATTTCTTTTCTTTTTTTTTTTTTTTTTTTTTAAGACTGAGTCTTCCTCTGTTACCCAGGCTGGAGTGCAATGGTGCTATCTCCACTTGCTGCAACCTCCCACCCTCCCAGGTTCAAGAAATTCTCCTGCCTCAGCCTCCCAAGTAGCTGGGACTACAGGTGCATACTGCCACGCCTGGCTAATTTTTTGTATTTTTAGTACAGACAGGGTTTCACCATGTTGGCCAGGCTGGTCTCGAACTCCTGACCTCGTGATCTGCCTGCCTCGGCCTCCCAAAGTGCTGGGATTACAGGCCTGAGCCACCACGCCCTGCCCCAAAAAGACATTCTTAATGGTATGTTTTCTTCACTAAGAATTCTGGATACCACCCCCATATATTCCTCCCACCTATTATCTTTTGTTGCTTCCTCCTAATGTTCCTGACCTGTGAATGTTGAATGGCCCAAGGCTACAGACTAGTCCTTGAATTTGTTTTCTTTTTAACCTGTCACTCCCCAGGGACTTCATCTGGTCTTATGATTAAAATATAGTCTAGATGCTGAGACTTCTTAAATTATTTCTCCAACTCAGATTCTCCCCTACACTTCAGAGATGTCTATCATCTCTATTCAATATCTCCACTCAGATATCTAATAGGAACCTCACATTCAGAATGTCTAAAACCCCTCTTATTTCTTGTTCCCCACAGCCAGCATCAGGTTTTCATGCAGTCAGATATTTTCATCTCAGTTAACAGAAAGTCTGTTCTTCTAGTTCCTCATGCCACATCTTTAATGAAATCTTTGATGCCCTTTTCTCCCCCACACCCTCCATTTGGTCAGCTGTACCTTCAAAATATATCCTGTCAACAGCGTAACCCATTTACCATCGTCTCTCATCTAAATGATGCAACAGCTTTCTATTAAGTTTGCCTTATCTTTTTTTTTTCTTGAGACTTTCAGTTGATTTTCTACAAATTAAACTGAATGCCTCTTTTGAAACATAAATTGAATTATGTCATCAGATAGAAGCCCTCAATTGTCTTCACAGTTCCTCTGTGGAATAGCCATAATACTTACCATGACTCTAAATATACGGTCCCTTTATCACACTGACCTCATCTTTTAAAACTGTCTTCTCCTTCACTTACCTCCAATTGTATTCTCCCCTTGCTATAGCACAATAAGGTCTTGCGGTCTTGGCTCTCATTGGGCCTCTGCTTGAATGTCCTCCCTCGGCCCAATATCTGCATGGCTGCTTTCCTTGCTTATTTCAGTGTTTAATTCTAAAGTCACTATCTTAGTGAAGTCTTTTCTTGTCATGCTATCTTAAAGTTTACTTATCACTTAAAATTTAGTTTCGTCCCTTGCTTACTATATTTTTTCCATAGTACTAATTAAGAAATTATATATTTCCATGTATTTATCCTTCTTATGGGGTAGCTCCTCCATTAGAAGGTTCTTTGTATGAGCACAGAGATTTTTTATTTATTTATTTATTTATTTATTTATTTATTTATTTTTATTTATTTTTATTTTTTGGCTGGGGTAGAGGACTGCTGTTCACTCTTGGTAGAATCTAGAAAAGTGCCAGGCATATAGCACTCTGTAAACGTTTATTGAATACCTTGATTAGAGATCTTAACAAGTATATTAGTTAGGACTCAGATTGCTGAAACAAAAGACAAAAATAAAACGGTGCTTAAAAAAAAAAAACACCCCCGGCCGGGCGCGGTGGCTCACGCCTGTAATCCCAGCACTTTGGGAGGCTGAAGCGGGCGGATCATGAGGTCAGGAGATTGAGACCATCCTGGCTAACACGGCGAAACCCTGTCTCTACTAAAAATATAAAAAAATTCGCCGGGCGTGTTGGCGGGCGCCTGTAGTCCCAAGCTACTCGGGAGGCTGAGGGAGGAGAATGGCGTGAACCCGGGAGGCGGAGCTTGCAATGAGCCAAGATCGCGCCACTGGACTCCAGCCCCGGCAGCAGAGGGAGACTCCGTCTCAAAAAAATAAATAAATAAAAATTAAAAACCCTCCATTTCTTTCTTTCATGTAGGAGATCACTCAGAGGATGCAGAAATAGTAGTTCAGTTTGACAGTGTTGGTGACTGATGCTGTTTCTGATTGCTCTATCACCTTCAACATCTTGGCTTCATTTCATGTTCTAAGATGATCCCACAATTATTATTTCCGATTTACAGTTGCAAGGAAGAAAGGAAAAGGGAAATGGAGGGCATGACCTCCTTTCTCTTCAAGAGCACAATCCAGAAGTTACACACTTTATTTTTACTCATATCCTATTGGCAATAACAGGTACAAAATACACCTAACCACAACAGAGGCTTGAAAATATATACTTATTCTAGGTTACTATACACCCAGCTTAAAAAAGAAAAGAGTGAAAATTGTTATTGGATTAAAAGAGGCAACAGTCTGCCCAAACTCTTAACTCCTAACCCTACATCAAGCACAATGTTTGACACCTACGGTAAGGTCAGTCAGTCCACAGTCTGACTGGACAAGTCTGTGAAGACCTCACAATAAGTTCATTGTAGGCCGGGCGCTGTGGCTCACACATGTAATCCCAGCACTTTGGGAGGCCAAGGTGGGTGGATCACCTGAGGTCAGGAGTTCGAGACCAGCCTGGCCAACTTGGCAAAACCCCGTCTCTACTAAAAATACAAAAAAATAGCTGGGCGTGATGGTGCACACCTGAAATCCTGGCTACTTGGGAGGCTGAGGCAGGATAATTGCTTGACCCCAGGAGGCAGAGGTTTCAGTGAGCCGATATCATGCTATTGCACTCTAGCCTGGGCAACAAGAGTCAAACTCTGTCAAAAAAACAAACAAAAAAAGTTCATTGCCAACATATTGATAAGCTTATATACCTATGAATTTCCAACCCCTGCAATACAAAAAAAAAAAATCCTTAAAATAGACAATGGTCTTCTTCTCAGGCCCACTATACCTGAGCTCACCTAAGTGTGCCAGCCTTTTATCCTTACAATCAAGTCCTAATTAGCACACAACTTATCCTTTTAGAAAACCACATACGCAGTAACACCAGCAAAATCTGTTTAATTTTATTTTATCTGTTCCAGGCATTTCAACCCTACTTCAACTTCCATTTCAGCCTCTGGTTCCTCTTCCACCCCTCACTTTTCCCTACTCACAAAATCTCATACTGTTGCTGGTAGAAAACAAAACCAAAGAAACCTGCCCTGTGCCTGGGCCTATGTATTCCCCCTCTCTCTTCTTCTGGCAACTTTACCATCATACTGCAAAGTACAGCCAGGACGTGTCCTGGTGATGAATGGCTCGGACCATTATGGACCAGCAATAGAATAGACAATTGGGTGAGGAGAATTGATTGACTGATTGATTGATATTTTAGAAGGGAAAATTAAGCTTAAAAGGAGATATGTTATAAAGGTTTCCAATAAAGTATTTATGAACAATAGTAGTAAGATTTGACTCAAAATCAAGTATTAGTACTTTATTTTGCCTCATATGTGTCAACAGATACTAATTTGCTTTGACAAATACAGGATACCAAAAACACACACACATACACAATCAAGTCGAACTGATTTCTTCTGTACTTAGTTGTATTGCCAAGACTACTTTCTTATATTACAGAAAAAAACTACTTTTTTATATTACAGAAAAAAAAATAAGCCACCTAAAAGGTTGTTGGGGAAAAGATTGTTGGAAATTTTCTTTTTTTTTTTTTGGAGATGGAGTCTCACTCTGTCGCCCAGGCTGAAGTGCAATGGCATGATCTCGGCTCACTGCAACCTCTGGTTCCCGGGTTCAAGCAATTCTCCTGCCTCAGCCTCCCAGGTAGCTGGGATTACAGGCGCCTGCCACCACGCCCAGCTAATTTTTGTATTTTTAGTAGAGACAGGGTTCCACCGTGTTGGCCAGGCTGGTCTTGAGCTCCTGACCTCAGGAGATCCACTCACCTCGGCCTCCGAAAGTGCTGGGGTTACAGGCGTGAGCCACCATGCACAGCCTGGAAAATTTCTTAATTGGTAACCAATTATTCATTTATAGAAGTGGACAAAAATAGAGTGATGATAAATAGCAAAGATCTGAAAAAGTTGAGAAGAAAATAAATTCTCCTAAACTTCTTCAAACTTTGGTTTCCCATTATAGAAGAGGTATAACGAAATTATCAAAATAAATTACCATACACTTGTGACAACAGTCAGAGGAAGACCTTTGAAACAGCATTAGACGTTTAATAGCTCCCTTGGTGCTCTGGACACTGGGCCTCTCTCACTTCCCAAAAGAACTTGCAGAATCAATTATCACCTTCCTCTCCAATAATTAATTACCTCTTTCCTTCTTGTTCTTCAAACTCTCTCTTTACTAGATCTTTGCTTTCAGCAGATAAAATTGTTCAAGCTTCTTTTCCATGCATAAATTGCAAAATTGTTTAGATAGACCTTCTCACTTTTTCCCCGAATACTCAAGCACATTGAAAAACTCTTTCCTTACACCTCCTCTCATTCATTCCTAAGCCCAAAACCACCTTGCTTCTACCAAGACCACTTCACCAAACTCTTCCCAAAGTTAGTTCTTTTATTGCCAAACAAAGGCTTTTTACCCTTCATCTTACTGGACCTCTCTGTAACATCTAACACTGTAGATCACTTACCTCTCTTCTTAGTTTTCTCCACATGAATTTTGGGTACACCACCATTTATTACTTTGTGCAAAAAAAGTAGTGGTCCTCATCTTCTTCTCAATATTTATCTCCCTGTCTCTTACTTGTGCCTACTGCCCATTCCCGTATAGCATATGGAGGTGTTCATATACTGTGGCCCAGAGAAGACAAACAGTGTTCAACCATTTGGCTTCCCTGGGCCACATCTGAAGAAGAAGAATTGTCTTGGGCCACACATAAAATACACTAACACTAATGATAGCTGATGAGCTAAACAAAAGGTCTGTGCAACATTTTCGTGATACCTGCCACCACAGATAAGCAAAAAAGTTCTCATTCAAAGGGTTGGAAACTAGTATTGCCATTTGTTCTCCTCCTAATCACCCCTCTACATGAAGGAATTTAAAGTCCACTCTGCCTGCTCAGTTTGTCTCTTCTGTTAGGTTTACCAAGAACATCCATTCCCAACAGTCTCCCTCGTGGCCCACCCTGAATGGAGGATTCCAGGGTGATGGATGGGGTTTATTGTATTATTGTGGGCACCTGGGCCATTTCCAAACCCTACCAGACTGTGGAGTGAAATGCATTGATGAGAAATGACCCTGAGAGTGTACTGTGTTCCTGCTCTATACCCTTGATTCAGGGGCTGCTGGCCACTGACAACATCTCCTAAGACAAACACACCAGGAGAGGTACAAGACTGAGAATGACACAGAGTAGTGGTTCTCAACGTACTGCCTTTGAGACATGTAAAAGCATAATCAGCATCACCCACAAAGACTTCAGAAATGCAGATTCTCAAGTCCTGCCCCAGATCTACTGAATAAGTAACTGTGAAGATAGGGCTCAGCAAACTGCATTTTAAGCATCCCATTACATGAATCAGATGGAGGTCCAAGTTTGAGAAATACGGCTGTAGAGTATCAGATACCTGGCTTAAGTGCCAATGTGCTAGCTCTGGACTTACTAAAAACAGCCCTGGGGAATATTACTGGCAACACACTCTTATCTGGTGCCCTGTCTCCAGAATCATCTATTTACTGAGGCAGGCACAGGACACTGGAGTTTCTCCTTGCTAGTGTTCTATTTCATCTGTTTCATCCCATTCTGTTTAGTGCTTGAGCAATCTCTTTCTTGTATACTTTTGGTCTATTCCTTTTGTAATTTCAGACATTCTGTTTCTTTCTTTTTTTTTCAGATATAATATTTCTTCATTTCCTTGTCACTCCAAATACAATGATATTTTTAAAAATATTATAGTTAAAGCACAAACTGCTATGTAGAATCATAAAACATGTAGTCAGCAAATGCACTTAAACCTATGGACTTGAGAATACGTAAATTTAGAAGCTTGTATTTCACAGTGAAAGAACCTAGATAAAAAATAAAATATAAATTTGTCATAATGGAAGGAGAAAAACTGTCAGTTTTGAAACTGCATAAAAGGGTGAGATATATATTATTTAAAGTTGCACTAAAATTTCTTATGCTCAACTTGCACAGTTTTTGATTTAATCTCCACAGTGAAAATCTGGAAGCTATCTTGTCATGAGAGGGTGTTTTGGTGACATCTATATTTAACACTCTAAGGCAAAAACATATTTCCAATTATGTTTTCCAAAAATAAGGTTAATTAAAAAAATTTTTTTTGAGATAGGATCTTGCTCTGTCACCCAGGCTGGAGTGCAGTGGCATAATCATAGCTTACTGCAGCCTTCAATTCCTGGGCTCAAGCCGTCTTCCCCGCTCAGCTTCTCAGTTTTGTAGAGAGAGGTTTTCATTATGTTGCCCAACCTGGTCTCAAACTCCCAGCCTCAAGCAATCCTCCTGCCTCAGCCTCCCAAAACACTGGGATTACAGGCTTGAGCCACTGTACCCAGGCAAATCAAATATTTTAAAAATAATAGATTGTTTTAATTTTTAATTATCAAAGTTAAATATATTTAAATTAGACATAAAAATTTGGAGTTTTTTTATTTACTGGAAAAAAGCATATTTTACATAACTAGTGGGTAATATATGGAATATAAGAATAAGAGGCAAAGTCAATATAGAGAAAACAAAGAAGTCAAGCCATTAGATATAATGCCTAAAAATTTCTGATGGCTCATACTCATTACCCATATTTTAACCTAATATGTCATTTGTGAAAGTTAAAATAAAAAATACTATTTAATTTAGATGTTTTTGTACTTAATATAAACATCTTTCCACCAGCAGTTTGCAACTAAACACATTCATCTGTGTAAAATCAATATAATTATCAAAAAATGGCAGTTAAAAAAAACCCAGTCCAAGTAAGACAGTTAGACATTTACAAGGTATGACTAACAATTTCTCCACTAGAAATGCTACATAAAATCAGTTTTGTCTTACAGTCAATCAGAATATAAGAATTACAAGCAAAGGACTGAATCACAAAATACTGTATTATAAACCATGTCACTAGAAAAATTTAGATTAAAATATGCTTCAAGATACTAAAATATGATCTTTACTTAAAAGATGTCTTAATTCCAGAGGGAAATATTACTAATAAATAGCTTAGAGATGTCATTCATATCTATTTTTGTTAAGCAATTATATTGATGTTAGGTAGAGTTCAAGACTCTAGACCAAATGGTGATCAAAAATTAACAAACCTTAATAGACCTGATATTCTAAATGTATATTAGTTGAATAAATCTAAGGTTCAAGGTTTTTAAAAATATTACTAAATTAATTGTACAAACACACCGAGACATGAACAAGATCTCATGGTGAGTGACATAGCCAGGATTACTTTATTTTCATTGTCCATAGCTAAAGTTTTGCCACTTTCTCTATCACATTAAGAATTAAATTATTAAAAATAAACTTTTTAAAAATGAACTCAACCAAAGATAAAATGTGCTACACTATGACATCAAAAACTAGGAGTAGGACTGGGCATGGTGGCTGACACCTAGAATCCCAGCATTTTGGGAGGCTGAGACGGTGAATCAACTGAGATCAGGAGTTCAAGACCAGCCTGGCCAACATGGTGAAACCCCATCTCTACTAAAAATACAAAAATTAGCTGGGTGTGAAATTAGCTGGCTGTGGTGGCACACACCTGTAATCCCAGCTACTTGGGAGGCTGAGGCAGGAGAATCACTTGAACCTGGGAGGCGGAGATTGCAGTGGGCTGAGATCACGCCATTGCACTCCAGCCTGGGCGACAGAGCAAGACTCCGTCCCCCACAAAAAAAACCAAAACCAAACAACAACAACAAAAACCTGGGAGTATACAGATAACAGTCCTAATCCCTTCACTTCTCTGTTAACTGTAGACCATTCTGTTTTAAAGTCTTTGTGTATGGTTTTCTCAATCATTTTCACCATGCCACTATTTTCATTTGAAAGCAATTTAAACATTTTCAAAAGCTTGAATAGAATTTTTTTAACGCTGCAAGAGAAATTATGAGAAACAGAACAAACCAACCCATGAAGTATAAGTACTATGAATCTCAAAACCTAAGAAAAATCTGTTCCATATTTGTATTTCTATAATATTTTAGGACATTTGTAAGTATATGGTTGTTTCCCTGGAAAGTTTTAGTGAAGCCCAGGTATTTATATTTGAATGTTACTTTTTTATCTAGCATCTCTCCAAGAAAATTTGTAAAGACTGAGAAACAAATACCAACACCAATAAATAATCACCTACCTCCCTTATTAAGTATTCTTTTAAAGACACATTTCATGTGAATTTTTAAAAAAGTTTTGTATTTTTCACCTAGGATAAATGATGTCATATCCACTCTATCCCTTCTCTTAAAAATCATTTGAATTCAACCAATACAAACACAAGATATTTATAAATTTACTTTGCTTAAATCATCAATAGCAGAACTACAGTCAACTCTTTTTAATGCTATAGAAAATCATTCAACTTCTAAAACATTTCATATCAGAGACCAAGCATTTATCTTTCAATTGTTATCACAGAAGACAAGCCAAATATCATAAATGACAAATCATGTCTCTAGAGATGAAAGTTCTGTGTATTTTTTTAAAGACATGTCTTAGCATGTTAAGGTCTTTAAGATTATACAGTTACAGTTTATGAAATAGATAACTATCAAAAGTTATTTATTTTAATCTCCTTTAAAAAGTCCTTAGCCTTTGAAGGATATTTCTGAACTTTGAAATTTAGAGACTATATTGCTTTCATTTGGCTACTGTAACAAATTACCAAAGGCTAGGTGGCTTGAAACTAGAGATGTATTCTTATTCAGTAGTGGAGGCCAGAAGCCACAAATCAAAGCCTTGGCAGAAGCTAGGGGAACAAATCCATTCTTTACCTCTCTCTTAGCTTCGGATAGCTGCCCGTAAACCCTGGCATTCCTTGGCTTGTGACCACTTCACTCCAATCTCTGCCTCCATCTACACACTTTCTCCTTCTTCTGCATGTGTCTCATCTGTGTGTCTCTTATATATACACACATGCCATTGGATTTGGATAATCAAGGATGGCCTCCTCTTCTCAAGGTCCTTAATGTCATCTGCTAAAATCCTTTCTTCCAATCAAGATAACATTCCCAGGTTTGAGGGATTTGACATGGATGTATCTTTTTGGGGACTACCATTCAATCCACTGCAGAGACTAAATATTATCATTATATAAACATTTTCATTATTGCCTATAGTAGGCAAAATAATGGCCTCTGAAATATGTCCACATCCTAATTCCAGGAATATGTTATATTACAATGCAAATGGGTTTTTCCAAACTGGTTAAATTAAGGATCTTGAGATAGACAGAGTATTTGGATTATTCAGGTGGGCCCAATGTAATCAGGAGGATCATTTTAGGAGGAAGGCTGGAGGGTCAGCATGAAAGATGTAAGGATGGCAGCAGAGGTCAGAGTGATGGAACTTGGATCCAAGGGATGCCAGCAGCACCTAGAAACTGGACAAGGCAAGGAAGAGGTTTCTCCTGCAGGTCCCCAGATGTAACACAGCACTTGAGTTTAGCCTCATCAGACCAGCTGTAGACTTCTGCTTCCGGAACTGTAACATAATAAATTTGTGCTGTTTGAAGCCACGACATTTGAGGCAATATGTTGCAGAGCAATAGGAAATGAATGCACTGTCCAGCATTCTTTTGTAAAGCAGATATCCAGTAGTAGATGTCTTACAGAACAGAGCCTGATTACTGTGGTCAGATAGATAGCTGGGGCTGCCTAACAGAGAAAAGTGAAGTAAAATCTATTTTATTTTTAATCACACGAGTTATCTTACTTAACTTGGGTTTAATTCTAACATAATTAGTAATTAGAAGCTTGTTTTGTTTTCCCTTGGCTTCTAAATGATGCCTGTGATTCATGCTGCAAGAGGACATGTAATGAATGGACACAGCATTTCATGGGACATTCTCAGAAGTCCTTCCCCTATTAGTAAGGTTGTGTCCAAAATTTTCTATCTCTGTTTAAAACTACAAAATAAATTGCTATAAAAATCACTTGAGAGTATTAGGCAGCTAATAAATTTCAAACAGAATCTGTTGTTCTTCAAAATAAGCACAGTCAACTACTACAAAAATTAATATGTTGGTGTAGGCATGCTATATTTATTATGCTTTGCCTTATAACTTTCATAACTTTTACACCTTTTTCTTTTTTTTTTTTTTTTTTTTTTTTGAGACAGAGTCTTGCTCTGTTGCCCAGGCTGAAGTGCAGTGGCATGATCTTGGCTCACTGCAACCTCCGCTTCCTTGGTTCAAGTGATTCTCCTGTCTCAGCCTCCTGAGTAGCTGGGACTACAGGTGTGCGTCACTGAGCCTGGCTAGTTTTTTTTTGTATTTTTTGTAGAGATAGGGTTTCGCCATTTTGGCCAGGCTGGTCTTGAACTCCTGACTACAGGCGATCTGCCTGCCTCAGTCTCCCAAAATGCTGGGATTACAGGTGTGAGCCATCGCACGTGGCGCTTGATGACTTGTACACCTTTTATTTAAATTTTCCTGAAGGAAAAACTAGATATTTGGGAGTGGAAGCGTTGTTACTGGAGGGCAAATGGCAAGGAGTACTGATATTAATAAACTTGTTTCTCAATTTAATTTTTATTTGCTATTATTTTTCAATTTTGTTACATTTTAATAGCATGAAAACTGTCTGGGTAGTTATTCATATTATGGCTTTACCAAATATGATTGTCACTTTAAGAATTTCTAAAACTTAAAGTATAATAATAATAAAAAAAGAATTTCTGCTGGTTTAATTTATGCATCACAAACTTTAATTTTCTTTCTAAAGTTGTGTTCTGAAGGTTATCAAAAGTATTCAAAGGACTTCAAAAGTCGTATTTACCATTACTCAGAATATTCTATTATGTTGTTGCATACAGTCCTTCAGTTGTTATTATATTCCCCACATTGCTCCATTATAGGAGATTTCCTTAAAAGTCATGTAAAAAGATATAACTATGTAGCATATTTACCTTCCTAGCTTGGATTATTTCTCAGTTTCATTAATAAAATGAACAGTCAATAAGACTGTTTTCTTAGTGCATTGGTCAGCATTATTCAATACCTTATTCCCAGTTCTATTTAGAGTTTCCAGATCCATAAAGTGAAAAAGATTGATCCCAACACTGATCTTGACTTTTTAGTTCAAGTAGAACTTAAGAAAATACTTTTAAGATGCTGTTGGCTCAAACACATATAAATATAAATATATATATAAAATATGTGTTTAATATATTAAATATTACATCAATAATTACATATTTATATATAATTAGTGACTGATTTAAATTTTCCTGAACATAATATTATGTCTAGATGAAAAGTGAAAAGACCATTTGTCTTGTCATTTATCTTCAAAGTCTGAAAATGCATACATAGAAAATGTCCTGTTTTAAGCCTTTATATCTACTAGCATTCAAAATATACAAAAGATTTGGAAAGTTTTAAGAGATGACAATGTTCAATTTTTAAAACGTAGCACACATGGGAGGAAGAAAGTAATTCCCAGTCTTACCATTTTTAATAGAAAGTGCATAGATCTAAAAGAATAATTTGGGATTGTCATCAGGGGAAGACAATAATTTTAATTAGATTCAATCACAAGTAGTTGTAATCTTTCTCACTGTTCAGCATCTCACTGGAGTGAGTTCACCTGTCTTAGCAGCCTATGAACACTCTGACCACCAGTGTACTATATGAGTCATATTGGAAGTGTACTGGAAATTCATGGCAGATCAAAAACCCAGAACATATACAATGTCTCACCATTTTTTTCAACCTAGATATATTATTTATTGTCCTATATAAAACGTGTGTGTGTGTGTGTGTGTGTGTGTGTGTGTGTGTGTAAAATTGTTAGGCTGTTTTAATTCACCAGAAACTAAAACAAAAGTTTTAGTGATTGACTGCTGAATAAAGCACTTGTCAATGGAATGATTGAAGGAAAACACATTCATTCTCCAGTGTACATAATGCTGCTATAGGTGTCATTCCACTTCCGATTTGATCTGTTAATGAGCTAAAAAGGCAACCATATCCTTTCAATGTCCTATGAAGAATAGACCATTTTTTAAAAGTACATGTGAAAACCCTCCTAAAGCAACAAACAGTGAAGGGATACAAAGAATATCCCACCTTTTAGCTAATGTCCAAATATGCTTATTTTCATTTTTTTTTCCCTCTAAGGCAGTGGTTCTCAAAGTGTGAACTCCAAGACAAGCAGTGCCAGCATCACCTGGAATCTTGTTGAAAATGCAAATCTCTAGCCCCACCCCAAATCAGGAGGTTCAGAAACTGGTGGTGCAACCCAGGAATTTGTAAGGCCTCAATGTAATTCTCATGTAAGCTAAAGTTGAGAACCACTGTTCTATGGCCATCTAGGAACAGAGGATACTTAAGTGTGTGTGAGTGTGTGTGTGTGGTGAAGATATGACGCAAAGATTAAAAATAGTTTATTTTCTAGTTGTGAGATTATGAATGCTTTGAAATTTTTTCTTAATACCTTTTTTTGGGCTGTGTACAACAATAACATATATTTCTGTAAAAAGAACAACATAAATATGACAATAAAAGTACTCAAGTGGTCAACAGTGAAAGTGAAACCTATTGTCATATCAAAGATTCTATATATTTCAGACAAGTTTTGAAACACTTATTTTAACCACCAGTATTCTCTATTTGCAACAATAAAGATCTATCAGTCAAAATATTGTCAAATGATTTTGCTGATTATTGTTGCAGTTTATTTTTTATGAATCTTTGGTATTTCTGGCCCATTTCGAATTGCTGGAGAGGACCTAAATTACAAGAAATCTGAGAAATATTTCATTTTATAATTTTTTAAAATACCAGACATGAGTGTTTACTCATATTAACAAAATTTTCAAATGCTGAGGGAGTGTTAAGCAATGGAATGTATACAGAATGGCATTTAAGAACACTGGGGAGTTTCCATTAGAATATGAGTTCCAGGACAGTAGAAATTTTCATGAACCATATTAATGTTAGATTTCCAGTGCTGAGAAGATGGCTTAGTGAGTGGTCAGTAGTTGTTTGACGAAAGAATGACCTTGATTAAGTCATTTAATCCTGTGGCACCTCAGTTCTCTCACCCATAAAATTAACATCTTTGATTATGGAAAAATCCAGCATTATAATTCTGGGGTAATAGCTACCCCAAATAGCCTTGCCAAATACTAAATATAGGTAATTCTTATGTAAAATATTGTATTGGTCCTAAATGCAGCCTCTTATTTCCCTTTCTCTTCCTTATGTGAGTGCTTCTCTAAAGCAAATATGGACTGAGCAGAGAGAAAAATTGCATCACCTCTGAAATATCTTGAGGCGATACCCAAATAAATAAGTAGATAAATTGCTAATAAAAATGCTCAGTGAAAACAAAAATCATAAATACAGTCATTTTTTCCTGAGTGTTTCTCATCCATGGGATCTAGTGGAAAATAAAGAAATAATAGAACCTGAGTTAATCAAATATCATATAAAATAGGTGTGGTTACATTTCAAACTTAGTTTTTCATCTTTTAAAAAATTCAATATGGAGGAGGATAGAATAAATTTTAAAATCCATTATTTTTATTTAAAAATTGAAAACCCTATTACTTTTATTGATTAATTCTTTGGACAAAATTTGATTTTTCCATATATGCTGTTTAAAATCTAAAATACAATTTTAATTTATCTCAGTTATCAACTTTACAACACTTTAGCCTGACCTCATTCCTATATATCATTGATTCTTTCATAAAGGGGTATCACTTTTTATGTATTTTCTGACTATACAACTAACTCCTGCCCATTGTAGGTAATAGGCAAAATACAGAAAAAGGACAGGAGATAAAAGTTTTTAAAACACCAAATCACAAAAATATTTACTAAAATACTTGGGCTTAAGTATGTTTATTTTTCATACTGTTACATTTTAAAATATGCCTAAATTCTGATGCAAAAAAAATCTAATACATGTATATGTATTCAAATGTATTCAACTGTTCTAACATGACTCTTCTATTGGTTTTAAGCCAAGGTAATCCTTCTCTATTAGGAGTAATAAAAATCAAATACTCATATTTTTCTATTAAGATATTTATGATGCCACATTTTAATATCTAACATTTTAAATAATCTTAAATTTATTTTAGTGTTGGTTTTGACTCTAATAGTATTTCAAATTTATATTTTCTTTAATGACCAATTATCTGAGCACCATTTTATTAAAAAGTCACTTTTTATTGAGTGATGTTAGATAACTAGAATCCAAGCACCTTTCAGATCATTTCTTTATTTTTCATAGTATCTACAGACATAACAGGATCAGACATGATAAAGGAAGAAGGTTCTAGAATAGGGTATCATGAAAACCTTAAAAACATTAGGTTTTAACTTCAGACCATCTCTATTGTCTCTACTATTTTTCCTTCAATGTTTAGTCCTATTTACTGAATTTTTGTCACTGAAAAAGGTTATTCTTATTATTTCATAATTGTTTGTATACATATATAGTATCATTTATTGAAGATTTATATTGTCATTGAGAGAGACATATACAGAGACTTTTAGAGGTGAATGAAAAACAATAATTAGATACAGGATTGCATTTCTCTCTTCTTCCAGCCTTGGAAGAAGGAAGAGCTGCTTACACTTCATAGCCTAGAATTACTCTGTTCATTTCCCACCTACTTTAAGTGTTTAAACAGAAAATCTATCTTTTGGATCCTGTAAATAAAAATATAAATAAGCCCATATCAAGAATGCATAAGATTGGGAGAAAGGAGAAGTGAGAGCTTGCTCCTTGCTGCAGTCCCACTGATAAGAAAGAGTTGTCTTAAGAGAAAGCCAATTTGCTTTGGAAAAGATACCCTAAAAAATGTCATTGTGTTTTCAAAAAAGAAAAGAACAAATGCAAAAGTGGATAAAAGGAAATATACTAGAGGGAAGCTCTTATTTGAGATATTTTTATCTTCTAAACATTTACAGGAATCATTTGAAAAGGAAAAAATCATAAGACTAGAATAAATTAATGCAATTCCATCATCTTCAATTAATATGATTTATCATTAAAGTAATTCATTAAAATTTTAACAACAATAAAATGTTAAACACAGCAGTGTCAAAAACTTTGTTGGAAGATAAGGACCATGAAAAATTTCACTTAATAGGATCAATTTGACAAGACCTTATTACTAGGTTACTTTTCTCTGTGATATGAAGGGACTCTAGCCAAAGCCCTTCAATTCTACAACCATGTTTCATCTGTAAGCCCATATAATAGATTCATTTAGTCGGTGATCCATTTAAAACCATGTAAGAAAGCAGATAAGAAGCTGAGCATATAAATGTGATATATAACTGCATCAAGCAACTTTTCAGAAGGCACTTAGAAAATAATTTATGTGCCCATCACTGAATGTTATTTACTCAGCTGAAACATATAAATTAATGAACTACACTAGAAAAAGAAATATACAAAAAAAATGTTAAATGTGTTTATAAATATGGCCCAAATTTCTGTGAGAAATAATAATTCTGGTAGAAACCATGGAAAGTAATTCTGGAAAAACCATATTTAAAATTATTGCCAATCTGAATGTTATGCTAGTATGAAATAGAAACACATGAACTAATAGAGCTGACATGTTGGGTAATAATTAATAGTCAATTTCTTGATATATTTTCAATATATAAAAGTGCTTTTATTTCTCTTTAAATGTAAAATTGGAGGATGTGGCTATGAGAATTTTCCAAACAAAATGATTGAGTTTTGTTAACACAATCAGCAATGGCTCATATTTTCACAAGAATTTTATTTGTCAAAATTTCAGTTATTTCCCTGAATTTCATTTTACAAAACCATTTCCATTCAAGGTAAAAAGAAACTTAAATAACATCTCCATTAGAGCTTATATCTTTCATCTCTCAGATTAGTACTCTAACTTAGCTGTGGTAATTACCTTACTCTAGCCAATTTTTGTTTTACAAAAGGCTCTGTGACTCAGTTGTCCCCATGTAACCCAATTCTGCACCACAGTCTTCTGGGAAAAGTTTTATACTTCCACCAAGAAGTAGGCAGCCCCTCTTACCCTCCTGGACATTACTGTACCTGAATATGATACCTGAACGAGTTTGCCAATATGACGTAGTCAAGTCTGCAGTAGAAGTTGTCATACAGAATGGCAGAATGTAGACGTTCAAAGAATCCGGCTGCTCAGTCTCATAATTAAGTAGCTGAATGCACCGGATGGAGCCATCTTACCTTTGATTTCCTTCTGTGAGATGATGCATTAGTTTACTTTTAAATTTGAATTTGGTTTTCAGTTGCTTGTAGCACAAAGCACACTGGATAATAGTGAATGAGTGTATATGCTCCATCAACTCCATTTAAGACAAGAAATCTTGCAGAACATATTGTTGGTAACAGTTGTAAATATTCTGGAAGATTACTGGAAAATGTTATACATATTTATCTTAATAGACATAGCTTATACCTAAACAGTGTTATGATGTGCATAGCTTCACTGCACTTAAAGTAATCCATAGCAAATAACATCATGACTCATTCAATTAGATCCTCTTTTTCCCAATACTGTATAGTTATACTAGGTGACAGGGAACTTATCTGCCTGAAGAAAGTTTCTTCCAAATAATTGTGACCCTTTCCTTAGGAATCTCATCCATTAACCAGGAAACATTAAGCACTGGAGAAAAGACTAAAAGTTGTCACCACAACCAGACAGATTGTGTATCTATTCTCCTGATGATAGTTTCAAGAAATTATCTGGGAGATTTTATCAATAAAATGAGAAAACCTTTGTTCACAGTGAAGCTCCACCCCTCAATTTCCTGCCACCTCCCCCAGAGTTCAGAAAAACTTTGTCTCAGCCCACGGTCTGTTCTTTGGGCTTATTTATTTTCCCTGAAAATTGTTTGCTACCCCTCACAGTTGCCTCCATCCCCTATCGTTCTCTCTGCTTTAAAGAGGGTGCTATTTAAGCATCAACAATCTAGTCCTTAAGTTTCAGATAGAGGGATTCCCATGTTCATGTGCACATTGATAAACATATATACCTTTTTTCTTGTTAATCTATTTACTGTCAGTTCATTTCAGCAGATTCTAGCCTTCAGAGGGGGAGGAAAAATTCTCTTGGCCCCTGCAATCCCATCAGGCTGACCCCAGAGGAGTTGGCCTCCTGAGAAGCTCTATGGAAAACAGTTTTAGCTCCTTGCTTAAGGTGATAAGTCCTGATCAGCTAACAGATTTGGACTTCAGCCCCAATTACACCAGGAGAAGGATGGATATTTTATACTTTTCCATACCAAAATGCCAATATGGCAAATCTGGAAGCTCATATGAGATGTTGTACAGTCATAAAAAAAAGGTTTTGGACCTCAGCCTCCTAATTTTTCCAGACGTCCTAGTGCTCGTCTGTCACCAACAGGGTTGACTTGAAAGGCTTTAAATAGAGCAACTGTTCCACAACACCACATTTCTAGTTTATCCTAATCTCTAATCACAATAGGGGAGGACCTAGTGCTTTTCCAACCATTACATTTAAAAGCCCCACAGCTCTAAAATCAGGGTCCCTCTCCAAAATCTGGTGTCCAATTCAGCCTTAGAATGCAGTCATAAATGGGAATCTCAAAACTTGCTTTTATTCTGCCACTGTGTTTTCCCCAATGGCAGCTGATCCAATAGGTCTGCTGTGTGTGTGCTTGTCCATCTGTCTTTGCTTGCACAACACAGGTGGCAGATACATTTTATTACACCTCCAGAAAGTAGAGCAAAAAGATAGCAATGGAAAATAGGAAAGAAAAGATCAGTAAATTAGAGGGCAAATCCAGAAGTCCAATTTCTGAATAAAAGTACAGGATACATTCCACTGAGATAACAGAAGGCAACAAATTATAAACTAAATAATCATAATTGAAGTATATCAGTTCCCAAATTTAAAAGGGCTACCTAGAACCCAGCACAACAGATTGAAAACTCTAAGACAAAATATTGTAATTAGAACAAAGAAAAAATCTAACTGTCTTTCAGCAAGCAAATAAGCTTATTTGCAAAGGAAAGAAATCAAATGGCCTGGGCTTTCTCAACAGCAACACTGGAAGGAAGATGTCAATGGACCAATGGCTTCTAAAGGAAAATTATTTCCAATTTAGAGTTTTTTACCCTGCCAAAATCTAGAATATACTTTATTGACACATCAATTAAGTATGTGAGAAGAGTAAAGCATTTTTAGACATGAAAAGTCTCCAAACTTTTGTGTTTAACAGACTCTTCTTCAGGGGACTGCTGGAAGAGGTCCCCAAGCAATATGAGCAAGTAAATAGCAGCCACAAAATAGAGAAAACTGAAGACCCAGTCAAAAGAATAGTCAAGGATGTCTCTAAAATGGTGGTGAGATGAGAACCCAGGCTGGCAACCACACTAAGGCATAATAGGTTGATGCAGTAAGATTCAATCAGCAGGCATGCCATCATCATGCTTTTATGGTAATGAAACTACTGGAAGCTATTCTTTCCTATTAAAGTAGTAAATCAAAAAAGAGGCAGCCACGAGAAAAAAAAATCCATCAATATAAATAAGCAAATGAAATATAATATACTGACAAAGAATGTCTTAGAATGAGAGTCACATGACAGCAACAAAGATAGAAAGGGTATAGTTATTTTAGGAGGAATGCTTTGAACAAACAAACGGAAGAAAATAATGTGAATAAAGAAATCACACCTTCTGTTGACCTCATTGAAAACCGAACTAAAGTTTTATTGGAAGGTGTGAGGAAAAGTAGCAATAGATGCAAAGGAGATTAAGCCGATGAAAACTAATTGCCTAATTATTAATTTTAGGAAATAGATTAAGAATGGAAAATGGATCAGAGCACACAATAATGCTCAAAAATGAACAATAGGGACAAAGGTATACTAATATAAATTCTTTTTTAATATTTTTGATTTAGTGAAAATATTAGCTAAATAAATTGGAGGATGGAGCAAGGCAACAAACGTGTGGATGCAACAAAACAACCAGGTCCTCATGATGATAAAAGGAAGTCAATACATAATATTATGCCACTAGCTGAAGAATTAATAGTTAGCAACTTTCCCATGTATTTAGAAATATAGAGATGTGTAAAAGCCAGAATAATGGTTTAAAAATAGATCATGGTTGCATCAAAGGAGGGGAAATAGAGACAGAGACTTATTTTATTTTATTATGTCCTTTGAGCACTATTCAAGTCTTTAAAACTGTGTGCATACGCTACTCAGATAACTTAACAATTAATGCATAAAAGTAAACAAATACATCGGTTCTGTCCAATAGACCACACATCCCTCCCACATTCCTACTGAATCATAGGCAAACTGAAAGAGGTGCCAAATATACTTTTGTCCTTCAGGTATCTTCAGGTAACTTGTAAAGTGGAAAGATTTTGGGTTATGGATTCAGAGAAACATGGATTTCAATTTCACCTCCTGAATTTCTGATTTGTCACCTATCTCCAAGTGTGATAATATTTTTTATTACAAATTAAATAATACAAAAGTTAAGCTCTTAACACATACCTAGCAAACAGTAAGTGATCATTATTTTTAGTTCCCTCTCATCCTGGATAACATAATGCAGGCAGTAGAAAAGCCAACTACTGTATTTTCTTGATTCAAACATACATACCTTTCACTTTGCTGAGTTGAGGATAATCAACGGTGTCTTAAAACTGGCAGCTGCCATTTTTTTACATTTTTTATCCCTGAAATTGGGCTGGTTTATAATAGCATCTTATACAAAAAATACGGTTTAAAAAATCAAAAACTAAAAGCACTAATTTTCCAAATGGAAAACCCTGAGTTCAGGCACTGCTCACCACCTCACTGCTCCAAAAGACAAAACTTCAATGTGAAACAGGCCAAATACTTTAAATAAACATTTAGCTTATATGTAAAATTCTATTAATGAATGAGGTACTTAGCCAACAAAATAATAGACATGAACAAGGATTGGAAAGTGGCATGAGAGTTAACATGGGGCCAGCCAGATGGGTGAGAGAGCAGAGGGTTTAAAAGTCACTGAAGATATTTATCCATAATTTATTCACATAACTAATACTACACAGCACATGTTATGCTCCAGGCATGGAAGAAGTCACCAGAATACAACTGAGTCAAACGAGTACATGCTCTTCAGAACATTATTTGCTACTACTTGCTTCATATATTTTTTCCTCTTTCTAGCCTTCCCCTTTTCCTATTTTGTTCTTTTCCTCTTCTCTTGGTGATATCTATAAGCTCAACTTAAAAGTCTATGGAACTATCATAAACAGTCTATTTTCTCTACTGTTTTCTACAAATAAGCTGCTAAAAGCACCCTAACAATTATCTTTGTGCTTTATTAGAAATAACTTCTCAACTATACTAAAAATATCCATTATTTATAATGTACAGTCAATTACCCAAACATAAGAAAATATGCTGTGTAAAATTATGCACTAATTTCTTAAAATAATTTCAAGTGCTTAATGTCTACTTGAAAAAAACATAGCCGCTCAATGCTGTTTACATTTCATACATTTATTTGCTCAGTTTGCAAGTTTTTAATAAGCATCTACTATTAGCCAGGCATAGACCTAGGTTTTGGGCTTAACAAGCACTCCATAAAATATAAAAGCAGAGGAAAAAGAATATTAGTGAAGAGCATCAGATAGTGATAGGTAATAAATGATATGGAGAAGGGAGAAAGTAGGAAAGATAAATAAGAGAAAAGTGGAAGCTTGTGATTTTAAACAGGACAGGTCCCACTGAAAGAAATGTGAAGGACAGAGCCATGCAGATATCTAGGAAAAAAAAAAAAACCTTAGGGAAAAGGAAACACAAGTGCAATTAATCTTGATGTGGAAGCAACATATCACATGTTTGAAAACAGGAAGCTGGAGAAGAGAGTGGAAAAGAGGTCAGAGTTAAGCAGAAAGCCAGAGAGCAGACAGTTGCTGAGCAAAGACCCTAATGAGACAGAGAACCATTGGAGGGTTTAACATAGCATTGTCACAGGCATCTCAAAATTAATAGTGTTGATAAAAGCTCATTTTATTTTCAGAAGGACCACTCGAAATGCTGTTCAGAAAAAAAAAACTGTAACACAGCAAATTGGGAGATATTAAATTAATCCCAGAGATACATGATAATATATCCAGGATGGTCATGCTGGAGTTGGGGAGAAACTGATTCTGGATTTATTTGAAATACAGTCAACATGATTTACTGATAGATTGAATATGCACCATTAAAGAGTGAAGTCAAGGATTATTTTGTTTGTTTCATTTGAATAAAGTAAAAGAAGAGGATTGCCATTTACTGACTTGGGAGACTGTGGAAGAAGTAGCTGGGCAGGCAGGAAGACCAGTATTTCTGCTTTGGACATATGAACTTGAAGAAACCTATTGCATAATCAAGTGGAAGTACCATTAAGCTGTTAGATATATTAGTAGTGATATCTGAAGTTATAAACATGGGAAGCATATAATGTTTTTTAAGCCATGGGGCTGAACAGGTTCGGCTGATCAGGGTCACCAAGGAAATTTATGAAAAATGAGTTGTCATGAGTAAGGCTGTGTGTCACCCTAATTTAAAGGCCAAGGAAATGAAAAGGAACCAAGAAAAATATCTGAGATGGAGACGCCAGTGAAGTCTGAGAAAAATCAAGAGTGTGGTTTCTCAGAAGCCAACTGAAGAGGGTATTTCAATGTAGAAAGAAAGATCTGGGGGCCAATATTCAACACTCTTAAAGAAAAGAATTTTCAATCCAGAATTTCATATCCAGCCAAACTAAGCTTCATAAGCAAAGGAGAAATAAAATCCTTTACAGACAAGCAAATGCTGAGAGATTTTTGTCACCACCAGGCATGCCTTACAAGAGCTCCTGAAGGAAGCACTACACATGGAAAGGGACAACCAGTACCAGCCATTGCAAAAACATACCAAATTATAAAGACCATAGATGCTATGAAGAAACTGCATCAGCTAATGGGCAAAATAATCAACTAGCATCACAATGGCAGGATCAAATTCACACATAACAATATTAACCTTAAATGTAAACAGGCTAAATTCTCCAATTAAAAGACACAGACTGGTAAATTGGATAAAGGGTCAAGACCTATCAGTGTGCTTTATTCAGGAGACCCATCTCATGTGCAAACATACACAGAGGCTCAAAATAAAGGGATGGAGGAATATTTACCAAGCAAATGGAAAGCAAAAAAAAGCAGGGGTTGCAACCCTAGTCTCTGATAAAACAGACTTTAAACCAGCAAAGATCAAAAGAGACAAAGAAGGGCATTAAATAATGGTAAAGGGATCAACGCAACAAGAAGAGGTAATTTTTGTAAATATATATGCACCCAATACATGAGAACGCAGATTCATAAAGCAAGTTCTTAGAGACCTACAAAGAGACTTAGACTCCCACACAAGAACTGTGGGAGACTTTAACGCCTCACTGTCAATATTAGACAGATCAACGAGACAGAAAATTAACAAGGATATCCAGGAGTTGAACTCAGCTTTGGACCAAGCGGACCTAATAGACATCTACAGAACTCTCCACCCCAAATCAACAGAATATACATTCTTCTCAGCACCACATCGCACTTATTCTAAAATTGACCACATCATTGGAAATAAAACACTTCTCAGCAAATGCGAAAGAACGGAAATAATAACAAACTGTCTCTCAGACCACAGTGCAATCAAATTAGAACTCAGGATTAAGAAACTCACTCAAAACTGCACAAACACATGGAAACTGAACAACCTGCACCTGAATGACTACTGGGTAAATAATGAAATTAAGAAGAAAAAAAGTTGTTCTTTAAAACCAATGAGAACAAAGACACAACGTACCAGAATTTCTGGGACACATTTAAAGCAGTGTGGAGAGGGAAATTTATAGCACTAAATGCCCACAAGAGAAAGCAGGAAAGATCTAAAACTGACACCCTAACATCACACTTAAAAGAACTAGAGAAGCAAGAGCAAGCAAATTTAAAAGCTAGCAGAAGACAAGAAATAACTAAGATCAGACCGGAACTAAAGGAGATAGAGACACGAAAAACCCTTCAAAAAATCAATGAATCCAGGAGTTGGTTTTTTGAAGAGATCAAAAAAATTGATAGACCACTAACCAGACTAATAAAGAAGAAAAGAGAGAAGAATCAAATAGATGCAATAAAAAATGATAAAGGGGATATCACCACTGATTCCACAGAAATACAAACTACCATCAGAGAATATTATAATACCTCTATGCAAATAAATTAGAAAATCTATAAGAAATGGATAAGTTCATGGACACATACACCCTCCCAAGACTAAACCAGGAGGAAGTCAAATCCCTGAATAGACCAACAAGTTCTGAAATTGAGGCAGCAATTAATAGCCTCCCAACCAAAAAAAGTCCAGGACCAGTTGGACTCACAGCCAAATTATACCAGAGGTACTCCATTGTGCAAGACAGTGTGGTGATTCCTCAGGGATCGAGAACTAGAAATACCATTTGACCCAGCAATCCCATTAATGGGTATATACCCAAAGGATTATATATCATTCTGCTATAAAGACACATGCACACGTATGTTTATTATGACACTGTTCGCAATAATGAAGACTTGGAACCAATCCAAATGCCCATCAATGATAAACTGGATAAAGAAAATGTGGCACATATGCACCATGGAATACTATTCAGCCATAAAAAGGATGAGTTCATGTCCTTTTCAGGGACATAGATGAAGCTGGAAACCATTATTCTCAGCAAACTATCACAAGAAGAGAAAACCAAACACTGCATGTTCTCACTCATAAGTGAGACTGGAACAGTGAGAACACATGGACACAGGGTGGGGAACATCACACACCAGGGCCCGTCCGGAGGGTGGGGACTGGGGAAGGGATAACATTAGGAGAAATATCTAATGTAGGTGACGGGTGGATGGGTGCAGCAAACCTCCATGGCACGTGTATACCTATGAAACAAACCTGCACATTCTGCACATGTACCCCAGCACTTAAAGTATAATAAAAAGAAAGAAAGAAAGAAAGATCAACTGAAAAATACTGCCGATAAAACAATAAATTGAGATCCAAAAAATGACCTCTGTAACCAGCAGTTCACTGGTGATTTTGAAATTAGGAGTTCCACTGCAATGATGGAGATATGGCCTCATTTCCATATTTCATCACTCTCAACAGTGTTCTTGAGAACCGGTGAATTTGTCTTCCAGGGGATCTTTGCCAATATCACGAGACATTTTTGATTGTCACAATTTAGGTGTTTGGGGAGTTGCTACTGGCATCTAGTGGGTAGAGACCAGAGATGCCACTAATGTCCTAATACAAAGAGGAGAGCCTCTACTTCACAACAAAGAATTATTCAGCCAAATATGTCAGTGGTGGTGAGACTGAAAAACCCTTCTATAAAATAACTTTCTATTATCATCTGGTCAGAGATGATAATAGACTCTGAGAAATAAAGACTCTCAGAGTTCACAAATGAGGCATAGTGGCTTAAGTATTATAAAATACTATAACTAATTGGCTTCAACCAATCGTGTTAAACTTTTACTCTACTACCACTTACCTGTTTAGTCATCATTAAAAGGAGGGCAATATAATTATTTCTGTAAAAGTAAGTCATTCTCTAACTACAGATTTCTGTTATAACTGATATCTCTCTAAGCTTCCTATAAATATAACCGTGTATAGTCTTCACATATATACCTTCATGTGTATACATAAACCAATAGCCCTTAGGGACATATGCAATTTTTTAAATTTAATTTCAGATTTTGAAATTATTTAACAAATTGTTTTTTCTTTGAATATAGTGCCTTCCTTGAAACCAAAACTGAATAAATTAATTTCATAAAGTTATTCATACATATTAAAAATAATTTGCAAGGCAAAGTGAACAAGGTGAATACATTTGTTCTGAAAAGCTAAAAAAAATTTGGAACATTATTTTAGAATCAAACAACATCTAAATAAAATTAAGATGTGCTACATAATAGACTGAATATTTTGTTTCACTTTGAAGGATGTATTAATTTGAGTAATTCTTTTGAATATCTATCATATAAAAAAGGAAAATTTGGACATGTCTCTTGAACTAAATTCACTGAGCATTAATAATGCATATAGGAAATTAAATCAAAAAGAACTCTAAGCCATGTGACCACAAGAGCAATATCTGCTTTTGGTCTAAAGGATATTTGAAAGCAATTACAATAGTATATCATTCAGTTCTCTCAGTAGTTCTCAATTAATTCTTCTACATAGCAAATATATATGGTCTACTATGATAAAATTTCCTATGTACTGAGAAAACAACAGCAAATAAGGCATAATCTTTGTTCTCATGCTGATTTACTTACTCATGATTGACTTACTCATTTTATTTTTTTTCCCTAAGCAATCCCTATTTGCTATACAGAAGGGTGCTTCTGGCTAAAAACTGTTCATTTGCAAACAATTAAAGATTCCTGTGAAGTCTTCATGAGGGAAATACCTGCCAAAAGAAGTATGCCAATGGGATACTATAAACTGATATACCCTGGGCTACAATTATGCTTTGAAGAAAATATAGATTCTCCTGTTGCTTGATATTGCTCATAATTTCATAATTTTACACTGTTAATTTATACACTAATATTTTGAAATCAAGTCAAAATCTAAATGTTGATTGGGCCTATTAGTGTTTGCACATGAACACATGGCTATTACTATTGCATGACATTGCTTTCTCTCATTTTGGAGTCTTAAGGTCTATATATCAGGATTTCTTTAAGCTGTTAACAAAATATCAAATGTTATTATTATTAATGTATGAGTTCCTTAATTGTAGAGAACGTTCCACATTTGAGAGATATATATGCACTATATATATGGTGTGTATATATATATGTATATATATATATATACACACACATATACTAAAAGTATAGATGCAGAGATGTGAGTTTGAATTTGAACTCAGCCACTTACTTGCTTTGTGACATTGGGCAGGTTACTTCTCTAAGCTTCAGGTAATTCATTTAAATGGCTGTCATGAGGATGAAATTGGGTGATTTGGGGGAAAGCATCTGACTGACAATAACTGTTCAATAAACAGCTGAATTGTTCTCTTGATGTGTAACTAATTTTATTTTTCAAAGAGACACCTACGCAGTAGATATTCCATAACTGTTCAAAGTAATGCATGAGTGGAATAAGGGCTTTTAATCTGTTTTCCTACAGCATTTAGAGCCCTGAAATGCTATCCTTGAATCTGGCAATAAAGACCCTATTAAATTTTTTTACAGAGAATTATTAGAAGCATGGTTAGTCTGAAGGTCAGTGTGTAGACTATAAAGACTACTGATGGTTTTTTTTTAATGTAAAAATGAATACTTTAAATACTAGAGGAGTTTGGCAGAAAAGTTACTGAAGAAATAGATATATTTAGGTGAAAAAGAAAGAACAGATGTAGATTTTCAAAGGAAATCTTACGTACAACCAGGAAAGGTAGGGAAAGGCGAGGTTGAAATCAGAAGTGATCAGAGGAAGAGATATCCTGAAAGAGGGTGGAAAGAGTGGAAGACACAGCCAAATATTAAACTGTCTGGGGAGTGCAAACCAGCTTAGACCGTACTGAAAAATAAATGCCTAAATATAGTAGGAAAATAGAAAACCCGTAGACTTATGATTGTGATAAATCACTATAGTGGTATGTGTGTAATGGGAGATGAATATTTGATATTACTGAAGAAGTAAGGACATTATGTTTGATCCACAAAGTGAGAGAGTAAGGCTGCAAGGGGTTATCTGATTGCGTCAGCGTGAATATACTGACTTAGTGTTTGCAGAGGTAGAGTTTTCCTAAGTAGTCTTAAGGATGGCAGCTGATACCCACGGTCAATATTGGGCAATTCATTGTATCAACACAATCAAGTAATCCAGAGAGTCACCAATATGAATGCCCAAATTACTGTGAATGATAAGCATGTCCTTTATTTTAAAAATATTTATGATCAGAGTATAAAATTTAAGAGCATTGATTGCCTTATTTACCTTTTTGATTGAGGCAGTTGAAGACAATATTGCATCTGAGCCCATCATCTGGTGAAGCATGACACATGTTGATGTTTACTGAGTTGGTTCTCAAATTGCGCTGCAAATTAGAATCTGTTGACAGTTTTTTAGATATGTCGATGCCCAGGCCACACCCAAGATGAGCTAAATTAGAGTCTCTGGGGTAGGCCTCAGACATCAACAACTTTTAGTCCTTTTGGGGTGATTGCAACGCGTAGTCGAGTTAAAATTCATTACTCTAAATTGAAGAAATGACGCTCTAAGGTTTTGCATAGCATCCTCACTTTGGATAGGATGACATAGGCTAGCAAGAGCTAAAGACAGAGGGTGCGGCAGCACTTGGTGCAAGCCTGCCAACAACCCCAAAGGCTGCTCAGGCTAACTTTTTGTTGTTAGTGTTTTCTCACTTTCCACATTCCTTTTTTTTCTTTTTTTTTTTTTTTTTGAGACGGAGTCTCGCTCTGTTGCCCAGGCTGGAGTGCAGTGGCATGATCTCGACTCACTGCAAGCTCCGCCTCCCAGGTTCACGCCATTCTCCTGCCTCAGCCTCAGGAGTAGGTGGGACTACAGGCACCCGCCACCACGCCTGGCTAATTTTTTTGTATTTTTAGTAGAGACGGGGTTTCACTATGTTAGCCAGGATGGTCTCGATCTCCTGACCTCGTGATCCGCCCGTCTCGGCCTCCCATAGTGCTGGGATTACAGGCGTGAGCCACCACGCCCAGCCTCACTTTCCACGTTCTTAATTTCAATGTCATAGAAGGATAAAGAGAAAAAGAAGGGAGGGAATTAAAGTGTGAAATAAAATCTTAAATATCTTTCCTCTAACTGTGAAAATATTGTCATATTCAGCAGCTGTATGGTTTCATTGCTATGCTCTGCTAAGTAAGCCATCTCACAGCTAATGACTTACTGCATTTTTAGTGTCACACTGGCTTTCAGTACTAGACAGTAGAGACGGGCCCTATCAACAAACCTCTTTTGTTCATAGAAAACACAACAATGAGTCTCTGGAATTTTTACTTAAAATTTAAAATATGTAATGAAGCCCCAAGGCAAATTAATAAAGAGAAACAACAACAGTTCTAAAAAGTGAGATAAGGTATTTTGAGATACAAATATAAGTAGCTTACATCATTGTAAAAAATAACACCGTGCGTCCTAAAGTGGCCATTAGTTATGGGAACATCCATACATAATTTTACAACTTAAGATTCCAAGCTGAAGTATACCGTTAATACAAATGTTCCAGAACACTGTGGAACAGTTGTTAGATGACTCAAAGTTTCAGTGTACACAGATCAGATAATCCACCAATAACTACACAAGGATGAAGAGAGCCGCAAAATGATTAAGGATAGAAACATTTTAGGAGAACATAACCAATGCTGATATTTTACATATATAACAACGAACCATGGAGTAGTTTCTCAGCTTACTCAGGGTAGAGAATATAACTAATCCAGACAGTCGAGTAGCATCACTGAACACTCATTTTCCTGACAGTTCATAACAGATATCTGACACATCTGTGTGATAAAAGCAACACCTGAACACTTTAAATAATCATCTAAGCTTGGACTAAACTGAAATTTCAACTTTTTAAATAATCACTGTGCACTTAAATAGAAGTAAAATGTAATTATGAGTGCTTGTTGATGGCTGAGAGCAGAATTTCCCATTTCAAGAGGATAAATCATATTTCTAAAAAGTAGGAAAAGTTCAACAAAACAAATAAATGAAGCATCACATGCTTCCAAAGTAGTAATCCACTCTAATATCTATCTTAATATATTGACCAGAGTATTTATCAAAATATGTTTTTTAAAATTTGCTCCAAATATACTGAGAAAAAAATTAATTTTTTTCTTAAGATGAAATGTTTTGTTTGTTTAGCCTATCTATTTATTTGTTTAGCATGCACGAAAGTGAACTTATCTATTTGGATATTTTAACAATTACCCAATGTAAAGAAATCCAATCATATCTATCATTTATTGATTAATAATAGTGTTAGATGCTATGCTAAGCTCTTTAAAGGTGTTTAATTTTATTCTAACAACACCATGAGAGAGATACTATTTTTGCCATTCTACAGATGATAAAACTGAGGTTCAGTAAGGTGAGATAACTTGCCTAAGGTTACCACCACATATGGTTAGTATGTGTGATTGGGCTTTGACTGAATTACAGATCATCTGCAGATCATCTAATGCTCTTTGCCCTCCATGAGGCTATCTTCCTGACATGCACTTAGCGATCACTCTCAAAAAACAAAAACAAAACAAAGCAAAAAACCATGGGAATAAATGGGGTGCCCATGGGACAGTAAAGCAGAGCAGCTTTTGGCATCAATTCTAGACTTTCTTTCTTAGAAAACTGTTAGATTATATAAATCAAAGAGGATTGCTTTATAGGATTGCTGTCCCATATGTGACTATTTGAACCTAAATCAAAATAATTAAAATTAAATTAAATTTTAAAACTTCAGCTCCTCAGAAACTCGTGCCACATTCCCAGTGATCCATAACCACACAGCACTAGTGGCTACAGTATTGGATAATGCAAATATAGATCATTTTTATTACCATAGAAAGTTTTACTGGACAACACTCTATATCATTACCTTAAAAATCTTAAGAGACAGAAAGTCGTATATTTCACTTTGTGGCTTTAAATTTTAGCAGTATTTTTCCTAGCATGTTAGATGTCTATTAAACACAGTGAATACTGCACTAGCGTTCAAATGACACATAGCATCAAAACACAAGGAGTTTTTAAGTCATCAACTAACAAAGACAATTATATTACTTAGTGATATTCTGATTACAAGTGACAGTAACTGACTTCAAATTAGTTTAAGCGGGGAAAAATGACAAGACATAGGTAGATTTCAGGGAAAAACTAGGCTTTAATCACTGTCAGAGCCTTCCTTTCCATACTCCTCTCTGCTTTCTCTACATACCTGTTTCACTCTCATTTCTGCCTCAAGCCCCCAATACTAGTTTTTGCTCTCTCTGTTAAGGATCACGTACAATATTTATCACATATTTAGTTTTTCTGTTATATTTTGATAAATTTTAATAAAAATGGGGTCCTTTACAATCCCAAGTATGTTATTATGTTCCTATAGAAATATTATTCCAAGAAGGGGTTCATAGACTTCACGTAAGTGATCCTTGTCACACACACATACACACACATGCACGCGTGCACACACACACACAATGTTTATGAACACTGCATCTAGAAAGAGAGTAAGATTATATTCCCTCCAGCCTCATCTCCAAAATTCCCAGAAAAGGGTTTGAGCAGCTCAATTTTGGTGCCTGTTTTGGGACCAGGATTACGGTCCTAGGGACACTCAGAGGCCCCAGCGCAAAGCATACATGCAGAATGAGTGTGGTCAGCAACCGAGAAAAAATGAGGTTATTTTTCCAATATGAGAGGGTTAGGGGAAGGAAAAATAATAGCTGGCTGCAATGCTAAAAGATTATTTTAGTTCTCAGTTCCTATGCAGCTGTCATAGATTTAAACAACTGAGCTAAAGAAAGAAATTACCTCAATAGAAATGGGAGGAAAGAAGTTTCTTCAACATTCATTTCCGGTACAATCCTCCCATAACCTGTTGAGAAATCCCCCCTGCCTATGATTACTTGGGATTCAACAAAAATTGAAAATTTCTATCATTTCTGTGATCCTCTTGTAAATCAATCTTCACATTACAGAATGACTACAGATTTTCAGGGCATCATTACAGTATGTCATCTTTATTGGAGTCCATGGTTGAGAAATAGAAGCCCTGTAGAATAGCATCTCCAAAATCGGATCACAGGAACTTTACATGAAATTGCTAGCATCTAGCAAAGTAGTGACAATAATGCTGCACTTTCCAATCTCTCCTGCTTCCTTGGTGCTTGGTAATTGTGATGATGAGAGGAAAAACAGTATTCAATTATCCTAATGTTTTGCCTTGAAATTATTTTAACCTAATACCTGTGTTAAATCATTCATCCAAGTAAGTTTTTATTGCCCTCATAACAGGAAGTTATATAGTATATCTAGTAATGTATTATAAATGTATCATAATTTATTCAAAAATTTTGTGATTATCCACTGTTTTTTTTTAAGGCGGAGTCTTGCTCTGTTGAAGACTAGAGTGCAGTGGTGCAATCTTGGCTCACTGCAATCTCCACCTCCCGGCTTAAAGCAATTCTCTTGTCTTAGCCTCCTGAGTCCCTGGGATTACAGGCACTCCGCCACCACGCCCAGCTAATATTTTCTATTTTTGTTAGAGATGGGGTTTCACCATCTTGGACAGGCTGGTCTTGAACTCCTGACCTCAAGTGATCCACCCGCCTCGGCCTCCCAAAGAGCTGGGATTACAGGCATAAACCACCACGCCCAGCATATCTGCTAATATCTACTATTTTTAAATCCAGAAAATGGAACCAAACAATATTCCCAAGTTAAAACTAAAGTTATGATAAATATATGAAAGAAAGAAAACAACACATGAGATACAGTAAAATTGCCGTGTAAAGCAGCTCAAAATCTAATATTTTTCAACTCATTAAAGATTGAACACACTTTTAATTCACTTGAGTTTTAAAACTTTCACAGAATAAATTTGAAATCACTGGGCAGAGAGTATTAAATGTGGACTTTGTTAACAGGAAAACATAGAAAGGCTTGAAAGGGTCAAAGAAGTTAAATGAAAATAGCAGGGAGAAAAATATTGACTGCAATATTTGAAGACATAATGCAGCTGTATCTAATAGAAATACTATCCGAGCCACATATGAAATTTAAAATCTAGTAGTCAAAGGGGAGGGAGAGCATTAGGACAAATACCTAATGCATGCAGAGCTTGAAACTCAGATGACAAGTTGATAGGTGCAGCAAACCACCATGCATATGTATACCTTCGTAACAAAACTTCATGTTCAGCACATGTATCTGAGAACTTAAAGTAAAATTTAACAAAAAATTTAAAAAGTAAAAAAAAAAGTTGTTCTAGCAGCCACATAGAAAAGTTAAAACAAAACAGATAAACTTTAACAATATGCTTGACTTAATACAATTCAAAATAGTATCATAACATTTAGTCAATATGAGTTGAGATATTTTACATTATTTTTAACGCTAAGTCTTCACAATTGTGTGTTCTGTTTTACATATACAGCAAAATCTTAACTTGTGCTATCCACATTCCAAGTACTTCATAGTGACTCTATGGGCCAGTGCAGATATAGAGATATAGTTAATGGGAATAAGGGTGCAATGATGATAATTCTGTTTCATAACTCTTTCAACTTCAATCCATAAAAACGCAGGGATGCAGTAACTTAGAACGCTTCCAGATCACCTCCCAATTATGTTGTAACAACTGAAGAAATGTCTGCACACATATGTACACATGCAAAACTTAATCTATCTGCACCATGAGCAATGATTCGAGCATGAGTGTTAATCTTTCAGTGCTTTAGTCCCCTTTTTGTAGTTCAGGCATGTGAAAAGATAAACAACAGCTACTCCATGGACAAAAACTACAAGACATAAATGAGTTTTCTTTTAATTATAAAGGATGTGAAATACAGGATTTACTTAAAAGTAAAAACATAAAGCAAAGAATTAGAAAAAGAAATTCTGTAACTTACTGATGTGTGCATAATTTCCCTATTTTATGTAAAACAGCCTCTTCAAAATGAGCCCTAAAGCATGATCAGCTATGCCAATCCCATGGTAAGCATTGACAGCATCCAGAGCTTCCCATCCAAAACATCTGGAGCTGAAAATGGAATTATTAAGACTCTTCCACAATTCAAGAATGGAAATTACAGGGCAAGATTTAAAGAAAGACAATTACTTAAACTGGAATTAGGCCAAACAATGGATTTCTACCAAAGGGCTCATTGAAAATATTCTGTAATTTTTATCAAATATCATGATACTGAAACCTGATCTGAAATTCTGACAGTAAATGCTGGATCTCTTGCATTAAGTTTTACTTGCAAAATCTGTCAGTGCATTATTCTGGGAGGGGTAGTGGAAGTACAGAAAATATAATATTCAGAACAACTCCTTCAAAACCTATGGTTTTGCCCAAGTTCTGCTTTAACAATCTATGAAACAGATTATGAATTAAAAAAATAGTAGAAGAAGAAAGCGGGAGAAAATTCAAAATTATAAAGCTTAGTTTGTTAGCTATTATATTTTTGAGAACAACCAGCTCTACAAAGATTGTAAGGTTTATCTCCCAAGCTCTGACATGGTCTAAGTATAGTATTATCTCATGACTTCGGAAAGATAAGAATTTAAAAGGTGAAGCATATAATAATTTAAAGCAATTTACAATTTTTTTGGTTTAAATGTTACTCATGCAAAGCAATAAAACAACACTTGCATAAAACTATTAGAAATTTTCTTGACCAACTATATATAAAATTTTTAAATCTAAATAACCTTGTAGATTGATCAACAGAAAAAAATGAGGTGGGGGTAGTTGGGGTGGGAGTTTCTGACATTAAAAACATCTGGAAAAATGTCACATATTATATTTCTTCTGTGAGACATTTACCAAGCATTTTCAGATAGGAAAGGTTTTTTTTAAAAAAAAAAACACAATAAATCATTGTTTAAAACTTTTTTTTTAACTTTTTAATGTAACAGTAAACATATTACCAATCCAGAGTTCTAAAAAGCACACTTCTGGAAATGCTAGTGCAATTTTTATTATTGTTTAAACACACACACACACACAGACACACCCCCAAACGTAGTTTTGGTTTCTCAGATATTTCTCCCCATCTTTGGAAATCTGCCACCCCTTCTGCCTGTATTTCTTTTGTGCCACATCAATTCCACTTCACTGAAAGTAATGAAAGTAATAGGGTTTGCAACGAGCCCTATATGCAAGTCATTGTGGATTTTTGTTTTGATAATAATCCAGAGGTCTTTATATTATTTTCAATTTTTATTTTTAAATGGCAAATATGTTTGAGTGCTATATAGATCAAGTGTAAAAACAACTATATCCTTACAGCATTTTACTTACTAATATTAACATAGATATTTGAGGCTGAAGATGATTGTTTATAGTCTGAGGAGGATAGAGAAAATAAATATACATGTAAAAGAATACAAATCTAAGCCTACTCAGTTGTAGTTTACAGTAATTTTAATCTCTAACCTTAAATGAGATGTTTTTTAAAAAATATAGAAATAGGATATACACTATAGTCTTTGGTAATAAGTCACAGAGATAATATAGTCCTCATGTCATCACCCCCAAGAATGGTCTCTGCTGCGGTTTTAAACATAATTATTTAAACAATAATTGAAAAATATATTAAAATGTCATGCCTGGCCATCAAATGTGAATACATATACACATTTGTATGAAATGCAGTGGGTGTCATCACCAACTTGTCAGCAACAATCTATCACACATCTTGTTTTTATTCTGAAGTACAGTAGAGTTTTGTCAGGATTTGTTATTATACACAAAAGATCATTCTCCTTACCAGAACACCATTCTCTCTAGAACCAAGTAAATAACCTTTGAGAGTTTCTAAGATGTGAACTAGCCCTTAAGTGGTTTTCTTTCAGAGTGTGATGTGTAATAGTTATTAGTAAAAGCCTAAGATTATTACAGTTTTCACATAGTTCAATTCAAAGAAACTCTATTTACTTGAAATAGTGTAGGAGAAATAAAATGGGTAACAAAATCAAATCCACACATATTATCTAAACTTTTTACCTGAACTTATAATTGAAATCTTTATAATAGATATCACTTGGGATCTTTAAAGAAATGTAACTGAGGTAAATGTTCATCAAAATATTTTTATTTTGTTTATTGTCTGTTTTTTCCATGGAAAGATCTCAGTAACAGTAAAATACCTACTCATGCAAACTAGAAGGAAGGCAGAGCTAGTTAACCAGAAAAGTGTTCATACATACATAGTTAGAACAAAAATTTCAAAAGCAAACATCTTACTTGAGCTCAATCCTCAAACATATACAATGATATATGTTAGCAAAAGCACAGGAACTAGCAAGAACAGAGGTTTAATTATCCATCTGTCCTTGGTGTGAATCCTTTATAATCTGAGGTAAGTTGTTTAACCTAATTAAGCTTTTATTTTCTCATCTAAAAAGTAATAACTATCTCGCATAACTACTATAAGTATTAAAAGAAAAAATGTCTTTTTAACATTTATCCCAATGGTACCATGGTGATTATTACTATAATAATTAATATATGATTGTGATAGGGTTCAAAACAACTACCCAAAATATGGCATCTTGGAACCTGAGAAAATATCAGAAGCAGAAGTTTCTCTCTTACTTTCCATTTGCCCTTCTCTCATAAAGCAGGTCATAATATCCTCATTCCTGAGATGCCCTCCCTATAACCGGAGGAAAGGAACATCCTTCTCTTAGAAGACACAGAGAGGACCTGGTACCATTCCTTCTGAAACTATTCCAATCAATAGAAAAAGAAGGAATCCTCCCTAACTCATTTTATGAGGCCAGCATCATCCTGATACCAAAGCCGGGCAGAGACACAACCAAAAAAGAGAATTTTAGACCAATATCCCTGATGAACATTGATGCAAAAATTCTCAATAAAATAATGGCAAACTGAATCCAGCAGCACATCAAAAAGCTTATCCACCATGATCAACTGGGCTTCATCCCTGGGATGCAAGGCTGATTCAACATACGCAAATCAATAAATGTAATCCAGCATATAAACAGAACTAAAGACAAAAACCACATGATTATCTCAATAGATGCAGAAAAGGCCTTCAATAAAATTCAACATCCCTTCATGCTAAAAACTCTCAATAAATTAGGTATTGATGAGATGTATCTCAAAATAATAAGAGCTATCTATGACAAACCTACAGCCAATATCATACTGAATGGGCAAAAACTGGAAGCATTCCCTTTGAAAACTGGCACAAGACAGGGATGCCCTCTCTCACCACTCCTATTCAACATATTGTTGGAAGTTCTGGCCAGGGCAATTAGGCAGGAGAAGGAAATAAAGGGTATTCAATTAGGAAAAGAGGAAGTCAAATTGTCCCTGTTTGCAGATGACATGATTGTATATTTAGAAAACCCCATTGTCTCAGCCCAAAATCTCCTTAAGCTGATGAGCAACTTCAGCAAAGTCTCAGGATACAAAATCAATGTACAAAAATCACAAGCATTCTTATACACCAATAACGGACAAACAGAGAGCCAAACCATGAGTGAACTCCCATTCACAATTGCTTCAAAGAGAAGAAAATACCTAGGAATCCAACTTAAAAGGGATGTGAAGGACCTCTTCAAGGAGAACTACAAACCACTGCTCAATGAAATAAAAGAGGATACAAACAAATGGAAGAACATTCCATGCTCATGGGTAGGAAGAATCAATATCGTGAAGATGGCCATACTGCCCAAGGTAATTTATAGATTCAATGCCATCCCCATCAAGCTACCAATGACTTTCTTCACAGAATTGGAAAAAACTACTTTAAAGTTCATATGGAACCAAAAAAGAGCCCGCATCGCCAAGTAATCCTAAGCCAAAAGAACAAAGCTGGAGGCATCACTCTACCTGACTTCAAACTATACTACAAGGCTACAGTAACCAAAACAGCATGATACTGGTACCAAAGCAGAGATATAGACCAATGGAACAGAACAGAGCCCTCAGAAATAATGCCACATAGCTACAACTATCTGATCTTTGACAAACCTGACAAAAACAAGAAATGGGAAAGGACTCCCTATTTAATAAATGGTGCTGGGCAAACTGGCTAGCCATATGTAGAAAGCTGAAACTGCATCCCTTCCTTACACCTTATACAAAAATTAATTCGAGATGGATTGATTAAAGACTTAAATGTTAGACCTAAAACCATAAAAATCCTAGAAGAAAACCTAGGCAATACCATTCAGGACATAGGCATGGGCAAGGACTTCATGTCTAAAACACCAAAAGCCATGGCAACAAAAGACAAAATTGACAAATGGGATCTAATTAAACTAAAGAGCTTCTGCACAGCAAAAGAAACTACCACAGAGTGAACAGGCAACCTACAGAATGGGAGATAATTTTTGCAATCCACTCATCTGACAAAGGGCTAATATCCCGAATCTACAAAGAACTCAAACAAATTTACAAGAAAAAAACAACCCCATTAACAAGTGGGCGAAGGATATGAACAGACACTTCTCAAAAGAAGACATTTATGCAGCCAAAAGACACATGAGAAAATGCTCATCATCACTGGCCATCAGAGAAATGCAAATCAAATCCACAATGAGATACCATCTCACACCAGTTAGAATGGCAATCATTAAAAAGTCAGGAAACAACAGGTGCTGGAGAGGATGTGGAGAAATAAGAACACTTCGACACTGTTGGTGGGACTGTAAACTAGTTCAACCATTGTGGAAGTCAGTGTGGCAATTCCTCAGGGATCTAGAACTAGAAATACCATTTGACCCAGCCATCCCATTACTGGGTATATACCCAAAGGATTATAAACCATGCTGCTATAAAGGCACACGCTCACGTATGGTTATTGCGGCACTATTCACAATAGCAAAGACTTGGAACCAACCCAAATGTGCAACAATGATAGACTGGATTAAGAAAATGTGGCACATATACACCATGGAATACTATGCAGCCACAAAAAATGATGAGTTCATGTCCTTTGTAGGGACATGGATGAAGCTGGAAACCATCATTCTCAGCAAACTACCACAAGGACAAAAAACCAAACACTGCATGTTCTCACTCATAGGTGGGAATTGAACAATGAGAACACATGGACACAGGAAGGGGAACATCACACACGGGGGACTGTTGTGGGGTGGGGGGAGGGGGAAGGGATAGCATTAGGAGATATACGTAATGTTAAATGACGAGTTAATAGGTGCAGCACACCAACAAGGCACATGTATACATATGTAACAAACCTGCACGTTGTGCACATGTACCCTAAAACTTAAAGTATAATAATAAAAAAAAAGAAGACACAGAGAAGGCTCTGGACAAACAGGTCTTGCTAAACCACTCCCCACCTATTTATGAACATTAGGTCATACCCTTTTGTCTAATCACACTTCTCCCTGACTAACCACCTCTTCACCAAACCTAGCACAAAAAAATACACCAGTTTATCTGTTTCTCTGATGTCTTTATTTAGGAAAGCTTTTGTGTTACACTAAACTTAAATAAATCTGTGTGCATTACTTTGGTTAATCTGCCTTTGTTATAGGAGACTTAGCCCCAGACTTAGCAATGGGTGAGGAAAATATTCTCCTCCCTACCCTGGGCATTATTTTAAGCACTATCTATGAATTATCTCATTTAACACTTGAACAACACTCTTTCAAATCTGTGCTGTCCAATACAGTTGACACTAGCCCCATGTACTTACTTAAGTTTAAATTATCAAAAGTAAAATTTAGTTTTTCACTTCAACTGGCACATGTGCCCGATGACTGCTGTGTTAGACAGCACAGAATATAGACAATGCCATCACCACAGAAAGGCCCACTGGACAGTGCTGCTCGAAGGTATACATTATTACCTATCACCTTTTAATACTACAGAAGAGGAAAGAGAGTTACTGAAAGTGCTGCAGCTGGGATATAATTATGGCGGTCTGCCTCCACTGCATAATTCTGCCTCCCCTATCATGGCAAATGTTCAGCAAATGCCAATTGTATTTACTCTCGACTTTTTTTTATATGATTTTAAATATGAGGGTAATTTTTACCACCAAATATGAAGACGTGCAGTGTTCATACAATAATCATACTAAATTAAGTTTAGTATGCAAAATTATAGTGGAAAAATTAAACTTTGGAAGAGATTACAGGTGAACTCAGCAGTGGCAATGACAGCTTATTTTCATTCTCTGGGTGGTTAGTTTTTTTATTTATAATTACTAAATACAATATAAATATCAACTTATACGTCATCCATGTTTTATGACACATATTTGATACTAAAACCTGTTTGAATTATATTAAAGTGTTATTTAAAATTTTTCTTAGCTTTTATTATAATTTTTATTTACATACAATTTTGTACTACTTGAATGCAACAATTAAAACATAGGTTTTTTTGTTGGGGGATTTTTTTTTTTTTTTTTTGCCAAACCTAAATTTTAGGTAATCCTCATCATGTTAAATATGAGAAAATGTCACTACATGAACGTGTGTTCCTTTTTTAAAACATTTATTTTTTACATGAAAATTTTATTTAATTTTTAATTTTTATGGGTACATAGTAGGTGTATATGTTTATGGAGTACATGCTATATTTTGACTTAGGCATACAGCATGTAATAATCACATCTGGGGAAACGGGGTACCCATCACCTCAAGTACTTACCATTTCTTGTGTTATAAACCACTTATACTCTTATTTCTAAATGTACAATAAATTATAATTGACTATAGTTGGCCTGTTGTGCTATCAAACACTAGATTTTATTCATCTAACTATGTTTTTGTAGCCATTAACTCTCCCCACTTTCCCCACCCCTCCCCACTACCCTTCCCAACCTCTGGTAACCATCATTCTGCTGCCTATCTCCATGAGTTCAATTGTTTTAATTTTAAGCTCCTACAAATAATTAAGAACATGTGAAGCTTATCTTTCCATGCCTGACTTATTTCACTTAACATAATGTCCTCCAGTTTCATTCAGAACATGTGTTCTTTATACCAGATTTTCCTAATCAGCAAATTAGCTGATAATCACTCAAGTGAACAATGAATATGATTCAAGTTAGTATGATCCAGAAAAAAATCCTGACCTTAAATGTGAAGATAAATTATGTCTTTGGACAAGAGTTATGATGTTTTTATGTGATATAACTGGTTTTATAGCTTATCAATTATAGTCTATTAGAAGAAAAGTCTTCATTTACTCCATAAAATCTAGACATGTGAGGAAATCTTGGAAATTTTATTTGAGGACCTGGAATAAAAAATACAATCCTAGGATTTAAGGTTAAAATTTCCAGATCTCATTTTCTTTAAAATACTAAACCCAGAAAAAACAAAACTATTCAGACTTGTCCAGACAAGAACTAACAAAGCTTCAGTTGGGAATAGGAAGTTGTGATCAATGTAATTTGATAATAAATTAATTCTAACTCCAATTTATTCATTTTTGTATCACTCAAAATAAGTAACATTCTAGCTAAGAAAATATTTCAGCATATTCACATATATACCATAATCATGTGAGGTTTTATGATTAATGTGATTATATTACTCTGAAATTTAAAAGTATTTATTTGTTCTAAGTCAGTATACATGAATTTGATATAAACATGAATTCAAAAAAATTAATGAGATTATATGGGATTTATTAGGATCACAAATTCTTTTTTTTAATTTTACTTTAAGTTCAGGATACATGTGCAGAATGTGCAGGTTTGTTACATAGGTATACATGTGCCATGGTGGTTTGCTGCACCTATCAACCTGTCATCTAGGTTTTAAGCCCCACATGCATTAGGTATTTGTCCTAATGCTCTCCCCCATCTTTCCCCCAACCCCCACACAGGCCCCGGTGTGTGATGTTCCCCTCCCTGTGTCCATGTCTTCCCATTATTAAACTCCCACTTATGAGTGAGAACCTTCAGTGTTTGGTTTTCTGTTCCTGTGTTAGTTTGCTGAGAATGACGGCTTCCAGTACATCCATGTTCTTTCAAGGTCATTATCTTATCCTTTTTTATGGCTACACAGTATTCCATGGTGTATATGTGCCACATTTTCTGTATCCAGTCTATCATTGATGGGCATTTGAATTGGTTTCAAATCTTTTCTGGTGTAAATAATGCTGCAATAAACATAAGTGTGCATGTGTCTTTATAGTAGAATGATTTATAATCCTTTGGGTATATATCCAGTAATGGGAATGCTGGGTCAAATGATATATCTGGTTCTAGATCAGTGAGGAGTCTTCACACTGTGTTCCACAATGGTTGAACTAATTTACACTCCCACCAACAGTGTAAAAGTGTTCATATTTCTCCACAAATTCGCCAGCATCTATTGTTTTCTGACTTTTTCCTAAACAATACCATTCAGGACATAGGCATGGGCAAAGACTTCATGACTAAATCACTAAAAACAATTGCAACAAAAGCCAAAATTGACAAATGGGATCTAATTAAACTAAAGAGCTTCTGCACAGCAAAAGAAACCAGCATCAGAGTGAACAGGCAACCTACAGAATGGGAGAAAATTTTTTCAATCTACTCATCTGACAAAGATGTAATATCCAGAATCTACAAGGATCTTAAATAAATGTACAAGAAAAAAACAACCCCATCAAAAAGTGGGCAAAGGATATAAACAGACACTTCTCAAAATAAGACATTTATGCAGCCAACAAATATATGAAAAAAAGCTTATCATCACTGGTCATTAGAGAAATGCAAATCAAAACCACAGTGAGATGCCATCTCACACCAGTCAGAATGGCGATTATTAAAAGTCAGGATCACCAATTCTAAACAAGAAACAAGGTAAAACCTAACCTCTTTCAATGTTAAATTTGGTTCAATTCCTAGAAATTAGAAACAATACCTGAAAGCATACATGTACTGAAAAATATACATAAACCAAAAATATAATGGTTAAAACTATATATAAATGCCATAAGGAATGACTTTCAAATGGAGCATGTAGTGTGAGAGAGGCCTGTTGAGCACACACCAAACTATTATAGATCACACAATATTGCAGTTGCATATAAGAGGGAGTTATCAGAGATTCAAGAAAAATCCAAATGTAAATTGATAGATATGACATCACCCTGAGAGGACATATGTGAACTAAAGAAATATAATCTATTTGGAATGGGTTAAGAAAATCTTTATTCTTAAAAAAAAGAAAATCTTTATTTATGAAACTGACTTATGAAATTTTATATGGTTTAAATAACATCTTAATGAAAAGGCAATAAACTCTAAGATGGATGACAAGTTACTGCTCAAAATAGAGGATTATAGACAACAATGAGAAATTCATAACCCACATGCAATGAAATTCTATAGCAAAAATTTGGAAAATTACTACTGTTATAAAACTTGTATTTTATCAAATCCAATATAGCTATTTCCTTTGATATTGTAGAGAACTAGAAATTTTACACTATTTTAATATTCCCTGGACAAAACTAGAACATTGCAGAAAAAAAATCTTTTTAAAAATAAGAAGTCAGTACCTAACATTCCAAGAAATTAAAACATAACTGAATGTTCCACAGAATCCAGTAGGCACAATTCTTTTCAACTGTACCTCAAGGCTACATACATTTTTTTTTCTTACTTCCTGAAGTAGTTGACAGCCTACAACCCTCTCTTTTTGTACTGTACTAAAAGGTAAACTGATCTGTCAGTGACACTGTACTACAATCTATCTCTCAAGAGCAGGAAAATGTTGAATTTCTTACTAGACTGTCAAGAGTTCGTGTGCTCTTGCTGTTAAGAGTTTTCTGTATTTTTATAACTCTGGTTATAAAAGCACCTGTAAGGCTTTTCAGCAATTAGTTTCCTGGGGACTGGTTAATAGTGTCCTGTCAGACAGCTAATATTTATGACAATGGAAGGTAAATGGTCTGTTGAAATGTGGCCCACCAATCATTAATTTCACTCCTTAGCGGGAGAATAGCACTTTACATATTTCTTTTGAAAACTGTTAAAAATGTATGCATGGGATTTTGAAAATGGCAATGGTTTTAAAATACCAAGGAGCCTTTTTGTATCATGATTCTGTAGCGGAATAAAATATTAAGCCAAACTATTCTGAGTATTTCTCAAAGATTTTAGTCTTAAGAAAGAAACTGAGTCTTTTCATAACGAATTACACTTATAGTGGAGTTCCATGCCCTAAATATTTTTAAAGAACCAGGAATAAATTAACTTTCTGTATATTTCTAGGAGTTTATAGGACACTTCCAACTCAAATGTCCTCATATGATGTTTCATTTTATTTTATTTTTATTCTTGCTGGGGCAAGCTGAACTCCTTATGTAACTTTCCTGTCTTTCCCGATGCAAATTTCACCTTGACATTTTGTACTCTTTTCTATATCTTTCTTAAGAATGATGCATTTTGATTACAAAGAATGAGATCATCAATAATCCAAGAAACAAGCATACAAAAAATCATATTCACAGTATTGATATTTGAATTTTTAAAAAATAGTTTCAAATGGAGGAGGATGTAAGGAGTGTAATTCCTTTGCCATTGTGAAAGCTAAGATTGCGTTTTGGTGAGAATGGAGGTATTTTTACCAAGATTCCTCTTTCACCAACTGCCTTTGGCAATTCCTAATTATAAGACATGATTTAAAAGTTGGTATTTCTTTCTGCAAGTGCCTTGCAATTTGGTGTAATTACCTTGAGTCAAACTCCATCTGCCTATTAAAATACTTTCAGAAAACTGTAAATAAATCATCAAAGTGTATGGTATTTCTCACTATTATGAAGATAAGAGCATGAAGGAAAATTAGTTAGTATCTTTTGTGAAACAATTCATCCTAAGAAGTACAAAACCCCACTTTCTGTGATAGAGGATCTGTATAGTGAGAAGGTACACCAGGATTAAATTGAGTCAAATGTAGACAGGGAACATTTGCTCCAGTATCAAGTAGTTGAGAAGACCTTTTTTAGTTTATCAATATATACTTATAATTCTGTATATGTATTAATAAATATGTTACTGCAGGCATTGAAAATTCAGGGGACTGTTCATATCGGTACCTTTAACATATGTATGAATAGTAGTGATATGGTTTGGCTGTGACCCCACCCAAATCTCAGCTTGAATTGTAATAACCCCCAAATGCCAAGGTTAGGGCCAGGTGGAGAAAACTGAATCATGGGGGTGATTTCCCCCCATACTGTTCTCATGGTAGTGAATAAGTCTCATGAGATCTGATGGTTTTATAAATGGGAGTTCCCCTGCACAAGCTCTCTTGCCTGCTGCCATGTAAGATGTGACTTTGCTCCTCATTCATCTTCAGCCATGATTGTGAGGCTTCCCCAGCCATGTGGACCTGTGAGTCCATTAAACCTCTTTCCTTTATAAATTACCCAGTCTTGGGTATGCCTTTACTAGCAGCAGGAGAAAGAACTTAATACAGTAAATTGGTACTGGTAGAGTGCGGTGCTGCTGTAAATATACCCAAAAATGTGGAAGCAACTTTGGAACTGGGTAACAGGCAGAAGTTGGAACTGTTTGGAGGGCTCACAAGAAGATAGGAAAATCTAGGAAAGTTTGGAACTTCCTAGAGACTTGGAGGGCTCAGAAGGCAGGAAGATGTGGCAAAGTTTGGAACTTCTTAGAGACTTGCTGAATGGCTTTGGCCAAAATGCTGATAGTGATATGGACAATAAGGTCCAGGCTGAGGTGGTCTCAGATGGAGACGAGGAACTTTTTGGGAACTAGAGTAAATGTCACTCTGTCTATGAGAAGAGACTGGCAGCATTTTGCCCCTACCCTAGAGATCTGTGGAACTTTGAACTTGAGAGAGATGATCTGAAATTGGAACTTAGGTTTAAAGGAGAAGCAGGGCATACAAGTTTGGAAAATTTGCAGCCTGACAATGCAGTAGAAAATAAAAACCCATTTTCTGGGGAGAAATTCCAGCAGTTGCAGAAATTTGCGTAAGTAACAAGGAGCCAAATGTTAATCACCAAGACAATGGGAATAATGTCTTGGCAGAGCATGGCACAGACCTTCACAGCAGCCCCTCCCGCCACAGGCCCAGAGGCATAGGAGAAAAAAAATGGTCTTGTGGGGCAGGCACACAGCCCTGCTTCTATGTGTAGCCTAGGGACTTGGTGTCCTAAGTCCCAGCTACTTTAGCTATGGCTAAAAGGATCCAAGGTACACATTGGGCCATGGCTTTACAGAGTGCAAGCCCCAAGCCTTGGCAGCTTCCATGAGGTGTTGAGCCTGCAGATGCACAGAGGTCAAGAATGAGGTTTGGAAACCTCTGCCTAGATTTCAGAGGATGTATGGAAATGCCTGGATGCCCACGAAGAAGTTTGCTGCAGGGGCAGGACCCTCATGGTGAACCTCTACTAGGGCAGTGCAGAAGGGAAATGTGGGGTTGAAGCCCCACTGGGGCACTGCCTAGTGCAGATGTGAGAAGATGGCCACTATCCTCCAGAACCCAGAATAGTGGATCCACTGACAGCTTGCAATGTGTGCTTGGAAAAGCCATGGACATTCAATGCCAGACTGTGAAAGCAGCTAAGAGGGAGCTGTACCCTGCAAAGCCACAGGGATGGAGCTGTCCAAGTCTGTGTGTGCCTACCTCTTGCATCAGCATGACCTGGATGTGTGACACGAAGTCAAAGGAGATCATTTTGGAGCTTTAAGAATCGACTGCCCTGTTGGATTTCAGACTTGCATGGGGCCTGTAGCTAATTCTTCCATTTGGAGTTGGTGTATTTATCCAATGCCTATACCTCCATTGTATCTGGGAAGTAACTAACTTGATTTTGATTTTACAGGCTATTAGGAGGAAGGGACTCGCATTGTCTCAGATGAGAATTTGGACTGTGGACTTTTGAATTAATGCTGAAATTAGTTTAGAATTTAGGGGACTGTTGGAAGGCAGAATTGATCTTGAAATGTGAGGACATGAGATTTTTGAGGGTCCAGGGGAGGAATAAATATGGTTTAGCTGTGTCCCCACCCAAATCTAACCTTGAATTGTAATAATCCCCAAGTGTCAAGGTGGAGCCAGGTGGCAATAAATGAATCATGAGGTGGTTTTCCCCCATACTATTCTCGTGGTAATGAATGAGTCTCACAAGATCTGATGGTTTTATAAATGGGAGTTCCTCTGCACAAGCTCTCTTGCCTGCCACCATGTAAGATGTGACTTTGCTTTTCATTCTCCTTCTGCCATGATTGTGAGGCCTCTTCAGCCATGTGGGACTGTGAGTCCATTAAACCTCTTTCTTTTATACATTACACAGTCTCAAGTATCTCTTTATTAGCAGCTGAGAATGGACTAATACAAACAGTATATTTAATAATGGTAGAATAGTATTAACATTGCTGAAATTCAATTCAAAAGACTAGTCATTTCTTATGTTTATGACCAGGGTCACCATTTAGGAAAGTTACTGTTTCACTATTGTACATACAAATAAGGGATGTGTATTTGATTTGTTCTATATAAAATGCTAGAAGAAAAAGTAACTTGAACTTTATCTACTCTAAGACAGTTTTTGAATGTCCGATACCTTTAAGCAACTCAACTTAAAAGCGCTAAAAATGCACCAGGTGCTGACAGTACATAGAGGCAATCCATCATTCATTGAATAATATTTGCTATATGGCCATCATCAACTATACACTTTTCTAAGCAGAGATAATGATGAGAGCTAACATTTATTGAGCAATTTGAATGGGAAAGGCACTAATCTAGATACTTTACTTGTATTAACTCATTAAATCCCCATGACAATTCTCTAATCATTCCAGTTTTACTAACGAGAAGACCAAAGCACACACGAGTCATAATATCCTGCCAAAGTCACACAGCTGGAAAGTGGCAGAACTTATCTTTGAATCCAGCAATTCAGCTTTGAGCCCAAGATTTAAGCTGTTAGTCTCTATCAAGTTTTTAAGTTTACCTTTTCTTAAGAAAACTTGATAAAGAAAATAAACAATTGTTGAAAACCTGAAAACACTTCAGAAAGAACATCATGTTTCAGAATGTGGAGGTGTTAGAGCCCCAAGGTGGAGAAGAGTCAGAGTTCAAGTGTTTCAACTTTTCAAAATTCAAACTTCAGATTATTCTATTTACTGACAGTACAGTGGTCCCTGACTTACAGCTGAAAAAAATCAAGTCAGTTCTAAGGGCTCATGATTTCAAAAGAAAAGCAAATGGGGTGAGGAGAAGAGGATGGAACAATGGGGAGAAATTTGCAAGCAACAAAGAAGCAGAAATTATCAAGAGGAGAGTAACTTTCAAGTATTTCGCCTTACCTATATTAAGAACAGATGATTGAAAGACTAAAGCACCCAATCCCCCAAGTTTTTCAGTTAAAACACATTTGCTATGAATAAAAATTTGACTTACTAAAGCAATAAATGAGGAAAGAAGGGCTTATTTATTTGACAAATTATTTATTTTGATTATTCAAACTAACCAGCTGCACATTAAAGGTGTAGAATGTGCACAGGTTGATAAGAACTGAAATTATGCAGTTTTGTTTGGTCACATCCAATAAAAGGTATAAGGTATTCAGTTCATCATTAGAAATTTAATATAATTCAGACATTTCCAAATACAAAGCAGGTTAGCTTCCAAGAGTGTGTGTTTAAGTACTTGTCTACAGCATGTAACCCATTTCCCAATGGGGAAAAATGTACAAAAGGTGCTTAAGTTCTCATGCTAATAATCAATTGCTTAATCAGGCCTTATTTTAGCTGAAATATTAATATTTACAATCATTAGATAATAATATAATGTACTCATTAACCAAATGACCAAATTTTATATTTCCTCTTAAATGTTCGTTTGAGAAAACAATATAGACTTAATTAGAAGAAAATTACGAGGCAGGTGAGACAATCCAAAACAAACCCTAGGGAAGTAAGAATATTTTGAAAGTTAATGATACTATATTTTGATTATATCTAACTTTGCATTAAAATCTATGGCATAATTTTCCTTAACATAAAGGAATTTCTGTCTTATTAGGCATCACTATCATGATTTCATCTATTTATATTCTCTTGTACATGGGACGAGACAGGAATAAATAGAAAGATAAAAAGTAAATTTAAAAAAAAAGAAAAGAAAAAGAAGAAGATTACCACCCCCCACTCCCCCCATAATGAAAAAAGCAATAGAAAAGGCTGAAGTACAGGAACAGGACTAAAGAGGATACTGCATAAAGGTAAAAAGATATGGAAGGAGATGAACTTAACTGGGTTTTAAGAAATGAAAGAAGCTAATGGGAAGGACAGCAAAAGTCAGCTGCTTCTGGCGAGTCTCTAGGCAGAGCAGTCTGTGCAGGCCAGCCTGGAATCTCTCAGCAGTGGGCACTCAAGACAGGCACCAAGAGACTGACAGAGACAGCCAGACATAGCAAGGGCCAGGGTACAACATTTGCTGTGCCTACAAATCCAGTATTGCTGATGCCAAATCAGAACCAAAGTTCATAATCAAAATTTCTTCACAAAGTCATTTTTACAAACTTCATTGACTTAATATCTCTCTTTACACTGGGACTATACCAATTTTTAGTTTCGCAGTTTGGAAGTAAATAATCAAATACCATTTTTCATACCCAACAGAGAGTCATTCATTTTCTAAAACAGCACATAATGAAGGCAAAAGCTGCCCAATCCAATGTTTATGTATATAAACTGACAACCAACCATTCATATTTATTAAAATAGGATTCCTAATAATTATTTCTTCCTTTTGATAGTTCACATTAGTATATATAGATATAAATGAAAGCATATTTCCTAAAATACATAAGCAACTTCAAACTAGTTTTCCTTAATTTGTCCAAATGAGTTAAATCAGTTAGTTTTTATTATACTCAAGTTATATCTAGGGACATATTTTTTATAAATTGGTTGTGACTTATAATAAACATTTTTCATAGAGAATATCTACATATATGTGTGCATATGTATGTATACATCTATATATGTGTGTGTGTGTATATGTATATGTGTTTATGTATATATGCAAGTATTTCATTTTGGAAAGACATATCTGGTTGACAATTCACCAAAGGTTTCAGGGAATTTGGAAGACTTCAGAGTTTATGCTTTTTCAAGAGCACATTACTTTAAATAATATTTCAGGTAGAAATTATTTTAAAATCTTAGAAAATTGATCACAGAAATAAATCCTCCTCTTATTTCTCTTTCATATTCTCTATATTAATTAGGCTGGAAATGTATAGAGCCATATGCCAATCAAATGTTTTCATTTCATCTCTATCATTCATTAGCACGAGGCATTTGCAGTCCAGGACAGTAGTCCATGTTTATGTTTCACTTGCCTTGAGTTATGTTTTTACGACTTCCCACTTTCATTCTTCAGGATGAAAGGCGAGAAATGGATACCCGTAAGCACTTTGTTTATCAATGCAGAAGTGGCACTTTATTTGATGTTGCAACACAAAGTGAAATATCTCTGTATTTTTACTTTTCATTATTTTCTGCTCCTTCTACTACAGTGAGTACAATCACCTTTATTACAGATTCTCAATATATATGTAAATTGCCTGCACAATATTGCCTTCCATATTTTTAAGTTCCTTTGAATTTTGTAACTTTTCTTTCTCGTAGTTTGAGGCTGTATTTCCAACTACTTGGTAAATTTACGGAAAGAAGTGTTAGTCTTTTTCCCCACTATATCTATCTAACCAGTGCTCTGAATCTGAAGGATGTTTATTACATCCTGCTAGTAAATTTCTTCATATGGCCTTCTAAAATTATTTCATAGTGACAATGACAAGAAAAATGTGTTATAATACAAAGAATATTCCAACTCCTCTCCCCAGTCATTTCTTTACTGGCTTGAGCTTTCTTTTCTTAATCGAACAGGCGTATTTGAGTGCCTACTGAGTAATGGGTACTGTGCTTAATGCTGGGGTTTCAAACAATAACCAACTTTGACTTCAAGAATCTCAGAGTACAGTGAGAAAAACTGACAAAAAAGAAGGAGGAGGATGACTAGCAAGACTAGGAGGAGAGGAAGAAGAAATTAGTGATTGTAGCCTTATGTGGTCATTGCTGAAACAGAGAATCCCTGGATTCATAGGGCCCTATAGGCCTGAGGGTTTCAGGAAATGCTTCATTGATGGAGTTTTAACTGGGAGAAAGCAAAGATAGACCAGACATTCCAGGCAGAGGAATAGCTAGAGCAAAGGTAACATGCAACATAATTCATTCCAAGTTAAGTTCTTTGCTACATTTTCCTCAAGATTTTCAATATTTGGTTACCATTGTTTTTTAATAGCTTCAGAAATGAAACAATAACATTTTATTCCTTACTTATTTATGCAAGAACACATGGAATATCCATCCAAATAAAACATACAACTATATAATATTAATGTAAACAGCAGTCATAAGATATTATATTAGTGTATGATTTGTCCAGTACAAGAAATATTGGAACTCATAAAGCAAATAGCAATTTTATTAAAAAATTTTTAAAATCATACTGTATTTTTTAAAGGATAATAAAATATATACGATTTAAAAATACATTATCTTTCTTATAAAAATGCATTTTAAGGGTACATTTTATGTTTCAGGGAAAGAAGATATAAGCAAAATTACTAGTTATACATACACTACAGATTATACTCTAAAATTTTGAAAAAAAAAAAATTACTCCACTAAACAGAGGTGACCAAAAATATATAGGGATTTACAGTTCCCCGGGTTGAAACAAGGAGGAGGCAGTTGATGAAGTGCAGCATTCAGAGAAGTTTTAAAGGACCAGTCAGGTCAAACACTAGGTAGCAGGTACTGGCTTGGAATCAAGAGATGAGCCTAGAGCCTATCGGATGAGAATGAAGGCTCTAGAAGCCAATAAAGATAGGACATCTTGAAAGGTGGCTAAAGCAAACGAGAGGCCTTGAGGAAAAACTGCTTCAGATAAAAGGTTATAGAGTGGGACCTTGGGGGCTCCATAAATAAGCTTTAAAAGTTCTTCAAATTGTTTGAAAATTATGCAAACTTAAGTGCGCGTGCACACGCACACAAACACACATACACACAGGCATGCACACAAACTCTTCTCATGAGAAACTAATCTTTTTTTTTTCTTTTGTAATATACATTCTCAAAGGAGTCCTTGAAGTTTTACGCCCCACTGATCCAGGACAAATCTAATGAAAGTCAGATTTTTGTTAATTATGATTTGGTTTCCTTCTTCTGTAGTAGGATACAGCTGCCACGTGCTATGTTAGACAAGCTATTTTACCTACTACCTGCAGAATTATCGGGGATGCTCAAAATGATGTAGTAACCGCATACTTATGGGGACCTCATGGGAAAACATGAGTGACTTATAGAACTTCTGATGCCACTAAAGGAAATTCTCTATAATTATAAAAGGGAGTTGTTTTTAGAACTGCTAAATTGCCATTTCCCATAATTGAGGTTGTATCCCAGTGGTAGAATCAATGATACTACTTCTTATTAAACCAATAAGTCATGGTCCCTCTGCAATACAGCACATTCCCAATTATGGTGTCCTTTAAAAGAATCACCTTTGTCAAATCAAAGTTACGACTAAAATAATCCTTAGATACTTTTTGTTTCTGAGAATATAGTCATTGCTCTAAAATTTTAGGATTTGCTTTAAAGGCACAAAACAATGATTATGGATTTTTTGTTTCCTTCAAAATTTAAACGTTGAAAGCCTAAGCCCCAGTACTTCAGAGTGTGACCTTATTTGAAGCCAGGATCTTTACAGATGTAATCAAGTTAAAGTGAATTCATTAGAGTGGGCCTATATACAATATGACTGGCGTCCTTATAATACGGGGAAACTTGAACACAGAAACATGCACAGAGGTGGAGATGCTGTGGAGGCTTGGGAAAGACAGGCATCTATGAGCTAAACAGAGGCCCGGAACAGATCCTTCCCTCAGAGTCCTTAGGAAATACCAGCCCTGTTCACACCTTGATCTTGGACTTCTAACTTTCAGAACTGTGAGAAAATAGATTTATGCTATTTATGCCACTCTGGTACTGTGTTATTTCAGCCCCAGCAAACTAATACAATACTATCAATAATAATAAAAAATCTGTTTAGTGTATTGTATTAATTTCCTATTGCTGCTGTAACAACTTACCACACACAATGATTTAACCCATGCAAATTAATATCATCTATTTCCAGAAGTCAGAAGTCTCACTGGACTAAAATCAAGGTGTAATCAGGGCTGCATTCCTTCTGGAGGTGCTATAGAATGCTATCCTTGCTTTTTTTAGTTTCTAGAGGTTGTCTGCATTCCTTGGTTCATGGCCCAGTCATTCTGACCTTTACTTCTGTGACTTAATCTCTTTATCTGACTCTGACCCTCCTGCCTCCCTTTTATCATGACCCTTGTGATTACATTGGGCCACAAGAAAATTCAGGATAATCTTCCAGTCTCAAATACTTAATCACATCTGCCAAATCCCTTTTGCTATGTAAAGTAATATATGCAGATTACAGGGATCAGGGCATGACCATCTTTGGGGAACCATTTTTCTACCTATCACAGATATATTGAGTGATTAGCACACGGAAGCAACCAGCTAAGCACGTTACCTTAAGTTCTCACCAACTACTTCATCTTCATCTTCCCAACCACTTTATAATGTACATTCTATTAGCATGCCCATTTTTACCTGAGAATTTCAAATTGTATGTTTTTCTAATGAATTGCTCTAGTCTAAATCTTCCTAAATTATATAATTAAATGCCATTTTTTTTGTTGTCAATGTATCTTCACAGTATGTATATTAAACTAATTTTTTGCATAAAGACAAGTGCTTCCATCTCTTTCAGTTCTTGGGTATCAATTCGCTATATCCCATTCAGTCTAGTCTACTAAACACGGAGCAGCAGCACCTAGATAATGAGTGTGATATAAAGAAAGGGATTGGAACTGGACAGGGTAGAAATAAGACTGTTCATAACATGGCAGGGAAATCCTCAGCATTTGCAAGCATGTAGTAAGAACTGCTCCATATGGAGACAAGGCCAAGTGGTTCACGGGGGCAGAGAGAGACCTGTCAAACGTTGCAAACATAGCTACTCAGCACAAAAGCACAGCATGAGATCACAGCAGTACTAAGTGCAAGGACTATGTTTGTTCAACTCTATGTCCACAGCGTTGTTGATTGCTGAGCAAATCAGTTGATGAAGATGACAGACAGGGCTATTTTTTCAAGATAGCCCCAATTTTATCATTAACAAGGCAGTATTCCACTAACCTCTACCAAATAGGTGAAAAGTGTGTGCCAAGTTCAAGAAACTAGAAGGGCAATTATTTGACGAGGAACTAGTTATCATGGGCTCTTCCTGACATGAGCAGACAACTGAGTTATTGATCCGTGGCCTGAGTAACCTGAGAGCAGGGGTATGGTAGAGGATGGCAATTCTTCAGGAGAAGAACCCAGAAGAGCACAGATCAAAAGGCCCAGGAAGAAGGGACAGAGGGACAACTAACAGCACTTTTTTTTTTCCAGTCAGTTACGTTCTGAGCACTTTCCACACACTAATTAATTTTATCATCATGAAAACCTTATAAGGAAGATGCCACTATTATCATCACCACTGACATGCCTTCCAAGCAAGGACCACAAAGGGAACGCCTATAGTTCCATGAGTTGGATTTAATACTTGTGGCAGTGAGGGATGTACGTGGAGAATCATGGGGCACCTCAGAGAGTGATTGGAAGGACTTATTATGGGATTCAGGCTTAGGCAAGATGATTTTGGAAGAGAGCTCCAGAAGGCAGACTGGACTGGGTACTGTGAAGGGACAGGAATAAGTCTATGATTAGGTATATTAATAAATGTTTTCTAAATGGAGGGCAGACTATAATAAAGCTAACAAAGCAGCAATCACTCATATCAGCAGACATTTTGTGGTTTTTACACTGACCTTTTTCTTTTATCTGCACTTAGTCAACATTGTCAACTTGCCTGTCTTTATCTTTACACAGGTCCAGAATCATCTTGTCTGATGTTGATGTTCTGTGAGATTTCTTTATGTCTCATAGGAGAACACCAAGGCTTTGCTGTGATTGTCAGTCCAGCTCCTACCAATACTAAGACCTAGCTGTAAGATTTCAAGTTCTTTTTCCAAATATCAGGGCTGCTTTCCTCTTTTTCTGTCTCTGAATTATCTATAGAGAAGCAGAGGCTCAGGAAGTTTCAATAACTCACCAAAGGTCACTCAGCTATGTGCAAAGCAGGAACTGAACCCAGGTAATTGAGTTCCAGATTCTAAGTCTTTGGCCATTGTGCTGTATTATCAGCAGCCAGCAGCAGCTGTAGTGACAAACATAATGCCACATTTCCCAGCCCAGAGCTCACCACAAAGATCTTCTAAGAGGTATGATGCTGTGAATGCTTTCACAGGATTCAATTTCTGTGACTGTAAACTTCTATTTTTAAAACTACTCTGCCTGAACGAGTGCCAATGGTGAGGGTTTCACTTCTCAACATTTACATTCAACCCTTTGCCATTGTTTAAATAATTTAACATTCTTCCATATAAATAACAATTTTCACTTAGGCAGACTCTTACTATACATTGAGCATTACCCCAAGATGAAAAAGCCTCCTAAGTGAAAATCACTAAGGCAATTTAAAATACTGTTGTCCATGAAATTACCTTTAATCAAGTCACCAAACTTCCCCATTTGTCTCACTGAAAGTTCCAATTTCACCTCCTTCCTAACATTTTATGTTAACAATTGGAATACGTTTGTAATATATGCTCTTTGTTTGACCAACATATATTAATTGTTACATAACTTAATCCTATAGACATTTTTAACATTTAGAGACTCATGATGTGAGAAAAAATTTCAATAACTTTTTAGTTTTATTCAAAGAGATATGATAATAACATACTGAGCAAAAGATTTTCAAAAATTCATTGTGTAATTTAGGGAATTCGTACAATTTAAGAAAGGGGATAAAAACCATGATTTCATAAAAATAAAAGATGATGTAAATACAAAATACATACATAATTAAAATAAAATACATGGTATTATAAAATGGTATATTTTTATATCCTGTTAGGTGCTTAAAGAGAATTGTTTAATTGGTTTTAAAATGACAATTTTTATAAGATGTTTGAAATTATGTCATATCAAATTAAATTTGATGAAAAACTTTCAATGTCAATTTAAAAATTTTGCAAGCAGTTATTTCTTTTCCAGAATTATTTTTGGGATTTCCTGAGTAAACTTTTGTAAAGATGACTGACTTGTAACACTGCTATTTGCACGAAACAGTTTATTTTTATCAGAGTCCTGGAAGAGTCTGCCAAATGGAACTCAAGGTGGCTAGGGTAAGATTTACACTGGATATAGGCCCTGATTAGATATTATGTTTCATTCCATTGTTACAAAACTGCATTTTCCTTAGTTTCTTCCTTATTGGCCAACGTAGAAACTTTCTAGGATGAAAGTCTCCATTTTTATGCGTCTATGCTAGCCACAGCCAATGAGCCAGACTCTCTGCTGCAGAGCCTGTGTCCCGCTCAAAGTCTTTAAAACAAAACAAAAAATACCATAGACAATGCTTACAAATGTCCCAGGGCAGGCACATGCACATAAATCTACTTATTAATCTACTTCCCATTCTTTCCCTGAGCAGTTTTGGTTCCACAAAACTCTTTGAGTTGCTAACATAATTTCCCACAGGAAATATATTTTATAATCAAGTAACTTTTATTCATTCATAGATGTTCTATTTTCTTTATCTAATTTATTATGTATGGGTTTCTTACAATCTTAATATAAAAATTTAATGAACAGCCATGACAATCTATATTGATTTTTACCTGCTATACTTTAACCTTCTAAAGAAGTAGACTTTGCACATTTTGTTTTATGCATGTCAGAATGATACCGCATTATATTAATAAAGATCTTTTCATTCACGGTATGTAAGAGGCAGGGGTCTCAGCTATGTCAGAACTGAATTTTAGGCATGTCTCTTAGGAGAACTAAGAAGAAATCTTTCACCTTACACTTAAAATTTGTGTCTATTGATGGACTTGGAGGCTTGTGAGTTTTCTAGAATAAAACTCAAAATATAATGGTGAGAATTAAGTAACTCACAGAATGGCAAATATGCCAGGATTAGTACAGGATGGACAGAGGAGCAAGGTTAATGCCCCAAAGAAGTTATACTGCAAGAAGGGAATGTGGCTTTCCAGGGAGGGACTCCATTTCAGTGAAAGGGGTGTAGTTTACAAGCTGGACTCAATGACAGAGCCTGAGGGTCTGAGAGAAGTAGTACTTTTAAGTAAAATTGGGCACTGTTGTTTCAAATGAACTCAGCCTTCCTTGGGAGCACCTTGATAGAGAAGAGCCAAGTAAAATACGGAAAAACAGTAACCACTCAGGGTCTTAAAAAAACCCTGCTCTGGAATGCTTCTGACATAGACATCAGAGGAGGAGGACATATGCCAAGGAGACTGTGAGGTAGAATTGAGGATGATTCCACTCATACAAAGTTGTACTTAGCAGCAGGAACACCTGAACATTGAGGAATGCCCCCAAAAGCAGCGGCTGTCATGGTCAGGACAGAACAGGGACATCACCATGTGAGCAGCAGCCTGAGAGTGAGTGTTAAGCCACAATCACGAGCTCAAGTTTCATTACCCGTGAGGAGAAAGGATAAAATTAAGAGAACCTTGAAAGAGAGGTTACGTTTCTATAAATATGTAAATAGGTTCTAATAAGCAAGAAATACTGAGGTCTATAAGGTGGTCTCATTTTTATGCACACAATGATGAATCACAGTGATATTGCAGCATTTATATTTTAGAATCAATAACCTGGTTGGTGGTTCATTCTGTGCCTGGCCTATTTATATTTTATAGCCACCAGAAAAATAGCTAAGATTATGACTATGAGTCCAATAATCCAGGTACTTAAGAAAGGCTAGATTTAAATCAGGAAGACATGGCCAAACATTTTTAGAATAAGAACGTCCATGTAAGAGAAAATATTTTGTTTTTAAAAGCATATGTTACAGACAAATTTTCAGCCCGATGAGGTGATAATAAGTAGATATGGAACCATTACATAAAATTTAAAAATATAGAAGTCATTTACATTAAAATTAAAATTATTTGGGTGTTATTTAAATGTTTACATTAATTTGGACTATATTGAATAGGACCAATCCATGGCACTGATTCATAATTATTAATTAAAGAGGACCTCAGCTAGATCCACTGCTTTACATATAACCTATAGGTTAATGACTTCCAAATGTATACCTCTGTTCCCATTTTTTCCTTAATCCTCCAGACTCTGAAATCTATATCCCTACTGACCTTAAACTTAACATTCTCCCTAAAAACCTCCTGAATTTCTCTGTGAACATCCTCCTTGAGTAATCTTCCCCATCTTGTTACAAGGCAACTCTATTCTTAAAATGCACAGGACAAAAAGCCTTGAGTCATCCCTGACTCCTCTCTCCAAGGATTCATTAGCAAATTCTGTGACCTCCTCCTTCAAAATATATCTCCAGTCCGACCCCTTCTTACTATCTCTGTTGCTACAGGTTATCTTCTGAAACTGTTGGAAGAATTTTCTAACTTGCCTCCATGTTTCTACCTTTGTTCTATTCTCCAGATAATTTGATCAAGTTATTGCTTGTTTAAAACCTTCCAATAACTCTTTATCTGTCTAAAGTTATGATTGTTAGTCTTGGCCTAAAAAGTTGTTTTATGATCTTCCTCCTTACTACCACTCTGACTTTATCTTCTGTATTTCCCCTCCGCTTCCTTCATTCCAGTCATAAAGACTTCCTTGGTGTAACTCAAATTCCCATACTCCCAACCCAGGATGTTTTCACTTGCTTTGTCTTCTAACTGGAAAGCTCTTTAATTAAATAAACATATGATTCTTACCTACCTTTTGTTCCAAGCTATACTCAGTAGTTGCATTTGCAGAGAGGTCTTTTTTGACCACCCAATACATGAAGACATGTTTGCTTCTTCTCACTAATTTTATCTGCTATATTTTTCTTCATTTCAATAGTCACCCAAGTAATACACATTTTTGTTCCTATGTGTCTTCTACCACTGAAATGTAAGTACCATGAAGTCCCCTGTAGTATCCCCACCCAGCACATGTGATAAGATGCTCAATAAGGTGTTCAGTAAGATGCCCAATATGATGCTATTGGATAAATTAAATAATAGCAGAAAAATTAGAACTTCATGATTTTTTAAGCTACTGTCTTTTAATCTATCCTTTAATGACTTTCTAAATAACTCATTGTAGAGAGTTACAATTTGTAAAATTCTAGCAATTTTTCTGTTTACAACAAAATATTAGAGAATGCATACTGCCTAATCTGGCAACTTTTTTTTCCCTTGGTTATCAAGTTTTAAATAATGCTTAGTTTTCTAGCCCTCAAAGTACAACCACAGACTGCAATATCTGTCTAGTTTTCCAGCAGAAAAGAAAGTATGCATACTTAGCCAGAACTAACATGATCCCCCCCAATCTGATTCCACCTAACCCTTTCACATTTATATATGAATAAAAGGATTCTAGAAGGAATTCCTTAAAGACAAAAGAAAGACAAAAAAAAAAAAAAATCTACTCCTGAGTCTTATGCTCAAAGAAAGATATTTGGAAGAAGTCAGAAGTCAATGGAAAAAAAAAATATGCAATCATAAAAACATACCTGACAAGTGTTCGCAAAGCAGTTTTCATGTTCTTTTTTTTTTTCAAGACAAGTCTTGCTGTATTGCCCAGGCTGGAGTGTAGTGGTGCAATCTTAGCTTACTGCAACCCCTGCCTCCTGGGTTCAAGCGATTCTCCTGCCTCAGCCTCCTGAGTAGGTAGGATGGCCCGCGCGCCACTATGCCTGGCCAATTTTTGTATTTTTAGTGGAGACAGGGTTTCACCATATTAGTTAAGCTGGTCTTGAATTCCTCACCTCATGATCTGCCCGCCTCAGCCTCCCAAAGTGCTGGGATTACAGGCGTGAGCCACTGTGCCCGTCCCATTTTCTTTCTTACTTATCTTTTGGCAGATTGTAACACTGACTTCAATCTTTTACATGTCTTTGTACTCATATCCTGTCCATGGCATCATCATTGACAAAGCAGGTGCCTATCCCTTAACTTTGCATCCTGCCATGTGATTTGCTTTGAAGGCAGAAATGGCAGTGTGTCCATTATGAGCACAGAGTTGAAGAGACTGTGCAAGTTCCTGATTGTTCTTATTTCTTGAGCATTACAATGATTACAGCAGGCCCTCCTGGTCCTAAGACAGTTAGAGAATATGGAACAGAGCAACTCCAACTAACCCACAGAACTGCAGTAACAAGCAGAGACTCCCAGCCAGAAAACCCTAATGAAAACATTCAGCCCAGCCCAGTCCAGCCCAGCCCAGCCCAACTGCAGACATCTGAAGGATAATAAATGATCATTGTTTTAAGCCACTGAGTTTTTAGGTAGCTTATTATGCACATCATAAAACCAATATAATCTTCTTTCCAAAATATCTTTTACACTTACTTAAAAGATTTTTTTCATAAGTCAGAAATAAAAAGTTCAAGTACAAAAATAAAAAATGACTTCTAGTCAGAATTTAGGTTGAAATACTCAGCATGAAAAAAAATGACACCTCTTTAAAACAAAATGCATAGAAGGAATTTCTAATGAATTATCTTCTTAAAGACATATGAATAAAATGTGATACTGAAGTGCTTTCATGATAAAAAAAGAGTCTGAACAAAACAAAATAGGAATAAAGAGAATAAAAGCCTTGTGATATTCATTGATGTTAGCATTTTACTATTGCAAAAAGAATCTTAGGGTACAATAGCCACATAAAATTATAGTTTGCCTAAAAGAAACAAATTCCCGGAATAATAAAAGCTATCCTTTGAAAAATAGAATGAAGAGAAGCCTACAATTTATCAGACTGTAAATAAGAGATTGTCTAAAAGACTATGAGAACAATGACAGCAAATAGTCTTCAGCCATGAGAGCTTACCAGAATCAACCTAACATTACCCTCAGGGCCCATTAAAGGAAGATGTAGAAGAAATATCTAGACATAGAAACTTTTATTAGAGATGGTCATAAAACATTGATTGAAAAACCTTTTTGAATATCATACCAGGATCATTTATTTGAAGCCCAAATGGTTCATGAGTTACCAAGATGCTAATAAATCAAAATGGTTGTGAAGGTAATTTGTTTAACTTCCCATTTGTTCTTGTTAAATGTATATACACTGAAAGAAATTGTTCTCTTTATGTGCACATTGAACATATTTCTTAAAAATGAGGCTTCAATATTGAGGGACTTTGAAATTAATCCCCTTTCACTCTTATGCCTATTTCCCCAAAAGAATCATCATACATGTATCTGGGCATTAACTATTTCTTTAGTCTGACAAGAGAATATATCACTAAATTTAATCAAGAAACAGCCAATTCAGTTTTAGGTGGCATGTTTCAACTCACAGGAATTCAGAAGGCAAATAGCATGGACACTTGGTTATGTATGTCTTAAATGCTCCTAATTCACTATATATCATTCTTTCCCATGATAATTGGTACTCTGTCGTATCCAGCAAAAAACTCATTTATGCAAGATTTAGTAGGAGATAACATTTACTGAGCATTCACACTGAGCCAGGTACCACTGCAGGAAGGCACTTTACCAGAATTAATTCCTTTAAGTCTCATCACTAAACTATAAAATAGATTATATTGTCATCTCCATTTTATAGGTTAGAGAAGTAAGGAATAGATTTGCTAACCTGAGATGGAACCAGTATACTATTCCAGGAAGACTGATTCTCTTAGCCATTATATCACAACTTTTAAAAACTGGAAAATAAAACACTTATCACCAGCTTTCCTCTGAGTATAAGAACAGTCTGATTTTAAAATACCTTTAAAATTTCTTAATTTGGAAGCTGAGACTCTGAAAGAATTAGCTATCTGTAGTATTCTAGGGAAGAAAACAAAATCATCATTAACTTCCTTTAAATATGAAATGGAAGGCAATTGGTGTTGAAGAGTGAGCTGGGGTAAGTCTAGTAGTAGTGAAGGAAGTAGAAATTGTTGTTAAGAACAGAGATGTCTGATATTCAATTGTAAGTTGTTTGAATATGTAATGTAAAACCCCCTGCCCCTCCCTATTTCAAACAAACAAGTTGGTTACCTTTTATCTGCCTTGTATGAATTATATTTTGTTCGCATTATGTGTTGTGGATGGTTGGAAATCAAGAGTCTGGGTTCTACCTCTGTGTTAATAGATTAAATTAACTGGGTGAAAGCAAAACATAAAATGTGGTAGTAATCATAACAATCTTAGGTTCTTAAACATTCACAGAAATCTTTAAAAATTTTTAAGGCATTGGACTCTCATCAGGGCATGGAATATGGGGGGATTAGGAATCACTTTTAACTAAATATTAAAACAGTGATTAAACCCAGTTGACATTATGTCACGCATTTATCTTTTACTGTAATATTCCCACCATTGATAAATTGGCAGCCATCTTATCCTGACCTCCAATGTTACCCATACTTCCAAGAGCAGGTGCCTCATCCTGTGCCTACACACTTAACAGTCAGTGAAGATTTCTGTCTGTTCTTTAATCTTAACTTTTTTTTCTCATTCCTCTGCCTTCTTCCCTTTCTTTTTTCTTTCTCCACCAGAGAACCAACCCTAAATCATCCAAAGCTCTGCCATGGCCATAAGTCAAGTTTCCCTGTATAAATGCCATCTGCTGTGTGGGTTCTACTCCCACAAATAATTGAGCTGATTAGGAAAATACAGTCGTCGGTGAAGTCATATCTATGACAAGAAACATGAAAAACCAGAAAGACTGGAGTTCACTATATTTTAGCATAAACAAATAGTGTGGGAGGGGCATTCCTCTCTAGTAACAGCTGCCCTTCTACAAAAATTAGAAGGTAGATCCTGACAATACAATGATAGGATTTTTTTTGAACCAACGAGTTTCTAAAATAAAAATGCAAATATTATTTCATTTCTTTCCTTCACCCTTATCCCAGATTCTGATAACCTACATACTTTGACAACTACTGTATTACAGAAAGGGGACAGTAAAATGCTTTGTACTATTTCCAAACTGCATATGTACCCTCAAATATAACATATGCCCAATAGTCCTACAATTTGCTGAGATTTATTTTACAACAGAGCTCTAAAGATATAAAAGTAGATGATATTGATATTGGAAAGAGGACAGAGATGGAAGAATAATTTAGAAGACTCCCATAGTATGTAGAGTTTCTCTTTAGAATGAATGTTTTTCAGAAAAACAAAATCAAATTCAACAATTAATTATAAAATATTATACCTGGATATTACAACTCAACTAGAAACCTAAGTGCAAAATTAGAATAAGATTCAAAATACAAAGAGAAAAATCTAAAAAAATTATTTTACATTTAAAAATACATATTCCAGCTTTACATTTTTCTCATTTCATAAATACTTGTTCACATTTAAAACAAATCTCTAGGCCGGGCGTGGTGTTTCACGCCTGTTAATCCCAGCACTTTGGGAGGCCGAGGTGGGCAGATCACGAGGTCAGGAATTTGAGACCAGCCTGGCCAACATGGTGAAACCCCATCTCTACTGAAAATACAAAAATTAGCTGAGCGTGGTGGTGGGCGCCTGTAATCCCAGCTACTTGGGAAGCTGAGGCAGGAGAATCATTTGAACCCAGGAGGCGGAGGTTGCAGTGAGCCGAGATCATGCCATTGCACTCCAGTCTGGACAACAAGAGCAAAACTCTGTCTCAAAAACAAAAAACAAACAACAACAACAAAAAAAACAGAAAACAAATCTCTATTCAAGACAGTAGTCCAGCAAGGTGCAGTGGCTCATGCCTGTAATCACAGTATTTTGGGAGGCTGAGGCAGGTGGATAATCTGAGGTCAGGAGTTCAAGACCAGACTGGCCAACATGGTGAAACCCCATCTCTACTAAAAATACAAAAATTAGCTGGGCGTGGTGGCACATGCCTGCAGTCCTACCTGCTTGGGAGGCTGAGGCAGGAGAATCGCTGGAACCCGGGAGGCAGAGGCTGCAGTGAGCCGAGATCGTGCCACTGCACTCCAGCCTGGGTGACAGAGCAAGACTCTGTGCCTCAAAAAAAAAAAAAAAAAAAGACAGTAGTCCACTTGCTATATAAGATATCTCACTAAGAAGCCAGAAATTATAATTTTAGATTAATTTTATATTGGTTAATTTTAAAAACATATACAGTTAATAGAGTTGCAAGGATCATATTCCCCTAAAGCATCAGACATGTACCATCTCATTTTTCATGGTGACCTTACAATTCTTTCAGGATGTCATGCTGCAACTTCTGTTTCATCTTTTACGTTTCATTCACACAAAACTTTGCCTCTTGTTTCTAGAAGCAACTTTAGGGTTCCAGTTTTTTTTTTTTTTTCCACTCTCAATGACAATTTGCCAGGATGATCTCCCTCATTGTACTCTTTCTTCCTATTTATCAGCAAGAATTAATTTTCAGACTACTCTTTCTTACATTTTTTTCTCATTTTATCACTACCCTAATTATGAACCCAACATGGTCTCTACTTTCTCCATGATATAACACCCTACACATTACAATTTTTTCTCCCTCATTTATAACCATCCACTTTTGATTCCACAAGTTCTTTAATAAATGAACTACTGCTGGGCATTAGAGGTATTTCTTGCCCCAGTCTTTTTTTGCTATTGTAAAGTGCTATGATTAATCTTTTTATGCTGTTTAATTTTTTTTCTTGGTCACTAAGACACTATAAATACTATTATATTAATTTTTCACTTAAAATCTTTTGATTAGGAACTTCCATTTTTATATATATCTTATGATTAATAATTTTAGAAAAATGAACTCCTTTATTATCAAATGATTCCTCAATTAAAATGAGTATGAGTTATGTGCAGTGCTACTTTAGTAAACATTATTCTGACACCATTAATTACAGAGGACATTTGCTATGCAAAGCCATGAAGGACACTTTATTGTGCCTTAGATAATGTACAAATATGAAGTGGATGTGGGCTGCCATGCAAGGGTAAGGGGAAGAAAAAAGACTGCCCACTCTACCCTGAACTGAGTGGGAGACAGAGGTTGTTTGTCACCAGATGAGTGATAGGAATACTGAGAAATCTGCAGTTCTGAGTTTCATAAAAGAGTCTGCTGCTAAAAGTTGAGGATAGAGAAAGAATATTGAGAAAAATCCCACGATAATCCAGATAGTGCAAAGTAGTGGAGGTTCACGACTGAAAGAATTTGAAGACTCATGCACGAAAGGTATATATGGCAGCAATCAAACCCGAACTCAGCTAAACAGCCCGCTGTATTGATTATGACTCCCACACCAAAGACCTGACGAGAAAGAGAGAGGTCCCTTTTGGGGAGTAAATATTACTTAACTCACTTTCTATTGTTCCTTTATACATTTACTCACAAAATCAGGCATTCTATAAAAAATTACAGAGCATACAAAAGAGGAAAAGAGGTCACTACTGATAAATGAAATAGTGAACAGAATAGAACTAGAAATAGCCCAGATACTGGAACGATAAGAAAAAAGGTCTTTAAAATTTATCATTAATATGTTACGATATAACAGAAAAAAGTGGACAATAGATGAAAGATGGGGAACTTTAAGAGCACAATGACAGTAATAAGATTAAAATAATTAAAATGCCAAAATAAAAAGCCTAAAATCAATAAACATGGAAAGTGGAGATAAATTTGAGCCCCAAATAAGCGAAAAAATAAATAAGAAAAGAGCAGAAAAAAACAAAAACCAGTCAAAGCAACCTGGTTCTTTGAAAATATCATTGTACTTGTTAAACATCCACCAGATTTATTTTTCAAAAGCCACAGTTGCTAATATAAAGAAAGCCAGAGGGAGCATTACTATAGATCTTATGACATTAAATTGATAATAAGGGAATATTAGAACTATTTGCCAATAAATGCAACAGTTTAAATGAAATTGACAAAATGATTAAAAGATGCCAACTTCCAAAGTTCAGACAAGAAAAGAGGTAACCTGAATAGCCCTAGATATATTAAAGAAATTGAATTTGCATTTAAAATTCTTCTCACAGAGAAAACTCCAGGCTTCACTGTTGAAGTCCGTCAAACATTTCAGAATGAATAGTAACAACCCTACAGAAATTCTTCTCAAATAAAGAAAAGAAGGAAGCATTTTCCAAGTCATTTTATGAAGTTAACCTCACCCCAAAATCAAAACTACACACATTACAAGAAAACTACAGATGAGTATTCTCATGAGTCTAGACAAAGGGCAAAAAATAAAAAACCTTTACAAATGTTAGCAAATAACACCCAACAATATATAATAAGAAAAGTACACTAGACAAAGTCAAATTTGAAGTTCACTTAAATATGCAAAATGTTCAAGACTGCTTCAACATTAAAAATCAATTAATATACCATATCATATTTAGAAATAGTTTGTCAGCTCATTACAAATGCAATTAATAATATACTTACCATATGAGCCAATAATGCCATTCATAAGTATTTAACCAAGAAACAAGCTGATTTTATAAACTTTTAAAGGCATTCATCAGTCCAAAAAAAATTTATTATTTTTTTCCAGCTTTATTGAGGTACAATAAATAAAAATTGTATGTTTCAAGGTGTACAATGTGATTATTACATACACATTGTGAAATCTGATATGCCAAAACCAAGTTAATTAACACATCCCTCATATCTCAAATAGCTACCATTGTGTGTGTGTGTGGTGATTACACTTAAGATCTACTGTCTAAAAACACTCAAGTATATAATACAGTATTATTAACTACAGTCACACTCACACACTGTACATTAAATCCCCAGAACTTTTTCATCTCATAATTGAAAGTTTGTATCCTTGACCAACATCTCATTTCTTCCACCACCTAGTCTCTGCCAAATGCTGTTCTACTCTCTGCTTTTACGAGTTCAACTTTTTAAGATTCTGTATATAAGTGATATCCTACAATATTTGTCTTTCTGAGTTTGGCTTACTTTACTTAGTATAGGTGAAATCTGTCCTCCAGTTTCATTCATGTTGTCACCTATGAAAATATTTCCTCTTTTTGGCTGAATAATATTCCATTGTACATATATATCACTTTTTATTAATTCACGAAGGACACTTAGATTGTTTTCATATTTCATCTATTGTGAATAATGCTGCAATAAATATGCAGATACAGATATCTCTTCAACATATTGATTTTATTTCCTTTGGAAATATACTCAGAGCAAGATTGCTAGGTTGTATTGTAACTCTGTTTTTAATTTTTTGTGGGAACTCTATACTACTTGCCATGATGGCTGTATTAATTTCCAGTTCCACCAACAGTGTATAAGGCTTCCCTTTTTGACACCCTCACCAACATTCATCTCTGATCTTTTTGGTAATACCTTTTGTAGCCAAGTAAGGTGATATCTCTTTGTGATTTTGATTTGCACTTTCCTGATTATTAGTGATGTTGAGCATCTTTTCACATACCTATTGGACATTCATATATCTTCTTTGGAAAAAAAGTCTATTCATGTCATTTGACTCTTTTTGAATTGTATTTTATTTGTTTTGGCATATTGAGTTGCATGCATTCTTTACATATTTTTGGATGTTAAGCCCTTATCTGATTTATGGTTCACAAATAGTTTACATAGGTTGCCTTTTCATTTTCTTGATTATTTGCTTTGCGATGAAGAAGCTTTTTATTCTGATGTAGTCTCACTTGTTTATTTTTGCTTTTGTTGCCTGTGCTTTTGGTATCATATCCAAAAGATCATTGCCAAAACAAATGTCAAGGAGCCTTGTTCATATGTTTGTTTTCTAGGGGTTTGACTGTTTCAGATTTTACTTTTACGTCTTTAATCCATTTTAAGTTAAATTTTGTGTATGATATAAGATAAGGGTCCAATTTCATTCTGTTTCATTTGTATATCAAGTTTTACTACTACCATTTATAGTAGAGAATATCCAATATCCTTTTCTCATTTTGTATTCTTGACCCCTTTGACAAAGGTTAGTCTACCATTAAGTGCATTAATTGACTTCTGATCTCTTTATTCTGCTCTATTGGTCTAAGTGTCTGTTTTTATGCCAGAACATACTGTTTCGATTACTATAGCTTTGCTTTGTAGTATATTTTGAAATCAGGAAGTGTAAGGCTTCCAGCTTTGTTCTTCTTTCTAATCACTATTTTGGCTATTCAGGGTCTTTTGTGGTTTCATACACAGTATAGGATTGTTTTTTTATTTTCTATTTCTGTGAAAAATGTCATTGGAAATTTTACAAGGATTGCATTAAATCTATAATTAACATTGATTGTATGGATATTTTAAATTTTTTTATTATTGAACAAAAATTGAACAAAATGCACAAAGCAAGAAAAGAATGAAGCAAAAAAAGCACAGATTTATTGAAATGAAATTACCCTCAGTATAGTGGGAGTGGGCTCAAGCAAGTGGCTCAAGAGCCAATTGTATGGACATTTTAACAACATTAAAATCTTCCAATCTACGAATATATCCATGGATTATCTTTTCATTTATTTGTGTCTTTTTCAAATTCTTTCATCAATATCTTAGTTTTCAGTGTATGGATTTTTCAATTCCTTGGTTAAATTTATTACTAGGCATTTTATTCTTTTTGATGCTAATGTAAATTGGATTGTTTGCTTTCTTTTTCAGATACTTGGTAGTAGATTGAAATGCAAATAATTTTTTATATTGCTTTGTATGATACAATTCTACTGAATTCATGTCTTAGTTCTGACAGTTTTTTTTTGTGAAGTCTTTATAAGTTTCTACATATAAGATTATATCATCTGCAAACAAGGACAATTTAAATTCTTCAGTTCATATTTGAAAGTTTTACATTTCTTTTTCTTGTCTAATGCTCTGGCTAAGACTTCCAGTAATATGTTGATAGAAGTGATAAAAGTGGTGATCCTCTCTTGTTCTTGATCTTAGGAAAAAAACCTTCAGTTTTCACCATTTAATATAAGGTTGGCCACAAGCTTCTCATATATGTTCTTCATTAAGTTGAAGTACATTCCTTCTTTACCTAATTTTTTTGCGAGTTTTTATCATAAAAGTATATTGAATTTTTCCAAATAGTCTTTCTCCATTTATTGAGATGATCATTTGATTTTTACCATTCATTCTGTTAATGTCATATATCACACTTAATGATTGTTTTATGTTGAACAATTTTTGCATTCCAAAGATAAATCTTATTTGTTCATAGTATATGGTCCTTTTCATTCACTGTTGAATTTGGTTTGATAGTATTTTTTGAATATTTTGACATTTAAATTCTTCAGGGATATTGGCTTATAATTTTCTTTTATTGTAATTTCCTCTTCTGGCTTTGGTATTACGCCTCATAATATTCCAACCCGATAATATGAATTTGGAAGTGTTCTCTCCAAACTTTTTTTGGCAGAGTTTGAAATGAATTGGAATGAAGTCTTTTTTACATGCTTAGTGTAATTCACCTCAGGAAGCCATCTGTTCCTGGGCTTTTATTTGTTGAGAGACTTTTTTATTAATGTGTCAATCTTCACCCTTGTTATTGGCTTGTTTAAATTTTCTATTTCTTCTTAATTCGTTGTTGGTAGGTTGTATGTTTCTAAAAATTTATCTATTTTATTTAAGAAAAACGCTCTTACCTTTACCATTATTTTCTGTTGCCTCCCTAGTTTGTGTCTCATTTATTTCTGTTATAACTTGTACTGTTTCTTTCCTTCTGTTAGCTTTTAACTTAGTGTCTTTTTTCTGACATCTCAAGATGTACAGTTATTTGTTTGAAATTATTTTTTTTCGACGTAGGTATTTATCACTATAAGCTTTCCTCTTTGAACTTATTCTGCTGCCTCCCGTAACTTTTGATACGTTGTGTTTCAATTTTCATTTGTTTCAAGATACTTTTTTATTTCTCTCTTGATTTCTTCTTTGACCCATTGGTTGTTCAGGTATGTCTTGTTTAATTTCCTTATATTTGTGCATTTCCCAATGTTCTGTTGTTATTGATTTCCAGTTTTATACTATTGTGGTAGAATACGACACTTGAAATAATCTTCTTAAATTTGTCAGCACTTATTTTTTGACCCAACGTATGATCTATCTTGGAAAATGTTCTGTGTGAGCTTGAGAAGAATGTGTATTCTGCTGCTGCTGGGTGAAGTCTTCGTTATGTGTCTGTTGGGTCCATTCATTTACATTTAAAGTTATTACTAATTTGCAAGGACTTACTTTGCCATTTTGTTGTTTTCTGGTTGTTCTATAGTACCTTTGTCCCTTTCTTTCTCTCTTGCTGTCTCTTATTTAACTTGTTGATTTTCTTTGTAGTATTACGGTTTTATTCCTTTCCCTTTATATTTTACATATCTGTTCGAGGTTTGTGCTTTGTTAGTACCATGAGGTTTACATAAAATACCTTTGTTATAATATAGTAGTCTATTTCAAAATTATAACTAACTTCAATGGCATAAAAACCCCACACATTTACTTTCCTCCTCCACATACATTTTATATTATTGAGGTAATACTTTACACATTTTTATATCATGCACCAATTAATAAATTATCATAGCTATAGTTAGTTTAATACTTTTGCCTTTTAACTTTTTAATAAAGTTAAAAGTGATTTATGCAGCACCATTTATACATCACCATTACAGTATCAGAATATCCCAATTTCACTATATATTTGTCTTTATCAGTGAGCTCAGTTTTACCATATATAGTATTCTTAATTGGCAGTTATTTTTGTTTCAACACTTTAAATATACTAATCCATTCCCTTCAGGCCTGCAATGTTTCTGCTGAGAAACCCAAAGATAATCTTATGAGAGTTCTCTTATAGGTGACAAACCACTTCCCTCATGCTGCTTTTAATTTTTTCTCTGTCTGACTTTTGACCATTTGATTATAACATATCTCATGGTTATTTTCTTTAGATTGACTTTGCATGGGGTTTTTTGAGTTTCACAAATCTAGATGTCCATATCTCAAGATTTGGGATGTTTCAGCCATTGTTTAAATATGCTTTCTACCACTTTCTCCCTCTCTTCTCGTTCTGAAAATTACATAATGTGTATATTAATTTGCTTTTTGGTATCCGATAGGTCCAGTATGTTTTCTACACTGTTTTGCATTCTCTATTGATTGTTCCTCTGCTTTCTTCACTCTTTTTCATTTTCTGTTCAGTTGGTTCCTTTGTTTGTCTCACTTTAAACACCCTGTTTTTGAGTTCACTGATTCTTTTATTTGCATTACTAAGGCAGGTTTTAAAATTCTCTATGAATATTTCACTTCTGTCATTGTATTTTTCAATTCTAGAATTTATGTTTGGTTCTTTCTTACACTTTCTATTTTTGTATGAGACTTCTTATTTTGTTCAACTTCTCATGTTTGTGTTCTTGATTTTGTTTAGTTGCCTACATGCATTCTCTTGCATCTCATTGAGATGAAAGATTCTTTAAGATGAATTTCTTTAAATCAGGCAGCTTATAGATCTCCATTTCTTTCAGGCATGCTACTAGAGCTTTATTAGTTTACTTGTGTGGTGTCATGTTTTACTTGTGTGGTGTCATTAGTTTCCTTGTGATCCACGTAGCCTTTCACTGGTGTCTGTGCATCTGAAGGAGTTAATGTCTCTCCGAGTGTGCAGACTAGTTTCAGCAGGTAAAGACCTTTTCCTGTTTTAGTGCCTTGGCTGATATGACTGCCATTAGGAATGTAGCTTATTAGTATTGAAACCAGGTCACAGTATTGCTGCATGGTCCAATATCAGGTCCCTGGCTGGCAGGCCTGTTTCAGGGACTTAGGTAGTTGTGGATCCTGTCTGTTCCCTGAGAAGACTGGATTGTCTCCAGGACCTTGGCCAGTAGGGCTAGTGCTGGGACAAGGATACACCACTTCAGGCTCCACAGTAGGGTCCAAAGACATGGGGACTGTTACCATGGCTTGGATGGATATGGCTCCCACTAGGTATCTGGGAGGTCTCCCATTCGGTCCCTGTAAAGATACCTGTGTTGGCAGTACTAGCCCCTAAATCACAGCTGAGGGGGTCTGAAACTGAGTCAGGCCTGCTTCAGGGTCCAGAGCTGATACTGAGGTCTGCAGGCCTACCTCTAGTGACATGGATGGGCGTGAGTCCTGCTGGGTTCCAGGGTGGGCAGTACTGCCCCAGAGCATGAGTAAGCAGAGTTGCAGACAGGTTACTTGGCTGCTTCAGGATCTGCAGTCAGACCAAGGGACATAGATGGGTGTCTCACCCATTGGGTACTTGGGCAGGCAAGATTGTTCTCAGACTGTAGCTGAGAGGAGCTGGAGCCAAAGTACAGAGCTGCTTCAAGTGAGTCTCTCTTTGGGTTACCCCTTGTCCCATTTTCAGACCATGACTAAGAGGGACTGAGGATGAGTTACAAGGCCATTTCAAGATCCAAAGTCAGACTAGCGTAAGCATGCCTGCCTGCAGGGTCACCATGGATGTGTTCCCAAGAAGGTAATTAGGAGTGCAGAACTGTTGAGAGAGGCTAGAACCAAGTTACAGGTCATTTCAGGATCTGCTCTGGGACCAGGTTAGTGGGCCTGCATCTGAGGGCATAGACAGGCATGTCAATGTGTGAGTCCCTAGCTGGGCAGGACCTCTCCTAGACTGGGACTGAGACAGGCTAGAGCCAAGTTCAGATCTGTTTTAGTATTTACTGTGGAACCAAGGTCAGCAGGCCTATTACCCAAAGTGTGGGTGTGTATGACTCTTTTCAGGTCCCTTGGTAGATGACGCTGGAGGTAGGACCAAGGCTAAAACGCATTGCAGATGTGTTCACAGGAGGATGGGATTGTTCTGTGTCTGTGGCAGGGACCATGGTCAAGGAAGCTCTGCCACCTGGGTGCAGACCTTCCTTCTCAAAATGGCTCTCAGAGACACGCTGGGGTGTCACAACCGAATACCTGAGTCCCAAAACTTTTACAAAGGTACTTTTATTTGTGAATGGCTGCCAAGTTACTATTGCTGGGGGAAATACCCAGTGGGGAGCCTCCTATTCTGTCGTATTGCTGATGTCACTCTCAAAGAAATTTTAGATTACCATAATCCTCTTCTCCATATTTAATTTAGTGTATATTCTATCAGTTCTTTTGTAATGCATTTATATCTACTGATTTTTAAGAAAAAATTGTATCATACAGAGCATACTCTGTGTATACTCAGAATGCTTGCAAAGAGTATATACTTTGCAACCAATTTGTATTCATTTAAAAATATACCAAAAGCTACTATATCGTGTTTAATGCCTAGCACCCTGGTATATAAATATACCAAAATATTCCTCTTATGTTGTACTTGCTTGTATTTTGGGGTTTTATTTTCATTTTCATTATTTCATTAAACTACACAGAACTGCCAACATTAACACGTTTGTTGTATTAGTTATCTATTGCCATGTAACACATTATCCACAAATATAAGAGCTTAAAACAACACTCATTCATTAATCTCACACTATCCATGTGTCAGTAGTCTGGACACAAACTTCACTAGGTCCTTAAATCAGGGTTTCAAATGGCTGTAATCAAGGTGTCAACCAGCTGCATTCTTTTCTTTCTTTCTTTCTTTTTTTTTTACATTTAGAGTGCCTTACTGAATTTATTGATTCCGTAAGTTTACATCATCTGTTTACAAGATGAATCATCTGTCTGAAATGGTGGCTGAGTGTAGCTGCAGACCTCATATTTTGTGCAGCTGCATTCTTTTCTAGAGTTCAGGGTTCTCTTCTGAGCTTTGATGTTTGTTGACAAAAATTAATTTCTTTGCTATTGTAGGAGTGAATACCTCATTTTTTATATTATCAGGGTCCACTCTTGACTCCTAGGAGCCACTCACAGTTGTCAGATGGTCCTCACACAGGCCCTCTCATATACTGGCAGCTTGCTTTCTCAAGGCCAGCAGGACAATCTTTTCCCACAGTCTGCCTAAATGGAATTTTATATACTATGGCATTATCATAGTATATATGATTTATTTTTGCCATATAACATTATCTTTGCCATATAACAGAAGCTAATCATGGGAATGACCTTCTATTACCTTTATCAAGGTTTATTGTTGAGAAGCATATCACAGTTTCCACCTACACTTAAGGGTAGAAGTTAATACAAAGGTGTGAGGGTGTGACTCATTGAGGGTTACCTTAGGGTGCATCTACCAGGCTTGGGTCAACTCTGGGTAGCCATGATAATTTACCCAACCTTGAATTTCTAGCCTTGGGATGGATTATTACACACATTTTTGTTAAAGCTTTCATGGGTGCTTTCAATTTGCCTTTATCAGAGGTCAAATTAAGTTTCAAATCTACCTAAATGCAGAATTGTGCACAGTTGTATAAATTCACCAATTTCAATAATATAGATTAAGGAGTACCTTCTCAGCTACTCAAAAATGATACTAAATGCAAAACAGACAAGTTAAACATCTATAAAAGTAGAAATTATTTTAAATTTACACATTTTAATTCATGACGTGAAATTTAGGCTATTACTTATAAGGTAGATGAAATTAGAACAAAAGTGAAAATAAACTAATGGAAATTTAAGTGTGAGAAATCTATAGTTCATTAATTCTAAATTTGTACATAAATGCTCAAAAGTTAAGTTTCCTTAATATTATTTTAAGATTGTACTCGAATGTCTTCATTGCCTTCAACCAGAAAAAAAAAAAATCCCACAAAAGTGGGAATAAACTTGTGAAATTTAAAGTTAAAATAATTAAGAAACTGGACAAAAATCAGGTTTGCCCCAATTAGCTATTTCCACTTCCACGCTCATCTGATGTTATGTTTTAAGTTTGTGTTCAAAAAATAAGCATGAAAAATGAAGTGAATCCCCAATGGCCTTTGCAAGAAAGTATTTTGATCCTTACAAAAAACATTATTTTCTTCATTACCATTTATAAAGGACAGATCCAAACTGTGTAAGGCAAGCCTGCAGAAGACACCTCATTCTCTCCGATTCCAAAAGGGCCAACCAATGTGTGGCTTTGCAACATTCTTGACAACAATTCCACTAAGTTGCTGATGTCGCTTGTCTCACTAAAGAGTGTGCCTTCTATTCTTTTGTGTTTGGTCCATCTTTATGATATATAAAAAATCTATGTCCATGGCTGTATTTAATTCCCTAAAACAGAATATAGCTGGAATCAGATTATACATATTTTTAGCCAACCATAGTAATATGGGTCTTGAAAATATATTTTCCTCTTGAAAATAAGAATGTCAAAATGGAGCTACGATGAATGAGATCCATTTGGTGTTATTAATACTATCATAAACTTCTTGTTGCTTAGTATCAAAAAAAATTAAAGTCTTTCTGTGGAGGTTCCTGTCACAACCCCCAAAGCCAGACTAGAATATCTGGAATGGCTATGGCCCTGCTAGATGACATCCCTATGTGATAGTTTGGTTATAGATGTCTCAGAGCTTTCTGGAGGAAAATAGTGAACTCCCACCTTGTTGAAGTTATAGCTTCTCTAAAAAGTAAGAGTTAATGAATCCCATGTCTACGCAAATATGCCCACACATACATCTAAAATGACCAAATGTCAATTAGATGTAGAAGTACCAAAATCTGCATTTGGTTGATACAAGGCCAGTATATACAATCTACAATTGGGATATTGCTCATAATAATTTAAAAAATTAGGAAAGAACATACTTTTTTGTTAGTTTTTATTTGTGTTTTTCTTTTATTTTGTAACGCTGTTTCAGATCTCTTAGTGTCCATGCTTTGAATCCTACCTCATCTCTTTGCCCAGCTCAGTTTCTGAGAACGATAGTTCAAATCTGATAACAGATTTCAGCTCACTCAAGGGCAGACTTTTACAGCAACCTACTTAGGTTACAAAATTAAACTCAATAAATTTGTCTCTAATGTAATAGATTGGAGCAAAAGTAATAGATTTAAATCCTATTTAATCAGACCTATAATATATGATTCTTAAGTTTATTTATTAATTTAAGAAGCTCCAGAAAACATATTAGGTAGTAGCTAAAAACACCCATCATTTTTTATGGAAAATATCCCATTATTCATATTGCATTGGCCATAAGTATATTTTTGTGTACATAATAAAGTGATCACTATTTGTATAGACTCATCAGAAAAACAAATCAGAAAAGTAAAAATTGCATTCAAGTTACTTGAAAGCAGCACAGCACTGATTGATGCCTGAAATTTCTAATACATAAAGTCACAGAAATCATTGTTAGTATAAAAAATTTCAAGGAAGTATATTAGTTATGATCCTCAATATGCTAAATATTTGTTTGTGTGTGTGTGTGTGTGTGTGTGTGTGTGTGTGTGTATTTAGTAGATGTAGTGTTCCCCAGACACCTCTTCAGGTATCTGATTCCCCAGCTGTGAGGTGTGTTAGCTGCTGATGGCTTATAGGTGAGATATTCTCCAGGTATTGCCTTCTGCCAATGGCAGCTGCCTAACCCAAAGGTACACTCCATCCCTGGGTTACCCATATTCAAATACTAGTCAATGTGCAAGAACAAAGACTGGCCCCTTGCCTCAAGAGATTGAATTCTTAAGAGCCATTTTAGCTCCACAGTTCTTCATGTGATTGGTTATGACAGCTGCTGTGAATTCATTCTAGGTCAGCTTCTTCCTCTACTCAGTTCTCTCGCCTTGTCCTCTCACAGATGTTTGCAAGAATAGCCCCCAGGAAAACTCTTCCATTCAAATCTGAAAGCTGGTTTTCTGTGAAACCCAACTTATAATGTGTGAAATAAATAATAATAATAATAATAATAATAATAATAATAATAATAATAACTTTAAGTGCCAATACAAGTATCTATGATTATCTCTGGGTAATGAAATCATAGAAAAATTTTTCTGCACTTTCCTGTACTTATCATATGTACTATTCTAAACTCTGAGCATCTTTACAAATTTGGAAAAAATAATCCTTCTTTAGAAAAATTCTACAAATAAATAAAAAAATATGTAATTACTAAAAATGAAAAAAACCCATGAATAATATGTAATCTATTTAATAGTGAATGTTTGACTGAGAAAACAGAAGACATAATAGTTGCTTTGAAATGTTGGCATAATTACTATATAGACAAGAAAGTACTTTTTTAAATTTCTGAATTTCTCCAGAAGGGAAACTCAGCAGCAGCATATGAAATTTGTTCCATAGATATTACTAAAAATACAATCAGGTATTTTTCAATAATCACTGCTTGCAGGAAAATTCAGGATACAAAAGATAAAATATGAAGGGGATTCATTTACTTGATGGATTGAAATCCTGCTTAAACAGATGATCAGCTTAGATATTTCTATGTATTCAAAGAAACACAACAGCATCTACTGTTAAACACATATGACTAGTGTAGAAATTAAAATCTAGTCTATTTCACTGACACAGGTACAATACTATTAAAAAATATACCCTTTATGTTGTTTAAGGATGGCACATTAGATTTCATTAACTAAATTTACAGGTTGAAATTACAAAGTACGGCAAGGAGTACTATACTGAAAAAGCAATGGGCTCCATCAGCCACTAGATACACCATAAAGTGCTCTCAGCAAACAATTTTTTCGTACATTTCAAACCTAAGCATTTTACTCTAATAACATACATATAATATTACAACTGATAACAGCTATGAATAGGAAAGTCATCAGATAATGAGCAGATACTAAGGAGCAAGAGAAGGTCAAATGAAGTAAACTGCCTCCCCAGAGTTGCTGATTTCACCATCAACAGGGCTCCCACAAGATTAACTATCAATTTCTAACCTTGGAAGTTGAGAAAACAAGTTGGAAATTCTGTTGAGTTATAACACGTCACTTTATTGTAAATGTAGGAGAGTAAAACACTATTTATTGTATTAAAAACAAAAGTACCTGGAAATTTTGGTTGGCAAAGAAAGAAAGTGTATCCTTTTGGTATGGCATTCTTTATAGCAATTCATCCCAAACACATCTCTTCAGCAGAAGCCACCCACTGTTGTGTATGCGGGCACACCAGCTATGATTAAACAACTTAATTTTACCTCTTGCTGCATAGGTTATTAAAGCTTCTCATCACACTTTAAAACAATTGAGCTGAGTAAAATTTCTTCCTTAAGATACTGGCAATTTCTCTTTGGTGGCATGATGGATAGAAAAACAGGGACAGAGATGGAAAGAAAAGAGAGATAATTTAAGTTCTAAGAGAAAAGTCAAGAGAAGAAAAATAAACATGCATTCCTTTAAGAATTAGGTAAGAACATAAAAAATTTGAAAATCAAAGCTATACTGTATTATCTCTTTTCAACAGTAGTAACAACTATGATTACTGTACATTCTTATAAAATTATGATGGATTAAAACTTATTTGAAATAATGATGATGATTGATGATAATATTTTCCTCAGTCATTAAAAGAAATAATGTAGAATACATAATCCACATCCCAAAATTCTACAAAATATATGAGAATTGGGAAGACAAAAATATGGAGGCTATGAGCTCAGAAGCTGTCATATCATCCTTAATATATCTAATGCACTTCTTAAATTGAAATCCTATTTATTATTATTGGAAATAAATATCTCAAAATAAATGCATGCCTGCTTTTGCAAGAGTAATACTGTCTAATTAATAAAATGCTTGTATAAATTTATGTAATTATCAAGGTGCAAATATATATTCCCACATAAATATATGCATATTAAAAACACATTTACTGAATTATAGCAGAAGAAGAAATCACCTTTTTTTTTTTCTTCTTTAATGACTACTAATGTGGGACAATTTCTAAACCAAACATTGCATCTGGTAGTTCTGTGATGTATCTAAAGTTAGCAGTATTGTAGGAGAATGAAATTTAAACTAATGTATCTTCTAAGGATCCTAACTAAAGAAATTTAGAGTTATACCTGCAGACCTTTCTAGAATAAACCAAACTGATGGTATGATTTATGTATGACTTCTTTTGGAGCAAATTTTTCAGTTTTATATATTGTTATCATAAACTCAAGAAAATATAATTACTGTTCTTCACCTTTGTTCACCTTCATGACATTTAATTTATAGACCAGAATTTATTGATTGTTTGGTCAACTGAATACACTTAGGCTTCAAAAATTAAGTGTAATTTATTAAATAACAGTATAGAAAATGTTGTTTTATAATTTTAAAACCACTGTTAGTACTACCTGCTTCACCTACTCCAAATATAAGTGTTTGGATTAAGTGTTAAACTTCACTCTTAGATGCCATGTCCTGCCTGCACACTTGAAACAATGTAATTTTCATCAAATTTTGTTCCAATTATGCAGTTCTATATCAGCAGTCTCATAGCAGCAACTGCAATCTATTATTTATGCAAATCACATAGGAATTTTGATTAAAGTAGTATATACAGAATCACTTTATAGTCTTTATAAAGGTTTATATAGACATGAGAGAAAGAAAAAATAGATTGTCTACATGACAGTTTATGCAAAGTGTATAAAATATAGTCAGCTTTGTGAAAGTGACCATTTTAACTAGTTAGCAGGTATCATTAAAACACACTTGCTATACCTGGGATTGGGGCATTTGGGATTACCACATGCATCCTAGCATTTATGCCACAACCACTTTAAATAACCCAATTGTTACTATTTGCAATGAAATTAACTGTTATAATTCTCCCTCTGATTTTTTAATACTTCTATTACAAACCATGTTGCCAATCTCAACTGTGAAGGGTAGAGATATGACTGCATCACCTTCCACCCATGAAATAAGGATCTCTTTATACTTTTGATAAATGAACTGTTCCCAAAATAAACTTATGTGTATTCAATAAAAAAAAAAACTATGGAGATTGCTTTTTTTCCCCTATTCATGCATTCTTAGCTCAAAACCAGATGTCAGCAATATTAAGATGTAGATAAAGGGGAATACTAAACCATTTGGCCTATATTTAAAGATATTTAATAGTAATTTTTTCTCTCCACTTAAGCATTCTTTTGTCATTTTTATGTTTCTTTTATTTGGTTTTTTAAAAAGTAAATATTATAAAATAATAATCATGTTCTTTTGATATTTGTATTGATGCATACACAATTAAAACCTGATTATTCCTAATGTGTGAATAAATTATAAAATATTTAATTAGATGAAGTCATGACTTGACACTCCAAAATTCTTTTCAGCTATTAATGAATTTCTGTATTTTGTGTTTACTGTTATAATGTGAAAATATTACTTACTGATTTTTTTAGTAAGGCTTATGAGTAGTATTACTACAGTAATATAAGGTCATGAAAAATTGTATGTATTAGAAATCCAATGTTAAAGAAGCAAACCACTTCCATTTTGTATAATAGCTTCTACATAAACTTTCTAGGGATTTTTTTAGTAAATAAGCAAACATCTTACCTATATACATATTTTAAGTTACATTATTTAATTGTGGTAGAGACTTTTGGATGCCATTACAGCAGACTTTCCCAAATATCTTCTTTTCTGTTAAAGTGCTAAAAATAGCAAGTATTAATACTCCTTGAAACCAAGGCAAAGAATGTATGACCCAATATTTGTCACTGAAACCTGAGATGAGACTGCTTAGGAGATCACAGAAAAGATATTTCTATCTGATTAAAAAAAAAAAAAGACAGAAAAGAAAGGTAAAGCAATGAGGAACCGTCCTCCCTGCATTTGGATGTGGCTTTCTGGGAATGTAATGCCTTGAAGCTACAACAGCCAATTACGACCTTGTAGAAAAAACTATGAATGACAATCTTGCTGAAGATGTGGAGTAAAAATAAAGAAAAAGAGTGTAGCCCTTGAAAAATTCCCTGAGAAATGAAATAACCAATCCTGTCACAGCTCTACACATATGAGATAAAAAATATTCTTATAGTTCAAACCACTTTTAGCTGCATTGCCTAATACTTGCAGCTGGAAATATTCTAAATGATACACTACTATTTAAGGCAAGGACTGTTTCCCTGTAAAATTTCTAAAATAATATATTCTAACATTTCTGTAGCAGAAACTGCTTGTTTTCATTTAATACCCATTCTTTCCTTGTGATAGTTATAGAACCTCTAGTTTTAGATGTACACACAGCTATAAGATTTGGCTTCCTGATCCCTTTGTAACTATGTGAACGCATATCACTAAATCCTAGCAAAACAGGTATGAGTGAAATTGTTGTATACAACTTCCTAGGTTGAGCCCTGCAAAGTAATCCTGCCCTTCCTCCTTTCCTCCCCTTCCCAATGGCTGGAATATAGATGTCGTGGCACAAGGAGGGTGGCTATCATAAACCACTGGATAGAAACTCTCTGGATACAAGGGTGAAACAAAACAACAAAGAAAAAACTTGTATCCTCCTGTATTAGTCTGTTCTCACACTGCTACGAAGAAATAGCCGAGACTGAATAATTTATAAAGAAAAGAGGTTTAATTGACTCACGTTCCACACATAGCTGGGGAGGCCTCAGGAAACTTACAAGCATGGCGGAAGGCACCTTTTCACAGGGCAGCAGGAGAGAGAATGAGTGCCACCAGGGGAAATGCTAGACACTTATAAAACCATCAGATCTCATGAGCACTCATCCACTATCATGAGAACACCGTGGGGGGACCACCCCATGATCTAATCACCTTCCACAAGGTCCCTCACCCAACATGTGGGGATTACAATTCGGATTACTATTCAAGATGAGATTTGGATGGAGACACAGAGCCAGACCATGTCACCCCCACACTGTGCCATTATCAGAACTCTCTTTGGTTAATTAGGCTTGAGTTGTTACATGAGAAAAAAATCATCTTCTAACCTTTTAAAGTCACTGTTTTTTTTCGGGGTGGGGGGCGACGGGTCTTTGTTATAGGAACAGCCTTTGTCCTAATGAAAATCATATTTATTTATTTATTAGAAATCGGGTCTTGCTCTGTCACCCCATACTTGAGTGTAGTGTTACTACCACAGTTCACTGCACCTTTCGACTCCTGGGATCAAGCAATCCTCCTCCCTCAGCCTCCTAGGTAGCTATGTCTATGGGTGTTGGGGGTCGTGCACAGTACCATCACCAGCTATTTTTTTTTTTGGTAGAGAAGGTGTCTTTCTATGTTGCCCAAGCTGGCCTTGAACTCCTGGCTTCCCACCACCGTGCCCCAATGGGCTGGGATTACAGGCATGAACACTCCATGCCTGACTGAAAAAAAAAATACATATATATATATTTTATATATATATAATATATATTATATATTATAGATATTTTATATCTATAATATATATTATATATTATATATTTTATATCTATAATACATATTATATATTATATATATTTTATATCTATAATATATATTATATATATTTTATATCTATAATATATATTATATATTTTATATATATAATATATATTATATATTATATATATAATATATATATTATATATTTTATATATATAATATATATATTTTATATATAATATATTATATATTAAATATATAATATATAATATATAATATAATATATATTATATAAATATATAGAATTTATTTTATATATAATATATAATATATAATATATATTATATAATATATATTATATATATTATTATATAATATATATTATATAATATATAATATATATTATATATATAATATAATATAAAATATATTTTCTATAATATATATAAAATATCTATATATATTTTCCTGAGACGGAGTCACTCTGTCACCCAGGCTGGAGTGCAATGGCATGATCTCAACTCACTGCAACTTCTGTCCCCGGGGTTTAAGCAATTCTCCTGCCTCAGCCTCCGGAGTAGCTGGGATTACAGGCGCGCCACCATGCCTGGCTAATTTATGCATTTTTAGTAGAGACGGGTTTTCACATGTTGGCCAGCCTGGTCTTGGAACTCCTGACCTCATGATCTGCCCACCTCAGCCTTCCAAAGTGCTGGGATTACAGGCATAAGCCACCGCATCCAGCCCCAAAATAATTTTTAAATAGGAAAACTGCTTAGGTTTTTATTTTGAGTTTAAATTTGTTGAAATAGTTTAGAAAATAATCTTGATTTTTCAATTTAGTTAATGTAACTACCTGTACATTCCTATTACATTCCTATAATTTTAGATTTTTTAAAGAAGTATGTTTATGAACTTTGGGAGGACGGGGAGGGTGGATCACTTGAGGTCAGGAGTTCGAGACCAGCCTAGCTAATGTGGTGAAATTCCATCTCTAGTAAAAATACAAAAATTAGCTGAGCATGGTGGTATGCACCTGTAATCCCAGCTACCTGGGAGGCTGAGGTAGGAGAATCACTTGAACCCGGGAGTCGGGGGTTGCAGTGAGCTGAGATCTTGCCATTGCACTCCAGCCTGAGCGACAGAAGTGAAACTCCATCTTGAAAAATAAAAAAAAATAAGTATGTTTATGTATGTTGCATACACAAATTGAACCCTTAAATCCTGAAGAGAAAATAACATATATGTGTATAAATATATATATCTGCAAACAAAATTTAATGAATTATTCTTATTAAATGACAGCTGATTCAAAATATATAAGAATTACATTAAAAAATAAAACTATTATGTTGTTTAAAAAGTTCATCAGCAAGAATGACTTGTGGCACTTTTCTCAACAAATATATGTTTGCTTTGGTAGCTAATGAGTCTTGAGGAAAACTAAATATTTACAGTGAAATATGAGCTATTCAGTTCAAATGAAATATTATATCAACTGAACACAATAAAACTCCATCTTAAGACTCAAGTAATTCTGTTAACAGATACCAATTTTTTTTTCTTTTTTCTTTTGTTTTGTGATGGTCCTGGACTTGGAGATTTTTAGTGTAATGAAAAACTTATGTTGCTGAAAATTATCAAAACTAAATGACTAAGAGGCCAGCTGCCAATTTGAAAGTAGTCCATAGAAAAAAAATCTGTTATAGGATACAAAGTTACAACTAGATAGGAGAATAGGTTCTAGTGTTCTATAGCACTGTAGGATGACTATAGCTAGAAGGACATGGAATGTTCCCAACACAAAAAAAACGATAAATGTTTGAGATGATGGATATGCTAATTACCCTGATCTTATCACTATGTATTGTATGTATTTAAACAATACTGTGTACCCTATAAACGTGCACAACTATTACGTGTCAACTATAAAAATTAAATTAAATTTTATAAAAATAAACTATGGATTTTGTCTATAAGTTGTTTTTATTTATTTGAAATAAAATTACCTGAGAATGCATAGGTAATAAGTATTGACAGATGTGTTGATTTACTGTTTATATAATATTGTGATTTATTTAAACTCTTTGACAATAAACTATTACTTTGACAAAATAAACACCTGCTTATAGAGGTAAATGAACATTCCAATACTACGACTCTCAGAGTCCTACCATTATGACTTTAGAAAGATTTATTTTAGAAAGATTATATATTAACAGAATACTGTCTAACTTTCTAATAAAAAAACTAAAAAAAATGTAGGAAATAAAAATAATATTTTCAATTACTACATCATATGTCATGTATTTGGTGTAAAATCACTATAGCTTTATATTTTTAAAACATGAATCTTTAACTATTTTAAACAATGAATAGCATAATTTAAAACAATGTTGTTTATTCATTTATTACCTACAAACCCACCATCTGTAGCCCTATTTAAAATATTTCTTCTAATATCTCATTTTAAATCTTGTGAAGCATGTTAGACAATTTTTGAATAATAGTTAATACAAATGTAAACCTATTTCAATAAGTTAATATGCAATTATAAGTTTTGGATCACTCATTTTCTGAACTACATAAGGAGATATACCTAATGCTAAATGACGAGTTAATGGGTGCAGCACACCAGCATGGCACATGTATACATATGGTAACTAATCTGCACATTGTGCACATGCACCCTAAAACTTAAAGTATAATAATAAAAAAAAAAAATTCAGTTTCAGATTGTCTCTGCTAACCAAGAATTGAGCCGCAATGCTTTTCATTACATGACAACGCATTTTAATGCTAAGCCAAGGAAGCCTGTTGTGTAAATGGCCTTCTGAGCTTCTCAGGTACTTGATACTCTTACTCAGGGCTCCATCTGATTTGAAGACCACCCCTACTCCCAGATTCCTAAGTATTTGGCAAACACTTTCTCATTCCTCAATACTGTGCCAATGAAACCTCTTCTATAAGAAATTTTCCAACTGAAAAGATGAAGGTAGTTCCCTTAAAATATTTGTCTTTGAATCACCATTGCCGAAAAGTGGGAAAAAAAAACTGGTCGGGGGCAATTTCTTAGAGATTTATTGAATGATAAGTAAAATTAAAATGGTATAATAACAACAACAGAGGTAACATTTGTTTCAATTATTTGTAGTTTGCTATTTTATTCATAGTTGTTCCCTCTGTGAGCAGAGATATAATAGGAAATGTAGTTGGTTTATTTTATTTTGGAGCATTATTTCTCTCCAAATAGTTACAGACTCAAGTCGCTTACTTTTAGGAAAATTCTTTGTAATTTAGGAAATCAGTAGAGAACACTGACTAAGATCTTTGGCTTCAGAGTCAAACAGGCCAAATCTAAGACTTACTAGCTATGTTATCTTGGGCAAACATCTTCAATTCTCATTCTAATATTCCAAATTTAACTGGTCTTTATTTTTTTTCATTTCTATTCCATTACTCCTTGTTGAACTAAGCACATTTTTGATAACATATTTACCACCTGATGATAGTAAGCTGAATGACATTTGATTTAGATTTTTGTTTATACATGTAGATCTGCTAAAAATATGAGAAAATATTTCTGTAAATTTAGCATGATTTTATCTGTGAAAAGGAATAGTGATTATTTTGTTAATATTTAGCAAGGAAACTTTCCTATAAAAGTTACAACTAATGAGAATCTTAAAACAATATCTTGATAAGGAAAACATTAAAATCCTGTTAACAGCTTAGAGTTATATTTGTTTGCAATCACTCTTTTCAAAAATTACATATGCTAGTTAACTATTTATTTGTATTTGCACATAGATCACTAATAGTGAAATATCTTTTTTGTCATTTTAATCTACAAATGAAGTGGATGAATATATTATAATTCAATTATTGTCTTGTTTGCTGTACAACAATCACAACTACTAGAGTCACCACTAAAGACAGAAGGGCATCTGCAATTTAGTTTCAATAAGCCAAGAGAAAGGTAAAATGGCTTTTGTTAACATTGTGCTTCTCGGACTGGGGTTCCTGTATTGGGTGCCATGATATGGAATGTTCCATGTTACTGGAAATGTAGTGGTTTCTCCTGAACTCCCAATATATCAGTTTTCTAAGTAATATTTGAAAATATTATTTTTAAATTGAAGCAAATATGTTTTTTGATTCTTAAACTAGGTTTTGATGGATGAGTAGAATTTTTCACTAGTACTAGAATGGAACAAAATGCAAAAGGCCTATAAATTTTAAATAAAAATGATATTTCAAAGATATTTCACAATGCTAACACTGAAGAATTTTTCAATCTGATATGGTATGGAAATGAATCATGTTTTCTGTGTTTGGAGGCTAGAAGAAAATCTTTCATGTCTTTGTACGTCCTATGTTCAAAAAATCCCCACTTTCCTTAAAGAGCTCCTGTTGCCCTATCTAGAATACACATTTTCCTCAGTTCTCATTTTCTCACTTAAATAGCCAGATTATAAAATGTGGATGGATGCACCAGCCATTACATAGAAGATCAATAATTGTGTACTGCATTACCTGAGAATGCAGGAGCATGTGCTTAGAACACTAGCAAATTGGGGACACTCAGACAACTGGGGACACTCAGACAGTTACAATATACAAAAAAAATTTTTAAACCTTAGTGAATTTTGTATTTATAGTTTTTCTAAAATAATGCAAAGTAGACATCATGGGAAAAAAAGCAGAACTTAATGGGAATTCCTTATACTAATTTCTCACTCTGCTTTCTATTTTGAATCAAATATAGGGCAGTGAAGGGGGACATCACAAGTTGTTCAGGTAGCAACAACTGCAAAAGTCTTCCTCTGACTTTGTGGATATCCATCAAAATCTGTCAAGGAGGCAATTGTAGGAGCACTCCTTTGTTTATGAAAATCATCAGCTTAGCAGGTTTTGGAAATAACTTCAGATCCTAGTCCTAACAATTTTCAGTCTCCTCTGTCTTGACTCTCTATCATTCACAATTTGTTTACGCACATTTAATTTCTTATACCTATGGAACATGCCACGTACTTTTATACCTCTATAACTTTGCATGTGTAGATCCCTGTCAGGTATGCTTTCTTCCACCTGTTCAAAGAACAAACTCTGCTCATTCATCAAAACACAGATTGAGTGTCATGGACTCTGTGAGGCCTTCATTGAATCACCTCCCACTACAGATGTAATTTGCATGTACTTATCTGACTTCCATTGTCACAGTGCATTGAATCATTATTCAACATGTCAATCTTTTCAACTATCACAAGGATTCTTCAGGGAGGAGATGGTACGTCTTGGGTAGTGGGCTAAAAGTGGCACACATGATTATTTAAAAACAAAGAGGTCTTTTCCTCTTTACTGACATGCTTTCAATCTCAATGATTATTTAATATAAATTCTATAAATATTAAAAGATAAATGTGTGTATTTAGCAAAGAAGGACTTTAACTTTATATAGATGAAGAATGTTTGTTTTTGAAATGATATATTTTAGCAATTTATTTTCTAAAGTGTTTTCTCATACATTTGATTGCCTGATATTCATAATAATCCTCTCATTTCCTGAAAAAACAAATATCATTCTCATTTTTAAAGGCTGAGTCATACAAATATATGACTAGCTCGAGAGCAAAATAGGTAAGTGCAGAAGGCTCTCTCTCTCTGTGTATCTCTCTCTATATATATGCAAACACATTTTTAATTTAATATCTGATCACATATTTCAGTTATTGCATAGACACTTCTGATTTACTGGAAAATGATAGATCCTGCATATTTTGGAAAACATGCTTAATCTAAATGTGGTTTAATTGCTAAACAATGAACGATTTTTTAAAGTTCAACTTAAGTTATAAATTATGTAATTGATAATGACAGAAAAAATGATTAACATATGTTATGTACTTAATATACATAGTTGCATCAGCATGACCTGGATGTGAGACATAGGGTTAAAGGAGATCATTTTGGAGCTTTAAGATTTGACTGCCCCTTGGATTTCGGACTTGCGTGCGGCCTGTAGCCCCTTTGTTTTGGCCAATTTCTCCCATTTGGAATGCGTGTATTTACCCAATCCCTGTACCCCTGTTGTATCTAGGAAGTAACTAACTTGCATTTGATTTTACAGGCTCATAGGAGGAAGGGAACTTGCTTGTCTTAGATGAGACTTTGGACGGTAGAGTTTTGAGTTAATGCTGATATGAGTTAACACTCTGGGGGACTGCAGGGAAGGCACGATTGGTTTTGAAACGTAAGGACAAGAGATTTGGAAGGGGCCAGGGGCGGAATGACATGGTTTGGCTGTGTCCCCACCTAAATCTCATCTTGAATTCCCATGTGATGTGGGAGGGACCCTCTATGAGGTAATTGAATCATGGGGGCAGGTCTTTCCTATGCTGTTCTCGTGATAGTGTATAAGTTTCATGAGATCTGATGGTTTTAAAAAGGGAAGTTTCCATGCACAAACTCTCTTCTCTTGTCTGCCACCATGTGAGACATGCCTTTCACCTTCTGCCATGATTGTGAGGTCTCTCAGCCACATGGAACTCTAAGTTCATTAAACCTCTTTCTTTTGTTAATTGCCCAGTCTCGGGTATGTATTTATCAGCAGCATGAAAAAGGACTAATACATGTACATATTGGAACATAGTAAATATGGTACTTTTCATTTTAACAACAGACAAAAGCATACTTTTAATCAATTGTTTTAGTGAAGCAATTTTCCTTTGCTGAGCTATGCAGATATAAAACAGAAACTTCAAGACCTATTTGCATTACTATTTACCAAATTGTTCAAATTGCTATACAATGGACAGTGTAAACATACTGACTCCAGCATCATTAGGCAAATCTCTGACCACTATTATCTGTTTGTCTGCTTATTCTGGCTTTCTGGAAAATAATGACAATAATACCTACAATACAGGGTTGTTATTAATATAAACAAACACATAATAAATGACAAAACCAGTTCTAATATATGCCTTTACTCCAAGGCACTACACTCTGTGTTGTGTTCATTTTAGATTTTTCAGTACAGTTTTGTTTTGTTTATTTGACTTTTTAAAAAAGATTTACTTTTTTTTTTTTGAAACAGAGTTTCTTTCACTCTTGTTGCCCAGGCTGGAGTACAATGGTGTGATCTCGGCTCACAGCAACCTCCGCCTTCCAGTTGCAAGAGAATTTCCTGTCTCAGTCTCCTGAGTACCTGGGATTACAGGCGCCCAGCACCATGCCTGGCTACTTTTTGTATTTTTTGTAGAGCCGGGGTTTCATCATGTTGGCCAGGACTGGTCTTGAACTCCTGACCTCATGATCCACCCGCCTCGGCCTCCCAAAGTGCTGGGATTACAGGCGGGAGCCACGGCGCCCAGCCAAAGATTTATTCTTATACCTCTGAATATAGACAGAAATCTGGACTCAAGAAAATTTTGATGATTTTAACCTAAACCATATTTTTCTATTCCTATTGCTTTGATAATAGCACAAGTTGTATCTGTCTCAGTAAACTTTAATGTAATTCAGAGAACCAACAGCCAAGGGACACATTTCTCCACCCACTACATCATAATAGAGAACAGAAATCACATTCAATTCAAAATACATTTAGAGTCATTTCAAAATTGATAAAGTACATTTTTCCAATTTGCTTACATAATGTCACTAGAAAATTATACTCTAGGGTATTAGAAACAGTGTGGTCAAGGTATTTTAGAAAATTAGAGTGATTTTTGAATATTTTTCAAGCTACATGACAAAATACAAAACAAATGAAACATAGAGCATTTGTCCACGTGCCTTTAAGAATTACCTTAGAACATTTGGTTTGGCCACTACCCCGTCTGTAGTGAAGATGCTGGAGCACAATCTACATCTAAGCATTTTCCAGACGTTTATTTACAGAAATGTTAATACTGCCACTGGCAGCATGTGATTGAATCGTTTAAGTTTAGCATAGATGGCCTGGTGTCAGCCTATGCTAATTGATGGCAAAGTAAATGGCAAAGTTGCTTTTCTAGGCCTCAGTTCCTTGCTAGGGAAAATCAACTTAATGTTTTATTTTTGTCCATGGAATAAAACTGTTTACATGTGCAATTTCTTCCTGTGTTTGTGCAAAAACAGATGCAATTCTGTGTTACGTGGAGCCAGAATGCCACAGAGATAGGTCACAGTTTATTCAAAATTGTAACTATTTTTAAATCTTTTCTGCTATTTGATGATATTAAATATTCTTGCTTTTTTCATGTCACAAATTGCATTAATGATAACATTATAAAAAAGGTTATGTGATATTATAAAATTAACTCTCCCCATAAGTGAGAAAACTTTAATATTTAACAAGAAAATTTTCTTTTATTTTGGTGGTCTTTCATTTTGTCTTTTTGCCAATATCATCTGCTACTTTATGGATAAAATGGAGCTAGAGTTTGAAACATAAACACTATTACCAGAAATATTCATTTAAATATAATGGAGGAAATAGAAATCTCTTTTTCCTCCATGATCAATTTCAACACCAATTATAAGTCAAAACATCAAGGCTTCAATATAAATACATTCAACTACCTTGCATTACCAGTGTTTGATGATGAAATCCTAAAAGATGACATATGGTGAATCTTGAATCTTTAGAAATTTTACAAAAGAGCACAAAATATATAACATATCAGATCACAATACCAATAAGCAGTCACCATAAAAAATTGTAAACGTCAAGGTGGCATTTCATCACACAGATGACTTAATCTATTGTACTGTCACAAGACTGCTTGATTTAAATATTTGTCTTTTTTATTATGATGAAAATTGAAACACTATAATCCTGTACTATAAAATGCTATGGTAATATTCAAGCAATTGGAGTACATGATTTGATACCAAATTACGTTCTCAAAGGCCTCATTTCTGCTTTTGATTTTATGAGTGTAGATGCAAAGATGCAACCTTTATTATATTGGTTGAGGATGTCTTCCAAGATGTAAATTTAGAAAAGGTTTTAAGAATATAGCAAAGCATACCATCATGAAACCACCCAATAGGTAGCAGTTGTAATGGTTTCAGAATTGTATTTGTTGTTACTACTGTTTTTATGTAGTTTAAAGAATAAAATACCTATAAAAATATTTGTCGTTATCTTTTTTAAGTAACTATATAGCATAGATTATAAACCCCACTTGTCTCTCATTAGTATTTTAGATTCTCCAGAGTTGAATGCATAACACTATAACATTATCAGCAAATAGAAAAAAACAGTTTAGCGAGAAATTATGATTTCAATTTTGTTTGGGGTACTAAAAACACTGTCATTTTTAAAATTCATGACTACAACTTCACATTACTTAATATACATTAGATTATTTGTCTTCTCAATAACAATCATTTGGTTTTTCCCAAGTGATTGTTCTTACCATTTTTATTATAAAATCAGGTTTAAAAGTTATCTTAAAATAGATGCTTTTCCAGGAAAAATAAAGTCTATAAATTTCACTTTTCTGTAATTTTACACACAGAGAATGAATCTTAGGGTGAATCTTAGAATGAATCATTTGAGTCTTAATAGCATTTCACCAGTGTTTCTTCTTACCTAAAATGTTTCTCATTTTTAGAAAGTTTGAGTTCAGACAAGATGCAGTGAGAACCCTTTCTCTAGGTTTGAAAGCTTACCTTGGGGCACCTAATTTATGTGATGACTTACAGCAGAAACCCAGCAGCCTACTGTTGACATTTTCATAGATCAGGAGTTGGCTGCTTGGAAGAGCAAAAACATGTTGCATATGCCATGGCAAACCCTCGATAATATACATATATATATTTACTGTATATATATTTACTATATATATATTTACTGTAGTTCAAACATGATAGTAAAAAGTTACAGTGTTCTTGTAAAGTAAATGAGAGTTTAAATGCAAAAATCAAAATTTAGGAAAGACTGTCTAGAAATTAAAAATGAATATGTGCTCCGTAACTACCAGGATCAATAGAAAATTTCTACAGAAGAAATAAGATAAAATGTTGTATTATCAACTAATAATATTAACCTGGGTTGGGGTATTTATACTAACTACTAACTCCTATACTTGATCTGCAAAGAATAGGTTTCAGTTTGCTTCACTTACCCATATTTGAATGTTTTATGACTATTCCTTCTGCACTCCTGGAGTGCAAGGTACAGAACTCTTAAGAAACACGGCTCTTTCCACTGCTGACACCGCCTTTCAAAAAGTGCTTCAGGGACTCATGAAAAAGACAGGTTGCATGTGACTATAGTAATCATGGAAGAGGTCATGGAAAAAGGAAAACATAAAAATAAGTCATGAAAAATGAGAATGAGATACGTAACAGGACAAAGGCCGCCTTTTCTAGATGAAAAACTCACTGTGAGGAAGACACAAAAAAAGAAAGAGCAGTGAATGTGGCGTGAAGATAGGTGATACCTGATTTGTGTGAAGAATGCATGAAAGAGGAAACAAGGATCCGAAAGCAAATATGGTTTGGAGGCAGGTAGTGAAGAGATTTTGGATTTGGGAATAGGAAATGTGGATGTTGTTTGGTGTTGATGTTTGAATAGAAAGCTTCTGGTAAGACCTGTCTATCATCAGGAACATCCTGGCTGCCTGTGAAAGAGCTCACACTGCAGTATTACCTTGATGAATTTCCCACCATCCATGATTTGGCCTTCAGCCCTAAAGCCTCAGAAACCTTGTTCTGTCAGCAGAAAACATGTTTCAGGAAGACTGGTACATTTGCTCCCTGAGGCTGAGCTGCATTAAAATCAGAAATTTGCTGGGTGAGCATGGAATTGAAGAAAGGAAAATTTTTGACCTGTACATGTTGTAGAGCATTAGAGTAATGTTAGAAATGACCACTGTCTTTCCTTAGTACTGGCAAATGTTGCCTGGGTAAATGATTTTTCTGTGTCTCACTTCAGACTTCTTCTGATGAACAGCCACCCTCCAAGTATATGTTACAATATTTGAAGAGTCTCCAGTAGACTTAGGAATCACATGATCTCCCTCTAACGTGACTATACATATATATGAACTGATCCATTATGTGGAGTTTGCGGTTTATCCCACCGAAAAAAATACCGTTTACAGATTTTTGGAAGGCAACTTACAGTTGCAGCTATATACAATCCTGTTCTGTAATACATTAAAAGATGAATAGAAGATTTTAAACAGAAGAACAAGATCAGAACTATGATTTGGGAAAAAAAATAATTGATCAAAAAAGTATTATTGGTGCTTGCAGGCAGGGAGAAGCCTGAAAACATGAAGGTTATCTACAAGACTAGCCTAAGGGATGGATAATGAGGATCTGGCCCAAAGAAGGGTGAACAGTCTTGGATTTGAAAAATACTGCAGAGAAGACCCTGACAGGATATGCAAGCGATTTGATTGGGAACGCTGAGGAGGAAGACAAGAGTCCAAGATATCATCAATAATAAACTTCCTGTAATTGCAAGGTCATTTAAATTTTTTTTGCACAGCTTTAAGAGTTGTGTTCTGTAGAAATGATGGCATTGCACAGCTCACTTTTACCTACGTTTTAAATAATCACAGCTGAGAACTGTGAATTCTCTGAATATTATACACAATTTTTTGTATATCTAAGTATTTTCTGAAAAAGTAACCATAGATATCCTCAAATTCTGAGTTTCTGCGCCCCAAAATAATTAAGGATTTTTGGCCCAGAAGATTAGCTTTGGAAAAGCATCAGTTTAATACATGTAGAAACACTTTATTATGTTGCAAAAGTAAACACTCATAACTGAATGACAATAGTACAGAGAAATCCTAAAATAAATATAAATAAGATCAGAGACTAGAGATAAACTACATTGCCAAACTAAACACATGTACAAATTGCCTTATCCAATGGCTTTGTTAAAGAACAAAAAACAATTTGTTAAACACGGTGAAAAAAAATTTATGTGGCTACTTTATTTGCCTTTTATTAATGAATGTAAACTTTAAAAAGAATTAAACAAAAGTTTGTTAAATAATAATTTGAATATCCTTAACAAGTTGGACAATTTTATTTACAAGGTTATTTCAGTTAAAAATTGTAATACAGTTGACCCTCTGTATCCATGAATTTCACGTCCATGCATTCAACCAACCACAGGCTGAAAATACCGAGGAAAAAAAGAATGGATGGTTGCCTCTCTACTGAACATGTACAGATGTTTTTTTTTGTTGTTTCTTGGTATTTTTTCCTAAAAAATACAGTAAAGCAACTATTTACATAGCATTTATATTGTATAAGGTATTATAAGTACTCTAGAGGTAATTTAAAGTGTATTGGAGAATGAGTGTAGGTTACATGCAAATACTACATTGTGTTATATAAGGGACTTGAGGATCCATGGATTTTGGTATCTCTCCTGGTGGGGGTGTCCTGGAACCAATTCCCCATGGATACTGAGAGAAGACTGTATATGAAAATATTTCAAAAACCTAAAAAATATGCTACTGCAAATTCGTATAACATACAAAATTCTATTAATATGTCCTTTACACAGCTTATTTTGATTATTAGGTGAGTTAGCCAATATTTATTTAAGAAAGAAACTTGGTGGTGGATAATATAACATGTGCCCAACTTAAAACTCAATCTGAAATACATATTTTCACATACTAAATGGCTATACATGATATAAATATTGCAACATTGCTATAAAAATTACTATGGATTTTTTATTAGGCCATCTAGGAGGAAGTTATTTAAATATACAGTTTCATTAAAGTAAAAAAAAAAAGTTAAACCCACAAACCAAAGGGTTTTAGCAAACAACAAACACAAATCAGAAACATCACAGTATAGTCCAAAAATAAAAAGGTGAAAATTAAGTTATGAAAGTCCAATAACTAAGAACAAACTTTTTTTAATTACAATTCCTAAATCACGCAACTACCTACCACTTACAAGAACTACTGCTACAAGAACAAGCTTTCTTATGTTTCTAACATGGCACATTTCTGAATAGCACTTAAAAGCTATTCAGGGGCACACAGGCTGAACAATTAGAAGTCAGGGAACTGCCCTTAGCTAAAAAATAATCGTGTGTTAATAGCAAAGTAAGTGTCTGAGATCCCCAGTAAACATTAACTTGGCCTCAGATGATGTTTTGACGTTTTACTTGACTTCTGATCCTAGTTCAAGAGTAGCAACTAGCACCAGGGGTGCTTTTGTCACCTTTGAGGCTGATGCCAAAGATCCTCTAGAACCTACACATTAGAGCAAACAGCATATTCAATAAAGAGGCACTCCTCCCAAGAATAAACATAAGACTTCTTGTAGCAAAGCCAGGTAGCTTTCAGTGACTCAAAGCAAACAAAGCAGTTCTGAAATTAGATGTCCAGATCTCATTCACTGACCTAAAAACTGCCTATGCTTCTCAAACTTATTCAAAACTTGGTTCATGGTATACATTTAAAAAGTTTTTAATATATTTTAGTCCCTAAAAACAAATGTGGGATATTTTTTCCTATCTTGACCACTAATTTGTTATCTGAATTAAACATGTCATTCCCCATAGACCACCTTCCCATTTTAAAAAATTTTTATCTAGAAAAATATGTAAACGAAAGACAAAAAAACTTTAAATTCTGAAATAAACAATTTTAAATGACAATAACATTAGCAAAGAAAGTTAGCATATTTAATCAAAAAGAAATTCCAAGGATAATGTACTAAGTGTGTGGTCTATGTACGAATGCTCCTTTGCCTAGAGTTACTTTCAAATTTCACAGCTTCCAAACTAGCACTTCCCTAGTTATCAGTGTGGAGTGTGCCTTTAATTCACAGTTTCAGTAAGTACAATAGTTCTTAAAACTATAAAGTGTATAACATCTCAACTCCAAAAAAATATATTTTATGTCAAGGAAAAATGTCTCAGGTAATACTAGGTTAATGCTGTTGATACAATGTTCTAGAAAAGTTTTGCCTCAGGGATTGTTCATTTTAGATGAATCTGACTGCCTCAGGGACATCCGAGGAGAATATCAGATGTTGCCAAGGGCACCTCAGGCAGCCTTACTGGAAGACTAGGAGGTTGTCTATAATTTCACACTATACTGTATGCCATGAAAGGCTATAAATATTGTCTTGATATTCTAAAACCGATTCTCAGCAGATGCTAATACCATGTGCCAAGGCAATTAGCAAGCTCGTATTTCAGAGTATCTTGCCTATTGTACCCTATGTAAATATTTTGAAAGTCACAAAGTAGTTTGGTAATAGAAAAGCAAAAGTGAGCTGTGATTAACGGACTATCAAATTACTATTTTTAGGAGGTATATCTAATGTTTTACCAGTATTCAGGCGCACAATGTCTTGCAATGTTTTACATATCAGAAGACAATTAATTAGATTGAGTTTTGGCATTTTTGGTTCCTTTCTCATTCCTGTTAAATGAGCTTTTACTTATGCTAAGAATAAAGAACTCACAAAATTATCTAGAACACTCAACATAAAGATTTCAAGTTGACTGAAAGATTTATTTTAATTTTCGTTACAGAATATTCCATATAACCATTTATTTCACATACTTAGTATAAAATTTGGCATTAAGTTCTCTGTAATTTAAAAATAAATTACAGAAATCATTGAATTTTAATTTACTCAAATTTATATTTTCTTCAGTGTAGCAGCAAATTAATTTTGCTTTTTTGCTAAAATCTCCAAAACAGAACCCATGTTCAGTGTTATTGTTCATAATATCTTAAATGAAATTCTAGACGTAGAGGACTTCAAAATATATGTAGACAACAAAATATTCTTAAAAACTTACATATATTCCAACCTATCTTATATATGATAGGATTTCATTTTTTTAAGTCAATAACATTACATCTCTCTTTGATATTCAACATGGAAAACAGAAAACTATGTTTTCTACTAGGACAGAGATTGCTTGGTTTTCTCAGAACCCAGTCAACAATGGTTACATTTATGTTGTATTACAAATGATATGTATGTTGATTACGTATGATAGTAAGTTGTGAATCCTAGAATTTAATTAAAGAAAATAATTCCTTTTTCCATTTTACATAATTTGATAATAGGAAGAAGTCAAATTCTCTTCAGCCAAGAAAAGGAGGGGGTGGTGGCACAACTGTAGAAATTAAAAATTAGGCACAGTAACACTTAAAAAACAGCTTCTGAAGATGTTAAACTTCTAATCCAAACAACAGATACTGTAAGAACTTTTTTTTTTTTTTTTTTGAGACAGGATCTCACTGTGCCATCCAGGCTGCAGTGCAGTGGTGTGATCACGGCTCACTGCAGCCTCTACCTCCTGGATCAAGCAATCCTCCCACCTCAGCCTCTTGAATAGCTGGGACAATAGGCATGTGCCACCACACACAGCTAATTTTTTTTTTTTTTTCATTTTTGCTGAGATGAGGTCTGGCTTTTTTGCTCAGGCTGGTCTCAAACTCCTGGCCACAAGTCATCCTCCCACCTTGGCCTCTGGAAGTTCTGGAATTAACAGGCGTGAGCCATCCCACCCAGCCTAGTATTTCTTTTAACAGCTATTTCTGACCACATAAGATATTCAGACCTGCACTTTGATATCAAAAAAGGTCAGTAATAAAAATGCCAGTAATATGCTGTTGCCAAATATAGTACCTCTGTAGGGATAAACATTACTATTTGAACAGTATGTGATTTGAAACTACTGACATTTGTAAGACTAATGAAGGACAGGCAACTAGAAGTTTCCTACTGCAGCTTCAAGATATACTGATCAAATTATAGCAAGATCATGGTGATTCTGTATAAAGGACAATAAATTCTAATACAAATTGCAAACCTTAATCAATTCCTTGGTCTAGCAGGTAAGAAAATAGACAGTCAATGTGACCGTTTAAAAGGACCAACTTTATGTCAAAAGATAGAAAACCAAGCCAGGCACAATGTGACACACCTGTAACGCCAACACTCTGGGAGGCTGAGGCGGGAGGATGGCTTGAGCCTAAGAGTTTGAGACCAGCCTAGGCAACAAAGTGAAACCCCAGTCTCTACAAAAAATTAAAAAAAAAAAAATTAGCCACACATGGTGGTACATGCCTGTAGTCCCAGCTACTTGAGAAGCGAAAGTGGGAGGATCACTTGAGCCCAGGAGTTTCCCGCTGCAGTGAGCTATGATGACACCACTGCACTGAAGCCTGGGCAACAGAGCAAATTGCTGTCTCTTAAAAAATAAATAATATAATATAATACAACAAAAAAAGCAATTTGAGCTGTCTGTAGTAACTGTTTTAAAGTGGTCAACTGTTAATTTTAAAAAAACATGGTCTTTAGAGTTAGAAAGTCGTTTCAAACTTCACTGATTTTGAGCAGGTTGATTAAGCTTGCTGATACTGAGTCACTTTATTTGTGAAAGAAGATTAATAATCTCTACTTTTATGATTGTTAAAAGATTTTACCAAAAAGGAAAACATGTAACCCAATTAAAAATGGGTAAAGGACTTGAGCAGACATTTCTTCAGAAATGCTGTACAAGTGGCTAACAATTATATGAAAATATGCTCAACATTTCTAATCATTAGGGCAATGCAAATCAAAACCACAATATCAACTCACATCCATTCAGATGGCTACTAACAACAACAACAACAAAATGTAAATTAACAAGTGTTAGCAAGGGTGCAAAAAAATTGGAACCCTTATCCATTGTGAGTAGGACTGTAAAACAGCGTAACCACCACGGAAAACAGTATGGCAGTTCCTAAAAAAATTAAAAACAAAATTATCAGATGACCCAGCAATTCCACTTCTGAGTATATATCCAAATAACTGAAAGCAGGATCTTGAAGAAATATTTGCATACCTATGTTCATAGCAGCATTATTTACAATAGCAAAGAGGTAGAAGTAACCCAAGGTTTTTTATTGACAGATAAGTGGACAAATGTAAAATATACATACAATGGAATATTATTCAGTCTTTTAAGAAAAAGGAAACCCTGTCACATGCCACAACATGGATGAAACTTGAGGATGTTATGCTAACAAAAGCCAGTCACAAATAGACAAATACTGTTGTTCCACCTATATATCTAAAGTAGTCAAATTCGTAGAAACAAAAAGTAGAATGGTTGTTACCAGGGGCTGCAGGAAGGGCAAAATGGGATGTGGTTAAATGAGTATAAAGTTTCAGTTCTGCAATGAAAAAGTTCTGGAGACTGGTTGCAAAACAATGTGAATATACTTGACACTACTGAATTATACACTTAAAAATGGCTAATATAGTAAATTTTATGTCGTGCTTTTTACAATTAAAAATTATATAGATTTATATATAAACATATATATTACATATGAATATATGAATATATAATATATAACATGTATGTTATAGATTCATATATGAATATATAATATATATACATGTTATAGATTCATATATGAATATATAATATATACACATATGTTATATATTTATATATAAACATAGATATATATTATATATTCATATATAAATATATAAACATAGATATATATTTATATATGAATATATAAACATATAAACATAGATATATATTGATATATGAATATATAAATATATAAACATAGATATATATTGATATATGAATATATAAATATATAAACATAGATATATATTGATATATGAATATATAAATATATAAACATAGATATATATTGATATGTGAATATATAAATATATAAACATAGATATATATTGATATATGAATATATAAATATATAAACATAGATATGTTTATATATGAATATATAAATATGTAAACATATAATATATATTATACATATTTTATATGAATATATATTATATTTTATATATGAATATATATTTTATATATGAATATATAATATATTATATTTTATATATGAATATATATTTTATATATGAATATATATTTTATATATGAATATATATTTTATATATGAATATATAATATATATTTTATATATGAATATATATTTTATATATGAATATATATTTTATATATGAATATATAATATATATTTTATATATGAATAATGTATATTTTATATGTGAATATATAATATATAATATATTTTATATTCATTTATAAATATATGTATATATTCATTTATAAATATGTATTTATATATTCATTTATAAATATGAATAATCATATATAAGCATATATATTTATATATGTTTATGTATATTATGTTTATATATAAATATATATTTATAGAGGGAGATATTATATTATATATAGAGAGAGATATATATTAAAGTGGGATAATATATTTAAAGTGCCTAGCATATAACACAGACCCAAAACAGCATTAACAGATGAAGAAGCATTACTCTTCTGTGTTTAAGGACAAAGTCTTTAGAGCCAAAATTCTACTACTGGAGAGAGCCCTGACTGATACTAGCTGTGTGATCTTGGCCCTGAGTTTCCTCAGCTGCACAATGGATTAACAGTTGCACATTCCATATGGGGATATTACTAATTAATACATTTTTAAAAACTAGTCAGGCACAGTGAATCATGCCTGTAATCCCAGCACTTGAGGAGGCCAAGGTAGGAAGATCACTTGAGCCTAGGAGTTCGAGACCAGCTTGGGCAATATAGCCAGTCCTTATTCCTAAAAAATTAAATTAAAAGTGAACTTATAATACTCCTTGCATGTGATATGCTGTATTAAAGTGCTTGTTATTATTATATTATTATCAATTTCTAGACAAGGAAGAGTCTGTCGTATTTTTATTATAAAATTTTTAGTACTTACCTCATTTGATATTTTGGGTGAGTGCATTTTTACCATCATCATTCTCTACAGCCATAGTGAGTCAAATTTTGAGTACCCTATTCATATATAAAATACAGACTATTTGTGGATTTAACTTATTTTTAAAAGTAATTTGGTTAGAAAACAGCCATTAATTAAATTAAAAGATTTTAAAATTATTTCCATCAAATATCTAATAAAGTTGTATTTATAAATTCTGACATCATAGTTTTCTAACACATATTTTTTCATTTTTATTATCTTTGTCATCTTGCTTACTATATACATGTTTAGTGCACTATTAAAGACATTGTGTTTAAACTTAATTACCATAGTTAGCTGGAATTTTCAGAGAATAAAATAGGACAAAAAGAGGAATCCATGAAAAAATAGTATGGAAAAGTTAAAATAGAGTTTATTTGTCCTTGCATATTCAAAAATGTAGATAAAGATGTGGGATATTTTACTGATGAAATGCTATAACAATCTGAAAATAGAAACATTAACATATAGTTCATTCTAAATCCACATAAAAAAGCTTAAGAGAATGCTGTGGAAAAAGAAGCAATTTTTGTATATGCCACTCGTTATTTGATTGTTTAAAATAGCCATGTATACCAAATGTAAGTTTTTTCCTAATTAATTTCCTAATCAACAGTAAACCAAGCTACCAAATGTTCAAACTTAACAAAAAAGATATATAATACAGATAAATGCAATAAAAAAGTACTTAAACTTTGTTGTTTTTTTTTAAGACTGAGTCTTGCTCTATTGCCAGGCTGGAGTGCAGGCACATGATCTCAGCTCACTGCAACCTCTGACTCCCTGGTTCAAGCGATTCTCTTGCCTCAGCCTCCCGAGTAGCGAGTAGCTGGGATTACAGGCACGTGCCACCACACTCAGCTAATTTTTGTGTATTTAGGAGAGATGGGATTTCACCATGTTGGCCAGGATGGTCTCGATCTGCTGACCTCAAGATCTGCCCACCTTGGCCTCCCAAAGTGCTGGGATTACAGGCATGAGCCACCACACCCATCCAAAACTTTCTTTTCTATACTGAAATAGCATAATTTAAATAATCAATAACTATTCTAATCAAACAGTTATGAAAACAGAATACTGAATTTAATTATCTCTGTTTTACAACAAGAGTGATAATATGGCTTAAAAGTTTCCAAAATATACAAGCCACATATAAAAACAGGAAGAATCTACCTCACACAGATTAAGATTATTATTATTTATTCAACATGATGCTTTTAAAACCAATAAATGAACTAATGAAATATAATAGTGCTATTTCTGAAGGAGGGAATAAAAATTTTTATTAGGCCATTATTCTTAATTTACAAATAGAAAAATCTGCAATATATATTTGGAGGTGGGAGACAACATTTCTGATTCAGACCATTATTTCCTCGATAAAGGAAACAGCTTGTGAGCAGAAAATCGAAGGCCAGATGACTTCTGGTGGAAGAATATTAGGGAAAGCATCAATCCTTTGGGAGAAATGACATGACTGCAAGGGAAAAATAACTTTATGAAGACTTTTTACCTACCCTTTTACCTTACATATTTGTATACTATATTATTACTATTATTAAATTAATTATGTGTAACATATTAAGCAAAATTATATAATCATCCCTTGTAATATAATCATGCCATGAATATATATGAAAAATGATAAATAAATAGGAACGTTTTTCTGTAGCAAGTATGAAGATGGAAAAACTCAAGGATCTCTCCAAAAAACAAAACCTGATAGACAGTGCAACTCACCATCTCTGTTTATGATTCAGTTAAGAAGTTCAGGCATTCTAATTGCCAGTAATCTCGCATGTTAAGAAAAAAAAAAATCTAAAGAGTAAAGCCTGTATGGGAATTCTGGCAAATCTGATTTGCTGCAGTTTTTATTTCCTAACTGTCCCAGAGATACTAGAACCAAAAAGATTGTTTTCTTTGCTTTCAAGCCTAAGAGCTGCATGAACCTGGCAAGGGTGTCACTTCTAGTATTATTTCAGCAAAATGTTGTTAGTGGTACTTTCCTTTTTCTGCATCGGAGGAAATACACCAGTAACAGCAAGAAAATATCCTGTTCTTTAACTAAGAGATGTGAGAAGTAAATTCTGATTCTTGCCCACCAATCACCATTAATGCCTTAACACAAGGAATTCCATTCCTATGACCAAAGCTCTACAGCTCAAAAAGATTTCACAGAAGTCATGCTAAATGATTTCACTAAAGGAAAACAGCATTGGTAAGTAGATTCAGTCTCTCCTTAACATGGTAGCTTTTTGGACACTCTGCTTTGGTTTTGACCTTCAAAATTTCCTTTTAGAAATTAGCACTCTACTACTTACTACCAAACTCCTACATCTAGAACAGTAGGTACTAGGTGTCATAGTTTTGGCCCAGCAAGCACTACTCAAGCATGTCCATCATGGCTAAGAGGATACTGGGATAATATGGAATTTGGAAGAAAGATTGATTAGGGAGGCAAACAACTGACAGGCAATGATAAAAAACATTCCCATCAGAGGACACGGGGATGGAGACTGAGAATATTTTCAATAGATATTTAGATGATTGAAAGAGCATAACCAGATACCGTAGTTACCAACATTTTCTCCGAGTATTGAGTATCGCTTGCTTTCTTTTAGTGCTGATCATTCCCATTAAAGATTAAATTTCCCAGTATCCCTTGTAGCTGGGTGTTGACATGTAACCAAGTTCAGGCCTGTGGGATACAAGTAGAAGTAATGTGTGATGACTTTCAGGTGAATTCTAGGACAAGGTGATTGTCCTAGATTTTCTCTTAAACGCCTCCTGTTAGATAGGAAATGGCCATTAATAGAGAAGCTTGCTTGAGGGAGTAACCCTGAAAGCCCAGGCCTGGACACCCGTTTCTTGATGGTCTCATGCTTGCAAAAGAGAATTCTATCGTTACTCGGGTACTCTGATTCAGGGTCTCCTTTCTGCAGGAACTTAACCTCTCTCTAACCAACGCATTGGCAGTTGTAAGTGAGGTGGAAGAGAAAGAAATAAATCTGAACTGTCAGTAAAGTATCTGGATTTACCTATATAACCATTAATTGAAGTTCAGTAGTTGAAGAAGAAAGGGAAGATGCTAGTGCTTGATATTACCTATTAGGCAGCAAAAATATTTAAAGATGTTAGAGCAACACAATTATGTTGTTGAAGAGGAACTGTGGAAAAAAGAATTGAACTAATTGGCCAAGGGAGCACCATGATGCATGTCATTGTCATCTGCTGTTGACCATTCTAAAACTGGACACGACAGCTTAGACACGGCATTTCTATTTTGGCAAGTTTTGGAACTTATAGGACTAAAGTGGTTCAATACTTATAACTTTATATTTTATAAAAATTGAATTTTTATTTAAATTACAAAACTGGGCTTGAGGTGGCCAGAAATTGAACTGGCCAATAAAAGACAACACAGCTCTAAAAAACCTTTAGGTAAGGATTTTTCAATTGGCAATGTATTTTGAATATAATGTCACCTCATTTAGTAAGTATTTTCTAGTGATAACTCTGAGACAATTATTGTGGTAATGCTAGGTGAGTTGTAGGATCATGGAGAGGAAGGGAGACTACAATCTGTAGCTGTAGGGAGTTCACAGTCTAATGGGGTGTCCAAATCTGTAAACTAGAAGAGGTAGAAAGAATAGAAAAGATGAAATGATTTTCATAAATGAAAAAAGACATATAAATACTCCAGGAGCTTACAGGACTTGGATAGTATTTACAGAAGTCAAAGATCAGCCTTTAAAAATAAGTACATAAAATGAAATAAAATTATGACCCAGATCATGAAAACTAAAGTTGTGTGAGAACATAAAATGTCACTCTGAGTCACAATCATAAGATCTAAAAGCATCCAACCCCAAAGTCTTACTGTCAGAGTAGCAACATAAATGCTCTATAGTGGTACACGATGTTCCTTTTGTATATCTAGATAAAAAGTTTAAATATATAATCCCAAGCAAGCTGACTAGCTGTAAGAAACAGAAAAGCACACTGTGTCCACACATGTAACAGTAAATGAAATCATCTCAAGTTATAAGATGCAGAAAACCTAACCAGGAAAAGAAAAGAAATAAATAAAGAAACCTAACATGTCTTAACATTTTGGGGGTGGCTAGATGGATGTTGGCTTTCTACTCAACATGTTATGTGTAATAACTATACACATATCTGGTGCATACAAAAAACCTATAGCACAATATATAATTGCCTCTGTTTTCAGATTAATCTGTTGTCAACTTGACATACACACATAACACATATATGTAGATATACATTTATGCAAGAATCTACGCACATAAATACATATAAACATATACAACATACATAGAGTAATTTGTTTCTCTTACTTACACTTTTACACTTAGTTACACTTTTCTAGTCATTGACTGGAAGTTATGAAAGCTAGAGGGTTAAAAGTATTGCTTGCTTCTCTTTAATTTCTGTTAGGATAAACACATAGAAAATCGAGTAAAGTTTTGTGATCAATTCATACCTCCTGACAGAGTCTGATAATGTGATACCAGCTCTAGCTAAGATTCCCTTCAGAAACAAGCAGATCAGTGGACATTCTCTGACCTGCCTTCCTTCGTCATGTGATAACCTGATGACAAAACCAAACTTAAATCCTGACTGGCAAGCAGGATAGTGGTTGTAGTAGCAGGTTTAAAAAATAGGAGTGTGGAGTTTGTGCTGTGATCACGGCTTAACTAGGATCCTGATGACAAAAACAAGAGTCAGGATGCTGCCAGAGCCTAGCCCTTTGCTGCTGTGGTTACTCACTGGTCCCAGAATCATCAAAGATTGCCTATTGCTTCTCTTAAGAGGTCAGTTGCCTCTCTCCATTAAATCTCCCCATGATTTAAACAATATGAATAATAGTCCAATAAAAATATTACTGCATGCTACAGTCTTCACCAGCTCTGATCTGCAAATATATACACTATATTCACAAGCTTTTAAGAACTAAACCCAGTGCCTGTAATCACCAAAAAAGCAAAAGAAAGAGAGAAAAACACTCATGATAATGCACTCAATTAACTGTGAAGAATTCCCAAGAAATGCCTATGTTCTCAACTACAGTGAAATATAGGTAATTATTACCACAGTTACAAATGTTGTTTCATAGTGAGAAACACTGAAAATGTACATTTTCATAAGAATTGGATATCCATTATTGAGAAAGCATTCTTAAACAGAGAGAACAGTAGTTCACTTTATTAAATATATCCAAATTACAAATAAATCTTTAATTTTATTTTTGATACATATTGTTGAAAAGTATAATAGCACAACTTTGTTGCCAGAAAGGAGGATCCCTCAATGCTAAGAGTATGCCTGTAACTCAAGAAATATAATCAAGGCACATCATAAACCTAAACAAAGTACTGAGAGAGCATTCCTTAAAGATTCTCATTGTTTGAATTTTAATGGCCTGTAGAGCCATAGAATACTTTATTTGGAGTAGACATAGAAACAAATTGTTGTATTTACTTTCTAACAACAGTAGAAGTTGATAGACCCTCGAGAATCTTTACCCCTCTGTAGCCCACTAAGTTCCAGGAAATATCCCACACCATCATCCATTATCTCTTAAATAATCTGTGCACTTAAGAACCTCACCTTAGATGAAAAAGGCAAATAAAAAGAAAAAACAAATTAAGAATGTTCTGCTTACTATTCAACACCCACAAATCAGATATTTTTTAAAAGTCAACTTATAATTTGAGTGCCTCTGAGACATGTCAGCCTGTATTTTACATTTTCTCAATATTCTACATGTTCTTTAGCTTACATTAAGGTTAAATCTGTAAAGTTAAACTGTAGAACTTTATTATTACGTTAAATATACCCAAAGGATATTAAACATCACTTAAGGAATAAATGTAAACTGAAGTTGATTATGGTTTCTATAACACTAGTGGTCACCATTCCTTAAAACAAAAAGTTCAGAATGAGCCCCAGGTATTTTTATTGAAAAACAAATTTAATTTAATCTAGAACTATTTGAATTTCCATTAAAGGGTACAATCCTGTTTTTATTATATGAGTTACTTAAAAATTAGCATGGCCATCATTCCTCTTTTTTCTAAGTTTTTATTATATTGATTCCAAAATACAATATTTGAGGGCTTCTCATATTTTATCTTTTTTTGTCATTCCTAATTAATTTATGTATTTCAGTGAAATCAATAATAGATAATTTTGATAATGTTATTATACCATGCATTACTAAGTAATTCATTGGTTCCAAATTCCATACTCATTTATTACATGATAAAGGGTATGGTTTAATTAAACTATAAAATATAAATATTTGAAATATGCAATACATAAGCCACTCGAGCTAATAATTCAGTTTCCTCATAACGATGCTGATTTCCAATTCTCCTAATATATTCACAAGAATGGGATGAATGAATCCTTTACTCCTGCTCTGGGAGAAAGTAATGGTACCCCACAATTTTCCCACTGAGGAATCTTGTGTACTTAATTTTATCACTAGTCAACAGAGCCCCCCACCAAAAAAAAAAAAAAAAAAAACCAGCATGTAACCAGTATATCTACTGAATATATACCACTGTTGAGGGAGTTCTTATTTTATTTTATTTCAAAATCACATAATTATAACCTAAGTAAAGCATGCTGGTTCTATCTACTGTACTTATGTTTAAATGTGTTGACTTTTCTGTATCTTTAGATTAAGTGAAACTTGTATGCTTTCCTAAGACATAGATATTAAAATCCTTATCAGAATTTTTATACTAATAACCAAATAAATTAATAATTTTCAAAACAGTGAAAGCTCTTTATGTCTATAACATTAAGCATCGTACACTCCAAGCGTCCTTCAAAAGGACAACAAAGGTAACAAACTTTATTCAACAGACATTGCTAGCATAGAGCAGTCAAAAATACTTGAGGTTTCTCCTGTGTTAACACCTACTCATTGCAAGCTTGTTTCTCCTGTGTTAATACCTATTCACTGTAAGCTTGTCTTTGCTTTCATTGCTTCTTTAGCATTTATATTGAGGAAATCAAGAAAATGAGCCTCAACGGCAGTAGTTTTTATGCTCACCTACTCTCTCGTAACTCTATCCATGCTCTTTGTTCCTAAAGCTTTATTGTAAATCAATTATATTTACATACGTATATTACAAATATATAAAGAGTAACATTTATTTTTAAAATTATTCAATTAAAATATAATGCTAAATTGTATTTTTAAATATTATTTAAGATACTTTTAAAATGTATTTCAAAAGAAAGAACAGTTCAAACTTTCATTAAGGAGTCACTTGTTAAACAGTGCTGATTATGTAAAACAGTCACTTCGGAAGAAAAAATAATCATAAGGATTAATCCAAGCAATAATTATGCTGATGCTTTCCAAGGCTTTTGTATAAATAAAATTAATTATATTTTATGGGAAAAAAGCACAAAAGTACTTCAGTTAAATTGTTTCTCAAATAAGAGGTTCAGAATTCCATGTTTCTTTGCCCTCATATAAAGTGAGTACATAAATCATTATTTGAGATATGAATGCTCATGCAGAACATTTAAAGGTAGATTCATGCAGTATAGTATTATTTCAAGTAATGCCTTATCGCCATGTGCTTCCAGCTGAAAACCAACTGAAAAATAACATCCTGAGAGCTACAGAAAAGATTATTAAGCTAATGATTCCCCAAAAGGGAAAGAATATACATAAATAGCAGTGGGGTGGATGGTCTAGATAAGGATTATATATTATGCATTCTGAATTATTATTTGAGAAACCACACTGTCAGCATACCTTTCATCATGTTAATAATAAGCAACAGGTGGTTCAAGGGTAAAAAATGATGGCATTTATCCGCTCCATTCCCTCCAGAAGTCATCTTTGCAAAAACATAACTGTCTTACTAAAATGGTAATACTAAAACCTGATGAAAGTTTTTCAAATAAATCAATATTTATTTTTAGGTGTTGCATATACTTCAAAACAGATATTTGCATAAAATGTATCAGTAAATCCTTTTTAAAATTTATGTACAATTTTGATGGACTTTTTCCTTGAGATCCTAGAATAACTGAGAATGATATAGCAATAAAATCTCCATCTCTATAGAAATTGACTCCATAAATTCTAGCATATTTAGCTCTATAGTAGGCAACTCAGCTTGTCTCAATAGTTTAAGTCAAACACATTCACAAACTGTCCAAGTCCCTCAATAATTTAATAAAGTAATTTGAATAAAATAAGAGAATACTAAGTTATTCAAAATTTAAAATACATTTTAGAGAAGAAAGCTTTTATCTCTGCTCTCATTGAAGATAGTAATACTCTTACAATTCTCCCAGCGAGGAATCTTGTGTAGTTGATTTTATTAAAAAAAAAAAAAACCCAAAACAAATAGAAAACAGCATGCAACCAGTATTACCTACTAAATATATCCCATTGTTGGGAGGTCTTTCAAAAATTCATTTCTAGAAGATTTTAAAGCAGCCATTAAATAATGAAATGTCATAATGTCAAACACTGTTCAAATACTGATGAAGTGTTCAATTTTCGTTTTTGTTTTTGATTTTGCCAAATGAGGGCATGATAAACAAATTTTCTTTAGGTTTAGGAATATCTCACTCGCTATCCTTTTTGCTTGTACTCAATATTGGTGTAAACTTAAAACAAATATGCAACGGGTATGCTTTTATAAGGGCATTTATTTAGCAATAAAATGATGCTTAAGCTTTGTTCATGAAGTATGTAGGCAAGGTTCTCCATTAAATATTCTCAATCAAATGGCTAAACCTAATTTTAAAGTAAAAATTTGTGTTTCTTCAGGAATCCCTCTGCTAGATTTGGCTTGTCAGCTACTTCATGGAGAGGCTGAGAGAATGGGTTAGAGGAGGCAGGATGAAAGCTAGCCTAGGCTCCCTTTTATTTTCCTAAATGGTGACTGAGTCGGAGCTGATGAAAGAAGTTAACTCATCTCCACGTAGTGCACTGCAGATGGACTCCACGAGAAATTCTCTCAAATGTCACGGTAAGGATTGGCAATGTGTCTAGGAACCACTCTCGCTCCAGTTCAGGCCTTCCGCGTTTTAAAGGGTGGGCTAGGGGCGGTATTCAGCCAACAGGGCGGCCTCCTCACTGGGACAACCAAATTCAAGGCTTCCAGTTGTATCGTGCTCTGTACGTGAGCAGCTCTTACTGGGCTCCATTCAGATCAGGTGAGGAAAATAAAAATGACTGGCAAGCCATGGCCACTAGCTTCAAGTGTGGAAACCTGGCTCCCTCTTAATAACCCTTTTGAAAACTCCCCAGGGGAGTCTATGGTTTAACTCTTTTATCGCTGTCACCTGCAATCCTCCCGCCCTCGCAACCTCTTCCCGCAGAGTTCAAGGCAGTGATTCATTTTGGAATAAAATATAATCAAATGCATTGCAAAGATGTTCTAGATTAAAGTCATGTCGAAGCACAAATCTGATCGACAATTTTATGTAAGCGGGAGCGTTCAACGAGTCCTTACTGGTGCCGCCAAACATCCTCCCACCCTTGGAGAGCGGGCATTTATAAATCTTACATCTTCCTACCTCCTCCCTCAAATTCCTTAATGGACCATTAGTGACAGGATCGATCCTAGTTACTTTAGTAGCGATACATCGCAAAGGCACATCTGCTGTGTTTACCAGTGCCAGAAACACCATTCAAAAGTTGAGAGGTTAGAGCCAGCACTTTGTAACCTTTGTGGGCCGGGAGGGGGCACAGGGGAGAGCAGGGTGGGGGAGGAAGAGTGTGAACCTGGTGAGACCTGAACTCCTGTGCATCCAAGAAACAAGCCCTTGAACCAGCTGGGAGGGGGCAGCGGAACTGTGAACTTCTCCAGCAGCCCTGCGCCGCCGCGTTTCCCTAAACCCCTCTCCTCAGAAAACGGAGCCCACTCCCCACCCACATCCGGCGGCCGCGGCCCCCGCCTCGGAGCAGCGCGCGCGTGTGCCCGGGGATGTGGGTGCGCGGAACTTACGTCTCGGAATTTGTTCCACTGTCCGACTTCCTTGTCATACTGAGAGATTGTGGTGAGCCATTGTTTATCATCCAGAAAATTACCGCCGTCCGACCGCCCCCCGGCTGCAGCCACCGCCGCGGCAGCTGCGAGAGACTGACTGCACCAAGCGGCTGCACACACACACAGTACGGCTGACACCTTGAGCATCTGGGAGAGGAGACACAACGGGGGGTGGGGGGGCATGTCAGTGTCAAATAAGGGGTACGAAGCCAGGAGCGACCCTGGAAAACATGCATTAGCAACGACGAGGGTAGAGGGAGGAGGAGACAAGCAGAGGCAAGCGTGTCCCCTCCCCGCAGGCTTTACCCCCAAAAGCCGGGCACTCACACACACGCAGACCCAGAGGAGGAGAGGTGGGTATAAGGAAGCAAGCCCCAGCCGCAGCAGCCCGAGCGGGCACAAAACCGCTTCCTGGCACATCACCTTGTTGTGAGCCAGCACTGTGCTCGCAGCTCCTGCTGGAAATGCAGCCCTGCTCTGCCAACTCGCTGCTTTCTGGAGCTGCTGCACGCGCCGCCGTCTCGAGCCGTCCACTCAGCTCCCTGCGCCCGGCGCGCTCCCCCCATCTCCACCCTCCCTTCGCGCGCGGATCTCCAGCTTACTCCCCTCCGTTCCCCCTCCCTCCCCGACCTCCGTTTTTTTCCTCTTCCACCTCCTCCTATCCCACCTTCCTCTCGCTGGATCCCAGCTACAGTTGGCTCCGGATAGGACGCTTGGCTGGAGCCAGAGGACGAGGTAGCTCCTAGCCTAGGAATCCTTATCTGCTTTGTAACCTCTCCCCTCCAGAAGAGGTTCTCATGTTCGCGAGACAGCCTGCTCATTCTCTGCTCCTGGATTTAACACAAAGTGTACTATCTCTCGCAGTTGCCTCTGCTCCACAATTTCCAGGGTTGTCAGGCAGACGTGAGAAACAAGATCTGAGGAAAACTTTATGCATTAATAAATAAGAATACCTGGACTTCCTACCCTGTAAAGCTCCTGAACTCAGCTCCTCCCTAAAGAAAGGCCATCTATCCACAAGGTCTTGGGAGATCTGTTTAATTTCAGAAAATTTAAAGTTTGCTGTGAGCTTCTGGATTACTACCGACAGCAAACTTTCATGTTAAAGGTTGCAGTTTCTTTTTTTCTTTTCCTTTGTGTGTGTGTGTGTGTGTGTGTGTGTGTGTGTGTGTTTTGTTTTGAGAGACAGAAGCATAACGAGGTAGGGCGTTTGAGAACACCTATATCTCCTACATACTGTAGCTGCATTTTTCCCTTTATAAAAACTCCCTGGCAGCTTTATTTTAGAACGTAGAACCTGAATCGGAAACTTTAAAAGCCTACTGTCTCCCTCCTGCAAAATAAGACAGTTTTGAAGCCCGAACACCAATTTTGTATTCCAAACTTCCATTTATGACAAAATATTTGGCTTTCCATGTCGTTTCTACATATTCTAAATAAACTGGAAGGAAATCAGTAATTAGCCCCTTGTAGAGAAAATCTGATACAGAGAATCTCTCATATTTAGAGAATTTAGGTGAAGTGAATATTACACATAAATCAAGAAATGTCTGCAAGCCAATAGACTGCAATAACATTATGAATCTCTATTTGAATTATTAGAGATTTCAGCCAAAACTACATCTCCCAAAGCTACGACCTTTGAACATTTCTTGTAGCCTCCAAAACTTCAGAAGCTATTCGAATAGCAGCAGTACACATTTTCCATATCAATCTCGTCTAACATTTTGCAATCTATATTAACAAAACGACCAAACTCAATGTTTAATGTTAATTTCCTTTTTTAATGTAATATTTCAAAATAAATGTATAATATGTATGGTAGGAAATATAAGTGTAATATTTATATAGGAAAGAAATTTCTATTACTATTTTTAACTCAGAAAAAGATGTTTTTCTCAATTCCCCCCATTTCTACAGTGATGAATGCAATTAGTGGAGAAAAACACGGAACATACTACTGCAATTCATGGGAGCCCTGATTGACACGAACAAATGTCAGAAAACTTTAAGAATATAGATGTGTGCTAATTCTTCAAAGATATTTATTTTTGCCTGTTCACAGAGGGTTATTACCATGTAGTTTACATATTTAAATTCTTGTTTAGTAAATTTATTAAGACAATAGTAGGTGGTCCATTCTCCACTATCACCTTTTCCTGACCCCTGGTCCTTTGACCTCCCACACTCTCATCCTTAGCTCTCTTCCTCAAAATTTGAAGAAATACTTTATTATTAATAAGAATATCTCATCATGTTTTAAAACCTCATTATTTCTAAATTTAAGTCTAATAGGGAAAGCACAGAAATTGTTTCTTACAAGAAACTGATACTTGGCAGAAGTCAGTAATTCTAAAAGTAAAAATGACCTTCTAACCTTTGTAACTTACCTTTTAAAAAGATAGTTGTTATTAGCTACAAAATACTTGATGAGGAATAATGCTCTAACACTCATCCCCTTCAGCATCTGCTATACATTTTAGCTCAATAACTGGCACCATCTAAGGCCAACATGGTCACCTTTAGATTTATGGAAGCACATATATTTATGTTTATACAGCATTTCCCCCCCAAATACGTCTATTTTGTGGCTGACTCTCCAATGTTCAGAGCATGTTTTCACATCTAGCTTTCACTGGCAGCTTCCCATACTGCAGCTCCACAGGGACGTCTCCAAGTTGTGAAATTTGTTGAAAACAAACAATGACAGTTGAATTCATCTTGGGAGAAATGCCTTTGATAGGGTTTTAAACTACAGATCTGAAGATAGAGTAGGATTTACTAGCAAATTGCAAGTTTAAAATTCTAAAGTCAAAAGAGGCAGAGTGAGCCTGTCTACAGTGTATTTGTGTTGGCCTGGTGTGGTCCAGTCACCTGACTGCTCCTACAGCTCCTTAAGCTTCTCTTTCCAAGCCATTGCCATTGTCTAGGCTAAGTGGGCATGTTGGTAGTGAGAGTCAAAGTCTAGTAGGTGTGATGTTGTGATGTTATTAATCACAGGGAAAGGTTTCTATCAGTTTCTCTATATATCAATATTTTGGTCCTCAAACAGCCTGCTTTCAAGGTTTAAATAATCCTAGGAGAATTCACACTTCAGTTAACACCTTGGTTATCAGTTATCACCTCAGTGGGGATTCATTGAAAGCTTGCTGAGAGCAAAACACAGCAGAGAATAATAAGGGAAGAGTATTAGGTGGGCAGTAAGATATTGGAAGAGAGTAGTCAGGAGCCTTGTATGTCAAGGTAGGTGAGTAGACAAGAAATACTTCACTGACTGCTTCCCAGATAGATGGAGAGCCAGTCTAAAAAACTGGAGAAGCCAAAAACGCAGAAAGTGGGGTGCAGCATATGAGGTGGGTAAAGTGAGACGCTGGTGCCAGGGCTGGGACTTGATTTTATTTTTCAGATCATGCTTTACAAAATTGGAACTCAGAGCAAGACACAGGGCTTCAGATTCCCAGCCCCTTTGTTGTCATTCTGCCACCTGATGCAGAAACATAGTTTAGATACATTATGAAAAGCCAATGCTGAGGCCACTGCTAGATTGAACTTTGCTTTCATATTTGTGTATTTGTCCCTTTAGTTGTTCTTTCTCTCTAAACGTTCAGTAAATCAGTCCACAAATATCTATCATGAAAGATGTAAGGAACATTTTTGATAGGTATTATTTTAATTAAATGTATTTCTTCTGAAGGTTTCCTTACCCTCATTTTCAGACATGACACAGCTCTAGAAATAAAAATGCTAAGCATATATAATGACAGCTGGTCCATTTCTAACCGCCTTTGAGGTTGGATCCATGACCTTCATATAACTCCATTTATTTAAATGCGTGCACAACGTGCACACACACACACACGGTGTGGTCTTTCATAGGTTATTTTTTTCCCCAACAACTATAAAAGCATGCTACTCCATTATCTGTAACCAACATGAGGATATGCAGGAAAGGTCCAATTTATTGCACATCTTCCATGTGCCACACACAGAGCCAGGCAATTTACATGCATGATACCTTTTAGCCTTCACTGCCTAAGATCCTATAGCTACTAAGTGCAAAGGAAAGTTCTGGAGAATGATCAAGCTACTTTGTTTCTAGATATTTTTTCTCTATGTAGAAATATCTCTGAATCATCTTCTGTTTATGCTCTTTAATTCTTCTGCCCCCATATCTTTCCTTCTCCACCTGTTGCATATTTATTTATCTATCTCTATTTCAGTAAGAGCTAGGACTCATCTATAATTAAAGGCAGGAAAAGAGAGAATGGCTACTTCAGGGAGCTTGCTAAGCTAGGCAGAAGCAGCTCCACTTGTATAATGAGCACCTTAGTCCCTGACTCAAATGATGACCCTGTCCACTGGAATCTTTCATCTCAGCAGCATCAAGCCAGTAGCCCAGCAGGCAATCCGACTGGTTGGCTGAGAAGAGAATTAACCAAGACTGCCTCTCTCTCCTTATTGCAAAAGTGTTTGCCAATCAAGCAAGTGTTGTTTGTCTTCCCTGTAGGAATACATGCTTCCCATTACCTTCCCAGCTGGTGGAAGGTAAGGAGACATGTGCATTAAGGGATTTCCAAGTGTCTGACTTCACCCAAAGCTGTAGTTTAATGATATATGAGTTAACCTAAAAACAAAATTTGGCCATTTCTGAAATATTTCATTATAAGGCTAGGGAAACAATACCTGATATATAAAAGTCAACCATCTAGAATGGTGCCTTATACCAAATCCATCTTTGAGTTTAAATTAAGCATATAAAAGAGGAAAAAAAATGAAGGAAAACCCTGGGTATTAAAAACTCAGGAGTAAATTAAAGACGTCATAAAATGATGTCAAGAAGGAACACTCTATGTCTTCATTTTGGAATTGTGTTTACTGAAGTCTTGTAAGTCTTAAAAATCGTGTGTTCTTAATTTAATAGAAAGTAGCACCATTACTAGTATGTGCATTGAGGATATCAAAAACAAACAAAACCAGAATGGAATTTCTAGAATAGGATGTTAACAGACTTTTGTTGTTGTTCGTTTGTTTCTTTGTTTTTAGAGATGAACCCACTGAAGCAAACTTGGAAGATATTAGGTACCTAATTTGATAAACAGGACCTCTTGTGATTTAACTTAATCTAAAACATTCAGTAGATAAACAGACTTTAACAGCTGTAGTAGATATTGGAAACTCATTAGTCAGTTCAATTACTATAATTCTTAAAAAGGTATTTTTCAACATTTAAACCATAGGGTGAAACTGACTGAATTAACTGATTACTAAGGAGATGATAGGAAAATGGCCAATAAGGCAATTAAAGTTTGTGTTTTCTTTAAATTGAGATATATGTTTTGACTTTGTAAAATAAAGACTTTCTGAAAAGTTCAATGAGCATTAATTATAAATATTTAAATTTTCCTGAGGGCTATGAGACACTGACACAAAAAAGGATAAAATAAAATGTTTAAGAATATTTTAAAAATAATTTCACTCTATGCCCATGCACAGAAAGACACACATTCTTATATTAAGACTATTAAATTTAAAAATTTGCATGTGAAAAAGGTTTCTAAAAACACCTCGGTTCTTGAGATTTATACCAATGTGTTTTTAAAATTTTGTTAAACCTGCATATTTATTAATGATCTTAATATAAAAATATATGGGGAGCCAGTTTATTCTTTGACTCAGAATTCTACTTGGCTGAGTAAGGTATATTGTTCTAAAATGGCTATAGAGTTTCTATAGTCAAGATCTACAAAGAACCTTCTATGTTTATCTTTGTAAGTTGTTGTTTGTTTATTTTTAGCTGACCAGTGCAAAACGGGCATTATATATCATTCGCTGTTAAATTACCATGGGTTAGCTATTTTCAGAGGATAAAAACTATCCCAAGTGCTATTGCAAATTCATGCCACTTATTTCTGTCCTCTTGGGTAAATGGAGAGTTCCCTTAATGTGAGGCAGTCATACTAAGAAGGAGTATAAGGTTAAGATTACTGTCCATACATACCATGCCAAGCATCCCGTTTTCTACAAGATAAATGAAAGTAAGGAAAGGAATAGGATGTTAACAGGCTTTAACAGGCATTAGTTTAATTTTAGTTTAAAAATTAAACTAAAATGTGAAACAATTTTTAAATATGTTTATTGATTGTTCTCTAAATGTTATACAATAAGCTTCAAACTAGGGATAAAAAATGTGGCTAAGTTGAAACATGATCTCTCACACTCTTGTGAGCAAAAACACATAATTTAATAATTTAATTAGAGTACAATGAGTGAAGATAGATAATATATGGAGCAGGTTTCTTCCTGAATTAATGAGGGCACTGAAATCTGAATGTATTGTCCTATAGAAATAAAAAGTTGACAGGTAGGCTTGACCTCAGACAAACAGCTCAAACAAAGCTGGTGAGCTTCTCCATCATGTGCCAGTTCAATCAGTGGACTTTATAACATGAAACTTCAACCTTCCAAATTCAGGTGCCTTAAACAATGGCATAGCACTTACAAATCTCACATTATGGAAAAGGGAGAGATTCTTTTCCTAAAATTCATTCACAAGAAAAGAAGAGTTCCTCCACCTTGGAAGCTTTAACAGTTCTGACCTTGTATCATATTGGTTTTCATCTGGTTACATGTCCAACCCTAAAATAATCCCTGGTGGCAAAGATGATGAGAAGTGGACAGTGATAACCCAACACTCAAGCAGTGATAGGAAACAGTCTCTACCAAATCTTTGATTTGTAAGTCTGAGAGGGACTAGTTCTTCAAAGAACAGAAGATTAGAGCACTGTTTCACCAATGGCAGGATCAAAGATGGCAAATGTAACCGATTTCTACCAGAGACTTGCAGGGGATACTGTGGGAGCAAAGAAAGGGGTCATTTAAGAGACAAGATGTGAACCTTGAAAAATAAGCCTTAATAGTCAGAAAAAGAGTGGTAAAAATAACATGTCTTGTGGAGGGAAGAAGGTAGATAAAATCAGAGAGATGTGAAATGACATGATGTTCACAATAATGTTTTTCCTTATCTAAAATGTTAATATATAGACACAAATAGAGTGTATAACACTAAGTGAAAAGTTGAAGCGAAAAAATATCTCTCTTAAAATAATGTTTTTGAAGTGTTTTTCAATCTAATATGCCTCACTTAGCTGCCTGGAAAGCTTTCTAGTGCTCATTGATGCTCAGAGAATTCCCCTGTGAATCAAGCAAATTCTTGTCTTACTTTTTAGAACATAAATACACATGGGATAGCACAGATCAATAATGCAAACTCCTCTTTTGTTTTTTTTAATAAGTAAAATATTTTTGCTCTTACAATTTTTTAAACAGGCAACAATAATTTAAAAGTTTACTCTTCTAATCAAGCTCTGGGTTGCAATCAACAATGACACAGCTCAATTTAGCTCGGGTTGTACTGTGAATTGAGGTATTTTTTCTTGACTTTTTAAAGGAGTTTTTAATAACAAATTTAATTTTTTACTTGGTATAGGAACTATTCAGATTATATATTTCATCTTGGCTTGGTAGTGGGTGGATTTAGAGGAACTGATTCATTTCTCCCAAGTCTTTGAACTTACGAGTGTAAAGTTATTTGTACCATTCTCTTCACATGTTTCTTGTGGCTGCATGATCTGTAGTAATAGCGCCCGTTTTATTACCAATATTGGTGATTTGTTTCTTCATTCCACTTTTGTTGGTCTTGCTAGAGTTTTATGATTTTTTTTAATTTTTTGATAAATTAACTTTTTGTTTTATTGATTTTCTCTGTTAGTACATTGGTGCAAAAGTGACTGCAGTTTTTCCCATTACCTTTAATGACATTTAATGACAAAAACCTCAATTTCTTTTGCATCAACCTAACATATTCCTGGTTTCAATTTTATTAATTAAAAAAATCTTTATTATTTTCTTCCTTCTGCTTGTCTGGGTTATTTTGCTCCCTTTTTCTTAATGTCTTAAGGTAGGAAATTAGGTTATTAATTTTGGAATTTTCTTTTTTCCTAATTATAAGCATTTTGTGGAAGAAATTTCCCTCTCTGCACTGCTTTAGTTTCACCTCACATATTTTTATGTATTTTGTGTTCATTTTTATTCGGTTCAATGTATTTTTGGTTTTCTTTCAGAATTCTTCTTTGACATAGGTTATTTAGAAATGTGTTGTTTAATTTCCAAATGTTTGGAGATTTTTATATTTTTTATTATTAATTTCTAGTTTTTTCCAAATGGTCAGAGAACACATTCTGTATGATTCAATTCTTTTAAATTGGTTGAGATTTATTTTATGGCCAAAGATCTTAGTTATTTTAGACAAGAAAATATACATACTTAACTTCTCATATTGAGGTTTTACCTCTTTGAACAAAACTTAAAAGACCTTACCTTCATTTGTTACCTGGAATATTTTCTCTACATACATGAGGCAACACATTTAAATGGCATTATAATTTTTGCTTCAACCATCAAATATGATTTAACTTATAAGAACAGTATTATTTTATTTACCCTACTTTTTACCCATTTTAATGTTCTTATTTCCTTTAGGAAGTTCTAAGACTATTTTTGGTTATCATTTTCTTTTTCTTTAGAAAACTTCCTTTAGCCATACTTCAAAGGTAGGTTTGCTAGTGATTCTTGTTTTCAGTTTTCTTTCATCTGAGACTGTCTCTATTTCTTCTTCATTCCTGAATGATAGTTTCACCAGATAGATAATTCATGGTTGACAGTACTTTTATTTTAGCACTTGGAAAATGATGCAACCTTTTCTTTTATGCCCCATGGTTTCTGTTTCATATGTGAAATCCACTGTTATGTGAATTGTTATTCTCTATGTAACACAATCTCTCTCTCCAGACAATTTCAAGATGTTTTGCTTTATTCTTAGTTTTCAGAAGCTTAGAATGTGTGGGGGGTATATTTATTTGGTGTTAATTCATCTCTTGAATTAGTAGGTCTGTGTCTCACCATATTTGGGGAGTATTTGCCCATTATTTTTTTCCAAGTACTTTGCCAGCATTTTTTTCTGAGTCCTCTTCTTTGACTCCAATAAATAAATGTTAGTTCTTTTGTTATTGGTTCACAGCTCACTGAGATTCCGTACTTTTTTAATAAATTCAATTGATGTGTTTACTGATTTTCAAGTTCACAGATTCTATGCCCGGTCAACTTTACCCTACCACTTAGTGAGGTTTTTATTTCAGTTATTATATTTTCCAGTTCTATAATTTCCATATTTCCACCTGGTTCTTTTTTTTTTTTTTTTTTTGGCGGAGTCTCGCTCTGTCGCCCAGGCTGGAGTGCAGTGGCGTGATCTTGGCTCACTGCAAGCTCCGCCTCCCGGCTTCACGCCATTCTCCTGCCTCAGTCTCCCAAGTAGCTGGGACTACAGGCGCCCGCCACCAGGCCCGGCTAATTTTTTTGTATTTTTTAGTAGAGATGGGGTTTCGCTGTGTTAGCCAAGATGGTCTCGATCTCCTGACCTCGTGATCCACCCGCCTCAGCCTCCCAAAGTGCTGGAATTACAGGCGTGAGCCACCGCGCCTGGCTGTTCTTTTTATATTTTTCTATTTGCTTGCTAATATTTCTTATTTTTTTCATTTTTAAAGAGAATTTGTAACTGCTTGTTGAAGCAGCATTTTAATGCTTCAATAATCTTTGTCAGCTAACTCAAACAACTGATTTCACCTTAGTACTAATGTGTGTCAATTGCCTTTCTCAATTTGGATATTCTGTTATGACTGGATTCTATTTCATCTTTTTTTTTTAAGTATGTACCCCTTATTGAATTATATAACCAGAGTTAGGTGGGTAAGTTCAGCTTTCCAACTGGGTCCTGCCAACCCTACTGCTGGCAAAAGTGGAACAATATATTGCCTTTGGAAGATGCTTGAGATGGACATTCAGCTACTGCCAACATCTTCCCAGCAAAAGTGGGATACCTCCTTGCCTTTGAGTTGGGGAGCAAGGCAGGGAACTGAGCTCCCTACTTAGCCACAGTGGCATCTGGGAGGTGGGAATTAGAAGAGTGACCCACACCTCTTTGTTGCTTAGCATGAGGGGAAAACCTCAACTACTCTGGAGCCACCTGACATTAAAGGATGGGATGGAGGCAGAAATGCCAACTAGCTTTTACTCCCAATACCTCAGTCACCCTTGTTAATAACTGGTGAGTATGGAAGTTTGACTCCTCAGTGGACTCCAGTAACACTAATAACTGGGAAAAAATGGAGTGCTGATTTTCTGGGACTCACACTGCCTTATTCAATCTCTCAATGACTAGTAAGGGTGGAGGCTCAGCTCTGCCTCCCTGGTTCACGCCATTCTCCTGCTTCAGCCTCCCGAGTAGCTGAGACTACAGGCGCCCACCACCAAGCCCGGCTAATTTTTTATATTTTTTACTAGAGACGGGGTTTCACTGTATTAGCCAGGATGGTCTCGATCTCCTGACCTCGTGATCTGCCTGCCTCGGCCTCCCAAAGTGCTGGGATTACAGGTGCCCCTGTATAAAATTGCAGTTTATTCACTGACATTTGGCTGGAGTAGAGTGGTTATTGCCAAAAACAGGTTTCACTGTAAGGCTACCCTTTTCCAAGTCCTTTGCTAAAGAAAACCAGATTTTTTTCTGAGGATTTTTGTCTGTTCCCCTTGCCACTTCCAGGTTGGAGCCTTCTGCGTTACCTTGTCTGGGATATACGGATAAGAATAAGGAGCCCAGTGAACTCACCTCCCTGTTGTTTCTCAACTCTTGAGGTCCCTAAGCAGTTCATTTCCTTCTTTCCAGCCTTTCAGAGTCTTCCTATACTGATTTTTTGAATTGTGTTCAGGGTTTTTTTTTCTGCTGTAAGAAGGAGATTTTGGGTAAAATGGGATACTCCGTCGTTTTCACCAAAACCAGGAATCTCTTGACTGTTTTTTGTTTGTTTGTTTTGATGTGTTTTGTAGAGTCAGGGTCTTACTCTGTTTCCCAGGCTGGAGTGCAGTGGTGCAACCATAGCCTCCATCTCTTCTCTTCACCTCACCAGCGGCTCACACACCCCCATCATCCCAGCACAAGTACAGCCTCGAACGCCTGGGCTCAAGTGATCCTCCTACCTCAACATCCCAAGTAGCTGGGACTACAGGTGCCCATCACCACGCATGGCTAAGTTTTTTGTTGTTGTTGTTGTTGCTGTTGTTGTTGTTTTCCATAGAGATGGTGGTCTCACTCTGTTTTGAGCTCTTGACCTCAAGCAATCCTTCCAACTTGCCCACTCATAGTACCAGGATTGCGGACATTAGCCACTGCACCTGGACATTCTTGACTGCTTTTAAATAACTAATTCATTGGCTCTACCCTGATATCTGCTTTCACCATCCCTCTGAAACAGAACTCTAAAGTTTAGCTGGTAATAAAAGACGATAGTTCTCAGTCTTCTTTGTAGCTGAGGGAGCAACATAGTTCTAGCCAATTAAGTTTAAATAGAATTCATTAATTCTCTCTTGAAATGTCTTTACAAGGTAAGGGTAGTACCAGTTTTCTTCTTCCCACTTCTGGGATAAAGGCCTAGATGGCTAGAACTCTACCAACATCTTGTCATCTCTATAATGCAAGTCAATTATTGAAGATGTCAGAAAAACATGATAGGAACATGAGTCCCTGATGATATTGGGTAACCATTTCAGATAGAAAGAAATAAACTCAGCTGGGTGCGGTGGCTCACGCCTGTAATCCTAACATTTTGGGAGGCCAAGGACTTTGGATCACCTGAGGTCAGGAGTTTGAGACCAGCCTGGCTAACATGATGAAACCCTGTCACTACTAAAAATACAAAAATTAGCCGGGCATGGTGGCGAGCGCCTGTAATCCCAGCTACTCAGGAGGCTGAGGCAGGAGAATCGCTTTAATCCAGTAGGCGGAGGTTGCAGTGAGCTGAGATCATGCCATTGCACTACATCCTGGGCAACAAGAGTGAAACTCCATCAAAAAAAAAAAGCAAGAAAGAAACTCGTAAAAGTGGGATATTTTTAAAACGTGTCTGCAAATACTTTGAACTTAGTGACACATGTCTTACACATCAAACATGGCAGGAATAATGCTATGTGACTTCTGAGGCTGGGTAATAAAAAATAATAATTTTCACCTGGCTCTCTGTGTGTGTTTCTTTATCATATTGCTTGCTCTAGAAAAGCTAGCCACCGTGTTGTAATAACACTCAAGAGACAGGAATAGAAAAGATCTGAGACTATTCACAAATAGCTGCTACCAGCCAGCCAGACACCTGAGTGAGCCCCCCTGAGAAGCACATCTTCCATGCACAGTTAAGATTTTAAATGACAGTAGCTCTGGTCAAAATTTTGACTGCAACCTTATGAGGGCCTCTGAACTGGAACTGACCAGTCAACTGCTCCTCCTGAATTCCTGACCCACAGAAACTATGAGAAGTGATAAATACTTACTGGGTTTTTTGTTTTGTTTTGTTGAGACGGAGTCTTGCTCTTGTCACCCAGGCTGGAGTGTGATGGCATGATCTCAGCTCACTGCAACCACCGCCTCCCGGGTTCAAGTGATTTGCCTGCCTCAGCCTCCTGAGTAGGTGGGATTACAGGCAGCTGCCACTACACCCAGCTAATTTTTGTATTTTTAGTAGAGACAGGGTTTTGCCATGTTGGCCAGGCTGGTCTCGAACTCCTGACCTCGTGATCCACCCGTGTCGGCCTCCCAAAGTGCCAGGATTACAGGCGCAAGCCATTGTGACCCACCTAATACTTAGTGTTTTAAACCACTAAGTTTTGGAGATAATTGTTTTATGCAGCAATAGATAAGTAATACAAAGTCTATCATGGTAGGTCACTTATTTTGTGGGGTGTGTGTGTGTGTGTGTGTGGCATGTTGTAATAGGCATCTGAACTCAATCGGGACTGAGGGACTTAATCAAAGGAGGGGATGAAAACACTGCAAGGAGCACTAGGATGTAATTGGGCTTCAAAAGTAATGATCTGAGGCTTGACAGCCACCATGACTATGCCACATCTTTCAGTTCCTCTACACATCAACCTAATTTTCTTTAACCGTAGGCAACATTCTCCACATCGTTGAATGATATGGGGCCATCAATACTACCATGTACTATATCCATTCTCAGGGAGGGGCTAAGTCTTTCCTATTAAAAAGAAGATAGGTTACATATTCCAATTAAACAACTAAAAAAGGAAGATATCTGAGGAGGGTGGGATTAGACATTTCCTGTAAAATGAGATGGAGAAATGTGTGACACACAGTCCCATTTAAGTCATTTACACATGCTGTTTTACAGTTTCCTAAGGCAAGCTTTTTTGGTTCATTCTTCTTCATGAACTACCTCCTTGCACAAGACAACATATCTTTTTTTCTTTTTCTTTTTTCTCTTTTTTGAGACAGAGTCTCGCTCTGTCACCCAGGCTGGAGTGCAATGCCGCGATCTCGGCTCACTGCAACTGCTGCCTCCCGGGTTCAAGTGATTCTCCTGACTCAGCTGCCCAAGTAGGGATTACAGGCCCCTGCCACTATACCTGGCTAATTTTTGTATTTTTAGTAGAAATGGGGTTTTACCGTGTTAGTCAGGCTGGTCTCGAACTCCTGACCTCAGGTGATCTGCTCGCCTTGGCTTCCCAAAATGCTGGGATTACAGGCTTGAGCCCATGCTTGGCTAACATATTTTTTTCTAACTTTAGGATAAGGATTAAGAGATTTGTAAGTCATAGAAAGAGATGTGTCTATTCAACCTAAATAGCCCTTCCTCTAGGAAGCCTTCCTTGACTCCCTTGATCTTGACTGGCTACTCTCTGCTCTCTCTGTTTTTCTCTGTGCATATCTATGTTCTAGTACTTATTAAAACAGTGCCCTAAAATGTTGTCCGTTTGTTATATTCCCACTATGCTGTATATTCCTGTAGGAGGAGAGCTTGTTTAATGAGCTCTGCATGCCTTGGGCCCAAAATAGGTGTTCAACATAATGAGTGAGCAAATCTGTGACTAGAGGTAAGAGAGACTGAATTAAATTTTGAAAAGGTTATCTTATTGATTACATCATATATAGTTTTCCTTTTTAATACTTTTTGACTCTGCCCTAGTTCTTCACCTAATATGAGTAGACATGAAAAAAAATCTCAGTCTTTTGGTCACTCTCTTTCTACAGAATCCAGACAGCTGAGGTTAAACAGAACATGCTTAATAAAAAGATTTGCGGAAACTCATGAAGTATCCAGGAGAGCCAGAAAAGCATTCTTGAAGACTAAACTTTTGAAAACACTGACCTATCCAGAACCATTCCTGTGAAGATTCTATCACTCTATTCACTTCCACCATCATTACCAGAAAAATGTGTTCTGAGTTACGCATGCTGTATGACATTGTTGGAATGTAATAGTGTCTGATCCATAGAGCGTAACTTCAACAAGACTGTATAAGCAAGCTTCTGACTTCTGTCTTGGATAGGCAGGACCTGTAAGAAAGTTCCTTAAACAGAAGATTCTTCAAAAGATATCACAAAATATAGCAAATATCCACCACAGTTAGAAGAATCCAAAAATACTGCCTTAGAGATTACATTCAGAGTGATGATTTGACAAATTTTCAGTCATTGCATAACGTCGGGTAGTAGCTGGAGAAATACTTGGTATGAGAAATATCTGTAAGGAAATTTCTGGCTCAGTTGAATGGATAACAACAAATGGAAAGTATCTTCTAATCTGGAACTTCTGAATCTATACAGTTTTTAATCTGCCTAGGCATCTTATTAGAATATCTCAGCCTCAAAGAAGTAATTCATCCACCAACTCTACTAACCTTTTTTGTTAGAACTTCTTTTAGTGATGGTGACAAACCCCAAAGACAAACCAGTATATAGTATCTATCTGCACGGGCACAGAGACAGAGACACATGCATAAACTCAAACTAACACTTGATTTTCTTAGTCAAACAAATTTCATTTTGGTATCTGGTCCAGGGAAAAATTTTAAATACCAAGGTGAAAACTAATTTCATATTATTTACAATAGTGACTTGATCCTAGTAACTTGGTAAGCTTTGCCTTCTATTTTGTGTCGCTTTTCTGAAAAAGGGAAAAATAATTCCTCATGAAATTATGAGACTTACTGTTAACTATTCAAATTGGAAGATTTATATAGACAAATTCTAAAAATAGGAGTTGGAAAGGAATAGGCCATAAAATAAAGGAAATACTTCAGTTTTTGAAGTGGAGTTTGTAGAGACAGGACACAAGTCCAGCCTCATTATTTTATGAACAAAGAAGCTGAAGGCCACAGAATAAATGTTATCACAAACTATAAAGTTAGTAAGCAATACAATTCCTCAGGTAGCACATTTTCCTAAACATGGTGTAATAGAAGAAGGATAGCAGACTGTAGTCAAACCTGGGGGATCAAACATAGGCATTTATCTCTGGCTCCTTAGGAAACTTCTAAAATGATAAAACAATACAAATGTTATAAACGACATAGACAAAAAGAGCAGGAGAAGAGATGACAGAAAACTGTAGGGGTCAACACTATTTGTAAATCAATTAAATGATAGGGCTGGAGTATCACTGCAGGGCCTTTTGATTTTACAGGCTATGAACACTCCATTACATTAGATGTTTTACTGTAAATAACCCTCATGTAAGAGGACTTTTGTTCTCAGTTGTCTGCTTATGTGTAAAAGTCAACACCTACTTGGCACTCTTTCCCTCTTTATAACTAGAGAATTAGACCAACTAAACAAAGGATTTTCAAATTAGAAGTACATAAATACATTTTATTTTAGTCACACTAACACAAAGCACAAAAACTCATATACACCCAGACACAAGTTTCACAAAAACAACTCACCCTTACTACATTGATAACAATGTTCTCATTGCCTTGATATTTTCTATATTGTTATTTCCAACTGTGCTCATTTGGTTAAAGGAGTGTAACCAACAGATGTATTTCATAGCTCACTAATGAGCTTGACATGAAACTTGATGTAGCTGGAATTACAGGTAGGGACCACCACGCCAGGCTAATTTTTGTATTTTGAGTAGAGACAGGGCTTTACCATGTTGGACAGGCTGGTCTTGAATTCCTGACCTCAAGTGATCTGCCTGCCTCAGCCTCCCAATGCAAGCTAAATCATTCTACGTACATAGCACTGTATGAACAATACTCCCATTTCTCTCACTTCTTAATCTTTTTGAGCCGTTTGTTAATTTTACCTTTCACTTCCATATCTCTCCATTATACATTTGTTACTACTCTTTATTTTTCTGTTGTTAGGTATTCCTTTATTGATTCTCCTGGCCTCCTTCTCTTCTCTACACCTTACCTGTGGCCCACACACCTGCATCATCCCAGCACCAGTGTATTATCACTTCGATAATACATACATATGGCTTTTACCTTCATCTCATGAAGTAAATGCTTTTCCGAGTTGAACCATGTAATAAGTTGTAACTGCTTTTCCTTTCTTGCAAATTTTTTACTGTTGATGTTATTTTCTTTTTAGATCTTTTCAATTTTTAACGTTTTAGCTTTTTACCAATTCTCTAAATCCTCTCCAACAATGACAGAGAAAACAGTTTTGCCAGCTTTTCTCTTTTGGAGGAAATCTAATTCAGAGCCATTGGACTGCTCCCACCTGGACGGTTTGTCTTTGTCTCTAGGTTTGGCACACAGTTGTCCTCCTGGGATTGACCTTCACTGTCACCTTGCTGAGTTCTGATGCCTTTCTTCTGCCACAGACCTCCCATCCCCATACCTGACACCATCCTCTTTCTCAGAATTTGCCCTTGTTTGGTGGAATACACCATCTAGTAGGTCCCCTTATGAGTGTGCTAAGGGAAGTAAAAATCTTCATTAACAATATCTTATTAGTGATTTTTATCTCAACTTTCTTGGTTCCCCTTTTCTAGAATTCCTTTAATTTGTGTTTTTAACCTCTTGAACTTTTCAAAAAAAAAGTCTTCGGCCCACTTTTATGTGTCTGTTCACATTTTCTCCACTCTCAGAGAAAATAATTCCCCTTTTCTCTTCAAAGGCAATTCCTGAATATTATGTTGAGATATGCCTTTCTGATATACATATATATATATATATATGTGAACACATATATGTTCAAGAGCTCTTTGTTTCCTCTGACAGTCCCCGATTTTACTGTACTCTGTTCTTGATTGATGGTTGCAATATTTTTGCCAATTTTTCCGAGGATGCTAATTATAGTTTTTGAATTGTTTTTAAAATCTGCACAAACTTTGTTTCCTCCATGTTACTTTCTTCTGTTTATCTACTTTCTATGTTTTATTTCAGATGCTTCCTCATATTTCAGATAACTATTTCTTTTAACTCATATACTGGCTGAATATTTTGACTGTATAATGGGGCTTATATATTCTGAGTATTAACTCAGGGAGATCTGATTTGGTAATATGCTTCTTAAGTGAATTTTCAGCCAATCCTCTTTATTTTAACTCTCTCTTCACTTACACATGAAGAAGTAACTGGGTGCCACTTGTTCTGTAGTCTTCTGGGGATGGTGCAGTGTTATTATGGTTTAATTTGCTTCCCTGTTTACCTTCTAAGGACTCTGTGTTTTGGGGTCACTTATTATTTTCTCTCGACATCTAATGTTCATCATCGGCATTTTGTAGCTGATGTAACCTGCTCTGTTCTTCCCTTGTTCATTTATGCACCTTTAAAAATCTATTTATCTTTATTTTAGTGTGGTTTTAAGAGAGGGTCAAAGTTAATAAATGTATTCTATTTTCCGTGTTTCCTGAAGTCTTCTTTTAATATGAAATCATTTTTAATAAAATAAAATATTTGGGGAGTTTCAGAATGAATCATGTCCCTATTTTTAGATTAGTTCCAACCTATTCATTAGTTTATGAGGAGAAAAATGATTTATAATTCTCCAGAAATTATTATGAAACTATTGATGTTTCAAGATGGAAACACTGGAGATGAGATTTCAGTTTAGTTTTACAAATTAAAAAGCTCACATAGAAGGTCAGTGTTGTCCATCAGAGCCACGTGAGTATTATGAGCCCTGAGTTAAGCTTACCTTTCTCACCTTAAAACAAGACAATATATTCATATTAAATATTTCAGTGGTAAAATGAGTCTTCCTGAAACATTTAATAGAACATCCTTTGCCATTGGGAGAATCTTCCTCTTTTGAAATCCATTGTAAAATGCCTCTTATCTTACTATAGGGAAAAGGAAATCACATTGAGAATTTGAATATTAATAATCAATTAAAATGACATCACAATACTACTATAAGTTTAGAAAATAGGTTCTACTGAGTGAATTCTTCAGGCAGATATTATTCACTGCCACTGCTGTCTGGTAAGCTTTGCAACATTTTTATCAGCCTCACAAATAACTCTCTTGCTCTGTCATACTGGCCTCATCAAACTTCTTTTACATATTGACTTAGATGACAATCAACTCAAAGTAGTCCTTTGAGTTCACATATTTTGATCAACAGATAATAGTTCATTAAATTAAAACAAAACAGAAGAAAACTGTATTTGCTTCAAGGGATAAAAGAAATAGAAGAACAATGAGTAGGGAATATAGAAGCTATGTATGAAGGATTATTTCCAAAGACAAAGTGATACATATCTACTACATAAAAATTCATAATATGTCAATACGATGCAGAACATTTCACACTCTCAAATGTTGTAGGTGAGTATAAATGAATCCACTGGTAAATTCAGACTGGAAATGTTCAAGTATAATAGGAGTTTGGGGGTTTGTGCTTCTGAAGAGAGAAAATGGGTCTTTCATAGGCATAGTATTACTGATCACAGTTACACTAAGTATATTAATTTAATCTCAAGACTTATGAATGGGAGAAGCTTTTGAACACACTTAATGTTGCTTCAAATATTTAATAATAATTATATTTCAGTATGGTGGTTTTTAAAATATATGTCTGCCCCTAAAATTTTCCAGGTCTGGGGCCAGAGTACATACAGAGGTCTACATATCATATGTCTAAACATTTTGAAATTATTAATTAAGTTATCCTAAGCTGTATCTGCATTGTTATTCATAATCTGCTTCCTGTGGATTTTCCTGATGATGTCAAGACTAAAAGAGACATACTCAACTCTGTGTTCCCCAGCCACTACCTACTGAACTCTCTCGTTGCAAATTGAAGGTTTACCTATATTACTCAATATTAAAATAGTAAAAACTAAAGGAACTAAAGAAACCATTCTTTTCAAATTACAAAAATCATGAACAAAGATTACATAATTAAAAAGAGAAACTAAATGAAGAAGCAAGGAAGTTTTGAAAATAAAACAATATATAATACTAAAATTAGAACACAGGCTTAAGGCCAACTAAATTGATTATGAAATACATGTTAAATGCAATTAATTCACTTTGTAAGAAAAGATTATCAGATTTGATCAATAGCTAAGCTTCAAATTGACTATATCAATAAATTGTCAAAAAGAAAGAGTGATTCAAAAGGTTGAAATTAAAATGTGAATAAAACCAGGTATATACAAGGAAAAGAAAGCATGGGTTGATATACTAATATCACATAAGATCAAATTCAATAGAGAATTGTTTTTTTAAAGTTATATAACCTAACAAGGCTGTATAGCTATGTATAGCTTGATGGGAATATTTAATGTTAATGAAGTCACTGTTAGAAATATGCAAATAATTACAACAAATCATATTAAATATGTAAACTAAAGAGTAAAGGCAGTATGTGGGAAATCAGTAGAACTTTAATAATACTAAAATATTAGTTCTTTTTTCTTAGCCCATGGCCAATCAGGAAGGAAAAATATAAGGTTATAAAAGAGATGAATAATAAAATTTTTAACAGCTGACAAAACATATATCAACTAGAATGAAGCTTGACCGAATACATTATAGAAACCCAAATTAAGATTGTCCTTATCTAGCTAGCATAATAGCACATAATAGAATTCCATACATAAGCATGTCTCTTAAGGTAGTGTCACATTAATCGGAAACTGGAAATTCTTCCAGTTCTCTGAACCATCCCAAGGTAGTGGCCTTCATGTTATCCCAGATGACTGTTGGACATGCAGATATCATACTCAAACAATAGAATTGAAGAGGGAGCAAAGAAAGGTATAATAAGGGTATATTTTTCAATATACATTGAATCTGTATGGTCATTGGTCATTGGTCAAAACTTAAGCATTGGCCCACATCCACCTGCAAGCAAAGCTGAGGAATGTAGTCTTCTAGCTTTAGCAATGTGCTCAGCAAAACCCAAGATGGTTTTTACTAAGACAGGGAGAATAGATATTGGATTGTATCTATCTACATATGATCAACTATCCTTTGAGTATCTATATGTCCATGTGTTCTTCCATGCTTGCATATACTCAGTCCTTCATAAATGAGCCAAATTTTTGTTCCATCAGCTTAAATTTGTGTTTTCTGAGCAGTGGGCCATCCTCTCCATCAATATAAGATATAGCTACTGATATCCTAGCAATCAAATAATAGACATGATATCTTCCATCTGTACATCCAATGTACAATGATGGATGAGTAACAGAATAACCAAATAAAAATTCCCAGTTGTAAAAGGAAAGCACAGAACTTATTGGTCAATAGCTGCCAGCACTTGAGCTTTTTCCTAAAGGATTAACTGATTTGATTATTCAATATATCTATTTCTATCTCCTCTCTGAGAGAAAATGTCTTGTTGTCTTGCAAGGTTCTTTCCTTTGACAGATTTTTTATTGTCATTTATCTTCCCTAGCCCACTTTAGGGCAGATATTGGTACTGGAAAAGGCCAGGGGACCAGAGGAATGATTTAGGGGCTGGCCACCACAGGCTGCTTGTTGCCATCCAGATGAGGAGTACTTAAGTCTTTAATTAATTTTGAGTTGATTTTTGTTTATGATATAAGGTAGGGTCTCAGTTTCATTTTTGTATATGTGGATATCTTGTTTTTCCAATATCATTTGTTGAACAGATTATTCTTTTGCCATTGTGTATTCTTGGACCTCTTTTCAAGGATCTGTTGACTATATATATGTGGGTTTATTGCTGGGCTCTCTATTCTGTTCTGTTGGTCAAAATTTTGCACCACAAAGGAAACAATCAGCAAAATGAAAAGGCAACCTACAATATTCACAAACTGTATATATAATAAGGAGTTGAATTCTAAAATGTTTAAAGAATTTCTACAAGTCAATAGCAAAAACTCAAAAAAAAAAAAAAAAGAATGGCCAACGGACTTGAGCAGACATTTCTTCAAAGAAGACATCAAATAGCCAACATGAATATGAAAAAGTGCTCAATATCATTAATTTTCAGAGAAATGCATATCAAAACTATAATCAGATGTCACATCACACCTGTTAGGATGTCCGTTGTAAAAGAACAAAGATAAGTTTGCAGGAGTTTGTGGAAAATTGAAACTCTGTTTATGCACTGTTGATGGGAACATAAAATCGTGGATCATCTACAAAAAAAAAATAGTATGTACTTTCCTCAAAAACAATCTCACATAATTCAGCCACATAATTCAGCAATCTCACTTCTGGGTATACATCCAGAAGAACTGACATCAGGATTTTAAGGCGATATCTGCACTCTCATGTTCACAGCAGCATTATTCACAATAGTCAAGACATGGAAACAGTACCAGTCTATTAATGGATAAATAAAGAAAATGTGGCATATACACATAATGGAAAAACATTCAGTCTTAAAAAAAGAAGGAAATCTTGTCATTTGTTACAATGTGGATAAGCCTAGAGGACAGTATGGAAGGAGAAACAAACCAGGGACAGAAAGAAAAATAGATAGCATGATTCCACTTACATGAGGTATCTATAATGCTCGAACTAGTAGAAGCAGAAAATACAATTGTGGTTTACAAGGACTGTGAGAGGGGAGAATGGGGAGTTCTTCCATGGGTATAAATAAAAGAGAAAGAGAGAGACAAAGATATGATTAACCTTAAATGTACAACTTTGAAAAGTACACATTTTTATAATGAATGAATGAAGCGATTATCTCATAAAAACTTATAAAGAACCAAAAAAGAACAAAAGAAACCCAGGAAAGCCCGTTGAAACTATAAAGCAATATAAAAATATTAATTTAAAAAAACGGAATTGATAAATAACTTTAGAAATGTTTGGGTAAACATGGAAAACATCTAGGTAACCTAATCTAGGAATACAAACAAGAATAATGCTCCAAAGTTGGCCTCTGACTATATAAATAGTCGCATATTCTGAAGAAAACATGTTAGTAATACAAATATCTTTAGCCCCTTTGTAGGCAAATAAATTTAAAGAATTTAGAAGAAACTAATGATTTTCCATAAAAATATAAATCACCATTACTGACCACAAAAAGATAAAAAAAGTTATAATCTATACTAAAAGTGCTAACTGGCACAAATGAAATTGAAAAAAATGGCCTGGTAGGGGTTGTTACATGGATTAATTTTCCTCAAATTTTCTAGAAGCAGATAATTATACAGTTAAATAAGTATTTGAAAGTTAAAGAATGGAATCTTGTGGGTGCCAGCATAACACTGATTTAAAAATCTAATACCTCACTCATCATATCAGAGTACATCTTGGGTGTATCAAACATTTAAATTATAGAAACAGAATCTTTAAAAAATGTTTATTGACTTTGTAATCTTAGAATGGGGAACACATTGTTTAGCATAACCAAAGTCCAGAAAGCAAAAACATCAAAATAGTTAAATTTGATAACATTAAAAGAAAATAATTTTTAGGCAAAACAAATTAAGCATCCAAAACAATAGCAAAAACTGAGAGAAAATATATTTGATACACACAACATAGGATCAATTCATTTATTATGCAAAAAAATAAGAAAATGTTTTACAATTCAATGGAAAAAAGATTAAATTGATAGGTACAGAATAGAAAACATCTAATTTAAGTGAGTTTAAAAAATTTACTTAGTGCATCATATGTTAAACAGAAAATAAATATTATCATGCTTTAAGCATTCAATGGATGTTAGCTAAATCTATGGACAAAAGATGGGGGTATTTTTTAAAGAGTTCCTTTAACATATATAAGACATACTATAAACTGCTCAGTAACTCAAGAAAGAGGGAGAAAATTAGTTTATCTACATACTTAGTAGATACTACATACTACATACTTTGTATGTAGATACATACATATGTAGATACATACTACATAGTTTATCTCAACTAACAAGTCTTCTTTACCAAGTTTCTGTACCATTTTAGAATTTTCTTCGTATAAACATTTACTTTTTTCTTATATTTTGGAAATGTATGGTATTGTTGTTCAGGGTAATGCTACTGTTATTGTTAATCCTGTTTCAAATATTGTTTCTAATTGATTGTTGATGGCTGTAGTAAATCAAATAAGTTAATTGTAAATAATGACAGTTATTTCTTCGTCATTTGATAAAGTTATGTCCTTGTAGTTTACATGACTTTTTCATGATGTTTATGTATTTAAATTGGGTAGGATCTCTAATAAAATACTAAGTAATACTGGTGAAAGGAGATTTTGGTGTTTTTTCCTCTATTATGTAATGATAATTTATCTGTTGTCTTTTTACATTTTTGCTGTTATAACAGAATACCTTGGACTGGTAGTTTAAGAATGGCAGAAAATTTGTTTCTCAGATTTCTTGAGACTTGGATGTCCAAGATCAAGGTGCTGGCAGGTTTGCTTCTCTGGTGAGGGTTGCATCCTCCAGAGGGAAGAAACACTGTTCCTCGTGGAGAAAGCTAGAAGGGCAACAAAACAAGCTAGGAGAATACTGCATGAAGCCTCGTTTATAGAGTCTTAATCCCATTCATGAGGGATAAACCCCTCAGGGTCTATTCACTTCTAAAAATATTATGACATTAGCAACACCTAAATTTTGAAGAGGACATATTCATATGTCAGTGAGGACGTATAGTACTCACTATTTCTTCATTAAATATAATGATTGTTGTAGATAACTGATTTTTATGTTGACATGGTTTTCCATCTAAATACAACAATTTTCACATATTTTTATCAAAAGCTTTTTAACTTCACATGATTCTCCGTCTTGTCCCCCAAGTTTTCATGTGGCAAATTAAACAGACTTCTTATCACATGGGGATAAACCATGATCAGTTATGATTTATTAATGTGTTATTTAATTTTATTTTCTAATATTTTAGGTTTAGATTTTATTTTCACAAGGGAGATTTCTCTCCGGGATTTTCATGTTTAGAATTCAAGTCAGAATCCTCCTTCACGTGTATCAAACAAATCAATAAGAAAAAAACAAATAATCCCATAAAAAAGTGGGCAAATTCCATGAACAGGCATTTCTCAAAAGAAGATATACAAATAGACAACAAATGTATGAAAAAAATGTTCAGTATCACTAATCATCAGGGAGATGCAAATTAAAACCACAGTGAGATACTACCTTACTCCTCTAAGAATGGCCATTATTAAAAATAATTAAAAAAAAGATGTTGGCATGGATGTGGTGAAAAAGGAACCCTTAAACATTGCTGATGGAAATGTAAATTAGTACAACCTCTGTGAAAAACAGTATGGAGATTCCTTAAAGAATTAAATCTACCATTCAATCCAGCAGTCACACTACTGGGTATCTATATAAAGGAAAAAATATCATTATATGAAAAAGATACATGTACATGTATGTTTATTGCAGCCCAATTCACAATTGCAAGATATGGAACCAAATTAGGTGGTCATTGATCAACAAATGGATAAAGAAAATGTGGTATACATACATCACGGAATACTACTCAGCCATAAGAAGGAATTAAATAATGTTTTTTACAGTAACTTGGATGGAGCTAGAGGCCATTATTCTAAGTGAAGTAACTCAGGAATGAAAAACCAAACACGGTATGTTCTCACTTATAAGTGGGAGCTAAGCTGTGACTACGCAAAGACATGCAGAATGATGTAGTGAACTCTGGAGACTTAGAAGGGGGAGGGTGGGAGAGCAGCGGGGGACAAAAAGCTACATATTGGTAAAATCTCAGAGCTACCACTATATAATTAATCCATGTAACCTAGAACCACTGGTACCCCAAAAGCTACTGAAATTTAAAAAATATTAAATAAGAATTCTCCTTCACTTGCAGACTGAATATGGAAATATGTTTGTTTTGTACCATGTTCTTACATAAACTGGTAGAAAACTTGTAGTGCCCATTGTTGAGGCAGATTAAATGGAAGTAATTCATAATATTATTTTGGTTTGTTTTTATTCAGGTGGTAGATTTCAGAATACCTTTTATGAGTTTTGATCAATTCAAGCTTCTAATTCATGAAATTACATTTCCCAAGAAATTTATGCATTTTTCTAGTCATTTGCATTTATCTAACTCTAGATGTACAAAATATGCTTCTAGAATGTTTGTATTCTAAATATATATTTCAGTCTTTTTCTGTGTTTCTCATTTTGTTCCTCAGTTCTTTTTCATTTGTGATCATATGTTCCAGAGGTTTATTGATCCATTCTTCTTTTTCTTGTATATTTGGTTTTATTTATTTTATTCTTGTGGGTTTTTGGAAATAATTTTGTGTTTTTTAAAGTTATTTTTGTTTTCTAATAAAATTATTCTATTTTGTTTTGATTTCTAGTGCATGCTCTTAAGGCTAAAATTTTCCCTCTATTTACTATTTTGAGCGCATCACACAATTTTTTACATATAATGATATGTTGTCATTTAATCCTTAATAATTTTTAATTTTTATTGTTTATTCTTCAAAGAGTTATCTAGGTGTATGCATTTTTAAACATGCCAGTAGACTATTTACTTGAACATATATGTTCTTTAAGTACTGACTCATATTACATAGATTGTGGCTTGAAAACACTTACTTCAAATTTTGGATGGGATTTTCTTTGTGGCCTACTACACTATCATATTCTGTGAATGTTCAATGTTCATTTGAAAGTAATAGATTATTTCTGTTAATTACAGTCGTATGTGTATATCTCTACAGATATATTATATATGATCATGTTTGAAAATTTTCTTATCCAAAACCTTGCATCCTTGCTTGTGTTTTACTAAGCCATCTGTTGTTTTCTGAGAGTTGTGATACTGAGAAATTGTGATTTTTGTCAATTTCTTATTAAATTTCTATCAGGTTTGTTCCATATGTAAAATCTATGATGAGTTTTGCATAATATTTATGTTTCAGATTCTAGCCCCAATTGTACCATCAACTTTTGAGCTCAAAACTAAATCAAGAGTTTATTTCCTCAATGTCCCTTAGCAATAAAACAACAGGTGAAACCAGATGACTTCTAAGGGTCCCGCCAAATCTATCATTCTTTGACTTTAATTTATAATGAATTTAAGGCACCTTTGAGAACCATTTTTTCACAATAATTTTTTTCTCTATTACTGTAAAAATTAAGGAAATGCATGAAACCTAAGGATCAAAATATTGTTCCTTGTGGTGAGGAAACTTTCCTTTCCCACCTGAACTGAACTTAAATACCAGCATAGAAGGAAAGCTTGTAGAATTGGCATCTTCTCTCTGTGAGACTGGGTTCAGGTCTCCAGAAACTGCATGAGATATATCACCCGTTACAGTAAGAATTAGTCTTCCCCAAAAGACACTGGAATTGAATTTTTCACCTTCCCAATACATTATTAATATTTTTCATAGCATTACAGTCTTGAACATATAATTTTAAATGATTTCATAGTATTACTTTATATGACTGTACTATCTTGAAATTAACTAATACCCATTGTTATATCTTTGCATTGTTACAAATATTTTCTACATCAACATAACTAAATCGAACTTTCATGGTTTTTTATCCCAGGTAAAACTAAAAAGGTTCTGGAACAATTTTTTACAATTATTAGCAATCATCCTGTAGCAATCTATTTTTATGCCAGCTGTTGCTCTTAATTTAATTGCTTTAACCAGAGCAACCTAATAAGCAGCTCATTGATAGAAATACGATTATCATAGAATGCTTAGCAATTCTTAAAGTTGTCTTGTGGGATCGATTTAATTTCTGCAAGTAGAAAGCTTCAACCATGTCACGACCTTCTCATGTGTGCGTTTGTTGCTAGAAACATGATGAAGTTTAGTAATTTATCTTCAAAAGACATGAAATCAACATAAATAGACTATTTTTGGTATACTGTACTGTTTATGTACAATGACAACTAAAGAGTATGAATATTTCAGAACTTAGATTTATTTTAAAACCTCATACAATATATTTCAAGATTTAACATGTTTAGCAAAAAAAGTGAAGAAAATATCTACTTAGACTAAAAGAAAGTATTGCAAAAAAACCAACAAGAAAAACCTAATAAAAGTTGGGAACATAGGCCCAGCCCTATGAACTATGTTTTAACAACCAAAAGCACATCAGAAAACAAAAAAAAATTTAAAATGTTTGTTGTTCTGAGTATTTCTAAAACATTATATCTCATTTATTCAGTAAATCACCTTTGTGATTTCATGATTATTCTCACTATTTTGATAAACATTTTTTGAGAGTAACACAAATATACTTGACAAAAGCAAATGTGATTGACCATTCAAACTGCCTAAATGCTGAATTATTTTATGGTCAACCTGATTATCTTAGGAAATTAACTATTTACCCATTTCTCATTTGTCCTGAGAATACTCTGTCTCTAATCCTATATCACATACATTTCTGTTACATTAGGATTAGAGACCAGTTTTGTTTTTAGAGAACTCCAAGAACAGTTTTTATGTCTTATTTTCACATGGAAAATCAGTCACATTTTCTTCAGCCTCAAAGAGCATGTTTATGTAAAATTAAATAAGCGCTGGCAGTGAGTTCCACTTTTTTTTCTAAACAGAAAATGGGTTCATAAGACAAATACTTTCTTGTAATCAATACTACATTTAAAAATAAAAGCTATACTTTTCGGTCTGACACCTCATGTTAAATTTAATAATAAAATACAAATTAGAGGTAAAGATAAAGTGTGTAAAAATATCTTTAGCTTTCCAGGGGATTCTGTTTTAACATCGCAAGCAGAAACATTCACGTGTCTCTTAGACCTAAAACCATAAAAACCCTAGAAGAAAACCTAGGCATTACCATTCAGGACATAGGCATGGGCAAGGACTTCATGTCTAAAACACCAAAAGCAATGGCAACAAAAGCCAAAATTGACAAATGGGATCTAATTAAACTAAAGAGCTTCTGCACAGCAAAAGAAACTACCATCAGAGTGAACGGGCAACCTACAAAATGGGAGAAAATTTTTGCAACCTACTCATCTGACAAAGGGCTAATATCCAGAATCTACAATGAACCCAAACAAATTTACAAAAAAAAAAAAAAAACAAACAACCCCATCAAAAAGTGGGCAAAGGATATGAACAGACACTTCTCAAAAGAAGACATTTATGCAGCCAAAAAACACATGAAAAAATGCTCACCATCCCTGGCCATCAGAAAAATGCAAATCAAAACCACAATGAGATACCATCTCACACCAGTTAGAATGGCAATCATTAAAAAGTCAGGAAACAACAGGTGCTGGAGAGGATGTGGAGAAATAGGAACACTTTTACACTATTGGTGGGACTGTAAACTAGTTCAACCATTGTGGAAGACAGTGTGGCGATTCCTCAGGGATCTAGAACTAGAAATACCATTTGACCCAGCCATTCCATCACTGGGTATATACCCAAAGGACTATAAATCATGCTGCTATAAAGACACATGCACACGTATGTTTATTGCGGCATTATTCACAATAGCAAAGACTTGGAACCAACCCAAATGTGCAACAATGATAGACTGGATTAAGAAAATGTGGCACATATACACCATGGAATACTATGCAGCCATAAAAAGTGATGAGTTCATGTCCTTTGTAGGGACATGGATGAAATTGGAAATCATCATTCTCAGTAAACTATCGCAAGGACAAAAAACCAAACACTGCATGTTCTCACTCATAGGTGGTAATTGAACAATGAGAACACATGGACACAGGAAGGGGAACATCACACTCTGGGGACTGTTGTGGGGTTGGGGGAGGGGGGAGGGATAGCATTAGGAGGTATACCTAATGCTAAATAACGAGTTAATGGGTGCAGTACACCAGCATGGCACATGTATACATATGTAACTAACCTGCACATTGTGCACATGTACCCTAAAACTTAAAGTATAATAATAATAAAATAAAATAAAAATTCTACAGTCACTTTGAAAACCACACACACACACACACACACACACACACACACACACACACAGCTTCTATCATGGCCGGGCACGGTGGCTCAAGCTTGTAATCCCAACACTTTGGGAGGGTGAGGTGGGTGGATAACGAGGTCAGGAGTTGAAGACCAGCCTGGCCAACATGGTGAAACCCCATCTCTACTAAAAATACAAAAAAAAAAAAAAATTAGCCAGGCATGGTGGCGGGCGCCTGTAATCCCAGCTACTCGGGGGGCTGAGGCAGAGAATTGCTTGAACCCGGGAGGCGGAGGTCACAGTGAGCTGTAATCATGCCACTGCACTCTAGAAGACTGTCTCAAAAAAAAATAAAAATAAAAAAAGCTTCAATCATTTGTTGCTATGTTTATTCTGGAGAAATTTCCTTTACATATTGAATATTCCATGAACTTACCACATTTTGTAGGTATAGTTCAAAATTATCTAGAATATCACTAACTGGCTATATGCTATGTCAACAATAGCAACAACATCAAAATTTCATCAAAGACCTGAATTTTCCATTTTAAGTCCAGAGAGGTAAAGCTGCCTTGAAATTTCAGAAAAAAATCATGACTCATTGGTGGTTGCCCTTTCTTCTTTCTTTTCATCATACTTTTTCAATTATGACTCTGCTCTTGCAATTTAAATTTTTAAACCCTTTTTTAAAATTCAACTCATTACAGACCGGCTTAAATCCTTACCACTTTACTAAAAATAGTAGCCTAGGTTTCACATTGTTTCCCACTGTCTATAAGCTACTTTATCTTTCTGCAGCACTTGACACAACAAAACCTACTCATTCTTGGCTTACATAAAACCAATCCATTCTGTTCCTTCTCAGCTCCTACTGAATCCTTCGCTCTCTCTTTTTCTGGCTTGTCAACTTGTTCTTTTTTTTTTTTTTTTGCCTTGAGACAGAGTCTTCCTCTGCCACCCAGGCTGGAGTGCAGTGTTGCGATCTTGGCTCACTGCAACCTCTGTCTCCCAGGTCCAAGCGATTCTTGGATTACAGACATGCATCACCATGCCTGGCTAATTTTTGTATTTTTAGAAGGGATGGGGTTTCGCCATGTTGGCCAGGCTGGTCTTGAACTCCTGGCCTTAAGTGATCTGCCTGACTGGGCCTCCTAAAGTGCTAGGAGTACAGGCGTGAGCCACCACGCCCAGCCTTCAACTTAATCTTAAATGTTAATATTTCTTAGATTTCTAAGGTAGACTATTATTTTTTTTCTCTATGTAGATTTACATTCATTTCTTATTGGATCTTAGATATATTCACTGCTTTTATGTTTCTTCACCTGAATAACAAATGTGACCTACATAGCCTATATCAAACTGAAATCGTTGTTTTATTTTGAATCTTTTCTTCAGTATTTTTCCTGAATAAATATCTTTGAAGAGCTTTAAAGTTAACAGAAAAACTGAGCAGAAAGTACAGAAAGTTTTCATATATTCCCTCCCCAATACTCACCAATTTCCCCTATTGACATTTTTCATCAGTGTGGTACATTTGTTACAATTGATGGGCTGATATTGATGTATTACTATTAACTAAAGTCCCTAGTTTACATTGGGATTCATTCTTTGTGTTGTACCTTTTGCGGGTTTTGAAAAATGTATAATAACATGTATCTGCCGTTACAGTATCATATGAGATAATTTCACACCCTCAAAAATGCCCTGAGGTATATCTATTCATCCCTCCTTCCCTCCTCTAAAAACCCTGGCAACCACTGATCTTTTTTACTGTTGTCATAGTTTTGCCTTTTCGGAACATCACATAAGTGGAATCATACAGTCTGCAGTCTTTTCAGGTTGGCTTCTTTCATAGCAATATGCATTTAAGATTCTTTCAAGTTTTCTGTAGCTTAATAATTCATTTTCCTGTCTTGCAGAATAATATTCAATTGTCTTCATATACCACAATTCATATATCCATTCACCTATTCAAGGACTTCTTGGTTGCTTCCAGGTTTTAGCAATTATGAATAAAGCTGCTATAAATATTTCAGTGCAGGCTTTTAATGTGGACATTACTTTTCAACTCATTTGGGTAAATATCAGAGTGTGATTGCTTGATCACATAGTAAAAATATGTTTGGCTTAGTAAGGAACTGCCAAACTATCTTCCAAAGTGGCTATACCGGTTTACATTCCCGCAAGCCATAAACGAGAGTTGCTGTTGCTACACAACCTCACCAGCATTTGCTGTCATTGGTGTTTTATATTTTAGTCATTCTGAAAGATGTGTAGTGGTATTCCATTGTTCTTTTTATTTGCAATTCCCTAATGACATACGACATGGACCATCACTTCATATGCTTATATGCAATCCGTATATATTCTTGGTGAGGTGTCTATTCAGATCTCTTTTGCCCATTTTTTTAGGTTGTTTCTCTTTTTATTGTTGAATTTAAAGGATTTTGTGTATATTTTAGATAGTTCTCTGTTATCAGATATGTGTTTGGTCAATATTTTCTTCCAGTCTCTGGCTTTTTTCATTCTCTTAACAGTGTTTTGGCAGGGCAGAAGTTTTAAAATTTCAATGAAATTCAACTTATCAATTTTTTTTTCATGGACCATGCTTTCAATGTTATATGTAAGAATTCATTGCCAAACCCAAGATCCTTCTAGGTATTAAATTAAGTTTAGTTGAAAGCTAACTTCTTACATATTTTAAGTGCAGCCGAAGATCTCTGTGTACATAGAAAGTATAACCTAACTGGATGTGTAAACAGACTGTAACCTTCTCTTGTGCCAATCACCAAGCTTCGGCCAGTCAGTGGCAGTCAACTGTTCAAACCATGTTAAATAAGGCAAATACTGTGCTAGAACTAATCTGGTTATTTCTGTACCTCACTTCCATTTTCTGTGCCTTCCTTTCCTTTTTCTGTCTGTAAATCTTCTTTGACAACATGGCAGTGCTAGTCTACCTCATCCCATTTTGGTTTGGAGGCTGCCCGATTTTCCAATCATTCTTTGCTCAGTTAAACTCTGTTAACTTTAATTTGTCAAAAATTTTCCTTTAACATAAGAGTTTTATAGTTTTGCATTTTACCTTTAGGTCTACAATTCATTTTCAGTTCATTTTTTGTGAAAAGTATAAAATCTGTCACTTTTTTACATATGGATGTCCAGTTGTTCCAGCGTCATTGACTGCAAAGACTATCTCTTCTGCATTCAATTGCCCTTGCTCCATTGTAAAAGACCAGTTAACTATATTTGTGTGGTCAATTTCTTAGTTATCTATTTGTACCATTGATCTATTTGCCTATTCTTTCACCAACACCACACTGTAATTATTACTGAAGCTTTAGAGTAAGTTTTGAAGTCTGACAATGTCAGCCTTCATTATTTTTGGCTATTACTTTGGCTATTCTTGGTCTGTTGCCCTTCAATGTTTTTTTCTAACAATGACATCAAAGTACCTCCATTCTTAATTTTCTCCTCTTTGTCTTCACCCACCAACATTGACATCACGCTCTTGTGAACCCAATCATCTCTTCTGAAATTGTATAAAATCTGCTCTCTTACATGTCATCACACTGTCTTCATTCAAACCCGTACCTTTTACCTGTAATAAGTCATCCTTCGTGCTACTCTTGGTATCAGTCTCTTCCCTTTGTAGTTTACCTCTGCTACCTTCAAAGATGTCATATATTTACAAATTGAGGTAATGTTTGCCTCAATTAGCAAAATTAAATAAAATTCAGATACTATGAAATATTTAATGAGTTTTAATAAATACATACTTAATCTAGTCATGATCTATTCAAATGAATAGATTCGTTTGGCTTTTCTTTAACTTCATATAAGTGAATTCACACAGTACATACTCTTTTATGACCAGCTTTTTGCTCAGCATAATATTTCTGAAATTTATTCATGTTGTCCCATTTTAAAGTAGGTTACTCATTTTTATTACTAAGTAGTATTCCACTGTATGCATATGTCACAATATGTTTGTCTACTCTGCCATTAATGGACATTTGGATTGAATACAATTTTTGGCTATTATACTACTGTAAAATAATACTAGTGTAAAATTCTTGTGCAATTTAAATATATATTTTTAAATATATATATTTAAATATATATAATAAATGTGTGTGTGTATATATATATATACACATTTCTCTTGAGTTAATAAGTAGGAATAAAATTCCTGGGTCATAGGGTAAGTTTATTTGTTTAACACTATAAAAAAAGCTGCTGAACACTTTCCTAATGTGATGTACATTTTACACTCCCACAAGTGTTTGAGTGCACCAGTGACTCCCATATTCTTGTCAACTTTTCATGTCATTAGTCCTTTTAGTTTTTGAAATCTGGTGGGTGTTTAATGGTATTTCGTTGTTGCTGTCAGAATGACAATTTAAAAATTAAACGAGTCCATACCGTCTCTTCTTTCAACACCTCTGGTGAGTTGGTAGCTTCCTGCTGCTTTAAAAAAGAAAGTCCCTCTCCTCAACATCACAAAAGGATCTTTCACAGTGCTCCTAGAACATATCGTGTCATGGGATTATACTTCCAGTCCCATCTTTGTCTATTTTCTTACTCTTATTCTTCTGTTCTTAATGCAAGGATTAAGCATTCCTTGAATATTCGGTGCCTTCTCCTATCTCTGTGCTTTGTTGTATGCTGATTCCTCCCTATTGGAGGCCACTTGTTTTCTACTCTCTGGGAAAATAATTTTTCTTCGACCAGCTCAGATGCCCCCTTTCTCTGGAAACTTCCTCTATTTCTCTATGCAATGCTAGTAGATACTTCTTCTCCATGTTCCCAGGAAATACTGTATGTTGTTCCCATGTTTCTATTTTAGCCTTTATACTTTATTTTAATTAATTTTTAATGCCAATATCTTCACCGGATGACAGCAATGTCCCTAAAACCAAAGTGTCAGAGGCGTGTGAACCAGAGCAACTCCATCTTTAATAGGGGCTGGGTAAAATGAGGCTGAAACCTACTGGGCAGCATTCCCAGACGATTAGGCATTCTGGGTCACAGGATGATGTAGGAGGTCAGCACAAAATACAGGTCATAAAGAACTTGCTGATAAAATAGATTGCAGTAAAGAAGCTGCCGAAAACCCACCAAAACCAACATGGCCAAGAAAGTGACCTCTGGTCGTCCTTGTTGCTATACTCCCACTAGGGCCCTGGCAGTTTACAAATGTCATGGCAACATCAGGAAGTTACCCTATATAGTCTAAAAAGGGGTGGCATGAATAATCCACCCATTGTTTAGCATATCATCAAGAAATAGCCATAAAAATATGCAACCAGCAGCCTTCGGGGATGCTCTGTCTATGGAGGAGACATTCTTTTATTCCTCTACTTTCTTAATAAACTTGCTTTCACTTTACTCTATGGAATCACCCTCAATTCTTGCATGAGATCCAAGAACCCTTTCTTGGGGTCTGGTTCGGGACCCCTTCCCTGTAACAAGAGTATATGAATAATTTAACATTGTACCCTAAGCTTCAGAATAGTAACTATCAGTCAAGACCTATTTATTAAAAGAAAGAATAACATGTTTGCCATCTTCTTTAGTCTTCAGTATGGGAAGAATGTCCCTGTGTTTCACAGAGAAGGGAGAACAAAACATTGTCTTTAAAGGAATGATTTTTGAGTTTTTGCTCTATATTTAATATCCCCCAAAATCCATTCTCCAAAAACATCCTAATTTATGATTAAATTCTATGTGTTTGCCATAAATTTCAACCGAAATTTATTAATGGAAACATGACTTTAGATATTTTAATTGAGCCACCTGAGTAAAAGAATTGGTAATCATATATTAAATTATACCTTTAAGATCTTTGGCTTTTTCATATATTACTTATGTTCAATAAGTTATTTATGTAAGTATTGGTTTAAGGGAATTTACAATATTTAACTAACAAACTTCCTAGTGTTTCTTGAAAATTTTAACCAAGCTAATTTTTCTAATAAAATGTCATAGAAAATTAATTTATTCTTAACCTCTATAAAGGTTAATGAGTAAAGGATAAATAAAATGCACTTAAATCAATACTTTGATGGAGTGTCAAAAAACCTGATAATTCAATACGAGCTGATTCCATGGGTTGACTAAATCTCCTACCACCTTTTCCTTACCGGCGTGGCCTGCCTATCAAACTGCCAGATATTAACTTTTGATCTAGTGGCCTGGTCTTGACCAATGAGATATGAGAGTCTGAAGAAGACTGTCTGGAGAAGACATTCCTCCCGAAAAAAAAAAAAAAGAGATGCATGAATACAGTTCTCATCAAACTGTCTCACCAATCTGCCCCTAAATTGGGACACTGGTGCTCTAAGAATGTGTCCTCTATGAGCCATTTTACAATTATGAACTGGAAGACAAAAAGCCAATGCACCGTGAATGTCTAGCTCACCACCCTCATCTGTGAGAACTTCTACGCACAGAAATAAGCCTCTAACTGGAGATCTATAAGACATATTTTGGCCCTGGTTCATAACTGACTATAACCCTGACTCAAGCTGGAACAGTCAGATTCTGTCCCACAGAAATTAGGAAATGGCACTGAAGAATTCCTGCCAGTCTGGGCTGAACACCACAATGAAACTACAAATGCAGAGTTTGATGCTGAGGATGCCAATTCTATAAAAGTAGGTCATCAGAAAAAAAGAACACATTAAATAGATACACAAATCCTTACCCTGCTCTAATTTTGTCCTAGTGCTCATTTACTTCTAATATCATATACTTTATTCAACATTATGTTTATTGCTTATTGTTTGTCTCCTACAACTAGAAACTTATTTCCATGTTTGTCAGGATTTTTTTTTCCTATCCATGTGCACCAAGTGCTAAGAACAGTGCCTTAGCCCTTCTATTAAAGAGAAGGTGTTCAATAAATAATTTTCAAAAAAATGAATCACTATTAGTTTCAAGTTGGACTCATTTTAAAATAACAGATTTATGCCACAGAATATGTAATTTTGCTATAAGTTTATTGTTCAATTTTTAGGTAGTCCAACAAATTCAAAAGTATTTTGGTCTAAACTGAACAACCTGCTCCTGAATGACTACTGGGTACATAAAGAAATGAAGGCAGAAATAAAGATGTTCTTTGAAACCAACAAGAACAAAGACACAACATACCAGAATCTCTGGGACACATTCAAAGCAGTGTGTAGAGGGAAATTTATAGCACCAAATGCCCACAAGAGAAAGCAGGAAAGATCCAAAATTGACATCCTAACATCACAATTAAAAGTACTAGAAAAGCAAGAGCAAACACATTCAAAAGCTAGCAGAAGGCAAGAAACAACTAAAATCAGAGCAGAACTGAAGGAAATAGAGACACAAAAAACCCTTCAGGAAATTAATGAATCCAGGAGCTGGTTTTTTGAAAGGATCAACAAAATCGATAGACCACTAGCAAGACTAATAAAGAAGAAAAGAGAGAAGAATCAAACAGACGCAATAAAAAATGATAAAGGGGATATCACCACCAATCCAACAGAAATACAAACTACCATCAGAGAATACTACAAACACCTCTACGCAAATCAACTAGAAAATCTAGAAGAAATGGATAAATTCCTCGACACATACACCCTCCCAAGACTAAACCAGGAAGAAGTTGACTCTCTGAATAGACCAATACAGGCTCTGAAATTGAGGCAATAATCAATAGCTTACCAACAAAAAAGAGTCCAGGACCAGACGGATTCACAGCCGAATTCTACCAGAGGTACAAGGAGGAACTAGTACCATTCCTTCTGAAACTATTCCAATCAACAGAAAAAGGGGGAATCCTCCCTAACTCATTTCATGAGGCCAGCATCATCCTGATACAAAAGCCAGGCAGAGACACAACCAAAAAAGAGAATTTTAGACCAATATCCTTGATGAACATTGATGCAAAAATCCTCAATAAAATACCAGCAAACCAAATCCAGCAGCACATCAAAAAGCTTATCCACCATGATCAAGTGGGCTTCATCCCTGGGATGCAAGGCTAGTTCAACATATGAAAATCAATAAACGTAATCCAGCATATAAACAGAACCAAAGACAAAAACCACATGATTATCTCAATAGATGCAGAAAAGGCCTTTGACAAAATTCAACAACCTTCATGCTAAAAACTCTCAATAAATTAGGTATTGATGGGACGTATTTCAAAATAATAAGAGCTAACTATGACAAACCCACAGCCAATATCATACTGAATGGTCAAAAACTGGAAGCATTCCCTTTGAAAACTGGCATGAGACAGGGATGCCTTCTCTTACCACTCCTATTCAACATATTGTTGGAAGTTCTGGCCAGGGCAATTAGGCAGGAGAAGGAAATAAAGGGTATTCAATTAGGAAAAGAGGAAGTCAAATTGTCCCTGTTTGCAGATGACATGATTGTATATCTAGAAAACCCCATTGTCTCAGCCCAAAATCTCCTTAAGCTGATAAGCAACTTCAGCAAAGTCTCAGGATATAAAATCAATGTACAAAAATCACAAGCATTCCTATACAACAATAACGGACAAACAGAGAGCCAAATCATGAGTGAACTCCCATTCACAATTGCTTCAAAGAGAATAAAATACCTAGGAATCCAACTTACAACGGATGTGAAGGACCTCTTCAAGGAGAACTACAAACCACTGCTCAAGGAAATAAAAGAGGATACAAAGAAATGGAAGAACATTCCATGCTCATGGGTAGGAAGAATCAATATCATGAAAATGGCCATACTGCCCAAGGTTTACAGATTCAATGCCATCCCATCAAGCTACCAATGACTTTCTTCACAGAATTGGAAAAAACTACTTTAAAGTTCATACGGAACCAAAAAAGAACCCGCATCGCCAAGTCAATCCTAAGCCAAAAGAACAAAGCTGGAGGCATCACTCTACCTGACTTCAAACTATGCTACAAGTCTACAGTCACCAAAACAGCTTGGTACTGGTACCAAAACAGAGATATAGATCAATGGAACAGAACAGAGCCCTCAGAAATAATGTCGCATATCTACAACTATCGGATATTTGACAAACCTGAGAAAAACAAGCAATGGGGAAAGGATTCCCTATTTAATAAATGGTGCTGGGAAAACTGGCTAGCCATATGTAGAAAGCTGAAACTGGATCCCTTCCTTACACCTTATACAAAAATTAATTCAAGATGGATTAAAGAGTTAAACGTTAGACCTAAAACCATAAAAACCCTAGAAGAAAACCTAGGCATTACCATTCAGGACATAGGCATGGGCAAGGACTTCATGTCTAAAACACCAAAAGCAATGGCAACAAAAGCCAAAATAGACAAATGTGATCTAATTAAACTAAAGAGCTTCTGCACAGCAAAAGAAACTATCTTCAGAGTCAACAGGCAACCTACAAAATGGGAGAAAATTTTCGCAACCTACTCATCTGACAAAGGGCTAATATCCAGAATCTACAATGAACTCAAACAAGTTTACAAGAAAAAAACAAACAACCCCATCAAAAAGTGGGCGAAGGACATGAACAGACACTTCTCAAAAGAAGACATTTATGCAGCCAAAAAACATGAAAAAATGCTCACCATCACTGGCCATCAGAGAAATGCAAATCAAAACCACAATGAGATACCATCTCACACCAGTTAGAATGGCAATCATTAAAAAGTCAGGAAACAACAGGTATTGGAGAGGATGTGGAGAAATAAGATCACTTTTACACTGTTGGTGGGACTGTAAACTAGTTCAACCATTGTGGAAGTCAGTGTGGCGATTCCTCAGGGATCTAGAACTAGAAATACCATTTGACCCAGCCATCCCATTACTGGGTATATACCCAAAGGACTATAAATCATGCTGCTATAAAGACACATGCACACGTATGTTTATTGCGGCATTATTCACAATAGCAAAGACTTGGAACCAACCAAAATGTCCAACAATGATAGACTGGATTAAGAAAATGTGGCACATATACACCATGGAATACTATGCATCCATAAAAAATGATGAGTTCATGTCCTTTGTAGGGACATGGATGAAATTGGAAATCATCATTCTCAGTAAACTATGGCAAGAACAAAAAACCAAACACCGCATGTTTTCACTCATAGGTGGGAATTAAACAATGAGAACACATGGACACAGGAAGGGGAACATCACACTCTGGGGACTGTCGTGGGGTGGGGGGAGGGGGGAGGTATAGCAATAGGAGATATACCTAATACTAAATGACGAGTTTATGGGTGCAGCACACCAGCATGGCACATGTATACATATGTAACTAACCTGCACATTGTGCACATGTACCCTAAAACTTAAAGCATAATAATAATAAAATAAAATTTAAAAAATGAGTTTCAATAAAGGGTATAATTCTGATTAGAAATGAAATGGAGCAATCTGATGGATTTAGAATTTATTTAAAATGTACAGGTCAAGAATCTAACTGAATTCTAAGTTTGGATATTCAAATTTGCTCATAATTGACAAAACAAATAAAAAATACTAAGTAAAAAAACAAAATTGCAGTGTCATTTTGATGTTAGATTGCTCGTTGTTTCCATGAGTGGAGTAAGCAGAAAGCAGTGTGTACTTACAACACATCAGAAACCAAACCAATACTTACCAATAGTGGCCATGTAGCTTAGAGTGTTATGTAACTTAAAAGTTAAATTTGACAGAAAATGCATAGAGACCACATTAGTGGGAAAATAAAAAGCCTTGACTTTTCCCCTAAATGCATCTGTAATTTGTGATTCAGTCACACTGAGTCTTTTTGCAACTAATCAGGATAACAACCACCCAAAAAATTTAAAAATATATATATATTTATATATACACAAAGAAGATACCATATTTCTTGACTTAATAAGCATAATTTTAATCTTGATTAAGCATAATCCCTTAAGCTGTTTCTTTTATACTATTTGGGCTGGAATTTTAATCTTTAATCTCTGAATACTGAAAGGAAGAATAGACATCTGAGCATGATAAATTGACTAAGGTCAAGTCTGCTAATAAATAACTGTGGGAATTTGGAAAAGTCACTAAGCATCAAAACCAAAACCATTAAGTCATATTTCACAGAAATGTATCTACTTTTTGTTGAGTTTCATTAAGAAAACTGTTTTATGTTATATTTCCTTTTAGTCCTTTCAATGTCAGAAGTAACTCTGAGGAAGCAGATGTTGTTGCCAATGCCAATTTGAAAGAGCAGACCATAATAGCGCAAGTCAAATGCTTTACAGCTTATTTAAAGCTTTCATAGAGATGACTCTACTTTATCCAAACAACAAACCAGTGAGGAGTAGGAAAGTTATTTTTACTAAACCATGTCATAGCTTAGAAATCTGAGGCTTATAAGGCTCAAGTAGCTTGTACAAATTTACAAAATACAGTATACTCAAGAAAATATGGTAACTATGAAAAGAACATAACTTTCTCCCAATGCAACAGCTTAAATTAGCAGGAAGCTCAACTCCCATTGCTTCCTCTTATTGTGCTGCTCTCTCCTCTATTTTAAAGTCCACAGAGCAGGCAAAACAATTTTCCTAAAATATATATTTTGCTGCTTCCTTCTTTAAGACTCTGACAGATCGCCATTACAACTGGAGTACAAACTGGGATGCCTAATTCCTTCCCACACGGCCCTCTGGTAATGTGCCTGCCAACTTTCCCTCCCACCCCGTTGTCTCTTCTCTCTCTTTTTCATTAGCTACACACTAACTTCCCTGCTTCCAATATGTGATGCTCCTAACAGTCTCAATGCCTTTCCACTTTTTTTTTAGGATCCTCTTCCATCAGATCTTTTCATGACTGTCTTCATTACAACATAAATTTTGTAGCTTAACTATGACTTCAACATAGGATCTTCCATGACCTCTGGTCCAAGCAGTTCTGCCCCATGGCTAAGTGCCAACTATGACTTCAATATAGGATCTTCCATGACCTCTGGTCCAAGCAGGTCTGCCCCGTGGCTAAATGCCATATTACCTTGTTGGGTTTCTTTAAGGAATCTACATACCTAAGATTATTTTATTTACTTTGTGTATATTCATATTATACCCCCATTTACCTCAAATGGAAAATCAGTAACAGATAGCAGAGATTTTCTTTTGTTCTCTGCTATATTTTTACAATTTACAATGCAGAGTAAGTGGTCAATAAGTATGAGTTACTGATGAAAACAGAAATGAAACCAACCTCCCTTAATCTTATTCCACCACCTAGATATGAGTCTATATCTTTCATTTTATTGTCTCTACTCTCTCACTCCCTATTCACCACTCTATTCAAAACAATCTGGCTTTTGCCCATACCACAGTGCTGCAACTATTTCTCAAGGTCCAAATAACATTGTGTCTTCCTCCTGACATCTCTGTGGCAGTTTTCACAGTTTACTACACTTTTCTTTACGACTCTATCCTCCTTTGGATTTTTATAATACATGTGAAAAGTTTCCATATCTTAACACATGCCATTTCATCTTCCTAGACAGTTTCATGACACCTGCATACTTTCAAACCTCAATTCTTCTTTAAAATGCCTCCGAAGGCCCCAATTTCTCTGGGCAATTTTTGTTATGATTTTATCATATAACTAACCAAAAGGATATTATATACCAATGGGATATTATACAGCAATTAAACATGTTGCCAAAGATCTTAAAAGAACATGAGGCATTTTATGTGGAGAAATGAAATAAATACATAAAAAACAACAGCAACAACATAAAATTGTTAATAGTGTGATCAAAAATTGATCAAAATTAAAATGAAGATAAAACTAATAAAACAAAAAAGATAATATTGTGTAAGCATGATGATAATAATATAATAATATTTGTTTTTTGTTTTTTTTTGTTTGTTTTTCTTTTTCTCTCTTTTTTTTTATTATACTTTAAGTTTTAGGGTACATGTGCACATTGTGCAGGTTAGTTACATATGTATACATGTGCCATGCTGGTGCGCTGCACCCACTAACTCGTCATCTAGCATTAGGTATATCTCCCAATGCTATCCCTCCCCCCTCCCCCCACCCCACCACAGTCCCCAGACTGTGATATTCCCCTTCCTGTGTCCATGTGATCTCATTGTTCAATTCCCACCTATGAGTGAGAATATGCGGTGTTTGGTTTTTTGTTCTTGTGATAGTTTACTGAGAATGATGATTTCCAGTTTCATCCATGTCCCTACAAAGGACATGAACTCATCATTTTTTATGGCTGCATAGTATTCCATGGTGTATATGTGCCACATTTTCTTAATCCAGTCTATCATTGTTGGACATTTGGGTTGGCTCCAAGTCTTTGCTATTGTGAATAATGCCGCAATAAACATACGTGTGCATGTGTCTTTATAGCAGCATGATTTATAGTCCTTTGGGTATATACCCAGTAATGGGATGGCTGGGTCAAATGGTATTTCCAGTTCTAGATCCCTGAGGAATCGCCACACTGACTTCCACAATGGTTGAACTAGTTTACAGTCCCACCAATAGTGTAAAAGTGTTCCTATTTCTCCACATCCTCTCCAGCACCTGTTGTTTCCTGACTTTTTAATGATTGCCATTCTAACTGGTGTGAGATGGTATCTCATTGTGGTTTTGATTTGCATTTCTCTGATGGCCAGGGATGGTGAGCATTTTTTCATGTGTTTTTTGGCTGCATAAATGTCTTCTTTTGAGAAGTGTCTGTTCATGTCCTTTGCCCACTTTTTGATGGGGTTGTTTGTTTTTTTCTTGTAAATTTGTTTGAGTTCATTGTAGATTCTGGATATTAGCCCTTTGTCAGATGAGTAGGTTGCGAAAATTTTCTCCCATTTTGTAGGTTGCCCGTTCACTCTGATGGTAGTTTCTTTTGCTGTGCAGAAGCTCTTTAGTTTAATTAGATCCTATTTGTCAATTTTGGCTTCTGTTGCCATTGCTTTTGGTATTTTAGACATGAAGTCCTTGCCCATGCCTATGTCCTGAATGGTAATGCCTAGGTTTTCTTCTAGGGTTTTTATGGTTTTAGATCTAACGTTTAACTCTTTAATCCATCTTGAATTGATTTTTGTATAAGGTGTAAGGAAGGGATCCAGTTTCAGCTTTCTACATATGGCTAGCCAGTTTTCCCAGCACCATTTATTAAATAGGGAATCCTTTCCCCATTGCTTGTTTTTCTCAGGTTTGTCAAAGATCAGATAGTTGTAGATATGTGGCGTTATTTCTGAGGGCTCTGTTCTGTTCCATTGATCTATATCTCTGTTTTGGTACCAGTACCATGTTGTTTTGGTTACTGTAGACTTGTAGTATAGTTTGAAGTCAGGTAGTGTGATGCCTCCAGCTTTGTTCTTTTGGCTTAGGATTGACTTGGCGATGCGGGCTCTTTTTAGGTTCCATATGAACTTTAAAGTAGTTTTTTCCAATTCTGTGAAGAAAGTCATTGGTAGCTTGATGGGGATGGCATTGAATCTGTAAATTACCTTGGGCAGTATGGCCATTTTCACGATATTGATTCTTCCTACCCATGAGCATGGAATGTTCTTCCATTTGTTTGTATCCTCTTTTATTTCATTGAGCAGTGGTTTGCAGTTCTCCTTGAAGAGGTCCTTCACATCCGTTGTAAGTTGGATTCCTAGGTATTTTATTCTCTTTGAAGCAATTGTGAATGGGAGTTCACTCATGATTTGGCTCTCTGTCTGTTGTTGGTGTATAAGAATGCTTGTGATTTTTGTACATTGATTTTGTATCCTGAGACCTTGCTGAAGTTGCTTATCAGCTTAAGGAGATTTTGGGCTGAGACAATGGGGTTTTCTAGATACACAATCATGTCGTCTGCAAACAGGGACAATTTGACTTCCTCTTTTCCTAATGGAATACCCTTTATTTCCTTCTCCTGCCTAATTGCCCTGGCCAGAACTTCCAACACTATGTTGAATAGGAGTGGTGAGAGAGGGCATCCCTGTCTTGTGCCAGTTTTCAAAGGGAATGCTTCCAGTTTTTGACCATTCAGTATGATATTGGCTGTGGGTTTGTCATAGTTAGCTCTTATTATTTTGAAATACGTCCCATCAATACCTAATTTATTGAGAGTTTTTAGCATGAAGGTTGTTGAATTTTGTCAAAGGCCTTTTCTGCATCTATTGAGATAATCATGTGGTTTTTGTCTTTGGTCCTGTTTATATGCTGGATTACATTTATTGATTTGCGTATATTGAACCAGCCTTGCATCCCAGGGATGAAGCCCACTTGATCATAGTGGATAAGCTTTTTGATGTGCTGCTGGATTCGGTTTGCCAGTATTTTATTGAGGATTTTTGCATCAATGTTCATCAAGGATATTGGTCTAAAATTCTCTTTTTTGGTTGTGTCTCTGCCTGGCTTTGGTATCAGGATGATGCTGGCTTCATAAAATGAGTTAGGGAGGATTCCCTCTTTTTCTATTGATTGGAATAGTTTCAGAAGGAATGATACCAGTTCCTCCTTCTACCTCTGGTAGAATTCGGCTGTGAATCCATCTGGTCCTGGACTGTTTTTGGTTGGTAAGCTATTGATTATTGCCACAATTTCAGCTCCTGTTATTGGTCTATTCAGAGATTCAACTTCTTCCTGGTTTAGTCTTGGGAGAGTGTATGTGTCCAGGAAATTATCCATTTCTTCTAGATTTTCTAGTTTATTTGCGTAGAGGTGTTTGTATTATTCCCTGATGGTAGTTTGTATTTCTGTGGGATCGGTGGTGATATCCCCTTTATCATTTTTTATTGCGTCTATTTGATTCTTCTCTCTTTTTTTCTTTATTAGTCTTGCTAGCGGTCTATCAATTTTGTTGATCCTTTCCAAAAACCAGCTCCTGCATTCATTAATTTTTTGAAGTGTTTTTTGTGTCTCTATTTCCTTCAGTTCTGCTCTGATTTTAGTTATTTCTTGCCTTCTGCTAGCTTTTGAATGTGTTTGCTCTTGCTTTTCTAGTTCTTTTAATTGTGATGTTAGGGTGTCAATTTTGGATCTTTCCTGCTTTCTCTTGTGGGCATGTAGTGCTATAAATTTCCCTCTACACACTGCTTTGAATGTGTCCCAGAGATTCTGGTATGTTGTGTCTTTGTTCTCATTGGTTTCAAAGAACATCTTTATTTCTGGCTTCATTTCGTTATGTACCCAGTAGTCATTCAGGAGCAGGTTGTTCAGTTTCCATGTAGTTGAGTGGTTTTGAGTGAGATTCTTAATCCTGAGTTCTAGTTTGATTGCAGTGTGGTCTGAGAGATAGTTTGTTATAGTTTCTGTTCTTTTACATTTGCTGAGGAGAGCTTTACTTCCAAGTATGTGGTCAATTTTGGAATAGGTGTGGTGTGCTGCTGAAAAAAATGTATATTCTGTTGATTTGGTGTGGAGAGTTCTGTAGATGTCTATTAGGTCTGCTTGGTGCAGAGCTGAGTTCAATTCCTCGGTATCCTTGTTGACTTTCTGTCTCGTTGATCTGTCTAATGTTGAAAGTGGGGTGTTAAAGTCTCCCATTTTTAATGTGTGGGAGTCTAAGTCTCTTTGTAGGTCACTCAGGACTTGCTTTATGAATCTTGGTGCTCTTGTATTGGGTGCATATAAATTTAGGATAGTTAGCTCTTCTTTTTGAATTGATCCCTTTACCATTATGTAATGGCCTTCTTTGTCTGTTTTGATCTTTGTTGGTTTAAAGTCTGTTTTATCAGAGACTAGGATTGCAACCCCTGCCTTTTTTTGTTTTCCATTTGCTTGGTAGATCTTCCTCCATCCTTTTATTTTGAGCCTATTTTTGTCTCTGCATGTGAGATGGGTTTCCTGAATACAGCACACTGATGGGTCTTGACTCTTTATCCAATTTGCCCGTCTGTGTCTTTTAATTGGAACATTTAGTCCATTTACATTTAAAGTTAATATTGTTATGTGTGAATTTGATCCTGTCATTATGATGTTAGCTGGTTATTTTGCTCATTAGTTGATGCAGTTTATTCCTAGTGTCTATGGTCTTTACATTTTGGCATGATTTTGCAGTGGCTGGTACCGGTTGTTCCTTTCCATGTTTAGTGCTTCCTTCAGGAGCTCTTGTAAGGCAGGCCTGGTGGTGACAGTATCGCTCAGTATTTGCTTGTCTGTAAAGTATTTTATTCCTCCTTCACTTATGAAGCTTAGTTTGGCTGGATATGAAATTCTGGGTTGAAAATTCTTTTCTTTAAGAATGTTGAATATTGGCCCCCACTCTCTTCTGGCTTGTAGGGTTTCTGCCGAGAGATCCACTGTTAGTCTGATGGGCTTCCCTTTGAGGGTAACCCGACCTTTCTCTCTGGCTGCCCTTAACATTTTTTCCTTCATTTCAACTTTGGTGAATCTGACAATTACGTGTCTTGGAGTTGCTCTTCTCGAGGAGTATCTTTGTGGCGTTCTCTGTATTTCCTGAATCTGAACGTTGACCTGCCTTGCTAGATTGGGGAAGTTCTCCTGGATAATATCCTGCAGAGTGTTTTCCAACTTGGTTCCATTCTCCCCATCACTTTCAGGTACACCAATCAGACGTAGATTTGGTCTTTTCACATAGTCCCATATTTCTTGGAGGCTTTGCTCATTTCTTTTTATTCTTTTTTCTCTAGACTTCCCTTCTCGCTTCATTTCATTCATTTCATCTTCCATCGCTGATACCCTTTCTTCCAGTTGATCGCATCGGCTCCTGAGGCTTCTGCATTCTTCACGTAGTTCTTGAGCCTTGGTTTTCAGCTCCATCAGCTCCTTTAAGCACTTCTCTGTATTGGTTATTCTAGTTATACATTCTTCTAAATTTTTTTCGAAGTTTTCAACTTCTTTGCCTTTGGTTTGAATGTCCTCCCGTAGCTCAGAGTAATTTGATCGTCTGAAGCCTTCTTCTCTCAGCTCGTCAAAGTCATTCTCCATCCAGCTTTGTTCCGTTGCTGGTGAGGAACTGCATTCCTTTGGAGGAGGAGAGGCGCTCTGCTTTTTAGAGTTTCCAGTTTTTCTGCTCTGTTTTTTCCCCATCTTTGTGGTTTTATCTACTTTTGGTCTTCGATGATGATGATGTACAGATGGGTTTTTGGTGTGGATGTCCTTTCTGTTTGTTAGTTTTCCTTCTAACAGAGAGGACCCTCAGCTGCAGGTCTGTTGGAGTACCCGGCCGTGTGAGGTGTCAGTCTGCCCCTGCTAGGGGTGCCTCCCAGTTAGGCTGCTCGGGGGTCAGGGGTCAGGGACCCACTTGAGGAGGCAGTCTGCCTGTTCTCAGATCTCCAGCTTCGTGCTGGGAGAACCACTGCTCTCTTCGAAGCTGTCAGACAGGGATATTTAAGTCTGCAGAGGTTACTGCTGTCTTTTTGTTTGTCTGTGCCCTGCCCCCAGAGGTGGAGCCTACAGAGGCAGGCAGGCCTCCTTGAGCTGTGGTGGGCTCCACCCAGTTTGAGCTTCAGGGCTGCTTTGTTTACCTAAGCAAGCCTGGGCAATGGGGGCGCCCCTCCCCCAGCCTCGCTGCCACCTTGCAGTTTGATCTCAGACTGCTGTGCTAGCAATCCGCGAGACTCCGTGGGCGTAGGACCCTCTGAGCCAGGTGCGGGATATAATCTTGTGGTGCATCGTTTTTTAAGCCTGTCGGAATAGCGCAGTATTCGGGTGGGAGTGACCTGATTTTCCAGGTGCCGTCCGTCACCCCTTTCTTTGACTCAGAAAGGGAACTCCCTGACCCCTTGCGCTTCCCAAGTGAGGCAATGCCTCGCCCTGCTTCAGCTCGCGCAAGGTGCGCGCACCCACTGACCTGAGCCCACTGTCTGGCACTCCCTAGTGAGATGAACCCTGTACCTCAGACGGAAATGCAGAAATCACCTGTCTTCTGCGTCGCTCACGCTGGGAGCTGTAGACCAGAGCTGTTCCTATTCGGCCATCTTGGCTCCTCCCTCCTAGTATTTGTTATTATTTTCTAGGGTTTAATATTTTTATAATGCATATTATGAGTGAAAGGGAAAATTAGCCACATATTTTAATTTAAAGAAAGATGATGAGTCATTTAGTTTTATAAAAGGTGTTGGAAGAGAAAGCATTCAGCTGGTGATTACATTTATTGGCATAAAAATCTAGCCTGACTCAACCCATCACTAAATTCTGGGTGAATCATTAAGTAAAAAACAAACACAGGAAACAGAAACACAGCATTTTCCTACTAGTATGTCTAAAAAATATTCTTGGAAATATTGCAGATAACTGATGTGAAAAAATTACTAGGCAATTATATTGTATAAAAAATAAAGTAGAGAAGGATAAAGTCAAAGACAGTTTGTAGGAAGAATTAGTAAAGGAAAAACTGAAAGAAGGAGGAAGGAAGAAAAGGAAGAAAAAGAGAAAATGATACCTCAGACTCACATTTTGATATATTACAGAAAGACTATGCGGTCATACACATTGTCTTTTCTCAGTGTGATTTGTCATTCCTGGTGTATGTGCATTACTCAGAATTTCAGGTCTGAGTCAATAGAGTATATCTTGAAAAACAATAGGTGTTTTTGAATGAAACAAATTAAATTTGTTTTTGAATGAAAAAGAGATTTTTCATGGCTCTAGCATTTAAACACTTCTCCAGTCATATCTATTTTCTTTTTTTACCATCTCTCCTTAAAGGATATTATCATATTTTTTCAAAACCCACGACAGTTTTGACCGTGATGTAGACATATACCATGACAATATTAAGAAAATATGTTGACAGAGAACTTGGACTTTCTTTTTTAGGGGTGCAGTTTTCTTTAAAACATCCATGTGATTAGAGTCCATTGTATTTTAATACAAGCAAATTGTGATAAACATAGTTTTTTTTCAAGTATCTATAGCTTTAAAATTTAAGATATTTCTAAAGCTTCAGACTAATGGTCAACTACACAGAAAACATATTTTCTGGTAGTTCTTACATTGTGGGAAATCACTGGGATTTCAACTAGAAAACTTAAATTCCAATTCAAAGCTTGTGACTAAAACCAGCTGTGAGCTTTTGACATATGGTTTGGCTTCTGTGAACAAGAAGCTAATGAAATATTGTTGAAATTGAATGATTAAACCCAATGTAAAAATGAGTGCCCAATGTAATCATTAATAGTAACATTTTCTTAAATTACACAGGCCATTTTAAAAATCAATATAATAAAAATTCATACATAGAACCACAACCAACATATGATTATATGTGGCATAAATATAAATTCTAAAAGGCAAATCTTAGTATAATGAGAAGAAATTCTAAAATCCCCACCCTGATGGCTTAGAACGGTGACTGTCATTTCTCTAGCGTTGGTTCAACAGTATTTATTTTCAAAAGTCACATAACTTTGCTGGAATGTTAACTTAGGTCCTGCAAATTTCTTAAATATATTTTAATATAAATGATTATTATATATTGCTTTGTAAAATTTCACATAGGGTTATTGCAATCTTAGGACATATCATCATGTAACTTGACATTTAAGAACTCCATGAATAAGTAGTTTGTCTTCCTCTACTAACTGTTCTGATTCTTAATTACTTGAAGGATGAGCAAACGATTGCTTATTATATGAGGCATAACTATTATTAAAGATCATTATTAGAACCATAGATATTAGAAATAGAAAGGACTTAAAAGTTAATAAAGTTTTTCTCATTTTGCAATGAAAAAAATGAGAACCTCAGGGGTTAATAGATAGACGCATAGTTGTACAACTAATGAAATGGCAGAGCCAGAAGTATATCTAACTTTTAAAAAAAAATTTTTACTTTAAGTCCCGAGATACACGTGCACAATGTGCAGGTTTGTTACATAGACATACGTGTGCCATGGTGGTTTGCTGCCAGTATTCACTATTGACCCATCCTCTGAGTTCCTGCCCCTGGCTCTCCACCCCCCAACATGCCCTGATGTGTGTTGTTCCCCTCCCTGTGTCCTTGTGTTCTCATTGTTTAACTTCCACTTATGAGTGAGAACATGTGGTGCTTGGTTTTCTGTTCCTGTGTTGGTTTGCTGAGGATGATGGCTTCCAGCTTCATCCATGACCCTGCAAAGGGCATGATCTCATTCCTTTGTATAGCTGCATAGTATTCCATGATGTATATGTACCATATATTTTTATCCAGTCTATCATAGATGGACATTTGGGTTAATTAAATGTCTTAGCTATTGTGAATAGTGCTGCAATAAACATATGTGTGCATATGTCTTTATAATAGAATGATTTATGATCCTTTGGGTGTATACCCAGTAATGGGATTGCTGGGACAAATGGTGTTTCTGGTTCTAGATCCTTCAGGAATCACCATACTGTCTTCCACAGTGGTTGAACTAATTTACATTCCCACCAACAGTGGAAAAGCATTTCTATTTCTCTACAGCCTCAACAGCATCTATAGTTTCTTGACGTTTTAATAATTGCCGTTCTAACTGGCATGAGGTAGTTTCTCATTGTGGTTTTGGTTTGCATTTTTCTAATGATCAGTGATGTTGAGCTTTTTTTCATATGTTTTTTGGCCGCATAAATGTCTTCTTTTGAGAAGTGTCTGTTTAAATCCTTTACCCAATTGCGATGGGGTTGTTTGTTTTTTTCTTGCAAATTTGTTCAAGTTCTTTGTAAATTCTGGATATAAGACCTGTGACAGATGGGTAGATTGCAAACATTTTCTCCTATTCTGTAAGTTGCCTGTTCACTCTGATGCTAGTTTCTTTTGCTGTGCGGAAGCTCTTTAGTTTCATTAGATCCCATATGTCAATTTTGGCTTTCATTGCAATTGCTTTTGACATTTTTGTCATGAAGTCTTTGCCCATGCCTATGTCCTGAATGGTATTGCTTACGTTTTCTTCTTGGGTTTTAATGGTTTTGGGTTTTACATTTAAGTCTTTAATCCATCTTGAGTTAACTTTTGTATAAGGTGTAAGGAAGGGGTCCAGTTTCTGTTTTCTGCATATTGCTAGCCAGTTGTCCCAGCACCATTTATTGAAGAGGAGATCCTTTTCCCGTTGCTTGTTTTTGTCAGGTTTGTTGAAGATCAGATGGTTGTAGATGTGTGGTGTTATTTCTGAGGCCTCTGTTCTGTTTGTCTGTATGCCTGTTTGGCACCAGCACCATGCTGTTTTGATTACTGTAGCCTTGTAGTATAGTTTGAAATCAGGTAGCATGATGCCCCCAGCTTTGTTCTTTTTGCTTAGGATTGTCTTGGCTATATGGGGTCCTTTTTGATTCCATATAAAATTTAAAGTAGTTTTTTTCTAATTCTATGAAGAATGTGAATGGTAGTTTGATGGGAATAGCATTGAATCTGTAAATTACTTTGGGCAGTATGGCCATTTTCACAGTATTGATTCTTCCTATGCATGAGGATGGAATGTTTTTCCATTTGTTTGTGTTCTCTCTTATTTCCTTGAGCAGTGGTTTGTAGTTCTCCTTGAAGAGATCCTTCACATCCCTTGTTAGCTGTATTCCTAGGTATTTTATTCTCTTTGTAGCAACTGTGAATGGAAGTTCACTTATGATTTGGTTCTCTTTAGTCTGTTCTTGGTGTATAGGAATGCTTGTGATTTTTGCACATTGACTTTCTATCTTGAGGTTTTGCTAAAGTTGCTTATCAGCTTAAGGAGTTTTGGGGCTGAAAATCATGGGGTTTTCTAAATATAGAATCATGTCATCTGCAAATCGAGGCAATTTGACTTCCTCTCTTCCAATTTGAATACACTTTATTTCTTACTCATGCCTGATTGCCCTGGCCAGAACTTCCAATACTATGTTGAATAGGAGTGATGAGAGAGGGCATCTTTGTCTTACGCCAGTTTCAAAGGGAATGCTTCCAGCTTTTTCCCATTTAATATGATATTGGCTGTGGGTTTGTCATAAATGGCTCTTATTATTTTGAGCTACATTTCATCAATACCTAGTTTATTGAGAGTTTTTAATTTGAAGCAATGTTGAATTTTATCACAGGTCTTTTCTGCATCTATTGAGATGATCATGTGGTTTTTGTCTTTGGTTCTGTTTATGTGATGGATTATATTGCTTTGCGTATGTTGAACCAGCCTTGCACGCCAGGGATGAAGCTGACTTGATTGTGGTGGATAAGCTTTTTGATGTGCTGCTGTATTTGGTTTGCCAGTATTTTACTGAGGATTTTAGGATCGATATTCATCAGAGATATTGGCCTGAAATGTTCTGTTTTTGTTCTGTGTCTGACAGGTTTTGGTATCAGAAAAATGCTGGCTTCATAAAATGAGTTAAGGAGGAGTCCCTCATTTTCAATTGTTTGAAATAGTTTCAGAAGGAATGGTACCAGCTCCTCTTTGTACCTCAGGTAGAATTCAGCTGTGAAGCTGTCTGGTCCTGGGCTTTTTTTGGTTGATAGGCTATTAATTAATGTCTCAATTTCAGAACTTGTTATTGGTCTATTCAGGGATTCGACTTCTTCCTGGTTTAGTCTTGGGAAGGTGTATTTGTCCAGGAATTTATCCATTTCTTCTAGATTTTCTAGTTGACTTGCATAGAAGTAATTTTAATATTCTCTGATGGAAGTTTGCATTTCTGTGGGGTCAATGGTGACATCCCCTTCATCAATTTTTATTGTGTCTATTTGAATCTTCTCTCTTTTCTTCTTTATTAGACTTGCTAGTGGTGTATTTATTTTATTTTATTTTATTTATTTATTTTGAGATGGAGGCTTGCTCTGTCGCCCAGGCTGGAGTGCAGTGGCGCGATCTTGGCTCACTGCAAGCTCCACCTCCCGGGTTCACGCCATTCTCCTGCCTCAGCCTCTCAAGTAGCTGGGACTACAGGCACCCACCACCACATCCAGCTAATTTTTTGTATTTTTAGTAGAGACGGGGTTTCACTGTGTTAGCCAGGATATTCTCGATCTCCTGACCTTGTGATCTGCCCGCCTTGGCTTTCCAAAGTGCTGGGATTACCGGCGTGAGCCACCGCCCCTGGCCTATTTTGTTAATTTTTTCAAAAAAACAGCTCCTGGATTCATTGATTTTTTTGAAGGTTTTTTTGGGTCTCTAAAGCCTTCAAGTTTGTTCTGATCTTAATTTTTGCTTTCTGCTAGCTTTTGGATTAGTTTGCTCTTGCTTCTCTAGCTCTTTTAATTGTGATGTTAGGTTGTCAATTCGAGGTATTTCTAGCTTTCTTATGTGGGCAATTAGTGCTATACATTTCCCTCTTAACACTGCTTTAGCTGTGTCCCAGATATTCTGGTACACTGTCTTTTTGTTCTCATTGGTTTCAAAGAACGTCTTGATTTCTGCCTTAATTTCATTATTTTTTCAGGAGTCATTCAGGAGCAGATGTTCAATTTTCATGTAATTGTGTGGTTTTGAGTAAGTTTCTTAATCTTGGGTTCTGATTTGATTGCACTGTGTTCTGAGAGTGTTTGTTATAATTTCAGTTATTTTGCATTTGCTGAGAAGTATTTTACTTCCAATTATGTGGTCAATTTTAGAGTAAGTGCCATGTGGTGCTTAGAAGAATGTATATTCTATTGATTTTTGGTGGAGAGTTCTGTAGATGTCTATTAGGTCCACCTGATCCAGAGCTGAGTTCAAGTCCTGGATATCCTTGTTAATTTTCTGTTTCACTGATCTGTCTAATATTGACAATGGGGTGTTAAAGTTTCCCACTATTATTGTCTGGGAGTCTAAGTCTCTTTGTAGGTGTCTAAGAACTTGTGTTATGAATCTGGGTGCTCCTATATTGGATGCATATATATTTAGGATAGTTAGCTCTTCTTGTTGAATTGATCCCTATACTGTTATGTAATGCCTTTCTTTGTCTTTTGTGGTTCAAAGTCTGTTTTTTTCAAAGACTAGCTTTGCAACCCCTGCTTTTTTTTTTTTTTTTTTTTTTTTTTTTTTTTTTTTTTTTTTGCTTTCCATTTGCTTGGTAAATTTTCCTCCATCCCTTTATTTTGAGTCAATGTGTGTCTTTGCATGTGAGATGGGTCTCCTGAATAGAGCACACCGATGGATTTTTTGACTTTTTATCCAATTTGCCAGTCTGTGTCTTTTCATTGGGACATTTAGCCCATTTACATTTAAGATTAATACTGTTATGTGTGAATCTGATCCTGTCATCATGATGCCATCTCGTTATTTTGTGCATAGTTGACGCAGTTTCTTCATAGTGTCATTGGTCTTTATATTTTGGTGTGTTTTTGCAGTGGCTGGTACCGGTTTTTCCTTTCCATATTTAGTGCTTCCTTTAGGAGCTCTTGCAAGGCAGGCCTGGTGGTGATGAAATCCCTCAGCATTTGCTTCTCTGGAAAGGATTTTATTTCTCCTTTGCTTATGAAGCTTAGTTTGGCTGGATATGAAATTCTGAGTTGAAAATTCTTTTCTTTAAGAATATTGAATATTGGCCCCCTAATCTCTTCTGGCTTGTAGGGTTTCTGCTGAGAAGTCTGCTGTTACTCTGATGGGCTTCCCTTTGTAGGTGACCTGGCTTTTCTCTCTGGCTGCCCTTAGCATTTTTTCCTTCACTTCAACCTTGGAGAATTTGATGAATATGTGTCTTGGGGTTGATCTTCTTGTGGAGCATCTTAGTGATGTTCTCTGTATTTCTTCAATTTGCATGTTCCCCTGTCTTGCTAGGTTGGGGAAGTTCTCCTGGATAGCATTCTGAAGTGTGCTTTCCAGCTTGTTTCTGTTCTCCTCGTCTCCTTCAGGTACTCCAATCAATCTTAGGTTCGGTCTTTTTACATAGATCCATATTTCTTGAAGGCTTTGTTCATTCCTTTTCATTATGTTTTCTTTAATATTGTCTTCGGATCTTATTTCAGCAAGGTAGTCTGCATACACTTATGGCCTTTCTTTCGCTTGGTTGATTCAGCTACAGATACTTGTGTAAGCTTCACAGAGTTCTCGTGCTGTGTTTTTCAGCTGCATCAGGTCATTTATGTTCCTCTCTAAACTGGTTATTCCAGTTAGCAGCTCTAACCTTTTATCAAAGTTCTTAGCTTCTTTGCATTGGGTTAGAACATGCTCCTTTAGCTCAGCAGAGTTTTTTATTACCTATCTTCTGAAGCCTACTTCTGTCAATTCGTCCATCTCATCCTCTGTCCAGTTCTGTGCCCTTGCTGGAGGGTCATTGCTATCATTTGGAGGAGAAGAGGCATTCTGGCCTTTTGGGTTTTCAGCATGTTTTTTGTTGATTCTTTCTCATCTTCATGACTTTGTCTAGTTTTGATCTTTGAGGCTGCTGACCCTTGGATGGGGCTTTTGTGGGGACTTTTTCTTTTTGTTGTTGTTGATGCTGTTGTTGCTTTCTGTATGTTTGTTTATCTTTCAATGGTTAGGTCCCTTTTCTGTAGAGCTGCTGTGGTTTGCTGGGTTTTCTCTTCAGGCCCTATTCATCTGATTTGCTCCCACGCCTGTAGATGTCACTCAAGAAGGTGCCTCCCTTGACTGGGGGGTGGGAGCTCTTCTGCCCTCTGTGACTCTCAGGTGGGCCATGGCACCACATTGCTCTTCCTTCCTTTCCATGGATCATACCAGCCGCCTAGTCAGTTCTGATGAGAAAACCTGGATAGCTTGGTTGTTGGGGCAAGATTCACATGCTATTATGGTTCTTTTTGATGGAAGCCTCTGATCGCCGCTCCTTCTTGTCAGCCATCTTGCCCCACCTACCTTTTCTAACTACTAAGGATTCTTTTTACTTCTCCTAGAACTTTTTAACTACTCTAAGCTCTTCTCTAGATATTATAGGTAGCTTCCTTGGAAACATGATTATATTTATTATTCATAATTCTTTCATTGATTGGCTTAACTTTCATTTAAATCATTCATTTGAAACAATTGAAATCTAATGAAATCATCCTAAATTAAAATGGTAATACCACATCAATAAATTTGTCATTTATTGTTCATCTTGGAATACTCTTAGCCTCTTCACATAAAACGTGTTAAAATTAAAATTGTAAGAGTTATTATCTATTTTTCATTTTTATTTATGATTATTAATAAGAGGAATAGATTATCTTATGACTTAGCATAATGTTGGCTTTATACTCATGTGAAACACTTAGTTTATTACTACTCCTACTACCTCATATTTCTAGTCCTAATGTTGTCATAACGGTAAAAACTCTATCTGGTTCATCCTCAAATATCATTACCATCTCTGAAACACTCCAGATAACATTTGCACCATATAAAGAGAACAATACAATTTCATTTTAAAGTAAAATATATTATGCATTCCTGCTAAAATGTTTAAATCATGTAAAATTCATGGAATGTTAAATGTTTACTAGCTGACCAAACAAACATTGCAAATGGAAAACTCATTAATATATTTCTAAGTATAAGCAGAAAAAAATGTCATTTCCATACATTCTAAAACTTTTATTCTCAATGGAAATATTTTCTCATTCTCAAGAGAAAATTATTTTTGTAGTACAATTTTAAAGGGAGTTCAATTATTTAACCTTTGTGCTGCAATTGTTAGTGAATTGAGATTTTTTTTTATGGACACAGTAACATGTGAGGAATATTCTAAATTTATCATTAAAAATAGTATTTTGTATATATCAATAGAACTACTGTTATGAAAAAAAAAAACACTTAAAAAAAGTCACACACTGAAATCTTACCATTTTTCCTGGTGTATTTAGTAAAAGAGTGCCCCCTTGTGATTTCTGAATACTTATACAACAGTGAGGTCTACTAATCCTGGGGAAAAATTTTTAATTAAGAAAAAAAGGCTCCTCTCATCCTTAAAATACAACCAACACTTTATTTTTGCACATGAAACTATTTTAAGTTTAAATTTATTTTACTGGAAGTAGAAAAAATTTATTTCATGGAGATTTATCAGAAAGCAGTTTTAAGAAAACCACTAAACATTCTAGGACGCCAGCTCACAGAATGCATATACTGCTGCTGTTTTCCATTTTTATGCCCACGTAGGTGGCTCTCTAGAGACAGAACACTGTTTCTAGAGAATAAAGCTGCTGAGCTTACATTGATTGGAATTTTCCTGACAGTGCAGCATAATTCTGACATGTTTTGTGCTTATTCTTCATTATGAACCTAGGACACAATACATAGGGCCATATGTTCCTCTGAGTCCTCAATGGAACTCCCAGGGATACCAGCAGGCAGTTGTGTAGATCCAAGAAACAGCAAAGCTCATATTGAGACTGGGAGTGTCATGACTTTGGGAGCTTTGGCTCATGCATATCTGAAACACTGGAGAACATTCGATATACCATTAACTGAATGTGGTACCAATGAGAAATTATGAAATTAAGTTAATGGAAGACTGGGGATTTAATATAAAATTACTAGGCTAATTTTACCACTGTTTACACTCAGTCAATAATTTATTAGCAATGTAGCTAATTAAGGTTGCAGAGTATCATACTTCTCTGGAAGGACAAAAAATATTTATATGTAATAGAATAGCTTAGTTTGAAATAACTTTTGACTCTCCATTTCTAACCATGAAAAAAAAATCTCTCAATTTAGTTAGCCAAAAAATAATATTGAAGGACAAAATAATGGTTTGGTAGAATAAAAGGGTGATTGATAGATCGGGGAGGCAAAAAAGAATATTAGCTTTTCCAGTTAAAGCCAATTTGTCAAAAGTAGACCAACTTTTTTAGGCTACTTGTAATAAAAGTTGAAAATATAAACAACTATATGAATGTTAGATATTTTTCAGATTATTCAAATTTCACAGTCATCAAAAAATAGAACTTGTAGATGAAAGTACAAGAAAAAGAAATCCGTTTCCTGTGAACATTTCCCTAGACCTGAGTTTCTCAACAGAGGTGGAGCAGTTTTACTCCCTGGGACATTTGGCATTCTCTGAAGACATTTTTGATTGTCACAATAAGGTGGACGTGTTCCTGGCATCTACTGAGTAGAGGCCATAAATGTTGCTAACCATCCTAGAATGCACAGAATAGTTCCCAATAACAAAGAATTTTCTGGTCCAAATAGGTAGACTTAGAATTTTAGATTTTAATAACCTATAAGGCCTTACCTTGCTAGATTTTGTATGCTCCTTTGCATAATTCTTCATTTGAAATCAGGCTGACAGTGGAAGTTTGTGATAGGAAGAACTTGGCTTACAAATATTACCATTCCTTTTTTACTTAAAAACATTTCTACCAATGTGTAAAATATCCTACAACAGATATTTTTCTTAAAAAACTGTGTAAAGGAAAATTATTAATGAATATGTAGAATCCAAGGTTTATCACTCTCTCAGTACTCCATCCCAGTCTCCCACCCTGACCTTCAGATATTCGGGATGGGGTCCAGAAATCTACATTTAAATAATATACCCAGGTGATTATCCCACAGGTGTTTGTAGACTACATTTTGAAAAATGCTACGCAGATTCCCCTGAAGATTCTCATCAGTAAAATATTCCTTTATCTTTACACAAAATTATTTTACAAATTCCAGTGCTCAATATGGGGCATATTTAAACTTGTTTTCTTGTTTCTCTCCCTGGCAGAGAAAAGTCTACAAACCAGCTTTACCTTAAGTAGAGAAACATGGAGGGAGAGAAGGCAGGGAGATAAAAATAGATTTAAAAACTAGGTATCTGATTACATGTAAGGAAATAGAATACTTTGTTTTTGTTGTGTATTTTTAATGATCAAAGTTTCTGAGAGTTTGGAACAGAATGCAAGACAACATTGGAAATCATAGACCAAGGGGTGACTTTGAGTACCTTCTAAGTGTTAGAGAAAATTTTAATATATTTTTAAATTAGCCATTAATTATTCCTATTTTTAGTTTTCTAGCATAAAACAAAATAAGACAAACCCACCTAGTCCCTATACTCAATCATTAAAAATGAAATTGTAGAATTTACTTGCAAATCTCTAATGAATAAGCCACATTTTTGTTATTTCACAGGGCATGCTATCAAAATGACCAGTAACATATCTATGAAATACTAATGTCATTCATTCAATCTCAAAGCATGCAATTTAGACATCATAAATACAACCACGATAATTTAAAAACAACACTAACAGAGCTGTGTACAACTTTGAGGGGAAAGTGACTACCTAAATGATGCAAACAATTTACCTTGAGTGTTTTCTCAATTGAATCAAGCTTTACAGTTAACCAAATAAGAATCCATTTAGAGATTTGCATTAATCAGCATGAGAAATCTTGAAACAATGCCATTATAAAGGAATTTAGCCTTCAGAGCTTACTATATAATTTAAGATTCCATCTGACAAATGTATTAAACTGAACCAAAATGCAAATCCCTAGAATTCTAATCAACTTGGAGGAAAATTACTACTAAGTCTACCCATTTTGCTAACAGAATTATATATATATTTTAAAAGTCTCTATATTATGTATTCTTAGAGAGATCAGTCATCATTAAATAAAAAATGAATTCTTTGTAGACAGAAATTTGGACAATCTAGCTTTAACATTCTAGAACATATAGTTATCAAACCATTAATCAATTATTATACACTGGCTAAGAATACATTTTTCTATGTATAAGTGAAACTTAAAATTGATAACATGATCTTAAATACTATTGATTTTATATACGCTTCCCCAAATTATAGTCTACTTACTTAACAGCTGTCTGTTAGCCATGCCTAAATACTAAAGTTTAATTGGTTTGTATAAATTTATTATAAGGAATAAGGGGAAAATGTGACAGAGGATTGAGCTTTAAAAAATGAATAATAGCTTTTAGTCCTTTGCATTTCACTTTCTGGCTTGCATTTAATCAATATGTATATTGTTGAATAATTTTATATTGTTTAATATTTGAAAAGTTTTATATAAATATGATTCAGAAAAGAAGTGTAATGATTAATTTTGTGTTAACTTGGCTGGGCCACGGTGCCTAGATATGTGGCCCAGATATGTGGCCAAACATTATTCTTGGTGTTTCAGTGGGCATGTTTTTGGATGAGATTAACATTGAAATCAGTAGACTTTGAATAAAGCAGACTGTGAATAAAGCAGATTGCCCACTGCAGTGTGGATGAGCCTCATCCTGTCAGTTGAAGGCCGGAAGAGGACAAAGCACTAACTTCTCCCACCCCATTCCCCACACCGAGCAAGAGGGAATTCGGCCAGCGGATGTCTTTAGGATTCCAACTGCAACATTGGCCCTTCCCTGTGTCTCCACCCTGCAGGCCCAACCTGTAAATTTTGGATGTCCCATTTACCATAATTACGTGGGCTGATTTCTTAAAATCATCTCTTTCTCTATATATGCACATCCAACTGGTTTCGTTTCTTTGAAGAAGTTTGACTAATACAAAGAGATGTGAATTTATAAAAAAATTATGCCATCTAAAAATAATAGAGTTTTCACATTTTTGTTTTGTCTTTTTGCTTTAAAAATACTGAAATAAAACACATATAGAAGGAAAGTAGGCAAATATAAATACATGTGAAACCCATTGAATTATCTCAAAGAGAATATCTGTGTAACCACTACCTAACACAAGAATTTAAATTTTTTAATGTATAAGAAGAATCCTTCCTATCTTTACCCATCAACTCTTCCCTTACTCTCCCTCAAAAAATTTCTGGTTTCTAACACTAGAGTAACACTAGAGTTTAGTTTTGCTTCTAAAACTTTATATAAATGCAAATATACATATATTTATACTTTTATGTCTGTCTTTATTCATCCAGCCATATGTTGTTGATGCAGGATTTTTGCTCCTTAGTTCAGCTAAATCCGGTTCTTGTCTCACAAGCTGGAAAAATTAGCCACGCGGACACATTGAAGGGTGAGAAGGACAGAATTTAATAAGCAAATGGAAGGCTCTCAGCAAAGAGGGGTCCTGCAAACAGGTTTGCACCTCACAATTGAATACCAGGGCTCCCACACAGGAGCTGAAGAGGCCAGGCTCCTCCTTCCTAGCATAAGCCATGAATTCTTGGTGGGCCCACCCCATGCTTCCAGTGTGCATGCGGGCCCTTCGTTTGAGCCACTCCACATTGATTTATTTCCCTTATTGTGCATGGGTTAAGGGATGAAATTTTTCACCGTGGGCATGTTTAGGTCAGCCCCCTATAAACAATGATCTGGGTGGGTCAGGGGTTCTCTGAGACCCTTCCCTATCTGCCTAGGCATTTAGCTGCCTCCTGCCTCTATCATTGTGACAGTTATCCATGTTGGTGTGTTTAAGGTAATATTATTCATTTCATTGCTCTAGTATTAAATTGCATAAATAAATAAAAATTTATTTGTTCACCATTGGATTATTGATAGGCATTTAGATTTTTATTAGGTATTGGCTATTACAAATTATATGTCTATGTTTGTGTGTGTGTATGTGTGTACTCAATATAAATGTGTCTGTGTCTGTTTATGTGTATATGTGTATGTGTAAATTTACCTTGTTTTCTCAATTGAATCAAGCTTAACAGGTCAACAATACATACACACACATACATAGACACAGACACATTTATATTGAGTACAAACATACAAGTAGTTTTTCTGGTTAGTAAGATATATGCATATTCAACATTATTAGGTAATTCCAGTAGTTCTGTAGAAATTTAAACTTTTTATCACCTGTATATATAAAAGATCAGTTTTTCCATTTCCTCAGCTACATTTGTTACATCATTCATTTAGACACTGGTGAAAGTATGTGTTGTATCTTATTTTTAATTTGCATTACTTTTAATTTCCATTTCACTGATGTCAGATCAAATAGACCACCTTTTTACATATGTATTGACTATTTGCATATCTTATGATACGCCTGCTTGAGTTCTTGGCCATACCTGATTTTGTGCTTTTTTTCCCTAGTAGAAATTCTTTTCAGTCTTTGTAACTTTTATTTCATTTGCTTGTTTAATTCACTGGCTAGAACCAGTACAACATTTAAAAGAAAAAAGGATATTGACATCTTCCACCGAATCTCTGATGTTTCTTTCAATATTTCACTATTTATCATCATTTGCTGTAAATATTTTGTAGATAGTTGTTTTTTCTTTTTTGTTTTGTTTTTTTCAGATGGAGTCTTGCTCTGTCACCCAGGCTGGAGTGCAATGGCATAATCTGGGCTCACAGCAGCCTCCACCTCCCTGTTCAAGTGATTCTCCTGCCTCAGCCTCCCTAGTAGCTGGGATTATCTCAAAGAGATCCCATCATGCCCAGCTAATTTTTGTATTTTTAGTAGAGATGGGATTTCACCATGTTGACCAGGCTGGTCTCAAACTCCTGACCTCAAGTGATCCACCCACCTTGGCCTCCCAAAGTGCTGGGATTACAGGGTTGAGCCACCATGCCCAGCCTATAGATACTCTTTAACAGATTAAGGAAGTTTGTTTCACTTATATCTACTTTATATGGGTATTTATCATTAATTATTATTCTAATTATTTTTTGAGATGGAGTTTCACTCTTGTTGCCCAGGCTAGAGTGCAATGGCACGATCTCGGCTCACTGCAACCTGTGCCTCCTGGGTTCAAGTGATTCTCCTGCCTCAGCCTCCCGAGTAGCTGGGTTTACAGGCATGCAACACCATGCCTGGCTAATTTTTTCAATTTTTAGTATACATGGGGTTTCCCCATGTTGGTCAGGCTGGTCTCAAACTCAGATCACAGGTGATCCGCCCGCCTCGGCCTCCCAAAATGCTGTGATTACAGGCATGAGCCACTGTGCCCGGCCTATCATTAATTAATTTTTATTTATTACTGCAGCTACAGAGATGATATGATTTTTCTGTTTTATTTAGTGGAAATACATTAATTGATTTTTTTAAAGGTTAACTCTGCATTCCTGAGTTAAATACAACTTAATTATAAAATATTATTCATTTTCATCTCAATGGATTTGGTTTGCAAATATTATTTCAGATTTTTGCTTTTATGTTCATGAGAATAACCAGTTTTCTCTTCTCTTAATGGCCTCCTATTTTTAAAATGAGGTTTAATGATTTGCAAGAGAAAAGGCTGAGGAAGTCTCTCTTTTGCTAGTTCCTGGAAAAGTTATATTTCCTCCTTAGTTATTAGGTAGAATTCATTGCTGAATCCATTATGGCATGGAATTTTTCTTTGTGTTAAGGTATTTAATTTTTGTTTTTAATTACAGATACAATTTCCTTAATAGGTATAGGCTATTCAGATTCTCTATTTTATCTTATCTCCAAAGCTTAAATTTTTCTCAGGTTTTGACTATTTCATCTAAATCATCAAATTCATTAGCATAAAGCTACTTATATCTTTTTAATCTGTAAGATGTATATAAATGTCACTTTTTTGTTAGCTGTATACATTATTATTATTATTATTTATGCTTCCTTTTTTTCTTGGTCACTATGTTGGTTAGTCTTTTCAAAGAATGAACATCTATCTTTGTTAAAACACACAAACATATTTACACACACATATATTTCAATGGAAATTTGCTATCACTTTGATTATTTCGTTATCTGATTATTTCATTTTCATCTTTGTATAATTTTGTATTGGACAGTGCTGTTTTAGACAATGCAAGACCTTAACCACTTGAAGTCCACTTATGCCATCCTGACTTATACGGGTCTTTATTTATGTGTTTTAACTTCTCTATATTTTAAACCTGAAACAAGTAAAAGCATATATACTCAGTAATTTGATATAAAGTTGCCTTTAAACATTCATTCTGGCAGCCACTCACCTGTTGCAGTGATTTACTACACTGCAGAAATTGTAATATTCCATTTGGAGACTCAACAGAATCTGGATGCAACCAATATTTGTGATATCATATATGAAAATAATCTTTGGGACACAGGTAAAATAATATACTCTGGTTCTTAGAATCATTTATAGATATAAAGTATTATAAAATGTGTAATATATTATATAGATATAATAAATAGTATATAAAATGTTAGGTGTAATGTTGCACACCTATAATCCTAGCTACTCAGGAGGCTGATGTGGGAGAATTGTTTGATCCCAGGAATTCAAGACCAGCCTGGGCAACATAGTGAGACCCCATCTCATTAAGTAATAATAATTTTAAATATGTGTATATATAAAATATTGCTTTAGATTTTTGTAATAAAGATTGTATATAAAATGATGCTTTTTAAGATTTCTTGCTTTCTATATGAAAATCACATAAAATTCAATTCAAATATAATTCAAGCTTTTCAAATGTATCAGGTATCTGACTTAGAAAATAAAATACTGGAAAACACATTGCTCCTGCACTTATCACAAGAAAAAGCTATATAATTTATAAAAGCAATACTATTTTGAATCAGTGAAAGACCTGGATGAAGAATAACTCACAAGTCTATATGCTAAAGAAAGATAAGTGCCTCCAAGGAACATAGCATAGGGTAGGTGTTGGGTACCATAAATGCTATTAAGAAGAATAGCATTGTCATCTAAAAATTCTTATCAAATTGTTAAAAGCCAAGTGTAGGTGAGTCTGAGAACACAGAATCCCTGGAAAATGCAGACACAAAGAGAACTTATTATATTCACTGGTACGCTCTTCCCCATAGAAATCTTTGGGTGCTCAAAATAAAGACTGCAGCCAGGGTAAGAGATAAAACAAATAAAAAAAGTGTCCCTGATAGTACATGGACCACAGGAGCAACAGCCATTCTGGAAAAGCAAGAAACTTCAGCCGGATCCTCCTACCTTATAGAACAAAACCTTAAATGTTTTGGAATTAGAAGATCAAAACTTCGCTCTCAGGGCACAAGTGAAGATCTGCTGCTGGGAGAAGAAAATCAAAAACAGTAAAACAAACAAAAATCTTCTACTTCTGGGGAAGGGGAAGGAAACTATTCTTGGTGCAGAACATTGGAAAGAAAGCAAAGAAGAAGGAATATCAGGATCATTGGGAAGGCCCATCTCCTGAAACCAGGGAAACACCACATAGCTAGGATTGGGGACCCAGAAAGCAGAGAATACTTTTTTCCCCACCATCTCCTCCCACCGCTAGGCTAACAAATAATGGTAGTCTACTGCTGGAGAAGAAGTTAGAGCCTGGACAGAAAGAGAAGCTTTGAGGCACAGCAACAAAGGGAAGACCAAAAATTGAAAGTAGAGAAGATATTTTAAAAAAAAACTTATCTGCAAACCAGTCCATATAATTAATCTCTCAAGTGTTTTAATGATAAAGGTGGGCAACAAGCATGAATAATAGGACGTTTTGGCTGATAGATAAGAACTATAAGAAGCAAACAGAAATTCTAAAAAAGAAAAAAATAGTAACAGAGATAAGGAATACCTTCTATATGTTCATTATTGCATAGCTGAGGAAAGAATCAGTGAACTTTGAAGACACATCTATGCAGACCACCCAAACTGAAAGACATACAGAAAAAAGGAAGGAAGGAAGGACAGAAGGAAGAAAAGGAACAAAGTATGCAAGAGCTGTGGGAAAATATTAAATGGCCTAACATACATATTATTGGGATTTAAGAAAGAGACAACAGAGTGACAGTGACCAAAGAAATATTTTGACAAGAAAAGGACTAACCAGGTCGGGTGCGGTGGTTTACACCTATAATCCCAGCACTTTGGGAGGCCAAGAGGGAGTGGATCACTTGAGCTTAGGAGTTCAAGACCAGCCAGGTCAACATGGTGAAATCCCATCTCTGTTAAAAATACAAAAAATTAGCTGGGTGTGGTGGTGCACTCCTGTAATCCCAGGTACTCGGGAGGCTGAGACAGGAGAATTGCTTGAACTCCGTGGGCGGAGGTTGCAGTAAGCAGAAATTGTGCCACTGCACTCCAGGCTGGGAGATGGAGTGAGACTCCATCTCGAAACAAACAAACAAATGACTAATTTTCAAAACTAATGACAATCATTATACGGACGTTCTGACAAGTGCAGAGAAAACAAAGCAGGATAAACTAGAGAAACGAAACACAACAAAAAACTGGACATATTATAGTCAAAATGCTGAAAGCAAAGATAAAGAGATAAAGAGAAACTCTTGAAAGCAGCCAGAGGAGGGAAAAACGCAACATATAAGGAACAAGAGTTACAGGATACTTCTTGTCAGAAAGTATGTATACAAGAAAATAGACTGCCCTCATCAACCTGATAAAATTAAAATTTAAGTCATCTCTAAATCATATAGTCAGTGAAAATATTTTTTTGACAATAAAGAAAAAGTGAAGATATCTTTTAGACAGACTGGGAGAATTCTTTGCTAGTAGGTTTTCACCAGAAGAAATAGTAACGAAAATTCCACAGATAGAACAAATTTGTCACTAGGCAGAGACATAGATCTGTGCATACACAAAAGAGAACATGGATTTGAATAAACACAGATAAAGTCATTTTTCTTCATGTAAATAGTTTAAAAGAGAACTGGCTGTCTAAAGGAAAACAGCAGCAATGAATTTCATAAAAATAACAGCACAGAAATGGAAGAGAGGTATTGGGGCTCCATTTTTGTAAGTTACTAACACTACACATATAACAGCATAATAGTATTGAAGGTAGTCGGTTATAACTGAAGAAGTATATTGTAAAATCAGGACAGCTGCTTAAAAATAAGAAAAAAGCTGTAAATAGTAATCCAATTATGCAGATAAATTTTACTGGAATGGAATACTAATATCAGTCAAAGCAGATTTAACAATTTCCAAGAGCAGAGATATTACCTAATAAAAAATTGTTAAGGGTAGAGATATTACATAATGTTTAAAACTTCAAAATGTGAAGCAAAATCAGTTAAGGATGATAGGACAATGGATACATCACGATACAGTTGGAGACTTCAACAATCTTTCTCAAGAACTGATTGAAAAAATAAACAGAAAACTAATAACTATAAGAAGACTTGAACAACACTATCAACCAACTTGACCTAATTGACATTTATGGAACACTCATATGCATTTATGGAATACTCAAGAGAATGTACTTTCTTTTAAATGCATATGAAAGTAATCACCAACATAGAGGATATGTGAGGCCAGAAAAAAACTTTACAAATTTAAAGAACTGAAATTATATAATGTATATTTCTTAATTATAATGCAATCAAGTGTCAAAAATTAATAACAGAAAATATGGAAAATTCTAAAATAATTAGAAATTTAAACAATACGTTACTCATAGTTGCATCCAAGAGAAAATCATAAGGGAAATAAGAAAATATTTTAATGGAAAGGACATTAAAAAAATGGAAACAGATACGTAAAGCAAGACAAGAGAACAGTACACAATTAGTTGCTTAAATTAGGACATAGAATGCTTACGATTTTGTCTTCCATCTAAAGAAAATAAAAACAAAAACGATCGAAATTGTTGAGAGACAATTTGCCATGGATTTCTTGGTATTTTTGAAGAGTCTAAGCCTTGGGAGACAAGGTTACTGCAAGGATCTTTGCTTGATACACTTGAAAGCTAGAGATAGTGTCTCTGTGATGATAAGGAACTTGGGAAAGACTTGGAGACATGAAGCTGTCTTACTCCCCTCCCTGGAGACCCTGTGTTCTTTGTCCCAAGTGGTGTTTCCTTGGTGCTCTGCATTCTCCCTTCTCTTAGGAGCAGTAGTCCCAAGAGGAGACCTAGACCACTGGATACCCCTCAGTTCTCCGGATCCCCCAGCCCTGTGTGGCAGAGGCTAGGGAATGTCTGCAGGGGCTCTGGTGATGTAGAGACACAAGGGCTCAGATTCTCTGTGCAGGACGCAGTCCCCGCAATGGCTGTGCCCCCAGTTTGGCACCTGCCACTGCCTCTTGGGTCGGGAGGAAGGGCCAGAGATTCTGTGGGAGTTGGTGGTCTGGTGTAATGTTCTTAAGAAGTTCCAAAATTGCTACCCACACCACTGTTTGGGTTCATGAGGGAAGAGGAGCTTTCCAACAGTTTGGATACCTGAGGTCAGCTGCAGGGGCGAGGAGAGACGAAGCACTCTCACCTGCCCTTTCTGCCAGATGACAAGTTCCTCGGGGATCCTAACCAGATCCTCTTGCTTGTGCTTTTACTATGCCCCAGGTTCATCCCATGAGGCTCTGCTAGGCTCCAGCACTTTCCCCTTCATGCTCTGTTCGAGTTATGAATAACTATGTGCAAGAACCAACTTTGGTTCTTCTTTCTGAGAACTGGCATCTGACATCTCTAGACAGCCATTTTCTGGGTGGTATTTATTCCAACCTGGTTCAGCAGTTGAAGATCCATCAATATAATTCAACAGACTGAAGAAGAAAAATACTTGAAGAAAAAATATTTGATAAACTTCAACAAATAGTCATGATAAAATGTCAGCTATATACAAAAAGGAGAAAAATTCCTCAATCTGGTAAAAGATCAGCAACAGCAGCAGAAACTACCACTACTACAATCAACATTATACTTAATGATTAAATTCAGAGTAAGTTCTCTCCTGAGATCAGAAGCATATTAACAGCCCTCACTCCCACCACTTTTACAGAATACTGTATTTGAAGTCCTAGCCAGTGCAAGACCACACAAAAGAGAAAAAAAAATGAAAGGAAGAAATAAAACTAGTTTATTTACTGATGACACTGTCTACATACAAAGTCCAAAAGAACTACTATAAAACTTCTAGAACTAAGTGAGTTTAGAAATTTCATAAGATATAATGTTAAAATTCAGGAAAAGATCGTTGTGGTTTTTCTTTATTGACAATGAACAACTGGACATTTGAATTTTAAAAAACCTTATAATTCATAATAGTATCAAATCCATAAAATAGGTATAAATCTAATAACTATATTCAACATCTGTATATTGAAAATTGTACAATCCATTGATGAAGAAAAACAAGAGAATCTAATAAATCGGAGATAATTTGTAGTCACAAATTGAAGAAATCAATATTATTAAGATTTTAATTTTCACCAAACTAAAGATTAATGCAATTCAATCAAAATCTCAAAATCTCCTAAGGAAATTTTATAGAAACTAACAGCTAATTCTAAAATGTATATAGAAAAGCAAAAAAAAACTATTATAGCCAAAAAAGTCGACATAAGACAACAAAATTGAAAAACTCACACTATTTAATTTCAGTAATTTTTGAAAAGCTATGCTAATCAAGACAGTGTGGTATAGGCTAAGAGAATGCAACATATGTCCCACAGGTCAAGTTCTGCTCATAGTCTCTATTTGTATGAACTGTGAGCCTATTTTTCACAAATTTTGGTGTTTTTTTTTTGAGATGGACTCTCCCTCTGTCCACCAGGCTGGAGTGCAGTGGCGCGATCTTGGCTCACTGCAAGCTCCGCCTCCCGCGTTCAAGCCATTCTCCTGCCTCAGCCTCCCGAGTAGAGTAGCTGGACTACAGGCGCCCGCCACCACGCCTGGATAATTTTTTTTGTATTTTTGGTAGAGACGGGGTTTCACCCTGTTATCCAGGATGGTCTCGATCTCCTGACTTCGTGCTCAGCCCGCCTCGGCCTCCCAAAGTGCTGGGATTACAGGCATGAGCCACCCATGCCTGGCCTTTTACAAGTATTTTTAAAGATTAGGAAAGTAAAAATACAAAGAAAAATATGAGACTTGGAAAGTCTAAAACATGTACTATTTGGCCCTTTACTGAAAAAAAAAAAAATCTGGTGACTTGTGGTATAGGCAAAAGAATAGATATATAGATCATTGGAAATAAAAAGAGGATCCTGGAATAGATATGTATGTCATTAGTTGTTTGCAAACAATGGTGCAAAGCCAATTCAATGCATTAAGCGTAGTTATTTTTTTTTTCTGCAAATGCTGCTGGATCAACTGGCTATCCATGTGCAAAAACATGAAACTTAATCAACACTACACAGCAGATACAAAATCAAAATCAAAATTCACTATAGACTGAAATTTAAACCCCCAAACTATAAAATTTATAAAATAAAATATATTTAAAAAACTATTGTTACCTTAGTTTAAGTATTACCTTGATAAAATATCAAAAAAAAATCATAAGAAAAAATGACAAATTGGATATTGAAAGACATTGTTTAGAGATTAGGGAGGCCAAACGCAACATAGAAGAAAATATTCGCAAATCATTTATCTGGTAAAAGACATATTTATTGAATACCTCAAAAATGATCAAAAGTAAATTATAATAGTAACTAACTAGAAATAAATAGACAAAAGATTGAACGGGTAGTTTATCAAAGAACACGTGCACATGAGAAATTAGTCCAACAAAAAAAGCTCAACATCATTAGTCATTAGGGAAATACAAAATGAAACCCACTGAGTTTACTTTATATGCCATTTAGAATGCTTAAAATTAAAATCTGACAATACCAAATGCTGGTGGGAATGCAGTATAACTAGAACATGTTTTGCTGGTGTGAATGCAAAGTTGTGGGCATTTTGGAGAACACTTCAGTGGAAGTTACTTAGCAGTCACTGGTGCTAAATGATCAGCAATCACAGAATGAAGTCTTTTACATCCGCACTATTACATCAGGATAGATAGTAAGGTAGGTAGGTTAGGTAGGTTAGGTAGGTAAGTAGGTAGGTAGGTAGGTAGGTAGAGAGAGAGAGAGAGAGAGAGAGAGATCTTTATGATGTTTGGGTTAAATAAGTATAACCTTATCATGATCTAAAATCGTTTTATATATAAATAGTCAAGAAAATGTCTATGCAGGTTGATATGAAATTCAGTTTTCATATATACTGTATTTAAACTGATTATCTGTTAGACTTACATTTGCACTTCATTTTGTGAGAATCAAAGAAGCCTTAATATTTTATTTAAACATATAAATTCCTAAGCAAGGTTTTTTCTTAAGAATTGGGTCAGCATAATTATTGTTTGAATTAAAGATGAGCATTTAGGCTATCAGTTAGTGCCAAAATAGGTTTAATGGTCTTTCTGTATGTGAAAAAAATCTCCATTCTCTTCTGAAATCAATACTTCCCAAAAATCGTGAAATAACTTGTGTAGTCTCCTCAGAGTTATAAATAATATTGAAATGGTACAACTAGTATATGAAAGAAACTGTAGGGTTGATCTTGTACCACAGTAGCTTCAAATTTCAGATTTTCTGATGTTTGACTTACAGAGAAGAGATTTGTATTTCTTTTTAAACACAGACTTAGCCTGGCTTCTGTGGCCCATGGAACATTTTATTTTTGAATTCTATTTTGAGTAAAAGACATATGCCAGTATATTGGATTTCATGTTTTCAAGGACATAACATTTTTTAAGTCTTGTTTATAGTGTTCTCCAGCAGTTTTGTGAAATGTAGTGTTTCATTTCTGGGTCACTGGTTGAAACTGGGATCATTAATGAAGTAACTGTTAAGGCCTACCTGAGAAAAATCCTTCAATCAAACATATGTTGTATTGAATGGAAGAAAGCAGAGGACTGACACAGGTCAGCGTCACCCCAGTGAATGCCCATTGGTAACACCATCATTCCTCTCATTTGTCCCACTGCAGCCAGCAAAGCTTTTGCTGTCTCTTTATGTCACATACATCATCTACCCAGCTTTTTTATACAAAAGGAATATTTGTTTGAAATAGATATTGTGTCTCATTTTCTTATGAAATTTAGTTTTATGTTACTCTTTTTGCAGAATGAAAGTATAAACTTAATATAAATAACAGTGTTTGGGAGAAAGGTTAATGAAGCTATGAAGCCTAACAATAAGAAGACAAAAAACCATTTATAATGTCAGGTTAATATTATTTTTTAAGTTCTTTGTATTTATATGCTAGAAGAGTGTAAAGAGAAAAATGAAAAATTAATCACTGAAGTGTGTACTGAAGAGTAATGTTGGCATGAAAAGACTTACTCGATTTTTTCCATATATGTTTGGATATTGAGGATGATTTATATGGGTTATAGATTACTAATGGCTTAGAGGTTAACATTACATCAAGCCAGTTTGTTTGTTTATTTATTTATTTATTTATTTATTCTCTCTCTCTCTGTCTCTTTCTCTCTATAAAATCAAATGTACTTTATACTCATCTTATCCAAATAAATACTTGCTTTTGCTTCACACTTACCTTCTGTTCTCATAAAAAAACAAATGAGACAAAAAGAACCTCTGCTTAATAGTAGGTCACTTCTCTAAAAGTCTAGTTATAGAAAAGCCTATGGGTGTAGAAAACGATGGTTAAGAGCTAACAGAACATTAGCTCAACTTATTCAAAGATTTTTAAGCCACTAGGAAGAGAAGTTTACTATCTATGGAGAAATAGGAAAGCAACAGTTCCTTAAGAATAGATTCTTCATGACATCATCGATTATAAAATGAATATAGGAATGAATGGCCTGCATGTTTTATTATGTTAAATATGCAGTGAAATTCTAGAGAATATCTTAAACTGTAAACTGACAAAGATTATATTAAAATATATTTTACTCAGTTAAAAATTATAAAATGTTGAAATAAATTTTTATATAAGCTCTTCTCTTTTTGTAAAAGTTTTCTAAAACATATATATACTCATATATACATACATACATATATGTATACATATATATGTGTGTGTGTGTGTGTGTGTATATATAGTTTGACTTGGTTGAGATGTTTTAGAAAAAGGAAAAAAAGTCTACTTACTTCAACAATTGAGAACCATAGTTTAGTAAAGTGCTTTACATATTAATTTAAGAAAAGGCCATCAACGTGGCAATTTTTCTTATCACGCATCTCACAATTAGCAGCTAGAATTTATTTACTAGATCATAACATTTAAAATGCAAATATATTGATGTGAATGCTACAATTAGAAATTGTTTGATTTCAGGTATATATATTTTGTCCTGAATCTTAAGTTATGGATTTCATATCATGAGCCTTCATTACTAATTATTCAGTGTACTTGCTGCTCAAAATAAACATTTGTCAAGCAGAATAAAGGGCACATGGTTAAGGGTAAATACTTGTTATCTTTTCTTATTTCCTTCAGAAGTTGCCTATAGTTTTGTAGTGGAAATGTAACGTGTAGAGCCTTCTGCTGGTTTCCATTTTCCTCTCTTGGACTTTCTGTTCTTGTTTTCATAAATATTTTCATAAATATTTTTAATGTGATGTTCTTGAAAATAAGAAGGAATAAAAAATCTTCTGATTATGAAGAACTGATCAGTTGAGAGGAATTTTAGAGCAATTACTTGAAAAGTGTTGGATTTTGCTTTCTGAACTATGATTGAAGCATTATCTTCTTCTAGCTTTACATATTTTAAATTGAAATATGAAAATCATTCCCAGTTTATTGAATTTTAACAGTATTATTCTGATATATATATATGTGTATATATATATATATATATAGTTTGGCTAGGTTATAACTTAGAAAATAAAGTTACTCAAAGTATAGGTCAAGAGCTCAATAACATGTCATAAAGCAACAACTTCATGAGCTTATGAAGTAATGCTACAGATAAGCAGCAATATGTAGAAAGGGCACAAAGGAATAAATGTGCCCTTAACTATACTTTTCTCCCCTTCATTTCAAAGCAGAAGTACAAGAAGGAATACCTAAAGTTTACAATTCAGACTGTTTTCTATCTGATTTTATAATATTATCCTTTCTCAAAAAACAATTGTATATTTTCTTTCAGACCCTAGCTTCCCAATTATATTTAACAAAAATAATGGCAAATATATATTTTCATAGATGGGCCTCTCTGAGGACCCTGAATAGATCTAGGAACATAATCTGCCTTACTCAGCCTCTGGATCATTTGCAGTTAAACAACTGCATAAAAAGGGTGCATGCCTCCATTAACCAGGCACTCTGTGTTTTCTGAAATTACATTTTGCCACTTAAAATTTTGTAAAGCCAATGTTCAATAACACTGTCTCCAGAATATCAGAAATGAGCACTTTCAGTGAATCCTCAGTTACACTGAAAAGGTCTTAGATTTTTTTCATGCCAACTAAGTATATCCTTTCAAATCTTAACCACTGTAATTGACACATCAGGCTCTCATATAGTCACTGTTATTAACCAATAGCTTATTTTAGGAAGATAATATTTGTACTCAATGTCAACTCACTGTTTATAAATCAGAATGTTTAATGCCCGCTAAATGGAAATTCCTTGAGGACAGCAAACATATTTCCTTTTTGTCTTTCTTTCCTTTTGTCCTTTCCCTTTCTGTTCACATAGAGTAGGTACTGGATTAATATTGGAAACCAAGAAAAAATAAATCAAAGAATGAATAAGTGAATTCTGTTCCATAACATTTGATCTTCCCTAAGCCCAAACAGTTTGCTTGTAACTGTTCCCAGTTTAAACCAATCCTTGTTATAGTAGTGAGAAATTCACATCCTTCTAGCTATACTTATATCACTGTATATTCTTCATGAGCACACTGAGGGATTATTATAAATCAGTTATCCCTTGAACAATTGTTTTCTGTAAAGCGAGCCCTCAATATCTAAAACAAAACAAAACAAAAGCTGTGCTTGCCTGCTTGACTAAAATTAATTAAATGTACTTGCCTTATTCACCAAAATGTTCATTGAGATCTGTGTTCACAATGGTTGGGAGGCAAGGGAGAGGCTGCATTTGAGATTCCTTATTTGGTTTTCTCTCTTCTACTCTCCCATGTTGTCTTACTCTGTGTTTATTCTCCTTGTTTTCATGATGGATAATTCAGGGAGGGCTAGGTATCAAACAGATAACATTCATTGCTATGAAACTTTTTGCATTACTCATAGCATTCATCATTTTTTACTTATATGTTATTATTTACTTCCTGGCATTAATATTTAAAAAGGAATTTGCTAGAATGTATTATTACTACTGGTCACTGTTATCTATGCAAACAGCTGCTACAGCTTGATGGGGAAAGAAAACACAAAGGTTATCTATCATGACCTTGCCACACACATATAGGTGGTTTACTTCATCATTGTCACTCCTGAGGGTGACTACTGTGACAGAAACTGCTTACCTAAGAGATTTTCTAACAGCATGGCATTTAGCGAATTCTGCACTCCAACTGTATAACGAGAATAGTAGCATTCATAACCCTTTGTAATCCTAAAAAGAATATCAAGGAACCAAAGACATCCACAAAGGAAGAAGAGCTTCTAAAAACAAGAAATGAAAACTGAAGAAAAATCTACAGTAGCAGTTCACTGAGCACTACCTTGAGTAAATACAAAATACAAAATCTAATACTATAAAATAATTGAATGACAATTTTTTTATATTTACCGTACCAAGCAGTTTATTTTAAAAATCAGGAAAATATCTAGGAATAAAGCTAACAAAATGTAATATATAAGACAGTTTATTTTAAAAAATTTAAATTTTACTGCTTATTTCAAGAAATTAAATAATATCTTAAGAAATGTAATAATATGTTAATAGAAAGACTCAGTGTTGTAAAAATATCAACTCTATAGAGTCAATGTAATTTCAATCAGAATATCAGTTGGAATGTGAGTGTGTTTATGTGTATGTAAATTGATAAGCTAATTCTAACATTTATACAAAAATGCAAATGTCCAGGAAACATCAAGGCATTCTTGAAGAATAAAATTGAAAGATTGATATTGCCATCTATCAAAGCAATAATAATTAAACATCATAGTCTTGGCACAAAGATAAAAAATAGATCAGTAAAAAAATAGATTTGAAAAGGAGTTCTACGTATATACAGACACCAGATGATTGATAAAGGTGACACCACGGCACAATATAGAAAATATACTCTTTTCACAAATGACTTTTTTTGAGGTATTTGCATTTTTAAAAACAATATTGACTGTTTCCACACACCATTCAGAAAACAAGTTATGCGTGAATTGCTGGTCTAAATGTAAAAGGTAAATGATAAAGTCCATGGAAGACATTATGGGAAGACAATTTCATGACCTGGAGTATACTTTTTAACAGAATATAAAACAATGCAAACCATAAGGAAAGAAAACTGTTTTAATTGACTTACATTATTGTGAAGAATGTCTGTTCAAAAGACACAAGAAAGTAAATGAAATGAAAACCACAGAATGGGGGAAGATATTTGCAATACATATATCTGGTAACAGACTCATACTCAGAATATATAGAGAAGTAACACAAATCTTAGATAAAAAGAAATACCTGTAGAAAAATAGGCCAATGATTTATATAGGACACTTTATAAAATGGAATATGTAACTGTTCAGTAAATATATTTAAAATGCCTATTTTTTTGTTTTTTTAATTTTTTTCTCAGAAATGCCAATTCTGAATAAAATACTCACATTTATTTGTCATCAAGGATACATAAATTAAAATCACCACCAGAAATAGCTAAAATACTAGCCTCTGACAATTTCAAGCGTTGGTGAGACTATGGAGCAACCAGAACTCTCTAATAATGTTAGTGGGAATATAAATGGTACAACCACTTTGGAAAGCTGCCACTATCTGCTAAAACCAAACATATGCATAATTTTGACCGAGTAACTCCTCCTCTAGTTATAAAGTACATACTCAGTAGATATGCATTGTGTACACACACACACACACACCACTCACTAAGTGTATAAGAATATTAATAGCAGCATAATTAGTAACACAAAATCTAGAAGCTTTCCAAATGTCTATCAAATGTCCATCAAGAGTTGATTGGATACATAAATTGTGGTATACTCAGAAAGTAAACTATTATATGTAATAAAAATAAAGATGCTTCAACTATACAAAAGATATAAATAAATATTATAAATCTGAGCAGGAGAAAGACATTAAAGAGTAAATACTGTATTAGTTCATTTATATAACATGCAAAAGCCGGCTGTTAGAAATTAGGATAGACCAATTATCACCTCAGGAGAGGAGTTTTTAAACCAGTTCAAGGGAGTCTTCTGTGGTGATGAAGATATTTGATTTCTGGATCTTGGTGCTGGTTACACATATTGGTTTATTTATTATAAATTCATCAAACTATATATGCATGAATTTATACTCTTTTTATGTATGTATGTTATACATCAAATTTTTTTAGTTTTTTCCCCCTAGATGGCAGATTGAAGGCTTTGTTTTCATGCCTCACCCACTTAGAAAGAGCAAAATAGTGTGTAGAGATTCATACTGTGAATTTTTATCCAAGAAGGAACACAGGAGCTTGATTAAAAAAAAAATGTGACCTCGTGATCCACCTGCTTTGGCCTCCCAAAGTGCTGGGATTACAGGCGTGAGCCACCGCGCCCGGCCAGAAACTTTACATACTTTTAAAGGAGCTGTGGGCAACAGCCCAGGCTGCGGCCCTGCCAAAAAACTGTCAGTCTTCAGCGTGTGGAAAGGGAGAGAGACTTTCTCTGTGGTGTATATTTCCACTGAGAAGCTGGGCAATCCAGGCCTCAGGGAGTCTCCTGGACCCTACCCAGTTCTGGATCTGACTTGGTGTCAGAATTAAAATTAAAAGAAAAATATAATCATCTCAATACATGCAGAAAAGGCATTTACTGCCATTCAGCACCCCTTCGTGATAAAAACTCTCATCAAATTAGGCATAGAAAAAGCATACCTCAAAATAAGAAGAGACATAAGTAAGAAACTCACAGCTAATGTCATACTGAAGAGGGAAAAGCTAAAAGCATTTCCCCTAAGAACTGGAACAAGACAAGGATGCCCTCTCTCATCAGTCCTATGTAACATAGTATTGGAAATCTTAGCCAGAGCAATTGGCAAGATTAAAAGAAGAAAATACAGCCACATTGGAAATGAGGAAGTCAAATTATTTCTATTTGCTGATAATATGAACTTATACCTACAAAATCTGGAAGACTTCTCCAAAAGACTCCTAAATTTGGTTAATGAATTCAGCAATGTTTCAGAATACAAAATACATGTACAAAATCAGTAGCATTTTTATAGACCAATAATAATCAAGCTGAGAACCAAATCAAGAAGTAACCACTATTTATCATTACTACACAAAATAAAATACCCAGAAATACATTTAATCAAGGAGGTGAAAGATTTCTACAAGGAAAACTATAAAACACTGATGAAACAAATTATAGATGACACAAACAAATGAAAAAACATCCCATGCTCATGGATTGAAAGAAACAATATCATTAAAATGAACATACTGTCCAAAGCAATCTAGACAAGTAATGCAAATCCTATCAAAATACCAATGTCAATTTTCACAGAATTAGCAAAAACAATCCCAACATTAATATGAAGCCAAAAAAGTCCAAATAACCAAAGCAATACTAAGAAAAAGGAACAAAGCTGGAAGCGCTACATTATCAGACTTCAAATGATATTACAAGGCAATGGTAAGCAAAGCAGTATCTCACTGGTATAAAAATACACATACAGATCAATGAAACAGAATAGAGAATCCAGAAATAAAGCCACATACCTACAGCCAATTGACCTTTGAAAAAGTTGACAAAAACATACACTTTGGAAAGGACAAACTATTCTATAAATGGCGCTCTAAGAATTGGACAGCCATATCCAGAAGAATGAAACTGGGCCAATATCGCCTACCATATACAAAATTAACTCAAGATGGGTTAAAGACAAATTAAGACCTGAAATTACAAAATGTTTCATAGAAAAAACTATAAAAATTCTTTATAGGAAAAACTCTTCTTTATATTGGCCTAGACAAAATATCAATAACTAAAACTTCAAATGCAAATGCAACAATAAAAAAAATGAACAACTCAGGCCTGGCGTGGTGGCTCATGCCTATAATCCCAACACTCTGGGAGGCTGAAGCAGGCAGATCACTTGAGGTCAGGATATTAAGACCAGCCTGGCCAACATGGCAAAACTCTGTCTCTACTAAAAAAATACAAAATTAGCCAGGCATGGTGGCCTGTGCCTATAATCCCAGCTACTCGGGAGGCTGAGGCAGGAGAATCGCTTGAACCAGGGAGGTGGAGTTTGCAGTGAGCCAAGATCTTGTCACTGCACTCCAGTCTGGGCAACAGAGTGAGACTCCATCTCAAAAACAAAACAAAACAACCCCCAACACCAAAAATGGACAAATGGGACTCAAACTAAAAATCTTCTGCACGGCAAAAGAAATAATCAACGGAGTGAACAGACAACCTACAGAATGGAAGAAAATATTTCTAAAATATGCATCTGACAAAGGACTGATATCCAGAATCTACAAGGACCTCAAACAACTCAACAAGAGAAAAACAAATAATCCCATTTAAAAGTGGGCAAGGGATATGAAGGCACAGTTTCCAAAAGAAGACATACAAATGGCCAACAAGCATTTGAAAAATGCTCACCATCACTTATCACTAGAGAAATGCAAAATAAAACCACAATAATATAACATCTTAGACCAGTTATAATAGCTATTATTAAAAAGCTAAAAATAATACAGGTTGGCAAAAATGTGGCAGAAAGGGTACACTTACACACTGCTGGGAACATAAATTAGTATAAAATATATGGAAAACAGCATGGAGATTTCTAAAGGAGCTAAATGTAGAACTACAGTTCAATGCAGCAATCCCACTACTGGGTGTCTACCCGAAAGAAATCATTATATCAAAAACATACTTTTACGCATATGTTTATTGCAGCACTATTTGCAGTAACAAACATATGAAATCAACCTAAGTGTCCATCAACAGATGATTGAATAAATAAAATGTTATATATATAAAACATATTATTATATATAACGTTATATATAATATTATATATATAATGTTATATGTAATATAATATATAACATTATATAAAACTATATATATTATCTATAACATTATATATAGTATGACATAACATATAATATAATATGATATATATAATATCAAATACTGCATGTTAGCACTTATAGGCGGAAACTAAATAATGGGTACATATCAACATGGAGACTGGAATAATAAACAATGGAGTCTTGAAAAGGTAGGAGGTTGGGAGAGGGGTGAGGAATGAGAAATTACTGAGTTGGTACAATGTATACTATTTGGATGATGGATACACTAAAAACCCAGACTTTACCCCTACAGGAAATATCCATGTATCAAAACTGCACTTGTATCCCCTAAACCTATAAAAACAAATTAAAGGCCAGGCACGGTGGCTCACGCCTGTAATCCCAGCACTTTGGGAGGCCGAGGCGGGGGGATCACGAGGTCAGGAGATCCAGACCATCCTGGCTAACACGGTGAAACCCCGTCTCTACTAAAAATACAAAAAATTAGCCAGGCGCGGTAGCCGGCGCCTGTAGTCCCAGCTACTCAGGAGGCTGAGGCTGGAGAATGGCGTGAACCCGGGAGGCGGAGCTTGCAGTGAGCCGAGATCGCGCCACTGCACTCCAGCCTGGGCGACAGAGCGAGACTCCTCTCAAAAAAAAAAAAAAAAAAAAAAAAAAAAAAAAAAAAAAAAATTAAAAATAAAATACAATGAAAGGTAATGACACTAAAATAAAGATTTGGAAAATTTTCCTAAGGCTTATTAACATGTAATTTTTAAAAATGTACATATGTTGATTTAGAAAAATGCATATTGTATGAAGTGAACCATAGCTACATGAAGTAAACTAAGTGGTGACAGTAGTCGGTGTGAATTGAAATATTCCTTGGGATATACAGATACTTCTCTAATATGTGAGAGGTTCTGCAGATTTGGTGTGTGCCGAAGTGTTATTATGCTTCCTGTTTCACCTCTTGGCCCTTTCCTCTACCCTATTTCTATTAATGATACCACTCTTTCTCCATTCAGCATCATTGACCCTCTGTCCTCTTTTTTTTTTTTTTTTTTTTTTTTTTTTGAGATGGAGTCTCGCTCTGTCGCCCCAGGCTGCTCGATCTCCGCTCATTGCAAGCTCCGCCTCCTGGGTTCAGGCCATTCTCCTGCCTCAGCCTCCCGTGTAGCTGGGACTACAGGCGCCCGCCACCATGCCCGGTTAATTTTTTGTATTTTTAGTAGAGACGGGGTTTCATCGTGTTAGCCAGGATGGTCTCGATCTCCTGACCTCGTGATCTGCCCACCTCGGCCTCCCAAAGTTCTAGGATTATAGGCGTGAGCCACCGCGCCCAGCCTCTGTCCTCTTTTTGAATATGATAGTACATTATTGAACTGCCTTCATTTTTAGTCATTTAGTTGCTGAGTTCTGTTAACTGTACCTTGTGATGTCTTTGACTACCCTTATGCCACTACCACCATTCCTAGTACTATTGTCTTGCCGCACACTCTCATTGGAATAGGCTCTTATTTTGTCTTGAACACTACTGCCAGATTATGTTTTATGAAGCATAGGTTAAATCATATCACCTCTCTAAATAAAATAAAGTAGACGTTTTTGATTATTACCTTTTGTTAGCAAAACTGTAATCAATTTGAACCATTTTCTGTATCCTAAGCAAGCTTCTTACTTTCCCATCTCTGTTTTCTCTGTGCTTGTTTTTTTATCTAGAAGATTATTCATAACGTAACTTATTCATATTTACTAATAACCATTTAACTTAATTTCTATACTTCATGATTTGTATTTATCAACCAGAATCACTATCACAACTTCATGTTCTTTCCACTCACTTTGCAGCAATTTTCTTCTTTATGACTTATAATTCATTCTGCCTTTTTCTGCTACTTGCATATTTATCCCTACTCTTCCTCTAGATGGGCATGTATTACAAGATAAGAAAGGATTTCCAATTTTTAAAATGTAAATCTAGATTTCCCTTGTTTGAACTCATACATACTTCACCAGATATCTCTGATTCTCTGGACTAGATATTTCAAGTTCATTTGTTTTTCTTTTTTAAATAAATTTTAGGTTCAGGGGTACATGTGCAGGTTTGTTATAAGGTAAATTGTGTATCATGGGTGTTGGGTGCACAGATAATTTTGTTGCACAGGTGATAAGCATGGGACCCGATAGGTAGTTTTCTGATCCTCAGCCTCCTTCCCACCTCAACCCTCAAGTAGGCCCTGGTGTCTGTTGCTTCCTTGTTTATATCCACACGTACTCAATGTTTAGCTCCTACTTACAAGTGAGAACATGCAGTGTTTGGGTTTCTGTTCCTGTGTTAGTTTACTTGGGTCAGTGGCCTCCAGCTCCATCCATATTGCTGCAAAGAATGTGATCTTTTTCCTTTTTCTGGCTGCATAGTATTCCATGGTGTATATGTACCACATTTTCTTTATCCAGTCCACTGTTGATGGGCATTTAAGTTGATTCCATGTCTTTGTTATTGTGAATAGTGCTGCAATGAACATAGGCATGCATGTATCTTTATTGTAGAATGATTTATATTCCTTTGGGTATATACCTAATAATGGGATTACTGGGTCGAATAGTAGTTGTGAGCTCTTTGAGAAACCACCCAACTGCTTTCCACAATGGCTGAATTAATTTACACTCCCATCAGCAGTGTATAAGCATTCCCTTTTCTTCACAACCTCATCTGCATCTGTTATGTTTTGACTTTTTAATAATAGCCATTTTGACTGATGTAACATGGTATCTCATCATAGTTTTGATTTGTATTTCTCTAATGATTAGTGATGTTGAGCACTTTTTAATATACTTGTTGGCCGTGTATTTCTTTCTGTTTAATATTTTCTGTTGTTACTTGCCTTCTTGTTACTCAACAGTTTTTCAATCTTCTCAGTATGTTATTTTCCTTTACAATAAATGCTTCCAACTGAATGCCATACTTTGACTCTATGTTGAATTGCATTAAGAACTGCTGGGCTGGGCACGGTCACTCACGCCTGTAATCCCAGCACTTTGGGAAGCCAAGGTGGGTGGATCACCTGAGGTCTGGAGTTCAAGAACAGCCTGGCCAAAATGATGAAACTCCTGTCTCTATTAAAAATACAAAAAATTGGCCGGGTGTGGTGGCAGGTGCCTGTAATCCCAGCTACTCAGGAGGCTGAAGCAGGAGAATTGCTTGAACTCAGGAGGCAGAGGCTGCAGTGAGCCGAGATCGTGCCATTGCACTCCAGCCTGGGCAACAAGAGTGAAACTCCGTCTTAAAAAAATAAAAATAAAATAAAAAATAACTGCGGAAATGTTACCTTTGTCCTGTGAACCTTACTATTAATAAAATCGTTAACTTTATCATTTTATAAATAGGCTATTTTGATCCCTAAGTAATAATTACAAGATAGTTCTTCATCCATGTGAAGATAATAGACATATATTATCCCTTTCCTTGTTAAATAGATTTTTGTCTAATCTTTAAAAAGAGACTTATACAAAGATAAACATGTCTCTACTCATTGAGCTAAAGTCTAGTCTAGCAGTCATTTTCAACCTTGCTGCCATTGATTCCATCATTCAACATATTAGCTATTATTTCAAATTTAATATTGTGATATACTTGCATTTTCTATCTTGATCTAAGTACTTGATTAAACTATAGATTAAGATAGGGCCAAATACAGAGCCCTTGATTTCAGTTTTTTTATTGTCATTAGGTAACGTCTTTTTAATAAATCTATGACTACCAACCCTCAAATATTCATAATAGCTATTTATTTTTAGGGAAAACCTTACCAGCAAATTTAATATAGTATGTTTATACAAAATGTCTACATTTTTTTTATTCAAAAACCCTAAAGAAAAAGAAGTAATTTTCTTTATAGCTTGAATGAATGATATTTAGAATCTAGTTATACTTTATTCACTAGTTAACCTTACAAACTATCTAAATAATTTAATACAAATTAAAACAATATAAATATGTGACTGATATAAATCTTAGCAATTATACCTGGCCTTTACAATTTTTTTCTTTGAAAAAGCATGGTATTTGCCTATCTTAAATCTTCTGTCAAAGCTCTCATTTCCATGATTCTTCAAATACTAGTGGTATCTAGACCTGAAGTCACTTTTGCAAAATTTGCACCTCAATCTAACTCATCTCAGCTAGAGACCTGATTTATTTGAAGACTTGTGGTGAACTCTTACCAACTCCTCCTTAACCGTGAGTTGTACTTCCAAAACTATTGTTTTATTCTTTCAGGTTGAAGATTATCTTCATAATTAGAAAAATATAGAAACTAAATAGAAAAGCACACTTTTTCCTTCTCTGCCATCTCTTAACATACAGATTATCCACTAGACTTATCCATTTCTTAATTTTCTTTTATGTTTCAAGCAGAACTCAGAAAAAATGTTGTGCTTAGTTCCTGGTGTTTCATATACTAAACTTAATAATTCTGAAAAATAATTTTGATATTTTGATTTTGTCTTATTTCTAGTGTTTCCATCATACTTTGTTCTTTCAAAGTGTATACTTTCATCAAACAACCCAACTGCTTTCTTTAAATACACACATACACACACACTCACACACACACCCATATTTTTAATTGTGATTTTGTTTATTCAAAATTTAGACATTTTGTTATTCTACAACTTTTTTAGTGATCACATTTCCTTTAAAGAAATGTGCAAACATTAAATATTCTTTACATTTTGAAATTCCGTTTTTTAACGTTTACTTCAATGATCAAATTTATTGGTACAGACTCAAGAAATATGATCAGAATCAAGTTTATGACCTTGTGTGACACCCGGGGTTGGAAGACATGGATGGCCTGTACACTGAATGTCTTCTGAGGAAGAGATTTATTTATTTCCTTACAGCCACTTTTCCAAGTAATTGGAATATATCAAAGAACATGACAGACAAGTTCCTGCTCTCATGCAACTTAGATTTAGATGCCCTAAGGCAACCATATGATGAAGGTTTCACAGAGTAGAGTGTTTCAGTAGTAACTTATTTCTTTAGAATTTAACAGAGAAGCATCCTTCCCAACCAAGCAATTTATTGATATTGATCAATTATTTTATGTAGTATATTTCAAGGTATGTCCTGAACTATTAATCAAATGCCATGTGAGTGTTTTAATTAAATATAAAAATTAACTAGCTTTCCAAATAATATTATAATTCAGATAAAGGGATTTTTTTAGAGCCATTTGCTCATATTTAGATCCAATTGAATAAAATTCCCATGCCACTTAAATCACACGTCACCAAACAAATTTTCGTAGAAATGTTGCTAACAAGTTTAGTTCTCTGGGATGCCTCAAAGATAATTTAATTATATATGAATTCAAAAGAATAGCAAAGGTAAACATAATTAAGAGAGAAAATATTCACTGTGGATAGTTTTGGGTCAACTATGGAACATTATTTATAAAATGAATAAATATTTGTATAACGACATGCATTGAAGTATTAAATAATTTATTATCCCTATTGATTTATTTCACATAAGTGGTAGATATTGACGAGTTAGTTATTAACAGTTTTGAATCCTTTTGCTCTTCTCGGGAGATTGAGGCTTCTGTAAACTGAGATATAGAAATTAAGAGAGATCAGGCAGAATAAAATATTCTCAAATGAATGAGTATAGGCTTTTAGTTTTCAAGTGCCTTTGCAACACATAAAGCTTTCCAAATTAGGAAATTATGCAAGCATGCATATGTCATGCATCCTTTAACATAAATGTAACCAGAATGATTTGATTTGTATTGAAATATTATTAAAATTTGTTTAAAATTATCTGAGGCAATTTATTGCTCTAATAGTTTTAAGATCCTATTTGTTAAAATATACTTCTTCTGAGGAATTAATTTAATTTTCAACCTAATAGTTCATTTCATTAATTACTTTATCTTCAAAACTGAAGTTCTTTTGTAAACATGCTGATAAGATCGTGTTCAGAAGCTCAGACTAGTTTGTGGACAATAATTCCTATCATACTTTATAAACTGAGTTATTACCACATTTACGTTTAAAATATTAAAACACAGTGCTTCAGTGCTAATTTTCATAAAACAGAATAAAACTAGTTTTTATTGATCCTTTGTTAATAGTTTTCAATTTTTATGTTTTGTATTTTTTAAGCCCTTATAAAGTACTGTAAGCACATTTATAAAAAGTCAGACATCTTTTATATTCTTCAGATTAGCCTCAGAAACTTCCACAATCTTTCTGAAGAAATATTTGTCATCAGAAGTTACTAAGTTTTAAACTTTTTTTTTTTCCGGTAAAATCATAGTTACTATTTCATTTAAGGGTTTTTAGTTTTGTTTTGTTTCTCCTATTGATTGATTTAATGTAGTGATTTCCAATCACATACTGTTATGATAGTCTTATTAAAGTATAAATTAAAAAAATATAAATCACAATGTAAACTAGAAATAGCAAATTTGTAAAAGACATAGTAGTCATAGTGTATATAAAATGTTACATTGTTACTGGAACTTGAGAGTGATTAATGTGGCTTTTGTTTTCATTTGTATGGCTTTGTTTAAATTTCATATTACAATTTTTGTTTAATAACTATTTAACCTTTTGAAATATATATTTGACAAGTAAAATTATTTTACTGGCAATTTATAAACTAGACTATTTTGGGTTTGAACAAGTATATTTTTTTCATAAATTTGTATGTAATTATGCAAACAAGTACACATAGTTTTAAAAAAGTTGCTAATGCCTTTTAGACAGAACTCTCAATTTATTATAGTTCCTTTTAATTTACAAATGTTTTACATGAAGTATATTACTTTATTCTCCCAAAAGCCTCATGTATATCTTCTTCTTGTAGGTTTTACAAAGGTAGGAGAACCTTAGGACTAATTATCGCATAGTAAAGCTTTTCTCGGGTTTCATTATTCCCACTCAGTCCAATGCTGCTTATTCTATATAACACTGTTCTTCTATATATGAAATTTAAAAAGGTTGGTGAGTGACCACAGTCTTGTAATATATTGGAGGATGACGTAGAAACCCTAAGTGATTTGGGTACTATATTTGCTTACTAAATTCAGCTCTGAGCTCTCCGAAATGAATCAGTGTAATATAATGTATCACGTCTTTTTTATTATCTATAAAAGTCAGTTAAAAACAAATATTTATCATAGAGATGGACTCTCTATATTGCCCCGGCTTGTCTCAAACTCCCGGCCTCAAGTGATCCTCCCTTCATGGCCTCCAAAAGCACTGGGATTTCAGGTGTGAGCCACCGCACATGTTGCCCCCCAAGAAAAATTTCTAAACATCAAGAAATATTCCTTATATTAATACATTTCTGATGTTAAACCATCCAAATAATTTTTTGAGAGATTTTTATATTAAGATAATTAATAAACAATATTAATATTTTTGATAACAAGTTTGTAAGGAATGTAAAAATGTACACAAAACTATTTTTGGGATATCTATACCATAGCACACGCAAAATAGATATATGAAAAGAGTCAGAGGTGAAAGTTACAAATGGACTCAACATTTCCTTATCAGCAAGGCTAACATTACTCTTCATGATGCTGCTTATTCAATCATCAGGAGCAAGACTAGAGATGCGATCTTGCTATGGTGACATCTTTTAAGACAAGTCAGCCACTTGGTTGTATGATGACATCACACCTTTCTACTCTGGAGGAGTGGATAGTCTTTACTGGAATTAATACCTATGCTGGATGTGGATTTGTCTTTCCTTACTGCAATGCCACTTTTCTCATCACTACCCAAGTGATCTTACCGAATGATCAATTTATTGCAAGATATTTCACAAGGGATTTGTTCGAGACAATTTTGTGAACCCCACTGATCTTCCTAGTTAATGAATTACCCTGATGCAATGAAATAGAACACTGAAATAGATTACTTAATATTCAGCTAAGAAGCCAATGTTGAGTGCACCTGTCAGGGTGCACTATCCTTGAGGATGTAGCATTTACCTTTAACCAATGACACATATTCTGAGCTCACCCAACAGTTAGAATGCAGGTCTGTGAACATGGCTCTGATGGATTAGTGTTCTAGGAGGAAAGCTGTCATTTTCCCACTAGGGTCTATAGTTGCATTCCCCAGTAGATGGTCTTGACACTTTTTTTTGTTTTTAAATTTTATTTTATTTTAAGGTCCGGGATATATGTGCAGAATGTGCAGGTTTGTTACATAGGTAAACGTGTGCCATGGTGGTTTGCTGCAACTATCAACCCATCACCTAGGTATTAAGCCCCATGTGCATTAGCTATTTGCCCCTATGCTCTCCCTTCCCCTGCCCTGCCCCCACGACAGGCCCCAGTGTTTGTTGTTCCCCTCCTTGTGTCCATGTGTTTTCATTATTCAGCTTCCATTTATGAGTGAGAACGTGCGGTGTTTGGTTTTCTGTTCCTGTGTTAGTTTTCTGAGGATGATGGCTTCCAGCTTCATTCATGTCCCTGCAGAAGACATGATCTCATTCCATTTTGTGGCTGCATAGTATTCCACGGTGTATATGTACCATATTTTCTTTATCCAGTCTATCACTGATGGGCATTTGGGTTGATTCCATGTCTTTGCTATTGTGAATAGTGCTGCAATAAACATATGTGTGCATGTATCTTTATAATAGAATGATTTATAATCCTTTGGATATATACCCAGTAATGGGATTGCTGGGTCAAATGATATTTCTGGTTCTAGATCCTAGAGGAATCACCACACTGTCTTCCGCAATGGTTGAACTTATTTACATTCCCACCAACAGTGTAAAATCATTTCTATTTCTCCACAGCCTCGCCAGCATCTTTTGTTTCTTGACTTTTTAATAATTGCCATGCTGACTGGTATGAGATGGTGTCTCATTGTCGTTTTGATTTGCATTTCTCTAATGATCAGTGATGTTGAGCTTTTTTTCATGTTTGTTGGCCACGTAAATATCTTCTTTTGAAGAGTGTCTGTTCATGTCCTTTGCCCACTTTTTGATTGAATAGGACTGGCCAAGTATTTTAAGTCTTTCAGTTCGGGTTTGTTTGATGCTTTCTTAGTATTTGATTGAGATTATTATTTTTGGCATGAATGTCACAAAAGTAAGGATTCTCTAATTTCATCATATCTGACAGCACATATAATGTCGCTATGTCTTGTTATTTATGTTAAACTAAATCATTTGTAGAAGGTGGTGTTTGCTAAAGTTTCCCACCATAAACATTTTCCTTTAGCAACTAGTAAATATCTTTGTGGAGGTACTAAAAGATTACACAAATATCTTAGTTTCTCTTCGGTGTTTATCCACTAATTTTAGCATCCATTATCAAACCTTGACAATGCAACAATTATTACTGTGCTATTTTAAAAGCACAGTAATAATTGTTGCATTGTCAAGATTTTCCAATTTCTTGCATTCTTTCTGCATTTATTAGTTTGAATTCTTCTGTAAAAAAGCTATCTCTTCTCCCATATATGTTTTTCCACTAATTATTTATATTTATAGGGATATGTTATCTTAATGCATTATAATAATATTATTTATCTTATTGCTCAAATTGTTGCAGTTTTGGGCATTGGGGAATCTGTTAGATTAACACCCTGAGTTTTTTAACATGACTCACACTTTTTAAAAATAAACTTATAATTTTAGTACAATTTTTAATTTGTAGGAAAATTATGTAGGTACAACATTTTTCCCATTACTAACCTCTTACTTAACTGTGGGTAAATGTGTTACAATGAATGAATCAATATTGATACATTTTATTATTAACTAAGTATATACTGTGTTAAGTTTTTTCTTAATGTCCTTTTTCTGTCCCAGAGTCCTACTGAGGGGAATGCGTTATATTTAGTAGGCATGAATCCTTAGGCTTCTGGTGGCTGTGATCCTGACTGTTTGAAGGAATCCTGGTCAGGTTTTTTTAAATGTCCCTTTTTTGAAATTTGTATGATTTTATTTTTCTCATGATTAGGACTGTGTTTGGAAGTTTTGGGAGGAAGAACACAGAGGTAAAGTGCCATCTTACCATATCAAGGGTACCAACTATCAATGTGACTTTTCACTGTTGCTGTTAACCTTGATCACTTGGCTGATTGTGTTTGTCCGATCCGCCCATGCCAAAGTCACTCTTCCTTCACCCCCCTTTCCAAATTGTACTTTTTGGAGAGAATTTACTGTAAACAATCCACACTTAAAGAGTTGGGAGTTATATTCCACCTTCTTGAGAGAGGATCATTTACATAAGTTCCTTGGAATGCACAGATGTTTCATGTCTTCCTTCTTTATTCAATCATTCACTTTTATCAGTAAAGAGTAAGAAACTCTTGAATATTTATTTTATATTTTGCTTTATAATCTAATACTACTTTATTTTATTGCTCAAGTTGTTCCTGCTTTGGCCAGTGGCAGTTCTTTCAGTTGACTCCTGTATGCCTTTGACATACTCCCGTCACTGTGTGTTGTGTGCGTGTGTGTGTTTGAGCACTTCCTTGCTTTCTGACACTCCAAGATGTTTCACATGCATCATCTTCTACATTTCTTTTCCAGTTCTAGAATCAGCTGTTTCTCCAGAGTGCCTACCAAATGCATTCTCTTGCCTGTGTCCTTCACAGCTTTCTCTGGGGGTATAGCTTTCCTCTTCCCCCTATGCGAGACTGGAAGGCTGCAGGGTCTCGGAGTCAGAGAAATGTTCTTTCCTCAGGCGGGATTAGGCTCTGGTAGAACATCTTTCTCTGCGGGTAGGTCTTTGTTATAAAGAATGTTCTGGAGTATCTCACAGGGGTTATTCTTTCCCTCTCTTTGTCAGAGCCACACGGGGATCTTTTCTGCTTTTCACTGTAAGAACCTGGCACAGTTTCTAGAAGTAAAACCTATGAAATTGGGTTCTCCAACACTGCAGACCCCAGTAATTTCTCATTCTCATACCAGTCCACACTCAGCTTCTAACAATGTGGGTGTTTCTCCCTGTTTACTGCTCTGGCAGCATCTGCACCAGGTAAGCAGGTCTTAGTCCATGTGACTATGGATTTGCCTATTTCTCCAGATTTCAGATTGGTTGTTTGCCCTACAACCTCGATTTTCTCAAAAAAAAATCATTGATTTTTCTTTTGCTAAGGTTTTCCTTATTGCGAGAGCAAGAGTGATGACTTCAAAGCTGTTTAAATGCTGGCCCAAATCCAAGGGTACTGATTCACCTTTTATTGGGCACTCTTTGATTTTTGCCTTTGCAAATGTGGTTGCATCCATATTGTAATTTTTTCATGTTGGTTATTTTAATTTTCAACTTTAAAATTTTTATTTCAGACTTTTTAAATAGGTGCTGTTAATCTATTTGCATTCCATGTTTGTTAAGTCATTGTGATCATTTATTTCTAAGTTATCACATATACTTCAATTCCTTGAACATATATATAATAGTTGAATAAAATGTTTCCTGTTAGACCTAACTTAGCCCAATTTGCATCAGTTTGTACTGATAATATTTTATCCTGATTATTGGTCATATTTTTTGAATGTTTCTAGGATTTTTTGTTTTTGGAAAATGGATATTTTATGTTTTATAGTACATATTTTAGTAATACCTGATTCTGATTGTTTTACCCCATGATTTAGCTGAATCTGTCTCAGTGTGAGCAGCCACTATGACTCTCCACAGTTTTGCTAAATCCTATTTTTATTTTTTAGCCTGACTGAGATCTTTTGTGTCACTGCATAGCTTAGTGGTCAGCTAATAATTTGGGAAGGGGTTCTACTCAAATACTTCAATTCTATAAAGCATGTACCCTTTGCTGGTGTATTTATGTGTAGTTTGGGGAGTGCATTCAAAGTTCAGCCAGTTTTTAAGTCCGCCTTGACTTATACTTTCATCCAGGACTTCACAGTTCCTCTCTCTAGATGCATAAAGTTTTCTAGTCAGAAAGAGCTATTGGCAGCTTATCTTAGCCCTGCTATGGCTCTCTTATTTCCAGGATCTCTGTTAAAATTTTGACTGGACCACTATTTGCCTCCTCACACCAGCAGAGTGGTGTGTTTTCCACATTTATTTCCTATTGCATTTGCTTCTTGCTTAAAAATTACATCAGCCATTCATTTTGCCCTGTCTCCAGAATCATGTCTACACTGCAGTTCAGAAGCTGTTGGTTTTCCTCCTAAGTCCTGCTCTAATAAAACATCCACTCTGAATGAGCTGTAATGACTAAAATGGTAGCAGCCATGAGCAAAAAGGCCTACTGCCTTCTCTTTATCTCCAAAACTTTTATCAATTTTTCATGAATAAATGCTACTCCATGACTTACTTTGTCTTTCATCAATTTCTAGAACCCTGAGGAATGGTTGTTTTTGATAATTTTCTTCTATTTATTCAATTTCATGCTTGGTATTTGGAGAGAGAATTCTCAGTCTCTTCATACGTTTCTATGTGTTGCAATAGCCCGAAGTTACCGCCTAGTTATCTGTTTTTGGGTATTAAATCTGACTGGAAACCCTGAACATGAGGATAGAAATGGTAAACTGCTGCCTTCCTTGCAGAGTTTTCTATCTGGGCATTGATTTTTCTTACCGAACTAGTCAGATTCCTCAAGAAGGCCCATGCAATTTCCTCTGGAGAGTGAACTAGAAGAAGATAACTTTGATGATTTTGCATCCAGAGTATAATGTGTAAATACTCTTCCTGTCTTTAATTTGGTATTCTTTAGCTCACATATGACTATTGCTTTCTAGTTTACGGGCACAAACTTGGAAATTTTTTAGCAAAAATTGGGAATGAAATAGATTTTAAAAAATTCTAAATGTATGCCGATGTTGAAGGCATTAAAAGAGCAGATATTATCTACTCAGGTCTAGAAAATATGCTGGATGATAACACACCACTGTGTAATGCGAAATTCCTCAAAGATAAATAAATCTGATGTCATATTATTATTAAATTTATGTTAATACATGAAGTCAACTAAAATACATTATGTAATATGTAAAATTCAGATGATAAGCTTTCTATAGAATTACACTAAATAAATTTTTGAAGATAATCTTTAGCCAACTTAAAACTGAATAAAGGATAAGAAATTTAAGATAGGGAAATTGTTGAACAATCGTTTTGGGAAGCTTCTTATACTCAAGCCTCAAATTAAGAAACTTATGTAAAAACAGCACTTTGGGAAGCTGAGGTGGGTGGATCACCTGAGGTCAAGAGTTCCAGAACAGCCTGGCCAACATAGTGAAACCCCATCTCTACTAAAAATACAAAAAAAAAAAAAAAAAAAAAAAAAAAAGATAGAAATTAGCCAGGTGTGGTGGTTGGCGCCTGTAAACCCAGCTACTTGGGACGCTGAGGTAGGACAATCGCTTGATTGTCCGGGGAGGCGGAGTTTGCAGTGAACCGAGATCAAGCCATTGCACTCCAGCTTGGGCAACAAGAGCGAAACTCCATCAAAAAAAAAAAAAAAAAAAAAGAGCTGGGCGCAGTGGCCCACACCTGTAATCCTGGCACTTTGGGAGGCCGAGGCAGGCAGATTACCTGAGGTTAGGAATTCAAGACCAGCCTGCTGGCCAACATAGTGAAACCCCGTCTCTACTCAAAATACAAAAAATTAGCTGGGTGTGGTGGCTCACGCCTGTAATCCCAGCTACTTGGGAGACTGAGGCAGGAGAATCACTTGAGCCTGGGAGACGGAGGTTGCAGTGAGCCAAGATCGCGCCAGTGCACTTCTGCCTGGGCTACAGAGTCAGACATCATCTCAAAAAAAAAAAAAAAAAAAAAAAAAAAAAAAAAAAAAAAAAAGGAAACCTAATTGCATGATCTGTGGTCAGACGTCTTGGTCTAAGCCATTCTGTAACCCAATTTCTTCATTTCATGGTATCATGACATCAGTTGCATTAACTTCATTTCACATTTCTTAAGGAATCTTTGCCAGATTTACTGGTCATAAAATAGTTTCATGTTCTGTTCTACTTATTCCTTGCAAATATTGCTAAAATAGTTTTACTTTTAGAACACCCTGCTGGGAAAAATAACAAAGTATCTCTGACAAAACCAGAAAGCAGCAGAATGACAGCATGGAGTAATAGTAAGTAACTATGCTCCAGAGTAGGAGTATTTCAAACCCTGGTTTCACATTCTGGCCTGACACTTACTGTCAGGGTACCTTAGATTTTGTGGTATTTCTCATGTTCTATCTTTACAAACGAATGCAGGACCTAGTATAATAGGCATTCCAAAATTAATGCATTAAAAAAATGGAGATTATGTAACTACTTTATGCCTATCTTCACTCGTAGACAGAAAATAAAATATTATATATTATTTTATATAATAAGTTATTATTAAACTGAAACACACACACACACAGGAACTGGCAATGTCCAGACTGGAGTATGTCTTCATTAAATGTTAGATGCTATTATTTGTTTAAGTGTTTGCATTGTTATTAAAAAACCTAAGAAGTTATTTTCTCCAGCATTAAAATTCACATCAATATGTCTTTTAAATTTAGAAATACTATGAAATAGTCATTTGGAGCTGCTTTGAATATACCTCTTTCCTTTAATCATGCTTTATCTTGCACCCATGCCTGTTTCTTTTAATAAATTGTGCTTATAAAGGTACATATAGTGTATAATTCAATAAAAACAAGCATAGAAAAATTATAATGACATGCAGAAAAAGGTTAATAATAGTTGTGTGTAAGGGGATTCTGGGTGTTTTCATAAAAAATTATTGCACTGAAATTTTTCAAAATGTTTGTGATGATCAATTGTTACTTTTATAATCAGCAGAAACTATGTATAAAGTAGTAATACAGAATTGTTTATACACTATAAGGAAATGTAAAAATATGTAAAGCAAATACACCAAATATTAACAATTTGAAACATGAATTAAAGACCTACAGATAATTTTGCTTCTAACATTCTGCAATTTCTAGTATGATTTGATATTTCCTTCATAATAAAAAAAACTTAGCTTTAAAAAGCAACATGTAGGAATTTTATATAAAGTGATTAGGTAAGTGAGAGGACTTCAGATGGACAGAATGATATGACAGTTTGTTATATTTAGAAAAAGAGGAATTTGGAGGTAAAAAAAAAAGTAAGAAAGGAGAGGTTGTGGAAAGCAGGAATGGATGGTTTTACAAAGAATCTTTGAGACAACTAAAGGTAGCTGAGGAAACACATTAAGAGCCTTCTTCTTGTATTCATATTGGCATAGACAAATTTAATGAGAGTAAATGGGTTGAGTTAGGTCAGTTTCCTGGATTGTCTTTTTGTTTGCAGTTATTACAGACACGTTTAGGATAATATATTATCAATATTGGTCTTGGGGAGGGCATTTTTAAAGAATGATCATTAAAAGGCCAGAATACACAGGGCACATTGGCTTATGTCTGCAATCCCAGCACTTTGAGAAACCAAGGTGGGTGGATCACTTGAGGTTCAGGAGATTGAGACCAGCCTGACCAACATGGTGAAACCCCATCTCTACCAAAAAATGCAAAAATTAGCTGGGAGTGGTGGCACATGCTTGTAGTTCTAGCTAATCTGGAGACTGAGGTGGGAGAATCACTTGAACCCGGGAGGAGGAGGTTGTAGTGAGCCGAGATTGTACCACACTGCACTCCAGCCTGGGTGACAGATTGGTATCCTGTCTAAAACAAACAAACAACAACAACAACAAAAAAACCAGCTAGCATCCAAGATCTATAAACTTTACAAAAACATAGAAAATTTTCTGAGACTTAAACATACATATATATGCATATGCATACATACAAACAGAAATAAGTACAAAATATACTATTTTAGATTATGAAGTTAAAAGATTTAAATTAGTGAAAATGTAATAAATGCATGCACTAATAAACTGTAAATCAATATATTGAAAAAATAAATTTATATCACAGAACAAAATAATTTACTTAACACAATTTTAATATATACACTTTTTAAAGATTTCCAGAAAACTGTTTAAAGCAAGATATTCCTGGGTTTAATATATTTGACTTGATGTGGAGAGACATTTCAAAAGTTTTGGTGCCTAAAGTCTGCAAATTTTTAAAAATAGTCCTTCCAGATTTGCAGCCCAGTTTTCTGGTATCAATTATCAAAGTTTCCATGAATGAATGACACTGCAATGAGCACAAAAGGAGGTAACAACAACTGGGCTTAAAGGCAGCGACATCCACAACTGCATGCTCTCCAGTTGAGCCCTCCCATAAGTATTAATTATTTTGTCTGGGAAAATGGAGCCCTTAGGTGTGGGGTTCAGAGAAGGTCCATTTTTTTTTCACTTGCTGTATAAATGAAGAATAGTGTTGCTGTACTTAGTTTGTAGGATCTCAGGGAATAAGAGATACAGTACACTTATGAAGCAAATTTAAGTCAATATTTTCTGAATGCAGGAAAAATGAGTCTCCCTGCAGACAATAGAAAGAACTTTTGGGCACAGGTAGGGGAATGTTACCCTCTCAGGAAGTGGAGGATGATTAAAAGAGATTTATTTCTCAAGTACTGTGGAAGTTTCACGAAGATGTAGAAATTAAGTAGGCTAATGATGAAATTTGGCAAACCAATAAATGAATTTAAAATAGATAACTCAAACCAACAAAGTCAAAATTATATATATATATATATATATATATATGTATACAAGTGTGTAAATATGTGTTCATAGGTCATGTTTCATGAGTGAAGGAGGATTATTCTTCAGGATTTAATTCCTGTGACTATAACGAAGGTTGTTAATGAGTGGCAAGGCTTTAGTGTATTACTCCAACAAAAGCTGATATCTTACTTCACTTATTGTAATGATTACTTTTTATCATCAACTTATGCACTTAAAATTGTTGTTGGTCTTGTTATATTTAGAGATAATCATGTATATAGTGAATGCAGAGTGGCACTCTTCCATTATGCGAAACTATACAAGTTGTGACCTAATTTATCTCATAATGGGTATGTACTCAAATTCCACATGGCTTAATTATAGCCAGTTGTCCGTGGTAAGTGTTCCAGCAGTGCCTATCTGCAGTTGAGTGAGGAGTACTACTCCAATTAGTTTGTCTATTCTTCTAATATTCTGCATACCATTATTTCTATGCCTTTCACATATTTTAGCCTACTAAGATCAAACTTTCAAGCCTTTGAATTTCCTAACATTAAACATTGTAGTTTATTTCAGGATGACACAGTCATTGGTATAGAAGAGTAGGAAGAAGGAAGTCAACAGAGTAATTTGGAAAATAAGCAATTTTTAGAATTAGAAAACTATTTAGATATAGTCACATGCCTCTTGAAGATTGGTTAGATATGGAGGACTCTGAAAGGGAAAGATTAATAAAAAAGTTTTCCAAACTCAAATCTCTTGTTTTTATTTTTTGGTTTGTTTTTTAGCTCAACGTCTCCAATTAATCATTTACTTTTTCTTTTTTAATAATGTTGTGTTATTTACTACAGAAGCTGTGTAATTTATCTCTGATGTTAGTATTACTTTTGCTTGATACGTTTTATCAAAATGTTCATTTTAAAAATTAAACAAATAGTTATTGAGTAATACAGGTGAACGTACATACGTTTTGTCGTTTGGTACACAAACACATACAAAGATGTCATGTTCTTTGAATTCTGACTCCTGAGCTTACAATATCCTTTATGGTACCATTTTGGCTCTGCTCTTTTGATCTTGAGTGAATGATTTTTTTAAATCTACTCTCATCATTGGACATTGCTCCCTTTTTGTAGTAGTCTCAATTTCCTATCATCTCCAGTTGTCATGGTAAGAATAGCAAAATTGCCTTGTTCATTTATTTTTCATATATTACCAATGTGATTTTTAATCAATGTCTACTTCTTCAGCTTTAAGTCACAAGATGACTGAAGTGTTGAATATTAAGAAACAATGTTATACTTTCTGGGAGATAGTAATGGTCTATTTTGTGGGGTTTGGGATACACTGTTGACTGTATTTGTCAAAAGCTCAATGAGTGTGCAGTTAAGTATGTACATTTAATTGCCTCTGAGTTTTGCAGCAAAAGGAGAAAATTGTAAACAAACATGGATGGCTAGATACTGATATGCATGCCAAGATACTCAAAGAAGGATATTGATACTTGTAGTTTATGTTGAAATGCATAAAAGTAAGATGTATTAATGGATAGTTACCACTAGTGCATTAATGTATAGTATTACATGCAATATACCATACACTGTATTAATGTATATTTAGAAAGTAGTAAAGGCAGAATTCAAATCCAACTTTTGTAATCCTTAAATCTATATTCTGTCATGCTTTTATGCTCCCACCTTAAACTCTCCTTTTCCTACTTATACCAATTAGGACCAGCATGAAAGTAAAATATTTGTAAGAAAGTTTTTAATTCTTTTTTTGTCTCATGTTTTCTGTTAATAATATTAACTTAGAATTGTATTAATATGTAATTTATTTCACCCTTAAAAGCTTGCTTTTTTTTTCTTTTCTTTTCTTTTTTTTTTTTTTTTTTTTTTGAGATGGAGTCTTGCTCTGTCACCCAGGCTGGAGTGCAGTGGCACAATCTCAGCTCACTGCAACCTCCGCCTCTTGGGTTCAAGCAATTCTCCTGCCACAGCCTCCCGAGTAGCCTGGGCGCCACCACGCCCAGCTGATTTTTGCATTTTTAATAGAGACGGGTTTTCACCATGTTGGCCAGGCTGGTCTCAAACTCCCGACCTCAGGTGATCTGCCCACCTCAGCCTCCTAAAGTGCTGAGATTACAAGTGTGAGCCACCAAGCCCAGCCTGGCATTTGTTTTTTTTTTATGTCAGGTGTCCATGCTATTACAGTCAGTTCTTAATGCATGATTTGGAGCACTGAAATTGAAACATGATTTAGTCATTAAAACTGAGTAGTCACTTTTTCATCTTTCCTTATCTTTATTATCTATATAGTAATAAATATGAATGTAGAATTTGTGACTGAGATGTGAGGTCAGATATTTAACCATATTTTCTCATAAACTTCCTTGGCAGAGATATTAAGCATACCTTCTAAAGAAATCACATTACTAAAATGTTTATATAGCAGCCAAAGATATATTTTATATCAATCTTTAATACACCATTTGTTTGTTTTCAAGTCTGGAAGTAGATCTATCATTTAGCTAGAGACAGCTGTTCACAGAACTGTCATTCTTTATGGTGTTCATACATTTTCTAAAGAGAGAACTTTTTTTTTATTTCTTTCTTTTAGAACTATGTTAAGTCACACAAAATGAAACAAATTTTAAAACATGATTTCCCAATGAATTATCACATTCTCTATGACTTAATTTGTCTTGACAATTTTTGTAATGGCAATACAGTATTTTTTCTGACAAGTACAATTAGGTTTGGTGAAGCATACTTATTTCGTGTTTCTGAGAAAGCAACTCAGCTCAAATAGAGAAATCTCTGTGACAGAATGGACAGGACAAAAGAGAGAGATGATACATTTAAGTAAATTAATGTTGAACTAGGATTCATAAAACATAAAACAAAGTCATAAACCACTATTATAAAAGTTTAATCAATAACCTGCTTAAAGTAGAATAGATTGCATAATGCTTATGAGCCTTTTAGACTCAGAGTTGAGAGAGACAGAAAATCAGATTTTTTCTTCATCATCATAAATAATATTAAATAATTTTCATAACTCAAGCATATGATCAGTTATGGGACAATTATAGCACTCTTTCCAAATTAAGTAAGATATTTTGATAATAAATCCATATATGTTTATTTCTAGAGAGATGCCTAAATAATAATTTAGATATTTAGGCAGTTATAAAAATGGTACCTTATCTCCGCAATAGAGTACATGTGTCCCTCTGAAGGTCTGGGAGTGATTAAGACTACTCAAAATTATTTAAATCCTGGAGATATCATGGATTGATTTTACTAACCACACAATCAGACACTGGAGATATCTTATTGTCAATGTTGTTATAACTTGGCAGTGCTTTAATTTCCAGCATATTCTTAAATTTTAGAACCTTCTGAGATTACCTCTCTTTTGGAGGCACATTGCCTCACTGACTACAGGACTGATGACTGCTAACTCATTATGGGAAATTTAGTTCCCAGCTATTTCAGAAGATTCTCTAGAAGCAAGATTATTTATAATCTCTTTATAATCTCCTTGTGGCTTACATTACTTCTTGTTTTAACCAATAGACTTTAGCTTCACTCCAATCACTTTTGGAAAGTGTATATTACAGTCCTTTATCATAGCAAACTCCAAGTGCTCCCTGATCCATTCTTCCCCAAATGCCATCACAAATACCATTCATTATTGTCTAGTCACAGCTCATACAAGACTAACATGAAATTTTTTTGTTTAATGCAGTTTTGCCAAAAGGAATGATAGCATAGCAGATATAAATTAAAAATGTCATGTAGCTGTTGGTTTTGTGAACAGTTTTGTATACTAAGTTATTTTATTTGTTTATTTTAATTGACAGATAAGTTTGTATTTTTTTTTTTTTTACCATCTTTTGGTATCCTGTCCTCTCATTAGAACATCACCTCCAGGCTCATAACTTGTTATTGGGGCCTGTTTTTCCTTACCTAAGAGAAAGGCCCTGTAACAATACAGCTTCCTTGTTTTTTTTTTGGACAGGTACAATTAGGTTCAGTGTAACACACATAGTTCATTTTTCTGTGAAAGAAACTTTTTACTTGATCCCAGCCTGAAATCTGAATTTCCTATATAGGGACAGATGTCCCAGAATCACTTGACTTTCCAGGCCCTAGAATTGAAACTACCTTTGCAAAAATTATAACAGTGAGTATATTATGAGAAAGAGATCTGGTCTAACCAACCTCCATCTTACCTTTAACTTTCAAACCTTCGTGAGTCATTCCTGAGCTTGGGCCCTTTAACTTTGGGAGAAAGTTAGTTTATAGTTTAAATGATCATAGCCTTTCCCCAAAACTCCACTGCCCCGTGAAGCTAATGAGACCACTAGGATAGAGGAGTCTGAATCCCGCTAAGGCATAGACCTAAAGATTACCAGCTATTATTCTAGAGGTCACAAAATTTGGAATTTCCCCCATTACTCCTGCAGACAACGTCACTGTTGTAGAACCAAAGATTGGCCTTTTGAGATTTCTTTTCAGATTTTTGCATTTCTGAAGATGATGACTCCACCTGGACCTGCCAACTTGTCCTGTGTCCCCACTCAGAAGTAGATTCAACATGCACAAAGACCATTTTCCACACTCCTATAATTGCACCCCCAGCCAGTCAGTAACACCTATTTCATAGTCATCCCCTTTCCCCCAAACTATCCTGGAAAAACCCTAGCCTCAGAATTTTCAGAGGAGCTGATTTGAATCATAATAAAAGTCTGGTCTCCTGTTCAGTCCCCTGTGCATGAATTGAACTCTTTCTCTATTGCAATTCACCTGTCTTGATAAATTAGCTCTATCTGGGCAGCGGGCAAAATGAACCTATTGGGCAGTTGCAGTATCATTTGAAACTAATGCTCTACCAGCCTGTCATCCCTATTCCTAATTCATGTTTGGAGACTCTAACTTTCCAAGGTCAGCTTTTGTTACCGGCAGTGAATACGTACAGGTCTGTAGCAACCTCCATTCTTGTCACCTCAGAAGAAAGAATTTGACTGAGGGGCATAAGGCAGAAGGAGAGACTGAGGCAAGTTTTAGTGCAGGAGTGAAAGGAAGTAAAATACACTTGGAAGAGAGCTAAGCAGGTGACTTGAGAGATCAGGTGCGTGGTTTGACCTTTTGACTTGGGGTTTTATACACTGGCGTATTTCCAGAGTCTTGCATTTCTTTTGCCCTGATTCTTCCCTTGCGGTGGACTGTCTGCATGTGCAGTGGCCCGCTAGCACATGGGAGGAGGGCATGCACAGTGTGTTTACAGAAGTTGTACGCATGCTCTCTTGAGGCATTCTTCCCTCACCAGTCTAGCATACCAGTTAAACTCCACCATTTTGCCTCTTAATGTGCACGTTTGAACCCCCTCCTGAGATCTTATTGGGAAGCTGCTGATCATCAGTTTCAGGTCTTTTTTTTAATCTACTGGGATACTGCCTTTCCCTTGCAATGGCTATGACCAATTATTACTTTAGAGTGACAGTTAATAACTGCCTGACCATCACTGGATGGTCACCTGACACTCCTTGTGTGTGCAAGGGGGAGCCCTCTCCTGCCCTGCTCATACCTGTCTTGCTACCCACTGTTAACATTTTAATTCCTATCCATTCTACTTTATCCTGACATCTCCTCTTATCCCTGCACTCCTTTCTGTTGTCCTCCTCTTACTATGGACCCACATAATATCCGACCAAGTTCATTTTAGGAATAGCAATCCCCTTCTCTTAGTCATCACTTCTGTTGACCTAATTCAGGCCCACATCATTTCTTACCTGTTCTCTTTCAAAACCTTCTACTCACTGGTCTCCCTTTCTCTCTCTCTATCCTGCCATTTAATTGTTACATTGTATTCAAAGTTATCTTTCTAAATCACGTGTCTTATTATGCAACTACCTGACAAAACAATTTCAATTGTCTATAATATAAAGTCAAAAATCCTAATTATGATATTTTCAACAAAACCCTTAAAATTAGTTCATTTTTACCTTTCTCACCTAGCACTTTCTACCATGCACCTATAATTCAAGGTTTCAGGTTTGCTGAATTTTCCAAATATGCCATGCCCAGAATGCTTCTTATGCTTTCTCTTTTTTATCTGCTTTATTAGCTTCCATCTATATTTTGTGAATGAGACCAAATTGTACTACCTTTTTGAAGTATTCCTGAATTGCTTTATGAAATATTAATTACCTTCTTTGTTATACATTCTCAATATTTTTTAGAGATATCAACCAGAAGAATTATTACAAATAATTAGATTGTAATTGTTAAAAAACATTCTCTTCCAATATCATGGGAGAGGATTTGGTGTGCATCCCTCTTTATATTTTAGGCGCTTAGCAAAGCATGCAGTACTTTGTGGTCAACACATAAATTATTTGTTAATTTGAAAAGATAATGTAATCGTATTAAAGTTATCAACATTTTAAACTCTAAATATAGATATTTAGTCTTCTGATATAAGTTTACAAGAATGAGCAGGAGGTGAGGTGTGGAGACTTAGGCATCAGGAATATGGACTATGAAAAATTGCAGAATGATTCATATTAAGTACTTTTATGATGACTGATGTCCTAGAGGAAAATTTTTATCAAGCTCCTTCTAAAATTTCATTTAAAACACTTAGCAATGCTTCCCCACCCCCATGCCCACTCCCAGCCTTGACACACACTGGCTGCATTTTAGCCTGGATGGATTTTCTCTTTCCCAATCACAAAAGTCTTTCCATTTAAGGACTGCCAGTGCTGCAGCCAGAGTGAGGGGTCATCCAGTCTCAGTTCTTAACTTTATTTGGTTTAAAAATGTATTCCCTCAGTCTTAGATGACTCTATATCTATAACCTTACCTGGGAGGGTTATAAATTCCTATGGTACAAAGTGGGATCCTTTTCCAGGCCCATAACAGAAACAAGCCGTGATTTGGGGGATAATGTTACTTTTCTTGCTTATTGTGCTATAACTAGAAATAGCCACTCAGACATTGTTTTCTAAACTCTCTAATACAAAAGTAACTCTACCTTATTCTACAGCAATGCACTTGCCCTCCCAAAATCTCACTTTATGTATTTAATCGTGCATTTAAGTATATAGTGCAAGCAAGAAAAGATGTGCTTTTCTTTCCTGCAAAGAGCTTAAAAGTTAGAGATATTGAGAGCTGCAAAGCATAGGAAGAGATTATTCCTGCTTGACTGTAAATGTGTACTAAAAAGAAAAATGAAAATGTATATTGGTGTAAGAGCATGGTAAATCTTGACAGACAGACAAAGGAGTTGGTATCAGTAAGATGAGCAACTAAAGTTACTGATGATTGAAAAAGTTTATGAAGACAATGAGGGCAAAGCCTGCATTCTGAGATTAGAGAAGTTAATATTAATGATGGTGTTGATGAGAAAGAGTCAGAGAAGTAAAATGGTAGCTTAATTTCTGTGCTGTGCTGAAAATTATGGGTTAAAGGGTAGTGAAGGCCATGAAGTAGTCAAAGAATGAAAACTGGTGTCATGTTTAGGGAATTGCAAACTGAAAGAAAGATTATTGGTAATTCAGCACTTTCAGTAAAATGTGGGAACAAAAATTTTATCTATCATTACAATTGAAAAATACAAGATTGAAACATAGGAGAGTCTACATATTTAGAAGAAATCTTTTCCTTCTTTTTCCTTGGTCATGATCCAACCACGGTGGAGAATTATGAATCTTCTAAGAAGATGGCAATAATCCTAAGTGTTTTTCAACACCTTTTGTCTCTTCATAAGAATTTATCCGCTGTTGCCTTTGATAGTCTTGGCTTTTACCTTGAACTTCCTTATTTGATATGACAGCCTTGAAATTCTCTCTGCTGGCATACAGGTTAAAATCACATGAGATTTCCAACTGGTATGCTTCATGCAATGTGAACCACTGACTCTTCTGTCCTTGCTCCTGGCTTGCCTTCTGTCTTTTCTCATCCTAACCTGTTCCAACTTTAATTTGGCTTTCTCCAAATTGAGCTAATTTCTATTTAAAAAGGTTAAATTAGTGATGTATAAGTGGGTGGATATGAAGCAACTGTATGAAGCACTAACTGTAACCCTAAGGTGCTTTTAAATAATATCTCAGTGTTAAAATGGCAGGAGAACATGCAGACTGAGCATAATGGAAGGGAAATGTTTAAAGAAAATTTTATGAGTAGTTACGACCTGAGTTGATATGAAGAACTCCCTGGAAACATGTTTGTGGTAAATACAATGCAAAATAAAAATATTAGAGTGTTTCCCTTATAGCTCATATTTCACAAAAACCTTTCAATTCATGGAGCCGTCCTGTGAACATTTACTGCAAAGAAAAAAAGATGTTTTAAAAATTCTTAGTAGCATACGATGGAAAAAGAGATGAGACTGACTTTCAGGCTCCTTTCCACAGGCTTCCAACAGACACTTATGAAAAAGGTTGGTGGCAGGGCATAAGACTAGAAGCCCCATTGACAGAGCAGGTGTCTAAGAGATGAGGCTTGTTCACAGGAGCAAAGATCTGCCCTACTGCAACTCACCCTTCTTTCATAAGAATACAAAGCCTTAGGCCACTAGGAGGGGCCATTAAGCCTTCTTGGCTATGGGGTTGAGGTGAAAATTTATTGTTTCCAGGGAAGACATAGAAACAAAATCTGTCCACCTCTGAGAAAAGAGTAGGAAACATTTCTGGCTTTAGGATACCGACAATTTATACTTTGCTTCTGGAGGAGATGTACAAGTAAATACCCTGTGCCTGGTAGGAAAACCAATGTATAATTTCTTGTTGCTCCTGCAACAAATTACCACAAACATGGTGGTCTAAAACAACACACGTATATTACCTCACCCATCTGGATCTCAGAAGTACAAAACAGATCTCACCAGACTAAAACTAAAGTGTCAGAAGTTTCATTGTTTCCAGAGCTCTAGAGGAGAACCCATTTCCTTTCCTTCTCCAGCTTCCAAAACCTGCCTGTTTTTCTTAGCACATGTTCCCGTTCCAATTGTTGATTAAGTTGTATTGTTTTGTTTTGTTTTTATCTGTGTTACCTGACCCTTTTCCTGCCTCCTTATTTGACTGTTAAGGACTGTTGTGATTATATCAGACTCACCTGACTAATTTGAGATATTATTTTATTTTAATATCCACTGATTAGGCCGGGCACGGTGGCTCATGCCTGTAATCCCAGGACTTTGGGAGGCCAAGGTGGGTGGATCACGAGGTCAGGAGATTGAGACTAGCCTGGCTAACATGGTGAGACCCCATCTCTACTAAAAATACAAAAATTAGCTGGGCGTAGTGGCGCGTGCCTGTAATCCCAGCTACTTGAGAGGCTGAGGTAGGACAATCGTTTGAACCAGGGAGTCGGGGGTTGCAGTGAGCCGAGATTATGCCACTGCACTCCAGCAGCCTGGCGACAGAGCAAGGCTCCGTCTAAATAAAAAAAAGAAACAAAAAAGATCTGCTGACTAGCAGACTCATACTGGAAGCATCTAGATACAGCTGAGGAAAGAATGAGCATACTTAAGTATGTCAATAGAGATTGCACAAATTAAAACATAAGGAAAAAAAAAACACAAACCAGAATAGAGCATCCAGTAATCGTGACACAGTATCAAGCAATGCTACAGAAAAGAAACATGTGTTCCAGAAGAAGAAAAGAGAGAGATTTGGGTAGAAGAATTATTAGAAGTGTTACTGGCTTAGAACTTGCTGAATTTTTTGAAAGATAACATGCCACCCATGCAAGAAGCCCAGAGATCCTAAGCAGGAAACACACACAGGCTCACACACACACATGGAAGCCACACCTATACACATCACAAACTCCTGAAGAACAAAAATAAAAAGAACTACTGATAGTCAGGCAAAGGTTAAAGAAACATCCCATATATAACCACAAATGTAAGAATTCCACAAGGATTCTCATTAGAAGCTGTGCAGGCCTGAAGACAACGAAGTGATCTCTTTAAAGTATGAGGGAAATCATAACTGTCATCCCAGATTTTAATAGCATAAAAGAGACTTTTTCAGAAAAACCATAGTGAATAAAGAGAGCGATTAGAAAATCTGCACTACATGAAATGTTAAAGGAGGTTTGTCATGCAAAAGGATAGTGACACGTGAGGAAAATTAGGATCTACAGAAAGAAATGAACTACTTTAAAAATGGTATATATGAGGTAAATATGGAAGACTTTTTCTTATTTTAATCACCATAAATGATAATTGATGCTCTGTAAGCTAAAGTAATTCTAATGTATTGTGGGCTTTATAACAAAAAACAGAATGAGAATACATAGTAACAATAATAGCACAAAGTGTAAGAGGGGTATAATAGAACTGCAGACAGGCAGGACACGGTGGCGTGTGCCTATAATCCCAGCTATTCAGAAGGCTGAGGTGACAGGATCACTTGAGCACAGGAGGTCGAGGCTGCAGTGAGCTATAAATGGGCTGCTGTACTCCAGCCTGGGTGACAGAATGAGACCCTGTCTAAAATAAAGAACTATACAAATAGTCCTGACTAGTTTGATTGACAATATTTTTACTTTATGATGGTGCAAAAGTGATATGCATTCAGTAGAAACTGTACTTCAAATTTTTTTCTCAGGCTAGCAATATGAAGTCTGATATTCTCTTACGATGCTAGGCAAGGGCAGTGAGGCGCAGCTCCCAGTCAGCCCCACGATGAAGAGAGTAAGCAGCCATGCCGTACAGTGCACTGTGTTGCTGGATGATTCGGTCCAACCGTAGGCAAATGTAAGTGTTCTGAGCATGTTTTCAGTAGGCCAGCCTAAGCTATAATGTGCAATAGGTGACATGTATTAAATAAATTTGTAACTTACGATTAGTTTTTCTGAATGTAACCCCAATGTAAATCGAGAATCATCTGTACACTATGCATGAAACTCTGTAACATTATGTGATGACAGCATATGAAAAAATACACTTATTTTAAATAGAAATAGAACATCTAAAATCTTAAAAGCAATATCTAATAAGTCATCAGTAGAGATAGAATTATAAACAAGAATCAACCCAAAAGAAGGAAGAAAAAATACATATAGAAAACAAAAATACAGTATCTTTAAACTCAACAACAATGAAAAATCACTGTGAATATGAATTTTTTTAACACTAAAGTTGCAGACTGTCATACTGGATAAGAGGAAATTTCCAAATATATATTTTCTACAAGACACACGCTTTAAATATAATGACATAAATTTAAGTTAAACGGATGAAAAAATACCATTATATTAATATCAGAGAGTACATTTCAGAACAAGAAAAATTACAAATGTTTGTAAAGAAGGGTATTACATAATAATAAAGGATTTAATTTATGAACACCTAATGATTCTAAATGCATGTTCACATACTATGAGGGCTTCAAAATACAAAGGAGGAATAGAAAAAGCTGCAATTAAATAGTTGGAGAATTTTGAGATCTATGAAAACCCATCATTCTACTTGATCTAGTTTAATTTATTATGATTATTATTAAAGATGGTGTTTCTCAGTGTTTCCCAGGCTGGTCTCAAACTCCTTGGCTCAAGTGATCCTCACACCTCAGCCTCCCAAAGCGTTGGGATTACTGGCATGAGCCACCAAGTCTGGCTGACCTACCTGACATTTAGAGGACATGCTATAACTGCAGAATACACATTTCGTCAATGTGGATCTCAGCATCTACTAGAAGAAACTATCAGTCTTTTGGACAGATAACACACACAGTCACTAACCTGTCTCCTTTCTGAATATGCAGGCAACTTTTCGTTTTCCTTGAGAGTATAAGACAGTATCTAAATTACTGACCAGGAGCATGGGATCAACCTTCAATATGATGTAGAAGACAAGAGATGCACGAGTAAACAAGAAATAAACAAAAGAGGGAGATAAGAAGTGACACAGGAAAAACCAAAGAAGGCTCTCAGTGTCTGATGATCCTTGCATGAATCCTCTCATCTCCACCTAAATGATGTACCAGTGGTTTTCTGAATGTGACTTCTATTTTCTGCTTTGTATTAGTCTGTCCTCACACTGCTATAAAGAAATACTGAAACTGGGTAGTTTATAAAGAAAAGAGATTTAATTGACTCACAGTTCCATAGCTAGACAGGGGGCATGGCTGGGGAGGCCTCAGGGAACTTGCAATCATGGCAGTAGGGGGAAGGGGAAGCAAGCACATCTCCACTTGGCACAGAAGAGAGAGAGAGAGTGAAGGGGAAGTGCCATGCACTTTTAAACCATCAGATCTCAAGAGAATTCACTCACTGTTATGAGAATAGCAAGGGAGAAATCTGCCCCCTTGATCCAGTCACCTCCCTCTAGATCTCTCGCTCAGCACTGGGAATTAAAATTCAATGTGAGATTTGGGTGGGGACACAGAACAAAACCATATCAGCTTCCATACTGGTTCCATTTATCATTTTATCTTGTCTAAATTTAATATATTCCTCAAGTGGTAATTCAAACTTTTTAAAAAAAGGATTTCAGCTTTTATTTTAGATTCAGAGGGTACATATGCAGGTTTGTTACATGAGAATTTTGCAGGTGGAATGAATATATTGTATGCAGAATTCTCATCATCTAGGTAGTGAGTGTAGTACCCAAGAGTTAGGTTTTCAACACTTACCCACCTCCTTCTTTCCTCTCATAGGAGTCTCCAATGTCTACTGTTGCCATCTTTATGTTCGTGAGTATCCAATATTGAACTCTCACTTATAAGTGAGGACATGTAGTATTTTGTTCACCTTTCCTGTGTTAATATGCTTAGGATAATGGCCTATAGCTCCATTCATTTTGCTGCAAATGACATGATTTTATTCTTTTTTAAGACTGTATAGTATTCCATGATGTATATGTACCACATTTTCTTTATTGAATCTAATGTTGTTTGACACCTGGGATAAATCTGTATCTATGGTGAATAGTGCTACAATGAACATACTAGTGCAGGTGTCTTTTTCATAGAATGATTTATTATATTTGGATATATAGCCAGTAGTGGGATTTCTGGGTTGAACGGTAGTTCTGTTTTAAGTTCTTTTTTTTTTTTTTTTCATTATTATACTTTAAGTTTTAGGGTACATGTGCACAATGTGCAGGTTAGTTTCATATGTATACAAGTGCCATGCTGGTGCGCTGCACCCACTAACTCGTCATCTAGCATTAGGTATATCTCCCAATGCTATTCCCTCCCCACTCCCCACAACCCACAACAGTCCCCAGAGTGTGATGTTCCCCTTCCTGTGTCCATGTGTTCTCATTGTTCAATTCCCACCTATGACTGAGAATATGCGGTGTTTGGTTTTTGTTCCTGCAATAGTTTACTGAGAATGATGATTTCCAGTTTCATCCATGTCCCTACAAAGGACATGAACTCATCATTTTTTATGGCTGCATAGTATTCCATGGTGTATACGTGCCACATTTTCTTAATCCAGTCTATCATTGTTGGACATTAGGGTTGGTTCCAAGTCTTTGCTATTGCAAATAGTGCCACAATAAACATACGTGTGCATGTGTCTTTATCACAGCATAATTTATAGTCCTTTGGGTATATACCCAGTAATGGGATGGCTGGGTCAAATGGTATTTCTAGTTTTAGATCCCTGAGGAATCGCCACACTGACTTCCACAGTGGTTGAACTAGTTTACAGTCCCACCAACAGTGTAAAAGTGTTCCTATTTCTCCACATCCTCTCCAGCACCTGTTGTTTCCTGACTTTTTAATGATTGCCATTCTAACTGGTGTGAGATGGTATCTCATTGTGGTTTTGATTTGCATTTCTCTGATGGCCAGTGATGGTGAGCATTTTTTCATGTGTTTTTTGGCTGCATAAATGTCTTCTTTTGAGAAGTGTCTGTTCATGTCCTTTGCCCACTTTTTGATGGGGTTGTTTGTTTCTTGTAAATTTGTTTGAGTTCATTGTAGATTCTGCATATTAGCCCTTTGTCAGATGAGTAAGTTGCGAAAATTTTCTCCCATTTTGTAGGTTGCCTGTTCACTCTGATGGTAGTTTCTTTTTCTGTGCAGAAGCTCTTTAGTTTAATTAGATCCCATTTGTCAATTTTTGCTTTTATTGCCATTGCTTTTGGTGTTTTAGACATGAAGTCCTTGCCCATGCCTATGTCCTGAATGGTATTGCCTAGGTTTTCTTCTAGGGTTTTTATGGTTTTAGGTCTAATGTTTAAGTCTTTAATCCATCTTGAATTGATTTTTGTATAAGGTGTAAGAAAGGGATCCAGTTTCAGCTTTCTACATATGGCTAGCCAGTTTTCCCAGCACCATTTATTAAATAGGGAATCCTTTCCCCATTGCTTGTTTTTCTCAGGTTTGTCAAAGATCAGATAGTTGTAGATATGCGGCATTATTTCTGAGGGCCCTGTTCTGTTCCATTGATCTATATCTCTGTTTTGGTACCAGTGCCATGCTGTTTTGGTTACTGTAGCCTTGTAGTATAGTTTGAAGTCAGGTAGCGTCATGCCTCCAGCTTTGTTCTTTTTGGCTTAGGATTGACTTGGCGATGCAGGCTCTTTTTTGGTTCCATATGAACTTTAAAGTAGTTTTTTCCAATTCTGTGAAGAAAGTCATTGGTAGCTTGATGGGGATGGCATTGAATCTGTAAATTACCTTGGGCAGTATGGCCATTTTCACGATATTGATTCTTCCTACCCATGAGCATGGAATGTTCTTCCATTTGTTTGTATCCTCTTTTATTTCCTTGAGCAGTGGTTTGTAGTTCTCCTTGAAGAGGTCCTTCACATCCCTTGTAAGTTGGATTCCTAGGTATTTTATTCTCTTTGAAGCAATTGTGAATGGGAGTTCACTCATGATTTGGCTCTCTGTTTGTCTGTTGTTGGTGTAGAAGAATGCTTGTGATTTTTGTACATTGATTTTGTATCTTGAGACTTTGCTGAAGTTGCTTATCAGCTTAAGGAGATTTTGGGCTGAGACAATGGGGTTTTCTACATATAAAATCATGTCGTCTGCAAACAGGGACAATTTGACTTCCTCTTTTCCTAATTGAATACCCTTTATTTCCTTCTCCTGCCTAATTGCCCTGGCCAGAACTTCCAACACTATGTTGAATAGGAGTGATGAGAGAGGGCATCCCTGTCTTGTGCCAGTTTTCAAGGGGAATGCTTCCAGTTTTTGCCCATTCAGTATGATATGGCTGTGGGTTTGTCATAGATAGCTCTTATTATTTTGAAATACATCCCATCAATACCTAATTTATTGAGAGTTTTTAGCATGAAGGGTTGTTAAATTTTGTCAAAGGCCTTTTCTGCGTCTATTGAGATAATCATGTGGTTTTTGTCTTTGGTTCTGTTTATATGCTGGATTACATTTATTGATTTGTGTATATTGAACCAGCCTTGCATCCCAGGGATGAAGCCCACTTGATCATGGTGGATAAGCTTTTTGATGTGCTGCTGGATTTGATTTGCCAGTATTTTATTGAGGATTTTTGCATCAATGTTCATCAAGTATGTTGGTCTAAAATTCTCTTTTTTGGTTGTGTCTCTGCCCGGCTTTGGTATCAGGATGATGCTGGCCTCATAAAATGAGTTAGGGAGGATTCCCTCTTTTTCTATTGATTGGAATAGTTTCAGAAGGAATGGTACCGGTTCCTCCTTGTACCTCTGGTAGAATTCGGCTGTGAATCCATCTGGTCCTGGACTCTTTTTGGTTGGTAAGCTATTGATTATTGCCACAATTTCAGATCCTGTTATTGGTCTATTCAGAGATTCAACTTCTTCCTGGTTTAGACTTGGGAGAGTGTATGTGTCGAGGAATTTATCCATTTCTTCTAGATTTTCTAGTTTATTTGCATAGAGGTGTTTGTAGTATTCTCTGATGGTAGTTTGTATTTCTGTGGGATTGGTGGTGATATCCCCTTTATCATTTTTTATTGCGTCTATTTGATTCTTCTCTCTTTTTTTCTTTATTAGTCTTGCTAGCGGTCTATCAATTTTGTTGATCCTTTCAAAAAACCAGCTGCTGGATTCATTAATTTTTGAAGGGTTTTTTGTGTCTCTATTTCCTTCAGTTCTGCTCTGATTTTAGTTATTTCTTGCCTTCTGCTAGCTTTTGAATGTGTTTGCTCTTGCTCTTCTAGTTCTTTTAATTGTGATGTTAGGGTGTCAATTTTGGATCTTTCCTGCTTTCTCTTGTGGGCATGTAGTGCTATAAATTTCCCTGTACACACTGCGTTGAATGTGTCCCAGAGATTCTGGTATGTTGTGTCTTTGTTCTCATTGGTTTCAAAGAACATCTTTATTTCTGCCTTCATTTCTTTATGTACCCAGTAGTCATTCAGGAGCAGGTTGTTCAGTTTCCATGTAGTTGAGCGGTTTTGAGTGAGATTCTTAATCCTGAGTTCTAGTTTGATTGCACTGTGGTCTGAGAGATAGTTTGTTATAATTGCTATTCTTTTACATTTGCTGAGGAGAGCTTTACTTCCAAGTATGTGGTCAATTTTGGAATAGGTGTGGTGTGGTGCTGAAAAAAATATATATTCTGTTGATTTGGGATGGAGAGTTCTGTAGATGTCTATTAGGTCTGCTTGGTGCAGAGCTGAGTTCAATTCCTGGGTATCCTTGTTGACCTTCTGTCTCGTTGAACTGTCTAATGTTGACAGTGGGGTGTTAAAGTCTCCCATTATTAATGTGTGGGAGTCTAAGTCTCTTTGTAGGTCACTCAGGACTTGCTTTATGAATCTGGGCGCTCCTGTATTGGGTGCATATATATTTAGGATAGTTAGCTCTTCTTGTTGAATTGATCCCTTTACCATTATGTAATGGCCTTCTTTGTCTGTTTTGATCTTTGTTGGTTTAAAGTCTGTTTTATCAGAGACTAGGATTGCAACCCCTGCCTTTTTTTGTTTTCCATTTGCTTAGTAGATCTTCCTCCATCCCTTTATTTTGAGCCTATGTGTGTCTCTGCATGTGAGATGGGTTTCCTGAATACAGCACACTGATGGGTCTTGACTCTTTAGCCAATTTGCCAGTCTGTGTCTTTTAATTGGAGCATTTAGTCCATTTACATTTAAAGTTAATATTGTTATGTGTGAATTTGATCCTGTCATTATGATGTTAGCTGGTTATTTTGCTCGTTAGCTGATGCAGTTTCTTCCTAGTCTCAATGGTCTTTACATTTTGGCATGATTTTGCAGTGGCTGGTACCAGTTGTTCCTTTCCATGTTTAGTGCTTCCTTCAGGAGCTCTTTTAGGGCAGGCCTGGTGGTGACAAAATCTCTCAGCATTTGCTTGTCTGTAAAGTATTTTATTTCTCCTTCACTTATGAAGCTTAGTTTGGCTGGATATGAAATTCTGGGTTGAAAATTCTTTTCTTTAAGAATGTTGAATATTGGCCCCCACTCTCTTCTGGCTTGTAGAGTTTCTGCCGAGAGATCCGCTGTTAGTCTGATGGGCTTCCCTTTGAGGGTAACCCGACCTTTCTCTCTGGCTGCCCTTAACATTTTTTCCTTCATTTGAACTTTGGTGAATCTGACAATTATGTGTCTTGGAGTTGCTCTTCTCGAGGAGTATCTTTGTGGCATTCTCTGTATTTCCTGAATCTGAACGTTGGCCTGCCTTGCTAGATTGGGGAAGTTCTCCTGGATAATATCCTGCAGAGTGTTTTCCAACTTGGTTCCATTCTCCCCATCACTTTCAGGTACACCAATCAGACGTAGATTTGGTCTTTTCACATAGTCCCATATTTCTTGGAGGCTTTGCTCGTTTCTTTTTATTCTTTTTTCTCTAAACTTCCCTTCTCGCTTCATTTCATTCATTTCATCTTCCATCGCTGATACCCTTTCTTCCAGTTGATCGCATCGGCTCCTGAGGCTTCTGCATTCTTCACGTACTTCTCGAGCCTTGGTTTTCAGCTCCATCAGCTCCTTTAAGCACTTCTCTGTATTGGTTATTCTGGTTATACATTCTTTTAAATTTTTTCCAAAGTTTTCAACTTCTTTGCCTTTGGTTTGAATGTCCTCCCTTAGCTCGGAGTAATTCGATCGTCTGAAGCCTTCTTCTCTCAGCTCATCAAAGTCATTCTCCGTCCAGCTTTGTTCTGTTGCTGGTGAGGAACTGCGTTCCTTTGGAGGAGGAGAGGCACTCTGCTTTTTAGAGTTTCCAGTTTTTCTGCTCTGTTTTTTCCCCATCTTTGTGGTTTTATCTACTTTTGGTCTTTGATGATGGTCTTTGATGATGATGATGATGGTGATGATGGGGTTTTTGGTGTGGATGTCCTTTCTGTTTGTTACTTTTCCTTCTAACAGACAGGACCCTCAGCTGCAGGTCTGTTGGAGTACCAGGCCGTGTGAGGTGTCAGTCTACCCCTGCTAGGGGGTGCCTCCCAGTTAGGCTGCTTGGGGGTCAGGGGTCAGGGACCCACTTGAGGAGGCAGTCTGCCAGTTCTCAGATCTCCAGCTGCGTGCTGGGAGAACCACTGCTCTCTTCAAAGCTGTCAGACAGGGACATTTAAGTCTGCAGAGGTTACTGCTGTCTTTTTGTTTGTCTGTGCCCTGCCCCCAGAGGTGGAGCCTACAGAGGCAGGCAGGCCTCCTTGAGCTGTGGTGGGCTCCACCCAGTTCGAGCTTCCCCGCTGCTTTGTTTACCTAAGGAAGCCTGGGCAATGGTGGGCGCCCCTCCACCAGTCTGGCTGCTGCCTTGCAGTTTGATCTCAGGCTGCTGTGCTAGCAATCAGCGAGACTCTGTGGGTGTAGGACCCTCCGAGCCAGGTGCGGGACACAATCTCCTGGTGCGCCGTTTTTTAAGCCCATCAGAAAAGCGCAGTATTTGGGTGGGAGTGACCCGATCTTCCAGGTGCCCTCTGTCACCCCTTTCTTTGACTAGGAAAGGGAACTCCCTGACCCCCTGCGCTTCCCGAGTCAGGCAATGCCTCGCCCTGCTTCAGCTCGCGCACGGTGCGTGCACCCACTGACCTGCGCCCACTGTCTGGCACTCCCTATGGAGATGAACCCGGTACCTCAGATGGAAATGCAGAAATCACCCGTCTTCTGCATCGCTCACGCTGGGAGCTGTAGATCGGAGCTGCTCCTATTCAGCCATCTTGGCTCCTCACCTGTTTTAAGTTCTTTGATAACTTTCCAAACTGCTTTTCACAGTGGCTGAACTAATTTACATTCCTACCAACAGTGTATCAGCATTCCCTTTTCTCTGCAACCTCACCAACATCTGTTATTTTTTGACTTTTTAACAAAAGCCATTCTGACTGGTGTGAGATAGTATCTCATTGTGGTTTTGATTTGCCTTTCTGTGATGATTAGTGATGTTGAGCATTTTTTTTCATGTGATTGATTGCTGGTCACTTGTATGTTGTCTTTTGATAAGTGTCTGTTGTAATGTCTTTTGCCCACTTTTTAATAGGGCTATTTGTGTTTTGCTTGTTGAATGTTTAAGTTCCTGATAGATTCTGGATATTAGATCTTTGCCATACCCATAGTTTGTGAATATTTTATCCCATTCTGTAGGTTGTTTACTCTGTTGATAGTTTTGTGGGTTTTCTTTTTTTGCTGTGAAGAAGCTCTTTAGTTTAATTAGGCCCACTTGCCAATTTTCATTTTTGTTGCAACTGCTTTTGAGGATTTAGTCATAAATTCTTTCCCAAGACCAATGTCCAGAATAGTGTTTACTAGGTTTCCTTCTGGGAGTCTGATAGTTTGAAGTCTTACATTTAATTTTTTAACTCAACTTGAATTAATTTTTGTATATGGTGAAAGGGAAGGGTCCACTTTAATTCTTCTGCCTGTGGATAGCCAACTGTCTCAGCATTATCTATTGAATAGGGAGTCCTTTCTCCATTGCTTATTTTAGTTGACTTTGTCAAACATCAGATGGCTGTAGGTGTGCAATTTTATTTCTGGGTTCGCTATTCTGTTTCAGTTGTCTGTGTGTCTGTTTTTGTACCAGCACCACACTGTTTTGGTTACTATAGCATTATAGTACAGCTTGAAGTCGGGTAATTTGATGCCTCTGGTTTTGTTCTTTTTGCTTAGGATTGCTTTGGCTAGTTGGGCTCTTGTTTAAGTCCCAAGTAAATTTTAGCATAGTTTTTCTTTTTATTAATTCTGTGAAAAATTACACTGATAGTTTGATAGGAATAGCTCTCAATCTATAGATTGCTTTGGGCATTGTGGGCACTTTGAAAATATTGATTCCTTGAATCCATGAGCATGGGCTGTTTTTCCATTTGTTTGTGTCATCTATGATTTTTTGCAGCAGTTTTTGTAGCTTTCCTTGTAGAGTTTTTTTCACCTTCTTGGTTAGATGCATTCCTAAGTTTATTTTTTCTTTTCTTCTTTTTTTTTCCGGCTGATATAAATGGGATTGGATTCTTGATTTGGCTCTCAGCTTGAACATTATTGGTGTATAAACTTTTATATTTTGAAGAAGACATTCTTGAACAAAAATATGGAAGGAAACTTAATGTCTGATATACTGCAGGTACTTAGCAATATCAATTAGTAATTTTAGTTTACTATTGATATTGATAATAACCTCAAAGTGTTAAGTGCCTCGTGAACAAGAAATGAGAAAGTGTTTTGAAATTATGTAGGCATTTTCAAAATTATATTGCTATCATTAGCCTTTATGTTGTTTTTATTTCCTGAAATATTTAATTTGCATATTTATTTGCTCTCTAATTCATATAGCACTTTTTCAAAATACAGAGTAATGCAAAAACAATTACGAACAATGTAAGCGAACATTCGTTATAGTATATTTGTAAATGCTACAATTAGAAAAGAGAATTTAGGTAATACTTTCCAAATATTGTTATAACACTATCACTTTCTTTAAGCATTTCCATATGTTAAGCCTTATTATATACCTTTCTCATGCATTAAGCTTAATGAAAACAGGCCTCTTTAATAGAGTGAACTAAAGGATAATTTTTATATTTTTTCTAATCTATTTTAATTTTATTAATGTAATTATTTTTCAAAGCTTCATCAATGTAGGCTAAATTCAAAGATTGTTACTGTATTTGTGTATTTTTTACCTTTATTTACAGTTAAATATTATAAAAATTGTACAACAGATAAGCTAATCATGGGCAAAAACACTGAAAAGAACTTATTATAATCTTTGACTTTAATTTTTTTTATATTTTTTGAGACGGTCTCACTCTGTTGCCCAGGCTACAGTGCAGTGGTGCAATCTTGGCTTAATGCAACCTCCGCCTCCCAGGTTCAAGCAATTCTCCCACCTCAGCTTCCTGAGTAGATGGGATTACAGGTGCCTGCCACCACATCCGGCTAATTTTTGTATTTTTGTAGAGACAGGGTTTTACCATGTTGGCCAGGCTGATCTCGAGCTCCTAACCTCCGTGATCCACACGCCTCGGCCTCCCAAAGTGCTGGGATTACAGGCGTGAGCCACCGTGCTAGGCCAATCTTTGATTTTAATGATACACTTGAGATAATAAAAAAGATTAAAAAAAACCTAGTTAATATTTTTGCCATATTTTGTTCTCATTTAAAAATAAATGGAAGCTAAAAAATGTCAACCATCTTAAGAAAAATTTATAATTTTATGGCAAAAGAAAAAAAAAACGTTTAATGTGGAAGGCTAAAACAAGAAGTTAGATTGAAGACACATACATCATCTTTTTTTTTTTTTTTTTTTAGACGGAGTCTCGCTCTTTCACCCAGGCCAGAGTGCAGTGGCGCGCTATCTTGGCTCACTGCAAGTTCTGCCTCTCGGGTTCACGCCATTCTCCTGTCTCAGACTCCCGAGTAGCTGGGACTACAGGCACCCACCACTGCGCCTGGCTAATTTTTTGTATTTTCAGTAGAGACGGGGTTTCACCATGTTAGCCAGTATGGTCTCGATCTCCTGACCTTGTGATCCACCCACCTCGGCCTCCCACATATATCTTTTAAAACCCCTTAAAAGATGAAAAAAAATAAGTAATAGAGTGTGCCACTTTCATTTGAAATAATTCTTAGAAAAGAACAAGCAGAAATCTGATTGATAACTCAGAGAAAGAAATAACTAACACAAATAACAGCCATAAATATGCAGAATAAAAGAATGCAAAGGTAAACAGAAGTTAGCACATACAAATATAAAAATGCAATCGGAATTCTCGAATATTTTCTAGAATAACAGCACCGTAAGTGAGAGGCAACAAAACACACTAAACTGAAGAAGTAACATAGTAGAAACAGAATTTATGAAAACAAACAGACAAAAAGAAGATTTTAGTATAAGTAAAATTACTGTTCTAGACATTCCTACATCCATAAATTGTGACACTTGATATGAAGAAAAAAATCCTATAAATTAAGAAGTTAAATTGTCTTAAACGGGATATTGTAAAGATATAGTAGTACAGTTGCCTCCATCATCCACAGTTTCACTTTCTGTGGTTTCAGTTACTTGTGGTCAATGGACATCCAAATCCAGTAAGTGAAAAATTATAGTTTATGAGTTTTAAATTGCATGCTGTTCTGAGTCACATAATAAAATCTTGTTGCCATCCCACTCTGTCCTTCCCGGGTGATGGAGCCTTCCTTTGTCCAGTGTATCCATCCTATATACACTTCCTGCTAGTTAGTCCCTTCGTAGCCACCTCATTATCCGATCAAAAAGACATAGTATTTATAGGGTTGAGCACTATCTGAGCTTTCAAGCATCCACTGGGGGACTTGGATCATTTGGCCTATGGATAAAAGAAAACTATTATGTATCTGATTTAATAATTGAAGGATTAAAGAAATGCAAGGTGCAAGATAATAGTACAAAAAGAAAAATGATGTAAATATTAAAGAAAAGAGAAAAACGTTTGGAGCACAAATCTACCAGTTTAATAGATAAAATAATCTTTGTTATAATCATAATCATAAAAAGGTTTGTCTCAAGTTCAAATAAAGACAAAAATCTTAAAACTAAAAAGACCTTATTGACTAACACATCAAATTAAAAAAAAAAAGACAGAGGAAAAGTACAGATAAGGTAAGAAATAATGATTTGTAGTTTCTGTTTCTACACTGATTTCACTTATCATTTTGGCTCTTCTAAATCTAATGTATTCTTCAAAATGCAATAGAGGAACTTTACAAAAATCACAGGAAAATATCTTTTCCATATAATGACTTATTTTCCTCTGGGTAGATACAGGTGATGGGTGCACCAAAATCTCCGAAATCATCACCAAGAACTTATTCATGTAGCCAAACACTAACTGTTCCCCAAAAAACTATTGAAATAAAAAATAAATGTATATACAATGTATATAAATGTATAATTAAAAGTATATGGCATGGTCTTAGAATAGAATACCAGAAGCTACTAAAATTTACAATTGCAAATTATAAATATTTATATTGATTGATACTGTACAATATTTACCACTCAATCAGGTAAAGAAGAATGTTGAAAAGCAATAATCAGGTAAGATCTGATGTTTGTTAGGCAAATATTTTAAAGTGTATTTATGCCTGGAAAAGAAGCCCAGAAGAATAAACACCAGAAGTAGCCAATATTTAGCTATTCAGAGGAGTGGGGTAAATGATGAGTGGGTTGGTTTTTTAAAAAAATTATCTGTATTTTCATAGCACCACTGCACTCCAGCCTGGGTGACAGAGCGAGACTCCGTCTCAAAAAAAAAAAAAAAAAAAAAAATTATCTCTATTTTCTAAATGTTCTACAACGAAAGTGAATTATTTTTGTAATAAAGAAAATATATCACTTGAAAAAAATCACAAGAAAGTATATTCTACAACTGTAGACATATACATTCAAAACCTAGGTGAAATTAATAAATCTCTAAGAAAATAGTGTTTACCAAAATTGATTACAGTAGAAAGAGAATGATTAAAGATATTAATTTTCATACATAGCTATACAAATTATCAACATTTTAACCACGGAGGTGATATATTACGGAGTATTGAATGGTGAGGAAATACCAGTTCTGGATGAATTCTTAGAGGACTTCGGCCAGATTTTCTTTTTTAATTTAAAAATAGTTTTTGTTAAAAATGCTAATGATTGGCCAGGCCCGGTGGCTCACGCCTGTAATCCCAGCACTTTGGGAGGCCGAGGCAGGCGGATCACGAGGTCAGGAGATCGAGACCATTCTGGCTAATACGGTGAAATGCTGTCTCTACTAAAAATACAAAAATTAGCCGGGTGTGGTGGCACACACCTGTAATCCCAGCTCAGGAGGCTGAGGCAAGAGAATTGCTTGAACCCGGGAGATGAGGTTGCAGTGAGCTGAGATCACATCACTGCACACCAGCCTGGGCGACAGAGCAAGACTCCATCTAAAAAAAAAAAGAAAAAAGAAAAAGCTAATGATGGTCTGGGACTTCAGTGAGTCACAATCTTTTTGCTGGTGGAGGTTCTTGCCTAGATGTTGATGGCTACTGACTGATCAGGGTGGTGGTAGCTGAAAGCTAGGATGGCTGTGGCTATTTTTTAAAATAAAACAATAATGAAGTTTGCTCTATCACTTGACTCTTCCTTTCCCAAAAGACTGACTATAGCTTGTAATGCTATTTGACAGCATTTTACTCACAGTAGAAACTCTTTCAAAGTTTAAGTCAATTCTGTCAAACCCTGGTAGTTACTCAGCAGTTAAGTTTACAAAATATTCTAAATCCTTTGTTGTCATTGCAACGATGTTCACAGCATCTTCACCATAAATAGATTTCATTCCATCCCAAGAAACCACTTTCTTGGCTCATGCCTAAGCAGCAATTCCTTATTCATTCAAGTTTGATCATGAAATTGCAGCAATTCAGTCACATCTTCTGGCTTCACTTCTAATTCTAGTTCTCTTGCTGTTTCCACCCCATCTGCAGGTACTTCCTCCACTGAAGGCTTGCATCCCTCAAAGCCATTCATGAAGGTTGAAATCAACTTCCTCCAAACTCCTGTTAATGTTGATATTTTGACATTTTATTATGGAAGCCATAAATCATTAATGGTTTTAATGGCATCTAGGATGATTGTATGCTTTCCAGAAGATTTTCAATTTACTTTGTCTCTATCGAATTTTTAAAGATATAAAATTTAAATGTTATATGTACTATTCCAGATCTCTGAAAAAGATTTAAAATTTTAAATTATTTTTATGAAACAAGTATATTGATGATAAAAGCTAGTAAAATCTGGAGAAAATATCAACTAAACAATATAACTTATGAATAATGATGAAAATATCCTGAATAAAATACTAGCAATGTTAATCTGAAGTTATTGTGTGCAGTATTCATTACATGCATTTAGATTAAGTTGTTCAAAAGTACTGATCAATTTTTCATATATTTATTATTTTTGAACTGCTTAGTCCATCATTTAGTAAGAGGCTAAATTCTCCAGCAATGATTGTAGATATGACTATCGCTTTAGTTCCCATCATGGTAACTTCATAAATGTAAAAGCTCTGTTATTATATGCATACAAATTATTGATTGTTATGTCTTCCTGATATATTAGCCCTTTTACTGCATGACATAGGTCTCTATATCTATGGCCTGTCTATCATGTGAACACTCCTTGTCTTGAAGTCTGTTTTGTTTATTTTAATATAGGCACACAATCTCTCTTGTATATTTTTTGCGTGGTACATTTTACCCTTCTCTTTACTTTCAAATTCTTCATATTTTTATAGTTAAAATGTCTCTTGTGAATAGCATAGAAATGAGTCTTTCTTTTTAATCTAGTCCAACAACTTGGCCTATTAATTATAGCTTTCTTGCCTTCTTTTGGATTAACCTAGTAATTTTTCATATTTGGTTTTATATACTTTATTGGCTTTTTAGATACATACTGTTGCTTTAAATTTAATGTGAGCTGAATGGATTACAATGTGCATCATTAACTTATATCACATCGAGTTTTAAATTAATATTATACTACTTTACATACAATTCAAGAAACTTAAAAATGTATAACTGATTTTAACATCCACCATTTATATAAATCATACATCTCTGTAATTGCATATATAAACTGATATATAAACAATGTACATATATAAATATATACTTTTATATATCAGTGTTCATATATATAAGTATATACTGATATATGTATCAGTTTGTACATATATACAGCTGTGTGTATATATATACATATACATAACTTCTGTGTTTGTTATAAATCCCGTAATATACAGGATTTGTATAGGATGAAAAGTTAAACCACTTATAATAATGATAAGAAAAAAATGTTCTTGGTATTTATGCATTTTTTTCTTTTCTATTGATATTAAAGTTTCCACCATAATTTTGAAGACTCTTCATCATTAATTCTTCAAATGTTTATTTATTCTGTTCTTTCATTTCTTTTCTCATGGGAATCCAATTACAAAAATATCAAATCATATGTTATACTTCCAATTGTCTATATTGATATCAGTATTGATAGCTGTATGTCTCTAATATATATTTTGAGTTAGCTTATCCCTCCTTTTTTAGTTTTATGTATTGTATATTTTGGTTCTGAAATTTCCACTTGCTTCTCTTTCACAGTTTCTGTTTCTCTCCTGAGATTACCCACCTGTTCACCCATTCAGTCAATATTTTCCTATAAATCTTTTAAATAATGATAACAGCTAAAGTCATTGTATAATTATAAAGATGTCAGTTCATCAAGAAGTTATACGTATTATAAACACATTATATATGTATCTATAAGAGCATCTAAATATATAAATAAAATATTAATAGATCAGAAGAAAGAGACTACAATATAATAATAATAGTGGACTTCAATACTCCACTTTCAGCAATGAACAGATCATCGAGACAGAAAATCCATAAAGACCTATTGGACCTGAACTACACTTTAAGCTAAATGGACCTAATAGATGTATGCAGAACACTTTATCCAATAGCAGCAGAATATACAGTCTTCTCAAGCACATTATCTAGGATAAATAATATGTTAGGCCACAAAATAAGTCTTAAACTTTTTAGAAGATTGAAATCATGTCAAGTATACTCCCCAACCAAACTGAAATCATGTCAAGTATCCTTCCCAGCCAAAATGGTAAATACTATAAATCAATAATAGTAGGAATTTTAGAAAATTCACAATTATGTTGACCTTAAACAACATTCTTCTTAAAAACCAATTAAAGAAAAAATTAAAAAGAAAATAATTTTTTGAGACAAATGAAAATAGAAAACACAACTTATCAAAACTTATGAGACACAGCAAAAGCAGTTTAAAAGGGAAGTTTATAGAAGTAAACTTAATAATAATAGAAATAACTTAATGTTATTAGGTTATTTAATAACTTAATGAAATAACTTAATGTGCAATCTACTGTTGATGGTGCCATATACTCATGTAACAAACCTGCATGCACATGAAACCCTTGTTTCAAAAATAAAATTTGAAATTGTTAAAAATAAACTAAAATAAAATAAAAAGAAAAGAGAATGTAAAAACAACTTCAGAAAACTAGAAAAAGAAACAAAGCTCAAAGCTAGTTCAAGGAAAGAAATGAGAAGAATCAGAGCAGAAATAAATGGAAGATAGAAAAATAATAGAAAAAAATAGAAATTTAGTTTGCTTTTGAAAAGATGACATCAACAAACCTTTATCTAGACTAACAAAAAAGAAGACTCAGAAATAAATAAAATAAAAAATGAAAGAGAAGACATTAAAACTGGTATCTCAGAAATACAAAGGATCATAAGAGACAAATACTATGAACAACTATATTCCAATAAATGTGATAACCTAGGGGAAAAGGAAAATTTTTTAGATGTATACCTAGACTAAATCATGAGGAAATAGAAAATCTGAACAGACCAATAAATAAGGAGATTGAATCAGTAACAAAAAGTCTCCTATCAAAGAAAAGCCCAGGACCTGTTGGCTTCACTGCTGAATTCTACCAAACATTTAAAAAACTAATAGAAATTCTTCCACAAAAATGAAGGTGGGAGAAAACTTTCAGACATACTTTATGAGACCAGTATTATCTTGATACCAAAGCCAAGCAGAGACACACGCACACAAAAGAAAATTATAGACCAATGTCCTTCATGAACATAGCTGCAAAAATCTCCAGCAAAATACTAGCAAACCAAATTCAACAGTACATTAAAATAATCACACACCAACAGCATATCTGAGATGCAAAGATAGTTCAATATAGGCAAATAAATAAATGTGATACAGCATATTAACGGAATGAAGGAAAAACTCATGCTATCATTTCAATAGATACAGAGAAGGCATTTAACCAAATTCAACATTCTTTCATGGTAAAAACTCTCAACAAATTAGGTATAGATGGAATATACTTTAGCACAATATAGGTCATATATGATAAACCATAGCCAACATCGTAATCAACAGTAAAAAGTTGAAAGCTTTTCCATTAAGAATAGGAACAAGACAAAGATGCCTATCCTTACCACTTTATTCAACATAGTGCTGGAAGCTCTTAGCCAGAGCAATTGACAAGACAAAGAAAAAAGCACCCCCATTGAAAAGGAAGAAGTGAAATTGTCTCTGTTCATTGATAACATGATTTTACATGTAGAAAACCCTAAAGACTCCACCAAAAACTTGTTAGAAATAATAAACGAATTAAGTAAAGTTGCATGGTATGAAATCAACACACAATAGAACTTATCTTGCTTTTCTAGCCTGTCTCCTCTCCTAGTATGTAAGCTCCTGACAGTAGAGATTTTTGTCTGTTTTATTTACTTTTGTATATCCAGTGCCTAAAAGAATGTCTGACACATAGTGTCCAATAAAATTTTGTTGAAAGGATTATTATTCATAAATATATACACACACAACTGAAAAGTTTAGTATATTCTTATACAACTTTGAGACATTTAGAAAACAATACAGTGTATTATGCCAAAAGAAAATATATATGCCAGCATTTATATAAATGCATATGCTGTACATGTGCCTACATATTCTGTTTATATGTTTACATATAATTTAAAATCATCAAAAGTATTTGAAATGTCCTTTGCTTTGTCAATGCAAAAGTCACTATTCTAAAGGATTCGTGGGTTAAAACAACTGTTGATTCATGGACAGATTGGTGCTTAGAAGAAAAAGCATATCCTGAAATGCATTTGTTAATAGAAAAATTAATAAATACAGAAAATTTGAAAATAAAGTAGCTACTTCAGCACTAGACTGTAAATAAAGAGCAAGAAAGAGCATGGATGATGTTAGACTGCAGACGTATTACTTTCTGTTTTACCAGGCCTGTTCTCAGAGAAGGGAAAGAATAAGCTCGCTCTCAAGAACTGAGTCAAAGGTGAGGGCTCTACAAGTCCTTAAGATTCTTCAGCTTTTCAGAGCCTGGGGATGCTCTCTAAGAAAGGCTGTCGCATTCCCTCTTGTGAGTGCTCAATCCTGTTGACCTTCAGGGGACACAAGGAGCAGGAAGTGAACTTTGCTGTTGAGCAAGAAGCTGTTAGTCTGATGCTGGTTAGAAGGATGCTGCCCCAGGTAGGTCCAGCAGAGGCGCCTGCTCCCCACACTTTAGGCAGACTGAGGGTTCACCAGTTTATAGACTTGTGTTGTTTAAAAGCAAAAACTGTTTTTCTAATTTTCTGAAAATATGAATGACAAAATTTGTTGTTATTAGAGAACACAAAAGTGGCCATTGTGAAACACAATTGTAATCTGAAAAAGGAAAATTACTACTCAAAGAATGAATTGAGAGAAAGAGAAAGTTGCATATGCTTGGTGGTTTCTTTACAAATAGATCTGAAGTTACTTTAATAAATAAATGATACGAATTCTTAAGAATATGCATATAAAACATATGCATAACTGTTCAACTGCTTCTTCAAAAATTCTACAAAGATGACTACCAAGATTATAAAATTTAAAAGTTAATAGACAAATGGAATATCGAACTGATCATTGCTTACCTCTAAATTTTTAATCAAGGAATTCAATTGAAAATAATATTTCACAACTTAGAATAAAGAAATAATACAGGAAAAGCAAAAAGCAAACAAAAGTAAAATAACTCCTGCCTCGCCCTATAAGGATAAAGTTTAAAACTAAAAAAAAAAAGTGGTGAGAGACTGAAAAAAGGTCCAATAGGAACTTGGGAAGGGTAAAAGGAAAGATACAGAGAAGCAATTATTAAACATAATAAAGAAAATGTACTGAACTTAGCAATATTCAATCTACAAATTCATTGGTACCAATGAACTATATTTAATGAATGTATGTACCACCCTAGATTTATCTTTATGAAAGTACTGATTGCTAAGGATACTGTGAAAAAACCTTACATATTTCCAGACAGAAAGTACAAGTTTCTCATTACAGACACCAGTGTTGGAATTAACATCAATATTACACCAACAATGAAAATAAAACACATTACACATTATATAAAAAAATCCAAAAATTAATTTAATTAAAATTACCATCCAATTATTGAAAATTCTCTAAATAAGAATAGAAGAAAACTAATAGAATAAGGGCCCTCCAAATCAATAGTAAAATGTTTAAAGCATTTCCAATGAATGGTCAGTATTACCAGTAAATAGGAAGTATTGATCACAGACAGGAATCTGTAGTAGCAGAAGATGGCATCAATATTAGAGAAAGAATTAAGTTAGTAACTTCAGGAGAAGCAGTAGAGATATGACTTGGTGTTCTGCATGGGGAATCAGAGCAAGATAGACTATTGCTTGGGTTTATTCCCACACTACTCTTACCTTGGAGGTATGAGCGCCAATGTGGTGTGGTTGGTGGCAGAGAAAGCATACACACGTAGTCAAGATCACCAATGCTGGCAATGTCATTTGAAGGTTCTAGTTAATGACATAGAAGGATGTGTCGTGAATGAGAAAATGAAAAGAAGAGCAAACTCTCTCACTGCAATCTGATGCCATACTTAGAATAAAGAGGCTCTTCTAAAAACAACTATGATACGGTAAAATGGCCGAGCAATAGAAATTCATGGTAATCAAAATATCTTTTTCTCCATTTACTAGCTATAAGACTTAAAGTAGAATTTAAAAAAAAAAAACTCTTTTGCAGTAGTAAGAATCATTTTCTTTGATAACAAGCTATCCAAATGTAAGAAAAACCAATAATTTTGTGTTGGCCGGATTTCTACTTTGCATCCACCTCTGTTCTTGTTCTATCAAACTTGGTCTGTGCACATGTATTCTCCACTTCTCTCTCCATCAGATTCTCTTCCTAACAATCAAAGACTCATAGAAAAGGCCTTTCACAGTCCAGACACTTGCTTTTAGGGAAATCTGTTATTCTGAGATCTGAAAAATATTTAACTTTCTTCTTCATCCCTTATCTTGGCATAAATTTCACATTTTGCCACATACTCTTTGTCATTTATAGTTGAGGTTCATTACTGTTTCTTCATTAATTTCCACTTTAAAAAATGGTTTATTTGCATTTCAATGTGGGAAAGCTATAAAGAAATTATTGTGGGCCCTTTGCTTTTATTGTGAAGTTAATGTCTAACTCATATATGTTATAAAATGTAAAAGAATGATGGGTTTCTTTTAGTTCTGTATTTATCTTTGGAAGACTTCAGGTTCATTTGATTGCTTGATTAATAAGAAATAAATTATGTAATAAGCCCTATGATCTTATCACTTTCATTTAGTATTAAATGCCCAGTACCCAGTACCTATTCTTACCACTTCTATTCCATTCTCTTACCAGTCAAGAGATACTATAATTTTAGTTGTGCAAATGGGGCACTTTACATACAAAGACATAGATAAAACTTAAAAAAATAAAATATCTGTATTAATATCAGACAAAGTAGAAGTCTTCACAAGGAGTATCACAGGATGAAGGACATTTTGTAATGATGAAGAGGTTGATTGATCAAAAAGACATAGCAAACTACCTCTTTAATATACCTATTTAATAATGTTTCAAAAATACAGCAAAAACTGTCAGAAGTGAAAATAAATAGATAAATTCCAATTACAGTTGGTGGTTTAATAGTTCTCTTGCAGTAATTGAAACAATATGTAGGAAAAAAATAGTAAGAATACAAAATACTAAAACAGCAGTACTGATTTACTTGCCCTAACTGATAAATTTACAGTAGTTACATCCATCTAGAAGCTCATTGCCAAAATCTCTACTTCTATTTCAGGCCCTGAAAGATTCCTGGGAAGCATTGAAATCATCTTTATCAAACACATTTGGAATTCACATTACTGAATCTCAGCTGACACTTCATTGCTATTTGGAAATATTGTATTCAACCTTTATTTATTCTACATCTCATTCTTCAGATAACAATGTGCTACTTTCCACTTTCCACACACATATGCTTAATTAATTTTGTCTATCCAAAAATTACAGAAGCATAAAAGGCATTTTGTTTACAATATGTATTAATGTTTATATTTGTTATAAAAACAAATTGAAGCAATAAAGTTTAGTTACTGTTTAAAGCATATCCAAGGTAATCATCCCACTTAAAATTAAAAGTACTGCAGGTAATTGAACATTAATATTTTCTCTTTTTTTAAATGACACGTCTATTCTAAACAGTCTCAGAAAATGTTTCCAAACTTGTGTCAGGTTTTTCTTTACTGTTGCCATAATCAACAGGTCCCGTTGCCTTTATTTTCTATTTAATTGCTTCTGCTTATTGAACATTATATTAATCTTCCTAAACTGATATTTTTATAATTTTATTCCTCAGCTGCTCTCAATGCCTGAGTTCAACTATTTTAGGTCCACTTTCCACTTATCTTTTGAGCTTTTTCTGCCTTTTCCTCCCAAAACAACTGTATGTACCAATAAAATTATTCTGGACAACCCCTGGATGTTTTAATCATGTTTTTCCCTGAATTTTGGCTACTTTTGCTTGCCTGTTTTCAGGTTAAAATACATTTTAGCACTGTGTAATGGAAAGTAGATAGGTCTTGGGGTCAATACCTGGGTACAGATATGAACTTTGCAAATAGATAGCAGTGCGAACCATGGCTATTAACTTAAACTGTCTGAGCCTCAGTCAATGGAATTTTGGTAACTAAGTTGTATAAAATGTGTTGGGTGCCAGGCACATAGCACATGTCAGTTAGTGATACTCTCTTCTTCCTCAACCTCTCCAAATCTATAGTCTTAGCTCAGATTCCATCTCTGTCAAGAAAACTTCCTTGAGCCATGGGCTCTGGTTTACTTTCTCTTTTAATCTGTTATTATTTATTACACTTCCTTTACATGTACATCTTGGAGCCTTCTGTTTTTCCTTAGCGTTGAGAGGTCTTCTTATGTATGTTAAATACATTAATTAGATTATAAACTACTGAAGTTCTTTTATCCCCACTGGTATCTGAAAAAACACCTTCAACTCTATAATTTTTTTTGTTTGTTTGTTTTTTGTTTTTGTGAGTTTTATAGCTCTTAAAGGCGGTGCAGACCCAAAGAGTGAGCAGCAGCAAGATTTATTGCGAAGAGCGAAAGAACAAAGCTTCCACAGTGGGGAAGGGGACCCAAGCGGTTTGCCCTATAATGTTATTTTTAATTGATTTAAACTTTTTCATCATTATTTTATTCCACTTATTTTATTTTTGTTGTTTTTACTCACAAGTTTAAGTGGAAAAAAATCAAAGCATATTTTAGAGAGATACAATGAAAAAACATTCCAGTGTGATTCTAAAGTAAGGAATGCAAATCTCAGGGTTACAATGGTTTATTTTAAAATCTTTCACTGCAACAATATGTAATTGTGCTAATCGATACTGTATATTTCATGAATAATAAAGAATGGATTTTTCCTCTTTTTGTGCTGTGCTTGAACAGACTGACTTTTTTTCTGATGAATTATGTTATACATTCTATTTTACTATGCAAGATAGTTGCCCTTAATTTAAATATGATACTAAAAATAATTTAAATGATTTCATAAACTTTTTGCCTATATATTTCCCCTAACAAGGCAAGCATTTCAATGTGCTCTCATATTTCTTTTATCTCTCCATTTTTCTTCTTTAAGTAATACTACATAAAATTTAAGGTAATATTTACAATTTTTTAATATGAGTCAATATTTTGTTTATAACATAAACAAATGGACTTAACATTTCTTTAGAACAACAATTATTATTATCATTATATTTAATTACACTTATTTCCCACATGCCTTGCAACACATTCTAGATTTATTTATTTACTTACTTTCATGCTTCTTGCAAAAGAGGTTTCAATGTCTGCTTTGATGTGGTAATCTTTTTGAAACCCCATATACCTGAAAATACTATTATGCTTTCATACTTATATGATAATTTAGATGGATATAAAATTTTAGTGTCCAATTTTTCCCTTCATTTTCCAAAATGTCACTCTAATGGCTTCTGCAACCAAAGTTGCAACTAATTCCGATGCCAACCTAGTTCTTATTCCTTCCTTAGTAATCTTATTCTCCTGTTAAGCTCCTAACATTTTACCTTTGTATTTAACCATGTTAGATTTATTATAAGTCTTGGTGTGAGTTTTCCCTGATCCCTCCTGTGTGGCTCATTTATGCTCTTTCCATCTGGGAACTTGAAAAAGTCTTTTGATCTGGGAAATTTATTTCAATTTTTCTTCATATATGTATTAATCTCTGACTTAGTTTCTATTTTTGTAAGACTCTTGTTTTCATGCTTCTATGAATTCTACTTCTGTCCTCCATGTTGCTTAGATTTATTTCACATACATTCTTTATTTCTACTTTTATTTTGGATGCTGAGAGAATTCCTCAATCTGTTCTTCCAATTCCCCAATTAATTACTTAGCTATTTCAACTTTACTGTTCTCCATCAGATACTTGAACTATTATACAATTTTTATATCTAATGCTTTTACCCAGCCATTTATTATCATTTCTTGTGTTGTTCCTTAATTCTTTATATATATTTTCACTTTCTTAAAATTATTTTCTTTCAGTAACTCTGTTTCAGGTAGCATATGTTGTGCAGTTTGTTGTTTTTATCTTGAGAGGTCTTGTTATTTTGTCCTGTGAGTACATGTTTTTTTTTTAAATTTTATTATTATGAAACTTTAAGTTTTAGGGTACATGTGCACAACGTGCAGTTTTGTTGGTTGCCAACTACTCTGTCTGGTCACTTGTGTTGAAGAAGAGTGAAAAAGACGGGTTCAGTATCCATCCTTAGGAGTTAAGGAGAAGTTAGGACATAAATCCGGTAGAATTAAGCACCAAACTTTACAGAATTACTATTGACCACTTTCATTTCCTGTTACTTTGTCAAACAACACTTCTGGTTAGGATTTTCCTTTTAAATGCTTCGGTAGCATCAATATTTGAAGGAGCTTAACTCCACCTGCTCAAATGATTTAACTGAAAGGCATACACGTATAAATATTGTAGGCCAGTGGGTCAATTCAGACTTGTTTTCACCAACTCCTTACATTGCAGTTGGCCTTTGGAGACAGGATTCTGACTGCTTCTTACCATATACCATCCTCTATCCTACCCTTCCTTCCCTCTGCTCTCATCATATTTGCCTATATTTTGTTCACTCCGCACAGCATACTCAGCCTCATATCAAGTTCTTTGTACTCATTCTCTTTTCTGCTTAAAACACGATTCTTCCAAATTTTGCATGATTGTCTTATGCTCAGACATCTTCTCAAAAAGACCTCTACTGTTGCACTGGCTAAAGCCACACCCCAATACCCGCAATCTTCTCTTATGCATCCAAAATCTTCTTCTCATTGGCACCAAAAATATTCCTTCTTACATACTTCATGTGCATTTATTTTCTGCACCCTCTGAAAAAAAATATAGATCATGATTTGAGGGCAGAGACTCAGTGTGCCTTACTCACTATTATATTTTTGGCATCTACAATACATAGTTTGACATATGGTACATTTTAATAAATATATTTTGATTGACTTACCAAACACTTTAAAGATTCTAGCTTGGATCACTGAAGAAATTTTGATGTTATTTTCTGTGCTGGATCTTAAAAGGTAAGATTATATGAAATAGAATAGATTTTTAAAAATAGGCCCATAAAATTTTACTGCTTTGACACTGAGTGTAGGATAAGTACTCAATATTAAAGAGTGCATCTATCTAAAAATATAATTTCCATAGGGGGGTGTGTGTGTGTGTGTGTGTGTTTATGATAGGAGTGATATCATGATTTGAAATAATATCATGAATTAGTAGGAGAGTTTCTATAACTTTACAGAGTTTAGCCAAATTTGTTTGTGTTCTAAATTCCAGAAGATATTTCCAGCCTAACGTTTTCACACCCAACTGTGATGCAGAATTGTTATCATACAATCACAATCTATCATCCCAGAGACAATTAGAGACCTGGTGATTTCAAGTCTAAGGTGTGCTCTAGGATTGATGCTAAGGCAGTCTCCAGGGAAACTAAAGGTTGGTGATCAGTATAACTGAACACTCTCTTGAAAAAAGAAAACCTGCAACTTTAGGCACAGGGGTCATATCCACGGCTTTCAATTTTACAGAAGGCACTTATTACCAGTGCTTAAAGAATGAGCATTTTTCCCACTTGCTGTTTTATCTTGATTTACTTTTTTCTCAACATTTACATTCATGATTTGCATCTACCTTTCCTGACTGCCAGTATAAGCATTGGCTTCCTTAAATTTCCACTTCATAGGGTAAAGACAATTTCCATGTAATGCTGTCCTACAGGTACATGCATCTCAAGCTACTAGGAACATAGTTAGAATCAGTCAATAAGTCAACAGCCTGCTCCAGCAATTTGTATTGTTCTACAGATAGAAGGCAAATGCAATTTTCATCATTTTATAGAAAGAAGCAAGGCGGTAGAAGAAGCCTTAGTAGAAGATATTTTCTGAGCGTACTCCTTAGCTTTTGATTTGTCACATTTCTAGAACCCTAGGACCTAGAAACTTGTGCAATTAGTTGGCTGACAACCAGCAACGATTCTGTTGCTAGTAGTAATTGATAAACTGCTGGAGGGCTCTTTTGGAAAAATCCTGGATCTTCGTTTCTGATGTTCAATTAGGCAGGCTATAAGAGCAGCTGATGTGCTTTTTCTTCCCAGATTAAATTACTATCTTAATAGAGAATGTTTGAAGCCAAAATCACTTGAATATTTGGGATAATAGACTTTTGCAAAAATGAAATTGTTTCCAATATTGAGTACAATGAGAAATTTTCTGATTATAAAAAAACATACCTTGCTGGAGGATTATTCAATCCTCATATTATATATTGCTCTCTTCTTGAGAATCCTCACATATGCCCAGGTGACAACGATGTTGAAGCTATGACATAATTACTGCATTATAAATTAGGGTTAAAAACCAAAAAGAGAATTAAGGCGAAATATCTATTATCTGTATTATTATTTTGATGTATTTAGCATTAGTTTAGATGAGCATTGTTTAAAGTATTTTTAAGTAGAATGTTTTCAGTCATAACTGTCAACAATAAAGTGTAATAAGTGATACAAAGCTAGTGTTATTAAGTGGTAACTGTTTTAAAATTATTTTTCTCTGTTTAAAATCAATTGCAGTAATAGAAATGACATGATTTTTGGCTACTTGGGAGCATGTTGTAATCTTCCCAAGTGAACAGATCATCATCACTCCTCCAAAGAAATACCCAAAGGAGAAACATTAGCTTCATTTACCCTGTCATGGCCTTAAACCTTTTGAACATTATCTTTAAGTCCTCGATTATTATTTTCTGTTTAGCAGTGGAATGTAAACAAACCTCATCATTTTTTAAAAGTCTCACACTAGGCTTTTTCATAACACATTAACTATAATAAGCAGAAGAGGCGGGGTGCTAACTGCTATAGTGGTTCGATCCATTTGCTAAATGATGAGAACATCAGTAGTTCATAAGAATTAGCTGCTAAAACATTTAAAGTCAGACAAACCAAGCCCGGCAATGCAGATAGTAATCTTTTGTGTGTACTAGTTGGCATTCAGACACTTTCTTTTCAGTATGAAATTTAAATTCATTTTGCTTCTTGCAGCAGTTTATATGATCAAAGATGGCAGATGTATAATGTGTCTAGTCTGATTGTTCAAGGTACTGGTCAGGCCCAGCAGACAGTATGCAGATGTCTCGTACTTAGTGAAAATCAGTCCTACAAATTGTAAAATGCACATTGAGTGTCATCTGCTGAGAAGAACCAATTATACAAAAGAAACTGAAATAGCATAAATATCAAAATATGAAATAATTATTGGAATAGAGGACAATTCACTCCTAAGTTTGTATCATGTTATCTGAGTCCAGTTCTTACATTGCTGATGTCTCAAAGTTTTATGTCACCAAACCATTGAATATAGCAGTGGAATTTTTTTTCTTATTTAATGTATTGCTTTAATACCTGATGTATACTTACATATTCATAAAAAAGTAATTTTAATTATTTTTCTAAAAATCTCATTTTAAAATATTTAAGTGGGCTCCTGAAGCATAAGTAACAATAACAAATGATAAGGTTTTTAAGCACTTAACAATTTTTAAGTCAGAATACTAATAAATATACACAACATGATCGATATTAGTAACTGTGACAGGCAGTGCTTAATTAAGTAAACTGATTGTTGGAGTTACGAGACTGTGTCCTAAAAAATTAAGACAATCATTGCTTCACTAGCTTTAATATTTAAAAAAAGTGGTGTTAACTGAGATGAATATATTGCCAGTTATAATAAGATGAAGAGGAGATTTTTAATCTGCAAAATCAAAGGGAAAATTCCTACATAGCTGCACCATACTGAAAATTTGTTTTGGCAAATGATTCTTTAATGGCTCAAATTCAGCGCCGATCTTATAAAACAACCTTAATACACACAAGGAAGTGAATAGCTGAAATCCTAAAATCCTTAAATCATCAATGTTTCAGACTAAATGATTTTGCTCAGGCTAAATCCACATAGAGTTCTTTATTTTTCATAAGTCCCAACTGTAATCCTTCATTAAAATTTTGATTGAGTCCTAAAGATATAAACCTCTGTTAGACAAACTTTTCCACTAACAATTTTTGCTACGAGTACAATTAATTTCCATCTCTTTTTGTACATTGGCAGTATAACTAAAGGGAACATCTTGAAATTGGTTTTACCACTATATAATTATGCATTTTCCCTAACTTTCTAATGAGAGATATGTTATTAATAATATCACCTTCCAGCATAATTTTGCCTTTCATCTGACTTAAAAATTTCTCCAATTAAATTTTTATAATATCAAGAAAAATTTGAGACAGAAACAATTTAATTTTACTATCTATTAAGCACAGCTTCCAGGAATGAAAACTATCATGTATATCACAAAGAGTACAGCTTCAACTCCAAGAATTTTAGAGTGATTGTATCCTTCCTCAATAAAGAAATGTTACCTATTCCCTATAGGAAACTGGCTGAGGAAAATGGAGTTCCAAGTTCACATAAAGTAAGACAGATACAGGCATTGGGTTTGATTTTATTTTATTGGAAGGCACTAGGTAATTATTTAATCATATTCCAAAATACATGAAGACAAATATTGACTTACTCTTACTGTTTGCAATCTTGACCTTTAGTTAACATAGAGAAAGAGTGACTTAAGTCAGGAATGCAAAACACAGAGGTGGCCATGGCCATGGCACCCATAGGTTTTGTTCAAGGTTACAAACATCGCTTTCTCTTTTCTTTCTTTTTGTACAGTAATGATTTTAAGTGAAAAAAAATCTTTTCTGCATTAAAAATAGGCAGTTTTTACCCTTTGCTCTTGTGGGAAGTGGACCAGCTCCTCACCGCCCCCTAACAAGGTCCTGGAGTTCCTTCTGTTAGATTCTGCTGGTAGGTAAGCATTCTAGAGGGAGACTGAAAAGTAGGAAGAAGGGAGATGTGACTTTCTTCCTGTTTTCTAGGAAACAGCAGCAGCACTGGGCTCCAGTCGCCAACTTCTGCTGTCATTTTTTGCACCAGCTGCAAGAAGCTTCCTTTCACAGGTCTGATCAAGAGTCCATTAGGATGGCTCCTCTGAGCCTGGAGATTCTTGGAATACTAACTCTTCCCTTTTGTTTCTTGAGTCCTAGAGAGAGTAACTGCTTTCTGTCATCTTTAAACTCTGGATTATCTGATTTTTGCCTTTCAGTAATGTAATAAGCAATTTCCTGTATTGAATTTATGTTTCAAGTACTTATTGCAATTTTCAGTTTCCTTGAATGGAACCGATTGGGAAGCCATTGAATGGAATTAAGCAAGATACTGACACTATTAGACTTGTGGTCTGGAGTAATTACGTCAGTTGCATTACAAAGAAGAGATTGCAGAAAGCAAGGGTATAGATATGATTGTTAGCAGTTTGGAAACTATTTTAATAGATCAGAAAAGACTGTGGCTAGGATTATTGTGATAGTAATGGAAAAATTAGATGGATTCAAGATGTAGGACATAATATTGGTAGGATTTGGTAATGAATCAAATATGGAGAATTAGAGAGTAGAGTAAAAGAAAAACAAGTGACAGGATTGTATATGATACCATTTGCTGAGATAATTATTACTGGATATTGATGAAGTTTGGAAATAAGATCACAGGTTCACTATTGAAATAATAGAATTTGGATTGCCTATGAGTCATCCTAGAAGACATATCCAGTAATAAGATGTGTTGTGAGTCTTGTGCTAATACTAGAAAAGGTCTGGGCTAGGGCTGTACATTTATGTAAGTGTGTTTATAGGTAAGATGTTGACACCATGTGTCTAATGAAGAGTAAACAGAATGAAGATATCTACCATCAAAGCTTGAGGAACTTCGGCATTTAATGACCTAGTAACCAAGGAAAAAACTTCAAAGGAGATAAAGAAGTATGTCAAGTGCTAAGAGGAAAACAAACATGTTACTGTGTCAGAAGAGATAATGAAAGGAAACACTTAGATAAGGAGTAATAACCAATATTTTCAATGGCTGATGAGATTTAAAACAATAAGCTTAGCTATTTTGAATTAGTTTGAAGTGGGAAATTAAGGATAGGGAGAGTTTCTAAATGGTAAGGAAAGCCCCATTCTGTTTCCAAAGAAATTATGAATGCAACACTTACCTTTAGCATCTGGTTAGTATTTCTGTATTTTAAATATTTTTAAAGCAAAGAAAATAATTAAAATTATTTGCGGCATCTTTCTAACCACAGCTGCTCTTCTTTCAACCTTTAACTTGTCTTTGTCTTTCTCCAAGAGACAATTTTAATCAACAAATTATACAAGGATCTCAGTGTCTGATAACAGGTACATGCTGTATACATTTGGTGATGGTATTGATAACTGCATTTCACAATTCCCATTTCACAGAGTCAGAAATAAACTGTTCCTTACTCAAATCATAAGAAATCATGACCAAGAAGATAATCTGTTTCTCTAGGAAAATGGCATTTTGAATATTGGAATTCCTGCCCCTTAAATAAGAACAAAGCTTATTATTATCATAAAACTTGAACAGTCCATTAGCTCCAACTCATAATCTCCCATTCTGCAGCCCTACCCTAAAAAAATTCAGCTGATAATGATTCTCAGTGAGCACAGACATTATGAAAATACATTATTACTGAGTAAATTTCTATTGCAATTTTGTCCACAATTACCACCTTATTGAAAATCTATGATGTAGTGCTTTATGGTCTGAAGCCTGACAATTAAACTGAAACAATATTCATTGATTTTTAAGGCTCTCAATACCCGGAACACAGGTTATTAATAATGAAAAAAGTGACTTCTTAGGCAAATGAACCAGCGATTTGGCAATGGTTTTGCTAATTTCTCTCTGAAACACATTTCCTAGAGGATTTAAAGAATGTTATTTGGTTACTAATTAGCTAATATACATAACTCTTCGATCTGGCATTAAGTGGGTCAGGATTTTAAGTGTACTTTGTAAGGCTTTAATAATTGTACCTGTGAATAGTGCTATTGAGCCATCATGGAAGGATATGAGCTTTGAATTGCTTTTCAAGGGGTAGGGTGGATTTGTAACATAGTTGGTGTCTATATCTTTATACCTATGAAATGAAATCAGACAAAATGTTCTGGCTCTGCTGCTCAGCTCACTAGCTGGGCAAGTTGTTTAACCTGTCTATATCTCACTTTCCTATTGGTGAAATGGGAATCTAAGCAATACCTATCTTATTTGGGCATTGTGAATGTGAAATATTCACAATGAATGGATGAAATATATTCATCCTCTCATCCATTCATTCAACCAATATTTTTGTGGTGTCCACTTGGTCAAGGATGATTTTCTGTTCATTGAAATTATGGCATTGAACAAAGAAAACAGTGATCATTGTCATGACTCATATAATAAGGAGAAAAAAATTAAAAAAGAAAATGAAGTTGCCAAGTGGTATAACTGATAGGAAGAAAAACAAAGGAAGATAAGGGAAAAGAGAGTATATGGTGGGAGGGCAGTCAGTGGAGGCATTTCTGAGGAGGTGATATTTAGCAGAAGCATTTACGAAGATAGGGAGCAAGCCACAAAAACGTATGACGGGAAGCGTTCCAGGTTGAATGAACAGCAGTATAAAAGTTCCTTTTCAGACCCTGACTGAACCAGAGAAAGACCATGAACCTCTTTCCACTGTGGATTTTCAACGTATCTCATAAGAAAGAAATATCCGGCGGGGCGCAGTGGCTCACGCCTGTAATCCCAGCACTTTGGGAGGCCGAGGTGAGCAGATCACGAGGTCAGGAGATCGAGACCATCCTGGCTAACACGGTGAAACCCCGTCTCTACTAAAAATACAAAAAAAAATTAGCCGGGCGTGGTGGCGGGCGCCTGTAGTCCCAGACACTCGGGAGGGAGGCTGAGGCAGGAGAATGGCATGAACCCGGGAGGCCGAGCTTGCTGTGAGCCAAGATCGCACCACTGCACTCCAGCCTGGGCAACAGAGCAAGACACCATCTAAAAAAAAAAAGTTCTTTTTCTCTGAAGCACATTTTCCAAATACTACATGTTGCTTTTTGTTACTCATCATTATTACCCATACGGCTTTTAACTCATTCACAAAAATATGGAGCCCTCAACATGTGCTGTTTGTCCACGAAAGCCCTGCTCTTCGTCTTCTTGCATGTGGGGCAAAGCTCCTCCGATATACAGGTATAAATCAGAACAGGTAAGAACAGGTGATGTTCTTAATCACTTGCTACTTGCCAGGCCCTGAGCTGAGCACTTTTATGTCCATTATCTCATTTGAATCTACATACAAGCATATGAGAGGGCTTCTATACGATTCTCATTTCACGGCAGATGAAGCAAAGACAACAGAGAATAAGAAACTAAACCACTATCTCATAGCTACTAGCAGAGACTGAATTTGAATTTAAGCAAGTGCAGGTGTAATATTGAATCTATTCTCAAAGTGTGTGTGTGGACGTTTGTATCCACCACTGTAGTTGTGGAGAACAGGGAATATGCAATCCAAAACCACAGGCAATCCTGATAATAATTTTTCTGTAGTAAAAATATCCACGAAGTGTAGGAGACTGTGTTTTATTGACTTATAGTCAACTCTTGATTTTTTCATAGCAGAACGTTAAAGTAAATAATTGAAACTAGCATAAAATTCAAGTCCTTTATATTGATTTAACACTTCAGTTAATTTGTGTTACTATCATCATTATTTATTGATTTCACTAGTATAAAATTAGCTTTTTAAACATTTCAGAACACATTTACTGACCCTTTAAGACTACGTATAATAAGAGAAAAAGACAATGTAGGACTCAGAAGTATCTTCTTGTTTTACGTATTTCACAGTGTTGAGAAGAAATTATAAAAGCTACAACTCTTTCAATTGTGAAGTAGAAAACCTTGCCACTCCATATTGGCCAAAATGATGTATTTGACTCCTGTTCTGGATATTTCTGTGATACCTTTATTTAAAGGTGCTCCAAGGATTTAGTTTATTTGCATTCTTAAAAATTATAGATTGTACTTTTAGATATTTTCGTTTGTGGCAATCATTCTTCTACTTAATGATAATAGATAACTCTTATTAGACAAAAATCACTTGAACAATCAAAATGAGTCATACATTTGAAAGGAGAAATTACTATGGTAATTGTTAAGTAATCCATGTTAATTCATAAATAATTATATTGCACTTTTTTGAGGGTCATAGACTGATTCAGAAGGTGATGTCAAATTGCAGTTTCAAACATATTCATTTTTGCCATGGTCTTGTAGTTTTTAATCCCTTCTTTTCATCCATGAACATTGATGATTACTGTTCTCTTAATAAAACATAAAGTTATTTAGTGAAAAATCACCAAGTTCTTGTGCAGTTAAGTTGGAATAAATTTAATTTGCTAGTTTTTAGAAATTCCCCTTTCTACTGACAATTTATTTTCACCTTATTTAATGGAATTTGTTTTACAGTAGTGCTTTTCATTTAGGAAGCTTGTTATATTTGCAAGTGGTTAAGACAGTAGGTCTTATGTGTTTTTTACCATCACAATTAAAAATTCGAAGTTTAAAGAAAAGAAACAATTAGAAACACATGCAACTGAGGTCAGTTCTATAAAATTAACTTTGAAATAAAAAGGGGCTCTCTCTCTCTATATATATTTTTTACACATACATATATATTTATGAATAGTTTATATATCTATGTATAACCAAACACACACACACATATATACATTTATATATATATATATATATATTCTGTTTACAGAGATTCTAATATGCAATTGTGCAAAGGGAAATGTTTTTGAGGCTAGCATATTGTTGATGGGGCAATTGTGGTGAAATTATCAGAAAATTAATGGAAATCTGTTCTGTAATATAGAATAGACTTGAACTGGGTTATATAGTCTGCTTGTCCCGCTTCCACACACCCCCACCCCGGCCCCTGCAAATCTGTATATCCAGAACCTATGAATATTACCTTATTTGGAAACAGGGGCTTTCCAGATGAATAAGGTTAAGATGAGGTCATATTAAATTAGGGGGACCTCTAATTAAATAACTGATGTCTTATAGGAAAAGAGAGATTTGGATACAGACAGAAATGGGGGAAAATGCCATGTGAAGACAAAGGCAGAGCCTAGAGTATTGCCTTTATAAGGCTCAGGATGTCAAAGATTGCTGCCAGTTACCAGAGGTGAGGAAAGAGGCACGTAACAGATTTTCCTTCAGAGCCTCCAGAAGGAATCAACCCTGACAACACCTGCATTTTGAACATCTGGCCTCCAGAACTGTGAGAGAATAAATTTCTGTTGTTTTAAGCCATTGTTTTTGTGGTGTTTTGTTATGATATCCCTGGTATCCCTAGGAAACTAACACAACATACTTTTACCTTTTTTTTTTTTTTTTTTTGAGACAGAGTTTCACTCTTGTTACCCAGGCTGGAGTGCAATGGTGCAATCTCAGCTCACTGCAACCTCTGCCTCCCAGGTTCAAGCGATTCTCCTGCCTCAGCCTCCCAAGTAGCTGGAATTACAGGCGTGCACCACCACACCTGGCTAATTTTTTGTATTTTTAGTACATATGGGGTTTCACTATGTTAGCCACACTGGTCTCAAACTCCTGACCTCAGGTGATCCACTCGCCTCTGCCTGCCAAAGTGCTGGGATTTATAGGCATGAGCCACCGTGCCCAGCCACTTCTACCTTTTTACATGTGGACCTTAAACCTAAACTTTCTGATGACTCACTGTCAATTTATACTCATGAATCACAATTATTTTATTGCATAATTAATTATAACAGAACACATTATCTATGTTTTAACTCTTTTGTTTCTGTGTCTGTTCATAGTCTATCAGTGGACACTTCTAAAATCAATGATTTTTTCTACTCTAAATAGCCTTCTATTTCTGCCATGCTTATGGTCTGAGAAAGTGTATCTGGTTGATTAGAATGGGTGTTAAGATATAATAAACTAACTCTTTAAAAGGATAACAGGTAACGCACATTATGTGATTTCTTGTCACTTATATTGGATGACCACAAGCTTTTAAATTTATGTCTGTACAAAGTTTTGTTCATGAAAGTGAAAATTACCTTATTTCAGTAAATGTTTTTGAATTATGAATAATACACTAAGTTCAGAGGCTTCCAAGTAAATCATTACAATATATATTTTTGATTATATAGTTTTCTATTTATAATATCACTTTTTTTCAGATGGAGCAAATTAAGCCCTAAAGAATAGGTCATCATTTATTAATAAGGATAGTGCCTTGCCTTTTTCAAAGTTTTGAAATAAAATATGATATAAACAATTTAATACAGAGTGAAATTTTGAGGTTTGTATTTTTCCTGATTTGGCCTGGACAAATTTTACCTGGTAAATTCCAAGAAGTTTAATAATGCAGTATGTGGTCCTTATCAAAATTTTAAAATGTTTCCATTCTGGAGATATTGTCAATATCTAGTGTTATAATTTGGTGATAATCGCCTTTCATTTGGTTGATACTTTAGAACTGTTATCTGAAATTATAGTAGATAAATCATGAACAAAATTGTGCATGTCTAAAGATATGGAAAATAAAGATGGACAGATGTTACTGCTAACTATTACTTAGAACAGAGTCAATTCCTTTGTTTCTCACAGATTTTCCAATGCCATATCTTATACTTATGTTTTCATTTTTCTATATGTATTTTCATGTGATAATGTTCAACCTTGTAGATAATTATAAGACTATAGGTTCTTGTTGGGCTCGGTGGCTCATGCCTGTAATCCCAGCACTTTGGGAGGCCAAGGCAGGCGGATCACCTGAAGTCAGGAGTTTGAGGTCAATCTGACCAACATGGAGAAACCCTATCTCTACTAAAAATACAAAATTAGCCAGGCATGGTGGTGCATGCCTGTAATCCTACCTACTGGGGAGGCTGAGGCAGGAGAATTGCTTGAACCCAGGAGAGGAGGTTGCAGTGAGCCGAGATCACGCCATTGCACTCCAGCCTGGGCAACAAGAGCGAAACTCCATCTCAAAAAAAAAAAAAGAAAAAAAATCAAGTTAATATCTGTCATATTTGCTTAACTTTTAATGAATTTATTGTGGGTATCTCAGACTACTTGAAAAGCTTAATATCTATGCTGTACACTATTATTTATTTTAGTCACTTGGTAAATTTAGGTTGAATTTCCCAAGCCATAAAAAAAATGAAAATCCAGACTTTTCCTTTCTTTACAAAAAAAACTTAAAAATAAGAAGCAATATGTTTATTAATGTTATAAATTTTTTAACTTTCAATTTTTAAAAAATCAATGACATTTTAAAACATTACAATGTCTCACTTAAAATTTTTAAAAATGCGCTCTGCAATAACTGCTTGATTCTGGGAGATGGAGAAGCGGCATGGGGGGCAAAGGAAGCTTTTCACTGTCCTTGCCATTGTTTCTCAGTCTATTAAGTTGATATTGGGAAACATATAAACATCTGGAGCTTTTGTGTGTGGAAATCAGTCCCACATTACAGTTCCACACTGTATGTGATGAATCTATTCAGTCTCTTTGCCAAACAGTACTGCACATTCTAAGATATTGTAGGGAACTATACCACAGAAAACAAGACCCATGTGCACAAAACTTAAAAATACGTAAAAAGAAAAATTATTCATTGCTCAGCAAATAAAATCTAAGAATGAAGAGTTATACATAGTAAAAAAATAAGCTTTCTAAATTTTTAATTTAAAAGTTGGTATTCATTTCTTCCATCATGATGGGACCTTGATTTACTTGTTGATCAAATGTGCTAGTTAACTTTGTAGAGTTTAAATCAAATTACCTATTAAAGCTAGTTTCTTGGATGGTAACATGTATGGTATGCCAAAAAAATTAGAAATAAAATGAGACAAATTTAAATGATTTTAACACATAACTATTAGACAAAATTTATCCTTCCACACACATTTGTAAGACTTGTTTCCAGGTATTTGGAAGTAACTTCGGAAATTTGACTTGAAATGAATACATATTCATTTTTTCATCTTAAGAAGTCTTTAGACATTACATATGCTTCAGCAGGAGCCTAATGGATGAATTAGATCTCTCAAAGCTAAGTTATAAGGAAATCTTTATCAGCAATGTCCCATGCAGAAGTAGAATGCTAGATATTATAATTAAGTACATCCCCAATCCTCCATGAATTGGCAGATTATATAAGATTCACAATCGCTCTCATTCAACAAACTGAATATCAATACATTGATGTTGCATTCACCTTCTCTAAATAGAATGAATTTCTGACACACAAAAAAGTTGGAATGAACATTGAGGAAAATGAATTTAAACCTAAGGTGGGTGAAGGGTTTATAAGAAAACCCCTAGCAATTTTAAATGTGTTCATTTCTCCAGGTCTGAGGACTTGTCAGGGAATAAAGACATTTCACCATGGAGACCACTGGCAGGGGCTCTGTGTGAGCCACTGAAGACGGAGAGGTGCTGGGAGATGCCTACTCTGATCCTCTGAAAGGGAAAGCAGGTGCCTTTTGTAAACTACATGTCTGTGACCTTGACATCAATTCCCCAAATGATTCTAAATCCAATTATTAAACGAATGATTTGTGAGCCCCTAGGAGAGGAAGGCGTAATCATTAAGACCCACCATGGGCACACTAAGTACAATTCATGCCACACTAACCTCATTTATTTTTCAGGCAGGGTTGATGGACTAGCAGATCAGGGAAAATAGACATGCATATCAGTGGAATGCAAATATCTAAAGGAAAGAACCATGACAGATCTGGTGGCCTGGGGGTTTCATTTTTCTGATATTTGGGGAGTTTAGCAGGAATTTGGCTCAGGAACACTCAGTTAGCTCAGAGATAGATTGGGTGATGACAGCCTTGAGTGCCAGAGGCTCTCTTTCCTAATAAAGCCATCTCTTTGACTGGCTAGAGTGTTGCCATTGCTACATAATGGTACAGAGGGTCGTCCCATTTTCCTATCAATATTGATAGTACTGGGCAAGGTGGAGTGGGGTGGGGGTTGTTACTGGAATGCTGATTATGGTGTAACCTCGGCTGTCTAGCTCTGCCTAGCCTAATCTGTAGGACCAGTGTTCCAGAATTGTGTACACACTGTGACTTGGCTACTTTTAATATTTATTTAAGAAAAAATTCTAATGCATATTAACACCAGATCTAGAGATATGTGGCCATAATACCTTTGCAGGGAACAGAACTTCAGAAGAGTTAGGATAAAATCAGCTTGTTAAATGTCTATTATATATACACGAGTAATCTCAGTTCTTTTATGTGTTTATTTCTCCCAGTAACTGCTTTTTTGTCTTTCCCACTGCATGCTTAGGTCCTTAACAACACTTTATTTTCTGGCTCTGCAACTGTTTTGTCACTTGGTTTACTAGAATAGCAGAATTTTAACGTTTAAGCCTCAGACTTATTCCTTTCTAACTTTGGTTTCACGTTTAATTCAAAAATGATCTCACTCCTTTCCCCAGAGCAGACCACCAAAGTATGTACAGCTGCTTAAAGTAGGGGAAGGCAGGTGTGGTCAGACCCCAAAGTCTTGGCTCCTTCTTCATTTTCTAGGCTTAGGAGCCTTTGAGGTTAAGGATAGAGATGAGAAGTGGGAGATTTCTTTCTATTTAGGTATTTATTTATTTAGAGACGGAGTCTTGCTCTGTCACCCAGGCTGGAGTGCAGTGGTGCGATCTCGGCTCACTGCAAGCTCCGCCTCCCGGGTTCACGCCATTCTCCTGCCTCAGCCTCCCGAGTAGCTGGGACTACAGGCGCCCGCCACCACGCCCGGCTAATTTTGTTTTTGTATTTCTAGTAGAGACTGGGTTTCACCGTGTTAGCCAGGATGATCTCGATCTCCTGACCTCGTGATCTGCCCGCCTCGGCCTCCCAAAGTGCTGGGGTTACAGGCGTGAGCCACGGCGCCCCGCTGGATATTTCTTTCTTATGTGATACACAGTTGCAAAGAGGTTCATAGTCTTTCTCTGGTTCAGTCAGCGTCTGTGTAATGTCAGTGGCTCTGATTATGCTGTAGTCTTTGCGAATTGGTGTGCCTGAGTTTCTTGAATTAAGAATCAATTTTGTCTTTGCCTTTTCTAGCTTGAGAACACCACTTCCCAAGGAGGGTTTCCATGTATCCCTTTGTTCTCTTCAGGTATGGATGCCTCATCCTTTCTCCAGGACAGGCTTAGCAATCACCCGGCTTTGTAGTTGCCTGTGGAGATGTGCTGCTCCTGTCCCACCTCCATCCTCTGCGTTCCTCGTGAGAAAGCCACAAGAATGGCAGACCATCTTTTCATATGACCTGAGGTGGCTGGAAACTGGAATGCCATGGAGCTCTTCAAGGAGGGATTAGCGGGGACCAGAGAGATTGTGTTACCTGCCTTCAGGAATCTCTAGACTGGAAGGTGGCACTGGGTTCCATGCTCATTTGTGCCCCTAAAATTCAGAGATCACTTGTTAAGCATCCCACTCTTCTTCACTCACATGTGGGATGGGTACAGAAAGCAACAAACCAGCACTCTCTTAGGCTCCTACAATGCTCTCCCATGAACTCTGTGGGAGCTCATGGGAATGCATAAGAACTGCATTCTTATGGTGGCAATTGGGTAGATCTATAAGTTCTGCCTATCAGTATCCTCCATCAGAAGAATGAGATAGCACTCTTTCACTCGGAGGATGATCTTTTGAAATCTCTCTCACTTCTCTTGAAGAAGGGGAAAGCACCTTCCCTCCCTCCCCCATGAGGAAGTGGGAGAATAACCTCGCACAATATTGCATACTTCATCTACAGGCTGACAACCACCTAGCTTCTCACTCCTCTTTATTGACTTGGTGAGGGTGGGATGTCAATGGGTTGTAGAGAGTTCTGGCTCCCGTATGGCACTGACTGGCTCTAAATGCAACCTGTTTTGTGATACCTCTCTGAAGTTCAGCTACCTTGCCTTTAGACGTGATCTCCAGGAAAATGTAACAAAATTTTTTCTCTCTCTCTCATCAAGTGGTTGGGCTTCCCCTCAACTCTCACACCAATAAAAGGACTATATTGAGCCTCTCCTGAGAAGTGTAGATCCCATTTGGCTGACTGGCTCTCTTGTTTCTTTATTATTTGTTCTTCTGGCATCCAGCATTGCAGATTACATTTAACAAGTAATTGAGAACTTGTGCTTTTAAGAAACACTGTGAAGACGTGTGGTTGTATCAATATTTTATGAAAGATTTGGAGAAAAAACACCAATCCTGGATTGGAAAAAATATGGACAGAAAAGAAAGAAATAAATGAATCAAGCACTAGAGAAAGAGAATGAAAATTTATAGAGTCAGAGCTATTTTAATTAATGTAATATAATAATAAAGAAGATATTTTCTCCAAATCCATTTTGTTTCTGAAATATTGGAGGTACATGGAGGAGAGGTAATATTAGGATCTTTAAAAATGAACCAGTTCCAAAGGATATTATTTCAAAACTATTGCCAAACACTGTTTCCAATAGATTTTCAAGCAAAGAGAAAGATTATGAATTTTGAAAATGTCATATGCCCTTTATTAGTGTCAAAGCGAGTTATCTGAATACTGTATGGATATTGTAATAACTGTTCAGATGAATGGCCATTTGATGGAGTCAGGATAAACAATGTTATAATAAATTGTTATGATTACTATTATATTTCAAATATTTATTGATGTTTACGGGGAAATACATTTTCTAAAATACCCTAAGGGTGAATAATATGATGAATCAAATTAGCTGATGTTGATTTGCATATGTGGAGGGGGCTTCTGACCTGTATTTAATGTACTTATAAAAACCAAAACCTGTGACTTTAAAGAATCATTTATAGATATATTTTGAGAGAGATTATATAAATAAGAGTCAAAACCATATTAAAACTGTAAGATAAAATTATGATTCTCATAGCAAGTGAGGGGTACAGAGTTGCTTACACTAGACACAGCCCCTTGGCCATATTAAAAGCTGACAAACACCTTCTTTTGATTTGGTTGACACCCGGACCTTTTCTCCAATGGTAGAGGCTGGCAATGAGGATTGGAATTATTGTCGATGATATATGAAAAGCAACATTTTGCATAAATATACAAATTTAGGCATCAAAATTTAATGTATGAAGTTTAGGTTGTATGAATGTCAAGTATTTGAAAGCCAGGGACATTTCCCCTAAAAAGTTAATTGTAATTTAAAACACAGTAGGTGATTTCACTCTCAAAATATATTTCTTTTGGTTTCTAATGTCTTATAGTCTTACTTCTTCCTAAACATTGCCATTCAAACACTTTTTCTTGCAATTTTCCAATATTCCTTGATATTTATCTTTTTAAGTCATTTCCATTAGTGTCTATTTTTTTTTTTTTTCAGACGAAGTCTCGCTCCTGTCCCCCAGGCTGGAGCGCAATAGTGCGATCTCAGCTCACTGCAACCTCTGCTCCCGGGTTCAAGCAATTCTCCTGCCTCAGCCTCCCGAGTAGCTGGGATTACAGGCTCCTGCCACCAGCTGGCTAATTTTTGTATTTTAGGTAGAGATGGGGTTTCACCATGCTGGCCAGGCTGGTCTCGAACTCCTGACCTCAGGTGATCCGCTCACCTCGGCCTCCCAAAGTGCTGGGATTATAGGTGTGAGCCACAATAGTGTCTATTTCTTAATCACCCCCCACAAGTTGATCAATCTTTGGGCCATACTATATAATAAATAGATTTTAACAAGAACATTTTGAGATGGTTACAGGTCACTTTTCTTAACTTTATGTTACCAGTCAAAGTAACAACAGACTTTTTGCCACCGTTTTTCACAAACATTGATAGAGGCACTTGCGATGTAAAAATATTACCCTCTCTTTCTCATGTGTAGTTAAAGATTTACTTTTGTAGACAATTTAAACGTGATCTATTCCACAGTGTTGAAGAAGAGCCTCTTCCACAGATGTACTGTCTCCACATAGGACTAAAGAGACCCTCCAGCCGGTTACTATGTGTTTGCTACCTTTGGGAGCTCTTATTAGTTAGCTGTCATCACTAAAAATTCAAAGCACAGGATCAGAGAAGCAGTCATGCATGTTTTTTGCCCATTTGTGGCTGTACACAGTTGTGGAGAAATGGGATTATGTGCCTTTAAGAGCAATCAACTTCAGTTCCTTTAACAGCTGTACATTTTGATCAAAGGATTATGTTAGGAGGGTTTTTTTTCTTCTATAGCTTTTATTCAGGGAAATGAGGTTAGTTGAAAAAGTAGTTTAAAAGAAACAACTTAATAAGCATATGGAATCACATAGAAAAATACAGTGACTAATGGGTGAACTTGAAGCCTTCATTAACATCTAACTACAGATTTATTGCAAGCATAGAATGAACAAGACTGAACTGACATTGGTCATGCTTGCCAGCTTAGTTAATTAATTAATTTACCTAGGGGCTCGAATATATTTAAAATCACACTATTCTTGGTGACAAAGTATTATTTTTGGCCAGGCAGTAATCCTTGTGCGTTGGGAGGCTGAGGCAAGAGGACTGCACAAGGCCAGGAGTTTGAGAACAGCCTGGGAAACATAGCAAGACTTCCATCTCTACAACATTTTTTTTTAATTAGCTGGCCGTGGTGGCATGTGCCAGTAGTTCCAGCTACTCAGGAGGCTGAGACAGGAAAATCACTTGAGCCTAGGGTTAGAGTGTAGAGTGAGCCCTGATCATACCACTGCACTATAGCCTGGGCAACAGAGCAAGACCCCATATCTAAAAATACATAAATAAATAAATAATTTTAAAAAAGTATAATAATACTTTTAAAAACAGTATTATAGAAATCTTACATAACAGACTGGTTATGATATAAGAAACTATAGGCTTACACATTAATTAGAAATCTGTAGATTTATGCCTCATGAGCTATAATCAGTTCAGAGCTGAAAAGTTTTTTAAAGAATAGAAAGAGGTTAAAAAAAAGGATAAATATTATTCTTCACTACAGTTTATTACTAGCTTTCTGTCTAACTAGTAAGAACTAGAACCTACACAGAAATGTTAAAAATATATATTCATACACAATTCAATACAAATATCCACGTATATCTGTTCTGTTTATTTTCTCCGCACCAAAAGATATGGCTTCCTAAGAGCCTCAAATTGTCATGAAGCAGAATCTTTTTATTTTTCATAAAAAATTAATTTATTCTTAAGAAAGTTCTAGGGATACCAAATAGTAAGGTATTAATGAAAACAACTTTATCCCTAGCCAAAATTCCAAGTCACACGCTGAAAAAAAAAAAAAAAAAAATCTGCAACTCCAGAAAAAGAGGTCAGGAGTGACAGTATTTATGTGGAAAAAAACTTCGAAAGTTACAATCAATTTCTAACTGTTCAAATTACTATAGGAGACCTATGACATAAATTATTATAAACCTGAGAAAATTGGCTCTGCATATCAAGCCATAATTCACAGCATTTCATAACATTTCCATTTAAAATGCTAGATAAGCTATTCTACTTGATAACATAGAAATTAACCTGTGCAAATACCTTCACATACTGCAAAGTACAGTAAAATCTATAGCAAATATCATGTCATAAAATCTAAATGCATAACATACACTCAACACCATTAAAACTCCAAGTAAAAACTCCAATTAAAAATAAAGTGTTATTTATATCAAAAGATAAATATTTTCGTGTGAGAAGAAATTTTTATCAATATACTTACAAAGAAGCATAACAATAAAAGCTTCAGTCTTCATTCAATCTCTTTAATTAAAATTTGGACATACCAATAATAAAGTCTTCCTAAAACATCTATTTATAATTGGAAACTTTCCACTGAACCTCGGGCAAGGAGAATTAATATGTAATTTTGTTTAGTTATATTAATGTTTGTCTGGAAAAGTTGGTATAAACTAAGAAATGAAGTCAAGATCTCATTCAATATTGGTTTACTATTGGCACTGAATGAGAATGACCGAAGAAAGAAACTACATGAAGATTTGAGAGAAACTGTGAATTCAGAATTAGAAGGCAAAGTTCATAATTATATGCACTCCAGACAATATGCTACCATTTTCCCAAAATATGGCCTCCCTCAGAATGAAGCCAACAAAATGGTGGAATAGAAGTTTTCTGCTATCATCTCCCCACATTGTACTGATTTTGACATCCACCCACCAGACAAAAGTACTCTTGTGGGAGTTCAAGAGTTCAGTTGAGAAGTTCCAGTAATGTAGGAGTAAAAACATCTTAGAATAGACACAAAGAAAGGGGTAAAACTTTCACCTTACTCATGGCACCCAAAGGGCACACAGCTCAGTGCCAAGAGAGACCCCCTTGGCCAATGATTCCTCCCACAGGTGAAACTGAGAGTGTAATGAGCAATTCCCCTGCTTTCCCACATCTTTCTCACCCCACCAAGAACACTGAAGGGATCAGCATGGCTGAGTGGCTGGGGGAGGCAATAAGCAGGGAAGAGATGTTTGGATGCCAACAGTCAGGGCTTTGAACTTAACAAAAACATGTATCCCAGTAACCACTATGCAGACTCCATCAGCCCCCACACCCTCCCCACCCCAAGGAGCTACCTGGGATGCCTCACCTGAGAAACTCCCAACTGACCTATAGGCACTCCTAATGCTCTCTGCACCTCACCCCCATCCCCCATTGTAATTGGCTTACTGAAATCAACCCCCAGACAGTGAGGGCAAGTCTTTGCAGCTGGCTCACTATTCATTGATTAAACTTTTGTATTCTATTTACATGTTATTTATTATTATTATTATTATTATTATTATTATTATTATTAAGACAAAGTGTGTTCTTTCATCCCAGGCTGGAATATAATGGTACAATCACAGCGTTCTGTAACCTCCAACTCCCAGACTCAAGTAATCCTCCAGCATCAGCCTCCCAATTAGCTGGGACTACAAGCATATACCACCACACCTGGCTAATGTTTTGATTTTTTGTAGAGATCGGAGAATCTCGCTATGTTGCTCAGGCTACTCTTGAACTCCTGGACTCAAGTGATCCTCCCATCTTGTCCTCCCAAAATGTTGGGAATACAGGTGTGAGCCACTGTGCCCAGAACACTGTACTAGAAATTTTTTTAATCCCTGTATGTTAAAGATGATACATACACTACCTCTCAGCTTCTTTCTCCTTTCTAGTTCTAGCTATTAATATTTATGTAATAAAAACTCCAGTAGCATTCATAACACTTACATTCTCCCCTTTAATCATAATAGATATAATACTCAGCATCAGTCTGCAATATTTAGTCCCATACAAGCCTTGATTGGCTAAAACTCATCCTGTCATAACTTTTGAAGAAAGGTTTATTGGCACCGATGTTTGAAAATGTTTGGTGTTGCCTTTGTACTCTAATCCCAGTCTACCTGACTGTAACATTCTTAGTTATAACTTTCATTTCCCCAGAAATCTATGGACATTCTTACTCTGGCTTCTAAAAGCAAATATTGCTCGAAAGTATGAACCATGAAGCAGATAACGTTTCTCCTTATACACAACCAGTTCTTTCTACCTGGGTAAACAAAGAACTCTTTATCTTTGAAGTCTAGACATTTTAGTGAAATACTGTTTTTTACATTATGTTTACCTTTTTCTTACATATAGTATATGTTTTAATCTTCAGATTCAAGAAATTTACTCTTTACAATATGGCAGTTTAATATTTTTTAATTCAATAATTTAATTAGCTTCAGTCCCATCTAATTGGGAGGCTGAGGCTGGAGGAGTACTTGAGCCCAGGAGTTGGAGGTTACAGCACGCTATGATTACCACTATACTTCAGCCTGGGGTGAAAGAACAAAACCTTGTCTCAAAAATAATAATAAATACAATTTAATTTTTAATTTTTAACTTTTATTTCTAAGCTATGTTTTCTCATGTTTTTTTCTTCCTGCTGTCTCTCCAACTCTTCTGTGAAACCACAATGTGAATAACAGACCTTTGTGTTCTTTTTTATACAAGTAATTGCTTCATTTAAAAAATTATAGTGAAATATATGATTAAACATTTTTCTCTGCTGTATACTAACATTTTCTGGTGAATGTCCTTCTGCTGCTTGCTTTTTCTCTCCTCTCTTCTTTGCTTCTGTGTTATCTGTGTTTGTATAGATACTGGCTCCTTTTGATTACAAATGGGTTCATTCTTCTTCGAACTGCTATTTTTTTAGTCAGTAGAGGAGATGCAGCCATTGAGGGCCATTTACTTACAGAAAAAAAGGAGTAAAAGGAATCCCCTGGCATCTCTCTCTTCTCATCTTCTAATCTTCCAGAAGTGTTTATTGGCTGAACCGGCTAAGATTAGTTGGAATAAAACCCCTAGAACTGAGCTTTTGGTAGTCATCTCCCACTATATGGAATAAAGAAAAAAAAAAAAAGGCTGTTGGATGAATTGAGTGGCAAACTCATATTCTTCTTCCTGTACATCCGTTCCAACTCAAGACTCCTTTCATCATTTCATCCTGGATACAACTCAAAGAGCTATAGTCCTTTTGCTTTCAATCAGAAATACCTGGCTAAACAAAGATAAGACTCGTGGTTTATAGGAAGGAGAGATGGAAATTACCATTTTATCTTTGAAATTTAGTAAAGACTGCAAAGAATTTTCCTTAGTGATGTGAGTAACATATCTTCTGCAGCACAGAGGGCTTGCTGGAGTGTTCAATGCATGCTCTGAAGCTAAAAATTACCCATGGCTCATCCATCTTTCTCCTTATTAATCCTATGAAATCACCAAGGTTAACATTGAAAGGTCTTTTTCACTCCAGGCCTGTGCTCCTGTACTAGACCTCTAGCCTCATCCCCTCTAAAGGAAGAAGAGTCCTCTTTTTCCTTCATATATATTTCCATCCTCTTGCTGGATGGAAACAAATAAAAATATATATCTCATATATATCTAGCTCATATATGTATCTCATATATATGATATATGTGATATATAGATATATGATATATATATCATATATATAATAGATATATATCATATATATCATAGATATATAGATATATATATCTCATAGATATATAGATATATATATCTCATAGATATATATATCATAGATATATATATCATAGATATCTATATATCATAGATATCATAGATATATATATATCTCAGACCCACATGCAAGAGGATGGAAAGACAGAAGGGTAAGACAGCCTTCTTGGAAATAAGAATAGATGCTCTCAGCCAGACACGGTGGCTCATGCCTGTAATCCCAGCATTTTGGGAGGCCGAGGCGGGCGGATTACGAGACTATCCTGGCTAACATGGTGAAACCCTGTCTCTACTAAAAATACAAAAAATTAGCTGGGCGTTGTGGCGCGTCCCTGTAGTCCCAGCTACTCGGTAGGTGGAGGCAAGATAATCGCTTGAACCCGGGAGGCAGAGGTTGCAGTGAGCCGAGATCGCGCCACTGCACTCCAGCCTGGGCAACAGAACGAGACTCCATCTCACAAAACAAAACAAAACAAAACAAAACAAAACAAAACAAAACAAAACAAAACAGAATAGATGCACTCTAGTTTCCACAGGGAAAGGAGGGATGCCTCTCTTGGTGTCATCTCTTAAACAGAGCCATTCCATTGCTTCTTTAAACAGAGCCATTCCAAGTGCTGAGGCTGAGTAGAAGCAACTTGAGTTTTATTTTTCTGTGACATTCATCAGCCAAGGAAAGGGGCCCAGCAAACCTCAGTGAGGTTCAAATTAAGTAAGAAGACCTTACTGTAATCAAAGATACTTTGCCTATTACCTGATTTTTAAGAGTTTAGGGTCTGAAGAATTCATACTACAGGTATTTATATTCTAAACTTTTCTGCAAGTTACTTAGCGTATCTGAGTTTCAGATGCCTCATTTTGAAATGGGAATAACGATAAGAACAAGAGTATAGGATTGATTTGATGATTAACTCAGATTAGTAAATAAGATCATAAAAATATAGCACCTAGGTGTTGTTATGATGATCACCATTATTGTTTTGCTGGTACATGCGAACACGTATGTGCATATGTGCATGCATGCTGACCAGGGGAGCCTGAATGTTTCTCTTGTGACTAGATTTTAGTCAGGCTTCTTCCTGACTCTATGCTCTGACCTTTTTTTTTCTTGGAGCACTTACCTTAGAAAACTTATAATTGTAAATTCTTTCTCCGCCCCTTTGAAATGTAAATCTTGAAAAAAAAAAAACTTGCCAATTTTACAACCCAGGGCTGTCAAGAACCTGGGAGTCATCCCTTTGAAATGTAATTATCAAGCAAGATAGTGCCCCTGTCTCCCAGGCTGTGCGGTTGAGTAGGAGTCTAACTTTTTCTGTAGTTATAACAGAGATGGCCTTTGATCTTCCCTTTCTGCACTCTAGCTTTTTAAAATTCTTGCCCTTTGTTTCAGTGGCGTTGAGTGCAGACAGCTGTGGCCTCTCTCCACTATTGCAATAGCTTGAAAAAGTCTTCCCTGCCTAACTTTGGAGCAACTTTTGCTTTCACAGTGCTATGAGATGAACAAGGATTTTTAAACATATTTTCTAAATCTCATAGTGTATAAGGATTAACAACTCAGATAACACAGCTACTTGCGTATAGACAATTTTGCACTAACGTGAATTACAGAAATTGATGAATAACAGTGTTTTGTTTGCTATTTCACATTAGCCTGTAGTCTGACACTTATCTTTAGTATGATTTTATGTTCTAAATGTTTTAGTAATTTTCATTTAAATAAAAGAGACAACCTATGAAACATTGATTTAAATTTTTTTTCATTTTCTTTTCCCTAAATAAATACGCAGGTCTTTATGCCTGCAGTAACATGTTTTAAAACCTTTCATCATTTGTACTCTCCCCCGGATATTTTATTATGAAGGTAATATTAAGTATCATCTGAGGTGTATTGTTTTAGTTTTCATATGAATTCTGTGTTCTGGAAATATTCATTTTGATTTAAAAGACTATTTAAAAACTCATAGTTACCTGTAATTTGACATCTATGGAGAATAAGCATAAGTTAAGAGTTAATGTTGTATTTACTATTTTAGTCTATAGTCTTAAATCAACTTAAATATTAACATTTGAAAGCAAAACCTCTTTCATATATTATGAATCAAAACTAATTACCTTATTGCATGCTACCCTGTTAAACAGAGGTACAAATTAATTTGATAATTAAATTGTGAAATAAAATATCTAGAGAAACTTTATAGACAAATTAGATAAAAGGCAGCCCTAACATGTAATCTTGACCATTTTTCCTGTAATTCTAAAATCAGATGGACCTCTCGGGCCAATTTTCCTAAACATTGAGGGGAGAATTTTTTTTTTTTTTTTTTTTTTTGAGAGGGAGTCTCGCTCTGTCGCCCAGGCTGGAGTGCAGTGGCATGAGGGGAGAACATTTTTAATCCTTCTAGATACCCATGTCCCTATTATTTTTCAACTTTTGTTTCTCAAGAGTCTTTCTTAAGCTCAATTTGCTGCTATTTCCCCATATCCTCATATCACTGAAGCAAGAAAAAACTGGATGTCATTGTTTTAGCACTTAAAATTGCCTCTGAGCCTCTTTTCTCTTGGCTAATGACTTTATAGTCTATTTTAGCAAAGAAAGAGAAAATGTAAAAATGAGAGAGTTATCATATTCCCTTATCATAAGATAGCAGTGGTAATATACACAGGAATATTCTTTTCATGGTAAGGACCAAAATTGCCTCATCATATTCAAGACAAATGATAATAGACAGCATTTGAGTAATTTTTTCTTGAATATATTGAAATTTCAAAGAATATATAAATTCAAATCTATGGAATATTATCATAATGATATTATTTTAGTTCAGTAGTATTCTAAAAATGGATTATGGTTTCATTTCTACCTTTTTATTATTATCAAACATGTTTATTCTAATATATTCAGACAATTTTTGGAATATGGTTTTGAAACTCTATATCATTTCTCATAAATTTTATTTTACAATTACTTTAACGTGTTAATGATATCTATTATTTTCTCTAGGAGCATTTTTTGTTAAATGCATTGTCAAAAATTTATGGATGCTTTTCTAAAAGTGTACTTTGTAAAAATTAAAAACTACCTGTACAGTTAACATTATCATTTATAAAAGTAATAAAAAGAAAAAGAAGTAAAATGCACATCATATCCAGATAAAGCTATGGTATACTTCCTAACATCTATCAACATGTGTGATACCATTAGAAGAAAATATATTCTATATTTTATGTAGAATTAAGGGAAAATTACTATTAAATAACTCATTGAACAAATTAATTTAGCCTAATACTAAGTTTATTGATTTAAATGTTTCTTGGCAGTACACTGGTTTAAAAACTAAAAACTTTTTAGCTGCAATTTTTAAAGTAAATATTTGGTTAAAAATAAAGTATGAAGTATGCAATTAAATGAAAAAATGGCTGTATTCTTTGTGAAAAATATCCCTGATATAGAGTTTTAAATCAGAAAAATCCAAGGAATTTAAAGCCTCAGAAGAACTTGCAACCCTAAGATATCAAAGTTCTTAAATTATTTTTGCTACTGAGTTTATGATGCTCATTTATTTTCATAAAATGCTCTAATGCTCAACAGAAAACATGAAGTGCCTTAAGAACAAACCGGAGGGAACTGATATAGAACGCTGGGTTGTTGGCTTTGGACAAGAATATGCAAGGGATGGGAAGCAAATAAAGAGAAAGCAGTATCATAGCAAACAGGAGAAAGAGAGATGGGTATAAATGCCAGTGAGGGACTGTGCACTACAGAAATAAATTTAAATTGATATTCATGTGTTAGCCTTGAGAAGTTTTTATCCTAAAAATATTTTTAGACATAATCATATGTAGTTCTGAAAATAACTGAACAATTCACTTTGATGAATGCAAATTTTCGAAATGTTTTGGATTTTTCCCTTAACCATAACTCTAAAACTAAGAAACTATGCATGCCTTATAAAACATGAGAAAATTATATGATTATTGATAATTATCTGACAAATATTTTCAATTAGGAAAATAACAAAAATTTATTTGAAATAAAAGCTAAACTTAAACTGATCAACAATTTAAAAGATTATTTTTGATTCAATATGTAACACTTTGTTTATCTTTTCATATTAAAATATATATTTTAAACTCCAAATATAAGTTAGCTTAGAATTTTAGGACCAGAAGTAACATGGAATTTTAGAGCCAGAAGTCCTCTCCTTTGTCATCTAGATAAGTGACAGATTTTCTGTATAAGTGATGTTAGAAATATCAAGCCACCAACCCAAGTTAATACAATACACTAATAGCAGAGGTAGGACTAAAATCAAGATATTTCTTATCCTTTAAAGATTCATATTTTTTCAATGTTCCATAATATCTCGTATCCAAGTCCAGGAATTATATTTCAGGTGTAGAATCAATTTTACGGTTGTGAAAATCAAGACCAATAAAAGTATTTTAATTTCATCAGTGCACAACCCAACTTCACCTCTGGCCCGGGTTATGGAAATAGTCTCATAACTTGTCTCCTTGCTCATCAAACACCACACGGCACAATCTGTCCTGAATTCAGCACACAAAAACTGATCTTTTCCAAATATAAATCAGATCACATCTGTCATCTTCTTGGAATTCTCCAACGTTCTCATCACATTTGGAATAAAATATAAACTTCATGTCATAGCCTACGAAGTGCTATATAATCTGGTCTTTGCCTAACTCTGTGACCTCACCTACCGTAAGTGCAGCATCAGAGAACACTGATGTAGCTCCCACCCTGTTCCGAGGCCTTCAGATGTATTAATTGTTCCATACTCCTGTTAATTCTATAAGACAAGAATGCTATTAGTCCCAACTAACAGATTAAACAAGAGAGTTCAGAGGGGCTAAATAAATTGCCCGGCATTATGTAATAGCGGAGCCAGGATTTAACTGAAGCCTTCTGGCTCCAGGCAGTGCTCTTAATGCCGTGCTAAACTCTAGCTCTTTTCTTTGCTTCTCTTGCTGCAACGAGTGTCTCTGATTTCTTCAGTACTCAAAATGACTCTCATCTGGGCTTTTTGGATGGTTTTTCGCCTTGCCTATAATGCTATTCTCCAAGACTTCACATGCCTTGGTTTTACACAGTTTTCAAATGTACGTTCGAATATTATTTTTTTTACCATAGATTTTATCACCTAAATATTCTGTGTCTCTGGCAACCCATACACTACTGCTAACCTGGGTCCTAATTACTAATTCACTAATGCTTTGCTTTGATTTTTTTCTTTCTTTTAGCCCTTAGTATTTCCTGAAATTGAATTACAGTCATGTGCAGCATAACATTTTGGCAAATGTTGGACCACATATACCATGATAATCCCATAAAGTTATAATAACATGTTTTCAATGTGTTTTTTCTATTTAGATATGTTTAAATACACAAACATATACATTGTCTTACAATTGCCTGCAGTATTCAGTGCAGTAACCTGCCATTGGCTGTATCATATACCCTAGATGTGTAGCAGGAGCCATTGGCTGTATCATATACCCTAGATGTGTAGTAGGAGCCATTGGCTATATCATATACCCTAGATGTGTAGCAGGAGCCATTGGCTGTATCATATACCCTAGATGTGTAGTAGGAGCCATTGGCTATATCATATACCCTAGATGTGTAGTAGGAGCCATTGGCTATATCATATACCCTAGATGTGTAGTAGGAGCCATTGGCTATATCATATACCCTAGGTGTGTAGCAGGAGCCATTGGCTATATCATATACCCTAGATGTGTAGCAGGAGCCATTGGCTATATCATATACCCTAGATGTGTAGCAGGAGCCATTGGCTATATCATATACCCTAGATGTGTAGCAGGAGCCATTGGCTGTATCATATACCTTAGATGTGTAGCAGGAGCCATTGGCTGTATCATATACCCTAGATGTGTAGTAGGAGCCATTGGCTATACCATATACTCTAGATGTGTAGTAGGAGCCATTGGCTATATCATATACCCTAGGTGTGTAGTAGGAGCCATTGGCTATATCATATACCCTAGATGTGTAGTAGGAGCCATTGGCTATATCATATACCCTAGGTGTGTAGTAGGAGCAATTGGCTACATCGTATACCCTAGATGTGTAGCAGGAGCAATTGGCTATATCATATACCTTAGATGTGTAGCAGGAGCCATTGGCAGTATCATATACCCTAGATGTGTAGTAGGAGCCATTGGCTATATCATATACCCTAGGTGTGTAGTAGGAGCAATTGGCTATATCATATACCCTAGGTATGTAGTAGGAGCCATTGGCTGTATCATATACCCTAGGTGTGTAGTAGGAGCCATTGGCTATATCATATACCCTAAGTGTGTAGTAGGCTATACCATGTAGGTTTGTGTAAGTGCATTCTAGGATGTTCACACAAAGACAAAATCAACTAACAACACATTTTTCAGAACACATCCCTGTCACTAAGTGACACAAGACTCTATTTGTTTCCTCCTTTATACAATTATTCTTTATAACCCTTACTGCAATGTATTTTAAGGAGAGTAAAGATTTTCTTTTCCAATTCATTATGTATTTCTTATGTCTAAAACTGTTATAAGAGATACTGAATAAATATATTTGAATTAATTTATTTTCTTATATTTCAGAACAACTTCTGAAAAAACATTTTAGATGCTTTAAAAATTGACATAGGATAATGCAGAATTATTATTTTGGAATTGTATAATGCTTTATTGTAATTATATTTGTCCATTCACCCATAGCTAATTAATTATTGGCTTATCATAAAATTTAATTTACTGTCTAGATTTTCAGAAAATTAGCCCTATGTTCCTTCACGCTATGTTGTTTTCTAGTTTTACTCATAGACGCCATACAAAAAATAACAACATACAGATAAAAGAGTGTTTCTGTTATTAATACAGGATTGTTTTGTCCTAAACATGATACTTTTTTAGAAGGGACTTCATATGCATTTATTATTGATTTAGTATAGATAGAAAAACTGTTAAAAATGAAATAATTTCAACATTTGATTACAGTTAGGGAATTGAATATGGGAAGAATGAAAAACATACAAAAAATAAATAGCGTGTTTTTCAGTACTCTGAGTCTTAAATATAGAAACTCAATAGGTCTAATGAAACCTTGTATTACAGTGTAACAGATTATCCTGGAGCTTTGAGACTATGGAAGAGAAAATAAAATCTATGAAGAGTTTCTCTGTTTGAAAACACCATCTGTGATTTGAAATTGCATTTCAGCACCATAGCTTAAGGTTCTATCATTTTAGTATATTTATAGATTCAGTATCTATAAACCAACATATCAAGGATAGATAATAAGTAAACTGAAATTACTCTAAAACAGGAAGGTAAATATAATCTTACTGTTCTCACTGTGACTTTGTGAAATGGAAATCAAGATTGGAAAATGGCAATGTGCTACAGGTATTCCATAATCAAAAGAAATATACTTCTGAAGAGGAAAGGCAGAGTACAAAATGTAGTTCTTGAAAGCACATAGTTTCATGGAAATGTATGAATGTGAAGGTAGAAGTTTACTGAAAACCAAAGAAGAATAAGACTGAAATGATATCAGTAAGGAAACATACTATGTACATTCACATAGTGAAAAAGATGGTTTTGATAGAACACAATATTTTATGAAAGTACTTCAAATAGCCAGCTCTATCCAGTATTCATTTGCTTAAAATATAGTGTCCAAGAAACTCCCGAATTATTTGGTTCATAAATTCTTCTCTAATAAACCAAAATAACAAGTTGGGGTAACTTCTACTTTATACATTATTCTGTCCTAACAAAAAAGGAAAGTGTGTGTGTGTGTGTGTGTGTGTGTGTGTGTGTGTGTGTGTGTATGTGTATGTGTAGTGGAAGTGACAGGCCCCTTGGAAAAATGCAGCATTATCAGGTTATAGTTTTGGAAAATCATAGATGAAAACAGTAGACATTTTAAGACATATACCCTATATAATGCTCAGCAAATTTTTTTAAAGGAAGAGGATGATTGAAAAGTTCAGAAAAAAGACTGCTGTTAAGCATTCCTCAAATTGGATTCTACAGTACACACATTTATGAGAAAATTTCAGAAAACAACATATAGTTTCTTCCTCTCACAAACTGCATTATATCATTAGCTAGTAGATGGTCATTCTAGTATCTACAGTTAGATAATAAACCACTACAAAATCCAAAGATTATAACAATGACATTTACTTTGCTTGTGAATCTTCATGAAAGGTTTGATAGGGCTTACTTGGCATCAGCTGGGGCTGGGCAAAGGCTGGATGCTGGAATCACCTGCACCTTCAATTGACTGTATTTCTTATAGTTCATCTGTTTGTCAGCTGCTACCTCAGCTTGAGGTGCTGCCAGAACACCAACATATGGACTTTCTATGTGGCTGCTTGGCCTTTGCACAGCGTGGTGGTTGTATTTCAAGAATAAGCATCCTGCTAGTAGAAAGGGAGCTGGAGGAAGCTGCGTGGCCTTTTTATGACTTAGCACAGTCTCGACAGCAGCACTTCCACCTACTAGCACTGGTTAAAATCGAGTTGCTAAGACCATCCTGTATTCAATGGGGAGAGAATTGGACTCCTTTTGGTAAAAAGACTACCAAAGAATATGAGATGTGCTTTGAAGCTATCACAGACACTCTGAAATTTTTAAAACAGGGCAATCTTTTTTGCATTATCTGATTATTTTGCCAGTAGTATTTTTATCAGATAATGTTTATTAATATCTTATAAGGATATTATTTTAGAAAAATGAGAGAAGTTATTCTAAAGGAAAAAATACTTCCTGCAAGAACATAGCATTAGTCTGAGTTTCCTTGAGTAGTGACTTAATGAATGAGATTAGAGTAGCCTGAAATGCATTCCCAGGAAAAGGTTAGTCACACCAAAACTTAAAATACCTTACCACTCTAATAACAAACAAACAACCTTCATCTTTTCCTTTTACCCTTTTACGTTGGTACTCCTTCATCTTTATGCAGTTAGCAAACCTTTAATAAGGTTCAGCAACAGGAACACACACACACCAGGAGCACTGTGATCTTTAAACAGAAAATGACATTTATTGGGTAAAACTGATAACCAGAGAAGCTTTAAATCACTCATAGGTCTTCCATTCTTTCATTATTCCATAAATAGATATATTTAGGTATAATCTGTCTAGATTGAACACACCATGCAAAGGACGACAGAAGAGATAAATTGCACTGGTAACATTTCATATCGTTATAGAAAAAGAAAAAAAGGCACATATACATTTATATGTCACTAGTTGTTAAATATTTTAAAATGTAATAAATAGGATAGGATGCTTACCACAAAGTGCTTATCAACTCTCGCAGGCAGAGGAAGTTGCTTCCTCTTTTGTACTTCAATTGTATGTTGAATAAATTTCCCATATCTTCAGAGACTTTTCCTTATCCACTCTTATTCCTATCTTTATCTTCAAATTCTATACTGGCTTTAAAATAAACCTAAATGTATTTCAAGACTATCATTTCTTTTTTTTTCTTTTCTTTTTTTTATTATTATTATACTTTAAGTTTTAGGGTACATGTGCACAATGTGCAGGTTAGTTACATATGTATACATGTGCCATGCTGGTGTGCTGCACCCATTAACTCGTCATTTAGCATTATGTATATCTTCTAATGCTATCCCTTCCCCTTCCCCCACCCCACAACAGTCCCCAGAGTGTGATGTTCCCCTTCCTGTGTCCATGTGTTCTCATTGTTCAATTCCCATCTGAGTGAGAACATGCGGTGTTTGGTTTTTTGTCCTTGAGATAGTTTACTGAGAATGATGATTTCCAATTTCATCCATGTCCCTACAAAGGACATGAGCTCATCATTTTTTATGGCTGCATAGTATTCCATGGTGTATATGTGCCACATTTTCTTAATCCAGTCTATCATTGTTGGACATTTGGGTTGGTTCCAAGTCTTTGCTATTGTGAATAGTGCCACAATAAACATACGTGTGCATGTGTCTTTATAGCAGCATGACTTATAGTCCTTTGGGTATATACCCAGTAATGGGATGGCTGGGTCAAATGGTATTTCTAGTTCTAGATCCCTGAGGAATCGCCACACTGACTTCCGCAGTGGTTGAACTAGTTTACAGTCCCACCAACAGTGTAAAAGTGTTCCTATTTCTCCACATCCTCTCCAGCACCTGTTGTTTCCTGACTTTTGAATGATTGCCATTCTAACTGGTGTGAGATGGTATCTCACTGTGGTTTTGATTTGCATTTCTCTGATGGCCAGTGATGATGAGCATTTTTTCATGTGTCTTTTGGCTGCATAAATGTCTTCTTTTGAGAAGTGTCTGTTCATATCCTTTGCCCACTTTTTGATGGGGTTGTTTTTTTCTTGTAAATTTGAGTTCATTGTAGATTCTGGATATTAGCCCTTTGTCAGATGAGTAGGTTGCAAAAATTTTCTCCCATTTTGTAGGTTGCCTGTTCACTCTGATGGTAGTTTCTTTTGCTGTGCAGAAGCTCTTTAGTTTAATTAGATCCTATTTGTCAATTTTGGCTTCTGTTGCCATTGCTTTTGGTGTTTTAGACATGACGTCCTTGCCCATGCCTATGTCCTGAATGGTAATGCCTAGGTTTTCTTCTAGGGTTTTTATGGTTTTAGGTCTAATGCTTAAGTCTTTAATCCATCTTGAATTAATTTTTGTATAAGGTGTAAGGAAGGGATCCAGTTTCAGCTTTCTACATAAGGCTAGCCAGTTTTCCCAGCACCATTTATTAAATTATCATTTCTTTAATAAAAGAAATATCGAAAATACACATTTCCTGCTTCCCATTAGGCCCATTGTGTTTAAAAAGAAATGCATATTTTGTGGCTCTATGTCCTTTTGTTAGATTCACTACAATCTTAAATTTTAATTCACTGCCCCATTGGAACTCCTCCTTTTGGTCACTAAAAATGTCCTACTTGGGAAATGCAGTGTCAGCTTTTAAGGTTTTTATCACCTGTCTTTTCTGTTACATTAGACACTTTCCTTCTTCTTTCCTGTGCTCTATTAATATTTAGCTATCTCTAATCTCCCAATCTAAACATAGTATCTCCAAAATCTGTGCCATTTCCACATTTAATGTTTTATGAAATTATATTTTCATGCTCCCATTTTTTCCAGGAATAGCTCCTGAAAACTAGAAGTCTTTCTTAATACCTCCTTTCTCTTACCATTTCCTACCAGTTCCCATGTATGATCAATTCTTCATCTATGCTCTCTCTTAAATTGTTTTTCTCATTGCTACCTCTTTATGAAGTAGAAAATCACTATTCCCTGGATTATTACAACTATTTCCCAAATCACCCATTTTTCTATGTAGCTCCCTCTAAACTATTTATCCCACTGCTACTAGAGTAAAAATATGTATTTGTTTAAAATCACCTACCTTCTGTAGCTACACTGATCACTCTACAGTTTCTAGAACTCCACAATCCCCTTTTCTTCTATGCTATTTTGCATGCTGCTTCATCTACTTGTATCACTTTTTATCCTCTTCTTAGCTTGATAAAATCTCTGTCCTTGATGACCTGGCTTAGAAGTGACATTCCCTGAGAATTATTCCTTACACCACTCCCTTCTCTCTTGCTATGATACACTAAGAATATCCTTCCATCTTATCTTGAGATATTTCAGTTATTTTATAGATTCCTTGAAACAGAATGGTTTTTTACTTTTCCAATCATAGAACTTGTATCATAGTCCACACATTAAATATACCTGCCATATTTCAGTGTAATTATTTTCTCACGACTCTGCCTCTATTAATAAAATGTAATGTATAAGGATCATGTTTTATTTGTTTCTTTGTTTATAGTCCTGGTGCCTGAAACATAGTATGTACCTTATAAACATATGTTGAATGAAACAAGTAGAGAGGCAACATCTTGGAGACTACCCAGTTCTAAAGATAATGCCATTAACAACATTTCTTAAAATCCAAATGTTGATAGATAAAATCAAGAGGGAGTTAGCATACAATTAGCTCTATAAACATGCAAAACAGTGTTCTTTTTCTTTTTTTCTTTTTAAAGATGGAGTCTTACTTTGTTGCTCATGTTGCAGTGCAGGGGCTCAATCACACTACTGATCAGTGTGCGAATTTTGACCTAGTCTATTTCTGATCTGGGCCAATTCACTACTCCTTATGCAACCTGGTGGTCTCCTGCTCCCAGGAGGACATTATATTGATGCCAAGGACAACCTGATGAGCACAGGGCACTACAGCCCAGAACTTCTCCATTCAAGTGATCCTCCCACCTCAGCCTCCCAAGTAGCTTGGACTACAGGTACAAAACATGTGCTTGTAGTTCTTCGAGAAAATATCAATTATTTTTATTTCTAAGTACACCTTGTCTTGTTGCTTAACTTTTTAAATATTGCTTTTGAAGTTCCACAGTGGATTTATGGAAATTGCAAGAAATGTATGGTCTGGTTTTCGCTCACTTAAGAAATCTCTTTGTAATGCTGTGTCAAAAAGAATGAAAGAGAGCAAACAAGTCAATGTAAATTGAATAAATTTTAGAAAAAGTAAAGCAGAATTGCTGTATTTCCACTTAGGAATATTTGCTTGTAAAACTACTGTAGATAAACATACTTATAGCAATAAATAAAATGCTTAAACTAAAGCTTGCTAGCATGTTTTAAGCACCACAATGAACACACTATTTCACAACTTAGAATAGGTCTATTAATAAAAACATTTTCTATTATTAAAATGGCATACCATTTTATTAAAAAAGGTGTTTTATATTGTTGCCCACATAGAAAGAAAGAAAGCGTAAATCTTTCAAATGGAACTCTTGAGTTCCATAGTGGTTGCCTTAATCTCGTATCTCTATGCTCCAAATCAACATTTAATAAATCTGAAAATTTATTATAGCTTTACAAAATAAATTCCTATCACACCTAAAATCTGGTACAAACTTAAGAGCACAAAACAGAAAAATCAGTCCAAGAGGGCAGAGCTTTTCCTGTGTTGTATTTCCAAATATGTCCCCACAGCCTGGAACAGTGCATGGCAGATACTACGCACACAATAAACATTTATGGAATTGAAAATGCTTGTTTGAATAGAAAGTAATATTTAAATTGGGAACCATCTAATCACCATTGTCAAGGAGGAAATATAGCTATATATGTGGATTATGCATTTCCCTTCCTATTATCTCTAAAATGCTCATATTTCCATTGATACCATATTTACATTCATCCAGAGGAAAGTAAATGTGGGACTTTTCTTACGTAAATTCATTCATAGGGACTGTGAAATGGGCCACATTATCAGTCTGTCACAAGAGGGACTGAGAAGATACACTTAATAAATAACACTTAATTTTTAATAACAAAAAAAATTTTCTCAGACATCATAGATTTTTTTCTCACTCACAAAGAGATGTGATGTAAGTGAATATTTGCAAAGAATGAGACTTAGTTAATTAGTTAGCTACAAATACATATGCTCATGTCATATTAGTGATGCCCTGCCTCTATTTGAGATTTGGAAAGCTCATTCTGATAAAAATTAATGGGGTCTAAGGATAGCCCTTCATTGTGCACAAAGCATGCTATTATTGTGTCTATATTTACTCCTTTGTGTCCTTAGCTGTGAATATGCATTCCTAAAACAAGAACATCAGAAGCAATGGCTTCCCTTGGTACACTAGACTTCCAGTTCTGTGAAAGCCCCGAGCATGCAGCTCTGCAGCCCTTTGCCTTAACTCTTCCTTCTGGAATGTCTTTTTCTTTTAATATTCATTCAGCCAGCCCCCTTTATTTAGAGTCAAATGTCAGATCCTTGAAGAGCCTTTTGCTAACTAACAAATCCCTCCCCTTCCAGTGCTTCATTTTTCTGCACAGCACTAATTGCTAACTGCTATGCCTACATAAATATATATGTATTCATGTGTTTCTTTTACTCTGTAACATTAGAATGTGAGCTCCAGGAAGGTAGAAACTATTTCTGTTATTTTTTTATTGCTATATCCTGCATAGTTACTAGCACATAGTAGATGCTTAACACATATTTTAAAAATAAGATAATAAATGAATAGGCAATGGAGTGAAGGTTTGCCTGTGGGGAAATTGGTGGGACATATTTTATTAATAAAGGAAATGGGTAAGTTTTCCTCAAGTTCAAAAGGACTTTTAAGAAACAGCATTGTGTAAGATCCTATCCCAGCCAGAAGCAGATAACTGCCCAGTTTCTCTGTGTATCTTTACGGAGGTTACATGAAGTAGTATGTCTTGAAAGGGTCCTTTCCAGGTAAGTGAGAAATAGCAATGAAATTGAAAGCCCCACAACTGACTGAATGGAACCCCTTTTGGCCAAGGGGACCCCAGAGTAAACTTGAAAACTGAGTTTTTGGTCAGGACAGACAGAAGGTCAGACACACCTTGCTTAGTTATACTCCCTACTTCCCTAACAGTCATTATTAAGCTCTCTTCCCTAAAGGCTATACAGAAACCAGCCCTTACAAAAAAACTCCACCAATGATATCAACCAACCGACTAACACTGCCCTCTCTTTTGCTGTTTGGACACAACAATTGACCAACGTTTTTCCTGAGAAGAAACCACCAACCACAGAGTGGTTCTGGCCAGTCTACCTGGAACCCATGAAAGAGGATGAAGCTCCATCGCGCATGCGCACATTTCTCCCATTACAAATATTTGTGGCTCTTCTTATAGCTTATTTAGTATGCATAGTCAGCCCTACTGCTCAGCATAAATTCGTAATCCCCTTTCCTCTTCCTCAAACTGCTTTGCGCTTCTGACTGGAGGCTGTGCTCCCCAACACATCAGATTGGCCACCCTGCAGGCCGCAACCCTTTATGAGAAGTAAAAGTCTCCTTTCCAAATATATGAACCTTGTCATTCTTCAGTTGCCATGAAGAACTGTGAATAATTTATCCAAAAGCCCCCTGCCAAAACCTGTCTTCCATTGGTCAACGTTCCCATTGGGCATCGCTATACTACAGCTTTGTGCTTTGTATCAAAACCTCTCCAGATTGTCACCGGGAAATGTAGATTCTCTGTGAGTCTACTCTGGCCAATGCTAACTGCCATGGTCTCACCTTGTCAATTAGCACCACAAATATGAGGTTTCGCTACCTGTAGCAATAATGGTGGCAGCAGCAGTGACATGGTTGGTTGGCCGTGTTGAACTTGCTCAGAAATAATAACACAAAATGTTTAGGTTCTTATTAGGTTTAGATTAGAATACATGGACACAGGAAGGGGAACATCACACTACAGGGCCCGTTGTGGGGTGGGGGGCGGGGGGAGGGATAGCATTAGGAGATACACCTAATGTTACATGACGAGTTAATGGGTGCAGCACACCAACATGGTACATGTATACATATGTAACTAACCTGCACGTTGTGCACATGTACCCTAAAACTTAAAGTATAATAAAAAAAAAGAAAAAAAGGAATATAAAATATATACACACATTAAAAAAAAGAATTTTGAAAGTAAAAAAAAAAATAATATAACTTGTCCACATTACAGCCCCTCCTCATGCTCAATTACACACCAGAGTAAGTGCTGAATAAAATATTCTGCAAATGCGAGTTAGCAATCTAACCCCATGTAAATGATACAGCTTTATTTTGAGTCACATAATTATGGTATGCAATCCAAGGGTTCTTAACAGGTTATCATATTTGATCATCTAAATCTCTTAGCTAATTTAGATGAGACAGGCATTTAAGTTAAAAGCTGATGAGGGTTAGTCATTAAAGATCCATTTTGTATATTCACCTTAGGAAATTACTTTTGCCTATTAAGGCGATATTCTCTCTTTGTAACCTAAGATTGGCTCTTGATAAAAGAGGCAATAAATGATTAATAGCTAAATATTTTGGAATGCATTTGGCAAGTGTAATTATAATTGTTTGTTTGAAACAGAGGTGTTGTTAATTACCTCTAATAACAGACATGGGTTAAGTAGTGGTGACCCCATTCACCATATACCAACCAAACACCCTTACTTTTAGTTGTTTAATTATTAATGCTGATAAAATATAAGCTGCATTGTGATAGAAAAATGTGTCTATTTTATCCACCTGCTATATATTAAGTGCTTAAAATATTTCTTATGGTTACTGCCTAGATACGGGTGGCTGAAGTAAATGCCCCTCTCCTACACAATTTAACAATCTAAATAATTTGTCTATCTTCAATTCTGTATTCAAGTTTTTTGTGCAAATGCACCTTATCTTATACATAAATGCACCCTTATGCAAATCATCTTATCTTACTTGAATATGTGTGTGTGTTTACTGTCCTTCTCTCTCTCTACATATACACCCACATATATTCATGTACATACACATCTATATCTTATCTATTTTATATATTAATATATATCATATGTGTATGTATATATATTATGTATATATGGGTGGTACATACACACAAATCTCTCTCTTGGGTTCCACCAATAGGAATAAATTATTATTTGATACCTGCACTGTGGAGTCATTAATATTGAGATTCCTCTATCATCACCCAAATGGCCTTCTTCAAATTTATCCATTTCAATCTTGGATGTTTTTAGTATAAACACACTAGGTTGATTAAAGACAAACTAATGCCTGGCAGTGACAAAATGTGAGTGGTACAATAGGAGTTATATTATACAAACAAACATAAATTAGATTATAAATAAATGTAAGAAGATTAAGCAGGACCCTTAATTTCCTTCCATCTCTTCATTGCTGATCATACCTAAATACAGACTGGAAAAACGTCTTTGGAAATATTTGGGCTCTGAACGCTGACAGAACTGGGTTTGAAATGTAGAATGCCATTTACTGGTAGTGAAATGTTAACAAATCATGCAGCTGTAGTTTGCTCATCTCCAAAACAGAGGTATCTATGAGACTACATCTTCAGGGATACATGGGATCAGATAAAGCAAATCACATGATATGTAGTAGGCATGTTACATGTATTATATCATTACATCCTCAAAATGAAAGATATATAGTACCATTGAGCTATTTATATGTAATCTATTTTGCAATTTAATTATTTCTTTTGCCATTTTCGCTTTGTGAAATCCTGAGCCATTTTCTTCTCCTAAATTTACCATCCTTCTGCAGATAAAGAATATGAGGATTCTGATGTATTTCTATGGCTGGGAGAAGTGGATCTATATACACAAATATGTTAAATGAGACTTTTCCTGTTGTTTTAAAGTTTGGACAGAAATGCCATCACCTAAATAGGACTAGATAAAATATTTGGAATCTGGTTTGTGACCCTTAGTTTATTACCTGACTGAGGAACATAAATGAGATTTGTTAGAAAGTTGTGGAGATTGGAGATGGTGAATTTATTTTATTGGAATTGCCAGTTTGCTTTTGAAGATAAACCTATATCACCTAAAGCTCTGTGAGAGAATGTTCAAGATAACCATTTGTAGACTTTGGCATGGGTGCTTTGGAGACTAAATAGCTCAGGAAATAATATCTGGCTCAACTCAAATGGCTAGCTTTGTATCTACTTTGGGACAGAAGATCTAAAAAATGATTCTTAAGGATTCAGTGGGCTGGAGATAAACCCTGCAAAATGTGGTCGATTATAAGGCTTTTTGAAAAGGACTCTTCATTAAGACAGCCTTGTTTCTAGAGGCAAGGTGATATCACCAGAACAGTATTGGCATATATATTGAGATGCAGAGACCCTTGTAGAGGCTATAAACATCACTTAGAAGAAAAAGTATCTGAAGCATACTGAAATGGGGTGGTTTCAAACTGCTTCATGTGATATAGAGAAGAAATAGATCATGCACTTTTCTACCTACTGACTCCTCGGGTGAAGTCAGACCAAGCTGCAGTAGAGAGAATGTACAAAGCTGAGAGTGTAAGATTTTTATTTTACACAGATCCAGATGTCTTAATGCCTGAAAAAATATATATGTTTATATACATTTATATATTTATATAAATATTAATATTTATTTATTTATAAGTTTTATTATTTATAAATATATAAATATGTACATTTAATATATAAATATATTCATATACTTATATGCTTATATAAATATTAATATTTATTGATATACTTATATATAAATATATAAATATATAAATATATAAATATATAAATATATATTTATATATTAAATATATAAATATATATTTATATATTAAATATATTTATTTCTATATACATTTATATATAAATGTATAAATATATAAATATATATTTATATATACATTTATATATAAATTTATAAATATATATTTATATATTAAATATATGTATTTATATATACATGTATATATTTGTATAGAAATATATATTTATATATAAATATATAAATGTATAAATATATATTTATATATAAATATATAAATGTATAAATATATATTTATACATATAAATATATAAATGTATAAATATATATTTATACATATAAATATATACTACATAGTAAATAAATTTATACATATATATTTATATATTAAGTATATATTTATATATAAAATATATAAATATATATTTATATATAAAATATATAAATATATATTTATATATTTGTACATTTATATATAAATGTCTTTCATGAAAGCAAAATAAACATGTGAAAGTTGATGAAGGAAGTAGTCTACAGAGCTGAGTAAAGATATTTACCTTTTTGTACTCTAATGAATACAATTCATTTAATAGACATTCTCATAAATGTAGGTGCCTTGTAATATTTGAGTCGAGCACATTGATTTACTTGTGCTCTCTCCCCTTTGGAAATTGACTGAGCATTCCTCAGATGCACTAGGAATTCATGAACCTGCTGTTGAGAAGGTACCGTAAACATGAATTACCATCTGTGTTAGACACAAATACCACCCACATCCCTTTTTAATTAAGGACTTTCTGCCCACCTATGACAAGTACAGTCAGTGGATAGTTTAGCTCAACCAAAGAGAACTAATCAATACCACACCTTTCCCACAGAATCCTGAATCTTGAGGTGGTGGTAAAAAGGCCCAACTATTTTGGCCTAACATGGAGCAATCTTTTGAACAATACTTATGCTAGAACTCTCTATTAGGTAGACTAAAGCTTTTTCAGGTCTACATCATTATTCAGCTTTGTCTTCTACTTAATCCTGCTAACTTCACCTACTTTACACAGGTATTAATCCTTAACATCATGCACCAAAATATGTCCCAACACCTGCTTCTGGAGAACCCAGCTGCAACGATGTATATAACATGGGATTTTAGAACTGGATTATTCATTTCCTCACTGCCAGTGAGGACCCAAATAATGATGGCAGATAAAGTACAGATTGACACTTTCAAACACATTCACCAATGTGACTGTAGACTACTGCAAGCTCAGTCCAATAGTGGCCTTAATTGCAGCTGCTATTACAGTTGTAGTGCTTTTGTCACAGCAGTCTTATATGACCCCAGGTATATGGTATGCAGCCACTGATTTGGTGAATAAATCGTTTCCTATCCCAATCAGAAACATAACATAATATAGTCCAAGGAAGTACAGACCATCTTGACATCCTGCAGAGCATCACATCAATACATTACAATGATGAGATCATATTGTTTGGACCAGATGGGCAAGAGGTAACTAGCACCATGGAGGCATTGGTAAGATGCACGTGTTCTGGAGGGTGAGCACAGATTCTGGTCTGGATATTCTACAGATTCATGTTCTGGATTCATCCATAAAATTTTAGGAGTCCAAGAGTTCAGGGGTCAGGGGCATGCCTGTGTGTGGTCTCTAAAGTAAAGGCTAATTATTACATTTTGCCCCTCCTACCCCCAGAAAATCTCATTGCCTGATGAGCCTCTTTGGGTTCTGAATTCAGCATATTTCATACTTAGCGATACTTCTCTGGCCCAATTACTGAACAATATGAAAAGCTGTCAGTGTTGAGTGGATAACAAAGCAAGAAAGAACGCCATAGCTGGCATAGGGCTATGTTATAAGAAGCCCTGCTACATGAGCCATATGAATCAGCAGACGCTTATAGTGTTGGAAGTGGTTAAAGAGATTTATTTTATAAAGAGAAAAGTTGGTCTCCTTTTAACATCTAGAACCTTAACCATACCAAAGAAAATACTGGATTGTTTTTTGACCTGAAGCTTATATATATCATGTTTTACAAGATGCCTGGCAAGTGGGGAGAATTCTAAATGTTAAAACATTGACAGGGAACATATACACTATCAGTCAGCCTATAGACCTACTCACCTAAGAAGTTTATGAGATTGGACAGATGGTGGTCCAAAACAGAGCAGCCCTAGATATAACACTGGCCTTTTGAATTTGTATACATGCCATCTTAGAAGAAGACTACTGTATATAGCTATACTCTTTTCTGATTTTTAATATTACTTAGCAGATTTGGGAATAAAATGAAGACATTGTGAAATTAGGTATTTGGCTAATACCCATGTATCTAATTCTGAGAGTTCATATTGGGGATAGAATATGTTCTCTAGGCTTAATCTTAACACTTTTGGTTCTTGACTTAGAATTACATAGCAAACAAACCAGAATCCTTCTGTTAATATTTATTTTTACTGTGGTGTTTAAAGGTATAATCTTCAGACTTATAAATCCATCAGATGATACAACAATCACCTACCCCAAAGAAGAGAAAATCTTGATATATACGTTAATTGAAACCAGTGCCACCATAAGCCTGATATTCAAGCATGACTCTTCAAATAGTGATACACACCAGGATTGATTATGTCCTCAGACTGTAATGGTCAATCTTCCAGGAATGGTTGAACAATGAAAACAATGAGGAGACTGTGACCTGAGAAAATGTCTTTAAATATGACTTAAATAATAATAGGCCATGTGTGCCAATATTATTTAGTTGCGTCTTCCAGGAAAACTTTGCAAGGGAAATATGAGACTAAGTCAGTAAATAACTATCATGTTCTCTTCAGGAAATCCCTACAGATTACTTTATCAAAGGCTATAGAGGGTTTATCTAGGCAAACTGCTTACTTAATAAGCAACAAGCTCACTTTAAGCCGCTTGATTTGCTGTGTCATTTCTAAATTATTATATCACAAATGAACCCCACTTCACAACAGTTCACCATTGTGAAAATATATCATGAAGCCACTGAAGCTCAGACCTCAAAGTCCGATAAATATTCCATATCTGAATATTTATCTGAAGAGGAATAGTGTTTCCTCTTCTGAAACACTAAGTAGTCTGTCAAGAGGGTATTTTTTCTTACTGCAATGAGTTAAATAATCTTAGTTTTGCTTTAATAACAGACAATATTTCAGAGAATTCAACAATACAATCAATTGACTAGGAATGGGTTTTGACACATTCTATGTCAGAGTTCTTTATGATAAATTTAGTTTGATTAAATATGTCAGGCTTTATTTGTTCCCTGCAACAAACAAAACGTAAAATTCAGAGTGCTAACCAGTATCTATGTTGTAATGTGTGCCATAGAACACAGAATAAGCCAATCTAAACTCATAAAAAATGTGTGATGAGCACTCAAGATATGCAGATGAGAGTTGAAAAGAGAATCTTCTACACTATACCAGATACCTCATTTTCTAATCTTGGCTATATAGATAGATAGATATTCTAACTTGGCAATATACCATATATATATTCTCCCATGCATATATATTCTACCTTGGGTCATTTAAAGTTTCATATTTTGCTTATAATAGTTTCAGTAGGAATTTGCTCACTATAACACATGGAATCTTAACAAATAGGCAGGTGTAGATCACAGAGAGCTTTGACAATCATGTTAAAATATTTGAACTTTTTCTGAAAAACAATTAATAAGCCAAAAATTGACAGAATTTGTACTTTAAAAGATCACATTCTTTTATCAGTGTGTGATAGATTAGAAGAGAAGAAGATTAGACACAGAGAAGTTCACTAGCCGTCTATTATAATAGTTCAAAGAAAAGATCTTGGATGTCTTGGAATAGGATATGTTAGTGGAATTAGAGATACATAGACAAGTTTAAAGGTGTTTTGGAAAGTGAACTAAAAAGCTTGGTGTTTATTTATATGGACTGGGTATTGTAGGTTAGAGGAAAATAAGGGTCAGGAGTGATTCTAAAGTTTCTGTTTGAGGCAAATAAATGATTGTTCCATTGGCCAAAATCGAATATTAAATGAGGAGCAAATTTTGCAAGTTGGGTAGGAGAGGGCTCTGGAAAGTAATGAGGTCAATGGTGAACATACTGAATGCATTACCTATAAGACAGCCAGACAAAATTTCTAGTAGCAGGTTGGATATACTGATTTGAACGTTTTAAATGGATGACTGTAGGTGCAAACTGAAGTCATAAGCATTACCCTACTAATTGAACCAAGGAAATTGATAAGGTCACTGAGAGTAGAAACATCCGAAAAGAAAAGCCTAGGGCTAAGGCAGAGATCTTTATTAATAAAATATTTAAAGACAGAGAAAAGGTGTTTTAATATAGTGAAAGTGAAGCAATGGCTAGATAAATAGAAACAATTCATAAGTGTGTATACTATGGAAGTCTAGGATAACTTTGGTAAGAGTATTTTGGACAAGAGATAATGTAAAACAATGCGGAGGATCAAGAAATGAGACTGAAATGAGTCTCATTTACACATATGTGATTAGTGTGATGTGGAAACCAGCAATGAGAGTCTAACAGAAAAATTTCTGGATACGTAAAGAAATATATTTAAACGATCTAATGCATGTATATAGAAAATGTACCAAGTTTTTGATAACTCAGAATCTCAACTAATAATACAAAACATTTCTATTCTGTTTCTTCTGTTTCGTCCTCTTTTTACTTAAATGAGACACATTTAAGGTATGCAGAGACATTTCTTTGTTGTTAGAATAAGAAGCATATAGATGTTCACTTCTATGGTAGCTGTCTTTATTCTGCCACATATGTGCCGTCCTTACCCTCAAAAACAATACTGGAAATACACAGACATCAGAAACTTGAATATTAGGCAGAGAAGAAAGAGAAGAAGAAAGAAAAAAGTAAGGAGAGAGAAAGAAAAAGAAAACAGAAAATGAGGGGAGAAAAAAGAAGAGAGCAGAGGAGAGAACAGAAGAGAAAAGAAAGAACAATTTTAAAGAAGAAAAGAAAATAACTATATTATTTTGACAATTTTCTGTTCTTAGGCCAGTAGTTTTCTTTTTTGAACCATTTTCTTGACCTTTTCATCAACTCTGATGGAGAAGCTACAGTCATTACAAATCAAAATGAAAGTTAAAACAAGACACTCAAATACTGTGACTAGTGTGTTGCTTTTTCTGTTCTTGTTCTCTAACATTTAATTTTTAAAAGATTATTTCAGAATCTTTCCTTTATATTTGTGATTTAGAAAACAGTCTGTAAAAGCAAAAGTGAACGTCAATGAACTGAGATTACCTAAATGGTGTATTTTGAAAAGTCCATTGAAGCATGATCTTATCTCTGTATCTATTTTCACGTTAACTATCTCAAATGGAGTATTTTGTTCATTTGCTCTTCTTGAGACAACTGTTAATGAACATATGGAAAATACGATTTATATTTCTTGAAGTAAACGAATGTTTCAAGTAGCCACCTTCTTGAGGAGATTAGTAACAGACATTGGAATTTACTAGCTCCAGGTAACTTGCTACACCTAATCACAAAGCACTCCTGACTACCTGTTGTACTGCCCTGGAATACCTTAGTAGACGGTGAAGCACGCAAGAGGGGAAAAGAAATTTTCATTTGGTGCCGAGGAAATAACTCTATAGCACATTTGAGATGAGATCTAGAAATTTCCTTCCTGCAGTTGGTTCACTCAGATTTAGCAAAAGGAGTGGAACAGCAGCAAACATGCTCTAGAATGTAGAGTTTAAGGGAAGAAAACAGAGCCTCTATTGAAAAGTTAAAAATAAAGATTTCTTACTTTAAGCAAATTTTTCACAACTTGCTATAGTTGAGAATTAATATAATTATCAGTTTTACTAAAGAAAGCTTTGCAGCAATTACACTTAATTTCCATATAATGAGAATAAAATAATTTAGCACATGACTCAGAAGCAAATCAACAGGACCTCTAGAAGTAATTTCAGACTAGATTACATTACTGATGTTAGTTATAGATTTCTGCAATACTCTTTGACAGAAAAACAAAATACATACAAACACCTCTCTTTATGAATTGTCATTTGTTTAGTCAAATATACACAGTTTCACTTCAGACAAAAGTTCAGTACACAGTTTCACTTCAGACAAAAGTTCAGGCATTTTTAAGTAAATTATTATCTTTTTAAAATTTTCATTAAATCCTAAGTAATAAAGACTATCCATATATTATTCAGAATTGGGGGGGGGGGTTGTCATAATCTTGAGTCTGCTGTCCGGCATAAGAAAAAAGCTGGTCATAGTGGTTGTAGTTCCCCTGACCAATTGTTTTTCACAATTACTTCTTTCCATCTGGTATTGTATGCCACAGATAACTAGTCTTAAAATCAACTAGCTCTGACTGTTACTACTAGAAAATAGCTCTAAAATTTAGGAAGGTATTTGAATGCAATATAAAGTACCATTTTGTAATATACTTAAAGTTATAAAACACTGAAAATTAGAAACTCAAGAATAGCTTATCACAAATAGCTTAGAAGAGTAGGTAAGACAAAGCTAGATTAGCACAAAGATATACAAATAAAGCATTTAAACAACAACGACGACAATAACAAAAAGGTTCATACATGTATTGCTACCTAATTTAAAATAAAGCCCACTGCGATTCAGTGGGGGAAAAGATGGCCTTTCAAAAATGAATGATGTTTAAATCATTGGATAACAATATGAAAAAAGTGAAACTTGACTTCCACATCACATAATAAATAAATTAAATCAGAAAAGAATGAGAGACCAAATGTAAAAGGGTAAACAATAAAGCTTCTAGGGGATAGGGAATATATCCATGATCCTGGAGTAAGCAAAGATTTCATAAACAATGCACAAAACTATAAAATGCATTAATCCTAAAGCAAAAGATTGGCAGGGGTCTTAATTAAAATTAAGAATTTGTATTAAAAAGGCATGATAAAAAGAATGACAAGCCATAATTTGGGAAAATAGTTTTATAATTAATATATATAATAAAGAACACGTGTAGAATATTTAAAGAAATCTACAAGCAAATATGAAAAAAATACAATTCAATTAAAAAACAAAATTGACAAAGACTTAAAAACACAATTCAGTTAAGCATATAAAAAGTTGCTCAGTCTTATTAATTACCAGGGAAATACATATAAAAATTACAATGATATATCATTACATAGTTGAAAAATGGTTTGACATTATCTGCTATTGCTAAGCAGCTGCCAACCTGTTAAATCAGCAAATTCCACTATTAAGTATAGTGAATCTATATCCAATATCCAAACCATGGTAGTTTTGTTCATGATATGAATAAATCAGATGAAAACTTAAGCTCACAAATAACCACATGAATATGCTACTATGATATATTCATGCAAGCAAACGTCATGCAGTGATTTTTTTTAAATACAAGAAAAGATGCACATAATAACATGGCTAAATTTCATATATATAATGATGAGCAAAGAAAGCCAGACACAAAATAGTGTACTTTATATGCCTATATTTACAAAATGATTAAAAAGAGAAAAAACTAACCAATGAGTGATAGAAGTCAGAATTGTAGTTGCCTCAGGTTGGGAAAAGTGGGGGATTAAAGGTGAAGGGGAATAACAGAGCCATCTGGAAACAGTTTATTCAACTGTTTTTATCAAACCCTGTTAGATTGCTAGACCACACAGTACAAAGTTATTCCCTGTAGTCCAAACAGAAGCTACAAAAGTGCAGTGGGTTATTGTGATTCAAAATGTACATAAAATGATGACTACAAATTTCTTCTACTACAGTGTAACTTCTATAACATAGACTTCTTTGTAGACAAAACTTCAAGGTTTTATCTCACACAAGCCCCAGCACAATGATCTGCACTTCAAGGACACGATCAGTATTCTAAATTTACTTAATTAATGGATGTTAGAATTTTAAACTGCATCTTTATCACGTATATATCCTTGTCAAGAAGGACAATGTCATTATCTTTACTAACATATGAAGGAAAACCAATAAGCTTCTACACAGCTCTTTTTAAAACTTTGGATATTTGTGGATAACTATGTAAAATCAGTATGTGGGAATATAAGTATAAAATTAAAAATAAGTGTCCCAAAGTATTTTGTGGATAAAGATATGGATGAAAAATCAGTAGACGTGAAGGGTATGACATTCTTGATGTTCAATGTAGATGTAGTATTATGATACACATAAAAATGCTCTTGGCCTACAATTGCCCCCTTCTTTATTTCTATATATGATTTGCTGTATTTTGACTTATTATAAGAGTACTCACACTATTAGTTTAGGAGAGAGATTAATTTTAAAACATTTGGTGTTTTCCTTAATCAAACAAATTTTATCCTTTGGAAATATATTGCCCAGAATAAAATTTCTACCCAAGATTTAGTAAGGGATGGAATTCATAGTGACAAAGATTTGGGGGAAAAAGTCCTCAGCGCATCTTTCCCATATCATTGGTTAAGTCTTTTTAATGAAAAACTATGAATTTAAATGAGACAGTTTAATAGATGCAAATTAAGATAATGGAAATTAAAAGTGTAAGTTAGAAGAACATTGTTTTCACAGGTGCTAAAATAGCAAAGGTTATTAAAGAAGTTCCCTGGAATTACACTACAGACGAAGGGTTGCTAAATTATTCCTATAGACACTAATACATCAAAGCACATTTTCATAAAATTTAAATAAAGCCAGTCTTTTTTGAATATAAAATGTTAAATTCCTCTTAAACCTAACAAAACTCAGAATTTTATTAATTTTATGCTATAAATGTATTAGAAAAATGGAATAATTAGACATTTATTCCAAATTCTGAACAGTAAAATTATGCAATTAGCATCTCCTATTATTTACACTCACTTCCTTTTCCTTTCTTGGCTGTTAATTTAAGATGTTATGTTAGTATTTTTTTTTTAATTTTTAGAATTGAGACCCTAAAGTTAGAGTCATAAAATTATATCATGTAAACAAAAAATTAATGCATAAGGCAGAGATGACAAGAGTGACACATCGCTGCTTATGACTATGAAATTTATTTCTGTTCGTAATTACGTGAATCAGCAATTTTATTAGCGAGTTTTCTTTCCCAGTTGCAATTCAGCAATGTGCATGGGAATTCAAGGTCTTCACCTTAATGTGACAACACTCACTAAGTGAGGAAGATCCTTGTTTTTAATGTAAAATTCACATTAAATATATTTTAACTTTAAAATCTAATATTTCAAATTAGAAGCTTAAAATCAAATAGATTAAATAAATTGCTGAACATTTCTGTGATCTGGCACATACTAAATGTTAATCCCTATAATTAATATCTAGCTTTTTCATTTACTAACAAGCTGTGGGTGTGAATTAGTTTTTCGGGAATTCACCATTTCATCATTTTAATGCTATTAAATTATTGTCAGCATACTTAAAACATTTTGAATATTTTAAAGTAAAATGATGAAGAAAGGTTAGTATTCTCTCAAGGAAGTTGTCATAATAATTTGATAATTTTAGTGCAAACAAAAAAATAGCAGCAGTCATATAAGGAATAAATATTATTTATACATAAATTATCTTCCGTGCTTTCTATCTGTGCTCCTTTAAATAGAGTTATATTGGAACATGGCAACACCCATTAGCTTACATATTGTTTATGACTGCTTTCATGCTGTAATGTCAGAGCTCAGTAGCAGCAATAGAAATGATAAAACTTGCAAAGCCAGTACTATTTACTCTCTGGCCATTTACAGAAAAAGTTTGCTAATCCCTACTCCATAGACTCATACAAGAAGGATCATAATTCAACACCTCATCTTTTATTATAGGAGTTATGAAGAAATTATTTCAGGTAGATAGAGAGGATAAGGGGTCCTTGGTAAGGTTTTATTTTCTTTTAAAGCAGCTCCAGAAACATTTCTTTTCTAGCAGAAAAATGATTTGAAGGGCCAGGCCAGCAAGCTTTGGTATACAAATGCCAGCCTTTAGAAACTGGGTCCATCCAATATGGCGATTCCCGCCTTCTTCTCATCACCATGTGTGCCAAGCATCATGGCCGCCCCCAGATATCTCCATGTGTGCACGTGTGTACAACATCATAGCACCCTGAATTTGCATATTAAAAGGCTAGGGCCAGAGGGCCAGTATTTTTGCAGGCATATGAATGACATACCTTGTCAATCCAATCCCCTGGGCCCTGTGTAAATCAGACACTGCCTCCTCCAGCCTCCTAATATAACCAACTGTTTTCTGCCACAGGTAGGGTTTCCTCTCTCGGCTTGGAGCCCCCCTTTTAGCAGCCACGGCAGGCAAGCCCACAGGGAATAGATCTGCAGAGATAAAACAGGTTCCAGAGGAGCAATCTGAGACAGCTATTGAATTTCCCAACCCTTCCAGTCTCCCTACAATAGTACCATCAGCTTCTCCAGCTCCACCATCTCCAGTATATCCTACTCTCCCCTCTTCACTCTTACCTCTGCAGGAAATGCCTGATAGAAATGGTGCCATGAGAGTTCAAGTTCCCTTCTCATTATAAGACCTTAAGCAAATAAAGGGAGACTTATGCTGATTTTCTGATGACCCCATTAGGTATATAGAAATTTTCCAAAATTTAACTCAGATGTTTGACTCCACAAGGTGGGATGTTATGTTGCTGCTAAGTCAGACCCTCACTGCAGCTGAAAAGGAGGCCGTTCTGAAGGCAGCAGAAAAATGCAGAGACAAGAAACATGCCTCCCATAGCAGATCAAGGGGAAAAGGGGATAGGGAAGGTGAGGAAGAAGTGGAAACTCCATTTCCACTAGTAAGGGAAGCAGTTCCAGTAGACAACCTGGATTGAAACTCCGATAACCCAAGAGATGAATGGAAAAGGAAGCACTTTTTAAGGTACATATAGGGGGCCTCCAGAAAACCAGGGACCAACCTCTCAATTACTCTAAACTGTCCATGATAGACCAAAGACCAGATGAGAATCTCACAGCCTTTATGGAAAAGCTGAGAGAGGTACACACCTCTTTATCCCCTGATTCAGTTGAGAACAGCTCATCCTGAAGGACAAGTTTATTACATAGGCAGCTCCTGATATTAGAAGGAAACTACTAAAGCAAGCTGTAGGACCAGAGAGCAGTGCAGAAAACCTCCTGAGAATAGCCTCTTTGGTCTTTTACAATAGGGATCTAGAAGAGGTCCAAGGCAAGGAGAGGAAATACAAGAGAAGGACAGAGGCTTTAGTGGCAGTGTTGCAAGCTTGCAAAGTCCAGGATCCCTGAGATTCATCCGCTAGCTGTTATTGATGTGGCAAGTCAGGGCATTCTAAGAAGGAATGTCCAGGCAGCAAGACAAAGCCACCTTGGCCCTGTCCAGCCTGTGGCAGAAACCACTGGAGATGGATCTGCCCCTGGAGGCAGAGTTCACTGGGTGAAGAATCAGTCTCACAAATGGTCCAGCAGGACTGACAGGTCCTGGGGCTCAAACCCCTGGCTCAGGCTGCCATTACAGCACAGGAACCTTGGGTGATTCTGGAGACTGAAGGAGGGAAGGCAGATCTTCTGGATACTGAAGCCAGTGTCTCTCTCCTCCTCTCTAATCCAGGGCTCCCCTCTTCCCATAGCATGACCGATAGGGGTGTCTCAGGAAAAACTCTAACCCGATACTTTGCTCAATGCCTTAGTTGCAGATGGGGGACGTACTATCTACACATGCCTTGTAAATCATGCCTGAAAGTCCCCCTCCTTTACTAGGCAGAGGAGCATCCTTATGCCTAGTGGGGACCAGCATCCTTATAGCCTCAGGACAAATGGTTTATCTCCCCCTGATGGAAGCTAACATTAATCCAGAAATGTAGGCAACTCAAGAATAGGTCTAGCTGTAACTGCTAGGCCAGTCCAAACCTATTTTAAATATCCCACTACTTTTCTAACCAGAAACAGTATCTCCTGAGGCCAGAGGCTAGGAAAGGGCTAAAAACCATTATTAATAACCTAAAGATGCATGGTCTCCTCAAACTCTGTAATAGCCCCTTGCAACACCCAATATTAGGAGTGCAGAAACCCAATGGGGAATGGAGATAGTTCAGGACCTCTGCCTTATTAAAGAAGCTGTAGTTCCAATCCATCCAGTGGTGCCTAATCCCTAGACCCTGTTAACTCAAATACCTGAGGGAACTAAATGGCTTACAGTCCTAGATTTAAAGGATGCCTTTTTCTGCATAAGATTACATCTAGACTCTCATACCTGTTTGCATTCAAAGATGCCTCTGGCAAGACCGCGCAGTTAACATGGATGGTGCTGCCTCAGGGATTTTGAGATAGTCCTCACCTGTTTGGACAGGCACTGTCAAAAGACTTCTCTGAGTTATCTCATCCCCAAGTTAGGCTCTTGCAGTATATTGATGATGTTCTGCTCTGTGCCCCAACTAAGGAAGCTTCTCAGAAAGGCCCTAACGCTCTTCTCAACTTCTTAGCTAACAGAGGATATAAGTTTCAAAACCCAAGGCCCAGCTTTGGAAAACCTCAGTGAAGTGCCTAGGCTTAGTGCCATCTAAGGGGACCAGAGCATTAGGGGAAGAAAGCATTAAGCCTATTTCTTCCTTTCCTCTCCCCAAAACCCTCAAGCAACTAAGAGGATTTTGTAGACAATGGATATCTGGGTATGGTGAAATAGCTTATCCATTATACAACCTCATAAAAGAAACTCAGAGAGTTAAAACTAATCTTTTAACCTGGGAATCTGAAGCACAAAAGGCCTTTAACCAGCTAAAACAAGGCTTGCTTAAGGCACCAGCTCTCAGCCTCCCTGTAGGGAAGGCCTTCAATCTGTATGTATCAGAAAAGAAGGGAATGGCTCCGGGAGTCTCAACACAGACCCAAGGACCAGATCAACAGCCAGTGGGTTACCTAAGTAAGGAACTAGATTTGGTGGCTACAGGATAGCTAGCATGCTTCCAAGTCATTGCCTCAGTGGCTCTGCTGATCCAGAAGCCTCCAAATTAACCCTAGGAAATGATTTAACTGTTTACACCCCACACAATGTGGCAGGACTATTGCACTATAGGGGGAGCCTTTGGCTAACAGAGAGCCAACTCCTTAACTATCAGGCCCTGCTGTTAGAGGGTTCCCACATCCAGTTAAAGACTTGTTCTCACCTAAATCCAGGCAATTTCCTCCCCAAGGAAACTGGGGAACCTGAGCATAAGTGTGAACAAGTCACAGTACAGACCTATGCAGCCAGGGAAGATCTCAGGGAAACTCCACCAGACAATCCAGACTGGACCCTCTTCACAGATGTGAGCTGTTTTGCAGAACAAGGGATCCGTAAGGCAGGATACACTGTAGTCACTCTAAATGACGTCATTGAAAGTGCATCTCTCCCTCCAGGCACAAGCGCTCAATTAGCTGAGCTAATAGCTCTTACAAGAGCAATTGAATTAAGCAAAGGAAAGGCAGCTAACATTTACACTGACTCCAAGTATACTTTCCTGGTTCTCCATAATCATGCTGCCATTTGGAAGGAAAGACATTTTCTTACCACCAATGAGTCTCCTATAAAATATCACCTGGAAATTAATAGGTTATTATCCTCAGTATTCCTTCCACAAGAGATAGCAGTGATGCATTGTAAGGGCATCAAAAGGGAACAGATTAGGCAGCTGAAGAACATAGATTAGCTGATCAGGCAGCTAAGTCAGCGGCAAGGAAGCCTCAAAACATCAATACACTTCAAACCCCTCTAGTCTTGGAGGGCTCCATAACAGAAACTAAACCTCAATACTGCCCTATAGAAATAGAATGGGCCACTTCTTGAGGGTATACATTTCAGCCCTCAGGATGGTTATAGTCAGAGGATGGCAAACTCCACTTGCCAGCCTCCAGCCAATGGAAAGCCCTTAAAAATCCTTCACCAAACTTTTCACTTGGGAAAGGATAAAACTTATCAGTATGCCCAGAGATTGTTTTCAGGAGAGAACTTACTAAAAACAGTCAAGTAAGTTGTTAACGCTTGTAAAGTCTGTTTTAAAAATAATCCCCTGAACAGGCAACTCCTTCCTCCTCAAACCCAAAAAATAGGAAGTCATCTGGAGGAAGACTGGTAGATAGACCTCACCCATGTGTCAAGGACAAAGGGTATTAAATGCCTGGTGGTATGGGTAGTTACCTCCACTAACTGGGTAGAAGCATTTTCATGCCATATAGAAAAAGTCTCTGAGGTAATAAAAGTGTTAGTTAATGAAATAACTCCCTGCCTTGGTCTACCTAAGTACCTTTGAAGTGACAATGGGCCCTCGTTTAAGGCAGCTGTCCCACAAGGGGTCTCAAAAGCACTAGGCGTAGAATATCATTGCCATTGTGCTTGGAGACCCCAATCCTCAGGAAAGGTAGATAAAACTAATGATATTATCAAGAGACACCTCAGAAAATTATCGCAAGTAAATCACCTTCCTTGGGTCACTCTTCTTCCCATGGTCTTACTATGAATAAGAAACACCCCTTCAAAATTAGGTCTTAGCCCTTTTGAGTTGCTGAACAGATGGCCTTTCTTTACCAATGATTTTCTATTAGATCGGGAAACCTCTGAGCTAGTTAAGCATGTAACCTCTCTGGCTCCCTTCCAACAGGAATTGGCACAATTAGTGAAAGCCAATTTCCCGGAAATTGGACAACCTCTATTTAACCCATGAGATATAGTACTGGTAAAGGCTCTCTCTTCTCTCTCTCCCTCCCTAAGCTCAAGCTGGGAAGGGCCTTACACTGTTCTTCTTTCAACCCCCTCAGCAATATAAGTTACAGGAATTGACTCTTGCATACATCACACTCAAGTCAAAGCCTGGAGAGCTGAGGGAGTAACCCCTGGCAGCCCAGAGGAATGTCCTGAATATCAATGTGGTGAAATAGGAGATCTTAAGCTGAAAATCACACACAAAAAATAAGCAATTGAGTGAGAACTACTTATCTTACTCAGTCTCACTCCTACCTCACCAAATACTTTTTGTCATTTCTACCTCTCCTTTTGAGCCAAATATTAGAACTTCTTTTAGATGGAAATTATGTACTATGCCATCCTTGCGGGAATTGCTATCCTCACTCTATTTGCAGTGGGACTATATACTGTAGCACCCTCAGTGTGGAATATTAGAAAGAGAATCTCAATTACTATAGCATTTTGCTTAATTATTATCCTCATAGTAGTAATAACTGTTACTAACAAGAAGTAAACATGAGCATTTTGCTATCACTAAGTCTGTTAGGACTTTTTATACAACTTAGTAATACATCACACCATTTAGCTCCTACAATATCTGCCATGGCCCATTCGTACAATAAGACTAATTGTTGAGTTTCTCCTAAGTGGTTTGCTCAGTTCAATGACATTAAGGAACCTTACAATGACCTGGATCTCACCATCTTAGGATTCCCTTTGTTGGCTTTCCCTTTAACCCTTAAAGACTTATCAGGCATAAATTGGGCAAGGTATGGGAGCACTTACAATTAGGTGACTAATTCCCCTCAGAGAACACTGGGCCCCCAAGTGCCAAATAACACTCTCCCCAAAGATAAACTTCACACCCTTAGGCTGGGGAAAGTTGACAAAGTAATAGCAAACACCTCCCTCGGCTTCAAAAGCAGTGGGAAGGACCATACGTGGGAGATCTCAGATATTGTAACATCACACTTGTAATTGCTGATAGTTCAAAGATTTGGGGAGGAGAGCGCAAAAAGCGTAATATAAAAGGATCAGAAGCCCTAGAGGGGGCTTTCAGAATCTAGCTTCTCCTCCTGGTTGGAAGTCCCAATGGGAATGGCATGCTCTAAATAACCACCTTGACTATAATGTAAAGAATAACACATGGGCCTTTCCAAACATTCCCCCCGATAGAATTCCAGACTCTTGTATGATGTTTGCTAATAGTAGCAGGTTACAGATCTATAGGCAAACTGGAGACATCTGGACTAAGAGCCCTTGCCACAAGGATGATCATCTAAGATATTGGCCAGCGCATATGATGTCTCTAATGTTTTGAAACTCCATTTGTCAAGTGGATCCTTCTCACTTGGTATGTCAAATTCCAAACAGCATCGTAAATGACTATCTTAAATATTTGATTTCCTTATCCCAAGGATGCCCCTATTGTATGTAAAGAGGGGAAACTTCTAAGATATGAAGAAAATTTGCTGGTGTCTCTCACAAGCCACAACTTAAAACCGTCCCTTCAAGGAACAGGGCTAGATTTCCTTTGTGGCTCCTGGATACGCTTAATTATCCAAAGGCATTGGAAGGGAACTTGTACTATAGTAGTAGTAGCTCTTGACTTATTATTTTTAAATTCTACCGAGATGGCAGCATCATCTGTGGACATCCCTAACGTAGGATCTTTTCTAGAAACTGCACTATCTCAAACACGCTGGACAAAGAAATCTATCATTTCCATGCCCTCATATGGAGATTTAACTGAAAGGCAGACTGGAGAGGGCATGCAAATGACAGTCCCATCTTGAAAAACCATAGATGGGAAATTCTATAGCCAAGGTCTATTCTGGTTTACGGGCATCCCTCTCCTTGAAAGATCAGTACTTAATATACCTATTATGATGCATTGAGGTTGGAAGTCAACTGTAAGGGCCATAGAGGCAAAATAACAATCTATAGATCCTTTAGTCTCAGTAGTAGCACAAAATAGATGGCGGGTCATGGATGTCCTTACAGCTGAAGTAGGAGGCACCTGTGCACTTTTAAATAAAATGCACTGCTTCTAGATTAACACCCCTAGTAAAGTAGGGGAAAATCTACAGGTACTTAAAGATGGCATCAAAATTATTGACAGGCTAAGAGAAAATGCAGGCTTCAGCCCCAGGTGGCTACAATCCCTCTTTAATGAATTCCAGTCTTCTTTATGGAATTGGTTAGCTCCTTTTTTAAGCCCCTTCTTGCTTATATGTCTTGTATTAATATTTGGAGCTTGTATACACAATACTATAACTTGAATTGTTTCCTCTTGCATAGAAGCAAAATCAAATTCCAAATGGTGCTGCAAACCAAACGATGCATGGACACTCCATTCTTCCAAGGACTCTTAGATCGACCCCAGGAGGAACCCTAGCTTCTGTCCCCACTCTACGCCCCTTTCCAGAAGAAGTATCCAGAAAGAGGTGTCGCCCAAAACCCCCTAATAGCAGTTAGGGTGACATCTTCTCAGGGGGCAGTATTATAGGAGTTATTAAGAAGTTATTTTAGGCAGATAGAGAGAATAAGGGGTCCTTGGTAAGGCCTTTTTTTCTTTTAAAGCAGCTCGAGAAACTTTTCTTTTCTAGCAGAAAAAGGGCTTGAAGGGCTAGGCAGGCAAGCTTTGATATGCAAATGCTGGCCATTAGAAATTGGGTCCATCCAATATGGCAATTCCCACCTTTTTCCTCTGACAACATGTGTGCCAAGCATCATGGCCACCCCCAGATACTTCCACGTGTGTAAAATATCACGACACTGTGCATTTGCATATTAAAATGTTACAGTGAGAGGAACAGTTTTTTCGTGGGTTACGTGAATGACATTCCTTGTCAAACCAATCCCCTGGGCCCTAGGTAAATCAGACACTTCTTCCTCCAGCCTCCTAATATAACCAACTGTTTTCTGTCACACTCACAGTTTGTTCTGTCAGCTTGGAGCTCCCCTCCCTCTGTCTAATACAGGGGAACTTCTTCCTTCTTTCCTGCCTATTAAACTCTCTGCTCCCTAAAACCACTCCACGTATGTCTATGTAGTTTTACCTGAATTGGCTCAAGGTAAAGGACACTGGTGTTCCTCCAGTCATTAGAGCCATATCATGTTCATTTGTTACATATTCCAGAGGTCTGGAATCCTGGCAGCTGGAAACCTAGCAACCCCCACAGACACTTGAGCTGGAAAGGAAGACTGCTTAGAGAGGCAGTAGGGTCAGGACTGCAGCCCGTGCAGAGCCCAGCAGGTTTGGTGCAGGAACATATGCAGTGGAGCATGGCCAGAGATGCCCATCCCCCAAGGCTCACCATGGTCCTCTGGAAGACTTTAGCCGCAGGAGGATGTTGGAGCAAGACAGAGCAGAGCAGTCTTGCCAGTGAGATGGGGCCAGTTTGGTCTTGGTGCCCCATGTCTGCTGGCCACTCCCAGGACCCCAGCCTGGCCATGTCCACTTGCCATGCAGTCTCTGATGCCCAACCAGGGTGCATCCCAGAGGCCCACATCATAGCTCCTTCACTGGAAGACCACGCCTGACCATCAGCGCTCCAGCAGAATGGCACCCACTGATAGCATCAGCCCACCTGCACCCTCCCCCAGCACCGCTTTGTCAGCATGCACTCACTCACAGCCACCCCTCCTCTGCTTTGCCTTGAGCTTGTGTGTGGGCAGACATTGCTTCCTTCCCCTTGCAAGGGCAGTGTGTGCCCATGCCCCCTGCTACACCACTACTGCTGGCATGAGTGTACTCCATCCCCCTCCACCACCACTGCACCACTGGTGTGAACACATGCCCAGATAGATGCCAGCGATTTTGCCCACTCTCTGTGCGGCCATCACTGCTGGCACCAACAAGCACACAGACATCAACAACACTGTCCCCCACCCTGAGCAACAACCACTACTGCTGCAAAAGCACACACAAAGGAAAGCCAGCATCCTCAGGTGAACCAGTGTCCTGCATCCTCTGCTGCTGCCTCCACCGGCATCAGCATGTACATGAAGGCCACAGCCCCTTCCCAACTGGTACCCCAGCCCAGCCAACACACATGCACCCTGCGGTACTGCCACTGCTCCTCTCACACATGAATGAGCACAGACCTCATTGCTACTGCCCCAATGATGTTTTTTGGTCAGCACCACCCATCAGAGTGTTGTGGCCAGTGGTCTGAAAATACTTTGACCCCCCTAACACATCAGGATCATAACCTCCAGGGTTCAAAGAACAAAGCTGGGGCCCTAATAATAGAGTTAGAGCATGCAGCCCAGAAGTGCGGAGCTGAGCCTTGGCTGCCTAAAATCATATAAAATTGAAGCCAGTCCACTATAACTACCTCTTGCCACGATCAAACCATTAAGGGCATAAAAAAAGATAAAATCAAAAGAACCCATTTAAAGGATGCAAGGTTGGTTCAACACATGCAAATCAATAAATGTGATTTATCACATAAACAGATGTAAAGACAAAAACCACATCATCATCTCAATAGATGCAGAAAAGACTTTCAATAAAACTAAACATCACTTCAGGTTAGAAACCCTCAACAAACTAGGCATTGAAGGAATATACTTCAAAATGGTAAGAAGTATAACATCTGTGCCATCTATAACAAGCCCACAGCCAACATCAGACAAATGGGCAAAAGCTGGAACCATTCCCATTAAAAACCAGCACAAGACAAGGATACTCTCTCCCACAACTCCTATTTAACATAGTACTGAAAGTCCTAGCCAGAGCATTCAGGCAAGAGAAAGAAATAAAGGTATCCAACTAGGAAAAGAAGAAGTCAAACTATCCATGTTTGCAGATGAAATGATTCTATACCTAGAAAACCCCACGGTCTCAGTCCCGAAACTCCTTGATCTGATAAAGAACTTCAGCAAAGTTTCAGGATACAGAATCAGTGTAGAAAAATCAACAGCTTTTCTTCATGCCAATAACGTCTAAGCTGGCAGCCAAATCAGGAATGCAACTCCATTTACAATAGTCATAAAAAGAATAAAATACTCGAGAATACAGCTAACCAGGAGGTGAAAGCTGTCTTCAATGAAAACTACAAAACATGCTCAAAGAAATCAAAGCCGACACAAACAAATAGAAAAACATTCCATTCTCATGGATAGGAAGAATCAACTTTGTTAAAATGGCCATACTGCTCAGAGAAATATACAGCTTCAATGCTATTCCTATCAAACTATCAATGACATTCATTATTCACAGAGTTAGAAAAGGCCACTTTAGGCTGGACGTGGTGGCTCCTGCCTTTAATCCCAGCACTTTGGGAGGCCGAGAAGGGCGGATCATGAGGTCAGGAGTTCGAGACCAGCCTGACCAACAGGGTGAAACCCCCGTCTCTACTAAAAATACAAAAATTAGCTGGGCATGATGGTAGGTGCCTGTAATCCCAGCTACTCAGGAGGCTGAGGCAAAATAATCGTTTGAACCTGGGAGGGGGAGGTTGCAGTGAGCCAAGATCATGTCATTGCACTCCAGCCTGGGCCATGAGACTCCGTCTCAAAAAAAAAAAAAAAAAAAAAAGACCATTTTAAAATTTATATGGAACCAAAAATGAAAGTCAAAATAGCCAAAGCAATCATAAGTAAAAAGAACAAAGCTGGCCAGGTGTGGTGGCAAACACCTGTAATCCCAGCACTTTGGGAGGCCGAGGCAGGTGGATCATGAGGTCAGGAGATTGAGACCATCCTGGGTAACACAGTGAAACCCTGTCTCTACTAAAAAATATAGAAAAATTGGCCGAGCTTGGTGGCGTGCGCCTGTGGTCCCAGCTACTCTGGAGGCTGAGGCAGGAGAATGGTGTGACAAATATGACAAAGACAAATATGACAGAATATGAACAAGGATATAACCAAGAAAACTAAGTAACTTTATTTAAAGATATTATATAACATTTGAATTAATGGGGACCTAACTCATGTTCTTAGATAGGAAGACCAAATATCAAACTGTGTCAATTTTCTAATTGACCACTAGATTGAATGCAATACCAATTTAATATCTCTCAGCAATAATTTCCTTTTATAGAATTTGTCAAGCTGATTCTAAAATATATGTGGAAAGAGCAAAGGTCTAAGATGTTCCAAGTTTTGTTACATACATCAGTGGCCCTGAAATCACTTTTGTTAAAATGGTTCTTTAATATGCATCAGAATTACCCGGAGTTGGAGAATAAGTTTTTAAGCATAGATTTCTGGACTCCAACCTGAGTGTTTCTCAGTCTGGAATGGAGCCTGAGAATTTGTATTTCTGACAAGTTCCCAGGTTACGCTAATGGTGCTGGTCTAGACTACCCTTTTTGAACAAATGCTATATAAGTGTACTGACTGTATGTATTTGTAGAACTTCCATTACTTTCATTGTAGCATAATGATAAAAATCCTAGACTCATGAGAAAGACACAGGGATTCTGATGTTTAATGTGCCAGTTACTCTCAATGTACTATAGGCTCTCAGCTTGCTCATCTGTGAAATAAATAGATTGGGTAAAATGACCTTTCTTCATGTTGAATTCTTGGTATCACTTTATAACCACGACCTTGGTCACACAGTAAAATGTAGTTTGATTATATATCAATGCACAAAAATGGGTTGGCTATTATTGTCCCTTTTGGTTTGTTTCTATTTCAATGTAGATCAATCTGTTTTTAGGTAGGTAGTATGTACTATTGGAAATCTAGCTACAATCAGAGGTTAAGATGTTTCTAAAGGTACCATGATTTACTGCAAAAACTATTTCCTGTTGAAATTTCAGGGAATAAAAAAATTCCCTAAAACATATCTAGAATGTCTAATAGACATAAAAGAAAATACCTTAAAAACTTCAGCCCACTCTTTACTTATTTACTACATTAGAATTCCTAGCGCACCCAAACCATGCCTGAAAGCAGGTTTTGCTCCTGCTTTCTCAATAGACTCACAATCCCTTGGGACCATTTCCCTCTCAGTGAGCTACATCTCAATCAGTAGACAATTCACCGAGGAGACTCAGTTTGAATTCTTGCTTCATCTAGTCACACTCAATTGAACATAGAGGCCTGTGATCATTAAAGGCCGCCACTTTCTCCTGACAGTTTCATGGAAGCGATCCAGAGCTACTCAGTCCCTGAATTTCATATTCCCTTGAAATTGGAGCTGCACAGTGTAGAGCGGTGTGACCTTTTCCTGTAGGCATTTTTCCTCTCTGCAGATTTAAAGGTATATATGCACATTAGAGAAATTTCACAAAGGACAATCACATAATAAAATGTGATAGGAAAGGTCATAATATACACCAGATAGTAATTTAATTCAGATAAGGAACTCTGCTGTATATATTACTAAATATATGGGATTTCAGAGGCACTTATTTTTTCTGTGATGATTTAAGTAGCCATATCACCTAAATGTTCAAACTGGTTCTTATTGAAGTAAATATACACTCCAGGTTTTTTGTTTGTTTTTCTTTTTTGAGGAGGTAGAGAATCAGGTTAATTTATAATTTGCTTGATAATTCTCAATTGATTTCCAACTGTGGCTCATCCTACATATTTCAAATTACATATTTTTATTTTTTTCATCCTTTTATGTATTATGGCTGTGTTAGTCTGTTTTGTGCTGCAGTGACACAGGCTGGCTAATTTATAATGAATAGAAATTTATTTGGCTAACAGTTCTGGGGGCTGGAAAGTGCAAAATTGAGGGGCCGCTTCCTGGGAGGATTTCCTTGGTGCATGATCGCATGGCAGAAGGCAGGAAGGTAGGAGGCCATGTGAGCAAGATAGCAAAAGAGGCCAAACTCATTTTTATGAAAAATTCACTCTTGTGATAGTAAACCCACTCCCTCAATAATGACATTAATGAATTCATGAAGGCAGAGCCCTTATGACCTGACCACTTCTTAAAGGTCCCACCTCTCGACACTGATACATTGGGAATAAAGTTTCCAACATCTGAACTTTGGGGGACACATTCAAACTTCAGCAATATGCTTGACTATTTCTTAAAATGTTAAATATTCACCATTACTAAATCCTTGCCAGTGACATAATTAGGTACTCCCTTAAATAATTCTTCTGGCACAAGAATATTATTATGTAAGAAAAGCAGCAACCTACTAAATACAGTAAAGTTCCTTCTTGTACAGTTTTGTATCTTTGAAGACTGTAAAGCCAGTGCATTTGTAAAAATTGTTTTTCATACCACTGAGAGGTAAAGTTGAAGAAAAGATGTAGATGTTGTGTCTGTCATTGGAAGGATATTTAAGAGAAATTAGAAGGCTAAACACTTTATCCTTCCCTAATTCAACAAATAATGTCTCACTTACGATTGTTTCCTTGCATAAATGGGAGAAAGTGGGTACATGCATTTGCATACAGATTTCCTGTGCTGAAAGAAAAGGAAAACATTAAAAGGAAGAGAAAGAAAAGGAAAACCTTAAAAGGAAGAGAAAGAAAAAGAAACACAGGCCTGCCACCTTTAACACCTGCTCGTGAATACAGGATGCTTACTCCAGGCAAAGTCAGTAAAGGAAGTAGTGGGTTAGAACTTCGTGTTGTCTTTATTAAGATAATAATTTTAAGTCCAATCTCCCTCTGTAGGATGGGACTGACCATAATGTCTAACTAATATATATGTAGTAACACTGATGAAAGCAAACTCTGCATGCATATGAAGGAATATGGAACATGTAGCCCATAGCTTAGCTGAAGAAACTGTAGCAAAACACAAACTATATGTTGAAAAAGTCTCTTGAGAAGTTAATGATTTCTTACAATTCAAATTTTGTAAAATGTAACACAAAGAAAACATTTAGTGAATACCAGCTTTACATATCATGGGTCTAAATCAAATAAAAAGAGGTAAAATTAGAGAAAAAGCAGTTGCAATCTGATGCTATGTGAGCCAGGTCCTTAGAGAGACAGAGTACTTAAGCAAGTTTCACAAACTGGTATAGGAATTGCATGAATATAACTAGGTATTATAACTGACCTACATCCATAAATTGAGTTGTAAATACATTTTAGTTCTACTTTTATGAATATACAAAGTCTATACTCTAACATGGCTATACTAGGATCCTGCTTCCTGGTATAATCTACTGGCTGAATCAGATTCATCTGGGCAATATTATAGATTCCTATTGCATACCCAGAACCCACTTCATCCAAATCTCCAGGAGTGGAATACAGAATCTGCTAAATACAAGTTTAGCAGTTTCCCCAGGGTGAAACAAGCTAAAGGTCACTCTGAGAGGAAGGGCCAATGACAGTAGGCTGTAGCTAAAGGTAATGACATGCAAAAATTGCTTCTATACTGCAGGCAAAAAACAGGCTGAGAGTATGTCTGATCCATCATGGCTCTGTGATGACCTTCAAAACATCATATCAGGATGGATAACTCCAGTTCTTCAACCACATTCTTTTGTTTGTGTGACTTGATTATTTTTTTCTGGTGCTTTGAAAACATCATACACTAACATTATCCCTGTAGATGCTATTTATACTGGGAGATAAATTGAGGTTTTATTCATTAGCAGAAGAAATAGCAACCCTGAAAGAAAAGGCAAGAAATGTGACAGTAGTCATAATATTTACTACTCATGTGACATTTTTTCAGCTTACAAACCAGTTTTTCAAACAATTGTGAATTAATGCTGACAACAACCTTATGAGGTTAAAGAACTAGTTTACTGTGTGGGTTGTTGAACTGGGACTCAAGTTCTATGACTTATTATATCAGAAATATAATTGGTATCCCTAAGCCATCTATCATAAATATAGAAAATTATTTTGATTGACTATAAATGCAAATTGACCAAAGAAGCTCTTTTATAAAAGAAAAACTATATAATGGTATATTTACTCAATATGCTAACCTTAAAAATATAGTATTACTAGTTTCTGCAGCTTTAGCACATATTAATATATTAATTAGTCCTTCAGGAATAAGCACAGATGAAGAAAAAACATATATCCAGGTATTCTGAGCACCGAAGCACTCAGATTTAGCCCAAATGGAAAATAAAATTATGTATATATGCTGTTAAAGACTGAAAATAAATAACACGTTCACAGTAAGAAAAAGAATAAAGAAAATGATATAGAATTTAAGTTGGTTTAAAGTCAGAAAGTAGATGTAAGTGACTGATTTTCATTTTCGTACTATCATCATGAATATTCTTTTGCAAGAGTCTCTCATCCTGAAGCAGTTAGCATGAGCAAAAAAGGAGTGTGGATGCTTTTCCACTGCTTTTCTTGGACTGTATGTAAAGTCATCAAGACTACAATTTTCTGTCAAACTCACAGGCCGAGTAGTGTAATTGAAAGAATGCTAGGCCAGGAGTCAGACAGATTATATTCTATTTATGTTTCTGCTACAAATAGGCTAGAGCATGTATGTAATCCAATGGAATTCAGCTTTATAACTTGCAAAATGATAGAGTTGAACAAAGTTATCGCTAAATGTTCTTATAAATATTAACATATTTTGAAACTATAGAGCCAAGCCGACTGAGGGTTACAGCAGATCAATACTTATAAATCTATCTGTACTGCTTACATACAAATTGTGTGAAAACATGCTAAGCCTTCCAGTTCCCATCCACGGCTGTGGTAAGTCCAGCAATGGCCCCTCCAAGGTATCCACATCCTACCCATGGAACCTATTTATTTATTAGTTTACATGCTAACTGGAGATTTACAGATGATTTAATTAAGGATTTCAAGATGAGGGGATTGTCCTGGATCAGAGTTAGGAAAGACATGTTACAATGGATACTAAAGTCAGGGTGATGGGGCCAGGAGCCAAGGAATGCAGGCTGACTCTAGAAAATAGAAAAAGCAAGGAAGAGAGTCACCCCTGGAGACTCCACAGAGGACACAAGCATTGACCATGACTCTGTAAGACTCATTTCAGACTTCTGACCTTCAGAACTGTAAGATAATAAATGTTTTTTTTTTTTTTTGCTTTAATGGATTAAATTTGTAGGAATTTGTTACAACAGTAAAGTGAAACTAATACAAGAGAGCTATGAGGAAGCTCCATTTGAGATGGAAGCTTGTCAGTTTTAAAACATATCTGTAAAATCTTTGAGATTCTTTCCACTGAGAAGGGTATCTATGTCATCTTCTCTTATATTGGTACTAAAATCTGTGTTTATTTATACTAAGAAAATACAGAGGAAGTGATGCTACATGCAGTCTGAGTCTAGGTCATAGAAGACAATTAGCTATAACTCTGTTTTGTGCTGTTATAAGTCAACCTGGAGCCTTTAGCTGTCATATAAGAATTCCCATTACCCCAAGGTCATAATGCCTTGAAGAAGACTTCACACAGAGATGAGCAGCAACTCCGGTCACCTGCACAGCTGAGCTTCCAGCCAACAGCCATGCAAGCAAGCTATTTTTGATGACAGCACAGTCCAGCCTTCACATGACTGGAGCTCCAGCCAACAAATGGCTGAAACTGCAAGAGAGATCCTAAGCAAGAACTGTTCGCATGAGCCATCTCCAAATTCCTGACCCACAAAATCTTGAAGTATATTAAGATGGCAGTTGTTTTAAGCCATTAAATTAGGGGTAATAATGCGGAGATTCACCAATAATCTTCCAATAACATCTTTATCACTAAATATTAGTTGCACATCAACAGTTATATTTCAGTTTTAAAGACTCTATTACTAATTTTTGCATATTTAACTGCCAGGAGTCAAACATTGGTGACTTCTAAATCAACAGCTCAAGCTTCTATTCTCTGTGTTAGTCCCACATAGATAACAGGCTTCAAATGAGGCCTCAAAGTAAGCATGTTTAAAAATTGAATGCTCCCCTAGATCAGTCCTGCTACAGAGACTCTTTATACGGTATTTTCTATTTTTGTGAAAGACACTATTAGCTAACCAATTGCCAAAACATAAAGTCTGGGCATCATATCCAATGCCTTTCTCTTTTCCTTCACAATTAATCTGTCACTAAATCGAGCTATTCTTGCCTTCACAATTCTCAACTGAATCTCATTTTCTCAACTGTTATTACCATGGCTTTCACTTGAACTTTAACATTTTCTACTTGGACTAACTAAATGACTTTCTAAGTATTTTCCTTCTCCTTTTTCCAACTTGGCCACTATAATTATCTTCCTAATTTGTCAACCTACTTGTTTCCCGATAATCCCTTCAATGATTTACATCATCTATTGCTAATAAAAATGTAACAATTTGCAATTCTGTTCTGATCTAATCTAGTTTACTCAAATTTGCCAACTTTCACAGAAATTCAGAGAATGAAATGGCTACATAGCTGTCATAAACCTTGAAGAATACGTTGTTCTTTCACTCACCTATGTGTCCCAGCAGGTATTATAGTGTTTGAAATATCTGTGGTTGTCTGAAACACTGAAGAGTGATGATGGCAGCCTACAATAGAGAATTAGAGAATGACACTAAAATTTCAAGCCTAACTTTTCCCTCTCTAGAAAGCAATTCCCTTGGCAAATCAGCTGTTTGGATTTTTACCAGAATCTGATAGAAGATGAATGTATGACTCTTAGATGCCATTTAACCATATGCCCAGAGCTATCCATCACAAATCAGGTAGGTAGAGGTGACTGTAGCCTCAGAATCAAAAATACATGGGAGCATTCCATCATGAGGCATGCGAGTATTCATGAATCTGCATACATACAATCTAGCTAGAATACATTGCTCAAGGCCCAAGTAAGTTTCAGGGTAAAAATTTATTGATATTTCCTGTGATTCAGTTACAGATCTGGTACAGTGCTTCTCTCAGTATGCCCATAGGTCTTTGTAGGAAGTTTTGGCTGTCAGTTAAATGAGTAGAAAAAAATAATTGGGCCTATTTTACAGAAAGTCCTGCATGATATGCATGGATGAATTGAAAATGGTCTACTCCTATATTACAATCCCATTTGAGATATTCATAAACAACACTAGAGAAGGTGAATCTTCTATGTGGAAAATTTTTGAAACACCTTGTTTTCCCCTTTTCCTGAAAACAGAGATGTAAAGAACCAATGGTTATCCTGATAACCGAAGACTTGGAAAGACAAATACAAAGACTGATAAAGTGGGGGAAATGGAGTGAGTTCTCCTTTCTGAATAGGCTAAATTAATGTCTGTGTCACAGAGGGATGCTTACTAAAGGGCCCTTACCTCAGAGGAGGCTCTTTATAATCCAAATAACTTTTCTATGTACTTCAGACAACCTACTTTCTAGGCACCTCACAGCATGTTTGATCTTGGGAATGGAATGGATAGAGTGGTAGGAATACCTTATAGCCCTCCAATATAGCCATACTTCAGCTGAACTAGCCTAATACCAGATGTTAATTATACTAGATTCCTTCTAGCAAGCAAAAGGTAGTAATTTATCTTCAATTAAATTAATACATTCTGAGTTTGTATTTACTTCTATGTCAATTATGCCACTTCCAGACCTATACACTCAACTTTCTGAATGACCTATGCTTTATTGTAGGAGTCTAAGCAGAAATGCTTCTGAATGAGGAAATCACATCACAGTGAAATGTAAGATAATGAGATAATAGCTATGATGTTCTTCAGCATTACCAATGAACCCTAACATCCAGAAGCATCTGGCCTTATAGAATGGAGGAATGGCTTATTGAAATACAGGTTGGCATCCTCTAGGAGATAACAGTTTGTGAATTTGAGGTATTGTCCTAGCACATTCTCTGGAAATGTAGAACCCACAGGTCTAGGAATCAAATAGCCAGCCAATGGAATATGACCCTCCTAAGTTTAATCTTAGTAAGAGGGATACAAAGTCTAAAATTCCATTTTTTATGATCATAATTTGAATTCCATTGTACAAAACTCCTTCAATGATATATGGGCTCTATATCTTCCATTTGTTGACTTTTTTTTCTTTTCTAAATTTTAAATCCATGCTCAAACAATAGTTTTTAAAACTCACCATGCTTTAATTAAAAAATAAAATAAAATGATTAATAAGGATGATGATAAAGGGTGGACTCTACTGTGTCTCACTGGCTGATACTTACTGCCATCTCTATTCTTCTAAGTTATCCCTTATATGTGAAGTCTGAAAACCACAGTGCCAAGACTTCCTTAACATCAATTTTCAGTTAGATTCTGTGCTTTGGAGGCAATTGTGGAAAATATGGGAGACGAAAAGAAAAGCAATGCCACTATGCTGCTGTCAGCATGTCTGTGGGCATTGGAAGACAGCAGATATAAACCTTTATCTGTGGCTTGCAGGCATTCCCCTGAAAAGAGTGTACCTTGAATCTGCAGTTGGCTAATTTTATTGGTGATGGTTACCTTGTCATCACTACAATTTAGGAATTCCTGAAAACCTTCATAAACTTTTTATCCCACCTTATCAGTGATTTTAAAATTCTATTTAATTCCCAGTGTATCTTTTCACTCAGAATAACTAGAGTAGCTTCTATTTTCATAATTTAACTAATAAAATGCTAAATAAAATCTATTAAGTAGATGGATACTGAACTGACTGAACAGGACACCTACCTATACAAGAATTCCCTGATGGAATAACTGGGTTATCATTTCACAGATATCAAGATTCTGCTAGACAATAGCAAACTTCCAGCCAAGCTCACTTTCCTTTGGCATAAGGTCAGTAACTTCATGACCAAGCACACAGGTGTTTATCATTCTGGTGCATGAGATACTGAAATGCTCTCAGGCTGGGCTCCAGAAGAAGCAGGTGTTCCTCAGTTTAGACTCAAGTGTTTTGTTTTTTGTGTGTGTGTGAGCAACATGGCTGTTTATTTCACCTGGGTGCAGGCCGGCTGAGTCCGAAAAGAGAGTCAGTGAAGGGAGATAGGGGTGGGGCCGTTTTATAGGATTTGGGAAGGTAATGGAAAATTACAGTCAAAGGGGGTTGTTCTCTGGTGGGCAGGGGCAGGGGTCACAAGGTGCTTAGTGGGGGAGCTTCTGAGCCAGAAGAAGGAAATCCACAGGATTAATCACTCAGTTAAGGTGGGGCAGGAACAAATCACAATGGTGGAATGTCACCAGTTAAGGTGGGGCAGGGCCTTTTCACTTTTGTGATTCTTCAGTTACTTCAGGCCATCTGGGCTTATATGTGCAAGTCACAGGGGATGCGATGGCTTGGCTTGGGCTCAGAGGCCTGACATTCCTGCCTTCTTATATTAATAAGAAAAATAAAACAAAATAGTGTTGAAGTGTTGGGGCAGTGAACATTTTTGGGGGTGTTATGGAGAGAAAATGGGCGATGTTTCTCAGGGCTGCTTCAAGCGGGATTGGGGCGGTGAGGGAACCTAGAGTGGGAGAGATTAAGCTGAAGGAAGATTTTGTGGTAAGGGGTGATATTGTGGGGTTGTTAGAAGAAACATTTGTAGTGTAGAATGATTGGTGATGGCCTGGATACGGTTTTGCATGAATTGAAAAACTAAATGGAATAAGAGAAGGAGAAAAACAGGTATAAAAGGTCTAAGAATTGGGAGGACCTAGGACATCTGTTTAGAGAGTGCCTAAGGAGATTCAGCATAGTCCTGCCAGCAAAGATTATTTATTTACTTCAAGAGTTTAGAGTGGCAGTTTGGGGATAGCACCAGGAGATATCAGCTGTGATGTCTTGGAGAAACAGTGTAAACTGGCAGTATAAACAAGAGCAGGGCATGTATGAGTAGTTGAGAATGGTGAATAGGAGTATGACTAGACAAAAGATAGTAGGGATGACAAGTTTTTTTTGGGGCACAGTCTAAGTTGGTCTGGTGTTGAATGAGACTGGGGCCCAATAAAAAGGAGCGTCTATACAGGAGCTTAAATGGGCTCCTATACACCTTGTAGCATTCTGAGGACAGGCCTGAATTCTGAGAAGCGAAAGTGTTAAAAGTATTGTCCAGTCCTTTTTAAGTTGGTGGCTGAGCTTGGTGAGGTGTGTTTTTAAAAGACCTTTAGTCCGTTCTACTTTTCTTGAGGATGGAGGAAAGGTTTCACTGAATACTAAGAGCCTGAAAAACTGCTTGGCTGATTTGACTAAAAAAGGCTGGTCTGTTATCAGACTTTATAGAGGTGGGAAGGCTAAACTGAGGAATTATGTCTGACAGAAGGGAAGAAATGACTGTGGTGGCCTTCTCAGACCCTGTAGGAAAGGCTTTTACTTATTCAGTGAAAGTGTCTATTTAGCTTGATGTGTAGGGAAGGGAGGGGGCCTGAATAATCCCTGAGGAGTAGTAGAATAGCAGATGGAACACTGAGAAGTTATTTCCTTGAGGATAGATTTCCACGATGGAAAGGAAATGAGAGGTTCTGAAAGGCGGGCTAGTGGCTTGTACTATAGCATAGCCTGCCTTTGCTGGTGTGTGGCGATTAGGCCTGGTGGAACTGCCATCAATAAATCAAGCATGATCAGGGTGAGGAACAGGAAAGAAGGAAATATGGGGAAATGGGGTGAATATCAGGTGGATCAGAGAGATACAGTCATGGGGGTCAGGTGTGGTATCAGGAATAATGTGGGAGGCCAGACTGAAGTCCCAGCCAGGAACAATGGTAATTGTGGGACTTAAAGAGTGAGTACAGCTGAAGGAGCCAGGAAGCAGAAAGTATATGCGTCAGGTGTGAGGAAGAAAATAGATTTTGGAAGTTATGAGAACTGTAGAGAGTGAGTTGAGCATAGTTTGTGATTTTGAGGGCCTCTAAAAGTATTAAAGCAGCGGCAGCCGCTGCACGAAGACATGAGGGCTAGGAGAAGGTGCTTGGGTTTGAGAGATCAGTCAGACATGATTGGCAGGGAAAGCACGTGTGTTTTTATGAGAATTATGCCGAGATAGGTAACAGATGAGGAAGAAGTTTGGGCTTGATTGAAGTAATGGGGGCTGTCTGTGAAGCTTTGCAGCAGTACAGCCTAGGTAATTTGCTGAGCTTGATGGGTGTCAGGGTCAGTCCAAGTGAAAGCGAAGAGAGGCTGGGATTAAGGGTGCAAAGGAATAGTAAAGAAAGCATGTTTGAGATCTAGAACAGAATAATGGGTTGTAGAGGCTGGTATTGAGGATAGGAGAGTATATGGTTTTGGCACCATGGGGTGGATAGGCAAAACAATTTTGTTGATAAGGCACAGATCCTGAACTAACTTGTAAGGCTTGTCTGGTTTTAGGACAGGTAAAATGGGGGAATTGTAAGGAGATTTTATAAGCTTTAAAAGGCCATGCTGTAGCAGGCGAGTGATAACAGGCTTTAATCTTTTTAAAGCGTGCTGCGGGATGGGATATTGGCATTGAGTGGGGTAAGGGTGATTAGGTTTTAATGAGACAGTAAGGGGTGCATGATCGGTTGCCAAGGAGGGAGTAGAGGTATCTTGTGGGTTAAGGTGAGGGGATACAAGAGGAGGATGCAAAGGAGGCTTTGGACTGGGAAGAAGGGCAGCAATGAGATATAGTTGTAGTCCAGGAATAGTCAGAGAAGCAAATAATTTAGTTAAAGTGTCTCAGCCTAATAAGGGAACTGGGCAGGTGGGGATAACTAAAACGGAGTGCTTAAAAGAGTATTGTCTAAGTTGGCACCAGAGTTGGGGAGTTTTAAGAGGTTTAGAAGCCTGGCCGTCAATACCCACAACAGTTATGGAGGCAAGGGAAACAGGCCCTTGAAAAGAAGGTAATATGGAGTGGGTAGCCTCCGTATTGATTAAGAAGGGGACGGGCTTACCTTCCACTGTGAGAGTTACCCAAAGCTCGGCGTCTGTGATGGTCTAGGGGGCTTCCGAGGCGATCGGGCAGTGTCAGTCTTCAGCCGCTAAGCCGAGAAGATCTGGGAAGGAGTCAGTCAGAGAGCCTTGGGCCAGAGTTCCAGGGGCTGTGGGAGTGGCTGCCAGGTGAGTTGAACAGTCCGATTTTCAGTAGGGTCCCACACAGATGGGATGCGACTTAGGAGGAATCCCGGGCTGCGGGCATTCCTTGGCCCAGTGGCCAGATTTCTGGCAAGCGTAGCAAGCTCCTGTGGGAGGAGGTTCTGGAGGAACACCTGGCCGCTGTGGTTCAGGCGTTTGGAAGTTCTTGTGTGCTGGAGATGTGGCTGGGGTTTGTCTCACAGTGGAGGCAAGGAATTGCAACTTTTTTCTATTATTGTACACCTTGAAGGCGAGGTTAATTAAATCCTGTTGTGGGGTTTGAGGGCCGGAATTTAATTTTTGGAGTTTTATTTAATGTCGGGAGCAGATTGGGTAATAAAATGTATTTTGAGAATAAGACACCCTTTTGACTTTTTAGGGTCTAGGGCTGTAAAGTGTCTCAGGGTTGCTGCCAAAGAAGTCATGAACTGGGCTGAATTTTTATATTTGATGAAAAAGAGCCTAAATGCTATCTGATTTGGGATAAAGAAAAAGGAGCATTAACCTTGACTATGCCTTTGGCTCCAGCCACCTTTTTAAGAGTAAATTGCTGGGCAGGTGGGGGAGGGCTAGTCACGGAAGGAAACTGTAAGCCGGACCAGGTGTGAGGAGGGGAGGTGATAAAAAGATTATAGGGTGGAGGAGCAGAGGCTGAGGAAGAATTGGGACCTAGCTCGGCCTGGTGAGGAGCAGCCTGGGGAGGAAGGGAGAGGTCAGATGGGTCTGTAGAAAAGGAAGGTTAGAAAGACTCAGCAACGCTTGGGGTTGGTACTGAGGGGACAGGCGGGAGGGAAAGAAGGAAGATTTGGGACAAGTTGCACTGGGCACAGAGACTAGGAAGGGACTGATGTGTAAAAGAATGCCTGGATGTCAGGCACCTCAGACCATTTGCCCATTTTACGACAAGAATTATTTAGATCTTGTAGGATGGAAAAATTGAAAGTGCCGTTTTCCTGCTATTTGGAACTACTGTCGAGTTTGTATTGGGGTCAAGCGGCATTGCAGAAGAAAATAAGACATTTAGGTTTTAGGTCAGGTGTGAGTAGAAGAGGTTTTAAGTTTTTGAGAACACAGGCTAAGGGAGAAGAAGGAGGAATGGAAGGTGGAAGCTTGCCCATAGTGAAGGAGGCAAGTCCAGAGAAAAGAGTAGAGACACTGAGAAGGGGTGGGGGGTTCTTGCCCTCCAGAAAAGCAGAGAAGGGGTTGGGGCATGGAAATAAGGGATTGGGGTACAAAGATAAGAGGTCAGGGTGTGGAAATAAGGGATTGGGGCGCAGAGATAAGAGGTTGGGGTGCGGAAATAAGCGATTGGGGGTTCTTGCTCCCTAGGAAAGCGGGACTTGCCGCTAAGGGTGAAGGAGAAGGGGTTGAGAGGTACTTGCCCCTGCCCCAGAAAAACAGAGAAGGGGTAGAGACAAGGAGAGAAGGGGTTGAGGGGTACTTGCCCCTTCCCCAGAAAAGCGGGACTTGCCGCTAAGGGTGAAGGACCAAGGCAGGCGTCCCTGCGTGGTCTGACATCCTTGAAACGTGAGTGTGTAATCAGGCATCCCTGCAATGATTAAACACCAAGGGAAGGCTGCCTTCCCAGTCCGTGACCGGCGCCAGAGTTTTGGGTCCACGGATAAAACGTGTCTCCTTTGTCTCTACCAGAAAATGAAAGGAATTGAAATTAGGAGAAGGGAGAGATTGAAGAGTGGAAAGGAGAAAGTGGTTGAGGGACAGTGAGAGAGGTTGGAGAAGAGAGTAAGAAGAGGCCGCTTACCTGATTTAAAATTGGTGAGATGTTCCTTGGGCTGGTCGGTCTGAGGATCTGAGGTCTTAGGTGGATCTTTCTCACTGAGCAAATAACAGGAGGACAGGGGATTGATCTCCCAAGGGAGGTCCTCCAATCCGAGTCATGGCACCAAATTTCATGCGCGTCCGTGTGAAGAGACCACCAAACAGGTTTTGTGTGAGCAACATGGCTGTTTATTTCACCGGGGTGCAGGCAGGCTGAGTCTGAAAAGAGAGTCAGCCTGGACTCAAGTGTTTTAAAGTAAAATGAGTAATGGCATTTTCCCAACATTCAGGAGAAAATACATAGACTTTTTTCTACATAAAGTATCCTCATATAATTAATCTAAATTCTGTAGTATTTTCTAGAAAGGAAACACTGGTAGAATTTTAAAAAATACTAACAATATAAACACAACTTTACAAACGGCAATAATCCTTAGTTATAGTTTTTGTTTGCAAAGATGTGAATGGATAAAATTGAGGGGATACAATTTCAATTGTTTATAGGTCATTAAAATTTAAAACAAATCAGATAGCATATTTCAAACAATATTAGCTTAAAAGTAGATGAATTATGGACACTCAAACAGTGGTACATCCACACAATGGAGTATTACTCATCAATAATAAAGATCTTAAATGAAAATTTAATAAATTTTACTAAAACCGTTGTGAGAACAATGAAGGCCTGAGATTTTACCCTATATAAAAGTTAACACATTCGTCTGCCATAGTTTATAGATGCTGGTTGAAGACATAAGACTCCTGAGTCCAAGATGAAGGGTAAATATTACACATAGTAATAGCAGTAATCAGAGTATCAGCATGTTTGTATCTGTTTTCTGAGCCCTAATCCATGTTAAGAAGGCCAAATATAACCTGCATGCACAGAGTATTGGCCAGATATAACCTGCATGCATAGAGTATTGGCCACATACAACCTGCAAGCACAGAGTATTGTGTTACAGAATAGGAACATTGAGTTTAGAAAACAAAAATTAAAAATTGACAGTGTGTCCAACTTTTGCTCTTAATGATGAGATTAACTTTATTATCTTGGGTGTTGAGCCTGTCCATTCTTTGCTCTAGAGGGAGACACACTACCTTCCAAAGCTATTCACTACACAAAAATTGAAAAGACTCTGGAACAGAGTATGTTAGTCCCTTACACATAAGTTACATAAAAATATGAAAGATCCATAAATCATTGTCTCTAATCAATTTCAAAATAACAATATTGATACTAATGAAAACACTAATAGAATCCTAAAAGTAATAGTTTTTGAAATCCTAACCTAGGCAAGTTTTACCACCCTTTATTTATGAAAACTTAAGGTATAATTGTAAAATGGATTATATTTTGCCCAGAAGAAAAAAATTCCATTAATATGTTGCACTTGCACCATTAGATTTTGTCACTAGAGATACAGAAGAAATGTAATAATAAATTCCTACTGTGGTGTGGAGGAAAAACTTCAGACTAGAATCTTGTGTAGGCAGCTTCTAAATTACACTTAAATGATTCCCACTTCTTGATGTTAAACTTAGGTTGTATCATTTATTACAAATAGACTGTGGTGATGAGAAGTGATGAAATGTCACTTCCGAGATTAAATTACAGAAAGAGGAATCTGTCTTGGGATGCTCTCTTTTCCTCCCCTGGCCATTTGTTCTAAGGGAAGCCAGCTGCTGTGTCATGAGCCAACATGTTGTCAGGTCCATATGGTAGAGAGGTTTCTGGATAACTACAAGTGAGAAATTGAGGTTCTCAGTTCAACAGCTCACAAGTAACTAAATCCTTCCAACAGCAAGGTGAGTGTCCTTAGAAACAGATACTCTCCCAGAAAAGCCTTCAGATGAGAACACAGCTCAATCAATACTTTCATTGCCAGCCTTGTAAGAAACCTTGAAACAGAACCAGCTGGCTAAGGGACACTTGGATTCCTGACCCAGTGAAGTTATGAGATAATCATTTTAGGAATTTGTTTGTTTGTTTGTAAGATGCTAGGTTTGTTTGGATAAGATGCTAGGTTTGTTTGTAAGATGCTAGGTTAGGTTGGGAATTTGTTTATTTGTTTATAAGATGCTAGGTTTATAAGATGCTACACTTGTTTGTTTGTAAGATGCTAGGTTATAGGGTAATTTGTTATGCAGCAGTGGGTAACTGCGATGGTTGATATTGAGTGTCAACTTGATTGGATTGAAGGATGCAAAGTTTTGTTCCTGGGTGTGTCTGTGAGGGTGTTGCCAAAGAAGATTAACATTTCAGTCATTGGAATTTGAGAGGCAGACACACCCTCAATCTGGGTGGGCAACATCTAATCAGCTGCCAGTGCAGCTAGAATAAAGCAGGCAGAAGTTGGAAGGACTTGACTTGCTGAGTATTCAGGCCTCCATCTTTCTCCCTTGCTGGATCCTTCCTGCCCTTGGACATCAGACTCCAAGTTCTTCAGCTTTTGGACTCTTGGACTTACACCAGTGGTTTGCCAGGGGTTCTCTGACCTTTTGCCACAGACTGAAGGCTGCACCATTGTCTTCCCTACTTCTGAGGTCCCTACTTTTGAGGACTGGCTTCCTTGCTCCCTAGCTTGCAGATGGCCTACTGTGGGACTTCACCTTGCGATCCTGTGAGTCAATATTCCTTAATAAACCCTCCTTCATATGTACATCAATCCTATTAGTTCTGTCCCTCTAGAGAAACCTGACTAATACAGTAACTAATCATAATATTAGTACTGAAAGATTGGGTTCTACTGTAGCAAATACCTGAATGTGGTAGTGGCTTTGGAACTGAGCAGTGAGTGGGTGATGTCTGGAAGGATTTTGTGAAGTGTATTAGAAAAAGCCTATATTGCCTTCAGCAGACTGTAGAATTTTGCACATTGAGGACAGTGTCATTGAGGCCACATAAGGAGGTAAAATATGTATTATTGGAAACTGCAGGAAGGCAAATCTGCTTTATGTAGTGCCAAAAAGATTAGCAATGTGACTGCCTGCACTACAGTGTGAAGTAGAAAATGTGCCTAATTACTTGAAAGATCTAACTAAGGAGATTTCTAAGGAAAGTGTTGAATGTGACATGTGATTTCTTGTGCTGATTAGAGTAAAATGTGAAAATAGGAAGATAAGTTGAGGGAAGAACTGGAAAATGGAACGGAGTCAAGTCTTGAGGGTTTTGAAAATTCTCAACCTTTCCAAATGACAATCATGCCAAAATTAAGAATTGGCTTCGGAGCAAATATTGAATCTGGGGCATTGCCAGAAATACATGCTCTAAAGATGAATCTGGGGATGTGACTGCAAATGTGTTTGTTAAGATGACAGAAAGACCAAAGGTGGTGCCAAATCAAAGATTCTCTAAGGAGATTAAGGGGGTGCTCCACAGATCCTCTCAATTTAAAAAATTGGTCATCTAGGAAGCTTAAGGTTGTTATCCCTCAGCAGTCTCAACAGGAGCCCGAGGTGGAGAAAAGCTTATTATAGAAACTTGTAGCTGTGGCTTTTGAAATCTAAATGGATAATTCTTACAAAAAAATCACAGAAGAGCCACCACGATTTTGAGATTACATCCACAGAAACTATGATATCTTTTACTAAAAGGAACAGAAACAGTATAAATTGTAAAGAGGTCATTGGACCCACAAAATCCTACTGAAATTCTACTAAAATTTGGAGGCGGGCTGACAAAACTACTCATCTGCAAACCCATGCTACTTTTCATGGGTGGCTTAGGGTAGGGGAAGCATCCCCCAAAGAGCAGAAGCCAGATCCCAAAGTGCAGAGCCTAGGACCATGGAGAACTATTTGCACCCTTGAAATCTAATGAATACATTTTCAGCATTTGCCAGGCTGGAATTCAGAATTACTATAAATCAATGATTCATTTGTGCCTCTCGTTGATCCCTCTACTTTTTGAACAGAGATGAACAAATATTCTACACCTACCCAAACTTTATATTGATATGTTGGAGACAAATTACTTGTCTCCTTAGTTTCATAGGTCTGAAGATAAAGAAGAACTGCATTCTAGAAACTGTATATAAGAAACTGTGCCCTGGCAGCCTCATCCCACTAGGGACTGATTTAGGTCATGAGATCCTAGACTTTGAGCTAATATTGTGATGGGATGAGACTGCTGGGGACCTTCAAATAAGGTGAGGATATTTTGCCTGCAGAAGGGATACAAGTTTTTGGAATCATAGAATACAAAGTGGTACACAGAAAGAAATAATTAATATAGGCCTATAAGACCTAAGTTAACATTTAGGTTTTGACTTTTACTAACTAAGATATTTAAAAATATATATTTACCATATCCAAGAGTAGTCATCCTTAGTATTATATTTATTATATGTGATGCTTAATAATTATTTGCTGGCAGTGATGCTGTAGCAATACTCCATGGAAGTCAATTTTAATTTGCGACTCTACTTTTCTCCTTTCACTTCATCATATATCCTCAGTTTATTTCTATTAGATGCCCTGGATTCGATTTTATAAATCTCGTTAGTAATTGATGTATTCTCTTTTCTCTCTTTAATATTACCAGGATGACTTCTGAGTACTCAGTGGACAAATATCAGAGCAATTCATACTCTTTTGAAAAACTCTAAATTATCCATTTAGATCTCAAAAATTCTTTTGCGATCCAGGCTCAAATGCAAATATTCATTTATTAATGAATGTTTTCTTTTAAAGAAAACCTACTGCTAGTAAGTTATATTACAGTGAACATTAAAATACAAAAAAGACATGAAGTGTAATGCTTTAGAGTTTAATCAAATTTTAAAATACCTCACATTATTATGAGATTAGCAGATTTTCAAAATAACTATAAATTCTCACTAATGTTGTTAAACAAGTTTTGCCATTCAGTGAGTATGTATTTCTAAGTGAGAGATCAAATCTAAATCAAAGACAAGTTCAAAGATTTTGTGAGAAGGGTTTATTCAATGCTATTAAAAAAGATATTGTTTTGTTGAGTTCTCAAGTTTTCTTATTATATCAAGCTTCTTAATAAGAAAATCATTTATATATTACTTGAGATGTATCATTTATATATTACTTGATTTCCTTATATGCATAGAATAAATACACAAATATTTGTATATTTGACCAAAACCAAAACTATTTCTATGACAAATTACTTTTGAATACATGGTTCTTTTCAAACATTACCAACCATCTTCTCCCAAATGTGAATATTTGATTTTTTTGCTTCTTCTAACTAGTACTTCCCATAGATCCAGGCTCAATAAATAATTCTCTTGGAGAACTTTATTTTTTTCCCCAAAACAATTAATCTCGAAGATAAACATAATTCAACAGAAAAAGAGGAAAATAATAATATTGTGTTAAATATTTGTAAGATGTGAGCATTTTCAGGGGTTCTCACAGAGTTCTTGTAAACTGCTACAGGTCACCAACTTCCATACAATCACATTCTGCTGCTACTGTCCCAGTGTAGTGATATATTTATTTTTTATTTGTTATTTGCCTCTGTTTTACAGTTTTACCTTTTCCATCTTATTGTGATTGTAGATTGGTCAGAATATGTGAGTATGTACATAGGACCAGAGCTCAAAATAATGGTTTGATGGTTGAAGGCTTCCATAATACTTAGGTGGACACTGGGCTTTTCAGAAACTAGATAATGTTTCATGAACTGCTATGGGGTTCACACATTTCTTTCATTACTTCTTGAGAAACCGCAACTTTGATAATATAACTTAGATGAAAGTTTGATAATCTCCAATCATCTCACACTTACGTCTTTCACTGCTCCTTGGAAATCTCAGGTCAATATTATTTAATATCATTTTTATTAATATGATCTATCAGTTGTTCAGCAATTCTCCATTGATACCTACCCTGCATCAGGAATGGATTTGGTGGCTAGGGATAGAGCAGTGAACAGAAGATGGGCAGGGTGATAATTTCTTACCAGTCTTTTAAGTTTCCTTAAGTAATTGAGAAAAAAACTTAAATTTTGTAATTCAGAAAAAAACTTAAATTTTGATTGTGATGAGAATTGTTATAGTTGAGACTAGATACATAAAACATATACATATATATTCAAAAACACATGCACACATATACATTTATGCATACATATACTTGTTATGTTTAATCTCCAGATTTCAGTTTGTTTTATGGAAGTGAGTTAAAATTTTGATAATCTCCAATCACCTCAAGGCTAAATATGAAGGCTGTGGTAGTATTTTTTATTTTCTTGCTCCATATTACTGGCTGAGTAGATGGGGATACTCTTTAGCATTTTATTTTTTTCTGCATGTAAGTGACAGAGAATTTCATTTTGACATTATTTGGATGTTTTAACATTAAATGACTTTTCAGGAAAGTAAATTCATCCTTTGTTGTGGGTATACAGTTGGAAGATGATAGGAGTTTTTTTAGATCCAGCTGTTGACTAGATGAAGTAGGCAAAGTTCATTATTCCTTGTAGCAATTTTTGTGCACATATGCAATCTTTGTGTCTCCTTACCAATGTCTGTCCTCCTCTTTATTGTACAAGGAATAATGCTTTATCTGTGTCGCCTAATTTCTTAGAACTCACCTTGAAATGTGTAATAAATGTTTTGTGGATAACTTTATTAAGCTAAGATAAAAGCTTTCTAAAATTTTGTCTATTCAGGATTATATTGATTAAAAATGATAGAATCTGAACCCAAACAAGTTTAAATAAAGTGTGGAATTAATTTCCTCAGGAAATCTAAGCAAGTTTCAAAAAAAACCAAAACAAAACCCCACAGGAAATGTAGGAACAATTAGAACCAGGTACATGAACTCCATGAGGACTTCTCTTTTCCCTCCTTTTTGTTGCCTGTTAGTTTCTATTTTTGTCTTTTATTTTGCCTGAGACAGAAAACTCTAGTACTCTTTTTTTAAGCATTGAATGACATGTGGCCACTAATATTTCTTATGTTTTCTGACTTCAAACTTGAGCTCCAAAGTGAGATTGAGTAACTTCCTCGTAGTCTAAATGTAAAAACACAAAATCTAAGACTTAGACAGTTGTGGCATAGGCCCGACACAACCTGGAACCAATAATTGCTTATGGTGAGTGGGCAGGTGGTATTGTAATAACAGAAAGAGACCCTGGTAATCACATAATCATAGGAAAATATTTGGCAATCAGATGAGGATATGTTTGTGTGCGTGGAGTGCAGGGGGCTTCCAATGAAATTATTCTCCAAACCTGCACATTGGGCACATGTATCCTAAAACTTAAAGTATAATAATAAAAGAAATTATTCTCAAAGCAATTCAGTATACATCACCACCAACTAATTCCTATTTTGTGCTTCAATCTTTAAATAATGGATCTTCAATTTATCCTGAGATATATCCTGTATGAATTATAATCTTAACACTTGCTACTTTTAAAATTGTATGCAGTACTTCAATCCATGAATTGCAAGCTACAATATTTCCATGGTTAAATACTTGCATTGTCCAATAGAGGCAGAAAATATGTATAGCAAGCAAATAGACAGAAATTTGACTCCAGCTCCCTCTCTTATTCCATGAGTTTAGGAAAATTACTTATGCTCTTCTATATAATGGGGAAAATAAAGGTAATACCTATTTTGGTTATTATGAAAATTAAATGAGATAAGGCCAGTAAAGCAGGATTATTTTGAACTTTAAATGAGATTAGTTCAACTGCCTTATGCATTTTTACCTTTTAAATATAGGCAAAAGGTAATTAATTGTTCTTCAAGGAACTACATCCTCTCTTTTAACATTGAGGTAGTTTTTCACATCATTTAGAAAAGTGTTAAACAGATATTACATATAACTATAATTGGGTACTTGGCTATTTGGTTTCAATAAGGAAAATATATAACTCCCAGATACAAGTTTAAGATTTTTAGGGCTAAATTGCACATTATTCAAACCAAATTTTGAGCAAAAATATCGCTTCAATTTATTGAATAACATTAGCAGTAAAGTATTGCCATTCTTCAGCCTGAATCTGTAAATTAATTTAGAAAGAATTGTTGAAATAATATTTTCTCTGTTACTATAATTACCAGTGTGTTGACTTGAAGATGTATTTCCAAGAATCTACAGTTTTCTCGTATTTAATTTTGCTCCCAACCACAAGCAGTTTTGCACCCTGTTGAAGATGACAGGAGACATCTCCATAGTCAATGGTTTTCTGGCTTCATGTAAGATTAATTTTGTAGCCATTTCTTTTCAGCTTTCAATATAATTTCTGAGGAAAGTTAACTATATATCTAACATCAGTCACATATTTCTGAAAAAGAAACCCTTTCACTCTAACACCAGGTTATTCTTTTACTCTCCCATTTTGTTTATATTTCAAATAATCAGTTACCAAGTATCTTTTATTTTATGTTGAAAATAAACTTATGTCTGCCTTCCGATTCCAGAGCAAAGTGACTTAAAAACAACAGAAAGCACTTCTAGCTTACAGATCGATGGTTCACTGTGATTGCTAGGCTCTACTTGCCTCTACTCTGTGTGTGTTTTCTTTTTAGAACCCAGGCTAAGGAGACAACTATTCCTGGAGACATACTATTCTCACTTCAGAAGACAAGGAAACAACCAACAAGCTAGATCACACAATTACATTTAAAACCTCTGCTTGAACATAGCATAATTCAAATCCAATTATCTTTTATTGGTCCAAATATGTCACATGGCCAAGCCTAACAATGAATACAGAAATATAATTGGCCTAGAGAGAGATACTTCACTTTTTATTGCGAAGAGGGTGGATGGATAATTCTTTTATTGGGTAGTGAATATTTGGGTAGTGAATATTTATTGGGTAGGAATATTTGGGAGCAAAAATGCAATCACCTGTTTCTCTCTCTCTTTTTACTAATACTCCCTTCAGATTTCTCTTTCCAAAGCAAATACTATTGTGTTGCTTTTATGCATAAAATTCTGTTTTGTCTCCAGGTGGCTTGCAGGTAATCTAGGCTTCCTAATGTTACACACAGGATCCTTACAGAATCTGCTCCCTAACATGCCAACAGCCTCATACTTGCCATTCTATCTTTGTTTTTCAAGGGGGATAGTATCCTGAAAGTTGAATGAAGAAGAGATTTCAAAGGACCAATGAAATGAGCCAAATACTGCTGATAGATAAAGCGTGGTGAGACTTGGCCATTTGCCTTTGATTTAAAAATATGAAAGTAATTTGGGATTCGGAAGAAAACAGTTTTGTTGGAATAACAAAGGCAAAAACTTGAGTGGAGTGGATTCAAAAATAATCGAAGACTAACATTGAAAACAGGGATCAGGGAATCAGAGGAACAGTGAGGTGACTTGAAGCATATGTGGGGTCCAGAGAAGTTTTTTGTTTCTTTGTTTCTTTTTAATATGAGAGAAAATGAAGTTCTGACTGTATGTTGATTTGAATAATCCAGTGAAGAGGAAAAAGTTAATGATGTGTAAAGTATACAAGAGACTCAAAGCAATATTCCTGAGTAAGCAGGAAAAATGAGAGCTAGGGCACGATGGAGTCTGGCCTTAGATGGCTAGGAACACGTGGTGTTACTTGAGGCAGACCTAAAAAAATAGATATGATTGTACGAATATTCCTTCACTTTGAATTAATATTGTTAGTGAATAAGCAAGAAAGTTTATAAGCTGAGAGTGAGGATCATGGAAGAAGCACTGTGGGTCTGAAGACAGAGGGCAACATAGGAAATCATTATATAATAGAATAAGAGACTGACTGGATAGAGATACATGAAACAACCTATAGGCTGTCACAGGCTTATTCACAGGTACATCAATATTTAGAGCTATTGACAGGCATATAGATTTGACTCTGTGATTTTATATATATATGTATATATATATACACACACATATATATATTTATACATATTAACTTCCAATACTGCCCACACTTCATGTATGTGTATATATATGCCCGCACTTCATATATATATATCCATATATTCATATATATGATATATATATCCATATATTCATATATATGATATATATATCCATATATTCATATATATGATATATATATCCATATATTCATATATATGATATATATATCCATATATTCATATATATGATATATATATCCATATATTCATATATATGATATATATATCCATATATTCATATATATGATATATATCCATATATTATATATATGATATATATATCCATATATTCATATATATGGATATATATATCCATATATCATATATATGATATATATATCCATATATTCACATATATGGATATATATCCATATATTCACATATATGGATATATATCCATATATTCACATATATGGATATATATCCATATATTCACATATATGGATATATATCCATATATTCACATATATGATATATATATCCATATATTCACATATATGATATATATATCATATATTCACATATATGATATATATATCATATATTCACATATATGATATATATATCATATATTCACATATATGATATATATCATATATTCACATATATGATATATATATCATATATTCACATATATGATATATATATCATATATTCACATATATGATATATATATCATATATTCACATATATGATATATATATCATATATTCACATATATGATATATATATCATATATTCACATATATGATATCATATATTCATATATATGATATCATATATTCATATATATGATATCATATATATGATATATATATCATATATTCATATATATGATATATATATCATATATTCATATATTCATATATATATACACACACATATATGAAGTGCTTTAGGTATTTTTACCTTTTAAAAATAGGGAAAAGGCAATTAATTTAATTGTTCTTCAATGAGCTACATCCCCTCTTCTAATATTTCAATGAGCTACATCCCCTCTTCTAATATTGAAGTAGTTTTTCACATCACTTAGAAAAGTGTTAAACATATATTCCATATAACTATAGTTATATATATATATATATATATATATATATATATATATGAAGTGTGGGCAGTATTGGAAGTTAATCCATTATTAAGCATGATACAGTTAAACTGGCTCAAGGATATTATATTGTAAAGTGACAGAAGCTTATAATTAGTAAAATTTAGAAGTGTAAATTTGCATTTGGTCCCTGGTATCACCCTGACTGCCCAGCAGACATGGTACACATCTCCTTTTCGCATGCTGTGCCTTTCTTTTCATTACACTATTGTTCACTGTGGAAAACCAGGGTTTCCTTGACAGGTAAGCAGAGCTAGAACTTAAATGGAAGATGTAAGGTAACCAGAGCGCATCCTATGGCTGATGGGAAGCAATGATGCTTCCAAAGATTTCTGGTATGTTAAAATGGGCAAGTGATACAGCTTGCGGGTGGCAAAGTAGACATGTGTTAAGAATAAAAAGCAAAAATTTTAGCCCCTGAAGCAAGATAAACTTTTTAAGCAAACTAAGACCACAATGATCTAGAAAAGAGAAGATGGCATAACTTACACTTATTGGAAAGTATAAAATCTCAATTTTTATTAAAGGCAATACTCTATATTAGTGAAACAAGTGTATGAGAATTCTGTACAAAAAATAATGTTCAGTAAACAAAAGACTATTGGAATTTTTTAAATTGCCCTAAGAGACTTCAAACCTAAAATTTGTTATTTTTGAAGGTTCAGAACATACGCACTTTCTTTTATACAGTTTTGTGTATATATGTGTGTGTGATGCAGACAATGGGTATAATAATGAGGAATGGTATTTAAAATATACCTGCATTTTATGCTTAGCCTTACACTCAAGCCTATACCCCAAATCATTAAATCTGTCATTTTAAATGCCTATGAAGGCAGATTCACTTTGCCCTAGAGGCAGAAATTATAGAATTTCCCTTGATCAACTACCCAAAGAGATAATGGAGAAATATGTCAACATACAAAAGAGATGAGTGGTATATTATTCTAATCATTCTACTTTTGGCCAAATTAACTTCCCACTTTTGTGTTCAATTTTTATGCCAACAAATATTACAAGTAGAAGCAGCCAGTGTCAGATTTACCATGTTGCCTGAAATCTACCTTGTAGCTGATGTCGTAACTATCTCCTTGTTTACCAGTAAGCTTATGAATTACAAATTTGGGCTACCATATAGCTATAAATCATTTTGAGTGATAGCCTTCCGGTTTGCGACAAACTATTAATCTGAACCAAGGAAATGGTTGAGTAGCTAGCCTGGGGTGAGCAGATCTGTTTATTCTTCACCATATGTTTAACAGCCTCTAAACTTGCTTTCTTGGCTACATTCCAAGGCTGTCTGGGACTCATTAAGGCTCACACAGCAAGCTACAAAAGTTTCTATAGGTCACTGACCCTGCAGTTAAGCACCACTAATGATAATTTTGTTTTTTTGGTCATTAGTAATAAGTCATCAATTGTTAAAAAGATGTGGTTGAGATTATGCTTATTTTTATCAACTCATAAATTCAAAAATTCAAAGCTTTAATGTCTATAGGGAATGAGGACGAACTAAGGGATAGCTTCCCCCCTAACCTTTAGTGGCTGAGGCATGAGAAAAGACTTTTTCTATTATTCTGCTGATTTTTTTTTTTTTTCAAGACTTGGTCTCACTCTGCCACCCAGGCTGGAGTAGAGTGGCACGATCATGGCTCACTAAAACCTTGATCTCTTCGGGCTTAAATGATCTTCCCAACTTAGATTCCTAAGTAGCTGGTATCACAGGTGCACCCTACCATGCCCAGCTTTTCTTTCTTTCTTTCTTTCTTTTTTTTTTCAGAGACAGGGTTTCATTATGTTGCCCAGGCTGGTCTAAAACTCCTGGGCTCAAGCGATCCTCCCACCTTAGCCTCCCAAAGTGCTGGGATTACAGCTGTGAGCTACTATGTCTGGCCTCTGCTGAACTTGTTAACAAGATTTATTATCAATATTTAATGAATATCATTTTCCTTAATGTTTGCTGATATGTCCATTCAATGGGTTAATAGATCTAAATCCTAACCACAGCATTTTGTTATTGTTATTTTTTGTTTATTTCTTTAAACCAGGTTGTCACTTATTCATCAATTTTTGAAAACATCTGAGTTGTATTTCTAATTGCTCATCACACGTAACTTTAGTTTATGGCATTAAACATAATTTCCATGACAAAGGACACACATTTTAAAACATTTACTTTAATATTTACATTTTATATAGGTTGAACCTTTGAGCTATTATCAGAGGTTCTTATGGATCAATTTGTACATGAAATTGTAAAACTTCAAGGGAAAACATTTTTCTGTAACTATACACAAAGCATGCTCACCTTCAGATTATTTATATATACTAGTATAAAAGCAAACTGGGAAGTGATTGATGATGCTGCCAAATTCTCTCTGAGCCTACAAGATATAGATGGTACCTTTAAAATTGGCAAAAAAAACTAATTAATCTTGCATGAGATGTAAACCCTTTCTCCTTAACCTGATAACAGTATGTAACAGTAGGAAACCCACAATCTTCATGATAAGAGAACCCAAGTTTGAAGGATGTGTATACAAATATTCAAACAACAATAAAATTACTTTTTTCTCTACCATAAAAAAGAACAGAAATCATACCCTGTCATTCTCTGAGGTGTTTTCGAAGTACTCGGCAGCAGGCTTTTTAAGTACTGTAGTTGATCATAAAAATCACAGATCAAGTTAAGAAGCGTTGTGTGTGTTTGTCTTTTTAAGTTGTTTCCTTTATCAACTTGACACCTAAAGCCTATGGTGCTTAAATTGATGTTTACTTGAACTGCTGCTGAGCAATCCTTCTTCTACCCTCTAGGGAATGAGCAACATCTTTTAAAGCTTCTTGAGAAGCTAATGTGTCTTCTCCAGTCTAAATCATGTCCCTTAGCTTTAGTCATGCTATTAGTAAAAGATCATTTTTTTCATGGTAAAATCATGACACTCATAGAGATCATTAAATATAAAATAGACATGTGTTAAGGATTTCGTTTAACTCATCAATTAATGAGGGGAACAGTGAGGTGTTACAACTGGTTCTGAGAAGAGTTCATAAAACCACACGTGTACTAGGTACTCTGGAATGCTGAACTGAATTTACAAATAGATGCAAAATTGGTCAATATCCACAGGGAATAATCAATTGCATTTCAGTGGACAGAGTTTATTTGCATATTTATAGGCAAAATCATTTGCAATAGGATCTTTTTTTATAGTTTAATGGATTTGAAAAATAGCTCAGATAAAATGGAAGGCAAAGATAGCTATTAATAGAAAATAGCCTACTCAGTAATTGTTTTAGCCCACTGCAAAGCTGTTCACAAATTTCCTGATTCTATGAAATATGCAAGGGAGATACTGATGAACAACTTGCAATGTCATGGCTTACAAAAATGTTAGATGAAATTTATGCTTCCAATAAAAATATCTTAATCTAATTAAGTGTTGAAGATATTTTTACAGAACTTTACTTCTTATATTTATAACACAAGAATTAAATGACTTATATTACAGATTATGGGTATAGCTTGTATTTGCTGCAACCTACATAAACAATTTTTGACAGAGGATATTCTCAAAAACTTAATATCATTGTTTGAATTTGGTCATAGCTGCAATTGAAAATTTCCACATTAAATAATTTATAGACAATGATTTGGCAAGAACATGCATGAGAGCTTGATATCTTTGCTGTTTTCTGAAATTGTTCAATAATATTCTAGAGTAACTAGAGAACCTGATTCATATCATGTTAGAAATTTGCATCCTTAGGGGAAAACAGTTTAATTCCATTCATATTGTTTCCCGTTATTTATTGTATGTGCACACACATGTGTGCATTTGCACAGACTTTGAGGTGAATTTCCTAACCATTCCTGTCTCTTTTCTTGCAGGCATGCGTGCGCGCGCACACACACACCCTCTTTCTCTCTTTCTCTCTCTCTCTCTCAATCTGTTAGTCTGAACATCGATTGGTTTGTTTTTATAACGGCTGATTGGGCACCCCACTTATTGAAAAAGTCAATCATATTTCTCTAGTCATATTTAATGGCTTTTCATCTCTGATCCACTTTTCACCTTTCTTACTCTGTCTTCTACCCAAAGAGGCTAACCTGGTTTACAATGAAAGTCTTGGTTTCTATGCCCCGCGTCTTCTATTTCAAATCCCAGTGAGATACACAGTGGGAGATTGGAGGGAAGGGGAAAATGAGGTCAGGGTTTTATTGCTCTAGCTCTTTCTCTGCTAAGTCAGTCAAGCTTCCTGCGTCTTTGGACCAAAGGTTACTGCTTCTCTCAAGGCAATCTTCTCTACAAGTCTCTCTCTCTCTCTCTCTCTCTCTCTCTCTCTCTCTCTCTCTCTCTCTCTCTCTCTCTCTCTTTCTCTCTCTCTGCTTTGTGTTCTGGTACCTGCCTCTTCTTTTGATTACCTCTGGCTCTTGCAGTAACAGCTTTTCTGCTATATACCCATCTATACCATTATAAATCTTTGTTTTATTGATAAATCATCTTCGAATAATCTAAATATGGGTGACCTATGTTTTCTGTTGGACTCCTGAGTGATATTATTTATAAATATGCTTTTATCTTCTGAATTATGTGGCTAGCCAGAGGAGTGGAAGTTCCCAAGATTTTAATCTGGCTTCATAAGAAAGTAGAGGCTCTTTCAAACCTTCAAGCTTGACCAGGGGGTCAGCAACATCATCTGTAAAGAATTAAAGAGTAAATGTTTTAGGCTTTGTAGACCACGCTAATACCAGCCATAGATAATAAGGAAACAAAGACATAGATGTGTTCCAATAAAATTTATTTATAAAACAAGGGAGTGGTGGTGGTGGTGGTGGCGGCGGCGGCGGCGGCGGCGGTGGTGATGGTGGCAGTGGTGGTGGTGGTGGTGATGGTGGTGGTGGTGGTGATTTTAGCCTTTGGCAAAAGTTTGTTGACCCTCGACTAGACCATAAAATGCAAACTAGGTTTACAAGAGCTCCACCTCTGTGGGTGTGTCTTACAAACACTATTATTAACAAAGCAGTATTTTGTTTTAGTTTATGCTTTAGCATTTTTATTTTTTGAGAATTTTTTTATAATTTTATCTATTAGACATTGTCTGAATATGACATTACTCAGACATTTCTAATATTTTGCATGACTTTTTTTCAGTTTTGAGTCTCATAATGCAATTCCATTCTGAAGCAAAGTCCTGAGTATGCTAATATAAAAAGTAAAATTTATAAGATTTTTTAAAAATTGTATTAAATTGATGCTCTGCTAAGATAGTATCCTGTTCTGCAGTGAAATACTTTCCTTCACAGACAATTATATAAGGACCTAGGCTACTAACAAATAAGTTCACCTATTCAGATTCATTACTTCTTTTCAAATTTCTGATAAATTTCTGTATTCCACGACTTCATTTATACATTATGTCTAGAATAAGACATTGTAGTTTGGATTCTCCCTCTTGCCAATTCTTTTCCCTTCACTTTTCACAAGTGGTGTTCCTTGCTGCCTGTGAAGAGTCTCAGAGACATTTTCTCAGGTTACCTGACAGTCTCATTAATTGACTTTTTCAACATAAGTAAATATAAATGTGTACAACTTATACAGTAGAATAGTTTGTCATATTTGTCTGTTACAACAAGAGTTAAGATAATGAGGTTTTACTTTACTTTCACTTACTTCTTCTTCTATATTCTTCCTTTCTGTATATAGGTTCGAGTTTCTGACCATGTTATTTTTCTTCTCTAACTTATTTGTTATTTCCTTCTCTAACTTCTCTCACTTATTTATTTTCCGATGTTCTTCCTTTCTTTTTGTAGGTGCAAGTTTCTGACCATGTTATCTTCCCTCTCTAACTTTAACATTTCTTTCAAGTCAATTCTACTGCGCACAAACTATTCTTGATTTTTGTTTGTTTAAGATAGTCTATTACTCCTCCACCTTAGAAGGACAATTTCACAGGGTACAGAACTGTAGGTGAGTGATTTTTTTTTTCTGTCAACACTAAATATTTCATTCTACTCTCTTCTTGCTTGCATGATTTCTGAGGAGAAATTTGATGTAATTCTTATCCTTGGTCTTCTATAGGTAGGGAGTCCCCCAAACCACCACCTCTAGCTTTTTTTCAATATTTAATCTTTATCATTGATTTTCTGAAGTTTGAATATATAATATGCTTAGGTGTATTTTTTAAAGTATTTATCCTGTTTAGAATTCTCTGAGATTCCTGGGTTTGTGGTTTGGTGTCTGACATTAACAGATGGTAATTCTCCATCACTATAGCTTTAAATATTTATTCTATTCCTTTCTTCTTGTTTTTTTTTAATTCCCATTACATGTATATTACGTTTTTTCTAGTCATCCCATAGTTCTTGAATCTTTGTTCTGGGATTTTTTATTTTCAGTTTTTTTTTTCACTTTGCTTTTCAAATTTGGAAGTTTCTATTAAGATATCCTCAAGCTCGGTTGGGCCCAGTCTACTGAGCCATCAAAGGCATCCTCTATTCCTGTTACAGTGTTTTTGATTTCTAGCATTTTATTTTATTTTATTCTTAGATTTTCCATCTCTCTGCTTACCTAGCCCATTGTTCTTGCATGTGTCTCCTTTATCTGTTAAAGCCCTTGGCAAATTTTAAAATTTTCTAGTCTGATAATTCCAACATCCCTGCCTTGTCTGGTTCTGATGCTTGCTCTTTGTCTTCAAACTGTGTTATTTGCCTTTTAACATAACTTGCAATTTTTTTCTTGGTAGTTGGGCATGATGTACTGTAATTGATGGTAAAGTGTGGAGTTAGGGTGAATTCTATAGTTCTATGATTTTCAGTCTTTCAGTGACCCTGTGCTTCTGTCTTGTGAACTTTAAAACTCTGTTACCCAGAATGGATGGGGCTAGAGATGGCTGAAGTTGAATACTTCTCTTCACACAGATCATTTAGGCCCTGAAAACTCCCCAACAGTTTAGGCTGGGTTAAATTAACTTTGCTTGAGTTCAGGCTGTTGAGAACAGAATGCTTTGACATATTTCAAGTGTTACTTCTCCCCTCTCCCACCAGAAGTATGAGAGGATGTTTTTCTCCAACATTCAGTGTGAGAACCTGTTTGAACTGTTAAAGGTAAAATTCACAAAAGCATAGGGTCCCCCTTATGACTGGGTTCTATGGGAATGTTTAACTCTCAGACTTGTCTACTCTAAGCCTCCAGGAATTTATCAATTGCAATGCAGGTTTTCCTACCCCAGAAGTTGTCCCCACGGAGGTTTCCACTATAGTTTTCATTTTTGTTTATTTTTACCTTGTAAGTTGTGATTCTCTGTGTGTATCCGTCTATCTCTCCAATTTTGCAGGCAGCAATTTGCCCTGTGGCCTCATTTCTCTGACAGATCTAAGAAAGGTTGCTGGTTTTTCAGTTTGTTCTGCTTTTTACTTGTTAGGATGGAGTGTGGACTTCTGAACTCCTTATATGCCAGGCTGGAAACACAACATCTCATCAGTGCTTTTTACCATTATGACTTTTTCTGTATTGCTTGTTTAATATGATCAATTTTTAAAAAGAGACAATACTGTATCAATAGCTGTATTTCAGTGTCTTCATAAGTTTCCTAAAAATAATTTCTCAGATTTCCTTTATAACAAGTGTCTTTTGTTACATTTCAACAACTTAGAGAATTAGGTTTTGTACACATTAGGTTTTGAAAGGATAACCTCAAAGCAATTGCTGCATTTTAGAAACTTAGAGCCAAGGACAAACAATACTTTTTATTCATTAATTTAACATCTTTAAGGGAGCTATGCTTTTTTCCTGTGTTATGGACCTCTTCAAACTCCCTTTGCTGTCCTGGATTTACAGTTACAAGTCTGACCCAATTCATTCATAATAGCATGTATTTTTCAATTAAACATGTCCAGACTTCAGATTATAAGAAACATTACTCCTCATACACTTAAAATGTTTTCAATTCTTTTTTTTTTTTTTTTTTTTTTTTGGACAGAGTCTCACTCTATCACCCAGGCTGGAGTGCAATGGTGCAGTCTGGGCTCACTGCAACCTCTGCCTCCCAGGTTCAAGTGATCCTCCTGCCTCAGCCTCCCGAGTAGCTGGGACTACAGGCATGCACCACCACACCCGGCTAATTTTTGTATTTTTAGTAGAGACGGGGTTTCACTATGTTGGCCAGGCTGGTCTTGAACTCCTGACCTCGTGATCCGCCCACCTCAGTCTCCCAAAGTGCTGGGATTACAGGCGTGAGCCACCACACCCTGCCTCAAATTTTCTTATCTTGTGCTGATTTATACATACTTTTAACTGCAATTGGCTCATGTGGGAAACAAACATACAGACCCACCAGGACCTTCCCATACTATAATGCACTTATATGAAAATGGAAGTGCTATTGCCACAAAAAGTCACCAAGTACAAAGAAAGACTCATTGTAATTTGTCTGCTAGGCAATTGAGTCACCTACTTGGTCCTCTGTCTTATATACAACACCATTGTATGCTCTGTCACCCAGGCCTAAACCCTTCTATCACACATGTATTCTTTAAAAAATATTTTTAGAGTTACAATGTATCAGGGTCTGGGGATAAACTAATGAACAAACTGAAATAGTAACTTTCTTATTACACTAATAGTCTATTGAGGAAGGCAATGTTAATCAAGGGTGAAATTTGATTATATTGAATAATAAGTGCTACTTTTTGAGTTCTATATGGGCAGTAACAGGAGCACTTAAGAAGTTTTTCTGGAATTGGTTATATGTACATTAATATATCAGAATGAATTGTTTCTACCAAGGTAAAAGTGATAAGTGAGTGTCAAGAAGAGGCAAAACCTTGGCAAATTGGGAAGTGACAGTGGTTCATTATAGTTGGAGCCGAGTGTGTAAGTGTAGGAGTGAGGCTGAAAAGGTAAGAGTACCCACATGGCGCACATATATAGTATATATAGATACTATATATATAGTAGATCTACTATATATATATTCTACTATGTATATATACATACTATATATATATATACTATATATAGTAGATCTATTATATATATATTCTACTATATATATACACACACACATAGTAATTATATATATATAATTACCATTCTACTATATATATAATTACAAATAAAAGCCCTGCACAAAATACATAAAACAATAATTAAAAGACACTGAAAGAGGAATAAAAAGATGAGAAAATGAGTATCCCTACAAGACCAAACCTTTTTGGCTAAATTTGCCTTATTCCAGAAGAATACCATTCAAAATGCTAAACCCTTCTGTCTTCCCACTGACTGTTATGACCGTGTAGACTATCAACAAAGCCTTGCCAACCATTTCCACCCAGCAATCATGAGTCAGTCCTCTCCTTATTCCTACAGGCACTGCAGAGAGCCCTTGGAGTGAAGCCCCATTGGCTTTCTCAGCCTCATGCTAACTGAATGACAACAAACACACAGCTCCCCATCTCTCCCAGTTAAAGACTTGGAGAAGGATTACAGAGAGGTGTGAGCTGGAGAAAAGAATTCTTTGAATCTACGTATGAAGTGCTGTTAAAATTTTTGAAGGGCCATGTATAAAACCAATCAGACATGACAGAGCAAAAACACTAAACCATTTTATGAAATAACACCAACCTCTCAGATTCACCTCTGAGTAGCACACAAGTGAAGCAGACCAGAATTGCTTGCAAATATTTTGAAAACTAAATTGATATTCAAACCATAGCCCATGAAAGTGAGCGAGAATGTGCATTCTCATCCTAACAGGTTGACTGCTTGCTAAAGTAGAAGATTTAAATAGGAACCCACATCTCACAACTTAATACCCACAATGTTCAGGACATAATTCAAAATAGTTTTGCTAACAAGACCAGAAAAATCTTAGTTTTCAATGAGGAAAGAAAATCAACAATTACCAACACCGAGATAGCATAATGTTGGAATTATCTGACATATATTTTAAATCAGGTATCATAAAAATGTTCCAACAAACAATTATGAACATTCCTAAAACAAATGGAAAAATATAAAGTCCAAACAAAGAAATAGACAAAATAATAAAGAACCAAATAGAAATTTTAGAATTTCATCAAGCAATGACGGAACTAAAAACTGAACAAATGTGTTAGTGCAATGAATATGAAAGAGAAAATAATTAGCACATTTGAAGATAGAACAATAGAAAATATCCAGTCTTCATAAAAGACATGAAAATGATTTTTAAAACATGAACAGAGCCTCAAACACCTGTGGGACAATAGATATGATCTATAATTCTTGTCATTTGAGCCCAAGAAGAAGAGGGCATGATAAAGAATTAAAAAAAAACTAATGTGAAGAAATAAAACAATGGCATAAAACTTCCCCAATTAAAAAAAAAGATGTAAACCTAAAGATTCAAGTAATTGAACAATATCCAAACATGGCAAACAGAGAAATTCATATCAAGACATAGCAGAGTCAAATTTTTGAATACTAAAGGCCAAGAAAAAGTTTTGAAAGGAACCAAAGAGAACAACAGATACATTATGTATAGAGGGATAACTAATCAAAATGTAACAGATTTCTCATTAAAACTGTCCAGAAAAAAAGAGGGAAACTACGTTTTGGAAACAAAACTTCTCAGTTGAGAATTTATACCTGAGGATGGAAGGTGAAAAAGACATATTCTCGATGAAAAAGAAAAGATTTATCCATGACTTGCAGATTTGCTCTAAAATAATGGATAAAGACATTTCTTCAAACAGAAGGGACATGATAAGGGGAGGACACACGGAACATCAGGAACAAGGAAAGAGCAAAAGAAAGGGATGATATTAGATAAAGAAAATGAGCTATTCTCCCCTAGTGTTTTTAAAATCATATTTGATGGTGAAAGCAAATATTATAAACTTTGTTTAATATTTCAATGTATGTAGGAGTAATATTTCAGACCACTGTATCACAAACAGAAAAAGTCAAAGGTCCTAACTGTTGGTGAATAGTCTGCATGCCACTTGAATAATAAAATGTTGATTCTAGTAGACTATGATACATTACTTATGTACATTGTAATCCCTAGAGAGACTACTAAAAAAAACACAGAGATATACTCAAAAACACTACGCATAAATCAAAGTGGAATACTAAAAAATGGTGAAGTAACCTACAAGAAAGCAGGAAAGGAGAAATAGAAGATTAAAAAACAGAGGGAAAGAACAAAGAACAAATAATAAAATGACAATATCAGATATAAATAATTGCATTAAACTAACTAGTCTAAACCAACCAGTTAAAATAATATAAAATAAGTTAAAATAATATAAAATAATTTTATTATTATTTTATTCCAACTTTTGCTGGAATGACACAGGATATAGCACCAGCCCTATTGTTATTTTTCTTATTATATTAATAAAGACTGACAATATTTTAAATACAAGACAGAGATAAATTTCTTATACCAATGTCACTAAACAAGTTTGAACTCCTTGCTGAATTCACAAGGTTATTTATACTCCAAATTTAATTTTGAAGGCCCATCAGATGATTTTTCATGAGACTTTCATTTTGTTGAAAGCAAAGATTGGAAACTACTTGATTGCAAAAGTTGGTTACTTATAAATGAGAAACATTTACACACACATTCAATATCAGTATTTGTAAATGCCCTTCTGTATGGTACCACAGAAGTGTAACAACCTTCGACAATATGTCACAGGAAGATTCCAGATATGCTTTCCATTTTTAAGTGTGAAATAAAGGCAGTTACAAAAAGGGAGATGGGAAAAGATAATTTCTTCAAGGTCTTCACCATAGGTGATTTTCTGTGCGGATTTTAAAAGAAATAATGCATATGAAAGGTAAAGATCTAGAAATTGGTTTCCTTAAAACAGTGATTTATTAATGTCCTAAACTTAATTTTTTCTGAACATTCTGTGTAATTGTATGCTTTTATGCTTTATTTTAGAAACTTCCTTAAATTTAAATACAATCTAATGTAAAGCATTTTATATTTATGTACAAATAAGTAATTTTCATAACCTGTTTACACTTACCTGCATTGTATTTATATTTTGTATTGTATTACGCATTGTTGTGGCTTTTTTCCAGCATCTTGCACAGTATCGTATCAAATATATACTTATAGAATAAATGAACTTAGAAATAGGAAGGTAGTAACCCAGCCAAAAAATATCCTTTTATCTCAGTAGGTATATTTCTATAGAAGAAGGTGAACGCTAAGAGCAAAGTCTCTGGAGACATGTGCATACGGATTTGATCTTCATCTTCCTACACTAGGTATGCTACATATGCTTCTTTCAGATTTGGGATTTAGGTGAAATTAGGACAGTCTTATTTATCTACAAGATTACAATAAGAATTAAATGAGACAATGCAAACGCCCTGCAATTTGTAAATCTTCAAAAATCAATTTATTGTTATCATAATTATGATTAATACTAAAATTTGTGATGTGACACATTCCATATGACTGTTAGCATATATATATACACACACATATATATACACACATATATGTGTATATACACATGTGTGTGTGTGTGTGTGTGTATATATATATATATATATACTTCCTATGCTGTAGATGATAATGCAGAAAATAGTCTGATATGTACTTTGTTGAAGTTTCTCTTAACAGTGAAATCATTCATTGCTGGGGAGGAGGAATTAGCTTAACTGTATCACATTAAAAGGGAGAACAAAAAAATAAGAGAGAGGAAGAAAAAGAGAAAAATGAAGACATATAAGCAGGAGACTGACTGTGGGAAAGTTTAAGTAAAATCAAATATGTAAGATGGAATGGGAAGTAAAAGTAGTATATAAAAATAGTAAAATGATAATGACATTAACATTTGTAAATTTTGTGACTTTTAACATGCATTCTCATCTATTGTCTAATGGAGTTTCTTACCAAGTTTGTGAATAGATAGGAAAGAAAAGTGATTTGTTCACATACAAGAGAGCTAGGGTTAGAAGATAGAGATTTTGAACTCTTTAAAATGGTATTTAAGTATCAAGGAACAAATGTTGGCCTATTCTCTTCCTTTAGTAGGAATAAATCCTGGACAAATGAGGAGTGAATACTTGTAAACCATGCCGGCCATCTTTTTGCCCCTTACTCTCAATATGCAATTATCATGTCTTAATGTATCCTTCAATATTCTTTCTGCCTCGTCACACCCATTGCCACTGCCCTTATTATTTTTAACTGGAGTACTGTAAACACTTCCTAATTAGGTTTTACTCCCTGGTTCTTGGCTCCTTCAGAACATCTTCCTCATTCCCAATAGACTGATCTTGCTAAAATAGCAATGTAAGGGTCCTATTCTTTCAATCAGTACTCATCACATTCAGTCTAAAATACAAACTCCTTGGCATGACATATAGGAGCCTTCTTGATCACAAACCATTTTCTCATAGATATCCTTTGCTCAAGTAATAGAGAATGTATTAAAAGCCTTGGAATAGCCCATGTTTTGTAAACTATATGCCTTCACACAAACTATTTCCTCTCTTTGAAATGCTTTCTCTGCCTCCTCTGACTAGCTCTTCTGGGTGCCTCAAGCTTCAGCTCAGCTATTATCTTGCCTAGAAACTCTCTAAAGAACTTTTCTCCTGCGCTACCTCCCTGGTCCAGGGTGTGTCCCACAACCCTCATAATACATCATGATCGTGGGTCTTATTCGGTTTATTTTATTAGTTCTTTCATTCTTGCAATAAATAATTATGACTGCTTTCTATATTTAAAATACTGTTCCGAGTTTAGAATACAACAATAAACCAGTCAACATTTTATCTTACAAAACTTACAATAAGACAGGGGGTTAAAAACAACTAAACAATTTCAGAACCATATGATACTCTTATAAATGAGCAGTACAGTGTTGATTTGATTTTTCTACAGTCTTGTGTATACTTAGCAAAGATCTTATTACTGGAGCTCATTTGGAAGCAGGAACTGCAGCTCCATCACTATATTTTCTTGCCAATATCACTATATTCATATTGATGGAGGCTGATACATGTTTGTGGAGCTAATAAATACATATGCATTGTTTTAAAAATATGATCTTCTAAAAGATTATATAACTACTGTCAATCTATTCTTACGATTAATAATGTTTATTCTTAAAATATCATCTTCACATTAGGTTTGAATGTATACTTCTATGTGAGAGAATTTTCTCTTGTGTTTTCAGAGAAAAATGGCAAGTCCCTCTATATATTTGGAGGCTATCGTAAGGTTTCTAATGACTTGAATTCGGTAGGTTGATCCACTAGGGTCTGACATGCAGTAACATCCCTCCTCTCATCCCCAGCATTCTGCTCCTCCCTATTCTGTTTCAGCTCCACTGGCCTAGTTCCTACCTCAGCTCTCCAGCATTTACAGATGCATCTGCCAGCAACACTCTTTCTCTAGATATTAAATGCACAGGTTTCTTTGCTCCTCAGATAAGCCTTCCTTAAAAATAGTGCCCTCACCACATTCTCTTTATTCCTATAACCTGACACATTTTTCTCCATGACACTTGAATGTAAGCTCCATGAATACAGACACGTTCTCTTCTTTGATGTTGAATCACCGTGGACCAGCCCATATTCTCAATTATCATTTGTTGAATGTAATGTTGACAATGCAACTCCAAGGAAGTACAACTGGAGAAGAGAGATTTGGCAGATACTGAGGGACTGAGAAAGTGAGAGGATACATCAAGAAATATAGAAGAGTCAGAAATTCTATTCTTGGGACAGGAACATGACACCTGAAATCACTGGTATTTAATAATCTTTGATTGAAATATACAGTTGTCCTCTGGAGACATTAAGAGATGAATTAATATATGATCCTCTGTAAGGAAGCTGCCTTCTCTCTTTATACTGCCTCCCAGGCTTGTGGCATTAGTCCCACAGAGACTGGGTAAATTTAAGTACACACATTTGGACTTCTTTTCCCTGGATTAAATCATCTCTAGTCTATCATTTTCCATCATCATTCATATTTTTTAAATATTCCTTTCAAATTGTTATCATTTTTAAAAAATTCAAATTTTTCATATTGAATTTAAGGCATTTGGCAACATGAATTTTTGAAACTTTTGGTCAGGATTTGACAAAAAAAGACTCATAGAATATAAATGCATATCTGTCATGTATATAAGAAATCTAGAACTTTTCATGCCTTGGAGTTTTGAGTCATTATGAAATTAGTAGATAATAGATAATGCTAGGTTTATCATGTTTGGGGATTCAGTGGATCACATTGGATCATTAAATATCATGTTTTGAATATAATAGAATAATGATAAAAGAACAAGCTATGTATTTTGTTCTAATAACCTTGAATGTTTTTCATTATGTAAGAAAGTCACTTAATGGTATGCCTTTCATGATTTCACATTTGTATTTAATTCTTCATAAACAATTTAACCTAGTTCTGGAGTTGAAAGACTTGTAATAATTTAAGCTTAATTTTGAGTTTCTAAATTAATACATGTTATTTGATTTCATTTTTTTGCAAATGTGAGACATGAAAATGAAAATTTGAATTCTGCAAACTCAAAAGAATTTTCTAGCTTAACTTCTGTTTTTGAAGAGTAGTTTCAATTTTCAACAGTCTGATAGATTTGATTGTTGGTATCGCTTGTCATATTCCCTCTCTGTTTATCAGTTCACTAAAACCAATATAGAAAGTGCTATTAATATCCCTCTTCTTATCTTCTTGCCAACTATCCATGAAAAGCATCAATCAAGTAATTCCTGTATGAAGGATTTATCAATGCTGCAGTGACTTGTAATTGAAGGCATGTGGCTTCTGTGAATTCATATATTTAAGTTGTGCTTGCTAAATGTCACAGAATAGGAGGTTATCATATAAGGAAATTTAAACTAAGAACCTAATTAATCATTCAAATTAAGTGCATAATGTTAAGAAAAGAGTTTTCTTGCATCATCTATTTCTAGGAACAAGAAAAATATAACTTCATCATTCACATGAACAGGTCCAGCTTTTCTCTTTGTCCTCCAGTGGCCTTATACATAAAGAGTAAAGTAGTTAAAAACAGCAGTCAGAGATTCTGATGAGTCTAGACATATTAAAGGAAGAGCTGGCACCTAATGATAAAAAAAAGATTGAATTTTATTAAGTCATCAAGTTCTATGTTTTAGAATTCCACATCAAGGTGAAAATTAGAGAAGAAATAAATATTGAATAAAACAGTTTGCCCTGATTCTGGATACATCATTACAGGTTTATGACTTGCAGTGCTTTTCAAATGAAGGGATGTGAGTTCTTCAGAACACTTCACGTTGTGATACTCTTAATGAGCTAGCCCATCTTTATTTCTTATTCCCTCTACAGTAGCCCTGTATTCTTTTCCATTATTGATACTAATTTGAGGGAAAATGTAATGAATTTCTTAGTTAAAAATTCTTTAGGTCGGGTGCGGGCACTTTGGGAGGCCAAGGCAGGCAGATCACCAGAGGTCGGGAGTTTGAGACCAGCCTGACAAACATGGAGAAACCCCGTCTCTACTAAAAATACAAAATTAACCCGGTGTGGTGGCGCATGCCTATAATCCCAGCTATTTGGGAGACTGAGGTGGGAGAATTGCTTGAACCCAGAAGGCAGAGGTTGTGGTGAGCTGAGATCACGCCATTGCACTCTAGCCTGGGCAAGAAGAGCAAAACTCCGTCTCAAAAAAATAAATAAATAACTAAAAATAAAAATAAAAACTTTAATTGAAAATATTTACACTTACTTAAAAACAAATTTACATAGCATTTCCTCCGTGTAATGCTATATCTAGCATTATATATATCTAGATATTGGCAGATTCAACATCTAGATTCTCCTTGCTTCTTTTTTCTGTCATCTATCTATCTATCTATCTATCTATCTATCTATCTATCTATCTATCTATGTATTTACCTACATATCTATCCTAATTTTTGGATGTGCCAAGGGTCAGGGATGCCAGGGAGCCTCAGAGGGAAAGCATCTTCCATACTGAAATACTAGAAATTCAGCAAGCAGTGAGCAGTACAACAGCTTAGACATTTCAGGCTTCCACACTTCCTTAAAGTTGAAAACTTTAAGGAAATTGGTTTTTCTGTGTTCACAATGGAGCTTTACTAGGTACTTGCTTTTTAGCTGTATTGGCCATGACTGAATTTCATGTGGACTTATATTAAGGAGAAAATTTTTATGTGGAAAACCTCAATGCATTTCTCAGGCTATCAAAATTAATTGAATATGGTCAATGAATACCAATACATGGGAATCATTGTACATGTTCCAGTGGATAAAGAAAATATTTTTGAAACTTCAATATCACTTGACAAGAAATCTGTTTAAATAAAAACATTACAAGTACAGAATGATGGAAGAAATACGTTGTTTTTCTTGATTAAGAACATCTACAGTCTTTCATAGAATACCCACAGGAAGCTCAGAAACATAATGGGAAAAGTGCAAAATCTATTGAATGCTTTATTGGCTCAGTTATTCTCTGAATCACAGTAGATATAAATACTCTCCTTGGCCTTAGGGCTGCCTTCAAAAATGCTTGTCTATATCAACTTAGATTGCAAAATAAATAAATAAGTAAAGTGTCAGGAACTGTGTTAAACTACTGCAGGCAGAGATTGAAAAATGGTGCAATAATATTCTAAGAAGTTGACCAAGATCAGAGCTGTTAAGAGGGAGTGACAGGTGGTGTATGCATCCCCAGGCCCTGACTCACTAAATTCTAAATGGCACTTACTCTACCTAGACTAATAATCACAGCAGTCATGTTGTACCAGACACTTCTTGTATTTCTCATCTGTGGTTTCTGTTAAGGATAAGACATTTTAAGAACCTCATAAAGAAGTGAAAATTATTAATTTGTACTTTGTCATGGATTCTAAATCCTATATTAATGTAAAACTGTTGCATGAAATATAATTTGTCCATGTACCCTGAGCTTATAAACATTAAGATGTTATCATACGGTGGTGTAATCTTTGTCTCTGTGTATGTCTGTGTCTCTGCTGAAGTTTCAGCTGTTTGAGAGCCAGGGGCATGTATTTCCATTTCTGTGTCCTTAGCACCTAACACATCATAAATACAGTACATGATGAGTGAATAAAAAGAACAACTAGACAGGTGGACGATGTTAATGATACAAAATAAACATTTTTTTTCTGGAATTTCATAGGGGAATATATACTGTAGCTCTCTCCTTGACAAAGGATATTTCAGAACTCAGTGAGGTTTCAAATGTAATTCTGAAGACATAACCTTGTTTTGACATGCTTACCAAGCCATAAGCTGCTGGGATTGCAATTTTAAAATGGATGAAATAAGGAAACCTGACATGAGTAAGCTGAGGTTGGGGATGAATGTACTCTAACAGAAAAACAGATGTAGGAGACTTCTTTAATTTTAATTGTTTTAAGATTTGGAGAGTATTTCTGGAGATTGAAAAGAAAAAAATGTAGGGGTTTCATCTACATATTTATAGCATAACTAGTTAATTACAGAAAATGAGAATAGGAGGATCTGTGTAATCTTGAATTATTTCCAAAAAGTTCAATGAATCAAATTACTGGGATATTTTCATAGGAAAAATGTACCCCTTTCTTAGGAAAAAAAAAATGCCAGTTTTCCTGGAAGCCTATGAGTCTATTATCAACAGATTCCTTGCCTATTCCAATGTGGACTCATTCTTCAAAGTCTGTAATTCGCAAATCAATTACATCAGTGCTGGGTCTTAGGGGCAGAAAGAGCTCTTAATCCTAGCCTTTCCCTCTCTCTACCTATGCTTGTAGATCACATGGTGGAAGATTTTCCTATTGCAACAACCCTACATCTCCCTATTTCAACAGTTTTCCTCCCCTCATTGTAATAATCCCTTTGATTAAAATATCTTTTCCTATGCCCAGGTTTATTGTTGTTTGATGACACAATATATTTTGTAGGTAAATAAACTGTGGGAATAAAATATACACACTAAATATGAGAACTATACTTGCCAGGACCTAGAATGTCTATCAGAAAGGTATTTCAGTTACAGGTTTTTGGAAAGCAGGGCAGAATATAACATATAAAGAGTCTGGTAATATTTAATATTGCACCATCAATCAGCAGAGAGTGTATGGACAGAAGGCAGGTGAAACAGTACAGAGTCATTAGATTTATCTGAAGAAAGTTTTTTAACTATATAATTTTGTGTCATATCCCCCCAGACTACAACTCCAGACTTACATATGCTCCCCTAGAAATTTGTTTGTCTCATTTAAAATCTTCAAATATTCCTTCTCCTGAACAACTCCTGCTTTGATTCGGGAGGCTGGTGGAAGGCTCCCAGGAGAGGCCCCACTCAGGGCAGTGGGAGCTGGGCATCTGGTTTTGTCCTTGGTGAAAACCTTGGTGAGAAAACGAGCTGGTTGAAATAGGAAAGTGGAATAGTGACTAGGGAAGATATTATGCAGGATTTACTTATTCATGATTAAGTATATCTGGTAAAATTGTAACAATGCTTCTATTGTCAGACATTATTTGTGAGAAACAGATCTATAAATCTCTCTCATAGCCATTAAGAGGGAAAGTAAAATTTTCATTTTTACAAAAAATCCATGGCAACCATTAAACTACGTTTCCAAAGAAATATATATTTTATGTCATTAAGACACTTACATTGTTTACATAAGTTTAACATACTCTTTCCGCTCACAATATAACCGATTCCTAACTATAATACATTGTATTACATAATCTGTTGATATAAAAGTTTAATTCCCAAAGTAGAAAAAGGTCTATGCAAAACAAAACTTCATATTTTGACTTCTTGCATTTAAATGGAAAGTTATTTTAGTTTTTTGGTAAAAGAATTATTTGACACTTCTTAATAGTTTTAAGTATTTATGAATTGTTTACAATGAAGCAGTGAATGAATTATTCTATTGAGCCCATATTTTGAATAAAGTATATAATTAAGTGGAGGGAGTGAAAGTAACAACAGATAAGAAACTATCTAAATTGGAATTTTTGTTTTACAGAAATACTTTACAGCAAGGCAAATTGTACAATATGTGGAAATAATTATAGGAGTGCCCACAAATTGCAGATTAAAGTTAAGATCACTTCCTAACATTTTCTCTGATAAGTACATCACCACAGCTATTCTTGGATTTATTCATAATGTTTAAATATAGACTTCCATGTTCTCATGGAGGTTGGCTTGTACTCATTTCTGCTTTTCATTTTACAATACTATATGCCATATTATTTCTAAAAGGAAGAAAAATCTGTTTATTAGGAAATAATTATATTAGCAGATCTTAATCTCCAAACTTCCAATTAACTAGTTGGACAAATGGAAAGAAAATATTAATATGTCAATGACTTCATATACATTTTTATTTTCTGTATCATTATTAACCCAAACTGCTTCTAAATTTTTATCTTGTGTTCCCAGGGATAGATTCAAATTGTTAGAAAATCACATATTTTAATCTGATTACTGGAGTATATTTCTGATGCACCTTCGATTGTTAGCTCAGGTCAATATTAGTTACACCAGAGGAGTTGTGCAACAGCCAGTTCCTACAGAGTAAAAATTTCACGCTCTCTTGAAAATTCTCATCAGCAGAGTAACATTTTCATATGCTACTGAAAATTGCCATAGTTTATTTAATAAATTAGCTAAACAAAGGAAAGAATATATACAATTCTCATGACTGAAATATTCGGAGTTAGTTTAGGTAAGGCTTGTACTGGGGACTCAAATAATACCAGAATTTTTTCACATAATATTCAGGTAGAAGAAATATATCCCTTATAGTTATTAGGAAGCAGAAATTGTCCTCTAATAAATAAATTGGTATTGTAGGGAAAATAAAGATTTGTTTTCCTCACTGATTGCAAGGTTTATAACTGAGATGCCTGTAACAAAAAACAGATGAATAAAAGAAAAGCATGTAAATTTATTTAATATAAGTTTTGCACCAAATGAGAGCCTTCAGAAATGAAAACCAAAAGAAATGGGGAAATCTGTTATTTGTATGGACAGTTGTGCAGAAGTATGATTGGAGAACAAAAGAGTACCATCTAATGATAATAAACTGGAAGGATCGGGGGGTTAGCAAAATCTATATATATATTTTTTTTTCCAGATTTTTCCTGACATCTCTATATCTTTATTCCTCCAAGTATAGGGAAGATTCTTCTGGAATGATGTTTCTGTGACCTACTGTAGAGAAAATTTAGATAATCCTTTTATGGTATTCTTTAGTGGATAATAAGAGAGTCAGAGAGATCTACCTGCTTCTGCTGTTTTCCCAAATGCTAAGGTGCCATATTTTGGGGTAGTATGTCCTAACACTCATCATTCCCATCTGAAAATGCATTGGTGAATTGTCTCATAAGTTAATAAACCAGTCTTTCAGTCCCAGAATTAGGTTGGTCCAAACGGTTTAAGTTGTATCTCATTTCAGAAGGCAGTGTTGCTGCTTCCACTAAAGTTATGACTGTATGGTGTAATCAATCAGGAATTTAAGAGACATTTACATGAAAACAACAGAAAGACACAGGCTAGAACAACGAATAAACTCAATTTTGAGTCTAGAGGAGATCTGGTAGAGATGATTTCTACATGCTAGCTTAAAGCATCTTCAAATGGAGGGTAGGCAGTGACAATCTGAAAGATTTTCCTTGTTTGTAGTCTGCATAAGGTGCCCCAGTAAACTTTTGGAGTATCCCACATAGCAACAGGCATAAAGCCCGTCTGTATTTAAGCAGTTGTGATGACTTTTCTGAAGTCTATGTCAAGCTGTCCAGCTTTAGTTTGCGGGTATTCAGGAAAAGGAGAGTTTTAATATTTGGTGATACCAAGTGAGAAGAGTAGAAGAAAAATTGGAAACATTAGTTTGGAGAGTTATAGTCAGATATTGGATAATCTGGTTCAGGTTTTGTAATACAACCTCAAAAACAATGAATAGGGCTAGAATCTAATAACAAGTGTACCACATATTTTTTTTTCTGAATCATATTTTTTCTTTCTACAGTTACCTCTATTTCTACCAAAGATGATCAAAGTAAGACTAATTTGTTTGCAAAAGTTTTTGTTTTCTTAAACATGGTCTGATTATTTATACAAGTAAGGCAAGTATTAGTACTGTCATTGAGTATATAGTCTCTTTTTAAGTCTCCTTTGCTGAAAATTTTAATAAGGAATCTCAGATTAGACATTTGAAAGTCTCTGAATGCTAGGAAACCAAGCTAAGGGCTCGTCATCAGACTTTGCCTGTAATACCTACATATTTAAGTGAATATAACTCTTATCAATATGCAGAAAATATATCAAGATTCCTGGGCCTATTAGGAAGTGACATCCCTTACTCATCACTAAGGCAACCATGTACAAGAACCATATATGGGAATCGTGTGTAGGATATAAAGCCAATTACTCCCTCCAGCCCCAAACTATAATAACCAAAGGCTTTCATTTGCTCTACAAAGTCAACCTTAGTTTCTGAAAGTTGTCTGGTAATATCTGAAAATATGATATTCCAGTCAAAATCTTGGTAATTTATTACCAGTGCTTCAAATTGTGTCCTGTTACAGAAACAGATTCTTATTTAATTCGTGCAAATACCTATATTACCATAAAAATAAGAATACTAAGTTTCCAAATTATAGAGCGATAAGGCAGTAAAAAAAAGTAATTGTTTTATCTTTGTTTATTAAAAAAATACTAAATTGTGTAAGCTATAGATAGCTTAAGAGTAGGAATTGTTTTCTTAAATTTGGAAAACAAAACATTAAAGAAGCAGCAATGCTTCAAATAAAAGATCATAAAAATGACTTCAGTTCATTCAGTCCTATGTAATTAATTATTGATCTGTTTAATTTTGATTGGTGATTGTATAAACCCATCAGTTTCTTTAATGGATTTCTAAATATTTTTACTGAATCCAATGGTGTGAACTTAAACTTATAAGAAACCTATATTTTGAAGTACTTATCAGAGTCTATTTCATGAATCTCCTTGAAGAAAAACCAGTGTTGGACTTTTACTGGTTGCAAATATTTGCAGAGAAGAATCAAAGTAAAACAATAACTGTAGAAAAGAGCTAAAATAATCACTGTTATGGATCTAATGAGAATTTATTATAATAATGATGCAATTGACAAGAAAATTTGGTTATTTCTGTGGGATACAACATTTTAACATAAATAAAATTATAACTGATAACATTATAAAAGACATAACAAAATTCTAAAAATTTCATAAAAGTTCTGAAACACACAAAATGTTGGTCAAAGTATCCATAATTATATATAAATACATCTCAAGACATCTATTGTGTAGCAAGGTGACTATAGTTAATCAAGATGTATTTTTGAAAAATGTAATGAGAGTGGACATTACGTGCTCTGACCACAAAAAAAAAAAAAGTATGTGAGATAATGCTTAGGGCTTAGATGGGCAACATAACAGATAATTCAAGGAAACTGGATGAATGACTGAAGATGACAAAAGGAGGAAGGAGGACCAGAAGCAAATAAAAGAATCTTACAGAAGCCAGTTTGAGGGGATTTTAATCTTCCCAAAGAGGGCAATGATGTTCTACATTATGTTTAGCAAAAATCTTTCCAACAAGAAAGGAAACAAACAGAAAGAGCAGAATATATGGTTAGCAGGGTTTCAAAAAGAGTGATTTCTGGTGACGAGTAAGTACCCATAGGAGAAGCATGACCCATTGGAGAGAATAGAGGACTGAATAGTATCCTTGATATATTCTTAGTACCAGCTGTCAACCACGCTGACTTCTGATCATAGAGATCTTTAAAACAAATAATAAAAAAACCCTTCCTAGCAATGTTGAACTCACTTTTTCTTATTTAAAAAAATCAAAGATATCTATCAAGTGACTCAAAACCAAACACAGTAAGCCTTTTATGACTTAACTATGAATGCAAGAAACATCTTCAAAAAGAATGCAAAAAGATGCAACCTTCTCAAGATCCAGAACCACAACAGAAACAAGCTGAAAGACCTTCGCTGTCAAAAGAATACCTTTGTTGTAAAATAACAAAGGTTGAAATGACAAAATCCCCTGGAAGACTGGGACCTCTTACTATAAACTTCCCTGACAGCTGGCATGACTGATCAAAGAGAGTGCTTGGGCTACCAGCCTCTTGGACTGGCTGCCTAAAGCAAGCTGACACTTGCACCACCCAGCTGACAGAGACAGACAGAATATTCTCAGTGGTTACAAAGCCAACTTCTCTCAGAACACAAAATAAGATAACAGGAAATAGACAGCTGTCCTTGGGAGGGAAAGGATCAATAACAAATGGGTACCAAAAGATTAAATTTACACAAGCATTACAATCCAAAATTTTTTTTTTCTGTTAATCTAAATTTTGAAAGGAAGAAACAGAAGAAATGTTTACCTTTGTCTCTTGACCAGGAACTATAGAGATGCAGGTGAACTGACTAGTAAGAATGTTCACCTTTCACCAGCTTTTTGCCAGCTGTTTATGAATCTCATTCACAGGCTCCAGTGTAAGTGGGGTGTCTCAGCCACCCAGCATTGGGTGCCAGAAACAGTAGGGTTGAACACATTTTTTCCTCACTCATCACAAGATTTATGTTGAGACTCTTATGACAAAAGACAGATTAACAAAAGAAAAACATATATATTAACTTAAACTGAGTTTTACATGACATTGAGCCTTCAGAAACAAAGACCCAAAGCAATGGAGAAATCTGTGTATTTTTATGGACAGCTGTGCAGGAGTATGACTGTAGGATAAAAAAAGGATGATGCAATGGTAATAAACTTGGAGAAACTTAGAAAGAGCTGTTTAGATTTTTTTATTTTTCATTTTTGGTATCTCTGCATCTTCATTCATTTCCTCCAGTCATAGGGAGAAGACCTGGGAGGCCATGGTCTCATCTGGGATGAGAGTTTTATTACCTACTTTAGAATTTAAAAAGAATTCTTATGGCCTTCTTCAGGGGACAATGGTGAGAGAAGATCAGAGAGGCCTTTTCCTACTCCTGCTATCTTCTGAAATGCCACAGTGCCATATTGTGGGGTAGTGTGTCCTGAATCCCATCCATATGAAAATTATCATGTTGAATTGTGACTGTGTTGGCATTCAACTAGATAATTTCTTTTATTTTTTTCTTATTTATTTATTTTTTTCATACACTCTTTCTTAAGCCTGGCCTGGGTTTAAGGTCTTGAACTGGGAATCTACTACAGGCTAATGTCACATACTTATTCTTTACCACCTCCTGTCCTCACATCTCTGAGTAGGTGGCAAGAATGAAATCATGAAAGATACAATGTGAACAGGAGATAATGCAAGGTCTAGCAACTGGGTACATTGAGAGTGTTAAGATTTGCTAAGAGTGAGACATATAATAGAGGAGACAAAAATGTTAGCATCAGCATATTAGGATTTCAACGATAAAACATTATTGTCACCATTCTGCGGAGTGTCAATCCCACTTGTTAATATGCAATCTCCCTACAGTTGATACAGAGACTATGCAAAATTGATTCAGAGGAACCTCATTATGAACTGAGCACTATTATCAAATGTGTCTTGAGAGTATTTTTCCTGGCAGCATCTGATGCTTTTGAAAACTTAATAGATTTAATATGGCATCCTCTTCTATTAGTATCATTCACATTTTGAGAAATTAATTTTCTTATGTTGCCTCTCACAGATGAGTTATGAAGTAATGATGAGTTATGTAGTGATAAATTCAAAGGCAGATATTTGAGAGGATAAAATGCTTGAGAATAAAATGACTTCTTTATCTCTGGAAATACATCTTCATGTTTTCTCTTACTTTTCTCTACAAAATAGCAAGATAAGTTTTCATAGCAAACTAAAGAGTGAATAAAGGTTACGACACATAAGAACAATAGAAACACACTTTCATTATAATTTAATATTCATTTATTTTCTATTTTGATTTTACAAAATGATATAATAATGTTGGAGAGTGCCCATTTTAAGAAAATACAGACTGCAAAAGTAATTCTTAGACTTAGTTATTCGAAAATAATAAAACAATGCTTTATTTGAGGGTAAGAACAAAAAAACTCAAGCAAATTGAACAGAAGAGTGCTATAAGATTATCTGATTTATTTGGGTGAAGAGAGGTGAAAGGATAGTTGATGCTGTTATAATGTAAAAGAAAATAATTTTCCAGTTGGGTAATAATCCATACATTTCACATCAACTTACAAAATCCAGCTTTTCTGTTATGCTTAATAAATATCTGACAAACATGTTTGAAACTCATGAATTAGAAAATTAAGTCTCTCTAGGTATATATGTAAAGACTCAAAGAATAATAAATATATATTACATAGCCTGTGTCAAAAAATATTAACTTACCAAGTTATATTTATGGCCTATACCTCCCTGTCTAGGAAGAAGTTATAATTTAGGGAAGTTCCCTTTATAACTAAGATTTAATACTTATGTAAGAATGCATTATAATTACAAAGAAAGGAGGCAGAACTAGCAGGAAAATAAGGTCAGTTTAGAAAAATTTAAAAGAAAAATAATGTTGATTTTATTTTGGCTCTTTGGAGTTTTAGGAAGTCAGAAATATATTAGTTTATGAAAAGAAGTTTTGGGACTAGAGAAAAATGTATTAAGGGAAGCTCTACATGAAAGAATGTTAGAGTGAGATATTCTAAGTCAAATCCAGAGAAAAATACATCTGTGAGACTGGAGGTTAGCTGTCTGTAAGCTAACTGTGATGCTTGAAGAAGAGGGACATAAACTAAAAACATATACTATCAAACAGGATCTCTATAGTGAAAGGAAATAAAAGAGTCTTATTTTAGTCAGTGCTCAAACCCTCTATATTCCTGTGGTTCTTTTAACCTGACTGCCTGCAGTAACTTACCGTCTGACTCATGAGGCATCCCATTCCAAGTAACCCTGAAAGGGGATATAACTCAATTAAAAAATTAAAAATCAACCTTGGGGACAAAAAGCAGAACCAACCATTGGAAATATTGGCCTTTTATGCTTTAGTTTAGAACAATTTTGAATTTGAGATAGGTTTGTAAAATATACAAAAACACTATCACAGGAGGCAGAACAAGATGGCTCAATAGAATCCCTCAGCAAACCTTCTTTCTGTAGGAACACTAAACTGAACAACCACCCACACAAGAAAGTGTCTTTTTCGGAACAACAACAAAAAATCATGTGAGTGATCACAGAATCCAGTTGTAACATAACAAGCAAGACTGCATTTAAGAGTTGAAGAGGGTAGGAAAGATAGTCTTGCATTGCCTACTCCACTCCTCCCCCAACCCCAGGCAGCACAGTGTGGACAGAAAATCTTTGTTGAGCTTTCTTGAGTAAGCTCAAAAAATGTGCTTGGGGAGGGAGAGCAAAGTGACTGTGGGACTCTGCACTGGGACTCAGTGCTGCCCCGTCACAGTGGTACACACATTGGACAGAATTCGGCTGGTGCCCATAGAGGGAGTATTTAGACCAGTCTTGGGCCAGAGGAACATCCTCCATCCCAGAAGAAGAAATCTGAGTCCAGGCCAGCTTCACTATCAGCTGACACAAATGGCCTGGGACCCCCTCAAATAAATTTGAGTGGCAGTCAGGCCATAGAGACGGCAGTCCTTGGGCGAGTCCTGGTGCTGTGCTGATCTCAGAGGCAGTGGGCTAGGGATGCAACTCAGTGAGATGCTAGCTGTGGTGGCCAAAGGATTGCCTGCATCACCCTTCCCCCGGGTCCAGAAAGTCCAGTACAGGGAGAGACTCCTTCCACTTGGGAAAAGGCAAGAGAAGAAAACAGAGGGCTTTGTCTTGCAACTTGGGTATGAGCTCAGTTGTAAAGCACCAACAGATTCCTGAAAGTCCCAGTTTTAGGCCTTTGCACTTGGATGGCATTCCTAGATTCACCTTGCTCCGGAAGGAAATCTGCTATATTGATAGGCAGGCTTAGTCCTGGTAGGATCAACTACCTGTTAACTAAAGTAGCCTTGGGCCTTGAATAAACATCAGAAGTAGCCAGGCAGTAGCCACTGCAGACATTAGGTCAGTGCCAGTACTATGCTGTTCTGGAAGGTCACGGGCTTTTAAATGCCAGGCTGTGAAAGAACCCAAGAAGGGAGGCTATACCCTGCAAAGCCACAGGGATGAAGCTGCCCAAGGCTGTGGGAGCCCACCTCTTACACCAACATGACCTGGATGTGAGACATGGTGTCAAAAGTGATCATTTTGGAGTTTTAAGTTTCAATTACCATCGTATTGGATTTGGGACTTGCATGGGGTCTTTAGCCCCCTTGTTTTGGCCAATTTCTGCCATTTGAAATGGGTATATTTACCCAATGCCTGTACCCCCATTGTATCTAGGAAGTAAGTAAATTGTTTTTGATTTTACAGGCTCATAGGAGGAAGGAACATGCCTTGTCTCAGATGAGACTTTTGACTTGGACCTTTGGGTTAATGCTGGAATGAGCTAAGACTTTGTGGGACTGTTGTAAAGGCATGATTGTGTTTTGAAATGTGAGGACATAAGATTTTGGAGGGGCCAGGGGCAGATTGACACGGTTTGGCTGTGTCTCTGCCCAAATCTCACCTTGAATTGTAGTTCCCATAATCCCCAATGTGTCCTGGGAGGGACCCGCAGGGAAGTGATTGGATCATGAGGCCTATTTCCACCATGCTGTTCTTGTGATACTGAGTGAGTTCTCACAAGATCTGATGGTTTTGTAAGTGTCTGGCTTTTCCCCTGCTGGTACTTCTCTCTCCAGACACCTTGTGAAGAAGGATGTGTTTGCTTCCTCCTGCACATGATTGTAAGTTTCCTGAGGCCTCCCCAGTCATGCAGAACTGTGAGTCAATTAAACCTCTTTTCTTTATAAATTTCCCAGTCTTGTTTTTTGTTTTTTTTTTTTTTGTTTTTAGATATAGCACTGTGAGAACAGACTAATACACTCTCATAATTGAAAAGGGGAGTGTTTGGTTAGGTTGTTCTCTTCTGTATTTTTCACAATTATACATTGTGTAAAGTATCACGTAAATAGTTGTGATGTTAAAAAGGTAATTTAAAGAGACAGCAACAAGAGAAGTATATTAAGATGCTTTTGCCATATAAGTGCCATGATTAATATTAAGGGGAGGATAAATTTAGTTCTGCTCCTTCCACTTAGATAACCTGTCAGAGAATGAAATGATACTTAGAAGGTTTTGCTCAATAATATTATTATGGTTTATTTTTCAAGATTTTTTGCCAGTGCTTTCTGTTGCTAAGGGTTAGAGTTATGCAGTAAATGGATATTTGCTTAGTAGAATTATTAATGAATATTTGCACATATTATAGTATTCCTAGAGCTGAATCTGTTGTAGGGATAAGAAATTCTTGAATTGTTCTGCATAACAAAGTGTGAGAAATTGTTCACTTCAAAGAAACTAGACAAGGGGTCGAGGAGGCTTAAGATGGGAGGATGAGTCCTCTAAAAAAATGATATCTCTTATTATTATTAAATTGCATGCCTGGTCCTAAAATTCACTGCAAGGCCCTTACATTTTCATAAAATGTCTGTAGCATACAACTACTTTTTATGAAGAATTGTTTCTCCTTGCAAAAACAAAATCCTTTTGTAAGGAAAATCAAAATAAAATAAAAGAGTCTTTGTTTCTTGTTTTTTGTCCTTATGGAGGGGAAAGGCAAGACCAGCCTTCAATGATGAGCCAAGAATCTTGTCACATATTCATTAGAAGCAGATGATCAGAAAATACCAGTGATATTCGAGTGGGAAGGAAAGTCACATTTTCCTTCTTTGAAATTCTAACATTAAAATTAAAGGTGACTACTGTCTTGGTTATGCATGCAAACATCCCCTTTCAGTATACATAATTACTCCTAGAAAAGGAAGAAAGATAAAGGGTATATATAACTAATATTTACTAGTTCATTACATGGCGAATCAACTTGCCAGAACTACCCACACCTGTACCAGGTGTCAAATTAATAAATCTAGACTTAGTAAGGGAAGAATTTTAGTGGAGAGGATTATTGCAAGGTGGCAGTTGGAGGGGACTCTTGCAATAGGAAAAAATACAATGATCTGTTAGTGTCTAAAGGTTTAGTCAAAAAGTGGTCTGTTTTATAGACATGCTAGAACTGATGTAAAGAAGTAGGATGGAAGAATGGTATGGATTTGATAGTAAATCAAAATTTTTTTATTTTGTTGACAGCCTATTTTTTGTGAGGGGCCCTTGAGGTTGTTAAAGAGAGGGTATACACTGCCTCAGGCTGAGGGTGGGCCCAACTTCAGGGGCTTGAGGGAAGGAGAGAAGCTTAAGCGAAGTTTTGTTTCCATTGATCAGTGGGTACTGAAGAAACATACCTCTCTTGATAATTTCTCCTCGGGCTTCTTCTAAACTCTCTGCTCAAGTAGTCCTCAACTTTTGGACTTCCCTGTTCATGTCTGCGTTGTCTGATTTCAACAAGAATCCTGCTAGAACAGTTTAACCACAATTCCTTATTCTCAATATCTAATCACCCTTGATATCTGATTGAGTTTCTCATACTCCACCAACCCCCAGTTGATGTCTGATCACCCCGATCATCCTGGCTTGCCTTCAGCAAGAATCACGCTAGGTCAGTTTGGCCAGATTCTCCCTTATCCCTGATGTTTCCTTTTAGTAATGTTTCTGCCACTGACCTCAACTTTGCTTCTTGTCTATAAATTACCACTTGACCATGCTTTATTTGGAGTTGAGCTCAATTTCTCTCCCATTGTAAAACCTCATTGCAGTGATGATCCCTACACTTATTGCAACAATCCCCCTTGAATGAAGTCTTCCTTACCATATATAATAAGTATCATGGATAATTTCCTTTTTCTTTAACAGTACAAAACAGTTTAGCTAATCATTTATAAGTCAAGAATGAGGATTTGAAAGTTCTGTGCCTGGCCTTGTCCTAGGTAAGCAAAGGGTGCACAAGTGTTGTCTAAGTCATATAAAAAAGAGAGAAAATTCCATACAGTAAGTTGTTCCCTGGAATACAAAAGGGAGCAGAAAAAGAAAGAATTCCTTTAACTTTCCCTGTTTTCTAGGAGCACAAGGCTCAGGTAAAATTCAGTTTGTCAAAGGATAACTCCTTCTCTAACAATAAGTCCAGATATAAGAAATTCTATCTATAAGCAATAGTTATTATATAAATAATTAATTTTCATGAACAGAATGTAAATTCATAGATTTACATGATGCATATAATACAAATATTAATACTGTTGCTAATGCAAGCTAAATTACATCTAGTGATTACAATGAACCAGACACTGCATTAACTATATTGAATGGACTGTCTAATTATTTCTCACAATTTTATGAGGAATTTAGTATTTATACATCATTTTACAGGACAAAACACAGAAACAAAAGTGAGAACTTAAGACAATTGCCTAAGGCATCAGTGTAGTTAAACGACAGATGAATTTATTGTTGAAGTGTTTCCCCCTTTTCTTGCTTTAAAATATGGGGGAAACAAAGGTGGTTTTTCTACTGTGACTCACCCCTTAACATCACTGATACCACATGTGCACGGGAGGTATTGTTCCCACACACTAAGCAACATTCCAGTGGATACCAATTGGGCTTCCTAAAGTCAATTTAATTCAGACAGGATCTACTGAAGATAGCATCAGATCCCACAGGTTGAGGACCCAGTCCTGTAAGACTGCCCCGACTCCCAAGCTTCAGATACAAATTAGAATAGGTTGTCACCTATACTTCTGACTGACTGACCAGTTACAAATTGGGGATATCTACCTCCTACTTGGGTTAGATGAATTTGATAGAGTAGCTCACAGAACTCAGAAAAACAATTAACTTACTGGTTTATTAATAAAAGATAAAAATAAATGATACAGAGGAACAGCCAGATGAAAAGACGCACAAGGTGAGGCCTGGAACGGTCCTGAGTGCAAGAGCTTCTCTACCCAGGGAGTTGAGGTGTGCCAACCTCCTAGCATACTCATGTATTTGCAGACCTGGAAGCTCTCTGAACCCCATATTTCAGGGCTTTTTTTTTTTTTTTTTTGAGACGGAGTCTCACTGTCGCCCAGGTTGGAGTGCAGTGGCGCCATCTTGGCTCACTGCAGGCTCTGCCCCCTGGGGTTCACGCCATTCTCCTGCCTCAGCCTCCCGAGTAGCTGGGACTACAGGTGCCCGTCACCACGCCCGGGTAATTTTTTTTTTTTTTTGTATTTTTAGTAGAGACTGGGTTTCACCGTATTAGCCAGGATGGTCTCCATCTCCTGACCTCGTGATCCGCCCGCCTTGGCCTCCCAAAGTGCTGGGATTACAGGCGTGAGCCACAAGCTTCATCCTGTAGGTATGGTTAATTATTTATTATAGTTACCATTCCTCTTTAATTTCTGGAGAATGGGGAATGGGGCTGAAAGCTCCAAGCTTCTAATTATGGGTTGGTCTTTCTAGTGACCAGTCCCTATCCAGGAGCCCACAAAGTGTGGCCTAATTAGAACAACAGACACTCCTATCACCCAGGAAATTCCAAAGAATATAAGAGCTATGTGCCAGAAACTGGGGTCAAAGATCAAATATTAGAACAGAAGACTCTCTTATCACCCCTATTGACAAGGATAGTGTTAGCAGTGATGAATCCATAGCAGTCTGCAGCAACCTCAATTCTTACCTCCTCAGAAGAAATAATTTGACCAAGGAGCACGAGGCAGAGGAAGAGACTGAGGTAAGCTTTAGAGCAGGAGTGAAAATGTACTAAAAAGTTTAGAGCAGAAAAGAAAGAAAGTAAAATACACTTGGAAGAGGGCAAAGTGGGTGACTTGGAAGAGGGCAAAGTGGGTGACTTGAGAGATCAAGTGAGCTGTTTGACCTTTGACGTGGGGTTTTAAATGTTGGCATGCTTCCAAGCGGTTCTGGCTCTTCTCCCCGATTCTTCCCTTGGCGTGGGATGTCCACATGTCCAGTGGCCTGCCAGCACTTTAGAGGGGCTGCATGTGCAGTATGTTTACAGAAATTATGCACATGTTCACTTGAGGGGTTCTTCCCTTACCAGTCAAGTGTTTCTAGAGGAAGGTCATATACCAGCTAAACTCTGCCATTTTGCTTTTTATTCTGCATGTGTGAGCCTATTGACTCAACTCCTGAGATCTTATCAGAAAGCTGCTTATCACCAACTTTACGTGTTTTGTCTCTATCGGGAGACCTGCCGTTCCCTGGCGCCAGGTGAATCCAATTATTATTTTAGATAGACAGCTTAACAACCTTGATGGTCGCCTGATATTCCTGGTAGTGGGTGCGGTTACTCTCCTGCCCTGCCAATGTCTGCCTGACTACCTATGATAACAATATCAGGAGGTGTCTCAGGAACAGGGACAAAGACCAAAGATTGAAACAAAATATTTTCCTAGCACCCTAAAAGCGCAGGAATTATAACCATTTTTAAAAGCCCTGTGTCAGGGACAGGGGAAGAGACCAATATGTATGTTTCTTATTATTTTTACATTGGTAGTCAAGCTGTTTTCAGCCATTACATTGAGCTCTCATCAATTCCTTCATCAAGTTTGAGGTATGTGACAGATTCATATGCCCAGAGGCTGAAGAAGAACTAAGCAGAGCGAATTATGACTATGACTCTACCTTATGTGAGGAAATTAAAAATATTTAATATTTTTCTTTCTATGCTCCTAGGCTGGGGCCCATATATCAAACAGGTAGATAACACGTTAACAAGAGGAAAACCACTTTTATTAAGTATGCATGGGAATTCTCAAAGAATGTGGTTGTCAAGGAGGTGGCTAGATGATATCTGTGGATATACCATCTTAGACTAAACAAAGGAAAAGGGGTCTCAGACTTCCAGGTCGGGGAGGGGAGTAATGGGAAGGCGAAGGGAGACGTGTGGTAAAAAAGTGTTGTCTTATTATGCAGATAAGAATCTCTCAGGTGATAAGAGTTTTCTCAGACACTAGCTCTCTTCTTGGTATGGAGATAACTGTATAAATGGAAATTTTATTTGTAAATGAAAATTTCCTTAACAAAAGGGGACATTTGTATTCTATTTTTGGGCAGTTAGGAGGAGATAAAGAGTTTTTCTCGCATCCACTAGTCTTCATGTCCTTTAGCTCAAAATAATCTGTATGCTAAAGAGACATATTTTGGAATGGAATATTCTGATACCCTTCACTGATGTTCTGGGGTTCAAATGGAGATAAAATCAATTTGGACCAAATTCCTTTTTTTTTTAATAGATGTGACCAATTATAAAGGTATAGATAAAGATTTTTAAAGACGAAGGTATTAGGCATGACTTTCACTTTTTTTTAAAAGAAGTCAGGATCTCTTAAAAATTAATTTTAAAAAGTTTGTAATAATCGATACTGATGATTTCTTAGGTAAATTTAGAATATCATATGATGACAAATGACATTTGATTGGTGTATTGAAGTTATTGTGTCAATGGTTTAATATATGCCACTATAAATTTATCTTTACATAATTCATTTAAGTAATTGAATGAGAAAAACAGTATTGCTGCACATGAATAATTCAATAATAAAAATAGAAAATTCATATACAGTAGTTAATAACATAACTAAATAATAAGTAATACAATCAAGTAAACTTTTTCTTCTAGATGTTTGTCTATAATTCTGCTTTACAAGCCATGTGTCAAATTCAGTAAATCTAAACTAATTATTTACATTAATATCTTAGTTGAAGACGATAATTAGCTTATGTATGGAGGATAAATTCAGGGATATTTCACATTCAAAAAGTTAGTTTAGGGTTTTACTTCTTCTGTAAAATGAGCCCATTGTTATTAAATTCAACTTTGTATCCCTTGTATATGAAATATAACAAGAAAACACGGTCATTTTATTAGAATAAAATCAAATATGTAATCAGGAAAATAGATTAGTGAACATTTTACAGTAAAAATCACTGGTTACCTTGGAATATTAAAAATCATCACATTGTCAGTATCTGTAAATAAAATATTAGAAATTATAACAAGATCTTAGTGTAATTTTTTAATAGATGTCTGTGTCTGTGTGCTATATTATGTATAATGAATTAGCAAACCCAAGTAAAACTTAGATATGGGCAGAAGCCATACTAATTTGCATATCAAATTAAGGTTTGATGAGAAAGGAACAGATGATGACTGTTTTTCTGTTTTGATTTTAAGTGTTTGTAAGTGTGAGATTCTATGTACTCCTTTTTTGTGCTTATTTGCAATGGATTTAAACTCAGAATTAAATCATCTAATGAAAGAAAAATAAAGCCTAATTTTTAAATATGCCAACCTGTTTATGCAATATAAATATTCAACATGGATAATTTGGGCCAAAATACTGGTATTTGAGGAAATATAACCTAGAAATTCCTTTTACCTTGAGCTTAGAATGTATTCATTTTATTTAGTTCTGTGGCTCAAAATCAACACATTAATTCATTTGCTTCAATCAATATTTGTTGAGCTTCTACTCTATACCACAACACAATATTGTATGCTAGAGAATCTTATGAAAAACAAATAGAGAGCAATATCTTACTGTTTATTGGGCATTCCATATATTGTTATGAATGTGTAAATTGTGGATGGTTGGATAGATGAAGGGATAAATGGATGAGCTGAAGTCTCAACCAAATAGGTTTTTATGACTTCCATGATAGGTGTGACATACAGTTTTTGCTTGTAGTGACAGCATCTTCTACCATCAGCAATGGACCTCTGCATTCTTTTCATAGGTCTTATCCCTTAGCACACACTTAAATCTCCTATAAATTATAATCCTTCAGTAATAATTAGATAACAATTTGCTTATTCACATCTTGATTTATTCTTTAAATCTTTATCAACTACCTACCCTGTTCCAGGAATTTTGCTGAGCTTTGGAATCCATGTCATTATGGATCATTTCATTTAGTAAAGTAACGCAGACTTTGGGCAAATAATTTGAAGTATGAAGAATATAAAAAGTATTTTTGGGGAACTACAAAAGCTCAAATAACCTTGAGGGGAATAAAATGAGACCTGAAAAAAAAAGTTGGAGTTAGCTAGAGGACACTGGGGTTATAAGTAGATGTTGGGGTGGTGATCACTGTTGGAAGAGCTTTCCTTTCCAAGAACACCAAATATGAAAGGTCAAAAGGTAGGACCTGAAAGCAGGTTAGCATATGTATAGTAATGAGAACAATGGAGAAGTGGTAGAGAAAAAGGTTGGAAGTCCTTGCCCATGCCTATTTCCTGAATGGTATTGCCTAGGTTTTCTTCTAGGGTTTTATGGTTTTAGGTCTAACATTTAAGTCTTTAATTCATCTTGACTTAATTTTTGTATAAGGTGTAAGGAAGGGATCCAGTTTCAGCTTTCTACATATGGCTAGCCAGTTTTCCGAGCACCATTTATTAAACAGGGACCCCTTTTCCCACTTCTTGTTTTTGTCAGGTTTTTCAAAGATCAGATGGTTGTAGATGTGTGGTATTATTTCCAAGGGCTCTGTTCTGTTCCATTGGTCTATATCTCTGTTTTGGTACTAGTACCATGCTGTTTTGGTTACTGTAGCCTTGTAGTATAGTTTGAAGTCAGGTATCGTGATGCCTCCAGCTTTGTTCTTTTGGCTTAGGATTATCTTGGCAATGAGGGCTATTTTTTGGTTCCATATGAACTTCAAAGTAGTTTTTTCCAATTCTGTGAAGAAAGTCATTGGTAGCTTGATGGGGATGGCATTGAATCTATAAATTACCTTAGGCAGTATGGCCATTTTCACAATATTGATTCTTCCTATCCATGAGCATGGAATGTTCTTCCATTTGTTTGTGTCCTCTTTTATTTTGTTGAGCAGTGGTTTGTAGTTCTCCTTGAAGAGGTCCTTCACATCCCTTGTAAGTTGGATTCCTAGGTATTTTATTCTCTTTGAAGCAATTGTGAATGGGAGTTCACTCACGATTTGGCTCTCTGTTTGTCTGTTCTTGGTGTATAGGAATGCTTGTGATTTTTGCACATGTATCCTGAGATTTTGCTGAAGTTGCTTATCAGCTTAAGGAGATTTTGGGCTGAGACAATGGGGTTTTCTAAATATACAGTCATGTCCTCTGCAAACAGGGACAATTTGACTTCCTCTTTTCCTAACTGAATACTCTTTATTTCTTTCTCCTGCCTGATTGCCCTGGCCAGAATTTCAACACTATGTTGAATAAGAATGGTGAGAGAGGGCATCCCTGTCATGTGCCAGTTTTCAAAGGGAATGCTTCCAGTTTTTGCTGATTCAGTATGATATTGGCTGTGGGTTTGTCATAAATAGCTCTTATTATTTTGAGATACATCCCATCAATACCTAGTTTATTGAGAGTTTTTAGCATGAAGGGCTGTTGAATTTTGTTGAAGGCCTTTTCTGCATCTATTGAGATAATCATGTGGTTTTTGTCTTTGGTTCTGTTTATATGATGGATTACTTTTATTGATTTGTGTATGTTGAACCAGCCTTGCATCCCAGGGATGAAGCCAACTTTATCATGGTGGATAAGCTTTTTGATGTGCTGCTGTATTTGGTTTGCCAATATTTTATTGAGGATTTTTGCATTGATGTTCATCAGGGATATTGGTCTAAAATTCTCTTTTTTTGTTGTTGTGTCTCTGCCAGGCTTTGGTATCAGGATAATGCTGGCCTCATAAAATAGTTAGGGAGGATTCCCTCTTTTTCTGTTGATTGGAATAGTTTCAGAAGAAATAGTACCATAAGCATGGGCAAGGACTTCATGACTAAAACACCAAAAGCAATGGCAACAAAAGCCAAGATTGATAAATGGTATCTAATTAAACTAAAGAGCTTCTGCACAGCTAAGGCAACTACCATCAGAGTGAACAGGCAACCTACAGAATGCGAGAAAATTTTCACAATCTACCCATCTGACAAAGGGCTAATATCCAGAATCTACGAAGAACTTAAACAAATTTACAAGAAAAAAATCAAACAACCCATCAAAAAGTGGGTGAAGGTTATGAACAGACACTTCTCAAAAGAAGACATTTATGCAGCCAACAGACACATGCAAAAATGCTCATCATCACTGGCCATCAGAGAAATGCAAATCAAAACCACAATGATATACCATCTCACACCAGTTAGAATGGTGATCATTAAAAAGTCAGGAAACAGGTGCTGGAGAGGATGTGGAGAAATAGGAACACTTTTACATTGCTAGTGGGACTGTAAACTAGTCCAACCATTGTGGAAGAGAATGTGGTGATTCCTCAAGGATCTAGGACTAGAAATACCATTTGACCCAGCCATCCCATTACTGAGTATATAACCAAAGGATTATAAATCATACTGCTATCAAGACACATGCACACATATATTTATTGTGGCACTATTCACAATAGTAAAGACTTGGATCCAACCCAAAAGTCCATCAATGATAGACTGGATTAAGAAAATGTGGCACATATACACCATGGAATACTATGAAGCCATAAAAAAGGATGAGTTCATGTCCTTTCTAGGGACATGGATGAAGCTGGAAACCATCATTCTGAGCAAACTATCGCAAGGACGGAAAACCAAACACTGCATGTTTTACTCATAGGTGGGAATTGAACAATGAGAACACTTGGACACAGGGTGGGGAACATCACACACCAGGGCCTGTCATGGGGTGAGGAGAGGGGGGAGGGATAGCATTAGGAGATATACCTAATGTAAATGACGAGTTAATGGGTGCAGCATACCAACATGGCACATGTATACATATGTAACAAACCTGCATGTTGTGCACGATGTACCCTAGAACTTAAAGTATAATAACAAAAAAAAAAAAAAGAAAAAGGTTAGAAAGGTAGGCTAAGATCAGATCACAAGAAGCCCCTAACTCTGCCACCTCTTCTAACATGGAAGCTTGATGAATGTTCCATGAAAAAAACAACTATACATTTTGTTTAATAATTTACTATTATCTCCTCCTGGAGTACGAATCGATTTATTTTAGGTAGGCATATCACAAGCATTCCATAAATATCTGTCAATTCAGAAATAAAAAAAGATATTATTCAATCTGTACAATAAAATTTAGATTAGAATAATTATAATAATTAAACATATAAAATTTAAACATATGTTTAAAATAATTCAACACATATAATTTAAACATATGTTTAAAATAATTAAACATATATATCTAAAAAGACTTATTGACATCTGTTTTCTGCTTAGGTTCAGCAATCTCCTTTCACCTATAAATTTGTTGTGTTGCCATAATAACACTTTATGGAATAAAAATATTTATCTTATTCTCTGATATGTTTCATAAGCTACTTAAAATATCCCTACATATTTTCTTTATTATATTTATAATTTATTTAGCAAACTCATTGCTCCTATTCACTTCCAATTTCAAGTGAAAAGTTATTTTCCTGAGACAGTCTCCCTTCCATATTTTAAAGCTTTCAGTACAATTTGTTGCTCTCTATCACCAAACCAATATATGTTCCACCTTTTAAACGCTAAATTTAATCTGTGTCTAAATGTTTTATATAAATTAATAACAATATGCAGCATTGTACTTGTTTTCACAATTATTTTTATTTAAGATTGTAGAAACACTTGTACCATTGTAGAAGTAGTAATAGGCTGCAATAGTTTCCTGGTTTCAAATGTTTTTAAAAATTATGTTTTTAACCTGTGATTTCTTAGTGCCTGAATGATCCCCAAGATATTGTTTGTGAAACACTAAAGGTTCGTATGTGCACTCATTTTATAGACAACAGAGAAAGTTACCATATCTTTTATCACATTCTCTAACAGGTCTGTCATCTTTTACAAAAAGGTTAAGAACCACTGTTGTAAATAAATAGGTTTTCCTCTAAGGTTTCATAAATGCACAAAACTTTGCTTTAGAAAATTGACTTTTTTCTCTCATGAGTTCTTGAAGCTAATTTCTCACTACGACTGAAGGAAAGCAAGATGAGGTTGAACCAGTGAACCAACTTGCAGATTTGGAAGGACTGGCTATTGTATTGCTTTGGTAATATACAGAACCATTCACCCCTTTGGTTTCTAATTAATATTATGTGCCAACTCGGTCAGAGAATAATGATCTTTAACCAGATGTTTTTAGTCAAATGACTTGCATCAGGTTATCTGTATTCCCCATTGGGCCATAACAACAAGAATGTCATTAGTAATTACCTGTCAAGTCCACTTAGCACAGTCTTAAATAATTACCACATTATCACTTTTGCAGAACTGTCTCTGTAGTGACTGAATAACCACTGCTTTGTACTTTCAGTGTGTTCCTCTGGTTCCTCTTCCTTCTCTGGATTCTTTATACCACTCATTTTTGTTGTTGTTTTCTTTTTTTACAGAAAGCTGGGCACCCTGCTACTACCCCTTTTTGAAAAGACTCTTGGAACCTTTTAAAAACTACATAGAGGTCCCATTAACCAGATGCTTTCTGCCATCTGTATGTAGAAAGTGAGTTTGAATAACGAATATAAGAAGAGAACAAAGAGCACTTTTGCTTCTTTCATACTTCTGGGGTGCACAGTCTTGACCTGTGTAGAGACAAAGTGGAGGAAATTAGGCATATTATCTATAATATAGCATAAATACATGCTAATTTTATTTCCAAATCATTATATCTTTGTAGGCTTTCAGCTGTTTTAAGTTTTTTTGTAGACAAAAATTACCTGTTAGCATTTAGGATCCGAAAATCTGCAGTCCTGATGGCCTGGTTTGAGGTGGCTTATTATGAACTCTATTTTTTGGAAAAGATTCTGCAAGGCAAAGAAGTTGTGGCACATCTCCATTTGCCAAGATGTTCCAGCTGCTACTTATAAAGCTAAATATTAAATAGAGTTGTTTGAATTCCTTATCACAATTAAAATACGTGGCTATGAGAAGGAAAAGACATGTAACATAAAATCAAGTCATAGAAAATCAGATGTGTTTAGGGTGGTATCTTACCCCAGTTAGGATGACTATTATTAAAAAGACAAAAACTAACAAGTTTTGGTGAAAAAGGAAACTCTTATACACTGTTGGTAGAATGTACACTAGCACAGCCATTATGGAAAACATTATGGAGTTTCCTCAAAAAATTACAAATAGAACAACCATGTGATCCAACAATCCTACTACTGGGCATTTATCCAAAGGAAAGGAAATCAGTATATCAAAGTGACATCTGCATTTCCATTATCGCAGCATTTTTCACAATAGGAAGATATGGAATCAACATAGGTGTCCAACAACAGATGAACGGATTAGGAATATGTGGTATATACATACAATAGAACACTCTTCAGCCACAAAAAAGAATAAAATCTTGTCATTCAAGGCAACATGGATGAAATTGGAGGGCATTATGTTAAGTGCAATAAGCTGGGAACAGAAAGAAAACAGCACACATTCTCACTCCTATGTGGAAACTAAAAAAAGTTGGTCTTCAGAGTAAAAGGTAGAATGGAGAAGGCTAGAGGCTGGGAAGGAGAGGAATAAGGAGAGATTTGCTAAAAGGCACAAAATTACAGCTAGATAGGTAGAATAAATTCTACTGTTTCATAGCACTGTAGGATGACTGCAGTTAACAATAATATATTATATATTTTCAAATAGCTAGGAAGAGGATATTGAATATTCCCAACACAAAGAAATGATAAATGTTAAGATAATGGCTATTCTAATTACCCTGATCTGATCACTACACATTATATCTATTGAAACATTACAATGTACCCCATGAATATGTACAATTATTATTTGCCAAATTTTTAAAATAAAACAAATCAAGTCAGTAATTATGTGATGGTCTGCATCAATGATAATCCAACTTCATGTGCTCGCAACAGAACTTCCCTTTTCTTCAGATATAAACTTTTTTTAAGTTTGAAGGATTAAAAATAAAAGATACCAAAATAATATAACATGAAGTATATAATGTGATGTAATATATAATAATACACCCTCAAATAATTTTGCCTTTTATTACACTTTCTTTTTAAAAAATAGAATCATCCTATTTCTGCTTTTCCTTTTTAATAAATTTATTTTTAAAATAAATTTTAGATTTACAGAAAAATTGAGAGAATAGTACAGAGAATTTTCGTAAACACTACATCAAGTTTTCCCTATTATTAACACCTAATATTGGTATGGTACATTTATTGCAATTAATGAATCAATGTTGATATAATATTATTAACTAGAGTCCATAATTTTATTCAAATTTCTTTAGTTTTTATCTAATGTCCTATTTCTTTTCCAGTATCCCTTCCAGAAAACTACATTTTATTTAGTTGTCATATGACTTTAGGCTGTGAGAATTTATTGGACTTTCCTATCTTCCTTCCTTCCTTCCATTCTTCCTCCCTCCCTCCCTCCCTCCCTCCCTTCCTCCCTTCCTTCCTTCCTTTTTTTATTAGACAAGAGGTCTTGCTCTGTCACCCAGGCTAGAATGCAGTGGATCACAATTTACTGTGGCCTCAACCTCTTGGGTTCAAGAGATTATCTCATCTCAGCCTCCCAAGTAGCCAGGACTGCAGGCACATGCCACCACACACTACTAATTTTATTGTATTATTATTATAATGTTTTAGAGACAGGCTCTCTCCATGTTACCTAGGCTGGTCTCAAACTCCTGGCCTCAAGTGATCCTTTCACCTCAGTCTCCCAAAGTGCTATGACTACAGGTGTGAGTCTGTCTTCCCAGCCAGACTTTCCTATTTCTAAAGGTCATCGTAATTTTGAGGAGTAGTGGTCAGGTATTTTGCAAAATGTCCCTCTGTTGATTAGAATGAAATAAATACTATATAAAATGGGGGTACAGGTGTTGGATAGACATTCACATTCAAAATGGGAGAAATTAGCCAAAACAAAGGGGAAGGGACACAGGCCCCACGCAAGTCTAAAATCTAGCAGGGTAGTCATTAGAATCTTATGTCTCCAAAATAATCTCTTTTGACTCCATGTGTTGCGGGAAGTCAGGGACCCCAAACAGAGGGACCGGCTGAAGCCACGGTGGAAGAACGTGAATTGTGAAGATTTCATGGACATTTATTATTTCCCCAAATTAATACTTTTATAATTTCTTAAGCCTGTCTTTACTGTAATCTCTGAACATAAATTGTGAAGATTTCTTGGACACTTATAGCTTCCCCAGTCAATACCCTTGTGATTTCCTATGCCTGTCTTTACCTTAATCTCTTAATCCCATCATCTTCGCAAGCTGAGGAGGATGTATGTCGCCTCAGGACCCTGTGATGATTGCGTTAACTGCACAAATTGTTTGTAGAGCATGTGTGTTTGAACAATATGAAATCTGGGCTCCTTGAAAAAAGAATAGGATAACAGCAATGTTCAGGGAACAAGAGAGATAACCTTAAACTCTGACTGCCGGTGAGCCGGGTGGAACAGAGCCATATTTCTCTTCTTTCAAAAGCCAGTGGGAAAAATATTGCTGAATTCTTTTTCTCAGCAAGGAACATCCCTGAGAAAGAGAATGTGTCCCTGAGGGTAGGCCTCTGAAATGGCCGCTTTGGGAGCGGCTGTCTTTTATGGTCGCAGGGGTGGGATGAAATAAGCCCGTCTCCCGTAGCGCTCCCAGGCTTACTAGGATGAGGAAATTCCCGCCTAATAAATTTTGGTCAGACCGGTTGTCTGCTCTCAAACCCTGTCTCCTAAGATGTTATCAATGACAATGCATGCCCGAAACTTCATTAGCAATTTTAATTTCACCCCATTCCTGTGGTCCCGTGATCTCGCCCTGCCTCCATTTGCCTTGTGATATTCTATTACCTTGTGAAGCACTGATATTCTATTGTCTTGTGAAGCATGTGATCTCTGTGACCCACACCCTATTCACACACTCCCTCCCCTTTTGAAAATCACTAATAAAAACTTCCTGGTTTTGCAGCTTGGGAGGAATCACGGAACCTGCCGGCATGTGATGTCTCCCCCAGACACCCAGCTTTAAAATTTCTCTCTTTTGTACTCTGTCCTTTTATTTCTCAGACCGGCTGACACTTAGGGAAAATAGAAAAGAATCTATGTGAAATATTGGGGGTGAATTTCGCCTGATATACATGTCTCATATCCAGGTCACACTGATGCAAGATGTGGGCTCCCAAAGCCTTGGGCAGCTTCACTCCTGTGGCTTTGCAGGGCACAGTTCCCACACTGCTCTCATGGGCTTGTGTTGGGTGCCTGTGGCTTTTCCAGGTGCATGGTACAAGCTGTCAGTGAATCTACCATTTTGGGGTCTGGAGGATGGTGGCCCTCTTCTCACAGCTCCACTAGGCAGTGCCCCAGTTGGGGCAACAACTCCACATTTCCTTTTTGCACTGCCATAGCAGAAGTTCTCCATAACGGCTCTGCCTCTTGCAGCAGACTTCTGCCTGGACATTCAGGCATTTCCATACATCCTCTGAAATCTAGGCAGAAATTCCCAAACCTCAATTCTTGACTTCTGTGCACCAGCAGGCCCAACACCATATGGAAGCCACGAATGCTTGGGGCTTGTACCCTGTGAAGCAATGGCCTGAGCTGAACTTTAGCCCCTTTTAGCCATAACTAGAAATGGAGCATCTAGGACACAGGGCACCAAGTCCTGAGGCTGCACACTGCAGCAGGGCCCTGGGCTTGGCCCACAGAACTATTTTTTCTTCTTAGGCCTATGGGATGTGATAGGACGGGCTGCCACCTAGATCTCTGACATCCCCTGGATACATTTTCCCCATTGTCTTGGTGATTAACATTTGATCCTGGTTACTTATGCAAATTTCTGCAGCTAGCTAGAAATTTTCCCCCCAAAATGAACTTTTTCTTTTCTGTTGTATTATCAGGCTGAAAATTTTCCTAACTTTGGTGCTCTGCTTCCCTTTTAAACATATGTTCTAATTTCAGATTATCTCTCTCAAATTCAGAGTTCCACAGATCTCTAGGTCAAGGCAAAATGCCACCCTTCACTTTGCTAAAGCATAGCAAGAGTGATCTTTGCTCCAGTTCCCAAGAAGTTTCTCATCTCCATCTGAGACCACCTCAGCCTGGACTTCATTGTCCACATCATTAACAGCATTTTGGTCAAAACCATTCAACAAGTTTCAAGGAAGTTCCAATCTTTCCTACATCTTCCTGTCTTCTTCTGAGCCCTCCAAACTGTTCCAACATCTGCCAGTTACCTAGTTCCAAAGTTGCTTTCACATTTTCAGGTTATCTTTTATACAGTACCCCACTACCTCAGTACTAATTCACTGTATTAATCCATTTTCACACTGCTGTAAAGAATTTCTCTGAGACTGAGTAATTTATAAAGGAAAGTGGATAAATTGAGTTCTGCATGACTTGCAAGGCCTCAGGAAACTTACAGTCATGGCAGAAGGAGAAGCAGGCATCTTCTTCACAAGGCAGCAGGAGAGAGAATAAAGGAGGAACTTCCAAACACTTATATAAAATAATCATGAGTTCTCATGAGAACTCACTCAATATCACAAGAACAGCATGGAGGAAACAGCCCCCATGATCCAACTACCTCCCTCCCTTGACATGTGGAGATTACAGGTCCTTTGCTTGGCATGTGGGAATTACAATTTGAGATGACATTTGGTTGGGGACTGAGAGCCAAGCCATAACAGTATGTATTGATGGATATTTGTTTTATATTTGGGGTAATAGTCATTTATTATTTGGTTGCTCCTATTATTCAAACTTCAGTCAGTTTTTCAGTTGTCTTTTGTGTCCCTTTTATATAAACTCATTACTATAGTTCTTCTTCCCTCTTTTCCTTCTTTCTTCCTTCTCACTTCTTTACTTTTTGGCACTACAAGATGATTCTTTCTTCTTTTATATAAATCTAGTGCCAGTCTTAGAATCAACCATTTCTCCAAGTAGCTTCAATTCTACTTTCTTCATTCACCAATTTATATTTAAGGCAAAAATACTCAACAATTTACTCGTGTAGATAAAATTTGTTTTTACTGTTGTGTAGTATGCTATTTTATAAATAGGTGATATTTTATGTGTTTCTTTTTCTTGTAGTGTTTGGGATATCGACTAATGTTTATGAGAGACACAATTTTGACTATTCTTGAAAATGAGATTTTGAGTACATGTGACTTTTTGAGTACACATTCTCCAACTTATAAATCTAGAAGATAAATTATTGAGTCAGGAAGTGTGACCATTTTTAATCCTACTAGAAAGTATCTCATTAGATGGTAGAAAGGTTATGCTAATGTACCCTCCTATTGGCAGTTCTAAGACTTCATCATTATAAATCCTTGGAATTTATAGACTTTTTGTTTCAACCTGACATGTAAAAAGTGTCTCTTTTTATTTCATTTTGCAATTCCCTAATTCTGGTTATTAAGCATCTAGGCATACATATTTTAACAATTCCCACTTTCCTTCTGTAAAATTGCTCATTCATTTTCTTAGCAACTTTATTTCAACTGGCTGTTCTTGATATATATATGATACATTTAAATATACATATTTGTATTATATAAACATGCATAAATATACATATATGTATGTGTATGTACAGAATATATACTAATATATATTTCGTATATATCATTTGTATCATATATATGATATAAACATACATATATATGTGCAGAATATGTAGATATATTAAAATACATGTTTATATATATTTTTATATATATAAACATACATATCTGTTAGTGTACATATTGTAAAAATATTTTTTCTGTTGTTTACTTATGTTTTACTTTGTAGCACTTTTGTAAAATGTTAAGTTCTATATAGTTAAATTTAATAAATAACTTTCTTCATGGAATATGACTTTATTTTCCTTGCAAGGGAGAAAAAATGAGCTTAGCAATTATTTCCTATACCATGAATGTCATAAAAATTTTCTAGATTTCTAGTAAGAGTTCAAGGCTTTGTTTTTTAAAATGCAGATATTTAAAATATCTAGAACTTATTATGTGTGAAATGAGTATTTAATTACTTTTTTTAGTTTAATTTTTTAGTTTAATTACTTTTTTTACTTTTTATTTAAAATTTGTCCTTTCCTTACTTATTTGCATGCTGATTCTGCACATATAAATTCCCATATACATATTTATCTGTTTAGAAACTCTTTGTCATGCTACATACATATATTTGTCTATTGTTTTAATATAGCAATTTTATCATACTAATTTTATTATAGCTTTACAATAATTTCTGAATACTGACAGATTTTGTACCCTCCAATTATCATCCCTTTTCCTAGCACTTCCCTTTATTTTTTATAATTAATTTACTAGTATTATTAAATTATAAGTTTGCATATAGATTAGAACTGCCACTTATGCAGTTATATTAATTAATTAATTAATTTTTTTAACTTTTAAGTTCAAGGGCACATGTGCAGGTTGGTTACACATGTGAACTTGGGTCATGTAGGTTTGTTGTACAGATTATTTCATCATCCAGGTAGTAAGCCTAGTACCCATTAGTTACTTTTTCTGATGTCTCTCTCCTCCCACCATCCACTCCCCAATAGGCCCCAGGATGCATTGTTTCTCTCTATGTGTACATATGCTCTCATCAGTTAGCTTCCTCTTATAAGTGAGAACATGCAGTATATGGTTGTCTGATCTTGTGTTAGTTTGCTAAGGATAATGACCTCCAGCTCCATCCATGTCCTGCAAAAAAAATGATCTTTTTTTATGGCTGCATAGTATTCCATGGTATATATGTACTACATTTTCTTTATCCAGTCTATCATTGACGAGAACTGTATTAGAGCATTTTCACATTGCTGATAAAGACATACCCAAGAATGGGAAGAAAAATATGTTTAATTGGACATACAGTTCCAGATGGCTGGGGAGGCCTCAGAATCATGGCAGGAGATGAAATGCACTTCTTATATGGTGACGGCAAGAGAAAATGAGGAAGATGCAAAAGCAGAAACCCCTGATAAAACCATCAGATCTCATGAGATTTAGTTACTACCATGAGAACAATATGGGGGAAACTGCACCCATGGTTCAAATTATCTCCCACCAGGTCCCTCCCACAACACGTGGGAATTGCGGGAGTATAATTCAAGATGAGATTTGGGTGGGGACACAGAGCCAATCATATCATTCTGCCCCTGGCCCCTCCAAATCTCATGTCCTCATATTTCAAAACCAGTCATGCCCTCCCAACATTCCCCCAAAGTCTTGACTAATTTCAGCAATAACCCAAAAGTCCACAATCCAAAGTTTCATCTGAGACAAGGCAAGTCCCTTCTGCCTATGAGCCTGTAAAATCAAAAGCAAGCTAGTTACTTCCTAGATGCAATGGGGGTACAGGTATTGGGTAAATACAACCATTCCAAATGGGAGAAATTGGCCAAAACAAGGCCCATGCAAGTCCAAAATCTAGCAATGCAGTCAAATTTTAAAGCTCCAAAATGATCTTCTTTGACTCCATGTCTCACATCCAGGTCACGCTGATGCAAGAAGTAGGTTTTCATAGTCTTGGGCAGCTCTGCCCCTGTGGCTTTGCAGAGTATAGCCCCCCTCCTGGCTGCTTTCGTGACTGGCATTGAGTGTCTGAGGCTTTTCCAGGCATACAATGCAAGCTGTCGATGGATCTACCATTCTTGGGTATGGAGGATGGTGGCCCTCTTCTCACAGCTCCACTAGGCAGTGCCCCAGTAGGGACTCAGTGTGGGGCTCCAACCCCACATGTCATTTGCACACTGCCCTAGCAGAGGTTCTCCATGAAGTCCCCACCCCTGCAGCAAACTTCTGCCTGGGCATCCAGTCATTTCCACACATCTTCTGAAATCTAGGTGGAGCTTCCCAAACCTCAATTCTTGATTTCTGTGCACTCACAGGCTCAACACCAAATGGAAGCTGTCAAGGTTTGGGGCTTGCATCCTCTGTAAACATGGGCTGAGCTGTACTTTGGCCTCTTTTAGCAATGGCTGGAGTGGCTGGCACGCAGGGCATCAAGTCCACAGGCTACACACAGCACAAGGACACTGGTCCCAGCCAACAAAATCATTTTTTCCTCCTAGGCTTCTGGGTCTGTGATGGAAGGGGCTGCCTTGAAGACCTATGGCATGGCCTGGAGACATTTTCCTCATTGTCTTCAGAATTAACATTTGGCTCCTTGTTAGTCGTGCAAATTTCTGTAGCCAGCTTGACTTTTCTCCTCAAAAAAAGTTTTTTTCTTTTCTATTGCATCATCAGGCTGCAAATTTTCCAAACTTCTATGCTGTTTTCCTTTTAAAATGGAATGCTTTTAACAGCACCCAAGTCACCTCTTGAATGCTTTGCCATTTAGATTTTTTTTTTTCCATCACATGCCCTAAGTCATGTCTCAAATACAAAATTTCACAACTGTCTAGGACAAGGGCAAAATGCCATCAGCCTTTTTGTTAAAACATAACAAGAGTCACCTTTGCTTCAGTCCCCAGCAATTTCCTCATCCCATCTGAGACCACCTCAGCCTGGACCTTATTTTTCATATCACTATAAGCATTTTTGTCAAAGCCATTCAACAAGTCTCTAGGAGGTTCTAAATTTTCCCACATTTTCCTGTCTTATTCTGCACTCTCCAAACTGTTCCAACCTCTGCCTGTTACCCAGTTCCAAAGTCGTTTCCACATTTTCAGGTATCTTTTCATCAGTGCCCCACTCTACTGGTACCAATTTACTGTATTAGTCCATTTTCACACTGCTGATACCCGAGACTGGAAAGAAAAAGAGGTTTAATTAGACTTACAGTTCCACATGACTGGGGGGGTTGCCTCAGAATCTTGATGGGAGGTAAAAGGCACTTCTTACATGGTGGCAGCAAGAGAAAATGAGGAAGATGCAAAAGCAGAAAACCCTGATAAAATCATCGGATCTTGTGAGATTTATTCACTACCACGAGAACAGTATGGACAAAACCATCCCCATGATTCAAGTTATCTCTCACCAGGTCTCTCCCACAACACGTGGGAATTATGGACGTAAAATTCAAGATGAGATTTGGGCAGGGACACAGCCAAACCATATCAGGAATTTAGGTTGATTCCACATTTTTGTGAATAGTGCTGTAATGGACATTTGCATGCATGTTTATAATAGAATGATTTATATACCTTTGTTTGTGTAACCAGTAATGAGATTGCTGGGTCAAATAGTATTTCTGCCTTTAGGACTTTGAGGAATTGCCACACTGTCTTCCACAGTGTATGAACTAATTTACACTCCCACCAACAGTGTATAAGCATTCCTTTCTCTCCATGCAGCACCTGTTATTTTTTGACTTTTTAATAGTAGCCACTCTGACTGGTGTGAAATGGTATCTCATCATGATTTTGATTTTATTTCTCTAATGATCAGTGATGTTGAGCTTGTTTTCATATGTTTGTTGGCTGCATGTATGCCTTCTTTTGAAAAGTGTCTGTTCATGTCCCTTGCTAACTTTTTAATTTGAGTGTTTGTTTTCTTTTTGTACATTTAAGTTCTTTACATGCTGTGGATATTAGACATTTATCAGATGCATACTTTGCAAAATTTTTCTCCCATCATGTAGGCTGTCTGTTTACTCTGTTGATAGTTTCTTTTGCTGTGCAGAAGCTCTTTGGTTTAAATTGATTCCATTTGTAAATTTTTGGTTTTGTTGCCATTGATTTTGGCATTATCTTCATGAATCTTTGCCCATACCTATGTCCTGAATGATACTGTCAAGGTTGTCTCCCAGAGTTTTTATAATATGGGGTTTTATTTTAGGCCTTTAATCCATCTTGAGTAAATTTTTGTATATGGTGTAAGGAAAAGTTTCAGTTTCAATCTTCTGCATATGACCACCAGTTATCCCCGTATGATTTACTGAATAGGGAGGGAATCCTTTCACCATTGCTTGTTTTTGTCAGGTTTGTCATAGAATAGATAGTTTTAGGTGTGGGGTCTTATTTCTGGGTTCTCTATTTTATTTCATTGGTCTATGTGCATGTTTTTGTACCAGTACCATGCTGTTTGTTTACTGTAGCCCTGTAGTATAGTTTGAAGTTGGGTAGCATGATGCCTCCAGCTGTGTTTTCTTTGCCTGAGATTATCTTGATTATTCAGGCTTTTTGGTTTCTTGTTGATTTTAAAATAGTTTTGTTCTGTTCCTTCAATACCTAGCTTATTGAGAGTTTTTAACATGAAGGGATGTTGAATTTTCTCAAAGGCCTTTTCTGTGTCCATTGAGGTAATCATGTAGTTTTTGTTTTTATTCCTCTTTATGTAATGAATCATATTTATTGATTTGCATATGTTGAACCAACCTTGCATCCCAGGAATAAAGCCTTCTTGATCATGGTGGATAAGCTTTTTGATGTTCTGCTGCATTTTGTTTGTCAGTATTTTGTTGAGGATTTTTGCACTGATGTTAATTAAAGATATGGCTTGGCATTTTCTTTTTTTGTTCCATCTCTGCTAGGTTTTGATATTAGAATGGTGCTGACCTCATACAATGTGTTTGGCAGGAGTCCCTCCTCATAATTTTTTTTGGAGTAGTTTCAGTAGGAATGGTGCCACCTCTTCTTTGTACATCTGGCAGAATTCAGCTGTGAATCTATCTGGTCCTGGGCTTTATTTGGTTGGTAGGCCATTTGTTACTGCCTCAATTTCAGAGCTTGTTATTAGTCTATTCAGGGTTTCAATTTTTTTCTGGCTCAGACTTGGAAGGGTGTATATTCTCAGGGATTTATTCATTTCTTCTAGATTTTCTAGGTTATATGCATAGAGGTGTTCATTATATTCTCTGATTGTTGATTGCATTTTTGTAGGGTCAGTGCTAATATCCCCCTTGTCAATTCTGATGGTGTTTGACTCTTCTCTTTTTTATTTTTCTAGCTAGTGGTCTATCCATTTTTTTTTTTTTCTCTCTCAGAAAACCAGTTCCTGGATTCATTGATCTTTTGAATGGATTTCATGTCCTCATCTCCGGATATGGTTTGGCTGTGTCACCACACAAATCTCCCTTGAATTGTAAAAGTCCCCATGTGTCAACGGTGGGGCCAGGTGGAGATAATTGAATCATGGGGGCAGATTCTTCTATACTGTTCTAGTGGTACTGAATAAGTCTCATGAGATCTGATGGTTTTATAAATGAGAATTCCCCTGCAAAATCTCTTTCCTGCTGCCATGTAAAATGTGACTTTGCTCCTCATTCACCTTCTGCCATGATTGTGAGGCCTTCCCAGGCACGTGGAACTGTGAGTCAGTTAAACCTCTTTCCTTAATAAATTACCCAGTCTTGTTATGTCTTTATTAGCAGTGTGAGAACAAACTAATAGATCTCCTTCAGTTCAGCTCTGATTTTGGTTATTTCCTGTCTTTTGCTAGTTTTGGGATTTGTTCCCTCTTCTTCTCTAGTTCTTTCAGTTGTAATGTTAGATTGTTAACTTGAGATCTTTCTAACTTTTGTTGGCATTTAGTGCTATGAATTCTCCTCTTAACACTGCCTTAGCTGTGTTCCAGAGGTTCTAGTATGTTGTTTCTTTTTTCTCATTAGCTTCAAAGAACTTCTTGATGTCTGCCTTAATTTCATTATCTATCTAAAAGTCACTCAGGAGCAGATTATTCAATTTCCATGTTAGTGTATGGTTTTGAGTGAATTTCTTCATCTTGATTTCTAACTTGATTGCACTTTGGTTTTGCATTTGCTGAGGAATGTTTTACTTTCAATTATTTGGTTGATTTTAGAGTATGCCATGTTTTGATGAGATTTGTATTTTGTTTTTTGCTTTGTGGAGAATTCCACAGATATCATCAGGTCCATTTGATCCGGTGCTGAGTTCAGGTCCTGAATATCTTTGTTAACATTCTGTCTTAATGATCTGTCTAATAGTGTCAGTGGTGGTATTAAAGTCTTCCACTATTATTGTGTGGCAGTCTAAGTCTCCTTGAAGGTCTCTAAGAGCTTGCTTTATTAATATGAGTGCTCCTGTGTTGGATGCACATATATTTAGAATAGTTAGATGTTTTTGTTGAATTGAACTCTTTACAATTATGTAATGCCCTTCTTTGTCTTTTATGTTCTTTGTGGGTTTAAAGTCTGATTTGTCCAAAACTAGGATTGCAATCCATGCTTTAACCTATTTTCCATTTGCTTGTTAGATTTTTCTCCATCCCTTTATTGTGAGTCTATGTGTGTCATTCCATGTGAGATAGCTCTTTTGAAGACAACGTGCCAATGAGTATTGGTTCTTTATCCAGCTTGACACTCTGTGTCTTTTAATTGGGGCATTTAGCCCATTTTTGTTTAATGTTAATATTGATATGTGTGGATTTGATCCTGTCATCATGATGTTAGCTGATTGTTTTGTAGACTTGCTTATGTGGTTGCTTTATAGTGTCACTGGTTTGTGTATTTTAATATGTTTTTATAGTGGCAGGTAATGGTCTTTTATTTCCATATTTAGTGCTTTCTTCAGGAACTCTTATAAGGCAGATCTAGTGGTAACAAATTTCCTCAGCATTTGCTTGTCTGAAAAATATCTTTTTCTTCTTTGCTTATGAAGCTTTGTTTGGCTGGACATGGTATTTTGGGTTAGAATTTCTTTTCTTTAAGAATATTGAATATTGGCCCCCAATCTCTTCTGGCTTACAGTGCTTCAGCTGAGAGGTCCACTGTTAGTCTGATGGACTTTTCTATGTAGGTTACCTGACCTTTCTCTCTAGCTACCTTTAATATTTTTTTCTTTTACTTCAACCTTGGAGAATCTAATAATCATGTTTATTGATGATAATCCTTTTCTGAAGTATCTTACCAGAATTATCTGCATTTTCTGAATTTGAGTGTGGGCCTCTCTAGTAAGGTTGGGGAAGTTCTCATGAATAATATACTGAAATATCTTTTCCAAGTTGTTCCTTTCTCCCCATCTTTTTCAAGTACACCCATCAGTCATAGATTAGGTCCTTTTACATAATCCCATATTTCTCAGAGGTTTTGTTAATTCCCTTTTATTCTTTTTTCTCTATTCTTGTCTGTCTTGTTTCAGAAAGTCAGTCTTCAAGTTCTGAGTTTCTTTTCTCCACTTAGTCTATTCTGCTGTTAATATTTGTGATTGCATTATGAAATTCTTGTAATGTATTTTTCATCTATATCAGATCAATTATGTTCTTCTCTATACTGTCTAGTTTGTCTGTCAGGTCCTCCATTTTTTTGTCATGATTTTTAGCTTCCTTGCATTGGGTTACAACGTACTCCTATAGCTCAATGAACATTATTCTTTATATTCTATTTCTTTCTTTTCAGTTATCTCAGCCTTAGCCCAGTTCCAAACCCTTGTTGGAGAGGTAATATGGTCATTTGGAGGCAAAAAGGCACTCTGGCTTTTCGAGTTTTTCATCTTTGTGGGCTTTTCTACCTTCAATCTTTGAGTTTGCTTACCTTCAAAGGGTTGTCTTTTAATCCTTTTGATGACCTGGAGGGTTTGATTGGGGTATAACGTGGATTCATCAAACTGGCTTCCTTTCTGGGAGATTTTACTGGGCCAGCGCTCAGCTCCCAACTCCTAAACTGCATACTCTTATGTTGGGGCCTGACTTTGTTCTCTGGCTGGTCGAGGTTTGGAGACCACTGCAATAGTGGGGGCTGAGGTGCAGCAGCTACAACAGAGTGCTAGTAGATACAGGGGTGCCTGCCTCCCTGCAGGTGTTTACGGCAGTGGCTCAGGTCAGGTAGCTGTGGGGCAAGCCAGGGTGGGTGGCCCTGCTGGAGAATGTGTGCACTGTCGCACTGGAGGTGGTGTTGGATTGGTGTGGGGTGCTGGCCAGTGCATGTCTTGGTGTGTTCTCTGTGCCCACGAACAGAAGTGATCACTCAGGGTGTGGGAGGATCTTCTGTTCTTTGCTTGGTTTTAGTTCAATGGTGGGGCACAGGCATGGGTGAGGTTGGCTGGGTCTGTGCCCACAAAGGTTCCATCTACAATGGTGTCAGCAAGGGTTGGGTGGGGAGCATACTGTACACCCACATGCTGGTAGGGCAAGTAAAGCAAAACCTGCCTGTGTAGACATGTGTCAGCAAAGTGATGTGGGAAATGGAGTGGGCTGGGGAAGCTGCAATATGGAGAGGGAAAGTGCAGGTTGGTGTGCAGCCATAGAAACCACCTCATTGGAGCCCTCCACTGGTCAGGTATGGTTTGCTGGTGCAGAAGCTATGGTGTGAAACCCCAGGCACCAGAGACTGCTGTGTAAGCAGGTGTGGCCAGAATGATTCCCTGGGAGAAACCAGAAGACCAAGGAGTGCTCCGGTCATACCAGCCCCATGTGATGTGCAAGAATGCCCTGCAGAGATCAGGTCTGACTATTCCCCTAGGGCTAAAGTCTTTTTTGGGAGCAAATCTAGCCTAGAGGGATAGCCTGGATACATTCCACTACAAACACTCCTTCACCAAACCCTCTGGGCTCCACATCAGGTGGCTTGCTGCCTCACCACTTCTCTAAGCAGTTTTTTCTGCCACCTCAAGTGTTCATGAGTGGTTGAGGCGTCCCCTCCTGCATGATTCCAGAGGCCTGTGGCAGCAGCAGGTTACTCCTTGCCAGTTCAGTTCACCCATTCCCCTGGAGCTGTTGCAGCTCAAAAATGAGTCCCAGTGTATGGTAGCCCATGTGGGGTTCCCAGCTTTCTCCCCCTTCAGCCTAGCTTCTGTGTCTTCCCTCCATCCACTCTCAATGCCTTCCCTCTGAAGATTTATTAACAGCATACCAGTCATCTCACTCCCTCCATGGGAGCTGTTCCACTTGTTTCCATCTACTCGGCCATCTTGCCCTCCCCAACTACTTATGAAATTTGAGTGGAAATATTGTTCTTATAATATTGCTTTGTGCTAGTTTGCTTTTGTTTCATAACAAAGTACCACTAACTTGGTAGCTGAAAACAACGTCCATTCATTAGCTCACAATTCATAGGTCAGAAACCCAGCATGGCATAATGTATGGCATCAGGGCATTTCAAAGGCTGAAATCAAGGTGTTGTGTGGACTGATTTCTGATCTAAATTCTCTGGTGAAAAATCCACTTTCAAGTTTATGCTTCTTGTTGGAAGAATTAAGTTCCTAGATATTGTTGTACTGAGGTACCCATTTTCTTGCTGGCTGTCAGCTGGAAACTGCCCTGAGCTCCTAGTGGCCGACTGCCATTCCTTGCCATATATTCCCCATTATCTTCAAGCCAGTAATGGCACATCAAATCCTTTTCATGCTTCAGATTTCTGAGTTATTGTTTTTTTTTTTTTTTTTTTTTTTTTTTTTTGAGATGGAGTCTGGCTCTGTCACCCAGGCTGGAGTACAGTGGTGCAATCTCGGATCACTGCAAGCTCCGCCTCCTGAGTTCACTCCATTCTCCTGCCTCAGCCTCCCGAGTAGCTGGGACTACAGGCACCCGCCACTACGCACCTCTAATTTTTCTATGTTTGGTAGAGACTGGGTTTCACCGTGTTAGCCAGGATGGTCTCGATCTCCTGACCTCGTGATCCGCCCACCTCAGCCTCCCAAAGTGCTGGGATTACAGGCCAGTTCTTGTTTTTGACCTCATGTGGCCTCATGTGATTAGTCCATTTAGATAATAACCCTATTTAAGGTTATTAAGGTTGGAAACCTCATGTGATTAGCCAATTTCATGAGGCTAATGAAATAGGACCTTAATTTCATCTGCAAAATTTCTTTACATCATGAAATCTAATCTCATTGGAATTAGTGTAATTCAAGTACATGTTTCCACACTGTGGTCTCCAAGATATTTCAAGTCAACTGCCCTAGGACTTCAGGAGTCTAGAGTATCTAATTATTTGTGTTGAACTGGAGACTCAACTATAGAAGCAAGAGGAGTGAATTCACACACACACACACACACACACACACACCACTGAAACCTTAGAGCAGTGGTCCTCAACCCCCACTGGTCCATGGCCTGTTAGGAACTGGGCAACACACCAGGAGGTGAGTGGTGGGCAAGCAAGCATTACCACCTAAGCTCTGCCTCCTGTCAGATTAGCAGTGGCCTTAGATTATTTCAGGAGTGTGGACCCTATTGTGAATGGTGCATGCGATGGATCTAGGTTGTGTGCTCCTTATGAGATGGAACAGCTTCATCCTGAAACTATCTCCCTCACACATAGACCATCCATGGAAAAACTGTCATCCATGAAGCAGGTCCCAGGTGCCAAGAAGTTTGGGGACCTCTGCCTTAGAGGGATGACTCAGTTATCTACTGGGATTAGTAGATATCATCTAAACAGCTTAGGACTAGTCTGTTGACACCACTTACAAAACACAAGGGCAATACAACTCTGGAGAATTTACCTCAGAAAGCATTTGTGCTGACCCTGCATTTGCCACTCACTGGTAGGACTGGAGGTTCCACTGGGACACTTAAACCACACACGCCCTGAATAAGGTCATCCTTTGCAAGAATTTCTCTCTCTCTCTCTCTCTGTCTCTCTCTCTCTCTCTCTCTCTCTCTCTCTGCAATCTCTTGGGGGCCCAGAAGTAGAGAAATGGCAGAAGTTTAAGTAGTAGAAATATATGAATGATCTCACTTTTCCTATTTTCTTCCAATTTCATTGTCTCAGGCATTTGGAAATACTAGATTCTATTGTTTGTCAAAAGGTAGATGACATCAACTTGAAGGTGCTGCTTTCTCCTGACTTTCTACGGTGGCCCCAGTGTGAAGCAATACTTGATACTCCTACCCTGTCTCAACTCAGATATTCTGACTCACAGATATTATGCTGGCTGTCATTACTTTTGTGTGGGTACAAAATAAATAAACTTGAACTACCACAGGACCACGTGGGTGAAGAATGTGACTACTAGTTCTGAGTAATTGCTAAGGTGATCACCCAGGTATGAGACAGAAGGTATGATGCTTCTAGAAATAAATGTTTCCCAGAGAAAGGAGAGGCAGGGAATGAGAGTTGTACATATTAACAGTCTTTCATTTGGATCCTTCCAGGAAGACTGTCATCCAGATTGCTCTGGATTTGTTGTGCATGCTCATAGAGGCTGAGTTTTTCCATTAATACTTCATGATGCTATATTTTCATTAGGTACTAAATAAGGCAAGGGAGAACTGTACTCATTTCAATACCTTTTAAAATGCAACCTTACTTTAAGATCCTACCAACCTCCTGGCACGTTCCATCAGGCCATACTGCCGTTTCCGTGAAACAAACCGGTGCCAAAAATAGACTTCAGATCTCCAGAGTTAGCATGCCATGTTGAACACATCTCTCATCATAGAGAATGGCAATAATTTTCTAGATTTTGGAGAAGGTTTGAGAGATTTTCTCAGACCTTCATCACACAGCCACTCCAAGTTATCTGGGCCCCACTTCCAAGTTTTCATGACTACCCTCTGGCCATGATGTAAAAACAAACAAACAAAAAAACTTCCTGTGGAATAGTAGTGATAGTACTACATGGTATCAGACATGGTATTATTCCATATTATTGAGAGAGTTTCAGGTATTATTGATGACCATTTTTTCCTAGGCAGCAACCAATTATTCCTGCTGTGTCTTCTTGAGGAAGTCAGCAACTAGCCTTGCATATCCAATGGGCTGAGATGATAGGTAATGCTGACAAAGTGGGCTGTGATGCACAGAGATCACCAGTTCAAAGGGTGACAGACTATAAGGTAACCATTAATCCGTCCAAAACAACTCCCTTGCAAACTAGCCTTGGTGAAAGTGGTCTGGTCTCTTGCAGAAGAGAATAATTTGTGAACTCAAACTTTTTCTATAAAAATATGCAAAAAACAAGTATGGTAGGCTATCAAACCTGGTAGAATGCTGATGTGGCTCATCAGGACTGGAAGCTATTTGTCTATGTTGTTATCATACAGCTGCAACTGTAATACTTGGGCTGTAATCCCAGGGAACTCCAGGAAAGGAGCTAATGTTATCCCAGCAATGACTGCTGAAGTTGGGGAACAGGGATGGAAGTCAAGGTTTCTCCATATTCTACAGCTGTGAGCAAAAAGCTTCTAGCCTGTACCAAGCTTGGTCAGGCTAGGGTTTACCCTGTCTTATTCATAATCATGCAGTTTATAAAACCTCACAGTCCAAGAAAGAGCCAATGTCTCTCTCTTAAATTCTGACACACAGCCCTGATAAATCCTGACAGATTCTAATTTTATTGTATTGCCCTCATAAAACAGGATCTTATAATCTATATCCTTGGTATTTTTTTGAGTGAAGTAGGGAAAATCATACCCCAGCTGCTCCTTCTGTTTTGAAAGTTTCCTCATGCTATTAGGGTCATTCACTCTTATTTGCTTAAGAAATATGCTGATTTCATTTATGATTTTTCATCTATTTTCAAATAACAATGCTTCTTGTTTTTTTTTACACTGCCTTTGTCAAATGTCAATTTTAATGTCCTAATAGGTTATTAAAATCATTTGAATAGATGTCCCAATTTTTTCAAAGTCTAGAAAAATCTGCAGAAGAAAGAAACTATTCATGTTCGTATTTTTGCTCAAACCATCTAAAAACATTACTTAGGACTCATGACATTATGTTAAATTATAATTTTAATTTATAAATTAATTATTATCTTTTTAAATTTTGGTAATTAATTTCTTTCTAATAAAGCATTCATCTCTTTTCAAAATTAGCTCATATTTCTTCAAAATGTTTTGATATACTCTTTAAAAATCTCTTCTAAATGCAAATTTTGTCAGTTTTCCAATTTTAATCATTGTTTACTTATGATTTTTTGATGAGTCTATCCAGATATGGGTCTATTTTATTTGTATTTCAAAATAATTAGCATTTAATTGTATTGATCACTTCTTTCTTTCTTGTTTTATTAATATTTACTTTTACCCTTAGTTGTGCTTTCTGCCATATTTTTTAGTTTACTGAGTAATTTGAAAATTTTTCTAGCTTCTTTTGAATAGTTCATTTATTTTCATATAACTGGATTAATGATTAATGCTTTCAAGGTTATAAATTTTCCCCTAAATATTACTTGAATTGCATCCTACATGTTTTTAGTAGGTAACACTTCTGTTGATTTTCAAGTCTACACACTTGGTAATTTCAATTACGTTTTCTTTTTTAATTCAAGAGTTGGCCAGAAGTGATTAATTTTTACTTTTGCTGTCTTCTGGCTTTAATTTCTAATTTTATTGCATGTGATCATAGAACAGAATCTTATTACCTGTATCTTTGGCAATTTTTTGTCTTTATCTGTAGTCTTATATTGAGTAAATTCAAATTTAATAATTAATAGAGGCTAAAAAGGAATGTTTATTCAATTTGGGGGAGGTGTTCAGATTTTATACACGTATTCAAAGTTTGTGAATTACCTTGTTTATATATTTGCCAATACAGCTAATTTTTTTCTTTTGTCTGTCAAATTTAGAGTAAAACATGTTAAATATGTTTCACTGTGATAAATAATTGGTTAATTTAGCATCAAAAGTTTTTGATGTTTGTTACATATTTACAATCATGTTGTTAAGATTTATTCAGTGAGCCTGGGAACTTTTCTAAAAACTACATATTCCTGGACCCTGAAACCTAGACTGACTGAAGAAGAGATTCAGAGTGTTGAGGTTACATGTCTGTATTTTCGTAAGTTTCTAAGTTAAGGAATTTAGGACCTAGTTATTGCAGTTTTTTAAAAACTTTCTGTCTAGATGGCCTCATTTATACCTATGATGCTAAAAATGATAATATTCACAGATACATATTCCAATTTAAATGTTTACTTTGTATTCCAGATATGCTACAATCTTGACATGTCACCTTGGATGTTTCACAAGAATTTCAGATTTAAAATGACCAAAATTGAACTCCTGATATTTATTATCCCTAATATTTACAATCTTCCACATGTCAGCAAAGAGAAATTATAGGTACCCAGTTGCTCAAAAGAGAATCCTTAGATTCCTGCTTCATTTTTCAGTTTCCTTTTCCTACCTTTACCCACCTCAAGAATAAGTACCACTGTTTATTTCTCCAAAATTTGGGTCATATTTGTCCACTTGTCTTTATTCACAGTTCCATCACACTAGCCCAAATCACAACCATTCTTTTTTTGGATTGTTGTGATCATTTCAGATTGTTCTCCAAAATTCTGAAAAATATTTATAAGGTAAATTTTTACATTTTTAGTTTTTTATATATAAATCTTCAATAAATTTCCATTACAATTTAAATAAAACCTAAACCTTTATCACCTAATTCCTACATGATCCGGCCCCTAATTATCTGTGTGTTGTCATGACGCTCTACTGTTACCTTGCTTTCTCTTCCTTCCTAAGATTCAACCATACAGGTCTCTTTATCCTTCTGTTTCTACTCTTGAAGCCAAGGGCTAGTACCTCCACTGGAATTTCTTTGTGCTTATCATAACCTTCATCTTTTGCAATTTCTAGTGCCCAAGCCCCATGTATCTACTTCATATTCAGTTTAATGCTGTTTCTTCATGCAAACCTTCCCTCTCCATCACTACTTCGGTTCTATTTAATGATACTATAGCACCCTGAAAATCTCCTTCATGAACGTTCTTGCACTTATAATTTCAATACCTACAATGCAGAAGGGCAAGGAAGCTCGTTGTCTAATTCAATACTCTATTACCAATGTACAGCAGAGTGCCTGGCACAGAGTAGGAATATAAATAAATAAGTGAATAAATAAATAAATAAAGCAAGCAATAATTAGAGTTTTGTTTGATGGATTCTTTGAAACTTATAAGGAAAGAATACAGAGTTTTGAGGATAGTAGAAAAGTCCAATGTCACAGTAGGCAAAACTGTTGAACTTCTTATCAGTAACATAAAATGTACTTACCTACACTGTGAGTATTTATGTGTGTATATGATACAGTATTATATGCATGTATGTATATACATATACATATATACATACATGTTTCAAATATGTCAAAATATTCATCTTGTATAATATATAAATGTACATACATACATCTATTGTGACCTATTGCATGTGTGTCTGTGTACAGAGACAGAACAGAAAGACAGAAGCAGATTATATACCTACATACGTGTATTACATACCTATATCCATGTATGCAGGTATGTAGATGAAAGAGAGGGAGGAGAAATTAGCAAAAGACAAAATTATTTCCCTATATGGATTTTATAAATTTAAAACTACCAAGAGATAAAATCACTATGTATATCTTTGATTTTCCCCTGAAACAAAAATTTACAAGTATAGTTATTAGACCAAAAGATGGCAACATGCTGATATGTATTGACAAATTGTCTTTCTGTAAGTTTTAACATTATGCATCATGCATTAACAATATATGATTGGACCAGTAATGAATACTATGCATTTTAATTTTCACTTTGAAAGATCATTACTAAATGAGTATTTTAAAACATGCTACTCTACTCTTGCTTTAACTTTTATTTATTCGATGAATTGAAGGTTGAATATAGTTTAACATTCATTGGAGATCCCTACTTCTTTTGAGATTTTCTTTCACCCTGTCTACTCTTTTCTACTTTTGTGTGTTTATTGTTTCTTAATATTTAAAAATTCTTCATCTACTAAGGTTATTTATAAACTTTGTTTCCCATGTGTAGATATTTTCTTTTATATATAAAATCTATTAGTTCTTTACAATGTACTTCTTTATGTTAAAGGTTAGAATGAGCATCCCTAGTTCAAGAATAAATATTTATATTTTTTCTAATTCTTTTAGTATTCATTTATTTTGCAGTAATTTTCCTTTTACATCTAATTTTTTAATACTGAAAAACTATGAGAAATTCTATTAAAACTAAGAATTTCAATTTTAGTATGAGTTAGCCTAAAGAGTTATTATTTTCATTCAAAATATTTTAAGAAAATAATGATGTCTCAGGGAGATCTGTGCTCTTGAACCATACCAAGGAAAAATAAGGTGGCATTGAGGATATAGTCAGCTTAAAGATTCACCTTAAAGTTGATCATACTAAGCAGAGAATCTCTAGATGTGAAGGTGGATTTATTACACCCATATCTCTGAACAACTGCCTACATTCTTCTTCAGCTTATCTCTTTCATTATTAAAATACATTTCTTAGCTTATCACTTGCTTTTAGATAGTAGGCAGTTGAACAAAATCAAAGAAACATTGAGTTATTTGTTTGTAAATGGAAAGGAGATGCACAGCTATTTTGAAATGTGATAAAAGTCACTTTAATATTCAAAGGCTAAAATGGATAATTCATAAATCCTCCAGATGTCTTTGGGTTAAGCTTTATTTTAACTTTGTTCCTAGAGAATCTGGAGTTTAAAGATGCAATTTACAATTTCTAAAAATGTATATAATGCAGATAATTGTTATATTAATCTTCTAATAAAATTTTATAGTTAACTTTCCTCTCTCTCTCTTATGACCCCTTTATTTGCCAAATCTTCACAAGGCTATGAATTATTGTGACTGCCTTATCCAAAATAATACATTCAGTTTATCTGGTAAAAGCAGATGCTAAAGATAGATTCAGTAATTATCACATAAAATGGAGCTATACATATGTATGACTTTATCAGGTAATACCAGGTACTGAATATTTATCCCTCAAGCCACAATGGCTTCATATTATAAATTTATGATTTCTTGGTATCCACTATACAGAATGCTTCTAGCATTCAAATGGGCAAATCCTGCCTCTCTCTTTTTTTGAGGGTTATAGTGAATATTTAAATATATATGTGTTGGTACATATATGTTTATATCTACGCTTATGTTACTTTTGGTCTGTAAACTACAATTACTCAGAGGTTGATGATCGTGTATGAGAAAAAGAAAGGAAGCAAAAGGCTCTCTAAAACTATATAAAATTTAAGATGTTCCTTCCAAAGAATCATTTGTGTCTGGAGGTTAACAAACAGGCAAAATAAAATCTGAATAGAGGCACATAGCACCTCTACATAAAATAAGAATGCTTGGCAGTGACCTTGAGGCATAGCATTTTAAATATGTCATGCATTTTTCTTTAAGGGGATCAATGTAGGTAAAATTTGTAGAATCTCATATAAAACCTGCTAAGGTTTCTTTCTAATTACAAAGGACAAAATAGGTTTTATCCTTTAGAAAGAAGTTTTTTTTGTTTGTTTGTTTGTTTGTTTGTTTTTTGACACAAGTACAGGTGCTTCTGCCTCATTTTGGAAAGTACTCTATAAGGAATGGCTATTCCTATGGTACAGAAGGGAACTTAGAAATAACTCAAGGCAAGAGATTTTCACAGTGTCAAAGCATTCTTTGTATTGCCTGGGTGAATTTCCAGGTACCATTAGCTAAAGCGAAGATGGTTATTACTCTCTTTTTTTTTTCTGTCCTAAGGTGACACCCTTATTCTTGGCTTTCAGATGATGACCTAATTTCCTATTTCATGGAGAAAGCTGAAAAAAACAGAAATCAGCTCCAACAAGCTGTCGCCCAGCTCATCCAAACCCCACCTACTCTGTGCCGCTACGCTCCACCCTGTCACTCAGGAACTTCAGCCTCACTCCCTTCTGCCCACTCAAGCGACTCTGGCCTCCATCTCCTGCATCAAGGTTTTCCTTTCTCATAACTCCTATCAAATTATTGTTATTTTTTCCATCTTAAAATATCCGTTTGACCCTATTTCTACCACCTCTTTCTTTTTCTCCTTCCCTTTACAGAAAATTCTGAATTATTCATTTCTATTATTTCCCAATTCCCTCATTGCATTCTCTCCTGAAGCCACCGTGGTGCCTTACAAGCTTCACCTTTTTTTTTTTTTCTGCATCTGAGCAAGCTGATAAGAAAGCCTGCATGCTATGTTCTTTGGCACCAATGGGAGTTTCACACCTTTGGAAGTCTAGGAAGTGTCAACCTAGCCCCACCTCTTAGCCATAATGTTTCCCCCACCGACTCTCTTTTCTCAGCTCTCAAGCCACTTTGGATCAGTTTGATAACCACATTATAGGAATAATAAAGCTTTTCAGACTCTCTTGGCATATGTGTGGTGTATTAGGACATCACACTCCCTGTGTTACTCTGACCCCTCTAACTGCTCCTTTTTCACTCTCCTGTGTTGATTCCTCCTCATTGCCTTCATCCTTAACAAGTGAATGACCCAGGCAGGGCTCAGTTCTGGAGTCACTTCTCTTTTCTCTTTATCTTCACTTCATCATGGTCTTATTCAGACATATAAAAAGTTTTTGTGCTGATGACTCTTAAATTGTTTTCATTATCTCAAATCTCTTCCCTAATAGTTAGATTTATAGATTCAACTATGTGTTCCATATCTGCTATGTACTGTCATGTGTCACGTACCAATGGGGATAGATTCTGAGAAATGCCTTCTCAGGTAATTTTATCATTGTGTAAACATCACAGAGCATACTTACACAAACCTAGATTGTATGGCCTATTACATACCTGGGCTACAAACCTGTAACACATGGTACTGTTCTGAAAATTGTTGGAAATTGTAACGCAATGGTAATTATTTGTGTAGCTAAACACAGAAAAGGTACAATAAAATGTGGTATAAAAGAAAAAAAGTGGTACATCTGGATAGGACCATACCATGAACGAAGCTTGCAGGACTGGGAGTAGCTCTGGGTGAATCTGTGAGTGAGTGTGGTGAGTGAAGGTGAAGGCCTAGGACATTACTGTACACTAGTATAGGCTTTATAAGCACCGTACACTTAGGCTACACTGAATTTATTTAATAAATTTTCTTTCATTTTTAGTAAATTAAACTTCGCTTATTGTAAGTTTTTTACTGTATAAAGTTTTTATAAATAATTGTTGACTTTTATAACCTTTAGCTTAAAACATAAACACATTGTACAGCTGTACAGAAATATTGTCTCTTTATATCCTTATTCTATAAGCTTTTTCTATTTTTTAAAATTTTATTTTCTGATTTTTTACTTTTTAAATTTTTCTGTTAAAAACTAAGACACAGGCCAGAGGCGGTGGCCTGTAATCCTAGCACTTTGAGAAGCCAAGGCAGGCAGATCACCTGAGGTCGGGAGTTTGAGACCAGCCTGACCAACATGGAGAAACCCCGTCTCTACTAAAAAATAAAAAATTAGCCAGACATGGTGGTGCATGCCTGTAATCCCAGCTACTTGGGAGGCTGAGGCAGGAGAATCGCCTGAACCTGGGAGGCGGAGGTTGCAGTGAGTCTAGATAGCACCACTGCACTCCAGCCTGGGTGACAAGAGTGAAACTCTGTCTCAAAAAAACAAAAAACAAAACAACAACAACAACAAAACTAAAACACAAACACATACATTAGCCTAGGCCTATATGAGATCAGGATCATCAATATCACTGCCTTCCACCTCCACATCCTGTTCTACTGGAAGGTCTTTTGGAACAATAACAGGCATAGAACTGTCATCTCCTACGATAACAATACCCTCCTCTGGTATACCTCCTGAATGACCTGCCTGAGGCTTTTTATAGTTAACTTTTTTTTTTAATGAGTAGAAGAAGGACACTCTAAAATAATGATAAACAGTACAGTGTAGTAAATACATAAACCAGCAATATAGTCATTTATCATCATTATTAAGTATATAAACTGTGTGTAATTGAATGTGCTATGTTTTTGCTATATTTTTATATAACTGGCAGTGAAGAATTATTTACACCCACCTCACTGCAAAACTGTGAGTAATGCTTCTGCCATAATGTTAAGAAGACTCTGAAGCTCATAGGCAATAGGAATTTTGCAGCTCCATTATAATTGTATGCGACCACCATCGTATATATGGTTTGTTGTTGACTGAAACATGGTTAGGCCTTGTTAGATGTCATTAGGTGGTACATGATGGTATCTCATCAAGTCTCATGGCTTCAAATGCTATTAATAAGCTAAAGCTTCTCAGGCTTACATGTTCAAGTTGAACCTCTATCCTGTACTCTAAACTCTGCCATCCCCACCTAATAGATGCCTTAAGGATAACATGTTAAAAACTGAATTTTTTATTATTTCCTCAAATATGCTCCTTCATAGTCTTCTTGATATCTGCAGATGACAATTCCAGCTTTCCAGTTGCTCAGACCGAAACATTGGTAAATCTTTTTAAGTTCTTGCTTTTTCTCATGCCCCACTTCAATCAACCAGTAAACCTTTTCAGCTGTTCCTTCAAATTATAGGGTTTGCATAAAACCTGAAGCCTTTCAAATTTAGACAGGCCACTTCAAGAAACAAAATCAAAAATTTTGAAAATAAAATTGGGCATAAATGTGAATATATATTTATAACAGAAATCACAATATAATACAAAATTTGGATAGCTGATAAATGGCAAAAAATTATAAAATACAAAATAAAATAATGTTTTGTTATGTAATTACATGACATATCTTTATAGCATTTCTCCCTATAAATTCTAACTTCATGCTCTTGAATACTTTCTCCTATGATGATTCTTAAAATATTCTTAAAGAGAAGAAAAAGACATTTAATGTCTTCATAACAGTTGATTGAAAATTTAAAATTATTTTTATTTTGGAAATAAAATTTGTGAAATTTCAGCTTTACAACTTACTTTTGGCGATGCAATACAAGTATTAAGTTTATTGGATTGCTTATATTCTAGAAAAGTCTTTGGAATTTGGAATAATCTTTACATATTTTCCTTCATACATGACAACATTTCAAGGCATCTCAATTTTCATGTAGGGATACTTTAGGTATCTTTTGAATGGATAATATTTATTACATTACCCAGTTTGTCATTGATGCCTATATTTCAGTGGTTAGTTATGAATTTTAAGTTATTTTCATTGATGCATTTCATGATAATGCATAAAATATGAGACTTCAAACACAGTTGAACTTACTATTTGTAATAACACTGTAAGTTGCTGACCTATAACCACAGGAATTGTGGTAAATTCTGTTTCATGCTCTTCTCATCAAAATATTTTAAAAATTAAGCTGTTTATAGTTTTGTATGAAGAATTATCAAATGCTTCTGACAGGCAGGAACTTCTGTTTTGGCTAGATATTAATCAGAACAAAAATCTGCACTTAAAAATTTACACATCTCATATTTGGAAGAGTTTCCCACAGGCTAATTTCTGGCCCAAAAGTTGTTTCTCCTTTGTATTCCGTCCTCCATCTCCTCAACTTTTTATTCACTGCCCCCCATGCATGCACGCTAGCAGCCATAAGACATTCATTTCAAGATACAGGCCTTCTTTGGAAGGAGCCTGTGCAGGGGAGTGTCCCAAAGCTAAAGTTCCATTAGCTTCACAGTTACTTTGCGTCTGTGTGTTTTATCAATCCAGACTCTCTCCGTGTCACCCCACTGCTGCCGTCATAAGGCATGCCACAGTCATCTTACTAAATAGCTTACTCTCTGGTCTTCTTGATTTTGTTCTTTTCCATTCTACATTCTATCACTGTGCAGCAGAGAAAATGATCCTACTAAAACCATCTTGGCTTGTGGTGCTCCCATGCTCTATCACATTATGGCTTACCATCTCACTAATCGTAAAAGGCAGTCTATACCCATAAGGTCCTGACATAGCTGACTGCTGGTTACCTCTGTGCTCCTATCCCCTATTCCTATCACTTCCTTACTTTACATGAGTCTCCTTGCTAGTTCTCTAACACGGCCAGGCACACTCCTGCCTCCATGTCTGTACACTTGGTGTCCTGCCTGCCTGTCTCTCTCACTTCACTGTTTCACTTCTTTCATGGCTCCATTCTGCCACCTTCTCATGGAGTACTTCCTATTGACCTTTATAACCTAATTACCGTCCTACCCTTTCCCTGTTTTATCTTTCTCTTTAACAATGATCACTATTCAACAAGCACATATTGCACTTATTTAGCTTATTGTTTTATTTATAGTTAACTTACAATTCACCTATTAGCTTGGTCACTCATTATTCTATTTTCTGTTTTCTTCACAAAAAAATATGCTCCATAAGGACCATGAGTTTTGTTTCATTTTTATCCTGAAACAGCAAAATATCAGAAGATGCAATTTAAATTCTAGCTCGTGTCTAAATCACAAAATACTTGCATTATATTGCTGCTAACTATGACCTGAAAGTAATGTGCTAACCCAAAGGCAGTAAGCAGAATTGAATTTGCCTGAGGAATTATAAATAAATACTCTCATTTTCTATTAAAGCTGGTAAAGAAAACACCTTTGACAAAATGTGCATTTTCAAAATAGCTCTATGTTAAATAGTCAAGGTCAAAATAAAATCTACATAAGGATTTATACCATAATATTTACAGTATAAACACTGCCTCTACTTCTCAACCACCTCTTCATTTAATACTTTCTATAACATGTTTATTGCTTGGTTTAGTCATTCAGAATCCTACTTATATATTAAGCCCAAATTTCTAGTCTGTTTTCATGAAAGTCTTTCCCTAACACAATAGGATGATATTTTTTTTCCTGTGTAAGAACCAATTATTATACTTAGGCAGTTTTACTTGTTTGGTATTGGTTTAATCAGCTTTAATGAATTTTGAATGTATTTTATGTTATTTTTGTGATGTCTTACTAAGATGTAAAAAGAAAACATTGGAAGGTAATGATAAAAATGTCTGCAGGATAAGAAACCATGTTACTTGGGAATAACTGTTATATATTAAATTATTTCAATCTCTGGAAGTGTTTTATCTGAGGCATCTTAGTTTTACAGCACACAAATGATTAATCATGCTAGTTCTAATAGGATCCTGACTTCCTGTAGTCACAGCCTACCTCCTGTGCTATAAGGAAAGTGGAATATTCAACTTAAACAATTAAAGGGCAACCTTATGAAAACCATTGGCATATTTTTGTGCAACCATTTGATGTTTCAAGAAAGCTAAATGGCTTAAACTTGTTTTTGTAGATGCTACATTTTCAATATTATAATATTATACTTATTAGAAATACAGCAATGAGAACTGTGTCAGCCATACAATTGCTGTTCAATAAATGTCTGTTGATTATGAATTAAATGAAAAAAATCAGAGAATGAATGAGTTGCCATTACCTTCAAAATTTTATTCTTTATGTTCACTCAGCCATCATAACAATTGTCATATTGTCATCAATATTTAGGACTGTTACTAAGGTGAATGGGCAGCCCTTGTAGGGCTTCAATAACATTTTTATTATCTTGATATTTTTCTCTTCCCATTCTCTTTCATTTTAAAAAAATAGTTGAACTATACCATTATTGGTATAGTATATAGCCAGTGCATACTACAGTACATAAATATATTTTTTCACTCTTATTATCCATTTAGTCTTAAAGTCTGCAATTAGCTATATCTTTAATGCTCATCACCAATGCTTATGTTAGTATTTCTGGTAACTTTTTAGGGAAGTCATAGGAACAAAAATTCCTGACTTCTTTAATGTTCATAAATTTGGAAGTTAATGAAAAAATGTTTCCAGGACAAGAAACCATGTTACTTGGGAATAAGTTTTATATATTAAATCATTTCAATGTCTGGAAATGTTTTATCTGAGGTATCTTAGTTTTACAACAGACAAATGATTACAATAGGCAAATGCACGTGTGCTTTTACACTTAAATTTCATTTTTTTTCCTGGATATAAAACTCCTTAAATTAAATTTCCTCTCACCAAGTTTCTTAAGTATGTTACTTTTTTCTTCTGCTGACATAAGCCGTTCTGTGGAAAAGTGTTATAACAATCTAATTTTAATTTTCCTAATAAGTCACCCTATTTTCTTCCTACATGACAAAGGTTTCTTTTCTTTAAAGTTAAATAACATTACTTAAGTATGTTTTGCTGTTGGTCATTCTGGATCAATATTATTAGTATGTGAATGCGTTTTTAATATGCGGTTACAAATCATTTATGATATCTATTTAGAAAAACTTTTAATTATATTTAATATTTATATCTGTTCTCTTGCTTTGGTTTTCTTTTTCAAGGATTTATAATAAGTCAGATATACTTTGTTTAGGTTTAATATTTAACACTTTTGCTTAATTATTCATTGCCTATTTTATTTGTTTAATCCATTTCAACTTCTATTTCTCTTAAGGAATTAACTGTTGCGTGTATTTCTTCTTGTGTTGCTTCTACTATAGTCTTCATTTCTGTAATAACTTTTTTCTTTATTTCTTATTCTTTCTGAGTTCTTTTAAAAATAAATTTAAACAATTTTTGTAGGTACAAAATAGGTGTATATATTTATGGGGTACATGAGATGTTTTGATACAAGGAATAACATCATTATAAGCACAAAATGAGGAATGGGGTATCCATCCCATCAAACATTTATCCTTTGAATTAAAAATAATCCAATTATACTTTTTAAGTTATTTTAAAATGTATAATTGAATTATTATCTATTGTAATCACCTCATTGTGATAGCAAATATTAGGTTTTATTATTTCTTTCTATTTTTTGTAACCATTCCCACCTCCACCCCGCCCCCCAACTATCCTTCCCAGCCTCTGGTAATCATTTTCTGTTCTCTATGTTTACAATTTCAATTGTTTTGATTTTTTAGATCCCAGAAATTAGTGAGAACATGTAATGTTTGTCTTTCTGTGTCTGGCTTATTTCACTTAACATAATGATCTACAGTTCCATCCATGTTGTTGCAAACGACTGGATCTCATTCTATCTTTTATGACTGAATAGTACGCCATTGTGTATATGTACCACATTTTCTTTATTCATTCATCTGTTGATGGACACTTAGTTGCTTCCAAACAGCAGCTATTGCAAACGGTGCTGCAGCAAACATAGGAGTGCAAATATCTCTTTGATGCTAATTTCTTTTCTTTTGGTTATATATCCAGCAGTGGGATTGCTGGATCATATGGTAGCTCAATTTTTAGTTTTTTGAGGAACCTTCAAACTGTTCTCCATAGTGATTGTACTAATTTACACTCCTACCATAAGTGTACAAGGGTTCCCTCTTCTCCACATCCTTGCCAGCATTTGTTATTACCTGTCTTTTGGATATATGCCATTTTAACTGGGGTTAGATGTTATTTCATTGTCGTTTTCTTTGCATTTCTCTGATGATCAAAGATATTGACCACCTTTTCATATACTTGTTTACCATTTATATGTCTTCTTTTGAGAAATGTCTACTCAAATCTTCGTCTAATTTTCTGATTGGATTATTAGACTTTTTTCCTATACAGTTGTTTGAACTCCTTATATATTCTGGTTATTAATCCCTTGTCAGATGAATAGTTTGCAAATATTTTCTCTCATTCTGTGGGTTGTCTTTTCACTTTGTTGATTGTATCCTTCACTGCGCAGAAGATTTTTAACTTGATGTAATCCAGTTTGTCCAGTTTTGCTCTGGTTGCCTGTGCTTGTGGATATTGCTCAAGAAATCTTTGTCTGGAACAATGACCTGGAGATTTTCCCCAGTGTTGTTTTTTTTTTTTCTTGTAGTAGTTCCATAGTTTGAGGTCTTAGATTTCAGTTTTAATCCATTTTTATTTGGTTTTTGTATGTGGTGATAGATGAGGGTCTAGTTTCACTCTTCCCAGCGCCATTTATTGAAGAGACTACCTTTTCCCCAGTGTAAGTTCTTAGAACTATGTCAAAAGTGCTGGTGTTTTGTTGAGAATTTTGGGTCAATATTTATTAGAAATATTGGACTGTGGTTTTCTTTTTTTTTTTTTTTTGATGTGTCTTTGTCTTGTTTAGATACGAGGGTAAGTAATACTGGCCTTGTAGAATGATTTTGGAAGTGTTACCTCATCTATTTTTTCAGAGCAGTTTGAGTGAGATTGATATTAATTCTTCTTTAGTGGTTTGGTAGAATTCAACACTAACGCCATCAGGTGTCTGGGTTTTCTTTAGTAGGAGACTTTTTATTATAGCTTCAATAATGTTACTTGTTGTTGGTCTATTCAGGTTTTGGATTTCTTGAGATTCTATCTTGATAGGTTGTATGTATCTAAGAATATGTCAATATCTTCTAGATTTTTCAGTGTATTGGCATGTAGTTGCTCACAGTAGCCACTAATGATCCTTCTAATTTCTGTCGTATCAGTTGTAATGTCTCCTTTTTCACTTCTAATTTTATTTATTTGAATTTTCACTCTTTTTTTCTTGGTCTGGCTAAAGGATTGCCAATTTTGTTTAACTTTTCAAAAAAACAATTTTTTTGTTTTATTGATCTTTTGTAATTTATTTTATTTTAATTTCATTCATTTCTGGTCTGACCTTTATTATTTTCTTCTACTAATTTTGGGTTTTCTAGTTCTTTGAGATGCATCATTGGACTTTTTGTTTGAAGTTTTTCCTCTTTTTTGATATAGACATTTATAGCTATACATTTACTTCTACTTACTGTTTTGCTGTATCCCATAGGTTTTGGTATGTTGTTTTTCCCTTATCATTTGTTTCAAGAAATTTTGCCATTTCCTTCTTAATTTATTTATACTGATCATTCAACAGCACATTGTTTAACTTCCATGTATTTTTATAGTTTATAAAATTCCTCGTTATTAATTTTAGTTTTATTCCATTGTGGTCAGAAAAGATGCTTTATATTGTTTCAGTTTTTTTTTAATGTTTTAAGACTTGTTTTGTCACCTAATATATAGTCTATCCTTCAGAACCATCCTTGTGCTGGGGAAAAGAATATGTATTCTGCACCTCTTGGATGAAATGTCCTGTAAATATTAGATCATTTGGTCTATAGTGCAGATTAAGTCTGACGTGGAAGATCCGTTAAATGCTGAAAGTGGGGTGTTAAAGTCTCCAGCTATTATTGTATTGGGGCCTATCTCTCTCTTTAGGTCTAATAATATTTGCTTTATATATCTTGGTGCACCAGTGTTGGGTACATATATATTTTTACAATTGTTATAGCCTCTCACTGAATTGACTCCTTTATCATTATATAGTGGCCTGTTTGTCTCTTCCTAGAGTTTTGATTTTGAAATCTATTTTGTCTGATGAAAGTATGGCAAATCCTGCTCTTTTCCAATTCCATTGGTATGAAGTATCTTTTTCCATTCCTTTATTTTTAGTCTGTGTATGTCTTTCTAGGTGAAGTGTGTTTCTTGTAGGCAACAAATTAATTGCATTTATTGAGTGCTGTGTTTCCTCCACACAGCTATTTGGAATTCTCTGTCTAAAAGGTCATGTATCTCTCTATCTCAAGGATTGGTTTCCTGGTGCCTTATAAAATTCACTTGGTGAAGTCACGTTTTCCTGAATTGTTGCTGATGCTAGTAGATAGTCGTTGGTGTCTGGGCATGAAAGAGTTAGATATTTATTGTAGTCTTTATTGTATCAGTCCTTCTTGGGAAGGCTTTTCAGATAATTATATGGACTTGGGTGTTGTGATCTAAGCTGTATCTGCTTTAGGGGCATCCCAAGGCAAATAATGCTGTGGTCCTTGTAGAATTGTAGAGGTACCATCTTGATGGTCTTGGACCTGATCCAGGAGAATTCTCTGGATTACCAGGAAGAGACTCTTGTTCTCTTCCCTTACTTTTTCCCCAAAGAGTCAAACCTGAAGCCAGAATGGCACTGGGTCTTGCCCAAGGCCTTCTGTAACCACTCCTTGGCTACTACCTAGGTTCACTCAAGGTCCCGAGGCTCTACAATCAGCAGGTGGCAAAGCCAGCCAGGTCTGTGAGTCAAAGACTAGAGTGAAAAACCTTAGAAGTTTGCCTGGGATTCTATTGTATTGTGGCTTAGCTGGTACTGAAACCAAAAGATGGAGTCTTAACCACTATTCTCTCTCATTTCCAAAGGCAGAGGAACCTCACCTCATAGGCACTGCCTATGAGGAGTACTGCCTACGAGGAGTACTGCCAGACTACCGCTGGTGTTCCCTTAATGCCTAAGGTCTCTTAAGTTGGCTTGTCGTGAATGCTGCTTAGCGTGGGACTCACCCTTCAGAGCAGTGGACTCCGCTCTGGCCCAAGGCAGGTCCAGACATGCCATCCAAAATTATGTCCTGGAGTCAAGGACTCTAAGAGCCTGGTTGGTGCTCTATGGCTCTGTGGCTGTTCTAGTACTTAAGGTGCAAGACAAAGTCCCCTTAATTTTCCCTCTGCTCTTTTCAAGTAGAAATTTTGCCCCATACCCACCACAGCTGGCAATGTGCTGAGTCACACCAGAGGCCAACAACTCTCAGAGACTCACCCAAGACCCTCAGTGTGGTACCTGGGCACTGCTGCTGGTTATTCAGGGCCCACAGGCTCTTCAGTGAGCAGGTGATGAATGCTGCCAGGACTGGGTCCTTTCCTTCAAGGTAGCAGGTTCCCTTCTGTCCCATGGTATGGCTAGAAATGTTGTCTGCAAGATAGATCCTGGGATGAGGTCTTCAAACCTCCAACCAGTTCCCTGTCTTGCTGTGGCTGAACTGGTATCCTAGATGCAAGACAAAGTCTTCCCCACGCTTCCTTCTCTCCTCCTCAAGCAGAAGGAAGGGGACTTTTTTAAAGCCTCAAGTTGTGCAGCCTGGGGTTAAAGAAGTGGTGATGCCAGCACTCCCTTGGCTGCCCCAGCTAGTGTCTCAGTATTTTGCATGCCCCTCAGTCCACTGTCTCTGGGCCTACTAGCATTAGGATTCACCTAAGAGTTGCAGTCCTTATGTCCTAGACTGCCTTTCGAGTTTACTTGGAGTCACAGAGTGCTGTAGCCTTTGGTGGAGAGGTTTGCAGGCACTTGAGTTTCGACAGCTGGGACTGGTGAGTCCCTTATGGCTCGGGCTGATTTATAAGTCCTCTCTCCCTGGGCAGGTGTCAGCTGAGTTTGGTCTGATTTTCCTTTCTGCTTTAACAGGACAGCACTGGGTTCAATGCCTCACAGATGTTCTGTTCTGCCTTGCCCAATGCCAGAGACGTTTTCCTCACCATGCTGCTGTTGCCAGGGTTTGGGGGATTGGCATTGATGAGTCAGGACTGTTTTTTTCGATTTTAGGCTCTTATGAAGGTGTATTTTTCTGTGTAGATAGTTGTTAACTTGGTGTCTTTGTCGGAGCTTTCTATTCTGGCATCTTGCTCTGCCTCCTTTCTTTCTGAGTTCTTTTAACTCTGAGTTATTTTATTCTGTATAATTTTTTGAGGTTACATATTATTATTTTCATATTGGCTAATTTCAAAAGAGTAAACCATGTTTTTATATATTTTGTTGGTGTGGTTTATGGCATAATTTCATGGTGAAAAAGGATGTTATTCTGCTCCTTATTATACTTTTTTTAAAACTTTTGCATAAGATTTGAACTTTTCCAGTTCTTTGTTTATTTCGATATGAAATTTGCATTTCCAAACTTTCAGGAATTATGAATTAGGCAGAAAATGTTGTACAAAAGTCAAATAATCTAATTCCATAGAAGTTTTATTTGTTGTCTCTGTTTAACGGTTCAAAATAAGTAGCTTGCACTTTTGAGAAGTGCCAATTCTGTTTTCCTCTTTCACTTATCTTAATATCTGCATTCTTCCTTTAACTCTACTGTTCTTGACCTCAAAGTTGACTCAGTTTCCAGCAGTTTCTGCTTTTTGTGCAAACTTATGCAAAAAAAATAATCCCGGTTGGTCAGTTTCAAGAGTTTTTATGTGACAACTCCAGCCTTTGTAGAACTTGCCTTGGAGCATGTGGACTATTAGTTTCAGCTTCTGATTACAAATTGACCACATGCTCTCCAGTGTATACGTGGCAATTTTGGGAATTTTTCTGTTCTTAGATTTACTGGAAGCTCTACTGACTCTCTATGCTGTCCTCTTTCACTGACTCAGATCGTATGCAGGTCTTCTCTTTTTTAGTTGTTTGCTGCTATTTGCATATCTGGTACTAGAGAAGTAACTTGTTATGTACTTTTGTTGTCAATATTGTCCATGGATTTTTGTCTTTCCTATTCTATTGCTATCTATGTTTTGTGAGAGGTTCCAGAAAAGCTATTTAAAAAAAGCCATCACCACAATTTTGAAGAATCAAAATAGGCAAAACTTTGAAAAAGTATAAATACAAATAAATTACTTCACACACATTGTCTTACAATAATATTGTTACGAAAAGTGCTCTGGATGGAGACAAACATCATATTTGTAAATTCTATATATTTCAATGCAAATAAATAGAATTGTCAATGGTCTCCACTAAGCAGAGTTCGTTATCAGCTTACCAGTTATTCCAGTACATGAGAATATTTATCTCATTTAAAAATAGCATTACAAAGAGAAGCTTCAGTTAAAATGATTAGCAATTTTAAACTAATTAAGCATAAAATGGAAATTTGAAGAAAACTAGAAGTAACATTATTTAAAGAAAAATAAACTCTACTGGAAAAAATATCCTAATTTTATAGTGGATATTACTTGTCCATTGCTTTAAGTATGGCTAGGAAACTGATTAAAGTATATGTGAATCAATAATGGGGTAATATTTCTCATATACTATTTTTAATATTCAGAGAATCAACATTACATTTAAAATTTTTGCCTGGATATAAAATAATAATACTACATTTAGGTATAAAAAACTGTTTAGAGGTCTATCAATATAATGAATCCTATTTGTTGATTAATAAGCAAGTGTTTCAAGTAATCATATAATTTTGAATAGTTTGAGTGTTCCCTTTCTTCTTAAAAGCGTCTTCATTTGGAAGATAACTTATATGATTCCAGCCGTAATTAACAACAAAAAACTAGTAGGATTAACAGATTAAAGACCGCAGTAAAATGAAGTATACTGAAATGGGATTATTAGGAATTAAAAATATAGAAGTATGGTCAGAGGAGAAGTTGCCGGAGTTGAGATTTTGATATTTTGAGATTTTGATTTTTGTGCAGTTATTCATAACAGCTATGACTTGGTTACAATCATGCAAATAAGTGAGCTTACATATGATGGAGAAGAGATTTTAAAAGTAAGAAAGTCAACAGACTCAAAACCTAGGATGTTGTATTGATGCTCATAGGAAGAGCCCTCGCCATAAAACATGTCTAATATTTTTAAGGAATGATAAGTAACACAAATTGTGTACAAAGCTTGTAGATTATAGTCTGATGACATATACTTCATTGGAGGTTATTTATTCTCTTGAAATGCACACATTTATCAAACAGGAAAGTTAGATAAATTTTCCATATCAATTATTATTGAACTACATATGATTTGGAGGCTGTAAAAGGCAGAAGGTAAAAGAGAATGATGTTGCCACAAGACACACCTAGCCTGAGATGAGGAAATGCAACAGAAAAACTTCCAGCCATGAGAATAAGTAGAAAGAACCAGAAAAAACTAGATTTAGAAAACTCTCTCTCAAATTGAGTATACAGTGCAGGTACCCGATTTTATTTGGGTGCTTGGTTTTTAAGATTTCCTCATAAAGAGTAGCCCTTTATTTGCATGTATTGATCAGTTACTATTTGCTAAAACTTTACATTTATTAATTAACTCATAATAATTTAGTAAAATAAATAATTGGATTACCATTTTATAGGAGAACTAAAGTTTAGAGTAATTGTGAATTTTTTCCAATGTCACGTAGCTAGTAGAAGTTAGAACCTGGGTTAAAATTTATCACTGTTATATATTAGAGAGTGATTTATTGTAATTATGTCATGCTGACTATTCTTATTCACTTTGCTTTTAAAATTTAATTTAATCATTTTAATTAAAGTATTTCTAAGCGTACTTACACAATCTTTTATAGTCTCCTTCCCTGGGATGTATGGACCAGCAATATGAACTCAATAGATTAAAATATTAGTGATGTCATCAGAGGTGACACTTGCCCCAAAATAAAAAATACTCATCAGTTATTCATTAAATAGTTATAAGAGAATATTGATTGATACTAATTTTGAATCATAAAAATTAAATGACATTTTATAAATACATATCACATAAGATAAAATAGTCTAGGTATTGTGTGGGTAAAAATGTAACATTTCAAATTTGCACAGACAAAATTGTTCTAAGCTGAATGGTGGAGACAAGAAAGGGGCACGAAAAAAGGAAACAAAAATATAGCAACGTATTATTGTTACAGAATTTGTATATGTAAAATATGTGTAATATTAAAATACAGATAAAATATAAATATCTATATTCAGTATCCTATGTTAATTCTATATGTAAAATAGAAAAGTGTATAGTGAATGAAAATATACACAAATGCATTCATAATGAGCCCCATCACTTATCCCAAGGGATTATGATTAATTGAAAACTATAATAAATACAACTCTACAAAATTGGAATGGGCTGTTTTTGGAAATTAGCTATGTACTCATCACTGAATTTGACTTCCAAGTATACTATTTAATGGACAGTCACAGATAAATGTGAAATATGTGACTCTATAGATGTGATTTTTGTATGTCCAATTGTATTTTTCCAAATGATTTGTTTTGAATCTTTTGAAGATGTGTTACTCATCCTCATTTAACTGACTACTAATGACACAAGTGATGTTCACTGTAAAGGTACTTTTAAATGCCAGCTCTTAAGATCAGTCTTAACTCCTATAGCATTTGCACAATATGGTACTGATATATGGCAGTTGAGAATTCTGAACATGTTGGGGGCTGTCTGACAAGCAAGTGATAAAAGCGTGGAGAAGGTGATTGAGCAAAGGGAAAAAGAAAAAAGAATGGGAAGTAGATGATTTTAAGGCCTGATGAGCTTTTTCACAAAATTTCTTGAAGTTCTCCTGAGACGGGAGAAGTATTCAGCCCACTCTAACTGAAGAAAGGATTCTTCAAAATTATGGCCTTAGCCCAGGCAGTTAGACTATATTAACTCTTCTATGTGTCATAAATGCATAAGGAAAGACTTCACATAGACCCTCTCCCCTTTTTGATCTGACCTTTTGCTACATTTTTCTATCAATCATTTTGAAGGTCAAATTCCCCTGAAAAAAGCCTAGATTCATATTTTGTAGATGAATTGTAATCTTCCCTGTAAATCATCTCTCATTTCTTCAAAATTAAATATCTGTTTATCATCTACATAAATACATAATTCACAATTTAAATTGAAGTTCTAAATCTCAGATGCTTTATGGAAACAGAATAAAAGACACACTTATCTTTATTCATCTCATTTTAAACTCATTATCACTAGCATGATATAGCCCCTCAGTTCTGCTGGAAACAACTGTCCTGACTTTCTCGGGTCCATTCATCTCCCACTTTCTCAAATGATGACTTTACCTCTATTCCCTTAACCTAAGTATTGCTTCCTGTTTCATGGAGAAAATATAAATAACATTTACAGAGAAACTCCAAATGTCCTTAACATTACATTTATCAGCCTATATATGGAATCATATTACTAACTTTATCTTCTATTACTAAAGATAAACTATTCCTGCTCCTTCCTAAGGTCATACTTTCCAGCTATACCCTAGATCTCATGCTCTATAGGATCATCAAGGACATTGCTCCAAAAACTCTTCCCCTTTCTCACCCATTATGTAGTTCTCCTTTTTTTGTTGATTTATTCCAAAAGTTTATGTTTTTGTTTCCTAGGGATATCATAACAAAGTACCAACACTGGGTGGCTTCAATGAAAAAATTTATTTTCTCACAGCTTTGGAGGCTAGAAATCTGAGAGTAAGTTGTTGGCAGTTTTGTTGTAAGACATCTCTCCTTGGTGTGTAGATAGCAGCCTTCTTCCTGTGTCACCATTTTCTCTCTGCACATGTACATGTCTGTGCCCAAATTTCCTTTTTGGAGATGTAGTCTCACTCTTGTCACCTGGGCTGGAGTGCAATGGAGAGATATCTTGGCTCACTGTAACCTCCACCTCCCAGGTTCCAGCAATTCTCCTGCCTCAGCCTCCCGAGTAGCTGAGATTTCAGGTGCCTACCACCACGCTCAGCTAATTTTTGTATTTTTAGTAGAGACAGGGTTTCACTATATTGGCCAGGCTGTTCTCGCACTCCTAACCTCAGGTTATCCATCCACCTCGGCCTCCCACATTGCTGGGATTACAGGCATGAGCCGCCGTGCCTGGCCCCAAATTTCTTTTTCTTACAGACATAAGTCATATTTGCATTGGGTTAGGGCCAGTCCTAATGATCTCATTTTAACCTCTTTAAAGATCACATCTCCAAATACAGTCACATTTTGTGGAGACTTTAGAACTGAGGTACTGGGGGCTAGGATTTCAAAATATAAATTTTGGTGGGGACAATATTAAGTCCGTAGCAGTATACAAATATGCTATTATTTTTTCTCTGTCTGATGCTTCTTTACTTTCCTTCCCTTTTCAGCAAACTCCTCGAAATGTTTCTCTACTTGCCATCATCATTTTCTCTCCTCTCTTTCTCAGGTGAACCTACTCCAAGGCTTTATCCCTACAACTCAACATAAACTGTGTTTTCAAGGTTACCCATGACCTCTACTTTGGAAAATATATAATAATTTTTCATACTTTATCCTGATGACCTATTTATTAATTTACTAGGTATGCCCTAACAAAGTACCAATGACTAGGTGGCTTAAAAAACAGAAATTTATATCATTTCCATAATGCAAATTACAGTCACTGTCTTCCAAAGCCCCCAATCATGGCATCAACCTTGAAGACCATGATCGAGTACTGTGAATTAGGCCTGGGTCCAGGTGAAGCTCATTATGTGCAGTTTCTCATGCACAACAGCTCAAATGCAGCATCTTTGGATACTGAGAAAGTGATATAAAATGATAAGTTATCCATCTTACTGTCCAGATCCAACATAATGCTGAGATAGAAATTTAACAACCATTAAAAAGAGGGAAAAAGAGAAAACATAGCAGCCACAAATCTGTAGCCAATTTGAAATCCACCGAGGAACATGTCATCACATTCCTCTATTCCAGGGAAAAGTCACAAATAGTTTCTCTCCCAGAAAGAATGGAAGAAGGTACCCAGTACATCCATGGTTCTCTCTGCCACTTGGCTCTGTCCTCCAAGTGGTACTTCCTTTTTTATGAGAAGTGTCCTCTGTTTGCAATTGATTAGATCTTTAGTCTCCCTATCTCTGTTTAAAGAGTTCCAGGACCAGGGGCTTTTTAAAATTTTGAACTTTCTCAATATCTTTTAGTGTAAGCTGTCAGCACTTTCATACATACATTCTCTTAAAGTTTCTGTGAGTTTCTTATAAATCTTATAAGTGTTCATCCCATACTCCAAAAACCATATTAATAATTTTTCAACATTAGTTTTTCTTTACTTTAGCTAAAATGCTATGGGATAATGGCCATGCAATTGTTTTGTAGAGTGGCATACTAGGCAAACTTTAAAATATTTCTAAGATCATGGCAGAGGGTTTCATAATTAAATCCCTGATTTGATGTTTACACTGAGGCCATTTCATACTTGGAGAGTGTTTAGTGATTGAAGAAACTGGATATTTGAGACTGTTTTATTTTATGCCCCAACAATTCTTTGTTTTCCTATATGGTCATGCACCACATAATGATGTTTTAGTCACCACATATACATATACCATGGTGGTTTCCAAAGATTATAATGGCACTGAAAAATTCTTATGGCCTTGTGGCTTCACAGACATCATAGTTCTACATGTCACTTGTATGTTTATGATGATGCTGGTGGAAACAAATCTACTGCACTGCCAGTCATATTTAAGTATAGTACATATAATTATGAACAGTATGTAATACTTGATAATGATGATAAATGACCATGTTACTTGTTTGTGTATTTACTATACATTTTATCATTATCTTAAAGTGTAATCCTACTTATAAATATGTCAACGTGAAACAGTCTCAGGCAGGTCCTTCAGGAGGTATTCCAGAAGAAGGCATTTTTATCATAGGAGATGACAGCTCTGTGTGTTTTACTGCCTCTGAAGACCTTTAAGTGGGACAGGATGTGGAAGTGGAAGGTGATGACATTAGTGATGCTGACTCTGTGTAGGCCTAGGCTAATGGGTGTCTTCATGTCTTAATTTTTAACAGATAAGCTTAAAAAGTAAAAAATGACCAAATTTTTAAAAATGGAAAAAAGCTTACAGAGTAAGGATATAAAGAAAGAAGATATCTTTGTATAGCTGTACAGTGTGTTCATGTTTTATGCTAAGTGTTATGAAAATGTTTAAAAAAGGTTTTTAAAAAGTGCATAAAGTAAAAACAGTTACAAGTTGAGTTTAATTTGTCAATGAAGAAAGAAATTTTTAAAAATAAATTCAGTGTAGCCTAAGTGTACAGTGTTTATAAAGTCTGCAGTGGTGTACACTCATGTCCTAGGCCTTCACATTCACTTAGCCCTCACTCATTGACTCACTCAGAACAACTTGCAGTCTTGCAAGCACCATTCATGGTAAGTGCCTTATACAGGTGTATCATTATTTATCTTTTATAACATATTTTCACTGTACCTTTTCTACGTTTAGATACAAACACCATTGTGTTTCAATTGCCTAGAGTATTGAGTACAGTAACATGCTGTACATGTTTGTAGCCTAGGAGCAACAGGCTATACCATATAGCCCAGATGTGTAGTAGGCTACACCATGTAGGTCTGTGTAAGCACACAATAAGGTTTCTGTAAGTGTGCAACACAATCACCTAATGACATTTCTCAGTATGTATCCCCATTGTTACGTGACCCATTACTGTATTCACTAGCAAGGGAATTGTTGGTCATATGGTAATTCTGTGTTTAACTTTTCATTTGTTTTCCACCTTGGCTCCCCTGCTGTGCGTTCCCAGTAGCAATGTTTAACAGTTATAATAGCTCCACATACTTGACACTAGTTATTTTCTTTATATGTAAATAACTATGTATCTGCATGTTAGTAGATGGGAAGTGGTATCTCATTGTGGTTTTGATTTGTATTTCTCTAATGGCTTATCTTTTCATTTATTTATTCGCCAGTTCTGTATCTTCTAAGGAGACATGTCTATTTAGATATTTTTCCCATTTTAAAACTTGGTTATTTGCTTTTTATTGTTAATTTGTAAGAGTATTTTATATATTCCAGTACTAGTCCCTTATCAGAAATATGATCTGGAAATATTTTCTCCCATCCTGTGGGTTGAGTTTTAGCTTTCTTGGTGTCCTGTGATGCTCAATTTTTTTTTTTTTTTTTGAGACTGAGTCTTACTCTGTCGCCCAGGTTGGAGTGCAGTGGTGTGATCTCTGCTCACTGCAACCTCCACCTCCTGGGTTCAAGCGATTCTCCTGCCACAGACTCCCAAATAGCTGGGACTACAGGCACATGCCACCATGCCTGGCTAATTTTCTTGTATTTGTAATAGAGACAGGGTTTCACCATATTGGCCAGGCTGGTCTTGAACTCCTGACCTCATGATCCTCCTGCCTCAGCCTCCGAAAGTGCTGGGATTACAGGCATGAGCCACCGTGCCCGGCCAAGTTATAATTTTCTACTGAGCACCATTGTCACTCCTTCTTATACATCTTTTGTATGTTGTGCTTTGGTTTTTCTTTATTTCTAAGTATTTTCACACACACACACACACAAACACGTATATATATATATATATATATATATATACAGAAGCACATATATATGTATATACACACAAATATATTCTTAAACTTTAAAGAATCTATAAGGAACTTAAACAATTCAATGAGTAAAAAATAAATAACTCCATTAAAGATTGGGCAAAAAACATAAACAGATTTGTCTCAAAAGAAAATATACAAGTGGCCAAGAGACATGAAAAAATGCTCAGTATCACTAATCAGCAGAGAAATGTAAATCAAAACCACAAAATGACATTCTTATGCCACTCGAAATGGCTATTAATAAAGTCAAACATAATAGATGCTCGCAAGGCTGTGATGAGAAGGGAATGGTGGGAAGGCAAATTAGTTCAGCCACTGTGGAAAGCAGTTTGGAGATTTCTCAAAGAGCTTAAAACAGAGCTACAATTCAATTTAGCAACCCCATTACTGGGTATATACCCAAAGAAAAATAAATCAGTCTACCAAAAGGACACATACCCTCATATGTTCATTGAAGCACAATTCACCATAGCAAAGACATGGAATCAAACTAGGTGACCATCGATGGTGGACTGGATAAAGAAAACTTGGTGCATATGCACCATGGAATACTACGTAGCCACAGAAAGAATAAAATCATTTACTTTACAGCAACATTGATGGAGCTGGAGTTCATTATTCTAAGCATTTTCTAATTTGTTTGTGGGACCTATGATTATTTTAAAACGTGTTTTTTAATTTTCACATATTTCTGAATTTTCCAAATTTCTTTCTGTTAATTTATAATTTTTTTCAATTGTGGTTAGGAAATAAACTTTTAATAATTATAATATTTTAAAATTTATTGCAACTTGTTTCTAGCCTTAAAAACGTTCTAACTTGGAGAATGTTCAATGTACACTTTAGAGAAATGTGTATTTTGCTTTTTGGGGGATAGATTATTAGGTATATATCTACTAAGTCTAGTTCATATTTAATAATATTCAAGTCTTCTATTTTCTTGCTTTTCTTCATTCTAATTCTTCCTTCCATTACTGAAAGAAGGGTATTGAAGTCTCAAACTATTTTTGTTAAATGGTGTTTTTCCCTTCATTTCTATCAGTTTTTACTTTTTGTATATTGGGACTCTATTGTTAGCTGCATATATGTTTATAATTGTTACATATTCTTAATGGATTGACTGTATCATCATATGATGCCCTTCTTTTTCTCTAGTAACAATTTTATATTAAAGTTCATTATATATAATTTTAACATAAGCAGACCTTTTCTATTTAAATGGAATATCTTTTTTTATTCTTTTAATTTCAATTTATTTGTGTCTTTGGATCTAAATGAGTTTCTTGTAGACAGCATAAAATAGATCTTTTGAAAAATCCATTCTACCAAGCTACGTATTTTTATTGGAAAATTTAATTGTTTACAGTTAATGCAATTTCTTTAAAAAGACTTATTTATGCTATTGCACTCTTTCTTGTCTCTGTATCTTCTCTCCTTTGGTTTCTTGTTCTTCTTACTGCATTTTTTGTATTAAATATTTTCTAGTGTATAAGTTTTAATTTCCCTGTCATTGCTTTTTCTATAAATTTTGAGTTATTTTCCTAGTGGTTTTGTTGTGTATTACAAATAACACCTTAATTTATAACAATCTGGCTTGGATTAGTAACAATTTCCATAATACAAAAATTTTACTCCCATATAGATCTGTCCCTTCTTGGTGCTGGTATCATCACAATTCATCTTTGTACATTGTGTGGCCAACAAAGACTTATAATTATTGCATTATACAGTTAGTTTTTAATTTAGGTGAAATAAAAAGGAATTATAACACATATATATTTATTCAGTGTTTTCTATTTACCTATGTAGTTTCTTTTACTTTGTTATTTATTCCTTCATTCAGATTTGAGTTAACGTCTACTGTCCTTGCATTTCAACCTAAGAACTCCCTTTAGAATTTGTTGTAGGGCATCATTCAAAAAAAATACTTGCAGGCGCATGTCTATAGCAGCACAATTCACAACTGCAAAATCGTGGAACCAACCCAAATGCCCAGCAATCAACGAGTGGATAAAGAAACTGTGATATATATATATATATATACATATATATATATATGTATATATATATATATGATGCAATACTACTCAGCCATAAAAAGGAATGAAATAACAGCATTTGCAATGATCTGGATGAGATTGGAGACTATTATTCTAAGTGAAGTAACGCAGGAATGGAAAACCAAACATCGTATGTTCTCACTGATATGATATGTGGGAGCTAAACTAAGGGGGTGCAAAGGCAAAAGAATGATACAATGTGTGACACACATCTACAACCATCTGATCTTTGACAAACCTTACAAAAGCAATAGGAAAAGGATTCCCTGTTTAATAAATGGTGTTGGGAAAACTGGCTAGCCATATGCAGAAAACTGAAACTGGACCCCTTCCTTACACCTTATACAAAAATTAACTCAAGATGGATTGAAGACTTAAATGTAAGACCTAAAACCATAAAAACCCTAAAAGAAAACCTAGGCAATATCATTCAGGACATAAGCATGGGCAAAGACTTCATGACTAAAACACCAAAAGCAATGGCAACAAAAGCCAAAATTGACAAATGGAATCTAATTAAACAAAGAGCTTCTGCACAGCAAAAGAAACTATCATCAGAGTGAACAGGCAACCTACAGAATGGGAGAAAATGTTTGCAATCTATCTATCTGATAAAGGGATAATATCCAGAATCTACAAGGAACTTAAACAAATTTACAAGAAAAAAATAACCGCATCAAAAAGTGGGCAAAGGATATGAACAGACACTTCTCAAAAGAAAACATTTATGCAGCCAACAAACTTATGAAAGAAAGCTCATCATCACTGGTCATTGGAAAAATGCAAATCAAAACCACAATGAGATCCCATCTCATGCCAGTTAGAATGGCAATCATTAAAAAGTCAGGAAACAACGGATGCTGGAGAGAAAGTGGAGAAATAGGAATGCTTTCTCACTGTTGGTGGGAGTATAAATTAGTTCAACCTTTATGGAAGACAGTGTGGTGATTCCTCAAGGATCTAGAACCAGAAATATCATTTGACCCAGTAATCCCATTACTGGGTATATACCCAAAGGATTATAAATCCTTCTGCTCTAGAGACACATGCACACATATGTTTATTGCAGCACTGTTTATGATAGCAAAGCACACGTATGTTTATTGCAGCACTGTTCACGATAGCAAAGACTTGGAACCAACCCAAATGTTCATAAGTGATAGACTTGATAAATAAAATGTGGCATATATACACCATGGAATACTATGTAGCCATAAAAAAGGATGAATTCTTGTCCTTTGCAGGGACGTGGATGAAGGTCAAAAACATCATTCTCAGTAAACTAACACAGGAACAGAAAACCATATGCTGCATGTTCTCACTCATAAGTTGGAGTTGAACAATGAGAACACATGGACACAGGGAGGGGAACATCACACACTGGGGCCTGTTGGGGGTAGGAGGCTAGAAGAGGGATAGCATTTGGAGAAATACCTAATGTAGATGACAGGTTGATGGGTGCAGCAAACCACCATGGCAGTGTATACCTATGTAATAAACCTGCATGTTCTTCACGTGTATCCCAGAACTTAAAGTATAATAATAAAAAAAAAGAAAGCCAACACGTCATCTCTAAATAAAAAGCATTAAGTAGCATTGAAAAAAAATGATACAGTGGACTTTGGGAACTTGGGGGAAGAGTGGGGGGGGGGCGAGGGATAAAGGACAACAACAAATACAGTGCAGTGTATACTGCTCAGGTGATGGGTGCACCAAAATCTCACAAATCATCACTAAAGAACTTACTCATGTAGACAAACACCGACTGTACCCCAATAACTTATGGAAAAATAAAATTAAAAAAATAAAAAAATTAAATAAAAAAAAGAATTTGTTGTAACGAAATGCAATCTGTACCCCGATAACTTATGGAAAAATAAAACTAAAAAAAAGAATTTGTTGTATGGCAGATATGCTAGTGATAAACTCTGTTTTTATCTAGGAATGTTTTGATTTTTCCTTCATTTTTGAAGAATGGTTTTGCCAGATATAGAATTCTTCCGTGACTCTTTTCTTTTACTACTTTAAATATTTCATCCCACTACCTCTATGTTTTCTGACATGAAATTAGTTGTTAATCTCATTGAAGATCCTTTGTATGTGATGATTATCTTTTCATGCTGCTTTCAAGATGTTTTCAATGTATTTGGCTTTTGAAAGTCTAATTATGATGTATCTAGTTATATATTTCTTTGAATTTATTCTGCTATGAGTACATTGAGCATTTTGATGTGTAGATTAACATTTTTCATCAAATTATGATTATCTTTAGTCATTATTTCTTCAAATTTCTTTCTGTCCCTTTTTCTCTCTCCTCCTGGGATTTTCATTATGAATGAATTGGTACAGAAGTCTCCAAGACTTTCTTCAGTTTTTTTTTTTGTTTTTTTTTTCTTTTTCATTCTCTGGTGTTTTGTTTTTTTTTTCTGTTCCTCAGTCTGGATAATCTCAATTGATCTACTTTCAGTTTTGCTGATTCTTTATTCTGTCTGCTTGAGTCTGCTATTGAGCCCCCTCTATATAATTTTTCATATCAGTTATTATACTTTTCAACTTCTTAATTCCTATGTAAATTTTTAATTATTTAAATATCATTATTAATATTCTATATTTTTTGAGACAGTGTTCCAATTTGTCTTTCTCTTTAGACATTGTTTCCTTAGCTCATTAAAAATGTTTAAAATAGCTGAGTTAAAGTTTTTGTCTTGAAAATCTAAGTTCTGGGCTTCCCCTTGGACAGTTCTATTTACTACTTTTTTCTTCCTCAATATGGGCAATAATTTCTTATTTCTTTGCATGTTCAGTCTTTTTGGTTGGGGACTGGATATTTTGAATATTATAATTTAGCAACTCTGGAAATTACATCCTCTGAAGAGTTTTTCAAATTACTCATAGACATCTCATTTCCCAGACTTTCCTCCCAAGTTTTAAGTTAGTCTGTCGTGTGGCTCAATTGTTTTCTAACCACACACAGAAACAATTAAAATATTTGCCTATACATGCTTTAAACATATGCATCCTTTCATTTCCTTTTAGGTGGCAGCTTTAGCGCTGGGCAAGTTCTGAGTCAGGTGAAATAAAGATAAGCCCTTTGAGCCAGTCTTCCAAGGAACCAACACACAGATGAAAAAAAAAAAAATTACACTTGCTCGTTAATGAGGTCCAATCTTCTCCTATGGTACTGGAAATGTGAGCTGCTACTTCCAATACTACCAGTTGAACAGTGGGAGATGAGCATGGGGGTAGTTAAAATGCCACACATTTCACTGTTCTTATCAAGATTCAGTTGTTTTTCTTAAGCAAGCACTGGTTGTTGCAAACCTTTGGTTAATTTTCCGTGCTCCCCAAAATTTGTACTGACAGCTTTTCCCAGTATTTAATTTAATTGCCTATTTTGAAGGGATACAATTTTAGTTTCTTATTCCACTACTTTCCTGAAGACTATACTTTTCTTTTTCAATTCCTAACTTTTACATTAGTTTAAAAGTGATTATACCTTTCTTAGTTAATGGCGTCTGAGCAGTCTATAGACATTTTTTAAAAAGCATATTAAGGCTGAGCACAGTGGCTCACGCCTGTAATCCCAGCACTTTGGGAGGCCAAGGCAGGCAGATCACGAGATCAGGAGATCGAAACCATCCTGATAGCGACAGAGCTAGACTCCGTCTCAAAAAGAAAAAAAAATACATCTATATATCAAATATTAATGTACTATATTTTAACTAAGCTGATCTAAAGCTCCCTCTTTTTTAAGTTCTTAAAATTAAATTTAATTTTCACTCTTGAAACATTTGTGTATAGTATCTTTAAAGATCCAAGACTTCTAGTCCTGTGCATTTTTATCAAAAGTTTTTAGAAAAAAAAAGTTATAGAATTTTTCGGCAGTGTGGTGGCTCACGCCTGTAATCCTAGCACTTTGGGAGGCCTAGGTGGGTGGATCATGAGGTCAGGAGATCGAGACTATCCTGGCTAACATGTTGAAGCCCCGCCTCTACTAAAAGTACAAAAAAATTAGCCGGGCGTGGTGGCGGGCGCCTGTAGTCCCAGGTACTCGGGAGGCTGAGGCACGAGAATGGCCTGAACCCGGGAGGCGGAGCTTGCAGTGAGCTGAGATTGCGCCACTGCACTCCAGCCTGGGCGACAAAGCGAGACTCTGTCTCAAAAAAAAAAAAAATTATAGAATTTTTCTTTGCTAGTCCTTTTATGCTCAATGTAACAATAAAATAGACATAAGTATCAGCATATTAAAATGATTAAAAATAACAGGAGTATTAATTATATTCTGCCATCGCTGAAGTATAATACATGTAATAATAAGTATAGTACACACGTGGATAAGAAACAACAAGAAAATTACAACAGAGATAAGCCAGGCATGAAGAATGAAGAGTAATAGATTAATCATACATTGAAATTACTGGTTTAAGAGAGAGGAAACATTTTGCTGGCAGATATTGTAAGATGGATGATTTCTAATTTGATACTAAAATGAATAAAAATATTACATTTCAAGTGTGGTTGATGTAAGCATGGTTACTCATGAGTGGGAAGATAAGTAACTCTTGTAATAAAGAGGTAACCATATAGAATTATAATATTTGCAATCCCCCTGGGGGTAGTATTTTAAACAGAAAAAAATAACAAATTTATTGCATTAAAAATCACTCTAAAAAGTTAATACCTTTATTCCTGCTATCAGGAGCAGAAAGAATGAATATGTATGGCTAGGCACTATTGAATACCCTGTTTAAATGAATGTAGCAAATCATTTAAATGCTCCAGGGTTTTCTTTTTCTTACCAAAAATCATCTAGGTACATAGGCAATTTAATTATGTCAGCTCAAGCAGTGTGCATTTTTATATCATAAAAAGAATAATTTAGAGTGTATATTTTTATAAAATCACCTTTTTATTTTTAGGGAAAGCAACATGACAGTATGATTTTAGACTCTTCTGTTCAAACTTGCTCTAAGTTGGTTAGATAGTAAAATATTACCTACATGATTAACACAAAACCTATAGGATTGTATTAGTCACCATGTATCAAAAAATAAAAGAAATGTAAAATTATTTATGCAAACAGAATAATGAAATACTGAACACATACACCAATAAGATCTTGTTAAGATCCCAGTGGGCGCAGAATTGAAATACAGACTTTAACAGAAATGTATTACTTCCTACAAAATGTGTTTTTAAAATATTTTCCTAAGAAAGCCTCCTTGGGAAAGATCTTTAAATAAGTACTTGTACTTAAAAAATGCTTATAAATAAGGATATAAACATTGTATCCTGGGAGAAAAAAAAAGTTATGTTAAAATGAACAACTGAATGCTCTGCCTTCCAAATAATAACAGATATAATATGGAGAAGACCTTATGAATCTCGAATGAAACAAGCTCTGCTCAAGTGTGTGTTTTTCCCATGCATTATAGTCAGGGAAAGGAGAAGCCTTGTTGCTGCTCTTCAGTGCCTGGCAGCCAGGTTGGGGGTGATGGGTATGCTACATACCCCTCATGCCTCTCACCAGCTTCTGGGTTATTTGCAGAAATAAGTCCCTAAATTTTAAATTATGCTGATATTTATTATGTTAAAATATTGACAAAATAAATATTTTAAATAATCATCTGGTTTGTTTTGTGTGATTGATTAAAAACACAACATTTTCTTGGTCATTGAAAAGTAGATACTTACCAATTATGATTTATAACAAGAGTATATTATAGTATATTCCATTTATTTTTAATATTTGATCATATGACATATCATTAATATCTAATTAATTTTTATTTTTTATAGATTTAGGAGGTATAATGGCATTTTTGTTACATAGATATATTGCATAGTGGTGAAGCCATTACATAAAGAGTGTACCTTGTACCCATTAGGAAATTTCTCATCTCTCACCTGCTGCCTACTTTCAAAACCTTTCAAATTCTCCAGTATCTATTATTCCACACTCGATGTCCATGTGTACACATTATTCAGCTACCACTTATCAGAGAACATTTGCTATTTGTCTTTCTGTTTCTGAGTCATTTCACTTGTGATAATGGCCTCCAGATGTATTCCTGTTGCCACAAAAGACATGATTTCATTCTTTTCTATGACTAAGTAGTATTCTATGGTATATTTGTACCACATTGTCTTTATCCAATCATCTGATCATGAACACTTAGGTTGATTCCATATCTTTGGTATTGTAAAGAATGCTATGATAAACATACAAGTGTAGGTATCTCTTTGATGTAATGATTTCTGTTCCTTTGGGTAGATACCCAATAGTGAGATTACTAGATCAAATAGTAATTCTATGCTTAGTTCTTTGAGAAATTGCCATACTGTTTTCCATACTGGCTGTACTAATTTGCATCCCACCAACAGTGTATAAGCATCCTTTTTTCTCCGTATCCTCACCAACATCTATTATTCTTGACTTTTTAATAATAGCCATTCTGACTGCATAAGATGGTGTCTCGTTTTGATTTTGATTTGCATTTATTTGATGTTTAGTGAAGTTGAGCATTTTTTAATATGCTTATTGGCCATTTGTAGGTCTTCTTTTGAAAAAATGTCTGTTCATATCCTTTGCCCACTTTTTAATGGGGTTATTTGTTTTTGTTGCTGTTGTTGAGTTGCTTAAGTCCCTTGTAAATTCTAGATATTAACCCTTTGTCATATGCATAGTTTGCAAATATTTTCTCTTATTCTTAGCTTGTCTGATCACTGTTGATTATTTATTTTGTTGTGAAGAAGCTTTGTAGTTAAATTAAGTACCATTTGTCTATTTTAGTTTTTGTTGCATTTGCTTTTGAGGGCTTAGTCATTAACTCTTTGCCTGGGCCAAGGTCCAGAAGAGTTTTTTCTAGGTTTTCTTCTAGTATTTTTATAGCTTCAGGTTTTGGTAATACATTTAAGACTCTAACTCATCTTGAGTTAACTTTCGTATATGGTAAGTGATAGGGTCCAGTTTCATTCTTCTGCATATTGCTCACCAATTTTTCCATCACTATTTTTTAAGCAGGGTGTCCTTTCCCCAAAGTGTATTTTTATTGGCTTTGTCAAAGATCAGTTGGCTGTAGGTGTGTGGCTTTGTTTCTTGGTTTTCTATTCTGTCCTGTTGATCAATGCATCAATTTTCATACAAGTGCCATGCTGTTTTCTTACTGTAGGCTTGTATTATAATTTGAAGTCAGGTAATATGATGCCTCCAGGTTTGTTTCTTTTGCTCAGGATTGCTTTGGCTGTTTGGGCTTTGTTGTTGTTGTTCCATGTGAATTTTTGGATTGCTCTTTCTAATTCTGTGAAAAATGATATTGGTGTTTTGATAGGAATTGCATTGAATCTGTAGATTGCTTTGGGTAGAATGGTCATTTTGACATTATTCATTCTTCCAATCTATGAGTATGAAAAGTTTTTCATTTGTTTATGTCATCTACAATTTATTTCACCAGTGCTTTGTAATTTTCCTTGTAGATATTTTTCACCTCCTTCCATTAATTGTATTCTTAAGTATTTTATTTATTTGTTTGTTTTGTCATATTTATAAATAAAATTGTCTTCTTGATTTGGCTCTCAACTGGCTTGTTATTGGTGTATAGAAATGCTACTAATGTTTTTACATTGATTTTGTATCCTGAAATTTTAGTGAATTTTTAATCAAATCTAGGAGTCTTTTGGAAGAGTCTTTAGGGTTTTCTAGGAATAAGATCACATCATCAGTCAGCAGATAATTTGGCTGCCTTTTTTCCTGTTTGGATCCCTTTTCTCTATTTCTCTTGTCTGATTTATTTGGTGAGGACTTCCAGTAACACGTTGAATAGGAGTGGTGAGAGTGGACATCCTTGTCTTGTTCCAGTTATTGAGGGAAATGCTTTCAACTTTTGCCCATTCAATATGATGTTGGCTGTGAGTTTGTAAGAAATGGCTGCTATTATTTTTAATTTCTTGAATACTTTTATCATGAAGGGATACTATTTTTTTTTTTTACTTTAAGTTCCAGGATACCTGTGCAGTTTGTGAAGATTTGTTATGTAGCTATACATGTGCCATGGTGGTTTGCTGCACTTATCAGCCTGTCATCTAGGTTTTAAGCCCAGCATGCATTAAGTATTTGCCTTAATGCTCTCTCTCCCCTTGCCCCCCAAACCCCAACAGGCCCCAGTGTGTATTGTTCCCATCCCTGTACCCATGTGTTTTCATTGTTCAACTCCCATGTATGAGTGAGAACATGTGGTATTTGGTTTTCTGTTACTGTGTTAGTTTGCTGAGAATCATGGCTTCCAGCTTCATCCATGTCCCTTCAAAGGACATGGTCTCATTCTTTTTTATGACTGCATAGTATTCCATGGTGTATATGTGCCACATTTTCTTTATCCAGTCTATCATTGATGGACATTTGGGTTGGTTCCAATTCTTTGCTATTGTAAAATAGTGCTGTAAAAAGCATACTTGTGCATATTTCTTCGTAGTAGAATAATTTATAATCCTTTGAGTATATAACCAGTAATGGGATTGCTGGGTCAAATGGTATTTCTGGTTCTAGGTCCCTGAGGAATCGCCATACTGTCTCCCACAATGGTCAAGGTAATTTACACTCCCACCAACAATGTAAAAGTGTTCCTATTTCTCCACAGCCTTGCCAGCATCTATTGTTTCCTGACTTTTTAATAATCACCATTCTGACTGGCGTGAAGTACCTCAGTTGGAAATGCAGAAATCACCCACCTTCTGCACTGATCTCGCTGGGAGCTGGAGACCAGAGCTGTTTCTCGTTGCCCATTTTGCCCCCTCCACTGGGATGCTACATTTTTAATACTTTTTCTGCATCTATTGAAATTATTACATGGTTTTTGTTTTTAATTATGTGGTGAATCACATTTATTGATTTACATATGTTGAATTATTCTTAGATCCCTGAAATAAGACACATTTGATCATAGGGTATTATGTTTTCAATGTGCTGTTGAATTCAGTTTGATAGTATTTTGTAGAGGACATTTCCATCTCTGTTCATCAGGAATGTTGGTCTATGGTTTGCATTTTTTTTCGTTGCCTCCTTGCCAGCCTTGATATCTGGGTGATACTGGCTTCATAATATGAGTCAGGGAGGTTTCCCTTCTTTTTAATTTTTTGGAGCCATTTCAGCAGAATTGATACCAGCTCTTTGTACATCTGGTAAAATTCAGCTATGATTCCATCTGGTCGGGGGCTTTTTATCAGTGTTGTTGGGAGATTTTTTGTTTGATTCAATGTTACTGATTATTGTTAATCCAATCAGCATTTCTATTTTTTTCTGTTTCAGTACTGGGAGGTTGTGTCTTTCCAGAAATTTATTTGTTTCCTCCAGGTTTTCTATTTTGTGGTTGTATAGTTGTTCAGACTTTAAGCCTTGACATTGGTAATAGTATTTCCTAAGAATGAAAATCCTTTCCTTTGGTTTGAAAATATGAGAATCTAATGTGGGCTGAAATAAGACTCTAAGGAAAGTAATCAAGTGAATCCACTAAAGGATGGTGATAAAGATTAGCAAAATAATATACTAAATACTCAAAACAATTTTTATTATTTACATTTATTAATCACATTCACACACTATTACTTTTATCCCTGAAGTCATATTTCTTGGATAAATTTTTGCCTTATACTTTAAAAATTCTAATTGTATTCAAACTTTTATATTAGTGATAAACTATTTTTGAGCAATTATATTTTTAATGTTATATTGAGAAAAATAATTTTGTCAACTTGCATAAACGAAAAGAAGTAAAAATTATAAAAATATAGGCTAAGTTTGATTACATAGTTAATGCTAGTTTTAATTTTAATTTTAATTTTTTCAAGTGTCTTTTTCTTTAAATGTGTTTATTTGATTTAACAAGTTCAAACAAATTTTATATTATACCTTATTACCTCCTGAATAATTATCAGTATCAGAAGCACATTACAACTAAAATCCTGTTTTAAATGCACAAATAAAATCTGAACTACATAGACATAAAATATACTCTTAAATATTTAAAAATTTGAAATCACCCCTATTGTATGCATTTTTATCAGAAAATTTAGCATGAAAGTATTTAAAACATGGATTCATATAAAAAAAACCCAGAATTTTTTAAAGTAGAAGACAATGACAAGGAGGTTAATATTAACAATATTATTTGAACATTGATTATAGATAAGGTACTATTCTGGAAGTTTTTGATGAAATCATAATAAGCTATGTACTTTGTGCTCATGGAGCTTACTGCCTGGGAAAGCTGGAAATTCAAAAGGAGCAAACATGTTTTCTCCTTAAAAATATTTCAAATGTTTGAAGCCCAGCTTCCTGGACAATCCACTTTTGTTTTCTTGCTTTTTTAGCTTGAGGAATGTAAGTGAGACTTTTCTCCTGCAATAAGACATCACAATTGTTTTTATACTTTGGAAAGTTTATTAGCATTGAGAATTTATGTGGCAAATAAATCACATTTTTCCTCCTTAATTCAGAACCACTGAGAAATATGGCACACAAAAAGGCAGAGACCCAAATGCTAATTTATTAGTAATACAGATTGAGAATATGGCTATTTTTCTATGGGCAGGTGGGCTTGCTCATAACCACTCCTGCATAGCCTTGTCCATGGGTGGAAACTATCTTGCAGCAAATGCTAGGAAATGGAGTAGTAGAGGATGCTTTAACAGCCAGTCTGAGTCTAAAATGCAGACGGAAAAGGGTAAAGGGTAAACACAAACAGAAAAGGAAAAGTTCAATGTTTCCCTCCCAAACTCACCAGTAAGGTATTTCACTCTTTCCTGGGGTTACAGAGAGGGAGTGAGGTAGTACAGAAGGTAGAATGTTTGTCACGTATTTTTTTTTATGGCTGGTAATTGAAAAATAATTCTCTTGTATAGAAATAGTATAAGTGAAGATTAAAACCTATCACACCTGTACAGTTACTCTGTCAATATATTGGAACCCTATTAGAATGTTTCATCCTTTTTCATTCATTGGTTGCCATTATATAGGTACAACTGCTACAGTCCAACTTTCATTTGAAAAAAAAATTATCATAACTTTTATACTCACCTATTAGAAAATGTGAACTTTTACTTGGAGCCCAGATCAAAGTGGTTGCATAGCAGAGTATGTAACAAATCATAGTTTCTATCACAGTGAGACAGAAATCATTTTATGAATGTCAGGGTGCCAAATTTTGATATTGTTTTACAGCTAATGTTTAACATAGAAGATTTCATATTTTTTATTCCTATTGTGAGAACTACAGTTTAAATCAAAGAGTGTAAACATAACATTTATCTATTTTTCAACAAACATTACTGATAATTGTTTCTTTTGTGTAAAGGAACACAAATCTTCTTGTCACTGAATTGTATAAATCATCTTCCAGTCTGGTGAGAGTCTATTATTAGTGCATCCAATGAAGAAAGCATCTTGCTTTAGTCAAAGAATTATAGAAACTTGGAATTTTGGAAGGACATTAAGGATCATTTCATCTAAATCCTGCATTTTACTAATGAGGTCCAGATGTCTAGACAAGTCAGTTGATTTTCACAAGGTTAGATTTAAATTCATAATAGGCTAAGACTAGAACTCCATTTTCCTTGCTCATTTGTTCACTGTCAAGGCTATAGTTCAGACTGTTCTTTCTCTACGTGGTTCCAATATACACAAATTTGTTATCACAGTTTAGGTACATGACACCAATCGCTAACAACATGGTTCCATTTTCACTTTCCACGGTCTATGAAGTGTGAGTATTTGCATAAAGTGCAAAATTCACTGTCAGCCCTTTCATCCACTAATCAGTAAATAAATAGCAAATGAGCACCATAGTCGGGGGATGGACTTTCAAAGTCTGGCAGTGATTGTTCCTGCGGATCTCTTATCTAATGCATTCACAGATAGCAAAGTACATAGTTGTGTTGCCTCCTTTATCACTGGTAACCCCAGTGATAAATCCATGTGGCATTTTACAAGAAAAAAAAAAGTATAATCAAGGGAGAGAATGGTCCAACAAAGACAAAAGTGCAGCAAAGGAAAAGAAAAACACAAGAATGCTGGAAGTGAAATTGATTATGATTAGGAGATTCAAAAATGGCAATAGCAAAGCGATGCTAGGAGGAAACCTGGGTCTGTGTGAAATTGTGGTACAGACCACATTGAAAATGTACAATGAATAAAACAAACAAAGTAACATCTCTTTAACATATTTTATTTTATTCGCTCTAGGAACAAAAAGTTGTGTATGGTCAAAGTGGAGTGTTTACTTCTTGTGTTAGGTGGAATACACTTCCCAAAATGTCAATGTCCTAAGCTTTGCAACCTGTGAACATGTTACTTTACATGGCAGAAGGTACTTTGCAGATGTAATTTAATTACAAACCTTGAGTTAGAGAGTATATCCTGAATTATCCAGCTGGGCCTAATGTAATCACAAGGTTTTTATAGGAGGAAGACAGAAGGTGACAGTCAAAGAAAGCTTAACAAGGTGAGTGCATCTTATCGTATATGATCTTACAAATGAATAACCTTCCACAGCAAGCTTAGAGGGAAATGTGACTATGGAAGAATGGTCAGAAAGATGCAATGTTACTAGCTTTGAAGATAAAGGGGTAGAGTATGAGCCAAGGTGTATCAGCAGCCTCTAGGAGCTGAAATAGGACAAGAAACAGATTCTTCTCTCCTAGAGCATCCAGAAAGGAACCCAGTCCTGCACACAACTTGATTTTAACCCACTGAGACCTGTGTCAGGCTTTTAACTCACAAAAGTGTAAAGATGATAAGTTTGTATTGTTCTAAGCCTCCACATTTTTGGTAATATGTTACTGCAGCAACATAAAACTAATCCATTTGCTCTTTGAATTGTACATATCATGGCTGACACTTTTATTATATGGTGAAAATAACTTTGCAGAATCTAAATAGAATGTCAGTGGAGCTACAGAATGAATAGCTTACTAGGGAATGTTGACACTGCTGCCATTCCAGTTCCAAGAACTTAGTGAAGGCAGACTTATTTACAGAAATGAGGAAAGTGTGAGAGGATGGAGATGCCCAAGAGGAAGTGATCAGCAAAATCACACTAGAGAAACTCTCAGACATATTTTATGACATTAAAAGCTCCAGGAATGAGAAATATCAGGGGCATATCTACTCTTAAGAAGAAAGAAGTATGAGAATTCACCAAGACATAGAAATATTATGAATAAGTTATGTGATGAGAAGGTAACACTATTCAAACTACTTGTGATAAGTCTTTTACAAAGAAATATAATATTTAATTCTCCATATCTAATACTTTAAATCACAATATTCCAAACAAATACTAGTTTCACTGCATGTTTCATTTCCATATACAGTTGTAGTTGACAGAGAGTTTTAAAATTTTTGACATATTTGCAAAAGTAATGGAGCAACCATATGTTCCATAACACTCCTACTATTATTATTGATAATTATGACCATTTGGCACAGTCCTAGCTTGCATGATCCTTTTGAAGGTCTTGCATTACCATGCAAAGCAAGAGCTGCCTGTATATGATTGTGTGAATATAACACAATTGGATTTTCTGTTTGCTTCTTCGTGGACACGTGGGTTGTTAATAGCATTGCTGTGATCTCGCTTCTACATATATTTTAGTGAACAAATGTGTACATTTTTATTCATATATACTAGAAGGTGAATTGTCATGATAGAAGATATATGAATTTTTAGATTTAGTACAAACTGCCAGGTAAAACCTTCCAAAGGAGTTGTATTAACATTTACAAATTTATATTAATATTTTTATTAGTCCATTTTCACACTGCTGATAAAGACATGCCCGAGATTGGGCGATTTACAAAAGAAAGAGGTTTAATTGGACTTACAGTTCCACGCGGCTGGGGAGGCCTCAAAGTCATGGTGTAAGGTGAAAAGCAGGTCTCACATGGTGGCAGACAACAGAAGAGAAACTGTGCCGGGAACCTTCCCTTTTTAAAACCATCAGATCTCATGAGACTTATCTCTCTATTATGAGAACAGAACAGCACAGGAAAGACCTGCCCCCATGATCCAATTACCTCCCACTGGTCCCTCCCACAACATGTAGAAATTCAAGATGAGATTTTGGTGGGGAAACAGCCTAACCATATCAATATTATAAAAATATGCTAATATTATATGATATTATCACTGTATATAAGTATATAAACTTTTATTTATGTAAGTTGACATTACTTCACCTTAATTCCAAAATTTGGCATTGTTAGCCTTATTTTTTTACCATTTAGTGGAGAATATAGGTATATTTATCATTGCAGTTTAAATTTGCATTCACCTGGAGATTCAATCCCATTTTCTTTGCCTTTTGACTATTTCGTTTTCTATTTAGTCATCTTTCAATTTATTTATTTGTGGGAGTTTTAAAATATGTTATAGTTCTTTATATTGCCTAACTCTTTTATAATCTATGAATTGTTATTCATACGATATTTTTTCTACTTCATTTCTTGCTTTCTCCCTTACCAAAGGATATCCTTTGATGAATAGAAGTTTTAAGCTTGTATGCAATCAACATTTTAATCTATTTTTTTGCCAAGTGCCTTTTTAAGTTAATAAACTTTTTTTCACCCAAAGTAATAATGGCATCCTTAAAGGTATTCTCTTATTTTTTTAGTGGAAGTGTTATAGCAGATTTTTTTTTTCAGATTTACATCTACAATTCCTCTTGAAATAATGTTTGTATATGTGGTAGTGTGATGGTAAAAATTATTTTTGTTTTTTCCATGTGTACATTCAATTTTTCCACTAACATTTGTTCAAAAGACCATCTTTTCCCAACTGATGTGCCAATTTCTCTCTTGAGTTATTCTATCCTCTGATCCCTCTTCTCTTCACACTATGACTACCCACACACTCCTTCTGTAAATCTTCTTTTTCATTGTCCTGTAAGGTTTTAGGCTTGCCTATTTTACTTAATCTGCAACAGAAGCCTCATGGTTAGGCAAAATAAGCTTAGTAAATATACATTACTAAGTAAACGCCTTATACTTAGCAGAGCTTAATTTTGTTCTTAGAAGCAGATCCTGAGATCTCAAACCATTGAGAAAATATGGAGAAGGGAGATCTTTATTCTTACATGGGGGAAATAGGAGATATTTTTAAGAGAAATAGGGAGTGAGGTGAGGCTGGAAAGTCAGGTGGAATTTTAACAGGCAGATAAGAAACCAGCAATTTCAGAAGAGGGAGTAACTTGAGTACAAGCAGAAGGTGATAAAGCTGTTTATGGGAGAGAGAAAAAAATGGGTGTGACAAAACCATGAGGGAATGTGCATTTTAGGATGTGTGTGTGAGTGTATATGTGAGAGAGAATGTGTGTGTGCATATGTGTGCATGCGAGAGACAGTGTGTGCCTGTGTGTGTGTATTTGTGTGCATGTGTTTGTTTGGGTTGAGTGCTAGGTTATAAATCTAAGAGGACAACATATTACCAAGTTCTGAAACTGAGAAAATATGCTTTGGAGTGAATACAGAAAAAAGTACATTGAGGTATGGGAAGAAAATATTAGGTGTTTTGATCTAAATATGACATTGAATGTTAGTAGTGTTCAATATTTGTTTTAGCCAGCGGCATCTTCCATCTTTCATAAGTCAATGAGAGGACTCAAGGTTTCCTGAGAGAAGGATGAGGGTCACATGAGGCAGAGGAATTGTCAGTGGCTCTTGGATTTCTGGCTTTGTTTCTGGTTAGTGTCATAATTTAATAAAGATGTACTTGGTTAAAGTGAATTTATAAATTTTGTTGTCTAGTTTTAGCTGAATTAATGTTTGCAAAAAAGGCACATGGTGAAAATTATCACTGTAAAGAAATGAAAGATGGAAAGTACTGGCAATCATGAAAGTTAAGGCAAACAAAAAGACAAGGGTATAGAGTTACCCTTTCATACCTAAGAGCAGCTCTTTTCAGATATTTATGACGTATGTCAATTATAATCTATTTACCTTTGTGAGTAAAATATAAAAATATGTCATCTAGAAGATTATTAAAAATATGAGTTACTTTCTCTGTTTTTAACAGTTAAACTTTCCCTGCTTTTGTTCTGTGAGAGATTAGCTAAAAATACTATGTCATCATGATCAGCTTACTTTAAAATTAAGCATCCGAAGTCTGAAGGCAAACATTTTTGTTTTTTTGGTGCATTTAGTCATGCAATAGTTAATCCAAAACTTTATAATGTGTACTAAAGTGAATAACCAATGCTTAAGAGCCTCAATTTTCTGCTTTAAAAAACACGATTGAGAAAAAGGAATTCTCACTGTGAGAAAAATGGCTGAAATGTGAAATGATAATCAGAAAACAGTATTACAACAAATTAAATAAATTTATTGTTAGTATATTTTAACCAGAAGACATTAAGAATATAGTTGCATATTTGAAAAATCAAAGATCAGAAACATTAATACTGAATGGGAAGACTTTAGATAAACTCAATGAAAGCATGTGTATATATGTGTTCATGTATGTGTATACATATATGTATGCATGCTTTCATTCAATATGCTGTCATTCAGTGCACATACATATGCTTGTATGTGTATATATGTATATGTATATGTATGTGTATATACATATACATACATGCATGCGCACACACACACACACATACTCACAAATTGTAGCTGCCTCATTCCTTTAAATGGCTGAAAATCATGTCCATGATTCACATAACAAGTTTAGTTTTGCTGAATATTTATGGTATTTTCAACTTTTTATTATCTGTATTAGGAACAGGCCTTATAGTTACTCTACATTGAAACATCTGTGACTAGCAAATTTGTCTAATCAAGCAAAGTATTAGCAAGTCTTTCATTGTCAGATATTTGCTATGTATTCTGATGTCAGCTTTATGAATAAGAAAGTGATATTTCACTCCCTACTTGCTGGATCTGTCCCTCTGTTATTAAATTATTTTGTAATCAGGCAGGAAGCTAGGGTTACTTATTAGCTATTTAAACTTCAGCATGTGATACACTGAGCAGATACATTGAGAAAGAGAAAGGAAGTGAAATTTGATGCTCAAAATAACAGTTGGAAAACACAGCCCTGGTGAGGACTTGATTAGGTGACTTCAGCCATGAGTAAAATAGGCCATTTAAGATTTGACTTTGAAAAGTTAGTTGAGTTTATGGTGGCTTTATCACGGGTGAGATGGTGCTTTTGGAAAAGGTAGGTAGGTATGTTTCTAACAGCTGAGTCTTAATGAATACAGAGAAGTCAATGGAAAGTTTATCAAACTGGTACATGGCTTGATGCCTTTGTAAGTGGCCTGGTGTGGCTTATGTTCATGACACAATACAGGTTGGCCTGGAGGTGCAGGTGGGGCAAGGACACTAACAGCGCATTAAAAGTGATACCAAAAGCACACTGGAAGAGAGATTTCTACTTAAATTGAAGTCTCATGTCAAAAATGAAACAACATTTTAGTAATATTTTTTAAACCGTTACTGATGTTTTTCAGCAAGGTCTTCAAAATAACTAAGTTCTACGTGGTAACCCCAAGAGCACCAGAATATGAAGTTGTATCCTTGAATTGTTAGTGCCATGTTTTATTTATTTATTTTTATTTTACTACTTAAATTTCTTTTTTTTAACATTTTTCTAAATTTAATTTTTAAATATTTTGTTTATTTTATTTTATTGAGACAGAGTCTAGCTCTGTCACCCAGGCTGGAATGCAGTGGCACAATCTTGGCTACTGCAACCTTCACCTCCCAGGTTGAAGCAATTCTCCTGCCTCAGCCTCCCTAGTAGCTGGGATTACAGGTATGTGCCACCATGTCTGGCTAATTTTTTGTTTGTATTTTTAGTAGAGATGGGGTTTCGCCATGTTGGCCAGGCTGGTCTCTAACTCCTGACCTCTTGTGATCTGCCCACCTTAGCCTCCCAAAGTGTTGGGATTACAGGCGTGAGCCACTGTGCCCAGCCAATTTTTTCTTATTTTAAAAATTTGTTAGTGCCATGTTTAGAAAGGCTGTGACAAAATGGCTACGCAAAGTCCTGTTATATTGCACTCAGATAGAAAGGAAAAAAGCAGAGGGTCTTATATTTGGGCTCATTTATGAGGTTTTACTGTCTGTACTTTTTCTATGTCATTATAATTTATTTCATGAATATTACTGAATACGTGTTTGCAATAGTGAGGTGGGATTATGCAAAATATGTCCAAACTCTCTTAAGTACACCACTGATATACACATATATTTATACATTCACATCCTATATAATATTTAATCGTCATAGAAAGCATATTGTACACTAACCTATTCCTTTTTGTTATGTCTTAACATTTTTAACAAAGCTGCTAAGTACCCTGGATGATTGCCAGACAATTCCTTGGTTGACTATTTGATAGCTCTGAGTTAAATGCTAAGCTGTGAATGCAGTAAGTGGTAAATTGACTTGATATTACCAGATGGAGTTTTGCAATTGAGGTTGTTTAGTTCCCATCTTCTCTATGAAATAATAGAATTGAATTGATTCCTACGGAGTTTATCTAGAGAGCTTCAAGTGTCATTCCTTCCACTGTAAGACTGAATAAGCAGCTGTTATGGGCTACCTGTATGAGCAAGCCTGTAGGACAAACTTTAATGAGTTAACATCCTTATGCATTGTTCAAGCCAATATGGATCTTTTCTTCACATTCAGATCAATCTTTTTTCTACACTTTAGCACATGATAGCCTTTGTAATTAGTGCATATAGCATATAATATTTTAGCACACAGTTAATGAGTCCCTTCCCTTAGTTGAATCCTACCAAGATTTTATGAATTTTGGCTGCCAAAGTTAGAACATCAGGTTGAATTTGGTTTAGATTTACTGAAACTCCACTGAAGCACATCGAAAGAAATTTAACATAGACTAGATTTAATTTCAAGAAGGATGTAAATGCATCCTCAGATAGAAAAACTTTATTATTAGGACTCTTACCTCCCTCCTTGCCATACCAAATGGAGCTTAATGAAGAACAGGATGACAACCCACAGGTCTCAGGAAACTTTGTTTTTACATAATAGATTCCTAATCAGACAGAGATAATACCTTAATGGATAAAATTAAATAAAATGAGTAGTAGTACACCTGCCTGTACATTTATTCTTCACTAACATTTGCTTCATGTTTATTTTTCAAAACATCAGTGACTACATCACATATTTTATTTGTATTACATGACCCTTCTCCTCACAATTATTTTGGAAAGGCATATGCATATTGCATTTTGTTAGCTCACTTCTAAGAACACAGTTCTCCTGAGGCCAATGTTACTGTTTCAATTTAGTATTGGCATTATTTTATATGTCCAAACTTGGCCCAGGTGAGCAAGCAAATTTTTTGTATATAAGCCAATGCATGTTCAAAATGCAAATTATGTATTTGAACATAAAGGTATTTATATATATAATATAGTATATAATATATAATATAATATACACACATATATAATATTTATGTTTATTAGTATATGAAAGATAGTTATTACAGGTTACAATCATATTTCCTATGTAAGTTTATCTTTTTTTTTTTTTTTTGAGACAAGGTCTCACTCAGTCACCTAGGCTGGGGTGCAGTGGCACAATCACAGCCCAACGTAGCCTCGACTTCCTGGGCTCAGGTGATCCTCCCACCTCAGCTTCCTTAGTAGCTAGGACTATAGGTGCCTGCCACTATGCCTGGCCAATTTTTGTAGAGATGGGGTTTCAGCTTGTTTCCAAGGCGAGTCTCAAACTCCTGGGCTTAAGCAATCCACCCACCTCAGCCTCCCAAAATTTTGGCATTACAGACATGAGCCACTGTGCCCAGCCTATGTAGGTTTATCTTTCCAGATACCTAGAGAACACTTAATATATAAGCAGTATATGTTTTTTGAAAGACTAGTTGTCTGAAGTGTGGATGCATTTACTCGTCTTTATAATATTTGAATTGCCTCAATCAATTTTTTTATGTCCTCAATTCCTTTTTTAATTTTTATTTTTATTTTATTTTTCCATAAGTTATTGCGGTACAGGTGGTATTTGGTTACCTGAGTAAGTTTTTAGTGGTGATTTGTGAGATTTTGGTGCACCCATCCCCTAAGCAGTATACACTGCACCACATTCATAGTATTTTATCCCTTGACCCCTCCCAGTCTTTCCCCCAAGTCCCCAAATTCCACTGTATCATTCTTATGCCTTTGCGTCCTCATAGCTTAGCTCCCACATATCAATGAGAATATATGACGTTTGGTTTTCCATTCTTGAGTTACTTCACTTAGAATAATAGTCTCCAGTCAAATCCAGGTCACTGCAAATTATATTAATACATTCCCTTTTATGGCTGAGTAGTATTCCATCACATATATATATATACCGGTTTCTTTATCCACTCCTTGATTGATGGGCATTTGGGTTGGTTCCATGATTTTGCAATTGTGAATTGTGCTGCTATAAACATGCATGTGCAAGTATCTTTTTTGAATAATGACTTCTTTTCCTCTGGGTAGATACCCAGTAGTGGGATTGCTGGATCAAATGGTAGTTCTACTTTTAGTTTTTGAAGAATCTTCACACGGTTTTCCATAGAAGCTGTACTACTTTACATTTCTGCCAGCAGTGTATAAGTGTTCCCTGATCACTGCATCCATGCCAACAACCGCTGTTTTTTTTATTTTTTTTTATTATGGCCATTCTTGAAGGAGTAAGGTGGTATCACATTGCGGTTTTGATTTGCGTTTCCCTGATCATTAGTGATGTTGAGCATTTTTTCATATGTATGTTAGCCATTTGTATATTTTCTTTTGAGACTTGTTTATTAATGTCCTTAGCCCACTCTTTCATGGGATTGTTTGTTTTTTTTTTTTTTCTTACTGATTTGTTTGAGTTTGTTGTAGATTCTGGATTAGTCCTTTGTCAGATGTATAGAGGTGAAGATTTTCTCCCACTCTGTGGGTTGTCTGTTGACTGTTCCTTTTGCTGTGCAAAAGCTCTTTAGTTTCATTGCATCCAAGATATTTATCTTTGTTTTTATTGCATTTGCTTTTGGGTTCTTAGTCAAGAAATCCTTGTGTAAGCCAATGTCTAGAAGGGTTTTTTTCCAATGTTATCTTCCAGAATTTTTACAATATCAGGTCTTAGGTTTAAGTTCTTCTTGAGCTGATTTTTGTATACGGTGAGAGATGAAGATCCAGTTTCATTCTCCTGCATGTGGCTAGCCAATTATCCCAGCACCATTTGTTGAAAAAGGTGTCTTTTCCCCACTTTATGATTTTGTTTTCTTTGTTGAAGATCAGTTGGCTGTAAGTATGTGGGTTTATTTCTGGGTTCTCTATTCTATTCCATTGGTCTATGTGCCTATTTTTATACCAGTACCATGCTGATTTGGTGACTATGGCCTTATAGTATAGTTTGAAATCAGGTAGTGTGATGCCTCTAGATTTATTCTGTTTGCTTAGCCTTGCTTTGTCTATGTGGGCTCTTTTGTGGTTCAATATGAATTTTAGAATTATTTCTAACAATTTTGTTGCAATTGTTTTTGGCATCTTTGTCATGAAATCTTTGCCGGTGCCCATGTCATGAACAGTATTGCCTAGGTTGTCTTCCAGGGTTTTTATAGTTTTGGGTTCTACATTTACATTTAAGTCTTTAATCCATCTTGTGTTGATTTCTGTATGTGGTGTAAGGAAAAGGTCCAGTTTCAGCCTTCTGTATATGTCTAGCCAATTATGTCAGCACAATTATTGAACAGGGAATCCTTCCCCCACTCCTTGTTTTTCTCAGGTTTATCAAAGATCAGATAGTTGTAGGTATATGGCCTTATTCTGGTCCATTATTATATGTGTCTGTTCTTGTACTGGTACCATGTTGTTTTGGTTACTGTAGCTTTGTACTATAGTTACAAAGTACTTTGTACTATAGTACTGTAGCTTTGTACTATAGCTGGGGTAACGTGATGCCTCCAGCTTTGTTCTTTCTGCTTAGGATTGCCTCGGCTTTTCAGGCTCTTTTTTGGTTCCATGTGAATTTTGAAATAGTTTTTTCTAGTTCTGTGAAGAATGCCAATGATCATTTAATAGGTATAGCATTGAATCTATAAATTGCTTTGGGCACTATGGCTATTTTAATGATATTGATTCTTTCTATATATGAGCATGGAATATTTTTTCATTTGTTTGTGTCATCTCTGAATTATTTGAGTGGTATTTTGTAGTTCTCCTTGTAAAGATCTTTCACCTACCGTGTTAGCTGTATTTCTAGGAATTCTGTTTTTTTGTTTGTGGCAGTTGTGAATGGGAGTTTGTTTCTGATTTGGCTCTCAGCTTGACTTTTGGTAGTATATAGTATTGCTAGTGATTTTTGAACATTTATTCTGTATCCTGAGACTTTGCTGAAGTTGTTTATCAGCTTAAGAAGCTTTTGGGCTGAAACAATGGGGTTTTCTATATATAGGATCATAACATCTGCAAGCAGAGATAGTTTGACTTCCTTTCTTCTTATTTGGATTTCCTTTATTTCTTTCTCTTGCTTCCAATACTATTAGAAGTGGTAAGAGAAGGCATTGTTGTCTTGGGCCTGTTTTCAAGAGGAATGCTTCCAGCTTTTGGCCATTTTGTATGATGTGGGTTTGTCATCAATGGCTCTTATTATTTTGGGGTATGTTCCTTCAATTTTAGTTCATTGAGAGTTGTGAACACGAATGAGTATTGAAATTTATCAAAAGCCTTTTCTGCATCTATTAAGATAATCACGTGGTTTTGTCTTTAGTTCTGTTCATGTGATGAATCACCTTTATTGATTTGTGTAGGTTGAACCAACCTTGCATTCCAGGGATAAAGCCTACTTGATTATGGTGAATAAGCTTTTTGATGTGCTACTGGATTCAGTTTGCCAGTGTTTTGCTGAGGATCTTTGCATTCATGTTCATCAAGGATATTGGCTGAAATTTCCTTTTTGTGTGTGTGTCTCTGCCAAGTTTTGGTATCAGAATGATGCTGTCATCATAGAACAATCTGGGAGGGAGTCAGAATAATCTGGGAGGGAGTCCTTTATCCTCAATTTTTTGAAATAGTTTCAGTAGTTACCAGCTCTTCTTTGTACATCTGGTAGAATTCAGCTGTGAATTTGTCTGGTACTGGGCTTTTCTTATGGAAGGCTGTTTATTACTGCCTCAATTACAGAGCTTGCTATTGGTCTGTTCAGGGATTCAATTTCTCCCAGGTTCAGTATTGGGAGACTGTATGTGTTCAGGAATGTACCCCTTTTTTCTAGATTTTCTAGTTTATGTGCATAGAGCTGCTTCTAATATTCTCCAATGATTGTTTATATTTCTGTGGGGTTAGTGGTAATATCCCCCTTGTCATTTCTGATTGTGATTATTTGAATCTTCTCTCTTTTCTTTTTTATTGATCTAGCTACCTTTTTTTTTTTTTTCAAAAAATCAGCTACTGGATTCTTTGATTTTTTGAATTATTTTTCATGTCTTAATCTCCTTCAGTTCAGCTCCAATTTTGGTTATTTATTGTCTTCTGCTAGCTTTGGGATTTGATTGCCTTTGGTTCTCTAGTTCTTTTAGTTGCAATGTTAGGTTGTTCACTTGAGATCTTTCTAACTTTTTCAAGTGGGCATTTAGTGCTATGAATTCCCCTTTTAACTCTGCCTTAGCTGTGTCCCAGAGATTCTAGCATATTGTTTCTTTTATCTCATTAGTTTCAAAGAACTTTTTTCTCATTAGTTTCAAAGAGCTTCCTGATTTCTGCCTTTATTCCATTATTTACCAAAAAGTTATTGAAGAGAATGTTATTCAATTTTCATGTTAAGTGTATGATTTTGAGTGAATTTCTTCATCTTGATTTCTAATTTGATTGCACTGTGGTCTGGCATTTTCTGAGGAGTGTTCTACTTTCAATTATTGTATTGATTTTAGAGTATGTGCCATGATTTGATGAGAGGAATATATATTCCATTGTTTCCTGGTAGAGAGTTCTATATATTATCTATCAGGTTTATTTGATCCAGTGCTAAGTTCAGGTCCTGAATATCTTTGTTAACTTTCTGTCTTAATGATCTGTTTAATATTGTCAGTGGTTGTATAAAAGTCTCCCACTATTATTGTGTGAGATTCTAAGTCTCCTTGAAGGTCTCTAAAAACTTGCTTTGTGAATCTGAGTGCTCCTGTGTTGGATGCACATAAATTTAGGACAGTTAGATCTTCATATTGAATTGAACCCTTTACCATTATTTAATGCCCTCCTTTGTCTTTTATGGTCTTTGTTGGTTTAAAGTCTGATTTGTCAGAACTAGGATTGCAACCCCTGCTTTATTCTATTTTCCATTTGTTAGATTTTTCTCAATCCCTTTATTTTGAGTCTATGTGTGTTACTGCCTGTGAAATGGGTCTCTTGAAGACAGGATGCCAATGGGTCTTGGTCCTTTATTCAGCTTGCCATTCTGTGTCTTTTAATTGAGGCATTTAGCCCATTTTAATGTTAGTATTTATATGTGCAGATTTGATCCTGTCATCATGATGTTAGCTGGTTATTTTGCAGACTTGTTTATGTGGTTACTTTATAGTGTCACTGGTCTGTGTACTGCAGTGTGTTTTTGTAGTGGGGGGGGTAATGGTCTTTCCCTTCCATATTTAGTGCTTCCTTCAGTAGTTCTTTTAAGGCACATCTGGTGGTAACAAATTTCCTCAGCATTTGCTTTTCTGAAAACGACCTTATTTCTCCTTTGCTTATGAAGCTTAATTTGGCTGGATATAAAATTATGGGTTGGAAATTATTTTCTTGAAGAATGTTGAATATTGGCACCCAATTTTTCTGGCTTGTAGGTGTCAGCTGAGAGGTTTACCGTCAGTCTGTGGGGCTTCCCTTTGTAGGTGTAGGTTATATATTTCTTTATAGAATTCCAAATATTGGTGGCATTTTTTTCTTCAGTTTAATATATAAAATAGAGAATTTTAATGAAATCTTGAGAAATAGTGAATATTCATGAAAAGATTTAACATTGTTTTATCTGTGCCATATGTATAATTTGTTTTACCTTTATTTCCAGTAGCACACACCTACCCACACAAACCCTACTAAAAACTGTCTATTAGAGTAGTGTCTATCCTACTAGTTTATAAACCAAAGTCTTTTTTCCCAATGTTTTTTATCCCCCCAAAGGTTATTAATGATAATGCTCCTTTCTAAGAGAATAAAAAACTATAAAGTTGGCTTTTATTTAATTGTAATTTAAGATTTGATCTGTTCATTGAGTTCTTGGGAAATATATGCCTTATAGGGGAAAAAATGGTAAAGTAGTAATTTATATTTTTACATCTAGACTCAATTATGTACCGAAATAATAACACTGGACCAATCATCTAACTTTCCAAAACTCAACATTCTCATTTGTAGTATAATTTAAAATGACACCTACCTCAAAACATTTTATCAAATTTATATGGCATAGTATCTAAAACATTCCCTTATATATGATATACTGATATTGATCCAATATCAGTTGAGTATTTATTTTAATCACTGAAAAGGTAATTGTACCAAGGTAGACATTTGAAAAATTAGAGAAAAGTTGTAACAAAATGTTTGCTAAGGTTGCAATGACTGGCTATGTAACCATGGACATTTTAGACCTCAGTATACTTATCTGTAAATAGAGATATAATAAAAATTAATAGAGCTATAGTTAGGATTAAATGAGATAATATGTCCAAAACTCCTATCACAGGTATTGACACACTGTAAGCATTCAATACAGTTAAACTATTATTATTTTGTTTTATAAACTGTGGCTGTTAAGACTGTGCTCTCTGTCAGCCAACAGATAAAAGCAATATTGAAAATTCAAGAATGTTGTTGTGGTGACCATAAACCTGCTAGTTACTATATTTATATATGTTATTATGTTCCTTAACACCATTTTTCTGCTCAGTATAAGACATCAGCATATAGAGGCAGCTCTAATGTCATTGTAATCTGAGTAATTTAATAGTATTTGAAAAAGCATATAAATCTCACAAACATATAATAAATGCTCCTTAATATTAAAAAATGGTCTACACTGTGTCGTTGTTCTAAGAAGAGTTTGGTTATATTATCTTCAGTCATTCTGCAACCACTTTAATTAGGCTAACATCATTGTCCAACAGCTTGCTAAGAGGGCCTATGATTCTACAATAACTTGGTACTTAGGGACTTAAAAGAAATCTAAGTATGTCTTAATTTAGCATATCAAGGTGACATGCTTGCCAAGTGCTTTGAAACAATTATTAATTTAAGTATTTTAAGTATTCTCTCTGAAATATAATTTAAAATTTTGATTTGAAGAAAGTATTTGATAATGGAGAAATATTAATATGCCCCTTTACACTTGCCTCTGATATATCAATAATATAATTAAAATTACTAAATTTAATTGCTAAAAGGGGATAAATATTTTAGTTTCTTTATCAACTGGAATTTTCCTAGGATATCCTAAAATTCTTAATATGGTGAAATAGTAATCAATAAACAGTAATTTAATATTTTCAATTTGATTTATGGAATTGTATTTTTATTCAGAATATAGAGGTACTTGAAGAAATTAAGATATGTTTCCTTTTGGCAGTGAAATGAAAATGATGATAAAATTAGTTATCATTTAAGTTCTTTATTGCTTTTTAGAAATATATTTTTTCTGTTTTTGTAAAAGTTTAGACATAAGCTATATACATATTTTGAAAAGCTGATTTTAAGAAATGCCAATTAGAAAATGATATTAAATGTCAGAAAGAGCCAAATTATCACATTAATACAAATATTGATGCAAAAATCCTCAATAAAATACTGATAAACTGAATCCAGTAGCACATCAAAAAGCTTATCTACCACAATCAAGTTTCGTTCATCCCCAGGATGCGAGGTTGGTATAACATACACAAATCAATAAATGTGGTTCATCACATAAACAGAAGTAAAACCAAAAACCACATGATTATCTCAATAGACATAGAAAAGGCCTTCAATAAAATTCAACACCCCTACATGTGAAAAACTCTCAATAAACGAGGTATTGAAGGAACATACCTCAAAATAATAAGAGCAACTTATGACAAACCCAAAGCCGGTATCATACTGAATGGGAAAAAGCTGGAAGCATTCCCCTTGAAAACCAGCACAATACAAGAATGCCCTTTCTCACCACTCCTATTCAAAATACTGTTGGAAGTACTGACCAGGGCAATCAGGCAAGAGATAGATAGAAATAAAGGCATTCGAGTAGGAAGAGAGGAAGTGAAATTGTCTTTGTTTGCACATAACTTAATCCTATATAGAGCAAATTCCACTGTCTCAGCCCAAAAGCTTCTTAAGCTGATAAACCACTTCAGCAAAGGCTCAGGATACAAAACCAATGTGCAAAAATCATACACATTCCTATACACCAACAACAGACAAGAAAAGAGCCAAATCATGAATGAACACCCATTCACAATTGCTAGAAAGAGAGTAAAATACGTAGGAATACAGCTGACAAGGGAAGTGAAGGACCTCTTCCAGGAGAACTACAAGCTACTGCTCAAGGAAATCAGAGAGGACACAAACAACGGAAAAACATTCTATGCTCATGGTCAGGAAGAATCAATATTATGAAAATGGCCATCCTGCTCAAAGTAATTTATAGATTTAATGCTATTTACATTAAACTACCTTTGACATTCTTCACAGAACTAGAAAAAACTATAACTTATATGAAACCACAAAAGAGCCTCTGTAGCCAAGACTAAGCAAAAAGAACAAAGCTGGAGGCATCATGCTGCCAGACTTCAAACTACACTACAAAGCTAAAGTAACCAAAATAGCAAGGTACTGGTAGAAAAAAAACAGACACATAGACCAATGTAACAGAATGGAGAATTTATAAATAAGACTGCACATCTATAACCATATGATCTTTGACAACTCTGACAAAAACAAGCAACAGAGAAAGGATTCCCTATTCAATAAATGATTCTGGCATAACTGGTTAGCTATAAGCAGAAAATCGAAGTGGACCCTTTCCTTACACCTTATACAAAAATTAACTCAAGATGGATTAAAGAAAAATGTAAAACCCAAAATTATAAAAATCCTAGAATGAAATCTAGGCAATACCATTCAGGACATAGGCACAGGCAAAGATTTTATGACAAAAAATGCCAAAGCAATGGCAACAAAAGCAAAAAATGACTAATGAGACCTAGTTAAACTTAACAGCTTCTGCACAGCAAAAGAAACTATCAATCATCAGAGTGAACAAACAACCTACAGAATGGGATAAAATTTTTGCAATCCATCCATCTGACAAAGGCCTAGGGTCTACAAGGTACTTAAACAAATTTATAAGAAAAAGAAAAAAAAACTGCATATAAAAGTGGGAAAATGATTTTAACAGACACTTCTCAAAAGAAAACATTTACGTGGCCAAGAAACTTATAAAAATTCAGCATCAGTGATCACTAGAGAAATGCAAATCAAAACCACAATGAGATATCATCTCATGCCAGTTCAGAATGTGATTATTAAAAAGTCAAGAAAAAACACATGCTGACAAGGTTGCAGAAAAATAGGAATGCTTTTACACTGTTGGTGGGAATGTAAATTAGGTCAACCATTGTGGAAGACAGTGTGGTGAATCCTTAAAAATCTAGAACTAGAAATACCATGTGACCCAGCAATCCCACTACTGAGTATGTACCCAAAGGAATATAAATCATTCTATTATAAAGATACATGCATGTGTATGTTCATTGCAGCACTATTCATGATAGCAAAGGCATGGAACCAACCAAAATGCCCATCACTGATAGACTGCATAAAGAAAATGTGGTATATTTACACCACGGAATACTATGCAGCCATACAAAGGAACAAGTTCATTTCTTTGCGAGGACATAGATGGAGCTGTCAGCCCTTATCCTTAGCAAACTAACACAGAAACAGAAAACCAAACACCACATGTTCTCACTTATAGGTGGGGGTTGAACACTGAGAACACATGGACACAGGGAGGGAAACAACACACACTGGGGTCTGTTGGGGGATGTTAGAGGAGGGAGAGCATCAGGAAAACCAGTTAATGCATGCTGGGCTTAATACCTAGGTGATGGGTTGATAGATGCAGCAACCACCATGGCACAGGTTTACCTATGTAACAAACCTGCACATCTTGCACATGTACCCTGGAACTAAAAAAAATAAATAAAACAGCAACAACAATGATTGATAGCAACAATAAGCCAATAGTATTTACTGAAAAACATGTTTAATTAATAAAAGTCCAGTAAAATTTTTTGAAAGATGATTAATATTAAAAAAAAGTTCTAAATACCAATAACAATTAGATGGTATTAAGAAAAACAGGTTATATTTGGGGTGTATAACTAGAAATCAATTTGACAAGGCATGGTAAGCCATATACAGAGAAATTGTGACACTACTGAAAGTCAGTAAAGCAGATTAATAAATGTAGACATATACTATTGTTTGGAAAAACTTAAATGCCTTTAGGATATCAGTTCTTTTCAATTTAATTTACAATGAAATGCCACTTTATTTAGAATCCAAACTAGCTTTTTACAGATTTGACAAGCCAACTTTAATATTCATGGGAAAATAAAAGACCAACTTGTAACAGTAGGGGCTTTGGAGAAGAGGAAAAAGTGAGCATCTATAAGACATTAAGATGACTATAAGGAGATAATATATGAAGCAGTAGGTTATTGATCTTGGAAACAAAACAGTAAGCCTATGGTTTGTCAAACATGTTGGGAAGATTAGTATATTACAAATGACTTTACAGATAAATAATGGCAAGATGGATTAACAAAAAAAATTTGAACTTTACCTCCATCCATGAACCAAAAAATTGGGGTATGTACATTAACTAAATATGAAAAACAAAATGATACATACTTAGAAGAAAATATGGGTAAAACAATTCATTATACAAAAACAGGATAAGGCCAGGCATGGTGGCTCACACCTGAAATCCCAGCAATTTGGGAGGCCTATTGCTTGAGTCCCGAAGTTCAATCCCAGCCTGGGTAACATAGTGAGATCCCATCTCTACAAAAAAATATAAAAAGTTAGCCAGGTGTGGTGGTGTTCACTTGCAGTCCCAACTACCTGGGACTAAAGCAGGAAGATTGTTTGAGTATGAGAGGTGGAGGCCGCAGTAAGCCATAATCATGCCACTGCACTCTAGCCTTGGTGACAGACACCTTATTTAAAAAAAAAAAAAATTAGATGAGATTTTCTAAACATGTCATTATAAAAGAGGAGAAATAGTTATTCTAAATAAAGCATGTTAAAAAGTCTCTATACCATAAGACAAACATGAATCAATGAAAAAGACAATCCATAGATAGGGTAATTAGATATTTGTAAAAAAAAATGCATCACTGACAAAAGATTAGAATCTAGAGTATATAATGAGCTTTTAGAAATCTATAAGAAAAAGAAGAATCCCCTACAAGAACAGCCAAAACACTTAGAAGGCACACACACAGCCAATTAACAAACTAATGATGCACAAACATAACTGGAATCAGGGGAATGAAATTTAAAACATTGAGATACCATTTCCTACATTCATTTTTGGCCAAAAAATATCTATCACCAGATATTTCTGTAAATTAACAAGCATAATGTTTTCTTAATTTGGTTGTTTAGTTCATCAATTTAATTTTTCTGCTTTTCTGTGGGTGGAGGAAACAGGATATCACTTTGTCAACCACACTGGAGTGCAGTAGTGGACTCATAGCTCACTGCAGCCTCAACCTCCTGGACTAAAGCAGTCCTCCCACCGTGGCCTCCTGAACAGCTGAGACAACAGGCATGCACCACCACGCCTGGCTAATTCTTTCTAATTTTTCTGTAGAGATGGGTTTCATTTTGTGGCCCAGGTTGTCTCAAACTCCTGGCTTCAAGTGATCTTCCTGCCTTGGCTTCCCAAAGTGCTGTGAGGCCAAAGTGTTGAAACATGTTGGGACTTTTGCCTTTTCTAAAACTCTTGGATACATCACTATCCTCATAAAGCCACTATGCATTGCATGTATAATGCCTACCCCCATCTGAAACCTGCTCTACTTTTAGGCTCCCTTATTCCTTAAAAGTTATTGTTCACCCAAATATCAAGGCCTCAATCCAGTGTCATCACTGACTCTTCTCTTCCATATTGGCCAAATCTGTTGGAACTACATTTAAAACAAATCCTATTTCAAACATTTCTCACCACCTCCAGTTCTGCCCACTTATTGCTCACGGCTACTACCTCTTTTCTAAATTGATACAAAGATCTACTAATTGCTTTCATTCCTGCCCCACTCTTTGAAATGTCAAGTAGTTCTTTCCACTCACGTGTTGAAAACCCTTTAGTAGACTATGATGGATGACAGGTCTCTAAAAAGATTAGTCCTAGTTCATTCCTATCAATCTCATTGTCGATGCTCTGTCCCCACACACCATGCTACATCATCTCATCCTTGTTATTTCTTGACCAAGCCAAGCTCACTCCACAGCATGACTTTGTACTTGCTGCACAGCTATGTTCTCCTTCCTATCTGCATGCTTTTGCCACTCATATGGTTAGGTCTCTGCACAAATGTCAGTTCCTCAGAGTTTTTCTCTACCCCTGTCACTCTTAACTGTTAATCTGTTTTTGTTTCTTTTCCATAGTTCCTCATTACAACTGAAATTTTATATATATATATATATATATATATATTTTTTTTTTTTACTAATAGTTTGTGTGTTGTCTCTTTTCCCTGATAAAATTTAAGCCTCTCAGGAGCAAAGACTTCATCTTTTTTATGGTTGTGTCCTCTGTGAGTAGAAGATTGCCTAATGCCTGCTAAATATTTGTTATATATTTTTATATAATAAATAAATATTGCTCAATTTAGATAGTAATAATGAAGTGGCAGACAATTGACTCTTATGGAATTAAGGAAAACATTGGCAAATTTAAGTCATATTTTATTTTATAGATTTTTGCCAGGAAAAAAAGATTATTAAAATAATCCTATCTCGAAAAGCAGCTTTTTAACTTCAGTTTGCAAATTTCAAGCTGAGTTAAATCTATATTGGTATTGCTGCTGTGTTTGATGGGACTTTCAACCAATTTTGAGCACCACTGATTCATAGTGTAGTTTAACTAAATTGTAGGAAGCAAAATACAGTTGTTTTGTGCATAACCAATGTATTCCTTGGCAGTAATTCATCTGCACTAGGCAAAGCCACCTACTGCTTCAAGAGCACAACCATTTCTTTCTATTACTGTAATCACATTATTCCAGAGCTTGGCAGTGATGGATAAGCATATCAAAAGATTGAGAATTTTGCATAATGGTGATGTTGTGGACCATTCAAATTGCCTTTCAAATAGCCAACTGTCTTTTTCCAATAGGAACTTGTAATTTCGTACTGGTCAGGGAAAAATAAGAATAGTGAGGTCTATTTTCTGCATAAATCAATGTGTTATTTTAAAATAAGAGTACTAACTAATCAATTTATTCCAGATTTATTAAGTAAACAAATTTATAGGTTGAGTTAAGTCTCTAGCCAAGAATCATAACTTCTAATTACATCCCCATTACAGGGTTAAAAGTGAATTATTTTTATATTACTATTGTTTTAGAAATCCAGTGCATGATAACAATACATCTAAAATGTTACATGAAAAAGGCTGACACTGATGAATAATGGAGCAAAAGATGGGAATACTAATGAGCTCCATGGGCTATTTCCAAGCCAGTGAAGCCCAGGACTGGTCATAATCCCTGGCTAAATAACCCTGAACTACTATCTTCCATATTTATCCCAATCCTTACATTCTTAAATAGATTAAATCAGGAAAAGTGGAACAACATGACAACCTTGAAAGATAAAACATCATAAGTCCCTGTCTCTCTCTCACTCTCTCTCTCTCTCTCTCTCTCTCTCTCTCACACACACACACACACACACACACACACACTCATATATAGTATTATCAGTTTGTATGTCAGTTAGTCCCATATATTTGTCTTGGTGATGAAGGAAGATGATAAATATTAGGAAGACAACTATAGCAGAGCAAGGGGATAGCAACTAGAGGTGGAGGTGTTAAAAGGCCTTATTAAGAAGGTGAGCCTGTGTAGTGATCTGAATAAAGTGAGATAACCAGCCATGTAGATAATGTTAAAAACCAGCCCAAAGGAACAGCAGCTGCCAAGGCCCTAAGCTGGGAATATTCCTGCTGTGTTCAGGGAACATCAAGGAAGACAAAGTCATCTAATGAATAAAAAGGAAGATCGGTAAAAGGCAAAGTCAGAGAGGTAATCATGGCATAGTCACATTGTGGCAATGATAAGGGCTTTGATTTCTCCTTTGAGTATCATGGGAAGCCATTAGAAGGAGTGGCATAATCTAGTTTATGTTTTAACATTTACATTTTGTCTTCTATGTAATAAATATTTTGAAGTGGATATGGGCAGAAGATTATCTAACCTAGAGTGTCTTCCAGTTGCCTAGGAATGAGAAAATTGTTACTTGACCAATACAGTGATTGTGGAGATGGTGAGAAATACAGATAATCCCTGACTTATGTTAGTTCACTTATGATTTTCCAACTTTACAATGATGTGAAAGTGATGCATTCAGTAGAAACGACACTCTGATTATTCATTCTGTTTATTATTTTCAATACAGTATTCAATAAACTACATGGGATATTCAGCACTTCATTATAATAATGGGCTTGGTGTTAGATGATTTTGCCCAACAGTAAGAGAATGTAAGCGTTCTAAGCATCTTTAAATTTAGCAGGGCTAAGTAAGCTATACTGTTCAGTAGCTTCGGTGAATAAAGTGCAGTTTTTGGCTTATGTTATTTTCAGCTTATGATGGGTTTATTAGGACATAATCCATCATAAGTTCAGGTATATCTGTAGTTCAAATCTGGATAAATTTTTAAGGGAGAATAAAGAAGATTTTAGTGGGATTTGTTGATAAGCTTTCATTATTTTAAGATGACTTTTTTCAACTATAGAATGATTATGGATAGTAATATTTATTATACTTTTTTTAAGTTTATGTTGTATGTATTTGGACCTTTGAATCTTCACATTTTATTACATAATCAATTTATGAGACTGGCAGTCCAAACACTGTGGCCTATAATTTTATTTCTAAGAAAACTGGAGGACCACATAGTAGTTAAAAAAAAAAAAACTAGATATTGCAATGATCAGCTATCAAAACAAGCCACCTGTTTTCTCTCCAAAAACCCTCATTTTTAGATAGGTTAACTAATCTGTACTTAGCAGGTGTTAATTAATGGAAGCAAAATGACTTTTATTACAGAATATGGAACTTATTAGAATAGTTTAAACCCTTGTTTGTGTTCTTTCTAAACTTATAACATGACTTTGAATCAGAATGTATACATGTATGTACACTGTGCATACCTCAACTCTGTGCTAAATCCAAAATTCTTAAAATCATCATCACTTGAAAAAAAAATAAAAATTTAGCATGGAATAATTGCAATAAAACCAAAACAGTATTACTGAATCTTGAAATAAGGGCAGCCTTATAAACTTTTATTCTTCCATTGTTTCTCTTCTCAGACTCACTCCACACCCTGCTTTCTAGCTCAGTCCTTGTGAGAACTTATGATTATAATTTTTTATATACTGACTATTGTCTGGATCTTTCATTGGATTTTATCAACCGTATCTGAATAACTTCCAGAAATAGATGATCTTTTCTTACCTGGAATATTTTGCACCATGTTATAAAGTCTGTTTTTCCTCCCATCACAATGCACAGGTGGCATCTACACTGCCTGTGTCTCTGTGAGCCTCACAGTCATTGAATTCACACTTCAGTGAATTCCCCGAGAGGATGGTGTCCACACAGTGGCCATTTGCTTAGTACCTCAGGAAAATTTTGATGGTACTATAATTCTTGAAAATTTTTCTTGGCCCCAGTAGCTTCAGATTATTTGAAATGAAAAGATTAATTGGGAAATACAAAAAGATAAAAGTGGCACAAGGAAAAGAAAGGAGAGAAGCATACCATAAAGAATATTGGTGACATGAGCACAGAAGTGTACCTCTCTATCCAGCTGTGTGGTTTATTTTCTAACTTCTGGTTAGAACATGTAATGAACAATGACTCTTGCTTTCATAGGTTGTTCTCTAATGTATTTTCATTGTTATGTTAATAATATCATTACAAAATATTAAATGTCACTATAAATTGCCTTCCTTTGGATTGTGTTCAACAGGAGTTTGGTAGCCAGCACAATTAACTCCCAGAGATATTCATGCCTATTTCTTGGAGACTGTAGAAATCGTTAGTCAGTCCTGTAAGAAACCAAATTCTGCCGACAACCTAAAGGAACAGGGAGTAGAGCCTCCCCTAAGACATCCAGAAAAAAGAAAAAAAAAAAAACAGCCCTGCTGAAACTTCGGTTTTAGCCCAACGAGAACCATATTGGACCTCAGTTCTACAGAACTGTAAGGTAATAAATTTCAGGTGTTTTAGACCACCAAGTTTGTGGTAATGTGTCACAGCAGCAACAGAAAACTAATTCAAGGAGTGACTTTCTTTGTTGCCCACTCTATCCATGCCACTAGTGAAATAATAAGTGTAAGATATATTCTGGAGGTGAGAATCAACTTGACAGAAATTTTGAGTTACATAACTGCCATCATGGGGCACTCAATGACTGGGCCTACGAGATAGAGATGTTTTTATGAAGCTTAGAGGCCTATACATTTGGAGAAATAATCAGAGATCAGATGGCAATTTTTTTTGTGCTTCTGACTTTAGAAGCTCTGCTATTTGCCTCATGAACTGAAAATGCAGAAATAGTTACTTAGAGTACCTGTGGGTTCAGTAAAAGTTTCTTCATGTCCTCCAATATAGATCGTAAATAATAAAGGACATCTTAAATGAAAATTTAAAGAATGCACCGTATTTCCCCAGAAATTCAGCTTTACCTATAACTTGTTTTTAAATAAACAGTTGAATATTAAAAATGAGTGCTGATGAGAGTCTACCACCAACAGCTTTCCTAGGCATTGGTGTGTTTTTCTGAAATTTGGTTGCTTTTTTCCTGATCCCCAGCTTAGATCATCTTACATTTCATTGGTATACGTGATTTCTTTACCCTTCAGACTGCAACAAGGCTGAATCAAATTTTAGGTCTTAATTCTTGGGCATTCAGCTAGGCATAGAATCTGTCTTCCAGATCTCAGGAACTGGTAGTTGAAGGTTTAAATGTCCTACCCTTCTACTTCTCGGTCACCACCTGAGAACCCAGCCTTCACGATTCTCTTTTCCATCTTGATTACTTAGAAGCAAGCTATTAATGAGCCACCATCTAACCATATTCCCTGATGGAGTTGTGCTGGGATTCACTCAGGATGGTGGCAGAAATTTTAAAGGGAAAGTTATAGAGAATAGTCACAAACCTTTTTGGAAGGTCAAAAGGTTACATAGCTTGTAATAATTGAACGGGCTGAAGGCAGCTGGTTCTTACCCTAGAGTGTTAGGTCATAAGGGAAATACGAGGGACAATAGAGGCTTCCCCAGTTAAGTCTGTTTACCCTACCTCCTTTAACTAACCTTTGAGCCAGATGGCCCTCTCATGGGGGAGGTCGACCTAGGATATTGCCCCCTAAAGGCTTTTACTTTAAACCGTGGTAGCTGAGCTTCAATCATTCATAGAAATATCCTCTTAACCATGTTAATTATCCACAAATGTGTTTACTCAGAGCTTCTGTTGTTTATTCTTTACTAAATAAATGCCTGGAGTGCGAGCTGCTCAGGGCCGGCCACAGTGACAAATCTCTCTTGGTGTGCAGGCGGTCAGACACTCAGCTGGACTAGCAAAATGGAATATCTGCATGTCAGTGTACGTTTTATTCATCCGCTATTTTGGTCAGGGTCTGCAGACAGACCCCCACAGCTAATGTCCTCTTGTGAAGAGCAATACCTCACAGATGGAAATGGAAATGCTAGTCATCCCTTTAAGTAGAATATTATTCATTCTTATCTCGGAAGGCAAAAGATTTCCTGCTTTTCATCCCAATGAAGTGAGTAGGGAGAAAATAATTTCTATTCACAAATCCCCAAATGCTTGGGAAGGCCATCCTTTCACTGGTCAGACTTTGGAGTTATCAGAATTATACTTAAATTGATGGAGGGTAGACACTTGCCTCTAATTACTGCCGTGTTACATAACTCTAATATAAGCATAGCATGGGAGTGTAAATCTGACAGTGATTTCAGAAATTTCCCTAGGAAGTGAGGGAAATGATAGGACTTAAAAGCTTCAAAGACAGAAAAGGGAGTAAGGAATTCAGAGAGAGAAGAACTTAAATAAAGCAATGGATGTGGGAGCGTGCAGGGTGTTTGCAGGAACAATGAGAACACGGGTGTGTTCGTTTCTAGGTACAGGGCATGTAGCAGTGGTAAAAGAGGTGAAGGCTGAAAAAGAAAGTGAATTTGTACAACACTTGATTTCTGTCTTGGGCAAATCAACATTCAATGGCCACACGTGAGTGACATTTTAAATCAAATGTTTTCTATAAAAAGATATTGGTTAGTAGATTACTATTAACATTAAAGTTAGAACAGATGAAGACTCATTTAATATATAAATCATAGAAAACTCTTAACTAATATGACCAACTCCTTTTCAATGCTCAGAGTGCATTGATCCTACTGCTTTGCTCAATTGATTGTTCTCATTTAGAAAGTTCATGAAGCACGGACACCAATTCACTTAAATGCATGTGCTGAGTCTTGTCACTTGGGATTTTATTTCTTGAGATTGATGCTCAGAGTATTAGAAAAACTTATTATTGGCTTCTATAATGCAGTTTTGTTTTTCAAAATAATAAATTAGCATTAATTTAGGGTTGTGACAAGCTTAATCTGCTGCAAAAGCCAGGTCATACATTACATTTAAATGATTATTTACCTCATTCCTTCATTGCTGTGGTTGACATTTGTTTTCATTCAGAATATTTGAGTCATTTTCTCAGTCATTGATTATTGTAAGTGATATTGTTTTAAACCCACATTACTATGATTTTAATACTATGTGGTTTATTCTATCATGAATTTTAAGTGCTAACCTAAATGGAACTAACCACTCTCATGTATGTCTGATTAGTTTAAATAAACATGTTTACTTAGAAGAAGATAAGCAAATTCTAAAAATTGTCTCTAGAAGAATCATTTCAAAGCCTCTGTAACACATTTTACTTTGATATTAAATGAAAATACAGGACAGTTTTTGTCATGTGTGAGATATCACAAATGATATTTATTTCTAGTTTTATGCCTTAGATAATCCACCCAAGTTTAAAAGTTGAGAGTAAAATTATTGTATTGTGGTGATTTACTGCAAAAAAGGATTTGTGTCACCTTTGGGCATCTCAGATTGATAGAGTCTTGAGCAGAGTTACTGAAAGATCCTGCGCTATTGTAGTGTGACTTTTATGGACACATTTCAATAATTTTTGAATTATCTAATCAGCTTTCATGAATCAACCAGATTAAGGATTCTTTAACACCTGGCACTTAAAAAGCACAAGGAAAATCTTTATGTTGGGTGCTAGATTAAAAGAATATTGAAATGGAAATCATTGTCCAGTTTTCTTTACTCATTACTGCTGGCCTCTGAAAACAATAGCTTCTTCTCAGAAGGAATGTGCCTACGGCACATTGATGGCAATGGTGTCTGCTCCAGAACAAGGTTGAGTTCTGAGAGTGCCTGGCAAGCAGGAGAAGGACTTCTCTGGATTTCATTCTCTGGGGTAGATGCAGTACTACCCATAATAACCCTGCTCTACGATTATATAGCAGCAATCTGAGTTATGTGCACCTGTTAGAGTTTTATTGCTGATTATAAAACCACCTTCTAAGGAGGACCAAAACAAGACAACAATCGTCCATGAATGACAAAAGTTTCAGGGCAGCCATAGCCAAAGACACAATTGACAAGGAAACTTGTTACTTCCGTGGCACACAATAATTTAATATAAACAATTATAATTATTACTGATAACGGACACTGAACCATATCAGAATTTTAGTAGTTTCCCATAATTTTGGAACACATACCAATAACATATTTATACAAATACAGCCCAAAGAAAACCAAATGCTATTTCATATTTGACAATGCTTCGTGTATAATTTTTATAGAAAATAAGCCAAATATTTCATTTTTGGACTTTAGGGCACCTAATATCTTAAAGGACTAATTAGGTGAGAAAAAGACATAATTTATAATTTGATTTTGGAAAGTTTGTCAAATATCAAAGGTTTAAAACACTTGATATCACAAAGTAGGATCACAGGTTACTGTAAAATAAGTTATTCATTTAACCAAAGTGATAACCCAAGGATTTCAAAAAAAGGTGAAAACCTTCATTATTTGAGAAAGGATACTTAATTTTCCAAACAATAAGCACTAATAAAAACAGCATAAAACCAATTAAATTTGTTTTCCAAAATTTTATAAACAATCTATAAAATTGTAATCTTGACCATAAGATATAACTTCCATAAGCCTTTTATAACCTTTATAGCCTTTATTAAGGAATCAGTTAATGCTTCAAGAAAACCTTGTTAATCTGACACAGGGGCTCATTTGCTGGTTTTGCATCAGTGTGCCTTTGACATTAATGGTTAATTTATAGAGAAACTTTAACTTATTTTATCTCTCAAAATCAGTCCTTACAGTCTCACATGCCCACAACTCTTCCGTGATAGTCCCTGGGCCTTAAAGAGTTGAATAGCTTTAATTTCTGGCCTTATGTCTCAGGAATGCAGTTTATTTTTATTGATCTCTTCTACAGAGCCTGAAGATGAGGCTTTAATTCCTGTCAGGGTTTAAGATTTAGCAGGGCTTAGTGTACTTTTTAGATGCAGGAGTCCAAGCCTTGTAACTTAACGTCACAAGGACTTTAAAAGCACATACAGAAAGATACACACATGTAATAACTTTAATTAAAAATTTTTAATTTTTTTCTAAGGAAACCCAAACTGAATAATAATGGGATAGGAATTATTTTGATAAAACTTAAAAAACTGTTAGGCTAGTTACCAAAAGGCAAAAGAAAAGACCTTTGCCGTGCACAGAACATTATGTTGGAAAATAATTTCCTTTAGACCTTTAAGGAAACACTGTTAGCATCAGGTCACAACAAATAGAACTTGAGGGGAAAAAAAACTTATATAAGCTGAAAATGAGTTAAAGGAGAGTGTTACTATTTTGTGCCTTTTAAAGGGGAAGAGGAAACCAAACTGCAAGATGCAAATAAAAGGTGAAATTTTGGTTAAAAAATTAATATCTCTTATAATTTATTAAGAGTAAATCAATCCCTTAAGAAAATTCTATTCTTCTAATCAATTCTTTAGTGTATAAGCGTTTTTTTCTTTACATCAAACGTAATCTCTAGAAAGAACATGATGATTCCCCTTTAATTGTAGACAGCATGATCAAATAAAAGTGTTTTTGTTTGTTTGTTAGTTTTTAATAACCTCTTATCATGACTTACACAGACCATTCATGACAAGCTTGGACTTGGACTTTTTGGTTTGTCCTGAACATCCCTCTTTCTTAAACAACCAGTCATTTTATTCTAGGACTAACTTTACCATACAAGATTTTTTCTTATATAAAATTATATCTCTTGAAGCTTTCTTACAAAAAAAAAAAACCCTCTTTATTTCTATTCTTTCATTGCTCTTATTTCCTGGTTCCTTTTCCTTTGTTTTATACCTAATCTTTAAATAAGCTTTGAATGTTAAAATAGTTGTTCACATTTTTAAAAAGGATACTTTTTTATAAAAGAATGTTTTCCTATATTTTATTGGAAAATACCTAAAAATGAAATTTCTATTATTTAATTTAATACAACTTTAGATTCTAAATTATGACAAATTTGTCTACAAGTATTATCCCATTACATTTACCTAATTATTTTATTTTAATCACTTACCTAGATTATATTGAAAACTGTGATAGTCATTATTTAAAATTCTGAAACTCACCATTGCGAAATTCTGAGACAATGAAAAAGATATGACCTAACTGACCCGATTTTGCTTCTAACCTCCATTCTGTCCTTGTACATTCCTGGTGTAGACTGAACTAACTTTGGGAGGAAAATAGTTTATAGTTTAGCTTTGAAACAAAGATGCTAACAGTCCCTTCCCAAAACAAACCTTACTGCCTGTGCACTAGACTGCCAAAAGCTGCAAGATTAGAAGTTATGGTAATCTTACTGAATTAAAGATGTAGCTATTTTTATTAAACCAATATCAATATCTTATTTATTAAAGATTACACAAGCAAAGATCATTGTGTCTTGGGCTGGGTTTATAGTTTTGTAACCACTATGCCATTTTGACACCTCATAATATTTAGCAGGGATAAGTATAAAATTTTTTGATTAATAAATGCAAACAAAAATGTATGCTGACAATTCTGAAGACATTTCTAAACTATTATAATTTACCAATTATTTTAAAGCTAGCTTATTTATTAAAGATTTTATTTGTTACATAAACTTGAAAAATAATTTGACTAGTCTTTCTTTTTTCCTGATAAAGTATCAGACTCAAACACTTATTTTCTTAAGCCAATTATTTAGAGCTCTTTTATATAGTTTCAGTAGTGAAACATTGTGTACACAACACATAAATGCATAGCTGTATTAGGCATGCCAATGGAAGTACAACTTATAGTTCATAAAGACTTTTTTTCCTATCTTAGATTTTCAGATTCTTGATAATGTGTTTCACAAACCTATGCAGTTGTCAGCTAAATATCCTTAAACTTGCATATTAAAGAAAACTCAGGTGAAATTTAAATAGCAATATTTACATCATAAGGTGTAGAGAAACTCTGTTGGTGCTAGACGGAGATTAAAGATGGATGCCAAATCACATAATATTATAGAAATCAGTCATAGGATTGTATAAGGAGACCAATTTATTTAGATAGGGACTACCTATCTTTTAACTGGACTTCTGAACTCTGGGAAGAGCCCACACTGAATCCTGGATCTTGAATAAGGGAGAATTAGGATAGACCACATGATGTTTTTACAGTGCACTTAAAACAATATTTTTTTAGACAAAGAGATTTTTAAGTGTCTAATCTACACTCTTCCTTAAAAATGCGAGAGTAGCCTCTGTGGCATTAACTATTTTAGTCAAGAAATCAGGTGACACAATGCAAAAGCAAGCAGTTTAAGAGCTCAGACAAACTTGTCTGTTTACGCTTTTGGGATTCTATAAGGAAAAACAGAGTTTCTCCCCAAAAGGGAACTGGTGCCTTCTCTATTTTCTTTAAGGAACTCCAGGCAGTTATAAACTATTTTAGGTCCATCATGCAGCAGAGGGTGCAAGAGAAAGGAGAGACAGCAGAAGTCAACAAAGAAAACAGAATTCAGTCAACAGAGAAGAAAAATACTTTTGCTTAAAAAAAAAAGACAAGGTCCTAGGAGAGAGAAAAAATACAACAACATGAAGGCCTTTTACATACAAACACATACACATACACAGACGTTAGCTTTTAATTAAGCTGACTTTTAACCATTTGAGCTCCTTTTTAAAAAATTATTTTTAAATCTCATTACCATATTTCAGCTAGGACAAATTGTTTCTATTTCAGAAGGAGCAAGTATCAAATCAGAATGGGCTTGATTTTGGAACCAAACCCAGACTGTTGTGGTAGAAAAAAAGAAGGCAGAACTTTAGCTATTGAACTGCAGCATGGGAGCGACTGCCATTGCTCTTTCAGTTTGACTTGGCTAGCAAAAAGAGGCCTTGCTGAAAGGTGACAACGTGCTGGCGGCCCTCACTCGCTCTCAGCGCTTCCTCGGCCTCCGCGTCCACTCTGGCCATGCTTGAGGAGCCCTTCAGCGCCACTGCACTGTAGGGGCCCCTCTCTGAGCTGGCCAAGGCAGGAGCCAGCTCCCTCTGCTTGCAGGGAGGTGTGGAGGGAGAGGCCCAGGCAGGAACCGCGGCTGCACCTGCACTCACGGGCCAGGGCGAGTTCTGGGTGGGTGTGGGATCAGCGGGCCCCGCACTCAGAGTGGCTGGCTGCCACTGCCGGCCCCGGGCAGTGAGGGGCTTAGCACCTGGGCCAGCAGCTGTGGAGGGGGCACCGGGTCCCCCAGTACTGCCAGCCGCCCGCGCCACACTCAAATTTTCACTGGGCCTCAGCTGCCTCCTTGCAGGGCAGGGCCTGGGACCTGCAGCCTGCCATGCCCAAGTCCCCAGTCATGGTGGGCTCCTGCACGGCCCAGGCCTCCCTGAGGGGCGCCACCCCCTGCTCCGTGGTGCCCAGTCCCATTGACCGCCCAGGGGCTGGGGAGTGTGGGCGTGCAGCGTGGGACTGGTGGGCAGCTCCTCCCACGGCCCTGGCACAGGATCCACTGGGCAAAGCCAGCTGAGGTCCTGAGTCAAGTGGGGACTTGGAGAACTTTTATGTCTAGCTGCAGGACTCTGTGTCTAGCTTGGGGTTTGTGGACGCACCAATCAGCACTCTGTATCTAGCTAATCTGGTGGGGACTTGGAGAACTTTTGTCTAGCTAAAGGATTGTAAATGCACCAATCAGCACTCTGTGTCTAGCTCAAGGTTTGTAAATACACCAATCAGCACCCTGTCAAAATGGACCAATCAGCTCTCTGTAAAATGGACCAATCAGCAGGCTGTGGGTGGGGCCGGATAAGGGAATAAAAGCAGGCTGCCTAAGCCAGCAGGGGCAACCTGTGTGGGTCCCCTTCCACACTGTGGAAGGTTTGTTCTTTTGCTCTTCGCAATAAGTCTTGCTGCTGCTGACTCGTTGGGTCCGCACTGCCTTTATGAGCTGTTAACGCTCACTGTGAAGGTGTGAGACCATGAACCCACTGGGAGGAATGAACAACTCCAGATGGGAAGAACAAACAACTCCAGACGCACCGCCTTAAGAGCTGTAACACTCACCACGAAGGTCTGCAGCTTCACTCCTAAAGGCAGTGAGACCACGAACCCACCACAAGGAAGAAACTCCGAACACATCCGAACACCAGAAGGAAAAAACACCAGAAATACCATCTTTGAGAACTGTAACACTCACTGCAAGGGTCCGTGGCTTCATTCTTGAAGTCAGTGAGACCATGAACCCACCAATTCCGGACACATTGCTAGGTGAATAAAGCCTCTTTCGTAGTAAAAATCAAAATTTTTTCCTTTTGCTGGTCATTTTTCTCCCCAACCACACCACCTTTGTGTGTGTGTTTGTGAGAATTTAGCCACTTTGGAGGCCTTGTTTCCCATAATTTGGAACTTTCCAACTCAAATAAAGTTGTTCAAATCCAATGGGAAAAAGACCGAGGAAACAACAAATACAAAAACAACAACAACCAAAAAACAGTTCAGCAAAACAAACGATCACATAACTTTTATGATTACTGAGTACTCTAATGGTAAGGAGAAATTAAGACCAGCTGGTGGTTAAGCTTTACCCAAGGGAGTTCAGTTACTTACCTAGGGATATGTCTCAGGCTGAAGACCACACTGTACCATCCTAGAAGCAGGGGGAAAAAAAAAAAAAATCAAACATGTCTTTCCTGCTGTGGAAAATGATAGAATGGTAACTTCATAATGGAGTTATTTGCCTTCCATCGTTATGGAAGCAGGAAATCTTGCCTTTCTCGTTGAAAGTAAGTAAAATTCCAAAAAAGGGGGAGTTGTATGGCAAAATGAACTTTAGACCTCAACCAGATTTTGGGAGATCAGGGATTCTCTGGAGGGTGTGCTCCCAGACCTCAGCAAATTTTCCTATTTGAGCCATAAAGTTAGCTCATCTGGTACCAAGCACGGAAAGGAAATTATTTGTCAAAGGTCAGGTGTATCTCCACTCAGAACCCCATTGCAGTTACCAAAAGGTGAACCCCAAATATCTGAGAGAGGTCTCAGCTATTTTAGAAAGTTTATTTTGCCAAGGTTGAGAGTGCATGCTTGTGACATAGCTTCAGGAAGTCGTGATGACATGTGCCCAAAGTGGTCAGGGCACAGTTTGGTTTTATACATTTTAGGGGGACATGAGACATTAATCAATATATATAAGATGTACATTGGTTCTGTCCAGAAAGGTGGGAAAAGTTAAGCAGGGAGAGGGCTTCCATGTCACAGGCCGGTGAGAGACAAATGGTTGCATTCTTTTGGGTTTCTGATTAGCCTCTCCAAAGGAGGCAATCAGATATGCATTTACCTCAGTGAGCAGAGGGATGACTTAGAATAAAATGGGAGGCAAGTTTGCCCTAAATAGTTCCCAGCTTGACTTTTCCCTTAAGTCTAGTGATTTGGGGGCCCCAAGATTTCCAAGATTTATTTTCCTTTCACATATATTATACCCTGTGAATTATAAGAATTTTCTCTTTTTATTTAGGGCCCTGAGTCTCCACCAAGCTATATCAACAATTAGACGTATAATATCAATTGAATACTAGTAAATATTTAATATTAATATATTATTCAATATAGTGTTAATTTTGGAATTCTTATAAATGTATACATCGATACCATTCCATATTAATACCAATATACATATTAATATGGCAATTATTAAAATCCAATTACTACACTCTTCACTAACAATATAATACTTGGTATTTGGAGAGCAATCTCCACATTTTCACCCTGATTGATTATATTTACCTCCATGTCTTTGAATCACACCTTCAGAGTGAAAACTTTAAAATAGATGCTTCTAGATAATACCATTCCTCTGTGCTTCAGGCTAATCTATCCAATTACCGAAGTGACTTGTCCATTTTAGTACTACGTTACATATACTTCTAAAATTATCATTAGTAAAATTGACCTCCATCCCTTTCCAAAACTGCTCCACTGCCATAAATGGTACCCTTCTCACTAAATTGTACCAGTTGTTCATTCTAGAAGCTGGAAATCTAGGACCATCCTTGATTCCTCCTTTCCTGAAGTCCCTTACATCTGATCTTGTCAGTAAATCTACCTCAAGACCACATTTCAAATTCATCTCCTTCTTTCCACACCACTTCCACCACCCTAATCTAAGCAAGCATCACCTCACACCTGGACTTCTGTGTCAAACTGCTAACTCATCTCTCTGTTACCACTCTTGCCTAGAAACATGGCAGGGCATAGGAAATGTTTTATTATTTTATTTTTCCCAAGTAGTCTTGTTTGGGCCTAGTTTTTTCACAATCCAGTGATATACAACAATTTCTTGTTGTGTAGTATAGGCATTGTCAAGGTAAAAGAGAAAAGACAAATTGAACTAACATCTCAAATAGCCAAACAATTTCAAAAAGAGAATTTGCTAGGAAACCACTGACCACAGTAAACCATGCCCAATGCCAGGTTCCCTATTTGTAAAACCAAGATGTTGGATTAGACCACTTGAAAATCTGCATCATCATTTCAAAAATCATATATTTCAACCTTTTAAATATTCCTCTTGGCTCTTTTCCTCCTATTACTGCTGTATTAATGGCAGAATCATATCGTCATCCCATTATGAATTGAATTCTCATAACTCTGTAATTTTTTCCTCAGATTTTGATGATTTTTTAAACTCAGTGTCATCTCTTACATCTAATATATAGAATAGATATTATCTACACAAAATAAAGAACAGAAAAAATGTAACCTCCGTAAGTTTCCCTACTTTCTCAAAAAAAAAAAAAAACTGCAATTCAAAGAATCTTATAACTAAATAAAACATCTTGACTTTTAAATGAGGCAATTTAACTAAATCATTTAAAATAAATCAGCACAATTCAAAATGCATTTTTGTACTGCTGATGTTATAGATTGATATAAGTTCATAAAATGTTATGATGAAAGTTATTTAAATCATAAAATGTCACAGATACTTCTCAGATTATGAGAGAATAGTTCATCAACATATAATATGCCAAAACTGTGAGAAATACAATAACCTGATATAAGGAAATCGCTGATGATTTTTCTGATAATACAATGGTACAGTATCAGTGTAATGAATTACTTTACCATTGTCATGGATACTGAATTATTTATATCTAATATACTTAGTTACACATAAGTGAAAATGGAAAAGATCCCAAATGGTTGTTGTGTAAATTTTCATTGAAAATTGGTATAAAACTACATTTTCAAGGATGTCTAAATACTAGAAAAAATTGTATTATTTGTCATGAAACCATAGTATTTTTGAAGTGTCTCTAGGTTTCTAAGTTAGAATTAAATAAGAGCACTATTTTTAGGTATAATTAAAAATTATCTCTCTCAATGTCTATCTAAATATCAGTATATAAACATACATATATAGCTACTCCAGGTGTACTTTTAAAAATTGTACAGCAAAATTGTAACAATTATTGTCATTGCTAATTCTTCTGTTCTAAGCCCCAAATTGGCACTAATGGCCTCTACTCCTAAAAGATTCTAGACATACAACTTGAGATTTGCAAGACAGTCACATCCCTGATGTCAGTTACTCAATGTGAAATGCCATTTTTTTCCCCCTCATGTTTAGGAAAGTGAAAAGAAATACCTTTCAAAACATTCATAGCATAGGTTTTGTCTGTGTCTATTGTGATGTCAAGTTGAAAAGGAAATAATCATGAAAATGCAGGAAATAAAAATTTAAAAATAAGTTATCTTTCTCAGTGTTATTTAAAAATTTTAATCACTTTTTGCGATCACATTAATGAGAGTGAAAATGAGTTTCAATTTTGAAAATTTTTCTAGGTTTCTTTTGCACTGACAAATGTGTTTACTGATCTTCATTTGTGTTGATTTCTCATACTTTTTGTGTTTTACTCCAGTATAAAAAAATCATATGTGACTGAGTGCGGTAGCTCTCACCTGTAATCCCAGTACTTTAATAAGCCGATGAAGGAGGATCGCTTGAGCCCAAGGGTTCAAGACCAGCTGGGCAATAGTAAGACCCTATTTCTCCAGAAGATAAAAATAAATAAATAAAAATTAGCTAGGAACAGTGGCATGCACCTGTAATCCCAGCTACTCGGGAGGCTGAGGTTGCAGGATCGCTTGAGCCTGGGAGATGAAGGCTGCAGTGAGCCATGATCATGCCACTGCACTTCAGCCTAGGTGAAAGAGCAAAACCCTGTGTCAAAACCAAAATAAAACAAAACAAAAAGATCCTATACTATAGTATGATACAGTAATGATTAGAATTCACATACATGTATACATTTTTTTCTTTCCTGATTTATAATTTATTAAAAAGGATTTAAGATTGTACAAGGAATACATTCAAGAAAATGTGATGTAGTGCTCAAGAACGTGAGCTCTGAGGCAGCATTATTATCTGACTCCACTTTATCTGACTCCATTTCATAATAACTGTTTGGCTTTTTACCATTTTTTTATCTTCTCTGTGCCCCAGCTTCCTAATTTGCACATGGGAGATAACACTACCATAAAAAGCATGTAGAAGAACTCCAAGCTCTACAAGAGCCCAATAAATGTACCTATTTTGTTATATAATGTTAAAAATGGATAATCTTAGTAATCCATTTACATTTATATTTGTATTTTTTGTTTTAGGACACACTATAGAATAAAAAAAGAAAGAAACATTAAAAAATAACAGATTCCATAATATACCTCTCTCTGATAATCTGTCTTCATTTGATAGAAACACAATTTTAAGTATTTGAATAAAAATATTTACCCGAGGTAGGTAATGTAAAATCTATCTGATATATTTAAGTGATAAGATCATGAATAATTAATGTTTAATAGCTAATATTTTGCTGAGTGTTTTTTAGACGCCAATCGCTTGCCTAAGGATTTCACATATTATCTATGTATATGGCATTATAATTTATTGGAGGTGCTTTTATCATAATTTTTCAGATGAGAAAACTGAGGCATGGAAAGTTTGGGGAATCTGCTCAAGGTTACTCACATAGTAGGGGACGAATGTCAGTATAAAAGCTTAGTCACTGTGACTCAAGAACTAACAACCTTCGCTCCTCTAATGTGCCATCTCCCAGTAACAGTGACTAATACAGTTGTGAGGGTATCACCCTCTGTTTAATACTAAAGATTTAAGGAAAAGTTATCCCATATCAAAATATTTGTATCTTGAGAAGATATTTGAGAAGACCATCACAAAGCTGTGGATTCTTAACGGTTAGACTCTAAAGCAATGAGGTGAATTGCTTTTTAGAGATTTTAAAGTAATGAGATTAATATTTTTTTAAAAAGATAGATAACCTAAACATGTAAATGCATGTTATAGTTTTAAAAACTAAGAAATAATAATATTTTTCAAGTAATTCTGCCATATTTGAAAACATTTTGGGAAACTGGTATTTGAGATTGCATCAGAGATACTTTCTGAGCAAATAATGAACATGGGTCACAATATTTTCTTTTTCTTTTTTCTTTTCTTTTTTTTTTTTTTTTTGAGACAGTCTTGCTCTGTCACCCAGGCTGGAGTGCAGTGGCGCAATCTCGACTCACTGCAAGCTCCGCCTCCCAGGTTCACGCCATTCTCCTGCCTCAGCCTACCCGGTAGCTGGGAATACAGGCGCCCGCCACCAAGCCCGGCTAATTTTTTTTTGTATTTTTAGTAGAGATGGGGTTTCACCATGTTATCCAGGATGGTCTCGATCTCCTGACCTTGGGATCACAATATTTTCAAATCCTATACTGGCTCGTGTTTTATAGAATAGTATTACACACTTTGTTCTCTGTGATTACACATCAGACTTAAATCTGAGTGACATCTTTTATCTTTTCACACACACCCACATACACACACATACATGCATGTGCAACAAAATTGCCTGCAAATGACCTGGATTTGACATCAAGGTTATTTAAATGTGGGATGACAATGGTTCCAGACAAGAAGTATTAGAAACATTTTTCCTTATTCATATAGTAGGTGAGGCTAACAATCCTGGAAATCACATATAAAACAAATACAAGAAGACTCTGAAAGCTAGTGAGAAGTTAGGCTGCTAGGGACCTTTGGAACCAAGGAATGACACTACAATAACTTGCCTAAATTTCCTTTTCAGATTTATTTATCTCAGGCTTAGTGCTGGAGAAGTCAACAACCTAGAAATGCCAAGGAACACAAGTTAAAAAGCTGATGAAAAGCCTGCTCTCTCCAGCTTAATGACCAAGAAAGGGGCAGCCAAGAAAAACATAAGGCTTTTAGACAACAACCACCCTATTCCATGGAATACCACTGTTGCAGTCCCACTCCCACTCCTGTAAGCAAAAGCTGAGTGGAGAACCTAGACTTCCACCTTTCATCTTCACCAGGCCGTAACAAGACACTGTTAAAGACAAAATAATATTTAATAACACTTGTTAACGCATGGTTGGGAAGACTGTATTCAGGATCATTACATGATCCCATTGCATGGACAAGCCAAGGAGTAGAGCAGGGTCAGTGGATGGAAAATTACTAAGAGGAAACATGAGGTGTAAGAAGGATTCTGGCCAAACCAACCTAACAGGGCTTACATCACTTAGAGAATAGTGGAGGATGAGGGACTGGATCAGACATCAAAGATGATCAGATATTAAGGATAGAGGTTTTTGCTAGCAAAATGTAGATTTTTGCTAAAACTATATTTTAAAGGAAGTGCACATATGGACTTAGGAGAAGGTTCAGGAGCCTGAATAAATTGTAGTGAAGCAGAGAATCTTGTCAACACGCCAAACTCCCTAGCATCTTTGTGTAGATGCCAGAAAAGGATGAGTGTAAATTGGGATCCAGGACCCTTAACCCTGCTGGGCAGTAATTAGCCTCTCCTTTGTTGATGGAAAATATGTGGGAAACCTAGATTTTACCTCATCAAATACTAACAAAGCAGCCTTCCCTCTCCCCATTGGGGGTGTCAAAGGAGGCATAGAAGAGATTCAGGATTCCTATCACCACACAGCATAATGAACCTGCACCCTATTATTTCGGCAGTGGTAACATAGGGAGCTATAATGAGACCTCCCTCCTCCTCCCAGTAAGGATAGTATCAGTGGAGGTCTAGTGTGGAGCCTGAAATACCAGCCATAATAAGGCACTCCTTCTTTGCTGTCAAAGGAGGTTGAGTGAGGAACCTGGACTTTAATCTCCACCTGGTAATAAAAAGGAGGGTTCCTTTCTCTTGCTGATGCAGTATCCTAGACCTGCTAAAAGACAAGATTTACATAAGACCCAGCTTTTCATAACATCCCAAAAGTCCAGAATACAATGAAAAATTACTCATCATACTATGAGGCAGGACAATACTAAAATGACAGATGGCAATAAACAGATGCTAGCACTGAGATAGCACAGGTGCTAGAATGATCTAAAAAGAATGTTAAAGCAGCTGGCATACTTAAATTTGCAATTATGAACATATCTGAAGCAAATAAAAACATCAAAAATCTCAGCAAAAAATACAAAGTCTCAGAAAAGAAATAGAAGATATAAATAAGAAGAAAATGAACATTTTAGAACTGAAAAATATAGTACTCAAATTAAAAATCTGAAAGAATGTGCCTTATAGCGGAATGAAGAGGGCAATGGAAAGAACAAGTGAACTCAAAGACAAAACAACAGAAAACAGCCAACTTGAGAGAAAACAGACTTTAAAAAGAAATAGGCAGAACTTCAGCAAATGGAAATTCTCAAAAGATTTAACATTTTTATCACTTAAGTCTCAGAAGGAGAGAAGGAAGAGGATGGTGTTGAAAATTTCCCAACCTTGTAAAAAAGACCAAAACCTACATATTCAAGAAGCTGAACAAACACAAACAGGATAAACAAAGAAATCCTCATCAAGATTTATTATAATTAAACTTCAGAAAACTAATGACAAAGAAAAAAATCTTGAAAGCAGTAAGAGAGAAACTTCACTTTACCCATGAAAGCGGGGGTGGGCAATTTAAATAACAGTCAATTTTTAGTCAAAAATCATGAAAACCTGAAGGAAGTGATATCAAATTTTTCAAGTGCTAAAAGAAAAAAGGGCAATCCAGAATTCTGTATCTAGAAAAGATACCCTATAGGATGAAAAAAAAAAAAATACATTCTCAGATAAATTAAGAGTAGGGAATTTGTGACTGGAGGATCTACCCTAAACAAATAGCTAAAGGAAGTTTTGAAACAAGCAGAAACTGATCTTTAAAAACTTGGAAAATCAGAAAAGAAGAAAGAAGAATATAGGAAAGAAAAAAACTGTGGGTAAATATAAACCGCCAGATAAAACCACAAAAGACCCAAAATAGCCAAAGTAATCCTGAGCAAAAAGAACAGAGCTGGAGGCATCACAGATCTCAAATATACTACAAAGCTATACTAAATTACAACAGCATAGTATTGGCAAGAAAACAGACATACAGATCAATGAACACAATAGAGAGCTCAGAAATAGATCTATAAAATTACGATAAACTGATCTTTGACATAGATGTCAAGAACACACAATGAGCAAATAACAGTCTCTCTAGTAAGTAGTGTTGGGATAATTAGATATCCACATGCAAAAACAATGATATTGGATACACCTCACACTGTATATAAAAATTCAACTCAAAGTGAATTGAAGACTTAAATGTTAAACCTGAAACAGTAAAACTACAAGAAGAAAACAGAGGGGAAAACCTTCCTGTCATTGGTCTAGGCAATGACTTTTTTGCTATCAGCCTAAAAGCATAGGCAACAAAAGCATAAACCAACAAATGGGATTGCATTAAACTAAAAAGCTTATGGGAAGCAAAGAAAATAATCAACAGAGTGAAGAGACAACCTGTAGAACAGAAGAAAGAATTTGCGAACTATACATTTGGTAAGGAGTTAATATCCAAAACATATAAGGAGCTCAAGCAATTTAATAGTGAAAAAAAGCCCAACATTAAAAATGGTCAAAGAATCAAAATAGATATTTCTCAAAGGAAGACATCTAAATGGCCAGAAAATATATGAAAAAAATGTTCAACATCACTAATCATCTGGGAAATGCAAATTAAAACCACAGTGAGGTATCACCCCATACTTGTTGGAATGATTATTATCAAAAAGAAAAAAGAAAACAAATATTAGCAGGAACATGGAGAAAAAGAGAATGCTTATACACTATTGGTTGGAATGTAAATTAGTAGAGCCATCACCAAAAACACTATGAAGGTTTCTCAAAAAATTAAAAATATAACTACCACGTGATCCGCAATTCTTCTCTAGGTATATATCCAAAGGAAATGAAATTACTATGTTCAAGAAATATCTGCACTTCCATATTTACTGCAACACTGTCCACAATAGCAAAGCTATAAAAATAACCTAAGTTTTCATCAATGGTTGAATGTATTAATAAATGTGGCATATATATATATATGCCACTTATTTATATAAAATACAAGCCTATTTAACCATTAAAAAAATTCTTATTTGCAACAACATGGCTGAAACTGAAGGATATTATACTAACTGAAATAAGCCAGGAACAGAAAGACATATACTGCATGATCTCACTTATATGTGGAATCTAAAAAAGTTGAACTCATAGAAGTAGAGAGCAGAATAGTGATTTCTAGGGTCTCAGAAGAGACAGGAGGAGATCAAATAATACAATATATTGAACTTTAAAATAAGAAAATAAAAAGAAAAAAAATAGAGAGTAGATCCAGTAGTATGCTGTAGTGGTAAATATTTAACAACAGGTTAAATAATCCAGAGGTGGGAAACATTGATTTACAGGGTTTGCCAATTTCTATGATATGCCAATTTTAAGCTACCTATGTGGAGTATCAGCAAACACGGAACTATGAAAAGATGTGCATAATTGCCTCTTGAGATGGTGCCATTAGCTCCAGCCCACCACTGGGTAGACACTGAAAGCAATACTAAAATAATGCTTTAGCAAACAGCAATATTACTAGAATTGCAACATAATTGTTTTTCATGTGTACCATTTATTTTTGATAAATTTTTTATTAAAATCATTTCTATTATTTCATATTTACTTCAGACAGAAATCCATTTGAGAAAGTAGTAGATCAATGCCTGCAACAAATGCACACGTAACACATCTAAACTATGTCAGCCATTTGGGTTCCTGATATACTTCACAGAAGGAACATAACTGGCAAATAAGCTGACAAACATGCCTCAGGTTGGACTTCAGGTCTTCTTTTTCCTGCCAGATAATATACGCAACCAAAGAGCTTGGAAAGAGGCACAGTTGGGGAACTTGTCTATTCTTTGTCAAAATTTGTTATAATTTTCATCACTGAATAACCAGAATAAAGCTTGGTGCTAGTATCTTTTTCAATCTGGAAGAGAAAAATTATGTTGACTGAAGTATCTCCCATTATCACCAAGATGATCATATAAACTGAAATGTAATGACTGTGTATGGATCATAAGTTACAATAATCAGAGTGTAAGTGTTATTACTGACTATGTAATTTAACTGGGTCAATTCTCAGCTTGTAAGAGCAGCTGGGCATCATCATCAGTTGAGAAAATAAAAGTACCATCATAGAAATCTACAGAACAACTACTAGACTGAGAATCACAGTGCAGAAATTGCAGCTTATCAAGAAGAAAGATACGGCCGGGCGCGGTGGCTCACGTCTGTAATCCCAGCACTTTGGGAGGCCAAGGCGGGCAGATCACGAGGTCAGGAGATCGAGACCATCCTGGCTAACATGGCAAAACCCCATCTCTGTTAAAAATACAAAAAAAAAATTAGCAGAGCGTGGTGGCGGGTGCCTGTAGTCCCAGCTACTCAAGAGGCTGAGGCAGAAGAATGGCGTGAATCCGGGAGGTGGAGCTGGCAGTGAGCTGAGATCGCGCCACTGCACTCCAGCCTGGGCAACAGAGCAAGACTCCGTCTTGAAAAAAAAAGAAGAAGAAGAAGAAAGAAGAAGGAGAAGGAGAAGAAGAAGAAGAAAGAAAGATACAACCCTCTTTCTCTCCTTCCCTCCCTCTTTCTCAACACACACATACACACACACAAACACAAAATCATTAAAGAGATGTAGTCAGAGATCTTATATCATAGAAATTGTTTAAAATTTTGCAGAGAGGGGTATCATGTCTGAATGCATTAGTTGCATTCAGAAATAACGAGTTAGGCTTTTTGAACTCAAGTGAAGAATTCAGAATAAGTGTTCAGTCTTCTACATCTCTTCCAAAATAATATCTAGACTCATTTCCTGTATGAAAGTTAATGATCTGGAATTATGCCCTATTTATATGATTTATAATGCAGCCTTTTTTTCTAAAATATTGTTATTAATTTTCAGAACATGTGCCAGAAATGTCTCTTTCCAAATTCACATTTCTGTAATAAATCTGAAAATATTTGCCCCAACATATTATAAACTTACTTTTAACCTCTTAAATTCTTATATTAAAATATTCTAGGTTCGAATTTATTTACAATTCACTACAAGATTAACACATAGTAGATTTTCCTTTCATTGTTAGCTTACGTATATATAGTACAACTTTGATTTATGCAAAAATATACTCAATATTGGATTTGTAATAATAATTTTAATTTTAATGTGATCAATTTAAAGTCAATATACCTGTACTACTTGGGCTCGGAATTTTTTTTTTAATTTTTGATATATTTACTAAATTTAATTTATTTCTAAGAAGCAATATAAATGCTACAATCTTACAATATATCTTTCTAATTCTATTATTCTACATTATTCATTATTAAAGAATATTTTTTCTTCTTACATGGAAGACCTAGATCTTATTCCTTATGCACTGATTGACTTCCCAGCTCATTGGCCTCTGCATCTCCAAGGGAGGGTTCTTAGTTCATTGTGCTATTCTACTCCCTGAGCATAATTCTGTATCAATGTTCTCCATTGCTCTTGGATCAGACTTCTGTGCCCTTTCATCTAAAAAGCAAATTATCGTGATAAACTATGCACAATGACAGATTTCCTATCTGAGGACCAAGGTGTCAGAGTAGGACAGGGATCAGCAAACCATGGAAGACCCCTGTCACAACAGGAAACACATAGCTCTCAAAGCCTAAAATTTTACATCCTGGCTCTTTACAGAAAAAAATTTACTAACCCATGCAAAACACTCGATTTTTTTTGTTGTTGTTACATAGAAAAAGTTATCTAACATAAAGAAACATGGATAAATTATTTTACTGGGAGTGGGAAGTTATTCTAATTATGATTAAGAGTTCAGAGAATGTAAGGTAAGTGAGTGGTAATTTTGACGAAATAAAAATCAAAATGTTTTGCATGAAAAATGATAATAAATGAGAAAAATATTTTTTCAAGTGATATCACTGATAAAGAGTTAATATCTCCAATATGTAGACTCCAAAAATAAAGAAGGAAAAGACCAATACATTCTAAGCAAGAAAAACAGCAAAAGATATAAATAAAGAAACGTTTATTATTGCACATAAAAATTATCAACCTTGCATATAATTAAATAAACGCAAATTAAAACTGCACTGAAATATGATGTCTTACCTATCAAATTACCCATTTGTCCCTATACTCTTCTAGGGTTTTGGCTAATACCCTTGGTAGGTTCTCAGCCAACAAATACTGTGAACCACCAGCCTCAAGATCACTCTAGCCTTCAACATCTTGTATTCTAGCTAAGAGCCCAGGTATTAAGAAAAGGGACAAGCTACCCTACTGTCACCTCTCAACTTTCTGTCCCATACAATCCAAGAGCATAATACTATAGGTCAAGTATCGCTTATCTGAAACACTTTGGACCAAAAGTGTTTCAGATTTTGAATTTTTTTCAGATTTTGAAATAATTGCATATACATAGTGAGATATATTGGGGATGGAACCTAAGTCTAAACATATCATTTATTTTTTATAGACATCATACACACATAGACTTAAAGTAATTGTATATGCTATATTTAATAACTGTGTACACAAAACGAAGTTTGTGTCCACTGAACCATCAGAAAGCAAAGGTATCCCTATTTTAGTCACCCATGTGGACAATTTGTAGTTGTTGGACATCATCATCATTCCTGACTTGTAGTTTATAAGCTACTCATAAGCAATCATTTGCCTGCACGTATTCACACATAAGTACTATAAGTAAAAATAATGACACACTATTAGTAAAGTGAAAAATTCAGCAGCACAGCAGCAGCACCAGAACCCCTGTACCAGCTGGTAGACAACAGCCATAACCATCAACAGCAGGTTTGCAGTTCCCACCTACAATCCTGTGTTTTGATTAAAAGGTTGTCGTACACTGCATGTTAATTGTTTTAGGTGATAAGAAATATCGGCAGCAGTTGAGGAAAAAGAAAGTGTGTCCCCTAGGGATAAGAAGGCATTCTATCAGATGGCTTTTTAAAATGTGTCTTTTAGAGTCGTCTGCCTCATTAACAATGGTATTTGTCTTAGAAGTCTCTCTCTGATTTCATAAACTGACATGGTTTCTTGTCCTATCATACATACATACTGCTCTAGTGCTTCGTAAGCACATCACACATTTTTTTGCCATGTCATCTATAGGCACTTTTCCTGCAGTGTTAATGACATCATCTTCATAGTTGTGTGCCTGCATTCTGACTGTGACCCATCGCATGAGGTTAGGTGTGGAGTTTTCCACTTGTGGAGTCATGTCAGTGTTCAAAAAGTTCTGGGTTTTGGAGCATTTTGAATTACAGATTTTTGGATTTAGGGATGCTCAAACTATAACAGTTTTACACCAATAAATTTCTAGTACTTTTTTATGAAGTCATAGTAATTGGATATTATATTTCCAAAAGTATATCAAGAAAAATCTTGAGGTAAAAACTTTAAAAAATAAATTAATATAGGCACCTAAAATATAAGTACCATATTCTGAATTAGGCTAAAATAGTATTTCCACATAGCAACAATTTTCTAGTGGAACATAAATTATACACCACTGTAAATGATACATCACTAGAATCTGATGCTATAAAGGCAATATCTTAAAATATGGGAAAATAAAGATGAAAGTAATCCTAAAGATTATCTTCCTTTAGATTTCTTATTTTACTTAACAGTAAAATAAGAAACAGTAAATGTGAAAAAAATTTCTAAAAAATCCTCCTGCTTTTTTATAGTAGTTTTTAAATGAAAGCAATATTATCCTGTATAATTGATATTAAATTTTTTTATAGAAACAGTCACCTAGGCAACAAAACCCCATAAAATAATATAACAATTTGGGATATGTTTTTCATCTTTCTTCTTAAGAATAAGCCAAGAAAAATAGTTTTTGATTTTAAGATGTTAGTGGGGTCATTGTTAGAATAATATGATTTAGAAAATAATAACACATATATTTAATAGAAATAAGCTTCTGAAAGAAGGGAAGATGCATTTCAAAACATTCCGTCTTTGTAGATGGAAAGTCTTGGATAACCACGATGTGAAACAAACCAATGCTAGAAATTTAATTCTTCAGCATGGAGGAAGATCATAAGGATACAAATATAAGCAAGATACCTACTTTTGCACGGTGATAAACACAATTCTCAATAACGCATAAAATGTCATAATGGAGTTATAGTATTATTTATAATTAAAACAGGAGCATGGAAATTATGTTGTTTATTTATAAAAGAAAATGATAAATTATAATATATACAGGAAAGTTTACTTTTCTTACTCAGCTCAAACTAAGTCAGCAGAGATCAGGATCTTGATAACATTACTTATATGACCTTCAGATGTCTGGCTGCCCTCTTGGTTGATGGGGTAACTGGGCCACATGTTTGCAGATTACTCAGGTTAGCCTGTCTTTTTTTCACATGGTGGTGGTCTAAGACTTTCTAATATCATCAAGTTGACAAGTCGTAATATGCATGTACTCTACAAATCTCTGCTCCTGTCCCAGTGGTAATGCATCATTGGCCAAAGCAAGTCGTATGGCCAACCCAGAGCCATCATTATGTCTTTCTGGGAGGTCAAAATTTGTAGTCAATTTTACAACCCACAACAGCTCAGTTTTTGGCTACATATATTTATACTTCTCCTGTAAGCAAAGTAACCCAACACAAAATAACTCAAAATAAATTCCATGCTCCTGTAGGCAACATTCCCCAACACGGGACTCTCTCATTTAATCAAATATGGCATGAGAGTTGCAATCTGGATGCATATGAGGATGCTCTTGATGTGGAGGCCTATGGGTAAGTGACCTTTTATAACATACTCAACAGGCTAGACAGGCACGGGAACACCTGATATGCATTCTTATTCAGATAGAAGAACAAAGGGAGTCACATAGTCACTGGCCACAGCAATTCCAAAGTCTTGCTAGGAAAATATTGCCAGGGCTCTCTATACTGGGGACAGGAAATATTCTATGAGTATGGCCTAGCGATAATCCCTGGAAATAGGCCCCCGTCCACTAACCTTTTTACATCCCTCAGAATATTTTCCAGTGTCATATTTTTCTGTTCCTTGGGAGTGCCTCTCTATTTAAATGTTCACCACTGCCCATGATTTAGCTTTTTGTATTTTGTTCTCTCCCTTCTGAGATATACTTCATATTTCATAAGGCATAGACCATCTTGGCAACTGTGGTAAATTAAAGAAGGCAGTAAATTCTTTGCCACCTTTCCCACCTATTTGCTTTCTTCTGGAATTTGTGCTGGCCCTTGGGACTAGATTTGATTAATAGAGTGTGGCAGAAGAGATGTTTAACCCTGGGCATGGGCTGTAAGACATACACAGCTTCTGCTTTTTTCCTACATAGTACAATCCCTCTCAGAAATCAGATGCCATGTAAGAAGTCCAACTATACTGAGATAACCTGTAAGGAAGGCCAAGTTAACCATATAGAGATAGAGGCCACTGTAGGAGCGAGGTGCCAGACATGTAGGGAAAGCTTTATTGGATCTTTCAGGCCACTACAGCTTCCTGCTGAATGCAATCAAATGAATGACCCCAGTTAACAGAACATACAGCAGACTAAACATCCAGCTAACCCAGTCCTAAGTCTTGACCCACAAAATCAAGGGTTAATTAGAGTAAATTAAGTTTGAGCAATTCATTGCATAGAAATAGATAACAACAAGAACAGCAGCAAAAAAAATGGGTAGCATTCTCAATATGCTTGCTGCTTATGAAAAGTTAGAGGCCTAGAAACTTCTTTTTAAAGAATTATATTCTTTTGTATGCCAAGATTGTGATAATTTAATTAGCACAATTCTTTAAAAGCTTTATCCCCTGTCTATGAATATGATCTAGGTGCATGTTTATTGCTTCAAGGCGAAATCTGTGATTCTTTTGAAGACAGGTGGTGCTCTAAGACTTTCTCTACAAGAGATGTATCAATCTTCAGTAGGAAAAAACACACATACAATTCTGAGAAGCCCTCTTCTTTAGTTGAAGGGTCTTAGGCACTAACTTAAATCTAATAGAAATTTTTAAAAAGATCTTGAAATTTTTTCTGCACCCCTAGACCTTGTTTTACTTTTTGTTTGGGGAGATTTTTACTGACCAAAGACTCTGAAGATAACAAACAGATTCATTTGTTAACTCGGTGCTTCTCTATTTCCTCTAAATTCTGCTTGCAAACTGAATAGTTTATTCTTTAGCTCATCTCTTTTTGTATCTTTTCATAGACAGCTAAAATAGATCAATTGATACTTCATATATTTATTTGGCCTAGAAATCATCTTTCCAAAGTGGCTAAGTTTATTGGTCAATTTTATATCTTTCCTGTTACTGTACTTGACAGCTGCATTTTTCTGCAACTACAAATACAGTCACCAAACTGCTGTAATAATTTATGTATTATTATTCTTCGCTCTTTCTAAATGGTTAGTATATCATTTTGTTTTGCTACACTAACAGTTTTCCAGACACTTTTTTCTGCCTCATCCAACTTTCTCATCCCCAAATCAGTGTTGTTTTATGTTTTTATTATGACAGTGCCTGATTTCTAAGTACTAACTTCTTTAGCAGTCAAGAAAGCAGGAATACTATGAGCATTATAGAGATACAGTACACAGTAAAGGAATTAACCTTGAAAAATGATGACTGAAGCTGAGGAAGTAAAGTTTTGGAAGCGGAAATCCAAGAGTCACTACTGAATTCAACTGAAATACTCACAAAGGTGGACATGTCAGAGTTTGCAAGCTAATAATGCAAGAAGTCAAGCATACCCAGTTACAAAAGTGGGGCAACAGAAGGGGAATTCATGGAGATGTCTATGTGCCTTTGTAGCTTCTGCTTACAAGTTTCAAAACCCAGTATCTGGTGGTGGGTATGAGACTGCTTCATCCAACAGGATTAACACATGGAGCAGAGGAGAATTAAGAAAATCCACTGGGCACCTCTTTGTCTGTACATAACCATATGTGACTATGACAAGTTTGCAGGAGCAATTGTTGTTCCATCTGCTCTTCTGGATCTTGCCTTAGTTTCTCTTTTGACCAATAATAATCGACTCCAGGTGAGGAGATTCTGGAGAAAGCATAGCCCTTGTTTCAATCACGTTAAAAGCACAATCCAACACAGACTCGTATGGCTCCATTTTTAATGTTTGGATCTCCTATCCATTCAGAATATATTTTGGGGTATGATGTGAGGTATTGGGTACATTTTATATTTTGATGTAAATATGTACTAGAAAGTATTTATTTTGACCACAAATTTTAGATGCTATTGATATATTATGTATAGTATGGTATATCACATATACCGTATTTTCATTATTTGGGGATTATTTTATATTTTTCCATTGGCCCATCCTCTATTTATAAGGCAGTGTTACAATGTCTTAATTGTAGAATTTTATTGTTTGTTTTAATATCTAATAGGACGAGCTTCTACTTTCAAACACACACACACAGCTGCTCTTTGAATCAAGAATTTGTATTCATGCTACTAGATTCCTGGACAGAGCTCTTCAGCACCACACACACTATCTATAATCTGACCACGAAGATCCAGACTTGGAGCAAACTGACAAAAGAAGATCTGATCTCTGTATCTCAAACACCAACAAGGTGTTCAGGAGAAAAATGAAATAGAGAAAAAGAACTAGAAATAAAATTTCAGTTATTATTTAGCTTAATGAGTGCCTGTCAATCCAAAAAAAAAAAAAGCATTGATCAGATTTAAGGGACGTATATAAGACTGATGTCCCTCAGTAAATTCTAGCTCTTTTAACTTTGACTGAAATATTGAGTGGGCACTTAACTCCATTGAGCATAGAAGATGAGTTTCAGAAATAAAGTAGATGATGCTTGTGCTACATCATTTAATAAAACTAAATCAGACTACGTCAATTTGTTGGTGGCTTTAACAACATACTAATATAGTAAAGCACAGACCACATTGAAATGAAATAAACTCATATATTACCACTAAGAAATACATATTTTCTTGGACTCTAAGTATTTCTTCCCTCTGAAACCACTGAACTAATTTAGTCTTTAGTATAAGACTAAACAAGCATGTCTACTCAGAGATGACTCTACTAGAATTCTCTTTCTGTTGAATGTGAGTACATATGATTCTAGGAATAAATTTTTTAAAAAAGTGATAAAAAATATGGAAAATAAATCTCTCTAAACCCAACACAAACTCCAAGGTTTTCTCAGCTCTTCTGGAGTTTCTATTCTTGCTCCCCTTTCCTGTACATGTGGACCTTATTCAATCTAGTGATTAAAGCACATACATGTGACTACCATCTAGGTTTTTCACTGTGATATTACTTCCTAATATTGCAGAATCTTCCCAACATGAATTTGAACCATCTTAATCTCAGAGTTGTCTTCAGAACTTTGGACATGACTGTCATGTCCCCAAATCAGATTTTCTGGAAACACTGTGAACTTTATAATTAAGTCCAATGTTGGCAAGACCCCTGTTTTCCATCTAACAGTTTAAAATATATTCTCTGCCCTCACTTTCAAAACTGTTTGAAGTACATAAAACATTGCTGAATGTTCTCCGTAATATTTTTGTTTCCCATTTCAAAACAACTATTTCCCAGTTTTTGTAAAATTGTTCATTTCTTAGCTCCTCCTTAGCCTTTATTTAATCCATACACTCTTAAATCTTTGCTTGGATCAATAAGATTCAATACCAAATGAAAATAGCCTTCATCCTGGCCAACATAGTGAAACCCCATCTCTACTAAAAATACAAAAATTTAGCCGGGCATAGTGGCGGGTGCCTGTAATCCCAGCTACTAGGGAGGTTGAAGCAGGAGAACTGCTTGAACCTGGGAGGCGGAGGTTGCAGTGAGCTGAGATTGCGCCATTGCACTCCAGCCAGGGTGACAGAACGAGACACCATCTCAAAAAAAAAAAAAACAAAAAAAAAAAGCAGCCTTATGTTTATTTTCCAGCCTAATATTTTAATGCCTCTCTGAGATACATGTACTTCAGAAAAAGTTGAAGCCATTTTTCTAAGCTTCTAATTTCCTATTTTGAGTAACCTGAGGATCAAGAAAAACTGTAGGAAACCTGTTTTCTTAATTCCCTCCATTACCTTCTTCCTTTCTTCCATGTAATCTAAGTTGTTTTTGGTAGAACTTTAAAAATTTATGTAATGAAAATGATTTCATGAATTTTGGACACCGTGAAGAACTTGGACATGACCAAAGTTCATCAGAAAAGTTTAGGCATGAACTCAATATTAGCTTCCCAAATAAGAGAATATTAAACCGAACACTGATTCCATGTCATGAATATTTCTCTCTATGTGGAATATGCTGACTCACTCAGTCAGATTCTATCTAATAAAGTCCAGGAGGATGCTGCCTGCGTGTATAAGCATGTTGGCAACTTAAAGCTACTGTGTAAGCAGAATTATTTTGAAAGGTAATTATATTCATTGACAGCCTAAACAGGACATAGAGTCATGCCAGGTAGAAAATATTGCATTATTAAACATCTGCAGCAAGAACTACATGAGAGACATCAATTGTACTTGACTCATAGTATCCTCAGGAGTCTGGGTTTTGGTATCTTTGGTTTGATTTTGATGTCATATAGGGAATGAATGTTACTTATAACTTGGGCCATTTTTGGAATCCTTGATTAAGGCAGTCCAACAAAATATGCAGCAGCAATTATGTTAACATTTAACATGTTTTCATTATAACAGATTGTAAAACACCAAAATGTCCTCAAGTATATTTATAGATACATGTAACTCTAGGTTCAACTGTGTGTGTGTGCGTGTGTGTGTGTGTGTTCTTAGCAAGTCGAAACTTCAAATAAGTAAATAGGGAGGCAATTATTTATTGGATTTCTAGAATATAGACCAAAGAGCTAATATTATTGCACTTAGATAATATGGATTTTTGAAAAGAATAACCTTAGAGGAATAGCCTGAATATTTTACTCCAATTTTAAGGCAAATGAATGTTAAATCTCAACTAAATACCCCACACATGCACAATCAGGTCTCTGAAAAGATAAGGATAACATAATTAAACCACAATTCTCAAAATTGGCATACCCTTTATTTAAACTAATGATGGTTTAATTCTAATGTAGTAAATATTAACCATTTTTTTTGTGAAACAACACATTTTATCAAAGTAATAGTCATTTTATTAGTTTGCTTAGCTATTGCAAAGTTGCATATACATTAAAACCAGAATTCTAGCTCTAGAGTGACTCTAGGATACTTTCAAAAAGGTTGTTCATTTCGCAATGCCATTTAAATTTCAACAGCTAGATTTGAGCATTTGGTATTTTTAGAGAGCAACGGTCATGAAAATTCTAAAAGCTTAAAAGAGAACATACCAATTACAATTCTAAAGTTATTTCTAACATGTCTCCTACTTCGTTATTTTTGCCCTCAGCAAGCAAAAAATAATGATGTACAAAGAATATCTCAGAAAATTAATATATAGCCTTCTTAAATAATTTTCAGTGCATTTGGCATTTTATTTTATATTAAATTTATTCTAAAATCATCTAATGCTTATTTTTTATCCCATTTTGTAGCCATAATACTATTTTTACCCAATAGTTGTCATATTAACAGCACAATAATATGAATAACATCATGCTAATGTCATTAATTGAGAGGAGGTATCTGTGAGCATTTGGGGACTAGGATGGAAGGAGTTTTGTAGGAGAAAATGAAGACCTTGTCCTTAGACATGTTAGGTTTTTGATGCTTAGTTGAACGTAGCAAACCAACTTCCTTTACAAAAAACAAATCAATGAGGTAATCTCTAGTTCTTTTCATCATTCATCTCTGCTGAAATAATTCCTTCTCAGTGATGTGACTTCATTACTCTCTCTTATCTTTATTTTCATCATAGCAATTAACACTATCTGAAATTACATCACTTACTTATCTACTTATTTTTGGTTGCCTCTCACTGGAATACAGTCTCCATGAAGATAATCTATTTTGTCTTCTGCTATATTCTCAGAATATAGAATAGTATTTGAGACATAGTAAGCATGCAATAAATATTTGTTGAATAGATAATGATTAGATGAATTTCAGATATTACTTCAATTACCTCTGGCAATTTGTTTGCAGGACACCAAATCTAGAGTTTGCTGGTAAGTCCAATCAGCTCTTAAACAGAACATAGCTATTGCTTTAATAGTTTGTTGCTTGGGATATATATACATATCTAACATATATATGTGTATATATATGTGTGTGTGTGTGTGTGTGTGTGTGTGTATATATATATATAGTAGAAAAAGGGCCACAGATAATAAGTTTTATTCTTTTATCACTTTGAGATAGGTTCAATGATTAGTTCTCTGTACTTTAATAGTAACATTCAACAGTAAACAAGCACTCTCAGGGGAAAGAGATACTTCTCACAGGTATTTAGTAAGCATAATATATCCTATTTTTGCCATGTGTATACATTGTGTCACAGAAAAGATGACTGCAAATTTTAGTTTTGCTTACTTAATAAAATAGACAATCATAAAACTTTGTATTTAATTTACCTCTCAATGAGAAAGAATAAACTATATGTGGCATGATGAGTTATTAGAAAGTATCAGGCTTATAAGTGGGAATTTAACTCACTTTGCCATACCTTCCATAATCATGCCTATATGTATACAAAAGGTCTCAGATTGTTGTCCAGCTGAAAAATTACAAAAGTGCTTAATCCACAGAGCAAAAAAAAAACTATGACCATTTTAGTAATAGTTTTGTAGTCATGCTGTATTGTTTCAGGAAAAATGACAAGAAGAAAAAGGTTTGTACATGTTCAATACTGGCAAAATCATTCATTTTCCTTTTGTTAAGGTCACAAATGGTGAATATCAAAAGAGGATATAATAAAACCATAAGAAATACAAATTCTTACAAATGTCTAAATATTCCCCATTTACTCCAGGGACTTGATAGTTATCTTAAAGACAGAATAGTTTAAGCCAGTTAGTTGGACTATAGACATTGTTCTTGTCTACTCCAATAGTTCTTAGCTTTTTGGCACTCAAAATAATGTCTCTCAATATCTGTGTGGGGTTGGTTTCAAAACCCCCATGATTACCAAAATCTACAGATGCTCAAGTTTCTTATATAAAATGATGTAGTATTTGCATATGACTTACCCACATTTTTCCACATACTTTAATCGTTAGATTAATTTTAATATCTAATACAATGTAAATTCTATAAAATAGCTGTTATGCTATATTGTTTAAGAAACAATGATAAGAAAAAAAGACTATACATGTTTAGCACTGGCAGAACCATGCTTTTTCCATTTTTTTCCTTTTATATTCTCCAAAAATTATAGTTTATTCTTTCTTATTAAGAGGCAAATGGAATGGGCAAATATTTTCAATCCACAGTTGGTTGAATCCATGGATGCGGAACCCATTGATAGGGAGGTCTGACTGTATATATTTTACAAAGATGTTTGACTCAAGTATAACACACACACATACACACACACACAATATACACACATGTACATATATTCTACTACAAATGTTCACGCACACATGTTCAGTATATAGAACCATGTATGTTTACATATGTATAACCCTGTGTACCACCATATGAAAGAAGATATAGGGCATTTTTTAGTATCACAGAATGATCCTTTATGTTCCTACCCAACAGACACCATCATCCACATACTGTGATTACTACTAGTCTTATTTCTCACATAGTAAAAATTTCATTTGTTTTTGAGCTTCATATTAATATAAATACAATAATAAAGTATATACATTAAAAAAACAGGTCTATGCAGGTATAATTTACATATAGTAAATCATCCTTTAAAGGTATACAGTTATGATTTTCACACACAGTCATGTAATCACCACCACAGATAAATAAGATATAAAGCATTTCACTGACCACCACAGTTCCCTCATTTGACTTTATAGGCAATACCCCTCCCTAAAATTCAAGTTCTAAAAAACACTGGCCTGTTGTTTACTCCTATGAGTTTGACTTTTCAAAATATATAAATGAAATCATATTATGTATAGCCTTTGAATCTCATAAGTCATGTGTGATTCATCCCAGTTGGTTGTATCAGTATTCTGTTTCTTTTTGTTAATGAGTAGCATTTAATTCTATGGATGCACCACAGTTTATCCTTTCACCATAGTTGATATACATTTGGATTCTCATTTTGGGTGATTATGAATAAAACATCTGCAGATATTCACCTACAGAATTGCATGGTGATGTATACTTTCATTTCTCTTGAGTTAAAACCTAGAAGAGAGCTTGTTAGGTCGTGTGGTAAATACATGTGCAATATATATGTGTAAATAAAAGACTGTTCTCTGAAGCAATAGACTTTTTTGCATTTTGCATCAATGATGCTTGATAAAGTTGCCCTTCATCTTCACCAGTATATAATAGTATACAATTGTAGTTTCAATTTTACTTTTCCAAATGAGTAGCGATGTTCAGGGGCATTTTACATCCTTAACTTCTATCTTTATATATTACTTAATAAAGTATCTGTTCAAATTTTTTATTGATTTTAATTGAACTGTTTGTCTTAGTGAGGTGTATGTTATCAATTAAGGGTGCTATAACAAATATAACACAAACCGCTTGACTTAAACAACAAATCATTTATTTCCCAGTGTCAAGGCTCGAGAGTTTCAAGATCAAAGTACTAGCAGATATAATCAATGTATGGTGAGGACTCACTTCCTGGTTTGCAGGTGGCCATCTGCTCTTTGCCTCCTTATATGGTGGCAAGGAGGGAGGGGGAGAGCGCATGCTGGAGGGAGGGGGAGACCACATCCTCATATGGTGGCAAGGAGGCCAGGGGGACAGAGAGAGAGAGAGAGAGAGAAGCCCCTCCTATGAGGGCATTAATCTTATTCACAAAGCTCAATGCTTACGACCTGTTTACCTTCCAAAGGCCCCACCTCCTAATGCCATCACATTGGTTAGGGTTTTAACAAATAAATTTTGGGGATACACACACATTCAGCCCATAATTTGTGATAGTTCTTTGTATATTCTGAATACAAATCCTTTCTCAGATATGCATTTTTTCGTTTTCTTACGTTTCAAAAATGAAACTTGAGATCAAGTGTAATAAATATTTTTTAAAATTTATATTGTGTTTTGGTGTGCTAAGAAAGCTTCAGTTTTCCCAAGGTCTCAATAAGTTTTGCAATGTGTTTTCTGGAAATTTTCGTATTTTAGTTTAGTTCTAGTTTTAAATCAATGATACAGTTCATGTTAATATGGAACTTGACACAAAGTTTGATTGAGTTTTATTTATTTTACTTGTAGGTGCCCAATTTTTTAGTGCCAATTTCCTTTAAAAAATCCTATCCCCATTAAATTCCTTTAGCAAATTTGTTAAAAATCAATTGAATTTTTTTAACTCTATTTTTACTTTTTATTATTTTTTACTCTCTACTCTGGCCATTGGTCTGTGTGTCTTTCTTTTGCCTTCATTTTTTAAAGCATTTTCACTGGCATTTTTGTTGATAAAATTTTGTTTTTCATTAACCACCTCAAAATGTCAGTTAAATGACACTCCGTTGTTTTCTGGCTTGCTTAATTTTGATGAGAAATTCTATAATTCTTATCTTTGTTCTTCTATATGAGATCTATCTTTTTTCTGTCTTCAAGATTGTTTTTTTGTATTTGATTTCCAGCAATTGGACCATGTCTAGAATTTTTTGTTATTAATGCTTTTGCTGTTGTTGCATTTGTTTCTTTTGAAACGATCTGTATTTTTTCAGTTTGATGTATTTTATGTATGATTCTTTTGAAAATTGTTTGCGGTTATCTATCCAAATATTCTGCTACCTTCCCTCTTTTTTTCTGTATCTTGAGTTACGCATATGTTAGATTTTTTGATATTATCCCACAGCTCTTGTTTGTTCTATCCTTTTTCTTTATGTTTTAAGCCCTTTTTGGTTGTGTTCTATTTTCTTATTTTTCAATTTTGGTAATTTCTATTAACATGTCTTCAATTTCATCCATTATTTTCTTAACTGTCTTAAGTTCATTTATGAGCCCAGATAAATAATTATTCTTCATACTTTGCTAAATTTTATAATTTTCATTTTATACTTTCTTTTTTTTCTCTCTCTCTTTTTTATGAGATGGAGTCTCGCTCTGTCACCCAGGCTGGAGTGCAATGGTGCAATCTCTGCTCACTGCAACCTCCACCTCCCAGGCTCAAGTGATTCTTCTGCCTCAGCCTCCTGAGTAGCTGAGATTACAGGTATGAGCCACCACCACCACACCCAGCTAATTTTTATATTTTTAGTAGAGATGGGGATTTGCCATGTTGGCCAGGCTGGTTTCGAACTCCTGACCTCAGAGGATCCACCCACCTCAGCCTCCCAAAGTGCTGGGATTCTGTACAGGCATGAGCCACAGCACGAAGCCTTTTTTTGGGGGGGATGGGGTCTCACTCTAGCCCAAGCTGGAGTGCAGTTGCACGATCTTGGCTCACTGCAAGCTCCGCCTCTGGGGCTCAAATGATTCTCATGCCTCAGCCTCCCAAGTAGCTGGGACTATAGGTGTGCATCACCACATCCAGCTAATTTTTTGTATTTTAGTAGAGACGGGGTTTCACCATGTTGCCCAGGGTGGTCTCAAACTCCTGAGCTCAGGCAATCCACCGGCCTTAGCCTCCCAAAGTGCTGGGATTATAGGCATGAGCCACTGCGCCCAGCCAATACTTTCTTATAATTTCCATTTATCCTCTAAAATTTTCCCATCTGTTTATGGATGTTGTCCCCTTTAACATATTAGTCATTGTTATTTTAAAATACTTTGTCAAATAATTTCAGCACCTCGGTCATCTCTGTGTCTTGTTATATCTATTGTTTTTATCCTCATTATTTTTAAGCCTATTTTGTGTGTGCGTTTAAATTTTTTATTAAATCCTGGATATTAGGTGTAGAACTGTAGAAACTGAAGTAAATCATATTAACACCTGAAAATAGGTACATTTCTTCTCTCAGACATTCACCTTGGTGGTTTGGGTGAATCTAGTCAGGACTTTGCAGGGGTGATATTTTGTTGTTGCTGTGCTTAACTCCTGCTGTCGTATGGTAGATACATATGTAATATATATAGCTGCCATTACTTTGAGTTTGAAGTGAAAGCAGGGATGCTGGAATATTTTTCTTAGTGTTTTACACTCAGCTTTTGCTTCTATTTGCATGTCTTTAACATAAAGGGAGTTTCCCTGTATGCTCTTGCCCCTCTGAAAACAATATGCTTTTATTACTTGCTACTTGATGATTATTAGGCTGGTGTTAGGTGGCCAACATGGTTGTTCCTTGTTTTAGTCAAGCCATAGTCTTAGGGCTTGAGAATGCCATTTATTTATTGTCCCTCTCCTGATCCCTGTGGTAGATAAATGCTACCCCTTATCTGTGCCAGATCTTGTATATGAGGGAGTTTCTTGCATCTCCCATATTAGTAGAAGATTTTTAATGGTACTGGTATAAGGTCCAGGCAGGGCACAGTGGCTCATGCCTGTAATCCTAGCACTTTGGGAGGCTGAGGTGGGTGGATCATCTGAGGTCATGAGTTCGAGACCAGCCTGACCGACATGGAGAAACCCCATCTCTACTAAAAATACAAAAGTAGCCGGGCATGGTGCCACACACCTGTAATCCCAGCTACTCAGGAGGCTGAGGCAGGAGAATCACTTGAACTTGGGAGGTGTGGAGGTTGTGGTGAGCCAAGATCATGCCATTGCCCTCCAGCCTGGGCAACAAGAGCAAAACTCCATCTCAAAAAAAAAAAAAAAGATATTGGGTCCAGGATTGTTTCCTATTTTGCTTTCTTTTTGGTCTATACTTCTGCTAGCCACGGTCAATCTTTTCCTATGTTCTGAGGGTGAGACGGCTTGCTGTCAGTTTCCCAGCATTTTAAGCCTTTTGCTCTGTATGAGAGTAGGGTCTAGGCAGGTGGCTGAGGTTTTTGTGCCCTTCAACCATCAGCTTCCAGTTATCTATTTTACACCAGGACCATAGACAGAAGTTCTCTCTGGTCTCCTGTACACCTGCCAGTCTTTCTACTGAGCACCTTACAGTTTCATAGAAAAGAATCCATAGGTGAATGTGAAGTCTCCTTGTGTGGGGGGCTTTGTTACATTTTTTATTTTCATCTCTATTAATATCCTGAATGTGAGCAGATGAGCTCTTGGATCTGAGACAAGTTTCTTGTTAGCCAGCTTATAGTAAATAATAAGTGTGCCAGTCCCTCTTTCCATAGACATTACCCTTTGTGCAATGAGATAAAAGCAAGAGGGGAAACTCTCCTGCATTACTAGTCAAACACCCCATAGGCAAGGGGTAAAGAACAATGGACTCTCTCAATTTATAGGTGATAAGAGACACAGGTCCCCTTCTCCTCCACAAAAGAAAGAATACAATAATATAAAAACTTTTGCTCCTTAAAATTAAATGGAAATCATCCTGAATCCTCACTCTTACTTTTACAAGGTAAAGACATCTTTCTATGGGCCAGTTAACCCCAAGAATCTCTGGCTTCTACAACCTACAGCCATCTATAAAGTCTTGCTTTTAGTATTTGAAATGTGAATATTGATAACTACATTAATATCTATATAGGAAGAGAGCATTCCAAGTTTCCTGGCACCTTAGGAATTCGCCTAGGAAACTGATCCAGGCTGTAATCATTTGGCTGCATCTGGAAAATAAGATAAGTTTTATTATCCTTTTAGATCGGAGCAACAAACTAGAAAATGGCTACTGATCTAACTCTAATAGTGTGTGAAGAGTAAAATGTTCCCAGGGGAAGTGAAAGCAAGTATTCTCTATTTTTCTATTGTATACAGTTCTTTTCCTGTCTCAGGAAAGGAGGGCTTTTTTAGGATCACTAAGATTTCCAGAGAAGTTTTATTTCTCCACAGGCTCCCATGGGTTCCACATTGTTGCAAGTAGCGCATACCTGGCCTTTAACATTTTTTTTTCAATTTTCAATCATGTTTTCTTACCCACTTTTTGGACAGCTGGCGCCTTCTATGTGGTCTGCCACAGATACGTCAGTCAACATCCATCATTTCTCCTTGAAAATACCTGTCCTTCTTTAGAATTTAGGCTACTTAGCTCTGTAAACCTGGTTCTCTGATGGGTTCAGTCAAAGTTATTATTTTGTACTGTACCCAGATTTTCTCACTGTTAGATCTGGAAGTTACACTGCTAGCTTCCTGTATCCTAGATGAAAACAGAACACATATTATTTATTCTTTGATGTCTAGTTTCTTTTACTCAGCCCTATGCTTGCAAAATGTGTCTATGTTGTTTTACCTTGTAGAAGTCTATTCTTTTCTACTGCTAGTAGTATTCTGCTGTATGAACATTCTATAATTTAGTTATACATTCTCCAGTTGATGAACATTTAGATAGTATCCAATTTGGCTTTATGATGAACAAAGCACTATGAACATTTTTATGCAGATGTTTTTGTAGAAGCACACTCATAAATTTTGGAGTGATACTGCCTTAACTTACATAGATATATATTTAACTTTAGTGGGTAAACTAAACAGATTTAAGAAGTGACTAGCAATCTGCACCACCATAGCAAACTATGAGAATGTTTGATCCTTCACACCCTTGACAACGTTGATATTATTGGTGTTTTCAATGTTAATATTACTCAGTAATAATTGTGAATATTCTCAATTTGACCTTCTGTATTGAGCATAGAATTTAACACTTGGATAAAATTTTGCTCCAGTTTACAATATTTAGTTATTTATCTTTTTCACTCTTTAAACGAATCAATATCAGGATTGAGAGAGCACATTGAGGATATTAGTCAACCTGGTTTCTTTTAATGCTTATTTGTTTTAAAGGTGAGGAAATGTTTGAAATAACAGAATAATATAGAAAACAGAATTTGCAGACTACCTCTGGGTTGCAACTGTTTCTTCATTACTATGGATATAATATAGGAATTATATTTATATTTATGAGTAAGAGTGTAGTTTATGTCATTAAATAACTCTTCCCAAATGATACATACATTTTGACTTAGAGAGAGCTATTCAGAATATCTGTATAAATATTCTCCAGCTCCTATCAAATTATTTACATCATTGATTTCACAATTCTGTCTGCATACAGTTGAAAGTCTTTCAAAAATCAATGCATCAACGTTGCACCAACATACTTTTCTAGAAAGCAGACATAAATTGACTAGCTTTCCCTTGTTAATGGATTTGTCATGTAACTAAGCTATTAGTTTGTGCTTATGTCTGACAGTTACCTTGTTATCAGGCCAAGAGTAATGTGCTAATATTTGAATTTAGTCATATGCAATGATTTTTGATGACTTTATAGCCAATGCTAAGGTACAGAGAAAGGAAGAAAATGCTTTGCTTTAGTTTAGAAGTTGGTACACAGACCCACTATAATGTTATATTTAATAAGAGAAAAAGTCAGATTTTCCCCCAGAAAAGGGGAATCAGTCTCTAAGTTGAGGTATGTTTGGGTGTTTTCTTCACATTATCAACAGCAAGCTGTCTTTCATGTCTAGGATTCACCAGACAAATGATAAATGTCTGATACTCAGTGAATTTGACATTTGGCATGAGAAAAATAGAGGTCTTTAGGCCTTATTTTAGTTCCCAGAATTGAAAGAGCATGCACAACCATATCCGTCTCCTGGATTAACCATAGCTTGTTATTAACTAACAGTGAAAGATGAAATATTAGATATGTTCTGAGGAGTCAAATAAAGTACACGACATGAAAACAAAAAACAATAAGGCATGTTAGAACACATCTCTTTTCAAGCCTCATCCCATATTCTATCACTATAAGAAAGAATTTCCTGCTTTCCAAACTAACAGTGCTTAGTGAAGAGAACATTGTATGTCCCATGTAAAAAGTAAACCTAGCAAACAAAAGTTACCTCTTAAGACCCTGAGTGTATGGATATCACCCTGTTCAAGGAAAGGCAAAATGTGAATATATTTTGTCATAGTTCCTGCTGTGTTAACAGGTAATCTTGTGCTACTGCAGGCAAAGTTCACTCTCTATTTTACAGTTTTCCCAGAGGCTTTCAAATCTAATTAATCACTTATCTATTTAAGCGATACATGTGGTCTGTTCAGAGAAAGAGAGAATAAGTATAACATTTGTCTTTGAAACAATTAAGAAAAAAATACAGTTGAAAAATTAACACAAAATGCAGTAGACAACATAACTTTGGGTTATAACATGGTACTCAGGGTCAGTGTTTAGAATATCAATTATTATTGAACAGAAAATATTTAATACTACTGCATAATAATGATTATGATCAAGACAATGCCCAGTAACAGATGACACAGAATATATTTTCACTCTTATTCACTAGTGTGTCTGTAAAAATGTGGTAGTATGGGAAACAAAAAGACAACCTATAATTCACATACAAGTACCAACGTTATATAATTTAATTTACTAAAACATAAACTAGAAAATAAGTAACCTGGGATAGATTCATGGCAACAGTGAACTGAAAGGGATGCCTTCAGAAAGGGCATCAGTGAATAGCAGATTGTTTTAGCATAAAACAATTGTTTTATTTCTAGCTAATGGGACTGTTCTGAGTGATTGGATAGTGATGAACAAGACAGACAAATCTCTGTTTTCCTGGAGTTCACTTTCTGTAACAGGGAAGATGTATAGTAAATAAGCAAAAAAGAAAATACCATATAATCAGGGCGGAGACAAAGTATTTCAGATCCAGCTGAGAAGTGAGAAAAATGTGGATGTCGTGCTGGATATCAGAAATACTTTTGAAGTTAAATTGACAGGATTTGTTATAGAGATGCAAATTTATATAAACCTTGGATATGAAATATGGTAGTCTGTGCATATTACATAGACATAAATATACAGACATTTTTGAGAGCTTAATTTCATGTTGTTTTTACAAATTACTATTTCATTCCTTCCCAGGCCTACAGAGGGATAAAACATGTGTTACAACCTATGTGGCCCTTTGAATCTCCTTAAGTGTTCTGATGATTGCTTTACTTGACTTCTCAAACACATTTAATATATTATTCTAATAAAAGCCTTGATCTTTGTGATCATAATGAATACAGAGTAGAGAGTTTTGTTTATGAAATATTGTAATAAGGAAAATACGAGATAAAGCATTCTTTGATGCCCAGCCTGTTCAAATTCACAAAATTAGCCATCATAAATTCTCTGCTGATTTTCCAGCAATGCCAGAATACTTTCTTTTTAAAAAACCAACTAGGGGAACATATAATAATCTGAGCAGTGATCAGCATACCAACACATCTTTCTCTCGTAGTATTGATCACCTCATCATCTACCTCTGCCTCCTTCCTGTCCCTTTCACTCATTCTTCTCTTCATATGTCTCTGTTCCCTTTTGTGCGTATGTGTGGTGTGTGTGTGTGTGTGTGTGTGTGTCTTTTTGGCTCCCTCTTCCATTTCTATCTCTTCTTTTACATCTCTCTCTTTATTCCTCAATTTCTCTATTTCCCATCATGCTTTCCTACAACTCCCATCTCTCACCTACTATGTCCTCCATATGTGGATCTTTGTAAATGCTCCTCTCCTTAAATGGCCAATAGCCTTAGCTATATTAATTAATAAAGAACAGACATATGAGCCAAGCTACAGTGATAATACCCCGATATACTGGTCCTAGTGTACATGCATGCATACACTCCCATGACCATAGATTTCTGCTCAAGGTAACTGATTGGCATTCCAGGAAGGTCTGAACTGATCACAATCTTATAGGCCATAGAACGATGACTTTTCTGTTTACTGCAGAGAAGCTCATAGTGCTCTGTCAGCACCATCATGGCATACATTATATCATTTTAGCACTCTTATATTTTCTTCAACTCAGTCTGATGCAGCAACCTGCCCCCATATTGCTCAGAGTCCAGTCAGATAGTCTCATGCCTCTCACTGTGCACACCTCATTTATGCCATCCATTCCATGCTTACTCACTACTAAGGTTCAATACACCGCAGGACCTTCTCAGAACCCATGATATAGCCCACCTTATCAGATTAATGACATTTTCAGCTTCCAGCCAGCAAATAAATACTGCCACTGGCCAATTTTTCCTCGCTGACTCACTGTGCAGTTTATGGCATGTGTGGTGAATGCTGCTGCTACTCTTGCACTGATCCAGCCTTTCCAGGAGCTGCCTTCAGAGGCCAGGGAATAAAACCTGGAAGAGTGGGGATAGTTAATATCCAATGGGGTAAACGTTGACTCATGAGAGATAGGAGATGGAAAGGAGCTGGTGAATAAATTCTCTTCCACTTCTAGTAATTATTCTGAGGTCCTATGTTTTCATAAAGTCTTGTTTGAGAAATGCTGCTTGATGAGAAATCAGCTGTATTTTATGATGATGCTTTTGCCAGTTTGGTCATTTGCCTTTCTTTCTTTCTTCCCATGCTGCCTTTTCCTTCACTATTATTTTTCTGGGTTTGCAAGCCCCCTAAAATGTTTGTTTCAGATTTGGTCTTCCCGGGAAATAATACTAGAAATTCTTTCCAAAGTTGCAATTACTAATCTCTATGGTGGCCATAAAACCAAGTCAGGCCACTTGAAGTCCAGCCACACTATTTTTTTATTGATATATAATATTTATACATATGTATGTGATACATGTGATTTTTTTGTTATAGGCATAGAATGTGTAATGGTTCAAGTCAGGGCATTTAGGGTATCCATCACCTTGAGTATTTATCATTTATGTGTGTTAAACACATTTCAAGTCTTTGAAATATGCAATACTTTCTTGTTTACTATAGTCTCCCTACTCTGCTATTTAACATTAAAATGTACCTTTTCTATCTAACTTTATGTTTCTACCCATTATCCAACATCTCTTAATTCCCTCCCACCTCTCTTAATCTCTTAATTCCCTCCCAACCCACATTCTTCCTAGTCTCTGGTATTTTTTTATTTTTTTTTTGGATTTTTAGTAGAGACCGGGTTTCACTGTGTTAGCTAGGATGGTCTCGATCTCCAGACCTTGTGATCCACCCGCCTCAGCCTCCCACAGTGCTGGATTACAGGCGTAAGCCACCGCACCCGGCTGTCTCTGGTATCTTTTACTCCACCCTCTATATTCATGAGATGAACTTTCTTCACTCTTACATATAATAAGAATATTAAATATTTTTCTTTCTGTTTCTGGTTGATTTCACTCAACACAATAACCTCCAGTTCTATACATGCTGCTGCAAATGACAGAATTTGCTTGTTTTATTATGGCTAAATAGCATTCCATTGTGTATATATACCACATTTTCCTTATTCATTTATCTATTGCAGGGCACTTAGGTTCATTTTATATATTTGCTATTGTGAATAGTGCTGTAATAAACATAAAATTGCAAGTAACCCTTTGATATACTGATTTCCTTTCCTTTGGATAAATAACCAGTAGTGAGATTGCTGGATCATATTGTTCTATTTTTGGTTCTTTAAAAAAATCTCCATCCTGTTTTCCATAGTGGCTGTGCCAGTTTACATTTCTATCAATAGTGTATACAAGTTCCTTTTTCTCTGTATCCTCTCCAGCATCCTTTATTTTTTGTCTTTTTAGTATCAGCCATTAGAAAACAGACATTCTAAGTGGAGTAAGATGATACATAATTGTGGTTTTGGTCTGCATTTTCTTGATGATTAATACTTTTGAGCATTTTGTATATACTTCTTGACAATTTATATATATTCTTTTGAGAAATGTCTATTTATATCCTTCGCTCACTTTTTGTGGAATTATTTGTTTTTTTTTTCATTGTTGAGTTGTTCAAGTTCCTTGTATAGTCTAGATTTAGTCCCTTGTTGGATGAATAATTTTTGGTTCTAGAGAAATACTAAAATTGTTTTTTTCAATTTCTGGGAAAAAGATGTTGGTGTTTAGAAAGGCATTGCATCAAATTTTTAGATTGCTTTGGATAGTATTTTTCTTTTAACAATATTGATTTTTCCAATCCGTAAGCATGAGATGCCTTTCCATTTGTTTGTGTGTTCTTCAAATTTTTTCATCAGCATTATGTAGTTTTGCTTTTGTAGAGGTCTTTTATCACCTTGATTCAATTTATTTCTCATTTTTTGTAGCTATTGTAAATGTCTTCTTGATTTATTCTTAGCTGGCTGATTATCTTCTTGATTTCTTTCTCAGGTAGTTCATTAATGGTGTGTAGAAATGATACTGATTTTTATATATAGGTCTTGTATCCTGCAACTTTACTATATTTATTCATCAGATTGAGCTATTTTGGTGAAGTCTTTAGGTTTTCCTAGGTAGAAGATCATGTTGTCTCTAGAGAGGGGGTAATTTGACTTCCTCTTTTCCAGTTTGGATTCCTTTTATTTCTTTTTCTTGCCTGATTGCTCTGGCTAGAATTTCCAGTACTTTGTTGACTAGGAGCAGTAGATGTGTGCACCCTTGTTGTACTCCAATTCTTAAAGGAAAGGCTTTCAACTTTTCCTCACTCTGTATAAGGTTAGCTGTGGGTTGTCATATATGGCCTTTATTAGTTTCCTTTTATGTCTAGTTTGTTGAGAGTTTTTATTATGAAAGGATGCTGAATTTCATCAAATGCTTTTTCTGTGTCTACTAAGATGACCATGTGGGTTTTGTCCTTCATTCTGTTTATGTGATATACCACATTTATTAATTTACATATGTTGAATCAGCCTTGCATACCTGGTATAAATATCAAGTATGATGATGGCTGTTTTTGGTCTGATGTTGGATTTTGTTTGCTACTATTTTGTTGAGAATTTTTGTGTCTATGTTCATCAGGGATAGTGACCTGTAGTTTTCTTTGTTGTTACACCTTGTCTGGTCTTGGCATCATGGTAATGCTGGCCTCATAGAATGAGTATGGTGAATTGCTCCTCTTTAATTTACTGAAATAGTTTGAGGTGAATTGGTATTAGTTGTTTTTTTGCACTTGGTAGAATTAGGAGTGAAGTCATCGAACCTGGGCTTTTCTTTGTTAGGAGACTTTTAATTACTATTTCAATCTCATTATTCATTATTGTTCTGCTCAGGTTTTGTATTTCTTCCTGATTCAATCTTAGTAGTTTGTATGTGTCCAGTAATTCATCCATTTCCTTTAGATTTTGCAATTTGCTAGTGCATAGTTGTTCAAAATAGTCTCATAATCTTTTGTGTTTCTGTTGTTGTAATGTCTCCTTGGTCAATTCTAAGTTTGCTTCTTTGGGTCTTCTCTCTTTTCTTGTTAGTTAGTCTAGCTAGTGGCCTATCAATTTTGCCTATCTTTTCAAAAAAAAAAAACAAATTTCATTTTATTGATTTTTTTTTGTTTTTGTAGTCTCTGTGATATGATTTTGCTGTGTCCCCACCCAAATCTCACCTTGAATTGTAATAATCCCCATGTATCAAGGGTGGGGTCAGGTGGACATAATTGAATCATGGGGGTAGTTTCCCCCATACCACTTATTCTCGTGGTAGTGAATAAGTCTCACGAGGTCTGATGGTTTTATAAATGGGAGTTCCCCTGCACAAGCTCACTTGCCTGCCGCCCTATATGATGTGACTCTGCTTCTCCTTTGCTTTCCTTCATGATTATGAGGTCTCCCCAGCTGTGTAGAACTGTGAGTCCATTAAATCTTTTTACTTTATAAATTACCCAGTTTAGGGTATGTCTTTATTATCAATGTGAGAACAGACTAATGCACTTTATATCATTTAGTTCTGCTCTGATTTTATTATTTCTTTCCTTCTACTAGTTTTGGTTTTGGTTTGTTTTGTTTTTGCATTTCTTGTTCTTGAGATACATTGTCAGATTTTTTATTTGAAATCTCTTTGCTTTTTTGATGGGGTTGTTTATTCCTATAAACTTTCCTCTTAACACTGCTTTCACTGTATCCTGTAAGTTTCAGTGTGCTGTGTTTTGATTTTCATTTGTTTAAAAAAATTTCATTTCTGTTTTAATTTCTTTATTGATTCAATGTTCACTCAGGAACATATTGTTTAATTTCCATGTATTTTTACAGTTTGCAAAGTTCTTCTCAGTATTGATTTCTAGTTTTATTCCATTGCTGTTCAAGAAAATACTTGATATGATTTTGATTTTTTAAAAATTTGTTGAGATTTGTTTTGTAGCCTAAGGTATGGTCTATCCTGGAGGATATTTCATCTGCAGATGAGAAGAAGGTATATTCTGCAGTTATTGGATGAAATGTTCTGTATATGTCTGTTGGATCCATTTGGCCTAAATCCAGTTTAAATCAAATGTTTCTTTGTTGATATTCTTTCTAGATGATATGTCTAATGCTGCAAGGTGTTAAAGTCTCCCATATGATTTATTTTTGGTTGTGAACAGTGTCAGTGGTGTCATGATTTCCTCATAGGCTTGGATATGGTTGTTAGTGGAGTCTCTGGTAAGGCTTTACTGGACTTAGGGATGCCAGGTGGGCCATTTCTCAAGCCCCAGTGGTGACAGTGGTGGGCCAAATGTACCTCTCTTTGGGACCCCAGGTAGTGTATGCAGGCTCCTGTATTAGTGGATTCAGGGAGGTTAATTCTTAGGATCCCAGATGGCCAGAGTGACCATGGTCAGTTGGATAGGTGGGCAGGTTCTTGGGCCCCTGGGCATGGGCGATGGTAGTAGCTGTGGTTGAACAACCTTCTAGGTCACAGGTAGCACTCGCTAATGATAGCTGTGGCTATGATGGGCTTGGTGAGCCAGTTCCCAGGTGCTCAGGTGGCATATGCTATTGGTTGCCAGCAGTGGTGTTGGCAGCAACCTGGGGGTCCCATCTTCAGGTCTCTGGGAGAATGATAGCTGTAGCTATGAATGGCTTGGTGAGCCAGTCTCCAGGTACTCAGGTGGCACATTCTATTGGGTGCCAGCAGTGGTGTTGGCAGCAAGCTGAGTGGTCACATCTTCAGATCGCTGGGAGATGCTAGTGGTGCTACGCTGGGTAGGCTGTTCCCTACTCTCCTGGGTGGCATTCTTGAGCCTGGGTGGGGGGTTTGTGCCAAGCCAGGTGGACCTACGCTTAGGCTGCCTAGTGGTGCAAATAAGCATAGGCTGTAGTAGGTAGGATAAGGCAATACCTAGTAATGTGTATGAGAGCCTGACCTCAGGGTGCCTGCAATTGTGCAGTGGATCTGCTGTTTGGAAAGGTAGGATTGCTGTCAGAGGGAGCAGGCCCAGGTAGGTAGATGACTTCTAGGTCCCAGGGAGCAAGTACTTTGGACCTCAGCAGGAGTAGCCACAGCAGTGTGAAGGGAGAGACTGTTCTCGGGGTGAATGCAGGGGCACAGGGTCCTGCTGCTGGTGAAGGCAGAGTTGCTGTCAGCCTTCACAAGCAGGCAACCCTCAGTCTCTGGAGAGCACAGGCTGTGATTCCCTTTGTTCTCGGGGAAGCTACCACAGCATGATGCACCACCCTTTCCCCAGGCATAAGACTCTGTGTGGGTTACAATGCTGGGGACCCTGCCACGCTGTCTGATCTAGCTGACATTGAGCCAATGCAATTCTCTAGGTACATCCACATTATTTTTCAAACATGGGCTGGTGGAAGAAGAGGTTGTGAGCTAATACAGTCTCTTAGAGAAAGATGGTGATAAAGTCATAATAAATGTTCAGAATTAAACCATGAAATAAACAAATATGGGGGGGGGGGCACAGGCATGTGATTATTTTGGTTTCTGTCTTCCTAAGACTTAGTTACTTAGCTGTACTCTCTGTTTTGTTTGCTATCCCAGATTTCCACCAACAGATCTACCATTTAGCTTAGGCTAGTTTAATTAGATATCAGACACTTGCAAACAAATGTCTTGAGTTGTAGCCAAATTCATAAGATTCCATTATGTGTCCTTCTTTTCAACTAGTCTTTCAAAGGCCATGTTTTGACTTATGTCATCCCACAGCTATTAGGTCTGACTATTTTAGCTTCACTTTCTGCCATATGAATCTCTGTTTTTCCTCACTCTGATGTTTTGGATGACATTTATCTTTTTTTTCTTCTAAATCTCAGGTTAAATTTTGGAAAATGAAAAAAAGGAAAGTTAATAGATTTGAAGGTGAGTGAGCATCAACAGCAGTAAAATTCTGTTAAATTATATGCTATTTCTAAAAAAATGTAGAACCCCATAGAAGGCAAAAGAAAAAAAATGAAAGGATAGAAAATGTATTTTGAAAGTGAACACATTTAAAATTTGATCTGAATTTGAAATTCTTCAGTTATTAGCTGGAATTGGACCAATTTCTTATCATCTCTGAGCTTCAGTTTCACCAGAATATAGTAAAGATTGAGTTAAGACATTAAGTGTATTAGTTCATTTTCACACTACTGATAAAGACATACCCTAGACTGGGCAATTTATACAGGAAAGAGGTTTAACGGAGTTATAGTTCCACTTGGCTGGGGAGGCCTCGCAATCATGGCATAAGGTGAAAGGCTCATCTCACAGGGTGGCAGACAAGAGAAGAGAGCTTGTGCACGGAACCCCCCGCTTATATAACTATTAGATCTTGTGAGACTTATTCACTATTATGAGAACAGCATGGAAAACACCTGCCCCCATGATTCAGTTACCTCCCACCAGGTCCCTCCCACAACACGTGGGAATTCAAGATGAGATTTGGGTGGGGACACAGACAAACTGTATCACTAAGATACTACGTAAACTGTGTAATAATTCCTGAAACATAATATACACTCTCAGCAATTTATGAACTTTATATTTGGGAGATTTAAGTAATCTATGCAAAATGCTAAATTGTGTCCTTTCTCATGATGTTAATGAATTAGCATATTTGCCTTTTTTTTGAGTAAATTTTGAATGTATCATCACAAAAAAATTAGTGAGGTGATAGATATGTATTGATTGATTTACTCACTCCACTTATATATGGATAAACATCTAAACATCACATTGTACACCATAAACATATATAAGTATTCTTTGTCAATTAAAACAATATTAACATAAAAGATTTGCCTTTTAATTGTTTCTCCAAAACTTTTTCTAATTTTTTATTTTATTTTTCTTGGAGACAGAGTCTCACTTTGTCACCCAGGCTGGAGTACAGTGGCCTGATGAATCCCAGGTTCAAGTGATTTTCATGCCTCAGCTATCGGAGTAGCTGGGATTGCAGGCGTGCACCACTACCTCCCTCACCCCTCGGCTAACTTTTGTATTTTTAGTAGAGACTGGATTTCACCATGTTGGCCAGGCTTGTCTCAAACTCCTGAGCTCAAGTGATCCACCTGCCTCGGCTTCCCAAAGTGCTTGGATTACAGGCATGAGCCATGGTGCCCAGCCATTTTTTCTAATTTCAAATATTAAAACATACATATTATAGATATATATATAAGCACACACACATATATATATGCCAACTTCCCAGATAATTCTACTCATCCTTTATACTTTCTGCAAATATCGAATCTCTAATATTACCTCGTTTGTGCATTTTTACGGTGGTTTTTGCAATACTGCATGCTAACTAACAATGATTGACAAGCAAGCTACGTATCTGAAGTAGGTATTTTGCCATTTCCAGAATGTGAGGGTTCCCTTCTTTTCCAATATCACATTTACCAGTTTGTTAACCACTCAGGTGTTTATGCAGAGCACTATGCAGTTTTTCTTTTGGCTGGGTGTATCTCACTATCTCACTTGCCTCCGTGACTCATTCCACAGCACTGTAGTCCTGTTAATTCTTAAATTCTGTTCTATGTTTGTGGAGTCACACTGAATTTGCCAGAGGAATTTTGTTAAGGATGTTTCTATGGAGAGAAGAGTACCTCAGTTTCCTTCCCAGATGTGTACGGTATCTTTCAAAGGCCCTGACCGGGACTAGGATGCTAAGACGCTGACCAGGGAGCCGCTCTAGGCTGCCCTCTGGTGGGCAGACTGGAGCTAAGGACACTGAAAGAAGTCCAATCAGACTGAAATTGTATCACTTCAGCAAGCAGAGAAGAAAATTCAGGCATTCATGAGCTTACCATAGCCAGAGCCTGGTCTATAGATTTCGCTCAGCAAAGGTCCCAGGAAGCAGGCCTGAAAGCCACTGGAGGAGGGGGGCCGCACCTGAAATCTCATTTGCAGCTGTTACGGACCCTGTCATTCCCTTACCTGTCAATGGGCAGGTAAGAATAGGGAGTTTATTTGAATGAATTTCCAAGGCACTAGTAAGACAAAGAGATGATAAAAGTTTCCTTTAGAATACCTATAGTGATGACCAAAAAAATGCCTCACATCACCGTGAGCTGTAGAGGGGACAGAAAAAGATGTTACTACCGGAACATGAAACCCAGCATCAAAATTCAAGTGAAAATTTACTGCAGGAGAAATAGAGTGCTTACAAGTAAACAGAAGTCGTCATCAGTTGCCAGTTCAAATTCCAAAAAAACACCTACTGTCAAATATCTAGTATCCATGAAGTTAATGAAAACAGTGTGATTCATATGGCATGGACTTTTGGTACCAAATATTTGAAGTCTTTATTTTGGAACTGAGTGGAGAGTAAATTCCATCTGAGTGTACTTTACAGCAACACCACCAAGAGAATTCTGCATTCTTATCTAAACTTTGAGACATCAGAAAGTAGTAGATAAATTATATTTGAAAATAACTAACTGCTAACTGAATTTTTAACTTGCATTTTTACAACATGAATGTAAAAATGCAAGTTTAAAAATTATGTACCTGATACATATCTAGATGTAGATGAAAAAAATCTGGCCTAGTTTAATTGTTATTATAGCCACTATTTCTATGATCAACTGTTAACTACAAACTTTCACCTAATTTTCTTTTAAGAACATATATTATTTTTCATAGTTTATTTCCTAACATTCACATCAAAGAAGAGAAAACAATTATACATAGCATCAGGGAGTGATCAGATATAATTTGTTCAACAATGGGACCTGGCTACCTGCCTGTAGAAGAGCAGATGGAATTCTACAAATGACTTTCACTGTAGGGTCCCTTGACACACATTATGAGCCAAATAAATAGTGTGACACCCAATCCAATGAGTATCCCTGAACACTACTGATGTACACTTTTATGAGGATACAAATTGCACACTGATGAGCAATACCTGGTATGTGGAAACCTCGTTTAGACCACTGGCCACTTAGACACCTGTGTCCTGAAAGCACAAATTACCTTGTAACTGCTATTGGAAAAGCTACTGCCTACATTTTAAGTAGAATTGATTCACAAAAGTACAAAACAGTCTCATTTCAAGTTATCTATCTGTGTACAATTTAAGAAGTTTAAATCCTAAGTGTTTTAGGACAAAATCCTCATTTTTTTATTTTAGCAATTTTAAATGCACAGACCATGTACTTTGCTAACTGTAAATCTAGGTAGGCATTGAGACGACTATTCAGGGTATAGTTAGCACACAGTAGTTGATGACAAAACTAGATCTTCCTGTAGCTAGGACCTGATAAAAGTTTCAGGCTCTTGATTTTTGGAATTACCAGGAGAGGTTTACTAATAAAGAATTGTAGCTCTGGGTAATTGTTAGAGCCTGGGATTGATGGTCATCAGGAAAGAGCGTAAAGCTTGATAACAGTTGGTTAATTTGATTTGAAGAAGTTGTTGAAACAGCATGCAAATGTTCTTAATAAACCCAAGTATAGAGCTAGAAATAACATTATATTGCTGTTTTTTTCTCCTAATTTATTTCTCACATACTAATGACAGATCATAACTAAAATATGATTTAGTGCAGTAGAAGAACGTATAGTCAGGCTTTGTAGAGAAAATATTCACAGTTATATTACTAGATATGCAGACAGGTAAAAATTCATGGAAAGATAGTTACTTCTCTGTTTCTCAATCTTAGACCCTAATACTTTCTCCCATCATTCATAACAGATTATTTATTTTTAATTCACAGAGAATACAAAACCCACGAGACCAGAACTTTCAAAATTTGCTACTGACACAAATCTAAAATATTTAAAAAATATTTTAATTGTGGTAAAATGCACATAAACACATTTGCCATCTTTCCCATTTTTAAGTGTATATTTTAGTAATGTTAGTATTTTTACATTATTGATAAAGCCTCACCACCATCCAACTCCAGAATCCTTTGCATTTCAGAAAACTGAAACTCAGTACCCATTGAACAGTAATTCCAGCAATATGTCCATAACTCATGATTTGCCTTTCCTTATATTTCAATAGAAGAAAAGTTTTTGCTCCTGTCCCAGCCAATAACTTCACCAATTCTCTGTACCTCATTTCTTCTCACCTAAACAAAGGCACGTTTTCTATAACTTTTCCATTTTTTTCTGCCCTACCTTCTCATTTTTAATTTTTTTTAATTATTTTGCATTGTCAAATTCTGTCTAACTCCATGCATAATGCTACTAATTAGCTACCTTGGTCATCTAAAAATTTCTTCCATAGTCACCTTATGTATCACTCAACATTCTTCTTTCCCCTGTGACACATTTCCTAAATAGAATTCTTTTCACTTCAAATCTATTTTTTTCTCAACTCCAATTAGCTTCATACTTCACTCCTATCAAACTTACCCCTCCTCATTCTATATAAACAATTTTCTTTAAGGTCAACAACATCTACCTTTTGCTAAATTCAATGGTTAGTTCTCTTTCTTCTTCCTTCACTGCTCTGTGTCAGATGCTACAGTAAACCACACATTTTGCTCTATGAAATATTTTTCTCTTTATGCATCTGCAATACCATACTCTTCTTGGTGCTTTATTAGATGCTTCTTCTTAATCTCATTGCTGGCTGTTTATTCCTTTCACAAACTCTTATTGTCAAAGTTCCCCAACTCTAACTCTTTTCATCAGTGATATTTTTATGCCTCAGATTATGTGCCTGCCACTGAATCCCAAACCTTTATGTTCAGTTCTAACCTCTTCTCTGGGCTCCAGTTTTATATTCAACTGTGCACTCACCAACTCCACCTTGATCCCAAAACGTAACAAATTCAAAGCAGACTTGATGATTCATCCGCCACTGTTCAATTACTGTCCCTTAGTTTCCTTTATTTCCATTTATGGCACCATTAGCTACCCAGTGGCTTAGGCCATTAATTCAGAACTCATCTTGGAAACTTTCTTCCCCCTCACATCCCATATCCAATCCATCAGCAAATCCTCTGGTATCACCTCCAAAATGTGTTTTGGAACCTAGAGGTTTCCACCATTACCACTGATAAAACCCTTGTCCAATTATCTGTAGATGGTGGTGATGATTGTACAACATTGTGAATTTAATTGATGTCACTGCAATGTGTACTTAAAAATATTTAAAATGCAAAGTTTATGTTATACATCTCTTTCACCCGGACGATGGCATGATCTTCCCAACTTGCCTCCCTGGTTTGTTCTTGTCTTTCTATGATGCATTCTCTCTGTAGCAGCGAATTTAAACACTTTAAAATGTAAGTTAGATATGTCAGTCCCTGTTTCAGATATCTCAATAGTTTCTCATTGCTTTGAAAATAAAATGGAAATTTCTTACCTGTTCTACAATGCCCTACATGTTCCTATCTTGGCCTAAATGTCCTACCTCATCTTTTACAACTCACATTCCACTCACTCTGTTCTACTTGTACTGGCCCATTTGCCGCGTCGTGAATACACCAGGCTGGTTCCATGCTTGAGGCTTTAGCAGTCGCGGCTTCTGCTCTAAATATATTTATCTATCTCATAGAGTGTTTTCTTTTCAAAATCCCCTTTTAAAGATATTGAATTTTAACCTTTCTTTTTATTTTCAATACAACTTAGAACAACTTCTAAAATATTTATTTTAGTCATGTCTCTCTTGTCAATTATTTCTCTGACTCAAATATAATCTAGGAAACTATAAAAATATTTTCTTTTGAAGATGGTCCCAATGGAAATTCAATGTATTAGATGATATGGGTTCGTTAAACCTTCTTTATATTATCAGATCCAAATGCCAGTGCCTGATAGCTGTGTCTTCATATATCACTGACAGAACTAAGTGCTTTGTCACAAACTTACATATTTTTTTCCAAGCAGTACTTTGTGATTTCTAAAATACACAAGAGCTATTTTTATTTTTATGACAGATATTAGCTAAGTATTCATATTCCTTTTGATGTTCCATCATAAAAATTATAAAACATATAATTTAACTTAGTGGAATATCTTTATATCTTATATATAAAAGATACATCTTTATAAGATATATATAAAAAGATATATCTTTACATCTTTTAGAAAACACAAAACAAAATCTGAGACAGTTTTTCTACCAGTAAAACCTAAATAATGTTTTTTCAGTCCTACCAAAAATTGTAAATTGTTTCCTTTGTTAAAGTTTATTCCTCATGCAATAAAGAGAATATTAAAAAGTAATATATTTTAACAATTATAAACTAGTTTAAACACAAAATAAATGGAAGATGGGAATTATATATAAGTTTATATATATATATATTTGTTTATATTACATATATAAATATAATTTGTTTGTTTGTTTGCCAGGCTGGTCTCGAACTCCTGGTCTCAAGTGATCCGCCCACCTCAGCCCCACAAAGTGCTGGGATTACAGGTGTGAGCCACTGTGCCCAGCAGTGGAAGATGAGGTGTAAAATATCAAAATCCCAATGCACAATATAGTAGAAAATATATTAGTTACAAACTGAAAAAAATGGTTTTCAGAAACAATAAATTCTACTTATTTTTGGAACATTTATTTAGATTTAGTCATATTAAATGTAAACACTTTTTCTCATAGATAATTATTTCTTTAAATACTATTTCCTTAGCTAAGAAGAATAAAAATAAACTGAAAGTAACATATTAACCACTCTATAATCTATTTTCAAGGGAGTAATAAAGACTTTGTAATCATTAAAAATAGAGAGAAATATTGAACTCTACTGCATCTTATTAAGAAAAACACCTTTCATATATTAAGTAGGTCTAATCCTTTGACTCTTTGGTTGGTCATAATGTTTATATAAATTCTAGGAAATGATTTCTGCATATTTATTCGCAGAATGAAAAGTTTAATTTCTTCATACCACCCTCCCCAGAAAAATTTAGAAAGGACAATGCAGTAACATAAGCCTGAATTTTAACAGGTCTTTTTGGTAGTAAGTAGTGCACACAATTTTCATGTATAGCTGCTCCAGTTTGCTTTTCCAGATTTCTAAGAGAATTTAGAGCTTCTTTGAAACCTGCAGTATGTTACTGCTGTGTAATATCTTGATTGATTTTCTGCTTAAATTGGGCATACGTGCAGTATGTTGACAATCAGAAAAAGCAAGGTGGGTGAATGTGATTCTCAGCACCTCCACACAAAACCCTGTGGAGTTCAGATGATACACCAAATTCAGGATCCTACTGGGCACACTTGGATTCATAGATTTAATTCTCCAGCACTGACAAAAAAAAAAAAAAAGATTTTTTTCTCCATTTAGTGGTTGCTCTTATTGGCCCATGAAGAAAGACCTACATTGATTTATACATTGTGTACGTGTTAGGCACTAAATGTGTGGGGGCAATCAACACTTCAAGGACTTACTTTTGTAAATTATATAAATTAGTCTTTCATTATTGAGGGCTTAAAAGACAATAGGGACGGCAGGGCACAGTGGCCCATCCCTATAGTACTGGGAAGTGAGATGAGAGGATCCCTTGAGCCCAGAAGTTGGAGTCTAGCCTGGGCAATGTAGTGAGACCCTGTCTCTAAACCAAAAAAAATAAAAAAGAAGAAGAGAGAGAGAGAGGGAGAAATAGATAAAGGGACAACAGGGAGCTTTTTACCTTCTAAGAATTCTTGCCATTCTTGCCACATGTCTAAATATAGTCTGTTTGAACTGATGAATGCTTTTCCGAAAAATAATGCATGCCAATTTGTTTGAAAGGTAATGTCTATTCTCATGATTGTATTGATCTTTGACATGGCTTCAACTGGTAAAATATGAATAAACCAGTAACTTGCTTTCCAAGTAGAGTTTGCTCTTTACAGAATGGAATTATCCTTTCCCCAATACTGATGAAACTTATTTAAATGATAAATGAGCAATGAAGGCTGCTGATCAGAAGGTTCCTGCTCACTGGAGATATTATGAGGGCTGATATTTTAGACCCTGCCTAATTCATTCTGAACACTCAACCAGGCATGTCTGTCCATAAAATTGACTTAGAAAGTAGATTTGCTGAGTTAACCAATGTAATATGAAATATTTCCTAATTGCTTACATTCTGTGTGTCTGTGTGCAGGGGGGTTAAATATGAAAAAAAAAATCATAATATATCTAACTACAGAGTTAAGAGGAACAGTTCTTAGCGTTTCTAGTCACAAAGTAGAATTTAATCATTAGTATCGGCAGGCTGCCTGCCACTCATGCTCAGCACATACTGTCAAGGTATATTTTCTCAGACTTTCATATTTATTTGCTTGTCATGATTGTTTTGATATTCAGCTGACAAACTATGCCAAATGACTGACATGAGCAAATGCCAGGGAATATCAGGAGTGAAATAAGACAACAATTGAGTATATTATCATTTTAATGGTCTGTCTCACCCTGCTGAGGGTTGTGATTTTGTTCTGTTCCTAACTGTCATGCTTGATTAACTAGATCCTGCTTTAGGTGTGTGATGTTTCAAGTTATACTCAGTCCTCTCTATTTAGCAAAATGCAGTTTCTGTGATCACAAAAACACTGAACTTCACTTACCTTTCATTCTCTATCTCCAGTATTAAAGAGGGCTGATGTGAATACAGCCCCTTTAATTAAAGAGGGGATATGTGAAACAAACTCTAATTTGATGAAATTTGAGAAGTTATTTTTTTCATAACGTGTATTAATTAGGGAAATAGCACATTTAAAGCTGTTCATAAACTGGAATTGTTTTCAAATAGTACACAGAAAGATATATTATTTGATGTCATCAGAATAGAATGGGATCGTATTAGAATAAAATTTTCAGATAAGTGAAGCATAAATCATCAGGCAATGTGACATTAAAAATAGTGATTGTATATTTAGAAAACCCCATTGTCTCAGCCCCAAATCTCCTTAAGCTGATAAGCAACTTCAGCAAAGTCTCAGGATACAAAATCAATGTGCAAAAATCACAAGTACCCCTATACACCAATAACAGACAAATAGAGAGCCAAATCATGAGTGAACTCCCATTCACAATTGCTACAAAGAGAATGAAATACCTAGGAATCCAATTTACAAGGGATGTGAAGGACCTCTTCAAGGAGAACTACAAACCACTGCTCAATGAAATAAAGGAAGACACAAACAAATGGAAGAACATTCCATGCTCATGGATGAGAAGAATCAATGTAGTGAAAATGGCCATGCTGCCTAAAGTAATTTATAGATTCAATGCTATCCCCATCCAGCTACCAATGACTTTCTTCACAGAATTAGAAAAAACTACTTTAAATTTCATATGGAACCAAAAAAGAGCCCTCATAGCCAAGACAATTCTAAGCAAGAAGAACAAAGTTGGAGGCATCATGCTACCTGACTTCAAACTACACTACAAGGCTACAGTAACCAAAACAGCACGGTACGGGTACCAAAACAGATATATGGACCAATGGAACAGAACAGAGCCCTCAGAAATAATACCACACATTTACAACCATCTGATCTATGACAAACCTGACAAAAACAAACAATGGGGAAAGGATTCCCTATTTAATAAATGATGCTGGGAATACTGGCTAGTCATATATAGAAAGCTGAAACTGGATCACTTCCTTACACATTATACAAAAATTAACTCAAGATGGATTAAAGACTTAAATGTAAGACCTAAAACCATAAAAACCCTAGAAGAAAACCTAGGCAATACCATTCAGGACATAGGCATGGGCAAAGACTTCATGCCTAAAACAGGAAAAGCAATGGCAACAACAGCCAAAATTGACAAATGGGATCTAATTAAACTAAAGAGCTTCTTCACAGCAAAAGAAACTATCAGCAGAGTGAAAAGGCAACCTACAGAATGGGAGAAAATGTTTGCAATCTATCCATCTGACAAAGGGCTAATATCCAGAATCTACAAAGGGCTTAAACAAATTTTCAAGAAAAAAACAAACAACCCCATCAAAAAATGGGTAAAGGATATGAACAGGCACTTCTCAAAAGAAGACATTTATGCAGCCAACAAACTTATGAAAAAGTGCTCATCATCACTGGTCATTAGAGAAATGGAAGTCAAAACCACAATGAGATACCATCTCACGCCAGTTAGAATGATGATCATTAAAAAGTCAGGAATCAACAGATGCTGGAGAGGATGTGGAGAAATAGGAACGCTTTTACGCTGTTTGTGGGAGTGTAAATTACTTCAACCATTGTGGAAGAGAGTGCAGGGATTCCTTAAGGATCTAGAACTAGAAATACCATTTGACCCAGCAATCCCATTACTGGGTATACACCCAAAGGTTTATAAATCATTCTACTATAAAGAAACATGCACATGTATGTTAATTGCAGCACTGTTCACAATAGCAAAGACTTGGAACCAACACAAATGCCCATCAATGATAGACTGGATAAAGAAAATGTGGCACATATACACCATGGAATACTGTGCAGCCATAAAAAAGGATGAGTTCATGTCCTTTGCAGGGACGTGGATGAAACTGGAAACCATCGTTCTCAGCAAAGTAACACAAGAAGAGAAAAACCAAACACCACATGTTCTCACTCATAAGTGAGAGTTGAACAATGAGAACACGTGGACACAGGGAGGGGAACATCACATACTGGGGCCTGTTGGGGGGGTGGGAGGCTCGGGGAGGGATAGCATTAGGAGAAATACCTAATGTAAATGATGAGTTGATGGATGCAGCAAACCAACATGGCACATGTATACATATGTAACAAACCTGCACGTTCTGCACATGTACCCCAGAACTTAAAGTATAATAATAAAAAATATTGTTTGTTAGTTCTTGTGTTTTTCAGCTCCATCAGGCAGAAATAAGACTGCACATTTACAACCATCTGATATTCGACAAACCTGACAAAAATAAGCAATGGGGAAAGGATTTCCTGTTCAATAAATGGTGCTGGGAGGACTGGCTAGCCGTATGCAGAAAATTGAAACTTCCTTAAATCTTCTGCAAAAATGAACTCGAGATTAAAAACTTAAGTGTAAAACCGCAATTTATAAAAACCCTAGAAGAAAATACAGGCAATCCTTCTCAGGACATAGGCACGGGCAAAGATTTTATGATGAAAACAGCAAACGCAATTGCAATAGAAGCAAAAATTGACAAATGGGATCTAATTAAACCAAAGAGCTTCTGCACAGCAGAAGACACTATCAACAGAGTGAAGAGACAACGTACAGAATGGGAGAAAATGTTTGCAATCTGTCCATCTGACAAAGGTCTAATATCAAGAATTTACAAGGAACTTCAACAAATTTATAAGAAAAAAACAACCTCATTAAAAAGTGGGCAAAGGACTTGAACAGACACTTCTCAAAAGAAGACTTTTTTTCTGGCCAAAGAACATATGAAAAAAAGCTCAAAATCACTGATCATTAGAGAAATGCAAATCAAAACCGCAATGAGATACCATCTCCTGACAGTCAGATGGTGATTACTAAAAAGTTAAGAAACATCAGATGCTGGTAAGGCTGTGGAGAAATAGGAATGTTGGTGAGGATGTAAATTAGTTCAACCATGTGGAAGACAGTGTGGCGATTCCTCAAAGACCTAGAAACAGAAATACCACTTGACCCAGGAATCCCATTACTAAGTACATACCTAAAGGAATAGAAATTATATTGTAAAGACACAGGCATGCATATGTTCATCACAGCACTATTCACAATAGCAGTCACATGGAATAAGCCCAAATGTCCATAAATGATAGACTGGATAAAGAAAATGTGGTACATATACTCCATAGAATATTATGCAGTCATGAAAAAGAATGAGACAATGTCTTTGCAGGAACATGGATAGACCTGGAAGCCATTATCCTCAGCAAACTAACATAGGAACAGAAAACCGAACACCTCATGTTCTCACTTATAAGTGGGAGGTGAACAATGAGAACACAGGGATGCAGGGAGGGGAACAACATACACTGGGGCTTGTCAGGGGTGGGTGTGGAGGGGGAGGGATACGATCAGAAAAAAATAATTAATTCATGCTGGGCTTGATACCTAGGTGATGTATTGATAGGTGCAGCAAACCACCATGGCACACATTTACCTATGTAGCAAACCTGCACATCCTACACATGTACCGCAAACTTAAAGTAAAATAAATAATAATTTAAAAAAAAATAGATCTAAACATGTCTATTCCTTTATTCTTAAACTGCAAAAACAAAATGCAATTTTGACAAATTCCTGAGACCTTAAAATGTTTACTTTTTTACTTTGAGCTGTTAAATTTTACATCTACTTTAATTTGGCTTTTAGTCTTGTCTTTAATGGTACCTGAGGTTTTCTATTTTGCCCTCCCTAAACTGATATGTAACTTCTAGAATAAACTAAAAGGAAATATGCATTTGCGTGATAAAGAAAACTAAGCCCTAGTGATAAAACAAATACAGGTGTGTGTGAGTGTGTGTGTGTGTGTGTGTGTGTGTGTTTGGGGGACTTTGGATAGCTATTTCTGTTTCTGAGATCCTGCCTCGGCTGACTTTTGGGTTTTTTGGCTGTGTTTGAAAGGTAGTGTTTGCCTGAAGGCATACTTCCTAATAAGTGGGATATTATTATTACAAAGTTTGCTTTTTATTTCTCAAATAATTTCCTAAATAAGAAACAAGACACAGTAAAGATACACAATAGTTCTCATAGGTTTAGATACCGGGGTTGCAAATCAAAATATTGCCTGCAGTAATAGCAAAGATATTCCCTCTCTTTACATTTAAAATTCATGAAGTGACAGAAAAATTAAATAGCACCATAAATCAAATAATATATAAACATAGTTTAAACCCACACTCTGACTTTATAAGTCTTTTAAAGTTTAAGTGATTTTATAATAGCTGATTTTTGGCAAAGTTATTTCAAAGTGGCAGTTTAATATATAACTTGGAAAAAAAGTGAAAAACTGAATCCATAGGAGTTTGGGGAGACTATAGATCAGTGCAGACTCAAGTTATTTGGACATGTTTGGGGTTTCAAATATATATGTACATGACAATCACTTGGGCACTTGTTTAAAATGCAGATTCTTTTATAGCTCAATAGGTCTTAGACTCTGGAATGTAAATTTTAATGGCTACTACAGGCTTTTCTAATGTAGGCTATTCTTAGACCACACTTTTAAAAACTTGGTTAAGCTACTTACTATAGAAATACAGTCCACCTATTGGTGGCACCAGCTTGTTGGAAATTCTGAATCTCAGGCTCAACACCAGAGTCTGTAAAATCCTCAGCTGATTCATAAGCATAGTAAAGCACTGGTTGTAGCCTACTATTTACGAAGTCAAATAACTTTGTAAGTAACTTTTAAAGTAACTCTGAAATCTATATTAAGGGCACAAAATATATTTAGATCCGGGAAGTGAAGAACTTTACATTAATCATAGGGACATGCTGGGACTTTAGGTGTTTGTGTCACTACAAATACTGGAAGAAATGCCAAACACAAATCCTACTGTTTGTAGGTCTCCTGATGCTCAGGGAAATGTTTAAGATGTGAGTTCTGGCAATGGGAACTTTCACTCTTTGACTGGAAATAGTGATGTCTCAATAGTGTTTGTAGGGCCAGGCATGGTGGCTCACGCATGTAATGCCAGCACTTTGGGAGGCTGAAGCAGGCAGATCACCTGAGGTCAGGAGTTCGAGACCAGCCTGGCCAACATGGTGAAACCCTGTGTCTACTAAAAATACAAATTTTAGCCAAGCGTGGTGGTGGGCGCCTGTAATCCCAGCTACTTGGGAGGCAGAGGCAGGAGCATCGCTTGAACCCAGGAGCCAGAGGTTGCAGTGAGCCTAGATCATGCCACTGCACTCCAGCCTGGGTGACAGAGAAAGACTCTGTCCCGCGCCCCCCAAAAATAGTGTTTGTAACTTATTAATTCCCTTTGAAGAAATTATTATGGCTCTTATATATGGGAAAGGATATTACTTAATGCAGGTAACTGCACTTTGCTTTCTTTTTAAAAGATGGCAGTTAATTTTTTAATTAGTAAACTTTATTTTTTAAGAGCAACTCTAGTGTTACAACAACATTGAGTGGAGAGTACTAAGAGTTTCTGGGTATCCCCTCTCCCCACACATGCAACCTCCTCCACTATCAACGCCTCATGCACAGTGGTATATCTGTTACAGTCAATGAACATTCATTGACACATCATCACCCAAAGATCAAAATTTTCATTAGGGTTCACTTTTGATGTTGCACATTATACGGGTTTTGAAAATGTATAATGACATGTATGCATCATGGTGGTAACATACAAGATATTTTCAATGGCCAAAATATAATCCGTATGCTGCCTATTCATCCTTCTTTCCCCACTGACTCCTGGCAACCACTGATATTTGCACAGTCTCCATTGTTTTGCCTTTTCCTGTATGTCGCGTATTGGGAAGCAAACAGTATGTAGCTTTTGCAGAATGACTTCTTTCACTTAGTAATATGAATTACAGTTTCCTCCAAGTCTTTTCATGCCTTGATAGCTCATTTCTTTTTAGCATTAAATAATATTCAATTGTCTGAGTGTACTAATTTATTTATCTATTCACCTACCAAAGGATAACTTGGTTTCCCTTAAGTATTAACAATTATAATGAATGCTACTACAAATATCTATGTGCAGCTTTTTTTGTGTGTGTGGGTATAGTTTTCAATTATTAATTTGGGTAAATATCTAAGAATATAATTTCTGGATCATATTGTAAGAGTATGTTTAATTTCGTAAGTAATTGCCAAAGGGTCTTATAAAGTGGTTGTACCATTTTGCAATCCCACAGGCAATAAATAAGAGTTTCTATTGCTCCACATCCTCATTAGAATTTGGAGTTATCAGTGTTTTAAATTTTGGCCATTCTAATAGGCTTGTAGTAGTAACTCATTGTTGTTTTAATTTGCAATTCCATAATGACATTTATACATTGTTGGATTCAACTTACTAAAATTTTGTTGAGAATTTCTGCAACTATATTTATGAGAGATGTTATGGCATAGTTCTTTTTTTCTTATAATATACTTGTCTACTTTTGGTACGAAAGTAATGATGACCTCAGAGAATGACTTAGAAAAAGTTATCAGTGCCTGTATCTTCTGAAAGAGATTGTAGAGAATCGGTAGAATTTATTCCTTAAATATTTGGTAGAATTCATCAGTAAGCCCACCTGGGCTTGGTGCTTTCTTTTTTGGAAGGTTGTTGATTTTTTATTCAATTTCTTTAATAGATAAAGGCCTGTTCAGATTGTCTACTTCTCCTGTGAGTTTTGGCAGAGTTTATTTCAAGGAATTGGTACATTTGATTAAAGTTATCAAATTTGTAAGCATAATATTGTTCATAAGAGTCTTTCATTGTTGTTTTAAAGTCCATGGTATTGCAATGATTTCCTTTCTTTTATTTATTATATTAGTAATTTGTGTCCCCTTTCTTTTTTTCTTGGTTAGCCTAGCTAGAGGCTAAATGAGTTTATTCACCTTTTCAAAGATCCAGCTTTTGGTTATTGATTTTCTCTGTTTATTTCCTTGTTTCATTTTCACTTATTTATGCTGTATTTTTCTTATTTATCTTCTTTTGCTGACTTTGAATTTACTTTCTCTCTCAAGTTTTCTAATGTGCAAGCTCAGATTGTTGATTTTTAGATCTTTTTTCTTTTGTAGTATATTCTTTTGTTGCATCCCACAAATTTTGATGTTGTATTTTCATTTTCATTATTTCAAAATATTTAAAATTTGTTCTTGAAATTTCTTCTTTAACCCACGTGTTATTTAGAAGTCTATTGTTTAATCTTCAAGTATTTAGGGGGATTTTCCAGCTCTCTTTCAGTTATTAATTTTTAACTTAATTCCACTCTGGTGTAAGAGCAGATATTGTATGATTTTTATACTTTTACATTTGTTAAAGTGTGTTTCATGGCCCAGAATGTCCTCTATTTTGGTGAATGTTATGTGCGAGCTTGAAAAAAAAATTATAATCTGCTATTGTTGGATAAAGTAGTTGTCAGTTATATCCAGCTGAATGATGAGCTCAACGATGTTCTCACTGATTTTCTGTTTGCTGGCTCTGTGCATGTCTGATAGAGGAGTGTTAAAGTCTCCAACTGTAATAGTGAACTTTTCTATTTATCGTGCAGTTCTGTTTTGCCTCATGTATTCTGGCACTCTCTTTTCAAGCACATATACATATGAATATATCTCTCTCCATCCCTTTGCCTTTCAATGTATAGGTAGCTTTATATTTAAAGTGAGTTGCTTCTACTCAACATATAGTTGAGTCTTGCTGTTTTGATCCATTCAGACAGTCTCTAAGTGGTATATTCAGGTCATTAATGTTTAAAGTGATTATTGATATAATTTGATTATCATCTACCACATTTGTTAGTTTTCTATTTGGTGTCACTGCTCTTTGTTTACATTTTTTGCACAGTATCTCTACCTTTTGTGATTTTAATTGAGAATTTTATATGATTATATTTTTCTCCTTTCTAAGCATAACAATTACACTTCCTTTTTCACTGTATCCCTAGAGTTTACAGTATATATTTGCAACTAACCCAAGTCTACTTTCAAATAATGCTCTATGGCTTCATGGGTAGTAAAAGAACTTTATATCAGAAAAAAAATTCTAATTACTCCCCCCTCATCCCTTGTATCATTATTGTCATATATTTCACTAAGTTATTTATATATATATATTACATATTATATATATTAAACATTTATGTATATGCATGTGTATGTATGTATTTAAGCCTACATAATTCAATACATTATTATTACTGTTTTAACAATTATTTATTAGATCAAATAAGACTAAGGAAATTATGTTTTTATTTTACCTTCACATTTTCCTTCTCTGTTGCTCCTTTCTTTATGCAGACCCACGTTTTTGACCTATATCATTTTCCTTCTCTCTGAAAAAGCTTTTTTCTGCTTAATTTGTTATAATTTTTTATTAATAATATTTTCAATTGACAAATGATAATCAGAAATATGTAAGGGTTACAATGTGATGTTTTGATATAAACAGTGTGGAATGAGTAAATCAGCTAATTAACATATCCATCATCTCTCTTACCCATTTTTTTTTTTTGTGGTGAATTATTTGAAATTTACTCAGCTATTTTGAAATATATAATACATTATTATAAACCATAGTCAACATTACTGTGCAATAGTTCTCAAAAACCAATTTCTCCTGTCTAACTAAAACTTTTTACCCCTGGAAAATATCTTTTCATTTCCTCCTCCTTCTCCAGTCTCTGGGAACCACCATTCTACTCTCTACTTCTATGAATTTAACTTTTTTATTTGCCTTTCTCTGCATGGCTTATTTCATGTAACACAATGCCTTCCAGCTCTATCAAAGAACGTCTTTCAACATTTTTTCTAAAGCAAGTCTACTGCCAACAAACTCTCTTTTTAAAAAAAATTTTGTCCAACAAAGTCTTTATTTTTCCTTTGCTTTTGAAGGATAATTTTGCTGGGTACAGAATTTTAGTTTGGTGGTTTCTCTATCTTAAAGATTCAATTATTTAACTCCACTCTCTTCTTGCTGGCATGGTTTCTGATGGGTCAAATATAATCTTACCTTAACTCTGCTATACACAAGTTGTTTCTTTTCTCTGTCTTCTTTCCATATTTTTTATTTGTCATTAACTTTCTGAAGTTTTAATATGATATACATAGGTATAGTTTTTTTCATTTTTGTTTTTGTCATTTATCCTGCTTTATATTCTCTGAGCTCCTGGGCTTGTGGTTTGGAGTTTGGCATTAATTTGAGAAAATTCTCAGTCATCCTTGTTTCAAACATTTCTCCCATTCTGCATAGGTTATAGCTTTTGTAGTTGTACCACGTTCATAGATAATCTGGTTTTATTTATGCAGTGTTTTTTTACTGTGCCTTTTAGTTTTTGAAGTTTCTCGTCATACCCTGAAGTCAGATATTCTTTCTTAAGCATGTCTTCTCTACTAATGAGCCCATCAAAGGCAATGTTTATTTTTATACTGTTTTTGATATCTAGCATTTCTTTTATATTCTTTCTTAGAATTTCCACGTCTTTGTTTATATTTTTTTTGTATGTTATCATTTTATCCAATAAATCCCTCAGCACACTATTCATAGTTGATTTAAATTCCTGGTCATTAAATTGAACATGCCTGCTTTATCTGAGTATTCTAATGCTTGTTCAGTCTCCTCACATTATGTTTTTTGTCTCTTTGTAATTTTTGCATGACAAGTGGACATAACGTACTGGTAAAATAAGGTGCAGAAAATAGGCCTGTATAGTTTGTTTTCATGCTGCTGATAAAGACATACCCAGGAATGGGAATAAGAAGAGGTTTAATTGGACTTACAGTTCCACATGGCTGGAAGGCCTCAGATTCATGGCGGGAAGCAAAAGACACTTCTTACCTGTCTATGGCAAGAGAAAATGAGAGAGAAGCAAAAGCGGAAACCCCTTTTAAACCCACCAGCTCTTCTGAGACTTATTCACTATCACGAGAATAGCATGGGGAAGACCAGGCCCCATGATTCAATTACCTCTCCCTGGGTCCCTCCTGCAACACATGGCAATTCTGGGAGACACAATTCAAGTTGAGATTTGGGTGGGGACACAGTCAAACCATACCAAGGCCTTTAGTAATGAAGTGGTGAGGTGTGGGCAGAGGAAAGTATTCTATAGTCCTGTGATTTGATCTCTGGGCATATGATATCATTTTTGGCTTTTTTTTTTTTTTTTTTTGAGATGGAGTTTTACTCTTGTTGCCCAGGCTGGAGTGCAATGGTGCAATCTTGGCTCACCATAACTTATGCCTCCCAGGTTAAAGCAATTCTCCTGACTCAGCCTCCCAAGTAGCTGGGATTACAGGCATGCACCACCACACCTGGCTAATTTTGTATTTTTAGTAGAGACAGGATTTCTCCACGTTGGTCAGGCTGGTTTCGAACTCCCGACCTCAGGTGATCCGCCTGCCTCGGCCTCCAAAAGTGCTGGGATTACAGGCGTGAGCCACCATGCTGAGCCAAATTTTTGGCTTTTAAGAGACATTAAAACAAAATATTCTTTTATGACTGGTGCTCTCTCTCTCTCTCTCTCTCTCTCTCTCTATATATATATATATATATTTATATAAAACATAGGATGTATATTTTGGTATTACTGGTAACTTAATTTTTGAAAATGGTAAGAAAACCTTAAATTAAAAATTTTATTTCCTCAAAGCATCTATTATTATATACTTCAGTCTAATACTTTACTTATCACTTACTAATGCCTGATGCTTAAAAACAAATCTCTGAAATAAAAACAAAATATATGGTAAATGTGAATAAAATATTCTCACAAAAATGTATTTTTACTAATAAAAATAAGGAATAAATGAAACAGGCGCAAATTTTATTTAAGTTGCTTTTAGGAACACTTTGATTTCTTCAAAATCCTGAAAAAGCAATTAATTTTACAACTGGATTTTTAATACCAAGTTTATATTGAGATGTGAATTAATTTTTGTGTGTGGCTTCTTACTAGGTTCAAAAATACCTCAAAATTATAGGGATCTATCATTCAGTATCATGAAGACAAAGAACAAAGAACAAATGTTCTATGAAGTTGAACACTTCTGTAGGTATATTTCAATACACAGACTAGGAGACATAATAGATTTTTTTTCTGTATTTTAATCTAATGTTTGGTAAAAAAATAAAGACTAAAAATCCAGTATTGTACTAATAATTAAGATTCAAAATGAGTGGAAAATATATGTATTTTTATAAAATAATATTTTTTTCAATTATGCAAACAATGTACACTTATTATAAACATTTGGAAATTTTTCAGGTATAAGGAAGAAAATGACTATTACCTATAAAAGTGATTCCACTATGATAGAGGAAAAGTTCTATGCTCATGGGTAACTAGGAATTCTTTTCTCTTGATGGGGTGTAGCAGGGCTGTGTGTTGTGGGAAGTGAGCTTATGATTCACCAAGCCTTCGAAAGCAGAATAGGAACAACTCACTAGAAGGTCATATAAAAGACCTTCAGAAGAGGAAAGTATCCTCAGGATATTATTTTGCCATCACGCAGAAATCCTGGCTACAATTTGCCTACATGGAGTATTGATTACATAGCAAACCTTGGGGCAATATTCTTTGTCTAATTCATACACCTTCACTTAACCAAAGAGAAAAGATTGAGAACTTAAGTATTTTTTTCTGAGATTATAAACGTGCAAATAGCATATACAACATGTAAATGCAGGTTGCTATGATTCTAAAGACCATCATTCAAAAAAGACACTATTTCCTTCACATGTCAGGGCAAGCATTAAAAATTGTCTTATACTTACATGTCTCTTTCCCTACCTCCTGAGATCTCTACTAAACTACTGAGAAAAAAACAAACACCTAGAAACAAAATCTTGGAGATGAAATATAATTTATTTAAATATCTTACTAATAGTTTTGGGTAACTGAATGGGAGGAAGGTTACCAACTGGTAGTTAAACTTTGTTGTATATTTTAAAAATAATAACAATTAAGAGCAATATGAAGATGGAGAACTGAGGAGTTTAGATAAGGAAAAGCAACATAGAAGGTTGAGGTTCTAATGGTTAAAATGACCAAAGAGCTTTCTAAGAATAGACATGTTGAATCATCTATTTTACGTAAGTGAATTCATATCTCTGTATTGCTTGAGCTCTGAAAACTGATCTGGGCCACTATAGCCCCTCTCCATCAGGAGTCAGCTGATTTTGTTCAAAATATCTAATGTATTTATAACTAGACTTTCTGGGAGTAGATGGGAAAAGTGTAGGAGTCTGAATTTCTGAATGACCTCTTTAACCACCCCCACCATCACTAAACTAGATTAGAACACAATATGAATAGGAAATAATTGTTAGTTGGGCTAAGCCACTGATATTTTAGAGTTGTGTGTTAGAGCAGTTAGCTTATCTAATACTGCTGTTTATTATTCAACTCAAACACAAAAATGTTCTAAATAGAATTATTCATTTCTATATGCCAAATTTACTGTCTCTGAATGTTCCCATCTTATTAAACAGAACTATCAATCTTCCAGGTTTCCCAGCCTTAAAGCTGAAATAAGTTTTTACTCTTTTCTATTATTCATATGTTTAATACAGTCTGTGAATAAACCCTTCCTGAAATTATTTCAATTCTGATTGTTTCTTACTACTTCCACTTTTAGTTTATTCTACCACTGACTCTTGCCTGGTTGTTCATAATAGCTTACTAACTCTTCTCCCTGTTTCACTTCCTGTGCCCCTATAGTCTATTCTCAACAGCAACCAGAACAATGAGTTTTAAATATATACGTGATTATCTCAGTTTGGCTCATGGCTGTAATCCCAGCACTTTGGGATTACTTGAGGCTGGATCACTTGAGGTCAGAAGTTCAAGACTGACCTGGCCAATATAGCGAAACTCCATCTCTACTAAAAATGCAAAATTAGCTGAGTGTGGTGCCAGGTGCCTGTAGTCCCAGCTACTTGGGAGGCTGAGGCAGGGGAATCCCTTGAACTCAGGAGGCAGAGGTTGTAGTGAGCTGAGATCGTGCCACTGTACTCCAGCCTATGCAACAGAGCAAGACTCTATCAAAAACAAAACAAAACAAAACAAACAAACAAATAAACAAACAAAACCTTCCAAAGACTCCCTAACATAGTTAGAATAAAGTTCTAAATCCTAGAAGTTTCTGCATGACCTGACCTTTTGCCACCTCTCTCTCTGTGACTCTTGCTCACATACGCTACATTTGTTACAGGGCCTTCCTTGCTTTCCTGGAACATTCTGTCTGAAATACTTTCTGTGACCCATATGGTTTCTCTCTTCATGACATTCGGATCACTGCTCAATGGGTGCACTCTCAAGATAATCTTTTCTTACTCCCACTAAGAGGGGAATCATTTATCTCCCCCTTACTCTGCCTTGTTTGTTCTTCACTGCTTATATAATTATTTGCTATTATATTGTGTTTTTACTTAATGCCATTAATATATGATAAGTTTCCTGTTCAATATCCCTAGTGCTCATAAGAATAGGCATTTATTTGTTGAGTGAGGGAATAGGGTGGCAAATTAAATCAATTGCCCCACATAAGTCAGAAAATCTTACTCTTCTATTAATCCTGCAACTTTTATGGAGGGCATCTGCACATGCAAAGCAGTGGAAGATTTGACAAATCCTGAGATTTATTAGAGAGCTTCTCTAACCACAGATAATTCAAAATCTAACTAGGTAATATGACAATATTTAAATTCTGTTAAGAATTAAAAATGTATATAGGTCAAGAAGAAAAATAATTCATACATTGGGGCAGTAGATGATTAACTGTTTTAATTGTTCCATTAAGTATGCACTATATAATTGCCATAATAGTTTAAGGGAGGAACAAAGTATTTCAATTTGAGGTGTTAAAGGAAGATTTTATAGTGAAATTGTAACTGAAAAAAAAAAAAAACCTGAGAATGAGAAATAGATATTTACACAAAACAAACTCCAGGCATTTTTTCCCCAACTACTTTACTGAAATTAACAAAACTCCAAGTTAAGCTGGGTCACAATTTCAAATCAAAATCAAATTAATGATTTCATGTATTCTTTTTGCCTTCTAGTCTTTGTATATATACAGTGTTTGCATATTTACCGTATTGTCATAGATAGAAGCTTATATTTCTTTTCTGTTAACATATACCATATATATTTTCTTCCTCATTTTTTTAACAGGTTTTATTCTCCACACTGCAACCCTTTCTACAACAAAATAGGTTAGAAGCCTGGCATGCATCTTTCCACACCATGCTTCATGTTCATATAATTATGTACAAACATAAAAGGAATTATCTTCTTGTTGCTGTTCACTTTAGAAAGTAGGATCACACTCCAAGTATCTTCATATCTTTATTTTATCATTTCAAATATATTATAAAAATATTTTAGTTACTGATCTATGTATTTTATAGCAGCAAAATATTTTATTCTGCCAAATCACAATTTAGTCAACTATGCCTCAATCTTAAAAATTCAGATAATTTCCAATTTGGTTTTTTAAAATATTGCCATACCATTGCATATCTGGCATTATAAATTGGTGTTTTTATTTTATGCAATAATCGAGTCAAAATAAGTTTGTGTGTAACTAGATAAGTGAGATTTTTCTTTTGTGTTGATGTTTGACTGAGCTCCCAATATTGAAAAATTGTAGTTGATAAGTGCATTTATTTGCTTCAGAGAGTATGTAGGCATTTTCAGACATCCCCTCCAGGGCCTGTCAAAAGATAACAAAACTCCAGTGCTGTGATAATCACTCCATCATTCTAAAATTTTCAATATGAGAAGAAAGCTAAAAATTTTACAGTTTGAAGGAGTCTTGGCAAGGGTGAGGAGTATTGTGAGTTTACCTCTTCCATTCCATGCTTCATGGATCACTGTTTTCCACTAAGCCAAACAAGGAACTTCCTAGTTGAGTGGAGCCCTCAGGAAGGGGAAAATCGGCCTCTTGGCAGCTGGCTTCTTCCTGTTTGGCAGAACCATATACGCCCACCGTGGTGTGGCCACTGAAATAAAATGTGATGATGATGATTCTTGGGAGAACTTGCAAAGAATTTCTGGGAGTTGTAGGGAATATGCCACGATAGAGAATAGTGCCTGGTGCCTGGGCCTGTCCTCTGGTGGGGAATTTTGAAAGTAGGAGGCTAGCGGGAACAATCTGGATAAAGGGTGATAGGTAATAATGTAAGCCTACACCAGTACAGTTTCACATGTCTTAAATGTGTGAAATCAAGGAATATATAGACACTAAAGTGCCAAATGAGTCTGAGCTATTTCAAAACTAACCTTCTGGGAGGAAAGATCCCAATAGTGGTAAGCAGTAGAGTGTAAATCTAGGAACAAATCTATGCTCAAAGAGGGCATCACCTAACATTTGTTGTGTACAAATACCACAGGTCACCAGGAGGACCCATGGATACATTTTCCTAGAAGGCAAGCATTTGAATACCTGCCATGCAAAAGGTATCAAAGGCTGAATTGCAAAGCACCGGTGATATAAAACTGTACCCACTTTTCTCTAACATTCCTCTTGCCCATCTTTCCTAGGTAAGAGAGCAGAAGGAGAGAGTGGAGAGGGAGAAAAGATAAATGCATAGACCATGCCTCCTTTCTTCATAGCAGTCCACATAACAGAGAGTCAGGACTGATCTGGGAAATGTTCCCAAACTGATGAAAGATGGAGGTTGTAAATTGGACTTGACTTTGTTATCTGAAAAAGAGTTGTAGTTTTCTTATAATTCAAGGTTACTAAAAGACTTTAACATCTTTCTAAAATATCAACAAGCAAGGAATGATGATCTAAGCAAATATGTATGAAGATAATGATGGAAGAAATAGACAGCTGTTTATAGTTTTTGCCCCATCCAGTAATGACTTTAATTATTTTTTATTCATACACTTAAATATGTATGTATATGTGTGTATAGGTACATGCATATGTATGTATATACACAAACATACATATGTGTATACAGGTATTCAGCTCCTTAACATCAAGAGCTTCATCACATATACACACATGTGCAAACACACACTTATACACACATATTATTAGTGTTATTGCCAGACTAATTTCCAAAATATCCTATTAATAACATGTAACAGCAATTTTTTTTTAGTGCATATTCACAGAACCAGACATTACCTCTTTATTTTCTTTTTCAAAAATGTCTGCTAGCAAGGTAGGTGAAATTAGGGCCTCTTTATTCATTTCACTATTTTTATTGTCTACTAGCAAAGTTGAGAATCATCTTACATGTTTTTTATTTTAAGTTGTTTTGAGTTTCTCATCTGAGGACTATTTATTCCTGTTAGGTGATTTTTTTATATTGAATTGTTTTCTTCTTAATATAAATTTGTAGGAACTCTTTTTGGAGAATAACTCAATATGCTATATGATGTAAAAATCCTAATCTATTTTATGTCTTTGTTAATGAAAATTTTGTCAGGCAAAACATTTATATTTTTTGTAGTATAATACTTCTACTTTGTTTTTTGTTTTTTGTTAAAAAACATAAAGGTTAATATATATTTGACTATTATTATATAATATATATAAATATATGAGATATAGAATTATATATTTAATATTTGCTAAATTTTCTATTTTTTCATATCCAAATTATACCCTGAAATTAATTTTGTTTTATATGAGATATTTTTGATTTTGTCAGCTCCTAGACTCAAGACTGTCCTTCTTCACTGTTTATTCCTCCACCATGAATCTATTGCCTTTCAGCTGAACTAATTATTCCAGTTTTCTGTTTGTTTGTTTATTACACAGTTCTTTCTTGTGTATTTTTATCAACCTTAACCTCCTGTGTCTTCTTGTCACTCTGACATGTGAATGAGATCTTATGCTTGAATGGGGTTTTGAATTAGTCTTGTTTTTCTATGGTAGATAGAAGGTGTTTAACTGTCTCAGTGTTGTATGTTGTAAATAAAAGACAATGCTTTTTTGCTCTTTGTAAATAATTTGTATATCTGCATTGAAACTTTAAGGTTTCATCTTCATCTTTTTTTATTTCAAAGTGAATAATTTTTACCCGAATTACTTAATGCACTTCTTTTATCATTAAACTCTTCTTAGACTAATAAAACTTCTTTTTTTATATTATTGGCCCTCCCTTTTCTTTACTCTCTCCCACCTATTATTTCTCCTGTAATTGAATTGAAATTGTATACAGGTTTGATCTTCTTAATGTATTCTCCATTTTTAGAACTCTCTTTTCTAATTTCAATCACTTTGTAGTTTCATTTTGTATTGTGATGTATTTCTCTCACTGATCTTCCAGACAGATCTTATTTTTCTGAGATGATTAGTAGTTTCTTGTTAGAAGTGAGGTAAGAGATTTTATCACATCTTTCTCTATGGTATGTTGAAAAATTATTTTACATTTTTCTTTTCTTTAGTGTCTTTACCCATGAAGATGTCTGTCTATTATGCATCTCTGTGATGTTTCCCAAGTCTTAGGAATCCAAAATTAAACTTCAGCTTCTTCCTCTATGCTCCTTACATGCTACTAGTTGATTAGTTGGTTCTTGAATAGTACCTCAAAAAAAGAAAACAAATTCTGTTCCACTTCCTTTGTAGCCCTTATCATTGGGTCATAGGAAGTATTCACACATCAGCCTCATTTATTGTACAGCCACACTTCTCCTTTTCTTCCTTAAACATGCCCTAGGTAAATATGTTAGGCTCCTTTGAGACTCGAGACACCAAAGTTAGTGGGAGGCAGACTCCTCCTTTGTGTGGTAGGAAATCTCTGTGCTCCCAAGCTTTCCTAGGCAATAGATTGATGATGGAGGGCCTGGAAACAATTGGGAACTAGTTCAGGTTGACTCCTGTTTTCCTTTGACGTACCCCTGTCATTTTACCTTTTGAACATTTCCTTACACTCTGGCACTCAGACTCTCACAGATTCTGAGAACATGGAAGTCTAAACTACTGCACTATAGCACTCCTATAGTTAGTTTGCTGTAGTTTCTTTGAGGTCAGTAGAATAAAGCAAACCTTCCTAGAACTATGTGTTACTCTTTACTGAAAAGTTTTCACAGATTTCTCAGGGTCAGATTCCCTCTGGGAACCTAGAGAGATTACTGCTCTCTTGACTTCTACCAGTCAAAGAGGAGGTCAAAATCCTGTATTTTCTTTTCTCCTGTGGAAGTCTGATCTGTGGTGTTTCAAGAGATTTTTAGGCAGAGTGTGGGAACAATAGTTTAGACCTCCACATGCTCAGAATCTGTAAGATTCTGAGTGCCAGAGTGAAATGTTCAAAAGATAAAATGACAGGAGTACGTCAAAGGAAAACAGGAGTCGAGCCGAAACAGCTCCCAAAGGCTAAAAGTGGAACAATCTGAGCAAAAGCCTTAGATTGGGATTACAACCTACGTCGTAAAATAAATATCCTGAGTACCTACTGATATAAACAAGTGACTGCATTAACAAATAAATGGAGAGAAGAGGCATCTCTCCTGCAGAAAAATTCCAAATAATTCATTTAAATACTCCCCACTCAAAAAGGTGGTGCCTATCTCTCTACTCCTTAAATTAGGGTTGTACTTGGTAACTTGCTTCTGAAGACTAAAGTATGAAACAGGAGAAACAAGTAATTTCAAAAGAGGTTAGGAAATTGATGTGGAGGTCAGAGTGGAAGCAGGTGTAAGAGGTTCCAGCCTGGCTGCCAAAGTGTTTGAATTCATCTGCAAGCTCTGCCTGCCCTTAGCTATTGCAGGAAGCGTGGTGAACTCTGCCATATATAATGTGGATGCTGAACACAGAGTTGTCATCTTCGACCTGTTCCATGGAGTACAGGACACTGTGGTAGGAGAAGGGACTCACTTTCTCTCCTCATGGATACAGAAAGAAACCAGGTATCTTTGACTGCGGCTCTCGACCATGCAATGTGCCATTCATCACTGGTAGCAAAGTAGAGAGAATGTCAGCATCTCTGCGCATCCTCTTCCCACCTGTCACAGGCCAGCTTCTTCACATCCTTACCAGCGCTGGAGAGGACTGTGATGAGCACGTGCTGTGGTCCATATGATTCAATTATCTCCCACTGGGTTCCTCCCACAATGCATGGGAATTATGGGAGCTACAATTCAATATGAGATCTGGGCGGGGACAGAGCCAACCCATATCACTATCTTTGCAACTTTTCTGTAAATCTAAAACAATTGAATTTTTTAAAAATACGTATTTAAAAGAAAATATCACTTTTCACAAAGAACAAATGGGACAGAATAATGAAATATAGAATAGATTTTCCTTAAACTAAAAAAAGACATGTACATCTGATTTGAAAGATTCATTGTCATTTTAGCCAAAAGTTTGAAATGAAATCAACCACTATACTGTAAAGGTTTCATTTTTATTTTATTTTAAAAAGTAATAGTTACTTTAAAACTTCTTGGGATTAAAAAAGTATATCTGAGAATGAATAATAATTAAATTAGTTTTCCCATTGTAGTAATAAAAATATTAATAAAAGCATTAATGAGAGTGTTAATGACAACAATAATAATAATAGCTAGCAGCATTTTTTTTCATTCATTAAAAAACCTATATCAGGCAATTTCTTTTTGCCAAGTATAATTTCAGGCACTACGGCTTTAATAGTTAATGAAATAGACAAATATCTCTGTGTGCGGCTTTAATAGTTAATGAAATAAGACAAATAGCTCTGTCCATACGAAGCTTATATTTTGCTGAAATATTTACATAATGCTTACTATGTTCCAAGTATTCTCCTACTTACCATACATATATATGCATTACATATATTGACTCATTTAATCCTTTTAAATTGCTCTAAGATTTGGCACTACTTTTATTCTAAATTTATAATTGAAGCAAATGAGTTATAATAAGTTTAAGAAATTTGAACAGGGTCACAGAGCTTTAATTGTAACTAAGTTTCAAATCCAAACAGCCTGACTCTGTAGATCATGGTTTTAGCCTCTAGACTCCCCTCATGCATTTCGTTTCTCCCTGTTAGGTTGTTCCTCTCCTACTATCACCTCATGCTGATATATGATGGTGGCATATGGCTACTTCAGTGGTGAGGACACTGAAGCCTAGCAAGGTCACGTGTTCCAGGGTCTCACTGATGCCCGGGAACAAGGGAGAGAAGAGATTTGAGGAGCAGTGGTCACAACTCCAGAGGATTACATCTAATAAAATGTTTTATTTGTGAAGGCAATGAGAGACCTTCACAGCAGATGCAAAGATCCAGCAAAAAGATAGGCTGAAGAGCACTGGCCAGCTATGGGAAAATAAAAATTCCAACAGGGAACTGCCTGCAGTTTCTGCCTCCAGCTTCATGTTCAGAAGTGGGACCCATAGATTATTTGGCTAGAACAACATTCTTCACATAAACACTAACGAAAAAGTACTCAACTTATGGGTCCAGTGAAAATAAGAATGTAAAAGTAAGTAAATCAGAGGAAAATGCATTGCAAGTAAATACCTTATTTTAAATAACAGTGGGCTAAAATAGTGTGTAGCATATTGTAAAGCTAACTTGTAAATTTCAACACTATTTTTGAAAGAAAGGATATATGATGTAAGAACAATAATGTAACAATATACTGGTAAGAAATGTCACATTATCCTAATTAAGACCAAAAGGTGTGTGAGTTAGCAGAAGAGATAAAAGTAATAATATTTTGAACTCTATTAGGTAAAGAAAAATGAAAATATTCCATTTTATTCTTTACTTGACTAACTTCTGAAATAGAGACCATAAAAAGTATTTTAAACATTTATATTTACCATATTAGTAGCAAAAATCAAAAACAAATAAATATGTTCTAGAAGAATTGATGAAAGATAAGAAAACGTAATCAATATGGCAAAAGTCAAAAACAAACTACAAAGGTAGTAAAACTAAAAGAACAAAATATTAGGAAAAAATGTGAAAATACAGAGCACTAAACAAATTCATCTATTTGAAAATCAAAGATTCTCAGACGTGTTTTAAAAAATCCAATTATAGGCCGGGCATGGTGGCTCACACCTGTAATACCAGCACTTTGGGAGGCTGAAGTGAGTGGATCACGAGATCAAGAGATCAAAACCATCCTGGCCAACATGGTGAAATCCCATCTCTACTAAAAATATAAAAATTAGCTGGGTGTGGTGGCACGTGCCTGTAGTCCCAGCCCCCGGGAGGCTGAGGCAGGAGAATCGCTTGAACCCAGGAGGCAGAGGTTGCAGTGAGCTGAGATCACGCCACTGCACTCCAGCCTGGTGACAGAGCGAGACTGCCTCCAAAAAAAAAAAAAAAAATCCAATTATAATTTGTACACTAAAAAATATCTATGAGATAATTTTACACAAATGAATAAATGCAATTATAAAGAAATCAGGGTTTCTGATTTTTAAAAAATTACACAAATTAGAAATGAATTAGGAAGAAAACATCAAAAATTGACAAGGACTATTATTTCCAATGAAAATATAACTATTTAAAGCTACTCTTTTGAATTACTATGCATTAAAATGATTATTCTCATCATTGACTATAGAAGTGTAGTAAATTTTGAAATATTACTGATATATTAAGTAAAAAAAGCTTATTACAAGGCAGTGTGATCTCAATTTCAAATATTTTACATTGAGTACAATTTTTATAAGCACATATTAAATAATCTTTGTTGAGCTGGAGATGATTTTTATTGCTTTGTGTGTCTATGTATTTTTACAACTTTCATCTATGTTGATGCATTAAACCAGAAAAACAATTAAATTAATTTTTTTATTGTTTGGATTAGCAAATGTGATTCAGAAAGTCATTCTACATGCTTTAACTACAATAGTGGAGGTTGAAATAAAGGATATACTGGTGGAAGAAGGTATGAATAACCCAGTGTTTTAGTTTTATTCTTTTGTCTACTCCAAAATTCCAAGTCTTAATTTACCTAAATATAATGTTCTTTTAAACAGATGTTTCTAGCTTGTCAGGGAAATAAATTTGTGTTTATGTGGATCAATTGCACTGTGTAGCTGATAGGATGAACTCTGCTTTTGAGGAATTAAATAGTAAAAAAGTTGGAGATAAAATAGTTTACTTAATTATTCTTTGTTTTAAAAATAAGCTGATATTTATTTTACATTATTTACTCTTATATCTACAAAAGTGATCTTACTGAGAAAGGAGCTACACTCTTTGCTAAGAGGTTAACACTCATCAGGACACCCTGGCTATGGAGAGGAGCTACCCTCTACGGGTCTCCTCCAAGCTGTTCTATTGCTCCATAAAGCTCCTCTTCATCTTGCTCACCGTCAACTTGTCTGTGTACCTCATTCTTCCTGGTCACAGGACAAGAACTTGGGAACCACTGAAAGGTGGGGCTAAAAGAGCTTTAACATAATTGGGGCTGGAACACACCCCTTGCCCTCCATATTACAGTCAACAAGAAGGAGAGAAGAATGAAGGAGAGAAGAGCTGCAGCCCTTCAGGGACCCCAACCTAGGAGGTCCCTGAGCCAGGGTTGTGACACCCTCTTTAGGGGGCTGCAGTTCCTGGTGTCTCCGAGATTCTGGGCAAAACTGCATTCCCCACATTCCCTGGTGTCAGCTGTGGAAGCTGCTTATGGTATGCCTGGTCCAGCCACAGTATCACAGGGAGCTAGTGCCTGTGCCAGCATGGAGCTGCCCACCCCACCACAGCTGGCATGCCTGGTTGTGCACAGTGGCTGCACCCCATGCTCTCTCACACACCCCTTGCTGCCACATGCATGGCTGGCCCTTGGCAGGCACGGGATCCAGGACAGTAGCATGAGCCAAATGCAGCCGGCCAGGCCTGGTGGGCGAAAGGAGCCCAGTGAGCCAGAGCAAAACTCAGGCAGAGGTGCCACTGGCCACAGAGGTTTCTGGCTGGCAAAGCAACATGCAAGGATCTCATAACAAAATTACACATAAATGCCACTTAAGCAACTTTTAACCCTTCTTTTTTTTTCTTTTTGTTAACAAACTAAGGGGAAATGGAGAACAAGCAAGAGAAGATAGAATGTTTCTTTCTTGGAGAGTTCCCTCAGGTTCTCTCTAATGAAAAATTGCAGAAATTTAACTCAGGAGTAAGCTAGGAAGACATGGAACTTTGGACCAAATATCAGCTAGGAGAAGAGGAGAACTCACAAATTATTTTGCTAATAATGGCCAGTTTTTGAGATGGAGGCTGTGAAAATCTAAGAATGTGGATTGATAAGTTTGGAAATAACTGAATACATATAAATAAATTGTAAATAAAGTTATGGACTTCAGTTGGTATGCAATGCCAGATGATAATACAATTAACTAACGAATTAGCAAATAGGATAATATGTTAATATGTTATATCTCTACATTCTGGTCTTGTTCTCCAGGCTTTGGAGACCTAACATGATGTCCTACTTTGTATATATGAAGTAAATATGTATAATAGGTGACCGTGACATTGTATTCCAGCAATCTCTTGGTCCTGCCCTTTTTTTCTATCCTATTTTAATACATATAACCATAGCTTAATCTTATTTAGACTTTATTTGTTCTACTAAGTAATACTTTGTGAGAGTGGTCTGATCTCTAGAATATTTGTGTTTATTATTAAAACTAATTTCTATTTCTTGTTTCTCCAAGTATATGTGTCTGTTTTTCTACCCTTTTATGTTATTTGCATTCAAAACATTTCTAGGTCAGTTTCATAGATTTCTTAACATCAAGTTATATTTCAAACACTGGAAACATAATAATCTTCCAATCTGGAAAGTACTAGAAGTCATAATATATTCTTTTAAACAATTTTCATTCAGATCAGAAACAAGATTATTTCACTTTGCTGTTCTAAAGTCGTAATTTGAGTCCCATACAAAGTGTTTTATATTTTAACTCATAAACATATATAGAAATTTTTGAGTCATAACTATTATTTGACAGTAGCTTTCCTACTCATGATTAAATGTTGTTACATATGGTCCTTTTATTTTATTGGTGAGATGTATCTAAGTATTCAATACTAATTCTTAGCTATTTATGATATTTACACTACAATCACTACTACGATCTTTGATTTGCTAGTCAGTTTCCATTATTTAGGATGTGAGTATCGATCCTTTAGAATTTTCTTTGTTGTTTCATTGTTTGTACATTTTCCCCACTCTAAGTCATTTGTAGTAAATGCTATGTTGTATTTCTTCATCAAGGCTGTAGTATTGTGCAGTGTGGAGTCACGGTTCAGAAGTGCGTATGAGGCTCCCTTCTATTAAAAAATAAAAGAAACCTAATAAAGGATGCAAAGATTGAAAAATCTATGACATCGAAAGTCCAAGTGGTATTGCTTCTAGATGCCTCTCAGATTCCTCCCAAATTTTTCAGGGACTTTTCTTAAGGTAATGTTAACACAGTTGCTCTTAACTTATGTATTTTGAAGACTCATAATGATCAAACTTATCATTATTACTCTTAGAAATTACTGCAGACCCATTTAAACCTATTCTTCACTGTAATTAAAAGAACTTTAAATGAGCCCTGGCCTACTTTCACAGTTTATGTTTGCATCCTGCCTTTAAACACTGTTTGCCTCATAAAAAGTCAGCATCTATTTGTTTGTTATTCTACAATACATCCTCTAATTTATTATACCCCCTTGAGAGTTATGAGTGGTCTTCCCTAAGTATTTTGTTTCTGTGATTCATAGAGCAGTTAACCTTTAAAATTTTCTACACAGAGTCTATACCAAGCTATTTCGATATATCTACATTTGTTCAAACACTTCAATCTCCCCAGAAATAGTTTAAGATGAACTCGTGTTAATAGCATTCTAAGTTCATGCATGAAAAAATCACATCTTTTTATTAAGAGTTTTAATAGTCACATCTTTTATAAAGTTATATCTAGTCACATATTTTTAAATTTCATAGTCACATCTTTTTATAGTTACCTACTAGTATCAGCAATCGTATACATCTCTAGGTATGTGCTATGGTTTGAATATGTCCCCCTTCGAAATTCAGGTGCTGCCAATGTGATAATATTAAGAGGTGAAGGCTTTAAGACATGATTAGGCCATGTGAACTGCCCCCTTGCAAATGTGATTGAGACCCTTATAAAAGAAGTTTAACTCCATATTTAGCTCTCTTGCTCTTCCATGTTCAATATGTGAGGATACAACATTTGTTCCTGCTGTTGAACAAAATAAGACGGCTCTCACCTGACCACAAAATGCTGGCAGCTCGGTCTTGGACTTCCCAGCCTCCAGAATTGTAAGAAAATAAATTTCTCTTCTTAATAAATGAGTTTCAAGTATTCTGTTGTAGCAGAACAAATGTACTAAAACACAATGCATGATATAATAGTGTCAACTACGGTCTTTGTCATTATTCAAGCCTGGGTTTGAAGTCAGGCTTCAGCTCATGGCTTAACGACTCTAAACCTTAATTTTATAAGCTGTATGATGGAGCCAATAATGCCAACCCACATGTTTGTAATGCCAATTAAACTAGATTACAGAAGGGAAAAGCTAACATTATACTCAACACATCTTAGGCACTCAATAAATGATAATTCCATCTTCTTTCTCCCTTATTTCCAACCATTTTTTCACTTCCTAAGGCTGCATTAGTGATCACTTCATGAAAAATCATATATTTTGAATCATATTACTTTATTCAGAAATGCCTTGTATTCCTGGGGTTTCTGCTTAGGACATTGTATCAGATTTACAACTTTAGAACAGCATAGTGAAACCATTAGAAATGGTTTCCATGTCTGGCTACCTTCTGCTGCCACATAGCTCAAGAGACTGAACATTGGTTTGGGTATAAAATTTTTAAGGTTTTTGGTTCTAATAAACAACATGTTCCTAGGAAAATATGTTAAAAATAATTTACAGGGTTGGCCAATATGGCAGACTAGAATCAGTTACTGTGTGCCACTGTCACAGAAAGGAACAGGAGGGGTGAGTAAATACAGTACCTTCAACTGAAATATCCAGGAACATACATTGGGACTAATCAAGAAAATGACTCGACCCACAAAGAATGGAGAAAAGCAAAGCAGGGCAATAGCTCACCCAAGAGCAACATGGAGCGAGGAGAACCTCCCCAACCCGGAAAAGCAGTGAGGAAATGTGAGACATGAGAACCCACACTTCTCCCATGGATCTTTGCAACCCTCGGGTCAGGAGATTCCCTCATAAACCCGCTTCACCAGGGCCTTCAGTCTGACACATAGAGCTACATGGAGTCTCAGCAGAGCAGCCGTTCAGGCACGCATGGAGACCCAGATACCTGGGCTTCCTGGCAAAAGCAGCTGCAACTCTGGCAAAGCAGGAGTTGGCAAAGCAGGCAAAGACCCCTGTGCATACCCTTAGGAAAGAGGCTGGATCCAGGGGACTGAGCAGCAACAGTTTGCAGGCCCCACTTCCACATTACCTCACAGATAAGATCTGCTGGCTTGGAGCTCCAACCTTCCACCAACAGCAGCATTACACCTCTCTGAAACAGAGCTCCCAGAAAGAGGGGTGGGCCACTATATTTTCTGTTTGGGTGACTTAGCCATTCCAGCCTTTGGGCTTTGGAGAGTCCGGGATGACCAGGGACTGGAGCAGACCCCCAGCATAGTACCGCTGCTCTATAAAAACGTGGACAGACAACCTTTTTACAAATATAGGAAACATAGTGGACCCACATGCCCAGGCAAGAGCCTATCAACTAACCAATAAGCATAAGTGTCACTTAAAGGGTCACACTCCAAACTTTCAACACCAAAAATATCTCGCTAACATGCCCCACTGTGAAACCAAAGACAATAAGTCAGTTTCAGATAAAGACTCTACACAAATCCTCAGCCCTGTGAAAACATCCAGAAAAGAATCTATTGACAATACTCAATCTACACTGCAGTTAGAGAAATACCCACACACAGAAATGAGAAAGAACCAATGCAAGAACTCTAGTAACTCACATGGCCAGAGTGTCTTATGTCCTCCAAATGACTCCACCAGTTCTCCAAAAAGAGTTCTTAACCAGGCTGAGCAGACTGAAATAACAGAAATATAATTCAGAATATGGATAGGAAGGAAAATCCTTGAGATTCAGGAGAATGGCAAAACCCAATCCAAGGAAATTAAGAACCACAATAAAATGATATAGGAGCTGAAGCATGAAATAGTCGGTGTCAAAAAGAACCTAACAGATCTCACAGAGCTGAAAAACACAACACAAGAATTTCACAATGTAATCACAAGTGTTAACAACAGAATAGACCAAGCTGAGGAAAGAATCTCAGAACTTGAAGACGGGCTCTCTGAAATAAGACTGTCAGACAAAAGTAAAGAAAAAATAATAAAAAGGAACAGACAAACCTCCAAGAAGTATGGGATTATGTAAAAAGGCCAAATTTACAAATCATTGGCATCCCTGAAAGGGAGGGGGAGAAAACAAACAACTGGGAAAATGTATTTCAGGATATCCTGCATGATAACATTCCCAACATTGCTAGAGAGGCCAAGAGTCAAATTCAGGAAATACAGAGAACCCCTAAAAGATTCTATGAAAGATGATCATCCCTAAGACACATAAGCATCAGATTTTCCAAGGTCAAAACAAAAGAAAGAATATCAAATGCTCTTGATTTGTTTGCTAATATTTTCTTAAGGAGTTCTTAATTTATATTTTTAAAAGGAATATTGGTCTTTAATATTCTAATATTCTTTTTTTTTTTTTTTTTTTTTCAGATGGAGTCTCACTGTCATCCAGGCTGCAGTGCAGTGCCATGATCTCAGCTCACTGCAACCACTGCCTCCCAAGTTCAAGTGATTCTCCTGCCTCAGCCTCCTAAGTAGCTGGGACTACAGGTGTGTGCCACCATGCCCAGCTGATTTTTTATATTTTTAGTAGAGATAGGTTTCACCACGTTAGCCAGGATGATCTTGATCTCCTGACCTCATGATCTGCCTGCCTCAGCTTCCCAAAGTGCTGGGATTATAGGTGTGAGCCACCACGCCTCGCTGGTCTTTAATATTCTTATGATACTTTTATCTGTCTTTGGTATCATGATAATTTTGGCCTCATAGCATTAGTTTGGAATAGTTCTCTTCAACTTTTGTGGAAGAGTTTAAGAAATAGCAGTGTTAATTATTTAAATGTTTGGTAGAATTTACTGATGAAATTATCTAGTCCGGAACATACATTTTATGAGAGATTTTTGATGACTTCTTAATTCCTTTACTTGGTTTTTTGATATATTTTCTATTTCTTCTTCTGTTATTTTAAATAATTTGCATGTTTCAAGGGATTTTTTCACTTCTTCTAGGTTATATAATGTGTCAACCTTCATAGTCTTCCCTTACAATCCTCTGCATCTTTATAAGTTCAGTAGTAACGTTCCTGTTTTCATTTCTGATTTTAGTTACGTGCATATTCTCTAATTCTTCATTGTCATCGTAGCCAAAACTTTGTCAATTTTGTCAGTCTTTACGAAGAACCAAATTTTGGTTTCATTAATTTTCTTTATTTCTCTGTTCTCTAACCTTTATCTTTCCCTTTCTTCCGCTAGTGTTGGTTTCAGTGTGCTTTTATTCCCTAGATTTTTAAGGTATAAATTATGTTATTAATTTGATAGCTTTCTTTTCAAATGTAGGAATTTATAGCTATAAATTTCTCTATGAGCAAAGCTTGCACTGCAACCCATAAATTCTGAGGTGTTGTGTTTTCATTTTCATTCATTCTGAATATATTAGTATTTCACACATGCTTTCTTCTTTCATACATTGATTGTATGAGTGTATAAATATCCACATATTTTTTCCAGATTTTCTCCTGTTATTTATTTTAAAGATTGTCACTTTGTGGTCAGAGAAGATACATTACATGATGTCTACCTTTTAAAATGTATACAGACTTGTTTTTTATCTAATGTATGGTTTACTGCAGAGCATACACCATGAGTGCTTGAGAAGAAAATAGACTCAAATAGAGATCAGAGTTTCACAATAATCACTTGAGATAATTTTTGCCATACAATTGTTACCTACATGTGGAGACAGATTCCTAGCACTTCCTGCTTCCACCATATTATCTGATATCACTGTTGACATATTAGTCCATTTTCACACTGCTGATAAAGACATACCCGAGACTGAGCAATTTACAAAGGAAAGAGATTTAATGGAGAACTCACAGTTCCACATGGCTGGGGAAGCCTCACAATCATTGCAGAAGGCAAGGAGGAGCAAGTCACATCTTATGTGGATGGTGGCAGGCAAAGAGAGACCATGTGAAGGGAAATCCCATTTTTAAAGCCATCAGATTTCCTGAGACTTATTCACTGTCACAAGAACAGCATGGAAACGGCTGCCCCCATGATCCAATTACCTCCCACCGAGTCCCCCTCCCACAACACGTGGGAATTCAAGATGAGATTTGGGTGGGGACACACCCAAACCATATCATTTCACCCCAGGGCCCTCCCAAGTCTCATGTACTCGTATTTTGAAACCAGTTATGCCTTCCCAAATGTCTCCCAAGGTCTTAACTCATTTCAGCATTAACTCAAAAATCCACAAAGTCTCATCCAAGACAAGGCAAGTCCTTTCTGCATATGAGACTGTAAAATCAAAAACAAGTTAGTTACTTCCTAGATACAATGAAGATACAGGCATTGGGTAAATACAGCCATTCCAAATGGGAAAAATTGGCCATAACAAAGGGGCTACAAGCCCCATGCAAGTCTGAAATACAGCAAAGCAGTCAAATCTTAAAGCTCCAAAATGATCTCCTTTGATTCCATTTCTCACATCCAGGTCACGCTGATGCAAGAGGTGGGTTCCCATGGCCTTGGGAATCTCTATCTCTCTGGTTTTGCAGGGTACAGCCTCCCTCCTGGCTGTTTCATGGGCTAGCATTGAGTGTCTGTGGCTTTTCCAGGTGCACGGTGTAAACTGTCAGTGGATCTACCTTTCTGGGGTCCAGAGGATGGTGGCCCTCTTCTCACAGCTGCACTAGGCAGTACCCCAGTAGTGACTCTGTATGGGGGCTCTGACCCCACATTTCCTTTCTGCACTGCCCTAGCAGAGGTTCTCCATCAAGGCCCCACCCCTGCAGCAAACTTCTGCCTGGGCATCCAGACATTTCCATACATCCTATGAAATCTAGATGGAGGTTCCCAAACCTCAGTTCTTGACTTCTGTGCACTTACAGGCTCAACACCACTTGGAAGCTGCCAAGGTTTGGGGCTTGCATCCTCTGAAGTCACAGCTCGAGCTCTACATTGGCCCCTTTCAGCCATGGCTAGAGTGGCTGGGATGCAGGACATCAAGTCCATAGGTTGCACACTGCCCTGGGACCCTGGGCCAGCCCATGAAACCCCTTTTTCCTGCTAGACCTCTGGGCCTGTGATGGGAGGGGCTGCTGTGAAGTCCTCTGGCATGCACAGAAGACATTTTCCCCTATTGTCTTGGGGATTAACATTCAGCTCCTTGTTACTTATGCAAATATCTGCAACTGGCTTGAATTTTTCCTCAGAAAATGGGATTTTCTTTCTTATCACATTGTCAGGCTGCAAATTTTCCAAACTTTTATGTTCTCCTTCCTTTGTAAAACTGAGTGCCTTTAACAGCACCAAAGTCACATCTTGAATACTCTGCTGCTTAGAAATTTCTTTTGCCAGATACCCTAAATCATCTCTCTCAAGTTCAAAATTCCACAAAGCTCTAGGGCAGAGGCAAAATGCACCCAGAGTCTTTGCTAAAACATAACAAAAGTCACCTTTGCTCCTATTCCCAGAAAGTTCCTCATTTCCATCAGAGACCAGCTCAGCCTGGGCTTTATTGTTCATATTGCTATCAGCATTTTGGGCAAAGCCATTTAGCAAGTCTCTGGGAAGTTCCAAACTTTCTCACATTTTCCTGTCTTCTTCTGACCCCTCCAAACTGTTCCAACCTCTGCCTGTTACCCAGTTCCAAAGTCACTTCCACATTTTCAGACATCCTTTCAGTAGCGCCCCGCTCTACTGGTACTAATTTACTGTATTAGTCTATTTTCAGGCTGCTGATAAAGACACACCTGAGACTGTGCAATTTACAAAGGAAAGAGGTTTAGTGGAGAACTCACAGTTCCACATGACTGGGGAAGCCTCACAATCATGGCAGAAGGCAAGGAGGAGCAAGTCACATCTTACGTGGATGGCAGCAGGCAAAGAGAGAGCTTGTGTAGGGAAATTTCCATTTTTAAAACCATCAGATCTCCTGGGACTTATTCACTATCAGGAGAACAGCATGGGAAAGACCTGCCCCCATGATTCAATTGCCTCCCAGCAGGTAATAGTCATCTAGGTAGAGAAAATGCTGTCTACAATCTGGAAGAACACTTAATTTATAAAATATACTGGAATGTTTGCTCACATTGTCCCTTTATTTCATATAAATGTAATCAACTTGGAGGACTTTAATAATGTGCCCAGATTAATAGGACAAGTTGGTGGTTAAATATGTTAAAGATAAATTGCTAGAACATCTCCTCATTTCACAAATAAAATAAACTGAGTCTCAAATAGTATGTAGCTTAAATCCCAGGTAGTATTCCAGCTCATTTTCAGAAAATAAAAATGAATTTTGGAAAAATGCAGCAACTTATTTTACTTTATTATTATAATTACATAATTGCTCATATTTTATATCAAACAGTCTAAGATGAAAAGGAGCTGCTAAAATGAATGTTTGCATGTTTTTGAAAGAAAATTTACTTTAGTAGATACTAAATATTTATAAACATTAGGCTAAATGTAATTTTAAATTCTGATAGTTTGCAGTAACATATTTTTACCTCATGGAATTATAAAACCTTAAAATACTGCAGTTTTCTGCAAGGATATTTTTAAAATCTTTAAAGAACCATATGTAATGTGATGATGAAGTTGCCATGGAAATTAGGTATTAAAAACAACAAGTTATCTATTATGTATTCATAATGCTTACATAATTACATGTACATTTTATTTCCATGTTTTTAGCTTTAGATTTGTTTTTCAGAAACAATTATGTGTTTCTGTACAACTGATAAGCAGAAGTTATATATAAGAAAAAAATTATATTCCATGGGCAAGGAAAAATGAAATTTTCTGAAAACTTAGTTTCAGCAAAAAGTAAAAACAATTAGTATTTGTAGTTATATTTTATTAATAAAAACTTTTTTGTATATTGCTTCTTTACATGAACTGAAGTACTTTCATAGCTATTTTTCTAATACCAAAATCTACCAAATAAGAAAATCATTGCTTTATCTTTTACCGTAGCAATAGATAATTATTTCTATGTACATGTGCTAACACAATAAAACATTCCTGGCTTATTACATCGTAAGGGGTCCTAATCTGGTCCAAAAATATGCTTTGTCCTACCATAAAATACCTAGTACAACATATATATTAGCATATTAAATATCTTAATATTTATACTTACACAATATATTTAAATTATATCAAGTTATTCTATAAATAGGTGGCAGAAAAAAATTGGTAAGAAAAAATGTTTTGGGTTACTGAAATCTGTGATGATGACTCATTGATCACTGTAATAAAATTAATAAGCCAGCTACTAAAATGTTACTTGACCTGAGTAACAGAATGTACCCCGGTTTAGATGATCTGAGTCACCACAATAGAAATTAATGAGGTCTCACTCATTTGTTAAATCTCAGCCCATTCACAGATTAGAACTGTTTCAAGATAAAGCCAAGTCCCTCTGTTTAAGCTCCTGTAGTACTTTGAAAAGTATACACCTGGGGATAGCCTCCTTCAACAAATGGAACTGTGGAAATGTTCTAGGGTGACAAATTCTATTTGAAAAAATAGAATATCCCCAAATAAGAGATTAATAGACCCTGGATCTGAATTTACATGGGCTAAGTTTGAGTACCACTAGAACACTCATGATATTAATCCTTAAAAGTCTTTAGATATATTAATAATGGGCCTTAATTTAAAATGCAGTTATCACATAATATTCTAAATAGCTACCCTAGTATCATTAATTATTCCATTCATTTATATTTTTAAAATAAAACCATGCATGCAAGTATAGCCTCCAAATAGAATCAAAAGTTTATATTTTACTAACAAGAATTCATAGTATTAGTTCTACCAAAATACATAATTTCAATACAAAAAGTATGGTTTCTGGCTTTTGCATGGAATGCAGAAATCTGCAGAGAACTCCTCACCCTCCTGAACAATAATAATAAAAAAAGAACAGAATGTAAAGGCTATCTGGCTGCGACATCTGTCACCTCATTGATCGCCAGGGTTGACACGGCTGATCTGGCTGGCTAGGTAGGTGTCCCCTTTCTCCCTCACCGCAGCTTCAGGAGGGATGCTCCTGGAGCTGTGCTGCCCTGCTAGAACCTCAAAACAAGCTCTCAAGAAAAAAAAAAAAAAAAAAACATAATTCTCAAAAGTATAACTTTTGTGAACACATCAGAGAGTAGATGTTATAGGACAGCTGGGTATAAAATAGAAGGAATGACAGTTATTCTCAGGGTGAGCCAGGATGAACACTGGCTCAGCCCTGGTAGGAGGAGGAGGACTTGGCTACCATACAACCAGAAGGAAGATTTCAGAACACACGTACACACACACACACACACACACACATATGGTGGCCATACGTATGTGTATATGTGTGTATATGTGTATATATGTATATATGTATATAAGTGTGTGTATTTATATGCATATATGTATATATGTGTATATAATGTATATACATATATGTGTATATAATGCACATACATATATGTGTATATAATGTATATATAATAGATATATGTATATATGTATATAAATGTATACATAATAGATATATGTATATATGTACATATATAATAGATTGCTACCAATCAGATTTCAGAACATATATGTGTGTATATATGTCAATATATGTATATATATTATATATGTGTACATGTGTATGTGTGTGTGTGTGTGTGTGTGTGTGTGTGTGTAAATTGCTACTGGCCAAATGGTGGCTAACATGTGAGTAGGGAACCCCTAGGGTCATAAACACAAGGGAGTTTGAACTCTTTGGCTTTTCTGCCCAGACCTTGTCAAGAAAGACTGGAAACAGAGCAATGCCTTTAAAATTATGAGAATAAATTATTTTCAACAGAAAGGCATACTTTAAGTGAAGCAAACTATAATTAAAATTAACCAGGCAGAAAAGCTACTTTGGACATGACTAAATGCACCTCCCCAGAACCTTAAGAAGCAACTGGAGAAAGTGTTTCGTTAAAATGGAGGAATAGTCCAAGAATCTGAAAGACAAGTGTCCAGGTAACAGAAGATCCGACAAAGGAGAGAAGAAAAAGACATTCCTAGGACAGCCTAGAGACCAATCATTATAGAGAAGAGCAGAAGGACAGTGCATTCCTAGGACACATGCCACATGCACAAAAGTAAAACTGATTTTCATATTTAAAGGAGATTCATGGCTTAAGAGTTTGGGAGCAAATTAGTGATAAGTACTTACAAAGTAAGCAAATAATGTTTTAAAGAAATTATTGGCCAGGCGCGGTGGCTCATGCCTGTAATCCCAGCACTATGGGAGGCCAAGGCGGGTGGCTTACGAGGTCAGGAGTTTGAGACCAGCTTGACCAACACAGTGAAAACCCATCTCTACTAAAAATACCAAACAAATTAGCCGGGCATGGTGGTGCATCCTGTAATCCCAGCTACTCCGGAGGCTGAGGCAGGAGAATTGCTTAAACCCAGGAGGTGGAAGTTGCAGTGAGCTGTGATTGCACCACTGCACTCTAGCCTGGTCGACAGAGCGAGACTCCATCTCGGAAAAAAAAAAAAAAAAAGAAATTATTAACAGCAGGGGGAAAATATGTCATAGAACATTTAGTTATGAAATATATTATGGCTCAGTTAAAAACAATATGAGAATATAAACAAAGAAAACTGATTTAATCAAAAATTGTATTAGTCCTATGATTTTGAGATTAATGACCAGAAGTGTGTGTGTATGTCTGTGTAATAAATGCTGTGATATAAATGGGTGAAACACCCATTTTCCCATTAAAAATATAACATATGAAATGTATATATCGAGAAATATCAATATAAGCAGGTATTTAGAAGAACAAAAGTAAATACCATGATAAATAAGTAACGTAATTGAAAATAATTTATTGGAAAATATAATTTGTTGTGAAGAGAAGTGTCAGAGATAAACACTGCCAGACACTAAGTAAAGTGGCAAGAACAGATTTTAATCAGTAATATCCTATTGCAATAAGGAAAGGAATCCAGCATGAACGGAACTCAGCTTTGAATTGTATAGAGGTGACTGGTTGTATTAAAGGGAGATAAGGGAATCGGAAGTGAAAAATTACAAAATGCAGGAAGGGGTGTTTGGTCCATGTGAAACTCATCTGGGTTTGTGAACTGGGACATACAGAATTCAGGCTCTATGCTCTCACAGGGGCTGGAAGACAGGGGCCTATGTTCAGGGGATGGCTGAAACAAACAGTGAATTCTTTTGGCAGCCTTGAGATTTGTTGTTGTTGTTTTCAGTCAGGCACTTTAAGAGGGGGCCACTGTCATCCTAGGGATGTGGCTTTGAGCTTAGAAATAGTATCAGTGTGTGTTCAAGTCTTTCTAGACCAAAGTTGACAAGTCTATTCAAGAACCAGGCTCAGAGGAGTCTGGCTAGAGTGAAATCAGGGAGAATCTTTGTCAAAGGTGAAGAAGCAGATGCTGTTTTGTTTTTATTAGCATTCTAATACTATCTAGATTTATAATTGTACACATGTAGTTTTAATACAAATTAAATTCAAGAAATCAGTAAGAAAAGTGAAGCTTTTCACCATAAGACATGGAAAGAACAAAAAAGAAAAAAAAAGCGAAGCTTTTGATGCACTCAAAAGTTTGAAAGTATGGTCAAATGTTAGGAGTAAGAGACCTTATCTTCTGTTCAACTCCCATTATTTCACATTTACCGCCCATCTCTCCTAGCCCCAATCTATGAGCAGTTGCAAGCTTAATTGAGCAGAATCTGAGATATTAAGAGATCTTATCTTGAATAGAAGTTCAACTCCCATTATTTCACATTTACTTTCCATCTCTACTAGCCCCAATCTATGAGAAGTTGCAAGTTTAATTGAGCAGAATCTGAGATATTGATTGCACCCTGTTTTACTAGTGGTCATAGGCACCGAGAACTAAGAATCTGTTCCTCCAATTTTATTTTACTTTATACTCCAATGTTATAAACACTTGGGCAAGACCAGACAAGGGTTGTTCCCTGAGTGTCTGAGACAGGCTCTCAAAATTTTTCTATGTTGACAGTTCGGTTTATGGACAGCTCCAGAGTTTCTAAGGGGTCTGAATATGAAGCCACTCTTAAGTGCTTACAATTTAGGTTCTTTTTTCGTTTTTAAATGCCTTAAAGTTGGTGAGTATTAAATATTTTCACTGTTGTTCTTTGGAACTCCATTCTGCCATTGTTATTTGCATACATAGCTCTCTTAAGAAAAAATCCCAGAGACCTGGAGAAGTGAACACATCTTTTAGGCAGCAATACCCATCTTGAACCCATATACATGGCCATTATCTGTAGTGGGATGTCAGCCTCAGGAACTGATCTGTTTTTATATTTTCTTCTGTGGCATAAAGCTGAGAAAATTCTTACTTATACAGATAATGCTAAAAATGATACTAATCTCTCTCTCTCTGACTCTCTCTGGGTCTCTATTTCTTTCTGTCTCAGTTTCCCTTCTTCCCAGTTCTCTTCACACTTTCAAAAGACACTTCAACCCAATACATTTGGAAGTTTGAAGAATAATGGTTAAGTTTTTATTTTTGAAATATACTAGAATCCTTAGCTCCCAAATAATGGCTGCTATTTATTTTTTCACCAATTGAGTGTTAGGTGAGAAGAATACTTAGCTTTTAATATTAAAACTACTATATGATTTAATCGTCAGGTAATGTGTTATTTTGCAACTGTGTATTTTGCTTTGATGACATCAAGAACAATAGAGTAGATTCATGTGCCTAAAATTTATGTAAGTATGTTACATGTACATTGACAACAGTATGCTTTCTTGTACAATTTTCACTGAGCAGATTTGCAGGTCTGATTTTTTAAAAGGAAAATTTTCACATCTCTACTTCCAAAATCAAGGACACACTTGTAAAAAACGTATGCACTAGGTTGCCTTTACGCTGCAGTCTATCCTATAGGCTTATATGTATGTGTGTGTTCTTCTCCAATTCGTTAATTAACTTATGTAAGTATTAGTTGATGTAGTTCAATTTCATCTGAAATGCAGAAAAACATGTGAAATGCTTGATGCACTTCTGTCACAGTCTGTTTTATGAGGACCCAGTTTAAAATCACTAAGCTAGTCCTACTGCCAGATTGAACTTTGATATTAAAAAACTACATAAGAGAGAATACATTTAAGGAGAGCTGTGATCTATATTTTACTTCACCTTTCATTTTAAAATATGTAGCTTTTCCTTAATTTTTTCAAGATTCTTACCAGATTTTACCTTTATTTCAGGCTGCCCCAAAACATAAAAATTTCATAATTATATTATTCCCTCTCCCAGGAAAGCAAATTATCCAAAATGAACATAATACTACTTTTTCATGGCACATGTCAAAATTAAAGCAATACATGTAAAATCAGACACTCTATGAAATGATAATCTTTTGTTGAAATTCCCATTTGGAAGAAGCAGGGAGATAGAGAGAGGCATAAGTATTATTTTCTAAAAGATGTGTTTGGTTGAAAGGCTCAATTGGGAGTGAGCTCGCAGGTTTCATTGCCTTCTTCTTTCCTATAATGTATGCTTACATGTCACTTTTCAAATGACTGTAACCTATGTACATACACATACACATAGATGTATATATATGTGTGTGTATATATATATGCATGCACATATGTGCATGTGTGTATATATATATATATGTGTGTGTGTGTATGTGTATATATGTATGTATAAGTTGCCAGGCAGGGAGCAATTAGCATTAACAGTTCTTTAGTAAATTTGCCTGCCCACTCTACAAGTTAACTAATTAGGCTATTTTTTAGAATGCATAAATGAATGTAATTGAGTGTTCAGGATTAAGAAGACATAATTATTTTCAACGAAGAAGCAACAGAACACACCATAAAGGTGGGTGGGTGATCTCATGAGTTTTCAGGCTTCAGAAGACATAATTATTTTCAATCAAGAAGCAACAGAACACTCCATAAAGATGGATGGGAGATCTCATAGTTAACATAGTTTAAAGGTTAAGAGGACCAGGTGTCTCAAAGTGAAACTGGGAAGAAATTGAAAAACAGGTAAGATGAAGTCAAAAAGAGAAAAACAGTTTGTGCAGAAAAAATGGAAGTTACAATAAAATCTTTATAAGGCCAAAATTATAGAGCTTAATATAGATGAGAAGGCAAATATCAGTTTCAAATACTTTAAAATGGTAATGATATGCATATGTACATTTCAGTTATGTCAGACTTAGAGAGTTCTAGAAATATTTCCCACAAATTTCAGAATATGTGTTAACATATCTAAATTCTAGCAAGTATGGAATGGACAGATTTGTGGACCTGGATATGTTAATAATTTTAAAAAGTAAAAACAAAACAAAAATCTCTTAACACAGGCAAGTGTAGAAATCACCATAAATTTGACAGATTTTTTTTTTTTTTTGTAAGTCAAGAGTCCAGCTAGACCCTCTGAAAAAATTTTAGGTAGCAGGCATTAAACTGATAATTTCTTAAGTATGTATATTAATGTTGTTTGCAGAACTACTTCAAAACATAGCAATGTATTAGGCTGATTTATTTTATATATTATAAAATAATGTATTAAAATTATGCAAAATATGTGGCATCCAGGCATCAACAAGAGAAGCAAAATCAGGGGGAGATTATATTTTTATAAAGAGTTATATATTGTTTTATTCCAAGGTTTTTTACTCATACAATTATTGGGAGCAAATCTGAATTTTAAAAGTCACATGGTCAGGAAGGAAGGATCAGAGGCAGGATGGAATTCCATGGCCACAGGATGAAGGGGTGGCTCATGGATGAAATTTGTTTTCTCGACCTCAGGGACGTACAGTTCAATAGGATCAGGAGTGTTTCTGAACTGAGAAATATGAGCAAAATTTCTGTATGACACCTCTAGGTTTAGCACACAAAAACCTCCCTCACAATTTTTTCTGGAAACAAGTAAGAATCTTAAAGTATTTTAGAAAGGAAGCAGTAAAATTTTCCTTTTTCAAAAACAGCAGAACTTTTATATAGAAAATCGCAAGGAATCTAGAAACATCTCTTTGAACTAATGTGTTATTTTAGCAAGGGTGTTGAATTACAATCAATTTTAAAAAGCAAATGGGGTAAAAGGCTTAGATCCTGTTAAAAAGCCAATATGCAAACACCAAAAATAAAAAGCTCAATGCATTAGTTCACAGGATAATGCATACTAAAGCCGTAATGACCACTTTAATGACAAACATGACCAAATGTTGGTAAGGGACACTCAAATCCCACTCCTCTAATTGTTTGAAAATGTATAATAAATTGCTGTTAATTATAGTTGCCCCTTAGTGCTGTAGAACATTAGAACTTATTAGAACTCATTCCTCCTATTTAGCTGTACTTTTATATCCATTAACCAATATTTGACCATCCCTCCCTACCACCCCCATATTTCTCCACCTCTAGTAACCATTATTCTATTCTCTACTTCCTTGAGATCAACTTTTTTTAAGCTTCCTTATATGAGTGAGAACAGGCAGTATTTATTTTTCTGTTCCTGGCTTGTATCACTTCACATAGTGTTCTCCAAGCTCATCCATTTTTGCCACAAATAACAGAATTTTATTCTTTTTTATGACTAAATCGTATTCCACTGTGTATATATACATTTTCTTTATCAATTTCATCTATTCATCTGTTAATGGACACTTACGTTGATTCCATATCTTGACTATATTGAATAGTGTTGCAATATATATCTCTGAGTGTCTGTACATGATGCACACCTCCAGTATTCGAAATGATGCAAATGTGAAATACATAGCATAGGGAATTGGTACGATATGTGAAGGCCCAGAACTTGTGCATGATTTAATCATTTGTCAGGGAATATTTCTTGCATCTTTCATCTACGTTTTCACTTCTATGATTTTCAAAACACTCATTGCACTTTTATTTGGAGAGTGTTTGTTTTCTACAAATTTCGCAAGTACATGCTGTCCGTGTGAAAGTCTGGTTATTGCTGGACCATTGCAATTAAATGATTTTCTGCTTTCAGGGCATCAATAACAATTGGGTTTTAAATTATTATCTTTCACCATTAAGTAGCCTCATACACTTAACTTATCACAGCCTTTTTATGAAGAAACAATTTCACCAATCTCTTCCATTGTGTTGCAAATAATAGAATAAGAAGAAATATTTGGCTTCCCTAATACCAAATCTGTATTAGTCAAGATTCTCCAGAGAGACAGAAACAAAAAAGATATATGTATAGATACAGGTGGAGGAATTTATTAGGAGAATTGGCCCATGTGATGATGATGCCTAAGTCCCGTGATAGGCCATCTGCAAGCTGGGGTCCCTGGGATGCTGATAGCCAAGTCTGAAGCCCTCAGATACAGGAATGTCGATAGTATAACTCTCACCCCAAGGGAGAAAGCCTTGGGATCTGGAGGGTTGTTTGTGCAAGTTCTGGAGTCCAAAGGCTGGCAAGTCTGGAGTTCTGATGTCCAAAGTAGCAGAAGTAGAGTGTGTCCCAGCCCTCAGAGAGAGAATAATTTGCCTTCTGTATTCATTCTCCTCGGACCCCCATCTGATTAGAAGATGCCCATCAACGCTGAGGGCAGATCTTCCCCACCTCGTCCACTCAGACTCACACACTCTGAGGTGTCTACCCTCGAAACACCTTCACAGACACGCATGTAATAATGCTTTACCATGTTTCTGGGTATTCCTTAATCCAGTCAAGTTGACACTTAAAATTAATTCCACAAGTCCACCCCTTGTCAACTTGGCACCCATACACATATTTTAAAACCATACTTAATTTCCACATAAAGACAATAACAAGGTAATATTTCTGCCTAACACCATGTACCTAAACTAATGCAACTACCCTGTATACAAATGAAAACCCATTAGTCCCTTCCCCCACATTTTGGCATTCAGGATTTCAACCTTCATCTGTCAAGACTGTGATTTTCAGGAGTTTAAACATTAAGAACTTCGGACTTTAGGGATTTTCATGTTTCTGGATTTCAACATTAAGGGATTATGGTGTTCAGAATTGTCCTTCTCACGAGGCAACACATGAATAAATGTATCTGATTTTTACCCCTCTACTGGGATTACTTTGTGGCATTTTCTTCACTGTTTAAATGAGTTCTCCTGAGAGATTGAGCTTCCACTGCCAAGTGGCAACAGGATTAGCAAAACACCTTTCACTGGCTTTTTTTCCTTTGCTTTTAACCCCCTTACTTTTTTTTGTTTGTTTGTTTTTTTGACACAGTCTTACTGTCTGTTGCCCAGGATGGAATGCAGTGGTGCGATCTCAGCTCACTGCAACCTCTACCTACCAGGTTCAAGCAATTCTCCTGCCTCAGCCTCCTGAGTAGCTGGGATTAGAGGCGCCCACCACCATGCCCAACTAATTTTTGTATTTTTAGTAGAGACAGGGTTTCACCATGTTGGCCAGGATGGTCTCGATCTCTTGACCTCGTGATCCACCCGCCTTGGCCTCCCAAAGCCACCGAGCCTGGCCCCTTACTTTCTTATTTATGTTTACTCCAAAATAAGCTATATCTGCATGCAATTTTTTATCCCAGAGTCTGCCTCTGTAGTGACCCCAACTCAGGCAGCACATATTTCTTACATCTTTACCAACATGTCATACTAGAAGATGGTAATGTAAACATCATTAGCTAATTGTGAAACATTAGAGAAAAATTTAATTTGAGATGTACCTCTGGTCTTGCTAAGTGGAGAATTATTCCAAAAGGAGGTAATACTCTGGACTTTAAACAATGTAGTTTATTTATATGTCTAATGAGCACATAAATGCATTATTCAGATGTCTCAGAATTTAAACTGAAATTGAACTTTTTTTTCCAGGCTCTACCAGGCAATGGTTTATATGTAACTAAAATTTGTCTCTTCAATAGTTAATATTTCAAACAGAAAACTTTATTTCCTAACTTGATCGTAAGAATATATAAGTGCTCAAAAATTTGAACAAATTCTTGAGAATATTCAGTCCAATATAATATATTATCTGGTTTGGCCATATAAACTTTCTAGAGGTTGAACCAGAAAAACTCGGAAAATGTCTTCTCCCATGAATGCCACCCTTTGGTTTGCTGATTCTGTGTTCATTATTCTCATGTACTAATAGCTAACGATGGCCTCCTCAACTGAACCAAGAATTAGCTGTAGCCAATTTAATGATTGCATAAAAATTAAGAAAATTAATTAGGTGGTGCTGATAGACACAAGGCAGGGACAGCAACCTCCTTTCAATTTCATATACACTTGCAAATGGCAAGATTTACTAGCCAGTGACATATTTTTCTTTAAATAATTATAGGGTTAAGATTTGGGAGGATTTGGATTTCATCTGATTTGTAGTTGATAAACCTGGAGCAGATTGTTGGAACTGTAGTCATTAAGAGCACATGTTCTGAAGAGAATTGCTGAGTTTCACTCGCAGGTGAAATTTCTGCTTTTCACCTTTACTATCTTGGGAAATGTATTTACCTTATGATAACCCATTTTTTAATCATTGAGTTGTGTAAGGATTAAAGAAAATGTTAACTACTAATTATTTAAAATAATACCTTATTTCTGCAGGGTGGGCCAGCAGTCTGGAAATTCAGGGAAGACCCAATCTTGCAGGATTTTAAGGTCAGTCTTTGTTCCATCCAGGCCTTCAACTGATTAGATGAGGCCCACTCACTTTAGGGAGGGCCATCTGCTTTACTCAAAGTCCACTGATTTAAACATTAATCTCATCCAAAAACATCCTTAAAGAAACCCAGAATAATGCTTGACTTCACATCTCTGCTCAGCCAAATTGACACAAAATTAATCATCACAACCACTTATATTCATGTTGTTGAAACTGCAAGGAAGGCAGAGCCTGATGCACACATTATAATAGCTGTGATTTTATTGAGTGTGTTCCCCATGTCATTTAAGCTTCATGAAACAGATTTTTCTCTTTTTTATCTTTTCTATATTTCCAGTGCCTATCACATATGACATGTTCAATAAAATAAAAATATTTTTACTAAAATAAATAAATAACTGGAAATAAAAAAGCACCTGACTATAGTGAATTCTTATAATTTTATGTTGCTTTCATATCCATTTCAAATACAACTTTAACTATCTCATACCAGAAGCAAGGCTCAGTCACCCTTGACACACTTTCCAGTTCTATACCACACCCAATAGCTCAAGCCAGTGGCCAGGGCTAAGAAATTAGAGGCATCTCTCCCACCTAGCAGACTGGGTTCTCTGTATTCCCATCACTCACTTTAAATGGAACATTCAGCCAGCCCTCAAATGTAAAGTGACCCACGCTCTGACCCTTATCTATACTGCTGATTGCCATGGGACTCTTTCTGTCTCTGCCTGACTCTTCATTCTTGCCTTGTGTGACCTGTGGCAGAGGAGTGTCCTTCTGACTAAATATGCCCCCCTTGCCCAGGATCTGTAAGTAAAAACCTTTGAACTTGCTTCCTATTGTGATGGTATATTGAATTCACAGCTTTTTTCTGAAGAACCAGGGGCTAGCCTAGGTGGAGTGTTTCCTGGATGTGAGGTGGATGGGCAGACAAGGTCAGGGTCCTCATGCCAGAGCTTGGTCAGGTAGGCATAAACTGGGTCAGACAAAAGCCACAAGGTGTCTGCCAGTATAAACAAGTTTTAGGTGTGAGGGTCACCTGGCCATAGTCATGTATCAGGAAACTAACCATAAGGCCATCTGCGAAGTAAAAGGAGTATCCCAGGAAAGCATACTATAAACACTCAAGTCCAACACCCCTTCATTTGCCCTTAGAGCAGGGTTGCTGGCTTCTTTGGAACTAGAACTGCAATTTGGCTGGGAGCTTTTGAAACACTAACATATAGTACCGTTTAATATTTCAACATTGAATGACACAAAATTTTAAAAGAGAGATAAAATAACATATCTAAAAGTGTGCACAGTTATAAAGAAAATTACTAGCTATATTTATATTTAGCAGTGATAGAAGAGATATTTTAGTAATTATAAAATTTGCCAAAAAATATCTACACTGAAGTAGGGCTTAGCAAATGCTTAATAATAATTTCAGTACTATTTGAAAACATTCCCAAGATCTTCTTAAAATAATTAAGTAAAAATAAGCTCAAGGCGAATTAAAATAGATAAAATTAATGACTCATATGAAGAAAGTAAAGTTTTAAATTTACCAAACTTGTTGTTTATACATCCTTTTAAATGTCATAATGAAAACTGTTTCAGTCCATTTAGGCTGCTATAATAAAATACCATAAACTGCATGGTTTATAAACAACAGAAATTTATTTCTTACAGTTCTATAGGCTGGCATGTCTAAGGTCAAGGAGCAGGCAGATTTGGTGTATGGTAAGGGCCTGCTTCCTGGTTCATAGAAGGGTACCTTCTTGCTGTGTCCTCATACAGTGGAAGCAGCAAGGCAGCTCTCTGAGGCCTTTTTTCTTTTTAAATAACGGCACTAATTCCATTCATGTGGGCTTAGCTTTCCTAATCAAATCACCGCCCAAAGGCTCCAGCTCCTAATACCATCACATTGGTGATTAGATTTCAACATCTGAATTTTGGGAGGACATAAAAACATTCAGACCATAGCAATAATTATCTTTTGAATTTTATTTAGACATATTTTGAGTTGGGATTCTATTTGTCCTACTTAGTCCAGAGGAGCTTGTTAATTGCATGTGAAAGACTAAAGAGAGTGAGAATTCTAGGGTGATTTCCATGTTTCTTGTTGGGCAGCTAGTTGAATGTAATGACACTGACAATACAGGGAATGCAGATGTTGCAAGAAAGAAAATGCATTCAGGTTTTCACTTGTTGAAGGTAAAATACTTTTAAAGATAGCCAAATTGAAAAAGTCCATCTGGCTGTTAAATAAATGTTCAAAAATTGTTGTATAGCATTTAATTAAATAAATATCAAAGCTATTCCAAAATAATGGAATAGAAGTTCTAGAAATGAAAGGATTTACAGCAAAAAAAAGTGTTGGAATGCACTGGATGCAATAAATCCCCCTTAGGTCCAGAAGTCATGCCAGCATACTAAAGGCACTGAGAAAACCGGGATTAAAATAATCATATGTGGGCCAAGCATAGTGGCTTATGCTTGTATATTTGTCACTTTGAGAGGATTGCTTGACCCAGGAATTCAAGAGCCTGGGCAACACAGGAAGATCTCTTTATTTACCAAAAAAAAAAAAAAAAAAATAGCTGATTGTGGTGGTGGGCACCTGTGGTTCCAGCAACTTGGGAGGCTGAGGTGAGAGGATCACTTGAGCTTGTGAGGTCCAGGCTGCAGTGCGCCATGATCATGCCACTGCACTCCAGCTTGGGTGACAGAGTGAGACATTATCTTAAAAACTAATAATAAAACAACACCTATTTGTGGGGTTACACAAGTTATATTGTTATGTTTAACTTATGAAATAAGAACTTGACCAAACCAAAGTGGATTTAACTTTATGGGACAGTTTCATTTTGTAATTTTAATATAAGCCATGAGAGCAATAAAAAAAAAAATGTTTTACTACTGCCTGCCTATTCCCTTCTCAAGACAATACTACCAAACAGGCATATTTCATAATCATCATTTCAGTCCTTGGCTTATGAGAGCTCTTCTTCATGTATTCAAGACTATGGAGACCTCCCATCCTCACTGCAACTCTTTGAAGGTTAATCAAAATGTGCAAAATGTGTATTTTTCACAACCTAAATTCAGCTTCATATAGGGAGGTGTGTGGCCTTTTTAATAACCTCTCTTTGGACAAAATTACTATCAAAGTTCATTCCTCACTGGAAGCCTGTTAAATGAGCAGGTGCAGTATTGTTCTTTAGCAGCAAGATTGAAGATCCAGCAGCACAACAGTACAAAATTTATGGTCTAAGATTTCTCACAGAAATTATGCAAACATTGCCTGCTCCCTTTATATCTGCAAAGTGAAATCTAGTTTCTTAGAGTGGTGCACACAGAATTTTATGGCATTTAGTTTGGAAAAAAAAAATGAACAGTCACAATTCATTACTTTCTAACTTTTCCTGAGACAGAATACAAACTTCATGAAATATATTGTGTCAAACTCCTTCAGTCCTATGAAGGGAAGTTTGGACAAGTGTTTTCTGGTATAAATCCACCCTATTTTCATCATAAAATATATTTAGTCAACAACTTTAATGGACATTACCTTTCTTTGTTTTATAGTTATGATTCGGGAATGTCAAATAATAGAAAGTCTGAGTGAGGGCTATGATTTGAATGTGTTCCCTCCAAGACTCAGATGTTGAAACCTAATCACCAAGGTGATGTTATTGGAAGTTGGAGTCTCTGGGAGGTAATTGGCTCATGAGGGCTCTGCCTTCATGAATTGTATTAGGACTCCCATAAAAGGACTTGGTGGGGAGAGTCTGTCCCCTTTTACTCTTTCCACTTCTGCCATGTAAGGACATAGAGTTCACCCCCTTCAGAGTATATAGCATCAGAATTTCATCTTGAAAGCAGAAAGCAACCTGCATCTTGGACCTCCCAGCTTCCAGAACCGTGAGATAATAAATTCCTGTTCTATCCCAGTCTGTGATATTTTGTTACAGCAGCACAAATAGACTACACCATTCAGCTAGAGTTTAACCTTTTAAATATCAGTGCTATAGGATTCATTTATATGCTTCATTGAAATATTAAAAACTGATAAGGCATAAATTGTATTAAAATGGACTACACTATAAATAATTTTTAACTGTCTAGGAAAAATGAGAACCAAGCATATTTATTTTCTGTTCATGTTGTTTGACCTTCAGAGAGTCTATTGAGCTTATGAATTCTTCAGCAATAATTTAACTATAAACTCCTTTTCCTAAGTTTAGAAAATGTTTTGCATGAGATTTGAAAATATAACACCTTAAACCGCATATTTACTATCATTAGGATTGAAAATATTCCACAGATATAAAGACAGGGAAAGTAAGGAAAGTGTGAAGCTGATTTTAGGGCTGGGTTGATGTGAACATAACACCAAGAGTAGAAAATAAATTTGAAAAATATGAAAGTTTATAAAATTTGTAAGAGTTCCCAAGAAATGAATAAGCTTTTTTTTTTTTTTTTTTTTGAGACGGAGTTTCCCTCTGTCGCCCAGGCTGGAGTGCAGTGGCGCAATCTCGACTCACTGCAAGCTCCGCTTCCCGGGTTCACGCCATTCTCCTGCCTCAGCCTCCCGTGTAGCTGGGACTACAGGCGCGCGCCACCATGCCCAGCTAATTTTTGTATTTTTAGTAGAGACGGGGTTTCACCGTGTTAGCCAGGATGGTCTCGATCTCCTGACCTCGTGATCCGCCCGTCTCGGCCTCCCAAAGTGCTGGGATTACAGGCGTGAGCCACTGCGCCCGGCCTGAATAAGCTTTTAATGCTCAACTGAATTCATAAAATGGAAAAGCAATGCTCAGGCCATACATATGGAGCAGTAGCAGATTTCACCATTGATTTCATGTGGTCCAAAAGATTTATTGAAATCATGACAGATATCTGGGCATGAAAAATAGGGAGTGATACACCAAAGCATAGCTTCAGATAACTTGCAACAAAAGGTATGAAGTTATATTAGAATATTCCACACTGATATTTAATAAAGGGAAATGTAGAGCTTAATCTTTGTTTTTCTCAATTCCACAGTTTAGGAGCTCAATACTATGGAAATATATTAAAAACAATGGGAGATACAGGTTTCTCTCAAAAGTAAGATATTAAAAAAATGCAAACATAGTTTTTAAATATTTCGTCAAAATCAAAAGAAAAATAAAACCATCTTCATTGGACAAAAGCAATCATAATAAAGAATTTGGTTTTTATAAGCTATTTCAGTCTTTATGTAATGCATTTTAAAGTAGAAACCAAAACCCCCATATTTTATTATATTGAAAAATATAATAAAATATGTGAATTAAGATGCATTTGTTTGGATGTCCATTAAAACATTTTATAATAGCACATTTGCAAACATTTTTTAACATTTGTTGTCTGAAGTACAACAGAAGGATACTGAAATATAGAATAAAATGGTCAAACAATGTAATATTCAGTCAAAAAAAGCTTCAAATGAGTTTCAAGGATCAGAAAAGTTCTCTTTTCATAAAGTTCCAAAGCCACATAAAGACCCGTGTACATGGTGCCATTCATACAAATTAGCGCATCTGTAATACATCAGAAGTTGGCAAAAATTTTCTATACAGACCCAGATAACAAATATTTTAGACTTTGTGGTCATGTGCTATCTGTTGTATATAATCAATTTTGCAACTTTACCATTGTAGTGTGAAAGCAGCCTTAGAAAATGCATAGAAAGTACATGTGGCTGAGTTTCAATGTTTTATTTACAAAAACAGGTGATAAATTAGTGTGGCCCTTGGTCTGTAGTTTGCTAAACATTTGCTGTATGCATGAATGCTATTTGAGAGGGTAAAATGATATATGACTTAGGTCAAAATTGGCACCAAAATACAAATGAAAATAAGACACTACCTTATCCTTAATATTACGCTTGCACCCCACCCCTCCCAAGTATGGTTCTCCCAAGCAAGCCAAATCAGAACAGGAGACAAATTTCAGATGAAATCTCTTCCTTCTCTTCAACTACCACTCCATATAATGCTAATGAATGGTAAGGAGAAAACGATATGGAAAATGCTCATTCTGTTATTGAATACTAAAAAAGAAATCAAAGAATGCTTTCTAAATGACTGCAAACTTATTTCATCTTTCAGTGTGGGAGCTGCAACAGGAGTAAGTTGGAACCTTGAAAACATCCTTAAGGAAAAACTATACATGAAAGGGATTCCTTTATGAAAGACTTAGCAAGTGGGTGAAGTATGAAAGCATGACACCAAAAGCTGAAGTTGGGGATTGGGAGAGGAATAGACAGGTATAAAATCCCTACAATAGAAAACTTATATATTTCACATTGGATTTATTTAGTCAGTATATTTTTCATGATTGATGACAAATTAACAATTCAATCTATCCTAGGTAAAGAATGACTTTCCTCATGTACATTTCTAAACAACAAGATGCAGAGATCATACATTAGCTCAAGTGAGAACTGAAACCAAGGGCTGAGATGCGCCAGAATTTATTTTCTTTATACCACCTTTCCACTGCTTTCGTGCATATCTGCTTCATTCTTTTATGCCAACTTTTCCATGATACTAGAATCATGTTTGGCAGTTTCTCTGCAGTACTTATCTTCAGCCACACATCTTTACTCACGTGACCAGCCTTGTGGGTACAGACAGAAGAATTATAACTCTGATATCCACATACCATCACTTAATTGGATAGAAGGAGAAACAGTTCTATTAAAAAGGGATATTGCTTCCTTGAGTTGGAGGGAATCTTGGCAGAGAAAATGAAATCATTAGCACTTTAATATATTCAAAATTGTAATTGTTAAATAACAAACAAATATGCAACTGGGAAAAAATGTATACACATTTCACAAAACAGCGTATCTGTATACCCTGTAATTGGAAAGTGTATTTAAAAAGGTCATTGATAAAAAATAAATGGGAAAAAATTTTTTTTACAATGACACATCAACATGTCAACTGAACAAATGTACACAACTCAGTGGAGCTAGGTGAGAATTTTGGTAGGTTTATAAAATTGGGTCAACATCTTAGTGAGCCACTTAAAAATTGTATCAAGAAATGTTATGATACAGATACCTTTAAATTTTGTAATCAGGTGTATGTACCTTCTAAACTCTTTAAGAAATAGCTCACAACAGATAACTTCATAGCTACCATCTGCTCCTCCCCAACCTTTCCCCTTTCCTCTCAATTTCTTCATACATATGAAATTGACCTCTCACTTGGTTTTATGTCAACATTGACTTGCTTTTATTTATAAATTCATCATTCATTAAAGATAAAGATAACACTCTTGCATGAATCTGAGCTTAATATAAATGAGAACATATTAGAAGTATATTTTGAAACCTGCTTTATTTCTCTAAGCTTTTTGTAGATTTCCACGTGCACATGTGCACGCACGTGTGTGCACACACATAAACACTGGTGTTTTAGGGAGAAGGATGGTGTTCATTCCTTGTCACTACCAGGTAGTAGTCCATTCAGTGAATATAATTCAAACTATCCAGTCTCTTGTAAATCAGTATTTGGTTCTTTTCTACTTTTGTGCTGTTTGAAATAATTATGCTATAAATATATTGCATATGGCTGATAGTATGCCCGCGAAAGATTTTCTTTAGGGAATAGAAATGAATTTCCTACATTATGAAGTATAGATGGCTTTAAATTCAGATAATGAAAAATTTGTTTTGCAATGTGATTATACCAATTTGCACTTTTATCAGAGACATTTTCCCATTGGTCTACCGTCTTGCCACCATTTTGGTGTTTTCAGAAATTTCCTATATTTATTTTAATTTAAGGGAGTGAAGAAAGATAAAAGTTGTCTTCTTCTGGTTATCTGATATCCTGGGAGTTATCTTTGCTTGTGTTTATTGGCATTTATGCCTTCTCTAATAAAAGCTTCCCCATTCCCATTTCTTCTGTTGCCCTGCTTATCTTTTGATTTGTAAGAGGCTTAGCATTTTCTAGACATAAATATGTTGTTGGCTATCTGTGACAAACTCTTCCCAAGTTTTTGTGGTTGTATTCATTTGTTTTGTGATATCTTTTGATCTCCAGAAGTTCTTAGATTTAATGAAGTGAGATTTATTGGTGTTAGACTTTGTCGTTGAGTATTTGGTGTGTAAGACATCATTCCATACCATGAGATCATGAAGACATCCTAATTTTTTTCTAAAATTTAAATAATGTTTTTAAATTTAAATCTAAATTCTCTCTAGAATTGATGTTGTATATGGCAGCAGTCCCAATCCTTTTTGACATCAGGGACTGCTTTCGTGGAAGATAATTTTTCACAGAGAGGTTTTGGGTGGGATGGTTTGGGGATGATTCAAACGCATTACATTTACTGTGCACTTTATTTCTATTATTATTACATTGTAATATATAATGAAATAATTATACAACTCACTATAATGTAGAATTAGTGGGAGCCCTGAACTTGTTTTCATGCAACTAGATTATCCCATCTGGAGGTAATGGGAGACAGTGACAGGTCATCAGGCATTAGATTTTCATAAGGAGTGTGCAACCTAGACCCCCTGCACGTGTGGTTCACAATACAGTTTGTGCTCGTTTGACAATCTAATGCCACTACTGATCTGACAGGAGGCGGAGCTCAGGAGGTAATGCAAGTGATGGGGAGTGGCTGTAAATACAAATGAAGCTTCGCTTGCTCGCCCACCACTCAGCTCCTGCTTCTCTGTGGCATGGCCTACTTCTTAACAGGCCTGGGACCTACCCTGGCCTGTGATATACCTACCCTGGTATATGCAGGTTTGAAGTAAAAACATAATTTTATCTCAATAACAAATTATTGTAGTAAAACTTACTAAATAATTGATCCTTTCACCATTCTTCTATGGCATCATCTGTGATATAAGGTGTTATAATTGTTCCTTACCTGCATGGCCCTATTTCTCTACTGCCCACTTTTTTCTCCCTCTGTTATATTTTTTCTGTTTTACTTAAATACCACACTGTATTCAATACAATAGCTTTCTAAAAGTCATAATATTGGGGGGAAGTCACATTTCTTCAATTTTGCTACTTTGGGATTATTCTAAGTTTTCACTACCGTACTTTTCACACCAAATAAATTTAGTGAGCTGGTTAAATTTTACATACCACAACAGGTTGGGATTTTAATAAAATGTAATCAAAACCAGAAGCTCAATTTGAGGAATATTGGCAAATTTAAATATTGACATGACTTATCTCTTCACATGTTATATCTCTCCATTCTTCAGGTTTTCTTTAATGTTGATACACTGAGACTTTCAACTCTACATATATGAACTCATTTTAAGGCACAGACTCTGCCAGTAGTGTGCCAAAGTGTGTAAACATATGTGTTCATATGGAAAATGGATAGATAGGCAAGTAGATAACTAGATAGCCAGAGAGATAAACAGTTCTCCATGACAGTGAGTTTTTAATAGCTACAAATTAGAAACAACCTATATGTTTAAGAAGAGTAAAATAGTTCAATAAAAACTATGATTCTTGCTGATAATAAATTATGTGGAAATTAAAATCACGTTTCTGAAGCATACATAAAGCTAGGAAAAAAATTAATAATTATATTTAAGTAAACAATTTTAAAATTACATGTATATAAATTTACATGTGTGTCTATATGTTTACATAAATATGCATTCATAAATATATATATTATAATCACCTCTTTAGAATTTAAATACAATTGAACATGAATATACTAAGTTATAACTCATTTTTATGTTGAATTGAGTCCCCCCACCAAATTCCTGTTGAAGTCCTAATTCCCCAGTAGCTAAGAATATGAGTTTATTTGAAAATAAGGTCTTTACAGAGCTAATCAAGTTAAAATAAGATCGTTAGGATCAGCCCTAATCCAATAAGACTGGTGCCTTTATAAAAAGGGAAAATTTGGAGACAGACATGCACACAGGGAGAACCCATGTGAAGATTAGAGTTATGTTGTCATAAACTAAGGTATTACTAGTAGAAGAGGGGCCTGGAACAGATTCACCCTCACCACACTCAGAAGGAACCAACCCTGTCAACACCTTGATTTGGGGCTTCTACACTCCAGAACTGTGGGAAATAAAGTTCTATTTAAACCACCCAATCTGTGGTACTTAGTTATGGCAGTCCTAATAGACAATACACCAGTCAACAGGCGACCTCTGCTGCTGACGTGCATATGTGGTTTCTACATGTATTAATCTGTTTTCACAGTGCTAAGAAAGGTATATCCAAGACTGGGCAATTTACAAAACAAAGAGGTTTAATAAACTTACAGTTCCATGTGACTGAGGAGGCCTCACAATCATGGCGGAAGGCGAAGAGGAACAAGTCACATTTTACGTGGATGGCGGCAGGCAAAAAGAGCTGGTGTAAGGAAACTCTCATTTTTAAAACTATCAGATCTTGTGAGATTCATTCACTATCATGAGAACAGCGCAGGAAAGACCCGCCCCCATAATTCAAACACTTTCCACCAGATTCCTCCCGCCACATGTGGGAACTGTGGAGTTACAATTCAAGATGAGATTTCGGTGGGGACACAGCCAAACCATATCACTACACTTCTCAATTCATCTGTGAGTCTTTGATAGCATATTTGTAAAAGTAAAAATGTAAAATACTTAAAAGCCCGAACACTTCAAGTATTAATTTTATTTCATAGGAGAATAGTTTTTTTCTTTTTAATAAAAGGTAAATAAAGGCTCAAAGGAGTTTTAATAAGATTTTGCTTGTATATAGACTTAGGTGACAGTATCAATAGAGATGGAGGGATTGTGAAATATTGAATATAGGAAGCTGCAGTGAACAGTGGCCCAGAAGCACCCAGTGGCCAGCAGCCTCTCCCTGCAGAGTATTTCCAGTGATCAGCTTTCCCAAGCACCCTAGAGGGCAGATTTCAGGTAGTTTCCAGCAACAGAGCATCACAGCAACTTTGCCATTTATTGAGCCACAGCTGTTCCCTCCCTGACAAGTGGGACTCTTCCATTCAAGTGCCATCTCAGACCTAGGGAGAGTGGCTGTCCTTTATATCCACTATTTCTATATTCTTTAGAATTATATTTCTTTCTTACTCAACTAATCCCTCCTTACTTTGATCCTATATGTTAGAGCTGTGAATAATTCTATTAAACTTTCTATGTTCAAATTCCTTCATGGCTTTTCTCTCCCAGCATCTGAGTCAACTTATGCTGGATACTCATTTTTTTACTCATATTTTAAACAGACACAAAAGTCAAGGAAAATTTTCTTCTGAAAATCACTCCCTGCCCATGTCATGACAAATGCTGCACTGCTGGTCATATCACCTATAAGGTGTACAGTGTCTTAGTTCAGGCTGTTATAAGAAATTACCATAGACTGGGTGTCTCATAAACCAAAAAATGAAATTTTATTTCTCACAGCTCAGGAAGTTAGAATTTGAGATCAGAGTGCCCAAGCCAGCACTATCTGGGTTCTGGGGAGAGTCCTCTTCTGGGTTGCAGAGGACAACTTCCCATTGTATCCTGACACAGCAGAAAGTGAGAGAGCTCTCCAGAGTTCCTTTTACATAGGCATCAGTCATACTCATGGGCCTCCACATTCATGAAATAATAACCTCCCAAAGGCTCGACCTCTTAATACCATCGCACTGGAGGATAAGATTTCAATACACGAATTTTGGGGAAACACAAACATTCAGTCCTTTGCAGACAGCAAAATGTTTCAGCTTTTCAGAGAGACAGTAAACGAATCCTCAATCTATTAAGTGCTTGCATTATGATCTTCAAAGTAATTCTTTGTGGTTTTTTTTTTTAGCTCTACGTAGCTTTTAAATCTCCAATAATATATTTTCAATTGCTTTCTCTAAAAATAACACATAAATTGCTGAGAAAATCAAACTGTGAGTAATCAAGCAGTTGTCACCATAATTTAGTTTCACCAACTTTAAAAATGATGGCATCTTGGCCTTGAACTTGGGGATCACTTGTTAGGATGACAAAGACCACCAGTGCTTTGAAGTCTATACTTCAACAAACGCTGCTATGAGCAGTAAAAATGAGAAAGCATTGAAGATAGAAATGTCCAAGGCACGACCTTCAAAATTAGAAAGGCTTTGATAAAGGGATGAAGAGTAATAGTTTGGAACTAGTGATGATTAGCCAGAAGAATGCAGTAACAAGCCTCTTGGGTTATAAGATATGGGAGGATAACCAATTGCTTTGGAGCTACCTGTAAGAGAAGCAATGTTGGCAGCTAAGTTTCAGTTACATCTTGCAGAACAAAATTCTGTAAAAAAATATCAGGATGACAGGCAAATTAACTTATATTGAGACTGAAAGTGGGAAACATTGGTGTATTGAAAATGCAAAAAAAAACAATAAATGAATAAGAAAAACAGATGCTTGATCATTTTATATGGGATATTTGCTTTTCTCTTTTTCACTAAATTTAGGTTGGAATTGGTTTCTTCCCTACCTATTCCACCACAGTCAACATTTGGCTCTTGCTTTGATCACAGTTACTTTCTCTCTGGCCCCTCTACCTCCAGGTTTAACTCCATCAATCCCTCTCTCCTAAGAGCAAATAATAATATATATTAAATGTAAACGTGGTTATTTCACTCTCCTAGTTGCCCTTTTTCCAGTTCTTTACCACCTTCATTAATAAGTGAAAGACACCAAGGATTAAGAGGACTTCTATGATCATTCCTTCTTTCCCTGTCCACTGTCCTTTCTCATGAAATGTACAGAGCATCCCATCTAATGCATGATGTTTCATACCTTTAGTTGTGGCTCATGCTGCTTCTTCAGTCATCAGGGAGGTGTTTGTTGGCAATGAAAGTTTGCCATACTATATGGCATAGGAGAATGGCATAGGAGAAAGACAACTTATTTAAAATTATATTTTTAAATGCTGTGAGATATATTATTTAAATCTGCAAATAAGTGTGAAAATAGATGGAGACTATAATTACTTCTTAGAAAACTATGATTCTGCCTTTGCTCCAGCAACTAGTATCATCTGTCTAAATTTAAATCAGCCACCTTACCTTTTCTTAATGCCAGTTTCCACAAATATAAGTTGGAAATAATACTTTAATATGCATTTGCCAGAGTAATTAAGATAATTGTATAGAGGAAAGCACGTTCAGAAGTTAAATATAAGTTTAAAACTTAGGGAACAATAGCAGCAGTGTGACAGATAGTTGTGAAGTCACAGTTTTTATTTCTTTGTTAGTCAGGGTTCTCTTTTATTTTTTATTTACGTATTACTCTGAAATGCAATAATCCCAAAAGAGTTGCATAAAGTAGACAAAGAATGTATTTTCGTCTTTCTTTTAGGTCATTTCTCAATATACTTTGCTGTCATATTTAGAATTTTCTTAAGAGGCCAGGAAATAACTTCCATATATCTACAAGCTTTCTAAGGGTCAATCATCTTGCTCTTCAGAGTTTTAGTAGCCTGACATTTATCAATGTGGACAACCAAGAGAAAGACTTTCACACAGAGTCACATTACACAAATAGATACAAATGCCAATGGTGGGGGACAGCCTGAATGATACTGTTGAGCATTCCTGACACCGTGTTCTGCCAGCAAATTAGCTTCCTTGAGAACATGGAAATTCACACACAGATTGATGCAGTGCAATGTTTTAAAAGCGAATATTCTCAGTTGTGGCACAGGACACCAACATTGAAAAGAGAAATGTCCAATGTGTTTTGTGTAACTTTGATGATTTGGCAACCTTATACCTGAAATTTTCCATTCACTGAATGCTAAAATTAAATGGCATATTCTTGAGAGCCAAAACAATGCTTCTGAAAAAAACTCATATTTATAATGTGAACAAACCATTAAATATATTAAACTTAAGCAGAGCTGGCAAAAAGAAACAAAGGGCATAGAATTTATTTACATAAAATGAATTTTTAAAATTTCCCTAAGAGGACAAATGAGATATTACTGCTTTTGATGTTCTGATAATTTCACATCAAAGTTTCAAAACTGCACATTTGTAAATCACAGATGAGGATAGTTTAGGAATCTTGCATCAGCTATATGGTTCCATTTCTCTGTGTAGAAATAACTACTGTCATAGGTCAGAAATCTCAGTGTTCTGAGAGTCTTTTGAAGAAGCAAGTAGCTTATCCTGCATTTGGAATCAGACAAGTATGACAATAGTTACTTGAATTAATCATAACAAAATATTTTATACACTTCTATTTATTTGCACCAAAATTATTTCTTGCTAGGCATCTTTTAAAAAGATAATATATCACTTTCTTTTCATTAATTTTTGTAAAATGAACTAATTTCATCCTAGAAATGCATTTACTGGTATCAAGTTCATTATTCATTATTCATTTAAGTATGTCTTAGTAATCCTGGGAATCTAAAAGCCCATTCCCAAACATCCACATTTAAAAATATATATATTTCTAATATTAGTTTTCAAGGCTAAATCATGTAAATTCAAGGATTTTGTTTCTGCACTAATTTCTAATGTTACAAAAAGCATAATTTACTTTACTGCCATTGTGGGTCTTTGCTATCTCAAAGTAAAAATAAAATTGTTGGCTATAGGGTGCCATTTATACATAGAATACAAAGAGTGAAATGTAAAACTATTACAAAGCTAAAGGGGAAAAAATATTAGTTCTAATGGACTTTTGATTGACAATTGCAATATTATTGCTTTACATTTTCCTTCTGAAATAAGTGCTACTTTCTCAATAGGACACATGCATAGCTGTGAGCAATAACAGTAATATTATACCCAATAATTATTTGACACAAGTTCCCTGACTAGCAGAACTGAATTTTGGTTTCTAATATTACTTATGTATGCTAATATGATTTAAATTGCAGAAAACTGAAAAACAGTTGATTTAATGCCTTTAGAAAAACTGTATTAATGTCATAGAATGGATTATTCCCATGTTCTAAAAATCTCATACTTTGGGTGTTTATGTGCTGAATAGATTTTAAGAGGTAACTATTTAAACACAACATTTTAAGCTAAAAATTTAAGACATACTTTCTATATCTATAAAATACAATCACTCACATTTTGCTGATTTTGTATTCAAAATGAGGAATTGGGGAATTCATTCTATTTGAAAATAAATTTATTTTGTATACTCTACTCATAGCTGACATTTTCCATCTTAAAATATCAACCTTAAATCAACGCTTATTAAATATTTATTAAAAACTTGTCTAGTTTATCCTTTAAACACAATTTTCCTGAATTATATGAGTAAGGGGGAAAAAAACTGCTTTGTTTTATATAGGCCTCCGGAGTAAATCACAAAATCTCCCTTGACAGCTCTTCCTGGGATTTAATAACGCTACTCGCAGGAAAGTCTTACCTAGATTATGTATAAGCCCTTCATGCTCCAGCCTACACATTTGTCCCCTGGTTGTATCCTCTGCAGAGAACAGAAACAGCTGGCCACCAGCCTATCTGATAATACCCTTCCAGTACTTGAATTTCATTGCTAAATTTCTTCGTGGTCAATAAAAGAATCTATTTGTAAAAGTTCCCTGTTGGAGCCTCTTAGGCTGCCCAATGTTATTAAAATAAAATGTCCTGTACATACAGCAGAATATATGCTTCGTTTCAAGACATGAATGAAAGGCTGTGTTTTTACTATAGTTAAGAAAGCTTGTTAGATATGCCCATTAATTTTACTTTAAAAGTAATAACTTCTCATTTCTTTCTTTTTTTTTTTTTTTTTTTTGAGACGGAGTTTCGCTCTGTCTCCCAGGCTAGAGTGCAGTGGCAGGATGTGGGCTCACTGCAAGCTCCGCCTCCCGGGTTCAGGCCATTCTCCTGCCTCAGCCTCAGGGAGCTGGGACTACAGGCTCCCGTCACCACGCCCAGCTAATTTTTTTGTGTGTTTTTTAGTAGAGACGGGGTTTCACCGTGTTAGCCAGGATGGTCTAGATTTCCTGACCTAATGATCCGCCCGCCTCGGTCTTTGTTAACTGTGTTTGCTCCCTCCGCATCAACCACTTTTCCTTTCTCTTTTTGTATCAATTACGTGTTTCCTTGAGAATTCCCTCCTTCCCCTTCTCAGCCACATCTTTTGGGTCAGGTGAACTCCATTATAAGCTGGAGTTCTCAAGTCAATTACTAAATTTCACTCTCTATTGTCTCACCCTAACACGATGACCATAACTAATTGATAAAAATTTGACCTCATGCCCCACTTCAGGCTAGTGACACACGAGTGTATGTTTGCCTGGGGCTTTCGTAAAAAGAGTGCTTTATCCCTCTCTTCTAATAGGACCAGAACAGATGCTCTCTTTCCTGAAACAGATGTAGTAGAGTCCTTCACTATTGCTACTAGGAGAGCAGCCACTCTGGAAATGAAGTTGATAAAGAGAGGGCAGAGCCCGGAAGAAAGTATTAGGAATCTCTTGATAGAACTGTTCTTAAATTCAGGCCAGCTGCTGAACTCTTCTGTTTTATTAATATATACATATATAGCTTTATTTATATAAATTATGCATGCATTTATATTTCTATTTCTTCAGGCTAAGTGGTGCAGTTTTCTGTAACTTGAAAAAAAGATTATTAATTCATAAAATTTTCTGGTTAAACTTTTCTGTTTCTAAAAATGTGATTGGCTAACAAGACCTACATAATAAATTTTTGAGGGGATGACATTTAAAATGTATGTATTCTTAAGATTAACTTCTCACTAATAGTACTCATTATTACTAGTGAAGACTTCTTTTATTCTAGCCACAAAAAATCCTAAAAATACAAATAATTATGATTGACTTCTTCAAAAGAACAAACTTTAATCTCCCAAATATGCCAATCTCAAATTACTGAATGTGCTAAAGATCTTTGTATGATTAGATGCAAATAAGGAAGCAATTAAGTCATTATTAATTAGTACTAATGAGCATGTTATTCAGGCTTATGTCTCAAGTAAAGAAAATAAGTGACAAATCCATGAGGAAGGGTGACTACAGGGACAGAATCATAAGGACCTGTGAGATCGCAGTGCAGCGTGGTGTGAACACCTTTACAACACAGCTTCCCAAATTCTCTCCATGGCAAGGATACCCCTGTCAAAATCACTGGCTATTTCACGTCCTTTTTAGGAAAAAAAATGAGTCAAATGTACATGTTTCTAATTTAATGCATTCTTCGTATCACTTTATACTTATTTGTTCTTGTTCTCTCGAAAGGGTCCTACTATATCTAAAAATATTTTGAATTGTTTTCCCTAACTTTTCCATTTATATAACAATTCTTTGTCCCAGGAGTATTCTTTTGCTCTAAGCACTGTCTACCCCAACTTCAGCTTCCATTTTCTTTGTAAAGCCTAGAGATATTTTCATGTTTTAACCTCTCTCAAGTCTTCCCACACACCCATCCACTACCAATACACACATATATACCACATCTTTGCAACCATTAAAATAATGTTCCATACCCCTGGAACTAGCCAGTCTGTTGATGGACTTACTAACCAGCATTCATGTGATTCCCTTTATTTCATATATTACTAATGTGAATCATTCATACATTTATTTATTTATTTAGCAAATATTTCTCATCTCCTTTGTTATAAGCAGTGTTTTTGGCATCTCAATTGCAAACAAACCTCAAGTAGTTTATAGCCCAATGGCTTTGTTAAAACTTAATTAGTTTATACTACATGGAAACATTCTGAAGAGGTTTTGATGTGTTATGTAAAATTAGGTTATGTGATCCTTGAACTGCAGTGATAATATCTTTATTTCACTTGCATCCTTACGGCAAAATCTAGAGGTCTATTAGAAAAACAGTCAGGAAAGGAAGGCATCTGAATATAACTTGTGGTTGAATTTACAGTTGCTTTAAAAATGCTACATAAGAAACATCATCATGTTGCATAATGGGAGTCATGCTTTTTAGCTTGACTTTTAAGCAATAAGTTGTAACAGTGGAATTGTTCCTGCAAGAAAGTGTTCCATCCCATTGACTTATCTTCCCAAGAGATGGTTTTCATCTTTAAAATGGAGACAGCAACATAAACATGTTTTCATGGTAGATAAAGAGAAACTTAAATAGTATATCAAACTTACTTGATCATAATTTTCACCTGGTATGTTTGTAGGTAATAGAGAGTCACCAAGCACCCTACTTGATTATTATGACCAAACTCATTTTGGAAATATTACACTGGAGAATCACAGTAAGATTGACCAGATAAGACCTGACTTCCATCAGTGTTTTACTGAATTGATCAACTGGAAATCTACCTTTAAAAGTAGAAATCATATCTTTCAAGATTCTCCCACCTTTTACATTTCTGTAGCTCCATTTTAAAAATGAATGTGAAATAATATGCCTTGCTGTGCACCTTAAGTCATAATTGATTCCCATGTAAGAGAAAATCCAAGATACCAAATACTGCTTTATAGACAGAACTTAATTTTTTTTGTTACTTTTATTTCAGGTTCAGGGATACAAGTGCAGATTTGTTATACAGGTAAACTTGTGTCATGGGGTTAGTCGTACAGATTATTTCATCACCCAGATACTAAGCCTAGTAACCAATAGTTATTTTTTCTGATCCTCTCCCTCCTCCCAACCTCACCCTCAAGTAGGCCCCAGTGTCTGCTGTTACCCTCTTTGGGTCAATGTGTTCTCATCATTTACCTCCCACTTATAAGTGAGAACATGTGGTATTTGATTTTCTGTTCTTGTGTTAGTTTGCTAAGGAGAATGGCCTCCAATTCCAACCATGTTCTTGCAAAAGACATATTCTCATCCTTTTTTATGGCTGCATAGTTTTTCATGGTGTGCAAGTACCACATTTTCTTTATCCACTCTGTCATTGGTGGGCATTTAGATTGATTTCATGTCTTTGCTATTGTGAAAAATGCTGCAATGAACATCCACATGCATGTGTCTTTAGGGTAGAATAATTTATACTCCTTTAGCTAATGGGATCACTGGGTTGAATGGTAGTTCTGTTTTTAGCCCTTTGAGGAATTGTCACACTGTGTTCCACAGCGGATGAACTGATATACACCCCCACCAGCAGTGTATAAGTGTTACCTTTTCTCTACAGCCTCACCAGCATCCGTTATTTTTTAACTTTCTGAAAATAGTCATTCTGACTGGTGTGAGATGGCATCTCATTGAGGTTTTGTTTTGTGTTTATCTAACGGCCAGTGATAGTAAGCTTTTTTTTTTTTTTTTGTATGCTTCTTGGCCGCATGTCTGTTTTCTTCTGAAAAGTGTCTGTTCGTGTCATTTGTCCACTTTTTAATGTGGTAGTTTTTCTCTTGTAAACTCATTTATAAGTTCCTTATGGATGCTGAGTATTAGACTTTTGTCAAATGCGTCATTTGCAAATATTATCTCCCATCTTATAGGTTGTCTGTTTATTCTGTTGATAGTTTCTTTTGCTGTGCAGAAGCTCTTAAGTTTAATTAGATTATACTTGTCAATTTTTTTTTTATTACTGTAGCTCTGTAGTACAGTTTGAAGTTGGGTAACATGATGCCTGCAGCTTGGTTTTTGTTTTGTTTTGTTTTGTTTTTTTGCTTAGGATTGCCTTGGCTATTTGGGCTCTTTTTGGTTCCATGTAAATTAAAAAAAATTTTTTTTCTAGTTCTCTGAAGGATGTCATTGGTAGTTTTATAGGAATAGCATTGAATCTGTTAATTGTTTTTGGGATAATGGCCATTTTAATGATATTGATTTTTCCTATCCATGAGCATGGAATATTTTTCCATTTGTTTGTGTCATCTCTAATTCCTTTGCATAGTGTTTTGTAATTTCATTGTAGAAATATTTCACCTCCCTGGTTTAGCTGAATTTCTAATTGCACAATCTGAGATAGAAATGATTTTAGTCCTTATCCTCAGTGCATTTGAAAAAGCACCCATTGACTTTTTTGTTATACTTTCTGGACTCAAATATCTTTTGTAATTATGTTTCTTGAGAGTATTTTTCACATTATCTTATCAAGCTCCTACACATACCAATATTCCCAGTTTTCATAATATACATTTTCATAAATATCTTACATTAATATTAACCTAGTGTGTCTCACTGTGCTCTTATTCTGTGGACCCAAGTTTTTATTATCTGACACATTTCCACTTGTTTCTACATTCTACAGGGTACAAGTTCTTATTTTTAAAATTAAGGCTACTTGAAATTTTTATGATCTTCTACTATTCTATGTCCAGGGCTGTGCTTTTCTATCTATGGTAGAACTTTCACTTTCTCTCTTGACCCTGGGTTCAACAGTTCCTTCTGAACTTCTTGGGAAATTTTGACAAATACTTCAGTAAAACAAAATATGAAAATACATATCATCATTTCCATAGCCAAATTAAATTTTTAATTTTTTCTACATAGTAGCTAAAAATAGGTCTGTATAATATCAGTATCATGTCTCATTCTTTCATATTTCTCCTATTGTTAAGTTTCACTCTATCAGTGAATAATAACTGGCTCTATTTTATTTTAATTCTTATGTGCTAACTACTTCTATTTTCCTGATACCTTGACTTTTAGTTTATTTGGAAGAACTTGTTCTCTACTGTGAACAAAAATTATATGTGATAGATTTACTTTGAAAATGTTAACCGGATATTATAATTTTGTTAAATAAATTTTATGATATACTTTGAAGATTGATGATAAATAATTCAAATGCCTCTAATTTTCTCAATTTTCTCACATAAATGGAGCTAGTTTTTCAGGTTATGTAATATATGGAAAGCATTTTTTAACACTTTCCACAATGCAGGCACTCAAGAAGTGTTAAATATAATCATTGAATGAACTAGTCTTTGGTTTACAAAAATGAGCAACCATTACCCTTTTCAACAAACATGTTTTAAGTGTGCAATGATAGCAAGACATTGAGACATTGGGAAGGTGATACACTAAGTGTTCAGAGTTTGTAATATAATCCATACAAAAGGCAAGGAGTGATTCAAGGTGCAGACTCTATTTGTTTCTTATTTAGTGTCTCTATAGACTTTCATTTTGTTATTTGTATTAGGCCGTTCTTGTGTTGCTATGAAGAAAGGCTGGGTAATTTACAAAGAAAAGAGGTTTAATTGGCTTACGGATGTGAAGGCTATGCAGAAAGCATAGCACCAGGCATCTGCTTGGCTTCTGATGAGGCCTCAGGAAGCTTAGGACCATGGCAGAAGGCAAAGGCAGAAATGGCATGTCACATGACCAAAGCAGGCACAAAAGAGAGAGAGGGTGTATGTTGAAGAGGGTGTATGTTGAGGGGGAGGTGTCACATACTTTTAAATGACCAAATCTCACGAGAACTCACTATCGTGAAGACAACACCAACTCATGAAGGATCTGCCCTCAGGATTCAAACATCTCCCACCAGGGACCCTTGCAGCACTGGGCGTTTCAATTCAACATGAGATTTGGGTGGAAACAAAACTATATCATTATTTAACTTACGCACACTAACCATTGTTCTTCATCAGATATGCTAAAGAATCCAGACTTGTGATATTTTTTCCACGTAGACATCAAGACCTAAACCCACTGCCAGCCGATGTCTACTATATATTCCAGACCATGAATTCCACGCCATTTTTTTCTGATAGCTTTGTAGTGAATTTTGATTCCTATGAAATCAAGAAAAGGAAAAATCTGAATCTCTTTTCATTGAGGATAATCGCCTCCTCCTGAGGCATTCGTGATCCTCCATCTGGGGGATTTGTGGTGATCCATGTGAGAGGCAGGCAGGAAGTGCAAAAAAAGCTGTGTTCCCAGGGGTAGCTGTCAGCCAATGTGAAGTGAGAGTGAGGATACATATATGTCTGCTTTCTTATCCCTTTCTTGAGACCAATTCTGAGCCAGGTTCGACATAATCTCCCAGGTCTTGCAGGATGACATTGCTAGTTGTTCATGGTAATAACTGGATCGATAACACCCTTTTGTCATTTTTCGAACTTCTCTATTTTACCTCCCACATAGATTCCTGGAACTCAAATCCTTGCTTATGGTTTGCTTCTGGGAGGTGCCCAGGCCAAGGTAATTAATACTAAATTGGTATATAGTAGAGACACTGTGATTTCTGGGCAGCACTGAAGTGGCTCTGTTGCAGTTAAAGAATATGACTTTATAATGGCATCGATTTGTAAAGACACATTGAAGAATTTTCATTTTAAATTTGATGTCAATAGCTAAACTGAGTAGTACATTTTTTGTGTTCACGTGTCTCTTATGTGATTATAAACCTTCCCTTTATATTTTAGGTGAGATTAACTCAAATATTATTAACTGAGATGCTATTTGTAAAAGGCCAATCAAAAATTTTAACAATTATAGAAATATACACTTAAAACATTTATGCTCTATTATTTTATGATTATGGTTAGCTTATTTCCTTCTTATGCCAACTTAGAAAATGCATGTATTGGCCGGACGTGGTGGCTCACGCCTGTAATCCCAGCACTTTGGGAGGCCGAGGCGGGCGGATCACGAGGTCAGGAGATCGCGACCACAGTGTAACTCCGTCTCTACTAAAAATACAAAAAATTAGCCAGGCGCCGTGGCAGGCGCCTGTAGTCCCAGCTACTCAGGAGGCTGAGGCAGGAGAATGGCGTGAACCCGGGAGGAAGAGCTTGCAGTGAGCCGAGATTGCGCCACTGCACTCCAGCCTGGGTGACAGAGCAAGACTCTGTCTCAAAAAAAAAAAAAAAAAAAAAAAAAAAATGCATGTATTGATGAAGGAAGTACAAGCATAACAACCTTGATCATATTTTATTTTATTTTATTTTTTTGCATTTTACATTTAAATGTTATACACTGATTTACTATGTGGTCTTAAATTCATTTTTGCTTTTAGAAGTTGAGATACATATATTGTTCAAATTTAAAAAGTTAATTTTTTTCAACATTTCAACGATGCATTGTGGCAAATTAAAATTTTGCAGAAATGTATGTATTCTTGGATGAGACAGAAAAATATTGTGGAGGCTGCTTCTCTGAAAAATTAAATTTAAAATCAATTTTAAAATATTTTATTGGTTATGTGGCCTTACGACCAGTTAACCTGATTGTTCTTCATTATGGTGCTGTCTGAATTGACTTTTACTTTAGAATGATCTAATTCTACATATTTACATGATTAAAAAAAACCTCATAAACAGTGCATTCTGAATTAAATTTTTGAGTGTAAGTGTTGCATGCTAAGTACAATTTGTTGAGTAATAAATCAAAACGTTGAGTCTGGAAGTATTATGATGCCAGTGTGGGGTCCAGTAGATTTATATCTGAATCATTGCCAGGTGCCAAAAATTGCCTCTCACATAAAGTTGATTATTCCAAAATATCTAATTTTATTCTTGATTGATTTCTTTCTGTTACCTCCATGCCCCATCCATTAGCAGATTCCAATGACTGTATATCCCAAGTGTATCGTGAATCTGTTTACCTATTTCCATTGCAGGTTCTACCCTCCTAGTGAGAATTACAGTCTTCTTCTGATAAGACAATAGCTTCACAATTTTTCATATTGCCTTTATCAATCATCTATTCTCTATTCATGTATTCTCTATAGAGCAGTTTGAATGTCACCTTTTCAAAGTCTTCAGTGGATTTTTATCACACTTAGACGCAAATGCAATGGCCTTCCCTCAGATTACAATGCCTTAAATGATCTGTTCCATCCTGACCTGGGCAATCTTTTCTTGTACTTCTCTTGGGCTTACCTATTACATGCCAGTCACTTCGTTTTTCTTGCTATTCTGTGAATTCACCTTGTTTGTTTCTGCCTTAAAGCCTTTCCTCCTGGTATTTCCTCTTCCTGTAATGTTTTTTTCTTTTCTTGACATACATCATCTGTCTTACCATTCAGATATCAAATGCTACCTCCTAAAACAAGATTTATTTCTTGACCTCTGAATCCAAAGTAGCCACCAAAGTAGTCACTCTCTAATATATCACCTAATTTTGTTGTCCTGTGTATTACTTATTATCACATGATAATTTTCTTATTACTTGTTTAATAGGTTTTTTTTTTTGTTTCTATTCACCAACCAGAATATGCTACGCTCCATGAAGGAAGGGAACTAGCCTGTCTTCCTCATTATTGTGCTGTCAGTGTCTAAAACCATGTGTAAATTAGGGAAGAAAGTCAGTACAAATACTGAGAGTAAAGTAAATACAGTTTAAAACTGCTTCCTTTTTGTGCATAAATATGGATATTTTCCAGTATATTTTATGTAATTAAAGTCTAATAAAATATGAGAGTTGAAATATGAACATGCTTCCATGGGAATAGTTTAAAATATCTCAGATTTAAACAACATAAAGCATAATAAAGACTTTGCTATTACCATGCGTTTTAAAAGGCAGATTACATCTTGGATTTGTATAAATGTGTTACTTAAGAATCTTCAGCTCTTAAGGAAACATTATTGAAAAGTACAGAATTTTAAAAAAATAATTAGAAACAACTGCTGTTCCCCCATTGCTTTTAATCTTAAAGATTCTTTATCGTTGTCCCTTGGGAAAAAAAGTTTGTATTTTCAGACATAAAAGAACTTTCAAAGCATCATTTTTTTTCATCTGTTATAGTATTAAGGTAGGTTTCGCTTGATTTGAAAAGTCACAGTGCTGTTCTTCTACTTATTAATAATATTTAGATTATCAAGGCATCTGCTCAAGCAACAGAATTCTCAAAATACTCACTAGTAGCCCTGAGTCCATTAGCATTTTTTCGATGACATGAGCAAGTTCCAGTCACTGACAAGTAGAATTATGATTCCATCAGAGAGTAGATGTGTTGACAGTGTTGTTAGCAGGGTTCAGAAACAGGACATTGTCCAAGGAAGTGCTCCATTTTGAAAATGCCCCTCTTCTATAAGGAAATCCTAGAGTTGATGTACAGTGTGTAGATAATGAAAAAAAATCTCTCCAAATTATAGGTCAGAAGTGTAGTTCAAGGTATAAAAGGAAACATGCCCTTGACAGCTATTTCTAATTTAGAAGGACGTCTTTTCAGAACAAGCAACAATTTAAAGAAACCATAATATTTTATTAGTGAAAACATTTGGACAATATGTAGGCAAGTAGCTAATACTGGTAAAGATTGGTGATATTTTAATTTTATTATTTTAAGTAATTAAATTATACTTTGTGGAGTTCAAAGCACAATTGAGTGGTTGTAGCCAAAAATATTTCTAGCATTTAATTCACATGAATTTTGGGATCATCCCACTGTTGTGAGAGCAAGAGAAGTGTATGATTACAGAAGGATTCAGCCCACTAATTGGTATTTATGAATGCTTTATGATTCAAAATGATAAACCATCTGTGAAATTCAACAATTCAGAACACTTATAAATGTTTTTTTCTTCCTTGTGACACGAGCTTTTGGTAGATGCTTTCTATTAGTCGTGATTTTACTCTCGGGCTTCCTGTTTGTTCAGTTTTTCGCAGCTCCATTCGGGGATGGAGACAAGCTGTATGATTTATCTAAAAGTCAATTTGCAACCTTACCCATGAGCATCCTCTACCTACACATATACATATACACAAACTCCCTTACACACCCATGTCTGTGGTAGAATATTACCATTGGGAGACAGGATATCGAATAGCAATTTCCTGAAATAATTATAATTTGCCCAAACTATAGATGCAAATAGGAAACGTAGATCACTACTATTCACATTTGAAGATTGAGATTTCAAATACAGAAGGGACCACAATAGTGTGGTAGGAGTTATTAAGAAATTGTTTTAGGCAGATAGAGAGGAAAAGGGGTCCTTGGGAAGTTTTCATTTTTTAAAGCATCTCAGGAAAATTTTCTTGTAAAGCCCTGGCTCTTAGAGCCAGGCCAGCAACCTTGAATATGCAAATACCAGCCATTAGAAATTGGGTCCACCCATCATGGCGATTTCCACGGGCTTCTAGCCCTTGCCCCACATGTTCCTGGCAACGCGGCCATCCCCACGTGTGTAGAATATCTTAGTGCCCAGGCTGGAGTGCAGTGGCATAATCTCAGCACATTGCAACCTCCGCCTCCCGGGTTCAAGCGATTCTCCTGCCTCAGCCTCCCGAGTAGCTGCGATTACCGACACGTGCCACCACCCCTGGCTAATTTTTGTATTATTAGTAGAGAAGGGGACTCAGCATGTTGGCCAGGCTGATCTCAAACTTCTGACCTCAGATGATCTGCCTGCCTCGGTCTACCAAAGTACTGGGATTACAGGTGTGAGCCACTGCACCCGGTCTATTTCTGTAAGAATTCTTTCATTGAGCCTTAACCCTCTAAGTTAGCTCTCTCTTAGAAATATAATTATCCACCTGGAATTGTGAAGTAAATGAATATGTGTGTATGTATGTATGTGTGTGTGTAAATATGAATGTTTAAGATATACATACCATGGCAAATTTTGATTTAATCTACTCTTATTCATTGCAACCTGTATACCCCTTGTCAGACTCACCACTTTTTAGTGTCTGATTCAGATGCTTTACACTTTTTAGTTTTAATACGAGGATAAACAATGTTAGTCAAATAGATACAGATATAGAAAACAGAAATACAAAGTCTCTGTGAGTGAGAGTCAGATACATAAGTGTGCGATAAGAACAAAAGAATACAAAGACTTCAGATGAGCAAATATAAACTATGTTACCTAAAGATAATTCAGCAGACTACGCTCCTATATACATTTGCACAGTTTGTGCTAGTCCCACCCCCACCCCCACCTCAAATACTAATTATTTTCACTTCTTCCATTTTTTTTATTGTATACAAAAATGGTCAACCAAATGTGTGGTTTCATGATCTGTGTAGTGTTAAAAAAATATGTGAAGGGTGATAGGGAAACCCTGCTTATCTTTTTGACATTTTACTCTCACCTATTTATACTCTTGACGAAACTGAGTGTCAGAGAGGTAAAAATATTTACCCAAAGTTATACAACTTGTAAATGGCAAAGCCAGAATTTCCTCCAGTCCTTTTATGTCACCACAGAGGATCCCTGCTCCCCACTGATCACATGGTAGAAACTTGATAAACATCTGTTAGTTTACATGAAGATAGAGGAGACATAAAAGTGGTTTCATCTACTTGTGAAATAATGTTTACATGTAGCTATCCCTAAATAATTTTGCTAAAAAATGTTAACATGTAGCTATTACCTTTTGTGAAGGAAATCACAGTGATATCTTTCAAATATTGTATTATAAATCTTAAGGGAAGAGGCAATACACATTAACATCCTCATCTTTCAGATGGCTAAGCTGAAGCATCTTTCTCAAGGGCAATCTAATTGCCTCTCCAAGATAAGCTGCTGAGCCTGGGACTTTCACTGTTGTTGTCTAAGCTGGGTCTCTTCTATGCCACTTTCAGTGCTGTTTTATGTACTGTGAATCTATAGCCTGATTTTCTATTTACTAGGTTCATATAAAATCAATATTTATTTTATGTAGCGCCCTGTACTTCAAAAGATCCAAGGTCAATCAATATGTAGGATTCATTCCGTAAGAAGAGTAATTAGATAGCCCCTCAAACATTGCAGTTACTGCAAATTTGAAAGCTGTAAGTTGTCTGAATCAAAGGAAAAGTCACCTAGCTTATACTAGCACCTTTCTGAAATACAACGAAAGATGCTTTTATGTATGGCTAAACAGTGGCAATAAAGAAAAACAGAGTTGCTGAAAAGATCCCAGTTTTGACTTTGTTTTTTTTTTTAATGTGATTCTAGGTGAACAGAAAATATAAACAAAGAATATCTAAAATAATCACTCAAAATTACTTGAGATAACCAATGGATGTAATGTCAAAGGTTGTTGGAAGTGAAGTTGTGAAATAGAATGTTAATTTTTATTTAGCTTTTTGAATGTAGGATTCTTAGAATATAATTTGATAAAGCTAATATTTACATTGACAAATGAACCGAGGGATCATTAATGCATTTTGTAAGGAATACATCTGAGAACAGATAAGACATTACAATAATAACTGACTCAAATTGAGGGAATTACTAAAGAAATTGTAGCCTTGGCATGAAGCAGATGACACACTGAGGATATCACTGCTTCATACTCTAAGACAAATATTTCAGCTTCTACCCTTGGAGGGATACAGCCCTTCCTTCATTGGTTTCATATTTTCCTGAACAAACTACCATCAGATTATCAGCCTCTGATCTAGTCCTTCTACCTTGTCAGCTGCAAAGATATTTCCTTTCTAACATCTGCCCCTCTGGATCTCTAGAACTTGACATTGCCCGTGTTCTATGTTTTACTTCCTAACCCTTTCTTTTCTGATTTCCTGTATATGTATTCCTTGCATTTATATTCTGAAATCAGAAATTGTAATTTCTAATTTCTAAGGATTTACAACATTTTCTTCAAAATCATGTGATCCAACCATTTTTTGGGATTCCATGTTTTCAGATTTTAGAAAGGCTATAGGATATATAGGCTATTAGTATTGAAATCAAACAAATTATATATAGAAAAGTAGGATTATATGAGTAGAATGAATAAAGAATGGTAAGTAGCCCCAAGTCAATTCAGGTCAAGTTTTGCTGACAACTGACAACTTAGTTCAGATCAGGTTTGTTCTCAAACGTTTTTGGATTTTAAGTGGAAATAACAGATGATGAGTGTCTGAATAAATGGCTATACAATGGATAGCACTGCAGATTATTTTATTTCAATTATTGTCTTATCCATAACTGTTTTGTCCCAACCTCAGTCATTTATCCCCTTGGCTTTCCCACAGCTATGATATTTGGTTGACTGTTACAAAATGCTAAGAAAAATCACAAGAAGAAATTACGAGGAAAACTATCCAGGAACAAAGTCCTCTAACAATGGAAAAGACCTCAGTTCCAAGTTATAATACCCCACAGTATAGGGGAGACAGTGTAGAAATACTTAAGGAAGTAGTAACTGCTATGTGTCCTCCAAAGTTTAATTATTCCTGAATAGATTCACTAGATTTTACCTGAAGGGTAAATTCATCAACTCACTCAAAATCGTTTCCTTGACTGTCTATTGTATAGAAATCAGTGTGCCCCTTACTTTGTGGAATTAGTATGAGAGTTAAATACTATAATGCAGAATTTCATAAAATAAAAGTTATGAAGTTTTAGCAGTTGTAGGTGACAGATATCTCTTCTAATTTGGAAGATATGGGAAAGTTAACATGGATAGAAAGGTAAACATTTAAAGCATATCTTATTGAATTTGAGAAAAGAATAATCAAGTCCTTCTACCTTGTCAGATGTAATTATTTATTGCCTTGATGAAGGCAAGGAAATGCTTTATTAGAAACCTGTAACTGGCCAGCATTCAGAGTAGGAGAAGAAAAAAGGATATATATATGATTTTAGATGAAAAATAATAATAATTAGAGGCGCTTAAGTCATGTCTTTGTAACATGGGTAACTTGCCTAATTTGATATTAGTTTAGTTACCTTAAGTTATTCAATGAAAAAATAACAATAAAAGTGGTTACAAAAATAAAGTTTATAATAAACAGCAACAATAAAAGATTGATTATGACACACAAAATTTTGGCACTTAAAAATAAAATGTGCTAGTTCCACTTCCAGTATTAATGAATTTACATTCTTCAGCTCAAACTTTTATCTGAAAACATCTGGAAAAAGTATCTGTGAAGACATTGGATTATTATCAACAAAGAGAGAGGGTTGGTAGCACAAGGGTGGTAGAGAAAAGAGAAGCCTAGAAATGTCAGCCCAGAATGTAGTACTTTTTTTTTTCTTTTTCTGGAAGCTAACTTTGAAAGCTGTGTGTAAGAAGATGAGCAGAACACCCTTGAAATCCATAGCACTGTGCCATGGATTTCAGGGGTGTTCAAAGATCATGAGTCTTGTTTATATCCCAGGCACTTATCTGAGATCCCAAATGTCTATACCTTAAAATAAACCATTTACCAACCATGACAAATCCCAGGTTTATAGCATTTCAGACCCTGATTAGAATAAGTTTATCTTAGCTGGTAAGAGCTACAAGCCTAGCTGCCTGAAAGAAAAAAAAAATGTACACTCTCTCTAGGGAAATATAATATTATAATTGATTTTAAATATAAAATGCATGACATTGAATCAAAAGTAACTGGACATACAGAAAGTCAAATTTTTATAGAAAACCAAAAGAAAGAAAGAAAAAGATTAGAGAAAAAGATATGAGATGTGAATAATGGAGTTATTACTCATGGGCTTTAGTATATTTAATATTAGCATATTTAATATTAAAGATGTGAAAGAAAGAACCTAATGAATATCTTCAGCAGATACTAAGCAAAAATGAAGAGAGAATTTATAAAGTCAAACTAGAAGAAAATACCCAGAATGAAGCATGGAGAAGCAAAATATTAAAAGTACAGGGAAAAAAAGCACATTAGATACTAAGAAAAGGTTTTATATATATATATATATATAATCTCGAATTCTCAGAAGAAAGGAAGAATAAAACAGTATTATTATATGAAGAGTTAATAAAATAAACACAATTTACGAACAGAAACCAAAATAAAGCTAGTGTAGCTGTCCTGGTGACAGACGAAAGTTTCAAAAGTAGAACAATTACTAGAGTGGGAGATATTCAATACCATAAAATGTGAAATTCATAAAAATGATATAATTCTAAATGTGAATGTCTCTGATAACATAGTCTCACAATCTATTTTAACCAAAATCAGCAGAGGTAAATAGAGAAATATGAATATATTCATGAACTTGATAGGAACATTTTAACATAAACAGAAATCCAATAACTATATAAAAGATTTGAACATCAGAATTATCAAACTTGATCTTATTAACATACAAAGCACACGGTACCCAAAAGCTACAGAACCCATTTTTAAAAAGTTTTCATTGACTATTTTTCCAGAATGATCATATGCTTGTTCATAAAACAGATTTTAACAAATCTCAAAATATTTTAAGCTATACAGAGAACATTCACTGACTACCATTGAACTGAGCTAGAAAATAGCAACTAAATGATAACTGAAAAATCCCCAAGTATTTGAAGATTCAATAATATGCTTTTACTTAATAAATACAGAACAAGCAGAAGAAAATATTGCAATGTAAATGGGAGAATAAGTTGTACTACCTGATAATACAAATTATCTCTCTCTTTGTGTGTATGTGTGTATGAATTGCATATATACACATATATATGGCATGAAGCTCAACTAATATCATTCTTATTTATTGATTTATCTATACATTTATATGTATGATTAAAAAAGGGTAAAATCAATGGGATAAAATAAATATGAAATAGATTTTAAAACAAAAACAATTCACTTGCCACAAGTAGGGTATGACAATAAAAATGGAGAAAAGTTAAAATCTTATGAAAATCATTTATATTTTTATTACTAAATTTGACAAATACTTATGGACATCTTCTATGTACCAGACACTTTTCTAGAGTCAGATGCAGGGATGGGAGATATAGTAGTGAACAAAACAGACAAAAATTTGTTATTGAGGTGAAGTGAGGTCAGGTTACCTGCATGAACTGTCTACTGCAGCAATGTCTGGAGCACTGGTAGGCAAGAGGATGAAAAGCAGGACAAAGGGTGTCTAATACATAGGGTACCAAGACTTGGCTTTTTTTCCAAGGTACTTAGAAGGAGAGAGCATAGAAAAAATATTTTACAGAGATTTGCAGAACTGATTCCTCAATTCACATCTTTGAATGAAAGAGTTCTGAAAAATTCAATTTCACAGATCCTTAGTGACTCGTACAATTTTATCCTTTTATTATTTGAACATTCTGAACATGAGACTATAGATAGCAAGAGTATTGGAGATTTTTTAAAGTACAGATATTAAACTCAAGCTGTGCATGTGGATTGAGTCTAGAGGACCTGAATGTCATCCTAATTCCTAAACGCATTTCAGAAATGCCTGGAGTTCAACAGAATTAGAGTTGAAAATAAAAACAGATTATTGGTGAACATATGAGTATGCTTTCAGAGAAATTACGTAGACTGTGAACCGTATGAGCCATTATTTATGTTGTTAAGTCTGATTTTTGGTAGCTAATCTAATTTACTGTCCGAATCATAAATAACTTTCCCGGTCATGACAGTGATCTTTCAAAAGGAAAATTTTGAGCTGAAAATGAACTGTGACCTAATAAAAGACAGTATTTCTAGAATTATGGAAGTAAACATATGACTTTCAATGCTATGCTCTTCTGTACTTTGTGGCTAAACACTGAAGAAGTTTGGATTTAACTATGTAAGAATGTGTTATTTTTTTAAGTAAATTCTGTAATTAGAGATGTAATTCAGATTCAGAATTAAATATGCTTCTCACTGAATCTTCTTCATGACTCTAAAAGAAAGTCTCATTGGTCCAAGAACAGTATTCTCATTTAGTTGACAAAAATCTAGAAGTGATGTTACTGTATCCATAACTGTACATATAAAGAAGAATAAAAGGTAAAATACAACTTTATTAAAATACTAAATTAAAATTATTTTAGCTGGATTTATTTACTGATTGCTAACAAGTTAGCCACAGTCACCTATGAAAAGTATCTTATGTCCCTCACGCTCACATTTGTAGCAATTTATTCCATGAATTATTTTAGTCTAAATAAATTGATAGCTGAATCAATCTATTCTTTGTTAAACATTTTAATCTGAGTATATAAAAGCAGACAGTGAAATAGCAAAGTTTAAACTGATGATGTGTTTTTCCAGGTAGTGAAATGCCAAGATGATAATGATGAACTATAGGGCAATATTTTAATATTCACTGTGGTCTGGAAAATGGCAGATGAACTTCAGTGTAGATAAGAAAGTTTGAAAAATAACCTAAACTAAATGTACAAGGACACAGACCCTGAACTCTTAGTTACAACTATAAACACACACACACACACACACACACACACACACACACATACACACAGAGATTTAAAAATCACTGCAAATTATCGTTGGAAAATATTAATCCAATTTTTTGTTGTAGAGAGATCAAGATGATACCACAGGTAAGTGAAATTTATTGAAGTAAGATGTAATTATTTTATTTTCCCTATACATGCAGGAATCTAGGATGTTTTTATACATAAACTATGATGAATTGTAGCCAGTCCTCAAACTTGAAAGAAAGCTGTTGAAGACCTAGAGAAAGAAGAATAATTCTGAAGCATCTGGGAAATACTATTTTAAGCAAATCTTGAACAGTAAATTGATTAGCATATTTCTTTTTAAAAAGATGAAATAATTAAGGATTATAAAATTCCAAAGGATATGAATAAAGTGAATATGGTATTATCCTCTGGATTCTGGGGAACGAGAAATAAAAAATACTACAATGTGTTGAGAGTTGTTTAAGATCAACTAAAAACTATATAAAATACATCACAGGTAGTAACAAGATTTTTTAAATGCTGATAAAGACTAAAAATATACAAAGGCATGGGAAAATTTTGATGAACGTATATATAATGACAATTCACCTCTTTAGGGGAAAAAATGACATGATTGAATCATGGGTTAGACAATAGGCCAAGTTGCATACAGTTTATTAGTAGAAACAATAAAATAATCAAATAATTCAAATAATACCAATCCAGGCTTATAGATGTAATGCTACATGTAGAGACTGGTGGTGTGGTGTCTTGCATGTCTGTGTGTGTGTGTGTGTGTGTGTGTGTGTGTGTGTGTGTGTGTGTGTGTGTATGAGGAGGAGAATACTGAAGCTACCACAAGGATATAGCAACCAAATTGAATCTCAACAAATATTTAGGAGGCAAAGGAGCAAGAAGGAAGAAGAGAGTAGAGTTTCTAAGGCAGGAAGTTGAGAGGAAATAATGTTATATAAAGGAACTGCAACAATGTCACTAGGAGTTGCAACACTAAGTCTTAGGTATTAAGAGTAAGAGATGAGACTAGAGACATAAACAGGCACTCTTTTGCCATGTTATGAACTTGGTCTGGATCTGAAGGGGAAAGAAGGGCTTTTGAAGAACACAGAATGATGGGCTATGAGATAGGGTTTGACAATTATCTTTGTCTTTTACCATTCTTATCTTTGCCTAAGTTAAAACCAGTAGCATAAAAATGAATTTATCCATTGAAATATTTTTTAATGGTGACTAAGAGACAAATGTTCAAAAGCATATAGATAAGAGGATTATTTCAAACTCATATCACAAACTTTAAAAATTATTTCTTGAAAGCAATACGATTAGGATTAAAGTAAAAATAACATTGAAAGTTGACATGAAATTTCCTTTCCGATGATAGGGGAAAGGTATTTAAGACATTTGTAAAGGGCATGATAGAAAACTCACTTATCAACATCCCTAGGTTTGTGGGGACAGGAACTACAAGGATGATTAAACAATGCATTGATTTAGATGGCTCTAATGTGGATACCTATTTACCTGCCAAGCAACAAGAGTAGTAGCAGGATTTATAAACACTGACATCACGCCTTGCCACTTTTTTTCTTAGACACAGGTCATTAATACTGGCATGATTTTGTTCTGATATGAAATAGAAGAAAATCATCCAAGATCTAGAGGCTATGGTAGATGTCAAAGTGATGGAGAATAATCTCTAAAAGTCATTTTTATACATTTGGACAAATGGCAGAAAATGTGACCAAGGAGGGAAAGATATATTTGTCCCCATTTCACAAAACACAGGGGATAATTCCACTTCTAATGAAAGTGGGTAAAACATCTCAAAGTTGAACTGGAACTGAAAACTAAAGAACTTCTGTCTTCTAACTTTAGCAGAGAATGTGACTCAGTTTTTAATAAATATCGGTACAAAATATTATGAGACAAAATATCCTTACCAGGATGGATAATTTTCAGATTACTTTCCACACCACCTTTCCCTTGCCCCCAATTCTACCCTAAGCTTTGTCAGGAAGACAAAAGAATGAATCTTCACTACCATGTACTCACCTGTTCAAGCCCAGTTTAAATTCTATGGGGTAAGAATTTTTACAATGCTTATAGAGTTAGACGGAGAAAGATGAAGAGAGAAAGGAAAGGGCAATGAAACATAACCATTTAGAAAAGATCATCCTAAGATAAGTAAAGAGAAAAAAAAATCATTTGTGGGATTTATGCAATCTTTTCTCAATGATAAGAAAAAAAATCAACATAAAATGAAAGAAATACAGACATGATACAGTCTTTATAAAGATAGGTTTTTAAAAACTTTTGGTGTATAAGAATGCTTGTGATTTTTGTACATTGATTTTGTATCCTGAGACTTTGCTGAAGTTGCTTATCAGCTTAAGGAGATTTTGGGCTGAGACAATGGGGATTTCTAGATATACAATCATGTCGTCTGCAAACAGGGACAATTTGACTTCCTCTTTTCCTAATCGAATACCCTTTATTTCCTTCTCCTGCCTAATTGCCCTGACCAGAACTTCCAACACTATGTTGAATAGGAGTGGTGAGAGAGGGCATCCCTGTCTTGTGCCAGTTTTCAAAGGGAATGCTTCCAGTTTTTGCCCATTCAGTATGATATTGGCTGTGGGTTTGTCATACATAGCTCTTGTTATTTTGAGATATGTCCCATCACTACCTAATTTATTGAGGGTTTTTAGCATGAAGTGTTGTTGAATTTTGTCAAAGGCCTTTTCTGCATCTATTGAGATAATCATGTGGTTTTTGTCTTTGGCTCTGTTTATATGCTGGACTACATTTATTGATTTGCGTATATTGAACCAGCCTTGCATCCCAGGGATGAAGCCTACTTGATCATGGTGGATAAGCTTTTTGATGTGCTGCTGGATTCAGTTTGCCAGTATTTTATTGAGGATTTTTGCATCAATGTTCATTAAGGATATTGGTCTAAAATTCTCTTTTTTGGTTGTGTCTCTGCCAAGCTTTGGTATCAGGATGATGCTGGCCTCATAAAATGAGTTAGGGAGGATTCCCTCTTTTTCTATTGATTGGAATAGTTTCAGAAGGAATGGTACCAGTTCCTCCTTGTACCTCTTATAGAATTTGGCTGTGAATCCATCTGGTCCTGGACTCTTTTTGGTTGGTAAGCTACTGATTATTGCAGACAAACAGAGAGCCAAATCATGAGTGAACTCCCATTCACAATTGCTTCAAAGAGAATAAAATACCTAGGAATCCAACTTACAAGGGACGTGAAGGACCTCTTCAAGGAGAACAACAAACCACTGCTCAATGAAATTAAAGAGGATAAAAACGAATGGAAGAACATTCCATGCTCATGGGTAGGAAGAATCAATATCGTGAAAATGGCCATACTGCCCAAGGTAATTTGTAGATTCAATGCCATCCCCATCAAGCTACCAATGACTTTCTTCACAGAATTGGAAAAAACTACTTTAAAGTTCATATGGAACCAAAAAAGAGCCGGCATCGCCAAGTCAATCCTAAGCCAAAAGAACAAAGCTGGAGGCATCACGCTACCTGACTTCAAACTATACAAGGCTACAGTAACCAAAACAGCATGGTACTGGTACCATAACAGAGATATAGATCAATGGAACAGAACAGAGCCCTCAGAAATAACGCCGCATATCTACAACTATCTGATCTTTGACAAACCTGAGAAAAACAAGCAATGGGGAAAGGATTCCCTATTTAATAAATGGTGCTGGGAAAACTGGCTAGTCATATGTAGAAAGCTGAAACTGGATCCCTTCCTTACACCTTATACAAAAATCAATTCAAGATGCATTAAAGACTTAAACATTAGATCTAAAACCATAAAAACCCTAGAAGAAAACCTAGGCATTACCATTCAGGACATAGGCATGGGCAAGGACTTCATGTCTAAAACACCAAAAGCAATGGCAACAAAAGCCAAAATTGACAAATGGGATCTAATTAAACTAAAGAGCTTCTGCACAGCAAAAGAAACTACCATCAGAGTGAACAGGCAACCTACAAAATACGAGAAAATTTTCGCAACCTACTCATCTGACAAAGGGCTAATATCCAGAATCTACAATGAACTCAAACAAATTTACAAGAAAAAAACAAACAACCCCATCAAAAAGTGGGCAAAGGACATGAACAGACACCTCTCAAAGGAAGACATTTATGCAGCCAAAAAACACATGAAAAAATGCTCACCATCACTGGCCGTCAGAGAAATGCAAATCAAAACCACAATGAGATACCATCTCACACCAGTTAGAATGGCAATCATTAAAAAGTCAGGAAACAACAGGTGCTGGAGAGGACGTGGAGAAATAGGAACACTTTTACAGTGTTGGTGGGACTGTAAACTAGTTCAACCATTGTGGAAGTCAGTGTGGCGATTCCTCAGGGATCTAGAACTAGAAATACCATTTGACCCAGCCATCCCATTACTGGGTATATACCCAAAGGACTATAAATCGTGCTGCTATAAAGACACATGCACACGTATGTTTATTGCAGCATTATTCACAATAGCAAAGACTTGGAACCAACCCAAATGTCCAGCAATGATAGACTGGATTAAGAAAATGTGGCACATATACACCATGGAATACTATGCAGCCATAAAAAATGATGAGTTCATGTCCTTTGTAGAGACATGGATGAAATTGGAAATCATCATTCTCAGTAAACTATCGCAAGAACAAAAAACCAAACACCGCATATTCTCACTCATAGGTGGGAACTGAACAATGAGAACACATGGACACAGGAAGGGGAACATCACACTCTGGAGTCTGTTGTGGGGAGGGGGGAGGGGGGAGGGATAGCATTGGGAGATATACCTAATGCTAGATGATGAGTTAGTGCGTGCAGTGCACCAGCATGGCACATGTATACATATGTAACCTGCACATTGTGCACATGTACCCTAAAACTTAAAGTATAATAAAAAAAAAATCACTTGCCAATTTAATAAACATGCTGTTACCTTGAATTAATAATAATGGCAGCAGCCATATTTTATATAAACAGTATTTTATATAAAGCTTTTAACTGCACTACATGTTTAATTCCATACTATGAATATATATATGTATAAAATATTCTTTCTACTACATCAAATATTTTCTACCACTACCCTGATGAGAAAGGCATCATCTTCATTTTGTATAGTGGAATAAAGAGGATCAAAGGGGCTAAATGATGTGCTCCCATTCCTTCTTCTCTTAAAGCTATTCTCTCTCTGACCCTGTAGTCCTCATGCAGCCATGTTCACTGACCCAACCTAAAATGAGCAGCCCTCAGATAATTGGGTCAGGAAAAACTTTCTGTGGAGTCATTTCACTCTTAAAATAGTCTATATATGCTGAAATAGTTCGATATTATATAAAGTAAAAAGTCTGAGTCATGGGGCAAGATTTTACAAAACCATTTGCTTCTTGTAAAAGAAACACATGCACGTACACACACACACACTCGCACATTCTACTGCCTTTATAGTAGTACCACTACTCTACTGAAACAAAAACGAGAAATCAGACTTAAGAAGTGTGAATAAAGTAGGAAGATCATTCTTCCCTGATTTTCAGTCTCTTTTCCAGCAGTATTTACCAAGAGGACTGTGAAAGTATGCGTCCTGCGAGCCCACACGGATGTAACAAATAAGAAACCAGGTGAATACATAGCCAAGAAAGCAAGTGATTTAAAATAATATTCATCATCTAATGTCAAGTGAAGCCATTGGGAAAACTTAAACATTTTTAACACTTTAGAATCTTTACCAAATCTCACCACTGAGTCCCAGTTTGCTCAGCTAATGAATGTTTTTGTGCCCTCAGTGTGGAAAGTGTATAAAGCCCTCTGTTGTCTCTCATTAAAATATCTATAAAATGTACTGCAGATGCCCCTGAAATGAGGCTCATTTAACTGATCCTTTTATAAGATTTATGACATCAGAGTCACATACCCAATTCCAGCTGGTTAAGGAAGTTTTATAGAAGCAGAACTAGAAGAAAATGGAACTGAGACGTGGCTATAAATACGGTGTGCAGCGACAAGTCTTTCAGAGTGTTTATTAAATGAAAAATGGTTTTTTCACCCTGACTGCTGTATTTCATCAGAGGCCCCTGAGCTCTCTGTCAATACCCTTTCACACATATAATGAACACAGGGTAGGCACTCGAACCAGCAAAGGCACCTTAGCCTCAATGATTCCTTCTCCTTAAAACTTGGTGGGAAACTATGAATCAATAATATATTCGTAGTAGGAGAGAGGGTTTTACTAGTGATAATCACCTTGATCTTTAACTGCATAGAGGAGAAAAGAGAAAGAAAAGAAAGTTTATAAGATCCATGACCCATTCAACTCTGAGTCCAACCTGGTTGGATGATTTGTTATGACCCAATTTATTGTTTCTCCTCTAAAGCCAGTCACAATAAAGAGCCCTTATTCTAAAGCTACTCAGTTTGTGGTGTTCTTTGAGCCTCCTTTTTGGAAGTTGCTTAACAGAAGTGCATTGTGTTTTGTACTCTGAAAATTTTGTTTTAAGATTTTCACATAATAAAAGATTTGAGCATTATTCAAGCCCTTTAAAGAGATAATAGTGTTATATTAAGTGTCGCTTGGACCATTAAAGTTTTTTAACACTTTTTGCAATATTTATGGTTCACCTTTTACATCGCAGGTTTTATGACCTCAATCTTTTCATTCTGTGTTTTAAATTTCCTGCAAATATTTGCAATTAGAAGCTAAATACCATTTAAAAGTCAGAATTAGTATGATAAAGAATACAATTGATTTCTTATTCACATTTCCATGTCCAAATCAACATTGATATCTGGTGCTTGAATTTTTGTTCACCTCTTCTTTTTGAGTATCATGCAACTATCTATATGCATACTTTTCTCAGCACAGAGCAATGAGTTCCAACACTGTTCTTGCCATATATGTTAGTGCTGTTGTAATGTAAATAATAACAGTTGTAACTTGATGAAGAAAATGGAGTGGACCTATGTTGCGCTTGTTTAGCTCCGAAATACATTCCTGAGCAATAATTAATCAGTAATAAACAAATTATTTTTTGTTTGTTTGTTTGTTTGTTTTTTGAGACAGAGTCTCGTTCTGTCACCTAGACTGGAATGCAGTGGCATAATCTCGGCCCACTGCAACCTCCGCCTCCCGGGTTCCAGCGATTCTCCTGCCTCAGCCTCACGAGTAGCTGGGCCTATAGGCGTGTGCCACCATGCCCGGCTAATTTTTTGTATTTTTAATATAGACAAGTTTCACCGTGTTAGCCAGGATGGTCTCAATCTCCTGACCTCATGATCTGCCCACCTTAGCTTCCCGAAGTGCTGGGATTACAGGCGTGAGCCACTGCGCCCAGTCTATAAACAGATCCTTTTAAGGAATCATAGAATATTTGAGCTGAAAATCTTAGGAGTCGTATTTGTTTCCCAGGGCTGCTATAACAAAGTACTGCAAATCAGGTAGCTTAAAAAGAGCAGAAGTGTATTGTCTCACAGTTGTGGAGGCTAGAAGTCCAAAATTGAGGTGTCTGCAGGTAATGTGCCTTCTGAATTCTTTTAGGGAAAATTCTTTCATGCCTTTTCCTAGCTTCAGGTGGTTCACTGCAATTCCTGAGGTTCTTGGATTGCAGCTACTACACTTTAATCTCTGTCCCATCCTCACCTGCCATTCATGTGTACATCTCTCTGTGTCTTTTTTCCTCTACTTACAAGGACACCAGTCATATCAGATTAAGGGTCCACTCTCCTCTAGTATGACCCCATCATAAGTAATTACATCTGCAACCACCTTGCCTCCAAATAATAAAATTACATTTTGAGGTGTACATTAAATGCCCCTGTACATATCTTATGAAAGTTAAGACTTCCGTATATCTTTTCCAGGAACACAATTTAACCCTTAACAAAAGTCATCTATCAAACCACTTCCTTCAAGGATAAGAAACTAATTTATGTCGGAAAAAAGTTTTATAAATTAAGAATTTATGCATGTTATTTTATTTGTCCCTAGTAAGGCAAAATGTGACCTAAAAGAAGATGAAGAACATATATATTCATTAATCTCTTGATATTTTTAGGTTTTTTTGTTGTTGTTACTATGCCAGAATTATGAGACAAGCTCCTAGGAGCCCTTCTTTCTATTTCTAACAGATGGAACTGTACAGCAATTCTATCTCTTAGAGAAAATAAAATAAAAGCAGTGGTTCAACAGAAAAGCAAGAAGACCAAGGTTATTGGTTAAACGTAAAAGGCTCCAATGAATACAAAAGCAATGAGTCACTCATAGTCCATCATGTACTTAGAGATGAACCATCAAAAAAATGTGTAGGTCACTTCATGCTGACTTTGTTGTCAGCATGAGCTGTTGTCCCTCTAGAAGCAGGCTGGATAGTTTTAATGCCTTTGAGATCTGTGAAAACACAATCTGATTTGGTTGATCAGTGCTTGGATCTACAACTCAGGCAATAATTGTCACACTAGCCTTTGTCTTCCTTTTCTTTAAGACTTTGTTCCCTCAGTAGTAAACTAGGCATTTGAGCAGTTCTTTATTAACTATTTTAGACCACCAGAAAATCCTTTAATTACAAAGGAACATTTTCATATACTTGTCTTATTAGATGCTCAGAGTTTGTAGGAACAAATTTAATAATACACACCACAGAGGTAGCATTTAAAAACTAGCATAAGCTTGCACAACAAATCAGAAAATAGCCTATTCTTGGGATGTATTACTGAGGAAATCATGTTGTCATTGGTTCCAGTCTAAGGCTTTCAGATAAAATCTTATGCCTGAAAGGAAAGCATGCAAGCTGTGGCAATTTATTTTAATACCTTACTCCACATAATAGAAGATAACGATGATAACAGGTAGAAGACTATTTTCTCCAAATAGGACTGTTGGCCAAAGTAGGCATTGGCCTGCTAAAGTCACACCTGCTGACTGTCTTCAGTGAATGACATTGGTGTCCTAAAATAAACAACTTAAAGTTCAATGTAATTTTGAAATAATTTAACTCCTAAAAATAATATTAGCAATTGGGGGCATTATGGACCCTTGGAGGAATCTGATGAAAACTGAACACTCTTCACCAAAAATGGTGCATGTCACAGTCATATAAAAGCTTGCATAACATTTCAGGGTCTAAATGGGCTGCCTGTTTTATACCCCTTCTTTTAGGTGATGTTTCTATATTATTAGAAGATACACTGTGGAACAAAATATGATCATAAGAAGAAGTATCATTTTGAGGAATTTGACATAGCACATAACTACTTCCACTGGAAACCATGTTGAGGAATCTGGGCTCCTTTCAAAGTTAAATTTCTCTGTGATAACCTTGCTATGCTTTTGAAAATTACCCTAAGGACCAGGTATAACACTTAGTGACTTAATATGCATGTCTTATTTATGTAAGCCTTTAAAAGCAAGTATTGAGTGGAATAACTTTTCTTTTTTTAACCAGCCTGAAATTGCCTTATCTGTAAAAAAAAAATTTCAGTTGATATAGTAAACAATCATTTTAGTGCAAATATTTGTCCTGGATTTCCTATTTTTCTTAGTTGCTTACTATATAGCATAAAAGCAGAGGTTCAAAAGAAAAGCATGAGGACAAAATTTATTGGTTGAATGTATAAGGCTTCAATTAATACAATAGCACTGAGTCATTCATAGTCCATCACACATTTAAAGATGAACCATCAGAAAAATATGTAGATCTTTTCATGCTGACTTTAAGCTGTGGTCCCTCCAGAAGCACGCTAGATAGTTTTAATACCTCTGAGATCTGTGAAAACACAATCTGATTTGTTCCCCACTGAACAAATTTGGTTTAGTTCATCACTGCTTGGATCTACAACTCAGGCAAAGATTGTCACACTAGCCTTTTGTCTTACTACAGTAAACACAATGTATGTCCATTTTGCCACATGTTTTAGAGAGAGATTAGACTATTTGGTAAATATATGACAGGATTCAAGATGAAATGTATATCTTTCCATTTAAGCTAAAAAATATGTATGCAATAAACTAGGTCATGCAAACCATGTAGGATTCTGCTAAGCATTCATTGCTTGAGATGTAAGAAAACTCAAGTACTGTTAAGAGAGGAAGGAAGGTAGGAAAGATGGTAGGAATAAAGGAAGGAAGGAAGGAAGAAAGGAAGGAGGGAGGGATGGAGGGAGGGAGAGATAAAGGAAAGAAGGAAGAAAGGAAGGAAGGAAGAAACGAAGGAAGGAGAGAAAACCTTACTAAAGTATTAGAAATTAATTGACTATGCAGTTTGATATGAATTCTGAAAAATATTTTTTTTCCAGGTAGTATTTATATTGTATGCAAAGAGTGTGAAGCACTCTTAATTCTTTGAAAATGCATGCTATCTCTTGCCTCTAGATTGTTACCATATTTGCATCAGTTTTTCCTGTTCTCTTTGCCTTGTACACTTTCTCATGCATCAAATTCAAGGTTTGATGCACATTCGCTGGGTTTTCACTGCACACATCCAACCCACAAGCCTGAAGACAGGCTCTGTCTCGCTTGTTCCCATTGTTCCCATCATGACACATGTAACCAATGCTTGAAAAGAAGCATATTGAATAAGTGAATACATAAATAAATGAAGGAATGAATGTATTAATATACGGAGTAACCCATTTCTCTTCTCCGTAATCATGCGACACTATAGTGAATTCCTAGTTGTTTTCAGGTGGTTTCAATTTTTATTTCTATTTCCACTAAATTATCTTCCTCACTTCTGCGATTTTTCATCTTGATTTTCATTCTCAAATTTAGAAGGTTTTTAAATGTATACATGAATCTATATTTCAAATATCTTTTCAAAAGGCAAAATTAATCAAATTATTATCATACCTAAAACTTTATAGAGCCCACTTTAGTCATTTGCTTATAATTCTAAAGCATGATGATGTGTATGTCTCTACAGGTTTGAAAATCATTCTAGATCCAAGATACTCTTGTACTTATTCAATAATCATGTATTAAATGCCAAGTATGTGTTTTCTTTAAAAAGGACCATAACAATAGCTATGAAACAACAATGTGATAAATGTAATGTAAAAAATACCCAGAATACTATGGAAGCACAAACAGGATATAGATCACTTCATTAGCTTATCTGGAAGCTAAAATTCTCCCAAGCTCACAATTCAATATTTTCTTCATGTGAAAGTGCAAAGTAATACACCAAAATGTTGCATTCTTATCTGCCTCATCCATGATTATATCCTTGTATAATCAATATATATTAGGTATTTGGAGGGCAGTACTGATTTATTCAAGACAATAGGGTAGTAACTTTAGGGCCCTGTTACAGTGGGGTCGCTACTTAAATCTATGCTATAAAGGTAGCCAGTCCTAAGATATCTAACACATCATGCCATGAGTGTGCAAAAATGCACAGAAGGAACTGAATTTTCAGAACAGTAGTTTTTCAGCCCAGAAACTATTTCTCCTTTAATCAAGAAAATGAACATTGCTGTTTACACCCCTAAATCACTCTTTGGTTATTCTTCTACTTTTAAAAAATGTAGTGTCAACCCCAGCTTCCTATTATTTTATATAAATTGGCAATTTTACATTACTCTTGAACGGTGCATTTCGCTATCACTCCTTATTTTTGTTGTTCTGCCTACTGTATCCCTGTTCATCATTGCTCTCCAGATGATGTCTAGGAGGAAATGGCATTCTGTTGGCCTATTAATATTGAGCTTTGTTCTTTCGTACATGGCTGATTTTTTCCTACCTCTATTTCTCTGTTTTAATAGCGTTTATAACCAATAGAATTAGGTTCCTAACTTAAATTGGATATTATGAAGCACAAGGTATTACATGAGTAATGAACATTTCTCCTGCAGAAATTAGAGAGCATCCACAGACACCTTGTGGGCCATCATTAAATCAAAGGAAGGGACCCTCTGTGAAATGAGCACTGGCTGTGCATTGACAGCCTATGATCCCCTTAACCTGTCAGCTTTCATTACTCTACAGAAGATGAAAAATTACTTTGAATGGCAAGATGAGTGTGGCGATATTGTGTTTGTGGATTCACGCATTCCAGAAATTGAAACTGATATTTTCCTCTGCACAGTGCTGAACAGAGAGCATCATTGTTCACCTTTGGTCCATCCAAAGTTCAAATGAACCATGACTTATGAGATATTTTATTTCCAGGACACCACCACATAAATACATAAGGCAAGCTGTATTGATAAAGCCAGGGTCTATCTTAGGTAGTGTCTACCTCATACTGTGGCACAAGGAGATTGTTATGGGGTTAGGCTGGGTGAAATTCTCTTCCAAAAAAGTTAGAAATGTATCATTAAATAAATGTATCTTTATTTAACAATTTCTCAGAGTCTGAGGAAATAATGCTAAAACATATTGAAACTACCTATTTGTAGATGTATACCTTATCTAAAGTTATATTGGATCCATGAGTTTTTCTTGATTTAATTTGTAAACCTTTTTCAATTTACATTAAAAACTACCTCTGTGAAGCTTTCAGAGATTCTCCAGTATCCCAGTTTTTGATTTTAAAAATGAAGGTACAATCTATTTCTTTTATAGTATTATACAGTTTAATCATGTAGCTTTCCAGCTATTTAACTTTTCCAGTAATTTTAAATTTTAATGATTAGAACTCAGAGAATTTTAAAAATATTTTCATTTAGCTTAAGTGTTTATCTCTGGCTTACTGGAGGCTCCATAAGCCTTGCTTGTGTTAAAGCAAAGAGGGCTCTAATGCACACAATAGATGATGCACCGTGGATTTGTTACAGGAGAGCTTACTTTTGTCTTTAGGCCAAGCTTGTTCAACCCATGGCCCACAGTCCACATGTGGCCCAGGACGGCTTTGAACATGGCCCAACACAAATTCGTAAACTTTCTTAAAAGACTATGAGTTTTTGTTTTTTTTTGTTAGCTCAACAGCTCTTGATAGTGTTTGTGTATTTTATGTGTGGCCCAAGACAATTCTTCTTCTTCCCATGTGACCCAGAGAAGCCAAAAGATTGGACACCCATGCTTTAGGCTACAGCTGTTGTTATCTTTTAGAAAACTAGTTATTTACACATCTCTTTCTCATATCATATTATAACATTATAGTTTATTATCTTATAAGTTGGGTTAATAATATGAAATACATTTCTTTTTATTTAATATTTCTTTCTCAGAAGACCTTTGTACTTCAACTTAAAACAGGCATTATAATAATTTTTGTTTTTGGCATTCAGAGGATTGTTAACTTTTCAGATGATTTGTTTTCTGATATTTAAGTATAATTTATTGTCCAATGACTTCTGGAAGTATGGATACATTCTATTCATATGTTCATTTACCAAGATCTCAATAGCAGGTGCCATGGGCCAAGACAAAACTCACCATAGTGTTCCCCTTGAAAGTTTACAGAGGCCGGGTGCAGTGACTCACACCTGTAATACCGGCACTTTGGGAGGGCAAGGTGGGCAGATCATAAGGTCAGGAGATCGAGACCGTCCTGGCCAACATGGTGAAACCCGTCTCTACTAAAAATACACAAATTAGCTGGGCGTGGTAGGGCGCGCCTGTAGTCCCAGCTACTCGGGAGACTGAGGCAGGAGAATCGCTTGAAACCGGAGGGTGGAGCTTGCAGTGAGCTGAGATCACACCACTGCACTCCAGCCTGGCCGACAGAGTGAGACTCCATCTCAATACAAAATAAATAAATAAATAGCTACTGTTTTGCTAGGGAGTGTTTGGTAGTTTTCATAGGTAAGAGGCCACCAAACGAAGGCATTTTCTTAAAACACAAACACAATGACACAGCAATAAAATGTAATAATTTCCAGGACTGTGGTATACTTACAGATAAAAATGCATCACTGATGCTTTACGTGTGTCTAACTATAATAGACCAACTATTAGAGCATCCACATTAATAGACAATTACTGGTAGTAATGGATAAGAGATCGAAAGGAACACTGATCAGTCTAAGATTCATTAGTCTATGAAAGTTTGTAAATTTGCCAGAGGTATTAAATATCTGCTAGAGGTCTTCTCTGCTGATGATGTTGAGTATTATTGTGAAGTCAATGAGAAGAGTCTAGAACCCTCCACATAATTTCCATCATATAAAGTTTTGATCCAGAAGACACAATATAATTTTAAAAGTTGATGTAAACAGGTTTGTATGTAAAGTCTTCCTATGGAGAGAAAGTAAGGTCCCCCCAAATTTTTCACTACTTTCTTTTTGATATTAGTATATTAGTCAAACCACATAACTTTGGAAATGTCTTTTTTTTTTTTTTTTTTGAGACAGAGTCTCGCTCTGTCACCCTGGCTGGAGTCCAGTGGCGCGATCTCAGCTCACTGCAAGCTCTGCCTCCTGGGTTCACGCCATTCTCCTGCCTCAGCCTCCTGAGTAGCTGGGACTACAGGCACCCGCCACCACGCCCGGCTAATTTTTTTTATATTTTTAGTAGAGACGGGGTTTCACCGTGTTAGCCAGGATGGTCTTGATCTCCTGACCTCATGATCCGCCTGCCTTGGCCTACCAAAATGCTGGGGTTACAGGAGTGAGCCACTGTGCCTGGCCGAAACGTCTTTTGTATTTTAACGACTACAATGAAGATTGAAAAATATAATAAATATTATAAAATATTCCTCTTTTACACTTTCTATTATAAATGGTAAATTTAAGTTCTTATTAACTAGGGATATTCTGAATGATACAATAGCTGACTGAGAGGGTAGAAAGAATACATTGCTACAAAGGGAAACCACAGGCAAAATTTCTTGTATCTGGTTGATATAGCTTGGGTGTTTGTCCCCTCCAAATCTCATGTTGAAGTTTGATTCCCAGTGTTGGAGGTGGGGCCTGTGGGAGGTGCTTGGATCATGAAAGCAGATCCCTCATGAATGTCTTAGTGCCATCCCCTTGATGATGAATGAGTTCACTTGAGATCTTGTTTAAAAGTGAGTGGCACCGCCCTGCTGGCTCCCTTCCTTTGGCCCTCACCGTGTGATGTGCCTGCTCCCACTTCACCTTCCACCATGACTGTGAGCTTCCTGAGGCCTCCCCAGAAGTTGAGCAAATGCAAACACCATGCTTCCTGTACAGCCTGCAGGAACATGAGCTAATTAAACCTCTTTTCTTTATAAATGGCCCACCCTCAGGTATTTCTTTATAGCAAAACAAAAACAGCCTAACAAACTGGTTGAACAAAACTTGAGTGCTTTGAGAAATTTCACCTTGAATTTGTTATATTACTGTTCTTTTAAAATTTGATGAAAATATTTTAACAAAAATATAATTATTAGAAAATATTATGTCTTAAATATCAGGTGGTCTCAAGAGGACTTACTAAGCATGAATCGGGTACTTGTTAGTCTGAACCTAAAATAACAGTAAGGCTATTTCTTAAATATTTTGCCATGCTTTCAGCCTTCTGAATTTTTGCTCAGAGTCTAAGCCTTAGACTCTTATGTTCTAACTCACCTCTGTGAATTCATACTTGCCTCATCCCGAGTGCAACTTCTGCCCCTTGTGCTTAAAGTAATCTTCATGTCCTTACCATTTTAGAAATCCTTCAGTAGCTCACAACCAGGAGCTTAATGACCTTCCTAAGCTCCTTAGCATGATAGGTCAGTGTCCTGGATTTCTTTTCAATTTTGTCTCCCACCTAGACCTCTTACTTAGGCAATCTGAACCATAATGACAGTATTTTCCCAATACTACATATTCTTTCATACTTTCAAAATTTTGAACATTGTTTTCTCTCTGCCTAGAGTGCCCTTCATCTACATTGTAATTCTGGTAATTTATTCTTCAATATTAAAATTGAGCTCCAGTTCCTTTCCTCTAGGAAGTCTTTTCTGTCTTGTCTCAGCAAGGGCAAATGTCTTCTCCTCTGTTCTCTTTAAGTAAATCATTTAATCTTTATTTTGGTATTTACAGGAGAGCTGTGGTTCTTTAGTTTATATGCTCTTTTTCATGCAGGACTGTGGACCCTGTGGGCCCCTCTGTTGTAAGGCTGTGAGCTATTCATATTCTCATTTTTAATGAGTCATATGTCTGGTACCCAGAAGATATTTGAATTTATATTTGAGGAATGAATAAGTCATTAGTAAGTGTTTGATATTGGACTGTGGTGTCATTTCTTTTTATTCCGACACTCCCGTTTTCCTCTTCATTGATGGTTCCTGTGTGAGTGTGTGGCCCTCCCCCACTGCCCTGCCCTCAGTTACCTTAGTGGTCATTGTTCAGGAAGAAGGCACAAATTCTTCCACTGGATTTTAGAATGCAATCACGTAAAAGGGTAAGAAATTCAATCAAACTGCTACACAGTTTGTCAGGAAAAGAAATTAACAACCATGGCACATTTTCCTGAGTTTTATTTATGTTCTGGAAAATGGTTTCCTCCTGACCTAACCATGACTGAAAAGAAACATTGTTTCTTAAAATGTCACCAATAAATTTAACAGAGTGATATTAAGTATTTTATAGGAGAAGCCCTGGCCAATACAAGCAAGAGTTCATCTGGTGTGAGTTACATATTTTTTCTGAACTTAATTCTTTCTAAAAATATAAAAACTTATTATTTGGGAACAGCCAATATGTTTGCTATATAAAGAATCTTAAGTCCAAGCTGTGTCACTTCCATTAAGGATTGAAGAACAGGAAAGGAGACAGTTTCGATCTCCCAAGCCCTTTCACTAAGATCATTTCTACAGAGTTGAATTGAAAGTACTTTCTACTGAGATCCCAGATGGATCTATTATTGGAATATTAATGTCATATGGATTGTCTCAGTTTTGGCATCATGATAAGCTTTCTTTATATCACAATTCAGTTGATTTATGTCCTAATCACCCTGTGGCAGGGCCATTATTAAGTGGATGCAGGAATGTGATACAGTTCAGCTCAAGTTAACCTTGCTTCACAATAGTGACATGAGTTAATTTAATTCCTGTCACCAGACTCCGCAAGGGGTATATTGCACATTACCTCTCGTTATTGCAGCTGCGAGTCATTATCTCCAAATCGCCCTTCGTAAAACCTATATGTGTCCCTTCTTACACGTGTCCCATACAGTGAGAGAGAGGCTGCATAATCAAATATCCATAAAGAAATATACCATAACAATCAACCTCATAGGAAGTTCATGACAAATATATAAAATGTTTAGATGTTTAGTTCCAGTAAAATGATGCCAGGTCCATAAACTGTCCCAAGCTCTCTGAAATACCTGAGCAAAAACCTATGGAAACATTAACAGTAATCTCAATTGCAATAAGGACAAAGGAGGGCAGTGAAACTGTTGCAAGAACAGGCAAAATTCCTGTAAGCATGATTCCTATCATATATCTGAATAATGAGACTAGATTGCCATTCATAGTACAGATATAATTTTAGTTTCCCAGAAGTAAAAAGGAAGGCTTCTTTTATCATTCATACTCTGCTTTATGTTGAAGAGATGCCAAATCTCTACCAAAAAGAAAATGAAGCAGTCTTCCTTCTACTGTGTTGATGTTTCTATTTTTTAGGAACATATGTATGTGTCTAGTGTGTGTGTGTGTGTGAGAGAGAGAGAGATTTCCTAATATAAAGCAATAAAATTTCCCGTGGGCCATGTTAAGACATAAACAAATACAGACATGTACTTGGGCAAGGCGGTAGCGCTTAAGACCAATTTTCTTTTTTCCCCCATTCTTCTTGGATCTGCACGTCACATCCTGGAGGTTATTTATACAAAAATCATCACTATTAATCCTCAGCCTAAACCATTTATTTAGTATGTGGTATGCATTTTACCTTACTGTCCACTGTTTTTCTTCTAGACCAGTTTTCAGAGTGCTAAGGTTTCTAATTTTTTTTCTTCTTTGACACAATTTTTACTGAGTAGGAAATGTCATGTATTAATCATTTTAAAATATTGAAATAAATATGTGAGTAAATCAAGCGATCAGCCTCTACTCAGTCCACAACTCCCTGTTATTCCAATTGGCTTAATCTTCCCATTTTTTCCAGCACTAGAGTCTAGTTCTACCTTGGTCCTGCTCATCTCTTTCTCTCTCTCTCTCGCTCTCTCTTTGGGCAGGACTCTTTCCTTCTGAAAATAAATTTTGGTTGGAGGTTTATGAGATCTGCTCCTGAAAGATTTTCTTGACTCTGCTGATATTTTCCCATAGCGTTATCCAATTTTTATATTTAATCTTTCTTCCTGGATCTGGCTTTGTAAGCATTTACACATAATTCGAACTTTTTGAGTTTTCTCCATGTCTGAGTTTCCTGAAAACCAACTTGTAGAGTTTTTAATGTCTCCTTGTTATTATTATTAGTCTTTTTGCTATTTCTACTAAAAGAAATAATTCAGAAATACATTGTTTCTATATCTCCAAAGGAACTAGAAATTCCTGATTTTTTTTTTTAAGAACACAGAACGGCACCACCTTAGACCTGGGCAAGCTAGACCTTTACTCTGAATCCTGTGGCTCGGGGTCTGCCATCTTTCCACTTTAGAGTGCTTTCCTGCAGGCAAGTCCTTCTCCAGTGCTAGGAACATATTGGGACCTGCCTAGGTCTGTGTTTCTCTTTCTCCTATTTCATGTGTGCCCTGGCCCTCTATCCTATATGTGAGATTGACCAGATGCCCCCAAAGAGCTGTAGAACTTGCACCTGAATTATCCTAGTGAGGTAATGCTTTTGCAAGATTGCTGAGGTTGGATCTTCAGATAAATGCTGACATGCTCCTTCAAGTGAGTGTGGGCTGAGTTCAGGATCCTAGACAACAGAAGCTACACCACTGGTGCTTGGACATGAGCTACATATGTGTTCTAACCATGATATCACCTATGGTCTTTATCATCCAAAGGTGGTAGAGGTGGTGGCAGTGTAACCGGCAAAAGGGTCTGCATGCTCGCCACTTATAAAAAGAAACCGAGATGACAAGACTGAGATGTGATTAAAAAGAGAGTGAAATTTTATTATCCATGCCAGCAGAGGGAGGAGTGGGTGCAATTCTTATCAAAAATTTCCACTCTTCAATTTGTGGAGGAAACCCAGGAGTTTTAAAAGAGAGGGTTTGAAGTTCAGACGAGGCAAGGGGGCTAGGATGTGTCAGGTGATGTGACCCACTCCGATGGCTTGTCTTGAATTATTGTTTCATTTGGTAATGGGACTAGCACCATTGCAGCTGGAGGTGCCTGGTCCATACAAGGAGCCAGCCCCAGAAGCTTCTAAGAAAATATATGATCAGATAAGTGAGCATGGTGTGTGCCTAACAAGCATGTAGGTAAATAGGTGTGCATAAGCATAGAATGGGAAAAGAAAGGGAGTGGAAGCTCACAGTACATTTCAAGGCTGTATTTCTAGATGAAAGGAAACATATGGAGTTTGTCTCAAAGTTATGTCTTGAGATTGGGGAGAAAGAAGGAAAGAAAACAAAAGTTTTAAAATGCAGTTTGAAGCCAAGCTGCTTCATTACAGCAGGTGTTCTCTATCTGCCCCCACTTCTGGCACTCAGGGTTACTCAATTCCCCCCACAATGGGCTCCCTGCCACATGTTAAGTAGTCCTTAGGGATGGCCACATCTATCTTTTTCAAGAGTCTTGAGACCATTGTTTCATAATGCCAATAGGCCCTTCCTATCAGTATTGTCTTTTGCATTCAATCAATATGGTGAGGTGAAGCTTTCCCAGTTCAGTCTAAATTTGTAACAAACCTCAGCTTATGGGAATGTTGCCTTACATGCTTATGGGAATGTTGCCCTCTCCACCAGCATGGCCTTTGCCATTCCTTCCCTACTGATGGTGCATAGAAGTCAGGTGTGAAGGCAACATCAAAGGAAATCATATTCTACCATGCATTCATTCTGACTTAAAGACATCACAAGATAACTTAGTTGGAAAATGTGTTATTCTACATTTATACTATACAATTCTGACTGGTAAATTTAACAAGAAAATGAACATTTGTTCAAAGTTTTCTCCAAATAGTGAATAACACTTGGGTTGGTGATCATCATCAATGAAGCAAATAACAACCTTTGAGAAAGTCATTCAAAGCCAGTATTCACTTTTGGCATGATTGATGATGCAGTCTTGCAATTAATTGCAGAACCAGAATTAAATATATGATATCAAGGAACTGAAGAGGAGAAGATCTATTTTGCTTTAATACATTATGGAGCCATGGCATTATGAGTAATAACAGCATTGCTATCTTTTTCTCATAGTGGAACATATTAAATTAGCTGGGAATGGCACATTTTAAATAAAAATATGAAGAGATGGTTTCTGAACCTGAAAGGAAGGGTTGACTTTTGGGTTTACAAATATACAGCACATGCACTGATTGGAAAATAAACAAATTTTTAAGTTCCTCTTCAGTCCACATTACTCTAAATATTCATCATTAAGTCACTATTCACTCACAGTAACCCACGAATTTTATAATGCACATTTAATCAATTTTTACGTAGAGAGGAAAAGCACAAAAGCTTTTGTCAGAGGCCCTACATACCCTAAAGATGGCCTTGAGGCAGCATGCTGAATGTCTGTCTTTTCATTTCTATTCTCATTCCTCACTATATCTCAATATTTAAATTAGTTGTACTTAAATTCATGAAAAATAGATGGGCAACAATTGATGTCTCTGTATAAGGATGTGATTGGAGAGTGAGGTGGTTGGTATGGGAAGTGTCGCCTGCATCTGATCATGTTGGGTCTGGAAATACTATATATCATTTAGAAAGTTGATTAAAGTACTTTAGGAAGTTAATATAGGTGACCTCATAACATGTAGGCGGTTAAAAGAAGGTTAGCTTTAGGGAATGATGTGTGTCCTTTTGAAGAGGTGAAAAAGATTCTGAAGATAGAATCCAATATAAAGGCATACCTCACAAAACATGTAGGGTGAAATAATCAATTATGGAATTTCAATTAATTATTCTATTGAATTCCTAAGGATAATATTTTATGGGTTAAAGGATCTGAGTAAAAAATTATGATATAGAAATATTTTCAAATGAGTATTTTGAATAATTTCCAATTAAAAAAATAACTAAATCAACATAAGTGTCAATTTGGTTATTAACCAAGTACAAATCAAATCTATTCTTAAACAGAAAAAGTCTAATGTTACTTATAAATTTAATCTACCAATAACTTGAATATAAATCTAGAATTTAATTGGAGAGGATATATTGAAAGCAAAATCAATGTGTAATACATTTCTTGTTTAATATGTGAATGTTTAAAATAAGCTATTATTTTCTAACTGATAATTTAACAAGTACAGGTTAATATTGTTAAGCTTCATTCTTATGAATCATAAACAAAAATAAAGAAAAGAATATAATGAATTGCAATGAAAACACACTGAGTAAAAAATTCAATGTACAGATTATTCAATTTTTATCCGAGTATACTGATATATAAAAAATGCATACAGGGCATAAATTTAAATATTACCAATTATTTTTCTTGGATAGTAAAAAATAAATTATTTTATTTTGGATTTTGGATTTTAAAATGTTCTTAAATAAGCTTTATAATTTATAATCATAATTAGCATATGTTATTTTTAAAATTTAGATCTATCATCATAATTTAAAGATGAGTTTACTATAAAGAGTTTTCTCCCATAGTAGAGAGTTTCAAGGCCTAATTTTTGGACCAAACTAACAGTCATAAATATTTCACTGATATAGAAACTGGAAGTGAAAGACATCAGCTTCTAAGAACATTTACAAAACCAAAATCCAAAGTTCTTTGACATAGGATGTTAGCCATTGTTTGAAATTGTTGCTTATATATATATATATTTTTTTTACCATAATATATGTTCATATTGCAGACAATTGCCTTTTCACAGTTTAAATCATTTTAGCCAGCATTTTAATTAATGACTCTGCTGCACATACATTCTCTTTCACAATATGTGTTTCATAACACCGTTATGATCGGGGTGCAAAAATAGAGCCTATTAACTCTCACAGAACTTATGGAGTTTTTCCTATTAAAGGACTCTTGTAAATCGTGCAAGCAACTAGATCTACAGGTAGATATGACAAAATAGGTATTGTAATCAATATTTTGACTTGATGATTAGCAAGCAAATACTGGAGACTGAAGCCGTATTTAAGCAAATTATAGCATTCAATTAAAATAAAAAAACATTTTTAACATAACTTATAATGGCTTTTATTGAGTAGTCAGTTTCATGTGCAGTTCTAGGCTCTTTTTTGGTCGTTACATTTAACCCTTGAAAATGCAGTGTGTATTGTAATCTCTGTTTTATAGATAAGGAAACTAAAGTTCAATGTGGTCACAAAAATTGAACAAATCCCATAGATAACAAATGTCAGACCTGGGAGCTTATCTGGCTCTAAAATATATTATCTTGGCCAATGCTATAACTATCATAAAACTCACTGATTTAAAAAAAAAAAGCAAAGACTAGAGAAGGCAGTATCACATTGCAGAACACACACATATAGAGTTCCTTTTTGCAAGAGAAATTTATGAAATAGAGAACATAACAAAAATAATTTTCAGGGATAAATTGTGTTTTGAAAAAATGAATGAAGATATGGTCTATTTAAAAATCCAGAAGTACAGTGGAGAAGGTAAAACCCTTACTGTTACTGTTCCTATAATTCAAATATTTGGAATGAGTTAGGAAAGAAAGTACCTATTACAATTTATAAAGCTATTCAAATATTTAATGAGCACTGTTGTTCAAGATATTCCGTTAGGCAGTTTCTCTCTCTCTCTCTCTCTCTCTCTCTCTGTCTCTCTCTGTCTGTCTCTCTCTGTCTCTCTCCCTCTCTCCTGCATGTGTGTGTGTGTGTGTGTGTGTGTGTGCATGTGTGTGTGTTGAAAGAGGTAGAGGGCAGAATGGTGTCCTCACGATCTTGATTAGACAGCAGAACTTTCAGAAATATTTCAAAGATAAAATTTATGGACTTCCCTCAAGTATGTTATTAGACTATAAACTATTTTATTGGAGGCCAATATTCATACGCATAAGTCATCTTAATGAAGTATAGATTATTGATCTTAAACATGTTAGTTACTTGATACTGAGGATGGATTTCTGAAACTGTAGCTTCATACTGAATGCTCTAATTTTAAGGAGGTCCTCTAAAACTGCTTTTATGACAATAAAAAATTTCCCACCAGTATGAAGATATCTGAAGTTTTAAGAACTTCAGAATGTCAACTCAGATATTACCAAGGAAACTGAAGGACTTTTATGTCAAACATCAGCATTTTCCTTCTACCTCCTTGTTTTACTTGAACCTCATTCTTCCCTGAAATCAGTTTCTCAGCCAACACTTTCCTGATTGTAATCTCCCATCCCCTTGAACCCAGTAGCAGAAGGTGGGCTCAGTATTGTCCTCACTCACCAATGTCCTTCTCAGAATATTCAACATTCACAGAAACAAAATTAAAATCAAAAGACCATGAGGAAACTTCTGTTACTTTAAGCTAAACCAATCAGTCATACAACAATACGACCAGCTGCTTGTTAGCATCTACTATCTGGCAATTATTCCCTATCATTCTCATTCACAGATTTTCCTTCCACCTTAAATCTTGCCATAATTGGAGGTATTTTTTGCAGGTATGATGTATTCAATCTTTTACCCTCTCAATTTTGTGCTAAAACTCCAATAATATTCACTTCCATTATACTCAAACCAAGCACTTTCATATTCATAGAAGTTATCTTTTCTATATCTAAACAAATAAAAATATCAAAAGCACACCATTGCTTTATTTTTATTAAATTATTCAGCAGCTCCTTCTCTCTTTTTTTCTAGGTGAATGTCTTTAAACAATGGTCACTATTGTGGCTAAGTCTTTTCACTCATCTTCCAAACTATGCACGGTGGTTTCTGCCACTCTCATGCCACTGAATTTGTCTCATCAAGGTCATCAGTGGCATAAAACATTAAATTCACACTCTGAGTTGTCTTTCCTGATAGCCACCAAACTTACTACGTACCCGACTGATATGGTTTGGCTGAATTGCCACCCAAATCTCATCTTGAATTCCCACGTGTTGTGGGAGGGACCCAGTGGGAGGTAACTGAATCATGGGAGCAGGTCTTTCCCATGCTGTTCTTATGATAATGAATAAGTCTCATGATATCTGATTTTTTTTTTTGACGGAATCTTGCTTTGTCAACCAGGCTAGAATGCAGTACTGCAATCTCAGCTCACTGCAACATCTGCCTCCAGGTTGAAATGAATTCTCTTGCCTCAGCCTCCAAGTAGCTGCAATTACAGGTGCCTGGCATGACACCCAGCTAATTTTTGTATTTTTAGTACAGACAAGGTGTCACCATTTTGGCCAGTCTGGTCTTGAACTCCTGACCTGGGGTGATCCACCCACCTCAGCCTCCCAAAGTGCTGGGATTACAGGTGTGGACCACTAGGCCTGGCTGAGATCTGATGGTTTTTAAAAGAGTAGTTCCCCTGCACAAACTCTCTCTCTTTGCCTACTGCTATCCATGTAAGACATGACTTGCTCCTCCTTACCTTCCACCATGATTGTGAGGCCTCTCCAGCCATGTGGAAATGTAAGTCCATTAAACCTCTTTCTTTTGTAAATTGCCCAATCTTGGATATGTCTTTATCAGCAGTGTAAAATGGACTAATACAATAAATTGGTACCAGGAGTAGGGTGCTAATGAAAAGATACCTGAAAATGTGGAAGCAACTTTGGTACTAGGTTACAGGCAGAAGTTGGAACAGTTTGAAAGGCTCAGAAGAAGGCAGGAAAATGTGGAAAAGTTTGTAACTTCCTAGAGAGTTGTTGAATGGCTTTTACCAAAATGCTGATAATGATATGGACAATGAAATACAGGCTGAGGTGGTCTCAGAATGAAGGTGAGGAACTGGACCAAAGGTGACTCTTGTTATGTTTTAGCAATGAGATGGGCAGCATTTTGCCCTTGCCCTGGAAATTTGTGAAACGTTGAACTTGAGAGAGATGATTGAAGATATCTGGCGGAAGAAATTTCTAAGCAGCAAAGCATTCCAGAAGTGACTTGGATGCTGTTAAAGGCATTCAGTTTTAAAAGGGAAACCGATCATAAAAGTTTGGTAAATTTGCAGCCTGACAATGAGATAGGAAAGAAAATCCCATTTTCTGAGGAGAAATTCAAGCCTGCTACAGATATTTGCATAAGTAATGAAGAGCTGAATGTTTACCACCAAGACAATGGGAAAACGTCTCCAGGGCATGTCAGAGACCTTTGTGGCAGCCCCTCCTATCACAGGCCCAGAGGCCTAGGAGGAAAAAATGGTTTTGTCAGCTGGGGCCAGGTCTCTCTGCTATGTACAGTCTAGGGGCTTGGTGCCCTGCATTCCAGCCTCTCCAGCCATCACTAAAGGGGTCCAAAGTACAGCTAGGGCCATAGACTCAGAGAGTGCAAGCCCCAAGTCTTGGCAGCTTCCACATGGTGTTGAGCCTGCGGGTACACAAAAGTCAAGAATTGAGGTTTGGGAACCTCCGCATAGGTTTCAGAGGATGTATGGCAATGTCTGGATGTACAAGCAGAAGTTTGCTGCAGAGGCAGGCACTCATGAAGAACCTCTGCTAGGGCAGTGCAGAAGGGAAATGTTGGGTGGGAGTCCCCACACAGAGTGCCTACTGGGACACAGCCCTAGTGGAGCTGTGAGAAGAGGCCCACAATCCTCCAGACCCCAGAATGGTAGGTCCACCCACAGCTTGTACTGTGTGCCTGGAAAAGCTGCAGACACTCAACACCTGCAGCCAGGAGGCAGGTTCGAACCCTGCAAAGCCACAGGGGTGGAGCTGCCCTAGACCATGGGAACCACCTCTTGCATCAGCATGACGTAGATGAGAAACACGGAGTCAAAGGAGATGATTTTGGAGTTTTAAGATTTGAATGCCCCATTGGATTTTGGACTTGCATGGGCCCTGGAGCCCCTTTATTGTGGCTAATTTCTCCCATTTGGAATGGCTGTATTTACCCAATGCCTATACCCCATTGTATCTAGGAAGTAACTAACTTGCTTTGGATTTTACAGGCTCATAGTCAGAAGGGACTTGCATTGTCTCAGATAAGACGTTGGACTGTGGACATTTGAATTAATGCTGAAATGAGTTAAGATTTTGTGGGACAGTTGCAAAGGCATCATTGGTTTTGAAATGTGAGGACATGAATTTTGGGAGGGGCCGGGGGCAGAATGATATGGTTTGGCTGTGTCACCACCCAAACCTCATCTTGAATTCCCACATGTTGTGAGAAGGACTCGGTGGGAGGTAATCGAATCATGGGGGCAGGTCTTTCCTGTGCTGTTCTTTTGATAGTAAATGAGTCTCACAAGGAGTTCCCATGCACAAGCTCTCTCTCTTTGCCTACTGCCATCCATGTAAGACACAACTTGCTCTTCCTTGCCTTCCACCATGATTGTGAGGCCTCTCCAGCCACGTGGAAATGTAAGTCCATTAAATCTCTTTATTTTGTAAATTGCCCAATCTTTGGATATGTCTTTATCAGCAGCATGAAAATGGGCTAATACACCGATCTATGTGATCCCACAGAAATTCAAAAAAGATTACAATAGAAAAACAACAATAATGGCCCTGGACTCAGGTAGCTGAAACACTAATAGAAAAGAGAAATGAGAAAACAGTGAAAATACAACAGTAAAATACTAAGAACTTAAATAAATAAGTGGTCCTCAAACTGTGGTCCCCAGACCAGTAATGTCAGCATCAACTGGGAACTTGTTAGAGGTATAAATCCTGAGGCTGTATCGCAGATATCCTGAACCAGAATCTCTGGGGGAGTGAATTTAGAAATCTGTATTTTAAGAATCTCTAAACATTATTCTGATGCACATAAATTTATCAACCACTTATATAAGTGTGTGTGTCAGTGTGAAAATCTATCTATTCATACATATTTTTATTTGTAGGCGTGTGTGTACATTTTTATTTTATTTTATTTTTTTTCCTGGTCGTTCCTACCCTAGTGTGTGCATATGTGTGTGTGTGCATGTGTGTTTGAGACAGAGTCTCTCTCTGTCACCCAGGCTGGGGTGCAGTGGTGTGATCTCTGCTCACTGCAACCTCTGCCTCCTGGGTCAAGCAATTCTCCTGTCTCAGGCTCCTGAGTAACTGGGACTACAAGTGTGTGCCACCACATCTGGCTAATTTTTGTATTTTTAGTAGAGACAGGGTTTTACCATATTGGCCAGGCTGTCCTCGAGCTCCTGAACTCAAATGATCTACCCACCTCAGCCTCCCAAAGTGCTGGGATTACAGGCATGAGCCACTGTGCCCAGCCTTTTTTAAGCAACTTTCTGTGAAATAAAATGACAGAGAATCTGCATTTAAAAGTAACTTTATCGAAGGCTTTCAGGAGAAGGTCTTGTTTAAACATAGACCTAAAACCAAGGGTACCGTTCTATGCAATTATTGGGGGACATTATGGGAAGAAAAAAGAGCAATGTGCAAAGACATAAGAAAAATGCTTCAAGGAACTGAAAAAGGCACTGAGTCTAAAACATACTGATCAAATGGGAAAATAACATAAGATTTTAAACAGGCAGGGCAGAACATCTATGACCTTGAAGGCCAAGGGAAAAGGTTTTGTTTTATTTTAAGTGTGATTGGAAGTGATTGGAAAGTTCTAAATAGAGCAATCCCTTCATTTTTTTCACTTCTAAGAAGTTACTACTACTGCTTTGAGAAAATAAATTGTAAGAGACACAAGTGAAAGTTGAGAGGCAGGACAGAAGACTGTAGTGGACTGGGGGAAAGATGATGCTGGGCATGGCCATGGCCATGTGACTGTGAAGACAGAGAGATATTCACAGCTTTGTAGATTGGAAGGAAGGGGTTAGAAGGTGTGGTGAAGAAAAAATATTGATAAAGACTCCTGGGTTTCTCATGTGAGAAATGAAAAACCTTAAAACAGTCATTCATGTTTAGGTCTTAAATTTGTCGGTAATTTATTTGAGAGTATGGCATATGGTAGAACAATAATTTGTTTTATATAGCACTCTAATGTTACCAAACCTTTATTGAAAAGCCCATTATCCCTATTGATTGGAGATGATGCCACCTATGTTTGGTATTGAGTTCTGAAACAGGTATGAAGAGTCTTTCTCTGCTATCAATATATTTCTTTATTTCTGTGCCAGTATGATACTGTTTTAAATAATCTAACAAACAATTTTTTCTTGAGGCATAGTATGTATTCTTTGTTTCTTTATACCCCCACAAAAAAAGCAGCTTAGCTATTTTACCATACCATCTTTAAAATCAGTTAATGGAATCATTTTAGGATTTTTTTCATAGAAATTTTAGAAGAAGTTAATCCAGTTTCACACAAAAAAAATCCTGTTGGAAAGTTGAAACAAATATTAATTACCAATGGACAGACTATTTTTGGAGATGCGTATCTTTATATATTTAACTGTTGTCTAAAAAAATGGTATATCAGCCCCTGACCCATGTCCTCTCTTATGCCTTTTAAGAAAATTGTATACTTTTCTCTATCATAACTTACAGTGGACAATGTAGCCCTCCACTCCCCTCCCCTTTCTTTCACTTTTTTTTTGTTTTACATTCCTATTTGTGCACATAACAATCACCCTGTCCTCCTTTGTGCACTATTGCTTCTAACAGCCAAGACCTGTTGCGCTTTTTCTGGAAGGCTCATGCTAAGGTTTCAGGAGTCTCTTTGCCTTTATGCAAAATGTTGGACATCCCTGGGAATTCATATGTGTGCCTTTCCCTTCCTTGAGTCTTCTGCAGCCATTTACCAATGAAGCAGGAAGAGAAAAGTAAGAGAATCTATCTCACTTGCTTCAGAGCAGGGCAACTTTGAAGTGCAACTTACATGGCATCCTTTTCCAGCGTGGCCAGATGAAGCTCTTGGGTTTGAGACTTTGCTTGGCTCTTCACTCTGGTTTGTCCTTCTCTCTCCTTCCCTGTCATGCCTCCCTCCCTCAGTTATAAACTTCCCCTGGAAGCTCTTTCTGAGTAGATCACTTGCACATGAAATCTTATCAAACGTCTCCTCCTGGGGAACTCACTGTAAGAGAGTTGATAGCCAGAAGTGGCTCTGGACAGCCGACTCTAACTGTTGGGTTCTTGTTTTGGATCAGCAGTCAGCCACATGGCAACAAGGAGCCCATGTTGGTGGTAAGCAGAGTGGGGATATAACTGATCACACTGTAGCATTATAATTGCAAAGGTTTTCATCTGTAATGATTTTCCAGGATTTGGGGTTGGGTATAGGTGGGAAAGCATGTATGCCCATATGATAATACTAGGAATTGGTAAATATGAGAAATAACCATTATAAGGATTATATGGTTTTGACATGGTATAAGTGTAGTCTGCTGTTGCTCACTACAAATTCTTTCACTCACACTTATTTTGCAGTTTCAGCATCATCTGCCTTCAAACTATGCTGAGGGTATTGATCCTAGTACAGATTATTTTTCCCTTCAGGTTTGTTTGTTTTTGTCTTAGTTTCATGAGGAGATGTTGAGAGGTAGTTTGAGCAACTACTGTCTTCAGTTACAATGAGGTTTCATAGGTTTTTATAGATACCTTTATTCAGATTAATAAAGTTCCTTTCTAGTCCTATTTTCTATGAGCCTTTCTTTAAGTTTTGCTGAAATTTGTCAAGTAATTACTTTCTGAATCCATAAAATCATAATATGGTTTTTCTTATTAATAAATCTCTTAATCCAAAGAAATGCAGTTGTCTGTCTATCCTTCTATATCTGGGATACAGGTGCCACACTATGATGTATTTCAATGCAATGTTAGTTTAGATGTATTAATTATTGGTTTAATATTCTGTGTGTATAATAATTCATACAGAGATATGAATATTCATATATGTGTACAAATGTATTTTCATATAATGTCTTTTAGGGGGTGAATTATATTCCCCAAAATTTATATGTTGAAACCCTAATCCCCAATACTTCAAAATGTGACTGTATTTGAAGATATGGTCTTTAAAGAGGTGACTATGATAGATGAGGTCATTAAGGTGGGTCCTAATCCAATATGACTGTTGCCCTTATAAAAAAACGTGAAGACCATACAAAGGCACAGAGGAAGATAGTCATAGGCCAAAGAGAGAAACCTCAGAAGAAATCAGCCCTGTTGACACCTTGACCTGGGACCTCTAATCTCTAGAACTGTGAGGAAATTAATTTCTGTTGTTTAAGCAATTCAGCCTATGAAACTTGGTTATGGCAGCCCTAGCAAACTAATAGAGTGCCCCTGTCTAGAGGTCATCTTTCTTTTCCTTTCCTAATTGTCATAACAATATCTGAGATAAGAAATATCTATTCCTTGGAAATCTTTTAAAAAATTGTTTTTAAATCATTATCTTTTCATACATTGGTATAAGCATGTGTGTGCAGGTGTATTTGTTGGAGACACAGCCTGGTTTTAACTACTGTTTCATTATGTTCATATTGACTAGTTATTTTTGCTTTGATTTGCAGATTTCGTGTTTTTCTATCAAAGTTTTAATCTCTAGTAATTGCTCTAGTACTAAAATACAGCTCTTGATTCTACTTTTGTCATATCTAATTGTTTCTAATATTATTTAATGATTCCCTAATTTTTGTTGTTATTACTATTTTGTTAAGTACTTCCAAGAGTTTTTCGCTTGTTTTCATTTTCTTTCTTTGGTTTTTAGTTTTCTCAGAAAACAAGCTCTTGGTTTTATTACCTCCGTTTTCTATTTTATTTATCTCTGCCTCTATCTTCGTTTCATTTCTTATATTATTTTAGATTTTAATTTTTTAGCGATGTTAATGTTTTTCTGAATTCATGAACTCGATGCTTTAGTAAGTAATTTATAAATTTACTTGTTTCCCAAAAAATTGTTTTCCAAATATAGTTAAGTCCACATTTTTTTCTCTCATTATCATTGTGGCTATAATTTACAAATTATAAGATGCTTTGATTGTTATTCGGCTCTAACTTTTTGTTCTTTAGTTAACAGATTGGAAGTCTGTGAAATTCCATTTGGAATTTTCAACTATAAGTCGCTCTTCAGTTTCCAGAACTTTTTGTTTGTTTTTATTATCTTCTAAGTTTTTATTTTTATAAAAATGTGTTTCTCTGATTTCCTTATATTTTTGCACTGTAGTCACAGAAGTGACAGAACTTAGATCGAGACATTCCTTTCTTTGTAGCCTAAAATATGGTCAAGAAGAAATCGTTCCAGAGATTCTGTTAATGAGTGCATATTCCCAGATACTAATTTCTATACATAATTGAAGTAAACTTTTTATTTGTGAATCTTACAGATATGAAATTTACTAATAATGTGTCTAGGAACATAATTTTTATTTGTGGCATTATAGATTGTACTCTATAGAAATGCTATATTAAATAGCACAATGTTAAACTATCACTATTTAAGCACCCTTGAAATTGCACAATTATATTTATTATCTTACTGTGAATCATATATTATATTACATGGTATTGTGGTATTGTACTGCTATATACTTTTTCTTTTTTGAAACATAGCCTCACTCTGTTGCTCAGGCAGGAGTGCAGTGGCGTGATCTCGGCTCACTGCAACCTCAGCCTCCCACGTTCAAGCAATTCTCATGCCTCAGCCTCCTGAGTAGCTGGAATTACAGGTGTGCACCACCATGCCTAGCTAAATTTTTTGGATTTTAATAGATACAAGGTTTCCCCATGATGGCCAGCCTGGTCTCAAACTCCTCATCTCAAGTGATTCACCCACCTTGGCTTCCCAAACTACTGAGATTATAGGCATGAGCTGGCCCATACTTTTCTTTTAATTTTGACTTTAAACTCATCCTTAGCAGGAATTATTTGCTTTAGAGTTCAGCTCATACCTAGCCTTCCTATGGATTAGTTTTTGTTTGCTCTGCTGGGCTCTTATAGAGTTTACTGGTCCTGAATCATTTTTAATATTATTTTACTGGCCTGGGATTTCTGTATGACACAGATAGTTTTCCTTTGGATACATGTGCAATAGTGTCTAGGGTTCTAGTTTTGTTGCTGGTGACTGTATTTCTACTGACAGACTTGGCTTAATTCTGACCATGGCTCTGAGTTGACAGACATCATTCAGTCTGTGTTGGTCCCCTGCTTCTCTCATGCAGCTCACATCAAGGTCTCCTACACATGGTCCCTGAATGGAGGATCATTTCCTTCAATAAGCATTAGATCTACACATTCTTTAATGCCTCTCTATATTTCTGGTTCCCCAGTTAGTTGTGTGGCCTATTGTTCTTGATTCCTTAATTGATTTGAACACACAAATAGTTTCATCTTGCTCTTGATCTCTATATTGTGTGTGTGTGTGACTGTTGTGAGGAGGAAGGTGGATTCAGAGAGCAATGGTTACAGCATTTGATCAGTCTAACTCCTGACCCAAAGTCTTGGATTGAGGTTTATTAATTGTCTAAATACTTATAGGTTTTGAATCCGTGGGTGACAGGATCCATACATTTCTTGGATTTCTACTTCCAGCATATTGACCAAAGCACAGATGCTTACTGAAGGAATGAGTATTTGAGTATATTTGTGTAGTCTTTCTTCCAAAAACATAGACATGCAAGGAATATTCACACTTCTTTTCCTGACGTTTACTGACAAAAGTTAAAAACGCAAGCATATTTTAATGATAATATACTAAGATGGAAGCAATAAAGGGAAAATATTCAAGAAATAATAAATAAAGTACCTAAAGTCAAATTTGATTTCAAGATTCATAGCAACTGTCAGGTATACATCTCAGTAAAAGAGAAATGTTAATTTTATTATGTAAGTGTTTGCATTCATTGTTTTACATCCAGCAGGAAGATATGGTACCACATGAGTTAAGGACTCAGACCCAAAAGTCATTTATATACACAAGTATTAATTTAAAATATACACACACAGAGTTTAGAAGAAAATTTACCAAAAATTATTATAATTTAATATAAAAAAGAAAGAAGTTGTCTATATTCTGTTGAATGGGTTGTCCCACATGTTACAGTCACAAGAATTGTGAGTTAGAGTGCTGCAAATTATCTACAACCTTTACCACCCAAGACTGGACTGGTTGTGGTTTAGCAATCTCTTCTTCCCGTTAGTGAAAGTAGAGAGGTGGAAAGTACATTTTATCAATTTATTATTATCATTTCTTATAGGTTTTAGAGCAAAATGATCAATAAATATTTACTTTGTAGTTATAAGGCTTTTTGTTAAGCATTATGAAGTATTTATGGAACAGTATGAGATACAGCCTATGTCTTCAAGAAATAAGAAAGAACTCTGCACTCATTTACACAGAGACTAGCTACAATACAAACATTATTAGGAACAAGTGGACATGTGGAAAGATAAGAGTTTTATAAGACTGTGATAAACAGAAGCATTTTGTGATGAGTCACTTCTAACCATATTCATCATGTATTTATTGAACTATCTATTCTGTCTTAGCCCCAGACTTACAGAGATTACTAACGCAAAATTCCTCAATTTTACAAGTATATAATATAGTAGGGTGAGAGAATTTAGCTTCATGAGTTCTATGAAATGTGGCAGGATTTATAATGTTCAAATTTCTGAGAAGAAGAAGAAACGTGGTCAAGACTGTATGAATATAAGAGATGGAGTAGCTAGCAAATGTTTATATAGGTTAAATTCACTGAACAGTATGTTGAAATAACACAAAATTTAAAGTGTGTATGCATCAGACACGCTAAAACAGGGATATTCAAAGGTAATGTGTTTGTTTGATTTTGACACATAAGCAGAGATATCTACATACTAGCAAAAGTCTAAAACCAGACCTCTTGGGAAATTCAATAGTTTAGATGGGATAAATAGTCTGATGAAAAATGTGGATCCTTAAGCCTTGAGAGAGGCAGCATTGACCCCTGTAATTGGTTTGCAAGATACCCACAGCAAATTCTGTATCCTACAGATCTAAGTTGCCAAAGCTTGTTTTTTTGGTGGGGTTTTTTTTGTTTTTTTGGTTTCCTTTTTTTCTTTTTAAACAGATATAAACTCCTTCTCCTTTACACTGAATTTTGATTAGCTGGGCTTTATCTAGAGTTATGGCATACACTCAGATTGATCATTGTCTAAATTTCTACATTGAAAAAAAATCTATGTCAACAGTCTGAAATAGTGAAGACATTTGGACATGTTTTATGAAAGGTTTGAAATTATATTTTATTCAAAAATTTGAAAAAATCACCAAATACACCAAAGGCACACTTGAGCCCCACAGTGAACTCAGAAGCTCATTGGCAGTCTCTCTGAACCATGGGAATTCTGATTAGATAGCATCTTTTGGGTAATATTATTTCCCAATATGAAAGTGAAACTTGCGATTTGAGGGTTGGATCAGAAAGCACATCAATTTTATATGGTAAATGTAAAATATCATTAATTGGATATTTAACCTTTGCCCACACTAATCCATCCCAGTAACCCACCTCAACTTCTTTTTCTTCATCCACATCAATTCCTTATTAGCATAGGTGAAACAGACCACTACCTTTGTCAAAGAAAGTTTCATACTCTAAATTATGTTTCAATGTTAGGTATGTTAGCCTAAAACATAATAAACACAAAATTTGTCTTTTTTTATAATATGTATATAAACAAGAAAGAGGGACGTCAGGCATTCCACCCACTATTTTAGCAGGCTCCTATGACGTAGTGGTATGATTCCTTCTTGTTGCCTGTTGTCACTCACCAGTCTGTTCCAGGATCTGAGACCTTATAGGCTATAAATAAATGTTTGTTGATTCTTATTGCAAATTGCAAGTTAGTTAAAACAATTAACTATTAATTAGTTTATAATTGATAGATACTGAATTATGTGTATGAGATCTAATTTTATGCATTTACCATTAGTTTAAAAATATGCATTAGGATATATTAATGAAATCAAACTTTCAAAAGTATTGTTAACAATACTTTTCACAATATTTTAAAATCTAAAATAATTTTATATATTTTTAATGTGAACATTTAAAAATAAAATATAATATTTACTTTTGATATTATTATTAAATGTGAGGCTGCTTATTTTCACTTAACTAATGTTTACTGATTATAAATTAACCTAATTTTTCCCAACTCATGTTTCATTTTTACATTCTCAACCATTTATTGTTCTCCAAACATACTCCGAGATGTTCCACGTTAGTTATTTTGCTTATATACTTTCTCAGAATTGGTATGCCACCCAACTAAAGCATATCTATCAATGCAAATCTATCCATCCTAAGACAAATCAGAAATTCCTGCTTCTTCATAAAATTATTTCTGATTTATTGACTAAAATTTGATGTCTCATTTCACTAAATCCCCACTGAACTGAATTTATATTTCTTCTCATTATCTACTTATATACAGTCATGTCAACATGGCTGATTTTCATTTTATGGCTTCATCAGCCTGCAAGATTCTTGAGAGAAATAACTCTGTTAGTAACATTTGTCCTCCCTGCATCTAGCACCACATTGACTTGTGTATCAGAGACAGTTAATAACATATGTACTTATTTATCCCTAGCTTTGTTTCAAATTGTATTTGAGAAATAGTTCACCAAATTTCTTAGCTTAATTAAACTTAATTGAGAATAAAGTTATCAGATGTAATAATCTGTTCTCTGGGAAAAATTGTAATTGCTTTTACAAATGCTCTAAAAATTAAACATGTTTTTCAGTTATGTTTTAATAGACATACTTCTGACCCAAAATATGACAGTTTTTTCTTCTTTTAAATAAACAAAAATTTATACCTTTTAGCTGAAGATTTGCTTGATATGTACAAACACTTTCTTGACACGTATGCTGTAAAGGTTCATAAAAATAAAATCCAACCCTCTACAGCTCATGCTAGTTAAACACTATAATTAAAATTCCAGAGAGCACCAACGGAAGTAAAAGCAATTGTTAGCTATTCTGTTTGAACATTATGGAAGAAATAGTTACTGCAAATAAAGCAGGCAAATTGACTATTTGGCAGACTAGTCTAGGATAGTTACATACCAAATTGCAACAAGCATCAATGTATTACAATTGTGTCAATGATGTCATTCGAATAGCAATAGATATATTTTTTTTTGCAGAAATAGGTAGATTTTGTTGTTTTTAGTAAGTATTTTAAAGAACATTTGTGCTTCCACAGAGAAAGGCTGTTTTTACCAGAAGCTAGCTAGAGGATGTAGTCAGGTGTGTCCAGTTTAATGAGGCTGTCCGTGCATATTACATCTTGCGTCAAATAAAGAAAATAATAATTTAATGTGTTAGTTATGTGATAACAGTCTGGTAACAGAAATGACAGCAGTAGTTGAATGTATTTGAAATTGTAAACACATGGCCACAATTATGTAATTAGTATACATTTATTCTAGGTTTGTGAATTCGAGAAACCAGTATGAAACCATTTGCATGATTAAATGTTTTGAAAAGTTCTATTCCTAAGATTTGTTTTAGCCATGACCATGAGAAGAAATAACATCTAGATCTAACCATAACAGACCCCATATTGGGTCTCCATGTGGATCTTCTTGCAAACAATCCAGAGCTCTTATATGATTAAGTGCATTGATTATATATGGATATTCTACTCCCTGTTGGAATCCTCCCTCTATGTAGCACTTACCCATCCCTGATCCTGTCCACACTCAGAGTCCTATTATTCTCCCCAGTCATCACCACCATCAGCTTTCAGTAGGGGATGTCTATACTCTTTGAAATAGTTCTTATGCTATTCGATTATAAGGACATGAAGAATCATTATGCAGAACTATTATTTTAAATATTAAAGTGTTTTCTTTAGGAAATATCTATATAATGATGATGAGGATGTTGTGATATAAAATGACAGATATGTCATTCTATGGGAGTAGTGTTAAATTATTTAGATTTTTAGATTATCTCAGAAACAAGAAAGTATCTTCTATAAGTGACCTAGGCATCATCAGATCTCTATCTGTATTTGTCTATTTAATCTGCTTGATTTAACTGACTAGGATCAAAAGATGCTAGCTTTCAGGGTCTCTATACTAACAAAGCCAAACATCTAAAGCAAAATGGAATCAAAAAATCATTTTAAAAGGAAAATAACGAAGCCAGATTTTCATGTAGATAAATGCAGCACATGGTGATTATTTTTCTCATTTAACAAAGCTGCTTTGTAATGAGAAAGAATTCCCATTATTTCCAAAAGAATATTCCTAATAGCAATCAAGCTTGCCACCCTGCTTCAAATGGGGACTCAGGCGGCCCATCTATATTTGGTCCAGTGCATTATCTATGAATAGGGAAAAGCTGTGCAGGTAATTTATATGTTATGTATACCCCAGGTTATGTGCCTATCACCCATATGAAGCTCAGTGCTGTTGTGGCAAGCATTGAATGAAGAATGGAATACCATTTTATATTCTTTCCAGTTTCTGCTTTGTGTCAGCCTTACTTGACAATCATCTTTCCATGCTTATGTTTGCCTAAGTTCTTGCAATGCCGCTTAAACCTGTTTATTCATTTTACCCCTAGGAACACAATTGACAGACAGAAAGAAAAAAACAAAAAGATTTAAGTATGTCTAAAATTTTGAGAAATACCATAGCTTCCTTCTACATCAAACATACCAAAAGGTACGGAGAATCAAATTTTTGTCCTGTTACTCTACGAAATATAATTATTATTAAGGAAAATTTAAATGTGTATTTCAGTATTCTAATCCAGAATAATGTCACCAAAATATAATCTCTATAACAAAACACACTTTTCAACATGCTGTGATTATAAATCTGAAATTCTGAAATTCTAATGCATAAAACTATTTTAAAGGATTACAAGCCATAAAAGAAAATTACCAATTTTAAAGTGAAGAATTCTTAATAGCAGCAACTTCATGATGTCTCCTTTTGAACATTTCAAAATATTTAAGGGCATTTTCATCCTAGGGAAATGTTTCTAAAACTATTCAATTGGTCTTGTAAATTTAGACACTAATGAATACTCAGGTGAAATGTGTTTTTTTTTTTTCTATCATTAAGAAATGTGATGACTTTAGACCACATAAACAACAGGAGTGGCAGACAAGTTATCTTCCTAACTTCAAATTTTATATTTCTGATTCTATAATAGTAATAGCTCAAATAATTAAGTATGTGTGTATATATATAAATATGTATATGTGGATGTGTATATATTTATATATAATAATGGGAACATATTTTAATATAAAAAATTTAAATATAAGCAATTTGCTGTTTCCTCAAGGATCATCGTGTATAAAAATGGAAGGCACAAAAAGTTTGTTGCACTTGATATCCAGCAGAGAAATATTGAAATAAATCAAAGAATAGAAATCCCCTATTTCTATTCTTATTTTGGTGATGTCTTCTCTTTATTGAAGCTAACTCCATGTCAGAAATTTTATCTAAGTTTCCTAAAAATTACCATTACAGTTCTACGTAGTGGACAATATCATTATTTTTTATAGATGAGAAATAATGTTCCCATAATTCTACAGCAAATAAGTGGCAGAGTCTGGGATGTAATATAGATTTTTCTGACAATAAAGCTCACCTTCTTTTATCCTTGCACATTACTTCTCTGCTAACTTTGCCAGCAAGGATAAAAGACTCTTCTAGCACCACAACTAATCACCTACAATCCATACCTGATAATTAAACAAAATTCTCTCTTTACTATAAGCTCTCTTGTGAGTGAAGTGTCATAGTCACTGGTTTCTCTTCAGAGCTTGTTATAGTATCTATCACAGAATATTTAATAATTTTGAAAAAGCAAACAAATAGTTTCATTCATTCTGTGTAAACTCCATAGGAATTAGTTAATTCTCTGCAAAATTCTAATTTTAATGAGAAATTTAGAAGTATGATGAGAATTAACATCCCTAATTTTTAATGCAATAAGGAAGAAAAAGGTAATTAACATTCTTAAGGCAAAGCTATACACTCAAGGTAAAGCTATTAACTGATACACTCAAAATAACATTTCAGAGGTTTTGCATCGCTGGACAGGATAGAAGAAGAGACAAAGGGATGAGTGATTACTGTGATTTGTCAGTAAAATATTTGTTTTACTGTCGTATTTTATCCTCTACTCTTCCTTCTGTTTTTTTCTAGATCTACCAATCTAGATAGTGCATACAGGACACCCATTCAAATGCAAGGCAATACAAGCCAATCTTTAGATTATCAGCTTTGGATTTATATTATTACTACAGTATACAGGACTGTTGGTTTACGATAGTTTGTCTTTGGTGTCCTCTTTCTAAATCCTATGTCCCTTTCTGTAGGATTTTGTCTAACATGCCTTTCCACGTGATATGCTGCCAGAAAGACATTTTATCTCCCTTGGTGAACCGATCAAAAGCTTAGACTCAAAAATGCTGAAATTGCTTCGTTTATCTGTCAGGACATTCAAACCTCTCTAAGGCCAGAAGCCAAAAGAGGGTTTGAAAGGGAAAATGGTGTCAGAAATAGATCAACTTGACAGGATTTGCGACATTAAATCTCTCAGTTGCTGCAGAAAGGTCTAGAGTCTGTGAACCCCACTTAGTATCGTAGCAGAAAGCACTAGAAAATGCACATGGTGAAAGCAAACTGTGAGAAAACCAATCTATTTTGTCACTGAAAATCAATCATGTATCTCTTGCTTTTATGTCTTACACACATTTGTTCATAAATCACATGTGATTAATTGAGCCATGCAACCATATAAGGAAGGGGTTTTGCAAAAATCTGGCCACTGGTTGCAGGGTCACCACCCTTCTTCCAGTTTCCATCCAACTACTTTAAATGTCTTTGTATCATCACATGTGGGCAGCTGCGAAGTGATCATCAAATGAGGCCTTCCAATCAGAGTACAGGATTGCAGAGGAAGGGAGCCCTCACGAAATCACTCCACATCTAACCTCAGAGCCTCATTGAACTCCTCCATTTAATATATTTACTTAATAATAATCAAATACTGCTTATGCACAACACTCTTCTCAAATATTTTATATCTCCCCTCTCAAAGAAGCCTATTTTAACATGAGTGTAATCTTTCCAAGAGAACTAATTTATTACATGTATAAAAATAGTTTAATTTGCATATTACTTCAATAATTTCTATTTGAAAAGGTGAATTCATCACATTCTGGGATTTTTTGGTGGAAAAATATGTTATAAAATATTAAATATTTTAATAGAAATTAGACTTTTCAGATTTTCTTTTTAGTCAATTTTAAGTTGCAATTATTAAGAAATTTATTTCTTCCAATGTTACTGATTTAAATATTTTCAAAATAGACTTATTATTTTATTTTTATTTTTAAATTTTTATATTTAAAAATTAAATTAACACCAAGTAATTGAACATATTTATGAGGTACATAGGAATGTTATCATACATATTATGTACAGTTATCAGATCAGGGAAATCAACATGCCCAATATCACAAATATTTTTTATTTTTTGGGGTGTTAGGAACATTCAATATCCTCCCTCTAGCTACATGAAACTATATAATATATAGTCATTCTACAGTGCTATGAAACACTAGAGCTTAATCCTTCTATCTAGCTATAATTGCGTGTCATTTTAATGCCTTAGGTCTGCCATGATATTTTTTGCTTTGCTACGCATAATAGTAATACATATTTTCTATCTTTATTTTCTGTGAACAGATTTACTAGATTTCTTTTGTTTTAAAATGTTTAATTTTTCCTCATTCTAGCTTTGTCTTTACTGATTTTATTATATGGTTTTTATTTCATCATGGCTTTTTTGTTAATATTTTCTTTTTCTGTTTTTGAGGGGATGCATATGACATTCCTTTTCTACTTCCTTGAAATATGGTCTTAGAGAATTGAGATTCATACTTCTCTTCATATATGTATATTTCATATATATGGAAGCTGGTAAATGAAGTATATATATACTTCATATATATATACTTCTCTTCAAATACAGATATATTTATCTATATGTGTGTGTGTATATATATATATATGGCTCTGTAAAAACTTAAATAAAATAGTATTCTGATATGTAATTCAGTAATACTAAAATTTTCAAGAATTTAGCCAGACTTTTGAAAGCATTTGTTGGGGGTTTTAAAAGGTAAACATTGAAGAGCTTATTTCAGTATTTTGATGTTATTTCTACAGTAAAGGATTAGGGTACAAAGGTATTTTGTAAATATTTTTCAACATAAAGATATATTTAATATATACTGCCTTGTATCTGTAAGAATAAAAACTTAATTTCTCAACTGATTTTTACCATTTAAATGACATTTGTCCATTTACATTTTTGAAATAAATATACATGAAATTTGTATACATGAAGATAGAAGTTCATATTTAATCTTCTGATACTTTGTCCCTGAATTAATCAGCCCATTTATTATTTCAAAATGTTGGAATTAAATCTGAAATATCACTGACACCGTTCCTTTGAGAGAGACCATCAAAGCATTATAGGCATTATTAAAAACTGTGGGACAGTTAAATAGGGAGGTGGCAAATATTTCAGCAAGCAACTGTAACCAGAAGAGTTAAAATGTATGCTGATATTCAATTTATTTCTTTTTCTTCTCAATCACTTGCTGATGTAAATTGCCTGCCACATCACTTCTCATGCTACTCAGTAGTTAAAGATTTGTGGCCTGGCACAGTGGCTCACACCTGTAATCCGAATGCTCTGGGAGGCCAAGGCAGGAGGATTACTTAAGCCTAGTATTTAGAGACCAGCCTGGGAAACATAGGAGAATAGGGTCTTTATAAAAAATTTTTTAAAAGTTTCTGGGCATTATGGCACTGGCCTGTAGTTCCAGCTACTCAGGAGGCTGAGGTGGGAGGATCACTTGTGCCTGAGATGCTGATGCTGCAGTGAGCCATGATTGCCCCATTGCATTCCAGCCTGGATGACCATTTATCTTTTTTTTCACCTAAGTTATAAATACTATTTGGTGATTATTGTGATTTAGTTTTTGCATTTTATAACCTATTATAGTAAAATGCACTGCTGTGATATTTGTTGATATTCTTTACATTTAAGGTTTTAGCAACGTATTCAAATGAAAATTGTTAAATGAAATTTGCTCTTTGTTTGCTAGCTTATAATGTTCTTTCTTATATTCAGAATTAGATTAACTCTTCATATATTTAGTACTTTAATTTTTCTATAATCTTAAATATATTACACAATTAATTGCCATGAAACATAGATTTACGACATCAGCTAAATGTGAATCTGTTCTTAAGCAAATTACTAATAATGGATTGAGTTTGTGATTTTCAGGGAAAACGGATTCCTTTACACATAGTAGTAACATTGGAATTTTGGAGGTCTCTATGACAGGAAAAACTACTGCAATTCCATTCCTTAAAATAATATTGCCTGCAATATATGCAAATAATTGAAAATTTTTCCAAAGGGTGACATGGTCCCAGCAAGCCTGGTGTGTACTCCTTAGCTTGTGTTCTCCAGAAAACAGAGTCTGAAGCAAAGCCTTATCTGTTACATCTGTATTAGGAAACACAATCTCAGTAGTGAGGGAAAAGAGTTATGAGGTAGAAAAGGAGAGAGCCAATGCAATACCAAAGGGATGGGAGTTGTTTAATCCCAGACAAGTACGTGTAAGAATCCATATGATGTATTGCATATCAGATACATCTGCCAGAGTGGAGGTGTGGATGATGGTGAGGAAGAAGAAAGAATGCTACTCTGTATTTCTGGATTACATGTGCTTTTCTTATCTGGTGAGTATGCAGTGTTTCATGCCTTGGTAAGAGCAAAAAATTTTTTTTTAAAGATTTGGATAAAATAAGTGCTTTTTATAAGAATGAAACTAGGACTATGCAGTGTGCTAACCTAAAACTATCAAGGCCCTTGCAGGGATGACTGCTTCAGTAGAGAATGACTATAGCAGAACAAGTTGTAGGCATGAGGTTGGGGTCAGGCAAGAGTCACTTGTCTCTTTTGCAAAATTTAAGGGTGCATTGAAAACTCAATAATAGAGATAAATAGCATTTAACATGATACTTAAAAAATAAAATTAATGCAAAATCAGTAAATATAATATAGTTTAAACTAAAGACAAGCTGTTATTTGTTAGATTAACTACTTTGAGTCATGCAAAAAAAAAAAAAAAAGCCAAAAAGCAGTAGTTTGCAATGATCCAACATTTCCTGACCAATGCAGTCATCAGGATTTTTGCAGGGTAATTTGAAGAGGGTTGAAAATTGCCTACAAACAGATGAGGTAATTTGAGGCTTGACATAAAGTCTTTTTTTTTTTTAATTGTAGAGCTCTCAGTAACTTTTGCCATTTGGTTGAAAATAAAGAAAAATATTTTGATAAGTATCTATATGACTGCACATTTTTCCTTTTGTCTCAGATTCCAATATGACTCTACCTGGCCTGAACAAAAAAAAAAATGGTCTAGTGACAGGTGAGAACAATGAGATCTGAGGTGCTGCACATAAACTGTCTATAGCCCAACATGTCCACCTAATGTTTATCAGACCATCATGGCATCACTTTCTGTCGTTTGAAGTACAAAAGTAATACAACTCTTTCTCTGTGGCACGTACTATCTCAAATTACTTTAGAAATGATTCACTGTTGTGTTTTGTCATCTAAGAGTATTTGAGAAAATGTCTACTCTTACATGCTTTCATCCAGGAAAATCTTAACTTGAATATAAAGATAAATTATCCTATACTTGATTTAAAGCACAGGTGTTTCCCTGTCACCTTTTGTTCTGTCATACCTACATCAGCTGTCTTTAAGTTATCTTCTTTGAAGCCCATGAAAAAATAAAAATGTACAGATGATGTTGTATTGCTTTGATTCTGTCACATATGCCTATGTTTTCTTCTCAGATAGTTTTACATTATCAGATAAGAAAACCTTGAAATTAAGTAAGCGTAGTAAAGGATGTGAAATATGACTTCCCTCTTTTCTACAGGTTTCAACAGCCTGAACCAAGAAATAAACAATGAATGCCATTTACCTATACATCCTAGAGTTAACTCTGAACAAGTTCCAATACTATTAAGCTGCTGTTTAATAAATAGCCTTATGAAAGATTATACATGAGAGGAGAGAGAGTGGAGAGTGACAACATCTTTAGACAGAGCTGACTGAGGGCTATGGCACGCCCTTTCTACTCCCTTTGGGGAGAAAAAAGGAGGATGCAGGCTGACCTCCAGCCAAGTGTGCCAGGTATAAATGTATTGCCAAATCCATCCTTATTTGCCTAGTCTTGTGATAACTGAGCTGGGCCCTGCAGATATTCCTTCTTTGCCAGATTGCATAATGAAAGCATTTTCAATGAAAGGTGCTGGATGAACACTGTATGAAGAAGACAATTTTCTTACTGTTTAAAAGAGTTTGCTTGCTTGCTTGTTTTCCTTCTGTCTCTTACGGCACAATGAAAATGTTACCTCATCAGCAAGTGGGGTCTCATCAATGGGTGGCTTCCCTGACAGTGCTATGCAAGAGACCCAGTGGTACAAACCCCCCATCTGGTTTTGCCATTATCTTAGCAGGTGAATCCTAGTCAATACAGATGACACTCCCATCAGAGAGCTTCATAGTCCCTCTTGCTGGCACAAGATTCCTAGTGAGTGTCTCTTGTATTACAGTGAAAAGCTGCCCAGTGTGTTTCCTTCCCACTGTCCCTGGTTTATGGCACCTCAACAAAGTTCTCCACCATGAGTGGGCTCCAAGCGCGCATTCTTCAAGTTCTGAATATATTTTCCATGATGGGATCTTTCTTCTATATTTGTTCTGTAAGCCCTAGAGTTGGTGGATGCTTCTTATATCAGCTATACCTATAACTTTTACAGTTCTGTTTATCTTAATAGGTAATCCCCTGCTACTAATTTCTTGAATAAAAATTCTCCTTCACATTATCAGTGTAGTTTCTGCCTGCTGACTGATGTACAAAGCACATAATACTTTAGGAAAACATCCTTGATTACTCTGTTCTATATTCTCTTGAATCAATCACTTCCTAGCATAATAGATAATTTGCTTATGATGTGGTCATGGATAGCTGCAGTTTAGAACCTCTTTTTCTTTTTCTTTTTTCTCTGTCTTTATCAAATCCTTGCAATAGGGACTGGTTCTACTGCATTAAGTATGTATCCTAAATCACATGGCTTTTTCCTGTGTGTTTTACTTGCTTCACTTTCTTTGGGGAGACCTAGAATAATTTTTGTTCACTCTGTTCTGCTTCCATATAATTGCATCTCTTCCAACAGATGCTTTTGTTTATCATGATATATGAAGACGATTGCAACTAGCAAATATTTTTCCACTTCTGCCTACCCCGAGGAGACATTAGTGAGGTGGGCTAGCAGTATCATTACAATGTTGAATAGGAGTGGTGAAAACAGACATCTTTGTCTTGATCCCAGTGTTAGGGAGAAAGCATTCAGTCTTATTATTAAGTTTGATGTGAGCTACAAGTTTTCATAGATGCATTTTATCAGTTTGAGTAAGTTTCCAAAGTATTATTAGTCTGTTGAGAGATTTTTGTTGTTGATGTTATTTGTGGTTTTTAATTATGAAGTACTATTAAATTTTGTCCAAAGCTTTCTACCTATTTAGATCATCATATGGATTTTTGTTCTTTATCTTTGGATATGCTGAATCACATCAATTGATTTTCAAAGGCTCAACTTGTCTTCTTTGGATAAACCCTACTTGATCACCATGTATTATCTTTCTTATGTATTTCATATATATTAAAATTTTCTTAATGACACTTCCCTTTACATTACTGAGTGATACTGTTTTCTTGGTATTTGTTTCTTTGGTTTTACTATCTGGATAATGCTGACTTCATAAATTGAACTGGTGATTTTTTTCTCCTCCTCCAGCTATTGAAATTTTTTGTCAGAAATTAACATTAGTTTTGTCTTAATTATTTGATTATATCACCAGTGAAGCCATCTTGATCTCAGACTTACTTATGAAAAGTTTTTTAGAATTATTCATTGACACATTTTACCTTATATAAGACAAAACAAAAGGGACTTTCTATACAGTAATTTAGTCCAAATGAATACATAAAAAACACCAACAAAAATGCTTACATAGATAGAGTATAAATGTATTTTTCTTTGTAATTCTTTTCCTACATCATTGAAATAAAAACTGCATAAAGAAATAATTACAAAACATTGTTTATGTGTTTATATGTATATATAAATATATTAGACATAAATTATATGTATTATATATAAATATATAAAAATGCAACTTGTATGACAATAATAGCACTAAGTAGTGGAAAGAAAATAGAGCTAAATAGGAGTAAAATTTTTTAGTAATATTGGAATGAATTTGGTATTAATCTGAAGTAGGTTGTTATAAATTAAGTTGTAAATTTTAATCCCCAGAATGAGCTTTAAGAAATTAACTCAAAAAACAGGTAGTAAAAGAAATAACAAGGGAATTAAAATGGCTCACTACAGAATACTTAATGCAGATGAAAGAAATAATGGAAGAAAAGAAAAATAAAATAAGAAAAACATAGAAATAAACCAAAATAAATCCTACCTTAATAAATAAAATAAATCCTATCTTAACAGTAATTACAGTGGATGTCAATGGAATAAACACCCATCAAAAGGCAGAGACTGCAGAATGTAGGGAAAGAAAACAGGATCCAACTATACTCTATCTACAAGAAACACTTTAGTCTCAAAAAAAACACTACCAATATATTTTAAAGCATTAAAATAATACAGAGTATTTGCTTTTACCATAATGAATTAAAATAAAAATCAACAAAAAGAAGATGATTTGTAAATTCATGAATATGTGCAAATTAAACAACACCATCCTAAATAATCAATGGGCCATATAAAAAGGTCAAAAGAGGAATTATAAATACTTTTGACATGTGATCCAAATCCAGGAGCATATAAAAATAATTAAATACCATGTCCAAGTAGGATTTGTTCCCAGGTTACAAACTTGGTTCAACAAGTGAAAATCAATCAAATACAGCAAGTAAAATAAAGGACATCAATCACATGATAAACTCTACAGATACTGGAAAAGCATTTGACAAAATCCAACATCCTTATATGATGAAAACTCTCAACAAGCTAAAAACAAAAGAACTTTCTAAACTTAAAAAATGTTATCTATTTTAAAAACAGCTAAAATCATACTTAAAGAAGAAAGACTGAAAACTTTTTCCCTGAGACCATGATTGAGACAAAGATGTTGACTGTTAACATTTCTTTCACCATTGCAAAATGGAGAAACTAGGCAAAACCATGAAAGACATATAAAGTGAAAAAGAAAAAGCAACCTATCTCTACTTTTGGGTGATAGAATTATTTATATTAAAATTTTTTTTAAATATCCACCAAAGAAAACCCTAATGGAAATAATAAACAAGTTAAGCATAGTACAGGATACAAAATCATTATGCAAAGGTCACTATCATTTCCATACACTAGAAATAAACAATCTGAAAAGGAATTCAAGACCAGAGGCCAACATGGTGAAATCCCGTCTCTACTAAAAATACAAAAATTAGCCAGGCGTGATGGTGCACACCTGTAGTCCAAGATACTTGGGAGGCTGAGGCAGGAGAATCGCTTGAACCTAGGAGGTGGAGGTTACAGTGAGATGAGATCACAGCATTGTACTCCAGCCTGAGCTACAGAGTGATACTCTGTCTCAAAAAAAAAAAAAAAATAGAATATTTACAATAAAATCAAAGAGGTAAAATACTTAAGAATAAAGTTATCAAAAAAGGTGTAGAACTTATACATTAAGAACTGCAAAATATTATTAAAATTAATTAAAGATGACCTAAGTAAGTGAAATGATATCCCATTTTCTTGGGTTGGGAGACTCAATACTGCTAAGACAACAATAGTCTCTGAAATGGTCTATAGATTCTGTGCAATCTCTATCACATTTGTAGTACCATCTTGTGTAGAAACTGAAAAGAAAGCTAGTCCTAAAATTCATATGAAAATGCAAAAAACCAGGAAGAGCCAAAACAATCATGAAAAGGAAGAAAAAGCTAAAAGACTCACACTTCTGATTTCAAAACTTACCACAAAACTACAGTAATCAAAAGTATTGGGCACTGCCAAAAAGACAGAGATAGAGACCAATGGCATTTAGAGTCCAAAAACAAACTCGTACATTCATGGTCATTTTTATGATAACAAAATTTTGACAAGAGCATCAAGACAATTCAATAAGAAAAGATAGACTTTAACAAATGGTGCTTAGAAAACTAGATATCCTCACGCAAAAAAATGAAATCAGACCCCTACCAACACAAAAAAATAAAATGTAATAGCTAAATCTATACACGTCTTAGAAAAAAAATAGGAATGTATTTTTATAACCTTGGATTTAGCAGTTGTTCCTTAGATATCCCCAAAAGCACAAGGGGAAAAAGAAAAACAGATTATTTAGACTTCATCAAATTTAAAATCTTCTGTGCTTCAAAGGAAATCATCAATAAAATAAAAGTACAATCCACAGAGTAGGAGAAAATGTTTACAAATCATATATCTGCTCTGGTGGTAGTTTCTTTTGCTGTGCGGAAGCACATGAAAAATGCTCATCATCACTGGCCATCAGAGAAATGCAATTCAAAACCACAATGAGATACCATCTCACACCAGTTAGAATGGAGATCATTAAAAAGTCAGGAAACAACAGGTGCTGGGGAGGATGTGGAGAAATAGGAACACTTTTACACTGCTGGTGGGAGTGTAAACTAGTTCAACCATTGTGGAAGTCAGTGTGGTGATTCCTCAGGGATCTAGAACTAGAAATGCCATCTGACCCAGCAATCCCATTACTGGGTATATACCCAAAGGATTATAAATCATGCTGCTATAAAGACACATGCACAGGTATGTTTATTGTGGCACTATTCACAATAGCAAAGACTTGGAACCAAGCCAAATGTCCAACAATGATAGACTGGATTAAGAAAATGTGGCACATATACACCATGGAATACTATGCAGCATGAAAAAGATGAGTTCATGTCCTTTGTAGGGACATGGATGAAGCTGGAAACCATCATTCTCAGCAAACTATCGCAAGGACAAAAAACCAAACACCGCATGTTCTCACTCATAGGTGGGAATTGAACAATGAGAACACTTGGACACAGGAAGGGGAACATCACACACTGGGGCCTGTTGTGGGGTGGGGGGAGGGGGGAGGGATGGCATTAGGAGATATACCTAATGTTAAATGACGAGTTAATTGGTGCAGCACACCAACATGGCACATGTATACATATGTAACAAACCGGAACATTGTGCGCATGTACCCTAAAACTTAAAGTATAATAAAAAACAAACAAACAAAAAACAAATCATATATCTAATAAGGTATTAGTATCCATCATATATTTAAAAACCCCTTACAACTCAGCAATAAAAAGACAAACTCAATTTAAAAATTGGTCATAGGGTATAAATAAGAATTTCTCCAATAAGGGTACAAATTGTCAATAGGCACATGAAAAGATGCTCAACATTACTAGTCATTAGGAAAATGCAAGTTAAAAATCACAATGAGACATCATTTCACATCCACTAGGTTGCTCATAAATTTTTTTTAAAAGGCAATAACAAGTGTTATAGAGATGTGGAGAAATTAAAACTCTCATACATTGCTAGTAGGAATGTAAATGATGCAGCCACTTTGGAAAATTCCTCAAAAAGCTAAACATAGAGTTATCATATAATAGGCCATTCTATTTGTAGGTATATAACGAAGAAAATTGAACACATTTACATTTAAAATGTTGTAAATTAATATTTATAATATTCCTTATAATATCCCCAAAGTGGAAATAACCTAAATGTCCACAACTGATAAATGGATAAACATGTTGCATAACCATTTGATAAATTATTCATCCATGCAAAAAGAATGATACAGGTTACAAAATGAATGAAACTTGAAAGCATTATGCTAAATGAAAGAAGCCTGATACAAAAGGCCACATATTATAAAACTTAATTTATATGAAATGTCCAGAAGAAACGAGTTTATAGAGATTGAAAGTAGATTTATGTTCTTCGGAGTTGGGGAGAGGACAGAATGGGGAATGATTACTAATATAGGGTTCTTTCTATCCTTTCCTCCTACCTTCCTTCATTTTCTTCCTCTGATCCACAATATTTGTTTAGAACTTAAAATTTACCAGGTATTCATTTTGTAAGGTATTGAGAATACAGTGGTAAAAAATACATTGTCTTCAGGTTTGAGAAACTTAGAGCCTAATAAAGGAGTAACTTCTATTAACCTTGGCCTTGGTAATTTATCATCAGCCTGAAAAGCCCCTTAGAAATGAATCAACTAAATATTGAATTGCATAATGATTCTCTACTTTTCTAGTTATTTGCTACCGCAATAATTTAAATATCTGCACCCTCCACAAACATTGTGTGCCAATAAGTCTTTTAGCTTCTAGATTGGACCTTTATTTATATACCAATCTATTCAAAATTATTGAGCACCCAATATAATTTAGGCTCTATGACAGACATTGGGTGAATGATACTGGTCTGTAGAAATTATGCAAAGCATAGGATGTAGAAAGTTAAAGAAATATATACCATCAAAAATGTATGCTATGCACACAAATATCTCACCAAAACAAAAACCATGCCATACTATAAAAAAGTATTGATGAATTATGATTTAAGAGCTAATTTTCACCTTAGTAGTTGAGTACCATTATTTTATTATCTGATATCTATATTACCACTGTGAAAGCCTGCAATCAGTAAAAATATTCACTTGCAGATATAAAAATCTCTACACAACTCTCTACCCAAAAATAAGATAATATACATTCTACTCATCGCCACATGGCAAATACTCTAAAATTGACCACATAATTGGACATAAAATAAACCTCAGCATATGCAAAAGAATCAAAATTATATTAATACCAAACACACGCTCGGACAATAGCACAATAAAAAAAATCAAGACTAAAAACAAAGTACTCAAAACCAGGCAATTACATAGAAATATTAAACAACAGACTCCTAAATGCCTTTGGGGTGAATAATGATATTAAGACAGACATCAGGAAGTTATTTGATACTAATGAGAATAAAAATATACCTTACCAGAATCTCTGGGATACATCTGAGGCAGTTTTTAGAGGGAAATTCTTAGCACTAAATTCCCACTTAGAAAAGTTAGGAAGATCTCAAATTAACAATCTAACATCATACTGAAAGAATTGGAGAAATAAGAGCAAATCAAACCTAAAGCTAGCAGAAGACAGGGAATAATCAAAATCAGAGATGAACTGAAGGAAACTGAGACCTGAAAATCCACTCAAAAGATCAACAAATCCAAAAGTTAGTTTTTCAAAATAATAATAAGATAGACCACTAGCTAGACTAATGAAGAAAAGACAGAAGATCCAGAAAAACACAATTAGAAATGACAAAAATAATGTTACCACTGACCCCACAGAAATAAAAATAGCCATCAGAAACTACTGTGAACAACTCTACACAAACAAACTAGAAAACCTGGTAGAGATGTATGAATTCCTGGACACATACACTCTAACAAGACTGAACTAGGAAGCAACTGAGTCTCTGAACACACCAATAACAAGCTCTGAAACTAAATCAGAAATAAATAACCAACCAACCAAAAAAGCCCAGGACCAAAGAGATTGAAAGCTGAATTCTACTAGATGTACTTTAGAAGAGCTAGAAACATTCCTGGTGAAATTATTCCAAAAAATTGAGAAGGAGGGACCCGTTCCCAACTCATTCTGTGGGGCCAACATCATCCTGATACCAAAAGCTGGCACGGACACAACAATAGCAACAACAAAATCTTCAGGCCAATATTTTTGATGAATATTGATGCAAAAATCCTTAACAAAATACTGGTAAACCAAATCCAGCAGCACTTCAAAAAGCTGAATTGTCCACGATCAAGTAGGTTTCATTCCTGGGATGCAAAGTTGGTTCAACATACGCAAATTAATAAATGTGAATCATCACATAAAAGAGCTAAAGAAAAAAGCCACATGCCTACCCCAATAGATGGAGACATGGCTTTTGATAAAATTTAACATCACTTTATGTTAAAAACTATGAAAGAACATAGCTCAAAATAATAAGAGCCGTCTATGACAAACCCACAGCCAACATCATACTGAATGGGAAAATGCCAGAAGCATTCCCCCTAAAAACTGGCACAAATAAGGATTCCTTCTCTCAACACTCCTATTCAACAAAGTATCAGGAGTCCTGAGCACGGCAATTAGGCAAGAGAAAGAAATAAAGCATTTAAAAGGGAAGAAAGAAAGTCAAATGATTCCTGTTTGCAGACGACATGATCCTATATCTCATGTCGTCTCATGAGAAAACAACATAGTCTCAGCCCAAAAGCTCCTTCAGCTGGCAAACAACTTCAGAAAAATTTCAGGATAAAAAATTAATCTACAAAAGTTACTAGAATTCCTATACACCAACAGCAGTCAAGCTGAGAGCCAAATGAAGAAAGCAATTTCATTCACAATTGCCACACAAAGAATAAAGTACCAAAGAATACAGCTAAGCAGGGAAGCAGAAGATCTCTATAACGAGAATTACAAAACACTGCCGAAATAAATCAGAGATGACCCAAGCAAATGGAAACACATTCTATATTCATGGATAGGAAGAATCAATATTATTAAAATGAACATACTGCCTAAAGCAATTTATAGATTCAGTGCTATTTCCATCAAACTACCAATGACATTCTTCACAGAACTAGGAAAAACTATTTTAAAATTTACATGCAATGAAAAAGAGCCAAAATAGCCAAGACAATCCTAAGCAAGAAGAACAAAGCTGGAGACATCACACCACCAACATCAAACTATACTACAGGGCTACGGTAACCAAAACAGCATGACACTGGTACAAAAATAGACACATAGACCAAAGGAACAGAATAAAGAGCCCAGAAATAATGCTGCATACCTATAGCCATCTGATCTTTAACAAAGCTGAAAAAACAAATAATGGGATAGGATTCCCTATGCAATAAATGGTGATGGAACAACTGGCTAGCCTTATGCAGAAGACTGAAACCAGGTCCTTTCCTCACACCATATACAAAAATCAACTCAAGATGGATTAAAGACTTAAATGTAAAACCCAAAACTATAAAAACCCTGAAAGATAACCTAGGCAATCGCATCCTAGACATAGAAATAGGCAAAGATTTTATGACAAAGTTACCAAAAGCAATCACAGAAAAAGCAAAAATTGAGAAATGGGATCTAATTAAACTTAAGAGCTTCTGCACAGCAAAAGAAATTATCAACAGAGTAAACAGACAAACTACAGAATGGGAGAACATTTTTGCAAACTATGCATCTGACAAAGGTCTTATATTCAGCATCTATATGGAATGTAAACAAATCTATAAGAAAAATCAAACAAACAACCCCCTTAAAGAGAGGGCATAGATCATGAACAGACATTTCAAAAGAAGACATACGTGTGGCCAAAAAACATAAGAAAAAAGCTCAATGTCATTGATCATTAGAGAAATGTAAATCAAAACCACAATAAGAAACCATTTTACACCAGTCAGAATGGCTACTATTAAAGTCAAAGAATAACAGATACTGGTGTGGTTGCAGAGAAAAAGGAACATTTACACAGTATTAGTGGGAATGTAAATTAGTTCAAATGTTGTGGAAAGCAGTATGGTAATTCCTCAAAGAGCTAAAAACAGAACTACCATTTGACCCAACAATCCCATTACTGGGCATTTACCCAGAGGACTATAAATCATTCTATTACAAAGACAAATGCATGTGAATGTTCTTTGCACAATAGTGAACGCATGGAATCAACCTGAATGCCCATCACATATACACCATGGAATACTATGCAGCCATAAAAATATAACAAGATCAGGTCTTTTGTGGGAACATGGGTGGAGCTGAAGGTCGTTATCCCTAGCAAACTAACATGGGAACAGAAAACAAAATACCACATCTTCTTACTTATAAGTGGAAGTAAAATAAGAACTCATGAACACAAAGAAGAGAAAAACAGACACCCAGACCTCCTTGAAGGTGGAGATTGGGAGGGGGAGAGGATCAGAAAAAAAAAAATTCTACTGGGTACTAGGCTTAGTACCAGGGTGACAAAATAATCTGTACAACAAACCCCCTTGACACAAGTTAACCTATATAAGAAAACTGCATGTGTACCCCCAAACAACATAAAAGTTAAAAAAAAAAAAACCTCATTTCTGCAAATCCACATAGTTACGTAATTCAGAATATAGAGGGCAGTATCTGAACTCCGATTATTCAGCTTTCTTTTAATAAAATGAGAATAAAGTAGGCATGAGAATGACATTCTGAGAAATGAAATGGTACATATTATTTTATGGTATTTTGGAGAATTTATCATATGCACTCTTTTATGAGTTAATTATAAACTGAAGCAGTCATCACATTGTATAGAAAATGTAAACTAGTAATAGAACAGCTATTTACTCACAAGCACTATTTTCCCATTTACAAATACAGTGTATAACAATTTTCTGTTCTTTCCCATGTGAAGAAATTGTTTATAGTCCTAAACAATCTCTTTTCTGAAAGAGATTTAATTAAGAGTAGAGTAGTTTTATAAAGACAATCAGAATTGCGCTATTATTTGTATAAATAGTTAAGAACTAATGTAAAGGATGCTTCCTGCATAGTTTGGATAATGAGAAAATAAGTCAAGCTCTAAAAGGTTCTACAATGTTACGATTTATTCTGTTAAGCACAACTCTAAAAGTTGTACAGAACCAAAATAACCCAGGTCATTAAAAAGCATATTAAATTATTTTATAGAAATATATATGAAAACCATAGAAGAAATAATTTTATAGTAAATATAGGAAACCTATAATCACCATCTAAAAGTAGATATTACATATAATATATAACAACTTTAATTCACTTGTGCAAAATTTGTTTTTTATGTATTTCTGGCACTTTTAAAAAGGAATTTCAAGTAAACAAAAAAGGTGACTTATCACCGTGTCCACATAGATGGGTTCTAATCAGCAAGTATAATTTCTGTTTATTCCATTACTTTCTCTGCCATCCAATTTTCCCTGGAGAGTTCTCTCTTTTTGAGCTTGATATATATGACCAAACATCTGTTGGTCATATCCAAAACTGAACTGAAAAGATAAATCTAGATACAGGTTGAGTATCCCTTATTAAAAATGCATGAGAACAGAAATGTTTTGGGTTTTAGAATTTTTTTCAGATTTTGGTATATTTGAATATACATAACAAGATAATTTGGAAACGAGATCCAAGTTTAAACACAAATTTATTTATGTTTAATATATACCATACACACACAGCCTTGTGGTAATGTTATATAACATTTTAAATAATTTTCTGCATGAAACACAGTTTGGACTATATTTTGACTGCAACCCAACACATGAGTTCAGGTATGGAATTTTCACTAATGGTATCAGGTTGGCACTCAAAAAGTGTCATATTTTAGAGCATATTCAAACTTAAATTTTTGGAGTAGGGATGTTCAACCTGTGTAGATATTTTTATTTTCTAGGTCAAAGGAAAAAATTAATCAAAGGATAATACATTTCAACACAGAGACTGGATCATCTATTTTCAATGAGCTGATTTTTAAAATTTGTCAGAAAATATGCATGTTCAATGGGAAAAAAATCAAAGCAGAAAGACAAATAATTCATAAAAATAAAATGCAAGTTGCTAAAAATAGTGATATAAATACCAAGATATATTTAATTGATCAAATTGTTCAATATTAAAAGTAATAGCATTCGGGGTTGGAAAGGATACAAACAAGCCTCCTCAGATAATATATTCCTGTTGAGAGTATAAATTGATACAATATTTTAGAGGAAATTTAACAACAAAAGTAATCAAAAGCCTTAACACTTTATGTACCCTATGCCTGAGCAATGTCCTCTAAGAACTTATGGGGGAGGAAAAAATACAGAGATGGGCAAATAATTTGCCTAGGGTGCTCATTCCATTGGGCTCGAATCCTGATTTGATCTCACATGAGAAATAAGGGATATAGATTTAACTTCAACAGTAATCAAGCTATAATATTGATAGATGCTCTAGAGATGAACAAGAATATTGAAAGGTCTTATTTTGAAAATAAATTGGACTAATACTTGAGAAATTTCTGTATTGAATAACCAAATAAAAGGGTGGTGAATATGTGATATAAAAGGAATAGTCAAGTACTTGGAGAACATACAATCACAGAGATAAGAGAACATTTCAGAAAGAACAGTCAACTATCTCCAATCTGACAAGGAGAGTGAGGACTAAAAGATGTCCTGTCCATTCGATTTATGATATTAAAGCTATGAGAGAACTTAGCAACAACTTGTTTGTTCAGCTACTCCCAGTAAAAATATTCTTTCTTCATGGGCTGGGCTCTGTGGCTCACGCCTGTAATCCCAGCACTTTGGGAGGCCAAAACGGGTGGATCACCTGAGGTTAGGAGTTCGAGACCAGCCTAGTCAACATGGTGAAACCCCATCTCTACTAAAAATATAAAAATTAGCCAGGCATGGTGGCACATGCCTGTAATCCCGGCTATGTGGGAGGCTGAGGCAGGAGAATCGCTTGAACCCGGGAAACAGAAGTTGCCGTGAGCCAAGATTATGCCATTGCACTCCAGTCTGGGTGACAAGAGCAAAACTTCATCTAAAAAAAAAAAAAATTCTTCATGGACACTGGTCTTTTTCATTATTTTCCTTTTACAATAAATTTAACTATTTTTATTCCAAATCAATTTATTTCCAACATAGGCCTTTTAATATTAATTTAGAGTTATAGTATGAGAGTCAATCACCATGGTTTGGAAGGGGCAATAGATGTTTCTTCATTCTGAAACATATGGGCATCGGTGGGATTGCTCACCTAAAGTGTGATGTCAATACCAAACCCCTGAGCTTATCCAACCCCTCAACCCATTTTACCCAGTCTTACTCATCTCAAATAATTGAAACCCCTTTCAGTTCTTCAGGCCAAAAAAATGCCGTCATATTTCCCTCATTTATTTTGCATGGTACATCCAAAATGTCAGCAAATCCTGGAGACTCTATTTCCAAAGGTATACAGAATCTGATTTTGTATTACTCCTTACTGCTGACATTTGTTCCAAATCAGTGTCTCCTCACACCTGAATTATTGAAGTAGCCTACTAATTTTTCACCCTGCATCCACCTACCTTCCCCACACTTTGTTCTTAACTCAAGAGCCATCTCTATACATTTTAAATTAGTACTCGTTACTTCTTGGCTTAAATCTCTCTAATGATGTCTGTTCTAACAAAGAGTATTACACAGCATTCTTACAATGACCCTCATTATCTCTCTAACCTCATCTCCTTCTACTTCCCCTCCACTCAGCTAGCTTCACTGACAGCCTTGCTGATAATGGAGCATCCCAGGATGCATCCTTCCTCAAAGACTTTGCAGAGGATTGTTCTGTTATTTCTTGGTAACACTATACTTTCTTTACATGTTTTCTCACACCCTTCTCATTGAGACAGTCCCTGTCCACCCTACTTACCATGCTATTGTCCATCCCAGACCCAGCTTTTCCTATTCTTTCTTCACTTTTTGTTTTCAATAAAACACCATTATCTAAAGTCCTATACCTTACCTATTTCTATATTCCTCACGCACAGAATAGCATTGATGCACAATAGTTGCAAAATTAATATTTCATGAGTGAATGAATCAAATATCCACTGAAATATTCATCATGTTTGGCCCCAATGAAATGTCTCATGTTGCTTTCTGCCTGTCTTCTTCCCATTCAGAGGTATTTTCTCTCCTCTCTGTTACCCTGGGAGGCAGAAATTATTCTGCTGTTTCCCACTTGTCATGGAAATTTTAGCGAGAGTCAGAGACCTGTTACTCAGCTTATACTATATGCCCATTCTTTTAATAGGGTTTTGCAATCCTTCCTCTTGCTCTTTTTGACCCTGAAAAATATGTGACGTATTGTTACTTCGATGGAGGTTTGACTTAAAAAAAAAAAATAGGATGCAGATTATTTCTTTCCAGGACTCTACAATATCGCTTCCACTCTGGGTTTTTGCCCATATGCCCTCATTTTGAGAAAAATATTTTTTGATTCAATTTTTTCTTTTTTTCTCAAGCAAGCAAACAAGCAAACAATCTATAGTTGTCCCCATACTTCTCATCTCCCTTATTTTTCTACGCCCCATACACAACAACAACAAAATTTAAAAGCAAAACAAACACCTAATTGCTAGCTGTGCTTTTAGCCGCAAATTACATTGCAAAATTTTGTAAACTAAATTGGAGTGCATGGTCTATTTTATAGACTTCTGGGGCTTCTTTTGCCCTCAACTCAGATAAAATTTTATATGTTATTATTTAGGTTAAAAAAAAAAAGACCATTGCAATGCTCATTCAATCAATGTCAAAAAAAAAAAAACTGGAGCCTAGGAAATGCTGTTAAAAGCCCATTTGACCCTGATGCCTAGCATGGAGTCGTCCAGCGGAATCTTTAATCTTGACTGTCCTTTGGTAAGGAGCAATTGGGAGGAACAGGGAAGAGGTTGGGTGGAGGGTGGTGAGACGGTTGTTCACAGATTACTCCTCAAGCCATGTGGAAGGCAGGAGAGAACACAGACCCAGAGAGCTAACTCAATGATCAGGCCGCATGAGGAAATGAATGAGAAATTGAGTCATATGTCATATTTACAGAACTTTCAATGAAAAGTGACTCTAAGACTGGCTTTAAAAATTGCCAGATTAGAAAACTGTCTCTGAATTTACTAAGACACTAAGTATGTTGTGGGAGAATAAATAATAGCGTGAAATTAAGGAGGTCATACCACCTTTCCCTAAACTTTGAAATGGAACAGATTTCGCCTTAAAATGTCTCTCCTTTCATTGCATTTCTTAGGGAACATTTATTGTTTTTCTTTGATTTAGGAGTCAGGGGCCTATAATTATTCAGCGGATTTTATGCAAATCTTACTTGCAATTTAAAATTATTTCAATTACACAAAACATATATACCACATTTAGTATCCTTTCCTATCCATTATTGTCCCTTGGCTTCCCCTCTTTGTCTTCCCACAAATGCAGTCACTGACACAAGAAATTCAGTGTGATTAGTTAATTGGGAATAGAGTTCAGTAAACCTTGCTAGGGGAGTAGAAAAGTGAGACAAAAGAAAGGAAACCAGAGGGGTATAGTATCAGGAAAGTTATCAACTGTGAGCAGAGGAGTACCCTGATCTCACTGACGAATTCTAGGAGACAGCATAGACAACATTCCTCAGAATTATTCCCATGAAGGGCAAAAGAGTGAGATATTTAAATGTCACATCCTCGTCCATCACAGTTTGAGAACTTCTTCCATAGGTGTTAATTCTAAGGCATTTATAGCTTACTTCCCTGGAACTGAGTCTGCTCCTGCAGTCAAGGAGAAGCCCCGAAGCAGGGAATTGCAGTGACTGCAGGAAACATTGGCGTGAAGGCAAGTATTGACTGACCATGGGTGAATCCCAACAATCTGCAGCTGTATTTCGTTTACAGAATGGAATAGTAATTTTGTTTGGCTTCATTTGCTCTATTTCACACTTACTCTGTAAACTTGCTTAGCTATTTTCTTTTTTGCTGATTTTGTATTGATTTTGTCATCTTTTAAAAAACTCTCTACACCTCCTGATGCCATTCAGAATTTCTGTAGACTATTATTCTTGATTTTACCTTTATCAGAAAATCTGTTGGAGTAGCTGGCTATACAAACATAAGGCTTCCAATTAGAAAGAGCAATGGATTCGGGAAGGTTATCCATTTGGATTTTGTAGATTTTTCTTCCATCATTAAGCTACTACTGTCAACTCTCAGTTATAATTACATTCCATCTTAAAGCAGACTGACTGCAAAGAGCAAACCAAGCACACCATTCTAGTCTCTAAGGGAACCATTCGGATAGGGTGTAATTCATTTGTGTAAGCATTACCATATGTTCTCACATATTGTGGATTTTAGTCTCATGCCATTTACACTGTGGACCTTTCAATAAAAGTGATAGCTGTTACTGAAGTGCTCAGTGTGTGAACTGGCTTGCAGGGATATTCTAAGGATGGTTTCTCTCACCAATATTATGAGTTAGATAACTTAGATAGAGGCTGGCAATTTAAATTAATAAAACATTATACGTTTTTAGGTGATGGGAAAATAAGACATGGTAGGAGAATATTTCTGAAGTTGAAAGAATTCTTTTTTCCAGTAAGCCTTTTGCACTCCTATGAAATAATTTAAACAGTGGCCGCTAACCTTTTTGGAATCAGGGACCAGTTTTGTGGAAGACAAATTTTCCACAGACCAGTGGGGAGGGGGAATTGTTTAGGGATGATTCAAGAACATATATTTATTGTGCATTTTATTTGTATTATTACATTGTAATATATCATGAAATAATTATACAACTCACCATAATGTAGAATCACTGGGAGCCCTGAATTCGTTTTCCTGCAACTAAGCAGTCCCATCTGGGGGTGATAGGAGACAGTGACAGATCATCAGGCATTAGATTTTCAAAAGGAGAGCACAACCTAGATCCCTCACATGCGTAGTTCACAATAAGGTTTGCACTTCTGTGAGAATCTAATGCTGCCACTGATCTGACAGGAGGCAGAGCACAAGCAATCAAGCCGTAATGCAAGTGATGGGGAGCAACTGTAAATACAGATGAAGCTTCCCTGGCTCACCAGCCACTCACCTCCTGCTGTGTGGCCCAGTTCCTAACAGGCCAGGGATCAGTACTGATCCATGGTCCAGGTGTTGAGGACCCCTGATTTAAACAACTAAAAAATCTACCCCAGTAAATCATAGCTAAGCAAGAGTAAGAGGAAAAGATTGATGCTCAAGACAATAAATTCCAGTCCAATTTGATCTCTCTTTTTTCTTAACAAAGTGTTGACGTATACAAGTATGTGAACATGTGCAGTTATCAGAAAAAAGGAAAACATACTGAAACAAATTTAATAAATTAAAAGTAGATGACTTTCATGTTGATATTTTAAATCAAATTTATAGAGGTATAATCTATATACAAGTTGTATCTAATTTGACAGTACAATTCTGTGAGTGATCACAGATGTTATATGGATAACTATCACCTCAAATTCTTAGATATAAGATCCCTTATGGCCATTGGAAGTCAGTACAGCATTTCTTATCAGCCCATCTGATTTCTGTCACTAGAATCAGGTCTGATTTCTACTGGTATAATATTTTTTGGCTAATTCTTGAACTACATGTAGGAGGAATTATAATATTGTACCTTTTGTGTCTCACTCGTTTTGCTCAGCATGTTTTAAGATTCATTCCTGTGACTGTATCAGAAGTATATGTATTTGTATTGCTGAATAGTACTCTATTTCATTAGAAAATCAGTTTATTTGAGCTATTTCTAGTTTTGGGGTAGCATAAATACAGCTTCTATGAATATTCCGACTGTATGTCTGTTTGTGGATATATATTTTCATCTTTTGTAGCTAAATTCCTAGGAGTGGAATTGATGGATCATATGGTGAACGCTTTAAGAAACTGCCAAATTCCAGAGGTTGCAGTGAGCCAAGAACATGCACTGTACTCCAGCCTGGGCAACAGAGTGAGGCTCCAGCTCAAAATAAATAAATAAATAAATAAATAAATAAATAAATAAATAAAAACCCTGCCAAACTCTTTCAGTATAGTTGTACCATATTATAATCCTACCAGACAAGGATGAGGATTTCACCTACTCCACTTCATCATTTCCATCATCAGTGATGTTAACTTTAGTCATTGCAGTGGTTATAAAGTGAAAACTCATTTTTGTTTTTATTTTTATTTCCATGGTAAATATAATTCTGGGCATTTTTTTGCATGTGCACTGATCACTTGTTTAATTTCTTTGTTAATTTTCTATTAGAAAATGTGTCTTTTGTTTCTTTCTTTATTGACCTCATAACCTGCAAATGGTAAAATTTTCTTTTTCATTCAGTTTTTTTAGATTTGAAAACATTTTCTTTAAAAACATCATGTCATCTGTGAATAATAACAGAAGTATTTTCTACTTTCTAATCTGTAGGCGTTTTAAAAATTTTCTCTGCCTTATTGCACTGATCAAGACATTGAGTGAAATATTGAATAAAAATGGTGAGGGAATATCTTGCGTTGTTCCCAGTATTAGGAAGAAAATATTGTGTTTCATTATTATTTTTATATGAACCACAGGCTTATTATAAATGGCTTTGTCAAAGTTCTATTGCTAATTTTCCAAGGATATTTATTATCAATAAGTACTCAATTTTGTTCAACTAATTTTTTTCATCTCTTAATAATCATAATAGTTCTTCTTTTAGTACATTAAGTGATTTTTTCCTAGTACTTTGAAGATGTCCCTGCATTGTCCTCTAGCTTTCATATTTTTTAAAATAAATATCTGCTATAATTCTTATATATTTTTTCTTTTTGTGGATTATGTCTCTTTTCTCTGGTTGCCTTAAAGATTGTTTACCTTTGGTGTCCAGCAGTTTGATGAGGATGTATACAGGTGTATTTACTTATTTATCCAGGTAGGTGTTCTTTGAGATCTTTTGATCTGTAATTTAATTTCTTTTATACTGATATAGTTTGGATATTTGTCACACCAAATTTCATGTTGAAATTGATCCCCAGTGTTGGAAGAGGGACTGGGTGGGTGGTGTTTGAGTCATGGGGGCAGATACCTTATGAATTTCTTGGTTCCACCCTTACAATAATGAGTGAGTTCTTGCTCTGTTACAAGGAGAGCTGACTCTTTAAAAAGCCTGCCATCGCCTCCCTCCTCTCTCTTACTCCCTGTCTCAGCATGTGACACAGCTGCTCCCCGTTTGCCTTCTACCATGAGTAAAAGCTTTCTGAGGCCTCACCAGAAGCAGGTGCTGGTGCCATGCTTTTTGACAGCCTGCAGAACCATAAGTAAAATAAACCTCTTTTCTGTATAAATTACCCAGCCTCAGGTATTTCTTTATAGAAATTCAGAATGAACTAATACACATACTGTTTTGCAACCATTACCTTTTCAAATTTTTTTCCTTGAGTTTTCACTTTCTCTGTTTTTCTAAACTCCTCTGGGACTCCAATTATATGCATTTTGGACTAGTTGACATTGTCAGTATTTCCCTACAGTTTTTAGAAGCTCAATTCTGGTTTTTGTTTGTTTTTGTTGGCATGTTTGTTTGCTTGTTTTCTTTTTTTTTTTTTTTTGCTCTTTTATTTCAGTTTGAATGATTTTATTGACCCATGTTCAATTTCATTGATTCTTCCTTCAGCTGTATAGAGTCTATTAATGAGACTCAAAAACTTTCTATCTCTGATATTGTGTTTTATATTTCCAGCATTTTCCCTTGATTCTTGCTGCTGAAATTTCTCATTTCATGCATATTTTCTATCTTCTCCATAAGAGTCTTTCACATATTAATCATAGTTGTTATAAAATCCTTATCTGATCATTTCCAAATCTGGGCCATCATGTGCCTGATTCTGTTGATTGCTTTATTTCTAAGCAACAGACCATCGTTTTCTTCATGTTGTTGTTTTTGCTGTTGTTTTTAGATGTGTCCAAAAGTTTTGGATCAAACGCCATATATGGTATCTACAGTAAAGGTAAAATGCATTATAACTAAAAATAGCAATGCTTCTGCTTTTGGGTCAATATTGTAGGGAGTTAGGATTTGAACTGGCTTTGAATTTTGTTCATGCTGTGGTTACCATCAGTCCACCACAAGCTTCAAATTTCTCTAGCATTTGGTCACTGTTGCCTGTGCTCAGGATGGGCACCCTTCAATCTGGATGCTGTAGGATATTCTTGGTTCCCTTTCAGTTTTCAGCTAACCTATGCTTGTGCTGCAGAATAGATATTTCTCCACATCCTTGCCCCAGCCCACGATGGCTACATAATTTGCAGAGACCTGTTTTTAAAAAGAAGGAGGGAAAGTGCCTAAGTAGTAAATGTTTGATTGTTACTCAGTACTAGGCTCATGGTGAGAGAAGATTCTCTAGTGTTCTGGTCCAGCCTCAGTCTTAGGCCCGCTGTGGGCATCTGGGCCTAAAAGTGGGACTTTCTCTACCCCTGCTTTCTTTTGCAGCCAAGCATTGCTGTGTATCTGTGGTTAGATTAGATGGAAGTTTTTCATTACTTTTCCCGTGGTAGTAGACCTCTGCTGAGTTTTGTAGATTGATATTGTTGGTTGCTCTTACCTTTATTCTTTCTTGTCTTCTTTTATTTTTACTCATGTTGGGTTTATTTACTCTTTCTTTTCTACCTTCTAGAGAGGAAAACAGTGATCATTGATTTTTAAAGTTTCTCATTTGGTAATATAGACATTCAAAATATGTAAATTTGCCCTACATACTGATTAAATTTTCAATGGACATATACTCAAATTTTTAAATATTACATATTAATTAGTGTTCCATTTAAAATATCTGATTTCTCTTTTCATACATGTCTTCTTTGACTGAAATTGTGCTAGTTGACTTCCCTATACTTTGGAATTTTTCTAGATAAACTTTTTATTGATTTATAATTTAATTACACTGTGTTCAAGAACCTAATCTGTAAGATTTCAAGGTTACAAATTAGCTGAGAATTATTTTAGGGCACAACAAACATTTGGTCTACATTGGAGAACATTCTATGTGGGAAAAAATATGTTTTATTTGTGTGCAAAATATCTCTCAATCAGGGCTGTCTACAGAATTTTTAGGGCCTAATAAAAATAAAAATGCAAAACTCCTTATTCAAAAGGAAGGTATCACACACTGGGGCCTGTTGTGGGGTGGGGGGAGGGGGGAGGGATAGCATTAGGAGATATACCCAATGTAAATGATGAGTTAATGGGTGCAGCGCACCAACATGGCACATGTATACATATGTAACAAACCTGCACGTTGTGCACATGTACCCTAGAACTTAAAGTATAATACAAATATATATATTAAAAAAGAAAAGTACCATGAAAGTGCTAATATATAAAGTTTCTTTCTTTTGGGAAAGAAAGACCTGTCATGATTTGTTTTGTTGTTGTTGTTGTTTTCACTATGCCCTTTCCTATGAAATTATGGGATGCATATGTCTAACTCTCCACCTTTGTCCAGGTACTCGGCAAGGGCAAAGAGAGACAACTGATGCTTGGGAGGTGCAGGGAGAAAGGGAGATTAAGTAGGACTGGGGCACCAAAGCTGGGGAAATAGATGGCTGGGAACCTATTCCATAGGGGCAGACAAATGGCAGGAAGTGGGACCAAGTGAAAGATAAGGCTCCAAACCCTGATGTATGTTTCATTGTCCTATTGGACTTCACTTAAAAATGCACAAATTCAAATGTAAAAATATTTTTCTCTTTGGCCAAGACTATAATATACAGATTTCATATATTCAATTTAAAGGGTACTTAATGTCAATTATTGAAATAAGTTTGGCATTATAGGAAGGATAAAATTAAAGACAAGTTTGTCTATATTCTGGCTGGATTAGAATGGTGTGGGATCTAATGTATGTTGTTAATGTTGTTTTGAATTGCTTGATAGTTTTATTTTGTTTTGCTTAACCCTTTAAATATAGTAGCTTGTAAGATCTCTTATAAGATCTATAAGAACTTTTGCAAATGCTGTATTTACATAGTTTTTTAACCTGGTTACTTTTTCTCAAAAATTCTTTGATCTCAATGAAATTTTTACAATAACTTCTTTATTATTTTTCAGTAATAAATGCATTATTAATGAAAAATAAAGTTGAAAGTATAAAGTGCTCAGATACAGAATCAGTTAAGTCTCTCTTTTTCATTGGTCTATGTCAAAATCATGTCACTTACTATTATGAGTTATGTAACTAATTAAGTTCTGCCAACTTAAAGTAGACTTTTGTTTCCTAGGACATTAATTACATTTCTCATTGTTTAGAATTCCAAAAATGCAATAGTGTTTACTCTGTCCCCAATTACCTATTTTAATAATGTATTCAACTATTCTTTATGTTCAATATTTTATATAGTAGCAAAACAATACAAATTCTCATCCTTTAATTTCAAGATAAATTTATTTTAAAAGTGTTGTGATTTTTTATGCCTTTGCTCAATTGTGAAACCACCACAAAAGTTGTTTCAGAAGCTTCTAGATAAAAAAAGTTTAACCTTTCTGGAAAATATTAGCTATCTCTGCCTTCTAGGTCGGGATCTTTATTACATGTTTTCTGAATTCTTCTAATTCTCTAGAAAATTTCTCATATTCTTCCTTTCTATGCTCGTGCTTGTTTATTTAAAAATTTTAAGGAGCTTCTGATTGTTTGCATCATTGTTCTTACATCAGAACTTCTCATTTTACAATATGTCTTCAATGTTGACAGTGTAAGATTCCAGGAAGTCCTGGGGAAATATTTTGACTCTGTTACAATCATCTTTAATTTTCAAGCCTTTTGGAATCTTAAATTCATTTCTCCTCTGTCAAAATGCATTCATCCTGGGTAAAGATTGTCGTTTTGCTTGCCTGTAATCATCCTCATGGCAGACACAATAAAGATGTTGCTGACATCAATAGGATTAGGCAAAGAACTCAAACTTGTCAAGATACTTCATGTTTGGTATTTGGCTCTCACTTTTATAAACTTAAATAGGCTCACTATATGCTGGATGGATTTGCGATTGTCCAAAAGGAATGATTATATGTGCTTAATCAGAATTTCCAAAAAAAAAAAAAGCAACAACAAAAAAACCTTCTACAAATCCAGATGATTCTGTAGTAGTAAAACACACACACACACACACACACACACACACACACACACACACACACACACAACCCCCCACAGCTGTAAGTCATATTTTCAAATTTGATTGCAGCCAATATTGGAATTTAAATGGGTCCATGTAATTAAAGTTTTCATTGATTTGATTCTCTTGTGAAGCTCCTTAACATTGAACAAGCCTTTCAGGTGGTTCTATATCTTAGGCATATGGAACACAGCCTCTACCACAAAAAGGGGAAATGAACTAGATTAGTATTCAGTATAGGTGAATCGGATAGAAATTCTAGCCCTTTATAAGAAACAGTTATCAGAACATATGGTACTCTTTTTATTCACCAGGCCTTTTTCGGGGAAGGTAACATTGCATGAGGTTCTCTCTTCTAGTTCATTGGAAATGATTTTATTACCCCAAATAGAAAGATACTTACTGACTAATCTGTGCCAAATGCATACCAGCAGGAAGTCAATTGAATGTGGTTTAATAAAAGCCAATAAAGGCTGCTGCTGCTTCATCAAATAAGCACATAGTATTTTTAGAATAAAAAGTATTCTGAGTTATTCAGAATATTCATGTTAAACTCAATTTTAGAAGAATTAAATTTTAAAAATAGTGATTCCAAAGTAACTATTATGTGTATAAAATAGATTAAAGAAAATTAGTAGGATTTTTGCATCTATGTCTATCAGAGATGTTAGCCTGAAATTTTTCTTGTACTACCCTTGTCTGTCTTGGGTATCAGGATAATGGTGACCTTGTGAAATTAATTTATAAGTATTCTCTTCTCTTCCATTTCCTGAGTTTGATAAGGTATTGTATTGCTTCATAAAATGTTTGGTGGAATTCAGCTATAATGCCATCTCACGTCTGGGGTTTTCCTTTGATGAGAGATTTTTATTATTGATTTAATTTCCTTACTCATTTTTGGTCAGTTCGGATTTTCTATTTCTTCATAATTCTGTCTTGGTAAGTTTTATGCTTCTAGGAATTTATTCGTTTCTTTCAAAACAAGACATACAAATTACCAGCAGATATAAGAACAGGTGCTCAACGTCAGTAATCATTAGGGAAACGTAAATCAAACCCACAATGTGACATCATCTCATAACTGTTAGGATTATTGTACCCAAAAAGATAAGAGATAACAAGTATTGACAAGACTGTAGAAAAAAAAAGAAAATCTTGGTAGTTATGGTAGTTCCAGTTTTAAATTTGGGGAACCTTCATACTATTTTTCATAATGGCTGTGTAAGAAGGTAAGTTAGCATAGCCATTGTGAAAAACAGTATGAAGGTTCCTCAACTTTAAAAACAGAACTACCATATCATCCAGCAATTCAACTAGTGGGCATACATTCAAATAAAATGAAATTAGTACATCAAAGAGGTATCTGCAGGCCCATGGTTATTGCAGCATTATTCACAACAGTCAAGATGTGGGATCAACTTGTATCAATCAACAGCTGAAGGGGCAAAGAAAATGTGGTGCACACACAATGAAATATATTCAGACTTGAAAAAGAAGGAAATCCTGTCATTTGTGACAACATAGATAAACCTGGAAGGACATTAGGCTAAGTAAAATAAGTCCAGCACAAAAAGACAAATCCTGCATCATCTCACTTGTATATGGAATCTAAGGAAGTCAAATTCATAGAAGTAGGGGATAGAATGCTGGTTTCCAGAGGCTGGGCTGGAAAGAGAGGAAAGTTGTTTCATGGGTGTAAAGTTTCAATTTTGCAAGGTGAAAAGGTTTTGGAGATCTATTGCAAAACAAGGCAAAGATACTTAGGACTACTGAACTTACACTTAAAAACAGATGCTAAAATTTATGTTTTTATGATAATTCAATTAAAAATAAAAGTAAATGCTTTATTACACTATTTTCAAAACTTTTGTTAACTGAAAAAAGATTCATTCAGAAATATCTTGTTCTTATCGATGTTCTATTTTGTTACTAAATTGAATCTAACAATGTAATAATTAATGAAAAGCTTCCTTAGTTATGAAAATATGTAGGATGTGCTATATATTCAACAAAGTATTTTTCCCAAAATAAAATCTCATCATGAAAATTTGTTTACTGAAGTGCTGCAAATAGATTTTAAAATTGTAAAAATGCATTCTCTAGGGATTTTATTTTATTTTTATGTATTTATTTTTTTCAGATAGGGTCTCTCTCTATTGCCCAGGCTAGATTCCAGTGTCATGATCATAGCTCACTATGACCTCAGACTCCAGGGCTCAAGTAAGCCTCTTGAGTCAACTTCCCAAGTAGCTGACTACAGACATATGCTACCTAGTCCAGCTAATCTGTTTATTTATTTATTTATTTAGTAGGCACAGAGTCTCCCTAATTTGCCAGGGCTGATCTTGAGCTCCTGGCCTCAAGAGATCTTCATGCCTGGCCTCCCAAAATGCTGGGATTACAGGTGTAAGCCAGAAATTTTAAAACAAGTAGAAATAGCAAAAAAGAGACAAAGAATCCTCCAATTAAACAAGGGGGTATAATGTAATTATAAACCAAGAAAAAAAATATAAGGTTGGAGGTAAGTAAAACAATATTAGAAAAGGTACATTTAATTGTATCATTGATCTTGCAATGCTTAGATACTACATTAAAAATCATGTCATGTAGAGTAGCAGTGATAAAGCAAAATACCTGATATGTAAATCTTTGAGAAAAAAACAAATTTGTATTAGAAAGTATGTGTATTGCCACTTTTTTCTATTCAGAAAAGTTAAGTCATAATGAGCAGCAGTAACAGAGCCATATGATTTCTACATCTTTTTTTTTAGGAAAACCAATAGAAGGGCTAATTTCTTCCAAGTGAACACACAAACTGTATCTGCATGTCAAGTTCTCGCTATGATTAAATCATTCATAGACAGGAAAACCTGGCAGCTAAACAAAGTTTTATTTAAGACATCAAAATTGTGATCCCCTTAACCAAACAGATCAAACAGATGACTTAAGAGTGCATCATCACCATCACACACATGTTGTCCATATGCATCTTAGGGCACGCCTGATGAATTTCAAGACAGTAAGTCTACATGTTTTATTTGCGTGGTGAGGAAATATATAACCTAATGAATGTTAGTAAAAACACAACTTACTCTGCAATTTATGAGAGGGTAAGAACATTATGCAATAATCTCTTTCAATATTAATTTGTAGTTTATTGTTCATCATGTTTCTTTGCACCAATATAGCTACATATTATATTTCTTTATTATTTTTTAAGATAAATCTATGAAAGTTTTATGTCAAAATCCCATAAGCCATAGTCAGTTGTTTATCATTCCAGATTTTCTTCTTTATCTACTTTTTTATATCTGTCATGTGGACATAGGTCTTTTTGTATGTATGTATGTATGGATGGATGGATGGATGGATGGATGGATAAATGATAGATGAGATAGATAGATTCTTATAGAGATATTTCATATTTTAAATAATTAAATTTTATAATATTTATTATATTTTTTCCTAGTTCTTTATATATTCATATCACCAATGCATTATCTTCCTTCTGTTTTCCCATTAGTTTCGCTGCTCTAAAGTCAGATGTATAAAGGCTATGCAAAAACAATTCCATGGGGTGTATATCACTTAAAATCCTACAATTCTAGGTAAAGTTAGCACTGCTTTGAATTACTTTTAGTGACTTTGGATGCAAGTCAATGTGTATCAGAAATAATGGTATAAGACATTTTTAAATTACAACATCCATCATGTTCCTATTTTCTACCAAGAATCCTGAGAAATATCTAATGAAATTTCAACATAGAAAAATCTTGATCCTAATTGATCAATAAAAGGTCATAGTATCTAATACGTGGATCTTTATTATGGTACACTTCAGCACGCTCTCTCTATATTTGTGTGATTCTAATTTATTTCATTTCTCTATTTTAAGGGAAATGAGTTGAATAATTTTTATTATTATGAATCAATCGCAATGCATTTATCCAAATAGACAAATTTATTATGTCATCTTTCAGAAGTGTGTTGAATATAATGTGGTGATTTTAATGTCATTCCTTGAATTTCACTTCCTGGGCCACAAATACTAATACTCACGTGTTTTTTAGCAAGACATATTATGTATAATTAGTGACTTTGATATATGTATGAATTTTAACGTGATTTAAGTGAGGGTAAAAACAGCAAACATAACTAAAATTGTCATTATTATTATTGACTTTCTCAAAGACAAAAACATAATATTGAAAAAAGGCCTTCAAATTAAATTTTATTTGCACTACGAATGATATAAGAGAAGTATTCTACTATTGTTTATAGTTTTGAATAAGATAACAATTGCCTTGAAAGATGAAGTCCTATCTTGATATTGTAGAAATAATTCATGGAAAAGAGAATGTAAATAAAATACTTTAATATTTTTATTTAGTGATTCTGTATATGCCCTTGACTTAGCAACGAATATTTATAGAGAAGTAGTCATATGACCTCAATTTTTAAAATTATTCCAAATATGTCTCATGTCAAATTAAGAAAAATATCGTTTCAATATTGTCGTTGTATTAACTCATCAGGTATTTTTCACACATTCTATTCTTTGTTCCTTATGTGACTCTACACCTTTTTTTTATTATTATCCTTTAAATTCTAGGGTACATGTGCACAACATGCAGGTTTGTTACATATGTATACATGCGCCATGTTGCTGTGCTGCACCCTTTAACTCGTCATTTACATTAGGTATATCTCCTAATGCTATCCTTCCCCCTTCCCCCTACCCCACGACAGGCCCGTACTGTCTTCCACAATGGTCGAACTAGTTTACGGTCCCACCAACAGTGTAAAAGCGCTCCTATTTCTCCACATCCTCTCCAGCACCTGTTGTTTCCTGACTTTTTAATGATCACCATTCTAACTGGTGTGAGATTTTATCTCATTGTGGTTTTAATTTGCATTTCTCTGATGGCAAGTGCTGATGAACATTTTTTCATGCATCTGTTGGCTGCATAAATGTCTTCTTTTGAGAAGTGTCTGTTCATATCCTTCACCCACTTTTGGATGGGGTTGTTTGATTTTTTTCTTATAAATTTGTTTAAGTTCTTTGTAGATTCTGGATATTAGCCCTTTGTCAAATGGGTAGATTGCAAAAATTTTCTCCCATTCTGTAGGTTGAATATTCACTCTGATGATAGTTTCTTTTGCTGTGCAGAAGCTCTTTAGCTTAACTAGATCCCATTTGTCAATTTTGGCTTTTGTTGCCATTGCTTTTGGTGTTTTAATCATGAAGTCCTTGCCCATGCCTATGTCCTGAATGGTATTGCCTAGTTTTCTTCTAGGGTTTTTATGGTTTTAGGTCTAACATTTAATCCATCTTGAATTAATTTTTGTATAAGGTGTAAGGAGGGGATCCAGTTTCAGCTTTCTACATATGGCTAGCCAGTTTTCCCAGCACCATTTATTAAATAGGGAATCCTTTTCCCGTTTCTCATTTTCTTCAGGTTTGTCAAAGATCAGATGGTTGTAGACATGTATTATTATTTCTGAGGGCTCTGTTCTGTTCCATTGGTCTCTCTCTGTCTGTCTCTCTCTCTCTCTCTCTCTCTCTCTCTCTCTCTCTCTCTCTATATATATATATATATATATATATATATACACATATATATATATATATATGTGTATATATATGTTTTGGTACAAGTACCATGCTGTTTTGGTTACTGTAGCCTTGTAGTATAGTTTGAAGTCAGGTAGCATGATGCCTCCATCTTTGTTCTTTTGGCTTAGGACTGTCTTGGCAATGCGGGCTCTTTTTTGGTTCCATATGAACTTTAAAGTAGTTTTTTCCAATTCTGTGAAGAAAGTCATTGGTAGCTTGATGGGGATGGCATTAAATCTATAAATTACCTTGGGCAGTATGGCCATTTTCACGATATTGATTCTTCCTGTCCGTGAGCATGGAATGTTCTTCCATTTGTTTGTGTCATCTTTTATTTCATTGGGCAGTGGTTTGTAGTTCTCCTTGAAGAGGATCTTCCCAGATTAGACTAAAGGTTAGAGTAACATAGATGTTAGTCACTTATTGGAAGCAAGGAAAAGATTTTAAGAGGTGTTAAGTTACCAGTAGCATCTTACAGAAAGGCAAGTACAACCAGGAGAAAGATAATTCCAGTGAGTTTTGATTTTTAAAAGAGGTGTTGGTAATCAATTTAAGCATATTCAAAGGATTCATCATAGGCATAAGAGAGAAAGTAAGTGAAGATAATATAGACCATTCATTCAAGAACCTTGTAGGGAATGACAGAGGAAAGTACAGTTTTGTTTTGATGAAGTTTAATATTAATGCAATGTTTGATGTGTTTTCTTTCCATTTTTGAGATAAAGGTGAGCACTTATATTAACAAATCAATAAGTAGATATTACATTATTTAAGATACTATAGATAGGCAATATAATAAACTGAACAGGATATACAAAGAAGAAAAAGGAATATAATAAAAACAAATGGTAATAAAGTTTCCAAGATGAAATTAGTGTCAGGAAAATAACAAAAGAGATATTATTATATGTATACTACTATATGTATTATAGTAGCACGCTGGAATGATTATGTACATTTTGTTCTTCAATATTAATTTTGCTCTCCCAATTTTCAACCCAGAAACTCATCACATTTATAACTACCTAGCAAAATCTCATATTAGATATGAGAAAACAAAGACTCAGATGTTTGATTGATCTCTTCAAATCACCTGGAAAGGCAAATCTAAAATAGAAAAGCCAAGGCACCTTAGAAGAGTTGGCATTTTCATCTTATCTGTTGTTTGCCCGTCTTAGTATTCTGATAGCCTCGAGCTAATCTACAGCAGGACCATCTCACATGCCCCAGGCTTCACAATCAGGATTGCACCTCCTTGTGGTTACGAAGTACTTTATCTGGGGAGAGAGATTATTGGGGACAGGGCTTCAGAGTCACGTGGTTAATTTTGCTGACTGTCTATGTGTTTTGAAATTTAGGTTGATAAACTCATTTTCTGCAGGAGGGTCTTACCTCCCCTCGTTTCTCCTCCCCTACCTACATCTCTTCTCCTGTCCTCTCTTTAATCCCTGTTCCTCCACCATTTCTAAAAGATGAAATGATCTATTGATTCAGCCCCTTCATAAAACCTGAAATTATTAATATTTTCACATACATTTGAAATTGGCCTATACATTTATTCGCTAGTACTGAATAATAGTGAATAATATAATTTTGAAGTCAACCTAATAATAGACTCATAAAATAATTTCTGATTGTGATTCTCTGCCTGTAACATGCCCTGCTAAGGTCCCTGCCTCCCGGTGTCCATGCCCTCATATGAGCCTCTTCTGAGTGTGGGCTGATTTGTTAACTCATATCTAACTAATAGACGATGACAATACTGATGGGCTGTCAATTCCAAGATTATGCTACAGAAAGATTCTGGCTTCTGTTTTGGTTGCCTTCTCTGTCTCTCTGTCTCACTTTCACTTTCTCTCTGTGTTTCTCTCCTCGTTTTAATGATGGTTTATCTATCGTCTTAGCCTTTAGAAATTCACCAGCTGTTATTTTGTAAAATATCTCTATTGCTTTGGTTATTCATCTCATGGATTTTTGTATATTTGTTATTTCTTTGTCCTGTTCTATTTCGTTTTTTTTTTTTACTGTAGTTTTTTTAGTTCACCACATATCTTGTTTTTTATTATAAATGAGTTAATTCAAATCTTCATCGTTTCTTAAATACTCTTAATTATATGTCTTTACACACAGAAACACAGAAACACACAGTTATCTCACAAACTAAAATTATTGTCATGTATCAAAACTTTTATCTTATTCATGAATACTTATTTAACTTGTTATACAATTGTAGATTGTCAGTTGGTTTGAAATATTTTACCATTGCTTCATGACATTGGCCAATTGGAACAAATCCTGTTATTCATCCAGTTCTTATTTCTTTGTAGGTAAACTCTTACATTTGCAGCTACAAATTTATTGCATAGGAAAAATTTGGCTATATATGTGTGTATACATACATACATACATATATATTATAATTATATATAAATTGTATATACTTCTGTAAAGTATAAAAATAAATATTTATAAATCGACCAACCAAAATAAGTAATGGAAAATTACCAGTGCCATTAAAGGTCTCTCATTATCTGTATTTGGTCACATATTCTTCACTTACTGAGGTATAACAACTATCCTGAATATGAATATCCTGAATATTATCATTCCCATGCTTTTATGTATATTTTAACATACATGTTTTAATTGCTGAAATATGCATATGCATGTATACATTCCAGAAATGTGTGAACAGTAGTTTCTGCTTTAACAGTTATTCTAATGTAGTATTCTACAAATTGCTTTTTTTAAAAAAAAAAAAATTATACTTTAAGTCCTGGGATACATGTGCAGAACATGCAGGTTTGTTACATAGGTATTCATTTGCCATGGTGGTTTGCTGCACCCATCAACCCATCATCTACATTAGGTATTTCTCCTAATGCTATCCCTCCCCTAGGCCTGAACCCCCGACAGGTCCTGTATGTGATGTTCCCCTCCCTGTGTCCCTGTGTTCTCATTGTTCAACTCCCACTTATAAGTGAGAACACGTGGTGTTTGGTTTTCTGTTCCTGTGTTAGGTTGTTGAGAATGATGGTTTCCAGCTTTGTCCATGTCTCTGCAAAGGACATGAAATCATCCATTTTTATGGCTGCATAGTATTCCATGGTGTATATGTGCCACATTTTCTTTATCCAGTCTATCATTGATGGGCATTTGGGTTGGTTCCAAGTCTTTGCTATTGTGAACAGTGCTGCAATAAACATACATGTGCATATGTCTTTATAGTAAAATGATTTATAATCCTTTGGGTGTATACCCAGTAATGGGATTGCTGGATCAAATGGCATTTCTGATTCTAGATCCTTGAGGAATCCCCACACTGTCTTCCACAATGGTTGAACTAATTTACACTCCCACCAACACTGTAAAAGCATTCCTATTTCTCCACATCCTCTCAAGCATCTGTTGTTTCCTGACATTTTAATGATCACCACTCAAAATGGCATGAGATGGTATCTCCTTGTGGTTTTGATTTGCATTTCTCTAATGACCAGTGATGATGAGCTTTCTTTCCTATGTTTGTTGGTTGCATAAATGTGTTCTTTTGAGTAGTGTCTGTTCATATCCTTCAACCACTTTTTGATGTATTGTTGGTTTTTTTCTTGTAAATTTGTTTAAGTTCCTTGTAGATTCTGGATATTAGCCCTTTGTCAGATGGATAGATTGCAAACATTTTCTCCCATTCTGTAACTTGCCTGTTCACTCTGATGATAGTTTCTTTTGCTGGGCAGAAGCTCTTTTGTTTAATTAGATCCCATTTGTCTATTTTGACTTTTGTTGCCATTGCTTTTGGTGTTTTAGTCATTAAGTCTTTGCCCATGCCTTTGTGCTGAATGGTACTGCCTAGGTTTTCTTCTAGAGTTTTTATGGTTTTAGGTCTTACATTTAAGTCTTTAATCCATCTTGACTTAATTTTTGTATAAGGTGTAAGGAAGTGGTCCAGTTTCAGTTTTCTGCATATGGCTAGCCAGTTTTCCCAGCATCATTTATTAAATAGGGTTTCCTTTCCCTATTGCCTGTTGTTGTCACTTTTGTCAAAGATCAGATGGTTGTAGATGTTTGGCATTATTTCCGAGGCCTCTGTTCTGTTCCATTGGTCTATATATATGTTTTGGTACCAGTAACATGCTGTTTTGGTTACTATAGCCTTGTAGTATAGTTTGAAGTTAGGTAGCATGATGCCTCCAGCTTTGTTCTTTTTGCTTAGGATTGTCTTGGCTATACAGCTCTTTTTTGGTTCCATATGAAATTTAAAGTAGTTTTTTCTAATTCTGTGAAGAAAATCAAAGGTAGCTTGATAGGGATAGCACTGACTGTATAAATTACTTTAGGCAGCATGGCCATTTTCACAATATTGATTATTCCCATCCTTGAGCATGGAACGTTTTTCCATTTGTTTGTGTCCTCTCTTATTTCCTTGAGCAGTGGTTTGTAGTTCTGCTTGAAGAGGTCCTTCACATCCCTTGTAAGTTGGATTCCTAGGTATTTTATTCTCTTGGTAGCAATTGTGAATGGGAGTTCACTCCTGATTTGGCTCTCTGTCTATTACTGGTGTATAGGAATGTTTGTGATTTTTGCACAAGCAAAATGTATATACATATATACATCCCTGAAATTTATGGATAGTAGTTTCTGCTTTATTTAACAGTTGTTCTAATGTACTATTCTACAAGTTGCTTTTTTAAAGTCAATATTATATTTTAAGGATGTATTCATATTAATGCATACAGTTATAAGCCATTACTTTTCATTACAGTGATTCTTTCATATCATGTGTATATCAGTTATTATTAACCATTCACCTGAGAGAGAACATATGGGTGTGTATTTCATTATTATCAACAATAGCAGTACAGACATTTTTTAACGTCTCCATGTTCTCCTCTGTACAATTCTCTTTAGTTAGTAAACTCTAGAGAGGAATTGCTAGGGCATAAAGTTTTAACAGTTTCATGACGCTTCCTTTCTTCCTTTCAAGTCACTTGTCTTATTCAAGAGAGTATAATCTTTTCCTTTCCTTTGTTCTTCTTAATACATTTCAGAATAACTTCATCAAGTTCCATGGAATTCCTATTGGGATTACAGTTAGAACTTCATTAAATATGCTGTTCTATTTAGGAAAAAAATAACATCCTCATTTTACTAATTTCTCCTTTCCTTAGGGAAGATAGAATACGTATATTTTTTCATTGATTTAGATCACCCTACAGTATGTACCGAAAGGCATACTCCAAGTTGTTTATACCACTACTCCATTGAAGACACAAATCTCCTTTCAAACAGCTTGAAAATTCCATGATTACATTCAGTAATTTGTAAAGCAAGACCTGAGTTCTTCCCTCTAGAAGACAATCTTAAAAAAGCAGAAAGGACATATTATTATAGATTTAGGATTCAGACTGGCTCTACCACTGATTGCTGAGGCACCCAGAAGAGTATCTGTTTGATCATTCTTGCCAATTTTACCTCAAATAAGCCCAAATGATGATGATGGGGAATTTCAGCCTAAATGCCCATCTTTCTCTGGGTCGTTATAGAAAGCAGTTAGTCAGCAGCAATGTCTTAATTAAATTCTATGATGACTGGATATATATGACGCTGCTGAACTTTCACAGCACATTGAGAGCAGTCCAGTGTCAAAGATATAATTATTTTGTGGTACTAAGTGACTATTCAAGAGTAAAGTGCTCTCTAGATTTTTGAGATATTGTCAGTTCAGATTTCCCTGAAAATGCATTTCAATTGGAAACTTCCCAACTACTTCTTAAATACTCTCCACAATTTTACAAGTTGACCATATACTATCAGATGGCAGATTTCCTTTAATGCATTTATTTCCCCAGTTACTTTTCAAGTATGTTCATTTTTCTCTAGTCTCGTATTTAGCTCTTTACCTTGCTGTGCCAAAATATTGCAAATCGTCTCCAGAATGTCTATGTCTGTGAACTTCTTCAAGCTCAGAGGAAAATCTAGTAATTGCAAAGACCAAGAAAGAAATATCAAATGTTCTCTCTACTTTGAATCACTTTAGTGCTAAGGGTAGAGGAATTACCTGTCATGTAACTCTAAATTAAATTTACTGGAAAAAAACAGCAATGACTTTCATTTTCTCCTTGTGATCAACTTGTTCATGTTGTCCTCAAAATTTTATGTATTTTCTTTGTATCTGGCCTTTTAATTATATTAACGGAATTACATTTTCACCTTCTTTGCCAATTCATCTTTTCTCTTTATTTAAATACATAATGCTATATTACATATAATAATTATATATGTATTATTTTTAATAATATACATATATAATTATATATACTCATATAATATTTAACAATTAAGTGTGCTTAGCATTATTGGCAATTGATTCCATAATAGTAAAAACAAGATTACAGATTATCTCAAGATTAATATTGTTGCTCTAAAAAGGTTTTCCTCTGAATAAGAATGCTTTTTCCTATTAAAGAAAAGTCATTTTAATATTCTAAATGTATTCTCAATATCTTATAAATATATTTTAATTATAACTCTAATTATTTGATACTTATTTGTGAAAATCCACTGAAAAGGAAATGGAAATATAGTAACAAGGAACAGATTGTAAATTGAAAACAGTTTAAGCCTAATACAGAATCAACAGAATTCTGACGGGCAAAGTACTTTTGCTAATGTATTGATTAATGTTTTTCAGCTGTTGGCATTCCTCAGTGCATATGGGTAGACACAGATCTCTTGTCACCAGAGGCAGATGGAATAGCAGGAGGTCACTTCACCTGCTGCTCATAACTGTCAGTACTTGGCTTTTGGGCTGCCAGGCTACTCCAAAGGTTTGTGAGGGCCTAGAAATAGCGTTTCAAGCTGTGATTGGGATGGCCTGTTTTTTTTCTAACAGCAACTACTTCTATGTGTATATGAGATAAAAGAGGTAAGCTCTTTCAGTTCTCTTTAAAACCATGAAGATTTGCTCCTTATTGCAGGACTAGCACCCCTTCTTCATTCCCTGTCTCATCATTTCCCCAGCCTACCCCTCCACATCCATTTTATAATAAAAATTAAACAAAGAAATGTAATGCTTTCCACTGATTTTTTCAGGCAGGCCTCAGTAACGTAAAGCAAACTACATTCTATGTTGGCCAAAAAGAAACAGTCTATGCAGAATAGGGAAAGCTAATAATAAATTGAAACCTGATAAGTAGGAAAGAAAACAGTTAAGAAAGGAAACACATAAGATCCTTAAGCTCACTGCCGGTGCATGATCAGCAGTAGGGTGTTAGAGTAAGATAGAAGATTGAGACAAGAAAGAAAAAAGAGAAAAATACATCTCCTTTATGGCTTTTGCAATGGATTGAGTAAATAAGCCAAATGATGATGGCAAATATGAAATCTACAGCAACTACTAGTGATACTGCTGACCACAAGTGAAGGCAGGCTCCTTCAATTGAATAATGTAACAGCAGGAGCTCTCTAGAAAGGATTCATGACAAAAATAGCAACAGTATATTTATTATGAATACCATAGACTGCCTGAAATAGGAAGAAACCTTTTAGGAGAGACTAAAAATTCCCTGGGTCCTCATTACTGCAGTCAACATAAAGAAGAGAGGAAAAATGGATGAATACTTCTTTCCATTTGAATGAAGAATGAGGATTAAAAAAACCCCACAGAGTGGCTTAATCGAACTTTGCTTTTTAAGCATGTTTACTATTAATCAAACCTAAAAGCCCACTGTGAAAAGCATTGCACTTTTACCCTTAATTAATGATGCCATGTTTACTTTCATTTAGGAATGTCCCCACATGTTACTGCAGGTTTGTCAGAGCCATTTGAGATCTAGCAAGCATTTGATAGAGGAATATAGAAATATAAAGCTGTTAAAGATCTTAGTTATATTATAGTTCACTCCATTTATTTGATAGATGAAAATAGAGTCCAATAGGAGTAATCAATTTTCACAAATCCACTCTAATGAGTAAATGAGCAAAATTTGTAGGGCTACTGATTCCAAACCATTGTGACTCCCAGACTGCTTTTATTTATTTGCATGTTTCATAATTAACTTTGAATCTAATGTTCTAGGAACATTGTTTTTAAATTAATGCCTTTTAGTTTGGATTTCCCAACATAAATTTTAAATATAATTTTTGTCCCTCCTTTCAAGATTTTCAGGCCAAGGAGTGGTACCTAAAGAGTGTGGTTTATTGGACACCTGAGCTGTGGTGACCAGCACACTATTGGGAACACCTAAGATCTATTTCTATCCCAGTTGTTTCTCCTACTGTTTTGAACTTTCCTAAGTTTTTTTTTTGAAACTATTTACTCTTTGATAATAAAAGAGAAATAAGTGAGTTATTTGAGTTAAAAAGTGTGTGGCTATCAAAATGAACATGATATAGGCTAAGACTGGTGTGAGGTAAATAAGTGTGTGTGTTTCAAAGCATAGAAAGCTATCCAATGACTTACAAACTCTTTTTCTCAAGCACATGGGTATACCCTACTGCTATACACAATTACTGAATTACAAACCACTGCATTTAGATAGTAGGGAGAACTGATGGAGGAAGAAAATATAAATACGAATATTAACCTCAGAAATAGATGTAGCGTAATTTTTACGCTTCACCATGGTGACTTGAATTTCTCTCCTAAGTTACTGATAAATATAGATTTCTTTAATCAGGCTTCTCCTAAGGCGTTAATTACACTTTTCCTAAATTATTTTCTAAGTCTTTAACAACTCACAGAGTTTTAACAGTAGAGCTAAAGTGGCATTTCTTTAATTAGATTTATATTACATACATTTGTTTTTCTAAACAGGAAAAAGTGTGGTTTTTTTTAATAGTTTATAACTTACCTATGTTTATTCACTTCAATTAGTGTATACGGATATACCCATGGTTTCTGTTCTAGAGAAGTTAAATGAGATGTGTTTGCTTTACCTTTGTTAAATAACAATGTAATCAAAAATAGAATACTTTTACAGCTAGATCTGGCATTCAGCAAAATGACAAGGTCTGGAAAGTAGGCATCATGTTTTTCCATTCCTCCATCTTCTCCCAGGTGTTCAGTGCCCTCTCATGGCTCAATATTTCAGCAACGAGAGGTCACTTTTCCAAGCAATCCTCCATATTTCAAACCTTTTCTACTTCTTACTATTAATACATTTTATCTTTGCTATGCCTTCCAAATTTTAGAGCTACAGGGCACTTAAATTCAGTCTAGTTTTGTCATTTAAGCAATAGAGAAATTTATTTAAATTTCTCTATTATTTATTTAAGCATTTTAAATTTAAATTTATTTATGTAAGCAATTTATTTATTTATTTAACAAATAAATAAATTATTTATTTAATTATTTATTTAACAAATAAATTATTTAATTATTTAACAAATAAATTATTTAATTATTTAACAAATAAATTATTTAATTATTTAACAAATAAATTATTTAATTATTTAACAAATAAATTATTTAATTATTTAACAAATAAATTATTTAATTATTTAACAAATAAATAAATTATTTAATTATTTAACAAATAAATAAATCATTTAATTATTTAACAAATAAATCATTTAATTATTTAACAAATAAATCATTTAATTATTTAACAAATAAATCATTTAATTATTTAACAAATAAATTATTTATTTAATTATTTAACAAATAAATTATTTATTTAATTATTTAACAAATAAATTATTTATTAATTATTTAACAAATAAATTATTTATTAATTATTTAATTAACAAATAAATTATTTATTAATTATTTAATTAATAAATAAATTATTTATTTAATTATTTAATAAATAATTAAGCAAATTATTTAAGCAATTTAAATTTAAATTTCTCTATTATTTATTTAAGCAATAAAAATTATTGCTTAAATTTACACATTTAAGCAATAGAGAAGCAGGGAAGTGTAGTGACTCCCCTAAGGCAATGCAATAGGCAATGGCAGTACTGGGACTATCTCAAGTTGCATTGTGACTTGTCCATTTCAGGTATTAAGAAATCTGAGTAAAACACTCTGCCAAAGAGTTGCTGATGATATTGGCAATTCCAGACAGTGACAAAATGTGGGGCTGATCATTTGGAACAAGAAAACTTTCTCACATGTCTACCATGAGACAATAGAGTTAGCTGTGTTTTTTCCATAGTAATGACCAGTCACTTCACACTGATTTAAGGAAAGAATGTGAAACGCATATGGTATTATATTTTCATCTGGCACCGGTGAGATTTTTACTTGTCACATATAACCTACATTCCATCCAGTAAAAGTGAGAAGCTGAATCTGGAGAAAGTTATTAAAGTTACCACGATATTCAGGTTCCAGTTTTTATTTTCCTCAAATAATTAATATTGATTATTTTCTGTTTCAATATATACAAAATTACTGGAAAAAAGGAATTATTAATGTTGACTTGATTAGTACCTTAAAAAAGCAGACAGATCTGGACTAAATCATACTTAAATATTCCTAATTCTCATTGCTATTGCTACTACTAATATGAAAGAATTTATTTTTATTTTTGAAATAAACTTCAAACTGGTAGATAATTTTTTTCTAATTTGTATAAGTATTTTTACAAAGATATGCATTAATAGTCAACTTTGAAAAACTATTTCAAAAATTAGAATACTGATATCTGATTTATTTAAAGTTTTAGTCTTCTTTATTTGGAGAAATATACTGGTTTAGCAAAATCACTCGATAGTTTTACTGCCAATACAAATTAAATTGTTAGTCATGCTTTCAGGAAATAATATTTCTTTGAAATTCTTTGACTATTTTGTCTACTGCATGAACCACTCTTCTGTTGACCATATTTTCATAGCATTCTATGCTATTTTGTTCCAATAGAATTTCAGTTTGAGCAAAACATTTTCAATCTCAGCTGTTGGCATCTGTATTGTTGAAAATTTGAGAAATACACCAAGTAAAGAGAGATGAATTACTGATAAGCTTTTCACTTAAATTTTTGCTCTGTAGTTAACATTACAATAACTCAGCTCTAATGACAAATTTCTATTCTGTATGATTTTAACCTAAGAAGAAAAGGTGAAACAGAAGAAGTCAAGGTGGAAAACCAGGTATAATTCTGTGTTGAATATTAAAACACATCGGTAAACACTACACTCAAGAACAGAAGTGTAGAGATAAGCATGTCACATGAACACTTCAAGAAGTTACTATTAATATTGATTGGATTTTCCTCAGGCTGGAATACATTTTGCCTATCAGAAAGTAACAACTGCATAAATTTTACTCAGTAAGAAAGCTTTTCTTAAAGTAATCATCTGTGCATTTCTGTGTTCATTGTATGTATACACATATATACACATAAATACACATATATCCTCATGCATATGTATATACACATATACAACATGTAAAAGCACACAAAGTACTTGTACATATACACACAGGGCTAAAACATTAAACATTATATAAAATAAGGATAAAAGTTAAAAGCATGCTTCCCCAATTGCTCCCACCAACCATAAGCCTACCATCCAAGAAAATAATTGTTTCCTGTGAATACTTTGAGAATGTATATATGTGTGTCAGTGCTGAAAATAATTTATAGAAATTGACCTGACCTGAGGCTCCCAAATAATAGCTACCAAACACTCCTACACTCCCGATTAAAACCACCTTTGAAAAACTTACAAAATAACAGTCTAAAACAATTTATCTGCTTTTCTCACTTTTCTAAAAAAAGCAAAACTCTAGAATGTTTTAAGTGGGATTGTACTAGGCTTAAAGAATAGAATTTTTGGACCAGCCTCTCAGGTTGCTGAAAGACCTAATCCTGTCAGCATGACCTCTCTCTACTTCAGGCCTAGAGAAAAGTTGTAATGGGATCATCTGAGAAGATGGCATAAGTCTCCAGGAGCTTGGAAAACTGACGGATCGGAAGACTAAGTTTGGTGAGTTTCTCTATCCAAGCAGATAAGGGTGCTGCCACGGGTTGGCACGCACTTCTTGAGCAGAGGATGACAGTGTTTCTTCAGACCACATACAAGCTTCCTGCAAGAGAATACTTTTGTAAAACTATCTTAGATCCTACCTAAGAGGGCTGCGTGTTAGCCGAAAGAATGTGGAGGTGTCTGCACAAAGCTTATACAGATAGAATCATAACCAACCAACTAGAAGAGATACAATAATTGCCACCAAGATGCTGAAATGAGCATTTTTTAAATCTGTCAAATGCAGAAAATAGCAACACTAGTCCACTGAAATACTAATTAAAGAAGAACTTTCCTACTCTGATTTACCGCATGGTAGGGATGTCAATAAATAATAAGTGATGAAAGCTTATGTTCTGGACCAATCTGGGTGTACTCTGTGCCATGGACATTAAAATGCCGTGTCTGTGCTCAGACACATATAGTCATTATTTTGAAGTTCCAGAGAAACCATCACATTGCACATTTTCCTGACACAGCAATTTTTTTTTTTTTTTTTTTTTTTTTTTTTTTTGAGATGGAGTCTCGCTCTGTCGCCCAAGCTGGAGTGCAGTGGCGCGATCTCACTGCAAACTCCACCTGCCGGGTTCACGCCATTGTCCTGCCTCAGCCTCCCGAGTAGCTGGGACTACAGGCACCCACCACCATGCCCAGCTAATTTTTTTTGTATTTTTAGTAGAGACGGGGTTTCACCGTGTTAGCCAGGATGGTCTCATCTCCTGACCTCATGATCTGCCTGCCTCGGCCTCCCAAAGTGCTGGGATTACAGGCGTGAGCCACCGCGCCCGGCCCCCTGACACAGCAATTCTTATCAGCTTTTTTTATATTACACTTCTTCAATTTGTGTTCTTTAGTTACATTCCAGAGGGCTGGTGTCTATGCCAAAGTAGGTCATTAATTTGTCCAGGGCGTAGTAAGACATATTGAACACAGGCAATTCCTTAGGCACTCATTAAGATACAAAAAGTTCACATATTCTCCTAATGCCATATGGTGGGAACCTGCTGAACCTAACTAGTCTTATTAATGCCCTCTCTCTCTCTCTTTGCCCTGCCATTCTGAACTATTCCAGTTAGCTCTTTACATTCGGAATTCTCTAAGCTAATAGTCAATATTATCAATGCCTTTGGAAGTCATCAAAACTCAAAGAGACCTTTGTCAAGCTCTCACTACTCTCTGTCTCTGTGGGACTGGAGTAAGCCTTAACTGGAGTTGTAATACAACTCAACAGTTTTCAGCTAGGAAATCAACTTTCATTTCCTCATAATTATAAGTATCCTAAATTTTATGAATTCTTCTCTTAAAATCCTCCTACCTTTTCTTCAGATAAAATCAGCATTTTGATTCTCAAAGTTATATAAGATGTAATGAAGTAAAATACTCAGGCCAATAACAAACAATTTCAATTTTTTTTGAATTTCTAACATTTTCATAAACACTGGAAAATGGTGATGGGTTTAAACACCAGAAATTCTCTTCACCACCCTCGATTCCTTAGAAGAGATAATTAGCAGTGTTCTGTGATTTCTTCTTAGAACCTATGTGGGATTATTAGGTCCACTGTGGTTTTATTTTATTCTATTTTGTCTTTTATAAGTTGAGGAGTAGCTGTGCAGATTTGTTATATAGGTAAACTCCTGTCATGGTGGTTTGTTGTACAGATTATTTTGTCACACAGGTGTTAAACCTAGTACCCATTAGTTATTTTCCCTGATCCTCTTCCTCCTCCCTCCCTTAAACTTCCAGTAGGCCCCAGTGTGTGTTGTTCCCTTCTATGTGTCCAAGTGATCTTATCATTTAGCTCCCACTTATAAGTGAGAACGTATGGTATTGGGTTTTCTGTTCCTGCACTAGTTTGCTAAGGATAATGGTTTCCAACTCCATTCAAGTTTCTGCAAAGGACATTATCTTGTTTTTTTATAGATGCATAATATTCCATGGTTTATATGTACCACATTTTCTTTACGCAGTCTACCACTGATGAGCATTTACGTTGATTCCCTGTCTTTGCTGTTGTGAAGAGTGCCACAGTGAACATAGACATGCATGTGCCTTTATGATAGAATGATTTGTATTCCTTTGGGTATATTCTTGTAAAGGGATTGCAGAGTCAAATGTTAGTTCTGTTTTTAGGTCTCTGAGAAATCGCCACACTGTTTTCCACAATGGGTGAACTAATTTATACTCCCACCAACAGTGTATATGTGTTCCTTTTTCTCTGCAACCTTGCCAGCATCTGTTATTTTTTTTTACTTCTTAATAATAGCCTGACTGGTGTGAGATGGTATCTCATTGTGGTTTTGATTTGCATTTCTGTAATGATTAATGATGTTGAGCTTTTTTTCATATGCTTTTTGGTCACATATATGTCTTCTTTTGATAAGTGTCTGTTCATGTCCTTTGCCCTCCTTTTAATGGAATTGTTTTTTTCTTGAAAATTTGTTTAAGCTACTTATAAGTTCTGAATATTAGACCTTTGTCAGATGCATAGTTTGCAAAAATTTTCTTCCATTCTCTAGGTTGTCTGGTTGTCTGTTCATGCTGATGATACTTTCTTTGTCTGTACAGAAGCTCTTTAGTTTAATTAGATCCCATTTGTCAATTTTTGCTTTTGTTGTAATTGCTTTCATTGTCTTCAACATAAAATTTTTGCCCTTTCCTATGTCCAGAATGGTGTTGCCTAGGTTGTCTACTAAGGTTTTTATAGTTTCGGGTTTTACATTTAGGTCTTTAATCCATCTTGAGTTAATTTTTGTATATACTGAAGGCATGGGTCTGGTTTCAATCTTCTGCATATGTCTAGTCATTTATCCCCAGACCCATTTATTGAATAAGGAATCCATTCCCCCATTGCTTGTTTTGTCAACTTTGTCAAAGATCAGATGGTTGTAGGTGTGCGGCCTTATTTCCTTGCTCTCTATTTTGTTCCATTGGTGTATGTATCTGTTTTTGTACCAGTACCATGCTGTTTTGGTTAGTGTAGCCCTGTAGTATAGTTTAAAGTCAGGTAGCATGATGCTTCCAGCCTTGTTATTTTTGCTTAGAATTGCCTTGGCTTTCAGCTGGGCATGGTGGCTCATGCCTGTAATCCAAGCACTTTGGGAGGCCATAGCGGGTGGATCACAAGGTCAAGAGATCAAGACCATCCTGGCCAACATGGTGAAACCCCATCTCTACTAAAAATACAAAAATTAGCTGGGTGTGGTGGTGTGTGCCTGTCGTCCCAGCTACTTGAAAGGCTGAGGCAGGAGAATTGCTTGAACCCAGGAGGCAGTGGTTGCAATGAGCCGAGATCGCACCATTGCACTCCAGCCTGGCACCAGAGTAAGACTCCATCTCAAAAAAAAAAAGAAAAAAGAAAAAAGAAAAAAAGAAAAGAATTGTCTTGGCTATTTTGGGTCATTTGGATTCTATATAAATTTTAAAATAATTTTTTCTAGTTCTATGGAGAATGTCATTGGTAGTTTGATAGGACTAGCATTGACTCTATACATTGCTTTGGGCAGTATGGCCATTTTAACAATACTGATTCCTACTATCCATGAGCAATGAATGTTTTTCCATTTGTTTGTGTCATCTCCGATTACTCTGAGCAGTATTTTGTAATTTTCATTGTAAAGATCCTCCACCTTCCTGGTTAGTTGTATTCCTAGGTATTTTATTCTTCTTGTGACAATTTTGAATGGGATTGCATTTCCGATTTGACTCTCGGCTTGACTCTTGTTGGTGAATGGGAATCCTAGTGATTTCCTTTTGTTGATTTTGTATCCCGAGACTTCACTGAAGTCCTTTATCAGCTAAACGTTTATTTCTTTCTCTTGCTTGATTGCTCTGTCCAGGACTTCCAATACTATGTTGAACAGAAGTGGTGAGAGAGGACATCTTTGTCTTATACTGGTTTTCAAGTGGAATTATTTCAGCTTTTCCCCATTCAGTACAATGTTTGCCTGTTCAGTTTCACATTGACTGTGGGCCCACTGTTTTTAGCTGTAAGACTTCAGATGGATTGCTAGAATACCCATACTGGGGCTGTTGCACATTTTTTTTTACATTTTTATAGCTGTTAATAAGGCATTTGTTATCCTGTAGAAAGAAAGCATTTATTGATAAGGATTTAATAATCACTGAAATACACCAGTCACTTTTTTAGTTCCAAGAATACAGCAGATATCAAGAAGACCAAATTGTTTTTATAGGGCTGCATTCACTTATTCATTAATTTATTACATTCCATAGGCAATAAGTGATAAATCAAATTATGGAACATGATTGTTTTAGATATACAGTGGGGTAAATTAAACAGGGTGATATGAGACAAACAATGACTAGGGTGGTCTTGGAAGATAGTATCAAAATCCAAATAACAAGAAGGACCATTTGAGCATTTAGGGACAGCAAGTGCAAAGGCCTTAAAGCAGAATGTTTAGTGTGTTTGAGAGCACGACTAAAGTAAAGTGAGCATTGGCTTTGATGAGAGGGTTAAAGGGTTAACAGTCTCCTGAAGGAGGCTACGTACATACTTAGTGGTGTAATTGAGGCCTAAGCCAGAATAAACCCTACATTCTAATGTAGCTAGAAATGTGATCAGTTTCACATAGTTGAATAAACCTGAAAGAGTAGTTTCGTGAGATTTCTAATATGTATCCAAGGAAGTAGCTTAGTTTAATAAGGCTTAGTCCCAAAGTCATGCCATAAGGAAGGCTAACTCCAAGCTTGGAGATAACACTAAGCTTTTATGGTTAGTAATGTATCATATTGATGTGAAGAAATTGTGCAAAATTCCTCTGTGTTCTGGGAATGACTGGGAAAATGGCAGTATAGTTCCATGCTCACCAAATTGTGGTGATACGTTTATTGACAAATGAGCAAAATTCTATTTATGAACATATCAGAAAGTAGGGTCTGGGCTCTTGGCACAATCATGAAGGGATTTTAGGAACTGATACGATGTGACACCATAGGGTAACTTCTTAAATGATCAGGATACATAGATAGATAGATTAGATAGATAGATAGATAGATAGATAGATAGATAGATAGATAGATAGCATCATTGTGGGAAAATGAGTACATCAAGGAGTACACCCTCTGTATAGCTATTGTTCTAAGTGTTGAACATGCATTCACATGATTAATTTTAAGAGTGACCCAACGAGTTACTTACAGTCCTAACCTTACCTAAAGTTGCATAGCAAATAGGTGGTGGAGCTGGAAATTAGACCTTTGAGACAAGGTCTGGCTCTACTGCCCAGGCTGGAGTGTAGTAGTGTGATCTCTATGCATGCAAATTTTGCCACCAGGGCTCAAGCCATCCTCCCACCTCAGCTTCCCGAGTAGGTGGGTCTACAGGCTCACACCACCACATCTGGCACATTTTTGTATTTTTTGTATACAGGGTATTTTGCCATGTTGCCCAGGCTGGTCTCAAACTCCTGGGCTCAAGTGATCCACCCGCCTTGGCCTCTCAAAGTGCTGGGATTACAGGTGTGAGCCACCGCACCCAGTAAGGGTCCTTGTTCTTAACCATTATATTGTACTGCCTCTCACATAGGGTGTGAAGCATGAGTGTGTACCAAACCTCAACCTCATATTGATATATAGATCTCTGCATTAAACTTCAAATAAAGAAATAATAATGCCCTGGTAAAATAAATACAAACAAAATTATAAACAAGATAAGGTATTCTCCTTTGAAGACAGTATTAGATTTGAAAGATCAAAATACATTTTGAAATTTACATCATCATAATGTAGATCATACAATATATTTCTGGCAGTTCTCCACTTTGCCATATTTGGGCTTGATTTGGAGTTCATGGGCTTTTCTCTTTGCTTAATACATTTCTACTCACACTTTCTACTGGTAGCTCATTACTGGTGAGCTCCATGTTTCCCTTCAGCCCCCAGTACAGAGCTCACATCTTTCAGGAAGCCTTTTCCAGATACTACAGCCTTGGCTGGGTATCCTGCTTATGTGCTCTGAAGAATTTCATTTATTAATATAATTTTGGAGCAAAATATATATATCTTTAGTAGAAAATTCCTAAGCATATACAACTCAGTGCTTTTGGAGGGTAGTGTAGGAAGTGTATTATATATACATATATATATGCACACAGACAAACAAATACACACACAAGAGACATATATATATACAATATATACTGTATTCATAAACAAAGTGACAATAAATTACTAAAGGTGTTAGTGATATCAGAGTTTCAGCTTTTACTTTTTGAAGCCATAAGGGAGAACAACAGTTTCCCATAAAATGCACCTGAGCTCACCAGGTACCATCACCAGTGTAAAACACGAAACCACTATAAAGCCTGCTTTTTTTGTTAGTCTTTTCTAACATGTATTGCATCAGAATAGTTTGAAGGAATATAGGAATGATAAGGTTAACACAAATTATATGTAGATTAGAAAATAATTGAGTATGAAAATGTAAAAATGAAACTATCTATTTCCTCGGAATTTTGGCTTGCAACCTTGTTCAGGCTGATCAACCATCCAAATAGTTCTCCCTTGAGAGTTCTCTGCTAACCGGAGGCCTAAAATATAAGAAGCTAAAAGTCTCCACTGATTGGATATTTTTGTGGATAATTATTCTATACCATTTAATTTTTTTCTCAAGTTTGTATCCTTGGCTCTGTGGCTTAAGATTTAATTTTAATACTATTTTTAAATGGCAGTGGCTATTTTATCATGCCCTGTGACTTTCTTTCTTTTATAAAATAAATAAGTACGTATTAGGAACATTTAGATTAGTTAGCTTTTTTCTGGTTTCATGTAGTTTTGTGTTTATCAGATCATTTCATGATCATGTAAACACTGGGGAGAGTATTAATTATTTTGTTAGAAGGGTAAATAGCATACATTGAAAGCTAAACTGGGAAACAGAAAGTACCTTTATGAAGAATGAAGGCAGAAATTTCAGCCAAATTAGGATGCATGAAATGTGGAAAATTACTGTTTGAATGTTTATCTGAGGAGTAATATAACTGTTCTCAGGAATACCTGTTTTGGATGATTTATAGTTTTTGACTTGCTTTTGATCTTCATAATTATATTTTCAATTTAAGGGTAATTTACTTATACCTACATGGGACAATGTTAATAGAAATGTACAATTGCATTGTTAAATCAGCAATTTAAACACACCAGCTCCCTGTTTTAAATGCATAGCCTTGATGACTGTAAATGTTTTGTTCATAATTACTGCCCTCATAATTCATATAGGCTGAAAGTGTAGTGAATTTGTGGAAACCACAGTAGCTAATAATACCATTCCTGCAACATCACTAAATTAAATCTCCAAAGGCAATTTTAATGTAGGACCAAAAATCTCTACTTGGAAACTAGAAATTCTGCAATGTTATATAACTTGCTTGGTTTATAGCATTTCAAACATCAGCAATTATGCATTCAATGTGTAATTCTCTAATTCAGGCAATTATCCTCATTCGAATAAGTGGGCATAGAAATGTAAAAATCACTAAGATTGGACAATTTTCAATTATTAAACTTCTTTGCATGAAGACTAACTGCTGGTTGAGAAAAACACATTTACCTAACTCTCTTGTAAGATGTTCCGTGTCGCTAAATTCACAGGTTGGAATTTTGGAGCTGAAACATTTGTAAAGCATATACTTAAACCGTATAAACATTCTGGGGTACACTGTGAGAAAGTTAAACTGTCTTACCACAAAAGAAACCTATGCAGCAGCTACCTATGTAATATTTGTGTGATCTGGGGGCCAAGAAGCAGATGGGAAGTGGTTCCCAGAGCACCTCTGCAGCTGGAATGCCACGTGGCAACTATGGGAGAATCTATGCTTTCCTGAAGAGCTCCATGCCCAGCGTCCTGGAATTAGGGTCTGCATTAGACCCAGTGAACATCCTGAAAACATGAAAAGCCAATGGACTGTGTACATTTCCCCTCTAGGAGATTTCGTTTCTCTCAGGGGATAATGATGAGTGGATCCTGCAGTTTTCCTTCTCTATCAACGGGGTGGTAAGGCAGGCAACAGTCCGCTCAAGGCAAAGTGAGGGAGAGAACAAAAGGGCACACCTGTACCAGTCCCTCCATCCCACAGCCTGTCTTTGTCAAATCAAACCCATACTTGCTGGTGTGTTACTCAGGAAGATGACTTCTTTAAGACTCACCTAGAAATTCATAGGAAGGAAGGAAGGAAGAGAGTATAGGAACAAATCCATTTGAAACAAAGTCAAATAACTTAAGAAAGTTAAAGAAAATGAATGTTGGAAACTAAATGGGCTAAAATGATCTTTCAGATTTCTAAATTTAAAATAAATTGCTCAAGTCTGGGACTTCTAAACCTCTAGACTAGGCCTTCTTATACTAGGAATAAATACACAGAAAAGACTGGTGCAAAAGACAGAATCCGAAAAGATTATTCAAGAGATTTAATGAGGACACTATATACAGAGGGCATTGATAATGGTGTTGAGAGGCTCCAGAGACTAGCAACAGTGAGAGGACATTAGCAACCTAAGCCTTAACGGGGAGAACTAGGGCAACCCCACCTCCACCAGAATGATAGTGTCTATGTAATGAATTCATATGTGTCAAAAATAATAATGAGTTTCTAGATTTTTTTTTTTTTTTAGTTTAAAGCAAAAGAGACTACTAAGGAAATACAGCAATATTGGCAGATGGCTTCTGCCTAATTCAAACCTTGTTTCTATTACTATAGGAAAACTACATTGAGTGCTCCATAAAATCATGTTCAAACTTTTTTGGCACAAAAGCAAACAAAACATAAAACAGTATGTGGTCAGAAAAATAAAAGAGCTACAATGCTTTGGGGACCCAGAATATAAGTAAATGGGGAAAGTATGGAAGGCATTGCAGATAAATTTTTGATCCGTACTTTGCAACAAGAGTAGAAATTTAACTTAAAAAGATAAATAGAAGTAATGGGAAGGGTGGCTTGGAAATGTTGAAGATATTTGAGAACAGTTAGCAAATTGGAGTGTTCCATGTACTTATTTAGAACTGGTGATCCAGAGGACAATTTTCTAATAAACTAATTAAATTAATCCTAGCTTGGACCCTGTCTGGTGTATCTTTATTTTGATTTTTCACTCCACTATACTATCAAGGACTTTCTGTATATCTTGATTACCAAGTGAGTGAAGAACAGGAGAGCTATAAAAATGTTAATATTCATATTAATAATAGTTTATATTTTTATATTAGCTTTCAAAGAAAACCACAAAGTATTTCTTCACATTTGGGTGACTGCGCATGATGTAAATGAACCTCAGCACTGTCTGACAGTAAATGTAAAATGTGTTACTTTATCAAAAACTCCATTTTTTGTTTTTTTAGCTCTTTAGAATAGTTCACTAAAACTCAGTATATCAGCTAATCTCTAAAATGATCCTAGCAGAACTTCAGCTGCATGAGTAAATATTTTCCTGGCAGCTGGTATTACATTATGAACAAATGCTTTACATTCATTCATTCTAATTGCATCCATTCCCCCCAATCAATCAATGAAGCTTTAACTATACAGTTGATGATTTTCTTTCTGTTTGTCAGGGAACTTAATAAAAACTCTACATTCTGAAGCTATCAGCCCAACTGACCATCGTGATGAATGAAGTTTCTTTTAAATAAAAGTATATTATTGCCAGAGAAGAGATTCATAAAAATCAGATGTATTAAGAGTTCATCCCTGAAGGACAGGTTCATACATCTTTCTCTCTCTGAAAGACCAGGGAGTTCTAAACTTTCTAGGAAACCATGGTGGCTCTATGCTACCAGAAAACAAATGCTGCAAAGTAGAGCATATGGCCTAGCATAGGAAATTCATTTTTATTTTTTTACACGCCCTTAGATCACTTTTAGGGCCAAATTTTGCTCTGGGATACTTAATTCTCATTGAATTCAAGGGCTGCTGCCTGCTGTGAGGTAAATGTGACTATAATTTTTAGAAAGTTTTATTTCTAAAACAGAAAATAGCTCAAAGAACTCAAGAATGATCTTCTATGTAAACTAAAACGGTAATATAAATTCCAGGGACACGTTTTCTAGTTCTCGGGCTTTGATTCATTTTAGCTTATATTTGAAAAATAGGAAACAGGTGATTATCTGGACAGATTCGCGCTTTCACATTTTGTTTGATCTTTCCAGTGAAAGGAAGTCAATTGTTTTATTTTCTAAAAGAGATAATTGCCATAATTATGTACCTGTTGTGTAGAAATTACCAGAAAAGACAATACTCAATTGATAAACTCCTCAATATGATTTCATAAACTCACGAGTGCCACAGGTTCTGTCTGTGCATCTGGAAACATGACGAATAGGCAGAATGGGGTATTGTACAATCTATCAGGCTTTGGAGTGCTGTGATAAATGAATCTATTAACACATAATGTTCCCATTTACTCTAGAATTATCTTCAGACTGAATTATAGACTAAATTTATCCTCATTAACCCTCCATACAGCAGCTTATAAAATAATATTACTCACCATAACATTAATTACTAGAAATATCAATTAGAAAGATGTGAAGCCATTCAGATTTTGAGGGGCAAATTTTCTAAAGAGAGATCACACTTAATTATATATGCTCAACATGCAGGCTCTCTCCATCAAATCTAAGACTGAACTCCATATCTTTTTTTGTCTTTTATTCCAGAGACTTACAGAATTAAAAATCTTTACTTACCAAAGACTTCTTACCAAATGGACCAATTATTGAGACAAGTTGATTGAAACTCTAATTGCATTAGGTCCTTTATTTTTATTACCCATCAACAGTAAATTAATGATTTGGAGACGCTTAGACACAAAACTTCATTTCTCCAGCATGTGAACTTGGGCCAATTACCTACCCTCTTCTTTCTTTAATTGCCTCATATATAAAACTGTGGTAATAATGGCATCAACCCCAAAGAATTGTTGCAAGCTTTAAATGAAGGAATATGGTAATATGTAAAGTGCCTAGAACAAAGCCTGGTGAATAATAGGTATTCAGTTGAAAGATTCATTTCATTTTCATAAATCATACAGATTTTAATAAAGACATATTTAGCCTTTTTATAATTCTTCCATAGATTGGTGTTTATCTTTGTATATATACATGCAATGTTCAGCATTGGTTGTTGCTGTGTCTACTGACTCCATTTAGGGAGCTTGTGACATGCTTTTATAAATAACTTGTAGAAACATGGAGACTGGGCCATGCACCGTGGCTCATGCCTGTAATCCCAGCACTTTGGGAGGCCTAGGTGGGCAGATCACGAGGTCAGAAGATCGAGACCATCCTGGCCAACATGGTGAAACCCTGTCTCTACTAAAAATACAAAAATTAGCTGGGCATGGTGGCACGTGCATGTAACACCAGCTACTTGGGAGGCCGAGGCAGGAGTATCACTTGAATGAGGGAGTCGGAGGTTGCAGTGAGCCAAGATCAGGCCACTGCACTCCAGCCTGGCAACAGAGTGAGACTACATCTCAAAAAAAAAAAAAAAAAAAGAAAAAAGAAAAAAAGAAACATGGAGACTGAGGCAAGGGATACCCCAAGGGACAATAGCAAATCTCCATTAAAGCTGTAAATAGAACACTAGAGTTTTATCTTCCAGTCCAGTGCTCACACTAATAGGATAGACTTTGCTCCCTCTTCCATGGGAACATTCTAAGTTTTCTTTAAAGTGAATATACTCTTCACAGGCTTAGAATTGCCTGTAATTGTTCACATGGGGACTCTCAGCAAAGATGTGGTAAAGGTTCCATCTGCATGGCTTCATTTCAAGGGCCTAAAGCTTTGTGCCTCCTCAGAAATAGAGCTGCCAAAAGAGCTGCCAAAAACAATTTTGCTTCCAGTGTCGCTTGCAAAACTTCAAACTGGATTCTTATTTTTCGTTACTGTCGAAAATTAATAAAATGTCATGTTTCTTTCTTGGTGGATAAAATTGGAAAAGCTGCTGTAAGAACACTTTGTTCATAGATATGCTCGTCAGATTATACAAATTATGTAAAGTGATAATATTAACCTTTCCCTCAGCCCTGTGCTTGTGGAAAATAATGATGATTAAGAAATAACCCCATCATTTTGTGCTCCCCAAACAGCTTTATTGCAAAGAAAGAAAGAACCACCCTTCCCCATATAACTTCGATAAAATTCATGGAGCCCTCTTTGAAACCCATGTCAAGGTCAGATACAGACTCTCCAAATTTCCCTTCTTTGTCTCATGAAAGATTAGCTGACTCTTTGTACAGACTGACTAATCTGGACAAAATACCTGCTGCCTTAACTTGACCAAATTTTAATTAAGCTTTTTTCTTCCCCCACAGCCCTGAACTTTGACTCCCTCTCTGCCAAAGCCAGCATTAGCATGAAGTGTGGAATAACCCTCCCTTAAGAGATCCTCCCCTCCCTTCAGAGAACATTTCCTGCTCAAATGTCAGATCACTTTGCCCTCTCAACCCACTCACCCATACCCAGTTTCTTTTCCTTATTTACTCCTGCCTATAAAAGAACATTTCTTTCTGCTTGACCCTTGTAAAGTTCATAGATCTTATGGTCAGAGGAGTCTCTCCACTGCCATTGTTCCCATCACCTACAGCAATAAATTGTTCCCTCCTTTATTGCAATAATCCTTTTGAAAAAGTGTCTCTGTGCCTAAGTCCAGATTTGCTTTTATTTGACATAGGGCACATAATGAAAACATAAAGATGAGGGTTAAAATGAATTTTGCCCATATCTAAGATGTGAAAGTAGAACTCTTTCGGTCTCAGTTTTCAAATAACTTGAAAACTACAGAATATGTATCTACACCACTATTCAAGACTTTCAAAGCAGAGAGCAGAAGACCAGTTTTACAACCCCTGATACCCAAATCTGGCTAATAAAGAAGATCATGAAGGCATAGGAAGCAGAGAGTAATGATGGAAAAAAACAAATATATATATATATATATATTTTGGTGAGAATCGTTAGTGTTCCGTGTGTCTCACTCCTTGCCCTTCAACCCACCTGTGTGCATGCACACATATACAACATGTAATCTAGGAAGTGGGATTTAAATAAGAGTATTAGATAACATTGGCATGTGACTCCTACAGTACAAACACATATATGCCTGAATCCCATCTGAGTAATATAAAGGATAAGAAATTAGATTGCAAGCTGCTTATTCAAGGGCTTATACAAGGGATGAAATTAAAGTGGTTTCATCAGGAGATCTGCACTCCCAAAGTCTGTAAAGCAAGAGATGCAGTTGTGTTTACCACTAACCAGATGTGGGCCATAGGAAAAAGACATGCCCAGAGTCGCCTCAGGATCTGTTCAAGAAAAATGAGGGTAAACGAATCTCAAAAAAGGAAAGCTGGGGTTATCTCCTAATGTCTAGAGGCAGAGAAAAGACAAAGTTAAGAGTCAGAGAATAATACATTACCCCATTAAATAAATTGCTCTGACATGTCTCAGCAACTGGGGAGGATCTAGAGAATTCAGATCTCAATAGAGTGCTCAAATATCTGTCTGATTAGAAAACATGTCACATACTTAAAACATATCAGTCAAGTAAGAACTACACTGTCCCTCTTATGTCTTTTTCTTTCCAATACAATGTACCCACAGAGTTAACCAGGTAAAGGAGGTAAGGAAACATTGTGAGCTAATACAATTATGTGAGTGCTCTGGCTAGTTAATCCTATAGTTTATACCTGCTTTTTATTCATATTTGACTAGGCTATTTTGCAAGCAGAGATAAAAGTTAACTCGTTGAAAACTGACAGTAACACAAATAATTTCCGTCTATAGAAATAAAAATTGTGCCTGGTGGAACGCAGTTTACATTGATATTGAATATTGACTAGTTTTGGAAGTTTTTCATTGGTTTGTAAATTTATTTTAGTATCTCAACAAGAATACAATCAATTATTTCTAAGATTACAGATATATTTAACATAGGCATCCCTAATTTTAGTCATTTTGGGTGATTTCTCTTAATTATAAATGGTGTTACTTGAATCTAACATTATAGATAAATTAAATTTGATGATATCATGTGTTTGGAAGATAATATGTGTTTTAGTTTGTGTGGAGAGACAGAAGACAACTTTACTCCAGATACTTTTTGTTTTCTAAACAGAATAGGCCAGGTGTTGTGGCTCTCCCTGCAATACTAGTACGTTGGGAGGCCAAGGCAGGTGGATCACTTGAGCGCAGGAGGTCAAGACCACCCTGGGCAATATGGTGAGACCATTATCTTGAAAGAAAGAAGAGAGAGAGAGAGAGAAGAAAGAAAGAAAGAAAGAAAGAAAGAAAGAAAGAGGAAGGAAGGAAGGAAAAGAAAGAAAGAAAAAAGAAAGAAAAAGAAAGAAAGAAACAAAGAAAGAAAAAAGAAAAGAAAGAAAGGAAGAACAGAGAGAGAGGGAGGGAGGGAGGGAGGAGGGAGGGAAGGGGAAAGAAAGAAAGATTACTTTGCAGGTCATCTTCTGCTTAAAAAGAAAAGTGACAATCATTACTCTTCCTGGCTGCAACTACTGTTTGTATACATGCAAAATGATGGGAATACAGGCTCCATAAAGACACTCAAAATGCATCTTATTCTCCAGTAAGTGCCAGGTCGAATGAAACTCCAACATAGCTACTTATTAATAGCTTCTAGAATCCAAATCTCACTATCAGGCCACATCCAATATGTAACATTTGCTTGCAAATTTGTGGAGACAAAAGATAGTAAGATATATATGATCAAGGCAATTGAGAAAGTCAGTTTATAGCTTGGGCTACCTTGCATAATGGTTTTATTTTCTAAAATACATTAAGGCTTTATTTATTACATTCCAAGATTATCTTTCACTGCCTCTTAATGTTGCAGTGCCCAAAACTTAATTTGTGCAATGTCTTACCCAAAAGAGCACATTATTGAGAATAGCTTTCCCTATGCTTTTTTTTAGGAGAAGAATTTATCTTACTTTCACATTTATATATGATAACATCTAGTATAAGAACAAGAAAAAAAATCTTAAAAATATAAGTGAGTGACTTACTAGGGAACTTTTTAAAATTTTTTAAATAATTTATTAGAGTAATATTACATATTTCTAGTAATAAAGTCTAGCCTGGTGATGATAAATTGCAGAAGGAACTCACATATTTCTCCTGGTGAAGTCAAAAAAATAACAAATGTCCAAATTTTAAGTAATATAGCCAGAGGAAAAAAAATCCAATTTTTACATATAAAATATTGACATGCTATATAAATTGATATCCTATATAGCTATAAGGAAAACAGCAAAAAATAGTGAAAGAAATATTTTTGGCAATATTGTGTGACTTCAGATGAAAGATCAACAAAATAATAAGACACAGCAAAAAGTAAATACGCAGACTAACTTGGTGTTAGTGACAACTTGACTCATTTATCATTTAGCATTTATTTTATTAGCAACTATTAATTCAATTCCCTGAAGGCACTAAGGATCCCACAGTGAGCGGAATAGATTAAAAATCCCATCCCTAACTGAGTGTACATTATTTTGGGGGGAGATAGTCAATATACAGGTTTCTATTGGTTATTTTGAAACAAATCACAGACATAATTATATCCAAGAATACTTAACAAGCATCTCTAAAATATAAGGATTTATGTTAACATAACCACAAGATCATTATTATAACTTTAAAAATCTTTAAAAATAATCCTTTAATATCAAATATCTAGTAAGTATTAACACATCCTGCTTTTTTAAAACATTGTTGAATAAGGATTCAAATAAGTCTCACATATTATATTTGCTGATATGTCTTTTAGGTGTATACACACACACAAATACATATAGTCTACATCCTTTTTTTCTTTTGAAATTTCAGTACTGAATTCTGAATCATTACTGTGTGGTAGAGTACAAGAGAGAATGCAAATTTCGAAGTCCCTGTTGTGAAATTGACAAGCCCCTCATCAATCCTCCGTGGATAAAAAAGCCAGACCCGTAAAAACAGTATGATTTCTAATCTTTCTGTTTCTAGATATGAAAGTAAAGGATTGAGCAACCTGAGTACTTAGTAATTAACAGCATCTACCAAAGTGAGTGTCTTGTATGGTTATTTACCAAGAAACTCTTTAGACCTGATTACAAGTTACAGAAATTATTAATCGAAGTCATAAAGTTCTGTACCATAATACAGCACTGACAAAGTGTTTCATTGCAATACAAACAAAAATAGAATAGAAAAGCATGTTAACATTTTACTGTCTTTCCTGTCTTTGTGTCATCCCCAGTGTTTTAGTACGGAAAACCACAACAAAGACCAGAGATTCACCTTGCATAGGTGTAGACTGCCCAGAGTTTAGGGAGAAGTAGAATCAAGTGTGCTATTTATTTCCAAAGCCATTATAAAGTATTGTAATTTTTAAAACTTTGATGTTTAAAAATATACTCTCATATTAGAATCTTGTGTTTATCTACCATTGCAGATCGAGTTTTTACAATACTAATTTACACTGTGTTTCTATTGGATTATTGTCTCTCAAAGACTGGTGACATGTAAGAGACTCAGACTGAAAAGAAAAATTCCAGAAATTCAGATAAAATAATGAATAATGAAACATTGTTAAGGAAATATAAGAAGACAGAAAAATTATGTATGTTACATCTGCAAATGTCACAATTGCTGAGTAAAGATATTTTTACAGATTTTAATAGCCTGGAATGATAGGAGAATAAAATAATATAAAATTTAACAAAAATGAATCTGAAGACCCTCCATATGGATTAAAGAAAAGGTAATCACAAGAAAAGAGAAAAGCAAATAAGGAGTTGCTTTAGCAGACACCTTTGCTGCCTTGTGTCACCCTCCTTCTGCTTACCTCTGACATGAGCTGCAGCCGCAATGCAAAGTTGCCTGTGAGTTCAGACTTTTTGTGTGCTAGTGGGGTCAGCCCCCATTCAAACCTATCAGAAAGTGAGGGGAGTTCATTTTCAGAGGTTCTGATGCATGGAGGCCCCACTATCTAGAGCAGTAAATCTAATTGTGCACTTATGAAAGCTTTTCCTCCTTTCCTGTCTTTTTCTGCCCTGTCATCCTGCTCCCTGGATCACATTCGAAATAAACTACCCACACTCAAGTCTTTCTGCCTGGCCCTGCTTCCAGAAAAACACACACTAAGGTACTGATTCAAGTAAAAAAGCCCTCCAGATTTCAGCTGAAGAGAAGCAGTGCTAGAACACAATTGCTTTTAAAAAAAAAAAAAAAGTCAAAACAAAGCTTATATTACCCTAACATAAATATAGAGATCAGAATGAGGTGGGGATGTTAACTGTCCTCTAGAGTCCTAGGGTGACAGAGAAACTAGAAAATCAAGCTCTGTTTTTGAAAACCTTCTTTAACGTGTTTTACTCATGATTGAAGTGTATTTGGATTATTTGACAATGAAATAAAGGAAAATAACTGTTCTCCTTCACTCTTTAACACTTTGTTGTACTAATAATGAATTTAGGAAGCAAAACAATTAGCCAAATTGTTGTTCACTTATTTTCAGAAATAGCAAATACCAATGTTAATATTGCCATTTTTTATCAGAATTTAAAGATGAACTAAGCTTGTTTTAGTGGATCCATTGAACTATCACCATCATAACCCCTCTCAAAAACCTTTTCTTTTTGTTTAATAATAGAAGTTAGATAATTGCTAACTGCTGCCTTTAGTATGACTAAACCAACTTAATGGGCCAGTCTTTCATTGTGTTGGATCAGAAATCTATAGCTTCAGTCAATTATTTCTCTAAGCTTTTTATCAGGTCCAAATTTTCTTCCTGGGGAATATTTTGAACTTGCCTTTTATTGAAGTAGTTCCCTGTGAATAGATCTTCTTCAGGGAAGAGGCTGCTATCCTGATTACAGTTGACCCTTACAGGTTTCAACTGTGAGGGTCTACTTACAAGTGACTTTTTTTTCAACCAAATACAAATAGAAAAAACATTATTAGCAGATGTGAAACCCAGGTATGTAGAGGGCCAACTTTTCAACTTTTCATAGCTGTGGGTTCCTCAGGATCTACAAAGGGACTTGAGTATGCATGAATTTGGGTCCTGAAACAAATCCCGTATCTATACCTAGGGAGGACTGTCTTTAAATTGTACATTTATATCAAGGGTGACTCCAGCCAACGGATGTCTGAGGAAACCCTTTAAATTAATTTCATAGAATACCTAGATACTTTGACTTCAGGCACTAAGCCTTAACTTTTGATCCAAGCTATCTATTATGTAGGTCCTGACAGCATCAAGATGACTGTGGTAAGACTTTTAAAATAACACTAACCAACAAGAAAAATTCCAACAATTCACTGGTCAGGGGAATATATCTAACATCACACCCTCTTATTCATTCAAAAAAGCTTTGAGGGTTTAATATGTATCTATGTTCTAGACTGAGATAATCTTGTCTTTCTTAAAACATCCATTCTAGTACCAGAGATAAATATTAAACAATCATACAAATACATGATTATGAATTGAGATGTAGACTTTCAAGGAAATACAGTGTCCTAGAAAAACACATTGAGAAAGTCTTTAGCTACTCTTGGAAGACTGTGAAGGCTAAACAAAAAAGTCATGTTTAAGTAGACTAAGTCAGAGTGCAACAGATGAGGCTGACTGCACAGAATCTCTGTGCTGCCCAAGGCTGAGAAACCTGGGTTGTGAGAAACCTTGGTAAACTTTGTCTTTCTTTATGGAGCTAGAGGGGAGCATCTTCTTTAATACCATTATTTTTGAAACTTGTATTTTCTTGTGACTGTTTAGAAATGTCAATACTTAAGTTTTTCTCCCTGAAATCATGTTTATTTTTCTCTCTTTCTCTTTAACCATGTTTAGAGTTAGGATTTGAATCAGTCTTAAAGAAAAAAGCAACAACAACATTGCTTTTAAAAAGTTTTCTATGATAATAAATATGGGAAATTTTCTTATAGTCAAGAAACAGATGAAATATTCCTTTTACATAACTTTTTAGGAGATGTCTACATGTCATTTCTTATTCCCAAGATGATTTAGAGATAATTTAAATATCTAAATCTGTTATGTTTCTTCAGCTGGGCTCTCTCCTCTTCCTGAACAAAGGTGAATTATAGATTTCGGTCTGATGATTGGCTTAATTGGATTTTGTACATGAGAATCAAAAACTTCCTCTTGATGATTTTCCTACGCCTTTGACTTTAAGGTTCTATCTTTGGTCCTTTTCCCTTATTAGAATATAGCTCTAAATAAATCATTGCCCACCTGTCAATGATTCTCCAGACCTTCCACCCACCACCTCCAGAGTTGTCAGGGCAGGGAGCTTATTTTATAAATGCAGTTGTATCTCAAATGCACTTAAACTTGAACAAGTTCCTTTCCCAGACTTGCTCTGTCAGTAAATGCAGGCCTCATCATCCTCCTTTAGTGTTTCCACCGTATAAAATTTATCACCAAATCCTGTTTCTATTTTACCTCTTATCTCCTGCATCTCTCTTTCCTTCATTGTTTTACTAGCTTTACCTTAGTCCAAGTTACTGTCATTTCTTAACAACAACCAATTAATTACTTTCCCTAAATCTTGTCTGGCCCCTATCCAATCTGTTCTTCAAATTGTAGCCACAGTGATCATTTCAAAACTGAGATTTGATTAGTTTAATTCTTGCCAAGTTTAACATCAATGAATGGTGTAACATTGCTCTTAAGGTAAAGACCCAAATCCTCAACGTGGCTTACAAGTCGCGAGGAGAAAATTTCTCTTCCCCTTTCTCATTGCACCACGGTCAGACAGACCCTTTTCCAGTTCTTCCCCTCTTTTCAGAGCCCTTTTATGAGGCTGTTCCCACTGCCTGGAATGCCACTCCCCTCTCCATTCCCTTCACCTGGTTTAGCCTTCACTGTCGTGGTTACCATCTGAGCCTCATGCCCGCAGAGCGAACCACCCCGAGCTCAACTCAGGGCCAGTTTCCTTGGTGTATTCTCACACACCATTGTATTCATTTTCTATAAAGTGCTTCGGTTGGCCTAGTTAGTAAGTAAACATTCAACAATGTAATTGTTTTATTAGTGTGTTTCCCCTTACATTAATGAAAACTCCGTCAATTAGGGACAAGTTGCACTGTTAATCAGTAGTATTGCCCTAATGCCTTGCACAGTGTTTGGCCCATGCTGTAAGCTCAGTAAATACCTGTTCAATATACTAATTCACTCACGTTTTCTCCAAAAAACTTCTCAATTAACAATAGGTACTCATATCTGTCCTATACATAACAGAATAATTTCAGAAATCCTGGCTAATGGAGTAAAGAATTAAAGCCTCCTCTCTCTTCTAATATGAGCACTGTCTGACCTGTACCCCACAGCTGAGAGCTATGTTCGATGCTGTCAAGGTGGGCAGAGGGCAAGCGGAGACTTTTTCCTGCATGTTGTTATTCATGAATCTAGATTTAGGATAATAATAATGTCACTCCATAGTCTCCCTTCATTTTGCCAAGTGAAACAAATCAACTGAGAATCGGCTTACAACATGCGGGTAAAGTTTTTAACCATGTAAATAGAATGAATTTCAGGAAAATAAACTTCTAAAATTGCAAATAGTGTTTTAAAAATGAAATAAACAAAGCTTCTAAAAGGTAAATAAATGTAAACAAACATAGCAGTTATCTCTTTAGAATTATTGAAAGGTCACTCATCTAAACCGTGTAAGTGTCAAGTTCACCTAAACCTAAATTATATAGAACATAGAAAGTAACTGTAAATTAAGCAGTGTAAGAAAAATCAATCCAGTATAAAGAAGTATTTAGAAAATCATATAATTAGGTTGGGAAAAGCTCAGAAAAGATAAAAAATAAAATCAGTTGCAATTTGTAGGATATATTTAAGATAAAATAAATAATTTTAATTATGTGATACTGAAATGATTAAACAGTACTGTCTTTTCTAAAGGGTATGGGAACTGATGACAGAGTCTGGTTAAAGGCAGAGGCTTTTATTCTTTTTTTGGCTTTTGTCTTCAAATTCAAGAGTAATCAGTTAACCAGAACAAATGTCTGCTAAGATAGAAGAAAAAAAAAGAAAACTCAATATTATACAGGCAGAAATAAAAGGCACAAAAATTATTTAAGGAAATAGTGATTTCTTTCATGGAGCCCTTTTCCATGAGAAAGATTGTTCATAACATATAGAATATGAAAGATATTCTGAATTACTGGCATTAAGGAGCATGGTAATTATTCTTTTAAGAAACAAAGAATGAAAACAAAACAATAGCAACAAGGACAATAAAACCTTCATAGAATAAAACAAAAACTCTGTTGTTTTAAAGTTCTGAAAATTGCTGTCCAAGAAAGTCTGACTCTCCCAACCAAGGTCACATTATATTTCTGTCAACTTAACTTTGATAAGTAAAGGTTTCTGTTTTCTGATTCATCAGAGAAAAAGTCAGATTCAATTTTGCTTGTGATAAATATAGATCTGGAATGTCTGTGCATTTAAGCTATTAAATACTAGGCAACTATAGTATTTGGATATTGAATGGGTTTGGCTTATTACACAGAGTGCTTTTACAATCAGCAGACCCATAAAACAAATTCCTAAAGCTTCTATAATTGCATTTTGAATTATTCTCTAGCTTTCATTTTCAAATCAGTTACTTAATATTTTCCTAATGATTTAATTATCATTTCATGTATTTAAGATATTTTAATAAGGTCCAATTATGTGCTGAACATTGTACTAGAATCTTATCAAAGTAGATTTCAGTAAAGATGAGTCAGTATTTTAAGCCATGTTTGGATTTTGTGATTATACAAAATTATTTGCACTTAAACTGACAGATTGAAAAATTAAGGTTTACAAATACATATATTTGTAATACATATAATTGGCCAGTTCTCTTCTGTAATATGAAAGAATTAGATCATCACTGGGGTCCTTCTATGTGATTATATATCCTGACAATTTTAAATTTATTCAGATAGCCTCCATTTCCAGAAATGCCTTGGCATAGAAATCTGTTCATCAATCCTCCCCATTCTTAAAAGCTGACTATAAATCCACATTACTCACGGAAACTACTCTCACTAGAAACTCCCTCCCCTGCTGAAATGTCACTTAAACTTTAGTTCTGCTTCTCTTGTTGCATATGTTTCTATTATATAGCTTAAGTGCATGCATAGACTCTTTGCCTTTGAGGTCAGCATTTCTTCATTAGCTTGTACTGTATGAAATGACATTTGGGATTCTTACTAAATTTATACAGAATTTTTTTAATCAGGTATGATTTGTTTCTATATTTTGCCTCAGACATTTGTTTCAACTGTAGTCAAACATTACTTCTACATTTACTTTTGAATTTTTAACACACTATAGTTTCTGTCTATTTACTTCCATTAATAACTTATTGCATTAACCAATCTTCTGGCATTACCATAGACCAGAATTCTGTCAAATTGTAACTAGTCTTTTTATGTTGCTGTTTTTTTTGGGATTTGATTGAAATCTTTTCTGAAATGTTATGAAAATGTAAACCTTATCAAGAAACTTAATTTACATGTACACTAATTTCTCTTATAATTTTATGAAAAGAAAATACTGAGGTAAAATTACCTGCTCTTTGAAAAGCCCTCATTGTGTATGAACTCAGTGATGTGCCTAAATCTTCAGATCAGGAACAGCGACTACTATCCCACGGTCTTGGTGATGATCACAGAAAGCTGTATAGAGATCATGTTCTTTTTCCTTCCTCATCTTCTTTCTTAAAAAGTATTTCCTCTTTGGCCAGGCGCGGTGGCTTACACCTGTAATCCCAGCACTTTGGGAGGCCAAGGCGGGCAGATCACGAGGTCAGGAGATCGAGACCATCCTGGCTAACACAGTGAAACCCTGTCTCTACTAAAAATACAAAAAATTAACCGGGCATGGTGGCAGGCACCTGTAGTCCCAGCTACTCTGGAGGCTGAGGCAGGAGAATGGCATGAACCCGGGAGGCAGAGCTTGCAGCAAGCCGAGATTGTGCCACTGCACTCCAGCCTGGGCAACAGAGCAAGGCTCCGTCAAAAACAAAAAAAAAAAATTGTTTCCTTTTTGTTTCGAGAACTTCCTTAAGCCATGCATGCTTTCAGGGTTACTTTGTTGGTGACAAATACTCTTCATTTCTTTTACATATGAATGTCTTGATTTCCCCCTTTATTATTAAAAAAACATTTTGAATATAGAATTCTTGCTTGAGAAAAATTGAAAATTACTGCATGATTTTCTTCTGGCCTCCGTCATTTCTGATGAGGAATCAAATGTCATAATTGTTTTTCTTTAGAGGTAAAGTGGCTTCTCTCTCCCTGTTTTCCAGATTTTGTTTTTAGTTTTCACAAGTTTGACTATGATGCATCTCAGTGTAGATTTACTTTGGGTTAACTATTTTTGGAATTCAGTAGTTTTTTAAGCCTGCAGGTTTATATCTTTTGCCAGTTTGGGGACATTTTCAGCCACTTTTTCTTCAAGGATGTTTTATTCCTGACCTCTTTCTCCTCTTATTTGGAAACTCTGATGATACCAATGTTATACTTTTTGTTACAGTAAAGCAGGTCCCTAATACTCTGCTTTTTTTTTTAAGTCTATTTTCTCTCTGTTTTTCAGATTAGGTAATTTCTATTGTTGTCTTTCAGTTTACTAATATTATCTTCTGTCTCTTCTATTCTGCCATCAAACTCATCCATTGAGTTTTTAATTTAGGTTGGTTTATTCCAGATCTAAAATTTTCATCTTGTTCTTTTTATTTCTTTGCTCAGACTCCATTTATCTGCTAAGAATCTGTTTTTTCATTTGTTTCTAGTGTATTTGCAATTACAAGGTGGAGCATTTTTATGATGGCTGCTTTCAAATATTTGTCAGATAATTTTAACATCTCTTGCATATGAGTTTTGGCCATTATTGATTGCATCTTTTCGTTGAGTTTAAGATCTTCTTTTTTGATGTGGCAAGAAATTTTCTACTGCAATCCGGACATGCCGGGTTTATGTTATGATACTCCAGATCATATTTAAATGTATTTTAGCTGGCTTCCTCTAACAATGCCTCAGCAAGGGAAGGTTGGGGTCGGTGGGGCGGTTGCCACTTTGTTTTTGCCAACTGGGTGCGTAAGCCCAGATTCCTGACTCAGATGTTTGTAGCACCTTAGGTAGTAGGGAGGGGTCCTCATTACTGCTCATTGGTGGTGGGAGTTTTGGCTCTCTACTATGCCTCAATTGATACTTACTTGACTGGAAGAGGCAGCAATGCCTCATTATTGCTCCCCATATGGTCTTTACTGACACTTCAAAAGGATGTCCTCATTACCCCTGGGAAAGAGTGAAAGTCCTGATTCTTCATTAGCCCTGTTTAGCCACCACATCAGTTTGGAGGGTGAAAATGGCCCTCTGCCAGGTTGGGGTAGAAGTCTGTGCTCCAATTTGGTTCTCATTGACACTGTAGTTTGTGTTGAGGAGGGTTGTCATTACTACTTGGGAGAGATTAAAGCCCTGGCTTCCTTCTTTACCTTCTATGACACCATCCTGGGAGTGCTTTATTATAGCCTGAGTAGGTGAAAGTCTAGGCTCCCTGCTTTGCCTTTTCTTGCATGCATGGAAGTTGGCCCACTGTTTTTCTGTACTGTTGGGATGGAGTAGGGTGGCTATTATCTAAAAAAGTTCTACCTTGCTATGCCCCTTTACAGGACAATTGGCTAAAGAAAGCAGGCTTTGTTGATGGGGATGGTATTTGCCTCTTAAATTCATTGATGTTTCTGGGTTGCTGGCTTCTTTAGCTTCAAGTCTGGTATATATGAGGCAAAAAACAAACAAACAACAACAAAAAGAGAATACAAAAAACTCACTGCCATGTCATTTCTTAGATCTCAAGTTCCCTAGCCAGACTGTCATCTTCTCTATGCCTTGCAGAGTGTTCATATATTTGTTTTATATATAATACCCAGGGCTATTTAGTGTGTAGAATGAAGAAGAGCACACATACTCTAGCTTCCCAGAAGCAGAACTTCTTTTACTTACTGCTAACTAGAACAAACAGACAATTATAAAATTTGTAGTCATTTTACAGGCACAATAGCATAGGATCTTATAACTACTATTTCTGTTGTAAGTTTTAATTCTGCAAAATACAAATTAATGTTACATTAAGCCAAAAAATAAAAGTCTGCTGGTACCTGGTGCTCAGAAACAGCCTGTCTAATAATCATCTGATAAAAAGTTTTTCTGTGTGCATGGTTTTCACTTTTATTGTCTATAGGCTTTAATTTTAATTTTAATTTTTTATGAAAAAAAAACAACACTGAGGTACTTTTACCACTTTCTGCATCACTTGGGCATTTTACTAGGTTACCAATACATCTCAGTAATTACTCACAGCAATTAAGTAATCTTATCCACAACTTTCCTTGGCTCCTCTGATGTACTTTGTTTATCTTAGAAGACCAAAATTAAATTAAAACAACTTTGTATTAGCTTTTACTACATTTACTTCTCTTGAATCACAATGCTCTCTAGCCTTGCAATAGACTTCTAACTGCATCTAAGCTCTTCTTCCCATTCTATCCTGGGCAAGCAGTCAGAACAATGTCCCCAGTGTTCTGCTTTCATTGTACTTCTTCTGTGCAGAAATGTTTGAGGACTTATTACTTTAAAATACATTCAGGCCGGGCATGGTGGCTCATGCTTCTAATTCCAGCACTTTGGGAGGCCAAGGTGGGCAGGTTATCTGAGCTCAGGAGTTTGAGATCATCCAGCCAACATGATGAAACCTTGTCTCTACAAAAAATTAGCTGGGCACAGTGGCACACACATGTAGTCCCAGCTACTCAGGAGGCTGAGGCATGAGAATCACTTGAACTTGAGAGGTGGAGGTTGCAGTGAGCAGAAATGCCACTGCATTCCAGCATGGGCTACAGAATGAGACTCCTTCTCCAAAAAATAAAAAATAAATAAAATTAAAAAAAAATTCAAACCATTTAGCCTAGTTTAAAAAGACCTTATTCTAATTTTACCTCTTGACATGTTCAATCTGCTATACAAAATTGCTTTTTCTACAAAAATAGCTGGCTTATTGCTTTGATATTCTGTTGCATGCTTTTGATTACCAGATTTTTCTCTATCAAAGGATTCTCCACCAATTTTTTTAACTATGTAGATGTATATTAAATAATTTAATTCCAACTCTATAGCATAGCATGTTGTGGGAGTTCCTATATTCACAACGGTTATCCTTTAAAAAGGCAATCACATTTTCTCCTCTCTCGTGTATGTGGCAATAGATAGTTTATGTAAAACAAGCTTATATAATTTATCCTTCTTATTACTAAAATAATGATTTATAAAACACATAGTTATTCACTGTATTTTATTCAATCTTGAAAGACAACATCATTTTTAGGACTATATGTAATTTAATTGTATGCATTTACCAACTTTCACTTTTTATGTTTTTGTTATTTTAAAAAAATACCATATATTACTTCTACCATTATATGTATGCCACTTTGATTATAATTTCTCCACTTGTCCTATTAGGAGGTATAGTCTATTTCTCCAGCCCCATAACTTCAGTTGTTTTGGAGAATTTATTTCATCTAGGACTTTGAGAAAACTTGCAGTTTATGCTCTCCAATTTGTGTAATTCTGTGACTGTCATATATTAAAAAAAAAAATGTTTCTCTTTCTCTCAATGATCTTTTGGCTCTATCTTCTGGTTCTATAACTCTCTCTTCCCTGTGTCTAATCAACTATTAAATACATCCATTATGTTCTACATTTTAATTTTTTTGCATTTTAGTTTTATAATTTTTCTTTGATTTTTTCCTACGTGCCAATTTTCCACTAAAATCCAAAGTCTTCTTTATAATATATTTAAATATATTTGATATAGTTATACTTTATTATATACATACACAATAATCTGTATCTCTTATATAGACATGATTATATTTCAGCATGCATGTAACAATGAATCTGTATCTCTATGGGTCTCTTTCTACAACGTTTTTTCTCTTGATTTTTGATCACTTTTGATTTCTCCTAGTGGCCTTGATTATTTTATTACTGAAACCCAGAAATTATATAGAAATATTTTTAAATAATATGAAGAGGAATTTTATTTTTTTCTTTAGAATAGATTTCTTTGGCCCTGTCAGGCATTTGGGAGCATTAACATTTCTGATTATTCTTAATCTAATGAAGGGTTAAAGTGATTAGAAATTTGTCTTCTGCCTCTACAAGAACTTGTCTATTGATGCTATACCTTTAATAATATGGTATCGTCTCAGAGATCTAGCCCAAACCTACTTTTGTCATTCCCACTCCCATATAATCTCTCTCCCTTTCTCACCCCTACTCTGTCTCTCTCTCACACACACACACACACACACACACACACGCAAGTCCTTTCCATTTTGTATCTTTCTTACTCTTTGAGTCTATTTACAGGTTATCTCTGGTCAGCTTCTCACCTCACAATCTTCTCAGTCACGTTCTGTGGCATTGCCACGTGAATTTAGGGAAAAAGAGACCCAGAAGCCAGATTCACATTTCTGAGCTTTCTTCTTCTCTTGAATATTGCTCCCAGATATCGTCACTCCTTAGGAACCCTACAAGTTCTTCAAACAAAAGTTTTTTTTGTTTGGTTCCTATTTTCATGTCATTCTTCATAAGTAGATGGATCCCAGATGACCTAGTTAATGACTACCCAAAATGAAAATTCCTAATGATTTAATTTGTTCTGCTTGTTAGAATGTTTACAGACATTTCTCTATAATATTGTGTGGGTATACATGTTAATGAGTGGTTGTTTTTAATTTTAGTTTTAGGAACCACATTTGTAATTATAACTTTATATATTATTCCACTATTTATTTAGACATTTCTGATTTCTTACTATGTAAAATGATAGACTATATTTACCTCCTCCCATCTCCCATAATTACTATCCAATATCTGATTTTTTTAGATTGTATATTTTCAGTATTTTCTAATTATCTCTTTAGTATATGAATATTGGTTTATTTTATATATCTAGCTCATATGATATATTTTTACGTTTGACTAAAAAGGATGAAAAACTAAATGTTGTGCTTATATTTTCACTGATTTTTTTTTATCCTTACCTCACACATTTTCTTAGGTACTAAATTATTTATTATCAAGAACTGTATTTAAATTACGTTTCTGTGACATCAAAGGAAGCAGGCCACAAAACTGCCCTCACTTCTGACTTGAATTGCAAGTTCAGAGGTCCACATGACCACCACCCTTGGGTCAAAAGCTATTTGGAATGATTCACAGAACTGACTTAAAGCTATTATACTCACCATTATAATTTATTACAGGTAAAGGATAAGATTAAAATCAGCCTAAGGGAGGGCAATGGCCACAGTCCAGGAAGTTTCCAAACATTTCCAGTTGTCGTCTCCCCATGGAGTCATGAACAATGTTACTTTTCTGTCATTGATGTATGACAATTCACATGGAGTATTTTCAACCAGGGAAGCTTAGCCAAGCCTTGCTATCCAGAATCTTCACTGGGGTTCAATCACATAAACCTGATTGACCGACTGTGTGTTGGACCTCAGTCTCAAGCCCCTCTGGAGGTCTACTGATACTCCAAGACTCAGAGCAGCCCCCACCCTAAATCTTGAACACTGTCTATCCATGTGGCCCAAAGCTCCCAGGTTAAAAAAAGGAAAAATCTCTTTTATCCTGCATGACATTCCAACGGCTTAGAGATTATCTCCCAAAAACAGAGAGTAAAGGCCAGACCTTTTTTTGGATAAGATTACATTTCTTACTACGCAGTTTCCAAAGCATAACCCCAACATTTGTTTTCGTACCAAAGTCTGTTAATTTTTAGTCCTTTTGCAGTAGAGTTTCCACTATTTGCTATAGCTTATTCGGCAACATATTATTATCTAATAGTTTCTTTAAGGAAATGTAATTGAAATTATTTTTCCTGAATCTATTTTTTGTTAATTAGTTTTCTTGCCTTATACTTGAATGATACTCTGGCTAGGTATATACTTCTCGCATCAGTTTTTTAATTCATATCATAGGCAAGGCTCATTGCTTTCTAGTGTTAAATGTTGCTGTAAAAAATCTATTTCCTCTTGATAGATGATTTTTCTTTACCTAGTTTCTTCATACATTTTTTTCTTTAAGTTTTGTGTCTAGCAAATTTACTAGAACAGATATTAGGGTTAATGATACTTTACCAATGTTTTTCTTGTAATCATTCAATTTGTAGACATAAGTCTTCTTTCATTATTCAAACATTTTTAAAAATTATATTCAATATTTAAATTTTCTTAAATAGGGAGACCAGCTATTAAGTCTATGAACTCCATTTTGATTGTCTTTGTCAATTATAGTCTCAAAATTCCTTTTTATCTTTTGTTTATTTCCTTTGTATTTCTTTGGGTTGTATTTTGCTCTCATTTCAGTTTTCACTACAGCTTCCTGAGTTTATGCATTTGACACTTATTTTTGTCATGTTTTTATTTTAGTACTTTTCTTTCTAATGTTCTGATAAATAATCTGTGAGCTTCTTTTGTTCTTGTTTGATAAAGGCAATTGTATTACATTTTTTGAGAAAAATTTAAATAAATATGTTTGGTCACACTCTTTATCTGTTTCATAGCAAATTTTGCCACCAGTTTTCCTCCTGTTGCCATTTGTTTTCTTCTACTGCCATTTATTTTTCATACATTTGTCATTATCTTTTTAGGGAACATGTGAATATTATTTATTATTGAATAATGTATATTCTTGCTGGACCAACTATCTTCAAGAGGTTCCTGTCTGTAAAAGGATAAGGATCCTAGTCCAAGATTAACTAGACTTCTTTTCATGTCACTGTGTGTGTGTGTGTGTGCATGTGTGTGTGTGTGCACGCACATGCACATTAGATATTGTTGGCTTTTCTTTTCAGCCATTCAAGACCAGCCTCACAGGGATGTTACTCACAAGAACTCTTTCCTCTCTCCTCCTCTACTTACTTTCTTCATTTACAATTATGGATTTTCTGTCCAATTTCACACTGAACTGTGCCTTCCAGTTTCTTTTTAACTTTATGTCGACTGAAGTACACAAAACTTCCTGATGCTAGCCCCATTTCCATGTTCTTAACGTTCTCAAAAATGGATTTTTGGTTTTACTCATCAGAAGTTTCAATTCTAGGGCACTGGCAGTGCTCCACTGTCTTGTGTTCAGTAGTGTATCTTAAATCTTCCCAGTACCCTGGGGGACATGCCCATAATCCCAACAGTAAATCGTTTCTATTTTAACTTTATAATGAGATGAGTTGTCAAGAATGCACACATCCATTTAATAATAAACATATAGCACATGCCCATAACTCCAAGAGTTTCCCCATACTTCCTTGCTGTCACTGCAGCCCTTTTCACTTAACTCCAGGTCCAGCACAGATGCTAATCTGCTTTCTGTCATTATAGATTTATTTGGACCATTTTAGAATTTACAATGTGTCAATAGTAGACGTTATTCTAAGGATACCTTAAACCTACCAACCAGTCTACCACTTGCATTCTCATTTGTCTGAACTCAAAGGGCTCCACACACTGTATGAGTTCTAAGAATTATCCAGTTTACAGTCCCCTGGTATCTGTTTGCTCTTTGTTCAACCTTATGGATTTTCACCTTATGGTTGCAAAATGGACTATCATTATCCTTAGCATCCTTTCTTAAAGAGCTTCTTATTGTTTTTCACTAAGTAACCCCCTTCTTCTCTGTTATACTATCTAGTTAATTCTAATATCTTAGCTTTCTTAAACTCTGATCTTTGCTTTTTTAACTCATGAAAACTGCAACATTCTACTTTGGTTTTTCCTTCCATTGGAGCATATGAGAATGTGCCCCTAGGCAGAAGTATGATAAGTTATAAAGCTCTCCTCATTTGTTTCTTTTCTAAGGGATTGTAGATTATGCCCAACAGTTGTCAAAAATCTGTAAACACCTATATTTTTTTCTGCTTTCTAGTTGTCTATGCAGTAAGGCAAGTTACCCAGTCATGACTGGAAACTGGAACATGCCTTATATTTGTAAGTATAAGTAGTTGAATACTTAAATGTGAAACAATGTTTATAAAATCATTAGCAAATCTAAAATAAAATTAAATGTGAGAAAATTTTATATGAGTATGCATTTGATATGGTTTAACCCTGTGTCCCTACCCAAATCTCATGTTGAATTGTGATGCAAAGTGTTGGAGGTGGAGCCCGGTGGGAGGTGATTGGATCATAGGGATGGTTTCTAATGGCTTAGCACCATCCCCTTAGTACTGTCTCATGATAGAGTTCTCACAAGATCTGGTTGTTTAAAGTGTATAGCACCTCCCCCTTCACTGTCTTCCTCCTGCTCCAGCTGTGTGAGACATTCAGGCTTCCCCGTTGCCCTCTGTCATGATTGTAAGTTTCCTGAGGCTATCCCCGGCCAAGCTTCCTGTACAACCTGCATAATCATGAGCCAGCTAAGCCTCTTTTCTCTATAAATTACCCAATCTCCGGTAATTTTTATAGCATTATGAGAAAGGACTGATACAGCAGTCAATAACGTGTCAGCTTGTGACAGATTGTATGTTTTACCGTTTACTACCTTATAAATTAATTTGCATGGGGAGGACTCAAGAAATACTTATTGGGACAAAATAAAAATAATTGACCTTAATGACGCAAACATCAAAAATATTGTTTATTTACGCAATAAAATTTTATTGGTAATTGGCTAAAATATGTTGGTTTATATTTTCTTACATTCTGCCTCATCTTAATTGACAGCACATGACTAACTTTGCTTTTGTAAAAGACATTTGAAAACTTTACAATCAAACATTTAGTGTGTTTTCTTGAATAAGAGCTCAAATTTTAGCTTGTTTAAACATTTTAAGAATTTTTTAAATTTTTTTACTGCCAAAATGTAAAAAAGCTATGACTATATGAGTATACAGCTTCTTTATTAAAACATTTTAAAAAGACAAGTTTGAATACACCCAAAGCAAAGTGAATCTTCATTTTTCTCTTGCTCACATGAAAGAATATTGAATCTTGGTGGGCTGACATTACAGCATCTTTTGTTTCCCAAATTAATTAGGTTTTAATGATTTCTTTTGAACAACTTTGTTGTCACACAGTCAAAGGTTTCACTAATATTTTGCCTCAAATTCCTTCTTGTCTCCAAATATTATTTTCTGATATAGATGTTTTTAATGTAGGTTGCTTTATTTACCTCATTTGGATACTTAGTTCTCCCATACAAAAGTCTCTGCCAGCTTAAAAAGCATTTGCTCTGTTTCACAAAAGTAGTGTTTAATGCAACTTATGTTGATAGTTTTATAACACTAACCCAGCAGAAATAGTGCTAATTTAGTATGGTTAAATTTAATTTGGAGTAAGTGCTCAAGATTGATTCCAAACCTGTTGTAACAGGTGCTTAAAAATAGAATTTTTTAAAAAAGCACAAGCCCTAAAACAAAAGACATTACCTTTTAGTTTCAGGTTATTTCCAATGTAAACATTAGATTGAGCATTTTTATTGTAAAGTTAATTTTGTGCCACAAACACACATCATGAAACAAAGGGAATTCCACTGAGATAACATTTTCAAAAAACCATAAATGCTTATATAGCATTCTGAGGTGTCTTTTATCTATAGGTGTAAATGCTAATTTGTTAAAACTGACAAAAAGAATTAAAGGCAACTTTACATGATAAATGAATAAATGAAATGCTAAATTGATGGAAATGTTGCATTCTTTAAATGTCAACATGTGTTGTTGAATTCAGTGTCCTCATACTGTTCTGTATTTCACTCTGATAGAATGGTATTTGCTGGAATAACCTTCAGATTTGTGGAAAGGTTCAAAAATATTAAATTATTTTTTCAATGCGTTAGATATAAAATTCCCAGAACACTGTCTTGCCAGGGCAGATAGTTCAATTCAGAGCTAAGTACTAAAATTTCTCATCTAATGAAAGGTCTTGTTTTATTCTTAGAAGCTCAGTTCATAAGTGTCATTTTTTTAATTAATTGGAATTTTTATCCATATAACTAAAGAAGTAATATATGGGAGACAATATTTGTCTCATATGTCTAACACATGGTTGCTTATGACAGTGGCACTAATAATTGGCTTATAATTCCATAATTATTAAAATGGACTATCAATAGTTCACCCATGTTAGCATTACATATCTAGCAATCCTGTGACATATAAAATACACAGGACCTATGTAGTAGATTTTAAAAGCCCACTCACATAGAAAGAGAGCATAAACCACAGGTTTTTATGGGATTCAAAATCAACACTGAGAAGTAAAAACGTGTGGATCAAAATAGCTATAAACAGATGTGAGATTGTGGCTGTCCATACATAATAGTAGTTTTACAAAGAAATACTTACTCAACATTAAAAAAATTTATAAAGAAGAAAGTTACTGAGCTAATAGCTTCATGCTTCAAAGCAAAGAGAATTACTTCATAGTGAGAAATATGAAAAAAAAGAAGGACATAACATGAAACCAAGTACTTTGACAGAAAACAACATAAAATATAAATGTGGCAATATGGAAAAGATAACTTATGAAATCAGGAGAAGATGGGATAGAAACCTATGAAAATCACCCTTTCTATATTCTATATTTCAATAGTTTAAACCATCTTGTTTCCACTGCTGCAAGATTTTTTATTATTTACAATGTGATGGAAAAGTAATTATTCCCTACTGTTTTATTATGTAGCTGGACATCCTCTTGCACACCCTACTTGTCCTCTCTCTTTCTCCTGTCTTACACCTTCTGAGAGACATGATTGATTCATCGGAGTGAAGATTTTCAGAGGAGCTAAACAAATGTAACTCAACCCCTTCCTTCCATCCCTCTCATTCCCTCCCCTCATTTTCTCCCTTTTAAGATCTACCAGTCTGCAGAGATTAGTGCTTTGGGCTACCGTTGGCCAGACAAGAAAACTTACTGATAAAGGAAAAATTCCTGGGAAAATTGATCTAAATTTGATGGATGTGAGGCCAGTGCTATGTTATCTTTGTGTCTTTGTGTGTAACCCTTTACTTTAAAGTGGGAAACATCAGAGGCTTGATTCTTTTTATTTTTGTTTTTGAGACTGAGTTGTGTTTTTTTGTTTGTTTGTTTGCTCTGTTGCCCAGGCTGGAGTGCAGTGGCAACATCTCGGCTCACTGCAACCTCCACCTCCAGGATTCAAACGATTCTCCAGCCTCAGCCTCCCAAGTAACTGGGATTGCTGGTGCCCGCTACCACACCTAGCTAATTTTTGTATTTTCAGTAGAGATAAGGTTTCACCATGTTGGTCAGGCTGGTCTCATGCTCTTGACCTCAGGTGATCCACCTGCCTTGGCCTCCCAAAGTGCTAGGATTACAGGCGTGAGCCACCAAGCCCGGCCCAGAGGCTTTGACTGATACAAATTTCTGTCCAAACTACACCCATTCTAGTGTGATACAGCCAAGGCTACAACTGCAGAAAGAACCCCAACTCTTATATAGATCTTAGGATTTTTCTTGCTGAATTCAGCAAAAGAGAAAATGATATGGGACAAATTTTCAATTTAAATTTCTTGGAATATTAACTCAAAAGAGCAGGAGAATTAAAATGTAAACTTTAATTTCTTTAGATTTTGAGTTACAAAGCAATCTAAATGTAGGATACTAACTCCCTCCATAAGAAGCTTACAGCCGGAGAAGATAGGTAATCAAATATAGGGAATCTAATTATTGGCAACATTTTTTTAGGGTAGCTTTACATCATTTTTAACTTTATTTCAAAATCTCTAGTTGGCTATGTTGAACGATGAGGCTGCTAATAAATTGAGACCAGCATTTTAGTAGGTAGTGACTTTTGACATATAGTACAAAACACCTGTAGAATATAGTATAATAAATATAACATTATACCATTATAACTCATTGCAGAGTTTTCTAGGCTCAAAACCAATCTTGTCCAGAGTTTCATGTTATATTATGCTCCTCTTCAGGTTTCTTCCTGTGAAATAACCCCTTTTGGTTTAGAGCAACACGGAGCTATAGTATTAGGGAAATATAATGAAAAATACAATATTCTCCCAGTCATGAAAACCTCTCCACAAAGTATAGAAGAAAAAGTTTCATAATTGAGTAAACATTAAGCCAGAATGTGAGCCTTATCACAAGCAATTTGCTAAGAGATTTCAAGAACAGAAAGAAATCTCGCTCTTTTCTATAGCCGAGTAGAACAACCCATCACACATGTTTTCAAGATAGACAATAAAGAGTCGTCAAGTAAGATGAGTTGACGGCACCATTTGTCATCAAGATGACATTGGGGCAATCATCTGGGTTAACTAATTGAATTTATTGGGAAACAAAACTTCTCAAATTTTTGGGACAGGATATAGTTTTACAATCTGGGGCAAGCTGCTCATAGAAGTTAGTCTCCTACCCTTCCACAGAAACTGGAAGATGGGGGTGCTATCTCCCTCAATATTTAAATGTTAAAAACATTCCTGGGTCACAAAGCTGACAAAAGGCCCTTCTTGTCTTCTACAGGATTTATATCCATACATACATTTTAAAGAGAGGAAAAAGTCTTACAAGTTTTCTAAGGTAAATGCTATGGAGAAAAAGAAGGTGAGAGGAATCACTCTCTTATCTTTCGTAGGGAGATTAGCCTCTTATTCTTAATATGTATCTATTTTTAGTAATTTTCTTCTGTATAATTCTTTCCAACTCTTAAACAATCGTTCCCTAAGAAAATTGCTGTAACATAGGGACACTCACAACTCAAATCCTTTTGTAGGTATTTCGTTCCACAGATTTTTACTTTTGGGGTTAGATTTTAAATCTTGTAATACTTATGGTAATTCCCTCTCTCTGGGTGAATGGGGTTAGAAAAACATAATACGTGACAGTGGCTCCAGGAGGCTCAGCAAAACAGCAAGCAAGCATTAGTTGGTGTGCAGGAGCAACGTCAAGGTAAGAGCAGTACCTCACTGATAAACTGGTATTCTGCTATGAGGGATAGCTTACTCCTAGTTGGCGAGACTAATTTTTTAAGCATAATAGATAAAGAATATAACAAGATGGGACCTATTGGGAGGAAATGCTTTGTCACTGTATCTGACATTTCCTTTCACATACATGTCTCTATTGAGTCCTCTCTCATTACCCCCTAGAGAGGAAGTAACTTATTTAATTGCAGAGTGTTGTAATGCAACACTCTGAATCCTGTGAGCATACATGATTCATCTCTTTCCTCATTTTCACTTTGGATAAAACTGCTTCCAGGAACTGTGTGCTTCTGTCTGTTCTCGGCTGAGTGATAAGTTACACTTAGTTATAAAGTATCTACCCTCACTCCCAAAACAATTGTAGTCTAATGACTGTCTTGTAAATCTGCCTAATCCTTGGGTTCACCATTAGGAAACTCATTGAGTTAAGCTACCACACTCAACCAAGCTTTTGCTGCTAAAAATGCAGATTTTATTAAAAATGCAGATCTGCTTGACCACTACATTTCCCTCAGTTGCTTTTGACTTCAAAGGAGAAAGAAAAGAAAAACAGTGCATTTCTAAAGCACCAATAAATACTAGTATTGGTAAGTACCAGAATAGGCATAATGTAACTTGATTTCATATAAATCTGTTAAACATTTATAGTGGTCTCTGTTTTGCAATTGAGAAAACAGTTTCAAAAAGCGTAAGAAAATTATCTGAGGCTTTGTATCTGATAAATGCTTTTCTGACTCCAAAGACCACAATTTTTTAAATGTTACTATTATTTGAGCCATATTTCAAGGAATGTTTTATTCTTTCCTAATAACTCCTCAAGTGGAATTCTCTATTTCTTTTTTGAAACTACATAGTTCTTAGCTTCCTTTTTAGTACTATCTATACCATTATGACTTTTGCTTAAGTAACGTGTTCAGTCATGAGATTCTGTAAACCACCACCTTTTCTGAAACTCCAACAGCAGTCAACTATACTTGCATAATGCTATACACCTGGTAGGTGGAGAAAAACATGGTCATAAAATTAAATTCTTCCAAATCAAGACTAAGTCAGCCAGAATGCAACAAAGCTTGACTATCAGACCAAGAGTTATGCTAACGTCCTTAATGATTATCAAATTGTTTAGAATAAAACCTCTTACAGCATGATTGACAATCCACCAATCTAAGGAGACACACAGCAGTGTCATAAAGTTATATCTTACCAATTTGAAAATGTTTTTCTATAATATTTGGAGGCACATACTGAATTTTGAGATTGTTTTCTGCAAATAATCTATGTTCTGAAATACTATATAATTTGATGGAAATATAATAGTAAGACAAATGAAACTGATGAGGGAATATATATGATTTCTGAAATAGCATATGGTATAGAAAACCAACACTGCCTTTTTATGTGAGTCACAAAGGCCTGAATCTCTGATGCCGTGGACATTGGCATTTTACTTACTCAACATGGAGGAATAAAAGAAACTATCATTCTTGTGCATGAACCTCATGTGAAGTATTATGATAGACATTTTAAGTACTTTAACTTCTTTGATAATCTCAACAAACTTGAGACTTATCAACATGAAAGATAAACACTACCTCACTTACAGATGAGGAAATTGAAGGAAAAAATAAATGTAGTAATTTTTCAAACTTCATATACTATTGAATGGCTGAGCCCAAATGAAAGCTAAATCTGACTTACTCCAGAAATTTTTTTATTGCAGATTATATCAGAAATATTGCATTCACTTATTCATTCTTGTAAATAAGACAAATTTGGGTCCTATTATGATGGAATTCAAAGTTTAAATATTTTTAAAATAAATACTTAAAAGTTATTTTATAAACAACCTTATACTTACAATTATGAAGAGTATTTAAACATGTAGAAATTATGAGAGGACACAATCCAGTATACTAACAAAGTTCCCATTTAAATTGATATAAGAAAATTAGAGTCAACAAGATGAAGTTAAACAGTTGGGAAAAAAATAAAGACAGCATTTCCGGAAGAGGAAAATTATATGTGATTGTCCAGATATATGAGGGAGTTTGGTAAGTTATTTTAATGGAAGGTCTGCCATGCTAGAGAATAGGGAGAGAGCAAACAATCCTTGGGTCTCTGCGGTTTTAAATGAAGGATATTTATTTCTCACACTCTACATATATTGGTGTGTCCTCCATCCTCTAGATCATTAGTAATAAAAGTGACAAATTTTATATTTTGTGGTTTTCTAAAAAATGTTGCCTGAAAGTGACAAGGATCTCATTTCATAGTACAAAGAAAGGTATGTGGCCATACCTAATTTATGAGAACAAAGACGTATAACTCTAAAATGTGCTAAGAAGGAATACTCACAAAGTGAATAAATGGGAATGCATGACTAGGGGAAAAGAATAACATGAAGTGAAGCTGGAGTTTTAGTGATGGAACAGGCTACCCTTTGCTTTGCAGGTACTGGCTTACCTTGGATATATTGCAGGTTTCCTTCCAGACCACCACAACACAGAAAATATGGCAACAAACATGTATTTGCACTGTGTGTGTGTGTGTGTGTGTGTGTGCATGCATGCACGCATACGTATGCAATACATTGGCATAATGGATTCTACAGCTCAAAACTAGGAATATCTTTGTGGCTCATAGGCTTTTATGCAGTAGAACGAGTCTTTAGGATTCTACACTGACAGCATCATTTTCCCAAAAGGAATCAGCCAGTTAAATTATTTCATGACTCAAATAAATGTTGGGACTGGAATTGGCCTGGAGTCTAAATTAGTTGGTTGTATACCACCTTTCTTTCTACATGATTAGTTAAGCCAGACTTGAGTTCTTTTGGATATATATGATACATAAATACAAAGTGGGATGATAAAGTAATGAATTTAGCTTTTATTTTAATTAATCATAATAAACATCAGTTTACCTGGAATCCACCAAGCACTGTGCTCAGAGTTTAGCATGTGAGGAAGACTAATTTGTATTTCTTGCTCCCTAGTACCTATCAGTTTAGTGACTTTGCCTTGTGAGATGCTAAATGGCTCTAAGGACGATTACAAGATACTACGGCAATGTTCACAGGCACTGGGGCTCAGTGGAGGCACTCAGAGCTGGAATGTTTGGATTCACACCCCTACTCTACCACCTATCAACTGCGAATTTTGGCCAGTCCTTCTGTGCTTTAGTATGCCTGGGTAAAATACAGGTACAGGAGTGCCTTGGAGATACTTGGGATTTAGTTCCAGATCACAGCAAAAAAAAAAAAATATTGCAATAAAGCAAGTCACACAATTGTTTTGGTTTCCCAGTATGTATAAAAGTCACAAAAGTTTATTAAGTGTGCAATAGCATTATGTCTAACAAATATACATACCTTAATTTAAAATAATTCATTACTAAAATATGATACCACAGGGACATGAAATGAGTATGTACTGTTGGGAAAATGGCACTGATTGACTGGCTTGATGAGAGGTTGCCACAAACCTTTAATTTGTTAAAAATGCCAGATCTGCAAAGTACAATAAAGTGAAACACAATAACATGAGGTATGCCTGTACTGTTTTAGCAATATAATGTTATCAAATTTTCATTTTAGGAGATGATTTTGGCTTCTTATATGAACAGACTGTTGGGGAATAGAAATAGAATCAAGGAGGCCAGTTAGGAGCCTACTATAAAGATAATTTGGAAAGATGATGTAGGGAAATGTAAACTTTCCCTCTGAAGGTCTCATCATTGAGTTTACTGAAATAAACTACAGATTAAAAGGAGAAAAGACACACAAATATATTAACATGCAAGTGCATGGGAATCCCACAAAGTAAGAAACTCAAAGAGCCAGATTATTGAAGCTTAAAACCCTTTTCTAAGGCAAAAGAAAGTGGAGAACATACGCAATTTTTGAAAAAGAGTAAATAATTTTTAGAGGAAATGAATAGGCTGGAAGAACAGACAATGGCTTGAGACAAAGCTCCCCTTGGCTCCAGAGGAGCTAGTAAGGAGTTATGGTAACAAGGTGAGGGGTGGAATTGCACTTCAAAGTTTGTCTCATTATGCAGACAAATTCTCAGGTAACAGCATTCAGAAGAATAGATAAAAAGTCTGTTCAGGCAGGCAGGATGATGATCTTTGGCTCTTTTTTCAGTGATTAATCTTTCCTGGTTCATGCAATTTCAGACCATGGAGTGAAGACAATTGTGTTTCTTTTGGAAGAATTTCCCTCAGTCAGATAAGGGAACTTCAGAGTCCTTCCTTATACTGAAGGGAGAACCAAAGAAAGGTCAGAAACATCTTTATTCTGAGGCATCTTGTAAGGTTTTCCAATTTCTTTTAATTCAAAGTGTTCTGCATGCCAATATGCCATACTTTGGGGTATGATTTTCTGAGCCCCAACAAGGATGTTAAATAACAGTGAAATGAGAAAAGTGAGCAGATAAGTAATCTCATTAGAGAGCAAGTAGAGTATTATAATTTATTGATTATGGATTAGGAATGAGAGACAGAAATGTCAATGTTCGTCTAAGTCTCCATCATGAATTATTAATTAAATGGTCATGATATATTTCTTAGATGGGCAATATGAATGTATTAATAGATGAAAGTTTATAGGGATTAATTGAGAATTGAGAGTCAAACCTGTTTAATGTGAAGTTTTTCAAGAGACATCAAAATGAAGGTATTAAGTAAATAGCCAGGTCTATATGTCTAAAAGGGAGCTTACAAGAAAGATCTATGGTAGATATGTGGATATAAAAGTTGTTTGCATATATGGTATTTTCAACCATAAATAAAGAGAAATTCTTATTTAGACAAAAATTGTAGAGGAGGAGAAGTGCCAAAAGCAAACACCTTTGGCAATCCAACACAGAAAGGTCAATTTGATAAGAAAGAGCCAGCAAAGAATATTAAGAGGCAATCAAAGAAGGAGCACGAGAACCTACAGAAAATTCTGTCCCATTTCTCCACCCTAGGCATCAAATTTTAGAAGTCTCATGTTAACCCACGAATTGAAATCTGAACAATTATTTAGGGAAAGTTGATAATTCAACTATCTCTTTACATTCCACCTTGTGATACTTTTAAGAAAAGGCAGGCAGTGGCATGTGTGTTTTGAAAGAAAGTGGGGGAAGAGAGAAACAAGCGATACTGAACGGAAGATAAAAATGCTAGATTTCCCTTCTGCAATTCTCTACTCTATCTTAGTAATACATTCACATACAATCCCATACAAGTGTATATTATTATTTTTGCTAATCTTTTGCACGCATTAACTGAAATGGAAGGGTTAAATATATTCAGTGCTCTTTGCGTTGCTCTCAGGGCTTAGATATAACACAATTTACAAAATCTAACTGAAAAAGGGAAAGATATGAAAATATTAAATGCTCTAATGGTTACCTTCCTAAGGCTTTGTGGGTGTTGTCGGCAAGATAACAGAAGAAGTATGATAGTTAAGAGTTATATTTTAAATTCTATAAAATACATCCATGGTATAGAATAAAAACTACTTAAGTTATCATTGAATTTATTTTGATGTAAAGCTAACACTGTGCCTAGAAGAGGGGTTGGTGTTATTTATTATTCTCTTTTCCAGACCTAGAATGAGGAGAGATGAAATTTAATTTAATATCACCAGTAGAAACCTGGCTATGGATCAATATCTGGTGACAGCCTTGTATTCCTCATACTTTACAGACTGTATTAGTTCTTTCATAAAAAACATAGTGATTCACTGTGTGTTCAAAAAGATTAAAGGCAGTACAATTAGAATTATATTGTGCAATAATGCCTTACATCAGAGCATTGATGCACACAGACCAAGAAAGGATAATCTTTTATGTCATCAGTTACTGTGTACCCCAAATAGATTCTCAGCATTTACTGTACAGTTACTCTTTCATTCCCAAACAATTACCAGTAAGAAGTAGCAAGTAAGATTTCCAATTTCACTACATGCCATACCTTGAACTATATAGGGCTGGTAAACCAGCTTGCTAGTTTTTGCTGGCTTTAATTTTTCAGAAATTAAACTGCTCCTTTGTTTGCAATATTACACAAAGTGTACTTGAGCACATCTTATTTGTTGGTATTAAACAGGTCAGCACGTTTCCTAGGGAAGAGCAAATTTTGATGTTTGTCTTTTTCCCTGTGCTGCATTCTGCATTGGTCAATGAGTAAGGGAAAATTACTGGGCTCTTCAGTAGGTTTCTAAAAAATACTAATGATCGTGTGTGTGTGTGTGTGTGTGTGTGTGTATGAGATCTGTTTATAACCATTAGTGTCACCACTGAGGCATAGTTCCTCTCTTTGTTAGTGGAGAATATATTCATATTCTTGAGAATGCATTCATATTAAATTAGTTTAAGGTAGTTTTTGTTTTTGCTTTTTAAATAAGTTGAGAAGTATGTAGTTCAAGGTAGGTAAGGAGAGCCATGATGCAGATCAGACACATCTGCTATGCATATGTTGCTTTCGCCTTTAAACTCACAGGAAGACTACTCCAATTTTGCAGCTATATCTGTATGAAAAGTTTGAAGAAGTGGGTAAAGGGAAGAACAAGAAGCAAATGGTGGATGTCTGATGTCTGTTGAGTGTTTCTTTTTAAAAAAAATCTGATGTCCAATTCCAGAGTTGGTGGATTAAGCAATTCAGAGCATGCTTATACCTGCGGACAAGAAATGACAGTAGTATTAAAAAAAATAATTAAAAAAGACTTTTGCTTGAAAAATTGAGAACTGAAAAGACAGAAAAGAATTATAAGGACAAGATATAAGAGAATTAAGAAACTCAGTGAAGACAGTTGGCTTTGGGGGACCACTTTTGCCCAGAAGCATCAGCAAAGACAGGCATCAGCTGAGAAGCTTACCAGCGCTGGGACTGGATTGACAAATACTTGAGTTCAGGGCGCATCAGGGGAAAAGGCATTGTCATTGTCCATTTTGTGCTGCTATCACATAATAACACAGATGCAGCAATTTATAAAGAACAGAAATTTATTTCTCACAGTTCTGGAGACTGGAAAGTCCAAGATCAAGCTGCCAGCATCTAATCTGGGCCTTCTGGCTGCAATGGCAGAAGGCAAGGGGGCAAGCAGAGAGAGAGAAAAGGGAACCTTTTATCACAAACACACTCCCACAATAATGGCACTGATCTATTCTTGATGCTGAAGCCCTCCTGGGCTAATCACCTCTTAAAGGTCTCACTTCTAAGTAGTATTACAATGGCAATCAAATTTCAACTCGATATTGTTTTTCTTTTGAGATGTGTCTCAATTTGTTGCCCAGGCTGGAGTGCAGAGGCCTGATCTTGGCTCATCACAACCTCCACCTCCTGGGTTCAAGCGATTCTCTGTCTCAGCCTCCCGAGTAGCTCGGACTACAGGCATGTGCCAACACACCTGGCAAATTTTTTTATTTTTAGTAGAGACAGGGTTTCACCATATTTGTCAGGCTGGTCTCTAACTCCTGACCTCAGATGATCCACTCACCTCGGCCTCCCAAACTACTGGGATTACAGGCATGAGCCACCCCGCCCGGCCTCAACTCGAGTTCTGAAGAGGACAAACATTCAAATCATAGCAGGCACTAAAAAGCCCCTAGGACTTTGGATTTGAATCCCAAGTGGTTATTTCATAGGAATAAGGGAAGTCTTTGGAAGGACTAGCTCCAGTAGAAATTTAAACTCAGCTTCCAGGCATCTCAGAGTCTAATTAAATTAAATGAGCCGGATTCATTCTTTACAACCAGTTTAGTTGGGTGTGGCCATAGACCTTGCTTTTAACAAAGAAACACAAGTAAAAATGTTGTCTATCTTTCTAGGCAGAAATTTACATAGTCAGTACAGGGCTTGCTTCCTTTGTGTGCTAATTTCATGGGACTAGCAACATTGCAAATAGTGTTTGCATGTTCAGCTGCCACCAAGTGAGGACCTTAGAGCAAAAGCTTCAGTCATACCACAATGGATATGTAGATGTGTTGTTTTAAGCCACTGAGATTTGAAGGTAATCTTAGTGTTTCAGTTAGGATATTATTTCAAGATTTCTGTGGATTTCAAAATTTTTATAATAAATTTTTTAAAATGTAATTCCAGAAATCCAACCAAGAAAGTTCCACCTTATATTTTATTGGCTATTCAAGCTTGGTGTAGGAGCATGGAGGGGATTTTGACTTAGATAATGTAGGGGTGAAAGAGTAATATCTTCTCGTCACCCATAGCGCTGCCACCCTAATACCAAAAGATAGATTAATGTGAGAAAAATATTTAAATTCATTTAATGTAAGTTTTATGTGACATGAGAGCCTTCAGGAATGAAGGCAGGGAAAACTATATTCCTATTCTTAGGTTTGATGACGAGTGGACAGTCATACAGAAGTATGACTGGACAAAATAGGGTACCATCAAATGGCAATAAACTGGAGGAAACTTAGCAAGGCCTATTTGTTCATATTCTTCTCCATCTCTTTGTCTCTTCATTCCTTTCCTCCAGGTATAACGAGGGCACTGCTGGAATGAAGGTATTATGGTCTACTTTAGAGGAAGGTCAGAGAATTATCTTATGGCCTGCTTCAAGGGCAAAAGCTAGAAAAAGGTCAGAGAAACCACCCTGCTTCTGCTATTTTCTCATATGCCAAGATGCTCTATTTTGGAGTAGTAGGTCCTAAACCCTGTCAGTACATTGCCACCTTAAGCAAAATCAGAGTTGTTCTTAGTAATGAGTAAGGGAGGGCAGACATAGATTAGCAACTAACAGCACCTGTCAGTACCACTCTTTTAGCTAACCAATTTTCACATGTAATCTTCTTTCCATAAAAGAGACAGCCTCACCCCTTGTCAAATAGTATGACTCCAAAATCTCGTTCTGCTTCAGTGTCTACCTTAAAGCACAGGATTTTAAGGTTATGACAAATCCTCTCCATCTGAAGCCATTAGTTGTAGTTCATCATGATACAAAGATCTATAAACTAAAAATTATCTGCTGATATCATAGCTAATGTACACTACTGGAAAACAGCACCCACGATATAAAACAAAATTTTTCAAAAAAGTAAACACATAATGAGAAACATACAATAATTGTAAAAAATGCAAACAGCAAATACTGCAAGGCAGAAATAGTGAAGGCTTGCTGCCATATAGTGGCATCAATTCCTGGATTATGTAATTCAACAGTCCTCGGTTCTGTTCCCTGGAATAATTCCCCTTGTCCATTGGTCTCACATCCCAGTACTGATTGCTAAGTAGATATTAGTCTTTATATTTCATGGCACTAACTCAGATGGGAATCTGGAAACATGCATTTTCTGGGTGTACAAGAACTTCCATAGTTCACTGCCTATGAGTATAAACTAGAGGAATTGGGAATATGACTAGCTAGACCTGAGTTTTCTTTGCCAATGCAGACCCCTGCAGTTAAATTGACTCTCAGCTTCTTGGTTTATATTCATGTGGACAAACCAGTAATAACAATTTCAGCTTTTACATTTTGACCAACCCCATCCCTTAACTTACATAGGAATCATGACCCAAAAGAGAGGTGAAAAAAATCTGGGAGAAAATTATTCAAATGAACTATAATAAAGGGAGACTAAACACACCAGATTTAAAACATATTATAAAGCCTCAGTAATCAAATCAAAATGGTAGTGATTTACGAATAGGCAGCTAAATGAAATAGAATTGAATACAAAGTCCAGAAGCAGAAACAAATACCTAGTGAAACTTAGTATATGATAAATATAGGACCTCAATACAGTGGGTGTAGAGACGTATGTTTTCATAAACAGTGAAGGGCAACTAGGCAGTGATTTATAAAAGTTAATGGTAAATCCATACCTGATTGTGCATCAGAATAGGTCCAAATGTATCAAATACTTAAATGTAAAAACGTGAAACTACTCAATTAAAGCACCAAGATTCCTTTGTAAATGTGGGGCAGGGAGGTTTTTGCAGGCAATATTCCAAATCTGAGAGCTGTTAAAAGACACACTGATAAATTCAATTACATTAAAAAAGAAATGAAAATGAGGAAAATACCTAAGGCAGGACAAGAAAGATCAATGACAAAATAAACCTATTGACCTTGGAGGGAAATATTTGAAATGCTTATCATAAAAGTATGTTTACTAATATGAAAGAGCTCTTAAAAATTGAGGAAAAATAGAAAAGTTAAACAGAAAAATGGGCAAACCTCGTGAACAAACATTTTATATTAAAACAAAAAAACCTTATGAGTGACACTGAAACATGTGTAAAAAATGCTTAATGGAACTTGCGATAAATGAAACATGCAGCTCCACTGGGATGCCACGTTACACTCTAGGATATTGGCAAATATCCAAAAATTTGACAAAGTACTCATTTAATGACTCTATAGAGAAGTAGACTTTCTCACACATTGCTGATGGGGGATTCAAAATGGGACAACTTCACATAGAGAACAATTTTGCATCATCTGACAAAATTACAAAAGCATTTATACATTTACTTAGCAATTTCCCTTCTAGCCAGGAATCTAGCCAGCAGATATATCTGCACACCTGAAAAATAATGTATGCAAAAATTCCATTCTGTGTGATTGCTTGTAATAGCCAAACATGAAAACAACTAGAGTGCCCATCAATAGAAAATGGTTAAATAACAATTGCATATCCTGTTATGTCTAATTGTTCATTAATCCTGTAGCTCCCTGGGGCTTTTTCTCAAACAATTTTCTCTTTTCACACTTCGTTTTCTCTCAGGATGTGATTCATTCTCAGTTTTTTCATTTATTTCTATTTGCTGACATTTCTCAAATTCTCGTCTGTGCCTCAGGTTTCTCTTTCTGAAGTCTAGGCCTGTATGTCCAATTATCCATTTGACATCTTCACTTAGATTAAAGGTGGCATCTCATACTGATGTGTTCAAAACTGAACCCGTTTTCTAGCCAAACACCATCCCCTGTCCATTTAACCTGTTTTTTTCCCCTCTGCCTACAATATCTTCAATTCACAGGGATCCTCCTTAACTCGCAATTTTCTCTACACCTCTACCAATTCAGTTTCAAAACCTTCTTAATCCAGTATACTTATCATCTATTAAGACAATTTTCTTTTCAAAATTACCATCATCCTAGACCTAGACACCATAGTATTCACATTTACTGCTTCCGCATGCTCTTAACTGTTCCCTTTGTATCCTTCTTTGATCCTTTATGATTCCTTTTAAAAAAAATTACCAAAATATGCATAATTGACAATATATGATTTATATACTAAATAATATACTTATAGAATAACGTACATGATTAATGCAATATATATATAATATACAGTGATATACAATACAAACAATAGTGTATAATAATATTCAAATCTATGGTTATGATTTTCCTGGTTGAAACCCTTTCATCATTTTCCAGTATTCTTAAAATTCCAAAATAATGCATGGCTATACCTAATTTGGAATTTTTCTTATCATTCGAGTATCATGTTGCACAACTTGTTTTTTTCTTGTTGGTTTTTCCACCTTTTCCCTGTATCTCAAACATATTGTGCTCGCTCTCATTTTAGAAATGCATATAAACGCAGTTGTCGCTACCTGAAATATGCCTTTTCCATCTTTGCACCATCAACTTTTCTTCTTTTGTGGCTATGCTGACTAATCCAGTTTCCCTGCATCCTCACCATTATTTACTGTTATAGATATTTTCTATTTTGATTTTTCTTATAGAAGCATAGTGGTATTTCATTGTAGTTTTAATTTGCATTGACGTAAGAGCTAAAGATGGTGAACAGCTGTTCATATGCTTATTATGCTATCCTATAAATTTAGAAACACAGAAGAAATAGATCAATCCCTCAAAAACTATAAAGGACCAGCCAACCACATTCAACCAAGATGACATAGGAAATCTGACTACTCCTATAATATTTACATAACTCAAATTTGTAATTAAAAAGTTCCCAACACAGAAATCTCCAGGCACAAACTACTTCAGTGAAGAATTCTACCAAACATTTAACAAATAATTTACAACAATTTTACACAGTATTTTGTGGAAAATAGAACAGAATGGAGAATTTCCCAAATCATTTATTGAGGCTGGAGTTACCCTGGTATCAAAACCAAAAATAGTACCAAAAAAAAAAAAACCTGAAGAACAATGAACTTAATTCTCACAAAATTAAAGCACAAAATTTCTCAACTAAATATTAGTTTATGGTTTTTTGTTGGTGAGTAATTTTTTTATGAGTACACCATAGTTTGTCAACGTCTTCCCCTGTTGGTGAACATTTGGGTTGTTTCTTGGTTATTTCTAGACTTTAGCTATTACAAGTAATAGCCAAAGCTATTATTCAGCTGTGCCTACTCATGTACACATCTTTCTATGGATGTAGTTTTTATTTTTCTTGGGTAAATGTTAAGGAGTGAAATGACTTGAACATAAGCTGGAGGTATATTTTGGTTGTCAAGAAATAGAAAAACAGTTTTCCAAAGTGCTTGTGTTTCTTTAAATTCCCACCAATACTGTGTGAGGTTTCTAATTCCTACACATCCTCACTATTACATGGTGTAACCAAACCTTTTAGTGTTAGACATTCAAGTAAGTATGTAGCAGTATCTCATTACAGATTGATGTCGTATTTCCCTCATGAGTAATGGTTTTGGTCATATTTTCATGTTCTTATTTATTATCTTAAGACCTACATCTTAACACTTAGGTCTTGCCTTTTTATCCAATCTGACAATCTCTGCCTTTCAATAAGAGTATTTAGATCATGTTTTCTGTCTTTCATGTGTTTATTATCTTATTATGTGCCTTTGTTTTTGGATTGAGAAATTTGTATGATTCCATTTCATTTCCTTTATGAGCCGATTAGCCTTTCTGTATATGTCTGTTTTGTTCACATTTTGATTGCCATAAGAGTTATAGTATACATCTTTAAGTTAGCAGTCTACTTTAAAGTGATATTGTACTATTTCAATATCACTGGCATCAATGTACTGGGTTCTAGCCTCTGGAGTAGCTAGAACCACAGGCGTGCAACACAACACCCAGCTAATTTTTAAATTATCTGTAGAAATGAGTTCTCACTCTGTACCTGGGCTGGTCTAAAACTCCTGAGCTCAAATAATCCTCCTACCTTGGCCTCCCTCAAATTCTTTTATGAAAAAAATATACTGAAGAGATAAGAATTTCCTTTTAATTAATAAATATACTTGCATTTAATCAATGTGCATGACACTATTAATTTTCTAAAAGAAGTTATTAGTAAATTGTAATGCAAGATCTCTCTGAGAAAATAGAATGCCAAGCTGATATTTATTACCAAGAAAATAAATACATATGCTGCATATATTAGGCTTTGTTCCACAGATAGAAAAATTCTATCATACCTGGAAACTGCAGATAAGATGCTCTGGGATCATCCTGAGCTAAGTTGATTTTGACTAACTCAAACCAAAACATAGGTTTTGTTCATCTTTCAGTGCCTGTGCTAATATTTCTAACTTTTGGCCTGGGCTTCTTGTTTTCTTTTTTCTTCTTGAAGTGGTAAAAGAGATCCAGATTTCGTTACTGGCATGTCTAAACTAGCTTTCATTCTCAATGGCCATATATCTTTTTCCCTGATGTTGTAATGCTTTTGCATCTCAATGTAAGAATAAAAATCATTTTATGTATTTCTCTCCTGCTTGTCAGGATTTCAAATGCATAGGTTATATCTTGCAAGGGACAATGTATATAACAGAACTAAACAAATAAAATGAAAACAGTTTCTGAGATTAAAAACAAGGTAATGGAAGCCTAACAAATAACAAAGAGCTAGCATTGTATGTTTAAAGATTTTTAGGAAAATTGAGTTTTTTATTTTGTTTACAAACTTGGGTTAACAATTATTATAAATCTGAGTAATCTATCTAGCGATGAATCTTGCTTTTAAGTACTGTGGTCAGCAAGGTGTCTGAATACTCTTAGATCATTCTGAACCAATTTGGTATTAAATAACTCAAGCATAAATGTGGATTTTATTAATCCCTCAGTGTCTGTGCTTATATTTCTATATCCAAGTCCCCAGAACAAAGTAAGATATTGCAAAACCCAAGAATTCCCAAGTTCCCAGCACCTCCTGCTCTGCTGAATACCCTGAAGTTTCAAGCTTCTCACCAGTCCTTACTTTTATGCCACTGAGATCCAGGCTGCTGGGGTTCTTATTTTTTCCTTTAGATAGTCTATGTCTAGCCTCACTCACTTGTTTTAGTTAAGCTAAATCTATTTATTGTAACAGATAAATTCCAATATTTCCGTGGCATGATACAGTTTTTTCGTTATACATTTATATCAAGTTCATCAGGTAGCAGGGGAGGACTCTGATCTGTACAGTCATTTGGATGCCCATCCTGACAGGGACCCGTCCAGTGTCAAAATGCAGTATCCTGCGCCAAAAGATACGGATGAGAGAAAAACTATAATATTGTGTAGATGTTAATAGGCCAAAAGTACTAATATAACTAAAAGTACCAATATTACTTTAGCTAGCATTCCATGAGCCAGAACTCAGTTATTAATACTACACCAAATGTAGACTAGCCTGTGCTCAGGAGAAGGAAATGGTTTGATGAACAGTGGGCAGTACTGGCTACTGCATTTATATGCGATGTGGAGTCAACACCCAAGGCCCAGTACTTACATATCTCCATGGAACAAAGCACCATCTAGATATTTGGTGTAGATAACAGTAAGAAAGCACTTAAGCTTTAGAGTCAGAGGCACCCAGATTTAAGTCCTAGCTGTGACTTGAAGTGTATCTTTTGAAAATTCTATGTTGAAGGCCTAACACCTATTCCCTCAGAATATGATTCCATTTGGTGCTAGGGCCTTTAATGAAGTAATTAGGTAAAGTGATGCTATGTGGGTGGTCTGAAATCTAATATGACTGATGTCCTTATGAGAGAGGATTAGGACACAGACACATGGAGGAAGACCATGTGAAGATACTGAAAGAAAACTGCCAACCATAAGCCAACAAGAGAGGTTTCAAAAGAAACCAACTCTGCCGCCAAGTTGATCTCAGACTTCTAGGCTCCAGAACTGTGAGGAGAAAAAAAAAAATGTTGTTTAATCTACCCAGTCTGTGTTACACTGTTTTGGCAACCGTAGAAAACTAATACGGTTCAACTCCAAATACGTTTTCATGCTAAATTTGTATTTATTTTTGAGACAGGATCTCGCTCTGTTACCCAGGCTGGAGTGCAGTGGCATGATCTCAGCTCACTGCAACTTCTGCCTCCGAGGTACAAGTGATCCTCCCACTTCAGCCTTCTGAGTAGCTGGTGACTACTCAGCTGGTGACTACAGGTGGATGCCACCATACTCAGCTAATTATTTAAAATTGTCTGTAGAGACAAGGTTTCCCTATATTGCCCAGGCTGGTCCTGAACTCCTGGGCTCAAGCGATGCTCTCGCATCAGCCTCCCAAAGTGCTGGGATTACAAGCATGAGCCTCCATATCCAGCAGATTTGAATATTTAAACTGCCAAGTAAATTGCTTACTATATGGAAATCACTCAATAATTGACAGTTTTTTCTACGTCAATTCATACATGAATATCTTATTGAAGTTTTGTGATTTACTTTAAAAATTTCTGACAATGAAAATAAATCATTTTTATTTAAAGTAAATGGTTAGAATCTCAAAACAAAGGAACAAAAGCTTTGGTGATGTTCAATCTTAAAAATCCTAATAAAATTTATTTTAGTTATAAATGGCTAAAATGTACTGACTTCTTAATGAATGCCAGTAGCCTTTTTCATGTTATCTAACTGAACTCTCTCAGTTATATAACTCTCTATAGGGGTTTTCTTATTGCCAGAATATAACTTTATGCCAAGACCAACTACAGCCCAGGACACCTAAGTCACTGACTTTTGTTTCATTCAGTCTCTCAAAACAGATTTATAAAAGTGTTGAGATTTTATACAAATTACTTGAAAACAGTGAGCAGATGGGCACAAATCCAGTATCTAAAGCAATTTAGAGAGGCAAGGAGTAAGTAAATTGTTCTGGAGAACAAGAGGGGAAAAGATTTTTGAAAGATCTAATAGGATCCATTATTACAGGCAGTTGCTATTGGTATAGTATCTTGAGAGACAGGGAGTCTTGCTCTGCCAACAGGATGTGCTCTTTCACATCTACTGTTTTGTTCAGCCATCTATGAATAGGCAATTCCTTGTATTGTTTAATCACTATAAAAGAATATGTATCCTATGCCAGTGATTATTGTTCTTTAGCAACCATTGTCACACTTATGACACCTACACAGTTATTACGTTCACTTTACAGATGAGAAAACAGAGAAAGAGGGTTTAAATGACTTGGACAGAGTTACACAGTTGGTAACTCGTAGAGACAAGCCTGAATTCAAGCATTCAGTCCTGCATGTTCTTAAGTATTGTGCAATGCTGATGTTCAAGGTAGGCAGTAGTATAATCCACAGAGCTAGAGCAAGAGCTTATACAGGTAAAATAGAAAGAAAGAGGGTGAGAGATAAAGAAAAATCATATATACAAAATACATTCATAAATTCATACCTACATTCATATGTAAGTCTTTGAAGAGACTACTATGAGACTATACTTGTCTAGAATATCACTAGTTGTGAATCATACATTAAAAATTACGGCCGGGTAAGGTGGCTCATGCCTGTAATCCCAGCACTTTGGGAGGCCAAGGCGGGTGGATCACCTGAGGTCGGGAGTTCAAGACCAGCCTGACAAACATGGAGAAACCCCATCTCTACTAAAAATATAAAATTTGCCCGGCATGGTGGCACATGCCTGTAATCCCAGTTACTTGAGAGGCTGAGCGAGAAGAGTCACTTGAACCCGGGAGGCAGAGGACACAGTGAGGCCCCATTGTACTTCAGGCGGAGGCCCCATTGTACTTCAGACTGGGCAATAAGAGTGAAACTTCATCTCAGAAAAAAAAAAAAAAAGGAATTAAAACCTGAGGTAGCAAAATGTTAAAGAACAGTCATGGAAAAACATGTAAAATTTAATGATTTCTGTCCTATCATCATACTTGTATAATATAAATTGTATAGGCAAAGTACTTAGCTAGATTCACACAAAAATTGGAGTACGGTAAATTTGGACATAAATAGAATGCTAAGGATAAGGTAATTTGGGGAAAGGCCCTTATTTCTTCTTTTCAATCTTCCTGTTGGTGTAAATATACACCTTTGGCAAGTACACACAATCATTTGGGAAACACACCCAAGTAAACAGGATACTTGCTTTTGCCCACATCTCTCTGAGGAGGTCAGGTGTATTCCTAACTCTTTACATTTAGTATATCTTTTGTTTACTGTTTGTTTGTTTTTAGTTACCAGCTGCTGATAATCTAAAAACATGATGGTAGTAATGTTTAAAGGACACTCTGAATATCATCAGATGTAAGTACATTCAGGACACATCAAATGTTTTCAGACATAAATATCTATGTTTTAGAAAAATTGAGAATTATTCAGAAGATACATTTCCCTATCCCTATGAGATACTGATAACTGTGTTTCCTAAATTTTTAAGAGAGAGTTTGGGAAGTTGGGAGGTGATGGAGGAGATGATTTAGGTGATTGAAGAGATGCTGCTCAAAGGATACAAAATTTCAGTTAAACAGGGAAAACAAGCTCAAGAGATTTGCTGTACACCACGGTATCCACAGTTAATAACAATGAATTGTAAACTTTAAAATTGTTAAGTAGATTTTAAGAACTCTCACCATAAGTAAATGATAAGCATGTGAGGTAATGCATATGCTAATTAGCTTAATTTAGCCATTGAACAATGGATACACATTTCAAACATTATGATTTACACCATAAATATAGACAATTCTTATTTGTCAATTGAAAAATAAATAAGAAGAAAAAAATTCAAAAAAAAGAAGAGTATGACGTTCACAGATTTAAATATATTAGAACATCTCTTTCATGTGTTAGTCAATAGTTAAGGCGATTTTTCTTGAGTCCTTAGGCAGGTAAACAAAAACACAACCGTTTATTTGCCAGAGTGTACTATAATATTTCATCTAGATATTTTTCATCCTTATAAGTGAATATTTCATTAGGAACATGGACTAGACAAAGATAAAAAAAATTTGAGATAAAATTTGTGGCATATAGTGTTTAAAAGCAGCATGCTTTTCATTCTGTTCTCTGTATGTTAAAAAAGACACAAATTCTGTGTTTTATTATTATTATTATTTTCTTTTTGGGACAGAGTCCTGTGCTGTAACCCAGGCTGGAGTGCAGTGGCATGATCTCAGCTCACAGCAACTTCTGCCTCCCAGGTTCAAGCAATTCTCCTGCCTCAGTCTCCAGAGTAACTGGGATTACAGGCATGCACCACCATGCCTGGCTAATTTTGTATTTTTAGTAGAGACGGGATTTCACCATGTTAGTCAGGCTGGTCTTGAACCTCTGACCTCAGGTGATTCACCCTCCTTGGCCTCCCAAAGTGCTGGGATTACAGGCATGAGCCTCCACACCCGGCCCATATTCTGTACTTTTGTAAATGCAGAATTGGTTCCCGAACTTGGTAACCAGGAGTGTGTGCATGCATATGAGTGTGGAGTGCATGTTTGTGGCATTGTTTTCTCACAAGCTAGGGTCGCTGTAGTTTCCCCACTCTCAAGTTAATGTGCTTTAAGTAGCAGCGGACTCTCCTTAATGTATCCATAGACACCCTGTGTGATTTCTTTTCCCTTACACACTAACAAAACAGGAAAGCGCTGGAGTGCAGCGGCACACTTCCAAATCTTTCAAATAAGATCAAACAGGGAGAAAGCATTTAAAGGTGGTGAAAGCCTTTCTCTAACGAGGGACTTGCCAGCTACGCCCCTTGAGTACATTTCATCCTTTAAAAAAACCTACCGGCTTTAAAAAAAAGAAAAAGAAAAAAGTTTCCTGCAATTTAAACTCTCAATCACGTTGATACTCACTTAATGCAGTTTCCTTTTTTGGAATTTTATTATAACACTTGCCTTACTGTTGAATGATCAAAAAAATTCTACTGAATATTCTTAGTAGTAATTTTAATTCTGTCCTTCTAATTCATTAAGCCTCTGCCTTTCATCCTCCATTGGTTTTTTCCCATCTTGTTCACATGCTATTAAGAGCAGATTTAATTTCTGTTAGTGACTTCCATTTCCATTGGAGTCACACTTTAGTAAAACTCAGCTGCAGAAGCTTATCCCAGGACACTTTTTTTGCATTTTTATTAACTCATGTTCACATTTTATTCAGATTTCCATAGTTTTTGCCTAATTTTCGGTGTCAGGATCCAATCCAGGATATCGCGTAACATTCAGTTGATAGGAATCTTTATTTTCCTCTTGATTATGATAGTTTCTCAGACATTTCTAGTTTTTGATGAGTTTGAAGAAAGGAGTATCAGTCAGGTATTTTGTAAAATGTCCCCCAGTTGAAATTTTTCTGATATTTTTCACCTAAGAAGACTGAGATTATAGATTTTGAAGAAAAGCCCACAAAAGTTATCAATCTCATCACATTCTATCAAGGGTGTATGGTATCAACATGGCATCACCATTGGTGTTGACTTCGGTCTCCTGGTTGAAGTAATGTTTGTCAGATTTTCTCACTGTGAAGTTGCTCCTTTTTTCCTCCTTTCCATACTGTACTCTTTGAAGGAAGTCACTCAGTGCAGCCTGCACTTGAGAAGGGAGTTATGTTCCATCTCCTTAATGAAAGTGTAGCTAAGTAACTTGTTTAAAACTCTCCTGCATGGAACTCATGTCTCCCATTTATTGATTTATTCAATCATTTTTTTATATTAGTATGAATTCATGAATATTTATTTCTTGGCTATAATCCAATACTACTTCACTTTGCTTCTCAAATTATTCTAACTTTGGCCAGGCACGGTGGCTCACGCCTGTAATCCCAGCACTTTGGGAGGCCAGGTGGGTGGATCACCTGAGGTCAGGAGTTCCAGACCAGACTGGCCAACATGGTGAAACCCCGTTTCTACTAAAAATACAAAAATTAGCCAGGCGTGGTGGGGTGGCTCCTGTAATTCCAGCTACTCAGGAGGCTGAGGCAGGAGAATCGATTGAACCCCTCAGGCAGAGGTTGCAGTGAGCTGACTTTGCACCATTGCACCCCAGCCTAGGCAACAGAGCGAGACTCTGTCTCAAAAAAAAAAAAAAAAAAAAAATTATTCCAGCTTTGTCCATTGGAGACTCTGTGTCCCTTTCACATGCTCCATCAAGGAGATGGGAATTTTTTGTTTGTTTGTTTCATTGTTGGTTTTTGGTTTTTGAGCACCTCCTTGCTTCATGAACTACAGATGCTGAAGGTATGTGTTACGTATTCCTTGCCCCAGTTCTAGAATCAGCCTTTGCTACCAGGGGCTCTGGTTCCCTTCGATTGAATAATGAAATGAGAAACAGAGATCTGGCTGCTAGAGGTGCTTGTTGCTACCAGCTGTCATTGCTTCTAGGCCCACCTAGCTGACAGAATCAGCTTAATTTTAAAATACTAGATTCCTGAGGTTACCGAAAGACATCCCCACCCTGTGGGAATATTGCTGAAGAGGCATAGTTGTGTTAATTATTTTCCACATACAAGGTCACTTAGTTAAATAGCACCAATAATTATAAGTAGCACTTTCCCCCTTGAAAGTAATTATGGATAAAAGATTTGCTTAATCCTGATGATGTTTTGTCGTGTTCTTAGTAAAACAAACAAACGAACAAAAAACAAAACTTGTACTTGCAAGCTTTCTATCAATAAGTTTTTAATATATTTTTATGGCACTTTATACTTGACAATGTGGTTTATCCTGAGAGTTAAAAAGAGATGATACTCGTATGGCATTTTTATAATTGGATTCTGCAAAACTCAGAAAAGTGAATGAACTTCCCCGAGTTCAGACAACCTGGCAGAACTGGAATGTAGTCTAACATTTTTGAATATTTTGCATTATACTATGGTTGCTTTACAAAGAAATGAACTCATTTTTTATCAGTTACTCTGTTGTTTTCAATAAAGTAGAATAACATTGTTGCATCGCTGACTTATTACACAAATTAAAAGAATATGACCTCTGCATTTCCTTTATCCATCTCAGATAAAATATAGTTTAAATGCAGTGATCAATAGACAGATAGGTGATAGATGATTGGTAGATAAATATTTGGAAAAATCAGATGTCTTCCCTACCTCTATCAGTGACTTCTATAAACTGCAATGTAAATCACCCTCAGAAAGAAGAATCATTTTGCTTTCATTCTTCTACTACCTCTCACAGCTTCCTTAAAAGAGCTATTTAATGGATATTTATGCCAACGCTTTCAAGTTGGAAAATATTGCCCCAATATTTTTGCTTTTCTCAGTTGTCTATTCTAGTGATTAAATGCCATTACTTTGCAAATATTATTCATAATATGTAAACAAACTTGTTGAGCAAAGCACCTTTTTATCTCTGTTAATGAGTTTGTTGGCATTATATATTTCACATTTCTCCTCTTTTAGTGTCAATGTTTTTATTTTTCCTATAGACTGTACTTTCCAGTTGCGTTTCAAAACAAAAATGTTCATCTTTTTCTTTGATGAGCCAAAATTCCCCTTGTGTCCTTCGATTTGGTAACAGGATAATGAAGAATTATTTTAACTTATTATTGATAAACATCTCCACCATTTTCTTAGAATATTTTCATCTTCGTGCTCATTTTTATGTATTGTCATATGTATTTTTCTCTAAATTTTCCTTAATAATTTCCTTCACTGAAGCATAAAGGTCAGCTTTCCTGTCATATGTGTTTTTCACAGTAGCGTAGGATTTAGTTAGAGAAATCTTTTATTAAAAAATATATTATCTGCAAATACAACTTGATGAAAAATTAATATAAAGACTCTTTCACATACTATTTATTTCATAAATCACCATCCATTTTACAAGCCTTAAAAAATTACTGAGTATTTTAATGCAGTCTTTTTTTTTTAATCCAGGTTCAAAGCATGGACATTAGAATTCACTATTGAAGTTGTCCTGCTCTCAGCTAAAGGAGTTAAAATTATATTTTTTACATTTTTTTCTGTATGTATTTTTGATTTCTGAGGAAGAAAATTGGATATTTCATGTCCATTTTAAAACCTGTTTCAACATATTTTTTAAAATAAAAATGTATCTTCTACATTTACTCCTTAGCTCACATATTTATTCAAATGGATTTAAATCTTGCTGTAACTTAACTAGTGTCTGCTCTGCTGTGTATGATTCACTCTTATATGTAAAAATCATTTCAATAATGCGATAAGCTTAGACTAAGATTTCAACGTCATTGTCTTAGTTATCACATGCATTTTCATTTATATATACGATAATACTTACAAGCATTTTCCTGTTTAGGCTTTATTCTTTATTCTTATATCTTCAACTATGAATTATGCTACATATAATATGCATGCTCCTATGAAGTGGTTACTTTTGCAGTCTAAGCTAAGCCTAGTTAAAGTTGTAAAGAAGAGGTCTGCTAAAGATGGTTCCCAAGAATCCATGAAGTGAGAAAATAATAGAAAGTTGATGTGAATGGGTATCAGACAAAACCAGAAAAAGTGGCCTTGTCATGGAAGCAGTTAACCAAGGTAGACTTCAACCTAATCCCATACAACCAGTCTAAAGGTTCACCATGCTTTGCAATATGATAGAAAAAAATGTGTTTTTATGAAAAATAATTTTATTATGAAATAATGTGATGTTTTATTATTATTAATATATAGATTTTTAATAAATCAGGGCTGTGGCTAGTTGGTTCACTGATGAATATTACTGGTAAAGTGTGTTTCAATTTCACAACAATCAGTATTCTCTGTACTCTACCTCTAACCATATAAATATAAAACATTTATATTTTATACAGTATTTGGGAAATATTTCTTGGCTTCTACGAATGACTCTCAACGCCAAAAGATATATTTGCCACTGTTGCAAAACAGTAGCCTTAGATTTTTAAAAAGCATATTTCTAGTTAACAGGATAGGCAGATTACATATTTATATCATACCGAAAATAGACAAATGATGACATGCACAAGAAAGTGAATATAAAACTAACACAGTGCCAGGAAGTGAGTTTCTAATATTAATATGTATGCTTATTTAATGAAATGAACCATATTTAAATGGTATCAAAGCCATGAGAATGAAAGAGCACTTAAAATTATAAATATTGCTTATTTAATAGCCTTTTCTTTTAATGAATCCCTACTATAGAGCTACATAAACTATTAAATAAATAATAACAAATTTGTTGATGATGAATTGGATTATCCCTGATTGTGAAATGACTGGACAATCTAAAATGTAATGCCCCATATAGATTCTTCCTATAATTTCTATATATCTCATTAAGTCATTTCTATTCTATACTAATCAAGGAGCAAATACTAACACATTATAACTGAAGTATATAAGAAAGAAAGCCATGAAATATTAACAAATTTATAGCAAAATAAAAGATACCACTTACATTCAGAATCTCTTAGACCTGCATACCTTAATATAATGGTAAAGCAAAATAATTATGTAGCTACCTTTGTTTTTTGGATCTTATGCAAACAACACTTCTTCCTCGATTCTCTATTCTAGAGAAGGAACACATAATCTTCAAAGGATATGAAAACTGTACACTGGCTCTATAATGCTGATCCATATAATTCTTTGTTTGCTTGCTTTTTCCTTAATTAGGGTAATGAGCCACTGTTGTTCAAAGATAGAGCAGCCTGTGTATTTCAATTGAGATCCATGTTGTCTCATACTATGAGTTCCATTCAAATAAATCAAAAATGGTCCTTTGTGAAAAATTTTTAAGGTTGAGCAAAAAATAAAATAAAATAGAAGCAAACAAAGTTTCCAACAAGCTTTCATCATATACTGATTGAACAGGTACTTGGCTATGAATATGGTTACCTAACTAAAGTTATCTCATTAGTCTGGTTTTATAGTACCTCTTTTATGATCCACATATCACAAAATTATACTCACATTAAAAATAACCATCTAGTGTACATCATTTTATGATATTGGCAAATAAATCTACATACTGCAATACGGTAAAATATATTGATCTGTAAACTACAACACTGAACAACAAATCGACCATAAACTAAAATCCCAAGCATCCCTTCAACACTAAAACTCCCACTTCCAGGCTTCTTCCTGGGCAGTGCGAGCTTTCACTGGATCCCCAACTCTTGAAGCATAACAAAGATCACAAATAACTTTTGCATCACAGCTTAGACAACCCTTCCACGGGCTGGAGAAGTTCAGGAAGAAGTCATGAAATTATGTATGCTGTGTATTGAGTACTCTATTTCCTAGGGTTACAGCTGATTATTTTCCCATCTTTGCTTTGAGAGAAAAAATAAATACTGTTTGAGGGGAATCATTAGCAGTTCAACAATTTGAATTATTTGTCTTTCATGTAGCCCCTTCTAGATTTTACATAAACCAGTTACGTGATGGAAGACAAAGACAATTCAAGCAATGAGACATTACTAATTGTACTCCTCATTTAAATATATTTTTTAAATGCATAGAATTATAATGCATCTTTAAAACACAGATAAGGAAAAAAAGCAGAAAAGAAAAATGTCTCACAAAATTATCATCAATATAAACAATCTTGTATTATCTTGGTGCAAGGTCACCTAGATAAATAGATACATATTGTATGAAGGCATTATTATCTGACCTCGAGTGTCTTCCCCCATTACCTTTACTCAATGGCTGTCCTACAGTTGGAGCTATAAGACCTTGTCCAATAAGGCCCCCAGGTGTAGCAGCATTATTGGAACAGATAAGTAAAACAAAGAGAGCAAATGCTTGGTTGCAGGAGAAGCTCTTAACTTTTAGCCTGTCCAATTATTTTACTACCAAGGCTGAACCCTTTCTTAGCCATAACTACTCAACTACCTTTTGGACAACCTTATCAGTATGTTTTTCAATAGATGAAATTTACCTGAACACATTTTTGTGACTATAGATATCTTTGGACTTACTCCTGTCTTCTTATTTGTGTTTTCAACTTACCATCACTTTAGATTTAATTCCTTCTGCTCAGATTGGTTGAGATTTCTTTGCTGTATAGTTGGGTTTTTGGTTCGTTGTTGCTGTTGTTGTTCCTTAAATGGCTTGAACATTATTCATCCTGTGTCTTTGTTTCCATTCTTCTATTTTCTGGGACTTTATTCATTTCCCTCATCTTGACTTTTTGTCTGTTTATTCTTACCTATGCTTTTCTTCTTCTCCTGAATAATTATTCTAAGAATATTACTGAAGTTGCTTCTTATGACAAGCCTTATCTTATCCTACTCTGTCAGAGGCTAAGCTGTGTTTCTTTTGTGCTTTCATTACCCTTCTTTTTTTTAATTTTTTGACCCTATTCACTACTTATCACAAAGTAGTGAAATTGCTGGAAGATGCATCTGCACTTAACTACAAACACTTTGGAGAAAGGCATTGCGTCTCTTACAGTATTTTATGTCTCATACAACACAGTGTCTGGCAAACAGTAGTCAGACACCTATTGCATATAGGAAGACACGGATGGATGTCAGGTGTGTTTATCTTCTGGAAATCATTAATGAATGCAATGGAAAATATATACTTGAGTCCAACAGGCCATGCTATTTTTCTTTAATTCTATGTATTTGCAACTGTTCTGAGGCAATTTTAGGCTCATTGTTCTTCTTATTATTAATACCAGTAATATCTGAATCTGACATTTCTGCACAAGTTAACTTTTTGAAATTCCATAACTCCTATTTTGTTTCTTTGTGGTAAATATGGGCAAGACATGAAATAAATGTAAGTGCATTAGAAGATAATTAGTTCTTAGAGGTTTCAGCTCAGCTTTATGATCTCTTCTAAATTGCATGCTTTCTTTTCATTATTGTGAAATAGTTATAGTTTCTTCTGCCTACTCAAAAACATTTCTTTACAATTTGACTCTAAACTACAGATTTTACTGATTCACCGAGAACATATAAAAGTGAGACAACTTCTCTCATTTTCCAGCTATGATTTCCAAAAGTGGCTTCTCTATCACCTCAGTGAGTGAGCCTTAAAACTGTTGCATTTTTAACTTGTTAAGGCCTCACACGCTTATTTAAAGTAAGGATTTTTCCCTATAAAACCCTGCAAGCAAAGTTCACATAATTTAAGTCTATAGTTGAAATTCCATTATAGTATTTCTTTGCATTTTAAGACAGTTTTCTGTCTTGCCCAGGCTGGAGTGCAGTGGCACCATCTTGGTTCACTGCAGTCTCCACCTCCTGGGTTCAAGCAATTCTCCTGTCTCAAGCTCTGAGTAGCTGGGACTACAGGCCTGTGCCACCACACTCGGCTAATTTTGTATTTTTAGTAGAGATGGGGTTTCACCATATTGGCCAAGCTGGTCACAAACTTCTAACTTCAGGTGATCCATCTGCCTCGGTCTCCCAAAGTACTGGGATTACAGGAAGACAATTTTCTAATAAGCAATAAGTCCCTTTTTTCTACCCCCTATCAAAGTCAATTTTGCCTTCTTTACTTTCTTTTACATTTATTTTCTGCCTCGACCTAACATGTACAACGATGATGCCTCTATTTTAATCCAGTCACTGGTTCTTTGAAGCCCTATTAAACTATAAGCTCCCCAAGGACAAATGTTCCACCTTCTTTCTTGCTGGACTTCTCACAATATCTGCCCATAATCGGCATTAAGTAAATTTTTGTTGACTTCACTTGATTTAAGAGCATATAGTTCTAAGAGATAATTTAAATTGAAGTTAATGTTGTTTATTAAAATAGATGAATAGAATACATAGATCTATGTTTACATTATATAGATTTAGATAGATGTTTTTCCTCAGCACCTTGTTCGTATTCACTTAGTAACAATCCATATATACTACTCTATTCTCTGTTTCTCATTCTATACCTTTATTACTTTTAATACTTCTTGTTACATTAGGTAAATGTGACATAATGCATTATCCAGTGCCCTAGCATTACCGCATTTCTTTTCTGTAACAACAAATAAGTAGATTGATTTTTATGAGAAAAAAATAGCTGAGAAAATGACTCAAGTTTAAGATTTAGATGGAAAGAATGTAGATAATTTTAGTGATTTATTTTTATTTTTATAAATAACCAATTAATTAGGAAAATAAATTAACTGTATTCTCAATAATCAACATGTTACATAGCACCCTAAATGTATATAAAAATTAACACATTGGAAAACTGAGCATTGTGCTGCTTTTCCTGAACCATTTTTAAATTGTAAAACTAATTAAAGTAAAAATGTTTTAGTTTCACACTACAATGTCAGCAATTATGTATATTTTGCTAGTGTTAACCAATACATTGCACATATTTCAAAATAAGGCATGTGTTCTATCACCGAAAGAAATATTAAAAAGTATATTATGCACATAATGCTATTACAAATACTACTAAAGGTATTACTTTTCTAAATTCATCATCAGATAGAGACCTGCAAATTACTTCAAGTCCAAATGTGATGTATCACAGGCTTTGTTAATTACTTATGTTTCAGTATTTCACGTATAATGAAAGAATAAAATAGTGGAATAGAGAATTAAAAATATTTGTTGCCACCATTTGTGGTGATCTTTTAACTGAGTATTTTCAGGAATTCTTCAGCAAAGCCATAGCAAACATATGCAATGAAGAACAATATGAATCTTTCCTAAATTAAGTGTACCACCATTTCCACATATAGAAAACCAACTCTTCATAATTCCCAAATGTGCATATGTGCCAGGCTGCCTTATGTATTAAGTTTCACTATGATAAGGAGTAAAAGATCACAGCTTCCCTGCGGGCAGCATGTCCTGGCCCAGTAGCCGTGTATACCCATGATGAGGGGTAAAAGCAGAGGAAACTAGTCAAAATTGAACCCAGAGAAGTATCTTGAAACCTAAAGCTACTTGTGAATAAGAAATTAAATAGGAGTGTAGGCACAAAGAAATCATGCATTCCACTTTAAGCCATCTAGATTCACACTTAAAAATCACAGAAATGTCTATGGCATGGCCTATTAAGCTAAACTAATTTCAGTCAAAGTTGTGAAAAAGGCTAGTGTATCTTTCTTCTAATTGTTCAAAATCTTTTCTCCTCAGCTGGGATTCTGCTCTCTCCATCCTTTTTTATGTTCCAGGTTTCCTCTATGGTACCACTTCCTTTCATAATAACCTGTTTCTACATGTGATCTACTTATTGTAACAATTTATCCTTTGTGAGTCTCAGACTGCAGGAAGCTTCTTCCAGGAAGGAAGGATCAGAACACACTGAGGAGGATCAGAAACTTACCTGAAATGAGATGTTAATGCATATTTGCATAAGATTATGTCTAGGTAGCATTTGATAGCTAACTTTGTATTTAACATTTCTGGCATTTTATAATTATCTACTAAAACAGTTCAAGCATTGAATTCCCCAGTATGAAATAAAATTTCACATGTAATATGCTAGTTTTTACTATTTTTAGATTTCAAATAAGAATTGTAAAGTTTAAAACCGCAACAATGATTTTGAGATAACTAGATAAAGAAACAGGTTTACAGAGGTGGAAAGGGTTGAAGAGAGTTGTACAATATAACAAAATTATTAAGTAATAGAGTTTTAACATGAACTGAAGATTAAACTTGGAGAATAATCCAGGTCACAGAGGCGTAAGTAGTCATAAATGAGATCACCTCTGGTGTTTTGCCATTGAAAAATATGCCTCAGCTGGTATAAAGTCATTAAAATGTGTTATTAATTATCTTCAGTTGGCATGACGACCTTCTGGAAAAGTGAGATTTGGGAAGTACTCAGATTATATGGTTTCAAGGATGAATAGAAGGAAAACTATTAGAATGGGGAATTCCAGTGATCTGATTAGAGTTAATTTGAGAGAAAGGCATTGCAAATGTCAGAGGCAAGCCAGGAGAAATCTAATGATGGTGGAAATGGTCACTGAATTTGTGTTCCCATCAATAGTGCATTCTTTCACAAAAATGATGGCATTGGTAGGGAGATGATTCATAAACAAAAAAAATAGCTTTATGGGGAGAGGGGCAGGGAACGACTGTCATGGAAACATCATTATATAGAATAAAATGCATTTTAGTTAGCATTACTAGATCACATAGCAAAACTTTGAATATATTTATTACAGTTTATGGCATCAAATTCACTGAATGCTATATTCATAAATTTCCTGTTAAACCTGCTTTGCTTTGGACTTCCAGTTTAATGTTAGATACGCAGAGCTGGAGAAAGTGTCACTCTCACTCTTATAAGAATAAATGTTGAACAATGTGCATTAACAATTTGTTTTCAGCCTATCAGAACAATAAGGTTTTTTGGCCAGTAAGTAACCCAAAATCTGGACAGAAACAGGCACCACCAGAGAGACACAGGACCTGACACCTGCTTAACAGGGACAGAAGCCATGTAAGACTCTAAGAAGATTGAACTAAATATTTATCAGAAATTTTAAAGGCAAATTGTGGGATAATGTGAGAATATGAAGATTTGGAAGGTCACAGAAATACAGGAGAAATACAGGATTTTTCACCCCGTTGCAGGTTTTTCTTCCAGAAACCCCAGTAAGCAATCATGGGGAGGTTGGGAGAACCTTGAGAAGTTTCCCTAGTGGAGCTGACTGGGAAGAGGGGAGAAGCCACAGCCCAAGCCTTAGGTTTCATCTGGCTTTGCCCTTGATGCCTATATGACCTGGGGCTGTTCTCTCAGCAGTAAATTTGGGAGAAATAGGGCTCCCTTCATATGTTCTGTGTCTCTCAAAAGCCAATATTTTTCATCAGCTGATGTCTGATATCTTGAAAACCATTGTTTCATATATTTGGGGCAATTTTTTGTTTGTTTGTTCTGTTTTGTTTTCTCAAGAGAAATGCCAAAATCAGTCTTTGTGACTCTATCTTGGGCAAAACCTGAAATTTCATTTATGGATATAAATTCAAAGATAATGAATAAAATATTTGAAAGCAGAATCCAACTCTACCTTAATAAAATAATAAACCATGACCCAATGAGACTTACTCCAGGAATACTAGGTTGATTCAATATTAGGAAATCCTTTAATACCAAACACTATATTAATAAATCTAATTTAAAAACCATATAATTATCTTGCTCAATGTGGAAAATGTCTTTGCCAAAATGTCACATGCAATCATGGTTTAAAACTCTCAGGAATATAAGAATTGATAGATAATTAATATGATTAATCATTAAATATGTATATATATAGACACACACACACAATGTTTATCTGAAAAGCCAGTGTCATGCTTAATCAGAACCACTAAAGTCCTTTTGATGAAAATTCAGAATTAGGCAAAGATTTTCACTGACTTCATTAACATTCAATATTGTACTAGTAGCAACTGCCCATACAATTGAACAAAAGAATTCAATTAGCATAAGAATTGTTAAAAACAAAAATATATAGAATTAAAAATATTATTTTAAATGATATAATATGATGATATACTCAAAAAGCTGTACAGAACCAATGTTAAAGCTAACTGAAGCAATAAAACAATTCAATAAGGTAGCCTGCTATAAAATTCACATGCACAAATAAAAAGTCCTCATATGTACAAGAAATAATAGTAGAAACATTTCTGTATACAACAGCAAACAAGAAGATTAAACACTTAGGAATAAATTTAATAACAGATGCACAAAAGCTTTATGAGGAAAACTATAAAATACTCTTGAAAGACAATGAAGTAGACCTGAACAAATGGAAACACATCCCCTTTCTCGGATAGGATGACTCTATGACATAAAAATGTTAATCCTCCTTAAGTGAATTTCTAAATGAAATGCAATCCCTATAAGACCCTCTAAAGCTTACCGAATTATAGAAGGTGATTATCAAAGTTTCTGGTGAATAAACAAACATACAAAAGTAGCATAGAAAACACAAATAGAAAATCTGTAATTGGGGACTAGCCTTCACAGGCTAAAACCATTCTAGCATGGGAATAGGCAAAAGGCCAGTGGATGGGATAGAAAGCCCAGAAATATACCCAAGTACTTTTGGAAATTTAGTGTATGATAAAGGTGGAGTTTCATCATTAAGGCAGTGGTGGAATTTATAATAAATGGTGCTGGAACTATCGGGTAGTCATTTAAAGACAAAAGAGATAAAATTAAATGCATATCTTATACCTTACACTAGAATAAATGCCAAAGGATCAGTGCTTTAAATGTAAAAAAAAAACAAACAATAGAAATAGTAAAAAGAAACATGAGTGAATTCCAAGCTGTCTCACTGTGACTCCAAAATTAAAATCTACTGAAAGAAATGTTTAATATGTGTGTGTATATATATCCAAATATATCAATATATGTAAATTGCATAGCCAAAAAGGATATGATTAAAAGACAACAAACACTGAGAAAGAATATTTGCAGTATGTATTACAGACAAATGGCTTACATCCCTAATATATAAAGCAGTCTTAATTAAGAGACCAAAGACCAAATATCCAATAGAAGAATACAAATAAAACAATGGCCGGGGGGGAGGAGCCAAGATGGCCGAATAGGAACAGCTCCGTCTACAGCTCCCAGCGTGAGCCACGCAGAAGACAAGACGGGTGATTTCTGCATTTCCATCTGAGGTACCGGGTTCATCTCACTAGGGAGTGCCAGACACTGGGTGCAGGTCAGCGGGTGCGCGCACCGTGAGCGAGCCCAAGCAGGGCGAGGCATTGCCTCACTCGGGAAGCACAAGGGGTCAGGGAGTTCCCTTCCCTAGTCAAAGAAAGGGGTGACAGACGGCACCTGGAAAATCGGGTCACTCCCACCCGAATACTGCGCTTTTCCGATGGGCTTAAAAAACCGCGCACCAGTAGATTACATCCCGCACCTGACTTGGAAGGTCCTACGCCCACGGAGTCTCGCTGATTGCTACCACAGCAGTCTGAGATCAAACTGCAAGGTGGCAGCAAGGCTGGGGGAGGGGCGCCCGCCATTGCCCAGGCTTGCTTAGGTAAACAAAGCAGCCTGAAAGCCCGAACTGGGTGGAGCCCACCACAGCTCAAGGAGGCCTGCCTGCCTCTGTAGGCTCCACCTCTGGGGGCAGGGCACAGACAAACAAAAAGACAGCAGTAACCTCTGCAGACTTAAATGTCCCTGTCTGACAGCTTCGAAGAGAGCAGTGGTTCTCCCAGCACGCAGCTGGAGATCTGAGAACGGGCAGACTGCCTCCTCAAGTGGGTTCCTGACCCCTGACCCCCGAGCAGCCTAACTGGGAGGCAACCCCCAGCAGGGCACACTGACACCTCACAGGGCCCAGTACTCCAACAGACCTGCAGCTGAGGGTCCTGTCTGTTAGAAGGAAAACTAACAAACAGAAAGGACATCCACACCAAAAACCCATCTGTACATCACCATCATCAAAGACCAAAAGTAGATACAACCACAAAGATGGGGAAAAAACAGAGCAGAAAAACTGGAAACTCTAAAAAGCAGAGCACCTCTCCTCCTCCAAAGGAACGCAGTTCCTCACCAGCAACGAAACAAAGCTGGACCGAGAATGACTTTGACGAGCTGAGAGAAGAAGGCTTCAGATGATCAAATTACTCCGAGCTGCGGGAGGACATTCAAACCACAGGCAAAGAAGTTGAAAACTTTGAAAAAAATTTAGAAGAATGTATAACTAGAATAACCAATACAGAGAAGAGCTTAAAGGAGCGGATGGAGCTGAAAACCAAGGCTCAAGAACTATGTGAAGAATTCAGAAGCCTCAGGAGCCGGTGCGATGAACTGGAAGAAAGGGTATCAGTGATGGAAGATGAAATGAATGAAATGAAGCGAGAAGGGAAGTTTAGAGAAAAAAGAATAAAAAGAAATCAGCAAAGACTCCAAGAAATATGGGACTATGTGAAAAGACCAAATCTACGTCTGATTGGTGAACCTGAAAGTGACAGGGAGAATGCAACCAAGTTGGAAAACACTCTGCAGGATATTATCCAGGAGAACTTCCCCAATCTAGCAAGGCAGGCCAACGTTCAGATTCAGGAAATACAGAGAACATCACAAAGATACTCCTTGAGAAGAGCAACTCCAAGACACATAATTGTCAGATTCACCAAAGTTGAAATGAAGGAAAAAGTGTTAAGGGCAGCCAGAGAGAAAGGTCGGGTTACCCTCAAAGGGAAGCCCATCAGACTAACAGCGGATCTTTCGGCAGAAACTCTACAAGCCAAAAGAGAGTGGGCGCCAATATTCAACATTCTTAAAGAAAAGAATTTTCAACCCAGAATTTCATATCCAGCCAAACTAAGCTTCATAAGTGAAGGAGAAATAAAATACTCTACAGACAAGCAAATGCTGACAGATTTTGTCACCACCAGGCCTGCCCTAAAAGAGCTCCTGAAGGAAGCACTAAACATGGAAAGGAACAACCGGTACCAGCCACTGCAAAATCATGCCAAAATGTAAAGACCATCGAGACTAGGAAGAAACTGCGTCAACTAATGAGCAAAATAACCAGCTAACATCATAATGACAGGATCAAATTCACACATAACAATATTAACTTTAAATGTAAATGGACTAAATGCTCCAATTAAAAGACACAGACTGGCAAATTGGATAGAGTCAAGACCCATCAGTGTGCTGTATTCAGGAAACCCATCTCACGTGCAGAGACACACATAGGCTCAAAATAAAAGGATGGAGGAAGATCTACCAAGCAAATGGAAAACAAGAAAAGGCAGGGGTTGCAATCCTAGTCTCTGATAAAACAGACTTTAAACCAACAAAGATCAAAAGAGACAAAGAAGGCCATTACTTAATGGTAAAGGGATCAATTCAACAAGAAGAGCTAACTATCCTAAATTTATATGCACCCAATACAGGAGCACCCAGATTCATAAAGCAAGTCCTGAGTGACCTACAAAGAGACTTAGACTGCCACACATTAATAATGGGAGACTTTAACACCCCACTTTCAACATTAAACAGATCAACGAGACAGAAAGTCAACAAGGATACCCAGATACCCAGGAATTGAACTCAGCTCTGCACCAAGCAGACCTAATAGACATCTACAGAACTCTCCACTCCAAATCAACACAATATGCATTTTTTTCAGCACCACACCACACCTATTCCAAAATTGACCACATACTTGGAAGTAAAGCTCTCCTCAGCAAATGTAAAAATACAGAAATTATAACAAACTGTCTCTCAGACCACAGTGCAATCAAACTAGAACTCAGGATTAAGAATCTCACTCAAAACCGCTCAACTACATGGAAACTGAACAACCTGCTCCTGAATGACTACTGGGTACATAACAAAATGAAGGCAGAAATAAAGATGTTCTTTGAAACCAACGAGAACAAAGACACAACATACCAGAATCTCTGGGATGCATTCAAAGCAGTGTGTAGAGGGAAATTTATAGCACTACATGCCCACAAGAGAAAGCAGGAAAGATCCAAAATTGACACCTTAACATCACAATTAAAAGAACTAGAAAAGCAAGAGCAAACACATTTAAAAGCTAGCAGAAGGCAAGAAATAACTAAAATCAGAGCAGAACTGAAGGAAATAGAGACACAAAAAACCCTTCAAAAAATTAATGAATCCAGGAGCTGGTTTTTTGAAAGGATCAACAAAATTGATAGACCACTAGCAAGAATAATAAAGAAAAAAAGAGAGAAGAATCAAATAGACGCAATAAAAAATGATAAAGGGGATATCACCACCAATCCCACAGAAATACAAACTACCATCAGAGAATACTACAAACAACTCTACAAAAATAAACTAGAAAGTCTAGAAGAAATGGATAAATTCCTGGACACATACACCCTCCCAAGACTAAACCAGGAAGAAGTTGACTCTCTGAATAGACCAATAACAGGAGCTGAAATTGTGGCAATAATCAATAGCTTACCAACCAAAAAGAGTCCAGGACGAGATGGATTCACAGCTGAATTCTACCAGAGGTACAAGGAGGAACTGGTACCATTCCTTCTGAAACTATTCCAATCAATAGAAAAAGAGGGAATCCTCCCTAACTCATTTTATGAGGCCAGCATCATCCTGATACCAAAGCCGGGCAGAGACACAACCAAAAAAGAGAATTTTAGACCAATATCCTTGATGAACATTGATGCAAAAATCCTCAATAAAATACTGGCAAAACGAATCCAGCAGCACATCAAAAAGCTTATCCACCATGATCAAGTGGGCTTCATCCCTGGGACGCAAGGCTGGTTCAATATACGCAAATCAATAAATGTAATCCAGCATATAAACAGAACCAAAGACAAAAACCACATGATTATCTCAATAGATGCAGAAAAGGCCTTTGACAAAATTCAACAACACTTCATGCTAAAAACTCTCAATAAATAAGGTATTCATGGGACGTATTTCAAAATAATAAGAGCTATCTATGACAAACCCACAGCCAATATCATACTGAATGGGCAAAAACTGGAAGCATTCCCTTTGAAAACTGGCACAAGACAGGGATGCCCTCTCTCACCACTCCTATTCAACATAGTGTTGGAAGTTCTGGCCAGGGCAATTAGGCAGGAGAAGGAAATAAAGGGTATTCAATTAGGAAAAGAGGAAGTCAAATTGTCCCTGTTTGCAGACGACATCATTGTATATCTAGAAAAACCCACTGTCTCAGCCCAAAATCTCCTTAAGCTGATAAGCAACTTCAGCAAAGTCTCAGGATACAAAATCAATGTACAAAATTCACAAGCATTCTTATACACCAACAAAAGATAAACAGAGAGCCAAATCATGAGTGAACTCCCATTCACAATTGCTTCAAAGAGAATAAAATACCTAGGAATCCAACTTACAAGGGATGTGAAGGACCTCTTCAAGGAGAACTACAAACCACTGCTCAAGGAAATCAAAGAGGATACAAACAAATGGAAGAATATTCCATGCTCATGGGTAGGAAGAACCAATATCATGAAAATGGCCATACTGCCCAAGGTAATTTACAGATTCAATGGCATCCCCATCAAGCTACCAATGCCTTTCTTCACAGAATTGGAAAAAAATACTTTAAAGTTCATATGGAACCAAAAAAGAGCCCGCATCGCCAAGTCAATCCTAAGCCAAAAGAACAAAGCTGGAGGCATCACACTACCTGACTTCAAACTATACTACAAGGCTACAGTAACCAAAACAGCATGGTACTGGTACCAAAACAGAGATATAGATCAATGGAACAGAACAGAGCCCTCAGAAATAATGCCGCGTATCTACAACTATCTGATCTTTGACAAACCTGAGAAAAACAAGCAATGGGGAAAGGATTCCCTATTTAATAAATGGTGCTGGGAAAACTGGCTAGCCATATGTAGAAAGCTGAAGCTGGATCCCTTCCTTAAACCTTATACAAAAATCAATTCAAGATGGATTAAAGACTTAAACGTTAGACCTAAAACCATAAAAACCCTAGAAGAAAACCTAGGCAATACTATTCAGGACATAGGCATGGGCAAGGACTTCATGTCTAAAACACCAAAAGCCAAAATTGACAAATGGGATCTAATTAAACTAAAGAGCTTCTGCACAGCAAAAGAAACTACCATCAGAGTGAACAGGTAACCTACAAAATGGGAGAAAATTTTCGCAACCTACTCATTGGACAAAGGACTAATATCCAGAATCTACAATGAACTCAAACAAATTTACAAGAAAAAACAAACAACCCCATCAAAAAGTGAGCGAAGGACATGAACAGACACTTCTCAAAAGAAGACATTTATGCAGCCAAAAAACACATGAAAAAATGCTCATCATCACTGGCCATCAGAGAAATGCAAATCGAAACCACAATGAGATACCATCTCACACCAGTTAGAATGGCAATCATTAAAAAGTCAGGAAACAACAGGTACTGGAGAGGATGTGGAGAAATAGGAACACTTTTACACTGTTGGTGGGACTGTAAACTAGTTCAACCCTTGTGGAAGTCAATGTGGTGATTCCTCAGGGATCTAGAACTAGAAATACCATTTGACCCAGCCATCCCATTACTGGGTATATACCCAAAGGACTATAAATCATGCTGCTATAAAGACACATGCACACGTATGTTTATTGCGGCATTATTCACAATAGCAAAGACTTGGAACCAACCCAAATGTCCAACAATGATAGACTGGATTAAGAAAATGTGGCATATATACACCATGGAATACTATGCAGCCATAAAAAATGATGAGTTCATATCCTTTGTAGGGACATGGATGAAATTGGAACTCATCAGTCTCAGTAAACTGTCGCAAGAACAAAAAACCAAATACCTCATATTCTCACTCATAGGTGGGAATTGAACAATGAGAACACATGGACACAGGAAGGGGAACATCACACTCTGGGGACTGTTGTGGGTTGGGGGGAGGGGGGAGGGATAGCACTGGGAGATATACCTAATGCTAGATGACGAGTTAGTGGGTGCAGCACACCAGCATGGCACATGTATACATATGTAACTAACCTGCACATTGTGCACATGTACCCTAAAACTTAAAGTATAATAATAATAAATTAATTAATTAATTTTAAAAAAACAATGGCCAGATAATTTTTTAAAAAGTAAAAAAGTTCCCTTAAAATATGTACATGTTCAAATTTACTCATAATAGCTGCATGTAAATTAACACTGATAAAGCATTCTTAGTTATCATCTTAGTGAAAATTAAAATATACATGATAGTACATTTTGTTGGTGTGACTGTCAGTAGAGAAACTGAAACTTTGTAGTATAAAAATGTTTATATTGCTGAGGGGAATGCAAACAAGTATAACCTTCTGGAGTACATGTTGGCAATATGTAACAAAACTACAGATTACTTACCTTTTGACCCGGGAGTTTCATTCCTAGGAATTTATCCTGAGATGATCACCTCCAGCAATACAAATTAATAAGAACAAGAATATTCATCCCAACATTATTTATAATTTTGAAGTATTGGAAAAACCTAAATATCCACATATAAAACAGAGGTTGAATGATAGATCCACCCAGAAGAGAACTTTGCAGCTCCAAATAATAGAAAGAAACATATCCATACAGATACTAAGTCAATTCTACAATATATTTTAAGTGAAAAGAGAAAAGTACAAAAGAACAGCTATAGTGTGAGGCAATTCCTATAATAAAGACATATAATAAAATATACATGTGTCTGGTAATTTAGGCGAACATAAACACAGGAATGATAAAACAAACTAATTAGACTGGTTACCTATTGTGGTAGATGTAAGCTGGGTGAAAAGAATGGGGAAATTTGAATAGGTAGACAGGATGAGGGAGAGGAACACTTCCCTAAGTATCACATTTTATATTGTAACTGTTCAAATCATGGTAATGTCTCATAGACCCAAAGATACATTATAAAAATTAATCAGGATATAGAAAAACCAAAAATGGGATCCAAAGAATAATAAAGGAATGTTAAGTGTATTATAAATGAATAATATAATCAAAATTATTGTGATGGGGAAAAACCAAATCTGAGCAATTTTGGAAAACAGTGTTTTGTCTGTTTGCTGTAAAGCTAAAGAGACAAAATTACAGGCATGCGCATGCACACACACACACACACAAACTCTGCACAGATTATATATTTTAATTTAGAAACTTACTTTTTACAGAGTTATGGGTTAGGAATTTGGAAACTATTTTATATGTGTTGTATTATCGGATTGAGCAAATAAATATATTGTGGATACTAAGAGCCAGATTTTCATTGCCAGAGAAAAATGTTATAAGTAAAACAACAGAGTTAATCTCCGATATTGGAATCAACTTTTGTACCATCAGTCCAAACTCACTGGTTTTAAATATGTGTAGATAGATCGTTAGATAGATATTGATATAGATAGATAAATAGATATGTGTACTTAATTCTCTATTTTTTCTATCTCTGTCCACTAGGAGGATCTAGAAACAGTGATAACAAATTAGCAATTAACACCCCAGCACTCAGATTTTGTTTCCAATTATCATTTTCCAATAAAAAATACCATGGCTTAGAAAAATGGCTGATTCCAGGACTGAAGCACAGAAAAAAATAAGATGATCCCAGAATATCTTGTAGTACCAGAAAGTTAAACAGTGATAAAATTAAGAAATAGGATCTTATCAAAAACACTGGAACCAATTTGAAGGAGCTCCCAAGGGCTATTTCTGGGTAAATTTTAGCAACTATATAATGATAATATTGGACAATAACCCAGAAAATAAAATATATGTCATTGAACAATATTAATAAAACTCACAAAGAAAGAAAGAAGGACAAAGTATAACTCTTTCCCACTGTAAAGTGCTAATTAATAAATGTAGAATGCATGATGACCATAGAAAGTCACCATTTGGCAGACAGCACAGTAATAATTATCGCAAGCAAGAATCATCAATGAATGCTAAAATTAAATGCGAAATTGGATGATAAGAAATAGGATAATTACATAGACTTGAAGTTTTTTTGTAAAGCCAAAAAATAGTACCTTTATAGTTGAAATGTCTATCAAGCATCATCTTAGCTAAGTAATTAAAGTTAACGTTACCAGTAATAAGACACATGAACATTCCATATTTTCTGACATACTGTACTGAGAAAGACACATCACCTTTGTGGTATTCTTGCCAAAAGTGCTAAATATAAATTTTATCCAGGAGAAAAATCAGACAAAACTAAAGTTGTAAAATAGCTTTCAAAGAATCAAGTCATCAAAGACAAAGAAAGATGGAAGAACTGTCCCAGACTGAAGGTCACTAAGGAGGCAAGACAAATAAATGTAATGTGGGTTACTAGACCAGTAAAAAGATATCGGTGAGACAATTGGTGAAATTTAATAAGATCTGCAGATTAGTTAATAGTATTTATCAAATTAATTTCCTGGTCTTCATAATTGTACTGCAGTTATTTAAAATGTTAACATTGAGAAAAGCCTGGCGAACGGTATGTGAGAACTATTTACAGCATTTGGGGAACTTCTTTTTATGTCTGAAGTTATTTCAAAGTAAAAGGTTATAATAGTGATAAAAAATAATAAAAGATATATCCTCCATATTAAAAAATAAATCTGAAAAACGTGTATCTATTAATTAAATAACGATTTCTACTTAGAATTAAAGTAAAAGATGTTAATGGGACAGCCAAAACGTAATATTTAGTTCTATTTACTTTCCACTATACAAGCATAAAAGAATCTCAAACAATTATGGAAGAGCAAGTCAGATCATTCATGTAAATGTCAAAAGTATTACACAGCTCTATACATTCTCCTGTCTCTTTTATGTAACCATGTATAATAAAAGTATTTCAATCAGACCATTAATTTTTAATGAGAGTGCATTGGACTTTTGGTTTAGTTCATCTTCAATGCTAAACACTAAAGATTATATTTGTGATATGAGTGATAGTGAGATAATTACAGATCTATTTCTAGATGAATTTCCTCCTCTCATTGTTTAGCTGAGAATATATAGTTAATTGAATGTGTTAGCATTTAGAACAGTGTCAGGAGTTATTAGCTATTATTGTTGTTGTCACTGTTATTATGAACATGATGTCGTTGCCCTCTCTGATCTTTAACAAAAATAACTCAGCAAGCAAGTTTTAATTTTCCTTTAAGCTGTTCAACCCTGAACTACTTAAATTTCAGGCACTAAGTGGTTTAATACAACCAAGTAGAAAAGCACCACTGAATTATTCAAAAATTAAATTCCATAGCACTCAAGCATCAAAGTAGACCTGCTTAAATTGGCAGCTTTCAGTCTCTCCAGCGCTCCTGCTTGATGACCTTTGAGAAGGCAATGATCTTTAAGTCATCTTGTTCTGCTTCATGTTCTGCTTTGCGTTTGGCACATAAAATCATCTAAAATAATCACCACCCATGAATGTCAATGGAATTGTGCTATTCTTTTTTATATACTTGATTTGTGTCATGTAAGACAAAAAAAATGCAAAGAGAGAGTTTTGACATTTCACCAAAGCACAATAATAACTCCTGTTTTAAGCAGATTAAGCTTATCTTTCACTTGTATTCAAGAAACTAACAAGATAAACTGTGGAGCACAGATTCCGAAATGCTTTGGAGAGATTGTTGAAAAAATTTACATTTGTATGTTTATAAGGAAGATAATCTCTCTAGACCTAATGAATAACATTTCTAATTGCAATCCTGGGAATGAAGTTGTCCGAAATTATTCCTGTGTAAACATGTTACAAGGTTGGAGGGACGGAGGAAGGAGAGTCCATTATGAAAAGGATTTTGAAAGATTCCCTCAAATCCCAATCTCAAGAATATAGTAATTCTTTAACAGAATATACATGAATAAACATAACAGAATGCAGGGCCTCTGTGTAATTCAGTTTATTAGATAAGTGTATATTTAAAACTCCATGTTTTAAGGTTACACTTTAGATACCTACATTTATAATCAATGATAAGATTTTGAATCTATTATGTGTTTTCTCTAGCTCATTATTTTGTCTTATAAAAATGTAAAAAAGAAACTATTAACTTGTGGCAGTATAATCTTAAAGAAGAGCTTTGGGAACAATGAAATAAATACAAAAAGTAGTTTAATATTCTGATCTGCTATAGCCCATTCTGAATCATAAAAGAAAGCAATGATCTCAGCTTGAATTGAATAGGATCTCTAGGGATATATAATCACATACCTTTGTTTAGGTGAAAGACTAGAACCTAGAAAGACTGGAAACTAGAAATTGTATGTTTAACTCACTAATAAGGACAGATATTAATTAATTAATTCATTCATTCACTCATTAATTAAGCAGTTACTTATGATCTTTGCAAAGTGCTGGGGAAAATAGGAAAGGATAAGGGAAAAAATCTGTCTCACAAAGTTGATTATATGATTATTTAAGTTGATTAAACTAATTTAATACATATGAGTGAAATGACAAAGCAGCACAAAAAGTGCAAAAAACTGATAAAGAAAAAATTCGTGCATTCTCAGTAGAAGGCATTTTATGGACATGAGTCATTTTGGTTTTGCTAGCAATAATCTTGGGGTTTCTATAAGTGATCCTATCCTATATTTCATTACTCAAAATTTGTAAAAAAGATCTTTCAAAAATTCCCTCTGCAAGAGTTTAATGCCTTGTTTTTGTCAAAATACCCACCCTCATTATTTTATTATCATATTTATTATCATATTATCTCCAAGATTTTGGAGGCCTGACATTTTTATAATTCTTGGAGCTCACTTTAATGAAAAGAATTCAAACATTATAAATGTTTGAAGGCATTTGTTTAAATATTTTTAGAATAAAATATCACATTTATTACTTATTTTTTAAAGATATAAAATATTGTAAAATGGGAAAATTCTGAAAAATTATTAAGCCTGTTTTATAATTGACCAACTGACATCCTAATAATCCTTTCCTTTCCAGTTGCAGTCAGCAGAGGAATTCTTTTCAGAATTTTTAATTTGTAATTCCTTTCCCTCAAAAAAGATACATTACCAGAAGTTAATCCTAAGATTATAATTTAATAAAACTAATAAATAGAAAAATGAATTTGACTAGTTTCTAGGTCTTCAGGGTTCCAGTCATATTTTTCCTCCACCATCTACATATTTTGGGTACCAGGTACTATAGGACAGATATAAATCACGATGTGACCTCTGGCTCGGAACTTTCATAACATGACACAATGTAGGTAGGCAAGGGGGAATTAGAGGTACCCCTGAAGGCCATTCTCACATCAGAATGTCAAACAAGAACTTTTACACACACAGGAGGATGCCATTTTTTACTTTATTGCCTCTCAGCTCCAAACTAACTCTTCATTCCCTGTTCTGTGAAAATGAATCTGGGCCCTTTAAATATTGTTTCTTTGCCAGCTGGCACAATGTTAAGCTGTTTTTAAGTAGCGGGTATGAGTGAGACAGTGCCAACAGGAAGGAGATTTATTTCTTGACTTCAGCTACTGTGCTTTCATCTTTCTTTAAACTTACAATTTCAGGGGTACATGTGCAGGTTTGTCACATAGGTATACTTGTGTCACGGGGGCTTGTTGTATAGATTATTTCATCATCCAGGTATTAAGCCTAGTACCCACTAGTTATCTTTCCTGATCCTCTCCCTCCTCCCACCCTCCACCCTCAAGTAGACCCCAGTGTTTCACGTCCCCTGCCATGTGTCCATGTGCCCTCATCATTTAGCTTCCACGTACATGTGGTATTTGGTTTTCTGTTCCTGCATTAGTTTGCTAAGGATAATGGCCTCCAGCTCCTTTCATGTTCCTGCAGAGGACATAATCCTGTTCTTCTTTTTATGTCTGCATAGTATTCTGTGATGTAGTGTAACTCCTCCTGCATGCTAGGGTCTTGTGACTAATATTCCGTAGCCCTCGCAATAAGAACACCACATGTGCTAAGTTTTAAAAACACTTCTGACTGCTGTACACACACTGTGATCCTTGCAAAGTGCTGGGGAAAATAGGAAAGGATGAAGGAATAAATCTGTCTTCACAAAGTTTATTACATGATTATTTTAGTTGACTAAACTAATTTAATACATATGAGTGAAGTGACAAAGCAGCACGAAAGCGCAAAGCGCCTGTCCTCTGAATGTTTGCTTCCTACCTGTCTGGTGATTCTGAATCTGCTCTGGCATTAGCAACCCACAGAAACTCTCCACCATCCAGCGAGCTGCAACCATACTTTCTCCAGAAAAGTCTCAGAGGGGGCTTCCATTCCAGCTTTGTCCTTTCTTGGGTAATCTCTCTCAGTCCTACAACACTATTGGATTACTGTTAACATTTTCATATTTTCCTTTCATTTTAGATTAATTATACTTTATATTAAACTTCCTGCTTTAACTGCAGCATGGATTTTGTCTTTTGATTGTACCCAGACTCATACATAAGAGTAACTGAAAGACATATAAGTATAAATTCAAAGTAAATGTTTCCCAAACTAATTTCCCTTTAGTTTGAACTAAAAAACAATGTCTATGACCATTAAAACATCACCGAAGAGATGAGGTGGGTAAAGTCAATTCATAGTTGAAAGAGACGGCAGTTTTAATCAGTGAACTTAATAATTTCTCTCTCTCTATGTATGTGTATATATATGTATGTGTATGTATGTGTATGTGTGTGTATATATATGTATGTGTATATATATGGGTGTATGTGTGTATACACACACATGTATGTATATATGTGTGTGTATATATATGTATGTGTGTATATATATATATATGGGTGTATGTGTGTGTGTATATATATGTGTGTGTGTGTATATATATATATATATTTGTGTATACACACATACGTCCATGCACCCAGACAGGTGCACAGACACTCACACACATACACAGACACACACACATTCAGGTCTTGGCCTTGGAAGGGACTATGCAAGTTAGCTTAATGAAAAATTATCCTCAGCCTTGAGAGGTCTAGTCTTTCTCTGGACAATCATTTCCCCATAAAAACTCCATCCTAGGATTGGCAAACTACAGCCAGTGAGACGAATCCAGTCTGGCATGTGCTTTTATAAATACAGTTTTATTAAAACACATCCATACCTATTCCTTTCAATGTTCTCTATGGCTGCTTTCATGTTGTAATGGCATAGTCAAGTAGTTACAACAAAGATCATATGAATCACAAAGCTAAAATACTTACTGCTTTGTTTTTACTGACGAGATCTGCTGATGTTTACTCTATATTATTAAAGGGCATTGAGATTTCAGTAGATAACCATTTACATTGCATACAAACAAAAAATGCGAGCCCTTTCCAGCCAGCTATTAGTTTCTGATCCAGAAACTGAGGAACAACTCTATATATTTCTATTAAAAGTCAAGCAGTTGATGGCTTGCCACTCAGGGACCTTGAAATTTTACATTTAATTCCTCTACTATGCTATGAATTATTGTTAATGTCGAAGACTGAACACTGAATTATATGTTACCTTGTAATAGTGCTTTAAAAAGACAGGGTGAATATACACTTAAAGGAATTCTGCAGTGGGAGCAAAGAGAAAATAGACTTGAGTACCACTGTAAATAAGAGAAAGCTATTATCAAAGCAGAAAGGCTAGGATTTGGAACTCATATTGGAGGCATATTGGAGAAGAGGAGTGAAAATTTAAGATGAGACTGGAAAAATAGATTAGTTGGGCACTTCAGTCCACAATTTTTCTCCTTTCAAATAAGACTAGCATATGTAAAGAACAACATTAAGGAAGGCTTATAGAAGAATTGGGACATACTATAAAGATCATCTATCCAGTGAGATGGGCAGGCTCTCTTCACTTCAAAAGACTACCAAGTCCAGCTAAGCAATGAGATAACTCCAAAAATAAATGAGGAACTATTGAAGTGATATGTAAATGGACGTACAGCTAGAATCAAATTTGATTTTGCTTTGTTTCAAGAACAATATGGAAGAAATAAATCTGACATGCCAACTGCTGACATAAATATATCAAAACATAAAAATCTGAAGTGAAAAAGACAGGTAGGTCTTTCTTAAATAATAAAAACTAAACTAAAAAATGCTAGTTATTTGACATTATTCTTTCCGTTCTTAAATGTATCTTGAAGAAAGATTTGAATATGTATTCAAATATTTAGGATGAATCCTATCATTAATCACTAATTTGAATACAATCATATTTAAAATAAAATTTCCTTTCTGTAGACACCTAGGGGAAGATGGATGTACTTAATTTAATAGGAAAATGTCTTTAACTGTGGACTCTGAATACAGAAGCAGCTAGTTTTCATGCTCTATTATTTTATGCATATTCTGACTTATACTCTGAATCTGCCATAAAGCACTATTCACCACATCAAGAAAGAGAAGCTGCCTTTCTTGATGTGGTGTGTTTGAAATATAATAGGAGAATAACAGATACATGTTACTTTGAATAAATATAAAATCACTTACAGTGCAGTTGTTATTGTATTTTGTATGAATAAGCTTTCTTTGGAGTTTGTACTTAGGCGCAAAACAGATAGTACAAGTGTGTTTTAAATGATTTGTCCATTAAAGTAACTTGATTCATACAGCTCTTACACCTCTCAATACAAAGACATCTCGTTCATTACTATATGTGTCATTACTGATATATAAGTAACCATGATAACATTGGTATCCAGGAATTATCATTGATCCCACAATAAGACATATTAGGAGTCAACTTATTCAACTTACTCAGAGAGAGTAAAAGTAACATCCACCCCAGGGGAAGAAGAGGTGCATTTATTATAACCCTTCCCAGTATTGTCATATGGTGCCATTTTTTTATTTTCTAAAGGAGAAAACATCTTATAGAAGGAGATTAGTAATGTGTTCCAAGAATGGCATTTTCTTGCTGTGGTTTTCTGACACCACGGTACGCCTTGACTCTATAGGTTAAAACACTTTCGTTAATTTAATCTCAGAGAAGGCACTCATAATGAGACAGGTGAAAACACCAACTAATTAACTGTAAAATGAAGTTTCATCATTTTTAATGGGAAGACTCAAGCTTCTGTTTGGTGACTCTTCTTCTTAGTACCAAGTTACCCTCCCCCAAACAAGAGAATCACAAAATATTTATTTAGCATATGAGTTTAGCAAAGCAATAATGTATTTTGCTATCAAGTTCTTTCTCTCCCACAGTAGAAAATACTCATTTAGAAACAAGGATATTCTTAGCTCACTGTCCTTTAGACAGCGCTGTATAAGCGCTGAACAATTCTAAATGTTTTTTTCCCCATTTTTATCCCCATTCAGACCACTACTCTTCTGCTGAGACACACTATTTTCTTATGGCTTCAAGGAAGGGATTGTTTTTCAGCATTACAGCATTAGTTTCCTTTCAAACCTTAGTCCTTCTAATTCCCTATCAACAACACATTTAACTACCACGATTTAGGATAGATTATTATCATAATTGGTCCACCTCTTCTTTAGGCTGTAGCTTATACTGCTTTACCTCGGAGAGGGTACAGTCAACATCAGCTCCAAGGGAAGAAAATGATCAGGAGGAAGAGAATAAAGAGAAGGAAGAAAAGGAAGAGGAGGAAGAAGAATATCACAGTAAGTGGGAAAAGTAGTCATTATGGATAATGTACTGAGAATTTATTAAAAGTGCTTATTTACATGTGTTTAACCAACCAGCCCCAAAATGCAACAAAAATGCCAAATAGTTTGTCACTCTGAATGCCAAAGTCAACATATGGAAAAACATGAGTTAGAAAGTTAGGGAGTGATTTTGTAATATAGTGGTATGTAGATTTTCTAGTAAGAAATGTTTTAAATAACCTCATTCTTTTCTTTGTTCCTTTAGTCAACAAATTTGTATTGCAGGACTACTCTACACAGAGATGGTTCTAAGCACTGGGAATACAGGACTGAACAAGAGAGGTATGATCCCCACTGTTCTGGAATTTGCATTCTAGTTAGAAAAAATCAGAGAAGGAGAGCAACTAGAAATCATTTTTACATATTATAAATTCTTTCAATTGAAGTAAGAACATTGTGGAATGCTACAATCTGTGTTTAGTTGTTTTTATGTTGTCCTTTATTAATAAAGTTAGAAGCAGAAAAGACTAGAAAATTAGTCCTCACTTCCAAAGTAGAAGTATTAATACAGTAAATCAGTCTAAATTTTCATTTTGATTACACATTTTTGATAACCATATACTGCTTAAGGTTGTTATGAATAAACAACAAAAATCTACCTAAAATTTTCCACCTGTTGAGATATTGCTTTTGAAACTTCCTTGAGGACAATGTTCCACAAATTTGCTCTGTAAAAGGCCAGACAGTAAATATTTTTGGCTTTGGAAGGCAAGATATGAAATTGAGGATATTATATAGATATTTACATTGCTAGAGAGGAAACTATTCTTCACAAATTTTTATTGATGAAATTAAAAACATAATATTTGTTTATTGATGAAATTAAACAAATAATGGTGGACCTGTTTTTTTTTTTTTTTTTTTTGTAATACAGGTCTACTTATGAGGAATGGAATTTTGGAAAGGAAGATAACATCTAATTGAGAATCGATAGCTTTTTGATCAAAAACAACTGCACATGTTCATCTGTTAACGGTAATCTGTAATGATTTTTTATATATGTCCTCTTTGAAAATACTTTCTCACATAGATCCCGCCAAACACTGATTATCAATTCACAAGCAAATTATTTTAATTAAATATATGCATCTTTTGGAAGGCATTTATAGAATTCCATTAGATTTTTGTTCTGGATATTTGCCTTTAAGCAATTATTATATTGCAGATTTACAATTCCAATTGAAAATTAAGCAGAAGCTCCTCAATAGCATAATTAAAATGAATTTTGACATATGAAAATTTACTTTGCACTAGTTTGAGTTTGGAAAATCTATCTGGTGCAAAATTGGGTGGGAATGAGGATCTGGCTTCTTAACTGTTGAGAGAACATGCAGTGCATAAAGTAACTTGACATTGCTTGTGACTCAAAGTGTTTAAGTTGTTGAAATAGTTTTACTACAGTATAAGTTTCACATTTGAATACTGTTTGACCATGTAGTTTATGTTGAATTCATTATGAAACATCAAATCTGCTGCAAAAACTAACTTAATGCTATTTGTTTTCTGATTATAGTGGTTGAGGGCATTTCTTTCTTTCCAGAAAAATTTCTGCATCAACCCTGAGCTGAAAATATTGCAATGAAACTTGACCACTGCTAAGCTATTGAAATGTGCGATAGGGTGAGTCAGGATACTCAGTTTTCATTTCAGTCAAAAATTCACAAAACTGACAATGGTTGAGTCCATGAGAGGGAATGAATTTCACTGTTGACACTACTGATTCAATAAAACATAATAGATTTTAGCATTTTCCTCAAAAACCTGCTGGTGAATAGTAAAGTGGGCAATGATGGGCTTTAAACCCTTTACATTTTCATATGTCTTGTAAGTTTGTTCAAATAAGCCTTTCCCTGCTCCATATGTATTTTTATTATCAGTCGTACCAGCAGACCCCATTTCACGTTGTACTGGATTCAAGCTTTCTCAACTTCCATAAAAAATTCCTCACCTCCCCTAGTTTTGTGCAGACCACTCTTAGGGGTTAATTATATAATCAGTTAAAGCTTGATATTGACTCATCAAATAAGTAACAACTGATGAGTGTTAGCAACATCTGTGAACTCATCAGGAGCAATGCAAAGCCAGTCAAAATCATTTGCTTTTAAAAAATAAGGTAAATTGATTATCAATGCTGCTCCCAGTGTCCTTAACTCATCAAGTAACTGTTCTGGCTAAAAGGCTAATCATATTAAACAAGTTTGTTTTCTCTAAACACATTTCTTCAGCTGCTCAAATCTAACATGATTTAAATAACTCACCATTGGTAAATGGCTTTTCTTGCTTGGCTAAAAAATGGGACATTTGAAATTTTATTATGGTTGTAGCCTCAGTCTCATTTGTTATTTTTGTGAAGAAATTCTACTGTGATGAGATACGCTGTTTTAAATTTTCTAGTTTTTCTAAACATTGCATTTCTGTGAGTAGGAAATATTGTGAACAATGCTTAGTTTGTTAATGTCAATATAATTTTTTTAAGAATAGATATATCATCGTTGGGCAATTTGCTATCAAATTCAGTACAAAATAATTCATACTCAACTGTGCCTTAAATATGCAACATTTAAAGTCATTTTTCTTCTTTTTGTTTTAAATTTATGGTTGTGTACTAGTAATAAAATATACATTAAGTGTTGTGTTATAGCGACGTGGAATTTGGAATGCTACAGAGTTTTAACTATATTAACACAATTTTTAGAGTACCAAGCATTAGCATGAAGCAATAAGAGTGCCACATACATGCATTCTCTTTCAAAACAACTGAACTTCTCTACTGTTGTAATGCAAAGCAGCCATAGACAATACATGAATGAAGAGCATGACTGCTGTCAGGCCTCTGAGCCTAAGCTAAGCCATCATATCCCCTGTGACCTGCAGGTACACATCCAGATGGCCGGTTCCTGCCTTAACTGATGACATTCCACCACAAAAGAAGTGAAAATGCCTGTTCCTGCCTTAACTGATGACACTGTCTTGTGAATTCCTTCTGCTGGCTCATCCTGGCTCAAAAGCTCCCCCACTGAGTACCTTGTGACCCCCATTCCTGCCCACCAGAGAACAACCCCCCTTTTTCCTTTACCTACCCAAATCCTATAAAATGGCCCCACCCCTATCTCCCTTCATTGACTCTCTTTTCGGACTCAGCCCGCCTGCACCCAGGTGTTTAAAAGATTTATTGCTCACACAAAGCCCGTTTGGCAGTCTCTTCACACGGATGCACATGAAATTTGGTGCCGTGACTCGGATGGGCGACCTGCATTAGGAGATCAATCCCCTGTCCTCCTGCTCTTTGCTCCGTGAGAAAAGTCCACCTACGACCTCAGGTCCTCCGACCGACCAGCCCAAGAAACATCTCACCAATTTCAAATCCAGTAAGCGGCCTCTTTTTACTCTCTTCTCCAACCTCCCTCACTATCCCTCAACGTCTTTCTCCTTTCAATCTTGGTGCCACACTTCAATCTCCCCCTTCTCTTAATTTCAATTCCTTTCATTTTCTGGTAAGAGACAAAGGAGACACGTTTTATCCGTGGACCCAAAACTCCAGCATCAGTGATGGACTAGGGAAGGCAGCCTTCCCTTGGTGTTTAATCATTGCAGGGATGCCTCTCTGATTATTCAACCAGGTTTCAGAGGTGTCAGACCACGTGGGGATGCCTGCCGTGGTCCTTCACCCTTAGCATCAAGTCCCGCTTTTCTGGGGGAGGGGCAAGTACACCAACCCCTTCTCCTTCACCCTTAGTGGCAAGTCCCGCTTTTCTTGGAGGAAAGAACCCCCAATCCCTTATTTCCATGCCCCGACCTCTTATCTCTGTGCCCCAATCCCTTATTTCCATGCCCCGACCTCTTATCTCTGCGCTCCAATCCCTTATTTCTGCACCCTGACCTCTTATCTCTGCACCCCAACCCCTTATTTCCATGCCTTGACCCCTTTCCCACTTTTCTGGAAGGTAAGAAACCCCTGAACCCCTTCCCTCCGTGTCTCTACTTTCTCTTTTCTCTAGGCTTGCCTCCTTCACTATGGGCAATCTTCCACCCTCCAGTCCTCCGTCTCCCTTAGCCTGTGCTCTCAAGAACTTAAAACCTCTTCAACTCACACCTGACCTAAAACCTAAATGCCTTATTTTCTTCTGCAATGCAGCTTGACCCCAATACAAACTTGACAGTGGTTCCAAATAGCCAGAAAATGGCACTTTCAATTTTTCCATCCTGCAAGATCTAAATAATTCTTGTTGTCAAATAGGCAAATGGTCTGAGGTGCCTGACATCCAGGCATTCTTTTACACATCGGTCCCTCTCTAGTCTCTGTTCCCAATGCAACTCATCCCAAATCTTCCTTCTTTCCCTCCCACCTGGCCCCTCAGTCCCAACCCCAAGCGTCACTGAGTCTTTCTAATCTTCCTTTTCTACAGACCCATCTGACCTCTCCCCTCCTCCCCAGGCTGCTCCTCGCCAGGCCAAGCTAGGTTCCAATTCTTCCTCAGCCTCCGCTCCTCCACCCTATAATCCTTTTATCACCTCTGCTCCTCACACCTGGTCCGGCTTACAGTTTCGTTCTGTGACTAGCCCTCCCCCACCTGCCCAGCGATTTATTCTTACAAAGGCGGCTGGAGCTAAAGGCATAGTCAAGGTTAATGCTCCTTTTTCTTTATCCCAAATCAGATAGCATTTAGGCTCTTTTTCATCAAATATAAAAATCCAGCCCAGTTCATGGCTTGTTTGGCAGCAACACTGAGACGCTTTACAGCCCTAGACCCTAAAAAGTCAAAAGGCCATCTTATTCTCAATACACATTTTATTACCCAATCTGCTCCTGACATTAAATAAAAATCCAAAAATTAAATTCCGGCCCTCAAACCCCACAACAGGACTAAAGTAACCTCACCTTCAAGGTGTACAATAATAGAGGCACCAAGTAGCAACATATTTCTGAGTTGCAATTCCTTTCCTCCACTGTGAGACAAACCCCAGCCACATCTCCAGCACACAAGAACTTCCAAATGCCTAAACCGCACTGGCCAGGCATTCCTCCAGAACCACCTCCCCCAGGAGCTTGCTACAAGTGCCAGAAATCTGCCCGCAGCCCGGGATTCCTCCTAAGCCGTGTCCCATCTGTGCGGGACCCCACTGGAAATCGGACTGTTCAACTCACCTGGCAGCCACTCCCAGAGATGCTGGAACTCTGGCCCAAGGCTCTCTGACTGACTCCTTCCCAGACCTTCTCGGCTTAGCAGCTAAAGACTGACGCTGCCTGATCACCTCAGAAGCCCCCTAGACCATCACAGACGCCGAGCTTCAGGTAACTCTCACAGTGGAAGGTAAGTCCGTCCCCTTCTTAAGCAATACGGAGGCTACCCACTCCACATTACCTTCTTTTCAAGGGCCTGTTTCCCTTGCCTCCATAACTGTTTGTGGGTATTGACAGCCAGGCTTCTAAACTTCTTAAAACTCCCCAACTCTGGTGCCAACTTAGACAATACTCTTTTAAGCACTCCTTTTAGTTATCCGCACCTGCCCAGTTCCCTTATTATGCCGAGACACCTTAACTAAATTATCTGCTTCCCTAACTATTCCTGGATTACAGCTACATCTCATTGAAGCCCTTCTTCCCAATCCAAAGCCTCCTTTGCATCCTCCTCTTGTATCCCCCAACCTTAACCCACAAGTATAAGATACCTCTACTCCCTCCTTGGTGACCGATCATGCACCCCTTACCATCTCATTAAAGCCTAATCACCCTTACCCCACTCAATGCCAATATCCCATCCCACAGCATGCTTTGAAAGGATTAAAGCCTGTTATCACTTGCCTGCTACAGCATGGCCTTTCAATCCTTAATACCTCCCTCCACAATCCATTATTCTGTTCTGGATCTCAAACATGCTTTCTTTACTATTCCTTTGCACCCTTCATCACAGCCTATCTTCGCTTTCACTTGGATTGACCCTGACACCCATCAGGCTCAGCAAATTACCTGGGCTGTACTGCCACAAAGCTTCACAGACAGCCCCCATTACTTCAGTCAAGCCCAAATTTCTTCCTCATCTGTTAGCTATCTCAGCATAATTCTCATAAAAACACACGTGCGCTCCCTGCCGATCGTGTCCAACTAGTCTCTCAAACCCCAATCCATTCTACAAAACAACAACTCCTTTCCTTCCTGGGTATGGTTAGATACTTTCACATTTAGATACCTGGTTTTGCCATCCTAACAAAACCATTATATAAACTCACAAAAGGAAACCTAGCCGACCCCATAGATACTAAATCCTTTCCCCCACTCCTCTTTCCATTCCTTGAAGACAGCTTTAGAAACTGCCCCCACTATAGCTCTCCCTGACTCATCCTAACCCTTTTCATTACACACAGCTGAAGTGCAGGGCTGTGCAGTAAGAATTCTTACACAAGGATGAGGATCGCGTCCTGTAGCCTTTTTGTCCAAACAACTTGACCTTACTGTTTTAGGCTGGCCATCATGTCTCCATGCAGCGGCTGCTACCACCCTAATATTTTAGAGGCCCTTAAAATCACAAACTATGCTCAATGCACTCTCTACAGCTCTCATAATTTCCAGAATCTATTTTCTTCCTCACACCTGATGCATATACTTTCTGCTCCCCGGCTCCTTCAGCTGTACTCACTCTTTGTTGAGTCTCCCACAGTTACCATTGTTCCTGGCTCGGACTTCAATCCGGCCTCCCACATTATTCCTGATACCACACCTGACCCTCATGACTGCATCTCTCTGATCCACCTGACATTCACCCCACTTCCCCACATTTCCTTCTTCACTGTTTCTCACCCTGAACACACTTGGTTTATTGATGGCAGTTCCACCAGGCCTAATTGCCACACACCAGCAAAGGCAGGCTATGCTACAGTACAAGCCACTAGCCCGCCTCTTAAAACCTCTCATTTCTTTTCCATCGCGGAAATCTATCCTCAGGGAAATAAATTTTTAGTATTCCATCTGCTATTCTACTACTCCTCAAGGATTATTCAGGCCCCCTCCCCCCTTCCCTACACATCAAGCTCAAGGATTTGCCCCCGCCCAGGACTGGCAAATTAGCTTTACTCAACATGCCCCGAGTCACAAAAACTAAAATACCTCTTAGTCTGGGTAGACACTTTCACTAGTTAGGTAGAGGCCTTTCCTACAGGGTCTGAGAAGGCCACCGCAGTCATTTCTTCCCTTCTGTCAGAAATAATTCCTCAGTTTAGCCTTCCCACCTCTATACAGTCTGATAACAGACCAGCCTTTATTAGTCAAATCAGCCAAGCAGTTTTTCAGGCTCTTAGTATTCAGTGAAACCTTTATATCCCTTACAGTCCTCAGTCTTCAGGAAAAGTAGAACAGACTAAAGGTCTTTTAAAAACACACCTCACCAAGCTCAGCCACCAACTTAAAAAGGAATAGACAATACTTTTACCACTTTCCCTTCTCAGAATTCAGACCTGTCCTCGGAATGCTACAAAGTACAGCCCATTTAAGCTCCCGTATAGATGCTCCTTTTTATTAGGCCCCAGTCTCATTCCAGACACCAGACCAACTTAGACTGTGCCCCCAAAACTTGTCATCCCTACTGTCTTCTGTCTAGTCATACTCCTATTCACCATTCTCAACTACTCATACATGCCCTGCTCTTGTTTACACTGCCGGTTTACACTGTTTCTCCAAGCCATCACAGCTGATATCTCCTGGTGCTATCCCCAAACTCCCACTCTTAACTCTTAAAGTAAATAAATAATCTTTGCTGGCAAGGCTATGCCGAACCTCCTTAGGCACTCTCTAATTAGATGTCCTAGGTTCTCCCAATTCTTAGTCCTTTAATACCTGTTTTTCTCCTTCTCTTATTCTGTTTAGTTTTTCAATTCATACAAAACCATATCCAGGCCATCACCAATAATTCTAAATGACAAATGTTTCTTCTAACAACCCCACAATATCACCCCTTACCACAAAATCTTCCTTCAGCTTAATCTCTCCCACTCTAGGTTCCCACACCGCCCCTAATCCTGCTAGAAGCAGCCCTGAGAAACATCTCCCATTATCTCTCCATACCATCCCCAAAAATTTTTGCCGTCCCAACACGTTACCACTATTTCATTTTATTTTTCTTATTAATATAAGAAGACAGGAATTTCAGGCCTCTGAGCCCAAGCTAAGCCATCATATCCCCTGTGACCTGCAGGTACACATCCAGATGGCCGGTTCCTGCCTTAACTGATGACATTCCACCACAAAAGAAGTGAAAATGCCTGTTCCTGCCTTAACTGATGACACTGTCTTGTGAATTCCTTCTGCTGGCTCATCCTGGCTCAAAAGCTCCCCCACTGAGTACCTTGTGACCCCCACTCCTGCCTGCCAGAGAACAACCCCCCTTTTTCCTTTACCTACCCAAATCCTATAAAACAGCCCCACCCTTATCTCCCTTCACTGACTCTCTTTTCAGACTCAGCCTGCCTGCACCCAGGTGATTAAAAGCTTTATTGCTCACACAAAGCCTGTTTGGTGGTCTCTTCACAGGGACGTGCATGAAAACTGCCTTCCAATAAACCTGTATTTATGAACCCTAAAATTTGATTCCAAATGCATATGTCATAAAATCTTATTCTTCTTTTGATATTTTCACCCATTTAAAAATGTGAAGACCATTTCATGCTCACACACATAAGAAATTGCAGGCAGGCCAGGTTTAGGGTAGTTTGCCAACCTGTAGTTTCTGATTTGGAAAAAGAAACTTAAGTATTTAATGTTTACAAGACATAAAATTAAAACTTAAGAATATTAAAAGCTGGGTAGTCAAATAATAACCCAAGAAAGTTGGTAGCATTCTCCTATTTTGTTTTTTTACTTCTTCACTCTGATAGATTTTTGTGTTTTGTTGTTGCTATTGCTAATGTATCCTCACTGAGGTTTGCTAAGCTTCCAAAATCTATGGTTTGATATCTTTCTTCAATTTTTGAAAATTCTCAGGCACTAGGTCTTTTTGCTTGTCCCTTTTTTGTGACTATAATAATATATTTTGTATTATATCATCATAAATAATGGCTATTACTTGATATTGTCAAATGTAAGCCCGTCTGATGAATGTTTTATTTCTGATGGCTCATTCTTTATTTCTAACATTTGCATTTGGGTTTTTTTTTATCATGATTATATATGTACTAAAAGTTCCCATTTTCTCCTGTGTTTTTACATACTTTATTTAACATAATTGCCATAGTTATTTTGAAGTCCTTGTCAGATGTTTCCAATATCTAGGAAATATCTGGGCTTGCATCCTTTCTTGAATGTGAGTCACATTTCTTTGCTTCTTTGTGTGTCTTGTAATGTTTGGTTTTATGCTGGCTCCTAAGTGTACAAGGAAAAATAGAGACTGAAGTAAATAATACTTAAAACCAGAAAAATACACTTTCATTCTATCATTGCATTATTAATGTGAAGGACTAAATTAACTTAATCTGTAATGTAACTGGGCAAGAATTTGATGAAATATTTGTTTGACTCAATACGTAATTTGTTTCTAATATTTTGAGTGCAAAGTTAGAACTGACCTTTCATTGAGACTTAGGCTCTGAGCATTGGTGAGACTGACATATTCTTTTTATGTTTAAAGCCAAGTTACTGGCTATTAAATCTTGGGATCTCTTGGTAACTCTCTCTCTCCTGCTCTCTCCACTCTGTAGACCACATCTGCCAGCTTTTTAGGTTGCTGAAGATTTCTGGGTGCCTCTACACTCTTGTTCAGTTTCCAGCATTTACAACTAATAAAAGCTTGGGGCACCCAGGAGAACTTTCTCTAACCTCTATGCCTTCTTCAATTTGTTAGTAACCTGCCATCACACTACAGCAAGAACTTCAGAAGACTTCCTCTTGGATCCCCTTTCTTTGGCTCTCTTTCCCTGGCTCTAGACTTTGGATCACTACTCCACACACTGAACACAAGGCCCACGGTCTAACATTAGTTAGTAGGTGCAGACATGATTTATTGCTAGGGCTTATCTGCATTCTAATCAGTTCTCTCAGCCTACATATGACAACTACAAGGTTTTTAAAAGTTCAGCTGATTTCTTCATGTTTCCATCTATAATACAACTTCTCCTCTTGTTCTAAAATAATAGCAATTATAGATCTCTTCTGTTTTGGGAATAAAGTAGAAACAGTTTTCCATAAGATGACTTAGCGGTGAACTTTATAAGATGTATTTTATGGGGACTCATGTATGAACTATTTGAGAGCAATTTTGGAATGAGACATATATTTATATTTTACCTAAAAGTATTCATTAGGAAACAATTATTTTTACCATTGCAAAATAATTACCTATCTACCCAGTTGTGAAGCAAATTATAACTTTAATATAAATTCACTCCATTCAAGAAATTTACAGCTAGAATCATAAATGTGAATCAGAAAGTTGGTGTTCTAACTGGTTTATTTAAAGTTGGTGTTTAAACCTCTAGGATAATTCTTACAAATTAACAAACCATAAGAAGTCTAGAACATAAACATACATATGAAAGATCAAATATCATTTTACCAAGTGTCTACTGGGTTTAAGTGCTAACAATAAACTTCATAAAAATTGAGATGTTTTACCTACTTACACAAGGGCTACTGTACACTATTAATTATAATGAAGATCTAGAGTTTAAACACTCAAAAGACTCTGCCAGTTTCCTGTTTTTATACTAGATTGCTATATCAGGTTGACAAATGACACAGACAAATTTATATGTATCTGGTATGCAGAGGTGGCTTAGACCATGAATTCCCTAACCATTGTTAAACACATAAATGGTAACATCACTAATAGCATTAATATTTTATAATATGAATGTCTAAAAAATCACCTTAAATTTTACATGTGCTCTTAAAACAATTTATTTCCTACTTTCTTTCCATTGTTGTATAGTTCTATGAAGTTTAATACATGTTTTTATTTTTATTTTACTTTGATTTATTCCTCCTCTACCTCAATCAGGGTAAAGACCAATTCAATTACCCCAAAAACTTCCTCTTACTCCCTGTTTAAAGCCACACCCTTCTCTACCTCCACTCCCTGAAACCACTGAGTCCTTTTCCATTGTTTTATCTATCTGGGAATGTCATATAAATGAAATCATATAGTATGAAACCTTTTGAAACTGGCTTATTTCACTAAGAAAGTGCATTAGATGTTCATCCAAGTTGGGAGTGTATTGATATATATTTCATTTTTTTATTTCACAGTAGTATTCCATTATGTGGATATACCAGTGTTTATTAAGCTATTTATTTGTTGAAGGATATTTATTTTCAGCTTGAAGCAATTATGAATAATAGTGCTATAAACATTTGTCTATGGGTTTTTAGTATAAACTAAAGAGTATCTGAGAGAAGTCTCAATCAATTTAGAAAGTTTATTTTGACAAAGTTTTGAGGATGCACCAATGATACAGCCTCAGGAGGTCCTGACAACATGTGCCTAAGGTGGTCTGAGCACAGATAGGTTTTATACATTTTATAGAGACATGAGACATCAATCAATATACGTAAGACGTACACCCGCTCTGTCCAGAAAGGCGGGACAACTTGAAGTGGAGAGGGGGCTTCCAGGCCATAGGTAGGCAAGAGACAAATTGTTATATTCTTTTGAGTTTCTGATTATCATTTCACTGAATATATTTTATCCTGAATTTACAGGAATAGTCACTAATGTCTTAGTGTGGCTTAGTTGAAGCAATAGGGCAAAGGAAGCAATCGACTATGGATTTGTCTCACATGAGCAGAGGGATGACTTTGAGTTCTGGCTGTCCTTTGACCACAAGGAATTTCTTTGTGGGAAAACTGTGAGGGAGGCAGGTAGCTTTTGTATCTTTGTAGCTATCTTATTTAGGAATAGAATGGAAGGCAGGTTTGCCCCATGCAATTCCCAGCTTGACTTTTCCCTTTGGCTTAGTGATTTTGCAGTCTCAAGATTTATTTTCCTTTCTCATTAGTAAACATGTTTTTATTCCTCTGTTGCAAATACCCAGGAGTGTAACTGCTGTCATATGACAAGTATATTTTTAACTTTATAAGAAACTGCCAAACCATTTTTTGGATTGGCTATAGCATTTTCCATTTTCTCCAGCAATGTATGGGAGCTCCAGTTGCTCAACACCTTCCAGCATTTGGTGTTATTAGTTCTTATTTTATTATTTTACTCATTCTAATATGTATATATTGGTAGCTTATCATGGCTTTCATATTGATTTCCCTAATAGCCAATGGCATTGAGCATATTTTCATAGGCTTATTTGTCCTCATTTTGGTGTTTATTAAAGTTTTTTCTCAAGTTTTTAAATTCTCCTGTTGTTGACTATTTAAAAATCTTCATATTCTAGATACAAAGCTCTGTACTGTGTTTTGAAAACACAATCTAGCCTACAGCTAGTCTTTTTATTCTCATACAGTGTCTTTAGCAGAGCAATTTTGAGAAAATACAATTTACCATTTTATTTTCCTTTTGTAGATATTTCATTTGGTGCCATGACTCAGAATCCTACACATCTTTGGGTTAAATTTTTTTTCTATGTTTTGTTTTGCATACTTCTAAAATCTATGACTCATTTTTATAGATATGAGTTATAAAGTTGAGGTCGTTTTTGTATATGAATGAGAACAAATACTGAGGTATGCAAGAATCTGAATGAATCTCAGATGCATTATGCCAACTTACAGACTAAAAGACTATCTCTATGATGTATATTTTATGATTCTAATTATATAAAATTATAGAAAGAGGCAAAACTATAGTGACAGAAATCTTCTCAGTAGTTTTCATGGGCTAGGATGGGGGAAGGGGTAAAAATATTTTATGATTGTGTTGGTGTTGGTTACATCACTGTACATATTTTTTCAACCCCATTGAATTGTACATTTAATATTGATAAATTTTATATCAATTATACTTCAACATGATTGTTTAAAAAGGCATGATAAAAGGACCTACAAGTATTGTTACTTTGTCCTAGGTAAAAATATATAATCTACTTGGAAAAGCAATATATAGTTTTTAAAAATCATCAAGTAAAGCAGTAAGGGTACGTGGTGTATCAATGCAGGCTCATAGAATGAAGCAGTTATGAAGGTAAGGGGAACAGAAAACGTTTTGTGAACCAGGACACATTTTGTGAACATGAATGCACTGTGTAAAATATATTTTAAAATAAATAACATTCAGTGATGTAGATAACAAGAACACACCACAGTGAAAACGTAACTGGTATGCATCTGAAGGCATGCTTGCTCATGGTTTCTTGGTGTGGGTGCATCTAATTGCAATAGAGGTGTTCATACTGTAGACAGAAAACAAAGGACGGTTTCCTACTTTTTAGGATTAGCCAGAGTAGTGGATGATGGAAGAATGCTGGTAAAAGAACTGGTTATCCTAAAAGTCATTCAATGAGTTATTCACTTTATCATCTTAAAAAACACTTATTTTAAGGAACATAGCTGTACTCATGCAGTATGTAATTCTTTTATTATTTCTTAGAAAAATCTTACAGCACTTGATAGCATCAGGAGGAAGACAAATGTGTTAGCATATGAAATCCCACCTTCAAGCCAAAGACAGTTTAAAGCCTGAAGGCCAAGCTACAAGTCAAATCCACAAACTGGATTGAGACCCTGTATTCCTGTTTGGCGCACTTTCCTTTGATTGATCCCCATCCTTCACCTATTTTACATATACTTGTCTTTCCCTAATTGTTTTTACACTGTGCCCAACTTTGACTGGTGCCTTCATTTTAAACTTTTTGCATACTCACAAACCAATCAACACACACTGTCTTATCCTGTGCCTACAAAAGCCCCAGACTCAGCCACATTGGGGAGATGGCCTGACTTCAGGAGAGATAACCCAACCTTCCTGTCTTCTCTCTGCTGAGAGCTGTTTCAATGCTCAATAAAATTATCTGCCCTTACCACCCTTCAATCGTCAGCATAACCTCATTCTTCTTGGACACAGGACAAGAGATTGGGACACACTGAACTTGGGTACCCAGAAAGGCTGTAACACTGGCCCTCTGCCTTAGCTGGCAGAGGGCAGCTGCCCCATTCAATGGAAGTGGTGGTGGGGCCGAGCTGGTCCCAGAGCCACAGGCCAGAATGGGGCAAAGGATTGACTGAGCTGATGACATGCCACCATCTATCATGCTGGAGACAGCAGAATTTAAAAAGCTAAGTAGCACACTGTAACCCCCTCTGGGACTTCAGGGTTGTGGGCACCCCAGCATGGGTGTCACAATGTTTCCCTCAGGGTGACATTCCTGGTCTGAGCATGGGCCCCACATGGATCCTGCTCCTGTGTCAGCACTCAGAGTGGTGGCCGTGCCCCACGCTCACTCACTCACATGCTCCCTTCCACCAGTGGCTGAGTGCTTGGTTGTGGCATCCGCAGGAGCCACAGGCCAGAGCACAGGCCAGATGCAGCCCAGCTGACTGAGTAGATGGGGCACCCCCTGCGGTGAGCCCAACAAAGAGGCTGGGAAAAATCCCGTGTCACTTTGGTTTTCTTTGTCAAAACGACTTTCATTGGTTAATGATAGGATTCAAAAGAACAAATTATTATTCACAAAATAAGGCATTTCAATACCTGTAATGACAACTTGACCTTCTTTACAGCTGAAACTATCTATAGCCTATAAAGTTTACTGAAGTTTCTGACTAAATCCCTTTGTTCAAAAGGAAGACTTTCAGGAGACCCAGACCAGTGTCTGAATACCATAGTCCCCATTTTTCATGGGGGATACTTTCTAAGATCCCCCATGAATGCCTTATACCACAGATAGTACTGGATGGACTCTATATATGTGTGGGTTTTTTTCCTATATACGTATATGCATATACACATATACACAGACATACCTATTATAAAGTTTAATTTAAACTAGGCACAGTAAGAGATTGATAAATAATAGCAAAATAGAACAATTCTAACAATACTCAGAAAAAATGCACAATTTAAAACTTATGAATTATTTATTTCTGGAATTTTCTATGTAATATTTTGGACCACAATAACTGAAACTGTAGAAATGGAAACTTCAGGTGAGTGGGGACTACTGTATTAGCCATTACTAGGTCAACATTTTAATCTTTATTTCTTATAACCCAACTTCTAGTTCCTGGGAACCTACCTTATTGACCATGCCAGAGGCTTTTCTTGATATACTGGCCAGTTCCTCCAAGGTGCTGGAGTTGTCTTGAATCTCAGTTCCCCACTATTGAGATCCAAAAGCTCATTGTCAGATTTTTTTGATGCTTCACTGATCTGTTACATTCTTGACTCTCATCGTGCACTTCTGCCAGCCAAGTAGACCACTGACCTTTCTGTCTTAAATTTCCCTCATGCACCACCCATTTCCCTGCCTCTCAGATATCCTCGATTCTTTACCATAATGGTCCATCAACACTCTCCATTACTGTTCAGCGATAATATCCTCCTCTAAAAGAGCAGAAATATCCTTACAGCCACTGATTAATACCCTTGTAGATTAATGTAAATAAAGAATCGCAGTTCATCTGCATCTGCAAGTCTAGCAATCACAATGCCCTTCCAAACATTTGAGACCTGCGTTACAACATCCTTTCCTATTACATCTTAAATCGTATTCTAGCCTGGGTGCAGTGGCTCATGCCTGTAATCCCAGCACTTTGGGAGGCCGAGGTGGGTGGATCACGAGGCCAGGAGTGCAAGATGGTGAAACCCCGTCTGGCCAAGATGGTGAAAGCCTGGCTGAGATGGCAAAACCCCGTCTCTACTAAAAATAAAAAATTAGCCAGGCGTCGTGGCAGGTGCCTGTAATCCCAGCTACTCGGGAGGCTGAGGCAGAGAATTGCTTGAACCCAGGAGGTGGAGGTTGCAGTGAGCCAAGATCACGCCACTGTACTCCAGCCTGGGCAACAGAGCAAGATTCCATCTCAAAAAAATAAAATAAAAATCTTATTCTACACTGGACAGTTTATTATTTATCAAACATATCCAGTTGTTACCTGCCTTATCATGTTGCAATGATGCATCTCCCTATCCTTCAACATTGCTTAGTCAGATCCCTCTGATCTTTGGAGTCATAGCTCATTTGACATTTTTCCATGAAACTATTCTATTCTTCTAAAATGAAGATTATCTCTCCTTAGACTGAACTTACAGGACATTTTGTTTGAAACTTTATGACAGCACAGTTCGTATAGTTTAGATATTTGTCCCCTCAAAATCTCATGTTGAAATGTAATCCTCAATGTTGGAGGTGGGACTCAGTGGGAGGTGTTTGGTTCATGTGAATAGATCCCACATGGATGGCTTTGTGCCATCCTCACCGTAATGAGTGAGTTCTCACTCTGTTAGTTCACTAGAGATATGGTTGTCTAAAAGAGTGTGACACAGACCGGGCACGGTGGCTCACACCTGTAATCCCAGAACTTTGGGAGGCTGAGGTCTGGCCAATATGGTGAAACCCCATCTCTACTAGAAATACAAAAAATTAGCTGGGCGTGGTGGTGCGCACCTGTAATCCCAGCTACTTGGGAGGCTGAGACAGAAGAATCACTTGAACCCATGAGGCAGAGGTTGCAGTGAGCTGAGATGGCACCATTGCACTCCAGCCTGGGTGACAAGAGAAAACTCCATCAAAAAAAAAAAAAAAAAAAAGTGTGGCACCTCCCCCTTCTCTCTCATTCCCACTCTCACCATGTGGTGTGCTTGTTCCCTCTTTACTTTCCACCATGATTGGAAGTTTCTGAAGTTTCTGAGGCTTTCACTAGAAGTAGATGTTAGAGCCCTGCTTGTACAGCCTGTTGAACTGTGAGACAATTAAACCTCTTTTCTTTATAAATTACTCAGCTTCAGGCATTTCTTTATAGTGACACAAGAAGGGACTTACACAACAGTGATTCTATATGGTGATGAAGTTATGTGCACCAATTTCCCAACCTTCATTAGCTCAGATGCTTCTTGAAAACAGAGAAGTGTATTACCTCACATCTCACTGTTCTCTCCAAGAGTTGAAGGACCTATCATAACATAATGCTTATATATTTTTAATATTTCTTACTCTAAATAATTAGATAATAAGCATTTAAATGCCCATTATACACTCAATACTGAGTTAGAAACCAGATGAGAAAACATAAAATATAACTCTATCTTTAAAGTATTTGCACCTCGATGGGAAAGATAAACAAATGAGTACAATTTCTATGCAAGGCTGGAAGTATACTGTGGTGCTTAAGAGGAGTGAAGAAGTTGTATAATAAAGGAAAATTGTTATTAGGGAATGATTTCAAGAGAAAGTGATAGCTGAGCTGAGTTTTGAGTGGGATATATCCTTAAAAAATAGGGAGGGAAGGCCAGGCGCGGTGGCTCACGCCTGTAATCCCAGCACTTTGGGAGGCCGAGGCAGGCGGATCACAAGGTCAGGAGATCGAGACCATTCTGGCCAACACGGTGAAACCCCATCTCTACTAAAAAAAAAATACAAAAAATTAGCCGGGCATGTGGTGGGCACCTGTAGTCCCAGCCACTCGGGAGGCTGAGACAGGAGAATGGCGTGAACCTAGCTTGCAGTGAGCCGAGATTGCGCCACTGCACTCCAGCCTGGGTGATAGAGCGAGACTCCGTTTCAAAAAAAGAAAAAAAAAAAAAAAAAAACAGGGAGGGAAGAGAGGAAGATATTCTAAGAATAGTTAGCAGAGTATACAAAGTCCTTGATATGTGAGAGATGAGTTCAGTATTGCTGAAACATAGACTGAAAAGAGTCATGGCAAAAAAGGGTCTAGAAACATTAAAGGGCATTATTTCCATTGGCACAGGTTTGGCCAGATTGAAGGGTTTTAGGTAAAGTAGTAGCATGACCAGAGTTACCTCTTAGAAATGTATTGGGAGCAAAACTGGTGGCAAGAAAACCAATCATAATGTTACTGCACATTAATGAGAAGGATGTGAAGGAACATGAAACAGTTGCCTATTGGACATGAAAGGCCATATTCTAGATTTAAGGATATATAATATTTATTTTGGAAAACAAAGGAGAGGAAAAAAGAGGTGGGAATAATACAGTATGATCTTCAGATTATTTCATGACTATAATAGAAAATTTAAGAAATAAAAATAATGTGGGGTGAAGATAAATTTCTATCTGAAGAGGAAAATGATTCTATAATTATCTGTGGATTGTTGAACACATAATACTGGGTCTTGGCTTATGATATTACAAGGCATCATAAATGTACTGGTAGTTGCACAAGACTGAGCAACTAGGTTATAATTATCTCTGGAAAACGAAGCAGAAAAATAGGAAAAAGAGTTGAAGAGTATTTTTAAAATGGTAGTTGAATGTGTAAAATACGTGGTCTAAGTTAATGTCTCTCAAATTCATAACACATCTACCCAGTTAGGGGAAAGTCCCCCCTTCTTCTTACACCCCATCTATGCCCTCATTTCCATGGTAAAGTAACTACACTGATAACAAAGAATTAGAGCAGTAACAGAAGGTGCTTTAAAATTTTGTAAAAGATCATTATAGTTATATATTTAATTATAAATTTTTAAAAGTGAACAAAAGTTGCCCAAAGGTCTTTTTAAACTGAATCTTATCACATGCTATAAATATTTTAAATAATAAAAGTTTGCAGGCAGCATAACACTTATAAAATGTGACCTTCATGCAAATTTTGGGGCGATTATTAAGATGCAAGAATATAATTTTCATGGAAATATTAAAATATGCATATATTTATTCTGAAATTGGCATGTTTACAATCAGCCCAGATCAAAATAAATTGATATTTTGAAGCTAAAACAACAGACTACTTTTTTAAAATCAAATTTAGCATAGCTTACAAAACAAAATATATATCATTTCATGTTTTTTGTTTTGAGACGGAGTCTCGCTCTGTCGCCCAGGCTGGAGCGCAGTGGCGCGATCTCGGCTCACTGCAAGCTCCGCCGCCCGGGTTCACTCCATTCTCCTGCCCCAGCCTCCAGAGTAGCTGGGACCACAGGCGCCCGCCACCACGCCTGGCTAATTTTTTTGTATTTTTAGTAGAAACGGGGTTTCACCGTGTTAGCCAGGATGGTCTCCATCTCCTGATGTCGTGATCCGCCCGCCTTGGCCTCCCAAAGTGCTGGGATTATAGGCATGAGCCACCGCGCCCGGCCCATTTCGTGTTTCTTTAAGAAAAATACATAATGCAGGAGAGTGGCAAATTCTGGATGTTGCAATGACTAGAAAGCAATAAGGAGAATGAAGTTCAATACTCAATTCTAAGTTATGTGTTCCAGTCTCTTGTTGATATACTGTGTTCCTGTGTAAATTTTCACCGTTACCTCCAAATTTCTAGTAAAACTACAAGGTATGGAGTTCACTCACATGTTGCTTTGTTCAAATTAAATATATGTATTAATATTTTACATATTGCTTTGTAAAATTAAGTATAAAGGGCTTATGTCCAGGTATGTGTTGGTGCAGGTCAGAGACAGATTGATCAGAAGTGCAGAGAATCAGTGATATAAAACACTCAAAGAAAGGAGAAAATTGAAGCAAGAGATCATTAGTAGAATTATAAACCCCTTGAGAGTTTTCATACATACAATGAAAGGAAATGATTTTACAAAGCTAGAAGTTTTGGGAACATGCAAAGAGATGACTTCTTGGTTACATTAATATAATCAGATATATATGGATATGATAGTTCTATTATGTGCTTTTGGGGCCTTCATTGTCTAACCTTATGTTATTAAATTCTAGAAAACTGTTGCAGGTATAATTACTTATATTTTAATGTTATCTATTTTCTTTATGTGAAATCTAATGTACTTTATTAGTTCTACTTAAAAGTCCATTGGTGTTTTTGGAGTAACTCTAAATGTTTCACTAAACAGAATACATTTATGCATGTGGAATAAATGGGGTAAGCTGGAACTAGTTTGATGTTTTCCTTATAGTCTCATAACATATCATTTCGCCATTATGTACTGCAAAAAAATTGCTGATATTGATGGCATAATAGAAGTAGTTCCTTTCAGAATACACAAGTGGCTCAGAAACCATAATCATCGATATCTAATTGTGTGCTTTGGTTTGTATGGTGCTTCTCTACCTGTCAGCGGTAGGGCTTTGTGGATAAACTATAATTCCAACCAAATGATTCTGAGAGTCAGTAAAATCTAATAAGCCCCACAATTTCAAAGAGATGTACACTGAAATAGATATGCTTGGTGATTGTTTGCAGATGTGATCACTGGCTTGAAACTGCAGACGCTCTTTTTCTTAAAACAGTAATAAAACTGAGTATTATCTGTATTGAATGGATGTAACTTTATATTACTTTCATTATACCACAGAGGACAATTTATGCAATGCAAAACTTACTTTAGAAAAAAAAGAGTTCCACATATCACTTTCATGCTGGCTTTCTGTTCAATGAAATCCTAGTTTATTCTGATTCTGAAGAGAGACTTGAAGAGGTAAAATAATGTTAAAATGCATGCCATTTTAGTTTAGATGTCCCCATTTGGATTCACAGCATGCTATAGAGAAGTATTTGATTGCTGATGTCGTGTAGGAAATTGCTTTATAAAAGCCATGCTGGATTTTCAAGCCAGGACCAAATGATGACATTACCATTTGGATTATTTCAAAAGGACTGAATATATCACTTTTTCTTTGTTTTCCTGTGGTTTCACTGGTCATTTTTGGTTTTGCTTCCCACCTCCCCATTACCCACACTCCCCATCACACACACATCTGAGAGGCAGAAACAGAGAATTGAGGTGAAGACCATTGGATTTGGAGGCAGGCAAATATTTGAATTTGGAGTCTCAGTTTGGGCCCTGTCCAACCTTTGTTCTTTAGCTTGCACAAAAAAAACCCTCTATACACCAGTTTCCTTAAGCACAAAATAGAATGATAAACCACCTTATCTCTTTCACGTTTTTAATCCATATTTCTTGAGAGGCTATTATGTTCCAGGCACTGGAAATATCTAGAGAAGTAGATAGAGGGCAAATCATGGGGAGTGTGTAGTCCATGTCAAAATACTTAAACAATTTAGTTTCAAGGCAACTGGGAACTAATGATCCACTCATCGGATTTGTCTTTCTCTTCTGGGATCATGGTAGACAGGAGGCAAGACTAGATTGCAGCTCCAGACAGAGCAGCATGCGGAGGCTTGCACTGTGAATTTTAGCTCCAGATTGACTGCAAGAACAAACCAGCAATCCCGAGAGGAGCCACAGACCCTCTGAAGGAAGCGGCCTGCTCCTGCAGGACCCTGGAGACACCCAAATACTGTGAGTGCCCCAACTGGGGAAGTGGGAAAGGGAGACCCTCCTCCCCCGAACACACAACCCCACTGGAGAAGCTGAAGGTCTGCTTGCGGAGAAGTTTCTGACGTTACCTGGAGCTGAGTCAAGTTAGAGAGCCCAGTGAAATACAGGGGCAGAGGAAGCAGCAGGAAGGCCCTGGGAGCTTGCTGGGTCCCCAGCAGCCCATTCCTGGTTGGCACCACAGGGATCCATCGTGAGGGTGGCCTGAGGAGCAGGGGGTAAAACTCCACAGGTAGAAGCACTTCTCTTGGTGAACTCTGTAATGATTTGAAAGGGGCAAGAAGCCCCCCTGGCCAGAACTTGGGGGAGGGCGCGAATCGGATATGCAGACTTCACAGGTGGGGAAAAGCTAACACCCTTTTCTGTGGCAGCTGGGAGGCGGATAGTCTCAGACAACTTTTCAAGCCCCTCTGGCCCTCCACCTGGAAACAGACTCGGGGCTGTCAGTGGGGGCATGGTGGGAGTGAGACCGGCCCTTCAGTTTGCATGGGAGCTGGGTGAGGCCTGTGACTGCTGGCTTTCCCCTACTTACCTGACAACCTGCATGACTCAGCAGAGACAGCCATAATCCTCCTAGATACACAACTCCAGTGACCTGGGAATCTCACCCCCATCCTCCACAGCAGCCGCAGCAAGACCCGCCCAAGAAGAGTCTGAGCTCAGACACACCTAGCCCTGCTGTCACCTGATGGTCCTTCCATATCCCCCATGGTATATAACCTGGTATATAATCCTCCCTGGTATATAAGACAAAGGGCAAATAATCTTGGGAGTTCTAGGGTCCCGCCCACCATTGGTCCCTCTCCACACTATGCAGCTGATGCTTTCTGTAAAGCACCACCTCCTGGCAGGAGGTCAACCAGCACAAAAATAGAGCATTAAGCCACCAAAGCTAAGGACTCTCATGGAGTCCATTGCACCCTCTGCCACCTCCACTGGAACAGGCATTGGTATCCACAGCTGAGAGACCCATAGATGGTTCACATCACAGGACTCTGTGCAGACAACCCCCAGTACCAGCCTGGAGCTGCATAAATTTGCTGGGTGGCTAGACCCAGAGGAGAGACAACAATCACTGCAGTTCAGCTTATAGGAAGCCACATTAATAGGAAAAGGGGGAGAGTACTACATGACGGGAATACCCCATGGGACAAAAGAGTCTGAACAACAGACTTCAGCCCTAGACCTTCCCTCTGACAGAGCTTACCCAAATGAGAATGTAGCAGGACGAGCTGCAGACAAAACCTCTCAGGCACCGAGTTATGGAAGGAAGGGCTTTATTCACCTGGGAGCATCGGCAAGCTACTGCCTCAAAATCCGCGCTCCCCGAATGCTCAATTTCTGTCCCTCTTAAGGGCTCACAACACTAAAGATTTCACATGAAAGGGTCGTGATTGATTTGAGCAAGCAGGCGGTACGTGACAGGGGCTGCATGCACGGGTGGTCAGAGAGAAACAGAACAGGGCAGGGAGTTTCACAATGCTCTTCTATACAATGTCTGGAATCTATGAATAACATCGGTTTCTAAGTTATGAATTGATTTTTAACTACTGGATTTAGGCGAGGCAGGCCCAGGCCTGGTTTCAGGCCTGGTGCCAGGCTGCCTGTCTTTGGTTTTACTTCCTTGTTGTTTTTCTTAAAACAGGTACTGAGTATAAAACAATATAAAACAATATGAGAGGGTCTCTCTCCTCCCTCAAAAAAGAACCAGAAAAACAACCCTGGTAATATGACAAAACAAGCCTTTTCAGTACCCCCCAAAAATCACACTGGTTCACCAGCAATGGATCCAAACTAAGAAGAAATCCCTGATTTACCTGAAAAAGTATTCAAAGCTTAGTTATTAAGCTAATCAGGGAGGGGCTAGAGAAAGGCAAAGCCCAATGCAAGGAAATCCAAAAAATTATACAAGAAGTGAAGGGAGAAATATTCATGGAAATAGATAGTTTGAAGAAAAAAAACAATAAAAAATTCAGGACACTGTGGACACACTTTTAGAAATGCAAAATGCTCTGGAAAGTCTCAGCAATAGAATTGAACAAGTAGAAGAAATTCAGAGTTTGAAGACAAGGACTTCGAACTAACCCAATACAAGAAAGAAAAGAAAAAAGAATAAGAAAATATGAACAAAGGCTCCAAGCACTAAACAGTTTATCAAGACAGAAAGTCAAAAAAAAAAAACAATAGATTTAAACTACACCTTGGAACAAATGGACCTAACAGACCTCAGGTGATCCGCCAGCCTTGGCTTCCCAAAGTGCTAGGATTACAGGTGTGAGCCAAAGTGCCCGGCCCAGAATTTATTAAGCAAAAGGAAAGCTCTCAACAAAAAGAGCAGTCCTGCACTCAGGTTTCCACCTCACAAATTGAATTCCAGGCCACCACACAGGAGTTGATGAGGCCAGGCTCCTCCCCAGTATACAGCACAAATTCCTGGTGGCTCTACCCCATTCCTCCAGTGCATGTTCGCCTCCGGTTCATTGTGGGCATGCCCAGGCAAGACCCTGCACTGGTTCCTTTATCTGCACAAAAACATCTGGTGTGAATACTTGCGGAGCAGGTCAGAGGTTCTCCCGGGGGCCCTTCCCTATTTCCTAGGCATTTGCCTGTCTCCTGCCTCTATCAATGGTAAAAATACCTTTCTCACAGTTTAAGAGATAATGTATGAAAAGCAACCTACAAAGTCTAAAATACAAACTCATTAAAAAAAAAAAGCACACGAATCACCAGAACCTTTGTGCCTATGATCATGTTTACCAAAGAAAAGTAACCAAAGCTGTGAGTTATCATTCAGAAATTATCTATATCTGTCTGGCCATTTGATACCTCTAAGTCCTTAACCTTGTTATTTTAGTGGATGACATTGTTTTATCATTAACAAGAATACTTTTCCTTGCATCCAAATGAAATTTACTTGTTTCTATTTTATTATGTTTTTTAAATTACATAGTCTAAGGATAAATTAATATTTTTCAGAGAGTAAAACTCGATGGAGGTAATGCTGTTTTACATTTTCCATTTTATAAATTTTTAGAAAAATCAGTGACTGCTTTATTTCTCCTGATTGTAAAATCATACATATTGATTATTGAAAAGTTGGACAATATGAAAATTATAAAGAAGATAATGAAGATGTCTTTAAAATCACACAATAGAGATAAATATTGGTTATAATGCTGTTCAAGATTTTTGTGTTTGGAAAATATATCAGACTCTGAATTACTCATTGACTATATAATTTACCATTAACCATTTTCATTATCATTAAATGATTTTAAACACCAATTTGTAATTTCTACAAATCATTTCTATACATTTACATATCATAATTTCTTCATCCCTTGGGGCATTTTACTTTTGCCTATTTATTTAAGAAGTGAATTTGTATGTAAAGAATATATAAATAAGATATTCATGAAGACAAAAGCAGACACTAATAACTAGAAAACCAAAAATTTGGAATAGGTAAATATGAAAAACAGTTAGCTTAAAAAGTACAATAAAATAATCATTAGGAAAATTTCCCAGGTTTTAAATCCCAATAATGTTTTGTGCAATTCTTCAAAGAATTTTAAGCATTTTGGTTCACTCTACAGTCTAAAAGCATTAATTGCCTATAATGTATCTGATCAGATACTATCCAAAGCACTCATGTAGAAAAAGGTAGAGAAGTTCCTATCCTCATTGAGATCATTTTCTAGTGGAGAACATAGTCAACAAACAAGCGATTTAGTACCTAAGCTACACTTTATTTGATATAGTCTATAGAAAACAAAGCAGGTTACAGGGTGAAAAAGGGACATATAATTGTATTTCAGTTAGGGCAGTCAGAAAGACCTTCTTGGGTAGGGTGACTTTTGAACAGAAAAGAAAATTTCAGATGGAAAGTATTTGACAAATCCCTACTCAACTGATCTATTCACGGATTTTTTTTTACTCAAGTAATTGATAAGTACCAGACACTTCTCTAGGTGCCAGGGACAACATAATACTAAAAACAAAACTCCTGTCTTCATGAAGTTTACATACTTGTTGAGAAGACATGTGATCAATAAATGAAAGAAAGAAAGAGAGAGAGAAAGAAGAAAAAGTAAGAAAGAAAGAAGAGAGAGAGAGAAAGAGAGAAAGAAAAAAAGAAAGAAAGAAGGAAAGAAAGAAAAAGAAAAGAAAGGAAGGAAGGAAGAGACATGAGAAGTACCATTTTAGTGAGAATGGTCAGGGAACACTTCTCCGAAGAGGCAATATTTCTACAGGGTTATGATTAAAGAACTGAGGTCTAAGAATATCTACAGTCACTGAAGTGGACCAGGTTTCTTATGTTTAAAAGATAGAAATATGGCAAAATGGAATGACCAAAGGGAGAATAACAGGAAATAAGAAGAGAGAGGTATCCAAGAGCTAAATCATATATATCATCTTAAGACACGGTAATCATTAAATGATTTTGAGCAGAAGACTGACTTTACTTGTTTATTCCTCTCAAAAAAAAAAATTACTCAAAATGTTTGGAGAACACTCTATGGAGAAGCAAGGGTAGAACCATGTAGTAGTCAAGGTAAGAGATAATATTAATCTATTAGTATAGTGGTAGAATTGGCAACAATTAGTCGAATTAGTGACATATATTAAAGTAGAGCTCAGAGAATTCATGGATTAATTATATGTGTGTTGTGCATAAGAAATAGAGATTAAGAATATGTCCAAGGCTTTTGACCCAGTGAAATGGCTAAGCAAGATGGAATTCTTAGATGAAAAATATTGAAGGAGAAATACTTTCAAGTAAAGGGCAAATAAAAAGTTTCAGTTAAAAATACCAAGCATACTATTATTGAATGCCTCATATATTTTTAAGAGAAAATGCCTTCATTTAGAAAAAAATTCAGGACTTAACACTTCCATAGATAACAATAGTAATATTTGGACAAAATATAAAAGTAATCATTGGATCTTTCTCTTCTGGCCATGAGGAACAAGATATACCTTCCTGCTAAAAACCATTTTTTTAAATGACAAAATATAAGAAATGGTGGTTTTCAGGCATTGGACCTGAGTCAGTAAAGGATAGTGTTTTCTGAAAGAGAGGGAAAGAAATAAGGTGAGATCTATGATTGCCATAACTTATTATATGGATATTTGTAGATCACAGTGCAAAAAAAGAAAACCTGCTTCGGGCAATAGAGCTGAGAATCCAGGGAGGCTTGAGTCTGTAGGGCAGAGTATCAGAGAGTTTAGAGAGATGTGTGAAAGAGAGTGTGAGAGCTAAAGCAAAAGAGAGGGAGAGTGAGTGCACACAAGTGCCTTGGAGATCAGCAGAGGATACAGTTCAAGTTTTCTGCTGAGAACTGATCAGAGAATATGTTTGGGGAAAATACCCACATGTTGGGAAAAACAACCCAAAGTAAGAGATGGGGCAACTCTTGTACGTCACATAGGGCAGAAAATAGTTTATGTTCCCACCTAGAGAAATAGAAAAAATGCTTTAATTATATTCAAAATTTTCAGCACCCTTGCCAGAATAATTGATAAAATTATTAGACATTAGCAAAGGTACAGAAAACTTGACCAATACTACGTATTGACTCTATGTGAATGATATTTATAAAAACTCCACCAGTCAATAGCATATTCCATATTCTTTCAAGTTTACTTTGAACACTATCAACATATATCATATTCCACACCATAAAACAAGTCTTAATAAATTTAAAATTATTTAAATCATACTAAACATATCCTGTGATGGCCATGGAATTAAATTGGAGCATGCTAATAGAAAGGCATCTGGAAAATCCCAAAATATTTTGAAAGTAATTAAAATATTTCTTAATAACTCACAAGTACCAATAAAGAGATTAGAATTTTAAAATTATAAATAAAGATAAAAAGATATCACAATTTGTGGGAAGTGCATAAAGCAGAACTTAGAGGGAAATTTATGGCACAAGGAAAATATCACAAATCAAGAACTTAAGATGCTACCTTAAAAACTAGACAAAGTAATGGAAATTTAAAACCAAAATAAATGTAAAAAAGACAAAATTAAAGAGCATATATTAATCACATTTTTAAAACGAAAAAAATAGAGAAAAGTAATGAAATTAAAGCATGTTGTTTGAGAAGATCAATAAAATCAATAAACCTCTTGTCAGATCGATCTGGAAATAAAGAGGGAAGACACAAACCACACATATTAGGAGTGACTGAGTGGATATTAGCATAGATCCTACAGATTTTGAAACAGTAAGTGAATGTTACTAACAGCATTAAGTCAAAAAATTGATAACTTAGACAAAATGAACAAATCACTTGAAAGATACGAGCTGGAAATATGAGTACAGAAATAATAGATGATGGCATCACTACTTTTCTATCAGTCTCAGAAATTAAATTTTGAAGACCGAGTGTGGTGGCTTCTGCCTGTAATCCCAGCATTTTGTGAGGCCAAGGCAGGTGAATAGCTTGAGCCCAGGAGTCTGAGACCAGCCTGGACAACACGGTGAAACCCTGTAGCTACAAAAAATACAAAAATTAGCCTGGAATGGTAGCATGAGCCTGTTGTCCCAGCTACTCAGGAGGCTGGGGTGTGAGGATCACTAGAGCCTGGGAGGCCGAGGCTGCACTGAGCTATAATTGTGCCCCTGCACTACAGCCTGGGTGACAGCGTGAGACCCTGTCTCAAAAAAATAAAATAAAAGACATGTTAAATTTTGAGTTAAAATCATTCCAAGAAAGCACACATAAGGCTTTGTTACTGATTTACAACAAACATACAAGAATGGAATCATAACAATCCTATACAACATAATTTAAATTATTTTACAAAGTCGGTATTACTGATACTTGATGCAGATTGAGATATTACAAAAAAGGGAAATTACAGACCAAGATTGTTAATTAGCATATATGCAAAAATCCTAAAAACATAATTAATTGAATTCAACAACATATGAAAAGAAAGTACATGATGATCAAGTGCAAGGAATTCGATGCTCATTTAACATTTGAAAATCACACAATGTAATTCATCACGACGGTATAAAGGCAAAAAACTGAGTGTTTCAACAGATGCAGAAAAATTATTTCACTGTAAACTACACTCATTCTTGATAAAACGCTCAGCCTGGTTGGGAGCAGCATCTACAAACACACACATGCACACAAATACACACACACAGCTAATATCATCCCTAATTATGAAAGACTCTGCACTTTCTCTTTAAGGCTAGGAACAAGGCAAAGATGGCTGGTGCCACCACCTCTCTTCACATGTTCTGGGGTCCTCATCGGGATGTAAGGGGAGAAACAATCGTAATCATAAGGGAAACAGAAAAACAATGTAATGGCATGGAGATTGTAAAGGAAGACCTATACTGTCATGATTCAAGGATGACATGATTTTCCGTAGATACAGTTTTAAAGCATCTACAAAAAGCTTCTAAAATTAATAAGTTAATTTATTAAATTTGTGTGACTATAGATTATTTTTATACATGAGATATATGAAAAGTATGTTCATAATGTTTAGTTTCATTTTCCAGATAAAGTTTCATTCCAAATTTTTATATACTTTCCATTGTTTACATATATTGTAAAGATAAGGCCAATAAAAATCAATTGCATTTTTATAAATAAGCAACTAAGATTTTAAATAAATTTTAAAATAAATGCTATTTACTGTGGTTTCCAACAACATGAGATACTTTTAGAGAAATTTAACAAGACGTGCAAGAACAGTAGGTTGAAAACAATAAAGTCAATGAGAGAAATTAGATGAAACCAAACATATGAAGATATACACCATGAATAGAAAATAGAAAACTTCGTATTGTTAATTTGGGAATTCTTTCTATATTTATTTATAGATTCAATGCACTCCCAATTAAAATGTCAAAGGCTTAGGGTAAAAACGTTCTAATTTATTTTAAATTTGATATAAAAACACATATAACCTAGATGGTGCAAAATAATTTTTTAAAGCAATATCAAAGCTAAAGTTAAATAGCTATACTCCCTGATTTCAAGACTTAAAGCTTTGAAACTGTAATATCTGATACCGTGATGTTGAAGAAAGGATAGACAAAATACATCAATTGAACAGGAGAGGGAATCCAGAAATTATGGAAATGCACACATTCAATTTTGTGGAGGATATATGACTTTTGACACTTTAAAGCAAAATGATTTAAGTATTAAAATAAGAGGCCTTTGATGAGAAAATTGGTGAGGTGCTCAAACATAATTTTAGAAGAGGTTACTTCTTATCATCCTGCTTTTGTAGAATGTTGCTGAAAATCATTGTTAGTTTCCTGGAACTATAATAATAAAGTGTCACTACTGAAGTGGCTTGAAACAATTCTTTTTTTTTTTTTCACAGTGTTAGAGGCCAGAAATACAAAATTAAGGTGTCAATAAGGCCATGGGCTCTCTGGAAGCTATAGGGGAGAATCTATTTCATGTCTTCTCTGAGCTCCTGATGTTGCCAGCCAATTCTGGTCATTTCCTGGCTTGTGGATGCATCACTCTCATCTCTGTCTCTGTCATCGTGTGGTGTTCTTGCCTGTGCCTATGTGTTTGTGTTCATTCTCTTCTTATAAGGATTCCAGTCATACTGTATTAGGGTCCATTCTTCCAGTATGACCTTATCTTAACCACATATGCAGTGACCCTATTTACAAATAACTCATATTCTGAGATACCAAGAGTTAGAACTTGATAAAACTCTCAGCCTGCTTGGGCTGAGAGCATATCTTTTATTGAGGGGAAGAGGAAAGCACAACTCAACTGAAACAACTATGTTGCAAATGAATCACCATATGATGCATTCTTTATTTGTTCTAACAATCATCACTTAGTCATGACTATAGATTATTTTTATACATGAGATATATGAAAAGTGTGTTCACAATGTTTAGTTTCATTTTCCAGATAAAGTTTCATTCCAAATTTGTATGTACTTTCCATTTTTTACATATATTGTTAGTTTGAAATGTTATCCATTTGAATTATATTTATTTTAATGACTTTTATAATATTCCAGTTACTGTTACATATGGAGGACAAATTATTATGACTCAATCTTGTCTGTCTTTTAATAAAAATCAAGTTTATAACTAAAATAGGGAAGAATAAGCCTAATACATAAATAAATCATTGTTGAGGTTAAAAGTAACATTGTTGAGGTTAAAAGTAACTTTTTTTTTGAAACAGGTATTGAGGGTAAAATTGATTTATGAAAAATAGAAAATAAATACAATAGTCTCTGAAGAGATTTTAAAAAAATGATCAGTTTCTTTCATTAGGCTTAAAAGCCTGGAAGGATACTTTCTAATTACAGTTTAAAATAAATTGGAATTGCACTGTCAGACAGATGTAGCTAACGTCCCATAACCAATGACATGTATATGTCACCTTCAAGTAAAGACAACTCAGTGCTTCATCTGGGCTAACAAAATACTAATGTTAAACATAATGAACTTATTTCTCTGTTCTTACACTTACATAAAGTACATACAGTGCCACTTTCTGTACCCCAAGGTTGTAAATGTGTACTCATTGTTTCATAAGCCAATACAATTAGAAAACCAGAATGCACTACTACTATGAATTAAAAACATCATCAATTATCCAAACTCACTTAGAGGTGGGAAAGACCATAATTTAACATTTTAACATTTTAATAAAATCTTTAAAATGGAAACAGCCAAAATCCACATTGGAGAAATCATCTAGAAAATAGTGTCATTAGTATGATTAATCTTTTTAATGCTGAATTAGGGAAATGATAAGTGTCATTTAGCCAGCCTCAATTATGATGAGTGTTACTTTAACACAATAGGAGAACAGTATTTCAGAAGACTTGACCCCTTCTCTCAAAGGACTTTAATATCTATTTGAGAAAGGAAATTATCTTCTGTGTTGCTACCCAATGAATTCCATGTTTACATTTTACCTGCCACATCAGACAATCCTTAGCCACTCCAAGAATGCCATATATATATATATATATATATCCATTAGACAATTATAAAAGATGTACATGTAATGGGAATCCTTTAGCCACTTCAAGAATGCTATACCTATATGTGTGTGTGTGTGTATATATATATATATATATATATATATATGTGTGTGTGTGTATTGCATATATACACATGTGTATTCCGTATATACGCATATGTGTATTCCGTATATACGCATATATGTATATATACACACACATATACGCATATATGTATATATACACACACATATATGCATATATGTATATATACACACACATACACGCTTATATGTATATACACACACACATACACATATATGTATATATACACACACACATACACATATATGTATATATACACACATATACACATATATACACATATGTATATATACACACATATACACATATATGTATATATACACACATATACACATATATGTATATATACACACATATACACATATGAATATATACACACATATATACATATATGTATATATACACATACATATATGTATATATACACACCTATACATATATGTATATACACACATATGTATATACACACATATACATATATGTATATATACACATATATACATATATGTATATATACACATATATATACATATATGTATATATACACACACGTATGTATATAAGAATGCTATCTATGTGTGTGTATATATGTGTGTGTATGTGTGTGTATATAGATATATATATATATCTCCTTTGAGTTGTTTTTAATTGGCTTTATTATTGCCATCTGCAACAGCCATGTTGTGTCGGTCATAAAAATTTATTTCTAAAATCTCCTTCTAGGGAATGTAGTCAGTGACAGGAACAATGCTTTAAGATGAGGCAAAAAGTCTAGCTATATTTCACATTTGAATTAAACCACATTGATTAAACCATCTTTTACATTTGAGGAGAATAACCACTAATTAAATGTGCAAAATATGCTAGCAGTGACGTGCATTGGCAGCATCATCCCCATACGTATCTTTAATAATTCCAAAGACAATTGTCTTATAAATAGACAGATTTGAACTTCTAGTCTCTGGTCCGGCATGGAAGAAGTTCAGAACTCCCCAATCCATGCTAACAAGTACAAAGCTGAAAAACTTAATCAACAGCTCTTCCTAGATTCCTACGAGGAGTGAGGTCACAGGGCAAACCACGTCCCCAAACCTGGAGACACAGGCAAATGCAGAGAATCACAGCTTATAGGAGAATAAACCCATGAGCAGAAACGTCCATAGGAATCAGCACTGGGTTAGAAAAACCTGACTCTAATAGATGAGCTGCTGGACGATCACTGTGAACAAATGTGAGTTAAAAAAATCCAGAGGGGCCTATTGACGGCAGCCCTCACACTTTTGTGAGTTTTACCTCCAGGAGTTCTACCAGGATCTCACAGTGAATACTGGAGAAAAATCTGCTTATGCTTCTGGTGGACAGAGGGGAAAAATAACCATTTTGTAAACTACAAAGCATTCTGTTCTTCTTAGCAAGGTGTGCTCTCATAAGAGTCTATTTATACAGAGCCTGTCATTCTGGGTTTTGTTTGTTTGTGCTCATTTTTTTGTTTTCTTTTGTTTTGTTTTTTGAGACAGAGTCTCACTCGTCACCCAGGCTGGAGTGCAGTGGCGCGATCTCGGCTCACTGCAACCTCTGCCTCCCAGGTTCAAGTGATTTTCCTGTCTCAGCCTCCCGAGTAGCTGGGATTACAGGCATGCACCACCATGCCTGGCTAATTTTTGTATTTTTAGTAGAGACGGGCTTTCGCCATGTTGGCCAGGCTGATCTCGAACTCCTGACCTCAGATGATCCACCTCCCTCACCTCCCAAAGTGCTGGGATTACAGGCGTAAGCCACCATGCCCAGCCCATGCTGGGGTTTTATTACAGCCTAACTTACCTGGGACAGGAAAATATCTAACTCCAGCTGATTCTAGATTTCCACTTGGAAGAAGGAAAATACACAACTCCAGCCCCCTCTCACCTGTCACGTGGAAATAGAAAAACACCCAAATTCAACCCACTCTAGACATCCTTTTCCACCTGGGGGGATGGTGGGAGAAAACTGAGAGACATTTGTGAAGTTCACAGTCCAAAGTCACAGGATATCTAAAAGACTGGAACACATCATGGAATTAAAGAATGTTCTTCTCCCCCCACACATTGCTTCTGCATTACTAAGCACCTATTTACAGCCATTTGTTTTAACCAGTACATCATGTCCATCAGTTGGTAAAAGGATAAATAAACTATGGTACATGTAGACAATGGAATATTACTAATCACTCAAAAGAATGAGCTATCAAGCCATGAAAAACATGGAGGGAACTTATGCAAACTTAGTAAGGCATATTACTAAGTGAAAGAAGCCAATGTGGAAAGGCTATATACTGTATGATTACAACCCTGTGACATTCAGGAAAAGCCAAAACTATGGAGGCAGTAAAGAGATTAGTGGTTGCCAAGGGTCAAGGGGGTGGGAGGGATGAATAGAAGCACAGAAGATGTTTAGGTAATGAAAGTACTCTGGTGGTACTATACGGTGTAATGGTGGATACATGTAATTATGGATTCCTCCAGACTCATAAAGCATACAACACTGAGAGTGAACCCTACTGTAAACTATGGACTCCAGTAATAATTATTTGTCAATGTACATTCATTAATTGTAACAAATATACCCTCTGCTAGGGTATATCCGTAATGGAGAAGTCTATGCATTTATGGGGGCAGAGTATATATAGGAAATCTCTGTACCTTCTTAATTTTGCTGTGAACCTAAAACTGCTCTAAAAATATAGTCCATTAAAATTAAAAATAGGCAGATTTGTGTAATATTTCTTAGAGATAGAGATGGGTCTAAGAAGCAAAATAATGACCACTACCACAAAATTTCTCTTAAATTACATTATCTGTTTTAAAGGGCAAATAAATGCAGTATCTTTTAGAAACATCAGAATGAAGAGATAGCTGTCAAGTTACCTGCACAACTAACACATGCTTGAGCCAAATCTCTCTTTTTGCCATCTAACTTTGACTATTTATTGTACTACTGTATTTATATTATTATCATATTACTTACTATGTTATCTTAGCATAATCTGAAGCATACTTGCTGGGGAAGTAGCAACTGGTCATAAAACCCAGGCAACACATTGCAGAGTTTCAGAGACAGCCCTTTCTTTCTTTCAAAGGCAAAAATAGGCCCTTGACCTGTGAAAGGTAGTGAGAGAGAAAAGGGCATTCTTTCTATTATTATTAAGATCAAATGTGAATGGGACGGGTGTTAGGAAGTACTCCTATATTCCATCAACCACTGGACATGAAAAAGAGTAATGCCTCTCTTGCTATAATCTATCAGGATGAGCAAAAATAGAAATACAGGTGCCCTTCAATGTTCTCCTTTTTCTTATATATATTTAGAGTATTTGTTTATATTTATCTGTTTATAGTAATGCTTCACTTATTTTTCCCTGTGGGGAATAAGCCATTTCATTTGCAGGAATTCTCCAAATAAATGGAGTGTACTATTGTAAGCAGCAAAGGTAAACATTAAAAATATTTTTTGATGAACATCTTTCTAAAGTATATTATACATTTGTCTGCCTTTGAAAACAGAATATGCAGTTTTCTGCATTTCTAAGGACGTTTCAGATAAATTTTTGAAGCAATGACAACCTATCCTCCTGAAAATCTATCTCTTTGTTGATTATATTATTACCTTAGAAAACAAGGCTAGGAAATTGCTGTGAGTTTTCTGTGCTGATCTTCTCTGCCAGTGCCAACCAGGTTCTGGGTGAGTGCTTGCAATGATTGTCTGGTTGTGCATAGTGGAGTTAGGCATGAGGGGAGATGGACCCTTGGCATGAGTAAAGGAGCCACGAAAGAGTCAACATTAGCTAAGGAGAAAACAGAGAACCACCATTCCCCACATGCAAATCTGATGGAACAGGGTCAGAAGTAGGAGTTTTCAGATTGAGAGGCTAAGGGAGAATTCTGTGGATGAGTGATCATGGGCATTTTCCTGCCTTTCCAACCAAAAGGGCATTGAACTCATTTCTGTGAAAGTATTTCTACTCAACCCAGTGAACCCATCAGTGGCATTTAAACAAATACAAAGAAATACTAATGAAAATTTCAGGAAAAGCTGACATGACACTTCTAAAGCTTTCATATTAGTTCCAATGGCAAAGTAATGACAATGTATCAACACATTGATGGTGTAGCCCATTCAAAACCACAGGAAAGAAGGAATAATATCTATGAAGTCTTCTTATTAACTTTAACTTAAAAGGCATATAGATCATTTTGCTTGTTATCATAGAATGATAGACAAATCTAAAAAGGCAGGTCAGTGGGAACTGTAATTCAGCTGTATCCATGCCCCTTAACTTGTTCAGCTATATTTGAATGTCTAGCTATATCACAAGTTCAAATATCCTGCCTCCTCATTCCTGGAATATCATGTCTGTCCAGTGAAAAGGCATTATTCAGAGAGAAAATTATTTGTTGAGAGAAAAATACGAGTAACCAGTACTGTTCAAAAAAAATGTTAACAAGAAATCTGTACAACTGATATCAGAAAGTTCTCAACTGTCAAAAAAAAAAAAAAAACAGCTTGTTATCAGTTAAAGGAAACCTCTGACTTTTCATGTATGAATTCTATTTTTAGGAACAAATTCCATTTCCAGGCTCTTGATGAACTCACAAACCTTAAACTTATTCCTGCCAACAGATTTTGTCCCTTTATCTTATTTGTCTTGCGTATTTTATGTTATTTTATAAGTATCAGGAATTACATAAGCCTACCATCATATGGACAGTAACATTTTGTTAAGGATTAATTTGGACACTGATCATTCTTCTCTAAAACTGATGCATATAAGTCTGTGCAAATGAAAGCTTCCCAATCAAACATATAAACATAGTAACTTTATCTAGAGAGGTAAAATTGAGATCTCTTAGGTATTGTCATGACATGATGGGTAATTAGAAAACAATGTTATAAAAATAGTCTGAATGCAGTGGCTCACACCTAAAATCTCAGCACTTTGAGAGGCCAAGACAGGAGGATCACTTGAGGCTAGGAGTTCGAGATACCCTGGGCCACATAGCAAAACTGCATCTCTACAAAAAGTGAAAAAAATTAGCCAGTCACAGTGGCACACACCTGTAATCCTAGCTACATGGGAAGCAAAGGGAGGAGGTTTGAGCCCAGGAGTTAGAGGCTGCAGTAAGCTATAACCACACCACTGCACTCCAGCCTGGTAACAGAGCGAGACCCTGGCTTAATAATAATAATAATAGTGACAATGACAAGTCATTAGAAAATAATTCGTTTTACTGAAAATAAGTAGTTAGAAACCTATTACATGTTTCTTTCACCCAGTGAGTGGCATGTAAAGCAGTAATCTTCCCATTATCTCTTTTGGAAATAAAACATTAAAGAATTGACTTCTTATGTCAGTCTTATGACACAATGTTGACTGAACATTTTAATGAAAGTTGAAACTGAAATCCATGAGAACTATTGGGAGTTTTCAAATGATCTGTACAAGTAAGCGATGGCTAGAGATTGTCCTTTGCCCCCTCTATTTTCCCAGCCACAGCCTGGAGCATGTCCTCAATCTTGCATGCCAACTTGCTATAATAGCTTTCAAATTCTTCTTCCCACTTTTATCCCCCTCCTCCCTAAGATTTACCACAGCCTATACAACCCATCAAAATATGTTTCCTAGAAAACATGCTGAAAATCTCACATGGTTGCTCAGAAACAAGCAGTGATGCATGATTTATTAAGAGAATTTGTTGTCTTCATCATGAAAGTCAATACAATTTTCCATTATGACAGTTCTCTAACACGGAATGTTCGCTCCCCTCTTCTCTGCTAAACCAAGCCCTATATTTTACTCACTCTGCACCTCCTACATTAAACTGTTTCTCTCAAAACAAATCTTATGGTTATAATTCCCCTTATTTTCCTCCCCTAAGCACTTTATGCTACATGAATCTCACTCTCACAATTTTTCATTTTGGAATAACGTTCTGTGAACTTTTGATTTATCTACCAACCTAAATGAGAAATTCTTATAAATCTGAATCAGAGTGCTTCTCTTTAATTTTGTTTGAGGTTTGGCATTTTTTTCTTTAATATAAGGGCATGAATATAGCGAGGCATATCAATCAAGCATCTAAGCAGAGACATAGCTAAAAGTGCACCTTAGCTGAACTGTCCTGGGAAAGTTGGTATTTTCAGATCAGTGGGATATCTGAAATGCCTCAGAGAAAAGAGAAAGGTATAGTGAAAAATACAAGAGTCTGACATAAGGTAAGAGCTAACTCTAAGTTTAGAGTTAAGTCTCTGCAGTCAACTACACTTCCAAATTCAATCATTGCTAAGGCATTGGTGCTTTTCTAATGAAATATTTTAACATTTTTGTTCTAGCTTTTGATGAAACAAGAGATTAAATACTTATGTGATACTGGGATATATTTATATATGCTGCCTAGTAATATAATATTATTAATAGCATGGTAAGCTACCGTGTATAGAACTTGTTATTGTTCACCTTTAATTTCAAGACAATGCTGTATAATATTAGTCTGTTCACCCAGATAGGTGGTGAACATTTGTGGTAGCTGAACATTTTTGAGAGACAGAGGCAGCATATTTAGTGAAGCAAATAAATTTAACATAAAAATACTCTTTGTACCTCTGGTAGAATTCAGCTGTGAATCTGTCTTGTCCTGCACTTTTTTTGGTTGGTAAGCTATTAATTATTGCCTCAATTTCAGAGCCTGTTATTGGTCTATTCAGGGATTCAGCTTCTTCCTGGTTGAGTGTTGGGTGGGTATATGTGTCCAGGAATGTATCCATTTCTTCTAGATTTTCTAGTTTATTTGCTTAGAGGGGTTTATAGTAATCTCTGATGGTAGTTTGTATTTCTGTGGGATCGGTGGTGATATCCCCTTTATCACTTTCTATTGTGTCTATTTAATTCTTCTCTCTTTTATTCTTTATTAGTCTTGCTAGCAGTCTATCAATTTTATTGATCTTTTCAAAAAACCAGACACACAAAAAGAGAATTTTAGACCAATATCCCTGATGAACATCCATGCAAAAATCCTCAATAAAATATAGGCAAACCAAATCCAGCAGCACATCAAAAAGCTTATCCACCATGATCAAGTGGGCTTCATCCCTGTTATGCAAGGCTGGTTCAACATACGCAAATCAATAAACGTAATCCAGCATATAAACAGGACCAAAGACAAAAACCACATGATTATCTCAATAGATGCAGAAAAGGCCTTTGACAAAATTCAACAGCCCTTCATGCTAAAAACTCTCAACAAACTAGGTATTGATGGGACGTACCTCAAAATAATAAGAGCTATTTATGACAAACCCACAGCCAATATCATACTGAATGAGCAAAAATCGGAAGCATTCCCTTTGAAAACTGGCACAAGACAGGATGCCCTCTCTCACCACTCCTTTTCAACATAGTGTTGGAAGTTCTGGCCAGGACAATCAGGCAGGAGAAAGAAATAAAGGATATTCAATTAGGAAAAGAGGAAGTCAAATTATCCCAGTTTGCAGATGACATGATTGTATATTTAGAAAACCCCATCTTCCCAGCCCAAAATCTCCTTAAGCTGATAAGCAACTTCAGCAAAGTCTCAGGATACAAAATCAACGTGCAAAAATCACAAGCATTCCTATACACCACTAACAGACAGAGAGCCAAGTCATGAGTGAACTCCCATTCACAATTGCTTCAAAGAGAATAAAATACCTAGGAATCCAACTTACAAGGGATGTGAAGGACCTCTTCAAGGAGAACTACAAATCATTGCGCAATGAAATAAAGGAAGACACAAACAAATGGAAGAAAATTCCATGCTTATGGACAGAAAGAATCAATATTGTGAAAATGGCCATACTGCCCAAGGTAATTTATAGATTCAATGCCATCCCCATCAAGCTACCAATGACTTTCTTCACAGAATTGGAAAAAACTACAGTCATATGGAACCAAAAAAGAGCCCGCATTGCCAAGACAATCCTAAGCCAAAAGAACAAAGCTGGAGGCATCATGCTACCTGACTTCAAACTATACTACAAGGCTACAGTAACCAAAACAGCATGGTACTGGTACCAAAACAGAGATATAGACCAATGGAACAGAACTGAGCCCTCAGAAATAATACCACACATCTACAACCATCTGATCTTGACAAACCTGACAAAAACAAGAAACAGGGAAAGGATTCCCTATTTAATAAATTATGCTGGGAAAAGTGGCTAGCCATAGGTAGAAAGCTGAAACTGGATCCCTTCCTTATACCTTATACAAAAATTAACTCGAGATGGATTAAAGACTTAAATGTTAGACCTAAAACCATAAAAACCCTAGAAGAAAACCTAGGCAATACCATTCAGGACATAGGCATGGGCAAGGACTTCATGACTAAAACACAAAAAGCAATGGCAACAAAAGCCAAAATTGACAAATGGGATCTAATTGCACTAAAGAGCTTCTGCAAAGTAAAACAAACTACCATCAGAGTGAACAGGCAACCTACAGAATGGGAGAAAATTTTTGCAATCACCCATCTGACAAAGGGCTAATATCCAGAATCTACAAAGAACTCAAACAGGCAGGGCACGGTGGCTCATGCCTGTAATCCCAGCACTTTGGGAGGCTGAGGCAGGTGGATCACAAGGTCAGGAGATTGAGTCTATCCTGGCTAACATGGTGAAACCCCGACTCTACTAAAAATACAAAGAAATTAGCCAGGCATGGTGGCGGGTGCCTATAGTCCCAGCTACTCTGGAGGCTGAGGCAGGAGAATGGCGTGAACCCAGGAGGCAGAGCTTGCAGTGAGCCGAGAATGCACCTCTGCACTCCAGCCTGGGCAACAGAGTGAGACGCCATCTCAAAAAAAAAAAAAAAAGAGAAAAGAACTCAAACAAATTTACAAGAAAAAAATCAAACAACCCCATCAAAAAGTGGGCAAAGGATATGAACAGACACTTCTCAAAAGAAGACATTTATGCAGCCAACAGACACATGAAAAAATGCTCATCATCACTGGTCATCAGAGAAATGCAAATCAAAACCACAATGAGATATCATCTCATACCAGTTAGAATGGTGATCATTAAAAAGTCAGGAAACAACAGGTGCTGGAGAGGATGTGGAGAAATAGGAACACTTTTACACTGTTGGTGGGACTGTAAACTAGTTCAACCATTGTGGAAGTCAGTGTGGCAATTCCTCAAGGATCTAGAACTAGAAATACCATTTGACCCAGCAATCCCATTACTGGGTATATACCCAAAGGATTATAAATCATGCTGCTATAAAGACACATGCAAAGGTATGTTTATGGTGGCACTATTCACAATAGCGAAGACTTGGAACCAACCCAAATGTCCATCAATGATAGACTGGATTAAGAAAATGTGGTACATACACACCGTGGAATACTATGCAGCCATGAAAAAGGATGAGGTCATGTCCTTTGTAGGGACATGGATGAAGCTGGAAACCATCATTCTGAGCAACCTATCACAAGGACAGGAAACCAGACACCGCATGTTCTCACTCATAGGTGGGAACTAAACAATGAGAACATCTGGACAGGACACAGAGTGGGGAACATCACACACCAGGGCCTGTTGTGGGGCAGGGGGAGGGGGTGGGATAGCATTACAAGAAATACTTAATGTAAATGACGAGTTAATTGGTGCAGCACACCAACATGGCACATGTGTACATATGTAACAAACCTGAACATTGTGCACATGTACCCTAGAACTTAAAGTATATAAAAAAAAATAAATACTCCAGGACCCAGAGACAAATCGGAAAGTTCCAAATTCTTAAGAGTCATGTTCGTCCCCTCCTGACCTGCTCCAGTACTTCAAATTTAACTTTTGTAATAAACTTCCCTTTCCCATACCTTCTCCCATTTCATTTTTCTATATGAAGAAACAAGCTACAATATCTAATAGCCTAATGTGCTTATTCACCGAAGGAGAATTTAGTTTGAGGAGAATTCTAAGGCAAGCACTAGTAAGAGAATGATCTCCATCTTGCTGCCTTAAAAACAAACACATAGCACTACACAATGAGTTTGTAGATCATACTTATGCTATGGGAAAAAGATTGCCACCAGATGACTATCACTTAACGAATATATCCTTTGCGCAAATGAAAAGAAATGAAATTTGGAGTGTGAGAGAACAAGAGATCATTTGACAATAAAATTTAGATTTGAGTTTTTTCCAAGATATCTTTATCACACTTGAGAGTAATCCAATTAACCTACTTGAAGTAAAAGCTTCCTTCCACACAAAGGAAAGAAATGTATTCTAAATAAGAGGATTTTCAGACTCTGTTATATCCTATTCTTAGAGAGAACTAAGCAACTAGAATAGCACTCCAGATTTGGTTAGTTCAACCCAAAGTACATAAAAAGAGAACACATAATTCAAACAACTTAAATAGACTTCTTAAACAGAAGAAGCGATTTGTATATCCAGTACAATTTTTAAAAAACAAACAATAAAAACAATAGGTAAATGGCACTTACCTTGGTCCTTCAAAAGCACACTTACAAAAACTAAGTGAAAGAAAAAGCCCAATAAACTCACCTGAATCCAGAATTCATTAATCTAGTGGCATTTTACTTTATAAAACTATTTTAGAGCAACTTTTTCTTCTCAAATGTGAAGATTTTAAGTCATCAAGCCATAGTTTTAGACTATATAGATACTCAAATGTCTGTAATCTATGAGAGTAAAGGAAATGTCATCTCTCAGTGTTTGAGACACCGTTACACTAATTGTTTAAAATGGTAATGAACTACCAAACATTGAGCATCATCTCGGTACAAACCACTGATCTAGGTGTTGAAATGTTCTTGTTTGAATTAGTTTAATTACTACATTTAAAAAAATTATAAGTATAATTAACTATAATTCAAAACCCAACAAATAAGTTACTATCAAAGGACAAAGGAAGGGAAATCATTTAAGATAGAATTTTCAACCTAATTGAACATATTTTCTATATGTTTCTTTCATTTGGTTTTTGTAAGTGTACTTTTGAAGGACCAAGGTAAGTGCCATTTACCTATTGTGTTGCTATATATTTGTTTTGAAGGCAGAAAGATGGAGATTATTTCTCTTGTAGTTATCTAAATTCTAAGTGTGCACAATTTCATGGATATAGCCCAACATTTAATAATATTAGGAATGGCCAATTTATCATCAAAACAACACTAGAGACATGGAGCCTCATTTAAGCCTCCTAGCACAATTTCTTCTGCTGGATATTACTATTTATTAATCTCTTACCTCGATGTTTGAAAGCTTAGCTGAGAAGAATATAACATGATTAATTAGAGTAGACAAATCTCAGAAAAGATAGCATAAATACCTACATATACTTTAAGAAATTTGTCATAGACTTCTGTTTCAGAAATGGGACAGTATAAAGTGACAAATTTGTCTTCTCACTCCTGGAAAAACAGCCATTTTTATTTATAATTATACTAAAATCCTTCTTTTTTGGAGCTCCATGGGCCCTAAATACTTACTATCAAATGTCTGAGAAACCTCCAAAGCTGCTTCCATTTGGTAATTTTTTTTGGATCCAAGAAAAGAAAAATAAATTTTCATTTTCCTCTCTCTTCCCGCTTTTTTCAGCTCATTTAATCTTTGTTGCCTTTCAAATTCCACAAACATGTTATTGAGAAACCTCTTGTGAAATGCATGTTTTTTTTCACTGAGCATTTCTTAAGTACCTGCAATTTACTGGTAACAAGTTCTGGACAGAAATGTTTGTCAGAAAATTTTGATAATGGATTTCATTAGCTCCCCTTTATTGGGGTGGAATAAAACTCAGGCACAGCTTAAGTAATTTACTGTCATGAAGACAGTAAGCAAAAGACCCAGGGGAACACTCTAGACATTTCTAACACAGCTTAGTGTGCTCTTCTAACTTTCTATTTAGAGAAAAAAACAAAATAGACCAGCAAACAAACAAACAAAAAAAACCACCTCCTGAAACATTTTCTCAGAGACCAAAGGCTGTGGTACTGCATCCTTATTAAGTATCCTATCAAGTAAGAAAAAATAGTTCTGGAAGGGACCATGTGGGTCATGCATCTTACTTGGCTTCTTTATTCTAACAAATAGGATTTTGGTTCAAAGAAAAGGAGGAATTAGAAATCACAGTGAATAATAATTGGGGTGTGTGTGTGTGTCTGTGTGTGTGTGTGTGTGTGTTTGATTCAAACATAACCCCAACAGATCACAAAAAAACCTGGACCCATGTGAAACACTGCAGATACAGAGTTGTTTAAAGCAATTCCAGCCTTTCAGGCTCAAACTACAAGTCCGCTTACCTGTGAAAGGCAGTGAATGTAGTCAATGTACAGTGCCGTGGCCAATAGACCTGGAAGCAAGCCTGGCTCATTGCAGGTACTAAATGAATATTTTTCAAATTAAATTGACTTGAGTTAAATGTAAAACCTTATTTTTCAACAACAGATTTTTTTTAACAAGCGCCTTATTAAATATTTCATTTTGATTAAAACATCAGAACATCTATTCTATATATGATAGCAAAAGAGTTGAAAAGAAAATTATAATTAGTTTACCAGCTGGGCACGTAACATTTTTTGTTTGTAATGCATAAGGAAACAGCATTGATAGGCATGCTCAAAAATATGGCAATAATGAGATAATGAGTAACAAAGTTAGAGGCTGATGTTCTCTCTTCATATAACAATTCTTTCTGTGGCTGAATTTCATTCCACATGTCTAATATAAAATACCTCTAATAATGCAAAAACTATCATATGAATTCTCATTTATGTTTGAGGCTACTATCAGACAGAGGGGTATCATGGCTAGAGCAAAATAAAACTGTTTTTGAAGTCAGAGAGGACAGTATGAGTCCCGTCTGTGCTACTTATATCCTAAGTGAGCCTGGGCTAATATTATTTTGGATTGTCATAATTCTACAAATTAGTTTCCATTGCAGGAACTTTATAGAGACTGGTGAAGTCTGACAGAATTAAAGAATATGAGGTTTGCATGAAATAAAAAGGGCAAATAGAATTAAACTGAAAAAAAAATGCTCCTTTGAATATAGCCTGAGGACTCAACTGTTACAGGACCAACAGGTTTGTATGCCTGCTGCACAGTAAGAGAGCAATAAACTGAAACAGCAGGGTTTGCAGCAGAGAAAGAGTTTAATGACTTCAGGGTGCCAAGAGGAGATGGGAGGAGACTTTTAAATGTATCTCCCTGAGGATTTCCGGGCTGTGGTTTTTAAGGGGATCATGGAGGGTAAGGGGCTGGTAAATTGGGGTCATTGCTTGGTTGGGGCAAGGGGAATGAAATCATCAAGATGTGGAAACTGCATTCTTTGGTGATTCAGCTCCTCATGGGATCCTTCAGATCAGCTGACATCAATAGTTTCACTTGTATTCAGGAGCCAAAAGAATATCTCAAAGGGAAACTTAACATTTTATAATGTTCAAGTTGTTATCTACAGAGCAGTTAGGAAGAATCACAATCTTGTAGCAAGGGTCTATATGATTCTGAGGCACCCATGAGGAAGGGGTCAGAGAGCACTAGCACTAATAATTAATGTTGAACGTGTTGCAAGCTTGGTTTATTTTTATTTCTCCCCCTTCCTTCTTCTCTGATTAATTTTATGTTTATAGGGACAGTTTCACAACTACATCTTGGGTCAGACCTTCACTACCATTCCAGGCAATGGTGCTACCTTGTCATGGAGATGCTACTGAGCTCATCCCAATATTGACTCAAACTGGGATGAGATAGATGATGTCCACTGGGTAAAATACAGTACAATTTCATACTCACAGTTTGATTGCACTAAATATGTGACAAATTTACACATGTTTAAGAAATGTAGAGCCAATTGAATCCGAATGAGAGAGGGATTATTGTTCTCTCTTATTGAGTACCCGATTATGTGGTGCCATCTGATACAGATTCTATAAACAGAATTTAAAAATAGAAAGATTGTTACTTCTTGCATCTTCTTTACTTCTAAAAGATCATATATTCCTTTGTAGAGGATAATATTTTCAAATAAGGATTTATTTCATTTTTCCTCTTTACTACATGGGATGATGTCCAAAAGAACAACCATTCATAAATAAAAGATTCCCAGATAATCACATATCCTTTAAGTCACCAAAATGGATTTGAGTAGCAAAAGTCACAACACTAGATATATTACACAGATTGTCCAGGCTTTTCTTTAAATTTATTTGTCGGCCCTTTTAATGACTAAATTATCATCCTTTGTTTTTCTCTCTGATGAGTGTACTTCTAACACTTTTGTTAGAGTAGCAGATAGTAAAGTTGGTGAAAAAATAAATACTCTTTCTTTGGTTTTTGAACAGCAGAAATCCGTTAGAAAAACTCTTTCCAAATAATTAATATCATATTATCCTTATTTTGCAAGCAGATATTTCATGGTTTATTCCAAAAAGACTCATATGGTTCAATACGTAAATATTTTCCCTTGTGTTCTATAAATTTTAAGTGACAGTCTTGTTTGAGGCTGATGTCAATCTGTATCTGATCCAGAAGGATAACAATAACTTAAAATATGTTTTGCATTATGTGTCTTGTGTAATGGCGATTTGATTAAGGTGAGGGTAAAGCTGGTGAGCACACTGCTGCTCCAATCTAAGCCTGCTTTCTGCTGCCCAGATGGGCAAATGACCTTCAATAACAGACCTAACCCTCCTGAGAGCAAAATGAACTTCCAAAGAGGTACAATACACATTGTATTTCATGCCACCACTTATATAATAAATTGATAATATGTGAAAATACTATTTTGTGCAATAAGCAATTCTAGGTATTAAATAGGTTTTTGAAGTGTTTCATGTTTTGCACAAGATGAGTTAGCAATGAAACTCCCATGCATATTCTTGCGCATATAAGAACACGGAAGTTCAGAGGGTTTGAGTAACTAATCCAAAATCACATAATATGAATGATGCTAAAGGGCAGTTAGAGTTAAAATTAGATCCTTTGGAAGCCAAGGTCTGCAATCTTTTTAAATCACCTCACCATCTCCCATTTATCTTCTGGTTAAATTTGGAGAGACATTATAAAAAGGGGAAACACATTTATAAGTTTTCTCATTGCCATCATTAACAGTGGTGTAATAATGACAAAATAATTAAAATTTAATTAGTTCTTCCTTTGCTGTCACTCCATTGTGAGCTTATATTCTAATCTTGCATCCCCTCAAGCCTAAATGAATCTTTGAAATGAGGGTTGATTTAAATCGATAGTGGAACTTTGGCTATAGTTACTATTTCTTTTTTTTTTTTTTTAATTGAAATGGAGTCTCATTCTGTTGCCCAGGCTGGAGTGCAGTGGTGCGATCTCAGCTCACTGCAACCTCCGTTCGCACCACCCCCTGCAGGTTCCAAGTGATTTTCCTGCCTCAGCCTCCCAAGTAGCTGGGATTACAGGCATGTGCCACCATGTCTGGCTAATTTTTGTATTTTTAGAAAGCATGGGGTTTCGCTACGTTAGCCAGGCTGGTCCTGAATTCCTGTGGCCACCCGCTGCAGCCTCCCAAAGTGCTGGGATTACAAGCATGAGCCATCATGCCCAGCCTATATAGTCATTATTTCCTGTAGTGAAACAAAATGATGTCCAATCTTAGATCTATGTATTAAATACCCAAAGATGAGAGGTCCAATGCTAGTATTGGACCTTTTTCTCTGTTAGGTACAGGAAAATTGAAATTTTGTGGGGAAAAAAAAAAAAAAAATATATATATATATATATATATATATAGCCTTGCCTATCAGTACATGGCATATGCTCCAAATTTATGGAAATGCATTGGCATTAAAGGACTAGAGCTAATTTGGGTATAACATCAGGAAACACTTAAGGTCTAATGTCCTTTATTTTGGGAACATGAAGGTTGGAATTATTGAGACAGCTGGAACATTGAGCTCTATATTTTCCAGAGCTCCAAGAGACACTCAATTTTGTTTAACTATAGAACAAGACCCCAGGTGATGCTCTAACCTGAAAATTAGCCAGGATCAAATGAAACTATTATGTGGTTTCCACAGAGTAATCAACCATTGTGAAAGACAGTGTGGCGATTCCTCAAAGACCTAGAGACAGAAATATCATTTGATCCAACAATCTCATTACTGGGTATATAACCAAAAGAATATAAATTGTTCTATTATAAAGACACATGCACACATATGTTCACTGCAACACTGTTCCCAATAGCAAAGACACGTAATCAACATAAATGCCCAACAATGAGAGGCTGGATAAAGAAAATGTGGCATATATATGCCATGGAATACTATGCAGTCATAAAAAGTAATGAGATCATGTCCTTTGCAGGGGCATGGATGGAACTGGCTGCCATTATGCTTAGCAAACTAACGCAGGAACAGAAAACCAAATACCACATGTTCCTATGTATACGTGGGAGCTAAATGATGAGAACATGTGGACACATGGTAGGGAACAACACACACTGGGGCCTGTTGAAGAGTGAGGGGTGGGAGGAGAGAGAAGATCAGGAAGAACAGCTAGCAGATGCTGGGATTAACACCTGAGTGATGGGATGATCTGTGCAGCAAACCACCATAGCACATGTTTACCTATGTAACAAACCTGTACATCCTGCACATGTACCCCTGAACTTCAAATAAAAGATGGAAATTTAAAAAAAAAAAAAAGAGAGAGAGAGAGAGGCCAATCAGTAGCAGAGAATCTACCTTTCAAAACCGAGGTTTGTTTTTAAAAGCAATCTCTGTGATTGATATATGGAATGTTGACTTTCCAATTTCTAACTCAACAATTAGGAAAAGAATGGTTTGGAAGAGATTGACTGTTATAGTTTACAGGTTTTAAAAAATGAAATTTTAATTCGTCTTACATCACTACCCTTAAGTAAGCATCATGTGACATTTGTGTATATCAAGTATACAAAAAATGGAAATCACAAAACCAACATAAAGATATGAGTTTTATTCATCATTTGGAAGAATAAAATGCAAAAAGTAAACTTGTATTTATTTATAGGAAGTGGGAGCAGTTCAACATTAGAAAAGAATACTGATCATTATTTTAATATTTAATACTGATCATTATATGTGTTTACAAAGGGAGTCAATTGACATTTTTCATATTTTAAAGCAGAAGTATTTTTTGTAATAAAAGCTCAGACTATAATATGTCTTATAATATAATATGGTCTCATAACATAAGACCATAATTATTCCACAGTATCTAATGAGAAATAAACCAGATTTTAAAACTGACCTTAATATGTAAGCGTTTTGTTAATACTGCTGTATTTTATGTCTAAAACTAGAAATATGGTTGATTATTATATGAGTGGGATATAGTTACTGTATTAGTCAGGGTTTTCTATAGGGACAGAACTAATAGGAGATATATATATATATATATGTATACACACACACTTATAAAGGGGAGTTTATTAAGTATTAACTCACAGGATCACAAGGTCCCATAATAGGCCATATGCAAGCTGAGGAGCAAAGAAAGCCAGTCCAAGTCTCAAAACTGAAGAACTTGTTTGAGGACAGGAAGCATCCAGCACGGAAGAAAGATGTAGGCTGGGAGGCTAGGCCAGTCTAGTCTTTTCACGTTTTTCTGCCTGCTAGCTACACTGGCAGCTGATTAGATTTGCCCATCCAGATTAAAGGTGGGTCTGCGTTTCCCAGCCCACTGACTCAAATGTTAATCTCCTTTGGCAACAACCTCACAGACACACCTACGATCAATATTTTGCATCCTTCAACTGAATCAAGTTGACACTCAATATTAATCATCATGGTAACCTCCAGTAGATTATTTTTTTACTATATTTGCCATTTTATCTCAGTAGGCAATATTAAGTGTCAGGCCTCTGAGCCCAAGCTAAGCAATCATATACCCTGTGACCTGCACGTACATATCCAGATGGCCGGTTCCCACCTTAACTGATGACATGCCACCACATAAGAAGTGTAAATGGCCGGTCCTTGCCTTAACTGGTGATATTCCACCACAAAAGAAGTGAAAATGGCCAGTCCTTGCCTTAAGTGATGACATTACCTTGTAAAAGTCCTTTTCCTGGCTCATCCTGGCTCGAAAACTCCCCCAATGAGCACCTTGTGACCCCCACTCCTGCCTGCCAGAGAACAAACCCCCTTTGACTGTAATTTTCCTTTACCTGCCCAAATCCTATATAAAATGGCCCCACCCCTGTCTCCCTTCCCTGACTCTCTTTTCAGACTCAGCCCACCTGCACCCAGGTGAAATAAACAGCTTTATTGCTCACACAAAGCCTGTTTGGTGGTCTCTTCACATGGACATGCATGAAATTTGGTGCCGTGACTCAGATTGGGGGACCTCCCTTGGGAGATCAATCCCCTGTCCTCCTGCTCTTTGCTCCATGAAAAAGATCCACCTATGACCTCAGGTCCTCAGACCCACCAGCCCAAGGAACACCTCACCAATTTTAAATCGGGTAAGCAGCCGCTTCTTACTCTCTTCTCCAACCTCTCTCACTATCCCTCAACCACTTTCTCCTTTCCACTCTTCAATATCTCCCTTCTCTTAACTTCAATTCCTTTCATTTTCTCGTAGAGACAAAGGAGACATGTTTTATCCATGGACCCAAAACTCTGGCCCCGGTCACAGACTGGGAAGGCAGCCTTCCCTTGGTTTTTAATCATTGCAGGGACACCTCTCTGATTATTCACCCAGGTTTCAGAGGTGTCAGACCATGCAGGGATGCCTGCCTTGGTCCTTCACCCTTAGTGGCAAGTCCCGCTTTTCGGAGGAAGGGGCAAGTACCCCAACCCCTTCTCTCCCTTTCTCCACCTTCTCCACCTTTCTGGGGGGCAAGAAACCCCCAACCCCTTCTCCTTCACCCTTAACAGCAAGTCCCGCTTTTCTGGGAGAGGGGCAAGTACCCCAACCTCGTATCTCTGTGCCCCAATCCCTTATTTCCCTGCCCCGACATCTTATCTCTGTGCCCCAATCCCTTATTTCCAAGCCCCAACCTCTTACATCTCTGAGCCCTGATCCTGTATTTCCACGCCCCGACCTCATATCTCTGCACCCCAACCTCTTCTCTGCTTTTCTGGAGGGCAAGAACCCCCTACCCCTTCTCCGTGTCTCTACTCTTTTCTCTGGGCTTGCCTCCTTCACTATGGGCAAGCTTCCACCTTCCATTCCTCCTTCTTCTCCCTTAGCCTGTGTTCTTAAGAACTTGAAACCACTTCAACTCTCACCTGACCTGAAATCTAAGCATCTTATTTTCTTCTGCAATGCTGCTTGACCCCAATACAAACCTGACAGTGGTTCCAAGTAGCCAGAAAATGGCACTTTCAATTTTTCCATCCTGCAAGATCTAAATAATTCTTATAAAATGGGCAAATGGTGTGAGGTGCCTGACGACCAGTCATTCTTTTACACAGCTGTCCCTCTCTAGTCTCTGTTCCCAATGCAACTCATCCCAAATCTTCCTTCTTTCCCTCCCACCTGTCCCCTCAGTCCCAACCCCAAGTGTCGCTGAGTCTTTCTAATCTTCCTCTACAGACCCATCTGACCTCTCCCCTCCTTCCCAGGCTGCTCTTCACCAGGCCGAGCTAGGTCCCAATTCTTCCTCAGCCTCTGCTCCTCCACCCTATAATCCTTTTATCACCTCCCCTCCTCACACCCGGTCCGGCTTACAGTTTCGTTCCGTGACTAGCCCTCCCCCACCTGCCCAGCAATTTACTCTTAAAAAGGCGGCTGGAGCTAAAGGCATAGTCAAGGTTAATGCTCCTTTTTCTTTATCCCAAATCAGATAGCGTTTAGGCTCTTATTCATCAAATATAAAAATCCAGCCCAGTTCATGGCTTGTTTGGCAGCAACCCTGAGACACTTTACAGCCCTAGACCCTAAAATGTCAAAAGGCCGTCTTATTCTCAAAATATATTTTATTACCCAATCTGCCCCCAACATTAAATAAAACTCCAAAAATTAAGTTCCAGCCCTCAAACCGCACAACAGGATTTAATTAACCTCACCTTCAAGGTGTACAATAATAGAAAAAAGTTGCAATTCCTTGCCTCCACTGTGAGACAAACCCCAGCCACATCTCCAGCACACAAGAACTTCCAAACGCCTGAACTGCAGTGGCCAGGCCTTCCTCCAGAACCTTCTCTCCCAGGAGCTTGTTACAAGTGCCAGAAATCTGGCCACCAGGCCAAGTAATGCCTGCAGCCCAGGATTCCTCCTAAGCCACGTCCCATCTGTGTGGGACCCCACTGGAAATCGGACTGTCCAACTCACCTGGCAGCCACTCCCAGAGCCCCTGGAACTCTGGCCCAAGGTTCTCTGACTCCTTCTCAGATCTTCTTGGCTTAGCAGCTGAAGACTGACGCTGCCCAATCGCCTCGGAAGCCCCTTAGACCATCACGGACGCTGAGCTTCAGGTAACTCTCACAGTGGAAGGTAAGTCCGTCCCCTTCTTAAGCAATACGGAGGCTACCCACTCCACATTACCTTCTTTTCAAGGGCCTGTTTCCCTTGCCTCCATAACTGTTGTGGGTATTGACAGCCAGGCTTCCAAACCTCTTAAAACTCCCCAACTCTGGTGCCAACTTAGACAATACTCTTTTAAGCACTCCTTTTAATTATCCCCACCTGCCCAGTTCCCTTATTAGGCCGAGACACTTTAACTAAATTATCTGCTTCCCTAACTATTCCTGGATTACAGCTACATCTCATTGTTGCCCTTCTTCCCAATCCAAAGCCTCCTTTGCATCCTCCTCTTGTATTCCCCAACCTTAATCCACAACTATAAGATACCTCTACTCCCTCCTTGGTGACCGATCATGCACCCCTTACCATCTCATTAAAACCTAATCACCCTTACCCCGCTCAATGCCAAGATCCCATCCCACACCACACTTTAAAAAGATTAAAGCCTGTTATCACACGCCTGCTACAGCATGGCCTTTTAAAGCCTATAAACTCTCCTTACAATTCCCCCATTTTACCTGTCCTAGAACCAGACAAGCCTTACAGGTTAGTTCAGGATCTGCACCTTATCAACCAAATTATTTTGCATATCTACCCCGTGGTGCCAAACCCATATACTCTCCTATCCTTAATACCTCCCTCCACAACCCATTATTCTGTTCTGTATCTCAAACATGTTTTCTTTACTATTCCTTTGCACCCTTCATCCCAGCCTCTCTTTGCTTTCACTTAAACTGACCCTGACACCCATTAGGCTCAGCAAATTACCTGGGCTGTACTGCCGCAAGGCTTCACAGACAGCCCCCATTACTTCAGTCAAGCCCAAATTTCATCCTCATCTGTTACCTATCTCGGCATAATTCTCATAAAAACACACGTGTTTTCCCTGCTGATCCTGTCCGGTTAATCTCCCAAACCTCAATCCCTTAGAAAACAACAACTCCTTTCCTTCCTAGGCATGGTTAGTGCGGTCAGAATTCTTACACAAGAGCCAGGACTGCACCCTGTGGCCTTTCTGTCCAAACAACTTGACCTTACTGTTTTAGCCTAGCCACCATGTTCCCGTGCAGCGGCTGCTGCTGCCCTAATACTTTTAGAGGCCCTCAAAATCACAAACTATGCTCAACTTACTCTCTACATTTCTCATAACTTCCAAAATCTATTTTCTTCCTCACACCTGATGCATATACTTTCTGCTCCCCGGCTCCTTCAGCTGTACTCACTCTTTGTTGAGTCTCCCACAATTACCATTGTTTCTGGCCTGGACTTCAATCCAGCCTCCCACATTATTCCTGATACCACACCTAACACCCATGACTGTATCTCTCTGATCCACCTAACATTCACCCCATTTCCCCATATTTCCTTCTTTCCTGTTCCTCACCCTGATCACACTTAGTTTATTGATGGCAGTTCCACCAGGCCTAATCTCCACACACCAGCAAAGGCAGGCTATGCTATAGAACAAGCCACTAGCCCGCCTCTTAAAACCTCTCATTTCCTTTCCATCGTGGAAATCTATCCTCAAGGAAATAACTTTTCAGTGTTCCATCTGCTGTTCTACTACTCCTCAAGGATTATTCAGGCCCCCTCCCTCACCTACACATCAAGCTCCAGGTTTTGCCCCGACCCAGGACTGGTAAATTAGCTTTACTCAACATGCCCCGAGTCAGAAAACTAAAATACCTCTTAGTCTGGGTAGACACTTTCACTGGTTGGGTAGAGGCCTTTCCTACAGGGTCTGAGAAGGCCACCGCAGTCATTTCTTCCCTTCTGTCAGAAATAATTCCTCAGTTTAGCCTTCCCACCTCTATACAGTCTGATAACAGACCAGCCTTTATTAGTCAAATCAGCCAAGCAGTTTTTCAGGCTCTTAGTATTCAGTCAAACCTTTATATCCCTAACGGTCCTCCATCTTCAGGAAAAGTAGAACGGACTAAAGGTCTTTTAAAAACACACCTCACCAAGCTCAGCCACCAACTTAAAAAGGACTGGACAATAGTTTTACCACTTTCCCCTCTTAGAAATCAGACCTGTCCTCAGAATGCTACAAGGTACAGTCCATTTGAGCTCCTGTATAGATGCTCCTTTTTATTAGGCCCCAGTCTAATTCCAGACACCAGACCAACTTAGACTGTGCCCCAAGAAAACTTGTCATCCCTACTATCTTCTGTCTAGTCATACTCCTATTCACCATTCTCAACTACTCATACATGCCCTGCTTTTGTTTACACTGCTGGTTTACACTGTTTCTCCAAGCCATCACAGCTGATATCTCCTGGTGCTATCCCCAAACTGCCACTCTTAACTCTTGAACTAAATAAATAATCTTTGCTGGCAGGACTATGCTGAATCTCCTTAGGCAGTCTCTAATCAGATGTCCTGGGTCCTCCCAATTCTTAGGCCTTTTATACCTGTTTTTCTCCTTCTGTTATTCCATTTAGTTTTTCAATTCATACAAAACCATATCCAGGCCATCACCAATCATTCTACACAACAAATGTTTCTTCTAACAACCCCACAACATCACAACATCATCTAACAACCCTTACCACAAAATCTTCCTTCAGCTTAATCTCTCCAGTGGGAGAGATTAAGGTTCCTATGCCGCCCCTAATCCGGCTCAAAGCAGCCCAGAGAAACATCGCTCATTATCTCTCCATACCATCCCCCCAAATTTTTGCCGTCCCAATACTTTACCACTATTTCATTTTATTTTTCTTATTAATATAAGAAGACAGGAATGTCAGGCCTCTGAGCCCAAGCTAAGCCATCATATACCCTGTGACCTGCACGTACACATCCAGATGGCCGGTTCCTGCCTTAGCTGATGACATTCCACCACAAAAGAAGTGAAAATGGCCGGTCCTTGCCTTAAGTGATGACATTACCTTGTAAAAGTCCTTTTCCTGGCTCATCCTGGCTCGAAAATCTCCCCCAATGAGCACCTTGCAACCCCCACTCCTGCCCGCCAGAGAACAAACCCCCTTTGACTGTAATTTTCCTTTACCTGCCAAAATCCTATATAAAATGGCCCCACCCCTATCTCCCTTCGCTGACTCTTTTCGGATTCAGCCCACCTGCACCCAGGTGAAATAAACAGCTTTATTGCTCACACAAAGCCTGTTTGGTAGTCTCTTCACACGGACGTGCATGAAATTAAGAATATCGTTTTTATTAAAAAATTATGTTCTTAACTCTTTACCCTGAGGCACTGAAATTCTGAAAATTATCAGAAATGATGTCTACAAAATAATCAGTATGATCATGCAAGAAATAGAAGCTGTATAAAAATTCATTTGAGTGTATTAGAATTTGGTCAAGCAACTTTAACTAGAGCTCTTTGGGAGAACAGTTCTACGTTTCGAAAATATCTCCCAAAATTTGTGTGTTGCAAACTGAATTCCCAATATGACAGTGTTGGGAGGTGGGGCCTGATGGGAAGTATTTAGATCATGAGGGCCCTGCCCTCATAAATAGGTTAATGTCTTTATTAAAAAGGCTTGCAGGAGTGGGCTCACTCTCTTACACACTTTGCCTTTACCACTTTCTACTGTGTGAGAACAGAACAGGAGTGCCCTCACTAGATGCTGGACTTCCCAGCCTCTGCACCTGTGAGAAGTGTCTGTTTTTAATGAATTACCTAGTCTCAGGTATTCTGTTATGGAAGCACAAATCAGTACCAGAGAAATAGGGTTTTTCTATAACAAACATGTAAAAATGTGGAAGTGGCTTTGAAACTGGGTAAGAGGTAGAGGATGGAAAGATTTGAATGTGAAGGCTAAAAAAAGCCTAGATTGCCATAAAGAGGGTGTCAAGGGCGATTCTGGTGAGTTTCATGCGCATCCGTGTGAAGAGACCACCAAACAGGCTTTGTGGGAGCAACGTGGCTGTTTATTTCACCTGGGTGCAGGTTGGCTGAGTCCGAAAAGAGAGTCAGCAAAGGGTAGTGGATTTTCATTAGTTCTTACAGGTTTTGGGATAGGCGGTGAAGTTAAGAGCAATGTTTTGCGGGCAGGGGTGGATCTCACAAAGTACATTCTCAAGGGTGGGGAGAATTACAAAGAAGCTTCTTAAGGGTGGGGGAGATTACAAAGTACATTGATCAGTTCCAGTGGGGCAGAAACAAATCACAATGGTGGAATGTCATCAGTTAAGGCTATTTTTACTTCTTTTGTGGATCTTCAGTTACTTCAGGCCATCTGGATGTATACGTGCAAGTCATAGGGGATGCGATGGCTTGGCTTGGGCTCAGAGGCCTGACAGTGAGGGCATAGAAGAAGAGAGCTGCAGGAAAAATCTGAAATTTCTTGGAGATTGCTTAAACTTAAGTGGTTGTGACCATAATGTTGTAGAAATATGGGCAATAAAGGCAATTCTGATGAGGTCTCAGACAGAAATCAGGAACAAGGTGCTGGCAACTGGGGGGAAAGGGCACCCTCCTTACAAATTGATAAAGGACTTGACTAAATTGTTTCCATGCCCAAGGGCTTTATGAAAAGCAGAATTTAGGAGTCATAAACTCTGATATCTGGTAGAAGAAATCTCTAAGCAGCAAAGCATTGAGAAGGCTGTATGGCTTCTCTTAACTAACTAGTAAAATACAAGAAGAGAGAAATGATTTAGAGATGGAATTTATAATCAAAAGGGAAACAGAATATAGAGATTTTGAAAAGTTCAGCCTGGCCATGTAAAGAATTTAAAAACATGTTTAGGAGGAAAAAAACAAGGGTGTGACCACACCATCCTTACTTTGTTAAGGAGATTAGTATGGCTAGAAGGGGGTGCTATTCATTAAGACAATGGGAGAATGACTCTGAAAACATTTGAGATCTTTGAAGCTGTCACTCCCATCACAGGCCTGGAATGCTAGAGCCTGGAAGGCAGAAAAGTTCTGAGGAAGGGAACACCACCAATGGGATGTCAGTGCTCCCCTCCCAGGGCAGCCTTGGGATTCTAGTCCCTGCATTCTGGTGCTGCACCCACAGATGTGACTCAGACGGGCCTATGTGTGACTCTAGCCATTACTCCAGAAGATACAAGTGATAAACCTTGGTGGCATTCACATGGTGCTAATTCTGCTGGCATGAGCTGTGGAGGCATAACTGCTTCCACCTAAATTTCAAATGATGCTGCAGAGACCTGCTGCAGGGGCAGAGCCACCACAGACAGTCCCCACTAAAGCAATGCCTAATGGACTCATAAGGGCAGGGCTGCCCCCAACACCCCAGAACTGTAGGGCTACTGTGGCAGACCAGATCTCACTAACGCAGGCCTCCATAACAACTGTTTCAGTACTGACTGAGTGGTTTAAGTTAAATATTAAAAGCCAGTGCCCTTATACAAAGGCTGGCATGTAACAAAAGCCCACCAAGAGTTTTGCCTAGGCCTTTCCTGAACCTTAAAGCATGATGAAACAAATTTTACTGGGAGTCTGAAGAAACTCCTCAGCTCTCCACAAAAAAAGATTATTGAGAGTCTGAAGGAACTCCCCAGACCTCCGTGATTTAGCAGGAGACAAGATAAGGGAAATCACCCCAGCACCTGGACCCATTTAGATTAGGTAAATTTACTGAGGCTCCAGAGGAAGGTCTTCAAGACTCAGATCTTAGTTATAGAGTAAAATAAGTTCATCACTTATGTCTTTAGATGATTGCACGCTTACACATAGACATATAGCTTAGAAGGAATATAAGCTCTGGAAAACTTTGTAATTTTGAGTTTGTCTGGTAATAATTTCCAGGCTTTCTCCCTGTAACCAGTTACAGAAATAAAAACTCTCTTCCTCCCCAGTTCATCTGCATCTTGTTTATGGGCCATGAGAAATAGCAGCCGAACCCTCAGTTTGGTCCAGGAACACTACCAGTGTACAACAACAGCCTAGGAGAGCTACAAGCATGAGACTTCAACCTGTGAGTGCTGCTGTGTGGACTGAACCCAGCAAAGCCACAGGGTTGGGGCTGCCTGAGGTGTTGGGGGCACAATCTCTGCTCCATTGTGCCCAGAAGGCACAACATGCAGTCAAGGATTATTCCCAAGCCTGAAAATGTAATGTTTTACCTGCTGGACTTTGGACTTAGTTGGGACCTGTTACCCTTTTTCTCTTGTCTATTTCTGCCTTTTGGAATAGGAACGTCTATCCTATGCCTGACCCACCATGGTGCTTTGGAAGTGTGTAATTTGTTTTGATTTCACAGACTCATAGCTGGTGGGGAACTTGTCTTAGGATAAATCCTACGTTGAGTCTCGCCTATATGATATGTAGATGAGACCTTGGAATTAGACTTTAAAGTTGATGCTGGAATGACTTGAGAACTTTGGGAATGTTGGAATGAAATGGAATTGTTTGTGTGCAATGGACAAGAATTTGGGGGGCTGGGGCTGAATGCTGTGGTTTCAATGTGTTCCCCAGAATGCATGTGTTCAAAACTGGGTCCCCAGTGCAACAGTGTTGGGAGGTGGGGCCTAATAGGAGGTAGAACCTTCATAAGTAGATGAATGCCATTATCAAAGTGGCTCTAATTTAGGAGCAGTTTGTATCTTCAGAGTACGGGAACTTAACAACCCTGCCCAGTGGGTTCTCAAAATGCAGCAGATCTGTCACAACTGTGTACACTTCATTTTCACCCTTTTTAAATGGGATTATTTATCAATTACCCACTCTCAGGTATTCTGTTTTAGCAGCACAAAATGGACTCAGACAGTAGTCCTCTCCTGTCTCAAAACATCAACATACTAGATGATTTCTTCTTCTATTTTATTTCCATTTCTCAGTGGAATATGTTACTAGACCTAGGATATGGCTGTTTTGCTAGACACTGTGAAAGAAAAATAAATATTGGGGCCCAAAAATAAGCTAAAGGGAAAAGTCAAGCTGGGAACTGCTGAGAGCAAACCTGCCTCCCGTTCTATTCCAAGTCACCTCTCTGCACACTGAGATAAATGTATATCTGATTGCCTCTTTTGGAGAGGCTAATCAGAAACTTAAACGAATGCCACCACTTGTCTCTTATCTTCCTATGACCTGGAAGCCTCCTCCGGGCTTCCAGTCATCTTGCCTTTGCTTCCAGTTGTCCTACCTTTCCAGACCAAACCAGTGTTCATCTTACATATGTTGATTGATGTCTCATGTCTCCCTAAAATGTATAAAACCAAACTATTCTCTTACCACCTTGGACACATGTCGTCAGGACCTCCTGAGGCTGTGTCATGGGTGCATGTCCCCAACCTTAGCAAAATAAACTTTCTAAATTAACTGAGATGTGTCTCAGATTTTGGGGGTTCACAACATAAAATCTTGAAATTTTTATTTTTGTAATGGCAACTTATAATTTTGAACAATTTTTCTGCTGGTTCATACAAGCATTTAGCCCAGCAGAATGCCCTCCGCTAATGTAAATTTAAGACTTTGTCATTCAAACTCTTGTTTGCAAGAGACAAGTACCCAACTCATGCAGGCTTAAAGAAAAAGAAAATAATTGTATGCTAAAATTAAAAATTTAAGAAATAGATCTAAATTAAGCTCCTTGCTGGATTCAAGATTCAGTGAAGTTCATCTTGAATCTGGTGCTTTTCTTGGAACTAGGATAGTAGAGTAAGCCCCATGCACACCCCACAGACAGTGAGAAGAGGAACATTCCTTTAATACAAAATCAAGGTTCTTTGAGAAGAATAAAGGAAAATGGAGGCAGGACAGACACAATATACCTTTTGTGGATCTAACGGGGTTATGTAAATTTCCAAAACTGCTTCCTGGGCATTGTCTAAACCCAGCTCTGCCAAAAGACCACTGCTGTCCCTAAACAGGAAAATTTCCCATTGAGAGCTCTACAGTGCACATGTGCTTTGTAAAGAAAACATCCATCAACTCCTAATATCATTTCAAATATTTTTCTTCATTTAAATTTTAGCACAGAGGGCTCAGTCCTTCAGTCTATAATACTTCTCTCTAAAAGAAGTTTTCTTGTCAGTCAGACAGTTTTTTCAAAGATCCTCATTCCGCTCCTTCTTCCATTCTCATCCTTTCTCTTTTCAAATGAGTAAAGGACATGATCAGTTAATTTTCACCTCAAACACGTATTTGCTTTTTTAAAATAAAAGTTAGTGAATAAATCAAGAAAATTGATTTTTTTTTTTTTTTTGAGACGGAGTCTCGCTCTGTCGCCCAGGCTGGAGTGCAGTGGTGCGGTCTTGGCTCACTGCAAGCTGCAGCTCCCGGGTTCACGCCATTCTCCTACCTCAGCCTCCCGAGTAGCTGGGACTACAGGCGCCCGCCACCTTGCCCGGCTAATTTTTTGTATTTTTTAGTAGAGACGGGGTTTCACCGTGTTAGCCAGGATGGTCTCGATCTCCTGACCTCGTCATCCACCTGCCTCGGCCTCCCTAAGAGCTGGGATTACAGGCTTGAGCCACTGCGTCTGGCCAGAAAATTGATTTTTAACTGCAATATGTCAACCTTCACTGAGCTGGTGGAGGACGTCTCCTGGGGGATAAATGTATATAAATTGTACTGTTATGTAACCAAAAATAGCCCAAAACCTAGTTAAAAAATCTACCATGTATTATTGTTGATGCAATTACAGTTTACTTGGAAAGTTTTGATGTAGGCCAAGTTCAACACATTTAAGCTTGGTTGGTTTACGTGTCTACCGTCAGTTTGTGGGTAGTGTAACTGAGTACCACCATTTTTCTAAGAGATGGAGAATGAGTTATTTTTAAATATTTTTTTCTCTTGCTTTCTTTCCCACTGCTTCCCAGTTCATACTCAGCTCTTCAGAAATGCAAGTCTAACCTTTTACCTTCCCTTCACCAGACTACCTACAGGACTAGCTTCTCTAACTGGGTGCTTATTTAAAAGCTCCAGAGAGGAATTCTCTTCTACCAGGGGATTGCCTCGAGGGACAACAGTCCATTTACAACCAAAGGAATGCCTGCTACAAAACTCTCTTCCACCTGGACAGTATCTGAGACAAGACCTCTTTACAACCTAGTTCTGCCCACAGTGGTGGCTGCTCAACCACCCGGTAGAAAGGGCACTGAAGCAGTCACGTGGACCCCCACTGCTTGCTCCTTCCCGTGCATGTCATGCATGCCAAGTCCTCTTTTATAAACCCCTGCCTTATGCTCCAAAATTGAAGCAGTACCCTGAAGGTAGGAAGCCTGCAATACTTCCCTGAAGCTAGGTTTGGAATAAAAGGTCACTTTCTTTATACCAGACCTCACTCTGCTAATTGAACTCTGCAAGTGGTGAGTGACTGAAACTGTGTCTCAGTTACAGTAGGCTGCAGGTGACTGTCCCAGAGTAACTTCATTCACGGGTTTGGTGGCTTATTGGTTAGTGGGGGTAATGGTTAGTGGGGATAATGGAGAGACTATACCACATGCCTCAACATCCAGCTGGCAAGCCCAAGTTTGTTCACATGGTGGTGGCAGCTAGGTTACAAAAATGATGGCAGAAAGATAGAAGGTCTATTGGGGCCTAGGCTTAGAACTGGCAGCCTCTCATTTCTGCCTTTTTTTTTTTTTTTTTCAGCCAAAACAATTCTAGAATCTATTTTAGAATGGCTGAAAAGCCACATTATTTGTGGATATGAAATATAAGGTAGATAGTTGGGCCATTTTTATAAATAATCAACCAGTCCTTTCTATTGTCTCCCTCTGGTTTTGTCCTGCCATTCTCACATGAAAAATATACTAATACACTCCATACTAAGATCTCGGATAGCCCCTAAACCCAAGATCCCATAATCAATATCATATCTTGTGGTGACCCCTTAGAGACAACTCCTTGGATCCAAAACTTCTGAGCTAAAAATACAGATTATTTGCCAATTCATTGTGACACAAGAATGGGATAAATAATCCCATTTAAAAAGGGTGAAAATGAAGTGTACACAGTTGTGACTGATCTGCCGTATTTTGAGAACCCACTGGGCAGGGTTGTTAAGTTCCCGTACTCTGAAGGTGCAAACTGCTCCTAAATTAGAGGCACTTTGTCTTCCAGTACTCTTAGCTCGTATATCTGAGTTTCTCCTTCTGAGGTACCCGGTTATTGTTTTCATTATACTCCTTGGTTACCATGAAGAAATAGCTCATATTGGAAACTGAGGAGATTTCTCTGCCTTCTCCCTGCCTGTACAAATTTGGGACTGAGACTTTTTACAGTTTTCACCATCTCAATCCCTTTTAGTTCAGGCTGCTGGCACTTTTGAGAATATAGCCTTCAAACCTTTGTGGTCTTCTCATAGATATGATTTGCGATCACTCAATTCAACAACAGCCACACCCACAATTGACTTCAAGACATTTTTCTCCCTCTATAGACTTACATTCTGTTACTTTGGAAAGAGGCCACTGTGAGATCTTGCCATTCTGTTTCTTAGAAGTCCTTTCTCTTTGCTAACTGAAATAACGCATAGGCACAAACTAAACTCTTTAAGTCTCAACAAAGCATTTAGAGCCTCCTGATTTGACTTTTGTCCATAGAGCTCAGATTTTACTTTGACATATTTTACCTACCAGATATGAGAAACAGTTTTATTTTCCAACCAGACAAGGCCTGGTCCCACTTTATCTCCTCTAAATTTTACTTGCAAATTTCCCAGCTCTTGAAAAAGTCTATTCTCTTTCCCCGTGCCTTATCATATATGGCTGGTATCAACCAGCTGGTACTTTCAATATTCTTTCTGGAGATTTTTAATCCAAAACTGGAGTACATGAGTTATATTTTCCATATTCCTGGTTACTATATGCAATTGTTTTGCCATCTATTTTGTGATTGCATAATATATGGGTTTTCATTTTTCTAGCCTCCAAGAGCAATTTCTTCACCATGTCCTTGTTCAATTTTCCAGCCTTTACCAGCTCCCTAGTCCAACGATTTTATTATAACCATTCCTGTTTCAGGTACCAATTTCTATCATTTATCTATCACTCTGTAACAGACTATCCAAAGAAAGCGACTTAACACAACTAGTTATTATTTCTCACATGTTTATGCATCAGCTGGATGCTTATATTTACCACATTCTTCTGGTCTCATTTTGGGTCTGTTATATGCCTGTGGTCACCAGGCAGATTGGCTGGAGTCTGGTTGGTCATGAAAAGCCACACTCACATGTCTTTTGGATGGATGGCTGGCAGTTGGGGCAGTGGTGGCAATGGGGCCACACAACTAATGCCATTCAGAGCTTATTTGTATGGTTGTGGCAGAACTTAATGAAAAAAAGTCAAAATACAAAGGTCTTTGGAGGCTTAAGCTCAGAACTGGCATGTCAACAGTCTGCCATGTTCTATCAGCAAAAGGCAGTTGTGATGTCAGAACAGATTGAAGGGGTAGACGATTATACTCCACCTACTGATGGGAAAAACTGCAAAGTCGTACTGCAAAGGGTGCATACTCACAGAGGTATGAAGAATCAGGGCCATTTTTGTAATCAATCTTCACATGAGGTCTTCCATAGGTATCAGAAAAATGACACAATGAACGTGGTCGCCTATTGCTAAGACCACCAACATTTCGAACTTGAGTTGACATAAACATATATTTTGCTGCTGTTTCTCAACTCCATTTTCTATTTTACTGAACTATTACTTGAAATATTTTGTAGTTTATGCTCGGCTTGTCATTTAGATTTTGATAACAAAATATAATGTGTTTTAAATATTCTAAATGTTTTCAGGGAGTTAAAAATAAGAATAAGAACTCTAGAGCAATGTTAAAATTGTAAACTCAAAGTGCAATTACCTGCCGGGTGCTGTGGCTCACGTCTGTAATCCCAGCACTGTGGGAGGCCAAGGTGGGTGGATCACCAGAGGTCAGGAGTTTGAGACCAGCATGGCCAATATGGGGAAACCTTGTATCTACTAAAAATACAAAAATTAGCTGGGCATGGTAGCGGGCACCTGTAATCTCAGCTAGTCAGGAGGCTGCAGTAGGAGAATCGCTTGGACCTGGGAGGCAGAGATTGCAGTGAGCCGAGATCACACCACTGCACTCCAGCCTGGGAGACAGAGCAAGACTCCATCTCAGAAAAAAAAAAAAGTACAATTACCAAAAGTAATAACCTAAAGAATATTTGTTTTTATCTTTTATGTTTTTGGTGACCTTAAATAAATCAGTAAAAGTCTTAATTTTATTAGTTCTTCAAAATGTACAGTGTAGCAAAATTAATAATTAATACTTATCTTCAAAACAAATTATCATGATCATTATTGGAACAAATTGATCATAATTAAGAATGGATGGTCGAGATCTGGTAAATAACCCCCTGATTATTTATAATTTTATTGTTGGACCAGAAAGGGCAAGTAGGAGATGTTGAGTCTGCCAGTTATTCGGACGTGTTTGTCATACAGCAGAATGTGAGTAGTGAAGGATTTTGTCAGTATTCAGAGTCCTTCAACCCTAACACCAAGATTTTAACAGGTGGTTCTACCCAGAAAAGAATGGCATTGGAAAGTAGAGTTTCTTTTTTATCTACAGGAAGAAATAATGCAGATCCCTCGCTCTGGCAAACAGCTTTGCATCAGACAACTGGTCTCTGCCATCCCCAGAAGTTTCCATATCAGTACCTCTGAAAAAATAAAATAAAAAAGCTTTCTTTCCAACTAAACAACAAGGCAGAAAGGAATATCAGTGGCCACAGGAGTTATCTTGGGAGGGTTCGAGAACAGTAGCCTTCTGTCAGAGGCCAGTATTTGGACAACTTGAGAAACTGCTAGTCTCCCAACAGGAGACAGCATATTAAAAAAAAAAAACTGCAGTAATTCATCAAAGTGTTTACTTTTCTTGAGTTCCCAGTAATCATTTGGGAGGGAACCCCAAAGAAGAATCGATTTGCTGGGGACTCAGAATCCTATTGCATATATTTTGAAGATTGAAAGAGTAGTAACCTTTCTTACAGATCCCAAACAGGTGAAACAGATCATATCCATAAAGTTAGATAATAAAATGCATTAATGCTAAAGTTATTGTCTACGATGCTATTATTATTAAATAGAAATGACAAATGGAGGAAAAGTGCAGTAAATTATATACAATAGTCTGTAGGGAGTGTAAGACAATAGGTGCAAATGCCAAAATAACTGAGAATGCTTTGAAATACAAAAAAATCACCTCTTTTAATTAGAAATTAATTTATTATTTGCTGTCAAGGTAAGTACCCTTTCCATAGTGACCCAGTAAGCTGCTGTAGATTTGTACATCAGAATGCAAGTTGATTTTTCTCTTCCCAGAGCAGGATTTGATCTAAAAAAACTTCGTTGTCCAAGATTGCTTACACTGTAAAAATTGAGCAAGAAAATAGAGTTAAACTCTGTGTGCAGCAATTATTCTTGCTGTCAGCAGGAGCAAAATTTGCCACCAAAGGAAAATCAAAAGTACTGTCATGTAGAAGTCAAACAGCACTCCTGAGTTCTTTCTTAGATTCCTAGTAAAAATCCTTGGCAAGAACTGCCGTGGCGCATAGTTTCATGAATGTGGGTGAAAACAGATTCAAGTAGCAGGTTTTGTATGGGCATGGAGTGCATTATTCTTTATAGAAATATAGCTAGTGGAGCACTGAGAAATTGTTTAGTCTGAGTTTAAGAATGGGTATTCTCTGAGGGCATCTACTCCTCTTTTCTATACATTTTGAGAGCATACCAGGCATTCCACCTGATCCAACATGCTATATGGCAATATATTTTTCATATTATAACATATATCTATGTCTTTGTCATTTATCTCCTGGCCAAACAATTAATGAGAGGACTACCTTACTTTTGAGAGAAATCCCTTATTGGGCACATATCCTTGGGATATTCACTCTTACTTCACAATTTCTGTATCCTCAGTAACTATCCTACAGAGAACTAGAAAAATGTAAGGAGGAAAAGCTCCTGATCAACAGACAAACTAACTTATAAGCAATAAGTTCCACCGGGAATGTCCTGCCAGCTCTCTGTGGCTTCCTGCCTTCCACCTCAAGATTGCCACCTGTCAATATGCTCATTAGCTTTGTATCTCACTCATACTGTGGTTCTCACTTTCAGAAGACAATGGACTCTGGTTTTATTTTTTTAAACAATGAATGTCACAGATTCTCCAAGAAATTCCTTACTCTTTCAAAAAGCAGGCAGGTTGTGCTTTTTAAAAAAGTTTCACTTTTAATTCTCTTCTAAAGAGACGTATTTATTTTATGTCCTTAAAATTGAAGATTTTGTTGACATATTATTTCTTCCTAGTTTAATTTTGCATTTTGCACTTTCTGATTAGGTGCAGGAAACCCTCAGAGATCTTTGGGCACAGGCTACACTCAAACTTAGATATGTTATATTCAGAGCACAGAAATGATGCTTATCTGGAGACTGTCCCATAGACATTTTAGGACATTTGGCATTTGCTAAAGAAGGCTGCAGTCAGCAGGGGTGGGAAGTCAACGCTGCAGAAAGCCCTAGATGAAGCAGTGGTTGTGGTAGAGAAAAGGGGAGAGATGAAGAGACATTAAGTGAGGGGGCTGGGCATGACAGCAGCCTCTCCATCCACACAGGGAGAGGCGAGACTCCAAGGGCTGTCGAAGACAGATAAGCACGCATGCATGGAATTCAATTTGTGCTGGTCTAGAAGTCAGCGATGCAGTGAATGACACCACCCCGCCCCACACCCCGCCAAGAGCTCCCTTGGATAGTTTGGAAATTAAACCTCCTTTTCAGACCTTCTGATAAGTAGCAGGCAGGGCAGCCCTGCTATGAAAAAGAGAGGGGAGACCAGCATGTACAGGATCTCAAGGGAAACTTCTATTTGGGGGTGAAAAAGTGCATTCATTACATAAAGTCACCGAGTTCAAAGTACTAGAAAACCCGTCCAAGCAAAGGCAATGCCATCAATGTTCTAGTTACTGTAGTTTGGGAAGCCATGAAGCAATGTTCTCAGAGGGAACAGCCAAGTGCTTATTCATATAAAAGAAGTCTACAGCATTAGAAATGAGCAAATGCTGTGAGTACCCTAGTTTCTTGCCAGCAAATATTCCTGAGGGCCTCCTAACCTCCCTGCCAAGAACAGGAACTACTCACCAAAAACAGTAACATTTTGGCCACTGAGAATACCTCGGCTGCACTCCCTAACTGGTGCATACATTGAATATTAAAGAGTATAGGGAAGGACAAATTATAACAATTACATGGCCTCTACCCTGAAGGAACTTGTGTTCTTCTTGGAATAACAATAAACACGCAGAGTACAATGATCCTCATCTCTGGATCCTCCCTACTGAACCACTCCCTGGCCCGGCCAGGCTGGACTAATTTCAGGCTCCTGGCTAAGCTTTCGGTACCTGCTCTTTCCTCTGCCTGAACTTTTTCTTCCCCATCCACCATCCCTACGTCCTCCTTCGTTTCAGACCTTCTTCCGGAATCTTTTCCTGATTCTTTAAATTGAGTAAGATGTGTATGCCCCTCCCCCACATACACATATGATCACATGAACTGTATTTGTGCGCTGCCCCTACACAACGGCCATTGCATCATATTCTACTTCCGTCAGTGTTTCTCTATACACCAACCTTTAGATTATACATCTGGCAGGTACAGGGATCATATTAATCTTGTTCTCTCCTATATTCTTTTTTTTTTTTTTTTTAGACGGAGTCTCGCTCTGTCACCCAGGCTGGAGTGCAGTGGCACGATCTCAGCTCACTACAGCTTCCACCTCCCGGGTTCAAGCGATTCTCCTGCCTCAGCCTCCTGAGTAGCTGGGATTACAGGTGCCCACCACCACGCCCAGCTAATTTTTTTGTATTTTTAGTAGAGACGGGGTTTCACCGTGTTAGCCAGGATAGTCTTGATCTCCAGACCTTGTGATCCGCCTGCCTCAGCCTCGTAAAGTGCTGGGATTACAGGCATGAGCCACCGCGCCCTGCTGCTCTCTCCTATATTCTTAGGACACAGATTTGTACCTGGACATAGTAGGAATTCAGTAGATGATCTCTGCCTAAGTGAAGTAAAACTCCACTAAAGAGGTTTAAAGAGCTTAAAATTGTTTTACTAAGGTTTTTTTTTTTTTTTCTAATTTGAATAATATCAGCATTGAACTGTTTGCAAAAGTCTAGGGAACTCCTAAGGGGTCACTCCACTTGTCACAGGAGCTGAAGGAAGGATTTTTATACCAATAAACTGAAACAGGATAGTGTGTCCAGTTTGACAGTGTCTCTTTCCAGGATTCTTGTACTAACCACCTAATAGTCTGCTTTCTTCTGCTCTGACTCCCTACCTCACATGCCCGTGGAATTCATCCTTTATTCTGTAGACAGAGAGCTCTTCTTAAAACAGAAACTCTGGCTGGGCACAAGTCTCACGACTGTAATCCCAGCACTTTGGGAGGCCAAGGCGAGCAGATCACTTGAGCTTAGGGGTTTGAGACCAGCCTGGCCAACACAGCGAAACCCCGTCTCTACTAAAAGCACAAAAATTAGACGGGCATGGTGGTGGGCACCTGTAATCCCAGCTACTCGGGAGGGTGAGGCATGAGAATTGCTTGAACCTGGGAGGCAGAGGTTGCAGTGAGCCGAGATGGTGCTACTGCACTCCATCCAGCAAGACTCTGTCTCAAAAATAAATAAATAAATAAACAAACAAAATGAAACAGAAACCTGAACATATTCTCTAAGATGCTTTGCTGGCCATCCAACCCATATCTATATTCCATATGTATAGAATAACTTTCAAGCTACTGAACATAGAACATAAAGCCTTCTGTTATTTGACCCCTGCCCACCTCCTCAACTTCAAATCTCATCAATTTATGCTTCAAAATATGTACTCTAACAAGATGAAACCATTTGTTTCCATTGCTATGTCACCTATTTGTGAATAATAAAATTACACAGATAATATGAAATCACTTACATATTTACCTAAAGCATAAACTCTACTGCCAAAGCAAAAGTATGGGAAATTATACCACTTCCTTTCATACTCTTCCCAATTGACAGGCAATCCTACAGTTTACCTCCTTCTCTTCTTTAAAGCTATGTAGTGTCCGTTTTAAACTTAACTCTGCAGAATATTTTAAATGTATCTCATCGTATAGAATTATTAGAAGAGGAAGGAGTTCAGTGCTTAAGTATCTCTTCTACAACACACTACAGTGTAGACCGAATTTAAGGGACAATGAATCCACAGCATAGTCTTTGTGTACAATGAACTCAGTTATCGTGCATGGCCAGAACACGGTAACCCTTCATGGCCAGGAGTTTGTCCTCCTACCTGCACCTGACTGATGTCCTGTATCCTGCAGGGTTTACTGCTGTACCGATCCCCTTTACACTTTGATATCAAATCTATGATAGAGAACATAATAAAGAGCATTATTTTAGAGCAACTGCTAAATATTTTGATCAAAATTACATTCATATAAAAAGCTACCTAGAATTGCCACTTCCCAATGCATTCTTAGAGAATTGCATACATTTTGTGGAATGAGGTGCAATGGAAACAGGCTAGCCATTGGTAATATAGATGTGAATCAAAGGCATGTATTATGTATAAATGCATAACTTTTAACCACTGAGTATTGCTGGAATAACACAGATGTGCCCCAGCTGTACTGCTAGAGGCTTTCAGCAACTTCCACATAAAAGCTATTTATTTCTAAGATTAGTTTATTTGACTTAGGTTGCAGTTATCATGACAATAGCAAATATATCTTGTTAACCGAGATTCTTATTTTAGTTTGAATTTGGCTCTCACGTTTTAAAAACATACTAAATTATTAACAATTCTAATAAATGAATACTCTTTCCCCCTTGATATTCTATTATCTATTTAACATATTCAAATGTTTTAAGATTATATTCAAATTTTAAAAAATTATGCATATAAGAATATATTTCAGACCCCTTTTTCAACTAATTTATATGAAATTGATATCCCTATGCAAGAAGTCATAAAAGGGGAAGAAAAATTTCCATGGTTCAAATTTAAGGCTTATTTTTTTCTCGTTTCTATAAGACCAGCTCAAATGTCAGCACATCAGCATATCATTTCATTTTCATTGAGCTGTTTGCCCGGTATTCACAAATCCAATTACTTTTCTGTAGCATCAAACAAGATTCTTATATGATTTTATTCTGCACTGAATTTCCTTCCTGCTGTTTTCTGCTTTGCTTGCTTAAAAAAAAAAATCTTCCATTTTTTGGTGATGTATCAGCAGGTTTCATCCTCATCATGGGTGAAACAAACATTCATCCAAGAAGTGAATAGCAGCCTTGCTTCACACATTGAATCTAGTTAAAATGAGGTATCATTGTACAGTTGTTTTCCTGCCAACGATAAGCTTTAGTTTATGACATATAAAACACAGGTCCTCACTTTACAGTTTACTTTTACTAAGGACCTGATCCTGGATTTTCTTATAAATTAAGCCTTCTTGACCTTCAAATCACCCCTCTTTACAGCAATATTTTTGTATTTATTATCCTACAGAATGTTTACATGTAAAAATTACCCTTTCTCTCACTCTTAAAGTAGATATAGATCATTCATTCAATTCGAAAGTGAAATTTGCATTTGTTACTTAACATTGGTCACAGAGAAAACATGATGGGAACAAAGAATAGAGACAGATTAACTCAAGGCAAATTTGCAATAGCAACTCATCAGCGTTTGAGTGGCCTCACAGTGAGACACACACTGTCTCACATGTCAACCTCTGTAAGCCTTTCCTACAGTTCAGACCATTATTATTTTAGAAATTGCAAAAATTGAAAACCTTCAAACAAATGAATGTCAATGGGAAATGTAGAGAATTGGGCAACATGAATTTCAAATTCTCTCTCTCAGTGCTCCTGAAACTTGAGTCATTTAAATTATGTCACTATTTGGCATTAGTAATGCACTCTGTCGACAAGGAATAAATAAGAAGCAGGAACCTGAAGCTCCTAAATGAAGCTCAAAAATCCTTAAGGCATATTGCCATCAGGTGCATCATATGTTACTTAATTCTGTGTCACCCTTTCTATAAAGTAAATTGACAGAATTTGGAAACTGTATCTGTCTTTCAAGTTGAAATACCAACTAATATCATGGTGAATAGTTTACATTGGGTAAAATCCTTTCACTAACATATCAAGTGATTTCTTAACAACTTTGTAAATTGTAACTATACCTATTTTACAGCTGTGAAAATGGGATCAGCAAAGCTAAAAACAAAACTTTATAACAGTCAGAAGATTAACTGTTACAGCTATGACAAGAACTTAGGCCATCTGATTCTGCCACCAGTGTCCCCACGATAAACAAAGTGATGATGGGAGTTCACAGCCCCTTTCTTTGAGAAAATGGTCCTGCCCGTTAGTTATCTAATTTTTCTAAGTGTAATTTGCTCTTACAGTAGTATCTATTTGGACACTGTAGCTGATTTTGAGCTACACATGCTGACTTAGATGTAATCACATTTCTGTATGCTTTCAGGCCTCAGTGATTAATTATTTCTGTGCCTGACATCACCATAACAGGCCACCCAGAAATTCTGAATACAGAAAGATGCAGCCTATTTAATAATGGTAGTGAGTTTTAAGTGGCATATTGAAGGGGATTTTAGAATCTTTTCTTTTCTTGCTAACTTTAAAATGATAGCAGTTGAAAAAATGTTATATAACTAACTAGGCTCCTTTCTGCCTCAGAAACAAGTTTTATTGAGATGTCTGACATAACAGGCTGATCATTTGCCTATGGTTCCTAGAGTTATAGAGGCAGAAGAAGCCCACAGTGCTCTCTCCACAATCACCCACTGACCCATGTGTCTTGCACCAAATTTCAACTGATAATTTCTTTTTCTGTCATGTGTCTGTATTATGAAAATGTTTGTCCTTCTTCATTTAGATTATAAGCAGAAATCAGGGCAGATTGCATTGATGATTCTAATTCTCTACTGCAATTTGAGTCCTTTTACTGCTCACTCTTACCCTTTCCCCACACTTGTCCAAGGGCAGGAGAAGATGGGTGTTTCAGCTCAAGGAGGGTAGTAATTTGCTTTCCCTTTATGTTTTTGTTCTATTTGGCCCTCAGTGGGTTGGATGATGCCCACCCACATTGGTCCATTTTTGCACTGCTGTAAAGAAATACCTGTAAGTGGTTAATTTATGAAGAAGAGAGAATTAATTGGCTCATGGTTCTGCAGGCAGTATAGGAAGCATGGTGGCTTCTGCTTCTTGGGAGGTCTCAGGAAACTTACAATCATGAGAGAAGGTGAAGGAGAACCAAGCATGTCCTACATCGACAGAGCAGGAGTAAGAGAGAGGGGGAAGGTGCTGCACACTTTAAGAAAATCAGACCTCACGAGAACTCATTCACTATCATGATGACAGGACCAAGGGGGATGGTGTTAAACCATGAGAAACCAACACCGAGATCTAATCACCTCCCACCAGGCCCTACCTCCAACATTGAGGACTACAATTAAACATGAGATTTGGGCAGGGACACAGATACAAACCATATCACTCAGTCTACTGATTCAAATGCTAATCACTTCCAGAAAGACCTCCACAGACATACGCAGGCATGTTTTACCAGCTATCTGGGTATCCCTTGACTCACTCGACACATAATATTAACCATCACAATGAGCTTTTACAGATGAGTGTATTAATATTACATTTTCCATTTCTACTCCCAAAAATCATTACAAACTTAAACATGATTCAGCAATGATGCAGTGATGGCTTTCAATAAATCATTGCTATTGATATCATGCCTTAAAATTCCAACTGTGAAAACTTGTCTATACTAGCCATGTTTGAACCTAGGGACTTGGCAGTATTTTCTTGGCGAATGGTTTTTAACATGAAAATAGAAATTTGTGTATAAATTAGAACATACACAATTTTATTTTATAACAAAATTAATAATAATAACATTGTTCAATTAACTTTGAAGAAAGAGTAAGACAAGAAGACAAAACAGGCTGAAGACTGAAGTAGTGCCTGAGCAGAAAATATCTTACAGGCCATAGAAAGAAGTTTGGACTTTATCTAGGAGCAATGGGAATCTGAATTCATTCCCTAAGGCTGCCATAACAGTCTCACCAAATGGGTGGCATAAGACAACAGAAATGTATTATCTCACAGTTCTGGAGGCTAGAGGTCCACAATGAAAGTGTCAACAGGGCTGTATTTCCTCCAAAGTCCCCAGAGAAAAATTCTCTCTTGTCTCTTCTAGCTTCTGGTGGTTGGTATTGTTGGCTTGTGGCAGCATCCCCCCAATCTCTGCCTTCATCTTTACATAGCCATCGTCCCTCTGCCTGAATCGATGTCCAAATTTCTCTTTTAAGAACATCAGTCATTGGCCTAGGGCCCACCATAATCTAGTATGAACTCATCTTAACTTGATAACATCTGCAGAGAAGCTATGTCCAATTAAGACCACATTTGCAGGTTCTGAGTGAACATGACTTTTGGGGGGACAATATTCTAATTAGGAGCCTTATTCCATTAAATGTTATATATTAACATAGAATCTTCTTTAAATATGGACAGTACTTATTAAACATCTCAAATATTTAAAAATTTTGATACATAGCACAACAAAATGATTTCTCTAAATTATTTTGTATTTTTAAGATCGTGTACTTGAAATTTAATTTCTATGTTTCTGATTGGTTTATATTTAAATAATCAAAAATACCTGTTTGCCCAGGTTTAATAGTTTGATATTTTACATATACACACACATATACATATATAAGACATATGCAGGCAGACAGAAAAAAAGAGAATTATAGTACCAAACACATCAATAACAAATGCAGATTAAGAAGCTTCAAGGAAAAATATAATCTAATATGATAATGAAAAGAATAATTTGCTTAATTTAAATTTTATTTGACATTTTCATTGCTAAAAGGCTTGCATAGGCAGAGTAAAAATAAATTTCTATCATATTTTAGAAAATATCTAGAATATAGAGTTTATTGTCAAGGGCAGTTTCAAAATCCAAATAAATCCCTAGATTATATAATAGCAAATTTCCAACCAATTCAGCCATGTAACCCATGAGAATAGATTTTCTCCAGAAATTTTAATGCTTCTTTATTAATTTCTGGAAGAAAAATTCTAGGAATATATATTTTTTCTCTTTATCTATGTATTTGGTTCATTGTTTTCTCCTCCAAATGATGAGGAAAAAGTCTTTATGGTGCATTTCCGAAACAAGTGAAATGCTTGTATAGAATTGAGTTCCTGAAGCTGATAACACTGTAAACGTGTAGAGACTATGACTTTGAAGGAGTTCATCAGGTTTACATTTCCAGCAATTGAAAGTATATGGATTTTACGTTGATGATAGAACAAGGCTTTAGAAATGTCACTGTGGTGTCTTGTCAATACTCAATACACAGTTGCCTCTACCTCCCTTTCCCAGTGCCACAGTTCCTCCTTCTCACGCCTATCTTCTGGTGAAACATTCAAGTAAATGAATACTCACAATGAAGTCCTTGTGTAAAGCCTTATAATAGGCAGCCTTCTTATATTCTGGACTAGTTTCTGAATTCATGACTCCATGGATGAGTATCTCAAGTACGTGAACATCCTGAAGTTGTATTCAGCATTGAATGGGGATAAATTATTAAAGTCACCATTACATATTTGGATGGGAGAACACAGAGAAGGAAGTGTTATGTGATTTGCAAAATTGCAAAATTTATAAGAACCCCAAAAACAATTTCCCAGGTAATATAAAGATATAAAAATATCTTGTAGTTTCAAGCAGTCTGTACTTGCATATAAAGTTTGTTTCTAACTCCTGTGAATTTAAGAAAGTAAAGCATCTCACAAATACCAGGGTGGACTTTTGAACTAAACCTATTCTACTGGCTCTAAGCATTGAACAGAAGTATCTCCAAAGGAGGTCTGCCATGGAATCGACAATTAGCCTACTTACAAGATCATTAATGTCATGCTACAATGAAATATTTGAACATAAATAGCTATTTTTAAAAAGTCTCTAAAATCATGCTGTTGATGCAGAAAGAGAAGTAAATTGAAATTCAATTAGTTTCTACTTTTAGAACTCTTTTAATTATCAGGTTGGGGAACCGTACCAATTGAATCCCCATTCAATAGGGGCATGAATTTTTAGGACTCTCCTAAATTTCATGTACATATAAAATCTTTTGTGATGCGAAGCATTTGGAAGTATTGTTCACAAACGGAAAATAACTAGAGCAATGTAAGCAGCACTTTAACACAGATTCTGTACTAACTTACCTTCAGAATCTGGGGTTTTACTTTACTTCATCATGTATACATTGCACATGTTCCAGCTCTCAGAACCTCCTGGAGTTTGGATTAACAGGAAGAAATAGATAAGCAGCAACTATCATAAATGTTCCTTATACATTTTGGCCTTGGGTCTACACTGATATAGACCGGTAAGTGTAAACGTTTCTTCATCTTACAGCTTCTTTACTTCACTGTTTTATTTTTTTTTCTCCTCCAAAAAGAAGCTACAAAGAACCATTTTCAAAATATATAAGGAAACTCTACACATCAGTTTTAAAATCCCGAGCAATCCAATTGAAGAAAGTGACCAAAATATTTGAACAGGTACTGCAAAGAAGAGAGTATCTAGATATAAATAAGACAATGAAATCATCTCTAGTCAATGAAAAATGCTCACTAAAACCACAAGTAGATTCTACTGCACTCACACAAATGGCAAAAAAAGCCATACAAAAAAAACCAACCTCAAGATTTATAAAAGATACGGAGCATCTACATTTTCTCATGTAATCTAGGTTAATAAAATCATTTCAATAATCTTAGCAGCTGCTAATACATCTGAACATAAAGCACACACATCACCCAGTGGTTCTATGTTTAAATATATACCCAACATTAACTAACATATATTTAAGCCAAAAGACAAACATAGGACTGTTTTTAGCAGTATCATTCACAACAACTAAAAACAGAAAACAACCCACACATCCATACATAAAATAAAATATCATACAGTGATGAAGAAGAACAAATCATTGAAGTATGCCACACAGTAATAAATTTCACAAACGTGATATGGACTCCCACAAATTCCAGACCCAAATAGTAAATACTTTAAAATTTAGCTTGAAAGCATTTAAAAGACAGGCAAAAGTAACCTTTGGTGAGAGGTCAAAACAGTGGTTACCATTGGAGTTATTGACTGAAAGAGGGCCCAGGAAAGCCTTCCAGGATGCCAAAGATGTGGTGTATTCTTAACAGTTATAACGGCATATAAATATGTAAAATTTATCAGGTTGAACTTTCAAGATTTGTTTTAAATGTATGTATGTATGCGATTTTGCATAAGCACATACACATGCATATTTTACTTCAATAAAAATGTCATGTACATACATTTCAAGCAAATTTTTATATGCTTTGTATGGTTCTTAGTAATGTGTCAAGGAATTTTAGGTGACCAGTAGTTATTATTTTCTTCTCAACCAGTAGTCTGACACAATTAATATTCTGAAATAACTACTAATCACAATAATAAGATATCAAAGAAATTAAAATGTAAGACAGACATACATTTTAATGCTTTGCTATTTCTACATAAAGGAATATCTACCTTAAAAATTATTACAGAAAGCAGATAACATATTGTGATATATTAGCAAACAACAATCAAGATTTCAATGGGGCAAATGGCCACATTTGCTTAGAATGAGTGGACAAAAACGTGTGTACATTCAAAAGTTTTGCATTAAGCCAGGATTATTAAAAAGCCTGAAATATTCCCAGGCAGGTTGGTATCATTTTAACTCACAAACAGCAATTGCAAATCTTCCTTCAAAAAAAATTCCAAATTTAGGCCCTCAGATTTGATACAAATTGAATTAACCCAAATATCAGGTCACAATAAAAGCTTATCAAATAAACAGACGAAAAAAAGGTAGGTTTTCTTCAAAACTTCTGATATTAAGTTTATTATATGTGGGTTTTACATTGCTTAATCTGAAATATTTTTTAAAAAAACCATGAAATCAGGAAAATAAGACCGCAAGACATAGGTATAAAAATGACTTGGCATATTTGAAAATGAACCATATTCCATTTTGAGAAATAAAAAGTATACTCATTGAAATAAAAATGCAACAGATTTGCTAGAAAACAAGCTAAACACCACAAAACAAGAATCAGTACTCAGAGGATATATATGAAGAAAGTACTTCGAATGAGTCTCAGAGGCATCAAAAATACAAAAGAATAGTTAAGAAACAGAAGAAAATGAGACTAAGAGAAGAAGAGATACTAGCTGAAAAGGACATGAATGTGCAGACACAGGAAACGCAATCCAGAGGGAAATTTCATAACTAAATCTGTTGTAGAATATCATAACTACAGAATGGTTATATCAGAACCACAGGATATAAAAAAAATTCTTAAATTCAGTCAGGAAGAAAAGTCAGATTACCTACAATGTACAAGCTACAACCATTAGACTAAGGGTAAAGATCTTAACCACAATATCAAAGTTTAGAGGAAAGTGGGAGAATATCTTCAAAGTTCTAGAAGAGAATAACTCTCAAGGCAGAATTATATACCCAGAAAAATAATTTTTTTCTAAATAAACATGATATAAGAACTTTTTTGTAAACAAAACTGAGAAAATATATCACCAACAGAGATTCACCAAAATAATTCCTACGTACTTCAATAAGAGAAAACACACATACATACACACTCACACACAGAGTCTGCAATAGAAGAGGGAAAATTGAACAAATAAATTGGTAAGCCTCAAGGTAAATATAAACATGTTTATAAAATAATAGTAATTATAATAAAATAATAATGCCTTAGATTATTATTATTCTAGGTAATTATAGTCTGTAAAGTCACCATGAACACTAACATACTGGAAACTGAATCATTGTTCTAAGGGAAAATATAGGGTCAGTTTCTTTTTTTACTCCTTCCAAATTTTATTTTATCTTAAAGGGGTACATGGACTGGTTTGTTGCATGGGTAAATTGCATGTCACAGGGGTTTGGTGTACAATTTTGTCACCCAAGTAATCAGCATAATACTCAATAGGCAGTTTTTCAGTCTTCATGCTCCTCCCATCCTCCACCCTCAGGTAAGATGTGGTGCTGTTGTTCCATTCTTTGTGTCCGTGTGTACTCAATGTCTAGCTCCCACTTATAAGTGAGAACACACAGTTATGGTTTTCAGTTTCTGAATTAATTCACTCAGGATAATGGCCTCCAGCTCCATTCATGTTTCTACAAAGGCCATGATCTCATTCTTTTTTATGTCTGGGTAGTATTTCAAAGTGTATATGTACCACATTTTCTTTATCCAGCCCACCATTGATGAACATCTAGGTTGATTCTATGTGTTTGCTATTGCGAATAGTGCTGCAATAAACAGAGGCATTCATGTATCTTTACGGTAGGATTTATATTTCTTTGGGTACATACCCAGTAATGGGATTGCTGGGTCAAATGATAGTTCTCTTTTGATATGGATTGGCTGTGTCTCCACCCAAATATCATCTTGAATTGTAGCTCCTATAATCCCCACACGTTGTGGGAGGGACCTGGTGGGACATAGTTGAATCATGGAGGCAGGTTTTTCTCATACTGTTCTCATGATAATGAATACATCTTACGAGAGCTGATGGTTTTATAAAGGGCAGTTCCCCTGCACATGCTCTCTTGCCTGCCACCATGTAAGATGTGCCTTTGCTCCTTCTTTGCCTTCTGCAGTGATTGTGAGGCCTCCCCAGACATGTGGAACTGTGAGTCCATTAAATGTCTTTTTCTTTTTAAATTACCCCATCTCAGGTGTTTCTTCATAGCAGTATGAAAATGGACTAATTCAGCAAACTGGTACTGGTAGAGTGTTGCTGCTTTAAGGATACCAAAAAATGTAGAAGTGAGTTTGGAACTGGGTAACAGGCAGAGGTTCTAACCAACTTTGGAACAGTTTGGAGGGCCCAGAAGAAGATAGGAAAATGTGGAAAAGTTTGAAACTTCCTAGAGACTTGGAGGACTCAGAAGACAGAAAGATGTGGCAAAGTTTTGAACTTCATAGAGACTTGTTGACAGGCTTTGACCAAAATGGTGATAGTGACATGGACAATAAAGGCCAGTCTGAGGTGGTCTCAGGTGAAGATGAGGAACTTATTGGGAACTGAAGCAAAGGTGACACTTGTTATTCTTTAGCAAAGAGACTGTCGGCATTTTTCCCCTGCCCTAGACTTCTGTGGAATTTTGAACTTGAGAAAAATGATTTATGGTGGCCGAGGGAAGAAATTTATAAGCAGCAAAATGTTCCAGAGGAAGAAGAGAATAGAAGTTTGGGAAATATGCAGTCTAATGATGCAATAGAAAAGAGAAACCTATTTTCTGGGGAGAAATTCAAGCCTGCTGCAGAAAGTAACAAGGAACTGATTGTTTATCACTAAAACAATGGGAAAAATGTCTCCAGGGCATGTCAGAGACCTTCACAGCAGCCCCTCCTGGAGGCCTGGAGGCCTAGGAGGAAAAAATGGTTTTGAGGGCTGAGCCCAAGTTTCCTCAGCTATGTGCAGCCTAAAGACTTGGTACCCTGCATCCCAGCTGCTCCAGCCATGGCTAAAAGGGGCCAGGGTACACTTCAGATCTTGGCCCCTTTTAACCAGTGGCCTTAGAGGGTACAAGCCCCAGAGCTTGCCAGCTTCCACATGATGTTGAGCATGCAGGTGCATAAAAGTCAAGAATTTAGGTTTGGGAACCTTCACCTAGATTTCAGAGGATGTATAAACATACCTGAATGTCCAGGAAGAAGTTTGCTGCAGGGGTGGAGCCTCGTGGAAAACCTCTGCTAAGGCAGTGCAGAAGGGAAATATGGGGTCAGAGCCCCACACAGAGTCCCTACTGCCTAGTAGGGCACTGCCTAGTGAAGCTGTGAGAAGAAGGCCACCATCCTCCAGACGTCAGAATGGGAGATCCACCAATAGCTTGCACTGTACACCTGGAACAGCCTCAGATGCTCAATACCAGCCCATGAAAGCAGCTGGGAGGGGACCTGTACCCTGCAAAGCAACAGGGGCAGAGCTTTCCAAGTCTGTGGGAGGCCACTCCTTGCATCAGTGTGACCTGGATGTAAAACATGGAGTCAAAGGAGATCATTTTGGAACTTTAAAGTTTAATGACTACCCTATTGGATTTTGGATAAGCATGAGGCCTGTGGCCCCTTTGTTTTGTCCGAGTTCTCCCAGTTGGAATGGCTGTATTTACCTAATGCCTGTACCTCCGTTGTATCTAGGAAGTAACTAACCTGCTTTTGAATTTAGAGTCTCATAGGTGGAAGGGATTTGCCTTGTCCCAGATGAGACTTTGGACATGGACTTTTGAGTTAATCCTGGAATGAGTTAAGATGGTGGATTGTTGGAAGGGCATAACTGTGTTTTGAATTGTGAGGACATGAGGTTTGGGAGGGGTAAGGGGAAGAATGATATGGTTTGTCTCTGTCCCCACCAAAATCTTATCTTGAATTGTAGTTCCCATAATCCCCGTATGTCGTAGGAGGGATCCTGTGGGAGTTAACTGAATCATGGATGCAGGTTTTTCCTATTCTGTTCTCATGATAGTGAATAAGTCTCATGAGATCTGATGGTTGTATAAAGGGCAGTTTCCCTGCACAAGCTCTCTTGCTTGCCACCATGTACAATATGACTTTGCTTCTCCTTCGCCTTCTGCTATGATTGTGAGGCCTCCCCAGCCATGTGGAACTGTGAGTCCATTAAACCTCTTTTTCTTTTAAATTACGCAGTCTCAGGTATTTCTCCATAGCTGTATGAAAATGGACTAATACATCTTTTAAGTTTTTTGAAATTTCTGAAATCTCAAAAACTCAAAACTTTCCACAGTGTCTAAGCTAATTTACATTCCAACTAGCTGTATATAAGCATTTAGGGTCAGATTTTTGAAAGCCTCTGGTCACAATATTCATCAACTAATCAATACATAACATTATTTTATACATATTCGTGTTTAAAATGTCTTATTTGATATATTATTTTTACAAATAATTATATGTAATTATCTTTATAATAAAATAACTTTCCAATTGTAGCATTTTTTGTAACATACTCCACTGCACTGTGATTGTACTATTTTAACTCTTTTACTTGGTAAGACACACACATATACAAACAGTAAACATATGCAGTATTCACAATAAATACACACGGTATGCAGGCACTGTATAGTACTCATATGTAGTAAACACACACAGTGCTGTGAACACATATTATACAAAAGGTATAATACAGTCGTGCAAATAAATTCCTGAAGAAACCCTTGAAATAAAAACCAAGCATTTACATTTTAGAAAAACATTAACTAACATTTTACTTTGAATTGAGCTACAGTATGTCACAGGGCAGGATACTGTGGGGTTAACCTCTTAACATTGGCTTGCCCCAAAACCCAAAGGACAGGTTGGTGGAAGTTACTCTGCAGAAGGAGATGTTTGATGAGGATAGTATTTGACATCTTAAATTCCAATCTCTGGAATTTGATCCTTTCAACTTTTTGAGATCATAGGCCATTTTCCCCTCCTGACTGGCTTAAAATTGCATCCACCTTATTTCTTTGGCTTTTGCCTCAAATCTTTAAGCACTTCAGTGTAAGAGGTGAACACAATGGAGGCGAGTTTAAACTAGAGGCTGTGTTCTAGCATATGTTCACATTCCTTCTTGTCATTGAAAAACTTTTGCCAGGCAAAATTCCATTCTAGTATTTTGGCTGCCATAAAATAAACAATTCTTGGAGTCTTGGGTTACTCTCATTGCCATCCTTTTCCTTTCTGACTTATGCCTTGTTTTTCCATCTTGTTTAAGTATTTATTGGTGGGTTTTAGGGCTTTGTCTGCCAAAATTTTCTCCACGAATTTTTTCTTTACATCATTGATGTCTTCTACACTTATTTGCCATGAAGTATACATTATATTTTTAGCACTATTTTATTTTCCATAACACCTCCAAAGCTTTCCAAAGTTTTTATCCAGTATACCTTAAAAGCTTTTAAAATGCCCTGAATAAGAGGTGGCATGACAGATGTAGAGATTTAGTGTATAAAAATAGCTTCTATGTTGGAGTAGATTTTTTGCGTTCGCAGCAATATTCTGGGACATTATCCAATATTAATAAAATATTGAAGGCAAGGTTTTTGCCTTGGAGATAGCATTCAGTTTCTGGGATGAAGAAGTTGTGGAATATATACCAGAATATCAGAGTGCCATACACAGTTTTCTTTTTCTCATCACTGAGCTATAATACATTTTTTTTCTTTAAATGCTCATGGATTTGGGGCTTTTAACTCCATTAGAGGATTACACTTAAAGTTTCTCTTAGGGCACAAGGCCACCCCAGTCTTTGAAATATTTAAAGCTAGGACTTTGGGGCCATTTGTTCCACATAGATTTGTTTGTCAATGTCTTTGTAAAACAGGCCAGCCTCATAGATATTGAAAATCTCTTTGTCACATAACTACTTCTGTATAACACGTAGTGAGTATTTTTGTTTTGTTTTGTTTTTTGAGACAGGGTCTCACTCTGTCACCAGGCTGGAGTGCAGTGGTGTGATCTCGGCTCACTGCAACCTCCAACTTCCTGGTTCAAGCAATTCTTCTGCCTCAGCCTCCCACGTAGCTGGGATTACAGGCCCACACCACCATGCCCAGCTAATTTTTGTATTTTTAGGAGAGACAAGGTCAATCTCCTGACCTCGTGATCTGCCTGCCTAGGCCTCCCAAAATGATGGGATTACAAGCATGAGCCACCATGCCCAGCCAGCAAGTATTTTAAAAACCATTCTATTGCCTCTAGATTTTCAGAACCTGCCTCGCCTTCAAGCTTAACATTTTTCTTGTCATATCACCTTTTGAAATGTGTGAGTTAGCCAGCACTAGCCAAGAAATATTTAAAATTCTTCTGATCCTGGGTAACATGACTAAATTTCTTTGGATTTCAACCTCAAAACAGTGATGTTGGCTATAGTTTTTTATAGGTAGTCATCTCATGAATCCACAAATATAGCTGCTTTTAAAATCTTTTCCAGAGTACCATCACATAATTTAGATGCTATTTTATCACTTCTTGGAGGGCCCTATGCACAGATCAGTGATTTTTCTTTTCCATTTTCTGTATGTACTTCACTGTTGCTCCATAAACATTGCACGTACCACCACAATAACTATAACTTGTGCCTGAATAAAACTTAACTCATTTTTTCTCCCTACAACTCATCACAGTCTTCTTGCACTTAGAAACATGAGACAGCACTTCAGCACTATACTTGAGAAACATTCTAAACTGCAAAAATGCCAACAAAATGCATCAAAATGCCAAACACATGATAGTAAATAAACCATAAGAAAGATACTTGTTTATAGTATGACTGTTAAAAAAAAAGCAGAGTGCAGTATTGTTCTCTCTTAGCTTGGAACATTCATATGAGATGACTCAAACTTTTTCCACATCATGCATGTTATTGAATTACTGCAAAAGCATTAGGAATATTGCTTTGGGGGTTACAAGTAAATTTAGCAAGTAGACAAATTTAAAAATATATACTCTGAAAATAATAAGAATAGACTGCACTTCATATAGTTTCTATTTATTTTTTATCGTTGCTATAACAAATTACTGTAAGCTTAAAACTTACCACTTTCTTTTCTTACATTTCAAAGGATCAGAAACCAATGCACAGGAAGACTCAACCAAGTCCTCTGCTCAGAGCCTAATAAGAGTAAAATCAAGGTGTCACTTGGACAAGGTGTCTTATCTTGAGGATCTGGGGAAAATTCTGCTTTCAATTTCTTTCAGGTTGCTAGGGGAATCCAGTTCTTTTATGTTATGCTTTCCAAACGGTCACCTCCGTCTTCAAGCTACCTGTGGCAGTCAGTCCTTTCCACACTTTGAATTTTACTGCCTGTTTCTTCTGTTGCTAGCCTGAGAAAAAATCTCTGCTTTTAAGAGTGCATGTGAGTAGATTAGGTGCACCTGTATAATTCAGCCATATCTCTTTATGTTAAAGTCAGCTGATTTATAATGTTTATGAAATCTGCAAAGCCCCCTTTGCCATATAACCTGTTTATGAGGGCAACATGAGGGTCCAAAATTTGTGGACATCAAAGTGGTTTTGACCACGCAGTTTTAAAATCACAGAGCTAAAATATCATACAATAGCATTCAGGTTTAAAAGTTTATAAGACTAAAGGCTTTAGGTGTTACAGAGTTGTTAGGGAAATGTTAATGTAAATATTAAACTTCATTAAGTTTGGTAATACAGTTTCAAGGGTAAACATTAAGAGCAGTAAAAAAAAAAAAAAAAAGATTAGAAAACCAAGAAAAATCCTATCCTACCCTTCAATGAAGTAAAAAGAGATGAAAATATAAGACAGAGGAAAAAGAGGGAAAAGAATAAAGTACAAAAAATAAAGAGAGAAAAAAATAAAGCACATAATAAGATTTCAGAGATGAGTCCAATAATATTCCAAATCAAAGGCTCACCAATTAAAACAAATTGTCAAGATAGATATAAAATCAATACAACTATGTATTATTTTCAGGAGATGAACTTAAAACCTAAGAATGCAGAAAGCTTAAAAGAAAAAGGATAGAAGGAAGAAATTCCAGATAACACTCAAAACATTAGTTTCCAAAATGTCAGTTTAGAAGCAAGCTGGCTCCACCCATCCTTGCACATGCACACACACACAGAAAGAGAAAGAGAGAGAGAAAGAGAGAGAGAGAGAGGAAAGAGAGAGAGAGAGAGGAAAGAGAGAGAGTGAGGCGAGGGTAGGGGGAAAACAAAAATCAAAAAACAAACAAACAAAAAAACACATTTACAGCACTGAAATTTTCACCAACAATATCCTGGAACTCAAATATGAGTGAGCCAATTCCTGAGGCCAAAAAGAAATGAGAAAACTTCAAGCAGATAATAAGAGAATCAGACTTCTGTATGTGAGATAGCCTTCCCCACAGTCTGCCTGACACCAAGCACATGGAAAATTTCCCCCAACTTTTGATTTCTACACTAGAAAAATGAGATCAAGGTTGACAGTCAGCTTCTCCACCATCCTGGGTTCCCTGGCAAGAGATCCGTCCCTGCCTCAACCCAAAGAAAGCTTCAGGAGTACCTATAGGGAAAAATATCCCTGAAGACAACAAAGATAAAAGGGGGAAGGCAAGACTATCATTCTCAGCCCTGGAAACTCTACAATTTAACACAGCCAAAGGAGACAGCCAATCAGAGTGACTCTTCAACAGCATCATGATATAGGAAGTTTGTTCCACAGGTCCTCTGGGCACTAATCCCTAGCCAGCTTTCCTACATTACCAGGATATCCCCTTAAGGACTTCCTTCATTCAAAATAGGCAGAACTCTGATGGTTTACTAGACCCAAGGCAACCTTGTGCTTAAGGCACCACATATCAACAAAAAGGAGGCAGCATCATAGCAGAAAAAAAAAGAAAATCAACAAGTAAACACAAAGAATTTCTAAGCAAACATATTCAAGAGAAAAAGAAAACAAGCCAACAAAAAAGGCTTAAACAAATAAAGAATCATTCAACCGAAAGACATAGATATACATTCACAGAAACAACAGCAAACAGGAAAGTATGACCTTCTCAAATGAACAAAGCAAAGAACTGATGACCCATCCTAATGAGATGGTGTTATGTAAACTCTCTGGCCAAGAATTCAAAATAATGGTTTTAAGTAATCTCCATGATCTCCCAGATAACAAAGAAAAGCAATTCAGAAATCCATTAGAAAAAATTAAGAGATTGAAATGAGTTAAAAAATGTCCAACAGAAATCTTGAAACAGAAAAATATAATTGCCGAACTGAAAAATTCAGTAGAGGCTCCCAACAGCAAAATAGATCAAGCAGAAGAAAAAAATCAGTGAACTTGAAGACAGGCTATTTGAAAATACACTGAAGAGAAAAAAATGAAAAGGAACAAAGCTCATCTACAAGACATAAAAATTACTACAAAAGACTAAATCTAAGAATAATTGGTGTTCAAGAGCGAGTTGAGCAAGAGCAATGGGGAGAAAGCTTATTCAAACAAATTATAGCAGAAAACTTTTGAAAACTTGAGAAAGAGATAAATACCCAGGTAAAGGAAGGTCAGCAAAAACTCCAAACAGATTGATCCCAAATAAGAATACCCCAAGTACTACAATAATTAATTCTCAAAAGTCAGTAAGAAAGAGATTATACTATGAGCAACAAGAGAAAAGAGGCAAATAATGTATAAAGGAGCGCTCCAATTCATGTAGCAACAGAATTCTCAATCAAAACCATACAGGCCAGGAGGGAGTGAAATGACAGTATTAACATGTTGAAAGAAAAAAAACCTGCCATTCAAGAATACCATATCCAGCAAAGCTATCCTTCAAATATGAAGGAGAGATGAAGTGTTTCTCAGATAAACAAAAGCTGAGAAAGTTCACCACCATAAGACAAGTTTTATAAGAAATGTTAAAGGAAGTTCCTCAATCTGAAGTGAAAAAACACTAATGTGCAAAAAGAAAACATTTAAAGGTATAAAACTCACTAGTAAAATTAAATACACAAACAAAACTCAAATACTATAATACTGTAAGTGTGGTGTGCAATCTCCACGTAACTCTTGCGTGAAGTCCAAGAGACAAATAGGTCAAAATAAGTAATAGCTACAGCAACCTGTAAGAGTTAGGTAATATAAAAATATGTAAGTCAGAACAACATAAAGTCAACGTGTTGGGAAAATGGAGTTAAAGTGTAGAATTTTATTTTTATTTTTGTTTCCATTCCTTGTGATCTAAGATAAGTTAGCATCTCTTTAAAATAACTTGTTATATCTATAAAATGTTTCTATAGGCCTCTTGGTAATCAAAATATGAAAATCTATAATATATTTGATTAAAATGAAAAGCAACAAATTAAAACATACTACAAGAGAAAATTACTTAAACACAAAGGAAAACAGTAAGAAAGACAGAAGTTAATAAACATCCAGAAAACAACCAACAAAATGGCAGTGCTAAATCATTACTTATTGATAATAACATTGAATTTAAATAGTCAGCTCTCCAATTGAAAGGCATAAAGTGGCTGAATGGATAAGGAAACAAGACCCGAAGACATGCTGCCTACCAGAAATCCACTTTACCTATAAAGACACACATAAACTAAAAGAGAAGGGGTGGAAAATATATTCCATGAAAAGATATTTCAGATAACGGAAAGCAAGAAAAAAGCAAGAACAACTCTACTTCTATTAGGTAAAATAGACTGCAAATCAAAGACTGTTAAAAGAGACAAAGAAGGTCATCACATAATGATAAAGGGGTCAAGCCAGCAAGAGAATATAATAATTACAAATATCTGTGCATCTAACACCAGAGCTCCCAAGTATATAAAGCAAGCATTAATGATTACAAAAGAGAAATATTATGTAATACAATAATAGTAAGGGATGTAAACATCTCACGCTCAGTAATGTACCAGCTAGACAGAAAATCAACAAAACGCATTGGAGTTAAACTACACACTAGACCGTATAGGCCAAAATATCATTTACAGATAATTTCACCCAACTCTCACAGAATACATATTATTTTAATCAGCACATTGCACCTTCTCCAGAATAGTTCATCTCTTAGGCCACGGAATAGTCTCAATAAATTCAAAAAAGTAGGAATTATGTCAAGTATCTCTTTTGACCACAATTGAATAACATTAGAAATTAACAACAAAAGGAACCTCAAAAATACACAAAAATGTAGAAATTAAACAATGTGCCCCTGAACAACCATTGAGTCAATGAGCAAATTAAGAAAAAAAGTTTTAAACATTTCTTGAAACAAATGAAAATACAACATGCCAAAATCTGTAGAATATAGTAAAAGTAGTACTAAGAGGGAATTTTATAGGAAAAATATGTCTACATCAAAATAGTGGAAATATTTAAAATAAAGAATCTAAGGAAGCACCTAAAGGAACTAAAAAAGCAAAAGCAAACCAAACCTAAAATTAGCAAAATGAAAGAAAAAGTAAAGATCAGAGTAGAAATAAATGAAATTGAGACTAAAAAATACAGAAGATCAATAAAACAAAAAGTTGCTTTTTTGAAAAGATAAAGTTGATAAACCTTTAGCTAGACTAAAAAAAAAGAAAGACCCAAATAGATAAAATCAAAAATGAAAAGGGAGACCTTTTAACTAACAGCTGAGACCAGAAGAATACAAACATTCATTAGAGACTATTGTGAAGACATATAAGCCAACAAATGGGAAAATCTAGAAGAAATGGATCAGTTCCTGGAAACATACAGCCTACCAAGATTAAACTATAATGAAGGAGAAAACTTCAACAAACCCATACTGAGCAGCATGATCAAAGCCATAATAAAAAGTCCCCCATCTTATGGCTTCCCTACTGAATTGTACCAAACACATAAAGAACTAATAACAATTCTACTTACACTCTGCAAAAAATTGAAGAAGGAATACTTCCAAATTCATTCTATAAAGTCAACATTAACTCAATATCAAAACCAGACAAGGACACACAAAAAAAGAAAACTACAAGCTAATATCACCAGTAAATATAGATGCAAAAATCCTCAAAAAAACACTAGCAAACACAATTCAACATTAAAAAGGTCATTTATGATGATCAAATGCAATTCATCCCAGGGATGCAGGGGTGGTTCAACATACACAAAATACACAAAAAAATATGCAAATCATACACATGATTTCCCCAGAATCATGTCCTGGAAAACACTCCAGGACATGATTCTGGGGAAAGATTTTTTTTGTGTGTAAGACCTCGAAAGCACAGGCAACTGAAACAAAAATAGACACATTAAGCTGAAGAGGTTCTGCATAGCAAAGGAGAAAACAAAGGGAAGACACAATTTTCAGAATGGGAGAAAGTACTTGCTTAAATAATTCTAATAAATATTTACATGGATTCATTAATAGATACACACATAATAGGTAAAATGCAATTACCTTAAATGTTAGAATATTATTTTCCAACAGTAATAGTGAGGTTGACCAGAAATTTGTGCTCTCTCTTTCTAAACATACATATATATATACACACATGTATGTATATATATATACACACATATATGTATATATATATACACACATACATGTATATATATACACACATATATATACACACACATGTATACATATATACACATATATATACATATTTGTAGTATATGTATATATATATGAAATTTTAAAAGCAAAACATAAGCCACAAAAACAAATGATGATGTAAAATATTCCAGAGTGTTGTGTTCTGAAGGTTCTAGAAGACAGCCTTTCCTCTTCCACCTTTTTCCTAAAACAAACTCATCTTATTTCATGACCTGTTAAACCATTATGGAAAATTTTCCATCCACAAATATGCTGTGCAAAAGAAACATGAAAAGGATTGTATGTCATATTTTTTTCTTGGTACTGGAACTCTTAATATATTCTCAGTTGTACAGAGGGCTTTATAAGGCATTCTAATGCATTTATTTTAGGGATTCCTGATTATTATTTTTCTGCACCTTGAAAGCTTCATGCATACACTGAGCCTCACAGCAATTGGTCCTAACATAGAATCTCTCTTTCATCCTCACAATATTAAGCTCTCCATTTGTTTGTTTCTTTGTTGTTGTTGATGTTTCTCCTATATACTTTCTGGTATTATATAGAAGTATTATTTTCTTTACATTTTTGGCTTTAACAAAAGTGTTTTGTGGCTTTTTTCCCAAATGGCTGAACTATTGTGCTTACTTGGCTTCATTGCACGTCTTTCATCTTGTTAAGTCAACAGCCTGGCAGTGGGTATAGCTGTGGAGACCATATCATAACTGATCGGAAGATTCATAAGTGGAAAATGCTAAGACAATGGTCAACAAAATTCAATGCTATTTCAAATGCTAACTAGTGTTCCCTTGCCTACTACTTTGGGTTTGTTTGATCAGAGCATTTGATTAAAATGGTTTCTTTCTTTCCTCACCCTCGTAACATGAAAAGAAAGGAAAACTAATCTGAGAGAAGAACAAGCATATACACATATACATAAATTCAATGCCAAATACAATTTCACACTTGATATTCAGTATTTTCTAAAATCCACCTTGCATTAATTTTCTATTTCTATGTAACAAATCTAGCAAGTTAAAACAACACACATTTATTATCTCACAGTTTCTCAGCTTAACTGGGTCCTCTGTTTTGTGTCTTACAAGGCTGCAAACTGTTGGCCATGATCTTCATTTTCATCTGGATGCTCAACTAGGAAGCTATCCCCTCCAGGCATGTGTATGTTGCTGGCAGCCGCAGGAGTGAAGACCTCAGATTCTGACTGGCTTTTAGCTGGAGGCTGTCTTCAGGTTCTAGAGGCCAACCTCCAGAACTATGTGGCTCTCTCTAGAGGCTAACCTCTAGAACCATGTTGCCATGTGGCTCTCTCCATAGGCAGTTCACAACATGGCAGTTTGCTTCTTCAAGCCCAGAAGGAGAGTCTCTCACAGACTGTTAAGTTAGAAATTTACAGAATTCAAGGTCATCACAGGAGTGACACCCCATTATGTTTGCCATAATCTAATCAGAGAGTGACATCCCATCACCTTTGCCATATTCTATTCACAAGTGCACTAAAGGAATGGAGTTACACAAGGCTTGAATCCCCAGGAGGCAGGTATTAGTGGAAGCCACTCTTGGGTCTATTGACCACATCACAAATATTTAAAAAAATACTGCATTTTACCTAGAAGTTACAGTGTGTGTTTCAAAATATTTTGAAGAAAAAAGATGACATATTCTAAACCCATCTAGGTACAAGACAGAAAGGTACTATTTTATTAAAAATACAATATGTGGAATTGTTTTTATGCCTCTTTAAATCACTTATTTCTCCTTTTATCATCTAAAAAAATGACTATGATTTTGTTATTTTCTTTGCCTTCCCATAAGGTTAATTACAGCAAATATATTTCTATGTGTCTTATTAAGATTATAATTTTGAAAACATATAATTGAAGGCATAAATCAAATTTTAATTATTTAATTTTAAGAAAATATAGAAATAGCATTTTCAGTAAGTAAGATCTAATAAACACAGAACACTACTCCAGGTGCACTGGCCTTCTATTTCTTTTAACACCCCTGTGGTATTTCATTATATGTCTGATAATATCTCATTTCCAAAAGGTAACCTCAAGGACTCAACCAGAGTTGGATCTACCACGTGTATGAAGAATCAAGGATACTTTTAAATTTCCCTGATTCATCTTACAAACTCCAGATATCCATAATGATTCTGTGTTGGATGTGATTCTATTGCAAAAACAAAGGCTATCAGATACCCCATTGGAATATGCCAATCTTTACCATATAGAATCTCCAGGGGAGTGCTTTCGCTTCACACAGAGAAACAGAAGAAATGACAGATTTCTGCACTCTGTGTCAATTTCATTGTTATAAGTTACTCCCTACTGGCAGAACAGTTACTTTGGAAATGAGATAAAATTGAGACAGCCAAATGAATATGGCCTTCCCATATAAGCATATTCAATAAAATATCAGTCATGGCTTAGATATTTATGCCAGTGGTTTTATACATTAAAGAACTTGTTAAACTAGCCTTTCCAAGGAGTCGGGCTGCTCTATTTCAGCAAGTGAACCTATGCCATCACTGTGAGATCACTTCCCTTTCTTGTTTGCTCAGTTTAAGCACATTCTTTACACTGCTTAAATTCTGGAAAAGATTGCTGAGAACAGATAGGATTTCAATATAGGCAGAATAATATTTTTCCTCTGCTTGTTATTGTTTCTGAGTATGTAAAATGGTATAATAATAATGTTTCCTTGTGGGGGTAATTGTAAGAATGAAATAAAATTTTGCATACATAGCAATAAGAAGAGTCCCTGTTGTATAATAAGCCCTTAATAAATAGTGGCTAATGTTATTGTAAATTGTGAATTTAGAGATCAAGTATTTGATTTTTTATTTTTTAAATTTATTATTTCTTTAAATATTTTACTGATACGTAATAATTACATATATTTATAGAGTAAAATGTGATATTTAATACATGTATATGTTGTGTAATGATTGATTCAGAGTATTTAGGAATATTCATCACCTTGAACATTTATTGTTTCTTTGTACAGGGAACATTTCACATCGTCTCTCCTAGTTATCTTGAAAAATACAATGCATTATTGTTAACTGTGGTCATCCAACTGTGCTATAGAACACTACAAATTATTCCTTCTATCTAACTGTATGTTTATACTCATTAAGCAACTTCCTTTCCTGGGCGCCATACACCCTTCTCAGCCTCTAGTGAATATCATTTTAGTCTCTACCTCTATGAAATAAAGTTTTTAGCTCCCACATATGAATGAGAACATGCAATATTTGTCTTTCTATTTCCGGCTTATTTAACTTACCATAATAACCTTTAGTTCCATTCATGTTGCAGCAAATAACAGGATTTCATTTTTTGTGTGTGGTTGAATAGTATTCTGTTGTGTATACATACCACATTTTCTGTATCCTAAGTTGATGGAAATTTAAAATGATTTCATATCTTGGCTATAAAATATGAGAGTAAAGCTATCCTTTTGATACACTGAGTTCCTTTCCTCAGGATAAATACCCAGTGGAGGGATTGCTGAACAAAACAGTACTATTTTTAGTCTTTGGAGGAACTTCCCTACTGTTTTCTGTAGGGACAGTATTAATTTGCATTCCCACCAAAGGCGTACAAGGGTTCCCCTTCTTTACATCCTTGCCAGCATTTGTTATTCCCTGTCTTTGACAAAAGCCATTTTAACTTGGGTGAGATGATATCACATTGTGGTTTTGATTTGCATTTCCCTGATGACTACATATGTTAAGCATTTTTTCATGAACCTGTTAGCCATTTGTATATCTTTTGAGAAGTATCCATTCAGAACCTTTACCCACTTTTACTGGGACTTTTTTTTTTCCTTTTTTTTTTTTTTTACTGTAGAGTTTCTCGTATCTTCAGGATATTCGTCCCCTATGAGATGAATATATTCTCCCATTCAAGAAGCTGTATCTTCATTGGTTGACTGTTTTGTTTGCTGTGCAGAAATGTTTAGTTTAATATAGTCTCCTTTTTTTCTATTTTTGTTTTTGTTGTCTGTGCTTTTGAGGTCTTAGTCATAAAATTATTCCCTAGACTAATGGCTTGAAGCATTTCACTTATGTTTTCTACTGTAAGTTTTACCATTTTGATATTATGTTCAAGTCTTCAACCAATTTTAGTTGACTTTTGTATATATGGCAAGAGATAGGGGTCTATTTCATTCTTGTGAATATGCATGCCCGCTTTCCCCAGCACCATTTATTGAAGAGAATGTCCTTTCCCCAATGAATATTCCAAGTGCTCTTGTCAAAACTCAGTTGGCTGTAAATGGGTGGGTTATTTCTAGGTTTCCTATTCTGTTCCAATGGTTTATGTGTCTATTTTTATATCAATACCATGTTGTTTTCATTCCTATAGCTATGTAGTATAATTTGAGGTCAGGGAGTGTGATGCTCCCTGCTTTGTTCTTTTCATTCAAGATTGCTTTGGCTAATTGGAATCTTCAGTGGTTCTACACAAATTTTAGAAGTAGCTTTTTTCTATTTCTTTGAAGAATGTCACTAGTATTTGATAAGGATTGCACTGAATTGTATATAGCTTTGAGTAGTATGATCATATTAATTCTTCCTATCCATGAGCATGGAATGCCCTTCAATGTTGTGTGTGGATTCTCCTTAATTTCTTTCATCAGTGTTCTGTAGTATTACTTGTAAAGATTTTTCATGTCTTTGGTTAAATTTATTCCTGTGTATTTTATTAATTTTTGTAGCTATTATAAGTGAGATTGCTTTCTTGATTTCTTTTTCAACTATTTCGTTGTTGGTGTATAAAAATGCTAGTGAGTTTTATATGCTGATTTATATCCTGCAATTGACTCAATTAGTTTATCCATTCTAACAGTTTTTTGGTGGTCTGTACGTTTAGCTATATTTAAGATTATGTCATCATCAAAAAGGGACAACTTGACTTGCTCTTTTCCAATTTGGATGCCTTTTATTTCTTTTTCATCCCTGATTTCTCTAGCTAGGACTTGTGGTACTATGTTGAATAAAAATTATAAGAGTGAGTATCTGTGCCTTGTTCCAGGTCTTAAAGGAAAGGCTTATAAGTTTATTCATTAAGTATAATGTTAGCTGTGGGTTTGTCTAGTAAGGCCCATAGTATTTTGAGGTATGTTCTTCTATGACTATGTTAGTGAGAGTTTTTATTATAAAAGGACGTTGAATTTTATCAAATGTTCTAGGAGCAAGATGGCAGAATACAAGGATCCATCAATCATCGCCCTATGCAAGGATACCAATTTAACAACTATTTACAAATAAAAACACCTTCGTAAAAACCAAAAACCAGGTGAGGCTTCATAGTACCTTGTTTCATCATCACATCAATGAAAAAGACACCGAAGCTAAAAAAACAGTCTTGAATCACCGATGCTACCCCTCCACCATTGCCTGCAGTGGTGATGTGGTGCAAAAGGCATCTCTGGGTGCTGCAAGAGGGAGAGAACAGCAATTTTGAAGCATCAAACCCAGTGCTGTCCTGTTATAGCAAAAAGGAAAACCAGACCAAATTCAGCTGATGCCCACCCACGGAGGAAACATTTAAACTAGCCCTAGCCAGAGGGGAATAGCCAATGCCAGGTGTCAGAAATTAAGTTCCCACAAACCTTGCCACTGTGGGCCAAAAGGATCTCTAAGTAAATTAAAAAGGTGGTCTAGGCCGCAAGAATTACAACTCTTAGGTAAGTCCTGGTGCTGAAGACATGAGCTGGGGAGGCTAAGGGAATGCTGGCATCACCCCTCACCTACCCCAGGCTGCACAGCTCACCACCCCAAAAGAGACCCCTTCCTTCCATTTGAGGAGAGGAGAGGGAAGAGTTGGGAGCATTTTGTCTTGTATCTTGAATACTAGTTTAGCCACAGCAGGATAGGGCACTGGTAAGAGTCATGAAGGCCCTATTCCAGGACCTGGCTCCCAGAAGACATTTCTAGACATACTCTGGGCCAGTCGGGAGCCTGTTGCCTTAAAGGGAAACACCCAGTCCTAGCAGTATTCATCACCTGCTAAGTGAAAAGCCCTTGGGCCCTGAATAACCAGCAGTGATACCCTGATACTAAATCAAGGGCCTTCGTTGAGTCTCAGACTTGCTGGCTTCAAGTACCAGCATGGCCAAAGGGATGTATAGCACCAAGTGGCCTCTGAGGGCCCCTGATTCCAGGAAATGACTCTGACCTGCACTTCTGCACCTGCCCTGGAACAGAGGGGACCCCACTGCCCTGAAGGGTGAGTCCTAGGTCAGGCAGCATTTACCACAAGCCGCTTTAAGAGCAAATGGGCCTTAAGGGAACATCAGTGATATTCTGACAGTACTTCCCATGGCCTTTGGTGACAGTGGCTATGGAGTGATGCTTCTCTGCCTTTGAAGAGGAGAGGGAAGGGTGGGAAGGACTGCGTCTTGTGGTTTGAGTACCAGCTCAGCCACACTACAACAGAATACCAGGCACACTTCTAAGGTTTTTTACTCTAGTCCTTGGCTCTTGGACAGCACCTCTGTACCCACCTGGGGCCTGGAGAACTCATTACTCTAAAGGGAAGAACACAGGCCTGTCTGGCTTTGCCACCTGCTGATTGTAGAGCCTCAGGACCTTGAGCAAACCTATGTAGTAGCCAGTGAGTGGTTGCATCAGGCCTTGGGTGAAACCCAGTGCTGTGCTGTCTTCAGGCGTGACCCAGCACAGTCATAGTGGTGGTGGCCACAGGAGTACTGTGTTACTCCACACTCAGCTTTAGATGTCTTAAGAAACAGAGAGACAAACTCTGTTTGTTTGGGAGAAATTAAGGGAAAAGAACCAGAGTATCTGCCTGGTAATCCAGTGAATTCTCAAATATTGTGCAAGACCATCAAGGCAGAACCTCTACAAGTCTGTGAGAACCACAGGGTTACCGGACTTAAGGTGCTCCCTAACAAACATACAACTTAGATGACAATCCTCATGTTCTTTCAAATATCTGGAAGCCTTCCTAAGAAGGATGAGTACAAGCAAGTTCAGACAGTGAAGACAACAATAAATACCTAACTCTTCAATGCCCAGACACCAGAGAACATCTACTAGCATCAACACCATCCAGGAAAACATGACCTAAACAAATGAACTAAATAAGGCATCAGAGACCAGCCTTGCAGAAACAGAGATATTTGATTTTTCAGACAGATAATTCCAAATAGCTGTATTGAGGAAACTCAAAGATATTCAAGATAACACAGAGAAAGAATTCAGAATTATATCAGATAAATTTAACAAAGAGATTGAAGTGATTTTTTTTTAAAATCAAGCAGAAATGCTGGAGATGAAAAATGCAATTGGCATACTGGGGAATGCATCGGAGTTCTTTAATAACAGAATAGATCAAGCAAAAGAAAGAATTAGTGAGCTTGAAGACAGACAACTTAGAAATATACAAAAGAGACAAAAGAAAAATGAATAAAAAAGAATGAAACATGACTATAGGTTGTAGAAAATAGCCTCAAAAGGGCAAATCTAAGAGTTATTGTCCTTAAAGAGGAGGTAGAGAGAGAGACAGAGACAGAAATTTATTCAAATGGGATAATAACAGAAAACTTTGGAAACCTAGAGAAATATATCAATATCCAAGTACAACCAGGTTATAGAACACCAAGAAGATTTAACCGAAAGAAGATTATCTCAAGGCATTTAATAATGGGTATAAAGTTAAGGCACATAGCTGTTATTAGTTTTCTCATTGCTTGTTTGATTAGTTATGCAAACAATATTAAGTTGCTACCAAGTTAAAATAATGGGTTATAAGTAATATTTGCAAGTCTCATGGTAACCTAAAATCAAAACACATATGATGGACACACAAAAAAGGAAAAGATAAAACTAAATCATAACACAAGAAAAAAATTACCTTAACTAAAGGAAGACAGGAAGGAAAGGAAAAAGAAACAGAAGACCACAAACAACCAAAAAATGAATAATAAAATGGCAGGAATAAGTCCTTACTTATCAATAACACTGAATGTAAATGGACTAAGCATCCAAGTAAAAAACATAGAGTAACTAAATGGAAGTAAAAACAAGACCCATTGATCTGTTGCCTACAAGAAACACATTTCACCTATAAAGACACACATAGACTGAAAATAAAGAGATGGAAAAAGATATTCCATGCAAATAAAAAACAAAAAAGAACAGAAGTAGTTATGTCATGAAAAATAGATTTCAGGACAAAAACTATAAAAATGGACAAATAAGGTCACTATATAATAATAAAAGGGTCAATTCAGCAAGAGGATATAATAATTTTAAATATACATGCACCAAACCCTGGAGCACCTAGATATATAAAACAAACATTATTAAAGCTAAAGAGAGAGATGGTTCTCAATACAATAATAGCTGGAGATTTCAACACCCCACTTTCAGTGTTGGACAGATCTTTCAGAAAGAAAATCAGCAATAATTGGACATAATCCATACTAGACCAAATAGATCTAATAGATATTTACTGAACATTTCATCCAAAGACTCAGAATGCAAAATTTTCCCTTGGTACATAGATCATTCTTAAGGATAGACCATATGTTAGGTCACAAAATAAATCATAAAATATTCAAAAAAAATGAAACAAAAATGAAATAAGATCCTTCTTTTTGGCCACATGCAATAAAACTAGAAATCAATAACAGGAATTTTAGAAACTATACAAATATATGAAAATTAAACAATACACTCCTGAATGACCAGTGGGTCAATAAAGAAATTAAGAAGAAATTGAAAAATGTCTTAAAACAAATGATAATGTAAACACAACATACCATAACCTGGAGGATACAGCAAGAGTAGTACTAGGAGAAAAAGTTATAGCTCGAAGTGCCTATATCAAAAAAGAAGGAAAACTTCAAATAAACAACCTAATGAATCATCTTAATAAACTAGAAAGGCAAGAGCAAACCAAACCCAAGATTAGTAGAAAAAATAAAGATCACAGCAGAAATAAATGAAATTAAAATGAAGAATAAAATACAAAAGTTTAATGAAACAAAAAGGTGGTATTTTGACAAGTTAAACAAAATTAACAAACTTTTAGCCAGACTAAGAGGCAAAGAGAGAAGATCCAAATACATACAATCAGAAATGGAAGAGAAAACATTACACCTGATACTACAGACATTCAAAGAATTATTAGTGGCTACTAAGAACGACTATAATGCTAATAAATTGGAAAATCTAGAAGAAATGGGCAAATTCCTAAACACATAAAACCTACAAAGATTGAACCAGAAAGAAATCCAAAACACAAACAGACTATTAACAAATAATGAGATCAAAGCCATAACAAAAAGTCTCCCAGTAAAGAACAGCTTAGAACCCAATGGCTTCACTGACAAATTCTACCAAGCATTTAAAGAATAACGAAAGTCAATCCTACTCAAATTATTTTGAAAAATAGAGGAATAGAGAATACTTATGATAGTGACAAGAGACAGACAAATTCTTAGGCAGACATGGATGGGTCCCCATAAAAATCAACCTTCAAGCCAAGGACAGTTTAAATCCTGAAAACAGAATTGCTGGTTCCAGACAAAGTCTATGACCAGAGTGAGAACTTCCATCCCTGTCTTACCCACTCTCTCTCAACTGGTTTCTTCTGAATGATGACTTTTACCCAACTGAATATTGCTTTGTCCAAACCCACTCCCCCATTATAAACCCATATGAACCTTGGATTCAGACACAGATGGCTATCTGCTTTCAGGTTCCCTCTCAATGCTGAGAGCTTTCTTTCTGTCACTCAGTAAAATTCTACTCTGCCTTAATTACTCTCCAGTGTTCACATACCTTATTCTTATTGGTCATGGGACAAGAACCTGGAACTTGCCATACTGTGCAAGCAAAAGAGCTGTAATGCTCCTGCTTGCTGAGCTGTGGGTGGTGGGAATAAAAGAGCTGTAATATTCCCTCCTGCTAATCAAACAATGGGAAAGAGGAAGACACTGGCCATCACACCCTCCCACTCATCAAGCTACAAGAATAAAGAAGCTGTTGGGTGCCACTTTCTTCTACTTGCTGAACTATAGGAGCAAAAAAGCTGCAACACTTCCATACTCATTCCATGAGGCCAGTATTACCAAAGACAACATCAAAAAATGTTTTGATAAATTTTGATAACAAAACCAAAGACACATCAAAAAAAGAAAACCATAAGCCAATGTCTCTGATGCAAAAATCCTTAGCAAACTGAATTCATAGTACGTTAGAATGAATGTTCATCACAGCCAAGTGGGATTTATCCCTAGAATGCAAAGATAGTTCAATATACACAAATCAATCAATGTGATACACATTCTCAAAAGAAAAATAATAAAAAACATATTGTTCTTTCAATTGATGCTGAAAAAGCTTTTAATAAAATTTAACATCCATTCATAATTTTAAAAAATTCTCAAAAAACTGAGGACAGAAAACATATCTTAACATAATGAAATCCATATATAACAGAACCACAACTAGTATCATACTGAATGAGCAAAAGCTGAAAGCCTTTCCCTTAAGATCTGGAACATGACAAGGATGCCCACTTTCAACAGTTATTCAAAATACTCTTGGAAGTCCTAGTTAGAGCAATCAGACAAGAGAAATAAATAAAAAGCATCCAAACTGGAAAGGAAGAAATCAAATTTTTTTTGGTGCAGATAATGTGACCTTTTATTTGGAAAATCCTAAGGACTCTATCAAAAAAAGTTCAAGAACTGATAAAAAGATTCAGGAGATATAGAAAAGAGACCAAATCTTTGATTTATTAGGACCCCTGAAAGAAATGGGAAGAATGGAAGCAACTTAGAAAACATGTTTCAGGACATCATCCATGAGAAATTCCCCAACCTAGCTAGAGAGGCCAACATCCAGATTCAATAAATGCAGAGAATGCCAGTAAGATACTTCACAAGAAAATCATCCCCAAGACCCATAATCATCAGCTTCTCCAAGGTCAAACTAAAAGAAAAAATTCTAAAGAAAGCTAGAGAGAAAGGTCAGGTCACCTATCAAGGGAAGTCCATGAGACTAACAGCAGACTTCTCAGCAGAAACACTACAGGCCAGAAGAGATTGGGGGCCAATATTCAACATTCATAAAGAAAATGAAATCCATACAAGAACTTCACATCCAACCAAACTAAGCTTCAAAAGAAAAGGAGAAATAAGACCCTTTTCAAAAAAATTAGTTCTGAGGGAATTTGTTACCACTAGACCTGCCTGAGAAGAGATCCTGAAGGAATCACTAAATATAGAAAGGAAAGACTGTTATCACCCACTACAAAAACATACTTAAGTATACAGACCAGTGACACGACAAAGCAACCACACAAACAAGTCTTCATAATTACCAGCTAACATCATGATGACAAGATTAAGTCCACACATATTAATACTAATCTTGAGTGAAAATGGGTTAAATGTTCCAATTAAAAGGTACAGAGTGGCAAGCCGGATAAAGAAGCAAGACCTAATGGTATGCTGCTTTCAAGAGTTGGTTCTCACATGCAATGACACCCACAGGCTCAAAATAAAGGTATGGACAAAAATCTACCAAGCAAATGGAAAACAGAAAAAAAGCAGTTACAATTCTAATTTCAGACAATACAGACTTTAAGCCAACAAAGACAAAAAAAGACAAAGAGGGGCATCACATAATGGTAAAGGTTTCAATTTAGCAAGAAGACCTAACTATCCTAAATATATAAGCCCCCAACACAGGAGCATCCAGATTTATAAAGGAAGTCCTTAGAGAAGTTCAAAAGAGATATAGATTCCCACACAATGATAGTGGGAGATTTCAACACCCCACTGACAATATTAGACAGATCATCAAGGCAGAAAATTAACAAAGATATTGAGGACCTAAACTAAGTACTGGATCAAATGGACCTGGTAGACATCTATAGAACTCTCCATCCAAAAACAGGAGACTACATATTCTCATTGCCACATGGTTCATGCTCTAAAACTGACCAGATAATCAGATATAAAACACTTCTCTGCAAATACAAAATAACTGAAGTCGTAACAACCACTCTCTTGGACCACAGCATGATAAAATTAGAAATCAAGACTAGGAAAGTTGCTCAAAACCATATATTTCCATGGAAATTAAATAACCTGCTCCTGAATGACTTTTGGGTAAATAATAAAATTATTTCAAAAAATCAAGAAGTTCTTTGAAACTAATGAGAACAAAACTCCAACATACCAGAATCTCTGGGGCACAGCTAAGGTAGTGGCAAGAGGGAAATTTATAGCACTAAATGCCCACATCAAAAAGTTAGAAAGATCTCAATTTAACAACCTAACAACAGAACTAAAAGAACTAAAGGACCAAGAACAAACCAACCCCAAAAACAGCAGAAGACAAGAAATTAAAATTAGAGCTGAACTAATGGAGATTGGGACACACACAAAAAAAATTTCAAAAGAGCAACCAATCCAGGAGTTGGATTTTTGAAAAAATTAATAAGATAGACCACTAGCTAGATTATTAAAAAAAGAGAGAAGATCCAAATAAACACAATCAGAAATCAAATCCCACAAAGGGGATATTACCACTTACCCCATAGACATAGAAATAACCATCAGGGAATATTATGAACATCTGTATGCACACAAACTAGAAATTATAGAAGAAATGGATAAGTTTCTGGACACATGTACTCTCCCAAGACTGAAGAAGGAAGAAATTGAATCCCTGAACAGACCCATAACAATTTCTGAAATTGAATTAGTAATAAATAACCTATGAAACAAAAAATATCTCAGGAACAAATGGACTCACAGCAGAATTCTACAAGATGTACAAGTAAGAGCTGGTACCATTCCTACTGAAACTATTTCAAAATATTGAGAATTACAGAAACCTCCCTAACTCATTCTATGAGGCCAGAAGCATCCTGATACCAAAACCTGGAATACACACACACACAAACTGAAAACTTCAGTCCAATATTATTGATGAACATGAATGCAAAAATCCTCAACAAAATACTGGCAAACAAAATACAGCAGCATATCAAAAAGCTTATCCACCACAATCAAGTGGGCTTTATGCCTGTATTCCTAGGATACAACATTGTTTCAAACTACACAATCAATAAATGTGATTCATCACATAAACAGAACTAAAGACAAAAACCACATAATTATCTCAATAGATGCAGAAAAGTCTGTTGATAAAATTCAACATGGCTTCATGTTAAAAACTCTCAACAAACTAGGTATTGAAGAAACATAGCTTAAGAGCCATCTATAACAAACTGACAGCCAACATCATACTGAATGGGTAAAAGCAGGAAGCATTCCCCTTGAAAACTGGCACAACACAAAAATACCCTCTCTCACCACTCCTATTCAACATTGTATTGGAAGTCCTGGCTGAAGGAGTCAGACAAGAGAAATAAAAAGGCAAACAAATAGGAAGAGAGATAGTCAAACTATCTCTGTTTGCAGACACATAATCCTATATCTAGTAAACCACATGGTCTTGGCCCAATAACCACTTAAGCTGATAAATAACTTGACGGAAAGTCTCAGGATACAAAAATTAACACATAAAAATCACTAGCATTCCTATACACCAACAATAGTAAAGCTGAGAGGGAAATCAGGAATGCAATCTCATTCACAATTTCCACAAAAAGAATAAAATACCCAGAAATACAGCTAAACAGGGAGATAAAAGTCCTCTATGAGGAGAATTAAAAAACACTTCTTGGCTGGGTGCAGTGGCTCATGCCTGTAATCCCAGCACTTTGGGAGCCTGAGGCAGGCAGATCACCAGGTCAGGAGTTCAAGATCAGCCTGACCAATATGCTGAAACCCCATCTGTACTAAAAATACAAAAATTAACCAGGAATGATGGCATGCACCTATAATCCCAGCTACTCAGGAGGCTGAGGCAGGAGAATCCCTCAAACCTGGGAGGTGGAGGTTGCAGTGAGCCAAGATCGCACCACTGCACTCCAGTCTGGGTGACAGAGCAAGACTCTGTCTAAAATATTAAAAAAAAAAAAAAAAAAAAAAACACTTCTCAGAGGTATGAAAGATGACACAAACAAATGGAAAAAAAAATTCCATGCTCATGGATAGGAAGAATCAATATCATTAAATGGCCAAACTGCCCAAGCAATTTGCAGATTCAGTGCATTCCCATGAAGTTACCAATACACTAAGCAAAAAGAACAAAAGTAGAGTCATCATGCTACCCAGTGTCAAACTATACTACAAGGCTACAGTAACCAAAACAGCATGGTACTTGTACAAAAATAGACACATAGACCAAAGAACAGAATAGAGAGACCCAAAACAATGCTGCATACCTACAGCCATCTGATCTTCAACAAAGCTGAAAAAAACAAGCAATGGGGAAAGGACAACCTACTCAATAAATGGTGCTGTGATTACTGGCTAGCCATATGCAGAAGATTGAAATTAGACCCACTCCTTACATCATATAGAAAAACTAACTCAAGATTGATTAAATACCTAAATTTAAAACTCAAAGTATAAAAACCATGAAAGACAACCTAGGCAATATCATTCGGGACACAAGCAGAGGCAAAGATTTTATGACAAAGATACCAAAAGCAATAACAACAAAAGCAAAACTTGACAAATGGGGTCTAATTAAGCTAAAGAGTTTTTGCTCAGCAAAAGAAACTATCAACAGAGTAAACAGACAACCTACAGAATGGGAGAAAAATGTTGCCAACTATGCATCTGGCAAAGGTCTAATACCAAGAAAAAAAAAAGAACCCCATTAAAAAGTGGGCAAAGGGCATGACAGACATTTTTCAAATGAAGACATTCCTGTGGCCAAAAATCATATAACAAAAAAACCTCAACATCACTGATCATTAGAGAAATGTAAATCAAAACCACAATAAGAAACCACATCACACCAGTCTGAATGGCTACTATTAAAAAGTCAAAAAATAACACATGCTGGTGAGGTTTCAGAGAAAAAGAAATGCCTACACACTGTTGGTGGAAGTGTAAATTAGTTTAACTATTGTTGAAAAAAAATGTGACAATTACTCAAAAACCTAAAAACAGAACTACCATTTGATCCAGCAATCTCATTACTGCATATATACCCAAACGATTATAAATTGTTCTATTGTAAAGAAACATGCACACATATATTCGTTGCTGCACTATTCACAATAATGAAGACATGGAATCAACCTAAATGTCCATCAATGGTAGAGTGGATAAAGAAGATGTGGTGCATATATACCACGGAATACTATGCAGCCAAAAAAATGAGATCACGTCCTTTGCAGGAACAGGAACATGTATAGTGCTGGAGGCCATTATCTTTAGCATACTAATGCAGGAAAAGGAAACCAAATAACTGCATGTTCTCACTTGTAAATGGGAGCTAGATAATGAGAACACATGGACACATAGTGGTGAACAACCAACCCTGGGGCCTATTTGATTGTAGAAGGTGGGAGGAGGGAGAGGATCAGAAAAAATATCTAGTGGGCAGTAGGCTTAATATCTGGGTTACAAAATAATCTGTACAATAAACCTCCATGATATGAGCTTACCTATGTGACAAACCTGCACATGTACTCTTGAACCTAAAATAAACATTAAAAAAGAAAATTCAGTGAAGTTGCAGGATACAAAATCAATATACAGAAATCAGTACTCCTCCTGTAAGCCAGCAGTGAGCAATCCGAAAGCAAAATAAAAAAGTAATCCCATCTACAATAGCCACACAAAATTAAATACCTAGGAATTAGTCAAAAAAGTGGAAGATCTATATAATAAAAACCATAAAACACTGTTGAAAGAAATTGAAGACACCAAAAAAGGGAAAAATATTGCATGTTCATGGATTGGAAGGATCAATATCATTAAAAGGTCCCTCCTACCCAAAGCAATCTATAAATTCAATTCAATCCCCATCAAAATTCCAATGATATTCTTCACAGAAATAGAAAAAAAAAATCCTAAAATTTATACAGAACTTCAAAAGTCTCAGAATACCATAAGGCATACTAAGCAAAAAGAACCTAACTGGAGGAATCACACTACCTGACTTCAAATTATACTATAGAGCTCTGATAAGCAAAACAGCAGGGTTCTGGCATAAAAACACACAGACCAGAGGAATAGAATAGAGAATCCAGAAATAAATCCACAAACCTACAGTGAATGCATTTTTGACAAACGTGCCAGGAACATACATTGGGGAAAAGACATTATCTTCAATAAATGGTACTGGGGAACCTGGACATCCGTTTGTGAAAAAATGAATCTAGACCCCTATCTGTTGCCATATACAAAAAAAATGAAATCACAATGTATTAAAGACATAAACCTAAGACTGCAAACTATGAAACTAGTACAAAAACCACTGGGGAAAATCCCCAGGACATTGGTCTGGGCAAAAATTTACTGAGCAATACCCTAGAAGCACAGGCAATCAAAACAAAAATGGACAGGACAAATGGGATCACATCAAGTTAAAAAGCTTCTGTACAGCAAAGGAAACAATCAATAAAGTGGAGATACAACCCGCAGAATGGGAGAAAATATTTGCAAGCTACACATCTGTCAAGGGATTAATAACCAGAATATATATGAAACTCAAACAACTCTATAGGATAAAAGCTAACAATCTGATCAAAGCATGGAACAAAGATGTGAATGGAGAATTCTCAAAGAAGACATACACATGGCAAACAGGCATGTGAAAAGGTGCTCGACATCACTGATCATCAGAAAAATGCAAATCAACACTACAATGAGATACCACCTCACCCCAGTTAAAATGGCTTATATTCAAAAGACAGGCAATAACAAATGCTGGTGAGGACGTGGAGAAAAGGGAACCCTTGTACGCTGTTGGTGGGAATGTAAATAAGTACAATCACTAGGGAGAACAGTTTGGAATTTTGTCAAAAAACTAAAAATAGAGCTACCACATGATCCAGCAATTTCACTACTGGGTATATAACCAAAAGAAAGGAAATTAGTATGTCTAAGAGATATCTGCACTCCTATGTTTGCTGCAACACTGTTCACAGTAGCCAAGATTTGGAAGCTATTTGTATCCATCAATATATGAATGGATAAAGCAAATGTGGTACACATAAACAATGGAGTACTATTCAGCTATGAAAAAGAATGTGATCCTGACATTTGCAATGAGGTGGATGGAACTGGAGATCATTACATTAAGTAAAATAAGCCAGGCTCAGAAAGAAAAACATTGCATGTTCTCACTTATTTGTGGGATCAACAAATTAAAACAATTGATCTCATGTACAGAGAGTAGAAGAATAGTTACCAGAGGCAGGGAAGGGTAGTAAGGGGCTGGGGAGAGATAGGGATTGTTAATGAGTACCAAAAAAGTAGTTAGAAACAATGAATAAGACCTACTATTTGACAGCACAACAGGGTGACTACAGTCAATAATAGTTTTATAATTTCAACTAACTAAAAGGGTGTAATTAGATTGTTTCTAACACAAAAGATACATGCTTGAGGGGATAGACACAGCATTCTTCATGATGTGACTACTTCACATTGCATACCTGTAATCAAAATTTCTCATGCATCCTATAAATATATACACCTATTAAGTACCTACAAAATTTTTTTTTAAATGTAATTGTAGGCTGGGCGCAGTGGCTCACACCTGTAATCCCAGCACTTTGGGAGGGCGAGGTGGGTGGATCACGAGGTCAGGAGATTGAGACCATCCTGGCTAACATGGTAAAACCCCGTCTCTACTACAAATACAAAAAAATTAGCCAGGCGTGGTGGCAGGTGCCTGTAGTCCCAGCTACTAGGGAGGCTGAGGCAGGAGAATGGCATGAATCCAGGAGGCGTAGCTTGCAGTGAGCCAAGATCATGCCACTGCACTCCAGCCTGGGTGACAGGGTGAGACTCCATCTCAAAAAAATAAAAATAAAAAACATCTAATTGTATCAAATGTTTTCTTGGTTTCTGTTGAGATGACCATATGGTTTTTTCCATAGATACTTGATATGATTTTGATACTTGAAGATACTTGATATGATTCTGACTTTTAAAAATTTTGTTGAGACTTGTTCTGTAGCCTAACATATGGTCTATCATGGAAAATGTACCATGGCTTATAAGAAAATGTATATTCTTCAACTGTTGGATAAAATGTTCTGTCAATGTCTGTTAGATCCATTTGGTCTCAAGTGTAGTTTAGTATCAACGTTTGTTGATTTTCTGTATAGATGATCTATCTAATGCTGGCATAGCTGTTCAATTCCCCATTATTACTATATTGGAGTCCCTCTCTCCCTTTACATCTAATAATATTTGCTTAAATATTTGGATGCTTCAGTGTTGGGTGCATATATATTTAGAATTATGTTTTCTTGATGAATTGATTCTTTTATCTTTATCTAATAACTTTCCAAGCCTCTTTTTATAGATTTTGACTTAAAATGTATTTTATATTACATACCTACTGCTGCTCACTTGGTTTCCATTTGCATGGAATATCTCCTTACACATCTTTCCTTGCAGTCTCCATGTGCCCTTATAGGTGACTTGCTTATTGTAGGCAGCATATAGTTGAGTCAGGTTTTTTTTTTTAGTCCATTCAGCCAATCAATATTTTTTAAGTGAGAAATTGAATCCATTTACATTCAAGGTTATTATTGATAGGTGAGGACTTATTCATATTATTTTGCTAAGTGTTTCTGTTTTTTTAATATTCTTTGTTCCATTCTTTCTCTCTTATTTTTTATCATTGCAGTTTGGTGGTTTACTGCAGTGGTAACATTTCAGTCCTTTCTCTTTCCCATTTGTGTATACATTTTACACGTGTTTTATAATGTCCTGTGTTTTCATGATGGTAGATATAACCATTTTCCTTCTAGATGTAGAACTCCCAAAGCATTTCCTGTAGGATTGGTTTAATGCTGATTAATTTCCTCAGTTTTTACTTATCTGGGAAAGACTTTATTTATATTTTATTTAATTTTTTAAATGATAGCTTTGTAGGGTATACTAACTTTGGTTGGCAGTTTTATTTTCTTCTTTCAGCACTTTGATATATTATCCCATTCTTACCTTGATTGACAAGTGCCTGCTGAGAAATCCATTATTAGTGTCATAGGAATTCCTTTATATGTGATTTGATGCTTTCTTCTTGTTCTTAGGATTCTCTCTTTGTCTTTGACTTTTGACAGTTTGATTCTAATGTACCCTGGAGAAGATTTTTTGGGGTTGAATATATTTGGATTTCTTTGAGCTTCCCATATCAGGATCTCTGGAAAAACTTGGGAAGTTTTCAGTGGTCATTTTTTTTTATTCTTAAAAGATATATTTCTCTTTTTTTTACTTTAAGTTCTAGGGTACATGTGCACAACGTGCAGGTTTTTACATATGTATACATGTGCCATATTGGTGTGCTGCACCAATTAACTTGTCATTTACATCAGGTATATCTCCTAATGCTATCCCTCCCCCCTCCCCCCACCCCCTGACAGGCCCCAGTGTGTGATGTTCCCCACCCTGTGTCCATGTGTTCTTATTGCTCAATTCCCACCTATGAGTGAGAACATGCAGTGTTTGGTTTCCTGTCCTTGTGGTAGTTTGCTCAGAATGACGGTTTCCAGCTTCATCCATAGTCCCTAAAATGAACATGAACTCATCCTTTTTTGTGGCTGCATAGTATTCCATGGTGTAAATGTGCCACATTTTCTTAATCCAGTCTATCATTGATGGACATTTGGGTTGGTTCCAAGTCTTTGCTATTGTGAATAGTGCCACAGTAAACATACATGTGCAAGTATCTTTATAGCAGCATGATTTATAATCCTTTGGGTATATACCCAGTAATGGGATGGTGGGGTCAAACGGTATTTCTAGTTCTAGATCCTTGAGGAATCGCCACGCTGTCTTCCATAATGGTTGAACTAGTTTACAGTCCCACCAACAGTGTAAAAGTGTTCCTATTTCTCCACATCCTCTCCAGCACCTGTTGTTTTCTGACTTTTTAATGATGGCCATTCTAACTGGTGTGAGATGATATCTCATTGTGGTTTTGATTTGCATTTCTCTGATGGCCAGTGATGATGAGCATTTTTTCATGTGTCTTTTGGCTGCATGAATGTCTTCTTTTGAGAAGTGTCTGTTCATATCCTTCACCCACTTGTCAATGGGGTGGTTTGATTTTTTTCTTGTAAATTTGTTTAAGTTCTTTGTAGATTCTGGATATTAGCCCTTTGTCAGATGGGTAGATTGTAAAAATTTTCCCCCGTTCTGTAGGTTGCCTATTCACTCTGATGGTAGTTTCTTTTGCTGTGCAGAAGCTCTTTAGTTTAATTAGTTCCCATTTGTCAATTTTGGCTTTTGTTGCCATTGCTTTTGGTGTTTTAGACATGAAGTCCTTGCCCATGCCTATGTCCTGAATGGTATTGCCTAGGTTTTCTTCTACAGTTTTTATGGTTTTAGGTCTAACATTTAAGTCTTCAATCCATCTTGAATTGATTTTTGTATAAGATGTAAGGAAGGGATCCAGTTTCAGCTTTCTACATATGGCTAGCCAGTTTTCCCAGCACCATTGATTAAATAGGGAATCCTTTCCCTATTTCTTGTTTTTTTTCAGGTTTGTCAAAGATCAGATGGCTGTAGATGTGTGGTATTATTTCTGAGGGCTCTGTTCTGTTCCATTGGTCTCTCTCTATATATATGTTTTGGTACTAGTACCATGCTGTTTTGGTTACTGTAGCCTTTTAGTATAGTTTGAAGTCAGGTAGCATGATGCCTCCAGCTTTGTTCCTTTTCCTTAGGATTGTCTTGGCAATGCGGGCTCTTTTTTGATTCCATATGAACTTTAAAGTATTTTTTTTCCAATTCTGTGAAGAAAGTCATTGGTAGCTTGATGGGGATGGCATTGAATCTATAAATTACCTTGGGCGGTGTGGCCATTTTCACAATATTGATTCTTCCTATCCGTGAGCATGGAATGTTCTTCCATTTGTTTGTGTCCTCTTTTATTTTGCTGAGCAGTGGTTTGTAGTTCTCCTTGAAGAGGTCCTTCACATCCCTTGTAAGTTGGATTCCTAGGTATTTTATTGCTCTTTGAAGCAATTGTGAATGGGAGTTCACTCATGATTTGGCTCTCTGTTTCTCGTTATTGCTTTATAGGAATGCTTGTGATTTTTGCACGTTGAATTTGTGTCCTGAGACTGCTGAAGTTGCTTATCAGCTTAAGGAGATTTTGGGCTGAGACAATGGGATTTTCTAAATATACAATCATGTCATCTGCAAACAGGGACAATTTGACTTCCTCTTTTCCTAATTGAATACCTTTTATTTCTTTCTCTTACCTGATTGCCCTGGCCAGAACTCCCAACACTATGTTGAATAGGAGTGGAGAGAGAGGGCATCCCTTTCTTGTGCCAGTTTTCAAAGGGAAAGTTTCCAATTTTTGCCCATTCAGTATGATATTGGCTGTGGGTTTGTCATAAACAGCTCTTATTATTTTGAGATACGTCCCATCAATACCTAGTTTGTTGAGAGTTTTTAGCATGAACGGCTGTTGAATTTTGTCAAAGGCCTTTTCTGCATCTATTGAGATAATCATGTGGTTTTTGTCTTTGGTCCTGTTTATATGATGGATTACGTTTATTGATTTGCATATGTTGAACCAGCCTTGCATCCCAGGGATGAAGCCAACTTGATCATGGTGGATAAGCTTTTTGATGTGCTGCTGGATTTGGTTTGCCAATATTTTATTGAGGATTTTTGCATCAATGTTCATCAGGGATATTGGCCTAAAATTCTCTTTTTTTGTTGTGTCTCCTCCAGGCATTGGTATTAGGATGATGTTGGCCTCATAAAATGAATTAGGGAGGATTCCCTATTTTTCTGTTGATTGGAATAGTTTCAGAAGGAATGGAACCAGCTCCTCTTTGTACCTCTGGTAGAATTTGGCTGTGAATCCATCTGGTCCTGGACTTTTTTTGGTTCGTAGGCTATTAATTATTGCCTCATTTTCAGAACCTGTTATTGGTCTATTCAGGGATTCAACATCTTCCTGGTTTAGTCTTGGGAGGGTTTATGTGTCCAGGAATTTATCCATTTCTTCTAGATTTTCTAGTTTATTTGCGTAGAGGTGTTGAGCAATCAAACTAGAACTCAGGATGAAGAAACTCACTCAAAACCACTCAACTACATGGAAACTGAACAACCTGTTATTTTGTTAAATAGATTTTCTTTGTCTTTGCCCATCCCTTCTCTTTACCCAAAACACCCAAAATTCAAATATTGTTTACTTTATGATGTCCCATATGTCATATAGGCTTTAACCATTCTTTTTGTTAAAAAATTATTCTGACCAGATTATTTCAAAAGGCCTGTCTTCAACTTCAGAAATTCTTCACTTAATCTAGTCTATTCTTGAAGGTCTTGATTTTATTGTTTTATGTCATTCATTGAATTCTTCAGTTCCAGGATTCGTGTTTGGTTCTTTGTGATATACATCCCTTTGTTTAGTTTCTAATGTAGATCAGTAATTGCTTTTCTGATTTGTTTTGTGTATCTGTGTTTTCTTGTACTTCATTGAACTACTTTAATATTACTATATTGAATTCTTATTCAGCCATTTCACAAATTTGTTTTTCATTGGAATCTGCTGCTGGATAATTATTGTTACTTTAAGGTGCCATGTTTCCTTGCTTTTTCATGTTTCTTGTGTCCTTATGTTGATATCCATGTATCTGTTTAACAATCATTTCTTCCATTTTTATAAACCAGCTTTCATAGGGAAAGACTGTTCCTTATTTTTGTATCATCTATAATGTCACTTGTGTAAGAAATTTTGGCTTAGACTTCAGGTGCACATATCATGTAGTCTCTTGGTGATATTCTTGGCTGCATTCAGCATCAGTATTGTGGTGAAGCTTTGCTTGGGACACAGATGCCAGGTAAGGCAGTCCTCAGGCACCAGTGGCAGTGACAGTTGGCTGGTTATGCCAGGCACTGGGTCCCTGGGTCCCTGGACAGTGCATGCAAGTACTTGCAGTAGTGGATCTGGGATGGCCAATTCTTGAACCTCCAGGTAGCTTGCTCAGGGCCCATGAATGGCAGCATTGAGCCAAGAAGCTTTTGAGGCCTCTGGGCAGTGTTCAGGGTGTTGGCAATGTCAGTAACAATGGTAGGCCAACCCTCAGGCCCCCAGACAGCATGCACTAGCACCAACAGTGGTGGTGGTGGACTGTGTGAGCTCATCCCCAGGCCCCTACATAGTATGTGGGGGTGGCCACAGGTGGCAGTAGTAGCAGCAGGCTTGGCAAGCCCATCCTCAGGCCCCTAGGAGGGATGAACATGTGGGTGAAACTACTCAATGCCCAGGCACCCAGAAAACATGTGGGGTCTGCAGTAGGCCTGACAGGTCTGTCCTCAGGTCCTCTGGTGGTATGTGCAAATGCCAGCTGCGGAGGGCAGAGCGAGTCAGTCCCCAGGCTCCTGGATGGTCTGCATGAGCCTCAGCAGTGGAGGTGGCAGTGGTGGGTGAGATGAGCTTGTCCTTAGGCCATGGGATGGCACCCAAGTGGGCAGGCCTTCAGGCCCAGTGAACTCTCATGCAAGTGCATGGCAGTTCTGTTGCTGGCAGGGGTAGTTGCAGTCAGTAGCAGTAGCCCCAGGCAGGGGACTGTCAAGCTCTGGGGAGCACACACTTGCACCCTTTGTCCCAATGGCAGATTCTCTGACGTGCTGCACTGCCTGTTCCCTGGAGCATAGCATGGACTAGGATGTTGGGGAGCCAGGTGCACTGCTGATTTCAGCCAGCATCACAATGCTGTAGCTCTTGGTGTAGACATAGGGTGATGTCAGCAGAGCTCCAGAGTTGTGAATAAATAGGGGGTCTTAAGCCCAGGGCAGGATATAGTCTAGTGGGGTTTGAGGTCTGAAAATGGCACTCTGCTATAACTATTTAGATTTTAAGGGGTGTGTGGGACCCAGCACAAAACTCCCTTTCTGTAGCAATGCCATTTCGTGGACTCCAGCCAGCTCTGTGTCATAGTCTCAGGGCCTAGGAAAACTGAGGGGTTCTCCTGTGGCAAGGATTACAAGGCTCCACAGGAAAAGTGTGGACTTCTGGGGATCTCTTGCTTACCTTCTCCCCTCACTGAGAGTCCTCCTGGATCCAAGCCCAACCTCACCAGGCCAGTGTCTTCTCTTTCTTCTCCTTCCACTCCTCGAATGTCCCCTGTCACTTCCCTGCTGAATCCCAGTGTTCTCTTTTAGATGCCCTATTTGATATGTGGTGATCTACTTGCTGTTTTGTGAGGAAGTGAGTACCAGATGCCTATAATCACCCATCTTCAAGCCCTGCCTTGGTTCACATATTTTAAACTTCCCATTACAGAATAACAAGGAAGAGCCCTAAAATAAAATCAAGAAAGAGATTTAAGTCAATTTGTGTTAAGAACAATGAAAAGATTTTCTTTTATTCATCATTTCTTGATTTCATTTTATTAACTTCTCCATGTGGATAGCTAGTGGTGGAAAAAACATGTCTACAGATCATTTCAAGAAAGAGAATATGTCCTAGGCTGTGATCACAGATTGTGGAAGCAGAATGATTCAGGGTTCAAGTCAATACACTTGTAAATCAAAAGTGAGTGTCTTACAATGCCATGTGCATTGCTAGGTGAAAACTCAAACCCGTCAAAGATAGATGTAGTCCCATCTTTCTGATGGTTGTTCAAGGTGACAGGTGAAATGACTTCTGGCAATTTCACTCAGATCTCCAGAGAACAAGAGTCAAATTCAAGATACAAGCAGTAAAAGAATGTTGTATGAAAGCAATACGGGGCTTGACAGATTGAAACATACTCTCAGTGGGATTGGGAGGAGAGAATAAAGCAAGTCAAGTCCTATTAAATTGTCTATAGGGCTCAATGATTATATTATTCAGGTAGCTAAAGTTACAGAGCACTCAGTATTGGCTTTCTATATCAAAAATTCAGTTAATTTTTTTGATGTTCGGCAATACAGGGTATCCAATCTTGTAGCAGCTTTGACAATTGCTAACCAGTTGAGCAATATTCTGCAATATTAATAAGCTGAGGACAAAATTCCTTATTTTATTTGCTCATCATTTGTTACTGTTTTTGTCTATATATCTATTTGTGCAAACTTTAACTCCTGAAAACCAGCTTCCAAAAAAGAATGTTCTGAAAGATTGAAAGACAAGTGGTTTTCAATGAAGTGAAGCTCATTTCCTATGTAGATTTTTATTACTATTATTATTTAAGTAGCACAAATTAAACTGAGGGAAAAAAAACACACACAGTTATTTTATTGTAGGAATTATTGTAATTTTATGTATATGTGTACAATTCTAAGCTTCTTTAGTACTATAATGTCTTCTTTCTTTACCAATAGGTTTTTTGTTTTGTTTTGTTTGTTTAGGAAGGGCAGGATAGGGATCCAGGCTGCTTAAAGACTGCAACAACAATCAGTAGAATTTTCCACAGTAATATAGATGACTTTCTGGAAAATTCCATAAACAATTCCTGCAGAGGAATGTCTATTCTCTCACTTGGAGGTCAATCACAATGCTTTTCTAGTAGGTATAGTGGACTATGACTACATTATTTCATGAGAGAAACTGTAGTTCAAGCTTAACATGAGACTCTGCATTTCAACCCATCTTGACTTTATATAGGTCTCCTTTTATAACCATTTTAAAAGCCTATAGAGAGTAGTAGAGAGGAGTAAGCTATACAGCCTAAAGAGGCATTGACCACAAGTGAACATTTAATTAGTCCCTTGTTCAATAGAATTGGCCTTCATTATGGATCTACTGTAAAAATTTCCCTATAGTGAAAACTGGACTTGATGGTGTTTTAAGTTTTCTCTCAGGGAAGTGCTTCAGAATATACACGGCACAACTTGAAAATCAGAGGAAAACACTCTACATTACAATAAATTATTTCTGATACATAGGCATTTATTTGATCAGTTGTAGTTTCTGTGTTCTCAATGTATATGCTAAGCCTACACATTAAACTATATGGGAGGAAAGTTTTGTATGCGTTTAGGCATTTAAAAAGTCATGACTTTGAACAAAATACACAAACAAAAAAAGTCATAACATTTACTAGAAATTATAACTTATGATAGGACAAGTTTAAATAATTTTAAAATACCACAATATTATCACCAAATGCTTGGCGTATCCCAGTTGCAACACTATTCACACTAGCTAAGATTGGAAGCAGCCTCAGTGTCCAGCAATAGATGAATGGATAAGGAAAATGTGGCACATACACACCATGGAGTACTATTCAGCCATAAAAATGAATGAGATCCTGTCATTTGTAATAACATGAGTGGAACTGGAGGTCGCTATGTTAAGTGACATAAGCCAGACACAGAAAGACAAATTTCACAGATGCTTATGTATTTGCAGGAGCTAAAACTGAAAACAACTGGACTCATGGAGATCCACTCCTTGAAAGCACAACAGAATGACTATAGTCAATGTAATTGTACATTTAAAAATAACTAAAAGAATGTAATGGAGTGTTCATAACACAAACTACAAATGCTTGAGTTGATGGATGCTTTGTTTACCCAGATGTGATTATTAAACATTGTATGCCTTTATCAAAATATCCCATATACCTCATAAATATATACACTTATTATGTACTCAAAAAATTTTTAAAAAAATTTTAAAATATTCCATAAGTTGTTATCTTTGCACTGGTGCTTTCTCCTCCCAATAAATTAATACCTTATCCTATATTTGTATGCTATTTAAGTATGAGTCTTTTATAATTATAATTTTTTGGTCAATTGGTAAATAGTGTTAACTGTGGACCTTAAGTCAGTACTAGACAGTAATTCTTTCATATAATACAATTATTCTGCTTGCTTCCTACTCTTTCCATCTCCATTTCCACGTGTAGTTAGAATTATTTAGAAATAATCTTATTAAATTAGTCAAGAGAAGGAGGACTGATGGTTCTAAAGTTTCATGTGGATCATGAGATATGTCTATAAGCTACATGATAGCTTATGTATTTTGTATTTGAGACCATAAATTCTTATAGCCAGAGACTATATTCTCTCTCTCTTTTTCTTTTTATAGCTCTTTTTATATTGCATGGACTATATATTTCTTTTATATTTCTTTTTATATTGCATGGGCTAAGACAGTACATTTAGTTTTTTTACAAGTGTTTACTGAATGAACACATTTGGAATTTAAATATAATACTGTTTTGTTAGTTTTCCTTTGTTGATTTTCTTTATTCCAGGTGATGGCAGTAAAGGACCTTTGCTCTATCTATAAGAATGAAATAACGAAGTTAAAAGACTTAAACTTCTCCCATACATGAAAAGTCGCTCCCTGCTTGCTGGATGACACACACATCCCTACACATAAACACACCACACTCACTAAAGGAATGTGCAAAGAGAGGGAAATTATTAAAATGGCAATATATTTGTTAATTTTCATAAATAACAAGGTGTGTGTTTTTGTTCCATTTATTATCTGTTTTTTTGTCTGTAACATTTTAGTATAAGTTTCAATTCATTTATATAATTTACTGAACTAGTAGAAATATATTTCACCTTTGGCATTTTAAAGTGCACCTGAATAAAAAGAATACATTATTTTCTTTTCAGGGATAGGTGAGACTTCAATAAAGCTGTTTAGTTCAAATTTGTCGTGTAAGGTAGATGGCACCAGAGCTGTGTTATGTCAATGGCAGTTTTCAAATGAAAAACATTACATTAAGCCTTGAGCATGCCATCTGGAATTGCAATAAGTAGAACACCGAACAAGGAATGTTAGAGAAGAAGCTTAAAATTAAAAAGTTGATGTATAAACACCACAGAAATGAATTTATGTAGTGGTTTTTAATTGCTTACAAATAAGAATGTGGTGATTACTTCTCTAACCAGAAAGGAGTTTGCCCTGAATTTGTGGATTTCCTAGCAAATGCATTTACAATAGTGATGATATTTATAAGAAAGAAAAAATCATAATATATTATTACTTACTGATATTGACCAGCATAATTGCAATTTTTCTGTTGTGAAGTTAAGATTCTCTAGGTTAATTTTACAGTATTTGTTTCCTGTAGAAATCATATGCTGAATGGTCCCATAATAATAGCTCGGAGTTATTGTTATTAGAATTTTATGCATTGTCTTATTAATTGCATTGAGCTTGTATCATTCTAAGTTTGCAATTAAAATGCCCAAGACTCAGAAACCTTCAATAATTTGCTCAAAACCATAGAGCTTGTTAGAAGACGTTGGAATATAACTTAGAATCTTGCAGCTTCTTTTACTAATTGTAAAAACACTATCTGTCTTCTTTTATGCCACCACACCCTCAGTATTATGCAGACTCGATTCATATAAAGATAGATTTTTCAAATCTAATTTTGAAAACTGGACATTATTTTTTCTTAAGAATGAGCACCTTAAATGAGGGTAACAACTTGAAAGTAAACTATTACTTATAAGACTTTCCCACAGAAAAGTTGTAAAATAAAGATATTGTGTGCATTGTATATTTGTGTATAAGATATATATCTGTATAAATTCACATTTTAAGATAATTTCTGATTTGTTTTGAGGTAGGGTCTCACTCTGTCAGCAAGGCTGGAGTACAGTGCCATGATCATGGCTCACTGTAGCCTCAACCTCTTGGGATGAAGCAATCCTCCTACCTCAGCCTCCAGAGTAGCTGAGACTGCAGGCATGGGCCACCACACCTGGCTAGTTTTTCTGTAGTTTTTATAGAGACAGGGTTTCACCATGTTGTCTAGACTGGTCTTGAACTCCTGAGCTCAAGCCATTCTTCTGCCTCAGCCTCCCAAAGTGCTCACAGGCGTGAAGCCATCATGCCTAGCAATTTCTGAATTTTTAAATACTACCAAAACAATACAATAAAATCAAGACAGAAAAAGATATTACAGCTTATGTATGAGATGGTCATTTGATCATATAACTGGAAGGGTGAAGTATATAAACAATGACTATGAATGTACAATGAGGACAACAGCAAAAACCTGAAAATACAAAATAAGATACTAGTAGTTAGATGAATATTAGAATGGGATGCAACAGTTTGCCTGCTAAGAATTATAAAAGCATTCTTCTGAAACTTTGGCAATATTGTATTTATCCAATGTCAATAACTTTTCATTAGCTCTTCAATTGGAATGTAAATTTCTGTTAAGACTTTTAACTAGATAATTTAAAAAGCAACGCTATTGAATTATATAACTTAAAGAAATAGTTTCCATTTTCCCCTAATCGGGATATATGAATTGAACCTTTATTTGCACCCTTTCCCCACATCCACACAAATTATGAACTATAGACTTCATAGTTTGCTGAGTAGTTGAGAACAAGCTACATGGTTAGAAGAGTTATCTATCGACCCACGGTCTTCTGTGCTTGCAAAAATCTTGGCTTTTTCCTAATTGGATATTTTACAATTTTTTCTGTGCTAACTGTAGTAAAAGAACATAGGATTTTAGGTGAGAAATCAAATATACATAAAATAAATTTATTTATATAATCAAATATATATATTTGATTTCTTTCTTACCTAAAATCCTGTTATTTTATAAATGTAATTTATATATATATAAATGTATATATTTTTATATATATAAATTACATTTAGCAGATAACTAATAATTTTCTTATTTTATAAACAAGAACACCCAGTACAAAAAGCTGTAACTTACCCAAGAACTCATGGGAGACTGGGAGTGCAGACACCTCCTCACTTTACTAATTTCCTTTCTTTGGGTATATACCTACTAGTGGGATTGCTGGATCATATGATAGCAATATTTTTAGTTTTTTGAGGACTCTCCAAACTGTTCTCCATGGTGATTGTACTAATTTACATTGTCACCAACAGTGAATGAAGATTCCCTTTTCTACACATCTTTGCTAGGATTTGTTATTGTCTGTCTTTTGAATAAAGACCATTTTAACTGGGGTGAGGTGATAGCTCATTGTAGTTTTGATTTGCATTTGTCTAGTGATCAATGATGTTGAGTACCTTTCAGATACCTGATTGGCATTTCTATGTCTTGTTTAGAGAAATGTCTATTCATATCTTTAATTTATTTTTTAATTGGATTATTTAATTTAATTGGATTATTGGATTTTTTCCTATAGAGTTGTTTGAGCTCCTTATATATTCTGGTTATTAATCGCTTGTCAGATGAACAGTTCACAAACATTTTTCCCCTTCTGTGGGTTGTCGCTTCACTTTGTTGATTGTTTACTTTGCTATACAGCTTTTTAACTTGATGCAATCCCATTTTGCTTTGGTTGCCTGTGACTGTAGGATGTCACTCAAAAAATCTTTGCCCAGTCCAGTGTCCTGGAGAGTTTCCACAATGTTTTCTTGTAGTACTTTCATAGATTGAGGTCTGAGACTTAAATCTTCAATACAATTTGATTTGGTTTTTTGTGAACAGCAAGAGATAGAAACATCATTTTTCTGCACATAGATATCCAAGTTTCCCAGCACTATTTCTTAAAGAGGATGCCTCTTCCACAGTGTATATTCTTGACAACTTTGTCCAAAGTGAGTTTACTGTAGAAGTATGGATTTCTATCTGAGTTCTCTACTCTGTTTGCTTGATCTGTGTGTCTGTTTTTATGGGATTACGCCAATGGTATTTTGCTTACTATTGTTCTATAGTATAATTTGAAGTCAGGTGATGTTTCATTCTTTTTGTTCATGTTAGCTTTGGCTCTTCTGGGTCTTTTGTGGTTCCATATAAATTTTAGGGTTGCTTTTTTGATTTCTGTGAAGAATGTCATTGGTATTTTTATAGGGGTTGCATTGAATATATAGATTGTTTTGGGCAGTATGGACATTTTAACAATATTGAGTCTTTCAATCCCTGAACATAAAATATTTTTTCGGAAAAAAGTTTGTGTCCTGTTCAACTTAGTTCATCAATTTTTTAATAGTTTTTATTGTAGAGGTATTTTACTTCTTGTGTTAAGTTAATTTCTAGGTATTTAATTTTATTTCTTGCTATTCTTAATAAGATTACTTTCTTGATTTCTTTTTGAGATTGGTCATTTTTGGTATATAGAAATGCTAATGATATCTGTTTACTCATTTTGTGTCCTGTAACTATACTGAATTTGTTTATCAGTTCTAATCTTTTTTTTTTTTTGGTGGAGTATTCAGATTTTTCCAAATATAAGATCACATCATCTGCAATCAAGGATATTTTGATTTCTTCCTTTCCAATTTGGATGCCCTTTATTTCTTTCTTTAGTCTCATTGCTCTAGCTAGTACTTCCAGTACTATACTGAATAACAGTGGTGAAATTGGGCATCCTTTTCATGTTACAGATCTTAGAGAAAAGGTGATCAATTTTTCCCCATTCAGTGTTATATTAGCTATGGGTCTGGTATATATGGTTTTTATTATGTTGAGGTATATTCTTTCTATACTGTTTTTTGAGGGTTTTTATTGTGAAGGGATGTTAAATTTTGTCAAATACCATTTTAGTATCAATTGAAATGATCCCATGATTTTTGTCTTTTATTCTGTTCATATACTGTATCATATTGATCTGTATATGTTGAACCATCCTTGCATTGCTGGGATAAATGATCTTTTTAATGTGCTATTGAATTAAGTTTGTTAGTATTTTACTATTTTTGCATCAACATTTATCACAGATACTGGCCTGTAGTTTTCTTTTTTTTTAATGTGTCTTTGTCTGGTTTTGTTATCAGCGTAATGCTGGCCTCATAAATCAGTTAGAAAGTGTTCCCTCTGCCTTTATTTTTCAGAATAGTTTGAAGAGGATTGCCGTTAGTTCCTCTTTAAAAGTTTGCTAAAATTCAGTAGCAAAGCCTCAGGTTTCAGATTTTCTCTTGGTGGATTACTTTTTACTATGGCTTTTTTTTTTTTTTTTTTTTGAGATAGAGTCTTGCTCTGCCACCCACGCTGGAGTGCAGTGGTGTGATCTCAGCTCACTGCAAGCTCCGCCTCCCGGGTTCACACCATTCTTCTGCCTCAGCCTCCCAAGTAGTTGAGACTATAGGCACCCGCCACCATGCCCTGCTAATTTTTTGTATTTTTAGTAGAGATGGGGTTTCACCATATTAGCCAGGATGGTCTCAATCTCCTGATCTTGTGATCCACCTGCCTCGGCTTCCCAAAGTGCTGCAATTACAGTCATGAGCCACCACGCCAGGCCTACTATGGCTTTTGTCTATCCATTTCTATACACCTAGAATTTGTGCCTAGGAGTTAATCAATTTCTTCTAGATTTTTCAAGCTAGAAGAAATTAAGGGCATATAGTTGCTCATACTAGCCTCTAATGGTCTTTTTAATTTCAGTGATATTGATTGTTATGTTTTCTTTTTCATCTCTGAAAATTTATTTGAGTCTTCTCTCTTTTTTCCTAGTTAATCTGGCTAAAAGACTGCCAATATTGTTTATCTTTCAAATAAACAACTTGTTTCATTGATCTTTTGTATTGTTTCCTTTATTTCAATTTCATTTATTTCTGCTGTGATCTTTATTATTACTTTTTTTCTACTTACTTTGAGTTTGGTTTGCTCTTGTATCTAGCTCTTTAAGATGTATTGTTAGGTTGTTTATCTGAAGTTTCCCTTCTCTTTTGATGTAGGCATTTATAGCCATAAATTTGCCTCTTAGTACTGCTTTCTCTGTATCTCATAGGTGTTGGTATGTTGTTTCCCTTATCATTTGTTTCAAGAAATGTTTCAATTTTCTTCTTAATTTTTTCATTGATCCATTTGTCATTCAGAGGTATATTGTTTAATTTCCATATGTTTGTATAATTTCCAAAATTCCTCTTGTTGATTTTTAGTTGTATTCCTTTATGGTCAGAGAAGATGCTTGACATTATTTCAAATTTTTTGAATATTTTAAAACTTGTTTTATGCAGTAACATATGGTTTATCTTTGAGAATGATCCATGTGCTGAGTAGAAAAGTGTGTATTCTGCAGTTGTTGAATGAAATGTTCTGGAAATAGCTATTAGGTCCATTTGGTCTATAGTATAGATTAAGTCTGAGGCTCATTTATTGAATTTCTGTCTGAATGATCTGTCCATTGCTGTCCACTGGTGTTGGAAGTCTCCATCTAATATTGTATTGAAGTCTATCTCTCTCTTTAGCTTTAATAATATTTGCTTTATATATCTGGGTACTCCAGTGTTGGGTACAGATATATTTACAATTGTTATGGCTAGTTGCTGAATTGACTCCTTTATTATTATATAATAACTATCTTTGTCTCTTTTCATAGTTTTTGTCTTGAAATCTATTTTGTCTGCCATAAGTATAGCTTATCCTGCTCTTTTTTGGTTTCCGTTGGAATGGAATATCTTTTTCCATCCCTTTAAAATATGTTTTTAAAAAATAGATACAAGGGAAAAACTTGTTCTATGGTAAAGGTAATAAATATAAATTTTTAAATAAAAACTACCAGTAAATTATCCAGGATGAAATAGTCAGCAGGACTTGATAAATGACGAACTGAAAATTAGAATTTATAGCTGGAGGCATGGAATGAGAAAACATCTACAGAGAGGTGACAGTTCAAGTCCTGAGAAAAGGGTGAGATTTTCCCAAGTGACAGAGAAGAAGAAAAGGCAAAAGAAAGTCAAAGGGAGGGTAAGCAAAGGAAAGGAAGACAACAGCACTTACAGAATGCCTCTATATAGGGTGAGAGAAGAACAGAAAGCAGAGGATACAGGAAAAATCTTTGCAAGCAGGGATCAAATATGTGGTCATTTCAACAATGGCAAGGGGCAGAAAATTTTAAATGAAGAGAGACTACTAGGCTAAGTGAAGAAGTTTGAAAAAAAATTAAGACTGACCAAAGGATCTAAGAACTAGGAAAATATTCACAACCTTCATAAAAACAGTTTGGGAGAATGGTGAAAGTTAAAAAAAAAAAAAGCAACAACATATCAGGTGTGAATGAAAGATAAAAAAGTAATACAAAGTATTGGACCATCTTTTTGATAAGTTTCATAATGAAGGGAAGAAAGCAATTAGAACAGTATCTAGAAAACGCAGTTAGATTATGGAAAACATTTTTAGAAGAAGTCATATATTTTTATAGATATAAATACAAAATTATAATTATAAGAAATTATGAGGACAATAACTGATGGGCGAACATCTAGCAGAACTTCAAAATAAACTTTTTCCCAGACCACCACAACTGGGCAGCCTAGAATTGCTCTCTCACTCTCCATCTTGGAATTCTTCAATAATTGAGGAAGTAATCTGATTACACAAAGTGAGGATGAAATTTTGAAACTTTGGTTTTCGAACTACAGTTGAAATTGAAGCAAGAATTGAAATTGTACATGAAGGATATGACCAGATGACTAATATTTATCATCCATTAAACATTTTTATTAAAAAAATTATATATGAAATTCTGATTAATTTTCATATGAACTTTTAAGAAAATTTAAGACAAAAAATATAATTTCTCTAATGTTGGCTGATTTTACTGTGTTTATTTGTTTGAGATGGAGTTTTGCTCTTGTTGCCCAAGCAGGAGTGCAATGGCACAATCTTGGCTCACTGCAACCTCTGCCTCCCAGGTTCAAGCGATTCTCCTGCCTCACCCTCCTGAGTAACTGGGATTACAGGCGCCCGCCACCATGCCCTGCTAATGTTTTGTATTTTTGGTAGAGATAGGGTTTCACCATGTTGGTCAGGCTGGCCTCAAACTCTAGGCCTCAAGTGATCCACCCACCTCGGCCTCCCAAAGTGCTGGGATTTCAGGCGTGAGCCACCGCACCCGGCCTATTTTACTGTTTTTAAAATGCTCTCTGAAGCAGCAAGCGAATGGTTAAGGAAAAGACTGTAGTACATACTGCCAACAGCCACCCTCACACCCTGAAATAAACTTTAGAACATCACATTGAAATCCTCACATAGATGTTTTTACTAAACTTATAAGAAATGGCGTTAGTCTGAGGTTAATTACCTCAGCCATTACTATGGGCCATAATCTCACTCAGCAAATCATTAATAACAAGAAATTGTCTTGGAGAGCAATCATTATTGTGTGGACATTGAAAATTCATTCTGAAGTTGATTATCTTTGGTAATTTTAAAAGCGTGAGAAGCAAACATAGTGAAGGTTATGGAACATCTTTGACAGTCAGGCAATATCTTATCCTGACCCACAGGCAAATATACTGCACAGCCACGATTCCTCTAATACAACAGCTTACTGATTTTAGTTTTAAAGCAGCAGAGGAAAGCTGAATGACAGACAATGAGGAGGGCACTGGCTTTGAGGGGGGCTGATCCTGTGCGAAATAAGCACAGCTAGAAGAGTGAGTTTAAGAGACCAAAATGAATTTTATATTTTGATTCTGATTTTAGACAGATTGAAACATGTACTAGGTCACTGTTCAATTCAATTAAAGCTGCATTTGAGCACCAATAAAGTACATGTAAAAATGTGATCCTTGAGCACCCTTGGTAGCAGAAAATATAAAATTTTATTTTCTGGATAGTAACAAGAGAAAGAGAAAATTTTGTCTTACCTGATGTGTAGAAAAGCCTGTGAGCAGTTATCTTCCAAACACTGTACAAAAAAAGTATTTTTGAAGATTTTATTACCATCTGAGTGATTAGCTATTACTTTTAAAAGTAATAATAATGCTTTACAGTGTATATTGTTGAGGCTTTCCACTGTAAATTTACATAATTTATCCCCTTTGAATCCTTGCCAGATACTTATAAATTAATGATAAACAAACTGTTTAGTCTTATGGGATCCAAAATATTTTGATATATAAGCACAAAGATTTCCTAATCTAAGGCAACTAAATTATCAGATATGGTATTTGTAGATGCTGACTTCACTTAACTAAAGGGAGGAAAGTAATTGGAATGTTCTACTTGCATGTACTATGTTAAATAATCAGGTAGAAAGCTGAGAGCAAATACCCATTTTAGGGCTTGAATTACTTTGCGTAATAAACTAAATGGTGGACAAAAGAGAAAATCTCCTTCAAGTTTAATTAGACACTGCCGGTTACTTTTTATGCACAAAGTACCATTTGGCACCTGATGATGTGTATAGAAATTAGTAAAATGTTGTCAGCTGCCCAACAGGAGCTCACATACATGCTGGAGACACATGCATACATCACGAAAGGTAGTAAACAGTATGGTTAATAGAGCAAGCTCTGAAGTAAAATTACATGGGTTCAGACGCTGGCACACAACAGGTTCATGTTACTTATATGAATGAATTGATTAAACTGTTAGAACTGGAGGACACGTACATGACAGTTACTGGTTAATGCTTAGATGCATAGTGAATACATATATATATAATTTGGTATATAATTTGACTCATGGTTTTATCTGAAAAATCTTTAGTCTACCTCTTTTAACCAATAGATGTTTTTTTCCGTTATCTTACACAAGACCAAAGAGTTCAATTTCCTCTTGTTTCTCACTTATCTTTCTTTTATACTTTTGATCCTTGAGAGATGAGGAAAGATAATGAAACGGAGATCAAAAGTGACCTTGTGTTTTAGCATACTGTGCAAAATGGTATGGGAAAGAGAAGAGAAAGAAATAAGTTTAAATTTAAAACGATGAAAATCATCCTGGAATCTAGAGAGAACACTTTAACGTGGACTCTGTCATCAAACTCTGAAAATGATGAAAGTCTACAGCCTACGGGGTCAGACTGAAACTAGGAAGATCTGAGTGAATAAATTGTTACTTATGAACAACATAAAGAGAGTTATTTGCAGAAGAGATTTTCATTTCTGTCTGTAAACTACATCTTAGAAGTGCAGGAACATGTTCTATCTTATGTTAGTAAGTCTTTTTATTTCCATTAATACCATTATTCTGTTAAATACTTTTTGTTTCCTTCCATTCGTTGTCTACCAAATTAGGTACAAATATCATCTGCCAGAATGTGGTCTTTTTCAGTTTACACAAAAGGTGTGCAAAATTTTTTTGTCTTTTTTTTAATCCAAGAATTTACCCTGGTCCCTGTGTATAATCAACAAATATATTTTATCTCATCTGAACAGAGATCATTTACCACCTTGAAATGTCAACAAAATATATTATGTTCCAGAAAACAGGGAGAGGAGAGATGAACTCTTCAGTATCAGTAATCAGATCATATACACACCTGGCAGACGGTCAGAAGCTTAAGGTAAATACCCTTCAAGGAAGAGAGAGGAGATAAACTACCTTTACTGAGCACAGACCTTGTGTCTGCCATTACACTAAGTAACTTACCAGATAGGTAAAAATTGATTCCACATCAAAGTGATAAAAGGCAATATATTTCTGTGTCACTTAGCTCATTTCACTTAGCATAATGTACTGTACCAGGTTGATTTCTACAATGAATTTTTCCTGATATTCATTTGAGAACTATTTTTGAAGGAAAGGACAAGAATTCTCTATGGGAAATAATAGGAGAATTTGTGAAAAAATATTTATCTTAATTCCAATTTGACTTCTAAGAAACCAGAGGTAAACCAGAAGGTACTTAATTTGCTCAATATCTCACATTCTGCAAGTAACAAAACCTAATAATTGAAGTTAAAATTAAAGCAATAATGATGATAATGGTGTTAGTAGTAGCAGGAATATCTGTAATTTATGAAGTTCTTGCAATGAGACAAGAATGTGCCACCACTTCCCATGTACTATCTATTTAACTATTACATTCTCTAGACAATAGGAGGAGACAATGGTTCAAGTAAATTAAGGCATTAGATATGTAAACAGGGATTTACTTTTATTATTGGAGCTGATGACTGCTGGCAAAGACTTCTATACCAGCCAATCACATTGCACTTTTCTTCAAAAATAGTTCTCAAATTAATATCAGGAAAAATTCATTGTTGGAATCATCCTGGTCCAGTACATTATGCTAAGTCAAATAAGCCAGGGGACACAGAAAGATATTGCATTATATCACTTTTATTTGGAATCTTAAAAATGTCGAACTCAGAAACAGAGACTAGAATGGTGATTGCCAGGTGATGGGGGTGGAGGAATAGGGAGATAGTTAAAGGGTGCAAACTTTTGGTTATAATATGGATAAATTCTAGAGATTTAATGGTAACTGTGGTTAACAATAATATTTACTTAAAATATGCTAAGAGAGTACATCTTAGTATTTCTCTCTCTCTGTCTCTCTCTCTCTCACACACACACACACGCAGAAAAAAACAGTAAAATATTAAATTTTTAACAAATTTGTAGGTAATGCTGCTGTGGTGGTTTGAGGACTTCATATTAAGAACAATTGATTTAGACAATGGTATAATAATTTTCTTCACTCTTATTTGCATATAAATGTAATTTCTGGAGGAGTCATGCACCTGGCCACTTCTAAGAAATCTGTCTTGCATTGACTCCACTTTTCTTGTGTGCATGTGTGTAATGCAGATAAAAAGGTTGAAATCTAAGAGATTCAAGGCTCGAGAAAAAAAAAGAAGGAAAGAAAATGGGCTTTAAGGCACACAGAGATTAGTTAAAAGCTGAGGCATGCCCATTCCTAAATTTTTAATTCCAGGCAAATTATTTAAATTTTCACTATTCATTTTGTATTTCTACAAATCTAGATAATAATCTCTAATTTTCAGGGTCATAATGAAGATTAAAGATTAAATTAAAAATATGCAATTTATTCCGATATATAATCTGTGATGATCCAGACAATATTCAGCAGCCACTAGTATCACAGCCTGAAAGAGCAAAGTCATTCACCCTTCTAGTTCCCTGTTTGGTGAAAGAAAGAGTAAGTAAAAAGTACTAAGTATATTTCATTTTAAAGCAGTCTATTAATTCTTAATTGAAGCCAAATGTGCACGAGTTTACAGATAGTACAGAGTAAAAATAAATAAATGTGGAGAATTAAAATTCTATAATTATATTTAATTATTTTAAAACCTCAATAGTTAATACAATACAAAAACAAGTCACATACTGGAAGAAAATATTTCCAAAACACATATGTAACAAGCTAATACAATACAAAAACAAGTCACATACTGGAAGAAAATATTTCCAAAACACATATGTGACAAAGGACTTGAATCCAAAATATACAAAGAACTCTTAAAACTCAATAATAAGAAAAGAACAAGCCAGTTAAAAGGTGGGCAAATATCTGAAAAAACAGTTCACCAAAGAAAATATACAGATAGAAATAAACATGAAAAAATATCAGCATCATGTGTCATTAAGTATTTGCAAGTTAAAACAATGAGATACCATTACACACCTATTAGAATGGCTAAAACTCCAAACACTGATCATACCAAGTGTTAATGACAATGTAGAGCAACAGAGACTCTCATTCATTGCTGGTGGAAATGCAAAATCCTATGGATAACTTGGGAAGACAATCTGGCAGTTTCTTACGAAGCTAAACATAGTCTTACCATATGATCTAGCACTTGTTCTCTTAGGTATTTACCCAAATAAACTAAAAGCATAAATCCACACAAAAACCTACACTTCGATGTTTAGAGTAGCTTTATTATTGATTGCCAAAAAATTGGAAGCAAGCAACATATCCTTCAACAGGAGAATGAATAAACAAATTGAGGTATATTGATACAATGGAATATTATTTCAAGATAAAACAAAATGAGCTGTCAAACCAAAAAATACATGGGCGAAATCCTAAATGGGTATTTGCTAAGTTAAAGTGTTAATTTTGACAATGATACACACTGTATAATTCCACTATAAGACATTCCAGAATTCCAGAAAAGGCAAATGTACAGAGACAGTAAAAATATCAGTGGAAAAATGTCAGTTGTTACCAGGGATTGGGAGGAGAGAGGAAAGGATGAGTAGATGTGGGGAAAAGGGATGTTTAACTCAGTACAAGTATTCTGCATACTGTGATGGTGAATACATAATATTGGTCACTTGTCAAAACCCATAGAATTGTACAGCACAGAAAGTAAATGTTTATGTAAACTATAGACTTTAGTTAAAAATATTACACCAATACTGCTTCATCTATTGTAATAAACGTACCACACTAATGCAAAGTGTTGATAATAGGAAAAACTGGGTAGGAGATTATATGTAAACTCTGTACTTTATGCTCAGTTATTTTTGTAAACCTAAAAATGCCCCCAAAATACAGTCTAATAATTAAAACACAACCCACAAAAATAAAATAATGGTATTTTAAATCTAGGTAAAACAATTTAGGACACTACATATTATATTTCCTCTCGTAGATATTCAAAATTGCATTTCTATATTAAAAGTTGAGAGGATCTGAGTAAAGAAATATGTTTAAGGCTGGATGCAGTGGCTCACACCTGTAATCCCAGCACTTCGGGAGGCTTGAAGCAGGAGATCACTGGAGCCCAGGAGTTTGAGAGCAGACTGGGCAACATGGTGAAACCCCACTGCTACAAAAAGATAAAAAAAAAAAAATTACCCAGGCCTGGTGGCCCATGTGTGTAGTCCCAGCTACTGGGCAGGCTGAAGTGGGAGGATGGGTTGAGCCCAGAAGGTTGAGACTGCAGTAATCCTCTGCACTCCAGCCTGGGTGACAGAGCGAGACTCTGCCTCAAAAAAGAAAAAAAAAAAAAAAAGAAAGAAAGAAATATGTTTAACTATTTTTAACCCCATGTTTTCCAAACGTTTTTGGTTACTGACTGAACCCCTTTATCCCCTAATAATCTCTATTAATATTCTGTGGGACACATTTTAGGGACTGCTACACTGGACATTTCCAGTTTCCCTTAAGCTACCTTCCAAAATTCTTTGGCTTGCTGGTATGATTATTTTTCCTTTACTTAAGTGTATACTTAAATATAAGCAAATATACATATATTTGCTTATATTTAATCATATATTAAATATAAGTATATATACTTAATATATGCTTAAATATATATAAGTATATATGCTTATATTTAAATATAAGCTAATATATGTGTATTTGCTTATATTTAAATATATGCTTAAGTAAAGGAGAAGTAATCATACCAGCAGTCTCAATACACAGCACTCTGCTCAAAACCCTATGGTTGTCTTCTATCACCATTTCTCTTTGAAAAATAAGACTAAAATCAGTGTTGACCTTCATATTGATGAATGCAAAGGTCACTCCTCAATTCTAATCAGCACTGTATTAGCCAGGGTTCTCTAAAGGGACAGAACTTACAGGATATATGTACATATGAAGGGGAGTTTATTGGAAGAATTGACTCACACGATCACAAGGTGAAGTGGCACTGTGTGGGCACAGGCCATCTGCAAGCTCAGGAGCAAGGAAGCCAGTCCCAGTCCCAAAACCTCAAAAGTAGGGAAGCCGACAGTGCAGCCTTCAGTCTCTGAACAAAGGCCCTAGAACCCCTGGCAAATCACTGGTGTATGTCCAAGAGTTCAAAAGCTGAAGAACTTGGAGTCTGATGTTCGAGGGCAGGAAGCATCCAGCATGAGAGAAAGATGAAGGCTGGAAGACTCAGCCAGTCTGCTCTTTCCAGCTTCTGCCTGCTTTATGCTAGCCATGCTGGCAGCTGATTAGATGGTGCCCACCTGGATTGAGGGTGGGTCGGCCTCTCCCAGTCCACTGACTCAAATGTTAAACAGGTTCCTACATAGGGTCAGTCCACTAATATGTGCATCCTACAGGTTTTCTGCTGCACATCTTAGGCAAAATGATTATTTTGTGATTATTTGACTAATGTCTATTTTCACTGACACACTGGAATCCATTTGGCAAAGGTTTATATACCATTCTATGATTTGCTTACCCTGCTTAAAGCGGAACGCCTGGCTCAGTTTTCAGCAAATACTTGTTGAATTAATTAATGAAATTCTATGTCATAAATTCAGTACATATAGGTGTGCCAATCACATTAGCTTGAGGAAAGAGGTTGATTCCATGAGGAACCAACATAGTGTAGGCAAAGAGCAGAAAATAATTAGTAGCTATCCTCTCAGGCTGGAAAGAGTAGGCCAAGAAAGCAAAATTTAGAAAAAACATTAGAATCCAATTAGAAAAATCACAGGTGATTAAAAAATAAAAGGCAAAAACAGGCTTTATTCCTTCTTTGCATACAACTCTGGTAGTATAAGATAACAGCTGATAATACATTGAGGACTACAGTGTTAACACCAGGATGGTAATAATAGTATCTAGCATGAAAGGCTAGATAAGGCCATTGCAAAATTACATAAATAAACACAAGTAAAGCAGTTAGAAGAATCCCTGGCAAATAATCAGCTCACTATAAGTAATAGCAGTTTTAGAAGGTTCAGTTGACAGTAGGTAGTCCCACTAATTTCATTTTATTATATCTTCAGAAAGTTGATGTTTACTTACTGAAAAAGAAAAAAAATGGGAGGAGATGATAATATGGAAAAGCCATTTGTATTTGTCGGGGTTCTCTGGAGAAAAAGAATTACGTGTGTGTGTGTGTGTGTGTATATATATGTATATATATATATATATATATATATATATATATATATATATATATGATTGAGTACAAAAAAACTACCTATCAGGTACTACCTATCAGCTATACGTGTACCTGTACATGTATATGTATATGTATATGTATATGTATATCTGTTCATATTTTTCAGATGAGGAAACTGAAGATCAATCAAGAAATTAATTATTTTATTCCAGTTCAGGAAAGCAGTGAGTGGAAGAGCTGAGATTTAACTCAAGAGTAGTTGGCAAAGTTTTTCCAGCTATTTCCATTATACCATACTATTTTCCTTATAATTTATCAGCTTCCCAAAAGCAAAGATTCCTTAAAATTTAAAGATATTATATTCCAATCAACATTTTCAAAAATTTTCATCTTTACTCACTTTTTTCTTTCACAAAATATGGCATGTGTTTCAGATCCAGAGGTCAGGTTTCTACTTCCAAAGACGTGAGACCTCCTTTTCCAAGTTCCCTGTGTTCCTGCAAGTGTTGTTTTCTATGACCATGTGCTCAGCCATACATAAAGCAATGATTATTCAGAAGGTTTGCAGATTTGAAAATTATGTAATGACTCTGGGATTTCTGTTTTCTAAGTAAGAAAATTGGCATTGTGTTGTTTATACTTAATTCAAAGGCAGCTTATCTGCATTTTTATTAAGGAAATAAATTAACTATTTTTGGAAAAAAAGAGGCAAGAATTATGATGTCTCTTAGCATTTAATATAATCTGAGAACTTTTTGTTCTCAGGTTAAAAACAAAGACCTTGAAACCAGTCTATCTGGATTCACATCCCAGCTCTGTCCCTGTCTAGCCAAGTGACCCCAGGCACTTAATATGTATGTCCCTGGAACATAGTAAGCTTTCAATAAATATTAGCAGCTTTTACTGTTATTTTTATGTTTCTCAAACGTCAAATTTGTTCTGACATTGTGGCCTTCTTAAAAAGAGAAAGACTCTGAATGCTGAAGCAAAACCAGAAGCTACCACACAATACCAGGTATTATACAATTTAAAAGCAACAGGTTAAAAGAGGCAAATCCGTGTAAAATGGTATTTAACTTTGGTGTATGTAACCCTCTTTATTTTCCCAGTCCCTTTACATACTTCCGGGCAGAGACCTCGGTGGAGGGGTGGAGTGGGGCGCTGGTTTCAGCGGGGATTGACAATTAGAACAGCTTATTAAACTAAGCAAGGACCTGGGTTGAGTGGATAATGGAAACTGAAAGGTGACGTGAAAAATTGCCTATTACACACTGGAGGTGAAGGACAATTTCATATTTCATGGAAATAAAGTCAGGGCCAGGAGCGGTGGCTCACACCTGTAATCCCAGCACTCTGGGAGGCCGAGATGGGAGGATCACTTGAGCCCAGGAGCTCGAGATCAGCCTGGGCAACATAGTGAGACCTCTTCTCTACTAAAAGTCAAAAATCAGCCAGGTGTGGTGGTGCACACGTGTGGTCCCGGCTACTCGGGGCGCTGAGGTGGGAGGATCACTTGAGCCAGGGAATTTGAGGCTGCAGTGAGCCATGATCTCGCCACCACACTCCAGCCTGGGTGACAGAGCTAGACCCTGTCTCAAACAAACAAGCAAATAAATGAGAGGCTTTATTTCTCCTTTGAAAATAAAGAAAAATATTTTTCTTCCTTTTGTCTCTTTTCTCAGGACATTTTCCATCAATTGAAATCACATATGTAATGACTTCACTGTTTAGTCTATGTTTTTAAGTTGCTTTGAGTTTTTAATCTATGGTTCTCTAATGTATAACTTAATTCAGATTTAGCAAAAAGATTAGAAATGTTGGGCTGAATTCTGACATCGATGTTCACTTTGCAGTGATCATCTCACATTATACATTAAGTATATGATGGTTAAATTAATATCCCACTGGGATGAAAAAAATTCCTCCTCTGAAACCTGAACATATCATAAAAATTGGATCTACAATAGTAAAAAGTTTGTTAAACATTTAAAAACTCAATGTTCATTATTAATTGTCTGTTTTACTTGACTAGTGTGGATCCTAATGAAATAAATTGATGTAAAAGTGCATCATAGGCTCTTCAATAATTTTTGTAATTATTTAATTATAATTAATGCATCATTAAAATGTGACTGATAACAATTCGATATAAATTGTCAGATATTATTAATTAACCTGATATTCATTATACTTGCATTGATCATGTTATTGTAGATATAAAATATTCTTTTAGGGATATACATTAGTTATTCTGAATGAACTGCAGCACTTTAATAGTTCCATTCTATAAAAGTACATAATTAATAGTTTTTCTTCTCTTGGAATATATGTGCCCATCAATGAATGGACATAAATTTTTTATCACATTTGTATCTCTTTAAATAGTCTTAGAGTAGAACTAATGTCATTAGCATTCATTAACTTGTACTGGGTTCTTTATAGTGGTCTTGCTGAGAATGAACTTCGGTTCACACATTTTAGATAGAGTTTGTTCATCTTTTATTGAAAGATTATGATTCCTTCCTAAATTGGCTATAGGCTTTTCATTATGATTGCAAATAAGCTCAAAGCCATGCTTAAAATGTATTACATGCATGTGGCTTAAATATTTGTATTTTCGTTGTTCATTTTTTTGATAATTGTAATTTAAAATGATTTTTTACATGTCTATACGTTGGCAGCTAAACCACAACATAATTTCAACTCCATATATTTATAAATTTTTATCTCAAATATTTTTTCATCAAAAACACAGCCACAGCTTACATTACATATTTAAATATTATGGCTGTGAGCAGTGGCTCATGCCTGCAATCCTAGCACTTTGGGAGGCTGAGGAGGGCAGATTGCCTGAGCTCAGGAGTTCGAGACCACCCTGGGTGACATGGTGAAACCCCGTCTCTACTAAATACAAAAAATTAGCTGGGCATGGCGACGTGTGCCTGTAGTCCCAGCTACAGGCTGAGGCAGGAGAATTGCTTGAATACGGGAGGCAGAGGTTGCAGTGAGCCAAGATCACGCCATTGCACTCCAGCCTGGGTGACAGAGGGAGACTCCGTCTCCAAAAATAAATAAATAAATAAATAAATAAATAAATAAATAAATAAATAAAATTAAACCAAAATATGTGAGTATATTTTTATATTTAATATATAGTTACATGGCAGATTAGTTTTCTGGGGCTGCTGTAACAAAGTACCACAAATTCAGTGACTTAAAATAACAAATTTACTCGCCCAGAGATCTGGGTACTAGAAATTTGAAATCAAGTTGTAGGTAAGGTTAATCCTTAAGAGAGCTTTGAGGTTTGGCCTTATTCCTTTTTTTTTGCACAATCCCATGAGAAAAATAATTGCTATCATCTTCATTGTTAGGAGAAGGACATTGAAATATAGAGAAGCTAATGGCCTAACTAAGGTCTTGTAGCAAAATAAATGATAGAGTCAGGACTTGAAGCCACAGTTGGGCTCCAGAGTTCATGCTAGAAGGTCAAAGTATTAGGAGTAGGAAGAGGTGTTAGAATGACATTTAAAGTATGATTATGAATGCCTGATGTTCTATCAATTAACATTTTTCAGATGGAAAAAGTAAATATTCTCATCTCAATAGGTCCAAAGGCATTGAGAATATAAATTTAGTTTTACATATATTATGTACATATTGTATATTTTATATAACATTTTATGCATATATAACATCATATATGTATGATATATGGTATACATACATAATACATAAAGAGACCTAAATTTATATTCTCAATTTTGTATGATTATATGTATATATAAACAACACAAATATTTATATTGATAAAGAACACATGGGGGAAAATGAAGTACACAAGTAAAGTACAGAAACTAAATTTTCTCAAACCAATCAACATGTATCCATCAAGTAGAAATATAATATGTATAGATGATCTTCCAAAAGCAATGCATTTTTATTTTTGTAATATATAGCAAAGTACTGAAGTTGTTACCTTAAAGCAATCAAATGGAGTGACTTGAGCTGATGTTCTAAAGCAATCAAATGTTTTTAAAAAAGAACCAATGCTCAAATATATTGTTTCCAAATCTTATGTATATACATTATTAAGATTAAAAAGAGTTCTCAGTAAAGCCTATTAAAATACGTCAGTTAGGCCATGCACAATGGCTCACACTTGTAATCCCAGGGGTTTGAGAAGCAGAGATGGGAGGATCTCTTGAGGCCAGGAGTTTGAAACCAGCCTGGACAACATACTGAGACCCTGTCTCTACAAAAAAAAAATTACAAAAAAAAGACTATATTAGTTCAATAAAGTTTTAAGGTTAAGGAATTTTTTTTTCTGGTAATTTGTTTGCTAGTACTTTTCCCATTACATCATTAACCCCTTATTAAAGTTTGATAGTCATTCCAACCAACTAACCCTATATAAACAAGAAATCAAATCAAAAGAAATTGAAAGAGTTTGCAATAATATTGATGAAGAAACTGTATTTCCCAATCTCCAAAATCTTAATATTTTGTGATGCTCTTTTTCTTGTAAGCATATCTCTAATATTTTCATATTCATCTCAATCTATGTTCTTTCTTTTAACATACTTTATAAGCTATATTAATCTAAATTCTAATAAAAGCAGTTTTTAAAGCTATCTAGTGGTTTCAATACCAACAATGCGTTGAAACAAATTTTCTAAAAGACTCCTGAATAGAAAGTGTTTTGACACAGGAAGTCTTAAACACACACACACACACACACACACACACACAGATTGCCAAAAATGGACAGCGTTTACTTCCTTACAAATGCCCTTTTATTTCTAAACAAAAACACTATTTGCCTGGTTCCTATAAACATGTCATCACAACAGGTCCTGACAGGACAATAATCCACCCTCTCTTATATAGTGGAAAAAAATTATTGAACTCTAATTGAAAGAGGGGAAAACTAACATAGGTTATATACAAAAGCTCTCCAACAATATTAAAGTAGAAACTTAGTCAAATACTCTGTAATATCAGAAACAAGAATAACCACTATTACCGTTCCTGTGTTGCATAAGACAAGATAACATCGTTAATATACTAAGATAAGAAAGCCCAAAAATACTAATAAAATGTAAAGATAAAATGAAAGGTCCTCATCATTTGCCTATGGTATGATTATATACATAGAAATAGAAAATGGACACATTAACAAATTATTAACATTAAAAATGAAACATCAAACATAAAAATCAACTGCATTTCTGCACACCATATATAATCAGTCAAATACATAGCAGAAAATAAGATAGTATTTGCAGAAGTAACAAAATTATAAAGATCTATTAGGAAGCATAAAGAACATAAAAAATGGAATTCCACACTTTGCCTTTAAATGGAATAATTTAACATTTTAGTAACTGATATTTTCAAAATTGATTGATTTGTTCAAAAATTCGGTGCTGACAATCTAAATCTCTAAAGATGTTTTTCCAAAACTTGACAAATCCTATTTATAAATGTATTAGGTAAGGATACATTCTATAAGCAGTTAAATCAGTTACACATGGAAACTAGAACAGCCTTCCCGCTGCATGAGGACATTTTTAGATTATACTTCCTGTTATGATTAATATTGAGTGTCAACTTGATGGGATTGAAGGATGTGAATTATCATTCCTGGGTGTGTCTGTGAGGGTGTTGCCAAAGGAGATTAACATGTGAGTCAGTGGTCTTGGAGAGGCAGACCCACCCTCAATCTGGGTGGGCACAATCTAATCAACTGCCAGCATGGCTAGCATAAAGCAGGTAGAAGAAGTTGGAAAGAGCAGACTGGCTGAGTCTTCTGGCCTTCTTCTTTCCCCGTGCTGGATGTTTCCTGACCTTGAACACCAGATTTCAAGTTCTTCGGTTTTTAAACTCTTGGACTTAACACCAGTTAAGATTTGCCAGGGACTCTGGGGCCTTTGGCCACAGACTGAAGGCTGCACTGTTGGCTTTTCTAGTTTTATGGTTTTGGGTCTCAGACTGCCTTCCCTGTTCTTCAGCTTGCGGACGATCTATTGTGGGACTTCACCTCGTGATTGTGTGAGGCAATACTTCTCGATAAACTCCCCTTCATATATACATCTATCCTACTAGTTCTGTCCCCCTAGAGAACCCTGACTAATATCCTTCCCCATTTCCTGTTATTATATATAATCATGTGATTAAGTGTAGCCAATAAAATGAGAACAAAAGAGACATATGCCACTTTGGGGCTCTAGCAACTGATTGCCAGTCCATTTGTCACTGGCATTGTTCTCCCTTGCCATGGTGATGTGGAAGCACCTGTTCAGGTTGACAGCATTATGAAATGATGGTATATCATCCATCATTGTCACTCCCAATTGGTAGAATGAAAGAGCCCCTATGAATCGAAGGGTGGGCACACCTCATGCACAAAACTAAACTATTGTTTTTCTGGCACTGAAAGATCAGACAGTTGTTTGCTACCACAGTGTAACATTAACCTGCTTAACAAGTTGAGGGACTTTCTTCAAATTTTAGGAGATTTCTTTAAATTTGTGGGGAATTTCCTACAAGAGTCCTAGGCATACTATAAAACAATAAGGAATAATAAGACAAGGCAAATAAATTAATGGGAGAAAATAAAACCCTCAGAGAGAGTCCAAGGTACACATAGACACTTGATATATGGTAAAATTAGCACCAACAGTAAATGAGTGAGACACTATTTTAGTAGATGTCTCACTTAATTGAGAACATTAAAAATGAAGCCTGTCTTACACAATGACTAAAAGTGGATTTTAAGTGCATTATAATATGAATGCGAAAGGTAAAACTATATATTGATTAGGAGAAAATATAGAGAAGAGGTACTTGCAGCTTGGTGGAGAGAAATCCTAGAAGAAAAATGCATATAACCCAAACTTATGATTTTGATTCCATCAACAAAGGATTTCACTTAAACAAAAGACATCCAAGAAAAGTTAGCAAAGGGATATAAGGTTGGGAAAAAAATACTTAAAATATCTGAAGTTTCAAGGGATTAATTTTTAGGACAAAAAAGCAATTTTATATCAATTTGCAAAATACAGGAAACTGAAAGAAAAACATAGCAGCCTGTAAACAGGCAATTACATGGTTAGTAAATATATGATAAGACGTGCAAATTTATTTTTGATGAGACAACACACATTAAATAATCAATAAGAGATCTTTAGGTTGACAAAATATAGAAAGTTGGACCACGCCATCTATTGGAAAAGAAATTAAGGAAAACAGCAAAACTTGTGTCCTACTGATAGAAGTAGAATGTGAAGATGATCTGGAGAAAATATGATAGTATTTACAAAAATTAAATAATTTTATACCCAATGACACATCTATATCTGGAGGTGTAGTCAAGGGTCCCTGAGGAAACATGAATGGCAGTGTTTCCTGCATAATTATTTGGGGTTAAAGGAATTACAAGTCCTTAGCATTCTGGGAACATACCACTGAGGAAAAGGATAAAAAAGCAGTCTAAAGAGATAGTATGGATTATTACTAAGCGATTAAAAGCTGCAAACTCAATATGTGTCCAGTGACATGATTAGATAATAAAAATCACTGCTCATTGAAAGAAACTAAAGGAAGTATTTTTCACAATATTATGCAAATTCATAAAGCATAAACACAAATAACACTGTATATTTTATAACAACACCTGAAGTTACAACGATGGCAGGAGTATTAAGATTGTGAAATAGGGATTAAAACTGAAAAAAAATTAAATGGCTTTACAAGACCCAACAATTACATGCCATAAATTACCTTGTGGAATGATAATTCCTAAAATCCATTAATGTTTTATATTTGAACAACTTCTCCATTTAATAATATAAATTTTCATACCAGAAGCAAAAAGCTCGAACATTGGATATATTCGTGTACTTTAAACTTGAGTAGACACAGGTCCAAATTAGATCTAACATTGGTAGATCAAGCATTGGTTGAGATTTTAAACTATCTTTGTATGTCAGCAAGTTACAAAACCAGGCAACTTGATCAATCTTATAATAGCATGAATCCAAAAGTCCTTGATAAGCGGTCTTCCAAAGGAAAACTTGAAAGTACTGTTTATAGGTCTGTGTCTAGTGAAGGTAGGCATAGAATAAAATATACATTCACCAAATAAGAAGGGCCATTAGTGGTTCTAAGGGTCATGTGAGTGAGTAATGGACTTTCACATGAGCCCCACTTCAACCATTCTGTTTACTGGCACAAGGCTGTATTTTACCCAAGCAATCTTACATAAGCAAACAATACAATCTAGAATAGTTGACTTCTTATTGTGCCAGTATTCACCATGGATTCCCTCCAATACTAATTCAATACTGTTTCCTCTCCATCCACTGGATTACTTAGAGATTAATCTGTAGCTCTATATCATGACCAGTGGAAGATGCCAGTTTTATGTAACAAAAATCTGTTTTCCCATAGCTTTAAAAAATTCCTTGAGCTAGCTTGACACACATAATTTCCAAAATCAAAGCCACTCTAGCACAAATGATGTCAATCCTTGATGTCAATCCTTACACCTACCTCTGCTCTTTGCTGCAGAACCTTAGGTTATTTCCCAGTTTCTCTGCATTATGCCAGTAAAAGAAAAGTCCCACTGTGTAGCACAAAGGTTGTCTAACCTTCTCCTCCTGAGAGGCTCATATATCACAGCTGTTGTGTTAGTTTACATCCTTCAAGAGGCAGGCACAAAGCTGGGAATAAATGTGTCAGAGAATTATTGGAGAATAAGAATTGTGTAGGGAAATGACAAGGGAGTCAATGGAGGCTGAAGAGCTGTCTGACCACTAAGGTCCAGGTCTGAACACCGTGAAGGAAAGGGGAAATCATTGAAAGAAGGTCTTATAGAACTGCATTGCAATCTATTGATCAGACACTCCAAACCCCTATATAATGATGTTTGCAGACAGGAATGGCAAATCTATACCCAGAATAGGTATCCATTCTTTGAGACTGAGACAAGGACCCCAGGATGAAAGGGACCCAATTTAGTCAATCTACTACAAAGTGGATGCCTGGTTTTCCCAAGGAATAGTGCTATATAAGAGGCCCAGTGTTGGTCTCCGTGTAGAATCAGTTGGACATTCAAAGTCAGCACTATCTATATCAGCCTTGGTAAGTGGGAGTCCATGCCATTGAGTCCATGCATCGCTCCCATCCCTGCTAGCATGGAAACTCCACTTGTGAATCCACAGCACCAATTTGAGGGCATCTCATAACAAAGGCTGGCAAACACCCACTGGCCAAGTCATTTTGTCCACTTGGTTGCTCAGTACCTCTTCCATAGTAGACAGTTTCTGTCAGGTGATAAACTATGATTATATTAATTTCCTAATGCTCTTCTGAAAAATTACCATAAAATGAGTGACTTAAAACAAATTTACTCCCTTACACGTTGGGGGAGCGTGAGAAGTCTGACATGAGTCTTAGAAAGCTCTTACAAAGTGTTTCCAGGGCTGGTTCCTACTGGAGGCTCCAAAGGAGAAGCAGTTTCCTTGCCTTTTCCAGCTTCCGGCTGCATTCCTTGGATTCCTAGCCCCATGGTCCTTTACTCCACCTTCAAAGCCACCAACTTGGTATCTTCTAACATTTCTCTTTTTTCACTGTCCTATCACCTTCTCCTCTTCCGTAATCAATTCTCTCTTTGCCCTCCTCCTATAAGGACAATTGTGATTGCATTTAGGGCCCCCTGGATAATTAAGGATAATCTTCCTATTTCAAAATCCTTAACTTAAATCTGTGAAAGTCACTTTTGTCATATAAAATAACATTCAGAGGTTCCAGGCTCTCAGAACGTTGTTATATTTGGCAGCCATTATTCTGTCTAACACAGTGGCACAGAATTCTTTCCACTTTGCATGCATTACCATGTTCATTCACATGCCTCTACACCAGACCCCCAGACCTTTACATTCCAAACCCCTAGCAGGCAGCCAGGCCATTGGCCACTGCTCAGGAACCTGCATGCATTCTCATCTCAGGCCACTTTTCCTCCTCTACCAAAACAGCAAGCAAGTGCACTACTTTGCATCTCCACCATGGAGAAAGTTTTTCTTCTCCATTGTATGTGAACACCGTACCTAAATGTGGCTGTAATACTGACCGTGTTCAGTTTATAGCCATGAATCAAACTGACCCATATATAAACTGAGTTTCTTTTTTTTCTCTTCTTTGAGCTGGTTGTAAAACGGCAGCAACAACAAAAACGTACATATAGATATAAGTACAAGGTGGGGGAAGAGAATTAGTGAAATTCTGGGGAGTGACCTGAAGGTCTGGGCTATGTACTCATGAGATTTACTCATGCCTACTGCTCCTGCTGAAGCTCCATCTTAAGAGACATCATTTCTCTATTTCTATCTTATGAGGGATGGCTGTGGAGCCTAGGCAACTTTTGAGCTGGTGGGTCAGCCAGAACTCAACACATAATGGGCAGATCCAGACCCACTGTCACTTTGTGATCAGTGACCAAGCATTTTGTGTCTACCAGGGCCCTTTAACATGCCAGGAGCCTTTTTTTTTTTTTTTGAGACAGATTCTTGTTTTGTTGCCCAGGCTGGAGTGCAATGCCATGGTCTGGGCTCACTACAACCTCCACCTCCTGGGTTCAAGCAATTCTCTTGCCTCAGCCTCCCAAGTAGCTGGGACTATAGGCATATGCCACCAAGCCCAGCTAATTTTTGTATTTTTGGTAGAGACGGGGTTTCATCATGTTGGCCAGGATGGTCTCAATCTCTTGACCTCGTGATCCACCCACCTCAGCCTCCCAAAGTGTTGGGATTACAGGCCTGAGCCACTGCACCCGGCTGCCAGGAGCCATTTTTTAAAGGGTGCAAAATGCACTGCTGAAGATGGCATGACCTTGCTCCAGCATTCTTAGGGCTTGGGCAATAATTCCCCCATGAAGGCTTGATGTGAGACTCAAATAGCATCTTTGTCCACCACTGTCACCTCCAACACCATTGGTTCTGCCAGGCCAAGGGCCAGGGCTGCTTACACCAAATCCTGAAACTGTTGGAGCCCCTTCCTACTGAAGGCTCCATTCACCACTAGCTGAATTCCATGTCACCTGGTTTCTGCAATGTAACAATATTCCTGTGTGTTGAAACATTTTACCTCCATAACCCAAAAAGGTCTGCCTGGCTCTGTGATTCCATATTTTTATGTGACAGGGAATGCAAGATCCCACCATTTCTTGCTTTTAGAGGCTACCTTGGCATGCCCCTGACCATTGAAACTCTACAAACTTTACTGAAAAGATAGGTCCATGAATCTTTATAAGAGGTATCTCCCATCCTCTGGAGCAGAAGGACTCCAGGCTACTAGCCAATATCCTCAGGGGCATCCATCCAGATGTCTCCATCCCATATTTCTGGGTTTCAGGTTTTCTCAGTCAGAATCCTGAACTTAGAAAACAGATCTGTCTTGGCCGAGCCTTTAAACATCTCTGCAACTCTTCAACTCCTTCAAATATTGTATTTGTTGCTCAGTTGTTTCCACCATTGCACTGCAGGAGGTACAGACTTAATTGCATGTTACCAAAGAAACCCTCTGACTCTCACATTTAGTCTTTGACTGTTTTTTCCTGGCTCCCAGTATTCTGTTAGTCCTAGGTAGAACATCAGTACAACTTAAGCACAACCCAAGCACCTTTACAGTTTTTGTAGGATTTGTTCCTATGCATCTTTCATTCATTGCAACAGCAAGAGCACTCCTCTCCATTGGGTTATTTCCCCAGGTCACCTCCAGTGGACTCTTTAGCAAATAGATAACAAATAGGCTAGGGATTTCCTTTGTTTCATATACCACTGAGAATGGAATGTGCTTTTTGTTTTGTTTGTTTTGTTTTTCCTACCAGGCAATCAGTGAGTGTGTTCACCCACTTTGCATTTGCTATAAAGGAATACCTGAGGCTGGGTAATTTGTAAAGAAGTTTATTTGGCTCACAGTTCTGCAGGCTGTACAAGAATAGCATCTACTTGGCCTTAGGAATATTTTACTCATGGCAGAAGGTGAAAGGGGAGCAGGTGTGTCCCTGAATCTGGCAAGTGAGGGAGCAAGAGAGATGTCAGGTTCCTTTAAACAACCAGCTCTCACGTGAACTAATAGAGTGAGAACTCACTCATTACCATGGGGATGGGCACCAAGACATTCCTGAGGGATCCACCCCTATGGCCAAAACAGCACCCACCAGGCCCCACCTCCACAACTGGGGATCAAATTTACACATGAGATTTGGAAAGGACAAATATCCAAACTGTACAGTGAGCCAGTTCTAGTACCTCCCCATACTGCCTTTGTTCCAGAACCACCCCAGAGATTTATCAAGGAAAATGGCTGTGAGAAAAAATTGAAAGGGAACCAGAGGAGAATAAAGAGCCATTAGACAGAGATGAAAATCTGCTCCCTGTGAAAGAGAGAGGGAAGGAAGAGAAGATTCATATAAAGAGACTTAGACTGCAGTGCATTTCTGAGAAAGTTCAGCCAAGCTCAGAGGAGAGTTCTTCAGCTAAAATCACTTGTCAGAGGAGTTTATGTCTCACAGGGATGGATCTTCCTTAGTACCAAGGCTCTGCTCCATCAGTGACCAAGAACATTGTGTTGGATGTCTGGCCACTTCATAAGCGTAGTGGTATATTGAGAGACATCAGTTAATTAAGCCATAAGTCAATTAAGGAGATCTGAGAGGCCCACATTAATGGTTACCACAACCAGCAACTTCAAAAGAGCACTCAGGGAGGAACATGCAGCAGCTACAGATTTGTTCTGTGTCTCTTTTTTTCTGAACAAAGAAGGATTTTGAAGATGTAGGTTTCTTGCTCATGGGCCCCGCAATGTTATATTCTGGTCCTGCAGCTGCACAGACTGCATCCCTCTTACTTACTCTGAAACAATCTTCTTGAAAACAGATGTGTCAGGAAGGAATGAAAACTATCTCCTCTATTCAAAGTTGCATTCGTAAGAGATACATGTTCAGTGTTATCTTAAGAATTCATTTTTCTTCTTTAAAGTTTTAGCTTTTAATTACACCATTCCAAGGACAAGTGAAAAGGAATTTCTCATGGAACCACCATTTTCTGTCCACATGCAATTTTTGTTTACCCCTCAATTCCCATCAATCTGGTTCAGTTCTTTTATGCATGTGCACTCACACATTGCAGTAGAAGAATATAAAGGGATGTGATTATGAAACACATTATCACAAAGCAGCAGTAAATTTTTTCTTGCTCCTCATCACTTTGCCTACGCTTAGCAAAATTGGGCAGAATAGTATTAGAGATGTGGATTTCTATGCTCTACTAATTTATATAATACCTTGTTTCTATCTTTTCTAACTTTTCCATCTACTTAGTACCTTTCATGCGCGTCCGTGTGAAGAGACCACCAAACAGGCTTTGTGTGAGCAATAAAGCTTTTAATCACCTGGGAGCAGGTGGGCTGAGTCCGAAAAGAGAGTCAGTGAAGGGAGTTAAGGGTGGGGCCGTTTTATAGGATTTGGGTAGGTAAAGGAAAATTACAGTCAAAGGGGGTTTGTTCTATGGCGGGCAGGAGTAGGGGTCGCAAGGTGCTCAGTGGGGGTGCTTTTTGAGCCAGGATGAGCCAGGAAAAGGACTTTCACAAGGTAATGTCATCAGTTAAGGCAAGGACCGGCCATTTACACGTCTTTTATGGTGGAATATCATCAGTTAAGGTGGGGCAGGGCATATTCACTTCTTTTGTGATTCTTCAGTTACTTCAGGCCATCTGGGCATATACATGCAGGTCACAGGGGATGCGATGGCTTGGCTTGGGCTCAGAGGCCTGACAGTACCCTTTCCTTCTACCTAGCTGTACTGTTTTTAGTAGAAAATTAACAAGAACTTTTGCAACTTTTTATGTTAACTTAAAATATTTTTATAGAATGTTGATTGAAGAGTCATCATCTGAGTAAAATTTAAAGAATGCAATTGATTTTCCTCCTTGTTACTCCTGACAAGTATATACTCACACTCATAGCTGGAGGTGGTCCCTTAAATAACATATACCTACTACCACTCCTTATTCACTCTTTTCATTACCCCGAATGATAATCAATCCTTCCCAGGTCTTGAGGCATAGAACAACAACATAGGGCCAAATCAAAAGCAAGTGAAATTGTTCCTCACAATTCCTCCATTTCCTCACCCAGGCACATTCCATTGACTTGATGCAGGCTTCCCCAGGCTTCATCTCTTTTCTTATCCCAGCTCTCTGACATCCACATAATGCCCTCCAGACTTACTGCAGATTTCCAGAACATAACAGTGTTATTCATCCTCATGAAATCACTTCAATTTCCCTTAGCTATTCTCCATCAGAGTCTCATTACAAGCTGATGAGGACAAGCCTCTATGCCAAGGTGACCTAAAAACAGAGCCCTCAAGGAAGTTAAGATACCATATAGCTATTATGGCAATTGTTTGGAAAGATGTCCTAACTCTCCTCCTCTATCCACATTTCTTTGAAATTGACATTCCAGATCTTCCCATAAATAGATAGAGTCTATTTTCCTATTCTTTGTCACTTACTTTGAAAAATAAAGTACAACCAGGTAATATTGTGCAGGTTTTGAGCCTAGGCTTTAAGAGGTCTTCTATAATTTTACTTACTCTCTCTCTCTCTCTCTCTCTCTCTCTCTGTCTATCTCCCTCTCTGAAATTTTAACAAGGGTCATTGTGAACAAGCCTCAGATTGCCTGCTGGAGAATGAAAGACCACGTGCGTTAAAATTAATAGATCCTAATAATATCTTTCTAGATTATCTATCCACATCCCCATACCCAGCACACTCTGGCAGCTGAATGCAGCACATGAGTAAATTTAGCTGAGAATGGAAGAATCACATAGCTGACCCCAGGCCAAATTTTTGATCTGCATAGTTTGAGTTGTTGTTACACAACAAAGCTAACTGATACACTGTGGGAAGAAACTTTCAGACAAAAGTTACATCAAAGGTCTTAAAATAACAGTGTTTTGGTGAGATAGAACAGAGTTTATGATAAGACTTTTGGATTTTACTCACTATGTCATTGGAGATTTTTGAGCTAAGTAGTGGCTCAATGTGCAAAACTGTAATTTTAAATCACCATGAAATTGAACTACTGCCATTTGTGAAGAGAAAATGTAACTATAAGTTTTGCCCCAGAGAATAGAAAACATTTACATGGATATAATAGACAGCATATTAATACATGAAGATATCTGTTATATATTCTAATGACTTAGTACAAATCTATGTTTTATTCACTTTTTAAGCATAGTCGTATAAATATTTTTCTCCTTTATGAAGCATATTTATGTGAAAGACACGCTCTATAAACCAGACTGGAATTCCACCTCTCATTATTTTTCACATTCTTGCTATTTAAAGAAGCATAATAAAATGGGACATTGACAAATACTTTGAGGAAAACAACTTAAATATACCTTCTAAACACATGCTTTTTTCCATCAACTAAAAGTGCAGTTTTCTTTTGAAAATCTTTCAAAGAAAAATTGATGTATAAAAATCATTTCTTACACGTTCACATAAATTGTCTATTATAAAAAATCAGTAAAATTTTCTGCTCAGTGGAATAAAATAACAATGTATGTGATGTATAACAGGAACTATAAACACTACCAAAAATAAATATAATAAATACTAGATAGCAAAATAATGGCCATTTAGAAGTAGATTCTTAAACATTTATCATGATAAAAAGCTAAATTTATCTATTTAAAATGTTTTAGAATCAAAAAACAAAGTTTATTTTCTGTCAAAATGCTGACTTTTATTATAATACTTTGGAAATGTATTATCTTAGCAAGAATACAAGACTTTAACCTCAGTTTGAAGATACAATATTTTAAAACAGACCAAATTACTAAATACCTCTAAATATATTTCATCCCTACAAAATACATTTTTATTACAATAATAATTTGTTCCTTTTTGATAGTGGTGAGCTTACATAGTAAGAAAATAATTATGTGAAAATATAGAATATATTTTCTTTACTCAGAAACGAAAGTTTCAAGCCAGTATTCTAATACCACTGTAGCCAGTGACTTGGTATGCAAAAGGTCATAGAAAATGACTTTTTATTTCAGTATGAAATGTAAACATGGTCTTTAAATGTTAGAAAAATTTGGTTACCTCATAACATAAAATCAGATACTCACTGAGTGGCTAACATAAAGAGCACCCTCGAATTACTTAATGAATACAATGTACATTATTCAGGTGATGAATGAATGAAACACCCAGACTTCCCCACTTTGCAATATACCCATGTAACAAAATTGCACTTGTACCCCTTAAATGTATACAAATAAAAATAAATATATAAATAAAAAGCATTCTCAGACTAAGAGAAACTACTAGGTTTTTCATATAAAATAATTTAAATTAATATTAATAAACACCTTTTTTATTACACTTTTGTCAAGTCCAAAGACATTTTAAGAAATAATAAACTATTATATTCTATTATCTTTTTAATGAACTATAAAGTTTAGATGAACCATAGTATTCATCTTCTCCCTGGGCAATAAAAAAAGCAGAATTTCTAGTTTCCCTGGAATGTATAATCACATGAATGGCTTCAGGCCAACAGAATGTGTGTCAATTCCAATTGTATTAGTCTGTTTTCATGCTGCTGATAAAGACATACGTGAGACTTGGCAATTTATGAAAGAAAGAGGTTTAATGGGCTTACAGTTCCACATGACTGGGGTGGCCTCACTATCATGGCAGAAGGTGAAATGCACATCTCACAGGTGGCAGACAAGAGAAGAGAGCTAGTGCAGGGAAACTCATCCTTATAAAAACATCAGATTTCGTCCAACCTATTCACTAACCTGAGAACAGCATGGGAAAGACCTGCCCCCATGATTCAACTACCCTACACTAGGTCTCTCCCACAACACATGGGAATTCAAGATGAGATTTGGGTAGGAATACAGCCAAACCACATGATTTCACCCCAGCCCCTCTCAAATTTCATGTCCTCATATTTCAAAACCAATCATGCCTTCCCAACAGTCCCCCAAAGTCTTAATTTATTTTAGCATTAACTCAAAAGTCCATAGTCCAAAGTCTCATCTGAGACAAGGCAAGTTTCTCCCACCTATGAGCCTTTAAAATCAAAAGCAAGTTAGGTACTTCCTAGATACAATTGGGATACAGGCATTGGGTAAATACAGCCATTCTAAATGGGAGAAATTGACCAAAACAAAGGAGCTACAGGCCCCAGGCAAGTCTGAAATCCAGCAGGGCAGTCAAATCCTAAAGCACCAAAATGATCTCCTGTGACCCAGATCTTACATCCAGGTCATGCTGATGCAACAGGTGGGTTCCCATGGTCTTGGGCAGCTCTGTCCCTGTGGCTTGCAGGGTACAGCCTCTCTCCTGGCTGCCTTCATGGGTTGGCATTGAGTGTCTGTGGCTTTTCCAGGCACATGGTGCAAGCTGTCAGTAGATCTACCATTTTGGGGTCTGGAAGACAGTAGCCCTTTTCTCACAGATCCACTAGGCAGTGCCCCAGTACGGAAACTGTGGGGGCTCTGACCCCACATTTCCCTTCCACACTGCCCTGGCAGAGGTTCTCCCTGAGGGCCCCACCCCTGCAGCAAACTTCTGCCTGGGCATCCAGGCATTTTCTTACATCTTCTGAAATCTAGGTGGAGGTTTCTGAACCTCAATTCTTGACTTCTGTGCACTAACAGGCTCAACACCACATGGAAGCTGCCAAGGCTTGGGGCTTGGGCCCTCTGAAGCCATGGCCTGAGCTCTACTTTGGCCTCTGTCAGCCACAGCTGGAGCAGCTAGGACACAGAACACCAAGTCCCTAAGCTGCACACATCACAGGGACCCTGGGCCCGGCCCTAGAAACCACTTTTTCGTCCTCTGTCCCCAGCCTGTGATGGGAGGACCTGCTGTGAAGACGTCTGACACACCCTGAGACATTTTCCCCATTGTCTTAGGGATTAACAGTAAGCTCCTAGTTACTTATGCAAATATCTGCAGCCAGCTTGAATTTTTCCTCAGAAAATGGAATTTTGTTTTCTATCACATTGTCAGGCTGCAACTTTTTTGAACTTTTCCTCTCCTCTTATAAAACCAAATGCCTTTAACAGCACTCAAGTCACATCTTGAATGCTTTGTTGCTTAGAAATTTCTTCCACCGGATACTCTAAATCATCTCCCTCAAGTTCAAAGTTCCACAAATCTCTAGGGCAGGGGCAAAATGCCTCCAGTCTCTCTGCCAAAACATAACAGGAGTCAACTTTTCTCTAGTTCCCAACAAGGTGCTCATGTCCATCTGAGACCACCTCAGCCTGGATTTTATAGTGTTCATCATTATCAGCATTTTGGACAAAGCCATTTAACAAGTCTCTATGAAGTTCCAAACTTTCCCACATTTTCCTGTCTTCTTCTGAGCCCTCCAAACTGTTCCAACCCCTGCCTATTACGCAGTCCCACAGTTGCTTCCAAATTTCCAGGTATTTTTTCAGCAGCAACCCGCTATACTGGTAACAATTTATTGTATTAGTCTGTTTTCATGCTGCTAATAAAGACGTACCCAAGACTGGGCAATTTTCAAAAGAAGGAGGTTTAATGGACTTACAGTTCCATGTGACTGGTGAGGCCTCACAATCATGGCAGAAGGTGAAAGGCACATCTTACAAGGCAGCAGACAAGAGAAGAGAGCTTGTGCAGTGAAACTCTCCCTTATAAAACCATCAGATCTCATGAGATGTATTCACTGTCACAAGAACAGCATGAGAGTGATTCAACTACCCACCCCACCAGCTCCCTCCCACAACACGTGGGAATTCAAGATGAGATTTGGGTGAGAACACAGATGAACCACATTACCAACATGCCCTATGAAAAACTCCCATGGATAACACTCTTTTTGATTTGTCTCCCACTCTTGTCAGATGCCTATGAACACAGAGTTCTTGATGGCCATAAATTGAAGATGATGCAGACACAGGAAAGAAGAATCCTGGAGTCCTACATCTACCACTTGGGGAAGTACTGCCCACTGATAATGAACACCTACTTGGAGTTCCATAACATAATTGTATTTGAATCCTTCCTCATACATTTGAAGGTGTGCTTTTTTCTGGCACTAGCACATGAAATATATTACACTGTTTTATCGAGGAAGAGATATTCGTGATTTATAAGAAGAAATACATCATCACAATGACATCATGCCAACTACATAAATTTAACACAGGCAAAAGTCATAACAACACAGAATGTATCTCAGATATTTGATGCAGATTAAAATAGCAAATTCAGACAGATCCTTATACATATAAACTTATTTCTGCAAATTTAAAATATAAATGTAAATTAATTATCTGATTGAGAATTTTCATAATTTGTTTTAGGAGCCACAAAGGTATATATTTGTGTGTATTTGCATGTGTGTGTGTGTGTGTGTGTGTGTGTGTGTAAGAGTAGATATAATTGGGTTAAGATTCTTCTGTTGATTTAAATAAGATTTGGATTTTTTCTATATAAATTAATCATATCCATAATTCCTCACTTTGCCTCATAAAACCATTTGAGGGAATAAGAATTCATCCAGATAAATTTGAAAAATCTTATGTCAATTATACATAATTTCAATTTGTCCCTTCACTTTAACTGTCGTATATCTGGAGTCCAAATTAGGGAAAAGGAGTCAGGCTGGGAAGACCAAGGGAAAGCAAAAAGAGAAGGCAGGTAAACTATAGGTTTGCCTTTCTTCATGGTCCAGGACATATAGCCCTCCTGCACAGATGATGTGCATAACTCACAATCTTCCCCTACCCAACTTATTATAAAATACTTCAATTTATCATCAAACACCTTGCATGATGAAAAAATGCAAGTTAGCTCCCTGCAACCTTGGCATTGTCAGTACCTCATGTAGCACTCTTCAGCGCAAGTTACAGACTATAAAATGCCCGGCAACCCTTTGTTTCCTGGCAGGCAGCTCCTCTTCTGCTGACCTACCTGTTGCCTTCAAGAATGTATTTTCATACTTTCTTTAATACATCTGTCTTTATTTACCTACAACTGTCTTGGTAAATTCTTCTTATTCCCATGCCACCAGCCCCAGATAGTTGCTGCTTACTCGGAGAATATATGAAATTATTTTGTTCTAAATCCAATAATAAAAATAGGTAGTATGAATACACATATGCACACACACACACACACACACACACACACTGAGAGAGAGATAACATAAAAAATACAAACCAGTTCTTTCTTCACCAATATATTTATTGAGATGTAAGGCCTAGTGAACATAAAAGCTGATTATTTGATGTTAAATGTAAATTTTAAATAGTTTTTTTAAACATTATCTAAAAAACAATAAGAGGAAAATGGAGGAGGAAAATAATGGCTTTAGTATATTCACCACTGTAGAAAAAGTAAATAAAGAAAAATCAGTTCATAGACTAGACTGAAAAGGAAAGAAGAATAAGCATTCTCGGCAGTGGCATTTTTCCCCCTGTGGAATTATAAGCATGTGAAAACTGTAGGATAAGGCTGCAAGTGCTCTCATTATCACATCTTTACCATAGCTGCTATTATGCCATTGTGTGATAAAAACTCCTGGAAGTTTGGCATATGCCACCATTCACATTCACATTTTGCTATACATGACTCTTCTCCTCAAAACTTTCATATATTTTATTTAAAAGGTAAAGGAAGTCATTTATATTTCATTCTCTATATTTTTTTAATGAATCCAAAGTGAAATTTAGGTCAACATACAGCAACCACCACCAGCTAGGAAATCCTCTGTGTGGCCTGACGGACAAGCTTCTTTAATTATTACAAAGTATATGGAATCACATAAGCAGTGGTCTAACCACGTTCTCATATTTGCATAGAGCTCTGCCTCCTCATGGGAAAACATTTAAACATGTCTTCAATAGAGGTTAGACTATTTATAAGCATGTCTGACAGACCATGGAATGGGATGTCTTTTGGATGTCATAGAGTCATTCTCTGAAGTAAAAGCAGCATAAGTAAGGAATGTGAGTCAAGAAAGACCAAATTCAGCAGGGCAGTCTGAGTGAATGCAGAACATTATGAGACTATACTTTTCCTGAGATGCCCTTCACGGTTGTGTTTGGGACAATGGGAGGCCTGAACAGAGAGACTGGCTTCAGTATCCAGAAGAAGGTCTACCCTCCTTGCTTCAGTTTCCAGAATCACCTGGGGCTCCTGGGCAGTTATGGCAGTTTGGGCCACTAGAGTCAGGGAAATGAGCCCTGGGACCTGTCAGTCCTGTTGGATCATTTGTGAGACCAGTTCTGGACCCAGTGACCTATGTCTCCAAGGGCAATCTGACCTCCAGTGGTTCCTGCCACAGGCTGGACAGGGTTGGGGTGGCTTCTTCTTACTGTCCGGACAGTTATTCTTAACGTGTCCTGATTTGCCACACTGATAGTAATTAGTGGATGTGCCTCAGGGATTCTGGACTTCACAGGCCTCCGTCCTTCTCCTGTGCTTCCTCTGTTTTTCCTGGACCTCCTCCTGATCCCTGTTGTAAAAGGCCAAGGTGGCCACCCTCAGGAGGTTCTCCAGAGTACTATCTGGAACTATAGACTGTTTCTGTAATTTTCTTCTAATATCAGGGGCTGTCTGAGTAATAAACCTCTCCTTTAGGATTAGCTGTCCTTCAACTGAGTCAGGAGACATGGAAGTGTGTTTTATTATGGCCTCTTTCAGCCTTTCCATGAAAACTGAGGGATTCCTATCTGGTCTGTGATCTATTGTGACCAATTTAGAGTAATTAAGAGGTTTGGCCCTAGTTTTTTGTAGGCTTTCCAATATGTACATTAAAAAGTGTTTCATTTTCCATTCATCTGTGGGGTCACTAGGGTCGCAGTCAGGGTTTTCAAGGGGTATTGCCTCTCTTCCTATTGGGAATGGTTGTTCCATAATTTCCTTACCTTCCTTATCTCCTCTTTTCCTTTTTAGCCTCTCATAAGAAACATGTTGTTCATCCCTGAATTTTTCTGTTGTCTGTAGAGCTGTCTGTCTCTCAGCGGCTCTTAAGGTTTGGTTTAAGAGTAATACAACATCTTTCCATGTGAGGTTACACAACTGGGCTAGATTTTGGAAAGCCTCTACATACCTGTCGGAGTCTTCAGAGAACCTACCCAGGTCTCCTTTTATTGGTCTAAGGTCTTATTATAAGAAGGGAACCTGAACCCTAGTGGCACCACACCCATCAGGCGTTTCTTGTAGTGGTAAAAGTGAAACTGGGGAAGTGGGGAGTGTTGAAAGTGGTGGAACTGGAGGAGCCAATGGTGCAGTTGGAGGAAGGGGCCCCAGATAAAAGGGAAAAGAAGACTGAGACACTCAATAGTTGTCTTACAGGATAACCCAGGAATTTGTTTTCTTAGCTTTGGGGAATCATTCCCCATGGTGATATGATTGTTTAAAGAGCTGGGTCAATTGTGGATCACTTGTAGAGGTCTGGGTTGTCCCACAGGGCAAAGAAAGTCTGTACACAGGGGACCTCGGACCATTTGCCTTCCCATCTACAGAAAAGATCTAATTGTTGGATAGTATTAAAATAAAGATTTCCCTCAGAAGGCCGGGTTTGTCCATGCGCAAGCTGGTAAGAAGGCCAAGCCCTTGTGCAAAAGAATGTGAGCTGCTTTTTCTTCAGAATTTCAGGGTCAAAGGAGTTCCAGTGCTTCTGAATGCATTTGAGAGGAGTGCAGGCTGAAGATGGTTTGTTAACCATCTAGAAAGGTGTCCCTTAGTCTTCTCCCTTTGTTTGGAGTGACCCAGGTGGAGAGGAAGGCAGTGCGGGCATGCCCCCATTATCCTCCTTCCTTTGTTGCCTGTGCCTCAGCATCTGTTAAAGGTGTCATCCATGGACGTAAGTGTGACCTCCACCCATGGACCCGGAGGAGTGGGTCAAGCAGGAATGATCACGCTCATCTGTGTGAGACCCAAGTCCTCTGCTGAGAACTCCCCTTTGATTCCTTAGATTTGTGTGGTTGGTGTGTCCCTACTAGAGAAGGATCTCAGGAAAGACTATGTAACTGTTGTATTTGGGCCAGGCCCTTCAGTGAAAGGAGTATTCTGGGTTGAGTCCTATATTCTGTTATTATGGCCCAAGTTAAAGTATTTATCCTTAGGCTGTGGTTCTGATTGACTTTTAATCATAGGATCTCTTCTTTATATAAATGTTATTCCACTTGGAGGTGGAATAGGTGTCTCAAAAGAATGTAAGGATCATGACTGTCTTTCTGTTGATGGAGACGGTATTGAGGCCAAAATCTGCTGATGGAGACAGTATCGAGGATTAGAAGAACTGCTCTCTTCTCTGCGTCATAAGCAGTGTTTTCCTGTTCACAGAGAGGACATAAGTTCTGGTTTCTAGTGGAGGGGCTCAATAGGTAGAAGAATTGGGAAAGCAGAGGCTTTTGGCCAACAGCCAACAGGCTTCCCCATGGAGAAGATTTCCATTCCACTAGGTGGCATTATAAACCTGGAACTACCAGGCTGTAGTTTTGTTTCCAAATGCTCTCTAGACAATGTGTTGAGAGAGAAGTCTGAAGTGTGACAGGCCATCCCCACAACATGCCTTCCAGTAGGAGGAAGTTAGTTCATCTCATGGAAAGACTATCTAGTTCAACTGGGCAGTGTTGACTCCTCATATGAGAAAAGAAACAGCCCAAATGAAGAGGGGGCCATCACTGACAGGGTGGGGGGGCGGCAGATAGCCCCCTGTCTAACCCTAGGAAGTGTCATCATTGGAGTTAAATGATCTCCTAGACCCAGATCGTGAAATCCTCCTGTTTCTAAAAAGTTACAAAAACAGTAATCTCTTGAGCTACATTCGTGATTGCTAAGGCACTTGTTAATCCTGCCTAACAAGTCTATTTCCCCAAGTCGTAAAAACTGCCACACTATTGTATACAGAGAGGGAATAGGAGACACAGTAGCCATGGAAAGAAAGGGAGAAAACTGTGATAGGAAAAGTTTGGAGGTTCTGTTGCTGATACCCACTGGGTGTTAGGGTGTGACCCCAGCCAGAAACTTTCAGTTGCCTCAGGACCTTTTCCAGCCCCATGCAATGGCTAGGCTCCCCATGAAAGGAAACCAGTTTGGAGCATAGCCAACATTCCCAGCACTCTGAGTGTGCTGGGGGATTAGCTAAGTCCTCCCCAGCAAGCCTGTCATCTGTGTCTTTAGACAGATGGCCATGCTTGTCATGTTTAGATGGCCAACAGATGCCTGGTGATTTTCTTGATTTGATAAAAATAAGTACCAGAGGGCTCGGAAATGAAAGTAAAGGTTGGGGTCTGCTCCAAGTCACCCTTTCAATGAAATCCTGGATGAGCCTCCAAAAGAAAAAGGTCTCATTGTCTGAGGTGTCACCTGAGGTTCTTGGTCTCATGGCAAAGGAAATCAAGGATTTGGACATTCTAAAGGTGAGGTTAGAGTAGAAGTTTAATAAGTGAAAGGAAGAAAGTTCTCTGGAGTAGAGAGGGGTCCCAGAAAGACGGGTTGTCATTTTACGGTGAAAAATAAGGGTTTTAATAGATAAGTTGTTCAGGAGGGGTGTTTCATTTACATAAGGTGTGAATTTCTGAGTCCCCACCCCATCCTTTCTAGTGTGTATGTGGGCTTCTTAGTTTGAGTTATTCTATGTTGTCTCTTCCTGTTGTGTATGTGTAAAAACGGCAGGGGGTAAAACACTCGGAGGTGGACATGTCTGGTTCAGGGTAGTTCTTATCAATGTTGTTGTAGGTACTCCTCCTGTGTAAGTCTCCTTGTCTGAGTATTTCTTTTTTTTTTTGAGATGGAGTCTCCCTCTGTCGCCCAGGCTGGAGTGCAGTGGCGCGATCTCGGCTCAATGCAAGCTCCGCCTCCCGGGTTTGTGCCTTCCTCCTGCCTCAGCCTCCCGAGTAGCTGGGACTATAGGCACCCGCCACCAAGTTGGCTAAGTTTTTGTATTTTTTAGTAGAGACAGGGTTTCACCATGTTAGCCAGGATGGTCTCGATCTCCTGACCTCGTGATCCGCCTGTGTTGGCCTCCCAAAGTGCTGGGATTACAGGCGTGAGCCACCGCACCCGGCCTGAGTATTTCTAAGAAGGAAGAGGACTGTGTTTGCTGGGGAACACTGTATGTCTGTATGTCACGTGGGAAGCCCCTTTCTGTGTTAGAGTTTATCTCCCTTATCTGTGTTTGTAGCCTGTTCTCTCAGGCTGCTCTTTGTTGAAAGAGAAAGGACCTCTTGGGTTGTTTTTTGTTAGAAGGGAATTCTACCGAGGACCCTTGCCCTAACTATCTGCCTAGCTGATTTCTCTCTCTCTCTTCTGACAGTATTTTTAATTTTACCTCTCTTATGGTATGTAATGGATTTCATTGTGATTTTTATTTTGTATTTCCCTGATGAGTACAGGTGTTCAGTGTCTTTTTCATTTTGCAGACCTTCAGCTGTGAAATGTTGCTACAAATATTTTGTCTATAATTGTGTTGTACTTTTTACTATGTAATATTAAGCATTTTTGTATGCTCAAAATATAAGTTCTTTGATATGTATATGGCAAATATTCTCTACCACTTTTTGGCTTACATTTTCACTTTTTTAACAATGTCTTTTGAGCCTTAGAGAGTTTTAATTTTGAAAAAGAACAATGTGTCTGCGTGTATGTATGATGTATACACACACAGACATACACACACTATCTTGTCTCACTTAAGAATGGGGATACATTCTGAGAAATGCATCCTTAGGAGATTTCATTGTGCTACCACCATAGAGTGTACTTACACAGACCTAGATGGTATAACCTACTACCTACCTGGGTAATACAGTATAGCCCATTGCTTCTAGGCTACAAACCTCTACATCATGTTACTCTACCGAATTCTGTAGGCAATTGTAACACAATGGTATTCGTATACCTAAACATATCTAAACATAGAAAAGGTACCATAAAAATACAGCATAAAAGATTTTTAAGTGATAAACCTAGATAGGACACTTACCATGAATGGAGCTTACGGGACTGGAAGTTGCTCTGGGTGAGTCAGTGAGTAAGTGGTGAGTGAATGTGAAAGCCTAGGACATCCCTGTATACTACTGAGGACTTATTTTACACTAAATTTACTCAAAAATTTTTCTTTACTAATAAACTAACCTTAGCTTACTGTAACTTTATAAAATTTCTTTAAAATTTTTAACTCTTTTGTAATAATTCTTAGCTTAAAACACACACACTGTACAGCTGAACAAAAATATTTTCTTTCTTCCTTATTCTATAAGTATTTATGTATTACTTTTTAAATTATTTTGTTAAAAATGAAGACACAAACACACATATTAGTGTAGGCCTACACAGGGTCAGCATCATAAATGTCACTGTCATCCACCTCTACATCTTTTCTTACTGAAAGATCTTCAGGGAGAATAACATGCACGAAGCTGTCATCTCCTGTGATAACAAGGCCTTCTTCTGGAATACCTCATGAAGGACCTGCCTGAGCCTATTTTACAGTTAACTTTTTTTAATAAGTAGGAGGAGTACACTCTAAAATAATGATTAAAGGTATAGTTTAATTAATATGTATACTAGTAACATCATTTATTTTCATTATCAAGTATTATATACTGTACATAATTGTATGTGCTATATTTTTATTCAACTAGCAGTGCAGTAAGTTTGTTCACATTAGCCTCACTACAAACACATAAGTAATGTGCAGCACTATGACGTTATGATGGCTATGATGTCACCAGGTGGTAGAAATTTTTCAGTTTCATTATAATCTTATGGTGGTTCATTGTTAACAGAAACACCATTATGCAGCACATGAGGATAATATGTAAGTACTTATGGTTTGTGTTTTTTGTGTCCTGAGAAATCTGTGCCCAATCCAAGATCACAAAGATATTTTACATTCTTTTTTTAGAAGTGTTACAGTTTTAGCTTTCACATTTAGGTTTTGGATCTCTTCCAATTATTTTTCTATATGTATATGGTGTAAGGAAATGGTTGATGTTATTTTTTTAATCACTATCACTTTTGTCAGCATCATTTTTGAAATTAGAGAAAAATACTTCCCTATTGGGGTCCTTTTGTTGAAAAACAATTGACAAAATATGTATGGTTCCATTTCTAGATTATCTCCCCATATGTCTATCTTTTGCAAACACCATGCTGTCTTGATTACTGCAGCTTTATAATATGGCTTGATGTCAATAAAAGTAAATTAATCCAATTTGCTCTTTTTTCCCAAAATTGTATTATATTTTTCCTTTATACAGTCTGTTAAATATTTGAAGAGACATGTCCATTTCTACCTCATTCCAAGAACAAGAGCCTGCTGAGGTTTTGAATGTACTTGCATTGAATCTATAGATCAATTTAGGAAAAACTGACATTTTAAAGTGGTTGAGTCTTCCAATACCTGTACATGCGTATTTTAAAACTTTTTTTGAGGTCTTATTTTCTTTAGCAACGTTTTGTAATTTTTAGTAGTAGTTTCAGGTCTTGCACATACTTAGCTAAATTTATCTCTAAGTGTATTATACCTTTGGATGCTAGTTTAATCTGTATTTTTTTAAAATAATATTCTAATTGTTCATTGCTAGTGTATAGGTACTTTTTTGAATATTACCCATTTAATAAATTGCCTCAAGAAATTCACTTATCCATTCTTTTAGCTTTTTGTAGATTCCTTCATTTTTCTAAATACTCAATACAGCCTTATAAGAATAGAAACAGTTTCACTAATTCATTTTTAATCTTTATGCCTTATTTTGTTTCCTTTATTTGCCTTGATGTACCAGGTAGGCACTCCAGTAAAAACATGCATAGAGTGGTGAGAACAGCATCAGTCTTTTTCCTGATCTTAAGAATGAGATATTCAGTATTTCATCTTTTAGAATATTTCCTTGTTTTCATCAGCTCTTTATTCTGTTGAAATCCTCTTCTATGTTAGGTAGTTGAGAGATTTTATCCTAAACTGATGCTGAATTATATCAAAGTTTTTATCTGTATGTAGTGAGATAATCAAATGTCTTTGCTTCTCAATTTGAAATGTATATTGGGCCAATTGAATTTATTGATTTTGTAATGTTAAACCAACCATGCATTCATGAAAAAAAAAATCCTACATGGCTAGGGAATATTGCTAGATTCTATTTGCTAACATTTTCAAAAAAATTTTTGCATCAGTGCTTAAGTGTATTGTTCTGAAGCTTTATTTTCTTCTAACATTGTTATTTGGTTTGGTTCTCAAGAAATTGTTAGGTTTTTTTTCCTCAAGAAATAAAGCGAAAAAGCCTTTTTTTCTCAAGACATGGAGCTGAAAGCCATTTTTCTCTCAAGAAATTGAGCTAAAATTTCTTGAGAAAATGGAGCTAAAATGTTAACTCCATTTCCCATTTTCGTGGTTGAAAATGAATGGCTATTATTAAAAAGTCTAAAAAAATAGATGCTGGGAAGGTTGCAGGGAAAAGGGAACACTTACACACTGTTGATGGGAGTGTAAATTAGTTTAACCATTGTGGAAAACAGTGTGGCAATACTTCAAAGAGCTAAAAAAAGAACTACCATTTGACCCCGCAGTCTCATTAATGGGTGTATATCCAAAGGAATAGAAATTATTCTATTATAAAGGCACATGCACATGTATGTTCTTTGCAACACTATTCACAATAGCAAAGACATGGAATCAACCCAAATGCCCATCAATGATAGACTGGATAAAGAAAATGTAGTATAATATATATACACCATGGAATACTAAGCAGCTGTAAAAAAAAAAAAAGAATGAGATCATGTCCTTGGCAGGGACTTAGATGGAACTGGAGGCCATTACACTCATCTCCTTCCTAAATTATTTTTGTCCTCTACTTACTATAGTTTTAATCTGTTCTTATTCTATCTTTTCAAGGTGGACACTTACTTGATCTCAGAAATTTCCTATTTTCTAGTATAAGCATTTAAAACCACCCATTTATCTCTAAACACTGAGCTAACTTATCCTAGAAATTATGATGTATTATATTTTTCTTTTGTTTGGTTGGAAATATAGGCTCAAATTATCATTGTAATGCCTTCTTAACTCTGTTTTTACTTAGAATAGTATTCTCTGTTTACAGATTTTCATGATTTTCCAAATAATTTCTCGATTTATTTAAATTCATTGTGATTACAAAACAAACTTATTCTGTATAAATTCAATAGTTGAAATCTAATACTTCTTTTGTGCCCAGCATGTAATGTATTTTGGTGACTATTTCATATCTACTTAGAAAACATGAGTATCCTGAAATTGTTTAGTCTAATGTTCAAAACTGTTGATAGATTGTTCAAGTATGTTTTATTCTAAAGTATTTCAGACTAGTTTACTAGATAAAATTACTGACAGATGAATGTTGAAGTCTTTATCTGAAACTGTGGATATGTCTATACCTTTTTAAAAATAATTTTTCTTCATATATTGATCTATAATTAGGCATGTTATACTTCCATTATTATAAATGCTTTTCTTTGTCCTTGATATTATACTTTGACCTAGAGTTCACTTTGGCTTATATAAACACAATTGTTGTAGTTTTCTGAATTTTAGTAGGTTTGTAAAGTATACTCATATTTTACTTTAAACTTACCGCAATTAATTCTCACAGCTTTTATTTTTGTAAATGCTTTTATTTAATGTTTATTTTAAATGATATTTATACTAAATAATTCTACTTTGATGTATTTTAGTTTTGTCCTATAGCACTTTAAGGATGCTCTTCTGCTATTATTGGGCTACATTGTTTTGATGAGAAATCTGAAGATACCCTGAACTTTGTTTCCTTGTTTGTATTGTTTCTTTTCTCTCTGGCTTCTTTTAAATTTAACTTTATATTTCATTATTCCTGCATTTCAGAAAATGTATTAAAATGTGCCTTGCTATAGTCATATCTGTGATTATTTGTAGATTATTGGTGTCTATCAAAATTATGTCTTCAAATTGTTTTCTGCACTGACTGACTCACTCCTCTCCTTCTAGAACTGCAATTGCACGTATGCCGGACTGCATAATATTGTTCCATAAGTAACTAAGACTGTTCATTTTCTTCATCTTTTTTTAAATCTCTGTACATTGCCCTGAATGATGTCTGGTCCTATGACTTTAAGTTCAGTGGTATCTTTTTTTTGTTTGTTTGTTTTTTCTTCAGTGTCACATTATCTCATGCTCACTGATTGAAATTTTCATTTCAGATATTACATTTTTCATGTGGAAAAGTTATCTTTTTTCATTTCTACATATTCCATGTCTCTTCTAATTATGTTTTTCCCTCTGTATTCTTGAGCATATTTATTATATTTATAATAGCTAAATTCTTGTCAGTAAATCTATCATCTCTGTTGTTCTGTTGTTTATAGGTCTTTTCCTATTAATGGATTTTCTTCCTTCCTGGGTTATGGATCACATTTGATAATTTCCATAGTAATTTTGTATCAGATGCTTGATATTGCATATATAATGTCTAGTATTTAAGGCAGTCACCTACTTAGCTGAAGAGAATGCACATAATTCCCAACCCTGTGTGAGCACTGGGAATTCTTCAATTTACAACTCTCCAAGAGTTGTTCTTGTTTAGATCCCTGGAGTTCTGCAGGTATAGATCAATAAATAGTAAAAGACTGAACTGGATTCCTATCCTGATTTCTCGAGCTCTTTTTTCTTCATAGTTATCTCCACTATGATATTCTTCCCTGCAAATTTTAGCTGCCTCAGCTTTCCACAGCTCCATTCTTTGTCTCACCATGAGAGATTGCCTTGCTCTGCTTCTGTTCTCCCTTCTACTGTGGCCTGGAAAGTATGAGTTAAGAAGTCCAGGGCCACCAGGCGCAGTGGCTCACACCTATAATCCCAGCACTTTGGGAGGCCAAGGCAGGTGGATCACCTGAGGTCAGTAGTTTGAGACCAGCCTGGCCAACATGGTGAAACCCCGTCTCTATTAAAGTACAAAAAATTAGCCGAGTGTGATGGTGGGCGCCTGTAATCCCAGCTACCCAGGAGGCTGAGGCAGGAGAATTGCTTGAGCCCAGGAGGTGGAGGTTGCAGTGAGCCGAGATCATGCCACTGCACTCCAGCCTGGGTGACAGAGCAATACTTCATCTATAAAAATAAAATAAAATAAAATAAGCCCCTGGCAATTTTAAGGCTCCACTCATTTATGTCCTTTTTCTCAAGATTTTCAATCCTGTGTTGGCTTTTGTGCCAATGCATGAAACCAGATGTTTCATTTATTTTATCCAATGTTTTTTAGCACAGAATAATTTCTGCATGAGGAATATTCATGGACAGAAACATGAGTTTAAGCATGACATTTCAATTACAAATTTTACCTGGCCAACACTTATCTCATCATCAAAATATAAATGTTTATTTACATTTAATGGCTCTCCTTTTTCATACCATGAGGCAACAATCTGACACAAATGGATACCCGAGTCTGCAGGAACAGAAAGACCTGTATAATCTCTCTAGTTTCCAAGCTTCTAAATTGTGTTATATAAGCATCCAGCAAATTAATCTCATTACTTCAATCATGTCCTTCCTGAATCAAACTTGACTGACAGTTAAAGTTCGTTAATGGGTCCACGAATCACAAAAACTTTGTTCCTAAGGTTTTTCAACCTAGCATAATACCCCTGATCTCATAGAATTATGAGAAAGCCCTAAAATATATCACATGTAAACATTCTTACTGGTGTAATATAAGGAGTCATTAGGAACAATATTAACAGTGAGAAGGACAATGGTATGGGATCCTTAAAATTAGGTGAATTTCTCTAGGAAATGTATAAGTCATCAGAAATAAAAAATTTCTCATAATACAATAAAATAAATTATTCAGGTTCTAGCTATTGCTACAAAACATTTAATAACACATTATGTACCACAGAGATATGAAAATGCATTTTAAAACATTTCAATGATTAGTTTCGTATTAATTTATGAGAGCAATGAAAAAATAAAATGTTCTTTATTTTAAAAATAATGGTAAGGGCCAGGCGCGGTGGCTCACGCCTGTAATCCCAGCACTTTGGGAGGCCAAGGCAGGCAGATCACGAGGTCAGGAGATCGAGACCATCCTCGCTAACACGGTGAAACCTCGGCTCTACTAAAAATACAAAAAATTATCCAGGCGTGGTGGCGGGCGCCTGTAGTCCCAGCTACTCGGGAGGCTGAGGCAGGAGAATGGCGTGAACCCAGGAGGTGGAGCTTGCAGTGAGCCGAGATCTCGCCACTGCACTCCAGCCTGGGCAACAGAGCGAGACTCTGTCTCAAAAATAAATAAATAAATAAATAAATAAATAAATAAATAAATAAATAAATAAACAAATAAGAATGGTAAGTATTACATGGTATTTTCAGAAGAAAAAATCTTCATATTGTACACTATAATAACAACATATCATTCATGACAATTCTAATTCTGCTACTAACAGATTTTCTCTGCTTTGAGAAAAATCTTGAGTATGAAATTTTGAATGTGTTTAAGCAAGTTCGTGGTAAACAGAAGGCTTGCAGAGCACCTCGGAAGGAACATTTTCCCAATGTTGGCAACACAGGACTCTGTTTTCCATGCATAGTCTGTTGGGGAAAAAAATAAAAGTTGTTGGAATGTGAACACTACTGTGTTTTTCTTCAGCTGAATATGTATTTTAAAGAATAAGAGAGAGTTGAAATGATGCAAATTTAAAAGGCTGTCTTCATTAGCAAACATCTAAGACAAATGTTGAAATGTTTTTGTCTTCACTAGCATAACTCCATAAGGATTTACAATCTGGCAATAATTTCACTAAACATTTAAGATTATTTTGTCAGTTTTGCATTAAACTCAAAGAAAAACTGAGTTTTAACAGCTAAAAGATGTGTTCAAGCACAAAATCTGTGATAATGTTAAGAAAAGAAACTCAAATATGAGTTACAGCTTTCAAAGTAGACAGAGAAAGAAAAAAGGTTAACACTGTAAAATGAAAATCTCTTGAGCACAAACATTTCTGAGTACATCTTATCATCTATTAGTAATATATTAGCACTTACAGTAGGTGAGGTTGGGCAAGTGATTAGCTTTGAGTGAAGTAAGAATCTTGAACCATAGGAATACATCTGTGATATTTTTAATAACAGGGTAAATAAACCACAAGCCACCTTAAAACCTGAAGTTAAACAAACTTTCATCAATTTAGAAACTGAAGGACCAAATCCAGTTCAAACAATTAAAGTTAGATATCATTGATATCTGTTGGTGATTTGGTTTTCAAGTAGAAAATAATAAGTGATTATGTTTCCTGCTTGTAAATGAAAAGGAATCTATAGACAGAGATGTGGACCTAAGTAAAGGCAGGCTTGTAGGGGGTAACTGATGTATAAGCCAGCCCATAAGACAACACCTGTATTTCATTGGGCAGAGTCAGCGCAGAATAATAGAGAAAATAGGCTGCTTACTAATTCCACTTTCAATGGCATTGGGAAAATAATTTTGCAAACTCAGTCAAGTTAATCAAATTTTTCTCAGTTTCAAAATAAAAAATATTGATCATCTAGGTAACTTCTAGGATTTGTTCTAACTCTAAAAATTAAATTACAGCAGCCAGGCGCGGTGGATCCCACCTGTAATCCCAGCACTTTGGGAGGTCAAGGTGGGCTGATCACAAAGTTAGGAGTTTGAGACCAGCCTGGCCAACACGGTGAAACGCTGTCTTTACTAAAAATACATAACATTAGCTGGGTGTGGTGGTGCATACCTGTAATCCCAGCTACTTGGGAGGCTGAGGCAGGAGAATTGCTTGAACCCAGGAAGCAGAGGTCGAGGCGAGCAGAGATGGAACCATTGTACTCCAGCCTGGGCGACAGAGCAAAACTCCATCTCAAATAAACAAATAAATAAATAAATAAATTACAATTATTAAATGAAGGAAAAAATGACAGAATCAACAGAAGTGCCTGTAGTTCATTCCAAACAAAAGTAAAAACTGTTTTGAATTTTTTTATTTTAGTAGAAATCTAAAGTTTTGTGCAGTTATATTAAATATTATTTATACCTGTGCAAAATGCTGAATTTGGTATTGCTTTATTTCAAGAAGATGTACAAGTGATAAATCTAAAACTTATGATAGTATTTAGGACCACAAATAATTTATAACTATCACCATTCCCTTTAATCTATAGAAGCAGGTTGCAAATTTGCTTGCAGGTGAAATTATCTGTATATGTTCTATTTTTCATTAAAATAAAAAAATGCAGCAAAAGTTTATTATCCATATTGTCTTACAGGTATAAAATGTCAAAATAATAATATATAATCATAGATTCATTGCATTCAGAAACAAATATCAATATATTTAGAAGAAAATGATAAGTTCAATCATAGTTGAGGATAGTCTAAACAAAAAAGCAAGGTCAAAGATACAAACTCCAGTCTGGGCAACATGACAAAACCCAGTCTCTACAAAACACAAAAATTTATCTGGGCCTGGTGGCACACTACTGTAGTTGCAGCTGCTAGGAAGCTCAAATGGGAGAATTACCTGAGCTCGAGAGGTTGAGGCTACAGTGAGCTGAAATTGTGCCACTGTACTCCAGCCTGGGTGACACAGTGAGATCTTGTCTCAAAGAAAATGAAAAATAAGATACAAACTACTGTACCTTCAAATCTATTTGAATAGAGACTCATTACATTATATTGCTGGGGAATTTTTAGAAAAGCAATTATTTTAATTTTTTAACTTTTTCTGAGATATTTTTATCTGTTTCTTATTTAAGCACTCCAACACCAGGAAGCCTATTTCTTTATAATAAAACAATATGAGTTCAATGATTAGGAATGTATCCCTGTCTTCCTGTAACCTGTACTGTCATACCTTATGCTGGCTCACAATTCAGAACAAATCTGTTCTCTCTTTCAACCAGTCAAATATACAATATCAAATAATAGATGCCATTTTCTTCATGACACTTCTCTCAATATTGAAAGCTATCATTTCTCTTTTTGGCCTACTTCTCTCTGAACGAAGTCTCTCATTATCCTTTAGCAATTCTTGAATTCGTTTGAAGACTTCTGTACATACCATTGGTTTTCCTTTGAATGTACCTTAATCTGTTTTCTGTTAAATATTATCAAGGATTACATATACTCCATACCCACTATATTAGTCAGGGTCTTCCAGAGAAATGGAACCAATAGAAGATTATATCCCAGGAGAGCCAAAAAAAAAAAAAAAAAACTGCAGTTCCAGTCCGAATTCTGAAACCGCGTGCCTACTGGTACAACACAAAGTGAAGAAAACAGTATTCCTTTTCTGTGCTCCTCACAAAAGTGATTAACATTGGCATAATCATGACAAACCCTCAGACAAAAACATATTTAAAAAATTTATGAAATAATTGGCCTGTATCTTCAACAGGTCAAGGTCATAAAACAAAAAAAAACTCAATAAATTTTTTTTTCAGATAAAAGGAGAGTGACATTACAACTGAAATCAATGCATGATTCCTGATTAGATTTGAGAACAAAATAGCCATAAATGACACCAGTGGGATAATTGGAAAAATTTTAGTATGAAATGTAGATTATATAATGTATGACATTAAATTTCCTAATTTATATAGATGTACTGTCATTGAGAAAGAAAATTTTCTTTGTCCTTAGCTAACTAAGAATTAAATATTTAGGGATAAACCGGCATGTTTTGATGAATGCAATTTACTTTCAAATTATGTAGTCTCAAATGACACAAGTGTATGTGTACATTTATTTATGTTTGTGTGAAAAATAGAGGACAAGAGAAAGAGAACGTGAGAAACAAGAGAATCAAAGTGAGAAAAAGTGAGCAAAAGTGAAAGCAAATGGGACAAAAACTAACAAATGACACTGAGCAAAGGTTAGGTGAAAATTCTTTATATTACTCTTATAATTTTGCTAAACAATTGAAATTATATTAAAAAAAAACTGTCCCCCACCAAAAATATATATATTTGTTTCAACAAGAAATTATCAAGTCTTTTAGACCAAACACATTGCAAGCTTGAAATAATAGATTCATGTGTGTATATGTGTATTATATATATAAAATATATAATATATTACCTTAATATATAATAGGTGTGTGTATATATTACCTTAGTTATGATGAGAATAACCTTTTTCCTCACATTTAACTGTGATAATAATAAACTTACATGTTCTCAAAAATTCTGTTTTACTATGAAATCGTAATCACTTTAAAACCAAGCAATTAATTTTAAAAATAATGTGTAAAATAAAATATCTGCCTGTTTTAAAAAATATTTTACATAAATCCTTAAATTATTAAAAGAAATACCACCTCTATATTACAGATGTAAGCATGTTACCAAAATGTGATTTATACTCACTAATTTACTACAAGAGCTTAAAATTCTAATTTGCAAAGTACATGTCATTGTACAATTTTCATTTTCAAAATGTTCTTTCTTCAATAATTTATGAGCCAGCAGTGAATTTTATGCATCCAATTATCAAAATTGCTTTGAAATATAATGCTAAGCTGACAGTGAAGTGTTGAAAATTGCTAATTAGATATTGCATCATTGAGAAATAAAAGATTTTGAGAATTATAGAATATAAATGTAATGATATACATCTAAGTAAGACAACCATATTAATTGATATTATCTCATTAAAGGTGAGTATTGAGAATTTTTATAACAGATATGAAAAACATCAGCAGAAACACTAACAAAATATAATGGGAAATAAATATCATGATATAAAATGCATATTATCCACATAGCATACTCAATGCTTTATTTAAAGATGATGACTCTCATTAGAATTTAAAAATAACTATAATTATTTTATGGATATGATAAGAAATGATAACTTTCAAAACTTAAAATACTATTATTAACAACATAAATTAGTTTCTTATTTTTCTATAATAAATTAAATCTATTTATTTTAAAATTTTTCTGTGTTAATGCTCAACCTACCTCAGAGGAAGAAGCACATTAGCTAAATCTTGAAGAATGAATAGGTGCCTGCAAAGTGAAAACATTTCAAGGGTATATCCCTGAAGGACCTGGCATGTTTAGACAATGTCTTAATGCATTACAATACTTAAAAGAGGTAAAAAAGAGGTCAAACATATAAGCAAGAAAAAATAATAATTCCATCAAAAGGTGGGCAAAAACACGAATAGAAATTTCTCCAAAAATGTACAAATGGCCAACAAACATACGAAACAGTGCTCAGCATCACTAATCATTAGGAAAATACAAATTAATATGACAGTGAGATATCGCTTTGCCCCAGCCGGAATAGTCACTATTAAATAGTCAAAAAACAATAGATGTTGGCGTGGATGTGCTGAAGAAAGGAATACTTACACACTGCTGGTAGGAATGTAAATCAGTATCAGTACAGCCTCTGTGGAAAACAGTATGGAGATTTCTCAAATAACTAAAAGCAGATCTACTATTTCATCCAGCAATCCCACTACTATCTACTCAAAGGAAAAGAAGTCACTGTATGAAAAAGACACTTGCATGTGTATGTTTATTGCATCACAATTCACAATTACAAAGCTATGGAATCAACCTAAGTGCCCATCAACTGATGAGTGGATAAAGAAAATGTGGTTTTATACACACACACACACACACACACACACAAATACACCATGGAATACTGTTCAGCCATTTAAAAAAAGAATAAAATAATGTACTTTGCAGCACTTGGATGGAACTGGAGGCCATTATTCCAAGTGAAGGAATCAAAGCCAAATACTGCATGTTCTCACTTACAAGTGGAGCTAAGCTATAGGTACACAAAGGCATGTAAAACAGTATAGTAAACATTGGAAACTCAACAAAAAAAGGAAAATACCTTTAGACTTGTAAATAAACATACCAATAATTTTATATTAAATTGACAATCACTATCAGATTATTTCCAAAAATTAAAATCTACCACATCCACAAAATGCAAAACTTCCAATGTTTAATACAAATTCCCTAATGGATTGTTTCCTTTAGAAAAATCCATTCGGTTTATGTGTGTGCGTGCATGCGTGCGTGTGTGTGTAATTTAGCTTCTAAAACTTTATCATAAAATCATACATAAAATAGTAAGTAGATTTCCCTAGAAAATTTCTTTTATCATTTTATTACAGAGGTATACAGCAAGGTGCCCCAGAATCTGAGGACAAAGTTATGCTCTGAAAATATTACAAGTAAACTGCTCTTGAAAAAGCACACTTCAAATGAAATTTACACCCAGAATTCATGCATAGGAAAGTATTTTTTTACTGTTCTTAGAGACTGAAAATTTAAATTTTACAGTGTAATTTTGGAAAAACATATAAAAAGGTTTTATTTATTTAATAGAACTTGTCCCAAAAAAACCTAAATATTATATCTCAATTATTTTTAAAACATAATAAATGGCCAAAAATTCATCTCTGATCTTTTTCTTCCTTTCAACCATGTATCATACTAGAACAACCAACAAAAAGTAGCATACATTGTACCCGATAGGTAGTTTCTTTTATTCCTCACTCCCCTCACATCCTCCCCAATTGAGTCTCCAATATTTATTGATCTAAATATTATTTCAAATGTTGTTATTCTATTTATATTTTGATAATCCATAATTAACCTTAATTTCTAAGAGTAGAGCAAAGGTAAACACTGAAAAATTTTCGTGCTACAATTCAGAAGCGGGCACGCATTCTGTATATTGGTAAATAAAATACTTTTTAAAATGTTATTTTCATGATCTATTATGAAATTAATTTAGCCTAAGTCTTTTGCTATAAAAGAAGCATTTTTCTGGAGGTTATTATTATAAGGGCCCTTGTAAATCTCTGAAACAAAAATCAAAATTCTTAGTAGGCTAGTCAGTGCTCTAAAATCATAGTTATTACTCCAAAAAATTTATTTTCTTTCACAAACAATTACTGCTATGAAAAATAGTAAAAAGATAATATCCAAGTTATGCAAGATAAATAAGGTAGAGCAATCTCCTGTTCACCATCATGCCTATTGTTAGCAATATTTTATTGTGCACTTAAAATTTCTTAAAGGAGCAGATGTCATGGTAAATATTCTCACCTCAATACAATATATATTTGTACATGTATGTGTGTGTATATAAATGCACATTAAAGTAAAAATTTAGAACTTTTATATTAATTATCTAAACAACAAAATTAAGTAGAATAATTAAAAATAATATCCAAATTATAGAAATAAAAAATAAAGACATAACTATCATATGTGTATAGCAAATAGTTGGTAACATGTAGCAAATATTGGAAAGTTGAGAAGATAAAATCTCAAGGATAAAGTTAATATTTTATTATTTCAACAGAAGGCATAATATAGATGTAGTGATAGGAATTGGAAAGAAAATATTCATGGCTATAGTGTTTGATATATCATGGCTTATGTTACCTTTAATTTCACAGTTAAAAACTGGATTTAGCAATCAATCTAACATAATGATAGTTTTGGAATCTGTATCCTCTCCTCCCACTCTTTTAAAAACACCTTAATTATAAACCATATTTTCTTAATGTTATCAGTGGAAAACAGATGTTAATTAACTTCACTTTTTTAAAGAAAAAGGTAGAAACCACTACATGCAGAATTGTACCAGATCTTCACAAAAATAAAACATTCATGTGAAAAAGTATTTGTAATATTTCACTATTAGGTTCGATTTAATTAAATTGTCTGTATATGTCCAGCCTTTGCTCTTTACATGCCTAAAAATACAGTGTTACAATGTTAAGAGTCAAAAATTATTACACTATCAAGCTAAATAACCTCTTATTCAAAGTAGAAGCTAATGCCCTTTTTATAAAACTGAACAATATAGCAATAAAACCTCTAAATATTCAATTAGTTATTTGCTGATCTGGCAACTACCTACATTTTTGTTTCAACTGATGAAGAATTTCTGCAAAAAATAATAATAATAATAATTTGTTATTATTAAAATAATCATAATTTGTTAATGATCAAGGAGAAATCATAGAAGCATTTTTCAAGGTTTTTGCATAATGAGTCTGCAGGTTTTCTTAGTGGATTTTTTTTCTCTGATGAGTTCATGCTTCTCACACAAGCAATAATTGAGAAAAACAGTAAAGGAAAATGTACTCAAGAAACCACTTAAGACAAATCTCTTAGGAGGAATTATGTATTGAATTTTTTTCCTCCAATTCTGCTCTCATGCTCCCTCTCCACCCACCATCCCCTTGTGCCTCACACACACACACACACACACACACACTCACCAACTATAGTAACTAGGCTTTTCTTATCAGAGGGTTCAGATGGGAAAAAGAAAACATTTGTTCCTTTAAAACTGAGTTTTAAAGGAACTGAGTTTTAAAGTTTAAATTAGTTTAAAATTATGTTTTTTGTTCATTTATTTATGTTATTAAATGCCAGTGGCTTTCTTTAAATCTTTATTGGGGTGGGCCACTGTGTCCAATCATGATATCTAAATTCTTTGAATATATGAATTCATGTACTATGTACCCACAAATAATTAAGAGGCCCACATATACCATAAAGAGGTTTCAAGTTCAATGAATTTCTACAGCTAAATAAATTGTATGTCATTCTCATTTAGAGTTATACTGAAAATAAATATCTGATTTACATTTTAAAGACTCAGTTTATCTATATTCAGCAGGGTTTTTTTGAATTAAATATGGTATAACATAACAAATGTATTTATCAGCCAGCTTTATCCTTTTTACACTTACTATGAGGGGAAACTCCTCAAGCTATCTGCATTTATACTTTACATATATGTTGCATTTTTAATATGATTTAATGGGTTACATACACCTACAGCTGTGTTTAATGAAATGTCTTTCCCTTTATGCTTTCAAAATTACTTATACAGTAATAATGCTCACAGAATTCTGTTTTGAGAATGTTTGCCTTTGGAACACAATAAAGGAAAAGAAACATCTCTTCTTTCCCTTGATTTTTATTGTCTCTCTGGCTTTGAATTGCATTTCGGACAAAAATAATGCATACAATTGAATGCTTTTTAATAAATTAATGGAGTTATACAACCATCAACACAATCCAGTGTTTGAACATTTCTATCACTACAAAAAGCGTCCACCTGCCCCTGGGAGGTAAGTTGCTTTTCCTTTGGTGTCCTACCTAACCCTCTCTCCCTCCCTACCCCCACCTTGGACACAAAACCTAATCTTTCAGTCTCTCTATGAAGCAGGATATTTCCCTGACCCCTTCGTGGGACTTGAGTGGGGCTTGCCCTCGTTTACTCAGCCTGTGGGTCTCAAATCCTTGTGGGAGGGAGTGCGCAGGTCAACAAGGTGGGAACTGGAGTGCATGAGTGCTGGAACCAGCTGGCCATTTTGGCACTGGCAGGATCAAACCCCACTCACTCAGACCCACTACAATCCACCCCATGAGGGGGGCAGTGCATAGGTGAGGAGGTGCAGGAGCCAGAAAGAGCGCCGGCAGGAGGGAACTCCTACACACCCCATGGCAGCATCCAAATGGGGTGCCTGTGACTCCCAAAGCCCTAGAGGGTGTGTCTTTTAGCTCTGCCATTCACAGAAAGCTTCAGTGTTAACAGCTCAGTGAGCCCTCTGCCTTTTCATGTGAGGCAGCTGCCCTCCGCCAGTGAGGGCAAAGGGCCAGTGTGATAACCTTTTTTGTATCAGCACTTGTGGTTCCCGAGCTCTTGTCTGGTGTCCTGGAAAAATGAGGTTACATGAAACGATTGAAGGATGGTAAATAAGGGGATTTTATTGCTGATGAAAGTGGCTGACAGGGAGAAGGGGAGCTAAAAAGGGGACAGGGGTGTAGGCAATCTTCCCCTGAAGTCCAGCTGTCTCCAACTGGGTTATTCTCTGAAGTTACCTTGTCAAGCTATTCCTCTGAAGTCAAGCCACTTCTCTCTGACATCCAGCTGTAGTCGTTTCTCCTCTCCAACTGAGTCTGGGGTCTTTACAAGGTACAGCTTTGCAGGCAGGGTGGGTGATGGATGGTTTAGGAAAAGGCAACATTCAAGCAGGAAAACAGAGATGTAAGTTCTCACTTTGGGCTGTGGTTTCAGGCTTTTGGGATTGAGGATGGGGTTTCACCAGGGACCTGCCCTTTTCTGCCTGGAATTTCTCTGCCTCCTGTCCCTATCATCTATACATAGAATCACATTGATATGGTTTGGCTGTGCCCCCACCCAAATCTCAACTTGAATTGTATCTCCCAGAATTCCCACATGTTATGCGAGGGACCCAGGGGGAGGTAATTGAATCATGGGGGCTGGTTTTTCCTTTGCTATTCTCATGATAGTGAATAAGTCTCACGAGATCTGATGGGTTTATCAGGGGTTTCCACTTTTGCTTCTTCCTCATTTTCTCTTGCCACCACCATGTAAGAAGTGCCTTTTACCTCCCACCACGATTATGAGGCCTCCCCAGCCATGTGGAACTGTAAGTCCAATTAAACCTCTTTTATTTTCCCAGTCTTGGGTGTGTCTTTATCAGCAGAGTGAAAACAGACTAATGCAGTAAATTGGTACCAGGAGTGGGGCTTTGCTGAAAAGATACCAGAAAAAGTGGAAGTGACTTTGGAACTGGGTAACAGACAAAGATTGGAACAGTTTGAAGGGCTCAGAAGAACACAGGAAAATGTGGGAAAGTTTGGAACTTCCTACTATCTTGTTGAACGGCTTTGACCAAAATATTGATAGCGATATGGACAATAAAATCCAGGCTGAGGTGGTCTCAGATGGAGATGAGAAACTTGTTGGGAACTGGAGCAAAGGTGACTCTTGTTATGATTTTTTTTTTTTTTTTGGAGACAGAGTCTTGCTCTGTCTCCCAGGCTGGAGTGCAATGGCACGATTTCGCTCACTGCAAGCTCCACCTCCTGGGTTCACAGCATTCTCCTGCCTCAGCCTCCCCAGTAGCTGGGACTACAGGCACCCACCACCATGCCTGGCTAAATTTTGTATTTTTTTAGTAGAGACGGGGTTTCATCATGTTAGCCAGGTTGGTCTCCATCTCCTGACCTTGTGATCTGCTGGCCTCAGCCTCCCAAAGTGCTGGGATTACAGGCATGAGCCACCATGCCCGGCCTCTTGTTATGTTTTAGCAACGAGACTGGCAGCATTTTGTTCCTGCCCTAGAGATTTGCGGAACTTTGAACTTGAAAGAGATGATTTAGGGTATCTGGCAGAAGAAATTTCTAAGCAGCAAAGCATTCAAGAGGTGACTTGGGTACTGTTAAAGGAATTCAGTTTTAAAAGGGAAAAAGAGTATAAAAGTTCAGAAAATTTGCAATAGAAAAGAAAATTCCATTTTCTGGGGAGAAATTCAAGCCAGCTGCAGAAATTTGCATAAGTAGCAAGGAGCACCTAATGTTAATCCCCAAGACCATGGGGAAAATGTCTCTAGGGCATGTCAGAGACCTTCGTGACAGGCCCTCCCATCACAGGTCTGGAGACTCAAGAGGAAAAACTGGTTTTGTGGGCCGGGCCCAAGGTACCTATGATGTGTGCAGCCTAGGGACTTGATGCCCTGTGTCCCAGCTGCTCCAGCAGTGACTGAAATGGGCCAATGTACAGCTCAGGCTGTGGCTTCAGAGGGTGGAAGACCCAAGCCTTGGGAGCTTCCATGTGGTGTTGAGCCTGCAGTGCACAAATGTTAAGAATTGAGGTTTAGAAACCTCTGCTTAGATTTCAGAGAATGTATGGAAACGCCTGGATGCTCATGCAAAAGTTTGTTGCACAGTCAGGGCCCTCATTGAGAACCTCTGCTAGGGCAGTGTGGAAGGGAAATGTGGGGTCAGAGCCCTCATGCAGAGTCCCTACTGAGGCACTGCCTAGTGGAGCTGTGAGAAAAGGGCCACCGCCCTCCAGACCCCAGAATGGTAGATCCACTGACAGCTTGCACCGTGTGACTGGAAAAGCTACTGACACTCAACGCCAGCCCAGGAAAGCCGGGAGGGAGACTGTACCCTGCAAGTCATAGGGGCATAGCTGCCCAAGACCATGGGAACCCACCTCTTGCATCAGTGTGGCCTTGATGTGAGACCTGGAGTCAAAGGAGATCATTTTGGAGCTTTAAAATTTGACTACCCCACTGGATTTTAGACTTGCATGGGGCCTTTAGTCCTTTCATTTTGGCCAAATTCTCCCATTTGGGACAGCTGTATTTACCCAATACCTGTACTCCCATTGTATCTAGGAAGTAACTAGCTTGCTTTTGATTTTACAGGCTCATAGGTGGAAGGGACTTGCCTTATCTCAGATGAGACTTTGGACTGTGAACTTTTGGTTAATGCTGAAATGAGTTAAGACTTTGGGGGACTGTTTGGAAGGCATGATTAGTTTTTAAATGTGAGGACATGAGATTTGGAGGGGCCCGGGGCAGAATGATATGGTTTGGCTGTGTCCCCACCCAAATCTCAACTTTAATTGTATCTCCCAGAATTCCCACGTGTTGATGCAGGGACCCAGGGAGAGGTAACTGAATCATGGGGGCCAGTCTTTCCTGTGCTATTCTCGTGATAGTGAGTAAGTCTCATGAGAGCTGATGTGTTTATCGGAGGTTTCCGCTTTTGCTTCTTCCTTATTCTCTGTTGCTGCCACCATGTAAGAAGTATCTTTCACCTCCCGTCATGATTCTGAGGCCTCTCCTGCCACCTGTGTAACTGTAAGTCCAATTAAACCTCCTTTTCTTCCCAGTCTCGAGTATGTCTTTATCAGCAGTGAGAAAACAGACTAATACACATATAATATATAGTTTTTTGAATTTGGCTTCTTAATTTTGAGGATAATCCATGTAATAGCATGTACAAATAGTTTATTCCTTTTTATTGCTGAATAGCATTCCATTGAATGGATGTACCACATTTTTTTCAGTCACCAATTTACCGACATTTTGATTGTTTTGTACTTTTTGGTTATTGTAAATACTACTACTTATTATTATTAATTAGTGTGAAAAAGTACACTACTTATTGTGTACACAATGAGTACTCTAAAAATACATGTATGCATACCTATTGTAAATAAACACTCAGGTACAAGTCTTTGTGTAGACATATATTTTCATTAATTTTTGGGTTGAGACTGAGGCATAGAATTGCTGGGTTGTAAGGTAAATTTTACATTAATCATTTTTTTAAAACTGCTGAACTCTTCCCAAGTAGACTGTACTACTTTACATTCCCACCAGCAATGTAAAAGCATTCCAATGTCTCCACATCCTTGCTATTTTCCTTTCAATAAATTATTACTATATACATCTTAGTGGCTATAAAGTGATTCGTCATTGTGGTTTTTAACTTGCACTATTCTAATTAATAATAATGATGAATTTTTTTCATTTGCTAATTGGGCACTTTATCTTCTTTGATGAAGGGTCTATTAAAAGCTTTTGCCCATTTTAAAAATGGGTTGTTCATTTCCTTATCCAGTTCTCAGGGTCTTATTTTATTCTGTATACAAGCCCTTTATTGCATATTTGATTTTCAAATATTTTCTACACAAGTTTGTGGTTTTCCATTTTCTTAATACCGTATTTTGAAGGTCAAATGTCATTTTTAATTTTGATGAAGTTTATTTCATTTATTGTTTTTAATTATGCTTTTGGTGTCCTAACTTAGAATTCTTGGCTTAACTCAGGTTTTAAAGATTATCTATGTTTTTTTAAATATATATATATAACTTAAACTCTTATCTTTAGTTCAAAAATTTACTATAAGTTATTTTTTGTGAGTATTATATGAAATAGAATATAAATTCATCTTCCTGTCTATGAACAGGCAATTATACCTGCACTATTTTTGAAATAGACTACCCTTTTTATTGAATTCCCTTGGTTTCTTTGTTGGAAATCAATTGACCCTAAAGATAAAATTTTTATACATAATTTTATTCCATAGATTCAATATTTATACTTATGCTAATATTGCATTGTCTTGATTCCTTTAGCATCATAGTAAGTTTTGAAGTGAGGAAGTATAAGTTCTCATGATCATTCTTCTCTTTAAAAATTGTTGAAGCTATTCTGGATCCTTTGCATTTCCATATAAATTTTAGGATAAGCACATCAATTTCGGCAAAATGCGTGCTGGAGTTTTTATGGAGATCGCCTTTCTTAACAATATTGAATCTTCAATCCATTTACATAGGATGTCTCGATTTATTTAGAATTTTATTACTTTCTATCAACAATACTTTTAGTTTTCAGTGTACAAAATCTTACACTTTTTTGTTAAATTTATTTTTCTTCATTTTGTTCTTTTTGATGCTAATATGAATTGAGTTCTTTAGTATTTCAATTGCTAGTATATAGAAATGCAACTGATTTTTACACATTGTTCTTACATCCTGTGAACTTACTGAACTTGTTTATTGGCTCTAGAAGTGGTTTTGTGGATTACTCAGGACTGTCTACATACACAGTCATGTCACCTGCAAATAAAGACAGTTTTACTTTTTCCTTTCCATTTGAGATGACTTTGGTTTCTTTATCTTTCCTTATTGTGCTGGTAGAACTTTCAGTTGAATATTGAATTGGAGTGGTGAGAGTGAATATTTCTTCCTAGGTCCCAGTCTTAGGGGAAAAACACTTAGCCTTTCACCATTAAGTATGACGCTAGCTGTAGTGTTTTCATAGATGCCAATTATCAGGTTGAGAAAGTTTCCTTTTGTTCTTAATTTGTTGAGTTTTGTCATGAATAGATGTTGCATATTGTCAAATGATATTCCCATTTTTCTATTTATTCTATTAATATAGCATATGGCATTAATTAATGTTCTGATGTTAAACCAATCTTGAATTTCTGGGATAAATCCTACTTGGTTATGATTTATAATCATTTTTATGTGTTGTTGAATTTGGTTTACTTATATTTATTTGAGAAGTTTTTTATCTGTACTCATGAATGATATTAGCCCATTACTTTCTTGTAATTATCTGGCTTTGATATTACTGGTATTATAAAATAAGTTGAGAAGTGTTCTCTCCCTCTGTATTTTCTGGATGATTTTTTGAAGTACTGCTATTACTTCTTCTTTAGAGATTAGATAGAATGGTTTCTCTTTCAATTCCTTTAAAGTATTAGTGTTCCCTTCAAATCTGCTCCAATTGTGTTCTCATATTATTTCATGCACTCTCCTTTAATAATCAAATCTGCAACTATACTATCAGCTTGCAGTTTGTAAACTGAGGGCATCCAAATCTGTATCTCTCATTCAAATTTCCTCTTAAGTTCTATATTTATCTTTTTAATTGGCTACTGGCTATTTATTTCTAAATGTTCACTGGCATTTCAACTACCCGAATTATTCTGTCTTTGTTAATAGAATAAAAGCCATATAGTTTCACCCAGAGCCATGAGTTTACGCACATCTACTTTGTGCTACCTTATATTCGATGATTACTAAATCTTGTAAACACTACATCCAGGGTATCTCTTGAATCTTTCTTCTCTTCTCCTCTGACACAATTATTATTTCCCACTTGAATTAAACTAATCATTCAACAGTTTTTTGTTGTTGTTGCTCCTGTTTGGGGGCTACTTTTGATCACAGGTTTTAACCAGAAGACCTCCTTTGAAATATTAGAGGTGGTAACTAGAATATCCTCTAATTTATGGGTGAAACCTTTAATCAATAGAAAAGACAATGTCCTCCAAAGCAGCCTGACTTTACAGCTATGTGTGTCAGTGTGATGAAGAATAATAACAGGTCCCTTCTTGGTATTTACTCTTTCTTTTTCTTGTCTTTTTATAATGTAAAAACTCTGCTTAAGGTTAACGCTGTGCTTTTCTCCATTAAAAAATGTATCTTGCCCTTGATTATTTCCTGCAAGGGGGTTGTAAAATTTATCAGCTCTTCACACAAAGCCTTAGATCCACAAGGAAAATTATAATGTATATTGATTGTCAAAAACATAAATTGCAACTAACCTTTATGTATCATAATTTTCTTTAATTCTCTCGTGTGAATATCTACCGATACCATTTCCCTAAAATACAATCAGCAAAAGTAGAGCTTAAAAAAAATTTTAAAGTCAAGCACAAATACACATAGATGATAAAACCTGGGAAAAGGGAAAGATGATAAATAAGAAAAAGAAATTTTTTTCATACTCCTAACCCTCAGAAAGTTGTGTGTAATATATTTGCTTGACGAATGGATATTGTAGTTCAAATCATAAAAAGCAATTACAGTGACATTTTTAACAATCTGCATGTATAATAACAATGGTTCTGAAATGCCCATGATTATACATTTAAACTAACTGCTGTTAATAAAATTGCTTGTTTTAAAAAAAATCAGTTAACTTTACAAATGAAATAACAGTTAATACCAATTACCAGTTGTCAAGCTAACCACTGAATATTAAAAGGTAGATATTTTCCTCCTTCGGCTTGTTCAGTCTGCTTCCAAGATCGGGGAATAGGGAATAAAGTTAAACATCTGTGAGATTAGAATGTTAGGGTCAAATATTCTTCCTTCGGCATTTACACACTACCATTACAGTTATATTTCAACACTATTAATTATGCTTGACTGTCTCCTTGTCTAGTTTTGAAAGCAAGTAATTACAGAATATTTATATCCTGAAACATTTCTATATTGCTAGTTCAAAAAATATGCTTTTCAATATAGTGAGATTGTTCTTTCAAAAAAAAGTCACTTTGTTTAAAATTAAATGGAAGGCTCTGTGCAGCCATTTCCCTTTCATATAAATCACATACAAAATTTAAATCAAAACCAATGGTACATACAAGACCTTAGAAGACTCACTTTGTGGTCATATTTTCTGATTTCTGATTTTCTGAACTTTAAAAATATATTTACAAGAGAATTTTTGTGGAACCCACTTTTCTTTGTTTGGTGTTATTCTTTTTACATAATCATAAATTTTATTTGTGTAAATACTGCATACCTTGTAATTCTTGCATGGCAAAAAATATTTTTTGCTCAAATTTTCTCACTATGTAATACTAGTTAGATATATTATATAAATTGGCTTTTAACATCTTGGTGTTTAAAAATCTTCAGTAGATGGAAAAGATATTCATTTATATCAATTTATGTTATCTGTAATTTGCTTACACTTAGTCGTAGAAGAATTAGTACCTTCATAAAAGTCTGTATGGTAAGGATATTAGAAATTATCTAGACCCACGGTTCTCAAACTGTGTTTCTGAACAAGTAGCATCAGCATCACCTGACATATGTTAGAAATGCAAATTCTCAGGCTCCAAGAAGACTTATTTTGTGGATGGGGCTCTTAAATCTATTTAAACTAGTCCTACTGGTTATGCTAATGCCTGCAAATTTTGAGAACCACTGGACTGGACTAGTGCTTCCCAAACACCTGTCTGTAGATGAATGCTGATGCATGGCAAAATCATACCAGTTAGTGTAAGGGAAAAAATTACAGCTAGCAGCAATTTCTTAGAAAATGAGACTTTACTCTAAAATGATTTCTTATTGGCAATTTCTGGAATTAAATTACCTTCTCTTTATTAAATGATGGTGATAGTAAGTCTCTTTTTGAGGTCCTCTTTTTTTTAGCAAAATTTAAGGTCTGCAACTCAGTGTTTATTCTTAATATTTCTTTTGGGTTATAGGGGTGGGAGTGGAGGCCACTGTGTGGTGGTGAGTAAACTATTAGTCAGTGTGAATTCCCCTTATTTATCGATGAAAAACTGACCCAGCAAGATTAAGGAAACATCTCTAAGTCATATAACTATCTATATGTACAGCTAGACAAAACCCCAATTCTGACCACCAAGGAATCCAGTGATGTTTGATTATATTATGCTTTCTCTATAGAAACATAGGAGCAAATTTGATGGTACATGGTTTGACAGAACTATAAACGCAAAGGGATCTATAATGAAGCAGAAGTAATAAATAATATATAAAGTAACAGAAGACGGGGCGCAGTGGCTCACGCCTATAATCCCAGCACTTTGGGAGGCCAAGGCGGGCAGATCACCCGAGGTCAGGAGTTTGAGACCAGCCTGGCCAACTGGTGAAACCCCCATCTCTACTAAAAATGCAAAAATTAGCCAGGCGAGGTGGCGCATGCCTGTAGTCCCAACTACTCGGGGGGCTGGGGAAAGAGATTCGCTTGAACCTGGGAGGCAGAAGTTGCAGTGACCCAAGATCACACCATTGCACTCCAGCCTGGGCGACAGAGGGAGACTTCAACTCAAAAATAAAAATAAAAAATGAAGTAACAGAAGACCTCGATCAGGAAAAGGGATTAAAGAGTTTGACAAATCCTCAAGGATTAGACAGGGTTGTGCCAGGAATGAGATCACCATGAATGATAAACTGATTGACAAAACTGTATGGGGACCTTCATATACCTGCACCTTCACTTAGTATTTTGCCCTTTCTTTAGAGTGATAGGATCTGTTCCTCTACATTGTGCTAACAAAATACATAGGATTTATATGAAATGATTTTTTTTGATCTTAGAAATGAGCACACCAAATTCCACTCAAAGTTAGATTCATTTTACCACAGCTAATGATAATTAGCCAAGTTGGGGATACATTTAAAATCTGATTTTGAGTCATGGGATGTGGAGATGGAATGGAGAGAGGGAGGACGAGCACAACTTAACTTGCTGGTTGAAAACAACAGATTACTGCCTTGTTTCACAATTTGACTGATTTTGATGTACTTTTGTGAAAGTTAAGAGTGAAGCAGAATAGCAGTAATTAAAGTGAGAAACAGAAAGTGTTATCCATTCAGAGTGGTTTTTGCTTTACAGTCAATTGTAGTCTAATATCTTTCCCTTCATGAACTAAGGAAATGTTCTCTCTCTGGTTCTCAAAGTGTGATATTGTATATAAACTAATCAAAATAAGACAAAACAAACTTAAATTGCAACTAACTCATACTTACATAAGACATCAGATAATCTCCCTACTTACAAAAGTTATTACTGATTAAGAGATTACATAACATGGGTATAATTACTTGAGGTTTAGCAAGGCAGCACCTAATACAGTTCTGTGTTTTTAAAATACTATGATTTAGTAAATAGTACAACGCCTCTACCACGTTAATAGACTTATTCAAAACCAAAATGTGCTGAAAGGATGAAACTTTTTTTAATGGGAACTCAAATATATACTGCAAAATTCAAAGATTAGTTGAGCAAGTTTAATAGTCTGTATGTTTTATGGCCGTAAATAGGTTTATATTTTTAAATACATAGTTTGTTTTTGTTTACTATCTCTACTAAAGTAAGACTAGCAATAAAATCAAACAACTTAGATGCCTCCTTTTCCAGCATCATCAATTTGTCCACTTGCAAGAGTGAAACAGATGGTTGCCTACATGGTCTGAATGGAAGAATTCCAGAAATGTTTCCTGCACAAAAATTATTATTTCATTAATTCAAACAAATTTACAAAGAGCATATTATTCTTAGGCATTAACCATTGCCTTTTCCATATATTCCCATTAACAGTTCAATTTATCGGCCAGGAGTGGTGGCTCACGCCTGTAATCCCAGCACTTTGGGAGGCCAAGGCAGATGGATCATGAAGTCAGGAGATCAAGACCATCCTGGCCAACATGGTGAAACCTCGTCTCTACTGAAAATACAAAAATTAGCCAGGCATGGTGGCATGCACCTGTAGTCCCAGCTACTTGGGAGGCTGAGGCAGGAGAATTGCTTGAACCCGGGAAGCAGAGACTGCAGCGAGCTGAGATTGCACCACTGCACTCCAGCCTGGGCAACAGAGCAAGATTCCATCTCAACAACAACAACAAAAACATTCAATTTATCCTAGACCTTAATCTATCACAACAATAAGACTATTCTCAGCAGGTTCCCTTTGCTCTTCCAACTAACCAAGGGCAGCATAAGAGCACTGTGACCCTGAATGTACAAAAGGTAAAGAGGAGTTCACTGAAGAAATACTGAAAATGTGGTCCTGAGCTTACCTTCTACAATATCTTTCTTGAGTTTTTATAGGATTTGCGATCAACACCAAGCCTTATGGGGTTTAAATCCATTTTAATCAGTCTTTGCCTTTTTGACTCACAAAAGGTGCTTTTATAGAGGTCATCAACTACCTCCACCAAAATCTAATAATTAGGCTTTGATTTTCTTGTAGATGTATTCACAGCTTTTAAGAAACAAAACTGATCACTTATTTCAAACAGTTTTTCACTTGACTTTCAGAATATCACACGCTTAATTTCACTATTACTTGGTGACTGCTCATTTCTCATTTTCCAGCTCTCTTAAAGCTATTTGTCTCAAGTCTCAATCTTCGGATGTCTATTCTACACACCTGCCCTTGGTGACCTCTTCCGGTCTTGTGGCTTTCAACAAGGCCTATATGCTGTGAGGCTCCCCAGATGTATATCTCCAGTCTTCACTCATACCAGAAACCTGGTCTAGTCAATATGACTGCCTGGATATCATCTCTACATCAAAGTCCAACAGGATCTAACTTAACATGTCAAAAAAATGCAACTCTCATTCCTCCCAAAAATAAACTCCTCCATTTTTTCCCATATCAATTATTAGAAGCCAAATTTTTCCAGATACTCAAGCCAAAAACAAGGCAGTCATCTTGGATTCATCTTTTTCTCTACATCCCACATGTAATTTGTCTGGAAATCAAATTGACTCTACCTTCAAAATCTGAGTGTCTCTTACCACCTTCACTTCTACTGCCCTGGCTTATTTGATGATTGTTTCATAGTTTTAGCCTCCTAACTACTTTAATTTATTGTTTCCCTACCTCCTTTTGGTCTGTTAGCAACCCAATAGTAAGCATCATTCAGTTACAACATAAATCAGATTATGTCACTTCCCTGGCCAAAACCCATCTGAACCCTCTTAGAACTAAGTCTCCAGATGTGTCTAGCACTTGTCTCAGCTCTCTGATCTTATTGTCTACCACTTTCTTCTGTCTCTCTTAACTACATATACACTAGTTTCTTCAATGTGCCTGGAACACTGTAAGTTGGGAGATTTTGACCCTACTCTCTTTCCTAGCATGAAACATATTCCCCCCAATATCATTAGGGCATGCTTCCTCATCTCCTATAAGTCTTTGCCTTCAAAGTCATTTTCTCAGTGAACCTTCCTTTCCACCATGCACTCAATAGTCCACTCCGTTTAAAATGGAAACTTCCTTCAGCTGTGACAGTAGCTATTTCCCTTTCCTGCTAAGTTTTTTCTCTATGGCATTTATACCATCTAATTATTGTGCACCTATCCAACTGATTCATTGTAGGCTCTTTAGCGTTCTCTAAATAATCATATAGCTTAATTTATTTAATCTGTTTTAAATTACAGAGCCTATTTAAAATATAAAGCTCCTACATTTTAATATGTTTTTATTACCTTTTCTGCTGACATATATTTATACAGCACACCATTATTTCCAAAGTATTTTCCCATGTAGCTTTCTTCACTATGGCCACAAAGCAATAGTATGTTAAGCAGAGAGGCATCATTATCAAAATTGCATTGATGAGAGCACAGGGCCAAGTGAATACTGGGAGCTCTCCACTCTTGCTCACTCTGTGCGCATGGTAAAAATAAAGCAAAAGGTTTAAACATTAGCACCACTATTAAATAAAGGATAATCATTTCAAAAAAGTGTAAAATGGTTTTTGTATATTTTGAATTCAATTTTGCTTGATTTGAGGAAAGAGATAAAATAAACAAAAATCTTCATCTTCTGCATGAAAATAATCTGGGTGCCAGTTTTAGTTCTAATCAACCTAAATTGATTTTTTGCTTATAAATTTGTGTTTTAATTTACTCTTTCTTCTGGAAAATCCGTGGGCACATGGATTTTTATTGTTTAACTATCCACTTGATTTTTCCCCATCATTGCATTTGTTTAAATGTGGACTTTTAAAACATGAGAATGGCTCTTTTAATCTGGTTGAAATTCAGAACCTTGGAGAAAATGTGGAAATACATTATGCATTCTATATTTACTAATTTAATTGAAATTAAATGGGGATATCAATAAAACAAGAAAACAGTGTTGCTAAAATGCAGTATATTACTCATACAAACCCTGCATGAAAATGTCTAATGTTGTACTCAGATTACACTCAATCCCGAATATCCCCCATGTTTGTGGTTATAACTTATTTCTTAGTCACAGTAAAATGCTTGCTATTTTAAGTTGATGAATGATTTGCAATTGTTACAGACTAACTTTGCAAACTGGAAACAACATTCTTGCTGTTCTGCTGATCACTACTTTTTCTAAAGTAAACAGAAAAAGAGAAAAATAATAAAGAACAACAATTAAGTCATGATATGCTTTCATTGGAAGGCAGAAATGTTCTGTATATACACTTTGCTTTGTTTTCTTGTAGAAATATAGACTTCTGGATCATTTTGGTTTTTTCAAAATGACTTTGCTGAAATATTTAAGTATATACAGTAAAAATTATATATTCCAATATGTTTTTACATATAGTAGTATACCTATCACTGATTTATCAATTATGATGTCTTGATATTTTCTTTTCTCTTTTTTTTTTTTTTTTTTTTTAGAGATGGAGTCTCACTCTGTCACCCATGATGGAGTGCAATGGCACAATCTCAGCTCACTGCAATCTCCGTCTCCTGGGTTCAAGCAATTCTCCTACCTTAGCCTCCCAAATAGCTGGGATTACAGGTGCCTGCCTCCACACCCAGCTAATTTTTGCATTTTTAGTAGAGACAGGGTTTCACCAAGTTGGCCAGGCTGGTCTTGAACTCCTGACCTCAGGCGAGCCACCCACCTCGGCCTCCTAAAATGGTGGGATTATAGGCATGAGCCACTGTGCCTGGCCTTGATATTTTCTATGTGTTTATTTTGCTTGGGGTTTGATGAGTTTTTTGCATCCGTTAGTTCATACTTTTCATCTAATTTGAAAAATTTAAATCACTTTTCTTCAAATAATTTTTCTAATCCCTGACTTCTTGTTCCTCTTTTCTGAAACTTCAATTACGTGTTAGTTGGTGAGCTTGATATTGTTCCACAAATTACCCAGTCTTCTTTTTCTTTGTGTGCATCAATATGCATAGTTGATATCACTGTATCCACAAGTTCACCTATCTTTCCTTTTGAAGTGCTTAATTCGTATTTAATCTCAATGAGCACATTTCCATTTTATATTAAATTTATCAAGATCTATTCATTTGTATGCTTGTCTATGTGTTGTTTTGCATGTTTTTCTTATTTTTTCTCCTGATTTTTATTATTACTTTTAAATCCTGAATATTTTTGCAATAGCTGTTAAGAAATGTGTCTGCTAATTTCTGTATTTCTACCATTTTTGCTATATTTTTATTAAATAGTTTTTATCCAGCTAATGGATCACATATTATGTTGGTGGGTTTTTTTTTCCTTTTTTGGTACATGATTATTTAATTAGATGCCATCATTGCATTTATTATGTTTTTAACCATCTGTATTTTGTTGCCTTTCTCTATAGAATTTTGAACTTTGAGTTTGCAGGGAGTTAAGTTACTTGTTTCTGGTTTGTTACTAAGCTTCGATAGGATGTATTTGAAGTAGTTAGAATTTGCAGATTAAATATAGGAAGCCCAGTTAAATTTGAAATTCAGATAAACAAAAAAACACATTTTTATGATAAGTAGGCCTCATGTGTTATTATAAATTAAAAATTGGGGCATTAAACTGAAACTTCAGTTGTAATATTTGAGACCTGCATATATAAAAATGGTGTTTATCTGAAATTCAAACAAACTAGGCATCCTGTATTTTTGTTTTTTTAATTTGGCAACCTTAAGATTTGTCTATTGGGGTCTCTATTAAATGAGCCAAGTACTCACTAAAATCTCTCTACTTTAGCTGGCTGGAAGTTGACCATCTCCCATTCTATCTGACCTCTAGGAATGTTTTAGCTTACAGCTCCCTGACAGTTTTCTTTGCCTGACCTTGTGAATTTTTACTCCACGCTTGTGTAGCTTAGTCTTCAGACAAGAACTTAAGAGAAACCCTATTTACATATCTTGGATTCTGTGTTAGTCTCCTATGGCTGCTGTAATAAATTATCACAGATGTAGTTGTTTAATGCAATAGAAATTAAGTATCTCATAGTGTGGAGGCCAGAAGTCTAAAATAAATATGGCTGGACTAAAATCATGATGTCAGCAGAGCCACACTCCCTCTGGAAGCTCTAATGGAAAATTCACTCTTGCATCTTCCAGCCTCTGGGGTCTACAGGAATTCCCTTGTGGTTGAATCTCTCCATTCTCTGCCTCCATTGTCATGTTCGCTTCTTCACTTCTGTTTGTCAAAACTCCCTGTGTTTCTCTATATTATAAAGATACTTGTGTTGATTCCACTTAACGTTGACTTGGATCATCCAGGATAATCTCCCTCTCTCAAAATTCTTAATCATATCTGCAAAGACTCTTTTTCATATAAAGTAGTATTTACAGATTCCAAGCATTAGGACCTGATATTATTAGAAGCCATTCTTAAGCCTACTACAAACTCTTTCTTTGCATAGCTCTGTATACTCCTCTACTTATAAAGAGCCACAAATTCCAGATGCTCCAGCATGTTTAAACTTTGATCTCTGTCTTCTCAACTGAGAGAGATTCTGCTCAGCTTGGGTTCCTCTTCCCTGTGATGTAGTTGAGAATATGTCTCCAGGCAGAGATCAGGGTAAAATAATTTTAAAAATTATTTATTTATTAGATAAATTATTGATCAATAAGAAGTCTGTGCTAGGTGATTAAGTTAAAATGAGTCTGTTAAGGTGGGTCCTAATCAAATATATAATCCAATATGACTGGTATCCTTGTAATTTACAATTGCTACAAAAAACACCTACAAATGAATTTAACCAAAGAAAAAAAAATCTACAAAAGCCGTATAAAACACTGATGAAAGAAATTGAAGAGGACACACAAAATGGAAACATATCCCATTCTCATGAATTGGAAGAATTAATATCGATAAAATGTTCGTACTACTCTAAGTCATATACAGATTCAATGCAATTCTTTTCAAAATAGCAATGATATCCTTCACAGAAATAGAAAACAAATCCTAAAATTTGTATGGAACAACAAAAGTCCCCAAATAGCCAAAGCTATTCTGAGCAAAAAAAAGTTGCAGATCTCACACTACCTGACTTCAAATTATACTATGAGCTATAGTAACCAAAACATCATCTGCTGGCATAAAAACAGACACAGAAACCTTTCAAAGAGAAGAGAGGCTTAAAAATAATCCACTTATTGAGCCCAGCTGATTTTGGACAAAGTTTCCTACAATACACAATGGGAAAAAGACAGTCTATTCAATAAACGGTGTGTGAAAAATAGAATATCCATGTGCAAAATAATGAAATTGGACCATTATGTGATACCATATACAAAAATCAAATGAAAATGGATTGAAGACTTAAATGTAAAGACATGATACTGTGAAACTATCAGAAGAAAACATTGGGGCGGGAGATGCATCAGGATATTGGTCTGGGTAAAGATTTTTGGATAAGATCTCCAAAGCACAAGCAACAAAAACAAAGTCAGATAAGTGGGATTACATGAAGCTAAAAAGCTTCTTCACAACAAAGGAAGCAATCAACAAAGTGAAGAGACAGCTGACAGAATTGGAGAAAATATTTGCAAGCTATTCATCTGACAATCATACATGTGATCAATAAGCAGAATATATAAGGGACTCAAACAGCTTAATAGCAAAAAAGGCAAATAATTCAATCTTAAAATGAGCAAAACCTGAACAAACATATCACAAAAGAAGGCATACAATGGCCAGTAGGTATATGAAAAAATGTTCAATATCATTAGTCACCAGGGAAGTGCAAATGAAAACCACACTGAAATATTATCTTATCCCAGCTAGAATAGCTTTCATCAAAAAGACGAAAAACAACAGATGCTGGCAAGGATGTGGAGAAAGTGGAAGGCTCGTACACTGTTGGTGGAAATGAGAGTAGTACAGCTTCTATGGAAAAGAATATGAAGGTTCCTCAAAAACATAAAATAGAACTTCCATATATCCAACAATGCCACCGCTGGGTATATATTCAAAACAAAGGAAGTCAGTAGGTTTACGTGATCTCTGCACTCCCATGTTTAACCCATCACTATTCAATATAGCCAAAAAATTCTGTGCATCAACAGTTAAAAGGATAAAGAAAACATAGTATATATACACAATAGAATATTAGTCATCCATTTAAAAAAATGAATTCCTGTAATTTGCAACAACATGGATAAAACTGGAGGTTAGTATGTACAATGAAATAAGCCAGGCACAGGAAGACAAATGTCGCACATTCTCATTCATATGTAGGAGCTAAAAAAGTGGATTTCGTGGAGATAGAGAGTAGAATGTTGGTGACCAAAGGCCGGGGTAGGAGGAGGGAATGAAGGGAATTTAGTTAATGAATACAAAAATACATTTAGATAGAAAGAATAGGTCTAGTATTTGATAGTACAGTAGGGAGATTATAGTTAATAATTATTGTACATTTCAAAATAGCTACAAGAGAAGTATTGGAATGTCCCCAATGCAAAGAAAAGATGAGTGTCTGAGGCAGTGGATACACCAATTACTCTGATTTGATCATTACACTTTGTATACAGGCATCAAAATATCCCATGTACCCCTAAAATACATTAACTCATATATCAGTAAAAGAAACTGTTACAAAAAAAGGAAGAAGAGGAGATGAGGACACACAGAGAGACACCAGAGACGAGCATGCACAGAGGACAGGCCATGCAAGGACACAGCGAGAAGATGGAGAGCTTCAAGCCAATGAGAGGGGCCTCAGAAGAATCTGAACCTACTGGAATGTCTATCCTGGGCTTCCAGCCTCCAGAGCTGTGAGAGAATAAATTTATATTGTAGTCTGTGGGATTTTGTTATGGCAGCCCTAGGAAATACAAGGATTTCCTCTGCAAACTCCACAAGAAGCTATTCATTATGCTTCCTCAAGCAGCCCATGAAGAATCCATTGAAAATGAAATACAACTTAAAGCTCTAAATCTTGATACTTTCTTGAAATGGTTCTTTTTGAATGGCTTACACCACTTACAGATCAATGCAATGGCAGTACATGAGGAGGGGATTTCAAGAATTCTGGCTTATATCTGAGATACCTGAGAGTCTGCATGCTGTTTGAGACTGCTGGGAGTAGTTTCACATAAGTATAAAATTCTGTCACAGATATCAACCTCTTTAAGTTAAAATACTGCAGGACTAACCATAGCAAGAGTCGCCGCAAGGTAATCTCAAAGGAAGCAGGTCAGGATCAGTGGTGATAGAATGTTGCATATTGGAAGTATCATTGAAAAGATATATTAATATGTGTGTCTAATCTTGTTTCAGTCTTACAAGGTCCTCTGGGGAAGAAAGAGACAGAGAGAGAGAAAGAGAAGGAGAAGTGGTGAATGTGTACTGTACATGTTATATATTAATGCAAAGAAAGCAGTGAGTGGACCTATTGCCACTAACCAACTGTTACTGAAAAGAAACTAAAAAGATGTCCTATTATTCTAGGTTGATTGTATAGACAGAGTTTTAAATGAATTTTGCATAGGATAAAGGATTCTTGATAGTGCTTGTCAAAATACTCCCACTCCTAGAACAGTAAGGAATATTGAGTTTTAGACTGAGAGGAAAGCCACAGACACATGACCTTACTCTAAGCCTCCCCAAAGTTTATCTAATCACAATGATTACTAACAAAGATGGTCATGCATTTATATCTCCTCATAGGAAAACAATCTGATGAGAAAATAATAATTGTATGGAGGAATAGAACACACCAAACACATTAAATTTGTTTTAATACTTTAGAGAAATTTGAGTTTAGTTACAAGACTATGCCTATATACAAGCTGAAGTAGAAAATTAAGAAAGGAAAGCTTTACTTAAAAAGAAAATGTGTCTGAAATTAAGAGAGAATACGTCTAGCTTATTGAAAGACCTGAATTCTCTAAGCCACTTTCCTTTTGAATCCAGGAGACCATTTGCCCCTGCTGATGTATTGCACCCTACAAGCTACTGCAGGTAACAGTTCCAAGTGATCTACTTCAAGTAGCAGGCAGCTTCACTATGTCCTGTTCTGGGATTAACTCACAAATCTGGTGCTGAGTTAAACAACAGTGTAGATCATGTGAAGCTTCACAAGACCACACATCTCTCTGACTCTCCTCTGCTGTGAGTTTATTGAAAGTTGAATTTGCCATTAAGTGTTTTAGAGTCTATATAAGATGCTAAAACTGATCAATACTCTTGTAATAATTCAATAATCATAGGGACTAATTCCATATACAGTATTTTTCAGCAGCTCTATCCTATGAATAATACTGATAGTAATAATAATAGTAGTAACAATTCCATTAGAGAAGCAGAGTATAGTGGTTCAAATAATGGACTGCAAATAAACAATCTAGACTCTTATTTCTTTCCTACCGTTAACAAACCTCTTGAGCAATTTCTTGGTGCCTCATTTCCTCTGAGAAATGTAAGAAATTATACGGCCCACTTCACCTGGTTGCATGAGGATTAGTAGATTTTATATCTATATTTATGTACCTATATATCACGTAAAATATACTTGGTGCGTAATACACTAATGATTCTTTTCACATATATAGATATTTGTCCATTGTAACTCAGGCAGTCAGTACCAAGAACATGCCTTTATGTAATAGTGGATGTTGGCTCCCCTAACCTCCTCAGCCTGATCAGACTAATTAGCCTTTAATCTTTTCCTATCAGCAGCGTAATATTTAATCATAATTTAACACCGCTTTTCACCATCTCAAATCTATGCATAGACCAAAAGCAAATAGTTCCTACTAGAATCATGGATCAATGAAAACTTTCTTTACCACTAAGATGTTGAATTTGTTGCCATAATGGGAAAGAGAGGCCTTTCGTGCTTTCTCAATAGGGCTAACTAGGTTGATTATTGATGTTCCAAATAGGCACTCTGTCTTTGCCCATAGTCCCCATTTTACCTCCACAGAATAGAAGAACAAGAATGGCTTCAAACACATGCTGGGTAACCTAAAGGCAAAAATAAACACCTTATTTACTAGTAACTCTCTTTCAACAAATTTATTTGGTTTGGCAGTATACATTAAATTGTATATGTATCTTACATAAAGCATCCCTTCGGATTGGTAAAAGGTATATTTTAAAAGTGGGCTGACCATATAAACTAACAATTCACACAAGGGGAAACACAATTAACATGAAGGCAGAAAATTGCCAGGCACTATAATTTCAAAATGCAAGTTAAAAGTGTAATTAGATACAGTTTGACACATACTTAATTAGCAAAACATTTAAAAACTATCCTGTGCTGGTAAGAGTGTCTTGAAAGAAGATGGTCTTCATTTGTTTAATGTAAGATAACGAAAAGCTTTTCAAAAATAATATAATAATATCTTAAACAAACAAAAAATTATGCTCTTTAATTCAGTAATAATACTAAGAATTTAACCTAAGAGAATAATTATTTTTAAAAATTAATATTCAGTAAAACAATACTTAGAAATAAGCTAGAGAAAAGACAAGACCTAATAGACATCTACAGAACTCTACACCACAAATCAACAGAATATACATTCTTCTCAGCACCACATTGCACTTATTCCAAAATTGACCACATAGTTGGAAGTAAAGCTCTCCTCAGCAAATGGAAAATAATAGAAATTATAACAAACTGTCTCTCAGACCACAGTGCAATCAAATTAGAACTCAGGATTAAGAAACTCACTCAAAACTGCTCAACTACATGGAAACTGAACAACCTGCTCCTGAATGACTACTGGGTAAATAACGAAATGAAGGCAGAAATAAAGATATTCTTAGAAACCGATGAGAACAAAGACACAACATACCAGAATCTCTGGAACACATTTAAAGCAGTGTGTAGAGGGAAATTTATAGCACTAAATGGCCGCAAGAGAAAGCAGGAAAGATCGCAAATCGACAACTTAACATCACAATTAAAAGAACTAGAGAAGCAAGGCAAACAAATTCAAAAGCTAGCAGAAGGCAAGAAATAACTAAGATCAGAGCAGAACTGAAGGAGATAGAGACACAAAAACCCTTCAAAAAATCAATGAATCCAGCAGCTGGTTTTTTGAAAAGATCAACAAAATTGATAGATGGTTAGCAAGACTAAAAAAGAAGAAAACAGAGAAGAATCAAATAGATGCAATAAAAAATGATAAAGGGGATACCACCACTGATCCCACAGAAATACAAACTACCATCAGAGAATACTATAAACACCTCTATGCAAATAAACTACAAAATCTGGAAGAAATGGATAAATTCCTGGACACATACACCCTCCCAAGACTAAACCAGGAAGAAATTGAATCACTGAATACACCAATAACAGGCTCTGAAATTGAGGCAATAATTAACAGCCTACCAGCCAAAAAAAGTCCAGGACCAGATGGATTCACAGCTGAATTATACCAGAGGTACAAAGAGGAGCTGGTACCATTCCTTCTGAAACTATTCCAATCAATAGAAAAAGAGGGAATCCTCCCTAACTCATTTGATGAGACCAGCATCATCCTGATACCAAAGCCTGGCAAAGAAACAACAAAAAAGAGAATTTTAGACCAATATCCCTGATGAACATCGATGTGAAAATCCTCAATAAAATACTGGCAAACCAAATCCAGCAGCACATCAAAATGCTTATCCACCAAGATCAAGTTGGCTTCATCCCTGGGATGCGAGGCTGGTTCAACATACACAAATCAATAAACGTAATCCATCACATAAACAGAACCAAAGACAAAAACCACATGATTATCTCAATAGATGCAGAAAAGGCCTTTGACAAAATTCAACAGCCTTCAAGCTAAAAACTCTCAATAAACTAGGTATTGATGGGAAGCATCTTAAAATAATAAGAGCTATTTATGACAGACCTACAGCCAATATCATAATGAATGGGCAAAAACTGGAAGCATTCCCTTTGAAAACTGGTACAAGACAGGGATGCCCTCTCTCACCACTCCTATTCAACACAGTGTTGGAAGTTCTGGCCAGGGCAATCAGGCAAGAGAAAGAAATAAGGGGTATTGAATTAGGAAAAGAGGAAGTCAAATAGTCCCTGTTTGCAAATGACATGATTGTATATTTAGAAAACCCCATCATCTCAGCCCAAAATCTCCTTAAGCTAATAAGCAACTTCAGCAAAGTCTCAGGATACAAAATCAATGTGCAAAAATCACAAGCATTCTTGCACCCCAATAACAGACTAACAGCCAAATCATGAGTGAACTCCCATTCACAATTGCTACAAAGAGAATAAAATACCTAGGAATCCAACTTACAAAGGATGTGAAGGACCTCTTCAAGGAGAACTACACACCACTGCTCAACAAAATGAAAGAGGACATAAACAAATGGAAGAACATTCCATGCTCATGCATAGGAAGAATCAATATCATGAAAATGGCCATACTGCCCAAGGTAATTTATAGATTCAATGCCATTCCCATTAAGCTACCAATGACTTTCTTCACAGATTTGGAAAAAAACCACTTTGAAGTTCATATGGAACCAAAAAAGAGCCTGCATTGCCAAGACAATTCTAAACAAAAAGAACAAAGCTGGAGGCATCACGCTACCTGACTTCAAACTATACTACAAGGGTACAGTAATCAAAACAGCATGGTACTGGTACCAAAATAGAGATATAGACCAATGGAACAGAACAGAAGCCTCAGAAATAACACCACACATCTACAACCATCTGATCTTTGACAAACCTGACAAAAACAAGAAATGGGGAAAGGATTCCCTATTTAATAAATGGTGCTGGGAAAACTGGCTAGCCATACGTAGAAAGCTGAAACTGGATCCCTTCCTTACAACTTATACAAAAGTTAATTCAAGATGCATTAAAGACTTAAATGTTAGATGTAAAACCACAAAAACCCTAGAAGACAACATGGCAATACCATTCAGGCCATAGGCATGGGCAAGGACTTCATGACTAAAACACCAAAAGCAATGGCAACAAAAGCCAAAATAGACAAATGGGATCTAATTAAACTAAAGAGCATCTGCACAGCAAAAGAAACTACCATCAGAGTGGACAGGCAATGTACAGAATGGGAGAAAAATTTTGCAATCTACCCATCTGACAAAGGGCTAATATCCAGAATCTACAAAGAACTCAAAAAAATTTACAAGAAAAAAATCAAACAACCCCATCAAAAAGTGGGCAAAGGATATGAACAGACACTTCTCAAAAGTAGACATTTATGCAGCCAACAGACACATGAAAAAAAGGCTCATCACTGGCCATCAGAGAAAGGCAAATCAAAACCACAATGAGATACCATCTCACACCAGTTAGAATGGTGATCATTGAAAAGTCAGGAAACAACAGGTGCTGGAGAGGATGTGGAGAAATAGGAATGCTTTTACACTGTTGGTGGGACTGTAAATTAATTCAACCATTGTGGAAGACAGTGTGGCGATTCCTCAAGGGTCTAGAACTAAAAATACCATTTGACCCAGCGATCCCATTACTGGGTATATACCCAAAAGATTATAAATCATGCTACTATAAAGACACATGCACATGTATTTTTACTGTGGCACTATTCACAATAGCAAAGACTTGGAACCAACCCAAATGTCCATCAATAATAGACTGGATTAAGAAAATGTGGCACATATACACCATGGAATACTATGTAGCCATCAAAAAGGATGAGTTCACGTCCTTTGTAGCAACATGGATGAAGCTGGAAAGCATCATTGTGAGCAAACTATCACAAAGACAGAAAACCAAACACCGCCATGTTCTCACTCATAGGGGGGAACTGAACAATGAGAACACTTGGACACAGGGCGGGAAACATCACACACCAGGGCCTGTCGTGGGTTGGGGGGTTGGGGGAGGGATAGCATTAGGAGAAATTCCCAATGTAAATGACGAGTTAATGGGTGTAGCAAACCAACACGGCACATGTATACATATGTAACAAACCTGCACCTTGTGCACATGTACCTTGGAACTTACAGTATAATTAAAAAAAAAGAATCAGAAAACCAAACACCGCATGTTCTCACTCATAAGTGGGAGCTGAACAATGAGAACACTTGGACACAGGGAGGGGATCTCTCAAAATTAATGTTTTGTTTACATTTGAAGTATATTTCCTATCAAATTCTGAAATCAATTAAAGATTACAGACTAATCCAACACATATTTGCAATCCACATCTGTATTTTTCGTATGCAAAATACTGGCATAATGGATTCTACACCTCAAAACTAGAAATATTCCTTGTGGCTCGTAGGCTGCCTATGCGGTAAAGACAGCCTTCAGGATTCTGCACACACAGCTTTATTTTCTCAAAAGGATTCTGCCAGTTGAATTTTTTTAATTATTTCATGACTCAAATGAATGTTGGGAAAAGAATTGGCCCCAGAGTCTAAATTAGTTGTATACCTCCTTTTCTTATGCATGATTAGTTAAGCCAGACTGGAGCTCTTCTTTTGAATATACATGATACAAAGTAGGATTATAAAAAAGTGAATTTAGCTTTATTTCAATTAATTATAATAAACATTAGTTACCTGGAATAGATCAGACACTGTGCTAAGTTTAGCATGTGAGGAAGATTAAGTTGTGGTTCTTGCTCCCCGGTACCTGTTAGTTTCATGACTTTGCCTTGTGAAATGCTAGATGACTCTAACTGCAATTACAAACTGCTACAGCAATATTAGCAAGGACTTGGAGTTCAGTGGAGGCATTCAGAGCTGGAATGTTTGGATTCACAACACTACTCTATCACCTATTACTTGTGTAAATTATGGCCATGGCTTCTGTGCCTTAGTATGCCTGTGTAAAATAGTTAGAAGCATGCCTTGGAGATATTGAGGATTTGGTACCAGATCACCACAGAAAGCTAAATATTGCAATAAAGTGAGTCACACACATTTTTTGGTTTCCCAGTACGTATAAAAATAATGTTGACACTATATTGTTGTTTGTGTGCAATAGCATATGCCTAAAGAAAAACAAGGTATATACTTTAATTAAAATTGTTGCTAAAAATGCTAATGATTACCTGAGCCTTCAGTGAGTCATAATCTTTTGGCTGGTGGATGGTCTTGCCTCTATTTTAATGACTGCTGACTAATCAGGGTGGTGGTTGCTGAAGGCTGAGGTGACTGGGACAATTTCTTAAAATAAGACAATGATAATTTTTGCCACATTGATTGTGTCTTTCTTTCATGAAAGGTTTCTCTTAGCATGTGACGTTTGACAGCATCTTATTCACAGCAGAACTTCTTTAAAAGCCAGAGACCATCCTCTCAAATCCTACTACTGCTTTATCAACTAAGTTGATAAAATATTCTAAGTCTTTGTTTTCATTTAAACAATTTTCACATCTTCACCAGAGGTAGATTCTATTTCAACAAACCACTTTTTTTGCTCAGCCATAAAAGCAACTCTCATCCATTCGTGTTTTATCATGAGATTGCAGCAATTCAGTCACATCTTCAGGGTCCACTTCTAATTCTAGTTCCCCTGCTATTTCCATGACATTTGCAATTATTAAGTCCACTAACTCTTAAACCCCTCAAAGTCATCTACAAGTGTTGAAATCAAACACCATTAATGTTGTATTTTGTAATAATGTTGTAATGTTTTAAATTCCCATTTTTGTTGGTATTTTGACCTCCTCCCATAATTCACAAATGTTCTTAATTACATTTAGAATGATGACTTTTTTCCAGAAGGTTTTTAATTGACTTTGCCCAGATCCATCAAAGGAATCACTATCTATGGCAGCTATAGCCTTGCAAAGTGTATTTATTAAATAATAAGACCTAAAAGTAAAAATTACTCCTCATTCCATGGACTGAAGAATTGATGTTGTGTTAGCAGGCATAAAAGCAACATTAATCTCCTTGTACATTTTCATCAGAGCTATTTGGTGACTAGGAACCTACCTGGTCAATGGGCTGTAATAGTTTGAAATAAATCTTTCTCTGAGCAGTGGGCTTAAAATATTTAGTAAAGCACTCTATAAACAGATGTGCTGTCACCCAGGCTTTGTTGTTCCATTCATAGAGTACAGGAAGAGTAGATTTAGCATAATCTTAAGGGCCTTAGGATTTTCAGAATAGTAAATTAGCCTTGGCTTCAATTTAAAGTCACCAGCTGCATTAGCTCCTAACAAGAGAGTCAGCATGTCTTTGAAACTTTTAAGGTCAACACTGACTTTTCTTCTCTAGCTATGAAAGTCTTAGATGACATCTTCTTCCAATACAAGGCTGTTTCATCTACATTGGAAATATGTGTGTATTATAGTCACCTTCATCAATTACTTTAGCCAGACCTTCTAGATCAGTTGCTGCAGCTTCTACATCAGCAGTTTATACTTCACCTTGCACTTCTATGCTCTAGAGACAGCTTCTTCCCTTAAACTTCATGAACTAATCTCTGCTACCTTCCAACTTTTCTTCTGCAGCTTTCCCACCTCTCTCAGCCTTCATAGAACTGAAGAAAGTTAGGGACTTGCTCTGGATTAGAGAATGCCATGACCAGTTTGATTTTGTAACCAGACCACTTTAACTCTCCAACTCAGCAAGAAGGCTGTTTCACTTTATCATTTGTGTGTTCACTGAGAGTAGCACTTCTAATTTTCTTTAAGAACTTTTCCTTTGCATTTCCAACTTGGCTAACTGTTCTGCACAAGAGCCCTAGATTTTGGCCTATCTCAGCTTCTAACATGCCTTCCTCACTAAGATTTAACATTTCTAGCTTTCATTTTAAAGCAAAAGAGATATTACTTGTCCTTTCATTAAACATACAGACACCATTAATTATATGGTTATTAACTGGCCTAATTCCAATATTGTTGTGTCTCAGTGAATAGGGAGGCCTGAGGGGAGGGAGAGAGACAGGAAAATGGTCAATTGATGGAGCAGTCAGAACACATACAACATGTATCAACAGAGTGACACCCAAAACAATTCAATAGTAACATCAAAGAACACTAATCGCAAATGACCACAACAGGTAAAATAATAATGTAGAAGTTTGGAACATTGTGAAAATTAGCAAAATGTGACAGAGACATGAAGACATGAAGTGAGCACATGCTGTTGGAAAGATGATGCCCATAGACTTGCAGGATGCAGGGTGGCCACAAACCTTCAACTTGTGAAAAAAAAAAAAAAAAGCAATATCTGCAAAAGTACAATATAATGAAATACAATAAAACAAGGTATGCCTATATTTTGCAACTGGAATAAGACACCTCTATATTTATCTCCAGGGACGGCTGAAAGTCTGGAACTGACTTTCAGTCAAGATAAGAAAAGGGGATGTTACAATTAATAATTTATAATGTGCTATTTAAAGTTCAAAATTTCCCCAAAAGCAGAAACTGGTAAAATTGGCTTATACCTCATATTAGCAGTGAAGCAGTCTTAATTGAATAAGTGATTAGGAACATAAAAGATCCCCCTGGAAACTTCTAGGGACATCTCCCAAAACCGAATTTATCGCACAGATATTGGCGTTGCAATTTGGAGGTGACGCGTGTCCTGTGGAAGTGACAGAGACCTTGAGAAGCTGGGCCTATAAACATCGCCAGGACCTTCACACTTTTCCACATTCTTCCACCGCTCTGTTCTTGCCATTCTTACAACCTTCTATGTGTATGTTCTGGGCAGTGCTGTGAATCTTGTCAACTGTTAGACTTGTGAACTGTTGTAATCTGTGCAGTTGGCACCATCTACTCTATAATTTTAAGTAATGATGAAGTTTCTGTTTGGGAGAATTAAGAATGAGAAAGGGGCCAGGCATGGTGGCTCATGCTTATAATACCAGCATTCTCGGAGGCTGAGGTGGGCAGACTGCTTGAGCCCAGGAGTTCAAGACCAGTGTGGGCTGCATGGTGAAAACCCATCTCTAATAAAAGCACAAAAATTAGCAAGGTATAGTGGCATGTGCCTGTAGTCTCAGCTATTCAGGAGGCCCAAAAGGGAGGATTGCTTGAGCCCAGGAGGCAGGGACGGCAGTGGGCCAAGATCACGCTACTGTACTTTAGCCTGGGTGACAGAGAAAGACCAGGTCTCAAAAAATAAAAGTGGAAATAAAAGAATGAGAAAGGGTGGGGAAGCCAGGAACTACTGTTGCAGGATGACTTTCTGCCCATCTCTGATGTGGAGTATCACAAATATTGCAACCGTTGCTGAGAAGAAATTCCTGTCAGTGGATGCTGGAGAGGAAAATTCCTGGCTTGGAAATTAGGGAGCTAAATGGATTACAAAAAAGAAATTTCAAAAGGAGAAGCCAACCAAGAATACCCTGCTTTTTTCTAGAGAAAATGATAATAATAGGAAAGCAGTCGATGGCTTCCATGACCACAGATGTACAGCATGTGATCCTGACTGTAATGCCCAAAGGCAGTGGGGAAGATAGCTGTTTCAACCAAAATATCCCCTCAGCAGAGACGAGCATCACAACACATTTACACAGGTCACATGGGGGTGCGAATTCAAAGACCGCAGAAATGCAAGGGTAGTTAGTTAAACGGTTAAGCCACTTGGGAGTTGATCGCCAACTCACTTCTGAACCTCTACTGAAATCAGTGTTGTGCATGAGAAGTCAGAGAACTCTATTGGATACTGTCAAATGAACAGGCATGTTAGTGCTTACTCAGCACCCTCACTTATTGTAGCTTTTGTGGAAACATGGATAGAAGGAGTAAACTCCAAATCCATTAAGCTGTATAAAATCAAAGGTAAATAACATAAATCTTGAAAAGGAAAATTCCCCAAATTCACCCTTAGGTTTTAAATGGAATATTTCTGAGGCTGCTGAATTGTTGAGAACATAAGTAACTTTTATTAGTTGCAGTAATTCTAAAAAATTTCCTAACTCTACAGGTTTGGTCAAGATATGATAGATGCTATAAGAAGCTACAACTGCTTGGACTCCTTATTTGACTTCATTATTGCGGAGATAAGATGGGATGAGTGAAACTATGGAAGGACTCCTTGTCCAAGTACTGCAAATAAGGGTTAATGATGGAAAAATGATTAGGGTTAATAAAAAGAAAAGGAAATATGGATAAAAGGGGTAAAAAAAAGTCCTGAGAAAATTTAAACTGAATACTAGTGTTCAGAAGGTTGATTAAAAATAACATTAATAAGGAAAAGACAGATGTTATAAACACTAAAATTGTCATGAATTGCTATGTAAAGATTAGGTGGTCTGGCTGCTCCATCAATTTTTCAACCTATAAAGGAATTGTGACAGTTTTGCTCAATTTATTTTAGTCTCAATAAATTTTTAAGAATCTGATTATTGTACAAAAGAAATTCATAATCCCCTGAGTGTCAATGCCCATGAAAATTGTATGGGGAAAAAGAGAAGATTCTGACTCTGGATGACAGGAGGGCCAGAGCCCCCTGACTCAACACCCCAGCCAGGGATCCAAGGCTGTTTCCATGGGTGTGAGTAAAATGGCCCGAGGGTGGTGAAGGAAATTTAGTTGGCTTTCTGGACACCGGTGTCCAATATAACATCATACAAAGCCCGTTAAGGAAAAGTTAACAGGCAATAGAATTGAGTTAGGGAGATACGGTGAGCAACTCCAAGGAACAGCAGACAAAAGTATGGCTAAAATATAGGCATTTATTAACAAAAGTTATGTAAGGTTGTTGCCTCACTCTGCCAGAATGTGTGGTTAGAATGGATCTAATGTCTGAATGCAGGACTCTTATCTTACCCAGGTTATTAGGAAAAAGGTTGTCTTGCAAATCTGTTTTTAATCCTTTTTTACTGGAGCATAGTAGATGGGAAATTTCAAAATTATCTAAGCCCATTCAAGTGGCCAATTTAAAGCAATTAGAATAGACTAGGTTTGGATACCTGAGGCACATAAAGAAATTTTGTTTTCAATTAAAAATGTTTTAGATGTAGGTATATTAATAGCCACAATTTCCTTGTTTAACAGCCTGTGGAAGAAATGATGAAACCCAGAGATTCACTATAGAGTACAGAAATAATAAATAATAACCCTCATGCCATGAGTAGTGCACAGTATCGTATTAACTATTCAAGCGGAACAACAAACTAAGGGACACTATTATTCTGTGACCAAATTGACTAATGCTTTCTTTTCCATTTCTACTTATGAAGAAATTTAAAGCCAATTTGCATTCGTGTGAGATGGATGGAAAAATACACATTTACCATGCTCTCGCAAAGATATTTAAATTCTCCTGCTTATTGCTGTACCTGATGAGATGAAACAGATTTGAATCAATTGGAGAGTGCTGCTATTTGTGATAGTAATGATATATTGTTTATGTATCAATCTCAACGCTAAGCTAAAATTGCATTATAAACGCTTGTTAATCATATGATTCCAGAAGATGGCTGATTAACTATCATACAATACATATCTCAGAAAAATGGTGAAATTCCTTGATATCTCTTGAACAGAGGAGACTAGGGCATCCCTCATAAAACAAAAAATAAATGATTTTCTCTGTGAACTCCAAAATCAAAGCAAGCAATATAAAGTTTGATTAGGTTCTTTGGTTTCTAGAGAATTCACATACAACATCTGAGAAATGTTATCAACTGCTATTCACAAAATTACCAAGAAAAAAATAACCTGAATTTGAGCAACAGCACTTCTTTTATTTTTTTTACAGTTTCAAAGAAACTTAGCACAATCAGGTCTTTGTGACCTTACTAAGCACATGGTAACTTCATTACCTCCATGTTCCAATGATTTTGGAAATGTCCAGTCAAAGCAGCCATGCTGACTGAAGCACTTGGCAAAAGCCCTTGACTGACACCCAGTGGTCATTGCTGGTATTTGGGACTAGAAAGTAGCCTATTTCAACTTCAAGGTAAGCATCGCTTGAAAACTATCATTGGCTTGTTATTGTAATAGGGGCTTTAATTGAAATCGTTTTTATTACAATAGGATATAAATTTATTTTGAGATATGAGATACCTATGGTTGTGGGTTATGTCATACCATCATTCCTACATGGAAGCAAATGAAGGAAATAATTTCCTCATCAAATGAACATGTACATTAAGTCTCCCTGTGGAATTGTGTAAGGACATAACTTGTCCCTATGACAAGTTTCCAAGGGTGCCAAAGGGTGTCAAACAAGTAACTGAAGTTTAGATGGTTCCCAAGGGTGGAAGACCAACACAATAAAAATTCAGTCTAGAAAGCAACCCCATTGTTGAAGTGTTAGTGACCTTACTTTAGGTGAAGAGGTAAAAAGATAAATCTGCTTAATAGGCAGAAATGAGTCATGTTTCTTCTGGCACCAGAGGAACTGGATAATAACAAAAATGACTCTTGCCAATTCTTTGGTAAAAACCAATAGAGTTGGCATATAGCCTGAGATAATGGGAAAATAAAGGAACCCCGTAATCTGAAATTTGATATGGAATTGGAGGTGGGCATCAAAGTGCATCACTCACAAAGTAAACCCCAAATACCTCCCAAAATAACACAGGTAACTCCTATTACTGATTACTCACCTTGGCTTAGCTACATAACTACAGGACATAAAAGATTCCACCAGAATGCTTTTAAGAAGTTTTCCCAAAACAAGGCTCACTGCACAAACGGAAGCCCGAACTGGAGATGAAGCACGTTCTGTGCATATAAGAAGGACTTTGATAAGCAGGTCCCTAATATTTGCCTCAACCCTTTCTCCTACTCAACTGTGTTCTTCACCTTTACTGAAAGCCTTATACAAGGATGCTCTTTGAAGTCTTGTGAGTCCTTTCAATTATCGAAGTCTGATTTTCAATCTATGGAATCTCCATCTGTATTATGAAATAATAACAATGCCTACTTTGTAGGGTTGTTTCAAGGAATGAATTAAACCATTTAAAGTGCTTAGAACAGAACTGGCACATTCATTGCTTTAAAATCTTATTTTATGTCAATGGAAAAATAGCTTCATCACAGTAATTTATGTATAATCTTTCATGGTAAATGACAATACACACTGTATAGATAAATTATAATACATTTAAATTACTTATGAAATCCTGTATTTCCATAAAAACCTATTTTTTATTTCAATGGATAAGACTATTATATGTATACATTGAAAACAAAATATTCTCATATTATAATACAAACTTTATTTAGTGATTCCAACAAAAGAACAATCAGGTTTAAATCTCTACTTATTGCCACATTTGTTCCGTAAGAATTGAGTTTTCCCTACTACAGGTTAATCATGTTGATGATAAATAAGATGTACAATATGTAGTTTATTTCAAAACAAAAGTATTTATAAGTCAAAAGGTAAATATGATTCAGAAACACTTGTTACTATTTTAATATACTTTGCTTTTAATTGTAATATTACCTATTAAAATATTCAGATGAGACCAATTTAGCAGCATCTTATTTTTTCTTTAGTGATAATGATCCTCTGACTACTAATCTCTGTGTGGATATATGAAAATTATTATTCCAAGGATGTGAAATTTGTTTCAAATTAATGCACATGACTAATATGCTAGAATTTAATTTTCAAAGTGATGAAAATGTTTATAGTAAGTTACTTTTTCTTTGACTTTTAATTAAATTTCTTCTACAAGGATTAGGACATATAATTTTAAAAATAATTAAAATTTAATTATTTTTATTCATGACTTCTATTGCTACAAATTGGAAAGGGTCAGTGCAAATTTCCAACTAGAATGAATCTTAAATGGACTTTAGAACATCAGAATATGTCCAAAGTACAGAAATGAAGATAATTTTTTAAATCATATTTTGTTCATTTACCTAAAACATGGATATCTAGAGTACATTGTATGTAGATATTCAATCCTGAAAAATTGCTTTACATTTCAACTTCAATTCTCTTTGACAAGCCATAAAAAGTGGTGACATTTTGAGAGGGATACATGGTATCTACACTAAAAATTTATTGTTCTAAATGATGTGCAATATAATTCAAGAAAGACAGTTTTTGCTATTTTGCTTTACAAAGATTCATGAAGTATACAGAGAAGGAGGTTACAGATATTGCTAGCTAGAATGATCAATGATAACATTTTTAAAGTTATAGAAAAAGAAATTCAAAGAAAAGAGAATCTGGTGACAAATAACATTGGTTCTTAAGCTAATAGATGTTCTGTATACACATCAGAGGTTAAGAGACCTGCCACAGAGGATGGTCACCAGGGAAAGTATAATGGCCCCAACAACATAGATGATAGCCTTGCCCTCAGCTCCAGATTCTTAAAAATAAAATTCATTCATTCAAAAAATACTTGTTGGATGCTGTTTTAGATGTTTTATACACTATTTTATGTATTGTCATTATGGTAGTGAAGAAGACCAAGACATTTTCTATCTCCATAGAGTTTGTTCTAATGTTAGAGAGGCATTTTTAAATAACATATTTTTAAAAATATAACATATATATATATAATTTTCATTAGTGAAAATATGAACCAAAAAACAGAATAATATAAAGCTAGTAATGTAAGTGGTATTTACAATAAAGGTGACTAAGAAGATACAATCAATCTAGTCAAAGTAAAACCAAGGGAATGTAAGTTCCAGAAGAATGTGTATCATGAAGGAGAGACAATTATGTCAAGATGAGAACAGAGAATAATCCACTAGACTTGCAAAGATGACCATTATTTATGACAACAGCAGTTTCAGTGTTGCGTGGGAATACTTGATTGACGTGGGATAAAGAAAGAATAGACAAGTGGAGAGAGTTGGTATAGAAAACTGTCTGAAGAAGCTTTCCCTGTGAAAAGAACAGAAAAACAAAAATGAAGTTGCAGCAGGTGGAGAATAAAAGCCAAGGGAATTTTTCCATTTGGTTGCCTGCTTGCTTTTTAAAATTACAGTTGCTGTAACATAATTTTGGGTTGTTGGAAATAATAAAAGAATAAAATGATGATGTATAAAAATGAGATAATTTCAGGAATGAAATTCTTGGATAAGTGAGAAGAATTCATATAGTCAGCTGGTAGGAAAAGGAGACTAAGTTAGAAGCAATGTGCACTGTGAAAGGGGAAGATGGGAGAAAACACAAAAGTACAAATACACATAGTAGAAGAATGAAAAATCTCCTATTTGCATTAATGGATGTATCCTCAATAAAACAACAAGGGAGGGATCAGCTGAAAATTAGTAGGGTGAAAGAGTATAGGGGTTGGAAGGTTGATAAAAATAAAAATGTGAAATAGATCTTCAAGAGAGTGACACAGCCAACAAGGATTTTCAGAAAGAACTGGTTATCACATACTTGATATTTGCTGTCACATATTAAAATTGTAGCCAATCAATATAATGTTTTTACTGTGAGTGTATTTCTTATATTTATTGTGACTTGACCATATACCTTTCCCTCCTCACACATAAGTTTTAAGTATATATTTTAGATTTATATAAACATAACAGAAATGTGAATTTTATAATAAACTATTCACTTAACAGGAATTACTAATGTAATTTGTAAGACCTGCACTTTTACTGGCCTAATAGTTACTCACTTTGATTGTTGTTAATACTCACAGAGCAAACAAGCCTGCATTCTAAGAAGAACACCTCAACTTATGTATAGGTGTAGGACAAAATGTCCTTTACGGCATTCTGAAACATAATGCCTAATATTTTGGAGTACCAGATTCATTGAATTAGGATGAATTATTCTCTCTCATAGATGTTGATGTGCTGCTCTAATTCTGTCATCAAAATCATAAACTTAATTGTAGTTGACCCTTGAACAGTGTAGGTTTGAACTACATGGGCCTGCTTATATGCAGATTTTCTTCAGCCTCTGACACTCCTGAGACAGCAACACCAGCCACTCCCTACTGAACATGAAGACCGTGAGGATGAAGAACTTTATGATGATCCACTTCCACTTAATGAATGGTGACTATATTTTCTTTTCCTTATGAGTTTCTTAATAACTTTTTTCTAACTCATGTTACTACTATAAGAATACAGTGTATATAATACATATAAAATACAAAATATGTGTTAATTGGTTATTTATGTTATTGGTAAGGTTTCCAGTTAACAGTAGACTATTAGTTAAGTTTTGGGGGAGTCAAAAATTGTATGTAAATTTTGTACTGTTCATAGGGTCAGCACCCCTAACACCTGCACAGTTTAAGGGCCAACTCTATTTTCAAACATGATATGAAATTACTAGTATATCTATATAAATATTTCTAAAACGTCTGCGCTTCTTTCCACTTGTCCTTTTCAAAGGACTTCAAGGTAATTAAGAAAATTAAACATTAATACATTATTATATAGGTTTTGTTACTAGGTGACAGAAACAGTTTGACCAATAGGTTTCCCGTTTATAGGGTTGTTTTTCTCTGTTTCTGTCAATTTTTAATTCTGATGACAAGGTGTATCTAGGAAAAGGATAACAACACAATAGTAATTGAGAAGTCTTCTCTTTTGATGTATTTATTAAAAATTGAGATGATAAATGAATAACATATCCTTCTGCACCAAATTTATGTTGGTGATAAATTATAATGTTAGTATCACTCAGGACTTCAAAGAACTGAGTCAGATTTCTGTAATGAAATTTCTTCTCTTCCCATCGAAATACATATTTTAATATGCTTCTCAAGAACATGTACCTATTAAAGAAGTAAAACCAGAATGTATGCTGTAGTTTTCTCTAACTTTAGCCATCCATGGACACATGTACTCATTGAAAAAATACTTTAGCCATCTCATTGTATTATAATATATCTGGAAATATTATGGGGTTTTTTTGGCAAATTATCCACAATTATCTAAGGGAATCTCCATCAAGAAAAAAAAATAACACTAAGAGGCTTATGTTTACAGATTTTTTAAAAATTATATCACAATGTATTAAGGAAAGACTTTCAGTAATGGTATTTAAGTAAAGTTGTCATGTAAGCCCTCCCACAGACAGAAACTAGATAAAACTTAAAATTCAACTACATAAAAGCACTTAGAAATTGTCCAAAATCAGACAGAAGCAGTAGCAAATGTTATTCCCTGCCCTCCCCCCACGAAAAAAAAAAAAAAGCCAACTCCCGAAAGAGTAAGGAACATGAGTTTGATGCTTTGAGACCTGACTGCATGACTTTTGAATTAAAGACCCTCTCAACCCACAGCCAAAGTGATGTAAACGAGCAGTAGAAAACCATTGCCTTACATGGTAAGAGTACCAGCAACGAGAGTTTAAGGTTGAAAGACCAGTTAGAAACTTAGAGGTAAAATACTGGCAGCAAGAGGACTGAAAAAGAAAGGAGAACAGCATCCTAGCCTTTTACGAATCTTAGGGGGAAGCATTCAGTTTCTCATCACTATGTATACTATTAGCTATTGGTCATTAACAGATGTTCTGTTTCATCTGAGGAAGTTTCTAACCACATCATTGACTGATACAAAGTACATTTGTACAAAGAAGTCCTGAAATGTAGGGGTAGCAAGTAATAAAAAGGCAGGTAGAAATCAGAGAGAAATCTATTCTTGAAAATTTTGTGACTTTTTGTTTGTTTGGTTTTGAGATAGAGTCTCGCTCTGTCACCCAGGCTGGAGTGCGGTGGCACGACCTTGGCTCACGGCAACCTCCACCTCCCAGGTTCAAGTGATTCTCCTGTCTCAACCTCCTGAGTAGCTGAGATTACAGGTGTGTGCCACCACACTCGGCTAATTTTGTTATATTTTTGGTAGAGTCTCGCTCTGTTCCCCAGGTAGGAGTGCAATGGCATGATCTCGGCTCACTGCAACCTCCTCCTCCCAGGTTCAAGCAATTCTCCTGCCTTAGTCTCCTGAGTAGCTGGGATTACAGACACCCACCACTACACCCAGCTAATTTTTGGTATTTTCAGTAGAGATTGGGTTTCACCATGTTGGTCTGGCTGGCCTAGAACTCCTGACCTCAAGTACCCCTCCTACCTCGGCCTCCCAAAGTGCTTGGATTACAGGCATGAGCCACTGCACCCAGCCAAAAAAAAAAAAAAAAAAAAGTGACTTTTATGGGTCACTGAGTGCACTCTGACCATGCACAGTTTGAGTGGCAAAAGAAGAAGTCTTATTAGCTTAAAGTGTGAGAAGAGAGCTTAAGGCCAGAATAGTAGTAGAAAATTACATGTGAATTTCTAGAAACAAGTAGGCCACAGGCATGGAAGGACCACATATCTAAATATAATCTCTGGCCCAAAATTTGGCTAACAATGAATCCAGGCAAATGGAAACACCCCCTACAAGAAACAACATAAGAAAAGCAGTAGCTGGAAGTTGTTAAGACCAGAGCAGAAAATTCAGCTGTTGCATAACATAGGGAAGACACATTTTCTGTCTGAGTCTAGGCAACTTGACTACCTATTATAACAAAATCAAGCAATCCTCAGAAGAATGCAAGAGTATCCAGAGTTCATTACCTGTGGTTGGCTTTAAAACAAAAATTACTAGACATTCCAAGAAACAGCAAAGTGTGGCACATATCCAGGAAAAAAGATAGTTCATTGAAACTGGTTCTAAGTGGGTCCCCCTTTAAATTTACAAGAAAAGTCTTCAAAGTCCATATTAAAAACATTTGAACATAAAATCAAAGAGAAATTTGGACAACTATAGAAATCGAATCCATAATTTATAAAATAAACCTTTTCACATAGAAATCTGGATAAGATTGGCTTCACTGGTAAAATCTACCAAATATTTTAAAAAGAAAAATATCAATATTATGCAAATATTTTTAAAAACGGAGGAAAATTAAATACTTTTCAACTTGTTTTCAGAGGCCAGCGTTGCTCTGATAAAAAAGCTAGACAAAGTCATTATGAAATTTTAAAAAGTGCTATCAACGAATATCCCTTGTATTATATGCAAATTTTTAAAAAATAATTTAGCAAATCAAAGTTAACAATATATAAAAAATGTAATGCAGAATGACCAAGTGAAGTTTTTCCCTGAAATATAGGTTAATTTAACATTCAAAATAGATTACTATAACTCACCACATTAATAGAATTAACAAAAATTGATCATCTCAGTTTCAGAAAAAGGAATTTTTAAATCCACTAAACTATGAATAAAAGGAAACTTCTCAGATGTCCTAAAAAAGGACATCTATTACAAAGCCATAATTAATAACATACATAGTGATAAAAAATGAAATGCTTCCTCCTAAGAGTCATAAAAGGCTATATTGCCTCTACCATGTATTCAATATTATACTGGAATTCATATTTAATAAAATAAGAAAAATGAATTTTTTAAAAAGTTCAGATTGGAGAGAAAGAAGTAAAACTATCTTTTAAAAAAATTGACCTGGTCTTTGTCTGTTTGTGTTGCTATAACAAAATACAACAGAATGGGTAATTTACAAACAATAGAAATGTATTTTTCACAGCTCAGGAGGGTGGGAAAACCATGATCAAGGCACTGACAGGTTTGGTGTCTGAGAAGGGACTAATCTCTCCGCTTCCAAGATGGTGCTTTGTTGTTGCGTTCTCTGGAGAGAATGAATAGTGTGTCCTCACATGGTGGAAGGGCAGGAAAGAAAAAAAAAAGAAAAAAAGAAAGAAAGAAAAATTTAAGAAAAGGTTGAGCTCTGTGTGAAGCCTCTTTAATAAGGTGCCTTAAGCCCATTGGCAAGGAAGGATTCCTTATGACATAATCATCTTCAAGGCTCCACCTCTTCAAACAATTGTATTGGAGGTTAAGTTTCAACATGAATTTTGAGTGGGTTGCAGACATTTAAACAATAACTTGATTGTATAAGTACAAAACTAAAAATTCTACAAAACACCTGTAATAACTAACAATTTAACTTAGCAAAGTCACAGAATACAATGTGGAAATATATAATGCAATAGTATATTTATTTATTGGCACAAATAATTCAAAAACAAAATAACATATATGATTTTCAATGAAATCAGAAAATATGAGGTATTTTAAGGTAAAAAATAAATGCACTGAAAACAACAAAATATTAATGAAAGTGGAGACTGCAATAAATTGAGAGATACACTATGTTCATGGATCAGAAGACTAGACATTAATGTATTATTTCTTCTTCCAGATAAGCCTATAGATTTAATGTAATTGTAATTAAGTTCCCAGCATGCTTTTTAAGAAATTGACAAGGATATTAATAATTTATAAAATAAAAAACATAACCTACAGGAGCCAAAGCAATTTAAAAAGGAGGAGGAGGAGAAAAATAGTGACAAATTTGCAGAAATCACAGTACTTGATTTTCACAATTATAAATCTACAGTTATGAATTAAGGTGATGTGGTTGTGGTGAAAGGAAGGACATCTAGATCAATGAGGCATAAGGTAGAGTCCACAAATAGACCCATACATATATGGTAAAGTAATTTTTGACTAATGTGTAAAAATAAATCAATGAGAAAAAATATTTTAAATAAATGGTACTTTAACAACTGAGTATCCCTATGAAGAGAAAAAAATGAAACTTGACTATATGATACAAAATATAAATGAGTAATTATTATATTTCATAAAAGCTATAACTATAAATTTCTAGAAGAAACATTGTGATCTTGGGGTAGGCAAAAATTTTTTAAATATAAAAAGCTTGAAAATGAATAATTAATTGGAGTTTATTCAATTATAAATTAAAAGCAAACAAAAACTACTCTATTCATAAGACAACATTTCAAAAATAAAAAGACAAGCCACAAACTGAAAGCAAATGTTTACAAATCAAAGCTGATAAAGGTTAAGTGTCCAGAATTTATAAAGATCTCTTGCAAATCAACACTAAATATACCAACTTTGTTGAAAATGGAGAAGATATTTGAACAATTTGTGTAAGAACATGTAAGGATGGCCATTTAACATATAAAAAGATTACATTCTTAGTAATAAGAGAATTGCAAATTAGAAGCACGATGTGATACAAGCACACAATTTAATGGCTAAAACTTAAAAGGGTGAAAATGTCAAGTATTAGCCCCAAATCATCTTTATTAGTAACAGTCAAATGATTACCAACATGTAAATGGATAAATAATATGTGGTACATCTACTTTATTGGGTGATTTATGAAAATAACAAAGATTAGTGGGAAGAGCCCATGGCTTCCAGTTTGAATAAAGATGGAAATCATTACAAGCAATTTTCTTTAAGTTATAAATATAATTTATAAATATATGATAAGGTGATCCCCTAGAAGATATTCAGGCATAAATTACCTCATAATAAATGACTGTGCAGGAAATAGAATGGAAATAAGAATTAAGAGAAAGAAATGATGCAAAATATTCAATTGCTAAATAAGAACTTATTTTACATATTTAGATGAATTAAGTGGACATTGAATTGCTATGGTATTGAGATCACATTGGATGCTTTGAGAACAGTAAAAAATAACTGTGACTATTTAAACTTGAATGAAATTATTTTATATGACATTGGTAAAAAAGTAGAAGAGGTACATAGTTTTTCCAAATTCTTTGGGGAATGTTGAGACAAAACAATTTGGAGATCATTGTCTAATTGGAAAAAAAATGTTCTATGTCTAGCCTTCTTCTTATGATTGTTGTTTTAGGCAATTTGCAGTACTCAAAAAAGGCAGTGTCAATGTCAACCATACATAAATATATATAAACATATTAAACAACTTTTGTTAATTATACGTTTTTCATCATGTATAAAATAAAAATTTCAAATCATTAGTTAATGTACATAAGCACCATAAAGCAGAGATTTTTGCCTATCTTGTTTCATGAAGTATCCCAAATACCTATTACACTGTCAGAAACCTTTTAGTTGCCTAATAAATATTTGCTAATAAATTGAATGAATGATAAAATGTGACTCCAAGAAGGATTGAATGCTTACTTAATATGGCACAGTAGACAGTAATTCAAATTTTTCTAGATGCTGACACCAGCAACATAGAAGAATAGGAGGATTCTAACTATCCCTCCTCCCACAGACACACCAAATTAACATCTACACATGAAACAATTATTTCCAAGAGAATGACAGAATTTAGTTGAAAGACTCCTACACACTGGAGAATTGAGAAAATACACACATCAAAATGAGTAGGAAAGGCAGATATAAACCACCAAGCCCACCCTGAGCACTGTGCCTTACGATCAGGAAGAAATCCCCAACTCCTAGCTGCATCTAGAGGGATGAAGGATTTGTACCACACATATCACTATGTTTATAATCTCTACCAGACAGCTTGTCTATTAAATTACCTTGCTTGAGGAGCAGCAGGAAAAGGATATCAGAGGATTTCCTTCAAGCAAAAAGAACAAAGAGGAGTTTTAATCCACACAACTATTCCCAGTATCTGTATACCTCAGATCAATCCAGCTTTCAACTTCTAGAAAGAGTTTGGATACACAGATTTCCAGAAGCTCCCTGTGATCCTGGCCTCAAGGATAAACCTCCTCAACCCTAAATAAGAGAGGCAGCAATTTCTGTGCCTTTGTCCTTACGTTTCTCTAGTGATAAATCCCTGCAATCTTTCATTGGAAGGAGGACGGGCTACCTTGCTGTGCTGAACTGGAAGCTCAATGGATACCTACTGAATAAATCCAAGGAGATCCACATCAATGCATCATAAATCAGACTGTCAAAAATTATGGACAAAGAGAGGATACTGAAAGGACAAGGGGAAAGCAAATCATTACATATGAGGGAGATTTCATAAGACTATCAATGGGTTTTTCAGCAATAATCTTGTAGGTCAGAGGGGACTGAGATAATATAGTCAAAAAGCTAGAAGAAAAACAACTGTTAACCAAGAATATTATACCCAGCAATACTATTTTTCAAAACTGAAAAAGAGATAAAACCTTTCTTAAACAAACAGAAATTGAGGCACTTTATCACTGCTAGTTCTGCCTTACAACAAATGCTGAAAGCATTCCTTCAACATAAAGGAAAAGGTCACTAAATAGCAATAGGAAAATATATAAAAATATTTTAAAAAACTCACTGGTAAAAGCGTACACAGAAAGAAGTAAAAGACATTTACACATGAAAGGAAGAAATGAAATTTTATCTGTATGCCAATGACATAATCTTATACATAGAAAATCCTATCAACTCCACTGAATAACTGTTAGAACTGATTTTAAAAATTCAGTAGGGGTGCAGGTTACAAAGTCATTACGCAAAATCAATGGTGTTTCTATATACTAACAACAAACTATCCATAAAACAGACTAAGAAAACAATCTTATTTAAAATTGTATCACGAAAAAATAAAATACTTAGGAGTAAATTTAACCAAGCAGGTAAAATATCTGTACATTAAAAACTACAAAACATTGATGAAAAACTGAAGACAACACAAATAAGTGAAAATATATTTTATATTCATGGACTGAAGGATTAATACTGTTAAAGTAGCCATACCACTCAAGGCAATCTACAAACTTAATACAATTCCTATCAAAATTCTGATGTGATTTTTCACAGAAAAAGGCAAAACAATTTTAAAATTTGCATGGAATCAGAAGAGACCCCAGATAGCCAAAGAAATCTTGAGCAAAAAAAAGAGCAAAGCTGGAGGCATCACACTATCTTATATCAAAATGTATTATGAATCAATCATAATCAAAACAGCATGGAAGTGGAATTAAAACAGACACACTGACCAATGGAACCAATTAGAAAGCCCAGAAGTAAGCCCAAGTATTTATGATCAATTGATTTTTTGGCAAAGGTGTCAAGAACACACAATGATAAAAAGACAGTCTATTCAATAAATGTTGTTGGGAAAAATAGGATATCCACATGCAGAAGAATAAAATTGGACTATTAACTTACACCCTACAGAAAAATTAACTGAAAATGGATTAAAGACTTAACGTAAGACCTGAAACTGTTTAAAACTGCTAGAAGAAAACATAGGGGGAAGTCCATGTCATTGACTTCAGCAATTATTTCTTGGATAGGACCCCAAAAGCATGGAAAAGAAAATCAAAATTAGACAAATAGGATGGCATCAAACCAAAATGCTTCTGCACAGCAAAGAAAACAATCAAGAGTTACAAAACAATCCGTGTACCGGGAGAAAATATTTGCAAACCACACATCTGTTAAGGTGCTAATATGAAAAATATCTAAGAGACTCAAACAACTCAATAACAAGAAAACAAGCAACCTGATTTAAAAATGGGCCAAGGACCCAAAGAGAGAGTCCTCAAAATAAAACATGCTATTAGACAAAGGATATGTTTAAAAATGTTCGGCATCTTTAATCATGAGGGATATGAAAATTAAAGCTGCAATGAGATATCACCTCCCACATGTTAGAATGGCAATTATCAAGAAGACAAAAGATAAGTGTTGGTGAGGTTGTGCAGAAAAAGGATACCTGGTGTTCTGTTCATGGGAATGTAAATTAGTATAGCCATTTTTAAAAACAGTATGGAGATTCCTCAAAAAACAAAACATGGAATTACCATATGATCCACAATCTCACTTCTGGATATATATCCGTAAAGATTGAGATCAGTATATCAAGGAAATGTCTGCACTCCCATGTTCATTCTGGCATTGTCTACAAAAGCAAAGATATGGCAACAACCTAAGTATCCATCAATGGATAAATGGATACAGAAAATGTAGTATACATAAAATAGAATAATATACATGCTTTAAAAAGAAGGAAATTCTGCCATGTGCAACAATATGGATGAAACTAGAGGACATTGTGGTAAGTCACATTTCAAACGCTAATTCATCTGTGAAGCATTCTTCATTTACTTGCTCCCTAAGTAACTTGCCTCTTGAGGAATTGTTCAAAATATTTTTTGCAACTTGCTTATGGCTCTTACCATTTATCATCTTGTATTCTGTTAATTTTTAAAACCTACTAAACTGTAAATCCCTTTGAATCAAGAAACATGCCTTTTCATTTTCTTCTTAAGTTGCTTTGTTTCATTCCTTGAGTATCTATGTAACATTGAGATTGAGGTTACAGGTTCTGTCATTGGACTGCCTAGGTTCAAATTTCACTCTCCTACTTCAAGAGTGAGATTTTAGGCAACATTCTTGACTACAGAGTAATTCCATTTCCTCTCTACTATCTATCTATGCTGTGGATAAAATATGGGCAATAACAGTACCAAGCTCATAGAGTTGTTGTAAGAATTAATTTATACAAGTATATTGACTTGAAACAATGTTTAGAATAGAGGAAAATCCTTATTATTGATAACATTTATTACTGTACAGGTTGTAGATAATCAAATGATATTTAAGTATGAGTAAATAAGTTACAACCAAACATTTTAAAATTTTCATCAGGGAAATTTTCATAAACATAAAATAGAATTATATTAAATAATTAACTACCATCTTTCCCAATAGTTTTCAAGATTTTGCCACACTGGTATCAAAAGGTGTCTCATGACCCTCTTTTCTATGGAATATTATAAGCCAAATACCAGATATCATAATTTCCCTTAAGGACATGTTTTTTAAAAGCTAAATCACAAAATAATGATGAATAAAATTATACATTAAGTACCTATTATCTGGGAGAAAATTAGGGAATATTATCAAATCTCTTTTCTCTGAATTATCTAATAATCTTAGGGAAAGGATTTTGGTCTCAAATATTTTGACAAATTTTGTTCATATTCACATATTTAGTCTCTAATAAAAGCCATAAGACCTGCAACTTACTAAAATAATCATAAAAAATCATTGTAGTTGAAAACTCTTCTATTGTTTCTAATTAAAAAACAATTTTAGTTGAAAATTCTTCTTTTGTTTCTAATTCTGAATCCTATAGTTTTAATAAGTATATCTATTATTTTATAATTGCTATATGCTGTCTACATATAGCAATTATACAATATAAATTATACAATTATAGCAATTATACAATATAAATTATACAATTTTATAATTGCTATATGCTGTCTACATAGCAAAAACACAAGACCCTGATTCATACACAGACACATACACATACATAGTAGGACCTACTAGATTTTAATGTTTTTGAGCCAAGCAGCATGGTTCCATATATCTCTCATAGTACCAGGTATACTGGTAAGGTAATCAGATAATATTATAAATTGAATGCTGAAGAATATATATATATAGTTGCTCATTATATATATATATATTTGTGTTTGTGTGTGTGTGTGTGTGTGTATTACATAAATACATACTGCTTCATGGCTTTTACTCATATTTTAACATCAGAATTATTTTGGGTAGTTCTAGACCTATGGATGCTGATCAGTTGACACTTGTCTTGTTAGTATTTGGTTCTTTCAATAAAGGATTATTTGCTCCTAATTCTTATTCAAAGTATTTTAAAATTTTTATAAATGAACACTATATTGTTCAATAAATAGCAAGTAGCAGTAAAATAATATAATACAGATTCATTTTGTTATTTTTGGAATCATATATGAATGTATCTAGATAGTTTCCAACACTATATTGAACTTTACAGGTTTTTCTAAAATTTATTTCCTTAAAATGCAATAGTTAATATTAAAATTACATATATATAAATATAGGAAAATTAAGTGCAAAAATGATGGTGAATATATTTCTCCAAAGACTTTTATTGGTGGATAATGAATTCTTTTCTAAATATATTTAAAATAATTTTTTTTTAATTTGTGTATTTTTAGTAGAGACGGGGTTTCGCCATGTTGGGCAGCCTGGTCTCGAATTCCTGACCTCAAGTGATCTGCCTGCCTTAGCCTCCCAAAGTGCTGGGATTAGAGGCATGAGCCACCAGGCCCAGCCCCTAAATACATTATTTTTTAATATAAGAGCAGATAAACAGTAGTTGAAATATTCTTTTAAAATTGTATGGATACACATAGAACCTAGCAATTTAAGATAGGAAACTAGGGCTGGAGCACCTGAAAGAGTTTCCATGTTAACAACAATTAAGCAGAAAATAAATGATTAACTTTATGGGTAATCAACTTAGCTTTCCATAAGTCATCAGCTTTTTCAAAAGATTACATTTCTTTCATTAGTTGGCTACTTTATGTGTCTTAAATCAACATACAACTGGGGATTAGGTTAATGGTTCTACTTATTTTGTGCAATAATTCTGCCTACTCACCTATGACTGATAACTAAGTATAAATACAGTATCTCAAGTCATGCTGTATCCAGATTTGCTTTTACATTTTCTTGCCTGAGTCTGAGGTGAACAGTGAACATATTTACATTTGATTTAACAGTGAACCTTAATTCTTTCTGGCTTCACAGTGAAACAAGTTTATGCAATCGATCAAATATTTTCATCCCTGAGGTTAACAATTACCATCAAAATGTTTTGTGGAGACTATGTGAGTATAATGCTTATTTCTGTAAAGCTTTTCACTCTTTTGAAACTTGATTTATAAAATTTCATTTGTGTTTTTTGACGTTTTTAACAGAAAATGTTGTTCTAATTTGTTTTTATTCTTACTACTTTCTTACTATTTTATGCCCATTTTTTGAAAGAAACATTTATAGAATATTTAAATTTTATTTCTGGGATTATTAAACATTACTATGATAACAAGATTTTTTTAATGCAATTATTTGCTATGCTTCTGAAGCAAATAAAGAAAACTGAAGATTAAAGATTTGGATTTGAGCATACCTAAGAATCCATTTAATTAGTGGGTCTTCAATATAACTATTAAACAGAGTTAATATTATGAAATCTTAAATCCATGCTAATTTTGAAACAACGTATTATCCCACAGAGGCAAGTTACTTTCATATGTAATTTGATTCAGAATTCTAACTGAAGTTATCATAAGATTTTTTATCTCGATATTTACTTCTATCTATAAAAAATTAAAATAATTTTGACTATTAATTTTATTTTAAATCCATGCTTTCTGTAAAAGATAGCTTATTTTTGAATAATTTTCTGTTGAATAGAAGCAATGTATAACAAGATTTAGTCTTTTTTTTGGCCTTGTCTGAATCATTTTAGTCCAACTGCTCTAATAGTCATTCACTTTTTAAAAAGCCAACATGAACATTAAGTTGTCTGAATATGCTTTATATGAAAAGGTCTCCATTTCACATGGTCTTGAAAATTATATACAAATGTGAATTTATGCCTTGTGGTCTTAGAAATTATATACAAGTATATGTGTGTTAATGATGATTCTTTACAAATCTATACTATAAAAAAACTTTCAGGAGACTGAGGCAAGAGAATGGCGTGAACCCGGGAGGCGGAGCTTGCAGTGAGCCGAGATCGCGCCACTGCACTCCAGCCTGGGCGACAGAGCGAGACTCCATCTCAAAAAACAAAAAACAACTTTCTGGGAACTTTTATGCAAAAAAATTATAACATAATTATTTTGTTAAACTTTGGCACACAAAACATTGTTTACTCATACAAAGTAATCAATGCAGGAAAATTTTACTTATATATTGTGTTTCTTAAGATAAATACTGAATTAGGACTTAAAAGGCAGCTATTTTCCATCACTGTTAGTTTAACAATCTTAATTTCATCTTAAGATTTCAAGATCTCATTTTGCAGTTGAAAGTTACCATTATTGTTTTATTAATTGTAAGGTGGTTATATTTCACTACAGAGAAAAAAAGGTATCAAGTAATTAGGCCAGCATGGTAAATGATTAAATTTGCAAATGCCTATTGTTTTCTCTCTCTGTTCATTTGAGTATAGTTATTTGGGAGTAATTACTATTATATTCTATGCATTGTGTGGTCTAATGTTACTATTTATATGCCCATTTTTCAAAAGAAACATATTTTATAGAATATTTAAATTATATTTCTGGGATTATTAAACATTACCAGGCTAACAAGATTTTTTTTAAATGCAATTATTTGCTATGCTTCTGAAGCAAATAAAGAAAACTGAAGATTAAAGATTTGGATTTGAGCATACCTAAGAATCCATTTTAAGTACTTTTGATTAGCTATTTTAGAGATGAATGTTATGTTTTATGTATAATCTCAGCAAGCCTGGATGGTAAAATGGTTTTACATAATCAATATCAGTATAGTTTAAAGTAATTTTCTATCTTAAGGTATATGACCCCAGTGGTCAGAATTTAGTGCTAAAAAGGCCAATATTTGAGGCCAAGCTTATCTCTTTAATCGGATGTTCTCAAGCAAGAGACTGGCTCTTCTGTTGACAAGTAATTTCTTATTTTATAATGTGGGTAGTAATTGACTGAGTTGTTTGTTAAAGATATGTCCCTAGATCCTCCTTATTTAGCAGTCCTGATGCAGTATATATAACATCTGAACTTATACACTTGATATAAAAGGGTTACCATTTTTGAGAACCACAGAGATAGGTAGTTCATTACTCTCAAAGTATAGAAAATTTAAATATACTTCAAGCAAGAGACAAGAATCATGGAAAAATGGTTACATTTCTGTAGGAGATAAACATACATAATATGTTAAAATTATTTTCTATATTTCTGGAGTTAGGCGGGCCCCAGTGATTAAGGTAGTTTAAGTGTGCTTGTTACATTAAGAAGGAAATTTATCTTTGGTGCACTAGTGTATTTTACTTATGTGCTTGACTGTAAGACCATCTTTCAAAAGCAAGGTTTAATTAAGAGATTATTGCAAGCCTGAGTTTTGATATATTAGTCAGATATAAATCACATCATAGGAAGATATTATTATAATATTATAATAGCTCTCTTAGAATGGAGGAAATTTTACTATACAGTGTACTTGCCCAAGTCAGGATCTAAACCCAGGTATCTCTACATCCCTAGAGCTCAAATTCTTTTTATTAATATATAATGTCTCTTTAGAATACACCTGCCTCTTTAGAATACAATTTTCTTGTAAAAATTGTTCGCTGATTTTGTCCTGTTTTGTCATCAGCTGATCCCCCTTGTTCATACAGTAGCATCTTATTTACTATAGATTCATTTCTTAGATGATACCCTTCCTTTTGACCTCTAATAGGATTAGAGTTAACTTTAATCCTATTCCCTTTTCTACCCTTTTGACACCTTTTCCTACTTCTATAATATTTATTGACTGACAGAAAATGTTAATCATAGCAGTATGAAAAGTAGGATACATGTTGATATCATATTTCTTACCTAAAATAGCATTATGTATTATACAAACATATAGAAATTATTATAATAATTTACTGTCTATATACATCATCCATACCTTGTTTAATTTAATCTTCACAGCAAATTGTCCTATAAGAATACCATTTAACATGCAAAGGTTTGAAGTTCTTTTGGAGGTACTAGATATTCTACCCAAATGTTTTATACATATTATTTTTGTGTTTGCAAACTTCTAGGACAGTATTATCATCCCCTTTTTCCAGATGAAAATACTAAGGTTCAGAAAAATTAAATACTTTTCCCAGGAGTTAAAAGCCAGTAGGTGACAGATACAGAGGATTCTGTGTAACTCCAAAATCATTTCTACCACACTGAGAGAAAAAAATGCCTAGGTATGATTATTTTTTGTGACCCCAATTAAATGAGAAAAACTTAGCAGCGGTATCTTTACAAAGATGCTTTGACTCATGAGTTTGCCTCAGAATAGCTCAAGAGCACGAAAGTCAGGCAACAGCATGTTAGGCAGTGTCTACTATGGGCAATGAGACATACAGCATTTTAGCCTAACTAGAATAAAAATAAATGCATTGGTTTTTAGCAGTGGATTACATGTAGTGAAGGAAAAGCACTCCATAAATCAGAAATGAATTCAGGGCATATTACCTAGGAGTGATTGCAGACTGACAAGACATCTCATGGGAGGAGAGGCTGTTGATAAGGCAAGATTATTTTCAAGACTGTCTTTTCCTATAGAAAGTAATTCCCAGGACAAAAACTTCCATCCAAGAAATCTGACTTTGATTGTTTATCTGCAGTATGACTTACTGAGCAAATATTATTAAAAGGTTATTCATACTTCAGATTGCTTTTCACTATCACAAGACTACATTGTCTGAACTTTACACACTTTGATTCAACAAAAGTTTTGAATCATGCTGTTATGGCTTCAACTTTTACTGAAACTTCTGTAGAACTAATAAGAGTTGGATTGGAAAAATTAAATTTAACTTTTTCCTTGAACTGGCATGCATGCTTGTTGTAAATTTTTAAAAATATACCATTATAACAACCATAGATTGGTTTTAATCTAGGGGCTGGGCAAACATCACTGTAGCGTAGTGGCTAAAGATACACTTAAATCTAGCCTTTCTGCATAGGATCCATGTGACTGAGCACTACTTGCTGAATCTTTCTGCACCTCAATTTTTTTTAACCTGTTAAGTGTGATAACAGCACCTATCTTATAAGGGTCTCTTGAGAATTGTTTGGCATATAAAGCACCAAGAAGAGTATCTGGAGCATAGAAGCATCCCAAAAAGATGAGCTATTATTCACAGTACCAGTGCCAAAGCTTGAATCCGACTCTGTCTAATTCAAAAGCCCTGGCCTTCAGCTGCCCAATGCACTGCTTCTAGAGGGGAGGTTAAGTTTGTATCCATTACTAATACAAATGCATATATATATATATATATGTATGTATATGTATATACAATACATACATAAGCATATATGTATGTGTATATATACAACAGTCCCAAATTTTATAAAGAAATTTGAGAAACAACAAAAGTTTCACAAGGGGAAATATATTTTCTGTTGTACTTAGCATAATGTTTATTTATAAGTAGATTGTATCATGCAAAAAAATTTCATAAACCCACTTACTTCAATTTCTGGTAACTTCTCTTCTTTATTATGGTAAAACTCCTCAAACTTGTATTACACCCATTATATACATTTCTTCTCCTTCAATTCTCTCCGTATCCATTCATTAGGTTTCTTTCTCAAATGCCCTGCCTGAACTGCTCTTATTAAAGTAAACAATGACCTTCATATGGTTAAATCCCATGCCTAATTCTCTCCTCTCATCTTGCTAGACATATGGGTGTTATTAGACACAATCGCCTTTGCCAGAAGTATTCCAGGGCCAAATTCTTGAAACTCTTCTCCTTCCTCCTTATAGCCTCTCCTTTGGTCATAAGATCCAACATAATGGTTTTAATTACATTCTATATACAGACTCTTTTCTGAATTTATGTCTCAACCCAGAACCTATGCATGAACCCCAGATTCCTGTAACCAAGTGTCTACTCATTGAGTAGAAACTCATCCTCTTATTAGTACAGAAAAAGGAAAGTTAAAAAAAAATTAAGCCTTGCTATTATCCTTGGCTCAGGTTCTCTCATACCTTACATTATCATTGCCTGCCAACTTCTGCAGTGGCTTCCTACCTGGTGTCCCTGGTCCCACCTCCAGGTACTGGTCAGAGAGTAATAAATATCATTGTCATAAACCCTGACCTCTTGAAACATGTATTTCATTGACATATAAGATTCATACTCACTCTGCAATTACACAAAGTAATGGAATAGGAGGTAAAAGTCAGCAAAGAGGATATTTTGAGAAAGCCATCTTGGTTTGAAAGTTCTTAATTTATAATAGCTAGAAAAATAAGAAGACTTCAATTTGTAGAATCACTTGCATTTTTCCAAGTGAGAAGTTAGAACACCTCTCTAGATATGTTGGTTTCTCTTGAATGGACTAGTTTTTGAGATTATTATAAAATTATCTGTTATTTTGACATTATGCTTATACCATTAACATTAATACAGTGTGCCCATTTAAATAAGTATTACTTTAAATCTAAGGCACTCTTGAAATTTAAAAAAAAAAAAGATGTTTAACTATATGTTCTTTTTTTTATTTTTCCTAATTAATCAACTTATTTAACAAACAGTAAAGGAAGAAAGTCATTAGATTATCACAAATGGCAAGCACTAAGAACGTACTTCTTTCCTTAACCCTTAAGGTGAAGTCTTCAGAAATTATGTTTAAGCAATATGAATCATAGTTAGTTTAATGAGTCATTTATTCCTGCAATTAGGTGGAGAGGAAAAGCAGAAAGAAAGGAGTCATTTAAAGGTCATTATTTACCAACTTTTCATTTTTCAGTATAGCCTCACACACACCCACATCCGACCCTTATCTACCTTAGAGTTCTTCTATCAGTAGAAATTATTTGTAATCAGAAGTAGCTCAGCCTGATTCATCAAAAAGGAAGGGATTGCAATAATTTTTAAAAGGAGATTTCAGAGTTTATGCTGTCAATCTCCCAGCATCAGCTTCTTCTAAATAGTCTCCAGCTATTTGTAATACTTTACTCATAGCTTTTGGACATGCATTTGTTATCAAAGGCAGAGTAAAACTTGCTTCCTGGGGCCTATTTTTCCTTGCCAGCATCACAGTCTTACACCACACAGTTATGAATATATTCTTCCTCAGTTATACTTTTATTTATGTCCTCTAGACATTCTGGGTAATTATGCTGGAAGGAACCAGAAAAAAAAAAAGACTATTACAAGTATCATGTACAAAACATAAAAGTAAATCCACACAAGATAATGTGTTTTATATACCCTGTTATAGATACAGTGGGAATCAACTTCACTCACAGCAACTTTGGATTGGCTTTTCATCTTTATTTGGTGGCAATTTGTAATAATAAAGCAACAGAATGTCTTCATGTATTTTATCATTCTATCTCTTAATTGAAACATTTCTGCTATTTTATTTTTAAATAAGCCAGAATGGAAGGCATTGTAGTAATACTTTTTCAGTTATGTAAAAAGAAAGCACTTTAACCACAGCAGATATAGCATTCTTAGTACTGTGAATTAGTAATCGTTTTAAAATATGTAAATCATATTGTATTTTATTGGTGGGTTATTCTTTTGTTGTTGCCCTTAGTACAGTAGTAAACTTCTTGAATTATTGTTCAACCCTTTGGAGATATTGAATAAATGTACATATTCTTCTAGGCATTCATTTAGTTGCCAGTCTGAAAATATTGTTTGAAAAGGTAAGTAAGAAAACGGTCAAAGATGCCGAAAGAGAGAGGCGTCAGTACCTGGGGACACATGCACCTTCTGTGTACCTTTCCTCACCTGTGGGCTGACTGCTGTGTGTTTAATCAAGAGGGCAACTCACATATAGAAAAGTAAATATTCACAGTGAATACAGTAGTCCCTTCACAGTAGAAAAGGGTTAGATTCATGAACCCTCAGTGAAAGGTAATTAATTAGTGGTTTTGAAATAAGACTTTTTCATGTAACAATGGTTACAACTGAACCTAATACAACTTAACGACCAGAAGAAACTCTTCGAGATCTCACTCCCTTCTGGTTCTTATTTTGTTTCATTCTAGATATTGTGAATACTAGAATGACTGTGGGCGGCTATGCTTGGTTTTCCTTCAAGATATTCAATGACTTCTAATTTCATGACTTAGTGGACTTGGTCTTTTTTTTAAATATATGATCCATATGTCTCTGAGTGCTACAGAGACAGAAATGGTTTTTATAAAATGTTATTTTAGTCATTTGGCAGAGGGAAATCAGTATCAAATAATACCTCCTCTCAGAATCACTGGGTTACATATAAACTGTCTGCCAACAATAACAGAGAAACAAGTGAGTTAGTCCCTTTCAAATATTAGGCTTCTTTCTCTCTCCTACAACATGCAAGAGTTCAGCTTTATAATCTAGGTTCATTTCCTTTTTGTTCTTTCTCAATGCTTTTTGCATATTGAGAAAGTTTTCAAACAAAAATTCATGTAATCTAGAATCAGTTGTAGAAATTTTTAAGATAGGTGCACTAAACTCAGAAAACTAGTCAAATGGTGTATTGTAATTAAAGGCATCAGATTAACTTTTCTTACATTTAGTCATGTTTTTAATCTAGATTTTTTAAGTCTGATTTAGAGAGACATGTAGACAGGTTGAATTTTCAAAAATACTTAGCTTTATTGGCAATGTAGCTTATTCTTCTCTCATCTGATTTTGATTTACAAGAACATTCTTTCCTTAGAGTGGGATATAAAACAGATTCATCATGAAATTGTACTTCCCTGTAAGGCTTTCTGTCACCTCACTATGACAATGTGTGAGGCAGGACATTTCCATATGGTTAAGATGATTGTCACCCATCTTTCTATTCACAAACTTTTTCCCTCCTTAAGCCTCTCATACAGGTTCCTTCATCTTTAGCTCTAAGTTCTCTGCTTCTCTCTCTTGTATGGGGTGCTCTTCAAAGTGAAGACAAAAACAACTGGGATCTGTTTCCTGCTACAACTCATTATTATTCTCATGTTTGAACCTCTATCTTAATTCGCAGTTGTAATTCTTGTGAAATTATTTTGTCAAACTATACGGTTTGAAGCTAAATTCAAACCAATGTGGCAATTTCTGATTTAAAAGTTTGCCATATTTAGTTTTATGAGACTAGATATGCACCTAAAAATACTATGTTTAAACTTTTTGTTTTGGGAACATTTCAGATTTACAAGAAAAAGTTGTCAAAATAATTCATAATTTGAATTACCCTTCCCCCAGCTTTCCCTAATGTTTACATTTTATATAACCATATTGAAATTATCAAAACAGGATATTAAAATAAGCACAGTGCAACTAACTAAACCACAGATATTGTTTAGATTATACCAGTATTTCTGCTAATCCTTTGGTTTCCTGCTTGATATGGTTTGGATCTGTGTCCCCACCAAATCTCATGTAGAACTGTAATTCCCGGTATTGAAGGTGGGGCCTGGTGGGAGGTGATTGGATAGTGGGGGCTGTTTCTCATGAATGGTTTAGTACTATTCCCTTGGTGCTGTTCTCATGAGAGTGAGTTCTTGCAAGATCTGGTTGCTTAAAAGTGTGTAGCACCTCCCACTTGGCTCTCTCATTTTCCTTCACTGGCTGTATGATGTGCTGGCTGCCCCTTTGCCCTCCTCCATGATTGTAAGTTTCCTGAGGCCTCCCAAGAAGCTGAGCCCATGCCAGGATCATGCTTCCTGTTCCTGTGGAACTGTGGGTCAATTAGACCTCTTTTCTTTATAAATTACCCAGCCTCAGATATTTCTTTATAGCAATGTGAGAATGAACTAATACACTGCTCCCAGGAGCTAGTGGCCATTGGGAACACTTTTAGGCTTAATCTTACTTTTGACATTTCTTTCTTTTCTCTTTTCTTTGTGTTTTTTTTGGGGGGGAAGGGGACGGGGGGAAGCTTTTCCTTACTTACAGCTACAAGATGCATTAATCTAATCTTGTATTTTTTCTTATTCCAGCCCTAGAATTAACCACTTCTCCAAAACGCCCTGATTCCTTCCATTGAAGACCGATATTTAAAACCAAGATCTGGATACTAGTTATACTCATTGCTACTGGGGTATCACTGTTTATATGCCCTCTTAAGAGTACAGAGCAAAAAATATGTGTGTATACTAACCCATTTATCTGCACACATCTATATTTACTTTTGTACATGTGTATGCATATATGTTTGCATGTATGCATGTCTCCATCTACCTTCCTACTTATCGATTTCTCTGTCTCTATCCATACATCTATCTACCATCTATCTTCATACTAATACCTCCAATCTAATCAACAACACCGTTCTAACCTTCACCATTATTTGTTACTTCTTTCTCAGACAGTGAAAACTAAGACTATCAATATCTGAAACCTGTTTGCTTATTTGTTTAACCCTACCATACATGTAGTTTAAAACTTGCTAAGCCATTACTCTGTGAGAAACAACTTTACCAAGAGGAGTACATTGTTTGGATTATTTTTATTTTTAGCTTTACAGTTCAGTCAAAACACTATTTTCTAAAGTTACTTAGGGCACATCCCCTCTCTCCACTGAGCTTATTGTGGTTATGAGATTTATTTGTTATATAAATAGATAAATTTGCTACAAACTGCATTTTCTGTTGGGTTTTCCATACATCTTTGTTGATTTTGTTAAACTTACATTTAACAAAATGTGCTTTTTGTGGTATACAATTTTATGATTTAAGTCATGTATCCAATGCCACATTTCCTTATAGAAGACTTCCATTATCCAAAAATTCCACCACACTGCCTGCCTGTAGTCAGCTACCGACCCCAAACTCCAAACTCTGGCAAATATTGCACTGTTTGCTGCTGCTATAGTTTCACCTTCTCCAGAATGTCATGGGAACAGAGTCATAAACTATTGAACCTTTTGGACATGGCTTCCTCCGCTTAGTAGAAACATTTAACCCTAATTCATATTGTATTAATCATTAGTTCTGCCATTTTATTGCTGAGTCACTGTCTCTTGTATGGATGTACCACAATTTGTTTATCTGTTCACAGTTTGAATGGATAAACTGTGAATGGATGAACTGTGGGTTGTTTCAGGATTTAGTGATTATAAATAAAGCTGCTCTAAACATATCAAGTTAAAGTTTTTGAGTGCAGTTATGTTTCCATTTCTTTTGCGTAAACACTTAGAAGCAAGATTGCTAGGTCATATGGTAACAGTACGTTTAGCTTTAGAAAAAACTGGCAAACTGTTTTCCCAAAGTGACTATACAATTTTGCATTCTCACCAGCAATATATTACAGTAGAATATCATTGTAGTTTTACTTTGAATTTCTTTATGGGTAATGATATTGATCATATCTTCATGTGCTCATTTACTATACCGTCATTGTGAATGTGTTTGTTTAAAATACTTCCCTATTTTTATATCATTTTCTTTGTTTATTTATATTGTCCTATACATATTCTGGATTAAACGTTTTATGAAAATGTAACTTACACACCTTTCCTTTCTTTCTGTGGATTGTCTTTTCAGTCCTTTAACAGTGCTTTTCACCAAGCAAAAGTTTTCAGTTTTGACAAAGTCTAATTTATTTTTTCATTATGGATCATATTTTTGTTGTCATTTCTAAAAATTCTTTCACTTACCCAAGTCATGTAGATTTTTTCTTATATTTTTCTTCTAGAAGTTTTATAGACTTACATTTCTATTAAGGTCTATGACAAATTTTGAATCAATTTTTGTATAAGGCATGAAGTATAGGTCAAGCTTATTTTTTTATATGAATCTCCAATTTTTATAGTACCATTTCTTGGGAAAACTGTTTTTTCTCTATCAAATTGTTTTCACTACTTTGTCAAAAGTTACTTGTCTGCATTTATGTGAGTCTAGATTCTTTATTCTGTCCAATCGAGCTATACTTCAATATTGTTACCTAATAGCAGAGTTTCATTAGTACTACGACTTAATAATAATAATTCTTAAAATCAGTTAGCATTACTCCTACAATTTTGGAGTTTCTTTTCAAAATTGTTTCAGCTATTCTAGGTATTCTGCATTTCCACAAATATTTTTGAATAAAATTGTCAACATCGACACAAAATTCTGCCAGGATTTCGACTGGGATTTTGTTGAAAATGTAGGCCAATTTAAGGAGACTTGGCATCTTAACAATATTAAGTTTTCTAGCCATGAAAATGGTACATATCTTTATTTATTTATCTTTTTAAATAACTGTCAGAAGTATTCTGTTTCTTCTATTCCAATATGTATAATGCTTATTTCTTTTAATTTTCTTATTGCATTGCCTAAGATTTTTCGGTATGGTATTGAAGTAATGGAAAATAACATTCTTGCTTTCTTCCTAGTCTAGAGCAGACTGGGGCGCTGGAAAGGGAGGTGAAGCATTCAATATTTCACCTTTAATTTTAGATGTAGGGTTTTTGTAGATGTCTTTTACCAAATTAATGAAGTTGCTTTGTCTTTTAAATTTGCTTAGTTTTTAACATGAATAGATGCTATACTTGTCAAGTGTTTTTTCTGCATCATGTTTTGATGGCCATATAAGTTTTATTTCTTAAATTGTTAATAAGGTGAATTAAACAGATTGATTTTTGAATGTTGTGCCAGTCCTGCATTATTGGGATAAACACAACTAAGTTGTACTACATCCTCCTTTTTATATATTAGTACATTGAATTTTCTTGTATTATGTTGGGCATATTTGCATTTATGTTCATAAGGGTTACTATCCTACAATTTTCTTTTCTTGTAATGTTGATTTGGTTTTGGTATTAGTATAATCTAGATTCATAAAATGAGTCAGAAAGTGTTCTCTTCTATTTTCTAGAAAAAAATTTGGTAGAATTGATATTATTTCTTCCTTAAATGGTTGGCAGAAATATCCAGTAAAACCATGTAAGCTGGAGATTTTCTTGCTGAAAGGTTTCTAAATACAAATTCAATTTTCTCAATAGATATGAGGCAATTTAAGTTAACTGCTTTTCTTGAATGAGTTTGGGTAATTTTAGTCTGTCAAGAAATTTAAATTGAATATATATGGGCATTGAATCATTCATAGCATTCCTTTTGGTAGGAATGTTGTCATCTATTTTTATGTTTATAGTTTGTATCTTAGTTTTTCTTTGTAAATTGGCTACAGTTCTATCAATTTCATTGTTGTCCAAATAATAACTTTACTTCATTTTATTTATTTTTCTCTTTTTAATTTTATTGATTTTACTCTTGTCTTTATTACCTCCTACCTCCTGCTTGCATTGCATGTAAATTTCTATTATTTCTCTAATTTCTTGTGGTGAAAACTTAAATTTTATTTCGTTCTAATATATTTATATTTAATGTTATAAATTTACCTTTAGGCACTGAAACATATGAGTATTAAAAGTGGCAGACTTGTGTGATAAATGTAGATGAGTGAATTTGTTTCTTCTCTTGTTTTGATCAGCAAAGGTCCATGTGGTCTTGAAAGCTTTTGGGATCTGTAGATTTGGGCACTTTTTTTTTTAACTTTTATTTTGAGTTCAGGAGTACATGTGCAGGTTTGTTATACAGGTAAACTCGTGTCATGGGAGTTCATTGTACAGATTACTTTGTGACTCAGGTATTAAGCCTATTACCCCTGAGTTATTTTTCCTGACTCTCTCCATTCTCCCACCCACCTCCCTCCAGTATGCCCCAGTTTCTGTTGTTCCCTTCTATATGTCCATGTGTTCTCATTATTTAGCTCCCACTTATAAATGAGAACATGTGATATTTGTTTTTCTCTTCCTGTGGTAGTTTGCTAAGCATAATGGCCTCCAGCTCCATCCATGTTTCTGCAAAGCACACAATTTCATTCTTCTTTATGGCTGTGTAGTATTCCATGTTGTATATGTGCCACATTTTCTTTATCCAGTCTACCATTGATAAGCATTTAGATTGATTCCATGTCTTTGCTATTGTGAATAGTGCTATAGTGAACATAAACATGCATTTGTCTTTATGGTAAAATGGTTTATATTCCTTTGGGTATATACCCAGTAGTGAGATTGCTGGGTCAAATAATAGTTCTGTTTTCAGCTCCTTCAGGAATCACCACATTGTTTTCCACAATGGTTGAACTAATTTACACTCCCACCAACAGTATATAAGCATTCCTTTTTCTCTATAAGCTCAACAGCATTTGTTATTTTTTGACTTTTTATTAACAGCCATTCTGATTGGTGTGAGATGATATCTTATTGTGGTTTTCATTTGCATTTGTCTAATAATCAGTGATAAGCTTTTTTTCATATGCTTCTTAGCCACATATATGTCTTCTTTTTAAAAGTATCTGTTCATGTCCTTTGCCCACTTTTTGGAGTGTTTCACACATACTCCAAACATGGAGTTGTTTGTTTTTTCTTTGTAGATATGTTTAAGTTGCTTATAAATGCTGGATGTTTGACCTTTGTCAGCTGCATAGTTTGCAAAAGTTTCTCCCATTCTGTAGGTTGTTTACTATGTTGACAGCTTCTTTTGTTGTAATTTATTAGATCCCATTTGTCAATTTTTGCCTTTGTTGCAATTGTTGTTGGTATCTTTGTCATGAAATCTTTGTCCATTCCTATTACTTGGGTACTTTTCAATGCAAACAATTTTAGGTCAACAATAAGTATAAACAATTTTGGCTCAATGATATTTTAAAAACATTTATTATGAATTTCTATAGTATAATGTGTGGGAAATGGATAAAATGTGGATTGTGGACCTGTAAAAATCTTAAAGTTTTAATTTTACAACTCAATTAAGCTAGGCATTTCTAATTTTATATCAGTGTGATTCTTGAAAACAATATAGTGTTCCATGGAACTCTTGGAAGAAAAACCAAAACCTGTGTGATATTCCAGACAGGTGCTAAAGAAGAGAAATAGAATGAATGATAATTACTATTAATTGAAATACATATCTCATTAATCTTCATAGTAACTGAAACTTGCAAAACGTCTACAACTTTTACTTTACAAGGTGTGAAGTAGGGGAGTTAAAATAATTTACCACTTTGTACAGCAAGGAACAAAGATGATTTAAAATCAAGTCTGCTTTACTGCCTTACTTTAGTGAGATATCTATGTCTGTTATCACAAGGGAAATGGAAAGGAGGTTGTAACATTTTCTGGCTGTGCTTTATTTTTTACAATGTCCAGAGAAAGTAATTATCAGATGTTTTCTGGTTACATGATACATGATTTTTGCTCCAGTTTGTCACTTACTTGATAGATGTATGCTTCTTTTTATGCCCTTCTCTTCCCAATCAGAAAAAAGAAAGTTAAATCATATAGGATAAAATGCATTACATATAAAAGTTCCTGATATTTTTAGATGTGTTTCCCATGAGATGCCTCAAAGATGGAGGCATTTAAATTAGTGGCAAAAAGTATGGAGGGCCTCATGGAGTTCTTAGGAATACTATCCCCCACATTGCAGGTTAGTTGAGAGCCTCTTCAAAAGACCAACGTATCCTGTAAAATTATCACATTAGAATTCCTTTTATATGGATTCCATTGGCAGTAATATAAGCAGACCAATAAAAAAGAAAAAAATATGGATTTACTTGATTACAAAACTGTTAAATAATTCTTTGAGGATAAAATAGATTTAGACCAAGAATGTCAATAAAAGGGGGCAACAGAGTAAAGGAAACAAAGAGTTTCAGTGGAGAATAGGAGCAATTTAAGTGTTTAGAGATTTTTTAGTGAATATCTCTCTGACATTGCTAATTTCACTTTCCAATTATATAAAGTGATGAGAAATTGTTGTATTTATCCTTTACCTAAAATATATTTTTGAACAACTCTGAAATGTTTTTATCAGATAGTTTAATTAATTAAACTAAGGATAATTACTGGTGGCAAAAACCATATGCCTTTATTTCATTCTTAAATTGTTCATTTAAACTCACTAGGACTAGTTTTCCATAGGTCCTATATTAGTAAGTTTAGGCTACTATAACAAAATACCATAGACTGGGTGGCTGAAATAACAGAAATTTATTTATCACAGTTCTGGAGGCTGGAAAGTCCAAGATCAAAGTGTCAGCAAATTCGGTGTCTGCGGAGGGCCCTCTTCCTGGCTTGCAGATGGCCACTTTCTTGCTGTGTCTTTACACAGGGGACAGAGACTCAAATTTTTCTCATAAAGATACTAATCCCATCATAGGATCCCCATTCTCATGACCTCATCTACATTTAATTTCCCAAAGGCCTCATCTCCAAATACCATTATATTGGGGGGTAGGGCTTGAACATATTAATTTTGGGGGACATGAACATCCAGTCCATTTAAGTACCATTACTTTTCTGTTACTCTTAGGCAATTAAATATTCATAAGTTACTTGCACTCACAAAAATTTATAGAAATTTAAAATGTCTAATCTTGTGTCAAGGTAAAAATCATTCCCCTTTTTAGACCATATAGGGTAACTTCTTGATGTTGCCATGGCATTTGTAAACTGTGATGGCACTGGTGAGAGTGTCTTTTAACATGTTAATGTATTATAACTAGAGTATAATGAGCAGTGAGGACGACCAGGGGTCACTCTCATTGCCATCTTAATTTTGGTGGGTTTTAGCCGGCTTCTTTACTGCAACCCCTTGTATTAGCAAGGTCTTTATGACCTATATCTTGTGCTGACCTCCTATCTCATCCTGTGACTTAGAATGCCTAACTGTCTGGGAATGCAGGCCAGTAGGTCTCAGCCTTATTTTACCCAACCCCTACTCAAGATGGAGTTGCTCTTTTTGAAACACTTCTGACATTTGGTGTCATTTAGCTGGTATTATAGTCATTTAGCACTGATACACTATGGCCTTCAAAGATGTTTCTTTGGGACCATTATAGGTTTTTAGGATATTTCTCATGGCAAACAATCTTCTCTTGCCATCTTCTTATCAATCTGCTCCCTCTTAGAGTTCCTGTCATTCCTTCTAAAGGAGAATTTGGAGCCAGATCCCTTTAAAATGGTTTATGCCAACTCCTCCTACTTTGTAGCACTTATGTAGTCTGTGGCAAAGTCTCACATCTTATGTCCCAATAAACTCTGGGAGCGCAACAAATTATTGGAATTCAGATATCCGTTGTGAAGCCACCCTCTCACTTAAAATAGCTATGTAGCCACGCAATCTGAGCTTTAGACATTTCTCAATGTGCACCTAAGGTGTTCCCCAAATATGGTACACATTTCAAGTTCTCTGGGTGGTCTCCTTTATGCTGACATCACCACCCTTCACCTCATTCCCCATGGCAGGACAAGGAGGTCTCAGAGAACACTATCACCTCTACCCAAATAAATCCCCTTTATAACCTCATCTAGGTTGGTAAGTGGCTATGAATAACAACACTGATTTTTAGAATTTTCTTTGCAAACCTGGTCTAGGGAATCTGTTCTTCACTTTGGAATGTGAATGCTCTTGGCAGCTATTATTTTCCCATCAGGTTACAGCCTCAGTGAAAACTGAATTATAAAGGGACCAATTTTAAAATCTTGTTATGGTGCTACATGAACTCTTTGATGTTTCCCACATTTTTTTTCTGCTATGTACCCATCAGATGAGAATTTCTACCAACCCTCACTTTCCAGAAAGAAGATCAATGTATGTTTGGTGCAGAGCAACCCATAACTGATTTCTGTTCAACATACCATATTTATTCAGCAAAAATTTTCAGTTTAATATAAAACACAGTATGAATTTTAATGGATTTTAGTCTCCTAGGCATATGTGCTCAAGTTTTTTTAAATTATCAAAATTCTCTTACTCCTTCTATCTTTGTAGCTATTACATTTTTTAAATGAAGAAAATCGATATCAAATACTCCAAATGCAATTTATATCAGAAAATTGATTTGGACTTAAGTACATGTTAGGAAAATATTAGGTACATTACCAATAATTCAAAGTATAAAATAAATCACCAAGTTAGTATTATTTTTTAAAATAAAATGATAAAATTTCATTCCCTCTTTAGGCAAGTGACTTTACCATTTCCTGAATCTGTCATTGAGTGGTTTGGCAAAGAGCTGACAGATGAATCTGAAGATCTTTTTAAAAAATAACTGCAGACTCCTTACCATATAATTTCATGATAATCAATATTTGCTGAATCATCTTTTTCTTACCTATATAAAATCATAACAAAATATACATTCAATGTCTTTATAAAACTAGGTACTCCTGAGAAATTAAAAATTACCTTTAAATATATTTTAAAAGCATTTTAGCTATAGTCAGCTAAGCTATCTAAGTTATCTCACTTAGTTTACACTCCTTACTATAATGCATCAATAAACTTCATGTTAGGCCGGGCACGGTGGCTCACGCCAGTAATCCCAGCACTTCGGGAGGCCGAGACGGGCAGATCACGAGGTCAGGAGATCGAGACCATCCTGGCGAAGACGGTGAAACCCCGTCTCTACTAAAAATACAAAAGAATTAGCCAGACGTGGTGGCGGGTGCCTGTAATCTCAGCTACTCAAGAGGCTGAGGCAGGAGAATGGCATGAACCCGGAAGTTGGAGCTTGCAGTGAGCCGGGATAGTTAGCCACTGCACTCCAGCCTGGGCGACAGAGCGAGACTCCTTCTCAAAAAATAATAATAATTTTAAAAAATAAAAATAAATAAACTCCATGTTAGAAGTAGAAACCTGTTAACCAACTGATAGAAAACCAATCAAGATAAAATGTGCTCCTTTTGTCTCCTTCATCCCCTGGTTTAGTTATAGCTAGATGTATAGTTAATGTTCATAAAGAAAACTAGTAATGAAATGCCTTCCACCCATATTAACGATGCTACAACATTTTTATTTGTGTTAATTCTTTTTTTTTTTTTTTTGAGATTGGTACATCTTATTTCATTGACTAGAATAGAAATGCTGTGTAGGGCATTCATTTAAAATAGTTTAAGGTAAAAATTACCCTAAACAAACTGGCTGTTATTTCTAACTCTGTAATATATATTATTTGTCTATCAAGGTTAATTTCAAAATTCTAAAACTTTTGTTTCCATTGAAATTCTTTCATATAGAAGTCTAGAAGTTCTTTAGTATATAGTTAAACAACTTATTTATGGATTGCCCAGGCCAGGTTTTGTCTAGCTGCAAACTGGCTTTACTTTAAAATCACATACTCTTGCTTAAGTAAGTATTAAGGAAAGGAAGAAAGAAAAAAACAACAAAACCAACCAGAGCCATGCATTATTTTAAAGGTAAAAATCTGCTGGGAATAGAATTTCGTGATACTTTCAATGATAGTCTATCAGTGTACAAAAAGGAGGAAAGTAAAAGGTAATCTAAAGGACCATTCTTTTTCTCATTAACATCTCAAGAACATACAGTTCTCTAGATAATAATATCACTGGTCTCTGCTACTGAAAGCTAAAGAACTTTTAATCTCCAGGAATCTGTTTCTGTTTGTGAAATAGATGACTGTGCTTTGTGAGTGCTGATTACTAACCTATCTAAAAACATCAAATGAGATTAAAGTTGCTGAAATTTTAGAATCACCATTCATCTAAGGTTTGTAATACCATTTTGTAGAAATTGTTCTAATAAATCTACAGAATTCAGTCCTTCACACATTAAATGTCAGCATAATCTCTGTTTTAAGTGTGAGATTCAGGAGTGCATGCATTCCTTGAGGGTGAGCAAACACTTAGATCCTATGTTAAATTTGCTTTATGTTTAACCCTTCAAAAATCTTAAATTACTATATGTTTTATCCTTTCTAGATTAATTTATGTGTACTAGGCCTTTTAACCACTTTATGTGACATGAAAAACATAAAATAAGCCTTAATTTTTCAAAATGTGAGAATAATAATCAAAAAAAGAGTAGAAAAGCATAAAATTGACAGGGAAGATACACTATAAAAGCAGTAGTTTAAATCCATAACACTTTACAGAGGACACAACATTCAAGGCACCTATTCCAGGCTGCCAATTAGTAAGCCACTGGCCTTGTATAAATACTGTCATTTTTTCATATATAATATAGAAATAGGAACACTTACCTTGCCTGATACACTCGTGTTAATATCAAATAAGATAAAGAATATGGAGGTGCTATTTAAACTGCACAGTAGCTATTCAAATAGTATAATGCCTCCTTCATCTCTAGAATGTCATGCTTTGCAAAATATACTTATCACTATTTTATTTGGGGCACAGATATGTTCACTGAATTTAAATATTATTTCAGTTCTTTTTAAATAATATAGTACTGATCAATAAAAAGCATGTAATGACATCTTATTATTAATTAAACTATTTACAAGGAGGGCTGAGTAGTATTTTCAGATCTGCTCCTTGACATTTATCTTCAAGATAAGCACAATAGACTTCAAGAAATATCCTATTAGTGGTATATTATGAAAAAGAAAAGCCAGGCTGTGGGCAGTGGCTCACATCTGTACTCCTAGCACACTCTGGGAGGCCAAGGCAGGCGGATCACTTGAGGCCAGCAGTTCAACACCAGCCTGGCCAACATGGAGAAACCCCATCTCTACTAAAAACACACAAAAATTAGCCGGGCGTGGTGGCATTCACTTGTAGTCCCGGCTACTCAGGAGGCTGAGGCAGGAGAATTCCTTAAACCTGGGAGGCAGAGGCTGCAGTGAGCCGAGATCGTACCACTGCACTCCAGAGCCTCTGCAGCAGAGCAAGACTCTGTCTGGGGTGGCGGGCTGGGGGGAAGGCAACAACAAAAGAAAAGCCAGATTACAAAAAAAAATATGTAAATGTGACTTCATTATTTCATTTAGAAACAAACACCTTATGACTATATGTAAAGATGTGAAAAGTACAAGAAGAGCACTTGGCGGACTATTTTCTCTTTTGGTTGCTATTAAAATATTTAACGATAATTTGTAGACAATGAGATCATAAATGATTTTTCTTAACTTTTTATGTCAGAGTTTTTTCATAACCAAATTTAATACATTAATTATATATTAATTTTCTAATGACTAAAAAATATTCCCATCTGTATTTCTCCTTCATATGGAAGACTAGTCTAGCAATCAAGAGCATAGCCTTTGGAATCAGACAGATTGGGGTTTCAATATAGGCTCCATACTTCACTAGCCATATGACCTAGCAACAGAAATGAATCTCCCTGCCGGCATGGTGGCTCATGCCTGTAATCCCAGCATTTTGCAAGGCCAGGGTGGGCGGATCATTTGAAGTCAGGAGTTCAAGACCAGCCTGACCAGCATGATGAAATCCTGTCTCTACTAAAAATACAAAAAAATTAGCCAGGTGTGGTGGCACGTGCTTGTAGTCCCAGCAAGTCAGGAGTCTGAAGCAGGAGAATCGCTTTAATTTGGGAGGCAAAGGTTGCAGTGAGCCAAGATCATGCCACTGTACTCCAGCCTGGGTGACAGAGGGAGACTCCATCGGAAAAAAAAAAGAAAGAAAAAAAAGAAAGAAATCAGTCTCTCTGAATCTGTTTCTTCAACTTTAGTAATAGGACCAATCCCATTTGTTTGTATATTTGATGGCTTAATGCCTGAGAGTTAAATATGCTGTCTTAGTTCATTGTGTGCTGCTATAACACAATATTTAAAACTGTGTAATTTATAAAGAGCAGGAATTTATGTTCTCACGGTTCTGGAGGCTGGAAAGTCCAAGATCAAGGTGCTCTCACTTGGTCTGGTGAGAGCCCAGTCTCTGCTTTCATCTCACTTGGTCTGGTGAGAGCCCAGTCTCTGCTTTCATCTCACTTGGTCTGGTGAGAGCCCAGTCTCTGCTTTCATCTCACTTGGTCTGGTGAGAGCCCAGTCTCTGCTTTCATCTCACTTGGTCTGGTGAGAGCCCAGTCTCTGCTTTCATCTCACTTGGTCTGGTGAGAGTCCAGTCTGCTTCCACAATGGTGCCTTGAACTTTGTGTCCTCTCTAAAGGAAAAGTGCTGTGTTCTCAAGTAACAGAAGGTGGAGGAACTCCTTTCATCAAGCCCTTGTATAAAAGTACATAATCCCATTTATTAGGACAGAGCTGTCATGGCCTCATCACCTCCCAGAGGCTCCACCTTCTGATCCCATCAACTTGATAATTAGGTTTTATTATAGATATTGGAAAAGACACCACATTCAAACCATAGTACAGGGTAATATAAATTATTTAGCACTATTCTTGATATATAATTGAAAACTCAGTGTGTTGACTATGATTTTTGAACACTTATTCATGGTGTTGAATTACTTCTTTTCTTCCCTTTGCTTTTTTACATTTATTCAGCTTTCATTTGGTTGGAATTACTCTTTAATATTATGCTTGGAAAAGTTATGTAGGTGGCATTTTACCTTTTGCCTTTCCTTTAAATTATAGTTTTGCTGGTTTTAAAGCTTTTCAGTTTATAACCTTTCTCTCTGGATTCTGGAAGGGCTGATCAATTGGCTTCTTGTATTTAATTTTGCAGAAGAGAATGCTAAGGGCAATTTGGTTATTTCTTTTGTAAATAACCTAAATAGGTCTAAATATTATGTTTCAAATGTTAATCTTGTTTTTTCCATTAATATTATCCAACATTAGGTAATCTCTTTTCATTTAAGGACTTGATTCTTTCATTACCTACATTTGTTTATGTTTTATTTATTCTTGTTTTTTCTTTCATTGCTCTGCTATCTTCCAGATGTGTGTCTATACATATATTTTATTTATTTATTTTTTAGACAGAGTCTTGCTCTGTTGCCCAGGCTGGAGTGCAGTGGTGCAGTCTTGGCTCACTGCCACCTCCACCTCCCAGGTTCAAGCAATTCTCCCGACTCAGCCTCAGGAAATAAAGATTAACAATTATCTTACTCATTTGAAACTCTATGTTTTCATGTCATTTGACTAATTAGTTTAAGGAACATGCAGCCAGCACATGTATAGTGTCCCCTCTTGTTTTTTTAGCAATTTTTAAAACTTTTATTTTAAGTACAATGACATAACTGCAGGGTTTGTTACAAAGGTAAACTTGTGTCATGGAAGTCTATTGTACCTAATAGTTGTTTTTCCTGATCATATCCCTCCTCCCAAAATCCACCCTCTGAAAGGATCCAATGTGTGCTGTTCTCCCTCTATGTGTCCATGTGTTCTCATCATTTAGCTTCCACTTGTAAGTAAGAACATGCAATATTTGGTTTTCTGTTCCTGTGTTAATTTGCTAAGGATAATGGCCTCAAGCTCCAACCATGTGCCTGCCGAAGACACGATCTCATTTATTTTTATGGCTGCATAGTATTCCACGGTGTGTATGTACCACATTTTCTATTTTTTGTTATTTTCTTTTATTTTTTTTGAGACAGGGTCTTACTTTGTAGACTAGGCTGGAGTGCAGTGATACAATCTCAGCTCACCACAACCTCTGCCTCCAGGGCTCAAAAATCCTCCCATCTCAGCCTCCCAAGTAGCTGGGACCACAAGCATATACCACCATGCCCAGCTAATTTTGTATGGAGATACGGTTTTGCCATGTTGCCTGCTCAGGCTGGTCTGGAACTCCTGGGCTGAAGCAATCTACCTGCCTCAGATTCCCAGAGTGCTGGGATTTCAGACATGAGTCACTGTGCCCAGCCTCTGTACCTTGTTTTATTTATCTAGTCTATCACTGGTGGGCATTTAGGCTGATTCCATCTTGATGCTGAATAACCCTATCATGGGGAAAACCCTGATACCTTCACTCCCCCAAAATACCACCAACTAAAATCTATTCCAACTCACCTCTATTGAAAGTTCATGACAACAGATGGGTTTACACAGGGGTTGTGCAAATAACTTGAAATCAAATATTAGACATTCTGTTCTTAATAAATTTCAGCAACCCAGACAATGGGAATTTCTTTTTGGGTGTCTTTCTTACTGCCTTTCCATCCCTCCCTACAATACACACGCACACACACACACACACACACACACACACACACACACACACTCCCCTCTTTCTTTTTGAACTGACGTAAAAATAAGAGCTCATCCTTTTAGAATTTTGTTTTTACTTGTAGGGTCCTTTGAAAATGGAAACGTTTTTGTTCACATAAGTGAAAAAAAAGTCTTAATAGTATATGTTATTTTATTTTACACAAATTACAGCTATAATGGAAAGGGCACTAACCGTGAAGTTAAATTTGGATTTGAATGTTGGCTTCATGAGTCAATACCTGTGTGGCTTTAAACAACTTACTCAGCCTCATAGTCTTCTCGTGTGTGAAATAAGATTATCAGTCTCACAAGACTGCTGAGGTGATTACCAAGGAAACGCAGGTGAAGATGCCTAGAGCATAGCCTGCTTATGTGAATAATGAATTTTTAAAACCACTGGGTAAATAAAAGATGTCACTGTGGTACATGGATTTTTTTATACTTTATAAACATTCTCTGAGCTCGCATTACGTCTAAGGCACTGCCCTAGATGCTTTGAAAAGCAAGAAAAGGAAGGTACCTGCCCTCCGGAAGTTTAAAATTTAGAGATAAAGACAAATGCAAAAAAAATGGAATGCCATGTGTAATAGAGATGCAAAGTGAATAATAGTAATACTTGGTAAAATCTGTAAAGACTTCACATAATATAGTTGGAGCATGAACTAGGTCTCAAATTTTGAGTGGGATACAATCCATATAGACAAAACACGTGCAGAAAAAAAAAATCTTACTTTTTGAATCTAAGAAATCACTATTAAACGGTCTATTGGCAAGCATGAGTAAAACCCAAAGACTGAGGCTACAGATATGACCAGCTTGGAGACTTTAGACAAAATATTCCATTTGTCTTCTTCTGAATCTATGCCTCTTTGTGTAAATTATATGTGCAGTATTCCTCTGAGCCAATTTTGTTTTGCATGAGCCAGTAATGGGCCAGTGAACATTTATTTCAAGAAAAACAGAAGTATGGTGTTTATTATAGCATCCTCTGTAGCCAGAATAACTAAATAAAAGAATGAGTATCTCCAGAGATCTCCCCCACCCCCCAAAAAATAACTAGAAGTTTCAGTAAGCTACTGAATCAGAGAGGCAAAAAGGCACTATTTTAATTTTTCATATTTTATTTATTATTGTAGAAGAAATCCAATTAATATGCAATTTGTTTCAATAACTGAGAAAAACATCCCATTATGGAATAAAGGTAGTATTATAAACTGGTGTCGTTTTTCATACAGGATGACTACCAACCAGAACTCAGTAAGGCAAATATTTTTCCAGAAGTAGGGATGTGTTTGAGCCAAATCCACTCTCATTTTTTAAATCCATGTTCTTTGTGACCTAACAGTGAAGTTTGATTCATTGAAGCCACTAAGTGATGAAACACTATGAAATTTACTAGCAATTATTTCTCCATTTAATTTTATGAATTTCCTCCAGTTTCACTAATATCATCAGCAAATTTTTCACACAGACACACACACACACTATGTGGTGTTATTAACAGCTTTATTAATCTGTATCTCATTAGTCTTAGCCTTGGCTAATTGTAAACATCAAATCCATCATAAAATAATAAGTACTCAGCCAGGCACATGTGGTCCCAGCTACTTAGGAGGCTGAGGTGGGAAGATCACTTGAGCCTGGTTGGTTGAGGATGCAGTGAGCCATGATTGCACCACTGCACTCCAGCCTGGGCAACAGAAAAAAATCCTGTCTCAAAAATACTAAGAAGAAGAAGAGGTATTCAAATATCTCTGAAAGCAATTCTGAAATACTTACCCCAAAGTGATATTTGAACAACTGGAAAAAGTGTGTGTTCTCCAAAATAACTCCTTTTAAAAATACAACCTTAAGATTAAATACATAAATATATGCTGTATTTGTCTAATTTTTGGCAGGAACACATCACATCACTTCATGGTTTCTTATAACACTCTTTGCATTACCAGCTGCATATACCAACTCTTTGTGAATAGGGACTGAATCTTCCATGTGTAGCTCTGCCATTGTACGGTAAGTCCTCACCTGATGTCATGGATAGGTTCTTGGAATCTGCACCTTTAAGGAAAACAATGTATAACAAAATCAATTTTACCCATAGGCTAGTTGATATACGTAAGAGTTATGTTCCTACATCTCTCATCACAAAAACATCACCGAAGTTCTAAATAGACCAAAGACTTCCAATATTAAAATTGAAATAAATGTGAGCTATACATACATTGAAGAAAGATTAGTAAAAACAAGATAAGTGTTTACCAACTTATTCCACTTCAGGGTTACAGGTGGCCTCAGAGCCTATCCCAGCAGCTCAGGCACAAGGTGGCAACTGACCTTGGCCAGGATGCCTGTCCACCACAGGGTGCACTCATACAATACTCACTCACTCACTCACTCACTCACTCACTCACTCCCTCCCTCCCTCACACTGGGACCATGGGGACAAGCAGATGAACCTAATGCGCACATCAATGGAATGTGGGAGAATACAGGAGTACTTGGAGAAAACCCACACAGACATAAAGAGAACATGCAAACTCCACACAGTATCACTGCCGGAGATTCTTTTTTTTTTTTTTCCTCATCAATTTATAACCAAACAATGTTGATCAAAATGACGTAACTAGAGGACCTTCTGTGTATAAGGATTGAGGACTATTGTAAAACTCTAAAGAAACAAGGGGGAAAAAAATGGGCCCTTGGCCTAATTAGCATGGGACAGCAAAGAAATGAGCTTTCAAAAGATTAAATATAAACATAAGCATTTCCTCTTTCAGCTGAAATGAGTATGGTGAATATTGTGTAATGATCAGTGTCACAGCAGTCCCAGCCATGTCCCAACCATGTATTTTCTATTTCAGGGAGGAAGCTATTGTAACTCTGCAGGGTCTCACTCACTTTGATTTATGCTGTGCTCTCAGCTCCTGAAAAATTCTTTAGAACAACCTGAGAAGTGACTGTAATCTGATTGTTCTCTGGGAGCAGTAGGGATTCTATGATGGCACTAGTAGTGTTCTGTTTTTTTCTAATGAGTTCTAGTAATGAATGGGGAGTTGGTACCCAAACTATTGAGAATCTGGCTGGTATTTTGCTCAAAAAGGGTGTACTCTCCTTAGAAAATATACTCTGTACTCTAGAGGATTTCTCCTTCAGAGCCATTTCATGATGGGGAAGCAGACTTTTAGAGATTTGCTTTTTAAAAATATGTGTGTATATATATTTTTTAACCAAGAAGAAAACAATTCTGCAAACATTGCTGAAATGTGTAAAGACACCTTCATGGTATATCCTATTTTTTACTTGGAGAAAGAAATAATATCAAGAAGCAAAAGTTATTATTCATGTTTTTCTGCATTTTTATTAATAAATTTTGTAACTAATTCTAAAGTATCTGGCTAACAGAGAACAATATTTGTGCATTTAATCAAATGCACAAATATTTGATTATTTAATCAAAGATGACAAAAACTCAACTAGCTGAAAATATTTCATATCTATGCTTGTTTTTATATTTACTCATTATCTACATGATTTTTATTTAGTGTGCCTTGATATATATTTTTCTTCAACAATGTGTAAGATTCTATCTCATAAGTCTTGTTCTCTTCTTAGTTCTAAGCATTTACTACTATTTAGATTTGTGATGAGGAAATGAGGCTGAAAATGATATGACACAGTGAAAAAGGAACTAATAGTGTCAGCCCATAAAACTATCTCAGGAAATGAGGTGGAACCTCATAGAGATAACCTCGTTAAGAGGAGTCAGAAAAATGTACATTGCACATCCACATAATTGGAAATAGGCTGTGATAGGAAACTAGGAATTACCAAAATGATTGCAGATGTCCTTGACTCATAAGGCTGATTTTCATTTAGCACACCTTCTCATATACAGGTGGAGCAAAGCAATCAATTGTCATAGAATCACAGAATTTTTAATTTTCAATTGAGTTCTGAGTTCTTCCAAAGCAGCCACCGTACAATGGGACCATGTTTATGCTACATGGTTTATAGGTACCTGCATTTAATAGCTTAGACTGAGCTTTGCAGTTCAGCTGTATATGTTTCAAAAAGTTTAGAACCATATTAATATGTATGTCTTTGGTTAATATATGAAATATTTTGAAATATTGTTATACGCTGCAAACAATTGATTAGTTACAAGCCCAGCCAAAGTGCTAGGCCTTGAACTTTGAGAAATAGAAAGTACTACACAAAGCATGATTTCTAATTATGGGGTGCATGAAATTTGGTTGTGTCCCCCAAACAAATTATTTCAGTGGTAAGATAGTGCTGGAAAATAAGTATATACATACCAAATTAACTGGTACAAGAAATTAGGGAAAGAATTTAAGTTTTTTGGCTCAGTACCAGATAAATTTGGATTCAAGCTTCTTCTTTGCCACTAAGTTGCTGTATTGCCACAGTAAGTTCCTTACCTTTGCTGTGTCTCACTTTTTTCATTTACAAAACGGGGAATAATATAGCTATAATAGCATAGGATAGCTTTAAGGATGAAATACAATACCGAGAAATACAGTTTTGCAATACTTGGCACTCTGTAAATGGCAGCTATTTACAGCAACTCATGAAAGATTATTTATAAGTTTGGTGACTTAATGGAGATGGGGTTTTACTGGAACATTGAAATATATTATGAATTTCATAAATGTGAAACTCATAGGAAAAAAGTCAAAATAGGAAGCCTCGAACCTAGAAATAGTACCAGATGTGAAAACTTGTTAAATAATTTTTATTTAAAGCTGGTTTCCAAGAAATATAAAATTTCCAAGCAATGTTTTTCCACCTGTTGCAATCTAGTCAAGTGTAAAATTTTCACCTCAAGTAAAACATCACTCATAAGCACATCTTGGGGGAAAAATACTTGTTAGCAAAATTCATTTAAGAAAATATTAACACTTCAGGAACAAAAAAGCCTGGGTAAATAACTGGTTATAAGACTTAACTTTATTAATATATTTCTATAAATTTATTGGAATATTGTTGGACAATTGTGGTCATTATGGTAATGGTACAGAATGTACATGTAATAAATTTTGATGACATCGCAATGTTAATAAAATACCTAACAACGTTGACAGGGAGAAGAGGGAAATTAGGAAGCAATGTGGGAGGTTCAATATCCTCATCTTTTACATAATGTTTGTATTTGAATCCATCTAAAATTGAAAAATTGTTTATAAGATATAATGACTTAATGTTAATGTTTTTATTTCTTCTCTTAACCTGAAAGTGACACTTTAAAATGTCAATACTTACAGTGCTTAAAGTGGATTTGTTAAAAATCAGTACATTTTTTCAACATCACTTCATTAATTTTTTTTCATTTAATCTAAGTAGTATTTATCCCAAATTGCATTTAGTAAAAGATATTTCTTGCTTCATATCCAGATCTAGGACACAGCTACTTTGGCCCATAAGGAAAAATTCATTTGGCCGTCTGCTTAAGTTTTTGGCACTTCATTCAATATATTTCTGTTACTTTAATATAAAAGTTTTTAAAAAGCAATTCTATCTTTTAAAAATATTTATTCTCCTAATCATGTTTTCATTTGATGTTTATAATTTTTAATTCTGAGTAGTGAGACTGAGGGTTTCTAAAAATTATCTGTAGTTTTCTTCATTGTTTACATTCTTTGAGTAAACATATGTCTTTTATACTCACCAAAAAACACACACACACACATTCTAACAAGGCATGAACTGTTTTCTATTTTTCACTTGAAGATTAGTCATTTTTCTTCAAATTCCATGGAATTTTGTTAGACTTTTATGATACAATGTATCATCTTCTTCCTTGAATCCATTGTGTATACGTATTTAATTTACAATAGTAAAATTATATTACACATGTTAGCCGTTTATTTTAACTTTCTTCAAAAAGTAACATGACATTTAGTTATTTGAATCTAGGAAAGTTAAATTCTATAAAATTACAATAAGTGTAGGCTACAATTTTAATCAAAATGCACATAATTTTTAAAGTGAATAGTTTAATTATCATTTAATAATATCAAAGTTAATCTCAAAAATTTGATTAAAAACACATTATCAAATAATTAAATGCTTAGAGCTAAAAATTGAGAACATTTGGTGCTTATTCAACAAAATTCCAAGTTTCATTGTTTTAGAATATTAAAAATCGTGTTTTCATGTGTTATAGTATACACCAAAAATACTTATTTCCCATATACTCTCAATTTTTTTCATTGAACATGTTCTTTTCACAGGGAAACATTCCCTTTAGTTTTTCAGCTTTTTTGTTTGTTTGGTTTTGTTGTTTGGTTTTGTTTTTTGTTTTGTTTTTGTTTTTCTGAGACGGAGTCTCACTCTGTCTCCCAGGCGGGAGTGCAGTGGTGCAGTCTCCACTCACGGCAACCTCCACCTCCTGGGTTCAAGCAATTCTCTGTCTCAGCCTCCCGAGTAGCTGGGATTACAGGCGCCCACCACCACGCCCGGCTACTTTTGGTATTTTTCGTACAGATGGCGTTTCACCATCCTGGCCAGGCATTTCGTGAACTCCTGATCTTGTGATCCACCCACCTCGCCTCCCAAAGTGCTGGGATTACTGGCGTGAGCCACCGCCCCCGGCCAGTTTTTCAGCTTTTTACTCCTCCATTTTGACCTTCCGTGAATGAGACTCACTCTCTCAAATCCATATCCATTGAAGTCTCTTCAGATCAGTGGTGTCTTAATATTGTTTCTAAACCTCCTAATCTCATTAGAAATATAAGGGTAATAAGAGGATGGAGAGGAAGTTTCCGACTGAGATCAGGTGGTTAGAAAATAGTTACCTCTTCCTGGATTGTCTAGAAAGTAATTTACGTTGAAACTCGCACATACATTTTAAGCCCAATATAATACTCTGTACTATAGAACTAAATTCCACTTGCGTGAATTACAACTACTGAGAGAGAATACCTAGAACCGAATTCAATATATCATATTGTATTAGGCCGTTCTTACATTGCTTTAAAGAAATACCTGAGACTGAGTAATTTATAAGGAAAAGAGGTTTAATTGGCTCACAGTTCTGCAGGCTGTACAAGCATGGTGCTGGCATCTCTTGGCTTTTGGGGAAGCCTCAGGAAGCATTTATTCACAGCAGAAGGTGAAGCAGGAGGTTGCCCGTCACATGGCGAAAACAGGAGCAAGAGAGATGACTGGCGGGCAGGTTGTCACACACTTTTAAACTACTAAATCTCGTGAGAACTCACTCACTATTGTGAGGACAGCATCAAGCCATGAGGTATCCACCCCTATGACCCCAACGCCTCCCATTAGGCCCCACCTCCAACACTGGAGCCCACATTTCAACAGGAGATTTGGAGGGGACACATATTCAAATCATATCACATATTTAGCGTCATTTCAAGTTAATTTTGTGAAGGAATTTGTGTAATCAAAATCCTGCCAGTCTATTGAAAACTTTGAAAAGTCGAAGTCAGAAATTATTTCAAATCGAATACACTACTATTAATAAAATTACACTGCACAAAATCTATGGTTTTGAGAGCTTATAGCCTAGAAGAAGCAGGAAACCACGTAGGTTTTTGTGGGGGTCTACACATAAGATTGCCTCAAATACCCTGAGCATGCAATGTGGAGTCCAAAGCCTTCCCAGATTTCTTCAAACTCCTAGCATGTTATGCTGCCTTGATTCTTTCCCCCATGTGAGCTCTATAGCTGTGCGTTGTTGAAGAAATCAGAGCTGAGTAGCAGTTAAAATGGAAAAACAAAAAAAACCCAGACTTTATTTAAAAACTATTGCAATAGGGGAAAAGAGATTTCAGTATTGAATAGAACTGAGCTCAGTTCCAAATATATCATGGATAAGTGGGGATTTATATTCAAGGGAGGCAGTCTGGAATGAAAAATTACTGAGATTAAGCATCAAGAGTAGAGGGTTGATTCTGGTTTAATATACCTAACAGGAATCTTGCTGAAGGCAGGCTGGAGTGACCAGCCATCACTTGGGGGATGAGGAATTTGATCAGACATTGAGGTTCATCAGATATCACATTTAGGACGTTTTCTTTAAACTGACTTAGCAAGATTCTCATTACAATTGAGTGATGCCAAGACTAACAGAGACCCCCAAATGTAGATGTCTAGTTGGGAACAGGATTCACAGGTGCCGAACTAAAGTTTGACTAACTAAAACTTAAACTGAAGAGAGCCATTGTCAGCATGTTATTTTTTTTTCACCCAGACAAACCTAAATAACTCATTCTTTTCCCCAACTTCTATAAAAAAAAATCACTTATAACAACCTTTTAACAAATGTTAATGAAAAATTGTGACTAGTAAGGGGAGGTCACAGAGAGGAATTTTGCCTCATTTTCCATTCTTGTTCCTTGTTAGGTATCTTCCCAAATTATTTCCTGGAGATCCAAATCCTTCTTCCTTTACTTGCAAGAACAGTTCTATTTCCATATTTGCACAGCCACTCCCATTCAGGTTTACTCTCAAGAAAACTGAGGAAACCCTGTTAATAGGACCCATTATTCTCAGAAAGCCAGTAGAATTAGAAATGGAAATTTTCTGCTGACGTGCAATTGATGCTGTAGTAGCATGTGCTACAGTTCCGTGCCCAGGATAAAATAGAGGGCACCATGTTGGGAGTGGACAGTCCTACTAAAGGCATCATGAATGGCTCCATGTAAAAGATGACTCTGGAGCTAAAGCTTGAAAGATAACATCTTGTATAGACGGTCGCCATGATCATAAGGTGAAGTCAAGAGATGGGAGTTGAGGAGGAAATATTCAAACAGATGGAACAAAATGAACAATGACACAGAAGTTCCTTTTAGCTGGAGTGTGTGACTGTGAGTCACGGTGTAGGAATAGAGAGGCTCAGGAGAGAGAAAATAAAATATGAAACTATCCAGGGAGTAAGGAATCAGGTCATGAAGAATATTGTATATCTGTTAAAATATTTGAGTTGAATCCCTTGAGTCATCTATTCTGAGTCACAGGAATATGTTACAGCATGCATTGAAAATGTTTAATATTGAAGAACCAAAGTCTGACTTTTTCTATCCTATGTGATTCCTGCATTGCCTATATGATACTCTCACTCAGTTGGATTGCAATATACTTTTTTGAGTGGGCAAGAATGGGATGTAATTAAAGCTAGCATACTGGGACATGTTCATAAGCCTAGATGCTCCCAAGGATGTTTCTTTCTTCTGAAAACCATGTTTCATGTGGGCCAGAGTACAAAACAAATATTGAGAAGCATTGTTTTGGGCATTAAGGATTTTAAGCATGGAAGGGCAAATAATATTTGATCTTTTAGAAGGATCATTTTGGTAGACAAATAGGATCTACTTGGCAGCTTATCAGATATAACTCAAAGAAAAATTGGCAAAGGTCTGTATTAAGTAGTAACAACAGAAATTAAAAGAAGGCAAATTACATGAAAACTATTGTGAGGCTAGGAACGAGGGAATGGGACTGAAGGGCTCGTTAACTGCGGAAGGGTAAGGAAGACAATGTGCTCAGTAATCCACCCTTTAATGTTGGCTGTGTTTAAAGCCATTGAAACCACTTTGGAAGAACTCTTGGGAGACATGAGGCAGAGGGTGAGAAATGCCTGAAGACCTTTAGGAGAATTTAGAGCATTTAGTTCTGTCCAAAGTAAAATCCAAGGAGCAACGCTCCAAAGTTAAGTCAATGCCATGTTCTGGGTAAATGCCTCATGAACGGAAATCCTAAGATTTCTGTACAATTTCCTCTTAGGACTCTTAAAGTCTTTAATTAACTAGAGATCTAGTATCAACTGCACTAAAACTAAGCTACTTCAAACATACTGAATTATCCATTGAAACCCACACTCCAGCAGGTGTCTTGTTAGTCAAACTGTCACCCTGCCTAGCTGACATTTCAAACTCAAAAAGTCTTGAGGCACTCAGATTGTCAAGGTGCATGTGACTCAAAAGCCACATGAGAAAAAGTACTCAAATGTGGGAAGCCTAGGGATGTTGGATCTGGAGGGATGTGGTTTTGTGAATCCTGGCCACCTAATTGGCTATGAATAAGTGAAATATGATCCATATATTGATGTACCTATTGATATGAGATAGTAAAAATAATTTTTTCAACTTCACGTGCAAAACAAGTGTTTTCTTTCAGTCTGTACTCAGTCTCAGGCATTAATAAATTTGAAATTTTTCTGTCATTTAAGGATACCTATTCGCAGAGGTGGGAAGATGGTTTCTAGAACTAAATTTTAAACATACAATTACTCATGCTCTTCAGTATAGTAAGTTTATGTGGCTGTTTATTCTGTCTTCTAAAAGGAGAGTATTCTTTATTCCTTTTTCAAAACCTAAATTCTTATGTAACTAGAAGCAAAGATTATATTTTGATTACCTTGTGGTAAGAATTTAAATAGAAATGACAGTTATTACAATTTATTTTGGCTTAGACAAGTTATACTATTTCTAAATCTGGCCACTTTCAAAGAAATGAAAAAATCTTAATACATACAGATACACATTATTTCTCACTGTCACATTGAAAAATGTACATTTTTTTCAAAATTTCCAATTTACTCTAAGGCCAGAATAAAAAAAAATCATGCATATAAAAAGGGCATTGTTCGAAAGGTATAAATTCTGGAAAACTCCTAAAACAGTCTCTGACTGTCCAAGGTAACTTTTCAGGGTAAACTGCCATTATTAGGTTAAGTTAAAATGTGTCTCAAAAAAATTAGTAGATTAAATTACATTTAGTTAACCAAGAAATCTGTATTTATTGAAAACATGCTGTTTGCCTCAGTTCAGGTTTACATTATAGCTCAACTGGCATTCTAAATTACCCACTCTTGCAACTTGTATTGCTTCTTTTTTGTTTCATTCTTTACATTGTTATAAAGTGTTACCACTGGAACTCAAATCAAATTGTATCACTCTCTTACTTAGTAACCTTGTGGCTACCACCTCCAACTCTATCTTTTGCATCTCATATACAATCAGCTGTGGAAACACTGCAGTCCCACTTCCCAGATCGCTTATTCATTCATAGATGTGGTTGGGGGAAATTTACACCCTCTTATCTAGGACCAGCTCTTCCCCCCACACCTTCTTCTCCAAGGTAATTCTTATGAGTCTGTCTGATATATTTATTTCTGTTTTGTTTTCCTGATGCAAAACATTAAATATAATAAGTATAATGATTGAAAGAATCTGCATAATTCACAGAATAAGAATTCCACTAATTTAGTTGTACTTCTAAGAATAAAAATATAGACATATCACAATCATCATGTTTTTTGGTCTACTTCAAATAGACAACTTCATATTTATTAATCAGTGAGGTAGAATCCAAACTGAATTCAATTCTTAGTTTTGAGTTCTTAGTCCTTCAAATTCCTTTTACAAATATTTTGATATTAGTATATTTATATTCATTTAGCTAGAAATTATGGTCCAGTCCTGTTCTCATTAATTAATTAACTTAATTAATAGGAATGTCTGAGTTCATGTCAGGGCCTAGAAGACTCATCTGCTGTGGGAAGGCATGAATTCCCCAATGTGTCTGGGCATACTGACAACAAACAGGGAGAGCTGCCCTTCTTAATAAAGTTTGATTGACAGCTGTATTGTGCTGAGTGTGATTATATGGTGCCTAGTCCTGACGGGTTCAGTCCAAAATAATGCACCATGTGGATCACAAGCCTGCTTTAAATGTTCTACCATTTTATAATTGTCAAGAGAGAGAATTTAGATAGAATGTCAGTCAAGTTTTTCTGTTTACCTCTGCAGCCATGAGCTTTGGTTAGATAATCTCTGCGTTATCTATATCACCTGGATTTTTATGAAGCTCATAATCCAAATTCAATTATTTTTATGTTTTTCTAATATGATTTTAGGGTCCCTTATACAGAAAAAAGCTGTAGTAGCAGGTACCATTTCTAATTCATATGAATGAAACGAATCCCACCAATATGGTACCCTTTTTCAGTTTCTATAAAATAATCTCCATTCCTTAAAAAAATACTTACTGTTTGTCAAGAAGATATATATTATTAATTTGATTCTCCCATTTTTTTACTATTGGTTTTGGTATCATAGTCTCTTATTTAAATAATAGATGCAAACACAGTAGAGACCAACAGATAAAATGAACTCAACCAAATTTTCTCTCTGCAATTGACACACAAGTAAGGCGTTTGTTTAACAGGCCTTGTGTGTATGTTTTGTAGTAATTTAAACACACAGAATATACTTTCATTTTCATTTGTCTGGAAAACAATGTTGAAACCTTTTTTTTTTTTTTTTTTTTTTTTTTTGCCTCCTGAGTAGCTGGGATTACAGGCGCCACAACACCCAGTTAATTTTTTGTATTTTTTGTAGAGAGGGGGTTTCATCATGTTGGCCAGGTTGGTCTTCAACTCCTGACTTCAGGTGATCCACCCACCTCTGCCTCCCAAAGTGCAGAGATTACAGGTATGAGCCACTGTGCCCGGCCACAATGTTGAAACATTAACATGAATTATTACAATCACTTTCTCATTGATTTTCCCACCAGGTGCAAGGAACCATCTTCCCAGCTCCCAATTTCAATCCCATAATGGATGCCCAAATGCTAGGAGGAGCACTCCAAGGATTTGGTAAGTCTGATTATTTCTACCATCTTTTATTGTGATTATTTTTTGCTTTACCTTGTTTTAAGACTATACTGTGGGTATAAAATAGTTGATGTCTTACAAAACACAGATACAGATTAGACAAAAAAAAAAAAAACTGAGCAAAGAAGTAGAATGAGAAGAAAAATAATATAAAAAGACAATAATGATGAACAAATTTGCCTTTAGAAATTGCTAGTCTAATCTTAAAATGTTTGCCTTAAATCCATAAGTGCCTCATCACTAACTACTAAATGAAATCTCCACTAAAACACCTTAATCCAGGATAGAGCATTCTTTTTAACCTTTGCTTCTGTTTTCTAGCTTGTTTCATTTGCTATTTGCTATTTCCACTTCCAGTCAATCAAACTTTTTGCTATTCCCCCAAATGACTCTGCTTTTCACATCTCTGTAAATTGGCCCAATCACTTCTCTGCCTGGAATGTTATTTTCTTCTCTTGTCTACTTTTCATCTAAATTCTCTTCTTCAAGAATCTGTTCAGATGAGCCTTCCTCTCTGAATCCTTCTTTGGGCACTGCAAGCTCAATCAGCTATGCCAACCCCCCAGGCACCTTACTTCCTACCTCTCACTCCCCTAATCTCATTTGCACTGTGCTTATGTTTGTCTCACCTGCTGACTGGACTGTGAACTCCCAGAGCTTGGAGTTTGACATAGAGGTGATTCATAATGAATGATACTAAAGTTTAGAAAAAGTATATAGAGAGAGAAGAAGGGAGGACAATTTTGGGATTCTTTTACAAAAAAAAATATTATATATATAATTTTTAAGATATCATATGGAGGTATTAAACTTTCATATAGTTTCCTACAATAAAACCTGTTTTAAGAAGACTCTTGATGAGCATAAAGACAAACATAGACAACATAAAAGAAATCTTTGCATAAGGCATGCAAAAACTTTCATAAGAAAGCAAGCTCTTAACTTTAAAGACAAGGTCGCCTTTACAGGAGCTTGACTGTGTGTGTGTATGCATGAATGCACATCTGTGTGTTTTATTCACTAGCAGTATCCCATAGGAAAACAATAGAGGACTTAAAATATGCTCGCTAAAGCTGACTTTAGGAGTTTGCAATGCTTTCATGCCTTTTAAAATATCAGTCATCACTAGAACAATAAAAAGACAAGTTAACACAAAGTTATGAATTAACTTTTTATTGAGGAGTGCAATTTTTGCTTTAAAACTATGGGTCACAGCAATCTGTTCACCAAAAAGTTTTTCTTTGCTCCAGTTTCAATGTTCCTGTCATTGCAATTTTAGGGTCAGAATAAGGATTCATTTTGACCATCATAATTTGTTGCTTATCAGTGTATTAGGCTGAAGTACGTCAGGAGGTTTTGGGCTTTGATTGCACGGTGTCCACTGTAGCATGCCAGAGCATGAACACAGCTCAAATTGCTTTAAAGTTCTATCCATCTCCATGACTCTGGCGAAGTGTTATTGAAAAAGACAATAACTAATGTTTTTCTTAGCTACTGTGTTTTATTTAGAAAAATCTGAAAGCAAAAACGTATTCTGAAACAAATGAAAGTGAGTAGCTCTGATAGAAATTGCTTTAAGTTGTATAAAAATTTACTCATCATCTATAAAAAGAAACACTTATTAGTTAACATTCCCTAATAGTACAGTCTACTTTCCAATTTATCACCACTTGAAGATACTTTCCTGCCCATGCATTCTTATAACCATTTTTATTTTGTATCTATTAACATGTGTAATTGCTAGGTCAGCCCTGTGAGATCCTGGACAACCGAAGTCATTTTTAACCTACATTCCTAAATCTTGACAAAGGAGAACACAAGTCAAAATTAATCTTTTTTGAAATGCTCAGTGCTATTCAGAGTGGACAATCTCAGCTTGTTCCTGATCTTTCTGATCATTAAGTATGATGCTAGCTATAGGATTTTTGAAAACGTTCATTATGAAGTTAAGGAAGTTCCCCTCTATTCTTAGTTTGCTAACAGTTTTTAACTTGAATAGGTATTGGATTTTGTCAAGTGATTTTTCTTCATCTGTTGATATAATCACATGATTTTTCTCCTTTTTCCTGTTGATGCAATGGATGACATAACTGATTTTTAAATGGTGAAACTGCCTTGCATATCTGGAATAAATCCCACTTAATCATGAAATATAATGCCTTGTATGCATTATTATATCTGACTTTCAAACTTTTTGAGGATTTTTGCATCTATCTATGCTCATGAGAAATGTTGGTCAGTAATTTTCTTTTCTTGTTGTGCCTTTCTCTGGTTTTGGTATTAGGGTAAGGCTGACCTAGTAGAAAGAGTTATGAAGCATTCTCTATGCTTCTAATTTCTGAAGGAGATTGTAGAAAATTGATATTTCTTTCTTAAAAGTTTGGTAGAATTCATAAGTGAAGCCATATGGACCTAGTGCTTTCTATTTTGTGGGTTATTAATTACCACCGACTTAAGTTTTTGATAGATATGGGCCCATTCAGATTGTCTATGAGTTTGGGTAGGTTGTGTCTTTGAAGAAATTGATCCATTTCATCTAGACTATCAAATTTGTGGTCTTAGAGTTATTAATAATATTTTATTATGATTTTAATGTCCATTGAGATTGGTAGTAATGGCTCCTGTTTCGTTTCTGATATTCGTAAGTTTTATCTCTCTCTCTCTCTGTCTCTGTCTCTCTCTCCCTCTCTTGCTTTCTCTCTCTTTCCTTAACCTAGCTAAAGCCCTATAAATTTTATTGATGTTTCCCCCAAAAAAAACCAGCTTTTGGTGCCATGGATGTTTTCTCTTGATTTTCCAATTTCAAATTCATTGATTATTGCTCTAATCTTTCTTTTCTTCTATTTATGTTAGGTTTAATTTGCTCTTCTTTTTCCAGTTTCCTAAGATGCAAGCTTAGATTCTTGATTTCAGATTTCTTTTTGTTTCTCTATATGCATTTTTCTCTAAGCATTGCTTTTGCTCATCTCATAAATTTTGAGTCATATTTTTACTTTCAATTTGTTTGAAATTTTTAAAAATTCTCTTGTCACTTCTTCTTAGTCTCATGTGTATTTAGAAGTGTGCTGTTTAATCTGTGTGTATTTGGGGATTTTTCCAGCCATCTTTCTGTTACTGATTTCTAGTTTAATTTCATTGCAGCCTCAGAGCATATTTTGTATGTTTTTTATTATTTTAAATTGTTAAGATGTGTTTTGTGGTCAAGAATGTGGTCTATTTTGGTTAATGCTCCATGTAACTTGAGAAGAATGTGTATTCTGCTTTTGTGGCAATAAGCATTCTATAGATGTTAATTAAATCCAGTTGATTGATGGTGCTGTTCATTTCAATGATACCCTCACTGGTTTTCTGTCTGCTGGATTTTTAAATTACTTATAGAGTAATTGACAAATTACTCTAGAGGTGTTAAATTGCCCAGTTATAACAGTGGATTCTTCTATTTCTCTTTGCAATTCTATTATTTTTTTCCTCATCTCTTTTGGCACTCTGTTGTTTGGCACATACATATTAAGGTTTGTTATATCTTCTTGGAGAACTGACCCCTTTAACATTTTGTAATAACCCTTTTATTCCTGATAATTTTCTTTGCTTTGAAGTATTCTTTGTCTAAAATTAACATAGCTACTCCAACTTTCTTTTGATTGCATTTGCATGGTATATAATTCTTCATTCTTTACTTTTAATCTCTCTGTGTCTTTAATGTTGATTTCTTGTAGACCACTTAGTGCTATTAAGAAATAATTTTACTCACCTCAGTTAAAATGAGTTTTATCCAAAAGACAGACAATAACAAATGTTGGCAAGAATGTGGAGAAAAGAGTACCCTTGTACATTGTTTCTGGGAATGTACGTTAGTACCACCACTATGTGGAACAGTTTAAAGGTTCCTCAAAAAAATTAAAAAGTGAGTTATACCATGTGATCCAGAAAATCCACTGCTGGGTATATACCTAAAAGAAAGGAAATCAATATATCAAAGACACATCTGCATTCTTGTGTTTGTTCCAGCACTATTTACAATAGCTAAGATTTGGAAGCAACCTGTGCATCAACAGATGAATGGATAAGGAAAATATAATACAAATACTCAACAGAGTACAATTCGACCATAAAAAAGAATGAGATCCTGTCATTTGCAACAACATGGATGAAAGTGGAGATCATATGTTAAGTGAAATAAGCCAGGCACAGAAAGACAAACATTGCATGTTCTCACTTATTTACGAGATCTAAAAATCAAAACAATTTAACACATGGACATAAAAAAGTAGAAGGATGATTACCAGAGGTTGTGAAGGGTAGCGGAGGGCTGCTGGGGACTCGAGGATGGTTCATGGGTACAAAAAATAGTTGGAAAGAATGAATAAAACATACTATTTGATAGCACAACAGGGTGACTATAGTCAATAATAACTGTGTATTTTAAAATATCTAAAACTGTGTAATTGGATTGTTTGCAACTCAATGGATAAATGCTTAAGGGGATGGATAACCCATTCTTCATGATGTGCTTATTTCATATTGCATGCCTATATAAAAACATCTTGTGTACCCCATAAATATATATACCTATTATGTAACCACAAAAATTAAAAGTAAAAAATTAAGGAATAATTTTAAATTTTAGTAATAATTATGTTCTTGCCTAGGAGGCCACTTTTACCTATTTGACCATACAGTCGATTCTCATTATTCACAAATGCTATATTTACAAATTTATCTACTCACTAAAATTGTTTTATAACCCCCAAATCAATATGCACAGATATTTCGTGGTCATTTGCAGACATGTGCAGAGAGGTGAAAAATTTTAGTCACTAGAATGCATATTGCTGGTTGAAATCAAACAAGGTGACCTCTGCCGTCTTCTTTTAGCTTTCATGCTGTAAATAAGTCCTTTATGCAATCTATGTAGTGACACAATTTTGCATTTTTATGCTTTGCTTGGTGATTGTGCTGTTTAAAATGGCCCCAAGCATAGTGCTGAAGTACTGCCTAGTGTGTTCCTACGCACAAAAAGAAGTATTCAAGAAAAAAATATGTGTGTCACATAAACTAAATTCAAGAATTAGTTATAGTACTGTTGACCATGAGTTTAATGTTAATGAATTAATAAAATAATACATCCATAAAAAATAATAGAAAATGTATTGATCTCTGCACGATGCTGTTTGGAAAATGCTGAAGTAACATCTATTCTATGTTATGAAGTATGGAAAAGATGAAAAAATGGCTGAATTTTTGGGTTCTTGAGACTATAACTGATAACAAAATTAATAATTTTAAAAAATAATCAAGGCAGTCAGCTTTCTTTTGAAAGCAGTGTTGGGTGGCAGGTTAGAAAAATTCTGTAGATCAGGAGGCTACAGAAGAGCTTTAAAAATATCTCTTAAATGTTTATACAGGAGAAGGCTATCTGGAAGTATAGTTTTCAATGCTAACAAGACTGGCTTGTTTCATAAGGACATTGGCAAACAAACATAATGCAAATGACATTTCAGTTGACAAAAAATATTGTAACCACAGGGTTACAGAAACCTAACCCTGCATTTTCCCTAGGAACAATAGTTCAGTATTTACTAATTCAGTGTTCATGGCAAATTTGTAGAATATAAATACCACATACAATGAGTCACTTGTACAAAATAAAATTTGATAAAATTATGATGGTTCATTATGCCCAAATTTTCCATTAAAATCAGAAAAAGATAAATTATTTAGAAATCCCTGACCTAAAGCACTAGGAGAAGAAGGAGAAAAACTTATAATGATTACAAAGAAGAAATCAAAGTTGTGATTATATGAAGAAGAGGTTATATATCTAGAAATTCAAGTTTAATAAAAAGTTACTTAATATTATAAGAGAGTTCAGTAACTTCTCAGGATACAAAGTAAACACAAAAATCAGTATCACTTCTTCAATTAAGCAATTATGTGTTAGGAAATAAAACAAAAATAACATAACTGGGAATATCAATAGAAGTGCAAATATAAGTAACTTTAGCAAAATAAACCTTCTTGTCATTAGCAAAAAGCTCCACAAATCTTTACTAAGTCTTTTAGAGAAGAAAAATCCTTAAATAATAGGTTGGCAGAAATATCATGTAAGTGACAGAAAGACAACACTTACAAAATTGATTCCTAAATTTACAGTTATTTTAATTTAAAAATTGTAATACAATTATTGAGATTCATATAAAATATCTCTGGAAGAATAAATAAACAAGAATTGCTATGAAAACTTAATAGAGCAATTCAGAGCGCTAGATTGTGGATAATCTCAACAGAACAAGAACAAAAAGTAAGACTATAATAATTTCATAAATGTGATAATAGTAAGAATAAGACAAAGAAAGTAATTTTAAAATCTTCTATTTATTATCAAATATATGTTCACTTTAGAATGTCCATCATGCCATTAACAGATTCCTCTACTGGTTTTGTTTTGTTTTGTTTTTTGTTTCTGCCTTTTAGTTCAGGGTCTTAACCAGGCTTGAGCCAGACATCATCTTTCTCTATGCCTTTTCAGTGGAGTCTGCCTTTTCTCTCAGTAGCCATTAATTTCTATCTTTGAAGCCAATTCTAGGCCTTCCTCCCTCCCTGTTACAGCTTTCAGACCATTTGTGCATAAAATACCCTGATGCTCCCCCTGCTTTTCAGTGATACAGTCATCTATGTTAATTCTTAACACTTGTTCTCATTTGCTGGATATTTCAGCACCTTATTCATAGCCTTCCTGTGATCCTAAGCCCATCCAGGAGGGACTTAATTTCAAAAAAGATGATTTGCTTAACATTCTAGCTTTTCAATTCATTTTTCTCCTTATCTCCATTATATATCTTCCCTTGTTGAAGAAAAATTATACCAGATGGAATTAAACAGCAAGGAAGATTCTGCAGTAGGGATCAAGACTATTGCAAGAAGGGAGAGAGAGTGAACTCAAATCCTATGAAACAAAGGCAAGAGAGTTTTTAAGCAGTATGGTGAGATAGTAGGAAAGAACTAAAGGATGTTGGGCAGGGAGGGCATTGGTCAATGTGATTAGGCTATCTGTGATTGCTAATTGGCACTTAACAAAGTCAGGTTCCTGTCCTCACACAGACACTGGGAAATAGGAAATACAGTTTCTATCTTCCCAATGATGACATTTCAAAAGGATGGCTCCCATATCCCTGAGAAAGACAATTTTGGGTTGTCAAACTGCAAGAGGCTGGGAGGAGACTTACATCTCTAAGAGGCAGAGAAAGAATTTAAAATTGCATGTTTTCTAAAATAAATGCTCTAATAAAAGGGAGGTTAGGAGCCTGTAGTTGGGAAGAAACTTATCTAAATTTTAGTCAAGCTAAGGGAAAAGTTAATGTCATATTGCTGACTCTACTATGACTGCAAAATTCATCTAAACTAGTTGTGCACTAAACCAATCTATTAGCTTGGTGTGTTGGCACATGAGGAAGTGAAGGATACACAGACCAGAAACAGTCTATATTAGGGAGGAGATAGACAGGGTGATAGGTGTTCCATGAAAAGCATGACAGGTTCACTCTATCCCTCAGAAGCACACAGATGCCTTGTACTTTCATGATTTCCTTCTCTATTACTCCTCCCTCCTTAATATATGTTCATTATAAGCCATATCTCTCTATTCAACAAGAAAGACACAATATTAGTCAATTCTCACACTACTATAAAGAACTACCTGAGACTACATAATTTATAAAGAAAAGACATTTAATTGGCTCATGGCTTTGCAGGCTGTACAGGAAGCATGGCTGGGGAGACCTCAGGAAACTTACAATCATGGCAGAAGGCAAAGGGGAAGCAGGCACATCCTACATGGCCTTCCTACAAGGAGGAAGAGAGGAAAAGGAATTGCGACACACTTTTAAACAACCAGATCTCATGAGAACTCACTCACTATCAGAAGACCAGCAAGGGGGAAATCTGCCCCCATGATCCAGTCACCTCCCACCAGGCCCCTCCTCCAACACTGGGGATTAGAATTCTACATGAGCTTTGCAAAGAGACACAAATCCAAACCATATGATTCTGCCCCTGTCCCCCCACAAATCTCATGTTCTTCTCACATTGCAAAATATAATTACTGATTCTCAACAGTCTCCTAAGCCTTAACTCATTTCAGCATTAACTCAAGAGTCCACAGTCCAAAGTCTCATGTGAGACAAGGCAAGTCCTTTCTGCCTATGAGCCTGTAAAATCAAAAACAAGTTAGTTACTTCCAATGTACAATTGGGGTACAGGTATTGGCTAAATACTCTCTTTCCAAAGGGGAAAAATCAGCCAAAACAAAGGGACTAGAGGCCCTATGCAAGCCTGAAACTTAACAGGGCAGTCATTGAATCTTAAAGTTCCCAAATAATATCCTTCGACTCCATGTCTCATATCCAGGCCACACTGATGCAAGAGGTGGGCTCCCAAGGCCTCAGGAAGCTCCGCCCCCATGGCTCTGCAGAGCTCAGTCCCCACGGCTACTCTCAAGGGCTGGTGTTGACTCCCTGTGCTTTTCCAGGTGCATGGTGCAAGATGTCAGTTCATCTACCATTCTAGGATCTGAAGGATGGTGGCCCCCTTCTCAAAGCTCCACTAGGCAGTGTCCCAGTGTGGGGGCTCCAACCCCACATTTTTCCCCCACACTGCCTTAGTAGAGGTTCCTCATGAAGGCTCTGCTTCTGCAGCAGATGTCTGCTTGGACATCCATGTGTTTCCATACATCCTTTAAAATCTAGGCAAAGGCTCCAAAACCTCAACTCTTGCTGTCCATGCACTCACAGACTTAACACCATGTGGAAGCCTTGGCAATTTTCAGCTTGCACCCTCTGGAGCAGCAGCCTGGGATATATCTGGGGTCCTTTTAGCCAAGGCTGGAGCTGGAGCAGCTGGGATGCAGAGAGCAGTGTCCCACAGTTGTGCAGGGTAGCCAGGCAGGGATCTAAATCCAAATATCAGATGTTGCTCCCATTTAAACACTAATCAGCTTAAAGGTCAAGGAGCCATTTTTTTAGTGGAGTAAGAGCTGATTGAAGAGACATTATATTTTCTTCACTCCCCTGTACTTTTGATTGGATTTTTATTTTCCTTTCAATATTTTTTTACAAATTTAAGGGGTACGAGTGCAGATTTGTTGCATGCATATATTGCATACTTGTGGAGTCTGTGCTTTTAGTGTACCCATCACCTGAATAGTGAACATCATACCCAATAGGTAATTTTTTAACCCTTGCCCCTCTTCCACCCTCTCACTGTTTGGAGTCTCTAATATCTATTATCCTACTCAATATGTCCATGTGTACCCTTCGTTTAGCTCCCACCCATCAGTGAGAACATATGGTACTTGACATTTTCTGAGTTATTTCACTTAGGATAATGGCCTCTGATTCTATCTATGTTGCTGCAAAAGACAAGATTTCATTCTTTTTTATAGCTGAGTAGTATTCCATGGTTCCATGGTGTGTATATGCCACATTTTCTTTATCCAATCATCTGTTGATAGACACTTAGGTTGATTACATATCTTGGCTATTATGAATGGTAATGCAATAAACATATAGATGCAAATATCTTTTTTATATAATGATTACTTTCCCTTTGAGTATGTACACACAGTAGTGAAATTTCTGAGTCAAATGATAGTTCTATTTTTAGTTCTTTGAGAAATCTTCATACTGTTTCCCACAAAGATCATACTAATTTACATTTCCACCAACAGTCTTTAAGCATTCCTTTTTTTGCACATCCTCTCCAACATCTGTTATTTTAACTTTTTTTTTTTTTTTTTCTTGAGATGGAGTCTTACTCTGTTGCCCAGGCTGGAGTGCAGTGGCGTGATCTCGGCACACTGCAACTTCCACCTCCCAGGTTCAAGCAATTCTCCTGCCTCAGCCTACTGAGTAGCTGGGACTACAGGCGCCCGCCACCACACCCGGCTAATTTTTTGTACTTTTAGTAGAGATGGGGTTTCACCATGTTAGCCAGGATGGTCTCAACCTCCTGACCTCATGATCCACCCACCTCGACCCCCCAAAGTGCTGGGATTACAGGCATGAGCCATCGTGCCTGGCCATTAACTTTTTAATAATAGTCATTCTGACTGACGTAAGATGGTATCTCATTGTGGTTTTAACTTGCATTTATCTGCTGATTCATGATGTTAAGCATTTTTCATATGTTTGGTGGCTGCTTGTATGTCTTCTTTTGGAAAAAAAAAAGTCTGTTCATATCCTTTGCCCACTTTTTAATGGAGTTATTTGTTTTCTCTTGTTCTTATTGCAGTAGCATGCTGTTTTGATTACTATAGCCTTGTAGTATAGTGTGAAATCAGGTAATGTGATGACTTTGGCTTTGTTCTCTTTGTGTAAGATTGCGTTGGCTATTCAGGCCCTTTTTTGGCTCCATATGAACTTTAGGATTGTTTGTCATAATTCTAGGAAAAATGACACTGATAAGCTGATAGTGATTGCATTGAACCTGTAAATTGCTTTGGATAGTATGATAATTTTAGTGATATTTATTCTTCCAATTCATGAGCATGAAATAATTTTCCATTTGTTTGTGCTATCTATGATTTCTTTCAAGTGTTTTGTAGTTACCCTTACAGAGATCTTTCACTTCCTTGGTTAAATGTATTCCTAGATATTTTATTTATTTATTGTAACTATTATAAATGGAATTGAGTTCTTGATTTGGTTCTCAGCTTGATTGTTTTTGGTGTATAGAAATGCTGCTGATTTTCATACGTTGCTTTTGTATCCTGAAACTTTACTGAAGTCATTTATCAAATCTAGGAGTCTTTTAGAGGAGTCTTTATAGTTTTCTATAAGATGGTAAGATCATATCATCAGCAAACTGAGATAGTTTGGCTTCCTCTTTTCCAATTTGGGTGTTTTTTATTTTTTTCTCTTGCCTGATTGCTCCAGCTAGGGCTCCTAGTACTATGTTGAATGGGAGTGGAGAAAGGAAATATCTTTGTATTGTTTCTGTTCTCAGGGGGAAAGTTTTCCCTGTTCAGTATGATGTTGGTTGTGAGTTTGTCATATATGGCTTTTATTATTTTGAGGAATGTTCCTTCAATGCCTAGTTTAAAGTAATGGCACTAAATTAGGAGATAGGAAGGATCCAGGCTTCATCAAGCATCATTACATGATTTCCAATTTTAGTTAAAATTGTTCCCTGCTGTAAAATACCATCAGGGATAATGCGTGCATACTGGTTATGATCGTTAGATAAAGGATTCTTCCCAACTACAAAGTAGCAACTTTACTAATCTTCAAATATTATTCTTTTCCAGACTGTGACAAAGACATGCTGATCAACATTCTGACTCAGCGCTGCAATGCACAAAGGATGATGATTGCAGAGGCATACCAGAGCATGTATGGCCGGGTAAGGCCACTTTATCTTGACCTATTTCTAGGGCAATCTCTTGAGAACTAACCACACTCACGGATAATAGGTATTTTTTTTTTCAATCTCACAGATTGCAAATATCTCAGACATCATTATATGTCAGATACAGTTCATATTCCTCTTACATGTTTCAAGGAATAAAATCTATATTATGAAACAAATATACATGTGAGATATGTTCACACTCACAGTGACCAGTGACCACAAGTTCTTTCCCCAAAATCATTCAGTGTCCCCAAATGAAAAGTTTTGATGAACTTACATTGCCAGTGGGTCCAATTAGGCTTAAAGTGTTGTGCTGGAAACACCCCTGTGGCGAGCTTTAGGGAAGGCACATAAAAAATTAATGATCACCAGTTCAAAATATAACAGCTTTTCCTACAGTTCCTTGCAGGTCCTCACCTAACTCTCAACCAAAGTGAATTCTCTACCAGCTTTTCCTTTCACCAGCATGCAGCTATAGAGACCATTAAAAAAGAATGGCAGTTTAAAAATAGTTTAAGGCAATAAAACTATCCATAGTGTTTTAAAGTAATCATACTCTAATTTCAAAGCAAGTACCATTAAAGATTCCTTGCTTTTGCTATGCATTTAAACCACAAATTCAGAACAAAAACTCTTCAGGCCAAAAGTGCCTGAAACAACAATTACTTCATCAGCTGAGCTTTATCAATGAAACATTATCATAAAACTTTCTCAGTAGAGTTAATCCATGTAAATTTACTCCACCTCTAAACCCCAGTCTTTGAACAACTATAGTAGATGAAATAAAAGATATCCCTCAGCTTTAGATTGAATTAATAATCCAAAAGCTACTATCAGTAGTGACCTTAGTTGAAGTAAGCCAAAGTAGAAGACCAGTGATATCTTCTTTTCCACATAAACTGTTACCTCAGCCTATGTTCCACCTACACCAGTACTAGTTTTCTTTTGAAAGAGAATATAAAAACTATAAAAGTTGTATCACTGGTAATCTAACATTGTTTTAATATGCATAGTGCTATAAGAAATGTCTTTTTTTTTTTTTCTTTGAGATGGAGTTTCGCTCCTGTTGTCCAAGCTGGAGTGCAATGGCGTGATCTCATCTCACTGCAACCTCCGCCTCCTGGGTTCAAGTGATGCCCCTGCCTCAGCCTCCTGAGTAGCTGGGATTACAGCTGTGCGTCACCACGCCCAGCTAATTTTTTGTATTTTTAGTAGAAACGGGGTTTCACCATGTTAGCCAGGCTGGTCTCGACCTCCTGACCTCAGGTGGTCTGCCCACCTCGGCCTCCCAAAGTGTTGGGATTACAGGCGTGAGCCACTGTGCCCAGAGAAGAAATGCCATTTTTAAGTAACTTTTTTTTAACCCAAAGGTTTACATACATTTTTGCTTTTTACAAATCAGGTTAAATTTAGACTGAAAACATTACTTTATCAAGCTCTACAAAACTATGCTAAAGCAGATTAAAACAATTTTAAAATGAAGTACTTACACTCAAGGAATTTAAAATCTACTAAAGAATTTATACTCCACTGAAGAACTTTTCACTGTACATATAAAGTCTCAGAGTTTGTTAAACCCTCAGTTTTGCTGAATAATTCATACCTCCTGGAAAACCTTGGCTGATACACTAAATTGCACTGCCTGGAAAACTGGAAGTCATGTTTGCCTCTTTCCTCTGAAATACCCTTGTCATTTATAATCAATTAGCAAGTTCTGTAAATTATTTCTCTTCACACATTTCTCTCTTTAAACTGACTTACACAGTCTTGATTTAGATCTTCATCATTTTGTGCCCAGACTAATGCTGAAATTCCTAAATGGTCCTGTCTACCCCTAGTCCCTTCCCACTCCAGTCTATCCCCAAACCGTAGCCAGAATGACTCAAAATCTAAATTTTCACACATCACTTTGCCACTTTAATCCTTGAGTGTTTATCTTGTTTCTCCCTACAAACATCCGTGTTTCCATGCGCTACTAAAAAGTATGGGGAATCCTCGGTCCTTGATCATCTTGGGAGTAAGATAATGGCCAAGTGACAATTCAAAGACAGCAGAAATCTTTACTTGAAGGGAAAGAGGGAGCAGAGAGTTTATTTAAAGAGACAGGACATTCTGAAAGATGAGGCAGAGCAGGCTGCTGAAAGAGAATGGGCCAACAGAGAGTCCTGGGTTGGGTTTTTATAACATTGGATTTTTCTTCACGTTCCCTGCTCTGTCTCAAGTCTCTGCCTTTTTTCATTATCTAGTTTTTCTGCTTCTGCCGTAAGCCCTTGCCTTTTCCCTGCCTAGTTTCCACCCCAGGTTTGTGGGGCCCTCCCTTACTATTAGTCAGTGCGCATGCGTGGGCCAGGGGTTGGATACGAATTCTATCTAATGGCTGCACTGCTCATTACCACCACCCCAGTAAGGTCGTACAGCAGTCAAATTGGTACTTGTGCCTATATATCTCTTAGGAATTTCTCCTTTTTCCTTTTCCTTTCTTTCTGCTCACAGTTGACTAATTGTCCACCCGCTACAGCATTAGGGATTCTATTAATATGTAAGCGGTGGGTGGTCCCTTGGGCCTAAGACTTCCCAAGCTTTTCCTTTCTCAAGGGCTCCCCTTGAGTAACCCGCTCATGTCTAGCCATCTGCCTACACATATTCCTACACATGGAATAAACCTAATGCCTTCCCAGGGCACACGAAGCCTTGCTTGCTTTGTTCCTGCTCTCCGTCTTCATCCCTCTCCCCTTCCCTAACACAATTTTCACCTGCAGTCAAATAGAACTGCTATACTTGTAGTTCTTCAAATTAACCATGGCTGCCCCTCACCACCAGTCATGTTGTTTTATCTATCTTCAATAACCTGATTTCAATACCACAGGCTGGACACCTATCATCCTTCCAGGTACTAGACACAAGACCTCACAGCCCCCCACCAGATCGAGTGGAACAGACTTGGGCTGCTAATACATCCTTTTTGTAATTTCCTCACAGTAACTAATGACACATCTGAGAGCTTGTTTGTATCTGTTTCACTCTACCACAGTCTAAAGCTTTGAAAGCTGGGATGATTCTTGTTCATCCTAGAGCTTACCATAAATGTCTGTCTAGCATACCAAGATTGCTTAATTAATGTTTATTGAATGACATTGTAAAGGTGCATCTAACTACAACTCCTCCAATAAGACACAGGCAGGCTTTGACTGCTCCTGTAAACTTTCCCAGCCTGTCATGCTCACCCTCTACTCTGTGTTTCCTGCTTGGTTCCAAGAGATCCTTGTGCATAATGCTACTGGGTTGTGCTGGTTCACTTTTACATCTTGCCAATAACACTGTAATCTCCTGGAAAAGCAGGGATTGTAATATTTGCTGCTATCCCTCCAGAGCCCAGCCCAGGTCTGGCATAGAAGAGGCATTTCATTTACAGAATCAGTGAATCTAAGGCATTATATTCTGCCTATTTACTTTTTTTTAAAGAAAAGGAAAAGCATCCTTTCATTATCCACTCTGTAGTTAAAATGAATCTACACCAATTGCCTAGATTTCTTTTCTCTCATTCCTTGCCCTGGCTGCTACCAGGTTAATTTCTCCGACCATCAGTAAGGTCTTCTTGACATCTACCACCGCTCACATTTAGGACTACTTCTTCCACCTGGCCAAGGTGTATCTCCTGCTACTTTTCCCTTTCTGTGGTAAGAATGTATACATTAACCCCTATGTTAATCAATGGTATTTTAAATTTTCATTAACAAGAATAATCAAGAGTTGACAGAATCATTTTCTTAGCTGCTGAGTGAAGTACAATTCTCAGCAGGCTCCATGAACACTTCTTACTTGACATTTTACATTCGTGCAGAGTGGCTGAATTTCATCAGCTTTGCCTTACCTATTGCAGAAACTAATCCCTAGACTCAACTGAAAATCCACTTGGAATTCCGCTGATTGACATATTTATCAAAGTAATTCATGAGGTCACTTCTGATCTTCCCCACCAAAGCAAGTGCTAGTTAAAAACAATGCAGTGACACCAAGGGAACAATGAAATGCCCTTGTGAATGGGGAGAAGAATAAACAGACAATGATTCTTGGAGAAGTTCAAATTCAGCATTGATGCAATTAATTTTCTCATTTTTCATCTAAAACAGGGACTATCCGGTCTAAAATATGCTGGTTTCTGTCATTCATTTAACCCACATGGTTGGTTAAGCAATTTAGTGCCGGGGCTGACTTGCCCAAAAGTAAAACTTCAACCAAGGTCATCTGACTATTAAATTGTCTCTTCCACAGCTTCTCAGTAATGCCCACTGTTCTCAATGGAGCAAACACTCAGGCTTACAAGGGCAGACATCTATACTGCCAAATCCCTCACATCTTTCAAGGTTTTGCTTAAGTGTCAAATACTCAAGAGGGCCTAATCTAAAGCTGTCACTCACCCCAAGCCCTATGCTAGAGCTCCAGATACCCCTCACCTGACCCACAGGAGGAAGTCCAGGGCAAGCCTATCATCTAACAGTCTTGGCCAGTGAGTTAAGGCAATCCTGAATGCCTTCTAAGGCCAAAATGGTGTAATTAAGTGTCCTCTCTCCAGGTGCCAAGATTGTTGTTCTTTTTTTTTTCCTTTTCTTTCTTTGAGACAAAGTCTCGCTCTGTCACCCAGGCTGGAGTGCACTGCCGCGCTCTCAGCTCACTGCAACCTCCACCTCCCAGGTTCAAGCAATTCTCCTGCAACAGCCTCCCAAGTAGCTGAGATTACAGGACCGTGCAACCACGCCCAGCTAATTTTTGTATTTTTAGTAGAGATAGGGATTTGCCATGTTGGCCAGGCTGGTCTCACACTCCTGACCTCAGGTGATCCACCTACCTTGGCCTCCCAAAGTGCTGGGATTACAGGCATGAGCCACTGCGCCCAGTTGTTGTTCTTACTTACCACTAGAAAATTGACCTGTTCCATTCCAGTAGATATAACTTCAGTTTTTTTCTATCATTTCCAACTGATACCTAGAACTTTAATATGGAATGGTCAGGTGCAAGAGGGACAAAGCCATTTGTATACAATTTCCGGAAAGCTATTATGTCCCACACATAGTGTACCACACATAGTGTACCCACAACAATGATCCTTAACCTTATGATCTGGGATGATGAGATTCCAGAGAGAATCCAAGTGACTGAACCAGAATTGAGTTTGAATTCCTATGTCCACTTTTGATTAGGCTGCTACCCAGAGAATAGACCAACTAGGACACCCTGAGGTTGGTATTGTAATCGCCCAGTGGTTTCTCCTTGCCCTGTGACAAGACAGAGCTGGTTTATCAAGACAGGGGAATATAGAGTTTAATTCACACAGAGTCAGCTGTACAGGAGACAGGAGTTCTATTATCACTCAAATCAGTCTCTCCAAAAACTTGGGGATTGGGATTTTTAAGGATAATTTAGTGGGTAGGGGGTCAGAAAGTGTGGAGTGCTGATTGGCTGGTACAGAAATGAAATCATAGGGAGTCAAAGCTGTCCTCCTCCACTGAGTCAGTTGCTGGGTGGGGGCCGCAAGACCAGATGAGCCAGCTTATCAACCTGGGTGTTGCCAGCTAATCCACTGAGCACGGGGTCTGCAAAATATCTCAAGCACTGACCCTAGGTTTTATAATACTGATGTAGTATTGCTTCCCGGCCTTTTGGATAAGATCAAGTGTATAACACTGATGTTTTCCTGAGGAACAATTTAGGGAGGTTCAGAATGTCACAGCCTCCAGCTGCAAGACTGCTAACCCATAATTTCTAATCTTGTAGCTAATTTGTTAGTCTTGCAAAGGCAGCCAAGGGGATTTGTTTTAGAAAAGGGCTGTTACCATCTTTGTTTCAAAGTTAAATTATAACCTAAGTTCCTCCCAAAGCTAGTTCGGCGTATGACCAGGAATGAACAAGTACATCTTGGAGGTTAGAAGCAAGATGGAGTCAGTTAGCCAGCTCTCTTTCACTGGAATTGCCTCGGTTGTAAGTTTTGCAAAGTTTTGCTAACACCCTACCCACTAAATTATCCTTTCAGTATTAAGAGAAAGAAAGAAGCATCATGCTTAGAAAAGGTCAGAGTGAAATCCCAAATTTTACAAATAGGTTTATATGACCCTTTTCCTCCATCATGGTCATTTTCCAAGAAATTGAAAGGAGGTTAATATTTTCCAGGAACCGCTGAATTCAGGGACCAAACTTCCCTACTAAGCTAAGTAGGCCAGATGAAGGTCAAGAAGATAGAGTCAGAAGTCTTACTGAGCTGATCAATTTGCAGCAATACCAGAAGCCTAGGGATGGTGGAGATCATCAAATACCTTGACTCTTAGTCTATTGTTGAGTGGCTTTTTTTTTTTCTTTGAGACAGAGTCTTGCTGTGTCACCCAGGCTGGAGTGCAGTGGCATGATCTTGGCTTACTGCAAACTCTACCTCCCAGGTTCAAGCAGCCTCCTGAGTAGCTGGGATTACAGGTGCATGCCACCACGCCCAGCTAATTTTTGTATTCTCAGTAGGGACGGGGTTTCACCATGTTGGCCAGGCTGGTCGTGAACTCCTGACCTCAGATGATCCACCCGCCTTGGCCTCTCAAAGTGCTGGGATTGCAGGCATGAGCCACCATGCCTGGCCTTGAGTGGCATTTTTAATAAAACTGCATGATGGTCAGATTTCAAGTAGTCTAGAAAGCCAAAAACATGGCACAGATTATTTTCATGGGCCACAGTGATGTGGCGGAAGTCAGCTGATTGACCTGAAACAGCAATATTGTAACTTGAAAAAGTGTTATCATTTGTGAGGACCTACAGAACTCTATGAGGTAATCAAAGTCTGATGCAATCCATCTGCCAGAACTACAGGGGCAATATCCTATGAATTGTGATTTCCTTTGCCAGGAAAAACGCAAGTCAACCTTTGACAAAAGTGACAAGATTGGCAAGCGGTGGTAACCTTGGCGTCAGAAACATAGAATGCTTTACCATATGCCCAGCTTTTGAGGGTATATGTGTTGTGATGTCCAGTCTGATGATGAATACAGGTAGCAATTGTGTGATCTGAGCAACGCAGGCTGGATCAGCACCTGGATTCCAGTTGGTCTCATCAGAGAATCAGCCCTTACTGTGGACAGCTGCAAGAAGGACACAAAAGTTATCAGAACCTGCATTTTTCCCCCCACAGACTACAGAAGGAAACTTCTGTTTAATATGCAGTTTGTGTTTTTCCAAGAGTTAACCCAAAGAGAAGGCTAACAGCCCAAGAGTGAATAAAAACATTGAGTTTATCAAAGGGAACACTGTTCAGAGCTATAATAGCCTTGATTTCTGCCCATGGGGCAATAATCATTCTTTTTTTGTTCTGCACAGGTGTTTCTGAGTTGAGTAGCCACAGCATCCCAGTGGACACTATCTGGTTTCAGCTTATCTGAATCGCCAGTGAACCAGGCCATGGCATTTAGGGCAACAGATTGAGGTCCCCATTGAATCAGCAGCTTGCTGATTTCCCCAAAAGTTTCCCCCAGTGGAATAGCTACCATTTTTTTCATGTAAATGCAAGACACTGCAGGGTCCAGGCCTACTGGATTCTTTGATGTACCACTTCTATTTGACAGGTGAGACTGGCTGGTTTCTTCCACCTTGCCATTCATTGAGTCCCAGTTGATTTACCCTAATATGGGAATATCAGGCATCAGGGTCACAAGGCCTCCATGGATCAGGCATTCAGTTTATACAAGAGTCCAATAGCAGGCCAGTAGCTGCTTTTCAAAGGGGATATACCTGGAATTGTATCAGGAAGGCAGCAAGTTTAAAACATCAAGAGGCGCCTTTGAGAAGCTGCTTTCCCTTGCCAGAGGCTCCAATCAGCAAACCATCTATCATAGAAACTTATGCCTGAAAGTGATCATTAGGCTTATGGGGCTTCATAGGTAGTAGCACTTCTTACATATGCTGTTTTCCTGTGGAAAGCATCCCCTCCAGTATTTAGGAGCATTCACAGAAGAAACAAATAAACATGAATACCAAGTACGTTCAACAGTGGAAGTTATACTAGTCTAAAGGTCTCCAATCATAAGGTTTTTTGACTTTCCTTCTCCATTTCAAACCTTGTTCAAACCCATCCTTTGAATTCGGGTTTACTTTCACCGATGAGTCCAGGTAGAATGGTGACATGGACACCTGCATCCAACAGATTCACATATCCTTGAGTCCTCCTGCTCCACAAAGGCAAATGGGCATGGCCCTAGTCCACAATGGGAATAGGAAGATCTGTGTCCCACCCTCACTCACTTTTTTCCTGAAAGCAGTAGAAGTTGGGGTAGAGGGAAGGAAAAGTTCAGGGGACATGAGGGAGACAGAGGCTCTGCATTAGTCAGCATGACACGTTGATATCCTGTACAGTGGCTGTGCACACCTCAATCAAATGAATTTCCAATGGTTTTGGCCTACACAAAGTCCTCCATCAGGTGCAACTTCATCATTACTGACCCCATGTGTTTCAGCTTTGTGGGCCCTTGAGCCAGAGGTCAGAACCACAGTTATTTCTGTCACAGCCAAGGGGTTTGAGTCCTTTGAGTGAATTGGGTTTGACCCATATGTGACAATTTTTTTTTTTTTTTTGAGACGGAATCTTGCTGTGTTGCCTGGAGTGCAGTGGCATGATCTCAGCTCACTGCAACCTCTGTCTCCTGGGTTCAAGCAATTCTCTGCCTCAGCCTCCTGAGTAGCTGGGATTACAGGTGCCCACCACCACGCCCAGCTAATTTTTGTATTTTTAGTAGAGACGGGGTTTCACCATCTTGGCCAGGCTGGTCTTGAATTCCTGACCTTGTGATCCACCCGCCTTGGCCTCCCAAAGTGCTGGGATTACAGGCATGAGCCACCGTGCCTGGCCATGACAATTTTTTAAAATGAGTCAGTCTTTGAAATGGACTCTATCTTACTTGCTAACCTATGTTCACAATAACATCTCTTACCTCAAGTTTTTTCCTGTAATTGACATAGGAGCTGGGGAAATTTTCTAGGCACATATTATTATTGATCAATATTTTTATTCCACCTTGTTTTATACTCCCTCAAATTAGTCATTATTATGCCATTGTATAAGTTAGTGTTTCTTTAGTTTTATTTGTGATTCTTAATTTATTTGTACATTTTTCTTCTAATACCCAATTCTATGTTTCTGATTTCGATGTGATTTTTTTTCAAAAGGACATTCATTAGCAGTTCCTTTTTTTCTGGAAATAACAAATAAATGTTAAATTATTTCAATCTTTCCCTGAGAATATTTTTATTATTTCCTCATTGTTAGATATTAGTTTAGATAGCTATAGAATTCTGGGTGGAACTCTAGTTATTTTCCCCTACATCTTTGCAAATATAACTTCAGTTTTGTTTTTTGTTTTTTCTGGCCCTTATCGACACTTCTGAGAAAACTCTTCTGACATCAAGAGGTATTATTTTGTTTGTTTTGATCCTTTTTTCTATAGATTCTCTGTTATTCTCTGGATGCTTTTAAGATAGTTTTCTTTATTTTTGGTATTCTATAGTTTCACTGTGGTAGTCAACAGGCTTGTACATTTTTGTCTAAATAGCTGAGGATTCACGTATTCTGGAAGACTGGAAATAGTGTCTCTCCAGCATTGTCCACATTCTCTCCTACTGTAAATCCTTTTAGACCAAAGTCTGTCCGTCTCATTCACCCTTTCAAGTCTGTTAACTTTATGTTACCATATAAATACCATATATTTCTTGTCCACATATGTAGAATATTTTTGTCACTTTAAAATGTATTTTCCCAATGTGCTGATTTCATTTTCAGTTTTTTACTAGCTACTCTTTTTAGTTTTTAATTTCTAGAATTTTATTTGCTTTCTTTAAAAAGTCTGTTAACTTTTTTTCATAGTATTCCCTCAGATTGTTATTAATGATCTCAAATTCATGGGGTTTCAATTCTGATTGTTGCAGAGTCCACTATATCACCTAGGAGATGGGTCTTGTTTTTTGTTTCTTTAGGGAGAATCTTTTTCTGTTCTGGAGTGTCAGAGAATTTCTGAAGATTGGTTTTGCATTTGCTTCTTCTGTTCCATGAGAATCACTAGTTTGAGATCAGCTTTCATGATGATTTCTCTTCATGGAGGTCTCAGTTCATATGAGTTAAATAAATTTGAACTTCAAGCCTCAGGAAAGCACAGGTCTATTGTTTCAGATTATCAGGGAAAATGTTCTCCTACTCAAAGCCTAGGCAATGAGTGGTGAGCGTGAGCTTTCTGCCAATCTTTCAATGCTGAATAATATTTTTCTTCTAGTTCACGCTGCTACTGAGGATACAACCCTTTGAGGATAGCAACCTCATATGTGAGATTTCAGACTTGATTCCCTGTGTTACATTGCCCAGTAAATGTTCTCTTCTCCTCATACAGTGCCCGAAATTAGGCACTAAAGCCTAAACCAAATAGCTCTCAAAACCAGCCTCTACTTTCCCCAGTCACCTGCAGGATCGTCTCCAAGGTCAGCTCACTTGCTTATCTTCTGGTTTTCATTTTTTCCTGATTTTTACATCAAGCGGTTTCTCTTTCTTCTGAAATCATGTATACTGTTAAAAGTATTTCTGTTACTTTTTATCAGGTATTTGAAAGGGGAGAGTTTAGATTTAATATACCATGTGTGTCTAGAAGACCAAAGTATTATCATTATTATCAAACAAAAAACCCCAAATTTCATTGAAAATTAAATAATTATGTAAACTGCGAAAATATCTGTAAAATGAAGCTATTCGAAAGAATATTCTCTTACCACTGCAAAGTGACGAAGCAACTTGCACAAACATTTTTATAATACTGTCAGCTGAAGAATAACAAGGTTCATAAATTTGGAAAAGAAAGCTTTATGTTTTATAAAAGGTTGCAGCCTGCAGGGTGGCCATTCTGACAGGCTGGGAAGCATGGTCTCCTGCCGAAAACTGGAAACAGACACTTTGATAGCCAGAAGAATAAGACAGAAATTTATGCAGAACAGGGTGGCTGAATATACATATTCAATAAGCTATAGGAGTCATGAATATTTATGAAAGGAGAAACACGCACATGCGCAGTTAAGCTTCATACCTCTCCACAGGACCCACGTTCAAAACATGGTGGTGTTAGCATGTTGCGAGGGTGGAATTTTCAGCCCTCTGACACTGAAAGGTGACAGAAAACCCTCACTGCACATCCTCCATAGACTGGCCAGAACCACTAAGCGGTCAGTGGTCTCTAGCCAGGAAAGAATGCTGGCTGGTTGTTTTGTCTAAACCACAAAAAGGAGAGGCAGTGTAAGAGGGTTGGTTGATATCAGGGGTGGAGTAAGTCTTTCCAAAGGGCTGGTTTCTGGTTAACTCTTAGGAAAGAAAGGCAGTGAGCTAGGGAGGGGGTACCATAAGGTGTATTCTAAATTCCATCCCATCATTGCTAGGAACTCAGTTTTCAAGATTGCTCTGGGGCCCCCTTGGCCAGGAAGGGGTTCATCCAGTCAGTTGAGGGACTTAGGATTTCATTTTAATTTTTCAATATAATATAAAATGATGCAAGTATTTACATAGTGACCACTGGGGGAGGGAGATAGAATTAAGATAAATTCTAAATTTCACTTTATACAGCATGCATCATTGATATTTAAACAGCAAAGAACATTTTAAATAATAATAGAAAAAGCCATATAAGTGAAAAGCATATGAAACTATTCCCCTGAGCATATTCAGACAAGAAAGATGTTAGTCTTACTTCTATTTCTTGCCCCTGTTTATCCATAATAAGATAAAGGTAAGACGAATAAGAAATAAGAAAATGCCATTTTATTTTTAATTTAAATGGAGTGGTTAGAATAGCTGCAGCAAGGGTAGTCTGCAGTTTCATTGGCAACACAGAACAGCTCAATTTGCAAAGCAAGTACTCATTAGCTTAATGTAAGGCCAAGCTGTGATTCCAGCAGAGTCTGCTTTAGGGCAAGTCTTCGGAATACAGGAAAGCAGAGGCAGTCCAGCTGGGGAAAGTCACGCTGCAAAGGTTGCATTTGAAAAGTGGTGTATATATATATAAATCCTAGTGAGAATTTAATACTCTAATTAGAGAACCTATTTGAAGGCTCCACTTTGAACTTGTAATGTTCAGTTATTTAAACATGTTATTCGATATTTATCTTCCCAACTGAAAGTAACACCTCCTTCCAGTGTCCTGATAATAGCATGCTATTCCCATTACTATAGCACTTACCAAATTTTGTATTGTAATTTAATTGTAATTCCTGTATTTCTCTCCACTGAAGAAAACTGCTTGATGATAAGGACCTTCACTTATTTATGTTCAAATTGCCAAGAATGACTCCAAACAAATAATTGTTGAACTACAAGTAGTCCTCATTCACTCTTTCATTCACTCATTCATTTTGTACCTATATTGTAAGTGACGACTATGTAACAGGCACAGTTCTATGGGCTGGTGAAATAGCCGTGAAGAAAACAGACCAACAGCTCTGCATGATGGAGCTTACATTCTACCTATTCCACCTGGGTGGGAGAGATCATGCATAGAAGGCAATAAATGCTTTGGAAAAAAAGCAGAAGCCAGGTAAGAAATACAGGAAGTGTGGGGAGATGGGGTGTAATTTTAAACAGGATAAACAGGGCAGGCTTCACTAAGAAGGCAGAGGGGGTGGACCCTGTGAATACCTAGGGGAAGAACATTAAGGGCACAGTGAAGGGCAAAAGTAAAGGCCCTGACTCCCACAGATCTGCTATTCCAGGTTCAGAAAGAAGCCCGCTGTAGCCAGAGCAAGAGAAATCAGGAGCAAGGAGAATTGTAGGTGATGAAGTCAAAGTTACCAAGAAGATATTATGTATCTTGTTGACCATGTAAGGACTTTGTCATTTACATGGGAATAAAACACTGAGTGTTCATTTTCTTCTAAGATCAAGTGTATAAAATAATGGTATAGTTTATTTTGGAGTGTGGCTTGAGAGAAAACATTTTGAGCAGAGGAGTAACTAATTTGATTTTTATTTTCCCAGGATCACACTCTCAAGGTTGTTGAAGGAGATTGCAAGGTACAAGGACAGAAGGGAAACTCGCTTGGAGGCTATTATATATACATAATAAATAAGTAAATTACATATATATATATGTATCGCCTCCCAGCAATTCTATTTATATAAAATATATTTTATGTAAATAAAATATAACTCATAGGGCTTATTTAATATTTAATATATAAATAATATCTATATTATATATATAAACAATATATCTATTGTTTTTGAGACAAGGTCTCACAGTTAGTCACTAGGCTAGAGTGCCACGGGACAATCACAGCTCACTGCAGCCTCACCCTCACGGGCTCAGGTAATCCTCCCACCTCAGCCTCCAAGTAGCTAGGACTACAGGTGCATGCCACCACACTCAGCGAGTTTTTGGCATTTTTTGTGGAGACGGGGCTTCGCCATCCTGCCCAGTCTAGTCTTGAACTCCTGGACTCAAGCAATCTGGCGGCCTCAGCCTCCCAAAACACAGGCATGCACCACTGTGCCCAGCCAGAGGCTATTATATTAACAAAGGAGAGTGATGATGGTGGCCTGGGTAAAGATCGTAGCAGTAAAAGTAGTAACAGTTCATCAGTTTCTAGATAGATTTGTAAGTTGCAGACAATAGAATCCATTGACAATCGGATATAGCAGGGGTAACCAAGGAGAAAATACAGTCATGGGTTCTTAGTTTCTGTTTCTGGTTGGGCCAAGAAAGGGCCTTCCCCATCCCTCTTTTCTGCTTATCACTAGAGAGAGAAACTAAAAACCATGGCTTCAAGCTGCTAAAAGCCTAAAGCAAAAAAAAAAAAAAAAAAACAAAAACAAAAACAAAACAAAAAAAAAAACCAATAACAACAACAAAATAAGACAGGTTGGACAAGCTTGGGATATAGTAAAGGTTGCAAAAAATACGGGAAAACTGTGAGGTGAAGAGAGACAGACAAAGATGGGGGACGGTAGAGAAGGAAACAACCTAACTAATCATGTTTTATTTGCAACAAGTTACTTAAGGTTTTGTGGGGTTGGAAAGACATATATTGAATGCCTATAATATGCCATAAAATATTTTCAGAATTTTACCTGAGTTAAATCTTTTAACATTTATATCAACTCTGCGAGGCAGATGCTGTGATTATTTTCACTTTGCAGATTGTGAAACAGACACAAAGAAGTTAAGGAACATATTTAGAATCTCTTAGCTGGTATTTTGCACTGTGAGGATTCAAGCCTAAAAACCCTACCTCCAGAACCTGTACATTCGAACATTAGATGATATCTGATATTGTTTATTTTCCTGAAATTATATTATTTCTTTTTTTTTTACAAAATTAGTTCACTGTAACTATAGCTATGTATACACACACACACACACACACACGCACACACGCGCGCGCGCGTGCCTCTGAGTTGAAAACAAAGATACAAGCGCCATCTACTGGCACTACTAATCTCAGTCTACAATTCAGCATTAGTACAAAAATATCATATGTAAAGGGAAGAAATATGTTGTGATACATGTGTAGGGTGGGAGTAGTGATCAAATAAATGTGACTAAAGGTTAAATAACAAACTTTTGCAATGCTTGCATAGTCTTCAGCTTGAACATTGCCTTTTTTATCCTTTACCAAGTTTTTCTTTATCCACATTCATCCATTATTCTTTCATTTGCTTATACATTCATGTATGTATTATTTATAAGCTGTACTCCACATATTTTGTGCACTCAGTACTTTGCTAGAGCTAGATGCTGAATTTTGAAGAATTTGTGAGAAAGTCCATGTCCTGATAGACTTTTGGGGGAAATATGCACATATATTTATCATATAATGTGGTCACTGAAATATAATAAACGCAAAGATAAAGCAGTGGTGGCCAGGAAGTAATCAATTTCACTTAGGGATAGAAGAAGGCCCATGGAAGAGATGATCATTTTAATTTTTCTACCTTTCTATCAACTGTCAAGTGCCACTATCCTGTAGAGATAAAAGTATATTGAATTGATCCATTTGCATTCAAACCTTCAACGCATTGCCACAAGATTTATTTTAAAATGCCTAAAATGTGCCACAGGTACCACCTATTTGCTATGTTCATCACTTTGGTCGCATATAATTAGTGGCTTCCTATGGTGCTAGCTATGTCACCTTTGTGTGCCTGATTTTCTTATCTACATAGTGGAATGAATACAGTTCCTAACTCACAGGGTTGTTGTAATAAATTATTACAGTTATTCTAATATTCAGAATACCATCTGACAAATATTAAGTATTCAGTAAATGCTAGTTGTTATGATAATCATCACATTCTTCTGCCTGGCCTACTCAACTTTCCATTATTAGGGCCTCATGGTATACCCTTTGCACTACAAGGACATCCAAAGTCTCTTTTGAAATATTCAGATTTCAAATCAACCCAACATTTACTGAAGGCTAGCTGTATACTTCACAGGCACGTTTCACTCTACCCAGAACAGTACCTTCTCTGTCCTGAAACATTATTTATTGTTGGTATCTCCTAAGCCTTTGCCTGATCAAATCCCACTTTATCTTTCAAAGCTCACCTCACAACTACGCTTTCCACGAACCTTCATTTTATGAATAATATCTCTAATTTATACATTCGTACAATTCTGTAAGTTTCAAAGCCTTGCCCTTATATTGCCTCTCTTGTTGGCCCTTAGTAATATATATATTATATTATATGTATTACATTATATATAATATATTATATATTATATAATGTATTATATATTATATTGAATGTATTATATATTATATATTATATTATACATTATATTATATATAATTATATATAATTATGAATTATATATTTTATAATATATAATTATAAATTATATATTATATAATATATAATTATATATTATAAAATATATAATTATATAATATATAATTATATATTATAAAATATATAATTATATAATATATAATTATATATTATAAATATATATAATTATATAATATATAATTATATATTATAAATATATATAATTATATATAATTATACATTATATAGTATATTATATATAATTATATATTATAAAATATATAATATATTATAAATATATAATATTATATAATATAATATATGATATATCATATATTATATATTATATAATATATGATATATCATATATTATATATTATATATAATATATAATATATGATATATTATATATGATATATGATATATCATATATAATATAATATATCATATATGATATATCATATATTATATGTTATATATAATATATGATATATCATATATTATATTATATATCATATATTATATGTTATATATAATATATGATATATCATATATTATATTATATGATATATCATATATTATACATAATTTATATTATATGTTATATATAATATATTATATATAGTATTATATTATATATTATATATTATATATCATATATTATATATATTATATATAATATTTATTATATATAAATATTATATTTATTTATATTTATATATATTATATATAAAAATAATATATATTATATATTATATATATTATATTATATATTATATATTATATATAATATATATTATATTATATGTAATATGTATTATATTATATATAATAGTATATATTATATATAATGTATATATTATATATAATAGTATATATTATATTATATTATATATAATAGTATATATAATATATAATATATTATATAGTATATATGTTATATAATATATTATATAGTATATATAATATAATTAATATATATTATATTATATATTATATAGTATATATTATATATACTATATAATATATAATTTTATATATATAGTAGGTGACCACATTGCTTTTTAAGTGCATATTTCTTGTTTTTTGTTTTGTTTTGTTTTGTTTTTTTGAGACGGAGTCTCCACTCTGTCACCCAGGCTGGAATGCAATGGCGGGATCTCAGCTCACTGCAAGCTCTGCCTCCCAGGTTCACGCCATTCTCCTGCCTCAGCCTCCCAAGTAGCTGGAACTACAGGCACCCGCCACCATGCCCAGCTAATTTTTTGTATTTTTAGTAGAGACGGGGTTTCATTGTGTTAGCCAGTATGGTCTCGATCTCCTGACCTCCTGATCCTCCTGCCTCGGCCTCCCAAAGTGCTGGGGTTACAGGCATGAGCAACCATGCCCGGCCCCTATTTCTTGTTTTTATCCATCTTGGTGATGTTTGGCTGGAGTAAAGGGACAAACACCTGGCCTCCAAACAGGAGACTCTATTAATTTTGAATAATTTTACAAACTCTTCCTCTTACCTAGGATTCTCATGTCACCTCTATCCTCAGGCTTATTAAAAAATCATTCCTCTAGGGCACCAATATTAATGATGAAGTTCATATTTTTTCTAAGGTACACTAGCGTGGAAAAAATGCTAAAACTACTAAATTACCTGATAAATAACTTGAAACCAGTGATCTAGTGGTATGGCATATAAATTTGAAAGTAGTGAATAAATTGAAGACTTTGAAAATACATTATAGATGCCAAAATAACATTTTAAAATTAAAAATTCACAATATTGAGTACAATTTCTATAAAATAAACTTTATTTATGTTAATACAGTTTGAACACAACACAATCAAGGTATAGATCATTTCTTTATATTTTTTTTTCTTTTTTGATACAGAGTCTTGCTCTGTCTCCCAGGCTGGAGTGCAGTGGCATGATCTCGGCTCACTGCAACCTCCGCCACCCAGGTTCCAGTGATCCTCCTGACTCAGCCTCCCGAGTAGCTGGGATTACAGGCGCCTGCCACCACCCCTGGCTAATTGTTATATTTTTAGTAGAGACAGGGTTTCAGCATCTTGGCCAGGCTGGTGTTGAACTCCTGACCTGACTCTACCTGTCTCAGCCTCCCAAAGTCTTGGGATTACAGGCGTAAGCCACCACGCCCGGCCAGTATAGAGCATTTCTAATACCTCCAGACTTTGTGTCTGCTCCTTTGCAGCCCATCTCCTGACATCCTCCTGCTGAAAGAAACCACTGATCTGCTTTCTACTTGTCCTTATAGATGAATTTTTGCTATTTCTAGAATTTAATATAAATGTAATCATGTCATATGTGCTCTTTTATGTCTAGATTCATTTTCTCAGAATAATGTTTTTAAGGTTCACTTGTGAAGCTATGTGTATTCTTTTATTGCTATTTTTCTAGTGCATATATATACCAATATTTGTTTATTCATTCACCTGTTGATGGACATTCATTTTCAATTTGGGATTATTATGAATAAATGTGCTATAAATATTCCTGTTCTTTGGGTTTATAAATGTTCATTTTTGTTGGTTAATAGGAATGCATTTGATGGATTGTTTTTAAATATATGTTTAAACTCATGAGAAACTACAAAAGAGTTTGCTAACGTGGTTGCAATATATTACATTCTGATCAGTGATGACAGTTCCAAATGATCCACATCCTCACCAACACCTGGTATTATCAGTCTTTTAATTTTAGCTGCTCTAGAGAATATGTGGTGGTATCTCATGATGGTTCTAATTTCCATTAGTGTCATGACCAATGTTTTAAGCATGAAAACATTTAAACATTCCACAGGCTTATTCCCAGTTTGTAAGTTTTATTTGGTGAAGTTCTAGTTGAAAGGTCTTGTCCATGTTTTCATCAGAATGTCTTAACTGGGTTTTAAGAGATTCTTGTATCTTCTGGGCACAAATCTTTTGTCAAATATGTGAAGTGACAACTGTGGTTCTCTTTTACTTTCTTCAAAGTTCCTTACAAAAATTTAAGGTTTTTATTTCAAAGAAGTTAAATTCATCATTTTTTCATATATTGTTTATTCTTTTATGTATCATGTAAGAATTTTTTGTCTACACCAAGTGGCAAAGATTTGTTCTGGTACTTTCTTCTAGAAGATTTAGTTTTGGCTTTTCTTTTTAAGTATATAGCTCTAGTACAAATTGAAATAGAATATATCAGTAAGAGCAGACATCCTTGCCTTGTTCTCAATCTTAGAGGATAAGCATTTAGTTTTTCACTGGTATCCTCTTCCCTGTAGAAATTTTGTAAATGCCCTCTATCAGTTTGAGAAAGATTCCTTCTTTCTTTGCTAAGAATTTTTTTATTATGATTATGTGCTAAATATTCTCAAATGCTTTTGCTACATTAGTTGGTTTAGATATGTGTCCTCTCCAAATGTCATGTTGAAATGTGATCTCCAGTGCTGGAGGTGGGCCTGAAGATAGGTGTTTGGGTCGTGGGAGCGGATTCCTCATGAAGAGCTCTTTCCATGAGTAATATGTTCCCCTTAAAGAGCCTGGCAGCTCCTCCCTCCAGCTCTTGCTCCCCCTTTGCCTTCTGCCATGATTGTAAGCTTCTTGAAGCCTCATGAGAAGCAGATACTGGTGCCATGCTTCTTGTACAGCTTGCAGAACCATGAGACAATTAAACCTCTTTGTAAATTACCCAGCCACAGGTTTTTCTTTATGGCAACACAAAGTGGACTAACACGCTACTTCTATTGATATCATCATATAGCTTTCCTCCTTATACTGCTAAAATGGAAATTTACATTGATTAATTTTCAAATGCAAACCAACCTTGCATTCCTGGGATAAACCCTACTTGCTCGTTAGGTGTCATTCTTTTTCTGTGTTACTAGATGTGCTTTATAAATATTTGAATACACATGTTTGTGTCTAGGTTTATAAGGGATATCAGTGTGCAATTTTCTTATGAAGTTTTTATTTTAATTTTTGTATTACAGCAATACTGGCCAGATAAGGTAAATTGAGAAATCTTCTATCATCCACTAATTTCTTCAATATTTTGTATAGGATTTACTTTACCCCTTCCATAAGGGCTTGATAGATTACATTAGTGATTCCACCTGGGTCTAGAGATAGGCGGGAGCATTAACTACAAATTCAATTTCTTTAATTAACATTGGGAAATCTAAATTTTCTATTTATGCTTGAGCCTATTTTGGTAATTTGTATTTGTCATGGAATTTGTCCATTTCAACTAAATTTTAAAATATAGTGGCAGAAATTTGTTTATAATAGTCTCTTTTTACCCCTTAGTGTCTACAGTATACATACACATAACTCTTACACTTCCAATATTGGTATTTTGTATTTTCTCTCTTGTTATAATGCTTTTATCTACTAAAAAAGAAAATCCACAGTGTATGAAAGGTGGTGTTGGATTATGCCAAATAATAAAATGAAAATTAGGACTATTTTGTAGTTATTTCAATGTGGAATCTTTTACTTGAATTCCAGTATTGAACCACCTCAGAACCAAAGTATTGCATGTTTTTAAGTAAAACTGAATATGCTTTACACAGTTTAGTGAGAGACCATTTTAAACACCGTTCAGATTTCTTGGTAACCCTACAGAAAATAAATTGAGTATATATATATTTTTTCCCTCAAATGTTATTTTAAGTTCAGGGATACGTGTGCAGAATATGCAGGTTTATTTCACAGGTAAACATGTGCCATGGTGGTTTGTTGCACCTATCAACCTATAACCTAGATATTAAGCCCATTATCCATTAGCTATTCTTCCTGATGTTCTCCCTCCCTGCTTGCCCCCGCCCCCAACAGGCCCAGTGTGTGTTGTTCTCCTCCATGTGTCCATGTGTTCTCATCATTCAGCTCCTACTTGTAAGTGAAACATACAGTGTTTGATTTTCTGTTCTTGTGTTACTTTGCAGAGGATAATGGCTTCCAACTATCCATGTCCCTGAAAAGGACATAATCTCATCCCTTTTTAATAGCTGCATAGTATTCCATGGCATATATGTACCACATTTTCTTTATCCAGTCTATCATTGGGCATTTAGGCTGATTATGTATCTTTGCTATTGTGAATAGTGCTGCGATGAACATACACATGCATGTATCTTTATAATATTAATATAATGGTTTTTATTCCTTTGGGCATATAGCCAGTAATGAGATTGCTGGGTCAAATAGTATTTCTGCCTCTAGGTCTTTGAGGAATCACCACACTGTCTTCCACAACGGTTGAACTGATTTACACTCCCAGAGTGTAAAAATGTTCCTTTTTGTCCACAACCTCACCAACATCTGTGGTTTCTTGACTTTTTAGTAATCACCCTTCTGACTGGGGTGAAACAATATCTCACTGTGGTTTTGATTTGTATTTCTCTAATAATCAGTGATGTTAAGCTTCTTTCCATGTGTTTGTTGGCTGCACGTCTGTCTTCTTTTGAGAAGTGTCTGTTCATATTTTTCCCACTTTTTAATGGGGTTGTTTGTTTCCTGTAAATTTGCTTAAGTTCTTCTTAGACTCACTCTGGTTATTAGACCTTTGTCCCATGGATAGATTGCAAAAACTTTCTCCCATTCTATAGGCTGTCTGTTCACTCTGATGATAGTTTCTTTTGCTGTGCAGAGGCTCTTTAGTTTAATTAGATTCCATTTGTCAATTTTTGCTTTTGTTGCAGTTGCTTTTGGAGTTTTCATCATGAAATATTTGCCTGTGCCTATGTCCTCAATGGTATTGCCTAGATTTTCTTCTAGGTTTTTTATAGTTTTGGGTTTTACATTTAAGTCTTTAATTCATCTTGAGTTAATTTTTGTATATGGCATAAGGAAGGTATACAGTTTCAGTTTTCTGCATATAACTAGACACTTCTCCCAGCACCATTTATTAAATAGAGAATCTTTTCCCCATTGCTTATTTTTGTCAGGTTTGTCAAAGATCAGATGGTTGTAGCTATGTGGTCTTATTTCTGAGTTTTCTATTCTGTTCCATTGGTCTGTGTGTCTGTTCTTGTACCAGTACCATGCTGTTTTGATTACTGTAGCCTTGTATTATAGTTTGCAGTTGGGTAGTGTGATGCGTCCAGCTTTGTTCTTTTTGCTTAGGATTGACTTGGCTATTCAGGCTCTTTTTTTGGTTCCATATGAATTTTAAAATAGTTTTTTTTCTAATTCTGTGAAGAACATTAATGGGAGTTTAATGGGGATAGCATTGAATCTATAAATTACTTTGAACAATATGGCCATTTTCATGATATTGATTCTTCCTATCCATGAACATGGAATGTTCTTCCATGTGTTTGTGTCATCTCTGATTTCTTTGAGCAGTGGTTTGTAGCTCTCCTTGAAGAGGTCCTTCAATTCCCTTGTTAGCTGTATCCCTAGGTATTTTATTCCTTTTGTAGCAATTGTGAATTGGAAGTCATTCATGATTTGGCTCTTGGCTTGCCTGTTTGTTGTTGTATAGGAAGAGCATATATATATTTTTAATTCCACTTTACATTTGTAAAATAAAATGCAAAATATTTTTATGTCTGTTTTCATAGCACATTTAGTATGCATGTATTTCTCTTTAAGTGTTTGACTTTCAATATTTAAAATAATATTGCTTGTTATTTGAAGAAAGTTCTAAGACTACTTAATTAATTTACATAAGCTGTTTGGCAATAGTATAACCAGGGACTTCTGCTAAAAGAGACTGTTGCAATGATAAAATAAAATAAAGTGCATATTTTCTTTAAGGAGTAATGTTTCAGTAATTCCACAAGAAAACTAAAGACCCCCAATTAAATGTTTTTAAGTTTAACTTTTACATATTTTCATAATGAGATCAAAAGAGGAGTTGGAGTTTAGGGTCAGAAAAAGAAAATCATTCTATGTTCAAATGTCTACAATGTGCATATGCTATGTCATGCAGGGGTGAGATCAAATCAACAATTTTCAAGTTCATCATCTCATGTAATGCATACATATACATGTGAATCAGACTTGTTATGCTGTTATTATTAAATGACATGGAAAAGAAAATATTAAAAGACTTTCTGCAATTATCTCATTTCTCTTGCAAATTTGGTAACATATAATAAATATATGTACTTTTTCCTCCACAGGACCTGATTGGGGATATGAGGGAGCAGCTTTCGGATCACTTCAAAGATGTGATGGCTGGCCTCATGTACCCACCACCACTGTATGATGCTCATGAGCTCTGGCATGCCATGAAGGTAGTGATCTGATCCAAAAATATGCCTGTAACAAGTACAGGCCAGTATTTCAGTAGAGGGGAAACTGCCCTGTGATGCTCCTACATACTTATATGATCAAGGAGAGGGGAGGGAATATCTAAACAATGATGTAACAATGGAAATGTTGTGGTCAAGGGCAGTGGCCTTGTTAGGAAGGTGGAGCCTCCTGGGCTGAGTGGCTGGGATCAGCCTGTTCTTTTGTTGTACAAAGTCACAAACTTACTGAGCCAGCCCCAGTGCTGACCTACAACAAGGAAAAGTGAACAAGCCTCCAGGGCTATTCAGATTTGTCCCTGAGCATGTATTCCTATATTGAGGATAATGTATTAAAAATGATGTGAATCTTGTTACATTATTTGTAAAAATTTGATTAAGTCAAAAGAAGATATTGAATCAGGGACAATATATAGATGATGTCTTTATATTTTCTTTTTATGACCTGAAGTTCATTCTTTACAGAAACATTTTTTTTTTTGCTCAAATGTATAAAAATCTTAATTTGGAAGAATTAGAATCAGTGTTTCTTACAGGAAAGTCATTTCCATGAAATAAGTTGACTGTGGATTTGTTACAGATTTTGTTGGCTAGGTACAGGGAACAAAGAGGGCCTTGGCTTTACTTCTTTCCAAATGCAGATATTAAACACCTGCAGAACTGTTGAAATCATTCCAGTACGATGCTTGCCAATGACCAGATTACCACAATCTGTGAACAATGTGTGACAGAAAAGAGGCAACAGGAAAAAAATTAAAGGACATGGATTTTGGCCATCACATTTACTGATCCAAATAGGCATTGTACAAAAATTATATGAATTTTAACTAATCGCTTTTAACACATGTTACATGTCAATTCCTACCTCTTGCAAAATTATGTCTAAAAATTATTTAAAAAATAAAGTTATATGTTTATATGTTGCTGTTTTGATTAAACAAGTGTGTTTTATCAATAATTCATAGAATGCTAAGGATTTCTGAGGCTTTCCTAAAAAAGGTGTATTGTCTTTAAGATCTCTTTCACAGACCAATATATCCATGTGTCTGCAAGAGACCACAGAAAGCATCCATCCAAATATTTATGCAAATTGTACAAAATTCCACATCTAGAGAGGCAGGCACAGGTCCCTAAAATATTCTCGGCAAATTAGAAAACCTGTATTCTAATGTCAGCTTGCTAAAGAATTAATATTCCAGCAGCAAATGGAATATCAAATATCATTCCAACAGCAAATGGAAATGCTCAATGCCATGAGCATTGCTTGAACATGTCTTTCTCCACATTGTTTAGAAATGCTCATACTGTTTTATTCTAAATGAAGAAACAGTTTCCTTCAGATAATATTAATTCTTCAGGGTCAAATAGGTAGTAAATGGCAAAGCTGAAACTAAGATTGTGCCTGCCTTCATCCTAAACCACTTCCTTTCCCTGCCACCTCTCAAAACACTGGAAATGCTGTATCCCTTTCTTGTACAAAAGGTACACTATTACTTCCAATAAAAATATCCTTACATTTATCTCTTTTTTCCTTTCTCTAGGGAGTAGGCACTGATGAGAATTGCCTCATTGAAATACTAGCTTCAAGAACAAATGGAGAAATTTTCCAGATGCGAGAAGCCTACTGCTTGCGTAAGGAAATATACATATGTGAATATATTTTACACATATAAGAACTTTATAACACATTAAATATTCCAGTTTATGTATTTTGAAGAATTATCTAAGACATTCTTACATTTAACATAGGATTCACTGAGGACCAATTAACTCATTAGGTAAAACCGATTATTAGTGCACTAAAAATGAAACCATTCTCTAGACAATCAAGTTAAGCAAATTTTCCAGGAAAATAATTACAAGTCTCTATGAGGTGAATGTTTTCATTAAGACAGGAAAGTGTCCCACATTTTAATTCAGGGGGCATTTCACCTCTTACCCAGGAAAGACCCAGCATATAGAAAAAATAAGGTACAATAATGGCTCAGTGAATTCTACAAATATATCTGCTTCGCTTTACATAAATTTCACATTCCCGTAATCTACTACAAAATCAGATTTTTATACATTTCAAAAGTAGAAAGGGTAACTATTTTCACTTTCAAAAAGGTATAATGCCTTAAGTTCTATTGCGTTATGTAGTATATGACATTGTGTGTCAAGAAAATGTTGCGGACAGTCATCTCTATTGCATTCAAACAAAAACAAGACTTTTCTGAAGGGAATGAAGTCAGAACTTTCACTAAAATGTTAAAATGAGATGAAGCACTTAGAAAAAGTATTGGGCTGGGCAGCATTCTGTGGAAATAGAATGCATAATTCTGAATTTTGAGAATCAGAGAATGTGAAATGACTCTCAATCCTGTTTTTCAATTTTGGACTAAAGATTTTTAAAAAATAGTCCTGTGCTTATGTTACCATTAGGTGACAGAATTCTTTGGCAGACGGTTTATTGACAAAGAAATGTCAACAGGTGGACTACATTTCCTGGACTTTGTACTCACAACTGGGAAATAACATTAACTTACTCAAAACACACTGATACATAGTTCTATAATAAATCATACCTTTAACATGTTTTCTTATACAGAATACAGCAATAACCTCCAAGAGGACATTTATTCAGAGACCTCAGGACACTTCAGAGATACTCTCATGAACTTGGTCCAGGTATGGCATTCCAAAATTTACATTACTTTGCACTATCTAAGCAAATAAGTATATGTCATTGCCAAAAAAAAAAAAAAAAATAGAACAGAAAACTCCAGTATATTACAGTTCAATAGTAAATTCTGTGTAGTAACATTTACTGAAGCCATGTTCAAAATACTCAACTAGAAATTTAAGTTGTTAAAGACAAATATGGATAATGCCTCAACTCTATTTTCAAAAAATTAAAAATCTATTCTAAAGAGATTATAAATATACATGTATGTATAATTAATTTTATATTCTGAGAAAATTAAAAGATTAAAAATATTACAGTTAAAATTAATAATTCTAATTAGAAATAATTTCTTTCTTTCTTTCTTTCTTTTTTGAGACAGTCTCGCTCTATCACCCAGGCTGGAGTGCAGTGGCATGATCTCAGCTCACTGCAACCTCCTCCTCCTGGGTTCAAGTGATTTTCCTGCCTCAGCCTCCCATGTAGCTGGGACTCAAGGCACGTGCCACCACATCCAGCTAATTTTTGTATTTTTAGTAGAGATGGGGTTTCACCATGTTGGCAAGGCTGGTCTCAAACTCCTGACTTCAGGTGATCCGCCTGCCTCAGCCTCCCAAGGTGCTAGAATTACAGGCGTGAGCCACCATGCCCAGCCTTAGAAATAATTTCATTTTTAAAACTGCTACATGGGCTTAGCGCACACTAACATTTCTGAGCTCCTACAATGTGCCTAGTACTGTGTGAGGAGAGAAACAATTTTCTCATTTAATAACAACAAAACACTATAATACAAATATTCTCATAAGTACTTCAGAAAAGAATAGAGAATCACAAAGTATAAAGTTCTAGCTCTATGATTGTCTGAAGAGCTAATAAGTAGAAATCCAGAATTTGATTGAATGCTAGAGACTCTAAATGCCAGCATATGATCTTTGATGCAGCCTATAAAAATTCTGTGGTGTTATATATTACCAAAAAGGAACACTACTTCAAGTTAAAAATAGATTTTATCATTTATGTTTCTGTACTGGCTAAATGATATATAAGTATTTCCATTTAATGAATATTTCTTGAAAATATTCCACATATTAGCATTGTAATACAAATAATATTTTTAAAGATATAATTATCTCCTGTTTTATACATATTCTCCAATGTGCCTGTTATCCTATTTAACAAAGGCACTCAGGAATGCAAAGAGAAAGAGGGTCAGTGTTCAGCTCTTAATTTCTAAAAGAGAATCTCAAAGGCCACAGCTGAGAAACATGTCTTAAAAGCCAGAATTTTGGTTTGGTTTGGTTTTGTGTTTCGTGTGTGTGTGTGTGTGTGTGTGTGTGTGTGTGTGTGTGTGTGTGTGTGTTTGAAATGAAGCAAGAGTTTCTAAACCTCCAAACCTTTCCTTTACACATCAAAGGCATAGTAGTTAGCAAAGAATTAGTAGTCACCAAAGAATTTCACTAAAACCAAGAAGTTGATAGAATTTTGTACATGGGAACATGACATTAGAAAAGATTTCAATGCCTTTTAAAAAAAGAATACATGAAAGCCTTTTTAGTGGGAACAAAGCTGGAAGAGTAGGACCTAGGAGAGAGAAGGATCTATAGTCCAGGTGGAGGGGACTAGAGTGAGAATCCTGCCTAAGGCCCTCAGGAACACAGAGCCCCACACTCTTAGGTGAGGAGTTAGAATCACCAGATAAAAACGCAAGGTAGATAATTGTCTATTCTTTCATCCTTTTCTCTGAACCCCTCCAGTCCCAATTGCTTCCATGAGTTATTGGATTTGTTTTTAATCTAAACGTTTCTGTGGCTACTGTGGATAAACTCTGAGAAGTCCTCCCCTGTCCTTTATCCTGCTTGGCTTTATCTGAAGAGGTGCTATGGAGAACAGACAGTCCTCAGTCCCTGAATTTTTATGGTCTGACTTATCTACTTCATGGTACCTTTCTACTTTATGATGGTGCAAAACTGCTGCAATTTTCACATAATAGTTGATATTCCATAAATTATGTGAGATATGTAACACACTTTATTGTAAAATAGGCTTTGTGTTAGATAATTTTGCCCAACTGTAGGCTACTGCAAGTGTTCTGAGCACATTTAAGGTATGTGTTCAATAGGTTAGGTGTATTAAATGCATTTTTGACTTGGGATATTTTAATTTACAATGGATTTATCAGGACGTAACCCCATCATAAGTTGAGAAGCCTCTCTATATCCTTGTACCACTTTCATAGCAGCTCAACTTTGGCAAATTTAGAGTCCTCATATTTTGTTTATAGCACACGTTATCAATATTTCTTTAATCTTAGTTTGTAATGTCTTTGAAAATGAGGATCTCTAAAAACTTAGAAGAGTTGTGATCTACTTGCTTTTGGTTAGGTCCATTTACCACTTAACCGCATGCAAAGTTCTTTCCTAGATATATTTCTCCGGTATGACTTTCTTTGCATCCTTGCTCCCTCATTTATGCCTTTTTTATTTTCACGACTCAAAAACATTTCCTTGAAGGATCTCTTAGAAGGTAAAACTGGCCGGGTATTACTAGAGGGCTGAGTCATAACAAACCCTTACTTTTCAAAGCCTCTTCAAGTCTCAGCTTACATTGCTTGGAATCAGTAAGTGGTTTCTCTTTGTAACTCTTCAAGGCACCAAATTTCTAAACTTTCTCTCTTCTCCCTTGTATGTCTGCTTGCAAACTAGCAAGTTATTTACTGAGCTTATCTCTTTCTTGTAATAGATGACTAAAAGCATAAAGTAAATGCCATTTCTCAAGCTCACAGGAAGACCTGAACAGGTGCTACCGATCAGAGTGCATTTCCCTTCCAAGAAGTGATCCAGAGACTTAGTCTCCTTCCACCGTTACAACTGGCTTTTAAGTTTATCATGTCTGTCTTCAACCCAGGGAAGCAGAAAGAGAATAGAGGTTTCTTCACAGAAGTGTTCATGAGCCTTGTTGCAATGCATATCCATTTCTGCTCAGATATCACTGGCTAAACCCTCACTCAAGGAGGCCTACTTAATATCAAAGGTAGTGAAGTTATTTGTCTTCAAGGAAGTTGAAACAAGTTTTAAATCTGTATTTAGTGTATTTCTTCTTCTTCTTCTTCTTTTTTTTAACGGAGTTTCACTCTTGTCACCCAGGCTGGAGTGCAATGGTGCAATCTTGGCTCACTGCAACCTCTGCCTCCCTGGTTCAAGTGATTCTCCTACCTCAGCCTCCCGAGTAGCTGGGATTACAGGCACGTGCCACCAAGCCCAGCTAATATTTTTTATTTTTAGTAGAGACGCGGTTTCACCATGTTGGCCAGGATGGTCTCAATCTCTTGACCTCTTGATCCGCCCGCCTCGGCCTCCCAAAGTGCTGGGATTACAGGCGTGAGCCACCGCGCCTGGCCAATCAGTGTATTTCAAAGCTGTGAAAAAGAATTGAACATTGCAACCAAGAAATACAAATGGGTAACAGAAGATGGTAAAGACATGTTTGTCAATAAATAGAAAACTTATGATGATGACTATATTAGGCCCAAATAGAATTTCTAAAAGGGAAGCATATATAAACAAAGAATTTGCTTTGTTGTGTTTGGTTTTGGTTTGGTTTAGTTTAATTTGGATATCTGTGGTTTGGCTACATAGTTCATAAAACTCCCATGTCACCACTCTCAGTAAATCATCCTATTCTGAGGATTTTCATCTGTAGGATTATCCATGTCAGTGGAGAAAAGATAATTTGGTTTTTCATAGTACAAACTGAAGCGTCTGGTAAAATGTAGGTATAAGCTCATTTTAATTTGTAACAGAAGTTGAGGTCATTTGCAGAAAAATACATTTTCAATAATAATTACTATTTTAAAATAATCTCGATTGACAAGATGCCAATTGAATATTTTCTTTTACATTTTATAAGATTAATTTTAATTAAAATTTTTTCTCAATTTAAAAGGTAATTTTACAATAATGTTGCTACAATAATATAAATTAAAGCAACAGTTTCCACTCAGAGATTCTTCTTGGCACAGGTATTGCCCCTAACAGAGTGAAGCCAACAGTTCCATTATAAGCCATTATAAATCCTAATATCAAACAAGTTTTTATTGCTTTAGTAGGAAGAAAATTATTTTCCTAAGGACTTTATTTAATTCCATTAGGACTGCATCACAGCCAAATCCTGCTTCTGTTCCCTCCCTCCCATAGGTGTTGATCCCAAGAACATTCCATAATTAACAGGCTGGATGCCGATCTCCGTCTCAAAGTCATCTTCCCAGGAAACCCAACTGGCAATATCCCCTCTGTGTAGAGATGAGGAGACTTAAGCTTAGAGAGGTTAAGTGGTGTACCTGACATTACAGGTCTACTTAATGAAAGGGCTGACATGAAGTCAGGCCTAGATGCACTATACCTCTGCTGTTGAATTGTACTGCTCCTATCTCCAACCCCATTTGGTTCCACTCCAATTCTACTTCTATTTGGTAAAATGTCAACGATCAAAACTCAAATCCTCTTAGCATTTCTGCACCTCTTTAAAGGTTGAGCTATAAACCACCTAAAATAACTGACATCTAAGAATTAGGATCACAGTGTATTTTTATAAAGTAAGCATTCTTGTATTTCAAGGGAAAACACAAGTTCCGAAAATGAAACATGAGGGAAAATAAATCACAAGTGAAAAAATAATCAATGAATGGTGACTTTTGGATGTAATAGGGCAATCAATTTTATTCCCAATTGTAGTTATTTTTTTCCTAAAATTAAACAATGATGCTTTATTAATGATAGGGTGTGTACATGAGTACGAGTATTTGTATATATAATATCGTTTGTGTAGATATACATATATTTTAAAATAACACACAATATTTTATCACTGGTTTTTACCTAATTTAGATTATGAATGAACAGGATGAACTATTACTTTTTTTTAAAGATAACATCAACTTGAATTTTTAATTTGATTTTCCTTCTTATATATGTCATTAAAATTTTCAAAAAATGTAGCACCTATAAATTTCTAGAATTACATGTAGGAATAGTTCAGATTTTTATTGCTTCCACACACAACTTTATTTCCTAGTTTTATCTTAACAGAAAAAGCTAATCCTGTATACTGCAGACAGGACAGAATCAACATTCTATTGCTTGTGTTTTAAGTTTAGAGTTTTAGGCTTTTGGCTCCTAATAGGCATAAAGGTCTTCTCCAAACCATGATTCAGGACCCAAGACTCTTTTCCGTTTGTGGTTCCACCAAAAGTGTTACTTCTTAAGTTTGATTTCTAGAATTGGAACATTAAATATATGTATGAGTATTTAACCTTGGAACAGCACTTAAGTATAGTAAAATTTTCCTTTCAACATAGAATACCAAAAAGTGTGGGTGAATCAAGGCTTACATTTTATAAGAAGCCAAGGAAAATTAATAAAGTTTACTTTAACATTATATACTTACAAAGTTTCACAGTACATTTTCCTTAAAATATAAAATACACAAAAATACAATAATACATATTTCATAAAGATTATTTAACTCATAATAGAAAATGGAGGTACCAAACTATTAAAAACTTAATATAATCTCCTTTAATAATAGTCTCTTCGAAAATCAGAAGTTCCGTGATAATTTATACTGTTAGTAAAATGTATGAGTTCTCTTAGATTGTTAAATAGTTCAAAGATTTTCTATTGGCTTCTCACTTCTACATTAATGGCTTCTCAGTTTGGAACCACTGACTTAGGATTTGGATCAGTAAATTCAGAAAATTGGAAAAGATATAAAGTGAATAATGGGATTGTAAAAGTCCATCACTTCTCTTGATCATTGTCTGTGGTGTACACAATTTCAGAGAGAATCTGTCAAGATATTTTACAAAAAGAAATGGAGTTTTCTTCTAAAGGGAGGTGAAATTTGGAGCTGGTGAGTTCCTAGTGGGTAACTGTGGGGCACCATAGTGTAATCAAATCTCTCCCATCAGTTTTGTATCTTTGGATTTATCATTTAACCTTTATGAGATTCAGGTTTTTACTCTGTAAATTAAAGGATATGAGCTCATCCTTCTTTCAATTCCTTTCCAAAACAAATATTCTCCAATTCTTTGGTTGTTATAATCAGGTCCTCTACCTCCCTATGCATCTTCACTTTTAGAATCAAAGGAAAGATGACCCATGGTTTTCATATTTTTAACATCACTAAAATTCAGACACACCCATTTTTTTTGAATTAATAGAGACTGGGGTAATTGGAGCATAGGAGCCTTAGGTTCTTGTGAAATGGCAAGTGTTAAAAATCATTGTCATATTTTCCAGAAGACAAGATCATTTACTTTATCTATAAAGTGTTTCCTGACAGGATGATTTCTAATAAGGAAACAACTGAGCTGGAACACATTCTTCTTGAAAACTAATGCCAATTATTAAACTGGCTCACAATGCTTCCTGCATGCTTTTATTACACAGATTTATGAAAGATCTAATTATCTGTCAAATAATGAAAAATTAGTCACTTAGAGATTAATTAATCAATATGTGCAAATCACACTGGAGATGATAAACGTTTTCAGGAAGAGAAAGAATGGAAACTACCTAATGGATACTTACTGCTTACCTTGGCTTTCAGAATTCTCTTATGACAGTTTCTTGAACCCGTACAATGAGGCCTCTGGGAGTGTTATGGCCAACAGCTTTCAATAATCATCTGTAATCAATTCATCGCCTCCAAATATTTTCACCCACATCTTAGTTCTTTTCATTTCTTTCCTTCCCATGTTTATCATGCCCTTAAACTAAATTCTGTACTCATTTATGCCATTTTCTGGTACTTACATCAATTAAACATACCATGTGGCCGTCTCAGGCCCTTTACATGACAAAGCCAGCTTGACTCTGCCTTTGTCAAAGCCAAATCACAATCTTACTTATTCACATTGTTTAAATCCACCAGTGTGCTTAAAGTGCTCTTGGTAATTAGCTGCATAGGAAAATAAACAGATAGGCACCATTTCAGGTTAAATGTCCAAAACAATTATCTTTCCAAACAATATTTCAGATATGTAAAGTTGCAGAAAATTCTTAAATATCTCTCACAAACTTTGCAAAGGCAGGAGCTTACTTAGCTATAGAAGCTGAAGATCACTAAGAAAATATCAATAATCCAGAAAATCTTCCCACATCCACTGATGCATCTTTGAAGTCTGCTATCTAAAGTTATTTCTTTACTTTTCCAATTAACATTTCTTGAATGCCTACCATGTGCCAAGCATGATTTTAGATAATTGGGAATTATTGGTGTACAGAAGAGATAAAGATCCCAGCCAGCCCTTAAGATGCTTACATTCTAGCAAGAGAATATGGACAATTAAACATAAATTTAATAAATAGGTGGATTATATAAAATATTAGAAGGTTGATGAAAGATATGGCAGAACAGAGTAACAGGGAGAAGCATTGTAGGGCTGAGCATAATGGGTATGTTGCCATTTTTTTTTTTTTTTTTTTTGAGACAGAGTTTTGCTCTTGTCACCCAGGCTGGAGTGCAATGGCACAATCTCGGCTCACTGCAACCTCCACCTCCTGGGTTCAAGCGATTCTCCTGCCTCAGCCTCCCAAGTAGCTAGGATTACAGATGCCTGTCACCACGCCTGGCTAATTTTTGTATTTTTAGTAGAGACGGGGCTTCACCATATTGGCCAGGCTTGTCTTGAACTCCTGACCTGAGGAGGTCCACCTGCCTCAGCCTCCCAAAGTGTTGGGATTACAGGCATGAGCCACTGTGCCCCTCCTGCCATATTATATAGATTGGTCAGAGTAGGCCTCATTGAGAAGATGAGATTTGAGCAAAAATATGGATAAAAGAATGAGTTAACAAATAAATCAATGTGATAGGATGTTCCAAGTAAAGGGTATAGCTAGAGAAAAATGTAAGGTAAGAAAAGCTAATGGGTATGAGGGATAGACACAAGGCCAGTTGGTAGCCTCTGAGCAAGCAAAGGAAATGTACTATAATAGTAAATGAATTCAGAGAAGTAGCACGTGGTAAGATTATGTCAAATCCTGAAGCCATTTTAAGGACTTTGGCTTTTCCTTTGAGTGAAATGGATGAGAGGTAAGTCATTGCTGGGTCTTTAGTGAAGGAACGTGGTTTTATGCTTTAAAATATTCACAATAGCTGCTATATTGAGAAAAGACTACAGGGAGCCAAAGGTAGAAACAGAAGCCTGTAAGGAGGCTGCTTCAGCAGTAAAGCTAGCTGTAATGTTACCTCGGACCCATAGGAGAGCATTGGCAGTGGTGATAAGTGCCCAGTTTCTGGATGTATTTTAGATAGCAGCAGGAGACAGACAAATCTTTAGGCAGACAGGGATGGTAAAACCCAACCTTCACACCAAAGACAGTTTAAAGCTGAAAACCCATCTACAAGTCTCAGATAAATCCACAGACCGGATTGGGAACCCCTCTTCCCATGTGAGGTGCTTTCCTCTGGTTGATCCCCAGCCTTCACCTATTTTACACATTCCTACCCTTCCCTAATTGGTTTTTTACACTGTTGCGCCCATCTTTGAGTGGTGCCTTTTTTTTAGCCTTTTTGCGTCCTAACAAACCAATCAGCACATACCCCCCCATTCTGAGCCCATAAAAACGCTGGACTCAGTCAGAGCAGGGGATTGCCCACCTTCGGGTGGTGGGGGAGGAACTACCTGACTTTGGGTAAGGGGGCTGCCCAACTTGGGTCTCCCTCTTTGCTGAGAGCTGTTTCTTCACTCACTAAAACCCTTCACCTTGCTCACCCACTGACTGTCAGTGTAACCTCATTCTCCTTGGATGTGGGACAAAAACTTGGGACCTGCCAAACAGTGAGTGTGAATAGAGCTGTAGCCCTGTAGCACTCCCTTCCCACTCACCAAGCAACAGGAAAAGTAGCTGCTTGGCTCCACATGCCCCCTTTAGTCAGGCTGTCGATGGTGGAACTAAAAGAGCTGTTAACACACCCCTATTCACCTGGAGTCTCCAAGTTTTCAGGCACCACCATGTCCCCTTTGTCTGGACATTGGAGTCACTTGTGACATGCCTGGTCCAGCCACAAGCCCCACATGGAGCCCGCACCTATGCCAGCAATTGGAACAGCCAGCTGGACCCCATGCTCACTCGCTCACACATCCCCTCACTCTGCGGGCTGAGTGCGCAGTCACAGTGGCCACAGGATCCAGGCCAGGTGGCAAGGCAAATGCAGCCCAACAGGCTGAATGGGCAGGGTACCTCCTGCCACAAGCCCAGGGCGAGCAAGGCCCAGGCAGGAGCATTGCCAGCCACAGAGGTCTCCAACTGGCAAAACGCACAGAAAAAAAATCCTGTGTCATTTTGAAGGCAGTGTCTATATTATTTCCTGAGGAACTGGATGTGGGCTATGAAAAGGCCGAAGAAAAACGGAATCAAATGTGACTCTCAGTTTCTTAGTCTGAGCAACAGAAAGGATGAAGTGCAGTGTGGAAGACTGAGACTATAGAAAGAGTTTGAGGTGGAGGGAGTCGAGGCATTGAATTTTCAACATGCTAAACCTGATATGTATATTAGAAAATCAAGTGGAGATGCTGAATTGGCAATTGGAATATACATATCTGAAGTTCAGATGACAGATCTTTGCTAGAGATGTAAATAAATAAATGGGTAAGACAAATGGGTATCATTACAATATAGATGGAATTTAAAGCCACATGAGTAGATAACATTATCAAGAGAAGAAATGTAAATACAGACAAAAAGATGATCAAAGACTGACTACTTGGACCTTCCAAAATTAAGAGATCGAAAAGAAGAGAAACCAGTTCACAAGACTGAGGAGTAACCAATAAAATGAAATAGATTGCAGGATCCTGGAAGCCAAGTGATGAAAGTATAGCAAGAAGAAGAGAGTGTCGATTATACCAAATCCTACTGATCGATTCAATAAGATGAAGACTAAGAATTACCACAAATGTATGTTATTAAATAAATGGCATGTAGTCACAGAAGATATAGCATATTAATTGCTTCCAATTATTTGTTTCTTGGTATTAATTAAAATCATAAGAGAGAATTTGAAAGGGAGCCAGAACATATTGTGTAAAAATAAGTTATTTAGGCTAAGGGAAGAGTATGGTAACCAGACCTCAGAGTCAGAAATGCCACTGATATTTCATACACATTCTTCTCTAACAATCAGACCTTGGGCAATTCACTTAATATCTCTAATTTTTATCTCCAAAATATGAGGTGGGACTCCTAAGGTACCTGCACCTCAACATTTCCATGATTTGAAGATAACACCCATAGTCCTACCACTCAATAACATTATTCACTCCTTTATTTTAATACACAGATTTCAAAATAAGAATTGCATATGTGCAGTCTTAGTCTCTTGGTATTTTAAGCAAAGGAAATTGAGCAAGAAGAAATGTGACTGACAAACTCATGCCTATTTCCCATCAGTTGTTCACCTTTAGGGGACATACAACTTTTGAGTTATGATTAAACATTAAATGTTCCAGGGCTACACATTTATGCAAAAATGGTAGCTTACTTATTTCTTTGTGAATAAATTGCACTTTCTCATATGCCTCTAGCTTTTTGTTATCAAGAAAAACAGCCCTAATATTTAATCTAAAATGGCAAATTTCATCTGTGTGATACTTTGAATAGTGAATGTGGGTGCACGTTCAATGTCATCATACTTTTATTGGGTTAAGTATTTGACTCTCAGATTTCTGGCCATCCTCCTCCTTTCTTTCCAAGAAGGCAATTGGTAGAGAGATGTGTGTGTGTGTGGTTAATGAACTACCTTGGCAACAGGAAGGTCACCACTGTGTCCTTAGATCAAGATATTGCCTGCATTTTGGCTGATCTTGACTATGGAATAGCAATTCTTGGCAATTCTGGACATTGAATATATGAGGTGTCAATGACCAGCATATGGGCATTTATCAGTGTTAGCTGCCAAGATAAGCCACTGATTTAATTTATGATCTTTTCTCTGTCTTACTTAGGTCAGAGCCAAACTGACCAGTTTGGTCAGAGAAACCTTTCATGATGATTTAGCCTCACCTTTACTCTCACGGGAGCTGAAGACTCCCCCAAAGGTCTAGCTGTGTCTCCCACATAGTTCAAATCAATGTGGTCTATCCTGTAGCCCTTGGCTGCTGGAACACTGTCCCTGCCATGGTCATAAACAACTCAATCTGGCAAGCTTCCCCACAGGTTCTCAGCTAGATTGCAAGTTCCTCCATCAGGAACCGGTAAGAAATTTGGGATCCCATTCATACTATTTAGGGACTGAGGTTTATTCAAGGAAGTTGTGTTTAAGACCTCTCTGTGCCCTCTTGCTGTCTCACTGGATTCACTGCACTGTGGCTATTCCCAGTATCCTAAAAGATGACAGGACTAGGCACAGTGGCTCATGCCTGTAACCCCAACATTTTGAGAGGCTGAGACGGAAGAATCACTTGAGGCCAGGAGTTCAAGACCAGCCTTGTCAACATGGCGAGATCCTCTTTTTGAGAAAAAAAAAAAATTAGCCACGCATAGTGGCACACGCCTGCAGTCCAAGCTACTCGGGAGGCTGAGGCAGGAGGATTGCTTGAGTCCAGGAGGTCAAGGTTACAGTGAACTATGATCATGCCACTGCATTCTAACCTGTGGAATGGAGCAAGGCCCTGTCTCAAAAAAAGAAAAATGGTAGAAGCAGAAGCTACTGTACTTTCAGTGTTCTCTTAACATAGTTGGAGCAAGGAGAAAGCCTCCCCTCCATATCTTGACCCAAAAGAAACAGTTAATTAGACTGATAACATGCCTCCCTACCTCCTTCTCCCCACTGGCCCTCATAACCCTCAGGAATCAATGGACCCTGCATTGGTTAGCGCCCCTTCCCTCCTGTTTGAAATGATCAACTGGACCATGTCTGTTCTCTAAATGATAATGGAGTGAGAGTTAAACAGATTTACAAAATATTCTCACTGCACAAAGTCTGAGCTTCATTACTATTTTGTTGTTGTATAAATCCTATTGTGCAAGTCAGAGATGGACTTTCTCTGCATTTTTGCTCTAACAATGTTAACACTCATTTCTAACACCCACTGCCATGGTCAGGCAGTGGATACTCAGTTTGATAAGGGAGAAGATACTGCACAGAGACTTGGAAAACTGAAAAATGCCTAAATGTCTTTCAAACATTACCAGTGCTGCAAAGAAAAGGTAAAATAAAATAATGCACATTTTAAGACAAAACCTTATACACTATCTTCTAAAGTATTCATGAAATCAGGAAATGAACACTTACTCCAGATAATAAAAGAAGTTCCTTAGGAACAATCAGAATGTTTTTCAAGGATTTCAGTCTCACTAATCCAATATGAGTTGCTGACTAAGAACATTTACATGGAAAACCTGTGCTTACTTTACAGGGGACCAGAGAGGAAGGATATACAGACCCTGCGATGGCTGCTCAGGATGCAATGGTAACTAGAACCAGTTCTCAGACTGACTGCAAAGAACCTGGGTTAAAATGGGCTGGAGTGGTTCTGATGCTACTTCTCTGCTGGCTAATGTTCCAGGTCCTATGGGAAGCCTGTCAGCAGAAGACGGGGGAGCACAAAACCATGCTGCAAATGATCCTGTGCAACAAGAGCTACCAGCAGCTGCGGCTGGGTAATTATTAACTGGGTTTCGTTCCAGCTACTTGACCAATTATATAACAAAAAGAAGGTGGTTAACTAGAAACAAAAATGAAATATTACAAGGAAATAGCGGAAAGTCAGTTATCTCAAAGGTACTTATTTTGAATTTTGTTTATAAGATGTGCCTTATTTAATGACATTACTAAGGAATAAATATTTCCTTAATATTTTTTCCAATAACTTTCAAAAACTGAGCATTTTAAAAATAATCTCTGTATTTGATGGAGTACTTATTCAAATATATTAGCTGTTTCCTATTAGGTATATTATATGTTGTCTTGCAAAATGCATAGTAAATATAGTTTAACCAGTCAATACTGCATCAAGGCCATTAGTATTGATGTCATGATTTCTGCAATATCGACGGAATCTTATTGGTCTTAGAGGGTGCACTCATGTTAGTTTGCCCTTTGTTTGACATTCCCTAAACTACAGTGTCTTTTTCTTTTATTAAAAAAAATTTTGTTTTTTTCTATATAAAGTACGCAAATGGCTGAAAATTTTCAACAGATGGCCTACCCTACCCCAATCCCACATCTAGACTTTACAAGTCAATAAGAGACATTACCTGTCTTAATGATAATCATAATAATAATAATGAAAAGACATCTTCTTGCTTCTAATTTTCAGTAAGAATGGATGAGAACTAAAGTTGCCTGGGGTAGTCAGATAACTAAGTTCGTGAAATAAAGAATCTTAATTTAACACAATTCTAAATTAGTAAACCCTAGTCTACACCCAAAAAGTTGATTTCATATTTCTCAGAATATTCTTTATAGATACTTTGCTATTTTAATCATCACAGAGAGGACTTTTACACTTAATTCTCATATTTAAGCTCTAGTAGGAAGTTTGCTGCTGACATAAGCCTATTATATATGTCCTAAATAACTGGTCCATAAATAATGGCTTGTTGTGTGCTTCCTCTCAATTTAAATCAGCAGTGAGTTAGTGGGTCCCACTGGAGGTGGCATTTGTTCCCCAGGAGAAGAGAATAATAACAGGTCTTTGAAGTTCAAGATTTATGCTGACTCTACTAAGAGTATTTGTATTTGTTTCAATGGTATTTATAGCAAACAGAATTGATAACAGTAGTACTTTTAATTATTTTATGGAAAATATGGATTTTTACTATGTGTAACAATCTAATATTTGTATTATAATATTTTCAAAATCTCCTTTGAATTACATCAATTTGTTAAAGTTTTCCAGGAATTTCAAAATATTTCTGGGCAAGATATGGTAGATGCCATTAATGAATGTTATGATGGATACTTTCAGGAGCTGCTGGTTGCAATTGGTAAGTAATAAATTATTTGAAGCACAACAGACATTTTATTTCTCTATAAATGCTGAGTGGCTCTGATTGAACTAAAGATGCATGAGTAAGCTCTTGATCGAGTCATTTTCCCTTGAATTTAATTTTTTAAAAGGACATTAACTCCATAGGGGAAGAGTACATCAGCTACTGATAAAATGCACTAAACTGGCAACCTGATAACTTTAATGAACTGATACCCTTCCCTAACAGCTAGTTCAACTTTCATACCAGAAAACACATCATTCTCAGATATTTTCTCTTTGAATTGGCTTCTCACACTGTTCAATCCATTTTATCTTTACTGACTTCCATTCCCTTGTCCAAGAGCCGATAAATACTTAACAGTATGGTTTTCTTCTCTTTAGGAGGAAAAGGATATTTTAGTGACCATTACTAATAAATTTTGGTTTAGGAGTAAATCCTACCATAAAAGAGATTTACCAAGTAGTGATTTTCCTCAGGCTATTGTGATAGTGGCACACCTCTTGCTCCTTCCTAAGTAAGAAATGATATCCCTCCATAGAGGACAAAACGGGGCGAGTTATCCAGAAAAACTGCAATAGAACTACCTGTGCAATAGAACTACCTTTGTCTTGTACTGTGCTGGTGAATTGACAGCACACATTTCAGGGACGACCAAAGGGGATCATTATGAAATATCTCCATCGAAGGCGTAGTCAAGTAATCACTTAGATACTAGTTGAATAAATGAATATTGTGATTTTCCATCCTTGAATGGCAGAGGCATACACGGGCGTGAGAGCTGACAGATAAAGGAATTTTTGTAGCTTATCTAGTAAAGAAGTCTCAAGCTAGGCTTCCATGAAAACAGTTTGATGAAACCCCTAAAATAGTATGCAATAGATGACTATTAATAACTGTGTATTTTTTCTGAAAATGTTACATTTATTCCAGAAAATTCTCTACAAAATTTAATAACCATATATTACATCAAAATCCTTCATTTTATAAACAATGCCTAAGGAAACTAAGTAACTGCCTCCAAGCCTATCAGCTGATTAGCAGCAAAGTTATGACTAAAATTCATAATATCCGAATCTCAAGATAGCTTTCTTTCCACTATAGACCCCTGCCACAAAGCAGTGGGCATAAGAGAGGAAGTGGTGGACATTAGAAATGGCAGAAAACATTTCAACTGATTTATTCACTCAGCAGACATTTATTCAGCACCTACTGTTCTAGACACTGACTTAGGCACTGCAGATAGAACAATGAAACAACAAAAACAGCAAAAGTTCACTGCCTTCAAGGAGCTTTTAAGGAGTAGTGACTCAAGAGTGATTATGAAGATTTCGTGTATTAAAAATGAAAGAAAAGATGAGGGTATAATCTCACAATCTAAAATAATTACTTAAACTACCAGGGAAATACTGTTATGATTATTTCATTCTGGCTAGAAATTATAGCCTCTCATACATTACCTATTCATGTATTAATTTGTTAACCTCTTCAAATAAACACTACTGAATGTTTATGATCATCAACTGACTTCCAGCAAGGTAACTGTTGACCAGGCTCTAGGCTGTCCTACCACCTTAGCAGTTTTTATTAGATAACTTCTAGAACTAGTCTAGACCAGTTGTGGTCCATAGTTTCCCCTTAAGAGATTTCAGGTCTACTCACAAATCTATAAGTTACTAAAAATAGCATTCAAATAGATGAACAGATTACATGGGAGCTATATCAAATTCAATCCTACAATAATAATAATAATCTATAATAGTGTTAATAACCTAGGTCTCTTTGAAGCTCTATTAATTTAATATTCAGATAAAGATGATAAAGTTTTCACTTTGGGAGGCAGAGGCGGGCGGATCATGAGGTCAGGAGATCGAGACCATCCTGGCTAACACAGTGAAACCCCGTCTCTACTAAAAATACAAAAAGTTAGCCGGGCGTGGTGGCGGGCGCCTGTAGTCCCAGCTACTCGGGAGGCTGAGGCAGGAGAATGGCGTGAACCCGGGAGGCGGAGCTTGCAGTGAGCCGAGATTACGCCACTGGACTCCAGCCTGGGCGACAGAACGAGACTCCGTCTCAAAAAAAAAAAAAAAAAGAAGATGATAAAGTTTTCTTCATTAGGCTACATGAAGGAACTAACAAGAGTTCCAACAGATAGAAATAGACCAAGTGAAAATCTGCATGACTCATTATAATGTTGTTGCTTTATATTTTTTTCCTGTGGCTTATAGTGTTACCATTATTCTAAGTGTTGACCTTACAATACAATGTAAGAATTGTAACAGGAAAAGTGTTATTGTTTCTCAAATTCTGACGAAAATATATGTTTTCACTCTCAATGTTTCTTCTTCTCTCTCTGATTTCTCCTAGTTCTCTGTGTTCGAGACAAACCAGCCTATTTTGCTTATAGATTATATAGTGCAATTCATGTAAGTAAGACATATATTTTTAAAATTTCTCCAGAAATTGTGTCTGTTTTCTCAAAGGATTAATTTTACTTCCATCATTTAAATGTTCATTACCATTTTTGAACTTGTATGTACAAAGAAAATACACCCAAGTGAGAAAAACTGGTTTAGACACCAAAAATAAGACATATCAGATAAAAATAATGTTCTGCTTTCTGTATCAAATTTAGGGAACCATATTTGGGGTGTATCTCCCTGTGCACTTTAGAGATTATTTAATATCTGCAGAAACTGGTAAATTCAAATGTTTTTGTATGTTTCCAAAGACCCCCACATCAGACTTATGCAAGTACAAAACATATGGCATTAAGCAGAAAATGTCAAAATATTACAAACTCTCAGCAAGCAATTGCCACGTTCGTGAAGTTTCAATACACGAAATTATGTCAATGGATATTTTTGAACATTGTGCTATTTTCAAAAAGTATTTAAAGTGATAACTAGAAAACCATAAACTCTAAATCTATTTTTGTAATTAAATGGGAATGTTTTTCATACTTCAGTGTGTTATTCAGTCGCACATACTTTGGAGCATTAATTTTTTTTTTTTTTTTTTTTTTTTTTTTTTGAGATGGAGTCTTGCTCTGCTGCCCAGGCTGGAGTGCAGTGGCGCGATCTCGGCTCACTGCAAGCTCTGCCTCCCGGGTTCACGCCATTCTCCTGCCTCAGCCTCCCAAGTAGCTGGGACTACAGGTACCCGCCACCACACCCGGCTAATTTTGTTTTGTGTTTTTAGTAGAGACGGGGTTTCACTGTGTTACCCAGGATGGTCTCGATTTCCTGACTTCGTGATCCGCCCGCCTCGGCCTCCCAAAGTGCCGGGATTACAGGCGTGAGCCACCGCGCCCGGCCTGGAGCGTTCATTTTTTTAAAAAACAAACACTTAAGTGCATCATCACATAATGCACTCCTTATCCATATCTACATGAAACAAAAAAAGAAAGTCTCGGCCGCGCGCAGTGGCTCATGCCTGTAATCCCAGCACTTTGGGAGGCCGAGGCGGGTGGATCACGAGGTCAGGAGATCTAGACTGTCCTGGCTAACACGGTAAAACCCCGTCTCTACTAAAAATACAAAAAATTAGCCGGGCGTGGTTGCAGGCATCTGTAGTTCCAGCTACTCGGGAGGCTGAGGCAGGAGAATGGCCTGAACCCTGGAGGCGGAGCTTGCGTGAGCCGAGATCGCGCCACTGCACTCCGGCCTGGCGACAGAGCGAGACACCGTCTCGGAAAAAAAAAAAAAAAAAAAAGAAAAAAGAAAAGAAAAAGAAAGTCTCATAGAGATAATTATATACATGTCGTAGCCTTGAAAACTCAAAGAAAACGATTAAAAATAATCCAATAATACAGTAATTTTAATCATCAGTTTTATCCTCAAGGTAAATTTAACAGATATACTTCTTAAAAGTAGCCAGCATGCTGGGAAAATATGTTAATAGTCAGGAGTATGTTATTATATATCTTCTGCAGTGTATTTTCTCATTTATGCAAAGGAAGAACCTGGATAACCCCAGAACACAAAAGGAAGATCAATGCTCACAGTCTTGCTTCTCTCCTATTCTATTTTCTAGGAGAAACAGTTGATTTGGTTAAACATTTATTTGAAATAGTGTATTTGGAAATGCTATAGGATGATTTCAATTGTTTCCTTCTCAAAGAACCAACCACTACAACAACAGTATGAAGCTTCACTTGTGAATGATTATGGGAAAATAACTACAATTACCTTGATTCCAATTATGCACAAATTCAAGGCTACTTATTCTAATAGTACATGAAAACTGTATTTTTGCTGTGTATGTGTTATAAGGCAATAGGAAGATATGCGTATTCACAAATGGTTTGTAGGTACGGAGAAGGATTGTATATTCAAGTAATGTAATTTTTGATACCTGAAGACCTCAAATGTCAAATGTTTGTCAAAAAGCTGCTTTAATCACCCCTGAACCAAAGATATATTCTGTGTTCTCCTCCAGTGAACTCTAAAGTGAACGATCTACATTTTAAGTTTGAATACTTGTTAGATCATTCATTTTAACCACCTCAAATTATGAAAAGTTTATTAGTAATATACATTCAAAACATTGTCTTCAAAAATCAGATTCTGTTTTCTGGCCACTAGATGTCACGATTACTCTGTTTGGAAAGACAATTTGAAACTGATTTGTTAGGGTGCAGTATTTCTGGGGCTAGCATACAGACATTGATTTTGTATTTTTCTGCATTTGAATTTAAACCGGCAAATATTTGAATCACCTAGAATTCTAATTTTTTATAATTTATCAATGATGACAAGAAAATAAAATTAAAATGTTACTGCTGTCTTAGACAAATCAATGTCCATCTGACAGAGCTGAGAATGTCTTCCCCTCCAAGGAAGAATTCTTACCAGGAAGGACCACAGGATCAGATTTGCAGTTTATAATGCAGTGTGAGTGGGACGGTGTGAAGGTTAACAAGGCTAGAAAGGGGGAGCAACTATTGCAGAATCAGGGTGAAATGATAAGGGTCAGAGTCAAGGTCGTGGCACTGGAATAGAGAGCACAAGGCATTCAGAAAATAGAAGAGAATAATTCACTGTCAGCATGCGGTAAGGGAGAGGGAGAAGTGACAGAAATGACTCAGGATCTGAACCACAGCCTGTGTGGCCAGTGATGCCAGTGTTGGAAGAACTCAGGAAGAAGAGAAAATGACTACAGAAAAGGGGTGTGTCCACTTGGGACAGACTGACTTTTAGGATGCTGTCTTCTCATTTCTCCCACTTTTCTGTATCTTTTAGGACTTTGGTTTCCATAATAAAACTGTAATCAGGATTCTCATTGCCAGAAGTGAAATAGACCTGCTGACCATAAGGAAACGATACAAAGAGCGATATGGAAAATCCCTATTTCATGATATCAGAGTAAGTTTCCGACACATGATTTATTTGGACCCACATTTTCTCCTTTTTGAAACTGAGATAAAAGTTCTCATTCAAATAACTTCATGGCAGACTCTAAAAAGTTAACTATTCAGACAGGGATAACCTAGTTTTTTTCCTCTACACAGTCTTTAGAACATCGGCAGGTGCTAACTTAGAAAACCCTTTACCTCAGCTGGGCGTGGTGGCTAATGCCTGTAATCCCAGCACTTTGGGAGGCTGAGGCAGGCAGATCACGAGGTCAGGAGATCCAGACCAACCTGGCTAACACGGTGAAACCCCGTCTCTACTAAAAATACAAAAAATTAGCCAGGTGTGGTGGCACACGCCTGTAGTCCCAGCTACCCGGGAGGCTGAGGCAGGAGAATCGCTTGAACCCGGGAGGCGGAGCTTGCAGTGAGCTGAGATTGCGCCACTGCACTCCAGCCTGGGCAACAGAGTGAGACTCCATCTCAAAAAAAGAAAAAGAAAAAAAAAAGAGAACCCTTTACCTCAGCGACAGAACTTATTCCTCTTTGATGTGTTTTACCCAGAAGCATTGATGCAGTCATGCAAAATATTCATTCTCTATAATTGTGCTTAAAGAGCTAAATTCTGAAGTATGATCAGGCTCAGGAAAAATATATATTGCAAAAGGCTGCATTACTTTTGAAGAGGTTTCTTAAATCAGTTGAGCTGTCCTCTCATATTGTCATAGAAGGCAGGGCAGTCAGTCAAATATCATAAACTGCTAATTCGGAGGGACTTAATGTTCCTAGCTATATACAACTCTACATATCCTTATCCCTTTAGCCCTTGAAGGGCAAAGGAGCAATGATTCAGTACTGAACAAGCCAGTGTTTTCATTCTGATACTTTTAAACTTCATGCATTTTGATACAACCTAACAAAGAATCCTCAGAATATATAGGACCATTTACTAACTGAGAGCCTAGTGGAAAATAAAAATGCTTGGCACTGTGTTCAAAAAAGTTTCAAGAATTTCAGGATGGGGAGAGCAGAGCATTAAACCAAGCCAAGCACAGGGACATAAGAATAGAACTGAACTTATATTTTGTGCAGAACTAAAAGCTATTACCTTGTTCACGTTGTTTTCATCTGAAATTTGTAATTCCAAGAAGCAGTGTTTTAGTTTATTGAAAGAGTAATCTAGAAGCAATCTAAAGCCCAAGAGATCACATAATACAGAAGACTTTGTAGGCCTCTGGAGAGCTGAAATGGTTTCTAAGAGGAAGAGTTGATGGAGCAGTTAAGAGAAATCTTATTCCTTCATCTTTGATAAAACTCTCCTACAGCCACTTTCAAAACTCTAAACTCTTTTAGTGATGAGAAATGCATGGCATAATTCATTTTCTAAATGAATACATTAGTTCTTAGGCACTTATTATAATTAATCACAACCGACTCAAAGTCTGCTAATATGAAAATGTAATTAATGTAACTTTGCTATGTACATTTAAAGTACTGAATTATCATTACATGACTTTGTGCCAAAGCACCTTAATATGAAAGTTGATACTTAACAAAGAAACATTTTATAATATTTATTTACTACTATCATTGATTTTGGAAAATATAGAAATTATAGAAGACCATTACAAGAAAATTAAAACCTCCCTAATTTTCTACAGAAAATCATTAATAAACTTTTATTCTGCTATGGTGTGCATGTTTGTGTCTCCTGAAAATGTATCTGCTGAAATTCTAACCCCAAAGAAGTGATGATACTAGGAGGTGGGGTCTTTGTGAGGTGATTAGGTCATGAACGTGGAGCCCATGAATGGGATTAATGTCCTTATAAAATAGGCCAAAGAGAACACCTTTGTCCCTTCTGCCATGTGAGCTTAGAATGAGAAGAAGGCTGTCTACGAGAGACAGGCACTCAGCAGGCACCACATCTGCTTGATCTTGGCCTTGCCAGCCTCTAGAGCTGTTAGAAATAAATTCCTATTGTTTATAAGTCACCCAGTTTATGGTACTTTTGTCACAGCTGCCTGAACACACTAAGACAGGTACTTTCAGTCATTTTCTAAAGCTATATAAATAATAATATGTTTTGCTATGTAAAAGAGTATTTTTATTGAATCATGGTATTCTGCTGTATAAGCTATAAAGTACACAAACTACCTCACATTATTATACATTGCTTCTCAGTTTTTCACTATTATACATAATATTATGGTGTATATATTTTTAGCACAAAACTTTGTGCTTATCAATGATTGATAATAACTTTCTTAATATATATTTCTTGAGGTAGAATTACTACATTAATAATTATAAATATTTTTAAATCTTTTGAGACATATTAATTTGTTCTCCACATTCTACATTCATTTATAACAATAATAATAATAACATTAGGGTACATCTTCCTAAAGTTGAGGAGAATATTTAATTCTAAGGCAAGTTCTTATAAATACACATTCAGGTTCAACCGACTTTATGTAAACCACATACTACTGACTGTAACCAGAGCATTATTCTTCAACAACTTTCATTGGGAGCAGTACTTAGGGCATGTTAAACCTTTAGATGAGAAAAGTAAATAAGTTTAGAAAGGCTAATGGTCCATGGCTCTTTCATAGTGCAGTCCAGAGGAATTATGCTTCCTTTTTAGAACTATTATGATATTTTATTTCAAATATATTATATTTTTCTTTTCAGAATTTTGCTTCAGGGCATTATAAGAAAGCACTGCTTGCCATCTGTGCTGGTGATGCTGAGGACTACTAAAATGAAGAGGACTTGGAGTACTGTGCACTCCTCTTTCTAGACACTTCCAAATAGAGATTTTCTCACAAATTTGTACTGTTCATGGCACTATTAACAAAACTATACAATCATATTTTCTCTTCTATCTTTGAAATTATTCTAAGCCAAAGAAAACTATGAATGAAAGTATATGATACTGAATTTGCCTACTATCCTGAATTTGCCTACTATCTAATCAGCAATTAAATAAATTGTGCATGATGGAATAATAGAAAAATTGCATTGGAATAGATTTTATTTAAATGTGAACCATCAACAACCTACAACAAGAGAGTCTGCTCAAGGCCGTCTTTATCATGATTTGAAAGACCAAGGAAAATGCAGTGTGACCATCCTAGTTTGGGGAATTTTTGAGACTCCTATACAATTACAATAAAGCTAGAGTGATCATCTACAGCAGGCTTTAAAAATAAGTAAAGACGTAAACCAGCAAAATGTGGCCGGGCATGGTGGCTCATGCCTATAATCTCAGCACTTTGGGAGGCCAAGGCAGGCAGATCACTAGGTCAGGAGTTCGAGACCAGCCTGACCAACATGGTGAAACCCTGTCTCTACTAAAAATACAAAAATTAGCTGGGCGTAGTGGCAGGTGCCTGTAATCCCAGCTACTCAGGAGGCTGAGGCAGAAGAATCGCTTGAACACAGGAGATAGAGGTTGTGGTGAGCCGAGATCGCACCACTGCACTCCAGCCTGGGCGACACAGCAAGACTCTGTCTCAAAAAAAAAAAAAGATATAAACCAGTAAAATGCAGCCAGATATATGCTTGCCTGGATTAGACGTATAAGAGATTTGGGTGTAAAAATACTGTGTGTGGCCAGGCGCGGTGGCTCACACCTGTAATCCCAACACTTTGGGAGGCTGAGGCGGGTGGATCACGAGGTCAGGAGATTGAGACCACGGTGAAACCCCATCTCTACTAAAAATACAAAAAATTAGCCGGGCACGGTGGTGGGCGCGTATAGTCCCAGCTACTTGGGAGGCTGAGGCAGGAGAATGGTGAGAACCAGAGAGGCGGAGCCTAGATCACACCACTGCACTCCAGCCTGGGAGACAAAGCAAGACTCCGTCTCAAAAAAAAAAAAAAAATATATATATATATATATATATATATATATATATATAGTGTGTGTGTGTGTGTGCACGTGTGTGTGTTTGACTTGCAGCTATTCTTTTTTTGTGACAGTACTTAACCAACTACTTGCCCAAGCTATGTGAGAAAAGCCATTTCTCTCTGTTTTTATCTTCACCTTTTAACAGCAGCCTCAACGACTTTTGGAAGTTATGATATGCTTTTTTGGTGCCATCAGTAGAGCATGGTCTCTTCTGTCTCTCAAGGTTCAGAAAGTTAGGAGTGACAAAGAAAAAATACTCACTGAGATCAGATTTGGGGAATAACCTAAACTGATGCCACAATCTAGCCAGGACTGAAACCAGAGGCAAGATGGGTGAGTGTAACCTGGAACCAAAAGGAAGAAAATTCTCATCCTGAAAACACATGAAAGTGTAAAATTCACTAGTAAAGCAAACACACAAATGAGGAAGAGAAAGGAGTCACATGGTACCACCACTGAAAAACACCAAACCACAAGAATAAACAGAGGAAAAAAAAAGAAGCAAAGAATATACAAAACAACCAGTAAATAACTAACAATATGATAGGAACAAAACCTCGTATATCAGTAATAACCTTGAATAAAAACAGATTACATTCTCCACTTAAAAGATATACACTGGCTGAAAGGCTAAAAACAGATCCAACTATATGCTGCCTACAAGAAATGCACTTCACCTATGAAGACACATATAGACTGAAAATAAAACTATGGAAAAGATATTTCAAGCAAACAGAAACCCAAAGCAAGCAGAAGTAGCTATATTTATAGTACATAAAATAGACTTTATGTCAAAAAGTAAGAAAAAGACTACATAAGTCATTTCATAATAATAAAAGAACCAATCCAGTGAAATGAAATAACAATTCTAAATATATATGTACCCAACATTAGAGCATCCAGATTCAGAGAGTAAATACTACCAGATCTAAACAGAGAGATGAACTCCAATACAATAATATTGCAAGAATTCAACACCCCACCTTTAGCATTAGGCAGATCATTGAGAAATAAAATTAACAAAGAAACATTGTATTTAAACTGCACTTTAGGGTTGGGCATGGTGGTTCATACCAGTAGTCTCAGCTACTTGGGAGGCTAAGGTGGGAGGATTGCTTGAGCCCAGGAGGTTGAGACTGCAGTGAACTGTGATAATGCCACTGCAGTCCAACCTGGGCAACAGAGTGAGACCCTGTCTCAAAAAATAAATAAATAAGTAAACTGCTTTTTATACTAAATAGACCTAACGGACACTTATAGAACATTTTCTGTAACAACTACAGAAGACACATTCTTCTTATCAGCACGTGCAACATTCTCCAGAAAGGACTATATATTAGACCATAAAACAGTCCCATTGAATTTTTAAAAAATCAAAGTCATATCAAGCATCTTTTCAGACTACAATGAAATAAAACTAAAAATCCATAACAAGAGGAACTTTGGAATGTATACAAATAGGTGGAAATCAAACATGTTGCTAGATGAACATCAGATCAGTAAAAAAAATGAAGATGGAAATCAGAAAGTTTCTTGGACAAATGAAAATGGAAACACAACATACCAAAACCTGTGTAATACAGTAAAAGCAGTGCTAAGAAGGAAGTTTATAGCAATAAATAACTACATAAAGAAATATTTCAAATAAAATCTGACAATGCACTTCAAGGAACTAGAGGATCAAAAACAAACAATACCCAAAATTAGCAGAAGAAAAGAAAAATAAAGATTACAGCAGAACTAAATGAAGTTGAGACTAAAAAAACCAATACAAAGGATCACCAAAATGAAAAAATGGTTCTTCTAGAAAAGAATCAAAATTGATAAACTTCTAGCTAGACTAACCAAGAAGAGAGACACAAATAAACAAAAACAGAAATGAAAATGGAGGCATTAAAACTGATATCACAGAAATATAGAAGATAATCAAAGACTATTATGAACAACTGTATGCTAACAACCTGAAAAACCTAGGAGAAATGAATAAATTCGTGCAAACATAAAACCTATCAAGATTGAATCAGAAAGAAATAGAAAACAAGAAAAGACCAATAATGAATAGTAATTAGAATTGGTAATAAAATGTCTTCCAACAAAGAAAAGACCAGGACCAAATAGATTCTCTGCTGAATTCTGTCAAATGTATAATGAAGAACTTATATCAATCCTCCACAAACTATTCCAAAAGACTGAAGAGGAGGGAATTCTCCCTAACTCATTTAACAAGGCCAGCATTACCAAATGCTGATACCAAAACCAGACAAGGAAAACTACAGGCCAATATACCTGATGAACATAGATGCAAAAATCCTAAAGAAAATACTGGCAAATTAAATCCAATAGCACATCAAAAGGATAATACATCACAAACAAGTGGGACTTATTCCAGGGGTACTATGATGGGTTGACATATGCAGATGAATAAATATGATGATAAATCACATCAACAGAATGAAGGACAAGAAACGTGATTATCTCAATAGATGCAGAAAAAGTATTTGATAAAATCCAACACTCCCTCATGATAAAAACACTCAACAAACTAGGTATAGAAGGAACATATAACAAAATAATAAAGGTCATTTATTACAAACCCACAGCTAACATCATACTGAATGGAGAAATATGGAAAGCATTTCATCCAGGAACTGGAACAAGACAAGGATGTCTACTTGCATCACTCCTATTCAACATGTTACTGGAAACCTTAGCCAGATTAGTCAGTTAAGAAAAAGAAATAAAATGCATCCAAATTGGGGAAAAGGAAGTCAAATTGTCCCTCTCTGCAGATAACAGAATTTTATATTATTTAAAAAAAAGAAAAAACAAAAGACTCCACAAAAAACTCCTAGAACTGATAAGCATATGCAGTAAAGTTTCAGGATACAAAATCATAACACAAAAATCAGTCACATGCCTATACACCAATAACGAAATACCCCAAAGAGAAATCAAGAACTAAATCCTATTTACAACAGCTACCAAAAAAATGCCTAGGAATAAATTTAATGAAGGAAGTGAAAGATTTCTACTAGGAAAACTACAAAACACTGATGAAAAAATTAAAGAGGACAAATGGAAAGATACTATGTGCTCATGGATCAGAAGAATTAATATCATTAAAATGATTATGTAACCCAAAGCAATCTACAGATTCAATTCAATCCCTATCAAAACACCAATGTCAGTTTTCACAAAAATAGAAAAAATTAGCCTGACACTTGTATTAATCAAAAAAGATCCAGAAAAGCTAAAGCAATCCTGAGCAAAAAACAAAGCCAGAGACATCACAATACCTGATTTCCCAACATATTACAAGCCTATAGTAACCAAAACAACATTGTATTAATGGAAAAATAGACAGATAGACCAAAGAAACAGAATAGAGACTCAAGAAATAAATCTATATATTTACAGTCAATTGATCTTCAACAAAGTCATGAGGAACATACACTGGGGAAAAGACACCTTCTTCAATAAATGGTACATTAAAAAAAACTGGCTAGCCATATGCAGAAGAATGAGACTAGACCCCTATGTCTATGTACAAAAATCAACTCAAGATGGATGAACAACTTAAATGTGATACCTGAAACTATAAAACTACTAGAAGAATACATAGGGAAAACTCTTCAGGACACTGGTCCATGCAACGATTTTATGACTAAAACCTCAAAATCACAAGCAACAGAACCCAAAATAGACAAAAGGGACTATATTAAACAAAAAAGCTTCTGCACAGCAAAAGAAACATTCAATAAGTGAAGAGACAACTGCTTGAATAGGAGAAACTGTTTGCAAACTACTCATTCAAAAGGGGGCTGTATCCAGAATATATAAGGAACTCAAACAACTCAACAGTAAAAAACCAATAGTCCCATTAAAAATTGGGCTAAGACATGAATAGACATTTCTCAAGAAGAAATACAAGTGGCCAAGAGGTATATGACAAAATGCTCAAGATCACTAATCATCAGGGAAATGCAAGTCAAAACTACAATGAGATATCACCTCACCTCAGTTACAATGGCTTTTATTTAAAAATCACAAAATAACAGATGCTGGTGAGAATCCAGAGAAAAGGGAACTATTAAACACTGTTGGTGAAATGTAAATTATGCAGCCACTATAAAAAGCAGTGTGGAGATTTCTCAATAAACTAAAAATAGTACTACCACATGATCCAGAAATCCCACTGACAGGTGAAGCCAGTTGGACTTCCTGGGTCAGTGGGGACTTGGAGAACTTTTCTGTTTTACAAGAGGATTGTAAAACGCACCAATCAGCTGGGCGTGGTGGCTCACGCCTGTAATCCCAGCACTTTGGGAGGCCGAGGTGGGCAGATCACAAGGTCAGGAAATCAAGACCATCCTGGCTAACACAGTGAAACCCCGCCTGTACTAAAAATACAAAAATTTAGCTGGGTGCGGTGGCAGGCGCCTGTAGTCCCAGCTACTCGTGAGGCTGAGGCAGGAGAATGGTGTGAACCCGGGAGGTGGAGCTTGCAGTGAGCCAAGATTGCGTCACTGCACTCCAGCCTGGGCGACAGAGTGAGACTCCCTCTCAAAAAAACAAACAAACAAACAAACAAACAAACAAAAACCACACCAATCAGCACTCTGTGGCTAGGATTGTAAAACGCACCGCTCAGCACTCTGTAGCTGGCAAGAGGTTTGTAAAATGCACCAATCAGCACTCTGTAAAGGGATCAATCAGCATCCCATAAAATGGACCAATCAGCAGGATTCTAAAAGTAACCAATCATGGGGAGGACTGAGAAAAGGGCATTCTGATAGGACAGAAACAGGACATGGGAGGGGAAAAATAAGGGAATAAAAGCTGGCCACCCCAGCTAGTAGTCGCAACCTGCTGGGGTCCCCTTCCACGTTGTGGAAGCTTTGTTCTCTTGCTCTTCACAGTAAATCTTGCTGCTGCTCACTCTTTGGGTCTGTGCCACCTTTAAGAGCTGTAACACTTACTGCAAAGGTCTGCGGCTCCATTCTTGAAGTGAGCGAGACCATGAACCCACCAGAAGGAACCAACTCTGGACACACCACTACTGAATATTTATCCAAAGGAAAATAAATCTGTATATCAGAGGGATACCTGCACTCATAGTTATTGTATCACTCTTCACAATAGCAAAGATATGGAATCAACCTAGGTGTCTATCAATAGATGACTCAATAAAGAAAATGTGGCATAAACACACAATAGAATACTAATTGGCCATAGAAGAAGAATAAAATCACGTCATTTGCAGCAACATGAATGGAACTGGAGGTTATTATACTAAGTGAAATAAGTCAGGCACAGAAAGACAAATACCACATCTTCTCATTCATATGTGGGAGTTAAGAAACTTGATCTCATTAACATGGAGAATAAAATGCTAGATACCAGAGAGTGGGAAAGGTGGGTAGGCAGGCGGCTGTATAAAGAGATGTTGGTTAATGGGTATTAACATGCATTTAGATGGAAAAAAATAAGTCCTAATGTTTGGTAGCAGACTATGATGACTACACTTAGCAAGAATATTGTGATAAAACTTGAAATGATACCAAAATATAGAAAGGATAAATATGCAAGGTGACAGATACCCCAAGTACCCTGATGTTGAAACCAACCCAATAGTCCCATATACTGTTCTTTTTGATAAACGTAGAAATTGATCCTTCTGCTCTTAAAGCTTGAAGCTTATATTTGTTTTATCTGAGTTCCTTCCTTTGGACAGGATCTTCAGGCCTCTCAGAAAAGTATCAAAGAACTGAAATTTGCCTCAGAAAAGTATCAAAGGACTGAAACTCACCAGATCACAGCACCAGTTGTCAGACTTCTCATTCATGATGATGGCTTCCTTGCCCCTCCTTAGTTCCTGTTTTCTTATGCATGGTTACATTTCTTCCCTGCTATATAAACCCATAGTTAGTCAGTCAGGGAGATGAATTGGAGACTGAGCTCCCATCTCCTTGGCTGCAGCACCAAGTTAAAGCCTTCTTCCTTGGCAGTACTCATCATCTCAGTGATTGGCTTTCTGTGCAGTGAGCAGTAGGGCCTAGACCAAACCCTTGGTATTGCAGTAACAATGGGACCATTACATATTCTATCCCTGCAACAAACACTCACATATACCCCATAAATATGTAAAATATTATATATCAAGGAAAGAAAAATAATGGGTAACTAGGTAACATGAACAAATTAATTTGCATCACTATGGTAATAATTTTACTATCTATAGCTATATCTTAAAACATCATGTTGTATACCTTACATATATACATTCAAATTTATTTTTTAAAATGGAAGATATATTTCAATAACGTTAGAAAATGAGAAGGGATCAAAATGATAAGACATAAAAATCAATGGAAATGAAAGGAAGTGGCAATTGAGAAAATGAGGAACAATAATAGTATAAGACTAAAAATCCATATTAGCAATTACTTTAAATGTAAATGGTTTAAACACTCCAATCCAAAGGTAGACATTGGCAGAATAGATTAAAAAAATAAACATAATCGAATATATACTGTCTGAAAAGACTCCTTTTAGATCCCAAAGCACAAAGAGGCTGGAAGTAAAATGATGGGAAAAGATATTCTATGCAAACAGCAAATAAAAGAGATTTGGTTTGGCTATACTAATATCAGACAACATAGATTTTCAGTCAGAAACTGTTATAGATTCTGGGGTGACCTGGCAGTGTTGCCACACAGGCATTTTAGTCTCAAGCTGGAGACTGGAGTGCCTGGCCTGGAGTTGGGTAGGGGCCTCCACAGCCAGAACTGTGGAAAGCATCTCAGCAGTAGGTGTTGGAATTGTGTTCTACCCTGTTGCAATCCTGGGGAAAGAGGAGTACTTCTAAAGCTGCAGTTTCTCCTGGACAGTGAGATTTGCAGCCAGGTCAAGTTTAGTAATCTGGAATCAGTCTGCATGTGCCATTTCTTGGTGCCCCAGCCTGCTATCCTGAGATCATGATGCAATGGGGTCCATACCACTCCACTCCCAGGCAGAATTTCAGGCACTTGGAGCATCTATTTGATTGGACGAATAGCCTGAGCCACCCTATCCTTCATAGACACAGATTGTGGTCCAGTCAGGCCCTCTCCACTCCATGCCCATACAGATGTCCATGCATGCAGGGTACCCATTCACCTGCTTCAGCAGCCTGAGCTGCCCCACACTTCCTGGGCATAAATTGTGGTCTAGCATGGCTCTCTGCTCCATGCCTAGGCAAAGCTCCAGGTAGTCAGAGCATCTGCTTGCCTGATTCAGCAGCCCAAGTTGCCTCACCCCTCCTGTGCAGAGATCTTTGTAGAGGGGGGCACTCCTTGCTTCAAACCAAGCAGATCTCCAGGCACTCAGAGGACGATGCTTACCTGGATCAGCAGCCTGACCTGCCCAGTCCTTCCTGTACAGAGATCCTGGTGCATGGAGGCCCTCTTTGCTTCATGCCCAGGCAAATCTCCAGACATTCAGAGCACCCACTCACCTGGTTCAGTAGCCTGAACCACCCCACTGTTCCTGGACATAGATTATGATGCAGTGAGCATCTCCCCACTCTGTCCCCAGGAAGATCTCCAGGAATTCAGAACACCAATTCACCTGTATTACCATCCCAAGCTGCCCCATCCTTCCTATACAGACAACCTGGTGCAGGGGAGGTCCTCTCTGCTCCACATCCAGGTAGATCTCCAGGTACCCAGAGAACCTACTTTCCTCAAATAGGAGCTTAAGCCACCCTCCATCCCCAAGCAGAAAACTTGGGGCCAAGGAGATTTCCCAGCTCCATGCCTAGGCACACCTCTGGGCACCTGCTGGCCACCCACTGGATTCTCTCTTGGCATTGGCGGTGTGCCAGACATTGGGGGATAAGTAGGTGAGCCTGCCTAGTCTGTCCCCATCTATTGTAGCCCCTGCCCCCTGCCTCCAGGGCTGAGCAGGGAACTCAGATAACTGTGCATTTCATGAATCAGCCCTTTGCCTGAGGCAAAGAGAGCCTCTACCAGAAAATAAGGATCAAGTATATACAAAGCTGTGTTGGCTGCAGCTGGCTCTTTTCTATAAGCACCATCTAATATCTTGTAGGCAGAAATGCACAGTCTAATATAAAACCTGCTGAAGGAAGTAAATAAGACTATAGAAGCAAACCCAAAAGACCCTATTCAGCATTCTCTACAGTCACACCCCCTAGGGAGATAGGGAAGAGAAAAGGAAAGAAGAAAACGCAATAATATTATAGGAAAAGAAATAAAACACAAAAAATCCCACCTACACAAAATAATTACAAATATTGGAAGTGCCAGCATCTCCAGATGAAAAAACCCAGTGCAAGAATTCTGGCATCACGAAAATCTGATTGTAGTAACACCACCAAAGAATTGCACTAGCCCTCTAGCAATGGTCACTAGACAAAATGGAAATTAAGAAATGACAATTTAAGAACTGAAAGCATGGATTGCAAGGAACCTTAACGAGATCCAAGACAAAGATAAAAATCAACACACACAAAAAAAAAACCTCTATAGCAACCCAGTAAACAAAGGAAAACATTAACATATTTTTAAAAAATCAATCAGAGCCACTGGAATTGAAAACCTCACTTACGGAATTTCAAAATACAATTGGAAGCTTTAAAGCTTTATTAATAGAATAGATCAAAAGGAAGAAATAATATCACAGCTTGAAGATTGTTTGTTCAAACTGATTGAGTCAAAAAAATTAAGGTAAAATAATTTTTAAAAATGAACAAAGTCTTTGAGACTTTGGGATCCCACACATAATATGGGACTATGTAAACCAACCAAACCTACACATTTTGGCATTTCTGAGAGAGAAGGAGAAAAAAAGTAAACAGCATGAATAACATATTTGAAGGAATAATTCAAAAAAATTTCCCAGCTGGGTGCGGTGGCTCATGCCTGTAAACCCAGCACTTTCAGAGGCCAAGGCGGGCAGCCTCATGAGGTCAGGAGATCGAGACCATCCTGGCTAACAAGATGAAACCCTGTCTCTACTAAAAATACCAAAAAAAATTAGCTGGGCATGGTGGTGGGCACCTGTAGTCCCAGCTACTTGGGAGGCTGAAGCATGAGAATGGCGTGAACCCGGGAAGTGGAGCTTGCAGTGAGCTGGGATCACGCCACTGCACTGCAGCCTGGGTGACAGAGCAAGACTCTGTCTCAAAAAAAACAAAAATAATTTCCCTAATCTTGCTAGATAGGTAAACATCCAGATACAAGAAATAGAAAGAACACCTGTACAAAAATACCTATACAAAATGAAAATCACCAAGGTATACTCACCAGACCATCCAAGGTCAACAGTAAAGAAAATATCTTAAAGGCAGCTACAGAGAAGGGACAGGTCACTTACAAAAAGAACCACATCAGGCTAACAGTGGATTTCTCAACAGAAACTTACAATCCAGGAAAGACCACAGGCCTATTTTCACCATTCTTAAAAACAACAAATTCCAACCAAAGATTTTATATCCTGCCAAATTAAACTCCATACATGAAGAAGAAATATTTTCCAGACAAGTAAGAACAAAGGGAATGTGTCATCACTAGACCAGCCTTAGAAGAGATCCTTAAAGGAGTTCTAAACATGGAAACAAAAGAATGATACATGCTATCCCAAAAACACACTTAAGTACACAGTGAACACATAAAGCAACCACATAATAGAAACTACAAAACAACCAATTAACAACTTCATAATAGAATCAAAACCTCACATGTCAATATTAACTTTGAATGAAAGTGGTCTAAATGTCCCACTTAAAAGGCACACACTGTCAAGCTGGATTAACAACAAGACCCATTTGTCTGCTGTTTTTAAGAGACTGATTTCATGTGTAATGACACCAGTAAGCTCAAAGTAAAGGGTTGGAGAAAGATTCTCCATGCAAAAGGAAAGCAAAAAAGAGCAGGGGTCGCTAGTCTTCTATCAGATAAAACAGATTTTAAACAAAGAGCAGTAAAAAATGACACAGAAAGGCACTATAACAATTTATAACAGAGCTGTGGTGGGCTCCACCCAGTTCGAGCTTCCCCAGCCGCTTTGTTTACCTACTCAAGTCTCAGCAATGGCGGACGCCCCTCCCCAGCCTCACTGCCGCCTTGCAGTTCAATCTCAGACTGCTGTGCTAGCAGTGAGCAGGCCTCTGTGGGCATGGGACCCTCTGAGCCAGGCATGGGATATAATCTCCCGGTGTGCCATTTGTTAAGGCCATTGGAAAAGCACAGTATTATGGTGGGAGTGTCCCAATTTTCCAGTACCATCTGTCACGGCTTCCCTTTGCTAGGAAAGGGAATTTCCTGACCCCTTGTGCTTCCTGGCTGAGGCGATGCCCCACCCTGCTCCATGGGCTCCACCAACTGTCTGACAAGCCCCAGTGAGATGAATCTGGTACCTCAGTTGGAAACGCAGAAATCAACTGTCTTCTGTGTCACTCACGCTGGGAGCTGCAGACTGAAGCTATTCCTATTCAGCCATCTTCACAATCTCCCAAGATTGAATCAGGGAGAAACAAAAAACCTGAATAGACCAATATAAATTTCCAAAATTGAATCAGTAATAAAAAACCTACCAATTAAAAAATTATTTTTTGGAATAATTTTAGTAGAATTGGTAATAGTGTTATAGCTCTTTATATTTCTGATCAAATTCAACTGTGAAGCCACACGGGCATGGGTTACTCCTTAAATCACTCTATGAAGCCAGCATCACCCTGACATCAAAATGACATACTCATTTTTCTCACTATTTCATCTATATGCAGGCACCAAACCATCCTGTGCCTGTGGTTTTCCCTTTCACAGTCCAACAGCTGGCAGTAGTCACAAGACGTGTGGAATGAGTCCTCACATGTGTTCTGAGAAGCTCTAGAGAGGCAGGTAGAGCTACACTTATTCCTGGAACTGAATTGATGGCAGCACCCTCTCTGTGCCAGCTGTCACACTGCTGTAGGTTTTGTTTCCTCACAGAGCTTTGTGTTTTGTTACAGCTTTAGAAAACAAAAGAAGAGTAGGTAGCTTATCACAGAATCCCATTTTTTAAAGTCAAAGCCCCTAGAAAAATATATGTCTGGAACACTGAAGGCAAAGGTTGAAAGTATATGCACATACACCTGCAGTCTGGCATGTGCCCCAGCTACTAACTACTTCAAGGACATAGCCCAGCCACTCCCTTAGACTCCCAGTCACGTTTCTTTCTCTTGTCACTTCTCCTGATTCTCCTTCTTCCTCTTCCTCTCCGTTTTATCCATTCTCCCCTTTTTTTTTTTCAAATTTGATTTTTAAATGTGATAAAGATCAGAGCAAGGTAGAGAAAATCTTGGGGTGATTAATTAGTCTTGAGAGTCACTAAAAATTATTCTCCATCAGCTCAAAAGTCTTGATGAGTGTAGAAACCAACACTTTGTATTAAAAAACTATCTGCTGAATGGAATCTGATGTCCAGTAAAAAATAAAAGCATGATGGAGAGCTCCCGTGCATGGACAGTGCTATGTAGAGAATTAGCACAATGAATTACCCTCAAGGTTTTAATGAGATGCAAGAAATAGTACTTCATTGTGATATGACCATCTTCATATTTCTTCACTTCTTAAGTATCAAAAATTAATAAGGTTAGAGAAAATTTGAATAATGCAATTAGGAACCTTTCTCTGATTGCTAGTACATGTAATAATTTGAGAATATACATATACAATCTTCTCATGCATATAAGAAATGTTTATGAAAACTAACCATGTATTAAGTCACAAAACTACAAAATTCAAAGAATAAGTGTCTTAGGAACTACGTTCTCTGACGACATGATCAGTAATGAAAGATAAATAAGAAAATCAAAATAAAATGGCTTATGTCTGGCAGTTAATAAGACTACTTCTAAATAACTAAAGAGGCAAAAGTTAATTAGTCAAAATACTTGAAATAACCTTAAAATATTTATTAAAATGTATGGAATGCATCCAAAATTATGATTAGAAAAATTTATATCTTAAATACTTTTATTGGAAAGAAGTTAGAATGAAAATTAGTGAGATAAGCATCCAACTTAGCTAAGGGAATTAAAAGAACCAAGAAAAAAAGTTAAAAGAAGACTATTTTCTAAGAAAGTAAATTAAGGAGATAATTAAGATTAAAAATTTATTGACACATAAAAAAGAAAAACGATTGATAAAGCCAAAACTAAATACAACTATGACTATGCCTTACTTAGCAACAGGATACATTTAAGAAATGTGTCATCCTTGTGTAAACATCATAGAGTGTACTTACACAAACCTAGTCTACTACATACCTAGCCTAACCTCCTAGGCTACCAACATACACAGGGGTGTTACTGTACTCAGTACTGTAGGCAATTGTAACACAATGCTATTTATGTATTTAACCATATCTAAACATACTAATGGTACACCTATATAGGGCACTTACCGTGAGTGGAGCTTGCAGCACTGTATGTTGTTCTCGGTAAGTTCATGAGTGAGTGGTGAGTGAATATGAAGGTCTAGCTCATTACCGTACATCACTGTAAACTTTATAAACACTGTACATTTGGGCTACACTAAATTTATAAAAAAATTTTTTATTCCTTCATTATTAAATTAACCTTGGTTTACTGTAACTTTTTTACTTTATAAACTCTTAATTTTTAAAAATTTCTGACACTTTTGTAATAACACTTAAAACACACACCCAGGTTGTACACCTGTACATATTTTCTTTCTATATATCATTATTCTATCACCTTTTTTCTATTTTTTTAATTTTTAAACTTTTTTATTAAAAACTAAGACACAAACACACACATCAGCCTAGGCCTGCACAGGGTCAGAATCATCAATATCACTGTCTTTCTCCTTCACATCTTGTCCCACTGGAAGGTTTTCAGGGGCAATAATACACATGGAGCTGTCACCTCCTGTGATAACAATGCCTTCTTCTGGAATAGCTCCTGATGAACCTGCCTGAGGCTGTTTTACAGTTAACTTTTTTTTTGATAAGTAGAAGGAGTACACTCTAAAGTAATCATAAAAAAGCATAGTATACTAAAAGTTAGGCAATAGGAATCTTTTAGTTCCATTATAATCTTATGGGACCACCTTCATATGTGTGGTCCATTGTTGACTATAATGTCATTATGTAGCACACGACTATATTTCAAAATAATAATAGTTCAACAACATGAGCTTGGACATGCATAGTGGTAGAAATAAAAAAGAAAATAAGTGGGAGATCCATTGTAAAAAGTATGTCAATAGACATGGATACAGATTGCATCCAGAGGTAGAAAATTAGTTTAAGGATGACAAATTCATTATGACAATAAGAAACAAAACTTCTGCAGACTACCTTAAGTTTTTATTTATTTCATCTCTTGTAACATACATGAGCATCTCAGAAAGAAGGGAACAGCCCATGCCTAACAGTACCATTCTCTGGGAATACTAGTGGCAGTTTATTTATTGAATTCATATTTTACAGTGAAGAAAGAATTGTCACACAGTAAATAGCTAATAATCCACCAACACGCATACACACACACACACACAAACACACACACACATACACCCTTTCCAATGTCCCCTGGCAATAGTCCCTCACGTCTGGGTCCCTGGCAATACTCCCTCATGTCTAGTTTTTTTCTAGGCTTTACATCCTTTATTTCACTCCTGTTTACTTTCAGCTGATTCTATTTGTGTGTTTTCTATATATCACACCTGTTGCTAAAGAGATTTGTTTACACATTGATATGGCCTGGCTCTGTGTTACCACCCGACTCTCATGTTGAATTGCAATTCTTAATGTTGGGGGAGGGGCCTGGTGGTAGGTGATTGGATCATGTGGACAGATTTCCCCCTGCTGTGCTCATGATAGTAAGTGAGTTCTCATAAGATCTGGTTGTTTAGAAGTATGTGGCACTTCCCCCTTCACTCTCTCTCCTGCTGCCATGAGCAGATATACTTGCTTCCTCTTCACCCTTCTGTCATGATTTTAAGTTTCGTGAGGGCTCCCCAGTCATGCTTCCCATACAGCCTGCAGAACTGTAAGTCAATTAAACCTCTTTTATTCATAAATTATCCAGTCTCAAGTACTTCTTTATAGCAGTGTGAGAACTAATACAGAAAATTGATACCAAAGAAGTGAGGCATTGCTATAAAGATACCTGAAAATGTGGAAGTGACTTTGGAATTGGGTAATGGGCAGAGGTGGGAACAGTTTAGAGCACTCAGATGAAGACAGGAAGATGTGGGAAAGTTTGGAATGTCCTAGAGATATATTGAATGGTTGTGACCAAAATGCTGATAGTGACATAGACAATGAAGTCCAGCCTGAGGTGGTTTCAGATGGAGATAAGAAACTTATTGGGAACTGGAATAAAGGTCATCTTACTATGCTTCAGCATAGAGACTGGGGGCATTATTCCCTTGCTCTAGGGATTTGTGGAACTTTAAGCTTGAGAGAGATGATTTAGGATATCTGGCAGAAAAAAATTTCTAAGCAGCAAAGCATTCAAGATGTGGCCTGGCTGCTTCTAAAAGCCTATGCTAATTTGCATAAACAAAGAAATGACACTAGAGAACATATATTTAAAAGGGAAGCACAGCATAAAAGTTTGGAAAGCTTGCAGCCCAACCATGTGGTACAAAAGAAAAAAAAATTTTCTAGGGAGGAATTCAAGGCTGCAGAAATTTGCATAAGTAAAGAAAAGCCTAATCTTAATAGCCAAGACAATGGGGAAAATGCCTCCAGGGCATTTCAGAGACCTTCATGGCAGCCCCTCCCATTACAGGCCTGAAGGCCTAGGAGGAAAAAATGGGTTCATGGGCCAGGCCCAGGGCCCCACTGTTCTGTCCAGCCTTGGGACATGGCACCCTGCATCCCAGCTACTCCAGCTCCAGGAGTGGCTAAAAGGGGCCAAGGTACAGCTTGAGCCATTGCTTCTGAGGGTGAAAGCCCCAAGCCTTGGCAAGCTTCCAAGGCTTGTGCCTGCAGGGGCACAAAAGCAAGAGTTGAGCTTTGGGAGCCTTTGCCTATATTTCAGAGGATGTATGGAAATGCCCGGATGTCTAGGCAGAAGTCTGCTGCAGAGATGCAGCCCTCGTGGAGAACCTCTACTTGAGCAGTGCAGAGGGGTTGCAGCCCCACAGACAGTCTTCACTGGGGCACCGCCTAATGGTGCTGTGAAAAAAGGGCTACCATCTTCCAGATCCCAGAATGACAGATCCAGCAACAACTTGTGTCGTGTGCCTGGAAAAGCTGCAGGCACTCAACACCAGGCTGTAAAAGCAGCTGTGGGACCTGTACCCTGAAGGGCCACAGAGGCAGAGCTGTGCAAAGACTTGGAAGTCCATCCCTTGCATCAGTGTGCCCTGAATGTGAGACATGGAGTCAAAGGAGACTATTTTAGAGCTTTAAGATTTAATGACTGCCTTGTTAGGTCTCAAACTTACATGGGCCCTGTAGCCCCATTGTTTTGGCCAATTTCTCCCTTTTGGAATGGAAGCATTTATCCAATGCCTGTACCCCCATTGTGTCTTGAAAGTAACTAACTTGTTTTTGATAACAGGCTCATAGATGGAAGGGACTTGTTTGTCTCAGATGAGACTTTGGACTGGAACTTTTGAGTTAATGTTGGGATGAGTTAAGACTTTGTGGGACTATTGGGAAGGCATGATTATGTTTTGAAATGTGAGAAGGACATGAGATTTGGAAGGGAACGGGGCAGAAGATATGATTTGGCTCTATTTCCCCACCTAAATCTCATGTCATATTGTAATTCTTAATGTTAGGAGAGGGACCTGGTGGGAGATGACTGGATCATGGGGCGGATTTCCCCCGTTCTGTTCTCATAATAAAGAGTTCTCACAAGATCTGATTGCTTAAATGTGTGTAGCACCTCCCCCTTTGCCCTCTCTCTCTCCTGTCTCCATGTGAAGATGTGCTTGCTCCCCTTCACCCTTCCACTGTAATATTAAGTTTTCTGAGGCCTCCCCAGCTATACTTCCTGTACAGCCTGAGTAAATTTGAATCAATTAAATCTTTTTTTCACAAATTACCCAGTCTCTGTTAGTTCTTTATAGCAGTGTGAGAACAGATGAATACACACATATTGTGTTATATATGCAAAAAATAGAATATAAATTTAAAATCAATGAATAAAATAAAGTAATGGGTAAATAAGGAAAGGAAAATACTTGAAGCCCAGATTGAGATGTATACTAAATGTCTCCCCTGAGATTCCCCTTTTCTAGTGCTGTGAGATGACCACAACTCCTTTATATCACGAGATATTTTCTCACTTTTGTATTTCACCCTGCAACTTATCCCCAAACTATAAATATAGTAATGATGGTGTTTTAGGAAGTTAATAATATATAATGCCCTTTTTATTCTTACATGGTTTAATTGGAAAATGACACAGGTGATAGATGAATGGAAATACAATGTCAGCCTTGTGACTATAGTAAATTTCCTATTGCTGCTATTAATGAGTTACTATTAAATTAGTGGTAATATCACTGTTCTCAAAGTCAGATGTCTAAAATGGACCTCACATGCTAGAATTAAGTGGCTGACAGGGCTGTGTTCCCTTCTGGAGGCTCTAATGGAGGGTCTTTCTTTGCTAGACAAGGGAAGGGCTGGATCTACAAAGTAACTGAATAAGCCAAGGTGGAAAAATAATGGGGTCCATAAGAGTCATGTACCAGAAAAGAACATGAATATGTGCTAATAGATGTCTGCTAAAATACTTGTCTGTATTGTACATTTTTTAAACTTCATATTTTCCAAATGCTTCAACATCCCCACAAACAGGCTGTGAACACCCTGCCCAGGCATCCAGGCACACTTCTTTTCCTCCACTCACTGTCACCTACTGACATTCAAACACACCAGTGAAATCCCCTCATCCCTGATCCCCAACAAAGACACTTGCCCAGGGGTCCTTTCCCTCTCTCTGCTCCCCACCTACTTGGTTGAACCTGAATGGTGACCATTCCTCTCCCTCTAGAACCTGTGAGTACAATAACTTTTCATTTCCTATGCCTCAGCAAGTGTACTGTCTACAGCCATGTTGGATTGATTTTTCAAGATCCTATAATATTTATAATCCAATTTATAACCCAATTTATAACCTGCTATCAATAAGCAAAAACCTAGATCATCCTTCATTTTTCTCATAATGTCATATTCGTTATATAATCCATCAACAATGTAAGCCTACTTGAGTTTACACCTTCTCTCCCTTTCTACTGTAGCTAATTTAATCCAAGCCACACACTTGTGTCATGATGACTGTCATAGCCTCCTTCTCTCCTTGCCTCCTCCAGTCTGTTTCTCATGAGGTAAAAGAACATCATTTGGAAACGCAAATCATAGCATGTCTTGACCACGTCTTGGCCAAAATGTTCCACTGTATTCTTCAAATCTATAGCCTATAAGGCCCCCTTCTTCTATTCCACTCTAATCTCTTACCACTTTCCTTATTTACTTCACACAGTCACACTGCCCTTCTCGGTATATCTTAAACACAACTTTATTCTCCCATCAGGCCTTTGCACTGCTGTTTCTCTGCCTGAAATTTTTTTCGTAATTTCTTCCTTTTTTTTTTTTTTGAGACAGGGTGTCACTCTGTCACCCAGGCTGGAGAGTGCAGTGGCACAATCATGGCTCACTGAAGCCTCGACATCCCAGGATCCAGCGATCCTCCTACCTCAGCCTCCTGAGTAGCTGGGACCACAGGTATGTGCCACCACACCTGGCTATTTTTGTATTTTTGGTAGAGATGGGGTCTTGCCATGTTTTCATGGCTGATTTTGAACTCCTGAGTTCAAGCAATCCATCTGCCTTGGCCTCCCAAAATTCCGGAATTATAGGCATGAGCCACTGCACCTGGCCTGCCTGAAAATTTCTTTCTCCAAACCTTTGTGTGGCTATTTTCCTCCCCACTCCCAACAGTTTTTATATAATTATCTGACCCTTATCCTATTTTGTCAATGACTTTAATAGGACATAAAATTATGTTATATATTTATGTGCAAAAACTGCAATTACTTTTGCACCAACCTAATATTTCAGCCTCAGTGTTATTGAACTGCAGACTCAACGTGCATAAAATCAGCCAGGGTTGGGGTATGATTCTTTCTCAGAGAATTAAACATCTATGTAGAGTTGTATCAAGAAAGCCAGGCCCTGTAATAAAAGGGTCTACATTTTCTGGTTTCTAGGATATTGTTCAGCTGCATCAGCTATGATAAAAGCTTGTTATCAACTTCAGAGTCACAAAGATGTGCAGTGCAAGCATTATTAATCCATTTATTACTGGGAAATTAGATTTGGTTTCAGATTGGTACACCCACATAAATAATAAGAGCTAATACAGGTTTAATCAAATGCATTGGTAAGACACAATTTTTTTTCATAGGCACTCAACCTAGTAGGGACTTCACCTGCTTGTGATATAAAGATGATACAGTGGGTCTTTATTGCACAGGAAAATATAAACCGGATCACAAAGGGATATTGAGAGGAGCAGGGACTAGCTTTGAGTATATTCTCTGGTTATGGAAGGCTTGCTCACTTATATAAGATTTCTTGCAGTAGCAAAAATTCCTATAAAGATCAGCATTTCAAGTTGAAGAGGCAAAGCTTCCCTTGACCCAGTTACTGATTCATGCAAAAACTGTAGTATCAAACATCCCCCAACATGTTCAGACCTTCCTTTCTTTTGATAAAAATGTCATGAATGAAAACTTCCATTTCTGGGCAAGATGGAGCAACCTCATTTCTTCCAGGTCTTTTTTCTTACAACTCAAAAAAGGTCTTCTTTCTTAAAACGCAAAAACCTTGGACACAATATAAAAGTAAGAGTAAGAAGACTGAAACATGAGAAGAAGAAAGCGAACTACCTAGTGATCTCAAGTCAAGGAGCAACATGGCAATATGTTTCCTGGGTTTCCTTATTGACTCCCACATATCCTGGCCATGGTGCTACAGAAGTCCATGACCTAGAACTGCCAACTGGCACAGATAAAACTAGTCCAAGAAAAGCCTATTTTCCCCCAGCCAAATGACCTTAACAAAGAGTGGTCTAATGTAGAAAGCCTTTTTGGCAATATCCGTTGCTATGCTTTGAATATGTTGTCCCCAAAACTTAATTGGAAACTTAATCTCCAATGAAACAGTGTTGAGAGGCAGGGCCTAATGGAAGGTGTTTAGGTCACAATGGCTCCACCCTCATGAATGGATTAATGCCAATTATAAAAGGGCTTCAAGCTTCAAGTTCAGTCTCTTACTCGCTCATGTGCTCTCTCTCTTGCCCACATGATGACTTCTGCCATTTTATGATGCAGCAAGTAGTAATTCACCATTCTGTGTTCCCTTGATCTTGGACATCTCAACTTCCAGAATCATGAGCCAAATAAACTTACATTGTTTATAAATTACCCAGTCTGTGGCATTCTGTTACAGCAGCACAAAATGAACTAAAACATCCATCCTACTCCTTCCAAACACCAATAGAAAAAAATACAGCAACTCTCCTCCACTGCAGTTTCAACAGAGCAGAGTGAGAAGCTAATCCACTGCCTGTGCCCCTGCCCCATAGAAGCAGACAGTGGCACTCTCATTCCCTTGCCTGTTGGTGCTGGCAGGGCTGAGCAGGGAGCTATTATTCCATTCCCTGCCTAAAAGAAGCAGGTGTTGCTCAGATTCCCTCACCAGGATAATGTCAGCAGGTTCCAGCAGCAAACTAAGCCTCTACCCTTACCTGGCAGCAATGAGAATTGATAAAGAACTAAGAGGTCGGGCTAATCACCACTACGCTTTACCCTCTCCTGGTGGCATTAGGGCCTTCTGAGTCTCTCCCTGACTTGCCATCAGTGAGAATGAATGAGGTAGTGTGAAGTGGGGCTCATTGGTACTCTCCTTTTACCTCCCTCCCTGACAATTCTCCATGTGTCCCTGAAGTGACCCAGTTCTCCTCCCTCTCTTGCTTGTAGTTGTCCTCAAGAATAACTATGGAATGTGCTGTGAATGCAATATCCTGAGATAAGGGGGAATTGGCTGGAATCATCCAGGCTCTGTTTTAGTCTTCCCCAGAATAGGCTGTGCATTGAAATTCTTTATCCCAGTGACTCCTGTTGCTATGGGGTATAAAAATCAAACCAGGCTGCTTTCTAAGGTCCCTCAGCTGTGGTGCAAGTAAGGCCCCAATAATTGAGATTTCATCTTCCTTGCCAGCTTTCCTGAGCCTTGGGGCACTAGTTCGCAATGAATCGGAGGCTTCTGTTGTACCTTGCTGCCTATCTGTGAGTTATAAATCTGCCTCATGTAGTTTGCTGTGCATGAGTGTGTTCTTTCTCATCAGACTAAGACAAGGTGGTAAACCAGTACTCAGTGAACCTACTTCACAGTGTGTACCAGGGTTGGGATGGTCCGCAGTGGAATGCTGAGCTTCCACTCACAATCAACATCAATAAGGAAGAATGAGGTGGAGCAAAGCAAGACTAATCAGCTCTTCCTCCATACATACTCCTGGTGGGAGCAGGGCCAAGCAGGCTGTTGAGCTTCCATCCCTACCCTGAAACAACAAAGCAATGTGAACCACGCCTCTGTTTTCATTCTCCCAGGTTGTCAGCAAGGCCCAGTAGTGAGTTAAGTATACACCCCCACTAAAAGGCAACCAGGCAGGGGAATTCACTGTCCCACTAACACCAGAAATGTTTCAGAGGAAGTATGGGAGAAGCTAAACTTCAACAACACCACTATCTGCATTGAGGCAGTATAAGCCTATGCTCCGTTTGTCATAGTGATATCAGCAAGACCTAGCAGGAAGCTAATACCTGCCTGGCTCTCAAGCTGGTGAGGCTACACTTCACCAAGGAGATGACCTGTTCAAAAAGCATATTAAATATGATTCAGTGTTTCATCATATAATATCCAAAATGTTCAAGATACAATAAAAATTACTCATTATACCAATAATCAAGATAATTAAAACTTGAATAAGAAAAGACGATCAACTGATGCCAATACCAAGATCAATCTGATGTTAGGATTATTTGAAAAGAACTTTAAAAGCATCTATCATTATAATGTTTCAACAAGCAAACACATATTCTCTGGAAACAAATGGAAACATGGAAAAATCTGTGTAAAGAAATAGAAGTTATAAAGAACCAAGTGGAAATTATTGAATGGAAAAATATAATACAATAGCAAAAATCATTCTTCAAATATTTTTGCATGGCTTTAATAGTAGAGGGAAGACGACATAGAACAAAGTCAGTAGACCTGAGGATAAGTCAATAAAATTTACCCCATCTGAATAACAGAGATAAAGTGACTGAAAAAAGAAATAAACAGTTTTAGGAACTTGCAGGACAAAACCGAAGAGCTAACATATCATTGGAGGCAAAGAAGGATAGGGAAAAAAGGGTGGATCTGAAAGGGTATTCAAAGAATTAACGGCTGAAAAGTCCCAAATTTAACAAAAGACAGACAACTTCAGATTGAAGATGCTAAGTGATCCCCCAGTAAGACTTGAAAGAAAGCAATGCCAAGAAACATCTTAAACTTCTGAAATCTGTCAGAAAAAAAAAATATTTAAAGCAGACAGAGAAAAGTAACACATAACTAATAAAGAATTGCCAATCTGAAGCCATAAAGGCCAGAGGAGCTTCAATCATAAGTTTTACATCCAGGGAAAATATTCTTTAGGAATAAAGAGGAAATAAAAACATTGTCCCATGGGGAAAAAATGAAGAGAATTTATCACCAGCAAACCTATTCTTAATGAGTGGGTAAAGGAAGTTCTCTCAACAGAAAGAAAATGAATACAACAGAAAGAAAATGAATACAAAAGAAAGCACGGGACTTCAGAAAGGAAAGAAGAAAACCAGAAAGGAAAAGAAATAGAGTTAAATATAATAGAATATTCTTCTCATGAGCTTTTTAAATCATATTTGATAGGTGAAGTGGAATTTTTAACATTATCTAAAGTGGTGCTCAATGTATTTGGAGGAAATATTTAAGGAAATTATATTTTAAATGTGTGGAGGGCAAAAAAACCTAAATAAAAATAAAGTGATAAAAACTTTGATACCAGTATACTGTGATAAGTTACATGTGTATTGCTATGGTTTCCACATGTCCCCCAAATTTCATGTTTTGGAAACTTAGTTCCCAGATTCATATGTTGATGATATTTGGAGATGGGGCCTTTGGGATTTAATTAGGATCAGGTAAGATCATCTGAGTGAGATCCCTATGGTGGAAGTGATGACTATAAGAAGATAAAAAGATAATTTGAGAGGCTGAGGAGGGTGGATCACTTGATCTCAGGGGTTTGAGACCAGCCTGGCCAACATGGCAAAACCCCATCTCTACTAAAAATACAAACATTAGCTGGATGTGGTGTCACACGCCTGTAATCCCAGCTACTCAGGAGGCTGAGGCACAAGAATTGCTTGAACCTGGAGGCGGAGGCTGCAGTAAACTGAGATCACACCACTGCACTCCAGCCTCCAGATAAAAAGAGACCTAAGCTAACATACTCATGCCCTCTCACTGTATGATGCTCTCTGCCACATTATAAAGTAGCAAGAAGGCCCTCACCAGATGCCAACACCATGCCCTTGGACTTCTCAGCCTCCAAAACCAGGAGCCAAATAAACTTCTGTTCTTTACAAATTATCCATTCTGTAATATTCTGTTATAGCAACAGAAAACAAAGACACGTACATTGCAACACCTAGAGCAACCACTAAGAATACTACATATAGTGATATACTCGAAAACAATATAAGTAAATCAAGAAGTATGCCTAAAAATGTTCAGATAATTCACAGGAATACAAGAAAGGAGAAATAGGAGAATAACAAACAGAAGGAACATGAATATTTATAGCATAACCTAAAACTAGAAACAAGTTAAGTGTCCTTTAATGGGTTGATAGGTGAACAAACTATGGTACATCCATACCATGGAATGCTATTCATTAATAAAGAGGAAATAAACTATTGATATAAGCAGTGATTTGGACGGTCTTAAGGAAATTATGCTAAGTGAGAAAAGCATATCTCAAAAGGTTACATATTGTATGATTTGATTCCATTTATATAGGTGTTTGCTGTTGTTGCTGTTTTGTTTCGTTTTGAGACAGTCTCGCTCTGTCACCCAGGCTGGAGTGCAGTGGCATGATCTTGGCTCACTGCAACCTCCACCTCCTGGGTTCAAGCGATTCTCCCACCTCAGCCTCCTGAGTAGCTGGGATTACAGGCCTGAGCCACCATGCCTGGCTAATTTATGGTATTTTTTGTACAGATGGAGTTTCACCTTGTTTGCCAGGCTGGTCTCGAACTGCTGACCTCAGGTGATCTGCCCACCTTGGCCTCTCCGAGTGCTGGGATTACAGGCGTGCACTACCTCACCTGACCTCCATTTACATAGGTCTTGAAATAACAAAATTACAGAAATAGAGTACAGCTAGTGGTTGACAGAGATTAAAAAAAGGGGATGGTGTCAGATGGGGAAGAGAGAAGGGGTGTATGGAAGAGAGTGAGAGGGAAGTGAGTGTGGTTAAAAGGGCAAAGAGAAGCATCCTTATGGTGATGGAACTCTTCTGTATCTTGGCTGTGGTGATGGATATACAAACCTATGCATGCAATGAAATTGCATAGAACTAAATTCACATAAATGAGTGCATCTAAAACTGCACTATTAAATAATAGATCATTTAGTGTTAATTTCCTGGTTCTGATATTATATTGCATTATAATTATGCAAGCTGTTACCATTTGAGAAACTTGGCAAAGGGTATACAAGATCTCTTGTGAATTATTTCTTGTAACTACATCTATCTACAAATTTCTCAAAATAAATAATTTAATAATTGGCTATTGCAGGACACCTTGTAAAGGACCAATGACAATACGATTTTTTTCCCCTCTTGGGAAAAGGATGGGAATGAATTGTGGCCACCGTAATTTTTCTCCATCAAGTCTCACCAAGGACTCTGCATGTGTTTCTCAAAAACAAAAATTACATTTTATTACCACAAATAAAACATAAAATGCTTTTAGAGTTCCTATGTAAACTCATTCTTCATAAATTGTTGCAGGTCATTCCTTAAAGTTGTTGCTAAACATCAAAAATAAAGCTGCCCATTGGACCCACCTCAAGGTGGTTAGGTATAACTCCTCTCCTTTAAGAAGATTCTGGATTGTAAAAAATATTTCAGTTTCCTCCTAAAAATGAGGAAGTCAGATTCGCTCAGTAATATGAGAAAAAAAAATCTTCACGTCTCAATCAGACTCATGAAACTACAAATGGAGGAAAGCATCACGACAATATATTAACATTGTGTACCATTGTTTTGAGTACAGATTAACAGGCAGTAGAAAAACACTTTAGTCTCTTTTTTTATTATTATACTTTAAGTTCTGTGATACATGTGCAGAATGTCCAGGTTTGTTACATAGGTATACATGTGTCATGGTGTTTTGCTGTATCCATCAACCCGTCATCTACATTAAGTATTTCTCCTAATGCTCTCCCTCACCTTGCCCCCCACCCCCTGACAGGCCCTGGTGTGTGACGTTCCCATCCCTGTGTCCATGTGTTCTCATTGTTCAACTCTCACTTATGAGTGAGAACATGCAGTGTTTGGTTCTCTGTTCCTGTGATAGTTTGCTGAGAATGATGGTTCCCAGCTTCATTCATATCCCTACAAAGGACATGAACTCATCCTTTTTTATGGCTGTATAGTATTTCATGATGTATACAGGCCACATTTTCTTTACCCAGTCTATCATTACTGGCATTTGCGTTGGTTCCAAGTCTTTACTATTGCGAATAGTGCTGCAATAAACATATGTGTGCAAGTGTCTTTATAGTAGAATGATTTATAATCTTTTGGGTATATACCCCAGGAATGGAATTGCTGGGCCAAATGGTATTTCTGGTTCTAGATCCTTGAAGAATTGCCACACTGTCTTCCATAATGGTTGAACTAATATACACTCCCACCAACAGTCTAAAAGCATTCCTTTTTCTCCACATCCTCTCCAGCATGTGTTGTTTCCTGACATTTTAATGATCACCATTCTAACTGGTATGAGATGGTATCTCATTGTGGTTTTGATTTGCATTTCTCTAATGACCAGTGATGATGAGGTTTTTTCATATGATTCTTGGCCACATAAATGTCTTCTTTTGGGAAGTATCAGTTCATATCCTTTGCCCACTTTTTGATGGGGTTGTTTGTTTTTTTTCTTGTAAATTTGTTTAAGTTCCTTGTAGATTCTTGATATTAGACATGTCAATTTTGGCTTTTGTTGCAATTGCTTTTAGTGTTTTAGTCATGAAGTCTTTGCCCATGCCTATGTCCTGAGTGATATTGCCTAGGTTTTCTTCTAGGGTTTTTATGGTTTTAGGTCTTACATTTAAGTCTTTAATCCATCTTAATTTTTGTATAAGGTGTAAGGAAGGGGTCCAGTTTCAGTTTTCTGCATACAGCTAGCCAGTTTTCCCAGCACCATTTATTAAATAGGGAATCCTTTCCCCATTGCTTATTTTTGTCAGGTTTGTCAAAGGTCAGGTAGTTGTAGATGTGTGGTGTTATTTCTGAGGCCTCTGTTCTGTTCCCTTGTTCTATGTATCTGTTTTGGTACTAGTACCATGCTGTTTTGGTTACTGTAGCCTGGTAGTTTAGCTTGAAGTCAGGTAGCATGATGCCTCCAGCTCTATTTTATTTTGTTTGTTTGTTTTGTTTTTGTTGTTTTGTTTAGGATTGTCTTGGATATAGGAGCTCTTTTTTGGTTCTATATGAAGAACAAGAAGAGTTAACTATCCTAAATATATATGCACTCAATAGAGGAGCACCCAGATTCATAAAGTTCTCAAAGACCCACAAAGAGACTTAGACTCCCATACAATAATAGTGGGAGACTTTAACACCCCACTGTCAATATTAGACAGATCAATGAGACAGAAAATTAACAAGGATATTCAGGACTTGAATTCAGCTCTGGAACAAGTGGACCTAATAGATATCTACAGAACCGTCCACCCCAAATCAACAGAATATACATTCTTCTCAGCACCACATAGCACTTATTCTAAAATTAACCACATAGTTGGAAGTAAAACACTCCTCAGCAAATGTTAAGGAATGGAAATCATAATAAACAGTCTCTCAGACCATAGTGCAATCAAATTACAACTCAGGATTAAGAAACTCACTTAAAACCACACAACTACGTGGAAACTGAACAACTTGCTCCTGAATGACTACCGGATAAATAACAAAATTAAGGCCAAAATAAATAAGTTCTTTGAAACCAATGAGAACAAAGACACAACGTACCAGAATCTCTGGGACAGAGCTAAAGCAGTATTTACAGGAAAATTTATAGTACTAAATTCCCACATCAGAAAGTGGGAAAGGTCTAAAATTGACACCCTAACATCACAATTAAAAGAACTAGAGAAGCAAGAGCAAACAAATTCAAAAGCTAGCCAAAGACAAGAAATAACTAAGATCAGACAGAGTAGAACTGAAAGAGATAGAGTCATGAAAAACCCTTCAAAAAATCAATGAATTGGCTGGGCACGGTGGCTCATGCCTGTAATCCCAGGACTTTGGGAGGCTGAGGAGGGCAGATCACGAGGTCAGGAGATTGAGACTATCCTGGCTAACACAGTGAAACCCCGTCTGTACTGAAAATACAAAAAAATTAGCTGGGCGTGGTGGTGGGTGCCTGTAGTCCCAGCTACTCAGGAGGCTGAGGAAGGAGAATGGTGTTAACCCAGGAGGCAGAGCTTGCAGTGAGCCAAGATCACACCACTGCACTCCAGCCTGGGAGACACAGTGAGACTCCGTCTCAAAAAAAAAAAAAAAATCAATGAATCCAGTAGCTGATTTTCTTGAAAAGATTAACAAAATAGATAGATCACTAGCCAGACTACTAATAAAGAAGGAAAGAGAGAAGAATCAAATAGATACAATAAAGACGATAAAGGGGATATCACCACTGATCCCACAGAAACACAAACTACCATTAGAGAATACTATAAACACCTCTGTGCAAATAAACTAGAAAATATAGAAGAATTTGATATATTCCTGGACACATACACCCTCCCAGGACTAAACCAGGAAGAAGTTGAATCCCTGAATAGACTAATAGCAAGTTCTGAAATTGAGGCAGTAATTAATAGCCTACCAACCCAAAAAAGAAAACACTTTAGTTTCTAAGTGTCTTGGTGTCCAGAGTTCTTGCAGTGCTGATTTTAAGCAATGAAAATGAGATTAGCCCAAAGAAGGGAGAGACCTATAATATGGTACATGAAATGATGGGTTAGTCTCAGAAATCAGAATATTCTTCTATCTCCAGACAAAATGAAAAACAGGTTTTATTCTAAGCCAATGTAATCTATTTATAAATAATAGCATACAAAAGATCCTCTTTTCAGTAAGACATCTGGGTGGCAGGAGACAGCAAACTTTTTACTCTGAGGAAAAAATTTTATGTTTTAGTTTAGGATCTAAAATAGATTCTAGAACTCTGACCTGAGGCTAAGGGTAAAGGGGGAAGATTTTTATATATAAAGTACAATATATATGATGAATAGATTGTGCCAGAGGATTGATAGATGCATATATTTAACACAATGAGACCAATGGTAAACAGATCGAACCCACTTTATTTCTTTGTGCTTTTCCAGTCACTTATATACAATTACAATAAAGCAAATCATTCTCTATATTTTTGTTAAATCATCACAAAATGTATGTTTAAAAAGTAGTTTAAGTTTACTAGAAAGTACTATCTCAATAGCTGTATAGCTAACTTATGTAAATCATATTTATGCTAATTGAAGAGAATATATTTCACCTTCAGGATATTGTATTCATTTTTTCTAGCCTTAATAAACATTTTATAAATACTGACACTGGGGATAAAGTTACTGATAATATTATATTTACTTTGGCTTCGCAGAGTAAAAATTGTTATTCAGTCACATACAACATTCTCGCATTTTTTTAGTCAATCCTCAAACTACCTGAGATGTAACCATTATTACTCAGTTATAAAAAGAAACCAAGATTCAGGTATACTAAATAATTTGTGAGTATTCATGACAGAACATGGCAGGTTTGATTGCAACTCTGTTTGATTCCAAAGTGTTTGCTCTTTCCACTTCATCGTAATGTATTTCCACTTTATCATAATGTATTTCTGGCAAGAAGCATAAGAATCAAAAACGTGACCTGAAAAACTACTATGGAATTATTTTTAAGTGGTTTGCATAGACTTTGTTTTTAGACTTTGTTTAACTTTTCCCAAAAAGTTGTACTCAGTTGTTCAAAGGCTAAGACAACGTTGTCGTCTTCATTTTCACATAGCTCACGCAAGGAAACACTGGAAATGGGGAAAAAAATATAGGATCCACTTTAGTGAGATTGAATATTATAAGAAAGGCTTTCCTTGGTTAGGCAGAAGTAAGGAAATCCCATCAGATGATGAAATTATGTTAGCAAAATATGAGGAATAATGATAAGAAACATATTTCTCCTAAAAAATCTTGTATAAAAAATTTAAGAAAAGATAACAAAACAACCCCATGCAATTCTTCTCCATGACTATTACCAAGAGAGTCTGAAAAGCCATCAAATTCCACATAACTTGATCCCTTCTCCCTTCAAAAGTGCAACGCAAATTCCTTTTCTTTCCTCTACATATCTCTTGTGGAGTCATTTTGTGTTATTTATGCTAGTGTCCAGTGTATACTGAAACCCACAGGCAGCTACATCTACGAAGAGGAAAATATTGCTTTCTTTACCTAGATGTGTAAAAAGATAAGGACAACAAGATATGGTAAGCAGAATAATGGCCCTGCAAAGATGTCCATATCATATATTCCCCAGAAACCGATGAATAGGTCAGGTTACATGGCAAAGGGGAATGAATTATGGCTGCAGTGCGAATTAAAGTTGCGAATCAGCTGACCTTGAGATAGGAAAATAATCCTGGATTATCTGGGCAGGTTCAGTGTGATCTCAAAGGTCCCTGTAAGTGGAAGAGTGAGGCAGGAGAGAGTCAGAATGATGCAGTGTGAGTCTACGAACCATTGCTGGCTTTGGAGATGAAAGGGAGCCACAAGCCAAGGAATGCCGGCAGCCTCTAAAAGTTGGAAAAGGCAATAAAAGTAGATTGTCCCTTAAGAGCCTTTACAAAGAAATGCAGCCCTGCTGACAACTGGATTGAGCCCAAGAAGACACATTTTGGACTTCTGACCTCCAGAATTGTAAAATAATAAATTTGTGTTGGTTTAAGCCACTAGGTTTGTGGTAATTTGTTGCAGCAGCATTAAGAAACTAATGTACAGGTAACAAAAAAGGAGAGAAGAAATCCAAGAATGAACAGTACAGCTGGACTGATCAAGGGCTGAAAACTGTCATGATCTGACATCTTATCAGCCTTTTATTATTTGCCCCTACCTTGTTTCCACTAGAGTTCCAGTTATTTTCGAGTGTCATCACTGACCTACCACAAAAATTGATCAGTTCTGTCTCTACAACACCAAATTTCCTTCTGAGTTACAGACTTATCATTGTGACTACTGAACATTTCCTCCTGATTGATATCTCCCAGATATAATGTGATGTGTATAAATTCTAGCTCACTATTTTTCATTCTCATCCCCAAATGTCATGCTCATCCTTGTTTCCTATACATCCTTAACAAAAATAGGAACTTTGGTCATCTTTACCAACTGCATAAATTTTTTTACCAATTTCTTGAATTTTACCTCGTAAATATTTTTCTGATCACTCTTCTGCATCATATTTCAATTCCCTTAATTCAGACCTTCACTCATTTTCACCTGCATGACTGTTACAGCCTTTGCACCTACATATTTCTGCCACATATATAATCCGCATGCTCATGCTCCCCTCAGGCTTATGCACTGTCTACACGTTGCTCAAAAGATGAAGCCCAAACTTCTTAATGTTAACATAAAGACCTTTCCTGATATAGATCCAAATTCCATTTAAAGTCTCTTACAACAACCCAGCATCTTCCCCCATCTCTGTCAAATGCCCATAATCTCCATGTTGACATAGTGAGCTTGGAGTCTATCCCTGACACATCAGGCCCTTTCTCATTTCTGTACTTTGAAAATACTATTTCTTCTTCCCCATAATTTAAGGCTTAGTCAAAAAATTACCTCATTTGAGACTCTTTCTTTGAATGCAAGTCACATTAGTCATTCCCTTATCTGCCATCATAGCTCTGACCATGTTTGTAAGGTCTATAAGTCAGCTTCTTTCACTACACATGTAAGAATTTTTTTAAAGCAGGTATATCAATTTAATGATCCTTTGGCCAGGCGCAGTGGTTCTTGCCTGTAATCCTAGCACTTTGGGAGGCCAAGGCGGGTGGATTGCCTGAGCTCAGGAATTTTGAGACCAGCCTGGGCAGCATGGTGAAATCCCATCTGTACTAAAATACCAAAAAAAAAAAAAAATTAGCCAGGCATGGTGGTATACACCTGTAGTCCCAGCTACCTGGGAGGCTTAGGCAGGAGAATTGCTTGAACCTGGGAGGTGAGGTTGCAGTGAGCCGAGATCGCAACACTTCACTCCAGCCTGGGTGACAGAGCGTGACTCTCCGTCTCCAAAAAAAAAAAAAAATTATGAACCTTTATAGCTCAAATGCTTAGGAAGTGTGTCTCATACCAACAATGCTTCAATACTTCTTGGATGAATGTGTGAATGATTGATTGATTGATTTCCTTGCCCAAGTTTTTGAGACAGCTTCCAAGTCTGTGGAGTTTCTTGGGCTGCTCTGGAGATAATAACTTCAGTAACTATGAGCCACTCAAGGAATACCCTATCTAGAGATATTCCAAGTGGACAAAGCAGTTTCCTTCTGCTCCCAAAAGTTTTACTCTGTTATAAAAAGTCCAAACAGGCCGATTCTGCTCAGATCCAAGATATAAAAAGAGACTTGATTAGCAAGAACCTAATAATGGAGAGAGTTGTGGCAAATTAAATATATAAAAAGGGATAGGACGAAGCAACACCTATAAAGTATTGAGTTGCATGCAGATTGAAGGCTTTAGAAAGATGGACATTTAGGCCAGGAGCGGCAGCTAATGCCTGTAACCGCAGCACTTTGGGAGGGCAAGGCAGGCAGATCACCTGAGGTCAGGAGTTCGAGACCACACTAACCAACATGGAGAAACCCCCTCGCTACTAAAAATACAATATTAGCCGGGCATGGTGACACATGCCTGTAATCCCAGCTACTCAGGAGATTGAGGCAGGAGAACTGCTTGAACCCAGGAGGCAGAGGTTGTGGTGAGCCGAGATCATACCATTGCACTCCAGCCTGGGCAACAAGGGCAAAATTCTGTCTCAAAAAAAAAAGAAAAGAAAAAGAAAGATGGACATGCAACTAAGCAACAGTAGATGGTCAATGAAGCCTAAGAATGGGGTACCCACATAAAGTTTGGTGTTGCTTGGGACCCCACTAGGTTTTGTTAAAGGTGAAAATAGGAGGCCAATATGAAAGATCAGAGTCAGACGGAGCCTGGAGAAAACATCAGAGAAAACACAAAATTCAAAGTATGTAAGTGAATATAAACTAGAGACCGGATGGAACCCTAAGGAGCCCTCTGAAATATCGTGTCCCATGTCTTTGACATACACTGCTTGTGGCAATTGAGAATACCAGGATCGAGGAGTCAATGAAGCTTTTGAATATTGCTGCCTGTCAGTGCATGATGCCTGGGGCTGAGACTCTAGTCTGGATGAAACTTCATCTCAACTAGACATTGGAATTAATTCTGTTATAGAAATAATACAACACGTGTTGAACAGACATTCTGCAGAGCCTTTGGGGAGTTGAAATGCATAGCACAGAAGAAGCTTAATGGCACCTTCATGTACCTGGCTTATAGTAACAGCTCAACATTTTTCAAATTATAAATAAATTATTAAAAAATCTAAAATCAATATTTAAATATATAACACACCTGATAGATTTAATGGTGAGTGCAAAATCCTTCAACAAATAATAAGCATCTCCTTCATTCATCCTAAAGAAAACAACATTTTGAAAATTAATAATACAAAACATTAAAGAACATCCTATTTTATATTTAAATGCTGAATTTATCAGTAAGAGGTTGCTTTTGTCTGTCAAGATCTCTTTCCAAAAATTATTTCTGCCACAGACTCCTAGATATTGATCTAACCTATGGCAATGGTGATTATGAATTCAAGAGTTGAAATTTCACAATCATATATAAGCAATAAAAATAGGAGGCTGGCCATCTCAGGAGATAACCAAAACAGGAAAATAAAGCTCAGGAGGGTAAATTGGAACTAGAGACTCAAAAGGGAAGAAACAGTTGTATCATTTACTAATGTCACAGCTGCTTTATTCACAATGAGTCACTTTTTTTCAAAACAGTGCTCAACATCTTTGAAGAGTGTCAGATATTTTAATACCTTCATTCTATAAGGACTGCTCAACATTTTATGTAAAAAACAAAATTGGTTTCCTGCTTTGATGTGACAGAATGCCCCTCCCCAAATCTATGTGCTCAGTGCCCAAGTCAATTTCTTCATCCTGGATAAATCCAACAGTGTTTACCCCTGGCTACTATTTTTGAAAATGTTTTTCCTGCCACAGAACTAAAACAATTGTCATGTACTCAGTCCTCTATCTACTCTTCTCAAATACTGGAGAGCATGCCATTATTTGTTATTCAGTTTTAAAATATCTAATAATGAATAAACAGGAGAGTAATAAATACAAATATATCTATGAGCATGTGCAAATATTTATATCGTTAGAGCACAGCATGATGTCATGTGAGCTGGGCTAAGTGCCAAGATTTTGTTGGAAAACCACAAAGAAAAATAATACCGAATTGTTATTCTCTCTTGCCATTAGTCTCTAAAAAAAATCAATCTAGTATGTTTAGTATGATTTAACCTGCACTTGAAACTGTAATGAGGTTTCTTCCTTAAAATTCATTAAATTAATTCATTAGAGATGGAGATGGGAGGACAGAGAAACAGAGACAGACAGAGAGGACATACCTGTTATCCTGGACTAATCCTATCAAGGAACCATGTTTGTAGAAATCCAGTGCATAGGCATTAAGCGACATTTTCCTTCCTCGGTTATCAAATTTCTGTGACAACAGCACTGGAGCCTGAGAGCGATTGACACCGATTGTGCCTAGAGTAACCTGAAAAAATACGATTATTCTTAATGTATTATTTATGTATAAAGAAAGTTGATAATTTCTTATGTGGTGCTTTGTAGATACATCCTTTAGTTACCATTTTTAAAGCCCACTCTTCACTGTGAAGTAAGAGGGTGCCTTAGCCACACATTGTGGTAGCACCATCCTAAGCAAGAGTGGAGAGTGGCTCAGCTCCACCCCATGAAGATTATTGCCTCCACAAAATACCAATGGCACTTTCAACCATCCATCCACTAGAATATAGAAACACTCACTAGGAAAGAAAACCTAACACCATTTCATTCTCCTTATTGGTGAAAGGAATTTACTTGTAAACAGAATATTAATGAGCTAGAGGATTATACATCACAAGAAAGGAATTCAATTGAACAACTCTAACAATCTTGGGAACCCAATTACCTGAATAAAAAGGAGGAAGAAGGAAAACAAAAAGAAGAAAAGTAAAAAGAAGGCGGTGAATAGTTTTCCCATGTCTGCTCATTTTTTGCAAACTGTACTGTAGAGGATCAATAGAACTCTAGCATACTGTTATTATGAGTGTAAATTGGCACAGCTATTTTTTTTTGGTAGTTACAAATAAATTTTAACAACTAAGAAAATTCATACATAAATATCTATGAATAATAAGAGTTGACTCCATGTACTATATGCAGATCAGTGATGCAAATTATAAACTGCAGCAATATCTAAACAAGACTCTATTATTAAAATTTAATAATTTGCAGGTAACCATTCGAGTGACAGATATCAACTGCGTTCACTCCTGCTGAGACTTGTTTGGCACAGCTACTTTTTAAATGAGTTGGTAGTAGCTTGAAAAGTTTAATATTTGAATATTCTTATTCTATATGACTCAGAAAATTATTTTAACCCAGAAAATCAATACCTAAGAGAAACTATTGCACATACGCACGAGACATCCATAGCAACACTGTGTGTAATAGCAAAGACAAGAAACAAACACAACTATTCGAAACAGGAGAACAGATTAACAGGCTGTTTGATATTCACACTACAAAATATTATTAAGTACTAAAAATAAAAGAGAGTTCGACGTTACAGCAGGGATGAACCTTAAGGCATAGCACTGAATGTAAATAAAAGTGACTTTCAGGTGACTGCAGTAACTATTCCTTCACTTTTCATAAAATTCAAAAGCAAATTAATATAAAAAGGGATTTTGTAATATGTAGTTTTTAAAAAGAAAAGTGAAAAACACAAAGTTTAGAAAGGTTGATGGCCTGGGGGAAAACGGGAGACAAGAAAATGAAACGTGGGAGGAGTACACAGATCCTTAGTACATGGTGTTCATTTAGTTCGATGCTTTAGAACTTATCTATATGCTATAAAAGATATATTTGTATGTACGCTTAGCATTATATTAAAATGTAAAACTAATTTTATTAATTAAAATAAACAATAAAAGCAAAACAATTTTAAGAGGTTATAACTTACTCTAGTAAAGTAAATTTGTATAAAGTGAGTTGGGTAAGGTAAATGTGAGGGAATATGGAAAGAAAATGTGAGTTCAAGAGGAAAAGAACTGCAAATTTATAAATCCTTATAAAAAGTTTTCCTGACTTGTTCTTAACTTACTGACTATGGGTATGAAAACACTTTCTTGTTGATATTCCATTTTATACAATTAAAAGAATGATGCATTGGTTTTAACACACCAACATTTATTTGAAACTAAAAACTGTATTTTTAGAAAGTATTTAAATTTAGGATAAAAATGTATGTGTTCATTTAAAATGCACAAGATGTATATAGTTTTCAAAATTATTTTAAGTGATACATGACTATGATTTTGGAATAAAATAGAGTTGAGACACCAATGTCAATCCATAATATCAAATGTAATAAAACACTTTTTCTCAAAGTTTGTATTAAGATATAAATTAAATTTCACCAAGTGTCAACATTCAAATGAATTAGCCAGGATCTTCCAAATGTGTCTAGTTCTTTGCATTCCATTTTAGGCATCAATGATGCAGACTGTAAGTAGTATTTACAGCATTTATAGCAGTACTGAGAAAGTCTGAAGACAGTTTTATGTGCTACTTCCACAGAAAACCTGTGTCAATATCAGTAGAGCCTTCAAAGATTGAAGAAAAGTAGTGGTGCCTGGAAACTCTCTGAGCAGGGTCCTCAGGCCAACTCTGAGAAACAGAAATCATATTGACTTCAAGAGCACCAATTCCTGAATATATCTGTTGATACACCCAGATTTTTTTTTTCCTTTTTAAGCTGGGAAATTCGAAGTTCTTTCTAAGCTGCCTAGCAATATAAATCCATTCTTTCTTAAACAGCTTTTATTAATAAACCCCACTCTTCACTTACATGGTTTGGAGTTTCTAGTCGAAGCAAATCATCATCAAAGTTCCCAGACAGACAAACAAATGGTGAAATTGCTACTCTTCCTTCCTTGCAGCTCATCAAATGAGATACGAGTTGAGAGTCTTCACATTCTTTACCTGTGAATTCTGACAATAATAGTTAGGGATAGATTAGTGTTTTGAACTCAGTCAAATTGTCAAACCTCAGATACTTTCTCTAGACCATGTTACAAGGGGAGCCATTCAGCTTCATGTAATGAAGACTGAAATGTTTCGTAAGTTATATCGCATAAGGTTAGTAGCACAGCTTGGCACAGAATACATTCAATGAAAGTTGGCTATTAATGTTAGTATCACTATTATAAAAATGTGTATTATATTTTAGTTGCCTTAATCAATAAGAAATGAAAGACTAAATTTAAATTATATACTCTTATCAGAGAATTATTGTTATTACCTTTGTACTTTTTCTTACTGAACTCAGAATTGCCTTCAGAATCTTTCCTGAAACCATGCAGCCTCAATTAGTAAGTTTGGAAGTAGTGCATGAGAATAAATATATTTTCCATTTATATTCTTATAAAACCCAGATCAGACATTCAAACTGGGCTCTAATTTGTAATTGAGGCATAATATTCACAGACTCCAATCTCACCCCACCTGTGATGGTCACCTTTTTGTATCTATTTTCCCTTAGAAAGCTTCCATCTATTAGCTCATGAAAAAAAGTGCAAATGCTAAGAGTGTTAACCATGTACAAAACACTATTTTAAGATTTTCATATATGTTAACTTAATCATTTAAAACTCATCAAAACTACGTAGATAATGCTATTCCCTTTCTCATATATCTGTTCAGAAAACTAAGGCATGAGTATGGAGTCTCTTGCTCAAGATCTCACAGCTAATAAGTAGCAGAACCAGAGTTTGGACCCAGAAAATATGCTCAGAATCTGTGTTTATGAAAACTAAGCGTATTTCCTCTCAAGAGAGAGTGACAGAATTCGTCTCTAGTTTCTCTTCATCTCATAGATGCCCTTACTCAGTTTTCCAGGCTTGACCCTGAAGCAGCATTTAACAAGATGGTTATAAATTGCCCTACTTAGTTTGTCTCTTTTGCCCTTTTAATGTCTAATAAGCAAAATTTTTTTCTTTAGAAAGGAAAAGGAATCTCCTCACTTGAGGGCAAAATAAACTTTCTGGGGTTCCACTCTTCTTCCAGAATAAACTATTCTTAGGCAAGATTATTTATTCTTCAAATTGTTCCACAATGGAGGTAAAATATACTTACTGATTTTTGACAATGGGAGTTGATATTCCTGATTCATATCAGCCAGTTTGGAAACAATTCGTAGGAAAGTGGTAAAGTCCTCCATAATTTTCATGTTATATTCATCTAAAGCATCACTAAAATCCTCAGGGAGATCATCAAGGAACACCTAGAAGCCGAATAATTTTCATAGAGATAGATCTATTTACCTTCCTTCAAAACTGAATCGTTGGAAGAAGAAAGGTAAAGAACATTGCAATATAATTCTATAGTTATCTATTAATATTTATTCAATAATGTCACTGTTTCATTTTTTCACTGGTGAAGTTCAGGTAACTTCATGTTTTGTTTCTATTTGCAATTATGAAAACAAATACCTTACTCATTACCCTTAAAAATGTATTTTGACATACTGAATCAAAACCACTTTTAAATAGAAGCATGCCCTCAAATAACATTAGACTTGTGAAAATTTCAAAGACTCTAGTGACACATTTGAATAGCAAGCAATGAGACAAAGTACATTTGCATGCCTAGAGTAAATCTCGTTTTGTTTTGAGGGTTTTTTAAACCTCACTGGATTCATTTTGCTAATATTTAGTTAACTATTTTTTCACTTACATTCATGAAAGAGAAGTATCTCTAATTTTCCTTTTCATTATGTTCTAGTCAGGTTTTGGTATTAAAGCTAACTTTTGCCCTTAGAAAGAGTAAATATTCCCTCTTTTTGTATTATCCAGAAGAGTGTAGTGGACTGAATGTTTCATATTTTCTCAAAATTTATATGTTAAAATATGAACACTTAATGTGATGGGATTAGGACGCAGGGCCTTTGGGAGATGATTAGGTCATGAGGGTGGAGTCCTCATAACTGGAATTAGTGCCCATAAAAAAAGACGCCAGAGAGCTCCCTTGCCCCTTCCACCATGTGAGAACACAGCATAAAGACAACCATCTATGAACCAAAAAGCAGCCCCCACCAGACACCTTGATTTAGAACTTCCTTTTAATTATTAATTTTTTATTTTTGTGGGTCCATAGCAGGTGTGTATATTCATGGATTATATGAGATATTTCGATGCAGGCATGTAATGCATAATAATCACATCAGGGTAAATGGGGTATCCATCACTTCAAGCATTTATCCTTTGTGTTACAAACAATACAATTCTATTCTTTTAGTTATTCAGCCATAAAAAAGAATGAGATCCTGTCATTTGCAACAACATGTAAAGAATTGGAGGTCATTATGTTAAGTGAAATCAGCCAGGCACAAAAAGACACACTTCACACGTTCTCACTACTTTGTAGGACCTAAAAGTTAAAACAATTGAACTTATGCAGATAGAGTAGAAGGATGGTTATCAGAGGCTGGGAAGGGTAGCTGGGGGACGGAGAAGTGAATGTTTAATGGGTACCAAAAAATAGCTAGAAAGACTGGTCTCTTCTCAGCCTCCGAAACTGTGACAAGTAAATTTCTGTTGTTTATTAGCCAGCCAATCATTGCTACATTATAGCAGCCCAAACAGACTAAAATAAAATTTGTAAAAAGTTGGTGTTATTCTCTTTACGATAAAAATCATGCATATTTAAGATATACAAACTGGTGTTTTAATATACATATATAGTGATGTTATCCTTACAAAGTTTGGAAGAATTCACCAGTGAAGCCATCTGAGCCTTGGGTTTTCTTTGTGGGAATGTTTTTTTTTTTTTAAATAATAGATTAAATTTCTTTACTAGATATCAGAACCAGATTAATTATATCTTCCTTGCTCAGTTTTGGAAAGTTGTATTTTCTAGGAATTTGCCCATTTGTCTAAATAGTCAAATACGTTGCTATAAAGTCATTCACAAAATCTTCCTTTGCTCTTTGCGATGTCTAAAATAGAGCCTGTAGTACTGCCCCATTTTCTTTTCTGATACTTGTGCTTTTACTCCCTTATTCTTAATGAGTTTTGCTAGACATTAATCAATTTTATTATTCTTTACAAAGAACCAACTTAGAGGCTTTGTTGATTTCTTGTTCACACAATTATTGTTAATTTACTTTATATCTGTTCTCATTTTATTATTTCTTTCCTTCTACTTACTGTAGGTTAGATCTTCTTGTTCGTTTTGTTATTTTCTTAAGCTAAAGTTTAATTCATTGACTTTTCAGCCTGTATTTTTTTCTAATTTATGGTTTTAAGGCTGCAAATTCCTCTGTAAGCACTGAATAAATTCCAACTTATAAGCATTCTTATGTTTGCTTTATTTTTATTTAATGTAAAATATTTTTAAATGTCCATTTTATGTCTTTTTTATCCTTTGTGTATTTATAAATTAATTTTTTAACTTTTCACGCAATTGAGATACTTCTGATTCTTCTGGTTAGTGTTTACCTGGCATATATTTTTAATCATCTTACTTTCAAGCTTTCTCAGTTTTTATACCTAAAGTGTGACTTGTATAAATAGCATATATAGTCTGATGTCACTTAATGGCAGGGATATATTCTAAGAAATGTGGCATTAGGTGATATTGTCATTGTGCAAACATCACAAAGTGTACTTAAACAAACCTAGATCACATTACCTAGGCTTTATGGTACAGCCTATTGGTCCTAGGCTACAAACCTGTACAGCATGTTACTGAATTGAACACTTTAGGCAGCTGTAACACAATGGTAAGTATTTTGTGTATCCAGATATACCTGAATGAAGGAAAGGTACAGTAAAAATACAATATTATATTTATGCAACCATCATGTATGCAGTCTGTTGTGGATCAAAATGTCATTGTGTGGCACATGTCTATAGTTGTCTATATTTTAAGATATAGCCTGAAAATCTTTGTATTTTACTTAGTGTATTTAGTACATTTACATTTAATATAACTATTGATATAGCTATTTTCTACCTTGCCATTTGTTTTCTGTCTGAATTTGAACCACTCATTATATATTTTTTCTCTTCCCTTCTTGTTTTTACCAGTTTTTCCTTTTGTTAACATGTATGTGCACACTATTTTACTAGTCTTTTAGCTGTTACCCCAGAGATTATAAGATATAGCTTTAATTTTATATTTCTTAATCTTCCAAAATTTTAAAACATTTAAATGTATTAACCTTCTGAACTCTTACATTATAATTTTCATAAACTTCAGTTCTATGTATTATTTCAAATTTTATATGTTACAATTATTTTTTGACACAATGTGTATTCCTTTATATGTAATCACACATAACCCTTTCTATTGTGATTCATTCCTTCCTGCATTTTCATGTTTCCAAATTTTGGATTTTTTCTATGTACCTAAAGTATATATTTATTTTACTGCAGACTTGATAGCAATGAATAACCTCAGATTTCACATCTGAAAACATCTTAATTTTATCTTTATTTTGACGAATATTTCCTACAAGTGTAGAATTCAGGGATAGGAGTTATTTTAATTGAGCACATTAAAAATATTGTTCCATTGTCTGGAGAGCCAAAATAAAAATAAAAATAAAAAATGGCAGACAAGAGGCAGAACTAACTTGCAGCTCCCACTCAGACAGACAGATCAGCATGTGGAGACTCACACCATGAACTTTTGCTCCAAGAACTACCAAAGGAACACACCAGGAAAGCCAAGAGAATCCACAGACCCTTTCAAAGAAGTAACTTGCCTCTTCAGGCAAGCTGAAAAACTGTGAATGTCCAAAGTGTGAAAGGGGGAACATCCACCCCTTAACACATATCATCAATGGGGAAACTGAAGTTCCAGATCATGGGAGAAGGATCTGGAATTGAGACAAATTTAGAGAGCCAAGTGAAATATAGGTGTAGAGGAAGCAGTGGGATAAGCACTCTGGGCACTTTCGGTCCCCAGAAAAGCCGTTTCTGACTTTGTCTCACAGGGGTCCTTGGGAAGGCTGCCAATGGAATTGGGGAAAGACCACATGGAGAAGGAAACTTCCAGCTGAACTCTGTAACAATTTCAACCAAACACAAAGTTTCCTGGACAGAACCTGGGGCAGGGGGGTAAACAGGGAGTGCAGATACAAGCACAGAGGCTGCAGCAAGTGGGGAGGTGTGAAACCCAAGAGCCCTGCTTGCTTTCTCAGTGGGGAGGCTTGTAGCCTGGGGAAAGTTTTCAGCCCTGCTCACAGATTGCCTGGAAATAAATTCAGCGCTATTGGGGAGTGGGGGACAGTACTACAAGAACTGCTGAAAGGAGCTCTAACTCTTGAAACAAATCCCTGAAAGACACCAAAATAGAACCTCCTTAAAGCATAAATCTCACAAGACCTATAAAATAATAGCACAATGGAAAAAGAAAAAACAAGGTATTTGGGCAACAACTAGCATGATAAATAGAATAGTACCTCACATTTCAAAACTAAAATTGAATGTAAATGGCCTAAATGCTCCACTTAGAAGATTTGGAATAGCAAAATGGATAAGAATTCACCAACCAAGTATCTGCTGTCTTCAAGAGACTCACCTAACACATAAGGACTCACATAAATTTAAGGGAAAGGGGTGGAGAAACATATTCCATGGAAATGGACACCAAAAGCAAGCAGGAGTAGCTATTTTTATATCAGACAAAACAGATTTAAAGCAAAAATAGTTTAAAAAGACAGATGGACACTATATAATGATAAAAGGACTACTCCAACAGGAACACTTCACAATCCTAAATATATATACACCTAATACTGGAGCTCTCAAATTTATAAAACAATTACTAATATACCTAAGAAATGAGAAAGATAGCAACACAATAATAGTGGGGGACTTCAATACCCCATGACGGCACTAGACAGGTCATAAAGACAGAAAGTCAACAAATAATGGACTTAGACTACACCCTAGGACAAATGGACTTAACAGATATTTACAGAACATTCTACCCAACAATTGAAGAATATACATTCTATTCATCAGCACATGGAACATTCTCCAAGAAAGACCATATGATAGGCAACAAAACAAGCCTCAATAAGTGATCTCAGATCACAGTGGAATAAAATTGGAAATCAACTCCAAAAGAAATCCTCAAAACCATGCAAATACATGGAAATTAAATAACCTGCTCCTGAATGATTATTGGGTCAACAATGAAATCAGGATAGAAACTTAAAAAGTCTTTGAATTGAACAGTATTAGTGACACAACTGATTTAAAACCTCTGGGACAGAGCAAAAGTGATGCTAAGAGAAAAGTTCATAGCATTAAATGCCTACATCAAAAAGTCTGAAAGAGCAAAAATAGACAATCTAAGGTCACCCCTCAAGGAACTAGAGAAACAATAACAAACCAAACCCAAACCCAGCAGAAGAAAAGAAATAGCAAAGATCAGAGCAGAACTAAATGAAATTGAAACAAACAAACAAAACCAATACAAAAGATAAATGAAACTAAAAGCTGGTTCTTTGAAAAAATAAACAACATTGATAAATAGACCATTAGTGAGATTAGCCAAGAAAAGAAGAGAGATCCAAATAAGTTTCATCCAAAGAAATGAAACAGAAGATATTACAACCAATACCACAGAAGTACGAAAAAAAAAATTATTCAAGGCTACTATGAACACCTTTACGCACACAAACTGGAAAACTTAGAGGAGATGGGTAAATTCCTGGAAATATACAAATCTCCTAGATTAAACCAAGAAGAAATAGAAACTCTGAACAGACCAATAACAAGCAGTGAGATTGAAATGGTATATATTTTTTAAATGTCAACAAAAAAAGTCCAAAACTATATGGATTCACGACTGAATTCTATCAGGCATTCAAAGAAGATTTGGGACCAAGCCTACTGACACTATTTCAAAAGATAGAGAAAGAGGGAATCCTCCCTAAATTGTTCTATGAAGCCAATATCATCTTAATGTCAAAACCAGGAAATGACATAACAAAAAAAAAAAGAAAGAAAACTACAGACCAATATCTCTGATGAACATAAACGCAAAAACCCTCAACAAAATACTAGCAAACAGAATCCAACAGCAGATCAAAAAGATAATCTACCATGATCAAGTGAGTTTCATACTAGGGATGCTGGGATGGTTTATCATATGCAAGTGAATAAATGTAATATACTACATAAACAGATTTAAAAACAAAAATCACTGATCATCTAAATAGATGCAGAAAAAGCATTTGACAAAATCCAGCATCCCTTTAGGATTAAAACCCTCAGCAAAATTGGCATAGAAAGGACATAGCTTAAGGTAATAAAAGCCATCTAAGACAATCCCACAGTCAACGTTATACTTTACAGGGAAAAGTAGAAAGCATTCTCCCTGAGAACTGGAATAAGAAAAGGATGCCCATTTTCACCACTCTTACTCAACATAGTACTAGAAGTCCTAACCAGAGCAATCAAACAAAAGAAATAAATAAAGGACATCCATATCAGTAAAAAGGAAGTCAAACTGTCACCATTTCCCAATGATATGACTGAACACCTAGAAAAGCCTAAAGACTCGTCTAAAAAGCTCCTAGAACTGATAAATGAATTCAGTAAAGTTTCAGGATACAAAATTAATGTACACAAATCAGTAGCTCTGCCATACACCAACAGCAACCAAGCTGAGAATCAAATCAAGAACTCAGCCCCTTTTACAATAGCTGCAAATAGTAAAATAAAATACTTAGAAATATGCCTAACCAGGAGGTGAAAGACCTCTGCAAGGAAAACTACAACACACTGCTGAAAGAAATAATAGATATCACAAGCAGATTGAAACACATATCATGCTCATGTATGAGTAGAATAAATTCTGTGAAAATCATGAGGCTGCCAAAAGCAATCTACAAATTCAATTCCCATCAAAATACCAACATCATTCTTCACAGAACTAGAAAAAACAATCTTAAAATTCATATGGAACCAAAGAAAAGCCCATATAGTCAAAGGAAAACTAAGCAAAAAGAACAAATCTGGAAGCATCATACTACCTGACTTCAAACTATACTATACGGTTATAGTCACCAAAACCACAAGGTCCTGGCATAAATATAGACACATAGACCAATGGAACAGAATAAAGAACAGAAATAAAGGCAAATATTTACAGCCAACTGATCTTTGACAAACCAAATGAAAACATAAAATGGGGAAAGGACACCCTATTCAACACGTGGTGCTGGGATAATTGGCAAGCCACACGTAGCAGAATGAAACTGAATCCTTATCTCTCACCTTATACAAAAATCAATACAAGATGGATCAAAGACTTAATTCTAAGACCTGAAAGCATAAAAATTCTGGAAGACAATATTATAAAAACCCTTCTAGACATTGGCTTAGACAAAGGCTTCACGACCAAGAACCCAAAAGCAAATGCAACAAAAACAAAGATAAATAGATGGGACTTAATTAAACTAAAAGCTTCTGCACAGCAAAAGAAATAATCAGCAGAGTAAACAGACAGCCCACAGAGTGGGAGAAAATCACAAACTATCCATCCAACAAAGGACTCAATATTCAGAATCTACAAAGAACTCAAACAAAGCAGCAACAAAAAAACAAACAATCCCTTCAAAAAGTGAGCTAAGGACATGAATAGACAATTCTCAAAAGAAAATATATAAATGGCCAACAAACATATGAAAAAAATGCTTAACATTACTAATTATCAGGGAAATGCAAATCAAAACCACAGTGCAACGCCACCTTACTCCTGTAAGGATGGCCATAATCAAAAAATCAAAAATAATAGATGTTAGCGTGGATGTAGTGAAAAGGGAACACTTTTACAAAGCTGGTGGAAATGTAAACTAGTACAACCACCAGGGAAAACAGTATGGAGATTCCTTAACAAACTAAAAGTAGATCTACCATTTGATCCAGCAATCCCACTACTTGGTACCTACCCAGAGGAAAAGAAGTCTTTACACAAAAAAGATACTTGGACATGCATGTTTACAGCAGCACAATTTGCAATTACAAAAATATGGAACCAGCCTAAATGCCCATCAGTCAATGAGTGGATAAAGAAAATGTGGTACATATGTATTATGGAATACTACTCAGCCATAAATAGAAATGAAATAAGAGCATTCACAAGCAACCTGGATGGAGTTGGAGACCATTATTCTAAGTGAAATAACTCAGGAATTGAAAACCAAAAATCAAATCTTCCCACTCATAAGTGAGAGCTAAGCTATGAGGACACAAAGTCATAAAAATGGTACAATGGACTTTGGGGACCCATAGGAAAAGGTGTGAGGGGTGAGGAATAAAAGACTACACATTGGGTGCAGTGTACACTGCTTAGGTGATGGGTGCACCAAAATCTCAGAAATCACTACTAAAGAACTTATACATGTAACCAAACACCAACTGTTTCTCCAAAACCTACTGAAATAAAAAAAAATACCAAAAAAATTCATATGTGGTCATCCGGAAAAGTATCTTTGATATAAGTATAAAAAAGCAATAGCATGTCTAATATGATTCTAGTTATGTAACACCAAGAGTTTATATATGTATATATCAATGATTGCATGTATTTGCCTGTAAAATATCTGAATCAACAACAAAATATTGTTCCATTGTCCACTAGCTTCCATTATTTTGATTAAAAAGAAATCTAGCATTCTCATTGCTTCTTAGAAGGAAATGTGTCACTTTATTTCTGTCCTAGGTGATTTATGATTTTCTCTTTGTGCTTTTCAGCAGTTTAGCTTAATGTTTTTCTACATTTATCCTCCCTGAAGTTGACTACGGTTTTAAAACTATGGTGTGTTATCTTTAATCAGCTTTGGAAAATTCCCAGCTATTATCTTTTTGAATACTCTTCAGCCATTTTTCTCCACCATTTTTTTTTCTGGGACTCCCATTATATATACATTAAACTTTTTCCATGTGATTCATGTTTGTTACGCTGTCTGATTTTTTAATTTTTTTTAATCTCTGTGCTATACCTTGGATGCTTTCTATTATGCTGTCAACTTACTGATCATGACTTCTGAAATGCATATTCTAATGGTCAGATATTGTATTTTCAGTTCTAAAATGTCCAATTTAGTTTTATACATTCTAATTATCTAGTAAAAATATCCATCTTTTTATCAATTTTGTCTCTCTTCCTATTTTCTTGAACATATTAATCACACTTATAATCCTTATATGTTAATGCTAATGTCTGGATGATTTATGGATCTACAATTACCGACCTCTTTTCTTCCTGCTTATTGGTCATATGTTCATGCTTACTCACCATTTTAGGTTTTGTTTTGGTATTGGTTTTGCACCAGAAACTGTTTTCAAAGGACTTTACGGCTTTAGATGTTATCTTTCACAAGAGCGAATGCCCCCATTTTCGTGTTTGGCCAAGAGAGTGAAAGTATGATCACCTCAGTACAAGTACAGACTGCAGTGGGTATTGTTTTACAGTTTTAGTAAGCCTCATTTATGCTTTGTCTCTCTTTCTAGGTCATGGATTTCTTAAGATTTTGAGAATAAGGCTAGTTAGTCTTCGTCTTCTCAAATCTAAAAGACTGCTAAAGATCCACCTTTTTCCTATAGCACTTCCTAACCTGCTGTTAAATTTTCCAGTCCTAGATGGCTTCGAAAATGTCTTGAGGGGGATACAAGCCTACCTATGAAGGCAGACCCAGATCCTTTTCTCTAGTGAGTTTTTATTTAATATAATGGGACTTTAGGAATTATTATCTAATTTTTTCTTTTTCTTAGAGATGGGGTCTCTCTCTGTTCCCCAGGCTGGTCTCAAACTCCTGGGCTCAAGCAATCCTCCCACCTCTGCCTCCCAAAGTAGTGGGATTACAGGCTTGAGTCACCATGTCTGGCCTATTTTTTAAAGCTTTTTGGTGTAGTACCCCAACATTTCACGCAGATCTGTCTGTTATGCAGTAAAGTGTATTTTTATCATGAGCTTCTTTTTTCAAAATAGAGATAGTGAATTTTCTATGTTAAATATAAATTTATATAAACAGAACAATTAAATAATTGTTTCAAAAATGCATGAGTGGTGAAAAGTGTAAAGATGATAGGTCAATGACTAAAATTGTGTTCACTGCTCTAGAGGGCATTCTGTGAGAGCACAGATTTTTAATCCAGCATTGTGGGATTAGAAAATATATACTAATTCTTTTTGTTTGTTCCATAGCAACTTTTCACTAAGGTTATCTTGTATAAACCAGCATATCCCATTTTATTCTAGGGAAGTATAATAGTAATAGTATTTGATGTTGACTTGATGGTAGAGAATCATAACCAAAGAAAATGTTGCATGTTACAAATAAAATCGAAAAAGTGTTTCTCTGATTTTGGTCTCTGTGAGTCAAGTAATGATTTCTTAGATGACTATTCTGATATTTTCTCAGTGAAGACATTATAATTCACAACATATACTTCCCTTCCATAGTTCTACCTTAAGGTAAAAGGATCCTAAAAGAACAGTATATTCGGTGATACAGCTAGATGTTTCACTTAATGTATAATTAGCATATCTTTTCTTTAGTCACCTGATATTATAATTTGATACAATCAAATGAAAAACATGAATAAAATGTTTATCCTCTTTTTTTTCACAAAGACTTTAACTTTTTGGTAGATTTACAGAGGGAGACATCAATTACAGATTAAATATCACACTGATTACAAAAAGAACAAATTATTCTATAAAACAAATGAACTGCCCTTTGAATTAAAATTCTACAGCTGCTAAGTCATTTTAGGTAAGATCTATTTAGTGGTTTTACATTACTAAATTTTATCAGAATCACACAGTTTACCTTTGATTGATAAAACTCGAAGTGTGCATCTTGGAACTTTGGTGGAAAATATCTTCTTCCAAAGAGATGTGCCAATACTAATACTAGCTTTTCCATAACGTCTTGAGAAAAATGTTTTGAGCCTATATAAAACAAAGTGTCTTCTTGTAAATATGAAAGGGTATAATTCTATTTTTTCATGTTTAAATGGAATGTCATATTACATTTAATTTCATGGAAACTAAAAATTTATGACAAACATAGCAATTGAAGAATTACCATATATCCGCTAATAGTTTTTATCTGTGCCTTCTTTTTCATCCTTGCTACCTATACCCTAATTTAGATCCTAATGATCCCACACAAATTGCCTTATTTCCTTACCTAGATTTTCCTCCCTTTAGTCTATCTTAGTGATTTTAAGAACTACCATATAGATTTAGTGTTTAAATGTAAAAATCAAAGGATTTTAATCAAAAATGTATTAAATAAAATGTATTTAAAAATTTACTCAATATGGATAAAATTGTGCTATTTTTAGGGGAAAATATGATTCTAAATTACACTATTAATATACTATTAGCTATTTAGGTATACTATACAATAATATTCAAAGAAAATATGATTGGAAGAAAATATTCACAAACATTAATAGTGATTATCTGTGGATAGTGTAATTATGAGTAATTTTTTATTTTTAACTTAATGCTTTACTATATCCTTTTTCTATGATGAATATATATTATATTTAATTAGAAGAAAATATTTTCTAAAAAGTGTATATTATTTAATATGTTATTAATCCTGGAGGCAAGGAATCACTGAAGTTAATATTTTGGAGGTGTTGACATTGTAAATACATGTCATAAAACATGGCTGACTATCATTTAATATATATTAGTAGGTATTTACTTTATCAATTGAAGATCTATAAATTATCTACATATTAATTGTATTTTCTTTATTAAAAATATTCCTGAAGTGTTGTTTTTCTACAAATCTGTTGCTATTTTTGGACTCTCTCTCTACATATATATATAAAATCTCAAGCTTACCTTTCCTGGTTGGCTGACAGAGATCATGGAAGAGTCCATTTACAAGAAAACTGACAAAAACAAGATTAGAAGGTTCATGATAATGCAAATGTGATACAAGTCCAGCAAACCCCATAGGATTACCTTCTTGATCTAAATAGCCCTAAAGAACAAAAAACAATTTATTAGTTTGACTCAAGTCACCACATAATAAGTAACTTATTAAGTACCAGTTTAAAATAGTATTTAATGCCAATATAAGAAATATTTATAACTATTACTGGGCCCAACTTTTATAATTATACCATTTATAAATAATATCAATCATTGGATAGAACCTTCTAAAAGCTACAATTTGTTCAGCATGATAAGAAATCTAGATAGTAGTAATGCTATTTCCCAAAACAAAAGTGCAGTAATGCATACCTCTTTCACCAGGAACTGCAAAGAAAACAGGAAGTAAAGTTTTAACATGTCCATGACTCTGGGTTGCTTGAAGGACAGCAATGAATGCTTTAGCACTGATAGCACCTTTAAAGAAAAGAGTATTTTTAGACACACAATGTTAAGTGTTACGAAATACGTTTGAAAATGATAATAAATGATAGATCAATATCTATTATACCACAAAGATATCAGAAATGTATCAGAAAAAATTTGATTTCATATTATTTTATAGTGTTACATGGCAACTTCTTTAACAAAATAGAGCACATAAACTGAATTGTCAGAAATGAAACGTATTGCCAAACAGTCTGATTATTAAAGCCATTCCAGTTCAAGAGTTTATAGCTTTTAAGTTGTTCTAGGAGTAAAAAGATATATTATCCCATGTTCTGCAGTATTATTACAAAAATAATGTAACTAGGTTGATTTCACCAATGTTATAAAAATATTGCTTGTTTTCCAGAGTAAAACTGCATTAAAGTACATGTATCTTTCAACTTCCCATTAAAATGTCTATGAAATTCCAAAAAAAAAAAAAAAAAAAAAAACCCAGCATCACCAAAATTGAAACTTAACCTGTCTTTAGGCCTGAGGGTTTATAGAACCTAGAAAGAATCTCTACTTACTATAAGGTTAATGGACTAGGAGGAGGAAGGGAAGGAAAAAAATAAGGAAGGGAAGGGAAAGGGAGGGGAGGGGAGGAGAGGGGAGGGAAGGGAAGGGAAGGGAAGGGAAGGGAAGGGAAGGGAAGGGAAGGGAAGGGAAGGGAAGGGGAGAAAGGAAGAGGAAGGGAAGAGAGAGAAAAGGAAGAAGAGAGAAAGGAAGAAAGAGTGGAAGCGTAGAAGAAGGGAGTGCACTTTCCATCTCCTTACTGTGGGATGATATTTTTGAGGGCACCATATCTGGCCTTTTTTGCAACCTCTTCGCTCTCATATGCCACATATAGTCAGAGATGGCAATAGTCAGAAAACAGCATAGTAAAGGGTGAGGGTTTCATGGTGGTTCACTATAACCACAGAGGTACAGACCTCATATTAAAGTCATACTAAGATTATAAGAATCCTGATAGCATTGCATACTATAGTTTATTGTGATTAATGTCATCCAGATAATCAATGTGTAATAAGACTAGCAGAAGTAGAACGCGACCTTTCAGTCCAGAAAACTACATAGATGAAGATCTGCTAAACACTGATATTTGGGCCAAAAACTATTCATCCAGCTCAGCTCTGAAAGGGTATTTGATTAGCATTTAGGTGGATAGAGTGAAGCCAGAAGAAATTTCATACATCCTATTGCTTGGCAAACCATCAGATTTGGATAGATGTATCCAAAGTGATAAAATAGAAAAACACACAATAGATCAAATCTTCTTAAGAAAAATTGATCATCTTCCTAAAATTATGGTGATGCTGTAAATATTTACTGAATGTCTACATCAGAAAATCAGACAAACAAACATTATTGGCCTTGGAGTGCTTACATTCTAGTGGAAAATATAGAGAAAATATATAAAAACATGATAGAGATAGGAAGATAGAAAGATAGATGATAGGTAGATAGATGATTGATAGATGTAGATAGATGGATAGAAAGATAAATGATAGAATGATACATGATAGAAAGGTAGGTAGATAGCAGATAGCAGAGAGATGATAGAAGGAAGATAGATAGATAGATAGATAGATAGATAGATAGATAGAGGTAGGTAGATGGATAGAAATATAGATGATAGACATAAAGAAAGATAGATCAATGTAGATAGATACATAGATAGATTTGATGCTATATAGGAACTGATGAGAACTCTATTTAACTGAATAAGGAACATTGTCAATGCAGCAGACAGGGAAACATTTACAATTTAGAAGGCATGGTGAGGGTAGGCTTCACTATGTAATGTTAGAGCAAAGAATTTAATGTGGTAAGAGAGTGAGGCCATGTATATGTCTCAGGGACGATCTTAGAAGGAGAAGAAACAGCAAGAGCCATGGTCCTCAGACTGGAATGTGCCTGGGGTGTTCATGAAGCAGGTAGCAGGCCATATGGGAAAGAGGAAGAAGTGAGTTTTACAAGCTGGTAAGATATCATATTCTACAGGATCTCATAGACTGTGACAAGGACATCTTTTCCTCTAAAGAAAAGATCTGACCTATGAAAATTGTTTTCTATATGCAGCAAAAAAAAAAAGTTGTTTTGAAAAAATACTTATATGCCCTCTCTCACCACTCTTATTCAATACAGTATTGAAAGTTCTGGCCAGGGCAATCAGGCAAGAAAAAGAAATAAAGGATATTCAAAGAGGAAGAGAGGAACTCAAATTGTCTTTGTTTGCAGATGACATGATCCTATATCTAGAAAACCCCATCATCTCAACCCAAAAGCTTCTGAGAAGCAACTTCAGCAAAATCTCAGCATACAAAATCAATGTGCAAAAATCACAGGCATTTTACTACAAACCAACAACAGACAAGCGGAGAGCCAAATCACAAATGAACTCCCCTTCACAATTGCTACAAAGAGAATATAATACCTAGGAATACAGCTAATAAGGGAAGTGAAGGACCTTTTCAAGGAGAACTACAAACCACTGCTCAAGGATATCAGAGAGGACACAAACAAATGAAAAAACATTTCATGCTCATGGACAGAAAGAATCAATATTGTGAAAATGGCCATACTGCCCAGAGTAATTTATAGATTCAGTGCTATTCCCATTAAACTACCAGTGACTTTCTACACAGATTTAGAAAAAAACTATTTTAAAATTCATAGTGGAACCAAAAAAGAGCCCATACAGCCAAGACAATCCTAAGCAAAAAGAACAAGCTGGAGGCATCATGCTACCCAACTTCTACCTTTAACACAAGGCTACAGTAACCAAAACAGACACACAGACCATTGGAACAGAATAGAGAACTCAGAAACAAGACTATACATTTACAACCATCTGATCTTCAACAAAAACAAGCAATGGGGAAAGGGTTTCCTATTTAATAAATGGTAATAGAAGACCTGGATAGCCATGTGCAGAAAATGGAACTGGATCCTATCCTTACACCTTATACAAAAATTAACTCAAGGTGGATTAAAGACTTAAGGTACACCCCAAAATTATAAAAATTCTAGAAGATAACCTAGGCAATACTATTCAGGACATCGGCATGGGCAATATTTCATAATTGATGTGGTTTGGCTGTGTACCCACCCAAATCTCATCTTGAATTGAAACTCTCACAATTCCCGCATGTCATAGAAGGAACCCAGTGGGAGGTAATTGAATCATGGGGGCAGATCTTGCCCATGCAGTTCTCCTAATAGTGAATATGTCTTATGAAATCTGATGGTTTTAAAAAGAGGAATTCCCCTGCACAAGCTTGTTCTCTCTTTGCCTGCTGCCATCCATTGTAAGACATGACTTGCTCCTCCTTGCATTCTGCCATGATTATGAGACCTCCTCAGCCATGTGGAACTGTAAGTCCATTAAAACTCTTTCTTTTGTAAATTTCCCACTCTTGGGTATGTCTTTATCAGCAGCATGAAAACAGACTAATACAGTAAGTTGGTACCAGTAGAGTGGGGTGCTGCTGAAAAGATACCTGAAAATGTGGAAGTGACTTTGGAATTGGGTACTAGGCAGAAATTGGAACAGTTTGGAGGGCTCAGAAGCAGACAGGAACATGTGGGAAAGTTTGGAACTCCCTAAAGACTTCTTGAATGGCTTTGACCAAAATGCTGATAATGATATGGACAATGAAATTCAGGCTGAGGTGGTCTCAGATGGAGATGAGGAACTTGTTGGGAACTGGAGCAAAGGTGACTTTCGTTATGTTTTAGCAAAAAGACGGGCAGCATTTTGCCTCTGCCTGAGAGATTTATGGAACTTCGAACTTGAGAGAGATGATTTAGGGTATCTTGCAGAAGAAATTTCTAAGCAGCAAAGCATTCAAGAGGTGCCATGGGTGCTGTTAAAGGCATTCCGTTTTATAAGGGAAGCAGAGCATAAAAGTTCAGAAAATTTGCAGGCTGACAATGGGATAGAAATGAAAATCCCATTTTCTGAGGAGAAATTCAAGCTGGCTGCATAAATTTGCATAGGTAATAGGGAGCCAAACATTAATCACCAAGACAATGGGATGTCTCCAGGGCATGTCAGAGACCTTTGTGGCAGCCCCTTTCATCACAGGCCCAGAGATTTAGGAAAAAAAACTGGTTTCCTGGGCCAGGCCCAGGGTTCGTCTGCTGTGTAAAGTCTAGGAACCTGGTGCCTTGCATCCCAGCTGCTCCCGCTATGACTAAAAGGGGACAAGGTACAGCTCAGGCTATTGTTTCAGAGGGTGGAAGCCCCAAGCCTTGGCAGCTTACACGTGGTGTTGAGCATGACAGTGCACAGAAGTCAAGAACTGAGGTATGGGAACCTCTGCCTCAATTTCAGAGGATGTATGAAACTTCCCGGATGTCCAGGCAGAAGTTTGCTGCAGAGATGGGGCCCTCATGGAGAACCTCTGCTAGGGCAGTGCAAAGGGAAAATATGGGGTTGGAGAACCTGCACAGAGTCCCTCCTGGGGCACTGCCTATTGGAGCTGTGAGAAGAGGACCCCCACCCTCCAGACCCCAGAATGACACATCCACTGACAGCTTGCGCTGTGTGCCCGGAAAAGCCACAGACACTCAATGCCAGCCTATGAAGGCAGCCAGGAGGGGCACTATACCCTGCAAAGCCATTGAAGTGAAGCTGCCCAAGGCCATGGGAGCCCACCTCTTGCATCAGTGTGACCTGGATGTGAGACATGGAGTCAAAGGATATCATTTTTGAGCTTTAAGATTTGACTTTCCCACTGGATTTTGGACTTGCATGGGGCCTGTGGTGCCTTTGATTTGGCAAATTTCTCCCATTTGGAATGGCTGTATGTACCCAATGCCTGTACCCCCACTATATCTAGGAAGTAACTAACTTGCTTTTGATTTTACTAGCTCATAGGTAAAAGGGACTTGCCTTGTCTCAGATGAGACTTTGGACTGTGGAGTTTTGAGTTAATGCTGAAATGAGTTAAGACTCTGGGAGACTGTTAGAAAGGCATGATTGGTTTTGAAATGTGAGGATATGAGATTTGGGAGGGACCAGGAGTGGAATTATATGATTTGGCTGTGTCCCCACCCAAATCCCATCTTGAATTGTAACTCCCACAATTCCCATGGGTTGTGAGAGGAAACTGGTGTGAGGTAATTGAAACATGGGGGCGGGTCTTTCCCATGCTGTTCTCATGATAACGAATAAGTATTATGAGATCTGATGCTTTTAAAAAGAGGAGTTCCCTTGCACAAGCTCTCTCTCTCTTTGCCTGCTGCCATCCATTGTAAAACATGACTTGCTCCTCCTTGCCTTCTGCCATGATTGTGAGGCCTCCCCAACCATGTGGAACTGTAAGTCCATTAAACCTCTTTCTTTTGTAAATTGCCCAGTCTTGGGTATGTCTTTATCAGCAGCATGAACATGGAATAATACAATGATGAAAATGCCCAAAGCAATTGCAACAAAAGCAAACACTGATAAATGGGATCTAATTAAACTAAAGAGCTTCTGCACAGCAAAAGAAATGATCATCAGAGAAAACAAACAACCTACAGAATGGGAGAAAATTATCCATCCAACAAATGTCTAATATCCAGAGTCTACAAGGAACTTAAACAAATTTATAAGAAAAAAACAAACAACCCATTAAATAGTGGGCAAAGGACATGAAAGGACACTTCTCAAAAAAAGACATACATGCAGCCAACATATGAAAAAAACTCAACATCACCACTCATTAGAGAAATTCAAATCAAAACCACAATGAGATACCATCTCGCACTAATCAGAATGGCAATTATTAAAAAGTCAAGAAACAACAGATGCTGGTGAGGTTGCAGAGAAACAGGAATGCTTTTACACTGTTGCTGGGAGTGTAAATCAGTCCAACCGCATTGTGGAAGAGAGTGTGGAGATTCCTCAAAGAACTAGAGGTAGAAATACCACTTGACCCAGCAATTCCATTGCTGGGTATATGCCTAAAGAAATATAAATCATTCCATTATAAAGATATATGCATGTGTATGTTCACTGCAACACTATTCACAATAGCAAAACATGGAATCACTCCAAATGCCCATTAACAATAGACTGGATAAAGAAAGTGTGGTACATATACACCATGGAATACTATGCAGCTATAAAAAGGAATGAGATCATGTGCTTTGTTGGGACATGGATGGAGCTGGAAGCCATCATCCTCAGAAAACAAATGCAGAAACAGAAAACAAAACACCACATGTTCTCACTTATAAGTGGGAGGTGAACTATGAGAACACATGGACCCAGGGAGGGGAACAACACATACCAGGGCCTGTTGGGGCAGGGAGAGGAAGAGCATCAGGAAAAATAACTAATGCATGCTACGCTTAACACTTTGGTGATGGGTTGATAGGTGCAGCAAACCACCATGGCACATGTTTACATAACAAACCTGCACATCCTGCACATGTGCCTCAGAACTTAAAATAAAATAATATAAGAAGATGGAAAAAAAGAAAAAATTATTTGTCATACTTAATGGGTGCCAAATGATATGACTTCTTTGAGACAAGGCACTGGCACTACAGCCTATGGTATAGAGACAATATAAATTGACATTTAAAAAGTACATTATTATGATATAAAAGAGTGATGGATGGAGTAGTAAAGAATTTCAGGGGCCAGGTGCAGTGGCTCACGCCTGTAATCCCAGTACTTTGGGAGGCTAAGGTGGGTGGATCACAAGGTCAGGAGATCGAGACCATCCTGGTCAACATGGTCAAACCCTGTCTCTACTAAAATACAAAAAATTAGCCAGGTGTGGTGGCGCATACCTGTAGTCCCAGCTACTCAGGAAGCTGAGGCAGGGGAATTGCTTGAACCTGGGAGGCGGAGGTTGCAGTGAGCTGAGATCATGCCACCGCACTCCAGCCTGGGCTATAGAGCAAGACTCTATCTCAAAAAAGAAAAGAAAAAAGAAAGAAAAAAAAAGAATTTCAGGAAAACAAAAGTCCAGTAGTAGCAGAACTAAAATCCACATTTGCATTATGAAGAGCCATAACTGACACTTAAGACCATCAGTGATATGGAAGGTAAGTTTTATGTTTTCTCATAAAAAAAAATAGCAATGAAAAACAGAAAAGTGGGTTTCAATTTAAAAATTATAACTTTTCCTGAAAAAACAACAGAACAATTAACAGAAGCAAATAACAAAGATACAATTCAAGGATCTCTTCTTCATTTAAAAAATACCTGAGCATTGCATAGCAATATGAATGTACTTAACACTACTGAACTGTACACTTAAAATGGTTAAGATGGTAAATTTTATATGCATTTCACCGCAATAAATAAAAACCTGAGCATGAAGATTGAAAGGTCTCATATAATAACTAAAACATCAATTTTTAAAGGATCCATAAAATAGAAAATCATAGGAAATAAAACATTTGAAATAGAATAAAGAAAAAGATTCATATAATTGCATAAACAGAAAAAAATATCAAGTTAACTGCAAGAAAACAGAAACTGCCATGGCTCCTCTATGTAAAACATTAAATGCCAGAAGGCAACGGAAACAATCTTAGTTTGATTTGATGAATGAAGATAATAATATTCTAAGAATGTTATGCCCACTTTTAAGAGTCCCATATGTGAGAAGTTTACATGTGGGTCTTCCCAAATATGCAAAGCAAAGAAAATGAACCACCCTGATAACCATTTAAAAAAATAAGAAACCTTATTAGAAGATGTACTCCTCTTTATAGAGAGGTAAAAATGAAGAACTCAAGAATGGGGAAATTTTGGTCTTAAAAATGATGTATGACTGCTCTGTAGGATCAGCCAACTCATCAAAAGAATCCTAGAAGAATCCCCCCTTCAGAAAACAGTATCTGATTTAACTGGGCATGTTAATCACTATACAAAAACAGAAAGAACAGGTATCATTAACAATGCATCTCCATAAAGATGAGAATCAAATTATGTAATTATGAATTGTAAGTCTGTCATTGAGGGATTGGATACAAAATTTTTATCTGGGCAACACACATCAGGACACATTTACAACCATATTTTGAAGTTCAGTTACATACAACGATATCAGTGTTTAAAAATCAAATGCACACCCATGCCTAGAAAACTGGCTGAAAAAAAAAATGATAATGTGAATGTCTTTGGGGAGTGGAACAGGGGCACTTTTTCCTTATTTCAACGTTCTACATTTCCCACATACTCCTAAGTTTGAGTTACTTTTTTTATGAAACACTTAAACCTTTTTGTTACAAAATCATAAAAATAAATATTTTTTTCTTTCTAAATGGTAGAAAGGAGTCTATTAGTCACCTAGAGCTTTTTAAATCCATAGCCAGCACTTAACTATTATAGGACACTGCATTTCACACCTGAAAATAGTAATCCTGGGTAATTTTCAGTGCCCATCCAGCCACAAATTCCATGTCTGATGGTGGAAACAAACAAAACTGTTATTCTCCCTAGCTACCCCCAATTCTATACGATTCAAGACATTACAAAACATTAAAAGACTGATGAAACTCAAGGGTGATTGCTACAGACTTCTAAAAGAACAGCAGACCTGACTAAAGTCAGGCCAGTGATGAAGACTGAACCTCAGGCAGTGTCCAGCACGGTACCTTTGCCTTGGCATCCTCTGGGTCATCTCCCTTGGAAGCCAGCAGCATGAGTCGCAGGACCAGGGTTATGCTGAGAGGGAAGTGTCCTCTCAGCTCAGGAACATTGGATTTTATGAGTTTTCCTATTTTGGGGAATGGAATATCAAAGAAATATACATCTCCCATCAGGTCTTGACCTCTTCTTCCAGCACGGCCAGACATCTGAAAAGAGAATAGAATTACAATGTAAAACTTCCCTAAATGCTTCTACTGCCATAGTGTAAGAATGAGCCCTTTACTCTGGTTTGGAGCATGGAAATTGTGCATATGTCTAACCATTAAGGAACGGACACTAACATGCAACTACATAGTGCTTAGGAAATTTGCCATGACTGAGATAGATCTAAAAACTGAGACATCTGTCATCATTACGTACGTATTTCATGCCATTAATTGCAGTAGGCATTTGTGTAATATATATCAAAGAAATAATGATCTATTGAAGAAACAAAGAACACTGGCAAAGCAGTGATGTCAAAATCACTTACAGCTGAACTCTAATATACCAATTTTCTCTCCCGGCCCATCTTCCCCATCTCTCATCCCTTTTCTACCCTCTCTCACACACAAGTGTGTTGAGTTACAAATCACAAAATAAAATATGGGCACAAACAGAATAAATACATGAGTGAAATAAAATTCAGAAATGCTACTTGTGAAAAAGCAAGTTATGAATAAACTCTTTACAGAGCTTATGTTAACTCTTATTTATTAAGTGCTTAGACTATGGTAAGGCACTGGGAATGTAAGAGACGTACCCATACTGAAACAACCACAGAGTGGAAGATCTAGAACTCAAACCCTGACATTTCAATTCCCAAGTCCGTCATCCCACATATCAAACACCCTAGCTCAAGAGCCCAAAGGAGAAGATTCCCAAAAATGAGTCAGAAGAATTGATTCAGAGTATGGCAGCAGCAATAGAAATAAAAAGCAGGGGTTGTTAACATGCTGGGAAATGATATAAGAATGTTATATTGGGTAGGAACAAGGCCTATAAGGAGAACAAAAAGTGTTTAGAGATAAAGGGAGGGAAGCGCGTTGATAAAAACCTGCATGTGGGTGACATATCTAAATTTGATTCTGCGAGCAGAAATAATTATCAAATGTCTCTGAGCAGGGAGGTCGTATGAAGATAAACCACGTTGTCTGCAGGACGTGGTAGAATAAGGAGAATGGAGAATCAGGGGAATTGTACTAATAATACAAGGCTAAGAACGTACGATGAAAGATGGTGGATACAGAAATTGCAAGGCAAAAATCAAATACCTCTATGGGACAGTAATGAAGTGGGCTTGGTAACAGATTTGGTGTCAGGAGTAAAGATGAGGTCAGCATTAAAGATAATTCTAGAGTGCAAAATCTTGTGCACAGCAAATGAATGAGTAAATGCTTATCAAGCACCTTTGATGTCTATCTTCCATACAAATCACTTATTTAATTCTTGCAAATGCCGTGGGAGAGTAATTATTACCCATATTTTGGAGATAGAAAATGAGAATCAGGCAGTTCAGATATCTCATCCGAGGTCACACATCTGGTTAATCACACAATCCCAAATGCAGGTGCTTTCAACTATACCACAACTAAAACTGAAAGCCAGGCAAGGATGAATGTCCAGTTATGCTACTGTGAATTGTGGCATGTTTGTAAACTAAAGGTTCACATGTTTTACTACGCTATGGCCATATTTCAGCAATACAATAAGCAAGTTTATGCATTTTGCAATACCTGTCTATAATTCAACGCATCCAGATAGACTGAGTTTTGAGCAAAAACCACAGATTTACAAGGCATGTTGACACCTAAAGCAAGTGTTCCAGTAGCTGTCACCACCTTGAAAGAGAATAAAACAATTACTTCATAAAATAGCATTTTAATAGAATGCAAGTATTTCCTGTCATAAAGTTGCTGAAAAACTCTTTGAGCTTCAATTAAGCCACAATGGGAAAGCTAGAGAAACTAGACACATTGGTACTCTTGCTATTTCACAAACACCACAAGTACATTCCCAAATGCGCTGTTTGCTTTGCACAGAATATTCTTCCCCAAATATTCGTTTCTCTGGCTTCTTCAGCTGTCTACTCAAATGTCACAGAGGAATCTGTAGCTCACCACATCCAAAATAACCACCCCTACCATCATTATCTATCTCTGTCTCACATGATTTATCTTCATAGCATTAATGACTACCTCAATAATATTACTTGTTTGTTCACTTGTCTTATACCAGACTCCAAGCAAGATTCATTATTGTATCCACAGCATCCGTAAGAGTACCTGACAACTGATAGGTGTTCAGTAATTTTTTTTTTTTTTTGAGACGGAGTTTCGCTCTTGTCGCCCAAGCTGGAGTGCAATGGCACGATCTCGGCTCACTGCAACCTCCACCTCCCAGGTTCAGTCGATTCTCCTGCCTCAACCTCCCAAGTAGCTGGGATTACAGGCACCCACCACTACATTCGGCTAATTTTTGTATTTTTAGTAGAGACAGAGTTTCACCATGTTGGCTAGGCTGGTCTTGAACTCCCGACCTCAGCTGATCCACCCACTTTGCCCTCCCAAAATGCTGGGATTACAGGCGTGAGCCACTGCGCCAGGCCCAGTAAATATTTTTAAATGAATAACTAGAAAGAAAATTTTTTATGATAGGGCAATAATACTTTTACAAATCCACTTTTGGACAATTACCTATTTTGTCTACTAAAATTTGTTGAGATTATGCCTATGGAAAAAGCATACCTCAGTAATTTTAAAAAGTTGTCTTTCCCCCCTAAATTGTCATAACTGAGCAGAAAAGGAGCAGGACAAACTTAAAAGTTTACTTAGATAATCCTCTTTTCATATAATGCTGGGTATTTCTAATCATCTTCTCTTTCTTTTTATATTGATTGTCATACATGCCAATGGTTAGTATTAATGTTTAAGTATACGGAGTGATTTTCTGTAATTATTCTGTAACTGAAATCTATATATCTGCGAAAATGCAACACATCATTTATTACCTGTTTTTCTCAAGTTTTTTGATAAGAACAAAAATGTAGAAAATAATAATACATTTAGAAAATAACTAGAATAAATACCTTTTTAAAAAATGTTCTCTATAGCAAAGCTGTCACTATTTTCATAGTACCTTTTGTGGAGTGATCTCATTAACCTATTAGTAATTGAGCAACTACTATTTAACAGGTACTATTTTAAACACAGAATACCCTGATCAAAATAGGTGTTTCTCTCTTCTATCAATTCATAAGCATGTAGAAAATATTGTACGTGGTTATTAGCCTTTAAAAGAGATACATAATTTGTTATTAGTTAAGAGAAAAGCATAGCAAAGTTGCAAATGCTACATCTTATTTTTTTTTTCAGGGAATAGGATTTTTAACTATGATGTCAGATTTTCCTCAACATTTAGTTTAAAAGATGCTACCTAGAGTAGCAGAAACAATCTCAATCTCTTTGTCTTTCTTCCTCTCTCTCTTTTGTGAATGTAATATATGTCATACAAAATTCAATGTGAATAATTTTTAAAAGTCAGTCTATTTTTGAATATTACTAAAGATCCAAATTTACAAGCAAACCATATAAAGCTCCTTCATGAATTTATCCAGAAAATCCCTGCGCACTGTCATGGGACACACTACACAAAACATAGCAAGACTTCAGTTTGAAAGTTATTTTAGTATTCCTTTTGTTCATTATCACTGATAGGAGAGAGAACATAGATATATTTCATGGTAGAAAAATTTGCCAAAGTATTTATTTAGGAAATATTTTTATTCTCATGAAAAAGAGATAAACTAGGCCTTGTGCAGTGGCTAACACCTATAATCCCAGCACTTTGGGAGGCTGAGGCAGGCGGATCACCTAAGGTCAGGAGTTCGAGACCAGCCTGACCAGCATGGAGAAACCCCATCTCTACTAAAAATACAAAATTAGCTGGGCATGGTGGCACATGCCTGTAATCCCAGCTACTCAGGAGGTTCAACAACAAACAAACAAAAAGAGATAAACTGAGTAGTACATTTCAATCCCCTTTTCAATTAAATAAGACAGAGGATATCATGACTTTTTTTTTTTTTTTTTGAGACAAAGTCTTGCTCTTGTCCCCCAGGCTAGAGTGTGATGGCATGATCTCGGCTCACTGCAACCTCCACCTCCCGGGTTCAAGCGATTCTTCTGCCTCAACTTCCTGAATAGCTGGGATTACAGGCACCTGCCACCACGCCCGGCTAATTTTTGTATTTTTAGTAGAGGCAGAGTTTCACCATGTTGGCCAGGCTGGTCTCGAACTTCTGACCTAGGTGATCCGTCCATCTCGGCCTCCCAAAGTGCTGGTATTATAGGTATGACCCATCACGCCCGGCCAACTTATTTTTTTAAAAGACAATTACATGAGAAAAAAAGAAAAATGGTGGTTGTATTCTTTACTTTTCCTGAACATTCAGCTTGAAACAGTCACAATTTCAATTTTTAGAATGAAGAAAATTCACCTACCCTAAGATATCCTTTTCTAAAGAGGATTTCAACTAATTGTTTTTCTTTGAAACTCATAGCACTGTGATGATATCCAATACCCCTTTCTGCCAAGGCTTTCAATTCTTCACCTTTTCTTTCAAATTTTACTCGACCAAATACCTTCTGCAAAGTCTAAAAGAAGCAAGACATTTAGGGATTATGATTTAATTTTAATTATAATTAAAAATGTCTAAATGAAAATAACATGCATACTATGTAATAATTTGGCTAAACAGGCAACTATTTGAAACTGACTCTACATGAATACAAAGAACATTATGGCAGCAACAGTAACTACAAGAAAAATCTTCCCACTTCTTTGGACAGACCATCTTAAACTGTCTTACTCCACTTCTGGGGCAGAAAATTTTGACAAAGTAGCAGATAAAACACCAAGTGGTGGTGAGTGCATGACTGCTCTTGCCTGAGGGATATCAGTTGGCTATTGGAGCCTCAGGAGTTTTCCCCAACAGGGAGAATTCTCCAAGAAGGCAGAGGAGGTTCCTTACCCTATGTGGTCCGGGAATGCCTACTTCCCATTGAAACTGAGCACAAATGGACTTAAAAATATCCAGGTCTTAAAGAAGAAATACGGTTGTGTCCAGAGATACATGGACAAAGATGAACACTGCTTATGAAGGAAGAGCGACAAAAAAACGCTTCCAAAAGCAAAAGGCTGGTTAGTGGTTACTTCAATTATGTATTCACTCACACAACAGAATATCAAGTATTCATTAAAATGATGATCGAAATACATGGTTATAAAAAATAAGACACCATGAAGCTTACAAAAGAAGGTGCACAATAGAATGATACATATATGTGTACACACATACGCAAAATGTATGTAAGTTTGTATGTGTATAGTCACAGGAAAATGAGATAAAAGGTTGGTCTGGAAGGGCAGTGAGTACTATGAGTGATGACATTGATTTTATTATTACTATATTTATATCTTCAAATTTGTCTACTATAAGCATGAGTAATTTGCATTTTAAAAGGTTTCTGCATACCAGTTTTAGCTATTCCAATGCCTCTTTGGTGTTTTAGCTATAATGTAAAAAGCCCCTGATTTTGAGAAATTCTGTGAATATTACTTAAAGTGTATTGGACCACATGCACCCAAATTTTCAAATGCAGCATGTGAAATTGAAGTCTAGAATTCAGGCTGTGGAAACAATGTAATAGAAACAAATAACGAAACGGCAAACATTTTCAGAGGTGAACTGTTAACAGGCAAGAAATAATCTACAATTGCTAAATCTGTTGCACAGGTATCTCAGTGTGTGCTACTAGGGAATTTGACCTAGGAGACTCCTCCATGAACCCTGGCTTAGACTATTATGTCCTTTTTAGATATGCACTGCAGAGCATTCAAGAGTGATATGTAGCTAAAGGAGAGTTCTCTTTTGGTAGGGATTGTATTAATTATGTATTATATTATGCATATATCTTATTAAGCATTATCTACAACTAACAAGCTATGGCTGACAAATGAAATAGTTTGGAGAACGATCAGGTTGTAAGTGCTGACCTCAGTGTCCACTGCTTTTTGATCAGCATATGTGCAGTCCTGTGGGATTTCCAGGTTCTTCTCTAGACACTTCACTAGATTATCATGTTCAGCTTCATGTATTAGGCTTTGATCCACATTTCTGGTTTTTTTCTGGCTCTTTTCATCTCTGTTCATAAAAATAAAATTTTAATTAATGAAATTGTAAATAATGAATGAAGTAATTAATTTGATTTGGCCACCAGAGGATGCCCAAGACTTCCCAAGTCAGTCTTCTCACCCAGACTTCCACGGCTGTGCATCTTTATTATTTTATTTTATTTTATTTTATTTTCAAGATGGAGTCTTTCTCTGTCACCCAGGCTGGAGTGTAATGGCGTGATCTCAGCTCACTGCAACCTCCACTTCCTGGGTTCAAGCAATTCTCCTGCCTCAGCCTCCCGAGTAGCTGGGATTACAGGTGTCCACCACCGCACCTGGCTAAATTTTGTATCTTCAGTAGAGACGGGGTTTCACCATGTTGGCCAGGCTTGTCTTGAACTCCTGACCTCGTGGTCCACCTGCCTCGGCCTCCCAAAGTGCTGGGATTACAGGCATGAGCCACCGTGCCCGGCCTGCTGTGCATCTTTAATAACTCAGTCTTCCTCTAATGCCCTTCCTTTTCAGCCTCTGGATGTTATGATCCATCATGAGAAAATTCTATCACATATTGATATTTTCTGGGATGTTCCTTTTCCTTCTGGCTGTAGTCTTGCCAAACCCAGTTCTCCCAAGATAACTCTGTTTCTCCTTGTTAAAGTGATGATCATTTTCTCTTCCTCGGCCTTCATGACCCTGGGCTTGGATGTAAGGTAGGCATTCTCCTTGCTCCACATTGCCAATTCTAGTCATTCTCCTTCCCTCCTTGTAGTGGATGCTACAGCTGCTTTGAGTTGGGTTGCTAAGGCTCTCAGCTGCACCATTCCCTGGACAATTGCCCTAAACTGACAGAGGCCTCTTGGAGATGCCTGGGTGGTTACGACCTCTCCTGGGGATGGGAAATAGCCCACACCCAATGTCTGAGTGACATGAAGTATAAAAATCAGCCCCCTTGACTCAAGGTGGGGCAATTCTCTGGTGTCCTGGCATTCCCAGTAGGGTTAGAATCAGGCTATATTCTAGCAGAAGCCACATTCTTGCTTTTCTTCACCTTCCCTTTCTTGCTTCGTTCATTTTCTCATAGGTCCCTCATGAGCACACACCTTCAATAAATCCCTTCCACAGATATCCTCATCTCAGTGTATGCTACTAGGAATCTACCTAGAAGACTCCTCCGTAAACCCTGGCTTAGACTATTGTATCATCATACTGTGTTGTCCATCCATCACCCCTCAATGTAACATGCACCCAAGTCACTTATCACTTATTTGATTTTTTAAATTTTTCTCTTAGCTGTGCACGGAAGACAATTCTAAATATGAGAAGATGTGCTCACTTGTATGTCATCATTACGTGTTAAGTAACGTTACCTTTAACTCAGGGGAGAACGCTCTGACTATGGAAGGGCCTGGCCCTAAAATTTGCAGAGCATGTGGCAAAGCTCCACATATTATTGCCTCACTGTAAGTTTTTAGTCAAGGTAATAAACCGTCAAATAAAATAAATTCTATCCACCTACCTTGACAAATATAGCTCCATAATAACCTGGAATTCAAGGGTGAGAATGAGCTCCGGGTGGGCATGTCTCCTTAGCTCCACTGGCCCCTTGCTTTATGGGAATGGATGCAGATGGAAGAGGCCAGAGTGGGACTATCTAAAGGGTCCCCTCACCCTCACTTTATTTTTATAACTTGAAGTCACTAAGAAGGCTTACACCTCCTATGCTGTCCCTGGGTTTTTACCTCCCATGCTTCTAAGGAAACAGAAAAATAGGTAGAGGAAATATAAGCAGAAGGATCAGCAGCAAATTCTAGTTTGCTCTAGAATTTGGAAAACCTAAATCAGAAATGCTCTAAAAGCTGTTTCAACTTGGAGAGAAATATCTTTCATTCATTCAAATATATTTATGGAATAATATTACCTGCCAGGTAATGTGCTAAGCACTAAAGACACAAGAAGAAAAATACACGGTTCCTGTTGAAAAGGAACTTAAAATTTAGGAAAAAGAAATACATATAAACAACAATACATTACAATAATTGATCTACTAGCTATTGAAAGTGTAGAAGAACATAGGAGAGAGGGTAGAAATTCTAACTGCAGGAATCAAGGAAAGATTCAGAGATGAGATACCAAAAAGGGAGCAATCAGGAAGGAGGGCACTCAAGGCAGATGGGTCAGTTCATGGAAAGGAAGAGGTAGAAAAGTAAGTCATGTGAGGAGAATCATAAATATTGAGTATTGGTAGAGGAGAGTGGTAGGAAGTGAGACTGATCGAGTTAAGGCAAATACCAAAACATTTTGGCATAATGGTAAAGAAGCTTAGACTTCATCAGCTAAGCGAGGGCAAAGGAAGAACATTGAGCATGGGATAATTTAATCAATTCAAATGTGTGCAAGATCATTTGTTGACTGGATTGGAGAGTGGTGAACCTCAAGGCTCTCAAGTCCAAAAAAAACACCTCTGTGATCATCCAGGCAAGATATGATGAGCTTCTAAGCCAGGAAGTTACTTAAGATGGAGAGGATCATAGAGAGGGGATAAACATTTTGGCCCTAGAGTTGACAGAATTAGACATTGAGAGCAAGGAAGAGATGTTATATTAGCTAAGTCTTTCCAGGCATCAAATCAGCATTTCCATCCATTCTCAAGTTCTTTTTATGATCACTCACAAAACTGTGATGTTATATTAGTGAGACTTCTTTGTCATGACCAAAGACAAAGTGTGTAGTCTATATTTAAACCTTCTGAGAACTAAGTGATAGCCAGAGTTCATATATGTATCAAAGATGTGCTTATTGTGTAGGATGATTATGTCAGGTTATAAAATCTACCTAGGCTGACAGGCTGTGGTTCTACCTCTCCCAAGTCCTAAATGAGGCTGATTGATGCAATTAAGGAATGAATGTACAATTATGGTCACTCATCTTTATCCCATTCTCTCACCCAAATGTACTCAATTTAGAAATAAGTCCAAGCGACAACTAGAACTTATTTATAGAACATATTCAATTTACGTTTCCTACTAGGACTTGGGGAGTATTTTAACCCTCTACTTATCAATTTGTTTAGTTAACTACTTACATGATCTTTTGTTTCTCTATGGATTTTTTAACTTTTCGAAGTTTGTTAGCCATGACATGGGCTTCTTTATCAGCTTTGGGAGGCCTTTTTGTCTCCTGCTTTTTCTTTAGGAAAGTGCTCACACTTTCAGCTGCGTTTTCTACAGCTCCTAACTTGAATCTGGAAATAAAAAGAATGTGCGCCTTGAAAATAACATCATAAATACAATTCAAAACCATATTTCCATCTACTACTATCATCCCGACATCTGCCTGTTGGGTTTTTAATACCCACCTTTATAAATGTTACCCAGAATGTGCACACCAGGTGTTCTGAATCAGCAGACTCCTTATTAACTACCTTATAGTAAATAATGTTGCCTACCCTCCCCTTCTCCCTCCCCACTCCCCCCCACCCCACCCCGCCACCCAGACATTACCCCTGGGACAATGCAATCAGAACTCGTGGAAATTTTTCCTCTAAGAGTAGTCAAATATTCCATAAGCAAGGAACAGAGAACAATGGTTTTTCTCCGTTTATCTCCATTTATATGCAGAAGACAGATAGCTATCCCCAACACCACCCTTCTCTAAAAATGAGAAAAAAAAGATTAATCAACAAAAAATTGTTCTTTTGGTAGAAGGTGAGAACCTATGATTCTTTCCCAAAGAATAAACCCTAGTTGTTGCTGGACTTTGCAATGCAGAAATGTCTCCAAGGTCTGGGCTTTATACTTCTTGAAATGTAAATACCTAGGAATATAGTGATCCATACTTCCTGGCACCCTGGGGCTCAACCTAGCAACCTGGTCTAGGTTGGCTTTCTCAGATCTGAGCAATTAGCTACAAATTGCTAGACATTTATAGACAAATGGCTGCAGATCAAATTCTCCTGATACATGAAAAGTAAAATGTTTCTAGAGGAAGTAAAGGCAAACATTTCCTATGTTTATTTCACATGCATTTCCCTGTGTCAAGAAGCTAGGGCTTTTTACAGGAGCACTGAAAAGCCCAGGGAGGTCTTATTTCTCCACTGCATCTTGGTGGCAAAATGCTGTGGCTGCAAGTAGCCAGTAGCTATTGCCACTATATTAACCATAGCTTATTATAGCAAGTCATAGATTTGGTTTGTATAATAAAGCTTTTTAAATCTATGTTGTGAAGCAAAGGGCCTTTCTAAAGTTTTTATAGAGCTAACATCAAAAGGAAATGTGTTTAGCTACTAAACAGTAAATAAACTGGCACACTGGTGAAGTAAGAATTTTAAAACTGAGAGTCTATGCCACATGGCAAGAAATTTCATATAGTAGACAATAAAATAATGGTAATAGTAAAATTCAAGTTATACACAGTTGGCCGGGCATGGTGGCTCATGCCTGTAATCTCAGCACTTTGGGAGGCCGAGGTGGGCAGATCACCTGAAGTCAGGAGTTCGAGACCAGCCTGGACAACACAGTGACACAGAATTCAAAAATGAGCTGGGCGTGGTGGCACATGCCTGTAATCCCAGCTTGGGAGACTGAGGCAGGAGAATTGCTTGAACCTGGGAGGTGGAGGTTGCAGTGAGCTGAGATTGCACCACTGAACTCCAGCCTGGGCGACAGAGTAAAACTCCATCGCCCTTCAAAAAAAAAAAATTATACACAGTTGTCAGGCATTATTCTCAGTGACTTCAGTATGTTAACTCATTTAGTACTCACAACAATCCTATGAAGAAGGCACTATTAATATTAATATTTCTATTAATATCCTTATTGCCAGATTCAGTGACCTGCCCAAGAGCCCACAGTTTATATGTGGCAGAGTCTGGCCTGCAGGCCCCTGTTCTCAAATCCTGTTTTTAACTGACATATGTTGCTTCTCTTTTTACATTAATGCAAGTTACTGGGGCCTAGGAATATATTACTTTTTAAAATAGTGTCACTTTCATCATAGCACTTCATTTTTAAAAAACTCTTGTTCAAAGATCACTTAGAAATAATGTTGCCTCTTAAATCTCTCTGATAACCTACATTTTATGTCAACCAAAACAAAACCAAAGAAAAAATATCTCCAAATATGTTGACTATATTTGGAATTAGAAATGAGAATTATAACCCAAGATGCACAGCTATGGCAAGCCACATATGTATCTGAAGGGAGGAAGATAAAAGGAAGCTTGTACTGGCAAAAGGGGAAGTTCACATAAGCTGCTTAGAAACACAGTTCTTTGGTTTTGGAGACGCAAAACCAGAGCTGGCATCAATTTATCGGTGGAGATGCCATTACTGGGTGGGTGTTCTTTCAAGGGCATCTTATCTGAATTGCTTCAGCAGTAAATAAAGAACTGCCTGTGGGATTATTTTAGAAAGTCCTTGAGACAGTTTATCTCAGCCATGCAAGCATGAACAACCCGCCTTCATGCTCTCTCAGCTCCAGTCTGTTTGGATCTGACAAAAAGGGATCATCCTGGTATACAAGAATGAATGCGACCTAGAGATTAGACCTTATTCAATAACATTTTTGTAGCACTGTACTAAGTGCTTTCATAACTTATGTTTATTTAATTCTCACTCCAATCCTTTGTACTATTATTCTGATCATCTCATTTTGCAAATAAGTAAATTAAGGCTTAAAGTCATTAAGTAGCTGTCCAGAAATAACACAATTCATGGGGGCAGAGGTGGGATCCAAGTTTGGGTCTGGCCATGAAGTGTGTGCCCTTAAGCACACACTGCCATTGCCATCAAACACTGAATATGCTCCATGTATTTTTTTTTTAAGAGATCAGACTGCAAAAGGCTTAAGGGTACACTACTATTTGAAAAGCTCCTAGAGGTAAAACTTGAGCCCAGAAAAATCCTCAGATCTCTTGATGATCTGGGATCAAATTGTGTAATACCAAGGATGTTCACAGTTTATTTTGTAGAGAATTCAAGAGTCATATAAACATGCCAAGCTTCAATTCTTCAAGTATAATTAAACTTTTGATGTTTTCTGAAATATTTTAGTTTTAAAATATTTTAAGTATGTGAAGGATTTTGGAACATGCTACTCCCAAAATATACCACTCTGGCATATTAACTATTTTGAGTTGAAAGCACTAGAAAAAACAGCAGGGTCAAGAAGATCACTCTGATCTTCTTTCTTTTTCTTAAAAGTAGCAGATTAAATGCCCACAAAAATATGTTTTCATACCCGAAGGACAGTAACACTCCTATCTTCAAAGATGGGAACTTGAAGACAAGGGAAATCTATACTAAAAAACCTTGTTAAACTAACTCTTACCTTCCTAGTCACATCTTCACCCAAGTTACCCTAGCCTACACCCCTTTACTTTGTCACATTTTTCACAATTTACCACTCTTTGTCCAATTCACTATGTAAGTGTCCAACTCTAACTGCATCGTTGGGTTTTCAACTCCTTATGGAGCCTTCTGCACCATATAAAACATACTACATACATGTGCATGCTTTTCTATTGATTTGTCTTATATCAGTCTAATTCTGAGGCCCAGGTAAAAAAGCCTAAGGTGGTAGAAGTAAAATTTTGCCTCCCCTATATTTGTATGAAGGTATGAATAATAAACAGATATTTTTCAGTTTCTGTTTTGCAGTGAGGCTTTCAGAAATATCCCAGAGGTACAGAATTACTTTTGTTTCTAATTACAGTCTATAGCCACACTTGAAAGTGAAATGGGTGAGCTTTGTAAATCCTTGGCAGTGCAGAAATGTATTTTCCTTATCCCAACAACAAAGATAAAAGGAGTAATATTATTGCAATCCCCCAAATTTGCAAACACAATCTTACATTCACCCATCATCGTTATTTCAGAAATATATCATCAATGATTCATCCCTATATGTCTGTTTACATGTGAGCAAGTTTCATTAAACTTTTCCACCTAACAAAGACTCTGGATTTATTTACTTCAGCTTCCATGGCTTAAGTGTAGCTTGAAATTGCCCAAAGTAAATAGAGTATTGTGTTCTAGTCCCAAACTATGTTACCAAAGTTAATCCAGGATCTAGTATGTTATCCATTTAATAAATTATACTTTGATGTCCAACGAAATTGCACTATTTTGTTCAATTTTAAGCTATTTGATACTATAATATATAAAATTTAGCAAGATATCAGTGTATCTGGATCAGAGTTCTCATTACTATAAATTAAATATAATAAAATACACTGTCAATAAGTAGTATATTGTGAAGATACTTTAATTTTATGTGGGATACTTGTGTGCATATATATTCAATTTGTTTTGCAAAGAACCTTTATGTATTAAAAATTAACAAGGCTAAATAAAAAATAATAGTTTACAGTAGAAAGAAAACAAAAAATAGAGTAGCAAACTAAATAAAGAAGGTAATTCATAATAGCACAAATACAAATATAAGAATTGAACTAGAAAGTTGTATTTTTTTCTATGTCGTCTTTAATTTCTTTTTTTAAAATTATACTTTAAGTTCTAGGGTACATGTGCACAATGTGCAGGTTTGTTACACATGTATACATGTGCCATGTTGGTGTGCTGCACCCATTAACTCACCATTTACATTAGGTATATCTCCTAATGCTATCCCTCCCCTCTCCCACCACCCCACAACAGGCCCCGGTGTGTGATGTTCCCCTTCCTGTGTCCAAGTGTTCTCATTGTTCAATTCCCACCTATGAGTGAGAACATGCGGTTTTTAAACAAAACGTATGTATTCAAATAACCAATGGGTCCCAGAAATAGTAATGAACACCGCACTACGATAGGGAACTTTGTATAACACCCCTCACCTTAAAGCAGCAGTCCCCAACCTTTGTGGCACCGGGGACTGGTTTCATGGAAGACAACTTGGCAGTGGGTGGCGGTGGGGAAGTGGTGCACAAGGATCGAGGGGGATGGTTTCAGGATGAAACTGCCCCACCTCAGATCACCAGACATTCGTTAGATTCTCATAAGGAGCATGCAACCTAGATCTCTCACATGTGCAGTTCACAATAGGGTTGATCTGACAGGAAGTGGAGCTCAGGCAGCAATGCTCGCTGGCCCACCACTCACCTCCTGCTCTGTGGCACAATTCCTAACAGACCATGGGCTGGGCCAGTGATGGTCTGTGGCCTGGAGGTTGGGGACCTCTGCCTTAAAGGAATGAGTCTAATACAATTACAAGCAAAACCAAATTAAATTAAATAACTTACAAAAAAAATAGTGCAGGTAACTTCTCCATTTTCCTTAGTTTTTCAACTAGAAGTGGAAACATGGTGATCATGTTTTCTGGACTCAAATCTGCTTCAGGACTAAGATTCTGAAGTACCATTCTGGCCTGTAGTGGTGAATACAAAACAATTTTAAGTTCTGCATGAGAAAGAAAGAAATTACTACTTTTTGCTAAAATATTTTCATAGTTGTCTAATATATGTTTTTGGGTTTTTTTAAAATAGTCCTATGAAAGTACATTATAAAACGAGGCAAAGAACCATCAAAGAAACATACAAACCCATACACTAGAGAACAAAAATTTGGCAGTAATATATACACACATATGCAATTTAACCTGCAATTTTTAAGACAATACAAATCAGGAATAGAAGGATTTTTCAGCAAATGATGCTGGTTTCACTATGACAGGAGGGCAAGTGTGAATCAGTTTCTACATTATGTCAAAAAATCACATCCAAATATATTTTCAAGGTCTGTAAATGACAGAATAGCTAGAAGAAAATGTAACTCAATTATATTATGTTTTTGAATGGGAGTAGATTAAGGTATTACAACAAAAAAAAATCCAATGAGAAAAGTCTAATATATGTCATTCCTCAATCTGTGCCAATAAATCAAATTTCAAAATATGAAGACCATCAACTTATTAAAACAAATATCTGTAACTTATATAATTCCAGGTAAAGTTTTAATACACAAATAGTTCCTACAACTTGAAATAAGAAGAAGAAAAGGACAATAAACTGCAAGTCAAAAAAGACAGAGGAGTAAAACAATCTTCTCAGAGACTGTTACTGTGAGTTCAGTTTCTCTACTGCCAAAGTATCAACAATATCATCTCTATGGATAGTGAACCTTCTGTTCTTATCTGCTATGCCATTTAGAAGCAACCAGTAGCCTCTGGCACATGGTTCAGAAGACACTGAGGATAAGACAAAGACCAGTTTACTTTCTCTTTTTATTCTATCTCAGAATTACTAGACTTCAAGTTCAACTTAAATTTCTAAAATAAAAATTGAGGATTAAAAAAAATCAGAAAATGGTATTAACTGAATGATATAACTCAAGAAAACAACAAAAATAAAGTTTGGCCAAAAAGCGTATGAAAATTACCTGCTCTACGTTGCCATTTTTAATCCAACTTGTTAATTCTGCCTTTAGACTCTCTTCATATTTCCTAGCATCCATCTTTTTAATGACTAATTTATTGTTAAAATGAATGAAGTTTTCTGGGCACAGTTCCTTGAAAACAAATATTACAAAATTAGGCACAATCATGCAAGAAAATCCAAAAGTATTTCTCAATTATATGCCTCATTAACAGCCTTACAAGTTTCTTGAGCACAGAGATGGTTAAACTTTTTATCTCCACATGGCTTCTAATGCATAACGTTACTAGGATGGATGAGCTCTTCAAAAGAGAGGATACAAAGCAAAACAAAGTAGAAGATGAAAACAAACAGCAATTGGGACTTAGAAGGGAAGCAAGTGTAATAAAAAGAAATATGAATCTAAGGTGTAAGAAGACTGAAATATAATAGTGTTCTAGAAGTTGCAGAAGTTGAAAAGATTTCAAAAAAAAAAAAGAAGAAATATTCTCAGGAATTAAATAAAATACAAATTAAAACCCATTAAAAAACAAACAGATAATGTTAGAAATATGAGAAGAGGCACTCTTATTGTAGGAAGAGTCAACTAATAATTTTAAAAGATTAGATGCCAGTGATTAGAAAGGGTGAGAGTTTGTCAATATTATCATCCTCTATAATAGGATTAATTACATCATTATTATTTACCTGGGCCCGAGGCCAACTTTTCCAAATTTGAAACATGGCATCATACAGCTGGATGCTTTCTCGAGGTGAAAGGGTAAGATCAGGAGGGAATCCATACCTTTCAATCTGTTTAAAATAAAATTAAAATTTTTACTCTTTATTTTATTTTATGTCGTATCCTTTGCCTCTTAGTCACTATCATAACCCAAAGACACTGAAAGGCAATAAACTAAAATGTTCAAATGCTGATAGGTGCTAAATGCTACCAAATTCTATCAACACAGTTCCCTGAATCACAAAAGAGGGAAAAAAGCCAAAAGCCCACCAAAAAATTTTAATATTACTTCCCAAGACCTTTTCATTGTGCTAATTTTCTATGAACTGACTTCATAATTGAAATCAGAGCGATGGGAAGCTGAAAGATTTGTGGACTCAGTTTAGACAATACATAACTTCTATCTTACAGCTAACACCAAAACTGATGTAATTAAGAATGTGATTCTTTACTTTTATGTGTACCAAGCCAGGCTAAAATGGGAAAATCTTATTTGCTTAAGTTTCAAGATAAGAACTGGGTCAACTTCAAGATAAAGGCTCTTAAACCACCTTCAAGACTCCAAGAAATTTCTCCCAAAGGTCACTGACAGGTCTGCTTTAAGTCTTCTTAATAATGTATGCCATTCATTTTTTCCACAAATATTTTTAAGTGGAAATAAAAAATTCCTGTTCTCAAAAAGTTTCACTGTAGTATTTTCTACTGGTTTCAATCACTACTGCTACAAATCATTTGCATGTAGAAACATACTCTCTGAGATGTTAATAGGAATGTAGTATAGACTGAATGTTTGTCTTCCCCCAAAACTTACATATTGAAACCGAATCCCCAATGTGATGGTATCTGGAGGCAAATCCTCTGGGAGATGATTAGGTCATGAAGGAAGAACCCTCATGAATGGGATTAATGCTGTTATAAAAGAGACCACAGAGATCTCCCCTGTCCCTTCTGCCATGTGAGGGCACAGCAAGAAGACAGCTTATCTATGAACCAGAAAGCAGGCCCCCACAAGACACCAAATCTCCCAGGGCCTTGACCTTGGACTTCCCAGCCTCCAGAATTCTGAAAAATAAATCTTTGTTTCTAAAGCCTCTCAATTTGTGATATTTTTGTTACAGAAGCCTGTTGAATGGGCTAAGAGAGTATTCTTCAAAAAAGAAAAAAGAGAGAGAAATGATATATATTGTATCAAATAGGATTCTTTGGGATTTCTCACTGGAAATGTTAAACCTCAAAGAAGTAAATATAGCATGCAAATTTATCCAAAATAATTTGACAATAGGGCACTTGCTTTCGTAAATAGCTATTAATATGTTTTAAAATTCAGGCTTCAAATTTCGGGGCTAAAAAAGCCACTCCAAACACAACACAGTTGAAAAAAACTGGAGATGATGTTTGGTAGAATGGAAAGTACAGGAGAGTATGAATCAGAAGATCTGGTTCTAATTGCACCTGTAAATGCTAGTTCCTCATCCATAATATAGGAATGAAAATACAATATTTTTACTTCCACCCTAAAGACTGCAGTGAGAGCAGACAAAATCAACATATGTTCTTCAAACCTTTAAAACTATAGAACGTAAAACAATTCCTGGAATCATCGTTTAACATCTCAGTTGGAGTACTGAAAGATAGCTAAATGCTAAGGACTATATTATATCAACATACTAAATAAAACAAAACACCTATTATTTTGTAATGTTGGCATCTTGCTCTCTTGTTAGGTATTACTTGAAAGTGGTTACTTATTCGACCTATCTAAAATAAAAACATACAATAAATCCAAGATTTATTATAATTTTAAAATATAAATCTTCTGTTTTTGGTTGCTAGCTAGAATGCTTATGATTTCTTAAGTCTCTTAGCCTTTTAGAGAGGTCTGAGCTTCCTCATTTCTAAAATGGAGGATAATTCTGCCTGTGACATAGATTTCTTATGAGAATTATATTAGATAACATATGTAACAGACTTAGTAAAATGCCTGGCATATGATTAATGCCACAGCCATCAATATGATTGACTAATTATCCCTTATAGTTCTTAATCTTTTAAATCAGTTTAACAGTCCTATGCCTAAATACTGGGGATCCAATTCAGTTGTTCTCCACTACACAGTGACTAATGATCCTGCAAAAGTTGAGTGAGTCTAGGCAGAAAATGAAGAGAAATAAAAGGTCACAGATTTGTACCATTCTTTATTTATAAACACAATAGTATTATACCATGATGCTATTTTTGTAAACCACATTGTCCCTAATGTCATAGGTGACGGTAGGCATTGATCTATGCTGAGCAGAAACAGATAGATAGCAGTTCTTTCAAGGACTTCCTGGGGCTGATAGCTCTCCAGGAGTCAGCAGCTGTTCCTGTGTGGCATGAAAATTGGGCCAAAAGCCAAAGACACTGTCCTTAGCCAGAAACAAGCCATGTATGGATTGAAGGCGATCCCTCACCATGGTTGGATTCAGATCAGCTCACTGGTCCTGCCCCCACTCCTGAAATCATTTTTATACTACAACTATAGAGGAAAGGACCCAGGTGGATGGCCGTTCTTATGTTGCCATAGTTTATTATGTTTTTTTCTTGCCACTCCATTTTTTCATATTAATCTGAAAAATGGACTACACAAGACCAGGAATTATTTACTCAGTTGAAAGGTCTCTTTGGTTTTTATCACTGCTTCTTTAGGATATGTCCTATATAAACACATGCTATACCATGCAGCTGTCAAAACGGACTTACTAATACCTAAGTCTTTATGTTCATTCTGCATTCCTGCCACAAAAGTCTAGACATCTTAAGAAGACTCATACAACAGCATGACCTTTGCAGAAGTCATCTGGGGTCACAGCACACTGTAGCAGTTCTATTGCTTTCCAGTTACTCCATTAATAGCTACTGAAAATAGAGGAAAGGCACTTGGACCAAAATGACAATTTCAGCAAGTACTCCAAACCACTATATTCATTGCTGCTTAAAGATAATCTGCCTTGAACCATCCTACACAGAATAATTTTTAAAAACTATACTGTTTTTAAAATGCCACATAATGATGAAAATGTCAGATAACTCCTGGATATCATAAAGGAAAGAAGGGAGGGAAGGAGGGAAGGAGGGAAGGAAGGGAAGGGAAGGGAAGGGAAGGGAAGGGAAGGGAAGGGAAGGGAAGGGAAGGGAAGGGAGAAAGAAAAATGAGAGAATAAAGTGCCTTTTATTCTTATATGTGGGTTATCATCCATATTCTAGATTTGGGGTATGAGTTAAGTCACAAGAATTTTGTCCATATTTAGGTTTATTTAGAATTTGGATTGGGCCATTGTCACACAAGAGATAAGTTCCCATAACAAAATCCTATTAGAAAATTACCATCAGCCAGCTTGCTTTTAGAAGCCAACTTGTTTGAGATTGTATCCTGGCCCCACCATTTACTTAATGATGCAACACTGAGTTAGTTAAGTTCTCTATGCCTCACTTTCCTCATTGTAAAGTGGGAATAGTATTAAGACATCTATCATAAGATTGTTGTAATGGTTAAAAGAGGTTTAAAAACGTAGAATTTTTAGAACATGAAGTAAGTGCTCAATTTAGGTTAGCTGTTCTTATTTAACATACACTTAGTACCTTTTATATACATAGCAATTTGTTAGGAAATGAAGGACACAAAATTTGTCTTCAAAGAGTTATTCTAGTAAGTAAAGACTATATGCATGTAAACAACTTAAGCAGTAAGCTCATCATGGCTGGTGTCGTATTAGAAACACAGACAAGGTATTATTGAGAGAAGAAAGATTACATCTAGCTAAGAAAGTCAGAGAAGAATTCAGAAAAGGTTTCACATTTGAAGAATTATGGAAGATGAACAGTATCTGAATGACTGGTATTTGGCATCCGGTTTGAAATATTCTAAGAGCAATATATAGCATGAGGGCTGCCAGGTAAGATATCCCCAGTGAATGAATGGAAAGGAGATTGGGGCCAGGTCATAGATGACCTTGGTTGTCAAGCTAAGGAGGTATGCATTTAGCTTTTTCCAAAAGAAAGTCAAAAGAGACTTGGAAAGATCAAAATTATCTTCAAAGAAAGCTGAGAGTTACATTTAATTATATTCGTGTCAAATTATGTTGACTTTTGTGCTCTAAAAATTTTACATATTTTACCTCCTTTAATCATCACAACAATCTTATGATGGATGTCTTATTATGTTTAACATAACAGAATTTGGAATATATTTAAGGTTTTAGAAGGAAGACAAAACTATTGACTAATCATCACTTTGAAAGCCAAAGGAAGTTTAAATGGGCCATGTATGGGACTAGGATGAGAGAGGAAGAGAACTATGCAAGAAAAAGTAAGTAATCTTTCCCCACTCACACCCCGGTGTCCCAGCTGAAATCTTCCTAAGACCTCCACCTTACTGGCTCACCACCAAAAAAATCATGTCGTGATTGCTACATTAGTGAGAATGTCTTTTACCTGATTTTTCTATGTACTAGGGATTGTCTACATATAATTGTATGGCTGCACTATGAGAAGAATTAGTGTCAGAGGGGTAGACAGACAGACATGGGAGCTGAGAGGAAGAAAAATTGCCAAAGAAAACATCCGAGAATAAATAAAATTAGCTAAAAATTCAGGTTAAATTTGTAGTGGTTTTTAATCTTTGTGTATTCAGGCATTGTTGAAGAACCAATGAGAATTAGAAAGAATACTCTTGTTATTTTTTAAATTAAGGTTAAAGTATCAGTTTCTGTAATTCTGTAATTCTATTCTATAATTCTGATACATATCAATTAGGCAGCATTTATTTATAATATATACAAATATTTTATATTACTTAGAACAAATATGGCTAAAATATTACCTACATGATCTGTTGTTAGTGCAGCACATGGGTGAAAATGATCAAAATGAATGTCACCATGTTTTATTGAACATACATGCTTCTCTAGATCATTATACCTCTCTCCATAGAGCACTAAAAATGAAGAACAAGAATTTCCACATCAATGGAAATGTAATCACTGAAACAAATTTAAAGTAAACGGCATCAAGATCAAGGCAATGGCAGATTTTTTAAAAATAATAAAATAAAAGGCAAGCTTTATATAAATATATCAAACATACCAAGTCTAACTTTATACGATTGTTTTACTTGCAAGTAGTCTTTGGGAAAGCCGGCCTGACGACCCACATGTCTTTTAGAAGCGGTATTATTTTCAATTATTTTGTCTTCTTGTTTCCAGTACCATTTTACCGATTGTAGCCACCTTAAAAAATAAATGTACATATTATTTAGGCAGAACATGGAACTACTTCCTGTGAAATTAAGTAGTTTAAGTAAAGACAATTTCATCTTCCTTATAAAGTGTACTTAGGGGAATAGACTCAGAAGCCAGACTACCTGAAATTAAATCCCAACCTTCTTAGTAATAGCTGTGTCTCTTGGTTGAATAACTTCATCTTTCTGTACCTAGTTTTCCACATTTTAAAATGGAAATATGGTATTCATATTGGAACTGTGACTATTTAATAGTAGTAATGGAAGTAAGCTTAAATCATAAGGGTTGCTGGGCATTTAAAATAAATTAATACATGTAAAGCACTTAGAACAGTACTGGGCACATAGGAGGTATTATAGGATTGTTATTAGTAAATAAATAACTATTATTATAAAGTAAAAAAATTATTAGTAGTAGGCAAAAATCAAGCCCAATGACAAGATAAAATGGGGTTTTCATCTAATAAGAATTTGCTATCTTTCTAAACATCTCTGTAAAGTGGGAAAATGGACCACAGGACCCATGGCTGAGTGTGTTGTTATATCATTTTATTTTTTATTTCTTGGTGAAGGACAAAAAAAGAAACAAAAATATATCTTTTCTGATGAATCATTTTTGGGATGGGGGAAATTTCCTACTCAATTGTAGATCTAGGTGGGGAAGTCCTTAATTTATACAGGGTGGCTTTCCTCAACTACGGCCAGGAGGTGTAGAGAGATGCAGTTTCTTGAAGATTCAGAAATAAACTATTAAATTCACTAGAAAATTATGAAACTCCTCAGAATCCACAGAGAAATTATGAAATTCAAATATTCAAAATAGATAAACACTCTGTCCAAATTGAAACTTAATGCCTACTCGGTGAGATGTTCAGGATTACTTATGGTAGCTGAAAGAGCCAAAAAGGGACATCGGATCATGACAAGGAGATGTTCCCAGATTTCTGCTCCAATTTCTCCACCAAGACAATGAACCTATTAAACAAAAAAAAAAAAATCTCAACTGAAAAGTTGATTTAAAAATAGCAAATGAAAGTTAAGACATGGAATCTTGAAATTGTCATGCATGCCTTCCCATCGCCTTTAAGTGACCATGCCAAGTTTAAAGAAATATTAAAAATCCTCACAACCAATGCACCAACAGTTCTGCTTTACTTTACTTTCAAAAATTTCCTTCAACTCAATGCATTTCTCTTCATGTCTACTGCCAACCTAGCTACTCTCATATCTCAGCAGCGTTACCACAATACCCACTTGACTACTGTACTTAGCCTCCCTATCTGCCCTTAAATTCTTCACATCACAGCCAAAATAAAAATGTTGGCCGGGCACGGTGGCTCACGCCTGTAATCCCAGCACTTTGGGAGGCCGAGGAGGGCGGATCACGAGGTCAGGAGATCGAGGCCATCCTGGCTAACACAGTGAAACCCCGTCTCCACTAAGAAAACAAAAAAAAATTAGCCGGGCGTGGTGGTGGGTGCCTGTAGTCCCAGCTACTTCGGAGGCTGAGGCAGGAGAATGGCGTGAACCCGGAAGGCAGAGCTTGCAGTGAGCTGAGATCGCGCCACTGGGTTCCAGCCTGGGCAACAGAGCGAGACTCCATCTCAAAAAAAAAAAGTTTAAAAAGATAAACTATATCAAGTCATGTCACTAAATAAATTGCTTTAATATCTTCCCTTTGCATGTGAAATAAAATATAAACTCCTTAATGGGATGTATAATGTCTGGCATCATTTGGCCGCTGCTGCCTCTCTGGCTTTATCTCAATCCACTGTCTCCACCTTTACTATGGTCCAGAAAGAATGACCTTTTCTTTGTTCCTTGAACTCACCCTTTCTACCCAAGAGCTTTCACGTATATTATTCCCTCTGCTTAAAATACTCTTACCCTCTATTATTCAAATGGTAGAGTTCAGCTCAATGCCACTCCATAAAAAAGACTTTTCTGACCACCTATTCCAGAGTTGCCTCCTCCTGACACTCTGCCAGGACTGCAGTCATGACAGCCTGGTCTCTCCCTTCACAGTTTGTACCAACGTGGGCTGGCATCATCATTTGTGAGCTCACTTGTTTATTTCCTCTTTCTTGATTAAACTGCTGTCAGCTCCAGTGTCTAATAGATAAGGCATTAAGTAAACTGTAACCTTAGACCTGAATATTCTATTCCTAGCCACTGACACAAAGCCTAGCACTGAGGAGGCACTCCTTAAATATCTGCTGAGTAAATGAACGGATGAGCAAATCAAACTAGATTCAGAAAAGAGTCTCAAATGTGGTCTTCATTTAAGAGATTAAAGTATGACACCTAGCAAGCAACTGAAAAAGACTTACTATCAAAGTCAAATTATATACCTATTAGAATATGCATACCCACTGCCCATCTGGGCTTGTACTGGTGAGATAAAATACCACTCCATCAAATATTGACCTTATGCTTTGCACTAGATAGCACTGTTCCCTGATTCTGCCAGAATAGACATTAGCCTTTAAAACCTTTTGGTTTTATCCCTTACACAAAATTTGAAAAACTGAAATAGCCAAAGTCATATCGTCATAGCACTTCAGAGTTTTGAGATCAGATTTTAATTCAAAGTTCTAGATTGCACAGACAAAGTTGTTGGATTTTTGAAAACTATAATATTCAAGACCTTCATGATGCAATATGAGATTAACCAAAAATAAATATAATAAATCAGTATCAAACAAATCCAAAGCACAGCCTATTTGGTAGCTCCAAGTTTACAGCAAGGAAAAGGTAAGTTACAGAGATTTGTTAAACTTTTCCCCTTTGAATGTAAAATTCCACAGAGTCAAAGAATATATCTTTCTATCATGTTTTAAATCTCTTTTAATAAATATTCCCCCTTTTTTTTCTTTCTTTCTTTTTTTTTTTTTTTTTTTGGAGATGGAGTTTCGCTCTGGTACCCAGGCTGGAGTGCAGTGGTACGATCTTGGCTCACTGCAACCTCCACCTCCTGGGTTCAAGTGGTTCTCCTGCCTCAGCCTCCTGAGTAGCTGAGATTACAGGCACCTGCCACCACACCCAGCTAATTTTTGTATTTTTAGTAGAGATGGGGTTTCACCACGTTGGCCAGGCTGGCCTCAAACTCCTGACCTCAGGCAATCTGCCCACCTCAGCTTCCCACAGTCCTGGGATTAGAGGTGTGAGCCACCGCACCTGACCAATAAATATTCCAAATAATGCTGCAATATAGCTTTGCTAAGTATCTTCCATTTGCCCCAATAAATCGCTACAAATCTACATTGTTTTTTATTCTGCTCTCTCTTCCCAGGGAAGCTGACCCATAGACACTTCGTCAAAAGGACTCTTATGATTTCTGGTTCCACTGCGTTTGGCCTATGAAGGGTCTTGGCCATAGATCAGAAGAAGTGGGGAGACTGAGGCTGAGGTCATTTTTCCATTGGCTCCTTTCCTGCAAAGCTACCTTGAATCAGCTATGTTCCTCACAATATGGCCAACTCAATTGGAATCTCCTTTTGAGTTTCCATAAATGCTTCCACGCCCTGCCCCTTTAAGCCAAGGGGCAAACTACTAGCTCTATATTACTGCACTAACCCTTGTGGATTCCCTCACATACACCTTTGAAAAATACACTTCTTGAATTATTGCATTTCAAGAGTGTCATTTAATTATCTGTTGGGATCATGACTGATAAAACTTATGTAATTGACATCATTGTTAGAGCCAAAAATTATTTACTTTAGAGGTCAAAGATTGGATTGAAATCTCTGTCCAGGGAAACTTGTACCAGGATGGTTGAATTCTATTTCCCCTGAAACAGTTGTCAATGAAAGATTCCACTCCCATACAGAACTCTGCAGGGTGCATCATTTTACCCTATTGAGTCACAACAGGAAAAGGGAGCCAAAAAAGTGATTTTTCCTGAAAAATCACTCAGGAAAAAAAAACGGAGGCCTTCTCAATCTGAACTCCATCCAAGGGGATAGATGTCCTGAAACACCAAATATCTTCATTGCTATGCAAGTGTGCACTAGGGAATTAAGCAAAGAAAGAACACCAAACCTACCTCATCAAATATAACATATCTGATCTTTTTCACCCAGTTTTGGCGATGAGGAGCAAGCAGCAGAATTTCAAAGCAGGCAGGCACTGTAATAAGTACCTACAAAGAATAATATTGTGTGAAGTAACATTTTGAGCACTTACTATGTGTTGACATATTTACAGGAATATGTAAGATAGACTTATGAGTCCTGAATGTACCTGCTGATAATTGGCATATAACATTGCTTCTGAGAATTCAGGGTTTCATCAAAACTGTGCTATATTCATTGGAACCATATGAAACTGAAATTTTGTTAGGCCAAAAATGGTAGAAAATCAGATTTGAAGTTTACATCCTTGTTTATGAACATTCAGGGTTTAAAAATAGAAATTATTCATTGTCACAAGTTTCATTCTTTAAAACCTGACACTGACATAGAGTTTAGATTGAAAGATGTTTATTAAGAATCAGCTAGTGTGAAAAGAGCAGGGAAGCAGGAATGAGCAGAGGGGGAAGCCTAACTGCAAGGCAGGCCTGATGGAGCCTCAGCCAACCTAGCTCGCAGTTCTGGAGTAAGGACTGCTGTCAGAGTTGTTCCACATCAAGCCACAGCAGCCCGCTGCTTATACTTCTACTTAGCTCAGTTGCAGGGTAGAGACTGTGGAGGCAGAACTGGGGGAGCTGATGGCTGGCATCTATCTTAACCACACTCCCCACATCAAGTCCTTCTTTGAAAGGCAATCTGGGTAGAACATCTCCATGTCTACCATGCAATCTTCTATAATCATGTGTTCATTCTTATTTAGTCTTAATTGTTGATCTGTGAGTTCATAAGGGTGAAAACTGTCTATGATTTAACACCAGGTATACGATCCATAATACAACATTTTCTAAATCATGAGTATCCTTAATAGATACTTATGAAGAAAAAGTAATTGATTTAAAATTGAGATTTGTTAATTTTCTATAACATAGCATTCTTCAGATCATTCTGAATCCCTTTACAAACCAAGACAATGCAATAAAATATTAATGAAATCAGAAATCCAAAGGTCAGTGTCCTTAGAGAAAGATGAGTTCTAGTTCTCACTCTTTGAAATGTAACAATATTACATTTTTTCTAAAAGTATTTTGTCTTTCATAAATTCAAATAAATTATTTTCACAAGCCTTGTGAAGATGTTGAATTTCTAGTCAAAGAGACATACAAGTACAGTTATATAATTTGATAACACACTTATTAATTAAAATACCCTACCTGACAGTTTAAGGCATCATGACGATACTCCCTGGTGAAAACACCACAGAGAACTTCACCACTTGGCAGATTTTTCGTAAAACGATTCTGAACAGTTGCTGCCACTTGATTAACAAGGGCCTGATTGACAAAGAAAAAGATCCATTAGTCACATAATAGAGAGAGGTGAAATATCAGAGGACAACAAGAACTGTCTAAAAGTGTGTCCTGCTTTCAGTGCAGAAAGCTTACTAACCCCTTTCATCAACCCACTACTCTAAACACACTAACATATTCTCTTTGAGATAGTTGACTCAGCACACAAATCTCATTGATAAACCTCAACCTAAAGTAAAATGGAATTTAAAAAGTATTCATCAGAAGGAAAAACAGAAAATGTTGCCTATATATCAGAAAAAAAATTGTGTCTCCTATATTTGGTGACTTTCCTCTGATGTCTAAAGTTTGAATATGTATATGTTATTTTATGTACATGTTTGTGTGTGTGTGTATGTATGTGTATATGTATATGTATATTATTTTAGCTTCAGACACTGAAACAAGAAAATGCAGGTTAAAAAATAAAGTGAACTAGATCTACCATGTGACCATGTTCATTATTTTTAAATAGTAGGTTCAGGAATGAAAGAGAATATTATAGTCACTTGAGCACTACCTTTGTGGGTGCAACGTACACGACCACCCCGTCGTCGCTCTCCTTCAGCACTTTCTCCATACAGTAGTAGGAGGCATAGGTTTTGCCTGAGGACGTTGGGGCAACAATCACTGCTGACTCATTCTTATCCACAACATCAAGGAGCTCTCGCTGCAGGGTGCAGAGTACCATTCATGTCAAGAAACTGAACCGTATGTTACCAAAACAAAGACAGTATTTATAGACTTCCAATACGATTTTCTGAACCTCAAAGGATCTGTAGGTACATCTGAAGGTCTCATGTCATTCTCTCAGAAGAGATCATTTTTATGCTTTTGAACATCTGTAAGGTGGGTTTTATGTGTGACAAATGGAGAGGATGTCTGAACAAAATATCTTATTATTGAGAAAACATCTTGTAATTATTTGCTATTTACTAAGTGCGGTTGAGAAACTAAGTTCTAAGAAAGAGACAATATGTATATTACTGATGGTGAAGAAAATAGCTGAGGAGAAGAAACATCAAACATTCTTAATTTTACTACTGATATTCTACTTTCTACATAGAAGAATGCCAGGATGAGAGAGCTCCATCCCTTCAGCCGAAGAATGTTGACTAGCCGAAGAATGATAATAAGTCTATGTAATAGGTAGAAGGTGGGAAAACAACTCAAAACCCCAACCGGTCCACTCCCGGCCACACCTCAGCGTGAATTGGGCATCAGAAGAGTTACAATGTGAATGAAATTAATGGAGAGCATTAGTGCCTCTAGTCCTGCACTGAAGCAAGGAACCGGTCTTCCTATTCATGAAAAGGCACCATGCATTTTTTAACCTACCCCACCATCATAAGAAAGATTCTGAAGGGGGCAGTCTATTAGACTGAAGCTATAAAACTGCATTTCTGTAGGCAAACATGTTCAATTTATCAGCAAGTTGGTATGGTTCAATGTATGTAGAAATGCATCCTTTTCTTCTAAATTTTATATCCCTCAATATTAATTTTATATACATTTTTAGAATAGCTACTATGGTGACAGATGCAATGTGTAAATATCTAAACAATTGTCCCTACTATTTAAACTATCCAAATTTCTCTATGCACTTTATATATTTACATATGAAATCCTATTGACACACGGAAAACCTGGAGGCTGCTCCATGATGATACAGCTGGATGACACTGAGATAACATCAGAGCTAAACATATGACTCCATTAATGTACCTCCAAGGAAATGGTCTATATAATAAAAGAAAATCTCACTTTCTTTAAATGGGGAAAAAATAGTCCACATTTGACATTTTCAATAACAAAGTATCTTTAAATGACATGAACATCAAATATAACATGTACAGCCACAATAATGAGAAACCTCTGAGATCACATATAATAAGAAAATACAGTAATTTTTGTTTCATTTGCAGTATTACCTGCCATGTGTCGGGAATAAAATCCTGGACCCTGGGATCTGGGTCTTTTCTCTCATCTCGTATCAAATAATGGCCCATGTATTGCAGTTGGAACCGAGCTGGCCCAATGCCAACTGAATATTTATTCCTTTTCTTCACTTTTACATCATTTTCTGCATCCTGCATTATTTTAAAAGTCCATTTTGAAAATGACATTGAATTAGAATATCATTTAAATAAGTAAAACATTTATTACTGAGCACTTTCTATGTGAAAAGCATTTTACCACCTTTTAAATTTAAATTTTTTAAATCATTGTCTTAACTAGGTAAAATTAGTAGACATCAAGATTTTCAAATATACGTCATGATATTTGTGGCTACAACCTGATATATTTAAAGACAATTGAATAATCACACTAGTTTTGAGATGTTTTGCTAGAATTAAGTGCAGGGTTAGTTTTAAAGGATCTGCAGAGATTATCTGGCATTTAATCTGTTTGTCCAGGTAAGCATTTGTACAAATTTTCTCATTATGTATTACTTCAAGATTGGGCAGTTGGGTTACTACTAATAATAGTATTTTCAGTAAAAAAAAAAAAAAAATCTGGAAGAGATGACTATCTTTGCAAAACACTTTATGTATACCTAATAATTACCCTGTTGAAATTGAGCTATTCTGATAATATTACCTGGGCTGGATGTAAAGAACTTGCCAACTCATCAAATCCTAAATACTTAAGGCATCTGGCTATGAGTTGCCGATCATCTTCTTGTAAAAGTTCTGAGTATTTTTCCATCAAGGAGTGGATCCTTTTCATCACCTGAACAGCTATACTTAAATCTTTCGTGGTTTTACCTTGATAAACAATAAACAATAAAATTGTTATAAAGACCATCAAAAATAATTCATTTGATTACCCAAGATTAATCATCTAGATGGCCTCACTATCTCACTTGGCATTAGTGGAGGTTTTGGAGTAGAAAGGACCAAATAAAGTAAAATTGAAGTTCCACTATCCACACTTCATCATCTCTGTGGATTGTTGAGATGTAGCTATATCAGTGTTGGGAAAAAAATTGTAGTTCATAATAGAAATAAGATCAAAAAAGCTCAAGTTTGTAAAAGTTTAGGAAGAATAACAAATATTTTCTCCATCTTTTATTTTCATATGTGCTCTACTATGTTCAAAGAAAAATATCTTTATTACTTGAAATATCTGGTTAAAACCTTAGCAACATTTATTGAGTCCTATGGTTGACCACAGATAAGTATTTGGTGTACTCATTGGAGCCCTTCAATTCAATCCACCTCTTCCAACTGTCACATTCTAGATGTTGCTAATCTCTCTCCATTGCTTTATATTCATACATACCCTTTTTGTTCCTCTGCTCTGCTAATTATTTCATACTTATTATGTCAGGGTTTCTTCTAATCAATCACCTATATTTCACCTATTTAACAATATTAACTAACACCTACTGAATACAGTAAGAGGCTACAAAGGAAATGTAATACAGTTCATACTGATTGTTATGCACTGTTTTTCTAGGTGAGCAGTTCACTTAGAAAAACAATGCATAACACTTGATCATTCCCAATTAAGCAGCAGAAACAATAGGAGGTTGCTGGAGAGAAACAATAGGTCAGGGTGTTGGAGAGAACATGGAGGTCATGTGTTAAATGGATCAAAGTGTGGAGATGCTCAAAACTGACAGATCAACTAGGTTTGCTCAGAAGAACTGTCAGTTTGGAGGTATTATGGAACAAGATCATTTCACTTGCCGTGAGTTTACACATCTTGATGTGATCCTATTTCACCTGTATCTTCCTCTTTCTGCCTCTTCTTTTCTTTTTTACTACCTGCTATGGAAATTATAAAGTAGAGCACATGGTATCCACAGCAGCTTTGGAAGAACTCAGCGTGCCAGGGAAGCATGAATACAGTGTTACCCAAAAAAGAAATGTTTACTCATTGGTCTCAAAGGTGAATGACAGATTCTTCCTGGGTGCCTCATCGTTTTTGTTGGTTCCCTTAACCACGCCCACAACCTTATAAGTTGTTCTTTTTGCACCCGTCTTTGAAGGTGCTTATGGATGTGCTATATATTTGCCCTTGGGACCCTCTCTGAGATTTCATTGCTCATTGATAAAATACAAAATTGTCCTTTTATTGGTGGTGTCAGGGATCTGAGCTAAACTGTGGTTCAAAACTATTAAATGAAAATTCCAGGCCGGGCGCAGTGGCTCACACCCGTAATCCCAGCACTTTGGGAGGCCGAGGCGGGCAGATCACAACGTCAGGAGATGGAGACCATCCTGGCTAACATGGTGAATTAGCCGGATGCGGTGGTGGGCGCCTGTAGTCCCAGCTACTCAGGAGGCTGAGGGAGGAGAATGGCGTGAACCCAGGAGGCAGAGCTTGCAGTGAGCCGAGATAGTGCCACTGCACTGCAGCCTGAGCGAAAGAGCGAGACTCCATCTCAAAAAAAAAAAAAGAAAAAAAAAAAAAAGAAAATTCCAGAAATACATAAATCATATGTTTTTAAATTGCACACCATTTTGAGTCGTGTGATGAAATCTCGCACCATCTCACTTCATCCTGCTCAGGACATGAATCCTTCCTTTGTCCCCCATGTTCACACTGTAGACACCACCTTCCCATTAGTTACTTAGTAGCCACCTTGATGATCAGATTGACTGCATTGATGCCTCAGTGTTGGTGTTCAAATAACCCTTCTTTTACTTAATAGTGGCCCCAAACTGTAAAATAAGTGATGTTGGCAATTCAGATATGCCAAAAAGAAGCCATAAAGTGCTTTCTTTAAGTGAAAACATGAAAGTTCTTGACTTAATAAGTGAAGAAAAACTCATATGCTGAGGTTGCTAAGATCTACAGTCAGAAACAATCTTTTATCCATGAAGTTGTGAAGAAGAAAAAAGAAATCCGTGCTAGTTTTGCTGTTGCACCTCAAATGGCAAAAGTTTTGGACACAGTGTTTGATAAGTGCTTAGTTAAGATAGAAGGTGGAAGACATGAATAGAAAATATTTTCCAGGTGATGGAAACATGTTGCACCTGAAAGCATTGAATCTGTATGAAGACTTCAACAAGGCATCCTCTGAAATGAGTGACAATGACCCATTTTCTTCAAATATAGGATGGTTACACAAATTCAGGAATAGGTTTGGACTGAAAAATATAAAAAATACTGAAGCGGGCCGGGCTCAGTGGCTCACGCCTGTAATCCCAGCAATTTGAAAAGCTAAGGTGGGCAGATCATGAGGTCAAGAGATCGATGATCCTGGCCAACATGCCAACATGGTGAAATCCCATCTCTAGTAAAAATACAAAAATTAGCTGGGCATGGTGGTGTGTGCATGCAGTCCCAGATACTCAGGAGGCTGAGGCAGCAGAATAGCTTGAACCCAGGAGGCGGAGGTTGCAGTGAGCAAGATCACACCACTGCACTCCAGTCTGGTGACAGAGCGAGGCTCCATCTCAAAAACAGAACAAAACAAAAAAACTACTGACTGAAGAGGCTCCATCTGCCAATGAAGAAGCTGCTGCCACATTTCTGGCAGAGTTGAAGAAGTTGGTTAGAAAGAAAGGATACCATCCAAAGCAAGGTTTTAATTGTGATGAAACCAGGCTCTTCTGGAAGAAGATGCCCAATAGAACCTACACATTCATAAAAGTCCAAAGGAGGCACCAAGACATAAAACATGGAAGGACAGAGTAACCCTGGTACTAGGTGGCAATGCTGCAGTGCATATAATAAAGACAGGCATAGCATACAGACTGAAGAAGACATACACTCTCAAAAACAAAAGCAAAAATTATCTTCTTGTGTTCTGGCAACATAATCAGAAAGTGTGAATGACAGCCAACATTTTTATGGAATGGTTCTACCAATGCTTCTTCCCAGAAGTGAAAAAATACTTGAAAGAGGAAAGCTTGGAATACTAGACAATGCACCTAGCCATCCCAAATCTGTTTTTGTTGAAAATGAAAACATTGAGATTGTATTTTTACCTCCAAATACAAACTCACTGCTTCAGCGCCTTGACTATGGCATCATTCAGTTTGCCAAAGCCACATACACCTGCCTGGTGTTTGATTACATTCAATCAGCAATTGATGCAGACCCTAATCTGGACATGATAAGGTGCTGGAAATTATTCACTATTGCTGATGCAATAACACTCACCAAAGATGCAATGGATTAATTAAACCCAAAAACTATAAATGCCTGCTGGAAGAATTTATGGAGTAAAGTCCTGAGTGATATTCGAGACTTCCTGGGGATCAATGGAGAAGTTAGGAAAATAATTCATGCAGCAAGACTGATTGATAGAGAGAGATTTGCCAACGTGTTTGATAAAGAAGTGAAACAACATATTGAAGTTCATTAGGAAATGTTAACAAATGAGGAAATGGAAGAACTTATTGAGTCATCTAGGGAGGAAGATGAAGAACCTGAAGCAGAACCTGAATTTGCTGAAGTGTTTCAAATTACATGGATATTAAAAGAAAAAATATGGAATACAATTCTCAGATGGAACACAGCATTAAAGTCACCCATATAATCACAAAAGAATGGCAACCTTCACAGAGACACTTTGATGAGTTAAAAAGTGACAACAGTGGCTGGGCGCAATGGCTCACGTCCGTAATCCCAGCACTTTGGGAGGCCGTGGCAGGTGGATCACAAAGTCAGGAGTTCAAGAGCAGGAGTTCAAAGAAATTAAACTTTATCATAGGTATGTATGCATAGGAAAAAACAATATACATGGCATTTGGTACTATCCACAGTTTCAGGCAACCATTGTGGGTCTTAGAACATACCCCCGGCAGGTAGCGGGAAACTATTGTAAAGGTAATAATGTATAAAGTAAGATAGGGCATGTAAGTCTTCTAATGCAAATTTCCAGTTAACAAATGGCAACTATCATCATTACATTTGTATTAATTCTCCAACTCACCGAAATAACAAAACAGAATTACATACCTTCTTCACTTCGGCAATGTTCTTTCCAGGCTTTCAAGCAAGCAGTTAACCCCACCATTTCAACCTGAAGTTTCACACAGCTACTTTTACAGGATTTCAAAAAATCTTCCAGGCTCTTTATTCCAGAGTGTAAATTTTCTTTCAATTGCTCTTCAATAGAAAATGACAAAGCATTCCACTTTTGCTCTTCCTTTTGTTCTTCCCTGGCAAATAACCTTTTCTTATTCTCTCTAGCAATTATTTCAGCCTTGGTCTCCTGCCCCAAAGGAAAAAACATCTCTTAAGACAAGTTGAAAATATTCCAAGATAACAGGTCATGAGTGAGACAATATTATGGGTGTATTGAAGACTTTGACCATCATCCCATTTTGAGTAGATGTGAAAAATTTCTTTTTTTCTTTTGGAAATTAAGCCTCTGTTAATTTATAACTTAAGACAATTTAATTTAGGGAGTGTAAAGGCTCTCTGTAGATAATTTTCTAGATTTCTGAGTGGTGTGGTTTATAAATAAAACAGTAAATGTTGCTGGGCGTGGTGAATGACACCTGTAATCCCAGCACTTTGGGAGGCTGAGGCTGGAGGATCATCTGAAGCCAGGAGTTTCAGACCAGCCTGGCCCACATGGTGAAACCTCTTACCTACTAAAAATACAAAAATTAGCTGGGCATGGTGGCACGCTCCTGTAGTCCCAGCTACTTGGGAGGCTGAGGCATGAGAATCCCTTGAACCTGGGAGGCAGAGGTTGCAGTGAGCCGAGATTGGGCCACTGCACTCCAGCCTGGGCGATGGAGCAGGACTCTGTCTCAGAAAAATAAAAAAGAAGAAGAAAAGTTAATGTCACAAAATCAGAGACAACAGACTGCCTCTCTTTTCATTTCTCCATGCTATGATATCTGCTGCTCTCTCTGGAATCGCCTGTCCTCTTCCATTCTTCCCACATCACCTCCCTGTTCTCTACTTGTTTATGATATTTCCTCCATGAAGCTTTCCCTGACTCTCCCAAGTCGAAGTCATGTATTCTTCCTCTGCTCAGACACCTATTGAAGCACTCATTAACATAAACTGTAGTTGTAATTTCATTTGCCATTCCTCCTCTCTTGATTGAGATCCTTGAGACAGGAATGTGCCTTTGTTGTCTGTATGTCTCAAGCACAAAGCATTTAGTCCATAATGTTTGATGAGTGAATAAGGAAAGAGGAAGAAGAGGAGTAGATAAGAGGAACAACACAAATACAACTGATTTGCTCTTCCTCAATAAGCACTTCCAATTAACTTAAACATAGTATGGACCCACTTTTACTATGCTTTTACCAACCTGACTCATTAATCTACAAAGACAAATTAGAGAATTGTTGTATTAGCAAGAGGATTCCAACACATTTTCCACACTTCTGGTTAGTCACGAAATTAATATGTAAATGCCTGCCTATAATGAAGTCAAGTTTAGTTGTCATCACTCTCTAAATTAGAAACAAATAATTCTAATCAATAATATTTGAGTTTTCCCAGTGTTTAGTCTTCCTAATTTGCTGTGTTGGGCCAATTTAGCATGGTTCTGTTTCAATAGTACAAGGGTTACCTTTGACCCTTTGCCATGTAGATTTTTCTATTTTCATACATTGTATTATGTAACAAGAATTTCTGCAAATTTACCATTTCATAACATCTCTCAAAACAACAACAACAAAAAAACTGAAAAGCAGTAGCCTTTTGTCACCCATAATAAAAAAGTAAATGTTTAATTAAGTAGTCTCACTGACAATACAATTGGCTATAAAAATGAAAAGGAGGAGAGAAACAACGATCACACAGTTGGGCTCAGAGAGGCTTCTCTTTGGCTCTTAAAACAAAAGATGGGACAGCCCAACTGCTTAAACTTTTGAAGCAGTTCAAGAATAGAGGCTTCACAGAACATGTGAGAACCTTTTAGAGTAATTTGTGATTATTTTTTGAAGTTATCCTGAGTAGAAAATACAAGAACTTTTTTGATAAGTCCTTGAACTGATGAACTATCTGTCTCTCGGAGTTCTGAAAATGTCCACTGAAGGCTTGACAAAGAGATGCACATTTTCCTGATCTTGCCAAAATTTTCGCAAAAGTAATTATTCAGAAGTGAAAATAAAAATATTTTTTGAGGTCTTTATATGTTCCATTCCTGATAACTTCACCACGTTTATTTCAATTTGTTAAGGTGGATATGTGACAAATACCTTTATTTGTGATTGGTTTTGTTAAGTTGGTACTTTCTCTAATATACTAAAACCTTTCATCTTGAGAGAAACTTTTTTGTGAAAATTAATGCCATTTCCAAAACCCCAACTTTGAGGCCACAGAAAGATACTAAAGCCTGATGAGTTTTCCATTTGTTTAAGATGGAAACCATTTATGACCTGCCTCTAAAGTCAGATAATCAGAAAATTCAGTTTTAAAATAAAAATATCTGTACTTAGACATTAATGTTTCAGGAATTATCAACTGATAATTTTAGATCATAAACTATTAGTATTATTATTCCAGAAATAGATTGGAACTTTCCTTATTTACTCCTTGTATTCCATCCCCAGTTACGTCTCCCAGGAAAAGAGTAGAAAAATGACATCCCAAGAAGGAAAAAGGTAAGTTTGCAGGAGTACAAGCCACACAGAAAGAGGGAATGGAGAGTTCTAACCTTCCACTCAAAAAATGTGTTGGATTAATCAATCATTTAAATACTTTGGAAAAGTGTAAACACTCTTTATAATTTAGAAAAAAAGTAGATAAACATTTCATATCCATTTTTACTACCTATATGAAAAAGATTTTCACTGTCATTAATGAACAACTATATTTTTAACGTTAGTTTAAAATTTCTAAACTCAAAACTTTAGTCACTTAATTATTCTTCAAAGAGATACATATGTTATTATGTATAGAATATCATTACAACTTTTTTATGAAGGTTAGGCTTTTTCAGCAAGAGGTAAAAGAATAAGTAATCATATACAAAAATATATGCATATAAATATCAAGAAAAGGCATTATATAAAAAGAAACCACCAAAGGGATAACACATATCAACCTGATAAAAGAAAAGGAAAATTTTTTTAATTGGATAGAATTTATAGAACCTACGTGTGCCTTTTTGCTCTTGGGCCCACTAAAATCCTTCTTTGACTTAATAGTTTGAGTCACGATGATTTTCGAAGAGACTGTTTCTAATGAATTCCCATAAAACCGTTGGAAAACATGATACTTTTGCACAGATCTAAGAACACGAGGGTCTCTAGATTTTTCTGAAAAAGAAAAGACTTAAAATGTAACTTTATTGTAGTTTTTCAATAGCATTCTCATCAATTCTTCATATTATTCCACATCCAGTAGTTAAATTAGTGGAAAAGTAATTTAATCTCATTATCTTTCTTAAAGAGAGAACGTAAAATCAAGTTAATAATTCCTTTTCTTATTTAAAAGATGGAAGTGACAAAACACACTTTCATGGTCTACCTCCTAAATTAGGTATCAGGTGCAACAAAAAAAATGACGGATTCCATTCATTACCTATGTCCTGTGCCCTGTGAATTAGTTTAAGAAGAAGGTAGAGGCAGAGTGAAGAAGACAACCATCTAAGATATTCTGACTTCTTGTATCACTGGATAGAAAAAATCCTTACTCCGGACCATAGCCATAGAGCCAGAGCCCAGAGCATGGCAGCTAAAATGGTAAAATTTAATAACATAAGATGCCCCCAAAGTCAAGATATGCCTTACTCCCTTATCTCCATAAAAACTGTAATACTCACAGTAATGAAATAACTAAGCTGATTAATTTTTCTATGTCTGTAACTACACATATCACACCAGACCACTCCGAAGCATGTTAATGGTTCATCTAAAGTATCCCCCCACACCTTGGTCATTATTTACATACCCAGGTACTTCACAGGAGCATACTTGCTATGCCTACTCCTAGGTTATTCTCAGAGTAAGTTTTGTCAACTCTAACGGGGCTGGGGGTAAGCATAGGGATACAGAAAGTTGAGATGAAGACAAGATCCCAAATTCAGTCTCTGTTGATCCACTGTTAGTGGTTTCATGGGCCTCCTTCTGTAGTTTCAACCACCCTGAGCATGAAGGCAGATAGAATGCTGGTGCTTGTTACATGCAGCCAATCGGGTGTTATCAAACAGTTAAAATTGCTTGAAAGACTATGGTCTCAATATATATGACTCCAAGGAATACATACATTGCTTAAACTACAAACCATCTTTCCTTGAAACAACTTCTAGCACTTCCTCCTAAAACACATACATATCTACATACGTACGACTGTCAATAAAGAGAGAGAGAATTTTTCATTACCATCTTTCCCAATGCACATCTAAATATCTTGTAGACTATTTTCATTCAAAAAAATTTAATTTGTGTCTTATGATAATTTTCCACTATAAAATAAGAGGCAGAGAGTAAAGTAGATTTAAATTTATATCACTGGAGTCACAGAGCTTACCATCAAACTGACACCTGGACCTGTCATAATCATCACTCAGGGGTTTATGAGAATGCCAGTGCACAAGTTCATCAAATTCCTTTTGTTTAACCAGTGAAGTAACAATAGGATCATCACTGTGAGACAAAAAAAGGCATATTTTAAATTGCACACTTCCAAATATAACACAGCACAGATTTTATTTTATAATGTTTTTGAAAATCATAGTTCCCCTTCTTCTTTCTGCAATATGATGTGGGTGGTAGACTCCAAACAGCAGTTTATTAGAGGTTTAATAAATCAAAATCTACTCCATGTCTCTAACAGTCCCATCAATATCAACTAATAGGCATTCATTAATTCATTAATTTAAAATATGCAGCTGTAGTGATTTATTCTAAGATTAAAAACTATACAGATTTTTACATAGTAATGGCCAAAAGGCATTGAAAATTTTGATTTTAAATTCATTATGTATTACAAACACATACTACATGTAATGTACTCTAATCGTCTGCATTTCAAATAATCCTCGTTGAGTAACTCATGTATTCCACACAAGTATTTATTGAGGCACAGTTTTTGGCCTTATACCTCTTTAGAAAAGGCAAATCTTTCAAAATATCTCCAGCAAATTTATCAACCACAAAAGATGACGTTGGAATAAAACCCAAATTGGGCACCATTTCATTGGAGCTGTCTGTAAACAAACAAAAAAAAATTGAGACAAGGTCAAATGTAAAGCTTTCAGACAGGAATATTACATATTATTTTCTAAAACTTCATATTAAAAACATTTTATATTAATCTTATTTACATATATCAAGTTCAGCCCTTCTCATAAAGCTATTTCCCACAGTAAAACACTTTGGAACACAGTAGAGTATAAAGAATCAGACAGCATTTTGGCATATATGTGGATATGCATGGGGGATGGGTGGGTGGATATGCATGGGGGATGGGTGGGTGAATGGATGCATGGATGGGTGGATGGATGTATGCATGGATGGGTGGATGGATGGATGGGTAAGTAGACAGATGACAGATGGATAAATCAGATAGGTAGGTAGATGGGAAGAAGAAAGGAAGGAGGGAAGAAAGGAAGGAAGGAAGGAAGGAAGGAAGGAAGGAAGGAAGGAAGGGAGGAAGGGAGGGAGGGAAAGGAAAGAATGAAAGAAAGAAAGAAAGAAAGAAAGAAAGAAAGGAGGGAGGGAAGGAAGGATGGAGGGAGGAAGGAAGGAAAGAAAAAAGAAAAAGAAAGAAAGAAAGAAAAGCAAGCAAGCAAGCACACAGGGAGGGAGGGAGGGAGGAAGGAAGGAAAGAAGGAAGGAAGGAAGGAAGAAAGGAAGGAAGATAAAGAAAAATACCTATGCCTTTTATTTTCAAATGTGAATTCCTTTTATTATCCCTTATTATAAGACAAAGATTTTGACGATGGAAGCCTCAGAGATTATATATCTATATACATATACATACACATATACAAAGACTTTCATGAAAATGAAATAAAAAAGAAGTAGGGAAAAATACAGATGGTAATGAAATTATTTGATATGATTACAGTATTCTCTTGAGTCCTCCTTGATTTTATACACACACACACACACACACACACACACCACACGAGATAGATAGATAGATAGATAGATAGATAGATATTACATATCAAGTATATTATGATAATAGACAAATGAATGACTTTTTATTCTATTGAATGTCTGGTTCATGATTCCAGGTTAACCACCATTGCTCTGCCTGGGATCCTCCTAGTGCTCCCTGTGCCTGCGTTTGTCGGGATCCTTTCTTATTTAAGCCCCTGCAACTTGCTGCCTAAAAGAGGTGGAGAGCCCATGTGGCCTTCCCTAAATTTTTCAGCCCCTAGGATGTTTTGAGCTTAGCTATAATGTTATAAAAAGATGTTTGGTGTCTCTTATTCAGCATCTCAAGTGCTTTACACAAAGAGATTTTTCTGTGGACCTATAACTGCCATATTGCTGGAAATGGAAGTCATATATATCTGGCTGTGTTTTTTAATTGAAACAATATTAATTATAAGCAAAATGTAAATCTTCATAATTATAGTCACAGCATACCACTCCAAGGATATAAGAATAAAGGTAATTTATTTTTATTATTAAAATTCAAGTGCCAGAAAATTATTTATACTTGCAGCACTGAATTAGTGGTGTTTCCTAAACACTTTCAGAGGAATAATGCTTTCATTTCAGATTAATTTAGAAATTTATTACCTTTGATTGGTGATGGTTTCTTTTCAAGAAAACAAACTTTTGTTGTTCTCAGAGGAAATGGCTGTCCAACCTCAAAGTCTCTGACCAACTTTGATACGGTATTCCAGAGATATTCATAATCTTTCATAATGGTATCTCCCAAATTCAAATGTAGGCCTACATAACAATTAAAAACACTAAATACTAGAAGCCATCCACTCCCACATAAAGAATCATTAGTCACATTTTGAGTAAATTCATGGAATTCTGAAATACTTTCCACATAGTGAAATTTTTAGTGAGTTCCACACTGGACATAAATGAAAATGGTCACTAGTGTTGACTATGAGATACAGATTGTAAAGTTTATCTTGTTTTTATTGTTAATAACTAAGTATTAAATTTGTAAGCACATTAACCCACAAACGCATCGTGAACATTTAACTACTCTTTAAGGTAATAAAAATGTTATGCCACACATAACTTTACAACAAACAAAACAGAATAAAAACTTTAGTTTTTGAGAGATGAGAAAATTGGTAAAGGATTGTTAAGTTTATATGCAGCTAATTCATTACAATGATTACAACATGAAGGAACCACATCACTGTGGTCAAAGCTTCAATAATGTTCAATCAGTTAGAGTTCTGTCCAAATATGTTTTTGTTTTGTTTTGTTCGGTTTTACTATTAGGAAACATCAGAAATCTTACCCTAAGAAAAGATTTTAAAGAAAGAAAAACAAATTACATATAAAAATATATAAATTAGCCTTATCTTTTGGAAAAAAATAAATTTTCTAAATATCTCAATAGTAGTGAAATAATTAAATTAATTAAACTTTATGAAGAAATATTATGCATGCATTTAAATGAAAAGTTCAACTTTTGAAATTAACTGAAAATGCTGGACACGCAAACATATATTTTCTCCTGAAATACTTTTAATGTAATATTAAGTGAAAAACATATTTTAAAATACAGCATTCCCTCTAATTGCAACTAAAATATTACATACAAATGTGAACAAAGATGAAAATAATTGCTATGTTATATGTTGGAAGTACAGAAAAATTATTTTGTAGTTTTAAATTCCTTATAAAGTTTATCTGTGGATGGAAGTATGATTATAATATACTGAGATGGTACCTTTTACATTTTCATTTTCATAGTAAAAAGCAATATTCTTCAACAAAAGCTCATCATTTAAGTCAGAAAGGTGAATTAAATTCAGATTCCAAAATTCAAAAGTATGTATATTTCTTAAGATGAAATATTCACACCACTTTTTCTGAAAATTGAAAAGAAAACCAAGTTATTGGCAATATTCATATTAGCAATAAACTATAGGGTTCATATGCTTCTGAACTGAAAGGCAGTGGGCAGGATCATTCCAATCCTTGTTTAGGCAAGCCCATTCAGGCTGGGTAATGGTGAATGCTTTACACCTTAAGGAATTAAAGCATAAAATAAAATAAAAACTGATCCAAAAATGCATTCTGTATAGTTCTTTATCCCGAATCAAGGAAATCTGCATTTGACTCTTAAAATAGTGTTTTTCTCACACTGTTACCCACAGATAGAATTCCAAAGCTACAGAAATACTTCTGCTTTGAAATGTGCCTCTGTTCTTTATTTAGATTTTAATATGTTCAGATTCAACCTTCAGGTCAAAAGAGCATTTAAAAAAATGTGTTTGAGTGTTCAGGGACCTAGAAGATGCTGAATCCTTCAAACTCTTAAGATTCCCATCCACCTACCTGGCTGGTCTCCATGCTTCAAGATTCAGAGTAAACCTCATGGAATGATCCCTTCTACGATTTGCTTAGTTGCTTTCTCAAGAGGCCTCAAGAAATGTCAAAAATTTCTTTTATTTTGAAAATATTAGGGGCTACCTGAAATTACACTTCAAGCTACAGAGTGTTACCAAATATCAGGCATGGAGTATGGGAAAGGCAGGAAGGTTGGCTGACTATGGGCTGATCAGCTGTTACTCCATAGGGCATATATTTGGAAGCTGGACAGAGTGAAGTCAGATCTCAACTTGATCATTCATTAGCTGTGCTCATGGACCACATAGCTGAGTCCAAGTTTTTCCTTTGCAAAATGAGGACATAAGAGGATCGTTGTTATGTCTAATTAAAGACTAAGGTTTTCTATTAGGTAAAGTACAACCTAGACCTTAGTCTCTTAATTATGATCAACAGTGAGCTCCGTTTCATTAAAACCAATGTATTTTCAGTCCTCAACCTATTACAATCCTCTATAGCAGCTGATACTATTAACCACATCCACATTTTGAACTGCCCAGTTCCTTTGACCTTCAGGACAACCCATTCTCCTTGATTTTATTCCCATCTATCTAAGTAGTTCCTTCTCAGTATCTTTTGCCACTGTCTCAACCCATACTTAAGTGTTTAATATTGGAATATTTGAACTCCCTGTCCTCAGCTCTCTTACCATATCTCTCTTCCAAAATAATTTCATCTCTTAGCATAGCATCAATTAACATCCACAGGGTAACAATTCCTAAACTTTTATCTCCAGCCCATTCCACCCTTCTAAGTCCAAAACATTATTTCAAATTGTTTACTAGATATCTCCATGTGGACATTGCATTGGCACTCAAAACTCAGTATTTCCAAAAAAGAAACCATTGATCCTTCCCCACTAACGTGCCCTTCATACAATGACGGCATCCCCACAAATGCTCAAGCCAGGGGTCTAGGAACTATTTGACTCCTTCCTTTCCCTCGTTACCCATATTCAATCACTAAACTTGTCATTCTTCACCTTAAATAACTCTTAAAATTGCCCAGTGCTATTCATCCCTACTTACCTCTCACTGGTCCCTGGCACCATCAACACTTACATGACTGAGGTAATAGCCACCTAATTTCCCCAAGTCCCCCCTGTTTTGCCTCTACAATGCACTCTCTGCATTGCAAGCCAGGGAAAGTTTCTGCAAATGCAAGTGCCACTCATCCATTTGAAACCACTCAGTGAATCCTCATTGGGCTTCTATCAAGTTACATCTGTATTTTCTTAACAGGGCCTACAGAATCCTACGTGACTTGTCTCTTGCCCGCCTCTTCAGCTTCATCACTTTCCCATATTTTTGCTACCCCTGCTGTGATAGATGTATCTCAGTTCCTTGGTTATGCCATCCTCGGGATAATCACACATGCTGCTTCACGCCCTACAATCCAGTTTCATCCTCTCTGCATCCTGCTAACTCCTTCTATTCCTCCAGGACTTGGGTCACTTCACTTCTCTTCATTTCTTTCTGTTTTCTTTTCTTTTCTTTTTTTTTTTTTTTTTTGAGACGGAGCCTCGCTCTGTCACCCAGGCTGGAGTACAGTGGTGCGATCTCGGCTCACTGCAAGCTCCGCCTCCTGGGTTCACACCATTCTCCCGCCGCAGCCTCCCGAGCAGCTGGGACTACAGGTGCCTACCACCATGCCTGGCTACTTTTTATTTTTTTTGGTATATTTTTAGTAGAGACGGGGTTTCACCATGTTAGCCAGGATGGTCTTGATCTCCTGACCTCATGATCCTCCTGACCTCATGATCCACCTGCCTTGGCCTCCGAAAGTTCTGGGATTACAGGTGTGAGCCACCGCGGCCGGCCTGTCTTCATTTCTTAAGAAACACCATCGTTTTCAGACTACGTTGGATCTTTTTATTATCAGATTATAAAGCATTCTATGATTCCGTCTTCATAATTACTTTTAAAATTTAATATCTGTCTTCTGTGGAAAATGTAGGTCTATGAAGGGGTTGGAGTGGGAAGGGTAAATATGTTTTTATTTTTCTCACTCTATCCCAGTGATTACCACAATGTACTAAATGTTTGTGGACTGGCTTCCTAGTTAATTGGTCATAAAATACTTTCCTTGAACATTTTCACTGTATGTATAATGATCCTTAAAAAAAGTTCATGCCAATTGATCCTTTAATCCCATTTCTAGCTCTCAAGCCAAAATCAATAACCCCAAATTAAAGGAAAAGGCTTATACACAAAGAGAATAACAACATCTATAATACAACCATCAAAGTCTTCTTAATATTCCATAATAGAGAAATGGGTAAGTAAACCATGGTACTAAAAGATAACTAGTAGCCATTAAAAATGATACTAATATTGTGAAAGGAAATAGAAAAACATGAAAAAATATATGTATATATAGAGTTCCAATATAAGAAACAATAAAACATCAGAAAAATCTATGCATTTAAAATAAAAAGAATAAACCAAAATGTTAACAGTTATCCCTATTGATTAAAATGGTAGACCTCCGGGGAAGTTTTTCTTCTGTTTTTGCTTCTATTTCTCTAAAGTATCCAAATTGTCTCTAAATATTCTCTATAAGAGTTGAAAGTAATAAACTACAAAACTGATTTCTTCAGTTCCTCTTAAGAGCAGACCACAGTGATCACCAACCATCAACTACAGTTGATAACACAAAAACCTGACCTTGGCAGAGATTTAACAAAGGAAAAATAGAGAGGCTTTTTCCTTAGGTTAGATATATATCATGCTATTTGTTAGTTCTCCTAAACATAGATGCTGAAATTGGAAAGTGACTGATGTAGCCCATTAAACTTTTATAGCCCCCAAGGGGCTAATAGTAGTCCCACATAAGAGAATTTTGAAAGTTATTGTAGTTTCTATCAAACATTCAAAACACAAAAATAGTAAACTAATAAAGAGTACATTTACCATTTGTAATAAAGGCTTCATGTCCTCAGCCCAATGGGAAGTGATGACTCTAGCACAAGCTCTTTGAGAAAGAGGCAGATGGAGTAGAAAAACCACAGTGAGACAATGCAGTTTACACAAATCTTCCATCTCCTGCAGGGTTAAGCAATTACTGTTCACCTGAATAAAATAAAGAAGGTATAAGCCAGAGAACAGCAGGGTGTGACATTGCATAATAAGCATCTAGGACCACAAAAGCTGACAGCTACCTTTGCTGTTCAGGAATCATGAATTATTCCTTTCTTTCTTTCTTTCTTTCTTTCTTTTTTTTTTTTTTTTTGAGACAGAGTTTTGCTCTTTCACCCAGGCTGGAGTGAAGTGGCCCAATCTCAGCTCACAGCAACCTCCAACCCAAGGTTCAAGTGATTCTCCTGCCTCAGCCTCCCGAGTAGCTGGGATTATAGATACCTGCCACCATGCCCAGCTAATTTTTGTATTTTTAGTAGAGGCACTGTTTCACCATGGCCAGGCTGGTCTCGAACTCCTGACCTCAGGTAACCCACCTGCCTCGGCCTCCCAAAGTGCTAGGATTACTCGTGTGAGACACCATGCCCAGCTGAATTATTACATTTTTCATTCTACATTTTTTAAGACTTTCCTTTTCTTTATAACATAAACTCTACTGCATTTATACAGATGTGAGGTAAGTGGAATGGGAAGCTGCTGGCTTAATCGCATTTAAAATAAAACATTTTTCAGGATTTTTAGTTAAGCCAAACTCTACATGAGCTGATCGAGCAACTAATAAAGTCGTAATTTCACAGGACTCTACGCTGATGGAGCCACACATTAAATGCTCTATCCCATCCAAGGCATCATATTTTTAAATAATATTGAAAATTACCAGGGCGAGGACACCAGGATGGTAATATATCTGAAAAACCTGCCCTGTGAGAACACGGGTAAAGAAGTGGACACATCTGATATCATGGGACAAGAACGTCATAGCTATCTTCAAACATTTGCAGGGCTATCAACAAAGCAAGTGTAAGATTTCATCAGGGCACCTCCAGAAGGCCAAATAGAGTCTAATCATTAGAAATTCCAGAGAGGCAGATTTGACTTAGTATCATTTTTGTGAGAATGATTTAAAATACTATGTCTAGTTATGAAGAAATGTTTCACTAAAAATATATTCAATCTGATAATTGGAAAAACAATTATAAGGATGCTAAGTAAAAGATAATGAGCCCTGAATATTTCTGAAATGTTCAGAAACTTCATTTCTCTTTAATAGAAACCTTCAGCCAAGAATCCCCCAGTAGGTAGATTGTATACAGAATAGTATGTATACACATGCGTCTGAGTGTGTAAGTGTGTGTGTGTATGTGTAAACACGCACACCCATAAGCACATATACTTAGAGACAACTGTATATTGGGGGAAGGAAAACAGACTGGCCAACAGATTCTTAATGGACCCTACTGGCCATAAAGAAAGTTAAAAACTTTAGTATCTCTCCAGCTAGGATGACGCCAAGACACTACAGCAGGAAGGTTCTTTCAAAAGACACTTTGATATTGTGGAACTTGCACAAGATGGACCGGAGTTCAATCCACCTTGCTATTTAGTACGTTTGGTTTGAAAAATGTTACCTGGACTATTTGAACTTCAGTGTTCTCATAGGTGAAATGGGAATACTAATGCCTTTCTCACAATGCTGTTGTGAGGATTTAAGGGCACAATGCATACAAAAAGCCCAAAACATACTAGCATATTAGGCCTCCACCAAGTGCTAATATCCTGTCTTGTTTCATTTTCTTTTGGATGATTTAGACTAAATATATACTAAGTGAAACATGCACATAGTAAAACATTAAATCATTTAATGGCACAATAAGTGTTTCCTGATAGACACAAATTTCAGTTTTATTTTCTGAAGTTTATATAAATAAGAGAAAAACATGAAGTACCAAATAGAGGAAATGAAAGATACAAATCAACAAAATTTCAAATGTGGAGAGAAATAGTATTTCTCAGTAAAGTTATAAAAACCACACCTGTTGGATCTCAGTTTCCTGACCAGAGGAGGGCTCTCTGTTTCCTAAAAAGCGATGGTACATTCTCAAAGATAATGAGCATGAAGTAACACAAAAGACACGCCGAATGTCAGATCCTTCTGGCCAGACTTGTGTAAGCAGAGATACAGTCTTGTGTGCCTGTCAAAGAAAAAAATTGTAATGTGTCATGCTATTTAGAAAAATATTTTTATTTGTAAGTGATCTTACTAGTGGGTACTACTAGGCTTAATACATGTGTGACAAAATAATCTGTACAACAAACCCCCGTGACACAAGTTTACCTCCATAAAAAACCTACACATATACCCCTGAACTTAAAGTTAAAAAAATGAAATAATAAAATTTTTCTGAGACGAAAGGAAACCTGTGTACATAGAATAAAAGAGCTCACTGTATAACAAGAGAAACAATGAAATGAAATTAGATCCTCACACCATATGCAAAAAGCAACTCAAAATGGATTAAAGACTTACATACAAGACTTGAAAGTGTAAAACTACTAGAAGAAAACATAGGAGGAAAGCTCCACAACATTGGTCTGGGCAATGATATTTTGGATACGGCCACAAAAGCACAGGCAACAAAAGCAAAAATAGCCAAATGGGATGGCATCAAAGTAAACATCTTCTGCACAGCAAATGAAAGAGGCAGTCCACAGATTTTGCAAACGATACATTTATTTATTTATTTATTTATTTATTTATTTATTTAGAGACAGGGTCTCACTCTATCACCCAGACTGGAGTGCAGTGGCCCAATCTCAGCTCATTGCAATCTCTGCCTCCCAGGCTCAAGCGATTCTCTTGCCTCAGCCTCCCAAGTAGCTAGGATTACAGGCATGTGCCACTACTGCCAGGCTAATTTTTGTATTTTTAGTAGAGATGGGATTTCACCATGTTGGCCAGGCTGGTCTCAAACTAATCACCTCAAATGATCCACCCACCTAGGCCTCCCAAAGTGCTGGGATTACAGGTATGAGCCACCGCGCCCAGCCAAACTATACATTTAATAAGGAGTTAAGATCTAAAGTATAGAAACAACTCAAACTCAATAGTAAGAAAACAAATAATCCCATTTAAAAATAGACAAACGACCTGGACAGTCATTACTAAAAACACACAAACAAACAAAAAACCCAACGGCCAATAGGTACATGAAAGATATGCTCAGCGTTAATAATTATACCAATAATTAGGCAAATGCAAATTAAAACTACAATGAGATATCACCTCACATCTGTCAGAAGGGCTTTTATCAAAAAGATGAAAGATAACAAGTGTCAGAGAGGAAGCAGAGAAAAGAGAACTCTAATACATTGTTGGTAGGAATGTAAATCAGTACAGGCATTATGTAAAACGATATGAAGCTTCCTCAAAAAACTACAATTAGAACTATCATAGGACCCAGTAATCCCATGTCTGGGTATGTATCCAAAGGAACCGAAATTAGTATGGTTAAAGCAAACTAAATATGGCTGGAGAAGGACTTCGTACTTCTATATTTGAATCCTTCTGGATGAATTGCAATGTAACTTAATAGGTAGACAAGATTGAAAACCTAGTTTAGGAGTATGTTCTTGTAACAGTCGCTGTCTTGGCCAATCCCTTACTTCAATCACTCATACACTGCTGAGCGTTCAAACTGTGTTCAAATAAGGCAAATGCAGAGTTGTACCCAATCCAGCTATTCTGTACCTCACTTCCGATTCCTGTATGTCACTTTACATTTTTTGTCTATAAGTTTGTTCAGACCATGAGGCACCCCTGGAGTCTCTCTGAATCTGCTGTGATTCTGGAGGCTGCCTGATATGTGAATCGTTCATTGCTCAATTAAACTCCTTTAAATTTAATTCAGCTGAAGTTTTTCTTTTAACAGTATTTCGAAGGTATATCTGCACTCCCATGTTCATTGACACATTGTTCACAACAATCAAGACGTGGATCAACCTAAGTGTTTATCAACAGATGAACGGACAGTGAAAATGAGGTATATATACACAATGGAATACTATTGAGCATTTAAAACGGGGGGAAATCCTGTCATTTTCAACAACATGAATGAATCTGGAGGATATTATGCTAGGTGAAATAAGCCAAGACAAAGAGACAAATACCAAATGATCTCACTTATATGTAGAATCTAACGAAGTTGAACTCATAGAAATAGAGAAGAGAAACTCTTCTCTTCAGAGGGTGAGGGGAGAAACGGAGACTTGCTGACCCAAGGGTACAAACTTTCAGATAAAAAAGAGGAATGGGTTTTGAGATCTATTATACAGCAGGATGACTACAACCAATAATAATGTCATATATTTCAAAATAAGTGCATAAATTTCAAATGTCTCACAATAAAAAATGATAGGTAAGCAAGGTGATGGATATGTTAATTAGCTCCATGTAATCATGTCACGTTGTATACATATATCAAAACAAAACGTTGTACTTCATAAATATATAGTTATGATGTGTCAATCAAAAATATTTTTTTAATTTAAAATTTTTAAAAAGAATAGAAACTATTTAAAAGGAACTACCTAAGGGGACAATTTTCTGAAAACAGGTTTGGGAAAGAAAAGGAAGCTTTAAAAAAGGAAGAAGTATCCTTTGGCAATTAAGTGGCGAAAGAGTAAAAGAAGACAAAGAAGAATTTGAGGGCTCTGCAAGTCAGAAGAAAAGCAGGTAATTTGAAGACCCAAAACCACTCACCCACTACCAAACAAATAAATAAACAAACTAACAAAAACCCCACTAACATGCCTGGATTCTGACAAGCTGGCAGAAAAAGATAACATTAAATTAAATTATATTAAATTAATTGGATTGGATTAAATCGAATTAAAGTATCTTGTAACAAACCTCGGTATCATTAAAATGAAAAGAAAGTACATAGAGAGCTATTACAAAAAATAATAGCAGGAAAAAAAATTCACACAAATTGTGTGAAAAATCTCATCATTATCTCCAAAAGTAGTAATAATATCAGCAATTATAAAGCAGAAGAAATCTCTAAGTCTACATTCTAAATATGGATATACTCAAACAAGCATTCGAACATACAAAAAGTGATCTTTTTTTTTTTTTTTTTGAGGCGGAGTCTCACTCTGTCACCAGGCTGCAGTACAGTGGCATGATCTGGGCCCACAGGAACCTCCACCTCCTGGGTTCGGCAATCTCAGCTCACTGCAACTGCCATCTCCAGGTTCACGCGATTCTCCTGCCTCAGCCTCCCGAGTAGCTGGGACTACAGGCATGCACCACCATGCCCGGCTAATTCTTGTATTTTTAGTAGAGACGGGGTTTCACCATGATGGTGAGAATGGTCTCAATCTCTTGACCTTGTGATTCACCTACCTTGGCCTCCCAAAGTGCTGGGATTACAGGCATAAGCCACCACGCCCAGCCAAAAAATGATCTTTATTCAGCAACTGATAAACCAAAAACAGGGCTGGAAAGAAAGAAAGAAAAAGAAAGAAAGAAAGAGAGAGAGAGACGAAAGAAAGAAAGAAAGAAAGAAAGAAAGAAAGAAAGAAAGAAAGAAAGAAAGAAAGAAAGAAAGAAAGAAAGAAAGAAAGAAAGAGAAAGAAAGAAAGAAAGAAAGACAATAAATAATTAATTCCGCAAAATAATCATAGAAAAATGCAAAGCTATGCAGAAATAAAGAATAAGTTACAAGATGCCCAAAGGAGAATAATCTCAATAAAATTTAATGAAGACAGGTAGGAAAACAACCAAATGACATAAAATAAAAACCAAAAAAGGTCAGAAAAATAATAGTGGAAATGAAAGACAGAAAAATATTTGTATCATTGCACATCTTATCAAAAACAAAACTGGGCCAGGTGCGGTGGCTCATGCCTATAATCCCAGCACTTTGGGAGGCTGGGGCCAGGAGTTCGAGACCAGCCTAGAAAACATGACAAAAGCTCATTTCTAATAAAAATTAGCCAGGTGTGGTGGCACAGGCCTGTAGTTCCAGCTACTTGGGAGGCTGAGGGGGAAGAATTGCTTGAATCAGGGAGGCAAGGAGGTTGCTGTGATCGTGTCACTGCACTCTAGCTTGGGCAATAGAACAAGACTCTGTCTCAATGAAAAATAATAAATAATAAAATAATAGTAATAATGATAATTTAATAATAAAATTAATATTTTTAAAATAATAATCCTAGAAAACCCACTATACACAATAAATGAGTGCTAATGGATACTGAGAAAAATTAAAACTTCAGAAACCAAATAGTGAAAGGTAAAATAAGGAAACAGAGAATTGAGATTATTCTTTTTATAAAAATGGTACAGCATGGTAATTACAAACGTAATTACCATAACGAAACATGTAAAACAGCCCAAAGTTTAAAATTGTTTAAATAAAATAACAAAGAATACACATATCGTAAAGAAACTTAACAAACACACCAGAATACAAATGCCTATAATATATTATAGAATCAAGACCAAACGTATCAGTCATAACAGTAAATGTGAGACTTACCTATAAAAGAAAAAATAATTTCAACTTGCACCACATTCCATATATAAGACACACAACTAAAACAAAGTGATTCAGAAATACTAAAAATAAAGGAATGGACATAATTCTATCAGGTAAATGGAAACTAAAAGAGAGCAGAAGTTAGTATCTTTATATTGGGCTAAGTAGAATTCAAACTCAAAAGCATTACATGTGAAAAAGAAAAGCAGTCTTTTATTCTAAAAGCCACAATCTATAATGAAAAGATAATCCTTATGAAAAATTATCCAACATATGCATGGCAACCAACTTTGTGAAACAAAAATGACAAAAGATAAAAGAAACTCTATAGAGAAACTCACCTATAGTAACAAATTTTAAAACACAAGAGAGACAGCTGGACAAAAAAATAAGTTAAGGGATAAAAGACAAACCACCATAATCAACAGAGTAGACCTTATGAATCAAACTACATTGTGGTGATAGGGAATCTTCATTTGTCTTAAATGTCCCCAGCACATCCATAAAAATTAACTATATGTTAACATCTTCATAATACAATAAAGGTAGTGGAAAAAAAAAAGAAATTTTAAAAATCATGAACGTAGCCGGGCACGGTGGCTCATGCCTGTAATCCCAGCACGTTGGGAGGCCAAGGAGGGCAGATCATGAGGTCAAGAGATTGAAACCATCCTGGCCAACTTGGTGAAATCCCGTCTCTACTAAAAATACAAAAATTAGCTGGGCTTGGTGGCATGAGCCTGTAGTCCCAGCTACTCGGAAGGCTGAGGCAGGAGAATTGCTTGAACCCAGGAGGTGGAGGATGCAGTGAACCGAGATTGTGCCACTGCACTCTGGCCTGGCGACAGAGCGAGACTGTCTCAAAAAAAAAAAAAAAAAAAAAAAAAAATCACAAACGTGCTTTAATCTGGAACTTAAAAACATTTCTATTCGGTCAAACTTGGGTGAAAGGAAATACAAACTAAAATTACAGAATTTATTTTTTTAATGACAAAAAATTTACAGCATAATCTATGGGCTATATTTAAAGCAGTGATTCAGAGGAAAGTTTATTTCACTAAATATGTTTAACAATAAAAATAAACGAATTTTAAAAATGAGTAAGTTCCCAGCCCCCCCAAAAATCTAAAAGAAACAACAACATAAAAACCAAAAAAGTAAGATGAAAGAAAGCACAAAATAAATTAAAAAATCAACAGATCTCATTAATAAATCAAAATTCTTGGTTTTAAATAACTTAAAAACAGACAAACCACTAGCTAACCTGATCATAAAAAAAAACCAAGAGAATTCACAAATACACAAAATAAAAACTAAAAGGGAAAGTAATTAATGAAACAAGATAAATTAAATCACAAAAGCCTACTTCACAAAGTTCTATGCAAATAGACTTGAAAACTTAAGTGAAATAGATAATTTTCACAGAAGAATAAATTACTAAATTTGACCCCATTAGAGTTAACAAGCCCAAAGAAGTCAATTGCCATGGAAGAAATACAGAAAATTAAGAAACTACCTCACAAAAAAGCACCAGGACTATATGGCTTCACAGGAGATTTCTATCAAATCTTCAAAGACTAGATAATCCCAATGATCTACACATTATTTCACAATATTGAAAAAGAGGAGAAGACATTCTAATCTTTTTTATGAAGAACATACCACACTGACATCTAACCAGATAAAGGCAATTCAAAGAAACAAAATTACAGAAATATCATTCATGCATACTGATGCAAAAATTCTAAACAAAATGTTAGTAAACAGAATCCAACACCATATTAAGAAGTAATAAACTATGACTAAGTTGGATTTATTCCAGTAATATAGAGTTGCTTCAATACAGGGAAAATCATTAATACAATACTAATAAAACTGAGGAGGAAAAATTGTGTAATTATATCCATAATTTTAGTAAACATTCATGCATTCATGATAAAAACACTCAAGCAAATAGAAGCTACGGCTGGGTGCGGTGGCTCACACCTGTAATCCCAACACTTTGGGAGGTCGAGGTGGGCAGATCACGAGTTCAGTAGTTCAAGACCAGCCTGGCCAACATGGTGAAACCCTGTCTCTACTAAAAATACAGAAATTAGCCGGGCATGGTGGCGGGCACCTGTAGTTCCAGTTACTTGGGAGGCTGAGGCAGAAGAAGTGCTTGAACCTGGGAGGTGGATGTTGCAATGAGCCGAGATCATGCCACTGCACTCCAACCTGGGGGACGAATTGAGACTCTGTCTCAAAAAAAAAAGAAGCTACGATCTATGTGTTTAACACCAGAATGTGTGTGTGTGTGTGTGTGTGTGTGTGTAGTGGAAGTGTTTCCTATACCTTTCACATACCTTTCAAAATGAACGTAATTAAAAACAACCAGGAAATAGGTGGGAGGGACCAAGATGAAATACAAACACTAACCAATGACTGTAACTGTATTACATAATAAAGGATAACATAACCACACCAAAGGAGGTGGGTGAGAAAGTCACTAGCCTGAATAACTTTGGAAACAGTATATTAACATATTCTATGGCTACAGTTAAAAAAGAACTGCACATAAATCTTATAATCTCATTGACTTTTTCTCACAGGTATGGTTAGCAATTACAAAATTACTATACGGAGGGAAATAATAGTCACGGGGGCTCCAAAACAGGGTGAGTCAGGGGGAGTGATGGTTGAAGAGTTACCTGCTGAGTACAACATTGGGTGATGGGTACACTAGAAAACCAAACTTCAACATTATGCAACATATTCATGTAACAAACCTGCATATGTATTCCCTGAATCTATAAAAATCAAAATAAATAAAATAAAATAACTTTCTGTGTATATAAAAATTGAACAAAAAAGTGAATATATTGTAGATAACGAAAGCTGGATTTCTCATGATTGAAGAGAGAAATTAAAAATAAAGAAAGGGGAGGGGTAAAATAAACCATTATGGATTTGGATCCTAGTTCAATTTGCTGAAAAGCCCTAGTAGCAATGACACCCCAGTAGCAGTTCACCAACAAAGTTTTCAGATCTGAACTTCTAAATGCCTTCTTCCTTGGCAAAGTAGTTAATTTCAGGGGTGGGGCAGGGAAAATACAAGATGAGACTGGACCATCTTGTGATTTCAGAAAGTTAGAAAGTACAGAAAGATGAGGGCTTGTAAAAGAACACAAGCGCCAACCTAAAGGGGCTTCTAATGTTCAAACCTGGAACATTTTGAGCTCCAAGATAATTATAATGTTGGATTTTAACCTGTAATATAAAATAAATATATTTATCCATACTGACATAAATAAACAAATAAATGGCAGCACTAGGACAGCTGTCCCTTACGGTGGAATTCCAAGGAAAGAGTGAAATAAAAGTCACCATTAGGCAAAAACATCAATAATTATTGTTGCAGACAAGATCCACTGTGGACATTAAAGTGAATCAACTAAAGTTTGAGAAGAAACAGGATCTGCATAGTCACAAAGCATGTCCTTCAAGATTTATTAACTACAAAGGGAAGATAGTAACTTCACAGTAGAGAAAACTGTCAGGCACCAACTTAACTAATGCTCAGACATATTGTTAGGATGTACTGAGGACCCAAGATTAATTCAGTGACATTCTGGCCAAAGATGTATAACCTCATTACTGATTCGCAGTCTTCAAAAATGTCAAGGTCATGAAAGACAAGAAAAGACTGAGAAACTGTTACAGACTGGGGGACACTCAAAAGTGTGACTGACAACTGAATGGATGTGGTATCCTGGACTGGATCCTGAAATAGCAAAGAGACATGAGTGGAAAAGTCAGTGTAATTGGAATAAGGTCTAAAGTTTAGTTAATAGGATTGACACAATGTTAATTTCCTGGTTTTCATAAATGTTCCGTGGTTATTTAAGATGTTAACATTAGGAGAAGCTGGATGAGAAGTACATGAGAACTCTGTATGATTTTTGCAACTTTTCTATAACTAAAAACTTAGTTCAAATACAAAGCTTTTTAAAATGTTTTGTTACCTCTTCCGTAATATTATTCCATTTTAAACTTCCAAAAAGAGGTGCTAATGCTGAAAGCTTAAATCTTTCCAACTGGTTAAGCAGGGTTGTATAAGCATCTTTAATGTTCTGCTTATTCTGTAAAATAAAGAAAAATCAGAAAAGTTGTTATAAATAAAATATGTAATTATTTTCCAACTATAGAAAATTACATATTTTAGATATAATTATGTTACGATATATTTCTAAGGAAAAAAATATGCCAATGTAATTGTAAGTTTTAAACCCCATTGAACATCACTATTTTGTCTTTGAAAGTTAATTTTTGCCTAGGAATATAGCGTATTTTGTTTTTTAACAGCTTCATAAAAGTATAATTAACATAACATAAAATTCCTTCATTTTGTTACAATTCAATGGCTGTTAGTAAATTTATCAACTTTGGAACCAATATCACAATCTAATTTTAGAACACTTCCAGCACCCTCCAAAACACCGTCATCCCCATTTAATGCCATATATTTTAACAAATTTCAAACATACACATGAATGAAAGATAGCATAACCCCCCTTTCAGGTACCTATCACCCAGCAGCAGCCATTTTAAATATGCATTGTATTTTCAATTGTATTTCACATAATCCTCAAATTGACTAATAACATAACTTCTTTAAGGTGAATATTCAACAAATTAGGAAATAGATTTTAACAAAAATAAAATCCTTCATTAAAAAAATTATTCAGCCGGGCTCGGTGGCTCACACCTGTAATCCTAGCACTTTGGGAGGCAGAGGCAGGCAGATCACGAGGTCAGGAGATCGAGACCATCCTGGCTAACACGGTGAAACCCCATCTCTACTAAAAATGCAAAAAATTAGCCGGGCATGGTGGCAGGTGCCTGTAGTCCCAGCTGCTCAGGAGGCTGAGGTAGGAGAATGGCGAGAACCCGGGAGGCGGAGCTTGCAGTGAGCTGAGATCACACCACTGCACTCCAGCCTGGGCGACAGAGCGAGACTCTGTCTCCAAAAAAAAAAAAAAATACTCTTAAGGAAAGATTCGACAGTGTGTAGGTACTGTTAAAACTCAGATTTAGAAATTGCTCTAACAGAGTAAAATGAGAAAATTAATAACAGTACTTCCTTCCAATATAAAAATGAATCCCAGGGCTATTCCTGCTCAGAGTAGGCAACCAGAATTGAAAATAGTTTAATAATAGTCAAGAGCCACATAACAATGTTTCTTTCAGCCACAGACCACTTATATGTTGGTGATCCCATAAGATTATAATGGAGCTGAAAAATTTCTACTGCCTAGTGATGTCATAGTGATGTCATAACACCACAGTGCAATGCACTACTCAAGTGTTCATGAGGCTGGTGTAAACACACTTACTGTGCTGCCAGGCATATAAAAGTACAGCATAGGCTGGGCGTGGTGGCTCACGTCTGTAATCCCAGCACTTTGGGAGGCCAAGACGGGCAGATCATGAGGTCAGGAGTTCGAGACCAGACTGGCCAACATAGTGAAACCCCGTCTCTACTAAAAACACAAAAATTGGCCCAGCATGGTGGTGCATGCCTGTAGTCTCAGCTACTTGGGAGGCTGAGGCAGGAGAATCGCTCAAACCCAGGAGGCAGAGGTTGTGGTGAGCTGAGATCGCACCACAGCACTCCAGCCTGGGCAACAGAGCAAGGCTCTGTCTCCAAAAAAACAACAATAAAAAAAGTACAGCATATACAATTATGTACAGTATATAATACTTGATCATGATAAAAATGACTGCTACTGACTTATGACTTACTGTACTATGCGAATTTTTTATTATTATTTCAGAGTATACTCTTTTCACTTGTATTTTTAAAACAGCTGCCAAACAGCCTCAGGAGGCCCTTAAGGAGCTATTCCAGAAGAAGGCATTGTTATCATAGAAGATGACAGCTCCATGTGTGTTACTGCCCCTGAAGACTTTCCAGTGGGACAAGATCTGGAGGTGGAAGACAGTTGATGTTGATGATCCTGACCCTGTGTATGCCTAGGCTAATGTGTGTGTTTGCATCTTTTTTTCTTTTAAGAAAAAAGCTTAAAAAGTACATATTTTAACAGAAAAAAAGCTGACAGAATAATGATAAAAAGAAAGAAAGGCCAGGCACAGTGATTCACACTTGTAATCTCAGCATTTTGGGAGGCTGAGGCAGTCAGATTGGTTGAGCCCCAGAGCTTGAGACCAGCCTGGGCAACATGGCAAAACCTTGTCTCTACAAAAAATACAAAAATTAGCTAGGCATGGTGGTGCGCACCTGTAATCCCAGCCACTCGACAGGCTGAGGCGGCAGGATCACTTGAGCCCGAGACGTGGAAGCTGCAGTGAGCTGTGATCACATCACTGCACTCCAGCCTGAGTGACAGAGTGAAGACACTGTCTCAAGAAAAATAAAGAAGGAAAATATTTTTGTACAGTTGTATAATGTGTTTGTACAGCTGTCAAAAAAATTTTGAAAATTAAAATTCACAAAATAAAAAATTACAGTAAGCTAATGTTAAGGTATTAAATAAAAAAGTATTTTTAAATAAATTTAATGTAGCCAAAGTGAATACTGTATATATTAATAACATCTACAGTGGTGTACAGTAATGTCCTAAGCCTTCACATTCACTCGTCAGTCACTCACTGACTCACCCAGGGCAACTTCTGGTCCTGCAAGCTCCATTCATGGTAAGTACCCTATACAAGTGTATCATTTTTAATCTTTTATACCATTTTCAAATGTACCTTTTCTATGTTTAGATATGCTTAGATACACAAATAATTATCATTGTGTTACAATTACCTAGAGTACTCAATACAGTAACATGCTGTATAGGTTTAGCCTAGGAACAGTAGGCTACATCAGATAGCCTAAGGGTGTCATAGGCTATACCATCTAGCTTTGTGTCTGTACACTAACGATGTTTACACAACAGTGAAATCGTCTAATGATGCATTTCTTGGAATGTATCCATGTGATGCATGACTGTACTAACTAAAGCAATACAAACTAGCTTATTTTATGGCAACCATGTGGATATTTCCAAATACATGAGGAGTATGACATAATTCTCAAACAGTGACAAATGTTAATTGTCTCAAAAATGATTTTGATGAATTAAAGAATGGCCCTCATATTCACAATTCACCATCAGTAGTGAAAAATAAGCAGAAACTGGATGTATTTATAATTTTATAAATAAATTTAGTAATTTATAAATAGCTATATTATTTAATGTACTAATTTTATTAATTTACTATATGGTACCGTATTGTCTTATTTATAATTTATTATGTAAATAAATTTATTATAATTTCTATTATATATTATATTATTATAGCTATCATTTATTTTATACATATAGTAATTTATAAATATATCCGTATGCATATTTACTCCCAAAATTTCAATACAATAATTGTCAAATATACTAATGTATCAAAATAATAACATCATGGAATTCGAACTCTAAGAACTTTGAAAATTCTCCTATTGATTACTTAATAATAAGAAATAAGCTTATTTCAGTTATTTTCCTTCTTTATTGACCTTCTCCATTGTTTTCTTATTAAAGGCTACCATATTAATAGCATTTTGTCAATATGTCTCAGCAACAGGGGCGTAATTTTTGCCTAATTCCATGCATTTCTGGCCTTCAATACCTTGAGGTCAACATATTATGCAGCAGTTAAGGACACAGGGGCTTGAGTCCAACTGTGTCTTTTCAAATCCATGTTCTACTATTCATTTGGTGTGTTTGGTGAGCAGATTACTGATTCTAGTATCTATTTCATCACTGTAAAATACAGACAATACTTAACACCTACCTTATAAGATTGGTTTTAAGGTTAAATAAAAATTATTCATGAGAAATACCAAGCACAATTTTATAACAATAAGTGTTTGATAAATGACTGCATTTGCATTATCATTATTTACTTAATATTATTAATTGTTATACCTATCTGTTAAGCCTCTGATAATTTCCTAGAGGAGGAGGAGAAAAAACTGAGTCAAGTAACTTAGAACATTTTGAAAATTTCTAGAAGAAATTGTCTTTTGGATGTGAATTACCTTCCAGGAAAAAATCTGGTGTCTGTACATGCTTGGAAGAAGGTATGCATAAAGGCAAAGAACATCAGATTCTTGCCCTGAGGAAAGTACAACGTTGACCTTCCTTGCCCAAGAATGAATGATTAAAAAGTTGAAAAGCTGTGTTTGTAGATCGTTCAGGCCTTCGTCTGCAACTATCAGGAAATATGGGTAACTCTCTTCCAAGAAACTTCCCCACTCTTTTGATAAGCATCTCGAAAATGTTGTTCGAACATCAATGGTGGTATTCTTCTGAAGATGAAGAATTAAAGCAGTTCTCAAAGAAAGAAGTTCAGGGAAGTTGAAATACGCATACTCGGCATCCTGTGGAGGAGGAGGTGAAGTACATTTTATTTCAAAATTATCATTTAATCATTTAGTTGGCTAACACATCATTAAAGGCACTGAAGGAATAAAATCCAACAGTTTTGTTCTGTCTGATGGTCGGGGAATAGACCCCTAAACTTTACTACCATCTTACAGATATTTGCTGAAAAAAATCACAGTTTGGATTTAAATGCATGTGTCTCCTTTAAGCAGGCACTTAATACTTGGAGCTTATCATGCTTACCCTTCCCATTTTCTAATTCTTTTCCTCTCCAATCTCATTTCAGAAAGAAAAAGAACAGAAAGCAAGTGGTAGATATAAATCATCTGCATCAGAAAGCTGAGGTGAACCATTGTGTTTTAGAGGATTGCTCCAGGTTACTGCAACCCTCCTTAAGCAACTGAGATTGTCTCGGCATAACAAAATTGGGGCAACCAACTAGATTGTAAACATTAGATCGGAAGCCTAGCTCTTTACACAAAACATGGCTGGCAAGCATTCAGCCATGTTCAGAAATGTAACAATAATTGAGACTGCAAAATGACTGAAAAGACTCACACCAAAGCTCTTTACCTTTAGGTATAGGATTAGGAAGGGTGGTAGTGGTTATGCATATCTTTATTTGAAATTGTTAAAAATTATATTAATTATATTCATAATAAAAAAGCAAACCAAAAATAGTATTATTTTGGAAATACCTCAAACAAACCATCATAAAACATTGATTATTATTGTTAGAGACTGGGTCTCACTATGTCACCCAGGCTGAAGTGCAGTGGCGTGATCATGGCTCACTGCAGTGTCAAACTCCTGGGCTCAAGTAATCCTCCCACCTCAGCCTCCCGAAGTGCTGGGATTACAGGCATGCACCACCGTGCCCAGCCAACAAAGCATTATTAATGACTGTCCCTAGGCTCAGATATATTTTCCTCTGGGCTCATATAAATTGCCTGCTGAGTTTTGAAAACAGAAATAGTTCTCAGAGCAGGAGAACTGGAATCCAGAGTTCAACTGGGCCGCTATTGAGGAGCTTTCTCATCCTCTCTCATGATCCTGTGTGTCCTTACAATAAAGTTCTCTTCATTCAAATAAAACATAATCTCAAGTGTGGTGATTTCTGAATACTGGGATTGTGGGTAATTTTTTCTCTTCTTTCCTTTCAATTTTCTGAACTTTTATAGATATAATCTACTTTGTAATAAGAAAAATATATATATAATAATTTAGGAAATTTTAGTTTTAGTTCTCATATTATAAAAAAGAACTCAACTATCATGTTACCTTGAAGAAAACTATGGTGAATTGTCCTCCTTTGCTAATAAGATCCACAAGATAGCGTTCAACCAGATAGAAGAAATGGAGGTTCTGCCCAGGCTTAAATGATATCTCACAGATACATGTGATAAGTAATGAATCCCCATCAATCAAAAAAAATTCAGATTCAACAAAATCATTGAATAAACTGGAATATCTAAAATGAAAAACAGTTAAAACAAAAATCACATATGCATTAAATCATGTTCCAAAAAGGCATCGTTCTTATTAGCTCATTATCATTATCATCAATAGCTAAATTTGCTGAGTTGTCTCATGGCAGTGTCTACACTAAGGCTTTTCAAACATATCTACATTCACAACTATCCTTCACAGGAGGAAGGCGGGATTATTCACATCTTAGGCTCAGAGAGCAAAGTATCCAAAGCCATGTGGCACAGCCTGATAGGACCATGAATATAGTACTTGTACCCTGCATATAAACCTAAATTATATATATTTTATGCTTAATCAACCTCAGCCCCTTACAAGTGGATTCACTGATGGCTATTGACAAATTAAGCAAGAGGAAACTGTTTCCATTCACTGTCATATAGCTCTAAAAGTGCTGTGTTGAACAATCATATATACATATATATAATAGTGTACATAGTTCTATATACTGTTATATATAATATTCTATACTATATATAGATATATATTATATATGTATATATATTATACATAGATACACACCAATATAAATACTGATACATAGATATATACTGATAAATGTATACTATATATTCAATAAATATATTAGAAAAATTTGTGAAAATTTGTGACTATTTGAAAAAACTCTCAAACCGTGCAGCCTACAAATATGAAAAAAATTTTAAGTTACCTATGTCACGAATGCATAAAGTATATGTAGTCTATTTTAGCATTTACTGCCATAAAATATACACAGATCTATTGTAAAAGTTAAAAATTATCTAAACTTATGCACGCACTTATAGACTACACATGGCAGCTTTCAGAGTTGAGAGAAGTGTAAACAAATGTTATGCTGCACTATTAAATCATAACTGCATAAAATTAACTCTAGTACATACTGTACTACTGTAATAACTTTGTAGCCACTTCTTGTTGTATGGTGGTAAGTTAGCAGTTCCTCTCCAGTAAACTGCTCTCCAAACACAATAAAAAGTGATCTCTCATGGTTCTTGCGTATTTTTCCATCATGTTTATTGCAATATCATAAACCCTAAATAAAACCATGGAACCCATATGAAGTGCCATTAGTGATGCCAGAAGTGTTCCCAAAAAGCAGAGAAAGTCATGACATTACAAGAAAAAGTTGAATTGCCTGATGTGTGTCATAGATTGATGCTTGCAGCTATAGTTGCCCACCACTTCCAGATAAATAAACCTAACGTAAGGACCATTGTAAAAAAATTTTTTTAAAGAAATGAGTGAAGGCATTGTTGCAGCAGTCATAAAAATCTTGCATTTTTTGTGAAAGGCTTTTTTTTTAATCTCACATTGAAAATAGAGCTTTTATGTGGGTGTGGGATTATCTAAAAAGGCAAATTTATAGACTCTAATATGATTCAAGAAAAAGCAAAGTATATGACAAAGCAAAAGGAAGACGAAATATCTAAAACTGGAAAATCTAATGCCAGCACAATATGGTTTGATAATTTTGGAAAGAAGTTTGGCTTTAAAAATGTCAAGATAACAAGAGAAGCAGTTTCAGCCAGCTAAGAGACAGAAGAAAATCATTGAGGGGAAAGAATATCTGCTTGAATAGGTTTTTAATGCAAATGAAATTATTCTGGAAAAAAAGTCACAAATAATATTTATTAGTACAAAACAAAAGTGAGCACCAGGATTTAGAGCAGGAAGGGATAAGCTAACTCTACTGTATTGTGTAAAGGCTGTTGGTTTTATCTTCAGGCCTGTCTTTATCTGTAAAGCTGCCAACTCCTGAGACTCGAAGGGAAAAGATAAACACCAGCTGCCAGTCTCTCAGATGTACAACAAAAAGTCCTGGACAATGAGGACACATTTTCCGAATTAGTTAAATTGATACTTTGTCCCTGAAATCAGGAAGTACCTTGCCAGTGAGGGAGACTGCTTTTCAAAGTACTTTTGATATTGGACAATGTCCCTGGCCACCTAGAACTCCATGAGTTCAACACAACGATGCTGAAGTGGTCTACTCGCCCCCAAACAAAATGTCTTTAATTCAGCCTTTAGATCAGAGTGTCATAAGAACCTTTAAGGCTCATTACACACAGTAATCTATGGAAAGAATTGTCAATGCTATGGAAGAGAACCCTGATAGACAGAACATCATGGAAGTCTGGGGGGATGGCACCATTGAAGATGTCACTATTGTTATGATCCACTCCCACTTAATAAATACATTTTTGCTTCCTTATGATTTTCTTAATTTTCTATACTAAGACCAGAGAAACAAGAGGGCAGGCAAGCCTTTGAAGGCATGTTTTGGGATTTTCTCTTCATCCCAGAATCAAATATTAGCCATTGAAGAATTTTAAGCAGGTGGCATTACGATGGGCTTTGCATTTGGAAAAGACTAGTCCAGCTACAAGATAGACAATAGATAGGATGGGTGCAAACTTCTTGGTAGAGCAGAGAGAAAGCTATTGCAGTTAAGTTTTGGAGGAGTAAAAAGTTAAACACCATCCTTTTGTAGTTCATAAATGTGATGATTGGGTTTTCATGTGTATGTGTTGGATGTGCCCTACTCAATCCTTGTTACAAAGTTATCTCATTATCCGGCTGGCATGAATTTAGAAAAAATATATAAAAATTAATTAACAATAATTTTTAAAAAGTTAAACATGGATTCTCAACTGCATAGTTGTTCAGTGCCCTTAGCCCCTACATTGTTCAATGGTCAACTGTCTATAAATCAGCATAAGGCCAAATAGACATACAGGGAACATGAGCTATGATTTCCCGTCTTTATTACTATAATAATACTCACTCAGCTTTTGGCATTTCATTCAAAATTAACTGGGACATTTCCTGTGAAAATGTTGTAAGAACATTTCTTTCTAAATTTAAAAAAAAAGAGAGAAAGAGAATGGGTTATTTTTCAATTGGTCCTTTTTACAGGAGCTATCATTTAGTTATTATTCAAGAAAGTAAAACAGTAATGTGGTTATTTTAATTCCATTAAATCTATGTAGTTTACAGGGTAACATTGTTTTATAATCTATAAATATTTTAAGTGGAAAATTACCCATTCTTGCTGCTGCCTGTGCCTCCAACCTGAACTGGCAAGTATTAAAGGTAGCAAATACCCTTTATTTTGGTACCTCTAAGTGGCAGTTCTTAATGAAAATGGCAGTCCTGCAAAAAAAGAAAAGAAAATGAGTCTTTATTCAACAAACATGTATTGAATGACTACTATATGTAAAGCAAAATATTAGACACAAGGAATACAAGAATGAACAAATCAACATTGCTGACAGTTCTCACAGAGCTTAAAGATAATTATTAATCAGATAATCATAGAAACAATGGAACATTGCAAAAACGACAAAGTCAAGAGGTCAGAGGAAGTTTCCCTAAAGAAATAATGCTTGAGCTGAGTTCTAAGAAATAAACAATAATTAATTAGGCAAAAAGAGAAAAAGTAGCATTTCTGGCAGAGGAAATACCAGAATACCATGTGTAAAAGCTCAGTGGCGTGAAGGGTTGTGGGTGACATTGATTCCAGAAAGAAGCCAGTAGGGCTGGAGTGGAGACCATCAAAGAAAAGACTAGAGAGGACAAGAGAAATAGAAGGACATGCAGAGCCTTTGAAGTCATGTTATAGAATTTTCTTTTCGTCCTAGAATGAAAAGTTAGCCACTGATGGATTTTAAGCAGGTGGTATTGTGATTGGCTTTGCACTTTGAAAAGATTAGTCCAGCTACAATATAGAGAATAAACAGGATGGGAGTAAGCTTCTTAGTAGAGCAGAAAGAAAGTTACTGTGCAGGAGAGTAATGATGATAATTTGATGTAATATAGTTTGATGGTAGCTGAGATAATAAAGCTGGAGAGATGTGGACTCACTTGAAGGACATTTAGGAGATGAGCTTGACATAATTTGGAACTGGACTGGATGTGGATGGACAAGAGAGGAAAGGGGGTTGTCAAGGATGACACAAGTTTCTAGCTCAAGTAACAGGATGGATGACTAGGCCATTCCCTGGGCTGGGAATTTTAGAACAAGGCTACGTGTCAGGAAAAGATTATGGCGGCATTTGTGAACCACCTGAATTTGACTTGCTTTCAAGATTCCCCATAAGCCATGATATGTAAGTAGTAAAATATACAAGTCTAGAGGACAAATACAAAGTCTGGACTAGATTTGAAGAGGTAAGTCATCTGAGTATTAACGGTAAATGAGGCCATTGGTGTAGATGAGCTTGCTTGGACAGGGAGAGACAGCATCATGGGAGAAGAGTACTAAAAACCCACATTTGAAGATACTAATACTTAATATATCAAGAGAGGAGGAAGAATCCACAAAGGTAATAGAGAAGAAAATACTAAAGAGGTAGATGAAAATGCACTTGAGCATTTTGTCATGGACACTAAATATTGAGACACTTGCCATTCAATATGTTAGGGCTATGAAACAGATAGGTAGATACACACATGATTTATGGATAGATAGTAGATAGATTGATTGATATAGATAGATATAGATGATGGATACACAGATAGATAGATAGATAGATATGATAGAGAGAGAGAGATTCCTATTCCATGATAGTAAGGAACATATAATGGTGATGCACATGCTGATATTAAATATTACAATAATAATGCAAGGAAGTATATGACTGTAATGACAAATAAGTTTAAAGAAAAATGGAATTACTGTGGGCTGGGGAGTTTAGGGACCCTTAATGGAGACACGAGCGTAAGTATGGTCTCTCACTCACTCAGTTACTATCTTATTTCAAAGATTATAGAGTATCTACACTTTACAAAACATTGTACTTGCTGAAACATATGCAAATATGCATGAAGCATGATTCTCTCCTTGTACAACCCAGTGTAAGTTGAAAGATAACTAAGTGACACACTACATCTAATTTGCTGTGTTCTAGCAGAAATGGCACAGGAAGCCATTAGAGAATTGAGAGGGAGTTCCTAAATCAGAATGAAGGGATCAGGGTCCTGTGTTCTGAGGTTTCAAGAACAGGTTGAAAAGATGATGAAGACTTATGAAAGCATGTTGGGGAAAGTGAGAGATATAGAGAATTACTTTTCAGGTAGCAAAATCAGCATCAGTTTAATGCATAAAGTTGTGAAACTACATGACAAGTTTGAGATCCTATGGGTTGTTCTACATGGCATAGGACAGGGTGACTCATTGGAGATGACATTGGAAAGGTAGGTTAGAACCAGACTATAATGGGTCTTGTGCCCAGGTCAGGAGATTAGGTATTTTCAAAAAACTCTCTGTCACCCATTTCATGCAATCCTCCACCTCACTAACTGTGCATTGGCCATACTATCTTTCTTCAACTCTCCAAATTGTACCAAGCTCAAATGGAAAAAAATGGGTCAGTGAGAACTGAACAGGCAAGAGAGAATTAACCCCAAGTATATTACAGAAAACTTCAGAAAGGATAGCATCAGATTCTACAAGATGAAATAAGTTAATTTACAGGTTCCCAGATGTTCACGATGCTCTTAGAGTCTCAGGAATTTTTTTATGCCACTCCTAGGACAAAATCAATAGCTAACCGTTTCATTTATTAAGTAGTTAGATACAAACAAATTAATAACTATTTATGTCCTGACAACTTAGAAATTGTTTTAAGAAATAATATACATAGATTAAAAGGAATAATATAGTTTTTATAATGAAATATAACTATGACTGAGACGTGAGTGCCCGTTAAACACTGTGAAACTTTCAGCAATAGCTATGGTGACAAAATAAAACTGCGTTAATGGGCAATCCCTCCTTAATTTGACAATCAAGGGATTCCGTAGCCTGCCTATGGGAAGTTTGAGATCCTACAGGTTGCTCTGCATGACATAGGACAGGGTATGCAAGACAATGCGTGTAAAGCCTAATAGGCTTTCCTCTTACATGCCCTATACTAAAGTAGGCTTACACACCCTAGGCTTTCCTCTTATATACCCTATACTAGAGCTACCCTATTAACCTCTGCCCCAACACATGCACGCCCTAACACCTAAACAGAATTCACAGTCATTATCCCCACTTCTCTGTCATTTAAGGGAGAGACATGCTAGAGATCCAGCCACCTGTAGTAACTAATGATTGAACACTCACACACACACACACACACACAAATTAGTACCAATAGACATTTGAGGCACACAAAAAAAGCAAAAATAAGAAACCAGATGAATAAGCATGATGCAGAGACAGAAAAGACCTTCAAAATTTTCTAATTACTGCTTTCAAAGAATTAAAAATATTTCTCATAAAATAGTAACAGGCTGCTAGAGAGAGAGAAAGAGAAAAAGAAAGCATGCAAGTATTCGTACACATTTAAAACATAATTTTACAAGGAAGAAAGTCATTGCAGAACAATAAAATGAGCATGCTGGAATTTTTAGTCAGTGATCTGTAGGGTTAAAGTCCAGGAAATTTTGTAAAGGATAAAAGTAAAAGACAAAGAGATGAAAAAATTCTAAAAATACTAAAATATCCAGGAATAAGTCAATAAGCTCTTTCTCCCCCTACTAATATTTCTAGTAGGAGATAACTAAGATTCCAAAATGAGTGGGGATAAAAATAATCAAAGATATATACTTAAACTAATATACTAATATTAGACTAGAACTAAAGAACAACATAATGTGTTTAGATTGAAATGTTTCTCTAACTACTGAGTAGAAATAATGACAAAAGAGAAAACTACGCCTAGGCACAACTTGTTAAAATTGCAGAGCTCCAAGAATAAAGAGAAAGACAGAAAAGGTACAAAGAAATGGAAGTCAGGCCATATGAGAACTGGTTTAAGAAATGAACACTGTTGGCCGACTACTTGCATTTTAATCTTGGTTCTGAAATATACTATAGTTCTATAAGCTTAGACAAGGTATTTACCATCTCTGAGTTTCAATTTACTTATCTATAAAATTGGAACAATAATATTACTCACCTCTGATTGTGTTTTCAAGCTACTTAAATGTATGAACTGATGGATACGAATTGATTAAAATAATACCTGGCACACAGAATTAATTAAAATAAGCAACATTCCTGGATGTTTTGATAAAATAAAGCACTTTCAGATTTCTAAAGGGAAAATAATTTGAACTTAGAATTCTGCATCTAAATAGTGATTCAATTCATGGAGGAGGCAAAAAGATGTAATTAGACTTCTAAGAAGTCATAAATTTCACCAACCATATATCCTTTTTTTATTTTAAGTTCTGAAATACATGTGCAGAACATGCAGGTTTGTTACATAGATATACATGTGCCATGGTGGTTTGCTGCACCTATCAACCCGTCATCCAGGTTTTAAGCACCTCATGCATTAGGTATTTGACCTAATGCTCTCCCTCCCTTTGCCCCCAACCCTCCGACAAGCCCCAGTGTGTGAGGTTCCCCTCCCTGTGTCCATGTGCTCTCATTGTTCCACTCCCACTTATGAGTGAGAACATGTGGTGTTTGGTTTTCTGTTCCTGTGTTAGTTTGCTGAGAATGATGGCTTCCAGCTTTATTCATGTCCCTGCAAAGGACACGAACTCATTCTTTTTTATGGCTGCATAGTGTTCCATGGGGTATATGTGCCACATTTTCTTTATCCAGCCTATCATTAATGGGTATTTGGGTTGGTTCCAAGTCTTTGCTATTGTAAATAGTGCTGCAATCAACATACATGTGCATGTGTCTTTACAGTAGAATGATTTATAATCCTTTGGGTATATACCCAGTAATGGGATTGCTGGGTCGAATAGTATTTCTGGTTCTAGATCCTTGAGGAATGGCCACGCTGTCTTCCAAAATGCCAACTATATATCTTAAATGATAATTTTATTTAAAGAGATAATACAGAAAATTGGGGAAAACCCATCAAGAATGAAGACAATCAAAAAACCATGAAACTTTGTGTGATTTAGAAAAGTTAAAGGAAGCTATAAAGAAAAACAAGAGAACCCATGGTACTTCGAATTTACAAAAGTCTATTTCAAACAGTAATTTTAACAACATAGAACTACATGTCTTAGCCTAGCAATTCCTAGATTGCTTCTACACTGAGTAATGTGTACATACTCATAATTTTGTCACTGCTGTTTACTTCTTTTTTACTGTTGACTCAACATACAAACAAATCACAAGAATCAAAGTCACAAACTGCTGTAAAATATGATAAACCTTGACAGTATGAAAATAATAATATAATTAACCAACTTGGCAGTTCACAAAGGGATGAATGAAAGAAAAATAAATATGAATGCTAAATTCTTCATCTTTCACAGCAGGATGTCCAGCAATAGCATCTGAAGACAATATATGAAAAAAAATAATGGTTTATGGAATCAAGAAATTATCCTGCTTTTCTTCTAAGTACTGCACCATCGCATTACCAAAGAGTAGATACAAGAGTGATTCATTTCTAGAAATAATGCAGCTAATAAACACAGAAGGAATGATAGAATTAGAATATCACCATTTTACAACTCCTAATGAATTAACAGATCTTGGTATTTTTAAACGATAGCACAACAAAAATAGAGGCAAGTGTCCACACCATCAGTGAAGTATTGTAGTTCTCCCAGCCAAAAAAAAAAGAAACCCAAAACTTGGGAGGCCAAGGCGGGCAGATCACCTGAGGTCGGGAGTTCGAGACCAGACTGGCCAACATGGTGAAACCCCATCTCTACTAAAAATGCAAACATTAGCTGGGCATGGTGACAGTCACCTGTAATCCCAGCTACTTGGGAGGCTGAGGTAGAAGAATCGCTTGAACCTGGGAGGCAGAGGTTGCAGTGAACTGAGATCAAGCCACTGCATTCCAGCCTGGGCAAAAGAGCAAGACTCCGTCTCAAAAAAAAAAAAAAAAAAAGAAGAAGAAGAAAAAAAAGAAAACCTGAATCTGATCAAAACGCTAGTAGTAATGATTAATTTACAAGAAATTTAGAGGCCAGCAAAATATGTTAAATGACACCACAGGGATTAGGACACATACACACACACACACATAAACACACACCCAACAGGACACACACATACAAAAACAAACAATCATAAGACCACAAATCTTACAAACGAATAAATTAAAAGGGGATGAAAGAAATTGCAAGAACCTTATAAGGCTTATCCTCCAATCACAGTAGTGTCAGAACCATATTCTGATTCAAACAATCTTAAAAAGGAAGAAGAAAAGAAGAAGGGAGGAAGAGAAATGGAAAAGAGAAAAAAGGAGGGAAGAGGAAAGGCGCAAAGGGGAGGTAAAGAGGAAAAAAATGGGGGCAAGGGAAGGGAAAGGAAATCATGGATTCTGTATTGGAACAGAATGGTGGAGCTACTTGATGAAAGGCATCAAGCTCCTGAAACCCTGCCTGGAGAAGAGCTGGTGGGTTAAAATGGCTTCCAGTACCCGGTATAACCCTCTCCCCTTGAGTGTGGACAGGACCTGTGAATTTAATGGCATAGTCTCTTTAATGATTCGGTTATATTATGTAAGACTTCATCATAGTAGACTCGGGAGATTCCCCCAAAGAGGCTTATACCTTCTTTAAAGGTACCCTATACCTTCTTTAACGGTATAAGCCACCTTGTTGTGAGAAGGCCACTGTAGCTAAGATCTCAGGGTGAAATCTAAAGACATGGGAACCCCCAGCCAACAGCCAGCAAGAAAGCAGGTAACCTCAGTCCTTTAGCTGCAAGAAACTGAATTCTTCCAACAACCTGAATGAGCATCCATGGTGTCCCATGAGGCCACAGCTCTGACACCTTGATTTCAGCTCGATGAGATGCTGAACAGAGAACTCACTTTACCCATGCCTGGGCTTCTGATCCACAGCAATTGTAAAATAATAAACTTGTAATGTTTTAAGCCACTATACCTGCCCCTTGACCAGGAATAAATTAAGTTACTGGAGTAGGAAATAAATTTCTATTGTCTTAAGCCACTGAAATTTAAGGGTGCACAGAAATTACCTGGGGGAATCTTATTAATAAACGCAGATTCTGATTCTACAAGTCTGGAGCAGGGATTGAAGGTGGAAGCTTCTTGCTGCTGTCAATGTACAGGTTTTACTGGCTGTGCTTAGATATGATGTCCCTTAATTTCTCCTCAACCTCCATTACCCAGCTCCCACCTTTGACGGGGACTCCTTAAATGCCTAACTAAGCACTCCTCTCTGTCTCAGACTTCAGGCCTTTCGCGGTTGTCCCTTTCCTCCGCCCCTCCCCACGCCCGGCCTTCCGGGCCAGCAGGGGGCCCGTGCGCCACGGCCTTGCGATCCCAGGAGGTTCCCCAGATTCCCGCGCCCCGAGCCCAGCACTCCTGGGCCACCTCCCTGTCCGGTCCGTTGAAGAAGACCTAGAACTCCCGCTAGACAGCTCCGCCCCAGGCTCTTCCCAAGGGACATCCCCGGCTCCTCACCGCGGACTCAGGACCGGTGGTGTCCAAAGACCCGCGAGCTGCGCGCCCCGCGGGGAGGGAGTGAAACAGAGACCTAGCGCAGAGCCCAGGTGGAAGTTCCAGGTTACCCCAGACCTGGCCTAGGACTCGGCGCTCTGAGCCACCGCAGCCAGTCTTTTATGCATCCGGCGGGAGTTTCGGTTTCCTTTCTCCTCTCAGAAGCACTTAGGTTTCAGTTTCCCTTCAGCACGAATTAGGCGAGGCACTTTCGTGGAAAGTTTAGCATCCTTCCCTTCAATCAGAATCTTAAGAAGGGGAGCATGGCGAGACGTTAGTTAAAAGGTATGAAGTTACAATAGCTAGGAAGAACCAGTTCTGGTATTCTATTCTGCAGTAGGGTGTGTATAGTTAACAATAATGCATATTTCAAAATAGCTAGAAGAGAGAATTTTGAATATTCTCATCACAAAGAAATAGTAAAGTTTTGAGGTAATAGATGGGCTAATTATCCTGATTTGATCATCACACAATGTATACATGTATTGAAACGTCACATTGTACCCCAAAAATATATACAATTATTATGCGTCAATTAAAAATAAAATGAAACTAAAAAAAACCTTAAAAGAGAGAGACAAAGGCAATAAAAATGGGCTTTGGAATTTGGGCATAAATATAGAGTAAATTGAGGCAGAAAAATTTGTAACATCTAAACAAGATAAAATCAAGAAGAGTTAGAATTTAGAAATTGATAAAATGTAAAAGACACTGTGGAATCTGAAACCCCACAATGAAATTGGAGATCTTGCTGCTTCTACTTGTATGCAAAAAGAAAAAAGAAAGTATGTAACAATACATGAACTTTGAGTTTCTGTTATGAGAAGCTGATGATTACTGTTCTGTATAAACTGTAATTGGTACTTTCATGGGCCAAGAATCAACATTAAAAAATAAATTGAAAATGCAGAATGGTCACATTTATTTGTGCCTCAAATTGATGAAATGTTCTCTTAATTTTTGCCTGTTGATACTTGCAGTGTGGGTTTCGATACTCATCTCCTTTCCTTTCAGTGCCCTCGTATGCTTGATTTCATTAATGCTATAAATATGCATTCATATATTGGAAATAGAAGAGGGTGTGGAGGAAAGACAGCAGTGAATTTGGGTAATCAGCATGATAAGAAGCCACAGGCTGCTTTGTCTACAAGGAAAGGAAAGAGCCAAGGTCCAGGCACTGCTCCACAGGGAACACAGAACAGAGAGAGTAGTGAATGATACTTTGTCTTGTGAAAAATTAGAGAGTCAAGTTGTTAAAAGAGGGGGATATGGGGAAGGAGGACATTTCTCACATCCATCAGACAATTACTTGTTTATTCATTTGTTTAGAAATTCACGTGTTTGTTAGTGATGAGATTAAGAAAGAAAATAAAAGACTCTAGAATTTAACACATGATTGGTCTTAAATCAGCCAATATTCCTGTCTCCTTCACTGTGATCTCTGATGTACCTGCCTGGGGTAGGCTGAATAATACCCTGCACTCCTCCCTCCAAAAGAGGCCAAAATCCTAATTCCTGGAACCTATGAATACAGTAACTTTCATAGCAAAAGTAACTTTGCAAAATAGATTAAATAAGAATCTTTAGAAGAGGAGATTACCCCTTACCCGGGATTATCCAGGTGGGCCCAAGGTCATCAGAAGGGCCTTTATAAGAGGGAGACAGGAGTTCGAGGGGCAATGTGATGATAGAAACAGTCAGTGACAGAATGTGGGGACACTACACAGATGGCGTTGAAGACAGTGGAAGGGACCACGGGCCAAGGAGTCTGGTGGTCTCTAGAAACTACCAAAGGCAAGGAAACATTTTTTTTTTCTAGAGCCTCCAGAAATCAGCCCTGATAACACCTTGACTTCAGCCCAGAGAGACTGATTTTGAACCTCTGAGCTCAGAACTGTAAGAGAACAAACTTGTGTGGTATTAAGCCACTAAATTTGTGGTAATTTGTTACAGCAGCCATAGAGAACTAATACAATATTGCAAACTGTATTGTAGGAAATGAATAACATATTTGCAAACAGCAGAAATAATGGATTGTGTTATAACAAGAGGTAGAATTAATTCAGACAGCTACTATGTGCTAAGCAATATGCTAATACCATATCAATGATCACAGCAAGTTCATGAGGTGTGTACTATGATTTCTGTCATTCTGTAGATAAGAAAAATAAAGCTTCGAGGGATAAAACAGCTAATAAATTATACTAAGATTCAAAATGTGGTCTAACCCAATGGCCTATCTACAACATTCTCTATTACATAATTTCATCAAATGCTTCAAATTCTACAACTGAAAGTGTTTCAGCTAGTGGACAAATGATTTTTTTTTGCTTAAATTATAAAGTTTTTTAGAATATATGATGTTCTACAGTTGTTTCGACTTTCAGTGACCGGATTTATCAGGTGAGAGTTCAAGACAACTTTGACTCATCCTCTTCAATTTTCCACCCCAAAGTATGTAAACACACAGAAACTTTTTATTTTTTTTTTACTTTTTCACTTCAACAGCCTACTCCCATGACCACACCCTGGACTTTGTTCTGAAGCTTGATAGTCACGTACTTTATTTTTCCTTTTAGACCCCTCCCTTTATGCCCTACACTTTAACCTCTGAGGACTCCCAAATGTTTGTCCTATCAGGGTGAACTCCATGAGCCAACACTTCAACTCTCCTCTTAATTAACATGTTCAACTGCTTGAACCTACTGACTTTCCTCTACACTTGCCTATAATTTGTTAATCCTGATTAATTCAAGTTTTCTTTTCTTTTTGATACCTGGCCACCAAGGGGAATGACCCAGTTAGGATCTCATCAAATGTATTATTTAACAACACAGCTGATACCTTTTTTTCTGTTCCCCTCAGCCTTCTGCATATTTCACAATGACAGTTACAATTCAGCACTTTACCATTCTCAAGTCTTTTAAATGATAGACCATCTCTTCTGTTTTCAAGGAGAATTCTCTCCAGCTTTCTGATAACTCCATATTCCAGTCTCACACAGAGTTTAAGCAGAACACACAGCATGCCACTTACACACAACATAACTAGCCTTCTAGATCTGGGTTTGGATCTCCCCTCAAGCATCCTAGCCCATCATTCTTCAGTTTGTTGTGTATTTTAACATCTCTTTGTCAACTAAAACATAGTGTTCATTCCACTAATAGGTTCAATTAGAACCTATTCAATTCAATAGAACTCAATTCAATAGAATTCAATTCTAATTGAACCTATTGAATTGAATAGGTTCAATAGGTTCAAACTTCCATTTTCAAACAATAAGAAAAATGATGTCATGCCCGATTTCAGCCCTTCTCTTTTCAGCATGGTGCCCTGTAGTGGTCTTCATCCATTGGCTACACTTCTTCACCTCCCTTCAAATTTCTCAGGCCCATTAGCCTAAATCTGATCTGGAACTGCTCTGTCAAAGATATCCAATGAGGATCCACTAATTGACAAATCCAAACAATGCTTGTTTAGTCCCTGTTTGATTTACTTGCCTCTGTTCAGCATTAGAAAGATAGTTTGTACAGCCCCTCTCTTCTAAAGTGCCTCTTCTCCCTTGATTTCAGTTACAATCTTCTCCTTCAAATCAATTTCTTTTCCCACCTTCTCTGTAAGGATCAGCAGAATCATCACATAACTACTGCTCAAGTTAGAAACCTGGGAGCCATTGTTGCATCCTCACTTCCCTCAAATCCCAGTAAATTCCAACTCCAAACACTTACAGAATCTTGAGTCTCTTGACTCTTCCATTTTTCCAAAGGCTAGAGCAAGCCTCATCATTTCTCATCTGGATTATTGAAACAACCTTTTCACTTTCTAACTCCAGTCTGTCCCTCCAATTCATTTTCTACTCTGCTGCATTTTTTCAGCAGGTAAAACTGAGCACATCAAGACCCCATTAAAAAACACTTCAATATATGCTCATTGCTTCTAGATCAAACTTTCCTATCAATATTTCCTCTCTTCTTAGAACACTTCAAATAGTTTATTCACCTCCTCTTCTCTCCATTGGTGAGGGAATGATTCCCACCCTAGGGGAAAGGGATGGCCAGACTCATGGCACTTGACACGGAAGTTTGACAGCAGTTTATTAGTCACATGTCCTCCCAGCCAAGGGAGAAGGAAACTGTGTGCCACACAGGGCCACACCGGGATGGAACTCAGGAGCAAAGTGAAAAAGCAGGGACTATGGGAACCAGGGTCTGCAATTACCAAAGGATGGGGGGAAGCTCCCTGTTTCCCACAGGAGGATGTGATTGTTTGATTGAATAATTTTGCTGGCTGACTAGACAGTGAAATCCAAAAGTTAAGTGCAACTGGTAGGGCTGATAGAGAAAGAGCTAGGTGGGAAGGCTTTGGAGCTGGGTGCAGAGTATATCTGGTGAGAGCCCAGAACTACTGGTTAGGTCTCTGGGGCCCCAAGAGCCTCAAAGCAGCCTCAACTTTCACATGGAGCAAGCACATGAAATTTTCAGCCTTATGATACAATGCCTTTCTATCCACTTAAAATTTGATGATGTCTGAGACTTACTGAGAGTAGGAGGGCTTTCCTAGGAAGCAAATCAGGTATTTGACCAGGAGGGAGAGGATCAAATAGTGAGATGGAAATCAAGAACATAAAATTTAGAGGTGCCCCCATTATGACCAATAAAAACAATTGAGGGACTCCTGTGGCACTGGTATAGGGAGTGCGAGTCCCCAGCGGTTGTGAATTTACATTAATCAATGCATGCATGTAGCAGTGGTGACACCCATGAGGGCATCTATTTGCCACATTGTAACTTTAATAAGAGCTCTTTGAACTGCCTGTTAGGCCTCTTAAATTAAACTGACTGGTACCGATATATAGGCAAGGTGGAAGTTCCACTGAATGCTTTCTTCAAGAGCCCACTGTTATATATTCTGAGAAGTGAAATGCACCTTTCTCACATTCATTAATGTCTAGAACTCCAAAGGGGATAAGAAATGTCCTCGTGAGGGCTTGTATTATGGCCTTAGTATGTATAGAGGTATCTATTACCTTAATTTATATTTTGGGTATCAGTAAGAAAGGAGATTTCCAGAGTTTTTTACCCCAAAGGAAGGAACTCATAGGCCATGGCCCGAGAATGGCCCAAGATTATGTAACAGTGGACAGATGGGACCAGTTCTCAATGAGGGCATCTAATGCGGAGATGACTTTCAAAGTTTAGCCAACAGTGCTGATGCTTGGGTTCCATCCTCTTTCAGAGACACCCTGGTTAAAGGATGGAAAGTCGCCACATTCCATTGAGCTCTAGCACATATCGTGGTGGTGATTCCATTCATTAAATCTATGAACTCCCATTTCTGTTCACTCAGTTGATCCCAGAGGCTCCCCAGGTAGTGTGGAGGCCTTCTCCAGCAATGTGGCATCTGGCAAGAGACTCAGGACAGGGGAGACCACCTCTTTCTACAAGTGAACTATGCCAGAGAGCCCAAGTTTGGCTCCATCCTGCATCCAGGAGGCCTTGGTAGCGGAGCCAGGCCGTGGAGTGTTGCTTCCATGACCAAAGCATAATGGGCAACTGGATAGAAAAGGTCACAGGCTTGGGGGCTGTGAGAGCCTCTGTTTTCAAGAGAGCCCAGGATGTGGCCAGTAAAATGCCAACACAATGGTGTACAGTACAGGGCTGAAGAAGGGCAATATTTTGTATCAGAAGTCATGGACAAGTTATGGCCATCACAGGTGGTTCAGAGACTTCATGAGGCATGAGAAGAGGTTGTTAAAGCCTCTACAGTGAAGAAGTCCCTGAGGGCACTAACAGAGATGCCTGCCCATTTCAGTTTGGACAGATTTTACAGCATTTGTTGGAGGGGGCCCTGTTTAAGGTGGGCTGATTTGCAAGTAAAAGCATCAGCGAGATTAAGTAAAATTTGTAAATGTGGAATATGTTGCCTCCAGAACCCAAAAGGACTAAAAGATGTTAGAAAGGGACAGTTATGTTCCTCTGCTCATCTTGACAGCATCAGAGATGGAGCAGTCCTCAGTTCGCCAAATAATTTTCAGGAATTTAACCAAGGTGGCAGGGTCTTATACTTATGCATGAACCAATGGTCCATCGCCTTTTTAAAGCTCCTTTATGAGTATTTGCATGTCTTGAATGAGTATCCCAAATGAATCTCTGCAGAGGAGGATATCATCAATGTATCGTACCTGTGCTTCTGGAGAAGGGTAGAAGCAGTTAAGATCTTGTCTGCAAAGACTGTGTGCAACAGAAGGCTGCTGAGGTATATCCACGGATGGCCTGGTAGAGGCGTATTATGTCCCTTCAGAAGTGAAGCCAAACTGCAGTCAAGAGGCTGGTGAAATACACACCGAACAGAAAATGTTAGTGAAATCTATTATAGCAGATTTTTTTAAAAAACAAATTTCTGGTTGGATAGAATCAGTAACTTTTTTTTGAGCATTATGTATGAGAGCCTTAAAGGGGCCCACAGCATTAAGTTTGTGAGGAGCCATTCATTCTTTCAAGGTTTAAGAACACGGCAAATAGGGCTGTTACCCACTGTTACCATATTGTTTTAGTTTTGATTTTTCTCTGACTCCAATGTGATTGTTTCAAGAGCTTTACCTGACATGTGGCTTTGTAAGAAAATTCAATGCTACTTATTTCTCCAGCTACAATAGGTTTCTACAAAGCCCAGATAATTGCATGCTTTCTTAAAATTAGGATGCCAACAATTTTTATTTTTTACAAAGAGAGTTCATTCTCTATTAATTTTGTTTAGGTTTGAATTGTGTAGTCATAACTTCAGTATTAAATTTATAAATCAGAAATAAACCTATGGTATTAATAAATTCATATGTGTATCTATGAAAAAGTGATTATGTCAATAACAATTTATTTACAGAAACAAAGGAAACATTTCCTCATTTAAGAATACATTCAAACAAAACCACAGATGCACGTATAAAATTAAAATGAGTACACTCCATCTGTGATATATCTGCCACAGGCTTTTTCAACACCAGTTGACTGGTCAGTGAGAGGAAACATTGGGGTCTAAGAATATGCCAGTTCCATAGAAATTCTTTCCCCAAATAGTCGTGAACAAACTGCTTGGCCAACAGATACACAACAGACCTCAGGATTTTAAGTTGCAGAGCAACTGTCTTCAGTGGTTGGCATTTCTTAAATACTTAAATCCTTCTTTGGTTCAACAGCTGATTTCCTCCTTTGTCATATTCTTTCCTATTTGTTTTCCCAGGGAGTGACAGCCACGTCTTTCCACATTAGACTTCTTGGGTAAGCAGCTTCTGAAATTGTCCCACAGCAGTCCATAGCTGTCCAGCGGTGACCTCTTTGCTTGCAAGTTGGATATCCCTTTTGACAAATATCTCTATGAGGCATGTATAATGTAAACTTTAAGAGAAACAAAACACTGTGCATTTTTAATTATGTCAAATAAGTCTTAAAGCCATTTTAAATGTTCAATTATTTCGGTAGATTACCCTTTTCCCTTTAGTGGAGAAAAATAAATAAAATAATGTAGAAAATCAAACTGTTTCAACTAGTCAATATGTTATCCTTTATTTCAACACAATTTAAAACATTAAAGCCTTCAGCCATAGAAAAGATGCTTACATTTTTAAATAATGCCTTAATAGTGTAAATGCAAATAAATAATTTCTTCTTCTTTCCATTAGCATTCAGTAATGAGTTTTTACTGTGCTATATCACTTTAAATGGTCCCTATGACCATTTAAAAATTTCATTTATTTCCTTAGCCATCCCACAAATTAAGAGATTTATGTTGTTTCCAATTATTAGTTATTATAAATAACAGGATGAATATGATTTTATACATGTCCTCAGAGTAAAGTAGAATAGGTCAAAGGATATGAACATTTTAAAGCGTGAATATTTTATTTTATTTTATTTTAATTTTATTTCATTTTGAGACGGAGTCTCACTCTATCACCCAGGCTGTAATGCAGTGGTACGATCTCGGCTCACTGCAATCTCCGCCTCCCAGGTTCAAGCGATTCTCCTGCCTTAGCCTCCCGAGTAGCTGGAATTACAGACACCCGCCATCACACCCGGCTAATTTTTGTATTTTTAGTAGAGACTGGGTTTCTCCCTGTTGGCCAGGCTGGTCTGGAACCCCTGACCTCAGGTGATCCGCCTGCCTCGGCCTCCCAAATTGCTGGGATTACAGGCATGAGCCACCTCGCCCAGCCTAAAGCATGAACATTTAAAAGTGTGAACATTTAAAGTGTGAAGAAACTGGTACACTTAGAAATGAATCCAAAGATTTGCAAATCTACAGACAATAGATGGCCTGGAATATAGGACACCTTGTTTCAGGGATTTAAAATCAATTAGGGTCACCTTTAGTGCTCTGGGTAAAAATATACTAAGTTCATATGTACATATTTTTTTAAGCCACTATATCACTTCTCGGCCTTTGGCTAAGATCAAGTGTTTAAAGTCACTATGTTTTGTAGTAATTTCTTACCCAGCAATAGATAATTGACATACATTTTGATTTGGGATTTTGGAAGCAGAGCACATCCAAGTGCAGCTGTGAAACTGAAGGACTGAAGATGAATAGAGGTGAGGATCAACAGATGTGAACAGGTCACAAAACAAGCATTAAGCAATATGTGAAGGTGTAGGATAAATAGAGAAACAGGTGATGATGTCTCCCAGGGTAATGACAGGACTTGAAAAAGAAGCACAAGTCCAACTGGATCCAAAGTCTTGATTAAACAAAGTAGGTCAACTCAAATGTCAAGAGCTTCAAAAGAGCAGGACTTTTTATAAGAAGAAGGAGTGATCATTTGGCAGCCATATCAGGACCCAGCCAAAAGATTGCTCACCCCTCTTCCCAACTTCAGCTACATGTGGAAGTGGGCTGCAGACAAATGTGAAAATGCATGAGACACTCGTTTTAACCATATGACCCTTGGTGAGGCACAGTAAGGCCAGATGCGAGCGAGAGGGAGGCTGGAAAGAGTTTTTCAATTTTGTTACTCAGAGTTCTCTGAAGGAACACCACCTGGAGGGTCACTCAGAGGAAGCACGGGTTTGGCCAAGAGGCATGAGAGAGGCACCTGCCAATAAGTGGCTATATTGTGGTTCGTGAAAGGGAACATGGAAAAGAAAAAGCAGTTTGGATTGGCTAGTTTGAGTAATTTCAGTGGGTTCTGGGGCCGAGGGGCTGCCCCTGATTGTCTGGTATCTGGCCCTGTGGTGATTAGGTGGGTGCATACAACCCCATATGGGAGATGGATAGGCTTAATGGGCTTCTCATAAAAGGAAGCTGGCCAGCTTCCAGCCAGGACCTCAAAACTGGGTCAAGAAAACATATTTTTTTTGCTTTTTTTTTTTTTTTTTACTTTAAGTTCTGGGATACATGTGCAGAACATGTAGGTTTATTACATAGGTATACATGTGCCATGGTGGTTTGCTGTACCCATCAACCCATCATCTAGGTTTTAAGCCCTACATGCATTAGGTATTTGTCCTAACGCTCTCCCACTCCTTGCCCCCCACCCCACAACAGGCCCCAGTGTGTGATGTTCCCCTCCTTGTGTCCATGGGTCTTCATTGTTCAACTCCCACTTATGAGTGAGAACATGTGGTGTTTGGTTTTCTGTGCCTGTGTTAGTTTGCTGAGAATGATGGCTTCCAGCTTCATCCATGTCCCTGCAAAGGACATGAACTCATCCTTTTTATGGCTGCATAGTATTCCATGGTGTATACATGCCATATTTTCTTTATCCAGTCTATCATTGATGATGGGCATTTGGGTTGGTTCCAAGTCTTTGCTATTGTAAATAGTGCTGCAATAAATATATGTGTGCATGTGTCTTTATAGTAGAATGATTTATAATCCTTTGGGTATATACCGAGTAATGGGATTGCTGGGTCAAATGGTATTTCTGGTTCTAAATCCTTGAGGAATTGCCACACTGTCTTCCACAATGGTTGAACTAATTTACACTCCTACCAACAGTGTAAAAGTGTTCCTATTTCTCCACAGCCTCACCAGCATCTGTTTTTTCCTGACCTTTTAATAATTGCCATTCTAACTGATATGAGATGGTATCAAATTGTGGTTTTGATTCGCATTTCTCTAATGACCAGTGATGATGAGCATTTTTTCATATGTTTGTTGGCTGCATAAATTCCTTCTTTTGAGCAGTGTCTGTTCATATCCTTTGCCCACTTTTTGATGGGGTTGTTTTTTTCTTGTAAATTTGTTTCAGTTCCTTGTACATTCTGGATATTAGACCTTTGTCAGATGGGTAGATTGCAAAACTTTTCTCCCATTCTGTAGGTTACCTGTTTACTCTGATGACAGTTTCTTTTGCTGTGCAAAAGCTCTTTAGTTTGATTAGATCCCATTTGTCAATTTTGGCTTTTGTTGCCATTGCTTTTTGTGTTTTAGTCATGAAGTCTTTGCCCATGCCTATGTCCTGAATAGTATTTGCCTAGGTTTTCTTCTAGGGTTTTTATGGTTTTGGGTTTTACATTTAAGTCTTTAATCCATCTTGAGTTAATTTTTGTATAAGGTGTAAGGAAGGGGTCCAGTTTCTGTTTTCTGCATATGGCTAGCCAGTTTTCCCAACACCATTTATTAAATACAGAATCCTTTCCCTATTGCTTGTTTTTGTCAGATTTGTCAAAGATCAGATTGTTGTAGATGTGTGGTGCTATTTCTGAGCGTTTGCCAGAAATGCTATACAGAATTGTCTATATATCTGTTTGGTACCAGTACCATGCTGCTGTGGTTACTGTAGCCTTGTAGTATAGTTTAAAGTCAGGCTGCATGATGCCTCCAGTTTTGTTCTTTATGCTTAGGATTGTCTTGGCTATATGGGCTCTTTTTTGGTTACATGTGAAATTTAAAGAGGTTTTTTCCAATTCTGCAAAAAAACTCAGTGGTGGCTTGATGGGAATACCATTGAATCTATAAATTACTTTGGGCAGTATGGCCATGTTCATGACACTGATTCTTCCTATCCATGATCATAGAATTTTTTTCCATTTGTTTGTGTCCTCTCTTATTTCCTTGAGCAGTGGTTTGTAGTTCTCCTTGAAGAGGTCCTTCACATCCCTTGTAAGTTGGATTCCTAGGTATTTTATTCTCTTTGTAGCAATTGTGAATGGAAGTTTACTCATGATTTGGCTCTCTGCTTGTCTATTGTTGGTGTATAGGAATACTTGTGATTTTTGCACATTGATTTTGTATCCTGAGACTCTGCTGAATTTGCTTATCAGCTTAAGGAGTTTTGGGGCTGAGATGATGGGGTTTTTTAAATATACAATCATGTCATCTGCAAACAGAGACAATTTGACTTCTCTCTTCTTATGTGAAAACCCTTTATTTCTTTCTCTTGCCGGATTACGCTGGCCAGAACTTCCAATACTATGTTAAATAGGAGTGATGAGAGAGGGCATTCTTGGGATTACGTTTATTGATTTGCATGTGTTGAACCAGCCTTGCATCCCAGGGGATGAAGCTGACTTTGTAATTGTGTATGTTTCATGAAGTTCTTGTGCTGTGTTTTTCAGCTCCATCAGGTCATTTATGTTCCTCTCTAAACTGCTTATTCTAGTTAGCAGTTTCTGTAACCTTTTATCAAGGTTCTTAGCTTTCTTGTCTTGGGTTAGAATATGCTCCTTTAGTTCAGAGGAGTTTGTTACTACCCACCTTTTGAAGCCTACTTCTATCAATTCTTCAGTCTCACTGTCTGTCATTTTTTGCTCTTGTTGGAGAGGAATTGTGATCATTTGGACGAGAAGAGGCATTCTGGTTTTTGGAATTTTCAGCATTTTTGCTCTGGTTTTTCCTCATCTCTGTGGATTTGTCTACCTTTGATCTTTGAGGGTGATGATATTTGGATGGGGTTTTTGTTTAGGGGTTCTTTATATTGATGTTGATGTTGTTGCTGTTTGTTAGTTTTTCTTCTAACAGTCAGGCCCCTCTTCTGCAGATCTGCTGCAGTTTGCTGGATGTCCACTCCAGATCCTGTTTGCCCGGGTATCACCAGTGGAGGCTGCAGAACACCAAAGATTGCTGCCTACTCCTTCCTCTGGAAGCTTCATCTCAGAGGGGCACTGGCCTGATGCCAGCAAAAGCTCTCCTGTTTGAGGTGTCTGTCAACCCCTGTCGGGGGATTTCTCCCAGTCAGGAGGCATGGGGGTCAGGGACCCACTTGAGGATGCAGTCTGTCACTTAGCAGAGCTGGTGAACTGTACTGGGAGAATCCCTCTTGTCAGAATCAGCTGCTCTCTTCAGAGCCAGCAGGCAGGAAAGATTAAATCCGCTGAAGCTGTGCCCACAGCCACCCCTTCCCCCAAGTGCTCTGTCCCAGGGAGATGAGGGTTTTGTCTGTAAGCCCCTGACTGGGGCTGTTACCTTTCCTTCAGAGATGCCCTGCCTAGTAAGAAGGAATCTACACAAGCAATCTGGCCACAATCTCTTTGCCATGCCCAGCCCAGACCTCCCAGCCTCCTTAGCACTGCCAGGGGGAAACTGCACACTCAAGCCACAGTAACGGCAAATGCCCTTCCCCCTAATAGGCTCGAGCGTCCCAGGTCGACTTCAGACTGCTGTGCTGGCAGCGAGAATTTCAAGCCAGTGGATTTTAGCTTGCTGGCCTCCGTGGAGATGGGATCCACTGAGTGAGACCACTTGACTCCCTGGCCTCAGCCCCCTTTCCAGGGGAGTGAACAGTTCTGTCTTGCTGGGGTTCCAGGTGCCACTGGGGTATGAAATAAAACTCCTGCAGCTAGCTCGGTGTCTGCCCAAACAGCCACCCCATTTTGTGCTTGAAACCCAGGGCCCTGGTGGTATAGGCACCCGAGGGAATCTCCTGGTCTGCAGACTGCAAAAACCATGGGGAAAGTGTAGTAACCGGGTAGGGTAGCACAGTCCCTCATGGCTTCCCTTGGCTGGGGGAGGGAGGTCTCCCAGCTTCTTGCACTTCCGGGATGAAGCGATGCCCCACCCTGCTTCTGCTCGCCTTCTGTGGGTTGGATCCGCTGCCTAACCAGTCCCATTGAGATGAACTGGGTACCTCAGTTGGAAATGCAGAAGTCATCCTCCTTCTGCATTGTCCTCGCTGGAAGCCGCCGACCAAAGCTGTTCCTATTTGGCCATCTTGGCCGCTCCTCAAGACAACATTTTTAAAAAATGGCTTTCAGATGGGGGTCTCACTGTGTTGCCCAGGCTGTACCGAAACTCCTGCACTCAAAGGATCCTCCCACCTCAGCCTCCCAAGGAGCTGGGTCTATGGGCGCACACCACCAGCCTAACCTGACAGCATCTAAAAAAACTAATTTGTAACACTGTATTACTTTCCAGGCACTAACCTCATCCTCAATGAATCAGTCTAACTTTGTTATAATAACTTAAGAGTCTTAGTCTGGTGTAAATTTTCTAAGGAAGAGAAGTTCTGTATTTCATATTCCTGTATTGCAATATTTTTTAACAGGTATTTTCTTCTCCACTCTGTACAGAATGAAAGAAATGTCATGTTGCATTATGTTTTTTGATGAAATCATATCCAGTTTTCAGACCTTTCAGGAGAATAAGCTTTTTTTTCCTTTTTTTTTTTTTTTTGTTCTTATGAATTTCTTCCTTCACTGGCCTTATACCCGGATTTACGGGCCAGGGAACCCAGGCAAATTTCAGGGAGGCCTCCTCTGGTCGGTAGTCCACTGCGGTTCACCATGAGACTCATTGTTCTAATCCCCATGGTCCATTACAAAGAAGAGGCACCCACTACTTTCACTGCAGCTTCCAAGGCCATGATGCTTAATGCTGAGTGCTCAGGAGTCTATGTCCAGGCCTGCTATGCCTTGACACTGTTCTGTCCTGCATGAGTGTCCTGGCCAATCACAGAACCCACCACCCACCTGCTTTTCCAGGCTCTGAGAACTCAACTCCTTCTCAGGCTAAGACCAGCATCTTCCTCTAGAAGCACAAGCCCCATCTGATGCTTCTAGAATTATTTCCATCATACGTATAAAACTGTATCATTTTGAGGGTTTTTACACCTATACTTGCAATTTTTTTATTCTTATAATTCAGAAATACAAAGTGAATTTCTCTCTGAGATAGAGGAAGTCTACTTATAATAAGACTTAGCTAGACTTCCTGAGAGGTAGAAGGGAAAACTTGTATTTTTTTAACACACCTTAAGAGGAAGGGAAACATTTTTTATTCATTTTAAAATGTCGGCCAGGCACAGTGGCTCATGCCTGTAATCCCAGCACTTTGGGAGGCCGAGGGAGGTGGATCACCTGAGATCGGGAGTTTGAGACCAGCCTGACCAACATGGAGAAACCCCATCTCTACTAAAAATACAAAATAAGCCAGGCGTAGTGGCGCATGCCTGTAATCCCAGCTACTTGGGAGGCTAAGGCAGGAGAATCGCTTGAACCCGGGAGGCAGAGGTTGCGGTGAGCGGAGATTGCACCATTGCACTCTAGCCTGGGCAACAAGAGCGAAAACTCCGTCTCAAAAAAAAAAAAAAAAAAAAAAAAAGAGTCAACAACAGCAAAAAGAAATGAGTAAGGTTTTATTAAAGGAAATATTAAATAGTGAGCATTTCTTCAGCACTGCATTGAGATGGGGTTGTAAAGTTTACCTAAGATTTATCAAAGTTACTGCCTGGGTGCAGTTCACTCTGGAGAAAAAAAAACCTGGTGAGACTCTGAGATCTGTACTATTCATTCAATAATAAAACATCGGAGGGAGGTGGGGAGGGTTAATGGGTACAAAAAAATTAGAAAGAATGAATAAGACCTAGTATTTGCTAGCACAACAGGGTGACTATAGTCAATAATAATTTAATTGTACATTTTAAAATAACTAAAAGAGTATAATTGGATTGTCTGTAAGACAAAAGATAAATGCTTGAGGGGGTGATATCCAATTTTCTGTGATGTGATTATTACATATTGCATGCCTGTACCAAACTATCTCATGTAGCCCATAAGTATATACCTACTATGTACCCACAAAAATTAAAAATAAATTTTTAAAATTAAATAAAACATTTGAAAACATTAACTTGATGGTAGATTTATATAATTTAATTGTTAAGAGAAAAAGCATCTATTTTATTTAAAAATTAATAATATATTGTATATATGATATTATTCACCATTTATCTAATTAATCCTGTTATTCCACTCCCTAATGCTCACACCACCACCAAGATTTTTCCAATGTTAATATTTTTACATATTGTACCATATCTTGTGTGAAGAAATAAAATTACAAGCACAGTTGAAGCTCTTATTTTCCCTTCCTCAATCCAATTCCCCAGACCTCTTCCAGTGATTCATCTGCTGTCTTCTAGGATGTGCGTTCTTAGGTCTGAAGGCTTCCGGATTAGTTTTTCTGGAGAAAAGTGGGGATGGGAAAGTAGGGTCTAACTGCACCTTAGGGATTCTTTCATCCTGGTTTGAAGCCCCTAACTCACTACATATATCCATAGTTTGCCAATTAACAGTATTTGTAAGGAAGTGACTGGTGCCTCCAATTCCTGAGCCTCCCTGGGCTCTAAGACAAATCGTTTGCATGTCATCAGCATCTCTTTCTGAAGGGGTTTCAGTTTTGATTTGCTCTGCTCTTCAATTTAGTTACATCACTACTTCATCTGTTTACCATTTCCAACAACCTTGTTGATTTCCAGCATATTTTACTATCTCTTACTCCAATCTTTGTCCTGTTAGGTTTGTATTATGATATTTGTGATGTTTTCAAAAGAAAAATCATATGTTAAATCAGCCAAGCTCACTTAGAAACTTGTTTAAATAAGAAGCTGGATCAAGTGTGATGATAAAGTATCATATAAATAAAAGACTCAGTACTTCAATTCCAAGTTAACATAACAAAGAATTTTTCATTATAGTTTCACCCTTTAGATATGGTTCTGCTACCAGACACTGGGACAGCCATGATTTTTGTTCTATTTACCTATATTTGCTATTTGGAGGATTAAAACATTAGACTACATTAAACACAGACTCTACAGAATAGGTAATATGGGTCTTGTGGGGTCATTTTGACAACTAAAGAAAAGACTTATCCTTGTTATGAACAAGTGTCCTACCCTACAGGCTATATTTAATTCTAGCATCTTCTGCTGTTGTATGATCTAGTACCCATTAACAATATGAAGAAATCTTTGACATTAGTCTTATATTTATATTATTTATAAGTATTCACAATCTCATTTATAATGTTGTTAATAGATGAAAAAATGGAACGTTGAGTCATTATCAACTGAATTAAATCAATATGTAGAGATAATTGCTTGGGCTTTTCATTTTAAGCCTAGATACAATCTTAGATTGCCCCAAATTAAAGGTATACAGTATAAAAATATGTAAGTTAGGTTCGTCCATTCATCCATTTAGTTATTCTTCCAACAAACATTTCTTGGACGCTTGATGTATTAGGAACTGATCTGAGAAATCAATGTATGACTTCAACCAGAGGTGTCCAATCTTTTGGCTTCCCTGGGCCACACTAGAAGAGGAAGAATTGTCTTGGGCCACACATAAAATATACTAATACTAATGAGAGCTGATGAGCTAAAAAAAAAAATCACAAAAAAAATCTCATAATGTTTTAAGAAAGTTTACAAATTTGTGTTGGGCCACATTCAAAGCCATCCTGGGCCACAGGTTGGGAAAACTTGGCTTAAACCCAGTCCCTATATGATTCCTGACAATCAATTTGATTTTCTTGTTATGAGCTATGTCTGTAATATTCATCAACATTGATGACCACTTTTACCTAACAATGTGAGTAAAACAGGTAGCTATTTTATAATAGTTACTGGGTTACTACGTTAAGATAATCTACCACTTGAGTAAAATTTAAATGCACATAGAAGATCATAGGAAGAAGAGCTTTCATTGGAGTGTCACTTCTTCTACTTGGAATCACATACTATACCTTTAATTGATTAAAAATATGCTGAAATGGCAGGTGGTGATTTTCAGCTACAAGTCCACAGTACACAGGAACATGTTTAAATCCTATGTTTATCAGATCTGTAAATATAGTTCCTTCTATGTTAAGTGGCTTTATTTCTAAGCACTCAGCCCTCAGTCCTGGGGGTGCTTCCCAGCCTGCTGCTGGAATTCCTGATCATGGCAGTCTGCTGAAACATGAGCTTAGTTACCAAATATAGCTGAGTGGAGTAAGAAGACAGATGAGAGTCTGAGGCCACAGTTGCCTCAAAGTGGCCATGGACCAGGCATTCTTTAATAAATAGACAAGACCAACCTCCATTCTCCCAGTAAAGAAGAAATACTCATCTGAAATTCACCACTTTTCTGGAGGCCTCAAACTGACCAAGTGTTGAAAACGTCTTTAAGGTGTATTTCGAAATGTTAACAAATAGTACAACATTTCAGGAACTTTAAAAAAAAACAGCTAAAATAATAACAATTTTTTTTCTGAAGTTATGATGCTATTTAGAAGATGCCTTGATTTTATTTTTATCTGGAGAGGAAAGGTGATAGGAATAGTATAGTCTTTCCAAAATACGCAATACATAAGATTACCTGCAGGCTTTATATCCACCTATGCTCTCGGAGAACTACATTTCTACTATAATCACAAGCATGCTACATTGGTGCTTTCAATCACAAAAGGATTAAATATACTCACGGAGAACTTTTCTCAAGATTGTGCATGTTTCACAGAAAATGATAATGCAGTTATAGGAAACTTCACCCATACTTAAGCTAAATACCGATGGCTAAAAACCAATACATTGCATATTTTAGTAACATTTGAAGTTGTGGATTATACTTTCAAATGATTTTTAAAAATAATTCACTAGATATAATAAAGTAATTGATACATTAAATAGAAGTTTTTAAAAATTATATTAATACATGAAATGTATATATTTCTTTTTCAAAAACTTAAAACTTGCCTAAGAAAACCACTATATAGTCTCTGGATGCTGGTTAAATTAAAACATTGCATTATAACATCACATTGCTTTAAGTTACATGTGAAATTTTCTTGCATCCAGTATAGGAGGCTGATAGAGATTAATTTTAGGTTCATATAGTTTTTGACATTTGCTATAATTGCTGATTGCCTATTAGTATGAAGACTACATATAAATGAAGAACACATATAAATTATTTCTAAAAGGTTATTTTTAATGGTTTAAAACCATTAAAAATCAAGTAAATCACTTTTGTACAGAAATTAAATCCTTATTACATGATTAATATCCCTTTCCATAATCAAATCTTACATAGATATGATTAAGATCTTGAGAAATAGTCCAACGAATTAGAGGAAAGTCTCTACTCTTCAACTGAATTATGCAAAATGATAAAATCATGGATGACTCATTAAATTATTGCAATTATGGACAGGGGCTGAGAGATTTATTGGGCTAACAAGCAAATGTATTATTTACAGTCCTAGGAAACAAATTAGAAGACATACTTGCCTGGCACCAAAACCAACTCAAATCCAGTTTCACAGCAAAAAAGATGTCATTCTCCCAGATTAAAAAAAAATCTTCACTTAATCTCATCAATGACTCCAACTATCACTCCATATCTCTGCTCCCTTTTATATGAAAACTAAAAACTTGTCTGTTCTTGCCTTCTTCACTGCTTCACCTCCCAGTCTTTCCTCAAACTACTCCATCAACATTTTTATCCTGATCACTCCCTTGTGAAACTGCTGTCTCACAGTAACCAACAACCTCCACATTGCTACATCCCTTCTCATCCTACTCAACGTCGACCTAGTTGATTATTCCCTCTTCTTAAAACACAGTCTACTCTTGACTTAAAGAACACCACCTTCTCCTTGTTTTTTTCCTACCTCACTGGCTACTTCTCAATCTTTTTTTCCAGCTCCTCAATTGATTTCTGACTTTAAAATGTTGGACTGAACAAAATTTCATCTCTCTTCTATTTATACTCACTCATGGCGATTTCACCAACTCCTATGGTTTTATGTATTATTTCTGTGCTAACTACTCCCATCTATTTATCTCAAGCCCTGGTCACTGCCTGAGTTCAAGCTATTCCTGGAATGTCTCATATGCTGCTCAGACTAGTTTGTTGCAAAACAGAACTCTTGAATCCTCCACATCCTCATACCTCCTCTTCTCTATCTCTCTAAATAGCACTCGCCCTATCACAAGGCAAAAGTCTCCAGGTCACCCTCGTTTCCTCTCTTAACCTCCTAACTATTATACAGTTCATCAACAAGTTCTTTCTTGAATTTTCCAGTTATCTGGAACTTCACTCAGAGTTAACCTAAATACTGATGGTCAAATACTGATCCCTTCTAATTGTATCCAACCAATTCCAAGTTCCATGACTATCATAGTAACATGCTTCTCCTCCCATCTCCTTCTCTCTATGCTCGTGTCACTGGAAACATCTTTTATAAATGCAAGTCAGATCATATTCATATCCTGGCCAAACTGTTCCAATGGCTTTCTTTAATATTTAGGTTTCACAGCCTACAAGATCCAACATTCCATCACCTTTCAAACCCCTCCACACTCATCTTGCACTGTGCTCTTTTGTGCCGCCTAGCTATGCTGGCCTTCTCTCTACAGCTTGACCACAGTTCATTCTTTTCTCAGGAGCACTGACCTACTGTCACTTCTGCCTGGAAATTTCTTTCTCCCAAACAATTGCATAGCTTGTTTCTTCTCCCACATTCTACATCACTCCCTATTTAGTCACAGACTCTATTACTACATAAAACTATATCATATGTTATATGTTTCTTTATTATCTTCCTACTTCATTAGAAGGCAAACTCCTTAAAAGCAATGACTTTTTTCTTTTCCTTATTTATGTCCATATCTAGATCAGCACCTGATGCATAGCAGGTGTTCAATGAACTAGAAACTCAACTGTTGTCAATACTGTCTCTTCATGACGTATTTTTCTTCTTTGTGCCAACTCAACTTCTCTGATCCACAGCAGAGAGCTTTACATCTTACTGCTTTATTTGCTAAAGAAATATTCTCTCTCGGTATTTTCATGTCAAAAAAATTCCAGAAAAGGAACTCATTGAAAGAGAAATTTTACATTATTTTAATAAATAGAGCATGAAATGCTGCCAGGGTTCCCTATGAAACCATGGTGCCAGCTTGCTCTTTAAAGTTCCTGCTCAAAAACAAAAACACAAAACAGAACAGAGAAGTGCTGCTATTAGACCTACCTCAAATGTAATTATGATTGGACACAATTACCGTCAATGATTCCTACCCAAGAAGAGGTCTGAATAAAGAAGTTAGAAACAGATCCTCTTTTGAAACGGATACCAGGTTGCATCCCATCTCCTCTATTATTCTTTCAAAAAGAAGGGGTCAAAGATTTGCTCATTCATCTGAAAAAAAAAAAAAAAGACTTTATCTTCCAGCCAAAGACTTGGAAATGTGATAAAGGGTATAAAACAAGTAAAGAGTGAAAGCTAATTTGGTAATATATTAAGATTATTTATTATTCCAATGACAGAAATAAACCACTCTTACATTAAGCATATGGTAAAGGATAAGAGATGGTAAAAATTTCTAGAGTCTCTGGGTCTCTATTTTTCTAAAACTGCTATCATTGTGATTTTTTTAATATACTTTATTTTCAGAGCAGTTTTAGGTTCATAGAAAAACTGGAAGAAGAAATAGAGATTTCTTGTATACCCCATCCTAAAATACGCATAGCCTCTGAGACTATCAAAATCCTTATATGAAAGTAGTACATTTGTTACAATTGATGAACCTACAGTGACAATCATAATCACCCAAGTTTCATAGCTTACATTTGTGTTCACCTGTGATAGTGTACGTTCTATGAGTTTTGGCAAATTTGTAATGACATGTTTCCACCATTATAGCATCACACATAGTAGTTTTACTGCTGCTAAAAAAAATCCTCCACCCATTCATCCCTCCCTCCTCTCAACTTCTGGTGACCAAAAATCCTTTGACAGTCTTCATAGTTTTGGCATTTCCCAAATCTCATATAAGTGGAATCATACAATATCTAGTCTTTTGAAATTGACCTTTTTCACTTAGTAATAATGTGTATTTAAAGGCCTTTCATGTGTTTTAATGACTTGATGGCTCATTCCATTTTAGAGTTGAATAATATTCCATTGTCTGGATGTATCATGGTTTATTTATCCATTTACCTACCGAAGAACATCTTGGTTATTTTCCAAGTTTTGAAAATTATGAATAAAGCCAATATAAATATCCATGTACATATTTTTGTGTAGGCATAAGTTTTCAACTCATTTGAGTAAATAACAAGGAGTACTATTTCTGGATTATATAAGAGTATATTTAGTTTTGTAAGAAACTGCCAAACTGTTTTCCATCATTTCCACAAGGAAGTAATGAGCATTTCAGTCGTTCCACATCCTTGCTAGCATTTGATAGTGTTTTAGATTTTGGCCATTCTAATAGGCGTGTAGTGGTGTCTCATTGTTCTATTAACTTCCATTTTCCTGATGACATATGATATTGAGCATCTTTTCATATACTTGTTATCCATATATCTTTTTGGTGAAATGTCCATTCAGGTCTTTATTTATTCAGATTTTTTTTTCATTTAAAACATTTTATTTATTTTTTTCATTTAAAACATTTTATAAAATCCAAACATATTTTGAAGAAAAATTCCCCAGACAAAATGAGAGAAATAAACCTCTCTTCCATTAAGTATCATATACTTCCTGAGACTTTCCATTCAGCTTCATTTTTAGCTATTTCACCTTTGTAAAGAAGTATTCTGATAACCTCATCTCTCAGTCTTACATCATATATGGTCTGAAGGTCATAACTTTGAAATTTAAAGACTGTAAGATTATATTCTTTTATGTCTCTTTATTGAAGTTCTCCATGACATTTTCAAGTAGAGTACTATATTAGAATTTTGCATTTGCTGCTCCCAACCAAATTTTTACATTTACGTTTTCTTTGGTTGTATTTTTTTATTGTTTTAAGTTCAGGGGTACATATGCATGTTTGTTTTGTAGGTAAATTGCGCGTTGTGGGGGTATGGATTATTTCATCACCCAGGTAATAAGCATAGTACCCAAAAGGTAGTTTTTCAATTCTCACCCACCTCCCACCCTCTACACTCAAGTAGGCCCTGGTGTCTCTTGTTCCCTTTTTTGTATCCATATGTACTCAATGTCTAACTCCCACTTAACAAGTGAGAACATGTGGTATTTGGTTTTTGGTTCCTGTGTTAGTTCACTTAGGATAATGATCTCCAGCTCCATCCATGTCGCTGAAAATGACATAATCTCATTCTTTTTTGTGGTTGCATAGTATGCCATGGTATATATGCACCATTTTATCTTCATCAGTCCACCACTGATGGACATTTAGGTTAATTCCACGTCTTTGCTACCATGAATAGTGCTGTGATAAATATATGTATGCATGTGTTTTAATGGTAGAGTGAATGATATTTCTTTGGGTATATACCCAATAGTGGGATTGCTGGGTCAAATGGTAATTCTAAGTTCTTTGAGAAATTGCCAAACTGCTTTCTGAAATAGTTGAACTAGTTTACATTTCCACCAGCAGTGTATAATTGTTCCCTTTTGTACACGACTTTGCCAGCATCTGTTATTTTTTGACTTCTTAATAATAGCCATTCTGACTGATGCAAGATAGTATCTCATTGTAGTTTTAATTTTCATTTCTCCCATCATAAGTAATGTTAAGCATTCTTTCACATGTTTGTTGGCTGCGTGTATGTCTTCTTTTGAAAAGTGTCTGTCCATTTTAGATCTCTCCTGCTTTCTCTTGTGGGCATTTAGTGCCATAAATTTCCCTCTACACACTGCTTTAAATGTGTCCCAGAGATTCAGGTATGTTGTGTCTTTGTTCTCATTGGTTTCAAAGAACATCTTTATTTCTGCCTTTATTTCGTTATTTACCCAGTAGTCACTCAGAAGCAGGTTGTTCAGTTTCCATGTAGTTGAGCAGTTTTGAGTGAGTTTCTTAATCCTGAGTACTAGTTTGATTGCACTGTGGTATGAGAGACAGTTTGTTGTGATTTCTGTTCTTTTACATTTGCTGAGGAGTGCTTTACTTCTAACTATGTGGTCAATTTTGGAATAAGTGCAGTGTGGTGCTGAGAAGAGTGTATATTCTGTTGATTTGGGGTGGAGACTTCCGTATATGTCTATTAGGTCTGCTTGGTGCAGAGGTGAGTTCAATTCCTGGATATCCTTCTTAACTTTCTGTCTTGTTGATCTGTCTAATGTTGAGAGTGGGGTGTTGAAGTCTCCCATTATTATTGTGTGGGAGTCTAAGTCTCTTTGTAGGTCTCTAAGGGCTTGCTTTATGAATCTGGGTGCTCCTGTATTGGGTGTATATATATTTAGGATAGTTAGCTCTTCTTGTTGGATTGATCCCTTTACCGTTAAGTAATGGTCTTCTTTGTCTCTTTTCATCTTTGTTGGTTTAAAGTCTGTTTTATCAGAGACTAGGATTGCAAACCCTGCTTTTTTTTTGTTTTCCATTTGCTTGGTAGATCTTCCTCCATCCCTTTATTTTGAGCCTATGTGTGTCTCTGCACATGAGATGGGTCTCTGGAATATGGCACACTGATGGGTCTTGACTCTTTATCCAATTTGCCAGTCTGTGTCTTTTAATTGGAGCATTTAGCTCGTTTGCATTTAAGGTGAATATTGTTATGTGTGAATTTGATCTGTCATTATGATGTTAGCTGGTTATTTTGCTCATTAGTTTATGCAGTTTCTTCCTAGCATCGATGGTCTTTACAATTTGGCATGTTCTTGCATTGGCTGGTACCGGTTGTTCCTTCCCATGTTTAGTGCTTCCTTCAGGAGCTCTTGTAAGGCAGGCCTGGTGGTGAAAAAATCTTTCAGCATTTGCTTGTCTGTAAAGGATTTTACTTCTCCTTCACTTATGAAGCTTAGTTTTGCTGGATATGAAATTCTGGGTTGAAAATCCTTTTCTTTAAGAATGTTGAATATTGGTCCCCACTCTATTCTGGCTTGTAGAGTTTCTGCCAAGAGATCCACTGTTAGTTTGATGGGCTTCCCTTTGTGGGTAACCCGACCTTTCTCTCTGGCTGCCCTTAACATTTTTTCCTTCATTTCAACTTTGGTGAATCTGACAATTAGGTGCCTTGGGGTTGCTCTTCTCGAGGAGTATCTTTGTGGCATTCTCTGTATTTCTTGAATTTGAATGTTGGCCTGCCTTGCTAGGTTGGGGAAGTTCTCCTGGATAATATCCTGAAGAGTGTTTTCCAACTTGTTCCATTCTCCCCATCACTTTCAGGTACACCAATCAGACGTAGATTTGGTCTTTTCACATAGTCCCATATTTCTTGGAGGCTTTCTTCATTTCTTTTTACTCTTTTTTCTCTAAACTTCTCTTCTCGCTTCATTTCATTCATTTGATCTTCCATCACTGATACCCTTTCTTCCATTTGATCGAATCGGCTACTGAAGCTTGTGCATGTATCACATAGTTCTCGTGCCATGGTTTTCAGCTCCATCAGGTCATTTAAGGTCTTCTCTATGCTGTTTATTCTAGTTAGCTATTCGTCTAATCGTTTTTCAAGGTTTTTAGCTTCTTTGCGATGGGTTCAAACACCCTCCTTTAGCTTGGAGAAGTTTGTTATTACCGATCTTCTGAAGCCTACTTCTGTCAACTCATCAAAGTCATTCTCCATCCAGCTTTGTTCCATTGCTGGCGAGGAGCTGCGTTCCTTTGGAGGAGAAGAGGCGCTCTGATTTTTAGAATTTTCAGCTTTTCTGCTCTGGTTTCTCCCCATCTTTGTGGTTTTATCTACCTTTGGTTTTTGATGATGGTGACCTACAGGTGGGGCTTTGGTGTGGATGTCCTTTTTGTTGATATTGATGCTATTCCTTTCTGTTTGTCAGTTTTCCTTCTAACAGTCAGGACCTTCAGCTTCAGGTCTGGTGGAGTTTGCTGGAGGACCACTCCAGACCCTGTTTGCCTGGGTATCACCAGCAGAGGCTTCAGAACAGCAAATATTGCAGAACAGCAAATGTTGCTGCCTGATCCTTCCTCTGGAAGCTTCATCTCAGAGCGACACCCAGCTGTATGAGGTGTCAGTCATCCCCTACTGGGAGGTGTCTCCCAGTTAGGCTACTCAGGGGTCAGGGACCCACTTGAGGAGACAGTCTGTCCATTCTCAGATGTCAAACTTCGTGCTGGGAGAACCACTACTCCCTTCACAGCTGTCAGACAGGGACTTTTAAGTCTGTAGAAGTTTCTGCTGCCTTTTGTTCAGCTATGTCCTGCCCCCAGAGGTGGAGTGTACAGAGGTAGACAGGCCTCATCGAGCTGCGTGGGCTCCACCCAGTTCGAGCTTCCTGGCCTGGTTTTTTGAAAAGATCAACAAAATTGATAGATCGCTAGCAAGACTAATGAAGAAAAGAGAGAAGAATCAAATAGACGCAATAAAAAATGATAAAAGGAATATCACCACTGATCCCACAGAAATACAAACTACCATAAAAGAATACTATAAACACCTCTACGCAAATAAACTAGAAAATCTAGAAGAAATGGATACATTCCTCGACAAATACACCCTCCCAAGACTAAACCAGGAAGAAGTTGAATCCCTGAATAGACGAATAACAGGCTCTGAAATTGAAGCAACAATTAATAGACTACCAACCAAAAAAAGTCCAGGACCAGACAGATTCACAGTTGAATTCTACCAGAGGTACAAAGAAGAGCTGGTACCATTCCTTCTGAAACTATTCCATCAATAGAAAAAGACGGAATCCTCCCTAACTCATTTTATGAGGTCAGCATCATCCTGATACCAAAGCCTGGCAGAGACACAACAGAAAAAGAGAATTTGGGACCAATATCCCTGATGAACATCGATGTAAAAATCCTCCATAAAATACTGGCAAACCAAATCCAGCAGCACATCCAAAAGCTTATCCACCATGATCAAGTTAGCTTCATCCCTGGGATGCAAGGCTAGTTCAACATATGCAAATCAATAAACATAATCCATCATATAAACAGAACCAAAGACAAAAACCACATGATTATCTCAGTAGATGCAGAAAAGGCCTTTGACAAAATTCAACAGCCCTTCATGCTAAAAACTCTCAATAAACTAGGTATTGATGGAATGTATCTGAAAATAATAAGAGCTATTTATGACAAACCCACAGCCAATATCACACTGAGTGGGCAAAAACTGGAAGCATTCCCTTTGAAAACTGGCACAAGACAGGAGTGCCCTCTCTCACCACTCCTATTCAACATACTGTTGGAAGTTCTGGCCAGGGCAATCAGGCAGGTGAAAGAAATAAAGGGTATTCAATTAGGAAAAGTGGAAGTCAAATTGTCCCTGTTTGCAGATGACATGATTGTAAATTTAGAAAATCCCATTGTCTGAGCCCAAAATCTCCTTAAGCTGATAAGCAACTTCAGCAAAGTCTCAGGATACAAAATCAATGTGCAAAAATCACGAGCATTCCTATACACCAACAACAGACAAACAGAGAGGCAAATCATGAGTGAACTACCATTCACAATTGCTTCAAAGAGAATAAAATACCTAGGAATCCAACTTACAAGGGATGTGAAGGACCTCTTCAAGGAGAACTGCAAATCACTGCTCAATGAAATGAAAGAGGACACAAACAAATGGAAGAACATTCCATGCTCATGGATAGGAAGAATCAATATCGTGAAAATGGCCATACTGCCCAAGGTAATTTATAGATTCACTGCCATCCCCATCAAGCTACCAACGACTTTCTTTACAGAATTGGAAAAAACTACTTTAAAGTTCATATGGAACCAAAAAAGAGCCCGCATTAACAAGACAATCCTAAGCAAAAAGAACAAGGCTGGAGGCATCATGCTACCTGACTTCAAACTATACTTCAAGGCTACAGTAACCAAAACAGCATGGTACTGGTACCAAAACAGAGATATAGACCAATGGAACAGAACAGAGCCCTCAGAAATAATACCACACATCTACAACCATCTGATCTTTGACAAACCTAACAAAAACAAGAAATGGGGAAACGATTCCCTATTTAATAAATGGTGCTGGGAAAACTGGCTACCCATATGTAGAAAGCTGAAACTGGATCCCTTCCTTACACCTTACACAAAAATTAATTCAAGATGGATTAAAGACTTCAATGTTAGACCTAAAACCATAAAAACCCTAGAAGAAAACCTAGGCAATACCACTCAGGACATAGGCATGGGCAAGGACTTCATAACTAAAACAGCAAAAGCAATGTGAACAAAAGCCAAAATAGACAAATGAGATTTAATTAAACTAAAGAGCTTCTGCACAGCAAAAGAAACTACCATCAGAGTGAACAGGCAACCTACAGAATGGGAGAAAATTTTTACAATCTACCCATCTGACAAAGGGCTAATATCCAGAATCTACAAAGAACTTAAACAAATTTATAAGAAAAAATCAAACAACCCCATCAAAAAGTGAGCGAAGGATATGAACAGACACTTCTCAAAAGAAGACATTTATGCAGCCAACAGACAATGAAAAAATGCTCATCATCTCTGGTCATTAGAGAAATGCAACTCAAAACCACAATGAGAGATACCATCTCACACCAGTTAGAATGGCAATCATTAAAAAGTCAGGAAACAACAGGTGCTGGAGAGGATGTGGAGAAATAGGAACATTTTTACACTGTTGGTAGGAGTGTAAACGAGTTCAACCATTGTGGAAGTCAGTGTGGCGATTCCTCAAGGATCTAGAACTAGAAATACCATTTGACCTAGCCATCCCATTACTGGGTATATACCCAAAAGATTATAAATCATGTTACTATAAAGACACATGCACACGTATGTTCACTGCGGCACTATTCACAATAGCAAAGACTTGGAATCAACCCAAATGTCCATCAATGATAGACTGGATTAAGAAAATGTAGCACATATACTCCATGGAATACTATGCAGCTATAAAAAGGATGAGTTCATGTCCTTTGTAGGGACATGGATGAAGCTGGAAACTATCATTCTGAGCAAACTATTGCAAGGACAGAAAACCAAACACTGCATGTTCTCACTCATAGGTGGGAACTGAACAATGAGAACACTTGGACACAGGGCGGGGAACATCACACACCAGGGCCTGTCATGGGATGCGGGGAATGGGGAGGGATGGCGTTAAGAGAAATACCTATTGTAAATGACGAGTTAATGGGTGCAGCACACCAACATGGCACATGTATTCATATGTAACAAACCTGCACATTGTGAACATGTACCCTAGAACTTGAAGTATAATAATAAAAAAAAGGGAAGTGTCTGTGTCTATTGCCCACTTTTTAACATGATGTTGTTTTTTTGCTTGTAAATTTGTTTAAGTTCTTTATAGATGCTGAATATTAGACCTTTGTCAGATCCAACAGTTTGGAAATATTTTCTCCCATTCTGTTAGGTTGTCTGTTTACTCTGCTGATGGTTTCTTTTGCTGTGCAGAAGCTCTTTAGTTTGATTAGGTCCCATTTGTTGATTTTTATTTTTGTTGCAACTGCTTTTGGTATATTTGTCATGAAATCCTTACCTGATCCTATGTCCAAAATGGTATTTTCTTTGTTATCTTCCAGGGTTTTTATAGTTTTATGTTTTACACTTAAGTCTTTAATCCTTCTTGAGTTGATTTTTGTAGGTGGTATAATGTAGGGGTCCAGGCTCAATCTTTTGCATATGGCTACTCAGTTATCTTAGTACCATTTATTGAAGGTGGAGTACTTTCCCCATTGCTTGTTTTTGCCAACTTCATTGACCATCAGATGGTTGTAGGTTTGTAGCAGTTTTTCTGGGCTCTCTATTCAGTTCCATTGTTCTATGTGTCTGTTTTTGTATCAGTACCACACTGATTAGTTACTGTAGTTTTGTAGTATAGTTTTGAAGTCAGTCAATATGACACTTTCAGCTTTGTTCTCTTTGCTTAAGATTGCCTTGGCTATTCGAGCTCTTTTTTTGGTTCCATATTAATTTTACAATATTTTTTCTAATTCTGTTAAGAATGTCATTGGTTTGAGGAAATAGCATTGAATCTACAAATTGCTTTGGGCAGTATGGCCATTTTAACAATATTGATTTTTTCCTTCCATGAGCAATGACTGTTTTTCCATTTGTTTGTGTCGTCTCTGATTTCTTTTAGCAGTGTTTTGTAATGCTCTTTGCAGAGGTCTTTCACTTTCCTGGTAGCTGTATTCCTAGAAATTTTATTCTTATTGTGGTCATTTTTTTTTTTTTTTTTTTTGAGACAGAGTTTCACTCCTTTTGCCCAGGCTGGAGTGCAATGGCGCAACCTCTGTCTCCCAGGTTCAAGCGATTCTTCTGCCTCAGCCTCCCAAGTAGCTGGGATTACAGGTGCCTGTCACCAAGCCCTGCTAATTTTTTGTATTTTTCATGGAGATGGGGTTTCACCATGTTGGCCAGGATGGTCTCAATCTCTTGACTTCATGATCCGCCCACCCCAGACTCCCAAAGTGCTGGGATTACAGGTGTGAGCCACCGCACCCAGCCTGCGGTAATTATAAATGGGATTGCAATCTGGATTTGGCTCTAGCTTGGATGTTATTGGTATATAGAAATGTTGCTGATTTTACTACATTGATTTTGTATCTTGAAACTTTGCTGAAGTTGTTTATCAGAACAAGGAGCTTTTGGGCAGAGACTGTGGGGTTTTCTGGGTATAGAATCATATTGTCTTCAAACAGAGATAGTTTGACTTCCTCTCTTCCTGTTTGGATGTCTTTTTTTTCTCTTGCCTGATTCCTCTGGCTAGGATTTCCAGTACTATGTCAAATAGGAGTCATGGGAGAGAGCATTTTTATCTTGTTCTGCTTTTCAAGGAGAATGCTTCTAGCTTTTGCCCATTCTGCAGGTTGGCTATGGGTTTGTCATAGATGAGTCTTATTATTTTGAAGTCTGTTCCTTCAATGCATAATCGAGGGTTTTAACATGAAAGAATATTGAATTTTATTGAAGGCATTTTCTTCATCTATTGAGATAATTATTTGTTTTTTGGTTTTAATTTTGTGTATGTGGTAAATCACGTTTATTGATTTGCACATTTTGAACCAACCTTGCATCCCAGGGATGAAGCCTACTTGATCATGGGGGAATAGCTTTTCGATGTGCTGCTGAATTTGTTTTGCTAGTATTTTGTTAAGGATTTCTGCATCATATTCACCAAGAATATTGGTCTGAAGTTTTCTTTTTTTGTTGTATCTTTGCTAGGTTTTGGTATCAGGATGATCCTGGCCTCATAAAATGAGTTAGGGAGGAGTCTTTCCTCAATTTTTTGAAACAGTTTCAGTAGGAATGGTACAAGTTATTTTTTATATATCTGATAGAATTTGACTGTGAATTCATCTGGTCCTGGGCTCTTTGTGGTTGGTAGGATTTTTATTAATGATTCAATTTTGGAACTCATTATTGGTCTATTCCTGTCCTGGACCAAGTTATTTCTTCCTAGTCCATTCCTGGGAGGTTGTATGTTCCCAGGATTTTATCCTTTTCTTCTAGGTTTTCTACTTTGTGTGCATAGAGGTGTTTACAGTCACCTCTGTTGAGTGTCTTTTAATATTTCTGCAGGATTAGTGGTAATGCCCCTTTTGTCATCTTTTTCTTTATTGGTCTAGCTAGTGATTTATCAATGTTATTTATTCTCTCAAAGAATCAATTATTAGATTCATTGATCTTCTGTGTGGTTTTCTATATCTCGATTTCCTTCAGCTCAGCACTGATTGTGGTTATTTCTTGTCTTCTGCTAGCTTTGGGGTTGGTTTGCTCATTTCTCTAGTTCCTCTGGGTGTGATGTTAGGTTGTTAATTTGAGATCTTTTTAACTTTTTGATGTGAGCATTCAGTGCTATAAACTTCCCTCGTCACACTGCTTTAGCTGTGTCCCAGAGATTCTGGTATGTTGTATCTTTGTAATCTTTGGTTTCAAAGAATTTCTTGATTTCTGCCTTAATTTCATTGTTTACCCAAAAAGTCATTCAGGGGCAGGTTCTTTAAATTCTATGCTTTTATGTGATTTTCTTAGTATTGATGTATATTTTATTGCACTATGGTCTGAGAGTGTGGTTGGTATGACTTTTTTTTTCTTTTAAATTTACTGAGGACTATTTTATGGCCAATTGTGCAGCAAATTTTAGAGTATGTGCCATGTGCAGATGAGAAGAATGCATATTCTGTTGTTTTGGGGTGGAGGGTTCTGTAGATATCTGTTAGGCCCATTTGGTCAAATGTCAAGTTTTGATCCCGAATATCTTTGCTAGTTTTCTGCCTCAGTGATCTGTCTAATACTGTCAGTGGGGTATTGAACACTCCCATTATTCTTGTGTGGTTATCTAAGTCTCTTCATAGGTCTGTAAGAATTTGCTTTATAAATCTAGGTGCTCCTGTCCCAGGTGCATCTATATTTAGGATAATTAGGTCTTCTTGTTGAATTAACCCCTTTACCATTATGTAATATTGACATGGTTTGGCTCTGTGTCCCTACTCAAATCTCATCTCGAGTTGTAATCCCCACATGTCAAGAGAGAGCCTGGTGGGTGGTGATTGGATCATGGGGGCAGGTTCCCCTATATGCTGTTCTCATGAGTTCCCACAAAATAGTGCATTCTCATGATATCTGATGGTTTAAAAGTGTGTGACAGTTCCCCTTCACTCTCTCTTTCTCTCCTGCCACAATGTAAGATGTGCCTTGATTCCTCTTTGCCTTCTTCCATGATGATAAGTTTCCTGAGGCCTCACCAGCCATGCAGAACTGAGTCAATGAAGCCTCTTTTCTGGCCAGGCGTGGTGGCTCACACCTGTAATCCCAGCATTTTGGGAGGCCAAGGCAGGTGAATCACCTGAGGTCAGGAGTTCAAGACCAGTCTGGCCAACAAGGTGAAACCCCGTCTCCACTAAAAATAAAAAAATTAGCTGGGCACGGTGGTGGACGCCTATAATCCCAGCCTCCCAGCCACTTGGGAGGCTGAGGCAGGAGAATTGCCTGAACCCCAGAGGCAGAGGTTGCAGTGAGTCAAGATCACGCCATTGCACTCCAGCTTGGGCGACAAGATTGAAACTCCCATCTCAAAACAACAACAACAACAACAACAAAAAACCAACAACAACAAAAACAACAAAAAAGCACTTTTCTTTATAAATTACCCAGTCTCACGTAGTTCTTTAGAGCAGTGTGAAAATGGACTAATACAAATATTCTTCTTCTTTTTTTTTTTCCTGGCACAGGGTCTCACTCCATCACTTACTACAATCTCTGCCTCCTGGGTTCAAGTGATTCTCATGCCTCAGCCTCCCAAATAGCTGGGATTACAGGTGCCTATCACCACCCCTGGCTAATTTTTGTATTTTTAGTAGAGACAGGGTTCTACCATGTTGTCCAGGTTGGTCTTGATATCCTGGCCTCGAGTGATCCACCCACATTGGCTTCCCAAAGTGCTGGGATTACAGGCATGAGCCACCATACCTGGCCTTGTCCTTTTTTATTGTTCATTTAAAGGCTGTTTTGTCTAAAATTAGAATACCAATCCCTGCTATTTTTCTGTTTTCCATTTGCATGGTAGGTTTTTCCCCATCTCTTCACTTTGAACCTACTGGTGTCACTGCCTGTGAGATGGGTTTCTTATAGACAGCATACAGTTGGGTCTTGCTTCTTTATCCAACTTGCCACTCTGTGACTTTTAATTGGGGCATTTAGCCCATTTACATTCAAGGTTATTATTGACATGAGCAGATTTTAAACTGCACATGTCTGACTGAGATATTTCAGATAACTGTTCTGCAGTCTCTGAGATTCTTTCCTCAGCTTGGTCGATTCTGCTATTAATACTTGCAACTGTATTCTGAAATTCTTGAAGTGAGTTTGTCAGCTCTTTCAGTTCAGTTCGGTTCTTTCTTAAATGGCCCTTTTGTCTTTATCTCCTGTATTGTTTTCTTATATTCCTTAGAGTGCCAGGACTAGGTTTTGACTTTCTCTTGAATGTTGATGACCTTCATTTCTATTGTGTTGTTAGCTGGTTGTTATGCAGACTTGATTGTGTAGTTGCTTTATAGTGTCAATGGTCTATGTACTTAAGTGTGTTTTGCGGTGACCGTAACAGTCTTTCCTTTCCATATTTAAAGCATTCCCTAAAAGACCTCTTGGAAGGCAGGCCTCATGGTAACCAACTTCCTTAGCATTTGCTTGTCTGAAAAGGATCTTATTTCTCCTTCACTTATGAAAGTTAGTGTGGCTGGATATGAAATTCTTCAGTGGAATGTATTTTCTTTAAGATTACTGAATATAGGCCCCCAATATCTTCTAGCTTGTAGAGTTTCTGCTGCAAGGTCTGCTGTTAGTTTAATGGGGTTCCCTTTGTAGCTGACCTTCCCCTTCTCTAGAACTGCCTTTAACAATTTCTTTCTTTCATTTTGAACTTAAAGAATCTGATGACAATGTGTCTTGGTGATGGTTATCTTGTATAGTATCGTAAAGGTGTTCTCTGTATTTACTGGATTTGAATGTTGGCCACTCTAAAAACGTTGAGGAAATGTGCATGGATGATACCCTTAAATATGTTTTCCAAGTTGCTTGTTTTCACTCCCTGTCTTTCAGGGACAAGAATGAGCCATAGATTTGGTCTCTTCACATAATCCCATATTTCTTGGAGGCTTTGTTCATTCTTTATTGCTTTTGCTTTATTTTTGTCTGACTGAGATATTTCATGTAACTGTTCTGCAATCTCTGAGGTTCTTTCCTCAGCTTGGTTGATTTTGCTGTTAATACTTGCAGTTGTATTCTGAAATTCTTGAAGTGAGATTTTCAGCTCTATCAATTCAGTTTGGTTCTTTCTTAATATGACCCTTTTGTCTTTATCTCCTATATTGTTTTCTTATATTCCTTAGAGTGCTAAGATTGGGTTTTGACTTTCTCTTGAATGCTGATGACCTTCATTCCTTATCCATGTTCTGAATTCTATTTCTGACATTTCAGCCATCTCAGCGTAGTTAAGAACCATTGCTGGGAAACTAGTGTAGTTGTTTGAAGACAAGAAGATACTCTGGCCTTTTCGGTTGTCAGAGTTCTTGAGATGGTTCTTTCTCATCTGTGTGGACTGATGTTCCTAAAGTCTTTGACACTGCTATCCTTTAGATGGGCTTTTTTCCTTTCATCTTCTTTGATGCCCTTGCTTTCATCTTCTTTGATGCCCTTGGGGGTTTGATTATGACATAATGTGGGTTCAGTCTACTGTTTTTAATTCTAGTCTGCTCCTGGGTCTTGCAGGAGCCCCTTCTGATTACTGTCTCCATGCCCACGTTTCTTTTGTTGTGTGTTCTGGTCCACAAGGCTCCCTCAGGTAGGGACTCCTGTTGGCAGACAGGCTGAATCCTTGCCCGTCAGCCTTAATCTGCTGTCCAAATGCCTCCTGGGAGAACATGGGGTTGCACCTGCCCAGAGAGTTCAGGCAGAAGTGGTACCATTGGGCTGGAAGCTCTAGCAGATGTGGGCCATCTGGCTATGAGAAGCTGGGACAGGTAGAGCTGCCCACCCTGCCTTTGGGTCATTTCCAGAGTAACAGGAGGCTAGGCCCCTCACTTAATTCAGGCAGTGTAGGACTCTGGTCTAGAAGCTGTAGCTGGCATGGTTCCCCTGGTTATCAGTGACGGGGATAGGTGGGTTCACCAATTCTGACATCTGGGTGCTTCCTAGAACAAGGGGCTGTGCCCTAGGGCTGAGTTCACACAAGTGTGACCACTAGGCCAAAAGCTCTAGTAACCATAGCACTTCTGGCCATGAGTGAAAAGGGTAGGTGAGGTAGCCCATCCTGCCATCTGGGCATTTCCTGGGACAATGAGAGGCTGCAGCTGCCAGTTGAGTTCAAATCAAAGCAGAACCACTGGGCCAGAAGCTAGCACTAGTACCGACCCCCATTTGGCAAATAGGGTGGAGCAGTCTTACTACTCCCAGGCACTACAACTATGGCCTCCATTGGAGCTACCATGCCAGATTCTGGTTTGCTATAGGGCCCAAGGCTTGTAGATGTCCCCTTTGTCTCAAGAGTTGCCCCTACTAAATTTCCAGGTGGTTCTATGCCTCAGCCTAGAAGCAGGGTAGGGGAAATGTGGATGGGAAGAGACAGACAGGGAGATCCTGTCATTTCCAGTATTGCACAGGTGCCTGTGAAGAGCATGAGTCATCCAGGGGTCTCTTACTCACTTATCCTTTCCCATGTCAGAGAGGTTCTTCTGGCTCTATGATGAGCCCAGACAGGCTGGTGCCTGGCTTCACGACTCCCTGCTTTGTCCCCCTGCTACCTTGATGGATTCCAATGTGGTTTCTCTAATGCAGCCTTCAGGGTGAGTTTTCACTAGCTACTTTGTTTCCTTTCCATGAGAGTGGTGCTTCTAGTCTGCCATCTTAGCCCAATCCCCTTCGAGATTTTTATTTTGAAAAGGTAAATCATCGATTTAATTTCACTGGATGTTTCATATAAAGATACTGTCTTCAAATACTAATTATATTTGCAAAGCAAAAGAAGAATAAAAACAATATGTATAATCATCATTTAAACTCTGAATTTCAGAATTTTTAAGTCTCAAAAAGGGGAACATTTTTAGTAACATATTAGGTCAAACCTAAGTTGACTAAAATTATCTAACTGAATTCTTAGCCTAAGCAAAAATCTCATGAATCCATTTTATTTCTTTTTATATTTTATGTTGTCTTTTTGTAAGAAAACAATTTATAGAAATTCCAGAATTTTATTTAAGATGGTATTGTTTTAGTTAGGGGTCTCCAGAGAAACAGAAACAATAGAACATATACAGAGAGATATGAGGAGATTTATTTTAGGAATTGGCTCATGTGGTTATAAAAGTCAAGAAGTTCTGTGATCTGCCACTTGCAAGCTGGAGAAACAGGAAAGCAGGAAGTATAATTCAGTCCCAGCCCAAAGACCTGAGGATTGGCGATGGAGCCTGTGGGTTGCCAATGGTGTATGTCCCACTCTGAGTCCAAAAGCCCCAGAATCAGGAGTGCTGATGTCTAAGGGCAGCAGAAGATGGATGTATCTGTTCAAGCAAAGAAAGTAAATTTGCCTTTCCTCTACCTTTTTGTTCTATTCTGTCCCTCAGTAAATTGGATAATGCCTGCTCCTCTGTTCTTGCTTGCTGCCTACTTTATCCATGGAAGCCCATAGCAAATTAATTATTTTAAATTAACTATTTTAAATTTCCATTCTGATAATTCCAACACTTCTGCCAAGTCTGATTCTGACGCTTGCTCCATCTCTTCAAACTGGTTTTTTTGCCTTTTAGTAATTTTTTGCCCAGTAATTTTTTCTTGATAGCCAGATATAATGTACTGGGTAAAAAGAACTGCTGTAAACAACAGGTCTTTAGTAATGCGGTGGTAAGTTGTTGGGGGAGTGGTCTATAGTCCTATACAGTCATGCATTGCATAATGACATTTTGGTCAATGACAGACTGCATATATGGCAGTGGCCCCATAAGATTATAACACCATATATTTATTGTACCTTTTCTATGTTTAGATATGTTTAGCTATACAAATATTTACCATTGTGTTATAAGTACCTATAGTGTTGAGTACAGTAAAATGCTATACAGTCTTGTAGCCTAAGAGCTATAGTTTATACCACATGGTTTAGGAGTATAATAGGCTACACTATCTAAGTTCATGTAAGTACACTCCATAATGTTCACACAATGACAAAAATCACCTAACAATGTATTTCTCAGAACATATTTCCATTAAGAAGAGACTTATGACTATAATTATTTCTGTCATTTAGTGAGCTTGTGCCTCAAGACTATGAACTTTACAAGTGCTCCTCAGCTTTATTCTACGCCCTGCTTTAGGTGGGGTAGATGGCTAGAGTGGGCTGAAGTTGGGTATTTCCCTTCTAACAGGTGAGTTAGTCTCTGATAAAACTCCAGCAGGCTAGTCTCTGAGTAACTAGTTTCTCTTGAGGGCAGACCTTATTAAAAAGAACAGAGTGCTCTGGCACATTTTAAAACAGTTTATTTTATCTTACTCCTTCCAGAAGCATGAGGGGATTCTTCTCCAATATTCAGTTCCCAGATATAAAACTCACAGAAGCATGGCTCCCAGCTGAATGTATCCCCCTGGAGTTTTCAGCTCTCAGATGTGCCCACACTGAGCAATTCGTTCATTAAAGTTCAGGTTTTCCTACTCCAGCACTATTTCCTGTGGAGGTTTCTGCCTCAGTATGTTGTGATTCTCTGTATCCACCTGCCTTTTGCTCGAATTTGAGGGGCCTGTGACATCACTTCTCTCAGGGATGTAGAATAATTATCAATTTTTCAGTTCATTTCTATTTTCACTAATTAGGATGGAGTGGTTGATTCCAAGATTCTTACATGAGAAACCAGAAACTAGAAGTCACATCCATTTACTTTTAATTTGCATATGTCTTTATGTTTAAAAGAGGTTTCTTGTAGACAACACATAGTTGGTTATTGTGTTTTGATCCACTCTGACAATCTCTCTTTTGCTGTGTTTAAGCCTTTGATATTTAAAGTTATTATCTATAAAGCTGGATTAATATCTACTATGTTTGTTACTATGTGCTTATTTTAAATAAAAATTTTAGGATTAGCCCTAAGAAAATAGTCACAAGTAAGATTTTGGCACATGACTAATATAAACCAATTTTGGGTTAAATTCTAAGGAAAAGAGGCTTTTCCATTTCTAGACAAAGTGTTTTTCTAAGCCTATGTAATGTATCTGTTAAGTAATGCCATATGATAAATGGTGTCTTGGTACATTCTGGATGATACAAAAGGTTATGTCTTTCACCCTGAGAAAGAAATGCTCTGTGTTCAAGGTCTAGGTCTAAAACAGATTTTGTAGTATGTGACCTAGGGCTGCAGTAAAGATAGATAGCAATGAAAGCAAAATACCTAATGCGTAGGTGTCTACAAATGGATGGACTAACAGATTTAACATAAGGAACACAACAGTAAATCAATTTAATGCCCTTTATTTTCTGATGGGTGCCAAGTCACTTACTACATAAACTACAACAATACCAAGTTTTCAGCTAATTGTTTGCTTAAAGAATCACAGAACTTACATTCAAGATTTCATTTACATACAAAATTCACTTGAGGTTTTCTGGTTGAAACTTTCAATAGCTTTAAGAATTATATTCTCTAATTTTTAAATCACTTGCAGTTTAAGCTCATTTGAGAAACTTTTTTCTCCTTCAGAGTACCGTATTCATTTATCACAGCAAAAACGCACCTTTAAAGGTTTGTTTTTGTTATGGTTGCTGTTTGTTCCCTTATGTTTGTTTGTATGCTTGTTTTTTAAGTATGATACTGAGGGCAGAAACAATCTGAATTCCATATTCGGGTTCACAGGGTATATATATTTTTTCTGTTAGATACACACTCCTTAATCACTGCCAGGAAGTGTACTCTTGATCATTTAGAAATAAGAAAGTGTAGGGGACTTAAACAAAATCTATCATTGCTATTGAACAAAACAGTTGAATCAGCATGTTCTGCTTTCAACAGGAAAGTGGTTTATAACTACTCCAAGTGACTGTTTTAGTCAATTCAGACTGCTTCAACAGAAAACCACAGACTAGATGGCTAAACAACAAACATGTATTTCTCACAATCCTGGAGGCTGGAAAGTTCAAGATCATGGTGTAAGTAGATTCAGTTCTGTTGAGGGCTTGCTTCTTGGTCTGCAGATGGCCATCTTCCCATTGTATCATCCAGTGGTAGTGAGCAGAGATTGGAGAACAAGCTCTCTTGTCTCTCTGTTAAAGGCACTAATTACATCCAAGGAGCTCCACCCTCATGACCTATCATCTCCTAATACCATCACATTGAGGGTTAGAATTTCAATATAAAAATTTTGGAGGGGAGGGCACAAACATCCAGTCCACAGCAGTGAGTTTCTTGTAATCTCAGAAGTCTTCTTACATAACTAAATTGTTGTTCAGAATTGATTTGGGTCCTTTGTGATTTATTGATCATTAATTTAAAATTCAATTAACTTGGGGATGTATTGAAAACTTGACAATGTGAAACTAATTTTGCTATACATTAACTACTAAAAAAACCACTACCGTTCATTAAGTCACCACCCAATCCCAATCACTTTTCTTACATTATCTCATTTAATCCTCAAAACAACTAGAGGTATTCATTTTTACTCCGGTTTTGCCAAAAATGAAGTTAAAGCTCAGATATATTACATAACTTAAAGTCATTCAGTTAGAAAATAGCAGAGCTGATATCTGAGTTTAATTCTGTTTGACTCCAAGACAAACATTTTTTCCATTTCATTGTGTAAGCTTAATTATATCTCTCCTTGCAAAGGGATAAATACCACATAATCAGACTTGAAAGTTTTCCATGGTGTTATTCTAAATGATTTTGACTCATTTGAATTTGCATTTCTTGAAGTTTCTCATAAAAGGTTTGACTCAATTGTTTAAATGCCAGGACTACATTGTCACGCTTATTTTCACATAGTTCACTCAAGGAGTCACTGTATAAATGATAATAATAATAAAAAAATAATGAGCCCACATTTTTATAACAATCAATATTATTAAAAGGTTAGCAGAAGTAATTCCCCCCAAAATCTATCAGATGTAAATATGGAGAAAAAGTACGCAGAATATTAATAAAATGCACAGTTATCTTGTAAAATCTTTACAACATACATCATGTATCTTGAGAAAGATAAAGATATATACCTTCACACAGTTCTTCTTTTTTTCTTTTTTCTTTTTCTTTTTTTTTTTTTTTTTTTTTGAGACAGAGTCTCGCTCTGTTGCCCAGGTTGGAGTGCAGTGGCGTGATCTGATCTCGGCTCACTGCAACCTCTGCCTCCTGGGTTCAAGCAATTCTCTGCCTCAGCCTCCTGAGTAGCTGGGATTATAGGCACCCGGCTAATTTTTATATTTTTAGTAGCGACAGGGTTTCACCATCTTGGCCAGGCTGGTCTTGAACTCCTGACCTCGTGATCCACCCGCCTCGGCCTCTCAAAGTGCTGGGATTACAGGCGTGGGCCACCGTGTCCGGCCACAGTTCCTCTTTATATTACACCTAAACTTGCTCTGTGAGTTTGTAAGACCACAGAATTCCATATTCTTAGAACCTAGAAGTGTTATTCAACTTCTTTTCTTCTCTTTACACATCTCATGAAAGCCATATGGACTTCCTAATATAGGGACAATTATTTTTAAAAACCCACAGTCACCCAATTCAGTGGAAAAAAATTCTGTCCCTATCCATATATCTTAGGATAGAAGCTGGGGTGAATGAGAGGAGACATAGAAAAGTGAGTCCCTCAGCTACCTGACATGCTATTCGAGCATTGCAATCAATTGGGATTTGACATTTTGCCATCCTTTTCGTTTTCATGCTCCACCTTATTCACTCTAGAGCAGAGTTTCAGTTTTTTACTAGTCCTCAGTGGCTGAATATTAGGAATGATCACATCTTTATCTCTAAGTCTGAAATTCCTCCAGAGTTTCAGACATATTATTCTATTGACTGCTGAACATTTCCCCCTGGATGTCTTATAGACAACACATGTGACATTTTAAATTCCAACTCATACTTTTTTATTGTCAGTTCTGAAGTCATCATCATGTATTCCCTACTTTCATTAACACTATCATTAACCAAATTAGAAACCCAATTTGTCATAATATCTCTTTCCCCATTGCATGAATTCCTCCTCTTAAATATTTCTCCAATCCTTATCATTCATTTCTACCACCACTGCCTAATTCAAGCCTTCATTTTCTCTCACCTGGAATATGGGTATAGCCTCCAGCTTTAGCTCCCTGCTTTCAGTTTCTCTACCTCTTGAGTTAATCTATATACCCTGCCAGAATAATATCTCTAAAACATAGATCTATGTCGTACTCATCCTTAGAAACTCCCCTTTGTCTACCATTTGTCTCACCTTTGTCTACCATTTTAAATCCAAACTTCATTGCCTAACAAATAAGACCCTTCGCATATACAACCAAATTCCTTTCAAAGACTCCACACTCACTTCTCAGCATTTTCCCCAGTCCCTGTCACAACCTCCACATTCTGTACTCCACCATCATTAGCTTGGGGCCTATCCCCGAATACATCAGGACCTTTAATATTTCTGCACATTTGGATACACTATTCTCCCTGCTTAAAATCTGACTACCCTAATTATTCTACTTAATTATCCTAATTAACTAGAATTATATTAAGTATAATTAATCTACTTAATGAATTTTCACTTCTCCTTTAAGACCTGATTGGAAATTACATCTTCTATAATGCTTTTTCCGATTATAGTAGCATTAATCATAAAGTTATTTATGTTATCTTAGTATTTTGTGTATAACTCAATCATAGCACTTACCACATATGACTGTCTACAAGAAAGTTTCTCCCATGACATTGAAGTGCCTGGAAGAGTGCCTCTAACACAGTAAGACCTTGATACTTTTATAATTGATAAATGAATGAAGGAATTATTTTTCCTGTTTAAACTCTTGAGATACATTTAAAATCTCCAAAGTTTCTCAGGCTACTCAAAGAGGTTGTAGCTTTGGTAGCTATAAGCCACTTGAGGAATCCTTTATGTAGAGATACTCCAAGTGGGCAAAGGAGGGTCATCCTAAGACTTTCACTCTTTGTAGAAAGCTTCCCAAAGGGTCAGACTCGGCTCAGACCAAGGAAAACCACAAATATGTCCTCACTAACAAGGAACTCTAAATAAATATTCTCCTTCCAAAACTGAATTTACGTGAAAAACCACATACACTTGATAAAGAAGTAAGGACTAGAGGTAAGGAAAATGGAGCTAGACAAAAACTGGATGACCAATGGAGCATAGAGAAAGGAGTGCCCACATAGAGTTCATATTTGCTTGGGTCTCTGTTGAGCATTGGGCAGATGAACATAGGAAATCAATGGGAGCTGCCAGAGTCTGGGAAAGGCACTGGGTACGAGAAAGATTTAACTGCTTTGAAGTGGATATAAACCAGAGACCTACTGAAGTCATTTATCTGACTCAGTGTGACTGCTCAGCATTTGTAGAAATTGAGTATAGTGAGAATATAGCGAGGCCTGGAGATTTATGAAGTCATGAGGAAGAGCCTTCCAGGCTCTGATCCGAATGAAATTCAATTACAAATGGATTTGAGATGAATCTTAATACAAAAAAAACAGCGTGACAGTGTCCTGAGGAATGGGTCTACAGAGCCTTTGGATAGCTGAATTGTAGAGAACCTGGGAGGCTCAATAGTATCTTCAGAGTGCTCCTTCATGAGAATCACAAACTTACACAAAGGAAGAGCTATATGTTTGCTAAACTATCATTAAATAATTGAGAAAATCAAACTCAGCATGAAACATACCTGATAGCCTGAATGTTGAATGCAAAATCTTTCAAACACTTTAAAAGCTGTCCCATACGCATCCTAAAGAGAACAACATTTCTTAATTAAAAAGTATAAAAACATAAACATAAAAGAATTAACTCAAACTTTAATAGTGGTCTGTCCATGGCAGTTAATTTATCTGCCAAATGCACTCCCAGTTAAGCATTCTATTGTATTAATCATAATGAAATTGAGAGGCATAGGTAAAAACCACAAAAAAAATTATTAAAGAGATAATTTGACCATTATCAAAGGGGGAGGGTGAAATATAAAAGTAAAGCATAGAAGGGTCAATGAGGACTACAGATTAAAGTGAAAACAAAACAAGTTGATAGACTAATATTATTTCTACTTACTTCTTCTACTTTCTTAGTTCTATTTCTACTTTCTTAGTTCTTCATAACTAAGAACTAGACCTAAGAAAAACAGATGTAGCTCAAGATTTGTCAAGAATAGGAGAACATTGAACAAGATGCAAGATGCCTCTGCCACACTGTCTCTCCTACCAGAAATGACTGGGAGTCAGGGTGGCTTCTTCCTACAGGAAAATGGTATGCAAAAGACTTCCAGCGGTTTCCACAGCCATCACAGATGCCAGCAGTTCTTGCTACAAGAGAGTCTCCCAGTCCTCACAGGCCCAGAATCTATTTTGGAGAGTTGCCAGAAGTTTAAGTAGTTTCGTTGCCCCAGAGTAAGAGCCCACATTGTGTATCTCCTCCTTCATGACCTAAGCAGCTATGGCATGATGACATTTTGAAGGCCAGTAGCCAATCTCTCTCTCCATCCCTGAAGCCCCACTATCATTTCACATCCAAAGCTATGTGGCAGCCCACCACCCACTGGGGAAAAGGCAGACATGCACAGCAAGAAAACCACTGAACAGGTGGCCAGGCCACTGCACCAGTGCATACTCGTGCTGCGCAGCCAGAAAAACCACCATGCCTGCACCAACCCATGCCAAGCCTGGCAGCCAGGGCAGAGGTGGCCCCACCTCCTGAAAAGACTGCGGCATGCCAGTCAGCCCAGCATGCATTTGCATGTGCCTGGCCTGACAGCCAGTTCAGCAGAGGCCTCACCTTCCCAGGGACACTGCCACACAGCCAGCAGTCCCACTACACATGCACTTGGCCCAATATCCAGTTCAACAGCAGCCCGACCTCCCCATAGACACTGCCACACAGCTGGCCAGCCCACATATGCCTGCACTCAAACCAACAGCAGTCCAACAGTGGTCTTACCTCCTCCAGAGACACTACTGCACAGCTGGCTGGCTCACTGCACCCACAGATACCCAGCTCAAGAGCCAGCCTGGTGATAGCCTCACTTCTCTGGAGAGTCCACCATACAGCCTGCTGGCACACTGAACCAAAATATTCCTGCCCCAAATAACCAGCTCAGTGCCCCTGCCCCCACCAAAACCATACCACCAACATCTGTAGCCTATCCTCCTGTAGATATCATACAAAAGAACCAAAAAAATCGTGGAGCTAAAGAATTCAATGCATTAAGTTTTAAAAGAATGAGAGCTTTAGCAACAGACTAGATCAAGCTAAAGAAATAATTTCTGAATTTGAAGACTGGTCTTTTGAAATAACCAGTCAAAGAGGGAAAAAGAATAAAAAGGAATTAAGAAACCATATAGGACTTATGGGACACCATTAAATGAACAAATATTCACCTTATAGGGGCACCAGAGGGAGAAGTAGAGAGATATTTTGTTATTATTATTAACAAAATAATAGCTGAAAACTTCCCATGTCTTGGGAGATATATGCATCTAAGAAGCTCAAAAGTCCCCAATTAGTTTCAACCCACAAAGATACTCTCTGAGGCACATTATAACCAAACTGTCAAAAGTCAAAGACAAAGAATTCTAAATGCTGAAGAGAAAAGCATCAAGTCACACATAACGGAATCCTCATGAGACTATCAGCAGATTCCCAGCAGAAACCTCACAGGCCAGGAAAGAATGGAATGATATATTCAAAGCGCTGAAAGAAAAAGAAAAGTCAGTCAAGAATACTACATCCAGGAAAGCTATCCTTCAGAAATGAAGGAGAAATAAAGATCTTCCCAGACAAGCAAAAGCTGAGGAAATTTATCACTACTAGTCTAGGCTTACAAGAAATTCTTAAGTGAATGCTACAACTAAAAATGAAAGAATGATCATTACTATCACAAAAATATTTGAAAGATTAAAACTCATCGATAGAAGTAAATTCGTAATCAAATTCAGAATAACCTCATGCTGTCTGGGTGCTACGGAAATCCTTCAGTTCTCTAGTCCGAAAGCTTTAAGTCAAAATGGTCAAAAAACAACAACACCTACAATTAATGACTAAAGAATACACAATAGATAAAGATGTAAATTAAGTCAACAAAAACAGAAATTATTGTGGGGAAGCAAGAAAGTCTAAAATATTTTTATGTGACCAAAGTCAAGTTGTTATCAGCATAAAATAGTCTATTATAACTACAAGACTCTTTATGTTAGCACATGATAACCACAAAGAAAGAACTTAGAGCAGGCACACAAATGAGAAAAAAGAAGAAAATAAAGCTTAGCACCACAGAAAACCACCAAACCACAGACATAAACAACAAGAGAGGAATAAAGGAACAAAGAATCTACAAAACGACCAGAAAACAATGAACAAAATGGCAGATGTAAGTTCTTACCTACTTATAATTACCTCGAAAATAAATAAAGTCTCCAGTTAAAAGATACAGAGTGAATGGATTTTATTTTAAAGGTAACAGAGTAAAACCCTGTCTGTACAAAAAAGAAAAATAAAAAATTAGCCAGGTGTGGTGGTGTGCACCTGTAGTCCTAGCTACTCAGGAGGCTGAGCTGGGAGGACTGAATGAACCCAGGAGTTGGAGGCTGCAGTGAGCTATGATTGTGCCACTGTACTCCAGCCCCAGTGACAGAGAGAGACTCCATCTCTTAAAAAAATTAACTCAATGTACAATTGTATGCTGACTACTACAGAATCACCTCACCATTAAAGACAAGCATAGAATGAAAGTGAAGGAAGGGACAAAGATATCCCATGCAAAGAGAAATCAAAAGTGAGCAGGAGTAGCAATACTTATATCAGATAAAATGAACTTTAAGACAAAAACTATAAAAAGGACAAAGTCATTATATAATGATAAAGGAATCAATTCAACAAGAGGATATAGCATTGTAATTCTATATACCAAAACATCCAAATATATAAAGCAATTATTATTAGATCTAAAAGGAGAGACAAACTGCAGTATAATAATATTAGGGACTTCAACATCCCACTTTCAACAATGAATGGGTCATCCAGGCGAAAAAATAACAAGGAATCATCAGAATTAAACTGCACCATAGACCAAATTGACCTAACAGCCTTTTTTTAGAGACAGGGTCTTGCTGTGATGCCTAGGCTGGTCTTGAACTCCTGACCTCAAGTGATCATCCCACCTCAACCTCCCAAAGTGCTGGGATTACAGGTGTGGGCCACTGTGCCTGGCTGATATTTTTTACAGAATATTCTGTCCAACAGCTTCAGAATGCACATTTTTCTCAACCGTACATGGAACATTCTCTTGGATAGATCATATGTTTGATCACCAAACAAGTCTGAACAAATTTAAGAATATAGAGATCATATCAAGTAACTTTTCTGAGCAAAATGGTATGAAACTAGAAATCAGCAACAAGAAATGCTCTGGAAAATTTACAAATACATGGAAATTAAACAACTACTCTTAAAAAAAACCCAACAGATCAATAAGCAAATTAAAAGGGAAACTTAAATATTTCTTAAGACAAATGAGAATGGAAACACATTATAACAAAACTTATGGAACACAGAAAAAGCAGTTTTAAAATGGAATTTATAGCAATAAAGGCCTAAATCAAAAAAGAAGAAACATTTTTACTAAACAACCAAATGATGCACCTCAAGAAACTTAATATACAAGAACAAACTAAACCCAAAACTGGTAGAAGGAAAGAATAAAGCTTAAAGAAGCAGACGTAAACAAAATAGAGGCAAAAAATGCAATTTGAAAGGTCAGTGAAATGAAGATGGTTTTAAAAAGATAAACAAAATTGATAAACCTTTAGCTAGACTAAGAAAAAAGAGGGAAGACTAAAATAAATAAAATTAGATATTAAAAAGGAGACATTACAACAGTTCCACAGAAGTACAAAAAATAATAAGATACTATTATCAACAACTATACACTAACACATTTGATAACATGGGAGAAATGGCTAAGTTCCTGGACATATACAACTTCCCAAAATTAAATAAAGAAGAAATAGAAAATCTAAACAGAGCAGTAATGAGAGAAGAAATTGAACTAGTAATCATAAGTTTTTCATCAGAAAAAAAAAAAAGCCCACGACTTAATGGCTTCACTGCTGAATTCTACCAAACATTTAAAGAAGACTAATACCAATCCTCTTCAAGCTATTAAGGGAATTTAAGAGGAGGGACTACTTCCAAATTTTTTTTACAAGACCAACATTATTCTGACTCCAAAACCAGATAAGGATACAGCAACAACAACAAAAATTATAGGCCAATATCTCTGATAAACACAAATCCAAAAATTCTCAACAAGATACTAGCAAACCAAATTCAAAAGCACATTAAAAATGTCATTCAATAAGATCAAGGGGGATTTATCCAGGGAATGCAAGGATAGTGCAATATATGCAAATCAATAAATGAGATAAATAGCATTAACAGGAAAACAAAAACCATATGATCTTTTGATAGATACAGAAAAGGCATTTGACAAAATTCAAAACATCCCTTCATAATAAAAACTCTTAACAAATTAGGTATAGAAGATATGTACGTCAACACAATAAAAGCCATATATGACAAATCCATAGCTAACATCATACGATCAGGAATAAGACAAGGATGCCGACTTTCACCATTTTTATTCAACATAGTACTAGTAGTCCTAGCCAGGGCAAGCAGACAAGAGAATAAATAATTAAAGACATCCAAATCGGAAAGGAAAAAGTCAGATTGTCCCTGTTTTCAGACAAGATCTTATATACAGGAAACCCTAAAGACTTAATGAAAAACTGCTAGAACTGATCAACAAACAATATAAATTTGCAGGATACAAAATTAACACACAAAAATCAGTAGTGTTTCTATGCAATAATAGCAAACTGTCTGAAAATAAAAAGTTTTTTTAAAACAAATTCATTTACAATAGCTACAAAAAATTAGATAATAAATAAACAAGAAGGTAAAAGATCTCTACACTGAAAACTGTAAAACATTGATGAAAGAAATTAAAGAGGACACTAAGAAATGAAAAGATATTCCACGTTCAGGGAATGAAAAAAATAGTATTGTTAAAATGGCCACACTACCCAAAATGATCTATAAATTTAATACAATCTCCATTAAAATACCAATGACATTTTTTACAAAAATAGGAAAAAAAATCCTAAAATTTGTAGGAAACCACAAAAAGTCCCAAATATGCAAAGCAATCCTCAGCAAAAAGAATGCAGCTAGAGGCATCACACTGACTTCAACACACTATATACTACAAAGCTATCATAAACAAAACAGTATGATTCCATCATAAAAACCACATACTTTGACCAATGAAACAGTAGAAAACCCAGAAATAAATCCACACATTTACACCCAACTGATTTTTTATAAATTAGCTTTTCCCTCATGTGTGCCAAGAACACACACGAGGGAAAAGGGAATGTGTGTTTAATATGTTATGCCATTATATTATATGTTAATATATTATATGCTATTATATATGTGTTTAATAGGTTATGCTGATATGTTATATGTTAATATGTTAATAACATATTAAATATAATAGCATAATATAATATGCTAATATGTCAATATATGATGCTGGGAAAATTAGATATACACATGCACAAGAATGAGACTAGACTCCTACTTCTCACCATATACAAAAATCTACTCAAAATGGTTAAAGACTTAAATGTAAAACCTGAAACTATGAAACAATATGGTTTGGCTGTGTCTCCACACAAATCTCATCATGAATCTTAACTCCCACAATTACCACATGTCGTGGGAGGAACCCAGTGGGAGGTTATTGATTTATGAGGGCGGGTCTTTTCTGCACTGTTCTTCTGATAGTGAATGAGTCTCATGAGACCTGATGGTTTTAAAAACAGGAATGTCCCTGTATAAGCTCTCTTTTCTCATCTGCCACCATGTGAGACGTGCCTTTCACCTTCTGCCATGATGGTAAGGTCTCCACAGCCCTATGGAACTCTAAGTCCAATAAAACTTTTTCTTTTGTAAGTTGTCCAGTCTTGGGCATGTCTTTATCAGCAGTGTGAAAATGAACTAACACAGTAAATTGGTACCAGTAGAGTGGGGTGCTGCTGAAAAGATAACTGAAAATGTGGAAGTGACTTTGGAACTGGGTAACAGGCAGAGGTTGAAACAGTTTGGAAAGCTCAGAAGAAGATAGGAAAACGTGGGAAAGTTTGGAACTTCCTAAAGACTTGCTGAATGGCTTTGCCCAAAATGCTGATAGCAATATGGACAATAAAGTCCAGTCTAAGGTGGTCTCAGATGGAAATGAGGAACTTATTGGGAACTGGAGCAAAGGTAGCTCTTGTATGTTTTAGCAAAGAGACTGGCAGCATTTTGCCCCTGCCCTAGAGATTTATGGAACTTAGAACTTGAGAGAGATGATTTAGGGTACCTGGAGAAAGAAATTTCTAAGCAGCAAAGCATTCAAGAGGTGACTTGGGTACTGTTAAAGGCATTCAGTTTTATAAGAGAAGCAGAGCATAACAGTTTGGAAAATTTGCAGCTTGGCAATGCAATAGAAAAGAAAATTCCATTTTCTGAGGAGAAATTTAAGCCAGCTGCAGAAATTTGCATAAGTAACAAGGAGCCTAACGTTAATCCCCAAGACAACGGGGTAAATGTCTCCAGGATGTGGCAGAGGTCTTCATGGCAGACCCTCCCATCAGAGGTCTGGAAACCCAGGAGGAAAAAGTGGTTTCATGGGCCAGGCCCAGGGTCCCTGTGCTGTGTGCAGCCTAGGGACTTTGTGCCCTGCATCCCAGCTGCTCCAGCCATGGCTGAAAAAGGCTAATGTAGAGCTTGAGCCATGGCTCCAAAGGGTGCAAGCCCCAAGCCTTGGTAGCTTCCACATGGTGTTCAGCCTGCAGGTGCACAGAAGTCAATAATTGAGATTTGGGAACCCCTGCCTAGATTTCAGAAGATGTATGGAAACGCCTGGATGCCCAGGCAGAAGTTTGCTGCAGGAGCAGGGCCCCCATGGAGAACCTGTTCTCAGGCAGTGAAGAAGGAAAATGTGGGGTCAGAGCCCCCACGCAGAATCCTAAGTGGGGCACTGCCTAGTGGAGCTGTGAGAAGAGGGCCACTATCCTCTGTACCCCAGAATGGTAGACCCACTGAAAGCTTGCACTGTGCACCTGGAAAAGCCACAGACACTCAATGCCAGCCTGTGAAAGCAGCCAGGAGGGAGGCTGTACCCTGCAAAGCCAAAGGGGTGGAGCTGCCCAAGACTATGGAAACCCACCTCTTGCATCAGCATGGCTCGGATGCAAGACATGGAGTCAAAAGAGATCATTTTGGAGCTTTAAGATTTGACTGCCCTGCTGGATTTCAAGTTGCATGGGGCCTGTAGCCCCTTTGTTTTGGCCAATTTCTCCCATTTGGAATGGCTGTATTTACCCAATCCTCATACCCCCACTGTATCTAGGAAGTAACTAACTTGCTTTTGATTTTACAGGCTCATAGATGGAATGGACTTGCCTTGTATCAGATAAGACATTGTACAGTAGACTTTTGAGTTAATGCTGAAATGAGTTAAGACTCTGGGGGACTGCTGGGAAGGCATGATTGGTTTTGAAATGTGAGGACATGAGATTTGGGAGGGGCCAGGGGCAGAATGATATAGTTTGCCTGTGTCCCCACCCAAATCTTATCTTGAATTGTAACTCCCACAATTCCCATGTGTCATGGGAGGAACCCGGTGCGAGGTGACTGAATTATGGGGGCAGGTCTTTCCTGAGCTGTTCTCCTGATAGTGAATGAGTCTCACAAGGTCTGATGGTTTTAAAAATGGGAGTTTCCCTGCACATGCTCTCTTCTCTTGTCTGCGGCCATGTGAGACATGTCTTTCAACTTCCATCATGATTGTGAGGTTGCGGAACTGTAGGTCAAATAAACCCCTTTCTTTTTAAATTGCCCAGTCTTGGGTATGTCTTTATCGGCAGTGTGAAAACAAACTAATACAGCCATTTAAAAAAAACAAAAAAAAAAAAACAGCAGAAAAACTTCATGATATTGGACTGGGCAAGGATTTTTTAAATAAGATCTCAAAAACAGAAGCAATAAAAGCAAAAATAGACAAAAGAGATTACATCAAACTAAAAAGTTTTCCACAGTAAAGAAAACAACAGAGTGGAGAGATAACCTATAAGATGGGAGAAAAATATCGACACACTATACATCAGACAAAAGATTCATATCCAGAATACATAAGAAACATAACAGCAAAAAAAATCTATTTAAAAATGGGCAAAAAACTTTAATAGACATTTCTCAACAGAAAGTATACAAAAGGCCAACAGGTATATGAAAAAATGTTCACTATCACTAATCATCATAAAATGCCAATCAAAACCACCATCAAATACCACCTCACTCTAGTTAGCATGGCTATTAATAATAAAAAGACAAAAGAAAGCAAGTGTTGGTGTGAATGTGACGGAAAGGGAACCCTTACATGCTGTGGGTAGGATTATAAATGAGTATATCCATTATGGAAAACAGTGTGTAAATTCTTCAAAACATTAAAACTAGAATTACGATAAGATCAAGCAATCCCACTACTAGATATATATCCAAAGAAATTAAATCAGTATGTCAAAGAGATATCTGCACTCCCATCCTTATTGCCACACTATTTACAATAGCTATGATATGGAATCAACTTAAGTGTCCAACAGTGGATGAACAGATAAAGAAAATGTGGTACATATACACAATTAGATACTATTCAGCCATAAAAAGGAATGAAATCCTGTCATTTGTGGCAACATGAATCAATCTGGAGGACATTATGTTAAGTGAAATAATCCAGAGACAGAAAGAAAAATATTGCATGATATCACTCACATGTAAAGTTTAAAAAGAAGAAAAATTAATACAATAGAAGTAGAGGGTAGAATAATGGTTACAAAGATTGGGGAGGGGAAGAGAAAGGAGAAGGTGGGCAGAGGTTGATCAACATGTACAAAATTACAGTAAGTAGATAGGAGGAATAAGTTCTAGTGTTTTATTGCACAGTAAGGTACGTATAGTTAACAGCATTGTATTGTAGATTACAAAGTAGCCAGAAGAGAGGTTTTGAACATTCTCACCACAAAAAAATGATAAGTGCATAAGGTGATGGGTACCCTGGCTAACCTGATTTGATCATTATGCAACATGTATGTTTCACAATATCAAACTGTATCCTATATATATGTGCAGTTACAATATGTCAATTTATAAACTTTAAAAAGAACAGCATTTAAATATTTAAAACTTATTTTTATCAGAATTATTTAAAAATGTATGTAAAATACATATAGAATTCCTGAATCACTGTTTAAAAGCATGACTTTCCCCATTTCTACCTACTTGTTTCCATGGCTAAATTCTTCACGTTCCATGTGAATTCTAAGTATTCATCCTTCTTTACTGCTTTGTAAAATGTTTTCCATGTCAAAGAACTAGAACAAGTGTCACTTTCTAGCAGACACCAGCTAAGTTAACTTTCTCAAAATGTAACTTTCAGATCTTTTCCCTCCATGTCACATTTGTGGGAAAAAAATAAATATTAATTTATTTCATAAAAAAGATTTATTTCATTAAAAATATTAATTTATTTCATAAAAAATAATATTTTATATACTCCTAGAAATCAACATTCTTTCTTAATGAATAATTAGTGTAACGGTAAATTATACTAATAATTTAGTATAGTTTATTACTAAATCATATTAAGAGAAATGTTAGTATAATTAAAATATCTTTTTGAGCTTTGTAATATATCCAAATTTTCTGTCTTCAGAATTACATTCACCAGAACTAGTTCAAGTGCCAAAATTTTGGTAGTAGCCCCAAAATCCCAAATAATACTGGAGTTTCTAATCACCAGAAATCAGTCTTCTACGAAGTGATCTAGTATGATTTTTATGATTCATCTGTATTTTAAACTCTTAAAAGATTAGGTATTAAAATTTCTATTTAAAAATATATAATATAAATTTATGTTTATATAACTATATAATGTAAATTATATGCTGTTACATATATAATATGAATATACAATAATAAAACATAGATATATATGTATGTATATATTTTACAGAAACATACCCATAAACTTACCCATTTTTTTGGTCTAATCTTGTCAAGCAGTTGTGTTTATAGAAATTGAGCACATATGCATTTAGTGGCATTCTCCTTCCTCGGTTATCTAATTTCCATGGCCACAGCAGAGGAGCCTGAGTGCCACTAACACCGACTGTGCGCAGGATGACCTGAAGAAAGACATTTTCTATTACTTCATTACTGATATGTAAAGAGTAACTGTTTGCAGTTTGAGATTTCCTTTGTATGAATCTGTTTCTTAAAGTACGTTCTGAAGAAGTTGAAGTGAAGGAGGCAGGCAGAGGGGGATTCCCATGGGGGTTGAGGGAAATAGGGCCCATTACAGTGAGGGAAAGGGCGTGTTACAGACACTGGCCACTGTGACACTAAGCATGCCTCGGGAATGGGCAGCACCGCTGAGGGAAATAGGAACTCTCAAAGCATACTGAAGGCAATTTCAACCATCCAACTACAATACTGTTAGCAACATTCACTAAGGAAAAATAAATAGAAGCTGATTTTAAGGTAGAATTTTCATCGTTATCTTCATTGGTGCACAGAATGACCTTGAAAGGAGTGTCATGTAGCTAGTGTCTCCCTGTGCTCACAGGGAGAATAAAATGAAACAGCACAAACCTCTGGGCTCCAGAGAGAAGAAAAAAGTGGCAGAGGAGGAGGCAGAAGAGGAGAAAATGAAGAGAAGCAAAACAAACAAACAAAAACTAAGTCTCCGTGGTTCTGGGCACATTAGACAAATTAATCTGTACAGAATCAGAAGGAATCTGCAAATTCTGCCAGTGCATGGGTAAAATTAAACTGTGGAGCAAGTTGGAATAAAAATACAAGTTCAGGCCAGGCATGGTGGCTCATGCCTGTAATCCTAGCACTCTGGGAAGCTGAGGTGGGTGGATTGCTTGGGCCCAGGAGTTCAAGATCAGACTGGGCAATATGCTGAAAACCCATCTCTACTAAAAATATAAAAAATTAGCTGGGCATGCTGGCACGTGCGTGTAGTTCCAGGTATATGGGAGACTGAGGTGGGAGGATCACCTGAGCCCCGGAAGTTGAGGATGCAGTGAGCCGAGATAGTGCCACTGCACTCCAGCCTGGGCAAGAGAGTGAGACCCTGTCACAAATAAAAAGTGGGGAAAGGGAGGGGAGTCGAGGGAAGGGGAGGGGAGGGAAGGGAAGGGAAGATACAAAAGTTCAATGAGAAAAATACATAATGTAGAATTTGTAACTTTGAAGAAGTTGTTTGATCATCTGTGTTCTTTTCTATTTGTTTACTTTGGGTATCAAATAGCTTTGATATCTATATTCTTTTGGATAAACTTTTAAATAATTTAACAGTTCTTTTAAAATGTCAATATTTATAATGAACCTGAAATTGCATTAGCAGCTATTAAAATTTTGGTTAACAAAATTTTTAGATATCAACCCAAACTGTGCAAGAAGATTCACGATTTTTTAAAATTCCTTTAAACGTTACATATGCAAAAATACTTGAAGACCATATTTGACATGATGTGTGACTCTCTGACCCAGGGATAAAATAAGCCAGTGCACAGTGTCAATCTTTATTATTAAATATATTCAATGTGGAATTTATTTCTCATATTTCAAATTAAATCTAAAATCTTCCAGCACCCTAATATTTTATCCAGAACCTCCCAGAGGTTCTAATGCTTTGTGGCCCCCTTTGTAGACCACTGTCCCCAAAGATCCATGTGGTCTGGAGTAGAAAAGCACTATGAGGTCTATGATCAATTTTAGAAAAATGTGAGCCGCTTTCTTTTCCTCTTCCCACAGCAAACCTGTGGCAAACCTCATTTAAAAAAATGAGAAAAAACAGTGGTGTCTGAAATTTTAGACAAAGAAGCAGGGTTTCTCAGGCCAACTCCATAGAGCATAAATCACACTGGCCTCCAGGGCTTCATTCTCTTAGACAATGATGCTCATCAGTGGACATTTTTCAGTGTTTTGGGTTTGAGGTCCTATCAAGGCTTCACAGCAATGTAACCCCACTCTGTCTGTTAAACACATTTTGTACATAAGATGTATCCTTCACTTACCTGGTTGATAGTCTCTGGTCGAAGCAAATCATTATCTGTGTTCCCCGAAAGACAAACAAATGGTGAAATGGCTACTCTTCCTTTCTTGCAGCTCATCAAGTGAGACACGAGTTGGGAGTCTTCACATTCTTTACCTGTGAATTCTGACCATTTTGGACTAGGTCACGTTAGGTTTTAAAAATCAGCCCAAATGTTAACCCTTTCAAACTCACTGTAGGTCAAGCCACAGTAGGTGACATTCATCTCATCAGAATGAAAACTGATTGAGATATGGTGCATAAAGTCATTAACACAGCTTGGCACAGAGTAATCATTCAATCCATGTTGACTATTAACTTATTATCATTACTCTTTTTTATTACCTGTTATTTTTGCCTATGAACTCAGATATAACCTCAGAAACCTCCTAGACATGATGTTCAGGCAGCTCCTACCAGTGGATTTGGAGCTGGCATAAGAGATAAAACAGAGGTTCTGTCCAGCGAGTACCATCTCGCTGGACTTGGAAGGCACCAAGTCATGCACTCAGGTCTGGCTCGTTTTTCCCATCACGACACAATCACACACTCCCATCATCTTTTCTCTGCACTACTTTCCTTGCTTCCACCATTATTGTCTGCATTTGCTCATGCTGTGTCCTACATCAACAAATCTTGAGTAGCTACAATGCTTACCTCCCTGTCTTTTACTCCAACTATGACTATATTAGGAGACAGGGGAATATGGGAATCATTTTATGGCTCCACTCTTTACTCTTAGTCTAGCTTCTTTCCATTTATTCTCCCCTAAAAGTTTCCCGCTATAAAATTGAAATTTGGAAGCTTAGTTACTTTGCAATACCAGTTACTCCTCAATCAAGAACAAATAATTGAAGCAAAGAATGATATTTGCAACGTCTGCTAGAACTTTCCGTAATGATGGAAATATTCTACCTCTACTGTGTCCAAAGTAGAAGCCACTAGCACTGGAAAGTTAACGTGACTAAAGCTAAAGTGACTAAAGAATTAACTTTTCAATTGTTTTATTTTTAATCAACTTAATTTAAATAGTGACACGTAGCTAGCTGGTGGCTACCATGTTGGGTAGAATAGACTTACGCGATGTTGACTATGTGCTATGCACTGTTTTAAGAAACTTATAAACATTAATATACCTAATCCTCTAAAATTCTGTAAGCTAGGTAATATTTTTAGTCATTTCATTTTACAGATTAAAAAAATGAGACACAGAAAGATTAAGTAACTGGCATGAGACCTCATGGTTAATAAGTAGCAGAGCCAGGATTTAGACCTTGGCATTCTGCTGCCAGTGTTCACATTTGTAACCACTATGCAACTGCCCCTCAGGGGAAAAAAATGCCAGAAATTATGCCGTTTTCTTTTTCATCTGTCACTTTTTCTGATCCAGTTTTCCAACCTGAACAGATAGGCAACTTTCCATCAAAATGGTTCATGAATGACTTTTATTTTTTTTCCTCCATTGCCCAATTAATATTTGGTAATTATAAAGTTTTTTTTTAATTGGAAAACAGAGCCATTATCACACCCTACAATGGGCTAAATTGTTTTCTGGGGATAAAACACTTGGGTTAGTACAGCTGCCCTGTAATAAGCTCCTTTACCAGCTTTGAAGCATCCAATATCCAGAGGCTTTCTTAACCAAGATTGTTTACTCTTTAAATTGTTCCGGAATGGAACTAAAATCTGCTTACTGATTCTTGACAAAGGGAGTTGATGCTCTTTTTTCATGTTCACCGACTTGGAAGCAATCAGCAGGAAGGAGGCAAAATCCTTCATTACTGCCAGGTTATACTCATATAAAGCAGCTTTAAAATCCTCCGGGAGTTCGGCAAGGATCACCTATGGGCGAAATACATTTCAGAAAGATCTCTTTACTTTTATTTAAAAAATTAAACTGCTTGGTGATAAGATTGCAGCATAGTTCTGTAGATTGATGCTCATTCATCAAAACCCTTGATTACTTTACTCACCTGTGAGATTAAGGTAAAATTTCCTTTTGATTTCAACCAACATTTATAAATGTAAGTATCTTTCCTTAAAAAAGTTATTTTGACTCCACTTAGCCAAAACCACCAATTTAATAGAAACATGTCCTACACTGATCTTAAACTTAGGTATATTTCAGAGACTTGAGGGACATATTTAGAGAGCAAGTAACAAGTTAGTGTAGCAGTAGTAGCGTCAATGCTTTATTGAGTTCAGATTATGTGCCAACACTGTGCTTTGCTGCCCCAAGCACTTGTTATATGTTAGCTCAGTTAATCCTGAGAACAACCCTATGCAGTAAACATTTTCATCTACATTTTGTACATGAGGGAGCTAACCCTCACAGAGGTAAACTTGTTCCAAACCTGACAGGTAGTAGATAGAGAAGTAGCTGGTATTGCAAGCTAACTCAGCTTCCAAATTTCATGTTTAAAAACAAATTCTTTCAGAATTAGGACTAGAAGTTTCTTTAGTGTGAGTTAGAAATAGCTATGACATTAGAAATGTTCTTGGTTTTCTTCTGTTACAATTATGGGTTTTATTATTTATTTGATATTTTCCTTAATTTATTCATAACCTGTACTTTTCCAATAATTGAGGTATTTTATAAGGGTAAAGATAATACAATATGATCATATAAATCAAAATTTGGTAAAAAGGAAAGAAAAACAAGAAAGAGACTAAAATGGGGCACAAATTATATTCCAAGATTCCTAGGAGCAAGTGTGAATGACACATTTCAGAATGTCTATGAGATAAACAGCTATTTATTCTCAGCACTAATATCAGGTAAGAATTTTCCAGGGGGATTCTTACAAAAGGCAACCGTGTGGACATAATAAAGAATGCCCCTACCAACTCCTTACAGTGGATAGTATGACAATTTCCACAAGCCTACTTCGGACTCAGCTCCATCTGTGGATGGACCAAGACAAAAGAATAAATTGACAGGTGCAGCTCTACACTCTGGTCAAAGTGATATGGTCTCTTTACTGCTATGCCTTCCATGTCCTGCCATTGTGCCACTGCTGGACACCGTTCTAGGGCAGCACGTGCTGCTTACCATGTACACCTTGTGTTGTTTGCCACCTTCTCGAATGTGTATGCTATACAGCCCCATCAGGAGAGCAAGCTCTTGGAAGGTAGCAACTATGTTTCCCAATCATGATTTTTGCTATAGTTTACACATATTTATTGCTCAATAAATCTTTGCTAATTGACTAATATAGAGCAGTTATCCCAAATTATGGTACATAATATAAGAGGTACATGAGATGATTTAGTGTGACACACAGAACATTGAGTAATTATACATCAGTTTTAAAAAATAAAAAGTGGGCTGGGCATGGTGGCTCATGCCTGTAATCCCACCACTTTGGGAAGCCAAGGCGGGCGCATCACTTGAGGTCAGGAGTTTAAAACCAACCTGGCCAACCTGATGAAACCTCAACTGTACTAAAAATACAAAAAAATTAGCCAAGCGTGGTGGCGAAGCCTGTAATCCCAGCTACTTGGGAGGCTGAGGCAGGAGAATGGCTTGAACCTGGGAGGTGGAAGTTGCAGTGAGCTGAGATTGCGCCACTGCACTCTAGCCTGGGTGAGTGAGCAAGACTCTGTCTCAAATAAATAAATAAATAAATAAATAAATAAATAAATAAATAAATAAATAAAAATATCTTCTTTCCAGTCCTCTTCTATTCTTTCTGATAACCCTAGAAAGTCCAGAGGCAATAGACCACCATTGTTTCTCTAAAAGTTTATAATCTCTTTTTGTAGCAAAGAGAGAGAAGCTTCAGCTGAGAACCATGTTAACTGCATCTATTTTTATGGCTTCCTTAGTTTTGAAATCAAAGATCCTGGCTTTCTATTTACAGTAGTAGTAAATATGAAGTTTCCTTTTTAAATACTTTAAAATGTGTATGCATTTAAGAAAATGATTAACAGTTCCAGTGGTTTGCAATGTGGATATATGTCAGTAACTAAAATTGGGTGCTCAGGTCTGGAGGTATATCCAGAGGCATTGTGAGGTCAGAAAGCCTAGATTAATGCTAATTACCTTTTTGTTCTCTATTCACTAGGGTTACTGGATAGAAACAAGCTTCTTCTACATTCCCAGGTTCTAATGCACATTTTCTTGGGTTCTGTTTGCTTGTTATTATTTTGTTGTTGTGTCTTTAAAAAAATAAGAAATTGGAAACAAACAGTGTTACAAAAAAACTTAGAAAATAATTTTTCTTTCAGTCTCTCAACCCTTAAGTTAGGGGATTCTTTCTTAGGTGACCACCTCAATATTGTCTGAAGAGGACATTAGAGGTCATAATGTAATTCCTTCCCTGCACTCCCATCCCTAGCTGTAAACAATCCCAATGGAACTATAGGTTCAGCAGTAGGGCTGTCATTCTATTTAAATGACTATTTGTGTATGTAATCTCTGTTGCTACTGAATTACATAATTTGCTCCAATAAAGTGAAAAAACTTTAGGGATAAGAATTGTTTGTTAGATTAGCAGGGGAAGATGTTTGAACTAAAAATTAAATAGAACTCTAATTATGAAAAGACAACACTATTAAAACAAATGGAGTAGCTTATATTAATTTAACCCTATAGGTACTGAATGCTTTCCAGTAGCATACATTTAATAACTATCATTATTATATCATTGTAAGTATAACAAACTTTACCTTTGACTGAGAAAAACTTAAATTAGCATTTTGGAATTTTGCTGGAATATATTTTCTTCCAAACAAATTTGCCAATACTAACACGAGCTTTTCCATCACATCTTGGGAAAATTGTTGTGAGCCTATTGAAATAAAGAGCATTATTATAAATAAGAATAATGTTGATTCCATTTATTTTCTGCCTAAATTTGTTTTTATAGTACATTTCCTTTTGTTGAAGGCAAAATTTTCTAGCAAATATATACCTCAGAAATTGACCATATTTGCAATACTATGTGCACATTTATTTTTTTGGGTAAGACAGGAGATTTTATATTCTGTGCCTTGTTTTTCCATCCTTGCTATACCCGCCCTAGTTCCCACCCCAGAATGTTTACTAACTGGTTTCCTGACTTGCACTCTCCTTTCTTCAGGCCATCTTGAGAGTGATCAGCCTTTCCAAAGCATGAATATAAACATATCCCTCCTTTACTCAAAAACCTTTGAGGGTATCTCAACGGCTAATTGAAAAATCCAGGTTCCTTGGCCTGCTCTTTAGGGTGTTTCAAATCCTGTCAAAACAAAGCTTCCAAACTTACCTACCAACACTTCTAAACACTAGCTCTAGGTTCTGGTCATCTTGACCTACTCTCCACTCCCCATAACGCATGAGCACCATACTGTGGGCATTAAAAGGTGGCTAGGTTTAATTAACTGGGCTCTGAAGCATACTAAAATCATATGACCATCAGAAACTTATTGTCTTTCTATGCTTCTCCGTTTTCTCTTCTGCAAATATTCTTTATCAGTTAAGTAATATATAAGTAGCCCTCAAATACTCTTTATTAGAATAAATATCAGTTGACTTTTAGTGTCTAATTTTTTGGCATCTGTAAATCTGAACATATACTTAGTATTTATTTGCTTTAATAAATGAGAAGGAGGAAGAAGAGAAAAACATATCTGCGGTTTTGGCTATTCAATAAATATGTTGCCATTTTTCGACTACAGGTATAAAACCCAAGCTTACCTTTCCAGGCTGGCTTACAGAGATTATGGAAAAGGCCTCTCTTGAGAAAATTTACAAAAACAAGATTTGAAGGTTCATGACCATGCAAATATGATGCAAGTCCTGCAAATTTCTTTGGATTACCCTTTTTATTTAAATAGTCCTAAAAATGAGAAACAAAAAGTTGATTTAACTTGTCATGTACTCAAATACCATAAAATACCAGTGTGAGTGACTGACAAATATTACCTGACTTCATTTATTAATAAATGATAAGTAACATTATCATTGAATGCAGATTATAGAAATTTCAGTTGGTTTAGCATAGAAAGAAGTTTACACGGTACTAGTTACAGAGAACAAAAAGCCAAAGCACGATGATACCTCTTTGATAAGGAGCTGCAAGGAAAACAAAAAGTAAAGTTTCAAAGTCTCCATGGCTCTTCGTCTCTTAAAAGACAGCAATGAATGCTTTAGCACTGACAACACCTATAAAAGAAGAGTACTTTAATTTATCTAGTTTTAAACAGTATTTGTAAATACTGATATGTAATAAATAGTACACATACATACTATATAGATAAGGTTACCAGATCTTACGTGAAAGTAAATTTCATTTGATTTCATATTATCTCTTTGATTGTATCTTCACATGGCACATGCTTCCTTGAATTAAATACATCATATAAAGCAGAACTGTTATACATAACCCAGACTGGCAAATAATCTGCTAAATCCCTGAAACAGTGGTGACCAATAGTGGCCTGAAAAAATGAAGTATGAAAGCCAATCCGGCTTACAAGATTAGTTGTCTTAGGCCATTCTAAAGGTAAATAGAGTAATTATATTGTTCTGAATCTTGAGTTATCCCATTAAACCTAATGGAATTAGGTAGATTGCAGTCAACAGAATGGAAATATTTGGATCTGTGTCATCACCCAAATTTCATGTCAAATTGTAATCCCCAGTGTTGGAGGTGGGGCCTGATTGGAGGTGATTGGATCATGGAGGTGAATTTCCCCTCTGGTGCTGTTCTCATGATAGTGAGTTATCATGAGATCTGGTTGTTTAAAAGTGTGTAGCACCTCCCCTCTACCTCTCTTCCTCCTGCTCCAGCCATGCATGTAACACACGGCCTACTTCTGCTTCACTTTCTGACATGATTGAAAGTTTCCTGAGGCCTACCCAGAAGCAGAAGCTACTTATGCTTCCTGTACAGCCTGCAGAACCATAAGCCAATAAAATGTCTTTTCTTTATAAATTACCCAGTCTCAAGTGTCTCTGTATAGCAGCGTGAGAATGAACTAATACAGGAAGTTGATACTGAGGAGTGGGGCACTGCTATAAAGATATCTGAAAATGTGGAAGCGATTTTGGAACTGCATAGTGGACAGAGGTTGGAATTTTGTGGAGGGCTCAGAAGAAGACAGGAAGATGAGGGAAAGTTTGGATCCTAAAGACTTGTTAAACTGTTGTGATCAAAATGCTAATAGTAATATGGACAATGAAGTCCAGGCTAATGAGGTCTCAGATGGAGATGAAGAACTTATTGGGAACTGGAGCAAAGGTCAATTTTGTTAAGTGTTAGCAAAGAGGTTAGCTGCATTGTGCTCCTGCTCTAGGGAACTGTAGAACTTTGAACTTGAAAGAGATGATTTAGGGTATGTGGCAGAAATAAATTTCTAAGTAGCAAAGTGTTCAAGATGTAGCCTGGCTGCTTCTATCAACCTATGCGCATATGTGTTAGCAAAGAAATCACCTGAAACTAGAACTTGTATTTGAAAGGGAAGCAGAGTATAAATCTGAAAAATATGCAGCCTAGCCATGTGGCAGAAAAGAAAAGCCTATTTTCTGGGCAGGAATTCAAGCAGCCTGCATGTATTTGTATAACTAAAAGGAAGGCAAATGCTGATAGTCAAGACAATTGGAAAAGTCCTCACAGACATTTCAGAGACCTTTGCAGCATTCCCTCCCATCACAGGCTGGAGTGCAGTAGGTCATAGCTCACTGCAACCTCAAACTCCTGGACTCAAGTGATCCTCCTGCCTCAGCCTCCCAAATAGCTGGGACTACAGGTATATGCCACCATACCCAGCCAGTGAAACTTTTTCTAATAAAGAAACCAAAGCAATTAAAATAGAAATCAAATTAAAAATCTAATTTAATAAATATACTTCTTCAAAAACAACTTGAATGTGATAAATTGAAAAGGTTCTGAATATGATAAACACTATCAATTTTTTTTAAAAAAAAAAACTATAACTAGAAACTTCTCCTAAAAAAGTAACATATAAGAATAAAGAAAAGGATCCATATACATGGGCAGAAAAAGTCAAGTGACCTACAAGAAAACAGCAATCAGTAGGGCCACAGATTATATCTCCACAACAGTAGATGCCAAAGAAAATGAAGCATCGACAATTCTGAAGACTAATGGCTCAAATCCAAAAAATTTATGCCAGGTTAAATTGTCCTTACTACAAAAGAAAAAATCTCCTCAAATACGCAGGAGCCCAGAAAATATGCCACCCTCACAAACGTTATTATATGAAAAACAATAACAAAAACCTTTAAAGTGTACTACTCTCTCTTCCTGGGAGAGTAATCAAAACCAAGAATGGGGCCACTTTTACATAGAACTGGGTGTCGCTGTTCTCTGTGACTATCAAAAGGCACACACCTGACTCATTACAGGGTTCTGGGAAGACTCTTTGTCTTGGCAAGTGGAATCTGACGTAACTGGCCATGATAATGAATATATAAGAATATGGAAAACTTGGTAACCTTACAATGATATTTTATTAAATTTAAATTTTAATGTGAATTATATATTACTCAACATGGGGTTACATCCCCCAAAATTGTTCTGATTGAAAACCTCAGGCAAATTTACCAAATTCTGACATCTAGTTCAACATAACTGCATCCATTCTTTAAAAAGCAAACACTTACCCACATTTAGGTAGAAAAGACTGGAAGAAATATACCAAAATAATAAAGCAGTTTCCTTTGAGTAGTGGAACTATCGCTTCTTGGCCTTTTGGCTAAGATCAAGTGAGTAGTGGAACTAGGTATGGGTGATTTTTCCTTCTTTCAGCTTTTCTATGGTTCCAAATAAACTTTTATAAACAGGTTATTTTATATTTAAAATATAATTTTTATTTTTAATACAGCAATACTGTTTTCCTCATTTTTATCTGGAATTAAGAGTGACACATTTGAGAATACATTCAATCTTTCATTTCACTTATAATTCTTCTAATAATTCTTTAATGTAAAAATTTCATATTGATCTAATTAATTAAGTGGCAAATGCTGACAACATAACAGAATTTAAGGTAGAAGCAAATCTATTTTTCCACAAAAAATATATAGACAGTCAAAAACAAGTTATATTATCAGTTTTCACTCATACTTGACTTCCTTTATAAAGGAAAAAGTAAAAATCAACATATAAAAAGAATGAAAAAGTTAGCAAGTGCTTTTCCCATTCTTCTCTTTAATGAACACTAAAGCAAAACAAAAAAAACCTAAAACTAAAATCATAAGACCTGAGACTACAAACAATAATAGCTAGCATTTATGTGTTTACTACTCATCGAATATGATGCTAAGAAGTCCTTGACTTGCATTAACTATAATTTATAGTGGTTGTTATTGCCATTTTGTAGCTGACAGTTCTGAGATTTAGGAAAATGTAATTGCCTTATTAAAGTTAAATAGTCAGTAAATAATTGAACCAGGGACCTATTCCAGACCTTTATGAGTCTATAGCCAATATTCAACCACTATACTATATTGCTTTTCACACATTAAAATAACCCTGGTAATTCTTAATGCCTTATGGTCTTTGGTGGTAAAACAAAATTATTTTTTTCTGTCCTGAAGAAACATATAATAATCAAGAAAATGCAAAGCATTAAAAGAGTGATGAAACTGAAGAGCTATTGCTACTGTTGACGTGAAAAATACTGGGGCAAAATTAATATAGAGAGTTCATTTGGGCCAAGGTTGAAGACAGCTGTCTGGGACAGACACACTTCCAAGTTGTCCCAAAAAGTATTCTGCTCAGCCTTTGCTACAAGTAGATTTTTAAAGGCAAAAGGGGACAAGAAGTGGGCTGATACAAAGTTTTTTGACAGGAGTTCTCACAGTTTTACAGAAATAACATTGATTTGTGATTGGCTATACATTGTTGAACTACAAGGAATGAGGTATGGTGTCCAATGTATGGTGTTTTATGGCTACTTCATGTCAGTTAGCCTAGAGTTCACATAGGAAGTGGCTTCAAGAGGTAATTATTTAGCTCACGAGGGGAGTGAGACATGACTGCTGTCACACCCTGTCACACTCCAATGCCTCTCTGGGCCTGATAATTAAAGGGCACTCACATTCCTCAGATAAAAAGTTTCTTGGCCAAGTGCACTGGTTCACACCTGTAATCTCAACATTCTGGGAGGCCAAGGCAGGTGTGATGGTTAACACTGAGTGTCAACTTGATTGGATTGAAGCATTCAAAGTATTGATCCTAGGTGTGTCTTTGAGCGTGTTGCCAAAGGAGATTAACATTTGACTCAGTGGGCTGGGAAAGGCAGACCCACCCTTAATGTGGGTGGGCACCATCTAATCAGCTGCCAGCATGGCCAGAATATAAAGCAGGCAGAAAAAATGAAAAGGCTAGACTGACTTAGTCTCCCAAACTACATCTTTCTCCTGTGCTGGATACTTCCTGCCCTTGAGCATCAGACTCCAAGTTCTTTCATTTTGGGACTCAGACTGGCTTCCTTGCTCCTCAGCTTGCAGATGGCCTATTATGGGTCCTTGTGATCATGTGAGTTAATACTTAATAAACTCTTCTTTATACATATATCTATCCTATTAGTTCTGTCACTCTACAGAACCCTAATACAGTGGGTGGATTGCTTGAGCCCAGGAGTTTGAGACCAGCCTGGGCAACAGTGAGCCCTCACCTCTACACAAAAAAATAAAATAAAAATTAGCTGGGCATGGTGGTGTACACCTGTAGTCCCAGCTACTTGGGATGCTGAGATGGGAAGATCACTTGAGCCCAGGTGATTAAGGCTGCAGTAAACCATGATTGTACCACTGCACTCCAGCCTAGATGACACAGCAAGACCCTGTCTCCAAAACAATCAAACAAAAAGAAAGTTTATTTTCTTTCTCAAGACAGACTTCTAAAAGAGCAGCAGACCTGACTAGAGCCAGGCCAGTGATGAAGACTGAACCTCAGGCAGTGTCCAGCACGGTACCTTTGCCTTGGCATCCTCTGGGTCATCTCCCTTGGAAGCCAGCAGCATGAGTCGCAGGACCAGGGTTATGCTGAGAGGGAACTGTCCTCTCAGCTCAGGAACACTGGATGCAAGGAGTCTTTTTATTTTGGGCAATGGGATATCAAAGAAATACACATTTCCAAGCAGGTCTTGACCTCTTCTTCCAGCACGACCAGACATCTGGAAGCAGCAAAGAATCACAATGTAAAACCTCCACAGATAATTATCCTATGAAGTCCAAAGATTTATGACTTTACACTTGTTATCCGGGATTGTGTTAAATTGTGTATTTAGTCCTGAAACTAATCTATGTTAACATGGCACTTAAAAAATACAGTGTGGCTGGGCAAAAGAGATAAGGAGGCATTGTGATATATATTTGGTCTTTGGCCCCAGTTGCTGGCATATGACTCATAAAATCCTTGGACTCTCCAATATCTGTATGTGAATGAGTTGGCTGATAGCTGGCAGTCTCTAGGCAGCTTCAGGACGGGGACTGGTCACCAGAAAGACCAAGGCATGATTAGAGGATTGGGACTTTCAGCCCCTCCTCGCAATTTCTGGGGAAGGGAGAAGGGCTCAAGGTTAAGTTTATCACCAGTGGCTAATGGTTTAATTCTTCAGGCCTGTGTAGTGAAGTTTCCATAAAAACCTAAAGGGACTGTCTCAAAGAGCTTCCACACAGCTGAATACACGGAGTTTCCTGGAGGGTGGTGTGCCCTCAGAGGGCATGGAAGCTCCGTGCCCCTTGACCCATACCTTGCCCTCACAGCTCTTCTGTATCCTTTATAATATCCTTCATAATAAACTGATAAATATAAGTGTTTCTGAGTTCCATGAGCCACTCTAGAAAATTAACTAAACTCAAAGAGGGGGTCATGGGAACCCCAACTTGAAGCCAGTTGGTCATAAGTTCCAGAGGACTGCACTTGTGACTGGTGTCTGAAGAGGAGGCAGTCTTGGGGACTGAGCCCTCAATGTGTGGAATCCGATGCTATCTTCAGGTAGGTAATGTGGAATTGAATTGAGCTGCAGAATTGACTGCTCACTCGGTGGTGAGCAGAAATCCCCACACATTTGGTCACAGAAGTCTTCTGTGTTGATTGTAGTGATTATTATAGAGTGACAGAATAGAAAAAGCAGTTTGCGTTTTGCTCATATTCAGAGGCAGAGTCATTAACAGGTATTCCCTATCATGCAGACAACTGTACTAGGGATGGTAAGATGATACGTAAAAGAAACACAAATGGAATCTGCTCTAAAGGAGCTTAGAGTCCATATACCCCCACTCTTTCTCACCACACACACACACAAAGAGAAGGAGAGAGGGAGGGAGTGATAGAGGGATAGAGGGAGGGAGGGAGAGGGAAAGGGAGAAGGGGAGAGAGAGAGGGAGGAATAGAACTAGAGAGTGTCTTGAATAGGGAAAGTTCTCAGCCTTGTTTTCAATCAGATCCTTCATTTGCAAATGAAGGATTCAAACTTCTTCAGTTCTGCTTGGTTGAAATAGTTGAGCCCTGACTGGGTGGTTTCAAGCTCCAAACTAGAAGAGTCTGCCGGATGTTTCTTTCAAACGGCTGGAAGCGGGGAATTCCAACCACACTTGGCACCACCAACAGCAACTGTTCCCTATTTAAGCCATTTTCTCTAACTCTTTTAACAAATAGAGTTAAAAGTAATGAAATTTAAAAAGTGTGCCTAAGCTCCTTGAGATACAAATCAAGTAAATTTATTGAAAGAGACAACATTTTGAAAGGCTTCGTGGAAGAGGTATGTCAAGGACCAACTATTTGCAGAAGAAGTAACAGCCATTTATTCAATGCTTAATATGTGCTGGGCCCTTTATATAAATTAGTTTTAGGCGGTCTTCATAATAATCCAGTGAGGTACAGAGTATTGTCAGCCCCATTTAAAGATAAAGAAGGACTTCTAATATGATGTTGAAAAAAAAAAAAAGAACAAAGATAAGAAAAGTGAGCGCAGAGAACCTAAGTAACTTAGCCACAATCCAACAACTGAGAAGTAGCAGATTCAACTAATCCCTGATGTTTTTTTAATCAAAGTCACGTCCCCAAGGGCCAGGTGAGCCTGCCTCTGGGAATCCTAAAAATGAGATTCCTGAAGATTACGTGGTAGACAACCCATGCGAAACAATGACAGCAGAGAAGAAAAAAGCAAGAAGACAGAGATTAGAAAGATGGTTAGAAACAGTAAGAAGATTAGATTGATTAGGATAAATGTTCATGAGCATAAGAATATACATATTTTAGATAGAGAGCAAAAGGAATTTTATTGATAAAGGGCTTGAATATTGCCAACACTTCTATATTTGACCCTAGAGTAGAATTAGCCATCAAATATTCCCTTGCCAGAAAATGACATGAAGAAAAACGATGCTATCCATCATCTACAGCACAGAATAGAATACGGGCAAATCATAACCAGGAGGACTGTTAAAGTATGCCCCTGGCCAACAGACAGAATGGACTCCTGTGGCTGAGGTGCTCAAAGGTAAAACAGAACTAGGCAGTCACGGCAGGGTGAGGGAGTGGTCATGCATGCTGTGTTCTCAGAAAGATGTAAAGGTGTCAAAGGATGCTTCCTACGATCAAGCCAAACCAGCTGCTGTTGGTGGTGCCAAGATAAACTGTGGTTGGAAATCTCCACTCCTAGCTGTTTGAAAGAAACATCTGATGGAAACTTCTGGTTCGGAGCTTGGAAACCACTCAGTCAGAGCTCAACTATTTCAACCAATCAGAAAGGAAGAAGTTTGAATCCTTCATTTGCAAACAAAGGATCTGATTGAAAACAAGGCTGAGAACTTTCCCTATTTAGGCCAGACCCTCCCTTTGTTCTTTGAAGAGCCCACTTTCACTTACAGCAAAGGCTGAGTTTCTCCAATCTGCAGATTGTTTTTTATAGAAAATAAAACTCTGTTTTGCCTCTGCAGATCTCATATCCTTTTGTTAACACTCTTATAATAGCCCTGGGTAAAGAATGAAGGAAGAAGGATGCTGGCTACAGAAATTGTGATACAGAAATCTGAGGACACCACTGCAGAAAAGTAATTGGACGATCTGTGTAATAGATTAAGCATCAAAAGCAAAGGAGAGAAAAGCATTAAAGATGACTCCGGAGTGAAAAAGTGGGCACGGCAAATGAAGAAGGAAATGTTTATTAAGGACCTTTAATGTGTCTCTTTCCTATTTCACTTAATCCTCACATGGGCTGTGGGGTAGTGATTATCACAGCCATTCTGGAGACAGTGAAGGAAGATCCAGCAGTTCAGATATCTCATCTGAAGTCTCACATCTGTTTGGCAATAATCACCTCATGTCCACAGATTTTCCATTATCATGGTTTCCATTATACCACAACTGAAAATGACAGCCTGGCATAGATGGACGCACATTGTACAGAAGAAATCATCAGTTCCACAAATACCTTCAGCATCTCTTGTCATCCCCATGCTAATTGCTATTTGAGATACAAATTCCTTAATGGAATTTACAAGAGCACATAACAAGAACAGTGAAAGAACAAGCGCAATCACATTTCCCCAAAGCTGGAGTAATCAAAGAAGACTTCAAAGAAAACATATAAGGACAGTTCAATCAGACCCTTGTAAAGGGCTAGGATTTCAATCAGGGGAAAGAAGGAAAAGTCTCTAAGAGGAAGAAGGAGAGCAAATGTCCTGATGAACAAGGCATAGCAGAAATGAGAGGTCAATTACTAAAACAATTTGTGCCAGAAGGTTCTCACTAGGAAAGAACAAGAAATAAATATATATATTTTTAAAAAATCACATGGTGATCAGGATGCAAAGGGCCCTACTAATAACAGCTGGCATTCATTGAGCACTTACTATGTGCTGTGCACAGTTCTGAGTGGTGTACATTTTTCAGTTAGTCCTCATAATAACTTTCTAAAATATAATTATTGTCACCATCGTACAGATTGAGAAACTGACACCTGAGAAATTAACTAACTTGTCCGTAGTTGCACAGCTAGTAAAGAATATGGCAAAGAGTTAAGCCTAGGGAATCTAGGACCAGATTCCCCCATATTAATCATTATACATACTCCTTCAGAAGCACTGTGAAGATCTAGCACATAGGTACCTGAGGCAAGACTTGAGCCAGGCCACCAGTGTGGTGGTGAGCAGTCCCAGCAGGGGAGGGGCAGGGCAACAGGCTGGTTTGAATGTAGGCAGAATCAAGGTAATGCTGACATGGTGGTGAAGAGGCCCAGGAAAGGATACCAAGAGACTGTGATAGCAATAAGGGCATTCTGATAACTAGAGCAATCCCAGGAGTATGCCAATAAGGAGACTTTTGGAGTCCCTGGGAGGCAGTGAATGTGTTTTTGCTTATGGGAAAGAAGTGACTCATTGGGACCCAGGCAGCAGACTGTGGTAGGCAGCTTTCTCAGTGGCTGCTCCCAATGATTCTAATAATCACAGCTTCCTGCTATTCACAGCCTTGTGTAATCTGCTCTCCTTGATTGTTGAAGAAAAGCCAGGAAGGTGAAGCTAACAAGTATTCTCTTTATTTTACAGGCAATAAAGTCCTACGAAGATTGAGTGACATGAGGACAACACCTAGGAGCAGGTCATGACATGTATTTGACTCATAATAAATGCCATTTGAGGGAATATATAAATGAGTATATTTTGAAAGATAGAAAATGGAAAGACCAAAAGGAGAAAATGGCATGTTAGCAGAAAATCCATATCATTTTTTTCAATTAATACAGGAAAGCGTATTATTTGCTTTCAAGAGCTAATATAAAATACATAGTTCAGGGGTCTGTATTACCTGCTGTGCTAGGAAAAATCACACTCCCATGAGACTAGATTCCTCTATCAAAGAAAGCACTAGAAGGAAGGAAGGTGCATAGCTTCATGCCACATATTCAAATAGATCTAGAGAAAGAACAAGATTCTGATACAGCTGGACAAAGTCACTGAAGTCAGTTCCTGGGAAACCAGCTTTGGAGACTGAATTTTCTATTTATATTTCTAAATAATAACTTAGTTATTGAGTGAGAAACATAAATCCACAGGTAGATTTTCTTTTTTAAAACTTTTAAGTATAAAACATAGTAAATGCTTACTTCTAGTTGGAAGATGTGTCAAAATACTGACATGAAGTCAAAATAATGACAGCTAAACCAAGGCTGTAGCTATAAGATCATGACAAAACTGAGATGCATGAAATACTTTTGGTACGAAAGTGCAAGCAGTAGAACTAACATTTTCTGGTTCTCATTGTATGACAAATCCTTCTAGACAAATTGTAAATAACATAGAAATAATATGGAAATACAATTCTGTTTTAAGTGCATTTCTCTAGACAGAGACAACCTGACATTTGGGATGATGAGGTGGTTGTTGAGGGATGTAAGTGCAAGGGGCAATTCCCAGAAAGGTCTGCCACCTGACCCTCGAGAAACAAATAAAATCCATTCACAGAGAAAGTATATTTTATTCTGTCCTAGGAGATAATGCTAAGTCATCAGGGCAGGATAACAAAGTAGTTCCACTCTCATTGTGGTCCATAGTAAATAAATGATGTTGGATTTCTTCCAAACTAGTGATTTTGGCAAGGAAGAGAAAAAAGGAGACCATAATTCTGAAGGAAACAAAAGTCCCTTAAGAGAAACTTTGCTCTCTACATGAAAAAGAGAAAGACTGAAAAATTCCAGCTCAGGGACTTCCTGTTTTTCATAACAGAACATGGTAAAAGGTGATATGGTCTATAGCTATACTTGAGAAAAGGAAAATATGGCTTTTAAAGTTGAAACAGCAACATCCTAAAAGGTCATGAAATGGAGATAAACTCCTTTTCTCTGTAAAATCACAGTCTTCATATTCCAGTCTAGGAGAGTTCACATGATCTAAATTTGAATAAGAAAAGAGGAAAATTTCAAGAATAAGCAAAATGATAAAATTTATATTTTATAATTTATCTTTTATATTTCGAGACTAGGCAAAGATTATTGTCAGTTTTTTTTTTAGCAGTGTATAGAGAGGAGGTGATTTTTCTTCCCTTTGACTTACAATATATATCACATATAGGATGTCATATAAGGAAATGAGAAGACTCTCAGGTATAACATCTTTGTCTTTGTGTCTAAATCTCTGTTATATAGCCCTTCTCTTTTATTTTTATTTTTCTCACTCTCAACCTTGTTTTTGTTTCATTTATCTCTCTTTCCTCCCTCGCCTTATAATACAGACATATTTTTATCCTTGATTTTTAAAAAGTTATCTGGAGACCTCCGAGTAACATTTCTCACTCCAGAAATTCCACTAAAATGATAACAAAAACCTTTTTAAAAAAAAAGCATACTCCCAAGAAGGTGAATGGTATTAAAGGCTTGGAATTTGGAAAACAGGTGGTCAATGACTCCTAATTACTCAATACTAAACTTCAAGTAAGGAAGTCAAAACCTACCTAATTTAAATGACAGGATTCCCAAAAGACCCAGGAATTGATAATACCAAGTGCCACACACAGAGAAAGGCAAATTAAAGGAAACAGCTAACGCAAGGAATTTCAGACCATTTTACATACTCCCGGAAAAATAAAATAAAGGAGCACTATAAAGGATCAAGAATCAGAACAGCTGTACATTTCTCAAGAAATATAAAAACTACACTAAAAACTGAAATACATTAAGATTATTAAGCCAATAAACCCTAACTATGAAAAAGTAGTAACAACAGATAGATCACACAAAATGAAGCAACAAGATATGAGGCCACTCAACTCAAAAATGCTATGCCACATAGAAAGTAAAAGGAAGGACACAAACCGTAGCCTGTTACCAGATGTGAGTGCCACATGGTTCATTATTTCAAACTCAGCTTTCAGCAATGGGAGTTAAAGAGTCAGAGAGTTACCTGTCTGTAATTTAAAGCATCCAGATAGACTGAGTCTTGGGCAAAAACAACAGATTTGCATGGCATGTGGATCCCTAAGGCAAGTGTTTCAGTAGCTGTCACTACCTAGGAAAAAAAAAAAAAAACAGTCAATACACAATATAGCATATCTATAAGGACACAAGATCTATTTTCCACTCCAGTCACTGAACAACTCTTAGAGCTTTAACAAACCACATGTCATTAAAACTAACATACTAACCCTACTGTTCTTGCAACTGCCTGATTATTCAAAGAACATTGCTACTTCAGCATCCTAACTGTTGCCATTTGCTCACCCTAAAATCATTTTCCCCAAATCTCCATTTGCAGGCTTTTTCTGATCTCTATATAAATGTCCAAAAAGACTTCCTGCACCATCGTTTCTAAAATAACCATGTTTACTTGTCCCCCCAAGACCTTAAGTATCATGAGGACATGGGCATTGATCTCTCTTGGCCACTGCTGTATCCTCAACACCTGGAAGAGTATTGGACACACAGCAGATGCACAATAAATATGTGTCCAATAACTGCATGAATGAATGAACAACAAGCATACAAATTTTCCTTAAGATAGGGTAATAATGTTTTGTCTTACGTACTCTGGACAACCACCTTCTCTTATTCTCATGTTTGTTTATGGAGGTTTTATCCAAACAGCTAACTGATCTAATTAATTGAAGGATAATAAAGTTACATTTTCCTTCTTATTTACTCTCTTAATATCAGTTATGTGCCCAATCACCTATGTAATGCTAGGTGCATATAGCTGCTCTCTCTTCCTGTCAAATACACTAATATTAACCTGTGCCATAATTATTTCAATTATTTAATGATAAAGAGTGAGCAAAAAGACTTTCTAATTGATATTTATAAACCCATCCAAATTCAACCCATTATTGGTTCATCTGTAAAAGTTCATCAATAAAAATGAAAGGCTCAAATCACCAAACTTTAGAATTTAGCCATAATGAGTATCATTTAGAAAAAAAAAAGTGTTCTGGCCAAGTGTAGTGGCTCACGCCTGTAACTTCAGCACTTTGGGAGGCCAAGGCAGGCCGATCACCTGAGGTGAGGAGTTCGAGACCAGCCTGACCAACATGGAGAAACCCTGCCTCTATTAAAAATACAAAATTAGCCAGGCATGGTGGCACATGCCTGTAATCCCAACTACTCAGGAGGCAGAGGCAGAATTGCTTGAACCCTGGAGACGGACGTTGCAGCGAGCCGAGATTAAACCATTGCACTCCAGCCTGGGCAACAAGAGTGAAACTCTGTCTCAAAAAAAAAAAAAAAAAAAAGTGTTCCGTGTAGCAAGCTCCCACAGTCTCAGAATAACACTTTTATAACAATATGGCTATTCATTCATTTATATATTCATTCATTTACTCACTCATTAACTTTTATTGAGCCACTACTATGTGACAAGGTCTACAACACTGACTGTGATGAACAAAATTGGAGTGACCTTTGCCCATAATTAATAACCTTTATGAAAACTTTTCTGGTTATTTGTCCTTTAAAATGACAAATAAATGATACAGATATGAAAACTGAGCAGAGTTGTTCACAATATTTTATTTTTATAAACAGCAAGAAACAACTTTTATTTATGATATCTAATACTCCTCACTCTTCTTAAGATTACAAAAATGGCTGGGCATGGTGGCTCACGCCTGTAATACCAGCATTTCGGGAGGCTGAGGTGGGCTGATTACCTGAGGTCAGGAGTTTGAGACCAGCGTGGCCAACATGGTGAAACCCTGTCTCTACTAAAAATACAAAAATTAGCTGGGTGTGGTGGTGCATGCCTGTAATCCCAGCTACTGAAGAGAATGAGGCAGGAGAATGGCTTGAACCCAGGAGGCGGAGGTTGCAGTGAGCCGAGATTATGCCACTGCACTCCAGCCTGGGGGACAGAGCAAGACACCGTCTCACAAAAAAAAGATTACAAAATAAATACCCTGAATAGTGTAACGGCTACCCTTCTACACAACTCTTCACACACTGTCCCCACCTAGAAATAGAATATTGCAAGCTTCTGAAACATACTAACAAAAAGTTAACATAAAGCATTTAACTATGAGCCATCTAAGATGTCCTTACCCTCTTCCAAGTTCATTTGGAGGTATCACATCTATCAGCTCTGTCTAAAACATGTTAGTCTAGTGCAAGTTTTTTCCAATTCTTAAAAAAGAAATGTCTTTCTCTTAGCTGAGGTATGACATTAGAAAATAGTCTGACCAAATGTATAGTCATTTATACTAAATGTATAAATATCCTTATGAGCTGTCTAGGACAAAATTGTAAGAACTGTGTCCTAGATACTAAGTGTTAAAGAGTAAAGGGTTATGACCAGGCACAGTGGCTCACGCCTGTAATCCCAGCACTTTGGGAGCCCCAGGTGGGTGGATCATGAGGTCAGGAGTTCGAGAACAGGCTGGCCCGTATGGTGAAACCCTGTCTGTAATAAAATACAAAAAAAATTAACTGAGCATGATGGTGCGCGCTTGTAATCCCAGCTACACGGGACGGCTAAAGTAGGAAAATTGATTGACGCTGGGAGGTGGAGGTTGCAGTAAGCCAAGATCGCGCCACTGCACTCCAGCCTGGAAAACAGAGCGAGACTCGATCTAATAAAAATTAAAAAAAAAAAAAGAGTAAAGTGTTACACCTGGATTACCACAGCTATACTACTCCATTATAAATATTATTTTTCAACGTAGAAATAATTTTTAAACTCCTCTAATAAATGGGATAGATGGAGCAGTCCAGTCCAGTGAGTTGTAATAAAAAGACACTGGTTAGATGAGAAAACCAACTGGTATAATTTTTTACCTTTTAGTGGTATTCAGCATCATAATATGCACAACTTTATTTTTTAAATGCAAAGAAATTTACCTACCCTAATAAGCCCTTTTACAAAGAGTATCTCAACAAACTCTTTTTCTTTAAAATACATGCTGCTGTGATGATATCCAATCCCCCTTTGTGCTAAAGCCTTCAGTTCTTTGCCGTGTCTTGTAAATCGCACTCGCGGTAATACCCTCTCCAAAGTCTAAAACAAGAAAGAAGTGTAAAACAATTGATGATGTATTTTATTTAATTTCAAGCTCAATCAGAATCAAAGGACATTTTCACAAGCAAATCACTTACATCTTGCACACAGTGAGGCTGCCCTTTGACCCTGAACCTACATGTTTTATGACTACGGAAACAATCTGCCCATTTTTGTGAACAGACTCTCTCAGAAAAGAGGCATTCATAAACCAAAGGGGAAGATGCTATTGAAGCAGCAGATCAAATGCCCAGGACAGATGAGTAAACAATCTTCTGCTGCCTGAGAGAGACAGACTACTTCTCTACTGGAACCTTAGGAGTCCTTTTCAAGCAAAGAGAGAGAGACTTCTCCAAGAAGGCAGAGCGAGATCTCTACTCTAGATGATCAGACAATTCTTACTTCTCACTGAACCACTCACAAGTCATATCCAACCCCTTAAAAATGTCCATACCCTCATAGCCTCACTTCTAAGAATTTATCCTCAGGAGGAAATCCAGCAGTTGGCAAAGATGTCAAAGGTAAAAATGTATTAAGAGAACAAGAAAAAACAATAAAAATAGCCTATGCAGCCTAGAGTAAGACAACTGGTTACATAAATTATAATCATCCACATAAATATATACTATGAAGCTATTAAAATAATAATGTAGCTCTATTGTTGTTGGCAAGAAATAAATAAGTAAGGGAGGAAAGGAGATTACAGACCAATTTGTATATAATATGGCCTTATTTTATTAACGAATAAATACATGAAATGTCTATGTGACTGTGGACATGCTTGTGACTACAGGCAATAGAATAAAAGATCTGATAGAACAGTGAGTCTCTCTGAGCTGTGACATTATTTTTATTTTCTATTTTCAAGTACTTCTGCAATGGACATAAATTACTTGCATAATAAAAAATGTTTAAATGCCATACCATCCTTGGATATTTCAATATCTGTTTAAAGAAATGTTTTGAATGTTATATAGGTCTCTGAAATTGAAACTTTCAGTTGACATTATTTAAAATATATTGTGTCATAAAACCCAAACGTGACCAGAATTAAAATATATCATATTGAATTGAATTCTAGAATCAGGCTATAAACTAATCCAGGATAATAGAGTGAAATAAAATAAGAGGCTGACATTCACACTGAGCAAGGAAGAGTCACTTATAGAACTTTAGCACATTAAATTGGGATAATCATTGCAAAACAAACAAAATCACACACAGAGATAATCATATTTCAAAGGTATTACACAAGTCATTTCAGTGTTCAAAGATATTAAACGATCACTATGATAAAATGTCACAACTGTAACGTATTATATTAATAATTCTCTGACGTACTGAGTCTTTATTCCTGGTAATTTCAGTGTGTAGGGCTTTGACATCAGCATACGTGCAGTCCTCAGAAATTTCCAGAATCTTCAGATTCTCCAGGAAATTAATATATTCAGCTCTATACACTTTTTTTCTTTCCAGTTTTTCAGCCTTCTTTGGGTTTTTTTTAGTGCTACTATTTAAAAAAAAAAAAAAACTTTTAAGTAATGAAAACTCATATTCAGTTACTGCAAGAAGCCTAAGGCCCCACAGATTTCCCTTGGTCATCCGACGTTGACAGTAGCTCCATCAATCCTGACTTGGTCTCCCCTTCCTCACGTGCACTTCCACCATTTCATCTAGAAGTCAGGTCCCCTCATCAGCAAAATCCTCTATATTTTCTTCATTTTCTCTGCATAATTTCTCCTCCTTCACACTGTAACAGATATCCAGTTCTTCTCAGGAAAATTTCTGCTACTGAATCTCTTTTGAGCAGTGGCCAGAGCACAGTGGAAAAGCAAAGGGGGCGGGGTGTGTGGCACAGTCTAGAATTAGTTGGCACATCCCCTGATCCCAGTAACTCTGGTCTTATGAAGAGGGTTCCAGAAAGAAAAGGGTAATTTAAATATCCATGCTGACAGCAGAGACCCTTCCTGACTAGGCCTAAGAGAAAAATTGATTATACCATTAAATACTCTTTATTTTCATGGCCCATATCATTCATTACACATCCAACTTGAAATGTAGTTCCTAGTCCTGAAAAAAGACTGACTGAAGAGAATCAGTCACCGAGAAGACCTGGAGCTCCGACATCTCTCTCCCAGGTATTTTTCCCTTCCCCTACGTCCAAAAAATATACACAACAAGCAGAAAGAAGATCAAAGCAGTGGTGGAAACAATAGAGAGCTTGCCCTAGTCTTTAGGCAACGTCTGAATTAGAAGGGCTACGGAAGTTGTTTCAATATTGTTACAGACTGAATGTTTGTGCCCCCTCAAAACAAATTCATATGTTGAAATCCTAAACTCCATTTGTGATATCAGAAGGTGGGGTCTTTAGGAGGTGATTAAGTCACGAAGACAGAGTTTTCATGAATGGGATTGGCGACCTTATAAAAGAGGCTCCAGAGACATCCCTCGCCCCTTCCACCAAGTAAGGACACAGAGAAGACAGCTCTCTATGAACCAGGAAGCAGCTCTGTCAACATCCTGATCTTGGACTTCCTAACCTCCAGAACTGTGAGAAATAAGTTTCTGTTTAGAAGCCACTTAGTCTATGGTAACTTGTTATGGACTAAGACAAATGTTGAGGGAAGGTTTAATTAGTCTTTCAAAAGTATTTATGAAGCACTATTACTATGTGCCAGGCAATATGCTATTACTGAGGGACTCAAAGAAGAATATGCACAGTTCTGGTAAGGGAACTCCCAATCTAAAGAAAATAAAGATATGGAAACAACTGCAATGCAGTGTTATAATTAATCCAAATGCTTTAATGATTCAAAGTGGAATGAGAACAAAAGACAAAGGGTAATAGATCTATCTGAGGCAATCATTATAAACTTCAGAGAGAAGACAGATTTTAAACAAAAGATGTGGGGGAAATGAGCAGATTTATGAGCTAACAGGAAGGAAGGCCCTCCAGGTAGATGCAGTGTGTGCTACATAGATTCAGATGGTGGAGAGCAATTCATGTGAGTGCCTACCCATTAACAACCCTACCAAGCCATTCAGAAGGAAGAACTTTGTATGTACGACAATCTAACTAAATGTGCACATTAGAACTGATGGCAGCAGTGGCTAATCTGGAGCGGCCGCTGCCAGGACACCGGCTGCAGTGGGAGAGGCAAGGCCAGGGCTGCGTGCTCCATGGAGCCAGCAGAAGCTGGGAACAGGTGGAAGTCCTGCCCACTTCTGAGTTGACAGGGTGGGAGACGCCTTCCCCAGGCACAGCTGTAGCCACCCAAGCTGCAGCTGCAGCTGCAGACCCAGGCATCCCTGTGCTCTTGGGGGCTGGGAGCAGGCAGGAGCCCCGCCCTTATGGGAATAGCTGCAGCCACCCAAGCCATGGCTGCAGACCCGGGCCTCCCCGTGCACTTGGGTGCCAGGAGTGGACAGGAGCCCCATCCTTCCAGATATAGCTGCAGCCACCCAAGCTGCAACTGTGGACCCAGGCATCTCCACACTCTCGGGGGCCCAGGAAGGCCCCCTTCCCTCTGCAGGTTTGGAAGCACCTGCTCCCACTACCTGGCCTCTCTCTGCTCCAAGTCCCTACTCCACAGGCTCAGAAGTGTCTGCTCCTGCTGCCTGGCCTCTCCCTGCTCCTGGCACCCACTCCAAACTCAGAGAAAAGTTGAGGCCAAGCCTAGGTGCTGTCACAACCTAGCCAGGTGTGTGCACGCTCAGGACAGCGCTGACATGCCAGCCCCCTGTTGACTCGGCTGTTTCCAGACATTGAGTGCCAGTGAGCATGGGAGGGAGGCCAAAGTGGGGGCTAAGAGCAGCTCGGCACTGGCCTGCAGGCGGCCCTTTGGCACAAAGAGCCTGGGTGCCATGAACAGCAGCAGGAGGCAGACAGGCTCGGAGCAGAAAGGAGTGGGTCCCTGGTGAAGTCCCACCTTCAAGCTGAGAAAGGCCTGAAACCTGGGGGCTGGGCTGCCAGTCCTGTGGACCAGAGTGGGAACTTAACGGTGCTTTCTCCAGGCCTGCCCATGGCCACCCATGGACCAATCAGCACACACTTCTTCCCCTCTGAATCCTATATAAACCTCAGACTCAGCCAGACTTGAGGACTCAACAGACGACCAGCTTCCGAGAGGAGCTACCCACTCCAGGGTCTCCTCTCTGCTGAGAGCTGAGCAGATGTCAGGATTACCAGCTACGGAGGGGAGCTACCCACTCCAGGGCCTCATCTCTGCTAAAAGCTGAGGACTCAACAGGGCAACCAACTGCAAAGAGGAGTGACCCACTCCAGGGTCTTCTCTCCACTGAGAGCTAAGCACTTGATGGGATTACCTGCCTGCAGAGAGGAGCAACCCACTCCAGGGTCTCCTCTCTGCTAAGAGCTCAACACTCAATGGGACATCCCACCTGCAGAGAGAAGCTACCCACTGCAGGTCTCCTCTGAGCTGTTCCATTTCTCAATAAAGCTCTTCTTCACCTTGCTTACCCTCCACTTGTCTGTGTACCTCATTCTTCCTGGATACGGGACAAGAACTTGGGACCACTGAATGGCAGGGCTAAAAGACCTGTAACACAAACAGGGCTGAAACACACCCCTTGCTTGCCACGTTATGGGTGATGAGCTGGAGAGAAGAGAGAAGGAGAGAAGAGCTGCAGCCCTTCAGGGAGCCAGACCTAGGAGCTCCCCAAGCCATGGCTGTGATAACTTCTTTGGGGCTCTGCAGTTCCTGGCATCTCTGGGCACCACCATGTTCCCCCATGCCAGCCGTGGAAGCTGCTTGCAGTACGCCTGGTCCAGCCCCAGCCTCACAGGAAGCTGGTGCCCGTGACAGTGCCTGGAGCTGCCCACCCCTCTGCAGCTAGCATGCCTGGCTGTGTGCAGCAAAGGTGCCATTGGCCACAGAGGTTTCCGGCCAGAAAAGCAACACCCGTAACAGAATCCCATAACAGAACAACCAGACCAGCACCTGTATTTCAATAACATTGGAACAGGTGAACCTGGAACAAGAAATTACACATGAGAAAGACTCCAAAGAATGCCAAATAACAAATGGCAAGGACCTGAACCAAGGCAGAGCCAGTAAGTGAGGATGGAGAGGATGGCAAGGAGAGAAGAAATATTTTGACCATGGAACTGTCAGAATTAATCAGACCTTGGGGAGAAAGGAAAAAAAAATCACAGCAGTGAAGTCCTACCCCAAGCATACGATTGGTATGGCAATTCATTCTATAGGCCATTCTTTTGTTTTTAAGTTTTATTTTAAGTTCAATGGTACATGTGCAGATTTGTTATATAGGTAAACTTAGGTCATGAGAGTTTGTTGTACAGATTATTTCATAACCCAGGTATTAAGCCTAGTGCCTATTAGGTATTTCTCCTGATCCTCTCTCTCCCTTTTCCTCCCACCCTCCACCCTCGGATAGGCCCCAGTGTGTGTTGTTCCCCTCTATGTGTCCATGTATTCTCATAATTTACTTCCTACTTATAAGTGAGAACATGTAGTATTTGGTTTTCTGTTCCTGCATTAGTTTGCTAAGAATAATGGCCTACAGCTCTATCAATGTCCCTGTAAAGGACATAATCTCATTCTTTTTTATGGCTGCATAGTATTCCTTGGTGTACATGTACCACATTTTCCTTATCCAGTCTATCATTGATGGGCATCTAGGTTGATTCCATGTCTTTGCTATTGTGAATGGTGCTTCAGTGAACATATGCATGCATGTATCTTTACAACAGAATGATTTATATTCCTTTGGGTAGACGCCCAGCAATGGGATTGCTGGGTTGAATGGTATTTCTGTCTTTTGGTCTTTGAGGAATCACCACACTATCTTCCACAATGGTTGAACTAATTTACACTCCCACCAATAGTGAATAAGCGTTCTACAGACCAGGAAACCTCCAGGTTGTGGCCTAGGGCATGAATGCAGGTTATGGTTAAGTAGGCTGAGGGCCTCCTAGGAGGCCCAGTTGACCCTTAGGCTTACAGGCTGTAGTCCCACCTCCCCGATTCCTAAATGAAATCCATCTACATGTATAAGAGGGATTCCCTTCCTCCCATCCTCCCACCCAAATTTACTCTATTTGCAAAAACTGTGAAGCAATAACAAGAACCTCTTTGTGGCTCAGGTCTCTAAACATTTCTGACAGTGTCTTGTAAATATTTTAGTCTTCAGGGGCCAATTTGTTTAAGTAAACATTAATACTTACATCCTTTTCTGTGTCTTCCTCACTTTTTCAAGTACTTCATCTATTGCAAAGACATAACTATGACATTCAGTGTGGGGATGGCTTTTTGTCTCTGTCTTCTCCAGAAAAGTGCACACACTTCCAGCTCTTTTTCCCACATCATCATTCTTAAACCTTAAAACAAATGAAAACAGTGCTTTGAAAAGACTATGTTTCTATCCATATTGTAAACCAAAAATAAAATTATAAGGCCCCTCAATCATCTGAATAGACTTCATCCTAGGCCAGGGCACTCTAAAATTTAAACTGAAAGACTGGTTTAAGCCCCGATGGGAAGTAGGGGTTCAACATACCTCTCGATACTCTCCAGCATTAACACCAATGTAGACCTTAAGTCTGATAAGAAACATTTACAGTCTATTCTCTCTGAAGCCAGCTACCTGGAGGCTTCATGTGCCTGGTAAAACTCTGGTCTCCACAACCTCTTATCATAACCCAGACATCCCTTTCTGTTGATAACTATTTCAACCAATTCCCAATCAGAAAATTTTTAAATCTACCTGTAACCTGGAAGCCTCCCTCCCCAACTTTGAGTTGTCCTGCCTTTCTGGACCAAACCAAGGTATATGTTAAATGTATTTGATTAATGTCTCATATCTCCCTAAAATGTATAAAACCAAGCTGTAGCCCTTGGGCACATGTTCTCAGGATCTCCTGTGGGATGTGTCACAGGCCATGGTCACTCATATTTGGCTCGGAATAAATCTCTTCAAATACTTTAGGGAGTTTGACAATATCATATGTCCATTTACCATGATCATCTTGACATACAGTTTGCTAGAAAAAAATGTTTTGGCTCAATGTATGTAATGTCCAGTAATATAACACTCATTCTAGGCTGAGTTCACCATAGAATTTTTTCGAATACTACTTGTGAGGCCATGGATTTACTAGCATGTTTAGAAAACAGACTTCGAAAAGAAATCCTATTTAGCTGATCAGCATTAAATTAATACACTGAAGAAACAAAGACTAGGAAAGTCACAGTCTACTATGCATGGTAAGAAGATCTGGTATGTAAAAAAGCAAAAATAATAATAGCAAACAATGACCAAGTTCCAGGCACTGTTCTATGTGGCTTCAATATATTAACTAATTTAATCTCTACCATGACGTTATGAGGAAGGTAATATTATCTCTGTTTTGCAGATGAAGAAGTAAATGCCAAAGGAAATTTTAAAATGTCTTCAAGGTCACATAGCCTAGTAACTGGTCAGGTTAAGATTAGAACCCGGGCAACTCAGCTTCAACTTCAGAGGCTTTTTTTTTTTTTTTTTTTTTGAGACAGGCTCTTGCTCTGTCGCCCAGACTGGAGTACAGTGGTGCACTCGCAGCTCACTGAAGCAGAGGCTATATGTCTAACTGCACTTCTAAATTTGCTTCCGTGTTCACAGTAATAGAAGTTAATATGCAACACCCACATACTACTGGTTGCAAACAGTACTCTAAATGACAGCATTAAATGATTCTTCTTACTGCTTTAACACAAACAAACCTAGGTCATCTAGAATTAATTTTCCTTTTTCAATCCCTCTGATAATCTATGACAAGAGTCCAGTGTAAAAAAAAAAAAAATTCTAGTGAATGGGCCTCAATCAGTCATGTTTTCTACTGATTAGTTAAGTGTTTTATATAAATTATTTCATTTAACCCATATCACAACCCAATGAATTAGTTATTATCTCCATTTTTCAAATGAGGCTGCAAGAAGCTAAATAGATTTTCAGAAGTCACATAGCCAAAGGAGGGCAGAGCTGCAGTTTAAGCTAAGATTTGACCCAAAGTATGCGCTCTTAACTACGCCTCTACATGGGCACCAGTCACTAATCATGCATCTTGTCAGCACCATGTGTTTTTTCTAGGGTCCAGATTAGGGAAGGGAAGTTGACCCAGCTTGAGCCTAAACCAACTGTCATAGAGTTCTCAATGTTCCAGAGCTACAAACCAGTGGACTCAACCTAGGATTTCTGTAGCATATTTTCAAGACAACTGGAAACTCCGTTAAAGCTGGCAAAGATCTCGTTCCCAAACATTTAAAATGTCTATTTTTAAAAATAATTTATTTTACAAAAGTAAATGCATGTAAGTGTATAAATAATGAATCCTGTTTCTGTTCAGATTCCTATCCCAAAGTCATACTTTCAGCCATTCCTCAGTGATATATAGGGGTACATTTGTTTCTAACTAAAATTCAGAGCCACACTGGAAAGTAATCTAGATAGATGTTATAACATGTTGGCAGAATACCTCATTTGTTTACTCTGGTCCAAGCACAAAAGAAGAAGAAATTTTCTTGTAATTCCCCACATTTGTGACTTCAGTCATACTACTCTTTAATTTCTCTTATCATCATCTTTTGGTTACTGACCACCAGCACGGACTTCGGATGCGTAACAGAACACATGTGGCTTAGTGCTACCATTTAACGTATCTACACACCTATGTGTTTGTGTGTTTGTCTTTGTAAACAACTTCACATTACCATTGGATCAAGGTCCTGGGAATTTATTTTATGCAAATTTTCGTAGTTAAAATAATTTAAAATTCTCTGGGCTAAATAAGTTTTTTGGTTCTGATTATTAGAGTGGGTCCAGGGTACACAGTGTTACCCACTTAATGTGTCCCACTTCGGTTCTCCTAATCAAAGAGAGATGCTAAATACCACTCAAGGTCTTTTTAGTATACCACACCATATCAAGGAAAGCCTCTGGGCTTAGTTTTCTTAGCTATAAATTAAAAACCAAACATTCAATAAATTATGAATGCTTTATGTGTTTTACATCTGTACATGAAAAATGCAATTTAGTTCCTAAAGGAACATTTCTAAAGTTAATGATAGTTGCTTACAAAAAGAAATTTAGGAAAGCTGAAAACCTTTTTAAAAATCAAAAGTCAAGGAAGTAAGAGGGTAATAAGATGAAAAATTTTATAAGGATTGACCTAGAAGACTGACCCATTTCTTTAAAAATAAAATCTATATTATTTTTCTAAAATGCAACAAAATGGTAAAAGTAGGGTTACTTCTAACCACTATATATAAATGAGACTAATTGAAAACAAAACCAAACAAAAAATTCTCACATATAAACAAAGATAAATTAAGTTTCAGTTACTTACAAAAAAAATATTGCAGGCAACTTATCCATTTGTCTTAACTTTTCAACAAGAAGAGGAAACATTTTCACCATATCTTTTGAACTAGACAATGAATCCGGACTAAGGTTCTTCAGTACTCTTTTGACCTACAACAGTAAGTAAAAATTATTTAAAAAAAAAAAAAGAATTTGTGGAAACAGAAGAAAGAAAGGAATTATTTTGTTGTCTAAAATTAGAATAATTTTTCATATATAATTTTGGGTGGGTTTTTAAAATAGTCCTTTAATATTATCAAGTAGTGGTAAAAGTCAACAGAGTCACAGACATCTCTATACTAAAGAATAGATAATAAAAGATATAAAATATAATATATGATATTTTGTAGGTACTACAAATAAGTCAGTAGGATAAGGATGTTCATAAAATGTTGCTGTTTCAACTGTTGCAGGAAGAGTGACAAAGGGTTTCTCCAGTTATTATATAACAAAATAGCTGCCAAATATGTTAAGGAGTATATAAAACCTATAATGGAAAAGAAATTTAATTTCTTAAAATTAAAAAGAAAAAGTTTTAACTATGTCTACCAATAATTTGTAATAGTATACAGACATGTTTATAATGCTTAACTGAAAATTCAAGAGATAAGTGAGTCACAAAATACAATGGCCAATAGAAGTGTAATAAGTTGTTCACCTCAGATATTGTTGAAATTGTGGATAGTAACTTTTATCCTACTATTCCATATTTGATAATTTTTTTATAAACAGCATCTACCTCTTTTTTAATCAGAAAAAATAAATGTTATTTTACATCAGGAAAATTAACATTAAATTCCTTTACATAATATACAATGGAAAATCTTTGATGAAATAGTTATGGCTATCATGAATAATTTTCTTGACAAAGTTATTTTCCAGTTTAATTATCATTTGAGGGGTGGCAAATAGGGACATCCTTGGTATTCAGTTTTCCCCTGATTAACATTTAATGGAACACAGCATTCTGTGCCAAACAGGCTAAATTATTTGTAATATTTCCTAACATCAGTATCATTTTTTTTTTTTTTGAAGATGAGTCTCCCTCTGTTGCCCAGACTGGAGTACAGTGGCATGATCTTGGCTCACTGCAACCTCTGCCTCCCAGGCTCAAGTGATTCTTCCACTTCAATCTCCAGAGTAGCTAGGATTACAGGCATGCGCCACCACATCTGGCTAATTTTTGTATTTTTTTAGAGACAGGATTTCACCATGTTGGCCAGGCTGGTCACAAGCTTCTGGCCTCAAGTGATCCACTCGCCTCAGCTTCCCAAAGTGCTGGGATTATAGGTGTGAGCCACCACTCCCGGCCAACCCATACCATTTTTATCTTTATTTCTTTCACCACCAGAGTGAAAAATGCAAATAAACATGACAGTCAGCAAACTAGAACCAAAGATGCATCAATGTTATGCTCAAAGATATCTTTGCTTCTCAGCATAGCCACCTACGAGTCTGTCATCTATAAATTTGCCTGAGCCTCTTTCAGGTATATTTATATTTTCTCATTTATCATCATGTACATGAGTTTCAGAAATTGGTTATTTTTAAATAATTTATTTTTATTTGCACAAAACTTTCTTAGATTAGCCCCTGTACTAATTCCTGATCTCCACTATCATTCCTCTGGAGCCAGTCCCTCTTCTGTGAAAGCCTCGGCAACATTGGTTCTCCTGTTAAAGTTAAAGGTTCTTCGTTTTTAGCTGTTTGTAGCTGTTACCTGAAGAAACCAAAAGCCTATGGTGCATGTTTTAAAGGTCACTGAGCTAAGAAATGAAACCATTTCCCTCCTCCTTTATTCTATCTCATACTCACTGGATAACATGTTTAAATGGAATTACTAAAACAAAAATCGGAATAAAAAGATTACAAAACATTTATTGGCTAAATTATTATGCAACTCCAAACAATTAACAATTAAGTGAAACTTTGTCCAAGAAAGTGTGAAAATTACCTTCTTCACTTGGCCATTTTTAATCCAATTTGTCAATTCTGCCTTTAAGTTTTCTTCATATTTTCTAGCATCCAACTTCTTAATGACTATCTTATTCTTAAAAAGAATGAATTCCTCTGGACACAATTCCTTGGGGGGAAAATTATCACAAAATTAAGCTAAGCTATGCAATCTATAGTAAGAAAAATACAATGATGTATTTAAGTTTACTTGTCTCCTTAACAAAATTGCAAACTCCTTGAGGGCAGAGGCTGTTGAACATCTTTTTACCTCCCAATAATTTCTAACACATAAACCTATGATGATGGGTGAACTCTTCAAAAGAAAGAATACAGGGCACAGCTGATGAAAAGATGAAAACCAACAGAGAAGAGAATAGAGGAATATAAGTCCAAAAACACAATTAAAGTAGTATGGTATCCCAAAAGCTAAAAGAAGACATATTTTTGAGAATTACAGAATATTCCATGCTACGTACAATAATAAAGTCACAAAGAATGGCTGAAAATAAGAAAAAATAACTGATTATTTCAAAATAGCAGCATCAACCAAGTAGAGAGAATAAGTGTGCTTACCTGTAGAGTAATTTTGCTATATTCTGGAATAGCATTAACTAAAGTTCATTTTGGTGAATATATATTTCTATATTTACCTGAGCCCTGGGCCAAGTTTCCCAGACTTGAGCCATGGTATCATAAAGCTGGATGCTTTCTTGAGGGGTGAGGGTAAGATCAGGTGGGAATCCATACTTTTCAATCTGTGAATAAACAAATTAATGGATGGATGAAGAAATAAAATTACAATGTTTATATTTCTTTTATTTTATCTTTCATGACTAAACCCTCAAGTCTTTACCTGTGAATCCAGGGACATTAAAAGGCAATCAACTGTAATATTTCACCTCTGCAAGGATCTGTTAATAAAGTCTTAACAAAGTAGCATCCCTAACCTGCTGAAATGGAAAACTTCAAAATCCACTAATAAGTTTCAGTACTATTTCCTGAGACTATTTGCACTAGATAATAAACTAACACTGCTCTATGAAACTTCCTTAGAATGCCAGTGAGGGTACTGGGTGGCTGGAAAATATGAGCTCTTACAGAATAGCCTCAGTTTAGACAAAAAATATACCTTTCTTTTTGAAATATCCCTTTGAAACAGACATTAAAATGTGTTTAGTGATGAAGATGATTTTATGGGTACCAAGCCACGTAAAAAGGGACAAACCTTTGCCCCTAGAGATCCAATACAAGAGCCGGATCAAGTTTATAAGGGCAAAGACCCTCAGACAACCTTCAGATACTCAAAGAAATTTCTACCTGATGGTTACCCTGGTTACTGATCAGCTTCCGTCTGAAGCCTTTAGAACTCATGCACTACTTTTTCTCTCACAAATACTGTTGATGTTAGTTGTGTGCAAAGCACCATGTAGGGTACAAGAACAAATCCTGTCCTCATAGCCTTTGTGTTCTATACTCTTTTGGCTTCAATCACCACTTCTTCGAATCCATTATGTACAAAAGGGATAAAGTAACATCTAAACCGTAACACCAAGAAAAAAATTAAAGATGAGTAACTATGGGAAAGGCCCTATTAAGCAAGTTAACCAAGTATCTTTATGTCAAGGTTTCTGTTATGTTCATGTGTACTGTGAATCTCTAAGAAAGGGACAGGATATCACACTTCTCCCAAATATACTTGAGGAAGGAACCCTTCCTTTAAAAAATGCCTATTACTGGTTTCTAGAAGATTGGAAATACTGGGCTAAAGGAGCCACTCCAAAGATAGAGTTCAGAAAGCAAAGAAAGGCTGTTTGATGGACTGTACCGCACAGCTGGGTTCTAATCACAGCTCTAATCACTACTCCCTGGGGTTCTGTTTTTCTTGTCTATAATATGAGAATGACAATGTCTTCATTGCTTGTCTTCAAGATTGTGGTGAGATTCAAGAGGTTAATATAGCAAGGTTTTCTTTTTATTCTATGTTATGCAACATAAAGAATCATCATTTAGCAATTCTCAGATTGAATTTATGAAGCTAGCTAGTTGGCAGGGACTTCATTTGAACACACTAGTAACTGTATTCATTATCTCAGAAGGTGAGGATTTCAGTATCTCATAAACTGCATCTTGCAGGTGACCAAATATTCTGTCTATAAATGAAGCCATTCTTGACTTAAGTAATTAGTTTTCTAAGAATTATCAAGTACATACTAATGCTGTGCTTCTATTTTGGTCTCTAGAATAATAGTGATTCATTTTCAAAGCATCTCCCTTCCTTTATGAATGCCTTGGTTTCCCGTCTCTAAAATGGGAATAATTATCCTTACACCACAGATTTGTTGTGAGGATTAAATGATATAATGTATACAATATGCTGTTAAAATGCCTGACTCTTTTTGAGTATCCCATCCATCATAGTGACTGATTATTAACTTTCAGGTATTCTTTTTCATCACTTTGTCAACTGTATCACTAAAAGGATATATTCAATTCAATTGTTCTCCTCTGCACAACATGTAATTAGCTGGTTTCTCTTAAGCTGGCCTAGATAATACATAAAATTATATAGAAAGACAATATATAAAAGATCATTATATGGTTGTATCGGTTTGTACTTCTTCATTCATAAACAAAAGCATATCATACCACAATGCTCCTTTTGAAAAAAAAATTAAAATGAACAAAAAATAAGTAAAAAAGTTACATACTAAGCATTTATCAGAACTACACAGAAAGAGACAGACAGTAGTTCTTTCGAGGACTGCCTGGTGCCGACAGCCTCTTTGGGCACTGAGCAGCTGTTCTTTTACGGCAGCATAATTTGTAGGAAGGCTGTGCAGCTCTTCCCTTAGCCCAGGAACAAGCCATATATGGATTGCAGTGATCCCTCACCACAGCTGGATTAAAGCCAGCTCACTCATCCTGTTCCCATGCCTTCCTTCCCAAAGCTATTTCCATGAGTGTTACAGAGAATAAATCCAAGGTTAGAAGGTTCCTTTACATTCTTCTCCTGTTGCTTCAATGTATTCTGCTTCCCCTCATGAATGAACAATTTCAGTGTAATCTCATGAATACTATACTCATTTGGATAGACCATCTTGCTATTGTCATTGCTATCTTAGGAGCACGAAGAAAGGTCTTATATAAATGCACACCTCACAAATTTAACCAGTTGTCTAAGCATTTTAAGAAGCATGTCTCTCTAGTTGTCTAGTTACTTTACAAAAGTAAAGTATCACAGAGTAAAGAGCTGAGAAGATTCATACAACAGCACAGCTCTGCAGAAGTCATACAGGGTCAGAACACACTGTAATGGTTCTGTTGCTTTCCAATTACTCCATTAATAGCTACTGAGAATAGACGAAGGCACATGGCCAAAATGATGATCTTACCAAGAACTCCAGGCCACTGTACTCACAAATGCTTAAAGGTAACTTACCTTAAATCACTCTAAGCAGAGTAAACCATTAAAAAATTATAAAATACTATGCAACTAAAAACTTGCTGAAAATTCAATGCTGAAGATATCAAAATATAATTGGAAGGCTTAAAGAGTGATGTATGCTTATCATATATCTATTCCCTAAGCACAGAGTCAGAGAAATAGGGAGGGATAGGGACAGAAATGCCATTTGGAATGAGTCACTGCAAAGCCAAGAAAAAACTACATAATAAAATTATGTTTGAAAATGTCTGGAAGACAGAATCACTTTAAGTGAGTTTTACATGCCCTTAATCACCATAGCTCAGAATCTATGAAGTAATTTCCATTTAATTCCTTACTCGTGCATTCGATCCACAAATTATTTAGTATAACACTATGATTAAGAACATTAGGCTTTGGGGTCAGAACTTCTGAGTTTGTACCATAGTCTGACAATTACTAACTGAGTCCTTGGACTAGTTAAACAACCTCACTAGCCCTCTTTTTCCTCATCTGTAAGTTGGGAATAATTATAGTACATTTATTATAAAGATGTTGTGAAGGTTAAAAGAGAAATATATATAAATATTAACAAGTGCCTGCCACGTAAATTCTCAACACATCTTTGCAATCATCATTCCACAAATATTTACTGAGCAACTTTTGTGTATATGGCACTATGAGCTAGCTATAAGGTAATCCAGGGGTGAAAAAGTGCAAAATTTTTCATTAACAATTTTATAATTTAATAAGAAAAAGAAGACATGAAAGCAAAAAATTATAACAGCAGGCTAAACATAATTGGTGTCATTTAAAAAGTACAAATAATAAGTTACATATTATCAGAAAAGAAGATTAATTCCATCCATGTGGAGAGATCATAGAAAGACTTCTGGAAAAAAAAATCTCACATTAGCAAAGACATGGAAGACGAATAGAATCTGGAAACTTAGAGTTTGGCATCTGGAATGAAGCATTCCAGGTATAGTACACAGCATGAACCCTTTAGGTAAGCTACATCCAGGGTTTGAGTGAAAAGCTGAGGAAAGTCTAAGTTATAGAAGATTTGAATGCCAGGCTACAAAGTCTGAAATTTATTTCCAGTGGAGAAACATTGAAGACTTTTGAGTAGAATAAGGACAGGATCAGAATTATGTTTTAGGAAGATAAATGGAACAGCATAATTTTGGATATAAAGTAATAAAAAAAGGACCAACTATTGGCTAATGTCATTATATCTTCACAAGGCAACTTGAACCTATATAATTTAATAACAGAGATAGGATGGAAAAAGAGGAGAGAATAGCAGGAGAAATTAATGTCTTCCCACACTCATAATCCAGTGCCTCAAGTGAGATCTCCGAAAACTTCATCTTCTCAATCCACCATGAAAAAAGTCATGTTCCGATTTTTATGTTGGTAGGAAATGTCTCTTCCCTGTTCAGATCATTTGGTAATGGGAACTTCGGACATGAATGAGGACTGCCAATACAGTTGTGGCAGCACTGTTAGTCACAGAGAAGTAGAAGACAGAAATAGATACTAAGAAGCCGTAAATAGGAAAGGATAATGTCTGTAAATAAAGAAAAGGAATAAACTAACCAAAGAACCCGAATTAGAACTCTCCATTACTTCCTCTCCAGTTATTAAACTTTGGGTGTCCCAAATGACTTTGAGGATCTAATGAAAGCTAGAAGAATGTATACACACACAATTTAGGGGTTTTTCACTTTTCTATGAAGTCCATCCTTGATGTCCGTGTACCTGAGGTTAAGATTATCTGTAAAGATGGCCTAATAGAAGCCTCCTGTGAGAATCAGCCCCTACAGGAACTCCAAATTGAACAACTATGCACACAAAAGGCACCTTTATAAGAACCAAAAATCAGGTGAGTGATCACAGTATCTGGTTTTAACTCTGTATCACTGAAGGAGGCACTGAAGAGGGCAGGAAAGACAGTGTCGACCTGCCAATGCCACCCATCCCACATCCTCCAGCAGTGGCCACATGGCATGCAGAGAGAGTCTGTGCACTTGGAAGAGGGAAAGCATGGTGACTGGGACTTTGCATTAGAATTCAGTGTTACCCTGTCACAGCGAAAAGCAACACCAGGCAGAACTCAGCTGGCACCAGTGGAGGGAGCATTTAGACTAGCCTGACCCAGAGGAGAACTGCCCATCCCAGCAGTCGAAACCTGACTTCCAGGATGGGTAATTCTGAAACTGGCAAGCTCGTCACTGGGGGTTAAAGTGCCCGAGGGTCCTAAATAAACTTGAAAAGCAGCCTAGGCCACAAGGACTACAATTCCTGGGCAAGTCATGGTGCTGTGCTGGGCTCAGAGCCTATGGACTTGGGGTGTATGCAATCTACTGAGACACCAGCTGAGGAGAGCTAGGGAGTGATTGCATCATCCCTCCCCCAACCCTAAGCAGTGCAGCTCGCAGCTCTGAGCAAAACTCCTCCCTTCTGCTTGCTGAGAGGAGAGGGAAGAGTAAAGACGACTTTGTCTTCAAACTTGGACACCAGCTTAGCCACAGTAGGATAGAGCACTGAGCAAAGTCATGAGGCCCCCATTCCAGGCCCTCGCTCCCAGACCTTTCTAGACACATGCTGAAACCTGCTGCCTTGAAAAGATGGACCCAGATTTGGCAGGATTCATCACCCACTGAATAAAGAGCACTTGGGCCCTGAATAAGCAGCAGTGGTAGCTAGGTAGTACGTGGCCGTGTGCCTGGGGTGATACTCTGAGGCATGCTGGCTTCAGATATGACCCAGCACCTTCCTAGCTGTGGTGGCTATGGGGAGAGACTACTTCTGCTTGAAGAAAAGAGAGGGAAGAGTAAATGGGACTTTGTCTTGCAGCTCAGATGCCAACTCAGGCACAGTGGAGTAGAGCACTGAGCAGGCTCTTGGGGTCCCCAAGTGCAGGCCCTGGCTCTTGGATGGCATCTCTGAACTTACCCTGGGCCAGAGAAAAGCCTGTTGGCCTGAAGGGAGAGACCCAGGCCTTGTAGCATTCACCATAAGCTGACTGAAGAGGCCTTGGGCCTTGAGTGAAGATTAGCAGTAGCCAGGAAAAACTCACCATGGGCCAGGGCCGCTGGTGGTCACAGAGAGAGACTCCTCTACTTGTGGGAAAAAAAAAGGGAAGAGTAGATAGATCCTGACTCCAAGCCCTGGATCCCAAACAACATCTCTGGACCCACGTGAGATCCGGGGAACCTGCCACCTTGAAGAAAAGGACACCAGCCTGGCTGGCTTCACCACCTACTGATTGTAGAGTCCTCAGGCCTTGAATGAAAATTGGCAGTAGCCAGACAATGATTATTGTGAGCCTAGGGCAATACCTAGTGCTGTGCTTGATTCCATTCTAACCCAGTGCAGTCTCTGCAGTGGAGACCACAGGGATGCTATGTTGCTTTCTCTTCCCAGCTCCAGGCAGCTCAACACAGAGAAAAAGATTCCATTTGTTTGGGAGACAGTAAGGGAAGAAAACTAAAGTCTCTGATAATCCAGAGAATTATTCAGGATCTTATCCAAATCACCAAAGTGGTTCCTCTATGAGACTGCAAGAGCCACAGCCTCACTGAGCTTGGGGTGCCCCCCAGTGCAGATAATGGCTGCAGTGACCAAAATCTTAGATCACAACATCCAAGTCCCTCCAAATACCTGGGAAGCCTTCTCAAGGACAAGTACAAATAAGCCCAGACTGTGAAGACTACAATAAATGCCTAACTACTTAATGTCTAAGCATCAATGAATATCCACAAGCATCAAGACCATCCAGGAAAATATGACCTCACCTAATGAACTAAATAAGGTACCAGGAACCAATTATGGAAAGACAAAGATATGTGACTTTTCAGGCCGATAATTTAAAATAGCTGTTTTGAGGAAACTCAAAAAGCCAGTATTACCCTGATATCAAAACAAGGCAAAGACACATTAAAAAAAGAAAACTACAGGCCAATATCCCTGATGAATATTAATGCAAAACTCCTCAACAAAATGCTAGCGAACTGAGTTAAACAACACATTTAAAAGATATTTCATTATGGCCACATGGGATTTATCACAGCAATGTAGGGATGGTTCTACATACACAAATCAATGTGATATATAATATCAATAGAATGATAGCAGGATCCTATTAGATAAATTTAACAAAGATATTGAAATAATTAAAAAGAATCAAGCAAAAGCTGACATACTGAAGAATCCACCAGAGTCTCTTGATAGCAAAATTAATCAAGCAGAAGTGAGCATTAGTGAGCCTGAAGAAAGGCTATTTGAAAATATATAGTCAAAAGAGAAAAAAGAAAAGAGAATTAAAAATGATAAAAGCATTCCTGTAAGATATAGAAAATAGCCTCAAAAGGGCAAATCTAAGATTTATTGGCCTTAAAGGGGCTTAAAACCCCTAGAGTGAGGAGAAAGTTTATTCAAAGGGATAATAACAGAAAACTTCCCAAACCTAGAGAAATATACCAATACTCATATACAAGAAGATATAGAACACCAAGCAGATTTAACCCAAAGAAGACTATCTCAAGACATTTAATAATCATACTCCCAAAGGTCAAGAATAAAGAAAGGATCCTAAAAGCAGCAAGAGAAAAGAAACAAATAACACAATGGTGCTCCTATATGTCTGGCAGCAGACTTCTCAGTGGAAACCTCACAGGCCAGAAGAGAGTGGCATGACATAAAGGGCTGAAGGAAAAAATCTTTTATCATGGGATAGTATATCCAGTGAAAATATCCTTCAGACATGAAGGAGAAATAAAGACTTCCTCAGACAAAAGCTAAGAGATTTCAGCAACACCTGTCCTACAAGAAGTGCTAAAGGGAGTTCTTCAGTGGGAAAGAAAAGGATGTTAATGAGCATTAAGAAACCACCTGAAGGTAAAAAAACTTACTAGTAAGTACACAGAAAAACACAGAATATTATAACATTGTAATTGTGATATGAGTATATCTTCAGTAGAAAGACAAAACAATGAACCTATCACAAATTACAGCCACAGCAACTTTTCAAGACAGACAATACAATAAGATATTAATAGAAACAACAAAAAGTCAAAAAACTAAAACTAGAGCTACCTTATGATCCAGCAATACCACTGCTACATATATACTTAAAAAAAAGGAAATCAGTATATCAAAGAGGTATCCGGACTCTCATGTTTATTGCAGCGCCATTCACAATAGCCAAGATTTGGAAGAAACCTAAGTGCCCATCAACAAATTAATGAATAAAGAAAATGTGGCACTTAAAAACAGTGGAATACCATTCAGCCATAAAAAAAAATAAGATCCTATCGTTTGCAACAACATAGATGGAATTGGATGTCACTATGTTAAGTGAAATAAGCCAGGCACAGAAAGAAAAACTTCACGTGTTCTAACTTATCTGTGGGAGCTAAAAATTAAAACAATGGAATGCATGGAGACAGAGAGTAGAGTGATGGTTACCAGAGGCTAGCAAAGACAGTGGGTTGGGTGGAAGAGGGAATGGTTAATGAGCACAAAAAAATAGATAGAATAAATAAGATCTAGTATGTGATAGCACAACAGAGGGATTATAGCTAACAGTAATTTATTGTATATTTTAAAATAACTAAAAGAGTAGAATTGGATTGTGCTTAAGGTAATGGATACATACCTCATTTAGTCTGATGTGGTTATTATGCTTGAGGTAATGGATACATAATTACCATTGTGTATCCATTAAAGGATAAATGCTTGAGGTAGTGGATACATACCTCATTTAGTCTGACGTGGTTATTATGCATTGCATGTCTGTATCAAAATATCTCATGTGCCCCATATATACAGCTACTTTAGATGCCCACAAAATTAAAAATAAAAAATGTATTAAATTTAAAAAATCAATGAATAAAATAAAAGAATCAGTAAAGAAAGAAAAAGATTATCTATACATGCTGCAGTTCTATGAAGATTGAGTCCCTTTCCAGTTGCGATATACACTAAAAATTCCACTAACAGGACAAATACACTTTTATACTTACAATATCTGTCGTTAGCGCAGCACAGGGATGAAAATGATCAAAATAAACATCATCATGTTTTACTGAACATATATGCTTCTCTAAATCATTGTATCTCTCTCCACAGAGCACTAGATACGAAGAGCAAGAATATCCAAATTAATGGACATACGATTATTAGAATATGGATTTAAAACACAAAAATCCCTATAAAAAGCTTTGTAGTAAAATATAAAAATATATAGTAAAACATAAAAAAAATAAGCTTACCAAGTCTAACTTCATATGATTGATTTTTATATGAATGGTCTTGGAGAAAGTTGAGACATTTGTCAGCCTGTTTTTCAGAAATACATTTCTCTTCCATAATCTTGTCTGCCTGTTTCCAGTACTGTTTTACTGATTGCAGCCACCTTACAGAATAAACATGCATATAATTTAAATAAAATATAGAAGTATTTATCAAGAACTTGGATATTTTAAACAAAGAAAATTTCACAAGTTTAAAAATTTAGAGCATGCCCTCTCAATTTAAACCACCTGAGTTGACTTCAGAGCTGTGGACTTTGGGCAAATTCCTCAGCTTCTCTATGCCTCCCTTTCTCCATCATAACATAGAAGATAACGAAAGTATCTTTCTCATAAGGGTGTTGCGTGGCTTGAATGAGTTAGCGTGCCTGCCACATAGAAAGCACTGTGTGCTTGTTACCAGTGCTGCTGTTACTGCCATCGTCGCTGTTACCAGGAAAAATCAAGTCTGGTAACAAAACAATACTTGACGTTCATATAATGCTTTGTTGTTCTTATGATTGTCATCTGCAAGGTCAATGACTGTGTCCCAGTTATTTCCATTTTAGCTTTAATTATTGGATAAGGACAAAGAAAGGGGGATACAATTCTCTCTCTTACTTCAGATGACATTTACTTGAAAATTTTTAGAAATTGTCCTGCACAATTTCAGATCTGGCTATGGGAGACCTTGATTTTCTTTGGAGAAGATGTTTTCCTTCTCTAACTTCCAGGAAATATATCTTCAAAAAAATTTGAGAAAGCCAGACATGGTAATGTACACCTGTGGTCCCAGCTACTCAGGAGGCTGAGGTGGGAGGATTCCTTCAGCCCAGGAGTTTAAGGCCAGCCTGGGCAACAAAGCAAGACCACTGACGTTTCAAAGATTGGGTAATAAATTTATTTGAAAGTTATCATAGAAAAAACCTTAAAGACTTCAGACCATATAGACAGTATATAATTCAACCACTGAATATATAACAACCACTCTTTTTACCTATACCTACTTGGTGAGAAGATTTGGGTTATTTATGGTAGCTGAAAGAACCAAAAAGGGACATCGAATAATGACAAGGAGGAGCTCCCAAAATTTTGCTCCAACTTCTCTGCCAAGATAATGGACCTAGTAAAGAAAAAAAAATCAGTTGAAAAGTTGATGTCAAAATCGTAAATAAAAAATAGAAGCATAAAATCATCATGCATATTTTTCCAGTTTCCTATAAATGACCTAACCTAAATAAAGTGAATGGTGATAAATTCAGACAATAGACATCATGACACTTAACTGTCTCCAATCTCCATATCGAAACCATTATTAATTCCTACAGATTCCAATTCCAAAAATCTATTTTGAAGCTATGTTTTTCTCTCCATTTTTTGTTGTCATTGAAGCCACCATCACCTGGCTTTCTACAACAGCCTTCTGATTTTTCTCTTAGCTTCCACTCTTTCTCTATACTTTCTTCACATCATAGCCCTAATGGTATTATTAAACAAAAATCAAATTAGGCTACATACCTAATTAAATCCCTACACTGTCCTCCCAATGCATTTACAGTAAACCACAAGCTGCTTAACTGGAAGTGTAACTTCCTGCATGGTCTGGCTTCTTCCCACCTTTCCAACCCCATCTCAGGCCACTTTCCCCGCCATGCACTCTGCTCCCAACATACTGGCCTTCTTTTCATACCTTGAACACACGTGTTCCACCTGAGGGCCTTCACATATACGACCCTGCTACTTAAAATCCTCATCCACCTCTTAGCTGACCATTCCTGCTTATCCCTGCAAAGCCCAGCTGAAGGTCATTGCCTCAGAAACACCTTCCCTGAGTACCTGCTCCAAAGTTGTTGTTCTTACTTCCCATTTTGCTATTATCTTGGTGAAAACTAACTGATTTTTTTTTCTTCAGAGTTTGTATCACAATGTTTACTTATATTTTCATTGGTACATTTACTTATTTAATTGCTCTCCCCTTCACTAAACCACAAGGTCAGTACTGGCATATCAGGGAGAAAGCACAGTGTCTAGCACAGAGTAGGTACTCAATTAATATCTGTTGAATGAATGAATCAATCCTCTTTGGTTCAATAATGCAAATTAAGACTTAGAGAGGAGGTCCAAATTTTGGTCTTAAACAGAATACATCGTGACAATTGGGTCTCAGCTGGAAAGACTTACTAATCAAGGCTAGTAATAAATACATAAAGAAGAATATTTTCATATCCCTTCTGACTTTGATCTAGTCAGATAATCGCCCACTTTACCAAATGCTAATCTTATATTTTGTATCAGCAGGCAATTTCTCTGAACTTTCTAGAATAAACAATTTTTAAAGCCTTCTTACAATCAAGTTTTGTGCATGTATAAATCAGAAAACCAAAGTTACCCACATTTTGTTTTTTGTTTTGAGATGGAGTTTCGTTATTGTTGCCCAGGCTGAAGTGCAGTGGTGTGATCTTGGCTCACTGCAACCTCTGCCTCCCGGGTTCAAGTGATTTTCCTGCCTCAGTCTCCCGAATAGCTGAGATTACGGGAGCATGCCACCATGCCTGGATAGTTTTTGTATTTGTAGTAGAGACGGGGTTTCACCATGTTGGTCAGGCTGGTCTCGAACTCCTGACCTCAGGTGATCCACCCGCCTCAGCCTCCCAAAGTACTGGGTTTACAGGCATGAGCCACCACACCCGGCCTCATTACCCATGTTTTAACATTATTGTGCTTAGGCATTTTGAGATGAGACCACAATCCAAGGTTCTAGATCATAAAGATCAAGGTTTTTGTTTTGTTTTGTTTTCCCTTAAAACGGGAATGTTCAAAGTCAGCAACACACAATACAGCCTGATGCATAAAAGGAAACAGACTACTTTCAGCACAAAGAAAGCAGAATGACAGCATGTCTACCAACTCTCAACTTCACACAAAAAAGGAGTAGATTCACTACATAGGTTTATCACCTAGTTTTCCTTTAAGTTGAAAATTCCTTGAAGCAACAAAATACAAAGCTTGAATTCTATTTACAGTTCTTTCCATTCATTTTGATAATAACATAGCTATGTCCTTCCAGATCTACACCATTCGCCACCTTCCTCTCTGGCCAATGAGTCTGACCTTGGGAATTGGCTCACCCAGCCTCCTTAGCCCTCTAGCTTCTACTGGGTTTGGCCAGTGGGAAGCCTAGGCAAGAAATGGGAAGGAGAGAAGACAGTGAGGTCAAGGTCTTTATTCTTTTGCTCTCTCTCCCTAAGAGGTCAACCTTGGCCAGCTGCATTTCTTCACCAAGGTCACTGTTCTTCTCAAAGAGACATATCTATAGAATCTCTCTTCTGTTAAGGTTCATAATGCTTCCCCCTCCCTTCATCCTTACAGGGTTGAAAGGCTTGTACTATTCTGGATTACTGCACTTACCTTGTGGTTTCCCTTGTACAAACCTTTGTAAACAGCCCCTTAGTAAAAACACTTTTCTAAAAATTGTACTAACGTGAATATGCAATCTGTTTTCCATTGGTACCCTGGCTGACGCACAACTTAACTGCCATCATTGAAAAAGCCCTATATTCTTTAAATTACAAATTATAGGGTGTATGCAGACTAGAACATCAACCAGAGAACTAACACCAAACCTACCTCATCAAATATAACATATCTGATCCTTTCCACCCATTTTTGGCGATGAGGAGCAAGCAACAGGATTTCAAAACATTCCGGCACTGTAATAAGTACCTACAAATATGAATGATTAGTGTAGCTAACTTTATGGAGCATTAATTTTATATCAGGCATAGTAATAGGAACCTAGAAAATATGCTGCTGCTGATAGCAGTTTCATTAAGATAATATTGCATCTTTGACGTTTTTCATTTAAGTCTTTACATTTATGAACATTTGGATTAATGAAAATGAAAAAGAGCTTCTACTCTGTAACGACTGTTTTACATTTTGTTTAGTCTTAAATGTCTACTTTGTGAATTCAATAAGGGAGACAATCTATCTTAATCTATGATTTACCTATCGACGGGTCCACTATCAACACACAATCTTTTTGAGACAAGGTTTTATTATGAGGATCCATAAATATCATTCAAAAGAACTAGCAATTTTGAATGGAAAGAAAAGGTTGGGTAGTCATTTAGTAATGCATTGGGTTTGTTAAATCTACTTGAATCCCTTTCTAAGTTATACTGAAATATCATAATCTTCTATTTGAAATTTCAGATCACAATGTAAGTATAAATATTGTTCACAAGACCTAGCAATTTTGAATGGAAAGACAAGGTTGGATAGTCATTTAGTAATGCATTGGGTTTGTCAAATCTACTTGACTCCCTCTCTAAGTTATAATGAAATATCATAACTTTCTATTTGAAATTTCAGTTCACAATGTGAATATCCTTAGAGATGGTGAGCCTAGTTCTTACTTTTTAGAGTAGAACAACCTTAAATTTTCCTTAGAGCAATTTCATTTTCTTTGTGAATTCAGTGAAATGATTTCTATAAGGGCTTGTGTTTTGCAGATTCCCAGCAAAACAGTTATATAAGTACTGCTCTATAATTTGATAATAAACTCATTAATTAATATGTCATACCTGACAGTTTAGTACATTGTGACAATAATCTCTTGTAAAAGCACCGCATAGAGTTCTGCCGGCAGGCAACGTTTTAGTAAAACGATTCTCAACAGTTGCAGCCACTTGACCAACAAGGGACTGATTGACAAGAAAAAAAACCATTAGTCACTTAGTAGAGAAGAGACATATAAAACCTTGAGGACAACCGAATCCATACACATACACACACACACACACACACACACACACACACACACACACACTTCAATGAAAATGAAATGAAGTAGGGAAAAATACAGATGGTAATGAAATTATCTGATACCACTGAGTATTCTCTTTGATCCTCCTTGATTTTAAACACACACACACATACACACACACACACACACACACACACATGAGATAGATAGATAGATAGATAGATAGATAGATAGATAGATAGACAGACAGACAGACAGACAGATATTACATATCATGTATATGGTGACAATGGGCAAATGAATGACTTTCTATTGAATATCTGGTTCATGATTCCAGGTAAACCACCATTGCTCTGCCTGGGATCCTCCTAGTGCTCTCTCTGCCTGTGTTTGTCGGGATCCTTTCTTATTTAAGCCCCTGCAACTTGCTGCCTAAAAGAGGCAAAGAGCCCATGTGGCCTTCTCTTAAAATTTTCAGCCCCTAGGATTCCCCTTCTATTGTTCTGAGCTTAACTATAATTATATAAAAAGATGTTTGGTGTCTCTTATCCAGCATTTCAGGTATTTTACACAAAGAGATTTTTCTGTTGACCTATATGGCCATATTGCTGGAAATGGAAGTCATATATACCTGGCTGTATTTTTTAATTGAAACAATATTAATTAAAAGAAAAACATAAATCTTCATAATTATAATCATAGCATACCACTCCAAGGGAGGGAGGGAAAATAAAAAAGGAAAGGGGAGAGAGAAAGAAAGAAAGGGAAACAACTTAAAATGTAAATTTTTAAAAAATTAATCCTTAAAAATACTATAGTCATCATTTTTATATTCATGATAGTGAAATATTTTCTAAAAATAAGTATAATTGCAGTAACTATAAATGAAAATATTAACATATGAGATGAAATAAAAATATCAAAAATAGTTTCTTGGCCGGGCACGGTGGCTCACGCCTGTAATCCCAACACTTCAGGAGGCCAAGGTGGGTGGATCACCTGAGGTGATCAAGACCAGCCTAGCCAACATGGTGAAACCCTGTCTCTACTAAAAACACAAAAATTAGCCCAGCATGGCAGCACGTGCCTATAATCCCAGCTACTCATGAGGCTGAGGCGGGAGAATCACTTGAACACGGGAGGTGGAGGTTGCAGTGAGCCGAGATCGCGCCACTGCACTCCAGCCTGAGTGACAGAGCAAGACTCTGTCTCAAAAATAAAATAACAGTGAATTAGATCTAGCATGTGACCGTGTGCATTCTTTTTAAAGGGGATGTTCAGGAACAAAAGCAAAAATGAAAGTCATTCAAACACTACCTTTGCGGGTGCAACGTACACAACCACCCCGACATCGCTCTCCCTCAGCACTTTCTCCATGCAGTAGTAGGAAGCATAGGTTTTGCCTGAGGACGTTGGGGCAACAATCACTGCTGACTCATTCTTATCTACCACATCCAGGAGTTCCTGCTGCAGGGTACAAAGCACCATTTGTGTCAAGAAAGTGAACAGCATGTTACCAAAACACAGACAGTATCCTTTGTACCTTCTGTCTCCTGTGCCTGTATTATGCTACCTTTGGGGGAACTCCCTGAACCCCTGAAGATTAGGTCTGGTGAACACTCGAAGGATTCAGGAAAATACCTGGATTACTCATGCCATTCCCTCAGAAAAGAGATTTTGTTTTACATTTTGGCCTAGAGAGAGGGTTTCATTTCTGCAAAATAGAAAGGGAGACTGAGTAAAACATATTTTTCCATTAGAAAACACTTTTTCCAATTGTCATTGAGTAAGTACAGAAAGAGGTTTCCAAAACTGAGCTGTAAGAACTAGTAATGCCACATTAGCATGCCTTCACATACAAACAGGTATCAGTATAACTTCCACTGATGGTGAAAATAAAAAGGCCAAGAAGGGGAAGAAATGAATGATTTCTCATACTCTAGTTACATTCTCCAGGCACAGTAGAGGAAAGACATTAAACAAGATTAAGAAGTTTATGCAAAATTTGACATGTAGAGACACAGTAATGAAAAGTTCTGAAGTCACACTGATTAGAAAAGTACAATGTTTGTTGTCATTACCTGCCATGCGTTGGGAATAAAATCCTGGACCCTGGGATCCCGATCTTTTCTTTCATCTCTTATCAAGTAATGGCCCATGTATTGCAGTTGAAACCGAGCTGGTCCAATGTCAATCGAATATTTCTTCTTATTTTTGTCATCTCCTATCTGTTATTTTAATATATTATTTGAAATCAACTTAAACTTCAAAATTGAATAAACATTTATTAAATATCCACTGAGCACATTCTATGCACAAGGCATTTTTACTACACTTTTTTTTATTTTTTTGAGACAGGGTCTTTCTCTGTCACCCAGGCTGGAGTGCAGTGACGCCATCATAGCTCACTGCAGCCTTGAACTGCTGAGTGCAAGTGATCTTCCTACCTCAGCCCCACCACTCCCTATCCCATGCCCTGGCTGAGTAGCTGGGACTACAGGCACATGCTATCAATTGTGGCTAATATTGTGTGTGTGTGTGTGTGTGTGTGTGTGTGTTGTAGAGACAGGGTGTTGCCATGTTACCCAGGCTGGTCTTGAACTACTGGGCTCAAGTGATCTGCTCACCTTGACCTTCCAAAGTGCTGAGATTACAGGCGTGAGCTACCATGCCTGGCCTACTATGCTTTTAAATAGTGTAATATTTAAGTAAGAAGAGTTTTCCTGCCTAAAATGTTATTCTTGGGAAAAGTCAAATAGCAGATATTAACGTTAAAAAAAGTTCATCCTGGAATTGGAACCTGGAACCTTATTAAAGACCATTCTTCAATCTCACTACATTACAGTTTTTAGATTGCACTAGAATTAAGTATAGGATTCATTCCTGTTACCAAGAGGGTTTAAAGTGGCATCTGGATATCATCTAGTATTTAATTTCTGTTTTCAGGAAGCATCTGTACAAATTTTCTAATTTTAATTTACTTCAAAGTTTGGCAGCTAGGTTATTAATAAGTAATCTCATATCTATTATTTTATAAACTAGAATCAGAGTAAACATAGTCAATTGATAACTCTATATGTGAGATACTTCATTAGACCTATTAGTTATTCTTCCATATTAAAATTGAGTAAAAATTTAAAGTATAAGAAATTCTAGTTCTCTTACCAGAGTTGGATCCAAAGAGTTTGCCAGATCATTAAAGCCTAAATATTTAAGGCATTTAGCTATATATTGATGATGTTCTGCTTCCAAAATTTCTGGGTATCTCTCCAGGAGTGAATGAATCCTTTTCATCATTTGAACAGCTATACTTAAATCTTTCGAAATTTTGCCTTGTTAAAGAAACAATAAAATTGTTATAAAGAACACCAAAAATAACTGGTTGATCACTTACGACAATCATTGAGTTAATCAATTAACCTCATGTGATTAAACCTCACTATTTTACTTGACTTTAAAGGAGATTTTAGAGCATTAAAAACTAAAACTCATGATTAAATTAAATTAAAACTCCATCTACACACATTTAATTATCATCTTAAGTAACTTAGACATAGCTGGGTAAGTATAGGCAAAAAAGAAAAGAAACAAACTTTGTGATTTATAGCAGAAATATGAACCATTTAAACTGAGCTCTGTACTCATTTCCAGAGAAAAATAACACAATAACCCACATATTATTTGTGTGTCTTCTACTCTTGTTCACAGGAAAAAGTCCTATGATTTTAGATGCCTGACCAAAACATGAGCAACATTTATCAAGGCCTACTCTTGACCACATACAGTACTTGTATTTATGAAACCATCAGCAGAACCCTTCAATTATTGAGGGCTAAGATACAACCTCACTGCATCCCAATCATTCTATCCAGACTCTCCTAAGCCCTTCTATTACCTCCTGTTCACTTATAGCCTCTTTATCTCTATCCCACTACTAACCACTCCATATAAAGTCATATAAAGTCTTTATCCTCTTTCCTCTTTGTTAAGAAATATCCTCTTTCTTAACAAATACTACTGAGCAACTGCTTATGCAGACCACCAATGTATGCTTTAAGGAAGTACAAATGAAATTTAAGACAGAGTTCTTACATCAAGGAACCTTCAATCTAATTGGAGAACAAGGGATTAGTGTTGAAACAGATCAGTAAAATATCTAAGTGATTTACAATTCAGGGTCCAAATGGAGTCATAGAAGCAGTGTTATGTGAGCAGGAGAAGTTGGGAGGACTCCACAAGAGGATGGCCTTGAAGGACACACAGAATTTAGGCCAATAGAGACAAGCAGAAGAACATCTGTAGCAGAAACTGATATTACCTCCTCAACATCCATTCTCACCCAATGCTTTCTTATAAATCCCCATACTAATGGATACTGCAATAGGTCCAATTCAAAGTTCACATTTTCTAATCTCTCTGTGGTTTGGTGCGGTTTTGTTACTAAGTTTGGCCATTGAGAAGTAAGCAAAAATTGGTGGAATTTCTGGGATGAAGCCTCCTTCCATAGAAGAAATACAGCATGAATGTACAAATTTGCCCTTTTTCTTCTTCCTACTTTGTTTTGGAATACAGTTATCATGGCTGTAGCATCAGCCACCAACTGCATTCATGACATAACTTTAAGAATACAACTCATGCACTAAGAACGGTACAATACGATGATAGCGGAGCCTAAGTTCCCAGTGACACTGAACTGCCTATCTCTGGACTTCTTTTACATGAAAGAGAAATAAACTATCTTTTTTAAGCCATTATTAATTCCTATCTCTGTTAATAGCTAATGGCAATTCCTATCTGATATGGCATCAAGTAAAAACACATATGCTAAAGCTTAGAGATGAAAATGAGCATAGTCTCTGACAGCCCACTGAGGTACTGGCTTTGCTGGGAAGTAGAATAGAGAGACATGAGCGTGACTACAGAGTCACGTGGCCACACGTGAAAAGGATCTGAGTAGGACATACTCAAGACAGGGTGATCAACCACAACTTGAGGAGGAATTGTCAGCTTGGTCTAGCATCAAAATCACATATCTCAGGCTGGGCACAGTGGCTCAAGCCTGTAATCCTAGCTCTTTGGGACGCCCTGGCGGATAGATCACCTGAGGTCAGGAGTTCAAGACCAGCCTGGCCAACATGGCAAAACCCCGTCTCTACTAAAAATACAAAAATTAGCCAGGCATGGTGGCAGGAGCCTGTAATCCCAGCTACTCAGGAGGCTAAGGCAGGAGAATCACCTGAAGCTTGAATCTGGGAGGTGGAGGTTGCAGTGAGCTAAGATCACTCTACTGCACTCCAGCCTGGGTGACAGTGAGACTCCATCCCAAAAAAAAGAAAAAAAAATCACATATCTCTACTCAGTTTTTTCTGATTCTTTCCCTCAGTTGGCTCTTCCACAAGTCAATATTCAGGAAACTAAGTAATAAAAGCACACACTACAAGCCATATGAAGACGTAATACCTGGAAATAGTATGCACACATCATTTCTGCTACATATTTCACCAAAATCATTCTCTGCTGCCAGTTGGAGACATTGATACAGGAGAGCACAGGGAGCCACAGAAATTTGAGGGAGCACTTAGAATGCTAGGCAGGCAGGGCCCATTCCAACCCACTTCCCTCCCTGCCAGCCCACAGTGTGGAAATGGTTGTGTACCGTTACCTAGGACTGCAGGTGCTATTGGGCATCTATTCCCCCATAGCTATGGCTCTCAAGGAATTCTGGTAACCGTTCACTCCCCTGCTCTTGTCAAGAACTAGGAAAGGGCTGAGATTTTATTCTATTTACAAGCTAGAAATTTAGTCTTTCACAGTCTCATGGTTGCTGGCAAAAGACATGAGACTCCTGGGTCAGAAACAAAAGGCTTTATTATCATGGCCCAGTTAACAATATAACCATCATGTATATGTCGGTTCCCCTTGTGCTCCATGGCGGAGATAAAGAGCCCAGGTAGAAACCACACACAAAGTAGGTTGATGTCACAGCTAAGGAAATCTACACTTAGAAAACCGAAATATTTTATAATGGGTCTCAGGCAAAACCTGCTTCTTTGCCCTGGAGGGAAATGTGATCTTTATTAACTGGACAGTAAACAAACTTGGCCTTTGCCCTAGAGAGGAACACAATTTCTTCCTTCCAAGCCTGTTCACTATACAAACACACTTAAAAAGATAGTCTGGAAGTGAACCTGTCAATGCTTCTGCTGGCTAGACGGGCAGAAACATGGAAAAACCCATGGAGAATCACCTCCCAACAGCAACTTCACATCTCCCTGGTGCTGACAGCTTTCCTTCTCTGATAGGCCCTGTTGCTGCTGCTGAGCCTCACCTTGCTTTGCTGATCCCCTTAATTCTCTCCACACTTTTTGAAAGAGTTTTTTCTTTATACTCTCCTCATTTCTTTTTGAATGTGCCATCTTTTCCCTGTTGGGACCCTCTGTCTAACCTCTGCAATTCCACTTTCTTGTCTGCAAAATATAATAATAACTATCTTAAAGGGTCATGTTGACAATAAAATCAGACAATGGATTATACAAAGTTTTAGCACAACCATGCATTCAGTAAATATGTTAACATCATTAATATTTTCATCACTACTCTTTATCCATAGAGTATGGAGTCCCATACCTTCACCTCGGCAATGTTTTTTCCATGCTTTAAAGCAGGCAATTAATCCTAACATTTCAACTCCAAATTTCACTGAATTACTTGCACATGATGTCAAATAATCTTCCAATTTCCTTATTCCAGAATGTAAATTGTTCTTCATCTCCTCTTCAATAGAAAACAGCAGATCATCGTTTTGCTGAGCTTTGTTCTGATCTTCTTTGAGAAATGACTTTTTCTTACTCTTTTTGGTAATTTGGTGGGGTTTGGTATTCTGCTCAATAATAAAAGGAACATATGAAACAAGTGGGAAAATTCCATTATGACATTTCACTAGTGAGATTATTTTTTGTGCACTTACTGAGGACTCTGGCCATCATTCTACTCGTGCACAGGCAAGAATTCTTAATGTCTTTTCTTAAAATTAAAGTCTGTATGATGCAAACCTACTTAAACTTCAGTATAAATGTAAATTGCCTCTTACTGCAGAATATTTTCTAGATTTCTAAATGGTGTAAATTATTAATAAAAAAGTAAAAGTAAATGGAAGAAAACAAAGAAGAGAAAGAGTAGCCACTGAGCTTGATTGTAGGGCAGCTTCTTGGGGATTTGGAACTTAATTAATTTATTCATTCTCCACCCCACAAAGCATTTTGGGCCTCCCAGATCCCACTCGCTCTTTGGAGATTCATGTTGAAAAACACCAACGGTCTAAGCAGACATTAGTCAATGTGGGGAAAAAAACAGAAATCCCACTGGAAAATGGAGGAGTCACACACACTTAGTGGGGTGGTAATTTTTCCCACCTCTCCCCTAACTAGATCAAACATTTAATTCCCATTTTGCTTCTATTTCAGTGTGGAGGCTGCTCCTAGGCCTCACACTACCAACATAACAGAACTGAGTGAGCTCCCATCAGTTCCTGGCCCTGCAATTAGGGCTGCCAAAGGAGCAGAGGTGCACAGCCTGGGCCCCAGGAGCCAGCCTTGGGCACAGGGCTTGGCAAAGCAAAGGGCTCAGCTGGGTGAGGCCCTTGCACAAAGGCTGCAGAAGATGGTTGCTTCAGGATGCTGTATTCACTTTGATCCTTATGCTTGAAGCCAAGCCTGGACCTTTGCCTGAGCCAGCCCCACCTGGCCACCCTCAGCCCAGAGGAGGTTAGGTCTGTGGGCTGAGGTGGAGCCTCTGCAGTTGAAAGCATGTGTTGTGTGGCTGGATGGACCCTTAAATAGCTCTAGGAGAGAGACCCAACAGCAGTGCTAAGAAACCTACAGTGTAATCAGTGATAACTATTATCTAGAATGGCTTTGAGGAGATATCCTGTCACTGATTGTAGCCTTTGCAACTTCAGCCTGGTTAATGAATTGACGGTCTGGCAAGGAAAAGGAAGACTCTAGATCTCTGATTAACAATTTTCTGAAATTAGTGGGAAAGAGAAATGTTTTCATTTTTTGGATCTTTTCCTTGTGGGGCTTTTATGTTTCATTCTCCAAAAATATTCCCTTTCCTACTCCAGTTAGGGTAAGGCAGCCATGATAAGTGCCATTGGTCATCAATAGTTTGGTTTGTGCTCTTTCACGTATTTAGCATGGTTGACCTCAGGAAGGGGATTTACCAAAGCAAATAAATGTCTTTCCTTAATTCCCAACCATGAGGCTAAGAGAGAAGTACTGAAGCCTAATGAAATCCCCTCTGATGAAGAATGATCGCAAAGTAGTACCTTCCCAAGCAGAACCATAAAATCTACCGTTTGTTCAGTTATAAACACTATCATTTGTGTTACCTGATACTTTTCCACATTATCTTTTTAAATTTTTTTTGAATTACAGGGATTCTAAGTTTGTAAACAAGCATGGTCTAGTGTAAAGGCAGGAAGAGAAAGAAAATAGGTATGGAAGATTCCTACCCTTTCAAGAAGACCTGGTCTTACCTTTAATATAAACAAAAGTCCAGGACAGATTAATGGCATAAATGACTTAAAAACATGGACAGTTTTCCAAATTCAGGCAAAATAATGAAGCTGATGGAAATGTTAGGCCTATTTTTACCACCTCTATGTAAAAAGATTTTCACTGTAACAAACTAATATACAAAAATTCCTTTTCTTTTTTTTTTAGACAGAGTCTTGCTCTATCACCAAGGCTGGAGTGCAGTGACACGATCTTGGCTCACTGCAACCTCCACCTGCTGGGTTCAAGCAATTGTCCTACCTCAGCCTCCTGAGTAGCTGGGATTACAGGCACCCGCCACCATTCCTAGCTATTTTTTTATATTTTTAGAGGCGATAGGGTTTCACCACGTTGGCCAGCCAGGCTGGTGTCGAACTCCTGACCTCAGGTGATCCGCCCACCTTGGCCTCCCAAAGTGCTGGGATTACAGGTGTGAGCCACTGCACCCAGCCCACAAACATTTCTTTTAACTTAAATTTGACTTTTCTAAATCCAAGCTTGTAATTCTTTGATGCATTAAGCTTGTTATCAGATAAATCTATCTTTTCTTATTCTAAAAAAGATAGAATACTAGATTTTATGTAATCTTCTTAGGATTTCTAATGGCAAGCAAGTAAAATAACTCATTTGTAAGTGATATGATTTGGGTCTGTGGCCCCACCAAATCTTATGTCGAATTGTAATCTCCAGCATTGGAAGCTGGGCCTGATGGGAGGTGACTGCATCATGGGGAGGGGGTTTCCGATAAATGGTTAACACCATCCCACTTGGTGCTGTTCTCATGATAGTGAATGAGTGACTTGTGCAAGATCTGGTTGTTTAAAAGTATGTAGCACCTCCCCAACACTTCCTCCTACTCCAGTCATGTGAAGTGCCATCTCCCCCTTTGTCTTCTATCATGATTATAAGTTCCCTGAAGGCTGGGTGTGGTGGCTCACACCTGTAATCCCAGCACTTTGGGAGGCCAAGGTGGGTGGATCACCTGAGGTCGGGAGTTCGAGACCAGCCTGGCCAACAGGAAGAAACCCTGTGTCTACTAAAAATACCAAGAATTAGCCGGGCCTGGTGGTGGGTGCTTGTAATCCCAGCTACTTGGGAGGCTGAGGAAGAAGAATTGCTTCAACCCGGGAGGCGGAGGTTGCAGTGAGCCAAGATCGTGTCACTGCACTTCAGCCTGGGCAACAAGAGCGAAACTCCATCTCAGAAAAGAAAAAGAAAAAGAAAAAGAAGTTCCCTGAGGCCCAGAAGCTGATGCCACCACAGTTTCTGTACAGCCTGCAGAACTGTGAGCCAATTAAACCTTTTTTCTTTATAAATTACCCAATCGCAGGTATATCTTTCTAGCAATGTGAGAATGGACTAAGACAGTTAGCAAACATGAGAAAGAAGAGAATGGAAGACACCTCCAGAGACAAATATGAGCCTAAAGAAAACAAAACAACATCAAAGAAAAAAATTAGGTAAAATCTTTGCGATCTACCTGTAATATTTCACCACTGGCACCACTGGAATCCTCCTTTGGCCGAGTAGTTTGAGTCACAATGACTTTCGTAGAGATTGATTCTAACGATTTCCCATAAAATTGCTGATAATCCTGAATCTTTTTCAGGAAATCAAGAACATGAGGATCTCTAGATTGTTCTGAAATAGAAAGACTTAAAATGTAAACATGTATTTTAAAATATTGCTATATATGTGTGCTACCCACACATTATTTTTTTAACTCCAGAATAATAATTCAGTATTTGCCAATGAGGTCAGATTACCATACGCTAACAAAATAATTCCCTATATTATTTGAAGAAGAGAGAGGACGAAGCTCTGCTAATGTCCGGGTCTAAGTACCTGGACATTGCCCCTGTCATTTGGCAGGAGAAGAGGAGAAGAGGAAGGTTGGGGGCAGTCTAATAGCACATTCACCTGCAACAGGGGTCTACAAACTAGGTCCACATGATCAAATCTGATGAGTACATTTTTTAAAATTGGTTACACTCTAAATGATTATATGAGTACCTACATCATGCTGTCAATTTTGGTCTCTTGGTTTGCAAAGCCTAAAATATTTATTACTTAGACCTTTCAGAAAAAGTTTGTTGACTCCGGACCTAAAACATTCTGTTTGCACTCCTAAAAAGGAAAACCTCTACTTCTGGTCCCAGTCAAATATTTAGGAGCTTACAGCTGACAGATGCTGATACCAATTACCTTACACCATGCAAAAATTCAAATGACACAGAAAATTCCCAGGAAGCAAGGCTAGATTCACTTGAGACCTAGGAACACTCTTTACAAACATAAAAGATATAAATAAGCTAGTGTTTTGTTGTTTTGGATGTTGTTGCTTTTTCCGTGTCTGTGTATGTGATCACAAATCAAACCACTCTGGAAACACACCATGCAGAATCTTCGTAGACACTTACATAAATAGCTTATTCCTATATGCAATTGGCATACTTACTTGACTTATTTCTAGATCCTTCTGAAAAGTTTTACCAGTTCTGCAATGAGAACACATGGACACAGGAAGGGGAACATCACACTCTGGGGACTGTTGTGCGGTGGGGGGTGGGGGGAGGGATAGCATTAAGAGATATACCTAATGCTAAATGACGAGTTAATGGGTGCAGCACACCAGCATGGCACATGTATACATATGTAACTAACCTGCACATTGTGCACATGTACCCTAAAACTTAAAGTATAATAATAATAAAATAAAATAAAAAGAAAAGTTTTACTAGTTCTGAAAAGGGTGGAAATAAACATCGGATTGGAGAAAGACACTAAAAGAATGAACCAGGAAAAAAAGATCTATGAATTCCTTTCCTTAGGACCCATTTTTAATTGTTTCATGGGCTTTACTTTTTGTAGATTCAACTCCTCCTCATTACTGAGTTTTCATGGGCACAATTATGCTGGTACTTGGCAGCATGCAATCAACTAGACAATAGTTTAGCAGGAAAAGAGCTAAAATGTTAGGAAGACTATGGCTGTATCAGCATATTTACTTCAAGGTATAGACAGATTCCTAAAACCATCAAGTATCTTTCCCACTTAAACAGCATCTGATATTTTCATGACAATACCATGCATATGTACATCCTTAAAAGATTAATAAATCTCTATTTGAATTAACAGATACATCTGCATGCATACGTACATATGCACACCAGATAATATAATGGGATTTTTTTCAGACAGCATGCTTCCTACTGTGCCTCTTCAATTAATATATATATATATATTGTGTGTGTGTGTGTATATATATATACACACATATATGTATAGTATATATTGTATATAGAGATCTCATTCAAAATATATATTATATATAATATATAGATAGATCTCATTCAAAATAGAACGTGTTTACAATGTAATATCTTTTCACTGTTAATAAAAAGAGCAGCAAAGGCAATTCATATAAGCTCTATTTTATCGTGGTTACAGAGCTCACCATCAACATGACATTTGATCCTGTCATAGTCGTCACTAAGGAGTCTTTGAGCATGCCAGTGCAAAAGTTCATCAGATGTCTTTTGTTTAAACAGTGAAGGAACAACCGGATCATCACTGTAAAAATAAATACATAATTTTTTTAAATTTTAAGCTTTTCAAATTTTAGCACAAACTTCAGGCTGTGATAACAGAAATTGTACAACCTCTTTTTCTATTTGTGTGATATAATGTGGGTCATAAAACCTCAGAGACATAAAAACCCTGAATTTCTGCCATTCCTGTAACAGTCACATCCACATCAACAACAATGTAGTAAACTTTATAGCTGGAGTAATTTTATTATACGTTCAAAATAATATAGATTTTTATATAGTAATGTTCAAATAATATTGACATACTAGATGTTACAATCACTTAAATGTATTATAGTCACATTATATAGAATTTACCATATCCTGATATGATATATTACATAGACATTTTGATGAGTCATTCACTTCACTAGTATTTTCAAGTTGATGGCACTAAATCAGGTACTTCATTAACTCTGTACCTCTTTAGAATAGGCAAATCCTTCATCATATCTCCAACAAACTCATCAATTACAGCAGATGTCATTGGAATAAAGCCCACACTAGGCATCTTTTCCAAGGAGATTTCTGAAAACAAATATAAATTTAAGATGAGAGGAAAGGTGTAACTATCCTATATGAATTTTGAACATTATTTTTAAAATTTCAAATGCATAATATTTTACATAAATTTTACTAATGTTTACCAAGTTAGAGCTTCCAAATGAGATATTCCTCAAAGCAAACATGTTGTAGCAAGCCAGTATATTAAAAATTAGTATATAACCATTTACATATGTATGTAGATGGTAGCAGATCACTAGATAGACAAACATGTAGATTTTCCATTTCCAAGTACTTATTCTTTTTTATTATGTCACAGTATGAATAATGTGTCACAGTATAGTAATAACAGCACTTGAAAAAAGAAGCACCACTCAGAGTTCACCTACATAAAAGCCTCCATGAAAATTAAATCACAAAAATAGGAAAAAATTAATAATAAAAGTATTTTATTTATCACCAAATACTCTTTGGAGCCTTCTTTAATTTCTATTTTCACAGTTCCTATGTATGGTTTACATGCTGAATATAATAGACTAGAGGATTTTTAAATTTAGCTGTGTTCAAAACTGTAGATGAAAAAATATAATCCTTCTCCTCCCTCATTCCTAAATTCTGGACAATATCCTTTTGCCAATGTATCCACAATTCCCATCTGCATTCCTCTTGCATCTCTCACTTTCCTTTGGGACTATTTCCTTCTTCCTGAATTGTATCATATACAAATATTTTTAATGAGGATATGATGCCAGTAAACTCAGTTCTTGTGCATCTGAAAATATCTATATTATCTCCTCATTCATAAGTTGTACTTATACTAGTTACACTAGCCCCCAACAACCATTATTTTGTCTCATTACTTAAAAGATATTATTTCATTACCATCTTGCTTTTATTGTTATTGTGGAGAAGTCTGCTAGCAATTTAACTTTTATGTCTTTGTAGGTAACTGTTTTCTTTCTTATTCTTAAGAGAACTTTGTTTTTGGTTTGCTGCGGTTGCACTATAATGTATCTAGTGGTGTGTGTTTGTGTGTGTGTTGTGTGTGCATAGATGCGTGAGTGTGTACATGTGTATATCGTATATGAGACTCATTTCTGCATCCTAACTCCAGGTATTTGTGTCTTTCATTAAATCAGAAAAAAATTATTTTCAGTCATTATCTATGGATATTTCTTCCTCTGATGTCTCTATCCTCTGCTTCTGAAACTCCAATTGGACATGTGATTGACCTAAGGTATCCAAAGGCTTAGAGAGATTGGAAGGTTAGAGTGACTTATCATGTAAGACCTGCTCACTCACCCCATGAGGGTGCAGAGGACACACCTTCCACCACAACTATGAGAAATAAAATTGTAAGGGGAACCCCAGAATTCTGGAATAGCTCCATAGTTACGCTATTGTGTAAGTCAGAAATTGCTGTGGGAACTGCTACCAGCAAATTTGGATCCCTAAATGCCACAGGGATAATTCAATCCTGGGGTGGCAGGGGCCAAGTGGCAGCACTTAATCACTAAAGATAAAGTAGTTATGGTTACCATAATGGACGGCAAAGTCAAAGCAATAATCTGAATAGTCTGATTCACAGAAACCTACAGCATTGGCTAGCTGGTCATAGTGTTCCTAGAAAAAAACAAAAGATGGGCATTCCACTAAATTCTAAATTGATCTGTACAAAAGGAAGAGTTCTAAGGTAAGTGAACAGATGCCTAACTTAAATCACCAGTCATAGCTCCTTAATCAGTTCCTAAACTTAAGCCCTGTTACAGACCCAGAACCCCTTGATTGGAGAAAAGGCTAAATCCCTTTGAAGAAGGACCCTGCTCCACTGCCAAAACTCATACTGTTCATCTTTCTTCAGTCTTCCTCAAAGGGACCTACTGCTATTTATCAGGGTAACTGTCCACTGGAGAAGGGGAAATCATCTGACTTCAGGGGATTACTGGATACTGATTCTGAACTGGCACTAATTCCAGAAGACCCAAAATGTCACTGTGCTCCCAACCCCCAACCCCCAGTCAGTAAGGGCTTGTGGAACGTCAGGTGACTGATGAAGTTTTCTCTCAAGTTCATCTCACAGTGGGTCCCTGAATCTTCTGTGTGGTTATTTCACCAGTTTCAGAATGCGTAACTGGGACAGACATACTCAGCAACTCAACACATCTCCAGGTTGGTTCCCTGACCTGTGGAACGAGGGCTTATGGAAGCCACTAGAACTGTCTATACTTAGAAAAATTGTAAGCCAAAAGTAATACTGCATTCCTGGAGGGATTACAGAGATTAATGCCACTATTAAGGACTTGAAAAATACAGGAGTGCTGATTTTCCTCACATCCACATTCAACCTGACTATTGGGCCTATGCAGAAAGACAGATGAATTCTGGAAATTGCCAGTAGATTCCTGTAAATTTAACCCTATGATGACTCCAACTGCAGCTGCTGTTCCAGAGGTGGTTTCATTGTTTGAGCAAAATAATATACCTCCTGGTACCTGGTACGCAGCTATCGAGCTGGCAAATGCTTTTTTTCTCCATTCCTGTTAATAAAGACCACCAGGAGCTATTTACTTTCAGCTGGAAAGGCCAGAAAAATATACCTTCACTGTCCTACCCTAGCCCCATGTCATAATTTAGCCCCCAGGGAATTTTCCGGAAGAAATTTTTTTCTTCCACAAAGTATCTCACTGGTCCATCACATTGTTCATATTACGCTGCTCGGATCTAGTGAATAAGAAGTAGACACTACTTGACATACCAATAGGACATTTGTATGTCAAAGATGGGAAATCAATTCAGCAAAAATTCAGAGAATTTCCATCTCAGCAAAATTTGTTGATGGTGGAAAATGAACGGAACAAAAATTCAAGGATGTTCCACCTCTGCAAAACTTGTAGGAGTCCAATTGTGTGGGGCATATCAAGATATCCTTTCTTAGGAGAAGGGTAGTTGTTGCATCTGGCCCCTCCTACAATAAAAAATAAAGTATAATGCCTGGGGGAGCCTTTGTGAATTTGGAAAGCTACATTTCTCACTTAGGTGTGCTATTCTGGCTTATTGATCAAGTGACCTGAAAAGTTGCTAGTTTTTATTGGAGCCGAGAATAAGAGAAGGCCCTGCAACATGTCCAGGCTGACACGATTGCAGGCTTCCCTCATGAAAGGAGTCATTCCCTCTTCTTACTGGAATAGACAGTTACTCTGGATATAGTTACCTTCCCTGCATGCAATGCTTCTGCCAGAAATACTATCCTTGGACTTACAGAACCCGTATCCACAATCTTGGTATTTCACACAATATGGTTTCTGATCACAAGGAACTCACTTTATAGCAAATGAGGTGTGGCGGTGGGTCTACGTTCATGGAAAGCACTGGTCTTACCATATTCTCCATCATCCTGAAGCAGTTGCCTCAGTAGAATAGTCTAACAGCATTTTAGAGACACAGTTACAGTGTGAGCTAGGTGGAAATACTTTGAAGGCTGGGGCAACGTTCTCCAGAAGGCTGTAATTACTCTGAATTAGTGGCCAATATATAGTGTTGTTTGTGAATTATAGGCATAATTCACAATTCAGGATTCCAGGGATAGAAAACGAATGACTCCACAAACTATTACCCCTAAGTGATATGCTAGCAAAATTTCTGCTTTCTGTTCTGGCACCCCTATGTTCTGTTTGTTTAGATATCTTAGTTCCAAAGAGAGGAATGTTTCCACCAGGAGACACAACAATGATTCCATTGAACTAGAAGTTAGGACTGCCATCTTGCCATTTTGAGCTCCTTGTACCTCTGAATCAACAGGCAAAGGAAAGGGTTATTGTGCTGGCTGCTGTGATTTATCCTGATTCTCCAGGGGACATTGGGCTGCTACTACTCAATGGAGGGGTAAGAAAAAGTATGTCCAGAATACAGGAGATCCCTTAAGGGTTCCGTAGTACATCCCTTCATACTACCATGCCATGTGATTAACGTCAATGGAAAACTACAACAACCCAATGCAAACAGTACTCTATGGGTCCAGACCCTTAAGGAACAAAGGATTGGACTGGACTGTGTTCTTCAAAGAGACATGTTCGAGTCCTAATTCGCACTATCTGTGAATGTGACCTTATTTTGAAATAGGGTCTTTGCAGATGAAATCAAGTTAAGATAAGGTTATTCTGGATTAGGGTGAGGCCTAATGTAATAACTGCTATTCTTACAAGAACAGAGAAACTTGAACACAGACCCAGAGGAAACACACAGAGAGAAGGAGAACACTATGTAAAGGTAGAGGCAGAGATGAAAGTGATGCATCTACAAGCCAAGGAACACCAAGGATTGCCAGCAGCCTCCAGAAGCTGAGAGAGAGGCATGGGATTGTAAATTCAAAATAAAATCCAAAGTCCAACCCCCGCAACTAACTGAATGGACCCCCTAATGGCCAAGGTTACCCCAGAGAAACATTTAAGACTGAGTTCTGAGCCACGATGCAAAGGAAAGTCAGATAGGCCTCACTATACTCTCCTCCCTCTTGCAGTTTAGACACAAAAACTGACTAGCGTTAATGTTAAAATAGAGATTGCAAGACTGACAGAACAGAATCTTTGTGGCAATAAGATCATGAACAAGATCTAAGGCCATGCCAGTCAAAGGTGATGTCATGCACCCTATAGGTCACTATGACTCAGTATACCGTGGCTTGCTCTGATAACCTGACTCTGGCAGAACATCACATGATGATTAGCAGACTCCTGGTCTTCACTTAAACCCTTCGGCTGACTCCATGGGGTTTTTTTTTGGGTTTTTTTGGTTTTGTTTTTTGAAACGGAGTCTCACTTTGTCACCCATGCTGGAGTGCAGGGGCGCAATCTCAGCTCACTGCAACCTCCAACTCCTGGGTTCAAGCGATTCTCCTGCCTCAGCCTCCCGAGTAGCTGGGATTACAGGCACATGCCACCATGCCCAGATAATTTTTTGTATTTTTAGTAAAGATGGGGTTTTACTGTGTTAGCCAGGATGGTCTCGATCTCCTGACCTGGTGATCCCCCTGCCTCGGCCTCCCAAAGTGCTGGGATTACAGGCCTGAGACACCACAACTGGCCCCAAGTTTTTAGACAAAGCTTTGTTCCTTTAACCAATTGCAAATGAAATCATCTCCAAATCTACCTATAATCTGTAAGCCCCTGCTTCAAGATATCCTGCCTTTTGGGGCCAGTGTATACCTCCTATGTATTGATTTATATCTTTACCTGTAACTCCTGCCTCCCTGAAATATATAAAACCAAACTGTAACCCAACCACCTCAGGGCCACTTACTCAAGACTTCTTGGGATTGTGTTTTCCCCAGGCCACAGTCAACCATATTAGCTAAGAATAAACCTCTTTAAAATATTTTGTGTTTTCCCCAGGCCACAGTCACCCATATTAGCTAAGAATAAACCTCTTTAAAATATTTTACAAAGTTTAGTTTTTCCATTAACAGTTTGGTTTTTAATTCAGGCCCTCCAGAAGAAACCAATTTTGTAGACAATTTGATTTCAGACATTAACCTCCAGACCTGTAAGAGAATAAACTTCTGTTGCTATAAGCCACCAGCTTGTGGTGCTTTGTGACAGCAACCCTGGAAAAGGAGGACCTCAGGCAAAGAACCATGACCAGCTTAGGTGCTTGCTGGGTGCAAAGGGTTTAGGGAATAGGTAATGGGAGGAGAAGGCAGTCATAAATACCAGCTATGACCATGTGACCAGTTACAGAAATGAGGACTCTAATAGTTAGGGGTATTTCTTCCTTATTTTGTCTTGAAAATACGTATATATTAAGCAGATATTTTTGTTTTCTTCTTTTATCAGTTTACATACAATGTAGTCATAATAGTGTGCTTTGTATCACAGTATTTAGGTTACAGGATATCAAAGCAGACGAGTGAAAATTGCCCAAGAACTTAGCATTGTCTTTTGAAGGAAGAGTTAACATGCCGTTGGTTGTATGCAGTATAGTTGTATCATGTTAAGCACAAGTGTGATTTCGTTAGTGCCTTTATTGGGAGATTAAGTATGGTTTAAGGATATGTATATGGGTGCTCAGATGACAAGAGGTAGACTGAAATGGTCAGTTTTAGATGTCAACTTCATCAGACTATAGTTCCCTAGTTATCCAATCAAACATGAATCTGGATGTTGTTGTAAAGGTATTTGTAGATGGGCTTAAAGACTATAATCAATTTTACTTTAAGTAAAGAAGACTATCCTAGATAATATAGAAGAGCCTGATCCAATCATCTCAAAGTCCCTGAGTGCAGAATTGAGGTTTCCCTGAGGTAGAACAAATTCCACCTGTAGGCTGCAACTTCAGCTCATGCCCCAAAGCTCCACCCTCCCCTTCCTTAAGACCTGCCCTATAAATTTTGGACTTGCCGAGCCAGTCCCTATAATCAGGTAAGGTAATTCCCTGCAATAAATCTCTTAACATGTGTATCCTACTAGTTCTGTGTATCTGGTAGAAACCTAACTGATACACTTCCCAAATGGGCCTTTGACTCAAAACAACAAAAATCAACCTGTCAGCAGACTATTATTAAAAATCAACAAGCCAATTATAAAATTTAAATGAAAATGCAAAGGATTCAGAATAAACTAAACAATCTTCAAAAGAACAAAGTTGGAGCACATATACTACCAAAACCAAAGTTTCTTACAGAACTACCATAATCAACTTTAATATTGGTTCAAGGATAAACAAGGCTCAAGGATAAACTTATGAAAGAGAACAGAGGGTGAAGAAATAACCCCTCTCTCACACCATACAAAAGTAAATTCAAGATCAATCATAGACTTGTGAAATACTTACGACCTATACTTTATAAACAGGCAAAACTCAGCAGGCACTTCACAAGAGGATATTCAAATGGCCAATAACAGATGAAAAGTCCAAGAAAATGCAAATTCAAACCACAATGAGCTACCCCCACGCACCCATCAGAATGGCCAAAATAAAAAAGACTAACAATAGGCTGGGCATGATGGTGTACACCTGTAATCCCAGCAGTTTGGGAGGCCCAGGTGGAAGGTTTGCTTGAGGCCAGGAATTCAAGATTACAGTGAGCTATGATGGTGTCTCTGCACTCCAGCCTGGGCAATAGAGTGAGACTCTGTCTCACACACACACAAAAAAAGATTGACAAGGCTGGGAAGCAATTCTAAAATTCCAAAATGCCCACATGGAAGGTGGGAGTTTAACTTGGAACTATCACCTTAGAAAATATGTGGACAGTAGTTCATAAAGCTGCATTTCTATGTATATACTTGAAGTGAATAAATGCATATATCTACCTAAAGTTATATGTAAGAATATTCATAACAGTTTTACCCTTCAATCACTTCTCATTACTTTTACAATTTCCTAAGTCCTTAACAGAGCCAGCAAGTACCCCCTCCTCAGTTTCATCAGCTTTTCTCCTCTCTGGTCACACTAAACATATCTCAGCTCCTTGGGGAATTCTCAAATGCCATGTCCTCTCTGGAAAACCTTTTGCTCTTCCCTTCCCCCAGCTAACTATTACTCATCCTTCAGACCACGACTCATTGCACTTCTCTTCACTTCCTCAGAGAGGTCAACCTTTCCAGACTGGGTTGGTCTGTTAATCATTAGTTTCCACAGCACTCATTAGTTCCTCCTTCATATCCATCAGCACCTTTGTAATCATTTTACCGCTTCTTCAACAATTCAATAGCCAATAGGAAATGCTCCAAATGGACAGAGTGTAATATATTCATACAAAGAGACAGTTCACAGCAATAACTTTTAAGCATAATGGTAAATACAACAGGCAGGAATGTCTCAGACATTATACCGAGAGGAAAAAAGATAGAAAGAATATACACTATATGACTCCATCCCAATGAAGTTCAAAGCAGACAAAACTAAGAAATCATATTGAAGTCTGTTAAAGAGATGAGAGGAGGGGGAGGATGGATTGGGAAGTGGCCCGAGGAACTTTCTCTTGAGGTGCTGGAAATGGCCTCTCTCTTGATCCAGGTGGTTATCACACAGATGTATATATCTGTGTAAAATTTCACCAGGCTTTACTCTGCACACTGGTTTACTTTAACCACATTATTATATGTATTTTAAACCTCAATTAAGAGGTAAACAAGAAAGCACAGTGAAGGAAAATTATTTACACTTGGAAGAATTGAATTATTAGGGCTTCTAAAAGTTGTTCAGGACAAACATGCTTTTGTTCCACTTTAATTTACCCATTTAGTACCTTGAATGACCGATTTCTCTTGTCTAAGAAAATGTCTTCTTGTTGTTCTCAGAGGAAAAGACTTTCCAACGTTAAATTCTTTAACCAGGTGTGACACAACATTCCACAGGTCTTCATAATCCCTCCTAATGGAATCTCCCAAATTCAAATGTGGTTCTGCATAACAATAAAAAATATTAAAATCTCAAAAGTCATACACATGCAGACACACACAGAGCATCTTTTTTGAATAAATTCATAGAGCTCTGGAAAGATGATCAAATATGGAAACTTACAGTGAGTTACACAATACACTTGCATGAAAATTAGTCATGACACTATGACAGTACTTTTTTAAAGTCATTTTCTCTTTAAATATAATGCAGAGCCAGGTACTGTGACATGGGCCTGTGGTTCCAGCTACTCAGGAGGCTGAGGCGGGAGGATCGCTTGAGCCCAAGAGTTCAAGACCATCTGGGCAATGTACCGAGATGCCCTCCCTGCCCAAAAAATTAACAAAGGAACATCACCATTTTAATCATAGTCCTTATTAAATAATGTGAATGATAAATATATAATTATTCCCAAAAATAATGAAGCACAATATGCTACATATAAGCTTGCAACTTTAAAAACTAATTTCAAAACAAGTTTTTAAAGAGTTTACAGAATATGGGGGAGGAGCCAAGATGGCCGAATAGGAACAGCTCTGGTCTACAGCTCCCAGCGTGAGCAACGCAGAAGACGGGTGATTTCTGCATTTCCATATGAGGTACCGGGTTCATCTCACTAGGGAGTGCCAGACAGTGGGCACAGGTCAGTGGGTGCGCGCACCGTGTGCGAGCCGAAGCAGGGCGAGGCATTGCCTCACTTGGGAAGCGCAAGGGGTCAGGGAGTTCCCTTTCTGAGTCAAAGAAAGGGGTGACGGACGGCACCTGGAAAATCGGGTCACTCCCACCAGAATACTGCACTTTTGCGACGGGCTTAAAAAACGGCGCACCACGAGATTATATCCCGCACCTGGCTCAGAGGGTCCTACGCCCACGGAGTCTCGCTGATTGCTAGCACAGCAGTCTGAGATCAAACTGCAAGGCGGCAGCGAGGCTGGGGGAGGGGCGGCAGCGAGGCTGGGGGAGGGGCGCCCGCCATTGCCCAGGCTTGATTAGGTAAACAAAGCAGCCTGGAAGCGCGAACTGGGTGGAGCCCACCACAGCTCAAGGAGGCCTGCCTGCCTCTGTAGGCTCCACCTCTGGGGGCAGGGCACAGACAAAGAAAAAGGCAGCAGTAACCTCTGCAGACTTAAATGTCCCTGTCTGACAGCTTTGAAGAGAGCAGTGGTTCTCCCAGCACGCAGCTGGAGATCTGAGAACGGGCAGACTGCCTCCTCAAGTGGGTCCCTGACCCCTGACCCCCGAGCAGCCTAACTGGGAGGCACCCCCCAGCAGGGGCACACTGACACCTCACACGGCAGGGTACTCCAACAGACCTGCAGCTGAGGGTCCTCTCTGTTAGAAGGAAAACTAACAAACAGAAAGGACATCCACACCAAAAACCCATCTGTACATCACCATCATCAAAGACCAAAAGTAGATAAAACCACAAAGATGGGGAAAAAACAGAACAGAAAAACTGGAAACTATAAAAAGCAGAGCGCCTCTCCTCCTCCAAAGGAACGCAGTTCCTCACCAGCAATGGAACAAAGCTGGATGGAGAATGACTTTGATGAGCTGAGAGAAGAAGGCTTCAGACGATCAAATTACTCTGAGCTATGGGAGGACATTCAAACCAAAGGCAAAGAAGTTGAAAACTTTGAAAAAAATTTAGACGAATGTACAACTAGAATAACCAATACAGAGAAGTGCTTAAAGGAGCTGATGGAGCTGAAAACCAAGGCTCAAGAACTAAGTGAAGAATGCAGAAGCCTCAGGAGCCGATGCGATCAACTGGAAGAAAGGGTATCAGCAATGGAAGATGAAATGAATGAAATGAAGCGAGAAGGGAAGTTTAGAGAAAAAAGAATAAAAAGAAATGAGCAAAGCCTCCAAGATATATGGGACTATGTGAAAAGACCAAATCTACGTCTGATTGGTGTACCTGAAAGTGATGGGGAGAATGGAACCAAGTTGGAAAACACTCTGCAGGATATTATCCAGGAGAACTTCTCCAATCTAGCAAGGCAGGCCAACGTTCAGATTCAGGAAATATAGAGAACGCCAAAAAGATACTCCTCGAGAAGAGCAACTCCAAGACACATAATTGTCAGATTCACCAAAGTTCAAATGAAGGAAAAAATGTTAAGGGCAGCCAGAGAGAAAGGTTGGGTTACCCTCAAAGGGAAGCCCATCAGACTAACAGCGGATCTCTCGGCAGAAACCCTACAAGCCAGAAGAGAGTGGGGGCCAATATTCAACATTCTTAAAGAAAAGAATTTTCAACCCAGAATTTCATATCCAGCCAAACTAAGCTTCATAAGTGAGGGAGAAATAAAATACTTTACAGACAAGCAAATGCTGAGAGATTTTGTCACCACCAGGCCTGCCATACAAGAGCTCCTGAAGGAAGCACTAAACATGGAAAGGAACAACCGGTACCAGCCGCTGCAAAATCATGCCAAAATGTAAAGACCAGCGAGACTAGGAAGAAACTGCATCAACTAACAAGCAAAATAACCAGCTAACATCATAATGACAGGATCAAATTCACACATAACAATATTAACTTTAAATGTAAATGGACTAAATGCTCCAATTAAAAGACACAGACTGGCAAATTGGATAAACAGTCAAGACCCATCAGTGTGCTGTATTCAGGAAACCCATCTCACGTGCAGAGACACACATAGGCTCAAAATAAAAGGATGGAGGAAGATCTACCAAGCCAATGGAAAACAAAAAAAGGCAGGGGTTGCAATCCTAGTCTCTGATAAAACAGACTTTAAACCAACAAAGATCAAAAGAGACAAAGAAGGCCATTACATAATGGTAAAGGGATCAATTCAGCAAGAAGAGCTAACTATCCTAAATATATATGCACCCAATACAGGAGCACCAAGATTCATAAAGCAAGTCCTGAGTGACCTACAAAGAGACTTAGACTCCCACACATTAATAATGGGAGACTTTAACACCCCACTGTCAACATTAGACAGATCAACGAGACAGAAAGTCAACAAGGATACCCAGGAATTGAACTCAGCTCTGCACCAAGCAGACCTAATAGACATCTACAGAACTCTCCACCCCAAATCAACAGAATATACATTTTTTTCAGCACCACACCACACCTATTCCAAAATTGACCACATACTTGCAAGTAAAGCTCTCCTCAGCAAATGTAAAAGAACAGAAATTATAACAAACTATCTCTCAGACCACAGTGCAATCAAACTAGAACTCAGGATTAAGAATCTCACTCAAAACCGCTCAACTACATGGAAACTGAACAACCTGCTCCTAAATGACTACTGGGTACATAACGAAATGAAGGCAGAAATAAAGATGTTCTTTGAAACCAACGAGAACAAAGACACAACATACCAGAATCTCTGGGATGCATTCAAAGCAGTGTGTAGAGGGAAATTTATAGCACTAAATGCCCACAAGAGAAAGCAGGAAAGATCCAAAATTGACACCCTAACATCACAATTAAAAGAACTAGAAAAGCAAGAGCAAACACATTCAAAAGCTAGCAGAAGGCAAGAAATAACTAAAATCAGAGCAGAACTGAAGGAAATAGAGACACAAAAAACCCTTCAAAAAATTAATGAATCCAGGAGCTGGTTTTTTGAAAGGATCAACAAAATTGATAGACCTCTAGCAAGACTAATAAAGAAAAAAAGAGAGAAGAATCAAATAGACGCAATAAAAAATGATAAAGGGGATATCACCACCGATCCCACAGAAATACAAACTACCATCAGAGAATACTACAAACACCTCTACGCAAATAAACTAGAAAATCTAGAAGAAATGGATAAATTCCTGGACACATACACTCTCCCAAGACTAAACCAGGAAGAAGTTGAAACTCTGAATAGACCAATAACAGGAGCTGAAATTGTGGCAATAATCAATAGCTTACCAACCAAAAAGAGTCCAGGACCAGATGGATTCACAGCCAAATTCTACCAGAGATACAAGGAGGAACTGGTACCATTCCTTCTGAAACTATTCCAATCAATAGAAAAAGAGGGAATTCTCCCTAACTCATTTTATGAGGCCAGCATCATTCTGATACCAAAGCCAGGCAGAGACACAACAAAAGAAGAGAATTTTAGACCAATATCCTTGATGAACATTGATGCAAAAATCCTCAATAAAATACTGGCAAAACAAATCCAGCAGCACATCCAAAAGCTTATCCACCATGATCAAGTGGGCTTCATCCCTGGGATGCAAGGCTGGTTCAATATACACAAATCAATAAATGTAATCCAGCATATAAACAGAGCCAAAGACAAAAACCACATGATTATCTCAATAGATGCAGAAAAAGCCTTTGACAAAATTCAACAACCCTTCATGCTAAAAACTCTCAATAAATTAGGTATTGATGGGATGTATTTCAAAATAATAAGAGCTATCTATGACAAACCCACAGCCAATATCATACTGAATGGGCAAAAACTGGAAGCATTCCCTTTGAAAACTGGCACAAGACAGGGATGCCCTCTCTCACCACTCCTATTCAACATAGTGTTGGAAGTTCTGGCCAGGGCAATTAGGCAGGAGAAGGAAATAAAGAGTATTAAATTAGGAAAAGAGGAAGTCAAATTGTCCCTGTTTGCAGACGACATGATTGTATATCTAGAAAACCCCATTGTCTCAGCCCAAAATCTCCTTAAGCTGATAAGCAACTTCAGCAAAGTCTCAGGATACAAAATCAATGTACAAAAATCACCAGCATTCTTAAACACCAACAACAGACAAACAGAGAGCCAAATCATGAGTGAACTCCCATTCACAATTGCTTCAAAGAGAATAAAATACCTAGGAATCCAACTTACAAAGGATGTGAAGGACCTCTTCAAGGAGAACTACAAACCACTGCTCAAGGAAATCAAAGAGGATACAAACAAATGGAAGAACATTCCATGCTCATGGGTAGGAAGAATCAATATTGTGAAAATGGCCATACTGCCCAAGGTGATTTACAGATTCAATGCCATCCCCATCAAGCTACCAATGACTTTCTTCACAGAATTGGAAAAAACTACTTTAAAGTTCATACGGAACCGAAAAAGAGACTGCATCACCAAGTCAATCCTAAGCCAAAAGAACAAAGCTGGAGGCATCACACTACCTGACTTCAAACTATACTACAAGGCTACAGGAACCAAAACAGCATGGTACTGGTACCAAAACAGAGATATAGATCAATGGAACAGAACAGAGCCCTCAGAAATAACACCGCATATCTACAACTATCTGATCTTTGACAAACCTGAGAAAAACAAGCAATGGGGAAAGGATTCCCTATTTAATAAATGGTGCTGGGAAAACTGGCTAGCCATATGTAGAAAGCTGAAACTGGATCCCTTCCTTACACCTTATACAAAAATCAATTCAAGATGGATTAAAGACTTAAACGTTAGACCTAAAACCATAAAAACCCTAGAAGAAAACCTAGGCATTACCATTCAGGACATAGGCATGGGCAAGGACTTCATGTCTAAAACACCAAAAGCAATGGCAACAAAAGCCAAAATTGGCAAATGGGATCTAATTAAACTAAAGAGCTTCTGCACAGCAAAAGAAACTACCATCAGAGTGAACAGGCAACCTACAAAATGGGAGAAAATTTTCGCAACCTACTCATCTGACAAAGGGCTAATATCCAGAATCTACAATGAACTCAAACAAATTTACAAGAAAAAAACAAACAACCCCATCAAAAAGTGGGCAAAGAATATGAACAGACACTTCTCAAAAGAAGACATTTATGCAGCCAAAAAACACATGAAAAAATGCTCATCATCACTGGCCATCAGAGAAATGCAAATCAAAACCACAATGAGATACCATCTCACACCAGTTAGAATGGCAAACATTAAAAAGTCAGGAAACAACAGGTGCTGGAGAGGATGTGGAGAAATAGGAATGCTTTTACACTGTTAGTGGGACTGTAAACTAGTTCAACCATTGTGGAAGTCAGTGTGGCGATTCCTCAGGGATCTAGACCTGGAAATACCATTTGACCCAGCCATCCCATTACTGGGTATATACCCAAAGGACTATAAATCATGCTGCTATAAAGACATATGCACACATTATTGTGGCATTATTCACAATAGCAAAGACTTGGAACCAACCCAAATGTCCAACAATGATAGACTGGATTAAGAAAATGCGGCACATATACACCATGGAATACTATGCAGCCATAAAAAATGATGAGTTCATGTCCTTTGTAGGGACATGGATGAAATTGGAAATCATCATTCTCAGTAAACTATCGCAAGATCAAAAAAACCAAACACCGCATATTCTCACTCATAGGTGGGAATTGAACAATGAGATCACATGGACACAGGAAGGGGAATATCACACTCTGGGGACTGTTGTGGGGTGGGGGGAGGGGGGAGGGATAGCATCGGGAGATATACCTAATGCTAGATGACGAGTTAGTGGGTGCAGCGCACCAGCATGGCACATGTATACATATGTAACTAACCTGCACAATGTGCACATGTACCCTAAAACTTAAAGTATAATAAAAAAAAAAGGAGTTTACAGAATATGGAGAGGGTGAGAATTTTGTTAAAACTAGTAAAATTTGCTACATTTTATGCAGTCAGTTTATTCAAGTGTTTGTCATTTAAGGGAATTAAATGCCAGAGGTCCAAAAAACTTCAATAATGTTCGTTCAGGAAAAATATGTTTTGAAATGTTTTATTATTCTCTGACTATGTAAGCCACTCTAGATAATTTACTCTATAAAAATATTCAAAGGAAGGCAAAAATTATGTATGTACCAAAATGCAGTTTTATTTATTTTTAGGAAAAATGCAATATATCCTTAAATGTTCAAAAATAGTGAAAGGATTATATTAATTACAGCAAGCGTTATAAAATATCATGCATCTACCATTTAAATAAAAAATATAACTATTAATATGCTATCATATCATAGCATATCATATCATAGCATTATACTCATTTTCAAATGCTATTAAGTGAAGAAAAAATAAAATACGTAAAAAGTATGTACACACACAAAGGTTTTCAAGAAACAAAAATGTTGCTGTGGTATGTACTGGAAAATTTATAAGGGTTTTATATAATTTGTTCATGATATAATGTTAATGCATATTCAGGTACTACCTTGAGTACTTTCAAATTCATAGTAGAAGGCTATATTCTTTAACAATTGCTCATCATACAAGTCAGAAACATGATTTAAATTCAGATTCCAGCATCCAAAAACGTTTAAGTTGCTTAAAATGAAATATTCACACCACTTGTTCTGAAAATTAAAAATAAAACATTATTAGCAGGGAGGCATGGAATAATTTCATACTCCTGGTTAACCCCCTATAAGGTAGGTCACAAGGGACATTTCTGGGTGGAATGATAAAGTCATTACAATCACAAATATTACAGATGGTGATCTATAAGTCCCCAAACTAATGCTTTCATATCTTTACTTTTAAAACTGGGAATTGCACTGCTTATCCTAGTACTCATTATTTACCTTATAGTACGCTGTTCCCTTAATGTGGTACTAAAACTATAGATGACAATACTAACACCTTTGTCATGCAGGTCCTGGGATCCCAGCCAGGCCTGCATGAGTACATTTAGACAGTTGCAAACTGGTTCCATTCCTCTCACTTTGGGGTCAACACCTACCCCCACTACACCCCTGGTGAGCAGGAAGAAGTTAGAGCGGTCTTTGCCCTTTTTCCATCTTCTTTAGCCAAGACCTTAAGATTAAGAGGCACATATACACCATGGAATACTATGCAGCCATAAAAAATGATGAGTTCATGTCCTTTGTAGGGACATGGATGAAATTGGAAACCATCATTCTCAGTAAACTATCGCAAGATCAAAAAACCAAACACCGCATATTCTCACTCATAGGTGGGAATTGAACAATGAGATCACATGGACACAGGAAGGGGAATATCACACTCTGGGGACTGTGGTGGGGTCGGGGGAGGGGGGAGGGATAGCATTGGGAGATATACCTAATGCTAGATGACACGTTAGTGGGTGCAGCGCACCAGCATGGCACATGTATACATATGTAACTAACCTGCACAATGTGCACATGTACCCTAAAACTTAGAGTATAATAAAAAAAAAAAAACATTAAAACAAAAAAAAAAAATGCAAAAAAAAAAAAAGAAAAAAGAAAAAAATTACTAAATGATGTGCTTGACTAAGAAAGAGGCTGAAACTGAAAAGAGTAGGCTGCAAGAAGCAATGGTGAAAAAATAAAATAATGAAAATAGAATAAAAATAAAATAAACATGTGGGTAAAAATAAAAAAAAAAAAAAAAAAGAGGTTATAAAACCCAGAAGTAGGGATTGAAACCACCATTGCAAAATTATGACTGAAACGGTGAAAGAGATCTGACTTAACTAACTCCACCTTGCTTCTAACCTCCAAGCTGTTCTTGTTTGTTCCTGGGTGTAGGCTGAACTAACTTTGGAAGGAACTTTGTTTACAGTTTATAGTTTGAAACAAAGATGATAACAGCCCTTTCTCAAAACAAACCCCCTTCATTCCTGGGGACTCGGCGGCCCATGGAGGACTAACAAATTAGTCAAAAGATTAGAAATTATGGCTTAGGAGTCATGCAGCTGGAGGCTACAAGATTCTGACCCTCCCCAGTATTGCTCCTGGGGATAAAACCACTATTGTAAAACCTAAGCCAGTACTTGAGATATTTTGCAGACCTTGCACGTGATGGATCAGCTGACATCAGCCAGCTCTATAAACTGGCTCATCTGATCTTGTGGTCCCCATCCAGGAACTGACTCAGTGCAAGAAGACAGCTTCAACGCCCTATGATTTCATCTCTGACCTGACCAATCAGCATTCTTGGCTCACTGGCTTCCCCCTACCCACCAAGTTGTCCTTAAAAACTCTGATCTCCAAATGCTCAGGGGAGACTGAATTGAATAATAATAAAACTCTGGTCTCCCTCAAAAAAAAAAAAAAAGATTACAGATGAACTAAGACCAACTCCAAGGAAAGAGTTGCCTCCACTACCTTTATTTTATACCCATCCACTCACTATTGTTGAATATTCCATAGATTTTGTACCCCATCACTCTACCAAAACAGCTCTTAATAATAATTAGCCTTGGCTAGGTACCATGGCTTATGCCTATAATCCCAACACTTTGTGAGGCTGAGGCAGGAGGATTGTTTGAGCCCAGGCATTCAAGACCAGCCTTGGCAACATGACCAGACCTTGCCTCTACAAAAAATAAAATTAGCCAGGCATGGTGGCGTATAGTCCCATCTATTAGAGAGGCTGAGGTGGGAGGATCACTTGAGCCTGGGAGGTCGAGGCTGCAGTGAGCTATGGTCATGCCACAGCACTCCAGCCTGGGCAACAGAGCAAGATCTTGTCTCAAAACAATAATAATAATGACAACAATAATAATTGGCCTTGACTTTCATGCAATTAAATTAAAGTCACTGAATTTTCTTGTCAACATCCTCATATTATCTGCAGAATTTGACACTAATAAACCATTTCCTTCTTTTTGAAATATGATTCATATGAACTCTAAGATATCATATTCTCCCAGATTTTCTACCATCTATCTTCACCACTCTTTTTCAGTGTCTTTTTCTAATTCTTAAGCTTCTACCTGACCACTAAATTCTGGAATATCTCTGGACCCTGAACCTAGATGTCCTCTCATTTTACCTAGAAAAACACATAACTGGTATGGTATTCAGAACCACTCATGGGCTGATGTGTCCCAAATTTTTATTCCCAGTCTAAAGAATACTTAAACTGCCTTTTACATATTTCCTTTGGAAGTCTCATTGCCACCACCTCAAACTCACTATTTCCCAAACTCATTGTTTTCCTCTTCAGAATGTTCTTCTTTCGGTGGCAGCATCCATACAGTTGGCCTAGCCAGAAACCTGAAAGTCATCATTGACTCTTCCTTCTCCCTTCTGCCTCATATCCTGTTCCTTAACCCTGTCAGTTTCAAAGCCTAAAGAACTCTTGTATCTTTGACTTCTATTTGTTCCTATTGCCACCAACATCTTAGCCATGTTAGCATCATCACCATGTGATCACTGGGGTGGTTTCCTCACCTCTATATTTGGATGTCTACAATGCGCTCTATGCACTTCAGCCAAAGAACTCTTAAACAAAAATGTCAATTTCAGCTTGAAATCCTTCAATCACTTCTCATTATTCTTAGGATTTCCTAAGTCCTTAACAGAGCCAACAAGTACTATATTGATTTTTCTCCTACCCCCTCCTCAGCTTCATCAGCTTTTCTCCTCTCTGGTCACACTAAACATATCTGAGCTCCTTGTGGCATTCGCAAGTGCTATGTCCTCTCTTGAAAACCTTTTGCTCTTCCCTTCCCCCACTAACTACTACTCATCCTTCAGACCATGAGTCATTTCACTTGTCTTCACTCTTCAGAGAGGTCAACCTTTCCAGACTGGGTTGTATCTCTTAATCATTCATTTCCAAAGCTTCATTAGTCCCTCCTTCATATCCATCAGCACCTTTGTAATCATTTTACTGCTTATTCAATAATGCAAATTGAAGTTCCATGGAAGAAGAAGAGATATGAGTTTGTATTTTTCTCCACTCCTTCCTTGGTGCTTATCACAGTGAATATGCACTGAATAAACATGTGTGGACCAGCTGCCTGACAGACTGGTTTTAAAATGTCTATGATAACAATTTGACAGTATCTATCAAGATCCTCAAATTTTCCATACCTTTTTGGCTTATCATCTCTTTTCCCATTTCAGAAAATCTATTCAAGGTAATTCATTACAAATTATCCCTCAAGGCCAGTAGCATTTATGATACAAAAGCTTCAAATGATCCTAATGTCCCTTTATAGAGGTATGATTAAGTAAACTACAATACAATCACTCAAACGTATTTAGTAGCCATAAAAATTATGCTAACCAGCTTGAGTGAATGGGTACCCCATTCTCCATGATGTGATTATTAGGCATTGCATGCCTGTATCAAAACATCTAATGCACTCAATAAATATGTACAACTACTATGTACTCACAAAAATTAAAAATTTTAAAAATTATGCTAACCAAAAGTGAAAATGCTTTTACAATAAAATAATATGTAGCATATATCGTATGATTGCAACCATAACAAAAACTAGGCCCTAAAATAAAAAATGAAAGAAATTAAACCAAAATATTAACCGTTAACAGTATTAATTTGAACAGTGGGTTAGGAGTACATATTATTATTTTTTCTTCAATTTTTAACTTTCCTTTAATACACTTTTATTAAAAACAGAAAAAATAAATTCATAAACACTTTTCCTGAGTTTCTCTACAAAGAGAATACAATGTCAATCAATTTTCTATGATTGATTATACAAAAACAAGATCTCATCAGAGATAAGAAGGAAAAAGAGGAGGCTCTCATGCTTCTATAAAACAGATATACTGTGGTTTTCCTCATTACACTACCAAAAATAAAAGTTGTTGAAAATAGGAACTTGATTTATCAGCTAATTAGATCTGGCATTATTCCAATATAACTCTAGTTTTAAAGGTGATCATGGTTTTCATCTCTCATGTTCAGACAAAAAATAAACAAAATATGTTTACCATTTTTAAGAAAGAATCACTGTTCCTAATCCAAGAGCATGTGATGACTCGAGAACAAGCTCTCTGAGAAAGGGGTAAGTGGAGTTGAAAAGCCACACAGAGGCAACGCAGTCTGCAGAAATCTTCCACCTCCTGCAGGGATAGGCAATTACTGTGCACCTGCGTACAATAAAGAAGATGAGAACAGTCACAATGTCACGCTGTGAAATGGCATTGAAATAGGCACTCCACGAAGATCATATCTTCAAAGTTTTACATCTACATTTGTGAGAAAGTCCCCTTCTGCATACACAAACTTGGCTGCACTGATACAGAAGTAGGTAAGAGGGAGGGAAAGCTCCAGGCTTAGTAGTTCACATAATGCATTTCTTATGATTTTCAGTGAAGCTGGACTTTAAATGAGTTGGCAGCAAAGGAAGTCCCTGACCCAGAGGTCTGAGGATTGACAGAGCCCCATGTAAAATGCTCTGTCATTTCAGAGAATGAAGAGTAATATCTACAAACCCATGGCAGGTTCAGGGTGAGAAATCCCGGATGGCAATCTATCTGTAAAACGTATTGAATGAGAAATCGGGGAAGGAAATGGTCAAGTTTCACCTCCTGTGGCAGAGACTTCAGAACTATTTTCGAATATATAAAAGGTTGTCATATGGAAGGTTAAAAAAACCTTAATCTGGGTATCTTCATAGAGCAAAATTAGGGATAACTGAAATTACAAGGAGATTGATTTGGGTTCAATATGTTCATTTTTTTAAATTAGAACCACCAAAAACATCGTGCATGGTCATTTGAAAATATTTTTCCAAAAACAATTAGGCAAATAGAGTAAAGGAGATTCAAATGAGACAGTGATCCCTAGCCATCTCTAAATCATGTGAGAAAGAAGCAAATTAAATTAATCAATATGAACTTTTGTGAGAAATCAGCTTTTATACCCAGAACCCTATGATGGGTGCTATTCACACTCCCACCCACGGCACATCTTCAGCATAACATAAAAGTGAATATATTAAGGTAATTATCATTTTTAAGCATGCTCTTAAAATTCTGACAATCATGCTGAAATAAAGTTTCTAAGTTCTTCATTTTTTACTGTTTATCTTCAAAATTTAAGTATTCAAATTCACAATTTTAGAGAAATCTACATAGCTAAGATCTACTGTACTACATACTAAATTAAAATATTGGAGTGCTCTGTCTCCTACATTAAAAAGACTATTGCACAGTAATTCAGGATCTGGGCTCTGAAAACCGTCTAACTCCAGTCAAGACACTGTATGAGTCAGTTCTCCTATATGTATAAAATTGGGATAGTAACAGTACACTTTCTCATAGGGTTTCTGGAAAAACGTGAAATATCTAGAATATCACCAATACACAGTAAGCCCTAAATGTTACCTATTATTAGCTAGTCTTCATAACATCCCAGCTCTGTAGGTTGAAAGCAGCTATTAGCACACATTAGACAATCAATATCCTTAGCTAAGGGAATTAATAAATGTGTTATCAGTCAAGAGAAAGTCAAAGATGGGAAATTCAAACTAAGGAAAGAATCAAGAAGGAAGAAGCATAAAATGCTCACTGCTCTCTCCATTCTCCATTCTCCATGGTGCTCCCGAAGAGTAAACAGCTTCCTTTTTTTTTTTTTTTTTTTTTAGCAGCTAGAAGAATGTTGTTGTCATTTGTTGGGATGGAGAAGAGTGAGGCAGAAGCAGGTTTGGGGAGTTTGGTTCCAGAAATCCTAAATTTGAGATGTCTATTACAAATCCAAGTGAAAATGTTGAGTTGGTGGTTCAGACTAGAGGTCTGAAATTCCTCTAGTTATTTCAAAGGGACATTAAAATTGCCTTCCAAGATATGTATGATCAGTGGGGGTAGATATCATGTCTATTTCTTCTCTCTCTCCAAATATATTTATTTTTGGCATATATATTACCATGCACAAAGTAAATATTTTATGAAAACATGCTGATAGATTTAAGAAATGGACAATTTTCTCCTATAGAATACTAACTTCTTGAGCCCTGTACAGTCACATTATTTCTTTCTTTTTCTTTTTCTTTTTTTTTCTATTTCTTTTATTGCTGTTTGTTTTAAGAACAGAGTTTTCAGCCTGAAACACACCAATATCTAGACTGCATACAAACTTTGTGTGTGTGTGTGTGTGTGTGTGTGTGTACTTATGCAAGCAGGGATGCATATAGTAGAGCGGAAAATCCATGTTCCTCAAAAGATTCCTAAAGGGCCCTATAAGCTGAAAACAATTATAAAAATTCAGGATCTCTATAGTCTCAGTGACACTAATAAACAATAACAGAACTGTTCTTTTAAATACACAACTTAACAGAGCAGAATCATTACAAGCTGTGGAGCCAACCATCCTAGTCAAAATCCAGGCTGCCTTTTACCATGTGATTTTAGGTAGGTTAGGGAAGTCTTGGTCTCAAAGTCTTGAATCGACAGGAGAGAGTGATAATTGCTATACTGAAAAGTTGTAAGATTACATGGTGTCAGGTAACACAAAGACCCTGAAACACAGCGTATAGTGGGGCCCCTCCTCCAATTTGTTTCTTTTCCTCTTCCTCCTCACTTTCTCTGTTTTTTAGAAGAACTGGGCCAAATAACTACTAAGTGAAACACCAGATAAAACTTGCTGTACATTGTATTTTAAGAAAAACACTAAATTACGTAACATAATATTTTCTTATGTATACAGATTCTAATTTTTCTCCCCTTTTTGGTATTTAATACACATAAATTGGTGGGGGAAGGGGCTAAATTCCTAATGAAGAAAATGGCGGTCAGAAACCAAGAGTATGTCCACAGTGGAGAACCTGATGCCACCAGTGAAGTTATACCAGTTACACCTGATGAATGACAGCTTTCTGCCTGGCGGCTGTGTTCTTTTTACTTACTAAGACACGATGGTACATTCTCAAGGATAGTGAACATGAAGTGACACAGAGAACACGCTGGATGTCCGATCCTTCTGACCATAGGTGCTGAAGCAGAAATAGAGTCTGATACGCCTATCAAAAAAGAAATTTCTTCAAATGTCAAATTATTTAGAAATATTCTTTTACTCAGAAGTGCTCTTACTTGTAAGAAACATAAAGAAAACGATTGTATAGATTTGACTAAACGGAACTTCAAATGTTTAGTTTAAAAATGTATGATCATTTTAATGATAGAAAATTGAAAAATAATTACAACCAATATGCCAGAGAAATATGAAAACCTAAATATGTAAAGAAATTAAATAATAAGAAATTAAGATTTAGTAAAACATGAACTGATTCACAAAGAAGGAAATAGATTATTAATAAAAATAAAATCATCCCATTTTACTAAAAATCAGAGAAGTATATGTTAAAACAAAAATTAGCTTGTTATAAATATCAATAATATCAAAAATTTTAAAATAATATCACACAACATTGAAAATTGTGTGGTGAGTCACCTCTCTTACAGATTAAAGATAAAAGTACAGGTAGGTATAGAATTTCTGCAAAGCTCTTTGACAACGTCCATCAGGATCATTAAATATGTTGATGCCTTATGATCCAGTTTTGAATTTCTGGGAATTTAGCACAGAGGAATAATAACCCAATATGTATACAAAAAACATATACATCAAAATGTTCATTATAACATTATTTATATGAGCCAAAATTTTGAAGTAATTTAAGTGTCTAGCATTAAGAAAATATAATGCACTCATTAGATACTACATTTATGAAAAATTCTTAATGACAAGAAAATATGCAATAATCTTAATGAAATGTACACTAAAAATATATATACAGTCTGGGCATGGTGGCTCACAGCTATAATCCCAAGACTTTGGGAGGCCAAGGTAGGAGGATCACTTGAGCCCAGGAGTTCAAGACCAGCCTGGGTAACAAAGTGAGACACCATCTCTATATAAAATAAAAATTAAAAATTAGGCAGGCATGGTGGCATATGCCTGTGGGTCCAGCTACTCAGGAGGCTGAGGTGGGAGGATCACCTGAGCCTGGGAGGTCAAGGCTGCAGTGATCCATGATTGTGTCACTGCACTCCAGAATGGGCAACAGAGTGAGGCCTTGTCTGAAAAAAAAACAAAACAAAACACCAAAAACATATATATAAACTACATACACACACACACACACACACACACACACACATACACACACACACACACACAATATGTCCTCAGCTACACAAAAATATATGTTAAAACGCTAATATCAAGAAGTGGAATTATGGATATTCTTACTACTTTTGTGTTTTTTTCCAAACTTTCTTATGCAACCACCTTTTACCGCTTGAGCATCAGAAAAAAAAAAAAAGAAAGAGGTGCTTAGTAATCCATCATGATAAATAGTAGTATAAAGCATAGCTTGAGAAGATAATCAGAAAATTAGACTTAAGGTATAATTAATTCCACATTTTGACTGTTTATATGGCAAATGATATCTTAGAGCCCTCCTCAATTTGAATACTGGAAAATAAACATTACTGTTGCATTAAGTACTACAATTTTCTAGTTTCCCAGAGTCTGTTTTAAAATATGGCTTCCGGAAATGAATATAAAATTACATATGCCATCCGATGAATTCAAGGTACTCTGAGAGCATGACATTCTAAGATTCAGATAGTATACATGTACTAAGGAGGTATATGGCACCCTTTAGTCTGGTCTAAGGACTGAACTAATCACAAGTTCATTCTCATTTACCAAATTCTATCAAACTTTTATTTAAAGAAATAAAAATTTTAATACCTCTTCCATCATATCATTCCATTTCAAATGTTCAAAATGAGTTGCTAATACTAAAACCCTTATTTCTTCCAAGTGTTGTATGAGGCTTTTATATGCACTCTGAATCACTGTTTCATTCTGTAAAAGGGAGAAAACCATATAAAATATCTTAAATAAAGTATTTCCCAGCTGTAAAATATGAGACACTTGAGGCAAATCAAAACCACAATGAGATATTATCTCATGCTGGTCAGAATGGCGATTACTAAAAAGTCAAGAAACAACATATGCTGGCGAGTTTGTAGAGAAATACGAATGCTTATACACTGTTGGTGGGGATGAAATTAGTTCAACCATTATGGAAGACAGTGTGGCAATTCCTCAAAGACTTAGAACCAGAAATACCATTTGACCCAGCAATCCTATTACTGGGTATATACCCAAAGGAATATAAATCATTCTATTATAAAGATACATGCATAAGTATGTTCACTGCAGCACTACTCACAATAGCAAAGACATGAAATCAACCCAAATGCCCATCAATCATAGATTGGATAAAGAAAATGTGGTACATATATTCCATGGAATACTATGCAGCTGTGAAAAGGAACAACATCATGTCCTTCACAGGGACATGGATGGAGCTCGAAGCCATTATCCTCAGCAAACTAACGCAGGACCAGACAACCAAACACCACATGTTCTCACTTATAAGTGGGAGCTGAACAATGAGAACACATGGACACAGGGAAAGGAACAACACACACTAGGGCCTGTTGGGGGAACGGGGGAGGGAGAGCATCAGGATAAATAACTAATGCGTGCAGGGTTTAATACCTAGGTGATGGGTTGATAGGTGCAGCAAACCACCATGGCACACATTTACCTATGTAACAAACCTGCATGTTCTGCGCATGTATCCCAGAATTTAAAATAAAGTTAAATTAATTTTTTTAGTGAGACATTTGAATTCTACATTTGTTATAAGGTATACTAAGTAAAATCACCCTCATATGTCTTTAGGACAATTTTTCTTAAGCTCTGATAAACATGCATATTTCCTCTTTGACAAATTAATTTTTATTTCAGAATATAATGAACTGTCTTGGTATTATGGAGCTTTCAAAAATATAGAAACTTAGAGAAGGTAGTATGGACCCCCAATCCTGAACAATTATCAACATATAATACATCTATAATATTTATTGAGACTAATTTAAACAGTCCAAAGGGGGTGAGAAAAATAACTTCTTTTAGGGAAATACTTATAGATAATGAATTAGAAAATAATTTTACAGAAAATAAAATCATCAATTTAAGAAGAAAAGAAGGCCAGGCATGATGGCTCATGCCTGTAATCTCAGCACTTTGGGAGGCTGAGGCAGGAATATCACTTGAGCCCAGGAGTTTGAAACCAGCCTGGGCAACATAGCGAGACCCTATATAAATAAATAAATAAATAAATATGGTTATTCTTAAAGAGAGACCAATCAAGACCCTAGTATTGCATTTTTAAGTCAGAGTCTGGTATTTTTCAGGCAAAATAGAGACTTACTGGTAACAGTACCTCTTCTCAATATGAAAATAAAGTCTAGAGGCCAGGCACAGTGGCTCACGCCTGCAATCCCAGCACTTTAGGAGGCCAAGGTGGGTGGATCACCTGAGGTCAGGAGTTCAAGACCAGCCTGGGCAACATGGTGAAACCCTATCTCTACTAAGAATACAAAAATTAGCCTGGCGTGGTGGCAGGCACCTGTAATCCCAGCAACTTGGGAGGCCAAGGCAGGCAAGAGAATTGCTTGAACCAAGGAGGCGGAGGTTGCAGTGAGCCAAGATCACGCCACTGCACTCCAGCCTAGGCAATATATCAAGACACCAAAGGGAGGGAAGGAAGGAAGGAGGGAAGGAAGGAAGGAAGGAAGGAAGGAAGGAAGGAAGGAAGGAGGGAAGGGAGGGAGGGAAGGAGGGAAGGAAAGAGAAGTCTAAAGTTCAAAAAAAAAAAACCTGGGGAAATATTTTAATGACAGAATAAAAATAAAGCAAATAACTAATCTAAAAGCATGACAAACATCTGTATGTCTTAATTACATGAAGAATGTTTCTCAAAACATGATAAATTGTAGTTTTATTGCCATGTTGTACATTTAGAAGGCAATTTTCCAACCAAAACAAAAAACAAAGGCGGAGTTCCAATTTCAAAGGACAGAGATCTGCTATAAAAAGTAAAAATATGAATTACATTGAAAGATTATTTTTGATAAACTATCGAATGGCCTGCATCATCAGAATTCATTTCAAAATGTGAAAACTGGAACAAGACTAGATTCACTCATAAGATTATTAATATATTTTTTGACTCCCAAGTTTCATAACATAAATACTGCATAAACCTAATGTCAACTATACCAAAATAATGAGCCTATCATAATGCTTTGAAAATTCTTCAGACTTCATGAGTTTATGTTAAGGAATGAAATTATCTCATTACTTGCTTCTTTGTCAGTCTTCTTCATTTCTTTCTCATTAAGGGTCCTTCCTCCATGTTACCCATCATTTCACTGCCTATATGCAACACAGGAACCTCTAAACACATGGATTTCCAGTTAAATGCATTTCTTGCTTTCCAGGATCTGGGCGGCAGGACACCCTACGGCTAAATATAGAAGCTAGAGACATACTCCTTTGGGGAAATCCACTGTCAACCTTTTATTCGTAAAGGAAAACCACTTCTTTACTTATAACACTAACAAAAAAAAAAAGTATGGGTTTTCCACACCAATAATTGCCTAATTCTCTCCAGACACCAACTGGGTGCCATATAATTTAATTCCATTCTGACACTAACTACCCTGGGTTAAGGCAGGCCGCACAGGGTAAGGACTCAGTCCAACAAGATTGCCTCCCACTTCAGACACGAATCACAAATGCCGGGCTTCACATGCTGACAGACCAGCTACAAATCTGGGGTTCCCTCCTCACGTTTGGTAATTTGCTAGCATAGTTCACCAGAACTCAGGAAAAGTGGTTTGCTTGCTATTACCAGTTTATTATGAAGGATTCAACTGTGGAACAGCCAGATGGAACAGATGCACAGGGCAAGGTATGAGAAGAGGGGCAGATGGCCCCAGTAACACCCTGGGTGCACCACCCTCCCAGGACTTCCCAACCTGGGAGTTGAACAAACCTCACTGTTCGAGAGTTTTTATAGAGCTTAATATCTAGCCCCTCTTACTCTCCTTCCCAGAGGTTGGTGGCTGGGACTGAAGCTTCCAGCCTCTGATGGCTTGGTCCTTTTGGTGGCCAGCTCAACCCTGAGGCTATCCAGGGGCCCCACCCTAGGTTACCTCATTAGGAAAAATTCAGATGTGATCAAAAGCAGCTCCTTACAAATAACAAAAGACATTATTATTACTCAAGAAATTCCAAGGGTTTTAGGGGCTCTGTGACAGCAACTGGGGATAAAGTGCAAATATATTTCTTATTATACTACAATTAGGTACTCAACATGAGCAAATTACTTCAATACTCTAAATATTCTTTTACAGATGAGGTGACAATACCACAATTAGATATGAATAGATAGATATAATAATGCTACAAACCTTATAGGAGTACCCTGAGAATTAAGAGAAATTTAGAAAAAGGAATTGGCATAAGTGCTTAATAAATGTCCATCATTATCATTGTTACCATTATTAAATGTATTACCTCTTTGGAGACTGCCTATAATAAGTTCCATTAAAAATACAGAAAGAATATTGAGTTAGTGATTTTGAGAATTAAAACAAGAAATCAGGAAAAAAATGAGTTATTAATGTCAATTACCTCCTTGGAAAAAGTTTGGTTTCTGTCTGTGCTTTCCATAGTATATGCATAAAATCTGAGAGTATCAGATTCATGCCCTGATGAAAGCACAACATTGACTTTCATTCCCCAGGAATGTATGATTAGGAAGTTAAAAAGGTACGTTTGTAAATCACTCAGGCCTTCCTCTGAAACTATCAGAAAATACGGGTAATGCTGTTCCAAGAATAACTTCCAATCTTGTGATAAGCATCCAGAAAACTCCGTTTGCACATCAATGTTAGTATTGTGTTGAAGGTGGAGAATTAAAGCGGTCCTCAATGAAAGAAGTTCAGGAAAATCAAAATATGCATATTCAGCATCCTGTGGTGAGAAAAAGAAACAAGCACATCATTTTCAAATCTTCCTTTACTTATTTGTTAATTTTGTTGCTTACAGCACAAAGCTATACAGGACTGAACTCATGTGATCTAATTGTTTTGCTCAAGGGCCTTAAACTTGACTCCTTTCACAAGTGCATGCCACAGGTCAAAATGTGGATTATATAGATTCATCTCTTTTATTTGAGCAGGCATACACTACCACTTCACTTCTAATTCTTTTACTATCTATGTTCAAATAGGGATTAAAGTAGCAAGTGGATAGATGTATTTCATCTGAATTGAGAAGCTGATGTGAATCACTATTAGTAGATAAAAATGTAACATTCCAGGTGATGTGTCTCCTCCCTAAATAATGTAAGTCTTTTCTTGGCAAATCAAAATTTCTATTTTTCAAATTTACAAGAGAAAAAAAAAACCCACTAAAAAGTGGGCAAAGGACATAAACAGACACTTTTCAAAAGAAGACATATGGTCAGGCACAGTGGCTCACGCCTATAATCCCAGCAGTTTAGGAGGCCGAGGTGGGTGGATCATTTGAGGTCAGGAGGACGAGACCAGTCTGGCCAACATGGTGAAACCCTGTTTCTACTAAAAATACAAAAATTAGCTGGGCGCAGTGGTGGGTGCCTGCAAGCCCAGCTACTTGGGAGGCTGAAGCAGGAAAATCGCTTGAACCAGGGAGGCGGAGGTTGCAGTGAGCCGAGATCATGCCACTGCACGCCAGCCTGGGTGACAGAGAGACTGTGTCTCAAAACAAAAACAAAAACAAAAGAAGACACACATGCAGCCAGTAAGCATATAAAAAAAGCTCAGCATCCCTGATCATTAGAGAAATGCAAATCAAAACCACAATGAGATACCATCTCACGCCAGTCAGATGGCTATTATTAAAAATAATAAAAAATGAGAGTTAAAATAACTCAACATCAAAAAATAACAGATGCTGATAAAGTCGCAGAGAAAAAGGAATGCTTAACACTGTTGGTGGGAGTGTAAATTAGTTTGACCATTGTGGAAAACTGTGGCAATTCCTGAAAGATCTACCATTCGACCCAGCAATCCCATTACTGGGTATATATCCAAAGAAATATAAATCATTCCATCATAAAGACACATGCACGCATATGTTCACCGCAGCACTATTCACAATAGCAAAGACATGAAATCAAACTAAGTCATTGATGATAGACTGGACAAAGAAAATGTGGTACATATACATCATGGAATACTATGCATTCATAAACAAGAATGAGATCATGTCCCAAATGCAAAAACAGAAATCCAAATACTGCATGTTGTCACTTGTAAGTGGGAGCTAAATGATGAGAACACATGGACACATACAGGAAAACAACAGACACTGCAGCCTATTGGAGGGCGGAGGGTGGAGGGTGAGAGGTGGGAGAGTATCAGGAAAAATAACTAATGGGTACTAGGCTTAATACCTGGGTGAAGAAATAATCTGTACAACAAACCCCCATAAGACAAGCTTACCTACATAACAAACCTGCACATGTACCCCTGAACTAAGTTAAAAAAAAATCTGTTTTTAAATGATATTGACACTCTAGCCTACTAGACTGTCATAATTTAAAAAGAACCCTGACTTTTCTATAGGTATCAATCAAAACACTGCTTTCACTTTTAATGGTGCCAAAACTAACCCCCACCCCAAAAAAATCCTATGTATAAAGATTGAACAAATATAGACTAGAATTCTTAGGAGTAAAACAACAATTGCTTCTAGGAGTAGGATGAGGGAATGGGCTCATAATATACTTTTGTATTTGGGTTGAGATTTGTTACAATTGGAAGCCATTCAATCTGTAATTTTTAAAAACCATAGTATAATACACTGTTGAGGATGTTTATATAGATCAATCCAAATAAGGATAGTGCCTCTATTGATTTGCCATTCTACTGGAATGTAAATACAATTTCTTCTCAGTTTTGATCCTAAAGTGCTTCCTAGAATTTAAGCATACAAAATCAGAGAGCAAAGAAAGATGGTTGAGGGAAGTCTCCTCCTACCTCATGTTCCTAGGTGTCCTTAAAATAAGTATCTATTGTTGCAAATAAAAATTAATTTTAGCTATCAACTACTCTGACTTAATGACATTTCTAGAAGATTATATTCAAGAACTGTAGAATATATATTATTTCCAAGAACACATGGTACATTCACCAAAATAGGCCATGTATTGGACGTCAAAACAAGTCCCAATAGATGTTTAAATTATTGAAATTATACAGAAATATTTTCTTCAACCACAATGGAATTAAATTAGAAATCAATAACACATCTAGAAAAAACAAGAATTTATACATTAAAACAATAGTTTTTTAATTTTTAAAATCATCCTTAAGTGACTTTATAATTGTATTTTTTTTTTTTTTGGTAGAAACAGGATCTCACTTTGTTATTCACACTGGTCTTGTACTCTTGGCTTCAAATGATCCTCCCCATTCAGCCTCTCAAAGTGTTGTTATTACACATGTGAACCACCTCACCTGGACTAATTGCACATATCTATGGAGTACAGGGTGATATTTTGATATATATGTATACAATGCATAATGATCAAATCAGAGTAATTAGCATATTGATCACATCAGACACAATTATTTGTGTGTGTGCGTGTGTTGGAAACATGCCAAATCTGCTCTTCTAACTATGTGAAAAAATGCAATAAATTACTGTTAATTATATCCACCCTATGGTGCAATAATGTCCTCCAAGATCATCATGTTGCCACAAATGACCGAATTTTGTTTTTTATAGCCAAATAGTATTATATAGTGTATATATACACCACATTTTCTTTATCCATTCATGTGTTGATGAACACTTAGTTTGTTTCCATATGTTGGCTATGTAAATAGTGTTTCAATAAACACAGGACAGCAGATATCTCTTTAACATACTGATTTCCTATCCTTTGAATATATATCTAGTAGTGGAGTTGCTGGTTCATATAGTAATTCCTTTTTGTGTTTTTTGAGGAACCTCCATACTGTTTTCCATAATTACTGAATTAATTCAAATTCATACCAGCAGCATATGAGTTACCCTTTCTCTACATCCTTACTAGCATTTTTTTTTTGTCTTTTTGACAACAGCTATTCTAATGGGGTGAGATGCTATCTTATTATGGTTTGGATTTGCATTTCTCCGATGATTAATAATGTTGACTATGCTTTCATACATGTGTTGGCTATTTGTATGTCTTCTATTGAGAGATGCCTATTCAGCTCACTTGCCCACATTTTAATTGGATTATCTTTTTTTTCTTTTGCTATTGAGATGTTTGAGTTCCCTGCATATCCTGGATATTAATTCCTTGTAGGATAAATACTGACAAATATTCTTCCCATTCTGAAGGTGTCTCTTTACTCTGTTGATTATTTCCTTTCCTGTGCGGAAACTTTTTAGTTTGATATAATCCCATTTGTCTACTTTTGCTTTTGCTACCTGTGCTTCTGAAGTCTTCTCCATAAGATCTTCACACTAACCAATGTCCTGAAGCATTTCCCCTATGTTTTTTTCTAATAGTTTCATAGTTTTGGGTCCTACATTTAAGTCCTCAATCCATTTTGAATTGATTTTTTAATATAGTGAAAGTGAGGGTTCAGTTTCATTTTCCTGCATATGAATATCCAATTTCCTGAGCACCATTTACTGAAGACACTGTCCTTTCCCCAGTGAACGTTCTTGATATGTTTTTGTCAAAAATCATTTGGCTGTAAATACATGAATTTATTTTTGGGTTCTCTATTCTGTTCCACTGGTCCAACTGTGTTTTTATGCCAGTACCATGCTGTTTGGGTTACTAGAGCTTTGTGGAATACTTTGAAATCTAGTAGTGAAATACCCCCAGCTTTTAAAACAACAAATTTCTAAATAATCCACCAGTCAAAGAAAAAAGAATCACAAGAGATGTTAGAAATTATTTCTAATTAAATGGTAAAGAAAAAACCATTAGATGCAAATTTGTGATATGTAGCTAAAACAGAGCTTACAAGAAAAATTTTACTGTTCATAAATAGAAAATAAAAAAGATCTTAGCTTAAAATTTCAATTTATGAAGTTAGTGGAAAAAAGAGTAAGGAAAATCCAAGAGAAACAAATAAAGACAAGAGTAGAAATCAGTGAAATTAAAAAAAAGACAATACAGAAAATTAACAAAGTGAAAAAAGCTAGGTCTTTGAAAACATCAGCAAAATTGATAAATCACTAACTAGATTAATCAAGAAGAGGGAAGACACAACTTAGCAATATAAAGGATAAATGAGGGCAGAAGAAAATGGAAATTATCACAATAGAGAATCTGTGAGGCTTTGTCACATACAGTAGATGATATTATGGCTTTCACACATTTTTTAAAAAGTTAACTCCTTATTTTCCCTTAGCAGTATATCAGGTTATAGAATCAGAGATACAACAATGACAAATTACATTTCAATTTGTAAAATTATGTGATGATATTTATCATTCGAAAATAGAGGAATAAAAATCTGTCCTCATTTCACCAGATGTGAATTTCAAGTAGAGCAGTTGCTATTAAGAGTTGGTGCATGTTTCTGACCAGTCCCCTCCTGTTATGGCATCACTGGTTGTCACTAGCAGCTAGCCAAAAAATAAAGTCTTATTTTGCTGTATTAGTCAGGATTTCTGCAGTTTATGTTTAAAAACTGGTTTAGAGTATCCAGGTGATGGATATATGGTCCATGTATCCCCTTTTGGTAAGCTATAGTTACAATCTGTGTGCTTTGTTGCCTGCTACACAGAAAGCAGCAGATAATCAAAGATTTAAGGGACACAGACAGCTGCCAATTCACAAAATGAGAGTGTAACATGAAAGCTTTTTAGAGGTTTTTTGTTTGTGTTCTAACAAAACATGTTAGAACACGTTTTGTTAGAATACGTGTTGCTTTTGCAGTGTTCTTCTTTTCCTTAAGACAGGAATCAAGCTTACATATAAACTGTTGGTAATTTTAGTTTCCTTCTGTGTTATTCAGTGTAAAACTGCATAATCTGAAAATGAATGAAAAAATAAATATTTAGTGGCTAGGCACAGTGGCTCATGCCTGTAATCCCAACACTCTGGGTGGCCAAGATAGGTGGATTGCTTGACCTTGGGAGTTGGAGACTAGCCTGTACAACTCAGCAAGACCCCATCTTTATAAAAAATACAAAAATTAGCCAACCATGCTGCCACACGCCTGTAGTCCCAGCTACTCAGGAGGCTGAGGTGGGAGGTTCACTTGAGCCCAGGACACAGAGGTTACAGTGTGCCAAAATCATGCTACTGCTATGTTGCAGCCTGGGAGACAGAGTGAGACCCTGTTTCAAATTTTAAAAAAAGAAAATTTAGTTTCCATTCCAAAAAAAAAAAAAAAATGAAAGAAGGAGCTAACTAACACTAACATCACTACAAATCTTTAGGCAATAAGAGGAAAATAAGAGAATATTATAGGCAACTTTATGCCAAAACATTAGACAACTTAGATAAGGCGGGCAAATCCCTTGACATATACAATTAACAAAACTGACACAAGATAAAACAGAAAGTCTAAATGGCCCTATATTTATTAACGAAATTGACTTTGTTATCAAAAATTTTATTCCAAGGAAAACTCTAGACCCAAATGGTTTCACAGGAAAATTTGATCAAATTTTATCAAATTCGTCTGAGGAAATAATACCAATCTCATAAAGACTTTTTCAGAAAATAGAAGAGGAAAATGGACTTTTCAACACATTCACCAGGTCGGCATGATCCTGATACCAAAACCAAACGAAGGCATTATAAAAAATAAAATTGGCCTGGCACGGTGGCTCATGCCTGTAATCTCAGCACTTTGGGAGGCTGAAGCAGGCAGATCACCTGAGGTCCAGAGTTCAAGACCAGCCTGACCAACATGGGGAAACCCCATCTTTGCTAAAAATACAAAAATCAGCCAGGCATGGTGGCGCATGCCTGTAATCCCAGCCACACAGGAGGCTGAGATAGAAGAATTGCTTGCACCTGGGAGGCAAAGGTTGCAGTGAGCCGAGACCATGCCTTTGTACTCTAGCCTGGGCTACAGAGTGAGACTCCATCTCAAATAATAAATAAATAAATAAATAAACAAGTAAAATTACAGATTAATGTTTTTCATGACTATATACCAAAAACACTTAAAATATTAGCAAATCAAACCCAGCAATATATTAAAGAAAGGATATCTATCATGACCAACTAAGGTTTTCCCAGGAATAAAAGATTGAATTAATATTTAAAAATCACTTAATGTAATCTACCAAATTAAGAAAGTAAAAGAGGAAAGGTGTATCAGAGTTTCCATAAATGTAGAAAAAGCATTTTTTAAAATGTAACACCTATTAATTATAGAAACTCTCAGAAAACCTAAAATAAGAAGAAATTTTCTCAATTTGATAATGGATATATGTAAAATAACTACAGCTAATATGATACCTAGTAGGGAAATAATGGATACTTTCCCTTTAAGATCAAGAACCAGGTAAAGATTCCCACTCACTCTACTTCAGCATTTCTAGAGATGCCAATCACTGTAATAAGGCAAGAAAAAGCAATTAAAAAATAAAATTGGAAAATAAGAAATAAGCATGTATTTATTCACTGAAGACATTAAAAAATCTAAGAAATATACAAATAAGCCACTGAAATTAATAAGTTGTTTTAATAAGATTGCAGGATACCAGTTAACAAACAAAAATCAATTCTACTTCTATATACAAGCAGCAAAAACTAAAAAATTATTTTTAAAAATTCAATTTACGGTAAGATCAAAACATGAAATATCTTGAAATAGATTTAGCAAAAGATGTGCAACGCCTCCACACTGAAGACTACAAAACTGATAAAACAAATTAGAGATCTTAAAAAACAGAGATACATATTGTGTTCACTAACTGAAAGACTATATTGGTCTACAAATTTAATGAATATCATTAAAATCCCATCGTTCTTTTTAAATAGAAATTGGCAAGCTGATTCTAAAATTCGTGTGGAAATGCAGAGAACCTAGAATAGCCAAAGTTAAACAAAGAAGAACAAAGTGGGCTTCAAGATTTACTATAAAATTACACAAATCAGGACATTGTGGTACTGGTAATTTGTTAAATCCTTTGATGGAACATAGTAGAAAGCCCAGAAATGGACCTACACATATATAATCATTTGATTTTTTGATGAAGAAACCAAAGCAATCCACTGGTGGAAGAAAAATGTTCTCAACAATGGATGCTGGAACAAATCAACCTCAATCCCCCATTCACACCACAAACACACAAAAATTAATTCAAGAAATATCATAGACCAAAATGCAAAAGCTGAAACTACATACTTCTAGAATTATTAATAAATATAGGAAAATATCTTTGTGACTAAGAGATAGGCAATGATTCTTATCAGGATACAGGCACAATAACCATTAAAGAATAATAAGTTAGATTTCACCAAAATTAAAATATCTGGTCATCCAAAGATAGTACTAAGAAAACGAAGTGGCAGCCGGGCACGGTGGCTGATGCCTGTAATCCCAGCACTTTGGGAGGCAGAGGCGGGTAGATCACGAGGTCCGGAGATTGAGACCATCCTGCTAACACGATGAAACCCCATGTCTACTAAAAATACAAAAAAATTAGCCGGGCATGGTAGTGCATGCCTGTAGTTCCAAGTACTTAGGAGGCTGAGGCAGGAGAATGGCATGAACCCGGGAGGCAGAGGTTGCAGTGAGCCAAGATTGCGCCACTGCACTCCAGCCTACGTGACAGAGCGAGACTCTGTCTCAAAATGAAGTGACAAGCCACAGACTGGGAAAATATATTTGCAATAATATACATGACAAGAGGTTGTATACAGAATATATCAAGAACTACTACAACTCAATATTAAAAAGATAAAGAACCCAATTTAAAATGGTCAAAAGATACGAGCAGATGCTTCACAAGTCATAGTATACAAATGAACAATAAGCACTTGAAAAAGTAGGCAACATCATTAGCCATTTGATAAATACCAATTAAAACACAGGGACATAACACTACACATCCACCAGAATGGCTGGACTGACCAAATACAAATGTTTGCAACTACACAGGGCACCAGAACTGTTATTCATTGCTGGAGTGAGTGTAAAGGGGCACAACTACCTTAGGAAAAGCTTTGGCAGTTTTATAAAACATATATTTCAACCACAGATACATGCACAAGGAAAATAAAAACTTACGTCCACACGAAGACTTGCATGTGAATGCACATAGTAGCTTTATTCATCTAGGCAAGATATTGAAAGAGATTGCTCAACAGGAAAGTGTCCACTCAACAAGAAAATGGGTAAACAAACCGTGGCACATTTCTACAATAAAACCTTACTCAAAAGTGATAAAAGGAACAAAATACCACTGCACACAACAAAATGGATGCCTCTCAAAAATATTATGTTGAATGAAAGGTTTATACAAAGAGTTCATACTGTAAAATTCTATTTATTAAAAGTTCTAGAACTTTGGGAGACCAAGGCGGGTGGATTGCCTCAGGTCAGGTGTTCGACACCAGCCTGACCAATATGATGAAACCCTGTCTCTACTAAAAATACAAAAATTAGCTGAGCATGGTGGCACGCGCCTGTAATCCCAGCTACTTGGGAGGCTGAGAGAGTAGAATCACTTGAACCTAGGAGGTGGAGGTTGCAGTGAGCCGAGATCACGGCATTGCACTTCAGCCTGTGCAAAAAGAGCGAAACTCCATCTAAAAAAAAAAAAAGAAAGTTCTACAACAGGCAAAACTCAAGAAGGCAATAGAAAGGATTTAAACAGTGGTTGCTTCTAGGGGATGGGATGAGGATGGACTGGGCAGGGGCATGAGAAGACGTATTGTGGAACAAGAGTTTGGGTTACACGTGCATGCGTGTGTCAAAACTCAATGTACTGGTAAATACTATGCACGTGCCAAAGATCGTTAAATGGCATTAGGTTGGAGCAAAACTTTTTGTAACACATTTAAGATCTGTGCATTTTATTTCATGTAAATTTTACCATCAAAAAAACCTGCAAATAAGTACCGAACTCTAGTTAATGGCATGTATGATGAAGTGTTTCAGAGTTAAATGTAATGTCTACAACTATTTTGAAACGTACCCCCAAAATAAAAGGATTGACAGGTGAATAAAGGCATGGATAAGCTTACAGATATATGAAGAAGTAAGTAAAATAAAATGTAATTGTAGGATTTAGATGGTGGGATATAGATATTTGCTCTACAACCTTTCAACTTACCTGTATTTGAAATTTTATAATAAAATATTGAAACTTAAAGAATGGGCTTGCTGGTGCTTACCACAGGCTGAATTCTTACACTGACTATATAGAAAAGGAGGTAGAGTAAACCTACCCAATATACCCCTCAGCCCAGGCTCTGTGCCTGATCTATATTGTGAATGTGGGAACATAGAGTTGAGGGAAAAAAATTTAATAAAATAAAAAATAAAGAATGGTTATCTCTGAGTAGTGAAATTATGGGTAATTTTTTCTTTTGTTAACCTGTCTTTTTATATTTTCTATGATGACATGCTTCATTTTAGGTCAAAGGCTCTTTAGGTTAAGACATTTCAGTTATAGTCTTCAAAGGACTAAAACGACATCAATCATCATATATTACCTTAAAGAAAACTATGGTGAATTGTCCTCCGTTACTCAGAAGATCCACAAGATAGCATTCAACCAGATAGAAAAAGTGGAGATTCTGTCCCCACTTGAATGATTTTACACCCAGGCATGTGACAAGCAAGGAATCTCCATCAATCACAAAAAAATTAGATTCCACAAAATCATTTAATATGCTGGAATACCTAAAATAAAAATCAAAGAGAATAAAAATCACAGATGTTTCACAGAGACTTTGTTGCTGTTGTTGTTACTATTATTGCATAAGCTACTGTTTGTTGAGTACCTCATGCCAGTCCATGATGCCTTTTCAAATACCTCATTTAAGCAACTGTCCTTTATAAGAAGGAGATAGCACAATTACTATTTTATTAAAATAAAATTAGGCTCAGAGAGGCAAAGGAAATTATCCAATGCTAAATGGCAGAGCCAGGATTTGAACTTGAGAATATGATTCTAAAGGCTGTTATTCTGGATAAGGACATATATAACTCCCAGCTCCATGAATCTGATTGTTTTAGGAAACAATCTGTTCAGTGACAGCTAAGACAACTATAGGAAGAAGAGTGCGTTCCCATCATCTCCAAGCTGCTCCAAGATAAATAGGTTGAGTGATCATGTATATGTATATGGGTTAAGAGGGATGTGGAAACACAGAGCATACAATAGTATAGCTCCTTCTTTTTTACTTCACAGTACTTACCCAGCTTTTGGCATTTCATTCAAAATTAACTGTGTCATTTCCCTGAAAAATACTGCATGATCCTTTGACCCTAAAAATAAGGAGATTTTTTGAGCCATCAATATTTTTACACAGCTATATAATTTAGTAATTATTAAGGAAATGAAATATAGACATCCAATTACTTTGTAACATTATTGAATCTGAATATCTTACAAGATTGTTGCTTTATAGGCTACAAATATCAAAGATTGAGAATTACCCATCGTTGCTGCTTCTTGGGCTACAGGGTAGAAGAGTAGAGCTGGAATTTATTAAATATGGCTGATTTATTTTGACACCTCTAAAATGGCTACATTTGATGTGAATGGCACCTCTGTAATAAAAGAAAAAATAGAACTGCAGTTATTCCTAAAACAAAGAAATGGACCCAAAAAATATGGTTACATTTTCCACAGAGCAAGCAGTCTAGTAAATAAGCAAAGATTGATCAAATAATCATACAAAAAATTTCAAATCACAAATGTGACAAAAGGCACAGAGATGAGGGTGGCTTCCCTAAGGAATTAATGCATGAACTGAGATCTGAAGGAATGAGTACTCCCTTATAGTTAATTTGCCCCCCAAAAAAAGCAATAAAAAGTATTCTTGGCAAACAGAACAGCATGTGCAAAGGCCCTGTGACAGAGGACAGTATGGAAAGTACAAGATTCAGAAAAGAAGTTAGTGCGGCTGCAGCAGAGGGTAAGGCTGTGTCAGATAAGGTTAGAGAAAAAGGAAGCTAGGCAGTCTTTTAAGGAATTTTAAGGTGTTTCGTCTTCATCTTCAGAGCTAAACTCAGCCATTGATGGGTTTTAAACTGGTTGTAATTTGATTACACTTGCACGTGGTAAACATTACTCTATCTTTAGTAGAGAGAGCAGATTGGATGGGGAGGTGCATAAAGAAAGCTACTGAAATAGTCCTGTAGAAAGATGATGGTGGTTTGAGCTAATGTGGTGCTATTTAGAGCTGGAGAGATGTGGATTTATTGGGGGGCCATTTTGAAGATAAATGTGACATAGTTTGGCAATAGATTCCACATGGGAAGGGAGAGTTGGGGAGTGTCACAGATGACTCCTCAGATCCTAGCAAGGACAGGAGGATGGACGATGGGGCTTGAACAAAGCACACTGAAAGGTGGCCAAGTTTCTGGGCTAGAAATAGAACTATCAAGTCATTTGATTACTAAAGATAACTGAGGAAATGAGTATATATCACAGGTAGAGGAAATCACTGAATGCTGCTTATTAGTGACTCTGGGTCACCCCCAAAATAAGTTTCTGGCCACTCCTGATCACTCCCAAAATGAACTTTTGGCACTCAAATCCTTGTCTTAGGAGGTGATTCTGGGAGAACTCACTTCTTCACTTCATATTAACCATAAAGAATAGCAGCAAAATATGGTTAGAACTCAACATTGCCACAGGATTGGTAAGTAGAAAAGTATTTATAGCCAAAGTAAGTACAGTCTCTGTGAAACTGAAGGGACAGAAAGCAGAATGCATTTATTCAACAACTATTGAATGAGCAAACACCTGCTGTGTGACAGGCGCTGCACTTGGGGGTGGGAGTACAGTGAAAAGGACAAAAGTAGGCTTTGCTGCACTCTAGGAGCTTATCATTTAGTGGAAAAACATTAATAAAATTTTAAATATTTAAAAGTTAAGTACTATTTGAAAAATAAAAGAGTTATAACGAATTGGACAGGATTGCTACAGACAGTATCTCCAAGAAAGTGACATTTCAGATGAGCCCTGAAGGAGTGAATGGAGTGGTCATTCAAAGAGCCCCTCCCATTTAAGAGAGAGACAGGTTAGGAAAGCCTAAAACAGCTTTTTTATTAAGCACTGTAGTTTTTAAAATTTATAGTATGAATATAAAAGTAAGGATCGTCAGATATAACATACTGATCAGACAGAAAATAAACACCAAAAATGACAAATAAATAAACAAACTAAAAAACATCAAAATATTCTAAAAGACATACTGAGAAAAAGAGATAATTTAGAAGTCAGAAGAGAACTTTAAAAAATTCCACTAGAATTTTCATACAGAATCAAAGATACTGAATCTATGAAATAGGAGCTTGCATGCTGCTATTGAAAAGAAAAAAATACAGGAACAAGAAAGCACTCTTGAAAATTCAAAGCAAGATTGCAGATATAAAATAAATTAGTTTGCTGAACAATAAAACAGAATCCCAAGTTAAAAGACAGAGTCCAGAAAGACAATGAGATAGAAATAAAAGAAATATTAAGACACATGAAAGATTGATCGAAGCTTATATAATCCATTAAAAGGTAATCCTGGAGGAAATAACTGGGATACCAGAACGAGTGGTGAAAATAATTGAAAACATACTGTGAGAAAATGTAATTTAAGAAGACTGCCTCAGGGCTGAAGAAAAATATGAATCCCTGGATTAAAAAGGTTCTCCAAAAACAAAACAAGTTTGATGAAAAAAGAGAAAGCCACAGCTAGATATATCCTGATAAAATTTCAGTACTCCAAAGATAAAGAGAAAATCTAACGTCTGGCAAAAAAGAAAGACATTTTAGCCACAAAAGAATCAAAATGAAAGAGGCATTAAAGTGAATAAGAACATGAGCTCTGAAACCAGGATGCCTGGGTTGAATTCCTAATTCTACAACTAACTAGTTGTGTGGCCTGAGGCAAATTGCTTACCATCTCTGTTTCTGTTTCCTGTCTGCGAATTTGGAATACTATTATTATCCTAGGGTTGTCAAGATAAAATGTGTTAATATATAAACTGCTTAAAAAGCACCTGGACGTAATGAAAACTGATTAAAGTCAGCTCTTTTAACATTATGGCCAACACTGAATGCTCTGACATATGACCAATGTCTTTCATCTTCTTTAATGCTTTGAAAAGTCTACTGTAATCAAGTTTTAATTATATAGAATGCATTTCCTATTTGGATCTGATCACAAAACTTGACTCCATAATGAATACTATGTATACAGTTATGTTGTGTTTGTTTTTCAATTTTTAGACTCAATGTATAGATAAATAACAATGAACTTAATTTATTCAGAGAACCAAAATGTAAATGCTTTGAACATTGACAATATATTAAAATAGCTAACCAATTTGAGAAGTACAAAGAGGGAAAAATGTTAGGAAAAGAGTAGGAATGCTATTATTATCATTTATAAAAAAAAAAATAGGGAGCCCAGAAATAGCATTCAAAGATAATGTTATATACTAAATGTTTATGTCCCCCCAAAATTCATATTTTAAAGCCCTAAACCCCAGTGTGATGGTAATTGGAGATGGGGGCTTCAGGAGGTAATTAGGATTAGAGGAGGCTATAAGGATAGGGTCCTTATCGGATAGGACTGGTGTCTTCTTAAGAAGAAACATCAGAGAGCTCATACTCTCTCCCTTCTCCCTTCTCCCCTCCACCCCGCCCCTCCCCCTTTGCTCCTGCTTGCTCACTCTCTCTCTCAGAACACAGCAACAAGGTAGTCATGTACAAGCCAGGAAGAGAGCCCTCACCTCACCAGAAACTCAATCAGCCAGAATCTTGATCTTGTACTTCACAGCCTCCAGAATAGTGAGAAATAAATTTCTGTTGTTTAAGCCACCACTCTATAATATTTTGTTATGGCAGCTTTAGCAAACTAAGAGAGAAGATAAATCAAAAAATAAAGATTTAAGAAATAAAAGTTTTTAAAAAGAACATGTTTTGCAATGAAAAAACAAACACTTATCCCCTATTGTCAATACAAAGTGTAACTCTGATTAAGTAAATAGTATGAGAAGTTTGTCTTTACAGAAGTAACCCAGTTCAAAAAAATAAAAGAAGAAATGAGGAATTTATATTTTCCTCATTTTGAAACATCTAATAAATTAATGGATCTAGATATTGAACATCAATGAATACTAATACCATAAAAATGGAGATAGCAAGACATTCTCTGTCTCTGAATGGAATATGATGCCATCTATGTGAACTCTTAACAAAAATATAAAAAATTAAAAAGAACTGATTATGCCTCTAATTTTAAGAACTAACAGAGAATAGCGAGAGGAGACAAAGAGTCAGAGATGAAGAAAGAGAGAGAGAAAGAGGGAATCCTATAGATTAAAAAGCAAGACATTTATACACCAACTGTAATGTGAAGACTTTCTTTTGGATTCTGATGGAAGTTAAAAAAAATTGAAAAAAAAATCATATGCATCGGATCAGAGGTATCAACTATCCACTAAAATTCATGCTCCTCCTTCCACATTTAAGAATTATCACTGAGAAGCAGTGATCTGGCCAATGACTACATTTTCCCCATTCTTTTGCATCTGGAGATAGCCATGAAATTAGTCTTACCAATGGAACGTGAGTGGAAGTGATAGCCAGACTTTCGAGAAATAGGTATACCTTCTCTATTCTTCTCTTTTAAAAAGTTAGGTGCAAAGAACATTAAGACTCCAGGGAACAGTGGAACCACTATATGAAAGAAACTGGGTCCCTGAATCACTATTGGGCCGACTGGCCAGGAAAATCTGCTTTGAACTCTTAGAAGGACAATATATATAAATTTCTATTGTGTAATGCCACTGAAATTTGTAAGTTGTAATTGCTACCGAAGTTAGCATTCCCTTACTGCTACAGAAATTGGTACAAAAGTGAAATCTTGGCTGGGCGCGGTGGCTCACGTCTGTAATCCCAGCACTTTGGGAGGCCAAGGCGGACGGATCACAAGGTCAGGAGATCGAGACCATCCTGGCTAACATGGTGAAACCCTGTCTCTACTAAAAATACAAAAAATTAGCCGGGCGTGGTGGCAGGCGCCTGTAGTCCCGGCTACTCAGGAGGCTGAGGCAGGAGAATGGCATAAACCTGGGAGGCGGAGCTTGCAGTGAGCCGAGATCACGCCACTGCACTCCAGCCTGGGCGACAGAGCAAGACTCTGTCTAAAAAAAAAAAAAAGTGAAATCCTTCCTATCATTGCATAATGGTATAGTGCTATCGTTCTTTTAATCTAAAAATCCATGAATTGCAAGATACACCATCATTTTATGTACCACTAATTTTCTTAATACTAACAATTAAACCATAACATACCACAGGTTTGTAATTTTCATCCTCATCTTAGATGTAAAAAGAGAAGACACAGATTATAAAACCAATCAAACATGGTATGTATCTCCACCCTAATGGACAGATAATAGGCAGTGAGAAACTAGGCTTCTTGGGCTTAAAAGTTGGAAACCCAGGTGATGCAAAGCAAAATATCTGGTAAAAATCATCCCCTTCAAAACTAGGAAGCCAACCACATGCCAACAAGCCTGATGCTCACAGAAAAGTGATTGGAAAAGGTTGATGGTCAATGTCTATAGTGTTTTAGTTGCTGTTTTTGAGGAGCTATGACCAAGGAAGAATGGGAAAGAGAAATGTCTTAAGAAGGAACTGGGTGGTATGAAAGCAGAGCTGGAAAGAAGAGAATTGGCTGGACACAGCGCCTCATACCTATAATCCCAGCCCTTTGGGAAGCTGATGTGGGAGGACTGCTCAAGGCCAAGAGTTGGAGACCAACCTGGGCAACAAAATGAGACCACATCCCTATTTTAAAAAGGAAGGGAAGCGAAGGGGAGGGGAGGGGAGGGGAAAAGAGGAGAAGAAGGAAGGGAGCCAAGAAATTTGGGTCGCACAGGTGACAGCTTCTGTACTGCAAATAAAAAGTGATAGGACAAAAAAAAAAGAAAAAAAACACCTTGCTCAACAAAGACTCATAAAGAATTCTCAGTTAAACAGAAGGACTTAGCCTTGCTGCAAGTATTAGGTGGAGGTGTTACCCTCCCAGGCCAGACTATCATTTCAAATGAACTTAAGACAGATTATGCTAATTTGAGAGGGAATTAGGATGAAAATAGAAACTCTCTGGGTGTAATTAACGGCATAGGGAACTAACTAGAGCATAAGAAGCTGGATACATTTCTTAGAGAATTGTATTTCCAAATAAACTATGAGCTGCCTTAAAAATGGTTACATCAGTAAAACAAGCAGCAGGTTATAAAAAAGGGTGATATCAGTAAATCAACCAGCAGGTCTCCATACTTACAAAGCAGAAAATGAGCCTGCAGCAGGGAAAACCACAGAGATTTCCACCCACATCAACATAGCCGTGGATGATAATTAACATGGGTATTTTATTAAAAGCCATAAAGCTAATCCTGAGAAGAATTTTTAAAAATATATAATTCATATTAGAAGTATTTCTTTCACAGGGAGTCGTCGGAGTCTGTCTAAAGTAGATAAAACAAAAGACTGATTTGTAAGCATATAATTTATAAGCAACCAAGAAAGAAATGTATATCTTTGGAGTGGTAACGCCTCAGGAGAACTAAAACTGTGAGACTAAGTATGAAGGGGAAAGTAGTAGAGAAGGGCATTTAATTTTTGTTTTATGTCTTTCTCTTCTGCTTCAAATAAAACTGATCAATTATGACCCAGCATACCATGGGGTATCATACAGCAATTACTAAGTAAGACTGACAGGTACCAATAAATCATGAACCAAGAAAAGCATACCAGTATGACAGCCAAAATATCTTTTAAAGTGTATGGATCTAGAGATAGACAGATGATGGATCGATGGATGGACGGATGGTTGGATGGCTGGATGATGGATGGATGGATGGATGGATGGATGGATGGATGGATGGATAGAGAGATAGGAGCTATAGACAAAAACTTGTCTCTTTGTAGAGTATCAGGAAGGATTCACACTAAACTATCCCCAATATCTTTGGGATAGAAGGCGAAGAGCCTTGGAAGCATAACTCACCCTCATTTATTTTAGTACCCTCAACTCTCAGCACCTGAGTTCCACCAAACTTCAAACTGCAAATCTTAGATTGAATGGTATGTTACTGTTTTCAGGAGAACACTCGAAATCATGAAGGTCTGTATGTCGTTGATGTTATGGTTTGGACTTCTTATTGTGTCTTTAAAGGACTTGCTTCTGTTTGGTTCTGACCGCTTTTTCTAGCAGTCATTAGGAGCTTTCATAATCCTTAAGGCCCCATCACGGATGATGTCAGCTTCTTTGATTATGGAAAACCTTGAGAAGTTTATTATAAATTTATCAATGTAACTTTGTAAACAAAAGAGAAGCGGGAAAAAAGAACAAAGTACCTTTCCAGAGAAATAGTAAAACCTTATTTCCGCTATTAAGAGCTTAAATCCGGCCGGGCGCGGTGGCTCACGCCTGTAATCCCAGCACTTTGGGCGGCCTAGGCGGGCGGGTCACGAGGTCAGGAGATCGAGACCATCCTGGCCTAACATGGTGAAACCCCGTCTCTACTAAAAATAAAAAATAAAAAATAAAAAAAAATTAGCCGGGCGTGGTGGCGGGTGCCTGTAGTCCCAGCTACTCGGGAGGTTGAGGCAGGAGAATAGCGTGAACCCGGAAGGTGGAGGTTGCAGTGAGCAGAGATAACGCCACTGCACTCCAGCCTGGGCGACAGAGCGAGACTGACTCAAAAAAAAAAAAAAAAAAAAAGCTTAAATACAAGACGGAAAAAAGGGAAGCGGCTTGCTGCCTGTCAATGTCCAGGTTCGAATGGCTGTGCTCAGATGTGGTGACCCTTACTTTCTCCTCAGCACCCCAGATCCCCAGGCCCCCTCGGGTGCAGAGGACCCGTTAAATGCCTGAGCACTCTCCTCTCTCACGGTGGTTGTCCCTCTTCCCTACCTCTCCGCGAAGCTGCCGCCCGAGCCCAGTGGGCGCCCCAGCTTCCCTCGCCCGGCGCGCACGAAGCCACCAGGCCACCTCCCCGCCCGGTCCATCTGGATGTTGAAGGAATCCTAGAACCCCCGCGGGACAGCTCCGCTCCAGGGTCCCTAGCGACACCCGACGTCACCCGCAATCCTCACCCCGGCCGCCGAACCTGCTAGGTCCAAAGAGCTTCGGAGCTGCACGCCCCGCGGGGAGGAGGTGGAGCAGAGGAGACCGAGCGCAGAGCCTGGCGTCGGACTGGGCGCTCTGAGCCACACAGCAGCCAGCGCCTGAGTTTTTATCTAGGGAGTTAGTTTCGGTTTCTTTTCTCCACCGCGAGGCCTTTTCGATTTCCGCAGTTTTCTGGAGGTAGAATATAGGTCTGCATTGGTTTACTCTGAGAATCTTAGGGAAGTAATAGTAGAAGCGATGATATGCTATCTGGGACATGCATGTAATTGTAAAGGGAAAGAAAGCAGAGAAATCTGGGACTCTAAACAAGGAATTGAGGCTGAGAGTAAATGCAGCACGCTAAGCACTATGAAAGTCTGCGGTGAGGTGTGGCGTTTTTCTTTTCTGGCAAGGTACTGGACAGGCAAAAATGGAGTAAAAAAGGATTAGGGGCTTTGAGTTTCTGTCCTAAGAAGTTCATTTTATGAAAAATTTCCAATAGTATAACTGTCCAGTGTGAACATTTGAAAGACCAATCATCTATCACAGAGAATTTAAATTGAGAAGAAGAATGCTCTTTAGTTTTGTCATCAAGCTCATTAATGTTTGAAATTCGAGTTTCAACCCCAGCCCATCATGGTCTTTAGTGCTCCAGACGCTTAATTCCATGACGTTATGCATGTGCAGAATATATTGAGATTCAAGGTGGTGGTGAGGGTGCCCCAGTAACGGCATGGGGTAATAAATGGAGAGAAATCGAAACCGGAAGTTCTGTCTTCAAGAAAAGGAAAGGGTGGAAGTGACTTGTTCACAATAGAAAGAGCCCAGAAGAACAAAGTTTTTTCTCAGACTCTGGAATATAAAGTGGCTTCGAAAAGGAGGTGAAAACATTGCTCACTTCTGTCAGGATTTTTCTTTAATTTTATGTTTGGTTGAAAATAGTTATGATTCTCTTTCTCAATGAGGATGACATTGAGAAAGAACCTGAAATGACTCATGATTAAGTCATGAGTTCATCTCAGATGAATTCCTCTCTAGCATCTGATACTGGACCTTTGTATCATAAGAATGCATTTGCTAGCAGCAGAAAATTGGGCTTTGCTGTAAAAGCATTCATTGAGCTTTTTATGTGCCAGGCAATAGGCTAAGCCCTTAACATGTATTATCACATTAAATCTCACAGAAATCCCATGAGCAACTTTACTGTTGCTATTTTATGGATGAGGTAAATAAGGCTTAGAGAATTCAATTACTTGTCGATGACCCTACAGGTAGTTAATGGTAGCCAAGACTTCAAAATTTAATTCCAAAGATAATATCTACAATATTCTCTGTATATATTATCTCATTCCAGTTCTTTTAAATACTACAGTGTCATTATTCCTCCCCCAAAGCACATACAATTTAATGGGGATTTCCTCTTTTGGTTGTAGAAGTGGGCCCTACATGTTCTTAATATAATTGACTGTCTGCTGTTGTTTTTCTCTCTTAAAGATATAGATGTATCAGGTGGGGATTCCCTAGATGTTAACTCCACACATCCCACTTCCCACCGCAAAGTATATGTACAATGCACATAAGCAGACTCTACTCCAAATCAATATCCAGTTCTCTTCCACTTTAATAATATGTTACCATAACTCCAGCCTGGACATTATCCAGAAACTTGAAAATCATAAACTCCATTTCCACTTTTTAGAGACTTCCCCCTTGCCTCAATCTCTCAGTCTCCTTAGGAGCCCCACTCTTTCACCTCCCCAGGATCAACTCTGTGAACAGGCACTGAACCTTCCTCTCACTAACATTCTCAACTGCTTCATCCACTCTCTTTCCTCTGCACCTTCACTGCAACTTGATCACCTCAATCTAGTAAACCATTTTTTGCCCTTACCAGGACATTGAAGGAAATTGTCTAATATTTTTCACCTCAGATTTACTGTTTATGACTATAGGTTCCTGATCTTTTTTACAGTGGCCCTTAAAACCCTACAGCATCTTGCTGTTCTCTTCAAGTCCACTAAGAATATATCTGTTTTAAAGAGACTCCTTTTAACTGTCTGACACCTCCATCTAGTCCAAGAAGCCCATGACATGCTCCACATACAATATAACCACTCCCTTTTGAGTTGGTTACCTCCAGCTTCCTCAGGAATCTCACTCCATTCCTATATTGTTAACCTCTCTCTATTTACAGCTGTGGTAGACTGAATAATGGTCTCCCAAAGACATCTATGTCCTAATCCTTGTACCTATAAATATGTCATCTTCTGTTGCAAAAAGAACTTTGCAGATATTCCTAAGAATCTTGAGATGGGGAAATTACCCTGGATTATCTGGGGACCTGATATAATCAGAAGGGTCCTTATAAGAGGGAAGGACTATTATCAAAAAGGAACCAGGACAAGGATAATGTGGGAAATTATCAGGATTTCAAGACTGCAAAGGATGGTAAAAGTAAGAGACTCACTGCTGGGAAAACGTACTCTGGAGAAAAAGTCATGAGTACAGCTGGACAACCTTTTGCTAGTGCTTCAAAAAGATCTCTGTGACATACACAGGAAATCCAAAAGATTTCTGAGAATATCAGCAGAAACACTGCCAGCTTGAACTGAAAGGTACAGAGAGAGAATAAAATGAAAGACGGTTATAGGACTCCCAAAATTCCATAAGCAATAAACAGTCTGATAAAACTATTCAGCCCCAAACTTGTGCTATCTTTCATGAAGGATGACTCTGAGGGCAGAGCCTAGAGACACAAATGGTTATTCACAGGCCTTAAAACCTATGGAGTTAGCCTTGCAGATTTTTGAAATTTCTTGGCTTTTTCTCCTTCCATTTTCTCCCTTTGTGAACAGGAATATCTGTAACTGGTACCCTATTCCTGTTCCACCATTGTATTTTTGGAGCAAATAACTTGTTTTCTAGTCTTAAAGCTTCACATATGGAGAGAAATTTTGCCTCAGGATGGTTCATACCCAAAGTCTCAACTATACCTGATTTAATCATTTAGGTCTTTTCAGCAGATGAGATTTAGATGGGATTTTTGGACTTAAGTTGATACTACAATAGATTAGGACTTTGGGGGGACCTTGGAATGGCTCATTTTGCATATGGAATTGATGAGAATGTTTGGGGCAGAGAGTGCAATGACAAATAAATGGCTCCCAAAGCTGTGCATGCCCTAATCCCCAGAATGTGTGCATGTTACCTTACAGGGCAAAATGAACTTTGCATGTGATTAATTTAAAGATCTTGAGATGGAGGATTATCCTAGATTTTCCAGAGTAGGCCCGATGTAATCTCAAGGGTCCTTGTAAGAGAGAAATGGGAGATCAGAGGAGAGAGAAGATGCTGTGCTGCTGGCTTATACATGGAGAAAGGGACCACAAGCTAAGTAATACATGTGCCCTGTAGAAGCTGGAAAAGGTAAGGAAACAGACTCCCCGTTAGACCCCCTAGAAATAATGTAGCCCTACCAATACCTTGATTTTTAGGCTTCGGACCTCCAGAATTGTAACAAATGTGTGTTTTAAGTCACCAAGTTTGTGGTAACTTGCTATAGCAACAATAGGAATCTAATGCAACTGGCATTTACTATTCATTCCATTAAAATGATAAAGTCACTTTCCCCTCCAAAACAATTACAAGAATGAGCCCTGCCCTATTTCACTTTTTTTTTTTTTTTTTTTTTTGACGGAGTCTTGCTGTCGCCTAGGCTGGAGTACAGTAGCATGATCTCGGCTCACTGCAGCCTCTGCCCCCCGGGTTCCAGCGATTCTCCTGCCTCAGCCACCTGGTTAGCTGAGATTACAAGTGCATGCCACCATGCCTGGCTAATTTTTGTATTTTTAGTAGAGATGGGGTTTCACCATGTTGGCCAGGCTGGTTTCGAACTCCTGACCTCAGGTGATCTGCCCGCCTCAACCTCCCAAAGTGCTGGGATTACAGGTGTGAACTACCACACCAGGGCCTCATCTCCTCCTTTTGATCATGGCACTTCATAAGGGTATACAGTCATCATCTCCACTTCTCCTTCAAAGTCCTAAAGTTTATTGGTCTAGTCTATCTTTAGACCAGAATCTGCCCTGAAGCTCCTCTGCCAAACTCATTCATGATGACCTATTAATTGCCAAATTCAAACAGTGCTATGTAGTCCACGATTTATTGACCTATTGGTGATATTCAAGATTTTATACCAGCCTCTCCTTTCTTTTTCTTTTCTTTTCTTTTTTTTTAACTTGAATCAGGGTCTTGATCTGTCTCCCAGGCTGGAGTGCAATGGCATGATCTTGGCTCACCACAGTTGATACATCTGAATTCCATATTCTCTTTTATGTCATTCCTTCCACTCACTAGAATGAGCCTCATGTGTTGTCATCTGGTTTATTGCAAAAGCCTATTCATTTCCTGACTCCAGCCTGTTCTCTCCATTCTGTTTTCCACTCTCCTGCCAGGGTAATTTCTCTAGCATGTAAACCTGATCATGTTACTCCCTGTCTTAAAATCCATTAGCATTTCCTCATTGCTTTCAGATTAATCTGCCTATTGGTATTTCATCTTTTTTTAGAGCTCCCAAACACTATACCTTAATGGTGACAAGTAAGTGTTTTGATTCAGAGGATCTCTCTAATAACAGTTCCATCACGTATTAGCTTCAGTGTATTGGGTAAGTTAACCTCTGTCTTTCATCTCTAAAACGGGAGTTAAAAACAATCCACAGAGTTGTTAAAGGATTAAGTGAATTCAATGTTGTAAAGAGATCAGACACAAAGCAATAGGATGCAGGTATCATTATTATTATTCTCTTCAGGAAATACTGAGAACCATGAATGTAGCACTAGGTAGCTTGTCCTTCCTTGAGTTATGAGACAGATAACAGGGTCTTACTCTGTCTTAAAAAGTCTTAAAGCCTTGTGTTGAGTGGCAACAGTAATATCAATCCATATGCATTCAAACATCGTAATTTCTGGACATTCCTTTCTAGGGATTCACTAAACATGTATGTATGGTGACCTACTACGCCAGACACTTTTTATACACTGATACAAAATATTAAAAACTCCTTCCTTCAGAGTTTACATTCTAGTAAAGAATATAAACAATAACAAGAGAAGTAAAAAGTCCATTGTGTTAGATAAAAATAAGCTATAAGAGAAAAAATACATAGAGAAGAGGAGATATCAAATCCTGATGGGAAAAGAAGATGAAATTTTAGATAGGATAGACAGGGAAAGTCCCACTAAGAAGGTGACTTGACTAAAGATTGGAAGGAAGTTAGGCCATTCTTTTTTCTTGGAGAGACCAAGCCTGGCTGAGGGACAGGGAAATCCCTGAGATAGAGTGAGCCATGTGGGTTCAAGGAGCATTAGAGAGGCCTGTGTGACTGAAGCTGAAGGACTAGGCAAGAGTGGGAGAATGTCACAAAGATAAGGTGAGGAGGCAGATCATGCCTGATCCCAGAGAACAAAAGAGACTGTGACTTTTACTTTGAATGTGATAAGAAGGCATGTCATGGCAAATACATTGAGATTTTATCTTATTTATAATTTACTTTTATTAAATATTTGAACAATTCATGTATACATGTTCCTTTTGTTTTGGATATATGTTAAAGAAAAAATCAAGAAATGAAATTTAATATAAAAATAGTATAACAAATTGTATTCCTTACGTGTTTGACAATCTAACACTGGATTTTTTTCTTTTTTGGTTTGTTTTTTCTCTAATACTGATCATTGTTCTAGTGGCTTTTTTGACAGTTTTTGAGACAAAATTAAGTCAAGATAATGTAATATGTAGCTGTCCCTAGTTATCCATGGGGAACTAGTTCCAGGACCCTCTTGGATACTAAAATCCATGGATACTCAAGTCCCTTATGAAATGGCATATTTGCATATAAATTTTAAATCATCTCTAGATTACTTATAATACTTAAGACAATGTAAATACTATGTAAACAGTTATACTGTATTGTTTAGAGAATGACAAGAAAAAAGTATACATGTTCAATATTTCTGAATATCTTTGATCCATGGTTAGTTGAATCCACAGATGTAGAAGCCACAGAAGGCTGACTATATTATTTCATATATCTATTGTCTTATAAATTTTAAATATACTGCTCATTTTCCTATCCATGTGTTTTTTCTTATTGAATTGCAAGGCCACATCTTGCCAAGGTTTCCTTTCATTTTTTTAACTTGCCTTTTCTTCTTTTTAAATGAAGATTTTGTTTTAGTTTCACAGTTAGGAGCTTTTAAAAGTCATCAGATTTATCGCACTGTGCCTTTATATTTCCTTCATTTGCCCTTATGGATAGAAAACTCCTTCACTACCATAGAGCCAAAAAACAAACAAACAAAAAGGCATGTATTTTATTATGGTTATTTTTGGTTTTGTTTTTTCCATTTAGCACCTGAATTTATGTTGGTATATGGTGTGAGGTTTGATGGCCTAAGTGTGTTTAGTGAATGCCTCAGAGTTAATTCTTCAGACAGATGGCTGGTAAGCCAGGCACTGCCATCTGAAGTGACCCTGATGGGGACAGGGACCAGAGCAGGCCAGGGAGCAGGGTATGCACTGCAGCTGATCTCTCGGGTTTTGGAGACTTGATCCTACACCCTTGCTTTTAGGTGTGAACTTGCATTGCTGGGACAGTAGACCTTAGTCCTTTCTGTGGGGAACTGATTGCATTCCAGGCCTTCTGCCCTGGAAGGGGTCTGCCCTATCACCAACATCCTCACCCCTACATGATTCAGCAGGCTCTTCACTCTTGACTCACAGTGGTAAAACTCCACCCCTTTTTACTCATAACCTCTGCCTGGGCTCACTCCCTTGATCTGAATTAATATACTCTCATAAAGCTACTTCTTTTTTTCTTCAGAGGAATAACTGAAGTCCTCATCCATCCCCCGTGGCTTTCTACTTGATCAGTGTCCCCCTATCAACTTTCTGACCCACTGTCATCCGCAGCCCCCACCTCTCTAGCTGCATACCACTTGGGTTTCTCAGAAAAGCTCAAAGGACGAGGCTTCACCCTTTATGCTACTGAATTCCATTTATCTCCTTATTACTCACCGTCCACACCTATGATCATTGACTGATTTAAAATCTCCCCACCTCCCCCAGTCACTTTTCATACCAGACATAAACACCAGTGCGTAATAGCTGCCTACCCAGCCCAGTTAGAAGCTCCCAATTCCTCAGAGTGGCCTGAGGCAGAATAGTGTCCCTAAGGTCATCTCAGCTTCTAGATCCCAAGTCTGATTCTCTTTCCTTGCCTTCTCACTCATCTGCTAAGCTTGTTTATTGGGCAACACTAAGCAAAGTTAATGATTATTCCAGTCTTTAACTAGGACGTGAGAAGCTCTCTCCCCATCTTCACCCATTTCTGTGAAGCTTTCAGGGACTATGGGCCTCGCACTGATAGCACCTCCCCAGGCTGGGCTGGCCCAGACAGTCGAAGAGTAGGACCAGCCACTTCTCAGCCCAGCTGACATTTGGCAGCTTTGTGATTTTGGATAAGACATCTTCTCTTGGGAGGTCAGACAAGATCAACTCTTCCAGCTATGACATTGCGTGAGGCAATGAAGAGGGGAAAGTCCATGAATGGAAGGTGGAACTTGATTGGATCTGTTTTGTGGGTTCAGGAGAGGTCCTATCACAACTCACTGGAGGTAGGCAAGGTAGGTGAAGACTTCCATGGAAACTTCTGGCTCTGGGGTGCCTGCTTCACTGATGATTGAGTGGGCATCCTAAAGGGTACACCTCTGTCAAAGTAATTCAAAGTCCTGCTCATCATTCAGACTTGGCTTGTCAGGAATCAGGTACACTTGGATAACCTAGCCTTAATTCCATTCAATTTCCTTTTATCTCTTAGAAAAATATGATTACAGTTGTTCCTCAGTATCCAAGAGGGATTGGTTTCAGGACTCCCTGCAGATACCAAAATCTACAGATGCTCAAGTTCCTTATAAAAAAAAATGGTGTAGTGTTTTATATAATCTAGACACATCTTCCCATATACTTTAAATCATCTCCAGATTCCTTACAATACCTAATACAATGTAAATGCTTTATAAATAGGTGTTATACTATATTGTTTTTATTTGTATTATGTTTCATTGTTGTATTGTTGGCTTTTTAAAAATATTTTGGATGCACTGTTGGTTGAATTACCAAATGTAGAGTCCACGGAGGGCTGACTGCATTTTTAGGCTTATAATGCCAACATTTCTTTGACAAGTTCACTCTGTGTTATATTAATTTAGCTTTCATCTGCACAATCATTAGTACCATATTCAATTTATAATTCATAAATAATAAAGCATATTAACAAATGCATATGCTGTCTCTATGGAAAAGTAATTACCTAAAAATGTTATAAATAATCTGTTTTGATTTTACCCTGCAGAAAGTCTTCTTAAGAAACAATATATTCAATGAAACTACAGTCACAGTTACAGAAGTCAAACGAGCACACTGGGTCTGTGATATTTCTACAACAGGCTTTTTCAACACCTGTTAATCAGTCAATCAGAGGAAACCTCAGGGGCTGAAGATACGCCAGCTTGGTGGAAATTCCTTCCCAAAATAGCAATAGCTGAGCAAATTGCTAGGCTGACAGAAGTAGAGTATGCACAGTTCTTGGGATTTTGTGTGAGACAGCAACTGTCTTCGACGGTTGGCATTTTATCAAAGTTTAAATTCTTTGGTCCAACAGCTGATTTCCTCCTTTGTCATATTCTTTCCTATTTGCTTCCCCAGGCAGTGACAGCCATGTCCTTCCACATTAGACTTCTTGGGTAAGCAGCTTCTGAAATTGTTCTACAGCTGTTAGTAGCTGTCTGGCAGAGACCACTCCATTTGCAAGGTTGCTGAATATCGCTAAGTATCTCCATGAGGCATATAAAATGCAAACTTTAAGAGAAACAAAATATTGTTCATTTTGATTTAGGTCAAATAAATGTCAAAGCCTTTCTAAATAACTAATTATCTTGGTAGATTTGCCTTTTCTTTCTAGTAGAGGAAAAAAAAATCACCCTATACAGTTTATTGATGTCTTCATACGTAGTAAAATGTCAAAAGCAACTCAGTTTAAAGCATTAAAACTTCCAGCCATGCAAAGAGTCTTAACTTTTTTTAAGTTATATTCGGACTTCAAAGACTATTGATTTTCTTCCTGTTTCCCTTAGCATAATATAATCGGCATTTTTCCTTTAATATAAACACATCAGAAAAATCATATTTTATGGCTACTTTAAAATTCCATGAGTTTAAGCCATTCCATAACATGCACATTTAGATTGCTTTGATTTTTTCTTCTATAAATAATACAGAATTAAATGTGTTTTTATGTAAAGTGTTTACTGTAGTTAGGATTCTGTCCTTGGAACAGATCAGAGAGAGAGTGGATCAAAGGTTATGACATTTTAAAAGTAGCCAGATGAAGGTGAATGTTCATACAGTATATGCAGAATATGGTTCGCTTGTATATGGGTCTGATTTGCAAATCAGCTCACAAGAGCTGATCCACAGTAGAGGAAATCTGGTTTAAGATTTTTAAAGTCAGTAAAGTTTTTTTTTATTCTCCAAATAGAAACATACTGCATTCAAAATTTCTTTAATTGATTATTCTCTATTTTATACCCAAAGACTTAAAAAAATTTTACTCTCTAGTGGATTAAACAATTAAGAAAGGTTTTTTTAAGATTAAATGGACTTCAGGCTCATGACCGGAATTTTTTTTTTTTTTTTTTTTTTTTCCTTTTTGAGAAATGGAGTCTTATTATGTTACCCAGGCTGGCCTCAAAGTCCTGGGCTCAAGGGATCCTCCTGCCTCATTCTCCCGCATAGCTGGGACTACAGACAGGTACCACTGAGCACAGCAATTTGATGATAAATATAATGCAAATACATACAAATTTCAAACACAAAAAGAAAAAAATGAAGGTTTCCTTTAATCTTACCTTCCGGATATAATAACTAGTATACGATGTGTTTGTTTCACTTAATGCTATATTTGGGATAGCTTATTTCTGTATCACCTCTTGTTTTAGTACCTTAGAAAACACATTTAAAAATCATAATTATTGATAGGGAAAAGTATAAAGAGTAAGAAACAGTAACAGTCAAGATAATCTCTGATGCCATTTTTTTTCTCTGATGCCATTTTTAAAATAACAATACAGCATGTATGTTGGAGTCAACATACAACCCTATTTGCATCCTAGTCAGAATGCATTTTCTCACCAAAATTAACCTATCATCTTCGAGGAAAACTTCAAAATGTTTTATTCATATGTCAGGAAAGAGAGAGAAATTATAAAAATAGATATAAGTATACATACAAATATGATGATGCTCTAACACACTCTCATGTATACTCTTTTTATCCTAAATCTATCTTGAATATATTTCTATGACTACATACATATTTATCCATTCCACTATGATTTTTTTTCCAATTCATGTGAGCCAAAAGAACTTCAATTTGCTGAATGAAGTGAAATAGGAATCCAGTTTTTTAATAATGAGGGGGAAGTCAGTGGAACTGAACAAGGCCAAGAAATAAATCAAAACGTATGTAGTTATTTAATATATGCTGCCAATTCAAAATAATGTTCTTTCCATACAAGAATAAAATATGTCATTTTATTCATCCATTCCTCCATTCCTTGTATCGCCATAAGAAATCTGTTAGTACTCCAGTAGCAATGAAGGGCTACTCCTCTGCCCTTAGCGTTCCTTTTCACACAATCTTCCTAGATATTTTGCCATGCTAATTTGTCTAGGTAAATTTTGTGTCAGTTTTTCTAAGTCCAGCAAAAAATGCTACTTTATTTTTTATTTTTGTTTTTATTTTTTAGAAAGAAGACTTTGCTCTGCCACCCAGAATGGAGTGTGCAGTGGCACAATCATGGCTCACTGCAGCCTGAAACTCTTGGGCTCAAGCGATCCTCCCGCCTCAGCCTCCCAAGTGGCTGAGACTACAGGAACACACCACCACACCTGGCTAAATTTTTTAATTTTTCTAGAGACAAGGTCTCACTATATTGCCCAGGCTGATCTTGAACTCCTGGCCTCAAGCAATTCTCCTTCCTCAGCCTCCTAAAGTGTTGGGATTACAAGTGTGAACCGCTGTACCTGGCAAAAATGCTATTTTAATTGAGATTATATGACAGTTGTAGATTATTTTGATAAAGAACTGATTACATTACAAAATCAATTCTTCCTATATAAGAACGGGATATAGCATTCCATTTATTTCGTTATTTCATTCCTTTCTCTTCTTTAGTATACATTAAAACCTGCATATTAGTTGTTAGTATTCCTTGGTGTTTTATCTCATTACTATATATTGCATCATATGTGTGTATGGATAAATGTGTGTATGTATACACAGTCACACATGCACCTATACCTTAAAATATAATGTTAAAGTAGAACCATTCTCTTCACTTCTCACAAAAGTTTTTTTTTTCCATTGGGACTAGACATTGAATTTTGTCTGAAGACTCACTAACAATATATGGAGCTGACCATATGGCTTTTTTCTTTTGAGTTTCTTTTGAAGAATTAAATACTAGAAGTTTGGATGTTAAGCCAACTTTTATGACTTGGCTAAAACCCAATTGTCCAAAGTGTATTATTCTTTTAATACATTGTTGGCTTTTATTTATTACTATTTTTTTCAAATTTTATTTTACTATTCAAAACACCAATGTGCACTCGTCTGTCTTCATTCAATTTTATATTACTGAATAATGACATAATGATAAAAGGATAATATAATGATATAATGATGTTATTCTGTCTTTGTAAATTCCAAGACTTATTTTATTTGCTTAAATTCAATAAAATCTGCTTTTGAAATTAATTTTACTGGCTTTTTCACCCTAAATAATACTTGTCTCTACATTTGGACCCTTGTAAGGCAGATAGAAAATGAGATTATTTCTAAGGATCATAATAGCTAACTGTACCCCAATACTCGTATACAGACATAGATTTTGTTTCCAGACTATCTCAATTCTACTTCTATTACCTATCATCATAAGATTATGTTTCTCTCTTCATTTTTGTGCATATGCACAAGTTAGCAAACATCCCAAGTAGCAGAAACATGTGACCAAAAGATCACCCACAGGCTCAGGCTACATTTATGCAGATTTAATCACAGTTCATAAAATCGAGCTCATGAGGGACAAATCTGGAGTTCCCTGCTACGTACAGATAGATATACCAGTTTAATCAGACAAGTCTTTGGGGCCATACCTGATTCTGTGACATGTACACAAGCCAGATACAAAGTATGAGGAAGAAGTAGAAAGACTGGTCGTGGCTTGAAAGACACTTGTTCCCAGGATCCCCAGATGGACCATTGGGACAATTCTGCAAGTGTTTCATGCCTCCAATTTTAGTGTGTTCCTTGATCAGCCTTCTCAATTACCATTTTCTCACATGCTCCGTGATCCTTGTTTCCTGGTGGTTGACGCTGGGAATGAAGAGAGGAATAAAAGTGAAAAGGGAGTAAGTAGACTTGTTTCTTGAAACTTAGGATTTTCAAACTTCCTGGATCGTAAGAAAAAGAAAACGTCCAAGGGGGATGAATGAGCAAGTCTGCTGCATTCCTTTGCACACCCCTTTCATCAAGGAAACTTTGAATACCTTTACTTTTTCTATTGGCTGCCCAAGAGTTTGTATCTCCTAAAACAAAGTTTGTAAACCAGTATCCTCGATTGACCTGAACCTGGGAGGCAGACTGATAGATAATCTCAAAACAGAGTGATCTACAGCCTGGAAATTCTGGTGAAGAAGAAAAATCAGTGTATGAGAGAGCTAGAGGAAGAAAGTTTACAGTCAAATAACATGTTTGAACGTGCAGTTGTGAAAACAGAGCATGCCCCAATGTGGCTATAGGACTGATGGGTTAAAGGGAATAGAGGTGTGGTAGCCAACTGCCAAGATGACCACCAATGCATTGTCTTGCCAACTGGTTTTTACGCCTCTATGCAGTCTCCTCCCACAGTGGATACTGCCAATTTGTATAACTAAAGGATACTGCGGGAAAGACGAAATATGACCTCCAAGGCTGGATCATAAAAGATATAATGGGGCCGGGCGCGGTGGCTCACACCTGTAATCCCAAAACTATGGGAGGCTGAGGTGGGTGGATCACCTGAGGTCAGGAGTTTGTGACCAGCCTGGCCAACATGGTGAAACCCCATCTCTACTAAAAATACAAAAAAATATCTGGGCGTGGTGGTGGGCACCTGTAATCCCAGCTACTTGGGAGGCTGAGGCAGGAGAATCACTTGAACCCAGGAGGTGGAGGTTGCAGTGAGCTGAGGTCATGCCACTGCACTCCAGCAACAAGAGCAAAACTCCACTTTAAAAAAAAAGACATTGTGGCACAATCCAGCTGCCATGAAGCTAGGAAACTCAGGCAGTGACACAGAGAAGTCAACAGGGTTCCAGCCAATAACAGGACTAACTTTCCAGGCACGTGAGTGAGCTGCCTTGGAAGCAGATTTTCCAGCCCCAGCCATGCTTCCACCTGAAAGAAGCTGGGGCAACATCTTCAGTACTATCTCATGATACCCTGATCTGGAATTACCCAGCTAAGACTAATGGATTCCTGACACATAGAAACTGTGTGAAATAACAAATATATATTGTTTTAAGACATTAATTTTTGCAGTAATTTGTTATGAAGCAGTAGATAAGTTATATCTGATTTTGGAGGTGGAGGAGGTCTGTTTGTGTGATCTGTAAGAGGAACAGAGATGAAGATTCATAGAGAAAAGCAGGTCCAAAACCAATATGCCAACATATAGAATAGACAAATGGGTGCTGAGTCACCCAGAATAATGGCAGGGTGTGGAGTGAAGAAGAGAACCAAGAGCCCAACTAGATCCAAAGTCTTAATTTTAAAAAGTGGGATGGAGGATGGTTGATGCAAATATAAGTGCTTCAAAAGAGCAGGAATTTCTATAAGAAGAAGTAATCATTTGAAAGCTGAACTGGAGCCCCATGAAGGAGCCACAGACTCCCTTTCCCAACCTTCGTGCACACAGAAATGGGCTCTGGTGGAAAATATGAAAGTGCATGAGAAATGATATTACTGTCCACACACTAATCTCATCCTTAATATCAACTGGACCTTGCTATACTAACTTAAGAGTGTTGATCAAACTTTCTAAATTTTTTTGATGCCAATTTTCTAAGGAAAAGAACTTCTTATAAGATTTTTAAAACAAGCTTGGTTTGCTGCACTATTTGCAATACACACACAAAAAGGTCACATTTCTGTGTCCTTTTGAGTAAAGTCATATCCATCTTTGAAGCCTCTCTCAGGACCACAAGCTGTTTTTTTTTCTTTTTTCTTCTTATGGCTTCATCACTTCACTGGTGTTATACCAGGATTTAGGAACCAAGCAATCCAAAGAAATGTGGGAGAGGCCTCGTCTGGCCAGTAGTCCAACATGATTGCCTCTGGAATTCACCATGAGACTCACAGTTCACCAGAAGGCAGAGGCAAAAATCAGAGTTGCCAATTAAAATTATTTCTAAAGATGGGTTCACTGCTTCCTATTCCCAAGCCTTTCTGAGACTCCATGGGGTGAATCACTTGCTTCTTTTCTGTATCTCCTCCTGCAGGCATTTAAGCTTTGTAATTTAGTTACATGCATACTTATATTTATCTCTTTCCAACAATTTTGTTCATTTCTGATATCTTCTATTGTCTTCCCTCCCAATTTCTGCCCTTTTCAGTTTTTACTATTATCTTGTGGTTTTAGGAAAAAGCAGATATAAATATGTGTTTAAGCAATGCTATGGTTTGAAGGTTTTTGTCCCCTTCAAAATTTTTGTTGATTCCTAATCCCCTATGCAACAGTATCAGGAGGTGTAACGTTTAGAAGGTGATTCAGGAGGACTCCTCATGAATGGGATTTGATGCCCTTAGGGCTTGATGGAGGAAGTTTGACCCCCTCTTGCCCTTCCACCTTCTGCCATGTGAGGACACAGTGCTCAAGGCATCACTGTGGAAGCAGAGACAGGAACTTCACCAGACAACAAACCTGCTGGCACCTTGATCTTAGACTTCCCAGCCTCCAGAACTATGAGAAATCAATTTCTGTTCTTTGTAAATTACCCAGTCTGTGGCATTTTGTTATAATGACACAAACTAAGACAATCAATCAGAGTTATATTTCCTTGTAAGTATAAATTTTATTTTTTTATTTTTATTTTTATTTTTTTTAAGAAGGAGTCTCGCTCTGTCACCCAGGCTGGAGTGCAGTGATGGGATCTCGGCTCACTGCAAGCTCCGCCTCCCGGGTTCACACCATTCTCCTGCCTCAGCCTCCCAAGTGGCTGGGACTACAGGCACCCGCCACCACGCCCAGCTAATTTTTTGTATTTTTAGTAGAGAGGGGGTTTCACTGTGTTAGCCAGGATGGTCTCAATCTCCTGACCTCATGATCCACCCACCTCGGCCTCCCAAAGTACTGCAATTACAGGCATAAGCCACCACGCCCAGCCGTAAGTATAAATTTTAAAATCACTTCTTAATTAATATAATAGATGAAATGACCCACAGAAGTATCCACTCACAGAAAGGACCATTTCTAAAGGACCAGTTTGGCCTATAAAGAAAATACAATAGCAGACCTTCACAAATTTTCTAACATCAGAAAAGAAAAAATATTTAGATATTAAACTGAATCAAATGTGATGGTCTTACCCAGACAAAGGAAGACTCAGCACCCCATTTCCAAGTTAACTGGGAGCTTTTGTGTTGCTCTTTTTGCCCCCCTTATATTTGATTCTGCTACCTGACCTTTAAACAGAAAAGCTTTCTCTTCTTGCTATCTATGTTTGTTATTTAAAAGATCAAAATATTAAACTCTTGCTATATCTATTTGTCATTTGAAAGATCAAAATATTAAATGATTGTGAAACATTTTTTGCAACTGTAAGAGGGTTGATACTTTTCCTGAATATTATTCATTCAACATTCATTTATTTCTTTGACAAATATTTAAGAGATGCTCATGATGTCCTAGGCATTGAGCTAAGAACTCAATGTTGCAATGTGGATAAGATCCAGTCCCTGTGTGTTCATACTTATTTAATACTATTATAGACAAGGCCTTTAATACATACCATAGTCATATATCAATTTTTAATTAGCAATATGAAATAAGAGAACAATGGGACTTTCCACTCAATTTGACAGGTGGCTAAATTTTCAGTTACTGAATTTACTATTTTAGGGTAATCTAGCACATGACCAAAATTTAAATGCACAGAACAGAAGATCAGAGTAAGAAGAGCTTCCATTTGGATTATCACTTTTTCTACTTGGAGTCACATACTGTACTTTAAATTGATTAAGAACATGTTAAAGGTCCAGGTGGTGATTTCCAGCTACAAGTCCAAAGTATAGAAGAATGTGTTTAAATCCTACGTTTATCAGATCCATAAATATAGTTCCTTCTATGTTAAGTGGCTTTATTTCTAAGAACCCAGCCCTCGGTCCTGGGGGTGCTTCCCAGCCCGCTGCTGGAATTCCTGATCGTGGCAGTCTGCTGAAACATGAGCTCAGTTACCAAATATAGCTGAGTGGAGTAAGAGGACAGATGAGAGTCTGAGGCCACAGTTGCCTCAAAGTGACCACGGACCAGGCAGTCTCTAATGAATAGGCAAGGCCACAACCTCCATTCTCCCAGAAAAGAAGAAATGCTCATCTGAAATTCATCACCTCTCTGGAGTCTTCAAACTGACCAAGCATTGAAAAGGTCTGTAAGGTGTATCTTAATATACTAACTAGTAGGGCAACATTTTAAGGACTTAAAAAAAAAAAAACTAAAAATACAAAAGTTTTTCTGAAGATATGATACTATTTACAAGATACCTTAATTATTCTTTTGCTTGGAGAGGAAACGTAATGAGAATGTTACGGTTTTGCCAAAAACAGATAATACGTAAGATTTGCCTGCCCACTTCATCTCTGCCTTTGCTGTCAGAGAATTACACTTTCTGTTATAAGCTTAAGCATGCTAAGATGGTGCTATCAATTCCAAAAGGATTAAATGTATTTATGGAGCCAGCTTTTGTCAAGATCGTGTATGTGTTATGTTTCACAGAAAAGGAAAACGCAGCTTTCTAGACCCTCACCCATATTTAAGCTAGATAAGTGATGATGGCTTAAAGTGATAGACCTTAGATTTCAGTAACATTATAAATTGTTAATTACACTTTCAAAAGATTCTAAAAGTAACTCACTGGACATAATTAAATGAGTTGGGATAGTAACAGCAGGTATTTTAAATTATATTCATGCATAAAATTTACATACATATTTTTAATAAGATAACGCTTACTAAGGGAAACCACAGTGCAATCTCGAGTCCAGTCAAGTTTAAACATCACAGAATAATTTTTATCATGTTGTTTTAAGTTGCACATGAAATTGTCTTGAATCCAATATAGGAGGTTGACATAAAATGATTTCAGGCTCATATTACTTATTAACATTTGCTAAAAATACTAATTGCCTTCTAGTATGAATAATGTGGTGACATATAAAGCCATTTCTTGGCAATATAAAACTATTACAAATCTATTCAATCACATATATGCAGAAATTAAATCCTCATTTCATGATAAATGTGCCTTCCAATGTTTTTTCTCACAGAAAGAACTTGAATACTCACCTCAATTATTCAGATTTTTTTTTCAGATTTTTAAAATCAAAGTCTCTTTGACAAGTTATTGCTAACAGCAGAAAAGGCCGATGAGGTTTATCTGGCCACTAACTGCCCTGTAAATACATGATTACACATTCCTAGAATATAAATTAGTCCTCTGGCATCCTAGAATCTGGTATGGATTAGGGTCTGTATCCCAGGGGTTCTGTGTCAGCTCTTCCTCTGGGTTTCTCTGTTATTGCTAGAGCTGAATATTAAAACTGGCCTTATAGCATATTTCACAATAGAATGAGGATCTGGATTGCACTGGACAAGTACAATCACTTTGACCTCCTTACCTCATTTTTTAAAAATGTAGAGGGCAATCATTATTCAGGTTTAAAAATAAATATGACAAGTTCTTTAAGAGATACCAAGTGGAATCTGCAAGGCCCAGACAAGAGCTCCACTTCTTAAACAATATGTGTGTGGAGGCTGTCAAAGGGTATTGCAATTACTGAGCTCCAGTTAGAAATTCAGGCCATCTAGAGTTAATGACTGTGTCCCGGTGAAATTACAGCAAAGAAAACAAAGATTGAACAAAGTATCTTCGACTAAAATTTCTAACTGTTAAATCATATTAGAGAATATAGAAGCAAATTTGGTAAATAGGTTTTGAATTTAAGTGAGAAGAATAAAGCCCTGAATTGGATAATGGTAATGGAAATGGATAATTCAGAAGTAAAATCTAAATATTTGCAATGGACTCAGTATGGTGAATAAAGTTGATAAGATGAACAGGACATGGGATAACTTCAAAAACTCTGTAAAGTATCTTATTTGGCTGTTTCTGCATTAAATGAGCTATTAGATTATGTCCTTGAAATTGAGATTAAATAAGCTGTTTAAAGAGATATTTAAAACTGTAGGATAAATATATCTGCCTGCATTGACAATTTAATAATTAGAAAGGAAAATAATCCATGTGTATTTATTAAGAAATAAATTATAAAATTGTAGTGCATTTTCTGCATCAAACATAAAATTTCATAAAATTTTCGTGTTTGACTTTTGCCCTAAAGGACCCTTTGTAGCAAAAAAAAAAAAAAAAAAAAAAAAAAGGAAGGAAGAAAGAAAGGGAGACGGGGAAGAAGGAAGGGAGAAGGGAGGGAGGAAGGGAGGGAGGATGGGAGGGAGGATGGGAGGGAGGATGGGAGGGAGGAAGGGAGGGAGACATGGAAGAAGGGGGAAGGGAGGCAGAAGGGAGGGAGGGGGGAGGGAGGAAGGGAGGGACTTTATTGATTTAGTCTAGGGGGGTTGCCTGTGATTCTGAAGCATGAAAATTAAGTGTTAAAGCTTTTCTAACTTTGGTTTTCATAGTTTAGGTTTTATTAAAAGATATTTCAATATCTAATATTTGTATCAATGGTTTGCATTACTTTTTTAGTAATTGCTTAAATATGAAAATAAAACTGCTAAACCTAAAATTAAAAATCACTTATAACTTTTTTTCAAAAATTACAAAATAAGCAACAAAAGATCCCCCTGCATGTCCCACCTTTCAACTCCTACCCCTGCCTAAATCCCCCCACAGAGGTCAGTGTTGATTGTTTGGTGTATGTTATTCCAACCATTTTCATATATTTATTCCTATCTATGTATACATTTTTAAATGACTATGGGAATTTAGCTATTCCACCTGGACTCTCTAAAGAATCTGCTGAATGTGGTACATGGTATTAAGTGATCCTTACTGCCTGTCAATGTTTTTCTAACATCAAACTTTTTCTTTCAAAATTGTAGCAGTTCTTCATCGACTCAAAGTATTTCACAAACAGACTTCAAAAGTTTTCCCCTTATCTAAATTTTTAAAGTAATTTCCTATAATATCTCCAATGAGAGAAGAAAACTTTGCAGTTAAATGCAGGCTTCCACCCTGAGTCTGCCACTTTCTGATGGCTCAGGTTGGGCCAAATAATTGAAACTTTTTCTGCTGCAGTTGTGGGTAATACAAACAATAAAATAGAAAAATAACATCTACTACATGGATTGTTCTGAGGATCAAACTGTTCACTTTTGAAAGCAGGTAACTTCCAAGCTGTTATGTAGGAACAACTTGCATTGTCACTGAATTCTTTCTACTTACTAGACTCTGCTCTTTCTCATGTATATTCCTTGTCTTCCCCAAGTTCCTCCACGTCAAAGAAATCTGTTGTAATTTCAACAGTCAATAGTGCCTTGATTCATGGGGATCATGCCAGGGGGTGGTCCCATAAGTCTTGTTTGTTTGTTTTTTGAGTCAGGGTCTCACTCTTTTGCCCAAGCTGGAATGCAGTGACCTGATCATCGCTCACTGCAGCCTAGAACTCTTGGACTCAGACAATCCTCCCACCTCAGCCTCTGGAGTAGCTGGGGCTACAGGCACACACCATCACACTCAGCTAAGTTTTTGGGTTTTTTTTTGTATTTTTGTAGAGATGAAATCTAACTATGTTGCCCAGGCTGGTATTGAACTCCTGGGCTCAAGCGATCTTCCTGCCTCAGCCTCCAACAGTGCTGGGAGTACAGATGTGAGCCACCATGCCCAGCCCCCTATAAATATTTCTTAACTGACAACATAGAGGATTCTCCCAAATATCATAGAGCTGGCTTTCAGGTAATCTATCCCCAAAAGTCAGCAACTTTAAAGGCAAATGGTAGTCATAATTTTTAAATTTGTCTATTTTTTCTATCATTTGTATATTCATATATGAATGTGAACCATATACATTTATGCCTATAGTACATATTCAGGATCTAAAAAATAAATGTTTTGCCAAATATTAGGATAGTCATGCCAAGATAAGATTCACAAAATTACTTATGTCAAATGTGTAATATACATACCAATGAAAACTTATTTATATGTTCTATATTTTATAGTATACCATGAATCTAACAGAATTCAGATGACACTAACTTAGGGAGAAGTTGCGAACCATAAAATTACAATTAAAATTAATCTATAAATTAAGTGACATAAAATTCCTTAAGAAAGAATGAAATAGCCAGGCCTGGTGGCTTGTGCCTGTAATCCCAGCAACTCAGGAGCCTGAGGCAGGAGGATTGCAGAGGCCAAGAGTTCAAGACAATACTGGGCAATGAAAGGAGACCCTATCTCTACAGAAAATAAAAAAGAATTAGCAGGACTTGGTGACATGCACCTGTAGTCCCAGCTACTTGGGAAGCTAAAGTAAAAGGATCCTTTGAGCCCACTAGATCAAGGTTGCAGTGAGCTATGATCACACCATCGCACTACTACAGCAGGGGCAAAATTGAAAAGAAAGGAAAAGAGAAGAAGAAGAATGAGATATGCCCAGGGAGTTAACAAAATAGGTCACCGTGGACATTTACCTTTGAAAGCAATATTTGCTTAGGATAAGCCAAGATGCTTATAAGGATATAAGCTGCCTGTTGACAATTCAAGGTTGATAGGATTCTGTAATGACTCACAATATTTGCCAACCCTCCCAAACCTTTGCTTCACCAAATGTTTGCTTAAGATGAAGAGTTTGGCATTAGGCACATGTTGAAATTCACCTGGGAGAATTTCCCTTCAGAGCGCCATGAGGTGACATGGCAGCTGCCCCCATGGTACACTCTGAAGGAACCTAAAGGACCATTGACCTGAGCATGTTCTCCTCTTGTGACTTTCACCACCCTCCCCGCCAAGGGTGTGCCCCCCAAAACAACAGTGGTCTGTAGATGTGAACATTAACATGCGAATGTGCACTTCATTTTATCTTATATGTCTGCACCCTAACAACTTTCAAAGCTAGTTTGAGGCTGTATGCAATAAAAGCATAGTACAATTGCCCAAAATCAATTAAGAAAATGCAGATCAAACCAAGTATAAAAAGCTTTGAACTTGAAATGTTTTCTCAATTTACTACCTTTGTCCTTTCTCTTCTTAGAATCTTAACTCCCTAGGACAGAGAATCTATCTTCTTTCCAGCTATGTCCCTGGCCTATGAAAGAGGTGCCTAGCACATAGTAGGCACTCAATAAATAAATGCTGACTGAATAAAACAATGAGAAAAGTAAGCAAAATAAATTTTTTTTTTAGCTAAAAACATCTGAATTTCTATGACTGGAAATTTAACCCTGAGCTTGCTAGTATCCGTGTGAAAGAGTCATCAAAGTTTACAGAATTCTTTGTCTAACAGAATTGCCAGAAAATAGAATAAATGCTTTTCTAGTTCCAAATTTTTTCATGAGAAACTTTCTTTGAGGGTAATGAGAAAGACTGACATCCACGTCTTTATAGATACTTTTTTTTAACACAATGTCTGACCTATGACTGATTTTGCTTTAGCGAAATGAGCAGGTAAAGTGTATTTTATATGTAGACACAAACAGTTATGTGTTATATGTATACACTAACATTTAGCACTGATTACTCTATCAAGTTTTTACCAGAAAACAGAGCCCGGGACACAAGCAACAGTTGATAAAACAGAAGAAAAACCTAGTTTAAGAGCAGAATAATGTTTAGCTGCACTCAGTGGCTCACATCTGTAATCCCAGAACTTTGGGAGGCCAAGGCAGGAGGAGCCCTTGAGTCCAGGAGTTTGAGACTGGCATAGGCGAAAAAGGGAGACCTCGTTTCTACAAAAATATATTTTAAAATTTAGCCAGGCCTGACGATGCACACGCGTAGTTCTAGCTACTCAGGAGGATGAGGCAGGAGGATCCCTTGAGCCCAGGAATTCAAGGCTACAGTGAGCTATGATCATGCCATTGCAGTCCAGGCCGGGAGACAGAATGAGACCCTCACTCAAAAGAGCAGAATAACACTTAGCTGAAGAGAGCATGTCCCAGAGAAATGTCGCAGCAGGTTCTGGGAGGCTGAAAGCAAATCAGTCATCAGAACATTTCCTGCCTCGTGCCTTTGTTCACATGTGTGTCAAATCCTATCCAGGGCTCAAACCACATTTCAAACACCCGGTATTTCTTAGCTTTTCTCCATCAGCTGCTGTAACCCAGTGTGCTAAGCATTTGCCATACAAAGACGCCAGTCACAGCTCCTGCTTCCATTGGGCTCACAGTTGAATGAGGAAAGCATTCTCTAAACAAATACTTGTAATTTAATATGATGACTGCTGTGAGAAACGCAATGCAAAGTAACATGCTTGGAAGAAGAAGCAAATTATATTGATTGGGGAACTGTTAGAAAGCACCAAAAAGTGGTAAAATTTAAGAAAGTTTTCAAGGATGAACCGGAGTTTGAAAAACAGAAAGAGGGCTGGATGCAGTGGCTCATGCCTGTAATCCCAGCACTTTGGGAGGCCAAGGCGGGTGGATGACAAGGTCAAGAGATCGAGACCATCCTGCTAACAAGGGGAAACCCTGTCTCTACTAAAAATACAAAAATTAGCCGGGCATGGTGGTGGGCGCCTGTAGTCCCAGCTACTCAGGAGGCTGAGGCAAGAGAATGGTGTGAACCTGGGAGGCGGAGGTTGCAGTGAGCCAAGATGGAGCCACTGCACTCCAGCCTGGGCAACAGAGCGAGACTCCATCTCAAAAAAAAAAAAAAAGAAAAAGAAAAAGAGAAAGGAAGCACATTTTAAGCAAAAGGAGCAGCAAGTGCAAAGGTGTGAAAACCAGAAAGAATCTGAATTGTTTGAGGAATGGTGAGTGGGCCAGGGAGGCCTGAGTGCATGTGTGTTGGTGATGACAGAGGGTGAGGCTGGAGCATTTCCATCAGCTCAGGCTGTCCACGGGTATGTTTAACCTGCACATCGTGCTTTGGAACTTTTCTCATCAGCCGGGGAGCATCATAGGAAAAAAATAAAAACCAAAAGAGTGACGTGACACAATTTGTACCTATGATCTCTCTTACCATTTTTATCCCTTACTGCAATTTGTTGAAACTATTTTAATAGAAATTATCACGCTCCTCCTTGTAACTGAGTTATTTTTTACTCTTGTCTAATCCCTCCTACTGGATTGTAAGATCATTTAAGGAGAATAACTACGCCTGCCTCATCTTTGTCCTCCTTGAAGCTTCTCTTGCACAACTAAGCAGTTGTTCCGTTGATTTCATGTTCAACTTACTATTCCAGGAAAGGGAAGTAGAAGAAAGGAAGCATGACTGTAAGATGGGCGAGGCCAAGGAAGAGTCATTTCCTCCATGGTGAAGAACATAATGCTACGCAACTTCAAGCAAATTAAAAAACAGTTGTGGTTGGCCAGGCATGGTGGCTCACACCTGTAATCCCAGCATTTTGGGAGGCTAAGGTGGGCAGATCACAAGGTCAGGAGTTCAAGACCAGCCTGGCCAATATGGTGAAACCCTGTCTCTACTAAAAATACAAAAATCAGCTGGGAGTGGTGGCAGGCACCTGTAGCCCCAGCTACTCGGGAGACTGAGGAAGGAGAATCTCTTGAACCCGGCAGGTGGATCTTGCAGTGAACTGAGATCATGCCACTGCACTCCAGCCTGGGCGACAAAGCAAGACTCCAACTCAAAAAAAAAAAAAAAATGGCTGTGGCTAATGAGCGTTTTAGGGAAAATGACAATTAAGCTAAACTGCTAAAGCTGGAGATGATGGATAAGACAAGGATGAGAAAAAGAAGAAGACAGAAGAATTTCTAGGAAATTCAGATTCCTTCTGAGAAAAGTGAGGAGGCAGGGGACAGGACAATTTAAAGATGCCAAAGAATCCTTTATTCTTCAAAATTTCAAAATCTTTCAATGCTACTTACTAAAGTAGAACCACTTTAATGGCGTTGGTGTTTACCTCATTTCCTCTTCACTCATTAACAGCAGTATTAGTGGGTCTTTTTAGTCTATTTCATCTTCTGTGTCTATCACACCGGCATAGAATTACCAAGAGCACTGTTTGACAGAAAACATGAAATCTCAGGCAAATGATGGAGATGTTTGTGATTGTGTTTCATTCCTTTTGATTTTGACCTTTTCATTTTGGAGTGCTGACTGACATGGAAATCTCTGAAGCACAATTTTCCAGTGAACTTGGCCCGCTTGGAAACCGCCCTTGTTCATCCTCATTGAATGAGCATTTTCCCTAGACCACGTGCATGTTCCCGCGGCAATAACTGGCTTGCAAATTAAGCCTGAACCAGATATGCCATAGAACTATTATTTTCTTTTTCAATGTGCAAGCAGTTTTAAAGCTACACCTAATCCTGACTACTGGATCCTGTCAGATGGCGCCTCTTTAAAACCAAAATATGAGTTAATAAGCAGGTGAGATAATCTGCCTCCAGCAAACACTCCCTACATTAAGAATTGAAAATGTTTTCATCATTCAGAAGTTTGCTTTAAGCTTTGTTATATAATGCTCCTTGTGAAGTTTTAAAATGTATCATATTATGTTCATTTGGAACTAAAAAGCAATTGAATTAATAGCAGAACTCTGATTTCTGATCCACAGTTTTGTTAGTTTGATACATTGCTTAGGATTCTCAATTATGAAAACTACAATGGTAAGATGGTAAAGTGCATAGAACATGAGCTCTGGAGTTATTCCCTGGGCTTAAACCTTGGTTCTCCCACTCAGATTTTCTGCCTCCATTTCCTCCTTTCTAAACCAGAGGCTGCTGTGAGGGTTTTAAATGAAATAATCTACATGATGACTCTGGGCACAATGCCCACCGCAGGGTAAGCAGTCCATTATTAGCCATTATCATTATCAATCATCGTGATCATTAATTGCCTTTATATGTGTTATATGAAGTCATTAGGTAGCTAATGTTCTATAGAAGGGGTTGGCAATTTTTTCCTGTAAAAGTGCAGGTAAATATTTTAGACTTCATGTGCCATATAGTCTCTGTTGCAACTACTCAACTCTGACATTGGTTCAAAAAAACAAAGACAATCTCTACATTCAAACTCCTACCCATGAATTCCAACCCAGCATATATGTCAAAGGCCACCTATTCCTTGACCATATTTTCAATGGCCTTGCCCACTTCCCTCCCATTTTACCTGCATGTCAAACTGGGATCATCTATCTCTGTACCTTCACCTGGATGGCTGAGCTCTGGTGGAGAGAATTGCACAATCACACAGATTAATGACACTATAAATACATCACATCTAACTTCAACCAGGCCCTCACCTCTACCCATAAATCCTTCTTACAAAACTTCCTTCCCCCTTTTTCTACAACAGCTATTTCAAATCATCTTCTGTCCTCATAAACCTCCAATGCACAGAAGTCTCAGTTTGGGAACTCTCCTTTCTTTCTATTACAAATTTTGCAGAGAATCTCATGTTTCTCTCTCTCTCCCTTTCTCTCTTACCGCCCCCCATGCCCCAACACACATACACCCTTTGTTACTTCTCTCCTTTAACAATGAAAGAACTGCCCCCTTCCTACTGGAAGCTGAACACCTCATACTCCGTTTGTCCTATAATAACTCATTTCTTCTTACATCTTTTGAGAGCTGACCTATAAATCATCCCCGCTTTTTTACATTTATTTTCAGCTTCTCCCTTCTTACTGCCTAATTTGGTTTGTATAAAACATGTTACAGCGCTCTATCCTAAAAATGAACAAACCTCACCAGAGTCTATACTTTTGTTCAACTACTACCTTCTGTCTCTCCTTCTTTCTATGATCTTTTCAAAACAAACCACCACACCTGTAATATTTTCTTTCTTTCCTTCTTTCCTTTCCTTCCATGTAGCAATCTGGCTTATATTTCTGTTGCATACACCGAAAGTGCTGTTGCAATGGTGCTAAATATTCCCAAGTTGCTAAAATCAAAAATCAAAAGGACATGTACTGCTTCCTGAGATATTTTCTTTCCCAGCTTCCACGATATCTAGCTTTTCTTGCTTCCCTGTGATTATTCGAAGGATTCTATCTTCTCCTTCTTTTTTCCTCGATGACCTTATGCATTCCCATGTCTTAAAGTGCCACCCATAGGCTAATAATCCCCAATCCAGCTCTGTTCTCCCTTCTCCTGGGCTCTAGATCAGCATCTCAAATCTCCTAGACATCAACACCAGAGTTACCAAAGGTCCCTCAACTGCAAAAGGCTCAAATCAAAATCAAGCTTAAAAAATAAAATAAAATAAAATAAAAAAACTTGTTCCTCCACTTGTAGCATGTAAGTTAATGGTACCAGTCATCTGGTTGTTGAGGTGAGAAACCTGTAACCCTGCCTCTGCATCACCTCTGCCTTTAATCAATTACCAAGTTCTTTCCTTTCTATCATCTATCTTATGGACCCTGGACCCACTGCTTCCCTGAATCACCAGCTCTCACTTCAGAGTCCAAGAAGGACACATCTAATCGCTGTCTAGGCCAAGTGCCAAGACTTGTGCCCAGTCTCCAAGCGGCTGGGAAAGAAAATACTTGGAGATTTCACATCCCATTACAAGTGAGTTCAGTTTCTCACTGAGCCTCAGAATATGAGGAATTCTCCAAAATGAAGACGTCCAGATGACAGCAACACCAAACGTGAAACCATGATAAATGTGTGCACCCCCTGGATTACTGCACAAGCCTTCTCACGGACCGCCCTACTGTCAGTCTTGTCTTCCTCTTTCCCTACCTCTGTCCCGGATCCAGACTGCAATCAGTTATCTCTCAAAAATGTAAGTCTGGTGATGTTTCTCAAGGACTTAACACTCTTCCTTGCCTACTGACTACCCATAACATAAAATGCAAGTTCTCTGCATGGCTCCAGGCCCTCTCTGACCTAACTCCTGCTTTCTAGCCTTATCTCTGGTTATTTTCCCATCTCCAGATAGATTTCTGTTTAGCTGAAATGCTTAGTAGAATTACCTGAGTCTGCCATGTGCTCTCTGGGATCCAAGTCTTAAAATACATATTTGCCAGTATCCTCTTCACCTCCCCGCTCTTCCTCATCCCTCACACATCATTCTTTCAGCTTTCTCTCTTTCACAAAGGTTTCCTGATCCTGACCTTGCTGTTGCTTCTAGGTGCTATCACAGCACTTTGTTTTTCTATACCACTGCAGGATGACTATAGCTAACAATAACATACTCTATAGTTTCAAATGGCTAGAAGGAAGATGTTGAATGTTCCCAACACAAAGAAATCATAAATGTTAGAGATGAATATGCTAGTTGCCCTGATCTGATCACTATAAATTGTACGTATTGAAACATCACTAGGTACCCCATAATTATGTATAATTATTATTTGTCAATTTAAAAAATAAAATACAATTTAAAAAAAGACATACTCAATTATATAAGCTTATTATTTAGTTGTAATTTGTATTAAGTTCCATGAGGGCAAAAACCTTCTCTTTTTCAAGGTCATATCCCCGTCCCTAGCGCACTACCAGGCATGTGGTAGATAGTCCATAAATACACTTCGAGTGGGTAATTCTGGTCCATGTAGTACATCTATCCCAGCTTAGGCTTCACAATTTCGTCATGTCAAGAATCAAAGGTTTTGTTGCAATTATTTCCTTGGATTTTCAGCTTAATCTACCACAGGTTTGGTTGACACAAAATGTTTTTCAATCTCCTTTAGCACTGATTTCAACACAAAAACTGAATTTCTTTCAGGCCATAATAAATAAATAAATAACAAATAAAAAACACAGTAGCTTTCTTTCAAAGAAAAATAAATTTTACAAGAAATGCAATAAATGAAAATATAGTCTGTTGTGCCTTTGGTACACAAACCTACTTTCAGCCCCCGAGTCTCCCCCTCTCCACCTTCATGTCTCTTCTGGATCCATGTTACCTAATGGCTCATCTCCCCACACCTTGTAAGAGTTGATCCTGATCCTGGCTTCCCCTAAAGTTATCTACCATGTGTGCTGACTGAGGGGCCAATTGTACTTCAGAGCTCATTACTGAGAGAAACCAGGCTGCCTTGGTAGGACAAACTATAAAACGTTTTGCAATATACAAAATGGTACTGGGTGTCCTTGCAATAGACACCCAGTACCATTGCTGGATTGGCTCTGGTGGACGTTCCAGGGTCATCTAATTCCACAGGGGTCTATGCCTTTTATTGTCTTTACAATTTTACAACTCTGTAAGTTGGAAAAATCTAAAAACAATGCAAATTATACTGGTGCATAGATATACAAATGATTTTTTTTCTAGTAGAAATGCTATAGTTTTCCACTCTTATGATTCCAAACATTGTATTTTATTGCTCTATAGATATTAACCAGTTTCAAATCTATTACCAACTTCATATCAGCATGCCTGATTGCCTACATGTGTCTCATCTTCAGCGTCTCCTTTGAAATAATTGTAATATATTACTGATTTTTTCAATTGTTAAATAAAAGCTCAAATACATGTTATTTGATTTTTATATATTACTATACCTTTGCCTTTTCAAAATCATACTTTAACTGCCTGTTTCTCATGAAGAAAATACATTCAAGTATTAAAAATACACTGAATATAATTGTTCCTCATATACGAGCCATATCTGAATAACTGGAGACCAGTCAGGATGTTTCTATCCTGCAGCACAGACTGGACAAAGGAATTAGAGTGATATTTGGGTTAGTAAAGTCAGGGAGAATGATGACACCCTCTGAAGGATTAAGGATTTACTTGAAGAAGAGTGCGAAATATGGTTCAGTAGATAGAGTAGGGCTAGCATGTGGTGAATCTAATAATTCAGGCACAAAAAAAGTAACTATCTTTCTAAGAAGACATGTAAGACAAAAGTACAGTATTCCACTTAAGAAGATGGGGTATGTTAACATTGAGTTTCAGGATCTCTGATTAACTACCCTCTGTTAAACAGCAGGTCTATGACTCACTGCATCCAGTGAAGCAGTAGGCTCTTGAGCTGGATTTCTACAACCCCCTCGACTCTTGCATAATGTATTTTGAAATTAGAGATTTTCTTAGATGGGAAGATACTTCTACGCAAGCAACTCAATTCAGTCCTCTGAAGACACACCATTTCTGGGGAATGTCCCACCAAGTTTACTCCTGACTGACACAAGGTAGAAAGTTGAGGTTCACCACATCCAGGAAGCTTCCATTATTCACTCCTAGACTCAGTCTTGTGGCAGACATCACCGCTGATGTTTTCTAGATCGTCCCTCTCAGTACTCTATGAACAATATATAGCAAAAGAATGGCACACTTAGAGTAACAAGGAGTCATTGCTTCACAATATAAAGTTCAAAATGTCAGTGGAATTTAAAGCTGTAATAGCTTACAGATAATGAAATACCTTTTATTTAATTCTGCTGATATTCCCATGTAAGTGTTCTATGCCAGGCCTCTAGTTATCTCATGCCCTTTAAGATTAGATTAGACTCTCATAGCCCCCAGGTTTTTCTCACTTTCCTTAAAAGCCTTATCAAAATTTTATATTATTAACATATTATTTGTTTAATATCTTCTCTATCTCCTCCACTTTACTACCTCCCATGACTTTTAACTCCTTGAACATGATAACTGTGCTGTAAGTCTGGATGAAGGGTCAGCAAATTTCAGCCCCTGAGCCAAATCCATCCCAACCCTTTTTGTATGCCCTGCAAACTAAGAATGTTTTTCTCATTTTAAAACTATTGTTTAAAAATTAAATATCAAAATAATAATAGTTTTAACACATTAAAATGATATAAAATTCAAATATGAGTGTCCATAAAGTTTTATTGGCACACAGTCATGCTCATTCATTTCCATCATCTTTGGCTGGTTTCATGCTCATGCAGAGTTGAGTAATTATAATAGAGGCTGAACAGCTCACAAAGTCAAGAGTATCTACCATCTGGCCCTTTCCAGAAAAGTTTGCCCATCCCTGGCATACAGCACAGCTGTACTTCCAGCACCTGAAATTTAATAAGTGATTATTACCATCTGTTGGACTGTTGAGTGAATGAATATGAATGCACATAACTGGAGACAATAAAGTTTCAAAGATTTCACTGAAAACTATAAATAAATGAAAATTGGAATCCTTAAAATGCATTTTGTGGTTTAGGGTTGGATAATCAGAGTCAGATTTACTAAAAATATCAATATTCTATTGATCTCATTACATTAATCAATTAGAGTTTGAGTAAGGTGGGCGGGGGGCTGACTGTGAGCCCTATCCTACTAATAGTGCCTACTGCACACATCATCTTTTTGAATGATTTAATACTGCCTAGTGAGATATTTGATAGCACTCACAGGGCATGTATTAAAATCATAAAATGATCAACACAAGTATACTTGATATTTCTTCCAACTTGTAAAATAAAGAAAACTTATATTCATTCACTTTAATGTTTCTCCCAATTTGTGACTTACAAGTTTTATGATTAAAATGGGGAAAAAATCATTGCTACTAATGACATTCTATGCTGTCTTTCAGAACACAGTTTCAGAAAACAGTTTCCAGTGCCTCTGGCCTTCCTACTGAAAGCAGACACAGAGTGCATGAAGACCGTTCAAATATGTCAGGGACCTCCTCCCATGAGTCCTTCTATGACTCCCTCTCAGACATGCAGGAAGAAAGCAAGAATACTGACTTCTTCCCGGGCCTTTCTGCTTTCCTCAGCCAGGAAGAGATAAACAAGAGTCTTGACCTGGCCCGGAGAGCCATAGCCGACTCCGAAACAGAAGATTTTGACTCGGAAAAGGAGATCTCGCAGATTTTCAGTACTTCTCCTGCAAGCCTCTGTGAACATCCTTCCCATAAGGAGACCAAATTGGGTGAACACGCCTCGAGGAGACCTCAGGATAACAGGTCAACACCTGTCCAGCCTCTGGCAGAGAAACAAACTAAGAGTATCTCTTCACCTGTTTCAAAGAGGAAACCTGCCATGTCACCCCTGCTCACCAGGCCCAGCTACATCCGGAGCCTCCGAAAGGCTGAAAAGCGTGGTGCAAAAACTCCCAGCACAAACGTAAAGCCCAAAACGCCACATCAAAGAAAGGGTGGCCCCCAGAGCCAGCTGTGTGACAAGGCAGCTAATTTAATTGAGGAGCTAACATCCATATTTAAAGCCGCAAAGCCAAGAAACAGAAGCCCAAATGGGGAGTCCTCGTCACCAGACAGTGGGTACCTGTCTCCTAAAAATCAGCCGTCAGCCCTGCTGAGTGCCTCAGCCAGCCAGAGCCCTATGGAAGACCAAGGGGAGATGGAAAGAGAGGTCAAGTCCCCTGGGGCCAGGCATTGCTACCAGGACAACCAGGACTTGGCAGTGCCACACAACCGCAAGTCTCACCCACAGCCCCACAGCGCCCTCCACTTCCCAGCTGCACCTCGATTCATCCAAAAGCTGAGGAGCCAAGAAGTAGCAGAAGGGAGCCGAGTTTATCTGGAGTGTAGAGTCACTGGAAACCCCACTCCTCGAGTCAGGTATGAATTTTTGTATTATGCATAGCAAATGATCTTGTTGACTTTGGTGTTACTTTAATATGGGAGGAAGAAAGATTTCCTGTGTCATTAGCCCTCTGGAGACTGAGGTAGAGTACTTGCAAGGAGAGAAGCAGCCCAGAATCGCCACTATGAGTTGTCCTAGTTGTCCCTGGCCTGATATATCTGTGGTCATGCACCCTCTGTGCTAAGGAAGGAAGGCAAAGGACTTGAGAAGGCAAAGAGCAGTGGAAACAGTTTGTTCTCTAAGATGGTGGAACTAGTAACAAATAGGCACACTTAAGATGTGAAACTTATTTACTCGAAGTACTGTGAAAAGTGTGTGTATATTTGAATATGAGTTGCTAAAGACGGTTGAAAGCATGGCTAAAACTAGCTGCTATCTAGAAGTGAAAGGCACGAGTGTGTAGAGGCCAACCTTCAGATTAGCCCCCAATAACGCATTAAAGGGAACAATAAACACCGAGGCCTACTTGAGGGGGGAGAGTAGGAGAAGCCTGAGGATCAAAAAACTACCTATCAGGTACTAATCTCATTACCTGGGTGACAAAATAATCTGTATGCCAAAGCCCTGCAACATGTAATTTACCCATGTAACAAACCTGCACACGTATCCCCGAATGTAAAAGTTGGAAAGAAAAAAAAAAAAGATTCTCATATACAAGAAACAAAAACCAAACAAAAATTATCCCCCAAATGGATAATCTAGTCTCAGGCATGGACTAAATAGGCACATATTCAGTAACATAAACACACACACACCCCTTCAATGTGATGCAAAGAAGGAAGGCAGAACTTTCCTAAGAAAGAAAGATAAATCAAGTCAGGAGCTCCGCAGGTCTGCCCGTTATTCCTACACAGGCTCTGGCCACTAGAGCATGGAGACAGCAAGAAATAACAGTGAAGGGAGTATGCACTTAGAGTTAATAGGCACTCATACCACCATGTTCATTAGAATTTCTATACATTCTTCTGACTTCATTGTAGAGTTTATACCTTCCCCTGAGCAAAAATGTTAAGGGGAAAGAGATCCTGGAGTCCCCCTGCAGGGTTTCCAGTCATGATTCCATTGCCCAAGTTACTCTACCCCTCTGTGACTCAGTTTCTTCATCTGTGAAATGGGAAGTATAATGATACCTACATCATTCTGTTTTATGATTAAATAATACATGGGGAAAATTAAAGCAGTACCTTGCAGCTAGTAACTGCTGCAGTAGTGTTACCTATTATCTTTATTATTTCTCATTTCTTAATTTTATATGGCAAAATGAAAATAACAAGTCAGGATTATACTACACAAATAATGAATATTCATTTATCTGGGAAGTTTTGCTTTTATTCATGCAGAATGCTTTACCTAAATTACATAAATATTTAAAAAGTTAACTCAAGGGCCAGGCACAGTGGCTCATGCCTGTAATTCCAGCACTTTGGGAGATTGAGGTGGGTAGATCACCTAAGGCCAGGAGTTCGAGACAAGCCTGGCCAACATGGTGAAACCCCCTCTCTACTAAAAATACAAAAAATTAGCCAGGCATGGAGGCGAGTGCCTGTAATTCCAGCTACTCAAGAGGCTGAGGCACAAGAATCACTTGAACCTGGGAGGCAGAGGTTGCAGTGAGCCAAGATCATATCACTGTACTCCACTCCAGCCTGGGTGACAGAGCGAGACTCTGTCTCAAAAAAAGAAAAAAAAAAAGTTAACTGAAAATTATTTGATTTGGAAAAAAATGGTAAAGTAGACATCACTGGCTAAAGATTGAATTGAAACACTGGTACTTTCTTACTAATAGCATTTCACAGATCACAAACTTCCCTGTATCTCTGATCCTTTGCTCACTAACACAAGCTTTGCTAGTGTTGGTTTCTTAATCTGACCTCATTGTGCACACACATGAAGTAAAAATTAGCATTACTGGCTGAAAAGTGGTGTGATTACAGGTGGGCGATTTTTTTCCCCCGACCAATTTGTTCAACTAATTCACTTTGAGTCAGCTTTACAGTAATTTTACTATAATTCTTTAAGAAACTGACAGCAGGGGGCAGTAAAAAACTTTTTCATGTGTTCATTTAATTAAATATGTCGTTCTAAATTCTGCATTTATATGTTATTTATGTAGATTATTTATACAGATTTATATACATGAAGAATTTGTTTCTTACATTTTACCTTTGACAGAAATGAATGTTTCAGATTCTATTTAGATTTTTTAACCTATCAATCTTGCAAATAAATAATTTTCATTAGACATTCATTCTCATGTCACTCAAAACAGTTCCACAGGTTTTCAAACTACATATGGTTCCACCTACATTTACTTCCAAAATAACCCTTGAAGTATACTACAACCTTTAAAAAATGACAGAAAGCAGTCCATTTAGCATTGAAGGATTAATTCAGGTGAACAGACCATAATTACTGTATTAAAATTCACTTAACCATTTGGTGATTCTAGGGGTCATCAAATTCACACTTCTGCCTCTTTGGGGGTAGCAGAACTAAAATTTAATTTAGTTAGTATCTGCAGTATTATTAACTAGTTTTCTCTTATTCTGCAGTCTATGAAAGTCCAAACTTGACAAATTATGCCCTTCTAGAATAATTAAGTCTCATAAAATGTTCCATTGTTGAAAGTTAGCTGGTCATGTTTGTATCCTATAGAGTTTTTTGGGTTTGGAGGCTGTTTTTGTTTGAGAGGGAGAGCATAGATGCTCATTGGATTTTTTAAATTTCTGTTCCAAAGATCTTGATCCTCCTTGTCATGTATTTGTAAGTGCACCAGACGCCTAAGAACATTGAGCTCTTTTGACCACATGAGACATATGACAGTCATAAGAGAAAATCTTTGAAGGAAATTTTCTATCAGGAAGAAAACCTTTATTAAAGATTTCCTGCAATGGGGCATTTTAGAACCTGACTCAGACTGTGTCAGTCCAGAGGACCTAGGACCTGGAGCTTAGGCAGACCTATTGATTGGCAGGCCATTTCCTGAGGTCACAGAAGCAGTTGACAGACGTGTGGAGAGGCAAGGAGATGTCAGGAGAATCTAAAGCAAGCCATAAGCAGAAGCCCAAGAGACACTGGTTGGTGAGAGCAGAGACGCTCCTCAGTGTTGGGTAGTTGGCAGCTGTACTGGGAGGTAAGTGAGGTATGGTGCCAAGAAGCTTGGCGGTTGGCCAATGGAAAGGTCCAGGCTGACTTATAGGGAATGCGTCACAGGAAAACATGGCAGCAGACAGTAGGATCAAGATACAGGAGCTGGAACACGGGGGAGAAACCTTTACCTTGCAAGAGTTTAAGCAAGTGAAAGTTAGGACCATAGCTCCAGAAAGACAAAAGAACAGAGCAGAATCTTAGTGACTCAACTGGGTCCAGATTAGGGAAACCAATTGCTAGGTTAACATGCCTGGGCTACTAAGCAGCTGGCTGGAGCTTAGATTAAACAACAGAGATTGTTTGCTTTTGAAAGCTGGCATGATGAACCTTACAAATGTGGATAAAGAAGCCCCCACTCAGGGAAGAAGTAACAGAAACAACAGGGTAAAACCAGGCCAGTCACTTCAAGGCAAGGCATTTGTACTTCACATGCAGTCACTTCACCCTCTCACACTGTGTGAACACCACTTATGACTACAAACAGGACTGAAAATATGTTTTCCTCCTTTATTATTGCATATCCAACAAAATCTCAACAAGAGAAAGAAGAGCTGATAGAAGAAAACCCTATGCATAAAAAAGGACGTTATATACAATTGAGGTAGTATTCACATGATATGCAAATTATATTAACAATTTGAATTACTACATTAAATGAAATCAAGTCAGAATTCATTTTTTCTCTGCTTATGCTCAAATGTCCCATATTCTCATATACTCCTTCCAAACAGCATAAAGACCTGTTCCCTGACATCACTCACCTTCCCTGTTCTCTCCACTCTTGACTTTGTGAGTTAGTAAAAAATTTGTGAAGAATTTTAGTTCAAAATTACCTCCGGTATTATAAAAAGGAGGCCTTATATTTTTAAAGGTATTTATTTATTTTTAAAGGTATTATTTATTTATTTTAAAGGTATTTATACCTTTAAAAATATTTTATCAACTGTATGTTTTAAACCATTTAAATGTAAGGAGACTGGGATCAAAAACTGTGAAATGATGTGCCTAGTAATACAAAAATCATTCATTAGTCATGGAGACTGGAGTATAACTCAGCTCTTATGATTCTTGATCCCATGCTGCAGTTGTTAATGAGAAGACTTAGCCACTGTCACTGTGGAGTTAGAAGTTATGCATAGCTTACTGAAAGCCTCCAGAAATGGAGATAGTGGAATTGCCACCTTTAAAAATCTACGCTTGGAATTCATATTCCAAATATCTTCAAAGAAAATGGTAGCCTGGCAATTTCCAGTATCTTTCTCTATGGAAAAAGAAAACAAATCCCTTCATGGGTATCCTTCCCTTTTTTTGTATTAAGTTAATCATGGTCAATCAACAGAAAATATTTTTTAAGGTGGGTATAGTTAGTGTAGAAACATTCAGTGTTGGGTAGTTGGCAGCTGTAGTGGGAGGTGAGTGAAGTGTGGTGCCAAGGAGCTTGGCAATTGGCCATTGGAAAAGTCCAGGCTGACGCACAGGGAATGCGCCACAGGAAAACATGGCAGCAGGAAGCAGGATCAAGACACAGGGACTGGGACATGGGAAGAAACTATGTTATTCTCAATCAAATTACTACAAATAAAGTTATTATTCAGAAAATAACTACAAATAAAACAAAGCATTCCTGTTTTATCTACAAGTAGTCCAAACACATCTTTATATTATTAATATAAGGTAAATGTGTACATATGTCAAAAAAAACTTTTAAACACCCACTTATTGTAGTAAAAGTGGAATCCAGTAATGTGCTTTAATAGTCTAAATACAATTACTCATATCTAATCATAAGATACCTACTAGGTCATCATTGTTAGCCCTGTAAAGTTTTATTTACTATATATAATTAAAAGTAATACAATTATTTCTTTTTATAATCGAAATACAGCATGTCCAATGCCTCCAATTAGTTTACATCAGCAAGACTTTGATCATCATCAAAAGCCAAAACAAGAGGATTAGCCATATCAAATCTATGCAACTCTGTCAGTAAAAATTTCCATCTCCTCAAAAACGACAGGAAGAAAAACAAGCCATGAATTTACTTTTCTTACTAAGGGTAAGAAAATATGGTATCTCCCATCTTTTGGCTGATTTGGTTTCGGAAAATGTAGCAACAGCACCACTAGCCAATAGTTTATGAATATTCAGTGCTTGTAAAGTGAAGATCCAGATGGCTTAGCCCAGGAGTATCGTTGTTGTTAAAGAATATAGTCAGCAATGAGATACCAGATAATACCATCAGATCATCAAAATGAAAAAATCCTGACAATACACGTGTTGTGACTGCAACATGAAATGTAAATAGGTACAACCAGTTTGGAGAACTGTTTTACGATACACAATTAAGATGTGCATACACTAAGCCTTTATAGATACACAACTGCCTACTTGACACCACTATATCGATGTCTGATACTCTTATCAAATTTGTCGAAAACTAAACTGATTCTCCTCTCCTCCAAAAACCTTCTCTTTCCAAATCTTCTCCATGTCAACAAAAGACAACCCTCCTTCCAGCTGTTCAGGAAAAAAACCTTGAAGCCATTCTCGATCCCTCTTTTTCTCACACCCCAAGTCCAATTCATCCAGCAAATCCAGCTGGCACCACCTTTAATGTCTCCAGATCTGACCACTTCACCCCACCTCCATAAATGAGGCTGCACGTCAAGCCACCATCATCTGTCTCTTTGTTATTTGCATTACCTTCCAACCCATCTCCTTGCTTTCGTTATTGTTCATCACAGTCTACACAGCACTCAGAGTAATTCTTTTTCATGAAATCACTATCACAGCACTGCCCGAACACCGTCCAGGGGCTTCTCACTTAGTCCGAGTAAAATCCATAGTTCTTATACATCCTAATCAGGCTTCATCTCTCTGATTTCACCTCTTGCCACTCCCCCAGTCACAGTGGGGTTCTTGGCTGCACCTCCATCACACCACCAGGCTTGTTCTTGTCTGGGGCCTGTGTACTTTCTGCTCCCTCTGTTTGTAAATCTCTCTCCCCAGATATCTGCAGGATTAAATCCTTGATCCCCTCCATATCTCTATCACCTTTACAATATGGCCTCCTATAACTACTCTATGTAAAAGAAAGGTCCTGCCTACCTTACTCTCTATTCCACTCTCTTGCTTTTCTCCATAGATCTCATGTGATACACTGCACATTTTATCTGTTTGATTTTTGTAGTTGTCTTTCTTCCTTCACTAGAATATAAAATCCTTGGGTGTAAGGACTTTATCTGTTTTACTCACTTTTGTGTCCTCAGAGCCTAGAACAGTGTCTGGCATGTAACAGGTGCTCAATAAATATGTGCTCAAGAAACTGGAAAGAACCTAAACATTCATCAAAGAGAAAATGGATAAATTGTGATATAGTCACACAACAAATGAACTAGAGCTGCATGTATCAGGATATATGAAACTCATAAGCATAAAATCAACCAAAGAAAAGCAAGTTGTAAAAACTTACACATAAATTACATGGACAGATGTTTGCATATGAAGTTACATTTGCAAAATAGTACTATTTCAGGCTTACGGATGTAGTAGTACAGAGAAATGTGTGGGAATGAGGAACAGTCAATTCCAGACAGCAGTAACCTTTGAGATGAAGCACGTGATTTGTGAGGAGTCAACTGTGTTGGCAGTATTTTATATCTTAAGGTGGGTAGTAGAGACACAGATATAAACTACATCATTTTAATATTTAATAGTGAAAAATACTGACTTTCATGTTAATCTACTATCCTCATGATGTATCAATAAGTTCAGCAGCAATGTCTCTAATGAATACTTTGATTTACCCCATAAAAACCATCCAGAAAATATCTTGGTGTTAAGCACTGTGAATCGGATAGGTTGGCTTTTAGCCATTTGTCCATATAATTTTCAGGGTTGTTTTAGTTATATTTTAGAGCTTTTTAAAATGTTTTTTTTTGTTTTGAATTTATGGTGTTTCAGTAGAATATTATATGTATTCAGTCTTGTGCCATGGATCTTTTATGGTATAGTCTACTTTATTTGCTGCAGTCAATTAAAAAATCTGTATATGAGCTTCTTGTTTTTAAGGAAAAAGTCTGCATTAGGCACAAACACACACACACACACTATGGACCTGGTTAGGACTAGTGAGAGGGAATTTGAAAATGAACAAGTGCTTCCTGTCACTATCTCACCAACCCAATTGCCTCTCCTCCCATCTACATACCTAGACAATAGGAACAAGCACACTAGGGCAGAATCCATAAGAAAGCAAAACCTAATTTTATAGTTGCCTATTTTCTTATTCTTTTATTTCTTAATTCATTTTAAATCTTTTTTTTTTTCTGTGTATTTGCACTGAATTGAACAAACAAAAGCCTTTATATTTTGCGGAGGACAATAAATATTCCCTAGAACACCCAATTACTGTTGAACTAGAAAGCAAAAGAAATTCATAAGAGAATGGCACCTTTCGCCGGGCACGGTGGCTCATGCCTGTAATCCCAGCATTTTGGGAGGCCGAGGCGGGCGGATCACGAGGACAGGAGATGGAGACCATCCTGACTAACTTGGAGAAACCCAGTCTCTACTGAAAATACAAAAAATTAGCCGGGCGTGGTGGCGGGTGCCTGTAGTCCCAGCTACTCGGAAGGCTGAGACGGGAGAATGGCTTGAATCCGGGAGGCGGAGCTTACAGTGAGCCAAGATGGCGCCACTGCACTCCAGGCTGGGTGACAGAGCGAAGATTCCGTCACCAAAAAAAAAAAAAAAAAAAAAGAGAGAGAGAGAATGGCACCTTTATTTTCACTTAAGTGAAAAGATAGCCTTATCTCTGACTCCTACCACACAATTTCTGGGAGTTAACTCATGAAAGGCATGCGACGCATTGAGAGGTTTTATCCTCTTTCTATCTTTTCCATTCTTTCTTAACCGCTGTTTTCATCCAGTACCTACCCACTTGTAATTTTCACTCTGAAAACTAGCTATGCCTCTGCAGTAGCTTACCTGCAAGGCCATCATTAATGAGAATATTGAGTCTATTTCTGCAGACCTTAGCGAAATGGAATAATTCAGAATCCAGCAAGCCCAGGAAATATTGCCCCTGTTGCATGGAATTCTTGTTTAATGACTTGAATATTACAGAGTGGCAGCAGCTGCCTTATTACCTCTTCTGGTCAACCCATAACACCATGATGTTATGAAAAGCCCATTCCAGCTGTATAAATGCATAAAGCTGTGAAAATGTTGCTCTCACTGATACCTTAGTGAACCAAGAAGTAAGGCTGATATTCAAGGCAAAAGTGGAATATCACTATACAGTTAGAAGTTTGAATTGGTTATGACAGTCATTGGTATCTAGTCATGAGTAGCAGTAGCTAAATTAGACAGTAGCATCAGTTTATATCTTAATGGACAAGTTTCTGGATTTAACAAGAAAACAATAAACACCAAAATAAATGTAGCTGAAGAATAAAGGTAGAGATTTTTTAATGTCTTTTGCTTTGAATTTGTGGTGTTTCAGTAGAATATTACATGTAGTCAGTCTTGTGCCATAGATCTTTTATGGTATCATCTACCCAGTTTACCTGCTGCAGATGGCAAAAAAAACAAAAACAAAAAAAAACAAAACACCTGTATATAAGAAGCTTCTTCAGATAATCCCTTTAGAATTAAAAGGGATTCGTGAAACAAGCATCAGAAGCGCTTAGTGGTGGACAGTAGAGGTTCTAGAATCAGAATGTGACTCTTGGCTCCATCACGCATCAGTTAGGTCACTGTGGCAAGTTATTTCAACTTTCTGTGCCTCAGTTTCTTTGTTGGTAAAATGGAAATAATAGAAGTACCCACCTCTAGGGTAATTATGAATGTTAAGTCAATTAACACAGAGAAAGAGTTTAAAACTGTTAGCACATTGTAGTGTCTTAATAAATATTAATGTATTATTTTAAAAGTTACTTATTATTTTAAAGTGTTTACTTTTATAGTTTATTGTTATTGACTTAGAATAAACTCCCCGCACTCTACCTTTTCAAAAACCTTTGACTCTGTTTCCTCTCTTTAAAATCTTCATACTGCCATTTTCTTTTATACTACTAAGTATTCACAATGGTATAGAGCCTATGGAGATGGAACACTTCAACAGCATAAAATAAACAAATGATTTATCAGAAATACAATACATCTTGAAAGTTGCTTTTGACTATTTGTTGAGTCCTAGATTTGTATCTCAGAGTCGGAATCATCACAAAGGCTGCCAGGAAGTAGTGGGATACTTTCCCTTGGTCTCTGTATAACATACTATTTTTTTTATACATTTTTACCTCACTTGGCCTTCTGTTCCTTCACTGCTGCAGGGTATGGGATCAAAGCCAAAGAAAAGTGATTTGTTTCTGTCTCTACTCCTCCTTCATACAACTAATTATCTCCCCATCCTCTCTTTCTAAATGTAGAAGCTGTGAAGGTCAGCCGTACTGTGGATTACTGTCAATTTAGAACACCTTCCAAAAATAAAATCTCTTTGACTATTGTTTTCTTGCTGCTTTAAAAATTGTTTAGCAATTTCCCTCAGTTTGCTTTGTGAGCATGTGTTAACTATTTGCTAGAGTTAATTGAAAGTGGTTCCCCAATACTTTAGCCACTCTTTGTTTTTGTATTTCAATAATTTCAGCAGGAAGAAAAATCTAAAATAATTTAAGTAACAAATGCAGGCTTTTCCTCAGCTAGATAAATTGACCTTTTATTTTGCATTTTCTTACTACTAAGTATTATACCATGCTGCAAAGCTCTCAAAAGGAAAAGGATGTGCTTTTCGGAAGTTTAATTTATTAGTATGCAAACTAGTATCAAATAGTTGTTTTGAAAGAATTTGACCCTGAAGTTTCAGATACCTTCACAGTCAAAACTACTCAATGTCTCAAATCTTTTCTGCAGAGTCTATTTTAAGTACTTTTCAACATGTTTCTTCATTTGCCTTGGGGCCATACCTCCTCATGGATCACTGAATCTGCTTAAGCATAATTACAGCAATTCAAGGACTCCATTTAGACATTGCATTCTTTTGACGTTTTGGAGTTACTTTATAAATGTAACTGTAGCAAATACAATTTTAAGTATGAAACTTTATATAGCTTACTGTGCTGACCAAGATGCAAAATAGTTCTACCAGTTGGTGTTTGAATGATATATAACAATAGAAATGGTTCTTTCCTATTTAATTTTAATTGATTTGAGCCAAGAAATAGCATCCTATTGGATATCTGCTGAAATAGGACTAAACTGCTGGTCTCCTGAACTGTGATAGAGAAATCCAATCAAAAGCTTTTCCTGGCCAAAAATAATACTAATTGCAAGTGAAAACTAGCTTTGTTCTCTCGGTTATGAGTTCCAATGGTGAAGTCTAGTTCCATATAACAGTGCATGGTAAATTAGGCCACAGAAACAAGCTTCCAGTCACTGTTTATATGATCCACATGTTGTGGTCCAAAAAATGTAAATAAAAATACCCTAGGGAATAAGAACTTTTTCCTAAGATGACAGCTTTTAGCCTTGGTTGTTGAAAATGGTGAGTATTTCTAATGAAATTGAAAACAAGTCTAGGGAAATGAATTTCCAAGTAATGGAGGAGAATCTTTGAGAACGAGAAGAAAGAGGAGAGGAGAGGAGGGGAGGGGAGGGGAGGGTAAGGAAGGAGGAAGGGAGGAAGGAGGGGGGAGGGAGGAAGGAGGGAGGCAGACAAAGAAAACTCTCATCTGAAGATTAATGGTTCTTTTAAAGTCAGAAAGATCTTCAAAATAATTTTCACCATTATATAGACATTACAGACCAATTGCTTTGACAGAGAATATTCTAATTGTGTTAGTGCAAAGAGAATGCAATAGATATACAGTTGTGGACATCTAGGGAGATGAGAAAGAAAATGTTTCAGTTTTGGACTTTGAACCACTACAAAGACCAAGAATTCTCCATATCAATATATGAATTTGATTATGTTAATGGACCAGCATGGGCCCAGCATGCTTTCTAGAAGGATAGTAATGAGAAGGTATTGATAAATAAGAGGATTTGTTCAAGGTCAGGGCTTAGCTAAGCCTGGTCACTCCAGTCCAGGGGCCTTGTTATCCCCTAATGAGGAGGTCTTGAAAGTTAACACCAGAAGCACGGTAACATTCAACCACCATCATATATGTCTGTGCAGTCACTGTGTAGAATTACACATAGTACTAAATTGTAGGAAGTTTATGCTAAAATTGCCATTTTCATGCTTGTCAACCCTATGGTCATCATTCTAAAGTCACCAATTAAAATGATTCCTCTTTATTTTCTTACAGAGCTATTAACACTGAACCCTCACGAAAGTTATTGTCATTCTCCTAGTAATACTAATAGATATAATAATATTAATAGCCAACATTTCTTGAGTACTTAGTGTATGCCACTCTTCTAAGGGCACTACCTGTATAAATTCACTTATTCCAATAAGCTAGATACTGCCAGATTTCTGGGATTCTAAGACATCTATTTTACAACACTTTAACATCTTTGTAATCAGAACTCTTTACAGAAAAGGACATACTTAAACAACAGCTGTCAGATGACTCATTTTGTGGTTGTATTGCTTGTACACATACAAATTTGGTCAGAATTGTTTGGCAGCTTAATTATTTACTTGGCCAGTACTATATGCTGTTTCTTTATTAGTGGTTCATAAAACAATGGTATCTAGTGGTGATTTCATGTTAGATTCAGTGAACTAGAAATTTGTTTTCTCCATTTTAAAAATAACATACTAAGATATGAATAGTTTAGCAAAACTTCCCAATTGTCCAGTTACTGGTAGGGATGGAATTCACACTGAGACAAACTGGCTCCTGGGTCTATACTTTTTTGTTTCTAATTTTTATGGGTACATAGTAGGCATATGTATATATGGGGCACATGAGATTTTTTTGATACAAGTATGCAGTGTGTAATAATCACGTCATCATAGAAAATGAAGTATCCCTCCCCTAGAGCATTAACGAATCTGTACATTTTAACTGCTATACTCTACTGCCATAACCCTTCTCAAGATCTGTCTCAATGGAGTTTGGGTGAGTCCTCCTGACCATCAGAAACACCACCACAGATAGTGAGCAGTTCTCTAAAAGCAAACCTCATGAATCGCTTCCTTCCATTGCCCCCAGACAATGTTAAGAAACCTTAAAAAAGAAAAGAGCCATGATTGATTCTTTAGTGGTCCTCATGAGAAAACTGTGCTGTATACATTCCCAGCCCACTTTGTGGTGTCACATGAGGAAGAGCCAGCGTCTTTACTCTTAGCAACAACCTTCCTTGTTGCAACTTGTGAGGGCCTGAGCTACAGTGCCTCCTCTATCAAAGCCATTTTGCTGGGTTTCTCTTTCTTTTATAAACAGAACACTGATCCCAAGCAGAATATAACAGATATGACTTGTAATCCGTTATAGTACCATTTAATCCTTATGTTTAGCTGCCAGCATTCTAATTAAGAATGTGTTGGCATATGTTGGCCAGAATCCTGCAACATGGAATTATTCCATGGGCCAAGCCTGAGGACACACACTGCTGCCTAAAATCGAGGAAGAAAGGGCCCCAACCACACTTTAGTTCAAGTGACTTCTGATATACCTTTTCTACAAAAGGCCATTGCAAAATACAATTCTGCAAGATCATTTTTTACGAAATAAATAATTTTAACTTTGAACAGGGAGCTAAGAGGGAAGCATGAAGATTGAAGAAATCAAATTAACTTTGGAACGAGAGATTGTCGTCATAGCCTAAAAAGTCAATGAGCACATCAAAAGGAGAGAGATTCCTCTGCCCACAGTAAAATTCATCAGGGGGCCACATGGTATAGTGTATCTAGGTGTTAGGTGTGCAGACAAGGAATGGCGTGCCTCAGTTTGGGGTCAGTTTCACTGACTGAACATTTGTGCTGCCCCATTGTACACACTCAGCTCTACAAATATCTTGACCAATTCATTTCCAACCTAGATGCTAGATATTTGGGAGAAATTTTTAATTGGAGGGGATTGGCACATATGTTGTAAGTGCCCCATTTGTTTTACTATTTGTTAATGGAAAATGCCAATGGTATACCTCAAATTAAAGATACCATCACCCTTAGTAATAGTTTAAACAAGATATTCCACAGAAGAAGAATGAGAAGAATCACTCTAGTATGAGAGCTATTGTGTTTGGATTGTATTTTCTTTTCTAAATCCTAATAGGCCAATGCAGGTAAAATGATGAATCCATTAACAAGGTGTTTCTATCCTATTACAAATCAAAGTAACTTTACTACCACTGTGTAACCTATAATAATTATATACCGTATAATATATAATGTATACTGTAACACTTATGTTGCCAATTTTAAAATTTTATACTGATCTAGTCCCTTTCACCTGCAAATCTTAAAATCTTAACATTTGTTCATCCAGTGCACTATGTAAAATGGCTTTAGCTCTTTGGAATTGGAAGTTGTATCTTCTAACATGGCCTAGGAGCAGCCCCTGCCTTCCAGCATAGAGTTCAGCTTCCAACACACGCCTCAAGAACCATGGGTTTTTTTGGAACATGAGGCCAGCTCTTAGCTACCTGCAATTCGGAACGTACTATTTGGTTTCAGCAGTTTCTTGACCCTTCATGGGGTCATCTTCAAGTTCTGTATTGTTGCATATGTGTTTTTTCTCTTTGCCTTTGGATAGTTTTCTGGCTTTCAGATTTTGATCTTTCAGATTTTGACAAATCAGAAAAAGACCAAACCCAGCCAAAACGTGTCTTTCATTACAGTTTGTTCTGGTTGAAATGTTAAACCTTCTCACATCCGTGGTATTGAAGCAAATTATGATCCAAAAAGAAAGAGGAGTTGGGTTCATCTTCTCTCTCTCACATCCACATTGCAAATCAGTCCTTTTTCACTCCCCATATTTAGTGCTATCTGTTGTCCTCTTGCCTCACTTTCTTCCAGGAGGTCTTCGTATCCTCAGGTAGGTCTACAGAAACACAATTTAGTTTTCCTTTCATCATGCAAACACAATGCTACACCTGCACTAATCATCTGTGCTCAAAGCCAATGGATGATAGGGGGCAAGTGTTAGAAATTACCCAAGGCTCTTAGCACCTGGAGTGTTTTCTCACAGCCTCACCTGTATGGATAATTTTATCAGCCAAATAGAGTAAGTGGATCTTAGTTGATCAGAGCAGGAAACAAGCTTGAAGCCAGGGGTAAAAAAAAAAATTAAGAGAAGCAAATGAAGCCTCCAGAAAGGGAATCTGAAAGAGACAAGGTGAAGGATTAGAAGCAGATGGCATGAGAAACAGTTCCAAGAAGCAATGAGAAAAGGCAGAGCTGGTGATAGTTCACTGCTAGAGACCATTAAACATCCATATCCCAAATGGTTCCAGATCAGACCTCCCAGGGAATGAAATTAATATGCAACAGTCTCCTCCTTTGCCAGCTGCTTGTGGCATTTGTCTCAGCTCTCTGTGAAAAATTGTGTGTACTCACAATAACAAACATATACGCGACAGCAATCCTTCCGAGGTGACACGAGTCATTGTTGAAGAGTCGTGCTCCCAGCACGTTGGGAGGCTGAGGATGGCAGATCACCTGAGGTCGGGAGTTCAAGACCAGCCTGACCAACACGGAGAAACCCTGTCTCTACTAAAAATACAAAATTAGCCAGGTGTGGTGGCACATGCCTGTAATCCCAGCTACTCGGGAGGCTGAGGCAGGAGAATCGCTTTAACCCGGGAGGCAGAGATTGTGGTGAGCTGAGATCGCGCCATTGCACTCCAGCCTGGGCAACAGGAGTGAAACTCCATCTCAAAAAAAAAAAAAAAAAAAAAAGTCATGCTCATGGCATTACTTCCTTAAAACTTCGAGTAGGATACAGAAGGAAATAAAGACAGTAACCTCTTTGGGGTTCTGTACATCTTCACAAAGCTTTTCTTCATAGATCAGAAAAGAAACTTAAATATTCCTTGGGTTTAAGCTGCCACAGAATTGTGTTAAGATTATTAAAATACAAGCATTTAAATATGAGGATCATAAGTCTGCCTTACTACTTTTGCTCCATTATCCTCTGACTCATCATCTTTCATAGACCCTGACAGATCCTCCTCTTCCCACTCTTCTCCACCCCACTGTCTTGCCCTGAGTGGCTGATCTGTGTAGACTAGAACAGACTCCTTCAGGTTTCCGGTTGGGCTAAGTCCTGGAGGGCCCTGGCAGATCAGAAGGAAGAAAGAGAGGAACTCAAGGTACTTAGTGTCCCATCTTCCTCCTATGGGCTTGCCTTGGCCCTCTAAGTCAAATGAAGGTCTCCATCAACACAATGCTTCCCTGTGTTCAGGAAAGTGCATCCACCTTCTGTTCCTTTAGGGTTAAGAGTGGTAGCAATTCTGCTTTGTAGTCCCCAGGTGATCCCTTATCCCTGGGTTTCCTCATACTCTGACGATACCTTCAGATATAATCTTTTCATGAAACCCTCCTTGCATTGTTTGAGTTTTAGTGTGCCCTCTCTTTCTAGCTAGGACCACAACTGCTACATCCTCCTCCTGATTGCCCAAACCTAAAATGATGATGACCCATAATTATTATCCAGATACGGTGACACAAGCAATTCCTGAAATGCTTTCCTCTGAAATTGCTAAGGATTACTCACAGGCAAGTTACACAGCTTCAAAATTACTTTTCCAGCTCTATATTCCCTATTATTTCTCGCTGTTTGCTTTTAGACTTAAGTAAACTTCAACTCCAATTCTATAACTTAGTAAAAGAATCACATTGATGTGAAAGTCCAAAAAGACATTTGATGTTGTAAGTGGAATTTTCTCATTCGTTCACTCTCTGTCAATGAGAAATTAAATGACTAACACTAAATGGAGTGCTACATATGTCTGGCATTTTTTACAAAGGAATTTATATACTGTCTCTCATCCAGTTATCTCGCAAGCTCTGTAGGGTAGGTTCTGTTATTACGTGTTTTAGATGTGAGAAAACTGAGACTCAGAGAGGTAGGCAAACTATCCAAAGACATAACGTGACAGTAATGTGTCTGGGATTATTAACACCAAAAGTTGGCTTTTTGGTGGAATTTGTAATGATGAGTGATTCATACATTTGAAGTGGTGCTTGACTTATTTAATGGTACATAACAAACCACTCCAAAACTTAATGGCTCAAAACAATTTATTATTTTCTCTCACTTACTAGTCTATTTGAAGACTAGCTACCACAGGGGAACTCTTAGGCATTTTTTTCACGTCTGTTATCCTGGAATGAGTAAACTCTAATGAGAACAAAGAATACCGAATATCATGGAGTTTGGATGAGGAGTGTGATACAACAGGGTTACAGTTTGAATTAGGAGTCACGCCAAAAGGAAGGTAGAAAGGAATCCAGATCAGTGGAAAGGAGGAAGCACCTAACATAAGAACTAGGTGTGCCATTAAGAATTATGCTTTGGGCCGGGCACGGTGGCTCACACCTGTAATTCCAGCACTTTGGGAGGCTGGGGCTGGTGGATCACCGGAGGCCAGGAGATGGCCAACCTAGTGAAACTTCATCTCTACTAAAAATACAAAAAATTTCGTTGGGCATGGTGGCACATCCCTGTAATCCCAGCTACTCTGGAGACTAAGGCAAGAGAATTGCTTGAAACCAGGAGGTGGAGGTTGCAGTGAGCTGAGATTGTGCCACTGCACTCCAGCCTGAGCAACAGAGCCAAACTCTGTCTCGAGAAAAAAAAAAAAAATGTGTTTTTCTCTTCAAAATCTGACTCCCTCCCTCAGTCATGTAACCTGCAGCATAGTATTAGCGCAAGTGCAGGGAGCCAGGCGAAGGGGGAGAGTGGTACACAATTAAGAAGGGCACAGCCTCCCCAGGCTCTTACTGAACTGCATTACCACATGACGATGGAAAGTCTTCAGCTAGTTTTCCCCCCAAAGAAATGAATCTGGTAAATCACTATGTTTAACTTACATCTGTTTTATTAAAACCTAAGAACAATCGTTTAATATAAAAAAGTTTTTTGAGACATTTTATTACCGAAAACAAAGATCCAATTACATGGCTTCTGTAGTGGGAGTTCTCAGCAGACAGAAGACAATTACAAAATCAAATAAAGCTGTTATAATTTTAAATCAAATAATTACAGACAAAATGACTAAGTATTGATATTTTTGTTTTTAAAAATAAAACCAGGCTAAATAAATGAAAATAAATACTTAAAGAAGTAATTGTTGCAGCTAAAGCAAAGCATATACCTTCTTCACCTAAAATATTAGCTTACATGTTTATTTTCATTTTAATGAAACCCAGCCCCCGTACAATATGTGTAAACGTCAAACTAATTTTATGTTTCTCTATTAGGTTTCCCACCATTCTAAATGGTGCACATTTAACAATATTTTATATTTCATTATTACTATGGCCCTCGGGTTCTGTGTTAGAACAATTACATACTGTAAAGAATTAGAAGTTTTTGAGGATTTACTCTCCAGAATAGTGACTGAATGTACTTTGATAGAAATGGAGTAACAATAGCTAACTCTAATTTATCCACTGCAATTGGTAATAAAGGAAGATAGTTAAGATCTCAAATCTGGAAGTCTGATATTTTAGCCAACAATCTCAACCTTCTCATTAAACAAAATATTTCTTTGCAGATAAGGCCTCTGCCCTTATTCTCTCATCTTGCTATTGATGTCCATTACGTGCATTTGGACTATGTTATGCATGTGTTGGACATTTATAGAACACTCCTTGAGTGTAAAGCTCTGTTGGGTATTGAAGGGTACAAAGACTCTATCCATCCCTTCAATAAACCTAGAACTGCAGAGAGAGATAGACACCTGCAACTGAAGTTCCTGCCTCTCACAATATTGATATAATTGGCTCCTCCCCTCGCCAATTTTATGGTTTGTGAAAGTTCAAAGCATGTCTTCCATATCTTTTCTCACCTATTGGACTCCTGTTGCTGCACATGCTGCTTCTGTGATGCATTCAGTGGACTCAGATGTAAAACTGCACTGTCTCTTTGAGTTCACATTTAGCAATTTTTTATTCACACTTATGAGCTGAATAAACTTCACAGAAGATGGTCTGAAAGGAGACAGATGAGGAACTTACATCACAGGCATGCCCACAATCTGTAAGGGAGCCAAGAAGGCAGGTCATCTGGAAAGCTAAATATCATTTTAAGACATTCATATTCTCCTATAACCATCAATGACCACTACTCACCTCTCTCTCCAAACTGCCCTTTCTTCTCAGCTTTCTCTTTTATCCTGGATTGCAGAAGCTCCAGATTCTTTTCCCTCTAATAAACAGGGAATGTCCCCCTCCTCTGAAGTCTTGGCACCATCTGATACCTAGATATTCCCAACAGAGAATCCAGTCTCTGGAAGAAGTGTTTGTGCAAATTACAGAGCATATTTTTAAAATATTCTCCCTTTTGTCAAATACCCTTAATTCAAGGCATGAATAAAAAGGACTAGAAAATAATAATGTTATGATATTGCTTATAGTAGTAAGATTTCTTGATTATGTATGTGTGAATATATATAATTGTGGGACCATGTGGTGATTTTTTCCCCTTTTTCTACTATTTGTCAGAATGTTTGGTAATAAGACTGCTTTGGAGTAACAAAGAATTGCTTAAGTAGACTAGCTATAAATTTTAAGCTGATGATGATCAATCTGAAATGGATGGTTAGACCCAGAACCTTATGATTATTTTGCCTGAACAAATTACAGAGATGAAAGGCTGCCTTCAAATTTTTGGACAGGATATCCCAGGTAAAGATGGAATTCATCCTAAACCAGAGGAGTGATGTAATACCAATTCCATTACCACTCAGTGTCCGGCACTCCAGACCAGAACAAAGCTGAAAAATCGGCAGGTGTGAATGACTCACACTGGACACTGAGTGATACCATTCACGTATCTTCTGTCCCCATGACGGAAGAAAATTGGCCTAAGAAACTCAGGAAGTGAAGCTTATATGGTGAACCAAAAAAGTTAGGCCATGCATGCTTAAGGAATACTCAGTGAAAAATCATGAATGCTGATAGAAAAATCCTCCCTCACATTGATGCTACTACAGTGAAGATATAATGTAGGTAAAAACACTGTCTTCATAAGGTATTGGCCACCAGGTCAACAAAAACAGCTGCCCTACAGAGGGCATGTTAAACAGAGAACCACTCTATCCCTGAAGTAAATCCTTTCCTGCTTTGGCAATTGAGGGGCTGGAGTTTTACAGGGGAAGGGGAATCTTCCAAAAGCCCTCCTTTTTTTTCTTTTTTTAAAGATTTTTACTTCTCTCATTTTATTTCTTTTTTAACTTTTAAGTTCATGGGTACAAGGGCAGATTTGTTGCACAGGTAAACTTGTGTCTTGGGGCTTTGTTGTACAGATTATTTCAGCACCCAGGTATTAAGCCTAGTACCCATTAGTTATTTTTCCTGATCCTCTGCTTCCTCCCATCCTTCACCCTCTGGCAGGCCCCAGTATCTGTTGTTCCCTGCTATGTGTCCATGTGTTTTTATCATTTAGCTTCCACTTATAAGTGAGAAGGTGCGGTATTTGGTTTTCTGCTCCTGTGCAAGTTTGCTAACAGCCTCCAGCTCCATGCACATCCCTGCAAGGGATATGATCTCGTTCTCCAAAAGCCCTACTCTTATTCTCTACAGGGAAATCAGATCTTCACTACTTCAGAGGAAACATAGCACATTACTTATACCAGTCATCCTAAGTCTTCATTCATAAACATAATCTAACTATCAGAATAGCCAGGTATTATAGGAAAACAAGAACTTGGCCTCTCTATCTCTACCAAAATGAATGAATAGGACCAATCCAAGAAGAAGCTGAGTTATCTCAAGAAAAAACTTTAGGAGAGAAGATTTTTAAATCCCAATTAACAAAATACACCATCAATAAAAATAATATTATATTGCTTTGGGAAAAAGTAGGATATAATAAAATTAGAATAGAATTACGTAAGTAAAAATTTCAGAGGATTGTCTGAAAAATCAGAGGATAAAGCTAACTATCTTGTAGAAGAAAAAATGACATTTCTTAAAATGTAGATCACACAGGAAAAGACATCATAAATAGGGGAAAAGGATAGAGACTTGAGGGAGATTCATGGAGGCCAAGGTGCATTCAGTAGAATTCCATAAGAAGAAATCACAGATAATGAAAGAAAGGGAAACCATTGAAAGAAACATTAGAAGAAAATTAGCTTTTGCTGAAGAAATACAGGAACCTTCTGATTGATTGAAAGACACATCAATCAAGCATTGGGCAGGATAGATGTTTAAAAAATAATAAAGCTCTTGATGCAATCTCAAGATGAAGAGACAATTCTAAAAGCTTCTAAAGAATTAAAATAGGTTACCCAAAATGAAGAATCAGACTAACACCTGATATTTCACCAGAAGCACTAAAACCCTCGAGGACAATAATGGAAAGCATATTTGTGTGTATATGTTTTAGAAAGACATCTGGAAAAATATACATCAAACCTTTGGGAGTTGAGGGAGAAGACTGGCTTTTTACTTTCTACCTTGCTGTTGTTTTAATTTTTAAGATCATCTTTTATTACTTTTATAACTAAATTATTTTAAAAATATCTTTCCCTTCTAATTAATTCTATCCATGGACAGAATTAATTAGTAGGCAAAGAGACTAGACGCTGTTACCTAATTAGAATGTTATTATAACAGTCACTGACGAGAAACTGAGAGGGGAAGAACCTACAGTAATAGAAATTAGGGGCCTGAATCAAGGAATGTTTTGAAGATATTTTTCATGATTTGGTGAGTTATTGAAATTAAGAATAAAGGAGAAAGAAACAATAAAGGTGATTCCTACAAGTCTGAATGACTAGATGACTAGATAATTATGCCATTCAGATGAGAAAGACCAAAGGAGGAATAGATTTCTGTTGGATGTTACGGAGAAGTCCATACGATGTTTACGTTACGGACTTGAGTCTGAGGTATAGGAAGAGCATTCATATAAAGGGTCTGGCCTGTGGTCTGAAATGGGGGCTGGAGCTTGGGAGAGATGTTGACTGGAGAGATAGCTGGGCCATGGGGTGAGCAGACAAGAAAGAAAAGGACTCATGACAGATCCATGTGGAGAGCCTGCACCAGGGGAAACTGAGGGAAGAGAAGCCAGTGCTGCGGGAGAAGGAGTGTTCATACGGAAAGGAGGATCTAGAGAGATCAATGTCACAGCTAAAGGAGGACATTTTCTCCAAAAAGGAGAAGGATTTGCCACATTGACGAAGACAAGAAGGAAGAGTTGAAATGCAAGTTTTTGATAACTGACAATGTCATTTCTTCTTCAGGAATTTCAGGTTAATAAATATTAGAATGGCCAAATAATCTTGTATAATATATTATGGTTCATCAGGTTGTTCTCATACAGGCATCTCTTCATTACCAAGGGGCTTTTAACATCTTAAGCAAGGCAAAGGTAGAAGACCCCTTACAAGGTTGCACTTTATCTAGATTTCTGGAGAAAACATGGAGTCAAGGAGTCCACCCCTTAGGGATGAGTTTCCAGAATTCCAAGCTGAGGTCAATTCCTGAACCAGGAATACCAAGTTCAAGGAAAAGATGGGCTGAAGTCAGGACACAGAGGTGAGACCAAAGCCACCAGGAGCAAGACCAGAGCCAGAGACCAGACAGGGAAGACAAAAACACCATCAGCGAACGTGTTCATCTGAGAGTCAGTCAGAGGACATATCAGCAGTGGCACTATGAAACTAATACCTTCTTGCCTTTCAATCATTTGTCTGTCTTATTAGGGAAATGAATTGTTATCTGATAATATTTCCCACAGAAGAAAGTGTTAATCATTTATATTCTCAAGATCTATGACCTATAAAATATGCATATGGAGAAGATTGATACTTTTCTAATATGCATTATGATGAAAAAGAACTATTCATTTCAAATGGTATAATAGGGGAAGTGGTTCCTTCATCATTTTTGGCTTTTTGTATCTTCCACTGAACACATTTTCTCTTCTGAACTTCTCCAGTACATATTGTAATAGCACATGTCTGCTTCTAATCATTTATTACCTTCATACTGACATCTTTTCAACCACATACATTGTATCTTTGTCATGACAGCCACAGGGGCACCAATTCTGTCTTATTTTCCTTTGAATCCTCTATAGCTACTAGAACAGTTTACATAATAGGTTATCTCATACTAATTGGCTGTCTTTTATCGCATTACCCAAAGATAATGACTACTGAGGATTATTCCTAATACAACCTAATACAACCTCCATATCTGCATCTGTGGATTCAACCAATCTCAGATTGAAAATATTTGAAAAAAAATGGTGTCTGTACTGAACATTTACAGACCTTTTTTCTTGTCATTATTCCTTAATAATACAGTATAACAACTATTTACATAGCAGTCATCATATTAGGTATTATGAGTAATCTAGAAGTGATTTAAGGTATACTGGAGGATGTGCATAGGTTTTATGCAAATACTACATCATTTTATATTAGGAACTTGAGCATCTCTGAATTTTGGTATCCAAGGGAGGTCCTGGAACCACTCCCCCATAGATACTGAGGAATGACTATATTATTTCCTTATGTAGGTTTTTATATTTTTTAAAGTATTTTAAGGTACATAAGATCTCTTGATTTTCACAAGAATTAAGTGGCTTAAATGGGAGAGAGGGTGGATTACCACTTAATAGATGAGTAAACTGAGGTTCAAATAATTCAATGATTTTCCAAAAGATTCAGTATTCAAACTACAGTCTATACTTTTTAATTCTTAACTGGGTTACCTTCTACTACCAGAAGTGCTGTTGATTTTCTGTAATTGAGATTCAGATAACCGAACCCACATATCCTAGGCCAGTGGTTCTTATATGGTGGTGGCTGGGGCTAGGGGAAGACTTCAGGGGTGTATGCGTATACCACTTTCCAAGAAGAGATTGGAAATGTGCAGAGTTATCACATGGTGGGTATCACAATGGATGGAAAGTGATTGTGGCATTTAGTAGGATGGGGTGTTTAACACCTTGCAATACTGAAGCCACCACGGTGAGAATTGTTCCATTTGAACACCCATTGCATCCCTCTTAAGAAACTCAGCAAGTTTAGGCAAATAAAGGGAACTATAGCCACCTCTACAAATATCTGACCAAGAGTCCTCCTTTATGCTGTCTATAAGGGGTAAGTGAGCAAAAGCAGGAATTTAGCACACAATCCAGGCTCGTATTCTTTGTACATAAAAATACAACTATTACATCATCGCATTAATAATCACATAAGCAACGTGGTGTGTAATTTACAAGAACACTTAAAGAACTCTCAGTACCTTGGTGCCGGTTAGAGACTTCACTGAATACATTTTAACTTATACTCCTTTATTTGTTTTGATAAAAAAGAGAGTCAAACAGAATTGTCTGGAATCTTTTCTTAAGGTTAACAGCTTTCTGTTCCCCTTTGTTCAAGTGTTCATTTTAATAATCTAATTATTCCAGATCTATGACTCCTGCTACTCAGGACTCTCCCAAAAGACCCCTGACTTCTGATGTTCCACTTCTGCCTGTCCTTTAACCCAAATAGATTCCTGTTGCCCTTCCAGCAAAACAAAACGAAAGGAAATGACATGCTACAGAAGGCTTTCTTCTCAGTTTGCAACAAACCCTGTAACAAGGTTTTCCCTCTGTTTAGGATAAAGGTCTCTGGGCACCTAAGGCATTAAGCCACAGAGCATTGCCCTCCTGCATTATTACCATCCTGGGATTACCTTTTGAAACATTCTAGCATTTGTATTTGACCGTGTTCACACTGCTATAAAGAACTGCCTGAGATTAGGTAATTTATAAAGGAAAGAGGTTTAACTGACTCACAGTTCATGGCTGGAGAGGTCTCAGGAAACTTACAATTATGGCGGAAGGCAAAGGGAAAGCAAGACACCTTCCACACAACGCAGCACAAGGCAGGAAGAAATGTCAAGCAAAGCGAGGAAGAGCCCCTTATAAAACCATCAGATCTCGCGAGAACTCACTCACTATCACGAGACCAGCATGGGGGAAACGACCTCCATGATTCAATTACCTCCACCTGGTCTCTCCCTTGACACTTGGGGATTATGGGATTACAATTCAAGGTGAGATTTAGGTGGAGACACAAAGCCTAACTACATCAGCATTGAAAAGGTTCTCTCTTTTTTTTTTTTTTGAGACGGAGTCTCACTCTGTCTCCCAGGCTGGAGTGCAGTGGCGCGATCTCGGCTCACTGCAAGCTCCACCTCCGGGGTTCAAGCTATTCTCCTGCCTCAGCCTCCCGAGTAGCTGGGACTATAGGCGCCTGCCACCACGCCCGGCTAATTTTTTTGTATTTTTAGTAGAGACAGTTTCATCGTGTTAGCCAGGATGGTCTGATCTCCTGACCTTGTGATCCGCTGCCTCGGCCTCCCAAAATGCTGGGATTACAGGCGTGAGCCACCGCGCCCAGCGGAAAAGATTTTCTAGAGTTTAGTGCTTTCAAATTATCTTTACTACAGATACATTTCTAAAAGGATATGCCTTTCCAATTTCATTAAGTTGCTTAGGGTGAGAACACAGGACTGAGGAAATAATTGGGCACAAAAAACAGCTCTTACCTGTAACCCTTTCAAGTGCAAACTGTGATGACAAATGCTTTACTCACTCAATAACTAATAACATACTTTTGGTTACACAAACATACTGCTAAAAAATTGTATTTTCAATGATTGAAGCAATTATTCTACATAATTTTCACTTAGCAGTTCTAAGAATGTATTGATTTGTTTTCTGCTCATCTGGTATACTGGAGCAAATTGTTTAGCTGTGATGCTTTACAAAGTGCCATGTATCACTTTGTATCTCCAATTAAATTTCAATTAAGAAATCTTATAATTATCTTATATCAACCAGCCAAGAGCAGAAATTCCTCATATTGAATCATACTTACACTACTAATGAGACTGTCAAGGTTTGGCTTTATGTTTACCTCAGATAGGCGTCCAAAAACTGTGATGATTGTCCAAACTCTCCGAACATCTTGAGTCTGCAAAATTTCGCTGGCAGTCTTGTGGGAAGAAGTTTCTTTTCTGCATGAGCCATAGTGTCTGCTTCAAGTCCTGGCTCAAAGTCAGACTACAAAGGCAGACAAAAATGAGAGGGAAATTTTTATCTAAGTAGTTCAAAGCTTCAAAATGGATGAAAGGTTCAGGAAAAGGGAAAGTTTATTTTCTTTAAAACCAGTTCAACATATTTGGTGCCTATGGCCACATTCATGTTTAACCTGTTACAGCAGTAATAAATTGAATTCTATCCCCCTTCAGGTGAGAATAACCAGTAAGGAAACTTTCTGTGACATATTTTATATTCTTGGATCTTTTCCCTGTTTTAACACACAAGAGTGGCAATACCAAAACAAGCTGTGTTTTTATTTGAATTGTGCTTATACATAGGCATCATAAGTATATACTGAAGTATTTGCTTAAGCAAGTAGGGTATTAAGTAGGATTTTAAAAATAAGTAGAAGCAAAACGGGAATGATAATTGAAAATGTATAGAATTATAAAATGTGCCTCATGATTTGAAGTATAGATCCAGGGAATTATTCTGAGTAAGTAAACAATCCACTTCCTTTTTTCTATCTGGAATCTAATAAAATGTTTTAAAGGCTTTGCCCTTAAAATGAAAAGGTAAGTATACAAAGAAAATTGAAAGATTTAACCGAATGAGAAATTGCTTAATATAATTCCTACAGTCATGACATTCCAAGTTCAGAACAATTTGTTTTAAATTTAAATAAAATAAAATAAAATAAAATTTTATTTTAAATAAATTTTAAATAAAATAATAAAATTCAGTCCATTTTAGCCATAGACCTTGTTTTTCAAATGACCTTATGATTCAGTTATTATACCTGCGCTCATTCTGTGACAGGTCATTCCAGAAGAGACACAATTGTACAAAGCTGAACATAAAATAAATCTTGGTTTCTTATTGAATTTTAAATTACATTGGGAATGCTTTTGGAATAATTCCAGACCTTAGGAGAAAAAACGTCTCCCAACTCTAAAGTCCCAGGTTCCATCTCAACGTTTCACATTCACCGGCAAAGGCTCCAAAAATAAATTACAGGCAAGCTTAAAAGATCAGAAAGGCTTTCCCATTGTGCAAGTGGGTGATTACCCGCGATTGGTGTCTGTTACAGTCATTGTGTCTTTCTCTAGGATTCTCTCTCTGTTTCCGAAACACATATGTTCCAAGTTTTGGATGCTACGACTTCGTGTTCATGTGGTTCAGAATTTAGCCCTCCCCCAGCCCCTAAAAAGGCTGATCTTATGGGCGTGAAAAACAGGCATTTCACAGATTTAGATAAATGTATAGTGTGTCATAAAACTAGCTCATAGAATTATAATTTGAAATTGTTAAGAACATTGTGAGTACCTACTACCTGAGGGATGAATTTCAATGGCACACCTTATTTTGTTTCATCCTTACTACAGCTGTGCTATCCCATTTTACAAATAAGGAAAACTGAGGCTTAGAGAAATTAAGTAACTTTTCCATAATTTGTCAGCTAGGAAATGATACAAGTTGAGTTCAGATCTAAGTTTTCAGACCCCACGTCAAGGGGTTTCAGCTTTAAAAATTACGAGTCCTGCCCGGGCGCGGTGGCTCACGCCTGTAATCCCAGCACTTTGGGACGCCGAGGCAGGGGAATAACAAGGTCAAGAGTTCGAGACCAGCCTGGCTAACATGGAGAAACCCCATTTCTACTAAAAATACAAAAATTAGCCACCCGTGGTGGCGCACCCCTGTAATCCCAGCTACTCAGGAGGCTGAGGCAGGAGAATCGCTTGAACCCGGGAGGCGGAGGTTGCAGTGAGCCGAGATGGCGCCACTGACTGTCTCAAAAAATAAAAATAAATAAATAAATAAATAAATAAATAAATAAATAAATAAATAAAGATGCTTTGGAAAACCTAAAGGTTGTGCAAAGGCCTCTCACAATTTCTTTTCATAGTTAATTTATGAAAATGCAACACACAGTCTCATCAAAGCTCAAAATTATCTTTTTCATCCCCGTTGGTACCCTGTTGATTCTTCCAAACTAAAACACAGCTGCATATAATTCAGATTTATTATACTTTATTTTATTTTTTTAAATAATTTCAACTTTTAGATTCAGGGGGTACACGTGCAGGTTTGTTACATGGGTATATTGCGTGGTGCTGAGGCTTGGGGTACGATTGATCTGGTCACCCAGGTATTGAGCATAGTACCCAAGAGTTAGTTTCTCACCCCCTTCCCTTCTCCCTCCCTCCCCCTTCTAGTAATCCCCAATGTCTACTGTTGCCATCTTTATGTCCATGTCATACTTTTTTATGATGTAAACCAACTATAGTGTAGTCCAAGACCTTAAAGGCACCTGAAGCTGAAAAAGAATGTTAATTATGGCACCGTATTATGACCAAGTCATCCCAGTCTGTGCTGCGACATGAGCCCTAACGATTTTCTCATTAGCAGATGCTCTAGCTGGTTTCCATGAAGGCTTTCCACAGTGACTTCCATAGTCGTCATAGGCGACTACTATCAGATTCCATCTCAACGTTTCACATTCACAGGCAGAGGCTCCAAAAATAAATTACAGGCAAGCTTAAAAGATCAGAAAGGCTTTCCCAGCATGCGAGTGGGTGATTCATTTGATTTGTGCCTGTTACAGTCATTGTGTCTTTCTCTAGGCTTCTTTCTGTTTCCGAAACACAAAACTACAGAAACCACCTCACCCTCTTTCTGTCCTTAGGGTTCATGCTAATTATGTTTTTACTCTGAAACGGGTTTTAGGATTGAAGGGCCATGTCGAATGGTGATAATTCTATTTCAGTTAGACAAGAGCCTGGAAAAAAAATTATTTTAAATGAGTTTCAGTTTGCGCATTTTTTTAAAAAAAGAGCAAAAAGTATGCATGTATGTTTGTTTTTACATTCTTCTTTATTTTTATCTTCTTACTTTGCTTTTTAATGAGTCATTAGCATTGGAAAATGAAAACAATTTTTCTCTAGCCAAGAAATATTGCAGGTATTACACATTCTCCTACATCAAAGCAAAGGCACTCCAAGCCCCCTTTTTAATGAAAAGAGTTTTTAGCAGGTGGGAAGAAAAAAAAAAAAAAGCACTTGCTCCTGAGATGATAAAAAGCCATTTTTCACTGCAAAATTATTAAATTAGCTGTAAGGAGTTGGAGTTTGTATTTGGCATTCCTTCTCACCTCACCCCAGCCTTCATCTCTCATTGCATTTTTGTGGAAGGGTTATAGATATACTCTAAATTGTTGACCTATCATGGAGACGGTAGTTAGTCTCCAAATTCCCTGTGGGCAAAGATGATTGCAGCCTCCCTGCTAATAAGTACACTTCAGTTCTATGAAATTTATACTTAAAAGAAAACAATGGAAAATGTGGCACAAACACATTGTCATATTTACGCAGATATGTTGACTCACTGTTACTTAAGCGTCAATGAATTATTCAGGGCTCAAGATGGGGATAAATATTCAGGGAGGTAACTGCACTCATTCTTTATCTGTTTGTGTTATTCGGGTTTTTACTTGGTTTCTTTATTTTTGCTTTTTTCTCATATGAGAAGTGTTCAGATGACAGCACATCCAACAACAAAATTCAGCCCCCATCCTATAAAAACGTCCTCTCTTAGACTGTCTTGTTAGTTGTGACATATTTTATTGTAAACTAAAACTAACTGGGAATTGGGTTGTATTTATTTTACACTCTCACTCATTTTATTTATTTATTTATTTATTTATTTATTTATTTATTTATTTATCTGTTGAGACAGTCTTACTCTGTCGCCCAGGCTGGAGTGCAGTGGCATGAGGCCCAGGTTCAAGCGATTCTCCTGCCTCAGCCTCCTGAGTAGCTGGGATTACAGGCGCTCGCCACCACACCTGGCTAATTTTTTTGTATTTTTAGTAGAGACAGGGTTTCACCATGTTGGCCAGGCTAGTCGCAAACTCCTGACCTCCAGTGATCCGCCCACCTTAGCCTCCCAAAGTGCTGGAATTACAAGCATGAGTCACCATGCCCAGCCTCTCTTACTCATTTTATAATAGATCCAGTCTTTAAAGAAATATAAGCCATTTGATTGCCCAATTATATGTTGCAAAAAAATAAAAATGTTGAAAAGTGTCCCTTCCAGTCAACAGATATTTATTGAGCACCTACTCAGTGAAGACACTGTTCAGGATGCCCAGAATACAGGAGTGAACAAAAGAGACAAAAATGCCTGCCTTTTGAAGCTGACATTTGAGTTGCAGAGGTGAGGGGAAAGTGGTGGTGGATCTACCCTAACATTTGCGTTATCACTATGTGCTCAAATTCGTATGTGTATGTTTCCCAAACTGGTCTCATCATCACAAACACACACATACACACACCTTTAAGGTTATACTGCTGTTATCCACGTTTTGCAAGTGAGAAAACTGAGGCACAGCAAGGATAAGTAATGTGTCAGTCACCCAGGTAGTGAATGACATGTCCAAGACTCTAGCCTGAGCAGTTTGTCTCTGGGATCTGTGGTTTTATGGTAACTAAAACCGCCACTCATGGCTAGACATGGTGGGTTGTGCCTGTGGTCCCAGCTACTCGGGAGGCTGAGATGGGAGGGTGACTTGACCCTAGGAGTTCGAGGCTGCAGTGAGCTATGATCATACCACTGCACTCTAGCCTGGGCAACAGAGAGAAAAAAGAAAATTTTTTAAAATAAATTAAAAAAAAAACTGCTGCACCCTATTAACAATTATTGTGGCAGGTTTTTAGTGGCAAAGAATTCTGAAGTACTTTGTTGAGTGCTCCCACCTAGGAAACTAGTCTTTTACCTAACTTGGCACTTTATATCAACCACAACCACAATCCAGCAGTTTCCATAAACAGAAAAATTATACCATGACTACTTATGTAAAGCTATATGTAAGGCTCCCTATATATTTATGTAAAGCTCTCTCTCTCTATATATATATATATATGGTTTACATGTTTCTCCCAGCTAACCTTTCCATATATATATATATATATATATATATATATATATATATATATATATGGAGAGAAAGAGAGAGAGAGAGCTTAGGCAGATACCAACCTTGGGTGGGAATCTTTCACATCCTTAAAAAGGTTTGGGCCTATCTGATGGCCTTGTTGCGTCATTGCCCTCTACGTGGCTGGACCCAGAGCAAGGGCCATTTCCAGACAGTCTCCACCAGCCCACTGGATTCACCTGGCTCCTCAGACCTCTGCCTCTTCCATTTCCGTATGACCTAATCACCTGCTGTCTTTTGATATATTAAGATTTTGTGCCACTCTCCTACTGAGATGGACCTTAAATCCTCATGAGCTGATACTGTCTCGTCTACTTTATGAGAAAGTATAGCACAGTAATTAAGAGCACAGCCTCTGAGCATGTCAGCTAGGACCACTTCCTAGCTCCATCATTTGCAAGCTGTGTGACACTGAGAACGTCACTTGCCTTGTCTGACCCTCATCTTCTTCATTTGTAAAATGGAGACGATACTACTGTTGAGAGGAATATATGAGTTAACAGATAGAAAGTAATTAGGATAACACATGACACCTAGTTGATAGTATATAAATTATATTTATCTTTTTTTTTTTTGGCATCTTCCCTCTCCACATAATCTCGTCTCAACTGCAGGGACTACAGTTAAGTTTAACTGGGCTTACTAGGCAAGATGTGGTACTAAATGGGCATCTAGTTTAATGTATAAAACACAATCTCTGTAAGTTTTCCTCTATTCTGCCTCCGCCACAGTTGTAAGAGAGAGACATTTCTACCTCCATAATGGTGTAGATGATTGAATGCAAATGGCAGGAGGGCAAAAAAAAAAATTAAATGAAGTAAATGAAAATGAGCTAAATGTTTGAAAATGAGCTACATATTTAATTATATTAAATACTGTATATTATACCCTGTCCCAAGAGTCTGAGTCATCATTTGAAGGGTACCTTCCCACAACCAGCCAAGCTGGGAAAAGATACCCCACCTTATAGACACTATTGGCTCCCTCCAGCCTTTCGAAAAGTCTTAACAAATACTAAATCTGCAGACTGCATTTCATTGCTAAAGTCTTACAAAATTTTAGTTCTCAGCAGAGACATTAGTATCTTTGGGGAAAAAAAACCCAAAGGAAGAGATCCTTCTAGTTTTGCTCACTCATTAAAAATGTGTTGAATAATGAATGAATTTGGTGTATTTGTGTATACATGAAGATGTACTCACGTATATGCATATATAGAGAATATTTGCCAATAATTGTTTTATATATATTCTTTCTCCATTTTTACTGCCTGAATACTGAAAACAAATTTCTTGACTTAATTCTACAAGGCAAATATCACATAATCTGCTATGCCAAATGTCATTGATAAATCATGTATTTATCTGTGTGAATGTGTTCCAACTTTTAAAATTAGAAACTACATGTTCTGTTTATACTTTCTCTCACTGATATATACTGATTATTAGATGATTTGAAATTTAGTTCTAAGTGCACATTTCTGCATATCCTGCAGTGTTAGCAAGATAAGAACTTGACTTATTTGTCCATTTCAACAAATATTTTCAGTACCTATTATATGCCTGGCATAGGCCCTGTGGATATCAAAATAAGTAAATGCTGTCTTGCCTTGAGTAGTATAATATTGCAGCATAGCTCATGGTCCTGGTAATTCTTGAGGTTAATGTGTGTGTTAATTACCTATTTATAGGTGTATCCATTAATGGAAAACTTCCCAGGATCTACTAGGCATTTAAAGATGGGAGAGTGAGCTTGTTATTATAAATAAATTAAGCCAACCATTTACTTAGAATTTTTTATCCTAATTTAAAATACAGATAAGATTATATGACTTTTAAAAATCATCTTGAATTACTAAAATACTTAAGTGAATTGCAAAATCAAAAAGGATAATTTCGTTTTACACTTATTTCTATTATCAGCATTTGTAGAAAATTTTACACTTCTTATTTCCTAGTTTATTCAGAAAATTCCAAGGCTGTTCACTAAAAAAGTTAACTGATTTTGCAAGTAATCTCATGAGCTAGCCCACCCTAACAGAAAGGGACCATTTTTACACCAGGACAATGTTTCTCCCAGCTAACCTTGTTTCTGGAGGGTTGTCCAAGTCATCCCCAGGGAAACAACGTAAAAGCTACTTCAGATTTTGTGGGTCTCTTGGGACACAAACACCATACACGTGCCTATATATGACCGTCACTCACTTGGGTAGAGGCTAGCATTGTCAGGACAGATGCAGGTCTGATTTCTCAGATCCAGCAACTTCAATCCTTGGAATATTAGATTAACTCTCTCAGCCTGTGAGAGGAAATCAAAGTGGTGGCAGAAATAATCCCGGAGCTCAGACTGAAATCATTTCCTCATGAGCTTTTTATTTTCATCCTCTCTGGTTTCCAAAACTCAAATTCCTTACTTAGTATCTCTCTAAAGCCTGAGTCCTTAGTGTAAATGACTATTTCCTTTACTCTCTTTTAATAGAACTCAAGATTGGCCGGGTGTGGTGGCTCACACCTGTAATCCCAGCACTTTGGGAGGGTGAGGCAGGCGGATTACCTGAGGTCAGGAGTTCAAGACCAGCCTGGCCAACATGGTGAAACCTCGTCTCTACTAAAAGTATAAAAAAATTAGCCGGGCGAGGTGGCAGGTGCCTGTAATCCCAGCTACTTGGGAGGCTGAGGCAGGAGAATCACTTGAACCCAGGAGGCGGAGGTTGCAGTGAGCCGAGATTGCACCACTGCACTCCAGCCTGGGCAACAAGAGAGAAACTCTGTCTCAAAAAAAAAAAGAACTCAGTTTCTTTTTCTCTATTGCTTCCTACAGCTAATCTATAGCAAATTACATACCTTGTTTGATTTTTTACCTATTCACTCTTTTAATCTGAGCCTTCTGTCTATCCTCCTTTTCCCACATCTGTCCTAGATCCATTCCAGTTGTGTGACTATTGCACTGCTCTTTCCTATTTCAAACACAATATCATTAGGAATACCAGTATTTATTTACAATGACAAAACAACTGAGTTTTGTAATTACATAATGTCAGTTTATCAATATATAATATCCACTTCCTACAGTCAGAAAGAGGAACAGTTCTATCATGTACAATTATGATGGGAAAGGTGGAATGATCCCTTATGCAGCAATTTTAAGTGAGTTCATGATTTTAAATTACTTAAAATAAGTGCTAGGAAGCTCCCATTTTCAAACCCTTTATTTTCCTGGCTTAACAGAGGAATAAAATGCTATTTAAATGCACAATTCCATTCTAAAAGAATGGATTCTGTTAGGAAAGAAATTTAGGGGTAGCTCTTTCATTTAACCAAGCAGCTTGATAGCTTCTGTATATGCACAGGTTGGCCTGGAGCTGAGTTTGAGAGTAAGGAACAGAGAAAGACGAATTACTGTGTGTATTCATCTGAGAAACATATGGAGTTCCTGCAGGAAATATGAGAGGAAGAGAATAAAGAACAATAATGAGAGTGAGAGCAGTCAGCAAGATCAGAGTGCTCAGAACATATCGGAAGCCAGTAAAAAATTCCAACGCCCCCCACCCCCCACCCACCAAAAGAAAGTTTAAGAACAGAGATGCCTGCTTTTCAAATTAAAATGTTTATCATTCCAGCTCCTTAAGCTTTCCTTGCCTCCCCCAAATTACCAGTAAAATCTCTTAGCACAGAAAATCTTTGTGTGAGTGAAATTCTGTGAAAATCAGAACAAGAAGCTGAGCTATTGGGGTCCACAAAGCAAAGAACAGGTATAGCCCAGGCAAGATGCTGGGATTTGAACTTGAAGATGGATCTTAGAGCCAGGAGTTACCATGAGAATTTAAGCCCCTGAAAATTCATAGACATCCTGCAGGTCTTTAAACTTTCCATAGGTGCCGAAATGAAAAAAGTTGGTCCAGTATAACCCAGTTTTTGAGGATACCCGCTGATACGTGTACTATAATCAAACATCGGTTTGTCACTGTCCCACTTAAAATGTGAGGGCTAAAACTAAGCGCAAATTCCAAATGATTTATTTCCAGCACAGAGAAGAAGTTGGGACCTCTCTTATTTCCTGAACCTGATTATACTTCTATGGATACTATAAAGCAGCCTAGGTTTACATTATGTATTTCAATCCATCACATGCTGATCTCATAGCCACAGATTTTTTTATTCACATGAACAACTGTCTTCTCTCCCTGTTCCCCAAAGCTGTATTTCATAATTTTTTTAAAGTAATCTGAACTTAACACCTTATATTTTTCCCTATTAAATTTTACCTTTTGGGTTTTTGTGGCCAGCATTCCAACCTGTTCATACATTTTAGAGTTCTGATTCTGTTACCCCTTGTCTCAGCTGCAGATTTGATCCATCTGCCTTTACCTGACAAGGGGTTATAAGGAGCCGTGGACAAAGAGAAAGAATACAAATCTCAAGCCCTGGACCGTCGCCCCACACGCCTACTAACTGGGTGTGTGGCAAGCACCCGGCCAGTGATTTAACCTTTCAGAAACTAAGTTTCCCTGTTTGTAAAGTAGAAAAGCCAATTTCTGGCAAACTTGCCTCAGGTTATTAGGAAAACCAAGTGGGGAGTGTGTGGGAGTGTGTGTGTTGTGTGTGTGTGTGGCCAGCATAACACCGCCAATAACACCACAATGAACGTGGAGCCCTCTGGGGTAACTGTGAAGATCTCCTTCCAGGCCAGGCATGGTGGCTCATGTCTGTAATCCTAGCACTTTGGGAGGCCAAGGCAGGCAGATTGCCTGAGCTCAGGAGTTTTGAGACCACCCTGGCCAACCTGGTGAAACATTATCTCTAATAAAATACAAAAAAAAAAAAAAAAAAAAAGCCAGGTGTGGTGGCAGGTGCCTGTAGACTGAGCTACTCAGGAGGTTGAGGCGCAAGAATTGCTTAAACCTGGGAGGCGTGGCCAGGCACAGTGGCTCATGCCTGCAATCCCAGGACTTTGGGAGGCCGAGGCGGGCAGATCACGAGGTCGAGATAGAGACCATCCTGGCCAACATGGTGAAACCCCATCTCTATTAAAAATACAAAAATTAGCTGGGCGTGGTGGCGTGCGCCTGTAGTCCCAGCTACCCAGGAGGCTGAGGCAGGAAAATTACTGGAACCCGGGAGGCGGAGCTTGCAGTGAGCCGTGATCGTGCCACTGCACTCCAGCCTGGGCGACAGAGCAAGACTCCGTCTCAAAAAAAAAAAAAAAAAAAAACCTGGGAGGCGGAGGTGGCAGTGAGCCGAGAATGTGCCACTGCATTCCAGCCTGGGCAACAAAGAGCAAACAAACAAACAAACAAACAAACAAAAAAGTCTCCTTCAGGCTCAGCACAATTAATTATCCAGCATGTGCTTCTTGAACACCAACTACACGTCAGACCCAAAGTGTTCAACATAAAAAAATTAATGAGACAAAAGGATCTTATCTAAAGCCATTAATAAGAAATTCTAAAAGATTGAAGGGGAGAGTTCAGTCACCAATGAGGTAATATTTACTGTTAAATTTTATTGCTCTGACTTAAAAATGGAAGAGGCTCTTCCTTACTTTTTTTCAGATGAAAAAAGGAAAAGAGATCATTTCCTTCTAACTCAGGAAAAAAAAAAAAACAGGGAAACACTAATACTCTCAGCAGATCATATTACTCCTAAATTATCTTTACACTTCTTTGTTTTCTGGTGTACACAAAGAAAAGAAGCAATGATTTGAGATGATTTTGAAGACAAAGTTCTTCCCAATGACTAGTTAAATCTAAAGAGATTCCCCAAGGCTGAATCTCAGAAGAGGCTAATAAAATACTGATATGAGAGATGAGAGAGTCTGGCGAAATGGTCTGGTGTGGGGCCTGGGCATTATCAGGGAAATCTAATGCAAGTCCTAGGTGAGAACCATTGTAGGAGAGACAAAGTAAGGAGAGTTGAAGTTCAAAGCTCTGGGGAAGAGCATCCTATGATATAATAAAGGATAATAAGGATATACAAGTCTTATTTTTAAAACTATCTTACATGTTTCCTTTGAAAGGTTGCTTTAAAATTATTACCGTAAATGATTTTATTCTTGAAATTAACGATTTAAATACAAATTTGAGGAGCGTGGTAAATAATATGAAAGTTGCAGACTGGGTACAGTGGCTCATACTTGTAATCACAATATTTTGGGAGGCCAAGGCAGGAGGTTTGCTTGGGCCCAGGAGGTTGTTGTAGTGAGATTATAGTGAGCCATGACTGTGCCACTGCAATCCAGCCTGGGTGACAGAGCAAGACCCTATCTCTAAAAAAGAAAGAAAGAAAAAAAAATTAAAAAAGAAAGTTGCTATTAAATCTTGAGGAAAATATAATTATCTCAGAAAAACACCATCTGATGATTTAAGCCACCATCTGACAATTTAAATCACTTACTCTCTATAAATATTTAAATTTCCATGTGGTCTGCTTTTTGAGTGATGAATTTTCTTTTTTTACAAAGATATCATTGAAATAATTAAAATTGTCAATTGATTGCAATGTCACACTTCTCAAAAAAAAAAAAAATTAGTATTGCAGCGTCTAAACCAAAAGCATAAGGGCAGTGAATGCAAAACAGATGTTCATCTCGGTGGGTGTTCAAAACAATTTTTTAAAGTCAGATGTCTCTGTATATGTGTTTGTACAGCCTCAAGACACGGTCTTAACAGTTTATATATTTAAATGCTCACTCATTTGATATAATGTCAAGTAAACAAGATAGCATTAAAATCAACTACTCAATTAATTTATTTTTTCCATCCTTTATTTCTACGGATTTTTCAAACATCTAGTACTGAAGGATCTTGACATTTTTAACCCAGTACATTCCCTCCCTCTTATTAATACTTCACCCAATTATCTTTTTTAAAGTATCCTATTTAGAGGGAAGCTAGAGCCTATAATTTATTTTAATATTCTGGTGAGAGATGAGAAACAAAGATATCCATCAAAGGGCTATTTAATTTTAGAAAAGTTAACCAGCCATTAGACATTCATGGGCAATAGTTCAAGGAACAAGAACCACAAAAAAAAAATGAGAGTTAGAATTGAAGAAACAAATCTTTAACCCTCAGAAAACCAAGAGGTTTTTTAATACCTTATTTTCTATAGTAGCATTTAGCAAAAGGCAATGAAATTCTATCCCCAAAATGAAGAAGTTTATGATGGTTCTGACAATAATTCATTTATGTAGAATTATATTATTTACACTTTCATCCATGTTGTCTCATTTATTCCTCCCAACATCTTTGAGTAATCATTTTACAAATAGAAAATAAATCTGAGTAATTTCTCCATTAGCCATAGTGAATACAACACATTAGGAAATTAATGCCAGGTTCATCTCTCTCAATGCTCAGTGCCATTTCCCCTGTATCAGCAAATACTTAGGATAACTGTGGGCCTGGGATTGTGGAGGGATTGGAACTAAAGCACACTTAATAAAAAGGAGAGAAGAGTTCCTCAGGGCTAATCCTAAGTTAAAAGGGATGACTTTACTTTGTCTGAGTCAGTGCAAAACTACATTTTTTTTTATCAAAACAGAAAACGAAAACAAAGAAAAATGGTAAGTGCTTCAATCATACCATCCAAAGCAGAGAATTACCATATTCAAGTCATGGAGCTCCCCCAGGCCTACAAGTATTTGAGTTATTCTAGTTCTCTGTTCCTCTGGGATAAAATAGAATAAAACCCTGCAAGACTCACAGGGAAAGCCAAATGTGGAACCGAAGCAAAAGGGGCATTTTTGGCAAAATGACAAAACACAGTAAGCCTCTATAACTAATCTGGACTTCAAGCTAGAGATATTTATGAGCTTCTAAAGAGCCACTGGGAGAGTCTCCCCGTGCCCAGTGCCCACCTAAACTTCTGTAGTTACATTCCTCACTCACTATGGGGGCGCCCTCTTTGGGAACTTTGCTAATCAAGCTGGGCACTCAAGATCAAATTTTTGCTATACAAGCAAATTAGTCTCACTTATAGGGGGTCAGTATTTCGTTTTGTCTCTTTAGAGACATATGTTATGAATCCCTCAATTACTAATTTAGTTTTGCTTTTCAGTTTGATACTCTGCCCCCAATCCATGTTCTTTCATTGAACTGTAATGTTTTACTACTTGTCATTATTTTTGGAAAAACAGTTTCTAACTCTCTTGTTACTAGTGCTAATTTGCATAATTTGAATTAATGGAGAATTTGCCAACACTTACGTAGCTTCTACAAAGTTTGCAGTTGCTTCAAGAATTTTCACATTTTATAAATCCAGTGACAAAGTTTAGAGTTATCTATGCACTGTAGTGTATACCCTTGTTACATTATAATTTTTATACCCCTGAAAGACTTATTACAAATCACAGAAAGCCAAAATCATTGTATTCTTGCCTGAATTGGGTAGTCTGTTTTTTTCAATTTCTCTTAATTTGATGAATAAAAAATAAATCTATTTTTATGTGCATTTTTGAATATGAATTATATTTTCAAATGTTTTTATTTTCTCTTTCGTGAATTGTTTGCTCAGGTCTTTTGCCTATTATTTCAGCAATCTGAGGAAACTCTAGGGCAAAATAAGGAAGCTGCTAGCCACATTTTATAACTTGCTTAAGAACTGGCAATGACAGTTTATCAGGATTTTATACATAAGGATTCCAGGAGTATACTTCATAACCACAAACTTGGGAGTCACAATTCTTTTATTGTGTAAATGGTAGAATTCCTGAGTGCTTGGTGCATTAGTTATTAAAGGAAATAAAACAAAATTTCAAAATATAGTAACCATGAGGACTAATTTGTTACCTACTCTTTGTAAAGGAGATATCAATGTGGATAAAAACAAACCTGGGGGTACATATATTAAGACTTTCAAAGGCCCTTGACAATAGTTTAGAATAAAAATGATGTTTCATTTTTTTTTAACATTTTATAACTTGTTTTTTTAAATTAAAAAAAAAACAAAACAGGCAATGTGAATCATGTATTTAGAGCAGCTTGTCCATGGCTAGTGAACTGGCTTGGAGGTAGCAAACCAAGGACAACTCTCCACTAAATGAAGTAAAATTAAACACTCGTGTTGGCTTATGATCAGTGCTGGAAACATCTGACTCTGATATTATAGTGTGATTTGGAAGAGAAAATTCACGATGACATTTCCAATTTTCAGATGACACCAAGTTTTTCCAAGTCATGACATACCAAGTCAAATTGGGAAGGAAGATAGAGGAAGCTCCCGTGAGTCTTTGGTTTTGAGGTACTACTCCACAAGGGTAAACCTTTGAGATGTATACATTAAATACATTAGGTAAAATCTTTGAGATTTACCCTATAAGGTAAATCTCTAGTGTCATTGGCCCAATTTAAAGATGTGAAAACTGAGTCTCAGAGATGTTAGTTTAAGTCACCCAAGTTGACTCAGCCAGTAAGTGAGGAGTTTGTATTTGACATCAATCTAAATAAGAGCCTATCCTTTACTGCCCCCAATGTGAGAGAGGAAGGAATCACACTCATGAAGGGACCCAAAGCCAACGTGGGGTGAGGGGAGGGCAGGAACCTGGGAAGTTGGATTCATTTGGTTTTTTGAGTTGGTGAGAAACAAGCAGGTATATTTAAATGTGGGGAAGTATGAAGTGATATTTTTAAGGAAGTCCAGTGCTGCAGGAAAATGAATCCCTGGAATCCATGAGCTTTCTTATACCACTTACTGGCAACACAGGCTCTAAACACTAACCTGCCAGCAACATCAACCCAGTTCATTAGCTAACTTTTCCTGTTTGGAAACACAATGGCAAATATTATCCTACCCAGTACAAAGCCATAACCCCCTATACAGGAAGAAAGCTGTGGAAATCTGAAGTGAAATTTTAAAATTGTTATATATTCCTATGTATTTAATATGTGGGTTTTTTGGGGGGTTTTCTTGTTTGTTTTTGTTTTGTTTTGTTTTGTTTTTGAGACAGAGTCTCACTCTGTCGGCCAGGCTGGAGTGCAGTGGCATGATCTCAGCTCACTGCAACCTCTGCCTCCCGGGCTCATGCGATTGTCCTGCCTCAGCCTCCTGAGTAGCTGAGACTACAGGCGCGTGCCACCATGACCGGCTAATTTTTTAATTTTTAATAGAGACAGGGTTTCACCATATTGGACAGGCTGATCTCGAACTCCTGACCTCAGGTAATCTGCTTGCCTTGGCCTCCCAAACTGCTGGGAGTACAGGCGGGTGCCACCACGCCCAGACAATATGTGTTAAGCATTGTGCTAATACTTCATATGCTGGGCAACATCCAACAACCTATAACCCTACAAACCTATAACCCAACAACCCTATAAGATAAATCTCTAGTGTCATTGGCCCATTTTAAAGATGTGAAAACTGAGTCTCAGAGATATTAGGTAAGTCACCCAAGCTTACTTAGCCAGTAAGTGAGGAGTTTGGATTTGAAACCCATCTAATTGAAAACCTATTCTTTACTGTCCCCATATGTAAGAGAAGGAACCACAGCCATGAAGGGACTCAAAACGACTGTGAGGAGGGCAAGTCTGGGGAAAAAAAGCCTTATAATGTTGTAATGGCTCTGGTAAAAGTCTGCAAAAGGTAGAGATGGGTGAAGTTAAAGCAAACAGAGTCTAAGTCCAAGATAAGGTAATTCATTTATAAGAGTCATTAATGCAAGTGCTACAATTGAAAATTTTTTAACGTAAAATGTTTAAACTAGTAAGTGACATATTTGCAATCAGTGGATTCAGAAAAATTAAGTTACTGGAGAGAATATTCCTGTGCTTGGGTTGGCACTAAAGAAAGATAACTCTGTCTGCCTACAAAGGAACCTGTGGTATTGCTGTCAGAAAAAGAAGGCTGGGGTGAATTAGACTGAACGTTTGTGTATAATGATTCTTAATCTGTACTTCAAAAATGTATCATTAGACATGCAGATATGTTTACCCATTTTTGTTGTTGTTGTTGTTGTTGTTGGCCTTGCTTTGTTTTTTTGGACTGTTTTTCCTTATGTCTAACTTAGATTCTGATAAGCACCAAGCTGCTTCCCTACCTGAGTGCCTTGGAATATGCATTTTTCCTCTTACTGGAATGTTCTTTCTCCTCTCCCTCCTACTACCATTCAATGGAGAGGGCTTCTGGGTAGGGTAGGGGCATCATGTTATTTTTATTTGCTGAATCAGGGAATTCTACATTCTGGAAGGAAACTTCTGATATTTGTGACAACGGCGATTTTAAAAACTGTTCATTTACCACATCTTTCCCTGAGTCCAAGGTCCGTGGCAGCAGAGACCATGTCTGTCCAGCCCCCACTGAGGCCAGCGCAGTGCCTGGCACACAGGGAACTATCACTAAGCCCTGGTTCAATGCCGGACATCCTTCGGCTTGTACATGAAGCCCGGTAGCTCTGTTTTATGAGGGTAGGAAACATCTGGTCACCATTGTTTATGAAATATTTGCCACCTGAAAAACCATTATTATTAGGTCATTCCTTGTTCCTTGCTTTATTTTTCTGAGTTTTTTTCTCTCCATTAAGAACATATTTCCTGGAACTCCTTATTGGCAAGGAAAGCTAACTCACTTTTTACTTTCTCCAATACCCTTATTGAGTTTCTCTCTTACTCTTCAGACCGCCAATGATTAGTGGGGAAATCTACCAATGCTGGAGCAAAGACACTATCCCATCTTTAACGGGGAGAAATTTGTAGAACCATAAAACTACAGCAAAAGTGTTGAACACCTCTATGTCAGCCAATCCGTGGTCACCACAGATGTTCATAGTCTCACAGCAATGCATGTTACCTGTATTTTTAGAATTGTTTAAAACAAAAGCGACTATTATTATTTAACAAGTTGTAATGCTGACATGGTAAACATTAAAATATTTGAGGCTAAGTACGCTCTTAATTTTTTTAAAAGATTTTTGTTATGGAGCAATTTGAAAGTCTTTAATGCTCCATATATAAAGAAACCTTTTTATATTTTGCTTTATATATCTTTCGTTTAATAATCTTGATTTCAGAATCTACCAGAATTTAATTCTAGAGCCCTCCAAAATAAATAATCAGCTTTCAGGTTATCTCAACAACTTCACTGATATTTTAAAGAAAAACCTATCATATTTATACTATTTACTTTTATACTATCATGTTTATACTATTTATATTTATACTATTCATATTTATACCAAGATACAAATTAAAAACACTGGAACAAAATACATTAAAATGGAAACAATGTTTGCCTTCGTAGGGCATAATTTTGAGTGATTTTTTGTTTCTATTTTTGTATTTTTATTTGTATACGATGAGATTTATATGCAAGGAGAAAAAACAAACAAAATATTCAATTTTATTGGAGTCCAGTCTTCTAATGAAGTATGAAAGAAAGAAACATGTAGATCTACTATTATTAAAGATTTATACGAATATTAAGGATGTTCCCTGGGGTGTTTTCCCCAGTGAATTGAACTTGTGAATAAGTCCTAAGTGCCAGCAATGAAAGCGAAGCAGGTATCTGTCAAGGCTGATTAGGAACGGAGCATAGAGAATAGAACCACAGAAACCAAAGAAGACTAAAACTGGTTCTAAGGGTTGAGGCCTGAGAAAAATCCATACCAGGTTCCAGCCTTTCCCTAACTAAAAAGGAGGAAGATGGCTGAATCTGCCTGGTGGGGAGAGGGGTAATTTGCTGCAGGTGGAACCACTTTATTCAGACCTGAGCACCGCAGCGAGCCCTCTGTGGACCCGCTTTGCTGAGAAAACTTGCTGCTCCCTGGGTTCTATCCAGAGCAGCCTGGCGATTGTGTTCTAATTTTCCTTTTAGATAGCTGAATATGAGTATTAGAATGAAAGATCTGATATTAGCAGATCAATCATCTCTTTCTCCACTTTCTGTTACACAATTAAACCAGCAGGTGAGGCAGAGTGCCGCAAAAGTAAGTAGACCAGCTGTTCCATTTCAGAATAGACTTGCCAAGCATAACACATTTAGAAACAAAATGCAGTTCATTCCAAAGCAGTTGATTTAATCCCTCATTATCCATTTATGTATTCAGCATCATGGCCCATCTTGACACCTTATTAATAAATTATTCAAAAGCTTACCTCTGGATAGCATAGTTGTTAAGACCTAGGGATCCAGTCAAAAAGAGGGATCGATTGCAGGCTCAGATGCAAATTAACTCTATAACCTAAGACACCCTATTTAACCTTCTTAAATCTTCATTTCCTCATTTGTAAAATGTGTATAGAACCACCCCGAAGTTCCGGGATCATGGATTAGAGAGAGAAAAGGTTTAAGACCTCTTAGCACAGCTTCTAACACATAGTATAGTCAGTGTTCGTAAATGGAGTTCATATTAATACCCTTTTTTTTTTTGAGACAGAGTCTCACTCTGTCGCCCAGGCTGGAGTGCAGTGGCGCAATCTCGGCTCACTGCAGGCTCCGCCCCCCGGGTTCACGCCATTCTCCTGCCTCGGCCTCCAGAGTAGCTGGGACTACAGGTGCCCACCACCACGCCCGGCTAATTTTTTGTATTTTTAGTAGAAACGGGGCTTCACCGTGTTAGCCAGGATGCTCTCGATCTCCTGACCTCGTGATCCGCCCGCCTCTGCCTCCCAAAGTGCTGGGATTACAGGTGTAAGCCACGGCGCCCGGCCATATTAATACCTTTTAAAATAGGGACCAGAAGTTGAAGAAGAAGAAGTGAAGAAAAAGGTAAAGTGTTTTCCCTCTTCCATTCACATATATTTTTCATTTTTTAAAAATGGGCTTTCCGGAAGTGAAACTCCTGTACCAGCGAAGCAGGATGCTTTCAATGTGTGCAAATCAACCTCTTGGTAGCCTGCCTTTTAAAAGCTCAAACTATCCATCCCCACACAAGTCTGGGACTCTTACCCTGTGTTATTTTTTAAGTCATTTAAGTCATGCTTGAGAGGAACATCATTGTTACTATCAGTCTTAACATCTTAATTCAAACCAGCCTAACAAAAAAGACTGAGAAAATATGAAAGTACAGAAATTTGTGCTAGAGAAAAAGATGGGAGGAAAAGTGTCACACCTTGGGGCTGCCCCGATGTCTCTTTGCCTCTTAGGTGCAGGGTACTCCATACTCTCGTGACTAAGGCATGAAGCCTAGAAGAAGTGGCTACTTCTGCCTGTGGTTTATAGCCCTACTTTATTCTAGACAGCTCCCTGCACAGATTAGAAGGCAGGAAGCAGAGCAAGTGTTCCTGTAATCAGCCTCCCCCGGGAACTGTCAGTATTCAATGGGCTCTCAACTCACATTTCCACTTGTTTTTGTTTTGTTTTGTTTTGTTTTGTTTTGAGACAGAGTCTCGCTCTGTTGCCCAGGCTGGAGTGCAGTGACGGGATCTTGGCTCACTGCAACCTCCACCTCCCGGCTTCAAGCAATTCTCCTTCCTCAGCCTCCCGAGTAGCTGGGATTACAGGTGTGTGCCACCTCATCTCAGTAATTTTTGTATTTTTAGTAGAGATGGGGTTTCACCATGTTGGCCAGTCTGGTCTCAAACTCGTGACCTCAGGTGATCTGCCCATCTCAGCCTCCCAAAGTGCTGGGATTACAGGCGTGAGCCACCACTCCCGGCCTCCACTTGTTCGTTCAATATACGTTTGCCCTATAGAGTTCCATGCATCTGAGAATATTCCAACAAATCTTAGACCATTTCCAAGCAACGGATCCCTATTGTACTATTTCTTCTATTTCTCTCTGTAAGCATTAACTTTGAAACTACAGCCATTAAATCATATTCATTAGTTCATTCCAGGCATAATCAATATGTTGGACTAGGACAACTCAAGAAGTAAACAAATCATAATCAATTCCTCTTGTCCCCTACCCCTTTAAACTTATTCCATTGGACTGCAGTAATCTTCCTGTGTCCCAATGTGGAAACACATAGACACTATCCACTGTTACGTAAGGTGCCCTACATGTGCATTAAATCTCAAGCACGGTCTCCTTCAGTAGTAAGAAGGCCTAATCCCATGTAATTCTCAAACCTCTGAGCTTGTTGTGGTATGAGATTTTCTCCCCTACCCCAGTTAGGACCTACTTCAGGCTTGAGTCAGCTGTGAGCAGGGGGATTCCCTCCTGCTGTTAATCTCTCCCTGCTCACCCCTGTCTGTGCACTTCCTACCAGCAGGGATGTGGGAAAGGGAGGGAAGGTGGGGAGATAGGACAATCCTTACTTGGCTGGGTAGCTTTGCTCTCTCTGGTCCTGGTGATGGCTAAAACCAGCTCTTTTTCTCATTGAGTGCTTTGTAGGCTCTACAGAGCCTATGCAGAGCCCTTCGTCTCCTCATTACCAATGGCCATTTGGGACTCCTTCCTCAGCTCCTGCAAATCAGTTCCTCATCTTCAGCCTTTTTCTGATGAGGTCACCTCTCACCCCTACGGGCTACTGTGTTGTACCAACAGCAGCTCCATCCTTCATGTCCCATGTTTACTCATCCCCCAGCTCTGGCCCCCAAACTGCAAGTGAAAACCAGTGCTGGCAGATCAGCGCTTCCCTGGCTCCTCCACACAAAGGCACTCAGATCTCCTTTCCTGTGAAACTTTCCAGGACAGGTTAGACCCCAGTCCATGGTACACTTTACCTTTCTCAGGCAGGAGTCAGGCGCCAGCCCTCTGGGTATCCCACATGCAAGGAAGGCATTTCAAAGCGGTAGAGGTGGCCCTTCCTCCATCACCAGGCTTATGGTTTGGAGATAACACCCCTCCCTCAGCTCTTTCACAAACAGAAACGTGCCTGGCAGCAGCTCTCTCCAAGTGAGTCTCTTCACCAGCCCTTCTTCCCTCTCCGAACTCTGACCACTTTTTATATCCTTGATGCGCTGAAGGGCCCAAGAGTCTTGGAACTGGTTTTTAATTCCTTTCTTTGAAAATCCAAATATATGGATCTGTCTCAGATACACGTGGGTACCCATTATCCACCACCATGCTTGTGCTTCCATTGAAGCAGAGACCAGAGGAGCCCCATTCTAACATCCTGTTACATAAGTGAAAATGGAATTTCTTTGGAATGCCATTTATTGTCATGGTGCCAGGAGTTCATCATAATCAACATTACAAAGGAAATACCAAAGGAAGCAATAATGATTTGCCATTTATTGTAAAACATGACCTAGGTGTGTCTTTTTTCTCTGTTTATAAAATGACAAGGTTCAAATTATAATGTAACTTTCCACATAGCAATTGAAATCACAGACTGAGAGGTTATTACAGGACTAGGTTGGAATGAATAGATTATCCATATGATTTGATTTACCCTAATATAGTTTCTTTTAGTTCCAACATGAAATCTCCCCCTTTTAACTCACCCTGAATTACAAATGACTTAACAGAAGCAGAAATATTTTCTCTGGAAAAACATAGTAAAGTGTAAATGGAACTCTGGATTTTTAGCCATAACAAGATTTTTACACTGTATTTCCCCCGATGTATCTGCCTTAAGATTCTTCAGTCACTTCATGTTGACTGTTTAGCCTCTGAAAACTCTAATTAGTTTAACAAGTTAGCCAGCCAACGCCACAGCAAGACTATACACAAATAGAGAAGATCAGGTCAGTTTTGCTGAAAAGAAGGATCATTAAAGGTACAGAGCATGAGATATTGACCCAACCCTTCTGATAAATGATACAGAAACTATTTGCTCATGAACGAGTAAACTATGCCCCCACCTTGACACTGAATTTTAATCACTAGAAATGGAATTATATCAAAATTCAAACATAGCTGAAAAATTTTAAGATAACATGTTTAAATATGCACATTTCAAGTAAAAGAACATTATTATAGTGATAATATCAGAGCCATTTGCAGAGAACTTTTGAGTCTTATCAAGAAAGCAATACATAGGCTGGGTGTGGTGGCTCACACCTATAATCTCAGCACTTTGAGAGGCCGAGGTGGGTGGATTGCTTGAGCCCAGGAGGTCGAGACAGGCCTGGGCAACATGGCGAAACCCCATCTCTACAAAAAATACAAAAATTAGCCAGATATGGTAGTGTGCCTAGCTACTACAGGCACCTGCCTGTAGTACCGGCTACCCAGGGAAGTTGAGCTTGCAGTGAGCTGTGATCACACCACTGCACTCTAGCCTGGGCAACAGAGTGAAACCGGGTCTCAAAAAGAAAGAAAGAGAGAGAGAAAAAAAAAGAGAAAGAGAGAGAGAGAGAGCATGCAAGCAAGCAGTATATAAACCAGTGAATTTTACCTGGCGCTTTTAAAAATAATATTTGAGTTCATATGAAATTCAAATAGCATCTTACAAATTTCAATGTATATTTCCTAGAAGTAATTCAAGGTACCCTCAATATATGCTGTCAGGTAGAGTATAAAGGGGTGTAATGATCAATGCAGCAACTTCATGACAGACATGAGCTGAAATGGGTTGTAGAATGTTCTTTCTGAAGACCCATAATTAGATTTCTAGCTTGTTGTTCAATAAAATAGTTCAGGTACCCTAAGTGAAGTACATGACCTCTCAAACAAGAAAACTGTCTCATTCTGCAAGGCCAGTTGCTTGCTTTTCACAGTGACACCCATCACCTTACTGAATCCTTTAAGAATGAAGTTCTTCTTGTCCAGTAACACTGCAGCTGGAAACAAGGCAGACGCTGGAAAGCACTAGAACTGTGCACAATGTTGACAGTGTAATCTGAAACTACTCAGCAGTTCCTAGTATCAGGTTCACACATAATTTGAACCAGACAGATTTCTTTTGAAACTTTCTCTTAAAAGTTTCATTTAAATTGGAAGACGAAGAGTATGAGTATCAAGAAATTACTCTTAGTAATCCAAATGAATTAAATGATCCTAAAATGATTTAAGTGATTCATAGCACTTTCCCAAGCAGTCTCTGTCCCCATAGTACCGGTTTCTGTATCAAGCTGTCAGGAGATCAGAGAAGAAGCTCATTAACCCAGTCAGACATGTATTCAACCAACATTTGAGTTCCTAGTAAGTGCCAGGTACTGTCATAAGCACCAAACCTATTAGTTTTGTGGAAGGCAGGTCTAACCCTGTCTTTAGGAAGCTTTAACCCTTATATCCATATTCACAGAAAGCTGACCTACCAGTTGAATGCCCACTCTGGATATGGGCAAATATTTTATTCTATTTTTAAAGTGCATACATACACACAAGTACTCTAGCATAACTAAGCTGTTGGTTATGATTTATTTGCTTTGAAAAGCAGAGTTGCCTGCAATAATAGAGGAAGCACTGTCAGTGGAAAAGTAGGAAAACACATCTGCAGTCAAGAGGGAGGCATTTCAGTGCCTGTTATTATGCCCTGGAGCCAAGATGATGACAGTGAGACATGAGCAGCCCTATATCAACCCAGTTCTGTTGGGTTCTGTGCTCTGAGGCCTCCCTGGATGCAGTCAAGGATAAGTCAGTGAAGCCCAAATCACCACCAAGACCCCTTCCTTTCCCAAAGTTGCTATAGACAGATACACTACCTAATAAGGGCTAATAAGCAGACGACCAATTTTCTTTTTTTTTCTCTCTCTCTTTTTGAAACAGGGCCTCACTCTATCGCCCAGGCTAGAGTGCAGTGCCACAATCACAGCTCACTGTAGCCTCCACGTTCTAGGGTTAAACGATCCTCTTACCTCAGCCTCCCAAGTAGCTGGGACTACAGGCTACTACAGAGAATGGACCATTGTGCTCAGCTAATTTTTAAATTTTTTTTTGGAAATAGGGGTCTTGCTATATTGACTTGGCTGATCGTGAACTCCTGGCCTAAAGTGATCCACCTGCCTTGGCCTCCCAAAGCTCTGGGACTACAGGTCTGCACCTCTGTGCCCAGCCCCAGATGACCAACTTTCAAAAATCCTTTTCAAGTTAGAAAAAATATATTCAAAACATATTCATACGCTTTTTTCTTAACTTATTTTTCTTAATCTTCATTCATGCATATAACTCACAGATTATTCAAACTTCTCTTATTATTTTTCTAACCCTTTAAAGAGGATTTCCAAAGCTTAGCTTTACTTGAAGTAGAGTGGTTCCCATCCATTGATATTCGGGGGAAGTAGTTCATCTGAAATGAGGCCAGTATTGAGACTTCAACATATATAAACTTAATTATTTCAGGAGGAATGTCCGTGGGAAAAAAAAGAGCTACCGTGACTTTTCCCTCCACTAATCAACAGATATTTCCATATGATAATAATATTTAAATTACATGTATTTGCTCAGCACTTTACACTTTACAAGGCACTTTTACAGACATTGCCTAAATATTTATTCTCATAACAGCTGGATTATTATCTACAGGTGATGAACTTAAAACTCAGAGAAGTGGAAAGATTGGCTCAAAGGTCACAAGGATAAAAAAAAAAAAGGAATGCAGACACCGTACTTCTAATTCTAAGCCTCTTTTCACTCTATCAAATTACCTTCCAGTATGTGCCATGAGTCATAGGAAGAACATCATTTCTACAGTCACCGAATATCTGTTCTGTGCCTTTTATATTTCTGGCACTGTACTAGGTGATTTACATATATTATTTCTAAACCTACCAGTGTTTAAAGTAGCAAACAAAGGCACAGAGGAGGTAAGTACAGCCTGAGATTCATTCATTCATCCATCATTAAAGAAGTTCAGGAGTAAGTCTGTGTTCTAAGCACTGGAGATATCGCTATGAACAAGACAGATTAGGTTTCTGCCTTCAAGTTTATGTGCTGGCAAGAGGAAAAAGATAGCAAATACATAAACAAATAAGTAAGTAATGTAATTTTAAATGGTGTTAAGTTCTTGAAAAAGATAAAGATGCAGGCTGGAAAGTAACCAGGACTACAGGATTACTTTAGGTGGTGTGGTCAGGGGAGATCTCCCTGAGAAAGAAATAGTTCAGCTGAGAGGAAAGTGTTGCTGGAAAAGAAAACCAGTAGAGAAAGGCACTGAAATGGGAATGAGACAGGCATGTTTGAAGAGAGGGAAGGAGGCCAGTGTGGCTGAACATGGAGGGTCCAGGAGGTGACCCTGAAAAGAATGGAGCCGTGTGGGGACTCTAGGCCGTGGAAAGGAGGTTGGCCCTCATTCTAATTGCAATGGGAAGCCATTAGATGATTCTAAGAGAGAAGAGTGATCTAAGTTTTGTTTTCAGAAGATGCCTGCAGCTCCATCGTTTGTGTAGAGAATGGACTATATAGAAGGGTATGTGAAAGGCAAGAGATGAGTGAATCCAAACGGAAAATAGAAGTGGAGATGGTGAAAAGAAGTTGGATTTGCGGTATATTTTTAGAGAGAGAGCTGGAAGAACTTCCTGGAAGATTGTTTGTGGGGAGTGGCGGACAGAAGAATAAATAATGATTTGGGGCCTGAGCAAGTGAGTGGATAGTGGATCTGTTAGCTGAAATGGGAACAACTGGTGGGTGGGCAGGTTTCACAGGCAGGTGGTTGAGAAGACAGTTGGTGTCAAGCTTCTGTTTTAGACATGTTAAGTTGGAGATACCTATTAGGCATCTGACTAGTGATCTCAGAGCAGTTGTACGTAAGAATCTGGAGCTCGGGGGAAAGGGATCAGAAGTGGCTTACATAAGGCAGTTAAAGGCATGTCTTTTCTGCTAGGAAATGAGACTTAGGCAGAGCCTTGAGGTTCTCTATCATTTAAAGACACATAGACCATAACCAGAAACATCATGCTGTCAGTCAGATATCTTTCTATTACATCACTCCATCTCCATGATTAAAGTCAAATCTCAGTAAAACTGAGCACATCAAGAAACCCCAAAAATATTACATATAAAACTATTTGCCAATTTTCCTCTTCAGCCTTTTCTTTTGTTAGTAATTTTAATTTGTCTTTTAAATGAATGTAGATTTTCAAGTGTGACATTTTAGCAAGGTCAAACTGTTCATTATCAGTTAAAGTCATATGAAAAAGTGGTAATGTTCCCTATTTATATATATAATGCATTATAAAAAACTTTTGCTTGATGTGATGTGAGTTACAAGCTAAGATTTTCCAAGAACAGGTAGTTCTCCATTATATAAATCTCTTTCTCAAGGCATTGATTGTCTGTCTGTGTTCTACTAATGACCAAGAATTGTGAAGCAACTCTAGTTCTGTGGAAGAAAAACATTTTTAATAAAAACTTATTCATATGAATTTATGGGGTACAAGTGTAATTTTGTGACATGCATAGATTTTGTAGTGTTTAAGTCAGAGCTTTTAGGGTATCCATCACTCAGATAATACACCTCGTACCCATTAAGTAGTCTGCCTTCATCACCCTTCTCCCAGCCTTCACCCTTCCCAGTCTCCATTGTCTGTCCACATGGAAGAAAATCTCTCTGGGCTTCATTAGGATGAGAAGATGAGAGTTTTATTCTGAGCCTAGCTGTCCTTTACTATGACATTATCATAGTTCATAGTATCCAAATGTGACTCACAGGGAATTCACTCAACAGTTACTGAGATACCTGAATTAACATTTCTAGGTCTTTTGTTCAAATGTTAATAAAGCCAGTGCTTCTTAGAGGCGAGGTGAGGTTAGATAAGGTCACGTAGACTCCAACATAACCAGTGTCTCAAGTGAGGTGACCTATTCTCCTTCAACCTACCATGACGTTAGCATTTCATCTCTTCACAATTTTTTCTATAAACATATAACTGCATATTACATTTATTTCTTTGTCTACTTAGCAAGGATCTGTTCAGTGTCTATGACATAACACTGTTAGGCACAGATAGAAATACAAATGAAATGCATTGCTCTTCAAGGTCTTACTAGAAAAGATGAAATAATCTAAAATTGTGGATAGACTAAACAAGATGTTTTCTATATATGGTCGAGGAGGGATTATATAATGCCTATTAAAATTCTTGACTGAGACTAATGACAGAAATCCATGGAGGATTTAAACATTTGGGGGCTAAACCTATGGTAATAAAATAACAGCCTATATAAATTACATGTACTATTATATATGCACAAAATGAATTTCTCTGGGATCTCAAGGACATTAATGTAATTATTCATTTCAAGTTTATATATTTATGTTTTTAGAGAAAATCACTATAGATTAAGTCATAGGTCTCTACATTGATCAAAAGCAGATCCACCCTCATATTTGCTCCCATAAGGGGACCACATACTTTCTTAAATTTAACATTATATTACCCTTAAGAAAACTTGGCTGGGTGCAGTGGCTCATGCCCGTAATCCCAGCACTTTGGGAGGCCAAGGCAGGCAGGTTGCTTGAGCCTAGGAGACCAGCCTGAGCAACATGGTGAAACCCCATCTCTACCAAAAAAAAAAAAAAAAAAAATTCGCTGGGCATGGTGGCACATGCCTGTAGTCCCAGCTACTCAGGAGGCTGAGGCAGCAGATGGATTGAACCCAGGAGGTCAAGGCAGCAGTGATCCTGGGAGGAAAATGAGACCCTATCTCAAACAATAGAAGGAAAAGAAGCTTTAGTCTTTCACTTTTTTTTTTCTGACCAATGCCACCAACAAAAGCAACTATTCCTGTTCAAACTTACATTCATTAAACAAATATTCATTGAATGTTTATTATAGGCTAGATGTTTCAGTAGCCTCTGGGGATACAAGGGGATATTTAGAGACCATTCCATGCTCTCGGCACAAGTAATTACACATGTGATGAGTGCAGCACAGAGCTGGGGGAGATGCAACACCTCTGCAGGAGGCTTAGAGATAAGTCAGGAAGGAAGGTGTTCCAGACCAAGAAAACCAAACCTGGAGGTAAGAAAGAACACGGTGCATTCATTCAGCTAAAACCTATCCAGCTTGACTTAAGCCAGAGGAGCTCCAGAGAGAGGCACATGAGGAGACTGGGGAGGTCAGGTGGCCAGGTCTAATGTCATCTGGAGGTCAAGGGAAAGCCAGGAGGTCCTCCAGCAGGAAAACACAGGTGCAGATTTACACTCCGAGAAGACCACTCCTAGAAGCTCAATTCTGCTTCATGGTATTACTAGTTTATTAGTGAATAATATACTTTACATTGTCACCATCACCCCACTTCATGAAAAAGAAGAGCTCATAAAAAAGAATCTGTATTGAATTGAAAGGTAAAGCTGTCATAATTGAAAAGCTGATTCCTTGTCATATTTTTTTAATGCTCCATGAAATTTTATAGCCTTGAGAAAATTTTGACTTCTAAATCTAGCCAAATAATGCTAGTGGCTGTTGCAGAATTAGTGTGTTTTGTGTTATATAATGGTGTGGATTTTTTTTTCTTCCTTAAAATACTCTTAGAACTTTTGACCTGTCCTGTGACTGAATTCTGGATACTATTGGTTATAATAGTGCAAAACAGGTCAGAGATAACATAGGATAAATAATATAGTCTCTTAGCACTTAGCCAATCTCTTTGGCCATCATCCCACAGAAAATATTCTTCAGGAGTGCTAAGGTATCAGTTATTAGAAAGTAATCTATTTTTAGAAACACCAAACTCAGCTTACCTTCTTTTCTAGATTTAGACCTTGTTTTAAAGAATACAATTCTTTCAGTTTTTCACAGGGAGACATTTATCTATACTAATCAATTCCACTAATTTATTTATTTATTTTTAATTTTGAGACAGAGTCTCACAGTATCACCCAGGCTGGAATGCAATGGTCGATCACAGCTCACTACAACCTTGATCTCCCAGGGTCAATCAATCCTCCTACCTCAGCCTCCTAAGTAGCTGGAGCTACAGGCATGAGCCACCAAGCCCGGCTAATTTTTTATATTTTTGTCGAGACGGGGTCTCCCTATGCTGCCCAGGCTGGTCTCAAACTCCTAGTCCTATGAGTTCCTCCTACCCCAGCCTCTGAAAATGCTGGGATTACAGGGATAAGCCACCATGCTCAGCTATCTCCACATATTTATGTCATGGAAATTGTACTGATTCTTGAGTCCATGAAGAGTCCATGAAGATACAAACATGTTCTGTTCAATAAACATATTGTTGTTAGCATGCTTCTTTCTACAGTGGCGTGAGGATTACCATCTCATTATTTTCCTATACTCTTAGTTTTAACCAGCTATTAAAATAAAGTGCTAAGCAGAAGAAATCTGCATATTAATATAAACATTGGGCTCATTTATTTGTGTGTTTTTCATGAACACATGATGAGGTGTTTCTGGATAGTGTGGATTGGTCAGGCCCAACAGAGATCAGCAAATGCAGTGAAGCCAGAGATACACCAGATTGTTCTTTCAAAACTTCCTCAGGAAACATGTTGTCTTAATTGAGGAGGCAACACAGAAAAACAACTGGAACCACATTCTGCAGCACTTTTTCTAGCTATGAGCATTTATTACCTTACTTGAACAGTGAGTTGTCTCTGTAGCTCCATTTTGTAAGTAGCCAAATTTTAGTAGCATCATGTGGTTCTCACATGTTTGAGTTAAAAAATTATTTTTATAAAAACAAAAATAGACAAATAAGATTTAGTTTAACTAAAAAGCTTCTGCACAGCAAAAGAAGCAGTCAACAGAGTAAACAGACAACCTACAGAATGGGAGAAAATATTAGCAGACTAGGCATCTGACAAACGACTAATAATTGGAATCTACAAGAAACTCAAACAACTCAATAAGAAATAAACAACTCTATGAAGAAGTAGACAAAGGAATCAACAGACATTTTTCAACAGAAGACACACAAATGGCCAAAAAACATATGAAAAAATGCTCAACATTACTAATCATCAGAGAAATATAAATTAAAACCACAAAGCAAATGGAAAGCAAAATTGTGGAATCAACCTAAGTGTCCAATGTCCATCAATGGTTGATTGGATAAAGAAAATGTGGTGTGTGTGTGTGTGTGTGTGTGTGTATGTAGATATATATATTATACATTATATATAATATATATAATATACACACATGTACACCATGGAATACTACTCAGCCATAAAAAAGAATGAAACTGGAGGCCATTATCCTAAGTGAAATGACTCAGAAACACAAAGTCAAATGCTACATGTTCTCACTTATAAGTGGGAGCTAAACAATCTGTACACATGGACATAGTGAATGGAATAATATACAATGGAGACTCCAAAAGGTGGGAGGATGGGAGGGGGGATGAAAAATTACCTATCGGGTACAATGTACGCTATTTGGGTGATGGGTATACTAAAAGCCAAGACTGTACCACTACATAATATGTCCATATAATAAAACTACATTTGTATCCCCTAAATCTATAAAGTTTTTTAAAAAAGAAGTGATTTTAAAAAATCAAACTTTTCCATTGGATTATCTATTGAGATTCTTTTCAATTATCTACAAATATTTTTCATTTTAGTTTTTAAAAATACTCTAAATAAAAGCTGAAATTTCTTACTATTCTAGGCCAGAGTTTAAAGCAACATGGGCCCTTTTGGTTTTATGAATATATTAGTTTATTAGTTTTTATTTCTATTAGTAACCAATAAATATATAGCAAAAAAATCATTAGGCTTTATCGACCTAGTGATAAAGAGAAAATTAGAGGTACATAGATAATTTCCATCATAATTGATCATTTTTAGAAATTCTATAGCAGAACACTGAAAAGCATCCTACTTGTTAAGCAATTTATTCCATTTTTCTCATGGTATTGGGTACACTAAAAATTGGTCATTAAAGGCATATTGAATATTCTTGTTTTCATGTACCTCTGTTCATTATATGAAGTTCAATTCAGGATTTGAAGTCTTTCCTTCACACAATCCCACAAAAATGCATATGGTGAGTATAAATTGAAAAAAATAGGGTATTTCTCTAAATGCAAAAAGAAAAACATCTGTCTTTAAATTTTTTTAAACCCTGCCTAAATTGACATGTGCTTTACATTAGTCCTGTATTATTCAAACTTTCATACTTATGTGTGCATTATGTATGCTCACACACACTTTAGTGATGGGGTTTGTGTATGTATAAGGTACCTGCAAATCCAAACTACTTCATTTGAAATTTGGGAAATTTTTCCTAAAATAACTTCCACAAATATATGTGTGTATGTAGGTATATATGTATATTTTATATGTAAATATTTATATATGCATATTATATATAATATATGTATTCTACAAATGTATTATATATCTATAAAATAGTACCATGGAATGCTTTAAATATATTGTAATTGGTTTTCAGAGTTGGGGTGTGTGAGTTGTTCTATATTTTAAGGATAGTGTCCTTTTTAGGAAAACATTTAAGTGTGATCTTTTAGATAGATGTGCCTTCCTGAAGAAGGAAAGACTAATTTAAAAAAAAGAAAGAAAGGAAAGAAATTATCTCCTGGTCTGGTTTACTTTTTGCAACAGCTGTTAAAATTCGGACAGTGACAGAGAAATATCTGTAGCAGCTCTACAGATGTTTACAAAAGAAAAATATCTCCTTTACCTGCCTTGGTGAGCATCTTATCAGCAAGCACATTAACTCAAACAATAGCTACTCTTATCTGCAGAGGACAGGTTCAGGCTCATTAGTGAAGTGAACTGGCAGCCACTCCCCTCTACATAGCAACTGGAGCAAATATTGTTCCAGCCCGCCAAGTGACCAATGAGAACTGAGATAGTGCCGTGGAATCTTTTCAATACGAGTAGTGTTAGTGTGAACAACCTCTCTTTGACTCTCATTCGCCTTCTCATTTAATCCTACCATTTCAAGAGAATGATCTCATCTACAGACTGTAAATACTTGGGGACTTTTATGAAGGGAAAATATTACAAAGGGCTGAAGTTTGCTTCAAGAACAACTTAGGTAGGCACTTCAGTTTAATTACTAGCAACTTGCATATGTTGTGGTATTTCAAAAGGGCTGTAGTGTTAGTACACTCATTATGGAAATTTCTAAATGTCAGTGTATGAATCAGTAACGGTGATGATTTTTATTATTCTAAAAAGATCTCTAAGATAACTAAAATTAAGCAGGCTGCACGTTCTCTAATCATGTAATGAATGAATCAGGATTCTTGTCTGAGATGCAGGCCAAATGTGCTCTGGAACTGGTTAGTGCGGCATATGGTGAATCTACATCAGACTTGACCCCCGCAGGTTTGTAACTGAAACTTTGTATAAATTGACCACACCCTTCATTAACTCTTCTGCTGCCTAGAAAATAATAAAAATTGTGAAGTGGGACTGATGGCTTTTGAAAAATACAATCAGGGGCTTGTGTCTCTTTGCAATTCTAGAAGAAACGTCACAGGATTTTAATTCCTGCCAAGCAATATTGACCACGTTTCCTGTCTCTTCCCTTCTTGTGCTTTTTGCCTTGCTTTATGATGCTGGCAAGTATGGAAGCCTTTATCTACCGTGTAAATGTATATCGTTGTAATTCAACAGGGAACCGGGCTTCAAATTACAGCCTCCGAATGCAATAACCTTGGTTATTTACCGAGTACAAAGTAAACAACTTACTTTACTGTCAAAAGTTTTACTGCAATATGTTGCGGGGCTTACTACTAGAACAACCATTCAATAATTGTCTGTCTATTTAACGGGCGGATTTTATTTCAAACCAAATAGATACTGTCTTTGTAAATGCTGAAATGTTTGGTTTTTGTTTTTAGCCCAGAAGAAAATTCCCATAAATACAAACCCATTCTGGCCACCTAAGAATTTTGTCCTAGAAGTGGCATGCTTTCTTTCCCTTACGGGTTTTAAAACTTGGCCACATGGTATTTTTAAGTTGGCAAAGTAATACCTTTTAGACACGCCTTCAGGATTTTGCTTAATTGAGTACAGCAGGTTAACAAAAGTGCCAATGTTCCTTTAAAACAAAAACCAAAATGCTCTGTGGACTTAAAGCTAATGCTAAATATTAGATTAAATTGCCAATTGCACTTTTCCATGTTTATCTTCTGAGATAGGAATAAAATTAAAATGTGTTACCATAGAAGCATCTGTAACATTTTATGAGACAAAAGATCCTTTTTTCCACACAAAGATCCAAGCCAAAAGCATTATCCATTAAGGAAAGCAATAAGGCTAGAGGGACATTTTTTTATAGTCATATTATGGAAATACTAAAGATCCAATGTCCTGAAGTCAAATTGGGAAACACAGCTGTTCACATTCATTTTTGTCCTGGATTGACACTCTTGGTTAATTCCTGAATATTGATCAGTTCTTATCCTCCAACATCCCTAAAACTGGAAAAGTTTTCTCCTATCCACATTTATTCTCAAATCACATTTTAGGGAATAACAAAGAGGTGAATATAAATCTATGCCTTGTGAAGCATTTATTTAGGCTCTATGCCTGACTTGGTTTTGTAATCTTGATTTTTATTCTCTGGAGCTTATTTCTTTGGCTCTCTTCTTTGAAAATAATGGCAGGGTTCTCATCTAAAGAAAAAACATAGAGAGCTTTTAAAACCTTGCAGTCCATGAATTTTCTTTGCATTTCATCCTAACCACCGTTGCCTTCTTTACCATTCAGTTCTCCTTTCTCCCAGAAGCTTTCCAGAGTTTCTTCCCTCTTTTCCTTCTGCTTCATTTATTCTGCACCACATGCTCTAAAACTTACCAGTTCATTCATCTATTTACTCTATGTGTGATTCTGTGAACTGTAAGTAGAAGATTCTAGCTGGATCCATTTTAAAACTAAGATAACTTTTTTCCCCTAAACGTAAGCACTATGTCCAAGTTATCAATCAAATTTATCTGCTTTGATAGTTGACTCATTACATACCTGAAACTGGAAAAGTTTTCTTCCATTCACAATTCTTAGGTTAGCTTAATATTTACGTAACTTATCAACCATTCAATTAGAAGTTTTTAAGTATATCTAAGGAAAAAATTTTAATTGCAATCCCTGACTTCATTTAAATTCCAGTTGACTCCCAAAATGTGTTACTTTTCACAGATCGAGAATTTGTAAAACTATAGAAGTCAAGCCACTCAGTTCTCTGTATTCTCCTTGTCTGTTGACAATTTTTAGCATTCTTTAGAAATCTGGTTTTATCGGCAGAATGCAAGATTCTTGAAGGTAAATTTCATGCTATGAACATCAGCCTTCCACAACTGCTTATTGAGTAGACTACTAAGCCAAAGAATCTTAAAGCTTTCTCTGTAGATTTTAAACCTGAAGAGAAGTTAATGTTCTGAATAATTCTATTGCCTCGAGACTACTGTAGATGACTGAGTTACAGCATTTTTGTTTATAAGAATTATCAGTGCCAGGCCTGACTGAGTTACAGCATTTTTTATCAGTGCCAGGCCGGGCATGGTGGTTCACACCTGTAATCCCAGCACTTTGGGAGGCCGAGGCGGATGAATCTATTGTAGTATGGTGGCTGGTCAATAGGCTTGGCCCTTGTAATACCTGAAGCACTAGAAGCTTAAAGCCTGAGAAGAAAGGCCTTGCTTAGTAAGAAATCGACTTCCTGTCCCTCCTGATACAGTACTCAGTGCAGTGGACACAGCTTTTTCTTCTTGGCAGTGAAACCTCCCTCTGCACTTGTCACCTTAAGCACTGCCTCATCACCACCATTATAGCCGTCAGTTTGTGGTATCATTTTTCAGCACTCAGTGTGGTCCAGGTACTCTATAAATATACCACATCCATGATCTGATTTAATCTTCACAATAATCCCATGATATAGATATATTTGCCAGATACGGAAACTAAGGCTCAAACAGAACAGTTATCCAAAATGGTTATGTAGGAAAACTGGGGTACAAACTCAGGTCATTCTCCCTCCAAGGGCCAAGATTCTAACTGCTTTTTCACAGCGGTAGAAAAATATTAAGGGGAACCTCCACCTTTTGATTTGCTCTGGGTTAGTAAACCCTTTCACTAGGTGTGGACGTTTAATAGGCCTCTCAAACTCAACGTGTCCAAACCGAACACTTGATTTGATATCCCCCTTCCCAATCTGTTCCTCATATAGTCTCAGAAAATGGCACCACCATCTAGCCACTTGCTTAAAGCCAAAGCCTGAGAGTCATACTCTGTTCCTTCACAGCTTACTTCATCAGCAGGTCCCATTGGCAAAACCTCCAAATCTGAACACGCTTCTTGCCACCCACACTGCTCAGCCCTGGTCCAAGCCATCCTTCCACGGACATCAGCAGCTACCTCCTAAATAGTATACCTTCTTTTGTGCTCCATATAATGGTCAGAGTGTTCTTTTTAAATTGTAAATCTGATCCAGACATCAGCCTGCCAACAACCCACCAGCACAGGTGGTTGTCAGCAGGCTGATGTCTGGAGCAGATTTTTTTTTTTATTAATTTAGAACAAAATCTTCTGTTCTTAATATAATCTACAAGTAAGGCCCAGCCAGCATGTTCTAGAGTCTGTCCACCTCTCCACCCTCATCTACCACTCTTCTCCCCAACTCACGCCTACAGCTGTGTTCTGAGTAAGCTTTCTTTCCATTTCTCAAGATTTCCAAGCACAGGAAGTCTCAGGGCCTGTGCATTTCCAGTTCCTTCTGCCTGGAGTGCTCTTTTTCCTAGATCTTCTCATGATGACAGGTCTCAGCTCAAAAGTCACCATCTCAGGAAGCCCTGCTCTGAACACTCCCGCCAAAGGATCCCTCCCCTACCCCATTTCTTTCTACCCCATTGCCTTTTTTTTTGTTAATTGTGTAGCATTTACCACTCTCTGCAGTCATTTGTTTATTTACCTGCTTATGTGTTGAACTATCTCTCTCCTTTCACTAGGTCTTTAGTTCCTTATCAGCTGAGTTTGTCTGTCTTTCCCAATTCTATACCCCCAGTGTCCAAAACACCTTGACATATGGTTTGAATGAATGAGTGAATGAATGGCTAAGAAGATTGATGGTCATGTAAGGAAACATATCCCAAATACCCTTCTGGTTTTTATTGGTGGGGGACAATAAATCAGTAACTACAATTTAGAGAGATGATTGCTATGACTGAAAGGTATGAAGAGTTCTAAAAGAACGTGGGAAGTTGGGAAGGAACCATCTCAGGCTGAGAGGGTTAGAAAAGGATCCCTGGAGAAAATCATGCTTCTAGGAGGCCCTCTTTCCTATGGTCTGTTCATAAAGCATAAAGGTACCCTTCCCAATTATACGAAGCTGCATACCATTATTGGTGTGGAAAAACAGTAACCCTGGTATTGTATTTCTAAATGCTTGAGACTACTAACATAATCTTGATCACTATGTTCATTTATCCTTGGAATACAACCTTTTACGTTTGAATCTTAATTAAAGAGAAAACAACTTCTGGGAAGCAGCTTTTTTTTTTTTGCAAGGTTTATCCTCAGCTTGCCAGGATAGCTACATTTTTGGATGATCTGTGCCACGTCTTGCTTTCAGACTCTTATTGGTATTGTCGTGGTGCTTAATTAAGCATAATACTAGCATAAACAGTATAGTCATGGAATGCTGGAGATAATAAAAAGGGCATGTTGAGAAGCATCAGACACTTATTGCATAGTTAAAAACATGACTTTCAGAAACCTCCCAAAGTCAGAGAATGTTTAGAAACTTATTTTGGATATCCTGAGTCACTTCTTACTTTCAGTGGGTACAATGGGATCAATCACTGATTATAAATTATTGTGCTTTACAAGATGCTTACCACAAAAAACCCCCAAAGAAACAAAAAATTAAGAAAGAAAGAAAGAAAATGCTCACACAGATGTCCCTTCTAGCTTTTGCCACTATTTAGCCTCTTGGTTAAAATGTTCCAGTAGCTTCTTACTTGTCTTCTTTTCTTGTTATTCTCATCTTCAAACCACTGTCAGGCCAGTTATAATAAATGATCATTTTATGCCTCCATTATGCAAGGCAGCATATTGCAGTGAAATTATTTATTTGTTATGTCTGTCTCCCTAATAGACTGTATGTTCCTTGAGGAAAATAACTGCTATTCTATCTTTGAATTTTTAGTATCCAATATCGTCTAACCTGTGGTAGATGCTCAATAACAAGTTTGGGGAATGAATCATTCCCCAAAGCCTTCATTTTATTGTCTCTCCCATTTATAAGAGTGGAGAAAAGAAATATCAAGTACCAACTCTTTTGCCCTGAATGAGTTGGAAGTTGGCAGCACTTCAAAGTAGAACTTATTAGCTACTATAGAGAACTCATAATATGATGGCTTTGTCACAGAGGCTCTAAAGAGTCAGAAAAACAAAACAAAAGCTAGAGTAAGAGATTAAAGCTAGAAGAGATTCCTGAGGCTTAGAATGTATTTATCACTCTCTGACTCACTTAAAAATGAGAGATCAACATTCACCAGCATATTATGTCCTGTCTTTTCCCAATTGTTCTATCTGCTATTATTTTAATATCCGGGATTAAAAGCTTAGTTAGCCTTTGAGATGCTAGTTAATGCTTCTTAATCACCATGACTGCAAATCAGGTGTCTGCCACCAGCTGAATCCCTTTGCCTTGCATGAATCTGATTCGCTACAGCAATAGTTCTCTCACTTTAGTATGCATCAGAATCACCTGGAGGGCTTATAAAACCGTAGATAACTTGAGCTCCACCCCACTTGGATTAGTCCGTTTTCACACTGCTATAAAGAAATACCTGAGACTTGGTAATTTATAAAGGAAAGAGGTTTAATTGACTCACAGTTCTGCATGGCTGGGAGGACTCAGGAAACTTACAATCATGGTGGAGGGGAAGCAGGCACATCTTACATGGCAGCAGGTGAGAGAGTGTATGTAGGAGGATCTGTCAAACACTTATAAAACCATCAGATCTCATGAGAACTCAGTATCACGAGAACAGCATGGGGGAAACCGCCCCCATGATCCAATCATCTCCCTCCCTCAACATGTGGGGATTATAATTTGAGATGAGATTTGGGTGGGGACACAGAGCCAAACCATATCACCACTCTAACCCCAGATTTTTTATTGGTGAGGTCTGACTTGGGGATGAAGAATTGGCATTTCTAACAAGTCTCTCGGAGCTGCCGTTGCTGGTCTTGAAACCACAACTTTCAGAACTCCTGGTCTACAATGCTTCTCTCAGTTTCATGCACCTATGAATCACCTGGAAATCTTGTGAAAATGCAAATTCTACTTTAGTACATCTGAGCTGGGGCTTGAGATTCTGCATTCTAAGAAGTTTCCAAGTTATGCCACTGCTATTGGCCTGGGGACCACTGTTGAAAAGTTCTCTCCTCTGGCTGCATGTTAGAATCATCCAAAATCTTAAAATATCTTGCTGCCCAGACCCTGCCACAAAATTCCGTTTCAATTAACCTTCAGGGAAGTAGGGGCAGAAATCTATATTTTTAATGAGGAGCTCCAGGTATTTCTATTACAGGTAATCCATAGTCCACAATTGGAGGAAAACTGGTCTAGAAAGGATAAAATCATCTATGGAATTTTCATATAAATATAATTGTCTAAAACATATGTGAGTTATTAAAGAATATATTTTTTAAAGTATCATTGCATTTAATTGTTCCTAAGATGCACTTTTTAATATTTCAATATCTCTAAAATTGGAACACTTCATAATCTGTGGTGCTTACAATTATTTAATATAATTGGCAGCATTTTCTTTTTTTTTCTTTTTTTATTATTATACTTTGAGTTTTAGGGAACATGTGCACAACGTGCAGTTTAGTTACATATGTACATGTGCCATGTTGGTGTGCTGCACCCAGTAACTCGTCATTTAACATTAGGTATATCTCCAAATGCTATCCGTCCCCCCTCCCCCAACCCCACAACAGGCCCTGGTGTGTGATGTTCCCCTCCCTGTGTCCATGTGTTCTCATTGTTCAATTCCTACCTATGAGTGAGAACATGCGGTGTTGTGGTTTTTTGTCCTTGCGATAGTTTGCTGAGAATGATGGTTTCCAGCTTCATCCATGTCCCTACAAAGGACATGAACTCATCATTTTTATGGCTGCATAGTATTCCATGGTGTATATGTGCCACATTTTCTTAATCCAGTCTATCATTGTTGGACATTTGGGTTGGTTCCAAGTCTTTGCTATTGTGAATAGTGCCGCAATAAACATACGTGTGCATGTGTCTTTATAGAGCATGATTTATAATCCTTTGGGTATATACCCAGTAATGGGATTGCTGGGTCAAATGGTATTTCTAGTTCTAGATCCCTGAGGAATTGCCACACTGACTTCCACAATGGTTGAACTAGTTTACAGTCCTACCAACAGTGTAAAAGCAAAACCACAATGAGATACCATCTCACACCAGTTAGAATGGCGATCATTAAAAAGTCAGGAAAAAACAGGTGCTGGAGAGGATGTGGAGAAATTGGCAGCATTTTCTTTCTCTGTGATACATAAAATGATTAGTAGTGATAAATGAAAAACTTCAACCGAATTAAATTTAAAAGAGTTTAATTGAGCAATGAACAATTCATGAATCCGGCAGGCTCGAAGACTCCAGCACAGCCATAAGGTGGAAGAAGATTTATGAACAGAAAAAGGAAAATGATGTACAGAAAATGGAAGTGAGGTACAGAAACAGCTGAATTGGTAACACGTTGATGTTTGCCTTATTTGAACACAGTTTGAATGCTCAGCAGTGTATGAGTGGTTGAAGTATGACTACAGGAATTGGCCAAGACTCAGCTATTGTTATAGACACATACACCTAAGTTAGGCTTTTCAGTCTTTTCTACCGACTAAGTTAGGTTATGGTTTGCCCACAAGGACTCAAATATGGAAATATAGAGTCCTTCTCAGGCCATATTTAGTTTGCTTTAACAGTAGATAAACTATGAGTATTCTTATTTCTATTAAATACAGTATATCAATTTTTAAAGATCTGAAAAAAATGCATGACATTCACAGGATTGTAACATTTGTTAGCACCCATTTAATTCAGGTTTTTCTTACATAGGAAGGATTTAAAATATATCAAAAGTATTTGCAATTTTTATTCTCTAAGAGATTGTTTGTTATGCTGGGGCAGGAGTCAAGAGTAGAGAGGCAATTTGGAAACTGAAAGAAAGGCTAAATTGACCATTACTCAAAAGAGGCCACCAGTTCCAGGGACTCTTGGAGGACCCAAGAGTAGAGAGGCAATTTGGAAACTGAAAGAAAGGCTAAATTGACCATTACGCAAAAGAGGCCACCAGTTCCAGGGACTTTTGGAGGACCTTGGCCAAAGAAAGAAGAAGGGGAATGAAAGGACAAACCCAGCATGCAGCAATGGGCAGCAGAAGAGGAAAAGAAAACAGCTGAACAGCTGCCTGGAAAGTGGAACTTCGATAAGAGAGGACACATGAATGGGGGCGGGGCGGGGGGAACGTTGTGAATCTCTCATCACTTCCTGGAGAAAATGTTACAAAGACCCATACTACTTTTCAATGTTCTTTCAATTTAATGTGTGCTTCCTTTGGATGCAGGATATACTGAGGCAAAGTAGCCTAGAATATTCACAAACAACTTGTTAATTTGAAATCTGATAATAAATAACATTGGTTTGTTCTACATTATCTTCTAGGGTCAGCAATTTCCCTGGACATACACCTTCCATTAAGTTAGGATTTAAAAAACATCTAATTGTGAATCAAATAGCCCTTACAAAAGCATTTCCAAAATTTGTGTTTGATATGGTTCAGCTGGGTCCCCACCTAACGCTCATCTTGAATTGTAGTTTCCATAATCTTCACGTGTCATAGGAGGGACCCAGTGGGAGGTAATTTAATCATGGGGGTGGTTAACCTCATGCTGTCCTTGTGATAGTGAGTGAGTTCTTACAAGATCTGATGGTTTTATAAGGGGCTTTTCCCCCCTTTTGCGCGGTACTGCTCCTTGCTGCTGCCATGTGAAGAAGGACATGTTTGCTTCCCCTTCTGCCATAATTGTAAGTTTCCTGAGGCTTCCCCAGCTGTGCTGAATGTGAGTCAACTAAACCTCTTTCCTTTATAAATTACTCAGTCTTGGGTATGTCTTTATTAGCAGCATGAGAACAGACTGATACAGTGTTCTAAACAATAAGACTGTGGAAAATGTTTTACATGTGAAGAAAAAAACACAGAGGAGTTAGATAATAGATTGATAGAATAGACAGATGATAGATGATTGATAGATATCATAGGTAGATAAATATGTTGGTAGGTAATATGATAGATCAATGGATAGATAGATAGTCCCAGTGCTTAAAAAAAAACCTATAGTAAAGAAAGTTATTTGTGTTTTTAAACCTATTACTTCCCAAACTCATTTAAAAAGAGAACACTGTTTGAGGCTCACCCATTAACATTTGGTAAACACTATTCTGTAAAATTCCAGTTTGTGTGCTCTGTATGTGTCAATTTCTAGTTTTAACCAACTCCTAGTAGATTTCTATTTTCAAGTAGGGAAAGAGTTTTCACAGGAAAAGAAGAGCATTTGGAGATCAAAGAAAGGGATAAAGGAGACTATCTGAAAATAAGCTTCAGCTCTGTAATTTTGACTAAGGCAGTCCTTGCTTTCAATCCCTAGAAAGTCCTAGTAAATCTCCCACAGTGGGGAGGTCAAGGTAGTTCACCACAATGGCTAATAGTGCCATGTAAAGTGCAGCTATTTGAAAGTTGGTTAATCTCCCTAAACGTCATTTCGTACCTTCATGTAATTCGGGTAAGAATGATGTCTCCTCCAGAGGGACATTGGGGATATTAAATGGAATGTCATATTGAAGCATGCCATAACTAATCAATGACTGTCAGTTGTCATTATTAACAAATGCATCCAATTGCTAAATTTTAATCTCTAAATGTTTGAGAAATTGATTTGGAAAAACATAGGAATACTCAAACATTGCAGCAATTTTTTTTAGCTATGCAATACAGCGCACAAATATGTATAAATCAACATATATCTAGTTAGGTAAACAAGCATATAATATCGGGTAGTTAAAGACGGAAAAGGTCTAGGTCAATGTTCTTAAAATAAATATTTAAAGGAAAATTAACAAATTAAAAAATATGAGAATCATGTTTATGCCCCTATTGTGAAGATGACTCTTCGGTAGCTTAACGGGGCATTGTTTTTTATTACATAAAAATTATTTTAAAATAAGTTCTTATCTGACATGTAAGACATAATTTTTTTCTGGAATTTTATTTTATTTTGACAGATAAAAATTATATATAAAGTATACAATGTGATGTTTTGATATACATATATGTTGTAAAATGATTACTGCAATCAAGCTAATTAACATATTCTCAGCTCACATAGTTACAGCTTGTGTGTGTGGTGAGAATACTTCAGGTCTACTCTCAGTAAACTTTAAATATAGAACACAGTGTTATTAATTATAATCACCATATTGTCCATTAAACCTCCAAAATTTATTCGTCCTGAAACTTTGTACCGTTTGACCAATAGCTCCTCATTTCCTCCACCATCCAAACCCTGGCAACCACCATTCTACCTTCTGTTTTATGAGTTTGACTTTTTTGGATTCCACGTGTGTCAGATCGTGCCATGTTTGTCTTTCTGTGCCTGGCTTATTTCACTTAAGATGATGTCCTCCAGCCTCATCAATGTTGTCACAAATTGCAGGATTTCCTTCTTTTTAAAGACTGAATATTATTTCACTGTGGTGTGTGTGTGTGTGTGTGTGTGTGTGTGTATCACATTTTCTTTATCCATGCATCCATCAACAGATGGGCAAAGGACATGAACAGACAACTTTCAAAAGAAGACATACATGTGGCCACCAAGCATATGAAAAAAATGCTCAATATCACTAACCATTAGAGTAATGCAAATCAAAACCACAGTGAGATACCGTCTCACACCAGTCAGAATGGCTACTATAACAGACAAAAAATAACAGGTGCTGGTGAAGTTGTGGAGAAAAGGAAATGCTTATACACTGCTGGTGAGAGTATAAATTACTTCAACCATTGTGGAAAGCAGTATGGAAATTCCTCAAAGAACTAACTACAGAACTATCATTTGACCCAACAATCACATTACCGGGTATATAGCCAAAGGAATATAAATCATTCTACTATAAAGACATATGTATGCATATGTTTACTGCAGCACTATTCACAACAGCAAAAACATGGAATCAACCTAAATGCCCATCAGTGGTAGACTGGATAAAGAAAATGTGGCACATATACATCATGGAATACTATGCAGCCAAAAAAAACGAGATCAAGTCCTTTGCAGGAACATGGATGGTGCTAGAGGCCATTATCCTTAGCTAACTAACACAGGAACAGAAAGCCAAATACTGCATGTTCTCACTTATAATTAGCAGCCAAAAAATGAGAACATGTGGACAGGAGGAGGAAAACAATGGAAACTGGGGCCTACTGGAGGGAAGAAGGTTGGAGGTGGGAGAGGTTCAGGAAAAAAAAAAAACTGTCAGATACTATGATTTGTACCCATGTGACAAAATAATCTGTATACCAAACCACTGAGTCACAAGTTTACCTATATTACAAACCTGAACATGTACCCCTGCACCTAAAATAAAAGTTACAATATTAAAAAAAAATACCCAGATCCTTAGGTTGTTTCCAAATCTTGGCTGTTGTAGATAACACTACCATGAACGTGGGAGTGCAGATGTCTCTTCAGGATACTGATTTCATTTCCTTTGTGTATATACCTGGAAGCAGGATTGTGCTGGATTTTATGCTAGTTCTATTTTTTTTTTTGAGCAACCTTCATACTGTTTTCCATAATGGCTGCACCAGTTTCCATTCCCACCAACAGTGTACAAGGGTTTGCTTTTCTTCACGCCCTTGCCAACGCTTAATCTTTTGTCTTTTTGATAGTAGCCATTCTAACAGGTGTGAGGTCATATTTCATTGCTGTTTTGATTTGCATTTCTCTGATTAGTGATATCAAGTGCTTTTTCATGTATTTGTTGGCCATTTGTTTTCTTTGAAGAAATGTCTGTTCAAGTCCTTTGCCCATTTCTAAGTAGGGTTATTTGGGGATATTGTTACTGAGTTACTCAGTAAACTCAACTGAATTAAGTTTCTTATATATACGGATATTAACTCCTTACCAGATTTATGGTTTGCTAATATTTTATCCCATTTCTTAGGTTGTCTCTTTACTCTGTTGACTATTTCCTTTGCTTTGCAGAAGGTTTTAGTCTGATGCAATCCCATTTAACTATTTTTACTTTTGTTGCCTATGTTTTTTAGGTCATATCAAAAAATCATTGCCTAACCAATGTCAAGGTTTTTTTTTATGTTGTCTTCTAGTAGTTTTACAGTTTCATGTCTTACATTTAAATCTTGAATTCACTTTTAGTTGACCTTGTATGTGGAGTGAGGTAAGGGTCTACTTTCCTTCTTCTGCATATAAATATCCAGTTTTTCTAGTGCCATTTATTGAAGAAACTGTCCTTTCCCCATTATGTAATTTGGGCACCCTTGTTGAAGACCAACTGTCCATATATGTATGGGTTTATTTCTGGGTTCTCTACTATGTTTCATTGGTCTATATGTCTGTTTTTATGCAAGTATCTTACTGCTCTCATTACTGTTTTATAGTTCTCAGTGTGTCCAGATTTTTCACCTCCTTGATTAAATGTCTTCTTAGGTATTTTATTGATTTTATGCTATTGTAAATGGGATTGTTTTCTTAATTTCTTTTTCATATAGTTCATTGTTAGTGTACAGAAACACAACTGACTTTTGTATGTTGACTTTGTATCCTGCTACTTTACTGAATTTGTTTATCAGATTTTTTGTGGAGTCGTTAGGGCTTTCTATATAAAAGATCAGATCATCTGTGAACAGAGACTATTTGACTTCTCCCTTTTGTGATCTGAATCCCTTTTATTCCTTTTTCTTGCCTAATTGCTCTGGCTAGGACCTCCTGTACTATGTTGAATTTCTGATCTTAGAGGAAAAGCTTTCATTTCTTCGCTGTTTATGATGTTAGCTATGGGCTTGTCATATATGCCTTTAGTATATTGAGGAACATTTCTTTGATACCTATCTCGTTGAGAATTCTTATGAAAGGAGTTAATTTTGTCAAATGTTCTTTCTGCATCTATGGAGATGATCAGATAATATTTATCCCTCATCCTGTTAATGTGGTATGTCACATTTATTGATTTGCATATGTTGAATTATTCTTGCATCACAGGGAGAAATCTCACTTGATCCTGATGTATGATCCTTTTAATATGCTATGAATTTGGTTTGCTGGTATTTTGTTGTGGGAAAATATAATGTTATATGCATAGTTGCCTCCAACCTAAGCCAGTGCCTGATAAATGAAAGGCTTTGCACTCTTAATTGAACAAATTCCTTGGTTCCAGTACTTTACTGTTCATTGAAAGCCAGGAAGTACTGGGACAAAGAAATTATTAGAGTTGATAATAAAAGAGTAAACAGCATACTCATTATTAGCAGCGTACTTTCTCATTTTCCCTCCCTGATAGGACTTTAACTCTCTTCTATATATTTCAGCCCTAATGTACTTATCATATAGTCTTTAGGAACAAGAGAAAAGACCAAGTAGAATATGTACAAAACTAAAATAAATACAGAGACATTTCTTTTTGTTTTATTAGGAAAAGTTAGGAGGATGAGAAACAGTGAAATCTAAGATATTGTTCCTACAATATTTTGCTATGTGTATGGTATGGATGAATAAAGTGAAATATCCTTTATAATTATCTAAAAAGTATGTGAAAGTGAATAGATGATGCTGAAACTAAAAAATTTTATTCTAGATCAGTGCTTCTCAAACATTAATGTGCATACGAATCACCTGAGGAGTTTTCCAAGCACATTTCGATTCAGCAGGTCTGGGCTGGAGACTGAGATTCCACAATCACAAAGAGCTCCCAGGGAGTACTGATACTGCTGGTCTGCATATCACACTTGGAGTAGAAAGGTTCTAGATTACATAGACCGTCATCTTCATGCACCAGACTTATTTCCTAGTCTGGGTTCCTCTGGAAATATTTCCAGTGCACCAATCAGTTTGATGGAGTTGGATAAAGAGGGAGACTCAAGATTTACTTCACTTGAAAAGAATATTTATTTTCCATTTAAGGCTAATGGACTAATGGACTAAATATTACACATCTCAGCCCTTGGGATATCTGTGATAATATTTTTCTTTTCCTACCAATGTGCTTTTACTCTATACTTCTGCTCTGCTGGGTGGCCAATGGGACCTTGTCTGTTTACCAAGCCTAGTTCTCAGGTCTACTTTCCTTCGATATCTTTTCTTTCTTCCAACCTTCCAATCCAAACTGAGGTGGTGGTATTCCCCACCACCAAGAAAGGCATAGTTTCCATTTTTTCTCTACCAGTTCTAGTACATGCAATTAAATTTTCTGAGCCCAAAATTTCTCATCTCTGAAATAAGGAGCATGAAACTCTGTGCGTGGGTGCATATGAAGCTAATGAAATGGCACATAAAGTGTCTAACACAAAGAAGGAACCAAATAAATATCAGATTCTATCCCTATCCCACTTTTATTTTGTCCCATTCCAATGTGGCTTTGCATAATTGGAAATCATTATGTATAGACATCAGGTAAAATCTAGCACCAGCTTATATAGTACTCTAAGACCATCAGGTTTTTTTTTTTTTTACCTCGTCTTCAGTTTTAATTTAAAGCAATTAAAATTAATATATTCAGATTTCAACAAAGTGTAAGCATCCCTCTGCTGAACCACTGTATCATTACAGTGTGCGTTAAGAATGCCAATAGGCATGGAACAGATGCCAGATAACCAAGATGGTACTTTTACTGGGTCTGGCATTAAACAAAGAAATGTGTTCATAAGTCATCTTTCTTGGATCTCAACCAAAAATTGTTATTTTGGATTTTGTCATCTTTCCATTTAAATTTCTACTTAATCCTTCATTAGAGTATGTGTTAACAATCTTAATTTGTGTGATTGCCTTCATGAAAAGTTGGATATATAAAATAAATGTCACTTTTAAGGCATCTAAGGAATTGTTTTCTATCTTAGTCACCAAGTATGTCAGACACATTGCTTACAATGTCTTCTATTTCAATCTGTGGTTTGTTTCTGCCATCCAAAAATGAGTAAACTTTAGTTTCACCCAGCCGTGTTTCTGAATATGAACATTCAAATGTGGACCATGTGTGATGGAAAATCCTGCCATGGCTGAGAATATGGATAAACTTGAGGGGGACTGTTTGATGGAAAGTCATTATATAATGTATATTTTCTTTCATTCATTTAACAAACATTTATTCTAGGCCAATGGTGAGCAAAATATTCCCTCAACAAAGTACCCATGCACACACACATGAAGAAACTACACATTTATTTGGAATGTCTAGTAGAGTTCCCCCCTTTCTTGGCTATTTTACACCAGTTCCCATATAACTGGTTTATATAATAATAGTTATTTATGATAAAAATTTGACTAATTCTAACTGACAAGAAGATAGATATGTTTGTTTTGGAAACTATTTCTATTTGGTAATAGATTCCAAATGTATTGAATGGTCTCTAAAAGATGTAGGAACACAGGACATACTGCTCATGATGTACAACAAAAACAATAGTTTCAAAATTTTATGACATATTGCAGTTTATCAAGTGGTTTTATAACCATTATCTTGTTTAATTCTCACAACATCCTTATGAGTAGTGTGTGTGTGTGACCATGAGAATATATGAGTGTGAGTGTGTGTGTGTGTGTGTGTGTGTCCGTGTAGGAGAGGAAATGATTAACCCATTTCATAGATGAGGTGTAACCCATTTCATAGATGAGGTGTAACTAACAATGTAGCTTCAATTATACTGGCAGGTCACAGAAAAGAGATTTGCAACCAGCCTTATGCCTCTCCTCCCACCTCTCTCTACTGACCCACATCTTTTTATGAAGTAGGGATTGCAGCCATCCCACAGCTCATCAATGCTGTCATGTCTATGCACGAAGGCACTCTTAGATAGAAGAGAAAACAGAGGGGGGCCTGGGATCCAGTCCCCAGCGCAGGCACTGAGTGTGCCCCTGGCCCCATCAGTTTAATTCTGAGCGCTCAGGACAGTATGAGGAGCAGCCTGTCGTTTTCGGAGACACCAGCTGAGGGAGCCTGTGGACACAATACCAGTTGAAAAGCTCCCCAGCCCAGGGTGGAACCAAGCAGCCCACGCCTGCTCTTAGGAGCCAAGTTTCCCAAACAATGTCAGAGTTAGCTTGGGGAATCTTCTTAGTACTCTTAAGAGGCCAGAGCTGAGATTTCCACACAATGACATATTAAAGTATTGGATCCAGGGTCCTTTGCATTGGTAGAATGTCAGGAAAATAGCATTAGCTAGATAAACTTCTTTCCCTCAAACCAAATACAGTCGTATTGTTTACTATTATAGGTCTATTAAGGTTGCTGTTTAAATGTTACCAATGTCCTCATATTTTGGTAATTTTGTTCGAGTTGGAAAGAAATGTCTTGAGAAATTTTTATTTAGCCAGAGTGTTTGAGCACTTTAAGATATCTTTAGTATACTACATCGCTTCTCCAGGTCCTCAAGAGACCTAAAAAAAAAAAAAAAAAAAAAAAAAGGCTTTCTAAGCAGTGCCTATCAAGCTACTACTTCCGGCCCCACAAAAAAGAAAAGCTGAGACTCTTCACCCCTTGATTCCAGTATTCCCAAACTCCTGGTAAACCATTAGGAATTAGATATGCCCCAAATTTATGTAGCAACTCCCTTCTTAAGAATATAGAGAACGTTTTTTTTTACACACCTTGTTACACCTCACAATTGAGCCTCAACTTGAGATTCCCTTGCCCAGCAAAGTCCAGAATTCACCACTGTCTACATGCTGGACCCAATTCGTTTTGCTGTCGTTGATCACTAATTTGGGAATTGTGGGAGGGAGAGGAGGAGCGAATCCCTCTCTTTACTTTAGAACTGGTAAAACTGAGATAGCCAGAGATTTCTAGAACTGCCAAGCTAAAACGTAAGCTGAATCATTGTGCAAGTATGGATTAGAACCCAGTACTGGGTTTGAACTGTAAACCCAGTTTCTGATCATATGGCTGCCCAGTGCTCCTGGTGGCAGAGCTGATTGCTTCCTGGGTTCAAATGGGTCATGCTTTCCAGGGCACTCTGGACATCCATGGAACAAGCCTAATTTAAACATTAGAGGTCTTTCAAACCCTTATATACCAAATCATCATCAGTTCAGTCTCTCAATTCTGCATTAATTCTTTTGTGGAATTAAAAAATATTTTCTCCTGAATTTCCTTAAAAAAAAATCGAACGTTCCCTCAGGGCAAGGAGACATAGCTAGGGGTACCATGCGATAAGAGAGTGAGTAAAAAGGAAAAGTCTAGTATCCTAGACAGTCTCTTTGCAGAGCTGCGCTTCTGCTCAGAAGACATTTGTCAATGCCTAGAGACATTTCGGTTGTCACCACTGGGAGAGGGGTGTACTAGAGAGTAGAAGCCAGAGAAGCTGCTAAACATCCCACAGTGCCCTGGACACCCCCCGACGACAAAGAATTCTCCAGCCCAAAATGCCTGCAGTGCTGATGTTGAAGAATGCGGGTGTGTAGATATAAACAACAATCTGCTAAGCTTTCAAATGATAGCAGCTAGAAAGATCTTCAAGAGTCTAGGGATTTGGAAAATTCTGGCATCATGATAGTCAATCCCCAGTGGAGACATTCTTTGAAGACCACATAGGCAATCACTTGACCAAATGCCACCTAAAAATTGAAATATTTTTCACGTTTTGCTTGGTTTGCTAGAACACACCAATATACTTTCACCCTTGAAGAAAGGGAACTGTTTATGTCATTCAGTAGCAGGACTCCTTGGCTAAAGCAGCAGACAGCTCACCAGATTTCACTGGAAAGACTGCCCAAACCAGTCTCTGCCAGGGACTCCAAAGCGCAGGGAGGCTTCAGTGCTAGGGAGAGCGGATGTGAAGGCGGTTATGAAGGACAGCTGTGCCAGCATCTCCCAACTTTTCCGTTTTTTCTCAAACCTCAGCTTGCCTTGTGCATGGCTAAGGTTATCCCTGGCCAGCTGCTTTTTTCCCTATTCTACCTCTCCCCTGCTGTAGCAATTCCCTAACCAGTGCTACTAAGACTAAGGATTTCACCACCTCCTCCCATTTTCCACCATACAGAAATCCACAAAACTGAGTTAAGAGAACTCTCCTGCCATCCCCAATAGCCAAAAAACTGAGTCACCACTTGGCCTAACAGCACTCAGATGATTCATTAAAATACAGTGGAGCGCTCTTCAGGGGGGTGCAGGGGAGATTCAAGTGGGAAGGTAAGGCTGCAAGCAGGAGGGGAAGTGGACAGGAGATGAGACTGCGAGGCGTGTCACAAGAAGGGAGTCTCCTGGTGCCTTTCTCCAGGGCTAAACCCCTTGAGGCAGAAACTCCGTTGAGTCATTCTGAAGTCAAATCTGGTGCTAACTGGCGCTCTTGGATCTGGGTCAGTCTCGATGGGGCCTGGGAATGTCTGCGGAGTGCCCATTCCTCTCAGCAGTTTGTGAGATTGAGAGCCACTGCTCTGCTTTTCTTCTCCCTTGACCCCATTCCCAGTTTCCTACCAGGATCACTGTGAGCCCTGGGAGGATGGATTTGTAAAAAATTCCTGGAGCCAAACACCCTGAGCTATGAAACTGGCCCATTATTGTGAGAATTTTCAAATGTTGAAGAAATGTGGGGTTGGGAAAGAGAGGAGCACCTTAAAGAAGATTTATTCACCTAGTCACCCTCAGATGGTTGTCTGCAGATTTTGAGAGAGAAATGGAAATAGTTTCAGATACTTTTTATTTTTTTTTTGAGACAGAGTCTCACTCTGTCACCCAGGCTGGAGTGCAGTGGCGTGCTCACCTCACTTCATCCTCCGCCTCCTGGGTTCAAGCGATTCTCATGCCTCAGCCTCCTGAGTACCTGGGATTACAGGTGCCTGCAGCCACACCCGGCTAACTTTTGTATTTTTATTTTTAGTAGAGACGAGATTTTGCCATGTTGGCCAGGCTGGTCTCAAACTCCTGACCTCAAGTGATCTGCCCGCCTCAGCCTCCCAAAGTGCTGGGATTACAGGTGTGACCTACCGTGCCTGGCTGAGTGTCAGATACTTTTTAAGCATACTCTGGTTATCATTCTTCTCAGATTACTTCACTAAATTAAAATGTTCTAAATGTACAAAGAGCAAAATGGTTTGTTTAAAAAAATAGCCGTGTTCAATCTCTATCAGAAACAGCTTCAAGTAAAATTATTTTCCTCCAGCCAATTTCTTCTTTCAAGTATTCTCCTCTATGAAATACTCAATTTGCAACTCTAGATGAAATTACTGAGTCAATTTGTGGAAATTTCATCTGTTCCTTGACAGTGAGTTTTTATGTTTGGGTCAAAATGAACTTAAGGCCAGGGGTATCTGTAAAACACTAGGTAATAGGACAACAGTCCCTAAAGTCAAGCGGGCTATTGTCAAGCACAACTGTACTGGTTCGTCAGAGCTGGCTCCCTTAGCAGGGAAAGTTTGTGTCGTTTCTAAAGTGCTTTACCATACTGTAATTTGTCATTCTTGATTGTAATGTATGGTAAATTATGCTTCTAGAAAGTTATCACTCTGATCCACGTCTGATCTAATGAGAACAGCTGCATCCACTGCAGGCCGGGTGCTTGTCAGCTTATTCCCTCAGGGCCAGACAGGTGTGGTCTAAGCTCCAATTTAGGTAGGAGACCTTCAGGGAAAGTCCAGGTGCTTCAAGAAGCTCCAAGATGAGATCAGAAATTGGCCCCAATCCCTCTGAGTCAGAATTCTGAGTCATCTTTTTTTAAGGCCATTTTTTGTCCGTTTCCTCCTGCGACTATCAGTGCCTATACTTTAAAGTGTTCTATAACCGTGAAATCTTTCCTGGGATAACCCAGTCCACTGTACCCACTCCCACCAACCCCCACCACCAAAAACTATAGATCTACTGCTGAGTCAATTTCTTCACATTTGAAAGCTCAAGAAGGGGGAGAACAAGTTGAAATTTCTATTCAGAGCTGACACTCCATATTAAAGATAGGAAAGAAAAGTTTGGGGAGTTGCTAAGCATGAGAGGCATTGTTGATAAATTATCTTGAGATCCAGATATTAGTTGAGCCTCACTCGCAACTGAAAGAATCAAGCCTAATGGACTTTTCTGCCCAGTGCCAGACTGGAAAGATTTAAACTCTTGAAGGTCTCTAAGGATTCCCAACTGCTTTTCCTCTCATGATCCTCTCTGCTCCTGTTCTGTATACCTGCGTGCTGCCTCATTTGGCCCCATGTCCACCTAAGTGTAAAACCCAGCTCTTCACCAGTTTTTACAAGGATGTCCATTTGCACCAAATGTCACATGGTGGAAGAATTTACTGAAGCCTCCAGGATTGGCACACTTAAAAGTTCTTTTCTCAGGTTGACTAGAAGTCTTAACCACTCAGGCTGGGCTCAGTGGCTCACGCCTGTAATCCCAGTACTTTGGGAGGCCAAGGCGGGGGGATCACCTGAGGTCAGGAGTTTGAGACCAGCCTGGCCAACATGGCGAAACCCCGTCTCTACTAAGCATACAAAGAAAAATTAGCTTGCCGTGGTGGCAGTCGCCTATAATCCCAGCTACTCAGGAGGCTGAGGCAGGAGAATCACTTGAACCCAGGAAATGGAGGTTGCAGTTAGCCAAGATTGCGCCATTGCACTCCAGCCTGGGCAACAAGAGCAAAACTCCGTCTCAAAAAACAGTCTTAACAACTACACAAAAGTCTCAATATCCGCTTATCCCCAGTGCATATCTAAGTATTTTTTCCAACAAATAGCATTATTCCTCAGAAAAATTCTGAGACCAGTTAGAACCACCCTGTTAAAATATCATCAGAAATTCACAAGGAAAATGTTGGCTTTCTGTATAATAATGGCACAACAAGAATTCACTTCTACTTGTATCATCTATTAAATAATGAAATATTTAGTGGCTTTTAAGTAGCAGGGCATATGGTTTTGAATTTTGTTTTTCCAGTTGGAGTAAGAAACAATTCTTCATGATTATCCTAAAGAACCAGGAAGAAAATGAGCAAGGGACTGGCTGGGCTTCTAGGAGATGTCCGTGGCACACAGTAGGATCTTGGTAATAACTGACCTACTCTATAACTAAGCAAACCTGCTCTTCAGCACAGGGTAGAACACCATGGAGTGAAGAATGGGATAAAATAGGTGAAGAAGAGTATGCCGTCTTTACTCAGAAGGGGACCTAGAAAGTTTTTTTTTTTTTTTTTTTTTTTTTTTTTTTTGAGAGGGAGTTTCACTCTTGTTGCCCAGGCTAGAGTGCAATGGTGCGATCTCGGCTCACTGCAACCTCCTCCCCCCAGGTTCAAGCAATTCTCCTGCCTCATCCTCCTGAGTAGCTGGGATTACGGGCCTGTGCCACCATACCCAGCTAATTTTGCACTTTTAGTAGAGACAGAGTTTCGCCATGTTGGCCAAGCTGGTCTTGAACTCCTGACCTCAGGTGATCCACCTGCCTCAGCCTCCCAAAGTGCTGGGATTACAGGCGTGAGCCACCACACCTGGCTGAAAGTATGTATTTTCTATCATATCATTCTGTAAGACCCTCTTAGCTTCTCTCCAAAAGATTTACTGGAACGGTTCCTCCCACTCAATGGTGTTAGAGAGATGTCAGTAATACTATGAGTCTGCCTGCTGAGGTGCACAACATAGGACTCTATAGTCAGGCGATGGGTTCAAATCCCAGTGGGCCAGATACCATTTAGCTCTAAGTGGGTCCTTATCCTCCCTGAGTCTGTATTTCCTGTATTTCCCAGTTTACGAAGAGGAGATCATAATACATCCCTATGAAACTGATGTGGGCATTAAAGACGTAAGTGCATAGTATAACTCACACTTAGTAAAAAGTAGTCACAATTTTACTACCATAGATGCTTTCTCATCACCGGTAAAAACGACCTTTCATGAAAGTCTCACCTCCAACCCTGCGTATAATCTCAGAAACTCACTCAATAACATCAACTCAAAGTTTATGTATGACTATTCTATTTCTATATAATATTGATGTATCTTTTTAAACTGTACTTTGAGAAATTCCAAAATATGTTATGATTTTTAGTGTAAAATTCCTGGCCTGAGATGTCATTATATCTTCTTTCCTAAAAGAATAATTTAATTACATTTCCTTTTATGTTAATGACTGAATTTATTATTATTAATTTGGCCCCCAGGAAATGTTCAATGTTATCTGTGGAGAATGAAAAGGAAATAAAAGACGAGGCTTTGGAGCAATAAAAATATTATCCTAAAAAGTCACTTGGGTATTTGAGAAATAACTTCCAAAATATGGATGAGTGAAATAAACCAGGGAAATGCTACTCTTCGGCTACTCTTAGTACTATTATGGATTTTTTTTTTTTTTTTGAGATGGAGTCGCGCTCTGTCACCCAGGCTGCAGTGCAATGGCACGATCTCAGCTCACTGCACCCTCCACCTCCGAGGTTCAAGCGATTCTCCTGCCTCAGCCTCCTGAGTAGCTGGGATTACAGGTGCGCACCACCACGCACCTGTAAGATTTGATAGATATGGGGTTTTAGCAGATAGGGGGTTTCACCATGTTGGTCAGGCTCGTGTCGAACTCCAGACCTCATGATCCGCCTGCCTCAGCCTCCCAAAGTGCTGGGATTCCAGGTGTGAGCCACCACGCCCAGCCTATTATGGATTTTTATGAGCTTGAAGGGGTCATGAGGAAGAGTCCCAACTATATCATAGAACATGTCTATGAGAACTCAGTTAACAGGAGAAAAACAACAGTATTGTCATAAAAAGATGAGAAACTTTACTTAGAACCTAAAGTACCTTGGAGTGTTTTTACTTTGAGACCTCAAAAACTAGTTAAGTCATGCTAAAATGTGCCTCAAAATACAATTGTTAGAAGATGCATGCAAAATAGAATAAAATGATCTGTTCCTAAAATTCAGGAACTCCACTGCATGGAGATCACCAAGTTGCAGCAAAAGATCAAGTTAGATCTTATTTGACTTGACCCTAACTCTTCTTCTGTTATGGTTATGCCTTACATATCATATCTCTCCTATAGATGTAGTCATTTGAAATATTAAAAAAAAAAAAGCTCATCTTCATCTACAATGTGTATCTTTTCTAACTTAGCCTGCTTGTCTGTCTAGAAGCCAAGGTAGAAAGACTACTGCTATTATACTGTGTGGGGCAACAAGCCCTACAGGACCAAACTTGAAGAGGAATCTAGGTCATTGTCCTGACAGATCTGAGCTTTAAAATTTTGAAGAGACCTACGTGTCTAGAACCATCCCAAATAGTCACATGAATTAAGGCTTTGCTCCTGAGATTTATAGTGGAATAAAATGCAATGTCATTTGCCTCTTCCTTTAAAAAAAAAAAAGTCAACTATGCAAAAATTACTATAAGAGACTTCATAAAGTATAACACACAGTGAAATTACTGGTTCCCTAATAATCTTCTATATAAATTTTATTTTATAGGCTCTGCTGGATTGTTAAAAATCATGATGATATTCTTTTAAATGTTTATGGTTAATTTCATCTCTTTCATCAGATTTTCCCTCTCCATTCTTCTAAACTCTCATCTCTCCTACTAAGCTTTTTTCCAACACAGCTAAAGTTTCTTGGATTCTTTCGAATATCATGGGCTCCAGCTTCTCTCTGCTGGATCTGTTCTGATTAAGGGGAGGAAGAGAGACCTCTCAGCTCTACCTTTTCTGCTCAGCATATATCTTGTTAGCCAAGAAAAGTACTTTGTTTAGTAAAGACACTACCAGTCACCAGGCAAAAAAAAAAGAAAAAAAGGAAGACGAGTCCAATCAAAAGTTCAGCTTTGAAATTCAGACCAAAAGCACATGCTCTCTTCTACGTGCAACCTCAGGCTTTCCCACCCACCTGTCTTGGCAAGTTATCATCTAGCCCAGAAACTGGAGGAAGATGCCAAAAAGCAAGAGGATTCCAGTCAAATTGGTCATCCACAGATAATCAAAATGCAAATATACATCTCCACTCCAACAAATACAGGAAGTCCCCAATTTTAAAACGTAGTGAATTACAGTGTACTTGACGGTCAGATGTTTAGAACCAATTTGGAACACTTAGTGTTACAAAGCAGGCCCACCAAAAATCCCATGTAAGTCCCAACAACTTGGTTATGTTGGGTGTTCTATGTACATCTGTGTTTAAAATGAAAAAATAGAAAAAATACCATTGCAATTCTAATGATTAAAAATTTTTAAAGACATAAAGTGATTTTGTATTGTTTTTCCAAAGTGCTCTGCTATGGAAAGATGTTTAGCTAGATGAGTTTATTGGAGGCTTATAGAAAAAGGACCATCTGGGTAGTTTCACAGCCTTGGATGTTAATGGCCTCTTGGTTTTCGGTGTAGCATTATTAACTCTTGTATTTGTCAGTCACCATTAGGAAAATTCTTGAAATAACAAATAAGAAGTAGAGGTTATATATAAAGGAGTGGCTTGTTTATTTTTAAAGAACTGGACAAACTTTTTAAAAGAGGAAAAAAATCAAAATGAAATAGAGAGGGAAGGTAAGGAGATGGTTAACGATAGTGTAAGTAGAAGTGAAAAGGACTTTGACTAAGATGGAATTTGATGATCAGTTATTAGTCAAAGGCTGAATAAATAGACGTGGATACAAGCAAGGCATGTGAAAGCTTAGAATAAGCTTTACCTTAGTCGCAAGGTGATACCATCATTCCTGACAGTTTAGTTCCTAGACAGAGACAGCAGGATGATGTTTATGAAGTAGCCTTAAAAAAAACAGACGCGTGAGGGGAGGTAGTATCCCACTAATACTTAACAAATCAAATGTTTGTAACACAGAGAATGAATGTCTTTTCAGAACCTTGTATAGAGCTTAATGAAACCGGTATAGTGAAAGAGCATCATTTGTAGTCAGACCAAAGAGGACTTGAATTCTTGTTCATGTGATATTGGGTCAAATGATCTAACCTCTCTGGTGCCCAATTGGGATATATTACAAATGAGCATTCAGTAAGTCATCTCAAAGATATTATATACAGATGGTGTCAACTACACATTCAATAACTGACAGTTATTAGGCTCCTGAAGTCTGCCAGTAATGCCTTACAGGTTGTGTCAGTGATATCCTTGTAGTGTTTGATCCTGTAACAAATTCAGTAGCTATTTTACACCCATAGTATATTAAAGATAATAATAGATCAAGAACAAGGTTAACATAACTAACTCTATGTGGAATTGTCAGAGTTGCTATGGAAACTTTGCTAGGCTTATGACTTTCAAAAAACAGTCTCAATTAACAGAATCTTCTTACAGAGTAATCTATTTCATGTAAATGAATTATCTGTTTTGCAGCTCAAGGTCAAATGCATTTGAACCAGTCATTTTGGGATTTGTTTTCCCAAAGGAATGATAAATGACTAATCCAAAAGACTATGGATTAGAGAAATTGACTAGATGTCATTAAAGACCCCAAATAAATGTTTGCTGTCCTTGACCTCCATGAGGATAAGTTGTGGTGGGGCCTGTGGTTATCCGCTGTCTTTTATTGAATCAATAACTTGGTTTCTTTAACAATACCTGTTTATGTGCATGCCTAGAACCAATTAAATACTGGGCTATTTTAAGTTTCCCAATGCAGCTATATTTTGGCAAGTGTGAAAGAATAAATTAGACACTTTTCCAAAGCACAGTGATCTACTGAGATCTGTACTATGTAATAAACATGGGATGATGCCTAAGCCTGTGGTATGGTGGGGCCCAGGGGTCTTCTTTCTTGTACTAGTTCACATCGTTTATGATAAATGCTTAAAAGACTTTGAAGTCTTTGTCCAAAACACTTATTATGTATAATTATACAGATGAGCATTTATTAAAGTAAGTGTATTGGCCTTTTAGTGCCAAAACCATCCCTCTCTATAGATGTTAGCAGTTTTCACTTAAAGTGTGATTGTATGAGTAAATGTGTTAACCCATTTATAGTGAAGCAAGACAGTGTCTACAAATTGCTGTGACAATGTCCTTGGCTCTTCAAAGTGAATATGGTTATGAATTCAGTCGTGAGAGTGCAGGACCTAAGAAACCTAAAAATAAAAATCTGGCCTACAGTGTATTATTTTTGTCTGCTCAACAGAATGCCAGGGTGAGGGTAGAAAAACTACCTATCAGGTACTGTCCTCACTACTTGAGTGACAAAATTATTTGTACACTAAACCCCAGCAACATGCAATTTACCCTTGTAACCAACCTGCACATGTAATGTACCTTGTGAACCTGAAATAAAAATTGAAAAGGAAAAAAAAAAAAAAACAGAATACCCAACTTTCAATTATGACCAAAGCAACCCATACCATGCTTGTGTTGTTATAAATGTACTACTAATAGTAATTAGATTTTTTGGTAGTTTAAGTATACTATTTATACTCCATTTAAATCATGTTTATAGACTTTTTGTACATTCCACAAAAATGAAAATGTCTTGAGTACCTATTATTGCCAAACCCTTTGCTGGGTTCTGTGGATTTCAAGATGAATGAGACACACTCCTACCTGCAAGAAGCCCATGGTCTAATAGAGGAGAAAGATGCAGACTATATATTATATTATACATATCTTAAGTGCTATAAAGATACTGTAAAACTACTGCTATGGAAACTTCAGTAAGGGTGTGATTATTTATTCCTTGGAATCCAGAAACATCTTAATGAAGCAGCATTTAAAGTGGGCCTTAAAGGACAGAAGTAGCTTGCCAGGCAGGTGAGCAGGTCTGTTGTCCTGGGGAGGCTACTGAAAGAACCAAATGTGTTTCTATGTAGGGAACTCTTGTCTTCTGTATGAGGTTGGCATGGTTCACTCATCAAAATGTATAATGAGCTAAGAGCCTGGAGAAATGACTTTTGGACATTTCATCCCAGAGAGAATAAACAGAGGCCCTTCCCATGGAGGCAGCAGCATAGGTAGCTTAGGTTTGTACTTCAGGGTCACTTCTTGACAAGGAAAATGCAAGTCTTATAGATTGGGTCCTATAGATTTCCTCACCAATTCCAAGTATAGACTAACTTGGCCTTGTTAAAAAAAAAAAAAAAAAGGAAACAGGAAGAAATATCTAGAATCCTTGGTTTCTAAAAAAAATTATAATTTACCATCTCTCTGACTTGGAGAAAGTAAGCCAAAATATCTAGGTTTTTATGTTTCTTAAACTGTGCTTATCTCATTTAACCTTAAAGGTATTTGATTGAGTCAATCCATACTTAAGCCCCAATAAATTCAATATAGCACTTTTACCCTTTTCAAAGTGTTGTCATCAATTGGTAAATCTAATAAAAATTGAATATTTTTTAATGGGAAAAAAAATTACGCCATAAGCAAAGTCAAAGAATCAACAAATAATTGAGAAAAGGATTTGAAGCATGATTGACAGACAGAGAGATAATTGTGTTACAGTCAGAATTGTCACAGATGAATTTTTTTAAAGACAACTCTGGCAAAGATAATGAAAGGGATTTCTATATAAGATAATAAAATGCTCAGCTTAATTTATAATTAAATATAAATGAAAACCATAAAAATATACCATATACTATTTATCAGATTGGCAAGTATACAAAATTTTAACACTACCTAGAATTAGCAAGAGTGTGGGGAAACAGGCACTCTCATAAATTCAGGGATGGATCCACATTTGTGCCTGAAACTCATACAGTTTTGGAGACTTCTTTAAGAAAAAGAATACAATATTAAGCATGCTCTTGAATTTTTATTTAGAATGAGAATGATTCTAATAAATTATAAATTTTTAAAACATGACATATACCACAAACATTGCAAAATCTAGAATAATAACATAATATTTATTGATGTACTGCCTGGCATAGCTCTCTACTAACTTTTCCCTATATTTTTGATACATTCTTTCTGAGTATCATTTCATGCAACAATGTTATAATACATTATGTAGAGAGAATAGAAATATAAGTCATTTTTCCTCCAGCATGGTTGGTCAAAAGAAAATTTTTTATTTTTGATATTTGAAAAAGTTTCTTTTAGTTTCACAACTTATTGGAAATATCTTATAAATTTTTAGGATAGCTGATAAATTTGAAAAAAACTCTAAAACATTTATTTCATATATGATCTGTAATATTTCAGGGAATTTCAAGTTGGTTGCTATGTAACCATATCAATGTTAAAGACCATTTCAATTGATGGCACTTCTTTGTAGTTGATGTGCTTGTCACAGTGGTGTGTTATGAGCTTTACATTATTGTCCATGCCAATATTTCTGTCAAATCAATAAGAACTTCATCATTTTCATGTATTTATATGATTTGCTCTTCTTTATAAACATGATTATCAAATAATCCAAGAGCCTATTTACTACCCCTATAAGAAAAAATGTATATCCTTTTAATAAATTACTGCTTTTCAGAGTGAATTTTTTTAACAATGCACTTCTTTTTTAAAAATATGTATAATATTTATATTATTGAATAGCAATAGGCAATACACCCTGTATCTGTAAAACTTTGGAACCACTGGCTTATTTGTTAAATCTAGTCCATGCCAGCCTCCAAACACCAGAAAAAAATTTAGTTAGCTTCATTCTTTGATGCCTCACCAAAATATTCTACAAGATCTGAAACATCCTCCTCCTCATCATTGTCTTCTGGGTTTGGTGCTTTGCTATTCAAGACTTGCCATGGGAACTGTTTGGCTAACTTCCTGAGACTTGTTAAGCTGTCAGCACCAAGCTGACTTAATATTCCAGGAAACATTTCTGTGATTGGTTTGGCTTCTGCATGACTGGTAACTGCAAAGGTGTTAGCAGAGAGAGAAGAACTAGAGAGAGGAGCAGAGAGAGGTAATTGCAAAGATGTTAACAGAGAGGGGGCAGACAGAGGTTAGACTTTGGGATCGTTGAAATGAAAAACTGTCCCATCTTCAATCATGTTCACCTCTTTAATACCAGCTATATTATTCACAGCCAGTTTAGTTACGGAACTCTGAAGCTTTCTGTCATCTGCTGTAACTCTCTAGGTTCCACCTTTGTTTTGCAAGCTGTACCCTTGCCTCCTATCTGGACCTGAGCCTGAAGTTTGGCTAACTTTCTTGATTCACACTGTTGGTAAATCCAAAGCAGGGAGGGTCCTCCAACACCAGCATACAGCAACAGCAAAATCACAATTCACTTCTGTATATCAAAATAATTCCATAGATCCCACCACACATTTTTATTGCCTTGGTTTCATATTTCACTGACTTTTAATCTGAATTTTATTTCTTTAATAAATAATTTTAAAGATGACCAAAAACATATTCTTCCTATATGTCAACATCAAGGGTCTGTAATTCCTTATTATATTGAAACTTTCTAAAAGGTCTTTATAAAATTCTGTTAAAATAACATATCCCAACTCAACTTCTCCAAGCCTGATCCCCAAAATAGCGAATAGCCACTCCAACTCCATGTGGCAAGTAAGGGGTGTAACAGTGAAGAATTCAGAGTTAAGAGATGGTAGTCATAACCAATTGTGGTTGAAATGTCTTACTTTTGCTAATTTTACAAAAACATTAGAAATGTCTACATATTTTAAGGGCTCATGCAGGGCCTTGGAAGAAGACCATACAAGTAAGATTTGAGGTTCACAATAAATTGGCTTACTATAAATATTCCTCAGTACACCCTTAAGGTGAAAGTCAAAATTCTAATCATCTATTTGAAGGACAAGTTGGCAGCATGTACCAAAATTTAGAATTAAACATCCTTGGATCCAACACTTCCACTTCTACTAATTCACTGTTACAGATAGACTGTCACAGACAAACAAAACATTTTGTACAAAAATATTCAATGAAGCATTGTTTGTAACAGATGAAAAAATGGAAATGCCGTAAGTGGGAGAATAGTGCAAGTAATAATGGATATCAACAATATAATATGCTATGTAGTTATTAAAAAGAGCAAGTTAGCCAGGCATGGTGACACACACCTGTAGTCCTAGCTACTGGAGGCTGAGGCAGGAGGATCATTTGAGGCCATGAGTTCAAGGTTGTAGTACACTGTGACTGCATCAGTGAATAGCCATTGCACTCCTGACTGGGCAACATAGCCAGAACCTGTGTCTATAGAAATTTTTAAAATAAAATAAAAAGAATAAGTTAAATCTTTCTATGTATGTAACCATGAAATTTATCCAAGTTGTATTTCAATTTGAAAAAGTAGTTTAAAACAGTGCATGTGTGTGTATATCACACACACACACATATATATACACATGCACTGTTTTAGACTTTTTCAAATATGTGTGTATTGTATACACACACATATATACATACATGTGTATACACACACGTATATACATACATGTGTGTACACACACATACATACATGTGTATACACACATATATACATACATGTGTATACACACACATATATACATGCATGTGTATGCACACATATATATACATACATGTGTATACACACATATATACATATACACTATATAAACTGTGTTTGTGTGTGTATACATATATAAACGGTGTGCGTGTGTGTGTATTAATAGTTTGGCCACAATTTAGTTTACATATTATATTTATACAGATTTTTCAACAGTTACATGTTCTACCATTCCTAGTGGCTATTTTTGGGGATTAGACTAAAAGGACAGAGGACTTCTACTTATAAAAATTTGTCTATTTTTACTCTATTCCTCTCCCCCTTTTAAGCAAAATGTTTTACTTTCATAATAAAAAATTATAGCTGCTGCTCAAATCAATTTCTATGACTTCTCATGCTTAAATTACTTTCCCTCTTTAAACTCATCTTTTTAAAGCAATAAATAAATGAAAATATTTGAGAACCCCTGCTTGCAAATCATATATACCATTTTTAGCTTTTAGGTGAGGTCTTGTTTTTTATTCCTCTATTTTAATCACAATCTGTGACCAGAACTTTAGGAAAAACATGAACCCAGAATTTCTCAGGATTTCTTAAATAATGCCTTAACATAATTAAATATAATGATGATTGAGTAATCAGAACCATTTTAGTATATTTTGTTCAAAAATCAGAATAGTTTTATATTGGGGGGCAGCATCATGATTAAAGAGAGGATGCAAAGAAAGTCTAGACTGCAAGCAGTTACCAACAGGGCACAAGAGACTAAAAGACTTCTAGTCATCTCAGGAGAGAATGATGGGAGTACTCTAGAATACTTGCAAGAGTGTCTTCCTTAAAAAGAAAAAGGTAACTCCTAAAGACGGCTGTGATATCTATGGTGCAATGTCAACTTTGCCTGGGGAGAGAGGGGAACGTCCAGGCTTGCCAGTGAGCTGTCTTTAGCATAATATTCTAAATGATGCAAGGATATTAAGAAATCAATGATTTATTGCTATTTCCTTGTGTCTCAGTGTTTTTTCTTCTGCAAGTTTGGATTTGCCTTAGGCTCTTCTTTAAAAAAAAAAATCTTAGCTAGTTGTAACATAGGTCCAAAATTCCTAGCTTTTTAAGAAATTTGTTAATTCAGTAAAAAAATCTATCTATAGGCACATTAGATTGCACATAGAGGGAAAGAGGCATCTCTCACATCCCGGGAGACTGAATGCCTTGTTTTAGAGAACAGCTTGTGCACAAATGGCCCCCAGGTGAATAAGACTCATTATGGTCATTTTGGTCACCTTTGGTCCAGAAGACCTCAAGGCATTAGCTCAATTTGTATGTCATCAGAAAGCAATGATTCATAAACTTCAATGCGTAGAATGCCATGAATAGCCTGTTAGAGAGAACCACCCTCCACCACTACCACCGTCACCACCAGCCACACACAATCCTGATTCAGGACCACATTGACAAACCTGCCTTAGGACTTTGGGCTTACTCTAGAGAAAATTCACATGCACAAAGCCAAATCAAACTCCATTCCTCTCTCTGAATAGATCCAACCCTCCGCTTCCTGATCTGTATTAAAAAAAAGAATAAAAATAAGTTGTCTGATAATCTAACATGCCCAGGTTAGCTTAAATAACAGAAGTTGAATGCAAGGACACAGGAGATATCAAAGAAAGCAAAATCTCAGCAATTGCACAGCTTGATTTGGAGAAATGGGAATTCATTCCTTGCTGGAAAAGAATATTTCAGGGGCTCCAGGGGCCAAGGGTAGCTCTTCGAGATCCAAAAGCACGAGTTTATTAATGAGCTCATGACCCCTCATCTCTACTTTTCTATCCCTTCAGTATTTCCTCCTACCTCTTATCTACCTTCCCTCTATTTGGTGTTTCATGGCATAACTTCTGCCTTCTAAGGGCCAACTTCCAGAGCCTCTCTACTTTCTAACCACTCAATCTAACCAAGACAGGAGGGGATAATGGGGCCGGGCAACCACCATCCAGCATAGAGCACTCTTGTGACTCCGGTGAGTCTGCAGATATTAATGTTTGAGTCAGACAGTTGGTCTGGCCAGTCAGGGCAAGAGTGCAGGGTCACAAGGTCCAAAGCATGGCAACTAAGCGTCAAAAACCCTTCAGGGTGAGATTTGGAAATGGACAGATATCTGTCAAAAGAGAGTTATGTACTCGCCAGGCAGGCACTTTGGAGACCACTTATTCACCCAGCCATTCCACCATTTGTTGAATGCCTACTAAGGGTTAAACACTAGAAACAAACACTGATTGAGACATAGACTCTGAATTCCAGGACTTCGAGTACAGGGATATGGTTAACAGGTAAATCAACAAATATCACCCAGTGTGACAACTGCCAAAAGAGAAATGTGTTCAGATCTAGGGAACCCAGAGAAGCAGGGAATACAAAAGACTCCATACGTGAACTCTGAGCAAAGTTCCATTAATTAGATGAAGCCATGCAGAAATATTGCCAGGTATGAAGGCACAGTGGGATTTGCCCGTGTTCAGCAGGCTGAACTCTAGCTCTGTTGCTCAGCGTATGATAAGTTTGGCTTTGCTCTACTCATTTCCAGACTCCATTTTAGCCATTTCAGATGTTATAAGGAAAACTAAAATATAAATTACCTTAAAAGTAAGGGACTGTTAGTATCCACAGAACTGCAGAAAAACATGGTTCCTGGAGGGCGGCTTTGGAAAGAAACATACCAACTTGAATATATACAGAGAGAAAAAGACAAGGTCTCACTCTGTCACTCAGGCTGGAGTGCAGTGGCATGATCATGGCTCACTGCAGCCTCGACCTCCCAGGCTCAAGCAATCCTCCCACCTCAGCCTCCTGAGTAGGTGGGACTGCAGCAGGCACCACCATGCCCAGCTAATTAAAAAAAAAAAAATTGCAGAGAAAAGGTCTTGCTTTGTTGCCCAGTATGGTCTTAAACCCCTGAGCTCAAGCGAGCCTCCCACCTTGGCCTCCCAAAGTGCTGGGATTATAATGTGAGCCATCATACCTGGCCCTGAATGTATTAAAACTATGCAGTGATACCCCAGTCATGGATTAACCACTCTAAATATAAATTGTTTCTATCAAATACATATTTATCTCTAATTTAAGGACTGGCAATGGAGAATTTTTTAAAGATCCTAAGCAACCCATTGCCATCAAAACTTCCAGTGTTTATCAACATTTTAATAGACCACTTAAATATTCTTGATCTAAGTTATAATTAAAAGTATCTCAGGATTTATTTTTCTGAGAAAACATACAGCAGTTTTTTGTTCATCTAAAAATCTTTATATTGTAAACTTTATATCATAAAGTACTTTAAGACTGTTGATATGCTCCTTAGTAGACTTGCAGAAGAGTAATCAAATGTTATACAGATGAAAATGTGTCCAGTTAATTATGAATGTATAATTTTATCAATGACATTTTATTACCATTTAATAACTTCAGGAAAGACCTATTTTTCAAAATTCAGAAAAGTACAGCTTGTTCTATGTTAGGCACAGCTGCTTAAATGTGTTCATTATGTTTTGTTGGGGATGTTTCTTGTTATTTTCATAGTAGCCCTCAGGCTACAATGCATTTTTGCAAGGTGGTAGGGATAGGTGTCATTCTCTTCGTTAAAAATGAGGCAAGTAAGGTTCAAAAAAATTAAGCGTTGTGCCCAATGTTACACAGCTGGTAAAATTTGAACTCGTGTATTCTTTCCATATTTCCCAAAAGGTTCACAGGATGCAAAAAGGTTCCATAGTAAAAGTGGTTTGGAAAATTTTGGATGAAACAAAAATTAAACAGTTCTTTTTAAAAAATTGCAGACATCTCAGTGAATGGATATACACAAATGTGCTTCATCAATCTCCAAGTAGAAAGATAGTCTGCAGCATTTCCCAAACATACTTGAGTATAAATCCCTTTTATATCCAGAAATATCTCATGGTATTAATCGTGAAACATAATCTGGAAAAAACTATTCTACATTATTAGGCTTCTTCTCGTGTAGTAATTGAAAATAACTCTGAAAACTCTCCCTTAGGAAAGTAATTCATGAGAGCTGCAGTGAGAAACAAGAAGGGAAAGAAAATAAACAGGCCTGACAAATTCTGTAGAAGCTGAGAGGTTAGACAGTAACATCAGTAGTGTTATACAAACCAAGAAGGACAAAAAGACACTTGAAATTCATTACAAGCCAAATTTTCCTCTGGATCAAGGACAGCTATAGGGGCCAAGAGTAAACCAGATATCCATTATCTTTATGTTTCTCAGTTCTGCTTTAAGAAAGAAATGTACCTAACCAAAGGAAATGTCTCAATTTATCTATGAAACACACAACACCCAGAAAAATCTCATAAAATCTCATACATGGAACACGTAACATGGCCAGTTTAACAATCGGCCAAACAATCTGCAAAAATGATATAACAGTGCCTGAATTTGAACATCTCTAGACATAACAAATAGAGCATAGTTACATTACCAGACTAACAACGCTTGATTAAGGCATACAGAGAATTTGGAAGACACAAAGAGCATATGTCTATAAAGCTTAAGTTTGTTATGTTGCAATATGAATATTAATAGTGCATGGGATTTAATAGCAAGAAAGTTACATAAAGTGCATGTCTCTGAGAATTCCTGCTGTCAGTGACTGGAAAGGATCCCACTGGGGAAATGCTCGCTACCTAACAATGCCACTGGTGGTGACTCATCCAAAATTCCGACACAGACCTAATGAGCTTCTGAGAGAATGCCTGGCAGACTCAGTCCTATTCAGTGTGTTAAATAGAGGGTAAGAAACAAAGTTCTCAACTGATAGAGTTTTCTGTAAAGCTCTATTGTTTCTGCGAGTTAAGATATACTATTACATTGGTCAAAGGATATTTGATCTTCCAGCTACCACTTTGGTTAACTGGAGAAAGGAAAAACGCCACAAAGCAAGTTTGCTTTTTTGTTTTGTGTTTGTCGAAGTCTTTGTACTCTGATACCTTCTTTGGAATATCAAATATAAACTGCCCCTCTGGTGCAGAGTGTGATCAAGGGGGTAATTAACTGAGCTCCAAATGTGATGTTTCTGGTGGTCACTTCAAGTCATTCTAACCAATTAATCAATCTCCTGGTGCTCTGACTTGGATCCTATGTTTTCAGCCCCTGGAGCAGTGGTTCTCAAGCCTGGCTGCCCATTAAATTCATTTGGGGGATTAAAAAAAAAAATACCGATGCCTAGACCCCACCCTGGACCAACTAGATAGAATCTCTAGGGATAGAACTTCTGTATTTGTGAAAAGTTTTCTAGGTGATTCTAAATAAAGTCAAAAGCCTCCAAAAACTGCTGTTATGTTCATGTCCAGCTACTGAGTATCTAGTCTCCAATGAGTGATCCAAAAATCTCAAAGAATTAAGCATGAAAAAAATGCCCCCACCAATGACTGCCATACAGCTGGCTGTTTGGGACCAGCACATAAGACATTAGAAGACAGGCCCATGTTGAAGCAAGGAAATGTGAGGACTGTGATCAATGTTGGTCAGCAGGATCCAGGGAATGACTCACAGACTGGGCAGGGGAGCCTGGACTGAACGTGGGCTCTGCAGAGCTGTCTGGACACACTGGGCTTGGTGCATCTGCGGACCAGCGGCTAGCATGTTTGTTCTACCCAGTCTCTGTAGCTGCTACCACCCATGCTATCACCTCTACCAGTAGTCCCCAAAAATAAATAGACATAAAATGGTTTTCTTCTCACAAAAATTTGTAAGTAGTGTAAAAGATATTATATATTGAAGGAATTCTTGCCACCAGAAGAATTCACTGCTTGTATTTTGGTTTGCAGACTTGGGCTACGCCAATGTCAATATAGATTTTTATCCTTTTTTTTAAGAGTTTGCCCAATTTTTTTTTAGGGCAAATTTCTAGAAATCTCTTTTTTTCATTAAAGGGCATCTATATTTTAAATTTCTACAATCATTGCTAAAGTACCTTCTGTAAGGCTTGTATTAACTTATATTCCTATAAGTAGTCCTCTTTCTCTGTGTCCTTGCCTGTAAAGTGAATTAGAAGTTGTTTTAATCTTTACTAGTATGGGAGGCAAAAACAGAAACTTATGGTTGTTTTAGTTTGTGTCTCTTTGATTATCAGGGAAGTTGAGCATCCTTACGTGTGATTTTTGGACACTTTATTGTTGTTGTTGTTGTTACTTTCCTCTTTGTGCCTGTAATTTATTTTAGTGCCAGTGGTGGCTGCTGCTTTCAGACCCTCGCCACCCAGGACAACAGCTCAGCTATGCCCTACTTGCCCCGCGTCAGCTGGAGTTGAAGCAGTGCCCTTCACTTAAGATTAAGCTTCCTGGCCAGGCGTGGTGGCTCAGGCCTGTAATCCCAGCACTTTGGGAGGCCGAGGAGGGTGGATCACGAGGTCAGGAGATCGAGACCATCCTGGCTAACACGGTGAAACCCCGTCTCTACTAAAAATACAAAAAATTAGCTGGGCATGGTAACGGTCACCTGTAATCCCAGCTACTCGGGAGGCTGAGGCAGGAGAATGGCTTGAACCTGGGAGGCGGAGCTTGCAGTGAGCCCACTGCACTCCAGCCTGGGGGACAGAGCGAGACTCCGTCTCAAAAAAAAAAAAAAAAAAAAAGATCAAGCTTTCTCAGAGTCAGTTTCCTCATATAAACTACATGTTCTCGAAAAAGACAAGAGCTTGGTGGCTGAACACCCCAGCAGTCTAGTGTCCCCTTTGAATCCCTACTGCCATCATCTTCAGAGCCTGGGGTGGGAACACCCATGAATACACTGAGGGCCAGCAAAACCCACATGGCCCCTAGGCCTTCCTGAGATCAGAGGAGCCATCTTGAGGCACAAGCTGAGATTTTCTCTTGCTCATAACATTGAGTTCCAAAATTTAAGATGTAAACAAGATGCAAGATAGGCCGGCCATTTTTCTTTAAGATGAGGGAGAAAGGTAAAATCATATTTTGTATGTGTTTCACTAACCTATGCTAAGAACCTAAGATACAAAAGGCACGGGGGCTGGGAGATGGGGATGGGAGTTGACAGGGGAACATTATATATAGGTGCTTGCAAGGAAGTTGAGAAAAGGTATGATATGAATGGTACAAAGGAGGGAGTGAAAGGAAGAAGAGACAGTGCAGATGATAAGTCATATCTGCGGAAATAAATTTAGAATGATAATGAAAGCAGATTCCCTCCCTCATATTCTTTGGAGCATCTGCCTGTCTCCCCTTTCATTCCCACCACACTTAATGTAGTTTATTAAAAAACAAACAATGACAGAGGGAACTGGGAAGTACAAAACACACAGTGACCGGAGGTGTAACTGATTGATTACTGTTCTGACTCATGTAATTTTGTCGACTCATGTAATTTTGGCACTCGGTGTGAGCTTTTTTTCTGTAAGAATTGAATAATCAACTACAGCGGACCCTTGTATTCCAGGCTTTGATAGTTATATATCCATAATACTTATAACAGATAATATTTATTGAGAGCCAGACACTGTTCTGAGTGCTTTACCTGTGTTATTGGCACTTTTGATTATTTCAACAAACTTGATCTCCATTTAACAATTGAGGAAAGAGAAAGTTGAAGTAATTTGTTGGAGACCACAGAACTAAGGTAATTTGATAGCCAAGTAGTTGAGGCTGTCATGCTGTTATTCTGTTCCTCTATAATGCTAATTATTTGTGAGTGTTTTCTGGAAAAAAAAAAATTGGCTGCAAGGAAAAGAAAATCCACCTGAGCTAGCATAAGCAAAAATAAAAGAGTATTATTAGGGTAAGAGAAATGAAAGACAGGGTTCAGAAACCAGGCCTCAGAAACAAATGGTAACAAGGCACTCTACACTGTTGGGATTCTGCCCTCTGCCTCCCTGTCTTTGCTGCCAATCTTACTCTGTTCCTGCAGTCCAAGGGGCTGGAAATATGGCTACCAGCTGCTCACAAGTTTGCATTTTATAGGTCCCACCACTTAAAGAGCTGGCTCTTGTTCAGTAGGTCCCGTTTTTACAATTCCAAAGAAGAGACCTTGGTTGGTCCACCTGTTTAGTTAAACAATCGCTGTGGCTGTAGAGCAGGGTCGCATTGGGAGCAGCGCTGGCAACCTATAAATATGTGGTGCAGAAAGAGAGATGCTTGAGCAGATAAATAGGAGCCCATTCCTGTGAGTAACTCCATGCTTTATAACTAAAGTGGTCTGCCGTTTCTCAGAGGCATGAATCTGAAGCCTGCTCATAGCAAGCCCTGCCAATGAGCTCATCCAATGAGCCCCCCATTTGCATCTCAAGACGGTTTTAGTCTCCTTTTAAATGATAAAATTTTCAGGACATATTATAGTGTTGGTCTTCATGAGACTGAGACTTCATGACCTACATCAGTATGACATCACTTCCCAAAGAAACATGAATCCATATCCAAAATTCTTGCAATACATAATGTAAGCGTTCATTGAAGTTTCTTGAAGCGGCTAGAAGAGGAATTACTACATCATGTAACATGTATCAAGACCTCTTTAGAAAGCCTCATTAGATATTTCTCTTCTTCCTCCCCACAAACTGTCTTTTCTCTTAATCCATCTCTGATATCCAGGGCTGTTTGTTGTTATTGCTGCTGCTGTTGTTGTTGCTGCTGCTATTTTGGTTTTTCATTTGTTTGGATTTTTCTATACCCTAACTTCTATGAATCACTCTGGCATTTTTTAGTATCTGTCATTTTTTTTCTACTACCACTCAGATCAGTGAAACAGGCATAGGATAATAGAAGATGAGGAAGGCGGAAAGCTATAACTATTTTTTTTTTTTTTTTGCCTTACCAAGTTTTGTCTCACTGGAATCATTGCAGTTTTCCACAAAGAAGGGGACATCCCCCTGAGGCACCCAGAGTTTCTTCCAGTTCATGTTTCAACACACACACACCCCGCTTCCTTCCTGTATCCTGCTGAGCTGAGTAGAATTATCTCCAAGGCCTTAAGAGCATTACCTCTCCATAAAATTGGGTGATCTGGAGTTGTCCTGAATTTCAGCAGCAGGACTCAAACTTCCTTTATTCAGACGCTGTGGCTCGGGTCAAGATACATATTAGCCAGAATTATGTTTACCTGTGAATAATTGGCAGCCCAATTTGCAGTGGCTTACATTAATAGGGGTCTATTTTTTACTATAACAAGAAGTCTGGCCTTAGAGAGTTGCTGATGTTGGTTTAGCAGTTCCACTTGTCAAGCACTGATCCCAGGAGACAGGAATGGAGGACGAGGAGATAAGAAAGCAGGAGTGAAAGCTGTTACCAAAAAAAAAAAAAAAAAAAAAAAAGTTCTCCAGGTGGATGACTAGGCCTGTTCCTGTTGTGATCCCTCCAGGACATCTGTACATTGTCCTTCAGAAATGTCCAACCAACAGATGAAAGAAAGGTGCATTGATCCCTCAGTCCCTGACCCCACATTGGGCAAGGGCTGCCCTGTGGGATGTCACCAGCACTTCCAGCTGTGCATGCTTGTTTGCTGAGTAGGGTTCTGGATGCCTTCATGCGGGGGTATCAGAGTGGCCTAGGGGCAGAGCACAAGAGGTGCTGAGGGCAGCTTAGTGGATGTGGGCTGTCAAGATGTCCTTGCAGGGAGTTGCGATGGCTGGAGTAAAAGGTGGGCTCCTGTGTGGATACGATGTGGGACCCAAGACGCATCTCATACAGCTCAGAACCTTCTGAATCTGAGGTTTCTATGTGCTTCCTTAATTCTGGGAAGTTCTCTGTTACTGTTCCTTCAAAAATGTCATCCCAAGTATTCTCTTCTTTTCTTTTGGGATTCCTTCTATATCAATGCAGATATTGTCCTCCACAATGCTTAGTTTCCTTTTACAAATACCCTCTCCTTATATCCCCTCCAGAATCCTTTAGAGCTAGCTCTGCATCCCAATCTTCCTACTTGCTAATTCATTTTTTGTCTATGTTCAATCTGTCATTCGATCCATTTATGATATTTGTTCCAATGCATATATTTTTCTACTTAGTATCTCCAATTGGTTCTTCATAACTTCTTATTGCTGTTTCATGTCTATCTTCCCTCAACTCTTTTATAATATTTGATATGCTTATTTTAATCTTCCTGGCCCATCAACTATGTTGCATCTCGGATAGCTTTCCACCAGGAGTCTTTCTCTTTATTCTCCTTGGCAGTCTCAGTGTTTTTCCCTCAGAGCTCCTGTTCTCCTGAGGGCATTCATCTCCTTGATTGATTAAGTATCTCTGGAGTGAGGGCTAGAAGCCAGGGCCTCCATCGGTCCCCTTCCTAGAGGGCCATTTCAAGGCTGAGATGCTCAGGTGCTACTCTCTGGGCTTAATCACTTCATGTAGGGCATTGCCCCATTCCCCAAATGGGTGACCCTGTCCCTAGGGACTTCGTCGAAGGTTGTGTGTGGAGGGGTGCTGGGGAAGGCAATGCATGCAGCTGGCCAGACAGCTTGAGCATTTCCTTATCAGTCTCTCATGGAGCAGAAGTTTCTGCCTCACCACGTGCTCTTTAGCAGCCATTCAGTGGCAATCTGGCAATGCACAAGACCAAAGGGGTAGAAATAAACTCGTGCTCCCAACCCAGACCCTCCTCTAGAGGCCAACTTCCATTCGGGGCCAGCACTTTTACACAAACATCATGATCCAACCACCTTCTGGCTCTCCAAGTGTTCCTCTTAGTTTTTCCAGTAACTCTGGCTTCAACATCCTCCCTCTCACCTCCATGCATCTTCAGAATTGACTTCAGGAGTGGCAGCCAGCAGCCTGGTCATTTCTATTCTGTCAGATTCCCTATCTGTAGAGATAGGGAGTTCTTTTCTCCATGGGTACAGGGTGACCTCTTTGCCACAACTAATAAAAGCTGCATGTGGCTCCATCTTCCCAAATCTTGTGCAGTCACAGGTATATTATCAAATCTGTCTCCCACCTACTAATATCTAGAGTCTACTCCTGGCTGGAACAGTTGACCAGTGTGATGAATCCTGGAAGCAGATCCTGGAAGCTGTCCATGATTACATACCAGGAGGCTCTGACTGGACCCTTGGTCACTGGGGACCAGGCCCTTCCTGGTTTGGACCTAATATCAGCAAACGGAGTTGTTTTCTGGTTCTGGGGTCTACTCCAAGAGCCTGCGCCATACTCTGCCATTTGCTCAGGTTTCCTGACAGCTGCCACAACTGCTCCTTCCTCTTTCTTCCCTCTAATGAGCTCCACCAACAATGAAAATTCAGACCATCCCACCAGTTTGCGGTGAAGTCTAAGCTTGTTTAAAAACTCCTTGCTATAAATCACTCTCTGCTGAACTGAATCGATTGTCTCTGATCCTGTGAGCTATGTTCCATCACATCCTGCCGGGGGCCAGCTGCCAGAGCTCCTAAAGCACAAACACAAAGGTAGCACCTTCCTCTCTTCTTCTTGTTAACATACAAGGAAACAGCAAAACAAAAACACCTAAACCTACAGATCGTATCAACTCTTCAATTTGACATATGTATCTGAAGACTATCAGATTAATCTATAAGCAAAACTGAGGTCCTTGAAGACTTATTCTATGACCAAATAGTAATGAAAAATTCTGCAGGCTACATTTCACTTCTGGCATTTGTCTGTTTTGAAGTTTTGCCTTTCTGGTACCATTTTAATGCTCAACTACCTGGAATCTGGGCTGATACTGCTCACGGATTTTTCTTCTTTCTGGTAGTACATGTTTCTCACCAGCAGTCTTAAAGCCTGCTTGATTCTCTGTCCTACTGAAAGAGCTCAGAGGATGCAGTTCCATTAATGAGTCAGATTCATCAGTGTAAAGATGTCCAACAGGCCAGGCGCCATGGCTCATGCCTGTAATCCCAACATTTTGGGAGGCTGAGGTGGGTGGATTGCTTGAGCTCAGGAGTTCAAGACCAGCCTGGGCAACATGGCAAAACCCCATCTCAACAAAAAGTACAAATATTAGCCAGGTGTGGTGGTACATGCCTATAGTCCCAGCTACTTGGGAAGCTGAAGTGGGAGGACCACTTGAGCCCGAGAGGTTGAGGCTGCAGTGAGCCAGGATCGTGCCACTGCACTCCAGCCTGGGTGACGAAGTGAGACCCTGTCTCAAAAATAAAAATAAAAATGTCCACCACAGACCTCTTCTAAGTTTCCTAAAATGCCTACTTTTAAGAAATTCAGTGTCCTTGAAATCTAGGTTTACAAAAAAAAAAAAAAAAATGCTCATCTTATAATTTCCAAAATCATCTCTTCAACCCCCTTGAAATAGGGAACTGATATATCACATCCCCATGTGGTTCCACCCCCAACCCAGGATTTCTCCCATAGTGATAATTCTGATCCCAGAGACGTCTCCACAGTTTTCTGATTCGTGGATGATCACTACAAGAACCATGAATGCTTGTGTCAAGTTGAGCCCCAACTCCCTTGCTCCAATCTGTCCAGCAGCTGAACAATGGTGAAAGTTTTCCTTGGCTGCATTCTGGGGTAATAATTTTATCTAAGGTACAGCTGTGCATTGTTCTTTAGGTCGAAAATCTGGGACATTTGCCCCCAAACGTAAGGTGAATTAAACCAGACTGCCTTGCAACTGCCTCAAAGTCTGTCTCAACACAGTGACTCATCCAAGAGAAACAGAGATGTGTCACCAAAAATATCTATAAATTTTTTTCCTGTTTTACTAGAAACTCCTTAGGGATAGAGTCGAGGGACTCATGCTGTGCTTAGAGCTAAACTTCCTGAAAATCTTCTCCCAGGGTCCTGGAGGCAAAAAGGGCAGTGCAGAATGCTCCTTAGAAGGGAGTGTGGAGGAAAATGCATGCTTATATTAGAGAACCCATGTCTCTGAAACCCTGGAATTCAAAGAGCTTTCTGGACTATGCCCTCACTGGATTCGGAACTACCAGGCTTTCATCATCAAGAATCCATCTTGCCAGCATGGGGCTGAAGTTTCTGCTTCCTGAATACCTTTTCCCCCATCAACTTCCTTCAGTAACTAGTGGAGAAAAATGAAAATATTCTGGGAGGTGGCATGACAGAAAAACTGAGTTTCTAATGTCACCCTTTGCAATGCATCACACACATTTAGATATCTCAAATGCCTGTGTCTAGGTGCCTTGTAGAGTGACCAACCATCCTGATTTGCCTCGGACTGAGGGGTTTACTGGGATGCAGGACATTCAGTGCTGAAACCAAGAAAGTCCAGGACAAACCCAAATGAATTGTTCACCCTAGTTTCATGCTCAAGATGAATAGAGACACCAAAATACAACAAAGATAAACATCTTGACTGAGGTGTATGTATTTCTGACAGCCATACCGCATCAAAGAGCATGCACCGTAATTCTTTTCAGAATTCCCCTCACCTACAGACCATCCTCAGCCTCAATCTTTACCTGTCCACATCATCTTCTCCTCATCTTTTGGATATGTGTCAGCACTCTCTGCAATTAATTGTGTTGCATCCTGTATTCCAGATAACAATGCCAGAAATGGATGCAGATTTTGGTTTTGGCTATAAGGGCTTGGTTGTGAAACATACATATTTATATTGAGAGGAAAGTAGTGGGGAGAAGAATCCTACCTCCTTTGGCTGGTTTGTGCAATGAGCTCAGGACTACACATTTAGATATGAAGTAATTAGAAATAATGAACCTCTGGGATTACCCCAAGACTTCCAGGAGACAGAGTGTGCCCCAAGTCATGCTGGCTACAAAGACTAGAACTCGTTATGGATAAAAATGGGAGAATTCGATTAAACTAATTCACGGGTGTATATCCAAAGAGTATTTAAAAACATGGTAGTGGTGCCACATAAATAATACATAGATCCTACAAAGTCATGCCAACATCGTGAAAAGAAATCTGAGTCGTAGAGCTCCACATCCTGCTGCCCTCCAGACCTAATAGTGTTATTCTTCTGGTTTGTAGCTGGGAATTCATTTAAAGGCTGGAGAATTCGGTTTCGACTGTTCTTTCTCTGCTTAAGTCATGTCATAAGTAATGTCCATCAGATGTAACTCTGTGGATGGCGCCTTCACTTTAGCAGAGAATCTCCAGTCTCAGGAAGAAAATGAAAAGTGTATTTTCCTCTTGGCTGGATTCCTGCCTCCTGTCTTTTTTCTCTATCATATTGAGCACTCTACTGGTCTTAATCATTTTTTCTAAAAAGTCCTGGATTGTATTATTTTTTAAAAAGACACTGTGGACTCTGTCACTCATATTTTTAAAATAATAATAGTAATAAATTAAAGGAAGGCCTATGTCAGTGACCATGCTGCGCTAGGGAGACCCTTGTGCCCAAAACAACAGCTCCCAGCTCAAGAGAGGGAGAGAGCAGCCACACTGGCTGGCCTAGTCAATGTTTTTTTGCCAAAGATTTCTTTGTATCTGGAAATTGCTCTTATGTGTATCATACATGTTTGAAATAGCTTTCTCCAATTTGAAAAACCATAAAGCAGCAATAAACAAATGGGACTCTGATTAAAAAAAAATACTTTGTAAGTATCATGCATACTTTTACAAGTGTTTATTAGATGGTATCATTTTGCCTTTGCTTTTGCATAGTGGACTCTCAGTGCTCATGTAAACTTCCAGATGTAGTTAGGTCCCTAGACCATCCACTAACTTGGGTATATTTTTCTCTATTAACTATTTAAAAAAAAATCACAGGAAAAGAACCTAATGCTGAAAAGGCAGCCAAAAGTACAATGAAATGAAATCAATCCTAATAACAAAGACTTCTCTTCTTTCCAAAAGCATGCGTTCCTCCCCAGTCCTGCACGGTAAACCACATCAGTGTGGGATGGTAACATTTCAGTAAGTTATTTGAATATCCCAAGACTAAGACCATGAATAAAAAGCAACAGCAGCAAGATTGCCAATAGGCTGTGGGTATTTAAAACACAATGGCAGAAGATTCCTCGAATACAAGGGATAGCTAGAGCCAATAAGCCCCAGTGCATGGATATTAGGAGGTTCATTGATTAGGGTTACATGATTAAAGAAATAGGCTAAGGGAATAAACTGCTGTATACAGGGTTTAGCTCATATTTCTTGCAATGCATTTTTTGAGTACTTTTGCCCTCGTTCCTGGGAAAGATGGTAAGTTAAAAAAAAAAAAAACTTTATAAAGCATTACATTAAAAAATTCATACAAAAGGTACTAAGAATAGAAATCACATTCATGCTTCAGTTTCACACACTTTCTGTCCCAAACAGCATATAAATAAATATGATTTTTGTAACAGCTACATTGTGGCATATACCACAAAGGGCTCGGGTATCAGGCAAGGGAAAAACAATTTATCTTCATTACCATCTATCCACACATACTTTGGTAATCATGAAGACATTTCTCCTTACAATTTCACAAGGAAAATAACAGAACTTGGGCTCTGGGTGTCAGTATCTGGCCCGAGTCCATTTAGTGGCAAAAGGAATTCTTAAGTACTGACATTACATTTCAACGGGGCACAAAGAGACAGGATTTACATTCCTTCTTGGATTAGGTTTTGTTTTCATACTCATTCTCTTTAGATAATCAAAAGCATGTGTCCCCACACCTTGCCAGTTCCACCAAGGGATCCTCAGCACCCATCTCAGAGGGGTCTGATGTGACATCTGAAAGGCGATGTTGCTGCCTCCCCAGCCAAGGGGGGTGCTTGTAATTTCTCCTGCATTATCTTTGAGGTATCACTCACCAAAGCAATGAAGGGTAACCATTCCGAATCCCACCAGTGACTCCTTCTGAAAAACCTATCAGTAGGAGCCTTCAGTTTTAAATAATCCCTGCCTTGTAGTCACACAGGGGAAGAATACCCCAGTCAATTTATGAGGTCTTTGCCTTCAAGTTGTAGATGAAAGGAGTTTGTTGCTAGCTGGGAAAGCTTATTTATGACATGATTGTTAAGGAAGGAATGGTAGTGTTCCCATTTTTTTCTTTTTCCTTTTTTAAGCCATCCTTGGGTTTTGATGATTGTGACAGTATTTTTTGCCTATGTTTTACATACTCCTTTTGGCCTTGAGTTTAAACTGGGTTGTATTCAAGGAGTCAACTTTAATTTTGTGACCAAAAAAAAATCTGTCATCAGAGCTATCCTGCCTTCATTTTGAGTACTCCCCACGCTATCTTCTCTTTAACTCTAACTTGTTTTATTTTGAATCGCACAGAGAAGGAATTTGAATGGCTGCATGCATCTTTGGAGATGCTTAAACCTTTTCTCATTTTGGGTCTTAAGGATAAGTAGATCTACATCAGAAAAATATTAAAGGAGGGATCCTATATTCTAAAAATATAAAAAAGTAATTCAGAGTAGAGTAGTTCATCAAATTAAAAGACTATTTGTTGACTTCATCCTCTTTAGTGACAAAGGAGAATTTAGTTGCACTTCTTTCAGTCAGGGAACTCCACTGTGGATACTACAGAAGCAGGCCAGATCATGTATATAATTTCACTAGGGGAGAAACAGATGGAATTTATTTTCTTACCTGAGTTCACCAGGTTTTCTCATACCTCGGCCTCTCTACTCCTGGTTTCTGATTGGAATCCCATATGGTATTTCTCAAGTGGGAGGCAAATCCCTAAGCATTTGCTTCAAAATCAATGAAATGAGCAGGTAGGGTGCTTGAGAAAAATAAGGATTCCCAAGCCCCATCCCAAGTCTGCTAAATCAGCATCTCTAACAGTGGCTCCAGGAATCTGAATTTTTAACAAGCTTCCCAGGCAATTCCTAAGACCCTAAAGTTTGGGGAATGACTACTGTGATGTCATAAGAGATTCTAGAATGGAGACTGGCAGGATTGCTGTTGTTTACCCCAAGACCAGCTTTGCCCTCATGCCTCAAGTAATAGAGCCCCTAAGTCTTGGCCAGGCACAACTCTCTTACTGCTAGGTATGTCCGTTTTATGGTTCCAGGCCACCATGGAGATGCAAGCATAAGTGCTGTGAGCAGCTTAAAAGACAGTTAATTGACACACGCACTTGCTTCCTGCTTCTTCTTTCTTGCTGGCTGGAATCGGGGCATCATGGCTGGCACTCAAGCATCCATTTTAGAAAGGAGGCAACATACTAAAAAGCAAAAGGGAAAGAATTTGACAACAATGAGCCTGCCATAACAGGCCCAAATAGCCCAACTCTCCATTTCTTCTATACGATAGAGAAATAAATGTCTGCCTGGTTTAATTCGTAAGTCTCTCATTTTGGTGTTTTGTTTTCAGTTGTGGAATGGAGTAGGGTAGACGGTATGTGCAGCTAAGCCTAAACTAAATGATATAGACTCCAAGAAAAAAAATGTCTGCTTTTTCTTCCATAATCCTAGAACCTGCCTGGTACTGATAAGCTGATTTCTTATAAGCAAGCAGTCCATTGTGGGGGATGAGATATGGAGATGGGTTTCCATGCTTGCAGATTCACAGCCTTTGCAGCTCCTGGGTCACCAGAACAAGACTAGGGGCCGGCCAGTCAAGCAGTAGGAAGATTATCTGCAACCTTATGCAATCATTAGAATTAAAGAGAGTATAATGAGGGGATGAAGAGCAAAGACTATAGGCAGAGTCAGACTCCCTGGGTCTGAATACTGGGCCCTCACTTTTTCGTGTGCATTTCAGTAAATTGCCCAACTCCTTCGAACTTCAGTGTCCAACATTATAAAACGAGGAGACTTAGAAAACCAACCATACAAGACTTACTATGAGGCTTAAATGCTATACGTAAAGTCTGGCATCTCAATAACAAATTTTCTCAATAAATGGCAAATATTATGATGGTTATTTTTGAAAACTGTAAGAGGAAAGAAAATGAAACATCAGGAAGTGTAGTTATGAAGCTCCCTCCACCAGCTACCCCAGAACCTGATTTTCTTCCACCTTGAGAAATAAATACTGTAAGCAGTTGAGTTTTGGAGAGAGAAAGAGAGATGTTTAAATAGGATTTTGAAGTCCCTGCTCTTGCTTTGCAAAGAAATCATCAGTAAAGTTCTATATTTTTCTTAGGAAAGAAAATAAAGTAACACCAATGAGAACAGGGAAGTGGAATAAGAGGCCACTACGAAGTGAGAGGTAGCTTCCAGTCCTACCACCTCTGATTAGTTTATTGGCTGGATGATCTCAACCAAGTCGCTTATACTCTAAGCCTCAGTTTCCTTTTCTGTAGAAAGGAACTCATCTGCCTCAGATGATAACTGAGATAAGTGAATGAAATAACAATGTAGTTATATGTAATAATCATATAATTTGGAATTTATAAAGAACTATAACTTTCTATGGTTTTATTACATATTCAGACTCCATGCTACATTCCTGGGGATAGCAGAAACTCTCTCATGTAAATCTTCTCTGTGCCAATTAATCTCAACTTCAGGGAGGATCTGGGTAGAGAAGCTTTGGGCACGATCATCTCCAGTTGCTGACTTTCTAGGGTTGTAAGGGCCATACTCGTACAGGTAAGCCACCAGAATAATATATCGAAGCATCTAAAAAAATTTTGTTACACACCCATCTTAGTCTCTATTTAACCCCTTTCATTGTACAAAAGGCAAGTGCTTTGAAAGGCCAGTTATAATCAAGTATTAGGAGGAAATGCAGAAATCACTTTCAAGTAGGTTGGCTGTGCATAGCATGGAGGCTGTACTTAGTCCATCATAGTCTGAAGCTCTTAGATGACATCAGGCATCAAAAATGCCACCTGTCACTGCTGCCCAGCCACAAGAATGAGTCCTTCCCTCCAAGGAAAATACTGACTGCTATCAAATATGTATTTACTTATTCACAAGCTTCCCTCCCGCTCAGCTCCTCACTGGCGTCACCGATTAGGTCCTTATAAATCCCAGTACAGTACATTTTTTCTTCCACATGGATCCTCTCTGTAACACTTTCAGGCTTCTAGAAGGCAGTGATAATTTCTATCACACTCAACATCCATCAGATCTAGATGTTTAACATGTAATGTGCAGTTTTAAAGGATGTGGATGCCGAGCCATGACGAGGCCTGCTGGCTCCATCTTTTCTGAGTGTCCACACTGGGCCAGGTCTGTATCAGGCACTGAGCTGTGAATAGGAACATGCTCACGGAGGTCACCTTTCAGCAGGAGATCCACTTTGTACAAAGACACACATATCTTTGATAAGCCGTAGGAAAGCAGAGTCTAAGGCTGAAGGAAGAGTTTCTGAAGCGAGATAACTTGGCAACTTGGAGGATGGATAGGAACTGGTGCAAAGGCCATGTAAGTGTGAAGGGGCTGATATGGATTAGGAGCTGAATGAAACCCAGTGGGCTGGAATGTGGAAGGGAGCTGGCAGGAGCTGGAGAAGGAAGCAGCAGCCAGGTCATTTGGTTGGCATTTAAATGACTTTTGCTTTTAATCTAACTGAAATAGGCAGCCACTTAGCTGTTTTAAACAGGGAACTGAGCTAATCCAACCTGCACATGAAGATGATGTCACTGCTGTTGTAGGGATAGCCAGTTAGGAGGCTCTTCAGGTGCCTGGTCTGGAAAGAGTTGTGTGATTCAGGTTGGGCTGATAACTGTAGTTAGAGAAGTTTGGAGATCAACTGTTTCTTATACTGTGGTGGGAAATCTTTCAGTAGAACCAACTCAGATCTATGGATCCTTAACAGCTGGAGGAAGACAGTGATGGGGGAGTCTGTACTTATGACGAGCTCCAGGGTTATCTTACATACACAATGTTCGAGGCTTGGACTGACACTTCTGTATCTTCTTATTGCTAGTGAATTCCTTAAAAGGACTAAATTCATGAGTCTGGATCCACCCCAAACCTAGTCTCCTGAAGGTTTCCTAAAACATCAGATTTAACTGTCACTAGAATGGTTGTCCCCAGTGAAAAGCATAGTTCTCCTGGCCAATGGTCAGTAAAGTCTGCACTTTAAGCTCTTCCAATAGTAGTGATGAGTTTGTGCAAATTGGTCCACACATTTTCCTGACTCACAATGTAAATGTTTAAGACTAGTGGGCAAACGCACAACCTGCTGACATGGAACAGAGCAAAATCAGCTGACTCCAAGCCACAAACCACCCCAGCCCCATGCTAAAAATGTCATTAATGGGCTTGATTAATGATACTTAATTTTGTGTTTGCTTTAATGGTATTTCAATAAAAAATTATCTGGCTGGGCCCAGTGGCTCACGCCTGTAATCCCAGCACTTTGGGAGGCCAAGGCAGGTGGATCACGAGGTCAGGAGTTCGAGACCAGCCTGACCAACATGGTGAAACCCTGTCTCTACTAAAAATACAAAAATTACCCAGGCGTGGTGGCACGCTCCTGTAATCGCAGCTACTCAGGAGGCTGAGGCAGGAGAATCGCTTGAACTCGGGAGGCAGAGGTTGCAGTGAGCTGAGATCGCACCACCGCACTGCAACCTGGGCGACAGAGTGAGATGCTGTCTAAAAAAACAAAAAAAATTACCCTTCATTGGGCAAAAAACCAGGGAACTCAACCAAAAAGATGTCCAAATTATAGTGCTCAGTGAAAAAAATACATCACAGGGTAATAAAGTATAATATTATGCCACAGTCAGATTTGCATTTGATAGATAACTTTGTGCACTATGTAGAGGCTGGCTTAAGGAACAAGCCAGGGGACAAAACACATGGCACCCTAGTCTGTGCGGCCAGCCTCACACACCCTGACTTTCTGTCCTTTTGGGAAAAGACAGCAGCATGCTTGTTAATGGAAGATCCTAGACTTCAGATGCAGACCCTCACCAAATTTCTGGCTAAACCATGGGTCTATACCTCAAAATTAAGCCACACAGTATATGCAAAAAGTATGAGTAGTAAAAGCAACAAATGTTACTTTCCCCCACTTCTTTTAAAATAAAGTAATATAATATTCTAAGCTAGTGATTCTCAAAGTAGGCTTTGAAGTTCATTTTCATCAAATAGCTGAGAACACTTGTTTAAAATACAGAGAGCCTGTGCTGGCCCTCTGAATCCAAGTGGTGGGGCCTGGCAATCCACACGTTGACAAGACCCATTTGATCTGATGCACACAACTTGAAAACTGCAATTCCAGACTAGCAGATGCATATTTAATTATTTTCCAATTGTTTCAAATGACTATAAGTTTGCTTTGTGTTATTTTTCTCTTCCCTAGCCATTGATAAACCTCTGAAAGTTCAGCCTAGGCTTCCACCAGACAACCTAGCAGAGGGAAGGCTCAATAAACAATGAATCAATACTTGATTGATCTATGGCATGCAAATTATATTACGCAAAACTTCTCTCATCACTACTAAAACTTTTCCAGATGTACAGTTTATTCACTGTTGCCATTGTCTTACAAATCCTTATCTAGAGTTTATTTCTGGAGAGAGGGTAAAAATCCCTAGCCCGCAAATGAGGATCTATGGAACTCCCGCTGGGGCCGCTACGTGACACAAACCAGAGTGAGAAAAAAGGTGCCCTGCTCCTATTTTCAGCTCCTTACTCCTTCCACCACCCCAGTCTTGATAGTTAATCCTAGAAATTTTTCTCATTTGCTTACTTTAAGCTTTGCTGTTTATGGAAATATGCCTTTCTATCTGGAATTTGTAAAGACCATATTACCATATTTCCATATTTCCTTGTTTTGGTATGTAAGTCCCTCTCTCAAATGTATATAAATCCCGTAAGTGATGAAAGGAATTTTACTAAATGGCCCTTTTGCCATTTGCCAACCTCTCTCTTGGCAGGTGTGACCCAAGGGGTCCATCACTTTGTTAGGCGGCAGATAAGCAAGCTGTGAATTCCAGTGGCCTATGACCCACCTTTGCTTCTCAGAAGCTTCCTCCTGAATTTATGTAGGGATATGATGCTGTGTAAATCTACCGTAAAAGTCCTTTGCACACAAAAGACCTGATTCTTCAGGTCTGCGAACACATGCTTCTTCTGTTTGACTTATATGGGCACCCTAGGGTTTGTATTTGCGCCAAAAAGTGGAAGCCAAGCTTTCATTGTAAACAGATGGTGCTGCTAACAAGGAAAGTAAAAAATTCTTCCAGTCACTCCTCGCACCAGAGACCTGAAGAAGATTCTGCTTTAAAAACAAATGAACAAAACTATCAAATACTCCCTCTCCCCTATTCCATAGGCTCTGGGTCAAAACACACATACACACAGCCCCTCACATGCAGACAAAATCTGGTCTCCATTCCTCACTTTCCCCATCCTCCTCCCTATGCCAAATTCTACATTCCTCCAGTGTAGATACTATAAATATAAAAAGAACAAACTCAATCCCGAATCACGAGGGTGCTTTTCTTTGCATGACCACAACATAAGCACTGGTCCATCATTTTGGGATTTTTATGAAGCCTTGAAGAATGTTCAGAATTCCAGTCTTGCTCAAACAATGTCTCTCACCAGTCGGCATGATTCAGATGTTGAGTTTCAGGACAACCTGGGGATTTCTGGTTAGAAGAAAACATTCTCCTGAAGTGTCTCAATGTGAAAGATTTCCATGTATTTCCCCCTTTTTTCTTTCAGCCCAGAAGAAAAGAAATGTGGAAACGCGTATGTTTTCTTTAACATGAGGGAATTTGAAGTTGATTGCAATCTCCCTGTCCCTAAGCCCAAAAGAGAAGTAGCATTATTATGCTGTAATCAGGTCCTTTCTTAAATTCCTCCATTAGGTAGCATCTTATTACATAACCACTTTATGCTTTTAAATCTGAATATCGATAACAATCTCCTGACAGATCATACTTCCGGTGCCTAAGTTAGAAAGCGAATGACCCAGACACTCTGAGATGTCCTTTGAAGCATTCCAGAGGAAGGGGACACTGGAGGTTATCCAGTCACCCGTGCCTTGGGGCAAGACCACACTCAAGCTGTTCCAAAGAAATGAGGATCCCTTTTATTTTTGAAGTTTCCCCAGAGACGCAGATTCCACAGCCTCCCTAAGTAAACCCTCAGTGCTTCAACAGCATTAACATTTTCATAGGAGAGTTAAGCCCACTATCAAGGTACTTATTATTGAATTGACACTCTGTCCTTTGAGCCTTAGAAAATATCTACATCAAGGCCTTTCTATTGTATACATGAAAGCTAAATTGTCTATCTACTTGTATAAGATACCATGAGAAAATACACATTTTTGGAAACCTTACCTCAGTCTCTGCCATCTGTTTATTGGGGATACCTGCTCTGCCAAACTCACAGTACTACCTGAAGGATCCAAAGAGATCACATGTCAGGCTGCCCAAGGTACTATTTGTATCACCACCTAAATAACTATTCTAAACCTGAATCTGGAAGTAGTTGTTTAAGCTACTTTATTATAGAAATAACAGGGATTCCTGAAATAATACTTTAATTATAAGCCTAAGTTACAAATACAAACATGTGGTTCATGAAATATCACTTTAATGCTCACATAAGCAAACTATGTGTTGGCATCTCACAAAGCACCAGGGAAAAATTATTCCCCTGAAGATGCAGGACTTGCTCTGAAGAGCAATGGTAGAAAGCTATCTCCATGGTTTAGCAATCACAGATGCAGGGACTGGGTAGGTGAGGATGGAGGCGGCGAACTGCCTAACAGAAGGAAGCCCTGTACAAGAGAGACACACATAGATCACAGTGGTTCAGAAAGCCTAAGTGTGAACGCATAAGGAAAGGCATACCGGGCAAACGGAACTGAAAAAGCAAGGTTATGACCTTACTCTCAGGTGAAGTGTAATTCAGGCCAGAAATTAATATAGTAAGAAAAGGGGCACTTTGTAATGCTAAATAGTGAAACTCAAAATGAGGCTACAGCAATTATGAATACACATTCATCAAACAACACAGTAGCCACTGTGTAAAGCAGGAATTACAGAAGAGGAAAGAAGAAATAGACAGAAATGAAAATTCAGTCCATGATAAATAAGTCAACATATCTTAAGTTCGGAAAAGACATAACATAATAAGATACATGTTATTCAACTCTGTATCCTGAAAATATCTCCATATTATCTAACATCATTTTTTCAAGTGGTCAGGAAACATATATGAAAATTAACCATAGGCAAGGCCCACAAAGTCAACAAATTCCAAAAGATAGAAACATTACAAATAATATTTTTGGTCACAATGCAATAAAACAAAAAATTGTTATCAAAATCTCAGTTATCAATATCGATACAGAAAATTCTAAATGAATACTGGCAAACAGCATTCACTAGCACATTAAAAAAAGTAATTACCATGACGAAATGGAGCTTGTTGTAGGAATGCAAGAATAATTCATGGCCAAGAAATTTATTATATCCCATTAAATTAATAGCTCTATGGAGAAAAAAATATATGATCATTTCCAAAGATACCAAAAAGAGCATTTGGACAAAAGTCAATACTCACACCTGATCCACCCCCCGCAAAAAAGCTTCTAAGAACAAATTAATATTCTCTTAGCATAATAAAATAGATCATTCTCATCCCAAAGCCCACATCATGCCCTGAATCACTGGGCATAGGTAATCACTGAAGCCATTTCCATTAAAATAAAAAATAAGACAAGAATGCCCACTCTTACTACTGTTATTTAACATCATACTAGACCTAATAGATAATGAAATTTGAACAGAGAAACTAAAAGTATAAAAATTGGAGAGCAGATGGTTAATCTTTATTTTTAGATTACATTATATAGTTAGAAATACAAGAGAATTGGGAAATATTTATAAACAATATGAGTAAGATAGAATGGCACACAAGGAATACACTGTAATTAGTTGCTTATATCCAGCTAGAAGATGTAATGAGAGAAAAGACCCCATTTACAATAGTAATAACAAAGATAAAATACCTATGAATAAACTTAATACATGTCCAAGACACATATGAAAAATCTGTAAAACATTCCCAAAGGACACAAAATAAGATTTGAACAGATAGAAAGATCTACCTTTTTCTTAGCTAGAAAGACTTGATAACATGAAGAAGTCAACTTTCTCTATGTTAATTATTTAAATTTAATTCTGATGATACAAACAGGAATAAGAGTTTCTATTATTGTTTACTCTGAAGTTTATATGGAAAAACAATAAGGAAAACTGGGAAACTGAGAAGAGCAATGAGAAACGATATTAAATGTATAATAGAAGTGATTAGATATTAGATATTAAGAAAATATTAAAAATTAAAAGCATTGATAATTAACTGGTGTGGCGGTAGCACCCAAACTAAAAAAAAATCAACCAAGGAAATATAATGTCCAGAAATAGACTCAGCTATACACAGGAATTTAATAGATGATGATAATAGCATCTCAAAACAGGGTAAAAGATTATTATCATGAAGTGGTGGTGAAGCAAAGCACAGGCAACAGAAGCAAAAATAGGCAAATGGGGCTATATCAAACTTAAAAACTTCTGTGTATCAAAGGACAAAATCAACAGAGTGAAAGGTCAGCCTATGTTACAGAAGAAAATAATTGCAAATCACATATCCAATAAGGGATTAATATCCAGGAGATATATATATATATATCCTATAAGGGGTTAATATTCAGGATATATATATATATCTCCTACAACTCAACAACAAAAATAACCTGATTTTTAAATGGGCAAAGGACTTGAACAGACATTCCTCCAAAGATGAAATTTACATGGCCAACAAGCATATGGAAAGATGCTAAACATCATTAATTACTAGAGAACAGAAAATCAAAACCCCAATGAGATATCACCTAACACCCATTAAGATGGCTGCTATGAAGAACACAAAAAGTAACAAGTGTTGGCAAGGGTGTGGAGAAATTGGAACTCATGCGCCCTGTTGGTGGAAATGTAAAATGGTGCAGCCACTATCGAAATCAGTCTCACTTCTGGGTACATAGCCAAAAGAAATGAAAGCAGGATCTCAAAAAGATATTTGCTCATCCATGTTCATAGCAGCATTATTCACAATAGCAAAGAGGTGTGGGCAACCCAAACATCTACTGTTGGGCTAATAGATAAAGAAAAAGTGGCCTGTAATCCCAGCACTTTGGGAGGCTGAGGCAGGCGGATCACGAGGTCAGGAGATCGAGACCATCCTGGCTAACATGGTAAAACCTCGTCTCTACTAAAAATACAAAAAAAAATTAGCCGGGCGTAGTGGCGGGCACCTGTAATCCCAGCACTTTGGGAGGCCGAAGCAGGCGGATCACGAGGTCAGGAGATCGAGACCATCCTGGCTAACACAGTGAAACCTCGTCTCTACTAAAAATACAAAAGAAATTAGGCGGGCGTGGTGGTGGGCTCCTGTAGTCCCAGCTACTCGGGAGGCTGAGGCAGGAGAATGGCGTGAACCGGGAGGTGGAGCTTGCAGTGAGCCGAGATCGCACCACTGCACTCCAGCCTGGGCGACAGAGCGAGACTCCATCTCAAAAAAAAAAAAAAAAAAAAAGGTGGTGACTGGGCACTGTGGCTCATGCCTGTAATCCCAGCACTGTGGGAGGCAGAGGCGGGTGGATTGCTTCAGCCCAGGAGATAGAGACCATCCTGGGAAACGTGGCGAAACCCATGCCTCTATTAAAACTACAAAACTTAGCCGGGTATGGTGGCACACGACTGTCGTCCCTGCTACTTGGGAGGCTGAGGTGGGAGGATCACTGGAGCCCTGGAGATTGAAGCTGTGGTGAGCCAAGATTATGCCACTGCATTCCAGCCTGGGTAACAGAGTGAGAACCTGCCTCCAGGAAAAAAAAAAAAAAAAAAGTAAATGTGGTATAGACATACAATGGAATATTATTCAGCCTTAAAAAGAAGAAAATCCTGCCACATGCCACAATATGGATGAGCCCTTGAGGATATTATGCCAAATGAAATAAGTCAGTCACAAAAAGACAAATACTGTATGATTTGCGGTGATTAAAGCAGTCAAAGTCATATAAACATGGAAAAGAACAGTGGTTGCCAGGGGCTTGGAGGAAGGAGAAATAGAAAGTCATTCAATAGGTACAGCATTTCCATTTTGAAAGATAAAATGTTCTGGAGATCTTTTGTACAACAGCATGAACATACTCAACACTACAGAACTGTACACTTAAAAATGATTGAGATGGTATATTTTATGTGTTTTTTAACAACAACTAACATTTAAAAAATTATTCTTTTTGAAAGTGGTAGTGGGGCAACTGGATCATTAATAATAAAGCAAGATCCATACCTTAATACCTTATACACTAAACCAGGATAAAATATAAATGAACAGGCCAGGCACGGTGGCTCATGCCTCTAATCCTAGCACTTTGGAAGGCTGAGGCAGGTGGATCACCTGAGGTCAGGAGTTCGAGACCAGCCTGGCCAACATGGCGAAAACCCATTTCTACTAAAAATACAAAAATTAGCCTGGCATGGTGGCGTGCACCTGTAGTCCCAGATACTCGGGAGGCTGATGCAGGAGAATCACTTGGACCTAGGAAGAAGTGGTTGCAGTGAGCCAAGATTGTACAATTGCACTCCAGCCTGGGTGACAGAGTGAGACTCTGTCTCCAACATATAGATAGATAGATAAATAGATAGATAGACCAAATACCTAAATATCAAAAATAAAATCAGAGTATATAGGATAAGACAGGCCTATCTATGACTCTTTTAAAAACTGATAAATTCAATTAAATAAAATTAGAAACTTTTTTAATGTCATGAGATATCAAGAGCCAAGTCGAAAGACAAACGGCAAAATGAGAAAACAATCTGAAACTCCTAACGCAAAGGGATAATCTCCTTAACATACGTGGAGTTTCAAGAACTGAAGAACAAGACCAAGAACCCAATAAAATATGGGAACACTATATAAACAATAAGGCCACAACAAAGGAAATAGAATTGGCTCTTAAATATATAAAAAACTTGCTCAGCCTCACTCAAAATCAGAGAAATGCGAGTCAAAACTATCTTGAGACATCACTTTTCACCTATCAGACTGGCAAACATCCAGAAGTTTGATTGCACATTTTGCTGGCAAGGCCGTGGGGAAACAAGCACCATTTAACATTGCTAGTGGAAGTGTAAATTGGTTCAGCCCTTTGAAAGGCAGCTTGGCTGTATTTATCAAAATTCAAAATGTAAAATCCAGTAATCCCACTTGTGGGAATTAATACTATAGATAAACTTGCACAAGTGTAAAATGTCATGTGTGGACGTTTGTAACATTGTTTAATAGCAAAAGATTGGAAACAAGTCAAATGTCTATCAGTGGGATTCTGATTGAATAAATCGTGGTGCATTTATCCAAGGGAATGCTATGCCACATTAAACACAGGCATGGTTACTCTGCACTGATATGCATGTAAGTCTCATCGTGTCCGTCCTCTTCTCAAGACCCTCCAATGGCTGTCTGTTGCTCTGAGGGTAAGTCCTGAAATACTTACACTGGTTTAGCGGGTCCTACACCATCTGGCTGTCCTGTCTCTCTGACTTCATATGACATTCTACATCTCACTTTCTCTGTTTCAGCCACATTGTCCCCTTTGCTGTTCCTCAAACGTGCTAGGCATGGTCCCTCCTTAAGGCCTTTGCACTAGCTTCTTCTGCCTGGATCACCATACTCTCCAAATAATCCCAAAGCTCACTGACTCCCTTACCATGATCAAGTCTTTGCTCACACGTCACTGTCTCAAGAAAGCTGCCCCTGGCCGCTCCGTTTTAAATTAAAATTCCCCACTGACATCCCCAACCCCCATTATCTTGCTCAGTGTGTTCAACTGCTCTTATTATGTCCTAACTCAACACAGAATTAACTTGTTTAGTATGTTTGTTTTCTGCCTAATGTGCCCCTTGCCCAAGATATAAATGCCAAGGGACAGAAAGTTTTGTCAGCTTGTCCCCTGCTGTGTTACCAACATACACAATAGTCTGTGGCATGAAGTAGGTCTTCAACAGGTGTTTGTTTCCAAACAAATGAATTAATGAACATACAATGTGGAAAGGACTATAAAGTGTATATGTATTTAAGTGAAGATGTAAGACGAAGCCCAGTTATTGTTCTGCCTATAGTATTTTTTTTTTTTTTTTGAGATGGAGTTTCACTCTTGTCGCCCAGGCTGGAGTATAATGACGCGATCTCAGCTCACTGCAATCTCTGCCTCTTGGGTTCAAGCAATTCTCCTGCCTCAGCCTCCCAAGTAGCTGGGATTACAGGTGCCCGTTGCCATGCCCAACTAATTTTTGTTTTAGTAGAGATGGGGTTTCACCATGTTGGCCAGGCTGGTCTCCAACTCCTGACCTCAGGTGATCCGCCCACCTCAGCCTCCCAAAGTGCTGGGATTACAGACGTGAGCCACCGTGCCCGGCCCTGCCTATAGTATTTTTAAGAAATAAAGAAAAAGTGTAAGAATGTATTTAGGCCAAAAGAAACCTGGAAGTCTACAGAGAAAACTATTATCAGTGGTTACCTGGAGGGAGATGTATGGACTGGGCATATGGGGAAGAGTGGTAGAAAGGAGACTGTGGTGCATGTACTTTTATATAAATTATGTAAATGTATTACTTATTCAAAACATTAAATTAACAAAAGAAAAATAAAAGCTGATGTCAGCTCCCAAAGATTGTAATTCAGTAGTTCTGAGCAGGGCTCAGGGGAATCTGCATTTTCAACAAGCTCCCCCACCCTCCCATCCCTTCCTGGGTGGGGTAGATCACCCTCAAAAATCACTGTCACCACTACCTCTCCTGACCCCAAAACGCCACAAACCGCGTAACGTTGGGATAGTTCTCATTTGGAGCACAAGCAAATGGGCAGGCACATCACAGAAACTAATGGCAGAGTTTTCAGTAACATTTGACACCACTAACAGCTGCCACCCAAAAGGCAGCCTCCTTGTGTGGAAGAACAGCAGAAATTTCATCTACCCTTCAGTTTCATCCCCACAAGCAAGCAGGACCAGTAAAAGGAGTGTCCTCTCTGTCTAAGACATTTATATATGTTGGGTGTTTAGACTAAATTTCAGACTTCTAAACATTCACAGGTTTAGCGAAAGTAGTTGGAGGGGCTTCTTCAGATTTCTGCGCTCATGGTGATCATATACTGAAACCCTCCAAATTTTTCCTTCCTCTTTCGCCCAGGCATTTTAATTAATACAATGTCCTTCCTAATTCACAGAGGAAAGATCTTTCTAAGAACCCTTGCTGGAGATGAGAAAGGTGGTAAGGATCTGAAATGTGTCTTAGCAAGACTCACCCAACAGGGCCACCCTGCTTCATTGTGATGCCTTTCAGATAAACGAAGTATTCGGCTCTTGTTATTCAATGACCCTAATAAAACTTTACAACTGAAGTGTAGAGGAAAAAAATAAATAAAAAGATCTAATGACATACAAGAAGGGACTGAACCTGTCAACCCCAGAATATTTTCAGTCTGAAAAGCAACCTCATCCTTATTAACTTTACATTGATTCCCAAAGAGCGGAAAATTTAATAAGGAAGAAAAAATTCAATATTTCATGACTCACCACTTCCTCGGGATAATAAATACGAACTAAAGATATATACACTGAACGCTTTTAACATTTTATTTTCACTTCAAAAAATACTGTTTGCACTATCTCTACTATTGACCTCTCAAGATGATTCTATTTCCGGAACGCATTTTTTGATATGGTTTCTAATTCAAAAATCTGTCACATCTTTGATATTTCATAGGCTCCATTAAAATTAATAGCTTCATGGGTCCCTCATGAGTTTCTTCCTTAAATTTTCAAACGGTTTGTGGTCTGTTTCTCAGACTGGCCAATGACAAGCAGTTCTGGGACTGGAAGATGGAAGTAGTGAAATAATCTTTAAAAATGTGTAAAAATTAAGCACTGTCTGCCAGGGGCTTTAGAGTTGGCAAATAGCTAGGTCTTTATTAAACGGTTGGTTTTGTTTCTCCTGTTGTTTCTTCCTGATATCCGTCTGTGTGGTAACTGAGTCACTATGACATAATACCGCAGAGAAAGACTGCAGGACAACCAGACGTACACATGTTCATCCCTCAATGAGTCGCAACCTTGGGTCTGTTCCCTAGACATTGGTGGAAAGACTTGATTAATGGCAGACTTGTTCAACATAAAAAAGAACAAAGACCAGATTTATTCTTGGCATTCCCTTTCCTAGGGGCTTACTTGTAATGGGGTAATTAATTTATGGCTTTGCAGTAAGGCGGCATCAGAGGAGCAATTTAACTCACAAGAGGTAACGCAGATGGAGAGTACAACTGAAAGATACCTTGTGTGGAAGGGTACAGAAGGAACCTCAAGCTGGACGTTGATTTCTTTTATCAGTAATACAAATTCACTACTAGCTGCTTCTTGGATTTCCCCCCTTGAGAGCTGCAACGTTTCCTAAATGAACAGAGGTCTTTAGGGAATGCCTCAAACCACAGCTGAATGGGGAGTGGCTTTAGAAATCGCCGGTGGAACTTGCCTGTTACCTTCTTACAATTCCCCCCGCCCCTGGGCAACGCAAAAGCCGTCCTAAGTGCGATAAGAGCATGGAGTGAAGGGAGTTATTTCTGGAGTTTAGCAGCATTCCTCCCCAGGACACACCCTCTCCCCCTCCCCAGCAGCCCGGCACTCCGACACACTCCGCGCACACGCGCCCCTCGGCGAGACGCGGCGCATTCGCGCGCTGGAGACCGGCGGCCTCTCACCGAGCCTGAGTCGTGGCCGCTGCGCCGCCAGGAGGCTTCCCGGGAGCCGGCGGGGCCCAGGACCTCTCGAGCGCAGCAGGCAAGGGGCCGGCCTTTTGGCAGCGCGGCTGCCAGTTAATTTTCTCCGTTGCATTCTGCAAACGAGATCGCATTCAGAGCCCAGAAGTTGCAAGCTGGGAATAAGCGAGATCTGAAAGACCCCCAAGAGGAGCTTGTTTGGGAGTGGGGGCAGACGGCGTTTTGCGCCCAACTGGTAAGTGGCAGCATTAAATCTATGCAGACATGGAGGAAATAAAGCTTTGCAGCCTTTCCAGGCAGTGGCATGCAAGTACTCGTGCGAAGAGTACTGTTTGGGGTGTTTAGTTGTAGTGGACTCAGAATACCGTGTTCCGCCACGGTTTTCCTAATCCCTTCTTCGGACTCCTCTTTGGGGGTTGGCGGGGGCGGGTCCTGCTTCGCGGGACTTTTCTGTTGTTGGAGTTAGGGTGGGGGAGGGGAGAAAGGCGTGAGGTTGAATAATCTCTCCTACCCACCTCACCCTTTTTTTTTTCCATTAAAAAAAATGATACTTTTAGAGAAGCTTCTCTTTCATGTGTTTAACTTGCCTGCTGCGATTTGAGCCCAATGAGTTTGTATTTTCTCTAATTACTTTGTAATCGGCTCCATCCTCGGTTGAAATAGAAGGAAACTTTCACAAAGCAATCAATTTCTGACAGCCTAAGAGCTGCTCAGTTGCTGAATGAGGTCTAGCTGGAAACACTTTGTTTCTCACAAGGTTTTGGTGATTTTTCCCATGAGAAATCTGGGCGTTTTCACACCTGTTGCTTTTCAGTTGCCTCAAAATTGTTTGCTTGTTTGTTTGTTTTCTTGGGTTTCACTTGATTGCAGTTCTTTGTCTAACCAAATCCAATGCTACTTTCCCGGTTCTCCTCTCCCTTTGGACGGGGTCCCTGTTGTTAGCATTCAGTTGGCGGTGGTTCTTAGGGAACAAGTGGCAGGCAGAATACAATAGGGAAGAATGCATTCCTGATGACTCCTCTACCATGGAAAGACTGAAAAACTGACATTCTCCATTAGTTTTTATGGAAAGCATTGCTGACGCTTATAAATATTCAATTTTGGTGAGTTCCTGAAATTATTTAATCCAGAAGTAACCAGCATGACTTTTACAGAGAGAGTTCCCCTAATCTATTTGCATTACAAGCATAGAGACCCTGGCACCTGAACACCCCCAGAATGCTGAAGTCACCTTTCACTTCACTGGCAGGTAGGCTACTGACAAGGAAAGGGGTGATGGAATGTTAGGAGAGGGGCAGCGGGGAAGACCCCCTGAGAAGGGGGCTGTCCTCCAAGGGACCAGCATGATTTCAGCTTTCTGATGATTAAGAAAATCATCAGGATATTGGAGTGTAATTTAACATCCTAGTAGGTTAAGTTGAATTCCTGTCCACATGATGAAAAAGACTTTCTATCAGCCCTTCTCACACTTCCAAGTGGAGCTCAATGGAATGCTTGTTTATTTCTGTTGCCGATAAATCCATGGGAAATCTCTGCTGAACCCAGCAATTTTAAAAAAGCAAGTTCCAGCTTATAATTGCCCGTATAATGGCAAACAGGTTATTTTCAGTAACCTAAGACTCTTACATTTCCCCCCGCGGTTGTTATAGGGGTTACATGAAGATGTTATGAGCATGCATTTGAGCTTACCCACCCCCAACTGAAATGGAAAGTTATCCTTGGGTGTCTGATGGAAAAGATTGTTGCCAGATACCTTAGGAGGCTATAAAATAACATGTTTCTGAAAAGATCATAACTAGTAGACATGAGTGTCTATAGCTACTATATAATTTTTCATTGTTCCTTTAGGAAAGAGACCTACTTTGATCACTACAGTGTTTACATTTGTTGTTTATTTGTTGTATGGTTTTTCTGAGTCTTTTTTCTTTTCTTTTTGCTATTGAAAATCTCCCTTCATTTAAATGAAATCACAGACTAGAAATAGCAATGATTGCTCTCTAGGGCTAAAATTAGAAACTACAAGAGACTTTTTAGACACATCCCTCTTGTCTCATGGAAGGTTCTGCCGAGTTTTCTTTAAAACTCCCACTTAAGCAATTATTGTAAGATGATGTTTACTCTGTAAAATAGCATTTTTATTTGGACAATTTTTTTCCATCAAGCTTTAATCATACTTTGCCAATGCATATTGAACTTTGTTTCTCTGAGGTGCCTAAAGGGACATCCAATACATTTACCATCCCTTCAAAGTCTGTATACTTAGCTCTTTGAACAGTTTCTTAAAAAAATAATAATAATAAATAAACAAAAGCTCCAATGGCACTTGCAAGAGACAAGACTGGGTCCTGTGATGTGATGGCAGATGGCAGTTGCATGAGCTTTGTTTATGCTCAGAACAAGCTCGGTGTCTCTTAAATTAATCATGAATTGAATAATTGATTTCTCACACCTTGGGCTGCATTTAATCTTCAGCTGTACATTTAAAGATAGGTTATGATTGAGGTCTTGTTCACTTGGACGTCCTTTCAAAGCCTATCAAGTGATTTTACAGTTGGGTCATTTCTAATCGTAACACATATTATAAAATGTAATGACATAAACTTCGAGCTTTCCTGGCTTTTCAATTTCCAAGATGGGCTTCAGTGACCTTCCCATTTGTTGGTCAGCCCCAAAGATGGTGGGGCTAATGGATACAGTGGTTTTTCTGTAAATGTAATTAAACGTGCCTCTGCCAGCTGCCTGTGGTATTTGTGAATGTTTTCGTAAGAAAAGCTGTTCTTCGACTTTATCTGCCCACTGTGGTTTGTGGCATGTTGTGCTATTCTGCAGCCTTGCAGTTTTTTTCCTGAATGATTGGGCTATGATGTCATGTGCTATCTCAGCGCAGAACCTTTTCAAAGCTTTGCTGGGGTCTGTGTGCCTGAGCGAGGGGAGTGGAGGCTCCCTCAGAGCGCACTTGGTAGCGACTCCCCGTCTACTCCAGCACATTCCATCGCCTGGAGACCAAAGCCACCAAATGATTTGCGGTCAGAGTGATTTGGGGCTGGTTAGAGATGATTTAAAAGGAAGGTTATGGGCATATGAAGTGTAGCGTAAAGAAAATATATTTTACTACTTTATTGAGACCACATGGCTCCAACTTGAACTTTTTTTTTAAACATGGAAATTGTTGGCTGAACTGGCTCACAGTGTTTTTTCCCTTTTTTTCATTTTTATTGCTCTGAGCGAAGAGCTGTACTCCCTATTTATTATATGCTTGACCTCTCCATTATTTCTGAAAGTTTGAAAAGCTTTTTATGTTTAAAGAAAACAGGAAAACGTAGGATTTATCTGTTGTGCTCTTCAAGGGCCAAATACCATTGCCAGAGAAGAGACCCAACTCTCTCCAATAACTGAAAGAAGGTTTCTTTCTCATGTCAAGCTTGGGAAGCCATCAGTTATGAAAGAGACAAGGGCCAGTCTGTCCCAGGGTACCCGAGGGCCACAGCATATCAGTACTGACAGTGTATCCATGTCTCTTGTTGACTGGGAGAGATGGTTTTGCTCAACCTCCTAAGGGTTCAATATACCCTACGATTAATAATGGGGCCAAATAAAGCATGGTCGATCTTTTCCAATGCCAGAATGGTGATGCTAGGGCTCAGAGACCAGGGGCTCCTTCTCATTAGCGGTCCATGGGAACACATAACACTTGGGTGCAACACTTCGTTTGTGAGACTAAGCAGCCATCTCCTGCCTCTCCTATGTGGGCTACCACAAACTGGCACAGTAAACCACCTATTACCTCTGAACAGGTTCCCAAATCTCTGTCCAGCATGAACTTAAAGTATCTATTATCACTTCACTCTGTGGCTCAGGTTCATCCTATTTCAATCCTCAAGGCATATGCCATAGTCTAATAGTCCATTACAAGCTATCAGATAGCCAGCTCCAACTTGCAATTCGGTGTTATGACACTAGCTAGAGAAGTGCCATGGAAAGCATGTTTGTGAGCATGCCCAGTCCCTTGGCAGCCATCAACCCAGGGTCTGAGGGCCATGACTGTGATGTAATGGAAGGCCTGAGATCTTCCCACCAACCCTTCATGGTTGCTGGTCTGTGATCCATCTGAGCCAGCCTGGATTCCCGCAGTTTGAGTCTGTGTGTGTGTCCAGGGATTTAAAGGAAAACATGTGGAGACCAAATTAGTGTGGCACCTGATGAGAAAATCTTATAGAATTGGAAAAATGTCAAGAAGGCAACATTGTATGATGGAAATCAAACTACATTGGAATTGAGGATCCTGGTTTTGCCACTATGTGACCTTGAACCAGCTATTTAGTAATGTAACATTGATAAAGCACTGTATTACATTTGATCATTTCCTTCCCAAATATGACATGTGATCATCAGAACCACATTTGGAAGCAGGTAGGGCAGGTGGCGTTATTTCCATTCTGCAAGTATGGAAACTGGAGCTCTAGAGGTTAATGACTTGCTCAAGGTCACAAAGCATGTGAGTGGTAGAATTTGACCTCAAACTCAGAACTTCTGCCAGACACGGTGGCTCATAAGCATGAGCCTGTAATCCCAACACTTTGAGAGGCCAAGGCAGGAAGATCACTTGAGGCCAGGAGTTCTGACACCAGCCTGGGCAACATAGTGAGACCCCATCCCTGCAAAAAATAAAATTAGCCCAGTGTGGTGGTGGGTACCTGTAGTCCTAGCTGCCTAGGAGGCAGAGGCGAGAAGATCGCTTGAGCTCAGAAATTCGAGGCTGCAGTGAACTACTATTGTGCCACTGCCCTCTAGCCTGACTGACAGAATGAGACTCTGTCCCAGAAAGTAAACAAAAAAACCCAGAACTTCTAACTTCAAATCTCATGATCTGTCCACCATAGCAAGCAGCCCTCACAATTCTCAACCTCTATAGAACTCACTCTCCTCATTTGCAAAAATGAGACATTTGGCCCAGAAAATTACAGGCCATTCCAGCTTAAAATTCTGTGTCTGATGAATCACTGGCTGGAAGGGACTTTAAGAAATCACTTAGTCATATTCCTTGCTTCCAGAAGGACTCTATCTAAACTATTTTGAAAAGAAAATATCAGCCCTTTTCTTACAGTCCCAGTGCAGAAAAGGGCCCCAGAGAGTGTCCAAGTGCATTTGGGAGTGAGAAAGAAACGAGGAGCTACAGAGCCAGTGCTCAGCAGGGTGATCCATTTCTTGGGCTCAGAAGCAGTGAGTCTTGCCTCCCTGGATGTGAATGTTCAGCCCTGAGATCAATATCTGAAGTAGGAGAGGAGAGTCACAAGCATGCTTTGCTGGTTAGAAAGGAAGTCTGTAAGAGAGATCAGAAAACTGGTAACTCTGTGAAGAGGAAAAGAAGAGCTAAGTGACTCAGTAATGATCTTAAAGTTTATTAAGGACTCCTGGAGAGTGCGATGACTACAAATCAGTGGTAATGTTTCTACTTAAAGATAGAAACGGCAGAATCCTGCTCATTCAGCAGGTGTGACAAGCAGAAAGCTATGCTAATCTAGCCTTACTTTGCTTGTATCGGAGGGGTTGGTGGCAGAATGGGAGTGAAAGGGGCTTCTCCCTGAAGACGGTGCCTAGGAGCCCCACTCCAGTCTTCCCTTCTCTCTCAGCACAGTTCTCAGCCGGCTGGTGTACCAGTTAGTGTCTAGTAACCTTTCTAGGACAAGGGACTACCAGTAGACAACTACCAGCAAGCACAGCAAGTTGCAAGTTCAGTCTCACATTGCTCAGCTAACCCGGTTATAATTTTAAAAACTGATTTGGCTCCATGTTCTTCCTATGTCACTCCCATGAAATAGATGTTACTTTTTATTTAAAAAAAAAAAAAAGTAGTGACTGAGATCAGAAGACAAGTAATTATCACAACTCTACAACTTACAGAGCTTAGACAAGGCATTTCCTACTCTGGGTCTTGATTTCTCATCTGTGAAATGGGCTAACAATAGCCACTTCAAAGTTAAATATTTCTGAGGATTAGCCAGGCGCAGTGGCTCACACCTGTAATCCTAGCACTTTGGGAGGCTAAGGCAGGTGGATCACTTGAGGTCAGGAGTTTGAGACCAGCCTGGCCAGCATGGCGAAACCCCATCTGTACTAAAAATACAAAAATTAGTTGGGCATGGTGGTGAGTACCGGTAATCCCAGCTACCCGGTTGGCTGAGACAGGAGAATTGCTTGAAACTGGGAGGCAGAGGTTGCAGTGAGCCAAGATTATGCCTCTGCACTCCAGCCTGAGCAACAGAGGGAGAATACATCTCAAAAAAAAAAAAAAAAAAAAAAAAATTCTGAGGATCAAATGGGGAAACATAGATGAGCATGCTGTGTAACAGTTTACATCATTATTAAAAGGAGTCCAATTTCAGGCTTTTCTGTAAACCACAAGGTCACAGATGTTTCTTTTTATTCTGCCTTAATTCCATTCCCAAGCCAAAATCAGAATCACAGCAGTTTATCCTCACTTACTATGTGTCAAGCACATAACCACCTTTAATCCTCACAAAAATATTATGAAGTAGATATATTACCCCTATTTTATTATCTGGAAACTATATTCTCACAAAGATAAGCATCTTGCCCAAGATCACATGGCTACTAAGTAACAGAGACAAAGCGGAAACCAAGGCTGTCTCAAGGCAAAGCTGTGCTCTCAGACCTTCAGGGCTCTGAAGAACTGGGGCCCTGTCCTACCTGAGTACAGCCCCAGTCCTCTTGGTTTCAAGTTGCAGTTGATCTCCTGGCAGGCCTTCCAGGGGGTCTCCTCAGCTGTTCTGAGTCTAGATCAGGTCCTTTGCTTAGTCCCTTAGCTAAAGCTTCATCTTAATCCATAGTTTAGTCCATTCTGGCGGCTATAACGAAGTACCATAAACTGGATACATTATAAACAACAGAGGTTTATTGCTCACAGTTCTGAAGGCTGAAAAGTCCAAGGTGAAGGTGCCGGTAGATTCAGTGTTTGGTGAGGGCCCACTTTCTGGTTCATAGATGGTGCCTTCTTGCTGTGATCTCACGTATTGGAAGAACTAACTAGCTCCCTTGGGCCTATTTTATAGGGGCACTAACCCTATTCATGAGGCTCTACCCTCATAACCTAATCACCTCCCAGAAGGCCCCACTTCCTAAATACCATATGAATTTGGGAGGGGGGGCGGGCCATAAACATCCAGACCATAGCAATCAGCTTACCCCGATTCACACTCCACCGTCTCCTCTCTTTTTCCTGTCCTTATTCCTAGGTGGCTTGCTGACCCCTCTCATGTTCCTCTCCCACTCCACACATTCCTCTTTGGAACATCCTACATTCTCTTCCCCACCTTTCTCTCAGAAGCAGATACTTCCCCATAAGGATCTTGTACCTCTCCCCAGTTTTCCCAGCCCATGACATTAGCCCATCAAGCCTAGATCAAATGCCAATTTCCCCAGCATGTTTACTGTGTTTCCTTTCACTGGAAATAAATTTTAGCATGTTAAAGACAGCCTCTATATTACTTATGAATATCACAGAATGTGAATTTTCAAAACTGTGAAAACCACAGAAGTCATTGCTCAGTTGCCTTTATTTTATAGATGAGGAAACTGAGGCCCAGACAAGTTAATTTACTGCCCACAGTTATAACTGTAGGCTAGAGCTGGAGCTGATTCCAAATGCAGTCAGTATTGTTGTCAAAATAGTTTAAACTGGGCATGTTATTGTATCCGCATCCTCCAGTCTGGTGTGGCCCCTTGGTCAAAGTTTGGAAAGGAGTTTCGCCCTTGCCACAACAGTCTGATTGGACTCAGACCATGAATCATAAGAAATGTTTTCTTTTACTTAAACCTGTTCACTCCTCAATAGGCTACAAAGAACTATTGGCCATTCAACTTTTTTTTTTTTTTTTTGAGACGGAGTCTTGCTCTGTCACCCAGGCTGGAGTGCAGTGGTGTGATCTTGGCTCACTGCAAGCTCCACCTCCCAGGTTCACACCATTCTCCTGCCTCAGCCTCCTGAGTAGCTGGGACTACAGGCACCCACTACCACGCCCAGCTAATTTTTTGTATTTTTTAGTAGAGACGGGGTTTCACCGTGTTAGCCAGGATGGTCTCGATCTTCTGACCTCGTGATCCGCCCGCCTCGGCCACCCAAAGTGCTGGGATTATAGGCGTGAGCCACCGTGCCCGGCCTGCCACTCAACTTTAATTTGTGGCCAGGAAGAGTTAAGTCTCCCCTTAGCTTGCCTGTCTTTTAGGTTCAATAATACCAGATCTTTTTGCTTTTTCTCACAGTTCTTGTTCTCCAACAATTTCATCATCTTTATTTCTATCTGTTGAACTATATCCAAGTGCTCCATGCATCTCAAACTGTGAAGTCCAGAAGTGGACAAAGAAGTCTCATGAAGGTATGAGAAAGTGACGATGACCTCACAATTCCTTCAAACTGTGCTTCCGTTGGTGCGGCCAACTTTCATGCTCGTGTTTCAAGCGATAGCCGGGCCTCACTGGCTCAAGTTCAGCGTATTATCCTCATTTGGCTGGACACTGCTTAGCCTGTGTTTGTGATAATGATTGTTTCCTCCATGTAGCATCCAGAACTTTTCCGATTGAGCTTTTTTCCCTTTGTTCCTGACTACTACTCCAATTCATCAACTCATTTGGGACTCTAATCCTATTCTTCCACCTCTTAATTCTTAACCCCAGCTACTGTCCCAAGTAGCTTAGCACATTAAAAGTCCCTGGAATTCACCCCTGAGACTTCTGGCCCCTCAAAGCACTTCTCCCTCATGGCTCCAGGATTGGATAAAGCCAGTAGTCCATCTCCCAGTACACACAAGGCACTCACACAAGGTTATAAGTTCTGGATAAAATAAGAGATCACCAGAAAGCCTTCCAAGAGGCATGTAGCTAAGGGTCATTACATGGGTAGATTCAGAGATAACTGACTACACTTAGACCTAACTTGGGTATGATGGTGGGAGTCTCCAAGATTTTCCTTTGGCTCAGAAATGTGATAATTATGAATATTTGCACTTATAAATCACTTATCTCCATTAGCGTAAGCTACACTTATAATGATATACATTACCCCAGTTTACAGATGAAGAAATTAAGGCTCAGTGAGGTTAAGGTCACACAGCCCAGATTAGTACTTATGTTTCCTGTCTTTAAATTCCTTGAACTTTCTGTATTTCAGCAGGTTTTAAAATCTTAGAATTCCTAAAAATCCCGTGTGTGAGTTGGGTATGGTGCTTTTGAAAAATAGAGATTCCAGGCCGGGCACGGTGGCCTACGCCTGTAATCCCAACACTTTGGGAGGTCGAGGTGGGCGGATCATGAGGTCAGGAGATCGAGACCATCCTGGCTAACACAGTGAAACCCCGTCTCTACTAAAAATACAAAAAATTAGCCAGGCGTGGCGGCATGTGCCTGTAGTCCCAGCTACTCGAGAGGCTGAGGCAGGAGAATGGCATGAACCTGGGAGGCGGAGCTTGTAATGAGCCAAGATTGCACCACGGCACTCCAGCCTGGGCGACAGAGCGAGACTCCATCTCAAAAAAAAAAAAAAAGAGAGAGATTCTAGGGCCCTGGCTCTAAGACATACTGATTGCTTAAGTCTGAGTGGAGCCCTGGGATCTGCGTTTTAATAAGCACCGTAGAGGGTTTTGAGTAAGCCTTTGCATGCCATACTTGAAGAAACCCTCTCCTAAACTATGCTGTCTAGGCCAGACCCTTTAAATACTACAGATCTACCTTTGCCCTGGGATAAAGCTGGCACATAAAAACCAGCCACAGAAACCTCCTGATCCAGACAGTAGCTCAGAGGGCTCTCTGATGACCCTAAGACCCAGGACTGTGGTGCTCAGAGCCTGCCACCAACCCTGGTTCCGTCCTGTTTTTGTCCTCTTCAGTTTTGCTGACGCATTGAACTCCTCTCTTTAGAGCACTCTGCTTTGATCCCACTCAGGTCTTAGATATGCTCTCACCCCTGATTTTGTCGGCCTCGGCTGCTCCAGATGAGAAAGCCTATCTCCCTAAGGCCTTTCCAGATGCCGCTGTAAAATGGATCTGAAACCTGACTCATGAGAGACAATCTGAAGACTTTATCTGGGGAACTTTCTACTCCCGTGCACCCCAGCTGGGCAACATTTACAAACTGCTCTGAGGGAAAGCTTCACAGCCAGTTTCCCCAGAGAGGCATAGTGGTTCTTACAGTCCTACTAAACTAAGTTTACAATCTATTGTTCCTGAAAAACCAGATACTCCAGGAGGCGGATAGATGACTAGGGAATGGACAGCGCAATGAATGTTGATTGGGCATGCACAGTACACAGGCACTGCACTGATTTCTTTCCATGAGTTGTGTCTTCGTCTCCTTTCACCCATAAGGAGCACAGCCAGGATGGTTTCACCTGGTGCCTGCTCTCTACTCCCAGGGCACTTAGGGATTGTGTGTTCCTTGGATTACAAACATAGCCCTGCTACCTACACATCCCTCGGGTCTTTCAGGATCACAAAATGTGCAAGTGGTCTCTGGCTGGATTCTCTTATGTGTGTTTTATCAAGGAACAAGTAGATTCCTGATGAAAAAAAGTTTTTAGACTGAAAGCAGACTAACAGAGTGGTTGAAAATTGACATGGGACGCAACCGAACTCCCAGTCTTGGTAGACACATTCCACTTACTGCCTCTTCTCTATTCCCTTTTCCAAGTGCAGGAATCTTCTTTTTTATTTTTATTTATGTATTTATTTTATTTTATATTTTTGAGATGGAGTTTCACTGTTTTGCCCAGGCTGGAGTGAAGTGGCGCGATCTTAGCTTACTGCAATCTCTGCCTCCTGGGTTCAAGCGATCCTCCTGCCTCAGCCTCCCGAGTAGCTGGGATTATAGGCGCCCGCCACCACGCCCAGCTAATTTTTGTATTTTTAATAGAGATAAGGTTTCACCCTGTTGGCCAGGCTGGTCTCAAACTCCTGACCTCAGGCGATCCACCCGCCTTGGTCTCCCAAAGTGCTGGGATTACAGACATGAGCCACCACGCCTGGCAGGCATCTTCTGCTCAATAGGCTTGAGTCTTCCTGCACTTTTTCAGAAGCAAATCCAGCTTGTGATAGTGGGGCAGCATGCAATAACATATGCTGGCAGCAAATCCCAACACAGTGGGAAGAAACTGCTTTTCCTGTACATTCGTCTCTACTGTCTTGTGACAATCTGAAGAGAAATTCCCAAACATAAGTCTCCTGAGTGATTGTCAGGTGTATACCTTGCCTTATTGTTAGCAGACGTGAAAGCTCTTTGAGAAGACAGCAAAGTATTTGGAGCTGGAAGGAAAGGGGTGTTTGGAGCCTTGTTAGAGACCAGCTGTAGAGCCTTAGAATGTTCTCTATATAGGAAAGCTTACATTGTGCTGAAAGAAACAGTTGCCTATTGGGTTATAACTTGGCGAGTTATGTAATGATACAAATGTTGGATGACTTGTTAAAGGATCTGAGAGCATTATGGCAAAATTCTATACCCTATCCTTAATTAGATCAAGTTAAACTGAAAGGGAAAAGCAGTCTGGTTTGCTAACCACAGTGGAAGTATTGCTTTCGGGTGGAATTCATATCCGGATTGCATTGTCTGGCTTGAGGATAATACACAGGAAGCAATCTGGAGTTTTTCTTTCTTTTGGTTTTGATATTTCAGTTACAAGGAACTTGAAGTCTAGGAACTGGCTTTGCAATGTTAACAGTTATCACAGCCAGCTAGCCAAAATGTCCCTGTTTAAGATCTTGCTGTTTATCATAACATGAAGTGTGCTCTATGCCGTGTATGATTTCCAATACACATGTGTTAGTAATTACTACCAATATGAGTATCTACCCAGCCATTAATCAAGGCACCCAACACATCCTGCCAATGTACTTTGAAACTTTATCTGCTGAAAAAGCAAAATTCCCCTCCGCTAATGAACACTTTTAGGAAAGCAGGCTGGTTAAGAGTGTCTGAAGCATTTGAGTGACAGCTCCAGAGAACTCCCATTTATGACCGCAGGTGACCTAGCAAAAACTGGGAAATATAAGCACAGTTCTACATTTTAGTTTCTCCTAAAGATCATCAGTTTAATAATAACAGTTGGCCTTTACTGAGCCCTGATCAAAAGTCTCTTGACATGTTTTTTCTCCTTTAATAATCCCAGGACATAAGGTCTGTTAATATCCCTACTTCCCGATTAGGAAACTGAAGCTCAGAGAGGCTAAGTAGTTTGCAAAAATTCATTCATGGAGGAAATGACAGAGCCAGGGTACTAACCCTGGTGTGCTGACTCCGGAACTCATGCTTCTTGGATTCCATTCTTCTTTCAAAACCGCTTGGTGCCTCCAAAGAGAAAAATGGTTTGGTAATTAGTCCCATTTGCTTCCAGTGATGAAGAGGAACTCTTTGATGTTGATATCTTTTTTTTTTTTTTTTAATGGAATCTCACTCTTGTCATCCAGGCTGGAGTGCAGTGGTGCAATCTTGGCTCTCTGCAACCTCCACCTCCCGGGTTCAAGTGATTCTGTTGCCTCAGCCTCCCATGTAGCTGGGATTACAGGCGCCTCCACCAAGAATGGCTAATTTTTGTATTTTTAGTAGAGATGGGGTTTCAACATGTTGGCCAGGCTGGTCTTGAACTCCTGATCTCAACTGATCCTCCTGCCTCCAGCCACCCAATGTGCTGGGATTACAGGCGTGAGCCACTGCACGTGGCCGGATGTTGATATCTTTCAAACATTTATTGAGCACTGACCTTGTCCCAAGGGGTTAAACAGACCATATCACTGAATCCACCCAATAAACAAATAAGGTAGGTTGTAGCATCTCTGTTTTACTGTCAAGTAACCACCTGTTCCGTCCCATCATCCAGCGTTGCCCCTGTGGCCCTAAGGGTTGACCGACTTTCTGTTTGAGTGGAGTATGTAAATAGGACCAAAAAGCCATGTGGTAGTTGTAGGAGAGAGGACACAGCAATGGAAGCCCAAAAGTGTGGTTCTCATCCTGGACACCATCATTCGTGATAACTCTCTTCATCTCCTCTGTACCTGTGTTCCTTTTTCGTGCCTATAGTATTTCCTTTAACTAAAGTGGAAGTGTTATCTGAAGTTTCATGAAAATAGCATATGCATCAGAAATAGGGAGATATCAGCTGGGTGCAGTGGCTCACGCCTATAATCCCAGCACTTTGGAAGGCCGAGGCAGGCGGATCACTGGAGGTCAGGAGTTCAAGACCAGCCTGGCCAATATGGAAACCCTGTCTCTACTAAAAACACAAAAATTAGCCGGGCATGGTGGTGGGCGCCTGTAATCCCAGCTACTCGGGAAGCTGAGGCATGAGAATTGCTTGAACCCAGGAGGAGGTTGCAGTGAGCTGAGATCACACCAGTGCACTCCAGCCTGGGTGACAGTGTGCGACACAGTCTCAAAAAAAAAAAAAAAGGAAATAGGGAGAAAGATATTTTTTCTAATTCAGGATCTTCCACTAAATATCAGTATTCAAATTATGTAGCCTTTTTGACCCTCAGTATCCCAATCCGTAAAATGAAGGCAATAGTACCCAGCTCTAAATGTTGTTGTAAAGATTAAATGAGACAACACCTATGGTATGTGCAGCACAGTACCTGATATGTATCAGTAGTAGGGCCCTTTAAATGTCACTTCTGTCCCTCTTCTCAACTCCCCACCTCACCACCCGTATTAGTAAGTAGTGCTTACAATACAGATAAGATGGGGTGTTTGCGAACAGCGTCGTGCCATCCACAGTGTCACTTATCGGGCGGCAATATCAAGTAGTGGTTAAACTCTTTGAATCCCTTTAAGTAGACTGATGAAGTTGAAATCTCTGCTCCACCATTTCCTGTGTGACTTTGAGACATTTATTGAACCTCCCTGGGCCTCAGTTTCCTCTTTCTTTAAAATGGGTTAGTACTTCTCTCATGGGGTTTCTGAGAGGGCTGAATTCATTATATACTACATTCACTTAGAAAATACCTGGCCCAGAGTGAACACTTATTCGATGTTAGCTGCCATTATTATTAGTTATTTATTTATCTCTGTGACCTCTTGTAAGCTTATTAAAGGAGCTGTGCAGAGTGAGACCATGAAACAGATTTTCTAGTGCAAACGGGGCTGCTCACAGGAGGCTCGTGGAGTCTGAGTTGCTGACCTTGGCCCCATTAGCACCGTTCTCTAACCAGCTCAGGCACGGGGCTGTAATGAGGATTATTGAAGTAACATATGGAAAACTCTTAGAGTTAGCTCTTGGGAAAGGAAAAAGGCACTAAATAAATACAAGGAATTATTAAAAACCGGGAGACGACCTCACAGGGATGCTGAGCCTTGTATGTTATTTGCTATTCTAAGAAGAAACTGGGGCAAGAAGCCAACTTCATCACCAGGCGACAAAGTGGTCTCCTGGCTGCTGTTCAAGGGATGGCAGCATGCAGCATCACCTCCAGGCCATCACAGCCTCTTCCTGGCTGCAGGAAGCTCAGCTTTCCCACGAAAAAGAAGGGCTGGGTCCTATGCCAGATGCTATGCCTGCTGCCTCCCATATCTCGTGCCCAAATACCCCTCCTTTGAGGAGAGCTGGGAGGTGATATTCTAAGTGAGAACCTACCAAGTAGAATATTGATGGTAAATTCCCTCTGGTACTAGTGCAGATGACTTCGGGGCCACCAGCAATCTGCTTCCACAGCAGGACTCCAGTCCCAGACTGGGCCAAGCTCGGGGCTTCGTTGCCAAGCCTTAACAAGTATGTGGAGAGCACACAGCTCTGTAATTCTGGAGATAACAGTCCATCAGTCTCTACTTACAACTTTACCACCCACCCCTGTGACATTCCTCTCTCCAGAACCAATCCTAACCCTCAAATGAAATATACTTAAAGTGGTCTCCAGGTATCACTTGTGAAATGGTGCACAGGAGGCATCCAAGAATGAATCAAGATCTGGCCCACAGCCACCACACAGCTTGGGGCCTCTGGTTTCCCCGTGGTATCAGTGGCATAAGATTAATTTCTATGGCTCCAAGCAATGATTACAGAAACATCCTATTTCTCTTTGCTACAAAATAGAGAATATCTTAGCCATGATGTCTTACACTATAAAATCTTAGAAGATGAGGATAGTGTCTAAGTCTCATCACTCAAGAATATAGCACTTCATGACATGTACCTTTATTTATACTTTTCTGGTAACAATATAGTTTTAAAATACTCAAGGCCTTTCTAAATAATGGTATAAATATGATATCTCAATCCTCAAAACTACCAACAAATTTAAGGTATTTATAACACATACAACCAATACTTATGCATAAATATTATAAAAACATGGCCTACCTCTCAATGTGCATAGCAAAAATAGTTTGGAAAAGAAAAAACAGAAATAAAAATTCCACCACTCAAAATAAAAAATAGTTATCTTTCCTTCTTCAACCAGTTTCAAAGATGCTACATTAACCATCCACTATGAAAGGGATCAAACATTTCAGCAGCCTTTTAAACCTAGAAGAAGTCCTTAAAAATGTAAAGATTAGACAGTAGAATATTTTCTCTGGCATTTAAGATTTTTGAAGGGTCTAGTTAGGATCTAGTAAGTTCTTCAGAAAGGTTAGGCTGACTATAAAGACAACACTGCAAAATTTAGAAGATTCTCTAGTTCACTTACTACAATGGACTGTGTTTTTTCTTAGAGATCAGGATTAATTATTAAAATATTTAAAGAAAAAGATGTTTCTAAGGCTGCTAGGAAGACAAATCATAACAGTAGATCCCAATAATAAGCCTATGTGTAAAACAGTCTCTTAAAAAAGAGGTGGCATGTGGCCGGGCGTGTAGCTCATGCCTGTAATCCCAGCACTTTGGGAGGCCAAGGCAGGCACGTCATCTGAGGTCAGGAGTTCGAGACCAGCCTGGCCAATATGGTGAAACCCCGTCTCTACTAAAAATACAAAAATTAGCTGGGCATGGTAGTGCACACCTGTAATCTCAGCTACTCCGGAGGCTGAGACAGAAGAATAGCTTGAACCCTGGAGGCGGAGGCAGCAGTGAGCGGAGATTGTGCCATTGTACTCCAGCCTGGGTGACAGAGCCCGACTCTGTCTCAAAAAAAAAAAAAAAAAAAAAAGAAGTGGCATGCATATTTAAAAGTAGTTACAAAGAAAGTCTTGGCAGTTTTTCAGAGCTCCCTTCATGTAATCACTCTATTACAGTGCACTCCTCAAGTTGAAAAGCTCCCATTTATTTAACATTTTTTTAAAGAATTAAATATTTTCCTTATTTATCCAATTTGCAAACGTAAAGCAAGGCTGCATCATCTCTCCTTTTTCCGCATCCTTCTTTCCGTCCACTAAGGTAGTTCTCTGGGACTGTTGACAGCTTCTGAAGGTGATTTGATGTGAACTCCCCCCTGACTCCTGGTTTGTCTGCTTCTTATAAAGAGATAGTATGCTCCAGAGAGCACCAGAGGCAGTTCTTACCCAGCAATCCCGGAAGCAATTTTCTTCTGCTTTTCTTACTCACCAGAGCCCTCCTGGAGGTTTCAAGCAAAGGAGCTGAGCAGTTTGCAGTAGCTACTAGATAGAGGTTCATAATGGAATAGCAGCTTCAGGTTTTTAATCCATCATTAGAAATAGTTGTTTTGCAACTTGAGAGAGAAAAAGTAGAAATCTATGGCATAATGAAGGGGGAAAAATGGGTCATGTTACTGTAGAGATAGATGCAAATTCTATATTATGTCATAAGTGAAAGCTTTTTCGGTCCATATGGGTATAAATTAATAAGAGAGAATGCTGTCAGCGAAGAAAGTGTAAGTACTTTGTCTGGAGAGTAAGAGACCGGCCAGTTAGTCCTAATAAATCCGAGGGTTTGGGGAGCCTCTTTTGAGATAGGTGATGCATTGCGCATTATTAGAGAATCTCTTGGCATGAGTACTTTTGCACCAAGCATCTGCTTTTAAGGTCTCTTCATGAATGTTCTTCTTATGTGCTGATATCTTTATGCTTACACAAACTTGGTGGAAGGCACTATTGTTGCATCATTAAATTACCTCACTGTATTCTACAACTACCCTACCTAATATGCTCCAATCACTCTTACTGTATTTTGTTTTCTTCATAACATTTCCCTGTCTGAAATTATTTTATTCATGTGGTATCATTTAAGTGCTTATTATCTCTCTCACCCTGCTCCCATCACCACTGGAGTAAAAGCTGTAAGTAGACACCTTGTCATCTTCTCCTGTATATGCAAGTTTCCATTTTGTTTCATAATTAGCTTCTCTCTCCTCCCAGCAAGGTTTTCAAGATCCAACCCAAAGACTGCTTAAGGAGTGGAACTTAGACTTCTTTTACTTCTTCAAGAGTCACTTCATGGATAAAAAGCATCCTGTTCTTGGGACTTTGACTCAGCAGAGCCAAGAACTTTCCTATAAGCTATTGCTTGGTTGTTAAGGAAGCACAACAGAATACCAGCCTGACGTGTCACATTCTGCATGCGCTCATTTATAATACAGTGTGGTATTTTTCACCTCCTATCTGCAGCAAGATGAGATAATCGCTGGCTGGTGTGAGTTTTTTTAGTATCTCTTTGCATCAATAGATCTAGTTTTCAGACTATATACTTAAGTTTATAAAACAATTGCTAACATTTGTTTTCTTTAATCAGATTCAATTTGATTCTTATTAAGACCATGTTTTAGAAAGCCCCCAATGGCCCTCATAATAGTGGGAAGTTTTAGAAACAAAGGCCAATATTATGAACACATTAATATATAACCCAGGTGTCATGGAAGTGCTCTCAAATAGGAAACGTGGAAGACATTAGTTGCCTGCATCCCAAGTCAGAGACTTATTTTCTTAATTTGCTTTCTGTGCCTCCACAATGGTCTTTTTCCTTAGCTTTGGAAAGAAATTATAACAGCCAGCTAACTTTATTGGGTAACATGCATCAAGCCCCATAGCAGAGGTTAGATATGCATTACCTTGTTTGCATAACAACCTTATGAGGAAGGTACTAATAAAATATGGGTATAAAAGACCTCCATAGTTAAGGAATGAGGAAATAATAATGCAAGTCTCTTTTCCTACAACATAATGGTCCTAAAACGTATGTATTTCTTTGCATCTTTTAAAATGCAGCATAAATGGGGTATTCTAATATCATTTTGTTTTTCTTCAGGTTTCTCTTTTGTACATTTTAATAAGTTTAAAATATATAAAGTGGCCAGGCATGGTGGCTCACGCCTGTAATCCCAGCACTTTGGGAGGCTGAGGCGGGCACCTGAGGTCAGGAGTTCGAGACTAGCCTGGCCAACATGGTGAAACCCCATCTCTACTAAAAGTACAAAAATTAACCAGGCATGGTGGTGGATGCTTGTAATCCCAGCTACTCAGGAGGCTGAGGCGGGAGAATTGCTTGAACCCAGGAGGCGGAGGTTGCAGTGAGCTGAGATCACACCACTGCACTCCAGCCTAGGCGACGAGAGTGAGACTCCATCTGAAAGAAAAGAAAAGAAAAAAAAGAAAAAGAAAAGAGAAAGATTTATATTTGCTTGCAGTGAAAATAAATGCAGAATTTTCCACAGTGAAAAGTTAAAGTTTTTCTCTAACTTCTTCCCTCAGCCTCTGTCCCTCCTCTCAAGATAAGTTACAACCCTCCAAAAATATATTGTTCAGTGAAACCACGATGGTATAGAATAGAAGTCTACAGTTAGTCTACGATGTGTTGTTGACAGCTGCGTCTAACATTCTTTTTAAAGATTGCATAGTATTTCATTATGCAGGATACCATAATGGCCGTTTCCTTTTTGATGGACATTTAGGCCAAGTTTTCCTTTGTGAAAAGTGCTGAAATGAACATTCTTGTCTTTCCTGTGTCTTTGTGTCCTTTTGTGAGTAAATTAAGCACAACTTCTTAGAAATGAAACTGCTGGGTCAATTGTATATGTATCCTAAATTTTGTCAAATTCTTTTTTTAACAGCTTACACCAAATTATATTCCCACATTGGTTATAGCAATTTTCAATATTATGAGTTTTGGCTTGTATTTTAAATATCTTCATTTTCCTTTTAGATGTTCACATAGCTCCCAACTGGAAAACTGTACCCATACCCTGCCACCATCTCCACCAAGAACCCTCTTGCCCTATGCATATCATATGTGTATAACAGTATTACCAAGTATAATAGTACTTTCTGAATATCCCTTTCTTTCCTCCTTTATGTAAAATATGTACAATCTGATGATATTATTTGCTAAATACATAAATGTATTTACAGATGGCTTTCTAAAGACTAAGTGATATAATCCAAACTTTAGAAAATCAGATTTTGCTCACAAGGGGTTTGGAAAGTGCCTTTTCAGGATCGTAATTAAACTTAGCTAATTGTAATTCCAAGATTGATGCAAGAAGGCAAAAGGTTCAAGAATGAAGTCAATTTTTCCTGAGGTTAGGACTAAATCTGTAAATTCTGGTTATATGAATCGCTAAAGAATTATTGCGCAGGGATCAATAAATCACTTCTAAAGCAGTGTTAGAAGGCTGTTCCACCTCCTCAGTATACTAGTTATTAGGCTCAAGAGTGTTGGGCAAACTGGTTCTTTTAGCTTTTAACATTGCAGTAAATGGCTTGGCAACAGATTTAACATTTTCTTTGTAACATCCAAGGTTAGCTCTTTTTTTTTCCTTAAGATCTGGAATGTTCCCAACACAAAGAAATGATAAATGTTTGAGGTGAGGGACATTCCAGTCACTCTAACTGGATCACTACCTGTCACAAACATGCATCAAAGTAACACTTACACCCTAGAAGTGTGAACAGTCACCATGTATCAATTAAACAAACAAAAAAGCCCAGCCCGACCTTGGACCAATTAAAACAGAATCTCTGAAGATGGAACTCTTTTTTTTTCCCCCCCGCAAGGTTAGCTCTTTAGTCACTGGCCAGAAAACCTCTAATCCCAGCAGAATTTTAGAGCTATTAAGTACTTTAGTTCTTAGCCACTTAGAAATCACAATGACATAATGATGCTTTACAAGAAGAAGAGGTAGGGGAGGAGGGAAGAATTTCTACTCCTCCTCCTCAGTGACATGAGAGTAAAGAAGAAAAATGAGAGGTTATAACCATGAATATCTGCATGTTATGTTTACTTGAACAAAAATGCAAATTTTATCTCTTATTGAAAAGAATTGTTTTTGAACAAAAGTGAATAGCTAAAAATAGTGATTCTGTACAACCAACTGAGGGACTGGTTTTCCTTTAGTTTTTTTGTATTTGTTTGTTTGCTTTGTTTTTGTTTTGGCTTCTCAACACTGAGCATAGCTGGTGGGGCAGAGGCAGATTCAACACTCCACACCCTCTCAGGAGGGTAGGCTCTGAGGGTTAAAATGTTGAGGGGCAGATGTCGCTTGTGAAGCGTCACATACCGCGTGACCATGGCAGAGAGTTCCTTGAGCAGTGAAAAGCACTTTCCTTTCCCAACAGATAGTCTTATGTGTGCACCAATCCCAAGCAGAAATCATGATTTTCTTTACTCTATAGGTGATAAGCATGAGATTCTTCCCCAAGAAGAATGCTGAAAAATCAGAAAGGATATAAAAATGGAGGAAGGGGTGGGATATTCAGGAAACTACCAAAATATGTACATGTGAAAATAAATTTCATGAAACTGATTCTTTGGTTAAATAGCGTTTTAAAAATCTCTTCAAAGCTCTCAAATGGGCCTTTGAAAAATTAAATTACACCACATTGGATCTGAATTTAGCATGTAATTTTCTAACACATTTTTATTTTTTTATTTTTTATATGTTTTTAATTATACTTTAAGTTCTAGGGTACATGTGCACAACGTGCAGGTTAACACAAACATTTTAAAGTTAGAGGTTCTACGTCAATGAAATAAGGCTAAAACATGAACCTTGGGAAGAAACATTGGAAACTTTAGTACAAAGGAAGTTACGAATGAATATGATTAAGTTTAGAAAGCTTTCCTAGGAGAGGAAATGTGAGATGTTGATTCAGGTTTTCGTTCAAAGAATGAAAGCATTATTTAAAATATATTTTGTGATGCAAACAGGGAAACATCATAGTATTTTTGTGTGTGTGTGCTGAATCTAAGCTCCATTTTACAGCTAGTGTGTCCCCAATAAACCATCCTAATTAGAAAGCCCCTGGAAATCTCCAGCATTATCTTAATTAAATTAGCCTAATCTAATAAATGCATCATAATTAAGAGGACTGTGCCATTCTTTAGTGTTCAGCACACCAGGCATTAGATGATTTGTCCCACTTTCAGCCGTCAGTTGTCATGCTTGCTAAAAGAAAAGAAAAATGATAGCACCAGTCATCGTAGTCCCTCAAGGAATCATCCATCTAGTTCTTGAATTTTCTTTACAACACCTCTGTCAATTATTTCTTCCTCTTCAGAGCATCTAGTGACAGGGAACTCACTAAGCCATTTTGATCTATTTCATCTTTGAACATATGGAATAATTTTAGCCATAAGAAACCTCAGGGAATTTTTTTTAATTCCTTCAACATAGACCTAACATAGTACCCAGACAACTATTTTTACGTCCAATTTCAAACAACCTGGAAAAACAGCGGATCAGTGGAACACTAAAGGCTATAGGGAGACTATGATCATTCTTGCCCAAAGGAATTGCAAAAAGGCAGGTGTGTAAATAGTATTTACATATAGGATGGACCTCTCCACCTTTTTCTAGTACAGATTAATTTTTAATTTTCCCAACATCTATAAATTGCCAGAATGGTAAGGTAGTGGGGAAACACTTTCTCACAATGTACACAGACTTGAAAGCTGTTGACCTGTCCTCCTTATGACAGACAGTTCTTGGCAACCCCAAGGAGAGATATGGCTGAGGCAGAAATCACATTATCTAGCTCTTCGGCTATACACATATTGGGCTCTGATAATTAGAACATTGATCCACAAGACAACCTTTGAGTATGCTGTTCTTTTCCTTCACAGCAAACACGTATAGTCATTATCGTTTGCTTGTTTGTTTGTTTGTTTCTTTCTTTCTTTCTTTTTTGAGACAGAGTCTCATCTGGAGACTCCCAGGCTGGAGTGCAGCTCACTGCAACCTCTGCCTCCCGGGTTCACGCCATTCTCCTGCCTCAGCCTTCTGAGTAGCTGGGACTACAGGCACCCGCCACCATGCCCAGCTAATTTTTCGTATTTTTAGTAGAGACAGGGTTTCACCATGTTAGCCAGGATGGTCTCGATCTCCTGACCTCATGATCCGCCCACCTCGACCTCCCAAAGTGCTGAGATTACAGGCATGAGATCAGTTATTTTTTTTTTAAGACACAGAGTCTCACTGTGTTGCCCAGGCTGGCTTCAAACTCCTGGGCTCAAGCAATCCTTCAACCTCAGCCTTCTAAGTAGCTGGGACTACACATGGCTCATCAGTGATAATTTTAAACACAAAAATACACATTTTTATTTGCTTATGCAAACAAAGGAACGATTATAATTTCCTGCAACTAGTAAATATCATATGCTAAATCCTTTTTTTCTAATTCCACCTCTTCCCCACCACACCATGTAATAGCTTTAGAGTTGTTTTTTTTGGGGAGGAGGGAAGGGGTGTTATGTGTATTTTTTTGTCTTTTGCCAAGTCTCTAAGTGCCTCTGAAGCCAATTTTTAAAAGTTGTGCATTGTGAGATCACAGTTGCTTTAGGGCATACAGGATATAAGCACAAAATGATGGACTGTAGCCAGGTAGTGAGGCTCTAATTGTGTCAGAAAGAAGAACATTTTCATCATGACATAACGAAAACTGTATTTTTCAAAGAAAAAGATCTAAATCTGTATCAAGTGATAACATTAGTTTTCCTACTTTTAAAAACAAAATCTAGTCTATTATTAATAGAATGAAATGTCAGCCTTAGGCAATTTGCTGTGAAAAACCAACTGAAATGAAACATGGCATTTTATTCGTTATTCAAATGGCCAAATAAAACAAGGTGTAATTAGTCCTGACTTCCTGTTCTTGCTCACACACCTGAGGCCCCTCCCCGCTCTGCTGCAGCTCTGCATAACCAGGCTCTCAGGGGAAGCAGTGGAGGCAGCCTTCTTGGACAACAGCTCACTTGTCTACACAGTCAAAAGTATGTATTTGATCAAAATGGTTGGGAGGAGGACAGGTGTTACTTAGAGAATTACCTGTGTAACTAGAACAAGAAAAGGAGGCAGCATTTGCAGAATGTTTGCAAATCTTTCAGGAACTTGATTCAAGGAGTGTGTCAGATGTTAAATCCAGGCATATATGTATATGGCTACTTGTGTGTGTGTGTGTGTGTGTAATAGTGTAATTTCACTTTTTTAAAAAATGAAGACATTCACAATTTTAGCCAGAATAGTTGGTGCAAGGTCCATAAGTGCTACCTGCTAAGAATATAATTCCTTCTACCTCTAATGTTTCATTATCAAATTAAAAGAGTTCTCTCCTCAGTGGATACTTCATTTATCATAGCTCTCCTTGGAAAGCTGACCTCTAAACATGAACTTCTAGAAGGAACACAGAATAAGAACAAGGGAAAAGCATTCGGGAAGGAGGGTGGCTTTGAAAGGAGTTAGCTGGGAAAACCCTTGAAAAAGAAAGTGAATCCATTTCTGTACATACAATTATTGACTGACGGGGCAGTTTACAGTTTTAAGTTCGTGTGCACTCATGCCCTGTTTGAGATGCCTGTTTTGTGGTTCCTCAGAGACCACACTAGCCACATTTGAACACCATTAGATTAGACTAGAGCCAGGACTCTGCAAAGGGAGGCTCTTCCTCAGCCTCTGACAGAATCACCACCAAATCTGGCTGTCCTCCTTGCCCTGAGCAATTGAACTTGGCTCTGTGGAGGGAGCCTCAACCAACTGAAGCATCATTTGGAGAACAGATGAAAAATAAAGAAGCGAAGCCTTTTGAATTCTAAAGTTTTAGCTTTTTCCAAAAGTAAGGCATTTTCCTCTCATTCTCAATCTCTTCTTCCATTCAGTTTTCTCCTCCCATATTCTTAGTCGTGATTACATAGATTAAGGCAAGGAACTGGGGGTTTCACTAATGAACTCGGGGAAATTTTGAGGGACATCTCCTGTCCTTTGACTTTGGGGAAAGTTCTTCCATTGCTAAGGAAAAAAGTTGTATTGGATGTAATTGTTTGTTAAATGCAAAGAACTAACTGCTGGGCATTCTAGGAGTCCGTACATGAACTGTTTTACGTGGGTTTCTGCAATTCCATAGAGTCGAAGACACCAATAGGAGCTGTGGCCCCTTTGCCTAGTTTGACTTTAGTCCTTTGGAGTTTCATAATTCTGAGGGGATCATTGTATTTCAGTGGACAGGTTCCAAATGCACAGAAGACTGACAGCATTGTCTGATAAAGCATCTCCCATTTTATCCCATTTGGAATGTAATCCAAGTTACAACAATAGCTAATAATTACCTGCTGTAATTGTAGCAACAGAATAGCTGAATGTGCACCTCTAGCTGATTTATGTATGCAATTTCTCATTCTCAGCTCTCTATAATCCATTCTCCACCCCCCCACCCCCCACCCCCAACGCTTTGGAGCCTTGAAAGCATTCAATACAAATTTTCACAATGTAGGTAACTTTGAAGTGTGGCTTGTCAGGTCATGCTGACTTATTTTTGTACTTGCATAGGGAATTGGTGAGGATGAATCTATTTTTTTAGCTAACAAGTGTAACTTGAGAATTTGTGAATGAGTGACAGATGGGGTGGGAACCTTTTTTTCCTTCACGTATTGTGAAATGTACTCCTGTCTACTCATGGGAATGAGTCACATTTGCAAAAAGCCATAATATTCATTAGTGCCAAAACGACATTTTTTAGTTGCTCTTGCAATGAGCTGTAAGTAGGACAACTGCCCATCCTAGTTTACCCGAAACAGTTATTATTTATTCCTATAATTATCAATGGTTACCTATTTATTTCATCCTCAGAAATGTCCCGGCTTGGGCAATATATGTTTACCCTGCATATCCAGATTGTGGGGGGAAATCCAGTATTTTCATGTGCCATGCCCAAATGGCAGCTTATTTAAAAAAACAGAAAATTCTTGGAATTAACGGTCAAGGATACGTGAGAGATTAGAAATCAACATTTCACATTAATTCCTGTGTAAGAAAATTATACGTAAACATAGACTGTTAAAACAGGCATAGCAAATATGTTTCAACTCAGGGGCCAACACTAATTGGTTGGTAGTGGCTGCCCCTAGCATCACTGGAGAAGGACTCTGAAACCGAGTTGGGGATCAATGGGATATAGGGCTTGCCGTATTACTGATGTCTGCCATAAGCTCTGGAAAAGCTAGTTGTAAAATGTATGCTAGGTATTAAATGTCACCACCATAGAGCCAGATGAGGTTTTAGTGATAATCCAACCCAGTGTTTTCAAAATGTGTTCCCAGAACACTGATCCTTCAACATGATTCACAGAACACATGTTCCATGGTCCAGTAAGATTGAGAATGATGCCTGCCATATTTCTCTCTCAGAAATTCAGTGTATATTGGCACAGAGCTCTAAAAAGTTCTGTTTAACTTTCTGACAGATGTTTAACTTTGTTTAACCCAGTGCTTGGTAAACCTATTTGGCCACAGAAACCTTTTCAATGTTATCTGTCAACTTGCTACAGAACTAGTTTCTTGGTACACATTTGAGGAAACTCTAGTCTTAGCCCATTCCTTGCATTTCACGAATAAGGAAACTATAACCCCAAATGAGAGACTGACTGGACCACAGTCAACTTAGTTGATCTATGGACCAGGCAAAACTGGAACTCAGTGATATAAGAGTTAAGAAGAAATTATTTAGGCAGATAGTGAGGGTATAGGAGTCCTTGGTAAGGTTTTCCTTTTAATGAAAAGCAGCCCCAAAATTATACTAACGAGCAGCCTGTAAAATTGAGCTGCAGACACAGACAAGCAAGCGGGAAGCTTGCATGGGTGAATGCCAGCAGTTGTGCCAATAGGAACAGGCACCTGAGACTAGGCATGTTCAAAATGGCAGCTCCACCTTCCCTTTTCTTTGCCAGCCACATGTACAGTAAGGAGCAGATGACATGGGCTAGCCAAGTGGAAAGCCCATTTGCATAATAAGATTAGGGTGGGGTGGCCAGCCTTCCCAAAACGTCACACCTGGTCCAACCAATCTGTGGGCCCTACGTAAATCGGACACCACCACCTCAAACCTGCCTATAAAATCCAGTGCACTCCCATTCGGGAGCCCCTCTGTCTCAAAAAAAGAGAGAGAGCTGTTCTCCTTTATCTTTCTTTCGCCTATTAAACCTTTGCTTCTAAACCCACTCCTTGTGTGTGTCCATGTCCTTCATCTTTTTGGTGCAAAACAACGACGAACCCCAGGTATTTACCCCAGACAATGAGGCTGCTTCATCAGAACTGCTGACTCCAAGTCCTAGGTCCTTTCCACTGCATCAACAATGAGGAAAATATTAGAAGCAATCTAAGATTTTAATAGCTTCTGGCAGCACAGATATTTAGTAGATTTCACTTATCTATTTTTATAGGTTTTGGTTTTTTGTTGGTGGTGGGTTTTTATTTGGTTTTTTTTTTTTTTTTTGTGATGAGATCTTGCTTTGTCACTCAGGCTAGAGTGCAGTGGCACAATCATAGCTCACTGCTGCCTCGAATTCCTGGGCTCAAGTGATCCTCCCACCTCAGCCTCCTGAGTACCTGGGACTACTGACACGTGCCACCATGCCCAGTTAGTTTTCAAATTTTTTTTGTAGAGACAGGGTCTTGTCATCTTGCCCAGACTGGTCTCTAACTCCTGGGCTGAAGTGATCCTTCCACCTTGGCCTCCTAAAGTGCTGGGATTATAGGCGTGAGCCACCATGCCCAGCCTGTATTTGTTTTTAAAAGATGGTAAATAAATATCTGTATATTCCTAGTGTCAGACACTAAGCTACCTCTCATGGTCAAAAAGAAAAAAAAAAGGCAAGATAAAATCATTTTTGTAGTTGAGTTTTATCTGGGCTGGTCCATCCTTCTATTTTATCCTTTTTCCTTAGGAGATAAAGTGGTTATTTGAGGAAAGACTTGCTAGACATGAATCTGGTTTTGGTTCAAATTCTATTTTATTATTTCCTGGGCTTTGAATTTCAAAAAGCCAATCTATTTATTGGTCTCTTTGGGGCCATAAGGTTAAAGTACATCTGTTGTCCACACAAATTTAGCTATTGGCCTTCGAGCTAAGCAGTCATGAAATTATAGCCATAGTAAATTTAGACAACGATTAATTTCACTTCGGTCTGCCTATAAGTCCACATGACAGAATAAACATAGTGTGTCATGTGGTTAATGTGAACACATGTAAAAAATTAAGAAATCTTTGGTGACCAGACAAAAAATACTCCATAAAAATTAATTAGTGTTTCATTGTGGATGTATGAAATGCAATACTTATAGATGGCCTGACTTGGAGCTTAGGCAGCAACAAAACTTATCTTGGGCATCACTTTCAAATTTCGTTTTGGTGGTTCTCCAGTTCGTGGCAGACCACTGCCATTCCTTTGAGGAAAAGGAACACCTGGAAAATATAACCATTGCTGAAGCACTTATCTCTCTGGGGTTTTTTCCTACCCTTTATTTTCATTATTATACCATTACAGAAACTGGTTGCTTCAGTTTTCTTCAAGTATGGACTTCATGAAGCCATGTGGTTGCATGTGCTTTGGGAGGAGGAGGCAGCTGGGGGCTAAATTTGCCATCCTGAAATCACCCGTGACATCCCTTTGAAGATACATTTTGTCAGGAAGCACAAATCAGTGAAGTTGTGAGGAAGAAATGGAGAGACATCTTTCAACATAACCTTGTTTCCCCTTGAGCATAAAGGAATTGATTTAAAGGAGAAAATAAAGACTCAACAGTTTTTAAAGGCTTTTATTTAATAAGCACCTGATTGTTTCCATTAACTGGCTTTTAACATTTACCATTTTGCTTAGCAAAGTTGGAGAACATTAGCCAAGATTCACTGATGAAACTTTATAAGCGTTATAAGTCAGATTTGTTTCATTTTAAAAGCCACATGTTTAAAATACAGTGCACAGAGAATTTTCATGATACGTAGTTGTGGTTCAATAAAATAAAGATAGCCAAAAGAAACTGTCACTCATAAAATCTATATTTCCTGCTAAGTGTTAGTATTAAAATAGATACTGCTAGTCAACTTGTAAGCCAAGCAATGCCATATGTGATTTTTTAACATAAGCTATTTGTAGTCTATACTAGAAAGTGTATCTTAGACTTTGCAGTGATTTGTTGGTTCCTTTCATTAATCATGAATTTATTATCATAAAAATCAACACCCATGACCCTATCTTGGAGAATCGGAGTGTTCTGAGCATTCCCAGATGTGTACTGCAGCTCCAGTATACAGTTCAGAGCCCCACTGCCAGTTGCCAGGATCACAAGAGAAAGATATTAGTAGACCACGTCAGGGAGGTGAATTTTTAAATGTTCTTACACCACCCAAGAATGGAAGTGACTGGTGGTTTTCAAGGACAGCCATTTGGTCTGAAGCAGCTGCAGCCCCTTGATTTTAATTATCCTCCTGACCCTTTGATCCCTAACCAAAAAGGCCCTAGGACTGTGGACAGATGCAGCCACTCTCCTTTAACAACTGGACTCAGACCAAGTCAGCAGTCACATTTAACCTCACCTTGAAATGTAGAAAGTGAACAATTACATATTGAACATTTTCATGTAAAACATCTTCTTGAATTTCAATCCAGCCACATCCTGCTAGTGCGATAATGTGATCCTTGAATTTTTGGCACCATCTAATTTTTAAGCTGGAATGTTTGGAAAATCCTTACGGGGAGGGAGGAATCATTATGCAACAACAACAATACACACACACACACACATATGTATGTGTACGTATACATATTTATAAAAAACAATTTCAAAATCCCAGCACAGAATAGTATAAAGAAATATGCCATCTTACAGAACTATAATGTTACAATCCTTTTTCCTTTTATGTACTATAATCCTTTATGAACAAGGAAAATTCAATACTGGAGAATATTATCTCCTCTCCAACAAATTGACTTCAACTTGAGTATTATATCCAAAGAAACTTAATCTGTAAGTATGAAGCTATACCCAACTTTGAAAGATTTTTGAAGCAGTACAAGTTTCTTTCTTCTTCCTCTTTTTTTTTTTTCCTTTTTTTTGAGACAGAGTCTCGCTCTGTCACCCAGGCTGGAGTGCAGTGGCACGATCTTGACTCACTGCAACCTTCACCTCCCGGGTTCACGCCATTCTCCTGCCTCAGCCTCCTGAGTAGCTGGGACTACAGGCATGCACCACCATGCCCGGCTAATTTTTGTATTTTTAGTAGAGACGGGGTTTCACCATGCTGGCCAGGCTGGTCTTGCTTGAACTCCTGACCTTGTGATCTGCCCGCCTCGGCCTCCCAAAGTGCTGGGATTACAGGCTTGAGCCACCATGCCTGGTGCAATACAGGTTTCTATGTGATGGAAAAATCTAAGCTCATTAGGTAAAATATAGTCATTGTATTTCCTTATGTCTACAATTGGATTTTCTTCTCCGTTAGCCCCTGCTACTAGTCTCATGAACTAAGAAACCTGGCTTAGCTGACATCTATGCTTCCAGTCGATTCCTGCATTGCGGTTGAAGTGAAAAAAGCCCCTTGATGAATGAATGAATAATTGATTGATGAATGAATGAATGAATGAGTATGACTAGATCTTCTAATCCTTTTACATTTTATTTCCAATTAGTACAAGGTAATTTTCATACGCTGTTTATGGTCTTGAAATCTGACAGCCAGTCCCAACTGGTTTATTCTTATATTAGCAACTTAATTCTTTTGAAGGGGCATGTACCATGCCCACTAATTTTGCAAGGTTTGGCTCTCCAGTTTCCCTCAGCTCCTTGTTTGTGTGGCAATTACATAGCTATTTAACAGCTGCACTAGAAATTAAAGAGGAAGAATCAGTAGGCTTTGTTAAAACATGTGTCTATCCATAGATACATGTTTTGATGAAAGATGAAAGCCAAAAGCATTAAGGAAAATGAAATTTTGGAGACTACGTGGTTTTTATTGTTTGTGTTCTTATTTTTAATTGCTATAGATAAATGAGAGTTGCTGTATCTAAAAATATAATGACAACTACTTCACAAGGTACTTGTGAAAATAAAATAAGGTCATATTTGCATATAATATGCATTCAATAAATATTCTCTTTCCCTTAATTTGAATTTTTATAAGTCCTTAAGAATTGTCATTGTTCCCAAATATTGTATGATCTTTCCATCCTAATTATGAGATCATAATTACATATTTTTATGATTTTATGGCAGAAAATAAAAAATGTGATTGAAGTTGAAATTTATCAGAAGTTCAGAATGGGAATGTAGATAATAAGATTTTAATTTTTTGATATGCTACCCAGATACTATTCACTAGATAAAAGGCTTCCAGGTATTCAAAATGGAATGAATAAATGTCCGAGGGGGTTCTCAAGTCAAATTTTACTTGAGTGGATTCTCTCTTAGCCACATTCCACCCACACTCCTCTCTCAATCAAAACCCCTCTCCACTCTTAGCCCATAGCAATTAAACAGGGCTTTCAGGATCTGGAGGAAAGTGAGAATGTATCCCCTAGAAAGAGATCAAATTGAGGATGGCAAATGTGTTTCATTTCAGCCTTCAACTTTAGTTGCTTTGTAGCCTTAAACAGCTGTGCTGAGGATTCTCAGACATTCTGTCTCACTAGCAAAGAACATTCTGATGAGTGAGTGATGTCTGCCACAGGAAGAAGGGGGATAGTGTCCTTGCCTGTGCCATGCATTTACCAAACCTATACTTCATCCTATTTTGTATGTTTCACTGTTTAGCTTGTCACCCTAGTATCTCTTTCCCTAAATGATACCAGCAACAAGAATTTAATGTGAGAGAAATTTCAAGAGGTCAAAATTTAACCAACAGATCTCCTCCCATTTACCTCTTTAGAGAATAGTAAATGTTTTGAGTTCTTTGCCAGGAAGCTGGTGGAATTATGACCTTTGAGAAACTGAACTAAACAAACATGACTGTAGCACACCCATCTCGTCCAATGTGTGGTGCCAAACTTCAAAACTCTAAGATTCTGTTAGTTTAGACAAGAAGGTGATGCATCTTTAATCAGCTACATGAAGAGTGGATGAGGCAGATTTCCTTTTCTCATATATGCACTAACTAGATTATTTTCAGTTTAATTTTATGCTTTTTAAATGCACTTCAGTTTGAGTTGGTGAAAGTCTATAAGCCTCTCTCCATATATATTTTAAAGCACAAACTGTGGCCGATATTAAACTATTTGTTCAGTCCTTTCTTCATCTGTAAGCATATTCTTCTTTGATAAGCTCAATGGCAATGTGCCCTGTTTGAAAATGTAGGTTTGACTGCTATTCGGATGTGGTGAGGTCAACAGATTAGGAGATGACTGTCATTGGAAAGATACTAAATAGTTTGTTATTCATAGTTCCCAAGAGGAGGGGGCATGCCACACCACAGGGGACTGCAGGGGACGTGCCAGGGTCAGTCAGAAGGCCAAGGAGCAAGGGGGAAATGTGGACAGGTGCCTTTGCCTAGGAACCCACAGGAAAGGGATAGGTGAGGCAAGGTACGCAGGGTTAGAACTGCCTGTTTTGAGTAATTCCAGTGGGTTCTCAAGCACAGGGGCTGTTTCTGGTTGTCTGGTATCTGGCCCTGGGTTGATGTGGGGAGGGAAGTTGTGGCCCTGAGTATGAGAGCCCAATAGAGGGGGTGCAGAGTGTGTGGGCTCTGGACTGGTTAGTTTGCATATGGAGGGCATGCTCCCAGGAGGGTCTTTAACACCTCTAGGAACTGGCTAACCCTGGGATGGGCAGTCCCTGCAGGGTCAGCAATGTCCTAGATGCAAAATTGAATGCATGCAAAATTATGTTCTTTTTGTATGTTTCTCTCTGTACTCAAAAATAATTAACCTCATTCATTTGATAATTGATCATTTGTCCCTTTCTGATATCGTCTGTATTGTTTCCTCATGCCATTATTTGATATCAAATGTATTTATGCCAATTTCCCCAACTAGAAATCAACTACTTCTTGATTGTTTAAAAAAAATGCAATTTTTAACTTTTAAAATTGATCCATAGAGTATTGAACATAGTTGATGCTTTAAAATATTTATTATCAGCCCCACATTACTTTAGAACATGCATCCGATGAAATAACAAATAGTGAAGAAATCTGTGCTCTAATAGATTTGTAAAATGCTACATACATATTACATCTCCCTCCTTGATGTTTGCAATTCACATTTCCTTATTTAAGGCCCTGGGAAGGCCTGCAGCAAAGAAATTTGTTTAACGTTGTCTCAATCCAGCCATTTACTAAACTTATTTGACCATGAAATTTTTTCTCATTGAGTACCTGCTAACAACCCGTGAATATGTTGCAGAATGCTTTTCTGTACTGTTTCTTCCATGGAATTTGTACTTTAAAAAAATAAATTAAGACTGATTATAAACTGAGTGATGATGAGTTTAAGGCTAAAGAAAATAATCAGTAAGTGCTATAAAGTGCTTGAAATATACCTTAATACTGGCAGAAAAGTTAAGACAATGAATGCATTTTCTGCCTCAGTCTAACTCATCTATTTAGTCATCTGAAATGGCTCATTATGTAATAAAACTCTTCAGCAACCGCATATGGCAAAATGATTGGTGCTTGTAAACCACTAGGCTGACCTGTTTTTGCTTTTTAAATATGCATGTTTTTTGTTCTCCACCTCAGTGAATAAAATTGAAACAGCATCTCAGATTGTAATACATAGGAGAAATAATGCAGAGAAAAGAATAAATTTGCCCAGTAAGGTATAAGTAAAATAATTAGCATGAGCCATGCATATTGCTTTCAGGGAAAGCAACTGACAGCCAGGGAAAGTCAGTTATTGACGTAAGTGCCTGTCAAGTCACCAGTTCTATGTTGTTAAAATGTGGTAAGTTAGGGTGTGACCCAAGAGGAGGAGGAAAAAAAAAAAAAAAAAACCCTGCAAATATTTTGATGGCAGGCTCTCCCTAAAAACAAAAAGGGCAGCATAGTTTCTGGCCAGTATTTAGATCAGTGTGTGTTTGATCTATGATTGGAATCATTTGCTCAATGGAACTAGCAATGGCAGAGCAAAGAGGCTCAACTGTGACTTTAGGAAAGTCATTGAGCCTTCCAGTTCAGGTTCCTCATCTGTATGAAGAGACAAAATGTCAAGGGTTTTTTGTTAAATGGAAGAGTGTATTTTTAATGATTGTGTTAAAAAATATTTCACAAAATGATGTAGAAAATTCTTTGATGAAGGGTGCAAGTAATTAATGGCTTAGCTTACTTGGAATATACTAGGATACAATCATGTTTCTGAGATCACAGGCCCACACTGGACCTTTAAATGTATTGATGGATTTGGCACCTTGTCTTTATCACAACCATGGTACTTAACTTTCCATGTTATACTGAAATTAGCTCTTGATGGGCCTTTCTATCCTATTGGAATGTAAGTTTTTCCAGGGTAGAGGCCTGGTCTTATATTAACTTACTCTCTAGGTTCTAGCACAATGTTTGGCATATGAATGTATTAAGCATGCCTTTTAATTTTCAGTGTCTCTGCTGCTTTGGCATGCGAGGGACCAGAGGTACAATATACATTTTTAAAAAATGGTTGCTTGGGAGGTTGAGGCAGGAGAATGGCATGAACCCGGGAGGCGGAGCTTGCAGTGAGCTGAGATCGCGCCACTGCACTCCAGCCTGGGCGAGACAGCGAGACTCCATCTCAAAAACAAACAAAAAAAATGGTTGCTATGTGAAACAAGTGAGCAACCTGGATGGAAAGCCAAGACTCTGTGAGGCGGGTCATTCTGGTCCAGAACTTATCAGACCAACACTTCTTAAAGTGCACATGATCACCTAGGGGATCTGAACTGATTCAGTAGATTTGGGGTGAGGGTCAAGATACTGCACTTCTAACAAGCTTCCAGGTGATGCTGATGCTGCTGGCCTCAGGACCACACTTTGAGGAGCAAAAAGCAGGAGTGGGGAATCATTTTCTATAAAGATCCAGATACTACATAATTGGGGCTTTGAGGGCCATATAATATGTTGCAACTACTACTTGACTCTGACTATAATGCAAAAGCAGACATAGACAACATGTAAATGAATGAGCATGGTTATGTTCCCCGCCCCCCACCAAAAAAAAAAAACCTTATTTAAGGACTCCGAAATGTGAACTTTATGTCACAAAATACTCTTCTTCTTTTGATTTTTTTCAAACCCTTAAAAGTATAAAAACCATTCTTAGCTCAAGGACCTTATAAAAACAGGCAGTAGGCTTGCAGGCTATAAGTTCACTGAGTTAGAGGACAACATACTAGTCACTTAGGTAGTTGGCAAATGTTTCCCTGTGGAGTACATCTAACCAAAAGAAACGAATCCTTCTCTCTATGGAACCTCTGTTGCATTTTTTTATGCTTCATTTTCCCCCAGTAGGTGGTTTATATCTTTTTTATGGAATGTAGAAACACTCTAATTCACAGACAGACTCAACTAGTTTCAGAGTTTAGCAGGCGTTATTTTTTCTATTACCTGTAGTAGGTAATGCAGTTCCTCACACATAGAAGAAGCTCTGTTAGTGTATATTCAGTTTATTTTAGTCTGTTGAAGATGCCTTTAGCTTGGTCTTAAGGAAGAATAGTTCCTAGATGGGATTAATGAACAGGGTAAGGAGATAATTCCAAGGAGAAGAAAATGTGGGCACAGAAAAGTAGGCAGGTAATATTTGAGGGCTATGTAAGGAGCAGTAAGTCCATGCAAATATTCGACAGAAACAGAGGATTAGTATAAGAAAACGATAGGGCCAAGTTATATGAAAACCCACAGTGACAGATCTGAAGTTTAGAGAATGATGTATGTAGGGAAAAACCTCAAGGGCATTAATCTGATGACAGAATATAGAAAGAATTTATAGTCTGCTGGTGATGGAGAGACCAATTAAAACACTAAAGCCACAGTTAATACTGATGGGTGAGGATCTGGACTGTGGCTTTGGAAAGATAACAGAAAAAAAAGAAAGAGACTGGAGGATGACTCTGGGCTGGAAAGTTCTTCAAGACTTTATGACAACAAAGAAAACCATACAGTGCCCCAGAATCAAGAAATACTGTCCTGCTCCGTTGCCCCCAAAATAATATGGTTTGCATTGCATAGAATGCTCAGTTGGCTGATTATTGTATGTTCTTTAATTCCCCAGGTCTTATCTCTTCTTTGGTGGGAATCACATATTTACTGTTGAGCATGGTTTCTGGGGTTGATACTCAGAGTATTAGCAAACTCATTTGCTTTATTAACTTTATTTTCAAATTAAATTAGACAAAAACCTGTATTATTCTACTCTAAATACAGAAAAAACATGTCTTCCGTGTCATATTTCACAAAAGGATGTGAAATCCAAGTAATTTTATAGGAAACTGGACTTAGAGAAAATCTCTAAGTGCTCATTAAGAGCTAAATGGACAATATTTTCCCAGAGAATTCAATCCTTTTAGTTCTAAGTGGCAGATTTCTACATATTTCTTTAAAAATAAATCCCATTTGGGGTTTTTTTAGGGCAGCTTTGGGCTTTGTTTTGTTTTGTTTGTATGTTTGTTTCTTGGTAAAATGTAAAGGCCACCAAATGCTACTGAGAATTTGAGGTGCTGGGGGAAGAGAGGAGAGAGAGTGAGAGAACCTGTGTTCAAACAGTCTGGCAGCCTGAAATTTCCCACACGAAGGACCTGATTGTTTGGGAAAGGAAAAGTGCTGACGAGCAAGAATGAATTACAGCACAACTGCTATATCTCTCCACATCTTGGAGGCCAAGGCGGTCTGCTAGAAAGTTTTGTAAATATCAGAAATGTGGAAGGCATTAAATCTGTTACTGCTCAGCTGATCAGAAGTCTTAAGGTCAACAAAAATATTGCTGCCTGTGATTTTTTAACATGATGATAAGTTTCTTTTCATATATTAAATATTTTGAGCATAATGTTTATATTTTCTATTTTTCTTTAGATAAGACTAATAGATAAAATTGTAATAAATGGAGGAGGTATTTGTTATAAAGCATTTTATAAGACACTGAGTTTCTGTTCCTTTTATAACTGAAATGGTCTTTCTGAGTTTGATAGCATCACTTGGGTTGATAAAATGTACAAGATGCTTTACAAAGAAAACCTGTGGGAATTGTCTAGTCATTAATTTCACAGTCTAAATTGTAGAGTTTCCATTAGTAACACTGACATTGTTTTTTTTTTAATCAAACAAACATCATTTTGCATAGCAACCAGCCTTCACTTCTGCTTTATTGTTTTAAACATCACCATTTCCTTTCTTTCCCTCCTATCCTTTGACCTCCATTTGGCCTGCAGATGGTTCTGTGAAGGGAAAGAACTGCACAACACTCCTGATATTCAAATCCACTGTGAGGGAGGGGACCTCCATACCCTGATCATAGCAGAGGCCTTTGAGGACGACACAGGTCGCTACACCTGTTTGGCTACGAATCCCAGCGGCTCAGACACAACATCTGCTGAGGTGTTCATTGAAGGTAAGGAGGGGTGCCTGGTAATGGGGGATAAAGGGGTGTCAATGGTCTAATGACTCCAGTATCTTGGGCATGCAAATGTGCCTTTCCAATGCAAATGGCACAATGGTGTTCTAATTCAAACTTCATTTCCCTGAAAACCTTTATAAATTGAACTGTTCCGACATTTAGGCACCCATCAACTATCTCTGATGTCAACATTTGTTCCTTTTAATGTAGAATGTTTCCACTCCATTAACTTGAATTATTTAAAATGTAAGGTATCCAAATTATTTTTGTCTTTCTCTAGTAAATGAAGCATAGAAACACAATTGAAATACCATATCAAGCAAAGTTAAACGATAAATGACTCAGGAAATCATTCATGAGAATTTTAAGTGATTGAATACTTTTTAATGTTCTCATTTTTACTAAATTCTAGAATTTTGTCTCTTTTGTTAAGACCCCATTATTCCTTCTAAATGTATTATAAACTTGCAATCACTAGGTGAGAATATTCAAGAATCAATGTTGTATTAAAGAGGGGTACGCAGAGAATGGGCTATTTCTGTTGTTCTGTTCATTTTTGACAGGATTCAGTCTCCAGGGAGTTGAAAAACTTGATATCAAAGTATTATATTTTACATTTTTATTGTGTTTTGATCAATACCAATAATTTAGAATAGTTGGAAGTGTTTTAAGCACTGTAGTGTATATACTATTCCTAAATCCATAAATTGATGAGTGCTCTGTTAATTGGTTGCTTTCAAAATAATGGTTAAAATATAGAAAGAATATTAAAATCCTTGAGGTCTGTACTTTTTTAAACTATTTAATAGCACCAATATCTCCATTATGTGGAGGTGAAGAAGGCAAGATGTGAGCCACCATTTATAGCTCCTTCAAGAACTGGCCCACAATAATTAGCTTTAAAAGTAGGGCCAGGTGAGGTAGCTCATGCCTGTAATCCCAGCACTTTGGGAGCCCGAGGCAGGAGGATCGCTCGAGGCCAGGAGTTTGAGACCAGACTGGGCAACATACTGAGACCCTGTCTCAAAAAACAAAACAAAACAAAACAAAAAAACACTTTTTTAAAGTTAGCCTGGCCTGGTGGCGTGTACTTGTACTCCCAGCTATTCAGGAGGCTGAGGAGGTAAGGAGGGAGGATTGCTTGAGCCCATGAGGTCAAGGTTACATTGAGTTATGATGATACCACTGCCCTCCAGCCTGGAAGACAAAGCAAGACCCCATCTCTTAAAAAAAGAGAAAAATTTAAAAATAAAAAGTAACGATTACTGATGACTAAAAGTATGTACCTTTACTTTCAGTGAAAGGATCCTCCACATTACCTTTGGTAGAAAACATCTTGGAGTGCCTCAAGGGACCTTGTCCTATTAATAAAAACAAACATTCTATATGTAGTAACAACTAATACTTACATGACACTTACAAAATGCACACACACACACACACACACACAATCATTTATACTTTGCCGTAGCCTACGAGGTATTATTAGTGTTCCTTTTTTATAACTGAGGCCTGGAGAGGTAGAAGAAACTTGTTCAAAGTCACACAATAATTTGAACCAAGACAGTCTTGCTCCAGGGCCCATATTAACCACCCTATCATACTGATAGGTATTTCAAAATGCTGCATGAATGAAAAATGAATGATAAAAAGATGTTTAAAATTTCACTAATGAGTTAGCAGTATTATTCAGGGGTGGGTTATGTAGCAAACTTCTTAAGCCATCTTAGAATACAGTGAAGGAAACAAACTTCCATAAAAATCCTGTCTGCTAATGATGATCAGATGTGTCTCCAAGTTCAGATAGAGCACTTTTAAATGAAATTCTTTATTTGCTTGCAAGATTGCTAGAAATATGATAAATTTTGGGTTGTGCTGCTTTCATACTACAAATATTAAATGAAATCATATTAGATTTAAGTAAAAGCCTGTCAACTTAATTTAACCAACATTTATTAAGATCCTACTAAGTGCCACACAGTGCAGGTATAAATGTGGTTAAGAGACAATTCCTGATATCAAGGAGTTCTCAATCTAACAGCAGATAAACACATTTTTTTAAAAAAAGCCGGGCGCGGGCCGGGCGCGGTGGCTCACGCCTGTAATCCCAGCACTTTGGGAGGCCGAGGCGGGTGGATCATGAGGTCAGGAGATCGAGACCATCCTGGCTGACAAGGTGAAACCCCGTCTCTACTAAAAATACAAAAAATTAGCCGGGCGCGGTGGCGGGCGCCTGTAGTCCCAGCTACTCGGGAGGCTGAGGCAGGAGAATTGCGTGAACCCGGGAAGCGGAGCTTGCAGTGAGCCGAGATTGCGCCACTGCAGTCCGCAGTCTGGCCTGGGCGACAGAGCGAGACTCCGTCTCAAAAAAACAAAAAAAACAAAAAAAACAAAAAAAAACAAAAAAAAAAAAACAAAAAAAACAAAAAAGCTGGGTGCAATGGCTCACACCTGTAATCCCAGCACTTTGGGAGGCCAAGGAGGAGATCAAGATCAGCCTGGCCAACATGGTAAAACCCCATCTCTACTAAAAATACAAAAATTAGCCAGGCATGATGGCAGGCAGCTGTAGTCCCAGCTACCCAGGAGACTGAGATCATGCCACTGCACTCCAGCCTGGGCAACAGAGCGAGGCTCAGTCTCAAAAAAAAGAAAAAAAAAATGTAAAATGATAAAGTAATATTATAATAAGTGGTATAAGAGAAATCGAAAGCATTTTAAGAACTTATAAAAGTTAAATGCATGATATATAAGATATATATAAAATCATATATATACTATAAAATGAGATATTTCACTGCCTCTTGAAACCAGCTGCAGAATCCAACTGGGATAGACCCAAACTCTCACCATACTGATCTTTAACTTTTAATGTGGTTCTTCTGTGTAAAAGCCTCTGAACTGCCAGTCCTCTTTTGCCAGTCCTTTCAAATCATCTGCCTCAGGTACTGAATATGAGAAAAGTATCCCTCTAGTTCTATATGGTACGTATCTTTCATGTTCGGGACTTCAACAGAGATAGTGGATTTCTTCCAGTGCCCAGCTTTCCATGTGACACTGCTGAACTTACTGAGACATCCGACACCTTTGGGTACCTCTGACTATAGATAGATCGTATGTGACTTTAGATAAATTGAAGGGAGAGTAAGGAAACTGGACATAGCAAGAATGAAGAGGTGTGAAGATTCAGTCTGCTAAGCCTAACATAAAGTGCTTTAGAAAACTGGCTCCTTGGCCTTGTGAAATATGAATAATTTTTTAAAAAACAAAAGATTTTAGTGTTTTAATCCCTAAGAACAGTTATGTGAAGTGGGAGAGAACCTCAGATAAATTCTTAGCCTCAACTTATGACTCAAAGTAAGAAATTTTTATATTTTACTTATTCTAGCACTAAATTAGACTCACCCATATTCCTATTGAATTGCTTCCTGAAGCATGTTATTACTACATCAGCTGTCGTTGGCAGCCTATCTATCAGAGGGTAGAAAGGTTTCTTTTTGAAATTAAAATCTCAGCAAAGCCATCTCTAAAAGTTTAACAACCTACAAATTAGAAACTTTCTAAATTCCACTGTCCCATGCGTCAAGTTTTAGAATGATACAAAAGAAATTACAGCTTAAGAACAGTGGCTAGCATTCATTTAGTGTCACCTAGGAGCCAAGCACTGTTCTTCATTTTTACAGAGATCACCTCATTTCATCCTCACAAATATCACACCATTTAAAATTTTCTTATTTTTTTAAATTGACAAATAATAATTGTACACATTCGTGGGGTATGTGGTTATGCTTTGATACATATTACGTATAGTGATCAGATCAGGGTAATTAGCATATCCATCATCTCAAACATTTATCATTTGTTTGTGTTGAGAACACTCAATATCCTCCTTCTAGCTACTTAAGACCATATAAGGTATTATTGTTAACTATAGTCATCCTGTAGTGGTATGGAACATTAGAACGTATTCCTCTTACACTTTTAGCTGTAATTTTGTATCCTTTGACAGTCTCTTCCCATTCCCCCCTTCTCCTTCCCCTTTCCAGCCCCTATTAGCCCCTGTTCTGCTTTTTTACTTCTGAGATTAACTTTTTTTTTTTTTGAGACGGAGTCTCGCTCTGTCACCCAGGCTGGAGTGCAGTGGCGCGATCTTGGCTCACTGCAAGCTCTGCCTTCCGGGTTCACGCCATTCTCCTGCCTCAGCCTCCCGAGTAGCTGGGACTACAGGCGCCTGCCACCACGCCCGTCTAATTTTTTGTATTTTTAGTAGAGATGGGGTTTCGCCGTGTTAGCCAGGATGGTCTTGATCTCCTGACCTCGTCATCCACCCGCCTCGGCCTCCCAAAGTGCTGGGATTACAGGCGTGAGCCACCTCGCCCGGCCAAGATGAACTTTTTTAACAGCAAGTTAAGCACCGCATGTTCTCACTCATATGTGAAAACTAAAAATCACCCTATTTTATAGTTGAAGAAACTGAAGTTTTAAAAGGCTAAGTAATGACCAAGATCACACATATACACACAGCACACACACATGCCTGGGAGTCAAGGATTCAAACCTAGGCAGTGTGACTCCTGAATCTGCCCTCTACCCTACAGCATAAAATCCAAATAAACTCATCATCACTGGGGCAGCTACAGTTCCTTGCCTTCATCAGGCAACAGGATTTTGGATCTGAGCACAGCATTTTTCAGGGCATATAATTGAGCACTTTTCGGTCATTCTCAAGAATACAGTGAGTGACTACTGTAAGGGAGGCCGTGGTTCACCCTCGAGACACACAGCAGCGAACAAGCAGGCCTCTGCCATCACTGCACGAACACTCCAGAAGGGGGGCAGAGTAACCCAGTAAACTCATAAGGCATTCCAGCAGCAGCAAGTGCTGTGAAAGAAATGAAGGTGGCTGATGGGATGCGGTGATCAGGAAGCCTGCTCCAAAGAGATGACATTTGGTCTCCGATAGGAGCCTGAGAAGGAGCCAGTAGGGAAGGCTGGGGAAAGAGTGCTCCGGACCAAGGGAACAAATGCCCTGGTGAGGACAGCCAGATGTGCCTAAGTTGCAGGAAGAAGTCCAGGGTAACTGGAACATCAGGTGGAAGAGTTAGCTCAGAGGCTTGGGCCGCAGCCGGGGTATGCCGGACACAGGGCCTATAGTCACCGTTAGTTTGGCTAAATAAAATTGAAAATCATGGAGGGTTTAAACTGATTCATATTTTCTAACTGACTCTCTGGTTGGTAGAAGCCTATTGCAGCAGGACAGAGGAGAGATGCGGGTGCCTCAGGAGGATATGGCGGAGATGAGGGAGTGAGTCAGATTCGAGTTGGGTTCAGAGGCAGGTCCAAAACCCTGCAGTGGTTCCATGTGGAGGCGAGGGGAGGAAAGGAATCAGGGATGACTCTGTGGATTCAGCTATACCGTTTGTGAGGACAACGGTGCCAATCTCTGAAATGAGGAAGACGGAAAAGGAATAGGATTGGAGACAGAAGGAATTAAGTGCTGTCTTTTGAACGTGCTGTGTGTGTGTGTGTGTGTGTGTGTGTGTCTGTGTGTGTATTTGGAGATGGAGTCTCGCTCTGTCACTCAGGCTGGAGTGTAATGCCGCGATCTCGGCTCACTGCAACCTCCACCTCCTGGGTTCAAGTGATTCTTTTGCCTCAGCCTCCCAAATAGCTGGGACTACAGTCACGAGCCACCATGCCCGGCTAATTTTTGTATTTTTAGTAAAGATGGGGTTTTGCCATGGTGGCCAGGCTGGTCTCAAACTCCTGACCTCAAGTGATCCGCCCACCTTGGCCTCCCAAAGTGCTAGAATTACAGGCATGAGCCACTGCGTCCAGCCTGAACATGCTGTGTTTGAAATCTCTATTTAGCTAGCCATGTGGATGTGTCAGGCCGGTAGTTGCAAATATAAACATAGATGTCTAGAGCACAGGGTGAGAATGCTGTATTTGGGGAGCATCAGGATATAGATGGTAACTAAAGCTGTGGGACTGGATACACCTCCAGACAGATCAGCTAGGGAGGAAGAGGGAATGGGGACGAGGAAGGGATCTGAATCTGAGCCTGGGATACTCCTGCCTGTTGAAAGAGGAGTTGCCAGCAAACAAGATAAGAAAGAAAAGCCCCCAGGGTGTGAGAGAAACCAGGCAGAATGCTGTAAGGGAAGGCAAGAGAAAGAGTTTCCAGAAGACAGGGCTGCAAGATGTGTCTGCTGCTGCTGAGAGCTCCAATCAGATGCGGGCCAGGAGAAAACCACTGGGGTCAGCAACAGTGGATGTTGTCAGCGATTTTAGCAAGAGGAGCTTGAGGAATCTGAACAGGGTTAAAGATCAAATGGTACTGGTTGAGAAAAGTTTGTGAAATATGGAAAGAGAAGCAGCAAATAACATACTTGTTGGAGAAGTTTGGCTTAACTGCCAACTAAGAGATAGGAGCTGGTATCTGGAATGGAGCATGGGGTCAAAAAGATGGTTTTTACAATGTGTGTGTTTTCAGGCAGGATTTACTAGAATATAGGCTGAAGAAGATAGTGCAAGAGAGAAAAATAGATCATGCAGGAGGGAGGAGAGTAAGATGGGGAAAGGAAATGGAATCTGTACTAGATGGCGAGAGGGTACCCTCAAGAACTAGCTGGCAGAGAGAGCTTCTCAAGAATTTCCTATGTAAATAGGAAAGATCCATGTAAACATGTAAAATAAATACAGACATCTCAAGTTCCCACCACTGCCTCCCCCTGTGATTGTAAAATGAATTACACAGACTGTCAAATGAATAGCTTTATGAGCTCCGAAGAGGGCAAGATGGTGGCCCTGAAATGTGGGATGAAGGAAGCTGGATTAAACCGGACCTTGTGGATAAAGAGGATTGGGGTCAGGAGGAGAGGAGGGCAGGGCAGCGTTAAAAAGGTAGGGAAGAGAACCAGCGTGACACAGATTGGCAGGTCCTGTTAGACACAGGTTCTCAGTGCTACGAATAATCAGATAAAATGTGTGCCCCTTTGAAGTGACATTGTGAAGCGTGCTGTGATGTGAAATGTGGAATTGTTCCTGGTAATCACATAGGGTAAAGCCCTTGGTGCTGGGACCACTGCCGTGCCTCTCTAGGCAGAGATTCCATTCACTGGGTTTTGAAAACTTTTGGAGAAAAGCTAAACCAGTTTAACTTTGGCCATTCTTCGTGTTATCTATTTTAAAATAACCTTTCATGGTATTTTATGATGGCTCTATGCTTTGGTTTCTTCATCTGGAGAAAATCAGATTGTTGTAAGGGTTGAGTGGGTTAATCCACTGGGGTGGTGCCTAGCACACAGTGTAGGCCATTATTATTTTTAAATACCATATTTTTATTTTTAAAAAGCTAAAATGTACGGATAAAAAGAAGATATAAAAATCATGTCTAGGCCAGGCATGGTGGCTCATGCCTATAATCCCAGCACTTTGGGAGGCTGAGGCAGAAAAATCACTTAGTCCAGAAGTTCAAGACCAGCTGGAGCAACATAGTGAGACCCCCATCTCTATAAAAAATAAAAAAAATAGCCAGGCATGGTGGTGCACACCTGTAGTCCCAGCTACTTGGAAGGCTGAGGTGGGAGGGTCACTTGAGCCCAGCAGGTCAAGGCAGAAGTAGCTGGGATGGCACCACCGCACTCCAGCTTGGGTGACAGAGTGAGACCCTGTCTCAAAAAATAAAAATAAAAAAGCATGTCTAATCCTAGTGCCTTATGACAGTCACTCTTAATATTTTTATCTTTCCAATTTTTTCCTACATGTGAGTACTTAAATTTTGCTGTATCTACTCTTTTGAACTTTTTTTTTTAATTTAACCTATTCTGTCACAGACATCTACCCATGTCATTAAACGTTCTTTAAAACCATTCTAATTCCTTTGTAGTTGTTCAACATTTATAAAGTTATGTGTCACTGACATTGCTTCGGTTACTCTGATCTGTAAATGATTCTTGCTGTATTGGTAATTATAGCAACTGATTTAAAAGAGAGGAAAAGAAGTAAATAATAGAAATGAGAGAAAGGATGTATTTATTCCTCAAATCTTGAAAGGCAAAATATGTATAAAAGGATAAACTCCATGACTCAGTTCAGTAAAGTCAGTTAGAGATTTAAAACATATCTATATAATATATATTATGTTTATTTTATTTTTATATGTTTATATATTTTACTTATATGTATTAATTATATATATTTAAAAAAAAATTTTTTTTTTGAAAAGTCTCGCTCTGTCGCTCTGTTGCCCAGGATGGAGTGTGGTGGCGTGATCTCGGCTCACTGCAAGCTCCACCTCCTGGGTTCACACCATTCTCCTGCCTCAGCCTCCCAAGTAGCTGGGACTACCATGCCCATCTAATTTTTTTTTTTTTGTAGTTTTAGTAGAGATGGGGTTTCACCGTGTTAGCCAGGATGGTCTCGATCTCCTGACCTTGTGATCCGCCCACCTCGGCCTCCCAAAGTGCTGGGATTACAGGTGTGAGCCACCGCGCCCAGCCAGTAGGTTTTTAAAATGAAAAGGGAGCACCTTTTAAAGTCAAGGCAGGAGACTCATTTTTGTGACATTTCCACTGGCCAAAGCCTGGAGCAGGATCGTCGGCGTGTGATTCCTTCACTCTGCGTGGGAGGCAGAATAGGAAAAGTTAAGGTTTAGGCAGGTAACTGTTAGGTGAACAGATGATAGTAACTACAAGGGCTAGAACATGTAACTCTTTCAGACTGGAGCCTACATCCAAAACTGAAAGTGACGGTTAATAAATATGGAGAAAGACGTTAACCTGAGACTCCGTAGTGTTGTTTTTTTTTTTTTCTCCTGACCAGCAGGTGCAAAGCAGATGACTGAAGTGGGAACAGAGTGGGAGAGGGCGGGAGAATCGCCCTGAGGGGAAGGCAGGGAACTGGCTGGCACAGAGAGGGAGATTTGATCTGCCCCCGTCTCCAAGAGCTGCTCTGACACCTGAGATGTAAGGTGACTTTCAGATTTCACAAGGGTTGGACAGGTGTGCAAAAGCTAGCAAATGTGTGTTTATTCAGGGGGCCCCAGCCTTTTTGGCCCCTTTTTCCTTTGAAAATCAGCTGGAAAAAAGTAGCAAGAATGGCTTTCTAAAGAGAGGTCATCAGAAGGAATTTTTTGTTTTTTAATGATTGAAACATTTTGAATCAGGTGAAAAGTAACTGTTTTCTCTCCCCAATTTTTCGCTACCTTGAGAGTGTGTGTGATAACTTCCATATGGTTTTTGCCACCCCTCCCCTTCTCCTAAATGCTTTTATGATTCCAGTAAAATGGTCTCCCGGGTCACCCCCGACCTTCTGATCGCCTTCACTGGCTTTTCCTCAGGGTTTCTCAGCTCCCTGCATCTCCTCATCACAGAGAAAACTTCTCCTGGCCCATAACTTGTTTTTGATGGTTTGTTGTTTGCCCCGTTTGTGTCCCTACTCCGCCAGTTAATCCTGCACACTGACTTTTCCAGCCCCCACTCTCGGTGCCTACACGACCAGGTTCAAACAAGTCAGCCCCAGCGTCCCAGTCCTGCCTGTGTTTCGAGATTTGCCTCCCGTTACTGCCCCCAGCCTGCTGCTCCTCTCTCCTTGCACGATCTGCGCCTCGTCCCCAGACAAGCTTTACCACTTCCCAGTTCTCTTTCTTCATTCCAGCAGAAGCCTGGAAGGTGTGTATGAGGAAGGCATGAAGCTAGGCCCTCTGAGGAACTCACACGCGCGCACCTCATGAAGGCCACCTGGAGGTCACGTGGTGTGGGGGCAAGGTCACAGACCACGAGGCTCAACAACAACAGTGCTTTGCCTGTCACCACTGCTTTCTAGTTATGTGACCTTCAATTACTTCACCTCTTGGTTCCTTGGTGTCCTTGTCTATAAATTGGACATAATTCACTTCTTAGTGAGGTTCATTATGATGATGATTAAATGAGGTAAAGTGCCCAGCAGACGCCGGGCACATAGGACATATGCAAAAATTGGTAGTTCCCTTTCTAACCCAGCGTCCATCCTCAGGGAACTCATCATTTTCTAGCAGGCATGATATTCTAGGTGACGTGAGTGCTGTAAACAAGAACGCTGGGAGTTCAGAGAAAGAGCACAGAATAGTGCCTGGGCTGACCGTGGAAGATAGCGTATCAAGAAAAGATGGATAGGAGTTTCCTAAGGAGTGAAAACTATGACTAAGGTACAGGCATGGAAAACAAGCAGGGAGAGAGAGTCCCCACTTTCTCTGTGTCCTAGGGGAGGCTTCCTTGCCACCATCCTTAAAATTGCAGCCCCCCGGGAAGTCCCATCACAGCCCGTGCCCCTCCCCTGCTTGATGACTTTCCTGCTTCACTCACCACCGTATCATGTACTTATTTCTCTTCTGTGTCCTCACAAGATCAGAGGGGTATGTGTGTGTGTGTGTGTGGTGTACGTAGTGGATGTGGGTATGGTGTGTGGGGGGGTATGGTGTGCGTGTGTGGTGTGTGTGGTGTGTCGTGTGGGTGTGGCGTGTGTGTGGTGGTGTGGTGAGGTGTGTATGTGTGGTGTGTGTATGTGCAGTGGGTGTGGCAGGGTGTGTGTGGTGTGTGTGTGGGTGTGATGTGTGTGGTGTGGGTACGGTGTGTGCGTGGTGTGGGTATGTGTAGCATGGGTATAGTGTGTGGTGTGTGTGTGTGGTGTGGGTGTGTGTAGGTGCGTGTGTGGTGGGGTGAGTATGGATGTGTTTGGGGTGTTTATGGTGGGTGTGTGTGTGTGTGTGGTGGGGTGAGTATGGATGTGGTGTGTGGGGGGTGTGTGTGCATGGTGTGTGGTGGGGTGTGTGTGTGGTGGGGTGAGTATGGATGTGTGTGGGGTGTGTGTGTGTGGTGTGTGTGGGGTGTGTGTGTGGTGTGTGGTGGGGTGTGTGTGGTGGGGTGAGTATGGATGTGTGTGGGGGGTGTGTGTGTGGTGTGCGGTGGGGGGTATATGTGTGTGGTGGGTGTGTGGTGGGGTGAGTATGGATGTGTGTGGGTGTGTGTGTGTGTGTGGTGTGCTGTGGGGTGTGTGCGTGTGGTAGGGTATGGATGTGTGGGGTGTGTGTGTGGTGGGGTGAGTATGGACGTGTGTGGGGGGGTGTGGTGTGTGGTGGGGTGTGTGTGTTTGTGTGTGGTGGGGTATGTATGGATATGGTGTGTGGGGAGTGTGTGGTGGGGTGTGTGTGTGTGTCCTCTTCACTGCGTATCCCCCTTACTTATGGAGTGCACACCATTAGATGTGCAGGTGAACTCAGCTCTCTGACTTAAGGTTACATGACTTGGAAGTCCAAGAAGTTCTGGCAGATAGAGGTAGAAAATGAAGTTGGAAATCATGAGGGCCATTAAATGACAAATTTGGGGTTTTTTATTTTACTGAGTAGAGATTCTAATCATCTCATTTTTAACAGGGAAAGTGTGCTCTAGGAAAATCTAGCCGACACAGGGAGGGCAACGATGAATTTGAGAAGGAGGAGATGGGAAGACAAGAATGGATTGTGGTAGTCCAGGCCCCAGGCAAAGAAAGCCTACACTGGATGGTAGACACAGAAATAAATAGGAAGGGACAGCAAACATTCCAGCAGAGTTACCTAAACATGACTGTTTTCAATGTCAATAAAAGACTGGAAAACATATCACAGTAGAGTCACTGGAAGGAATACCAGGCAGCTATCCAAGAGAATGCAGTGAACGTATGTATTCTAAATCTACTGATAGGCAAAAGTAGCCAAATGCCAAGTGAACATGCCATGTGAATCCATTTGTATAAATATGTACATAAATGTAAATATGTTGATATGCTGTATTAAACTTATCCAGGCCATGTGCGGTGGCTCACGCCTGTAATCCCAGCACTTTGGGAGGCCGAGGTGGGCAGATCACTTGAGGTCAGGAGTTCGAGACCAGCCTGGCCAACATGGTGAAACCCCATCTCTGCTAAAAAAAAAAAAAAATACAAAAATTAGCAGGGCGAGGTGGCACATGCCTGTAATCCCAGCCACTCAGAAGGCAGGAGAATCACTTGAACCCAGGAGGCAGAGGTTGCAGTGAGCCAAGATTGCGCCACTGCACTCCAGCCTGGGTGACAGAGCAAGATTCCGTCTCAAAAAAAAAAAAAAAAAAAAAAAAAAAAACACTTATCTGGAACAATACACATCAGACTTAATGTGGTATTTGGGAATGGCATTTAGGAAGGTACCCACTGATCTTTACTATTAGGCTGCACAATTCTGTGCTATATGGTTATTTTCCTATAAGCATGTATTATTATATAAAAGAATATAAGTGACCCAAGTTAAATGTATCTTGGAAACATTAAGAATATACTTTGAACCATTGCAATTTTTTAAGTCTGTCACCTAAAATCTCTTGACATGAAATATGTAAACATCAAAATCTGACTGCAGTTTACCTTTTGACTAAAAATCTGGTAAGTTGACCCTTTATTTAAGAACAGTAATAATGCAAGTGAATTTGGGAAGGCATGATCCAAAATCAAAGGCCCTCTTATTCAAGAACAGAACCACTGTCATACTCAGTTTTACCCAGGAGCCAGAAAGCATCAGTCCTTACCCTGCAATCTCTGGAGAAGGTTACAGTTTAAAAGCGTGGGTATTCTTCACACAAACACACACACATCTTTATTTCATAGTTTATAGCCATTTAAAAGTACGGTTGTGATGACCACAGTGATAAAAATGAAATTAATAATAAATCTGTCATTAAAAGTATATTGCTTTGAAGAAAGCTATTTATAGTAGTACTTTTTAAAAATGAGTTTCTGAAGAAACAGTACAAATAAAAAATTGTCTGAGCCTGAATCACTCTATTTTATTGTGTGTTTCGGTCAAAAAGACTTTGTATGTTATTTTATTTAAGGGAAATATAATTCTTTGCAATTATTATAGATAACACTGATATCTTAACTTTACCATTATCTTTAATACTTTCCCAGGTGCCAGTTCAACAGATTCTGACAGTGAAAGTTTAGCTTTCAAATCAAGAGCTGGAGCTATGCCACAGTAAGTGCCTACAATTCCATCGATTATGTGGAAACAAAGAATGGCAACAGAATGGTTGGGGTATGAAACCATGTTTGCTGTGCTTTGAAGAAAAAAGTCAACTGATGTTAATCAGAGATCAAATACTGAGGTTGGAACACAATTTTTTTTTTTTTTTTTTTTTTTGAGACAGGGTCTCACTCTGTCACCCAGGTTGAAGTACGGTGGTGCGACATGGCTCACTGAAGCCTTGACCTCCCAGGCTCAAGTGGTCCTCCTACTTTAGCCTCCCAAGTAGCTGGGATTATAGGCATACACCACCACACCTGGCTAATCTTTTTTTATTTTTTGGTAGAGATGGGGTCTCACTGTGTTGTCCAGGCTCATCTGGAACTCTTGGACTCAAGCGATCCTCCTGCCTCAGCTTCCCAAATTGTTGGGAGGGATTATAGGCATGAGCCAACATGTCCAGCCCGAACACAATTTTTAACTTGTAAATTTGAACTTTGAAGTCTGCATTTCATCATTGATATGCCAGAATTTTACCATATGCAATGTTAGTTTCAAAGACAGCCATCTAATTTATTATAAATGTATGGAAAGAGAAGTCACATTAAGAGAAAATCAATTAAATCATTACTAAAATGTGAGGACCAATTTATTTATGCAAGTTGGAAAATATCTAATTAGGCCAGAAGTAGGTTCTCCTTTGGATACGATCTATATTTATTTAGATCTTGTACCCGAAATTCACAAAACTTAGTTATTCCTACAAAGACATACCAATTATTAAAATGTTAATATCTTAATTATTTGGCAAAAATAAAATCTACCAGAAATTCCTATTATGGAAAAGTCCATAAATATTGAGTCTGTTCTAATAAATTTCTTTTATCTGCTAGTATGTACATAAAAATTATATCCATTCAGCATCAAATAATCAGTGATGCTTAAAGGATCTTCTAAGGTTATTTTACCACCCCTGGTTTTTATAAGGAGCTCAAGTTTAGTGAAGTTACATGGCTTGCTTCAGATTTCACAGCCAGCTACTTGACAAAGCTGGGCCTAGAAATCAACTCTTCTTAATCTTCTCTAAATATCTCACTAACTTATATGCACTAAGAAAACACAAAAATTCCAAGATACCGACAACAAAATTAGAAACCAGAAAAAAGAACAGCTGTTAGACTTAAAATAGACAACCAAAACTTTGAGTTAAATATAGGACCCTAACCCTAAACATTTCAAATCTCTGCTTATCAATAAAGATTGGATTTTTTCCAAATATTTTCTCTTAGGATTTTCAAGTTTAATACGTTAGCATCTTCAACAGCGTCTCAGTTACATCTAGCTACTTTTCTTTTACTCATGTTTTGATTTTGCTTAATGTCTATAAGGTACATTCTATAAGGTACATGTATATACTGACCACAGCTATTCTAGCTGTAGGTTATGCATTCCCATTGTGGAAGCAATTACAGTTGAAGCGGATTGCGTATACAAAAAGAAACCCAGCTTTTCTGTTGAAACGTTTCAAGGAATTATTTCTGCTAAAAAAAAAAAACAAAAAAACGAAAACAAAAAATATTCTGACTAAACACTCACCTTCCTATTTTCCAGAGCTCAAAAGAAAACAACTTCTGTTTCCTTGACAATAGGATCATCATCTCCAAAGACAGGGGTGACCACAGCTGTGATTCAACCACTGTCTGTCCCTGTGCAACAGGTAAGTATGCTTTGAGCCAGAGCCCATAAGGGGTCGAACTCATCAGCAAACTTGTGGATTTTAAGAATATGACTTTGATTCTAACTAGTATACTCCCTTGAAATATTTTCTAAGTGGACACAAAATTCAGAGCAAAGAAAATTGTAGGTAATGTTTCTCCTTTCAGTTCACTAAAAACAACCTTTAACCAAAACCACACTGCCAATTAGTCAACATTTGCATTTCCATTGGGAACTTCTTTCTCTAACAGCTAATAATCTGATAAACTGGTGTCTGTTTTAGCTGTAACTATTTGATTATTCCCTCACATGTGTATGCTCTTTCATATAGCCAAATTTATTAGCTCATTACAAATTAAAAGACAAGTCTGCATACCAACAAAAAGCTTTCCCACTCCTAAAAGCTAAACAAATAAGAAAAAACAACTCAAATTCCTTGACTTCACCATGCTTTTTGATCTTGCTTTTATTTTATTGTAAGACTGCTATAGCCATGAAAGAACAATAATATAAACTACTGGAAAGTAGTTGTAATGAATTTACTTTGCAAACACAAACAATATGAACTTCTTTTAAAAAAAAAAGTAGAAAACCATTACATCTGGATGTCTCTAAATCATGGTTTAATGAATATGTTCAAAGACAACACTCACAGAAAGGTTTTCCCCCACAGTCTGGAAATGTAAACTCATTCCTAAGTAATGAGTATGTCTTATAAGTATCACCATGTCCTCCCTCAGCCTTTATTACCTATTGAATGCTCAGGGGTGTTTCAGCCACTATAGAGGCCAATAGGTGCTATCGATATGTGGAAAATACAAACAGTAGAGAGAAGACATTTGGGTCCATAAACTTGAATCAACAAGTATCAGTTACTCAGAGATGGCATATATAGTACATATTTCCTTTAAACCCCTTAATCAGAGTGGAATTTATAGAAATATTTGATTAAATCAGTGGGCATTTTTTGGTATTTGATGTTTAAATATTGATAAATATTTATTGAGTGCTTAGTACGGTGCTAGGCATTTCATGACAGGAAAAAATGTCACCCACCCCATTCCCAAATGGGGTGAATGTGACAGAATGTATTTAGATGTAAGACAGAAGCCTAGGAAATAGAGAGATACACACACATCTAGATATGTAAATACCATAATAATGTAAAGAGTGAATTTTTAAATGGATTAAATTCTACAAAGACATGGAATGGAAGGTAATTTACCCCATGTTTATAGTTGGGAGAATGAAGCACCCAGAGAAACTCCATCGCTTTATTATTGCAGGCAATGTGACATCAAGTAATGCTCTGGAACCAGACTCCCTGGGTTTGAATCCCAGTTCTATCACTTCCTAACGGAGGGACCTTAAGCAAATAAAATGTAACCCTTCAAGCCGAGTTTCTTCATCTGTAAAATGAAGATGATAACACTATGTATCTCATAAGTTTGTCCTGAAGATCCAGTGAGTTAATCTTCATATGACACTTGGAACAGTCCCTGGCATAGAGTAAATATTAATACTATAAGAGTGTTCACATATTCTTGGGACATAAAAAGACAGTGAAAAGTGAAACCCAGACCTCTTGAATCACAGGCCAGTAAAGTCTTCCAGGGTTAATGAATAAACTCCATTAGCATCCTAGCATCTCTACCGCTCTGCCACAATTCTTCATGATGTCCTGTGGCATATTTAGACACACGATACCAGATCACCATCATCTTGGGTTAAGAAGCTAACAACCACTTACATAAGTGAATAAATCCAGATCATTTAAAAATAAGTGATAGTACACAAAGAAATATTTTCCATTCACTACTCTGAAATCCTTATATTTCTCCAGAGATGAATGTCATTGAATAGGTATTTTAGCACGTTTCTTTTTTGCACGTCAATAAAAAAAAATTCTTTTCTCTCCTTTCCCATAATCCCTATATCAAAAAAGAGTACAAGTTAAATAAGATAGGTAGATGTTTGATAATTTACCCTCCAGTGCCAATAGCCAATGGCTTTTATGCATTGAATCCAAACTGTATTTAAAAATAAAATACATTGTCTACGAGAACTTTAAAAAAGACGCATGTGGAAGTCCCACACACAGAAATCCATTTGGTAATAGCATTTAAAAGCTCGTGGATCCCCAAGGACCCAGGGAACTTTTACCTTGAATATCCTTTTGAACAGAGAAGAGTAACAGATGTGAAATGAGGAAGTGGAACAATGTCTGTACTGTAAGAGCAGACGAGCAAAATGATGTATGGTGGTACTTTCATTCACTCATTTCCTTCAAGTGGGTGATCCCCATAATGAAAGGTTTCTTCAGCCCATCTTTTAGGCAATTTATATATTTAGAATTTGATCCATATGTCTCTGCTTTTGCAGGTTCACAGTCCAACTTCATATCTCTGCCGACCTGATGGAACCACTACTGCCTACTTTCCTCCTGTTTTTACAAAGGTCTGACATCTGGAAGTCTCATTCTCTGTGTTTGCTTTGGTCCTTAAATTTCATTTACATGTGGCTTCGTGTAGCAATCTTTAAAAATTAAAAGGAACAGATTAGTAGGCTGATTACCATGGTTACCTTTGGGACTAAATAGATATTTGTTGAACGACTGCCGTGTGACTGTAATCTTGTGATGGGTTCTGAGAGATGTGAGCAGGAACTTGATAGAGCCTAAAATCTAGTGGGAAAGCCAAGACAGATAGAAAAAAAAAAAAAAAAAAAAAAAAACCTGCTGTGTAGGAAATTGCTTAGGAGATCTAGCAAGTTTTATAGAAATTCAGAAAAACTGACTAATTTTCCATTTGTCCTGAGTCCGGAATTTGCATTGCCAGGCTGAATGACATCCATTTCATTGGTCAGCCTCTCAAGTCAGAAATGCTTCCATATAGCATTTCTTCTCTTTCTTTTTCCTTTTTCCTTCCTTTTTTTTAGAGAAAATTATAAAACTTTATTAAAAGACATTTTAAAAGGCCCAAATAAATGGAGACATATGACATGCTTGCAGACTAATAGACCGTATAAAGCCATGACTCCCTGATTAATCTGTATTTAATGTAATCTGGCTAAAATTCTAGCAGCTTCCTGGGTTTTTTTGTTTTGGTTTGGTTTGTTTTTTTTACTTTAAATTCTGGGATACACGTGCAGAATGTGCTGGTTTGTTATGTAGGTATACACGTGCCATGGTGGTTTGCTGCACCTATCAACCCGTCATCTAGGTTTTAAGCCCTGCATGCATTAGGTATTTGTCCTAATGCTATCCCTCCCCTTGTCCCCCACCTCCCGACAGGCCCCAGGTGTGTGATGTTCCCCTCCCGGTGTCCATGTGTTCTCATTGTTCAACTCCCACTTATAAGTAAGAACATTCAGTGTTTGGTTTTCTGTTCCTGTGTTAGTTTGCTGAGAATGATGGTTTCCAGCTTCATCCATGTCCCTGCAAAGGACATGAATTCATTCTTTTTTATGCCTGCATAGTATTCCATAGTGTATATGAGCCACATTTAAAAATATGGAACGCTTCACGAATTTGCATGTCATCCTTGTGCAGAGGTCATGCTAATCTTCTCTGTATCATCTCGATCTTAGTATATATGAGCTGCCAAAGCAAGCACAGGTTCCTGGTTTTTAATTGTTTGTTTGATATGGAATTTAGCAACCTGATTCAAAAAGTTGTGTGGAGGAAAAAAGTGGCTAAGAATAGCCAGGATACACCTGAGGAAGGAAAATAAGGTAGTGTTAGGAAGGAGTGGGATTTGTCCTATAAGATAGCAAGACGTTTTAAAGGTATAGTAATTAGGACAGTATGGTACTGGTACAAGGCTAGAGAAATTGATGTGTAATCGGAGTAGAGCCCACAAAGTTTCTGAATACCTACAGAAACTTGCAAATTGCTGGAGAAAGAATGAATTCTTCAGCAGAGGTGAAAAAGTATCCAGTTGGACTCCTACCTCATACTTTTCACGACAAACAATTCCTAGTAAACTAAAGACAAATGTGAAAGCAAATCTATAAAACTTTTGTGAGGCAGTAAAGAAAAGCATTTTTGTAATCTCCATAGAAGGAGTGATTTTTTTTCCCTTCAGCTGGTTGAATCCAAGCTTTATAAAATATCTTTTCATAAGCAGTTATAGTATTTCCAGTTGGGCACAGGCAACAAATGATAACAGGTGGTAACAACTTGGAAACTACCCTCCTAGCTAGACTACTAAAAAAGAAGTTATGTAAAACCCTGCCTAAAACCATGTCAATCTGATAACCAATGAAGTCTTCCTTTGATGTTTAGAACAGAAAATGTTTACAGAGGGGTGGACACTCCACATTTAGGATGTAGTTTAAGAGTTTTGCACAAGCAGCTTCCCAAGGTCATCACCAGAAAGGGTGTGTTGTCCAATGTATTGGTATCCAAGACACAGTTGATTTGGGGGTGCCAGGGCCCAACACGCCTCTTGGTTTAAACAAATAAAGTCCATGCTGGTGGCACAAGGGAAGGAAAAGAGGAAGCAAAGATTTGCTTTCTTTCACTACCGGGCTTTCCTGCATGGGTCTGGCATGTGTAGATATTATGGAATTCCTCCTGGGCACCAAGAGGAACTCTCAAATACTAAGTACAAAATCCTGTTTCCTCCCTTGCAATCCAGCTCCCGCAACATAGACTTTCTATTAGTGGTCTTTCCCCCTTCCCCAAAAGATAACCATGAAGCATTCTTTGTGCTAACAGCACAGCTTTAAAGAGAAGTAAACCAAAACTCTGTTCTTTATATAGGTTGATTTTTAAGAACTCTCAAACTGTCAATTCACTGGAAGCTCAGAGCCACTGAAAGCTCAGAGCCACTAGAAGCTCAGAGCCACTGGAAGCTCAGAGCCACTTCTCCAGCCTTCCACTTTCTGTGTCTGGACCATGGAACATCTCTCTTCTGCAGGGCTGTTCCCTTCCTTGATGCATCTGCTTTTCCCTTTCTCACTTTAGGCAGCTTCTGTCTCTGATTTGCAGGGTCCTTCTTAGGCCTGGTCTCTGGTTTTGGAGGGGTAGGTTTAGAAAATAATCCTGCTGATCTCCTCTGTAACTCAAACTAGCCTTTACTTTGTCACTCATAGCACCTTCACTGGGCTTTCTCTTAGGCATGATGATGACAGTGAATGGCAGGTGGGCTGGCTTTCATAGTCCAAGGGTTACCTCCATCTGTTTTCTCATGCTACTCTGGAAGAGATTCCTAGGTCTCACAGCTGGTCAGAGGCAGAGCCAGTGCTCCTGCCTGCAGGCCACCTGGCAGACTGGTGGACCACAGGACTGTGGGTAGCATGGACGTACATGTGACATTTCTTCCCAAATAGACCCCTCCAAAGAATCACAATGTCAGGTGGACTTGATGGTATGGCCAGAGGGGTCCTTGTAAGGATCCTGAAACCCCCAGGGCCCCCAGATCCTACACAAAGTAGATGATCCAGGTTGCCAGGTGCATCCTGTAAAGGTTGACTTTCAGTCTCCTTTGGGGCTCCTTGTTATGTTCCCGAAGGTTCTCCTAATGGCTTACTATGTTTAGCCATGGCTTTTGCCAAGATAAAAATGTTAGCTCCAGGAGGATCCAAATGGCAATCCTGGAATAACTGTGGAGCTTTGACTGATTAAGTTACTTGGCATCTACCCATTTCCTACATCTTTGACTTTCCGACACTGAAAAAAAAAAATGCATAATCTTAGGAATAAATCAAAGTCTCTTTTGGTGCCTCAAAGCTGAAGCATGAAAAATATTTTGGTGCCATTTGTAGTCTATCCTGAACAGCTTCCTGGACAAGCCTAGAGACATTTAATAGGTTAATCCGTAGAAGCTGGACCCCATAAGTGACACTTACCCTGTTTTGATCTAATAAATTAGCTATTCTATGGACCCAGTCACAAAGGAAGAAAAATATGATTTAAAACCAGAGATTTTCTCCATTTAAAAATACGGAAGAAGAAAGAACGCAATCAGAAATAGTTGATCATCTAAACCTTGTCACTTAAAGACATTCTAGTTAACTACCAAAATGTCTATCAAATGTCTTCTCAGACTTCACATTAGACTTTTATAGTTCTTCTGCCAATGTCATAGGTTTTAGAATTCCCTCAGGGTTTTAGCACACTTACTGCAGGACATTGGTTACAGAATTGGTTTTTTCCAGGACATCATTTATTGTCCCATCAGATAATTTAAACACACATGCATACAAACAAACAAAACAATTCACACTTCCTAATGAATGTGAATTTGTTTGCTTTTGGTGTATATATGGATAAATTATGTTTGAGTTATTTTGAGAGTCCTACACCTTACATTCGATCCAATATTCTTTTTTTTTTTTTTTTTTTTTTTTTTTTTTTTTGAGATGGAGTCTTGCTCTGTCACCCAGGCTGAAGTGCAATGGTGTGATCTTGGCTCACTGCAACCTCTGCCTCCTGAGTTCAAGTGATTTTCCTGTTCCAGCCTCCTCGGTAGCTGGGATTACAGGTGTCTGCCACCACGACCGGCTAATTTTTGTATTTTTAGTAGAGACAGGATTTCGCCATGTTGGTCAGGCTGGTCTCGAACTGCTGACCCTAGGCGACCCACCCACCTTGGCCTCCCAAAGAGCTGGAATTACAGATGTGAGCCACCACACCTGGCCTAGATCCAATATTCTATAGTCAGAAGTTTAAATAGTAAGAAAGTTTAAAAGGCCCTATTGCTAGTTAATTCTGGAGAAGGAGGGTAGAGAGAAGATATATGTGAGGGAAATATTAATGTCCTGATATTTAAGAACAAGTATAAAAGCTTTACTTCTTTGTATCTATAAAACCAAATTAATTTCTGATCTGTTGGATTGTAAAGATTTATTGGTCTGGAGTTGGAGTGCGGTGAGGGACAACAAAGGCAGGAGCAAAGAAGGAGGAAATGAAGGTCAATAAGGAAGAAGTACAGCATGTTTCATTACTTTACTCAGAATCTCAAAATGAGAAAATGTAGAAACCCCTTAGCTTAATAAACTTGACATAGGAAACTAGTCAGGCAGAGGTGGTACATGAAAAGGCTGAGGCATGTGAAAACAAATGCATGTCTTTTTTCTCTTCTTGTCTGGTTTTCATAAGAATCTACTTTTATTTAGAGTGTGGTCGTTTCAAGAAATTCACATTCCACCTGCTTCCTTTTAAATGTAGATAAAGAAAGTTAACATTGGTTACCATCAAATTCCATAAATGCAGAGCAGTCAGTGCAAATTTGCAGACAGGCCAGAAAGCTCTACAGGACTTATGGTACACTTTACTCATTTTATGACTTGGAGAGGGTGAAAAGCTGATAATCGGTGGGTCCAAAGGTGTTTATCCTTACCTGAGTCAGTGCTAATTATTTGATGATGCAAGTTTTGCATTTTGTGTTTGTATCTGTTTTGTCTGAGGTTTGGAATTTTTATTCTGTGTTGTGAAATTGCTTAAAAATGCACCAAAGTCTGATGGGGTTTTCCTTGAATTTCCTTGAATTTCAGGAACTGCAAAACACAGCCGTGGCGGAAGGCCAGGTGGTGGTTCTGGAGTGCCGGGTCCGTGGGGCACCCCCTCTGCAGGTCCAGTGGTTTCGGCAAGGGAGTGAAATCCAAGACTCTCCAGATTTCCGAATTCTACAGAAAAGTAAGGAGAAGTGCCCATGTCCCCAAATCTGACCATTTTATTCTCTCCAGCTTCAAGAAAACCAAGAAGGGCTAAGTCATTAAGATGAATTGATCTCTATGTTCAAAGAGTGGCAGGATCAGATAATCTACAGTGTGTTGAAATCCAGTAAATGGAAACTATGACCCCCTTGACACTCTAATGAAAGTCATATATTCTTTCGTCTTAAAAAATGCATATATACATTTGTACTCAAATTTGCATGAATAATTTTAGGAGGTTTACCAGGCTCCTAGAGCCCATCTATGAACTGCAGTTGGAAAAATTTCTTAGTGTAAGTTGATACAGGAATTTGAGTTTTTATATTTATAGAAATATAAACCGATCTATCACTTTATATCTTTTGTATGATGGAGTTTGACTGTAACATTTCTTCAGACATGTCCTAGACAAGGTAATGGAAAGGAACAAGTAGGTTTTTTTTAATTAAATGGAACCCCATTCTAATACTTTGTTCTAATTTATTTTTTTCATGTGGCAAACAGAACCTAGATCTACAGCTGAACCTGGTAAGAATATTTTTAGGGTTTTTTTTTTTGGTGGTGGGGGAGCAGATAATGTATCTTTTGGGTCTCAATAGTTCTTTCTTTCTACCTTAAAGCCGTAAGCAGAACAATGTTTTTGTGGCTCCCTGGAAATGTGAAACCCCCTTAAAAACAATATCTTCTTTATCATGGAGTCTGTACACTGCATTTTACATCAACGTCTTTATTAGCAAAACATTAAGTTCCATTCAGACAAGAAGGTCAAGCTCAGTGACTTCATGCTTTTTAAAATACAGTCTTTTAGGCTCAGAAAGCAAACTAAGCTGATGATGAAAAAACATCCTCCTAAAATTCCAGTAGAGAAGGACAATCTACTGCCTATTTGTACTGATCAGAACCCACTAACAACCCCAGCTTAGAAATGTGTCTCAAATGAGAGCAGCTCAAAGAGGTAAGCAAAATGGACCCCCAGGTGTTTCTCATTTGTGTGCCCTGAGCCATAAACTTTTACTATTCTGCAAGCATGAAGAAAGTCATCTTGCCCCCAGATCACTCTTAATTATCAGGTCGTTTGACCAGATCACAGTGCTATGTGATCCAGGAGCCTCGGGCCTAGCTGTTCCCTGCCTCAGACATATTGCGTATTTATGGTTCCTCGTGGAGTGAAATAGTGTTTGTAAAGGAAACAAATTTTTGTCTAGGTACTTCATCGTATGTCCTCCTCAAGACTATTTTCTTTTGTATTTTTCCCATCAGCAGGGTCACAATTTCACTTATTTCTGAACAAAGGGTAGAAAAACAAGTCATTTTCCTGTTTCTCCTGTTTGTTCCTCTGCTTCAGTGTCAAGCAGATCTTGCCACATGTGTCTTAGGAGCCATGACCTTGCTCTGACTCTTCTTGGGGGAACTGGAAAGTCCTCTGTGGGCCACTGCAGGTCAGATTACTGCAGTCAGTCCCTGAACTTCTCACATCTGTGTACTGGATCTTTAAAAGCAGAGTTTGACCCTATTAGGATCCAACGTTTAAGGGAGGCTGAGTAGCATCCTTAGGGAACAACTGGAATTGATCTGCTGCCCTCCTGTCATGAATTATAAGCAGAGCAAGTCCCCCCACTTAATGTGTCAGTCATCACATCAAATACTGTAGTCACTTTCCAGACTGTGGAAATATACAACTGCATATTTTGTCTGTGAAATGTCATTGAATAAAATTGCATAATGCTACTTTTCTAATACATGGATTTTCTGAGATTAAATCTGCTGCATGAGCTAATATGGGAATCCTGTAGGGAGTTAGGGCACATCTTGTGCATTTGCTATTTTAAACAACTTTAGATAGGTAGATATAAAAGTAGGAACCAAATATCTTTTATCTACAAGAAATAGCTTTTTATGTGAAACAAACCTATAAAGCAATTTATGTCTTTTAATGCTTTGTGTATAAATAAGGCTAAAATTTTGAGCCAAAAATTGTAAAAATGTTACTGCTAGCATGAAATAAGGCAGCTTTTGACATTGCGTTTTGGATTCGGAGTGAACTCCTGCAACTCTCTTTTCATCGTGTTGTTATACGTTGTCATCATGCACATAGGTGATGATGATTTATCAAATGTAGGTTGGAAAATCACAAACAGTCATCTGCAAAGTCAAAACATTAGTTAGAAACTGCACAGCTTAGTTTTCAGTATGTGTATATTTGAAAAGGGAAAACACTCAGAATATGCTAGCTAAGGAAGAATAAATTTGGATGAGGAGGGAGGAAGGAAACATCTCCCCCGCACCCTGCGTCTTCATCACTTATCCTACATACGCTCCTTCTGTTTCAGATCTCCCCCGCGCCCTGCATCTTCATCACTTACCCTACATACACTCCTTCTGTTTCACATCTACCCTGCGCCCTGCGTCTTCATCACTTATCCTACATACACTCCTTCTGTTTCAGATCTCCCCTGCGCCCTGCATCTTCATCACTTACCCTACATACACTCCTTCTGTTTCACATCTACCCTGCGCCCTGTGTCCTTATCACTTACCCTATATACACTCCTTCTGTTTCAGTTAGTTTGTTGCTTTGCTTCTAAACTATAGTTTTGATTGTGAATTATTTAATAAAATTAGTCCTAAACAGCTTCATGGAATCACCTGACCTCTAGAACGTACTTAAATGCCATTTGCTTTAATGTAGCAAAATCATGCAGAAAAGAGCAAGATATGGAAGGCCTTCCTTTTAAATCCCTTGTCCTAGCAATGCAGAAAAATGTTTCCTCTTTGTGTTCACTGAATTTTCTTATTTACATAGTTAGATCTGAAAGCGTTTAAGAAAACAGATTCCTTCATTCCAACTACAATAATAGCATTTTCTGAAAAATTTCTCCTGGCAGAGAAATATTTCTAGCAAATCTGTCAATACACCAAAAAATATTATATAGTCAGGAGCTATTAAAAACTAACACAATGAGTTTTCCTGACCTACGATGATTTCTCCACAATTGTTTTTACCATGACACGACGAGACTTTCTTCTTTCCCTTTTACAGCGTTAAAATGCTGTGCTTCAGGAAATCAGCCGTTGGCATGCAGCATTAAATAAAATCCATGATCATGTTTTTTAAACAAAAAAAACCCTTAAACACATGAATGACCACGCAAGTGACTAATTATATGAGTTGTTGTGAGTAAGAACTTCAGAACAAGCAAATGTTACAGTGTATTTGTGCTTAAACAATGTTTTGTCATGCCTGTCAAAACTAGGTATGATTCTTTTACTAGTTGCCAAGTGTTTTCCTTACATTGACCTTGAAGTTGCTATGTCAGAGGAAAAAACAAAAAATAAATATGACTGTTTACCTTCTTTAAATGACCTGATTGACTGTTATATCTAATGGACCTCTGAGCTATTAAACTATATAGAAGTATGTAGGAACCGGCTTCCCTAAAAACTGTTTTCTTAGCCATTGTTAAGTGGAAGGAAGAAAAACAGACGTGACTACAATACATCTGAGGCAAGAGATAAATTTTATAGGACTAGGTCAGTGATATTTTCCAAATGCTAAAACATAAATAGCCTTTGAAATTCAGGAAAACATTTAAGCATTCTGTTTTTATTACTGTCTCTTCCTACCCTCTTCCTTTCCTCTGAGAGAGTCACTCTTGCTCGCTCTCTCCCCCTCCTCTCTGTCTCTTTCTCTCCCCTCACCTCCTTCATTCCCTGCCTCTCTTCCTCTTTCTCCATCTCACTCCCTCATTCTTTTTATTTATTTTTTCTTTACTCTTCTCTTTACTCTCTTCTCTTTACTCTCTTCCTTATTCATGGGCAAGATGTTTTAAAGCTCCAGAAATAAAGTTGAAATTCCCTAGTACCTAGATATAGCCCCATTAGGAATTAGATATTTAGATAAAGAAGGAAATAGCAGGTTGTCTCCAAATGGATCTGTGCAACTGAAACAGGTTTTTCTTGTCACTGCTGCGTCGTATCTGTCTGATGTGTTTTACACTCCCCTCTCTGTCTAGACAGAAGTCAGCTTGCATCACAAATCTTTTCAGACTGTTTTGTGAATTAATAGCTAGTCAGCTTACTTAAGACCAACATCCGTTTGTCATAGTACCTTCTCTGGCCTTCTTTGAAATTCTGACTTTGTACTGATAGACTCCTTCAAAGACTAGTCTGGGGGTGGGGGACACAGAAGACTCATTTGACAGCTGTTAATACTCAGTCTCTTACTCACTCAGCTGTCTGGAAACAGCCACAAACTGTGTTGAGTTACTTCTATAGCACTGTCTAATAGCGTGCAAAATTAAAAACACAAAAACGCGTCTTACTGGTTGTGGAATTATACATATAAAAGTATATTGCCTCCTGCTTTCAATTTTAATTTCTGCTCACCAGTGTGACCCATGCTAGATCTTGTACGGTAGAGTCTAGGCTTTGATTCTCTGATTCAAAATATAAAGTAAGTTACACTTAGTTAAATGTACTAAGGTGCTGTTGTAGGAGGGCAATGATAGGGATGTTTCTTGAGATCCCAGTAGATTGTATGCAGTAAAAACTTAATGCATGTTCTAGGTTAGGACGGTGGGTTGAACAAAAGTAGGCCATATGAAACTTATAGTTCACCAAGAGTGTGACAGGATGCCCTGGGGTGCCACACCACGCTGACAGGGATGCTGTAATATATTTGAAATTTTTTTATGCAAACACATTCAAACTTGACATTTGACAGATATGACACAATGACTGGCTTGAACTAGTTCAGAATTTCAACATTAGATCACCCTCCATTCTTTTCTATGACATAATCTCTTTGTGAAACTGAGTTTTTGATGAGTGTGTGATAAAAAGTAAGTACCTCATGAAAATCCATGTAAAACATGAAATGAGGCTGGCTCATCCAATCTGATTCCAAGAGAGGTGGTACAGTGCCCAGCAGATGCACACAGCCATTAGTAAGAAATAGTGGTTATTTAAGAATAAAATAATAGTATTTTTCTTTCAATTTATATGTATTTTTAAACACTAAATTGTTTAGGCATAAACACTTATTAAGTTCTTTGGAAATAACTACATAACAAACATAACTATTAGTTATGTCTTTTGGCTTAGGAGCACCATTTAAAAAGTATTGAGAAACTTAGAGTCCCATGAACCAAGAAAGTTTGTTTTACTCTCTAGAGGAGGAGTGTCCAATCTTTTGAATTCCCTGGGCCACACTGGAAGAAGAATTACCTGGGGTCACATATAAAATACACTAACACTAATCATAGCTTTTGAGCTTAAAAAAAAAATCTCATAATGTTTTAGGAAAGTTTATGAATTTATGTTGGGCCACATTCAAAGCTGTCCTGGGCCACATGTGGCTCAGAGGCCACGGGTTGGACAAGCTTGCTCTAGAGGGAGAGGGGGAAGACTCAAGACACATTTGAGTACACAGCAAAAAGAAAATTGAGTGGGTTTTGAAATTCTTAATGCCAAATGTGCCTATTTCCAGTCCTCTTCCAGGACTCACATTCCAGCCTGCTGGCCTATGAACTTTACCTCTCTCAGCAGAGACTGAAGGACTCTTCTCTGGGCAATTTAAACATCCCGAGAGAAAAAATAAATCCAAAGATAATGATTTGGGAGTTTCTCTTATAAAGATGCCACTTAGATTGTGCTATAGGGAAGGCCAAAGTGGATAAGTTCCTCTCTTATACTCAGAGCTTAATAAACTCCCATCCCTGTCAGACAAGCAGAGAGAAAAGGCATCTGGAGAAAACCTCTAGCATGAATGATATAGAAAAAAACAAGTGACCTTCCTAAAAGGGAACTTTGAGAAAATGGGTTTGCAAAGAGAGGAAAATGTAAAACAAAAACAAACAAACAAAATCTCTCTTAAAGGATCCAAGGAAATCATTCCACCCAAGAAATAAAAATGAAAAGCTAGAAAAAAAAAAGAGAGGGGAGGACACTTGTAAAACAGAGTTCTTGAAATGAAAAGTTCATAGCAGAAATAAAACGAGCAGATGTCCCACAAAGTACAGCAAAATGACGAAGAAGGGATGTAAGAGAGAAAAGGCAACAAAGTTAGAGATGCATAGCTGAATAACTGGGATTCCAGAAGGAGAGAAGAAAGAAGCGGCGAGAGACAGGATTATCAATGAAATAATTTTTTTAAAGTTCCCCAAACTGAAAGTTATCAATTGCCAGATGGAAAAATCCACTGATTGCACAACATATGGAATAAACCCAGACCCAGGCACGTCATCATGAAATTCAGAATTTCCAGGACAAGGAGATCATGTTATAAGTGTCCTGGGAGAAAACATCAGGTTATATATACAAACTAGCAAGATGCAAATAGCTTAGGCCTTCTCAGCAGTCACACTAGACACAACGAGACAATGAAGCAAGAACTTCAAAATTGTGAAAAAAGTTACCTACAACTTGGAATTCTGCCCCTAGGCAAAACTTCACATGGAAATCTAGCAAAGATATTTTCAGACTTGTAAGATCCCCCAAATTTTCCTCTGGAACCCGACAGTGTGCTCCACCACAGCAAGAGAATTAATCCAGAAAGGACAAGATGTAGAGGTGGGGTACAGGAAGCAGGAGATCACATAGAAGCAAGAGGCAAAGGGCATCCCCAGGAGGGTGACAGCTGTGCATCAGGAATGAAGGGCAAGTTCAGATTGAAGCCTCGTGTCTCGAGGGACAAATGCAATGAGGCTTTCATCATTAGGAGGTTCATTGCCTCTGGTCCAGCCCGTCTTTTATTTGGATGACAGAATGGCAGGGCGGTAAGCCTGACCCAGAAATCTCATGTCTACTTGGGCTGTCCTGCTCTCCCCTCCATGGACTGTCACCTGGATCAGCTGGGAACACTCATCTTACCCCCACAGAAGCGTTCTGCTTTGGTCAGTCCTGACATCTAGAAGTCGGCCATGTTGAGTTTAATTAACCCATCTATGCCTGAGGTTGCAATTTTTTGAATTTTTGCAATCAGACCTTGACGATGACCTTGAGCAGTAGGATATAAGTAACTCCCAAATGCTTAGCATTCCAATAATGGAACACTAGGCATAAATGGGTAAAAAGCAGAAAATACCAGCAATCTCATTGCTGGATATATACCCAAAAGAAAGGAAGTCAGTATATCAAATAGATATCTGCACTCCCATGTTTGTTGCAGCACTATTCACAATAGTTAAGATTTGGAAGCAACCTAAGTATCCATCAACAGATGCATGGCTAAAGGAAATGTGGTACATATACTCGATGGAGTACTATTCAGCCATAAGAAGGAATGAGATCCTATCATTTGCAACAACATGGATGGAACTGGAGCTCATTATGTTAAGTGAAATAAGGCAGACACAGAAAGACAAACATCACATGTTCTTACTTATTTGTGTGATCTAAAAATCGAAACAGTAGAAGGATGGCTACCAGAGGCTGGGAGGGGTATTGAGAGGCTGTGGGGGGAGATGCAGATGGTTAATTGGTACAAAAATATAGTTAGAAAGAAAGAATAAGACCTAGTATTTGATAGCACAACAGGGTGACTGTAGTCAATAAGAAATTAATTGTACATTTTAAAATAACTATAAGAGTGTAATTGGATTGTTTAATTGGAGTATAATTGGATTGAATAACTAAAAGAATAAATATTATAGGGGACAGATACCCTGTTCTCCATGATGTGATTATTTCACACTGCATGCCCTTATCAAAACATGTCATGTACCCAGTAAATATATATACTTCCTATGTAACCACAATTTTTTTTAATTTAAAGAAACAAAATATGGAGATACCATCTCCAGCAACAACTATATTCCTGCTGGATGCCCACATGAGGCCCCACCAGACTGCTCCACCGAGTGAGCCTTATATTTCCCAGATTCACTCAAGACCTTACCCACTGAGTGCCCCGTGGGGCTTTTGGAAACTTTCAAGGACGTTGAATCTAGTTGATGGCCCAAGATGGTTCTTGGGATCTTTTTCCTAACAGTGACAAGGTTACTTTTTCTTTAGTCAGCCAAGATTTGTGCTCACTACTTAATTTTTTTAAACTAAAGAATGCATTTTTTAAGGATACATACATATATGGTAAACACATAAAGAAAATCGAAGGAATTATTATCTCAAAGGAGAAGGAAAATTAAATTGGGGAGAGCCTATGAGGTATTTCTAAAGCACTGGGAATGTTTTATTTCATAGACTTGAGGATAGATACACAGGGGTTCATTTCACTGTTATTCGTTAAATGGTACATTTTAAATATCCTTCTTTATATATGATATTAAATACAATTGACAATTTAAAAAAATCCTTTGCAATTTTTTTCTTTTCTGAGACAGAGTCTTGATCTGTTGCCCAGGCTGCAGTGCAGTGGCATGATCTTGGTTCACTGCAACCTCTGCCTTCCAGGTTCAAGTGATTCTCCTGCCTTAGCCTCCCAAGTAGCTGGAATTACAGGCATCCACCACCACGCCCAGCTAATCTTTGTATTTTTAGTAGAGATGGGATTTTGCCATGTTGGCCAGGCTGGTCTCGAGCTGCTGACCTCAGGTGATCCACCAGCCTCAGCCTCCCAAAGTGCTAGGATTACAGGCGTGAGTTACTGCACCCAGCCTCCTGTGCAAATATTGATACAAGCATTACATTTACCCACACTGGATTTCATCTTGTTGATTTTAGCTCAGAGTTCTTTTTTACCAACTGTGTTAGCCAAACCATGTGGTGTGAAAGGTAAAAGCTGGATTTCTTTTTTAGGGACTTGGGACAAAAAAAAAAAAAACAGTTGCAAAGGAAGCCATTTATGAAAATGTCCCCTTATTACCCAGGGAACCCAGTAATCTTATCCTTGCTGCCTCATCATTTTATGAGTTTCCACAAACAAAATGGTTTTTATTTGTATTTAACCAAGTGTTAAGTAGGTCCAGGAACTTGAATGCAATTCAAGGTTGCCTTCTGGGAGATATTGCTGTGATTTTGTAATTTTTAGGTAACTATAAAGAACAGAATTTATCACCAGTAAAAACAGTTTCTGATTTAGTAATTTATTAAATGCCCTCAAATCAAAACCTTAGGAAATCCAAACATGGGAAAATTAGATTAAAATGCATCATAATTAAGGTTATTAATAACTTTAAATTTTTCCATTTATACTGGAGACAGTTTCTTTAGTACAGATAAGTAAGTCTCTAAATCCCTTTATGTGACATAAGCAGTCATTTTCTGATTTCCATTCCTTACCAAAATTTATTTTACAGATGTCTTATACGTCTTTGTTCGAGTGAGATGCCACCAGATGAAAATTCAGTATTACAACCTGGCTCATCTCATTTCCTCATGGCTTTCTTCATTTTTATAATGTCAGAACCATACAAGCTATGATGCTTCTTTCTCTCAACAAAATGTGAGCCTCTTGTCACTGTTGGATGAACTTTTCTTTGAGAAGAAAAGCTGAGGAACCTGTGGGACATTGTATTCAAATTTTATCTAGTTAAAAAAAAATTATCTAGCAAAAATTGCTGTGACATTTCAATGCATGAGGATCACTAAAAGAACATCCTAGTGTTTATTTTTTATTTTTCTATTTTTGTTCTTTAATTCTGTAATTTTTCTAAATGTTCCACGTGAACTATATACAGGCATATACCTTATTTATGCATGGAAGTATTCCTATAAAATCATACACAATGAATTCTGCTCAATCAACTTTGAAACACACAAAGGAAGCTTGTAGGAAAATTGGTCTTACTGAGAATTCCTTTAGAAAATAGTCTTTTTACAAAGCAAGTGTTTTTTTCCTTCATCTAAATTTCATGCATGCATTTATTTAAACATAATTATAGGGAGCCTACCATGTGTGAGATGCTAAGAATATGGCCATGAACAAAAATTGTTTCTGCACTCAGAGGTTATATTTCAGCGAACCAGAAACTAACAAACTAATTACACAATAAATTATTTAGCAGGGTGAGGTGGCACATAGTCCCAGCTACCCAGGAGGCTGAGGCAGGAGGATTGCTTGAGCCCAGGAGTTCAAGGCTGCAGTGAGCTATGATCATGCCACTTCACTCCAGCCTGGGCAACAGTGAAACCCCTGTTTCTAAAAAAAAGATTTTAAAAATAAAATAAAACAAAATTGCACCAGCTTTATTTGATTTTGTGATTGTCTTCTACTGTCTGTTAAAATCTCCCACTAGAGGCCTGGGCAACAGAGCAAGACCCTACCTTTATGAGTCAATAGATAGATAGATATTATTTAATTACAGTTGTGATGATATTATTTGTGATAGATATTATTTCATTACAGTTGTGATGTCTCCAAAAAAGTTTACCATCCTAAAATTGCTTTAAGGTGGTCAAACTGATTAAGTTTAATAAAAAAAGGGATTCTCTGAGAAAGTAATGTTTGTGGGGAAACATAAGACTGAGTAGGAGAGTGCCAAGTACTCCAGGAGGAGCCAGGGCTTAGAAACTTACCAGAGCGTGGCTTCACAAGGAGCTGCCCCAGAGCCCATGTGCCCAGTGCTCAGAAGGCAATGATGTGCGAGGCACAGAAGGAGCCTGACAAGAAGCAGGGACCTAATTATGCAGGGCTTCAGAGACCATGTTAAAATTTTTTATTTTATCCTCAAAGTCATGGAAGGATGGGAGGATGATAAAATTTCGTTCTTATTAAGAGAGCCCTCTGATTTAGAAGGGGCAACTGTATATTCATCCTCAGGTTTTCTGAAAAATGGCATGACTAAAAGAACCACAAAGTCGTAGAAGCATCAGAAGGAATTCTTTACAAGTCATCAAGATCATCGATCTAAAACCACTTTATATTATCCCTACTGAATAAAATTGTATCCTGTTTTTAAATGTAGGTTTCAAGGCACAGAATTATGTCTATGTTTATAGTTGAAGCATCCTCAGGCATTGAACTGGCAAGGACATTTCTCTCAGTGTTCCCAGAACCTCTGTCTTTCCAGGTGTAGATGATTCAAGGTTGAGAGAAGTGCTTCCCAGAGAGCACTAAGCCCTGGGAAGATAGTCCAGGGACGTAAGCCCTGGTTGTCTAGGCAGGAAGTGCCCAGGTGTTACTGAAAGCTGAGAAGCCTTCACCACTCACAGCAGCATCTGCGAAGGGAGAAGGAAAGTGACTTAGCACTGCCTGAAGCCCACTACTCCAAACCTCGTAAGAAGGGGCTGTTAAGCATGTCCACATTACAAGCTTATATCCTGTTCCAATGTGTCTTATACCTCAGAGGACATATTGCCCTCCCCTTGTGCAGATGAATAATTCTCATGAATCATTTGGATAATGAGAATAATTAGTTTTTTCAGCATCGGGAAACTCCATTTCCTGACTTAAATCTTTCATTACCTTACTTTATGTAAGATTTCTTGTGTCCTGAACTAGGAAAAATGCAGAACTAGAGAGGCTAGAAAAAAAGAACATCAGCTCTAGAAAAAAAGAACATCAGCTCTAGAAAAAAAGAACATGTGCTCTAGAAAAACAGACCATCAGCTGGGTGTAGTGGCTCACTCCTGTAATCCCAGCACTTTGGGAGGCTGAGGCGGGTGGATCACCTGAGGTCAGGAGTTCGAGACCAGCCTGACCAACATGGTGAAACCCTGTCTCTACTAAAAATACAAAAAAAGTTAGCTGGGCATGGTGGTGTGCACCTGTAATTCCAGCTACTTGGGAGGCTGAGGCAGGAGAATCACTTGAATCTGGAAGGCGGAGGTTGCAGTGAGCCAAGATAGCACCATTGCACTCCAGCCTGGGCGACAAGTGAAACTCCATCTCAAAAAGAAAGAAAAAAAGAACATGCGTGTCGGAGATGGGACGCCAACCTTCAGCATTTTGGCTCTAGCATTAATTAGCCAGGACCCTGAGAGAATCACTTTGAACACCCAGGATTCATTGATATTGAGCCTGAAGAAATGAGGGATTTGACCTAATCAATCTCTTACAGTACTGATCTTGTATGTCCCCTTCTATGGCTAACCACACTTTTAACTCATTCTGTAACCATATGCATTCAATTTAAAATTTCCCAATCCCTTGTAACTTTCCAGAGACATCTCACTTTCCAAATGATTAATCTTTTTTTTAACTTTGTTTTTATTTTATTTATTTATTTATTTTATTTATTTATTTATTTATTTTTTATTATTATACTTTAAGTTTTAGGGTACATGTGCACATTGTGCAGGTTAGTTACATATGTATACATGTGCCATGCTGGTGCGCTGCACCCACTAACTCGTCATCTAGCATTAGGTATATCTCCCAATGCTATCCCTCCCCCCTCCCCCCACCCCACAACAGTCCCCAGAGTGTGATATTCCCCTTCCTGTGTCCATGTAATCTCATTGTTCAGTTCCCACCTATGAGTGAGAATATGCGGTGTTTGGTTTTTTGTTCTTGCGATAGTTTACTGAGAATGATGATTTCCAATTTCATCCATGTCCCTACAAAGGACATGAACTCATCATTGTTTATGGCTGCATAGTATTCCATGGTGTATATGTGCCACATTTTCTTAATCCAGTCTATCATTGTTGGACATTTGGGTTGGTTCCAAGTCTTTGCTATTGTGAATAGTGCCGCAATAAACATACGTGTGCATGTGTCTTTATAGCAGCATGATTTATAGTCCTTTGGGTATATACCCAGTAATGGGATGGCTGGGTCAAATGATATTTCCAGTTCTAGATCCCTGAGGAATCGCCACACTGACTTCCGCAATGGTTGAACTAGTTTACAGTCCCACCAACAGTGTAAAAGTGTTCCTATTTCTCCACATCCTCTCCAGCACCTGTTGTTTCCTGACTTTTTAATGATTGCCATTCTAACTGGTGTGAGATGGTATCTCATTGTGGTTTTGATTTGCATTTCTCTGATGGCCAGTGATGATGAGCATTTTTTCATGTGTCTTTTGGCTGCATAAATGTCTTCTTTTGAGAAGTGTCTGTTCATATCCTTTGCCCACTTTTTGATGGGGTTGTTTGTTTTTTTCTTGTAAATTTGTTTGAGTTCATTGTAGATTCTGGATATTAGCCCTTTGTCAGATGAGTAGGTTGCGAACATTTTCTCCCATTCTGTAGGTTGCCTGTTCACTCTGATGGTAGTTTCTTTTGCCGTGCAGAAGCTCTTTAGTTTAATTAGATCCCATGTGTCAATTTTGGCTTTTGTTGCCATTGCTTTTGGTGTTTTAAGACATGAAGTCCTTGCCCATGCAGGCTACAGTAACCAAAACAGCATGGTATTGGTACCAAAACAGATATATGGATCAATGGAACAGAACAGAGCCCTCAGAAATAACGCCACATATCTACAACTATCTGATCTTTGACAAACCTGAGAAAAACAGGCAATGGGGAAAGGATTCCCTATTTAATAAATGGTGCTGGGAAAACTGGCTAGCCATATGTAGAAAGCTGAAACTGGATCCCTTCCTTACACCTTATACAAAAATTAATTCAAGATGGATTAAAGACTTAAACATTAGACCTAAAACCATAAAAACCCTAGAAGAAAACCTAGGCATTACCATTCATGACATAGGCATGGACAATTTTTAATTATTTAAAAGATAGAGAACCATATACCTGTTTGTACCTTAAAAAATTTGTATGTTGACTGGACGCGGTGGCTCACGCCTGTAATCCCAGCACTTTGGGAGGCTGAGGCGGGTGGATCACGAGGTGAGGAGATCCAGACCATCCTGGCTAACACAGTGAAACCCCGTCTCTACTAAAAATACAAAAAAATTAGCCGGGCGGGCGCCTGTAGTCCCAGCTACTGGGCAGGCTGAGGCAGGAGAATGGCATGAACCCGGGAGGCGGAGCTTGCAGTGAGCCGAGATTGCGCCACTGCACCTCCAGCCTGGGCGACAGCACGAGACTCTGTCTCAAAAAAAAAAAAAAAAAAAAAATGTGTATGTTGTATTTGTATTACCTATTCAAAAAAATAAAAATTTTTAAATGGTAGAGATAAATCTTAAGAATAAAGAAAAAGAAGACAATTCAGGAAACTACATTTGGTTCTGTTTTTACAGACTCAATAGGAGGGGTTGCAAAGCTATCAAGACAAGTGGGAGAAAAAGACCAAAAAGATCCTGTCTTTGTGATTATAGGATCATTATAGTAGATCAAATATTTGGTCAATTTTTTAAAATACTGCATAATGAACTAGAATTTTAATTTCAGAAGTTTGAAATAAACTTTTAATTTTTAATTGCCTAAAAATTTTAATTCTATATTATATTTCCTACTTACATCTTATATTTCAAAAAATTTTTGCCAAAGAAAGTTTCTGGCAAACATTTTTGCTTGCAGGTGACTTAACTGCGTTTTTAAGACAGCACAATTTTGAAGGAAAGAGAGAAGGAGGGCTTAAAAAACTATACCATTGTCATGTGGGCATTAAGAGTGTAAGCTTTTGGAGTTGGAATAGACCTGATGATTTTCTCATTCAAGTTTAATTCATGTAAAAGATGTGTCTCAACCCCTTGATAAGATTACAGGAAACTCAAAGGCAGGAACCATTAATTATCTCCATATCTGCAGCTATAAAATATTAAGACAGTGTACTCTTAAAAATGCTTAACAAGTGGGTAGATGACTATAAAAGCTTCTAGGAGCTGTTCATGGATGGAGATTCCAGACTTTATCTCAAAAAATTTTCTCGACATCTTAAAACCTTTCCTTAACAAGTCTTTCCATTCATTTAACCCACCTTCTGCTCTCTTGCTGCAATTAGGAACCGTTTGTTCTTATTGTTCTTCAAGAAAGATGTAGAATGTTTGAGCAACTTCTTCCTGATTTTAATGTCTTTGCATTTATGATACCCATCACAGTGTTTTACTTAAATTAGCATTTTTGGCTTTCTTTTTTTCTTTTGAGACAGAGTTTCACTTTTGTTGCCCAGGCTGGAGTGCAGTGGCCCGATCTTGGCTCACTGCAACCTCTGCCTCCCGGGTTCAAGCAATTCTCCTGCCTCAGCCTCTCAAGTAGCTGGGATTACAGGCACCTGCCACCATGCCTGGCTAATTTTTTTGTGTGTGTTTTTAGGAGAGATGGGGTTTCACCATGTTGCCCAGGTTGGTCTTGAACTCCTGACCTCAAGTGATCCGCCTGCCTCGGCCTCCCAAAGTGCTGGGATTACAGGCATGAGCCACTGCGCCTGGCCTTAAATTACCATAAATGGATGAATACTTAATATAGATTTCATTGCCCTTTACTTTTTTTATTATGGTTAAAGAAACATATAACATGAAATCTACCTTCTTAAATTTTTAAGTATACACTACAGTATTGTTAACTGTATGCTTAATGTTGTGCAGCAGATGTCTAGAACGTTTTCATCTTGCATGAGTGAAACTATGCCCACTGAACAGCAACTGCCATTCCTCCTTGCCCCCAATGCTTGGCAGCCAGCATTCGACCTTCTGCTTCTAAGAGTATGACTAGTTTAGATACCTCTTAAGTGGAATTTTGCAGTATTTCTCCTACTGTCATTGCCCTTTACTTTTACCTCAACTAAATAATTTAGATTCAATGTAGAACACAAAATTAATAATAGAACATAAAGAATAAACTAAGTTTTTCACACCCCATTCAAACATCAAATTGAATAATATGCTGAAAGAATAAGGTGTGTGTTTTTACAACTCTTGCAATTTTAAACCTGTATTAATATATCTTAGAAATGAGTTGACCTTGAGCTACACTACAATGCTAAACTCTCAGAAGCTTATAATCACCGTAGTCCTCAGATCTTTCCTAAGGAACGTAACATTTTGACACAGAAGAATCCTTGCATTTTAGCTTTTAACAAAATCTCAAGCAGTCTGTTAACCAGATTACCATCAGCATCATCAGAAATGGGGAAAAGGAAAGGCTTTGGTGGGTGGGGCAGGGGGTTGATAAAACCTAAGAATGGAGTGAGAAATCGAGTAAAACTCAATGATGCCTATAGGCCATATTACTTGGTAATACAAAAAAATAGATATATATATTTGACCCAATAACACGACATCAAAAACTATATAGTTTGATAATACTTGGACAAATTTTGAAATGATAGATACATGAATTTTTTTCTAGAATCAAATACAACAAACTCTGCATTTGCCTTTGAAGAGTGAGATTATTAAGGGGTATTAGGTATATAAAGGGAATTCGATTATAAAGAGAAACATTTACACTTTATTTTATACTTAGTGTTTAATTTATTTACTTTTGCACTTATTAATTTGATGTATAGGTAAAAAATTAAAATATTTAAAGCTCTCTTCAATAGACAAAAATGTTTTTTTTAAACATATCACTTTTACCTACAGTTAGTACTTCTTTTGTTTCAGGGTTTAAAACATAAAATGTTTTGAAACAGATTTGCTGATTTTCATTATTGATGGTCTGAAACGTTTGCTCTTAGAAGGATGTTAGTGAAGGAGGTTTATCTTATCAAATTCTATGAGTTAGCTACTGCAATACAGTAGAGCACCCCAAAATTTAGTTGCTTAAAGCAGCAACCATAATTCGGTGGGTGAACTATTTGGCTTGACCTCAGCTGGGTGGTTTTTGTGGTCTGTGCCAGGCTAGGCTGACCACAGCTGGGCTGTCTCAGTGCGGCCATGGTCAGCTGCCAGGATGACGAGGAACGAGTCAGTTAGTCTAGGATGGTCTCTTTTGGAAGGGCTTATGTCTGCTCCATATGGTCTCTTCCTCCTACAGGTTAGCACAGCCTTGTTCACCTAAGGGTTCATCAGGGTTCCAAGAGATGGAGCAGAAACAGGCCAGGCCTCTCAAGGATTTGGCTCAGAATTGGCCAACAACATCACTTTCACCACATTCTAGGCTAAAGCAACTCACAGGGCCAGCCCAGGTTCAACGGATGGGGAAATAGACTCTGCCACTTTATGAAGGTGTTGCAGAGGCACATTAAAAAGAGGCATGTCTACAAAGGAAGGAATAATTGCAGCCATTATTACTAAGAAATGTACAATACACGGTCTTATGCTACCCCCAAAATTTGTGAATAACCAATAGAATCACTTTGTGGGAACCCGAAATATATCACTTTTCTTAACGTTTGCCCACATAATTATCTTTATACTGGTACAATATAAGCAATTATTCAACTAGTAAAACTAATTAATACTCTAGATATAGCTTCCTTTTAATGTTAACAGCTAACACTGGCTATGAAGCATTTGCTCTGTGCCAGGCAATGTCCTAAGCACAGTATGTCATATCACAAAAGTAGGTGGTGGTTAGGGTTTGGAGTCTGGACCCCAGCTTGCTTTGAATCCCTATGTTAGTATTTATTAGCTGTGTGACCTTGGGCAAGTGAATTAACCTTATTGTGCTTCCATTTTCTACCTATAAAATGGGCTAATAATAAACTTACATAACTCATAAGATTGACATGATGATTAGATTTAATCTATGTTAAGTGCTGGTAACAATACCTAGTGTATAGTAAGGGTTATATAGCTGTCAGCTCTTGTTATCGTCATCATCATCATCATCATCCCCCTCACAATAACCGTGTGGTGGTTAATTTTGTGTGTCATGCATGACTAATACAAACTCTGTGAGGTAGCTTCTATTATTGTCTCCATTTTACGGAGAAGAACACTGAAGTTCAGGGAGACTGACCAAAGTCACAAAGGCAAGATGTGGCAGGACCCTCATTCAAGCCCTGGCAGCTGTTTCGAGTCTGGGCTTTTCATGCCCTACAACACTGCCATGCCACTTAACAGTACCTTCCAGAATAGTTGTCTACAGGTCAAACATATACAGGTCATGTTCTTTTTTCCCCCGTGGTTAACATTTCAGAAGAGCTTTATTTTCCCCACTGCTTGGTTTGCAGCTGAGCAGATATAAGAGGTAGCTGTATGTACAGAAAGAACTCTGACATGCAATCAGCTTAACTCCTACATGCAAAATACAGAGCTGCACACTTGCAGACATCTCGTTTTATCTTCACAGATAACCCATTGGGTATGTATTATCCCCATTTTATAGATGAGGACACCGAGACTGCTCTTGTCCAACATCACAAAGAATGGGTCTACCTCCAAAGCTTTTTCTGCTAGGCAGAATTGCTAAATTAAATGTAAAGAGATTCTATTGTAAACACTTTTGTAAAGTGAATCTGTAATAATCATAACCTAATTTGTTTGTTGTGGAAAGGTGGAGGGTCTCACTTCTTAAAAGTGACTTCATGGTTCAACTCTGATGAATGATTCTGTTCTCTTCACTTCCAGAGGAGATTTGCACCCTAGTTATCGCTGAGACTTTCCCTGAAGATGCAGGGATCTTTACATGTTCAGCAAGAAATGATTATGGATCAGCAACCAGCACTGCCCAGCTGGTTGTCACCTCAGGTATGTGAGGAGTAAAAAAAATGACTGGGTTCTGTTCCCCAGCACCAGTGTGGATGGCCACAGCAGAAAGGCACCGTCCTGGCCAGGTGCAGTGGCTCACACCTGTAATCCCAGCACTTTGGGAGGCCGAGGCAGGCAGATCACTTGAGGTGAAGAGTTCGAGACCAGCCTGGTTAACATGGTGAAACCCTGTCTCTACCAAAAATACAAAAATTAGCTGAGTGTGGTGGTGCGTGCCTGTAATCCCAGCTACTCTGGAGGCTGAGGCAGGAGAATCACTTGAACCCAGAAGGTGGATGTGGCCGTGAGCCAAGATCATCCCACTGCACTCCAGCCTGGGTGACAGAGTCAGACTCCATCAAGGAAGGAAGGAAGGAAGGAAGGAAGGAAGGAAGGAAGGAAGGAAGGAAGGAAGGAAGGAAGGAAGGAAGGAAGGAAGGAAGGGAGGGAGGGAGGGAGGGAGGGAAGGAAGGAAGGAAGGAAGGAAGGAAGGAAGGAAGGAAGGGACAAAGCGACTGTCCCAGGAAGAGAGCTCAGCTCAGCCTTCAGGAATCTGGCCACTCCAGGAGTCACCCTAACAATCTAAGTTCATCGTGAAACAAAGGCTTTAGGGGAGGGGAGAAGAAGGAGTGAAGTGGAGATGACAAACAAAAAGATAATGATCGTGTAGCAACTGAACACACAGGGGGCTTTCTTTAAAATCGTGCAGTCTTGGTCTTGGAAACGATGGAGCTGGTTTCCTAACATCCTCCCGCTAACCTAGAATCATATTCACATTGGAAAGCCACCTCTGCATCAGAGGTGCAGTCACTTTCTCAGCAGTGCCAACACATGAGATCTGGAGATACTTGTACAAATAAGCCATTGTCTGATCCACTGTTGAAACTTCTGAAAAGGTAATACAAGATAAGCCTTCTTGTATAAAATGTAATACAAGATAAAACTCAGAGAAGCTGTAAAGGCCTTCAAACTCAAATTTCACTGATAGTCTGTATCAATGATAGTATATAACTAATATGAAAAAGAAAGCAATGTATTGTATTATTGAAGTCAATTTTCAAAAATATATGGATATTTTCTAAACTCAAAAACTTACCACTAGGGAAGGCAATATGAAACAGCTTTTTTTCTTTTTCTTTTCTTTTCTTTTCTTTTTATTTGTCTGTTTTCTAGTTACTAATGAGCATTAGCTTACTTTAATTGCCTCATCTCTGCCATTCATCTTAAAGATATTTTTAAAATATGTTTTTGACCAAGCCTGGAACATAATGTACATAGTAGGGAATCAATAAATGGGTCATTTGTTAAATGATACGGACTTGGAGAGAACAACTGAATTGTACTTGGATTCCTTCAGAAGAGCAAGAACTTGGTGCTAGGTGGCAGCAGAGACACAACCAAAACTTATTTAGGGACCTTAGAGTGGCAACTGTAAATGCTTTTTCATCTTCATTAAGAAAAGAAATGGGAGGGTCATCTTAAGTGGGAAATGGTTTCTGTGAATGACTACTGTAAGTGCTGAAAGAAACCTAAGTGTCAGGATCAGAGTTACAGAGCAAAGAGGACCCCAGCGTTTTGATTCCGAGTTGGCTTCAACACTGTCCCATCAAATGGCCATAGCAGGAGTGCAGTGTTTAAACAATATGGCCAAAACCCTGGGCTCTATAAGTCTGAGTGGCAAAAATTTGTGTGTAATATTTTCCATTTGTTTCTGCAGTAAATCTGCTATAGGTCAAACATAATCAACAAATATTTTATTTCTGAGCTTTTTGTTTACCTCAATAAGCATTTTTGAGTGCATGCCAGGAGCTCTGCTGGGCTGTGTGGGCAAGGTGCAGAATCTAAAAAAGACGTGATCTCAAGATGCTTTCAGCCTATTGAGGGCAACAAATAAAAATCTCTTTCGTACTGAGTTATAGTTGGAGCAATCACCTAATATGGAAAAAAATATTTTTATGAGATTATGAAATTTTACTTGGACTCCAAGGTTTACCTTCCCTAGCTTTAGATGAATATCCACATAAAACCTTTACAGCTTGAGCCAATTTGAGTAGTGACAGCTAGGATGTTCAGTCGGACCCATGGACCAAAACGTGAGAGGACAAAGCATTGTTGGTTGATACTGTTTGTGTTGTCACTTTTTTTGCCAAGTTCTATCTTTAGCTCTTGTTTGGAATTTTTATGATTCGGTAGCTGGGTTCCCCAAATGTGAGCTCAGTCAGGAAATGAAACGGTAGCACTCGTTCAAAACAAGCTTGAAAGAACCAGGCCCTCCAGCTGGCAGTGCTTCTGCGTCAGATGAGAGCAGCACAATCACCTCTTCTTTAACAACTTCACACAACACAGGGATTCTCAGAAGACTCTGACAGTGTGAAATCACTTGTTGAACTAGTGGCATCTTCTTATGTTTTTCCTCTCTTTCCCCTTCCTTAGCCAACACTGAAAACTGTAGTTACGAGTCAATGGGAGAATCCAACAATGACCACTTCCAACACTTTCCACCTCCCCCTCCAATCTTGGAGACAAGTTCCTTGGAGTTGGCTTCAAAGAAACCATCTGAGATCCAGCAGGTGAACAACCCTGAGTTAGGCCTGAGCAGGGCAGCCCTTCAAATGCAATTCAATGCTGCTGAGAGGGAAACGAACGGAGTCCATCCCAGCCGTGGAGTAAATGGACTGATTAACGGCAAAGCTAACAGTAATAAATCTCTTCCAACACCAGCTGTCCTGCTTTCACCCACTAAGGAGCCACCACCTCTGCTTGCCAAACCAAAACTGTGAGTATTTCTGCATGGTTTTATAATAATTTCCATACCCCTGTTACATTTCCTGTCTGGTGAGAAAAAAACTTTTGCCTGTATTCAACTATGTGGCAAGTTGGCCTTGACTCATGGGACCTTGCTGCCAAGTGGTGTCTTTCAACAATATAAAAGACACCTAAAAATAAAGAAGGGAAATGAAAAGCTTGGTGAAATCTGCCCTTTGCTGAAAGCTATAACTGGTTATGGCTGTGAAAATATCTGTGCCCAGTGTGGGCTTCCAACATACAGCTAAGGATGTAGCCACTCCCTGGAGGCCATGGAAAAGGGGGATCTACTTTCAGCCCTTTATTAAAAGCATTTCAAAAAGTGAGTATAAGTACTTTGCATTTGTTACTTTAAATATTAAGTATCAGTAAGAAGATCTGATATAGACAAGCGGGGAAAGACTAAAAACTGAGGCTGGAAATTCAGGGTGCAGATCCTGGCAGGGCAATGAAACTGGAGGGAAGCAGGCTTGTGGGCAAGAAGAGCGCCCTTCACAACACAGGCTACTTGGCTTGGAATTCCATGGAGCTGCATATTTCCATGAATACCATCTTCACAGTTGATGTCCATTATTTTCTTAGGATGATAAACCTTGCATGAGCTGTTTCCATTGGCACCGCACAGCAGAGAGTTGTTATGAATGGAGCCATTACAATGTCAGAGAGAGGCAGAAATAAATTAGCTCAAAGGGTTCTACCATAGCGCAAGAGACCCTGAATTACTGCCCTGCCAGAGGTTAGTGGAAATGTAAGAGTCATAGTGAATGTGTATGTATTCTATGAGGTCACATTCCCATGAGAATGTATTTGCCAGAACCTAGGAAAGCCCCTTCTATTTACCCATATCTGATGTTTTTGATTTGGGGCAGGAAGGGCTTCTTTAGGGGTTATTCTTTATTTCCCTAGCATTGACTAGCCTACTCTTTTCTCTCTGTGATCAGTTCATTTGTTAGAAATGTTAGAATTTAAAAGATATTTGAATTAGAATAACACCTTACCTTTGTACATCACTTTATTGTTTACTGAGTGATTTCATGAACAACATTAGACTAATCAAATAACAAAAGCAGTCAAAAGAATACCTTAAGTTAAGAAATGGGCTAACAATTATATAAAACCAGACTTCTGGACAATCTTGGGTTGCAGTTTCAAAAATCGATATATTGCTACCCTCTACTTAATTTTGCATTGTGTTCTGGCTCTCTTTTAAGACAGTAGGGCTACTCACTAAGCTTGTACACAATAGTGTGAAAGGTGCTGGTGAACATTTAATACCTATGCGCCATCTCCATTCAGAGGCTGAACAGGTATAATGAGCTAAAAAATGGTGTCCTTAAAAGAGATTTATGCTCTTGTAGCAGCAACCCATAAAATTAATTGCCACTGCTGACTTCTTTCATCTTTGCATTTTGAATATGTATTTGCAGTGCTTTTAATGAAACAAGGGACCTGCTCTCCAGGGAGAGAAAGGGCAAATGTGTTGAATGACTAGGACTTGACTGTGGTCTTGATTAAGTAAAGTCTATCTACTCTAATGGGTATCATAAATTGGATGTAAATCACAGGAGAGCAAATACGAGGAGCTGTTAAGAGGCATCTACAGCCCGTCTTATCTCAGGAGTTTCAACAGCTCTGCAGCTTTTAGCTCTGCTTTGCAGCCAGGTTAATGTATATGGCAAGGGGGTAATATCTACAGAATGTAGACAAAACAACTTCGCGTTCATTAAGAGGATGACAGCTTAAGCACAAGTTTAAAGAACATCAGGATTTGCTTGTGAGTGAGATAAAATATGAATATATATAAATATATAAATATAAATATAAGATAAAATATAAAATAAGATGCAGAAAAAATGGACTTAAATGTATGAGGCCCAAATAAATAGGTTACTCTCCCTTCATGAGGAAATTTAAGGGAAAAAGCAGAACACCTAACCACAAAACCCAACAGCTTAGAAACAACATTTACTTGTACTAGGTTTTCCCATTGTTTTTTTTTTTTTTTTTTTTTTTTTTCAAATCTTCGTATGTTTAAACATATTCTTAGGGAATCACTTGATTTTTGTTTTTTCGTGTTGCATATTTACCTGCCATTTAACTAGGTAGAAAATAATATGTGATGATACTTTTTAAATATATATTTTTAAATTTTCTTATGATTTAGAATATGTTATTGGATTTTGTTTTATTACAAAATCAGTGGATGCTTGATGTGACAATTCAAACAACACAGAGGCTATTAAAGTTTATACTCTCTGCTTCCCTTCTTCCAACCCAGCCCTCTGAAAGTTGTGGTATGGTGTATTATCAGAGCCTTTTCTAAAAAAGGTTTTTGCAGTGTTTTCAAAGTTTTCTTTCAGTGTTTGTTCAGTTTTCAAAGTGCTCTTTGCTTCCCCATTTCCACCCCTCTCAAAGGTGTGATATTCTGTATTATCACAACCTTTTCTAAAAAATGGTTTGTTCAGTGTTCTCAAAGTTGTATTATTGATAGAGAAATACTATTGAATGACATCTACAAATAATGTAGAACAGCATCTGAGTTATTGATAATGAATGACTATAGGTAACTGCCAAGTGAAATTCTTACACATTCATTTTTTTCTTTTCATACATTGTGGGAAAATATGAGATTTTATTTGCCTCGTGTGGTCAGCAATGAAAAACTATGGTTTGCTCAAATCTTCTTTTCATCGGTTTATGATTTGATTTTCTTTCACAAAAGGAAAGGCTTATATTTGGTGGCGTTATGGCAGTTTGTGCATCTCCATCATTTGTAAACAAACTAATAGGAAACAATTCGGAGGGCGCAAGTAATAGGAACTAAAATATTTACTCTCACAATGAATTAATCTGAAAATGGTGTCTGATGTGTCAGATGTCTGGGGGAAAGAAGATCATTTTCAAAAAAAAAAAGAAAACTGCATTTTTTTTCTCTCTTGAATAGCTCCAATACTGATTGCGGGAAAAGAAAAAAAAAATTCAAGAATGAAACAAAAACCTGGAAGGGCCATGAGCTCTTTTCTCTAACTAGGCCCAGCCCCCACCCTGTACTGTCCAACAGAAGTCGTCACCTATAGACTCACAGCCATCCCAGACCTCCAGCCGAGTCTGTGGTACCGCTCATAAAGTAGGGGTTCCTGGTCCAGTCTATGATACCTCTCATAAAGTAGGGGTTCCTGGCTCAGTCTGTGGTACCTCTCATAAAGTGAGGGTTCCTGGCCCAGTCTGTGGTACCTCTCATAAAGTGGGGGTTCCTGGCTTAGTATCGTGGACGCATCCACTTCAGCTCCTACATCTCCCTTTGTTTCTAACACTCTCCCTCAAGTGTAAGCAGAAGATAGTTAAATGTAGGCCATTTGGTGAGTCCCAGATGACCTGCACACAGGATTTGTGCAACGCCTTACCACCCGCTGTGGGACTGCGAAGTGTGCTTAAACGCTGCACAAGAAAAAATTAATAGCATTATTTCTGCAACTCAGTGGCTGACACTCACAATCTTCAATCACATCATGAAAGAAGCAACACAATGCTTAAGTCATAATCTTAACAGGAGGAAAAAGGAGGGAATGAGCGTAAACCTAACTTATACACTATTCTTTTCCTTGGTTCCTTGCTGCCCTCTCATTACAAATGATATTTGAAGATCAAAATAAAGGTAGGGCTCACTGTGAAAAATCTCTGCTTCTCTTTATTCCTACCAAAAAAACGGTCCTTCAGCCAGGGCGCGGTGGCTCACCCCTGTAATCCCAGTACTTTGGAAGGCCAAGGTGGGCGGATCACGAGGTCAGGAGATCGAGACCATCCTGGCTAACACAGTGAAACCCCATCTCTTCTAAAGATACAAAAAATTAGCCGGGCGTGGTGGCAGGTGCCTGTAGTCCCAGCTACTCGGGAGGCTGAGGCAGGAGAATGGCGTGAACCCGGAGGGCGGAGCCTGCAGTGAGCCGAGATAGCGCCACTGCCCTCCACCCTGGGTGACAGAGCGACACTCCATCTCAAAAAAAAAAAAGTCAAAACCATAGACATGCATGGAATCCCCCTAGGAATAAGCTCTGAAGGGAAACCTGTGAATGGCAAAATGTGGTAGGCGATTTGCCAAGCATATAGAAAGGCATGGTCATGTTTTTCCACTGAGCTCACCTCCTACGGCAGATCCAACAATATATAAATAACAATATGCTGTTTTCAAATCCCCTTTGTTACTTCCTTTTTTATCTTCTTCCTTTGTCTTGTGGGAGAAAGGTAGGACTCTAAGCCTGTAGACGAGCAAAATGAGAACTCCAAAGGGAGGTTACTGAAGGGTGATGCGATGGGCAAGTTCTTACCCTGGGACAGATCAGCAGATAAAATGATGCTTATTTGTTACTCTAGTGCCAAAAATATGTGCATTACCGTGAAAGTCTGTGTCCTTTTGCCTGGGAAAATAATAATGAAATGATTGTTAAGTGTTTACATGCTAAATCAACAGCTCCCCTTGCTCCTACTCTTACTACTTGCTCTTACCCCAGTCTCTAAAGAAGAAACAGTATTATGATTTTCTATCTTAAAAGAGTAAAACGATTTCAGGCTGAATCAACCTTTTCAAAATTACTGCATTTTACAACCTTTGCTTTTCTCTTCCTTTCTCTCACTCCCACCCTTTGATACCCTATTGTTCTGCAAATCCTGTCTCCAGAGAAAGACATAGCCTATAAAATCATTCATATTGAGCTGTTAGGGATTGTTAGCATCACCTCAGTCCAGTTCTAGGCTAACAAAGTAAAGTACATCTTAATAAGCAATAATAAGCACTGCACAAAATCAGGAAAATATCATTTCATGAGATGATGTGTTTGAGAGATAGAAGAGAAGGAAATAGCAGCCTTTATCATTCTCTTTATTAGTGAGGTTTTCCATATTTGGAAATTCCTGATGGGTTTCCTCCACACTCCTAGACACAAATTGAAGTACAAGTTGTTCCCTTGCCTGGAATGTTCCACTCCCCAGAATGTTCTGCCTCTTATGGCTGGCTCTTACTTGTCTTTCAAATCTCAGCTTAATGTCACCACTTCCCTGACCACCCAGTCTAAAGCAGCCACCCAGCCATGTTCCAATAACTCATCCTCATTAATTATCGCATACCACATAATTATTTCCGACAGTTACTTGCTTTTTGTTTTTTTTAATTGCTCCCTGCCTCCAATATTATAATGTAGCTTCCTGAGAATGGGAACCCTGACTGTCTTATTTCATTGCTCTTTCACTAGGACCCTAGAACAGGGCCTGACAAATAGTAGATGCTCAACGATGTTTTTTGAATGAATGAAGCAAAAGCAGAACAAAAAAGAGGAAAAGAAAGATCTCCCACCTTTAGAGCAACCCCCATTTGATCTGCCTAACGTTCTTTTTTTGTTTTTTTGTTTTTTTTTGAGATGAAGTTTTGCTTTGTCACCTAGGCTGGAGAGCAATGGAGCAATGATGTGATCTTGGCTCACTGCAACCTCCACATCCTGGGTGCAAGTCATTCTCCTGCCTCAGCCTCCCGAGTAGCTGGGATTACAGGCACGTGCCACCACCCCTGGCTAATTTTTGTACTTTTAGTAGAGACCGGGTTTCACCATATTGGCCAGGCTGGTCTCGAACTCCTGACCTCAGGTGATGCACCCACCTCGGCCTCCCAAAGTGCTGGGATATCAGGTGTGAGCCACCATGCCTGGCTGATCTGCCTTTCACCTAGATATACCATAGGACTTCTATTTTCAAACCCCATCAACTCCAGAGTTTTCCCACATTACAGTACTTTTCCAACTGACATCATTTATCTTGTAAACCAAATGAGTATGAAGAATTAAATAAGAATCTCATGGGATAGAATTACATTAGAAAAGTTTGTCCAAGTTACTTAATTTGGGAACACTTTCAACTCCTTCCTCATTTCTTCTGTGTTCTCATTTGATTAGCATCTTAATTTAAAACATTATGAAAAATGAGACATTCGGAAGGACTAGGAGGACATTTTCACTCTCTAGTACATACTTGCAATGTCAGTTGGCCACAGTGCAATCACACTGCTATTTCAAGGTGTGTGTACTTGACATGTTAACACCCCATCAGATGCCAGACTTGTGGTGAAGGGCCAAGAGCTTCTGTGCTACTCCCTTCCTGTCCTGTTTATGTTGGACTGCAGCTTCAACTCCAACGTGTGGCTTTGGCAATAGAACTTACAAAGTTGAACATTATCCCGTCCTTCAACCTCTACTAGTTAGGGTTCAAGATCTCACTATATTACTGTTTGACATTAGTATACAAATGGTTTCTTAGGTTCTGTTCTTGTATAAACCTTACCTGGTTGATTGAAAAGCAAAGCAAAATAAAAACAAAAAGGACAAAGACAAGGTAAGCAAAAACAAGTTGGGACAAAATAACTAACAAAGGGTCAAGGAAATGTAATCATTGAATGTACATAAAAGTATTTTAAAATCTAGCACACTTTTTTTTCTTAACCAATATTTCTAATTTTTTACATGTCTGCAACCTGTAGACTTAAATCATCCGTAATTTCCATGGAATTTCATGTATGTTCAGTTAGCTAGCCATTACTTTCATTTCTTTTCAACTTAAATTTGTTTTTTCTAGGTAATACAATCACACAGTTAAAAGTATAAAGAAATATATGCACTGAAAAGTCTGCCTCTCGGACTCAGTAACCAGTTGTCACTGTCTTGTGTATCCTGCCAGAGATTGTTTACATGCCTATCAAGCAAATATATACGTATATATAAAATGTGTATTTTTTCTTTTATTTTTAGACAAGTGCCTACCCACCACATATACTGTTCTGCACCATGCCTTTTCTATTTAGCAGTAGATTTTAGAGATGTTTCATGTGAGTAATTAAAAAGTCTTATTTTTAAGTGATTGTATATATTTATTGTAGAAATGATTGATAATTCCTTTCTCTATTGTTGCCAATCTAATTTTTTTTTTTTTTTTTGAGACGGAGTCTCGCTCTGTTGCCCAGGCTGGAGTGCAGTGGCATGACCTCAGTTCTCTGCAACCTCCGCCTCCTGGGTTCAAGTAATTCTCCTGCCTCAGCCTCCTGAGTAGCTGGAATTATGGACGTGTACCACAACACCTGGCTAATTTTTGTATTTTTAGTAGAGACGGGGTTTCACCATGTTGGTCAGGCTGGTCTCAAACTCCCGACCTCGTGACCCACCCGTCTTGTCCTCCCAAAGTGCTGGGATTACAGGCGTGAGCCACTGCTCCCAGCCACCAGTCTAAGTTTCAATGACCTAAGTAATTATCAAAAGTAATCTTCTTTTTTTTTTTTTTTTTTTTTTTGAGAAAAATTCTCGCTCTGTCACCCAGGCTGGAGTGCAATGACACAATCTCGGCTCACTGCAACCTCCGCCTCCTGGGTTCAAGTGATTCTCCTGCCTCAGCCTCCCAAGTAGCTGGAATTACAGGCACCCGCCACCTTGCCTGGCTAATTTTTTTGTACTTTTAGTAGAGACGAGGTTTCACCATGTTGGCCAGGCTGGTCTTGAACTCCTCACCTCAGGTGATCTGCCCGCCTTGGCCTCCTCAAGTGCTAGGATTACAGGTGTGAGCCACCATGCCCAGCCAAAAGTATTATTTAAAAAAGTTTTTCTTACTTGTATTTTAGGTTCGGGGATACATGTGTACGTTAGTTATATATTTGCCTGTCACAGGGGTTTGGTGTACAGATAATTTTGTCACCTGGGCAATAAGCATAGTACCCAATAGATAATTTTTCTGATCCTCTCCCTCCTCCCGCTCTCCACCCTCAAGCAGGCCTTGGTGTCTGCTGTTCCCCTCCTAGTTTCCATGTGTTCTTGTTGTTAAGCTGTCACTTCTGAGTAAGAATATGTGGTATTTGTTTTTCTGTTCCTGTGTTAGTTTGCTTAGGATCATGGCCTCCAACTTTGTCCATGTTGCTGGGAAAGACATGATCTTGTTCCTTTATATGGCTGCATAGTATTCCATTGTGTATATGTACCACATTTTCTTTATCCAGTCTACCATTGATGGGCATTAGGTTGATTCCATGTCTGTGCTGTTCTGAATAGTAGAACACCATTCATCCCCTCACTGTTAGTTGAACATCTGCAAAATGCTGGGTAATGTGGGGTGCTGAAAACACAAAGATGAAAGAGACAAGAGCAGTACCTTTGAATAATCTATAACCTGGTTATCTCTACGATGATTTTGGCAAGAACGTGCAGATGCATACACATATACACAAAATGCTGCACATCTTTCAGCATCATACAAATTTTGTAGAAGAATGGCCAATCCCTAAATTAGATTCAGTGCAACCCAAATGCCTTCTCTTCCCACTTTAATGTTTGAAAGATACATCATTCAGTTTTTGATTCTGAAGATTTAATATGCACCAGCTTTTGTTTCTGGTTAAGTGATTTTCATTATCCTCGAAGGCTAGTCAAATAACAAAGCAATTTAGTAATGGCAAAAGCATAAAGTGTGGACCAGAGGGGTCTTCAAAATATTAGGGAAGATAGAGCAGAAAACCATTTTTTTCAGTTTGTTGTTATAAAATTATACACACACTCTGAGTCACCAAACACATTGGAGGTTGATAAGGAACATAGGAGTAGTCACGGGTCCTAATTCTGCAGTACGTGGCTATGCGGGTATGAACTCTTCATAAATACAATGTGATGATGACTTTGCATTTGCATTTCTCTTCCTCCTTTCTCTCACTCCCAGTCTTAGATACCCGATTGTTCCATAAATCTTGTCTTAAGAGAAAGGCATATCCTATAAACTCATTCATGTGAAGGTATTTGCATTAGCAGTGTTGGTCTTGGATCACTTTGCAAACAACCCTTCCCTGAAAATGAGAAGTCCAATCAAGGAGCTTCCTGAAGTATAAAACTTTTTTAACTAAGTAATAACATTTAGGTGCATTCATCCTCATGATTTTTTAATGTAAATACTGGCTCTGACACAGTGCCACATTCTTAGATATTAGGCTAATTGTGCTTTGCTGTGCCAGTCTCTTGGTGAATGTAATGTTTAATTACATTTCCAGAAGAAAGCTGAGTTCTATTTTTATGATTAGGAGTTTTATTTGATGTCTGAAATATAATTGGAAATACTTGCAGATACCCTATCTGTGTTTGAAGTGGCACTCAATCATCCATAAGAAATACCATATGTCCATTTCAAATATTAGGTGTTTTACATGAAGGAATACATGATGATAACAATATTTCTTCAACATATCTTCATTTTACCTAAGTGCGTAGGAGAGCTCTTTTAGTAATTACAAAGTAAGGTGAAAATAGTCATCCCTACTGGGTAGAGACCTTTTATTTTAAAAGGGGGAGTGGCTAAGCTCAGAGATAAGATGGAGCCACATATGAACAATATGCTCATAGATAAAGCTATGAATTTGATGGAAAATATGAACAATATAGTGTTAAGTGAAAATAGACAAAATGATATATGTAACTTAATGTCAATTTTATGAAAAAATAAAAAATAATACACTTTAACCAACTAAAATGTATATTATATATTAGAAGAAAATACACCAAAGTGTAACCAGTGGTTCTTTGAGTGCTGGAAATTTGGGCAGATTATATCTTCTCATTAACTATTCCTGATTTTCCAACTTTTTGACATAATGCTTTTATAATTACAAAGTATTATTTTAAAATAAATAGGTACTTTTGATCCTTTCTCTTCCATCCTCCTTCCTCCATTAAACTTCAGTTCATTTGACTGTTCATCATGGATGCTTCTTGTTAAATAATAGTTGCTTGCTAAGTAAGCTTAATTTTGAGCACATTCAGAAGTGGAATGCTCTGGCACTGAATGTTCTCACCTCCCGTGTGGGATCTCCTTCTAGAAACCAATGACCTTCAGGATTCCATCTGGATTTTTAGAACTCTTCCTAGGAATCCTTCCCCAGAAAATGTCCTATATTCCAAAATAACTTTACTCCTCCACAAACACTGTTTTCCAACAACACCTGCCCCCACCAAACAAAACTCTTATCCCTTTAATTGTACATCTCAGGTGTTTAAATGAATATGATATGAATAAGCTATTTATGTATATATGTATGTATGTATTTTCAAGCCAGGGTCTCACTCTGCCACCCAGGCTGGAGTGCAGTGGTCTGTCACAGCTCATTGCAACCTTGACCTCCCTGGGCTCAGGTGATCCTCCTGCCTCAGCCTCCCAAGTAGCTGGGACTACAAGTGCACAACACCACACCCAGCTATTTTTTTTATTTTTTGTAGAGATGGAGTTTTGCCATTGTTGCCCAGCCAGGTCTCAAGCAATCTGCCTGCCTTGGCCTCTCAAAGTGTTGAGATTATGAGACGTGAGCCACCACACCTGGCCAATTTTAAAGTTAAAAGTAAACCAAATACTTTAAAGACCAACATTTACAGTATAATCCATACAAGGCCTTCCACAGAAAGTAGGATGAAAACTTTACCCTCAGAGACAATGGTGAAGGAGAAAAGATGCAATGAAGGCAAGACTAAGATTCCAATTCAAATAACAATAATGTCAGGAAAGTATGCGATGAAGGCATCTGCTGAAAGAGGAAAGACAGTTGTGGTAACTGTGGGTAATATTACAAAGCACGAAAAGGGTGGAGAACTAAGAGAGAGAAAGAATACCAAAAAAGGAATGTGTATATTTCCTGGCAATCAAGAGAACCCATTTGAATTTCAAGAGTGTAAACCCACATTCAATTCAGTGAGCATGGTTTCATGACTTTATTTCAGCAATAATGAGCACTGTGAAGGTAGAAACAGGACATATGTCTTTGGCAGTACTGGCACAGTGGGATGTTATGGTATTTAATTAGATGATCCTTGAGAAACATTACTGAGATTATCAGCCAAGCCGTGTGTAGGTTCAGAAAAGGAAACAGATTCAACAAGATTAAGGCTTGAGGGGAAAAGAGAAAGGAATCAAGAAAATGGAAGTTATACCAAGAATGAAAATGGGGAGTGTCAGATGAGAAAATATGGAGAGGGAGCAGTGGTTGTGATCAAAGAGAGGATTCTGAAAGTTTAAAAAACTTAAACTCTTTCCAAGTGATAAAAGAATGTAAGATGCATCTGTTCGAGTGGATAGTTTAAGTGGAAGTTAAGGTCGCAGGAGCAGAGGAAGTGGTCAGGGAACCATGAAGCCAGGATGTTAGAAGGAACATTAACATGGATGGTGGCCAACAGTGATGGCAGAAAACCAAATGCTAAATAGTAAAGTCACTGAGAAAAGTGAGGAAATGACCAAGGTTGTTGGTGACAAGCAGGGAAGACAGAATGACTGTAGGTGGAGTGCACCAACTTCAAAAGAGGAACAGATATTTCGTAGTGATGGCAAAACTCTTCTGAGAGTTGCCTTGGGAAACAAGGACCCTGCAGAACCCTCCTTGCTCAGAAGGATACTGAGGAGGCTGGAGACATCATCAGGGACAGCCAGACTTCAGTTAAGACAAAGCATTTCTAAGGAAAAGGTTTGAGGAAGCAGAGTTTGGTTAGAAACAGCCAAGGAATCCCATAGGCAATAGAAGAGATCTAGAAAAGGGATTCAAGGGAGAATTGGAGAAGGAAGATGAGGAGGAAGAAAGCTATAGTGCAGAGTTTTGCACTACGAACCTCTGGATGCTAGAGCAGATACAGAAATTCTGTGTCAGCATTCCTACTGTGTTGTGCTAGAGCACACTACTCTGTACCATCTGATGCTGAGAAGCAAAAGCATCGTCCTGAGGATCACTTGCTGCTATTTCATGAAGAGTGACTAAGATTACTTGCAGTTGGAAGGAAATAGAGCCATTTCCAATATAATTACTACTTACTTTTTAGCCTCCTATTTATTTTAGTTACGTGGTAGCACCATGATCCATTTTGTGGTTACTAACCTCTAAGTACGACTTTGAGTTGGGCTTTTTTTTTTTTTTTTTTTTCTGGTGGAGTCTCACTCTGTTGCCAGGCTGGAGTGCAGTGGTGTGATGTCAGCTCACTGCAACCTCTGCCTGCGAGGTTCAAGCAATTCTCCTGCCTCAGCCTCCCGAATAGCTGGGATTACAGGCACGTGCCACCGTGCCCAGCTAATTTTTTTGTATTTCTAGTAGAGACAGGGTTTCACCACGTTGACCAGGATGGTCTTGATCTCTTGACCTCGTGTTGAATTGGGTTTTTATTGAACAAGCCCAATTCCTCATTTGTGTATTTTAAAATGATTGTTCTCAACTAATGACTCTCTAATTCATATTTGCTTAATTTCATTTTATGTTTACAACTTTTACTACTAGAGAATTTATTTTTGTCTACTACAGGCTGAAATACATTAGGTTGACAATTTTTTTACCATTGATTTATTTTTTCTGCAAATGTGTGAGTTTTTCATTCATACTAATACATCACCTAATAGTGAGAACATTAGTTACAGGGAGGTTTATTTTAATTGGTTTCTATTACAAGTATGAAACCAGAGAGTTCATTTTCTCAACAAATCTGAGAGTGATTGTTTCCTTACCTGACTAAAGTGATGATTACACAAACCTTGTGGATGACAGTGGAGTCAATGTGGTTTTTAAAAAACCTTTTCCATATGTGACAAGGAATTAGATAGTATGTCATTTGATTTTAAGAATGATGAACATATTAAATTGATTCTGTCAAATGTAGATTTTTCTAAAATAAGTTGGCTGGATAAATCACGTCAATTTGAACACACACATCTTTGCTTCATTATTCAAAGAGAAACCATAATTACGATCAGAACCTCAGATTTTGCTCTAGGAGCATACCAGGTTCATGCCTTCCAACCTCTGTATGTGAAGGTTTCCTGGTAGGATGATACTGGCTCCTCTTGCCCAAGGCTGTCATGAGGATGCACACTCACTGCAAGGGTTTTTTATGGTGCTGAGAGGAAAGGCCTTCATAAATATGTACATTTACTTAATTTCTGTATCTACATTCCCACTGTGTTTTCCTAGAGCTCACTACTGTACACCATCTCGACTCTGAAGCCCTGGGAATGTCTGCTCTATGCTCTGCTCCATTTCACAATGTTCTTTAGGTCTGTTTTGTTATTTAAATGTAATGATGTATGTATCCACAATAGGTAGCATTTGAGAGACTCCAGCTGTGAGCCTCTGGATGTGAAGCTAGTGAAACAATTGAATGACTAACAGTTGAATGCCTAGCCAAATATTTTCACTTCACTTTATATGTCAGCAATGGAAAAGAGTAGGTGTAGCCATCGACTCTTCTTTTCGCTCAGAGAAGTTTATAAATAGGTCAAAAATGGGTAATTATATGCCTCAGCTACAATTTCAAACTTCTGCTTTCCTAGTAATTGCCATTAAATGAGTAAGTTGTAAAAGATTTCTGGAAAGACCACAAATATTTTCTTTTCCTTGTTTCTTTGTTAAAATAGTTCATATACCATCTGGTTTCGGGGATGTATCATTATGCTCAATGTTTGAAACAAAAAAACCCTAAAAGACATAAAAGGTGGCTTGAGTACAATGCAGTGAAAAAGAACAATATATTTTATTCTCTTTAATTTCTTTTTTTTTTTTTTTTTTTTTTGAGATGGAGTCTTGCTCTGTTGCCCAGGCTGGAGTGCAGTGGTGCGATCTCTGCTCACTGCAAGCTCCGCCTCCCGGGTTCACGCCATTCTCCTGCCTCAGCCTCCCGAGTAGCTGGGACTACAGGCACCTGCCACCACGCCCGGCTAATTTTTTGTATTTTTAGTACAGACGGGGTTTCACCATGTTGGCCAGGATGGTCTCGATTTCCTGACCTCATGATCCGCCCGCCTCGGCCTCCCAAAGTGCTGGGATTACAGGCGTGAGCCACCACACCCAGCCTGTTCTCTTTAATTTCTAAAATAAAGTTTTAGAAAAAACTAAAACTCTAAAAAGAGTAGCTTAGTCTTCCAAACAGTGCTAGTTACAGGGGCAAATTCTTGCTCCAGGTGACTGTTTTTATGTGCCTTCCCTTCCCTCATAGCCACTGCTTTCTTCAAAGGGCATCCTCTAACTCAAATGTGAAATATTCATGTGTATTTTTATTCTATCACAAAACAATTTTACACAGATAGGATTACTCATGATGAAGCATTCTAGAACAACAGCAAGAGTTTCACTTCATGTTTGTTGTAATTATTCTATCTTTGAAAAGCAGAAATATATGTGGTTATTATCATAATTAAGACTTCCTGATACTGAACAGCTGCCTTACTGGAGAGAAATGTTAGGAATTTTTTATTTTTACTAAAAACTGTCAGAAGTTTCTAAAAGGAATTAGATGAATCCTGAAGGTCCTGTAACTTGAAAAGTTGATTTACGCTGAGGACCCCATTTTCATCAAGGTATCAACTAGAGAGAAACTTGTATTTTTCTTATTTTGCATTACAATAATGCATCTTGCTTTTCTTTTTTATGAAGTGTTCACTTTATTTTTATTACTCCAGGTACCCAGGATCATTCATGCTCTCTTCTTTAAGGTGTTGTACACCTTGTGTTCAGTAGACATTTTTAATTTTTTTCTTCTCTGAGACAAGGTCTCACTCTGTTGTCCATGCCTGGCTAATTTTTTTCTTTTTTGTAGAGACAGGGTCTTGCTTTGTTGCCCAGGCTGGTTTCAAACTCCTGGCTTCAAGCGATCCTCTAGCCTTAGCCTTCCAAAGTGTTGAGATTATAGGCATGAGCCACCACACTCAGCCCAGGGTTCAGCAGACACTTTGAGAGGTCAGATAGAGTTCATCCTTCAGGCAGATGAGATGCTGTCCCTTTAAAAAAAAAAAATCAACTTCTATTTTAGATATAGGGGATACATGTGCAGGTTTGCTACATGGGTATATTATACCCATGTAGTGAATGTAGTATCCAATAGGTAGTTTTTCAACCCACAGCCTCCTCCCTTTCTTCTCCTTCTGGTAGTTAGCAGTGTCTGTCATTTCTACGTTTATGTCCATGTGTGCTCAATGTTTAGCTCTCACTTGTGAGAACATGCAGTATTTGGTTTTCCATCCCTGCATTAATTTGCTTAGGATTATGGCCTCCAGCTCCATCCACATTACTGCAAAGTACATGATTTCATTCTTTTATATGGCTGCATAGTATTACATGATGTATATGTACCACATTGTCTTTATCCAGTTGACCACTGATGGGCACCTAGGTTGACTCTATGTCTTTGCTACTATGAATAGTGCTACAGTGAACATACTAGTGCATGTGTCTTCTTGGTATAATGATCTATTTTCCTTTGGGTATATACCCAGTAGTGGGATTGCTGGGTTGAATGGTAGCTCTATTTTAAGTTCTTTGAGAAATCTCCAAGCTGCTTTTCACAGGGGCTGAACTAATTTACATTCCTACCAACAGTATGTAAGCATTCCCTTTTTTCCATAGCCTGACCAGCATCTGTTGTTTTTTGACTTTTTAATAGTAGCTGATGTGACATGGTATCTCATCATGGTTTTGATTTGCATTTCTCTGATGATTAGTGATAAGCATTTTTTCATATGTTTGTTGGCTGCTTGTATGTTTTCTTTGGAGAAGTGTCTGTTCATGTCCTTTGCTCATTTTTTAAATGGGATTCTTTTTTATCTGTTGATTTAAGTTCCTTATAGGTTCTGGACATGAGACCTTTGTTTGGTACATAGTTTGCTAATATTTTCTCCCATTCTGTAGGTTGTCTGTTTACACTGTTGATAGTTTCTTTTGCTGTACAGAAGTTCTTTAGTTTAATTAGATCCCACTTGTCAATTTTTGGTTTTGTTGCAATTGCTTTTGGAAACTTCACCAAAAATGATTTGCCAAAGCTGAGGTCAAGAAGGTTATTTCCTAGGTTTTCTTCTAGGATTGTTATAGTTTGAGGTCTTATATTTAAATCTTTAATCTATCTTGAGCTAATTTTTGTATATGGTGAAAGGTAAGGGTCTAGTTTTATTCTTTTGCATAGGGCTAGCCAGCTATCCCAGCACCATTTATTGAATAGGGAGTCCTTTTCCCCATTGCTTGTTTTTGTCAGCCTTGTCAAAGATCAAATGGTTGTTTGTGGCTTTATTTCTGAGCTTTCTATTGTGTTCCATTGGTTTATGTATTTGTTTTTGTACCAGTACCATGCTGTTTTGGTTACTGTAGCCTAGCAGTATAGCTTGAAGTCAAGTAATGTGATACCTCCAACTTTGTTCTTTTTGTTTGGGATTGCTTTGGCTATTTGGGTTCTTTTTTGGTTCCATATGAATTTTAGAATAGTTTTTTCTAATTCTGTGAAGAATGACATTGGTACTTTGACAGGAATAGCATTGAATCTGTAAGTTGCTTTGGGTGGTATGGGTATTTTAACAATATTGATCTTTCCAATCCATTAGCATGGATGTTTTTTCATTTATTCATGTTGTCTCTGATTTCTTTCAGTAGGGTTTTATAGTTCTTGTAGAGACCTTTCACCTCCTTGGTTAGCTGTATTCCTAGGTATTTTATTTTCTTTGTGAATATTGTAAATTGGATTGTGTTCTTGATTTGACTTTCAGTGTGGACATTACTGGTGTATAGAAATGCTGCTGATTTTTGTACATTGATTTTGTATCCTGAAACCTTTCTAAAATTGTTTATCAATTCTAGTAGCCTTTTGGTGGAGTCTTTAGGAATTTTCTAGATATCGAATCATATTATCAGTGAAAAGAGATAATTTGAATTCCTTTTTTCCTTTTGGATGCCTTTTATTTCGTTTTAATTGTTTTTTTATTTTCCCATAAGTTATTGTGGTACAGGTGGTATCTAATTACATGAGTAAGCTCTTTAGTGGTAATTCGTGAGATCTTGGTGCACCCATCACCTGAGCAGTATACACTACACCATATTTGTAGTATTTTATCCCTCGCCCTCCTCCCACTCTTCCCCCCAAGGCCCCAAGGTCCACTGTATCATTCTTATGCCTTTGTGGATGCCTTTTATTTCTTTCTCTTGCCTGATTGCTCTGGCTAGGACATCTGTGTCTTGCCTTTCTAAGATGAAGTTCTGTTTTAACTCTTGGTGATAGTAGTAAATGACCTAAATAAATTAGGTCCAACTAATTTAGTAAGCGACCTAAATAAATTGTGTTCCAACTAAAATGGGAAGTGAAATGGATAAAAAGAAGGTACACGTTTTAAATTTTGTCCAATTTCTTGGTCTTTTTAGTCAGAACAAAGGAGGAAGACACCAGCTGAATTCAGTTCTAGGGTTTTGCTAGGTACTACATCATGGGCAACTACTGTGCTTTTGCTTTGGATCTCAACCTCAAACTCCTGGGCTCAAGGGATCCTCCAACCTCAGCCTCCTGAGTAGCTGGGACTATAGGCATGCACCACCATACCTGGCTAATTTTTTTTTTTTTTAGAGACGGGGTCTTGCTATGTTGCCCAGGCTGGTCTTGAACTCCTGGGCTCAAGCAGTCTTCCTGCCTTGGCATCCCAAGGTGCTAGGATTACAGATGTAAGCCACTGTGCCTGGCCTGGGCATCTTCTTAAACATTGTTTTTCTCATGACATTTTCCTGCTCCAAAAGTAGTGCCTCTTAAAGGCAGGAAAACTCCCTCCCGGAATTCCCCATCATTCATTCCACCCTTGACTACTGCTCCCTAGGATCAATGCACAGTTGTTCTCCTAGGACTTCCCTTCAACATCATTCTCGTGTACTTTTACCCTCTTCTTCTCCTGGCTCCCTTGGTTCCTAAGTGCCATATATTTCACTTTTTATTTTATCGTCTCATTTACCAGAAGCACATTCTCCAGTAGCTTCCAAAGAAAGGGTACAGACCACATTAAGCTTCTAGACCCTGCTTGTCTGAAAAGTGTCTTTATTCTAGCCTCACACTAAACTGACTGTTTGGCTAGGTTTAAGAGTATGGGTTTTTCCTAAGAACGTTGAAGGAATTGCTTCATATTCTAGTTCCTAGAGTTACTGTAGCAAAATTCAGTGCCAATCTGGTTTCTAATCCTGTATATGACTGACTTTCATTGTAAAACTATCTCTTCACCCCTAGTACTTTGAAATGTTGTGATGATATGTAATATTTTTCAGAAATTATAGAAAATAGTGGGCCCTTTCAATCTGAAAACACTCATGTATATACATTCTGAAAATTTTCTTATTTTTAAATTTCTTCTCCATTTTCCCTGTTCTCTCTTTGTGAAACTTGTATTATTACATTAATAAAACTCCTAATTGATGTTCTCACTTTTTTCTTTTGTTGCCTATTTTTATTGTACTTTCTTTAGACCTCTTCACCTTTGTCTTCCAGACCTTCTGCTGAATCTGTTATTTCTGCTATTGTATTTTTAATTTCCAAGAGTTCTTTCTCATTCTCTATATTCTTTCATGGCATTCTGTTCTGTCTCATGGATGCAATCGTGTCCTTTGCCTCATATTAATCATTGGATTTTGGAGGAGGGAATCCTATTGTTATTGTCATTTTGTTTTGTTTTGTTTTTCCCCTGTTCCCTGCATTGTCTCTATTTCTTAAAATTCCTTTTTTTTGTTGTTGTTTTTCTGTGTGTGCATTTGGACTAAATTTCATGTTCGAGGCTTTCCATAAACATGGAAAGCGTGATCTTTGGCACCAGCAAGTTGATTGGAAACTATATGCTTAGCTAGAATGTGTCAATGGGCAGGCTTTACCCTAGGATTGGGCAAGACCCCCAAGTGCCAATATCTTCAGGTCTTGGGTTAATCAGTTTCTCTAGAAAGACAGATATTCAGCCACCTTCCTTGGGATGGTGGGGGTGGTTGTGGGGGCAGGTAACATGCTTGGCAGACAGCATTTGGAGCCTGAGTAAGGGAAGGGGGTTGGCTTTTATCATTTAGTAGACATATGCATCCATCTAATTCCTTACCCCCATTTTTCACCCTCTTCTCTTACCTGTTCATTCTGCTGTGCCAGATGTTTCCGAGTTTGAAACCCTTTTGGCTCTCCATCTCCATAAAGTGAGCTTTCTGTATTCTAGAGTAGTAGAGGAGGAATGGTTGACTACCTACAAGAAATGGGGGAAGGGATTCAGCTGCCTTCCTACAAACTTTCAGCCAGTCTTCTTGTACTAAGCTCCATTCCTCTTCCCCACCTTCAGAGGAATCTAGTGATCAAGGTTTCTGCTGCTCACGTTAGCATCCCTCATGTTTGATTCACTCTCTGTAGGCACTTGGGTTTTCCTCTCCTGATAAGTCAGTGACAACTCATCCTTTTACTTTTAATTCCAGTGAACTTACAGTTTCACAATCCGTTGCTCTCAGTTTTTTCACGATGAAGCAAGGAACAAAAATAAACACATCCATTCAATCTGCCATCTTTAAGTGGATGTCAATTTATGAGACTTCACAGCTTGTTTTTGAAGATGATTCTTTCCAGCTAAAGAAAGCAGTATAGGACAGACAGAATCTCCCCTATTCCCAAGCTAGATGACCTTAGATAAGCTACTCAGTGCCCCATTTCAGTTCCCTCTTCATTAAGAGGGAATCGTGACAGTACCTACTTCACAGGAGTGTGGTCACGTGAAATAATGTGCTAGCACAGGGCATGCCAAAGGGCAGATAGTCCAATTGATATTATCTGTCTTTGTTTTTGTTATTATTAAGACAATGTTCACAATGAATCCTTTGTTATTTGACGCACATATAGAAAGTTTCAGAAATAAGCAATTTGCAAAACTTGCAAAAAACTGTAAGTGAATTATTCCTCTGCTATGCTGAGTTTTCTTCCTCCACCTTCAAGAAGTGGCAAGGAAAAAAAGATAGAAAAATCACTGACCAATTAGAAGTTTTTGTTTCAATTCAGACCACCCTAAAGTTCCTGGAAATTGCATATATGAACTCTAGTAAGCTGAATACCAAAAATGAGAGGGAAGTAGCTGATACCAGGCTACAGATTGTGGGCTACAAAAGATTGATAAACAAGTGGTTCTTTTGTGCAAATTTAGATATGAAATCATGCAGAAAACACTTAACAGACCACTAGACAGAGGATTTTATGAGACATGTTACACATGGATGGTGAAAGGCTGAAAATTAATACTTAACTTGTCATGCTTTCTGCTTTGAAATGCTGGAGCCCTCCAGGAATTTTGTTTTAACAACCAATGGAGATATCATTAGGGAGATACTTCTGAATTCGCTGCATCTCATTCTGTGACAAAGTGCTGCACAAAGTAAAATGTACCTACCACTTTCATCCGAGTTTGTAGCGTTGGACAAATCCCTATTCCACAATATCATGTGTACAAAGAGTTTCCGAAGAACTTGTGGCATATTTCTTGTCAGTTCTCTTGAAGTTCTCATTTCCCCTTTTCCTCTCCTACGGGCAGGTGATTGATTGACTTAGAGTCAGTGCTGAGTAGTAAATAACTTAAAAAACAAATCTAGAGATGATCTGGAGAAGGCTCGAAGAAATGTGATATGTATTATCTGGGATAGGCCTAGAATAACCTGAATTTACAATGAAGGAGCCCAGTAGCCTTTTCTAGAAAGCCGCTTGCTCTTCCACTCTTGTTTCCTCTTAGGCAAGAGAATATCACTAGAAGCTCAGAAAATTCAGGATTGATTGGAAATGTTTAAAAAGTGAAAATAAACACAAATATCTATAAGGCTAGGAACATAACCAGAAAACTCAGAAAAACATAGGGGCTTAAGGATGTTCCAAAGGTAAAAATGACCTCAAAGTGAATTTCTTTCTTTTCTAATCTCGACGTAATTCAGTTCTTATTCAAGCTGAGACTACCCAAAGACAAAAATGTTGCACTGATTTAAAATATGACTCATCAGAACATTAAAATACTTATGATACAGATTTTTATACAATCCGATAGTCTATTCCTCACAACTCATTATTTGCTCCCTTTAAAATATTTCACAAAGAAAGTCTTAACCAGAACATGATCATGTAACTAAGAGCTCCACATTCAGTAGTAGGATAGGTCAGAAGACTTACAGGGATGTTCCTCATGCTTACAAAAAGAAATTTGATATTGTGTGATAATACACGTAAGCTAGAAACTTGTGGTTAAAAGAAATGTTTAGGACTCATGTAAGCATAGGTTCTTGGTATCTTTTTTTAACTGATATATCATAGTTGTCATTTTGGGGGGTACATGTGATATTTTAATACATATATAATGTGTAACTATTAAGTCAGGGTAATTGAGATATCTGTCACCTCAAACATTTATCTTATGTTGGGAACATTAAAATTCTCTTCTTTTAGCTATTTTGAATAATTTATTGTTAACTATAATTTCCTTACTCTTCTATCAAATCCTAGAACTTTGTATTTTTGTACCCATTAACCAACTTCTTAATTTAACCTTTAAATAAAAATATTTTCATTCCTAACCCTGAAATTCTACAAATTTACTGCTTAGGGATGACTCCTGCATGTTTTCTCTTCCTTTTAAGTAGACAAGTTCTAAATCTTAGCTGACTTTCATTAGCCATTTGACTAATCCCATTTTTTAAAAGTGTTTGAGATGGGTTGAAAAATATGACCAATGTGATGAGTACAACTTGATCATAATTGTAAAATATTAGTGTGCTTTAGGTGTTAGCAATTAAGAAAATGTGAAATGTTTTATTTCTTTTCTTTCCTTCCCTTTTTTTTGAGGGGCGGGGGTGGGTGGGTAGAGACAGGGTTTTGCTTTGTTGCCCAGGCTGGTTTTGAACTTCTGGCTTCAAGCGATCCTCCCACCTTAGCCTCCTGAAGGGCTGGGATTACAGAAATGTTTTTTGTTGTTGTTGTTGGTTTTGTTTTATTTTTTTGAGACGGAGTCTCGCTCTTTTGCCCTGGCCGGACTGCAGTGGGTGCTATCTTGGCTCACTGCAAGCTCCGCCTCCCAGGTTCATGCCATTCTCCTGCCTCAGCCTCCTGAGTAGCTGGGACTACAGGCGCCCGCCACCGCACCTGGCTAATTTTTTTGTATTTTTAGTAGAGACGGGGTTTCACCATGTTAGCCAGGATGGTCTCGATCTCCTGACCTCGTGATCTGCCCGCCTTGGCCTCCCAAAGTGCTGGGATTACAGGCGTTGAGCCACCACGCCCGGCCACAGAAATGTTTTAAGTAGTAACATGATTGTTAAAATCTCAAATCCTGAGTATCTGAGATATCGGTTTGATACTTAGAAAATCATGAGCTCTGGAATCATTTTTCAAATGCCTATCTAGGATTTGAATTGGCATCTTAATTAGTAACATCAGTGTTAACTATGGCAACTCATTTGTTTCCCAAAAAAATTTACTATTTTAAGGTTAAATATAAAATAACGGTATAAGTCCTGGGTTTGATTTTTTTTTTTTTAAGTGTAAAAAGTTATCTGTGTTCAGTAGGTGGAGAAGCCAGCTACATCCTGCTGACACAAAGCTAATCAGTGGCTTGACAACTCTAGTCAAACATCCACATAGAATGTCTTGGCCATAATCTATGTGTCTCCTGTATTGTTTTTGTTTTAAAAGATTTGAGAGGAGGGGATGTGGTGGAGGAATGGTGCAGCTCGAAATTGCACGTAGTTGCCAATTTTCTTTTTTCTAGTTTGAACATATTTCTGCTTTGAGCTTCTTTCAGCTCAAGTGAGCCATTTTCACCTATTATTTCATCTGTCTTGCTCTGTCTTCAATCTTCATTAGCCGTTACTATGGATAAGCTGCTGTAAACGTTTTTAAAAATCACCCTCAAGGAGTACAATATTCTATTAAAAAATGACCTTTCCAGGAAACTAACTAATAGCATTAGAAAATTAACACTATTCCTTTAAGCACTAAAACTGAAAAGGAGAGAAGGAGGAGGAGGAGCCAGGCATGGTGGCACACGCCTGTAGTCCCAGCTACTTGAGAGGCTGAGACAGGAAGATCACTTGAGCCCAGGAGTTCAAGGTTGCAGTGAGCTATGATGGCACCACTGCACTCTAGCATGGGCCACAGAGCAAGACCCCATCTCTTAGAGAGAGAGAGAGAGAGAGGAGAAAGAGGAGGGAGAGGGTGATGCTAGTAGTAGTAGTGTAGTAAGGATGGCAATGTTCTGAAATGTCTACTTTTCTATGTAATAACTGAAATTTTTCTTGGAGGCTGAGTCATTCTCATGAATATCAAAGATTGAGCCTGTTATTCATTGAAGAGCTCTTGCAATATAATATTTGATTCTGTTTGCCCCCTAAACAATGTCTTACTCCTATACAATCAGCACGGCCACTGAGTTCAAAAGTTATGTGCTGTCCCCATTGGCAGACAGGCATCCGCACCACAGACTAGACTGCCTGTCCCCTGCCCTCACTGCTCTCGCCCCACTGGCCTTTTCTCGAGGTCCCGGCCCTCACTTCATCAGTTCCATTCAGTATATCCCCCAAACAGCATTTCCACTCAGCCTGCCAAGGAGAAGGAAAGAGAGTATTTAGAATACGTCCTTCACTTTCCTGAGAGAACAGCTTTAAGAAAAGAAAACGTCACTCCTACTCATGTTAACCACCTATTGCCATATAATAGAACACATTCTTATGCTCTCTGAGCCTGTCTCTTTTCTTCGTCTCACTGTTTCTTGACGGTTATGTTGCAACCTGAGGCAGAGTGTCAGAAAGAGATGAGAGGGATGGCAAAAACCCATTCATACTTTGAGACTCCTTTTCTCTAATTTTTAAAGCTTTTTCTCTCCTTCCATTAGATACTGTTGTTTCTGCGTGCTTCTAGTATACATAGTCAACAATCATGTTGGTGAAAACTCCCTCAGGGCCTTTTTTTCTTTTTTCTTGTTCTTTCTCTTTTCTTCCTGGCTGGGGGCAGTATTTCAGCTTTGGGTTTTCGTCTTTGATGATTGCTGAAAGTCTGTCTTCTGAACAAGCGAGGATTAGTTGTATCCGTTTTGACTCTGACTTTCTCTTTCCCTGTTCCTCTACCTCCCACATTTGCAAATTACTTTCATTGCCACTCTGTGAAAAGCAGAATTACTCCTATTAATAGCTGGGCACTTGACTAACATTCCACAGGTTAACCCAAGCTTTGCCAAAAGGAAACAGCATAGAAAGACCCAGAAACTCTCCAGTGATGTGGTATCAGTGGAATAAGCTCTGCCACTGGAGCTCATTCAGTGGCTCAATGAGTGGCAGAGCTTGGGCAGCAATGCAAAGTCTTCCTGTGACCACATCTTTAATTTGAGTCTATTCGTTGCCGCAATTTTGCTTTTGTTTTTCCTTTCTCAAAAATGGCCTCATTTTGTGAAAACAAAGTGTTTGCACTGATAATTAATAATTACTACACTTTTATTCTGGTATGTATACATACTTAGAAAGCATCACACATGCATGTGTGCACACATACACACACACAGTGTGTATGTATTGGTAGCTTAGGCCTGGGTCAGTAGCTCAGAAACATCAGAATGCATTTGAAGGCTTTAGCCTTTCCTTCATGATTAGAAGATAGCTGTAGCTGCTCAAATACCAAGTGCTGTCACCATCTCCAGAGCAGGAAGGATGGGGCAGAAGCAATACATTTTGTGAGGCTCTGCTTATTTTATTCCGAAGTCCTTTCTGGGAGACTTCTTAAGTGCCATTGAACACAACGGTGTCTCGGGTCAATTTTTAGTTGCAAGAAAGGCTGGGAAATAATGATCCAGCAAAGGCGAATGGAATCCTCATGGAGACCAGGTATAACTCATTCCTGGACTTGCAGAAGGCCCTAGGTGCAAAGGATCTCCATCCACCATCTGAACATCAGGATTCCGCCTGGGTGGAGATGGCTGTGAGGGAGCTAACAAGCGGAACAGCATCTCCCACAACATGTTTTAAAACATTCACAACACTGACCCTCAAGTTTGTGCTTCCAATTGCTAGTGACCTCAGTGTCAAAAATGTGCTGACAACTGTGATGAAGAGACAAGGAGAGAAAAACAGACCCTCAGGAGAAACAGTGGGAGGGGGAGGGGAGTGGTTATTAACGTGAAGTTTAAAATATTCAAAGATAGGAAACGAGAAGCTTAACGTGATTGTCTACAGTGGTGTAAAGAAGATTTATATGTGTGTGTTCTTCTTTTCAAAAGGCAGATTTAGGTACCTTTTGGAGCACAATTGGAATATGCAAATTGCTGACCACAATTGCTATAATGTATTACATTCTATGCATGCAAAAAAGAATACCAGGGTTTGTTCTCTCCTCTTTTAAACACCCAGATTTAATCTGACCTACAAAACAAATAGGGCTAAAACACTGGGCACGTTTATCAAGTCTTCAAAAGAATGGAATAGAGGCTAATGAACAAAATGCTCACATCCCTTAAGATAACTCAAAGATTCTTGCTATAGCACATTTGGGGCCTCTTTTTTTTCTTTTTTATAAGTCAAATGATATGCAAGTAACAATATTTTTGAGTGCCAGATGGAGAAGACATCTGTAGAGTAAGAAACTAAAGAAAACACACTTCCAAGATTAAGGCACATTAGAAGAAAATTGTTGGCTATGTGAGTAATGAGGAGTTTGGAAAGGGTTTTCTCTATGTACAACATGCTCACTTACTGGGTGACACAAATGGAAGATGCCAATTTGTTTTTTTGGTTTTTTTTTTGAAAACAGTTTTCTTTACTAAAAAGGGGCTTTGCAGTCAAACAAAAGCACACTACTTTGCTTTCTTTCCTCATCTTTTCTGCATTCCTCAGTGACATTCTGATTGTTTCCATGAAGGTGTGGCAGTTTTGTCAATCTCCCAATATATGCTTAGCCTTTCAAAGAACCTATCTTTGTTCCTTGTGTCTATGGTGACCGTCTGTTAGTGACGAACAGATCAAGGTCAAGTAAGAAAGAGAAGAAATAATTCGGCCCATACCTCTAACCCTTCCAAAGGGCGTAGCTTAGTAGTTTAGTAGTTTCGCTTCAAACACTGAGGACAGGGTGATTGCTGAGATGCTGTGGCAGTGGTTTCGGGCTGAGCAAAACACGCATAGCATGCTGACCAGAGACAGCAGCAGCTGTGAGGCTCATCTGTTTCCCAACACATTTTCTAGACTGTGAAGTCCCCTTGGAGGAGGACTGTCCATGAATTCCAAGCATGGAAGGAATCTGACCATTCTTTTTCATTTTAAAACCACATTACCTTTGTCCTAGCCTTCAGCTTTCAAGGCCATTTCACTTGGCATTTTTCATTGATTTGTGGCCAGAAACTGATGTGAAAAAGGAGAACTTAAAACCTGTTATTAGTCAGGGTTTGGAATCAATTATGCTTCAAGAGTCATTTTCTATAACCAAGATTTCATTCGCAGAAGACATACACTTAGAACAATGGCTTGATCATGGATTGGGTGGGGGTGGAGGACAAGAATGAAAGAGGACTGAGATGGCTGAAGGAGCCTCTATGGAAGACACAGAGCATACACGAGACTTGTATGTAGCAAGCGTTAAGAAGAGTCCACAATGTTCGATAATTTTTATTTTGTTTTAATATGTGTTCTATCTACTTTTCATTTTTTATTTTTATTCTTTTGAGATGTAATCTCACTCTGTCACCCAGGCTGGAGTGCAGTGGTGAGATCTTGACTCACTGCAACCTCCGTCTCCCAGGTTCAAGCAATTCTCCTGCCTCCGCCTCCCAAATAGCTGGGATTATAGGCGTGTACTACCATGCCCGGCTAAGTTTTGTATTTTTAGTAGAGACGGGGTTTCACCATGTTGGCCAGGCTGGCCTCGATCTCCTGACCTCAGGTGATCCGCCCGCCTCGGCCTCCCAAAGTGCTGGGGTTACAGGCGTGAGCCACCGCGCCCGGCCAGTCCTTCTTAAACTCTTATTCACACCCAGCCCAACTACAGCAAATCAATTCCTCCAGTTTTCATTATCTTACTCTTTTTTTATATTAATACCTAGCATATCAAAAATTACAGATGGCAACATTAATGAGTACTGTATAATATTTCTTGAAAAAAATAGTTAATTATAAAGCTTTCTTAGAAATAAAAGGAAAAGACTTTCAAGCATAGAGTCCAGGCAGGTATCTATCATTCTGCTTTCTTCCTTCATGGAATCAACATTTTTAGTTCCCATGTATGAGTGGAACATGCAATATTTGTTTTTCTTTGTCTGGATTATTTCACTTTACACAATGATCTCCCATTCCATTCATGTTGCTGCAGATGACAGCCTTTCGTTATTTTTTTATTGCCAAATTGTATTCCATTGTGTATATATACCACATTTCTTTATCTATTGGTCCATTGATGAGCATTTAGGTTAATTCCATATCTTGGCTACAGTGCTGCAGTAAACATGGAGGCGCAAGTATCTCTTTGATATACTGATTCATTTTCCTTTGGATCAGTACCCGGTGGTAGGATTGCTGGATGGTATGGTAGTTCGGTTTTTAGTTTTTTGAGAAATCTCCATACTGTTTTCCATAGTGGCTATACTAACTTACATTCCCACCAACAATATATAAGTTCCCTTTTCTTAGAGGCTGGGAAGGGTTTTTGGAGGAAGATAAAGAGAGCTTGGTCAATAGGTGAAAACATCAGTTAGAAAAAATAAGTTCTAATGTTCGTTAGCAGAATAGGGTGACCATAGTTAACAGAAAGTTGTTGTATATTTCAGAATAGCTAGTAGACAGGATTTGAAATGTTCCCAACACAGAAATGATAAATACTTGAGCTGATGAATACTCTAAATACCCAGACTTGATCCTTACACATTCTATGCATGTGACAAAATATCACATATCCCCCATTAATATGTACAAACACTTGCATCAACTTTTTAAAAGTCCAGACAAGAAAAAAGCCCATGTTGTTGATAATATAGAAGTTGCAGTCCTCTCCATCACACACGTCATAAAGGCAGCACCAGAAACAAGCCATTGCCCAAGATAAGGGTACCTATTTACTGCGTGAATTTTTGTTTCAGGTTTACTTTATTGCTGCTCTAATTAGAATTCTTGTCCCTTTGTTTCACACTCGTAGCATGTATTTATGTCATCTCTTCTCTGATTTGAAAGATACCATTGTTTCAGCTTAAAACAGCCCCTGGTTTGAAAGTTGCACGGGATGCTTATATAAACAACAGGCAGCATGATAATTCATTGCTTCCTCTTAATTCCCATGTTAGTTGAAACTGGAAAAAAAATGACACATGCCATTTTTAATAGGTAGTTGAGCTTCCTGTATAAAAAAAAAACTTGTAAATTTTGTAATGCTTCTTGGGACATATGTCAGTAATCATCACATGGTTTCAAGCACTGGGAAACATCTTAAAAGATGCTTTAAAGGATGAGTTACAAAAGAAGAAAAGTAGTCACAAGATTCTCTATAATCCCTGTTTGGTCACTCTACATTTTCCTTCTGAATGCACTTTTTGAGAAAGTAAACTTACTTCTTCTCTTCAGTGTCATCTGAAATTTTGATACTTTAAAGAGACCTTTGCAGTTTTGAATTTTGAATATAATATTCCTCAATGTATGAAAAACTACATTAAAAATCTAACTGTGGATGCCTATACTTGAATTAACAAGGAGTTTCATCTCCCAAAATTTCCTCATGCTGTGGTTTTTTTTCTGAGCTGGAATTGACAGATACTAAGTTTCTTAGTCAATCTTGCAGGCGCTTTCAGAATAATTAAGCCTGAGACTACCAGAAAGAACCATTAAAAATTAGAATCAGAGTTGGTGGTATGGAAAGTTCTTTTGAAAGATGGAAAGTTCTTTTGAAAGATGGAAAACATTAATTTAAAAGAGTTCAAGAGTTTAAGCCAAAAGAGCCAGTCAGGTTATGGAGCAAAAAAACTCTGCAAGATTACCACAACTGTACTTCTCTTTGAATAGATTTTCTACTGCCAGTTATATGAAATGGATATAAATCCTCCCATTCCAACAACTCAGGAACTTACTTAAGTGCAGGGTACGATAGCAACTGCAAACGAGTCTAAGAAAATAGGCTGAATGTCATTAAAATCCTTTGAAAATGTTCTGTGACATCTGTTTTCCATTTTGCTATGCTGTTTAATTAACTTCAGTCTTGCAGAATTGCAGAAATCTTATTTGTTCAAAATAGTATCTTGAAGGAAGAGAAGTTTATTTAATAGAGAAGACTGTTAAGTGTAATACGGGCTTGATTAACTTCATCTCAAGTTTTAAATGTTTCCCATTGGCTTCATGATCTATCCCTATATATGGCTCATTTCCATAAAACTAAATCAAACTCTGGATGGCGGATCACTCTTATCCAGTTGGTACTGCTGTCATGTTTCAAGGACACCAAAAATGGAAGAAATTACAGAGAATAGTGACAATTCAGAAACTATTCTTATTTGTCTTCATCGCTATAATATGAGGTCACTGGCTCCTGAGCTAGTGAGGAAATCCAAGTTCTAAAAAACATTCCTTCCTTATATTTGTTTTTTTTGTGTGTGTGTGTGTGTGTGATCTTTTTGATAAGAATAGTTGTCAAGGCTGGGCGTGGTGGCTCACGCCTATAATCCCAGCACTTTTGGGAGGCAGAGGTAGGAGGATTGCCTGAGGCCAAGGAGTTTGAGACCAGCCTGAGCAGCATAGCAAGACGTCAAGACCATGGCTCTTTAAAAAAAAATAAAAGTAGCCGGCATGGTGGCTCATGCCTGTAGTCCCAGCTACTCGGGACAGTGAGGTGGAGGATCACTTGAGTCCAGGAATTCAAGGCTGCAGTGAGCTATGATTGTGTCACTGCGCTCCAGCCTAGACGACAGAGTACAATCCTATCTCAAAAACAAAAAACAAACAAAAAAGAATGGTTGGAGAGAGAGAGAGAGAAAGAGGAAAATAAAAAGAGCAATTCATCCTGCAAAGACCTAGAACATGAGTGCCTCTTCTGATGAGGCTCAGTGGTCCTGGAAAGCTCCTATTGGACAAATCTTGGAGAATAAACAGAAACATTTTGGAGAGGTGGGAGAGCGAAGGAACCAGTCTTCATTGACAGCTGACTTTATTTTTCGATTTGTCAGAGCACGCCAAAGCCCAGTGCCCTGTGACCAGGACAAAAGGGGAAGTGGCTGCATTTTGACATGTCCCAGCTTCACTAGAGAAAGCCCACTTGTTTCTGACTTTCCAGTGCGGGCAAAAGCTGGCAGATCCACCACCTGTGCTCTTGCTGCCCAGCATCTAGGGAGCTTTGCTATTCTGAGTGTTTCTGAGGAAGCCATATGGATGGTGCTCAACTGGATTTTTCTACTTAGAGGGCTTTATGGATTTTAATGTAGAGGTCGTGGCTTCTCTGCATCACTGGCAAGTGTTGTCCATCTCTCCGTCCTTCTTGAGTTCCATACCCAGTGCATCATGAACAAATCCATCTTTTTTATCTGACCTATGCTGTGTCTACTCTCTCAGCTCCTGCTTTTGCTTATCCCTCAAAGGGGAGGTGTTCTTAGCTCTCTGACCTCTGGGTTGATACAGAGGCCAAATTTATCCCAGGGAAGGAATAAGTACATTTGAAATAAGTCACTGAGAGGAGAAGACTGTGTGTTTTAAAGCCAGGTTTGTTTAAAGTGTTATGATAGTATTAAGATGTTCTTTCATTTTCATAGAAGTACTTCATTTGGCTAGAAGGTCAAATGCCTGGTGCTTTGAGGACCTGAACAGTTTCTGTTCCATGAACATACCGGACTCAGGAGTTCTTTTGCTCCAGATACTAAGTTATTAGAACAGTGTTTCCCAACTATGGTGAAAGAAAATCAATAATCAGAATTTTTTAGTAGTTTTCAGTATTTCAAAAGATCTAGTTCGTTTCACAGTTCAACTGAAATGATGGGTGTATTTGCATCTAGTGGCAATCATATTCACTATGTTAACCCTACATATGTTAATCATAAGCTCTGATTGACAGTTGTATATTTTCTGTTTAGCACTAAATAAGGAAAGAATTCTAGTAATTTATTGAATGTAGTTGGATTTCCTTCAGACTACAAAGAATGCCTTGACAATCTCACTCCCTCCTTTTGATTTTCAGTGATTCAGGTCATCTGGATTCCTGGCCTTCCTCCTGCTATTCTCTTCTGTAATCTCCATTTGCCCGACCACCTCCTACCATCTTTTAGTTTAAACGCCATTCTCTGCCTTCCAGGAGCTATAGACTAGAATAGATTGCCTTCTGTGTCCTCCCCAGCAGTAGAAATTTCTACTGCGTGATAACTCTCACGCAATTACTCTCTCAGGGTTCTCTGACACCAGAGATTGTGTTATATCTTATTCTTTACCTTGCCCCAGCCCCTGCCCTGGTGTTTGGCACATAATCTACACTCAATAAATATTTCTTTGTTTAATGGGTGGATTGAATTCATTGTCACACTGAGTGACATCCATCTGGATGCTTGATTACACCACGCGGCTATCATATTCTGAAGGAACATGATATCTATGAAGATCTCAATCATGGTTTAATCCCCAGCAACTAGCACAGTGTCTAAGACAGAAACTTAATATGGTTCAATTACTTTCGAGATTTTTTTTTTAATGGGGACACTACAGATTTGGATAAAAGACATTAATGATGATGTTTCCTGTCCTATCACTAGGCAGTTCTATGAAAAGGCACTCCTTTTTTCAAAATTCCAACTTATAATGTAAGATTTGATGGGTTTGTTCAATTCCTACTAAGTGAGCAGTACCATGATTTTAGGTCTGTAAGTAGCTTAAAGTTAAACTTAGAACTTTGGTTGGCGATGCTCACCCTGGTCTCTGTTATGGATAACAGTTTGAATGAGGTTGATGACTGGGTCTTTTAACTTGATGTCCTTGTTTATTTTCTGCTTGCTTTGTTTGGTCAGGTCTGGCATGGAGCCGAAAAATAAGAGCTTGCTTGCAGTTTGACTTTCACTGTGATTCAGTTTTGCAATCTTTTAAAAACATCCTTCAGGAGACCGCCATGTATCTATCTGTGGACATCTCCCAGATTTTCCAAAACAAGCACAAGATAAATAAGGGGGATTTGGAAATTTCCAAATTTTAACAGATGGGAATTTGCTTCCACTGTCTGAGAAATCTTTGCTATAGATAGAGGGGAATCCCAGAAAAAAATCTAAGTCTGAAAGCTCCACAGAGTTCTCTGCCTTTGCCTTCCCTGGAAAAGGGGTCGGGGGAGAGCAAACAGATGCTAGAAGCCAGTAAAGTCCTGTCCTCATGAAAGCTCTCAGCCCAGAGGACAACACTCTGGGGCAGTCACTTCAGTCATAGGATATTTCCCTCTCCAAATAACCGAGGAGAGAGCCTAACCTCTGGGGTGAGTGTGGTGTATAAAGTGTGAGAATCGTGCGTGTCCAGGAAGAGAGTGCTGCTAACAGATGACTCCTTGGGGGCCCCCTTTGTTCTCTGCTTCTGTTTGTATTGAGTCAGCTTGCTTAGGAATATAGATCAGTGAGACTAAAGTATCTCTGTTGGGCCAGTTCTTTCTTCTCTGTACCATGGTCAATCTACAGGGTGCCTGCACATCCTCCACAGCCTCGAGGTCACAGACTTACTCTCTGTGTCTCTAGGCTATAGAGCAGAACAAAACAGAGCCAAGACAAGGTGTCTGGAAAAACAGAACTCATGGTCTTCCAACAGGGCATCAAAGGGTTTCTAAAATTTAAAGCCAAAGGGAACCTCAGGGGTCACCTGGTCCAACCCCTCTGTTATTTTAGGAGGACAAGAGGCATTAAGTGATTCAGAAGACACAGTCTAGTGGTGGCAAAGAGGACAATTCAGACAGTTCCCAATTTACAATGATTCAACTTATGAAGTTTCAACTTTATGATGGAGTGAAAGTGATACGTATTTAGTAGAAACTGTATTTCAAGTATAACCATTCTGTTTGTCATGTTCAGTACAGGATTTAATAAATTACATGAGATATTCAACACTTTATTATAAAGTATGCTTTGTGTTGGATGAGTTTGTCCAACTGTAGGCTAATAGAAGTGTTCAGAGCACATTAAAGGTAGGCTGAGCTATGATGTTCGGTAGGTTAGGCGTATTAAATGCATTCTCAACTTATGATATTTTCAACTTACGATGAGTTTATTGGGCCATAACCCCACTCTAAGTCAAGGAGCATCTGTATAGGCTTTGGGGTCAGGCATCAGCTGGAATCCTGACTCTACCTCTTTAGTTCAGCTATGACCTTGAATAAGTCACTTAGACTCTTTAAGCTTTAGCTTTATTGATAAAACAAAAGTAATAATAGCACCATAGGACTGTTAAGAGGATTACATTAGAGAAAATTCATGTAAGGCACATAGCCTAATGCATGGCACTCAGTAAGTACCTAAAAATTAGTAGCAACTATTCATCTTCGTCATCATTATCATGATCATCAAAGCTGGAGCCTAGGACCCAAGCCTCCTAGCTCAGCATTCCTCTTACAACAGCCCTTTGAATCACCTTCATATGTCGTTAATACTTCATTGGGTACCCCAATCTATATTAGTTTAAGTACAGACTGTGGTGACATCATTAGTTAGAGTCTGTGAGATGGGAGGGGGGGGCAAATAATGATTCATTCTCTTAAAAAGGGGATGTAACACTTTTTTTTTTCCTTCTTCAACTGGAATAGTTAGGGATGTAACACTTTAAAAGAGCATGTTGTACATCAAGGTAATATAGGTAACTTAAATTTATTTTGGATTTTGTTTATGTATGGTTGCAATCCCATTAGAGTTTAATGGTATTTTCATTTTACAACACATTCTAGTGTGTTAGGAAGTATGTGTTAAGAGTTCTCTTCTATTTATTATTTTCATTACTTTCCCATTCCAGTATAGACATAGTAAACTCCTAAAATTAAGTATATTCTTCTTAAAGAATTCTAAGTGACCATTTTGGTGGAAAAACTACCTGCGCTAGTTTGCATGTGATCTAAATGATCCAAACTAATGGGTGAGCTTTGGGTGCTTGAGGACTATATGCAGGAGAAAAGAGGAGGGATGGATAAAACTTTTCCAATTTTAAAATAAAAATTATTTTCTGAATGTGCTTTAAATGCATCTGCTACATGTACTCAAGAATGTTGAGTCTGACCCCTCAAATTTATTCATTAAGTTTTGCTACATCAGACTACACAAAGGTCGGGAAATCATGTGTCCAAAATAAAATCAGATTTGAGCTCCACCTTATTCTGGCCTATACAATGTCCCTGTTCTTACCACCTTTTCTCGTCTTTCACAACCTTGAATCAGAATCTCTAGTTCAACATCATTTCCTTTTTTCCCTCCCCCACTTAAACATAAAATATAGATATGTGAATTCTATAAAGCCTGCTTGGATAATCAGCTTACCCTAATTCAGCTCTTTTCCTCATCAAGAGGAGGGACTTGACAGCTACTCAGGAGGCTGAGGCAGGAGAATGGCGTGAACCCGGGAGGCGGAGCTGGCACTGAGCTGAGATTGCGCCACTGCACTCCAGCCTGGGCGACAGAGCGAGAACCCGTCTCAAAAAAAAAAAAAAAAAAAAAAAAAAAAAAGAGGAGGGACTTCAAACCTTAGTGCTGGTAGTAACACCTGAGACAGAAAACCCGTGTGACACAGAATATGAGTCCTTAAGCAAAAGGACTGTCGTATTCATCCCTGTGTCTCTGGAGCTAGCACAGTCCTTAGTGCATTGTACATTTGAACAAATGTTTGAGTGAATAACAAGCCCGTTCTCCATTCTGGTTAACTTACGAGTACTGTACCAATTTTCTTCCCTGGGCGGAAAAAATTATGAACCATGGTTCTTGTGAAAGTTATTATTTTTAAATGCCTAGACATTCATTCCCAGAACTAGAAACATAAGAAACAAGTTGATACATCAAGGGACCAAGAGATATAAATGATAATAACTTGGAAATATTTAAAGTTGTAAAGATCCTGCTTAGAAGAGGGAAGTTATCAAAAGGGGTTGAGACAATAGTTGAATGACTGAGAAGACATTAATGAAAATCACATAGGAGTATGATCTAAGAAAAGGTACTTGACATTTTTCCAAGTGAGAAAACTGCATGATCAGATAACCATGCATAGGTTGGAGATGTGTCCAGAGAAATTTATTCCTGAAAGACAGCGATAAAGTACCAGAGCTAAAATAGTCCATCTGATAGAGACATTGGAGCTGAGATCTGAAATGATGCCTGTTTCTTATTAAGTTGGATTCTATTTACTACACATTTTTTAGTGTATAGATAGAAAAGGGTACACAATAGGTACCTAAAAGCAGATAGCTGTAATTACTACTATTTATCTTTTGTGCTCTGAGGTTTCTCATACTGTGTTGGTGCCACACTCTAATCAGCTGCATAAAAGGGTAGATCACTTGCCACCACAGAGGCATGTGGGAGAAGACAGCATGTCTAGGACATTACGCTGAGGCTGAGGCAGTAGGCAAGGAAGTCCAACCTGCAGGCTAAGAGTCAGTTTTCACTCCTGTGGGAAAAGCATGCCCAGCTCTCAGCAAAAGCATAGAAATCAAGAGAGAACAGTAAAGGCAAACAGGATATGTAGCCTAGTTCCAGTTGAAGGTATTATTCCTAACAATGAAAAATGTCAATATAACTATTTCCAGAGTTAAAACTTCAGACACATGCTATGACAATGAGACAGTATGTTTGAAACTACAGATGTCCAAGGAAATTCAGGCTATATGCTCACCATATGTAGAGAAGGCAGGGAAATTTAATTGTTTGTAGAGAAAGAGACCCAAGACTTCGTAAAGCCATGGGATATGGAGTTGGGGGACCTGCCAGTCACCTTGTCAGTTCACTTCATTTTATAAAGAAAATTTCTAGTCTCAGGGAAGCCAAGCAACTTTCCCAACCAAAACGTTAGCTTTGCGTTAAGAGAATTTTAGAGATAGATTATTAACATCTTGCGGCTGAGATACTGTAAATATCTTCAAGAATTCCAACATTTTGAGCAATTGTAACTCCCAGAATAATTATTTTTGCTATAAATATTTTGCCCATTTTATGGTAGTATTCCAGGGTCTTTACTCCCAAGTCAAACTCAAATATTGGGAAAAGTCGGATCCTTTTTCTTATCAATTCCCACTTCACATTCCCCGTTGTGATCAGCTTTCTGAATTTATTTGTAATTATTTCTTCAGAAGAGAGAAATATGGATAATGGACGGAGGAACAGGAGAAAATGTTAGCATATTGACACAAAGGTTTCAGTATTCTAAATAATCAAATATTTGAAAAATATATATTTTGTCCTTTTGCCCTAGAGATATAAATTGACACAAAAATATTTACAAAACACATTAGTAGACATCAATGGGTCTAAAACTGTGGTCCTCCAAACCAGCAACATCAGCATCAGCTAGGAATTTGTGGAAAATGCAAATTTTCAGTCTCACCCCAAATCAGTTGAACCAGAAACTCTGGGGTGGGACCTGGCAATCTGTATGTATTTAAACAAGTCCACCAGGTGTTTCTAACCACTGGTACAGACAAATCAGACAAGCATAACCAGATTATTGGATGTCAGTTCTAAGTAATATAGGGGGTGAATATATCAAATCCTTTGGGAGAATAAAAGCTTAGTTGACTTCTATGGTGTATTCGTTTCCTATTCTGTATAACAGATTACCATGAATTTAGTGGCTTAAAACACCCCACATTTAATAAGCTTCGTAAGTTCCTGTGGATCAGGAATCCAAGCATAGGTTAGCTGGGTCCTCTGCTTTGAGTCTCACAAGGCTGCAATCAAGGTGTCACTCAGGCTGTATTTTCATCTGGAGGCTCAACTGGGGAAGAATGGGCTTCCAAGCTCCTTTAGGTTATTAGCAGAGTGCATTTCCTTGTGGTTATATGACCGGGCCTTGGTCTCTTATTGGCCATTTAATGGAGGCTGCCCTCAGTTCCTAGAGGCCACTCCAGTTATCTGCCATGTGGCCCTCTCCAGAGGCAGTTCACAGTGTGGCAATTTGCTGCTTCTTCAAGGCTTTCAAGGCCAGCAGGAGTCTCTCTCTAGTCTGCTAAGATGGTGTCATATATGTCATATAACATAATCATGGGAGTGACCTTCCATCACCTTTACCCTGTGACAGAGTTTAGATATATGTCCCTGCCAAATCTCATGTTGAAATGTAATCCCCAGTGTTGGAGGTGGGGCCTGGTGAGAGGTGCTTGGGGCAGGAGGGCAGATCCCTTATGGCTTAGTGCTGTCCTGGCAATAGTCAGTGAGTTCTCGTTAAAAGTGTGTGGCACTTCCCTGCCACTCTCTCTCTCTTGCTCCTGCTCTCACCATGTGACCTGCCTGCTCCTGCTTCACCTTCCACCTTGAGTAAAAGCTTCCTGAGGTCTCCTCAGAAGCTGAGCAGATGCTGGTGCCATGCCTGTACATCCTGCAGAAACATGAGATGAATAAACCTGTTTTCTTTATAAATTACCCAGTCTCAGGTAGTCCTTTATAGAAACACAAGAACGGCCTAACACACTACATAATGTAACTAATTGAGTGAGTGACTTCCTATCACCTTTAAAAAAAAAAAAAAAATTGGTCAAGAGCAGTGGCTCACGCCTGTAATCTCAACACTTTGGGAGGCCGAGGCAGTTGGATCACCTAAGGCCAGAAGTTCGAGACTAGCCTGGCCAACATGGCAAAACCCCATCTCTACTAAAACTGCAAAAATTAGCTGGGCATCATGGGCACCTGTAATCCCAGATACTCAGAAGGCTAAGGCAGGAGAATCACTTGAACCCGAGAGGCAGAGGTTGCAGTGAGCCGAGATCATGCCATTTCACTCCAGCCTGGGCAACAAGACTGAAACTCCATCTCAATAACAGTAATAATGATAATTTCAACCTTTATTTTAGGTTCAGGAGGTACACGTGCAGATTTGTTACATGGGGGTATTGTATGATGCTGAGGTTTGGGGTACAAATGATTCTGTCACCCAGGTAGTAAGCATAGTACCCCAATAGGTAGTTTTTCAGCCCCTCCCTCCCTCCCCTCTCCTCTCATAGACCCCAGCATCTGTTGTTGTCATTTTTATGTCCATGTGTACCCAGTGCTTAGTTTCCACTTTTTTTTTTTTCAAGTTGGAGTCTCGCTCTGTCACCCAGGCTGGAGTGCAGTGGCAATATCTCTGCTCACTGCAACTTCCACCTTCGAGGTTCAAGCAATTCTCCCTGCCTCAACCTCCTGAGTAGCTGGGATTACAGGCACCTGCCACCACACCCAGCTAATTTCTGTATTTTTGTAGAGACGGCGTTTCACCATGTTGGCCAGGCTGGTCTCAAACTCCTGACCTCAAGTGATTCACCCACCTCACCCTCCCAAAGTGCTGGGATTACAGGCGTGAACCAATGCGCCTGGCCAGTTTCCACTTATAAGCGAGAACATGTGGTACTTAGTTTTCTGTGCCTGTATTAATTTGCTTAGGATAATGGCCTCCAGCCACATCCATGTTGCTGCAAAGGATAAAATTTTGTTCTTTTTTATGGCTGCATAGTATCTCATGGTGTGTATGTACCACATTTTCCTATCACCTTTATATTCTGCTGGTTAAAAACAAGTCACAGGTTCTGTCTACACTGAAGGCCAGGGGATTCTACAAAGGTTTGACTTGTGGTTTAGGATATGTTCACCATGTTGCAGAAATTATATATATATTTTTTAACAAAATTGGCCACTATTTAGTATGCTTTTTTCTTTGTACATGAAGCACTTTTGAAAAAAAGTCACTGACTACAGTCTTAGTTACCAAGTTGAAATCAAAGATAGATTTTTCTTCCAACTGCAAGAAAAATTCAGTGAGTTTAGAAGAAAAAAGTTATTCTACTCAGCTGGGTTTGACAGAAACACTATTTCTGTGGCCTCCTGTCCCCATCCCCTAGTTATGCCTTAAGGCCCTTCTCAAATATCTTCTCCAGAAAGACTTTCCTAATACTTCTAACTGGAATTGTTCTCCATTTTAGTGCCCATTTATTATTGTACTTCCGGTTTACTTTACCATTATTTGGATAGATGATTTGTCTCTCTGTCTGGTTGGTAACTGAAGGTAACAGAAACTCAGCAAACAGATGTTACATTCATGAGATCACATATTTTATATATGTGTGTGTGTGTGTGTGTGTCTGCGTGTGTATTTTTTTTTTTTTGAGATGGAGTTTTGCTATTGTTGCCCAGGCTGGAGTGTAATGGCACAATCTTGGCTCACCGTAACCTCCACTTCCCAGGTTCAAGCGATTCTCCTGCCTCAGCCTCCCGAGTAGCTGGGATTATAGGCATGTGCCACCATGCCTGGCTAATTTTGTATTTTTAGTAGAGACAGGGTTTCTCCATGTTGGTCAGGCTGGTCTCAAACGCCCAACCTCAGGTGATCTGCCCACCTCAGCCTCCCAAAGTGCTGGGATTACAGGTGTAAGCCACCGTGCCCAGTCCACATATTATATTTTTGAAGCCTCTCCGGCAGTATAATATATGCTAACATAAGGTTTGATGAATTATAAAAGCAATTAATTTTAGGTATTGGGACACACTAAAATCTATCCAGTGTAGATTTCCACACTGGGAGAGCAATAGCCTGTCATAGCAGCTTTGCAATCAGATAGCCCTGAGATCCATGCCTGACATCTCCAATTAATGGCTGTGTGACCTGGAGCAAGAAACTTAATGTCGCTAAATCTCACTTTCCTTAATAGAGTCATTACTGAATAAATATCAAGCTATTCTTAATATCAACTTGGAAGTATTAACATTTCTTAACACAGTTCACACCAGGGCACGGACTCCACAGTTTAACCTCATCTCCAGGAGGTTAGCATGCACACGTATCATGTTCATTCGGTAGGACAGTAACCTGCTAGCAAATGTAGACTAAATAAACACTGGATCATTCCTGTAGTTATTTATAAATAGTCTCCATCTTTGGTTGTGATTTTAGTGGTTAGAATACTAGAAAAAGAGTGGGTAGAGGGACAGGACATAAGGAATTCCATGTTAATCAGTAGCATGGGAAGGCTGGTCATTTTCACAAAACCAAGGGAGATGAAATAAGATTGTCCTAAACACTGTTCTGAGAATTACACAGAACATGAAAGGCTGCTTGGAGTGAGTCAGAGCTGGGATGTTATAACAGATCCGGGCTCTGTCGAACACTCAGTCCCCCTTGCCAAATGTAGGAATTCACAAGATCAGGCTCAAACTTAAAAGTCAATTTCTTGTAGGCTGGGTGCTCACGGCTGTAATCCCAGCACTTCGGGAGGCCGAGGCGGGTGGATTGCTTGAGCACAGGAATTCAAGACCAGCCTGAGCAACATGGTGCAACTCTGTCTCTACAAAAAAGTCCAAAAATTAGCTGGGCTTGGCGGCATGCGCCTGTAGTCCCAGCTACTCAGGAGGCTGAGGTGGGAGGATCACTTGAGCCCAGGAGGCTGAGGTTGCAGTGAGCAGAGATCACGCCACTGCAGTCCAGCCTGAGGGAGACCCCGCCTAAAAAACAAAACAAACCAAAAAGTCTATTTCTTAAATACCATGCTAGAGTTATGTTCATTCCTTGCAGTCATCTAATCAGTTCCCATAACTTTCTTGATAAAAGGCAGATGTTGCTTTTCCATAGAATAGAGATGGTTATCTTGGCCAAGGTGTTTATGCAGGAGTGCGGGTACTAAGATGATTCTAGATTTGTACCTTTTTAAAAGTCTGTTGTACAGTTCTGTGTTCTGAGATTAGGTGGCATTGTGTTTCCTTTTTACGTTTTTTATTCTGTTTCCACAGAGAACATTTACACACTTTCAAATGATCCTGATAACTATTCCATACATATGATATCATTGGCATCTATATACTTTGAAAATATGGTAGTAATTTTTTTTTGCCATTTATATCTACTGGTGACCCCCATAACTTGAAGCTACTTTTTAGTGACCACAAAACTTACTTAAATTCCCAATGTATATTATTATTATTTCCAGTACCTAAAATCTTTTAAAACTTATAGTATAAATAATTACAAAATAACTTTGAGGAGAAATTTAGAGAGTGAAAAGAGTAAGAGAGAAGAGAAACAAGAGGAGGAGAAGAAAGAGGAGGCAGCCTAGACTTGTGACCAAAGCTTTTACATGGGGTGAAAAAAAGCTAAACTATATTAAGAGTACATTTATGAGACAATGGCAAAGCGAACAAGCAAGAGAAAGGATTTTGACATATCTCAGTTGACATTATGAAAACTCTCATTGCTTATCCTTGGAGGAAATATAGCAACCACCTGACTACTCACAAGCAGCAAATGCTAGAGAAGACTCTCCCCTCTTAATATCAATAAACTAATCCCCACCTTACATGCCATTTAAGTACAAGGAGAAAGTAGGGAGGTATATAGGCTTTTAGTTCTTTTAACATTTGAGAACCCATTTTGGCCCCAAGTTTAGATACCTCAACATTTCTGTCACTAACCTTCTTCCCTCCCTCCTTCCCCTGCTTCCTGACCCCCCAAACCCACCCCTTTGTCTCTCTCTCTCCCCCGACCCTCTCCTCCTCTTCCCTTGCTTCTGAGTTGGGAGGGATTTGAGAAGAATGAACCCATACCAACTCCGCCCTAGCCAGCATTCAAGATGGCCCCATGAATCTTGTCTCCTGGTATTCATGCTTTTTCTGTAGTCTCCTCCCATATGGACTCAGAGTTGGTCTGTGTAACTCACAGGGTGTAGTGGGGGTGACAGTGTGTCACTTCCAAGGCTGGGTTAAAAAAATGCACAGTGGCTTCCTACGTGCACCCTCTCTGTCAACTTCCATTTTGATAGGATGCTCACTCATCACGTGTAGAGGCCCATGCAGATAGGAACTGGGGCCTCCCAGTGACGACCAGCACCAACTTGCCAGCCGTGTGACCGAACCACCTTGGCAATGGATCCTTCAGCCATAGTCAGGCCTTTAGCTGACTGCGGCCTTGGTCAACATCCTGACTGCAAACTCACGAGAGACACAGAGCCAGACCCCCCAGCTAGACCACTGCCAAATTCTTGCCTCAGAGAAACCATAAGAGACAGTTAATGCTTATTGTTGTTCTAAGCCAATAAATTTTGAGGTAATAGGTTATGCAACAAGTACATACTATGTAATAGGTATGCAATAGTATACAATAATACAAATACTTTAAAAGAAAAGTCAGAAATCTAAGGATAACAAATTCAGAGCTTTTTAAAATAAGAATGTTATCTCCCTTGAGTATTTAGAGCCTCTAGTAATTGTCCTTGTAGAATTTGAAGAAGGTTGCAAACTTTCCTTCTTTGTTATTTAGAGAAAATGTGTAACAAAACCTATAAGAAATCACTGCTAATCTATACCTCAGGAGCCTCATCTCCTGATAACTTTTTTTGGCAAAATATCAGTGCTCTTCCATTGTGTGTGTTCAAAGTTTTAGTCATCCTTACTTAGTTAAGATGATTATATATGAGTATACCTTTTAGTTAACTTCCTTTTGATACATGGTTTATTTCATGCCTAGGGTAATGATTGATGTTTATTCAAATGAGCTGATGTGGATGCAAGTTCCTCAGTGCTATACAGTAAAATTGCTGTTGACATCTTCCAGAACAAAACTGAGATAAGATCCTAATTGTGGATTCCCAAATATTACTTTTCAAATACTGTTACATTATGCTGACTATTATTTTCCATTCTGGTGCTTCTTAAGCTCATTACATGGTGATGATTTGTATATGGGAACAGTCTGAAGAAAAACAATTGTGTGATTTTAGATAAAAACAGGATTCAACCGAGATATGGAGTATCTCAAAGTAAAATGTGCTATTCCCATCTTTCTATTCTGTGTTTGGCTCCAAGTCCTTAAACATTCATTCAATACACACTATACAGATGTTCAAAGAATGCCTAGTGTGCATTGCTTAGTGCTCAACTGTGCTAAGCATTATTCCACACATGGGGATGGAACAATGAACAAGACAAACAAAGGTTCTGCCCTCATGAAGTTTACATTTTAGTCTGGGAGACAGTTAATAGGAAAACAAGTATAAAACAATATAATGTGGGATATTGTTAAGTACTAAAAAGAAAAGGGTGGCCGGGCGCAGTGGCTCACGTCTGTAATCCCAGCACTTCGGGAGGCTGAGGTGGGCGGATCATGAGGTCAGGAGATCGAGACCATCCTGGCTAACACGGTGAAACCCCGTCTCTACTAAAAATACAAAAAAATTAGCCAGGCGTGGTGGCGGGCGCCTGTAGTCTCAGCTACTTGGGAGGCTGAGGCAGGAGAATGGCATGAGCCTGGGAGGCGGAGCTTGCGGTGAGCCGAGATTGCACCACTGCACTCCAGCCTGGGCGAGAGAGCAAGACTCCGTCTCAAAAAAAAAAAAAAAAAAAGGGCAGGGTAGAGGGATAGACAATGGCTGCAAAGTTGAGGGATCTAATTTAGATGGAGGATCAGGGGAGTAAAATATGGGCAGGGACTTGAATTATATAGAAAGAGCAAACCATGCAGAAATCTGGGGGAAGAACATTTCTAACGGGGAAAGATCACGTTTTTAAGCCGTGAGTGAACAGAAGCTTGGCATGTGGGAGCTTAAGAGTAAGAGATGAGAGAGGCTGTCAGAGTACATAGGGCATGATGGGGAAGGGGGATACAGTAGAAGATGAGATTGGAGAAATAAACAGGAAACTTGCAAGCCCGGGTAAGGACTTCGGTGTCTATTCAATGCATGATGAGAAGCCACAAGAAAATTCCAAGCAAGGAAGTTATGTGATCTAATTTAATTTTTTAAATAGCACACTTTGCAGCTGCATGAAGAATAGTCTGGAGGTAGCGAGAAAGCCAGCAAGACCCCTTGAAGGGTTACTGTAGTTCAGGCCAGAAACCATGGTGGCTTGTGGGGTGGAAGTAGTTAGTGGAGGCAATAAGAAGTGATGGGAGCTGCATCTGCTGCAAGAATGAAGGCTGTTCTCAGTAATCAGACTGTCCACATTCCAGAAAATGTCGACATCACTCTGAAGGGGCACAGTTCTTGTGAAAGGCCCTAGAGGACCCTGCAGAGGGACTTCAGTCACGTCAGTATAGAACTCGGGCTCCTTGGAAAGAAAAAGCAGAGGCTCCAGATTGACAAATGCTGAGAAGATGGGAATTGGCTGCCATGCGTGCTATCTGTAGTCATGCACAGAAGATGATCAAGGGCGTTATACTGGGCTTCTGTGACAAGATGAGGTCTCTGTGTTCTCACTTCCCCATCAATGTCATTATGCAGGAGAATAGCTCTATTGTAGAAGTCAGAACTTTCTTGAGCGAAAAATATATCTGCAGGGTTCGGGTGAGCCCAGGTGTTGCTTGTTCAATATCCCAAGCCCAGAAAGATGAGTTCATCCTTAAAGGAAATGACATTGAACTTGTTTCAAATTCAGCTGCTTTGACTCAGCAAACCACAACAGCTAAAAACCAGGATATCAGAACATTTTGGATGGTATCTATGTCTCTGAAAAAGGGACAGTTCAGCAGGCTGATGAGTAAAATCTAAGAGTTGTACAGCTACAGAAACAAGATGTCAGATAATTCCTAAGACCTATTTGTGATATTTTAATAATGCAATAAAAGACAGCTATTGAAAAATAAAGTAGTGATGAGGTTTCAAGACATGAATGATGGGATTTGCTGATGGCTAGCACTCAGGATGTAAGGGAAAGAGAAGGATTGAGGCTAACTATTGAGTTTTGGTCTAAGAACTGCATGAAAGGTGGTATTTATGGACGTGGTGAAGAGTAAGGGAGAGCAATTTGGGAGGTGGAAGAGAACCGAGAGATCTGTGGCCAGGTTAAGTTTGAGGTGTGTTTATACATTTCCATATGGGAATGTCAAGTAGGCAGCTCGAAATACAAATCGCAAAGATGTTGGACTCAAGCTATAAACTTGAGAGTCACCACAGGAGAAATTGTGTTTAAGGCCATGAGACTATTTGCTGTCTCTTAAGGCAGTGAATGTAAATAGAGAGAAGTTCTAAGAACCGGCCTTGAAGCACTCTAGCATTAGAGGCCGAAGGTGAAAAGGGGTACCCAGTAAGATGGAAAGCCCAGAAGAGTTTCCAGATGAGGACGATGTTTCAGGAAGAAAAGAAATGAGTGATCCATTTTATCCATGCTACAGAGTGTCCAAAACAAATGAGGACCGAGAATAATCTTTTGAATTGGACAAGACGAGGTCCTGGTTGACATTCCAGGAAGGGGCGGAGACAGAGCCTGAGTGAAGTGTGTTGAAAGAATGAAAGGTAGGAAAGTAGACACCATGAAATACAAACAGATGTTTCAAGGAATTAGCTGTGAGGACAAACAGAAAACTGATACAGTACCCAGCTGGAAATGTTGATTTCCTCAGATTTCTTATCTACAAGGTGAAAAATTTTAGATAACTTCTAAATCCCAATGTATTACATTGCCAAGTCAAAAAAACATCCTAGGGTGAGTGCCTGAAAGGCTAAATTGTGAAAAAGAGTCATTACTCGGGTTGTTGATGTCCTAAATATGATGGTGTCATTACTGACTAGGGAGGGTGCTAGCATCATTTGTATCCAATGCCCATGTAATGATTTGAGATGACAATGGAAACGTTAAGAAATAATTTAAATCTATTATGAGAACAACTCTCATTTATTAGTTTACTTGTAGCCATTTCTGTGATTCAAATGAGCATTATGATTATTTTCTGACAGAAAGAACGAAATCTCAGGACAGTTCCATGTCCATCTGTAATTAGACCTCATGGCCAGAGGGCCACAACAGTGAGGTATGTGACACATCACCTCTGGGCTGCTGTAGCTGGGCGGCATGATGACTAAGTGAAAATGACAACGGCAATAGTAACAGGTGTCACTATACCACTTTAGAATTTACAAAGCCTTTTCATAAAAATTAACATATTTAGGCTGGGTGGGGTGGCTCACGCCTATAATCCCAGCACTTTGGGAGGCCGAGGTGGGAGGATCACCCGAGGTCAGGAGTTCGAGACCAGCCTGACCAACATGGCGAAACCTGTCTCTGCTAAAAATACAAAAATTAGCTGGGTGTGGTGGCGCATGCCTGTGATCCCAGCTATCTGGGAGGCTGAGGCAGGAGAGTCGCCTGAACCTGGGAGCTGGAGGTTGCAGCAAGCTGAGATCACGCAACTACACTCCAGCCTGGGCGACAGAGCGAGACTCCATCTCAAAAAATAATAATAACATATTTAATCATAGGGACCATTTAAAATGCTCTTTCATTTGTATTAAATTAGTTCTCCAACTCTGACAGTTTGAGCATGGTTGGCCCAGCTATCCTGATGGCTCCTTCCTGCTATTTTTTTTTTAATGTTTAAAACTCATCTTTTCAAGCTCAAGAGCTGTTGCTTTGAAGAGGATTTGAATAAGCATCTGAAACTGTTGGCTCAGACATTGATCCAACTCAAATTTCCAAAGCTGCTACCAGAATGCTTTTCCCATACAGATCCAAAATGAATGTGAAATGCTGCCTGTCCTCTTTCTCCTGTCTTCCTTTCAGTGACTCCACTTTCTCCACAGTGGCCCTCCACGTCAGGCAGCCCTTCTAAAGAATCCACTGCTTGGGTGTGTGTGTTCCCCACGTTGCATTCAGAAGGCACATCCATGCATCTCAGGCGTGTAGGTTCTTCAGCATGAATCATGCAAACTTGGTGAACCATAAACCTCTCCCTGTGGATATGAGTTTGTTGGTATTTTAGTCTGCTTGGAAACAGTCTGAGAAACATTAAACCCAGCTTTTTTGAGGTTAGTCCAAATTATTTTTTTAGACTAGAGAAAAAAAAATATTATGTCTCCTAAGGAAACTTGTAACCACGAACAGTAAATTTTAAATGTTTTAGAATGGTTTTCTTTTTCCCCCTCCCACATCCCCCACTTGTGCATAGTTGAAATCCCTAGTTTCTCTCACCAAGAAATACTACATGCTAGACTCACAGATCCATGGGCTGGGCCTGTGCAAATGGATTTCTTAGATTAAAAGTATAAAAACAAGGCTGGGCATGGTGGCTCATGCCTGTAATCCCAGCACTTTGGGAGGCCAAGGCGGATGGATCACCTGAGGTCAGGAGTTCAAGACCAGCCTGGCCAACATGGTGAAACCCCGTCTCTACTAAAAATACAAAAAAAAATTAGCCAGGCGTGATAGCAGGTACCTGTAATCCCAGCTACTCAGGAGGCTGAGGCAGGAGGATCACTTGAACCCGGGAGGCGGAGGTTGCAGTGAGCCGAGATCGTGCCATTGCACTCCAGCCTGGGTGACAAGAGTGAGACTCCATCTCAAAAAAAAAAAAAAAAAAAAAAAATATATATATATATATATATATATATATATATATATATATATAGAAACAATATATGCTCCATTATACTGACCCCACCAATCTTACCCTTTCTCCACTTTTCCAGTTCAATCATCCCCTAAGTATTCGTGTATAGTAGGATTTTAAAATGCACAGTACCATTCATGTGCAGAAAAGCACCTTTATTTATAAAATATGAATTCAACTTGCTCTACTTGGCAGGAAGGTACCTAGACCTCACTCACCTATTCAAGGAAACTGAGTCACTTCCTGTTTCAAACCACAGTTTTTCCAGGTTAACTCAATCTCTGTAGCATTTACCATATCCAGCCTCAAAGGACCCCACCCATCCATCCTTTCTTTGTTCCTTTGGGGAAAGAGGAACCTGTGAGAAGAAGAAAACCACAGGGAAATAAGACTTTGAGTTTGGAGAAGAATAAGAGAGCATTATAAAGTGATAAAACCTAAACATGGTTCATTAGGAAAAAGTGACTGAAATTCTAATCCTGTGCAGGTCCAGGATTATGAGGGAAGCAAAAAGAATGCCACTGACACTAGAATAGAGTATTTCCTGCTGGGCATGGTGGCTAATGCCTGTAATCCCAGCACTTTGGGAGGTGGAGGCAGTGGATCGCTTGAACCCAGGAGTTCGAGATCAGCCTGGCCAACATGGTGAAACCCCATCTTTACTAAAAATACAAAAATTAGCCAGGGGTGGTGGCTCACGCCTGTAATCCCAGCTGCTGGGGAGGCTGAAGCATGAGAATTGCTGGAACCCAGGGGGCAGAGGTTGCAGTGAGCTGAGATGGCACCACTGCACTCCAGCCTGGGCGACAGAGACTGTCTCAAAAAAAAAAAAAAAATTTATGTGCTGTCACAACTGCAAGGCATGAGGCCTCTCTCCCTCCCTGGCGTTTCCACATGGCACTTCCCCTTGTGTTTGACGTGTCAGCCTCTGTCCTCATTGCAAATCTCCTCTGCCTTCCAGCCTCAGTCTCTGTACAGACTCTGCCCTCCTCATCTTGGCTGCAGGGTTGTCAGGTTCTTTGGCCTTCTCATCTCACAGCCACAGGAGCGTTTGTGAACTTGTGATCCTCCCTAGTTCCCGGCTCTGGCAGTGGGTGCGGGGAGGCCTCAACACAGCCAGCCCCTTGGTTACTCTACTGTGACTACCTCCTTTTGGCTCCGGGCTCGGTGACCTACTTCCAAATACCAAATTGCAGCATGGGACTTTTCTGATTTTCATTTGCCCCCTCAAATCTATGAGGTTTCTATGATCTCTTTCATCTCTTCTCTTTCTCGTGAGTTACAAGGGAGTAGGGGCGTACCGGGTGCCTCAGAAGGAACCCAAGTAGCAATTTCACCATAGTCTCATCCCTCCAAATTTCTCCTAAAAAATATTCCCTCAATCCAGGATTTTTACTACTTCCCTCTGTGGAGAGAAACCCCATGTCTAACATCTGTCTCACCCAAGAGCATGCTGGAAAATTCTTTGGCTTCAAAGTCCAAAGATTGATTCTGGATATTGAATGTCCAGCTAAGGGAAACCAAGAAAAGACTTTTCTGTTTTCTCCTTCAGGTACCTGGTCCTTGAAATTGAAACCTAGACACTTATGCCTATTGTTTTTCTTGTAACTTTCAAAATCTATTTTGATGTCAAAATGGAACAATGGTTTTTTTGTTATCCATCGAGTTCTGCCCTTCTCAAGAAGTATGGATGGCTCAACCTCAGCAGATGGAAAGCTACAGGGAAATAGGAAGTACCATCTCAAGGAAAAGAAATGTGCCTCATTAGAAATGTCCGATGCATTTTTTGTTCTCAGTCGTTCTTGCAACCCAAGGACTGAGTTGCAAGTCAAAGTGTTTATCAATGTTAAGTTTGAACCAAAGACAAAAATCTCTGTTGTTCTTTCCTTCTTAGTAGTTCTTAAACTACTTATATATTAGAACGCTGCTGTGGAGGAAGAAATATTTTTAGTTTTTCATACGGAAAAGTTTTAAGACACACATTTCCATGGAGTATATTTTTCCCACAGTGTTTTCCAAAGCCTCTGTCTTTGGCTCAGCATTTCTCCAACTGGAAGTTTCACCAATGAGTCCCCTGTGTTCCTGTGGTCCGCTGTAGGGCTACTCTGGAGTCTCTGGCTTATTAGCATGTAAAACTCGGAGATTCTTTCCCTCCAGTTAAAGTCATATCCACAGGATTTACATGAAATATATTATATATGGCACCTTTCTTTGTAAGGTAGCTAGAAAGTGGCTTTGGGAATTTTTTTTCTGAGACGAGTCTCTCTCCGTCACCCAGGCTGGAGTGCCATGGTGCAGTCTCAGCTCACTACAACCTCCGCCTCCCGGGCTCAAGCGATTCTCCTGCCTCAGCCTCCTGAGTAGTGGGGACTACACGCACACACCACCACGCCCAGCTATTTTTGTTGTTGTTGTTTGTTTTTTTTTTTTTTTTTTTTTTTTTTTTTTTGTAGTTTTTTGTTTTGGTAGAGACGGGGTTTCACCATGTTTCCGCGGCTGATCTCAAACTCCTGGGCTCAAGTGATCCACTGCCTCCGCCTCCCAAAGTGCTGGGATTACAGGCGTGAGCCACCGTGCCCGGCAGGAAATATTCTATTCTAGTGTCAGTGGCATTCTTTTTGCTTCCCTCATAATCCTGGACCTGCACAGGATTAGAATTTCAGTCATTCTTTCCTAATGAACCATGTTTAAGTTTTATCACTTTGTAATGCTCTCTTATTCTTCTCCAAACTCAGTCTTATTTCCCTGTGGTTTTCATTTATAAGGGAAGAAAAGAAAGGACGACAAGTCTATTTTTAGGGATCCATTAAAAATTCATTTTTTAATAGTCCATAAACATTGCGAAGTAACTTGGGACTCATACATACAATTCTGATTATTTTAAATTGCTTCATGTGATAATTGCAAGCATTTATTGAGCATTTACACATTACTGAACTTAAAACACATAAAAATGCCATTCTCGGCTGGGCGCAGTGGCTCACACTTGTAATCTCAGCACTTTGGGAGCCAATCCAGGCAAATGGCTTGAGTCCAGGAGTTTGAGACCAGCCTGGCCATCATAATGGAACCCCATCTCTATTAAAAATACAAAAATGAGCCAGGTATGGTGGCATGTGCCTGTCATCCCAGCTCCTGGGGAGGCTGAGGTAGGAGGATTGCCTGAGCCTGGGAGGTTGAGGTTACAGTGAGCCAAGATTGTGCCTGTGCACTTCAGCCTGGGCGACTGGAGTGAGACCCTATCCCAAAAAAAAAGAAAAAGCCATTCTCTGGCGATCATTAAAAAGTCAGGAAACAACAGATGCTGGAGAGGATGTGGAGAAATAGGAATGCTTTTACACTGTTGGTGGGATTGTAAATTAGTTCAACCATTGTGGAAGACAGTGTGGTGATCCCTCAAGGATCTAGAACCAGAAATACCATTTGACCCAGCGATCCCATTACTGGGTATATGCTCATTGGATTATAAATCATTTTACTATAAAGACACACGCACACGTATGTTTATTGCAGCACTGTTCACAATAGCAAAGACTTGGAACCAACCCAAATGCCCATCAATGATAGACTACATAAAGAAAATGTGGCACATATACATGATGGAATACTATGCAGCCATAAGAAAGGATGAATTCATGTCCTTTGCAGGGATATGGATGAAGCTGGAAACCATTATTCTCAGCAAACTAACACAGGAACAGAAAACCAAACACCACATGTTCTCACTCATAAGTGGGAGTTGAACAATGAGAACACATGGACACAGGGAGGGGAACATCACACACTGGGGCCTGTTGGGGTAGGGGGCAAAGGGAGGGAAGCATTAGGAGAAATACCTAATGTAGATAACAGGTTGATGGGTGCAGCAAACCACCATGGCACATGTATACCTATGTAACAAACGTGGACATTCTGCACGTGTATCCCAGAAGGTAAAGTATAACTTTAAAAATGCCATTCTCTACAGAATTTGATAAATTTTTAATCTCAGAGCTTGAAATCAGTTACAACACTGTTTTAATCTATGAAATTATTTCAGTGTCTTTCTATGAAATTTAGACCCAATCTTCAGATACCATAGAGTACCTACTATGTGCCGGGTGCTCTAATTAGAATCTTCCATTTCATTGTCATTTAATTCTCACAAGAACCCTGCTAAGCAGGTGGCATTATCTCCTTTCCACCTGTGAGGAAACAGGTTCACAGCCGTTCCACAGCCCCAAGCCTCACATGGAGTAAGAGGTTGAGTAAGATCTGAAGACACATGGCACTTTTAGGCCACACAGTGTCCAAGGTATTTAAATGAAGTAGATGACTGAGTGTTTTTTAAGCCACACACTTACAGAAAAGACACTAGGAGATGAGCAGAAGGTGTTTCCCTGGAGATGCTGCCCTGGTACCACAGCAGCAGGAGGTGGGACAAGCTGACTTCTACTCTGAGTGAGTTAAGAACCTCAGGGCTGCTCTGGGATAGAGACAGCATGAACACCAGTGCATGGAGCCATTGTACCCTGGCCATGGTTTTTGTTTTAGATCAGCATCAGGTTCAGAAATCCAGAACCAAAAAGAAATGAATGCAACTCCCATTCCATCAGGTCAGGAGTGACCAGGCCTCCCACAGACCTTTGCCTGTTTCCTCCCCAAGCGAGCCTCAGAGCCTTAGAAGCCCTCTCCCACATGGTCTTGTATTAAATCATGTTCTTCTAGGTCAAATAACAAGGGTCCGTTATTCATGCCTCTGTTTATTTATTCATATGTGTATTCATTTTATTCACCTATAAATATTTACTGCAGTAATATTAACCAGCGTCCTTGTGGATATCAGAGTGCCACGGATATAAATATGGGAAGAAAAAGAAACCACTTTAAAGAAAAAAATTCTTTTAGAGAGTATACTTACTATATGTCTTCTTATAGATATGGGACTTTGTCAATGGTGAGTGCTCAGTAAATATTCAGAGACGAATAAAATGAATAAACGTATGAATGAACAGAGGAGTGAATAATGGACCCTTGTTACTTGACCTGAGAGAACATAATTTAATACAGGACCAATTTCTATCATTTTCCTATAAGTAATGTATTTCTATATTACATATGATATTTTGATATAAATTATATTTTATAAGTAAATCACCTCTAGGCTGGAAAACTCACCCTATGTTGGCCCCTAGGAACATTTAAAAAAATTTTTTTAGAAACAGGATCTTTCTATGTTGTCCAGGCTGGAGCACAATAGCTATTCACAGGTGCAGTCATAGCACACTACGGCCTCAAATTCCTGGGCTCAAGAGATTCTCTTACCTCAACCTCCAGAGTAGCTCCGACTACAGATGTGTGCCACTGTGCCCAACTTTTAGAGATTTTTTTTTTCTGGCTCAGAAAAAATCCCTCTCAGTATGTTTATTCCAAACCCTTTCTAACAGGTGTCCATGCGTTAGGCAAAAAGCCTTACAGCTTCTCAGATTCTTCTCAGATTCAAAGATTCATCTGTATTCATCATTTGAGATTCATCTCAAAGACTTGCTTAGAGATGACCGTACCATCTCTAAGCAAGTTTTCCTTTCTCTCTAACCTGCTCCTTTGGTTCCCGCACCTCTCTTGGCTCCAGGTGTCAATAAACAACACCTTTGTCAGCTCTTTCCATTGCCTCCTCCTGGTCAGAGCATGCTGAGTGAGCTTCACTTAAAGCCTCACTTTTGCATCGGATAACTTTTTCTCATTTGAATCGAGGGTTTATACACTGCCCAATATACCATATCCAATATAAACAGGAAAGAACATGATTTCTTTGTAGTAGGTAGCCTCCCTTCTAGGTCTTCTTTTACAGTGTGATGGTTATCAGGCTTAGGAATCAGAAAAAGTTAGTCTGAATCTAATCTCTAGTCCTTAGCTTTAACCTGGGCAAGTTATTGCCATCATCTGAAAAATGAAGATAAAAAGAATGATGAACAAATGAGATCACATATGCAAAACATACAGCACAATATTTGAAAATAGAGAAGGTTTAGTAAATGGAAGCGATGATGCTGAAGGAGGGAGAAGGAAAAACAGAGTAGAAGAAGAAGAGGAGAAAATTGCTAAATAATGAGTAGCCATCTTGAGAGACAGAGAGCGTGGCCCAGAGGACATGAGAGATTAGGAACTGCTGCGTTTTATAGGGAAAGGGAACACAAGGGTAGGAATGTACTGGAAATTCCATCCAAAGAGGACTCAAGGTAATGCAAGTCAGAATGGGTACTTGGGAGCATGGGATGACCTCAGAGCCAAGGTGATATTACATCCCACTGTCACCCACTTCACACTGTGGTCTTAATTTAGCTACACGTTCATGGACAAGAAGTTCAGAGCCAGCTCACACTGCAGAACTGGGTTCCGGTTTTATAAGCTAACTTACTGTTTGCCACAGATTGTAACCTCTTTCCCAAAGAACAGACATACCAGGAGCCAGAAAGTAGCTTTTAATTAATGAATTTGTCATCTGCTGCTCAGTGGTAATGAGGGAAATCCTGTGCCATACATTCTTTTAAGTGTAGATTCAGGATCTGGATATGTACTAGTGAGGTCAGCAATTCAGCCCTTTACCTCTGATTGTGGGCCAAATAAATGGCTGAATTACTCATGGGGGTGTGGATTTTGTTAAGTGTGGTGGGTAGGGGTTGGGAGGAAGAGAAGAGGGTGTGTCTTTCTTGGCATAGGCCAAAATGAATGAAAATGCTTTGAATGTTATTATAATCTATTCTGTGACCATGTCCAGGTGGCTTTCTGCCATGGCTCTGGGCACACCCATATGGACTTAGTCCCTTTCTGTAGGGATTTCACAGTTTCTGGTTGGCAGAGTAAGGACCCAAGCAGGAAGATTTTCTTCCCCACCCAACACACCCCTGAATCCTGCCAAATGTGAGGTGTGGGAGTGATAATATCAACGCAATAATACCAATAGTAACCACAATAGGTTCTTAAGAAACTGGAAAAGGGTACTGAGAAGTTTTTTCCACCTTTTTTGTATGCCTAGTTTGCTACATTGCTCCTAAGTTCCTAGACTTCTGGGCAGCTCTGCCTATGGAATAGCCATTCTTTTACTCCTTTACTTTCTTAATAAACTTGCTTTCACTTAAAAAATAATAAGTTCCTAGACTTCTCTTTAGTGAATACTAGAGCTCTACCTGAAAGAACCCACATTTTCAGGTCAATTCCCAAAACTCAAATGGTAGTGTCATGGACTTGAAAGCAGTCTTAGGGACTGTCCATTCCAACATTCTGCCCATCACAGACATTCCCTGGGAGCACCCAAGGCAGGCGGTTGTCCAGCCTGTGAATGGACACATGCAGAGACGGAGAGCCTGTTTCCTGAGAAGGCCAAGCCATGATGGGCATCTGTAGTGGCTGCAAGACAGCATAATGCGGGGGAAAGAGTATAGGATTGGGAGGCATGGGAATTGGTTCAGTGCTTGTTCTTCCACTGACCAGCTGAACGACCTTCGGGAGAAGTCACTGCGCCTTAGAATGAGTCACTTATCAACTATGAAGCTGTTGGATATGATCTCAGTCATTCTAGCAATAACATGGTCATTTAAAGTTGTTTTTCTACGTCTAGCCAAAACTGGCCTCCTGTAACTGCCAGCTATTGGTGTTAGTTCTAATTTTGAGAAATGTAGAGGATGGGTCTTATCTCATTGGTGTGGCAGCTCATCAAGTATTTAAAGATGGCTGCAATGACCCTGTAAGTTATCTCTTCTTTAGTATAAACATCTCAAGATACTGTAAATCTTCCTTTTATGACTTGGCTTTCAGAAATCTTCCTCCTCCTGACAGTCCTCTTCCAGACAGACTCAACTCTTTAAATTATGGTCCCTAGAATTGGATGCAACATTTCACAACCGGCCAAATAAGAGCCCAGGAAGTACTGGGACTGTAACAACCCAACCCTCCACAACTATCTCTGCCTTTCATCTAGACCCTGTGCTGCTTTTCACTTAAGTTTGCCTTTGCGTTAGTTATTTCAGCCTCCATCGTCATCTCATGCCACAGACTGTGCCTGTGGTTGGGTACAGCCACCAGGCCCTTACACATGACCTGCTCTCCAGCCACTTCTCCCCTGTTCTGGACAAACACATAGAATGATTTCCCCCTTTTCACTATACAATTAATATATATGCATAGTAATGTAGAAAGCTGAACAATAGCTGCCCAAATTGCAGTATCCAGAGATAACATTGTTAACTTAGGCTAATACCAGTAAATTATTTTTAATAACAATGTCAGCATTCATGGTTTTCCTTACATACTGAGGTTTATTTACTCCCTGTCTCTGATTTTTTTTTTTTTTTTTTTTCCGAGACAGAGTTTCGCTCTTGTTGCCCAGGCTGGCCTGCAGTGGCGCGATCTCAGCTCACCACAACCTCCGCCTCCCGGGTTCAAGCGATTCTCCTGCCTCAGCCTCCCAAGTAGCTGGGATTACGGGGATGTACCACCACACCTGGCTAATTTTGTATTTTTAGTAGAGATGGGGTTTCTCTATGTTGGTTAGGCTGGTCTCAAACTCCCAACCTCAGGTAATCCACCTGCCTCGGCCGCCCAAAGTGCTGGGATTACAGGCATGAGCCACCGTGCCCAGCCTCTGATCTTATATCATTCCTCTTACCCTCAGTGGAAGACCTCAGTCCAAGCCTGGCTTTCACCCCTACACCAGCCCATCTTTCCAGCCTTGTCTCCACCATTGCCCAGCTGTTATCCATACCCACCATGGTTCAGACTTCCATACTCCCTGTAAGCTCCTAGAATCTTCCCTCATCTCCCTCATTTGACCTTTTGGAAAACCTCCTGTTCATCCTTCAAGACGTAGTTCAAATGTTACCTCTTCCGTGAAGTTTACCCGACTTCCTCTCCCATCCGCATTCCACTGGAATCCCCGGTTCTTTTATCTATATTTCTGTTGATCTTTGATACTACTCTTTTATAACACATGAGATTGTAATTAATTGGATGCACCTGACCACAATCAAGTCCTACCCTGGGAGCCACAATATCATTGGGCAAACTTTAGTCTATTGTCCAAACTGTAGCATATAAAAGCCGTGTCAAAAAAGGAAAAGCTAAAACATCCGCTCTACCTGTGAGTGCTCTTCTTTGAATGTTCACATTAATTACCCTGAACCTGGAACACTTTGTTTTAAGACATGGATGATCAGACGGTGGAATAAAGGTCAAGATGAAGGATAGAGGGAAGAAACAAAGATATGTTCTATTTAGTAGGTTCAGGGCAATTCGTTTCAGAAAAGTTTCTTACATTTATATACTACATGCATGACTATATGCATATGATCTATTTATTAAAATTGTTTTTATTCAGCATGTGTCACATAGACCCAATTTATTTTTGGAGAGCATAGACTAACATAAAAAATAAATAAATCTGGCCATGGCAGCTAATTTGAATGGTATGTTTTTTCTTTTGTTTTTTTGAGATGGAGTCTTGCTCTGTCACCAGGCTGGAGTGCAGTGATGCCATCTCGGCTCACTGCAACCTCCGCCTCCTGGGTTCAAGCAATTCCCATGCCACAGCCTCCTGAGTAGCTGGGGCTACAGGCACACACCACCATGCCCAGCTAATTTTTTGCATTTTAGTAGAGATGGGATTTCACCATTTGGCTGGCAGTGATGCCATCTCAGCTCACTGCAACCTCCGCCTCCTGGGTTCAAGCAATTCGCATGCCACAGCCTCCTGAGTAGCTGGGGCTACAGGCACACACCACCATGCCCAGCTAATTTTTTGTATTTTAGTAGAGACGGGATTTCACCATTTGGCTGGGATGGTCTCCATCTGACCTCGTGATCCGCCCCCGTCGGCCTCCCAAAGTACTGGGATTACAGGCATGAGCCACCACCCAGCCGGTATGTGTTTTATTTGAGTGTGTATAGATGACTTTTCCAGTGAAGAACATTCATTGTATCCCAGTCAAATATTAAAAATAAGCTGTTCTCCTGGCTTCTATAAATCAGATTTCCACGCACACAATCCTGGAAGAGTATATCTGTGCACATGCCTGCCCTGGAGCTATCCGTTAGAACTGTCCTCACAGTGACGTGGAAAACTTTGCCTCATCTGTATAAGGTCTCGTCTTTAGAGAGAGGAGAAAGGATTGGGAATTTCAGGCTTGAATCTCTGAAGGTGCAAAGCTTGAAAGGTTGAGATGGAGAGCAGAGTCTGGGAACTCTGTGTCTCTGCCTTGGTCTGTGACAGATGGGGCCGGGCTGGTCTCAAAGCCGTTGCCTAGAACTCAACCGTGGGCTGGCGTTACCCTTTTGAACTCCCCCTGCCTGCTACAATTCTTCTCTGCTCTATCATGGGTCCCAGGACAGTTTCTGCTCCAGACTGTCTGAGGAGCTTAGGGAACTCTGAAAGGAAACCTTTTAAGTCTGCTTTTCTTGAGAATGCTAACCCTGCAAAACTTGGCCAGACATCACATTGGGTCTCCCTCTGTGGTGACTCAGAAATCTCAAGGAGAGCAGGAAAATCTAGAGGAACACTCATAATGTTGAAAGGGCCAGAGGGCAGGAGGGATGAAATTTGTGTTTCCATTGAGTGGGTGATATTTTTCATTTCAAAGCCTGATGTAAAATCTTGCTGGTTTTTAGTTATCTACAGATTGAGAATATAAACACTGCTATTAAAATATTTCATCTCTCCCAAATGAGGCCATGCACAAATTTCCTTCTATGTGCAGAGCCTTCAGCAACATCCATACCAAGCACAGGCAGACATCCAAATCTACTCTTTTTACTTGAAGGGAAACAGTGCTATCTCTGTAGGAGACAGAGGCTGAGGGAAAGGAAGAGAGGGGTCTTGGAAGGTCAAGGCTGAGTTGGGGGAGAGGGCAACATTCATAGGTCAGGAAAGGCAAACCAATTATAATGATTTCTTTCTATCACTAGCAACATCTACTCTGGAAACGGTTGTCTAAGGTTATGCCCTTTCTGGTAATATTCAGACTTGGAGTACTTAAGCTTAGTTAAAAGAATTTGCTAGCACTTTAAATGTTGGATTGCTGGCGAGAATAGAAAAGCCTGTCTCCCTTCAGGCAAGGTCCTGCCCTGTGCTTTTGTGTGTACCCCTCTGCCCTGAGAATAGCTGGGCTATTGGAGGTTCACACAGTCAATAACCACTGAACTGCACCCGTGGGTAGCTCTCCAGTGCTGCCTGCTCATTTAACAGGTCCTTATGGAGATGGGCCTGATACACAAGTGCTGGCGATCTTCAGGACAAACCCAATAAAATGAGAGAACCTAAGCTTGGCTTCTAACCTTCCTGGGAAAAGGAAGTGTCTGTGGTTTTCATAGAGCATTCAGATCTTTTTTGTACTTCTGTCTTTTTCCATTGAAGATGGAATTGTTCTACCCTCTCCAAAGTCAGCCCTGAACCAAGGGGTTTTCCATGACTTTCTGTGACCATCAACATTCAACTGATGCCTGTTTCCTATACACTTCAGAGAGAGCCAGAGCTTCACAAGCCAATTAACACATTCCTAAGAATCAAAACTTAGTTTCTGGGCTGGGCGCCATGGCTCACCCCTGTAATCCCAGCACTTTGGGAGGCTGAGGCGGGTGGATCACTTAAGGCCAGGAGTTCAAGACCAGCCTGGCCAACATGGCAAAACCCCGTTTCTACTAAAAATACAAGAACTTAGCTGGGCATGGGAGCGGGCACTTGTAGTCCCAACTACTTGAGAGGCTGAGGCTGGTGAATCACTTGAAGCCAGGAGGCAGAGGTTGCAGTGGCCAAGATTGCACCACTGCATTCCAACCTGGGTGGGCAACAGAGCAAGACTCCATCTCAAAAAAAAAAAAACAAAAAAAAAACCTTAGTTTCTGAAACCCATAATGCAAATACATGTTCCTCCAAAGGTCTCAATGTTCTTATCTCAAAATACACATTTTATTGCTTTTGAAATACATGATTATCATATCCCTTTGGCATGAATTTGTATGAATCCTTAGATTTAAGTATGTAAAATATAATAAAAACAAAAGTGTGTGAATACCCCCTACTGCAGAGTTATGCAAGCCTAATATTCAAAGCATGACATATTAAATATTATACCTTAAAGACAGAATTAGAACATGAACACATGTATAATGTCTTTGCCTCAACTTCAAAAATGCACAGTTGTTGAGAGCCTGGAAGAGACATTCAGGAACGGGCTGCAACAAGCCTTGCTCTGGTGTGGTCCTGCTTATCCAATTGTTGCTCAATAATGTCCCTTCCCGGAGGCATAGAAGGCAGGCACCCATACATTCACACCCACAAAAATGTCACCTCATTCCCCAGAGATTGCCAGTCTGGGCATTGACCTTCACTTAAGCAGGGCATCAGTGTGATGTGGTCCCCCTGCTGGAAGTGGAATTGTTTCTAACTCTGGGTGCCCACACCATAGAGGGCTTGTCTACACTTGGTCTCAGCCATCACCCCCCAAACACACCCAGCTCTTTACCACCTGATTCCCTCAAGGCGACTCTCCTTCCCTCTGCCAGCACCCCTTGGTTGTAGCTTTGGGGACCCTGGATGTTTGAAAGTTTCATTTGTCCACAATCCAGGTATAAGTCCCCCTTCCCTGGATTCTAGGGAGGGCAGCAGCGGCATGTCGTTGTCACTCAGCTTGCTAATCAAGAGAGAACCCCAGAAAGAGTATTTAGGAGATAAGAGGGGTAGTATATATTTTTGTAAATAGAAACTTGTTTTCTATTAATAATTAACCATTTTTCTGATAGCAAAAACATCAGCACAGGTATACTCTATCCATTTATGGTTGGTTAACACACAGAACCTTTTCTACTGAGTAGGGTTAATAATACTTAGTATGTGCCTAGCATTCAACACTCACAACAGCCTTGCGAAATAGGACTATTTTTATTCCCATTTTACAGGTAAGGAAACAGAGACCAGAGGTGCAATAACTTTCTTAAAACGACTAGAGGGAGCAAGTGACAGCTAGGACTTGAACACAGGCTGTTGGCCTTCAGGATCTAGGCTCCTAACACAATGCACCAAAGCCAAGTCAGTGCCAAAGTTATTCCATACAAACGGCACTTGTTCTTTCACCCTTTCAATGTTCATGTTATCTCTGCTCTTATTTTCATCTTCATTGTACACCTCCCCTTACATGTATTTGCAAGTCTCTCACTTTGCAAAATGGAACTGATAAGTACTAAACCTCCTCAAAAAAAGCACAAACAGCCCCAGAGTGATGATGCCCAAAACTTAAATGACCACAGCAACCAGTGCCATGCCAGTGAGTTTTGGAGCTGAGCTTTGGTCTTGTCCATAGAAGCTTTTAAGTTGAAAGCTTATAAATAGAGGGTTTCTATATTCTGTGAATGATAGAGGTACACAGTTCCAATTGTATTCTGTATTACGTGTATGTGCCCTCTTTGCATAAATGTGCCTGACACTGTAGTGGAGGCCAGCTTCTTGAAAGCAAAAAAACACGCATCCCATTCATCTCTGTATTTCCAGGGCTCAGCACTAGTGGGTGCTCAATAAATATACTGAATGAATGAATAAAAGTATTACTGCAAAGATCAGTAAGTCCCATGCCAAAAAAAGAAAGGAAGAAAAAAGAAAGGGAAGGAAGGAGTGAGCGAGGAATGAAAAGAGAAAGAGGGAAAGAGGGAAGGATGGTGAGCCTCTTCAGAAAGACGGCTGCTCATGCTTGCTCTCTTGGGCATGGAGTGGGTCACTGGCTGGACGTTTAATGGGTTTACATTATTCCTTAACAGTCATTGTTTCAAAATGAGGCATCTCTGATGGCTCCATGCTGGCTTGTCTCTTTCCGCCTATGACATTCTCTCAAGAGTTTAGAGTAGGAGAGGATTTTAGAACATGATAGTAACAAGTAAAATTAGTATTTTTTGGACTCCAGGTACCTGTTTGAAATTATATTGTTTAGAATATAACAATAACAGTGAAATTAAATTGTTGTCTTAAAGTGAATAACTGTAAAGCCATGTGTGATCTGAACCCCCGAGCCTGCCCTTATCTATCAAAATCCTGGTGTCTGAAGAAGTCCAAAATGGAAACACACTCTGAACAGATTTCCGGCAGGAGCTTCCACCAGGTTTTCTTCGTGGCAAGCCCTAGAAATAGTCTGGACTACAAGCAGGTCTTTTTAAAACCATGCTCCTTTATTTAATCATGAAGATTTAAAGTTTATAAGTTTAGAAATTCAGGGATAAAAATAACCCACTGAGTGTCAGGCCTGATTGCTAAGTGCTGTTCAGGTGTGATCTCACAGCTCTCTCAGCATTTTCATCACTGCCACCACTTCACAGGTGAGAAAAGTGAGGCAGACAACAGACAAGTTACTGGTCTAAGTGGTAGAATAAAAATATAACCCCAGCTCCAGAGCCTCTGCACTCAGCCATCATCGTGTACTGCCCCGCTGTGAATTTCATCTAGGATATGCCAAGACCTGCTGATTTTTCGTCACTTGCCTTTTCTTATTAATGTCTGTTCCTTGGCGACAATGGCATCTGCTGAGCCCCACCCGGCCTCCCCACCCACCTCGCCGCCTGTTCTCTCCCTCAAATCCGAAAGGTCACGGGTACACACCCAACTTCAGATAGCATTTAGTTAGCTTCCCCTCCAACACTGAGGAAATGTTCATTAAATGCTCCAGCCATTTAACAAGTCTATTTAACTTCATTTTCAATTTAACCATGTATTATTTCAGTTTCCTTTTCCTCCGTATTGTATAGCCCTGGGAATAAGAGTTGGAAATGTGCCTATCATAAGCTGAGTCACATTTTATGTGTCCCCTCCTCTCAAGCCACTGTTTTCTCTCTCTTTTTTTTTTTTTGCGATTAAAAAAAATATATATATCCTGTGTAAAATAAAACAGATTCAGAAAACTGCGTAAAACAATTCATTATATAATTTGTATATATAATGAATGAAAGAAATAGAACTTTCTCCTTGTACTTGCCTCAGAAGCCATGTGACCCAAGCCAGTCACAGCCCCTGCCACCTTCAAAGTCAGCATTGTATTAACTTATAGTACTTACATCCTTGTGGATTTTTTTCATTGCAGATAATTTTTAACATTTTTGAGGTATAATTGCTATATATAAGAAAGAGCACATATTTAACGTATGCAATGTAATAAGTTTTGACATATGTACATGCCCTTGGAAGCATTATCACAATTAAGATAGCAAATACTGGCTGAGTGCGGTGGCTCATGCGTGTAATCCCAGCACTTTGGGAGGCCAAGGCAGGCGGATCACTGGAGGTCAGGAGTTTGAGACCAGCCTGGCCAACATGGTGAAACCCTGTCTCTACCGAAAATACAAAAATTAGCCGAGTGTGGCGGTGCACACCTGTAGTCCCAGCTACTTGAGGCACTAAGGCATGAGAATTGCGTGAACCTGGGAGGTGGAGGTTGCAGTGAGCCGAGATCATGCCACTGCACTCCAGCCTGGGAAACAGAGCAAGACTGCATCTCAAAAAAAAAAAAAAAAAAAGATAGCAAATACATCCATCATCCTCAAAAATTTCTTCCTACCCCATTATAATCCCTTCCTCCTGCCACCTGCTCCCTCCTGGTAACCGCTGATCTGTTTTCTGTCACTATATATTTGTCTTCATTTTCTAAGGTTTTATATAAATGGAATCTTTCCGTATATACTCTTTTTGTTTGATTTCTTCCACTCAGCAGAATTACTTTAAAATTCATCCATGTCTTGTTATATGTATAATACCTCATTCCTTTTTATTGCTAAAGAGTATTTTTTGTACATAAATATGATATCTATGCTTATAGAGCATATATATCACAATTTATTCATTCATTCAGTTGTTGATATTTACATCATTTTCAATTTTTTACTATTGGGCTTTTTTCCAAAATGGTTATATCGTTTTACCTTTCCACCATGATTGTATGAGAGTTCCAGTTTCTCCACATCCTAGTCTGCACATGGTATCATTAGTTTTTCTTAATTTTAGCCACTTTAACAGGTGTGTAGTAGAATTTCATCGTGGTTTTAATTTGCACTTCCCTAATGACTGATGATTTGAGCATCTTTTCATGTGTTTATTTGCCATCTGTATATCTACCTTGGTGAAGTGTTTGCTTAAATCTGTTGCCCATTGTTTAATTGGATTGCTTGTTTTCTTATTATCAAGTTTCTTATTATAGTATTTATATATTCTAGATACAAGTTCTTTATCAGACATGTGCTTTGCAAATATTTTCTCCTACTCTGTGGATTTTTTAAAAATTTCCTTCATAGTGATGGAGCAGTTTTTAATTTTGATGAAGTCAAATTTATCAACTTCTATGTATCATGCTTTGATATCTTATTAAAGAAATTCTTGCCTAATCCAAGCTCACAAAGATTTTCTGCTATGTTTTCTTCCAGGCACACATATTATAGTTTATGTTATATGTTTAGACCTATGATCTATTTTAAGTCAATTTTTTATATGATATGAGGTATGAATTGAAGCTCTTTTTTATTTGTTTGCATATGCATTTGATTGTTCCAGCACCATTTGTTGAAAAGACTGTCTTTTCCTCCACTAGATTGCCTTTGTAACTTTGTCAAAATTGGTTGTCCATGTATGTGTGAGTCTGTTTCTGGACTCTATTCTGTTCAATTAGTCTGTTTGTCTTTATGCCAGCACTGTACTGTTTTGAGTACTGTAGCTTTACAGTACATCTTAAAATCAGATGATGTTAGCCTCTCACCTTTGTTCAATCTAAATAGAAAGTTGTTTTGGCTACTCTTGGTCCTTTGCATTTCTCTATAGATTTTTGAATCAGCTTGTCAATTTTTACCAAAAAGCTTGCTGGGAATTTGAATCAAGGTTATTTTGAACTTATAGATCAATTTGAGGAACGTTGACATCTCAAAAACATTGCATCTCATGTCTCATGAACAAAGTATATCTCTCCATTTACTTAGGTCTTCTTGAATTTCTCCCAGCTATGAGTTTTCAGTGTAACAGGTCTTGTACATCTTTTGTTAGATTTATTCCTATTTTATGTTCTTATGCTCTTGTGAGTTCTTAAATTTCATTTCTGATTATTTATTCCTAGTATGTAGAAATACAGTTGACTTCTATATTATTGATTCTATAATCTGCAACCTTACCAAACTTATTCTAGTAGCATTTTTATAGATTCCATTGGATTTCTACATAATAGTGTTGTTTGCAAATACAGACAGCTTTGCTTCCTCCTTTCCAAACTAGATGCCTGCTATTTATTTTTCTTGCCATATTGCAATGGCCAAAGCCTTCAGTAAAATGTTGAATCAAGTGGTGAGAGCAGATCCTTGCCTTGTTCCTTATATTAGGGAGAAAGCATGCACCCTTTTACTATTAAGTATGATGTTAGCTGTGGTTCTTCAGAGATGCCCTTTATTAGATTAAGGCAGTTTCCTTCTATTCCTAGTTCACTTAGAATTTTTTATCAGGATGTTGGATTTTTGTTAAATGCTTTTCTGCCTCTATTGAGATGATCATACAGTTTTCCAAAATTATATCTGTTGATTTTCAAATGTTAAACCACCTCTACAGTCTTGAGATAAGCCCCATTTCATCATGATGTAATTACCTTTATTGTTGTATTTGATTTACTGAAATCATATTTAGTTTTTTTATGTGTTAAATATTCCCAGTACACTTGATAATTTGGGATCCCAATCTGGCTTGTTATATTTAGTCTCTGCACTAAGCTCTAGCTACGGTAGCTACAGTTTACTTAATGACCAAATAACAACCTTTTCTTCCATTTTAAATTTTGTATGACTTTGGCTGAGGGTCATTGAAAAATCAAGGATGGGAATACACACACACAGAGGCACACACATATACACACACACACACACGCCCCACAGTCTTACATGGTGAGGTCCTGACTGAAGTTTATTAGGAAAACTAGGAGAGACAGGCCACAGGACTTTTCAACCTTCCTGAGTAGAGCTAACAGGAGACTAAGCCTACTCAGTGAGTCTCAGTGAAAACTGGGAAAGAGGGATACGGAGGAGAAGCAGTAAGCACTGCTGCAGTTATGGCTTGGAAGAATGCTGTTAATACTGCTTTATCCCATCATTGCTCCATTGTCCAGTCTTGACACAGGACTTCCTGCCGCCTTAGACTGAAATAGAATCACTGCCCCAAGATAAATGTGATGGGGGAGACGGGGTTTAGGAAGTGATTATCAGACACCTGCATGATAAGAGAAAATGGAAAGCAAAAACAAGGAGATAAGAAGGAAACAAGCCCAGCATGTTCCCATGGGTTTTACACATAGACTCAGAATATCAGTAGCAGCAGGGACTGTGGCAACCCAAGGCCACAATACCCAACTAACAGATAAGAACACCAAGGCTAGACTAGAGAGGCTGTTCATCTGAGAGCATACTGGTTTGTTTTGTTTTGTTTTTCCCTCTTCCTGATATATCCAGAAAATACTTCCTCCTCCCAGCCCCGTTTAGCAGTAACTTACTTCCTTGGAGAACAATGCCTCAACCCATATTCAGGCCTTAGGTTGGTACAGACAATGGCACTTTACATGCGTGGGACTCTCCCCACCCCCTTCATTCAATGCTGCCTAATGAGCACTCACTTCTTGGGTCTCATCACCAGTCCTGCACTGTAATTCAGGGAGCCAGCTGCCTCTGCCAACAGTGTAAGTAATCTCAGGCTATTTTATAATCAGTCCTGAAGAACCCAGAGGGGGCACCAGACTCACCTCAACCTCAGATTATGTTTTGGATCCACTTTTCTTCGTCTTGGATGAACTTTGTGAACTTTGTGTTTGTGGGAGAGCACAGTGAAGGATGAACAAGGAAAAGGAAAAAAGGGGTAGGAGAACCAAAGGCAGGACAGCTTTTCCTTCCTCTTTTCTTTCCTGAATTTTTTTTTCTAGAGAAGTCTTCAAATATTCCAGCCTCAACTTTTGAAAAAGAAAAAGCAGAATGTTTTTAGTAGGATCTTTTTGTTTCTAGCTTACTGGGAGACAGTGGGAGGATGGACACTTTTGAGCAGATATGCATCACCCAATCAATCATCTCCAGAAGAACATCTGAATCTCTAAGGAATTGATCCAAATTGTTAATAATACTTGTGGTTTAAGACAGATAGATGAAACACCTTGTATAATCACTATATTCAATGTATTTGACTCATGTATGGGACTTAGAATATAAATTTTAATAAAGTAGAGGCTTAAGCTTGCATCTTTGCTTGTGTGTCGTACTATGGCGCGTAACTGTGATTTCCTTGCTGAATCCCTTTAGGGCAAAGCTGGCTTTGGTCATGATCAGATTTAGGGTGTCTAGCACATAGTAGATACTTAATAAATATTTACATAACAAACCTTTACATGGTACTGATTATGTACCAAGCACCGTGCTAAATACCTCAAAAATTTAAGCTCATTTATGCCTTACTTGCGTAAGGAAACTGTCATTACTATCTATATTTTACAAAGAAAACTGAATCCAGAGAGACTGAGCACCTTGTCCAAGGTCACACAACTAGTAAAGGGAAGAGCCAGCATTTGAACCCAAGCAGTCTTGCTCTTTTTATTTGTTTATTTAATTTTTGTACAGGCAGAGTCTCACTATGTCACCCAGGCTGGTCTCAAACTCCTGGCCTCAAGCAGTCCTCTTGCTGTAGCCTTCCAGTGCTTCGGGATTATAGGCATGAGCCACCGTCCTCCGCCAAAGAGGTCCTGCTCTAAACACTTGCTAAGAATACATTGACATTGAATTTTTCAGTCATTAATGTTATGATGCTTATGAAATCGTGACATGATTCTGCATGAAAAATGGGGATTATATGATGATTTCATTGATCTAAGACAGTTAACTAGACATCAGAATATATCTTCACTTCCTAAGTTACCCACTGGTTATTGATTCTATGTTGGTTGATCTATAAGGAGGCATACATTTGTTAATGTACTCCTTACTCAACATTACTAATTACATTTTTACTTTAAAAAGCATCAGTGCTTCTTCTCTTACTATATGGAAATTAAAGATTCTTTTTGCAATTTTGTTTCTTATTCTTTCTACATTCTGTAATGTATTAGAAACATGAAATTACTCCTTTGTTCTTCAGGAACTGTTCATTTGAAACTCTCCAACATAAGGATGCTGGGGAGAAAACATTCCTATGTTTTATTTTGATAATGAAATATTGTGTAGTTTTAAAGCTTAGACATATAAACTTCATGTGAACATCATATATATATAAAAAATCATATATATATAAAATATCATATATATACACACACACATGTGCACACCCTTGCATCTAATTTATAAATTCTAAGATAGTCATGAACATACATTTTTAGATTCTGTGACTTATTTGGCTTTTAATGCACCACAAGGTAAAACTCTTTATACTCTGTCATATTTTTGTATTTTCTACCCACTTAGGGGAGACTACAATTATATAAAAGTTGCTATAACATTTTTAATTAATTACTTGACTCCAAATAATTCCCTGTAACATTCTAAATTTAATCATTTGACTCTGAGTAGATTCGTTCCTCATTTAATATCTTTGTCACTTTCCCTTCAAATTCTTTCTACTGTTCTTTACTTTGGGCTTACTTTTGCTGTGCCTCTTTTTCTTCATTTCTAATCTACTATACATTCTTTTTTTTTTTTTCTTTTTGAGAGAAGGTCTCACTCTGTTGCACTGCAGTGGCGTGATCTCAGCTCACTGCAACCTCCACCACCGGGGTTCAAGCGATTCTCCTGCCTCAGCCTCCCGAGTAGCTGGGATTACAGGTGTGTGCCACCATGCCCGACTAATTTTGGTATTTTTGGTAGAGATGGGGTTTCACCATGTTAGCCAGGCTGGTCTCGAACTCCTGACCTCAAGTGATTCGCCCACCTTGGCCTCCCAAAGTGCTGGGATTATAGGCGTGGGCCACCGCACCTGGTCTCACTACGTTACATTCTTAATATGGTTTTGTTAGCACTCTCTGTGCCAAAATCCTATTTTCCCCTCTTTTCCCTTAGGCAGGGCATGCACAGAGCAGATCTATTTCCTACCAACCTTTTTTCCCATGGCACACACAGCTGCCCCTTGGCAATAAGATGCAGTCCCTGACTAATGCAGCATTGCTCTCTGAAGATTTTAATCCAGCTTTCTTAGTCTCACCTAGCTTTATGAAAAATGAGAGGCTAGATATTTTGCTGTTTCTTACTAAGATTTGCATTGCTCATACTATAGGTGCCCTGTGTAATTGCTCTAACATTTTCTCTTCACACAAGATTATCCAGTATTCTCTCTTATCCTGCCTCATCCTTTTCCTTTTCTGTAGCCAGTTGTTATGAAAGGGGTGGCCATGGCAGACACTGTTGCAGTGTAATGTCAAATATTATATATTTAATGTGCATGTGCCCGCATGTGTAGTTTTGGTTTTTTTGTTGTTGTTGTTTGTTTTTGGAGACAGAGTCTCACTCTGTCACCCAGGCTGGAGTGCAGTGGCACAATCTCGGCTCACTGCAGCCTCTGCCTCCCAGGTTCTAGCGATTCTCCTGCCTCAGCCTCCCGAGTAGCTGGGACTGCAGGCACCTGCCACCACACCTGGCTAATTTTTGTAATTTTAGTAGAGACGGGGTTTCGCTATGTTGGCCAGGCTGGTCTTGAACTCTTGACCTTAGGTGATCTGCCCACTTCAGCCTCCCAAAGTGCTGGAATTACAGGCATGAGCCACTGCACCCGGCCATGTGTAGTTTTCAAAAGAGCCATAGATAGGAGTCGACATTTGAAACCATTCAAAATGAACATTTTTTTAAATGCCAACAGAATACTTCCCTGAAAAAAAGAGCCACAGATACTTGTTGGCTTTCTTTCTTTCAATTTTTGTGATGACAAAGCTGTTGGATTTGACTTTTGAGTAGTAAGTTTATCCTCAGGGCCTTTAATAACACCAGCATGGAATCAAAATTAGGAGAATTACTGGACTTTGGCTATGTATACACCAGGTTTGTGACTGTTGAACAGGATGATGTTTGAGAAGATTTACTGAGGTTTTGGGGGTATCTTCCTTCCCTGCATTTTGGCCAGTTTCAAGTCAGAAGTGGGCAGAGCCTAGTTAATTGCAATGGAAAAGGGCAAACCAGGAGCCAGCAGCTGGAGAACCACCTTGAGCACTGGCACATAGAGCACAGTTGCTCAGCATGGCTGGTGTGGTGGAGGGGATAACTATGACATGGTGTATGGCCAGGGGCAGAGGCCGGGAAGCCTGTCGCAGCACAGCATGTTGCAGTGACATGATGACAGGAAGCCTCGGAGCAAATGCTGTTTGGAGATTTGAGGGAGGTGAACAGGCTGTCAGCATTGAGGAAAACTGTCAGCAGACCACAGTGATGCAGGCGCTGGGCTGTAGGTCAGAACTCTTAAGGATTATTAAGATCATACCACTTTAGTAGGGCTGGTTACAAGGTAGGATACCAGGAGAGGAATATAGAAATGAGGGACAAGACAGGCAATTCAGAACACAGCTCACAGAAGCCCGGAACAAGACTGGACCAAACAAGTTCAAGTACAAGCTAAAAGTCATGCCATCATTATATTGAAAAGATGTGATGAAAAAGTAATGTACCCACTGACTGATTTTGCCTTATTGCTTGGGCATAGTGAGAAGGCCCTCTCTTCCTATCATTGTTTTGATAAAAGAAAAAAAAAACAAACTACCCTGGCACCCATCAGAGCTAAATGCTGTCTCTACCTGCCTTCCCCAACCAGATTCATGCCTGGTTTGCTTAGGGATTATCTGATGTTACTAGCCATGTCTCTTCTTGCCTCCACTGGCATGGAAAATCTGGGTAACCACAAGCAAACTTGACCAGACTGCTACCAATGCCTGAAACTGAATATTATAGTACAACCGTGTGACACATTCAAAGATGCTGACTGCTGTGGAACACTGAGGCGCAACAGAACTTCACGAAAAGAAACTTTTCAGTGCACCCTCTGTTAGCCAACTCTTTTTGAGTGTGCTTGCAACTGTGCTGTTGATGTAGAGCGAATTATATGTTTAATTTTGATCCCAAACCATAGGTAGATGCTTAATTTTTAAAATAGGCAGATAGTGTCTAGAAAATTAGTAGAGAAAAGTAAGTTTAAGCTAAATATAAAAACAATGAACAGAATGTTTCCTATTTACATGTTTTGTTTACTTTTTGTCTAAACCAGAGATGAGCAAATTTTTCTAAAAACAAAAAACCAAATAAATATTTTAGGCTTAGAAGGCCATATGGACTCTATAATAGGTATTTTACATAGTCCTTGTTGTGTGAAGCAGCAATAGACAATGCATACAAGAATGGTCATGGCTTTGTGCCAATAAAACTTTATTTACAGGCCGGTCACGGTGGCTCATGACTGTAATCCCAGCACTTGGGAGGCCAAGGCAGGTGGATCACTTGAGGTCAGGAGTTCGAGACCAGCGTAGCCAACATGGTGAAATCCTGTCTTTACTAAAAAAAAAAATAAAAAAATTAGCTTGGCATGATGATGTATGCCTGTAATCCTAGTGCTTTGGGAGGCTGAGGCATGAGAATCGCTTGAACCTGGGAGGTGGAGGTTGCAGTGAGCCGAGATCGCACCACTGCACTCCAGCCTGGGCGACAGAGTGAGACTCTGCCTTAAAATAAAAAACAACAAAAAAAAACTTTTTTTACAAAAGCAAGCAGTGGGCCAGATTTGGACTATGGACCATAGTTTGCCAACCCCTAGTCTAAAGAAAACAGCATTTCTACTCACAAATTTTATATATATATGTGTGTGTGTGTGTGTGTGTGTGTGTGTGTGTGTGTGTATAGTACTGTTTCTGTTGAACAGATAAAACCATATATTCATGGTAGCTGCAGAAAGCAAAAGATACCTTTAAGTGACTTCCTCCTTTTTAATGGATAATGGCAATATTTATTATTTTGATTTAGTTAAATATTTATTGCTGAGTACCAGTTATGTTCTTATTACTCAGTATTAAAGGAAGATTTTAAAACTCCTGGCAGCCTCTGATCTCCAGGAGCTCATAGTATAAGAGAGCTAAGCAATAATATTGCAAAGCAGTAAAATAAGCATAATACAGAGAGACCCATGTGCACTGGGACAGTTTGGTCTTCAGGAGGAGGGGTGGATCTAGATGAGTCCTGAGGGCCAGCGCATATTTCTAAAGACGGGAGAGACAGGAGAGCATCTAGGGGAGAGGTGATGAGACCAGGAGGAGCATGAACAAAGATTATACAATCAGAGAAAACGAATAGTTAAAAGAAAGCAGGTAACTAGGCTAGCCAGGGCAAGATGATCATGCTGGCTGTGCCTCTTCACCTTCATCCATAAGATACGGAGAGTAACAGTAGCTTCCTCGTAGGGCTGTCATGAAAATTTAGAAAGTTAATATTTGTAAAATTCCTGGAGTTGTTCCTGACAAAGAATATATAAGTATTTGTCAAACAAATAAATGCTGGAGGTAGAGGTGGGGATTGGTTGATAAGATATGGTAAGATGGAGTCAGGTTGAGGACAAGAATAATTTTCCAAAAACACTTTGATGATGTAGCTGTATAGTGAGGGACCTGTAGTGTCCACTACCTTCAGGACAATAGCCAAACTCCCAACTAGGCTTTCATAATTGTCCCCTGATCCCAAATGAGTGATCAGTAAGTGAGGAATGTAAAAGGTAACTCCTGAGGCCAGGCACTGTGGTTCACGTCTATAATCCTAGCACTCTGAGAGGCCAAGGCAGGAGGATAACTTGAGGCCAGGAGTTCGAGACCAGCCTGGCCAACAATAATGAGACCCCATCTCTACAGAATATTAAAAAAAATTTTGGTCTGAGAGCTAGGAGCAAGAGCTTAGGGAAAGGAGGAATAAGAGGAGGTAGTTGGCTACCAACAGACATCTGAATTCTTAACCAATGAAGAGAAAAAATGTAAAAGTGGTCCCAGCCGCTTGGGAGAATGAGGCAGGAGGATTGCTTGAGCCCAGGAATTCAAGGCTGCAGTAAGCTGTGATTGTGCCACTGCACTTCAGCCTGGGAAACAGAGCAAGACCCTGAAAAAAAAAAGAGAGAGAGAGAGAAAGAAAAGAAAAGAAAAGAGAAAGGTAACTCCAGTTCCAGCACACAGTGCCACTGCAGGAGTGAGGAAGCCACGTGGGAGAATTATTTTGTGGGAAAAGCTGAGGAATGCTTTTGCACATGTTGTATTGGAGGTACTGGTGCCCAAGTGGAGACAGCCTGAAGGCAGAGGGCGGCTTGAGTTGGGGCTAGAGATGGACACTTGGGAACCATGAGCACAGAAGAGACCACAAACATGTTGAGACAAGGGAAGCGGGCGGGAGAAAGAGCAGGGCATTGAGTCTTGAACATTGCTCACACCTTCATTGATTTGGAAGAGACAAACTGCTGCTGTCAACCCAAGTTTGGGGTAGGCGGAAAAGTGGATACAGAGATTCTCTACCTCCTCTTACTTGGGAATGTAAGTCAAATGTGAGTTTCATAGCAGGAAGAGCGTGAAGTTGTTAAGTGCACAGTAGTCCATGAGAACAGATTTTCCCATCTTGAGCAGACTCTGCAGAGCCACAAACAATGCCGCCTTATGAGCTCTGGTCAGTCTGGTCATGGGATACCTGTGGGGATTTCTTTCCTGTCGGAGCAGTGGCTTCCGTGAGACTTGGCAAAGAGGCTGGTCTGAGGAATGCTTCTGGTTGTGGGTACATTCCAGCCCAGGGTGGTGTCCCAGACATTTTCCTTTTAATGAAGCCCCAGCTTTTTTCTCCCTTTTGCTTTTTTTTTTTTTTTTTTTTTTTTTTTTTGTAATGAAAGGGTTGTTACAAGGGAAATACAATGGGGCCCTGGCTGTGTTTCATTAACTTTTAATTTAAGCTGTTAGTATGGAATTAGTTAGCAGACTTGTGAATCAATTAGCTAGCCAGTGGGATTCCATTTTAACAAGGGGAGCACTGTGCGCTCTCGGATGCTAGCTATGTGTGTGAATGCGGAGTTTAAGGAGCTTCGCTGTTTGTTCGACATCCGAAAGTGAATCACAGTCCTTGTTCCTGCCTCCTCTACTGGTTCCAAGTTCACTCGGCTAGAACATGCTGTGCATCACCCAACCCTTATCTTCTCTACAAATACAAATTTGGATTACTGAATAAATCCAGTGGAAATTCATTTTTCATGCTGATGAACTCAAAGACTTTCAGAGTTAAACCAAAACAATGCACTCGGAACTATAGTGAAACATTTGAACATTTACCCTTTGATCCAGAGTTTCCCCATATTCTGGGAAGCAGTAACTCCTGGGCAATTCTGCAGTCTTCTGAAAGTTCTATATAAGCTTAATTGTCCTTCCTCATTTGCAAACCCCACCTTGGGTTTGGGAAGATCTGACAGCTGCTGTCTGGGTTTGGCGTACTTACCCCGTTACTGGTTGAGAGGAGACCCAGTTAACAATTTCAGCCTCAAATTTAAAGTCCAGTCATCTCAAAGGAAGACAGTGACATAACAGGGAGGCCTAGCTGGCTTTAAAATAAAGGGAGAGGGGACAGAGTCAGTTCTAATAAACTGTAGAGATATATATATATATATATATATATATATATAGCATTTTAAGCCCAACTTGAAGAAAGTTGCTGAATTAGCATCAGAAAGCCACAGAAAAATGCATAGAGGGAGAGAGATAGGCTTGTGATTCACATTAATATTTTGGGCAATGGAATACAGTGTGACCAATAAAAATGATTCAAATAGTATGATAGAAGTATACTACTGTCGGCCGGGCGCAGTGGCTCATGCCTGTAATCCCAACACTTTGAGAGGCCGAGGAGGGCGGATCATGTGGTCAAGAGATTGAGACCAGCCTGGCCAACATGGTGAAACCCCGTCTCTACTAAAAATACAAAAATTAGCTGGGCGTGGTGGTGTGTGCCTGTAGTCCCAGGTATTTGGGAGGCTAAGGCAGGAGAATCGCTTGAACCCGGGAGGTAGAAGTTGCAGTGAGCCGAGATCGCACCACTGCACTCCAGCCTGGCAACAGAGTGAGACTCCGTCTCAAAGAAAAAAAAGAAGTATACTATTTTCATAGAAGTATACTTATTGGCATAGAAATATGTTTACCTGTCAGGTATGGTAGCCCATACCTGTAATCCTAGCACTTTGAGAGGCCTAGGCCAGAAGATCGCTTGAGCCCAGGAGTTTGAGACCAGCCTGGACAACACAGGAAAACCCTGTCTCTACAAAATAACTTTTTAAAAAAATTATCCAGGCATGGTGGTTCACACCTGTGGTCAGGAGGCTGAGGTGGGAGGATAGTTTGAGTGCAGGAGGTCGAGGCTGCAGTGAGCCATGATTGAGCCACTGCATTCTAGCTTGGGCAACAGAGCGAGACCCTGTCTCAAAAAATACATATATGTTTATGAATATTGGAACATTTAAAAAGCAGTAAATATACTATGAAGTACAATTGAATTTTAATTTCAGAATATTATATGCACACACATATACTGTCAGCAACAAAGAAAAAAACTGGATAGAAAATTATAACACTGTTATTAATTAAAATTGTTATACAAAATTTGAGAACAACTTGGGGGTTATAAGAACATGAAAAGCTGTGGTTTGCAACCTTCATAGGGTCCCAAAGCAAGATGGAAACATCCCAATGGGAGGTTAACACTTGACAATCTTATAACAAGGTCTATATATCAAACTTATTATCTATCCATCTAGCTAGCTAGCTAGCTAACTTACCTTCTATCCATCTGTCCAGCTATTATGTATATTCATGAAACTCATTTTTAAAACATGGGAGATAATGGCTCTAAATTTCAAAGAAATGTTTACACCTTGCCAGGAAGGTTTTCTTTTCCCAAGTCAGGGAGTGAAAGATGTCTGCTAATTCATTCGTGAACTTATTTACCTATTTTTTCCACAAGTATTTATTAAGAACCTGCCCATCAGCCAGGTAATCAGGAATCCTAAGATTAAATTATTAGAGTATTTTTCATTGTTCAAGTTTTCTCTTTTCAGTCATATTATGTGTGTGCCTCCTCTGAGCACAAGAGATCAAGGGAAACTACTTACAATCTTGATTTATAATAAGTGCGGTTTATCTGGAAGTAGTATTGAAGTTTTCTTACAATTGAGCATTTTTTCTAGAAGGGTGATGGTACTGCATTGGTAAGACTATCTAAACCTGTGCTGTCAGCACAGTAGCCACTAACCACATGTGGCTATTTAAATTTAAGTAAAAATTCAGTTTCTCTATAACTGTAGCCACACTTCAATTGCTGAATACCCAGATGTGGCCAGTGGCTGTCATACTGAACAGTAGAGATATAGGACATTTATGTCATCACAGAAAGTTCTCTTGGACAATGCTGGTCTAAACCTAATTGCTGAGAACACTTGTGTATAAAAAGGCACTTTTCACATTTTTTCTCTTCATTGCTTAAGAATTCAGAAGTTTGCTGATAGTCAACTACTTTCTTTTATTCCTCCTTTCCCTAAGCTCTTGCTCCTAGCTCTCGAAGCAATAAGCTTTTCAGAATTTCATTATTTGTCAGCACCGGCTCGAGAGAGCAGGCATCAAAGGGCCAACATTACACACTTATGTATGTTTATATAAATTTGGTTAAATATTAATTTGAAATGGTTGTAAATGAGATTTCAGGTTTGCAACAGCAGGAAAAAAGTCTGTATAACTTCGCTGTAAACATGGTCATTGGCGTTAAGTTGTTAAACTGTAACTAATCTGGCATCTTTGTTACGTAGTCAAGTTCCACTGGGTTTTGCTGTGTAGCATGCGATTCCAAAAATCTCAGTGATTTTTAACAAGAAATATTGCTCACTCCCATAGATAGAAGGTGAAATGATCTCATTCCTAATTTGCATTTGAGTAGCAACCTAAGTACTAAATCACAACCCAGGAATTTTCCAAAGTTCCTTACAAGTACTTTGAACTGGATCTTTCCTTAGAAAAATGTGTAGAAAAGGAAAATACATAATGACTGGTTATTATTCTACTTTCTTTGTGTTTAGAGGCAGCATTAATTTTCAAGTAGAAATTATATATATATTTTTAATGTGAAGCCAATCTGGAAAAGCTGCATGCTGTATAATTCTAACCATATGACATTCTGGAAAAGGCAAAACTATAGAGTCAGTAAAAGGATCAGTGGTTGCCAGGAGTTGAGGGGAGCAGGAGATGAATAGGGAGAGCACAGAGGATTTTTAGGGCAGTGAAATCGTTCTGTGTGGTACTGTGATGGGGGATCCCTGTCACGATCCATTCGTCAATATCCATACAATGTACAACACCAAGAGTGAACGCTGGTGTAAACTGTGGACTTTGGGTGATAATCATGTGTCATGAGGGTCATCAGTTCTAGCCAGCGTACCACTCTGGTGAGAGATGTTGGTAATGGGGGATGCTGGGCATGGGTAGGGACGGGGAATACATGGGGAATCTCTGTACCTTTAGCTCATATTGCTGTGAACCTAAAACTCTTCTTAAAACTAAAATTTTAAAATTAATGACAATAAATGAATTTAAAAATAAATGAATTAAAAAATCTATTTTAAAATTAATGGCAATAAATGAATGAGTAAAGCATGATTAATACATATACTACCACCCAGATCAAAAGAATAGAACCTTGCCACCCCAACTTCATATACTTCTTCCTTTTTGCAACTCTCCGCACCTTGAGAGGTAAACCAGAATCCTGACTTTCGTGATAAAATTTCTTTTCTTTATAATTGTATGATCTATGTGTACATTTCTAAAGCAATATAATTTAGTTTTCCTGGTTTGGAACTTTATATAAGAGGAATCATGACATACATACTCTTTCGTATCTTGATTCTTTTGTTAAAATTTCATTTTTGACACTCTCATTCATGTCTTTTAGTGTTGGTGAGCATTTCTGTAAATTTTGGCTCTAACTAGAACATTATACCATCTTTAAGAGGAGAGCTCAGATCAATGCATGCTACTGTGCAATGGGAAGAGTTGGGGCAGGAGGAAAAATATGAAGAAAATGTTAACCAGTGTATTTGATTTGTTTTAAAATACATTTATTACTTCTGTAATTTTTGCAAGTGTATAATTTTCCTAGGTTCTAATGCAGTATATAGAAAAGACATTTAGGGCCGGGTGCAGTGGCTCACGCCTGTAATCCCAGCACTTTGGGAGGCCGAGGCAGGCGGATCACAAGGTCAAGAGATTGAGACCATCCTGGCCAAGATGGTGAAACCCCATCTTTACTAAAAATACAAAAATTAGCTGGGCGTGGTGGCATGTGCCTGTAGTCCCAGCTACTTGGGAGGCTGAGGCAGGAGAATCGCTTGAACCAGGAGGCAGAGGTTGCAGTGAGCCGAGATCGTGCCACTGCATTCCAGCCTGGCAACAGAGCGAGACTCCGTCTCAAAAAAAAAAAAAAAAAAGTAGGAAGTAATGCTGATAACTTGAACACAAACACTTTCGTATTTTCATTTCAGGTTTAAAGTATTCATATATCATAATTTAACTCACTAGCAGAGTGTACTTACCCTGCAGTCAGACAATTTCCTCTCTCTTTAAGGAAAAAGTATAATCTAATCTGGTAGGGGATTTTTCTTTTATTTTTAACTTAACACCGTGAAAAATCAAAACACTGTCCTTGAGAAGGCATAATTTTTGAAATATGCAAATTTAAACGGTATCTTCCTTTTAAGTTGTGTAAAAACAAGACTTTTGCCTAAGTGTAAGACCAGAATTTTGCAAAATTCTGGACCTGCCTCTCTGGCCTGCCTCTCTCCGGTTTTGTGTAGGGCAGCAGGAGGCCTGGCAACGTGAATGTCTCCAAATCCTACTTCTGCTCTAAACTGAGATTTTGTGGTTTCTTTTTTTTTTTTTTTTTTCTTGAGGCAGAGTCTTGCTCTGTCACCCAGGCTGGAATGCAATGGCGTAATCTCAGCTCACTGCAACCACCACCTCCCGGGTTCAAGCCATTCTCCTGCCTCAGCCTCCCCAGTACCTGGGACTACAGGCATGTGCCACCATGCCTGGCTAATTTTTGTACCTTTAGTAGAGATGGGATTTCACCATATTGTCCAGGCTGGTTTCAAACTCCTGACCTCATGATCTGCCCACCTCAGTCTCCCAAAGTGCTGGGATTACAGGCCTGAGCCACCATGCCTGGCATCTTTTTTTTTTTAATGTTAGAATTTAAACCATCTGGAATTTATATTGTCATCTAACATGAGGTACAGATTGAAATTTATTTTTCCCTGCAGTTCATTGACCAATCTATGCTTTCTCACTGATTTGAAATGGCACCTTTATCATTCTCGAAATTATTCATGCTTATGGCTCTTTCTGATGTTCTGTTCTATGCTGTTGTCCTCTATGTCTTCACTTTAGCCAGTGTCATGCTGTTTTAATTATTGTACCTTTAAAATCTGTCAGCATCTGCTAGCAGAGATACTAGCATGCATACACACACACTGAGTATTCCTCTCTTTTATTACTGTTTATTATCAGATAAACTTTTGCATATATATGTTAATTTCAGAAAAGTATTCCATTGTGATTTTGAGATTGATTTAAAATTAAAATTTGATTTTGTGGAGATTTGACATCTTTAGATCACTGACTCTTACCACCCATGAAAATGACTCTCTCTCCATTAATTCTAACCCCTTCAATAAAGTTTTGCCATAGTCTTCATATAGACTTTGTATATTCTTATTCCATATCCCTATGTTATAACAGGCATCAGACCTATCATTTGACACCAACAGCTGGCATCCAAGACCACAGGAATGATGCCCAAAGCAGTCTACACCCACTCCCCACTAGGGCCCAGGAGGAAGTGTGTTTGCAGCCCTGACCTAAATCCACTTGTACCTTTCTCTCCTCTGCACAGTGACCTCTGCCTGGCCAAAGCCCCATGGAATGCCCTAATCACATGTCCCTCTGCAGAATAGTCCTTTCTCCAAAATGATCCCTCTTTTATTCCACCACCACCATAAGTCAATCTCTAGTTTCCCCTCTGGGACCCTGTATTACTCTGTTTTCACACTGCTATAAAGAACTGCCCAGGACTGGGTAATTTATAAAGGAAAGAGGTTTAATTGACTCAGTACTGCATGGCTGGGGAGGCCTCAGGAAACTTACAATCATGGTGGAAGGCAAAGGGGAAGCAAGTACCTTCTTCACAAGGCAGCAGGAGGGAGAAAAAAGCGCAGGAGGAACTACCACACACTTATAAAGCCATCAGATCTGGTGAGAACTCACTATCACAAGAACAGCATGGGGGAAACGGGCCCCATGATTCAATTACCTCCACCTGGTCTCTCCCTTGACACGTAAGGATTATGGGGATTACAATTCAAGATGCGATTTTGGGTGGCGACACAGCCAAACCATATCAGATCCTGATAGATTTTAAGCTTGGTGTTGATTATCTGATTGAAATAATTCTGAAGATTGTTTTAAGCTCCTAGACAACAAACTATGAACAAAGCTGCCTTCTAGAGAACAGGATCAGGAGGTTGGGGGAAGGATACTTTAGATATTTCCTTACTGTTTTGTGTCACTTTATGTCTCCAAATAAGTACTTCTTTTATAACATAAAATCTTCTAAAAAAAAGCAAACAAACAAAAAAAACTGCTTTCCCCCTCCCAAGATAAGTTGTTTTAAAGGAGGAACTATTCAAATGAATACTTAGTACTGAACAGTCATTCCTATCTTTTGGGACCAAGGAACTCTTCAAAAATTTGATGAAAATGGTAGACACTTTCCTCTGAAGAATGCACATATGTACATAGCTACAATTTTGTGTAGGATTTCAGAAAATAAAAGGCTGCTGCCCTCAGCAGAGATTCGTACCTCTGTATAATTGGTTTCTGGTGAGGTACACATCACTGGATCAAGATTCCTGTGGGGGCTTCTGGAGTCCCCAGCTTCCTTGTCACACCTCATGTCGCATCACGGAGCAGAGGCTGACTCCCAAAAGTTACTCAGCCCCTTTTTAGAATAAGAATAGCCTCAGAACAGGGTTCCTTTAAAAAAAAATAGGAGAGTAATTTTACATGACACCTAATGAGTTGAGGAAAACAGAACTAACCTAGGGAATATTGCCAAGTAAAAGAAGTTTGTCTTTACTCCGCAGCCTCCCGTGTCCCCCACTCTGAGTCTCTCTATGACTCTTCTACTTCCTCTCGCCTACCCAAAATCTTGGCATCCTTAAGGTGCACCTGAGTCCTCTCCACTCCAAGAAGCTTTCCTTCGTTCCTCAACTCAAGCCTCCCACTCGTCAAACTTTCCCACAAAAGTAACCCAAACAGAAGAGAGAGGTGAGCCTGTATAGCCTGGGAACTCTAGGGACAAAGTTCAAAGTAGTCTTCGCAATCAAGGAATTCCACTCCAAAACACATCTGTGTGGGAGGATGCTGGGTGTGTGAATCCAGCAGATAAATTCTATTTAATCTTATTCTTTTTTTTTCTTTTTTTGTTTTTTTTTTGAGATGGAGTCTCACTCTGTCACCCAGGCTAGAGTGCAGTGGTGCGATCTTGGCTCAGGGCAACCTCTGCCTCCCGGGTTCAAGCGATTCTTCTACCTCAGCCTCCCAAGTAGCTGAGATTACAGGCGCAGGCCACCACGCCTGGCTAATTTTTGTATTTTTAGTAGAGACAGGGTCTCACCATGTTGGCCAAGCTGGTCTCAAACTCCTGACCTCAAATGATCCACACACCTCGGCCTCCCAAAGTGCTGGGATTACAGGAGTGGGGCGTATTTTTAAATGTGCGTAATACATGTATGTAATTTACAAGTAAATATACCTACATATTTTATATATGTGTGTGCATATATATACATATATATGTGTGCATATATATACATATATATGTGTGCATATATATACATATATATGTGTGCATATATATACATATATATGTGTGCATATATATACATATATATGTGTGCATATATATACATATATATGTGTGCATATATATACATATATATGTGTGCATATATATACATATATATGTGTGCATATATATACATATATATGTGTGCATATATATACATATATGTGTGCATATATATCACATATATATACACACACATACATATCACAGTAAAAATATAGAATGGAGACCAGTGCTTTACCTGAATACTAGTTAAATTACTTAACTCTGCTTTCCTGCTCCCTCCCACCTCACCCCAAATCACATTGCCTCAGAAAGAAGGGTAGAGAGTATTTAAGTGAGACCAACTGAGTTTGAATCCTGGCTCTGCGACTCACTAGCATGAGATGACTTAACCCTTCTTTAAGCATCGGTTTCCCCATCTGTAAAAAGTGGGTGACAAAGTGGGGTTGCTGGAAGGATGTAATGGGTAAAGTGATCAATCAACATTGGACATGTCGAACATCATAAAGATACGCACAGGAAGAGCACAGCCCATCTTTCCCTCCCACAGTCGTTATCTCCTACCCTGTGGTTCTTTCTCTGCACTGGGTGAAATCCCAAGAGACCTCATAGCTTTCTAGTAGCTTTCAGATAGAAGTCTTCCCATCAGAAACAGATCATTCTCAGTATAGTAATTAAAATCTTGTCTGGTTCAGTCATCTAAACTTGGGTCTAGGCCTAGGTGAAACCTCTCCCCACCCTCACACTATTCCAGGAAGGCCACGTTCTGCCTAGGGTATCCACCGGGGAGGCACAGGGTTGGCCTCCTCTCTGGCTGTCCCCAGCTTTCTAGGGGCTGTTTCTCCTCTAGGTGCAGTGGCACGGCTCCTCCCGTCCTCAGCCTCGACGGAACCCCTTTTCCAGGGGTTCTCCAGGCCCGCTCCTCCAGCTGCCCTCTCAGTTAGGTTCCCTCCCCCTGCAGGATGGTCCTGTGGATGGAGTTCCTGTGATAGTGACCCGGTAGGCTCCTTCCAGGCCCACCTGGCCTGAGGCGAAACTCCTGCATGCCCTATGGCCTGTCCTCGGGCAGTGAGAGTGTCACCCTCTCCCACCTGCCTGAAATTCCAAGGGACTTACTCAGGCCCTCTAAGGGGTCCTCTTGAGGCCCTCCCACTTCACTGAAGGTGAGGGGAAAGCAATCCTCTCCTCCCCCAGGGTGGAAGACACAACACACATGCGCACACGCATGCGCGCGCACACACATAGACATACGCGCAGCGCACAGACGTACGTGCACACGCACACACACATGCACGCACACACACACGCACACACACACACACACACACACACACACACACCCCTCTGGCTGCCTCAACCCCTCTTTCACTAGCTAGAGGGGTTATCAGTGGCCAGGCTAGCAGAACTGATTTCTGGCTCTGTGGACATAACCTACACGTCCGTCTTTTAGCCTCTCGGTATGGTGGCTTAGCCCTTTCCTTCAGTGGGTAGAGTGTTCAGCATCTGTCTTACTGCTCACAGCCTGTGGGGAATCAGCCAAAAGTGAGGCTGAAAGAATTGCCATGTAATATCTTTAACCCTGTGCTTAGTAAATAGTAAATGCTCAATGAATATTAGCGATCATTAGTAGTAGTGGTAGTCATAGTAGTGTGTTTTCTTATGGTCTTACTCTGTTTGGGCTGCTGAAACCAGCCATTATAGACTGGGTGGCTTATAAGTAATAGAAATGTATTTCTGCTAGTTCTGGAGGCTGGGAAGTCCCAGATCTAAGCACCAGCAGATTCAGTGTTTGGTGAGGGTTGGCTTCCTGCTTCATAGAAGGCTGGCCTCTCACTGTGTGCTCATGCGGTGGAAGGGACCGGGAGCTCTGGGGCTAAAACTCTCATCCATGAGAGTTCCACCCTTGTGACCTAATCACCTCCCAAAGGTCCCACCTCCTAAAACCATCACGCCAGCAATTAGGATTTCAACATAAGAATTATAGGGACACACAAACATTCAGTCTTTAGCAAGATCTCACAATGTCTGCACTATATATAGCTTTACCACCATTTGAAAAGTACAATTCCTGTCAGTGTTTTTGGTAACCCACTGTTGTGAAATCAATTTAAAGGTTCTTGAGTGGCAATTTGAAAATGAAATCGAAGAGTAGAAAAAAGAATAGAAAAATCAAGAATGCATAATAGGTGTTGTTTGGAAAATTTGTGATTTAAGATAATTAAGTATATATATGTTGCCATTTTAAATGTATGTATTATATTGGTTGCTGTCAACAAAATATGAACGCTACAGCATCTGAGGTTTTCCAGTTGTCCACCACAATGATTAACATGTGAGAATCTTCCTGAAAAAGTTCAATGATTAACATGTGAAAATCTTCCTGAGAAAAGTTCCTATGTGGATGAGCTCTAAGGAATGAATATAGAATGTTCTATTCCCCACAGGTCTCTGCAGTGAATACAGTTAATTGGGAGCTAATCATGAACTGCTTTATATTTTTCCCTAATTGTCTTTTTTTTTTTTTTTGAGACAGGGCCTTGCTTTATCACCCAGGCTGGGGTGCAGTTGTGTGATTATAGCTCACTGCCACCTCACATTTCTGTGCTCAACAGAATTCTCCCCCCTCAAACTCCCCCGTAGCTGTGACCACAGGCAAGCACCACCACATCTGGCTATTTTTTGTACTTATTTTTTTTTATGTTTAATGTTTGTGGGTACATAGTAGGTGTATATATTTATAGGGTATATGAGATGTTTTGATACAGGCATGCAATGTGAAATAATCACAATGTGAAATCATGGAGAATGGGGTACCCGTCCCCTGAATCATTTATCCTTTGTGTTACAAACAATCCAATTACATGCTTTTAGTTATTTTTAAATGTACAATTAAGTTCCTATTGACTATAGTCACCCTTTTGTGCAGTCAAATACTGGGTCTTATTCATTCTTCTATTTTTTTGTACCCATCAACCACCCTCACCTCCCACCTTGCCCCCCACTGTCCTTCCCAGCTCTAACTAATTTTTTTAGTATTTATGGAGACAGGGTCTGCCATCTTGCCCAGGCTGGCCTAATTGTTTCTTGAGAATAATTGTTGTATCCCCCAAACATAAGGAGGAGAGAAGTCGTTTTACATTTCTGATGATGCTTTCTCAGAGCCCAGTGCAAAGGAGAACACCAGTCACTGCTGGCGGGTGTCTGACATTCAGTTTGGCTGTTTCACTTGTCCTGTGATAGCTAACTGATCTTGCTGTCTCATCATGCATTATTTGCACGATTGGCAGTTATTAAGGTACACCAGGCTAGAAGGGAGTCCATCTGGCTCTCCGCTGGGCCCTGTACTCTTGGCCCAGGATCTGAACCATAGCCTATGCTTAATAAATATTTGTGGAATGAGTAAGAGGTTCCATCTATGAGATGAAAACCACTGGTGGCTGATAAGTATTCAAATGGCATATCTTCTGTAAATGTTACAGAACGTCAATGCCATTAGGTGCTTGAAGAGAAGTTTAAAAATATTCATATGCAGGAAATGAGATCATAGAATTTCTCATAAAAATGCAGTTTGATCAAATTGAGGGGATGGATACCCACTTACCTTTTCATAGTAATAGTAAATTTGTTATAGAAAACACATTTTACCTTCCTTGTCTCCTAATTCGAGGTCATGTGAAGCTTAGCTAGAAGGAGCAAAGTACATTTTGTTCTGCCTGAACTGTCTCTAGTGAATACAGTTACCCTGGGCTTTATTATGAATACCTGGCCTGTTCCACAAAAGCAATGAATAGTGCTTCAAGGAAGAAATTTTACTTGTTTTATTTCCCAAGAAACTCACCAAATTGAGTTGTCTCTACTTTCCTTTCAAAACTATAACTAAGTACAGTAGTAATGTCAGGTCACTTATGATTTTGACCTGTGCCAATCTTTGAATATTTGAACATTTTTATCTCCTGAAAAATTACTTGGCTTGAGGGAGACACAGTTGGATGAGCAAAGAAAAAAAGAAACAATCAAATGATTTTCTGATGCTTTCGAATGTTCATAGGCTTGCTTTGAAATCCCTCTGTCTATATCACCCCATCCTGTTTTTGACTTCTAATCTCCTTTACCAAATACTATGTAGCAATATTTTGTGAGTCATCCAAAAGTTGAGTATATTTAGACCACCGTGACAATCAAACAGTATAAACAGAACTACTCATCTGTCTGTTCATCATCATCCCACGCAGGGAGTTAATTCCTAATAAAGGAGTTTATCAGATCACCCTCAATTACATCACTTTGGGATAATTTCATACCCAAGGAAATTTGAGGCATTTTTGCCTTGGAAAAGAGCAGGTGCCTTACGAAAAAGAAACTAGATTTGTGAGAACTGGGCTTATGTTTCAAATTTATATTCTCAACTTTACTCTGAAGAGATGGCTTGGAAGAAGTGACGGTAACACAGAATTGCCAGTTTGCTTGGCAAGGTCAAACTATTCCATATGTTACCTTGCAAGAAAAATATGTTAATTTAAAAAATATCAGAGACCAAATGAGAAGTTGAACACACAGCTGATTTAGCTCAGATTTTTGTTTGTTGTTATACCGATTGCCATATTAGCTCCCTCTTCTACCACCTCAACCCCACCCCCACCACCATACAGCTGCTCGCTTGCTCGTTACAAAGCATATTTCCCCCTGTATATTAATGTCATATTCAGCAAATCAGGAAATTTTGCAACTTCCCTTCTGATCCTAATCTGGCTATTTTTCTTGAGTTCAGTGTCATCAAATCAGAACCAGACACTTTTGTTAAGGGTATCACATTCAAAATTGCACACAAACAAGCCCCACCTTATTTTTATGAAAAGTCTGCCCAGTTACCCGCTTTGTCCCGACACTAATAGAGCCAAGGCTCAGGGTTTGCAATGTAAGGAAATGTGGAGTACATTCCAGCATGCTTTCTATGATGAGTAGATGTTTGATAGTACACCTCACTTATCTGTGCCTCCCCAGTTGGGGAGCCTTTTTCTTATCTAAAAGGCCTTGCCATATCAAAGGTAAGGATACTGTTTGGTAAATTCCTCTAAATAAGAATGCCACTAGGAGAAATTTAAATTATATGTAAAGGAATAAAAGTTGAAAAATAAAGGGTTTTTTGTTTGTTTGTTTTGAAAAGTTGGTTTCAAACTTAAAAATTTGCAAGTGTCATTTTCTGAATTGTGGAAATAGAGTAAAATTTATCATTTCTTATAAAGTTTTAACATTAGAAAAAAAGCTTCTTATGACTAAAACTAAGGCATTTGGTAAAATTTTCTTACCGCTTCTACTATAATATCTATTTCTCTTTAGATAGATAAAGATACAGATTTGCAGTAACATTGGAAAGTAAGTGAAAAACACAGAGGAAATTAAAACTTTACTATAACCTACCTGTGTAGAAATAATCACTGTTAATTTTAATGCATAAATATAAATTTTTAAAAAGTGGAACCGTATTGTAAACTGATTTTTATCCTACTAAAACAAACATTAAGTATCTGCTGAAATGTTTTAAATTTTTTCAAAATATATGTATTTTCTGACTCATTTGCTATAATACTTAACTCATTGCTGCCCATGTAAACTTGAACTGTCTCATTTGTTAAAGCGTGAGAGAATTCATAGTTAATTCTTTGTACAGCTAAATTGTTCAGTAGGAAATGCAGAAAGAAGTGTTAAAAGAAAATCTTCAGCCAAATTTAATTTAATTTAAAAGAGTTTAATTGAGCAATGAACGAATCATGAATCGGGCAGCCCGCAGAATCACAGCAGATTCAGAGAGACTCCGGGGGTGCCTTGTGGTCAGAACAAATTTATAGACAAAAAATAATAATAATAAAGTGACGTACAGGAATCAGAAGTGAAGTACAGAAACAGCTGGATTGGTTACAGGTCAGTGTTTGCCTTATTTGTACACAGTTTGAATACTTGGCAGTGTGTGAGTGGTTGAGGTATGGCTGCTGGGATTGGCCAAGACTCAACCACTGTTACAGATGCAAACTTTTAGGCTGTCAATCTTGTTTACCTATTAAGTTAGGTTGCAATTCATCCACAAGGACTCAAATACAGAAGTATAGAGTCCTTCTCAGGCCATATTTAGTTTGTTTTAACAGACGTAGAAGAGAAAACCCTTGTTCTTTGCTTTGTCCAGGGTAGTCAGCTGATTGGAAAGGTAACCGAAGTCTCTCAACATCAAAACATTTCTAATGCAAATTCTTTAAGTCGTACTGTTCCTACTCACCTTGAACTTATGAGCAAATCCCTTATCAATTGTGCTACCTTTTATTCAGATAATGAATTTGGGAATAGGGTTTGGAATTCAAGTCCCATAGCTTAGAAAAGATTGAGTACCTGGCAATTCAGTATAGTTGTGGATTGCAATAATTCCTGTGCTTGTTAAGTAACCAAGATTTTTGTGTGTGTGCGAAAAGCATGTGTAAAATAATTGACAATCAGCACTTCTGTTGGATAGATGGGTTCCTGAAAGAGCATATGTGAATAAATTTTGGTGTATCTGATGCTACTTTCCTGTTAAGCTACTATGGAAATTATCTTAAACATTATATTCTTTTCCCTGAGGCAGAAAATGTAAATAATACATTCCCACAGGTAACAACTATAACTATTTCCTATGTATGTTTTCAAAAATGGTTCATGCACTTACGAGCATTTGTGTACTGTATGTATTCATGCACTTATATAGGGTACCCTAAGAGATGATTTTTACATGAGGGCCTATCACACTTACATATTCTTACTTCTTAAGGGAATTCAAAGGTAGATACTTTGTTGTCCCTAAAAAAGGTACATGAAGATCTATTTCCCTCTTATCAGAGGCAGGCTTCATATCTGTAGTAAAGGAGAAAAATATAGAACATTTGCTTTAAAAGTTCCTCTTTTTATAAATAATACTTGCTAACTTTTATGCTTCTGTTTTATAAGGAATTTCTTCCTTGTGCTATATACAAAAGTTGCTTCCAGGTGGATTAAACAAGGCATAAAAAGATAATAAAGGAAAAATTTGATAAGTAGTTCAAATAAAAAAATTCTGATCATTAAAAGGCACCCTAAGGAGTATTAAAAGACAAGTCATAGGGTGGAAAGTATTTGCAACTTATGTAGACAACACTGGACCAGAATATGTGGGTTACAAATGGAATAAATAAAGAACTCGTACAAATCAATTTTTAAAAGCTACCAGGCAATAAAAAATAAATAAGTGAAAAGTAGAACAGCCACTTCACCAAAGAGAGAATTCAAATGGCTAATAAACATGAAAAGATGTTCAATCTCATTAAGTAATAAGAAAAATATGAATTAAAACAACAGAGATACCATTACACACCCATTTAATTGGCAAAAATTTAAGCCTGATAATACCAAGTTCTGGCAAGGATGTGAAGTAACAGGATATTTCATATACTGCCAGTGGGAGTATAAATTGTTAAAAACCACGTTGGAAAAGAGTTTGGCATAATTTGATAAACTCAAAGTTATGCAAACTCTATGACCTAGCAAACTTCACTCTTGAGTATATTTCTCAAAGAAATGCTTACATACGTGCACCCAGAGACACGTAACCCAAATGTACATAGCAGCCCTGCTCATAATAACCCCAAACTGGAAATATTCCAGAAGTCCATCAACAGTAGAACAAGTAAGGAAATTGTGGTAGAGTAATTCAATTAAATATTATTCAGCAATTAAAATAAATGAACTATAGCTAGACGAAACAACATGATAAATCTTACACACATAATATAGAACAAAAGCATACAGACAAAAAGAATACAGTCAGATTCCACTGATATAAAGCTGAAAAAGGAGGGAGAAACCAAGTACCTTGCTCAGAGATGCATAACTGAATAGTAAAGTTAGAAAGAAAATCAAGGAAATGATAACTCTGCAAGTCAGGATTGCGGTTACCCTGGGAAAACCCAGGGGTATGAGGGGGAGGCACACACAGGAATCTTCTGTTCTATTTTTTTACCTGAGCAGTGGTTACAATCTGGGTGTTTGCTCTATAACTCTTTGTTAAAGTGTAAAATTTTTTTGTTTGTTTGTTTGTCTGAGATGGAGTCTCACTCTCTTGCCCAGGCTGGAGTGCAGTGGCACGATCTTGGCTCACTGCAACCTCTGCCTCCCGGGTTCAAGCGATTTTCCTGCCTCAGCCTCCTGAGTAGCTGGGATTATAGGCGCATGCCACCACACCCAGCTAATTTTTTGTATTTTTAGTAGAGACAGGGTTTCACCACGTTAGCCAGGATGGGCTCGATCTCCTGACCTCGTGATCTGCCCGCCTCGGCCTCCCAAAGTGCTGGGATCACAAGCGTGAGCCACCACGCCCAGCCTGTAAATATTTTTTTAAAAGACGTGCAGATAGAAATTATCTTAAATAATTGCTTACAAGACAAAGAGAACGACCTGCCCCCAAGTCCCCCAGATAAAGTAGGATATCACTAAGAATCCACACCCAAGTAAAGTAATTAAAGGGGTTAAGATGTCTCTCCTTTTGTGATTAACACCCCGTCGTGCTTGCAGAGGCACCGCTGGGTGTCAGGGAACCTGCCTGCTGCTCACCTGAACACCCCATAAATAACACCAGCTCTAGGACATGGTCCATGTGAACAAATGAAGAATCTCTCCTTCAGCCAGAGGGTGAGAGTGGCATAGGTAACAACTAGATAATGCTTGGCTCTGCCTTTTTCTTATTGATTTGTAAGAGTTCTAATTGCAAGATAGGCTGAGAAAAGTAGTCTAGCCATGTTCCATGAAGAAGAGAACATGGAATTAGGTTAGTAGCTAGCAGCCTCAGCCACAATAACTTTATTTTGTTTGTGCACTCATCATTTAAGAAGTATGTGAGAGCCTACAAAATTGGGGAGTTACTTCTCGGGAATGCTCCATTGAGAAAAACTGCTGCCTCTTTTATCTGTGTAGTCAATATCATGGCCTAAATTCTAGAATCTTCTCACATAGCCAGAGTTTAGTGATCAAGCACCACAAACCAAGAGATATTACATAACAATAGGATCGCTCAAACAAATCTACGTGAACTAGGAAACTGCTTTTTGGCTCACTCAGAGGTACAAACTTTACACCCACTGAAAATTGTCCCAGGATTGGATAAAGAAAATGTGGTACCTATACACCATGGAATACTATGCAGCCATAAAAAAGAAATCACATCCTTTACAGCAACATGGATGGAACTGGAGGTCATAATCCTAAGTGAATTAACACAAGAATGGAAAATCAAATGTTGCATGTTCTCACTTTCAAGTGGAAGCTAAACATTGAGCACACATGGACATAAACATGGGAAAAATAGACACTGCAGACGACTAGAGTTGGTGCGGGGAGGACATGGGTTGAAAAAATATTTTTCAAATGTAACTACTGTTTGATAAAAAGGAACTATGCTAAATGACCACTTCTCCCAGCTAAAGGCAGACCATCTACATTACATTTTTTTTTTTTTAAGACGGAGTTTCACTCTTGTTGCCCAGGCTGGAGTGCAATGGCACCATGTCGGCTCACCGCAATCTCTGCCTCCTGGGTTCAAGCGATTCTCCTGCCTCAGCCTCCTGAGTAGCTGAGATTACAGGCATGTGCCACCATACCCGGCTAATTTTATAGTAGAGTAGTAGAGACGGGGTTTCTCCATGTTGCTGAGGCTGGTCTCGAACCCCCGACCTCAGGTGATTCACCCACCTTGGCCTCCCAAAGTGCTGGGATTACAGGTGTAAGCCACTGTGCCCGGGCTACATTACATTTTTACTCAGTTAAGAGCAAACAATAATAGGTGAATAGCAGCCTGATTCTGTATGTTAAAAATGATTGGTGATTGAATCTCAAATGTATTAGTCCGTTCTCACACTGCTATAAAGAACTACCTGAGACTGGGTAATTTATGAAGAAGAGAGGTTTAATTGACTCACAGTTCCACAGGCTGTACAGGAAGCATGGCTGCGTGGCTGGGAGGCCTCGGGAATCATACAGTCGTGGTGGAAGTGTGAAGGGGAAGCAAGCACATCTTACCATGGTGGAGTTGGAGAGAGAGAGAGCAAAGGGGGAAGTGCCACACACTCTTAAACAACCAGATCTTGTGAGAAGTCACTCACTATCATGAGAACAGCAAGGAGGATACGTACTTGCATATATACTCCCTGAATCTAAAATAAAAGTTGAAAAAAATTTTAAAAAGAAAATTGTTGGGAGGCTGAGGTGAGAGGATTGCTTGAGCCCAGGAACTCGAGACCAGCCTGGGCAACATAGAAAGACCCTGTCTCTACCAATAATCAAAAAAATTAGCTGGGCTTTATGGCGCACGCCTGCAGTCTCAGCTACTTGGGAGGCTGACATGGGAAGATGGACTGAGCCTGGGATTCTGAGGCTGCAGTGAGCTACGATGGCGTACTGCACTCCAGCCTGGGTGATAGAGTGAGACCCTGTCTCAAAAAAAAAAAAAAGAAAAAAGGAAAATTGTCCAAGGAATTTAAAAATTTTCATTTTGGCTCTCTCATGCGCAGTAACCGTGAGGGTTTAAAGGACAGTGCCAGGGCCCCATGTTGTTAGAGAGCACTCTGTTGTCTTTGGCATGGGAGAGGACTTCAGTGCAAAACGGTGTATGAAGTGTGTTGTCAGCAGAAGCTAATTTACACCCTGTGCTGGACGGAGGGTTGCTTGTTTGGAGTTGTTTTTCCTGTGGCTAAAGGATTCCTGGGAATGCTGTTCAGGCATGTCTCTGCTGGTGGTATGCTGTCATCCTTTTCTTTTCCATTTACAGTGTAGAGCTGTTACAGTTGTAAACAGGCCTGGCTTTTTACATTGTTACTCACTGGTGTGGGAACAATGTATGTTAATGACATAAGTACTGCCCTTGAGAGTACTGCCCAAAACAGCCCCAGGTTGAAAATGTATCCTCACAGATTTAATTTTTCTTATAAAAGAAAGAGGTATGTTCCTTCTGTGTAGAGCGAACTAGAAATATATTAACCCTGCAACTAACATGCAGCACTTCACAACTCATTAGTGAGGCCCCTGGGATATGGCTCCATATATTTGCCCACAAGTTGGTATAGGCCAGAAACCAGCTGCTTTTTCACCTACGTGGTGAGAGCCAGAGGCCAGTCAAGGAACAAGGAACTATAGGAGAGGAACTACAAGGAGAATCTTCAGATTTTCAAGCCTATTATTGTTCAATACATAGTAGTTTAAAAAACTTTGACAGTTGTACTTAAAGTCCCTTCTCATCCTATGAGTCTCTGCCTCTGCCAGTATGTGATGTTTCTGGCTCATGGTGATGACAAATTCGGATGCAAAAGTAAACAAATAGGCCCCCATCAGCCCATCGGGGCAGCAGCCCTAGGCAGTGACAGTTAAACAGTTGCAAAGACCTATTTTCAGAGGCATGTACCCACACCTGACCTACTATTAAGTAAGCATGGAAATTAGTATTTCTGTTGGCTTTAATTAAGTAAATATTATAGTTTGATCCACAACACCAAATCTTTGTCAATGTCCTAAAAGAAATTGTTCTTTTCACCACAAGAGTTATGTATTCAGAGTAAAAATGGGTAGATGTATATTTTCTCTGTGAAGGAAAAGAACTGGAAGGTGCTTATTTTATTCCAAGAGTTCCCAAAGCGAGGCCGGGTGTGGTGGCTCACACCTGTAATCCCAACAGTTTGGGAGGCCAAGGCGGGCAGATCACGAGGTCAGGAGTTCAAGACCAGCCTGGCCAACATGGTGAAACCCCATCTCTACTAAAAATACAAAAATTAGCTGGGCTTGGTGTCAGGTGCCTATAATCCAGCTACTCAGGAGGCCGAGACAGGAGAATCGTTTAAACCCGGGAGACGGAGGTTGCAGTGAGCCGAGATTGCGCCATTACATCTCAGCCTGGGTGGCAGGGTGAAACTCTAAAGAAAAAAAAAAAGAGTTCCCAAAGTGAGACCATTACTCAAAAATTTGAGATGGGAGGCTAAATTGCCCCTGCTGTGTATTTAGAGGGTTAGTATTGAATAGGTCAACAAGCATTTCCTAAGTCTCTAGGCTGAATTTCTAATACGGTTTCTTAGTAACCATTCTCTTAAAGAATGTGAGATTTGAGGTAAGCTTTGCTTTAAGGGAGGGACAGATGTGAACCCTAATACTGGTTAGAAGGACATAAGAGAAGAGAGAAAGTAAAACTATTTAAGGAATTTTTTTCTCTCATTTAAGGCCCAAAGCAGCCTTTCCTTTTCTCGGTCCAATCCGATGCTTAAACTTGCCTGAATTTCCTCTGGGGTTAAGTTCAAACTAATTTTCACTGTTCTAAGCATGCAGGGCTCTTGCACAACTTCATGCCTCTGTGCGTGTGTTTCCACCAGTTGGAATGCCCTTTCTCCCACCCACCCCTAAACTCGTACATGCTTATCCTTGCAGAGACCTCCTTTGTAAACCAAGAAGCCCCCGACTCCCCTGTTACAGAGGTAATTGCTTTGGCCTTACCTGTTTTACCTCCTGGTAAGTTACAGCACTTAGCACCTTGCAATTAGAGGTCATAGATTTCCCTGCTTCTCTAGAATGTGAGATTCTTAAAGGCAGGGATTTTATCTCATTTATTAGATTTGTATCCCATGTACCTGACCTAGTATCTAGCACAACTTAGTAGATATCAATTAATGTTCATTGTATAGTCCTTTGATGATGCGGTTTGGCCCTGTGTCCCTACCCAAATCTCATATCAAATTGTAATCCTGATGGGAGGTAATTGAATCATGGGGGCGGACGTTCCCTTTGCTATTCTCATGATAGTGAGTGAGTTCTCACAAGATCTAGTTGTGTATTTTATTATTTATTTATTTTTTGAGTTGGAGTTTCACTCTGTCACCCAGGCTGGAATGCAATGGTGCAATCTCAGCTCACTGCAACCTCTGCCTCCTGGTTCAAGTGATTTTCCTGCCTCATCAGCCTCTCAAGTAGCTGGGATTACAGGCTTGTGCCACCACGCCTGGCTAATTTTGTATTTTTAGTAGAGACAGGGTTTCACCACATTGGTCAGGCTGGTCTCAAACTCCTGACTTCAGATGATCTGCCCACCTCCGTCTCCCAAAGTGCTGGGATTACTGGTGTGAGCCAGTGAGCCCAGCCAAGATCTCGTTGTTTAAAAGTGTGTGGCACTTCCCCCTTTGCTCTCTTTCTCTCTCCAACTCCACCAAGGTAAGACGTGCTTGCTTCCCCTTCACCCTTCCACCATGACTGTAAGTTTCCCAAGGCCTCCCAGCCATGCAGCCGTGCTTCCTGTACAGCCTGTGGAACTCTGAGTCAATTAAACCTCTCTTCTTCATACATTACCCAGTCTCAGATAGTTCTTTATAGCAGTGTGAGAACAGACTAATACATTTGAGATTCAATCACCTATCATTTTTAACATACAGAATCAGGCTGCTATTCACTTATTATTGTTTGCTCTTAACTGAGTAAAAATGTAACGTAGATGGTCTGCCTTCAGCTGGGAGAAGCGGTCGTTTAGCATAGATCCTTTTTATCAAGCAGTAGTTACATTTGCAGAGTACTTTTTAAAAGCAAAATATTTGTTCTTATTTTCCTGGAGTTTACAACCTATTTGGGCTGACAAGATGTATAGAGATGTGTGTGTATATATATATACACATATATGTGTATAAACATGTATATGCACACACATTTACACACATACATATATGTAGTTTCACTTATTCTTTCAACAAATGCATATGGAGTGCTAAACACGTGCCCGGAGCTGTGCTGGGTGCTGGCACCCGAGATGCGGACTCCACGGTGCCTAACCACAACACTTCAATACCCAGGGCGATGAGAGCCAGAAACAAAATAAGTAAGATAACTTCTTGGTAAGCAGGAGGAAGGGGAAAAGATTAGAGGAGGGTAAAGAAAGCAACCTAAGTAAAAGTTAGAAGGTACAAATGGGCATGGAATTTGCAGGAGTGGTGAGGAGATTCATGAGACTAAAGGCTTTAGGGAGAAATTTGGGGGCCAATAAAAAGCTATGAGTACACACACACACGCACACACACACACACACACACACAGTGAATGATACTCAGTTTAACCTAATTCAACAAGCACTTCCTGATTCCTGACTGTATAGAAAGTACTGTGCAACATATTGAGACTCATTCAGAGATGTTTTTCTTTCTTTCTTTTTTATGTTTTTGAGACGGAGTTTCACTCTTGTTGCCCAGACTGGAGTGCAATGGCGCGATCTGGGCTCACTGCGACCTCCGCCTCGTGGGTTCGTGCGATTCTACTGCCTCGGCCTCCTGAATAGCTGAGATTACAGGCAAGCGCCACCATGCCTGGCTAATTTTGTATTTTTAATAGAGACATGGTTTCTCCATGTTGGTCAGGCTGGTCTCAAACTCCTGACCTCAGGTGATCCGCCCACCTTGGCCTCCCAAAGTGCTGTGATTACAGGCGTGAGCCACCAAGCCTGGCCTCGTTTTTTCCTTTGAGATAGAGTTTCACTCTCGTTGCCCAGGCTGGAGTACAATGGTGCAATCTCAGCTCACTGCAACTTCTGCCTGGCAGGTTCAAGTGATTCTCCTGCCTCAGCCTCCAGAGTAACTGGGATTACAGGCATGCGCCACCATGCCCAGCTAATTTTTGTATTTTTAGTAGAGACAGGGTTTCACCATGTTGGTCAAGCTGGTCTCGAACTTCTGACCTCAGGTGATCCATCAGCATCAGCTTCCCAATGTGCTGGGATTACAGGTGTGAGCCACTGTGCCTGGCCCAGAGATTTTGTTTTAAGAGAAGATTTAGAGTGTCAAGTGCTAGCAGTTCAGCGGGAAAAACAAAACATATCTCATATGTGTAATATAAGTACTACATATCCCAGTAAGCCCATGAAAATATAAGAGGAAAATATAATAATATATATGAGAATATAAGGGAAAATATATTAATATATATAAGAATATAAGGGGGGCCAGGCACAGTGGCTCATGCCTGTAATCCCAGCAATTTGGGAGGCTGAGGTGGGCGGATCACAAGGTCAGGAGATCGAGACCATCCTGGCTAACATGGTGAAACCCTGTCTCTACTAAAAATACAAAAAATTAGCCAGGCATGGTGACGTGTACCTGTAGTCCCAGCTACTCAAGAGGCTGAGGCAGGAGAATTGCTTGAACCCGGGAGGCAGAGGTTGCAGTGAGCCGAGATTGCACCACTGCATTCCAGCCTGGGCAACAGAGCGAGACTCCATCTCAAAAAAACAAAACAAAACAAAAAAACATATTTGTGTTGAAAATTGAGTAGATACATAAGAGGAAGCACATCCAGAGAAGCTTAACATAAAGCATTGTATTAGTCTGTTTTCACATTGCTGATAAAGACATACCTGAAGACTGGGCAATTTACAAAAGAGATTTATTGGACTTACAGTTCCACATGTCTGGAGAGGCCTCACAATCATGGCAGAAGGTGAAAGGCACATCTCACATGGCTGCACTGTTAGAGAGCATGAGAGCCGATGGAAACGAGTTTCCCCTCATCAAACCATCAGATCTCATGAGACTTATTCACTACTACAATAACAGTATGGAGGAAACTGCCCCCATGATTCAATTATCTCCCACCGGATCCCTCCCACAACATGTGGGAATTATGGGAGTACAGTTCAAGATGAGATTTGGGTGGGGACACAGCCAAACCATATCAAGTATATAAGCAGGCCAGGGATTTTAAGCATTTGCAGTGGGTGGACTACCATCTTTTGAACCAGGAGATGAAAAAATATCCTCTTATTTATTTAAACACAGTGTCATTTTTATATACCCTATGTCTAATACATCCAATATTGGAAGCATTTGTGGGTGAGTTTCTTTTGCTGCTGTTTCTCATTCACTTTACAGGGAATGGTCTATGACTAGCCTCTTCACCTCAGGCCAGCCTTGGGTTTTGTCTTCTGTCTCTTGTTTTCATGAGGCCATGAAAACTGAAGCTCATTCTCTAGCTTCTGAGAAATTCCCTCAGGGTAAAACAGCTTTAAGTGCTCTGCTTTCCACTCTGTGTTCCCACTTTTATTTAAATTTTCCCTTATAAATCCTTCTTCTTCTTCTTCTTCTTCTTTTTTTTTTTGGAGAGACAGGGTCTCACCCTGTTGCCCAGGCTGGAGGGCAATGGTTGGAAAGATATTTCTGGAACTCAGAAGAGAGGTTAAGACTAAAGACATGTTTTAGTTATCCACCTAGAGAGAAACATAAGGCCATAAGAAAGAAGAAATGCTCCAGGGAAAGTCTTAGACTGAGAAGAGAGGAGGGCTAAAGACAGACTCTGGAAAATGTCTGTATTCAAGAACCAGACGTGGGGCTGGGCACTGTGGCTCATGCCTGTAATCCCAACACTTTGGAAGGCCAAGGTGGGTGGATCACTTGAGGTCCAGAAGTTCTAGACCAGCCTGGTCAACATGGTGAAGCCCCATCTCTACTAAAAATACAAAAATTATCCAGACGTGGTAGCAGGTGCCTGTAATCCTAGCTTCTTGGGAGACTGAGGCATGAGAACTGCTTGAACCCAGGAGGTAGAAGTTGCAGTGAGCTGAGATTGTGCCACTGCACTCCAGCCTGGGTGACAGAGAGAGACTCTGTCTCAAAAAAAAAAAGAAAAAAAAATCAGACATGGGGCAAAATGGAGCTGATGAACACAGCTAAGAAGGAGTAGTCAGGGAAGTGTTAATAGAAGGAGGGTGGAGAGAACAATGTGGGGGCAAGGAGTGGAGGTCAGCCTCTGAGGAAGACAGGGCTCATTCTAAAGATTAACATTCTGAAGATCTTAAGGGGGAGCACTAGGAAGAGGAATTAGATTTGGTGTCTCGGTGGCTGCTGAGGACTTTCTCAGGCATTTTGGTATAATTTGAGAGGAAGAAGCAAGATCGTAAGAGGTTGAGAGGAGGACGGGAAAAGAGAGAAGAACAGGAAAAGAGCAAGAATGGGAAAAGAGCATATATAGACCATGTTTTTAAAACATTTGGTGATGAATGGAAAGAGAAAGAATGATTCTTGATCACCAAGCCAGGTCATTGAAAGATGTTCTTAGCATAAGAGAAATTTGTAAGGAGCCCATTGACAAGAGGAGATTTGAGGATTGAAAATTCAAGATAGGCTGAGCATGGTGGCTCATGCCTGTAATCCCAGCACTTTGGGAGGCCAAGGCTGGTGGATCACCTGAGGTCAGGAGTTCGAGACCAGCCTGGCCAACATGGTGAAACCCCGTCTCTACTAAAACTACAAAAAATTAGCCAAGCATGGTGGCAGGCACCTGTAATCCCAGCTACTCAGGAGGCTGAAGCAGGAGAAGGTGGTGGTGGTTGCAGTGAGCCGAGATCGCACCATTGCACTCCAGCCTGGGCAACAAGAGCAAAACTCTGTCTCAAAAAAAAAAAAAAGAAGGCCGGGCGTGGTGGCTCACGCCTGTAGTCCCAGCTACTCGGGAGGCTGAGGCAGGAGAATGGCGTGAACCCGGGAAGCGGAGCTTGCAGTGAGCCGAGATTGCGCCACTGCAGTCCGCAGTCCGGCCTGGGCGACAGAGCGAGACTCCGTCTCAAAAAAAAAAAAGAAAAAAAAAGAAGAAGAAGAAGAAAATTCAGGATAGCCAAAGTATGATAGTTAGATGTGGACCCTGGAGGAGTCTGGAAGGAGTGGGACCATGACCACAAGTTGGGGCTTGGGTAGTATTTCAAGGGAATGGAAATACTTCCCCTCCAAAGTCAGAGGTTAAGGACAAAAAAATTGAGTGCTCACAGGTAAGCTGACGGAGATCTCCTAGATAGAACAGATGTTGAAAGACATGAGATTTGGTGACTTAAGGAGAATGGGAGAGAACAGCAGCATTTATTACAGTGAATCTTCCAAGGAATCAACTTTGCACCCAAAAAACTAATAAGATTGTGGACAACCGAAAGAGTTAGAATTGCCTGGATTCGTGGTTCAGCCAACATGTAAAGTGACATCCCAAACATATTCTTCAGGATCCACTCTCAGAGCGTCTTGGTGTTTTTCCAGTACTGCCGTCATACCTGTGTTCCCTTTCCTTTTGTTCTCTACTAGCACCTGGCTGTTTTAGAGTGGAATTGTGTGTGTGTCTGCTTGGAAGGAAAGATTAATATCTTGATTCTCTTTTGTCATGAGTAGATAAGGAAGTGTATTTTTAATCAGTAGGTATTCAAAAAATGTTTACTGCTGGCCAGGCATGATGGCACATGCCTGTAATGCCAGCACTTTGGGAAGCCAAGCTGGGAGGATCTCTTGAGTCCAGGAGTATGAGACCAACCTGGAAAATATAGTGAGACCTCATCTACAAAAATTGTTTAAAAAATTAGCCGGGCATAGTGGCATGTGCCTGTAGTCCCCGCTACTCAAGAGACTGAGACAGGAGGATCACTTGAGCTCAGCAAGTAGAGGTTGCAGTGAGCCATAATCGCAATCATACCACTGCATAACAGCCTGAGTGACAGAGCAAGACCCTGTCTCTCTTTCTCTCTCTCTTTCTCTCTCTCTCTCTCTCTCACACACACACACACACACACACACACACACACATTTATTGAATTGAGAGAAACAGGAAATTTTGGATATTATGGTGGCTTCTGTTCAGCGTTGGATATTAGGGGTGTCAAATGGAAGTATAAAAACCATATCAAAATATTGGGTGAAGGTGACAGTCCTACCCTCGCCTGTTTCCTGAAGGTCTGTTGAGTGAGATAAGAAAGGTGGTTGCTATGGAGCTGCTTTGGGACTTTTGTTTGACAATATAGAAAAGGCCAAAAGTATAAAGCAGGACATCAAGGAAAAAACGTATTTCCATAAAAGAAGAGAACATGAGGTGAGAGTGGTTATGATGACTGATGAGAAACATATTAATAAATGGCTTTATAAAACTCTCCTTATTCTCTTAGATTGGCAAGACAAAGACTAGACTTTTGTGTTAGGGAAACTAACCACAAATTGTGGCCTGGAGCCAATTAGGATTGTTCCCAACCCCCTTGTCCAAGCTTGGCCTCCTTAGAAATACGGCAGTACAGACGATTAGTAAGGGGTATCTAAGAATCTCTGCTTTCTGTTTATTGCTTCATGAAGGTGGTTAGCTTAATTTGGTTTGTCGGGGCACTGTATACACAGAAACATCTCCCTTGGGCCTCTTATGGGTAATTACAGAATCTGTCAAATAGGGCTGATCTGCCTGGAGAGACAAGGAGCACAGCATCTATGGAACAGGGAGTTGGGCAGAAAGTTTAGCAAAGAAGCCTCCAGGATGGCAATCTGAGTCATGGCCAGATGTCAGGCGAGAATGCGTTTCCAGCACATCGCTGTGATGATTTAAGTTACACACTCTCTCCTGCTTGCTAGTTTGCAAAGATTTTCCATCTCAGGAGATATTTCTGCAGCTCTTCCTAAGAGTGAAGACATTCTGAGCATGTTACATTCACAATCAGGCCTCCTTGATAAGTATTGAGATTCAGAGTCAAAGTTGGGAAAGCAGCCTTCAATTGTACTCATTCATGTGAAGTTTTATAATGAAGAGTGTATGTGTGTCTCTTTTTGCACTTAAACAAAGGTAGGGAAGTTGATGGCAACTATTTTCCTTCTTTCCCCATCAAAACCTGGAGTATAAATGTGGGCGTGGAAATTAGAGGGAAGCCTAAAATTTGTACTGGTCCCCAGCCCCCGTGTAGATTCATCAGCGAGATCCCAGGCTGTTTGAAAGAATGCTGGGCCTGGAGCTGAGGGACCTCCCCAGAGGCAAATTGATGGTTGGAATGCTGCTGCAGAAGGGCTCAGTGTCCCTGTGGTTCTTTAAGTCTGGAATTTTTCTTTCTTTTGAAAAACGTACTTTTGGGGGGGGCGGAAATGAATTTGAATCTATTTTCTACCACATGTTTAATGACCGAGGTGATGTATTTTTTCCTCAAATTATTATAACTCCCAGTAAAAATTCAAGCCTGTAGAAGGTAAGGAGGAGATTATATGATGAAAGTATTATTGATTTTAGTGGAATCATGGAATTTAACATATCTTCTTTACTTCCAAGTTAGTGCTTTTCACTCTACATCATGCCCAACACTTTCCTAGGTAAACAAGGGCTATAAAAGAAGGGCTTTTAATGTATCTCTTCCCCTGCTTTGGAGCAAGGCAGTTACAGAACAACAACAACAACAACAAAAATAACATTATCTGATTGATTGGTTGATTGGTTGGTTGATTTTAGAGATAAGGTCTTGCTCTGTCACCCAGGCTGGAGTGCAGTGGTGTGATCGTGGCTCACTGCAGCCTCAAACTCCTGGACTCAAGCAATCCCCCCACCTCAGCCTCCTCAGTAGCTAGGACTGCCGGCACATGCCACCACACCCAGCTAATTTTTAAAAAATGTTTTAGAGTTGGGGGTCTCACTGTGTTGCCCAGACTGGTCTTAAACTCCTGGCCTCAAGTGACCCTCCTGCCTCAGCCTCACCAGTAGCTGGGATTACAGATGTGAGCTGCTGTATGATTCTGTCTCGCATAATTGGATATATTTTAAATGGTAAACTTGATCTGTATAATATTTGGACCTCCCTCAAAAAACAAATCATTCATGAAGCTTTGGAAAGGCTATTATAACCAAATAATGTGTGCATAAGGAACCTTCTCCCCACATCTCTGAGCCCCTTTTCATTATGGAACCTCACAGCATCCCTCAGGATATCCCTGAGCCCAGGGGAAGATGAGAGTGGGAGGAATTTCAGTGATGGGAAATAGAATCAAGTTAAAGTAAACTCTGAATTCGATAGAGACAGTGTGGGATGAAGCAACAACAAAAAAATGTATTAAGACGCTATCAATAATACATTTTGCCAGCATTTTTGAGACGTTCCAAACCAGTCTCAGAAAGTTTGAGACTGATCCCAAGAAAACAATGAGAAAGGTTGAGTCTAAGCCTAAAATTTTGGCTGAATTTGGAAATTATCAGTGTGAAGGCTACACACCAAAAATATAAGAACCAACTGTCCTGAAAGTTTGGGAGTTAAGATTTGGGGAAATTATTTGAAATCATTTCAATCTACCAATTCCTGATTTTTTTGCACTAAGAATTGAAATTCTGAATCCCTTAATTTATGTATCAAATATATCTACCAGCAGTGCAGGGACAATGAGGGTGGAAATGCATTAACTAATAGATTATATGGACTGCCTTAAGCAACTGTATAATTTCTGTTAGGATGAAACCGAACCATGTTGGGAATTCTGATTTAAAATGAGGTCTGTACTTTATAGATGTGGAAAATAAGGTTCATAGGACGAAATTACTTCCTCAAAAGCGACATAACTGCGTTGCAGCAAAAACGGCAGGAGAGTGCAGGTCTCTAAGCCAAGTCTTGGACTAGGTTCTTGATTCCAACAGTTCTCCAGTGATGCTTCTGAAGACACTGGGCTGAAAGTGAACAGTGACCCTCTTTCCCGAATGTCTATAATTTTCTCAATTTAAAATTTTTCTCCTAAAAGACAATGGCTATTTTAATCTTTTCTGTTTGTTTGTTTGTTTTGAGACACAGTCTCGCTCTGTCACCCAGGCTGTAGTGCAGTGACGCGACCTCGGCTCACTGCAACCTCCACCTCCTGGGTTCAAGCAATTCTCCTGCCTCAGCCTCCCAAGTAGCTGGGATTACAGTTGTGTACCACCATGCCTTGCTAATTTTTGTATTTTTAGTAGAGACGGGGTTTCACCATGTTGGCCAGGCTGGTCTTGAACTCCTGACCTCAAATGATCCACCTGCCTCGGCCTCCCAAAGCGCTGGGATTATAGGCATGAGCCATTGTGCCCGGCGAATATTTTAATCTTTTAGTGACCTCTGCCATTTTTCTTTTCAAGAACAAGATGAATGAGCAAATGTAAACATTTTAAAATTAACTTGGAAGGGCTTTGACAGATTTCATTTCTCATGGACATATGCTTGTGACTGTTTCAATATTGCAGGCATACACTAGCATCATTTTCTTTTAGCAGAATTGCTTGGTGCTCCTGTAATAGAATGAAGTGTAATAGTGTGCAAACATTCACAACTTCCATGTGCTCTAAAACCTAAACAAGTTTGAACCCACAAGTCACTTTGTAAGGCACATCCAGGCTCGTTGAGATTCTAACTGGTGGAAATAGTTGAAAGTATATTTGTCACTTACACCTTGCCTATATCCAAGAAGGATTTGAGTCTTCCTCCAACAAGAATGCATCCAAGCCAGTCTAAAACTGTCCTCCATAAAATAGGGAAATACACTTTGGGAATTTCATAAGCTAAACACTATTTCCACATTGGTCACCATGGTGAACACAAATATGCAAAATCGACTGAATGGTAACAAGGCAGGGAGAGAACGTGCTTCCTATAGGATTTGATCTGCTGCTTATTCTGATCAAAGTGGAAACTATAAAGGTTGGTTGGAGCGGATAGCCCAATGCCTGCCCAGTAACAGGGCTGCAGGAATTAACACGGTGGACGAGGGAAGGTACAGACCATTTTCGGTGGCTAAATGAGAAATAATACTAAGCGATAGGATATCCTGTATGTTTAGATTACTTGCCTCTGAAAACGAGCTCCAATTCTTTTTCAGAACAAGTATTGGGAACAAACTGTGGATATTTAATCACTTAAGGGTACTTTCTTCTGGGAAAATCGCTCACTCTTAATTTTTCAGTTGAGTTAGACAAGGGCTAATTGCAAGAGGATTAAAACCTTGAAAACTGCTTTGTTCAGCTTATTGTTTCAGGTTTCCCTTTGGAGTGTGGATGATGTGTTTATTTGACATAATGAATACCACCATCCGCTTTGTTCCGGGAACCAAAAGGCTATGTGCTTGCCCAAGGAATTTCTCAGTTGTTTATATGTAAGGAAACACTGCTCTGTGTTATTGGATGGGACCATTACAGCTCTTTCTTAAATAGGGAATGCAGAGAGCCGTGCTTTCCTCACTCACATCTGAGCAGAGAAACCAGAAAATAGCCTTCAGCACTCCAAATGCCTGCTTGTTTTCAACACAAGAGAGCAAAGGGAACATTTATTGAAAATGTGTGTTCTTCGCTTAGGAACCCAGAGCTTTACTTTGTGTTATTGGCACATCTACTTAGACCTATGTTATATGTGTATGTGTGTATATATATATATATATATATATATTTTTTTTAAGTATTAGATTGGAGTGCTTGGCATGAATCATAGATTAGAGAACATTGACAACTAACCAGATAGTGAACTCTGCCTCTATCAGCCAAATCTAACTGCCAAAACACTGAGGAATAAAGTAACCACTAATTAAGCAGCCTGGAGTTTTGTTTTTGGGTTTTTTTTGGTGGTGGTTGTTTTTAATACATACCCTGCCATAGGATGAGGGCAATTGTGTGAAATACATGCTTTGCGGTGACTTCCAGTGATGCAACATAGCAGTCTTTTTAAACAGCTGAAAACTCTCTGGTCCTTTATGGTTTCCAAAAGGTACTCCTTAAATGGGCATAACTGATGGGGGATTGGCTAGTGAGCTACAGAGAAGGCTGAGTCAGAGTGACCTGTTGGAGCTAGCCCCGTGTGTGTGTGTGTGTGTGTGTGTGTGTGTGTGTGTGTGTGTGTGTGTGTGTGTGTAGAAAAGGGGGAGCCGTGGGCAAGGGGCGGGGGTGAAGGGAGGCTGCAAGCTTGGCAGAATGTTTGAACAAGACAAAGAGCAGTTCCAGCGACCAAATAAGGAAGTGAGTGCTGAAGTATTTCAGAATAGAAGTGTGTCAGGGACTCAAGGCAATTGCGGAGAGTAAAAATAGGCAAAGAAGAAAGGGCAAAGGATTTTTGTTTTACTTGTTCCACAAAATAAACAGGGAAAGAAGTATCTCTGGTCTTTCAGCTGGAGTGAGAAAAACAGATCGTATCTATCCCTTTCTGTTGGCTTTTTATAGACATGTGTCTGAAGAGATGTTTAGAAGCTCTTTCAGTGGCAATGGCAATAATAAGCATGCTTTTGTTAAAGACAGAAAAACGCAAGTTGTGCATTAGACGCACCATCACATTCCCTTTATGTGTAATGCATGAAACTTTTAGCCCAAGATGATGGAAGTTTCCAAGAACCAACAGAAATATCTGGAAACCCATTTTCAGACATGTCCTGAACACTGAATTATAACTGTATCCTTTGAGAAAAATCTTACCTCTTAACAAGCCAGTTAAATGTCCATTAGATACAGTGTCTAACTTAAATATGTTGATAGTTACTGAAAAAGATGTCAAAAGAGGCAAATTACGCAAAGAAACTGTCAGTACTTGTTTTAATCTTCTCAATACCATCTCCCCAACTCTCCAGAGTGGCCAATAATATGTCACTGATCCTATGGATAAATGCTGCTCTTATTTTGATACTTTTTTTGCAGTACGGGTGGAAGAGAACAAAGATTTGGAAGGAGAATTTCAGATACTCCTAAACATAATTTGAAACAACCTTTTTTTGTCCTACAAAACCAACATTGAGAAATTATTTCTATTAACCAAGAAATCAATTTACTTATGTCTGCAACTAGGAATAAATAGAAGACATTCATCCTGGGTAAGACTTTTGAAAGCCCTCAATAACTAAATTGTTGGCAACTCTAGGATTGGCAATTGAACAAATCTATCCTTCTGTTCTCATGCAAAATACAAAATTGGACAGCCCACACTTGAATCAGAAACTACCAGAACCTGCCCAGAAGAGTTTGGGTAGAGAGCTAAACTGGAGTGCAAAATAGGGAACACACAAAGATTGACCACGGCATGTAGATGATCTTACAATGTAGTGTATTCTGGCTCCAAAAATAACCTGCCCCCCACTTAAACTGAAATATAAACTCTATTGAATAAGCTACCTTGATCATGCTTCAAGAAAATGTTAGGCTTATGACAAAATGTTTATTATCACAAACAAAGAAAAAATTAAAATGAGACACAGTGTTATGCCCACGAATAGTCATTTTAATGACCAAGCTCCATCCTACCAATGCTTCACTAGTTGACTTTTTTTTTTTTAAGCAATTTAACAATAGATGTCAAGAGCAGGGAAAAAAGGCTGGGTGTGCTGGCTCACGCCTGTAATCCCAGCACTTTGGGAGGCTGAGGCAGGAGGATCACTTGAGCCCAGGAGTTGGAGACCAGGCTGGGCAATATAATGGGACTCCATCTCTACAAAAAAATATTTCGAAAAAGCCAGACGTGGCGGTGCACACCTGTAGTCTTATCTGCTTGAGAGGATGGCTTGGGCCCAGGAGGTCAAGACTGTGTGAGCCATGATTATACCATGTACTCCAGCCTGGACAACAGAGTGAGACCCTGTCTCAAATAAATAAATAAATAGTGGTAAAAAGAGTATTTGACTTCAAAATCATACTTCTCAGTATTTGCCCTGAGGAAGTAACTCAAAATGGGAAAAGAAATGTATAAGCCTGAAGATGTTTAGTATAGCATATTTTTTATAATTTCAAAACAAAAAATTTAGAAGTCAAATACACAGAATATTCTCTTATCTCAACAATGCAATATTATGCAGCAATTAAAACTGGTAATGATTAAGCCTATGAAGGCAAAAAATGTTTATGATAAATGATACAATAATGACGAAAAGTTACCTTGTAAAATTACACACTATCTGTATAGCTATGTTTTGAGGACTAGAAAAGAACATGGTGAAATAGTGCTAGTGTGTTATACATACATAGAGGTAGATTTTTTGTCATCTTTATTTTGTGTTTTTCAATAATAAATGCCTTTCAAAAAAAGATGATGATGAACAAGCTTACAGGCAAGAGGCAGGATTCCAGAGTCAGAAAGAACTGAGGCTTCAGAGTTTACCTATCCAGCAAATATAAGTCACAAAGTTTTGTGTAGCTAGTTAGTGATGTTGTAATAGACTTTGCCATTTACAGAACTGTTTTACTTACTGATTTGACTTGTCAATTATTTAAAAATAGCAAAGCTAGCAAAAATAGCAAAATGTCAATTATTTAAAAATAGCAAGTGTAATTCTTTTGTGAGAAAAACAATCACCCACAAAAATGTAACTGCAGAGGCTCCGAGACCATTTGTGTGTGTGTGTGTGTGTGTGTGTGTGTGTGTGTGATTCCTCCGGTATAGCTGTGAATAATGTGAGGTAACCAGAGACTGGCAGAGTCAGCCCAGGATTAAACACCGTCATCAGCAGCACCCCAGTTTAAAGAGAAGATTCAGAGCACCTGCATCAGGATCTCCTTCTAAAGCCCTGAATGGCAATTGGGAGCCAATCCTGACATTGAGATCACATAATAAACTGTTCTCACAAAGAGCAGTTCATTTAATCTTTCCATGCTTTTGTTTTGGTGACCCCGCTACTGCTGGGAGTAATTATAAAGAACTCCAAATGATTAGAAAGCATTTTGCATAAATCAGCTTGTTTGAATTATTGCATTTCCAGGGAAAATTAATTGCGACTTAGAACAATGCAGAAATTATTTACACACCCAGGTGTCAAAAAGCAGAGGAGAAGCAAAGAAGTAAATATATATTTATAGAATTTCCTGTGATGGCTTATAATAACTATTGAGTAATCATAGAATGTTAAATGTAATCTCATCCAACCCTCTATAGTGGAGATTTGAAAATGGAGACACAGGACTCGAAGTGAATCGTGCAGGGTCTCATAAAGAGTTAATGCCAGAGCCAACTCCTTTGTTGAAAATAGTAGTTAAATCCTTAATGGCTGTTCTCTAGAGCTCTACTTGCTGCCTTTGCCTTCTTGCCCCTCTCCTGTGGCGAACTTAAACAGTACTTCCATCAGTCTTACTTCGAAAGACTTAAGAGTTTGAAGGAGCTCTAGACAATTTATAGTCTTGTCTTAGGCAAGGTGATTCTGCTTCATCTAGTTACTTATTTAGAATGTTAACTCCTTAGTGGCAGAAGTCATGTTTCTCAGTAATAACTAAACTTATTGGCAGCAATGCCATGTGCGCCGTGCCAAATGCTTTCCAAAGTCTCGTTGAATCCTTGCAGCAATTAATCAGGTGTGCAGTGCTATTATTCTCATTTTACTAGAGGAGGAAACTGAGGCACAGAGAGGTTAAATAACTTCCCCAAAGCCTTACACCTAGCAATGGAATATTACGCAGCAATTAAAACTAGTAACAATTAAGCCTATGAAGGCAAGAATGTTTATGATAAATGATAAAATAATAGTTACCTTGTGAAACTGCAAGCTATTTGTATAGCTATGCTTTGAGGACTAGAAAAGAACATGGAGAAATAGTGCCAGTTATGCGTATGGATACATATGCATCACAAGTGCGTATGTTGAGATTTAGACAAAGTATCAGCCTTGGGATTTACACCCAAAGCATGAGCTCTTAAGCATGAACTTGCATTACTTCAGTAGGTGTTCAGTGAAAGTTTTTGAAAATACACCTAAAGTATCCCAAGCAGATGACAATTCTCTTGACTATGACCAAAGGTATGAGGAAGAACTTCTACTTTGAGTAAATAAAATGATGGGCTTCCAGAAGCCAGGTATCCAGGTGATAATTTTTCTATTTGAATATGAGAATGATAGTTACACAGATAACTCCAAAAATTACCTGCATCAGTGAAAATTTGGAGGACAGACATATATAAATTTTGCAATGTTGTATGTCATACCAGTGAAGGAATCTAATGATACTATTATTTATTAAGTGAGGATCGCAATAAGAGTTATTGAGTAATCAATGTCTCTGTATTTCTTTGGGTTATGATTCCTGTCACATCAGTATGGAAAAAGATTTAGCAAGTCGCATGCTTTGCTTGTCCACAACATCCAAGCTCCAAATGTCGCAGACATAAAGATATGCCCAGAGTAATCTACTCTGTAACTCACAGTGAGGGTATTTAGTTGAATCTCCATATAAAGGAATGATTTGAAGGAATTATCTTTACCTAATCCATCCTCCTCCCCAAAGTAGTGGAAAATAGACTCAATTATTTCACCTGAAGTTAAATTTGCATGTGTGAAAGTGTATGTTTATGAAACAAATAGTGCTAAGCATGACATTAGAAATGGAAATCCTAAGTCCTCTGCAAAACATTATCTGATGAGTTGATTACGTATTTGTTCTCTACTTATTTCATCTTACCTTAAAACCATGGGATACTAAGGTATTTTTTTTTTCATCATTCATCCCCTTTGGTAAAATATCAAGTATATGTATGTGTGTGTATGCAGATATGGGTATATATATGTATGTACAAATATATACATGTTTAATGTATTATTACACATACAGATATACACAAAGAGAGAAAAATTTGAAGAATTAGATGAATATACGTATAAAGAGAAGTTTTAGGCCAGGTGCAGTAGCTCACGGCTGTAATCCTAGCACTTTGGGAGGCCAAGGCTGGTGGATCACCTGAGGTCAGGAGTTCGAGACCAGCCTGGCCAAAATGGTGAAACCTCGTCTCTACTAAAAAAAAATACAAAAACTAGCCGGGCATGGTGGCGCGTGCCTGTATTCCCAGCTACTCAGAAGGCTGAGGCAGGAGAATCACTTGAACTCGAGAGGTGGAGGTTGCAGTGAGCCGACATCGTGCCATCACACTCCAGCCTGGGCAACAGAGCAAAACGCTGTCTCAAAAAAAAAAAAAAAAAAAAAAGTTTTAGTATTTTTTTTCTCATCTCTCAATAGACTGTTGTTGAAGCCCACTGCTCTGTATAATACCCCAACACCCATTTGAAGAGTTGCTGAAAGTTCTGTGCCAGGCCATGGTGGGCTGGCCTGAGGCCTGATCCCAGAACCCTCCAGCTGAAAGGAATGTTAGAGCTCAGCCATCCAGCCCCTCCGCAGAACACATGGGGAAACTAAGAGAGTATGAGAATTTTGTCTCAAGACCTCATTTCCAAGAGGACTCAGGACCTGATGAGGTCTTTGTTATATTTAAAGTCTAAATAGCTGTGTGATAATAATGAACCTAGCTTAGGAATTGTTTTACATACTAGAGCTTTTGTTTGGTTTTAGATTTTTTTCTTTTTGGGGAGGGGGTGGGGTGGGGAGGGGAGGCAGGTAGCAAAGTACTCTTCACCACAAAGAAGTTGAAATTGAAAAGGAAATCTGTAGGCACTTAAATGAAAAGCAGGGCATTTTGCTGATGAGGTCAAATGATACTGATCAATGGGAAGCTCTGGGAGAGGTGGCTGTGTAAAGGAGAGACTGGGTGACCCAGGGAAGTGTCCGGAGCTGAATGAGAAGTTGGAATCACATATTCCTATGTTGCAGCCTTCAACCTGATACTAACTCATTCTTCAGACACGGAGTCCAACTTCCAAGTGCTTCAGGGATTTTTGTTAAGCCTTTTAAGGGTATCCAAATGAATTAACTATTGTGTTTCACCAACGCTCTAGTAATTCACTTTCAGTGGGCGGTTTTATTTTCCCAGATGTGCAGATTGTTCACCATGGAGCTATGAGTAATTAACTCATAAAAGAAATGTCCAGATGAATGAACAACTGCAAAGCACCTGTTGTCAACAGCTGATTTTTGTCTCCGCGCTTTGATTATGAAGAGCTTGAGAATACTGGAGGTTGTTTTCTTCTTCTAAAACCTTGTGACACCTGCTGATTTAGGTTCACATAGAATACAATGGTAAATAGAGAATAGGTGGTAGAGCTTGTCTTTATATCTAATGAAAGAAAAGTGTCAAAGTTTCAGATGAATGTCAGATACCCAAGGATAGGGCTGCATTATGACTTTCATGGGCCTTAGGCACTTTTGCCTTTGTGGGTCCGTTTCTCCATTAAAAAAAATAGAATTATATTTTATAGTTGTATTGGTATAACGATGAATGTAACCCAGGCTGGATTCATTATTATATGGTCATCATTGTTATATTTATTTATGTTCACTTTTTCCTTCTGGGTTTATTAAAATTAAAATTTTTTCTTGGGTTGCCCAAAGTGTCAGCCCTGCCCACTGAACCTAATGAATAAATTGGCCCTGCCTAAGATTATGGACAAAGAGACTTCACGGAACCATAGCTGGCCCCATCGATTTTTACTGTCACTGTAACAGAGAACACTGCTAGGCCCATTTCTTCTATTTTTCCTGATGTTGTCTCTGAACAATGAGCAGCTCAAGAATCAGAAATCCCTTTCTCGGCAAGGTAGTTCACGCCTAGAGTCCCAGCACTTTAAGAGGCCAAGGCAGGTGGATGGATCACTTGAGCTCAAGAGTTTGAGACCAGACTGGGCAACGTGGTGAGACCCTGTCTCTACAAAAAATAGAAAAAAATTAGCCACGGGGTGGTGCACGCTTGCAGTCCCAGCTACTCGGGAGGCTGAGGTGGGAGGATGGCTTGATCCCAGAAGATGGAGACTGCAATAAGCTGAGATCATACCACGGCACTCCATCCTGGGCAACAGAGCAGGACCCATTTCAAAAAAAAAGAAATCCCTTTCTCCTTATGTAACACTACTTGGCCTAGAAAAGCCAGTATTTGTGTCCACTGTGCTCTGCCAGGGCTGCTTATGTAGGGGCCTTCGTTCATAATATGACAACGAAGCAGGTGACTGAATCAAAAATTAATTCCTCCATGATGCTAAAAGACTGTGTCTGTGTTCTCCAAAATGGAGTCAGTTTGTGAAGAGAATTTTTGTCAGACCAGTTTATTCATTGCTACACAAAGCTTTCTTAAGTGACATGCAGTGGGCAAACAAGGGAACAATGACACCAAAGTTATGTCAAGCTTGTACTTGTACCACCCACAAATGAAGATGGAATAATAATGTTGCCACCTATAAGCTAATGAACAAAATGCAACAATGGGCCCAAACATGCATATACCCATTGCCAATAAATTAATCTCTAATGAGACTTTTGCTAAAATTGAGGTAATGATTTACAGAAGGCCTGGCTTTTAAAGAGGCCTGAATTTAGTCTTTATTTATGGTTGCCGTATTTTCTTTTCACTTGCATTGAAAACTTTACTTTCAAAATCTTACTTTGTCAACTTTGTCCAGAAATACATTTTTTTATTTTTTTATTTTTTTACCAATCCTCTTAAGTGAATACTTTTTAAATGATATTCTAAACTCTTATTTCTCTCAGTGCAGTCTTCTCTCTGAACTCTTTTCATGAGCCATATCTTATTAAAATCCATTATATATTGTAAAAGAAATAGCCATTGGAAAATATTCATAGGCCACCAGTTCCTTTGAACATAGCAGATTGAACCAAAGTTTAATTTGAAACATCTTTTGATAAATCTTATAAATTGACCAAATTTTCTCAAAATCATTGAACTTTTTCTAAAGTTACTAAAAACAGACAAATATCATATACTAATACAAGAATAATGATCTTACTTCTTTGGAGCAATGGAATTATTTTTTACATTTACGACTATGGAAATCTTGGGTAAAAAAAAAATCTTAATTTTTTTTCCTTGAAATCTAGTACTTCATTGTATCAGCAGTGACCTAGTATAACTCACTTAAGGGGCCTGTAACAGGCAATATCAATATTATTGTCAATTGTTTTAACTGTCAATTATATAAACTATATATCAGATAAATTCTTTTTTTTTTTTTTTTTTTTTTGAGACAAGTTATCACTCTGACACCCAGGCTGGAGTGCAGTGGCACGATCTTGGCTCACTGCAACCTCCACCTCCCAGGCTCAAGCGATTCTCCCACCTCAGCCTCCCAAGTAGCTGGGACTACAGACGCACACCACCACACCTGGCTTCTATTTTTTGTAGAGATGGAGTTTTGCCATGTTGCCCAGGCTGGTCTCCAACTCCTGGGCTCAAGTGATCCTCCCACCTTGGCCTCCCAAAGTGCTGGGATTATAGGCGTGAGCCACTGTGCCTGGCCAAATTCATTTCTTTAATTGCCAATGTTACCAAATATTCTCTCCTATGGAGCTTATGGTCTATATTCAGAGAATTTTCTAATTTTAAATACATTTATTACATTTTTATATTTAAAGAAAGTTTAATTGGAATATTTGACTTCTCCTTATTCTCTCTCTTCTCTCTCTCTTCTCATTCCATTTCCATATTGGAGTCTAGGTTTGTACATTTTATTTTGTTAAAGATATATACTGCAAAATAATCTCAATGATTCTCTTAGTAGTTGGATATCTTTGTTAGAAAACCTTTAACTTCAGCACTGAAGCAAATCATTATGTATTTGCCTAATGAGAAAAATAAAGTACTTCAGATAACATAATCCCGTTTATTTGACGCAGAAGATTCGTGTATTGATCCAGAAGAATGGATATTCAAGTTTAAGATGTGAAGTGCTGGGTAGAAGGAGGTTTCAGAGATGACAGGTTAATCAGAGTTAGGGAAATAGACCCAATTCCCTCCTTCTTGTGATAGTCCCCTATGTATAGCCTGTCGGAGTCCATGGTTTCCTTTGAATTGACTTCATTCTTCTGAAAACGGCGCTGCAACACCCTAAGCAGCTCCATTGCTGAGAGAGTTTTACTTCCTGTATTTCTGCGAGCAACAATGGAATCATGGCTGATCTGGGTGTTTTCTAAGCACCCTGGAAATCTACATGAAATGCGACACAAGATTCCTTGTTATGGTGTCACCAGAGGTAATATTAATAGTATTAAAAGAACAAGCTGAGGACTTTATGCATGATCTTACCCATGACTTCATGAATTGCCACTGGGATTAACGTAAAATCTGTAATCCTCGCCTAAATAGGCCATCTTTGTCTATTATCCATCACTATATATATAAGATACAACTTAAGGTTTTTCTTATGTAGGATAAGTTCAAATATTTAGTCCACTGATAACGGTATTTCACCACTTATTCAGGAGAATCACATAAACAGGCAAATTCTCACTATGCCTCTTTAGTAATCCACATGGAATCTGTGGATGATTCCTTCAGAGCCAGCATAACTCATTTGATTTGGAAAAGGGTGCTCAATAGTGAGTCAGATTCTACTGTGGATCAAGCAGGACATGTTTAGAAGCTGCCTTAACTATTTCAGATCAAGCAGACCTGACTATGCGCAATAAAACTTGGCAATAATCAATTGCTCCATTGGTAAAATGGAGATCTTAGGGACGGTGAATGGATGGTGAATGCACTTTCCATAAATATGTATTTTTTACTCCAAACATATATATTCCTTGGAGCTTGGACTCTGGAGTTAAGGATTTACATCTCCGCTCCTCCCCTTACCAGCTCCGTGCCCTTGGGTAAGTTACCTAACCTCTCTGTGCTCACTGTCCCTGGGATGATAGTTATAGTGATACTTCTTCATGGTTTCTATAGTCAGATAAACAGGAGAATGCATGTGACATGATTGGCATAATGCCAGCCCAAAGTAAAGTTCAGATTATTTTTTTTACTCTGTTTTTTAATTATCTGAAACTAAATACTGTGTTTTGCAAAAACAAAATTAAAAGGCAAAAACAAACAAACAAAAACCAGCTCCCCACCTGCTACATACCAAACAGTATGTTAGGTACTGCAATGGCAGCATCGCACTGTGTCTTTTCAACAGCAGTCCAGGGTAAATACCTTAACCTCCACTTCACAAATGAGAAAACAAAACCTTTGTGATTTCAAGGTCATGGAAACAGTGGAACTGACCCCACTCTGTCCAGCTCCAAAGGCCATGCTCTTTTCAGGACATGCCTTCACTAGATGATCTCTTCAGCCCCCTCCCGACTCTGATTTTGAGTCCTCTGGAATTGTCTCGGATGTTCAAGGCTTACCTCACTCTCATAAGCTCAGCCTGTTTTTTGTTTATCGTAGCGTGGCCTTTCTTTACATTCCAACTGCAGACCTGGTTGTCATTCTCCCTGTGACATAGCATTTGATGTCCACTGGGTTCTAGTTATGTCTATATAAGTACAAACAGTCCCATTTCTTTTTTCCCGATCCATTCTCCCTTATCTTAATAAAAAGTTGTGAACAAACCAAAGAGCCATAAAGTTATCTTTACCAATAGGATAGATGAATTTGTTTTCATGTTCAAAGTATGAGTTGTCCTCGGAGGGGTGCCCTTTCCCTCCTCCCCTACTAGTCTGTCTTCATGATCAGATAATGCATGAGGCTGAGCCTCTTTAGAATACCCACATTTTGGTTTTTTAAAGTTTCTCACTTTTGTTAAAATAATTACTAGTTGTTGATATGGAGACAAATGTGTTTTGTATAAAATGTTACACTTAATTACAGAGTCCAAATTCAAAATAGTCCAAGATTGTTAAAAGTTGCTTATTCTTAAAAATGAATGGACTAAAAGCTGATCTTAAGCATTCTACTCTCAGAAACATTTTCCCAAACATAACATTACTATGAAGCAATATCAGGTAAAATCTATAATTAATCTGTTATTTCCTTAGTCTTGTTCTTGTTTGATAAATGTAGTTGGGAGCCCTTGCAAAGGTAGCAAGTACAATAGAAGAAACAGGCCATTCAGGCAAGATTCTGTGACTCTAAAAAATATAGTAAGAGCTAAATCAAGTTTTTAAAAATAACATCAAAGGCCAGGCGCGGTGGCTCATGCCTGTAATCCCAGCACTTTGGGAGGCCGAAGAGGCAGATCACAAGATCAGAAGTTCGAGACCAGTCTGGCCCACATAGTGAAACCCTGTCTCTATTTAAAATACAAAAAATTAGCTGGGTGTGATGGTGCACGCCTGTAATCCCAGGTACTCGGGAGGCTGAGGCAGGAGAATCGCGTGAACCCGGGAGGCGGAGGTTGCAGTGAGCCGAGATCACGCCATTGCACTCCAGCCCGGGTAACACTGCAGGACTCCGTCTCAAAACAACAACAACAAACATCAAAACACCAGAAGTGAATGGAACAAGATCCTGATGCTGACCTGATTATCAGAACATCTGTTATAGACAACATTGATCACTCTGAGGAAATACATAGCAAAAGCCTCCTTGTAGAAAATGTGCCAATCCAGAAGCCAGGAATCTTCTAGGAAAATCTCAAGTTTTGGTAATTTTCATTAAAATATTAAGCAAAATGCCGGAAGATATATTAATATTCCTTTGCTGCTACATGGAAATAAAATAAATGAAAATATAGATTTTGGGCTTTAATTCTTAAGTTAGAAAAGCGTGATTGAACAATGTCGATTTGTGGTAGCAGTAAAAAGACATTTACTTGGTTTGCTAATCATATCTACTTTATAAAATATTATCATGTTACCTATGCTGAGCATTTTGAGCTAGATAGTGTGCAATACCCGTCAGTAGTTAGATAGATCAATCAGTCGATTGATAAATAGATAGATCTGTGATTTGGTTTCACTGCCAATATCTTCTTTCTTTAGTGAATACTGTTGGTTTTTAGTGTCTTTCGTTTTAGTGTTTTAGTTTTTAACCACCTATGTTTCACTATTTTCATTGTGAGAAAAATATGAAAAGGAATGATTTGAAGGTTACTTTCACCCTTTCCACTTTTCTCCCCAAATACTTGGCGAATTGAGCCCAATGTTTCATCTCAAAGTAAATTTGCATGTTTGAAGCCTTAGGCCTCTGAGCCAAAGCCTGTGAAGGTAAAGCCAGAGATGCACGGCCTAAAGCAGAGACTCTGGCAGATACAGCCAGCGAAGCTGGAGGGAGTTCCTTGAGTGTCACTCCTGACGAAATAAAAGTTCATTGTGTATTTATTCTCTGCCCCTTTCATCTTATCTCAAATCCACAGAGCGCTAAGTTTTAGTCAAGGAAGAATGAAATAAAAGTAATAGAAGGAGAAGACTTGATCAGAATCTTCAGTGTTCAGAGGAGGATGGAATATTCTTTTTCAAACTTGGCAGAAATTCTCATCAGTGCTTCTACTGATACTAGTTTTAGCAATTCTGAGGCTTGTTCAAAGTGATGGCCAAGATGTATCCACACCTCCCACGGTTCGTGTGTAAAACCTTCAAAGTTGCAAACATTGGAATATTCAGTGTTTTGCATCAGTGCCTTAAATCTTCATGGATTTCGGCACTGAAAAGTGAAAACTGGTCCACGTGTACGCATCTTTCCGGGCACCTGTAGTTGGAATAAGGCAGACACACAGAGATGACAGATCTAATGGATCATCCTTCTTTTGCTGTCTCCTCAGAGTAAAGGAAGTGCGTATGTCTTCTCACAGCCAATCAACTCTCCAAGTCTATTCTACCCCACAGTCCCTTCCATGGCCGGTAAACACTACAGGTGGTAATATCAGACATCTGTTTTATTCTTTCTGCTCTTTATGTTGTGAAAGGACTCCTAAATCATAAAATCATAAAATTTAAGAAGCGTAACTTAAAAATCCATCAGATTAATCCCATTATTGTGGAAATAAGGAAGCTTCAGAGTCCCACAGTTAATGGCACAGATCACACGTCCTAACTCTCATCTGGTGGCACTCTTTAGTCAGTGTCCCATCACAGCCTGCAAGAAAACCCTGCTGCAGGCCACGTGATGTCATTGCTGCAGCCCTAAGGGCCCTTTGACATGGGCGTAAACAAGCTGAGAATTCAAAGAAAGGTGAAGCTAAACAGGGAAATACTGTTAGAAATATTAGAATAGGCAAAGTGATTTTCACTCTTTAAAGTTTGTGTTCCAGGACAATGAATTGTTGGTCTATCACCCTCTCAAAAATGCAAGAGATGATAATGCTTTGTATTATCCCCAGAAAGATGACTATGGTCAGTATATTATTAGGTTAAAAAAAATAGGTTACAGGCCAGGTGCAGTGGGTCATGCCTATAATCCCAGCACTTTGGGAGGCCAAGGCAGGCGGATCACTTGAGGTCAGGAGTTCAAGAGCAGCTTGGCCAACATGGTGAAACCCCATCTCTACAAAAACTACAAAAATTAGCTGGGTGTGGTGGCAGGCGCCTGTTATCCCAGCTACTTGGGAGGCTGAGGCAGGAGAATCGCTTGAACCCAGGAGGTGGAGGTTGCAGTGAGCCGAGATCACGCCACTGCACTCCAGCTTGGGTGACAGAGTGAGACTTTGTCTCAAAAAAAAAAAAAAAAAAAAAAGTTATAGGCTGAGTGCGGTGGTCACGCCTGGGAGGCCGAGGTGGGAGGATCACTTGAGATCAGGAGTTTGAGACCAGCCTGGACAACATAGCGAGACGTTGTCTTGAACAAAAAAAAATGTTTTAAATTAGCTGGGTATGATGGCACGTGCCTGTAGCCCTAGTTACTCAGGAGGCTGAGGTGGGAGGATCACTTGAGCCTGGGAGGTCAAAACTGCAGTAAGCCATGACTGCACCACTGCACTTCAGCCTGGGCAACAGAGTGAGACCCTGTCTCAAAAAAAAAAAAGTTACAAAATTGTATGGAAACAATTATCTAAGCTATTTTAAGTGTGTGTTTAAATACACATCCAAAAGCCTGGAGGACTATATTTTAGGCAGCTAACAATTTATCTCTGGGAGTAAAATCACAGGGACATTCAATTTTGGTTTATTGTTTAAAGAACAATATTTGGTTTTTAATATTTTACAGACATCGTTATTCATTTAAAAGTCAATAAAGATATTTCCGAGAGAGGAATAGACTACCTGGCTGAAGACAGTGAACCTAGCAATGCTAGTGTTAGATATCAGTAATGACGGCAGGATACAGTTACAGTACTAAACCCTTTAAACAAGTGGTCTACTGGCTATTCAAAACTAGTTAGCATTTATTGGCAGTTACTGAGTGACCACGTTACCGAAACAGCCTGGCACAACAGTAAGTTCAGTAAATGGTAGATATTACCATTCATTCATTCATTCATTCATGCATTCATTTTGTTAACAGCTTATTGTGTGTGAAAGATTTGGTCCCAGTGGCCAAGGAGCACACTCTGGAAGGAGAAAGAAGACAGAAATTGTTGTGACATGGTGTGCCAACCCAGCTACTGGAGGATTATACACAGAGCCAGGGGTGTCCTTAGCTGATCTGGTGAAAGAAAAGTTGGTGATCTGGATTTAGGGCTAAGCCCACAATCTGTCACAAATTTTGCATAGAATATTAATTCTGGAACGAATGAGTCCAGTTCCTCTTTGAAAACACTTCTACAGAAGTTCCTGTGTAGATGAGCGTTAAAATAAGTGACTCAGGGCCTCCAGTAGTTTATGAGCTAAGAGGATCACAGGATAGGATAGGGACCGGGTTCCTCAGATGTTGCTAGATCAAATGCTTTACTCTTCTCACCCTAAGGGCTCCTGAATTTAGCTTTTTATTACACAGAACCCAGTAAACTAATTAATGGAAATCTAAAAATTATCCTTCCTCTTCTTAGAAAAGAAATATACTGCATGATGATTTGTGCTTTTCGATTTAATGTCACACAATCGTTTTTACACTGTATGTGCTTTCCCTCCCCACAGCCCCAGTCCCAGCCCCAGTCTCGCAGTTCCATTCCTTCAGGGCAGCTTCCATTCTACCGTGAGTTTTTATTGCTTTCCCCTAAAACGCTGCCCTGGAGTCGCGTTTATTGGACACTCTTTAGTCTGTAAAGGAAAAAAACACAAACACCGGAGGAGAATCATCCTAACAAGCCGACAACATATCTATGGGCCTAAAAAACTTAAATTCTTTCCCGTTATTAGCACTTCTCGATCGTTCCAGGAAAGCCCGATTTGTAGCTTGGCTGCCCCAGGAAGGGGCCTGCGACCAGAAAGATGCAAAGGGCGGGACAAGGTTACGAGTGGGTGCGGGGAAGCCTCCCTAACCTGGGGGCCGCGTCCCAGAGCTGCGAGCCACGCCTCCTCTCTCCCGCCCGCCGCGCCGCCGGACTCTTATTTTGAAGGGCGGCGGGTGAAGGCTCGGAGCCTCCTGAGTCACCCGGCGGGCGAGGTATAAAGCCCGATACCTGCCCCGCGCCCGGTCCGCGGAGCCCGCTGCAGCTCCCGCTCGCTCCGGACGCGGAATCGGGCAGCAGCGGGAGGCGGCCCGGAGAGCCGAGGTAGGCGCGGGGAATCGGCCCTGAGGCTGGTGGAAGAAATGTGTGAATTAAAGGGAGTGCAGCGTGCAGGGTGGGCCGCGAGTCGGGAGTGCAGGGCTCGGGACAGGGTGGGGGCGGGGAGGACAAGAGACTCGTCAGCGCACTTTCCACCCGGCCGGTTCCTTCCCGAGCCCTCTCCCTCCCCCGGCCCGCGGGAGCACAGATCCCTGAAAGCGGAGCTCCAGATAGGAATGTCTGCATCATCTTGGCAGGGCCCAGACGGGAGAAGATGCTCTGCTGCCACGGACGATCCCTCCCGCTCTCCTAACTCTTCTCTGAACACCTCGCACCCCCACGGCCCCCCGCCCCTCTCTTAATCTTGGCCACGCTCCCTGAGGGGTCAGACCTGGGGTGGGAGAGCAGAGAAAGCGGGGCTGGCAGAGACAGGGGTGAGGGCCGGGAGAGGCGATGACATCATTCCCTGGCAGCTGGCGGGGAGAGGGTGGGGACGGAGGGGTCCCCCCGACCTGAGCCGAGCCCTCCCTTCCCAAGCCCATCCTCCTTTCTTTGGGATGGTTCACCCCACCTGGGCGCCATTCAAAGGAAGTTTGCGCGTAACTCGGGGCGTCCTTTCCCCGGCCGGGTGCTGTGCCCGGCCCGCAGTCGGTGTTTCTTCTGGGCCTGGGGGCGGCGTGGAGCCGGCGGCTCAGTCCCCTCAGTCCCAGGCCTTGGCAGCCGCTTTGTTCACGCCGGGCGCGGGCCGAACCCGAACCTCAGCTGCAGCACTGGCAGCGCGCACCGGCCACGCGTGGGTTCCCGGCCACGGCCGGGCCAACAAGGGAGGGTCCCGTGAGCAGCCAGGCTGGCCCTCCCCGGGCCTGGGTGAGCTCCCAAAGCTGGAGCGCAGGGCTCTAGGCCGGCCCCGCCCCGGGGCTGGGGGCTTCCCGCCCGTTTGTCTCATTTTAACTTTTGGGGGCAGCTCTGTCCCGAATGGTGAGTGGTCCAGACTCTAGAAAGGGGTTTGGTCGCTTGAGCCCGGATTGAGGCTTGGGACCTTTGCTCTCTTGCTGGGGACGGAAGGGGGCGCGCTGGGCAGGAGAGGGGGCGTCTCGGTCGGGTCTCCCTGGGCTCGGGCATCTTCCCACCCTGCGGAGCCGGGTCTTGCGCTGCGTGCCCCGAACAGGCCCGGGCACACCGAGTCCCGTTACTGGTCTTCAGGCGAAATTCCAGGACGGGTGTGCATTCATCAACCTGGGAGTCTCTAGGAGCCAGAGATGACTGGCTCTACATTTTAATGCGTAATCACAGAGAAACTAGCACGAGAAAAGGACAGAGGGACCGACCCAAGCTTCAGAGACATGGAATAATATGATCCTGGTTCATAAGCCTTGAAAAGCTCCCCTCCGCCAGGTTAAGGAATGGTGTCACCAGCCTTGGCTGTGAGGATAATTTCTTGATTTGTGTTATGCAGGCTCCTGTCAGGACTGTCTCCTTAACTCCCACTACCTAAGGAAAAGATAGCCAGAGAATTGTCCAGGGATTTGGGTTTGGGTTGCTTCTAGAAAGACAGCATCTTTCTTGCTATTTTTTTTTTCACATCCCCCCAAAACAATTTTTTTCCCCCTTCAGACTTGGCAGACTTTGATTTAGATAAGAGGTTTGAGTTAATTTGATTTTCCCCATGTCTGTTTAGATCAATGGATATAGGAGATAGTTTGAAGCTAATGTACCCCTATGCCTTTGTGTGAGTGTAAGATTTATAACTTGAGGGAGGCAGTTAATAAATAGCACATCCTTGAACCATAAACATACGAGATAGACAAGAGCTAGATAATAAACAGTTTTTCCCCCAATCCCTAAGCTTTACTTATTTTTTTTACTGATTCTTGTACTTTGTCATTAGAAAAAGGAGTGGGGTTGGTTTCCCAGTGACCGCATTCATTAAGAAACTGGGCATGTACAGCAAGTAGCAAAATATGCCAACATCCACACCATCTCTGGCTATGTGAAAACTTGGTGCCCTGTGTGAGGAGCATGGGGGATGGTTGGAAATAATGCAGCTTTATTTTTATTGTGATTGTTGGAATTCATGAATCATAAAATTCTGATAGCTGGGATGGTGTGGTAGCTCACCTGCTTTAAATAATGTAATAACGACAGGCCCAGTCTGTCCCAGGTGAGGACCACTGACTTAGTAAACAATAAACAGGTGTCCTACTCATAGTAGCCTTAGTGTTGCTTCAGTAGATCCTTATGAGCTCTAGATAGTTTTTAGTTGACTTTTAATATTTTTAAAGGTAACAATAGGCCGGGCATAGAGACTCACACCTGTAATCCTAGCACTTTGGGAGGCCGAGGCGGGCAGATCACGAGGTCAGGAGTTCGAGACCAGCCTGACCAACGTGGTGAAACCCGGTCTCTACTAAAAATACAAAAATTAGCCAGGTGTGGTGGTGTGTGCCTATAACCCCAGCTACTCAGGAGGCTGAGGCAGGAGAATCACTTGAACCCAGCAGGTGGAAGTTGCAGTGAGCCAAGATTACACCACTGCACTCCAGCCTGGGTGTCAGAGCGAGACTCCATCTAAAAATAAAAAAAAAATTAAATGTCACCACCTTGCATTGTACTTGATCTTCAGAATTTTACTCTATTGTCTTAAGCCTTTAAAACTTTGCTCATGAACTATATTATTTGGACTACCTTTGAGGGTAGTTGCATTTTTGCATTTTTGCAAAATATTATTTTCCCTAGGTTACAGTAAACCTTTGACTCTGTTATATTTGAAGCAACTAATTATTCCTGAAACATATAAAGCATTTCCTGGCAATGTTGGTGGAGTTCATACTGCTCAAGGTGCTGAAGTCATTATTTCAAGGGGAAATTATTAGCGTGTTCCAACAGTTCTTAATTGTCCAAACAATTGTTGATTTCCCCCCTTTCCAGATTTCTTTCACAATCATTGGGAACTATAAAAAGGTGTATTCGACATTTTCTTTTGTGTATATTTTCCACTTCAACAATTTTGTATCAAAACGTATGGCACTTTTTCAGCACTTATTTCAAGAGATCCGGATAAACTCTGAGTAATCACAATTCACTATACTTCAAAAATTGCCTCCCATTCAGTATTTTACAAATAATCTTCTACAAGTAAATGGGGAAAATAGACACTAACCATATACTTTTTAAAAATAATACATTAAAAGAGCACTAAAGCGTTCTTTGAAAGTGCTCCTGGTACTATATACGTATTGGCTCATTCTAGCAATGTTCTTTTGAGACACCATACAAGAAATGGAACTCGACCAGATTTGAGAAAAAGCTGCAGAGAAGGTGAGGATTTGTTCCAGGGCCATACAGAGAGGAAATTGAGACACTCATTTCTTCTTAGTTCAGTCTCCCAGGTGTTTAGCCCTAGATCTCTTTGAGATTGCACGAATTTAAGGGATTTTTTTTAAAAAACAGGGAAGCTCTGTTATCAAATTTTAAGAGAGGATAAAGAATTAGAGATGGTAGATGAGAAATGTTTCATCCAAAGAGTTTTTTGTTTGTTTTGTTGTTTTTTTGAGACATAGTCTCGCTCTGTCACCCAGGCTGGAGTGCAGTGGCATGATCTGGGCTCACTGCAGCCTCTGCCTCCCAGGTTCAAGCGATTCTCGTGCCTCAGCCTCCTGAGTAGCTTGGATTATAGGCGTGAGCCACTGTGCCTGGCTCAAAGAGTTTTAATGAATAGAAAACAGTGACCCATTCTTGTAGAAAAGACATGGAGATAAAATGAAATAAGGAGAGCCTGAGGTGTCAGGGAAGGAGAAAGAGCATTTTGAAACTGGTGGCAGGTACAATTCTCTGCCTAACTCCGTGGACTACTTAGGGCACAGATTTCTTCCTGCTCAGTCAGTGTTAGCTGCCTTCCTGGTTATGTGCTTTAGGGTTGACCGTAATTGGTAACATAAGCCATTCCAGTTAGGTGAGCCTCTCTTCCTTGTGTATTTTGGATAATGACTACGAGGAAACAAGATGGAAATGTGGGATGGTTAGCTAATGTCAGTGCCGAGTCTCCCTGCTCAATGCGCGTTAGCCCAACTGCCAAAGCTCTGCCACTATGGTAAGTGAAGATGGTGATTTTCAGTTTGGCAGAGACTGTTGGAAGGCGTAATGGCTTATTTGATGGAAAAGATTTCCTGCTGCGGGAGAAGCTGCCATTTGCAGACAAGGTGTGTCAGCCAGAAGAAATGAGCAATAACCGTTTTCTGGTTTCTACTGGCAAAAGCTTTGTATTTTTTTCATATAGAAGTGTTAAAAATAGATTCATAAGAAAATGCATGAAACCAAGTAAAAAGTACAGACACTGAAATTTCACCAATGAATGGGAGAGAAGAGAGCTAACCTTTGTTGAATAGTTATTGCTAACCAGGTGCTTCAGTTCTCACAAAATTGTGTGAGGTAGGCCCGCCACATTAGAGAACGGGGATCAGGCAAACAGAGATGAAGTACTGCTGGAGCGCCACGCAGGAGACTCTTAAGCTTGGCGTTGACGTCTATGACATTCGGATGCCTTTGTGAGGCTGTCAAACCTACTGCGAAGTAGGCGGCCCTCAGCTTTCAGATGGGTTGTGTTCTGATTGTGGGTTTGTAAAACTCATTGCTGGGAACCCTGAACACACTTTTTCACTGAAACTATGTCATATTTAGTGGTTTCCCAGGCCAGCCCAGAAATCATAGCTGAAGTATTCTGTCTTATTAATAGTACCATAGAACCAAACCACTATATATAACATGGTTTTTGTGGGAAAATGCACTCAGAGCTCCAACTTGAGTTTTTTAAGGTTTTTAATTCCAGTTACAATGGCAAAAGGGACTCCACCTTCTCTCTTTTTCCATTTAAGCCCTGGAGGGAAAATAAAGGTACACAGAGATACATTTCCTTTCACGTTTCCTCATGCTAACAGAGACCCCACCCTGGACTGCAGAGCGATGGGGAGGGGGGATCCTGGCAGTAGCTGGCTTTGTGACAACAGAGGAAAGAGAAGAGGGGGAAGAGAGCACAGGTAGCGGAAGAAGTGAGGTCTAGATGTCATCACCTATGGGACCAATTTTGGATGGCTTATCAATATGAGCTGCAGGCTGACTGACATCGTTTCCTTACTAAACATCATTTTTACTGAGAACTTAGTAACCTAGACCTAGACATTAATGTTACTTAGTTGTATGTTCAGTATTTTTTAAGTGAAGGTTAGTTTTTAAATAGTCTTCAGTAGTAGAAGGAAAGCACATATGTAGACATCTTATTTTTCTTTTTCATGCCAGTCTACTGAATGTCCAAACCAGCACCTATCGGTAGCTGAATACACTCAAGGTAAACCTGGATGCTAATGGATATGATTCGAATTAATCATAGAATATATACCGTTCGTTGAGTACTTCAAACCAGAAAATGTGCTAAAATGTTGAACACATTTTATGTCATTTAATCCTCACCACAATCCCACGTAGTGAGTACTATCAGCACTCCCATCTTAAAAATGATGAAAGTGAGATTTTAAGAGGGTAAGTAATTTGTCAAGATCACACAGATCAGAAATGGCAAGTCTGGGACCTCATTAATTCAACAAATATTTTTGGAGCAAGTCCTGTGGCCCAGGCTCTGTGTTAGACTCTGGGAGTAAAGCAGTGAATGAAATGGACAAATATGCCGAAATCCTTGCCCTCGTGGAGCTTATATGCCAGTGGAAAGAGATGAACAGTAAGCAAAACAAACTAAACAGCTAGTGCCTCAGATACAGTTATGTGCTATGTGGTAAAATAGATCTAGGGAGCATGAGGAATGCCAGGTTGGGGTTGCAGTTCAGGCAAGTAGAGAATACAGGCTGAAGGACAGCTGTGAGATAACAAAATCAGTCCAGGAGTACATACGCTATTGTTTCTCGCAGCAACCCATTTTATGTCGTAACACCAAATGTTGAGTACATGTCACCCTCATCAGTCACTGCTTCTACTGCAGCAAGTGACTGGGGAGGTATCCAAGAATGACTGGTGAAGGGCTTGGCCTTTTCTATCCCAAGGTCAGGAAAGATGAGGACAGTTGCTGGAGGGATGTCCTAGAGCGGCTGGGGTTTTGTGCACAAGCAGAGGGCTTGACCTCAGCCAAGAGCACAGAGCTGATTCTCCTGTAGCCCCAGAAAACAGGCGGAATCTGGGGGCACAGATGAGGGCTGGGTGGAAGGAGCAATGGAAGCTCGTGGAAGTTCTGTGTTGCTTCTGTTTTCTTAGTGGAATGGGGAGTGTGGTCATCAGTGGGGAGCGAGGGTCGGGGAGGGAGTGCGGGGCCGGGGGTGCAGTTTGAGGAGAGAGATGTGAAACAGTCACCTGGCAGAAAGGGAGCCTGAATTTAGCTGGTGAAATGTACACTCAGGATCTGCCCATGGTCAAATTCTGACTCTTAACATCCTTCCACAGTATATTGGAGATCAGAATTCTCTAGTTCACTTCTTGAGGAGAGAGATTATCTTCTAACTCCTTTTTTTTTTTTTTTTTTTTTTTTTTGCTGTGTCATTTACTTGGAGCAGAGTCCTGCACTTACTATGTGTATGGTTAATGCTTGTTGAGTGACTGCTACAGGAAACCTACACACTTGTCCAGAAATTTCATTTAAGCTTTTCGTCCTAATTGTCACATTGTTCTCTCCCTTTTCTGAAATGCTGTGATGTTCCTAGTTCCCAAAACAGTACTTGTATAGCAATTACTGTTAATTATTTCATTGAGTTAATCTCATTCCCATAACGGATTAAGTTTTAGACTAAGAAATAATTTTTTTTGTTTGAGACATGAACTCACTACCTTCACCCAGGCTGGAGTGCAGTGGCATGATCATGGCTCGATGCAGCCCTGACATCCTGGGCTCAAGTGATCCTCCCACCTCAGTCTCCCAAATAGCTGGGACTACAGGCATGCGCCACCACGCCCAGCTAATTTTTTGTATTTTTAATAGAGATGAGGTCTTGCCATGTTGCTCAGGCTGGTCTTGAACTCTTGAGCTCAAGTGATCTGACCTCTCAGCCTCCCAAAGTGGTGGCATTACAGGTGTGAGCCACCGCGACTGGCTAAAAATTCTTAATTGTATACTCTTTTGTAGTATTCTCTTGGGACCACCTAAGTCAAGCCTCATTCCCACCAGATGGTGCCCCTGTTGGGGGCAGTGAAGAAGCCTTCTATGTCTGTTTCATGACTCCTTCTTGGCTGGCACACTGTTGTGGGCGCTCTGTAGGTAGTCAATGGGAAACGGGAAAGCTACTTGCGGTTAGAATAATACGAGAACTAGATATTGGTAATCTCAGCTGAGCGAATGGCAAAGGAACTGATGAAGCAGGTGGATTCCAAGGCTAGTTAGGAGAAGGAATTGACTACAAGTGGTGTTGGTGGGATGGGAGGGGTGAGGGAGGGGGGATGGGAGGGGTAAGGGACGGGGGTGCATCAGAGGTTACTCCCAGGGCTCTGCCAGACCCTGGGTAGATGGAGCCGCCGTTTTACAGAGGTAAGGACAAGAGTTTAGTTTTGAACATTCCAAGTGGAGATGTCCAGGACACAATTATATACCTAGGCTGCCATTCTGGGAGGAGATCTGAGTGGGAGACCATGATTTGGGAATTATCACCACAGATGGTAATTTAAGCCTTGGGAGAGGATGAGTTTGCCCCCAAAGAGAGCATAAAGTAAGAAAATTGGGCTCTCCGTGTTTCAAGGTTGACTAAAGATCCTGTCATTTGACTAGGCTCTGCTATAGTCTGCAAAATCTGCCCAGGGACAGAATATTGAAGTAAATAAAGTGTATTCCAGTGAAACCTCAAATAGATTGATTCAAAACTGGAGTTAGAAAAACTTGTGGTTTTTCTTGGTAAAGCTTCATTTTCTATTTGTCTTCATAACTATAAATGGATGTATTTGTGTGGAAGATGTAGATTTTTTTTAAAAAAAATCTATTTTTGGCTCTATTAAGAGACAAAATGAATCCAAATGTATTCCATACTTCTCTCACATTGCACCATTTTGTTATGTAACAGAGAACGTTTGAGTACATACTGTCCACACCAGCAACTATAAATCTGTCCTGGCAAGTGACTGTAAGATACCCAGGAACAAGAGATAAGGAGCTCGCCTCTCCAGGGAGAAGCTTTTATTTGCAAGAGAGAGAGTGATATACAAGAACTTGCAAATGTCTTTGAAGGGCAGAAAAAATCAGCTAGGGCTAATAAGGCAGCTGTCCAAGTTCATGATTCCTTGGCCCTTCTTTATACACAACCACCAAGAGTTGTCAGTTTGCAAACCTAGAAAAGTATACCATTGTAATATCAGTTCATCTCCCGCTTTTCCAGAGCTACTCAGAAGCGTGGTGGATGCTTAGTGAAACGACCAGAGGTGTGAAGCTGCCAGACCTTTACCCAGATCAACTTCTTTGACTCAGGGTACAAATGAACAACGTAGTCTGACAGCTCACCTAAAAGTTATTTGGAATGATTTTATATTGAGAGATTTTTTTAAAGCCTAAATTTAGATTCATCAGAGCATATCAAGGTTGAGATATGTGAAAGGCAGTGCTATATGGGAGGGTCAAGTTCCATTCGTTTAAAAATACCAGGACATTTGCTGCTGTTTAGTAGGGGAGTTGGGTAGGGTAGATATCCTCACCTCCACTATACAGATTTATTTATTTATTTATTTTTTGAGACCAAGTTTCGCTCTGTTGCCCAGGCTGGAGTGCATTGGTGTAATCTCGGCTCACTGCAACCTCTGCCTCCCAGGGTCAAGCAATTCTTCTGCCTCAGCCTCCTGAGTAGCTGGGATTACAGGTGCGTGCCACCACGCCTGGCTACTTTTTGTATTTTTAGTAGAGATGGAGTTTTACCATGTTGGTCAGGCTGGTCTCAAACTCCTGACCTCGTGATCCTCCTGCCTCGGTCTCCCAAAGTGCTGAGATTACAGGTGTGAGCCTCTGCGCCCGGCCCACTATATAAATGTTTAAGAATTAACATGTATAAAGGTTGGGACTTTCCCAAGGTGAGCTGTTGGACCTGGATCTCCTGAGGCCAACTGTGTTTTTCTTCTCAGCACAGCAAGCATCCTTTGAGATGCAGAGTGATCTTACCACTTGAAAATGTGCATCAAGGGCAACTGCAGAATTTTCCAAAAGCTTAAGCACAGATGGCAAATCTGGCAAAGTCAAATTGAGAACACTGACTACATGTTCAGGAGGAAAGTTTTTAAGGGTAAATGCTTAAAAATCCTGAAGACCAGTTTATTTGGGAAAGCAATTCCAATGGAAAAGTGCGGTTGGCTTACTGAGGGAACCACACAGTGGCAGTTTCTACAACTTGGCCAGCTGCCCTGGGCTGGCAGTTGAGGAGAAAATGCAGCAGTGGGGTTGAGTAGACACCTCAGCCACGGAGTGACAGTCATTGTGTTCTAGGTACCACCTGACCGCTCTCTGTCTGCTCCTTCTGTGGCTCTATAATATCTGAGCTCCTGGGTAAGCTCCATGCAGCCTCTACAACTCTGCTTGGAGCTCAGTTTTCCTATGTGTTTATTTTGATTTTGTCTACTTATTAAGTTAAATACAAATCTGAAAATGAAAGAATAATCACCTTGGACTCCTGAATGTTTGCTCAATGTCATTTAGCTCCCATTGTTTCCTGTCACCATAGCAGTCTACTGAAATCTCTCAGCATATATTTCAGAATTACTCTGATAGTGAAAGATTTCCTATCCTATGTAGTCCAACAATTATTGGTTTATTATGTGAAAAATAAAGCAAGTATGTAGCATTTACAGAGTAATCCAGCTCCACTGTTAATACTGTCATTTGAAGAGTTAGCAAGGAATGTGATGAAGACTGAATATCTTGAAACAAAGTTTGGTTGTGCAGTTGCTCTGCTATGAATTATGGGTCTGATTCCCCTCTTTATATGTGGCTTTTGGATTTTCTTCTGCCCTTGAGGTAATCTGCTCCTCCTTTCATTCACCGTGCTTTTAGGTTTGGTTTCAGATACAGCATCCCTTCTGCTACATTCTTTAAAGTTAAAAAAAGAAAAACAATTTCACTTTTATTGGTGATGGGCATTCAACTGAAATTACAAATCGGGAAAACATGACATTCCAGCTCACAGCAGTCTGATTAAAGGTGGAACTCTTATGAAACCACAGGATCTGACTGAACATATGGATCATCTTCTGGCAAGCTTAACAGACACCTGATGTTTTCCTTGGCCATCCAGAAATCTGCATCCTGGTGTAGATATCATGAGTTAATGATGGAGTCAAGTGTAGAAATGTGTCTGGGACTTGCAGACCTCTTGCTTTGTGATACTTTCTTTTATTTTCTTAACTGGCTGAGAAAATGGCTGTCACTCCAAGTCTATCTTCTGATGGGCTGGTAGCTCTCATTCAGGCCATCCACAGCCAGCTGCCTTTCCCCAGACAACCTACATTGCCTTGAGTCTTCTCTTAAAGCAAAAAGACTAGAGGAGAGGAGTGCTACTTTCTTCTCAGCCTTGCTGTCCCTGTCATGTAAGGAGGTACTTAAAAAGCATTCCTATCCAGTTCTCTCTATCTGCTCCGTCTTCTCTCCATGCCCTCATGGAGTACTTGGTAAAAACATTTAAGTAGATGACTTTATGGAATATGATTCCCCGGTTTTGGAGAAATAAAAAGATGAATCTCAGACATCAGTAAGGGCCACATTCTAGTTCAAATTATAAGCCTGTACATAATCAGTAAAACTATATTAGAAATAAAAGCTTCTCAAAAATCCCAAGTGCTCGTTACCCAAAAAATGATGATAGACGGGGGTCCCACAAATGTGTAGTTGTGTATATGTCATAGTATACGAAGGCCAGGGAAATACATAGTGCCACCTGACCTAACCAGCTGTTAAGCATAATTACTGTGGTTTTGCCAGAAAGGAATTCTAAATGCAGGAAGGTTTGCCATTAGTGGGCCACAGAACATGAAAGACTTCCCTGCAAACCTTTTAGAAAATTTATGCTAGTTTATATTTCAGGAGGTAATACCCATTGGATATACTCTAATTTGGGAAACATGGGATGATTAATGAATTGATACAACCTCTAGACCAGGGGAACAGAAGAAAGTTTGGCTTGCAAAATCACAGGCTCCACCTGGTCAGCGCTTATCTTCCTTGTTTAGCTCAAGTTAGGTAAGTTTACCTAATACTCCTTAAAAGGAGTATTTTAAATTTATGTTTGACATTTAATGATTTCAGATAGTTCTTGGACATCAGGATAAACAAATTCAGTGTAGCACATACGTAGTATAAGAATTCTGTTGATATAATGCCGCAGTCATAGTTGTAGCCCATTATTCCAGGTAATAATGATGCTACAATTAGAAAGTTTTCCAATTGTAGTTTTGATTTGCACAGTAGTAATTGCTGTTTCTATTTTCATAGGCAAGGAGAATCCACACATGAATTAGAGGCTTTCCATATTAGGCTTTTTGGAGACATAGACATGGTGGTGATCGCATGGGGTGTTTGAGAAAATGGAGACTAATTGAATGCAAAGTATTCTGTGGGGCAAGCAGAGTAAAGAATCCAGTCAAATGATGTCAGCCAAGGATGGCAAGCCCATGCCCGAAAAACTGGCAGCAGCTCACCCATACCAAGCCACCTGAGACATTTCCTGGGCTGGAAACAACGTTACGGAAATTGAACTTCCGTGCCAAATTTACCACACCTCGCCAAAGCCTGGGCACCTCTCTTATTCATGGGTGCCTCAGGAGTAATTACAGCTTTATAGCATATCTACTAAGAACTTTAGTGAAAGTGAAAAGGAGTCGGTAACCTTGAATTTTAGCAAACTAGAGAAGGAAGATGTGGGTGTCCTTTCCTCACGCGTTAACAAGGATGCTGTTAGGTTGTCTATCTACTCTGAATCCCTACTTAGGAGGAAAGTCACGTATCTGGTTGTGCAAATCAAAGAGCTTTGACAGTTTGTTTTTTGTTTGTTTTTATTTGGGTGCAATTTTTCTAGAAGACTAAATAACCTGTAAAAGATTAAAAACCATGATTGAGTGTGCCTAGAAATAAAGACCACCCTTGACTGGGCTTTTTCTACCCAAGTCCAAGTGAACTGCTTTATCCATTTAGTCAATACATATTCAGTGATGCTGGTTATTTACAAAGTATTTTATCTACATTCTGTATTAATTCTCAACAGTCCTGTGAGATCATTGTTTATTCTTGTTAATACACATATACGCACACAGAAGAGAGAAGTGGGGAACCCCACAAGCCTTGAGAATTTCAAGAATTTGTGGATTTCAGAATGGTTGAGCAGCTCATAGCTTTTCTAACACTGAACTTTTCTCTCTCCAAGTCCCAGTCGCTCGTCAAAAACTGTGCCATCAGCGCAAGACCCTGTGATTTCTGTGGTATTCTAATTTTATCTGAGATTTATTAGAATATATGAGGTGGAAAAAAAAGTTGTGCAACAGGAGATTGGACTCTGGCATCCCACAGCGTATCTTCCCTGCCAACTTCCTAATAAAGGGTGAACTCCAAATATTAAAAAGTTATTAACGTGCTTGAAAGTCTTTCCAAATGCTTCAAAAAGCTAGCAGACACATCCAGTATCATTTATTCAGCAAACATGTACTGAGTTTGTTTTGTGCTCAGCATTCCCGACTAAGTAGGACATTGACCAGGCCATCATGGGTTAGGCTCGGAAGGGAGGGGCCCAGATGCAGAATGAATTGATTAGTTCTGTGGGTGAAACAGATTCAGTGTCCTCTGAGGAGGGACTGACCAGCTCTGCCTGGGGGAGTAAGGAGAAGCTTCAGGAGAGAACCAAGAGCTGAGAGTGGAGAGTTTGGGAGAAGGCTGAAGCTGGGTAGAGAAGCTGGAGGGGGGAGGGCTGTGTGTCCGGAGGATGGCAGGTGACTGGTGTGGCTAGAGAGGCACCGGAGCAGAGGAGGTGAGGGAGGCTTTACCAGCTGTGGAAGGCCTTGCTTTCCACACCCAAAGTGCCATGGAAAACATGAAAATGTGCTTTCTATCAAGGGATACGGTCAGAAATCGAACAAAATATTTCCTACCTGTCTATATCATTGGAGAAATTGTTCTAGGTCCTTTAAGGAATTTTAGGACCCTTACTAACACCTTTCTTCTTTTCCAATAGCATCATCTGTCTTAGATAATAGTTGGCCCTCTGGATCCCTGGGTTCCACATTCATGGATTTAACCAACCACAGATCAAAAATATTTGGAAAAACAAAACAAAAACAGTAATACAACAATAGAAATAATACAAGAAAAAAAGCAATATAGCATGACAGCTATTTATATAGCCTTTACATTAGGTATTATAAGTAATCTAGAGATGATTTAAAATATACAGGAGGATGTATGTAGGTGATGTGCAAATGCTAGGACATTTTTTTATCAGGGACTTGAGCATGTGTGGATTTTGGTATCCGAAGGGTTCCTGGAACCAGTCCCCCTCAAATACCGAGGGACAACTGTACTCACGAGACAGGTTGTTAGAGTTTAAGAGATTCCTAAATCATAAAACCTCTTGTAAAAAGGAAGACTTATACATACAAAGAACTCAGCTAGTCAAGACTAAGAAAGTACCAGTGGGAAGTAAAGCCACGGTTTTAAATAGTAATGTAATGAATGCTTCCCAAGGGCTTGAAAGTCGTTTGTCTTAAGCAGCACTTTTGCCAATTGTTATACTACTGATTTATTTGACAAGCCCCCTTTTTAGTTGTTAGTGAAAATCTCAGAGGTATCACAGATTTCAAATTAATGTGGTCTCAATCAGTGAGGCTTCCTCTTGCAATAATCTGAGATGGCAAGTAGCTGTTCTAGGATACCTCTTTTTGCTACTCTTCTGTCCCTTAACTGAATGTCATTTCAATACCAAGTCCTCTTCTCTAATATGCATTCAACCATGCATGTACAAATATTGACTTGTCCCTTTGCTCAACCCTAAGCCCACTGCACGCTTTACTATTTTCATTCTTACATAAAAGATCTAGAACAGAAAATAGATTGGAAGTACTATATAGATCCACTACATACAGTCAAGGGGAAGTCTCAAGTTTTCTCATGTTTCCTTTTATAACGTGGACAACTGAAAGTTAAATATGTCCGTTTGATATGGGTAATTTAAGCAGCTATAGGTACTTGGTGATTATTGTAAACCTAAGACCTTAAATAATACATAAGGAATCAATTTCAACACTAATAACATCTGATCAACAAAGAGTTCCTTTTATAAGATGAGAACGGCATGGAATTATTTCTAGTTGCCTTAAATGAATTTTAAACACCCGTTATGCGAGGGAGAGTAGGTATGGTCTGTAAGAGGAACTCCAGGAAGCCCATGTGGAATTTTGCAGTTTCCTCTTTACAGGTGACCTGTTAAACAGCCTGCATGTCATGGTAGTGAGATGTAACAGAAAAGCTATGTTAATTAAGGTGACTGATTACCATTCAAATACATGTAAATCACAGTCTACCCAGAGGAAGATAGGAGTCCTCTAACTGCAGGCTTCTTCCGAAGAATTAAAGGGCTTTCTGAAAAGCTGAGGCTCTCAAAGTGTGGGTATGGTACCCACACTGGTGGTGTCAGCATCACCATCACTGGGTACATGTCCATGGCATCCAGTGGGTACCAGGACATCCATTTCTTACCCACTACTAGAAATAAGCAATTCGCTTACGGTTAGCAATATTACCATGAAAAAATGTTAATTTGACAATATTGAGACCAAAGCAAAACAGAATTTTGATATTTGCTAAAAAAGAAAAGGCCTGAAATTAGTGGGCTGGTTGAAAGGGGACTGGAATTGCAAGCTGCTCCCATCTGCCATTCCAGCTTTTAAGGCTTCTTAATTGAATTGGAAGCTCAGTTGAAAAAAGAAAAGGATCATCTATTCTTTCCTCTGTTTTCAGATAAAGTCCTAAGAACTTTTTTGAGGGCAATTTATACCCATTAAAATGTCAAATTCACATATCCTTTGACCCAATAATCTCATTTCTAGACATGTTTGCCACAGAAAACTCAAAACAAGTATACAGTACAAATTAGTTGTACAGGCAGCTTTATTGCTACACTATTTGCACTAATGAGTACTTGAAGAGAGCATGTCTATCATTAATAAAGAATGGTTTATACTATGGAATACTATGAGGCCATTCAAAAGCATGAAATAAACCTTCATGTACCAACATGGAAGGATACCCATGATACATCGTTGAAAGATACAAGATCACTGAGGGAAAATGTGCATATGCTTCATCCAACTTTTGTGAACAAAAACCCAAACATGTAAACATATGGGTGTTGTAAGTATTTATATTTGTATAGTAAAGGTTCTGGAAAGATAGCACCAAGATTTTATTGGTGTTTTGCCCTGTGGAGTGGAATTGTATGAGGATTGGTGGTTATGTGGGAAATTCTTTACATTTACTTTATTATCGTACTACTTTCACTTTATTTTTTAATTAATATTTTATCTTTAATTTTTGTGGGTACATAGGTGTGTATATGGGCTATTTGGATATGGACATGCAATGCGTAATAATCACATCAGGGTAAATGGGGTATCCATCACCTCAAGCACTTATCCTTTGTATTACAAACAATCCAGTTATACTCTTATACTTTCTGATACTTCAGTTTCTCACAATGAATATTCCTTTTCTAAAAAAGAAAAAAAAAGGAAGAAACTAAGTCCCAGGCATATTAAGAGAGAGCTAATTAGCTGTAGAACTAATTCTGACACTCTATTTCCCAATCAGTATTATTCAGAATTATTTTTTACTTCCCTGTAATAGTTACTCAATTTTAGAGCCAGAATTTAGCCTAATCTACTCATTTAACCTCTAAGAAAACTGAGCCCAGGGGGTGCTAAGTTCCTGGAGAGTGGTCCTCAGGTGGTGACTGAGGACTGAGTTAGCCTCCTCCGGCAACCCTACCCCCGTCCCACCCCACCCCACCCCACCCCACCCCTGGGCAAAGTGAAAGTGAAGCAAACTGAGAGGAACTCCTCCACTGTCCCTTCTGCTTACTCAGCAGATGGGAGCCAGCCACTTTGTTTTGTCCTGGGGCCTGTCCTTGATGGCTTCTAAGACTAAAAATCAAAGCTGTAAATTTGTGTAATTTAGAGATTGAAGGTACTGATCGTTGTTGTCAGTGACTGGAAACCAGGCCTATTGAGCAAGAGCCATTGTTCAGTGCCTGTCAGCCCAGAGAGTGTGCCGAATGCACTGGCCATCTTAGACACAGATCTACTTGGTGGTGTTCTGTGTTTTTTCTCCTAAAAGAAGGCTTCTCACACCACCACTGATGAGAAAACAATTCGAGGAAAACGTAGGCACACTCAGTACATGAAGGGAGACACTATTAAAAGCAAAAAGAGGGTTATTGTCAAACTTAGAACGATGCTAATTTGAGTTCTGAGCTCTAAAACTGGTAGAATTCAAACATTAAATGTAGAATGTACTAGTATTCTATGCCTTAAACAGTTGAAAGGAAAGGCTTACATTGGCAAAATGTATTTCACACCAAATAATGATCCTAAATCAGTCTTTTGCAACGTCATAAGATGCAGCTTTGTAAGTATACTTTATTTCTAAACTTTACCAATCTCAAAGGCTACCTGGAGCTCTTATTTCTGAAATAATTTCAAGATGTTCATTCTCTACAGTTTTGTGGTATGATTAACTTCGAAGTCCACTGCAGACACAAATGAACTTTCCCTAAAATGCAACACGAGAGTACTAACTACAGTCAGTAAAGATGAGAGGGGGTTATTTTGTAGCTCTTCCTGCAGGCTGTGAGAATTTTTTTCGTTAAAAAATTCGTTAAAAAAGCAGGATATACTGCTTCAGTCCTTACCATGAGAGCCACTCCCATCGGAACATAAATTAGTCTTAGTATATTTCAGGTTCTCCCACATGTTCACATTCCAACTGGGTGCAACAGTTGACTTTTGTCTTTAACTTTCCTTGGCAAACCGATAGCATCAGAGGAAGAGATAAGCTGCCCCTTAGGGAGCTGATTGTAATGCGTTCCAGACGTCTGCACGCCCCTGGTGCAAGCACCAGCTTTCTGTTAAAGACTCAGGGTTATGTTGTTTGGATGTTTTGTTGTTTGCTTTTTGAAAAAGCCAGATCAGATTTTTGTCATTGTATAAACTCCAGTAGGAGAAGAGGGATGCGTTTTTAAGGTGATTTCTAGAATGCTCTGGCCGACTTAGCTGCAGAAGAAAAAGGAGAAAGGAAGAGACAGTGTATATTTTGGCACTGAAACTTCTTTAGTAACAATGCATTCATTCACAAATCTGGAGAGAACTGAATGTCTGCTTTTTAAAGTCTGAATTGAATTCTCGACTAGACTTTGAGACCCTGAGAAGGTTTTCAATCCAAACCATGCTTAATATTCACGTTTTATCATTATTGATGGAAAGTGAAAGAAAATTTGAATTCTTGGTAGCCAGATTTGACATTAGACTTTTACATTTATAACCTCACTTAAACTTTACAAGAAATCTCATTACAGGTATTATTATCCCCATTTTTAAAGCAAAAAAAAAAAAACACTGACCCTTGGAAAGAAGAACTGGCACTATTGAGATTCACACCACGTGTGGCTGGCTGCATCAGGGGGCTCATAAAGAATTCAGAGCTGGCCCCCAGCTTATCTTCCCCATTCCCTCTTCTCACCCCCAAGCTACCTCCATTAAAAGAGATGCCAGGCTATATTTATTTTATTATGTATACTTACGAATGCATTTGCTCATCTTTGGTGTCATAAAATACAATGAATAAACTCCTATCCAGTTTTTCAGTGTATTTCCTTAATTTTTAAAGCAATAAACTCCTTTAATCCTCCCTTATACTCAATACTAAAAAATGAAAGATCTGATTTTAAGCAGGAAAAGTTTTGTCTTAGCATATAGCCAGGAAACTTCATCTGCCTAGGTCCTGAAATGTAAGTGATCTGCCAGAACCAAGCGTGGGGGTAGCTCGCGAGGCCTCAGCCCTCCTGCTCCTGTGTGAGAGTGCTTTCTTCTGCAACCTGGCTCCTGGAAGGAATGAATGCTCCCCCTTCAGCCCCTACTCCCCACCAAGAATTTAAAAGATAAGAGGGAAACATTTCCCTGACTCTAAAATGGTTTGTTTTTAATATGGTATGTCCAGGCCTGCACTACTAAAATCCTTCATAAAAGTCCTCTAGAAGATAACGATTGTTCACATTGCAAACCTGTTTGAAAAGCCTGGAAAAAATGCGGTATACTGTAGGGAAAGTCAGTCTCCTTTTCTCACTTATATAATTTGTAAGTCTGTCATTTCTTTTTTTTTTTTTTTTTTTTTTTTTTTTGAGATGGAGTTTTGCTTTTGTTGCCCAGGCTGGAGTGCAATGGTGCGATCTTGGCTCACCACCTCCACCTCCCAGGTTCAAGCTATTCTCCTGCCTCAGCCTCCTGAGTAGCTAGGATTACAGGCGTGCACCACCACACCTGGCTAATTTTTTTATTTTTAGTGGAGACGGGGTTTCTCCATGTTGGTAAGGCTGGTCTTGAATTCCTGACCTCAGGTGATCCGCCCGCCTCGGCCTCCCAAAATGCTGGAATTACAGGCATGAGCCACCGCGCCCAGCCTAAGTCTGTCATTTCTAATATGCTCTCCTAGTTTTAGCTCAGTAGTAGCTGAGTATTATACAAAATAAGCTCTTTTTACTGCTGCTTAGCATGTGTCTGCGAACCCTAGCTCAGTACCTGGCATTCCATGGGCAGGCAAGAAAAGTTTGCAGAATGAATTAATCTGGCCCAAGTGTGACTGAGAGGCCAGAGGAGGTCAGTGGGTGCCGTCTCCCAGGCCAGCAGCACACACACAGCTTCCTACAGTCTCCCTTCTTGTCTTTGTCTCTTTACATCCTCTTCCCTTCCTCCCATGTGTCTCTAACCTGCCAATTGCACCAACATTTATTCCCTGCTGCAGAGCCTGTGGACCCACAGTCTGGCTTACCTTTATTTTCTCCATCTCCAGAATATGTCTCTCCTCCATACCCCCATAAATTAAAAGTGACTTAAATATATAAAATGGAAGAGAGAGGCAGGATAAAACTGTTTGATAACTTAATAGTACAACTGGCCAGTCTCTCGTAGATTTTTTGCATTCATTCCAAACCTGTTTTTTGTTTTGTTTTGTTTTTGAGACGGAGTCTGGCTGTTTCACCCAGGCTGGAGTGCAATGGCGCAATCTCGGCTCACTGCAACCTCTGCCTCCCGGGTTCAAGCAATTCTCATGCTTCGGCCTCCCTAGTAGTTGGGACTACAGGCGAGCACCACCTCGCCCAGCTAATTTTTGTATTTTTAATAGAGACGGGGTTTCACCATGCTGGCCAGGCTGGTCTCGAACTCCTGACCTCAAGTGATCCACCCTCCTTGGCCTCCCAAAGTGCTGGGATTACAGGCATAAGCCCCACGCCTGGCTGAAACCTGTTTCTATTAAAAGACTTATACCTTGGAACTTTAATAAGTAATTTATTAAAGAACCGTTAATATTAGACATTAAAATAATTATGACTCCCTTACCCCTATTTGATAAGCATATAGGTGACGTTACACTAAATACTATCCCTGTCTGCCAAAATAATCTAATGTTGAAGCAGTCCACCGCATTTCAGGTCTCCTGGAAATGTGCTGCGATTTTCTGAAAATTAGAGGCAACAACTTGCTGTTGAGGACAGGAAAAAAAGAGGAGGCTAAGACGCAAGGTCCTCTGAAGCTTCTGCCAGCTCTCTCACCAGAACCTAACTCTTGATACCAGTGGAGTGAATCTGGAAGTCTCCTGCCTTCCTGAGTGAGTTGGAGACGTAGACACTACCTGGACAGGCTGGAGAAATGAGGGACTTAAAACGTAGCACACCCCTTGCCCCATGCCACCTGACTAGAAATGCCTGCCAAAGGTATATGGACATGCAAGGCTGGCACAGATGTAAAGCTCAATATATTAAACTAGATAGCAAAGAAATATACACCAAGCCCAGCAATACAAAGCACCCTGCCTTCATGCAGTTAAACATTCTTCTGTTTTAGGCCACACTGTACTTGCTGGCTTCATGTGGCTTCATGAAGGCAAGTGCTGTGTCTGTTTTGATCACTACTAGATTTCTGGCACCCAACATGTAGTAAAAGCTCAATCAGTATTTGTTAAATTCATTGAGAGAGCTGGGAAAGAAGGTAGAATGAAAAGAAAAGAAAAGAAACAAACAAAAACACAAGCCTGGGCAACATAGCTAGACTATCTCTACAAAAATTAGCCGGGTGCAGTAACTCACACCTGTAGTGCCAGCTACTCGGGAGGCTGAGGCAGGAGGATTGCTTGAGCCCAGGAAGTCAAGGCTGCAGTGAGCCGTGACTATGCCACTGCACACTCCAGCCTGGGCAACAGAGTGAGACCCTGTCTCAAAAGGAAAGAACCATCCACAAAGTTAGTAGTGCCTACAAGAGTGTAGTTGCTCTTTAAGCTTGAATTTTTGGTTATTTTGCAAGAGGTATTATTTGCCTTAAGCCATGGTAATTAGATTTATTCTGCTTTGTGGGCTTTTAGATGAGTTAATCGGCTACAATTTCTCTTAATTCCCTCTAATGCTTTCTAGGTGTGGATATCAAGAAACCTACATGTTGTGTTTAGAATATTTTATGTATCACAGATATCAGTGGGTAGTAGACTTTGCACTGGAATTGCCCTTTTCCCTGCCTCAGTTGTTTTTGGTAATATTAACTCTTTATTTACTGTTAAACTTTACAAAAAATGTCAAGTTTACTTTTTAGGACTAATAAATTAGTTTTCATAATTTTAGCCATTTAGGAAAAACAGAAGAAACCACATTGCAGTGTAAAGGGAGAAAAGTCACACATAGCTAATTATTGATAGGAAAATGAGAAGTGAGATAGCAACATCTGAGAGGACTTCATATATGAGCATCTCACAGAGTAACTTTTTCTTTTAGCCAGCATAATTACTAGCTTTTCCCATGTGTGTACAGACATTTTTTTCCTTAGAAATTTTGGCCTTAAAAGTCAAATACAGGTTGTTTTACAGATGATCAATGGTCCTTCTAGAAGAAGTCCACAGAAGCTCTCAGATGCCCTCTAGACCAGCCTTTACTCACTCCTCTGTCAGCATCCTCCCTCCCAGCTCGCATTTTACCAAAGCTAGAAAAGACCCTCAAGGGCCTGGGTGCGTGGAATTATTAGAGACCAGATAAAAGACATGTAAGGAGTGCTGGTGTGGCAGATGCTGCGAAAAAAATGTGCCACAACCTCTGAGGGCAGGAAACTGAAAGACCTCGTGTGGTTTGGAGGCCTGAGGAAAGAGCCTCAGGAAGTGATGTTTGACCTGACATCTGAAGGCTAAATGGGAGACAGAGACAGGTGTGCAGTCAGGAGGAATCGCACATTGAAGGGAAGGGCTGAGACTCTGAGAATGGGGGTGGGAGGGAGAAAAGAAGAGGCTACAGGGGGCGACCAGGCCTGGTGGGCCAGGTGAAGGAATTTGGAGTTGATCCCAAGAGCAAGCGAAAGTCACTGGGGACAGGGAAGTCAAGAGTCACAGGATTCCATGTGGTTTTTGAAACTGGCTGCATGGAAGAGAACAGCGTGTGGGAGAAGTGTAGGAGAGGGAAAGGCAGGACTCATGATGGTTGAGATGAGACGGATGGAGACAGGCAGCTCTGACTTCTGCGGTTCTGACTTGTGAAACAGGATCAGGGATGGTGCCACTGACTAAAGAGGAAGAGAGGATTCCAGTAACAACTAAGCACTATTCTCTTTTAATCTCTGCAACAGCCCTACTCTGTGGGTTCTATTATTACCCCATTACATAGATGAGAAAACAGAGGTACGAAAGATTAAATTTGTCTAGAGTCTCCTGGTAAGTGTTCAGTAAATGTTTGCTACTACTGCCTCTGTTTACTCATGGAGTCATTCATTCATTCATTCATTCATTCATTCATGGATGGTATGCTGTATCTAAGATAATACATTGTTGAACAGAATAGATGTGAACTCTGCTCTTGAGAAAGACTGGTAGTGGGAGAAAAAGACAATAAACAAGCAGTTATCTTGCTTGGACAAGCTGGTCAGGGATGGTAGGACGGTCTAGGTTTCTTAGACTGGAATGTTACAATTCTAGCTCTTGCATAAATCTTGGATGGATATACAGAGGAAAAATACGTATTGACAAAGCCAAAAAAATGTTTCCCAGATGTTCTCTGAGGTTCCACAGGCATCCCCAATGAGTTAGATCAGAAGTAGGCCCTGTGCCGATTTTGTAGGTGGGAAGCTGAAGATGCAAGAAGAGAACAGCCGTGCAGCTGTGCTGAGGTCTCAAAGAGCAAGGGTTCCAGGTGCCGCCGCTCCTGCTGTCCAGCAGGTTCAGCTGCCTTTGGGCCCACCAAGGTAGGAAATGGCCCATATCTGACTGCCTCTGTACAGGTCAAATCACAGCTCCCTGTTCTCTACTATATATAGTAACGACCTTACATAAGAGTGCTATTAAAAAAGGACGACAGAGAGGAAAAGAGAATGCCAGCTGAATTTTTTCCACTAAAGCTCATTTTTAACAGATGTGTTTTCTCTGTTTCCACAATGACAGTGTACCAGGGGACTGTTCTCCAGGTCAGGAGGGAAGCAACCCAGGTACTTGTAGGACTGTAATTGGGTCCGTCTGTGCTGAGCACAACAATAAAATTACTTGTACTTCCCTTTTTATTTAATGTTACTCTCCTCATCAGTTCCCATTTTCCTGATATTTGTGGGAAGGAGGCCATGAAGAAGGATGAAAACACTGTAAAAATAATTTAAACTAAACTTTACAATATATTTGGGATAATGCTGAGAAGGAATGTTCTTTTTTTTTTTTTTTTTTTTGAGACGGAGTCTCACTCTGTTGCCAGGCTGGAGTGCAGTGGCGCGATCTTGGCTCACTGCAAGCTCCGCCTCCCGGGTTCAAGCGATTCTCCTGCCTCAGCCTCCAAAGTAGCTGGGATTACAGGCACATGCCATCACGCCCAGCTAATTTTTGTATTTTTAGTAGAGACAAGGTTTCACCATGTTGACCAGGATGGTCTCGATCTCTTGACCTCGTGATCCACCCGCCTCGGCCTCCCAGAGTGCTGGGATTACAGGTGTGAGCCACCTCGCCCAGCCTGAAAAGGAATGTTCTAAGTTCAGCAAAATGAGTGATTAACATGTAAGTGGTACGTCTATCTTAAATGCTTTAAATTATAATTCATGATTTTTTAATTAAGGCTTTCTTATTCCATCTGATCTCTTATACACTCTAGTACCCAGTGATACACAAATTTTGTTAATTTTGGTAAGTCAGTCTGTCTGTGCAGTGTGTGACCTTGACATTATGTAATATGAATGGGATGGCTACGTGTTCCCTTTTCCCCAGGACAGTCAATCTGCCAGTTGTCTAGAGTTCTATATAGTTCAGCCTTTGTCCCAGATTAAAGGGCCCACATTTGGACACTGAATTATTTACATGACCGTCCTGAATACTAATAGCTCACATTTATCAAAGGCATGCTTGAACATTGCTCAAAATACTTCACATGTACTACCACATTTCATCTTCACAGTCTAGGAGGGAAGTGCTATCATGACCCCCATTTTATTTATTTTAGATTCACTGGTTACATGGGCAGGTTTGTTACAAGGGTATATTCATGATGCTAAGGTTTGGGTTTCCATTGATCCTCTCACCCAGGTGGTGCACACAGTACCCAAGAGGATGTTTTTCAGCCCCTCCCCACCTCCTTCTCTCCCCACTTTTGGAGTACCCAGTGTCTGTCGTTCCCATCTTCATGTTTGTGTGTACACAGTGTTTAGCTCCCACTTATCAGGAGGTATTTGGTTTTCTGTTCCTGCATTAATTTGTTTAGGATAATGGCCTCGAGCTGCATCCATGTTGCTACAAAGGACATGATTTTGCTCTTTGTTGTAGCTGTATAGTATTCCATGGTGTGTATGTACCACATTGTCTTTATCCAATCCACCATTGATGGCATCTAGGTTGGTTCCACGTCTTTGCTGTTGTGAACAGTGCTATGAGGAGCAAGTGTACATGTACCATGTGGGGTTTTTTGGTAGAATGATTTATTTTCCTTTAGGTATATACCCAATACTGGGATTGCTGAGTCTAATGGTAGTTCTATTTTTAGAACTTTGAGAAATTTCCAAACTGCTTTCCACAGTGGCCTAATTTACATTCCCACCAACAATGTATAAGCATTCCCTTTTCTCCACATCCTGGCCAGCAGCTGTTGTTTTGACGTTGTAGTAATAGCCATTCTGACTGGTGTGAGATGGTATCTCATCGTGGTTTTGGTTTGCATTTCTCTGATGATTAGTGATGCTGAGCATTTTTTCATGTTTGTCAGCTGCTTTTATATCTTCCTTTGAGAAATATATGACCCCCATTTTAAAGATGAAGAAGCAGGTTCAGAAAAATTAAGTGATCAAAGAAACTCAGCCAGTAAATAATAGAGTCTAAAATTTAAACACAGGCAGTCTAACTCCAGAGCCTACATGGCTAAGAAGTACAGCATTACCTTTCATTCCTAAACCAGTTAAGAAGTATATGAATAAAACTCCTAGAGGATGGAAGGGTCCTTTGGAACTGGGAAGTTCTTGGAGTCCTTGAATAGAAATGCTTTCCCAATTTGCCAGTGCAGGGGCCCTTTATGGGAAACAGTGAGGACCATCCAACAGTCCAATTAACTGAGCACAAAGCACAAGGCATATTTGTTTTTCTTTCTTTTGAAAACATAAATGTTAGAAAAGTTCAGAAATGAAGAGATTTAGAAGTATAAACTTATAACTGTTGGAACCATCCTCGTATTTTCTAGACCAGTCTTCCTTCTCTCGACAACCCTTCTCTCATGGCCATTCCTCGCCCTCCATGTTTTCATGAACAGTGTGATTGACTACTCTGATTTTGTTAGCTAGCCAAAGTGGAAAATGAGAACTCGGTGAGTGGGCTGGTGTATGCTGCCTGCCAGAGGCAGCGCTCTGTAAGACGACTTCATTGTTTGCTTACCCTAATGCTCCATTACATCTCAGGATTTATTTATAAATTATTTGTTTTAGGATATGGTACTAGCTTCATGAACCCCATTGTAGACTTCACATTTAGAAGTGTTTTTTCCAACTCTTTTTTACTTAATTTTCATGAGAATAGTCCTTACGTCAAGATGAAAGAAAGGTGAAACACCAGGTAGAATCAGCAAACTGATAAGCAGCCCTGTTTAAATCCATGGAAAGGTAATGTTTAAAGAAGACATTTGTTTTAATTGATTTTTATTTTACGTGTACACATTAACTTCATAAATCTTACCTTTCATACCAAGAAGCCTAGATCAGCTAGCGTGTTAATATGCTGACGGCTGAGAGCAAAAATAGATAACCTAAAGTTGTCTAACAAATTAGACATCACTTAAGAGGAAACTCAAGTGTGTTTCAGGGAGCAGTGGCAGATCTGCCTTAGATTTTTAACCACTGCATCATCCTGTTAATCAAGATCAATCAGATACAAAAATCTTTGGTCAGAACCAGTATTACAAAAGAACCTAAGAATTTCTGCTTTCTCATCTTTCTGTTTACCATAACACAGGCATATATCCAAAAATATATAGAAAGCAAAAATTTGGAGAGAATGACATGCGCTTTCCTAAATGCACCTTAATGCTTTCCCTGGTGTTACTATTACTACTGTTGGAAGCATCACTGTTGAAATGAGCCTGTACGTCACACACATTGCTCCCCACACAGCAACACTTCTGATGAGGGCAGCCCCCTGCCTTGTTATTCATTGAGAAATAGAAACTCTGATTATTTAGAGCAAAATTTCAGATTTGAAGAAGTTTTCCTAATAAGGAAGAATGATGTAATTTTCATGGAGGGGGGCCAGGTTCCCTTCATTTGTTTTATTTATATTAGCTGAATTCCAGGGGAAAATGGGCTATGAAGCATGAGGGCTGCTAACTATATTTAGCCACACAAAGTTAGTACATCAGGGGTCATTTTTTCTTTAAGTTATACACTCATAAATGGGCTGGAAGATATTTTTCCCGGCATCTTGTTTTTATAAAGTTTGATCAAGCATAAATACTTTTATTAAGATGCTATCTTTTATTTCGAGTGTGAAGAAAGTATCCATTGTAATCTCTTTAATTTGGCATGTTTCTCTGAGATACTGGTTTTTGGGTCAAAAGATGGATAACTAATAACAATACCTTGGTTCAGAAGATTGTATTAACTTTCCAGAGTGCTCACGCCTGTCATCCCAGCACTTTGGGAGGCCAACTCAGGAGAATTGCTTGAGCTTAGGAATTGGAGACCAGCTTGGGCAACACAGGGAGACCCCATCTCTACAAAAGTAAAAAAATTAGCTGGGCACGGTGGCACATACCTGCGGTTCCAGCTACTTGGGAGGCTAAGGTGGAAGGATCACTTGGGCCTGGGAGGTCGAGGCTGCAGTGAGCCGTGATAGTGCCACCGCACTCCAACCAGGGCAACAGAATGAGACCCAGTCTCAAAAAAAATAAAAATTAAAAAAAAAAATCCAGAGTGGGCTTTAAGAAGGAAGCAATAGTAGTTTCTTGGAAGAAAGATAATGTGTGTTTAAGAGTCCCGTTCTGCCCATTGTCTGGCACTATTCAATCTGGATTCACTCCCATCCCCCTCACCTTACTCTAAATATAAAAATAGTCGGTGCGTCTTAAGACAGTAGACTATCATTTTTGTACTTTTGCATTAAGACTTTTATTTAAATGTATTTATAAACTGGAGAAAAATTTGTAGCATTTAAACATAAAACCTCAGCGTTATAATTGGTCATTCCTTCCTCTTGTCAACGTGTTACAACATTTTTGCTTTGCTCTGTTACATGACTCGGGGCTTACCTGCATTTCACGTGAGAGAAAAGTCAAATTCATCTCCACCCCACAGCCTGCTATCTTCTGCCTTTTACCCTAAATCTTTGGAGGCGACAGCTTCCTCCCCATGACTGATAGTTATCCATGCTCACAGCTGCTGGCAGGACTGACTCCTTTACAACTGTGGCCTTGTAGTTGATCTGAACAGGATGATCCTGTCTATGGAAGCGGAGTCTTCTCTCACTGCCTGAAGGAGAAGGCTCTGCTGGAGATGGAGGGCTCTCATCTGTCAATGGGTAGCACCGACGGTGCCCCAGACATGCTGACCATGTGTGGATGTCTTAGAAGAGTGGAAAGGCTTGAGAAATGCAAGCTTAGAATCATTTCTAATATTACTTGATGGGAAGTCAGCAAATAGGAAACTTGTAAAAAATTGGAGGACAACTTTTTGCCACTATCATGGACAAATCTATCACCACTACCCCAAATATCGGTCCCTCAGAGACCAAGTCCTTAGATTCTGAGGCTCTGCTGTATAATTCCTGTTCAGTAGAGCATCTGGCGAACCTCTAGTAGGACAAACAGACAGTAACCCTTGTGAGAAGTGAGGGAACTTTTAGAACTAGGCCTCAAGGAGCACTGTACAGTAGAAACAGAATGTGAACCACCACAATGAAGACCACATATGCAGTTTGTTTTCTAGTAGTCACATTAAAAAGGAAAAAGAAATTAATTTTAATAGTACATGTTGTTTAACCCAATATATTCAAAATATTATTTTAACATGTAAATAATATAAAAATTGTCATAAGATCATTTTCCAATATCTTTTTAAACTAAATTTTTTAAATCTGCTGTGTACTTGACACTTACAACACGTCTCAATTCTGACTAACCACTGTTCAAGCACTTAATAGCTACATGTGGCTAATGGCTACCATAGTGGGACAGTGCAGGTCTGGAGGATGTGAAATCGGGTGAACACACAACCTTTACACCCGAAACAGTGCTGCAGAATTGATGATAATTACTCTAAATGCTCATCTCTTATCTTTTCGCGTCTGAAAACTGCTGCTGAGTGTACAAACCAGGTAACAGTAATAAGGGCCAATCCCAGTGGTAGAAATGGAGTTGATATGGTGGAGAAGGATCTGTTGACACCAGACCCTCAACCACAGCCATGCACAGCTGGACAGAAGCCCCCTCGGACTCCCAGGTCTGGAGTCGGGGCAGAGGCAGAAAGTCTAAAAAGAAATACATCAGTGTAGTCATTTCAGTAATAAATGCTGTGAAGTAAATAAAACAAGATAGTAAAAGAGAGATGGGAGTACTCTTCTTGCTCACTCCAATAGTTGAGTGAGTCATCTGGGAAGTAAGTTGTGCTGTGGAGTGTGAAAGGTGATTTTAATTCAGCCTGAGAGCCAGGCGCAGTGGCTACTGCCTGTAATCCTGCACTCTGGGAGGCCGAGGTGGGCAGATCACTTGAAGTCAGGAGTTTGAGGCCAGCCTGGCCAACATGGTGAAACCCTGTCTCTACTAAAATACAAAAATTATCTGTGCCTGGTGGTGCACGTCTGTAATCCCGGTTATTTGGGAGGCTGAGGCACAAGAATCACTTGAACCCAGGAGGCGGAGGTTGCAGTGAGCTGAGATCGTGCCACTGCACTCCAGTCTGGGATGACAGAGTCTCAAAAAACAAAAAATTCAGCCTGAGGAAAATACTTCCTCTAGTCCTCAACGTGACTAAAGAGATCCTCATTTTTCTTTAAGAGAGAATTTCATTATTTGAAAACACAATGCCCAAAGAAATGGAAGAAATTGAAGAAGCTGGTTTCTATGTACTTCAAATAATATTTTGGTGTGAGGCCCCACATGACAACATCTTTCCCCCAGGATACCACAGCTGACATAGCTAAAATATGAAGTATGGCCTAAATAATACACAGTGAGCTGATAACTTAGGAAATATTTTTTGTTTGTTTTAGCCAAGGCAAACGAATTAAAAATTTTAATGTTTTGTTTCCATATTTGCTTAAGTAAACTTCAAAACTAATTACTTGCAAAGAATTTTGCCTCGGCTACATGGATGACCAGTGAATGCTTTTGGGAGTGTAGGACTACACTGAATAATCGAATAAATCTATTGAATATGGAATTAAAAAAAAAAAACTAAGTAAAAAAGCATTAGAACCACCATACAGCTTATATCTATATGCTTATTATGTATGGGCTGGCTTAGGAGGGAACTTGAGAAATGGTAACAGTATTTGGTTGATGCTGGAGAGGGAAATTGGACTGGGAAGAAAAAGTAAGAGATGAAGATGTACTTTCAGTGTTCTCTTTATATCTTTTGCATTTTGAAGAGCAGAGGTTTTTAATTTTGATGAAGTCCCAGTTCATCAATTTTTTTTCTCTTATGGATCACCCTTTTGTTGTCTTATCTAAGAAATCTTTACCTAACTTATGGTCACAAAGATTTTCTCCTATGATTCCTTCTTGAAATGTTATAGTTTTAGATTCACATTTATGTTGAAGATTTTTTTTAATTTTTTTTTATTTTTTTAGAGATGGGGTCTCGCTCTGTCCCCCAGGCTAGAGTGTTGTGGCTGCAAGATCATGACCTCCTGAGCCCAGTTGATCCTCCCATCTCAGCCTCCCGAGTAGCTGGGACTACAGGCATGCATCACCATGCCCAGCTAATTTTTTAGTTTTCTGTAGAGACAGGGTCTCACTTTGTTGCCAATGCTGGTCTCAACCTTCTGGACTCAAGTGATCCTCCCCCTTCGGCCTCCCAAAGTGCTGGGATTACAGGCATGAGCCACCATCCCTGGCCTGTTGAAGACTGATATTAGTTAACTTTTGTATAAGGTATCAGTTGTGAGCTGAGGTTGGAAATCCAATAGGGTTTGGAGGGGTTTTTTGTTTGTATTTAATCATGTGTATTCTTTAAAAAATAGGATTTAATTTCAAGAGATTAAAAAGAAATATTGTATAGAAATGTCTGCAGTTATAATAAGTAGTTCAATTTTAAAAAGAAAAAGTTGTTTTGTTTGCTTTGTTTTGAGACAGGATCTTGTTCTGTCATCCAGTCTGGAGTGTAGTGGCATGATCATGGCTCCCTGCAGCCTTGTTCTCCTGGGCTCAAGCAAGTAGCTGGGACTACAGACTCACACCATCACACCTGGCTAATTTTTTTTTTTATTTTAGCATAGACGAGGTTTCACTGTGTTGCCTAGGCTGGTCTCAAGATCTGGGCTCAAGTGATCCTCCCACCTCAACCTCCCAAAGTGCTGAGATTACAGGCATGCAACACTGTGCCCAGCCAAGAAAAAAGTTTTATTATGACTACTGTACTGATTTTCAGGAACAGTCATTGTGCTTTAATTCTCTAAGCCAAAAATGTCCAATTCTGTTGGGCAAAAAGACTATGTTGTTGATTGCGCTCTCTCATATGGTCCCTTGCCTTCAGCCATTTTCATAATCAAAACTTGATGGCAGTATTTTGTTACAGGGTAAGAAACTAAAAATGGTAAAAGCCATTTGTCAGGGTAAATCTGAACTAATTATTTAGATCAGCTGAAATAAAAAGGGTTACAAAGACAAGTTTTCTGTCTTCAGGAGGGGATGTGGATACTAAAACTTCAATGGAAATGAAAAGATATGGATAAATTTGCATCTGCCAGATCTGCTTAGGGAAAGCATATACATGAAGTGGAGGAAGTCTTCCCATATCCCTTACATAAGGATTGAGATCTGCTGCCAGAGACACATGTTGCAATATCAATAGAAGGTCGTCAAATTGCCTTCCATGAGGGAGTGGGTCTGTTTAATGCTATCATTTTGTGACATTGAGAACACGTGAGGCCACCCACACCTTCTCTGCCCTTCACCAGAGCTGGGGCCAGCCTCTTCCGATAAATGCTAAATAATGACTATCGCTTTGAAGGTGCACTTATTAGCAAGGGAGTCCATGTGTCTAGGGTTCTTTTACGCCATTACAGTGTATGAATAATGTACATTTGACGGGGGATGATCCTCTCACCCTACTCAAGTTTGGAACCATTTGACAGATAAACTGAGGAGTCAGAAAGAGATCCAAGCACCAGATTTGTACTGGGGAGAACTCAGAGAAGAAAGGGGATGCACTGCTGGGCCTCATGAGTTGGCTTATACTTCACCTTGAGCTAAGCATACTAATACCCAGTCCAGGCAGCATTGAACAGCTCCGCGCAGATCTCACCCTCCAAAAAACAGGAAGAAAAAGCCCTCTCACTGCAAGCAAGATCCAAAGAGAGAAGAGCAAGGGAGGGGCTGATGTGAGCATGCCCAGATCCATCCCCCACCCATATTCGCCACCAAGGGCGGAGACAGGCAAAGAGGGCCCCTGTCCTGGAAATCCCTCCATGAGGAAGCAGTGAAGGATGCAGGGCCCACTCTGTCAGTGTCTAGTGTTCCACTGATCCTACATAGTAATTTTGAAAGACGATAGCATGATGTTCCTGAAAGGAAAAAAAAAGTTTCCTCTATGAGGTCATTAACATATATCTTGAGTGACTTTATTGTCTTCTGGTTCATTTTGACATTTTTGTAAATTCTATAGATCTTTTATTTACTCCTGTGATATATTTTAAAGATCAACAAATGTCCACACCAAAGAAAAAAATCACCAGTAAGTTCGTAACTTTTATATTTCTATACTTTTAACTGTTACATTAATCCTGTCTTATTCAAAAGGTATTCACCACAAAAATACTTACTAATCTTGGTTTCCTGGTATGAACTCCTTGTGCTTCTGAGATTAGAGATACGCTTTTCTTTACGGGTGGCCACAATCAAGAGATAAGATCATGCCTAAAAGGACAAGTTAGGAACAGAAGTGTGATTAAGTATATTCTGTATTAGTTTTAATTAGGACTATAGTCCTTTAACAATTTCATCATATTTAAGCTTGAAAATATACATGATTGCTGATACCACTATAGTCATATACATGTATATATGCACACATACACATGAGAGATGAGACTGTGTTACTCAGACATAGAACCACGGGACAGTCAGCTACACATTACTTCTAGGCAATGGTTCATCTTCTCTCTTCAGGGAAAAAGTAACCCTTGTTGGAACCTGACAGATTTTGAACATATCTTTTCTTTGTTCTTTGTAATGTTTATCTGTATTCTTGTTAGAAACGACTTTCTGGTTCAGTTATTTAAAAGATTAAGCCTTTTAGTGAAAGAAGTTCTCACCTTGGTGTCATCACTTGAGAGGCTAAGAGTGAAGCAACCTAGTTACTACTCTGGGCTCTGTTGGTGGCCTCCTGTGTGGCACTGCACCAAACGTACTTATTACTCAGCTGGATGAGATGATCCCGGTTCCTTCCATCCACATGTTCCATGCTTTCCTGTGTATCTCGGCGCACAGATACTATACATACTTCAGTGGCTTTTTCCGTTGTTTAAATCTTAAAAAGAAAAGGCATATTCTGGTGTATATACTACTTCCCTAAATGAAGGGCCATCTACTATATAAGTCTTACAGTATAATCATGAAATCCAGATGTGGTGTGCAACAAACTTCATTATTTACATGTTTTGGAAAAGATTAATAAAGTACAGCAAAATAAGCTCAATACTACAGCTGTACACACTATACTATAAAGTATTCTTCTTTTGAAAAGCATTTCAAGATTTTGCAGCATTTTTATTGTATTGGAAACAGTCACAGATACCATATTATAGAAAACTCTGTTTGACAGAACGCCAGATGAATAACTGTTGACTATACACAGTCATATATAACCACATTGGAAACTTCATGTAGCTATGATAAATTTCTCTCATTTTTTCCTTAGGAGTAATTACATTAGATAATTGAACTGTTTCATCTAAGAATTTATTTTCGTGGTTTTAGTCATTTCTCAGGGAGGGAGCCTCATTTATTACAGTTCTCCCCAAGACACACTGGATAGACTTCATCCACTGCTGGAAGGACTGGTGCTGCCCCCTGAGGGGAAATGGCTAGGCAGCACTGTCTTCACTGCATCTTATCCTTTGGCCTCTAAGGAATGTCAAGGTCAGCTGGTCAAAAGCTAAGAAGGGCCAAAGCCATTTAAAATTTACAGTTCTTTTCCACGGTCACAAGTCTCTTAATTCATGCTGCTAGGCTGCATCTCTTGTGCTTGCCAAAACGCATTTTTGAGCTTTTTCAAGAACTTTCTCCTTCTTCAGAGGAGAGGTTGGGAAGGGAGTCTGGTGATCAGGCAAGCCCTGCATTCACACCACGGACCCTTTGGCTTGTATATCTTGGCCATTAGCATTTAAACTATCAATGGTAGACTTGTAAGAGGAAATAAATTGCTCTGAGTATCCAGATCCAACTGTGCATTCCTCACATTGATTGCAAGACCAAAATATGTAGAAAATGTTATTGGCAACATTATTTATTCAAAAATGTTTAGTTCTTCAGTTATAGGCCTATGTTAATAGAAATTTGAAAAGTCGTCTTTATAGTGTTGTTCACCATATGATATAATGTTTCTAAATTGTATCACATTTAGTGATACAGTATCTCAAGAGATGGAACAGCATAACAGATGAGTAATATTAGTGATATTCAGATGTTCAAATGTACAATCTTGAAAGACTAAAGAATGAATTTATTAGCATGGGCACATTTTAAAAATATTTAAAGGGGACTATTTAAAAATAATCCTACTATACTGCAAAGATATGAAAGAAAGACCGAGAATGATTTAGTGAAGGCCACACAGAAAATTGGTGGCACAGTCACTTCTACCCGGGAAAGTACTAAGTAGCCCAGTGGCAGCAGATGCTAAAAAAGGGCTGTCGGTGATTTAAAAACAAAGCTATTTAGGCCATGTGTGGTGGCTCACACCTGTAATCCCAGCACTTGGGGAGGCCAAGGTGGGAGGACTGCTTGAGCCTGGGCAACATAGTAAGACCCTGTCTCTACTAAAAAAAAAAAAAAAATTCCACTGGGTGTGGTGGCACACACCAGTAGTTCCAGCTGCTCATGAGGCTGAGGCAGAAGGATCAGTTGAGCCCAGGAGTTTGAGGCTGCAGTGAGCCAAGATGACACCACTTTACTCCAGCCTGGGTGACAGAGCAAGACCCTGTGTCATTCATGAACAAACACATAAGTAAATACCAAACTATTTTTAAGAATTCAAATCCAATTATTTTGGAAATGATTCTTTTTGTATTTATTTTTTTCTACCACAAACGTGTTCAAAAAAGAGAGTGAAGGACAGAACCATAAGTATGTAGGAACTTCCATACCATGAAATTCTATGGTAGTATTTATTGCCCTTATGTGATATATGTCTCTTGATTTTTCTCAGAAATTTGAATTAATACTATACTTGGAAAATGTGAAGTAAGAACCTTTATCAATTGGTTTCATCTTCCTGTTCACATTTTGGATATACAATATTTAGCTGTAAACACATGATGTTTGTTTAGTAGAGACCAACCATTCATTAGTTTCTCAATATAATGAACGCTAGTTGATGGTACTTACACTGAAGTAAGAAATTCTGGAAGCAAATTTAATTTCTTAGTTTCAAAGTCAGCTCCTCCAGGTTGCTTTGTACATTCTTATAGTTTTTCCAAGAAATGTTTTTAAGTCTAGCATATGAGACATAACTACCTAACATTATATGCATGGAATGTGTTCAGGACATAGCCCAGCTGTCTCTATAGCTGTTTTGGGTGCCATTGCAATATCTGTATCTCAATAACAAAGAAATAGGGCATAGGAGGGGCAGACTTAGAGCCATAGTCTTGAGTGGAGCCCAAATCAGAAAGGTCCTCTGTGTCTGAGGAAGTCGCATTGCACATGGTAAATATAAGATAAGTCGTGGTGCTTTGGTTAGAGACATGGTAACGTCATGGTCATGAGCCAGAGCTCCTCAGTTTAAATCCCGTCTCCACTTCTTTCCAGCTGCATAATCTTGGACAACTTACTATATATCTTTGTGCCTCAATTTCTTCATCTGTAAAATGGAGATAATAAAAGTGGCCTCTCTCCTCGGGTTTTTGTAAAAATTAAATGAGTTTAGAGGGAAAAGTGCTTAAAATGGTGTTTGGTACATAGTAAGTGCTCTATAGCAGTTAGCTCTCATCACTAGATGTGGTGACGCTGTTGGTGCTGGCAGTAGTAGTAGCAATAGTCATGCTTGATGAAATTATTTGGAAAAGGCCTCCCCTGGTGGCTTTAAACACAGGAAATGGATGAATGGATACCCTTCTCAGGCCTCCAGGATATTTTGTTACTGTCTAAGGCCTCCTTTTAAGTTACAAACTTATGGAGTTTTATGTTTTAAGAGTCTTTTTAACCACTATACTTTTTATATGCACATAGTTAAAAACAGTCAAATAGTATAGAAGAGTATAAAATGCAAAAATAAAAGATGTCCCCCCTCCACCTCATTCTAGTCTTACTTTCCAGAGGTGAACACTTTAGACTATTTGTTTTTAGCCCTTCTGGTGGTTTCTTTCACAAGTTTATGAACAATATATGAATTCATCCATTTATTGATTCATCAACTGCCGATAGTGCTATTAGATTAATTTTTATATTGTTCGTACCAGCAAGATGTTCTTGTTGGGCCTTTGGTACCAACCAGCTGATAACAGCAATTTCTTGATCTCCCTGTGTCTCCATCTACATATCATAAAATAAGGATATTGGACTTGTTGGTTTCCAAGGCCACTTTCTAAAAAGTGTTAAGAGACCATTTGAACTAATTTAAGTGAAGAGAAAAAAAAAAAAAGAAAAAAAAAATTCTGAGATAAAACTGGTCTGAGGGTTATCTGGATCCAGCGGCTAAAATAGTATTCCAATTTTAACTGCGTCTCTCCCTTTTTCTTTTATATAAGGAATTGGCTGCTTTTTATGTACTGGCTTCCTTTTTGTAGACCCTTCCATGATGGCCAGGAACTCTAGGTGATTCTATGCTTCTAGACACATTTCCCTTCCATCTTCAGTACGAAAAGTCCCAGGGAAAGGCCCTGCTTGGCCTGGCCTGACCTGGATTATATACTTATCCTTGGATAATTTGCTGAAGCCATATACCAGTTGACTAGTCCTGGATCACATGCTCACCCTGCAACCAAGGGCAAGAGGATTGTGACTGGCAGACCCACAAGGAATAGGGTAGAAGCGTATCTGTAAAGGGAGGGAGGAGTGCTATTACCAGATGAAAGAAGAATGGTAGAGAATAAAAACAGATGTCTGCCACACTTGGAGTTTCAGGAAATTGACTTTAAGAAGAAACTCATTCAATTCTCCACCTACTAGTGAGTCATTACTTGCTTGTAAGAATGCTTACTGCCACACATTCAACCATTGGCCTCATTCTCCTTCCAGAAATAAAGCATGAACTCCACCTACACATTCTTTAACTTAGTATCAGCCATAAGCGATTCCTGGCAGTACTTCACAACACTTGAAAAATGAATACAGACATCAGTGTGATGTTCCAGGCAGACATCAGTGCTTTAGCTTCTAGCCTCAACACAGGCACTCAATGCGGCCTTGTTAGAAACACTCTGTCCGGTCTTTTATGACTTGCTACACTACACAATGGACACACAAGGGAACTGTTTCCTCTCTCTGTATAGGGACCAACTTTGTTATCTCAGGATACAGTCTATGTTTTGAAAAAGTGGCTGTAGAACAGTGCAGGGATGGGAAGAATGGGTCCTATCAAAGAAAAGAACTGCCTAGAGATGACTGAAGTTCTCACCAAGTACTGAAAATATCCCCAAGGCACTTCTCTTCAAGGTAAACATAAACTTATTGCGTTTTTGACTGATAACCAAATCAAATGGAAAATGGGCACTGGTACAGGCTGCCACTGCCTGGAACATGATGGAGCGCCTCACAGATGCCAGATTAGGAGCTGCATTACCAGGTTCACAAACGTTCTCATTCGGGTTTGGGAGTTTCACATTTTGGATACTAACAAGCCAGAAATATATAAGTACTGTTACTTATAAGAGCTCTGATACATATATATCTCCTTTATTAGAAGATGCGTTTCCCTTTCCTGTATTCCACACAAAAGGATGCCTGGCAATCTTTTGACAGGTAGTAAGTGACATCTATGTGCAAAACACTGTAATAATCAAGAAGATAGAACACATCTGGCTCTGGGCGATCTGGGCTGGTGTGTGAGATGATAATGCCACTGCCAAACTGACAGTGCCATGCCAGCCTTGTGGGCTGGAGTAGTATGGAGGAGGGAGTAAGAACTGCTAGATGTTACTAGGGAGAGCTTCAAGAAGAAATGGGCATTGAAATGGGCACAGAAGGATGAAGACAGTGGATGGAGAGAAGTTGGTGGGGGTGGCCCTCCAAAAGAGAGCAGTGCATGAGAAGAGGCCAACAGGAAGGAAAACTCAAAATGGGTTTGGGGAACAATAAGAGTAACAAACTTAGAAGAATGAAAAGGTAGAGATACAGCAGCATTAGTTGGAGATAAGATTGTTAGGACTGTTTGAGGCCAAATTATGGGTATCTTAAATATCAGATATTATTTTAGGGAGACAAGTTAGATCAGGGTGAGAGGAGCTCTGTCTAGACATAAGTTTGAAGTGAAGTAGCACATTTATGTTACATGGAAGTGGATAGTGGAATTCAGGACTGAGGGCTGGGTTAGAGAGATCAGGGAGTGAGAGTGATGCAGCTGACTGACTCCTTGTGCAAAGAGGAGTGTAAAGTTTAGATCTTGGTAAGGTACCCATATTTAGAGAGATGGAGAACCAGTGAAGGAAGTAAGGCACAGTCCCAGAAGTAAGAGAACAAGGAGAGTTGTTAGTGATGTCAAGGGAGAAGAGTGCTTCAAGAAAGATGGAGTGGGTGAGCCCACTGTCAGAGGCTGCAGAGATACCAAGAATGAAGGCAGAGAAAAGCCATGGGACTGCTGAGCATAGCACAACCCTATCTTCATATTTGAATGAAATGTCAAAGCCAAAACATCCAAAAGAGTAGTGGCAGAAAGAGGGGAAAGGGTTATTAACAGAACCTTGGCCACTTACCACTGAAATAGTTTCCATGTTTCCTTTAAGGGAAAGCATTATAGCAGAACCACATCCAACTCTAGCCCCATAGAAACTATTTTGAGACACACAAAACCTAAAAGCTATTTTTGTCTTGATCTGGGTAGAATTTATCTATAGGTATATCTGTCTTAAGAAAAAAATGCAATTGACGTTAGCTAGTTAGTTGACAGAATATTCACAGAACAGATTATTCACAGAATATTCTTCCTTTTGTAAGATTTACCATGGAATTGTTTTTATCTGCCTCTCGAATGCCTTTAAAATCTTCTTCTGTTTTCCAAAAACTGATATATACGTTTTTCAAAAACAGTTTAAATAGGTGTGAAAACAGCATATGCATAAGGTTAATATATGCACACACACAAATAAGTACCATACTTGGACTTGTTTAGTTGTCCAAGTTTACCAGTGTCTTTGAAATCAGGTTCTTTATAATATTTAAATCTTACAGGGCTAAAGAGGACAGGTCATAAAATCTAAAAGTTTATTAGGACCTTAAAGTTGAAAAACTACCCCAGAAAGGATAAATAAAATATCCAAAGTCATAAACAGAACGTGGCAGAGCAGGAGCCACACTATTTGAACGTTTCTCTACTGGGCTGACTCCATGTTTTTACTTGTAAATAACCTGCATGATAGTGGCTTTATTTCTAAGAATACTCTCTTAGGAAAATGCAATTGTGTGTTGCTGAATGCCATAGAGCTTGATGGAACAGGGAGTTTTACATTGTATAGAAATCTAGGGATTTGACTTCAACAGATATTTATTGAGTGGCTTCCCTGTGAGTAAAGAGGAAGATACTGAAAATGGAGGGCTCAGCGAAGTGGGAGGATTGCTACTTTTTGTAAAGCCATTTGGGGAGTAGATAATGGTTATTTGTTTGGAAAGAGATGACACTCTGCCCTTAGTAGTAATCGACTCTTATAAATACTGACTGCATACCACTGTTTTGGATGTATTCAACCCAGCAAGCATAAGCTATGATGGGACTGACACAAGGGATGGCACCAGCCATTGTGTGATGAATGAAAATGAAAAGTTGGGGAAACATTAACCATATGAAACCTTAAAATATGCCAAATTCGTCATTTCATTGGAAGACAGAAAGTGAAATATCTGTCTGTCCTTTCTTCCCTAATTCTTCAAAATCTCAGAGAAATTTTATACTTAAGACCTTAAAGTTTCTCAACATCTGTCTCACAGGGAGCTTTTCCTTGGTGTTTCAATTAGAAATGAGATCACTGATTTTGCTTCAAGCATTGAAAAAAAAAAGGTTGAAAAACAGATTTTTTCTTCAAAAATGTACTTTGTCTATGTTAAGAATTGAAACCAAACATTTTCTATTAGGAACAGTCGGTATTAATTCATTTTAATGTCCACTAAATTAGCATAGTTTTTATAAGAATCAACTAATATCTTCCTGCTGTTTTCACTGGCCTTCGCATCAGTAGAAATGAAAATCATTTTGGGCATTTAACTGTGATGCAGAGTCAACTCTTTTAGAAGCTGACTTCGGATTCCTCCCCCAAAAAGAGGCTGGGACTGAAGCGCCAGCATTCTGTGTTAGATTCCTCAGGCACATCACAACTGCAGGCACTGGCAAAGCCTGTCCCTTATCATATGCAATTTATGTCAGGCTACAAATCCTGCTCTTCTGGTGGGGCTATAAATTCTTTGGACCACATCCTGCAGCCCTCTCAGAGCCAAAGTGACCATTTACCCCACAGAGAGTTGGATCTCCACAGACCTCCTAGATGAGACATCTCAACATCTGGAAGCCAGCGGCAGGAGTCAACTTATGAGAAACAGTTCACATTGCTACTGACCCTTGAAGAGCACCATCTCCCCTACCTCTCATTCCTATTCTTCATGTTACATGAGAGACTCAGCCATCCTTTGATATTCCAGAGAAGTTCCCAGGAGGATTAGGAATTGGTCATCAGTTGCTCCTTCTCTCTCTCTCTATCGGTACGTGGAATGACTTCAAATAGAGATCAACTTTATGCATTAAGACATACAAAGCTACTGTTTTTCTGTGGCAGAGCCAAATATGGCTCTTATTCTAAGTACAAAGGAAAAGTCTCTCTAAAAGAGACTCAAGTCATGTGCTGATTTCACTCAGGTCACTTCTCCCTTGAGCCCTCCTCCATAATTGTGTTCAGTTCTGGCTTTGTTTGGAAAGTCAGCACAATTTACAAAAGGTTCAGAATGCATTAAAGGTCAAAAAATAGGGCTTTGTAAAGAAACCTATGTCCTTTTGCAATACATTTTAAACTTATACATAATCCCAAGCAGTAATCAATTTTAATTCTAGCATTTTTTTGTTTATGGTACTTTGTAGAAAATCCAGATTTTTATCCCTGCCTTCTCCCCCAACCTTAGGGGAATGTATTTGAATTATTTTTGCACTCACAACCTCCCATAAGCCCAGTGCAATACATTCTCATTTGTCTTTTATTAATCCTTACTGTGTAAATAAATGATCATTCTTAAGATTGGGATTTATATACCTTTTCCTAAGGGGCAATCATAAGTTAGTGCTAAACAAATCAAGTTGTTAGATATTGACCTTCATGCAGTGGACCTAGCTTCTGTGATATGAAGATATCAATTGAGCTCTGAGTAATAGAATTTTAAAAGACAATTGAAGCATTACTATAATAAAGTTATAGATGGAACTGAATCGGTACTACCTGAGTGGGAAGCCCTTGTAGGAGTTTTATTTTCTATTTTATACATTCCCAGAATTGATACATTGAAGTCTCATGCATATGATACTGAGCTAATCTTAGCCAGATGGGAATATATTGTGGAAACACCTAGCAGCTTACCCCTAATTCACTTACCTACCTTCATTTGAAAATTCTTAAGATTTCCCAGTCCAATATGGGACCCTCCTAGTATAGGAATGTCCTACTGAATATGCCTGATGAACCCAATGGGGTACAGAATTGCAGTAAGAAATTTATATCATTGTTGTCATTGACAGTGATGAGTCCACCATGTTTAGTGTTTGGCCAGGTGCTGTGAGGATGCCGAAAGTTACCCTCCTTACTTTTAAAGTGCTTATAAATATCAGGACCAGAGGAGCTTATGGTTCAGAGGGTGCAGTCTTGCAACTCTTCATACAATGGCTTCTGTCATACAATCAAATATTAAAGAAAGCATATAAACCAACAGCATATTTATTCATAGATCACAAATGTTTTTCAGCTTTGTGATCTCAAGAGTTTTTCTAGACAATTACGAATACCCCATCTTTATTATGAGCAGGGGATAAATTACTTGCAATCCAGATATTGCTCCAGAGAGACATATCAGGAATTTCCAATTTACATAAAAGTTGTTTTCCAGAAGTTTACTTTCACATCATTTATTTTAAACTTGGGTTGCAGTTTCCCAGAGAAAAAGTGGTATGTAGTAATAATAGCCAACATTTTAACAAACGTTTTTTGTTTACTGAGCACTCTATAGAGAATGATGTGGCACCAGGCTTTCTGAGCCAGCCAGCACTTCACATCCAGGTTCTGCCCTTGGACACATTACTTGACCTCACTAACTGATGGTGAATTTTTTAAATGGGGATAACCATCCCTGCCTCCTAGGGTTGGTGTGTGTCTCCAGTGCTAGGCACGTGATAAGTGCCCTATGGCTTCGTGATGAGGAGAAGGCGGAGGAGCAGTGCTAAAACCAGCCATCTTAGCTGGTCTCATGACAGCCCCATCTCCAGTTCCCCATTTGCCCACCTGCCACTGCTGTTCCCCTGCCAGCCACTTGCAATGGACATAGGTGAAGAGAAACATCCCCTGCAATAAGTAAAACATTGTTCTTGTTTTAAAAGTTCTGGTTTGTAAAGTAACCAGAATTGATTTGATTTTATTCTGCTATGAAAGATAATTTATTGAGCTCATACTCTGAACCAGGCACTGTGCCCATTTAATTCTCACAATGACCCCACAAGCTAGTAGCCGGCTGAGCTGGGGTTCCAAGCCAGTTCGATCTAACTGTGACTCTAGCCCTTTTTGTCATGTACCATTCTGCCACTTGGGACAGTGTTTTTAGTGTGGTTAACTTTTTCTGAACTTGCTTTAATCTAGTGGTAGGAGAGATGACTGAATTAGAAAATAAATTAGGTCATACACCTCTCCTTATCTCTGTCAAATCTAAATCTTTGCCCCATCCAACCATCTGTAAAATTATTCTTGTTGAAAGCTTTCTGCAAACCACTGGGGTAGAGGAGTTATTTTCTATAATGTATGAGGGGAATCTATTGAGTTAGCATGAAATCAAGTTTGAAGTCAGATATTCTTAAATATATTCTTAAATATGTATTTAAAACCTTAACTGATGATTCAGATCCTAAAGGCCCTGGATGTTACAGCTGCAGTAAGGTATAAAAGTGAATAAAGTCCTCAGAAGGAAAATATAGCCACAGATTTTTTTTTTTAAGTCACATTGAAGGTCAGGGTCCTTTTATGTGTTACATGCCTGAAGTAGTGTAAAGAGCAGGGACAGACACAGGTTCTAACCTGGCTCTGCAGGTAACTTGCTCTGTGGCCTTGAGTGTTACTTAAAACCAGTCTTCCCATGTGTAAGTGGACTGTGCCAGGTCTAGACGGTCCCCTTTCCTTCAGTATCAAAACTTTTAGAATTGAAGGATGGGCAAGAGTGGGGAATCGCTTAGATTTTTTGAATTAGGGGTATGGAGGAGAGCGGGGAAAAAAGAAGCTGGGAGAAATTTGATGGATTACTTGTGTAAGACCAAAGATTTAAACACATGACACTCAAAGTACATTTGCAACTAGGGCTATCTAGAACGCTTAACTTGTCATACTATTTGGAAATACATAGTATTTCCAAAATACTATGGAAATACATACTATTTGGAAATACATAGTATTTCCAAAATACTATGGAAATACATACTAGTTGGAAATACATAGTATTTCCAAAAAGTTCAGTTTCATGTTTTCAGAGAAAAGACAGCAGAAAAAAAAACGGAGAAACTAAAGAAGTAATGAATTTCTTATGACAAATAACTTCTAAGTAATTTCCAAAAGCTATAGGCAACCTTGCCTTTCTGGTACCTTTCATTCTTTCGGCCTTTTTATCTCTGTGAAAATCAACTTTTCTAAAAATAGCTTAATGAGGAAGAAGAAAATGGTAAAATTGTGCATTTCATCACATCACAGTCCAGATATGAAATCCATTTAACTCAAGTATTTAAAAGATTATCATTTGCACAGAAATAAAGTCAGACACTTTAAAATTCGAAATAAATGTTTTTGCGCTCCTTTTCCCCACCCCTCCAGTCCCTGCATATTATATTCTTGATGCCTCACTGAACCACTTAAAAATGGTGAAGTCAAAACGCTAGTAAAGTTCTTCACTACAGTATATACTAGCAGCCAAATCACTAGAATGCCCATTCATTTCTTGTGAAATGCTACGTTAATAATTTCTTAAACTGTCACTTCATACTAAAGTTAGCGCTTCCACAGCTTTAAGCCCACTTGGGTTAGCAAACATGATGGTTCTTTTTAATGCCCGAATGAATAAGCTGACCCATGGAGAAGTTGAGAACCAATATAGTCCTGGTCTGGGCTTTCCTGCCCTGGTTTCTGTGAATACTGGCTCTCAAGAGTCACTCCCTAATTCTGGGGCCAGGGAATCCTCACATCAGGTACAGAGCGTGATATGATGTCTGTAGCTACTTCAGCAGAGCCACCACACACAGCAATTTGCTGATGCCAGGCCAAGCCTTAAATACTTAAAACACAGCTGTGGCTTTGGCCATTGTGAGCCCAGGTGGGGACAGAGTAGGGGAGCAGCGCCTTTGAGGAGAGCCACACAGATGGCTTCTAATCCAGATGCAGAGGTCAGCTGAAGGGTGTGGAAGAGTGTTGATAAACATCCTGGGACTGGGATGCATGCTGCCCTATTGAGGAAATGTAAGAGAGACAGCAAAGGCAGGGAGATGAAGCATTTGGGGACTCGGAATGGAGAGTGCTGGATAATGGATTTTAGAGCTAGTGGGTGGTTTTTATGAGTTCTATTCCTGGGCCAGTTCTAAATGCATGAATGCCAGAGCACATGTGCTGGACAGTCTACCCAAACCACACAGACATCTGGAACTTCAGGGCAGTGGTGAATCCCAGCAGTGACATGCCTACTTTTAAAACACTCAAGTTCAATAGGACCCCACAAAGTTCTTTGCTGTTCAAGTATTTGATGCTCTGTACATATTAAGAACATAGAACCATCTCCTCATTACACCTTTCAGTTCCCAAGAAAGTGTGTCTTTGTCTTCTCATGGACTTAAGTGTAATCACTTTACTGGATAATTATAGAAGGGAACAGAAGACACAGGACAGAGTTTAGAACTTGCTGATGTTCCCACAGCTCATGATACTTGAGAAAAGACCTAGATATTTTTTCACTTTTTATTGGCCACTTCAATTCTTTGTATTGCTGAGTCTCTGAAGGCTTGATTTTTGCCTATGGATAAGAAAGTTTTGGGGTCTGATTTTTAGTTTTAAAACGTTTATTGTCTATTCATAGATAACTTGTTTTATCTGCTTGTTACAGTGCCGCCTTCTGTTGAAGTTTCTTTTGACAGCTATTGGTCCCTATGTTTACCTCATGTGAATAAAGGAAAACATCCTGGATGTACAGCAAAGTTTTTGAGTAAAAGAGTGAGATATTAGATCATTGCTAGCTGCTTACTCTTATTTCAGAAATAAAAATTTGAACTATCTCTTCTCAATGGTAAATATTTGGGGAATTAAATATACATCATTACAAAATTTTTGCTATTGTTTATTGAACACCTACCTGTTATAGAAGTCACTTGTTTACATGTGTTTGAAATAACATACAATATCAATGTGTATTAAGGTTTGTGTAAGAAATTCGCAATTCAGTTTACTACTAAAATTTTGCATAAAGACTTTCTTAGGGGACAAATGTAGAGATTAAAGTAAATTTTTTAAAAAATCCACCTGTGGTATTTATTGAATGTAGAGTTGACAGCACTGAAATAGGCAAATTGGACTAACGTAAATCTGCCAAATATAACTTCAACCAAGTGTTTTTTTGCTTTTAACTTTCTCATTTGATAGAATTCTTTTACCAAAAATTGGCTACGAATGAGAGGACTGAGAATTGATGTCGAAACGTTTTTCTCTTAATATTTCTTGATCCGTTAAAAACAAATTATGGCTCCTGGAAGTCAGACAAAATTTCCATCAGGATTTGTAAACTGGTTGGGATCACCTTATGTGAAACTTAAATGAGAGTGAAATGGGCGAGCATACTTCACTGACTTAGCGCTTGGTCCAGAATGAACTGCTGGCCCCACACTTGGGCCTGCTAACGTGTGCCCGTTCCCTGGGTGTTCTCTGCAGCTGGCCTAAGTGCCAAGCGATGTCCACAAGCTGAGCTCACTCCTGGAATACACGTTCCTGGCCGTTCCATCTCTGAAGGTGTCACTTCTCTTTTTCCCCCCAGGGACCCTCTGAAGCTCCAGCAACTCCAGAACCAAATCCGACTGGAGCAGGAGGCCGGCGCTCGGCAGCCTCCGCCAGCCCCGCGCAGCGCGCCGCCCTCGCCCCCCTTCCCGCCGCCGCCCGCCTTCCCCGAGCTCGCGGCCTGCACGCCGCCCGCGTCCCCGGAGCCCATGAGCGCGCTGGCCTCCCGCTCCGCCCCCGCCATGCAGTCCTCCGGCTCCTTCAACTACGCGCGCCCCAAGCAGTTCATCGCCGCGCAGAACCTCGGGCCCGCGTCGGGCCACGGCACGCCGGCCTCCAGCCCCAGCTCGTCCAGCCTCCCGTCGCCCATGTCCCCGACGCCGAGGCAGTTCGGCCGCGCCCCCGTGCCGCCCTTCGCGCAGCCCTTCGGCGCTGAGCCCGAGGCCCCGTGGGGCTCCTCCTCGCCGTCGCCCCCGCCCCCGCCACCCCCGGTCTTCAGCCCCACGGCTGCCTTCCCGGTGCCCGACGTGTTCCCACTGCCGCCGCCACCACCGCCGCTCCCGAGCCCGGGACAGGCGTCCCACTGCTCGTCGCCTGCCACCCGCTTCGGCCACAGCCAGACGCCCGCGGCCTTCCTCAGCGCTCTGCTGCCCTCGCAGCCGCCGCCGGCGGCCGTCAACGCCCTGGGGCTGCCCAAGGGTGTCACCCCCGCGTGAGTAACCGCCGCGGTCCTCCACTTCCCTGCCCCTCCGCCTCGGGTCGCCCTGGGACTCCCACATCTCCATACACGCGCTCCCATCAGCCTGCAACCCAGAGCGCCCCAGTAACATTTCACACATTTCTCTCCGTGCGATGTAAAAATTCTTAACGGCAATTTGACTCAGTGATTCTTGCGTAGCCACTTAACATTATCAAAATCAGAACTTTTTCCTCTGAATTAATATGAGATTCTCATCAGGAACTATTCAAAATCTATGCAGTGCCCTCTCTTAATCATTATGGGGGGGGGGGTGCTTAGCTATCATTTATTGAGCACTGTGCTAAGCAACTCACATGTATTATTTCATTTGATACAACATTCCTAAGAGGTAGCATTGCCCCAGTTAAAGTACTGAGGAGTCTAGGAGTTAAATAAATTGCCCAGGGTCACATAGCCACTAAACCGAGACACGAATCCATGCTCTCACCACCAAACTATGTGTTTTATTATAATATTTCATGCCAGCATTACAATGGATGTGAAGGAGTTTGGTTATTAAGTATATACTTAGTGTTTTTGAAAAACCTTAATTAACAGATTTAAGAAATAAGCCTTTGTGTAAATCTAGTGATTGACTGGAAGGGGGCAAAAGCATGTAAATGTCTTTATGTTTTGATGTAGATAAATGAGGGTGTATGCAACCTAGTGGAGAAATTATGATGCCAGTTTTGTCCCTGGCCTGTGACCTCGAGATACATTACATGCCTCCTCTATCTCTTTCTGTTTGCAGGTGATCTAATATGTCTCTCTTTACATCACAGTGATGATGTGGCAGCCCTATGAGGTCTTTAAAATGGAAAATCTTTGAGGATAAATAACACCTACAGAAGTACAGTAAAATCCTCAAAAAAATACAGTACAGGTGTTAGGCATGTTTGGTTGAAGAGTAAAATGAGTAAATGCTAGTACTTACTCATTTTACTGAAGATTTCAAAAATGAGGAAGTGCTCACAAAGGTTAAGCCAGCACCCATATCTCAACTCTTCCTTCTGAAATCCTACTTCAGAGTTTGCCAGAAGCATACTATTGTTCAGAGAGAAAAAGAAGGAACTCTACTAAACAGTAAAAAGGAGAAGATCTTAGAATTCAAGTTATTTTCATTCATCTATAAAAGTGTTCCATTGCTAGGATACACTAATGCCACCTTAAAGGCAAGCATTGCTATGTCGGGCCTCGACAAAGGTGTACCAGGCAGCTTCAGTTAGCAATGCTTCTTTTGTTGGGCACTTCCTAAATGTTGATTACATTAATTTGAAATGTGGCTTCTTCTCAAATCCTTATTGGGTGAAACACAGTCCAATGAATATATAAAGAAACAAGTCCAAAAAAGGAGCCAAATATAGTAATGATGTGATAATGGACTTCTGTTGAAAGTTGTCAGTCAACTTGTCTGAGGAGAACCTTTGTCCTTCTCCCTTGTTTTTTCTCTTTGAGCTTTTATTTAGCTGTTAGAAAAGGAAGTGTATTATCTTGGTACAAAGAAGCTGTTAGAGAGACCCAAAGAGCCAGAGTTTGTTGCATGACACTTTTTCATCCTCTCTCATTAAAAGGGTACCAAGTCTTGCTTCCCAGGAAGAGGAGTACTGTGTAAATAATCTGTTCTAATATTTCTCTTATAGAATTTGATCAAAGATTCGTTTTTCAAAGGTGGTGATGATTGTGCCATTTATCATTTGTAGTAGAAACAGCAGTTTGTGCTGATCAGTGACTTTGAAACCTTCTTAAGATAAGCAAGTTTTAATGGCTTACCTCAAGTAACAGGAGCACTTGCTTCTTGTCAGCATCTATCACAGTGACTCATTTTATGGAGTCAAAATAGCTTATAATTGTTACCACAAGAGTCCAGTCGTTCCTGCCATTTCTTAAAAATTAATGGAGAAGTCGTGCCGATTTTGTGGCCATGGAAAACTGTACCCAAAGATAGTGAAGTGCTGTGACATCAAAGTGGCAATACCAGACTACAGATTTTTAGCTCCATGCCTGCTCAGTAAGCCATTATTATGTGGTTACCGTTTTGTCCTCAAGGAATTTTCCTGTTGCTAAATCACGCATACTTGAAGAATTCATTATTTTGGTTTGATAAATGTGTCTTTTGAAACATGTTTTTCCTCTGGCATACTATGGGATCTGTCATTTGCATTCTGAATTAAAAACAAAAATGTTACTATTTTTGTTTACCATAATAATCCAAATAATTTGCCAAAGATTGAGTGTCCCTATCAGGGCTGCCATGACTTTGGCATCCTGGAACTTGCAGGAACTGCCAAGTTATCATAAGATGTATATATTCAGTTTCACTTATAAGTGTTATTTCTTTAGCTGGATAGTTTTGCCATATATATCAAGTACCAACAAATTGGTTGATTATATGTAACACAATGAAGTAGAAATTCATTAGGTTTTTTTCACTTGCCTTGTTTTACCAAAATCTTAAATGTAAATTTCCAATATCTTAGTTTTCTTTTCTTTTCTTTTCTTTTTTTCTGAGACAGTCTTGTTCTGTTGTCCAGGCTGGAATGCAGTGGTGCAATTGCAGCTCACTGCCACCTCCGCCTCTGGGTTCCAACAATTCATGCCTCAGCCACCTAAATAGCTGGGATTACAGGTGTGGGCCATCACGTCCGTCTAGTTTTTGTATTTTTAGTAGAGATGGGGTTTCACCATGATGGCCAGGCTGGTTTCAAACTTCTGACCTCAGGTGATCCGCCTGCCTTGGCCTCTCAAAGTGCTGGGATTACAGGCCTGAGCCACTGTGTCCAGTCTCTCTTAGTTTGCTTAATCATACTTGTATACTTGCTGTTTTATTCTGTTTGTTTCACACTGTTCTTATTTTCATCTGTAGACAGGAAGGTTAGTAAGTACTAAGTTTCTAAACAGTCTGTGGAGATAAGGTTCTGTTTTTCATATGTTTGGGTAGCAGAGGTCAAAGCAGGGAACAAAGGTCATGGATGTCAGTGATAAACCACAAAGCCGAGGCAAAAGACAGTAAATCTGGGGAAGAAAGGCATTTGAGGAACTGTATGTATAGAAGTTCCCCAGACCGCAGTCAACCAACTGCATGCTGTTCTGTGAGCCGGAGAGAGGTTGACTGCGGTCTGGGGAACTTCTATACATACAGTTCCTCAAATGCCTTTCTTCCTTTATGCTACATCTTCCCCAAATTTACTGGGGTCACTGGCAAAATATTGCCCTGCACAAAGCTGTCAACAGATACAAATATTAAGTTGACAAACTCTTTTAGATGGAGGCAGTAAGGAGAGCATGCCTTAGAGAGAAATCTGTTTGCACTTTTATAAAATTAATGTATTCTATTCCCCTCACTATTGCTGGTAAGTTGGTGTTACAGCCTCCATTGCTGTAACCATGTTTCTCCACATAGTAAATCAGCCCTAAGACACAGAAGAAACCCAGAAGATTTGGCAGTGCCGACAGGCATAGTGTGGCAGTTCTGCTCTGCTGGTCTCTGAGTGGCCATACTAAGTCTGAAGGGTGAATCAGATCAGACCCATCCCTGGAACCAGACTGGCACTGTTTCTTTTGCCATCTTCACATTCTTGGAATCTGTGCTCATAAGGGAGTGCCACATAGCCACAGTGCCACAATGTTGTATGCTCTTAACTACCTCTTTTATATAAGCAGGGCTTTGGTTTGAAATGTTGCCCCATGTTTGTCACAAAGAAGAGCATGTGTCAATAAGAGCTTTTATACAGATGTATTAATGACAGCTTTTATTATATAGGCCCACAGCTCCTTATGGACATTATCTCATTGTCGCTCTCTTTCTCCCTCATAGGAAACGGGTAGGTGGGGACACTATCATCGTTACTCAAGAGGTGACGGGATTTCCCAGGGTTCTGGAAGAAATGCCTGAGCAAGGAGAGCATAGCGTGACTTAGGTTCATCTCAAATAACTCTAATGTCTAACATTTCTTGATTAAAGAAAGCTGTTGTAGAAGCAGCAAATCAGAATCCCCGAGTCAAGGAAAACTTTGTAACAAATTTAACTGTACTTTAAGATTCATGACACAGGGCATTTTCACCAGTTTTCAAGTCAAGACTGTGGTTAGATAGTAACCAGTGAAAAAGAATCCAACAGATACAAGCCGCAATGTACTTTGCAGACATCTCATCTACCTATCTTTCTCCTATTTTTCAGGAAACAGATAGTGGGGGGCTTTTCATTCTCTGACCTGAAGGGGTTGGAGGTGTTATTACTGGGCTCATTAGGGTCCAGTATCTTATCAAGTTGTATCCAATCCTGGACAAGTATTTACCAACAAATTAGTAGGCAAGGCCTCCAGGATCTGCTGCGACTGGGTTATTCTGTTGAAATGTCTCTGCCCCTGGGGCAGCTCAAAATCAGACCTGTACGGCTGTGTACCAAGTTGTACAGAATGAATGAACAGAAGTAACCCGAAGCCAGTGGATCACGAGGTCAGGAGATCGAGATCATCCTGGCCAACATGGTGAAACACCATCTCTACTAAAATACAAAAAATTAGCCGGGCATGGTGGTGTGCACCTGTAGTCCCAGCTACTTGGGAGGGCTGAGGCAGGGGAATCGCTTGAACACAGTGGGTGAGGTTGCAGTGAGCTGAGATTGCGCCATTGCATTCCAGCCTGGTGACAGAGCAAAACTCTGTCTCAAAAAAAAAAAAAAAAGTAACCCACGTGCCTTTGTCATTTTCTTTTTTAAAGAACCCAAAATATAATATGAGGAGAATTTGATATTACAATAAAGTTATCTATTTTCCTTTAAATATGAGCTTAAGTTACCCATTTTTTGTACTTTAACAGCCTTTGCTTTACCGTAAAATTCAGTAAAAGGAAAACAGAATTGATATACAAAAGCTCAGTTTGTATATCTTGGGCTCTTTTATATATTAATACATTACATTCTTGAATATAAGTGATATTTAAATGCCAACATGTTAATGAGTTTGCTCACTCTGAAATTTTGTGGAATTTAGTTACCATCAGATTTCACTGAATGTGAGAAGAGTAGAATAAGAGGACTTGTAATAGTTAAATTCTCTGGTTGATTCTGGTACCTTATCTCTTTAATCAATATTGTGCTCTGGAAATTTGAGTTTCTGAAATCTGCTCACAGAATTGACCTGCAATAGCATATCAAGGGAAGGATGCTTTCAAGATTATTCAGTAGCCAAAAAAAGAGACCTCTTGGGATTTGGTGGTGATTGAATCTGGAAAATTTTACCTTCCAGATGCTTGTGTATATGTTTGAGATGTTTTTATCCCAACCACATGAATATTGTTTTTAAATGACAAATGACTTACTGTTAAAGCCAGAGTAAACAGATCAGTAATGTTTTTTGTACAGTTGGGCTGAGTGTGTATACAATGAAGTATTTAGTGCAGGAGGCCTGTTACAAATTGTTTATTGGTTAAGGTTTGCCTCTGAGTATGGATTTTTGTGAAGAGTTCTGGTTTTGGTAACTACTAACTTTGAATACTATTTTATTTTTTTTTAATTGTGCAAACCATCAAAAAAAAAAAGGAGATCATGTCTTTGTCACCACTCTTTTTATTTCCTAATGAGTTGCTACTCTTCATTTATCAAAAGAAGGTGCCACTTCAGGGAGCAGAACTACAACCATCTTACATTAAACTCTAACATAGCATTAGTTTTATAGGAAAACAAACTCAGTTGCCAAATTTTTGCCTCAAAACTTATAACTGCTTTTCTTTCCTCATGCCTCCCCTTTCAAAATACTCCACTTTTATTTCTAACTCTCACCTTGCATGCTACCCCTAAACCCTGTCCTCAACTTTTAATTTCGTAAAGTGTTTCTGAATTACGTTAGTCCAGTGAGATGCTCTGAAAAAGAGAAGAGGTTCCATATTAGAATAAGTGTGAGAAAACTGTATTCCATACCTCTTTCCTCAGGGTTCACAGTGCCCATCCGTTGGCCCTGCCAGGCTGGTTCTGGTCACAGGACCTCTGCACTGCCAAGCTCTCCCTGTAGGTCTCACATAGCCAGCCACTTCCTATGGTTTAGGCCACCACTGTAGAGTCACCTCCTCAGAAGTCTGATGGACCACACTGTCTGATACAGTCATCTGCTCATACTTCTGTCCTTTCATTGCGTTTACCACCTCCTGATATGTCTTGCCTTCCATTCTTTTCTCTTATCTCTTTCTGCCATATCCACCATAAAAATACAATTTTTCTAACTATTGTGACCTAGTTCAACATTGTATTTCTAGCACCTAGAACAGAGTTGAACACTGAGAAGGCAATCAGTAAGGGTTATTTGCACATTCTTGTAAATTCTGGTCAAGAATTCTTGGCATCTTTTTAAACTCCTTCCCCTCTTCCATTCTGTTTATCTCAGCCAATCTTGTCTCTGTGACTTACTTCCATGCTGAATATTTTCTGTTTGCCACTTCAGATCCACTCTTACTACACCAGGCGCTGTTCTAAGTGTTTAGTACACATTAGTTCATGTAGTTTACCCAGTGATCGCATCAGATACGAGCTGTTAATACCCACATTTTACAAAGGAGGAAACTGAGACATATGGTCATTAGGTCACTAGCCCAAACCACACAGCTTTTAAGTGGTTAAAACAAAACAAACAAACAAAAAAACAGGTTATCACGTCTGTTTCTTTATTCACGCTGACTCTGAATTTCTTCTTCTTCTCCACTCTACTTGTCTACATCCTTGTCATCTTTCAAGGGCTTATAACTTGCCTCTTTCATGGAGTCTTCTGCAGTCATTCTAGCCAGCACTGTTTTCTGTTTCTTTTTTATTCCCATTGCATCTAGAATTGGTACCACATGGTTTGCTCCTTAACTTATTCCCCAACTTGGTTATTAGCCTTTGTGATCAAGGACCATCCTTTAGGATGTGGGGGGGTCTTTGCCATCTCACTTAAATAATGTTGAGTGCTTGCTTTGGCAGTGTGAATACTAAAATTGCAATGATACAGAGAAGATTAGCATGGCCTCTGTGCAAGGATGACACACAAAGTCATGAAGTACTCTGTATTTTTAAACCATATAGCCTCTATGAAACTGCCATTTTTGTAAGTTAAAAATGTTCAAATATTAATCGTTGTAAATAATTGCCCACTGGAATGTTTTCTTATTCCCCCTCAAGTTTCAATTTCAAGCACTGACTGCTAAGATTGGCATGTCTCCAGCCACGTACATTTGCAAAAAGTCAGATTTGCAATGTAATATGTCATGGAGCTCATGCTTGTTGAAGAGAATCTTTGATAGGCTGGACACATTCATTTTAGTAGGAGGCAGAGGTGGCCTAACAGCAAACTCTAGGTTCAGGATCTAATTTTCATAGCCTTCAAGGATGAATGCAATATAAACTGTGTAGTAGATTGTGATGCTCATTCCAACTAGGGAGGCAAGCATTTGTACCTGCTATCTACAAGGCACCAAATAATGCATGTGTCACCATTGCTATAAATTGTCCTCTTCCAGGACCTAACTATTTGGGTAAAGAACCTACAGTTCCCATCACCACCTATGTATGTATGTACAAACATAAATTAGTCCAAATTCTAATTTTCTCTTATTTTTCTTTGTGGAAAAACAGATAAGAAAGCTCAGTAAAGGAAGATATAAGCAATTAATGTTACAGTTCTTCAATATAATAATTTGAATTAAATGTACTAAGAAGCAAAAACTATTAGTGTTGAGACTATCATGATGAAGCTTTTGGTTTTTTTAATATATTTTCATTTTTATGCATAAAATCTTAATACATAGAATTCCATGATGTCATCAGGCATTAACAATCACTTACCTTAGAAACCAACTCTTTTTTTCTAGGCTTAACAGGGTTTGTATTAATGTATTGGCCTAGCACTGGGCCCTGCTAGATGCTCAATAAATATTTGTCTAATCACTATTAGACATTTTAAAATATCTTTTGGCTGGGAACAGTGGCTCACACCTGTAATTCCAGCTCTTTGAAAGGCCAAAGCAGGAAGATCCCTTGAGCCCAGGAGTTTGAGACCAGCCTGGGCAACATAGGGAGAACCTGTCCCTACAAAAAATGGAAATTTAGCCAGGCACAGTGGTATGCACTTATGGTCCCTGCTACTTGGAGGATGACTCAGGAGGATTGCTTGAGCCTCCTAGGATGTCAAGGCTGCAGGGAGCTGTGATCACACCACTGCATTCCAGCCTGGGTGACAGAGCAAAACCCAGTCTATAAAAAGAAAAAACATATTTCAGTTTATTTTTATTTCTGTGTTAATTGTTTAGAACCAAGAAAATATGAGTACCTTAAATTCTGTAAGTAAAGAGGAAAATGTCTTTAACATTGTAGGAAATTAGGAATTAAGTAACTGCCCTTCATACTGGTAATCTTGATATGTTGAAGGAAGTGACTTGTTATAAGATAGAGGCCAGGTATGGTGGCTCATGCCTGTAATCCCAGCACTTTGGGAGGCCGAGGCGGGCGGATCACGAGGTCAGGAGTTCGAGACCAGCCTGACCAACATGGTGAAACCCCATCTCTACTAAAAATACAAAAATTAGCCAGGCGTGGTGGCTCATGCCTGTAATCCTAGCTACTCAGGAGGCTGAGGCAGGAGAACTGCTTGAACCTGGGAGGCAGAGGTTGCAGTGAGCCGAGATGGTGCCACTGCACTCCAGCCTAGGCAACAGAGTGAGACTCTGTCTCAAAAAAAAAAAAAAAAGAAAAAGAAAAAGTAGAATAATCAGTTTTTACTTGAGCCAAAGACTAATTGTAATTATACCCTTTGAAAGGATAAATTACCCTTGTGGCAGGGACACAAACCAAGGTGACAACTCTATGGAATGTTCCAGAGCAGTTGTTCTAAGTCCCTTTAAGAGTCAAATATACTGAGAAATGCTTCCCAAGGAACAGGACTTATTCTACAGTGAATAGACAGGTATTTTCTTGTCCAAGGGAACTTGTGGCTGACTTTTAAAAACCAGTTCTCCGCTCCTCCGATTGAGATGACCTGTTCTGACCTTGATGGTCTCCCTGTCTCCCCTTTCTTTTTCATTTGTGCTGAGAACACAGCTCTTAGTGTAGTCTACCTGCAGAAACACAGTGGTGCCTTCTGTCATTGAAGGCTGCTCATCAGCACATAGTTGTTCTATGGTCTACATCGCACAGGCTTAGAGTAATAATGGGAATGTGTGTGTTCCCAGTCCTTGCTGATGTAACAGAGAGCTGGCTGCCTTCAGTTTACCTTTAAGATGACTTCAAAACCTAGCTCTTCTAGTTCTCAGATGTAAGGCTGTAGTGAAATGCAGAGAACTTCACTTCCAAAATTGTATAATTTTTACTTGTCCTGGGCCTGACTTTTTACATAGGGTCTGATTTCACATGGCTCTGGCACAAGTTTTCTTGACTGAGGAAGGGAGGGGAGAGAGAAATCAGAAGTAGAGATGGACAGTACATCCATTCACTCATTTCAGAAATATTATTTGAGTGTCTGTTAACAGCACTGTGATTAACAAAGGAGCCATGGTAAGGGAGAGACAATATGAAAAAATAGTAGAGTGATAGATGCTATCAGGAAAACAACTAATGGGACAAGCTTAGTCAGGGACATCCTTTCCAAGGAGTCATTAAGCTGAAGACTGATGATAACAACCCCAGATAAAGGAGTAGGAGGGGAGAGAGGTTCCAGGCTTGGGAAAACTAGCAAACTATGCACGTGTTTGTTAAAGGATTCCATGGTACTAGAAATTGAAGTTATAAATAATTCCTATGGTTCTTACTGTCTCAGGGTCTCCTTAAATATCAAAATGAGTTTGTAAAGTCTAGTGTTACCTTATTTGAACTTCAGGGCAAATGACTAAAAGGGACAAACCTAGAATAGCAGGTTTTAATCAGTTAGCATATTTTCCACTGTAGGTATCAGAAGACTCAACTACAAGGAGATTCGATGCACAGGGTTTACTGACTTATGAAACAAGTCTGGGGTAGGGTAGTTCCATGGTAGGTTAAGACAGTGCCCCCAAAACATTATCAGGGCCCAGGTATTCTCCATCTTTTCAGTCTATCATCATTGGCACATATGGGTTCTCCTCTTACAGTTATGGAGTGAACAATGCCGCTTTTGACATTGCATTTCTGACACAGTGATATCCAGTGAAAGAAGAGGGGCATTTCTTCCTTCTGTTTCTTTTCAGAGATGAGAGAATTTTAACTAGAGCACCTCCACCCTCTGACTACCCCCCACTCCTCCAGTCTCATTGGCCCAGGCTATATCGCATGCCTTTGGCCAAACTAATCACTCTCGAGGGGATTGAGACCATTTAAATTGGCGTACATTAATTACCCCCTGAGTCTGGGGAGGGGGATCACATTTCTATAAGCACATTGAAGGGTGAACACTCAGCAAAATTAGGAAAAAATTCAGCAAGGAAACAAAGGGGAGTGGCCAAGAGGAAAGAACAGCTGTTGGGAAGACCAGGAGCACAGGCCTCAGGAGTGCATGGCATCATGACTTAGGAGGGACGGTGGCAGAGTCTTTACAGGATCCTCAGAGTTTCTGCTGCATACTTAGTGACTGTTTTGTTCCCAGCACTGGTGGGTGAAACCGTGAACCCAGTGTTTAGGTACATTCTTAGCCTTACTTGTGCTTTCTACTGTATCAGTGAAGTGACATGAGGCACACAGTGCCTTGACGCTTTGGCAGTAAAGTTTTGTTTGTTTGCTTTATTTTGTGTGTGTGTGTGTGTGTGTGTGTGTGGTTTTTTTTTTTTTTTAGACGGAGTCTTGCTCTGTCGCCCAGGCTGGAGTGCAGTGGTGCGACCTCGGCTCACTGCAACCTCTGCCTCCAGTGTTCAAGCAATTCTCATACCCCAACCTCCCAAGTAGCTGGGACTACAGGCGCCCACCACCACACCCAGCTAATTTTTGTATTTTTAGTAGAGACGGGGTTTTACCATGTTGGCCAAGCTGGTCTCCAACTCCTGACCTCAGGGGATTCACCCACCTTGGTCTCCCAAAGTGCTGGGAATACAGGCGTGAGCCACCACACCCGGCCTGCAGTCAACTTTTTAAACTTTGAAATATCTTATCATGAACTATGTAATATAAATAAGGAAGTATATACAATTTATACGTATACCTCAATAAAATGAAATTCTTATCCATTTCTAGTACCTTTGAAGCCCCCATTTGACCCTCCCCAATTGCATCCACTACTCTCCCTGAGAGGTAACTGCTACCCTGAATTTCTGAGTTAATGATTCTCTTCTCTTCATGGTTTTACCATGTATGTATGCTCCCCTCAGTTTCTTTCTAAAACTTTTGCATGTAACACCTAGAGAACTTGTTAAAACACAGATTGCTGGGCCCCAACTCTGAATTTGTGATTCAGTAGGTCTGGAGTGATGCCAAAAATCTGCATTTCTAACAACTTCAGGTCATGCTAATGCTGCTGGTCCAGGGACCACACCTTGAGAACCACTGCTGTAGCAGGGGGCTGTTTTGCTTTTGCCTGTTTATAAATACAAGTATATCATATATATTCTTCTGTGACTTGCTTTTTTTCACCGGAACTTTGTTTTTGAAGTTCAGCTTTGTTGATATGGGTAGCGATAGGTCAATTCATTTCCCCATTGCTTAGTATTCTATTTCTCATTAATTTTTGTCCACTGCCCTATGAGGGAAGAGGAAGAAAAATAGGAAGCAACTTGCTTAAGGCACCAACAGAAGTGATTCTGTACCCCTCAAGCATCCAGCACCAATGACCCTTGGCTCACACAGCTCAGGTCATTGTTGCTGCCTTTGGAAGGAAAGAGGCAGTGAGATATCACCTGTCCTAAGAGCCCTGGCCTCACCAGAAGTTCAGGAGGCTTTGAGACACCAGGCACAGCAGGACCTGCAGACCTCCCAGAGCCCTCTTGTATAAAATAGACCTCAAATAACATTGGCCTACCCTAATCAAATCAGGATATAAGGGGATGGAAGGGAAGGTAACAAACTTAATATTGATTTCAAATGGGCTAGGCACTATTGTTGAATAATGATTACAAAGCACTAGAAGACTGAATAAAAGTATGATAAAAATACGTTCTCTTTCAACCTCTCAACATTCATATGTGGTATATATTTTTTTAAAACTTGCCCAAGGTCACAAACTTAATACGAGATAGAGTCAGATTTTAAACCTAGCTCTACTTATAAATCATATCATTCTTTCACTTTATGCTGCCGCCTCGCTAAGACTTAAATGTAGGCCTTCCCCATCCTTGGCATCTACCTACCCACTAAGGCATACTCCCCTAATGTATGTGAACCTTCTCTGAAACCTGGATCCAATTAGTGTTACCTGAACCAGCTTTCATGGTTCTTTCCATCATAGTTGCAACAGATGTAGCATAAAAAATAGTGGGAGTGACATGCTGATACCTTGCACTGTCTTTGTTGGACTTGAACGTTTGACTTGGATTTATATGCCTGACAACTAACTATACTGCCTTGTGTTTTTATCCTGCAGAGGATTTCCAAAGAAGGCCAGTAGAACTGCTAGAATAGCCTCCGATGAGGAAATTCAAGGCACAAAGGATGCTGTTATTCAAGACCTGGAACGAAAACTTCGCTTCAAGGAGGACCTCCTGAACAATGGCCAGCCGGTACTGATAGATTTGGGACCTGGACTTGGAATGTTAGCTACCCACATACCTTTCTTCCTTTCTCTAAGACTTAGGTTCTTGATATTTGTCCACAACATCATCATTATTATTATTATTATTTTTGAGACAGGGTCACACTTTGTCACCCATGCTGGAGTGCAATGGTGTCATCACAGCTCACTGCATCCTTGACCTCCCAGGCTCAAACAATCCTGTGACCTCAACCTCCTGGGTAGCTGGAACCACAGGCACATGCCACCATGCCTGGCTAATTTTTTATTTTTGTAAAGACAGAGTCTCCCTATGTTGCTTAGGCTGGTTTCAAACTCCAGAGCTCAGGCGATCTGCCCGCCTTGGCCTCCCAAAGTGCTGGAATTACAGATGTGAGCCACTGCACACAGCCACATTATTTTATTACCCTTGAATCTCAACATTTCTCTTGATATTAGGATTTGAATCCAAAGACAAAAGAGAAAACGAAAGGCCTTCCTTCTATTCAGTCTTCACTGCTTTCTCCTATGCAAAAAACCTTTCTAAGAGTGAAGAGAGTAAGTGGGAAAGAAAGGAAGAAGGAAGGGCAGATATCTGGTTGGGAGAGGAACAAATGAGCAATGCCAATGGTATTAAAAAAAAAAAAAAAGGAACACAGGGATTCCATTCTGGCTGATAGGGTTGGGGAGGGATGGAGAAGGTGCGCTTTGGAATGGTTTGTATCTACCCAGAAACAGCGAACTGCAATGAAAGTATCAAAAAGAGAATTTGTTTTCCATGGTATGTACTACTTACACACGCACACAAATCTACTAGAGAAACCATTGGGGAAGTTCTGTTCTTTTCTCCCAGACTACTACTAGATATTAATTCAGCATCTGAAAGAGTAAAGGCTGTTCCAAAATCTTGTTCTGGTTTGTTAGAGCAAGATAACTAAACTGTAGGAAAAAATAATTATTTTACAGCTGCAGAACTGTAGAGTACCTAAATAGATTTGGTAAAATATATAGATAAGATGTTTTCTCCACTGGATTTAAGTCTTTCCTCATCAGTTTTTGTTTGTTTTTTCATCTCTTTTGTTGATGCTATCCTTTTAAAATACTCTTTTCTTTTTAAAATACTATTTCCAGAATATTTTAAGGGGATGGGAAAAGCAAATCTAGAAAATAAGACTTACCAGGTAAAGGAGAGGAACCTTCTGTAGCTTTATTAAGGAATTGTCACTGGAAAAATTTGCCTGGCTCTTAAGTACAAGACAAGGATCTTTTTGTATAAAATCTCCCTTTCAGACACCTTTTTCAGAGTAGAAAGCTCTCTATAATTATGTTTTCTGAGAATTTTAATTATCAAACATTGATAAGTAAAACTGTGAGAACAGACCACACTTGAAAGCTGGAGAGCAGAGGAGGGGTGCTGAATGCTGATTTTAGTTTATTAGGGTATCTTAATCTGATTAAGAAAGATTAAAATTTCAATGAAGTTTTGTGTTAGTTACTCATTTCACTGAGTATAGAAGATTTTCACAAGAGGAAAATATTTTCTCCCTGAAATAAGTGATTGCATGTGTAAATGTACATACTCTGGAAGTTTTCCCTGGCTCTGTCAACTAAATCTTTTAAAAGATTAAAATAAATACATATGGGAACTTTTTCAAGCCAGGTAAGGCATCACTCCAGCTTTTTTTTTTTTCTTTTTGGCTGTCTATGTCAATGTTCCTTATGAACTAAGATTCTCTTGGTTAAGGTAAGACTTCCTTAAGCTATTGGTCAACCCACATTATATATATTGTATGTATATTTATATTCATCTGTTTAGCAGTGAATAACATTCACAGTAAGTTCCACAGGTATCCACACTTGAGAGCTTAAAATGACAAGTAAGGTTTCCCTTTTTAGAAAATGGGATTCTCAACCAACTTTTTCCTAATATTATATATCATTCTCTTTCTTATCTTTGGTGTCTGTAGACACGGGCTTTTATAGCCAGATGGCATAGTGACTTAGAAAAAAAACTGTGAAGTATATTTGGCTTCTAGTGGTAGCAGGTGCATTCTGGTGAAGGAATAGATATGAAATTGATATTTCTGCTTATAAGGAACAGAGTGAAAATCACTCCAGGCCTGCCTTTGATGTGTTACAATTCTCCGTGAAAAGATTAGGGAAGCTTTTTAAGAGATCAGGTATTTAAGACTCTCTTTGAAAATTGAATTCACTGATTTTTTAATAGGTGTGAGAAAATTAATTTAATAACATAGTGGACTCAGATGCTTCATGCCGCCCTCAGACTCCTACCTCTGCCTCTTCTTGTCCTCTGACCTTTCTTTATTAAGTGAAATAATTTGAACTGCAGGACTATTTGTCATTTGGCACTTGACTTGTTTCACTTCCCGGTTTCAGCTGGGATTGAGATCAGCAATTACTGGAAATTGTAAATTTACCCAACATATTTTCCTGATTAGAGAGCTTCCAATCAAATTTGCATTTATATTTAGAAGTTTGGAAGTTTATCTGAAATAATTTCTGTACATTTTTTAGATTCTGCCTTACCAATTATTCTCTATTTCTAATCAAACACTTGCTTATAAAATGCTCCCGATGAGGCAGGTGGTATCTGAAAGTTCCTTCCAAACCTGTAAGTCTAAGGCACTTTAGAATGAGTATTCAAGAGCAGGTATCACCCCAACAGTCACACAAAAATGCCGGCATTTCTTATGTATAAGAATGGCATAGGTAAAACGGTTTGGGCCAATTCCAAAGTGCTAGCTGCGAGATGCAAGAACACTACCACTTTCTTTGCCTGATGGGCAAGCAGTCTGCTTCTGGGTCAAGTCAATTGAGGCTGTTAGCTTTGGCAAGTGTCTTGTGTAATCCTGTTGCTAATTCAGCCATGTGCATCATTCTCTGTGGATTATAATAGTTGCCGCCAATCCCCTACATTACACAGCAGCCTGGGAAATGCTCTTAGAGGTAAGAACCCCATCACTGCCAGCTCATCCACATCTTCCTTTAGCTAAACATTTACTGAGCACATACTGTTAAATGACTGATAGAATTATTTCCATTAGCGATACCTGTTCTTTTTTTAGTCAGTTTATTCTCCTTTTGAGTATCTTTGTTTTTTCTTTCAGTCAGTATTAGAGCTGACTTGGGTGTTCTGAAGCTGATGGATGGCTATAAAAATAACATTTCTTTTAAATTGTATTTTGCTGTTTAAATATCTTTTTTTCCATGTTTTTCATTAAGGACATGACAAATCTTTTCTGTGTGGTTTCTTCCTTGTCGCTTATTGCTCACTTTAAATTTGTGCTGTACCAATTGGTGGCTCTCTGGATTAGGCCATTAGTACTAGAAAGGGAGGTAAAAAGGTAGAACAACTGAAGCAAGAAAAAGAAATATGCAGGTATCTGAAGCTGGAGAGAGAACACTTACAGAAAATCATGAAAGTGTGTTGTTTTTTACTCTTTTTCATAGGGCAGTACATATTTGTGATTTTTTTCTAATTTTGTATTTTTTGTGACTTACGTTGTTTAGAGGTTAACATACGAAGAAAGAATGGCTCGTCGACTGCTAGGTGCTGACAGTGCAACTGTCTTTAATATTCAGGAGCCAGAAGAGGAAACAGCTAATCAGGTACCATGTTGCTCTGGACTTCTTAGGGTAACATTTATTCTGTCCCCCTTTTCCATCTTCCTTATGGATACTGTTCTTGGGATGAGTTCTGTGGAAAGTAGAGGGCAAGTCACAGAAAAGCAGTATTAATATCATCAGTCAACCTCACAGCTAATTTTTATTGAGCACATACTATGTTAAGTGACTGACAGAATTCTTTCCATCAGTGATACCTGTTCTTTTTATTCTTCTTCTTGATTATTCTCCTTTCCAGTACATTTCCATTTTCCTATCCTAAGTTTTATGCAAAATAATTTTGTGTGGAGAAACACATTTTCGCCGACATTGTCTGAAATAACTAGTGAATATTTCCCATTAGAGTTGGACCTTGAACAACACGGGAGTTAGGGGGACCAACCCCAAGCACAGTTAAAAACCCACATATGGCCGGGCACAGTGGCTCATGCCTGTAATTGTAGCACTTTGGGAGGCTGAGGTGGGTGGATCACGAGGTCAGGAGATCGAGACCATCGTGGCCAACATGGTGAAACCCCGTCTCTACTAAAAATACAAAAATTAGCCAGGTGTGGTGACGCACACCTGTAGTCCCAGCTACTCGGGAAGCTGAGGCAGGAGAATTGCTTGAACCCGGGAGGTGGAGGTTGCAGTGAGCTGAGGTTGTACCACTGCACTCCAGCCTGGCAGCAGAGTGAGACTTCGTCTCCAAAACAAAACAAAACTAAAAACACATATACGACTTTTGACTCTTCAAAAACTTAACTAACAGCCTACTGTTGACCAGAAGCCTTACTGATAACAAAGAGTTGATTAACACGTATTCTGTATGTTATATGTATTATAGACTGTAGTCTTAAAGTAAGCTAGAGAAAAGAAAATGTTACAAAGAACATCTTAAGGAATAGAAGATACATTTACAATTCATTAAGTGGAAGTGGGTCATCATAAAGGTCTTCATCCTCATTGTCTTAAATTAGAGTGGTCTGAAGAGAAGAAGACAAGGGGTTGGTCTTGCTTATCTCAGGGGTTGCAGAAGCGGAAGAAAATCCATATATAAGTGGACCCATGCAGTTCAAACCTGTGTTGTTCAAAGATCAACTGTTTAGTCTTAATATCTAGTCAAAATAAAATAGAAAATATTATCTCTTTATCTTCTTTCACATATATACAGATGTTCTTCAACTTAGTATGGGGTTATGTCCTGATAAACTCATTATAAGTTGAAAATATTGTAAGTTGAAAGTGCATTTAAGGCGGGGCGCAGTGGCTTACGCCTGTGATCCCAGCACTTTGGGAGGCCAAGACCGGGTGGATTACCTGAGGTCAGGAGTTCAAGACCAGCCTGACCAACATGGTGAAACCCCGTCTCTACTGAAAATACAAAAATTAGCCGGGTGTGGTGGCGTGCGCCTGTAGTCCCAGCTACGCGGGAGGCTGAGACATGAGAATCGCTTGAACCCAGGAGACAGAGGTTACAGTGAGCCAAGATCGTGCCACTGCACTCCAGCCAGGTGACAGAGCGAGACTCCATCTCAAAAAAAAAAAAAAAAGTGCATTTAATACACCTAACCTACTGAACATCTTAGGTTAGCCTAGTCTATCTTAAATGTGCTCACAACACTTACATTAGCTTACAGTTGGGCAAAATCATCTAACACAAAGCCTATTTAAAATAAAGTATTGAATATCTCATGTGATTTATGGAGTCCTGTACCAAAAGTGAGAAGCAGAATGGTTGTGTGAGTACTCACAGCACCGTTACTACCAAACGCATATTGCTAGCACAAAAGTTTCACTTAAGGAAAATTAGAAATCTTGCTGCATTCTTATTATTTCTATTATTAGTCTTCACATCTTTTTTTCTACCATTACAGGACATTGGTTCTCCTCATGCTTCTGTAGGGAGTCCTCTGGATGGTCAAAAGGTTAAGCTTTTCACCTTTCTTCTCCTTCCAGTCTTTCTCTGTGTCTGTTTTCTTCTGTTCTTCCTGTTTTACGTGTGTTTCTATCTTTTCTGCCATATATTAATTATAAATGCTATGACCAGTGTCTGTTTCATTTAATATCAGATACACAAAATTACTGCAACATGAGTTTTCTTGTCATGTATTTACCAGCTTGAATTTATTTATTTATTTTTACTTTATGTATTTATTTATTTATTTATTTATTTTGAGATGGAGTTTCGCTCTTGTTGCCCAGGCTGGAGTGCAATGGTGTGATCTTGGCTCACTGCAACCTCTGTCTCCTGGGTTCAAGCGATTCTCCTGCCTCAGCCTCCCAAGTAGCTGGGATTACAAGTGCATGCCAACATGCCTGGCTAATTTTGTATTTTTAGCAGAGATGGGGTTTCACCATGTTGGTCAGGCTGGTCTCGAACTTCTGACCTCAGGTGATCCACCCGCCTTGGCTTCCCAAAGCGCTGGGAATACGGCATGAGCCACAGTGCCTGGCCTCTGACTTGAATTTAATTCTGTCATTAGTGGATACTCTGAACATTAAATCAAGAAAAATTTTTCATTTGTTATATATACCTTTCTATGGGGAACAAAAGTGCTAATTCTTCAAGGGATTAATTTGATAGTAATTAGATGAAGCAAAACAACTTGTGGTATAACTCTTGCAGTTTTATTCATACTGTTGTATTTCTTCCCTCAAACCAACAAACTTGTTTTTTAAACACTGAGTAACTTCTTTAAGAGAAAACATAGTTAAAGTTATCTTTCATTTAATATTAAATAGGGAATATTTACATAGACTCCCTTGTCTTCATTGCACTTTTTTGTTTTGGAGACAGGGTCTCACTCTTTTGCCCAGGCTTGAGTGCAGTGGCACAATCACGGCCCACTGCAGCCTCGACTTCCCAGGCTCAAGTGATCCTCCCACCTCAGCCTCCCAAGTAGCTGGGACAACAGGCATGTACCACCATGCCCAGCTACTGTTCTTTTTAAATTTTTTGTAGAGATGGGGTCTCACTTTGTTGCCCAAGCTGGTCTCAAACTCCTGGCCAGAAGCAATCCTCCCACCTCGGCCTTCCAAAGTGTTGGGAATTACAGGCATGAGCCACTGTACCTGGCCTTTAATGCACTTTGTAGGCAAGGAAATTGTAGGATCCACCGTAATCACCACAGGAATGTTGATGGGTTGTTTTTTTTTTTTAAAGCAAAATTTTGGCTAGACTGTCAGTCCTATTTTTTCTTCTAAAGATGGTGGGTTCCTAACAGCTGCAGAGCTGAGGAGGCGGCCCTTGCAAGGCAGGGATTGTTAGAGGTGGGGGAAAAAAAACAAACATTTTTTTTTTTCTATTATTCTTTTACTATTTTTTCTATTACCATTTTTTCTAGTACCATTTTTTCTATTATTCTTTTACTATAATTGTATATAATATGGCAGCTGCTTGCCACATGTACTATGTGGAGAGATGTACCACCCTGCATCAGCTTTTACCCTACAGAAGGAAATCAGCGTTCCATTATATTTTATTGTTATCAACAGTTTAGGAATACATAGCTTTGCTTTTGCCTTTTTCTTTCCTTCCCCTTGTTTCCCCTCGCCTCAGAGAAAAGAAGGAAAAAAAAATTCATCTTTCCTACCCCCCTCTTTTTGGATGATAGGACTTGAAGACAATCTGAAATACCACATAAACTCACTTCCAGATGTTTTTTGTTTCATATGCAATTGAATTGGGCTCAGACTGTGTTTTTAAGCTGTATGGTAAAAATATCACTGTCTTCTAGGGCCTTATTGGGGGGCAGGGAGAGACGTGACACTTTGTCAGAAGGGATTGAGTCTGCTAACTTAAACTTTCCTTGATTCAGGAATACAAAGTCTCCAGCTGTGAACAGAGACTCATCAGTGAAATAGAGTACAGGCTAGAAAGGTCTCCTGTGGATGAATCAGGTGATGAAGTTCAGTATGGAGATGTGCCTGTGGAAAATGGAATGGCACCATTCTTTGAGATGAAGCTGAAACATTACAAGATCTTTGAGGGAATGCCAGTAACTTTCACATGTAGAGTGGCTGGAAATCCAAAGCCAAAGGTGAGCTGGGAGATGGAGGCTTTTTAAGAGTCATTCTCTGAGGAAAGGTTTAGCTTCCAAAACATAGCATGCCAGTAGGAGAAAGAGATACAAATGATCTTTCTCAATACCCACGATATAAAGGGTTTTAAATATTCTTAAGTTCTGGGCCATCTTCAGGAGGCATTAGAAACCAAAAAAGGTGGTGGGGGGAGTGGAGTTTGGGTTTGAAGAATAGAGAATAACTAACAGGGAGCTCTTCACACACCTATATCATTTATTCCTCGTTGTTATTCCCAAATCACAAATAACTAAACTGAGTTCTGTGAAGTGAGTTTCCAAGGTCAGAGAGCTGGTGAGTGGCCAGGCCTGCATATGAACCCAGTGCTCTGTACCATACAGACAAGTAATGCTCACCACTGGTTGTAAAAACTTCCAATCTTTAATCAAAAAACCAAGGCTGCTTATATTAATATTTACAGAGGGAGGTGGGGTGAAGAATATTGTTTAGAACGGATAATGACAAATTCTGATACCATGCAGGACTAGGATGACCTGGATGGGAGCTCTCTCCATACAAACATATGGAAATGCTGGATAAGGAGCTGCCCTATCTTTAAAGGAAGGACTAGAATAACTGTTTACTAGCCCAGCAAGGCAGTAAACAGGAGTACACTTTTCCCTAGAGCTTGAGTGAAAAGAATAAAAAAAAGGGAAAAAATTAAAACCCCTAAACTACACTATCACATGATAGGGAGCCAAAAGCTGAGAAATGTGAAATTTAGTGCTGGATGATTAAAATTCTTAGAAGCAAGCAAAAAGTTGCCTTATATAAAGGTAATAATATGTGAAGAAATAACCATGAGGAGAGTTGTGTTAGGCCGTTTTTGCATAAAGGGATTCCTGAGACTGGGTAATTTATAAAGAAAATAGGTTTTATTGGCCAAGCATGGTGGCTCACGCCTGTAATCCCAGCATTTTGCGAGGCCGAGATGGGTGGATCACCTGAGCTCAGGAGTTCGAGACCAGCCTGGCCAACATGGTGAAACCCCATCTCTACTAAAAATACAAAAATTAGCTGGGCATGGTGGTGGGCGCCTGTAATCTCAGCTACTTGGGAGGCTGAGGCAGGAGAATTGCTGGAACCCAGGAGGTGGAGGTTGCAGTGACCAAGATCGCGCCATTGCACTCCAGCTCAGGGCAACAACAGTGAGACTCCGTCTCAAAAAAAAAAAAAAGAAAAGAAAATAGGCTTTACTGGCTCACAGTTCTGCATGGTATACAGAAGTGTAGTACCAGAATCTTCTCCTGGTGCGGCCTCAGGAAGCTTACAATCATGGTGAAGGCGAAGGCGAAAAAGGTGAATCACACAGCAAGAGTAGGAGCAACAGAGAGAAGTGGTGGAGGTCCCAGACTTTTAAACAACCAGATCTCATGTGAACTAATTGAGCAAGAACTCACTTACCACCAAGGGGATGGTGCTAAACCATTCATGAGGGATCCACCCCATGATCCCGTCACCTCCCGCCAGGCCCCACCTCCAACACTGGGAGTCCCATTTCAGCATGAGATTTGGAGGGGACAGACATCCAAACCATATTAAGAGTCATAGTACAAGAAACAGAAAAACAGAAGGCCAAGTATTGCACAATATTGAACAATCTTAAGTAACCTCTAAAATAACTTTAAAAAGATTGAAACAATTTTAAAAAGAATGGAAACTATAATGAAAGAACAAGATAGTACCAAAAAATACAAATTTATAAAATAAGCATAGAGCAATGTACTCAATGAAATAAAAAGCTTAATAGTGGCATAAAATGAAAGAGGGAAAAGTGATAAAAAAATACCTGACACTTTTAGGTGTTAATTTCCTATAGCTCCATGGCATTGTTTTGTTTTCCCACCATGGCAAGTTTTACCATCATGTTCTTTTCTTAAAACTGAATCGCAACGCCAAAGTCAAAGATCAAAGAAAAGAGCCTTGAATTTTCAAACCCTATATACTTCCTAATAAAATGGGATTTTTAAAATAAACTCCATTGTTATAGAAAACTTTTTACAATATTCTTGGCATAATCTGCATTAACAACTGTGTATTCACAACATGTTATCAAACGCATGTATTAAAAATAAATTTGTAGTTTATGAACGAAATTCAATAAGGAATTATATCTTGAACTTCCAAGATATTCACAAGAAGATTCCATATTACTTTCAAACCTTACACAAGGCTTAAGATCACTGATCAAATTCTAAGATTATTGATTCTTATAGAATACTACATTAACATGAAAGATGGGCTTTTGTTTTTAATATGACTGTACTTTTTTCCTAATATAAATTTAAATGTTTCACAGCTAGAAGGGACTTAATTGTTTAAACTTTTCATTGTTAAATGTTATTCTTTCATCCCTCCTTCCTCTCCCTCAACCTTCATTCTCCTTCTCATTGTTTTCTTCCCTCTCTCATTTATTAAAGGTCTACTTTGGCATATGCCATATAAATTACATTAGGATTGTTAAAGTATGGAATATTCATGTTTAAAGAAATACATGTTTTTTTAGGCTTATGTTTTAAAAATATTTTATTCCTCCCTTGACATGCTTGTTCTAGTTGAGCCATAGGAAGACTGAAAATAATTTCTGATTTACCCTGTTCTCGTGCTTGTGCCCTCCCGAATTTCTCCCTCCATTAGTACGCTTGGTAAAATTTTGGAAATATTTCTTAGATCTTATTTGAAAGTTGTATGCCAAGTATAATGGAGGTGAAAAATATGATTAAAGAAATAACTCAAGAACTGGCATTGTGGCAAGAATGCAAAAGGGAAGAAATTGTATACTTATTACAGCTTCTTTTTTCCATCAGAAATAGTCAACCATAGCCAGGCACAGTGGCTCACACCTGGAATCCCAGCACTTTGGGAGGCTGAGGCAGGCAGATCTCTTGAGGTCAGGAGTTTAAGAACAGCCTGGCCAATATTGTGAAACCCCATCTCTACTAAAAATACAAACATTAGCTGAGCATGGAGGCGCACACCTGTAATCCCAGCTACTCAGGAGGCTGAGGCAAGAGATTCACTTGAACCCGGGAGGCAGAAATTGCAGTGAGCCAAGATCACACCACTGCACTCTCTAGCCTGGGGGACAGAGCTAGACTCATCTAAAAAAAGAAAGTCAACTACTAAAAAGTAAAATAATTATGAAGTATGATACTTTACATAATTTAAGTTTTACAACTCAAAGTTATTAGTCTAGTTGGTGATTACTTTTTAGATTCTAGAGTTTAATACGTAATATAGTTTCTGTAAATTTGGAGCTACCTGAAAAATACGAGTTTGAAAAGTTAGAGCAGTCATATCCTGATAATTCATCCATTTATTTAGTGCTATATATTTCTGGTCTTTTCCTTTCTTAGAATGCAGGTTTCAAAAAGATTTTTCAGATTCAAATACTTTGACAGACAGTTGAATTTGAATGTCAGTTTATGTTACCAATTTACATACTGATTTATATTAAGGAAGAAGTTTGTTTTAACAACTAAAGGGTCTAAAGTATATTTGTTTTGTTAGGAATCAGGAATACTTTTGGCTGCAAGGAACAAAAAATGACAACAAATAACTTGCTGTGGCTTAAAAAAGGAAAGGTTTATTTGCTTATCTAGTAAGTCTGCAGGTGGGGTGATGTAGCTATTAATTCAGCATCTCAGCCATGTTAGGGCTGTTGGCACTGTGATTCATTATGATGGGCCTATCTTTCAACTGTGTTGTTCATAACTTAAATCGAAAATAATAATGAACTTAGCCAGGCATGGTGGCTCACACTTGTAATCCCAGCTACTCTGGAGGCTGAGGCACGAGAATTGTTTGAACCTGGGAGGCGGAGGTTACAGTGAGCCAAGACTGCACCACCGCACTCTGCACTCCAGCCTGGGCAACGGAGCGAGACCCTGTCTCCAAAACAAAACAAAACCTTAGAACTCGGACATCCATGGACAACTGGTTTTGTTTAAAAGTGAGGGAAGGAAGGAGGACCCTTTGGACTACTTAAAAATATTGTATTTAATCAAAATTTACTTTTATTTTTTACATTGTTTCTTTTGAGACAGGGCCTCAGTCACCTAGGCTGGAGTGCAATGGCATGATCATGGCTCACTACAGCCTCAACCTCCTGGGCTCAAGCAATCCTCCTGACTCAGCCTTCCAAATAGCTAGGGCTATAGACATGCACCACCACACCCAGATAATTTTTTTATTTTTTGGGTCTTACTATGTTGCCCAGGCTGGTCTTGAATTCCTGGGCTTGAGCAATCCTCCTCAGCCTCCCAAAGTGCTGGGATTATAGGTAGGCATGAGCCACTGTACCTGGCCCACATTTAATTTTTTATCAACCCAAGTTACATATCTGAAAATTATTATACTTTTCAATACTACTGTGTTTTCTTTAACATAATGGGGATAGGTGACAAACATTTAACCTTTGATCATATGCTTCCTGGCCCAGAAATAAAGCAGTAGTATTCCACCCATCACCAACCCTTAGTCATCACCTCCCTCCCTACCAACCTCTTTTATTTGTCAAACACAATTCAGTGAAATGATTAGAGTTTGGGGTCTGCTTTTGTTCTCCAAAACAACCTTTTTACCTTTATTTTATAAACAATACATTTTAATTGCTGGTACATTTGAAAAAAGAAAAATGGCCTTCATAGAAGGCCACTTCATAGAAATAATGGCATTCTATGAATGCCATGAAGTAATGCCACTTCATAGAAATAATCATTGCCAAAATTCAATATATCCCTTCATATAAATAATATATGAATGTAAGTGCAATATTTTTAAAAACAAAAGGAAGATATATAATTTAAAAACTCAAATAGAATTTAAATTGTTACCTGCCTTTTTTCAGTGAAAAATCAATTCCTTAGTCAGGTATTTGGTTTAACATTTTAACATGAAAACTCAGATCAGCTCTGCAAACCACACTGTTACTATTTTCAGTTCTCCAAATAGAGTAGGAATACACAAACTCCTAATCTTTAATCTTTGTTTCTATTCACAGATCTATTGGTTTAAAGATGGGAAGCAGATCTCTCCAAAGAGTGATCACTACACCATTCAAAGAGATCTCGATGGGACCTGCTCCCTCCATACCACAGCCTCCACCCTAGATGATGATGGGAATTATACAATTATGGCTGCAAACCCTCAGGTAAAGAAGGGTATAGGTCTGGGCTCAGTTCTGTGTCTAGTGCTTACAGGCATTTGATTAGACAAAGGAACTATTTAAAAGGTGAAGTTAAGAAGTTTCTTTGATTTATGAAACTATTTTTCCAAATTCTACATCCATCTTGGTTTCAGAGGATAGAAAAATTCTTTGTTTCATGAATACTTATTTATTCCATCAGGTGTTATTCTACTCCTTCCACAAATATTATTAAGGGTCTAATATGTACACACTTTCTATGTGGGTGATGGGGTTGCAGTGGTAGACTGGACAAAGTCCTATGGTAAAAAATAAGCAATTAACAAATAATATAACTTCAGGTAGGATTACATGAAGAAAATAAAGGAGAAAAAGAGTGAGTGGCATGCATAGGCTGTATAAGAAAAACTCAACAAAGTAAAATATTTTAAAAGAAACACATCAGTGGGATTTAATGTGCAAATGTAGACAAATGATAATTTTGATAGCATTCAGGTTTATCAGTTTTCATCAAAATGTTTTCTCTTGTATTTGCCTTTAGACTTAGGGTCAAAAAATCAGTTGCCTTCTTAGAATTTAATAGGAGGCTGCTGGGTATCATGTTGCCAGTTCGAGCCTGCAAATTCTTTTTTATTATGTTATACATTTTAGTCACTATGCTGGATATAGGGGATACAAAAATGAGTAAAAAGTTATTTTGTACCTTAAGAGCTCAATGTATGACAGGTAGTTTTACTAAAGTCTGCAAAAGTAGTATAAATAACACACTTTTAAAAAGAAAAAAAAAGGCATGGTAAAATGAGCAGTTTTCTCTAGAAGTCATCTTTTTAGAATCTCTGATCTACTTATATCATTCCATATTATTTCTTTTGAAGAAAATATTTAGCATTAGAAACTATATAAATAATTTTAATGACACTACAAACTTTTAATTAAAGTTTCTGGCCCAGGTGCAGTGGCTCACATCTGTAGTCCCAGCACTTTGGGAGGCTGAGGCAGGTGGATTGCCTCAGCCCCGGAGTTTGAGACCAGCCTGGCCAACATGGCGAAACCCTGTCTCTACTAAAAATACAAAAATTAGCCAGGTGTGGTGGTAGGCACCTGTAATCCCAGCTACTCAGGAGGTTGAAGCATGAGAATCACTTGAACCTGGGATGCGGAGGTTTCAGTGAGCCAAGACTGCACCACTGCACTCCAGCCTGGTTGACAGAGTGAGACTTTGTTTTTTGTTTTGTTGGTTTTTTTTTTTTTTTTTTTTTTTTTTTTTTGAGATGGAATCTCACTCTGTCGCCCAGGCTGGAATGCAGTGGCGCGATCTCGGCTCACTGCAAGCTCCGCCTCCTGCGTTCACACCATTCTCCTGCCTCAGCCTCCCTAGTAGCTGGGACTACAGGCACCCACCATGCCCGGCTAATTTTTTTTTATTTTTAGTAGAGATGGGGTTTCACCATGTTAGCCAGGATGGTCTCGATCTCCTGACCTCGTGATCCGCCCGCCTCGGCCTCCCAAAGTGTTAGCATTACAGGTGTGAGGCACTGCACCCGGCCTGAGACTCTGTTTCTAAATAAATAAATAAATAAAGTTTATTCAAGGTTTATTATATTCTAATATTCCATGGTCATATAAATATATTTTTCTGCAATAATATTAAGATCAGAATGAAAACAGATTATCCAGCTAATCAGGTTGTGATAGAGCACAGCAAACTCTTCACTGTTAATGAAAAGCTTCTATATTAATGCACATTCTTAAAGTTCTAAATGTTTTAATCAATGAATACATGACCATCACCCTGAAAAAGTCTAAATCACTATTAAGAAGTTGCATTTTAATGTTTGTGTTCATATTTGATATATATGAAGAAACAAAAGCGGAACTTGCTTTTTTTTCTTTTTTTTTTTTTTTTTTTTCTTTTTTGAGACGGAATCTTGCTCTGTTGCCCAGGCTGGAGTGCAGTGGCATGATCTTAGCCCACTGCAGTCTCCACCTCCTGGGTTCAAGCAATTCTTCTGCCTCAGCACCACCACGCTCAGCTAATTTTTTGTATTTTTAATAGAGACGGGGTTTCACCTCAGGTGATCCACCTGCCTCGGCCTCTTTTTTCCTTATTATATTTTCAGTGCATTTCCTTGACATTAACAAATTCTAGCTTTTAGTTTAGTTTTCTGCCTGTTTAAGAAAATGGTGGAGAACTGACAAAATCCAAAATTTTTCTTCGTGTTGGGTCATTTATTCCTCTTTTGCCCTAGAAAGGCTGGGGTATATTATGGGATGGAATTATCTGTGGTCCTTACGTATTTGCCAACACTGGGAACCTGCTATTAATTTCAAGACATTTTTCTTAGCATGTTTTAAATTGTTATTGGAATAAGCCATTTTATAGAACAAAAGAACATAAACGTAAAACTGCAATTGTGAGTCCGCTTAGTGTCTTCCTCAAATTATAATAATGCATTTTTACATGTGGAAAAGTTCTCAGTGAGGAAGGACTGACTCAGTGCTCATGGCCAATGGCAGTGTGCAGAGTTTAAGACAGCAGGCCAGCCTTGGGGGTCAGTAGTCTCCAGTCATTTAAACTCTCTTGACAAATTATTATGAAGTCACTAGATGAAGGTGAGCTGCTGAAAATCTCCCTTGGATCATTCCATATTACATACATATAATATCACATTGTACCCCACAAATATATACAATTATAATTTATCAATTAGAATAAAAAAGAAATTTTTGTTTATTCATTTAGAGACAAGGTCTTCCTCAGTCACCCAGGCTGGAGTACAGTGGCATAATCATGGCTCACTGCAGCTTAGAACTCTTGGGCTCAAGCAGTCCTCCCATCTCAGCCTCCCAAAGCACTGGAATTACAAGCGTGAGCCACTGCCATTAGCCAAAAATAAATTTTTAGAAAATAAATGTAATCTTACCCAAAGCCCAATATATAATGCCAAAAAAAAGAAACCCTTGTTAACATAGGAAAAAAAGGAAAGGAAGGAAATAAAAAAGAAATGTTACTACAAATACCAAGATTGTAGGGCAACACCGATGATACTGAAAAAACCTAGGATGAGGCCGGCAGGCCATGCAGTACAGGGGTTATGAGCATGAACTTTGGCATCAGGCAATCTCAGCTGGAATTCTAGCTCTGCCACTCACTACCTGTGTGACCTTAGCAAGTCACTTAACTTCTCTGTGCCTGTTTCCTCCCTCGTAAAATGAGGATGATAATAATAATAATAATAATACAGATTTAAATAGTACATGTAAAAAGCATTCAGTTTACCTGGCACATACTATGCTTTCAATAAATGCTAGTTACTGTCATTATTTTAATTCAGAGACAGTAACTACCCCATCTTAAAGCAACAGGCCTACAACAGAAGCCTGTGGAACCAGATGTAAAGGATCAGTTCTGTGTCTAGGTACTCCGTTCCCACAGTACTGTCAGAAAGTAAGCAAGTCAATTTGGGATGGAATTTCTACCCAGTATGTTGTTGCTGTGTGGTCTTCTGACCTCCTGGCTTTTCCATTTTATCACCTCCATGGGAAAGGACTTAGGCAGCAGATGTGGCTGTGCCACAACTGCCACAGCTGTGGGCTTGGGTGGAGGAGCTGTGAGCTAGAGGACGGCCACACCCATAGCACAGCTGACATCAGCCACACATGAAGCTGGGAAGCTGCTCTCTACTCTCAGCACCCTCAGGGCCAAGAGAAGCCCCAAAAGAGAGTGGTTACTGCCCTTATTCCAGGCCCCAGAATTCTCTGCTTTGCAAATCCCAGGCTGAGCCCCATGGTTAACCCTCTCTGGTTCTTTGCTCTACCCTTTGGAGAGAAGACAAAGCAATGAGAAGTGGACCAAGAACAGCCCTCCTAATAGAATATCCTATCCAACCTGTGATTTCAGCCAAGGGTAAAATAACTACTCTGGGTCTATCAAAAGGAGAAAAAAAAAAGATTCAAAGAACCCAGAGCATCACAGTAAACAGACCAGTTTCTAACACTACCTATTATAGTATTCCAACCAACTCCAAAGATCAGTTGACACTCCCAGCATCTTAAGGGGTAGGGCTAAGAGTCTTCTTTACCTAAATAACCCAAGACAGGCAAAAGGAAGGGAAACTCATGAAGTCTAGGCCTCAGTGTGTAAATGTATATATCCCACTGAAATTGCTGTGAGAGAATTTTGATATTTATGCCACTTAGCAGTAGTAGTATTTGTTCCAAGTTTCTGAGCATGTTGCCTAGTTGATTTTAATTCCAAGAGTAAAACCCCTTCTTTTCTGTCTTGGGGGCTTCAGTAACTGGTATGTCCAAATATGGCAGATATAAGTTCTGTGAGTCATCACTTAAAAATTGGAGTGAACTTCACTATCCATTAGCAAAACAAAGTGGCATTTAAACCATGACCAGTGACACACCATTTTTCTACCTAACTCTTGGCATAAGTTACCATTTGTTGCTGTAAGGATGCCATTCTGGAAATGTTTAATGCTCTTAGAATCTCAGCTTTACAACATCTATTACCGTATATTAAAACTTTTTTCTTATAATTTATGAATTAAGACATGAGTTTAAATAGTCATGTCATAAAAGGTGGTGAAAAAAAAATTCAAAATAGCTAAATCTTTCAAGATATAGTAATCCCAAAAGCATAAAGTGTAGTTGACAGAAAACTGAAGTTGACTCCTTACTTCCTTAATGCCCTTTAGTTACCTTAAATTTTGAAATTTTAAAGTTATTTGAGTTTAGAAAAAAAAGTATTTGGGTTTGAAAGGGAGAATACATGTATGTTTTCTAGTACACTGTAGCCCAGATGAAATGAAATAACCAAGGAAAAGAGGAAGACTAGAGTGGAAAAATTAGTTCAGTAATGAAACACAGACGGTAGAGCTCTCCTGAGCAGTGGAAAATAATTACAGAAAGCAGCCAAGAGAAGGGTGAGAACCAAGGAGGGAGGAAAATATTAAAGTTCAGCAGAATATTTTATAGAATATGATATTTTTCCACCTGGGTTAATCTTTTGGGAATAAGAAAAACATTAGATATTGTTGACTGCATCCAAATTCTACTTGGGATAGAACACACAGCTCTAAACATATACTGGGCTGTGTATCACACTCGATGTGTGTAGCTCAAGCAATTCATAAGAGACCAAAGCAATCACATAGTTTAGCAAAATAATGAGTGACTGTGCAGTTACACCAAAGAGAATGCCAAAATGAGGATCACAAATACAGTTTATTTTAGACTCTAATCCTATCTTTAAGAACAACGACATCTAAACACGAATGTTTTACTTTGTTTTGTTGTGTTGCTAAGTTACTTTGTATTGCACTTGGATTTTGGAATGGCTATTTTGCAGTCTGATGTTTCCTCAAACTGCATTATGTATACAAGTGGCAAGCTTTTATGAAGACCTGTGTGCCACAAGTTAAATTTCATAAACTATGAAATATAAATGTTATTTCCATATTACATAAATAATTGGCCTTGCACAAGGTATGAAATAATCTTTACAAGCTGGATGTTTAATACAGAATCACTTTTAGAATTCAAACTTATTTGTAATATAAGCTTTAAACTCTGTGGATTTGTTTGGAATGGAAAAGTAACACACAACTGAGTTAAATATAAAATGTTAGTTTGTTGCTTGTGTTTTGTTTTAGCATTATAAGGTTTCCTGGCTCATTTCAAGCTTCACTCTAAACATTCCCTTCCATTATTCTTATGTTCATAGTAAAGCAGATAGAAATGAGAAAATTAATAAAAGCAAATGCAGCAGCATTAATGTGCATCAGAGCCTACTAACTATGATTACCAGGGTTAATAGGCATATTATTATTAAAATCACTTATTGCTAATTCTATATGACCTTTGTCAAAAATAGTATGTTCAGACTTAAAAACCTGAATTTTCTATTATGCACATGGAAGGCATCTTTTCAAAAAAGCTTCACTGAACTCTGGGGGTTTTTTCCCCCAAACAAAAATGACAAAATTATACAACTTCTTAGTTTGGATGCTCTCTAAATGCTCCTGGTTATGTATTGGTTAGTAATATATTTAGCCAATAACACTGTATAAATCAAACTAATAATTCTGCCTCCTGAAGACCACACCTTCCCCTTTCATGTTCAGAAGTGCAGGTTGGTATCAGAATAGAGAGATTACAAATGATAACTATTCCTTTTTCTTAAATTTGGGAAGTTAAGGAAATATTCTGTGGCAATATTTGTATATATGGTTCTAAGCAGTAGCAGCAAAAACCCTGAAAACAGTGTAGAAATGTGTGACCTTTCCAGAGTAGTATGCCAACCTGTTTACTTTTTTTTTTTTTTTTTTTTTGAGAGGGGAGGAAGAGGCAGGCTAAGCATATCAAGGATCTGTTTAGAGCTGAATAGGGCATATTTTTCCTCCTCCACATCAAATGCAGCCATCACACTAACAAGTACATTTCAGTATGATTGTGCTTAGCACCTTTCAAGCACCAGCAGAAGTTAAAAAGGTTAATCTGCTTCCCACATAGTCTGCCTCCTGTGCCAAAGGTATTTTGTTTTTCCTTTGGAGTAAATTACATTCTAATACCAAGAAAAATAAAATTCCATTACATAAACAATTCTAAAGGATGCCTCAAAACTGGTTATTATAATTATATCCATAGTGAGTGCTACAATAATTTAACATTTTGAGCATTGGCTTCATGCAAAACACAATGCTGCCCGGTGCTTTACAAGTATTAATGCCTTTAATCTTCATAAGAACCCATTAGGTATTAACTATATGGCCTTGTTTTACAGAGAAGGAAACTTAGAAAGATTAAGTTACCTGCCTAAAGTCACTCACCTGTAAGGGACAGCAGAACTGGTTTACAAACTTAGACTGATTCCAGAGCTACTGAATGCAATACGAAGGTATTTAAGGCTCATTCCAGGATTAAGAGCACTAAGTGGCAGGGGAGATAGTGGTTAAATATGAAAGAATTTTAGAAGGAGGTAAGCATATACCTCATGTAAAGTATATTCACATGGAAATTCTTGCTGGGGTCCGCCAAGCTGCTGGGGCTCCTAAAAACCATCTTGATGCATGTCCATGCATAATGTCTCAGACCCATGATAACACAGTACCAGCTATGAGGAATTTAATAATGATAATTTATGATGTCACATACCATTTGATATTTATGAGAGCATTTAGGTTACATCATTTAACCCTTAAAACATCCTTGTGAGAGATATATGTAGCATCCCTATTTGTACAGAAAAAGAAACAAAGGCTTGAACAAATTCAGTGATTTGCTCAAAGTTTTAGGAAAAGTCAGCACTCAAATCCAGGTTAGTGAGGTGTGTTTGTTTGACTGTTTGTAACAACCCATACCTCCTTTTCCAAATTCAAGTTTAAGTCTGAATTTAACTTACATTATATCTTTTTCTAACCGCATAAATGATTAGTTCATTTTAACTTACCATGGATCTTCTGAGCTTCATATCACAAGGAAGGATATATCCAAATTATAAGCATTTCATCATGGAAGCCGCAAAGCACATAATAAGGAAGCCATATCCCACATCAGGACAATTGGAAGCTATTTGTGTAAAACAATACACACACTTCCTTGTCCTCAACCTCCAAAAAGAATCATTAATTTTAAGTGTTCATGTGTTATCTTGTATGATGCATCAGTTGGATAGTTCATGATGGAGGTCTTCTAAGCAAGTTACATCTAGATTTTCTACAGCAAGTACAGATCTGGAGAACTTGGATGAAATTAATTTTTAGATTTCAGGCTAGTTTAGGGAATCCCAAATGTTTGCCAAGAGTTTAGCATAAGAATCTGTATCAAGTGGCCTGTGCTTCAGGTACAGTTAATCTGAGCTAGAAATAATTCTCCTTCATAATGTTAGACTTCATGTCTCCTTGGAAATTTTCAGGAAACACAGTGTTTTAACTATGACCTCAATAGCAAACACCGTGAATGCCAGACGGAGTCACATATGTAGTGGTATAAAACTAGTTATGTTTGTTTCTTTGTGATGACCTCTCTTTGGTAATTCCTCATTCTTCTCCTGTCTGTATTACATTCCTATGTGTCTTTGCCTTTTCTGGGTGGTTATAGCCCTAAAGAAGTCCAGGTTTTAGGAGACCTAGAGAACCCCCCCAGTTAGAGTCCTGCCCTTCAGTGAATCTTGCTATGGGATTTTTCTCTGCATTCCCTCCACTAGTGCCCTCACCCTGACCCCCACTCCAGTCTACTCACAGTTGGAAAGCAGTTCTTCAAAACACACAGAACACTGCAGCTTCTGTTACCTGTCTCTATAGGCAGCTTGCAATAAAAATGACAGCCAATGGGAGAATTTTATTCTGAGTGTAAGTGCATGAGGGCTTCTCATCAACTCTGAGCTAGAACTCACTAAGTCTAATCATTGATGGTACATCTGCTTCTTGTTTTTCCTCTCTTGCTGTTACCTTTGGCAGTCATCACAATTTAGAAGCACATCTTCTCATTCTTCTGAGAGAGTGAAGGAGAAAAATCATCTTTTTTGCTACTCTGCTGGTAACAGTGAAAAAAACAAATTAAGAGAAAGGGCTGAAACAAAAACCAAAGTAACAATGTGTGGCTTATCCATGTCATCTGGGTGCCCTGAGTATTACTTGTCTGTTCACATATGACAGCGTTTATCAAACTCTTTTTTTGCTTTTATTATTTTTAGTTGACACAATGATTATACATATTTATGAGGTACAGTGTGATATTTCAAAGCATGTATACAACGTATAATGTTCAAATCATGGTAATTAGCATATCTGTCACCTCACTTATCATTTGTGTTGGAAATACTCAAAATCCACTCTTCCAGCTATATGAAAATACACAATAAATTATTGTTATCCTACAGTGCTGTGAAACACTAAAACTTTTTCCTCCTATGTAGCTGTAATTTTGTATCCATTAACCAACTTCTGGCTATCTCCCCGACCCCACCACCCCGTCAAAATTTCAATTGACAAATTTAAGAGAACAAAATATAGGTTTTTTTAATTACATAGGCCCTTATCATATGACCCACATATTTTAGGTATTTAACTGCTTCTAGTTTTTAAATCTCAAATATGTTCATTTCATGAGAACATGGCTTCATTTAGTCATGAAGCTCTCCTTATCATCCCACGCATACTTCTTACATAACACTCATTTTATCATGCTCATTTTAATGTATGGTTTGGGGAAGGGATGCCACTAACTTTTTTTTTTTTTTTTTTGAGACAGAGTCTTGCTCTGTCACCCAGGCTGGAGTGCAGTGGCACCATCTCAGCTCACTGCAACCTCCGCCTCCCGGGTTCAATAGATTCTTCTGCCTCAGCCTCCCAAGTAGCTGGGACTATAGGTGCATGCCACCACGCCCGGCTAATTTTTGTATTTTTTTAGTAGAGACGGGGTTTCACCATATTGGCCAGGCTGGGCTCGAACTCCTGACCTCGTGATCCACCTGCGTCAGCCTCCCAAAGTGCTGGCATTACAGGCATGAGCCATCGTGCCCGGCCAGCCACTAACATTTAATTAGTATATTACTATAATTAGTATATTACTAAAAAGAGAAAACTGAAATCATCTAGGTTTGATTTCAGAATTGGCTACAGCTGGTAGATGACCATGAAAATGGAATCTTCACAAGAGACTGATGTCCTCCTGCTATATTTTACAATTCAACATCATGTGTTACGGAGACCTTTGCAGGTTACAATTAATCAAGGGTTGTCATTTTAAATACCATCCTAGATAAAACAGTAAAGCTTATTTAAGAGTTCCAAAAAAAGACCTTGTCACCTTCAAGTTCTTCAAGTAAAAATAGTTTTACTGAGGCACTTAACTCACAGGGAAAGTGTTTTTCTGAAAAGGGTTAGTCATTACTCAAATGGCATACTGAATTTTTTATGAAATAATGTCTTATAGAGAATAGGACAGTAGGCATGATAGTGCTTAGTGGTTAATAGTTTTAAATAGCAAATCATTTATTTCCTGATATTTCTACAGGGCCGCATCAGTTGTACTGGACGGCTAATGGTACAGGCTGTCAACCAAAGAGGTCGAAGTCCCCGGTCTCCCTCAGGCCATCCTCATGTCAGAAGGTATTTAACATGTTCCTTCCCAGAAGTGTTACATTATTTTATTTATTACTATAAATGTAGTACTATTAGAATCATCATATGACCACAAAAGTAAACATAACTGGAAGATAGAATAGGAATGCAAACCTGAAGCCTGTGGCTCCTTGATTATTATGCTCCCTTGTGATGCAGAAAGGGAATGGGAACAAACATTCGCTAATGTGTGCTAAGCCCATTCACATATACTATTAGTTTGTTAAATAAGACATATTTTATAGACAAATAAATCAAGACTCAGCACTTTTAAATGGCATATGAAAATACTACTAAATGGTACACAAATGTTGGAAACCAAACTTCTGTAACCAACAGCTGTGTGAGTGGACGCACACATTAAAAGCTATTACCACTGGGTTTCTTAAAATCAGCTCATTTGTTAATGTTCATTTTTCAGCCACTTAGTTCAAAACATAAGACCATTAGACTACAAATCTTGTAGGTAAGATCTGTCACATTTTAAATACTCAGATATCTGCTAGCAATAGAGATGCTTTCCATTCCTAGTAGTTCTGAGTCTATGCAAGGACACTGATGGAACAATGGTAGGCAGAGATAGAGAAAGGATTATTACTTCTTAGTAACACATTTGCACTTAAAAAAAATTCAGTAAGTCAACCATCCTGTCAACTTGGCCTGTTTAGATATTTTATAGACAGAATATCCTCAAATAGTCCTGAGTCTAAATTACAGGCCATAGGTGCAAACTCCTTTAGTGAAGAGAATACATAGTTAGCTCACAGAGAGTAGGCAGGAAAACTGAGTAAACATCAAACAAGTGGTGTGTGACTGCATCCACACAGACTTTTGTTCAACATTTGGAAGACAGTTCTGGCACCAGAGCATGTGTAGATTTAATTCTAACTTCATCATGGCAATACCTATTCACAGGATGCTAGCCTGTATCTTTGGGTATAAACATAGCATATACAGGATTAGGTCCATTGTCTTGCATTATTCTCTTTGCTTCTCTTGTTGTCTGCAACACATTTTTAAGCCTTTCCTTATATCAGTGGGTCCTGGAAAGCTTTTTTTCCCATAAATTAGATCTATACTTAGAGAAGGGTAAACTATATTAAAAAGCTAATAATTATTAGCCTAGTATGCTTCTTTCATTTGTTCCACTCTTGCTTTTCCTAGTTAAGTGTTTTTAAACTTATCTTCTAGTCACTACTGACAGAATTTGTATTCAACATCTTTTAAGTCTTCCCTGCGATTACTTTCAACTGTATTCCTCTTAAAGGTTTCTCTGGCAACCTTTAAAAGTGACAGAGATGCACAGAATCTGGGAGATTTGTACAATCTCATTTTTTAAAGCAAAAAATAATGCCTCTAGGCATATGGATAACTAATGCAAAAGAAAACTTGCCTAAAAATGTAATTTGTTTTCCTGCTTAATATGAAAAGGAATTTTAATTAAAAATATATTGAATTTTTATCAGAACTTTTAATTTCCTACAAATTTAAAAATCACAGTGTAAAGTTCTAGTAACTTCTGTTGAAAAAGATTTGGTAATAAATGAGCAATAATGCTACTTTTCATAAATATTTAAAAATATTTAGGAAAAATATGTTAATATGTAATACCCCATTTTTTTCCATTTCCCCTTTTATGATTTATAGTAGCCTGCAATTGGCAGACAATTAAATTTATAGTAAACTTCCAAACTAAACAAGAGTTTGCTTTTCTGATTTTTTAATGTGTAAATCTTAGCTGTAGGGATCAGATAAGGAAATCATATTATTACCCCATGTATTTTAAGAAAACAGATGACTAAAAGTCTGGAAGTAACTACTATCTATATTTCTATCTATCTGTCATCTTTCTTGTTTCAAGGCCTCGTTCTAGATCAAGGGACAGTGGAGACGAAAATGAACCAATTCAGGAGCGATTCTTCAGACCTCACTTCTTGCAGGCTCCTGGAGATCTGACTGTTCAAGAAGGAAAACTCTGCAGAATGGACTGCAAAGTAAGATTTTGTTATTGCTTGCATATCCTATTGCCCCACTTCTCCCTCACTTGCCATTTCTCTATAGTTCCTTTTGGGGAAATTACATAAAGTATAAAATGAGAGCTGGGCACAGTGGCTCACACCTATAATCCCAGCACTTTAGAGTCCAAAGCCGGGCAGATCGCTTGATCCCAGGAGTTCAAGACCAGCCTGGGTAATATGGAGAAACCCATCTCTACCAAAAATACAAAAGTTAGCCAGGCGTGGTGGCGTGTGCCTATAGTCCCATCTACTTGGGAGGCTGAGTTGGAAGGACTGCTTGAGCCTAGGAGCTGAAGCTATGTGAGCTATGATCGAGCCACTGAATTCCAGCCTGGGTGACAGAGCAAGACCCTGTCTCAAAAAATGAAATGATTCTAGCTTAAGGGGGGGAAAAAGTGAAATACGTCGGATATTTATATATTGTTTACTATGATTCTTTAAATCTAAATTAAATATGTTCTTTACTCAGAACCCTACATGACATTACTCTAGAAAGTCATCAGGAGGTTTTATTTATCCCTTTAAATGTTGAAATAATAAATATGATAAATCTACCATGTCTTCATTCTTTTTTCATACAAATTTTGTATCCATATATCTACTCTGACTTTTATTCCTCCCATTTTCTAATTCTTTTTTTTTTTTTTTGAGACAGAGTCTCACTCTGTCACCAGGCTGGAGTGCAGTGGTGCAATCTCGGCTCGCTGCAACCTCTGCCTCCTGGGTCTCCTGCCTCAGCCTCCTGAGTAGCTGCGATTACAGGCATGTGCCACCAGGCCCAGCTAATTTTTGTATTTTTAGTAGAGATGGGGTTTCACCATGTTGGTCAGGCTGGTCTCAAACTCCTGACTTCATGATCCGCCCACCTCAGCCTCCCAAAGTGCTGGGATTACAGGTGTGAGCCACAGTGCCCCGCCCCCATTTTCTAATTCTAAGATAAGTTAGAGGGACATCTTTCTTTCATCTGTTTTGCAGCAGGGCTTTTTGTTTTTTTGGGGTTTTTTTTTTTTTTTTTGAGACGGAGTCTCCCTCTGTTGCCCAGGCTGGAGTGCAGTGGTGTGATCTCAGCTCACTGCAGCTTCCACCTCCCAGGTTCAAGTGATTCTCCTGCCTCTGCCTCCTGAGTAGCTGGAAGTACAGGCACGCACCACCACGCCCAGTTAATTTTTTGTATCTTTAGTACAGACGGGGTTTCACCATATTGGCCAGGCTGGTCTCAAACTCCTGACCTCGTGATCCGCCCTCCTCGGCCTTCCAAAGTGCTGGGATTACAGGCATGAGCCACCACACCCGGCCTACAGCAAGGCTTTTTAACCCAAGGTCCTTGGGTAGGCAGGCTTCATTAGGTGTTTGAACTCTGAAATTACCTACAAAATTATGTGTGTAAGATAACGTTCATCCATTTCTCAAAGGAGTTTAGGGAAAAAATATTTAAGAAACACTGCTCTAAAATTTTTTGTTTGATTTCTTTTTTGCCCCCTGTTTACTGATCTTAAATTTAGTTTAACTCTTAAATATGGATAAGGTTTTAAAAAGTTATTTGGGCTCCCTCTGCTGGTTCTGTATGGAATATGAGAACACAAATATAGGCTGCTTAGAGGATTTGGGCATTGTTTCTTCAGAAAGTAAATCTGGGATTATAGAAATGTATAAAAAGAATAAATATAACAAAAATATTTTATTTCTTAGGATCATTATTTATTTTTTACAGTATAAATACACAAATTGTGTTTCAGTCTGTATATATTTTATATATATATGAGTGTGTATTCATTTTTGGTCTATAATTAAGAATTATACAGTACAGCTACCATATGATCCAGTTAATTCTACTAGTGCTTATATATCCGAGGAAAATGAAATCAGAGGCTGGGCACAGTGGCACACGCCTGTAATCCCAGCACTTTGGGAGGCTGAGGCGGGCGGATCACGAGGTCAGGAGTTTGAGACCAGCCTGACCAACATGGTGAAACCCCATCTCTACTAAAAATGCTAAAATTAGCCAGGTGTGGTGGCATGCATCTGTAGTCCCAGCTACTCAGGGGGCTGAGGCAGGGGAATCACTTGAACCTGGGAGGCAGAGGTTGCATCACTGCATTCCAACCTGGGCAACAGAACAAGACTCCCCGTCTCCCCCACAAAAAAAAAAAAAGAAAAGAAAATGAAATCAGTAGCAATATCTGCATTCCCATGTTCATTGCAGCACTATTCATAATAGCCAGGATACGGGATCAGCCTAAGTGTCAACAGATGAATGAATAAAGAAAATATGAGATATATATATATATACATACATACACACACAGTGGAAAATTATAATCCTGTCATTGTGACAACATGGATGAACCTGGAGGACATAATGTTAAGTGAAATAGGCCAGGCACAGAAAGATAAATACTACAGGATCTTACTTATATGTGCAATATAAAAAAGTTGAACTCATAGTAGAGAATAGAATGGTGATTACCACGGGCTAGACGGGGAGAGGGAAAGTTGGGGAAATGTTAGTCAAAGCATATAAAATTTCAGACAGGAAGAATAAGTTCAAGAGATCTGTTGTACAACATGGTGACTATAGTTAATAACGATGTACTATATACTTGAAAATTGCTAAGAGTAGGTTTTAAGTGTTCTTACTACAAAAAAAAATGAAGTCATACATATGTTAATCAGCTCAGTTTAGGTATTCCACAACACATACATATTTCAAAATAATGTGCAGAATTACATACAATTTTTATCAATTAAAAAACACTTAAAAAAATTCATACAGACCACTTGTAAAATAACGTTTTGAGTTAACCAGGGAAATTTTATTTTAAATAGATAATTAGATTATACCAAAGAATTATTAATTTTACGTGTAAAATGGAATTGTGATTATGGAAAAGTCTTGTTTTTAGAAATGCATACTGAGCTATATGGGGGTAATGGTATATAAAATCTGGAATTTATTTTTAAATATAAAAAATAAGAGAGTGACTAAATGATGGGTATATACACACTTACCATACTGGTTATCTCTATTTTTAATCATATTTAAGAAAGAAATAACAGTACTGTCTTTCACTGGACTGGCACATAACTGTCCTTAAAACGCCTGCCATTAAAAGAATATTGGAAACAAAAAGTAAACTGCCTATTGATTTCACTATGATGATCTGACCTGGATAAAGAAAATGTGAAAAATCGGCCAGGCACGTGGGTCACGCCTGTAATCCTAAAACTTTGGGAGGCCGAGGCAGGTGGATCACCTGAGGTCAGGAATCCGAGACCAGCCTGGCCAACATGGTGAAACCCCGTCTCTACTAAAATACAAAAAAATCAGCCAGGCATGGTGGCAGGCGCCTGTAATCCCAGCTACTCAGGAGGCTGAGGCAAGAGAATTGCTTGAACCCGGGAGGCGGAGGTTGCAGTAAGCTGAGATTGTGCCCACTGCACTCCAGCCTGGGCAAGGAGCAAGACTGTCTTAAAAAAAAAAAAAAAGTGAAAAACCTTGCCACATGTACAGATAGATCAGGAAAAAAAAAAAGTTAGTGTATTTAAGCTTTGAAAGGGGAAAAAATCCTGACGATAAGCCAAACACTAAAGCAGCAGCTTGCTTTTCCTCCAAAAAGCCCCCTCCCCTTTTAGCCCCTGAGGAACATTCCTAGACACTGATTATCCTTAACTGGTACTAAATTTTCAGGAAAATAACTAATTCCACTCCCATAGCAACAAGCATCACTATTTTCATGTGTGCTGAGAGTACAGATCTAGTTACATTGTGACCTGCTGGTGGTGACCTTCAGCTCCTGAGATCATGCTGTCTTTACTTAGCCAGGAGAACTGGGGTTAGAAAAAAGGTACAAGGGGCATTCTCTTTGCCCTAGCATGAGTAACTATCCACTGGGTAGGTTCACTGTGAATCACGTGGTTTGAGAGTACGCGTGCTTTGGGCATCTCTCCTACTAAACATACTGTGGCTTCAGTCAGTAGATGGCTTATCTAGGATCTAACCTGGTAAAGTAGGAACAAGCAGTGCCGCTTTGTTTCTAGATGTGGGAACAACAAGGAGCCTGACCAAAGATGTCCACTCCCTCTTCCTCCACACCACTTCTGATGACCTCCAAACAGGTCAGGCAGTGTACATGGAGAGCTGGGGACAGCAAGTGGATAGATAGGAGAACACAGAGCCTGAGTGTCTCAGAAGCCAAGCTGCCTAACTACTGCTGTTTGTTTCCAAAACCTCTTCATCCTTTTAACCAGTCATTTAAGTTTACTTTAAATGCTGTAGCCCTTTGCTACATGTGTGGTGGGAGGCATCTTGCAGGTAATATCAGTTGAGTATCACGTAGCAGGAATGGAATTTGTGAGTCCTCTGGCTGATGCTGGCAAAGCTAGTTCTTCAAAAGAACTGTTTTACAGTCTAAGTGACATCTTTTTGTATATAACTTCGTACTAGTAAAGTTGGGGGTAGGGGGTAAAAAGGCCTTCCTTAACAGTGCATTTCTTCCATTCAAAATCAAGGGCAAAACTAAAAAGCTGGCAGATGGCGACCATCCTGACCCTTTGCGGCACAACATGTTATTAGCAATTAAATGCTTTTATCTGATCTCTGGTCCACACAACTGTCAAGGTCTCAAGATTTTATGATGTTTCCATTGTGATGGTAATTTGTTGAGATGGCTTTCTGGGTAATTTCGTATTGCTCTTGTTATTCAGTTTCAAGGATTATAAAATAATAATAGCAGCCCTGTGTGCTGACGAATGCATTCTCCATAACTATGGCTGCTCCTTGATGAGAAGCTTTACAGTACTATATATAAATGCCAGCTGAGTATTTGTTATTATTGTTGGACATCTTTTTTCAAAGAAGCCCAGAGCCTGGTGCTGATATCATCCCATTAATCTCCATAGCCCTGGGCAAGGTAAGACCATGACAGCAATTTTTTAAATCCCATCTCGGTCTTCTCTAGGTTGCTCTGTAAGAATTGTTTAGATGTAAGCTGGTGAGTGCTCAGGAAGCCAAAGTTTAAAGCAAAAGTTTTAAGCAAAAGAGTAACATGAGCTGATACTAAAAGCCATCTCTTGGCCCGGTGCAATGGCTCATGCTTGTAATCCCAGCACTTTGGGAGGCTGAGGCAGGCGGATCACCTGAGGTCAGGAGTTCAAGACCAGCCCGGCCAACATAGTGAAACCCTATCTCTACTGAAAATACTAAAAATTAGGCTGGCATAGTGGCAGGCATCTGTAATCCCAGCTACTCAGGAGGCTGAGACAGGAGAATCGCTTGAACCCGGGAGGCAGAGGTTGCAGTGAGCTGAGATTGTGCCACTGCACTCCAGCCT